>NC_000002.12:172489618-177489618 GCF_000001405.40 Homo sapiens | reverse complement strand
CTTTAATAATGAAATAAATAACCACGATGACTTCACAACATGGATACAAGACTGACTTAGTCAAATTGCTGGCAATTTCTTCCCTTTAGGGATGCTACAACCAGGAATTTACTTGATTGCATAATCTGAATAGTAAAAACTATTCTGATTAGTCTTATTTACTTAGTACTCTCTGCACTAACTTAAAAAGCAACATATTTCTCAATCCTATCATTTTATTTAAAAATATTTCCTTGGCCAGGCGCGGTGGCTCACGCCTGTAATCCCAGCACTTTGGGAGGCCGAGGCAGGCGGATCACGAGGTCAGGAGATCGAGACCATCCTGGCTAACACAGTGAAATCCTGTCTCGACTAAAAATACAAAAAATTAGTCTGGTGTGGTGGCAGGCGCCTGTAGTCCCAGCTACTGGGGAGGCTGAGGCAGAAGAATGGCATGAACCCGGGAGGCGGAGCTTGCAGTGAGCCGAGATCGCACCACTGCACTCCAGCCTGGGCAATAGAGCGAGACTCCGTTTCAAAAAAAAAAAAAAAGAAACATCAAAATATTCTGCAAAACTGGTTTTTCTAAAACTAAGTCATAGCTCTTACTTGTCACAGAAAAAATCAGAACTTGCAATTCAGATGAGACATATTTGAGAAGGCACCTCTTAAAAGACTAGTTACCAGCAAAATAAATTCAACATTAACATATATTTCACATGTCTGAGGGGTTTCTGCTAACGTAATGTCATAAGGATAAACTATAAAAGTATAAGCATTGAATGGCAGCCATGTAACTCTGGTCCATGGCTAAGGAATGAATTATACTTGATTGAAAACATTTGTTTCCTCAAAGGGTAAATCCACATCCTATGTAGACTCTGGAACAGCCCAAATTCTTGAGCCTAGAGACTACCTTGGAAATAGACTATCAATCTCATGTTGTATCAGAAGCAAATGCTTCAATACTAAACTCCATGTGCTATACAAAAATTTGGGCACAAAAAATTATCATAATATGCAACATCCTCACTAGAAGTGAGGAACCACATATAACTGCATACTATCCATTGCATTATGTTGGTTATCAAGCTAAGAGCACACTACCTCAAATAAGGCACACAACAAAATTGATTAATTTAAAAGTTCAAATCCCAGCACTTTGGGAGGCTGAGGCAGGTGGATCACAAGGTCAGGAAATCGAGACAATCCTGGCTAACACGGTGAAACCCTGTCTCTACTAAAAATACAAAAACAAAATTAGCAGGGCGTGGTGGCGGGCGCCTGTAGTCCCAGCTACTCAGGAGCCTGAGGCAGGAGAATGGCATGAACCTGGGAGGTGGAGCTTGCAGTGAGCTGAGATGGCACCACTGCACTCCAGCCTGGGTGACAGAGAGAGAATCCGTCTCAAAAAAAAAAAAAAGTTCAAAAAAGGCTATGTAAAAAAAGATAATCTGTTAAATGTGAATTTCTGGACATAAAAACTTAAAATGTAGACAAATTCTTCTTCTAACTAATAAGTCAGAGTTGGTATCACAGATGAAATGATAGACTATTTAAGGCTACAGTTATTACTGGTTGGTCATCTTAGAGATGACATACTGACTTACAGCTAGGAGTCCGTATGATAAACAATAAGAACTTTTTATTTTGACAAGTCAATTGTTGCTTGGTTTTAAAGAATAAAATAATACATAATAGGGAGTGAATATTGCCCTCCACTTATATTAAGGAAAAGACCAAAAGATAATGCCAGTCTCCTAATTATAACTTTATAGTTTTTCAGTTTAGTAAAGGTATAATAACTTGTTCTGAGTGGCTTCTGGTAGAGAACATGTCTCATAACTGTCTTAATTTTGCTGGATCAAACAGTAAATGATCCAATTAACCAAACACTTGACTAGGGTTATTCTCTCTGCTTCAGAGAAAAAAACGCATGACACAAAAAAAATGATTTAAAATAATTTCAGTTTCTCTATGTAATAAATACTCCCAAGAATTACTGTTGAATAAAAAGAAGTTTTAAGTGTTTTATAAGGTAAGTGCTAAACCTGACTCCTTCTAATTTATTTGAACTCCTCCAAGATAAATTAAGTTTAAAACAGAACAATTCATAAAATTTATGTCTTCCCAAATTATAATCTAAAATCATTAAAACAAACAAACAAAAAACCCCAAACCTTCATCAGTTTAAAATTGTTTAAAATAAAAGTGATAGAAGGAAGGAAAAATTACCCTCCATCAAAAGGTAGTGGGAAGAAAAGCTGCATTTTCATCTATAATTCTAAAAACCTAGTTCGAAGAAACTAGGTTTTACTGAGAAGAGTTTTGAGAGGAATGAGTACTAATCAATACCAAATACAGTTTTTCCTCTTGTTGGAATAAATGCTCCTCTCAAAATACCATAGGGCACTACTCCTAAGTTTTTATTGAAAACAAACAAAAAAAACCCAAGCTTCAGAAACTGCTTCTGAGCTTGTTTTAACACTCGGTTTTCCTTTTAACCTTGTAAAGACATCGTTATTTCCAAACTAACAATTTTATTTATCTCTTTTAGAGAATAATAACACGTTATATCTAACACTGATATGCTGATTAAAAAACATTATTTTCCTCCTCTTCATAGGCTACAGCAGGAAATGTATTTTCTGAGAACGTCTTAAAAATCATTTACCCATCTACTGAATAAAGGAGGAGATTATACTGGACTGCCACTTATGAGAAAGAATCACATTAATCTTCCACTAAATCCTCCTTTCTAGCTTCTCACAAGGCAGTGAAGTATTGAAAGAGGATACTTGCTCACATGGACAAAGATCGGATGAGAGACTTTAGTAGAATCCTTCTAATGCTAGTATAAGGTTGCTTAATTTATTTCCTTCAGTAAGAATAGTAATAAAAATATACATATAGCCCACTTTGCTATTTGTGAACAGTCATGTATGTTCTTTCCCAAAAGATATTTATCCAAAATTACAGTTTCCCATTTCAAAAGCAACTTGAATCTGAAAATATTGCAAAGATGGAAGTGCTATAAAATGACAGTGAAGAATTACAAGCAACCAATTCATTATTCAATCAAGAATTTGGCACAATCATAAGCCATGTACCATCTACTTTAATGGATCTTAATTCCCCTGCTATCAACTGAAATTCCAAATCCCAAATTGAACAATGACTAGTTCCAAAACCTGATTTTTTCAATTTTTCTGCCTGAAAACACTATTACAAAGGAAGGCAGCAAATACTGTACCACTCTTGACATATGAGACTTGTATGTTCTACAAACTAATATACAACTTTCCCTAAACCATTATAAAACCTTTTATCCATTTCCAGGTAAGATAAACATTAATGCCTCTCTACATGTGCATTATAATAGAAGTAAAATATGTAGGTTTCCAAAACTGTTAGATATCCAAATCCCAGTAACTACTCTTAGCAATTGCTCCATTATTAAGAGCAATGCTCGAGAATAGAATATTATCTATCTGGACTTTTAAAATCAGTTTCAAGTAAGACAAACTTTCTAGTCCATAATATTTGTATTTCTAAAAACTGTCAATTATTAAGTACATAGAACTGAACTGTCATAGCTATAGACTAGAAAGGACCTTTCTTTACGACCTGCTTTTTTAACCACATGGTAGCACTGTCTATCAATCATTATCTTTATTTTGTTCCAAGATATATAGCTAATACAGTTTTTTTTGTTTGTTTTTTGAGATAGGGTCTTGCTCTGTTGCCCAGGCTGAAGTACAGTGGCACGATCACGACTCACAGCAGCCTCGACCTCCTGGGCTCAATGGATCCTCTCACCTCAGCCTCCAGAGTAGCTAGGATTACAGGCACATGCCTCCATACCCAGCTAATTTTTGTATTTTTTATAGAGACAGGGTTTCGCCATGTTGCCCAGACTGGTCTCAAACTCCTGGGCTCAAGTGATCTGCCTGCCTCAGCTTCTTAAAGTGCTGGGATTACAGATGTGAGCCACCGCACCTGGCTCACTATAGTTTTGTGTAGTGAATTTAGATTATAGTCATTGGGTGAACATCCTAAGAATTTTTTTAAATGAGTAAAAGGACAAGTTTCACTGATTTCTGCAAGGATGAAGGAAAATTCCATACTTGCTTTTCAATAGCACAAGTAGGTCTTCTGTGTCACTTTCTATCAGGGGCATATCGAATTGTAATAAAAACTGTATCAGATTACACCAACTATTTATGGCGGAAATGTTGGAAATCAACATTTCCATTGTAATGAAATTATAAACTTAGTATTTTGATACATTTGTACATCACTTCTTATTAATGAAATTTAAGATAGATTTACATGTAAGTATTTGCAGTGTGGAAAAGTAGATGGAGCATCAAGAAAACAAAATATGCACACATCTAATCAAAAGCTTTATGAGTGTACTAAATCTGTGTTCTATAGAGGGGAGATATTATTGAAGGGGCAGAGTTGGTCAATACAGACTGAACACGACCTCTCTGAGATCTTTTGTTGAAAATAAATACAAATCCAAACTACTTTTATAACTTCTGTAATTTTTTAAAAAATCTAATTTGGGGCCGGGCATGGTGGCTCATGCCAGCAATCTCTACACTTTGGGAGGCCTAAACTGGAGGATCGCTTGAGTCCAGGAGTTCAAGACCAGCCTGGGGAACACAGGGAGATCCCATCTCTACAAAAGTTTAAAAAAAAATTAGCCAGGTATAGTGGTGTGTGCCTATGGTCCCAGCTATTCAGGAAGCTGAGGTGGTAGGATCACCTGCATCCAGGAGATTGAGAGGCTGCGTTGAGCTGTGATTGTGCCACTGCACTCCAGCCTGGATGAGAAAGTGAGACCCTGTCTCAGAAAGGAAAAATCTAATTTGGCATTCATATTTTTTTTCATAAAATTAGAGGCAATAATGGTGAATTAGAATTATGTCATTCAAGACTTGAACAAGAAATGACATGAACTACAATTCTTTAATAACACTTTTTGTGGCTGGGCATGGTGGCTCACGACTGTAATCCCAGCAATTTGGGAGGCCGGGGCGGGCGGATCACCTGAGGTCAGGAGTTCGAGACGAGCCTGGCCAACACGGCAAAATCCCATCTTCACTAAAAATACAAAAAAATCTGCTGGGCTTGGTGGTGGTCGCCTATAATCCCAGCTACTCGGGAGGCTGAGGCAAGAGAATTGCTTGAATCCGGGAGTCAGAGGTTGCAGCGCATCGAGATCGCGCCATTGCACTCCAGCCTGGGAGACAGAGTAGGATTCCATCTTAAAAAAACAAACAAAAAACCACACTTTTTGTGGGGGGAATAGTGAAGCTCATCAAAGACAGAGGGAAAATAAAACTATTTAAGACAAGCAGGGGATGGAATTTTCCTTCATCCTTACACAAATCAGTAAAACTTGTCCTTTTATTCATTTTAAAAAATTCTTAGGATGTTCACCCAATGACTGTAATCCAAAATCATTACACAAGGATAAATCATAATACAAAATGAAAACACTTGAAATTTCAAAAGCTCCTCATTAAGAACAGTCTGAAATTAATGAAAATATATATGGAAACATCTGTGTTTTATTTTTCAATTAGTGAACTTCTGGTCATTTAAAAAAAAAAAAAAACACCCTAGCTTCCTGTTCTTTTATGTATTAATTCATAGGCAAAACCATAAGGCTCTGCAAGTTCTTTTACTTCTTAATATCTGGGGTATCTTAATTTGAAACTCCTTTCCTCTGCCTTTGAATGATGGAATATTTTAGAAACAAGTACCAGAACACACTGGAATGTCACCACTCAGTGCTCAGATGTTACTTTAGTATAACAAATACTATTTACTCCAAAAACTTATCTCCAATCCTCCTCTACTTAATAATCCTTTAATGTTTTAAATATTATTGCCACCTCGTCATTTTAGCTAACATGGTGTTAATACTATATACTCTAGCTCCCTAACCATAATATCGTATTCCCAAAGTTCTAGTGAATTAGGGCCTCTAATGTAAGGATTTCAACTGTTACTAATCACTTCTGCCTTACCACTACCAAAGTAACTTGCCACAAGTCCAAGAATGCTTATTCCAGGACCCTACTTCCTTTTGAATCCTCTCCCTACCCAGGAGTAGTCTAGCAATCAAGATCAAAGGACCTATACTAAGTCTAGCAATCTAACTGACAAGTAAGTGCAGCTACTTGAAAATTACAAAAATTACCACATCAGCTGGTGAATTAGGTGGTCATATAGCTGTACTTCATGAAAGTGGGAAGCTGCCAGACAGAAAGAGTGTCTTAGAAAGTAAAACTTTATGAGTGTATGGAATAAACAGCACTGGGAATGATATATATATGTGAGTAAATAATGTATATATTTTTTCTCATTTTAAAGTTCTTTAAAGCATTAATAGTGGTTGTCTTGAGATGATGGGAAAATGAGAGACTCTTCATCATTTTACATTTCTGTACCTTACAAATTCCAAGATAAACATAGACTACTTGCTCGATATGATTCCTTTGCCTCAACAGATTCTTCCTCCACACTGCTCTGGATATCAGGAAGCTGACCTATATGGGTCACATCAAAAACTCCCTTGTCCTCAAGATTCTACTTGGGTATAGCTAATAGAAGTATTAAAATTTCAGGAGTTTGAAGAAAGAAAAAAAAAGAGAGGCTAGAGTACATTCCCTTGACTTCCTCCCTGCTGGGAAAAGTTGAATTAAGAATTATTCATAGACAGTTGTAGTTTAAACAATAAACCAAATGCCGAGAGAGACGTAGAAATTTCCATACTGACAGAACTAAATACATAAATAAAATTACTTAGCATTATCTTGTCTTAAAAAAAATCTTAATAATATATTTTTTAAGGAGGGGAGAAAATAAAAATTCTTTTTAGCTTATTACACATAGTATATTCCTTAATTTAAGCTATAGCTTAGATAATATTATGAAACAAAGTATAGCCTAGTAGCAGCACATTCTATGAATTGATGAAGTTGAATTACCTATATTTAAATTTTGGGGTCTTTGATATTTAGCCATTACTTTTAATTTCAATAAATGTCTCAATTTAAATTAAATATCACTTCAATTAATCATAAAATATCTTACCCAAAAATAACTTAAGACACATAACAGTCAATAAAAGGCAAAGTCATCTGAAGCTACCAATCAAAGTACTATCTTACCTTGGCTTACAATCATATAGCCATCTAGACCAAGAAATAGGTTTGATAGCAATATACTTACTCAAAGAAATAGTAACTGCACTTAAAGGATGACTGTACAACACTACCTTTTCATATAGAACTGGGTAAAAACCACAAATATAATACAACTAAAAATGAAGATTAGTTGTAACATATCACAATCAACTATGTAGTAGAATTTGAAAAATATAAATACATAAACATATATGTATGTATGTATATATATATATTTTTTCTTTTACCTGTTTTGCAATTTCTCTTAAACAGGCTACTCCTTGTTCAAAATTAGGGAAAGCTACTGAGCCATACTTTTGGTATTCAGGGACTGGTCTGATTTTTATTGTAGCTTCTGTTATTACACCAAGAGTTCCTGAAAAAAAGAAGGGGGAATAATCCAGTACATCACATGACAATTTTCTAAATCATATTTAAATCTATTTAATCTATTAATTCAATTTATTATGCACATTTAAATTTATCAAGTCTACCTGGGGAATAATGGCTACTCAAGTCATTCTAGAAAAAATTATAAAATTAAGCAAATTTTACAATTTCTCAAAAAAGCTTTAGGAATACGCTTTAATTAGTCATGTACAAATATTTTTCAACATTTTAAAGTAAACTTTCTCCAAGAAGGTTACTTTTAAATGGCTTTTAAAGTATTACAACTTATTAAAATAAAAAAATTGAAAAACAATGGATTCTTATGTCTCATATGTATTCAGACAAAAGCGTATTTTGATATTTGTGCTTATTTTTAGTCTTAAAAACAATTTATTGGGCAAAAAAACCCTAACCTTCAATGAGAATCTAAGATGATAGAAGAAATCTGAGGAAATATTATCTTGCTTTTTTTCCTAAGAATTAATAGAGAGAAAAGATAAAGGCATTACTGAGATGCCCTTTTAAGAAACAAAAAATACCAGATGGAGACAAAGTAGTCATTATAAATATCTAACATAAGATGACCACCAATAAAAGAAATGCTCTTTAAAAAGAAAAAATAAAAACACACACACAAATTAAAAAACAAAAAAACAAAACAAAACAAAAAGTAAAAAAAGATTAAAAAAAGAAATGCTCTTTTCTTTATTATAAGAGGGACTAATTAGAGAGGAAAAAATAAGTTAAACTATTATATTCACAAAGCCAAGCTTTTCAAATGAATGGTTTCTGATGTACAAATATTAGAAATTAATAACTTTATTAGTAAATTTTCTGAGCATCATTTTTAAAAAAGAGTAAAGACGGGGAGAAATCCTTGAAACTGCACATCTTCATAACGCAAGAAATTTAAAAGTTTCGCAAAAACCAAAGCTTCCAGTAAGTTTACAATATAATTAAAACAACTTGTCAATATATAACACAGGATTAAAAACTATGACAAGTCTATGAAAAGCAAATTACATTAGATCACAATATATTCACCACATATACACATGATTTCCTACTGAGGTTATAAAATAACTTATGACTTGTATGATCATAAAAGCTCTGCAAGTTTGGCTTGATAAATATTTTAATACAAAATAGATATGTCTTACAAAATTTAAAAGATAACAAAAGTGACTAAACGTTCTCTTTTGTTTTAGCATCTTTACTGAGACATAATTTAGACTACAAAATTCACCCATTTAAAGTGTAAAATACAATTTATTTTTTATTTATTTTTAAATTTTTAAATTTATATATATATACTTTTATTATACTTTAAGTTCTAGGGTACATGTGCACAACGTGCAGGTTTGTTATATATGTATACGTGTGCCATGTTGGTGTGCTGCACCCATTAACTCATCATTTACATTAGGTATATCTCCTAATGCTATCCCTCCCCACTTCCCCCCGCCACAACAGGCCCCAGTGTATGATGTTCCCCTTCCTGTGTCCAAGTGTTCTCATTGTTCAACTCCCACCTATGAGTGAGAACATGTGGTGTTTGGCTTTTTTGTCCTTGCCATAGTTTGCTGAGAATGATGGTTTCTAGCTTCATCCATGTCCCTACAAAGGACATGAACTCATCATTTTTTATGGCTGCATAGTATTCCATGGTGTATATGTGCCACATTTTCTTAATCCAGTCTATCATTGATGGACATTTGGGTTGGTTCCAAGTCTTTGCTATTGTGAATAGTGCTGCACTAAACATACGTGTGCATGTGTCTTTATAGCAGCACGATTTATAATCCTTTGGGTATATACCCAGTAATGGGATTGCTGGGTCAAATGGTATTTTTTTAAAATTTTTGAGATGGAGTTTCGCTCTTGTTGCCCAGGCTGGAGTGCAATGACATGATCTCGGCTCACCACAACCTGTGCCTCCTGGGTTCAAGTAAATTCTCCTGCCTCAGCCTCCTGAGTAGCTGGATTACAGACATGCGCCACCATGCCTGGCTAATTTTGTATTTTTAGTAGAGACGGGGTTTCTCCATGTTGGTCAGGCTGGTCTCGAACTCCCGACCTCAGGTGATCTACCCGCCTTGGCCTCCCAAAGTGCTGGGATTATAGGCATGAGCCACTGCACCCGGCCCCAAAATACAATGTTTTGCGTTATATTCACAGACATGTGCAACTGTCATTACAATCTAAGTTTAGAACATTTTCATCATCCCAAAAAAGAAACCATATCCACTAAACAAACCCTCTCCATTTCTACTCCCACACCCTAGCCATAGGCAACCACAAATCTATTTTCTGTCTATACAGACTTGCCTATTCTGGACATTTCATGTAAAAGGAATCTCATAATATCTGGCCTTCTGACTGGCTTATTTCACTTACCAAAATGTTTTCAAGGTTCATCCATGCTATAGCATGTATTAATATTTCATTACTTTTTAATTCCCAAATATTATTCCATTGTATAGTATAACTCACTTCGTTTATCTGCTCATCAGTTGATGAACATATGGGATTCTACTTTTTGGCTACTATTAATAATGCTGCAATTAACATACATGTACAATTTTTTTCTGGACACATGTTTTCCTTTCTCTTGAATATATATCTAAAGACTTTCTTAATTTCAGAAAAAATTTTGATCCTATTCCATATAATATCCTGATCCCAGCTACCTTTTCCCAAGGCTAAGTTCCAGGTGAGTGCAGCTGGGAGGTAGTGCTCCCCTGTAGCTCCGGGCCCCAACTGTGGGACAAAAGCTCTACCTTGAGTGTAGCACACTAAAACTGGGGTTTCAATCCCCTTGTCCTGGCTCATAAAGGGCTGGTTTCTTGCCAGGAGAAGCAAACCTAGATAACCTAATTTCCTTCCCCACCTTCTCCCAGCATTCAGCTCCTAAAGCAGAGGTGTTACTTAGATAGAAACATGCCATTGTCCCCACCCCTAACTCCTGAGCCGTGGTTCAGAGATTCTCTCTGGGGAGAGAAACAGGCCATAAGACAGATAGCTCCTAATCTCTTTCCAATGGAAATGACTTTATTTGCAACAGAGCATGGTGAAGTCCAAGTCCAAGGACATTCTCAAAAACAGTGAATGATGTGGTAAAAAGGTAATTGGGAAGACACAGGTAGATTCACTAGAGATATAGCCTAAAATGTAGGCCATCTAGTTTGCCTGGGAGACAATGGGGAGGACCCCTCTTGCGCTCCCCCTAAAAATCCCAAACACTAATCTCCAGAACTATCCCTTCTAAAGTGTCTGAATTTGATTGGATTATTCTGGATTATTCTGATGACAATGTCACATCATTAAAGATTATAAATGAAGATAAACTATTAAGAAGAATCAAATAGAAATTCTGGAGTTGAAAAGCAAAATAATTGAAATGAACAATTCACTACAAGGGCTTAACAACAGATGGTCTCTGGCAAAAGAATGAATATGAAACTTGAAGATAGATGTATAGAGATTATGCAACATGAAGAACAGAGAAAACAATGGATGGTGCCTCAGAGAAATGCAGGAAACCATTAAGCACACCAATTTACGTGTAATGGGAGTACTGGAAGAAAAACAGAGAAAGGAGCAGAAAAAATTATTCAAAGAAAGAATGGCTGAAAACTTCCTAAATTTATTAAAAACCAATAACCTATACATCAAGGGAGCTCAACAAATTTCAAACAGGAGCAACACAAAGATATCCACAAACAGACACATCGTAGTAGGAATGCTAAAAGTCAAAGGCAAGAGAAAAATCTTGAAAACAGCAAGAGAAAAATGACTCATCAATCACAAGAGAAAACTCATAAAGTTAACAGCTGACTTATCAGCAGAAACAATGAAAGTCAGACAGTGGTGAGATAACATATTCAAAATGCTGAAAGGGGGAAAAATGTGTCAACCAGCAATCCTACATCCAGCAGTTATCTTTCGAAAATGAAAACAAAATAAAGACATTCCCAGATAAAAGCTGAGAGGACTTCACTGCTGGAAAACCAGGCTTAAAATAAATACCAAAGGTGACCCCAAACAGTAATTCAAATTAATATATACAAAAAAGAGCACTTTTGAGTCTTCTTCTATTTTATGTAATACCAAAGATAGTATTAATGCATATTTCTTCTCCTTTCTTCTCACATCTGATTTAAAAAGCATTGGTATAAAACAATACATATATGATGTATTTTTGGATCTATAACATATACAAATGTGATATATGTGCCAATACTAGCACAAAAGAAGTGAGTGAAAGTAAAGCTCTATTGGGCTAAGGATACGATTACAGATGGTAATGTAAACCCACAGGAACAAATGAAGAGAAGCAGAAAAGATAAACAAAATGGGTAATATAAAAAAAGTTCTATGTCTAGAAATGTTGAATATCCCTTATCTGAAATGCTTAGGACCAGATGTGTTTTCAATTTGGGATTTTTTTAAATCTTGGAATATATGCATTATACTTACCAGTTGAGCATCCCAAATCCAAAAATCCAAACTCCAAAATGCTCCACTGAGCATTTCCTTTGAGTGTCAAGTCAGTGATCAAGAAGTCTCAAATTTTGGAGCATTTTGGATTTTGGATCTTCATGTTTGGATGCTCAACCTGTACTTGCTCTCCTTTCTTCTTTCAGTTTCTTTGAAAGCCAATTATATATAGTGGTAATGTTAGCAATGTATTGTTGGTTTGTAACATTTATAGAGGTTACTAAGGAGGTAACTCAAAAAAGTATACTGAAAAAAATCACTAAGGCAATTAAAATGCTACATTAGAAAATACTCACTTAAGGCAAAAGAAAGCAATAATCACAAACTACAGAAACAAAAAGACATGAGACCCACAGAGGGGGGGAAAATAAGGCAGACATAAATCCGACCATACCAATAATAACATTAAATGTGAATGGACTAAACAACCAAAAGAAAAGACAAAGATAGTGAGACGATTTTTTTAAAAAGATCCAACTATTTGCCATCTACAGAATCTACACTTTAAATTCAGAGATACGACTAGATCGAAAGAAAAAATATATATAATGCAAACAGCAAACACAAGAAAGCTAGAGTGACTACATACTAATATCATACGAAACAGACTGAAACAAAATATTACTAGCTATAAAGAAGAACATTTTATAATGATAAGCCATCAGGAAGACAAAACAACAAATATAAACAGAATGCACCTAATAACAAGGCACAAAAATATATGAAGCAAAAACTGACAGAAATGAAGGGAGAAATAGATAATTCAACAATAACAGTTGGAGACTTCAATGCCTTACTTTCTATAATGGACACAACAACTAGGCACAAGACCAAGAAGGCAATAGGACTTGTACACTATAAACCAATTAGACCTAACAGAATAGAACACTCCACCCAACAACAGAAGAATGTACATTTATTTCAAGTGCTCACAGAACATTCTCCAGGACAGACTACATGCTAGCGAGGTCATAAAATAAACTTGAACAAATTTTCAAAGACTGAAATAATACAAAGTATGTTCTCAAGCCACAATGGAATGAAATAAGAAACTGATAAGAAAGAAATTGGAAAGCTAACTAATATGTGAAAATTAAACAATACACTACTAAATAATCGAGTCAAAGAAGAAATCAACAGGGAAATTGGAAAACAGTTTGAGAAGAATGGAAAGGAAGACACAATATACCAAAACTTATCAGATAAAGTAAAGCAATACCTAGAGAGAAATTGTGATGGTAAATATCTGTACATATTTTTTTAAATCTCAAATAGCCTAACCTTCTACCTTAAGCTACTAGAAAAAGAAGAGCAAACTACATCTAATACAAGCAGACAGAAGGAATTATTAGAGATTAGAGGTGAAATTGATGAGATCAAGGATAGAAAACCAATAAAAAATAATCAATGAAACCAAAAGGTAGTTCTCCAAAAAGATCAATAAAATTAACAAATCTTTAGCTAAAGTGACCGAGAAAAAAAGAGACAGGACACAAATCACTAGAACTGGAAATAAAATAGGGGATATTACTAGTAATCTTACAAAAATAAAAAGGATTATAAAGGAACACTATGAACAACTGTATAGCAATAAATTACATAACTTAGAGAAAATGGGACCGTCATTTACTGCTTGTGGGAATGTAAAATGGTGCAGCCATGCTAGAAAACAGTCTGGCTATTCTTCAAATGGTGAAACATAGGGTTATGACTTATATGGCCAGCAACTCCACTCCTAGGCTATAAACCCCCAAAAATAAAAATATGTCACACAAAAGTTTGTACATAAATGTTTAATGCAGCACAATTCATAACAGCCAAAATGTGGAAACAATCTCAGTAATGAATGGAGTAACAAAATGTAGAATATGCATGCGGTGGAATATTATTCAGTTATAAAAAAAGGAATGAGGTACTGATACACACAACTGTTGAATCTTTAAAATGTGGTAAGTGAAAGAAGCCAGTCATAAGATTACATATTATATAATTCCAAGTCTGTGTAATTTCCAGAACAGGCAAATCTATAGAGATCAAAAGAAGATCAGTAGTTGCTTAGGGCTTGGGGCAGGATTGCTGGGGAGCTGGAAGGAGGAATGGTGATAGCTAAAAGATACAGTTTCTTTCTGAGGTGAATTTCCAAAACTTTGTCAGAAGAGGCAAAGGGTTGACAGGTTACCTATTAGTACTATGCTGTCTTACCCCCTAACACAGAATTATCTACCACACCTACTCTTTCTCACCAAGACAAGTAGTATCACTTTAATTTGCGAATTTCCTTCCACTATACTGACAATATCACTAAGATTATCTGTCATTCTTTCCACTCTTTTCAACACTTTTAGAAATTCCTGGTATCTTGGAATTAACATCTCATGTTCACAGTTAGTTGTTGTTACAAATAAATTGGAAATTTGTCAGGCAGAAATTCCTAAGGCATGAATCATCTCTTCTATTTGCTCTTATCTGTCCATAGACTATGGAAAACTTTAATAACCACTTGATCAAACTCAAAACTCACAAGATTGAAATTCATTAAAGAAGGTGAGTATAAACCCTGACTTTAACCAGGAAAACATTTCTATTCAGAACCAAACTCCAAGTTCTAAGCTTTTGGTGAAATATTTCCTAAGTTCTAAGAAATGAAGACATTTGAGAATATTTATTTGAATCACAGCATTGTAATCTAAATATAAGCCAAAGACAAAATTGGACACCACTTAAATGCCAACCAACAGGGGTTTGGTTAAATACATCAGGGTATATTCAATGAATGGAATATCATGCAGCTGTCAGAAAGAATGAACTGGCTCTAAATGTGATGAGCAAAGAATAGTAAGCTCCCATTTGTTTTTTAAAAAATATATACATAGAT
Organism: Homo sapiens; assembly: GCF_000001405.40. Lineage (NCBI taxonomy): Eukaryota > Metazoa > Chordata > Mammalia > Primates > Hominidae > Homo > Homo sapiens. The sequence goes on along the minus strand of NC_000002.12, from coordinate 177,474,669 downwards.
GGTTATGGTAGATACAGGAGGCAGATAAGGGAGGGTCCCAGAGAATCTCTAACCCGCTCCACAAGTGTTTACATCAGATGCTTTTGTGCAGATGAGGGAACCTAACCAAGGCCTTGTCTGGGCATGCCCACAGCAGACTGGGGGCCCGCCTGTGCACTGGAAGAGTGGGGTACAGTCACCAGGAATGTGTGTCTTGTGCAGGGGGAAGAAGCCTGGGCTCTTCAGCTTGTGCATGTGGTGGCCTGGTATTCAATCTGTGAGGTGGGAGCCTGTTGGCAGAACCCCTTTTTTTGCTGAGAGCTTTCTTTTAATAACTTCCGCCCTCCTCACCTTTCAACGTGTCTGCATGGCTAATTTTTTCCTAGTCATACAACAAGATTTTAGCTGAGCTAAGGAACAAAAATCCTGCATCAGTTATATGTAGCAATAGTGTTGCCTTTGGACAGGGAAGATGCCTGTAAGACAGGGATAGGAGGCAAATTTTTCCCTATAACATTCTTGAGTAACTTTTGAATTTCCCATGTTTCTACATATCCAAATTTTATAAATGTACAAGTTATTACTTATTCAAAAAGTTTATTCTTAAATGTATATACTGTTACATTAACAAACTTTCTTTAAAATTCTCATTCTACATCAAAATTCTAAGGTACTAGTAAGAAGGCATCATGACTTAAATTTCTGTATATTGCTTCATATATATACTGCAGGCAATCTAAAGTAGTGAAACTCACCATAAATTTATAAATGAGACTTTTAAAAATTAGTAGTATAAAACGAGGCATTGCATTACTGCAAGGTTAATGAAATGACCAAGGTGAGTCTGTGCAACAAGCCAGCTAGGAATTCTGCATGGTCCCAGTGTAAGATAAAAATCCATCCAGGTCCCAAATGCAGTTTGACAGGGGCAGCTTCCATTCTGACTTAAGTTCAAACTCAGCTAATCACAAATGGATATTCCAAATTCACTGCATCAAAAGGCCCATTTATGTAGAGTTTTAATGTATTTATTGATTCTTTTTTTCTGGGAATATTATGTCAACAGAGTGATATAAAACTACTTAAATTATTTATTACTTAATTATATGTATGTTATGCCAGTACTTTATATTCACTTTGTATAATTGTTTCCAAATAACTCCATGGCAATGTGACATCAGAGAGGCTTGTATGTCATTCACTTTCCATTCTGCTTAAAAAAAAATAGTGTCAATAAACTTCAGAATTTTCTGTTTCATAATTTTCAAATATGTTTGTTCTCAAAGAAAACTGAAGGCTTCAAATGCTGTTTGATATAAAATGCAAGTATTTGCTTGAAGTGACTCTCATAATTTGAAAATATATTCTCAGGACTTAAGGATTAAGCACAGCAGGCATTTGATTATGAATCTTTTCTCTCCCTCTATTTTCTTCAACTCCCCAAAATATAATCAACAAGGAAAACAAAGCCACACAGGACCTAGATCTTCAGCATACAAGGAAACAAAAAACACTGCAACTTTCAAATTACCTCTAAGTAGAGATAAAAAGAAAAAATTCCAACAGATTTCCTGTAGCCTTCCAGCTGCTATAAGCTTATAAGTATGAAAAGTAAATAAAAGGAGTCTTATTAAAAGACTACACACAAAAAGTAGAGAGTAACAGAGGAACTAGAGGAAGTACAGCCAAAATTACTCCCAGAAAACAAAAGTGCAATAATAATGCCAAAATATTATACAGGACTTGGTAGTCCATAGCCCTGGCTATGGGAAGAAGTTTGAAAATGGAAGGAACCAGAAATGGCTGCCTTGGAGAAGCAAGATGTGTACACGTGTACACACGTAAAAGTATGTGGACTCCTTGCAGACAAGCCAGTAAAGAGAAAGAATAAAATAATAAAGAGAAATTAAAGACCCTATAGAAATGAAAGAGAAACAAGACATGCCAATTCTTCCTTCACTAAAAACACCACCATTTATAAACAAATAGCATAGCAGAGGGTAGAAGTGTCAGGAAAGAACACTCTCAAAATAGGAGCCCTTTCCAAGTAACAAATAGGACTAGAAAAAGGCATATCAGATCTGTAAACAAAACAACTACAAAAGTCAGAAAACGCCAATAAAAACATTACTATTGGTGAAAAGTCTCCACCCTAAAACCAGCCACGATCCTGAAGAAAGCTGTAACACAACATGAATTAAATATCATCAATCAAGCAACAGGGATATGAAAAAATACCTTGAATCAGAAATACAAACAAACAAAAACCAACAACAAGAAATGAAACAAGAGCTGACTAACCTGAGGAAAGAAACAGAACCAAAAAAAGGCACGTAAAAAGTAAAGGCTATGTTATAAACTACCCAAAGGAGAATACAAAATAGATTCAAATTAAAACTTAATACAGGGCATTGAAAAAAAAAACCAGAAAAATAATCAAGAGAATGAAAATTAAGAAGTCAGAGAAAAAGGGTCAGAGAAAAAGTGACTGAAATGGAAAACTAGCAAAGAAAGTCAAACATACGTATAATCAATGTCCCTGAGGATGAAAACTGAAACAATGAAAAAAAAAACCCTAATATTTAACACTACTATCCAAAAAAAAACTTCACAGAAATAAAAGGAGACCTGAATCTACAAATAGAAAGGGTCCACTGGGTGCTGAAGCAAAATAACCCAGGACTATCAACTCTAAGTTGCAAAAGTATTAGACTTTAGCAATAAAGAAAAAAAATCCTCAAGGCCTCCAGGCAAAAAGAGAAAATTAGCCTACTAAGAAAATTAAACAGGTATCATATTTCTTTAAAATAATATATAAAACAAAGTAACAGTGGAAATAGCATTTTAAAGAAACTTAAAGAAATTAATGACCAAAAGGTATATTCACTCAAGCTGTCCTTCAAGTATCACAGCCACAGAAAACCAGTTTGGAACATTCCAGAACTCTGGGGATATATAAATGTGCCTTTCCTGAGGAAACTACCAAAGGATGATCTTCATTTAAGCAAAGAATAACTAGTGAAACTTTACAAAAGAACTGACATTGAGTATTCCATCTCTTTAATTGTAGACAAAGACTAAAAGAAGGGTGAGTCATGGGTTAAAAAACAAAAATGTACTTTGTTTTTCAAATAAAAGAGCAAATCCATATATAGTAAATACCATATATAGAAACAGAATGGAAAGCATTTCAAATGCTTGAATATTTATTACATTTTTCATTATACTGATCATGTTATAGCATCTAAAATAGGAGAAAGCTACTTGTTGAAAAAAATCATGAAAAATTCATAACACAAAACAAGACAAACACATTAAACTTAATATGGTTAATCACGTATAGAGCTTAGTCGGATGGAGAAAATAGGTTTTTGGATAGTAATACTTTCAAGGTTGTCATCAAATGATTTAACTGAAAGAAATTTTTTTAAAGCTCAAGAAAAGTTTATGATTCACATTTAAGGCAGGAAGTTATTACACAGGTAGGTCAAAGTAGCAGATAAAATACATTTTACGTAAGAATATGATTTCATATAAATTTACTATTTCAATCATGCTGTCTCCTGGCCTATATTAAAATAACTCTATATTCACAAACTGAAATGGGGATTAGGGACCATAAATTGTAAAGATCACTGATATCAAAATAATAAGCAGCTACAACAGTATTTACTACACTAAATTGTTCAGCATAATCTCACTTAATCCTTATAACACACTTACGAAGATGAATAATTTTATTATTCCCATTTTATGGCTGAGGACACCGGGCACTGAAAATTATCTAACTTATACAAAGTCATGGAAATATAAGTAGTAGAATCAGGATGGAAATCCAGATCTGATAAAGACTTCATGGTTCATGCTCTTTTATCAGTATGCTATGTTGCATGTACTTTGTAATAAAATCTCATTTAACTATGGTAATTTAGACTCATAAATTTTAAATATTTCTTTTTTTTTTCTTTTTTTTTTTTTTTGAGACAAAGTCTCACTCCATCACCCAGGCTGGAGTGTAGTGGCATAATCTAGGCTCACTGCAGTCTGTAATCTCTGCCTCCCGGGTTCAAGCGATTCTTGTGCTTCAGCCTCTCAAGTAGCTGGGATTACAGGCATGCACCACCACACCCGACTAATTTTTGTATTTTTAGTAGAGATGGGGTTTCAACATGTTGGTCAGGCTGGTCTTGAATGCCTGACCTCAAGTGATCCACCCGCCTCAGCCTTGCAAAGTGCTGGGATTACAGGTGTGAGCCACCACGCCCAGCCCAATCTCTTATAGTTCTTTGCTTACTTTACTATAATAACTTTGTCCCTTCCTTAAATTCATACAGTTAGTGACTACCTACGGAGGTAGCCCAGTCTTTTAGATAAAAGTTCAAATCATTTTAAAAGGCATGAAAAGACCAAATTATCTCTCGAACTACCCTGTAGCCCTTACCATTCTGCTCCTAGACCTGCTGCCTGTTCTACTCCACAATTAAACCTTACATTCCAGTCATACTGAAAAACCAGCAGCCTCATAATGAGGCAGACATGGCCCTTTCTCATTTCTAAGCCCACCAACATGATGGTCACTCTGCAGGGCAACTCCCCTCTTCTGTCTTCCCTCAACTTGACCTGGAATTATTTTCTTCTTATCAACCTCAAAGACCACTTTAGGTATGGCCTCCCTGGGGAAGCCTTTGTAAGCACCTATCAACTTCATCTTGTTCATATTTCTTCTGCATTTTACTTGATCATGTAATTTGTCACGCTGTTGTATAATTGTCTGTTATTATCTGTCTCAAATGTCCCAGCATAATATCTAGCAACTAGAATTTTTAAAAGGCTAACTGATGGGAGAAAAAAAAGTATAATGTGGCTATTTGAAAAAAAAATTATTTATATTTATAGAGTTGACTCCAATTATGTAAATATCAATAATGTAATGAAAAATTATGAGTTTTAATAGCTATTTTCGTTATTCAACTTGACTTCTGATGGCAAAAAGTTACATTCCTCTAATTTGTAGATGATGCATTAGTATAAGAAGTCCCAGAATAATATTAAGTAACCATATTATTTTAAATGAATTTAAGATTATTTTTCTTATTACAAATATAGTTTTGTTTTTTCATAGAAGAGTATGCTGATCAGAAAAGGAATAAACTGAGTAAACTGGTGAGATATCTTGACAAAGGTCTGTCATTGGTTACCATGAAAAACATCTAAGCAATACTACTGGTCATCAGCCAAACAACTGATCTCTACCACATCACTAAGAAACATAGTTTATTATACTTTCCCTCTTTGATGTTACTGTCAAAGAATAGAATTTATGCCTAACATCTTAGTTTATTGTACCTGCTCTTTTATTCATGAATATAGCTAAATGTTACCAAAATATATCTTCTGCAGCTTGGACCACCTTCTGAAGTGAATAATGAGCTCCTCTGTTAATGTAGAAACACTTGTTTATTTTAATTTATTTCTCTGAATTTAAGGAATGTCCCTCTCCCATCCTAAAAATTGAAAAATAAGCCCATGTTTACTTTATCCATACAATTCACCATGCCTACATAATAATTATTTTAAGGTTACTTCTTTCCAGATCTGCACAGGACTTAAATGTTTTAGACGAGATGAACTACATTCAAATCCACCCAGCATTAAGTAACCAAGAAAATGATACTATTTGTGTAGTGAAAAATTAAAAGACCAACAAAAGTTTAAAATATATGTGAACCAGAATTTTAAATTCCACTTCTAATAGTAATTAATTTTATAAAATACATAATTACAGAAAGACAAGACAATAAGATAATGCTTTATCAATCCTTTCCTCCGATAATTCTGACAAGATTTAAGAATACTATAATACAAAATGTCAAAATAAACCATTTTAAATCCTAATGACCACTTTTCCTGAAATTCATTAAAAATTCTAAAATAAAAATTAAAAGATCAAGCTGTCTCTAGAAACATAAAAAAGCAAAATGTAAGAGGAAGTTTAATCAGATGTTCTCATAATAAAACTTTATAGTCTTAAAATGATAAAAATTTAAAAAATTCCTTAAACATATAAAACATGTCTTTCAAAGATCTGATGTCACAATATAAAGATTTTCACAAAACTGCATGACTAACCTGTATTTTTTCTTAATAAATTTACAGTTATATTTACCTTCAGATCCCATGATGAAGTGATGGATATCAGGGCCTGTTGACATACGAGGTCCTTGACAGCTTTTTTCTATTATACCTCTAGGTGTTACCATTTTTATATGAACCACCTGTTTAATACAATACACGATGTAAATTCTAGACATCTGTTAGTGAATGTGTGTCTATGTACAGACATTTATATATATTTATGTAAAACCTACTTTTAAAGTATTGGGTTAAGTAATAAATTGTGATGCTTTTAAGAATTCTAGTATCTTTTAGTAATTTTTAGACTAAAGTTAAATTTGTATATAACCTTAAAAGAGGGAAAAACCATTCTAAGATTGTACATCTCTTGATTTAAAGTGGTTTATTTATTATCTTAAGAACAACAGAATAACACATTTATTTAAACCAAATTTAGGGTTATCCATATGGCACAGAACTAACGGACTCAAAAACTAAGCAATAATCATAACCTTTATGAAGCATATTATTCATGTCAGGCACTGCTCTAGACACTTAGAATTCTAAGAAAAAAATTATTCTCCCTTTATCCCCACCTTCAATCCCACTTAGTAGAAAACAGTGAAAAGAATTAAATATTAATTATGACCAGGTCAAATTGGGATGAAGCAGTAGAAACAATGACTGAACTTAAGAGAAGGAAAGAGATGTGTGACTCATCATACAAATGAGAAAGTAAGTATACTGGGGAAGTAGGATCACTCTAAAAATAGTTCCTGAGATCTGAATCAGAAGTGGTTAGGTAAAAATCCAAAATATTTTTAGAATGAATTTTGGACCGATAAATAACAACAGTCTATTTATTATTGAAGGAAATGAGCAGAGAACATCAATAAGCAATACACAAAATACAAAATAAAAATTGCCAATGAGGACCCCTTAAAAGTTTACATTCACTAGCAATTAACAAAATACAAAAACATAAATAAGACGTCCAGTAAATTACAAAGATTCTCATGGTGTTAGTGAGAATGTCAATTGGTACAAAATTTTTATAGGGCAATTTGGCTGTAAGGATCCAAAGTCTAAAATGTATAAACTTCTTGATCCAACAAATCAACTAAAGGAGCTTACCCAAAGAAAATGATTAAAGATGTATATACCAAAGAAATTTTAAAAAGAATATTTTTCCTTTATTTTCTGTAATTCTGAAATCAAGAATAATTTAAATGTTCATTAAGAGGGAGTTAAATAAACCATGCATTCTCAATAAAAGAATTATATAACTCTTTAAAAACAATGGTGCAAACCTGTTCATTTACATGTTAATATATTGATGACATAATTTAAAGAGCAGATGAAACACATATGGTCCTCTTTTTTATATTAAAAACTAGATACATTCATGTGCTTATTGCATGCCTAGAAACAGTTCTAGAAGTGATGGCACCAGCAGCCCATCTGGAGTGGCTGCTGCAAAGACATTGGCTGCAGTGGGGGTGGCATGACCAGGGCTGTGCACTGCATGGAGCCAACGGGAGCTGGAAACAGGTGGAAGCCCCACCCCCTTCCTAGTTGGCAGAGCAAAAGCCACGCATTCCTGAGTGCAGCTGTGGCAGCCCAGCTGTGGCTCTGGATCCAGGCATCCCTGTGCTCTTGGGGGCCGGAAGCACGCAGGAATCCTACCCTCCTGGACACAGCTGCAGCCACCCAGCTGTGGCTGCAGACCCAGGCATCTCTACACTCTTGGGGGCCTGGGAAGCCCCCAGCCCCTGCAGGCTCGGAAGTGTCTGCTTCCACCGCCTGGCTTCTCCCCATTCCAGTGCCTGCTCCAATCTTGGAGAAAAGTTGAGGCCGAGCCTGCGTGCTGTTGCAACCCAGCCGGGTGTGCGCATGCTCAGGGCAGTGCTGACATGCCAGCACCCTGCTGCCTCAGCCCCCTCCAGACTTTGGGCACCAATGAGCACAGAAGGGAGGATAAGTGCTGGCTGAGGGCAGCTTGGCACTGGCCTGCAGGAGGCCCTTAGCACGAACAGCCTGGGCATCTGGGCACCATAAACAGTGGCAGGAGGCAGACAGGCTCCTGGGCGGAAATGGGCGGTCCCCGGTGAAACCCCACCTTCAAGCCAGGGAGGGCCTGACGCCTGGGGGCTGGGCTGCCAGTTCCACGGACTGGAGTGGGAACTTATGATGCTTTTTCCGGGATTGCCCATAACCACCCATGGACCAATCAGCACAAACTTCCTCCCCTCTGAACCCCATAAAAACCCAGGACTCAGCCAGAATTAGGCAGATGCCAGGATTACCTGTCTGCAGAATGGAGCTACCCACTGTGGATCTCCTTTCTGCTGAGAGCTGACACTCATCAGGATGCCCTGCTTATGGAGAGGAGCTACCCACTGTGTGTCTCCTCTCTCCTGAGGGCTAAACACTCATCAGGATGCCCTGCCTGTGGAGAGGAACTACCCTCTGTGGGCTCTCTGCTGAGAGCTGGATGCTCATCAGGATGGCCTACCTGCGGAAAGGAGCTACCCAATATGAGTCTCCTCTGAGCTGTTTTGTCACTCAATAAAGCACTCCTTCACCTTGCTCACCCTCCACTTGTCCGCATACCTCATTCTTCCTGGATGTGGGACAAAAACTCAGGACCCGCTAAATGGCGGAGCTGAAAGGGCTGTAACACAAACAGGGCTGAAACACACCCCTTGTTTGCCCCATGGAGGGCAACGAGAGGGAAAGAGAGGAAAGAGAAGGAGAGAAGAGCTGTGGCCCTTCAAGGAGCCCAGACCTAGGAGCTCCCTGAGCCAGGGCTATGGCTCACTCTTTGGGGCTCTGCAGTCCCTGGCGTCTCCAAGCTTCCAGGCACCACCACATTCCCTGGTGCCACCAATGGAAGCTGCTTGCAGTATGCCTGGTCCAGCAGCAGCCTTGTAGGGAGCTGATGCCTGGAGCTGCCCGTCCTGCCACAGCTGGCGTGCCTGACTGTGCGCTGTGGCCAGACTCCACACTCACTCATTCACACACCCCTCACTACTCTGTGCCTGGCTCGCCGTTGGCAAGCATGGGATCCAGACCAGCAGCGTGAGCCAAGCACAGCCTGCCAGGCCGAGTGGGCTGAACAAGCCCAGTGGGCCCAAGCAAAACTTGGGCAAAGGTGCCGCCAGACAGAAGTTTCTGGCTAAAAAAGTGACACCCCAAGAATCCCATGACAGAAGGATGAATACGAAGATGTTAAAAGTGTTCAAAATGATATGTATTTAATATACACAGGACACTTAAAAAAAAAATAGGATCTTGCTTTGTCACCCAGGCTGGAGTGCAGTGGTGGGATGATAGCTCACTGTAACTTCAAACTCCTGGGCTCAAGCAGTTATCCCACTCCAGCCTCCTGAGTAGCTAGAACTACAAGTATGTGCTACCATGCTCAGCTAATTTTTTAATTTTTTGTAGAGATGACATCTTGCTCTGTTGCCCAGGCTGGTCTCCAACTCCTGGCCTCAAGCCTTGTCCTCTCAAAGTGCTGGGATTACAGGTGTGAACTACCATGCCCAGCTATAGCATACATTTTTTATACTTCTGTAATGAATATTTTTAAATAAAAAATAAGTTTCTAATTGCTTGAATTGTCTATTCCAATTATAATTTTAAAAGAAGCATTTTCTTCAGAAAATGAAATGCTCACTGCATCATACTTTACTTTCTTTTGTGAAGATCCAGAATTTTTAGTTTGGTTTTGTCACTACAGAGTTCAATGTTTTTCCTTCTAACAGTGCTTCATAACTGAAGAATGTAGCAAGGCTCCTTTCATAGAAGCAGTGGATTACCGCTAATAGCGATGAGCTTCAGCTCTGTAACACTAGCACAAGAAAGTGTAATCAGATATGCTCAGGAAATCCGTTAGTGAAGAGACATTCACTAAATTGAGAAGTATTTGAGATGGACTATAGTTGGAATTCCTTAAAATGATCTTGAAAACAAGTGGGAACCAGAATTTAAGATGAAAAGTATATCCCATTGTACACAGACTTCTGACTCTTCAGATGTTAAAACTTTTAAATTTTTAAAAAATTTGGACTAAACAACTATCTTCAACTTTTTTCAAACAGTTAAATAAGCTATGAGCATCGTTACTGTGCTTTAATTAAATATGCACTAATGTTACGAAATATATTAACACGTTCTTTAATTTTTTCACAGGTTCCATTGTAGCCACATGTATTAAAAGAATATCAACTTTAGAAAAATTGTCATAAAAGCAAACAATATAAATTAAGACAGCTTCAGAGGATACTATATATTGCAGAGTTAAAAATTTAAGTTAAAAATAAAACGTGCTGGCTGGGCACGGTGGCTCATGCCTGTAATTCCAGCACTTTGGGAGGCCGAGGCAGGAGGAGTACCTCAGGTCAGGAGTTCAAGACCAGCCTGGCCAACATGGAGAAACCCTATCTCTACTAAAAATACAAAATTAGCTGGGCATGGTGGTGCATGCCTGTAATCTGAGCTACTCTGGAGGCTGAGGCAGGAGAATCGCTTGAACCCGGGACGCGGAGGTTGCAGTGAGCTGAGATTGTGCCACTGCACTCCAGCCTGGGCAACAAGAGCGAAATTCTGTCTCAAAAACAAACAAAATAAAATAAAATAAAATAAAATGCACTAAGTAATTATTAATGCAAATAATTACACTAGGATGTACACTTATAATTTGTATCCCTTAAATATCTCCAAAAAATGATTAAAATAAACTACATGATTTCACAGTGCTAAATGTAGCTGTTTACCAAATATTTGCTTAACTCTGATAAAGTCCTTAATAATCCAATAGCAAAAGGATCAAATTTTCTCCCCAAAACTGAATTTAGGTTATTTTAATTGCAAAAAGAAAAATGTGCTTTTCTAAATGCCTTGAATAAAGAAAAATAAATAGGATAATGAAAATATTTAAAAAGTATTCACAATATAGACAAAAGTTTTTAATTCCTCAGTGTTAACTATAAAGAACCAATATATTTTATTAAAGATTTAATATTCCTAATAACAAAGATATTGATGAAAATGTGGAAACTTTAGATTTCAAAAGCAAAGCTAAATAGCTCCAGGAATAATGTTGGGAACATCACTTTAATAGTCTCAAATTAAAGTTCTTTTAAACTACTATGAAAATATTGACGATAAGGAAACAACATTTATGAAGCACCTACTACACACCAGAGATTTTGAGTTTTCATTTTATGTCCTTTACTCCTCACAATAATTCTATGCAGCAAATATCATTATTCTATTTTACAGAAGAGGAAACTGAAGTTTAGAAACGTAAACCAATTTGTACAAATTCACACAACTAATCATTGAAAAAGCAACAAATGATACCTAATCCCTAACTAGGGTGCCCAGAGTTATATACTATTATTATACTAACTCCCAGCAAAGTGGCACCATATCAGCTACAAAAAGCAGTGTGCACATAAAACATGACAGGTCTTACCACTACTTGGTAGAACAATTTCAATCAGCCTATTTAATTCTATACAGGAAAAATTATTTTCAGAAAAATGCAAAATCTCCTAAGGAAACAGAGTAGCAAAAACGAAATCATCTAAGTAAATGGACTAAAATCACGGTAGAGTTGAAGACTTCATTTCCACGAGGCTTGTAAAATAATATTTGTATACAGACATCCATCAGTATCCCCATAGAACTGGTTCTAGGACCTTCGAGGATACCAAAATCCATAGTACTCAAGTCCCTTACATAAAACAGCACAGTATTTATATAAAACCTATGCACATCCTCTCACATGCTTTAAATCATTTTAGAATATTTATGAATAATACAATGTAAATACTATGTAAATTGTTGTTCTACTATATTTTTTGTATTATTTTCCTTGTGGTATTGTTATTTTTTTTTCCAAATATTTTTGAGCTGCATTTGGTTGAATTTGTGGATACGAAACCAGTGGATATAGAGAGCTGACCGTATTTTATGAGCTGGATACTGTGAAACATCTACAAAGCTTAAAATGTAGTCACCTGAAAAGGGGCATCCTTAAATAATGACCACAGTTGTGTTTTGATTAACTTTCTACTATACATGTCCAATGTTATTATAGTCAAAAGGAGTTTATTTATGGGAGGGGGGAATCTACCATCCAACTCTTTTTCTTTTTTCTTTTTTTTTTTTTGAGACAGAATCTCGCTCTGTCGCCCAGGCTGGAGTGCAGTGGCACAATTTCGGCTCACTGCAAGCTCTGCCTCCCAGGTTCATGCCATTCTCCTGCCTCAGCCTCCCGAGTAGCTGGGACTACAGGAGCCCGCCACCACACCCGACTAATTTTTTTTTGTATTTTTAGTAGAGACGGGGTTTCACCTTGTTAGCCAGGATGGTCTCGATCTCCTGACCTCATGATCCGCCCGCCTCGGCCTCCCAAAGTGCTGGGATTACAGGCATTGGCCACCGCGCCCAGGCCCAACTCTTAATTTTTAAAGGCTTCTAATCATTTTATAATAATATCTATATACTAATCAATTATTACATAATAACTAGAAAAATATTTACCAGGTCCTCGATATTGCCATAGATATTCTTCTTCATGCCTGATGCGCGAGTAGATACCCATCCTCCTACAGTACTGAACTCCAGGGAATCTGGTTCATGACCTGTACAATAACCACTTTCTTTAAGCTGAAAAACAAAAATTTAACATTTTACAGTGAAAATGGTCCCATTACGTACAGCACTCAACACATTAACTCCTCCCACTTTAAAATTTCCATGTCATTGATATTTGAATTTATTAATTCCTACATAGCAAAAAAAAAAAAAAAAGATACTTTTATCACACTAGTCCTAAAAATTTTTTTAAGCTTTTGCCTAGTGGAAAATGTTACAAGATTAAAAAATGTAGGCCAAAAGAAGTTCTATTTTTCACAGGTTGACCAGATAATCATACTCCTTACATCCTTTTGTTTTAAGGCCAGCTGTCCTTCCCCACTTTTTTTTTCTACAAAGAGATAGTTTAAATATTTATGGAGATCAGATTATGCTTAAATAACAGCCAACTTTACCTAAACACTTTCAATAAATAAAGCACTTAATCTCTTGTTCTCTCTACCCTAATGTAATATGCAGCAGGCCTGCAGAAAATCCGAGCAAATTGCCTGTACTTAATTCTCTCAAGGAGTCATGTGTTTTAATGTACAGGCATCTGGATAGGTTTCCTGCATGTAATAACGTCATTTATTTGTGATGCAGATCATGCATTACTATACATTAAATAGTCACTTGTTTCTCATTTTTCTATATTATCTTGGCTTTGCCATCTGCACAGCACCTGAGATTGAATAGATGCCCTTTACTGCAACACCACCAAAGCCATTCCAATGAAATCATTTTAAAGACTCAGCCATCTCTTCTCAAACGGTACAGACACCACCATCTGCATACCCGCTGTCTGCTACACTCAAGCCCATCAATCTGTGTTGACCATTTTGATAGTCATCCAGTTAAGCAACTGTTCTATTTTTCAAGTAAGCCACACAGCTATGTAGAATATGTCAGCCACGTCTGTATATTTGTATTTAAGTATGGTGTGAAAGTTGTAATCCAAAATATGAAAGCCTATTAGGTTAAATATAATTTGTTAGGTTTTGCATATCAGCAATACAAATTCTCTATCTATTCTAATTTTGCTGCTAGGAAAACAAGATTTTAAAAGACATCAACTGTTATATAATAAAAGTTTCTCCACTAAATATTCAATATATTATTTAGTTTTAAGAGATTAATATCCATCTATTAAAAAGAAGCTTAAATAAATGGCTGAAGAGGTTAAAATGAAGATTATCAGACTGTTACATTATATTTCTTCCCTAACTCCATCTCCAAACAAAATACTATGAATTATTTTCTCTTAAAACACTACTGTTACTCAATTTTCTTTTAAAACATAAACTTTTACTCAATTTTATGAAATTGGGAAAAGAAAAAAAGACATTCATGGAGCCCTAAGATGTACCAGGTACTGAAAAGAGAGGTTTCACATACTGTCATGACAAAACAAACTTCACATTATACAGAAGCAAATCTTTAAGTACACACTTTAACTAATTTTTTAAGTGTGTTAATTCATTTAATCTGCTCAACAACCATATGAAGCTGACACTATTATTATTCCTATTTTCACAGATGGGAAACAGTTAAATCACTTGTTTTAACTGATGGTTCCCCAAATGGTACCTCTTACTTGCATTTTTTTTTATCATTATACTTTAAGTTCTGGGGTACATGTGCAGAACGTGCAGTTTTGTTACATAGGTATACACATGCCATGGTGGTTTGCTGCACCCATCAATCCATCATCTACATGAGGTATTTCTCCTAATGTTATCCCTCCCCTAGCCTCCCACCGCGCCCCAGGCCCCACTGTGTGATGTTCCTCTCCCTGTATCCATGTGTACTCATTGTTCAACTCCCACTTATGAGTGAGAACATGTGGTGTTTTGTTTTCTGATCTTGTGATAGTTTGCTGAGAATGATGGTTTCCAGCTTTATCCATGTCCCCACAAAGGACATGAACTCATCCTTTTTTATGGCTGCATAGTATTCCATGGTGTATATGTGCCACATTTTCTTAATCCAGTCTATCATTGATGGACATTTGGGTTGGTTCCAAGTCTTTGCTATTGTGAATAGTGCTGCAGTAAACATACATGTGCATGTGTCTTTATCGTAGGCTGATTTATAATCCTTTGGGTATATACCCAGTAATGGGATTGCTGGGTCAAATGGTATTTCTAGTTCTAGATCCTTGAGAAATTGCCACACTGTCTTCCACAATGGTTGAACTAATTTACACTCCCAACAGCATAAGAGCGTTCCTATTTTTCCACAACCTCTCCAGCATATGTTGTTTCTTGATTTTTTAATGATTGCCATTCTAACTGGCGTGAAATGGTATCTCATTGTGGTTTTGATTTGCATTTCGCTAATAACCAGTGATGATGAGCATTTTTTCATATGTCTGTTGGCTGCATAAATGTCTTCTTTTGAGAAGTGTCTGTTCATATCCTTTGCCCATTTTTTGATGGGGTTGTTTTTTTCTTGTAAATTTGTTTATGTTCTTTGTAGATTCTGGATATTAGCCCTTTGTCAGATGGATAGATTGCAAAAATTTTCTCCCATTCTGTAGGTTGCCTGTTCACTCTGATGATAGTTTCTTTTGCTGTGCAGAAGCTCTTTAGGTTAATTAAATCCCATTTGTCAATTTTGGCTTTTGTTGCCATTGCTTTTGGTGTTTTAGACATGAAGTCTTTGCCCATGCCTATGTCCTAAATGGCATTGTCCAGGTTTTCTTCTAGGATTTTTATGGTCCTAGGTCTTGCATTTAAGTCTTTGATCCATCTTGAGTTGATTTTTTTATAAGGTGTAAGGAAGGGGTCCAGTTTCAGTTTTCTGCATATGGCTAGCCAGTTTTCCCAACACCATTGATTAAATAGGGAATCTTTCCCCCATGGCTTGTATCAGGTTTGTGAAAGATTAGATGGTTGTAGATGTGTGGTGTTATTTCTGAGGCCTCCGTTCTTTTCCATTGGCCTATACATCTGTTTTGGTACCAGTATCATGCTGTTTTGGTTACTGTGGCCTTGTAGTATAGTTTGAAGTCAGGTAGCATGATGCCTCCAGCTTTGTTCTTCTTGTCCAGGATTGTCTTGGCTACGTGGGCTCTTTTTTTGTTCCATATGAAGTTTAAAGTAGTTTTTTCCAATTCTGTGAAGAAAGTAAGTGGTAGCTTGATGGGAATAGCATTGCATCTACAAATTACTTTGGGCAGTATGGCCATTTTCATAGTATTGATTCTTCCTATCCATGAGCATGGAATGTTTTTCCATTTGTTTGTGTTCTCTCTTATTTCCTTGAGCAGCAGTTTGTAGTTCTCCTTGAAGAGGTCCTTCACATCCCTTGTAAGTTGGATTCCTAGGTATTTTATTCTCTTAGTAGCAATTGTGAATAGGAGTTCACTCATGATTTGGCTCTCTGTTATTGGTGTATAGGAATGCTTGTGATTTTTGCACCCTATCCTGAGACTTTGTGGAAGTTGCTTATCAGCTTAAGGAGATTTTGGGCTGAGACGATGGGGTTTTCTAAATATACAATCATGTCATCTGCAAACAGAGACAATTTGACTTCCTCTCTTCCTATTTGAATACGCTTTATTTCTTTCTCTTGCCTGATTGCCCTGGCCAGAACTTCCAATACCATGTTGAATAGGAGTGGTGAGAGAGGAGATCCTTGTCTTGTGCCAGTTTTCAAAGAGAATGCTTCCAGCTTTTGCCCATTCGGTATGATATTGGCTGTGGGTTTGTCATAAATAGCTCTTAATATTTTGAGATACGTTCCATCGATACCTAGTTTATTGAGAGTTTTTAGCATGAAGGGGTGTTGAATTTTATTGAAGGCCTTTTCTGCATCTATTGAGATTATCATGTGGTTTGTGTCCTTGGTTCTGTTTATGTGATGGATTACATTGATTTATTTGCATATGTTGAACCAGCCTTGCATCCCAGGTATGAAGCCAACTTGCTTGTGGTGGATAAGCTTTTTGATGTGCTGCTGGATTCGTTCGGTTTGCCAGTATTTTATTAAGGATTTTCGCATCGATGTTCATCGGGGATATTAGCCTGAAATTTTCTTTTTTTGTTGTGTCTCTGCCAGGTTTTGATATCAGGATGATGCTGGCCTCATAAAATGAGTTAGGGAGGAGTCCCTCTTTTTCTATTGTTTGGAATAGTTTCAGAAGGAATGGTACACCAGCTCCTCTTTGTATCTCTGGTAGAATTCAGCTGTGAATCCGTCTAGTCCTGTACTTTTTTTGGTTGGTAGGCTATTAATTACTGCCTCAATTTCAGGACTTCTTATTGGTTTATTGAGGGATTTGACTTCTTCCTGGCTTAGACTTGGGAGGGTGTATGTGTCCAGGAATTTATCCATTTCTTCTAGATTTTCTAGTTTATTTGTGTAGAGGCATTTATAGTATTCTCTGATGGTAGTTTGTATTTCTGTGGGATCAGTGGTGATATCCCCTGTATCTTTTTTTATTGCATCTATTTGATTCTTCTCTCTTTTCTTCTTTATTAGTCGGCTAGCGGTCTATTTTGTTGGTATTTTCAAAAAACAGCTCCTGGATTCACTGATTTTTTGAAGGGTTTCTTGTGTCTCTATCTCCTTCAGTTCTGCTCTGATCTTAGTTATTTCATGTCTTCTGCTAGTGTTTGAATTTGCTGTTGCTTCTCTAGTTCTTTTAATTTTGATGTTAGGGTGTCAATTTTAGATCCTCACTGCTTTCTCTTGTGGGCATTTAGTGTTATAAATTTCCCTCTACACACTGCTTTAAATGTGTCCCAGAGATTCTGGTACATTGTGTCTTCGTTCTCACTGGTTTCAAAGAACATCTTTATTTCTGCCTTCATTTCGTTATCTACCCAGTAGTCATTCAAGAGCAGGTTGTTCAGTTTTCAAGTAGTTGTGCGGTTTTGAGTGAGTTTCTTATTCCTGAGTTCTAATTTGATTGCACTGTGGTCTGAGAGATTGTTTGTTATGATTTCTGTTCTTTTGCATTTGCTGAGGAGTGTTTTACTTCCAATTACGTGGTCAATTTTAGAATAAGTGTGATGAGGTGCTGAGAAGAATACATATTCTGTTGATTTGGGGTGGAGAGTTCTGTAGATGTCTATTAGGTCCGCTTGGTCCAGAGCTGAGTTCAAGTCCTGAATATCCTTGTTAATTTTCTGTCTCGTTGATCTGTCTAGTATTAACAGTGCGGTGTTACACTTTATTTCTATCAGTATATCCAATATTATATATACGATTAATTTGTTTCTTTTGTCAGGTAGGTTACTTCATTATCTTCTCCAATTACAAGCAGGTACTATATACCAGGAATTGTGTAAAGCAAAAGATACAGATACCAAAAAAACCAGATGTTCCCCATGCTGAATGAGCTCTACCACACCAATTTAAATTTACTTCATTTAAAATCTTACTAACTTCCTACTAAATAAGTGAAGAAAGTGTAATGGTTGAAAACCTGGGTTTTTTCTTGCCAAAAAGTTTAAGAAAACAAACAAAAATCCCTGGGTTTGAAATTTGTCATTTACTGTTGCTAGAAAATTTGCATACCGCAGTATACCACAATATGCAAATTTAGTGAGAAACAACTGCTGGTGCATAGTAAGTGCTTAATAAATGGTATCTAAGATCATATACATTTAGCCGCTTTCTCCTATAAGGTCTGTGTCTCTGTTAATGCCATTAGCTGGTAAGAAAAATTTGCTGAAGAAAGGTCCACAGATTTACTCATACAATTAATCAAATATTCACCCACCACGTTCCCCAAGAAAGGGTCTCACTCTGTCTCCCAAACTGGAGTATAATGGCACAATCATGGCTCATTGCAGCCTCCAATCCTGGGCTCAAGCATTCCTCCTGCTTTGGCCTCCCAAAGTGCTGGAATTATAGTCATAAGCCACCATGTCTGACTCAAGATTTCTTTTTTAATAAAATAACATCTCTGCCCCATATGACGCTAGATAAAAATAACTGTGTTTATTTACCATGTGCCATGAAGCTCTAGGGGAATAAAAGCTTTATCTCACTTGTGTTCCAATTCAATACTGAAACAACAAATATTTACGGACTACAAGCTGACCTTCAGATATATTCCTTAAAAAATCCCTAAATTATGGTGCTTATATTATAGAGCAATATTGAGAAAAATGTATATGCTGCTAAAAAAAAAAACAGGAGAAATAGTAAAGGAAACTGAAATTAAGAATCATAATTAAATTATACAGAATAATTAGAAGTGTGATGAAAAAAATAAAAAGCAGAGCAGGAACTTCCCCCTCTACCCAAACTGAAGTTAAAGGAGCTAGGATTTACCCTCCCACCCAATAAGACTAAAACACAGAAAAATAGAAGAAACAGGCCAGGCATGGTGGCTCACACCTGTAATCCTAACACTTTAGGAGGCTGAGGCAGGAAGATCACTTGATGCCAGGAGCTCAAGACCAACCTGGGCAACATAGCGAGACTCCATCCTTGTATTTTAAAAAAGAAAAAAAAAAAGTTTTCAAACACTGAACTTGCAGTCAGGAAGGACGGTGATCCTATGAGAAAGTAAACACAGGTGATGAGCACTGTGACTTGACCCTAGTTTAGCGCTCCACAGAAACAGAATCCAGGCACAACTTGGCAAACACTGAGTTGAGATTGAGCATAGAGCTCAGTCAAGGCAATCAAGGCATTTAGAGTTCACAGGAAAAAGTACAGAAAAAAGCAGCACAAAGAGAGGTGCCTGGAGATCTGCAGAGTGTGCCCCTCAGGTCTTCAGCAGAGTACTGAAAAGTAAATGCAAGTGAGTGAAATACCAAAGACCAGAGGAAGATATACTCCAGATGGATTACAGCACGGGTGTCCAGCCTTTTGGCTTCCCTGGGCCACGCTGAAAGAAGAAGAATTGTCTTGGGCCACCCATAAAATACACTAATACTAACAACAGCTGATGAGCTTAAAAAAAAAAAGGTCTATGCATAATTTTCATGATATCTGCCACCAAAAAAGTCCTCACATTCAAAGGGCTGGACACCAGTAGATTAGAGAATAGTGCCAGCACTCACAGAGGGCCAGAAACAGTACCTGTTTCCACTAGTCCAACTGAGAAAACTATTAATTCACAGAGTATTAGGTAGGATATCCAACAATGTCATACCACAGTAGTGGAAAGTAATTAGTCTCAGACTGAAAAAAGCAAAAGATCATAAAAGCAAGAACTAGAGGATCAACTGTTTCCACATAAGTGCATCCCAGGAGAAAAGCTGAAGAATATTTGTAGAACTGAAAAACATCGAAATTCACAATGGCTACCATCTAATCAAAAATTACCATTCAAAATTAAAAATATAAAATTAAAAATAAAAATAAAATATATATAAAATAAAAATAAAAATTACCAAGCTACAAAGAAGCGGGAAAACACCCCATAATCATTATGGGGTGAATAATCAAAACCAATCCAGAACTAACACAGACGTTAGACACAGCTGACAAGAACATTAAAACAGTTATTATAACTGTATTCTATATGTTCAAAAAGTAGAGACATGCAAGATATAAAAAGGCCCAAATTAAACATCTGGAGATGAAAAATATAATGTCTGAGATTAAAAATATATTTAATGGGATTAAGAGCAGAAAAGACATAGCAAAATAAAACAGTAGTGAACTTCAAGACATAGCAACAGGAACTAAAAGAAAAAAATGAGAAGAGTAGCAGTGCGCTGTGGAACTTCAAAGAGCCTAATAAGTGAGTAAATAGAGTCCCTAAAGGTCAGCGGGGAGGGGGGTTTATTGGATAGTTGAAGAAATAATGGACAAAGTTTTTCAAAATTTGATGAAAACTATAAAGCCACAAATCAAAAAAGCTTAACGAATCCTCAACAAAAGAAACACAGAGAAAAACTACACCAAGGTCCATGACAATCAAATTGCTCAAACCAGTGATAACAAGAAAATCTTAAAAGTAGCCAGAGGGGGCTGGGCACAGTGGCTCACGCCTATAATCCCAGCACTTTGGGAGGCCGAGGTGGGCGGATCACCTGAGATCGGGAGTTCGAGACCAGCCTGACCAACATGGAGAAACCCCGTCTCTACTAAAAATACAAAATTAGCCGGGCATGGTGGCTCAAGCTTGTAATCCCAGCTACTTGGGAGGCTGAGGTAGGAGAATCACTTGAACCCGGGAGGCAGAGGTTGTGGTGAACCACTGCACTCCAGCCTGCTGAGCGACAGAGTAAGACTCTGTCTCCAAAAAAAAAAAAAAAAAAAAAATTACTACTGATTTTCTTAGACATGATAATGGTATTATAGTTATAAAGAAGAACACTATTCTTCTGTCTTTAGGAGATGGTGCTGATGTATTTAAGTTAAGTGTCGTAAAGTCTGCAACCTAGGCTGGCTGTGGTGGCTCATGCCTATAATCCCAGCATTTTGGGAGGCTGAGGCAGTGGAACATCAGAGGTCAGGAGTTTTAGACCAGCCTGACCAACATGGTAAAACCCCATCTCTACTAAAAATATAGTATTAGCTGGGCGTGGTGGGGCATGCCTGTAATCCCAGCTACTCTGGAGGCTGAGGCAGGAGAATCGCTTGAACCTGGGAGACGGAGGTTGTGGTGAGCCGATATCAGGCCACTGCACTCCAGCCTGGGTAACAAGAGTGAAACTCTCTGTCTCAAAGAAAAAAAAAAAAAGTAGCCAGAGGGGGAAAAAGCATATTACATACACAGAAACAAAGACAAAGATAATATCAGATTTCTCATGAAAAGCAATGAAGTAGGTAACAGTGGAGCAACATCTTTGTACTGCTGAAAGAATATCAATCTACAATTATATACTCACTTCAAATATCTTTTTTAAAAACAAAGGTGAAATAAAGACTTCTTCAGACAAAATTAGAATTTGCCAACAGCAGACCCACACTAAAGTCATGTTAAAAGAAGTCCTTCAAGCAGAAGGCAAATAACATCAGACAAAATTAAGGGTATAGGAAAGGTTAACTAGATGGGTAAATACACAAGATGCTTTCATATTATTTAAATTTTTTAAATGATACTGCAAAGTATTACAATATCACTCAAAGGTAGCTGACACAAGTTAAAGATGTATACTTCAAATCCTAAAACAAAACAAAAACTTAAAACTACTAAAGAAACTAAAGAGATAAAGCATATCATTTAAAAAAAAATCCCAAAAAGGCAGTAAAAGAGGGAAAGAAGAACAAAAACAGATGGGAAATACAGAAAATGAATAGCAAGATGACAGATTTAAACTAAACCACAATAAATCACACTGAAGGTAAATGATCTAAACACCTCAATGAAAAGGTAGTGATTGTCAACTTAGATAAAAAGAAAAGAACCAATTATATGCTGCCTATAAGAAAAACATTCTAAATATAAAGATACAAACTAATTAAGAGTAAAATAATGGAAAAAGCAAAAAGATATACCATGCTAAGAAAACTCCAATAGCTATTTTAGTATCAGAAAAAGCAGATTTCAGAGCAAAGCATGTTATCACACATAAAGGAGGTCATTTCATAACGACAAAAGGGTCAGTTAATCGAGAAGCCATAACAATCCTGAACATTTATCCTCCTAATAACCGAGCTTTAAAATACACCAAGCAAAAATAGAACTGCAGAAGAAATATACAAATCTACAATTACTGTTGGAGGTTTTAATACCCCCCTTCAATAACTGACAGAACAAGTAGACAGAAAATAAAAAATATAAGAGACCTGAATTACATTATAAGTCAATCTGACCTAACAGACATTTAAAGACTACTTCACCAAACAGCAGCAGGAAAACACATTCTTTGCAAGTGCACATGGAACATTTTAAAAATAGGCTGTACTGTGGGCCATAAAACAAGTAGTAATAAATTTGAAAGGATTCAAGTCATATAAAGTATGTTTTCTGAACACAACAAAATTAATATAGAAATCAATGACAGAAAGATATCTGGAAAAATCCCAAAATAATTGGGAACTAAATAACATATATACATGGTGAGTAAACCATAGATCAAAGAAAAAATCAAAGAAGTAGAAAATATTTTCAAATTAATGAAAATAAACATATCAAAATTGGTGGCATGTCACTAAAGCAACAATTGGGAAAAAATCAGCACTGATTTTCTACTTTAGAAAATAAGACTGAACTCAAATAAATTACTTCAACTTAACCTCAACTATAAGACACAAAATAACATTTTTTTCACAAATCCAACATCCATTCCTAATTCAAACTCTATAAATTAACACAAGAAAGGGACTTCTTCAACTTGATAAAGGGCATCTACAAAAAACACCTATAGTTAACAAATACTTAATAGTTAAAGGACTGAACACATCTCTCCTAAATCAGAAACAAGTCTCGCTTCTTTTCAACATTATCTGGCCAGTACAATCAGGTAAGAAAAAGAAAAAAAGGCAAACAGATTGGAAAGAAAGAAAGAAAACTGTCTTTATTCACACACAACATAGTCATCTATGTAAAAAATCCAATGAGATCTACAAAAAAAAAGTTAAAATTTAGTGAATTTAGTAAAGTTGCAGGATATAAGATCAGTATAAAAAACTGTATTTTTATACACTATTAAAGAACAACCAGAAACTGACAATTTTTAAAAATACCAATTACAACAGCACCAAAAAATATGTACTACTTAGGGACAAATCCTGTTTTTAAAAATATACGAGGCCAGGTATGGTGGCTCATACCGATAATCCCAACACTTTGGGAGGCCAGGGTGGTAGGTTGAAGCGAGAAGTTTGAGACCAGTCTCAGCAATATGGCAAGACCCTGTCTCCAGAAAAATTAAAAAATTAGCCAAGCATGGTGGCACATGCCTGTAGTCCTAGCTACCGGGGAGGCTGTAGCAGGAGGATCATTTAAGCCCAGGAGTTTAAGGTTACAGTGAGCTATGATGGTGCCACTAGACTCCAGCCTGGGCAACAGAATGAGATCTTGTCTCTAAAATATATATATATGAAAGACATGTACATAGAAAACCGTAAGACACTGCTGAGAGAAATTACAGACCTACAAAAAACTAAAGATATACCATGTTCATGGGTCAGGTCAGAAGAATCAAAACTGTTAAGCTGTCAGTCTCCTCAAACTGATATATAGAGTCAATGCAATCCCAATCAAAATCCCAATGGGACTTTTTCTTTTTTTAACAGAAACTGACATTTCCATATGAACATGAAGTTCATATAGAAATACAAAGAACCTAGAATAGCCAAAACAACTTTGAAAAAGACTCGTGATAAAGCTATAGTAATCCAAACAGTATAGTATTAGCACAGAGACATATATAGAGTCCAGAACTAGAAGCAGACATATATAGACAACAGATTTTTTTAAATGATGGTGCAAAGTCAACTCAGTGAAGAAAGGATAATCTTTTCCAATAAATGGTGCTGAACAATTGGATATCCATGTGCAAAAATCATTAACTTCAATCCAATTTTATACCATATACAAATAATAACTCAGAAATCTTCAAAACTGATTAGAGACCTAAATCTAAGACTAAAAATTATAAAACTCAAATGGGAGAAAATCTCTATAACCTTGCATTATGACACAACAGCAGAAGCATGATAGAAAGACAAATTAATACACTGGGCTTCATAAAAATTAAACACAGCTGGTCTTCAAAAGATAGTGTAAGAAAATGAAAAGAGAAACCACAGACTGAAAGAAAATATTTGCAAAGCATATATCTGAAAAAAGACTTATTCCCAGAATAAATAAAGAATTCCAAAACTCAATAATAAGAAAACAACCCAATCTTAAAATTGGGCAAATAGGCTGGGCGTGGTGGCTGACACCTGTAATCCTAGCACTTTGGGAGGCCGAGGTAGATGGATCACAAGGTCAGGAGATCAAGACCATCCTGGCTAACGCGGTGAAAACCCGTCTCTACTAAAAATACAAAAAATTAGCCAGGCATGGTGGTGGGCGCCTGTAGTCCCAGCTACTGGGGAGGCTGAGGCAGGAGAATGGCATGAACCCGGGAGGCGGAGCTTGCAGTGAGCCGAGATCACACCACTGCACTCCAGCCTGGACAACAGAGCGACACTCCATCTCAAAAAAAAAAAATTGGGCAAATAATTTAAGGAGAACTTCACCAATAAAGAATATGGATGGCAAATAAGCACATGAAAAGATGTTCAACATCACTAGTCATTAGAGAAATATAAATTAAAACTACAATGAGGCCAGACACAGGGGCCCGAGCCTATAATCCCAACACTTTGGAAGGCCAAGGTGGGCAGAACACTTGAGCCCAGGAGTTCAGGAACAGCCTGGGCAACATGGCAAAAAATTCCATCTCTACAGAAAAATATAAAGATTATCCAGGCATGGTGGCACTTGCCTGTGGTCTCAGTTACTCAGGAAGCTGAAGTGGGAGGATTGCCTAAGCCCAGGGAGGTCAAGGCTGCAGTGAGCCATGATCGTGCCACTGCACTCCAGCTCAGGCAGCAGCATGAGACACTGTCTCAAAAAACAAAACAAAACAAACCTACAATAAGATACTACTATGTACCTACTAAAGTTTAGACTAAAATTAAAAAGACTAGCAATACAAAGTATTGGCAAGGATATGGAGAAACTGGAACTCTTATACAGTGCTGGTGGGAATATAAAATGATATAATCACTCTGGGAAAAAACTTCATAGTTTCTCAAAAAGGTAAATATATACCTACCATTTTGATCTATTCATTCCATTTCCAGTTACTTACCGAAAGGAAACAAATGTATATGTCTATACAAAAACTTTCACATGAACGTTCATAGCAGCTTTGTTTGTAATAGCCCAAAACTAGAAATAATCCAAGTGTTCATCAACAGGTGAATGTATAAACAAAACAGTGGCATATCTATACAATGGAATACTGCTGAGCAACAAAAAGAAATGAACTACTGATAAATGCAACAATATGGCTGAATTTCAAAATAATTATGCCTAGTGAAAGAAGCCAGACCCTCCTCCCATACATACTGTAGGATTCCACTTTATTAAAATTGTAGGGAATTTAAGCAAATCTATGTGACAGAAAGCAAATCAGTGATTCCTGGGGGGTTGCTTAAGGGTTGTGGGTGGGAGTGGGAAAGGATTATAAAGGAGAAAGAGGAAAACTTTTGGGGTTGGTGGATATGTTCATTATCTTGATTGTGATGATGGTTTCATGGTTATATTCATATGTCGAAACTTATCAAATTGTACACATTAAATTGTACATATTAGATCATAATTATATCTCAAGCTATTATAAAGCAATATAAAACAAAAATCTATGACTTCAAAGATTGTGGTCCAAGCTGCCTAAGGAATTGAATTTCCATCTCCTGAAGAGAAGAAGGCGGCTACAGAACAGACACATTTTGGAGACAAGATTGCAAATTTTTCCTCTAAAAATTCAGTTTTTAAAATGCGGAGTTTGAAATGTCTGTAAATACGCAAGTGGAGATATCAATTAGGCAAGTGGCTATATCAGTTCAGCAAAGAAGTCTAGGATGATAATATAAATTTTGGAGTCTACAGCACATAAAAAGAATATTTAAAGTCTGTTAGCCTGAATGAAGCAAATAGTGCTCAATAAAAATTAGTGGAATGAATCAAAGTTCTAAGTAGTTCACATTATTAACTTATTTCATCTTGATGAAAAACCCCACGAAGTAGGAATTATGATACCCACTTTATAGGTAAAGAAACTGAGGCTTAAAGGTGAGTAACTTGCCCAAGGTCACACAGCTAGGAGCTATATTGAGGTTTGCAGTGAGAGCTAATAGCTATTAGAAACAAAGAAAGATAATGTGAGGTTATTAGTGATGATGTGCCTAAGCAGAAAAAAAAAAATTCGAGTCAGATAACCTCAGACTATTAACCAATAAAAGTAGCCAAAGATTTAATAAACGTAGGAAAAATTCTCCAAATCCATAATTGACATGTTAGCAGCTTCCATTAAATTTTATCATGTTAACATCAATGTGATTTACAAGTTAAAGCGATTAAAATCTGTGCTACCCAACTACTGTATTTGTGTCATTTTAAGCTTGCAGAAAGAAAAGCCAGGATGTTTTAAACTGGTTACCTCAACTGAAGTAGAATCTGAAGGACACAAAAGTTTAATGAGGAAGAACTTTTACTGGGATCAAAATAGCTGTAGGAACTACATTATAGCCTACTGGAGGCAAAAAAGAAAGTTCTATATCGGCATTTAGGGAAATGAACTAGTAGGTAAAATATCAGAAGTTCCTAGTCTGGGAAAATGTCATTTAAATTTCAAGGAAATATGTTCCTTGAATTTTAATTCTAACCTTTAAAAAAAAAAAAGAAAACTTGGAAAGGTTAAAATACTACATCAAATGCTATAATAAAGATACAAAATTGGTGACATAAAAGGCCATTCTTTGTTATAAAAAAAAGTGCTGTGCTGATAATGCCTCATTTAAGCATAATGGAATACTGATACAGGACTTTTTAGAGGTTTTTTCATTAAATACTATTATTCTGCCCACTAAAGTTCATTATAAACTATAATAATTGATAAATCTATTTATCTGATATAAAACCTTAATTTATTGAGGATCTTTAACACTGTCTCAACAAATAAGTTCAATTTTATTCCAGTTATCTGCATCTGACTGCATTAAATAAAAAATAAATAGTTTAATCATTTTTTTTCAAAGCCTATCATCCAGAAATGGTCAGGAGCAGATCAATGTCAATCAACTTTTCAAGAAAGAAAAGAAAACAACAACAAAATAAGATAACAATCACATCACATCTCTTCCTATTAAAGGTTTGGAGGAGAGGGGTCTCTATAACCCAAGTTGAACAAAATGGTCAGTACATCACTAACAAATTGGACTTTCTAATTTTTGTTTACAAAAGCTGAGTTATCGTTATCTTGATTATGTTTGAGGAAGTTGAAGGAACCAATTTATTTTCACTATTACCTGCTTAGAATCTATGAAAGAAACCTAAAGTTTTCCAAAAATTCATTAGGATCCCAAAAAGGTACTATAAGAACTCCAAGAATTTCATGAATTTATGAAATGAGTAGTTGTCAATGAAATTGCACACTGAAAAGTTCAATGAATACCAATATTCACCCAGCTGATGAAATATATCACCAAGATCCTAGAATTCCATGTTCAAACTGTTCCATTTTGTTCCATTTCTACTACTTCATGTCACTCTCAGCTCTTGCCTAAATTATTGTTGCAGTCTCTTAGTCCACCCTTACATAGACCACCCATTTCACCACACAGCAGCCAGAACAATACCAGTAAAAAAGTAAAGTTCAAACTTCTAAAAGGGGCTTTATAAGGCCCTTTATGATCTGAACTCTTCATGTTTTCCTGGCTTGATCCTTTACCACTACTGTACCCACACCCACCCAATATACAAATACCAAGAAGACATGTTCTCCCATACACACACTAGCCTTCAGCCATATTCAGCTATCTGCAGACCCTCAAAAGCAACAGTCGGCCAGGCGTGGTGGCTCACGCCTGTAATCCCAACACTTCAGGAGGCCGAGGCGGGCGGATCACGAGGTCAGGAGATCCGAGACCACGGTGAAACGCCGTCCTACTAAAAATACAAAAAATTAGCCAGGCGCGGTAGTGGGTGCCTGTAGTCCCAGCTACTGGGGAGGCTGAGGCAGGAGAATGGCATGAACCCAGGAGGCGGAGCTTGCAGTGAACCGAGATCACGTCACTGCACTCCAGCCTGGGCGACAGAGTGAGACTCCGTCTCAAAAAAAATAAAAAAAAAAAAAGTAACAGTCACCCTGAGAAGCCCTGCATGTATGCTCCTTCCTCTGGATTGTTCTTTCCTTTTTTGCTAACTCAGACTCATCCTGAAGTCTCATTTTAAATGCTGTGTCCTTTGCCACTGACTCAGTACTAACAACAACAAAAAAAATGCCAGGTTCTATGTGATACCTTCTTTGCCCAACTCGTTCCCACCTAGCCCCATTTGATGATCCATAATACCCTGCATTTAGCATCCACATAGCAATTTTCACTCCAAATAATTAATTATTTATCGAACTTTCTGTCCTAATCTAAGCTACCTGAAGGTAGCAGACAATGCCTTATTCACTATCATGTCCTCAGAATCTAGCTCAATGCTTGACCCATAATAGAAACTAAACAAATTCTTTGAGTGAATGAATGTATCATAAAAGGTATTTCATTCATAGAGGGGATACAGTTTTGAAAACTTTCATTAAAGAAATAACATCAGAATTGATATTAGAATAAGTTAATTTAAAAAAATAAGAAAAATAAATAACATACCTGTCTTTCCAACTCTTGTCCTGTTATGCCAGCCTCTACATGAGCTGTCAAATTGTTCTCATCAACCCAGAGAATTCGATTCTGTTGCAAAGGAAGAAAGAAATCTGATCTCCAGGAACTACTAATATTTTCTCAGGAAATATAACTTCCTAATTCAAAGCAACAAGTGGTAAGACAGTGATTAAGCAAGAAGGGTTCCCCTCAACCACCCACACTGGAAACCAAGTCCACTTATCCCAGACTATACAACATGACAACATAGTAACAAAGGCAGCATATTATGCAGGGGTTGGCTTAAAACATAGACTCTGTCTTTATTCAGAGGTTAATTTAAATTCCTTCTCTTACCTTAGGCAAATTATTTAACTGTCTAAGCTTATTGTTTCCTCATTTGTAAAATGTAAAATAGTAATAATACATAAAGTGTTGGCTACAATAATTAAATGAGGTACTCCATGTAAAAAAACAGCATATACAGGTCCTGGCATTGTGCAAATACTATCTGCACTGTGTTAACATAGCAATCACTATCTAATTTAAGAATATCAGAATATGACCATAAGATTAGAAAAAACAATCTGCAAGGACATTTGAATATAGCAGATGGCATCCCTACTTTATTTTTAATTCAAAACAGGGCCAGAGACCCCATGTACAAAACAAAGCAAATCCCTGCCTCGGGCTCAAAAGAAGGAACTAAATTTCATCTGGCTCAACTTACCAAACGTATGACTGCCAATAAAAAATGTTATTTGGCATTCTTATTTGACCTAACTTTTATATACATATATGAATTTTCATGAATTACTTTCTACTATTAAGAGCAGACTTCTTTCCCCTTTCTATCTGGCTGAGCAATTGGGTAACATATAGAACCTTCTTCTGGATCCCAGGGAAGCTTTCTTTCTACTTTCATATGCTCAATTTCACGGCAATAACTAACATAGATAAATCTACTTAATAATAAAAAGGAAAGAGCACAACAGACAATACAAAATACAATACAAAAATAGCAGTTGCTGCCTACATTCCAAATCTGAACACATACAAATAACTGCACTGCTTAATTCACAGCGTTGTGAAAAACATTAAATAAGATGATGTATGTGAATGCACTTTTAGTTTTATGTTACATAAAACTCATAATTATACTCTCACTATAAGACAGTAGTAATTTCTTTCTTTCTTTTTTTTTTTTTTTTTTTTGAGACAGAGTCTTGCTCTGTCACCCAGGCTGGAGTGCAGTGGCATGATCTTGGCTCACTGCAACCTCTGCCTCCTGGGTTCAAGCAATTCTCCTGCCTCAGCCTCCTGAGTAGCTGGGTTTACAGGCACACGCCACCACACATGGCTAATTTTTGTATTTTTAGTAGGGACAGGGTTTCACCACATTGGCCAGGCTGGTCTAGAACTCCTGGCCTCAGATGATCTGCCCACCTCAGCCTCCCAAAGTGCTGGGATTACAGGCGTGAGCCACCACGCCTGGCTGACAACAGTAACTTCAATACAACTATGGTATAATCAGGCTTTTGGTCCTTTGGCAGCTAAACAAAAGACAGTATTATTAAATTGCAGAATGAAAAGACAAAGAATTTATTGATCTGATGGTACCTTATATATATATCTTCTCCCCCAACAGACTGGCCCTTGAGGCAATTACATACTCATTCTAAATATATACCTTGTAGCTACCAAGAGTTCAAACATATCTTTTGGTAGAAAAAGGAAATTAAAAGAAGCAGAAAAAACTTCATAGGCACTCACAGAAAAACCTAAAGAAAACATATAGGCTACCCTATTACATCCCATATATACTACCAAACCCATGTTAACATTCCAGAACAGGCTATTCTTCAGCTATCTTCTGAGGAAATAAATTGCCTTTTCTTAAAATCTGGGATAAGGAGATAGGTTAATGGGGAACCTTACAATAAAATAAAGTGTTCACCATCTGAACTTGATCAATTTTAGCATCACTAAAAGTGAGACAATCAGCTACTACACACCTCTATTGATGTTATGTGACATTTTTTTAAAAGCACATTACCATCTATGAGGGATTCTTGCTGTAAAAACAAAACCAAAAAAAGGCAATGCCTGAATCTAACTAGACTTTATATGGAACTTCTAATTTAGTGGACATACAGGGCTTAGATAAAGAGTTAAATGACAAGAAGCAGCAACAGATAAATTCAAAATATGACATTCTATACTACAAATAACCTTGTTTCTTCAAAAGTCTATAACATTCAAAAGAAAAAAACAGGGAGTAAGATGAAGCTTTTACATAAAGTGAGACTTAAGAGCTACAATGGAAAGCAAATGTGAGCCTTGTCTGGATCCCCATTTGAACAAATGAACTATAAAACAGACACTTTTTATCAAAAATTTAATGTAGACTAACTACTAAATAACATAAAGAATTACTTTTGATTTTGCCAGGAGTGATAATAATAGTTATGTGAGAAAATGTCCTTTTTAAACGAGATTATACAGAAATATTTACATGTAAAGTAGCATTGTATCAGAATTTGCTCTAAAACTACTAGAAAAAAAAGAAAGATAAAGAAAGTATGACAAAATGTTAATAACGACTTCATCTAAAAAATGGGTAAACTATTCTCTCTACTTAGGTATTTGAAAAAAAAATTCAAATTTGGTAAAATAGCCATCAACATATATACCTGAGGGTAAAAGTAAACCTACCTTTTGGAGAACTGAATACAAGGGTAAAATGTAATGATGAAATACATTTAAAACAAAATGGATATTAGATTCTTTTTTTTTTTTTTTTTTTTGTCACCCAGGCTGGAGTGCAGTGGTGTGATCTTGGCTCACTGCAACCTCCACCTCCTGGGTTCAAGCGAGTCTTATGTCTCAGCCTCCCAAGTAGCTGGGATTACAGGCACACACCACCACACTCGGTTAATTTTTGTATTTTTAGTAGAGATGAGGTTTTGCTATGTTGGCCTGGCTGGTCTCGAACTCCCGACCTCAAGTGATCCACCCACCTCAGCCTCCCCAGGTGCTGGGATTACAAGCGTGAGCCACAGCGCCCAGTGGCTAGATTCTTTTTTAATGACAATTAAGGTGGAGCCAATAAAGAAAATGTTTTAAATATATCTCAAATTATTAAATACCATTTGTGAAGTGTCCAAAGAAATAATTGTTCTTGTCTCATCTGCAGGACACATCAGGCCATATGAAACACTTGTTCCTCCTGCCAAAATAGGAAACAACAACTTTTATGTTTAAATATTCTGTTTTTAGCTATATTTCTATGGCAAATCCCTCATATCAAGTATACAGATAGGGCCACTAGAAAAGTGATACCTATTAATACTTTGCAAAATACAACTTGCAAATGCTAACACACTAAAAGCAAACTCACCTTTATTTTATGCTGAGTGCCAAAATGAAGCAATATTACGGAACTGAAAGCAATGGGCTATGGTTCCATCCCCTGGAAATGCCACACTCAAGTGAAGCCCCTAGCAATTTGTGGAACTCCAAAAACATGATTAGAAAAGTTCTAAGCAGATAATTACCATGGAGAGGTAGCTTAAAAGAAAAAAAGACCCATCCTATACAACTAGAGACATCATTACTTCCTTTTTACCACAATTATGAGATTCATTTATCATTTAAAATAATCTTATATTCTTATACAAAAAAGCTTTAATAAATTAGAATAGAAACAAGCTTAAAATGTCTAGATTATGAGGTATTTAAAAACATTTATATGTTCTTTGGTGAAAAAGTGATTTTAATATAGAATAATACATAGAAGTATTTAAACACACTGTTGTCTTAACATTTACTGTCAAAGGAAAAATGCCTTCTTGATACCATTAAAGAACAAAACAATGTTCTCTGTTCTTAACCAGATCTAAATCACCATATATCGAATAAATTCTTGACTGATACTTCCATAAGTTCTGCATGAAAGAAAACATGTGAAAGTCACCTTCCACAAGAAGTACAGGGGGTGTTAATCTGTAAGGTTCAGCGTAATTTTACAAAGTGAGTTCATGAACTGTTGGTTAAGAACGTGATGCCTGTGATCAGTAACCACTATTTGCTTGTCACAGTCATTTGGAATTAGAAAAATATTTCATAATAAATGGCATTTTAGTGCCTTTTTTGCATAAATTCAACAGAAAGCATCAGCTGAAGAGGGAATATGGAGCTTCTAGAATTGTTGGGAGTCTTATTACCATTCCTATGCTAATCTCAAAGGTTTATATAGGACATATTTATATTTAGCTTTTGAAAAAGAAAATTCTCTCCATAAATATACAGGTTAAAAAGTAATTACTAAAGCAGAAACATTTTGTTATTCAGGCATTAAATTACAGCTTCAACTAGGGCCCATAGAGGAAAAAGCCATGAACTAAGGTATACCATGTCTCAAACAGTTTAAGGAATCCTACTTAGAACAAAAATGAGCATCATTGACCAATTTTTGAGAATAACCACATCACAATTACAATAATGTTTGTTTTCAGTAGGGTGACGCAAATATTTAAAATACAAATATTTTAAATAGAACAAATTTACATATTAAAATTCAAAAGGCACAATACCTACCACCAATTGGTATGATACAAAGATTATATTTGCAAGCTAGATTCACAATCTTAACTACATCATCATGGCATGCTGTTGAAAAAAGGGAAAATAAATTAATTACAGAGGCATAAATAAAATCTGATAACCTTGGCAAATAAGAACCTACGAAATTCTTTATCTAAACTTTTCCTTCATTCATTTGCTCATTAACACAATGAGTTAATTGAGTACTAAAACACTTTACCTTTTTAACTTTTCATTTTGAAATAATTTGACTTACAAAAAAGTTACAAAGATAGTACGAAAATTTTCCTTCATCTCACATCCCCAAATACTAACATCTTATGTAGCTACAGTCCAATTTCAAAACCAAGCAATCAACACTGATACAATACAATAAACTAATCTACAGACCTTATTCAAATACTTCCAATTGTCCTACTAATGTCCTCTTTTCTGGACCAGAATCAACTCCAGGATCACACCCTGCATTTAGTTGCCTTGTGTCTTCTTTAAAAATAGGCATTTCCTTAGAGTATCTTTAACTTTCATGACCATGACAGTTTTGAAGAACAATGGTCAGTTATTTCATAGAATGCCCCTCAATTTGGGTTTGTAGATGTTTCCTCATGATTAAGTTCAGGTTATATATTTTGGGAGTAATTCCACAGAAGTGATGTTGCATCTTTGTCAGTGCATTACATCTAGAGGCACATGATATGAACATGTCTCATTTCCAGTAATGTTAACTTATTAATACAGCATTTGGTTAGGCCGTGTTACTAGGTTTCCCCACTATAAGGATACTCTGTTTCTTGTCAAAATTAATAGGTATTAATTGTTCAAATACCTATTATTTAAATACCTATTAATTTCAACAAGAAACACAGTATCCTTATAGTGGGAAAACCTAGTGACACAGTATTTACATATCTTAGACTATGTAAAATATCATGATTCTCATCATACTTTCACCTACTAATTTTAGCACCATTGATGATTTATTGTTTAAACAAATGTTTACAATATTGCACAAAATACACTGCACATAATTCCTTTCCTTTGTACAGAACTAAAGGGTTCTCTTTATGCTTGTAAAAGTTATACAAGTAACAAAAACCTGACTGGAAGATTTTAAATGCCAAGCAAGAGGTGCTAAGACTCAACTTGACTGGCAATAGGACATTAGTGGAGGTTCTTAAGGAGGGGAACAAGATGGCAAAGAGATTGTTTTAGAAAAGTCAATCTCCTGATATAATAAGAGATGGCATGGAGGAGCGAGACTTGAGGCAAGAAAACTATGCAAAACTCCAGTATTAGTTGCTAAGAGCCTAAGGACTTAGTAGGAAATAAGAATGCTGAGGAAAGCAAATGAATATCCATTTATGAAAGCAAAAATAGTTCCATAAAAGTTGCAATTATCTTTTCTAAGGTTTGTGTAAAGCTAAGAAAACATGTCATTTGTTTCATTCCGATTTTTAATAAATATCTATTTTCAAGCTTTTGGATTAAACTTATAAAGCTTGCTATCTGTGGTAAATTTACTAAATAGAATACTCATTAATTAATAATTCACAAAACACCCAAAGATGTCTATTAAAAAATCTTCAACAAGGCAAAATTATCTTCTAGGAATGTCACCTAATCAAAAGCCTTCCTTAACCATGTTATCTGAAACTGCACCCCCATTCCACTACACATCCTTGTTCGCACTACCCTCTTACATGCTTTTCTTTTCTTTACAGCACTTAACACTACCCAATATGTTACATATTTACTTGTGGATTATCTGTTTCCCCTCGGTAAATTGTATGGCACTTGAGAGCACGGATTTTTGTTTTATTCACTGCTTATCCTCAACTACCTAGCCTGTATTTTCACAGTTCTAAAGTTCTGGTGTTTAAGCCACTGAAAATAATGCATAAATACTAAATTTAATAAGTGAAGTAATTGTCCTTACTCTTAAGCCCTAAGCATCCTATTAAGCAACACATAGAATTCCGATTCAGATCAAAGCCAGACTTAAAGACAACTACAACAGATTTCCAGTTGTGTGTGTGTGTGTGTGTGTATTGCAAGAATGAGACAGCCACATCCACTCTATGGAATACCACATTGCCTCAAATTTCTTCATTGTCTCAAAACTAGGCCTCCTGCAAAGAAAAACTTGGACTTCATCGCCAGTAGGAAATTCACATTAAAATTAAATAAAGACCTCAGTGACTTAATAACTTGTCGGGAAACTATTTCCAAAGAAGTCATTATACTAGGATATTGAACAGAATAAAATTATAAACTTGATTCAGCCAGGAATACACCATTCATACAGATTCTTGAAGTATGGAAGAAGTTGGCAAAAGGATTATTGAATTAATCTCCCAACGGTGTATGGGAGGCTTAAGGGGCAAGAAACATGCGGCATGAAAACCCTTATGGCTTCACAAAAACCTGGATATACACTGAGAAGGAACTGATTTGGAAACTGGGATGAAAAAAAGTGGAAGAGCAAAGGTGCAAGGGAACCAATAAAATGGGAGGGATTTTACAAAGCAAAGAAACTTTTGTGAAATATTGTTTACTACATCTGAGTTTTTGAGAATATTTGGATTTCTTAAAGCAAAATATACTTCCACTATATTATTCTGTTTTTGTTTTTGTTTTTGTTTTTTAAGACATGAGGGACTCACTAGTCCAGGCTAGACTCGAACTTCAGGCAAGTAATCCTCCTGCGTCATCATTCTGAGTAACGGGGACTACAGGCATGCACTGCCAAGCCCAACTCTCTAAGTATTTTAATATTGAAAGACATGAAGAAAATGCCTAGAAGGTACACTTGGAAGTTCTTATTAAGATACATCAAAGGATGGCCTATTAGGTTTCTTGTGGGAAGTGAAAATTGATAAATTTTGCTTTCATGTTTTCCAGTAATAAATGGAATAAACCTTCTCCAAATCTTGGTAGAGAAGTAACCTAAAGCTACTAAAAAGCAAGGAAGCAAAACAAAAATATTTCTTCTATTGGAGAATATCTTTTCCTCAGGAACAGTTAAAATTTCTATACTAAACTAATAGAGATGAAAGACATTTCATAAATATTCCAAATGCATAGACTAATATACAAGTATCAGGAAAGTAACTTCATCTCTGCTACATATGCTCTTGGATTTTCCTTCTGTGTATCTCACCTGCCTCTTGCCCCCACATTAAAGTATAATTTTTCTCTCAGTCCCTCCAAAGTAGAAGGATCTCATTTAAGAACTGAGAGTCCGTGAATGAGCCAATTTATTAAAAAATAAAATATACACTCTGAAAAGGAAGATCTGAAGAGAAAATGAATCAGAAGATCAATAGAACTCTTTAAAAAATGCAATAATGGACAGCAAGGAACAATATACCCATCTTGCTTTAAATTACCTGCTAAAAGAGATAGGTAAAAACTTCAGATTTATAAATATAGTACCTACTACTCACTAAGAGCAAAATTACAACAGAAAGCTCATCCATCCCCTGTCCCAGCCAAATCCTAATAATTACTCAAAATTTAATTATTCATTTTAAACATAGCATGCATAAACATAATACATAAAACTTGTTTGACCAGGCTTTTTAAAGCTCACAAGCTGATATCAACAAATTATTACTAATATTAGTTTGCAGTACTCAATTATATTAATAATTCTATATATCTGAATGTATTACTGACACTAATTTCATGAAGCTTCCAAATTATCCAAAAATATGTTTTTCCACTGACATCTCAAATATGATTATTTACATTTAAAATGATGATTTAATTATCAGCAACAAAATGAATTGTTAAAACCAATAGTTCAGAACAACCAAGTCAAGAAAGAGCTTCAAGACTGTTATGTAAACTCTCTTAAAAATACAGCAATTTATATTTTTTACAACTCATATGCCAAAAAGTACGTATTTCCAATGTTAAATTTACCTAAAATTTAGCAATACTAAATTAATGATACGAGGAGGGGAAAACTTACTTGGCCATAAAACTATATCAGGAATTCGCTCAAACATTCCTTCCCTGAGCAAAAATATCTCATGAAGACAATGACCTGTTTTGTGGTTAAAAAAAAGAAAAACACAAAAACAGCTTAAAATATAGAATTTTTTTGTTAAAAATAAATAGGGCTAATATAAAGTAACTTACCATGAGCTCTAAATACTCGATCATCTGCCTCTTGTGAATATGAAATATTAGTTTCTTTAAGGTCATGAAGAAAATCTTCATTTACAACAGAAGGAGGTGTATCACTAGGATTTAAGGATGCCTAGAAAATAAAATTGATTTCTTTGACTTATTTTTAGACAACGAATTTTGGGTACTTCAGTTAGAGAGAATGACTATAAAATGTAGACTTTTTTTTAAACATTCAAAGTAAGGCTGAAGCATAGGAAAATACAACACAACATATATAGAAATCAGCTTTATGAGAGTAACAAATTACAAATTTCTAAAGATTGTAATCAACAGGGAAGACAGCAAAGTATTAAATCTTCCATTTCAGATTAAGGAGACTGGGAGAAAGCTACTTGACTTTCGCACTATCTACACTTATACCTGTCGATAAAATTTAGCATTTCTGGCCGGGTGCAGTGGCTCACGCCTGTAATCCCAGCACTTTCGGAGGCCAAGAAGGGCAGATCACGAGGTCAGGAGATTGAGACCATCCTGGCTAACATGGTGAAACCTCGCCTCTACTAAAAATACAAAAATTAGCCGGGCGTGGTGGCGGGCGCCTGTAGTCCCAGCTACTTGGGAGGCTGAGGCAGGAGAATGGCATGAACCCGGGAGGCAGAGCTTGCAGTGAGCCGAGATTGTACCACGGCACTCCAGAGCGACAGAGCTCTGGGAGACAGAGCGAGACTCTGTCGCAAAAAAAAAAAAAAAAAAATTCAGCATTTCTTATTCTTCAATTGCCATTTTAAAGTGATCAACAGAAAGCCTCAAAATAAGTAATAAATCCATTTTTATAGAGCTGCTTTAAAACTCACAACATAATTATAAACTTGATATTCAATTTCACCTAACAGGTAACTTGAAATCTAATCTTCAACTTCAAAGTTAAAACTATGAGACATTGGGCATGTCACCCAACTTCTGTGAGCCTTGGCTTCTTCATCTGTTAAATGACATTGTCACCATAGTGCTACTATAAGGAAGGCAGGTTAAATGTGATAATTTTTGTGAAAAGCACCTAATAGCATGGCTAGAATATAGGAAGAAGTCTATAAACGGCTGGCCAAGTAAAATCTGCTACGGGGGATTGAGGGAAGCTATCATACAGTATTTGGAAAAAAGAAAGTATATAAGAATATGCAAAGAACAAATATGATACTTGCATATTATCTTAATCTCTTATTAAGATACTGCATAATAAATACTTACTGAGTGGCTGCTATAAGCTAGCCACTCTTCAAGGTCTTGATACAACAGTGAGTTAAACAGAAAAAAAAATTTTGACCCTGTGCAATTTATCCCATAGGAGAAGGAAATACTAAAAGAACTCCAACAAAATATATTAATATTTTAAGTCATTAAGAATTGAAAAGGGCTCAAAACCTGGTGAAATTTCTAACTATAGTATGTGGATTGTATCAATGTCAAAAACAAGTAATTGCAAATAGTCAAGAGATCAAAAGAGAGAGAGAATTTAAGAGATAAGAGACGTCTAGGAAAAGTTAAAAGATGGCTTGGAAGGGGTAGAATTAGTTGTTCAGCCTAACTTAATAACTAGAGTAAAATAACTGTGGATTTTTAAATAAACCCAACAAGTACTCACCAAATACCTATACCACTTAACAACAAGTTGGATACAGTGGAGAATATTGTATAAGACATAGCCCTGTACTTATGGAACTTATATCCAGTTAGAGAGACATACAGAATACTATGCTACAGCAAAATAATAATAAAAACACATCAAAAATAATAAAAAGAAATGCAACAATAATAAAAACACAACAAAAATAATAAAAAGAAACGCTAAATATTTCATTAGTTTCATACATATATATATATATATATATATATATACCTACAGTTTAAAGTTTCCTAATCCCACTTTCAGAAAAGTGAAACTACATGAACAAACTAAAATCCTCAATCACTCATATCTTAATCAAATTTTTACTTTTTATAATTCTTCAAATATTCTAAATATCCTAATACTAAATGTGATTTTACATTTTTATTTTAAATTATTCTCTATTAATCCTAGATTACAGTCAGTCTATTAAATAATCTAAACATGATAGCAACTTATATTTCTGTAACAAAGCACTCTTTAAGGAAGTAAATAATCTGCACTTCACTACTACCCTGTGATAGGCAGAACAAATAGTTATTACTCCCAATTCTAAAAATAACCAAGGCTCAGAGAGGATAAAAAGTTTGCCAGATAAATCTCAAATAAATTCTGAGACTAAGGTCTATATCTGTGACAATGAATAACTGCCGCTAACAGTCTAACAAGGCCAATATAATTAATAGGCTTTATAACAAAAAACATGACAGTTGCAGTAAATCCAATATAATGAATTACAAAGATAAATCAAATTAATTTGGGTTTTAAAAACACAGTTAAATGAGTTAGTAATAATTTTTGTTTGCTTACTTTAGAGGTAGTTTTATGCTCCACATTTACTCCAAGGGTATTTTGGATCCATTCTTTAAATGTTGGTAAACCCATGCCACTAAGAGGGTACCTAAGGTACAAAGAAAGTAAAAATATTAGAGCAAAGTATCTTCATTTAAATTTAAAGCTTAAATTCTGCTTCCAGTGATGGTCAAGCAGCTACTATCAAACCAACACTTTCACATGTAACTATAAACTCTGAACGAAAACAAAACAAACAAAACCCAGCTATCTAAAGGCAGTATAGACAGACCAAAAGCAGTCAAAAATAGGGGAGAAGGGTGTGCTACACTTGAAAAAAGGAAAAAATACTACATAAGTTCATAAGTTTCCAGTTTGGTTTTGTTTTTTCCATAAGTTTTAGCCTTATGGCAGGCCCCAGCTGGTGCCTCAAAAGGTAATAAAAATGCTGAAAATTTACAGTCTTCCTGGCTTAAAGAACCAGAGCACAGTGTTTGGGGTGAATGCTGCATCTGGAAAGCATACCGAGAAATCACAGAAAGAAGCAAGTAAGAGAGGAACCAATCTATCAGCTCTCTCCAAATGTCTGGCTGACTCTGAATAGCATGTATAGAATACATACTGGAATCTTCTAGGCAGCCCAGTTAAGCTTAAAAAAAAACTGGACAGGCAATTCAGCTGCTCACCACAGGGAGACAGAATTTAGAGTTTCAGATCAGTCAAGTTAATTGCTTGATTTAAGAAAAAAAAAGTCTTTTAAAGGTCTCTTCAGAGGAATATAACAGAATCCACAGCTCCTACATCATATCATGTACAATGTCCAAAACACACTCCAATATTACTAGACAAGAACAAACTGGAAAGTATGACTCATATTCAAGAAAAAGGACAATTAATGATGACTGACCCCAAAATGACCCAAGATACTGGAAGTAGCACACAAGGGTTTTAAAGCAGCTATTGTTGCTACGCCAATGGACAAAATGGAAAATGTACTCCTGGTGAATATTAGAAAAAAAATCTTAGCAGAGAAATAAAAAACTATAAAAAAGAACACAACAGAAATTCTATAATTGAATCTGAGACATTCCATTGGCATCTCATTACAATTTTAATTTGAATTTTACTGAGTACTTATGAAATTGAGCATCTATTCCTATAACTATTGTCCATTTGGATATCCTCCATTTTGAAAGCCAGTTCAAGTCTTTTGCTCATTTTCCTCCTGGGTTATTGTTTTCTCAATTACATGTAAGAAATCTTTATATATTTATAAAATGAAAGATACACATATTAGACATTTTCTCTTACTCTGTGATTTATCCTTTCACTCTCTTAAAGGAGTCCTGTAGTTTGGACACCAAACCCTCCAGACCTCATGTTGAAATTTGATCCCCTAGTGGGAGGTGGTTGGGTCATGGACGTATATCTTTATGAATAGATTAATGCCCTGGGGGAAGGGAGAGAAGTGTGAGTGAGTTGTTAGTTCCCTCAAGAGCTGGTTGTTTAAAAAGAGCCTGGCACCTCCCTACCATCTCTCTCTTGCTTTCAGTTTCACCATGTGATCTCAGCACATACCAGCTCCCCTTCCCCTTCTGCAGGACTGGAAGCAGCTTGAGGTCCTCACCAGAAGCAGACCCTGATGCCATGTTTCTTGCACAGCCTACAGAACCATGAGCCAAATAAACCTCTATTCTTTATTAATTACCCAGTCTCAGGTATTCCCATAAAATAAAAAGGTGACCACCTTCAAGATACTTGAAACTACAGATACAGAGTTAGTGTTACTATCATGTATAAAATTTAAAACTACCTTCTATCACTAAAATAAAGTCTTTATATCTCTATATCTGAATGCACAATATTTATTTAACACTCAGAAGACTGTACTTAGCATTGCAGAATACATGGAATTGGTATTATGACTCCTGTTTTTAAGAAACTTGCAACCTAGCTTAGTCAAAGCTACAGCAACATTTAATTTGTGAGATGAACACATGGGCAGAGAACATGAAACTTTAACCAGAGATGTGATAAAGGGAAAGTTAAGCACTTATACCAATTGTTGAATCACAGTGACTACTGAATGGATCTTCTTCTTTTCCATGACTGAAGATTAGTTTGAGAATATTAAATGGCTTTTGTTGTAAAATATAAGGTGAGATCAATTTATCACTTTCCCATAGGGCTGAAATAGACTATATTATAGAAGATACAGAACCAGAACAAGTTTTCAAGGCCAATGAAATCATTCTACATGGAAAGAAAAAATTCTGTGGACAAAAATTATCCAAGAGGGAAGTGCACATCAGGACTGACAATGACTAAAAGCAAAGTGACTCTCACTCTGGGGCAGCACATAAGA
Source organism: Homo sapiens (assembly GCF_000001405.40). NCBI lineage: Eukaryota > Metazoa > Chordata > Mammalia > Primates > Hominidae > Homo > Homo sapiens. The sequence continues at coordinate 177,432,070 of NC_000002.12, read as the reverse complement.
AGCAGCAAAAATATTAGTATATGTTGTGGGAAGTCAGGGACCCCGAACAGAGGGACCGGCTGGAGCCATGGCAGAGGAACACAAATTGTGAAGATTTCATGGTCATTTATCAGTTCCCAAAATTAATACTCTTATAATTTCTTATGCCTGCCTTTAATCTCTTAATCCTGTTATCTTCATAAGCTGAGAATGTAGGTCACCTCAGGACCACTATTGTACAAATTGACTGTAAAACATGTGTGTTTGAACAATATGAAATCAGAGCACCTTGAAAACGAACAGAATAACAGCAATTTTAAGGAACAAGGGAACACAACCAAAGGTCTGACTGCCTGCGGGGTCAGGCACAATAGAGCCATATTTTTCTTCTTGCAGAGAGCCTATAAAAGGACGTGAAAGCAGGAGAGATATCGCTGAATTATTTTCCCAGCAAGGAATATTAATAATTAATACCCTGGGGAGGGAATGCATTCCTGGGGGGACGTCTATAAACAGCTGCTCTGGAAGTGTCTGTCTCATGCAGTTGAGATAAGGACTGAAATTACGCCCTGTTCTCCTGCATTACCCTCTGGCTTATTAGGGTGGGGAAAAGATCCCGCTCTGGTAAATTTGAGGTCAGACCGGTTCTCTGCTCTCGAACCCTGTTTTCTGTTGTTTAAGATGTTTATCAAGACAATACGTGCACAGCCGAACACAGACCCTCATCAGTCATTCTAATTTTGCCCTTTGCCTTGTGATCTTTACTTTGCCCTTTGCCTTGTGATCTTTATTGCCCTTTGAAGCATGTGATCTTTGTGACCTACTCCCTGTTTGTACACCCCCTCCCCTTTTGAAATCCCTAATAAAAACTTGCTGGTTTTGTAGCTCAGGGGGCATTATGGACCTACCGATAATGTGGTATCACCCCCGGCGGCCCAGCTGTAAAATTCCTCTCTTTGTACTCTTTCTGTTTATTTCTCAGACCAGCCGACACTTAGGGAAAATAGAACCTATGTTGAAATACTGGGGGTGGGTTCCCCTGATAAGTATATACAATCATCTAGCCTCAGGGTGAGTTCCACAATTGCTAAGCAATTTAACAGCCTTTTTATAATCAGATAAAGCTTCAATTAAAAATTATGCCATCAAAAAGACAAAGTCTAACAAACTCAAATTTTTCATTTATATACTAACTTGTGATTTCTAAGTACCAAACTAATGTATAATACCCATAAAGTCAAAAATAGTGACATTTTTCAAAAATTTTAGTTTATAGAAATCTATAGGGACTGAGATGGCTGATTAGAAGCAGCTGTGATCCGCAGCTGTCATGGAGAAGAATGAAAATAGCAACTGAATTCAGCACCTTCAACTAAAATATCCACGTTCTCACATCAGGACTGACTAGGCAGACAGCTGGACCCATGGAGAACAAAGAAAAGGAGGGTGGGGTGATGATCCAAGTGGGAGAAGCATGGAGCCAAAAGAACCCCCACCCCCAGCCAAGCAGAGCAGTGAGAGATTGTGCAACCCCACCAGGGAAACCACACTTCTCCCACTCCATATTTGTAACCTGTGGATCAGGAGATCCCCTCATGACCCCACACCACCAGGGCCTTGGGTTCAATACACAGAGCCGTGTCTCAAAAGAACAGTCACTCAGGCTCGCACAGTAACCCAGGAGTTTTACAGACTCCACCCTAGGAATCCCAGCAAGGTGGAAGATCCATCTGCTCACTCCCCTAGGAGGGGGACTGAATCCAGGGATCCAAGCAACATTGTTCTGCAGGCCACACTTCCACAGCACCTCACAAGTTAAGACCCACTGGCTTGGAATTCCAGCCAGCCAGTGCAACAATCTGGAGACTGCCTGAGATGGATGAGTTCCCTGAAGGAGGAGCAACCACCATTTCTGTGGTTAGGTTGACTCAGCTGTTCTAGCCTGCCAGCTCCAGGCAGTCCAGGTGGTCTGAATGAGAAGGAATCCCACACAATGCAACACAGCTGCTATGCCAGATTGTGGCCAGACTGCTTTTTTTTAAGTGGGACCCCAATCCATTGCTCCTCATTGGGTGGGGACTCCCTGTGGGAATTTCAGCAACTCCAGACAGGGTGACACAGACAGAACTCTGATCTCTCCCTGGGACAGAGCCCCTTGGGGGAGACACAGCCGATGTCTCTGCAGTTCAGTTGACTCAGCCTTTCCAGCCTGCTGGCTCTGAAGAGTCCAGGCAGTCTGGACATGAAAGGGTTATCCCCAACATGGCACAGCTGCTCCACCAAAACCCAGCCATCCTGTTCCTCCTGACTGTGTCAGAGCTCCCAACAGGGGTCTCCAGACACCCTATGGGAGCATCCAGGCCAGCAACAGGTCACTACCCACCCTGGGACGGAGCTCCCAGAGGAAAAAGCAGGCTGCCATCTTTGCTGTTTCACAGCCTCCACTGGTGATACCTCCAGGTCTGGGAAAAATGAGGCAAATAGGGTCACGAGCAATCCCCAAACAAACCACAGCAGCCCTACGAAAAAGTGGCCTGTTAAAAGAAAAACAAACAAACAGAAAGCAACAACAACAGCATCAAAAAAAAGACCACACAAAAATCCCACTCAAAGGTCAGCAACCTCAAAAAATTGAAGCTAGATAATCCCACAAAGATGAGAAAGAATCAATGCAAAAATACTGAAAACTCAAAAAGCCAGAGGGCCTCTTCTCCTCCAAATGACCACAATACCTCTCCAGCAAGGGCAGAGAACTGGGCTAAGGCTGAGATGGTTGAAATCACAGAAGTAGGCTTCAGATGGTGGGTAATAACGAACTTCGCTGAGCTAAAGGAACATGCTCTAACCCAATGCAAAAAAGCTAAGAATCATGATAAAACAATACAGGAGCTGAAAACCAGAAGAGCCAGTTTAGAGAGGAGCATAACTAATCTGATGCAGCTGAAAAACACAACACAAGAAATTCACAATGCAATCACAAGTATCAATAGCAGAATAGACCAAGTGGAGGAAAGAATCTCAAAGCTTGAAGACTATAGTCTTCAAGGCAGACAAGAATAGAGAAAAAAGAATGAAAAGAAATGAACAAAACCTCTGAGAAATGTGGGACTATGTAAAAAAGACTGAACCTATGACTGATTGGGGTACCCGAAAGAGATGGAGAGAATGGAACCAAGTTGGAAAACATACTTCAGAATATAATCCAGGAGAACTTCCCCAACCTAGCAAGACAGGCCAACATTCAAATGCAGGAAGTCCAGAGAACCCCAGTAAGATACTCCATGAGATCAACCCCAAGACACATAATCATCAGATTCTCAAAGGTTGAAAAGAGAGAAAAAATGTTATGGGTAGCCAGAGAGAAAGGCCAGGTCACCTACAAAGGGAAACCCATCAGACTAACAGCAGACCTCTCAGCAAAAACCCTACAGGCCAGAAGAGATTGGGGGCCAATATTCAACATTCTTAAAGAAAAGAATTTTCAACCTAGAATTTCATATCCAGCCAAACTAAGCTTCATAAGCGAAGAAGAAGATCCTTTCCAGACAAGCAAATGCTGAGGGAATTCATCACCACCAGGCCTGCCTTGCAAGAGCTCCTGAAGAAAGCACTAAATATGAAAAAGAAAAATGGTTACCAGCCACTATAAAAACACACTGAAGTACACAGACCAGTGACACTATGAAGCAACCACATAAACAAGTATGCAAAATAACTACCTAGCATCATGATGACAGGATCAAATTCACACATAATAAAAACCTTAAATGTAAATGGGCTAAATGCCCGAATTAAAAGACACAGAATTGCAAGGTGGGTGAAGAGTCAAGACCCATTAGCATGCTGTCAAGAGACCCATGTAAAATGCAAAGACACACATGAACTCAAAAGAAAGGGATGGAGGAAAATTTACCAAGCAAATGCAAAACAGAAAAAAGCAGGTGTCGCAATCCTAGTTTCTGACAAAACAGACTTTAAACCAACAAAGACCAAAAAAGACAAAGAAGAGCATTACATAATGGTAAAGGGTTCAATTCAACAAGAAGAGCTAAATATCCTAAATATATATGTACCCAATAGAGGAGCACCCAGATCCATAAAGCAAATTATTAGAGACCTACAAAGAGACTTACACTCACACACAATAATAGTGAGAGGCTTTAACATCCCACTGACAATATTAGACAGATCACTGAGACAGAAAATTAAAAGATATTCAAAACCTGAACTCAGCTTTGGATCAAGCAGACTTGATAGACATCTACAGAACCCTCCACCCAAAAACAACAAAATATATATTTTTCTCATCGCCACAACACTTACTCTAAAATTGATCACGTAATCGGAATTAAAACACCCCCCAGCAAATGCAAAATAACTGAAATCATAACAGTCTCTCAGACCACAACACAATCAGGTTAGAATCAAGACTAAAAAAATCACCCAAAACCATACAACTACATGGAAACTGAACAACCTGAATGACTCCTGGGTGAAATTAAGGCAGAAATCAAGAAGTTATTTGAAACTAATGAAAACAAAGAAACAAAGTACCAGAATCTCTGGGGTGCAGCTAAAGCAGTGTTAAGAGGAAAATTTCTAGCACTAAAATGCCCACATCAAAAACCTAGAAAGATCTCAAATTAACAACCTAACATGACAACTAAAAGAACTAGAGAACCAAGAACAAACTCCAAAGGTAGCAGAACACAAGAAATAACCAAGATCAGAGCAGAACTAAAGAAGATAGAGATGTGAAAAACCCTTCAAAAAGCCAATGAATCCAGGAGCTGGTTTTTTGAAAAAATAAATAGGCAGACTGCTAGCTAGACTAATAAAGAAGAAAAGAGAGAAGAATCAGACACCATCAAAAATGATAAGGGGGATACCACCACTGACACTACAGAAATACAAACAATCATCAAAGAATACTATCAACATCTCTATGCACATGAACTAGAAAATCTAGAAAAAAGTGGATAAGTTCCTGGACATATACACCCTCCCAAGATTGAACCAGGAAGAACCTGAATCCCTGAATAGACCAGTAATGAGTTCTGAAAATGAGACAGTAATAGCCTGCCAACCAAAAAGAGCCCAGGACCAGACAGATTTACAGCTGAATTCTACTAGAGGTACAAAGAAGAGCTGGTACCATTTCTACTGAAACTAAATTGAAAAGGAGGGACTGCTACCTAACTCCTTTTATGAGATCAGCATCATTTTGATACCAAAACCTGGCAGAGACACAACAACAAAAAAAGAAAACTTCAAGCCAATATCCCTGATGAACATCAATGCAAAAATCCTAAATAAAATACTGGCAAACTGAACCCAGCAATACATCAAAAAGCTTATCCACCACAATCAAGGTTGGTTCAACATATGCAAATCAATAAATGTAATTTATCACATAAACAGAACTAAAGACAAAAACCACATGATTATCTCAATGGACACAGAAAAGGCCTTAGATAAAATTCAGCATCTCTTCATGTTAAAAATTCAATAAAGTAAGGATTGAAGGACCATACTTCAAAATAATAAGAGCCATATATAACAAACTCATAGTCAATATTATACCAGAATGAGCAAAAGCTGGAAGCATTCTCCTCGAAAACCGGCATAAGACAAGGATGCTTTCTCTCACCACTACTTTCAACATAGTATTGGAAGTTCTGGCCAGGGCAACCAGGCAAGAGAAAGAAATAAAGAAAATTCAAATAGGAAGAGAGGAAGTCAAACTGTTTCTGTTTGCAGATGACATGATCCTGTATCTAGAAAACCCCACCATCTCAGCCCAAAAGCTTCTGAAGCTGATAAGCAACTTCAGCAAAGTCTCAGGATACAAAATCAATGTGCAAAAATCACTAGTATTCCTATACACCAACAACAGGCAAGAAGAGAGCCAAATCATGAATGAACTCCCATTCACAATTGCTACAAAGAGAATAAAACACCTATGAATACATCTAACAAGGGAAATGAAGGACCTCTTCAAGGACAACTACAAATCACTGCTCACGGAACTCAGAGAAGACACAAAGAAATGGAAAAACATTCTATGCTCATGGATAGGAAGAATCAATATTGTGAAAATGGCCATACTACCCAAAGTAATTTATAGATTCAATGCTATTCCCATTAAACTATCATTGACATTCTTCACAGAACTAGAAAAAACTATTTTAAAATTCATATGGAATCAAAAAAGAGCCTGTATAGCCAAGACAATCCTACACAAAAAGAACAAAGCTGGAGGCATCACACTACCCAAGTTCCAACTATACTACAAGCCTACAGTAACCAAAACATCATGGTACTGGCACAAAAACAGACACATAGACCAATGGAAAAGAATAGAGATCCCAGAAATAAGACTGCACACCTACAACCATCTGATCTTCAACAAACCTGACAAAAACAAGCAATGGGGAAAGGATTTCCTTTTTTTTTTTTTTTTTTTTTTCTAGGCAGAGTTTCACTCTTGTTGCCCAGGCTGGAGTGCAATGGCGTGATCTTGGCTCACCGCAACCTCCACCTCCCGGGTTCAAGCGAGTCTCCTGCCTCAGCCTCATGAGTAGCTGGGATTATAGGCATGCGCCACCATGCCCTGCTAATTTTTGTATTTTTAGTAGAGACAGGGTTTCTCCATGTTGGTCAGGCTGGTCTCAAACTCCTGACCTCAGGTGATCCACCCGCCTCAGCCTCCCAAAGTGCTGGGATTACGGGTGTGAGCCACTGCGCCCGGCCAGGATTCCCTATTTAATAAATGGTGCTGGGAGAACTGGGTAGGCATATGCAGAAAATTGAAACTATATCCCTTCCTTACATCTTACACAAAAATTAACTCAAGATGGATTAAAGACTTAAATGTAAAACCCAAAACTATAAAAACCCCAGAAAAAAATCTAGGCAATACCATTCAGAACATAGGCATGGGCAAAGATTTCACGACAAAAACGCCAAAAGCAATTGCAGCAAAAGCCAAAATTGACAAATGAGATCTAATTAAACTAAAGAGCTTCTGCACAGCAAAAGAAACTATCATCAGAGTGAACAGACAACCTACAGAACGGGAGAAAATTTTTGCAATCGGAGCATCTGACAAAGGTCTAATATCCAGAGTCTACAAGGAACTTAAACAAATTTACAAGAAAAAACCAACCCCATTAAAAAGTGGGCAAAGGACATGAACAGACACTTCTCAAAAGAAGACATTCATGCAGCCAACAAACATGAAAAAAAGCTCAGCATCACTCATCATTAGAGAAACGCACATCAAAACCACAATGAGATACCACCTCACGTCAGAATGGCGATTATTAAAAAGTCCAGAAACAACAGATGCCAGTGAGGTTGCAGAGATAAAGGAATGCTTTTACACTGGTGGACTGTAAATTAGTTCAACCATTGTGGAAGACAGTGTGGTGATTCCTCAAAGATCTAGAGGCAGAAATACCATTTGACCCAGCAGTCCCCTTACTGGGTAAATACACAAAGGAATAGATACATTATAAATATTGCTTTCTGTTTCAAGATTTTAAAATTTGAAATAATTTTCATTTCCATATGTTTTCTCCTAATTACTATTCAGAGGCATACAGACATTAAATAGTTGTACAGGCAAAAAAAAAAATCATTCTATTATAAAGATATATGCATGCATATGTTCATTGCAGCACAATTCACAATAGCAAACACATGGAATCAACCCAAATGTCCATCAATGATTGACTGGATAAAGAAAATATGGTACATATACACCATGGAATACTATGCAGCCATAGAAAGGAACACAATCATGTCCTTTGCAGGGACATGGATAGAGCTGGAAGCCATTATCCTCAGCAAACTAACACAGGAACAGAAAACCAAACACCGCATGTTCTCACTTATAAGTGGGAGCTGAACAATGAGAACACATGAACACAAGGAGGGGAACAACATACACTGGGGCCCATCAAGGGGAGCAGTAGAAGGAGGGAGAGCATCAGGAAAAACAGCTAATGGATAGTGGGCTTAATAACCTAATAACCAAGGGGATGGGTTGATCTGTGCAGCAAACCACCATGTCACACGTTTAGCTATGTAACAAACCTGCACATCCTGCACATGTACCCCAGAACTTAAAAGCTGAAGGAAAAAAAAAATCTCTAGAATTGGCTCCAGAGTATTGCCTTATGCTGCTTAAACCCAGGAGGACTAAATTCACTCATACTTAGAAGGAATAAGAGTGGTAAGTGATAAATCTAGAGATTTATAAACTGATAAATTATAAATCTGTTCAGAAGATAGACTGCTCAGAAAAAAATTTCAGACTCTTCTCCTAACATAGGGGAAAAGCTGTTATTCTATAATAGCTTCTAATAATTGCTTACAATGTAATGCCTGGGCTTGAAATGTCAAAGTCGCCCTCCTGCAAAATATAGACAATCAACTACATTTCCGTATAAAAATCTACCTTTTCAATGTTCTTTGGATCAGAAATAGGAAAACCCCACACCTCATCAATTTTCACTGATAATCACATTAGTTTCTGGCACCTGGGATTTCCCTTTCTTTCTTTCCAGCTCTGTTATATTTCTTTCTTCTAATATTTTATCCAACTTTTCTGTATGGTTATAGAAGGCGAGGGGCCTGAATTATTTCTGTCTACCTCACTGCCAGAATAGAAAGTCTCTACAAAAAATTTCAAAAATTGTCCTTACCATCTAATATTATTAATAAATAAGAGTGAATTAATACTGTTCAGCCAAACAGTGTTTTCTTGTACTCAGTCTTCGTAGTCATGAATTCCATTTTCTCTTTCAGGAATATCACAATCTTCTTACGCTTCTCCCCTTTGCCTTTCACAGTAACAATAGGAATTTTTGACACAAGATAACCTTTTATAATATGACTAATTCTACCGTGCTGGTATACAGAGTGTAGTGCTCCCAGGGTTTGAAGACAGAACAAGATCAGTACAGTGGATGAGTTTAGTTATCTACAGAAATAACTCAGAAGCACAGTATAATAGAAACTGCAGAAGAATGAAGTTTAAAAAAACACCTGGTTTTTAATCCCAATTTACCACTATGCAGGTGACTTCAGGTAAGCTACTTAACTTTCCTCATCCTCATTATTTTTAAGAAGGTAACTCTATCCATCTGATAGGGTTATTGTAAGGTAACTCAGTAGATACTCAATAAATAGTAGATATTATTATCTTAAGAGTGTTTGTAAATGTTTTCTGATAAAAATCAGAGAAACCTACTCATTCACCAATTATTCTTAGGAAAACAGACTAGATATAGAGAAAGTTATGATTCAATTCAACCCAGTTTATTATCCTGTGACAAGGTACTGGTGCTTCCCACCAAAATGGGAATTGAATTTTGTTTTGTTATTTCATTTTAGTTATTGTTTGTTTAGTATATATTTAATCTCAGAGCACCTAAATCCCATTTATACGTTTGGGGAATTATCCTTTTTGTAAGTCTTGAAGGAAGGCAAAAGCTACCCTCCACTAATGCAAATTTGCCAGATATTCACTTTCCTGGTCTCCCTTGCAGGCTCTTCCAGTCAGATGAACCCTTATTCTCCCTCTCCCCCACTGGACTCTGACTTAGGAGTCAACAATGCAAAGAAATGAGGCCTTTAAGGAATGCATTCTGGTAGGAGTGGTAGTAACCCATTAAAACCAACAGATAAATTCTCTGGTTCTATTACAGCCTGTATAAAAATCTCTATCAAGACCATCAAATCTCCTTTGTTCTGAATGTATGCTCTCCAAAGAATATCTAAGTTGCAAATGTTGTTCTCTAGATACCCTAACATCAGAAAGGGCACTAACAAGTATTCCATACCCTGAAAAAGCAATAATCTAACCATAAATGAATACACTGAGGTTCTAATTTTTTAAATCAGTTTCTTAGAAGTGTGGCATGTGTGTCAGACCCCTACAGCCTCATCTCTTCCAGGAAACTGACAAATCAAGTGCCAGAACACCCAAAATAAGAACGAGATCCTGAAAACATGGGACCCACTAAGGTATAATTACCTGTGATGTTTTATGACTAGTCATTCATTTCACACACACACACATACACACACACCTTCTCATATAAACCATTACATGGCCTACAGTACTGTACAGAAGACTTTGCTGAAATACAAGTGACTATCTACCCTGTTCCATAAAACAGAAATACTGTATACCTTCAAGGTCCAAACACAGAGAAAAAGAGAAGGAGAAATGAGGACAGTGTCCGAGAAGAGAGAAATTCGGTTTTCTAAGTTCAGAAGATTAATTTTTACTCCTTCAGAAGATTTTGAAAAGCCGATCTCTACATCGATGTTTCTATTGTATTAGGCATTATTCTATTTAAATAAAACATAAAAGATTCCACATTTAGAACACTGGTAAATCTGATATTAACCAGAAATCCCTTCTACCTGAATTACACAATTTCTCAACTAAGCCTCCATTGCTTGCTACCCAGTCACAATTAAGGATGGGAATGAGAACACAGATAATATTTATTTTCCTAATTAAAAAAAAAGTCAAATGTACATCTTCAGAACTTCATTAAAATTACTTTCAAATTACTATTCCTGAGGTTTTATTTTAGGTACAAAATATTAATGTCAGAAAAATAGAAAAATTATTAATACATTGCAATGAAAAGGAAATAAATAACTTCTCCAAAGGAATGAAACTTACTTTGCTGATATTTTAATATACTGATATAGCACATGTTTTAAAAACATTAACTTAAGTATAGTAATGTCCAATAGATATTAAATCAGGGTACAATACTGGAATAGACTCATAATATATCTGATCCAATTTTTTACTTAGTCTCAGTTTCTTTTTATTTTTGGTTCCAGCATTTAAGTATTACATATTTGTACTCACTGCCCTTTCAAATGTATCAAAATTCAACAGACAAACCAAAAACAGAGCTTTGGCAAAGGCAGTATTGCTTAAAACCAACAAAGAACTCGTTTTACAATTCTGACCATATCTAGAACAAACAGGAATAACACAAATATCCTTTAGAATTCTTTTTAATATTTTTCCAGTTTTACTGAGGTATGATTGAACCAATATGCTTTGTAATTCTTATCAACAAATAACCACATTTAAGACATAGAAAAGCTATCACAAAAATGACTGATCTTTCCCTATCACTTCTTTCCTAATTTATCTCAGAAGCTAATTTTTTAAAATACTATTTATATTCACACAGACCTAAAATCATTCACCTTTCATAATAACCCACACTCCTTGTAAATTACCAGATTTAAATATGAAGCTACTTTCAAAAAACTGAATGGCATGGGAATTGGGTGGTGGGTGGCTTATAGACATTATTTGGATCCTGACACAAATAAACTACCTATAAAAGATGTTTGTGAGACAACTGGAGAATGTGAATATGAACTGGATAACTAAATAAAAATTTTTTGCTATTTTGGATATATAATATTATATAATTGGTTATATTAGGTCCTTATTTTTTAAGACATATAATATATATATACACACACACAAATACATATATTTAGAGGTGACATGACAACATCAGAATTTGAAATATTACCAGGAGACAAAAAGCAGTTATGGCAAAATGTTGATAATGTTTAAACTCAAGGAGGAATCATTATATTTTCATGTGTGTTTAAAATTTTTCATAGAAAGAAAGAATTAAAGGAGGAACAAAAGAAGAAATAAACCAGGGTTACCTTTTCCCAGTCAATTCAATTTGGCCCTTCTTATTGAAGATGAATTTAGAATCATTATATCCCCATCCATTCCATTTCATAACTTCTTGCCTAGTGAGAAGAAAATATATATAAGTGAGACCAATGCTAAACATCTTAAAACTGTACAGTATATCATTGATTATTAACTCACAATCATCTAAAATACCTTATGCCCACAAATATTGTATAAGGTTAAATAAAATTAGCACACATTAAAATGTCCATATACTAATATTTCTGAATATAGAATCACTCTGATGAGCAGCACCTGCTTCACAGAGGGCTACAACCAATAAATTTAATGCATTCAAAGGAAGAAATAAAAAGTTGCAAAAAGGAAGAAGATATGCTTAAAATATAAATGTCTCATTTTGTACATGTTATTGGGTTTACACTGTAGAATGACCTAAAAAGCTTTGCAATTAAAACTAAGGAAACAAAGTTTTACACATGAGAAAAAAATCATAATTATTAACCTTCTGCTACGATTTTTAAAAAAAGACCAATTTACCAAGTAGACTGACTAGTAGTAGACACAATAAAGTAGATTAAAAATCTCAGTGCTGGGTTTACATTCTAAATTCTTCAAATTCCATATAGCTACCAATCTCTACCTTGACCTACATATTGTAACAGTTAATGGCCATACTCACTTTCAATATTTCAAAATAACATGCTATTTTTAATTTCCAAAATACCAATATTTCATAACATGCTATTTTTAATTTGCAAAACACCAATATTTCATAGTTGTAAAAATCCTTATTTATCAAAATCAATGGTTGAATCATTCAATTTTGCACATCATGTAAGAATAGATAGGTCTGGACCTGTACAAAACATAAAAAGCAATCATGCTGAAGTATTGCATCACTTTTTATTACATGTTTTGGCATAGTACCCTAGTTTGATCTTGGCTACTGAAATAAATTGGTGGTGAGTCTTCTTACTACAAATTCAACTATGCAGTTTATGGTGCAAATAACTTAACAAAAACCCTTTTCTATCTTGAAAGTTATTTGCTGCATTAAAATTTCAAAATAAAGATGCACGCATTAGAAAGTGTTCTCTTATTCTCTGTAATTCTCAAGAAAGAAGAAAATAACAACTGACAAGCAAGTTTTTTTATTACAATCATAATTCTTGTTCTAGTTCAAAGGCTTTTCAAACAAATGAACATGAACATAATACAACTAAGCCAGATACAGGTAATTAATTATGAGCTGAAATCTCCATCTATACATAAAATTAAGACAAAGAAACTAGGAATGCTCTGTTTACAACTATGATTTGCTATTAATAAAAGCTACAGTCCCTCTACAAAAACTTCAAAATATCTGAAGAGTATCAATCCAGAGACTGGATTTGTAGATTAGTTATAAACTAACACCAAATATTTTTTCTAATCCCATAACATTCCTACCTCATTGCAGAGAGAGATTTTGGAACGGAGCTTTTGGAAAAATCTCTATGGAGAAACATCACGACTAATGTTACCAGTGACACACACATTTTCTTAAGATTTTACTTTTTTTTTTTTTGGTGCCAAAACTTGGGATTGAACCATAAGATTTTCACATTCTAAAAACAGATTAGGATATTTTCCACTTTGCTTTTTTTCATGATTAAATTATCTTCACTTTTATGAAGTATAATTTACTTAGTATTTTCTTATATTTCAATAATCAGAAGGATAAATGTATATTTTAATACATTAACATCTTTAATGGCTTATAATATGCATAGATTTTATGTGATTGCATTTTATTAGTGAATTTCAACATTTATTATAATTCTGTTCTCTACAAAATAGTAATTTGGTATTACACAAAATAAATGCAAAAATCTCAAGGCAAGGCACAAGGAAATCATTTCAGTACAGAGGTTGAATCTGGCATGTTTATGTAGCTTAACAACGAAAATCATTTTCCTTAAAATTATCCCTAGAATTTAAAAACTTATCCCCAGATGGCCCCAAAGTAAAAAGCTAAACTTGGTCACATGGGTTCATTCTTAGCACTTCATGAGGAAATGAATCAAGATAGCAGGAAAGATCTGCTGTTATACACTATAAAATGAAGGGATTTACATCCTGAAGAGTCTTTGGCCTTAAATTTTCAAGTTGGGTAATATTCTAAAGAACTTCCAAATTTTCAACTGTAGGTACCTTTTTCTCTCTTTTCATCCCAGTCATAAAATTGGGCTTATGAAATGGACTTTACCATATTTATATCAACTTTTGGAGTCTTCTCAGAAGTTGAATGTAGGCATTTGGAATGCATTTATACCCAAAACAGGATTATGCATAAATCATATACAATTAAAATCTAGATTACCCCCAAACCAATCTTCTGATATCTTCAAGTACCCCAGGTGTTAAATAAAAAACAGGTAAATTTCCCAGGCTTCTAGTTTTAAACTTTTATGTACACATATTCTAACCCCATCCCCACCAAATTACTAGTATATACTCTGATAGTTAAATATAACTATATGATTAAATTTTTTAATAACTTCTTATACATAGAAGTATTTTGAACGGTATTACAGCATAACATTTTAAAATTAGAGTAAAACTTTATATAGTCACAGAATTTGAAAACTAAAAAGATCCTCAGAACCCATCCAGTTCAATTGCTCATTTTTCAGATAAAGAAACTGCCCAGAGAAGCATCCCTGGTCACGCAGCTAAGTTAGTTGTGAGTATCCAAAGGCTGACTTCCAGTCTCATAATTCTTCCTCTTCAGAGAGGCAATAATATCTGAAACCCATCTAAGTCAGGCTGTCAGATAACCAGAATATTTGAAAGAACTCATTTTTTGATTTACATCAATACTGTTTCAAGAAACTATTACATGTTACTATAGATTGAGTATCCTTTATCCAAAATGCTTGGGACCAGAAGTGTTTCAGATTTCAGATATTTTTCAGATTCTGGAATATTTACATATACACAATGAGATTTCTTGGGGATGGGACCCAAGTCTAAACATAAAATTTATTTATGTTTCATATACATCTTATCACATAGCCTGAAGGTAATTTTATACAATATTTTTAATGGTTTTGTGCATGAAACAGAGTTTGCATACACTGAACTATCAGGAAGCAAAGGAATCACTATCTCATGACAGTGTTCAAAAAGTTTCCAATGTTGGAACATTGTGGATTTTAGATTTTCAAATTAAGGATGCTCACCCTGTGTTGTAGTAATTCTTCTGCACTTCAGCTGAAGGAAAACATTTAAAAATCAAGGGATATGTTTGTGTCAGAAGCCAAATTCCCTATACTTCCGATAGTGTAATGAATTCTGCCATTCAGAATAACCCCAAAGTACTGCAAGCACTAAAATGAAGAATGATTAAAGAATCATCAACTTTCCATAAGATTCAAATAAAAGAATCCAATTCTCAACTAACCCCAGAGGTCAATTAACCAGTATGATCTCAGACATTCCAATTCTTAGAGCTAACTATACCAAATTTAACATCTTTCAAAAAACAAGACCGGGCCAGGCACAGTGGCTCACACCTGTAATCCTAGCACTTTGGGAGGCCAAGGTGGGCAGATCACAAGGTCAGGAGATCAAGACCATCCTGGCTAATATAGTGAAACCCCATCTCTACTACAAATTAAAAAAAAAAATTAGCTGGGTGTAGTGGCGCATGCCTGTAGTCCCAGGTGCTCAGGAGGCTGAGGCAGGAGAATCGCTTGAACCTGGGAGGCGGAGGTGGCAGTGAGCCGAGATCACACCACTGCACTCCAGGCTGGGTGACAGAACAAGACTCCGTCTCAAAAAAACAAAACAAAACAAAAAAAAACCCTCCTCCTGCCGAAAGAATAGTTGGCTTGATTTTACTGCATAAAAAAATAAATGTTTTACACATTTACACATCTAACCACAGTACCAAACTGAAAAAGCAAGTATTAGCTGGTGTAACAAAAGAAAATGGAGGCATAAAATAGCATCCTATATGCACAAGGTGGCAGTATTCTCCCATGATATGTACATGATGTACATATTCAGCATTTTGCATTTTTCAGGGCTGTTATTATACAATCTTTAGGTGAAATATTTAGATTTAGCCTTACTATTATAAAAACCATAAAGAGTTTCTTTATTCTTAAAATGGGAAATTTTCACTTTGAAGTCTCTGTTTACAGACTGGTTGTCACACTACTATTCCTCTACTAGTAATAAACTGCAAACATCCTGATATATATGCATGGTTTCTACATTGCTATTTCTAATCATAATAGTCATAATATTTTTCACTAGAAAATAAGGAAAAGGAAAAAATGATTTTGGCTACTTTCATTCTGGGTTAACAACTGTAAAAGTTCAGCTATCTAATAACTTTTATAAAAGTTTTTCTGATAAAATTCCAATAATCAAAATTCTAATAAAAGATGCTTCACTCTTCAGATCAATATTTCCTCTTGCCCTGATATAAAACTCACAAAGCTACCTTCATCTGATAATATTGTGATTTCCTAGAGAGAAAAAAAAAAGGACAACTGAAATGGCCAAAAGGATCTACAGTTTTACTTTTCATCATGAATTAGTTTATTGGCTTGTTAATTAACTTTGGTAACTGGTGAGGGCAGTCAGACTATCTAAATGTAATCAACTTGAGGACTCTGATAAGATCATGTTTCTAGATGGGTCAACAAGGTATAATCTGTGTCCTCTAGACAGTGAGCCTTCTTGAACATTATCATGCAACACTTTAAACTTCAACAAGAATTTCAATCTTCCCTCAATATCCCCATTGTAAGTTTCTCAGCTCTAGTTGCCAGAATAAAAATGTGACCCTGTGATATAATAAGTTATTAATCAATGTGATAATTCTTAGCAGTGTGATAATGCAAAGTGGCTTAAATATGAGATTTGAGAACACAGAAAGTTGTTAACAAGAACATGAAGAAAAGGAATCCACATGCATACTGGTAAGCCACTCCACAGAGCAATCATGTAGTAAGCTTTCATAGGTAATGCCAATTCTATGACCCAACTATACAACTCCTGGGTATATATTGCATAGGAAATTCATATACAATTCCATAAGGGAACACATTTGATATATTCCCTGGAGCATTGTTTGTAAGAGTAGCTGGAGGCATCACTAGAGAAGCAGGTAAGTAATGTGGAAAATGCATTCCATGAAATATTAATGCAGCAATCAAAAGCAGTAAGTTGAATAGATATGCATATAGAAACACGATGAAATGTTTAAAACAGTGGTAAACACAAAGGAGAAACAATAAAATCCATAGTAAAACAGCATTTAAGGGAATTAAAAATATACACACTAAATAACACTGCATATTTCACAAAACACAAAATATTATATATAATATATCCAGATATATTATTTATAATGCATTCATCATATATGTATATTATATACATTATACACACACACACACACACACACACGAACCTTCATAGGCACCCATGGGATAGGCAGATGAAATTAGTAATCAGAGATGGAGGAAAATTAGAGGCCTCACACAAATACCATACATTAAAAATGTATGTTACCACAACTCTCTGAACCTGAGGCAAATACGCTGCTCAGCCTTTGAATCTCAGTGCAGTTTCTCTCTGTTCTGAGAAAATAATTCTTTCTTCCATATATACACAGAACTTTCATGATGGTTTATTATAAAATCTATTGGGCTTCTTAGCAATAGCTACAAATTTTTTTGAATGATAGAATTCCATTATGAATTAAACAGCTTCAACTATATGGTAAACCAAATATACATTTAACTACCTACAGTCAACTTTTTATAGTCCACAAGAAACTAGCACTCTAAAAAACTTTTTAAGGCCAAGCACAATGACCTGTAATCCCACCACTTTGGGAGGCCAAGGTGGGAGGATAACTTGAGCCTTGAAGTTCAAAATAAGCCTGAGCAATACAGCGGGACCCCTAATTCTCAAAAATAAAATAAAATAAAAGCCAGGTGTGGTGGTGCAAGCCTGTAATCCCAGCTACTACAAGGCCAAGGCAGAAGGATCCCTTGAGCTCAAGAGTTCAAGGTTGCAGTGAGCCATGATTGCCACTGCACTCCAGCCTGGGTGACAGAGTGAGGTCCTGTCTCAAAAAAAAGAAAAGAAAGAAACCTTTTAAAACTTGAATTCAAGGCTCAAAAACTGCGTCCCAAAGGTCCAATTCCTACTACATTTATCATGAATAAATGAGTGAAAGAAAAAGTAATATACAGGTATAAAGGGGAAAAATTCTAAACAGAGGCACAGGAAAGGGGCGGGGGGCAAGAAGGGCAAATAAGGCAAGACCAGCTTTACCTCACATTGACAGAATACTCTGGGCAGTCACTAATCACTTCAGGTTCTTGGGGTGCCATTCTTTACTCCCACACTTCTCTCACACACTACACCATAATCTACCAATTAGAAACTTGTTACTGTTTGAATGACGCATTTGAAAATGGAAATACACACTATTAGTCATTCATACATTTAGTAGTGTATGTTACAAATATTTTGTGGTAAGGGCAGGTGTGTACCCACATATCCACTCACACAAGCTTGGTACCTGCCATTCTGGAAGCCTGGAAAGAAACAACCATCCTACCCTTTACCCTCAGGTGTTGATCTACGTAATGAGGAAAACAATCCAAATCTGCATCAGGAGGTTGTCATAGCAAAGGACAAAGAGAAAAGGATATATCCTTCACTTGGACTCTTGTGTTCCCTGGACTGTACTTTAAATTTCATGGTTTTTCCCTTCATTGTCCACTTGTAATCTACCCAATATGGCAATTTTGGCAACCAACCCCAGACTGTCTCTACCACCAACTGGGAAAATGCCAATTCACTTTCATTGCTCACTCCATGCTTGTTAGTAATTAAAAAAGGAATTGTATCACAAGCTTATTATACTGACCAATCCATAAGTGACCAAAGCCATTTCTGGTAGAGCCTTGCATTTCTGTAGAAACTACAAAACTGAACACAGACAAAGAAAATACAAATGTCTCCAAAAATCTATATGCCATTTTAGCATTGAAACCAAGCCTAAGTTCCCTTCCCCTGCTGTCCTTTGGGGACAGACCAACAATACCCTTGGCATGACCCTAAAAATACCAAGACTGAAATCCATACCGGCTTAATGTACACAGTATTCTTGTTGTAAACCGTAATTGTTGGGCAACCCCCTTTGGGTTCCCTCCCATTGTATGGGAGCTCCGTTTTCACTCTATTAAATCTTGCAACTGCATACTCTTCTGGTCTGTGTTTGTTATGGCTCCAGCTGTGCTTTCACTTGCCATCCACCACTGTTGTTTGCCGCCATCGCAGACCCGCCGCTGATGCTGACTTCCACCCCTCCAGATCCAGCAGGGTGTCCACTGTGCTCCTGATCCAGCGAGGCACCCATTGCCACTCCCGATCGGGCTAAAGGCTTGCCATTGTTCCTGCACAGCTAAGTGCCCAAGTTCATCCTAATCAAGCTGAACACTAGTCGCTGGGTTCCACGGTTCTGTTCCATGACCCATGGCTTCTAATAGAGCTATAACACTCACCACATGGCCCAAGATTCCATTCCTTGGAATCCGTGAGGCCAAGAACCCCAGGTCAGAGAACAAGAGGCTTGCTGCCATCTTGGAAGTGGCCGCCAACATCTTGGGAGCTCTAGGAGCAAGGACACCCTGGTAACATTTTGGCAACCACGAAGGGACTCTCCAAAGCGGTGAGTAATATTGGACTACTTTCGCTTGCTATCCTTCCTTAGAATCAGAGGAAAATACAGGGTGCTTGTCGGCCAGTTAAAAAAACGATTAGCGTGGCTGCCAGACTTAAGACTCAGATGTGAGGCTATCTGGGAAAAGGCTTTCTAACAACCCCCAAACCTTCTGGGTTGGGAGCATTGATCTGCCTGGAACCAGCTTGCGCTTTCAATTTTCCTGGGGAAGCCAAGGGCCAACTAGAGGCAGAAAGCTGTCGTCCCGAACTCCCAGCATTAGCCGGTTGACATCATGGTACAGCCAGAAGTCTCTACTCAACAGTCACCCATGCGTGCACCCCACCTTTCCTTCTGACCCATACCTCCTGGGTCCTGACCATGACTTTCTTGAAAGTGTAGCCCCAAAATTCTCCTTACCTCTGAATCTACTTCCTCTGATCCCTGCCTCCTAGATACTAATGGTTCAGACTTTCATTTCCTTTCCCACGTATTGGAGCAAGTTGTATCTCCAAAGGGATCTAATGAAGCTCTATGCTGTGTCCTTAGGCATCTAGGCTATCAACCCAGTGAGTCTTGTCCCTCGTGTCCCTCCCAATTTAGCCACACAGCTCTCGACCGTTATGTGGGACCTGTTCCCCACCAACTTGCCAGGGCCCCAAGTTTGTAAATGGCTAGGAGGACTGCTCTCCCATTGTGTAAGATGCTCTCCTCCCCCGATTTCTACCCAGCTTATCCCTCTGCAATACAATCTCCAAGCCTTGGCTCCTTGGCCAGGGCCTTAGAACTGATGACCCAGTACTATGGGTCTACAACAACATAATAGAACAGGATAAAAGCAAATTGAGTAAGTCAAGGAGAGGAAAGACAGACAGAGAGAGAGAGACAAATTAAAATAGACCTAGGTAAATTATCAGATAACCCTGATGGCTATATTGATGTTTTACAAGGGTTAGGACAATCCTTTGATCTGACATGGAAAAATATAATGTTACTGCTAGATCAGACACTAACCCCAAATGAGAAAAGTGCTGCCATAACTGCAACCTGAGAGTTTGGCGATCTCTGGTATCTCAGTCAGGTCAATGATAGGATGACAACAGAGGAAAGAACAATTCCCCACAGGCCAGCAGGCAGTTCCCAGTGTAGACCCTCACTGGGATGCAGAATCAGAACATGGAGATTGGTGCTGCAGACATTTACTAACTTGCGTGCTAGAAGGACTAAGGAAAACTAGGAAGAAGCCTATAAATTATTCAGTGTTGTCCACTATAACACAGGGAAAGAAAGAAAATCCTACCACGTTTCTGGAGAGACTAAGGGAGGCACTGAGGAAGCATAGCTCTCTGTCAACTGACTCTATTGAAGGCCAACTAATCTTAAAGGGTAAGTTTATTATTCAGTCAGTTGCAGACATTAGAAAAAATTCAAAAGTCCGCCTTAGGCCTGCAGCAAAACTTAGAAACCCTACTGAACTTGGCAACCTCAGTTTTTTTATAATAGAGATCAGAAAGAGCAGGCAGAAAGGGACAAACAAGTTAAGAAAAAGGTCACCGCTTTAGTCATGGCCCTCAGGTAAGCGGACTTTGAGGCTCTGGAACACCGAAAGGCTGGGCAAGTTGAATGCCTAATAGGGCTTGCTTCCAGTGCGGCCTACAAGGACACTTTAAAAAAGATTGTCCGAATAGAAATAAGCTACCCCCTCGTCCATGCCCCTTATGTCAAGGGAATCACTGGAAGGCCCACTGCCCCAGGGGATGAAGGATCTCTGAGTCAGAAGCCACTAACCAGATGATCCAGCAGCAGGACTGAGGGTGCCTGGGGTAAGCGCCAGCCCATGCCGTCACCCTCACAGAGCCCCGGGTATGCTTGACCATTGAGGGCCAGGAGGTTAACTGTCTCCTGGACACTGGTGTGGCCTTCTCAGTCTTACTCTCCCTGTCCCGGACAACTGTCCTCCAGATCTGTCATTATCTGAGGGGTCCTAAGACAGGCAGTCACTAAATACTTCTCCCAGCCACTAAGTTGTGACTGGGGAACTTTACTCTTTTCACATGGCTTTCTAATTATGCTTGAAAGCCCCACTCCTTTGTTAGGGAGAGACATTCTAGCAAAAGGAGGGGCCATTATACACTAGAATTAGGAGAAGGAAAAAGGGTAAATATATACACAGACTCTAGGCATGCTTACCTAGTCCTCCATGCCCACGCAGCAATATGGAGAGAAAGGGAATTCCTAACTTCCGAGGGAACACCTATCAAACATCAGGAAGCCTTTAGGAGATTACTACTGGCTGTACAGAAACCTCAAGAGGTGGCAGTCTTATGCTGCCAGGGTCATCAGAAAGGAAACGAAAGGGAAATAGAAGTGAACTGCCAAGCGGATATTGAAGCCAAAAGAGCCGCAAGGCAGGACCCTCCATTAGAAATGCTTACAGAAGGACCCCTAGTATGGGGTAATCCCCTCCGGGAAACCAAGCTGCAGTACTCGGCAGGAGAAACAGAATGGGGACCCTCATGAGGACAAGTTTCCTCCCCTCAGGATGGCTAGCCACTGAAGAAGGAAAAATACTTTTGCCTGCAGCTAACCAATGGAAATTACTTAAAACCCTTCACCAAACCTTTCATTTAGGCATTGATAGCACCCATCAGATGGCTAAATCATTATTTACTGGACCAGGCCTTTTAAAAACTATCAAGCAGATAGTCAGGGCCTGTGAAGTGTGCCAAAGAAATAATCCCCTGCACTGCAGGCCATACGTTTCAATCCCTGTATCTTTAACCTCCTTGTTAAGTTTGTCTCTTCCAGAATAGAAGGTGTAGAAGTATAAATGGTTCTTCAAATGGAGCCCCTGATGCATTTGAACTACTGCGGACCCCTAGACCGGCCTACTAGCCCATGCTCCAATGTTGATGAGATCGAAGGCACCCCTCCCAAGGAAATCTGAACTGCATGACCCCTACTATGCCCCCAATTCAGCAGGAAGCAGTTAAGAGCGGTCGTCGGCCAACCTCCCCAACAGCACTTGAGTTTTCCTGTTGAGAGCCGAGACTGAGAGACAAGACTAGCTGGATTTCCTAAGCCGACTAAGAATTCCTAAACCCAGCTGGGAAGGTGACCGCACCCACCTTTAAACACGGGGCTTGTAACTCAGCTCACACCCAACCAATCAGATAGTAAAGAGGGCTCACTAAAATACAAATTAGGCTAAAGCAGGAGGTAAAAAAAAAAAAAAAAGTCAAATCATATATCACCTGAGAGCATAGGGGGAGGGACAATGATTGGGATATAAACCCCAAGCATTCTTGCCGGGAGTGGCAACCCCCTTTGGGTCTCCTCCCATTGTATGGGCTCTGTTTTCACTCTTAAATCTTGCAATTGTGAGAAAAAAAAACAAAACAAAACAGTAGTTGGGTTTTTTTTGGTTTGTTTTACTTAAAATAATGATTAAAAAAAAAAATCAGCAGTAGCCCCTTCTACTTTAAGTGACAGGTAGTTGGGATTGCTATCTTTGCTTCCGGCAAACCCATGGAAAAAATGAACCCCATAAAGTTTGGGGGAAGAGAAGAAAGCATTAAAAGCAGGACCCAATCACAACAACAGAGGTTCTCAAACTTTCTGGGAGTATAAACATCACCTTGGGTACTTACTTTAAAAGCAGAGTCCTTGGATGCCACCCTAGACCCAGCCCATGATTACAATTTCTAGCACCCTCAGAAAATTCTGATGAGGGTCATCCACAGACCACATGTGGGTAAGCATTACCTTAAGACATGAGAAAAAGTTAAGAATAGAAGCCTCATCTGTTGAATAGCCACAAAGGAATACAAAGCTTTAATGTAAATTGTTTACAATTAAGTTGCTCTCACCCAAACCTTACCAAAATCAGGAGACTGGAATTGAGAGAGAGAAACGGAAAGGAAAAACTTTAAATTCACTTCACTATAGGAGAGGATGGCCCTGAGTAGAATTCCGCAAGAAAACAATGGGCAGCAAGAGGGCAAAGTGGCAGCACTCACCATGTGGGAGACAGGGGAAAGAGATAACAGGAAATGGAAATATGATTACATGACAGAGGAGGTGGCATAAATCTATACCCAAATCTTACAAAGGACTATCTGGAAGGAGAAATGAGGGCTATACAGAGATCATATTTTCTGATGCAAATTTTAGGAAGTTTGATCCGCTATGGAAATTTGCCTAGTTCATGTATGTTTATAAAAGTCTTAAAAAGTATAAAAATTAAAACAATTATTTATCAAATAACTTTCCTTTAGCACAAGAATATATTTATTCAAATTCCAATGTGTGGCCACCAAGGCCACATATCACACATAGAAGCAAGCAATGGTGAGCCATGACTACTAAGAGTCATGGAGAAGAGTTTCAAACCAGAAATAGCACAAGAATGACCAAACATCATGTGTGTGATACTGACAATCAGCCTAAAACACAGTACGAGAAACTGCTGATGTTCTACACTTTTTGGGTTCTTACCTTCCTTCCTAATGCATAAGGTGACATTTACTAGAAATTTGTTTTCTCGCCAGGCACAGTGGCTTGTGCCTATAATCCCAGCGACTCAGGAGACTGAGGTGGGAGAACCACCTGAGGCCAGGTGTTCAAGACCAGCCTGAGCAATACCTCAAGACTCTGCTCCAAATTTTTTAATAACCAGGCATGGTGGCACATACCTATAATCCCAGCTACTCAGGACAATGGTTCTTGAGCCCAGGAGTTCAAGGTTACAGTGAGCTATGATCACACCACTACACTCCAACCTGGGTAACAAAGCAAAACCCCACCTCTTTTTTTTAAAAAAAAAAAAAAAAAGGAAATTTGTTTTCTCTATTAAAATGTCATTATTGCCACTGAGTACCTCCTACTTCTTGCTGTGCTTCCATCTTCAGAAACCAATATAGTTTGAATATTTGTCCCTGCCCAAATATCATGTTAAATTGCAGTCCCCGGGGCTGGAGGTAGGGCCTGGTGGGAAGTGTTTGGGTCATGGGGGCAGATCCCTCAAGGTTTGGTGCTGTCTTTACAACAGTGGGTTCTCATGAGATCTGGTCATTTAGAAATGTGTGGCACTTCCCCCTCCCACACCCAACCTCAACTCTTGCTCCTGCTTTTGCTATGTGAAGTGCCTGCTCCCACTTCATCTTCTGCCATGATTGTAAGCTTCCTGAGGTCTTCCCAGAAGCTGATGCCAGAGTTATGTTTTCTGAACAGCCTGCAGAACCGTGAATTAATTAAACCTCTTTATAAATTATCCAGTCTCGGGTATTTCTTTATAGCAATGCAAAAATGGTCTAATATAGAAACTATTTTAGCACTCTATTCTTATTACTCCTTTCTATGTAGTTTACTGCAACAATGACAGTATTGCATAACACTATAAAGCTAAGGGCTTTACAATCATTACCTTATTTCCTTCTCACTTTAATCCTGTGATGTAGGTGTCATTACCCCTATTTAAAACATGAAAAAAATGGTCCAGAAAGATTCAGTAACTTGTCCCCAGTCACAGGAACAGTACATGATACAGCTAGGATTTAAACCATGACTGTCTGGCTCCAACACTCCTAACTAGGAAGCAAAGATTTCAGTATACTCAATGATGGCCACACAAGGAGTACAAATTATTACAAGAGCTCAGTGGTGTTCATCTCTAGCTGAAAGAACCCTTCATTGTGGAGGCATTTAAACTTTCCCTTCTTTGGAAGATGGTAAAATTTCAATAGTCAAACAGAGGAAGAAAGCACAAGGATTTTCCCATCTAATAAGCAGCATAAAATTGGCTGAAGCATAAAGCACATTCAAGAAGTCATAGAGAACAGCTGAAAGCCTTGAATGCCAAATAAGAGATTGTTATTACTTCAATAATCAATAGAGAACAATAGAATCAAAACAGTATTTTCCATGTTCATTGCTTCTACCAAAAGTCAAAATCTAGCAGTGTGTACTTTAAAACTTTGTTGATTCTCCAATGTGGATGAAATCCCAATTCTTAAACACAGCACCACTCTACATTTTCACCTTCTTTAACAGCTGTTCCCAGACACATTAAGTTATGACAATTCCTTATACACACCATGTCCTCTTATGTCTTCCTGTATATATCCCCTGTCTAAAATGCCCTTCTCTCCCTGGAGGCAACCAGTCTAAAAGTCACTTCTATAAAGCCTTTTCCTATCTTCTTCAAGAATTTATGGCTCTTTCTTCTGCATACAATGACTACAGCTACATCATATCTTTTATATATCTATATATCTCCACTGACTGTCAATCATTTTTGCAATGTTAGAATGTAGCACAGCACAAGCAGGCAGCAAGTACTGACACTTTCTCTGAACAAAGATTGGTCTGGTAATAGAATGAAGAATCATTTAAAGGCGGGAAACAAAAGAAAGGGAGACCAGGCTAGAAGTGAGACAATTAAGATTTCATCTAGGCTGGTGGCAATGAGAGAAAAGCAAAGTGTCTTGAGAGTCGATAATAGAGTCCATCTGACTTGGAGTCCATCTGATTTGTCAATGAACCAAATAAGGGATGGGGGATGGAGCTCAGCAAGAACTCATGACTCAGGTGTTGTTGGACTTGGGCATCTAAATAATGGCGGAAGTGAAGAGAAACAGTGGAGGACTGAGATTGGAGACTAAAATAATGACCTTACACATGAATGCTGAGTTGGAGAAACCAGCAAGATACTCAGATAGAAATACCCAATAATTAAAAATGTAAAAATGAGAGTTGAGAGTTAGAGATAATAACTTAAAGTTCCCCCAACAGTGGTAAAAGCTATTACAGTTCAAGTAGATGAAATGATTAAGGAAGAAAATGCAGAAGAAATGACTAAAAATTAATCTTAGGGATTTTTAAGCTTAGGAAGAGAAGGAAGTCAGCAAAACCATGGTCAGAAAGACAGGAAGGTGGGAAAAAAAAAAAAAAACAACAGAATAGTGCAATAACATGGAAGCTAAGAAGAGATAAGAACATCTACCAGGTACCAGAATTGGTTAAGAGGCTAAAAGTTTTATAATTAGGTTATTCATGGCTGTTAAGGCCTTTTCAAAAGAGTGATACGTGTGGAAAATTTCAAAACGTTATCTGAGCATGCTTTTAAGCAGCAGGAAAAATCAACAAAGAGAAAAAGATTGATGACTCAAGGAAAATCAATAGAATAATTCATGGAGCAGGATTATAGAGAAGGAATCATCAAAAACAATGAGCAGATAATCTGGTTGTATCATCTTTAAATGCATGATAACCAGAGTTGGTTCAGCTCATTTAGCTGCCTGGGCAGCTACCTATGTCCTATGACTACCACCACTTCCTTCCAGGCAATAACTGATTGCAGCAATGTAAACATGTAACCCAGGACTGGAAACAAGGGGTTCAATTATTCTGTGCTATTGGCTGAATTCCTGAAGGAGTGGGGCAGCCATATTTTACCATTTGGACAGAAGAGCAGAAAAAGCTGATCCACTTAGAGAAGCCTGCAGCAAATAGTAGCAAGAAGTGATACTAGTAAGAAACCTGATGGCTTTCTGGTTCTTGGCTCTAATTCCATCCTGAGGCCAAGCTCCATTCTTACCCTTGGGTTCTTTGGCACCCCTGTACTCTTAGAATAAATTTCCCTTTTCTGCTTTAACCTAGCTCAGATTAATACTTATAACAAATATCCCTCATTAGTATACATACCAAAATATGATAATTTTTTTAAGTTACCAATTGTATAAAATCTGAGTGCAGGCATGGCAAACTAGAATGTACTTTCTGAAAATAATGGCAGATGGCAGGTATGAACTTGGAAATAAAATCAAAATTAGAATAGTAGTCTAATAGTTGTAAAGCCAGAAATAATTTGTGAAGGCAAAACAAATACTATCTGGAAATCAAAGCCAACTGATATAAAAGAAAAAAGCAGAACCTTTCTGAAGGAGATTTAACTTCAAAAATGAAACTACCAATTTACTTTAAAATGCATCAAAACAAAATAGATTAATATTAGGTGGAAAAAAGAATGGATTAATGGATATGTGATAAGCACAGTAACATGTTAACAGTAGAATCTAGGTGGATGGTACACTAATGAGTATTGTGAAGTTCAATTCTGCAACATGTTTAAATACATGCAAAATGTTGGGGTGGGGGGCGGCAGGGAATGAAAACTGCTGACACCATAATCCTTAAATTACATCACTCCATGTAACAAGATTTGCCTGAACAGTAAATAGGAGCCATCTGAATAAGCACGGAATGTACATTATTTACTGATAGCAATAAGTGGTTTAAACTGATACATCTAGGCCAGTCGTCTTAGCTCTCCCTCCTTCTCATTACCCCCATAGACCCAGGCAGGGTTAAGCACTATTCCTTAGGCTCCCTGTGGTCATGTTTTGGTTTCCCCTTTAAAGACTCAGGCTAGAACATCTAATTTCCTTTTATCTAAATTTCTGGAAAGCTGCTTCCCTAAATTAGAAGATACAAACTTGCTCAAATATGATGTAGTCGTTCTCCAAAGATTCCGATGATTTTCAATTTTTTATTACTTGTCAGAATTAAGTCCAAACAAGCAATCGTTCCTTATTTCTGTCCACGCCCAATGAGATCAGCGAATGATGTATTCCAATGCTCTTTGACTCATTAAGGCCCTTTTTTAAAAATGTGCCTTAAGGAAATTATTAAGGATTTAATTGTAAAAAGCTTACCACAGCATTCTCTATAATAGGGAAACACTGGAAACAAATATAACACCGTCCTCATCAGATAAATGGTACCTACATATAATACAATACTTCCTGAGTCACTGAAAATGATTTTACACATTATTATTTCTTGATAAGGAAAGGTATACACAAGACAGTGAGTGAAAAATGGCAATTTCAAGACATTATTATGGCGTGACCTCACACACATATGCTTATGTCTGAAAGGATCTAAGCCAATGTGCTATAGCGGTTATCTCTTAATGTTAGTCTTCATTTTGATTATTATTTTCTATTTTTTTCTGCAACAAAATGCATAACATTTTAGAATGCCAAAATTATTTTCCCTTTTCTTTATGATTGTAAAGTAACTGCCAGACATTCAGCTCCTAGCAGAATGACACTTCTAAACACTATCCAGATTGCTGAAAGACCATCATTACTAGAGCAAACTGCCACACCAGTTTTATAAACTTTATTACATTGCCCAGATTTTCCTACCCTAATTCTTCTGATTCTGTTCTCATCCAAATGCTCTCTCTCATCAATATTTTCACCCTCAGATTTAAGAATTTTTGCATAACATCTTGACATAGAACAATACTCTTCCAATCCTTCTAGACTAGGTTTCTTTGATATAAAATTGCCCTTCCATTGTTGTAGTAGTCACCATTCCTTTCCTATACCTTACATCTTGCAGTAATAGAAGACACATCAGTCTTCCTTAGTAGACCTACATGTCCCAGTAGGCAAAAACCATGTGTCAATAATCCTCCCCAGTGCTTAGCATATGGAAGACACAAAGTAATTGCAAACCTGGGTAGATGAAGTTTCTTTTTTTCTTTTTTCTCCTTTTTTGAGACAGAGTCTTGCTCTGTCACCCAGGCTGGAGTGCAGTGGCATGATCTCGGCTCACTGCAACCTCCACCTCCCAGGTTCGAGTGACTCTCCTGCCTCAGCCTCCAGAGTAGCTGGGACTACAGGCGTGCACCACCACGCCTGGCTAATTTTTGTATTTTTAGTAGATACAGGGTTTCACCATGTTAGTCAGGCCGGTCTTGAACTCCTAACCTCAGGTAATCCACCCGCCTCAGCCTCCCAAAGTGCTGGGATTACAGGCGTGAGCCACCGCGGCCAGCCAGTAGACGAAGTTTCAAATGGGTGAGGTGGCTGAAGAGTACCTAGGTGATTTAAATGAATTCAAGGCTCTAGACCTACATATTATATCCTATGACACTTAGCACTTAACCGTATGTTTTAAAGTTACTCTTCATAACCTGAGAAATCGTGGGGAAAAGGTAACAGGAGATAGATCAATGCTTCCCCAGTTCTCAAAAGTAAAAAGAAAAGATCCCCAAAACAAGAGACTCTGAAACATGGGATCAATCAACAAGCAAAGGTCTTCCAGACAATGGCACAATAAAAGGTGTAAAAGCTGAAAAATGTGGCATGAATAAGAGACTCTGCCTAGAACAGTAGAAGAGCTAGGTAAATCAGAAGCTGAAGTTTAAAAGCTACATATTTTAAACAGCGGTTAGAGGTGAGGGGATATGAATTGAGTCCAGCTGCACCAGTCTCCTTGTGGCTTTCCTGATATGCCACATGTGCATTTCCTCTTAGGATATTTGCACATACTATTCCTCTGCCTAGAACACTCATTTGCCTGGATATCCATATGACTAAACTCATCTCCTTTAAATATCTGCTCAAATGTCATGTTTTCATTGACATCCTTCTTAAAATTTGAACCCTACCTCCTTACCCTCTCTACTTTTTCTTTTTTCTACAGTACTTATCACCTTCTAACATACTTAATAATTTACTTATTTACTATGTTTAATTTTCCATTTCACCCACTGGAATGTAAGTTCCAAGAAAATAAAAATCTTTCTCCATTTTGTTCACTGACATAGCCCAAGTGCTTAGAACATAAGTAACCAATAAATACTTGTTTAATGCACAAAATGAATGTGAAAGATTGTGAAGGAAAAAATGAACAGGGCTGGGTGATATCAATATAATATCAAGGAAAAAGCTCTAGAATTGAGATGTTTTAAAAATCTGGAATCAGCCGGGCACGGTGGCTCACACCTGTAATCCCAGTACTTTGGGAGGCCAAGGCGGACAGATCACCTGAGGTCAGGAGTTTGAGACTAGCATGGTCCAACAGGGTGAAACCCCATCTCTACTAAAAATACAAAAATTAGCCAGGCGTGGTGCTGTGCACCTGTAATCCCAGCTACATGAGAGGCTGAAGCAGGAGAATCACTTGAACTTGGGAGGTGGAGGCTGCAGTGAGCCGAGATCGTGCCACTGCACACCAGCCTGGGCAACAGAGCGAGACTCTGTCGCAAAAAAAAAAAAAAATTAAAATTAAAAAATCTAGATTCAAATTTAAGCTTTACCACTCAGTAGCTAGAAACTGACTAATATATTTTTCTGGCAAGTATCTAGGAATTTCAGTTCCTAATCTGTGAAATGGGCAGTTGTGAGGATCAGATGACACAAACATGTATGAGAGCAGCAGAGTGACTGCAGAATTAATTATTAATTTGAATAAATTCAAAAGAAAGTTCGATCTTAAAAGAATGAAAAGAAGTTCAAGATAGGGATTGAAGGATGTGACTGTGGGACTAGTGTTAACACTATGAGATATGAGAAAGCCCAGATAAATAAGTTCTAGAGAATGAGAAAGAAGATAATGAGTTAGGTTTCCACCTACACCTGTACTGGCCAGCACGGTATATCACTAGCCACATGTGCCTATTTAAATTAAAATTAAACAAAATTTAAAAGTCAGCTCCATAGTGGCTATGATACTGGATAACACAGATTACAGAATATTTCTATCACAGAAAGCTCTACTGGATAGTGTCGACCTACAAAATTTGAGTTGACAGCAAAATATCCACTCCATAGTATATGTGACTAAAGTGATAAGAGAATTCAAGTAGGTGTCATTTTAATATTCCTTAGGCTGGATTCCTATACAGTTAGTTCAAGCACCTTTAGAAAAAATGTAAAACCCAACTAGGTAATCAATCTGAGTTGGAAATGCGAACTTCTGTGATTATAGCAAATTAAATAGTTCACATTACTTGATTCTAAGGTCCTGGGATACCTGAGCATTCCCCTGCTTATAGGATGAGGTCTCTGACACAGCAACTATAAATAGAATTTGGAGAGTCCCACTGAGGTCAACAACAAGAATCTGGTCAGCAACCTGGCCAAATCTCTGATTAGTAATTTCAAACATGCTGGCAAGAACAAATGTTATATGCAATCATATAACAGTTTTCTTAGTGAATGACAAGACGATATCTACCCCTCCGAATCTCACCCAGGAGGCAAAACTCTCTCATCAAAAGTAACTGCAGTTACTGGAATAGTAGCAGTTTTTTTCAATGAGTAAGCGTATTTCAACTACTGAAAGATCCAGAATTAAATATACAAATGCTTAAGAGAACCAAAGACAGATGTTAATGTTTTTAAGAAAACTATACAAAAAATTGATATTTTATATATTTACAAAACTTAAGAGAATCTAGTCTTTAAGAATGACTGACTTGTAACTCAAATTTAAAATGTGTAATTGAGTAATAGAGTTGGACTTATGATTTTAAGCTGAAATCTTATAAGCTCGTAAATAATATGTGAACACTGCAAGGTCACTTTGTTTAAAAATCCAATTTAATTTATTTATAAAAATGATTTAGTACCTGGGAGCATTCTGTTTATTACCTCAAACAATTGATGTACTTAAGAAAAGTAAATATATTAATTCTTAAACACTATTTTAATTACTTTAACCTCTTCCTATGCAGTAATATCTATAAAAACACTAGTTTGATATGCACTTTATATTAAAACAAGTAATTATTCGGACCAAAAGTAACCACCACCTAAATGTTCATCAATAACAGAATGGATAAATTGTGGTATATATCTACCCAATGGAATACTATTCATCGATGAGGATAAACAAAATGTGACTAGATGCAACATGGAGGAATATCACAAACATAATACTCTGAAGGAAAGAAGCCAAACACAAAAAAGTACACACTGTATGATTCCATTTACATGAAGTTCAAACAGGCAAATCTATATGTTAGAAGTCAAGGTAGTGGTTATCCTGGTGGAAGGAGCCACTGGGATGAGCACAAAGAGGGCTTCCTAGAGTACTGGTAATGCTGTTTCTTAATCTAAATACAGATAAAATAGATGTGTTCATTCTGCAAAAGTTAATTATGCTGTAAGTTCTCTCTCTACTGTTTTGGTAGCATGTGTTAGGCTCTACACCTGCAGAGGAGGCCTTCTGTGGTACACTGCCTGTGATGGAGTGTAATTCAGGGTAAATATTAGGTAGTACAGATCTAAGCCACGATCTCCAACCAGCATTATCAGTAAAAAAGCTAATGTTTTTACCTCTCTGTCTGTATCCTGTGTCTTATCTCTCAGTTGATTCTGAGCCCAGATGTTGGGACAAGGATATGACAAAATATCACCCCCAAGACCCAACAAATAAAGAGAACACTAATAGGCAGAGAGCTATTAATACTTTATGCTACAACGGTAGACTCTAGTCATGATCCCTTGATTTGGTTTAGGGTTGAAATTAACATACTAATCGGAATAACAGCAGAAGTTATCTTCTCAATAATAAGGAAATAAAATCAAACGGAGTAATATTTGCTTAGCACTTGCTTTTAAAGTGTTCCATAAAGTATCTCATCTGACTACAACAGCAATCCATTTCTCTGCAGCCTAAAAACAGATCACTTAATTCATTCTCAGGTATTTTTATTAAATGACCACAAGGGTAGATGGCTCTATAGTAACTTCCCAACATAAAAAAGTCTATGTAGAGAAGGTCTGGTCCATCTTAAAATGCAATCTAGAGAAGCATATTAACAAATAACCACAGCGATTAAATCTTCAGTTTCCTGTTCATTCACAGTCCAAAGACAGTTTGCAACTAGGCAGTAAACCCTCCATGACCTATTCTCTTTTCCTCCTTTCTTCTCTGATCTTGGGTCTTCCACATTCTTCCTAATTCCCTTTCATTCCAAACACTGTCTTCTTCCACAAGTCAAATGGCAAAATGCACTCACAAAAGTAAACTGGCTGGTCTACCTTTTTAAACCACCCATTACATTTTCTTATTATGAATTTCATTTTGACAGAATGATGTTTTATAATTTATTAAGTACAACATAAACTAATGCCTTCTTAACTATATGACAAAGTATTTGATCATGATCTATTTAATCACAAAAACTTTGAAACTTAGCATGACAAAGACAGCAACTTGATGAATAGTAAGTAGATATCTCCCCGGGAACATCAGATGTGGTAATCCAGCATAGAGGAAAGAATATGGACTCTGGAGCAAGAACAGAGTTGAAATGCCATCTCTTTCATTTCACAAATGCAAGGCCTTAGATAAATTAACTTCTCTAAGCCTCTAGTTCCTCAACTGTAATGTACATATAGTATCACTCATTTTTCAGAGCTGTTGTGTGAGATTTAAATGACATAATGTACATAAGCTTTAGCATGGTTCCTGTCATATTAGGACTTAGTCAATTAAAACTCCTATTACTACTATCACTAGAATTCCTAGCTAGGAACTCAAAATAGGGTAAATATTTCATTCAACATAACTACCAAAATAAGCTCGAATTTTGCCAAACGATGTTAAGTTTTAAGCCAGGTCACTTGTGCAAATAACCTTTGCTCTGTATCAGCTCTTACAGGCTTCAGGATACCCTCTTGGGAAATATTTACAAGAGGTTAACTCAGCTGTATTCCTTCTGGAAAATATCTACCAAAGCTTCCGGCAGATGTTAAATAATACTTTTTTGTTTTGTTTTGTTTTTTGAGACACAGTCTCGCCCTGTCGTCCAGCCTGGAGTACAATGACGCAATCTCAGCTCACTGCAACCTCTGCCTCCCAGGCTCAAAGCAATCCTCCCGCCTCAGCCTCCCCAGTAGCTGAAACCACAGGCCTGTGCCACCACACCAGGCTAACTTTCTTTGTATTTTTGTAGAGATGGGGTCTCACCATCTTACCCAGGCTGGTCTTGAATTCCTGGGCTCAAGTGATTTGCCTGCCTTGGCCTCCCAAAGTGCTGGGATTATGGGGTGTGAGTCACCATGCCCGACGTTAATATACTGCTTTTTATTAAAATGGCATTTGTAAGTGACATTATAAGCAAGTAGACTAAACAATTAGTGGCGTTCTTAATCATTCTTTTGACCTGAACATTTATAACCTCCGTAAAAACTGCCATTGAGCAGTTCTGACTAATGCAAACCACAATGAGGTTGGAGCCAAAGTTATAACTGGGAAAGAGGTTAGCAGTGTGGAAGAATGAAAGTTAACATGGTATTTTTTCTTCTCTTTTTCGTAAGACCACAAGAGCCTTAAAAAAAAAAAAAACTGAAAAAAATCCAAAACCAAGACGTAAAAGTGTCACATATGTAATTGACATTTACTATGATTTTTAAGGATCTAAAATTGCACTTAGAAGCAAAGTCAAAAGAAAAACTGTACATGGGTAACATGCACTTAAGGAAAAAGGGAGGATCCAAGAGTAAACTGTCACTTCAATACTCTGCTCAGCAACTTCAAATAATGAGAACATATGTTCCGGGATAGAAGTAATTGGAGCCGGCCAGACGTGGTGGCTCATGCCTGTAATCCTAGCACTTTGAGAGTCTGAGGTGGGTGGATCACTAGGTCAGGGGTTCGAGACCAGCCTGGCCAAGATGGTGAAACCCCATCTCTACTAAAAATACAAAACTTAGCTGGGCACAGTGGCAGGCTCTGTAATCCCAGCTACTCCGGAGGCTGAGGCAGGAGAATCGCTTGAACCCGGGAGGCAGGAAGTTGCAGTGAGCTGAGATCGCGCCACTTCACTCTAGCCTGGGAGACAGAGCAAGACTCCATAGCAAAAAAAAAAAAAAGAAAAGAAAAAGAAGTAATTGGTGCCAACTTCATAGGAGACCATGTGATAAGTAAACAGCAGGTTTTGTTTGGTCAGCCCTCTGAAATGTCCACATTCCTCTGGACTGTGTCATCCCTTTTCTATTGTCATTCAGTCTCCAAACTCCTGTGGCATTAATTTAGTTACATAGTTTTAAAGTGTGATTAAACTTTAATGGTGTCACCTAATGAACTTCTAAAACTCTCACACACATCATTTCCTCCCTATTCTCATTGCCATCATCTTAGTTTAATTCTTCATTATTTCTCGCCTATTGTGTTACAACAGCCTCCTCTAACTGATCTCCTCTAACTGATCTATGTCCATCCTTACCGTTCTCCAATCCATTCTTAACACTGTAGCTGGAGTGACTTCTCTCAAACCCAAACCCAATCTGATCATGTCTCTTCCCAGCTTAATTCCTTCAAGGGTTCTCTATCACCAAGCCCCTTCAGCTGCTTCATTTTTCTTTATATTTATCACTACCTGACATACTATATTAGTTGTTTGTTCACTGTCTCCACTCCAGCTAGAATATAAGTTCCATAGGGCAGAGTTTTTGTTCACTGCTATATTTTATAAGCATGAATGAATGCATGAACGAATGGACTGATAACCCACAAGCCAAAGACCTCCATGACCTGCCACTGCCCTCCTTTCATTTTATTCTCACCTCTACCAATACTAAATCACCTAGTTATGTAAATACGATATGCACTTTCATGGCCCCTTGCTTTGTCATATGCTGTTCCCTTTGCCTGGAATATAAACTCTCAAAATACCATCCACATTTTAAAATCTTCTCCAGAAAGCTTCCTCTGACCACCCCCACCCTCCCACCCCCATATAGAGTAAGTCAGTCTTTCCTTTGTGCTACATTTGTACCTGTATCTACAGTGGCTCTAATCAAACTGCACTGTGTCTCTCACTTCCTAGATTGTGAACTCTTTGAGGCTGAAGACTACTTATTCATCTCTTTACCTCCAATGCCTAGGACAGGACCTTCATAAAGCAACTACTCTATAAATGTTGAAACATATGCATGACTATTCTGTAACAGGAATGAAAATATGGCATTTCAAGAAGTCACTACTCCAGGCCATGTGATATAACCAACCATGTGATAAAACAACCATGTGATAAAACAATTACAAGCAATGTTATCATCCAAAGTAATAAAAGGGAAGGAATAATACACAAATCACAAAATTATTCCAAAATAATTGACATATAGGCATACTCACACCTTATTAGATATATACTGTGGTTCCTTCTTCCTCTATCATTTATCTTCCCTTTAGGCTGGATTCTGTAGCTGGCAACTGCAGGCCCAGCTAAGTAGGAAGTAGAAGGGAGACTTGGGTTCCTCATGATTATCTATCAAGTATATCACCCTCTGTGGAAGCTTTTGATGTGTCATCTAATACAAGTTTCTGTGTTCCCTCATATTTTGATGAAAATCTCAAAGTACCAGTACAGGACTAGATTTTACCACTAGTCGTCTAACCCCGAACCAAAGACCAGGGCTTCCCACCAGCTGTAACCTATGCAACAAATGGGTTACAGTCGTGCCTGAACTATCGATGCCTTCAGTCCTTGGAGCAGCCACACAGGGCATCCCTGACCAGTCACCTTCAACCATCATCTTGGTGTGCCTTACAAACGTTACTATTTTTTCTCTGAATGCTGTAAACCAAGCCATTAAATCTAACCATAAGGAAAACCTGCCCTCCTTACTTGGTTCTAAGAGTGTGAATCTACATAAAATGTACAATCACATATATGCATACAAATGAGAACACATAAATGTACATGAAACCATTTAGAAAATTTTAAACCTAATGACAGCTATTAATAATATAACCTCAATTGAAGCCAGGAGACGAGATGAAATCCTTTATTCCTCCCCTCCCCACCACTCAGTAACCAAGTTATGGAAAATTTACCTCCTAGCATTTTCTCAATTAAGTTGCCTACTCCCAATAATATGCCTTAGTTCAGAATCCCAGCATTTCTCCCTGGAATAATAGTCTCCTAGTCTCTCTGCCTTTAGACACTGTGAAAATTGCAGCTACCATTCTTTGAAAGGTTATGTAACAGGCATTGCACTAAACACTTGATCATTTAACTCTATTTTTTTCAATTCTCACAGCAACACTGCAAAACAGGATTACTGTTCCCGTTTTTACAAATGACGGTGACTGAAACTCTCAGAGGTTAAGTGATTTGCCCAAGATCATAGAGCTGTAACGGTGTAGTGGAAATTGAAATCCAGGTCTATGTTCCCAGCCATTATACTGCCAAAATGCTCAACTGTCTTCAATTTGCTCCCAGTGTGACCTTTATCAAAGGTAAATCTAATCATGTATTGCCCCACGTAAAATCCTGTAAACAAGATTCACCTCTCCAGTCTTCGTCCCCTGTCATTCTCACCCTCTCCTACTACACTTGAGTCTCAGCAGTTCCCTAATTTGTCTCTCACTTCTTTACCTGTGAACATACTGTTTGTATGCCAAGAACAATTTCCCCCTTTGGCAAACTATTAGTAATGCAAACATCCAAAATTTACTCAGACAATCTTTACTTTGGAACATCTTTGCACTAACAAACACAAACCCAAAACTGGGTTAAATGACCAGGTGGTATAGTTCCCAGTTAAGTTTCTTATAACGCTGTATTATAATTTTACCTACTAAGCTATTCCTTCCTTAAGAGTAAATACCGTATTTTTAAATTTCTGTATTGCTGGTACAGTGTGTATTTTGTAAAGACTCATGTATGTTGAATTAATTCATCAGAAGCAAGTATAGCTTAGGAACTTGGCCATGAAGTCAATTTGATGTGCTTTCAAATTCTAACCTGTCACACAGCATATCTGCTAAGACTCCAGCAGACTTAATTTATTCATCTGTAAAATGGGAGAAAACCGCACATACCTCATAGCTTGGGAAGAAACAAAGGATTTAGCACACTTTGGCACACTTAAAAGTACACTTTAAACATTAGCTACTTATTTTTTTCACTCTCGGTTTATCCATTTATCCACGGTGACAAAGCCACACGTCAGAAAGTAGCTTCTCCTAATAGCCTTCATCAGAGATTGAGGAGATCGAGACCATCCTGGCTAACACGGTGAAACCCTGTCTCTACTAAAAATACAAAAAAAAAAAAAAAGATTTCTCCAAAAACATCGAAAGTCAAGATCTCTTACAAACATCCCTCATCGGTTAGACTCTTGTCTTTTAGCTTCTGGTTACACAGAGCTCAGTAGCTATACCACCACACCTTAAACCACTAGCTAGTGTTTGCAGTTTATGGCTTCTTACCATTCATCGGTTTCCTCCCTCAAAGTCAATACATCTTGATCCTAAGCAAGTGGAACTTACCCCACAGAAACCAGTCAGCACCTTTTTCCAGGGCACCACCAGTTTCCCCCACAGCAGGCTTTCGCGAATGAGAGAGATTCCTATGATCTATCATCTAGTACAAATTTATATCTCCTCGGAGAAAAATAGAACCTCTGCTACCCATTCCAAGACCTCAGCACCAAAAGTATTAATTCAAGATAAAAAATGAATTCCTGGCACTAAAAGCTCAGGAAAAAGGAATCCTTTAAACCCTTCTCCAACGAGAGTTCTTCAAGCCTGTTACCCTCACATAGTGACCAAAATCCACCATCCCATCCCGCCCCCTTCCTGACAGAATCCAGGGTCTAGTCCACTCTCTCGAAAGAGAGGTGGGTCCCTACTTTCAGGGACCGGGATGCCTTCCGCCCACCCGTGTCACTTCCCTTCCCACCTCGCCTGTGCCCTCCTGCAGCACAGGCCCGGCCTGGTCCCTCGACGCTAACTCCTTCCACATACCGCTACTCACCGCTTCTTTGGGATGGTGCCCGACTCCTGCGCGGCGGGAGTGGCCGTGGGCGCTGCCGTGGCCGCCGACGCGGCTCTCCGCGCTTTGCACTCATTGGTACTCAGAGCCTCCCGGGGCCGGCCCAGCAGATGGCCAGAGAGAACCCGCAGCCTCCGCCCGGCGCGGTCCGGGTCCGGGTCCCGGTCCCGGTCCGCTGCAGACCCGTAGCTCGCGCCCGCGCCCAAGCCAGTCCCACCCGCTGCAGCCGCCGCCTCCGCCATGGCTACCGCCTTGTGCTGCCGCCCGGAACCGCTGGGCGCGGGTGAAAGGTCACTCAGAGCGGCGCCCGGCGCGACCATTCGCTGCGGCGCATCCCGGCAGCCACCGCGGCGACTTGGCGGCGGGTGCCATGCGTCTGGAGCTTCACATTCTCTGCCCCCCACCCACCGCGCCGGCGCTCCCTTGTCACGCCTCGGGAAGCGCGCACCTGCCAAGCAGGTGAGTTCGAGCTGACTCCCGGTTGGCCCAGCCCGGTCCAGCTGGACCGAGAGCCAAACCACGTCCGCCCTCGAGGTGTCCTAGAACCCTGGGTGGTGTCCTCGGGTGTGGCCTGGGGGCTTTCGAGGGCAGATGCCTTGGAGCAGGAGAAATGGGCAGTGCTACTGGACCTGATGGATCCAGCGGCATCCTTTTCCTGAAAGAGATTCTAATGTTCCACCTGTGCTCTTCCTCCCTGCGGGGTCACCAAAGTAACTCAAAGCTGACCATCATTGCCTCTAACCATTAGAGCAAATAGCTCTATCATTTTCTTATTTCTCACCACCTATTTCGTGCCTGGCACTGTGTTTAATGCTAGATCACAAGTAAGTACAGAAACTGAGTTGCAACTTAAGTTCTCATTTCATTCATTACTGGATCCTAACCCCTTCCTAACTTTAATAGAGATAAAGTTTCTTATTGCTACAGACAAAAATTACCCAAGAGCTGTGAAGACATCTCAGTTATTTACAGATTGAATTCATTTCTGGAAGATAGCACGTGAAAAGTGCTCCTCACCTGTTTCAGCCGGTGTCTTGCATAAGAATTAGCTTAGACAAAAACTCACATACACTGGCCATTGTCATTCTCCATCCTGTCACCACTTTCACATCATGCTTTCCTAACAAGAAAAATATTGGCAGAGGAATCTGAAGAACACCACATCCATGGGACTAGAGACTAACAATTGCTCTCTTGGGTGTTGCCAGCTTCTAAAATTGAGATTATGCCTTTAGAGTGAACTTCCAAAGAGGCCCAGACTGGTTAAAAACTCTCAATTAAGGGCTAAGCAAATTGCTGTTGGAGGGCCAGCTCTAGTCTGTGGCCTGTTTTTACACAGCCCTCATGCTAATGGTTTTTGTATTTGAGAAGGGTTGTTAAAAGAAAACAAGAAATTTTTTAAAAGAATATGCAACAGAGACCTTATGTGGTCCCAGAAGCCCCAAAATATGTATTACCTGGCCTTTACAGGAGGTCCGAATGTCTTCTGAAATTTATATACGAAGAGATACCAAACCATTGAAAACAGTCCAAATGTCTAGCAACAGAGAAATGGTTAGTCAATATGTTAAAATACTTTTGCAGCTATTAAAATAATTTAGTACAGTTGTAGAAACAAGAAAGAATTAGGAATTTGTTAAATATAAAAAATGGCCATAACCTAGGCATCTTATACGTATCTATTTAATCAATCTTTGCAGTAACACAATGACACAGTTTTATTATCCTTATTTTATAGATGAAGGCTCAAGGAGAGTAAGAAGCTTTTCTTAAATAGCTATATTTTATCTCAAATATCATATACTTCATGTTATTGTCCTTATTCCACCATTAGAGTTTGGGGCCATTAACATTTTACGTTAAAATTACTTACGTAGGCTTGGGGTTTTTGTTTTTTATTTTATAGATTCTAAAATTGAACTTTCTAAAATAAATTTTCACTTTAATTATAAACTATACTCCTGGTTCTTAAGGATTGAGTTCTGGGAAGAATTTCAGAGATTGCCACCACAGCTATCACGACCTCATTCATGAGGTGCAAGAACATGAAACACATATAGCACTTTCCTAGGTATTTATGACTGAAAAAAGAGAATCTTTAGTTGATCTTGTAAAATTAAATATCAAAGCCTGCAAGCCACTAGTTTCTGGCTTTTGCATACTTTGTTGCCTACCCTCACAACAAAGAAGTTGCACCTGATTGACATTTTCAGTATTCAACTGATGACCAGAAAAGTGGCTATATGCTCCTACATGTTTGATAACAGAAGAAAAATCCTAGCTTCCTTTCCTTTACTTGATTTTGTTGTCAATTAGAGGAATTGTCTCTTATTTTAAAATTTTAAAACCCACTTTGCCTTCCAGTGTCATGTACATAATTCTAATGGTGTTCTTTTTGTCTTGCACAATCTGAAGAAAGTCACACTCATCTCCTCTGACCTGATAAAGCAGTCTCCAAAACAGATAGATGGAGGTGGCTCAATCCAATAATTAATGAGCCAAGAATTATTCCTGTATACTATCCCCTCAGTTCATCTAGGCATTACCTCCATTTCCTCATGTTTTACTTCCTCCTGTATCTTTAGAATCCAATCTCAGATGTCACTGATGAAGTTGTTGCAGAGAAATATGATAACAGCTGTCTAGACCTATCAGTTATTGAATTGAGATGTCCTGTAGCCTTTGATACAGTAGGTCATTTTTTGTTTTTGCAAGAATGTAATCCCGTGATTCTCCATGTGCTTCCTTGAATGGGGTAGAAACTGAGCTCATTTTCCCCTCCCTTTTATGCTTCCCTATAGTCCACCAAAGTGCCACTGTCATCCTGTTCCATCAACCTCAGGGTTATTTTCAGCCTTTTCCTCTTTTGCTTTTTATATTAAGTACATCAACAGTACATTATCCTCTGTGTCTCTTAAATCTATTCTTTCCCTGAGAATTTATCCTCTTGCTTATCATTTATCATATACTGCCTTTATATGTTAATTAACTTTTCATTTACTCATGTCTGTTACTCCCAGTAGGCCATAAACTCCATGAAGACAGAGTTCATATCCCACATAAGAATCTGAGACTTATACTTAATTTATAAGTGACTCGTCACTTTGAATCTGGGGAGAGACACTGAGCCACAGTCCCCATAGGAACTGTTTTCCTCTTTTCGCCCATGTGAAAATGCCTAGCTAATGGAGGTTCCAGTGAGCCGAGACTGTGCCACTGCACTCCATCCTGGGCAACAGAGTGAGACCTTGTCAAAAAAAAAAAAAAAAAAAAAAAATGCAAAGAAAAGGGAAAGAAAGAAGGAAGGAAGGAAGGGAAAATGCCTAGCTAATATTTAATGTAGAAAGTTACCTCATAGAAGAGCACTTTCCAAGATGATGGGAATGTTCTGTATCTGTACTGTCACTGCTAGTTATATGTGACTATGAGCACTTGAAATGTGGCTAGGATAACTGAGAAACTGAATTTTTAATTTTAATTAATTAATTTAAACTTAAATGGCCTTATGTGGATCATGGTGACTATATTTGATAGCACAGTTGTAGAGTTTAAGTTACTGGTGCCTGGAGATATCAACCTTACTTTTCCCATACTACTGTTATAACCCACACTGGGGTATGGAGAAGAAAAATATGCGAGAAGTATTTGTCCCTTGCATACTGACCTAGGGCTGTAAATGTATTTTTGTCAGAAAAAAAAATGCTATAAATGATTAGGTGTGGTCAAAATAATACCATTTCCAGTACATTATGGATTAGATAGGCTTTTACAAGCCATCTTGCAGATCCAACCATCAGAAATAAGTTTATTTCTATGTAATGTGCAAGTCAAAGGTAAGTTTTGGGAATGGTAAGAAAAAGGGTTTCTGTAAGGTTTCCAAGCCTATGCAGTTACCTCCTTTCTGATTCACCACCTCCTTTGTAACACAGGCTCTGTAAAAAAGTTAAGACATTCTAAGAGTTGTTTGACTAATGTAAAATAACTATTTAATGGTTCTGAGAAAAGGCAGACAATGAGGAGGACTTGATTTTTGTGCTAGATCTCCAGATCTTAAGCGATTGTTCGAGCACTATCCAGTCAAGCTCGGAAGGATCTGTTAATTTTTGCCTGACTCCCTGGAGTGCTCAATCTGACACTACTAAAATACTTTAAATGTAAATGTAGTTAACTGCTTCCTTGTCCAAATTAAGTTATAGATATGCTTCTTGCCAACTCTCAGAAGGCAAAAATT
Organism: Homo sapiens; assembly: GCF_000001405.40. Classification (NCBI taxonomy): domain Eukaryota; kingdom Metazoa; phylum Chordata; class Mammalia; order Primates; family Hominidae; genus Homo; species Homo sapiens. The sequence continues at coordinate 177,388,800 of NC_000002.12, read as the reverse complement.
TATAAATTTTGCAGATATTAACAGAGTAACAAAAAGCTTTCTTCTGGGTGATGAAAAGCTTAATGTAAACCAAAATTATGTACCAGTAGGAAAACTACTGATTGTATATATTTTAAATATGTGTACAATAATGAAAACATATAGACGGTAAAAGCATTTGTTGAAAGCCTATCATGTACCTAATTCACTACTAGGTGCTATGAGATGCAAAAGTGTTTAAGCCAATGCCTCATTTACATGGTATAATCAGGCTAGTTAGAAGTCAGTCCGTAAGTGGGAAAAAAATTATGTAATACTATTAGTGGGAATAAGGATGAAGGTGACCTTGATGAAGAGTTTCCTACCACCTCTCCATACAAAAGTAGAACCCAAGCAGGATACCCTGAATTCATGCTACCAGAGGAACAGATATTTCATATGAAGCCAAGTCCATCGAGATTCTTGTGATTTCCACAAAAATTAAAACCTCAGTGAATATCACTTTTAGGTGGGCCATCTCAACAAACCTGTCCTTTCTGAGTCCTGGGACACTTGGCTCTTAATTGAGAACAGACCACATGCACAGAAACAAGCAGTGAATGTATGACCTGTAATTTTCAATGGAGTGGATTTATTTGCATTCATGACATCTTCTAACTTGAGGCACAAAAAAAAGTCTAAATAGGATAGATTAACTCCTGGAATCATGCACCAAATTTCTTTATTGCTCTGATTTTCATTACTTGTCTTCTGAGCTTCTGAGTGATCCCTAAATATAGGAATTCTTGGATTTTTATACCCTTTTTTGTGAAATATAACACAGAGAAAAGTGAACCAAAGCATAAATTATCACAAATCAAGCACCTTTAATCTACCATCTAGGTCAGGAAATAGAACATTACAGAATCCAGAAGTCCCCCTTATGCTCTCTCCCAATCACTTTATGCACTCTCCCTGCCACCAAAGGTAACCATTGTCCTAGATGTATGATAAGCACTTCCTTGTTTGTTTTTTATGGTTTTATCAACTAAGCATATATCTTTTACCTGCTCCTGTTTTTTGCATTTATATAAATAGAAGATTATGATATGTTCTTTTGTGTCTGGTTTCTTTCATTCAACATTATCTTTATGAGTTTTAATAACGTTGTAGTTGTGCATTTATTTTATTTGCTGTATAGTATTCTATTAAATCCATATATCAGAGTTTATCTTTTCGACAATTAATAGACATGGACATTCGAAGTGTTTCCAGTTTCATACTACTATGGATAGGCGTTACTATGCACATTGTTGTAGATGTCTCTAGGTGTACAGGCATGTGAATTTCTGTTGAGTATCCATCTAAGAGTGGAATTCCTAGGTCAGAAAGTGTACATATGTTTAACTGTGCTTAACTGTAATAGATAATGAAACACCAATCTATTTTCCAAAGGGATTTTACAAAATTTGCTGCCCTAGCAGTATATGAAAGTTCCCATTGCTCTAATATGTGTTATTGTCAATCTAGTTAGTTTCAGTCACTCTGGTAGATGTGTACTATTATCTTATTGTGGTTTTAATTTGCAGTTCCCTGATTACTAATGAGATCAAGCACCTTTTTATGTGTTTGTTGACTATTTGGATGTCGTTATTTGTGAAACTCCTGTTCAAGGCTCTTATTCATCTTTCAGTTGGTTACCTGTCATCGTCTTATTGATTTGTAAGAATTATTTATATATTTCAGATATGAGCCTTTTTCAGATAGATGTATTGCAAATTTCTAATTTCATTATGTGATTTGCCTTTTTATTTGCCTAATAGTGATATTTGAAGAGCAATAGATCTAACTTTCATTGTGACCAAATTTACCAACCTTTTCCTTTATTTGACATTTTTTGTGTTCTGTTTAAGATATCTTTTTCTGCTTTGAGGTAGTGAAGGTAATTCTCCTGTATTATCTTCTAGAAGCCTTATTTTTATAAGGCTTTTTTGACTTTCATATCTATATCGATTTGCCTTTCATATTTATATCTATAGTTCACCTGGAATTGATTTTGGTGTTTATGGAGTAGAGGTCAAGTTTTTTTTTTTTCCCCCACATTGGTATGGGGGGTTGTCTCAGCACCACTTGTTGAAAAGCTCTTGTTTGACATTGCCACCTCTGTCATAGATCGAGTGTCCATATAAGCACTGATGTATTGCTGGGCTCTCTATTCTGTTCCATTGGTTTATCTATCAACTTTGTATCAGTATCACACTATCTTAACTATTATATATTCTTCTAGATCTTTTACATAGAATTATATCATTTGTGAATAATGACAGTTGATTTCTTCCATTTCAATTGTTATATCTTGTGCTTTTTCTTGCCTTACCCAGCTGGCTAGGACCTCCAGTACAATGTTGAATAGAAGTTTAGATGATGGCAACCTTATAATGTTCCTGATTTCCAAGGGAAATCTCTCCACATTTTGCCATTGTTTGAAGTAGGGTTCTGATGTTTTGCTTTTTTAATAAACCTTTTAGCAGATTAAGGAACTCCACTTTTGATCATAGTTTGCCAACAGTTTTTATCATGAATGGATATTGAATTTTAGCAAATGTTTTTTCTTGCCGGGCATGGTGGCTCACGCTCGTAATCCCAGCACTTTGGGAGGCGGAGGCAGGCAGATAACTTGAGGCCAGGAGTTCAAGACCAGCCTTGCCAATATGGCGAAACCCCATCTCTACTAAAAATACAAAAATTAGCCAGGCTTGGTGGCACACACCTATAATCCCAGCTACTCAGGAGGCTGAGGCAGGAGAATCACTTGAACCCAGGAGGCGGAGGTTGCAGTGAGCTAAGATTGTGCTATTATTGCACTCCAGACTGGGTGACAGAGCAAGACTCTGTCTTAAAAAAAAAAGCATGGGCTGGTGGCAGGGGTGGCTTCTGTATCTGTTGAGATAATCATATGATTTTTCTCTTTTACTCTGTTAGTAAGGTAAATTATAAGGATTGGCCTTCTACTGTTAAGGAAACCTTGTAATCCTGGCATAAACCCAACCTGGTCATGAGATATTGACCTTTTTATATATTACTAAATACAGTATATTAAAATGTTGTTTAGGGATTTTTGTATTTATATTTAAAAGTATATTTATATTTAAAAGTAATTTAAAAGAAATTTTTCTTTCTGTAATATTCATGTCAGGTTTTGCTGACCTCATGAAACAAGCTAATGAGTACTCCTTTGTTTTCTAGTGTCAAGAAGAGTTTGTATAAGATTGATCATTATTTCTTCCTTAAATGTCTGGTAGAATTCACCAAAGAAACAATCTGAACCTAGAGTTTTCTTTATGGGAAGGTTTTTATTCATAGATTAAATAACATAATGCTATTTGGATTTTCTATTTATACTTGTTTGTTGTTTCTTTACTTTTTTTTTTTTTTTTTTTGAGACAAGGTCACTCTGTCGCCGGAGGGCAGTGGCATGATCATAGGTCACTGTAACCTGGAACTCCTGGGTTCAGGCAATCTTCCCACTTCAGCTTCCTGAGTAGCTAGAATTACAGGTGTGTGCTACCATTCTGGCAGTTTTTTTTTTTTAGAGACTATATCTCTATGGGGTATAAATTTCTCTCTAAGCAACACACTTTATTCCTTCAAGTTTTAATAACTGTATTTTCACTATTATTCACTTATAAATAATTCACTTTTGTATTTAAAAAGAATAAGTATTCTTTCTTGTTTGGGAGTATAGAGTTCCATATAATGCCTGTTCAAATTTGCTGATTATATTGTTTAAATCTTTTAAATCAAAGGTATTTTATCTACTTATTCTATTAGTTATTGATAGTATGTTGAAATATTCCACTGTTATAGATTTATTCATTTTTCCTTGTAGGTCTGCTAATTTTTATTTTCTCTATTTTGAAGCTATGTATTAGATATATCAAAATTGTTATATTTCTCTGGCAAACTGAACCTTTTATAATTATCAAGTGTCCCTCTTTGTTTCTAATAATGGTTTTTGTTTTAGAGTTTAACTACACCAGCTTTGTGAGTGTGTTTATAATTCCATCCTATAACTTTTCATCTTTTTGTATCCATATATTTTAGATGTGTCTCTTGTAAATGCATTTAGATGTTTTCTTTTAACCAATCTGAGCATACAATCGTGGGTCATTTAGCCCATTTTAATGTAATTGAATTACTAATATAGTTGGTATAATAGCTAAGAGCAGTGGCTTCAGTGCTACACACACCTAGGTTTGAATATTGGCTCTACCATGGCCAAATATGTTGTCTTGATCCTGGGCTTGGTTCGCAGGAGCATTAAAGGATTAATGAGCAAAAACAGAAATTCTAAGTGCTATTATTGAAGGGGAAGTGAAGCTAGTATAAGGAAGACAGTCTTCCTGGAAAAAATTAATTATTGGTAGAGGGAAGAGAAATAAAATTAAATGGGTAAGGTGAGACCAACCGTGGGAGCATTGAAAACTTAGCAAAAGAGTAAAAACTTTTGCTGGTGGGAGCTTTTAGAAGCTCTTGAGCATGGAATTAGCATGACAAGCCTGAAGAGATCACTACTTTGGAATTTTCTCCCAAGTGGAAGTCAACCTGTTGGGTATACCCGAGAACCTGTTGGCCATTGTAAAAAGTTGTACTGAGAAAGGATGAAGACCTAAACAACTACAGAAAGAAGATTACAGTGTTTGAATGACAGGAAAGCATTGAACTATGGTTAGCTGTCTGTTGCAGTAAAGGGAAGTGAGTTAGCTCAGGAGGTGAAGACGTTTAATGTGAAAGTGGCTGCAGGTAGTTCCATGTTGTGTCACAATGCCATTCACTGTGCTCCTGGATGTCACAATTACACTGAAGTGTACAGGGCAAAAGGCTAATTTTAAAATTAGCCAAATAACTGGGAGAGAGTTGAAAGTACCTTATGTATAATTTCTCTTCTGCTAACTTAGTATGCAATCTAAAATTCTTGATTTCTTGATTTTTTTCATATTTTAAGTAGGAATAATTTCTGACTTGCCTACATCTCAGATTTATTGTAAAATGATAGATGCACAAGTATTTTGGGAACCCAAGTCAAAAATCACTTTAAAATAATTATTTTTATTGGAATATATATAATCAAGATTTGATATTTACCAATATCAATACTCAAACAGGCGGGGCGCAGTGGCTCACACCTGTAATCCCAGCACTTTGGGAGGCTGAGCTGCACCGATGGCTCGATCCCAAGGAGTTCAAGACCAGCCTGAGCAAAATGACGAAACCACACCTCTACAGAAAATACAGAAAGTTATCCAGGGATAATGGCACATGCCTGTAGTCCCAGCTACTAGGGGTGGGTGGGGGGTTTGAAGCGGGAAGATTGCTTAGTCCTGGGAGGTTCAGGCTGCAATAAGCCATTATCACACCACTGCACTCCAGCCTGGGCGACAGAGCGAGACCTTGTCTCAAAAACAAAACAAAACAACAATGACAACAACAAAACACCTCTAAAGCAGCAATTCTTAAACTTTTTAGTCTCTAGGATCCCTTTATAATATTAAAAATTGAGACCCAGCCAGGTGTGGTGGCTCACACCTATACCCCAACACTTTGGGAGGCTGAGGTGGGAGGATCACTTGAACCTTGGAGTTTGAGGTCAGCCTGGGCAACATAGGGAGACCTGCACCTCTACAAAAAATTAAGAAATTAGCCAGTCATGGTAGAGCCTGCCTATGGTCCCAGCTACTTGAGAGGCTGAGGTAGTGAGGTACGAGGTCGAGGCTGCAGTAAGCCATGATCACGCCACTGCACTCCAGCCTGGGCAACAGAGCAAGACCCTTTTGCAAAAAAAAAAAAAATTGAGATCACCATGCCCCACAAAGAGCTTCTGTTTATATTTACATCTATCCAACTATAACATATTAGAAATTAAAATTGAAAAATATTTAAAGTCTTGATTTATCAATTTACTTAGAAAGAATGATAAACCAATGCATATTATAATAACATGCTTTATTTTTTTAAAAAAAAACATATTTTCCAGAAAAAAAACATGAGAAGAATGATATTCCTTTACATTTTCAGAAATATCTTTGATGCCTGGCTTCTGACTTAGTAGAAGACAGCCGGGTTCTCATATCTGCTTTTGAATTTCATCTTTTGAGATATCACACGCTGTGTAACCTCTGGAAAACTCCACTCTACGCTCATGAGAGAATGGGAGTGAAAAAGACAAATAACATTTTAGTCTTATTATGAAAATAGTTTTGACCTTGCTGACCCACTGAAAGGGTCTCAAGGACCCACGGGGGTTTCCAGATGACATCTTGAGAACTGCAGCTCTGAAATATTTCTAAAAACATCTGCTAAAACATGCATTGAGGAAGCTCTAGACAACCAATTGCCAGAAGTAATATATAATGCCACTATTAATAAAACAAAGTTGCAAAAACTATTTAAGGAATAATTTCACATATTGATATGTATGAAATATATGTATATTTCAATTTCATATAATCACATTTTGAAAGTCATAAGCAATCACATATTGAAAGTCATTCCTACACTTCAAAATCAAATTTCCAAATCCAATCCAGATATGAACACAAACATGATGATTCCTATAAACGGGATAGCTGAATTTAGTGTGACTTTTGTGATATAGCATGATTTAAGTTACTTTGTAAGATCTGATTCACTTCCATTTTAGGGTCACAAAGTTATTTTTATCATTGCATTTAGATCAGTGGTAAATAGTTAAAAGATGTTCTGGGTAAGTTGTTCCCAAGATGATTTTTTTAATGCTATGGAGAGCATAGCTTGGAAATTGTTTATTCATAAATCCTAGCACTTGGCCTTTTCATACCTCCAAGTTTCTTAGTTCTTTTCATCTGACCACCTTTATCCTTTGTAGACAATAACTACCAAGCACCCAAAAGGAAGTGATATTCTCAAAGGCAAGTCTTTTCTATCTTAATTCAGATATGATAGGAATTGCTTTTTTCCATTGACTGAAAGTATTCTTCTGGGGCAAAGAGATGAACCAAGTCTCTGCATGCGCTAAGACTCCCCCAGAGCCCCAGAGAAAGCTGGGTCTGAGGATGTGGCAAAAGTCAGTGGTCTTCAGAGGCTTATAATCATCTCTTACTAATTCTGCCTTTGACTATTTCAGGACTATAGACTCTCTTAGGACTCCCTATTCTCTATTCAGGAGAATTTACAGAGAGAGTATCCTGCCTGCTTAATCCTCCCAAGTGGCCCTTAGCTCTCTCTCTAGTCACCATTTCCCATTATTTTCTTTTCTGAAAGGGGAAGCTGACTTTGCTCCCCACTGCTTAGCTTAGCTGTAAGAAAGCTACTGTGAGTATATTAGGAGTACACATACCTCTAATGGTCATCCCATCCTTATTTTTTCACAGTCAAATAAGTTTTCTCTCTAGTCTAACTGAACCATGGCACCACCTCCTACCACAAGCAATAATAATCCTGAAGCCTGAAAAAGCATGAAAGCTACTTTGAATCAAATGTTTAAAATGACCTGTTAATCACCCATGCAGTGTTCCCACTGCGTCCCTAAATCTGCTACTGAAAGAAGCAATATCTGTTTTTGAAATCTATTTTTTTAATGTTGATATATTTGATGACTAGATTTTTAAGCAAAGAAATATGGTAGCTTCTTCACGCTCTTAATTTCTTTCATTTTTTTAACATCCTCACTTTCTTGTTTTTCCTTTCTTTTAGGCTCATCTTTTTTCCTGTTTTTTCAACCTGGGTCAGTATGATGCAGGACTAGAGAGAAATGAGAAGAGAAAAATGAGGGTCAGTCTATGAGCCAAGAGACAAAGTCATGGGAAGACAGCTGAGGCTAATTCCAGAAGGTCCTCCTAGGAGAAGCCAAAGCAGGGGACACACCTCAAAATAGAGCCATGCATAGAACCACTCATAGCCAGACTGCAAGGCAGGAACATGAGGATGGTCACTAGGAGGCCAACAAATTCTGCTAAAGGGGATTCTTTTTATAAAATACACTCTTTCAGGACATTGTCAGATCCTCTGCATATAGTCCTCAAAATACGTCCTTGATCCAGCTTGTTTTAAGTGTTTATGCAAAATAATGGTATGTTTGAAAGTGTTAGATATTAATTTTTTATTTCTGTTTTGAAGGCATTCAAGTATCACGGACTATCAGCACCTTCGTTTCTTTTTTTTTTTTTTTTAAGCCAAAGCTACTGGATCAAAAGTAATATACTGCTTTGTTTGTATGTGATGTTTGGGGAGAAGAAAAGTCGAAATTCACATAACTGAAATTTTAATCAATCCTAACACTCTTTTTTTATGATGAGCCATATGTATGATCCATAAACAGCTTCTAAACCTATCCATGTAATCACAGCTCAGGTTAGAAAGGTTGCCTGTGTAGAGCAGGGTCATAGGATGAGCTCCCTCGAGGGGGCAGGAGGCTGCTGGAGGAGTGAACATCAAGAAGCCTACAGGGAAGCAGTACACCAGCTGGAAAAACATGACACCAGATGCAATAATAATCATGAAGAGATGTAGGCCCCACAACAGCCAAGGATTTTGTAAAAAGGAAAGGAAGATACTTGGGTGAATGAGCCACTTTATATGCCAGTTCTGGGTGACACTTAAACACCAGCGTCAGGAAAATCAATCCTCAGTAGTTAGCTACCCACTGACCTACCCTTTTGCACCTAAGCTACAAGTACATTTGTAGTCATGAGAAGCACAATCCCAAGTTCTAACCATGCTCTTCAAAAGACCACTCATCATTGAGGGAGTTTGTTTATTAAAACCAATCTGTGGAACTTCCAGCTCCCTGGTGGATCTTAAAATTTCAGGAAAAAAAGTTATATTTACCTTCAAACCCAAAATTCAGAATGTGAATTTATAATATCACCATAAAACTCTGTGAAAATTGAGTTTTACCTTGGAAGAAATAATATAGGTTGATGATCAGTCATGTAACGTGCCTGAAATACAAACATATTTATGGGAACTCACACTTTCCTTAGAACCCATCAGTGAGAACAACAGGTGAGCTCCTGCTTCCCAGCTTTGTACTAAGAATATTGGTTACCTTGTCTTATGGAAAACGAGGATGTCTTGGATTTGCATCCAAATAATCCAATGCAGGTAGTTAGCAAGGAACACAGCAAGTGGATTAGAGGATAAACAAGACAAGAATGGCCATGTGAAAGCCGGGATATGGATACATGAGGGTTCGGGTATGCTCTACTTGGGTGTGTTTTCAAGTTTTCCATAATAAAAAATGTAAAAGTGTATTTAAATGTTTCACTTAGGCTGGGTGTGGTGGCTCACTCTGTAATCTCAGCACTTTGGGAGGCCAAGCAGGCAGATCACTTGAGGTCAGGAGTTTGAGAGCAGCCTGGCCAACATGGTAAAACCCTGTCTCTACTAAAACTACGAAAAATTAGCCAGGTGCAGTAGCATGCACCTGTAATCCCAGCTGCTTGGGAGGCTGAGGCAGGAGAATTGTTTGAACCTGGGAGGTGGATGTTGCAGTGAGCCAAGATAGTGCCACTATACTCCAGCCTGGGTGACAGAGCGAGACCCTGTCTCAAAAATAAAAATTAAATTAAAATAATTTTTTAACTTAGCCTGTCCTTTTATTACTATTTCAAAAACCATCAGTGAATATTGTAAAAAAAATTTAGAGAGGATAGTAGAGTATAAAGAAAGAGCAAAAATTTTAGCATGCATGACCTGTCCCATCACTCAGATATCAAATATGCTAACCATGCCACTCCATAAATGTAAATTGATCAGTCATCCTAGTGGCCTCAGCTAGTCAGTAACTTTAATGTCATGATTTCTCCAGTATTCACTGATACTAATACTACCCCACATTTGTGAAAGTGAGAGATGAGGAAAACAGCTATAAAACACATTATACTATTTAATCACCTAGCAGTTTTGATAATTGCAGGGACAAGCCAATGGTAAACCAATGTAAGTAAATAGATATCTTAGAGTAATGTGTTCATCCTCTATGAATTGAATGAACTCTTTCAGAGAATCAAGATATGATCAGGTCAATTACTGTGTTCAGTAGTTTTGCAAAAAGCAAAGTGGCAAAGTACTTTGACAAAGCACTGGTGAGCAATTAACGGCCACCTGCAGAAAAGAGCAAGAGATGTCATTTCTTCAACCTAACCATAAAGCCAGTATGTTACATTTCAATGCAGTTATGTTATATTGGTTAACTATTGCTGGGTAATAAATTACCCCAAAACTTAGCAGCTTAAAACAACAAACATTTATTATCTTACATCATTTCTAAGACTCAAGAACCCAGGAACAACTTTGGTGGGTGGTTCTGGCTCACAGTCTCTCAAAAAGTTGCAATCAAGCTGTTATCCAGGGCTACAGTTATCTCAAGGATTAACTGGGGCTGGATAATCCACTTCCAAGTTCACTCACAAGGCTGTTAACCAGCCTCGGTTACTTACCCCAAGGGTCTTTCATAGGCTGTTCGAGTGTCCTTATGAAATGGCAGCTGGTTTCCCACAGAGTAAGCCATCAGACAGAGAGAAGTGAGAGAAAAAAGATAATTAAGACAGCAAGTAAATGAGAGAGGGTCCATAATAGAAGCTTCGGTCATTTGGAATCTAGTCTTAGAAGTGACATACCATCATTTCTGTCTTATCCTGTTGGTCATTACACATCAACCTTAGTCGGTTGTGGGAGGGGACAATAGAAGGATGTGAATTTCAAGAGGCAGAAATCATTGGGGACCTTTTGAAGACTGGCTACTACAGGTGGAATAAAAGAAAAGAAATAACTTCTAAATACTAGAGATAAGATATATGAAAATAGATTTGCAAGGATTGTCTTTAAAAGAATTATAGTTGGACCCCAATCTATCTGAGATGGCTTTGTTACTAAAGTCAAAAGATAGGGAGCTAAACAATGACTTCCAATTATGTAAAACTTTCAAAATGCTTTAATACTATAAATATCTGAATGTAAGAGCGGAGTACTGCCATCAAGCACTCAAACCAGGGGCTTGCTGAGTTTATCTGTATTCATAGATGTAGAGAAGAACAATAGCAATGGCTGCTAAATTTTGTATTATCCCCACCATTCCCAGATGGGGTTATGTGTGCAAAGCTCAGCTCCTAGCTTCTAGTCCCACTCCTGGTAGGCTTCAATCTGACATGGCACAAATACTCTAGCCTGCCTTGTTTATTCTTAACCTTGACCACCTCAACCAAGGAATCATGGTAGAAGAGAAAAGAAATACAACATATGGTTTCTGCCTTCAGCAATCTTAAAATCTCAACTCAAGAAGAAAATGATCTCCCATACCCTCAACTGGAGGCCTTGGGAAAAAACAGAAACTTTAAACACTGAAGACCCTAGCTATCCCTAGGCCTCAGTTTATACAGAATATATTAAAAGTTATGTTTCAATCTCTTTCTCTGTATTCATCTCTAAAACTACACTTAGGTAGTGATTTCTAGCACAAGTGGTTTTGAAAATATTTTGGATTTCCTACCATACTTTCAGAATGCAGGTCATCAGTGCAGAACAAAATGTGACTTTGCTCACAACCTCAATCCAATAACTTCATTGTAATTGATATGGGTAAACCACTGAAGTAGTAGATAAATTTCAGTCCACCAGGAGAATCATATTTGTTCAACTATGATGTTGATCAGATTATAATAGTAAATCATGCACTCTATTGGCAAGTAGATATCATCTCATCAAAAATAGAGAACAGCTTGAGGTAGTCTGCAATACTGCTTTGGTATAATTAAACAGCTTCTTACTGCCTAAATTGGCAAAGCACTTCATCAATCAGTGATCTGGTCCCTCGGAGATTGCTTTTATTGTTTGACACAAACCTTTTGTAAGACTTCTTGGATGCTGCTCTCCCTCAGGTTACAATAATAGTAACTGCTGTTTCTGGGTTACCTTACTGTAATTTTCATGTCCAGTGATGTCTCATTATAGTTGTTCTTGAGGGGGAATGAGTGATGGAGAGTCTCCAATTATGAATAAAACACATTAAATAAAAAGAGAGTAATAGCATACTCAAAAGTAGCCCTAAAAATGGTTAACTATGCAAACTAAAGGATGATTATTTAGGTAGAAGAAGGGAAAGGAAAAGATAAGTGACATCTTTTCACTTTCATAACAGTTGTGAAAGAAATCATCTTTCTAATAATTTTACTTATTGGTAAAAGAGAAATATAATCACTCATTTTTATAGTCAGTAAGATAATAAATTAACTCTCTTTAATGGAAAAAGTTTGATGCATATGACCATTCATTCTGAGTCTAATAGTCGTCACTATCAATCTTTATCTCCTCCCAACTCAATAGTACTCTCAATATCCTACAATTCTGAGGTGCAGATTCCTTTTTGAGCTCTCTCTTGATGTTACCAGAACATATGGAATTATAGTGTTGTCAGGTGTTTTCTTGTTAAGATAATTCATTGATATATCTTCAAAGGAGTTTTTTTTTTTTTTGGTACTTTTCTAGGATAAAGCCCCTAAACAACATCACCCAAAAAATTAAAATCTTTGTTATCCTTTAACAGAGAATTAAATAGTTTAGGATCAAGATATTGAGCCCCTTGGGCTCACACTTTGAATTATTATATTTACCTGGTGAATTATGTGGGTCTTCTTTTTAGTTTCACTTTAGCAGACACTTTTCCCCCCAGGGAAAGACATTGTTGATCATAGCAGTAGGTCTAATTCCTTTCTCATATATTTATTTTTGAGGAACTCCGACAGACTGGCTTGGCCTTAACCATAGAAAGAAGTTTGTTCTGTATGATTTGTGTATGTGTGTGTGAGGTAGGGGGCAGTGATGGGAGAGTAGGAAATCTTGTTTTATACAAACATGTAAGAGAAACCTCAAATACTCTAGTCCAGAGAATAAATGATTGATGTCACATTTTTTCCTAAGAGCGAGTTTTGATAGGTCAGAATGGAGATACCATCAGAACACTAGGCACCTAAAAGGGGGTTATGAGAGGTCAGACAGAGCAAACCTATATCCAGGATCAGTCATGTGTTCCTCTATCCAAATTCTGCCTAAGGGTACACCTCCCCCAATAACTTACAGAGAAATTTAAAATGAATATTTGCAAATACTTTGTCATCTTATTACTTCAAAACTGTTATCAACTAAGTAAAACTCTTTTTCATATTTTTTAATTAAAAAACTCTAATTTGAAAACTACCCCCCATAATCAGGGCACTGTCTCTAATACCTAGACAAGGCTTCTATTTGTTTTTCACTTTCCACTTCATCCTGTAAATTCTTGCCACGCTGACAGCTCTGCTGAAAACATTCAATACTACCGTTATTGTCTTCTGGCATATAAGGCTGTTCAAAATTTGCCCCCAAATTACCTTCCAAGATTTTTCATGCACTATTCCCCTAACAAAAAGGGTTTCTTGCCAACCATTTTATTATGTAGAAAACACCTCCCCGACAACCGCCATTCATAATGCCTCCTCGTTTATCTAGAAGTTACCCCCCTACCCCTGCACTCTTCTGTCATACTTTGTTTGGTTCATATGTTTGATTCAAATCCAAATGGCCTGTATGGATTTTATATTTTCTTATATTGTAGATGTTTATGTATACATCTATATCTACCATATACTATAGTAACTACTAGAGGACAACAACCGTATCATAGGCAACTCTTTTATGTGCATAATCTCTGCAGGATACCTTTACCATTACTAATACTTAGCAAATGTTCGTGGAAGGAAAGCGTTGCAAGAGGTAGGGAGGCAGGCATGCTGGCTTTTTAAAATCTAATTTTCATCAACCTCTAGGTCAGTGGTTCCCAATACTGGTTGTTTATTTGAATCACTAGGGAATTATTTTTAAAGAGCAGTGCCACACCTAACACCTATTTGATTCAAATCTCTGGGAGGTAGGATCACAGCATCTATATGTATGTTTTAAAAGTTGTCCAGATAATCCTAACGAGCATTGGTTCAAAGTCTAGTCCCCAGACCAGCAACATCAGCATTGCTGGGAATTTGTAAGAAATGTAAATTCTGAGACCCTTCCCTGCATCTACTAAGTCAGAAATCTGGGAATGGGGCCCAGCAATATGTGTTGGAACAAACCCTCCAGATGATTTTGATGAACATTAAAGTTTGAGAACTACTGCTCTAGAGTGTTAATGAAAGTAGGACAGGAGCAGAGTGTCCACAAGAAAATAGTTTGATGTTCTTGTGACATCAAATGGTCAGGTAATAAAATCATTGCAAGAACAAAATGGTTTTTAAAAACTGTACAAAGAGGCCGGGTGTGGTGGCTCACACCTATAATCCCAGCACTTTAGGAGGCTAAGGCATGTGGATCACTTGGGGTCAGGAGTTTGAGTCCAGCCTGGCCAACATAGTGAAACCCTGTCTCTACTAAAAGTACAAAAATTAGCCAGGCATAATAGTATGCACCTGTAATCCCAGCTACCTGGGAGGCTGAGGCAAAAGAATCATTTAAACCTGGAGGCAGAGCCTGCAGTGAGCAGAGATAGCACCACTGCACTCCAGCCTGGGCAACAGAGCAAGACTCTGTCTCAAAAGAAAAAACAACAACAACAACAACAAAACTGTACAAAAAGCCTTTAAAAAAATAAGACAGATCTTCAAAAAAAATTTGGTAATCAGGCTAACATGAAGGACGGTCTTCATTGTATAGAGGCAAGATGAGAGAAACATAAATGAGAAAAGACATGCAGGATCCTGACAAGATGGCCGAATAGGAACAGCTCTGGTCTGCAGCTCCCAGCAAGACCAATGCAGAAGGCAGGTAATTTCTGCATTTCCAACTAAGTGTAAACAAAGTCACCAGGAAGTTCAGACTGGGCGGAACCCACCGATGTAGCTGCTGTAGCCAGACTGTCTCTCTAGATCCCTCCTCTCTGGGCAGGGCATCTCTGAAAGAAAGGCAGCAGCCCCAGTCAGGGGCTTGTAGATAAAACTCCCATCTCCCAGGGACAGAGCACCTGGGGGAAGAAGGGATGACTGTGGGTGCAGCTTCAGCAGACTTAAACATTCCTGCCTGCTGGCTCTGAAGAGAGCAGTGGATCTCCCAGCACAGTGCTTGAGCTCTGCTAAGGAACAGACTGCCTCCTCAAGTAGGTCCTTGACCCCCATGCCTCCTGACTAGGAGACACCTCCCAGCAGGGGACGGCAGACACCTCATACAGAAGAGCTCTGGCCAGCATCTGGCAGGTGCCCCTCTGGGACGAAGCTTCCAGAGGAAGGAGCAGGCAGCAATCTTAGCTGTTCTGCAGCATCTCCTGGTGATACCCAGGCAAAAAGGGTCTGGAGTGGACCTCCAGCAAACTCCAGCAGACCTGCAGAAGATAGGCCTGACTGTTAGAAGGAAAACTAACAAACAGAAAGCAATAACATCAACATCAACAAAAAGGACATCAACACAAAAACCCCATCCAAAGGTCATCAGCATCAAAGATCAAAGGTACATAAATCCATGAAGATGAGGAAAAACCAGCACAAAAATGCTGAAAATTCCAAAAACAAGAATGCCTCTTCTCCTCCAAAGGATCACAACTCCTTGCCAGCAAGGGAACAAAACTGGATGGAGAAGGAGTTTGATGAATTGACAGAAGTAGGCTTCAGAAGGTGCATAATAACAAACTCCTCCGCGCTAAAGGAGCATGTTCTAACCCAATGCAAGCAAGCTAAGAACCTTGATAAAAGGTTACAGGAACTGCTAACTAGAGTAACCAGTTTAGAGAACATAAATGACCTGATGGAACTGAAAAACACAGCACGAGAACTTTGTGAAGCATACACAGGTATCAATACCCGAATCAATCAAGCAGAAGATAGGATATCAGAGACTGAAGATCAACTTAATGAAATAAAGCATGAAGACAAGATTAGAGAAAAAAGAATGAAAAGGAATGAACAAAGCCTCCAAGAAATATGGAACTATGTGGAAAGACCAAACCTATGATTGATTGGTATGCCTGAAAGTGATGGAGAGAATGGAACCAAGTTGGAAAACACACTTCAGGATATTATCCAAGAGAACTTCCCCAAGCTAGCAAGACAGGCCAACATTCAAATTCAGGAACTACAGAGAGCACTACTAAGATGCTCCTCAAGAACAGCACCAAGACATATAATCATCAGATTCACCAAGGTTGAAATGAAGGAAAAAATGTTAAGGGCAGCCAGGGAGAAAGGTCAGGTTACCTACAAAGGGAAGCAATCAGACTAACAGTGTATCTCTCTGCAGAAACCCTACAAGCCAGAAGAGAGTGGGGGTCAATATTCAACATTCTTAAAGAAAAGAATTTTCAACCCAGAATTTCATATCCAACCAAATTAAGCTTCATAAGAGAAGGAAAAATAAAATCCTTTACAGACAAGCAAATGCTGAGGGATTTTGTCACCACCAGGCCTGCCTTACAAGAGCTCCTGAAGGAAGCACTAAATATGGAAAGGAAAAACCAGTACCAGCCACTGCAGAAACATACCAAAATATAAAGACCAATGACACTATGAAGAAACCGCATCAACTAATGTCCAAAATAACCAGCTAGCATCGTGATGGCTTGACCAAATTCACACATAACAGTATTAACCTTAAATGTGAATGGGCTAAATGTCCCAATTAGAAGAAACAGACTGGCAAATTGGATAAAGAGTCAAGACCCATCAGTGTGCTGTATTCAGGAGACCCATCTCATGTGCAGAGACACACATAGGTTCAAAATAAAGGGATGGAGGAATATTTTCCAAACAAATGGAAAGTAAAAAAAATCAGGGGTTACAATCCTGGTCTCTGGTAAAACAGACTTTAAACCAACAAAGTTCAAAAAAGACAAAGAAGGGCATTACATAATGGTAAAGGGATCAATGCAACAAGAAGAGCTAACTGTTTTAAATATATCTACACCCAATACAGGAGCACCTAGATTCATAAAACAAGTTCTTAGAGACTTACAAAGAGACTTAGACTCCCACACAATAATAGTGAGGGACTTTAACACCCACAGTCAATGTTAGACAGATCAACGAGACAGAAAATTAT
The DNA here is from genome assembly GCF_000001405.40 of Homo sapiens. NCBI lineage: Eukaryota > Metazoa > Chordata > Mammalia > Primates > Hominidae > Homo > Homo sapiens. Next base: position 177,371,757 of record NC_000002.12, on the reverse strand, counting down.
CAAGGATATTCAGAACTTGAACTCAACTCTGGACCAAGTGGACCTAATAGACATCTACAGTACTCTTCACCCCAAATCAACAGAATATACATTATTCTCAGCACCACATAGCACTTATTCTAAAATTGACCACATGATTGGAAGTAAAACACTCCTCAGCAAATGCAAAAGAATGGAAATCATAACGGTCTTTCAGACCACAGTTCAAACAAATTAGAACTCAGGATTAAGAAACTCACTCAAAACCACACAACTACATGGAAACTGAACAACCTTCTCCTGAATGACTACTGGGTAAATAACGAAATTAAAGCAGAAATAAATAGGTTCTTTGAAACCAATGAGAACAAAGACACAACATACCAGAATCTCTGGGTCACAGCTAAAGCAGCATGTAGAGGGAAATTTATAGCACTAAATGCCCACAGGAGAAAGCGGGAAAGATCTAAAATTGATACCCTAATATCACAATTAAAAGAACTAGAGAAGCAAGAGCAAACAAATTCAAAAGCTAGCAGAAAACAAGAAATAACTAAGATCAGAGCAGAACTGAAGGAGATAGAGACACAAAAAAAACCTTCAAAAAATCAGTGAATCCAGGAGCTAGTTTTTTGAAAAGATTAACAAATAGACCACTTGCCAGAATAATAAAGAAGAAAAGAGAGAAGAATCAAATAGACACAATAAAAAATAATAAAGGGGATATTACCACTGATCTCACAGAAATACAAACTACCATCAGAGAATATGATAAACACCTCTACGCAAATAAACTAGAAAAGGTAGAAGAAATGGATAAACTCCTGGAGACATACACCCTCCCAAGGCTAAACCAGGAAGAGGTTGAATCCCTGAATAGACCAATAACAAGTGCTGAAATTGAGGCAGTAATTAATAGCCTACCAACCAAGAAAAGCCCAGGATCAGAGGAATTCACAGCTGAATTCTACAAGAGGTACAAAGAGGAGCTGATACCATTCCTTCTGAAACTATTCCAAACAATAGAAAAAGAGGGACTCCTCCCTAACTCATTTTATGAGGCAAGCATCATCCTGATACCACAACCTGGCAGAGACACAACAAAAAAAGAAAATTTCAGGCCAATATCCCTGATGAACATTGATGTGAAAATCCTCAATCAAGTACTAACAAACCGAATTCAGCAGCACATCAGAAAGCTCATCCACCACGATCCAGTCGGCTTCATCCCTGGGATTCAAGTCTGGTTCAACATATGCAAATCAACCAACATAATCCATCACATAAACAGAACCAATGACAAAAACCACATGATAATCTCAATAGGTGCAGAAAAGGCCTTTGATAAAATTCAACACTCCTTCCTGCTAAAAACACTCAATAAACTAAGTATTGATGGAAGATATCTCAAAATATTAAGAGCTATTTATGACAAACCCACAGCCAATATCATACTGAATGGGCAAAAGCTGGAAGCATTCTCCTTGAAAACCAGCACAAGACAAAGATGCCCTCTCTCACCACTCCTAGTCAACATAGTATTGGAAGTTCTGGCCAAGGCAATCAGGCAAGAGAAAGAAATAAAGGTATTCAGATAGGAAGAGAGGAAGTCAAATTGTCTCTGTTTGCAGATAACATGATTGTATACTTAGAAAACCCCATCGTCTCAGCCCAAAATCTCCTTAAGCTGATAAGCAACTTCAACAAAGTCTCAGGATACAAAATCAATGTGCAAAAATCACAAGCATTCCTATACATCAATAATAGACAAACAGAGAGCCAAATTATCAGTGAACTCCCATTCACAATTGCTACAATACCTAGGAATGCAACTTACAAGGGATGTGAAGGACGTCTTCAAGGAGAACTACAAACCACTGCTCAAGGAAATAAGAGAGGACACAAACAAATGGAAAAACATTCCATGCTCATGGATAGGAAGAATCAATATTCTTCCTATGGGCAGTGATAATGCCCATACTGCCCAAAGCAATTTATGGATTCAATGCTATTCTGATCAAGCTACCATTGACTTTCTTCACAGAATTAGAAAAAACTACTTTAAATTTCATATGGAACCCAAGAAGAACCCATATAGCCAAGACAATCCTAAGCAAAAAGAACAAAGCTGGATGTATCATGCTACCTGACTTCAAACTATACTACAAGGCTACAGTAACCAAAACAGCATGGTACTGGTACTAAAACAGATATACAGACCAATGGAACAGAACAGAGGCCTCAGAAATAACACCACACATCTACAACCATCTGATCTTCGACAAAACTGACAAAAACAAGCAATGGGGAAAGGATTCCTTATTTAATAAATGGTATTGGGAAAACTGGCTAGCCATATGCAGAAAACTGAAACTGGACCCCTTCCTTACACCTTATACAAAAATTAAATCGAGATGGATTAAAGACTTAAATGTAAGACCTAAAACCATAAAAACCCTAGAAGAAAACCTAGGCAATACCATTCAGGACATAGGCATGGGCAAAGACTTCATGACTAAAACACCAAAAGCAATGGCAACAAAAGCCAAAATTGACAAATGGGATCTAATTAAACTAAAGGGCTTCTGCACAGCAAAAGATACTATCACCAGAGTGAACAGGCAACCTACAGAATGGGAGAAAATTTTTGCAATCTATCCATCTGACAAAGGGCTAATATCCAGAATCTACAAGGAACTTAAACAAATTTACAAGATAAAAACAACCCCATCAAAAAGCAGGCTAAGGATATGAACAGACACTTCTCAAAAGAAGACATTTATGCACCAGCAAACATATGAAAAAAAGCTCCTCATCACTATTCATTAGAAAAATGCAAATCAAAGCCACAATGAGATACTGTCTCACGCCAGTTAGGATGGCAATCATTAAAAAGTCAGGAAATAGGCCAGGTGCGGTGGCTCACGCCTGTAATCCCAGCACTTTGGGAGACCAAGGCGGGCAGATCACGAGGTCAGGAGATGGAGACCATCCTGGCTAACACGGTGAAACCCCATCTCTACTATGAATACAAAAAATTAGCTGGGCGTGGTGGCGGGCACCTGTAGTCCCAGCTACTCAGGAGGCTGAGGCAGGAGAAGGCGTGAACCCAGGAGTTGGAGTTTGCAGTGAGCGGAGATTGTGCCACTGCACTCCAGCCTGGGCGACAGAGCAAGACTCTGTCTCAAAAAAAAAAAAAAAAAAAAAAAAAAAAGTCGGGAAATAACAGATGCTGGAAAGGATGTGGAAAAATAGGATGCTTTTACACTGTTGGTGGGAGTGTAAGTTAGTTCAACCATTGTGGAAGACAGTGTGGCGATTCCTCAAGGATCTGGAACCAGAAATACTATTTGACCCACCTATCCCATTACTGGGTATATACCCAAAGGATTATAAATCATTCTCTATAAAGACACATGTACACATATGTTTACTGTAGCACTATGTACAATAGCAAAGACTTGGAACCAAACCAAATGCCCATTAATGATAGAATGGACAAAGAAAATGTGGCACATACACACCATGGAATACTATGCAGCCAGAAAAAAGAATGAGTTCATGTCCTTTGCAAGGACATGGATGAAGCTGAAAACCATCATTCTCAGCAAACTAACACAGGAACAGAAGACCAAACACAGCATGTTCTCACTCATAAGTAGGAGTTGAACAATGAGAACACATGGACACAGGGAAGGGAACATCACACACCAGGGCCTGTCAGGGGATGGGGGAAAGAAGAGGGAGAGCATTACGGCAAATACCTAATGCATGCGGGGCTTGAAACCTAGATGATGGGTTGATGGGTGCAGCAAACCACCATGGCACCCGTATACCTATGTAGCAAACCTGCATGTTCTGCACATGTATGGCAGAACTTAAAGTATAATAGGAAAAACAAAAAAGAAAGAAGAGATGCAATCTAAAATGGATATGAAGGTTAACAAAAAAACATTCTGCAATTATACACACTTAAAGGGGAGAGAGGAAAATCTCATACACACTCCCAAACATGAAAGGAAAAATAATTACAGTTGACCATGTAAAAGTTATTGTTTTTCTTTTTTAATGGGTTCTGGGTGGTGGTGGTTTTATCTCTGAATTTTATAAAATAATTTATGTACAACAGTTGGTCTTGCTGAGGTAGAGTAGAAAGCTAGACACATTGGGTCAGGGATGGAAATGGCTGCTATGTATTTTTAATTACTCAATATATTTAGCATTAGGGCCTAATGGTGTACACCTCACGGTCCCAGAGAGGGAGAAAAACCTCCTGCTCTTATAGAAAGAACTCAAAGCTGTGAGTCACAATACCTAGATTGTAGTTCTGCTTGTGCCACTTAACCAGAGGCAAAACTTTTGTTCTCACCTTTCTCATCTATTTAACTTGCACATAAAAGTGCTTTTCAAAGTTAAGAGTTCTATAAAAATATCAGTATTCCTAAGTACATGCCATTCATCATTCTGTTTTATACCTTGGAAGATAAACACAACTTCCTACAAATAGCAAAAGGGACAGTCTAATGCCTGATGCTAGCAAGAATGGAAAGGACAACCCCAATTTAATTTGATTTTGATATACATAAAAATACTAAAACAAATCAACAAAATAATATACTCTTAATCCTCTAAGAAAGTACCAACTCCTGGCTCAGGTAGCAATTAGAATGGCTTCTTCAAGAGAAATGACACCAAAGAAATTCATTTCATGACATGATAACAGGCTACTCACATAAGGAGGAAAAACAGGTAAGTCTGCTTCAGCTACAGTTCAAATGATTACAAGTATTTAACATGGTTAAAGAAAAACGAATCAATCTTTACACTCTATTTCACGTTCCTCTTCTCAGCCTATGACAATAATTGTTTATTGGTTTAAGCAAAGCTTTTGGCTTTAGCCTTATGCTAAAGTGTAAGGGTATCTAAAGTGATAAATGGGAAATTAAATATTAAAAATTTTTTTAAAGTTGAAGATAGTTGTAAAGTACTACACACACACACACACACACACACACACACACACACAACAAGAAACCAAGTGTAATATATTAGGAAGAACTCTTTACAAGCCAGTATTCCTTCATTCTACCCTAGAACTAAAGACTCTTGTTTGGTAATTGTACATCTAGCTCTGGTACTCTATTGAAAGTTGGTCCAACCTCAGACAGCAAATGGGCATTTCCCAGAGACCTGTGGAATATGCTGAACTTTCTGCACTTTTCCCTTGGGGAGAAAAGAAGAATGTGGATCACAAGAATCTGCCACTTTAGAAATTTAGCTAGATCGAGGTTTTCCATTGTAATTTCTGTAGGATGCTTGCACTTCTAGGGACAGGGCATGTTTCCACGGTTCTGCTGTTAAATGAATTTGGGAAGCACTTCCCACTCTAACCTTGCTCCCTTGAAAAGTCACATTGCCCGTTAGCTTATTAAAGGCTCTAAAAATTCTGCATAAGCTTGTGTAATACAATGTGTTCACCCACAGGATGATTTTTCCCCAGTACCTGTTTCTATACTTTTGGGATATATTAGCTTAAATGATAAGGTCCTATAGAGCAAGTGCTCAAGATATGAATCACCAAGGCTAGCACTCAAAGGACAATGATCATTGATAAATCATTCTGTGAATGGTGACCTAAAGTGAGTGATTAGCCTGAGGCTTAAGTTAAATATTTTTTTAAACATGTGGTCTTGCTCTGTCACCCAGGCTGGAGTGCAGTGGGATAATCAATCATAGCTTACTGTGACCTTGAACTCCTGTGCTCAAGTGATCCTCCCACTTCAGCCTCCTGAGTAGCTAGGACCACAGGTGTGTGCCACCATGCCTGGCTAATTTTTTACCTTTATTTTTATCAAAACAGGGTCTTACTGTGTTGCCCAGGCTGGTCTCATACTCCTGGACTCAAGCAGTCCTCCCACTTTGGCCTCCCAAAGCACTGGGATTATAGGCATGAGCCACTGTGTCCAGTCTGAAGCTTAAGTTATTCATTGCCTCTTTTTAAGGTCCCAACTGAAGGTAATGGGAGCACATTCTTATAACATTTGAAGATGATACTAAGCTAAATCTATGTAATAAAAACTTCTTGTACTAGCCATAAGATAAATTCAGCCAATTGGACAAAATTGAGCCTTTTTAACAGACCCAGGAAGTTTATTACACACACAAACACTCACATTTACACATATAAGTTCAGTGTATCTATACATGGAAGCTGTAATTGAAATGAATGACCAAGTTTTATGGGCTTGCTAATTCCCTGGATAAAAGAATAAGAATTCAAAATTATAATTAAACATTAAACAAATAGTAAAGTAGAAGAAGCAAGTATATAGTTGGGATGAGAAGATTAGTAGCTTTGTCTTTGACATTTAGCTTGAATTCGCAACAGCATTGTAGACAGAGTGAAGTTCTCAGAAAGAGACCTGAAAGCCTTCTTGACTTGTCTCCTATCCTTTCACATCTATTCCAACTATTACCAAGTTTTACCAGAAGCAGAATCTCCTTTTCCTTGCTAATTCCGCAGCCATAGCCTATGCCAGACCACATCTCCTCATTCCTGGACAATCTAGCCTTCTCTAGGCTCCCCATTTTGAATTACTCTTGCATGCATTCCTGTCAAAATAACCTTACTAAAGCACCATTTATAATATTCTCTAGCCAATCTAACTACCATAGATCTCAGTGACCTCTACGAACTAAGAGTACCCATAGTATTTACAATTATATCCATACAGCTTAACATTTAAACATTCTCAGATAGTTTCATTTAAGTTCATTTTGTCTGCCTTGAGGAAAAAGAGTTTGTCTCATATTTCTTTGCAGTTACTGTAACACGTAACACAAGGTGTTCAACATCAATCCTCAGATTCAAGTCCTACCCAATTTGGACTACTTTAACTGTAGTAGAATATTCTGATCTGTGCCAGGAAAAGGTAGGTTACCATTCATTCCTTTATCCATTCACTCATCAGACATTTTTAAGGCAACCTCCGTATGCAAGACACTGTGCCAGGCAATAGATACGAAGATGTATGTCCTGCCTTGAAGGATATTGTGGGGGAATCAGACATGTACATCATGGTGAGGACTAGAGAGAAGTATGCACGGGTGCTTCAGGGCACCCAGGGGAGACACTTGAAATCAGACTGGAAATAGGACAGAACATCATTGTCCAAGGTGTGTTTCCCAGAGTGCTAGTCCTGTAAGATTCCCCAAGGAAAAAAAAAGTTTTATGGTCAAATAAATGTGAGAAACTCTGATCACTGTCACTCCCTCTCCCAAAGAGCCACAAAGCCCATTAGCATGCTAATGCCTAAGAGGAGTCCTGCAGTAGAAACCTGTGGGAAACCCAGGGTATGAAATATAAAATTCCTAACCATCAGGAGAAAAGTAGTAGTTGAAACCTTCTGGATGGGTGAAGTCACTGAGGAATTGAGGGAAAAGAACAGAGGGGCCAGCCACAGCCAAGGATGAGAAGAGTATCAACATTTAAGTGTGGAATGGAAAAAGAGTGGCCCATGAGGGAGGCTAAGATGAACTGGCCAGGGATGTAGAAATAAATCCAAAACAAAACAGAAAACCAGGATCAGAGGGAGAGGATAGAATTTCAAGGAGGGTTTGGCCAGAAACATCAGAGCCCCAAATGAAAAACTGGCATGTCCACTGGATTTAGCAATCAAGGGGTTATTAGAGACGTTGGTGGGAGTGTTATCAGGGCAACATTGGGAGGGAGGGGGCTTGCAGTGGACTGAGGCTGTGAGGAAGTAAGAGTAATAAGTATAGACTGGCCTTCTGAGAAATGTGGCTATGCAGGGATGGGAATAACATGGGAAGGGACAGAGAGAGATGCGGTGTTGAAGGAGGGTTATTTGGCAATGAGGAGATTTGAAACTCTTTGTTATATTCTAAGGGGAAAGAGCCAAATAGAGAGGAAAGGTTAAGACAGGAATTTGAGGGAAGGGTGCCTAATTAGACTCAGTAACTGAAAAGACAGCGAGGAGGGGAGGTAAATCACAGTGAGGTGGAATTAGCCACAGACAGAAAGAGGGCGACCTTTTCTACTGGGCAGGAACAAAGAAAAAAGGGTAGGAGAGAGAAAGTTATTAGTAATATCATTAATTCATATTTATGAGGACCTGCTCTATGCCAGGCACTGTGCTAAGTGGTTTGCAGAGTGTTGAGAAAGGCAGTCTCGTGCAGTCTCTGGATCCCCGTTCAGCCACATAAGGATGGGCTTGAGCCTGGAACACTTCCTAACCAAGAGATGAACCGCCTACGCAGCCTGTGCTGGGCTTATCACCTTGTGTAGGAGTATCTTTCCCTGTTGCAGACTCCATGAATATTCCTGGCCTCTGCTGACGTGTGTATCTCAGTGGCCCTCAGACGCATCCCAGGCTTTCAATATTTCAGACTCCACACAGGAGAAGGAGGAGTCCTGCCTCTGTGATAGGTGGAAGGAGTGCACATAGGCACATTGTTCTGCTGGAAGAGATGGTCTAGCCACGGGGGACTGAGGCACACTGTTGCAGTTGATCTTGCACTGTCTCTTCACTGTCTATGTAACATAACCCTTCACTATGTAAAGGGTTATGTTATGTTTTCCTTGGTAACTCCTGTGTCAAGGTGCAATGGGAAAAAGTGGAGTACTCCTCTTGAATTAGTGCACAGTATTCCACTCAACACATAGGTTGTCCCATTTAATCCTTACAGTAATACTTTAGGGTAGGCACTAATATCATCCCAATTCTACAGATGAAGAAAGAGCAGTAGGTCTAATGGAGTCAAGATACAAGTCAGGTAAAGAAAGATTTCTTGCCTAGTGAGTACTTTCTTAGAAAGAAGCTCTTCCTTGGTGTTATCAATTTTTCTGATTGAAGTAATTGAAGGAGGAAGCAAGACTATTTGCTGAGAGTGAGGCAGGGAGGTGGCAAGGGAAGGATGTCTGAGGAACGGAACAGTCACGATTGGAATAGTTGCAGAAGAGAATGAGAGAGTGTGCTAAGTAAAGACATACTTGAGAACCTAGCCAACATTGAAGCACATACTTCAGTTGAGGCTTCAATTTCTATAGTTTGTGACACCCCGCCCCTGCCACCCCCATCTGCTATGCCAGGATCTAGTTAGGAAGGCTGGGAAAAGATAGACTGAGACTTGCAGGGTTTTACAAAGAAGCATATACATCCTTAGAAATGACTACCAATATATACAAGATGATTGATCCCAGATGCTCTACTGTAGATATAAGCAAAGTACTGCCAGGGTACAGTGGATGGAGAGGGATTCATTCTGATAGGAAATTAGAGAAATCTGAGGATATGGATAACATTTAAACTTTTACTAGTGTAAAATTTTAGCAGTTTTCAAGCCTGATCTACTGAGAAATGAATTAACATCAGAAAAGGAAGAGCATGTTTGCAGGGGAAACAATAAGTTCAGTTTTCAGACATTGATTTTGAGATGCCTACAGTTGTAACACATAGAAATGTTTAGATTTGGAAGTTACCACCTACAGGTAGTAGTTCAAGCTTCACACATGAAGTTGCTGGCATGCAGAGGGAGTAAAGATATCATAAAGCTATCTCGCAACCTCATCACAGATAAGGACAGATACAAGGGTACCACTAGGCACCAGGGCAGAGTTTTCTGGCAATGAAATCAAGACAGAAGAGGAAGAAAAGCCTGGGATGCTTTCGGGCATGGAGTTGGTAGAGGGTTACTGATGTAGGTAGCCCTTAGGAGTGATTAGGAGATTGCAAAAGAAGCGTATGAAGGATTTAAGATTAAGGAAGGGAGGGGCCACTTGGAGGAATTGCAAAAACAAAGTTTAACTTTATTTTTCTTTTTACAAGCTTGCCTGGATCCAGCCTTGCAGAAGATTATAGCAAAAGTATTGTGGGCTCAATGGCAAGGTCAAGATGACTGGGCAAGGCCCTGGGAAATGAATGCTAACTTCTCACTGTTTTTTTTTTTTTTTTTTACCTTTCTGCTGCCTTCAATGTACTTTATTGTACAGTGCTCTCCCACTCCCAGAGACATTATCTCGCATGTCCCTCTTTGCCCTCAAAATCTATTTTTTTTTCCCTTTGAGACAGGGTCTTGCTCTGTCACCCAGGATGGAGTGTAGTGGCGCAATCACAGCTCACTGCAGACTCAACCTCCCAGGATCAAGCAATTCTCCCACCTCAGCCTCCCAAGTAGCTGGGACCACAGGTGCACACCATCATGCCCAGCTAATTTTTGTATTTTTTTGTAAAGACAGGTTTCACTATGTTACCCAGGCTGATCTCGAACTCCCGTACTCAAGCAACTCCCCACCTCAGCCTCCCAAAGTGCTGGGATTACAGACGTGAGCCACAGCGCCGGGCCCCAAAATCTATTTTAAATGTAAAGAAACCCAAAAGTAACAGTTTTGTAAAAGAAAATTCACGTACTGTTTTGTAGTAAATTCTAAACACTGTGTATCTTTGTGTCTAGTTAAATCCTAGGCTTACAGCTAAACTTCAATGAGAAGGCAACCAAAGAATACGTTAGGAATTAACCCCTGGAAGTAAGACCAGGCAAAAGGCACCTCAACCATATCTGCTAAGTGTATAAAGAATTGATAGTTAGGTGCCACATCCTTTATCTACATTTGCACCTACACGTGAACCTAGACCTTATTTATCAATACCACTCATCATAATGAAATAAGGATACAGTGATACAATTTCAACACTGTCTAAAAGAACTCAGGCTAGGTGCAATGGCTTACACCTGTAATCCTAGCACTTTGGGAGGCCAAGGCAAGTGGATTGCTTGAGCTGAGGAGTTAAAGAGCAGCTTGAGCAACATAGTAAGAGCTCGTCTGTACAAAAAATAAAATTAGCCAGGTGTGGTGGGGCACACCTGTGATCCTAGCTACCTGGGAGGCTGAGGTAGGAGGATCACCTGAGCCTGGGAGATCAAAGCTTCAGTGAGCCATGATCATGCCACTGCACTCCAGCCTGGGTGACAGAGTCAGACCCTTTTTCAAAAAAAAAAAAAAAATTGTAGATGGAGAGCAAGAGGCAAAGGGGAGCAAGAAAAAGGGAAAACAAGAAAGGAAGGGCCTCCTTCACTGGCTGCCTTTGTCCTGACACCTCCTTTATTTGAGTTACTAACATGGGGTTCCAGAAGGTATTTTTCCATAAAAAAACATTGAAATCATTAGCTGAACTGGATAGTCTACTCCATTATGTCTTGGATAGGTTCTGACCTTCACACATGGCCCCGGAGAATAAGAAACTGAAGAAAGCAGTTTTTATGGCAAAAAAAAGAAATGTAACGAGGAAGGACATATCTGGCTTGGTGAGCCAAGGTTTTGCATGAGAGACAGCTTTGGCAGAAAATATGTTTGGCTGCATTTTTTTAAAACCCAAATGAAATAGCTTTATTTTACTAAGTCCCTTGGGTAAAATGTGTATGTTTTTACAATATATATTACCTACACTATTAAGTAGAAAAATGTCAGTAGCAAATTGGCACAGCTTCTTAGACTCCTAATATGTATGCCTAGTGTTCCATTATTGGAATGCTAAGCTTGTGGGAGTTATTTATATCCTACTGCTCAAGATCATCGCCAAGTTCTGATTTTTCACACACACAAAAAAATTGCAATCTCCAGCATAAATAGGTTAATGGTTAATATCTGGGCATAGCTGAAAAGTAGCAAAACAGATGCTGTTTTCAGATTTTTTATTTTGATTAGTAGCATCAGGGAACTGGTATGGTGAGGGTGGTTGGGGTTCAGAAAAGGAGAAGGAAGCTGAAAGGGGAAAGAAACATAAATACATGAGATGATAATTGAGAGATTCAAATTTTCTATATTTTCTGTCTTTTGAAAGAGACAGAATTTAAATTTTATGGAATTTCATTAGAATTTTTTTAATGAATGCAGAAAAACACCTTAAACACCTTAAAACATATCTAGGCTGACCCACAGAAGAGTAAAGCCATCCTGTCTTTTCTCTGTATCTCTCTGACACACACACACACACACACACACACACACACACACATCAATAGTTTCTGAGGATCATTTTTAATTTATTTTTATTTCTAGCATACAAAAGCCTAGGATTATACTCCTTTTTATGTGTTTTAGAAGGGTGAGGTGCAATGTTAAGGAAATTAACTCAATAACATTTTACCTGCTAAGTGAAATACAAAATCTACCCCTACGATTAATAGTTTATACTTTTTTGTTGTCTTGCATTACGTGGATAAGTAAGGATTTTTTCCAAAAAAAAGATATGTGTAGTTTGAGACCAGCATGGGCAAATGACAAAATCTCATCTCTACAAAAAGTACAAAAATTAGCCAGGCATGGTGGTGCACACCTATAGTGCCAGCTACTCAGGAGGCTGAGATGGGAGGATGACTTGAGCCCAGGAGGCAGAGTTTGCAGTGAGCCAAGATTGTGCCACTGCACTCCAGCCTGGGCAACAGAGCCAGACCCTATCTCTAATTAATTAATTAATTAAAATTTAAAAAAATATATATGTGTATGATATGTATGGAAATCAGTACGTTGGCGAGAATGAAAAAAGGCTGCACATTTTCAGGGAGCCAAAAGACAGAGAGCCTGAGAATAAAAGGGGGACTGAGCTGGTTTCAGCTGCAAAGCCAGCAATCATTTCAGACAATAGTCTGCTCTTTCAGCTGAAAATACGGGAAAAGGAGTGGCACAAATAAATGCCCTCCTTGACTGTCCAAATATCTGTAAGATAATTAAAGTATCCTTCACCCTTTTTAATGGGAGCCCACTGCTTCGCTCTATGTAAATGAAGTTAGGATCCTTTCAAACAATACAAATAGGAGAAGGAGATCATATATATATTGTAATATTATATCATACATATATTACGTAGAATGTTCTTTTCTGATTATAAAGCAATTCATGAGAAAAATATTAATAAAATATTTAAAATTAATGATCATTTTAGAAAAAAATGGGCATACAAAAAGATTAAAAAGAAAATAAAATATTTATATTATTAGTAAAATTAACCATTTTTTAAAATTTTTAAATTTTAAAATTAAAAAATTTAAAATTTAAAAAAATTTTACTTTTAAAATTATTTAAATATATGATCTGAATTTATATTGTAATTCTACTACCCAAGAGATATGCTGATAATATTTTGCTGTATTTCTTCCTAGTAATTTTTCTTTAATGCTACACTATCTTTGCCTAGGACAAGAAAGTACTCCCATTTGATGCTTTCAGCACTGCTAGACAGTAAATGAATTAAAAACACTAAAATAAAAGAGACAGAAACAGTAATTGCACCCAACTGAACTGTGGGAAGCTGTACCAGCCTCCACAACTAAGTATTCGAAGAAAGAAAACAGTTGTGAGAAATCAGCACAGTGCTGTGGAAAGAACACACAGAAGACTTGGTCCTAGTACTGTCTTACTGTTACTTCACTCCATGACCTTGGGAAAAACATTTTCCTTTTCTAGGATTCATTTTCTTTATCTCTAAAATAGGAGACTGCAGCTCAGCAGATGCACAAACATTATAAGGTATTTTGCCCTTTGCTGGAGACTAAGGATGATGGGCAGGAAGCTTCTAATCTAATCTAGTAGGTTTTGCAATTTAGAAATGAAAATTTAGGTAAAATTTTATGATATCCCTGAAATAGACCCTGAAGTTTAGAAGAAGATAATTTTCAAATTCTTGGCCTAATGAAGTGGACAAAATGCTACCAAAGTTCCTCAGACTCTGAAATTCTGTAATTTATTGTCACCAAAAGTCAAATGCCTAGACCAGTGTTGATCATTCTCATGCTGAGAGTAATTAGTGAATTTGTTCAGGGTCTGGGGGGACCCCAATTTCAAAGCAAATGGAAACCAGAGATGGTTGTTCTGTCAATCCAATTGTCACTTTATAGTCCCTAAATACCAAAGGCTAAGCTTTGGCAAAGTTGGGCAGTAAAAATCTACCCTTACTGCAAATCTTTCTCCTTTTGATCCTTCTCTCCCCAATCAGTTCTATTTCAATCCAGAAAGTCAGCAACTTTGAACTTTCTCTTCCGTCTGTGAAAACCTATTGGTAAGTGGTAGATATTTACAGCTTAGTAAATACATAAGTGTTTCTAAATATCTAAGTGTTTCTCCCAAGGATATTTATGTTAAAGTTTTATATCTAATTTTCTAATAAAAGTTTTTTCTCCCTATTGAGGGAATTGTTTTCCATTTATATAAAATTATTTTAAAATTATTTGTATAAATTTAAGGGGTACAAGTGAAGTTTTGCTAACATGGATACACTACCTCCTGGGGAGGTCTGGACTTTTAGTGGAACCCTCACTGGAATAATGTTACAATGTACCCATTACGTAATTTCTCATCCTTCTTCCCCTCCCCTCCCACCCTTCTGAGTCTCCATTGTCTATTCCACACTCTAAGTTCATGTGTACACACACTACTTAGCTCCCACTTATATGTGAGAATTTTATGTTTCACGATGAGTAGGTGGAGAAGATGTATTTAGGGAGTAAGACAGAGGACTTTCTTAGGTTCCCTAAATTCATACGAGATATGGGGAACCTTTGTCCAAGAGTATTTTCAAATTCTGGAACAATGAGGATTATGTCTTTAATATGGGCCTTTCCCCAAACACCACTAATAAGGACCTCTTCCTCCCTCTACTTGGAGCTACATTTGAACATAGTTTTTAACAAGTTACAAAAACACTACCCCCAGTTACTACAAGCCCTGAATGAAATGTAATAGCCAAGAATCCTTTTAAGGATTGGGTGCTGGGATTGTTTGCTTTCTCTTCTCTCTTTTCTTTTCTTTTCTTTTTTTTCCTTCGACAGGGTCTTGCACTGATGCCCAGGCTGGAGCCCAGAGCACAGTGGCCTGTTACCAGCTCTCTGCAACCTCTGCCTCCTGAGCTCAAGCAATCCTGCCTGAGTAGTTAGGACCACAGACATATGCCACCATGCCCAGCTAATTTTTATATTTTTTGTAGTGATGGTGTTTCACCATGTTGCCCAGGCTGGTCTCAAACTCCTGAGCTCAAGTGATCCGCCTGCCTTGGCCTCCCAAAGTGCTGCGATTACAGGTATTAACCATGTCCGGCCTTGCTTTGTTTCTGGTTTATAGTGAGACTGAAAAAATTTAAGGAAGGTATCTCAATTTAAATGAATTACTAATTGAATGAGTGATACATTTACAGATAAATGATTCTTCTACATCAATGCTGTCCAGCAGAACTTCTATGATGATAGAAATGTCCTATAACTGTGCTGTCTAGTGGGTAACCACTAGCCCCATGTGCACTAGAAAAATGGCACTTGAAAGTCAGAAACTGAATTTTTAATTTTTATTAGCTTTAATTAATTTAAATCTAAATAGCTATATGTGGATAATGGACATCATATTAGTTAACACAGTTCTAGATGATTCTGTGCAGAGGCTGGTTGGTTGCCAAATATATTATTCTGACCCTGACAAGGGAACCCCATCCAAGTAGAGTGATTCACCTTTTTAATCTCAGGTCTATTATATTAGTTATCAAGACCAAGGCTATTGCTATTAACAAATGAGAAAATCTATAGAATTGCCATGGAAACCCTATTGGAGAAACACAGGTTTCCATGTCAACCCCTGTCTAGGATACCGCTACAAAATGCCCTATAAGCAAAAACTTCTGAAACCACAATGTTTTCTGACTAATGGAATTAGGAGACTGCGACTTTTGTCCATTGTTCTTAGGCAAGGCATTTGGGGCCCTTCCAAGAAGTAGTCTGAATATCTGTTATAAGGAAAGAAAATGATACAGTGTCTAAAGGCCCTTGACTGAAAAATTTGTTTTTTGATAAATATGTTTTTATCTAAAGGCTCTTTGTCAGAAATCCTTCCTTGGGATTATGCTTGCTGACTTTTCTGATATGTTTCTATTAAGAAAAAAAAAAAGAAAGAAAAGGAAAGAAAAAGCAGAAAAGATGAAAGAAAGCTTCCCATCAGTGTTTCAAATAAAGAAGTTTATGATGAGATGTTACCATTGACCCTTAATTTCTGCCCCGTTTGAAACACTAAGGGAGTCCAACCATTGTCCATGCCCCTTTTGGAATGGTTGTGATTTCCAGGGCCTTGGTTAACTATTACTCCTAGCCCAAATCCTGGTGAGCTCCACTAGCTGCAGAGGCCACCATTTGCAAGAGCAGATATGCAGAAGATCCCTGGCCAGCCTCCTCATACCTACCTTCATTGCTATGTGGAGACAATAGAATCATTAAAAGTTATGGGCTGGACATGGTGGCTAACACCTGTAATCCCAGCACTTTGGGAGACCGAGATGGATGGATCGCTTGAGTACAGCAGTTTGAGACCAGCCTGGGCAACATGATGAAACCCTGTCTCTACAAAAAAAAAAAAAAAAAAAAAATTAGCCAGCCTTCATGGCACATGCCTGTGGTCCCAGCTACTCAGGAGGCTGAGGTGGGAGGATCACCTGCGCCTGACAGGTCAGGGCTGCAGTGAGCCAAGATTGCACCACTGCACTCCAGCCTGACAGAGTAAGACAATATATCAAAAAAAAATTTTTTTCATAGACCAATGGAACACAATACAGAACCCAGAAATAAACTCAAATACTTACGGGCAACTGATCTTTGACAGAGCAAAGAAAAACATAAAGTGGGGAAAGGACACCCTTTTCAACAAATGGTGCTGTGATAATTGGCTAGCCACATGTAGGAGAATAAAAGTGGAACCTCATCTCTCACCTTATACAAAAGTCAACTCAAGATGGATTAAGGACTTAAATCTAGGACCTGAAACTGTAAAAATTCTAGAAGATAACATTGGAAAAACCCTCTAGACATTGGCTTAGACAAGGATTTCATGACCAAGAACCCAAAAGCAAATGCAATAAAATCAAAGATAAATAGTTGGGACTTAATTAAACTAAAGAGCTTTTGCACAGCAAAAGGAACAGTCAGCAGAGTAAATAGACAACCCACAGAGTGGGAGAAAATCTCCACAATGTATACATCTGACAAAGGACTAATATCCAGAATCTACAATGAACTCAAACAAATCAGTAAGGAAAAACAAACAATCCCATCAAAAAGTGCGCTAAGGATATGAATAGACAATTCTCAAAAGAAGATATACAAACGGTGAACAAACATATGAAAAAATACTCAACATCACTAATGATCGGGGAAATGCAAATCAAAACCACAATGCAATACCACCTTACAAGAATGGTGATAATCAAAAAATCAAAAAACAGTAAATGTTGGTGTGGATGCAGTGATCAGGGAACACTCCTACACTGCTGGTGGGAATGTAAACTAGTACATCCTGTATGGAAAACAGTGTGGAGATTCCTTAAAGAGCTAAAAGTAGAACTAAAATTTGATCCAGCAATCCCACTACTGGGTATCTACCCAGAGGAAAACAAGTCATTATTCGAAAAAGAACATGGACATGCATGTTTATAGCAACACAATTTGCAGTTGCAAAATCGTGGAGCCAACCCAAATGCCCATGAATCAACGAGTGCATAAAGAAACTGTGATATAGGCTGGGCACACTGGTTTATGCCTGTAATCCCAGCACTTTGGGAGGCCGAGGTGGGCGGATCACCTGAGGTCAGGAGTTTGAGACCAGCCTGGCCAACATGGCAAAACCCCGTCTCTCCTAAAAGTACAAAAATTAGCCAGGCATGGTGGCGGGTGCTTGTAATCACAGCTACTCAGGAGGCTGAGGCAGGAGAATCGCTTGAACCCGGGAGGCGGAGTTTGCAGTAAGCTGAGATCGCACCACTGCACTCCAGCCTGGGCGACGAGAGCAAGACTCCATCTCAAAAAAAAAGAAAAAGAAAGAAACTGTTATATTTATATATATAAATATATATATTTATATATATTTTTATATATATATAAATATATATATTTATATATATATAATATATATGATGGAATACTGCTCAGCCATAAAAAGGAATGAATTAATGGCATTTGCAATGACCTGGATGAGACTGAAGACTATTATTCTAAGTGAAGTAACTCAGGAATGGAAAACCAAACATCCTGTGTTCTCACTGATATGTGGAAGCTAAGCTATGAGGACGCAAAGGCTTAAGAATGATACAATGGGCTTTAGGGGACTTGGGGGGAAGGGTGGGAGGGGGCAAGGGATAAAAGACTACAAACAGGGTGCAGCGTATACTGCTCAGGTGATGGGTGCACCAAAATCTCACAAATCACCACTAAAGAACTTACTCATGTAACCAAATAACACCTGTACCCCCGTAACCTATAGGAAAAAAAATTAAGTTATAAAGGTATATTTATTTCTATGGTTAAAGAAAAAATTCCCCTTGTTATAGAAAACTGAGGTGTCTGGAAAAGAAGCCTGAGACTTGGCTGCCCTGGGGAAGGATCCTAGGCGGCTGTGGTTGAAGAAACTTACATGAACCCACGTCCTTGGCAAGAGTGCTTGGTTTCCTGAATTGTTAGGAAAGTTGTTGAGAAACTGAGGACTGTAGTGAAGGGAGAATATTTGTTTTAGACAATAACAGATGATAGTATGAACAAAAACAGGTGGTGGCAATCAATTCCTAGTCGGGAGCCCAGAGAAAGGAATCCACATTTGGATCCTGTCTCAGTTTAATAAGATTCTTTGAAATGTAGCAGAGAAGGCTCCTGTTGCCTTCAGTAAATGGCTTGCTTGCTTTTTTTCCCACTCAAATCTATACAGTATAAGCTTTTGGACCTTGCTTTCCATACTATATTAGACCAAAAGTTGCACTTAGAAAATCTCCATCTTATACAATCTCCTCACTTTAAGTGAGAAAACAAAGGTGCAGACTTGCCAAGCGTCAACCCGTTATTACTAAAATTCCTGTCCCAGAGCTTACTTCATATGACATGAAGTTCCTGTTTCCACAACAGCAGCCAAACCCTATCTGCTCCCTGTTTCCTTCTCCTTTTTGTAATGAAATGATAGAAGTTGGGGACTCGAAATAATTTTCACTGAGTGTATATAACCCTCAGAACCTTTATTATGCTTCACTTCAACAAATATTTACTAAGTAACTACAATGTCCAAGCCTTAGCACTACTAAGTTGTTGTTCCTCCAGCAGATAAGGGCCTCAAACATAGTTGCAGCTAAGATTCTCTCTAAAGGTTTATTTCATCTCCACCCAAAACAGGAAGGCCTGGGAACTTGTACCAATATATTTCTTTCTTTCTTTCTTTTTTTAAGATGGAGTCTTGTTCTGTCATGTTACCCAGGCTGGCATGCAGTGGTGCAATCTTGGCTCACTGCAACCTCTGCCTCCTGGGTTCAAGCAATTCTCCTGCCTCAGACTCCCAAGTAGATGGGACTACAGGTGCATGCAGCCACGCACAGCTAATTTTTGTATTTTTAGTAGAGACAGGGTTTCTCCATGTTGGCCAGGCTGGTCTCAAACTCCTGACCTCAGGTGATCTGCCCACCTCGACCTCCCATAGTTCTAGGATTACAGGCACAAGCCACGGTGCCCAGCCAATATATTTCTTTAACTCAGTACAGCTAACACATATTTACTTATCATCCTTTTCTTTCTAGCTGATTACAGGTTTCCTCTTTTCTTTTTTGTCTTCCTGGTATCCTTGTCTGTTCCCTCTGTTTAAAGTTTTGCACAAGGTTCTGGGAAAGAATTGAGGAATGCTTAGGGTGTGACCCCACAAGCCAAATCTTGCACAGTTTCAGTATATGGGGATTAAGAAAAGATGACTGATTCTTGACGTTCTGGTCTGACTTTGGGCTTGGTTCGAGAGTGTGGGGATTCTAGTGTAATGGAAAAGAGAATATAACTAAAAGTGGTGCAGATTTGTTAGTCTAAAATCTGGTCCCTGCTTAGAGATACTCTGATTCCTCTCACTGCTATGGAACAGACACACACACCCACACACCACCCCAGCTGATGTTGTCACACTCACACACACACACACCACCCCAGCTGATCTTGTCACACACACACCACCCCAGCTGACCTTGTCACACACACACACACACCACCCCAGCTGATCTTGTCAAACACACACACACACACCACCCCAGCTGATCTTGTCAAACACACACCACCCTAGCTCATCTTGTGTGTCTCTCTCACACACACACACCACCCTAGCTCATCTTGTCTCTCTCTCTCTCACACACACACACCACCCCAGCTCATCTTGTCATACACACCACCCCAGCTGATCTTGTCTCTCTCTCTCTCTCTCTCAATCTCACACACACACACACCACCCTAGCTCATCTTGTCTCTCTCTCTCACACACACACACCACCCCAGCTCATCTTGTCATACACACCACCCCAGCTGATCTTGTCTCTCTCTCTCTCTCTCTCAATCTCACACACACACACACCACAGCTGATCTTGTCTCACACACATACACACACACACCACTCCAGCTGATCTTGTCTCTCTGTCTCTCTCTCTCACACACACACACCACCCCAGCTGATCTTGTCTCACACACACACACAACCGCAGCTGATATTGTCTCACACACACACACACACACACAACCCCAGCTGATCTTGTTATACAGACACACCACCCCAGCTGATCTTGTCAAACACACACACACACACCACCCCAGCTGATCTTGTCAAACACACACCACCCTAGCTCATCTTGTGTGTCTCTCTCACACACACACACCACCCTAGCTCATCTTGTCTCTCTCTCTCTCACACACACACACCACCCCAGCTCATCTTGTCATACACACCACCCCAGCTGATCTTGTCTCTCTCTCTCTCTCAATCTCACACACACACACACACACCACCCCAGCTGATCTTGTCTCACACACACACACACACAAACCACTCCAGCTGATCTTGTCTCTCTCTCTCTCACACACACACAGACACACCACCTCAGCTGATCTTGTCTCACACACACACAACCGCAGCTGATATTGTCACACACACACACAACCCCAGCTGATCTTGTTATACACACACACCACCCCAGCTGATCTTGTCTCACACAGACACACCACCCCAGCTGATCTTGTCTCACACACACACACCACCCCAGCTGATCTTGTCTCACACACACACACACCACCCCAGCTGATCTTGTCTCACACACACACACCCCACACCAGCTGATCTTGTCACACACACACACACACAACCCCAGCTGATCTTGTCTCACACACACACCACCCCAGCTGATCTTGTCTCACACACACACACCACCCCAGCTGATCTTGTCACACACACCCCACCCCACACCAGCTGATCTTGTCACACACGCACACAACCCCAGCTGATCTTGTTATACACACACACCACCCCAGCTGGTCTTGTCTCACACACACACACCACCCCAGCTGATTTTGTCACACACATACACACCACCCCAGCTGATCTTGTCTCACACACACACCACCCCAGCTGATGTTGTCACACACACACACACCACCCCAGCTGATCTTGTCTCACACACACACACACCCCACACCAGCTGATCTTGTCACACACACACACAACCCCAGCTGATCTTGTTATACACACACACCACCCCAGCTGATCTTGTCTCACACACACACACCCCCCACACCAGCTGATCTTGTCACACACACACACAACCCCAGCTGATCTTGTTATACACACACACCACCCCAGCTGGTCTTGTCTCACACACACACCACCCTAGCTGATCTTGTCTCACACACACACACACACACCACCCCAGCTGATCTTGTCTCACACACACACCACCCCAGCTGATCTTGTCACAAACACACACACCACCCCAGTTGATCTTGTCTCACACACACACACACCACACCAGCTGATCTTGTCTCACACACACACACCACCGCAGCTGATCTTGTCACACAGACACACACATACACCACCCCAACCGATCTTGTTATACACACACACCACCCCAGCTGGTCTTGTCTCTCTCTCTCTCTCTCTCTCACACACACACACACACACACACACACACATGCATACCACCCCAGCTGATCTTGTGTCACACACACACACCACTGCAGCTGATCTCGTCTCACTCACACACACACACACACACACACAACCACCCCAGGTGATCTTGTCCTTGTCTCTCTCTCACACACACACACCACCCCAGCTGATCTTGTCGCACACATACACACACACACAACCACAACTGATCTTGTCTCTCTCTCACACACACACACACCACCCCAGCTGATCTTGTGTCACACACGCACCCACAAACACACATACCCACAAACACACATACCCACCACCTCACCTGATCTTGTCTCACACACACACCACCCCAACTGATCTTGTCTCACACACTTGCACTCACACACTCCATCCCAGCTGATCTTGTAAACACACAAACATACCATCCCAGCTGATCTTGTCTCACACGCACATGCACACACTCACACACACACCACCCAGCTGATCTGTCAAGCCAGACTTTCTCTTCAGCTCTTGCCCTCCTCCTCCCAAACTTTCTTCCTTACTCTCTCTATCCCCATTGTCTCCACCCTAATACAAGTCACCCTCATTTTTTTGCCTGGATTCTAGGCAGGTCCCAGTAGCCTTCTGACTGGTCTTTGCCATCTATTCTTTTCTCTCTTTGATCCTTTCTCCATTTTGCACTCAAACTGACCTTTCAAAACTATGTTGCTTCCTGGTGTGTGAGGGTAATGACCCAAATCATGAATGGGGCCTACAAGGCCATGCACAAAGAGGCTTTCACCCACCTGCTTAGCTTTCTCACTCTTCATTGGCCACCCACACTGGTGGTGCTACCCTGAACACTCTTCCCCTGCCCTCAACCCCTAACTCCAGCTCCTGCCCTCACTCTTCCTTTAGCACTCAGTTCAAATGTGACTTCTTCAAAGAAGAATTCCTAATACTCCAGACTGTTAGCTGTTCCCCTAGCATCTTCACTTCTTTACACTGCCTATTACAGTTGTAGTTATGTAATTAGTTGCTGTTTAAACACTGTGTCCCTAGTCAGAATATAAACTTTGTGAACTCAGACGCTATGGCTGTCTTGTTCACTGCTTTGTCCACAGCATTTATCCCAATGCCCAGCACACAATGGGGTTCATTAAATATTTGATGAATGGATAGCAACATTCATGTTGTAGAGATACATATGGCCTCTTCTTTGACACGTGGGTTCTGGAACAGAAAGAACCTGGCCTGTCCCGTATCGTATTGTTATTCTTTTAACTTTGGTTTGGTTTGATTATTTTTATCCTCTGTGTTTTTACATTTTGTTTTGTAAAGGCAAGAAAGAACCCTCAAGTGGATTGCCTCTGGCAGTTGGAGCCACACCGGTGTTCTCAGAATACACCCTGTCCTTTCCAATTTCCTTCATATGCGGTAACCACCAACAGTCTTGGAGTAACAAGTCTTAAATTCTGATTCTCAGTCGGCTAAAGTAAGATCCCTTGTGGCCCCAACCACACGCCACTTTCTCTCTGAAAGCCTATCTGTTCTTGTCAGAACTTCTCTCTTCTTGCTAAAGCATTTCACTTTCACCTCTGTCTAACAGTTATATTTTCTAGCTTTTTATTATAGTTGTTTTGATACCCATCTACCCAACCTACTAAACTCTGTGCTGTCTGAGGGCAGGTACACTGAACTGTTAAAATGTCTGAATCACCTGTGTATTCTCAGCATCTAGCACAATGTTAGGTGTTTATTAAACACAATTAAATTTTTCATTAGTATAGTAGCAGAGTGACTGGGCTAAAGTCCTTTAGTTTTATTGTTTCCATTCATCAATTCCATCATATATTCTCCCTCGCTTCCACCAAGAAGTACAGAGAATAAAGATCCTATTTTCTTTTCCCTTCCTATGAAAGGTTTCCAAGATTACTGAGAAAGAAGAAAGTACTGAGGAGCCTTATGTAAGTAGAGAACAAAGAGAATAATGCCAATAAATACATATATTGTTTAAAGCCCTGCAGCTCTTCCTCAAATCAGATGATAACAAGTTCAGAGTGCCAGGAGCATCTGGCAAAGGGCATCTGCTGAAACTGATGTCTCAGAAGAAAAAAAAAGAAAGAAGAAAAAGCAATAGTCTGTGTAGTGATAAATGGAACATTCCTTATTGTCGATTCTTAGAAAGACAGTACCATACATTGTATGCTTTATAGTGGAAATTATTTTTCCTAATGTGTAAACATCTAAAAATAATATATTCAGCCCAGGCGCTGTGGTTCACAGCTGTAATCCCAGCACTTTAGGAAGCCAGTGCAGGAGGATTACTTGAGGCCAAGTGTTCATTACCAGCCTGGGCGATACAGTGAGACCATGTCTCTACAAAAAAAAATTTAAAAATTAGCCAGGCACAGTGGCCCATACCTGTAGTCCTAGCTATTCAGGAGGCTGAGGCAAGGAGAATTGCTTGAGCCCAGGAGGTTGAGAATGCAGTGAGCTATGATCATGCAACTGCACTCTACCCTCTACCCTGTCTCAAAAATAAATAAATAAAAATAGCATATTTACTGAAAGCAAATATACAGACCTGGAAATATAGGTTCTAAACTCATTTCTTCCTCTGTCTAGCAGGGTGACCTTGGTCAAGTCAGATTATCATCTATAGGTAGTTGTGCTGCATATGGGGCCTCTTGTTACAGATTTAAAAATAGAAACCCTCCTAAAGCAAATTCCTTTTATTTAAATCAGCCCTCATGGAACCAAATGTTGTCATGGGAAGGATACAGTCAGGCCATGACTGTCAATGAGAAACAAGATTGATGCCATTATTGAAGATATGATATGATATCATATCTAGGGAAACAAATCTTCTTATCAGTTGTTATTAATTTCCATTCAGGTGTTTCTCTGTTTTCTTCAGTTCAGCTGGTACCTATTAAAAGCTTGTTACTCAAAAGAAATAACCTAATATGGCAGAATTGTGCCTCAGGAAACCTGTGCTTTAAATCTGACTGTACTACTACAAGCTGTATGATCTTAGACACTTTATAATAGTGACAGTTGCCACCTACTGAGCATCTACTCTCTGCTCACTGTGCTAGGCCCTTTACAGGTGCTATTTCCTTTAGTTCTCACAAAGCCCATCATGATAAATGCTATTAGCCTCATTATACAGATAACTCAAATGTTATTTGAAGAAGTTAAGTAATTTGCCACAGGTCACATAGCTGGTATAGTAAGTGAGATTCCAAAGTCCTTGCTTTTTTTCCAAAAAGCAAGTGCTTCTTTCCAAAGTGCTTTTTTGTGAAGAGTCCTGGGGGAATTCTTTACTCAAATTTTTCCAATCATAAAGTTAGGGGATTTAGTTACGTGACCTGCAGGAGTGATAGTAAATAAATGTAACTTTTTTGTTGACTTTTTATAATGGATTTTTTTTTTTTGAAACATGATATCACTCTGTCACTCAGGCTGGAGTGCAGTGGTGTGATCATGGCTATTTTTTGTAGCGACCGAGTTTTGCTATGTTGTCCAGGCTGGTCTCGAACTCCTGGGCTCAAGCCATCTGCCCACCTCGGTTTCCCAAAGTGCTGAGATTACAGGCATGAGTCACCACAGCAGGCCTATAATGGAAAATTTTTATCATACACAAGAATAGAGAGACTAATTCAGTGACCAATCCCACAGCCACAAAAATCGTCACTTCATAACCACTCTTATTTCATCTATACCCATTCACTTTTCCCTTTACCTCAACACCCAATGGATTCTTGTGAAGCAGTCCAGCTATATTATTTGATCTGTAAATATTTTAGTATTTATCATGAAAGGGAAAGACCTTTTAAAAACATAATCCTGATCCTTTTGTAGTTCATGAGCGTGATGATTGGGTGTTCACATGCATGTGTGAGATGTGCCGCTGTTGAACCTTGTTATGATGTCAGCACATTACCCGTCTGACAAGAAAAAATACCAATACTATTAGCATACCTTAAAAATTAACAAGAATTCCTTAATATCATAAAATATCCAATGTTTGTGTTTCTTTCATTTTCTCCTTCTAAAAAAATAGCTTAATATATTTTAATAGCAAACTTACAGGAATAGCACAGAAGACAGACAACATTAAAAACCTGTACTTGCATGTAGGACAACTCAGAAAAGTACAGTGAATGCACAGAATCGACTGTATTATCAAATGCTACCAACATTATTTAGTTGCCATCAATAAGAAATTTGCTTGTTTTTAAAAAGTCCAAATGCTGGCATTGTCCAGAACATTTTAACAGGTTTATTTATATTGTTATAAAGTTGAACTGCTGGCCAGGTGTGGTGGCTCATGCCTGTAATCCCAGCATTTTGGGAGGCTGAGGCAGGCAGATTGCCTGAGGTCAGGAGTTCGTGACCAGCCTGGGCAACATGGTGAAACCCTGTCTCTACTAAAAAATATGAAAATTAGCTGGGCATGGTGGCGGGTGCCTGTAATCCCAGCTACTTGGGAGGCTGAGGCAGGAGAATCACTTGAACCCAGGAGGTGGAGGTTGCAGTGAGCCGAGATCACGCCATTGCACTCCAGCCTGGGTGATGAGAAACTCCGTCTCAAAAAAAAAAAAAAAAAAAAGTTGAACTGCTGAAACTTGTTCACTGAAACATTTTGACTTGCATTAATGCTTTGTGTCCTTGCATTTTTAAAATTTGTTATTGATACACAATAGTTGTGCATATTTTTATCATACATGTGAAAATTTGATACATTCATATAATCAAATCTGTGTCCCTGCATTTATATTAAAAATTCATACACAAATGAATATGGAGAAATTGCCAATACCTGATTTCTGTCTTCTGTTTTTCCACTTGCAATCATTGTATGTAGGTACCATTTGACCTCATGGGAAAAAGAAATCTAACATTCACAACTACCAGTGTCAGGAAGAAGAGAGAGAGAGAAGAATGAAATGTTTTCCAGCACAGTGAATTCTTAAGCATGTTCTTCACATATGTGGTGTGCTAGCTGGATGTCTTTTGCCATAATTGTTACACATTTGGCATAGAGGACACATAGGTTGTTATCTTCAAAAAGGCCAGCCAAATAGGCCTCCCTTGCCTCCACAAAGCACCAATAGCTGTG
Organism: Homo sapiens; assembly: GCF_000001405.40. NCBI lineage: Eukaryota > Metazoa > Chordata > Mammalia > Primates > Hominidae > Homo > Homo sapiens. Next base: position 177,344,688 of record NC_000002.12, on the reverse strand, counting down.
CTCTGGAAGCACAGATCTGTTTTGAAGTCCTGAGAAATTTCTTGCACCAGGTGCTGGAAGGGAAGTTTGCAGATCAGAAGCTTATGGACTTCTGATAATATTTAATTTTATAGAGTACCACAGTACCAGTGCAGCAGTACCTCAATGATGAAGTTTCTTCAGCACTCCAGTAGAGGGTGAACTCTTGCAGGTGACTTTTGTATCCAGTGACTTCTTGAATGCTTTACCACTGATAGATTTGTAGGCCATAGTATAGAAATCTTTCTCACCTCCTTCTCCTTCCACTGGAGCTCAGTGAGCTAGAGGCGGCTTGTAATCTCTCTCTCTCTCTCTCTGACAATTTGGTCATTAAAGATAATTTAAGATTTTCTTGAAGTTTTTTTTTTTTTTTTTTTGTATCCCAAGGTAGTATATTCCACTAGGGGTATACAGCCAAATTACTGTGTTCTAATATCACTGATAATCAAAATATTAAAACAGTTAGTTAAAACCAATCAGAATGGACAGCCCCCTGCTATGATCTAACCCTTTAGTTATTGGACCGTAAAGATGAGGGGTGGGAAAGGTAATATCTCAGGGCAGCAGTAGTTCACCAACCTATATGTTGTTTAACAACCCAACATTATTTCAATGTTTTGTTTTGTTTTGTTTGTGACGGTGTCTCTGCTCTGTCACCCAGGCTGGAGTGCAGCAGTGTGAACACGGTTCACTGCAGCCTCAACTTCCTGGGCTCCACCTCAGCCTCCCAGTAGCTGAGACTACGGGCATGCACCACCACACCTGGCTAATTTTTTGTAGAGATGGGGTTTCACCCTATTGCCCAGGCTGGTCTTGAACTCCTGGCCTCAAGCGATCTTACTGCCTTGGCCCCCGAAAGTGCTGGGATTACAGGCGTGAGTCACCACACCCGGCCTGTTTCAAAAACTGGGAATACCATCCTCTGCATACTGGCTTGTTACAAACCCTGGTATCTTTAAGTTCCATTCTAGCTCCAATAGGAATGTAAATAGTCACTTAATGGAGATACCCTTTTCCTGCTTCCTTACACTACTAGTCTTTATATACATAAACACACACACATATAAACTTTACAATAACACAAATGATTATTTTCTATAATTCTGGAAGTTCTGGCAAGTAAAATAAACAACAAAATAGAAATATGAGTTATGACTATTAGGAAACAAAATTATTAGCATTTAGAACAAATATAATTAGATACCTAAAACAAAACTAACAAAAAATTAGAATAAGCAAATTATGAGTACAAACTTGTAGGCCAAACAAGTCTAAAAATCTATTGTGGTGGCGCCAGCTACAGTGCTAGCAGACCTGGATCAATTAGTAATTATAAGTGAAGTTAAATATAATTAAATATATAATTTAAATATAATTAATTATATAACTTTCAGCTCTTCTGATTTAATTCCACTAAAATTCTTAAGAATTACTTGCTCTGGCAGATATCTGTGCTATTGCCTTCACTAATAGCACTCTTTCCTAAGGAGTAATAGCCCTATCTCCCACCACCATCCACATGGCTGCAGCCAGAAATTTTCTGTGTTTACGTGATCCTTCTTTCCTGGCCACACTTGATAAATCAGGGATAGGCGCACCTGATCTAAGCCAGTACAATAAGAGGCCTTCCTCTGGATTTTTCAGACTGGAATGAAGAAAGAGAGACAGCCATATGGTTCTTAAAGGACACTGACCCAAAGAGCTGTAGGTAATCATGTTTTCTGCTTCGGGCAGATTCTGTCTCAGATGAAGCTGATATGCAGAGACGGGCCAAGCCAGTTGTCAAAGGGAATTCTGATGGCAATGGGGTTTCTGAGGTAGAACTATAGTTCTGCTTATCTCTTGGTTTGGCTTTTTAACCCTTTTTTGGAACCCATAAGCCAATAATTTCTCATTTTTGCCAAAGAAATTCAAATTAGGTTTCTATCACTTGCTGTCAAAAGAATTCCCACTTCATTGACAAAAGGAAATGCATAGAATAAATTTTCCACAAGTAACAGATTTATATTTGAGGCATGTTCATTTTATTGTATACAAATCTTTTCAATTCCCTCACTATTATCAACTTTTAAAAATTTGGAATGTTCACGGTTTTTTGATTATGTAATTTAAAAAAAAACTTGGACTTTCAGGGTCTAGGGTGTGGTAAGAGAGGCAGGAGATAAGTTTGGAAAGGTAAACTGAGATTAGAATATATAGGGCCTTAAATGTCATGTGAAGTTTAGACTTTATCCTGCAGGTAATGGGGATCCATTTGGCAAGTTTTCAAGCAGGAGAAGGATATGTTTAGATAAATAATTCTGGTGGCAATTTGGAGCTTCAATAAAATGAGGGAAAAATGAAAACAGCTTAATAGGTGCTTGTGCTGGAAACCTAATTACATAAAGATTATTCCAGGTGTCCAAGGCAGGGTTGATGAAAGAATCGCCTAGGAAAGTTACGCTGAAAATTGTCGGGAAATGGAAGGATTCAAGAGACATTTGAAAGACAGAATTGGTACTATTGAATGACCACTTGGACACAGGGGATGAAAATGAGGAAATATAGAAGGACTATGACTAGATGGGGATGCCATCAACACAAGAAAAGGAGGAGGAACAGATTTGAGAAGACACTATTCTTACTGAGTATCACCACTCATTTTTATGATACTTCTAGCAGGTATGGAGCTAAAACGTATGATGTCCCATTGTAACACTCATATTATATCTTGGCAGGTTGTTTGTACTTTATTGGATTTGCTGCATAATGTAGGATGCCAAAGTAATCATTACGTTCTGGAACTTAGGAGTCCTACTTGGTCTCTGATGAGGAAGGCATTAACTGTGATTTCTGTCACATGCTGGTGTGTACTGATCTGGGAGAAATCTTTGATTTAATGAATAGAATTAAATGTAATTATAGCCAACTTAAAATTCTGTATATCACATATAGAGAATACCATTAACTCATTGTCTACTCTGCCTTCCTCTACTTTCATGATTAAGGGCAGAGGAGTTAAAATTTTATAGTGAAATAAAATTGGATAGATATGATAAAGTAATGGGAGGCTTACATTTTCAAAGTAAATATTTCTGTGTTCAAAGCAATTCATCAGAGGGCCACTTTCCCTGTACTTTCCCTGAAGAACTAAAAGCTCTTGTCCACCTGATTTCTAAAGCAAAATTATCAAATGCCAGCAATGTAACTTGTTCTGTGTTAAAAACAGAACTAGACACAGTCCTTATCCTTGAGGACTAGCTCACTATCATTCCAGTATTTTTTGGAAAGTGTGAAATTCCTATTTGCAGATGGTGACTTTGCCAAAATTGAAACCTTAGTAGCTCACATACACTTGTGTGAGTACCTAACATCTTTATAATTCTGACAACACTAATGAGCTACAGGAAACACTGGCCAAATTCTGCTTGGTTTGGTTTCCATTCTTTTGCACTGACCAATAAAAATATAAAGCAAGCCACATTTGTGATTTTAAATTTTCTAATAACCATATTTTTTAAAAGTAAAACATGTAAAGTACATTTTAATAGGCTTTTTTAAAAACTTATTTTTAGAGCAGTTTTAGGTTCACAGCAAAATTAAGAGGAACATACAGAGACTTCTCATATACCCCTCGCCCCCACACGTGCATAGCCTACCCCATTATCAATATCTCCCACCAGAGTGGTACATGTTTTATAACTGATGGGCCTACATTGGAACACTCAAATTCTGTAGTTTACTTTAGGGTTCACTCTTGGTGTTGTGCATTCTATGAGTTTGGAGAAATTTGTGACCTATATCCAGCAGTATAGTATCACACAGAGTAGTTTCACTGCCCTAAAAATCCTCTGTGCTCCACCTATTCATCCCTCCCTCCACCCTAACCCCAGGCAACCACTGATCTTTTTACTGTCTCCAGAGTTTTGCCTTCTCCAGAATTTCATATGGGTGGAATCACACAGTATGTACAGCCTTCTCAGATTGGCTTCTTTATGAAATTAATTTTCATACTGTATTTTCTTTAACCAAAATTGTTTAATGTGATTACTTTAACATGTAATCAATATTTAATATTACTAATTAAATACTTTACATTGTCTTTTCATACTAAGTCTTCTAAATATACACCAGATACTTATCTATCTATATATCTCTCTATATATCTAAATATATAGATAGATAGATATGTATCTGGTATATATCTATCTATATATACAAAATCTGGTAAATTTACACCAGATTTTGAAGACTTACAGCATATCTTGATTCAAACTAGCCAGATTTCAACTTGATCACCACATGTGACTAGTGACTACTATATTAGATAGTGCAACCTTAGATATGAGTCACAACTGGAGACATCTTTGAAAGAATTAAGCTGCCTGTCCCTTAATTTAACAATGAATACAATGTCCTTTACACTATTGGCCACTTACAGATGGAAGGCCACTCCAAGTCTAAGGGAGAAAGGTAATATGATGGAAATTACAAATATGCATTCTAATATTTAATCTTTTTTCATTCAAGCATCTATCCTGCCATTCAGTTTTCCATGCTTTGAAGAATGGAAAATGGTGATACTTTTCTGTCATGTTGAGTAATGGATTAGATAATAGGGAAGAGTGGAGTTGCCATTATATTGAATTTATTCTGAATTATAGAAGTCACGTGCTATTTTGGAGAGAGTGCCAGTTTAAGAGGAGGATTTGAGCCTTTATTCTGGTAGACACTATATGGCCTGAGACAGATCAAGTCAATTTTTTGGATATTTTCTTATTCTCTAAAATGAAATTGAACTAGTTCAGTGGCTTTTAAACCATACTCTGGGGAACGTAAGGGTTTATATGGGAAGAGTGAGAGTGAGGAAGGATTTAGGTGGAATTTTTCATGCACACACATACATACACACATACACACACATACACTGGCAGATTCAACCACTGCTGGATCAAGTTCATTGGATGTATATATTAATCTTCAGTGTAAGTTCCAGAGCTAATTAAAATTTTAAACATAATAACTAGATAATTTGATCATATCTACTTTCCTTTTCAATGATAATATCAGGTATAATGTTCACACCTTCTGGCCTATTTCTAGAGGTCCTTTCACGTACTTTTTACTCAGGCTTCCTTGTGACCAATCTTAACCCTTCCAAGTCACTGGTCAAGTTACCAAACTATTAGCCACTGCTAATTCCAGGCAAACTGAACAACGAGATACATATTATTTCAGTTTCTGCCCATTTTGAGGATTGCCCCTTTTTTTCTTTTTCTTTTTCTTTTTTTTATAAATTGAGATGGGGTCTCGCTATTTTGACCAGGCTGGTATCGAACTCCTGGCCTCAAGCAGTCCTCTCATCTTAGCCTCCCAAAGTGCTGGGATTACAGGCATGAACCACCATGCCCGGTCAAGGATTGTCCTTTCCCCTGGTCTTTCTGGGTCTTGGAGTGAGCTATAAATGCTAAAGCAACCCACTTCAAGCCAAGAAAAAAGGATCTGTAAACCAGGATTTTAATTTTTTCCTCTCAAATCAATTGGACATAGTGAATACCCCATGAGACACTCACACGTAAGCTAGAGAGGGACAGCAGTGTGACAGACGTAAGTAGCAGGAGAATACAAGCAACGTGCTCACTAAACTCACTCATCCTCAGGACTATCCAGGCCTGGTGAGTTATGAGCCTGAATTAACACCTGGATCCTGATAGACAATTACGACGCAAAGTCACTTGGTGTCTCAGGGTTAGGTGTTCCACTGGGACCTAGTAGCAAGCCTCTAATATCCAAAGAGGTCCACCAAAATAGTACCTCTTCATATTGGTAAGGAGCTCAGGTACAACAGTTTATCTCTCACTTTAGAATTATAGCCAAACATGTTCTGTATACCACTGGACCCTTGAAAAATTCCCACTCGAGCGCTCATGTATTTTTTTCAAGGTATCCAAGGTATTTATTGCTTTCTACTCTTTTGTCCCCACTTGTATAGGATGAATAATCTGATATCATGTGAAATGAGGAAATAAGAAGCTTTCTGCTGACTTCATTTTGACCCAGGGTCCAAAAGGTGATGTAATCCTGTGGCAAGAAGGTAAAGCTATATTCTTGTCCGTACCAGATGAAAGTGAACTATCTCTGCTTCATCATTCACAACTGTCCTAATAAATGGCCACAAGTCCCTTTGTATTCCAGGAGGTAGACTCAAGTAGGCACTTCCTCGAGGGTACTCAGATTTCCTTTAACTGTGTCTGAGAACGCATTCATATCTGGAAATTGGATACCGTCTCTCTTTTCTAGACATAAAGGTTTTGTTTGTTTGCTTGTTTGCTATACAAATCAAGTAGAACCTTAGTGACTGCTTATTTATTTCAGTCCTGGGGACTCCATGATCAGTTAGTCACCTCCCAAGAATCCATGAGTCAGAGCATTCTAATTTTCACACTGACCTACTAACTTTCAACTTAGCCCCATGCAAATGTGCTACCTAGACCATGTCACTCTGGGATCCTGCCATCCCTCTGAAACTCAGTAAGCCAAATTCAACTGTAGCCTTTTTTCAGCATCATCGCTGGTCTACGTGAAACGTTCTCTAAATCACTTTTATACTGACCCTTCCCTCATAGATTTGTTTCTCAAGGCCTTTGTAAAGAGTGTTTTCTGGACCTTCTTATGATTTTTATTTTAATTAGAGACAGGGTCTCGATATGTTGCCCAGGCTGGCCTCAAACTCCTGGGTGAAGTGATCCTCCCACCTCAGCCTCCCAAGTAGCTGGGACAGGTGTGAGCCACTGCAACTGGCTAGACCCTTTTTTGGAAGACAAAATTGAGGTGGGTGGTTGGGTCAGATATGACAAATCTAATCCAGCATTCCTGTCTCCTAAAATTTAAAATTTTGTTCATTTACATTTTACCTAAGAGATTTGCATCTCAACTTTATTTTGTATGACTCACCCCTCAGTCTAAATGTCAATGAACATTTAGCAGAGCAAACAGAATTATTCCTAGCTTCTCAAACTAGAATAATCCAGAATCTCTTGTAAGCCCTATTAGTAAATTCAACCCAATCTCAAATCATGTCCTCTTCTTCTTCATTCAACATTCTTAAAATCAATTCTAACTCACATCCCACAGATTAATTAGCAAAGTTCTTCAATTTCTTTGGTGCTTGAGATATATCTTACTGAGCTTCACTTTGTAAACTAGCCTCTTGAAGCACAGTAGAATTTTTTTGGGGGTTGGGGCGGGGGACGGAGTCTTGCTCTGTCACCCAGGCTGGAGTACAGTGGCGTGATCTTGGCTCACCACAACCTCCACTTCCTGGGTTCAAGCAATTCTCCTTGCCTCAGCCTCGCGAGTAGCTGGGATTACAGGCACCTGCCATCATCCCTGGCTAATCTTTTGTTATTTTTTTGTAGAGACAGGGTTTCACCATATTGGCCAGGCTGGTCTCAAACTCCTGACCTCAGGTGATCCGCCCACCTCAGCCTCCCAAAGTGCTGGGATTACAGGTGTGAGCCACCGCGCCCAGCGAGTTTGACTCTAATTACAGATCTGGAGATAGTGCAGAGTAAGAGTAGGGTATAAGAGAACCTCCTATAAGGTAACTCCCTCAAACTAGGGAGTTTCAGCCTCTTCAAACAAAGGAGAAATAGCTTTATAATAAAAGCTTCAGCTGCAAAGAAGGCTGAGAGTTTGGGGGCAAGGAATCTCTGCGTTCTTCAAATTCTCCCCTATATAGCATTTTAATTTTAAAGATCTTACTCTTTCGGAATCAGCACTTTAACATATGCTCTTCTAAGACCCCAGGTAAGGAGGTGAATTCGACTGATTTGCAAATCAGCAATCAACAAGAACAAATATTGGTTTATAGCTATCTCCATCCTAGGGCTATAAAAGTTTCTTTTAACAAATTCACAGCTTGGGTTTCAGTTCATGTTTTAAGATGAGAATTTAGAGATTTTCATTTGTTAATGTCTTCAAATGAAGCAGCTAGCCTTAGCACCCAGCTCTTGAATTCCTCATTTCCTTCATACTGTTCTGTGACAACAGCAATTCTCTCCCCCATGGTCTTGTCTTTAATACCCAACTCAATCCTAATGCTCACAGGCATTAATTTCATTAGCTATTTTACTACTATAAGCTGTGGGTTTCCAGAGTCTCATCTTTGAATATTAATTGGTTTTTATTATCTTCAAACACAATGAGTCTGCATACCCAGATTCTCCTGATTTCCCTGAAAGTCTGTTGTGTGTAACCGAATCCCCATTACCAGTTTCTGTACAAGTCAGAATTCCTATTTGCCAGCATTAGTAACCAATTCTAGGTAGATTAAATAGAATGGAATTTACTGAAAGAGTAACAGTATCTATATACAAAGTTATTTGGGAAAGTTAAAAATCAGGCTCAGAAATCAGACAGGAGCCAAAGGAGGCTGGCAGCAGATGAATCAGCCAAGGACCACTGAAGGAATAGTCTGATTAGAATGCTGCCAGAACTTGGTGAAGAACTGTTATAGGAAGAGCCTAAATAGAAACTAAGGACAGTGCCACCACCAGACATTCTCTTCTCCTGAATTACTGACATCATCACTGTCTCAGTAGATAGCTTGATGGTTTCTGCATCTTTGCATCACTCCTTCTGGATTCAATGTGGGAATCCCACTGGACAAACTTCAGTTATGTGCTGATGTCCTTGCTGTCTAGAAGAGGAAGATATGCCTTTTTTCAGTTCCTATAACAGGAAAAGTGTTGAGATGCCAAATACCAAAGCACACAAACCCCAGACACACAAACACATCCAGGACACCATACTTGGGTTTGTTTCTGGACTCACTGTTTTATTGGTTTGTTTGTTTATTTTGCTGTCATTATGCTACTGTTTTAATTTCAGCTGTTTTATCTTTTTTAAAAAATCTAGCAGTTAAAATCCTCCTTCCTCTCAAATGGTTGTCTTTTTTTCTTGACTCTTTTCAGTTTAACTTTTCTCAAGGAACTTCAGAACTCTTTTGTAAAGTTTCAAAAAAAATTCCATTGGCATTTCCATTGGAATTGTATTATATTTATGAATATATTTGGGGAATAATTAAAAAATTTTTAAATGCCGAGTGTTCTTATCCAAGAACATGGTATATCTCTGTTTAAGCCTTGGCAATTTTATAGTTGTCTTCACATAGATTTGACATACTTATTAAGTTTATGTTTTTGTTATTCTGGTAATTACAATTTTTTCCACTTTGTTTTCCTTTAAAAGAGTTTCAAAGCCCCCCTTTTGGACCACAGAAAATCTTAACGTGTTATAACCTAACTATGCAAATAGCTCTGTGATTCTAATTTCTCTTTTAAGCAATATAAATCATTGAACTACATTCTTCCTATGTTTATCCAGCTTTCCTTACCAAATTAAATCTCATACTTTGTAGTGTAAATTTGAGTTTGAAAGTTAAAGGTAAAGAATGTTTTCCAGGGGACTAAAACAGGAAAAATACTGTCAACAGAATTGAATAAATTGGAAGATGGAGGCCACTGCGCTAGTACTACAGTGCCCCCTAGTGGAAAAAAGGAAGCATGGGCATGTTTATACCAAGAATGACCCCAGTCTCTCTTCCACAGGCAATTAGAATCTGGAGGTGTGTTAGTGGTCAACTAGGTCAACTCCTCTGGCTTCCAAAAAGGGAAACTGAGAAACAAAATGAAGAAATGACTGGCCCAAATTCACATTGTCAACCCAAGGCTTAAATCCAAGATTCCTAACTCTCATTTTTCTTCCTTTTTGCTACCCTTTCTTTTTTCTTCCTTCCTAGTTCAAAATATATTGTGCTCTTATTATAAAGCACAATATATTCTAGGAATGTGTTCTAGGAATACAGATATAAAGAAGATTTAGTCGTTGCCTTCAAATCTAGTTTTACTTCAAGCCTAATTTTTTTAGCCATTTTCAGGGAATGAATTTGTTGGGGAATGACCAAACAACTATGCAGGGGAAGGTTCTCAATCATCCACAAATTGACTCACAATATGATTAATTAATTATTGAGTTTTAACTGGAAAGTACAATCACAAATGTGAAAATTGCCCTTGATCAGATTCAGACCATTTCATGAGGAGGTAAGGCATACTTTCAAATGGCCTGCATTAACCTTAATCTTATTTCTCCTTTGCAGATTCAAAACTGTGGACTATCTTGCAAAAAATACAAGAAGATATTGAAAGTTTTCATGAGTGCCTACCACCTAATCTCAAACACTATCATTCATATGTGCCTCATTGAGCAAATCTTTAATGAGGATCTATATGCCAGGTATGTGCTAAGCTCTGTGCTTAGTGTGGCAAAGAGAACAGATATGGCCTTGAGGTTTCTGCTCTCACAAAGCTTATAGTCTCCTATTTGTGTATGTGTAATTCTCTAAAGCTCAGGAAAGCTGTTTTCCTCATTTTTCTTTGGCATCATATTTTTAGGCTATAGAAATCAGAAAGTACGCAAACATTTTCTAAAATTACTCTGCCCCACAAAAAGGGAAACAAAAATAACAATTTGGGGCCAGACAGAACTGGATTTGAATTCCAAGCCTGCCCTTTACAAGCTATTAAACAAGCTTATTCTCTGAGCCCCTGTTGTTTTCATGAAGTGGAAATAATATGTATCCCTTGTAAGGGATCATATCCTTATTAATACCTAAATAGAGACATTACTTTTTGAGTCAAAACTATGAATTATATGGTCCATCTCCTAAAATGCAGAAAAATTATCTAAAGAGAAGCATTATTAATATTGTTCACTTAGTTTCATCAAGAATGTCACTTTCCAGAATTAATACAGACAGATATTCTTTGCCATTGACTTTTTCTTTTTTTTTTTAAATAAGGTGAAATGCTCTAACAATGGATGCCACTATAACAGAGTTTCTGTAAGGCTATTAGTTTCTTTTTCCATGGATAGTTTCCATGGCCTTGCTCCACATAAACTAAACCCTATTATTTCAGTTATGATGACTAAATCTAGTATGACCATTATTTATCTGTATAAGGGATCTTGTAGTAATCTGTGTATAAGCTTATCACTCCATCTATTTAATGATTTGACTAAGTCAAGGATCATATTTTATTTCTCTCTGTTCTCCCCTCCCAGTGGTACCTTACACAGAATTAGAGCACACTAAATGTGTTCTGAGTAAAAAGACTATCTTACTATGTGCTGTTTGACATGTAAGCTGAGAGAGAAAATTTGGCATATGTTGTAGGTAAACTTACTTTGTTTTACCTGGGAGTAGCAAGTATCAAACAGATCCTACTCCTGTTACAATCCTGCTAGAGAAAAAAAGTAGTTAAATTCCCCAGTCTCTACTCAAACCAAAACAAAACTTCAAAAATATTGAGACACAGAGAGAAGGAATAGGATGGGGTCAGGGAGGACTGGTGTTTCTGCGTAGTGTGCATGCAGCAGGCTAATGTCCTTTCCCTGTTGTAATAGCTCCGAATGTAAGCGCCACACAACACCAGGTCTATGAAAAGCCCAGGGTTTCAAGGTCAAACAAGTTTGGGAAAGCTTGCCCAGCATTTTCCTCTCTTGCAAGCTGGCAGTGGACACTGGTAAATTAAAGCCTATAAAAACTGCTTAACATTGTTTTACCTTGCAATCCCCAAATTCATTTGACCAACGTTTCACCTATAAACATCCCGCAGATCTGGTAGATTCTGTGGAAGGCACAGACTTCAGGAAACTGCTCCACTGTGTTGAAAGGACTTCTTTCTCTTGTTAATTCACACACAAAAAGCTGCCATTTTATTTCCAAATCCTACAGAACTGGGAATGTGAGCATTTCCAGCAATGTTTCAACTGTAGAAAAGTGAGACCACTTTCTGACAATTTAGAGGTCCCAGAAAGTTTATACAATTGAATTTTAGGTATGTAAGGAGTCAGTTCGAATCCAGGAAATGGCTTCCCAGCAATGCCTGGAATGTCCTCACAAAAACTGAGAAACAGATATCCAAGTCCTGTTTTGGATCTTGGAGGGACAGAGAGAGAGAAGAGAAAAACATAAATTTATAGTCCCAAATCTCATGATGTTTCTTCCAGTTTTCTACAAATAAATACACAGTATCCACTTTCCCTGAACTCCATCTTGGGACTTTATTTTTGCGTGTTTCCAATTCTCCTCTCTAGATGGCAGCACAGATGAAAAAATGCCAGAAAAACAGCAGGCCAGACTCAGCGGCAGCAAACTGCCATCAACAGCCCTCCCCCAACTCACTCTTCCTTTTTTTTTTTTTTTTTTTAAGAAACAGAATCTAAGATACGATGGCCGACACTTTTTCCCAAATAGATTTAATCAGTTACATGGGAATACAAAAAATGACTGACGACACACCGATATTAGTGATCAGGGGAACTGACTCTAACAGTGTCTCTTACATGTTACTTGTGTTTTCTGTATCTTAAAGATAATGTAGGCATTGTTCCTAAGTCATGCAGAGGGGTTGTGTAAGCATGGTCATTTGCATCATTATCCTGCACGTCTGATACAGCCAAACTCCACGCCACCTGGTTTGCTGTAAGTATTGGATTCATTTAAGATCCATAACAATGCTATTTACTGACCCTCTTGTCAACTGATGCTGTGACACTGCTGTAAAATGATCCCTATGTCACCAGATGCTGCCCTGAAACTTAGGAAGTTAGCATGAAGGTAATACTTCATTAGAAGTTTGCAATTTATGGGTGAATTAATAATGCAAGAGAAAAGGAATAGAACAGACATAGAGAGAAGACCTTTGAGGTTTACATCAAACCCCATCAAAAGAGATTTAAAAAAAAAAAAACCTTACCCTGCAGGGGTTCATTGAATCTCATCATTAATAAAATAGGGTCTATCAGCAAGATGTTTTTAACAAAATCTGCTGACAGGGAAAACATAAGAAAACTGGCCCCTACAATGTATGACATTTCAAGGGCTCAAGAGTGTTCTAAAGAAAACCAAATTGTTCATGTGTAATGAACTGGACAGAAGCTAAAAGGTGACCTGTGTCTTTTAAACAGCAACAGCAAAAGACACGGCCGGGTGCGGTGGCTCACCCCTTTAATCCCAGCACTTTGGAAGGCCGAGGCGGGCGGATCATTTGAGGTGAGGAGTTCAAGACCAGCCTAGCCAACATGGTGAAACCCAGTCTCTACTAAAAATACAAAACATTAGTGAGACGTGGTGGTGTGCTCCTGTCATCCTAGCTACTCGGGAGGCTGAGGCATAAGAATCACTTGAACCCCAGAGGCAGAGGTTGCAGTGAGCCAAGAAGGCACCACTGAACTGCAGGGGAGAAAAAAAAAAAGAAAGAAGAAAAGATCACCATGGCAATAAAAACAAATATAGTGCATAAATAAACCAACCTGAGGCCAAAACAAAAAACTAAGTGAATCTTTCATATTTAAGAAAAAAAATCAATTTTTGTTGTGTCAGAGAACTTTTAAATTCTGTCTCTATCCTTTTTGTTTTTTCTTTTTTGAGATGGAATCTCACTCTGTCACCCAGGCTGGAGTGCAATGGAGTGATCTTGGCTCACTGCAACCTCCACCTCCTGGGTTCAAGCAATTATCCTGCCTCAGCCTCCTGAGTAGCTGGGATTACAGGCATGCACCACCACACCCGGCTAATTTTTGTATTTTTAGTAGAGACAGGGTTTCACCATGTTGGTCAGGCTGGTCTCGAACTCCTGACCTCGTTATCTTCCTGCCTCAGCCTCCCAAAGTGCTGGGATTACAGGCGTGAGCCACTGTACCTGGCCCCATTTTTTTTTTTAAGTGAAAGCAGTCTTTCCACAAGATTACTCTAAACACCACATCTTTCCTTAAATGAGTACCTTTGATAATTAGTGTGGGTTGAAATTAGTTAATATTATAATGGGTCAGGCTATCTGTCTTTGCCAACGCAACTCCTAGTGCTCTAAGGATACTGAATACTTTTTCCTGGGCTCTAAGTTTAGAGACAAAATCAAGCCCTAAAATGAACATGCAGAGAGGTACTGAGACAGTATGGCATATGAGGGAGTGAAGGAGCTGGGACAGGCCTGCATTCATCTCAAAGACCACACCAGTCCAGTGCTACACACCAGCAACCCTCAGCTCTGAACCTATCCCTGGAATCAATACTCAGCTCACTCCTTCCAGAGACTCAGGAGCCTTGGAAGTATGACACACCCAGGACAAAGCTGAAGGCTAAGAGGCCTAAATGTTCTTCCACTCCCACTAATTCTGCATCTGTGCAGCCCACTAAACCCACCATCCCTCAGACCCTCAGTATCCTTAATGTGTGTCCTAGAGGGAGTTCTTTCAATGAGTTATCCTTTTATGAACTCTCATCCTCATACTAGACTCAGTTTCCCATTCCACCCTGTGGTATTGTGACAAGAAATATATTTTTGGGCCAGGCGCAGTGGCTCATGCATGTAATTCTAGCACTTTGGGAGGCCAAGGCAGGTGGATCACAAGGTCAGGAGTTCAAGACCTGCCTGGCCAAGATGGTAAAACCCTGTCTCTACTAAAAATACGAAAATTAGCTGGGCGTGGTGCCAGGAGCCTGTAATCCCAGCTACTCGGGAGGCTGAGGCAGGAGAATCACTTGAACCCAGGGGGCAGAGGTTGCAGTGAGCTCAGATTGCGTCACTGCACTACAGCCTGGGTAACAGGGTGACTCAAAAAAAAAAAAAGGAAAAGAAATATATATCTGGTCTCTTCCCCTGGTTCCTGGCACACAGCTCCTAAAACCCTTGGACTCTCCAGAGTGATAAGAGTGCCTTTGGTATGCTAATAAGACATTGGTGGCTGGGGAGCCCTAGATAGCTTCAAGAGGGGTGCTGATCACCGGAAAGACCAAGGCATGATTAGAGGGTTGGGACTTTCAGCCTTACCTTCCAACTTCTAGAGAGGGTAGAGGGGCTGAAAGATGAGTTGATTACCAATGGCCAATGATGTAATTAATCATGCCTACCTAATAAAGCCTCCATAAAAACCCAAAGGACAGAGTTCTGAGAGCTTCCAGGTTGCTGAACATGTAGAGGTCCCTGGAGGGTGGAATGTCTATAAAGGGCAGGGAAGTTTCATGCCTCTTCCCCCATCCCTCGCCCTGTGCATCTCTTCCATCTGGCTATTCATCTATATCCTTTGTAACATCCTGTATTAGTCCCTTCTCGCTGCTATAAATACCTAAGATTGGGTAATTTATAAAGAAAAGAGGTTTAATCGGCTCAGAGTTCAGCAGGCTGTTCAGAAAGCACAGCAGCTTCTGCTTCTGAAGAGGCCTCAGGAAACTTACAATTATGGTGGAAGGAGAAGAAGAAACACACACATCTTACATAGCCAGAGCAGAAGGAAGAGAGAGAGTGGGGAGATGCCACACACTTTTAAACAACCAGATCTTGAAAGCACTCACTCACTGTCACAAGAGCAGCACCAGGGAGGAAATCCGCCCCCATGATCCAATCACCTCCCACCAGGCCCCACCTCCAACACTGAGGATTACAATTCGATGAGAGATTTGGGTGGGGACACAGATCCAAACCACATCACATGCTTTGTGATGAATGGGTAATGTAAGCGGTGTTTCCCTGAGTTCTGTGAGCTGCTCTAACAAACTAATTGAACCCGAGGAGCAGAATCCTCATAGGAACCCCCAATTTATGACCAGTCGTCAGAAGTATAGGTAACAACCTACTACTTGGAATTGGCATCTGAAGTGGAAGCAATCTTGGGAGACTGAGCCTTCTGCCTGTGGGATCTAATGCTATCTCCACGTAGATAGTGATTATAGGAAAATTGTGTTAAATTATAGGATAATTATGTCCACTGAAGAATTGGTTGTAGGTAGAGGAAAACCTCCAGACATTTTGGTGACTGGAAGTGTTGTATTGGTTGAGTATGTGAGATTACGAAAAACTTTTTTTCTTATATCTCTTACATTCCCTTTCCTCTAAAACTTTTCCTCTATGACGTTGGGAATCTCATTCCATCGTCAGCAAACTCCCTGATACACCCAGCCTCTTCAATGACCATTGTTTATTATTATTATACTTTAAGTTCTAGGGTACATGTGCACAACGTGCAGGTTTGTTACATACGTATACATGTGCCATGTTGGTGTGCTGCACCCAATAATTCGTCATTTACATTAGGTATTTCTCCTAATGCTATCCCTCCCCCTCTTTAGCTATCTAGGTATTTCTGTGAAACATACCTGACTTCTCAGTTTCTTGATTCCATCTCCAATTACCTTCTCCATTGTGCTTCAATCACTCAATCCCATGGCCACCCCTAGGCCATGTCTTCAACAAACCACAGCACCTCTGAACCCTTGACTTTTAAGTCCTCCAATTCTTTTCATTTGGTTATTTTCACTACGTTTATCTTCCAAACTTATTAAGATCTGCAGTCTTTCTGCTTTCTCCTTTCTCTTTATCTATAATAAGCTTGCTGTCCCCTATTCCTTATCTACTGAGGAAGGACTCCATGACTCATAACATTGGCCTCTGACCGGTGTTCTCAACTCCATTACTTCATTATTCTTCTGGTTTATCTGCCTGACAAATTTTAGAGTGTATACCCTGAATCCAGCTGTCTGTCTTGGCCATTCCTTTACCTAGGCTGTTGGGCACTGTAGGAAAAAAATCACCCTGTCACACAGATTGGGGCTACCTTAAATTTATGCTCAGCAACCTCAAGTGGGACCTCACTGCTGCCTGCAGTCCTACTCTATTCCCCGGCCTGCTTGTTTTCTCAGCCTCCAGAGGGGCTATTTCAAGGATTTGCCTCTTCCTGCACCTCCCTATGTTGGCCTCTCTACCTTCTCATTCTCAATTGGTGATTTTTTTTCCCCCACATATCAGAGTTGGGTGGGTGTGGATGTTATGAGATGTGAGCAGTCTCAGTTTTCCATAACAACCTATACACTTTTTTTTTTTTTTTTTGAGACAGGGTCTCACTCTGTCGCCCAGGCTGGAGTGCAGTGGCATGATCATGGCTAACTGCAGCCTCAACCTCCTGGGTTCAGGTGATCCTCCCACCTCAGCCTCCTGAGTAGCTGGGACTACAGGCGCATGCCACCACACCTGGCTAATTTTTTGTAGAGATGGGATTTCCCATGTTGTCCAGGCTGGTCTCAAACTCCTGAGCTCAAGCAATCCACCTGCCTTGGCCTCCCAAAGTGCTGGCATTACAGGCATGAGCCACCACACCCACCCACAACCTATAAACTTACTTGCATCTTTATACATTTTTTTGACCTTGCCTCTTATTATAACAGAAAAACTCCCCCTACCTCCATCCAAGGCCAATCTCTTGGCCTGATGCTCTGGGTCCCATCTCTCTCTGACTTCCCATTGACCTCACTCTCTCAGTTATTCCTTCATACTCCTACCTTTATATTCAACCCCTTCCTCTCCACTGGCTCCTCCCTTCTCAGACTAAAAAAGCCACATCCTCTTCCATCTACCGTCCTCTCTTCTCTTGCCAGTTAAACTTTTTGGAAAAGTTGTCCACTCACTGTTTTAACTTCCTCACCTCCCACTCACTCTCCAAAATTCCTCTCTCCAAAATAACCCATGATCTCCATGTAGCTAAATTCAAGGGGCACTTTTCAGTTCTCTCCTTATTTGACCTGATGGCAGCATTTAACATATCCTCCTTTTTGATACTTTCTCTTTCCTGAGTATCTATGGCACTATCTACCTGCTCCCAGATAGCTCTCTCCATCTCCAACCCTTCTCTTGAGCTTCAGACCCTATAGGTTCCACAGGCATCTTAAACTCAAACTGAACTCATTTTCTCTTCAAATCTGTGTATCTCCTCCTGAGTTCCCCCTGGAGGTAGCAAGCACTGCCATGGACTCATTGCTGCAGCTAGTCACTTGTGTATCATTCCTCACTGTTCTCATCATCATACCTCATGTCCAATTGCATCACCAAGAACTCTTGATCCTGCCACCTGAATACCTCTCCTACCTTTTTTCTTGTCTTCTTTCCCCTCTACTCTCATCAGGTCTCACCTAAACCCCTGTTTCCAATCTTCATCTCAAACCATTCACCATGCAGTAGCCATGTGAGTGTAATGAGCAAGGAGTCTCACAGATGCAAGAGTCCACAAACCCTCAGGTGTGCAGTCATGGGATGTTTTTTCCTGGAGTAAATTTGATTTTGGAATCTGAACCTCCAGCCTTCCTCCTGGTGGACAACTTCATCTAGATTATCTTAAATGAATTCAGTGATTTGTCAACTGAGATTCCATAAATACTTCAGTTCAGAATTCAGTTTCAAACCTTCCTTCCCCTGTTCTTGCCTCTTACTCTTGGGCCTCTTGGGGCTGGCTACCCAAGGGAAGTGGGGAAGAAGATGGAGGTCCATGTGTGAGTAGCGGGTGGGGCTGGGGGAGCTGTCCATCTAGTCATTTCTGGGGTCACTCTAAAGCTAGCCTGAGCCGCTAATACCATTGTTGCCTATGCTCTCAGCACAGGCAGGCCCCAGTGTGCTGTCTAAAGTACCAGATCCTGCTAGCTTTGAAGGGTGGGGATGGGCTGTCTGGGTGCACATGCAGGTCCCATGTAGCTTCATCTCAGAAAGGGGCAGCCATGTCCCCCATAATGCCACGAAGTAATCCAGGAACATTCCTTCCTTTTGCCCTGCACATCTGCTTTCTGATCAGATCATTTCTTCTCCCCTCACAGCATAGAGGTGAAAAACCAATTCACATTTACACATTTGTATGAGTTGGTTTCATTTTAATTGTTTCATTTCTGAGTTAAAGTGCAGAGCCCTTTGTATTTAAATTGTGCAATGTAGAGTCTAGATTTCTCTCAGCAGCAGACAATCTCTACAATCATTAATTTGCTTTCCACTCTCCTGGCGAAAGAGTGAGGTGGGGTGTGTGCATGTTTGTCTATGTATGTGTATGTTGGTGGCAGGCAAGGAGCAGATGGGCAGCCCAGAGCCCAAGTAGAGAAATGAGTGGAGAGAATACATTCCATTAATACTTCACATATTATCCTGTCATGTGTTCTTTCTAAATCACAAATCTGAACAGGTCTTTCACTGTGTAAGCATCACTTACAGATGCTTAAAGCCATCTGTAGCTTCCCCATTGCCTTTAGGATAAAGTCTAAACATGTAAACTTGATTTACAAGTTAAGATCTGTTTACAGATGACCTTTCCCACCTCATTTGCCACAGTTTCCTCTCTTCTGTCCGTTCCATGGGTTCACTGTACTCTGTTGCCTCTGGACTGTCTCACATTCCTAGAAAATTCTCTTCAACTTTTCCCTACACCTCACTAATTCCTGCACATTCCTCTGATCTCCAGTTAAACACCACCTCTTCCCTAAGTCCTCCTTGACCTCCCTCCTACCTCTGACTTTGATTTGTCCCTGCTATGCACACCCATAACCTTCTCATATCATAGCACTTATCATATTCTAACTATTTTGTTTGTTTTCCCACTTGACTATTAATGCTTTTAAGACAAGAATATCTGTCTCGATCAGTGTTCACTCTCCAGCACTAGCACGTATCTGACACCTGATAGGTACTCAATAAATATCGTTAAATAATAAATGAATGAATGACTGAAGAATAAATTGAATGTGCAAGCCAGGTGCTGGCTTCATGTGCCCTGTCTTATAGCAGGACTTAGTACTTTATTGTGTTTCCCCAAAAGCAAATAAACTCCACAGAGTAGAGGTGAGTAATGTGGATTTGACCAACAATTTTATGAGGAGACATAAAAGGAGGTTTAAATGGAGACATTTCTATTCTCCCCTCAGTGTTCCTCTTTGGTTTCCAGATATTGGGTCTTCCTCTCTTTTGACCCTCCCTTCCTCCCATTCTCTCACCCCCAACTCAGCCTCTACTTCCCTTTTCTAGGCAGTATCACTCTGAGAGGACTATGGAGGATGAATCGGAGAGAAGTGAGGCTAGTATCAGGGAGTTCCATTTAATAGACAATTTAATGAGGCCAGGCAGAGATGATGAAGGCCTGAGTTAAGAAAATGACAAAATGGCCTGAATCCCAGGACTTTGGAGCCCCAGGTGGGAGGATTGCTTGAAACCAGGAGTTCAAGACCAGCTTGGGCAACATAGTGAGACCCTGTCTCTACAAAATAGAAATTTTTAAAAAGGGAAAAGAAAATGACAAAATGAAGAGGAGGGGGTGGGTTTAGGAGATGTTTGGGAGGGAAGATCAATAGGATGTGAGAACTGATTGGATTGGAGTAGAAGAGAAAGAGGAATATAGGGCATGTGTCAAGGTTTGGTGAATGCAAAAGGAGAAATAAAGAAAAGAAGAGAAGAGTAAAAAGGGTAGGGGTTGAGAGTTCCATAGGATTAGAGTTATTACCAAGGGACGTATAAAAGAGAATTAAGTGGAGAAGGACCAGTATAAGGATTATAATCACCTGAGAATCTAACAGGTTAGAGACCAAAACTGGTATGGGCACTAGTATTTAAATTGTGTAATGTAGAGCCTGGGTCCCTCTCAGTGTCAGACGATCTCCACAATTGTTAATTTGCTTTCCACTCTACTGACAAAAGAGTCAGGTGGGGTGTGCGTGTGTTTGTCTGGGTATGTGTGTGTTGATGGGGGTAAAGGGGCAGGTTGGCAACCCAGGTAGAAGGGAAATAATTGTGTGATTTTCTTTAATAACTTGGGCTGCCAATGGTAAGAGCTGAGAAAATGGGTGGTAGGTTGATCCAAGACTTGGGATTTCTGAGACGATGGGGCAGAAGGATCAAGGGGCGAAATGATGGATGATTTTATGAAAACAATGTTCAAAGTGATGGACAATGGCATCTAGGCTCAACAGGGATAGAAATGAGCCAGGATGGGGCTGACAGATTGAGGGGGGAGGGTGGGGATAAAAGAGCAGGGGCCATGCCTGGTGCAATGTTTACAGGAAATAGGAGTCCATAGGATGCAGGACCCAAAAGGAAAACAAATTGTGGAAAGGAGAAGTTACTCTTCCTTCTCTGAAATGAAACAGAAAAAGAGATATCATCTTTAAGTATTTCTCAGTAGAGAAAAAGCAATGAGAGGATACCCACATTGGAGAATCTTGATTTCTTCTATTAAGCAAAAGGAGAAAGTTGCATACAGTGGGACTGGGGCTTGAAGGAAACAGGAAGGATTTAGAAAAGGAAAAGTGAGGACTGTGGAAGGAAGGAAATTTTGAAAAATCAGAGAATTACCTGGGAGTAGTAAAGGCTCAGCTGGGACCAGTCAGCTGATATTGGCTTGGGTCAGATTTTTACATTTTTAATTTAATTTTCAGCAATATCTTTTGCTTGGGAGCAGAAACAGAAAGTACATGATGGACTTCATTGAAGGATGGAGATTTGGAAGACATGAATGGATGAAGAACCAAGTGCGTGAGGGCACCTATCAGGATTATTGCTGAAATCCTTATGGAGTTAACTGGCTGAGAGGAAGGCAAGCAAGCGAGGACTGATGGGCCCTTGGCACTGTGAGAACAGTGGAGGAGGAGGGAGCAGGGTTCATAAGGAGGAGCACAAACAGAAAGTTCAGTGGCCCCAATAAAAATAACACCAGAATCTTCCAGATACTTTCTCCATAAGGCGAAAAGGTAAATGCCCCTTTAAATCATTAACTAAACTGGCACTTAGATCTGGGCAGGCTCTCCCAGATTGGGCTGTTCCGTTTTGCCAGGAATTGATAAACTTCTGTGACCCCTCCAGGGTGAGTGAGCATGATCCATCTTCCCTGTCTGGACAAGTTTGATCCAGCCTCCTTCCTCCTGCTGAAGCAGGCCTGAGGTGTGTGCCAGGATTCCATGTCTTATGCTAATACTCACATTCCACATACCGGCTCTTGCTGGTACTGCCTTTAGGCTTTTAGAAGGCCGTGCTTTTACCCTCCCTGGCTGCACCCCTTACTACAGGGTGAGGAGACTGTGGCACCTAGGGGATGTGTCCACTCAGAACCACATTACCACATTGCTCCCTTCTAGACCACACTCTGGATAACTTGGACCACCTCAGGATTCCTTGCTCAAATGCCCCAAGCCCACTTCCAGGGCCTGCCTAGACTTCTTTTCCAGACCCATCCTCCCAAGGGCAAACCATGCCACTAGTGTGTGTGGTCAGCCTGAGAGGTAGCCAAGGATAGCCTATTTGCAGAGGCATGCACAGGGTATGGATGCGTGAACTGGGGCATCTACATGCATGCATGAGAGGGCCTTCTCATTCAGAGTCAAGGATGGGAGGAGAGGGGAACGTTTCAGGTTGGGGTCCAGCTCTCTCCATGCCTCTTTGTCCTGGTGCAGAACTCTAAGGATTCCAAGCATTGCACATTCAAACCTGACCTTCAGGTCTTTTGGAAGTTAGAGTTATCAAGGTAGGAAAATGGAACATATTTTATTTAACAGTTTGACTTGACTTATAACTTTCTTTTTTTTTTTTTTTTTTTTTTAGACGGAGTCTCGCTCTGTTGCCCAGGCTGTAGTTCAGTGGTGCAATCTCAGCTCACTGCAAGCTCTGCCTCCCGGGTTCATGCCATTCTTCTGCCTCAGCCTCCCGAGTAGCTGGGACTACAAGCGCCTGCTACCACGCCTGGCTAATTTTTTGTATTTTTTAGTAGAGACGGAGTTTCACCATGTTAGCCAGGATGGTCTCGATCTCCTGACCTTGTGATCCACCCATCTCGGCCTCCCAAAGTGCTAGGATTACAGGCATGAGCCACCACGCCCAGCCAACTTATAACTTTTATATCATTAGACACATGGAATATGGGCCTCCGTTTGTACTCTTGCCCTTGGCCCCACAAACGTTAGGGAGAGGCCTGGCTCCTGCAATGTACTATTTACCTGTTGTAAAGAATAGCCCTTCAAAAGTATTATTCTAAGTCTGTTTGACATAATAGGTCCAAATTGTATTACAACATGGTAAAAAAACAACAATCCATTAACAATCCTCTTTGGATTTCTAAAAAAGTTTTGGTAGCCTAAACTCTTTCCCCAATTTTTGATATCACTTCATGTCATTTTAGAGAGTAAGTTTTCCTGTTTTATTAATGTTTATATTTAAGCTGAATTTTCTAAAAGAATTGTGAGTGTTTTTATTCTATTGTGACATTCAAGGTACGCAGCTGACCCTTGAGTATAAGTCCCATCAACTAAGTAAACATCAAACATATCTTCAGTACATCCCTTTAGATCTTGACAGTTATTTATCACTTTTTCATAAGTTCCAAAGTTCCAGATGGTTACTGATACATTCAGGCTGACCACTGCTAGATTTGAGACTTGTCCCACAGATCTGCACTGTATCTTCATACCTTCATTAATAGATCTTTTATTCTTTTTTTTTTTAATTTTTTTGGAGACGTGGGTCTCATTATGTTGCCCAGGCTGGTCTTGAACTTCTGGCCTCAAGTGATCCTCCCAACTCAGCCTCCCAAAGTATTGGAATTATAGGTGTGAGCCACTACACCCAGCCTAGATCTCAATCAGGTGACACTGAAAATGTTTGGTCATAAACCACAGTGAAGGAAGGGGAGGCAGCTGTTAGATCATCTGCCTTGACCCACAGTCCTCATCCATTTGCACCTTGGCAAGCCCTCTACTACATCTGAATCTCGAAATGGGGGATAACCTCTTGGGAGAGTCTATGCTAGTACCCTTCTAGTAGTAGTTTACAATCTGCCAACAAATCTTGAAGCCTTATTTGGTTGATATCAATTTGAGAGGTGGGAGGTTCAGTTTCCAAAGAGTCAGGAAAGAGCATTCATCTAGGCTTGAGAAGCCTCCATTTCCTAACTCAAGAGTTCTGATTAGGTTGTTGGTTGAGTGACACAAGGCAATCATCTCACTTTTCTGTTCCTGAGCTTCTCCTTTTATAGAATGTGGGCAGGAGTGTGGAGAGGGAGAATTTATTTCATTTCCTGTTTTCCAAACTTACTAAACTGTGGAAACTTTTTCTTTTGCAGCATTGGGCAAAACTGATGTTCTAAGGAACATTCTTTAGGAAAGGTTAGCCAGATCCGTGGTTCTCAACAGGCATGTGGTACACATTTAATAATGTCTGGAGACGTTTTTGGTTGTCACAACTGGGGATCCAGGGATGCTGCTAAACATCCTGCAATGCCTAGGACAGCCCTCCACAACGGAGAATTATCCAACTCAAAATGCCAATCATTCTAAGGGGTTGAAAAACTCTGGACTATATGAACTATCTCAATTCTCTTTCAACACTAACATTTAAATGTGGTGTTTCTTGTTTTTTAAACACACAAAATTTTATTTCTGTTTTACACAAAGTCAGCTATGGGTATGGATGAATCTGCGGACAGTTTTCTTCCATGTGTTGGCTCCATATTTCAGCTGCTTTGATCTTTTTGACATCTTATCAATGTGTTCTTCTATGATTTCCTTGGCAGAGAAAGAGAAAGCAGAGAGAATCATGTGCTGGATCTTAAATGCTTCTACGTGGATGTAGTAAATGTCTCTTCTACTTTTTTTAAATAAGAAGTGTATTAAAATATAATCCATGTATCATATAATTTACTCATTTAAGGCATAAAATTCGGCTGGGTATGGTGGCTCACACCTGTAATCCCAGCACTTTGGGAGGTTGAGGTGGGGTGAATCTCTTGAGCCCAGGAGTTTGAGACCAGACTGGGCAACATGGCAAAACCCCATCTCTACAAAAAATACAAAAATTAGCCAGGTGTGGTGGCACGCACCTGTAATCCCAGCTATTTGGGAGGTTGAGGTGGGAGTATTGCTTGAGTTTTGAAGGCAGAGGTTGCAGTGAGCCAAGATTGTGCCACTGCACTCCAGCCAGGGTGACAGAGTGAGACTGTCTCAAAAAAAATTTTTCAGCTAAAATAAAGTGTAAAACTCTGTAGTTTTTAGTGTATCCACAAAATGTGTGCAATCGTCTCTACACTCAATTTTAGAACATTTGAATCACCCCCAGAAGAAACACTGTACCTATTAACAGCCATTCCCAATTTTCCCTCAACACCTCCACCTCAGCCCTAGGCAACCACTAACCTATTTTCTATCTCTATAGGTTTACCTATACTGGATATTACATATAAATGGAATCATGTCCTTTGTAACTGTCTTCTTTCACTTTGCATAATGTTTTCAAGGTTCATTCATGTTGCATCCTTCTCAATATTTCATTTTTATTGCTGAATAATATTCCATTGTATGAATATAACACATTTTATTTATCCATTCATCGCTTGATGGATATATGAGCCATTTCTACTTTTTAGATATTCTGAATAATGCTGCTATGAATACTTATATGCAAGTTTTTACATGGACGTATGTCTTCATTTCTCTTAGGTTATATATCTAAGAAAGGAATTACTGAATCATACGATAACTTTATGCTTAGACTTTTGAGAAACTGCCAGACTGCTCTCCAAAATGACTGTGCCATTTTACATTCCCAAAAGTAATGTATGAAGTTTCTAATTTTTCCACACCCTCACCAACACTTATTATCTGTGTTTTTGATTCTTGCCATCCTAGTGTGTGTGAAGTAGTTTCTCACTGTGATTTGTATTTGAATCTTCTTGAAGGCTAATGATTTTGAGCATCTTTTCATGTGCTTATCGTCTCTTCTTTATATAGATGTCTATTCAGGTCCTTGGCCCATTTTTAATTTGGGCTATTTGTCTTTTCATTACTGAGTTTTAAGAATAATTTTTGTTTATTCTAGACACACATCCCATATTAGATAGGTGATTTGCAACTATTTCCTCCCATTCTGTAGGTTTCTTGCTGGTGTCCTTTTAGGAATAGAAGTTTTACGTTTTGATGAAGTCAAGTGTGTATGTTTTCTTTTGTTGCTTGTGTGTTTGATCTCATATCAAAAAACCATTGCACAATCCAAGGCCACAAAGAGTTATGTCTATGTTTTCTAGATTTTTATCATTTTAGTGCTTACATTTAGGTCTTTGATCTTTTTGTGTTAATTTTTTATATTGGGTGTGAGGTAAAAATCCAACTTCATTCTTTTGCATGTGATATCCAATTATCCAGAACCACTTGTTGAGAAGGCTAGTTCTTCCTCACTGGATTATCTTGGCACCCTTGTCAAAAATAAGTTGACTGTAGATGTGAAGGTGTATGAGTTGCTAAAATACCTCTTCTGTGATATTTATAATTTATTTTCTAAAAGGATAAGTTATAGGTCACATCTCAGATTACAATGATTCAAGTCAAAAAGTTCAAAGTAGAATTTACTTTCAAAATTGTTTGTTCCCCCAGAGCTAGTTAATGCCCCCAGAGCTAGTTAATAAACTCTATTTGCAGATAAAAGCATGCTTTCCCTTCAAAGGTATTTCACCAAGACGGGAAACACAAAACTAAATAAGCTGGGAAACTGAGGATACACAGAGGGTCTCCTTAATCTCTGGATATGTGGTCTAATGTATCCTTTTTGTGCTCATTTTTTCCCTTTTATCCAGAAATACAACATTACCTTTTTATAAAATTCCTGGAGATTGATCATATCTCTAGTGTTTGGGTCTAGAATGTATTTTTTGGCCAAAACATCTCTTTACCCCACTTCCACATGTGGAAAGAAAGAAAACATGGTACTCTAATCTCACAAGTGAGGCATGGGGTTGTTTCCTGAAATGAGGCAAGGACTTTGGACAAGAACATGTTTGGACTTGAGATGGTTTTTGTAAACCCAAATGATATTAGTTCTAGTCTGTCTTTATCGCTCACTGTATTTTGTTTTCATTCATACTAATGAATAATAGACTTGATTGTGTTCCATCATTTATGTCATTAATATTTCCTTTATGTTTGAGTGCTGTGCAGTTCTCCTTGAAACTTGTATGGAGATTGAACTTGATAGTGATTTAAAGTAATTAATTCATATGTCAGTTGTTAGCAAGGTCTAGTAATTAAAATCTACTTTAGAGTAAGTTATTAACTCTCCAAAATAAAAACACTTTATCAACTTACCAGTTTTAGCTATTTATTCTACTTGACAGATGAGATAGGGTAGTTATTGACTGTACATAATCACCTATGTACTTTCACCACTGAACACTAGGGTCAAATTGAAGTCTAGGTTATTAAAGTTCATAGTTTAAATCTAGAATAAACCAGTTCAGGTTGATGGGAGAAGGAAGAGAGTGTCCTTGGATCTTGTTATCTTTGCAATATTGTCTCCTTAAATTTTGCAAAGTCCATTTTTGCTGTCTTCAAAATTCTCAAACTTCTAAACTAAAAACACCCTAGACCAAGGATTTCATATTGAGATCTAAGATATCAAAGTGCTATATTGTTTATGATTTATTTTATAATGCTTTTTAGTAAAACAAACTTTAGATGCCATGATTTCCTTGTGAACAGGCTGGAGGGAAGAAAACAAGTTACACGTAATGCATGGGACACAAGTGCAGGCCTTTTATTTGCAGGCCTAAACTAGTCACAAGTTTCCATCTTATGAAAGCAAGTTTTCTTTTATTCTGCTTTGTTTTTTGTCTTGATATCTGGTTACATTTATTCAGTTTGAGGGCATCTTATAACGGGCCCTTTACTTCCCTCCATTTGGCTTGTGATGAACTACTACCAAGGTCAATCCAGGTCTGACTCTTTCATGGAGTCAGTGTGGCTGGGGTAGTGTTTCCCAAGCCAAGCTTGTCATCAGAATTACCTGGGGTGGTTTGTAAAGAACTTTTCAGGCCTCATTCCAAACCTACTAAATTTAGATCTCTGGTGTGGAGCCTGTAAATCTGTATGTTTGAAACCTTCCCAAGGTGATTCTGATGTCCAGTCATATTTGGGTCATAGTCCAGAATGCAGTCATGCATTGCTTAATGACAGGGATTTGTTCTGAAAAATGTGTCATTAGGTAATTTCTTCATTGTAGAACCATCATAGAGTGTGATTACACAAACCTAGATGGTATAGCCTACTACACACCTAGGCTATGTGGTATAGCCTATTGCTCCCAGGCTACAAACCTGTACAGTATGTTGCTGTACTGAACACTGTAAGTAATTGTAATACAATGGTAAGTATGTGTGTATCTAAATATATCTTAACATAGAAAAGGTGCAGTAAAAATACAGTATTCAAATCTCATGAAACCACCATCATATAAGAGGTCCGTAGTTGAACTGAAATGTTGTTGTGTTGCCCATGATTGTACTTGGATTTCAGGACTCTGCAGATGCTTGGAGGTCTTATGGGTTTGGCCATGGGGTATTGCCTCTGAGAAACTGCCATCTGCTTGCCAGAGATTCTGAAAAGACCAGAGTTGCCTATTTGCAGTCTGTTCTTCAAGACTATCTACTATGTTGGCAAAAAGGCCTAGGTTTCTTCTCTGTCCATTCTCAATCCCTCAATCTGTCCTTGTGACTTACTTGCTCCTTCAAGCTGCCCAGTAGTGGCGCTGGTGAAAATAAAATAGACTTTGGTCCTACAGACCTGTCATGGACTCTCAGCTCAGCCTCTTCTATGTGTGCCATTTGCCTCATCTGTAAATGTAGTTAATATTGTCCTCTCAAAGATGTTAGGAAAACCAGAAGAATGTATTTATGTAACACCTAGAACAAGTATACCCTGCATTAGGCATTATTTGTTTGGTTTTACCTGTCCATCTCAATGAACATGCTGGGTTAATGAAGTGTGTTCATCAATTTTCCCTGATCGTAGCCTTTTAGATTGCTCTGGGCAGTGTTTCTCAAAGTAGGAGACACAGACCACCTACCTGTGATTGACAGGAGGACAGAAATCTGCTCTAATGCACTCTAACCTTCTGCACTTTTCACTTTTTATTGAAATATACATATAGAAAGGTGTATTTATTGTAAGTGAACAGCTCAGTGGCTTTTCCTAAACTGAACACACCCATGTAACCAGCACCCAGATCAAGAAACAGAACATTACCAGCACCCCCGAAGCCTCCTCTGCAGGCACACTTTAAGAACCACTGGTCTAGGAAGAGCCCAGCTGGGGCACTGTCCTAAACCACCGTCCCGCCTTTACCTAGCAGGCCAAATCTGCATGCAGTGTCAGCTATTCCCAATCTGAGAGGCTGGGCCTATAGCCTCACATACACCCTTCATAGTGATGCAACTTCATTTGTAAAAAGGGTCACAAAGGGTGTTTCTATAATTTATATTCCTAGCATACACCCTAAACTGCTTAAAGCAAATGAATTCAGGTCCCAGCCAAAAAGGAGTGGAGACCAGTCACTGCCTGAAAGCATTGGCTTATTACAACACTCCAGCATTTTCTCACGGCAGGGTGAATGAGGTGGATTCTAGTGTAATTACCTTTATGTAATTGAAAACTAAATCACCGATGGCTGCAGAGTTTAAATATCCATTTAAATACTTTCAATTTATTCAGCTTATTTTTTCAGGACATGCTACTACCAAATAGGCTATTAATTTTTCTAATGGATTAAAATCTGAATAGGTACATTAAAAACTAGCATAGCTCAAATAAATGTCCTCTTTTTCCAAAGATTATTAAAGAGAGTTTTCTTTTTCTTTAACCCAGCTATTCAAATACTCTATTAGACCAGGACCTGTAATAATACAGGCCTTGTCCAGAAGGGATCAGGTTTCTATGTTATATAATTAGGCAAGACTTTAAATAGTAAGACATGCACCTGTGGTGCTTTTGTCTCTAACTCCACAAATTTCAACATGCATACAAATCAAGAAGGGGTGGGGGTGTTACATGCAAATTCTGCTTCAGTGGGTGTTGGAGCCTGAGATTCTGGCTTTCTAACAAGCTCCCAGGTAAGTGCTGATGCTGCTGCTTTGAGGGCCACACACCTTGAGGAGTAGGAAGAGTACTCATACTGGAAGAGTATTCAGCACGGACTGGAATCCTGCATACATATCTGAGCTCTGTGTTCTGGTATGTATATAGACTTTTTAAAAAAATTAGTAGAGATGGGGTCTCACCATTTTGGCCAGGCTGGTCTCAAACTCCAGGGCTCAAGAGATCCTCCTGCCTTGGCCTCCCAAAGTGCTGAGATTACAGGCATGAGCCACTATACCTGGCTTATATAGACTGCTTCTAAGGTCCATTCTAACTGTACAATTCCATGATTCAGTCACTGTTTGGCTATTAACTAATTTTTTTAGGCTTCTGATTCTCATTGTTTATAAGCTGCTATATTAGAGAATGTTCTGTACTGGAAGGCCAGATAAAAAGTCTTACTTATGGCCAGTAAGTTTTATTTTTCAATCTTCTACAAGTCTGCCTCAACCCATGGGAAATCTTGGCTAATAGTAACATGATACTGGGCTTGGACCATAAACTAAACTTGAGTCAGCAATGTAGGGCTTTGGTTAGATAAGCAAGAATGAACTTGGGAATATAACCAAAAGAAAGGGACAGCTAATCCTACCAGAACAGGCAGTATTTATATGAATACTTTTTTCAAATATCCACAACTGGGAAAAGCTGCTGAACACATAAAGAAAAGTTAAAAGCACGGCATTATTTAGCTAGTGAAAAGAGAACAAAGAATGCCTTAAGAATAATTTTTGAATGGCAGCAGAAACCAGCATATCCTGTGAAGTAAATGCATTTTCAGGACCTCAAAATAGATTTAGGTTGCCTCTAAAGCAGAACTTTCCCATGATAATGATGATCCTAGGTGGTAGGATTGCCAATGGTAATTTTCTTTCCCAAAGATTCTTACAACCAACCATAAACCTACTAGATAACCTATCAGTTGTGTTATTAACTGATATATCAGTTGGGGTTCAGTGCAGACACTTCTCTAGGTACTGAATGCTAAGAATTATATGCTTAAAAATTATATGCTCTTACCATTAGAAGAGCTGGAAGAAGGCTGAGGGAGATGCCTTCTTCCAGCCCTTCTAATGGTAGGAGCATTAAGAGGGATGCTGTTGGGCTCGCAGTTCAGTCCACACAGCTACAATCTAGAGGTCAGGAAGCTATAAAGTCCACTGCTGGCATCACAGTCATTTCTCACAGATGAAGTTAGTGGCAATGCAGAGGCACAGAAAGTCTGGTCATTAAAAACCACATTTAATGTTGCACGTACATCAACAACTACCAGTGAAAACTAATAGGCAGCCAGGCATGTTGGTGCATGCCTGAAGTCCCAAACATTTGGGACACTGAGGTGGGAGGATCCTTGAGCCCAGGAGGTCTAGGCTGCAGTGAGTTGTGATTGTGCCACTGTACTCCAGCCTGGACAGAACAAGAATCTTTCTCAAAAAATAAATAAATAGAGAGAGAGAAGGAGGGAGGGAAGGAGGAAGGTAAAAAGAGAGAGAGAGAAAGGAAGGAAGGGAAAGAAGAGGAAGGAAGGAAGGAAGGAGAAGAGAAAGAAAAGGAAGGAAGGAAGGAAGGAGAAAGAGAAAGAAGGAAGGAGAAAGAAGAGAAAGAAAAGGGAGGAAGGAAGGAAGGAAGGAAAACTAATAGGCAGGGGAAATAGCCTCTCTCTTCCTTTTACCTTTCTAATTTCGCATCATTATATCTGACTGGCACAGTTTAAATTGTTTAACAAATCCTATTAGCAGCTCAGCCTAGAATTATAGTTATTGAGCTTTGTTCCTAACTCAGTATAAATCTATCTTTATTGAAGTATAGCATACAGACAGAAAAATGCACAAATTATAATCAGAGAGCTTGATGAATTTTCATAAAGTAAACACACCTACATATTGCTAGCACCCAGATTGGGAGGCAGAAACTACTACCATACCAGAAGCTCCCTTCATTATCTTTTCTAGGCATTATCCTCCCTCAAATTGACTGTAATCTTGGCTTCTAATACCCTAGACCAATTTGGCCTATTTTTAAACATTAGACAAAATGGAATGATACAGTGTGTATTATTTTATTACTGGCTTTTCCTACTCAACTATTTGTGAGATTCATTCATGTTGAGAGTAATAATAGTATCTTCATTTTCATTGCTGTGTAGTATTCCATTGTATGAATATAACACAATTTATACGTTCTACCAAAGATGGACATTTGGGTTGTTTCCAATTTGAGATTACTGCAACTAGTGCCACTGTGAACATTGGTGAACACACACACACACACATATTTCAGTTGGATATATAAAAGTGTAATTTCTCTGATGCATGGGGTTCAGCTTGAGTAGTACTGCCCAACAGTTTTTCACATCTTCATCAAAACTTGATCTTTTCCATCTTTTAAATTTTAGCCATTCTCTTCAAAGACTAATGCAGTGTATTGAATCTCATTGTTGTTTTCATTTTTCTGATATCAAATAAACACCTTTTTAATTGTTTATTGGCCATTTGGGTACCCTCTTCTGTGAAATGCCTATTCATGTGTTTTGTGTGATTTTCTATGGGCTTGTCTGCCTTTTCTTGTTTTTATAGTCCTTTATTCTGGATATGAGTCCTTTGTCGGGTATATGTATTGATAATATCTTTTGCCACTATGTGGCTTTTTGTTTTTTGTTTTTTTTTTTTGAGATGGAGTCTTGCTCTGTCACCCAGGCTGGAGTGCAGTGGCGTGATCTCGGCTCACTGCAAGCTCCTCCTCCCGGGTTCACGCCATTCTCCTGCCTCAGCCTCCCAAGTAGCTGGGACTACAGGTGCCCGCCACCATGCCCAGCTAATTTTTTGTATTTTTAGTAGAGACGGGGTTTCACCATGTGAGCCAGGATGGTCTCAATCTCCTGACCTTGTGATCTGCCTGCTTCGGCCTCCCAAAGTGCTGGGATTACAGGCGTGAGCCACTGTGCCCAGCCCACTCTGTGGCTTATTTTATTCACTCTTTTAATAGTGTATTTTGAAGAAGACATTCATAATTTTGAATTAGTTTAGTTTATCAGATGTTTTCCTTTATGGCTTATTTATTTTGTGTGTCTCCAGTTTAAGAAATCTTTGTGGATTCCAAAATCGTGAGTATTCTTCTGTTTTCTTGTGAAACTGTTATTGTCCCACTTAGATTTACAATTGTGACTTTTATGGATGGTGAAAAGTGGGAAATATAGTTTTGAGCCTTCCAGTTTCTATAATTCTGTAGAGTAAAAATGGAGTATATAGAGAAGGTAGTGAAAATGTATGCAAGAAACCATATCTAACACAGTTAACTTAGGTGACTGTTTACGCTGTAAAACAGTGATATGTTTAGGCTTTGTGTCCCCACTCAAATTTCATCTTGAATTGTTTTTGTTTTTGTTTTTTGAGATGGAGTCTCGCTCTGTCGCCATGCTGGAGTGCAGTGGCACGATCTCAGCTCACTGCAACCTCTGCTTCCAGGGTTCAAGCACTTCTCCTGCCTCAGCCTCCTGAGTACCTGGGACTACAGGCACACGCTGCCACGCCCGCTAATTTTTGTTGTTGTTGTTTGTATTTTAGTAGAGATGGGGTTTCACCATGTTGCCCAGGCTGGTCTCAAACTCCTGAGCTCAGGCCATCTGCCCGCCTCGGCCTCCCAAAGTGCTAGGATTACAGGTGAGTGCCCGGCCTCTTATCTTGAATTGTAATTCCCGGGTGTTGAGGGAGAGACCTGGTGGGAGGTGATTGGATCATGGGGGAGGTTCCCCCATGCTGTTCTTATGACAATGAGTGAGTTCTCATAGATCTGATGGTTTTATAAGGAGCTCTTCCCACTTTGCTTCTCTCTCCCTCCCTCCTGCTGCCTTGTGAAGAAGGTGCCTGCTTCCCCTTCACCTTCCACCATGATTGTAAGTTTCCTGAGGCCTCCCCAGACATGTGGAACTGTGAGTCAATTAAATCTCTTTTCTTTATAAATTACCCAGTCTCAGGTAGTATCTTTATAGCGGTATAAAAACAGACTAATACAAACAGGTAGCTCTAAATTGTGAGTTTTTCTTAACTCCTTTGATCTTCTGTGATAGCGATTTTTCACATTTCACACTTCCCTAATGCCAAAAATCCACCTCCAGCAGCTGTTTTGCCTCTTTCTTATCCTGCCCCTTGGAAGAATGTCATCATTATTGCTGCCACAGCACTGTGTTCTTTTTCAGAAGTTACAGCAAGAATTGGTTGGCTTTCTTTCTTTTTTTTTTTTTTTCTCAGACAGAATCTGGTTCTGTCGCCCAGGCTGATGTGCAGTGGTGGGATCTTGGCTCACTGCAACCTCTGCCTCCCGGGTTCAAGCAATTCTCTCGCCTCAGTCTCTCGAGTAGCTGGGATTACAGGCACAAGCCACCATGCCCGGCTAATTTTTGTATTTTCAGTAGAGATGGGGTTTCACCATGTTGGCCAGGATGGTCTCGATCTCCTGACCTCGTGCTCCACTTGCCTTAGCCTCCCAAAGTGCTGAGATTACAGGTGTGAGCCACCGCGTCTGGCCAGATCTGCTTTCAAATAAATGAAAAGAAGACCAGGGTTAGAACTGGTGGGAAAATGTGAATATTAGAATTCTTTTAAAGAAATATAGTTTTACCACATAATCTAAGGTCGTGTGATTAAGTACAAGGCATTGTTCTAAAAGGCTTGAGGAAAAGTTGTTTCTCCTAAGAGGTTAAACAAGCTCATAACCCTACCTCTCCTCACTTGCAGGCACAACCACTTCCTGTGTTTTTTTCATGTGGAGCAACTGATGTTTTCTCAATCTTATATAAGATGTTATACAAGGCCGGGTGTAGTGGCTCATGCCCGTAATCCCAGCACTTTGGGAGGCCGAGGTGGGCAGATCACCTGAGGTCAGGAGTTTGAGATCAGCCTGGCCAACATGGTGAAGCCCCATCTCTACTAAAATACAAAAAAAAAAAAAAATTAGCTGGGCATGGTGGAAAACACCTGTGATCCCAGCTACTCAGGAAGCTGAACCTGGGAAGTAGAGGTTGCAGTGAGCCGAGATCGCACCACTGCACTCCAGTCTGGGTGACAAAGCAAGACTCCATCTCAAAAAAAAAAAAAAAAAAGTTATACAAAAGAGGTTTCAAGCGAGTTCCCTACCTTCCTCAGAATCAGATTTTTCCCCATAGGCTCCTCTAGAAATTATGGCATGGCTACTGGAACAGTAAAATATATCTAGAGCAAGATTCTTCTCAACCCTTTTGTGCCTTATCCCCGCTCTCTCCTTTGATATTTGGATATATCATTTGGTTCCCTAATAATAATAATAGCTGAAGTGGGTTGTGAAATATGACTTTTTTATTATTCAACCCAATTTCTGTTCCATGGCCACATATCTCTGGGCTGTTAGGAAAAATCATTTTACGATATATTTTCAACTCATACCACATAGTAGCAGGATCTTACACAGTGCCAAGGCTTCTGGAATGGGGCAGGTATCTTAGCTGGTCCTTAACTAGTTCACAATGATTCAGCCAAGATTCATATACATTGTAGGGGTCCCATGGCCCCTTTATGTCTAGGACCTTCTATTATTTCTGAGTTACCCTATTGTTTCTGAGTTATGTTCATCTGCATAAATGCATCTGCATAGTCATTCCCCTAATTCCTACTTGCCAGGCACTCTTCTAATTACTCCATGTGCATTGTCTCATTTAATCCTCATAATAACCCTATATGACAGTGTTGCTATTATTATTTACATTTTATAAATGAGGACATTGAGGTTAGGTAATATGCCCGAAGCCCTTATATCTCAGTAGTGCTGAAGTTTTTGCTGTGGATTGACTCTCTACTCTTAAAAGTGTGAGTGCTCATTAATAATCCATTGGCACACTCACTGTGCTTCTCAAATCTTAGACAAACCTCTTGTCATCACCTTGAAGAATTCATCTTTGCAAAGACCCATTACACCAAGGCATGCCAGTCATCTTAGTTAATCTTCATATTCAGTTCATGAAGCAAATATTTCTAGAGACTGGCTATATGCCCAGCACAAGTTCTGATGACAGAATGGGCTAAGGAGCTACAGTAGCACAAGAGTCCCTTTCGTCGAAATCTTAAAAGCAAATTTTGTCCAAGTTATCAATTTTATCTAATGGAATTTAACTAAATTAGAAAGAAACCTAAGTCCTTCAGTCACTAACCCATAGATTTAATACTTGGGACTCAGACATATGAACATTGTTGTTCTTGATGGCCTTATTTTCTGGGTCATCTCCCAGAAATAGCATATTCTTATGCTAATTTGAGTGCTACTAAACCCAGAAGGGCCCACATTCACCCACCCCTCACTCCCCCATGGTTCAGTAGGCCTCAAGTCTCAATTTTCCAATTATCTAATAAATTGAAGGCTTCCATTGGGAGTAGGATGAGGATGGAATCTTAAGGAAATTGAAAGTGCCATTTCAGAGTCAATATAGTTTTAGTAGGTTTTAGGGATGAACCTGGTACCTAACCACTAAATATAAGGCTTTTAAAGGAATCTATGTCCATGTCCCTAAAAAAACAATTTAAAACCCAGTATGGTTATATTCCTCAATTAAGAACCATGTTATATTCCTTATATTTATTGGTACCTTAATCATTAAAAACTTGACCACTTTACAGTGAACTTCTAGTATTTTCTCTACTTTTTACTCTTCTAGAAGACAGTAGATATTTCTGTCCTGATACCAGCTCTTGACTTGAGCAAAACTGTGCTTCTAGCTACTCAAGGGCAGACAGAGCTCTCTGGAAGGGACCATTGAAGAGTTTATAACAATGTTTTACAAAGTTCAAATTACCCTTGCTTATCTGGAATCTTTTGAAAATTAATCCCTAAGTGGCTGAATGTAAGAAAACTTACTGTGGGGCTAGTTTTACTGAAATATTTTGTCCTAGATTTTTGTGACCATGAGTGTCTCCTTCTCCCCTGGAGAAGGATATCTGTTCTATGTCATTCTCACTTCCTAGAGAGGAGAAAATCAGAACTATTTCCTCTACTCTGTCAGGTAGGTCTAGTCAAACAGTCCATCATTCTGATAGCAGAATATCAGGACTTCATAACAAGAAACATAGAATCCCTAACCCCAGAGCGTAATCAGCTCATCTCATTGCTTCCCCTTTAGACTAAGAGCAATTTTAGTAGAATGAGTTCCCTGGACACAGCACCTGCAGGATATGTGAAGGTGCTTTATAAATTTTTTGTTTGTTTGTTTTTGAGACAGGGTCTTGCTTTGCAGTGAACACAGTTCACTGCAGCCTCGACCTCCTGGGCTTAAGCAATACTCTCACCTCAGCCTCCTGAACAGCTGGCACCACCACACCTGGCTAATTTTTGTATTCTTTGTAGAGACAGGGTTTTGCCATGTTGTCCATGCTGGTCTCAAACTCCTGAGCTCAAGTGATCTACCCACCTCAGCTTCCCAAAGTGCTGGGATTACAGGCATGAGCCACAGTGCCCGGCCTTGCTTTATAAACTAAAGCAGCATATAACACTGCAGGTTGTTGAAATTTTGTCTTTATATTTCCTTTGCTTTTTAGCCTAGAAAGTACTCTGACCAGCAAAAACAACCACATTACACATCTTAAAACCATTGCTAGATTTCAGTGGTGGTGGTATGATAGTAGCAATAGCAAGAGAAACAAAAAGAAGAATGTAAGGGTGGGGTATGTGTATGTCCATGCCCATGTACTGGCTT
This sequence comes from Homo sapiens, assembly GCF_000001405.40. Lineage (NCBI taxonomy): Eukaryota > Metazoa > Chordata > Mammalia > Primates > Hominidae > Homo > Homo sapiens. The sequence continues at coordinate 177,307,177 of NC_000002.12, read as the reverse complement.
TTCTACATGCTCCAAGAAGGTTTCTCAAAGGTATCCAATGTTCAAATGGGAAGGAGCACAGATCAGATGGGGAATCTGCCCAGGTGTCAGAGAATTCATGTTAATCTTCTGGCCAAAATAACTATCCATTCCAAGTTCATGTTATTATTTTTTGAAAAAATAACAACCATTTTCATTGCTAATATTCTTCAAAGACTTGCAGAGATTTTACCCACTTCTGTAAAACTGTTTAAGATTTCTTAAGTTAGCTCTTAAGAACTTATCTTAAGATAGCTCTGTCTTAAGAGCTGAGATAAATTCTAGTCTGGAAGTCAGAATGACCCAGAACAGATGCCCTTTCTCAATTCCACATTAATGGAGACCTTAGGCTGGGTTCCACCTCCTTAAAAAAAGGCAGGGCTGTGTATGGACCCAGTAAAGGGTGGAGAGACAAGGTTGGTAGTGACTCACTTCAGTTTTTGGAAGGAGGCGGATTAAGCTTCCACCCCCACAAGCCTAATGCTGGGAACTCCCACTTTGGAAGATGAGGCAGATCTTGACATGAAAGCAGTCTGAAGTAGCGTCCCACCCTAGAAAAGAAGTTACATTCATCGTTAGATTTGAGACTGCACAGCTAAAATGTAAGAAACAGAAGTGTCCAGTATATTCAAAAGCCTTAAAAGTGCACATTTTGTTCGCTGACCAATGTCAAATTTATAACTCTATCTTTAGGAAGTTATTAAGCATGTGTGCAAAGATTAAACTACTAGGCAGATCATCTAAACTGTGTTTATCATAAAAAAATAGAAAACCAACCTAAGTGTCCAACAATACGAGTTTAATTAAATACATCCATATAATGTTATATTTTTCATATTTAAAATAATGTTATAGATACATATTTATTAATGTGGTAAGGTGTCTAAAATATATTAAGGACAAACACAGGTGACCAACCAATATGTACTTGATGATTCCATTTCAGTAAAATAAATACATGTGTGAGTATATGCATATGGTTTTAAAAGCTCTTAAAGGGTTTCTGGTTCAAGGTGGTGGATTGACTACATGCATTTAACTTCCCCTTGCTCTCTAAATCTCACTAACATGATATAAAAATACACACACATACAGTCACAAAGAACACAGTTTGTATAAAAGTACGAAAAGAAATTCCCCCGACTTTACCCCCCATCCAAATTCTAGGTCTTGCCTCCATCTCTAGAAATGGGAAGAATGCTGAGGAGTAAGACAAAAGAATGGGAAAAGGAGATTTTGACTTTTTTTTTAATACTTTCTGTACTGTTTGATGCTTTCATTAGTACTGTGTATTTTTGTAACTTTTAAAGTTATTGAAGGCTAAATTTAAAAGTGGTAATACAGTAGCATCACAGCATTTTGCATTTAGCTTAACTAGCTTTCACCTAAATTTGGGAAGGGTGGAGGGCAAACGAGAAAGAATAAAGGAAAGAGAAAAGGGAGAGAAAGAGGAAGAAAGGGAGTGCAAGAGAGAACATTTTAAATGGTGTTGTGATTTCTGCCTGACCTTTCTTCTTTCTCTCTCTCTCTCTCTAAGAGACAGTATCTCTCTCTGTCACCCAGGCTGAAGTGCCGTGGCATGATCATAACTCACTGCAGCCTCAAATTCCTGGGTTCAAGCCATCCTTCCCACTCAGCCTCCTGAGTAGGTGGGACTACAGGCACATGCCACCACACCTGGCTAATTTGTTTTTATTTTTACAGACACGGGGTCTTGCTACGTTGCCCAGGCTGGTCTCAAACTCTTGTTCTCAAGCAGTCCTCCCACCTTGGCCTCCCAAGGCAATAGTATCTGATCTTTTCAATTAGCTTGGATCTAACCCAAAATAACTCTGAAAGAGCTGATGTGAATTTGATCTATTTCTGGTCCTGTGTGCTCTTCATACGTTGAGTATCTTGTCATGCTAAGTGTGATTCTATTGTTAACAGGTCCTTTTATTTTTATTTGTTTATATACATTTAAGTAGCATGGCTTATAAATATAACTACTTCATTAGTTGCTCAACTAACAAAGCTTATATCATGCACATGTGTTGGGTTTTCTACATGCTCCAAGGTGCTATTCCAAACTTAATGATTTAAGGTATTTTCAGGGGTAATCCCATTCCCCTCTTAATTTAGTGGTTAACTCTCAGTAACATGGAAAGCCAGTGCAGAAATTAGTAATCAGTGGTGGAATTCAGGTGTTTTTAATATTCTTCCTCTCTCTCTTTAGTTCTGTTTTCAATTTGGATAATAAGTATTCCTTTTGTAGTAAGAAAACTAGGCTGGGCACGGTGGCTCATGCCTGTAATCCCAGCACTTTGGGAAGCTGAGGCAGGCAGATCACGAGGTCAGGAATTTGAGACTCAGCCTGGCCAACATAGTGAAACCCAGTCTCTACTAAAAATACAAAAATTAGCCGGGCATGGTGGCACATGCCTGTAATCCCAGCTACTCAGGAGGCTGAGGCAGGAGAATTGCTTGAACCCAGGAGGCTGAGGTTGTAGTGAGCCGAGATGGTGCCATTGCACTCCAGCTCTGTGCGACACAGCAAGACACCATCCAGGGAAAAAATAATAATAAAATAAAATAACATTATATCTGTATCTATCTACCTATTTATTTATTCAGAGACATGGTCTTAGTCAGCCTGGCTAGAGTGCAGTGGTGCGATCACAGCTCACTGCAGACTGGAGCTCCTGGGCTCAAGCAATCTTCCTACCTCAGCCTCCTGAGTAGCTGGGACTGCAGGTATGCACCACCATGCCTGGCTAATTTTTTATTTTTATTTTTGTAGAGACAGGGTCTCACTATGTTGCCAGGCTGGTCTTGAACTCCTGGCCTCAAGTGATCCTCCCCCCTTGGCCTCCCAAAGTGTTGGGATTACAGGTGTTAACCACTGCACTGGGCCAGAAAACTATGTATTTTTAAAAACTTTTTGAAATGATAGCTATAGTTCTTATTGCAACTTCACCTGGATGATGAGCATCCAGGGACTCTCTTCTCTTTTCATGACTCAACTCTATTTTCATAGGCATCTCATTTCCTTCTTCTACCACAAGTGGAGCACTTTTCAGTGATAAGAAATCATAGCATCACAATTTTGCACCTGCTATCCATCCAGTTAGAAAACCCACTCAGTCCCAATCTGTGTCAAATAGTATTTATAACCAGCCCCTCAAATGATTTTCTCTTTTTCCTTGTGTAAAGTGCTTCCTGAAATTATAAGAAACTCAAATTTATATTAATCAGTAAGACTTTTTCTTCAGAATTTGAAATATACATAGAAAAGTGTTGTTTGTAGCAAAAATGTTAAATAGACTACTATTTTATGATATAAATTAAAAGTCAGCCGAGAAACTTCAGATAGTGTAGATGAAGAACTCACATACTGATGATGAATCCATGCTTCTGGCTGCAAAACTGAACAAGTGGGGTTGGGCCATCCCCAAAGAACAGGTTTGAAATCCTGGAAAGACAATCAAGCCTTTATCTCAGGCCTGTCGGGTAACCAAATCCTTTGGATCCTTTTGAAGTTAGGGAGTAAGGAGCAGTTGAGGGATTTTTACTCTTTAGGGGACCAGGTCCTATAGAAATCTGCCCAACCTGGTAGCCTAACTAGGTTGCGGGGTTAATGGTCCTGATCAGTAGAAAGTGAGACTCCAAGACTGTGTGTTCTCTGTGGAAGATAGACACTTGGATAGATACTTAATTACAAGTTAGGGACCCAGTTTTTGTTTGTTTGGTTGGTTTTTTTGTTTGTTTGTTTTGAGACAGAGTTTCCTCTGTCATCCAGGCTGGAGTGCAGTGGCGCCATCTCAGCTCACTGCAACCTCCGCCTCCCGGGTTCAAGCAATTCTCCTGCCTCAGCCTTCTGAGTAGCTGGGATTACAGGCACCTGCCAACATGCCCGGCTAGGGACCCACTTTTAATACCTTATGATGTGATGCAGAACAATTTCTTTAATCTCATGGACTCTTATTTTTATAGATTTGAAATGGAAATGATGTTGTTTATTCTGCAAATTAAATGAGAGGCTCCCTATAGGTATACAGTGCTGAGGTCCTAATGGATAAGAACAACCTTTAAAACATTTATTAAGATAAAAAGGATAAAATACATCCTGTCTATAGTACAGTTGTTGGGTCTTTTTTAGTGTGAAAAGTGGTAGATAAGCAGTTCCTGAGGAGCCCAGTGGGAAGCCTGGAAAGACCTTCGTGTTCTCCTTTAGTATTTTGTAACTTGTTTACTTATTAAACTAATGCCTAGGCAACAAGAATAGCATTTTTCTTGCATGGAATCCATCTCTAAGAAAACATACACCTGGAAGCTGTCAACAACAATATGCCAACAAGCCAGGGTGAGCCCATTGACAGAGTTGGCATGGATCAGCTTTAATCCTTCCTCACGGCACTGAAGCAAAGGACTTAGAAGAGTACTTGTCAGGGGTTCTCACAGGAATTCCACTCTGCCTGGCTATCCAAAGATCACAGCCACCTCCCCTGTCACCTGATGTCAGGGCTCCTAAGGATGCTTTACAGAAAGCTCTGCTGAACCAAACTCGAGATCTCAAATAGCACAAGTCCAGATATAAATTCTGAAAATCCTTCTTGAGATGAAAATCTCTCTCCCCAGATCCACCAAGCTCCCTGATGACATGCCAACTTGGTCTCTTTGTTCATTATCTCCAAGATCTCAGGCTGGCTGCTAAGCCACTGCAGCAGCCTCCTTACCTGATGTCCCACTTATACCCCCAAACTCAACACAACTTCTCTAGGATATTCTGTCCATTGCACCATTTTACCCCAAATTCTTAGGTGTACTAAAGTTTTGTTCCAGCTTGGATTGTGCACAGTAACTCCAATACTATCTTCACCACTATTCCCATGCCTCACCCCCACTAAACCTGCTGGGCTGGGCCTGTACTGAATCTCCGCACCACCCTCACCCACTCCACCCTACCTCACCATCTTTGTTGGATCACTGCTCACTTGCAGAAAGTCAAGTGTAAACCCTGCTAGTCATTTCCACTCTTTTTGGCCTTTAATCACTCATGATAGCCCTTTAATGTGTCCCTTAGACTCTATGATATTTGATAGTAAAAGAGGTATTGAAAGCATATTTTCTGGTCCTCCTGCTTTCAGATTCTTCCTTCTGTCCCTACTTCTGAGATGGAGACTGAGTAGGGAGTCACCAAACTGATCTGGAGAAGATGAACTAGATATGCTCAGATTATGGACCCTGGCCTCAGTGGGGAGAAACTGGAATTCTAACCCACCAGTCCAACTGTCATATCCAATTTTAAACTCTGGCTGCGAACCATGGCTCACACCTGTAATCCCAGCATTTTGGAAGGCCAGGCAGAAGGATTGCTTGAGTTCAGGAGTTCAAGACCAGCCTAGGCAACATAGTGAGACACTGTCTCTACAAAAATAAAAATAAAAAACATGTCTGGCAGCAGACTTCTCAGTGGAAAGCTTACAGGCCAGGCGAGAGTGGCATGACATATTTAAAGTGCTGAAGAAAAAAAAAAACTTTTATCCTAGAATAATATATCCAGGGAAAATATCCTTCAAAGATGAAGGAGAAATAAAGATTCCCAACCAAACAAAAGTTGAGGGATTTCATCAACACCAGACTTCTCCTACAAGAAATGCTAAAGGGAGTTCTTCACTTTGAAAGAAAATGATGTTAAGGAGCAATAAGAAATTATCTGAAGGGGCTGGGTGCAGTGGCTCACGCCTGTAATCCCAGCACTTTGGGAGGCCGAGGCAGGCAGATGACCTGAGGTCAGAAGTTCAAGACCAGCCTGGCCAACATGACAAAACCCTGTCTCTACTAAAAATACAAAAAAAAAAAAAAAAATTAGCCAGGCGTGGCAGTGCATGCCTGTAATCCCAGCTACTCGGGAGGCTGAGGCAGGAGAATCACTTGTACCTGGGAGGCGGAAGTTGTAGTGAGCCAACATTGCGCCACTGCCCTCCAGCCCAGGCAACAGAGTTAGACTCCGTCTCAAAAAAAAGAAATTATCTGAAGGTATAAAACTCACTGGTAATATTAACTACACAGACAAGCACAGAATATCATGACACTATAATAGTGTTATGTAAACTACTCATATCTTGAGCAGAAATTCTAAAAGCTGAATCTATCAAAAATAGTAACTACAACTTTTCAAGACATAGATAGTAGAATAAGACATAAATAGAAACCATAAAATGTTAAAAAGTGGGGGCAATGTGGTGTGGAGTTTTTATTAACTTTCTCTCCTTTGTTTTTTGCGATTAGTGTTAAGTTGTCATCAGTTTTAAATAATGGGTTATCAAGGAGGATCGCTTGAGCCCAGGAATTTGAGACCAGCCTGGGCAACACAGTAAGACTCTCTCTCTATAAAGAAAAAAAACTTAAAAAAAAAAAAAGAAAAGAAAACAAGACCCAACAATCTGTTGCCTACAAGAAACACTCTTCACCTATAAATACACACATAGGCCTAAAATAAAGGGATGGAAAAAGATATTCCACACAAATGAAAACCAAAAAAGAGTAGGAGTTGCTATATTTCTATCAGATAAAATAGATTTCAAGAGAAAAATATAAAAAGAGACAAGATTATTATATAATGATAAAGAGGTCAACTCAGCAAGAGGGTATAACAATTGTATATGCACTCAACACTGGAGTACCCAGATAAAAAAAGCAAATGTTATTAGAGCTCAGGAGAGAGATAGACCCCAATACAATAATAACTGGGGACTCCAACACCACACTTTCAGCATTGGACAGATCATCCAGACAGAAAATCAACAAACATCCAACTTAATCTGCACTATAGACCAAATAGACCTAATAGATATTTACAGAACATTTCGTCCAACAGCTATAGAATACACATTCTTCTCCTCAGCACATGGATCATTCTTGAGGATAGACCATATGTTAGGCCACAAAACAAGTCTTCAAAAAATTTTTTTTTTAAATTAAAATCAGGCCAGGCATGGTAGCTCACGCCTGTAATCCTAGTACCTTAGGAGGCTGAGGCGAGTGGATCACCTGTGACCTATTCATATAACGGACACTACATAACAAGGAGAATGAAGGAACTAAAACTTTGTGCAATCACATGTATGAATCTCACAAACATAATGGTGAGCAAAGTAAGCCAGGCACAAATGAGAACACATTATATGATTCCATTTATATAAAATTGAAAATCAGACAAAATAAATCAGTGATGTTGGAAGTCAGGATGGTGTTTACCTGTTGGGATGGTGGAGATAGTAGTGACCAAGAGGAAGGCACAAGAGCTACTTTTGGGTGGTAATATTGTTCTTTTCCTTGATCATACTCACATAGGTTACATAGGTGTTGATTTTGTGAAAATTCATTGAACTGTAAACTTACCTACTTTTCTGCATGCATGTTATCCTTAAAAAGTTTACTAAATTACCTGTACATCCTTATGATAGGAAATCTAGAAAATAGAAACTATATAGTGTTAAAAAACAGTTTTCAAAATAAGGAAACATTATGACTGTCATATATAAATATAAAATGAGCACATCAAAGATTTTATTTAACTCATTAATTAATGAGAAAACCAGTAAGGTGTTATAGCTGGTTCAAATGGATTTGATTTACAGAGATCTATATTACCTGCCAGACAAAATTTATTTGCATTGACATGAACAGGGATCATTTCCAGTTATAACAGGAAACATTTGCATTAATGTCAATTTTCTACATCTTCACCTCTTTCTCTACAGAGTTATAAATAGTCTAATCAAAGACTAGTCAAAGACAATGAAAGTAGAAATGAATGGATGCACTAATTAGGATACCCACTACATTTCAAAGGTTTTAACATTTTTACTTACAATAGAGTAAAATCAAAACAACCTGTAATCCTTCTATTCAGGAGTAATCTATATATACACAATTTTGTGCCATATTTTTAAATATTACATAAGAATTGTCTTATATCTAGAGCAAAATTACTTAAGTAAAATTTTTAGAAAACAACTTTTCATATTGAGTACAAAGGTTTTTTTCCCCTTTGTTCTAAAAATCCTCTGTTCACATTTCTGGTTATTTCCTTAACATATTTTCTTAGAAGGAAAAGTATTGGATCAAAAGATATGACCATTTTTAAGACTCTTGATACATATTGCCAAGTTGTTGTTGTGGTGGTTGTTGTTGTTGTTTTGTTTTTGAGACAGAGTCTCGCTCTGTCGCCCAGGCTGGAGTGCAGTGGCACAATCTCAGCTCACTGTAACCTTTGCCTCCGGTTTCAAGTGATTCTCCTGCCTCAACCTCCTGAGTAGCGGGACTACAGGTGTGTACCACCACGCCTGGCTAATTTTTGTATTTTAGTAGAGATGGGGTTTCACCATGTTGGCCATGGTCTAGAACTCCTGACCTCAAGTGATCCACCTGCCCAGCCTTCCAAAGTGCTGGGATTACAAGTGTGAGGCACTATGCCCAGCCTTATATTGCCAAGTATTATAGGAATACTTTGCAGCACATAATTAGGTTGGAGGGTGAGAGGAAGCAAAAATCTTTCTAAGCTACTTTCATACTCCCAGAATTACTCCTGTCCGTAAGATTTCCAGGAGTAAAACATGTTTATAGTTTTGCAACTACCCACCATCTGCCTTTTTCTCTTCCTTTGCTTTTGGACTTTGAGCAAAAACCCAGTACTTGCCTAAGGAAAAAGTGTGGGTTGGCACAGCAAACCACAAAAATCTCAAGTTCTAACCAAATTTAAGGCTGCAAGATGCCTCCCTGCACTGATGGCTTCATCTGTATTAGGTTATAAATCCCTTGAGGAATTTTCTAGGACCCAATTCTAGCCCTACTTCCCGTGTTTACACATATTTTCTGATCTGTTTTGCCAGTATTGATTTAAAATATTTTGACAGCCGGGCGTGGTGGCTCACGACTGTAATCCCAGCACTTTGGGAGGCTGAGTCAGGTGGATCACGAAGTCAGGAGATCAAGACCATCCTGGCTAACACGGTGAAACCCTCTCTCTGCTAAAAATACAAAAAATTAGCTGGGCATGGTGGCACACGCCTGTAGTCCCAGCTACTAGGGAGGCTGAGGCAGGAGAATCGCTCGAACCCAGGAGGCAGAGGTTGCAGTGAGCCAAGATAGCGCCACTGCACTCCAGCCTGGGCGACAGAATGAGACTGTCTCAAAAAATAAAATAAAATAAAATAAAATAAAATAAAATATTCTATAAGCCACATATATCTAACCATGAGACCCAACTTAATTCAACTATTCTATCAATTGCCTACTGAGTGCCAGGAACTGTGGTGTACTAGGCCTAGAGTAAGTCGTGAGCAAAACAGACTTTTTCCTGCTATAGGAGCAGAAAGGTGTAGTACCTTTCTTCATCCATCATAAGCGTTACAGTTGACACTCCTATAACAAAAGACAGATTAACAAGAGAAAAGCATAACAAATTTATTTAACCAAAGTTTTACATGAAATGGGAGCCTTTAGAAATGAATAGCCCCCCTCCCCCAAAAAAAAGAAATGAATACCCAAAGATGCAAGGAAAACTGTGTTTTTATGCTGAGGCTCGATGAAGAATGGACAGCCATGTAGAAATGTGACTGGACAAGAGAGTATGATCTTACTGTAATAGACTGAGGAGGAAACCCAGCAAGGCCTGCCTTTCTGTTTAGGTTCTTCTGGGTCTCTTTATGTAGCATTCCTTCCTCCTGAGTATGGGTAGGACCCCTCTGGAATGAGAGTCTCCAGGATAAAAGGGAAAGAATGACCCAGAGGTTTTATGGCTTGCTTTGCAGAAGAGTGGTCCTAGTGTCTAGGACCTGTCTTGGCATAGAGGAATTCTGATTTCTATCCTTGTTTTAGAGAAGAAAAAGAGACAAGAGACAGGAGAGCAGAAGAGGGTCAGAGAACACTTTATTCCGAGGTCCTTCCAGAGTCCTTCAGTTTAAAGTACTCAGCCAAGGGCCGATCATGGTATCTCACACCTGTAATCTCACTACTTTGAGAGGCTGAGGCGGGAAGATCACTTGAGGTCAGGAGTTTGAAATCAGCCTGACCAATATGGTGAAACCCTGTCTACTAAAACACAAAAATTAGCCAGGCATGGAGGCGGGTACCTGTGATCTCAGCTACTTGGGAGGCTGAGGCAGGAGAATCGCTTGAACTCAGGAGGCAGAGGTTGCAGTGAGCCGAGATCGCACTATTGCACTCCAGCCTGGGCGACAGAGTGAGATTCCCTCTCAATAAATAAAAAAAAATAAGTAAAATAAGTAAATAAATAAGTAAAGTACTCAGCCAAGTGAGGTGCCATACTTTGGAGTAACATGTCCTGAGTCCTGACACTGCGCTGAGGATTTAGAAAGTATGATTACCATATACTATATAAAATATAGCCATATATATATAGAAGGAGCATTATACATTTTAATGTCAAGCTATTTATTATTTTGTTTTATTTCTTTATTTTATAGAGACAAGGTCTTATTATGTTGCCCAGGTTGGAGTGTCTATGCATAGGGCGCGATCATAGTGCACTGCAGCCTTCAACTCCTGGCCTCAATGGATCCTCCCGGCCTCATCCTCCCAAGGCTATTTATTATTTTGTTATATTGGTAGGTAGGTCTCTTACCAACTGGATAAAATGCTCCTTGAAGGCAGGGGCCATGTCTTTACTTCTCTGGTATACTCCAAAGTGCTGAGCATTTAATAGGCATCCAGTGGAGAGCAACCCAGTTGAAAACATTAGTGCCTCATGTCTGCATGAACCAAGCTTGCCTTCCAGCTCCTCACAGAATCTCTGTGGGAATAAGTAACATGATTGGAAAACATGAAATAACTTACTATGTAAGTGATCATTTTACACTTTATGTCATCACCAATAGGTGGCACCATCAATTTTAAAATTATATAGCCCAAAATTGTACATATTGATGGTGTTTGTTCAATAGATGTTTACTGGACTCCATGTATGTAGAAACTTCTCAGCTCGCCACTACCACCAGAGTAAAAATAAAAGTATTACAGACACGCTTTATCATACTTTCTTTTCTAGTAATACCCTAAAAAACATGTATTTCCACTTTCAGATTTCATCCCCGTTTTAAAAAAACAACATCTAAATCTTGGATAACACAAAAACAACGGTTTTACAATTTTGTCCTTTTGTGTTTGTGTGTATGTGTGTGCATTCCAACCCAGCTTAATATCTTATTGTAAAAGGGAAAAAGGGATGCAAAAATAAATAAAAAGCAAATTTAAAAACCTGGGTTTTAGTGGGGGAAGGGGACCTATCAGCAGAATTTAACCCGAGTTGGCTTTCAGTTAACACAATTTACCACTCCTCTCTTTCTTTCCTTTTGGAAGATAACAAAAGTTTGATTCAGGCACAGAAGAATTATTTCAACAGCTTCCAAGTCCGCATAATCCCATCTGGAGATAATAAAAGGCCCCATTCCTCTGTGTTTATTTCAAGAGGTTCGTTCTTTGGAATGACCTGAGGTTGCAAACTGTAGAACAGTTGCCAGCTGAAGAGAACTGCAGCTTGAATGCTACTCAGGAAGTCTCTATGGACCTGGGATAACTCCTCTGAGATTTCCTTAGTGTAGAAAGAGGCCCCTGTGCCCTTCCTTCTCTACAAGATGAGGGCAAAAAAGGGACAAAAGAGAAAAAGAGGGGAAAGGGAGCAGTGAGGAAATTAAACTGCAGTATTTGCATCAAACACCATATAATAGTCACTAATTCACTAATTTATCCACCTACTGCTGAGAGAATAGGAAACTCTGCCCAAGTCTGCCTTTTTTTTTTTTTTTTTTTTTTTTTTGAGACGGAGTCTTGCTGTATCGCCCAGGCTGGAGTGAAGTGGCGCAATCTCGGCTCACTGCAAGCTCCGCCTCCTGGGTTCACGCCATTCTCCTGCCTCGGCCTCCCGAGTAGCTGGGACTGCAGGCGCCCGCCACCATGCCTGGCTAATTTTTTGTATTTTTAGTAGAGACGGGGTTTCACCATGTTAGCCAGGATAGTCTCGATCTCCTGACCTCATGATCCGCCCGCCTTGGCCTCCCAAAGTGCTAGGATTACAGACGTGAGCCACCGCGCCTGGCCGTCTGTGCCTCTTTTTACTGAATGTCTTTAAAGTGCGATGAATGGCATTAGGGAGTTGGGAAGATGCACAGAGGGAACATAGAAGGGTTTTTGTCATTCAGGAGCTTCCAATCTAGTAAACCATAAGAGTGTCTTGTATAGTGGTGGTTAGAAAGGCAGGCTGCTTTATTCATTTGTACCACAACTCCACCACCTATGCACATTTGTGCTAATTTCAAGCAAAGGGGAATATGGATCCACCTTTACACTACTCTGCAAAAAAGAAAAATTACCTATCCTCCTCTGATGTTTTTAGAAATTCGAAATAAATTTTAAATGAAGTAAAGCAATGAGGCAAAGTTTTTATTTCAAACCATGAGCCCTTCTCTCCCCACTAGTTGAGAATCTCTATGATACTTATTCAATGTGATGAAAGATTGCTCAGGCTCAGAAAGGGGCAAGTTATGATTGGAGACAATGACTTTGCAACATAATCAATTCATCTAGTTTTGCTATTACCTTGACAGCCTAGGTCCAGGAGCAGGGAAATTAGATGGTGTCCTATTCAGAGTTGGGAATGGCAAGACTGGCTCATGGGCCAGGGATGATGAAACCAGCATGCTGGTCAAAGCCTTTGCTAAATATCTCCCCATGGAGCCCAGGCTCAGAAATGGCTGTCCAGCCTTTTGCAGCCCTTCCTAGGCTGCCATAAAAATGTACCACCAGGCAGCTTCAAACAACAGAAATGTATACTCTCACAGTTCTGGAAGCTAGAAGTCCAAGACTAAGGGATTGGCGGGATTGGTTTTTTCTGAGGTCTCCAAAGGAGAATCTGTTTCATGCCTCTTTGCCAGCTTCTGATGGTGGCTGGCAATTGCTGGTATTCCTTGTCTTGTAGATGCATCACTCACATCTCTGTCTCCATCTTCACATGATGTTCTCACTATATTTCTGCATCTTCACATGGCCCTCTTCACGTGGACATTAGTCTTGTTGGATTAAGGGCCCACTCTACTTCTCTAGTATGACCTCATCTTAATTAGTTACATCTACAATGACACTATTTCCCCCAATAAGCTCACATTCTGACGTACTGAGGGCTAGGACTTCAACATATTTCACCGAGGGCACAAAATTCAGCCTGCAACAGGCCTGATGGCAGGGAAGAGAGCTGAGTGTTGTAGGGGGAGAAGGAGGGACTAAGGGCTGGTCAGAGTGGCAGGGAGTACAGGGTGGAATTCTCAACACTCAGGAATGGTGGAGGTGGCTTTGGTCTCAAATTGATCCAAGTTTAGGATAACTATATTGGTTCATGCAGATTTAATTGTGCCTCCAGTTTTAGAACTTTTTTTTTTTTTTTTTTTTTTTTTGAGATAGGGTCTCCCTTTGTTGTCCTGGCTAGAGTGCAGTGGCGTGATCATAGCTCACTGTAGTGCTAACATCCTGGGCTCAGTCTCCTGATTAGCTGGGACTACAGGCACACTGCACTATGCCCAGATTTTTTTTGATTTGTGTAGAGATAGGGTCTCACTAGGTTTTCCAGGCTGGTCTCAAACTCCTGGGTTCAAGCAATTCTCCAGCCTGGACCTCCCAAAGTGCTGGGATTATAGGTATGAGCCACTGCACTCAGCCTAGAACACCACTTTTTAACCATCAGGACTTTACTTGGATATGTGAGTTAAATGCTTTACTAAAGTCCCAGTGTAGATGGATTCAGTCCTCTCCAGAGGCTTGGGGTGCTAATCTGGTTGGAAGTGAGAAGCTTGGGGACTTGTCTTAAGCTGTGCTTTATGGCAAGCTCATCATGTTTACATGGTTTGTTATTACTTAGGGCAATCTGGGATTAGGGGAGCTAATGAAGATTAGGGAAGCCAGACCCCCAATCAACCCTTGGACTTGCGTTGGTCTCTAGCTTATCCTTTTATCTTGCTGACCTTTCAAGATCTGTTGTAACTATATTAACTCAAATCTGTTTGTTGGAAATTGAACCAAGACTATACGATCTCCATGTTCTCAGACTCACTTACTGGCTTATGCTCAACAACAGAGAGAGGGCAGTGTGCAGCGTATGAGTTAACTTTTGTAGTAGAATAGTTCAAGCATTTTAGAGCAGGCTATAGCCACAGACTTGCATAGTGTGGCAACACAGGTTGTACAACTTACGCAAACAAAAAGATGCACATTTAATTGAGTACGGTGAATGGTCACTTCTGGGGAGGGGGAGGAGAATAAGAGGAGAAACATAAAATGGATGGATGGATAGATAGGTATATAGGTAGATAGATAGATAGATAGATAATCAATAGATAGGGATAAATAGAACAAGAGAGAGGCCGCGAAGAGACTGATGAAGAGAGGGTACTATAGAATGAGGAGTATTATTAATTCAACCTCCTGCATCTTTAGTCTAAAAGAACAAGAATAGCCAGAATGTCTGGATTAAAAGTGCGAATCCTCTACCCACTAGGTTTTTGTAAGTTAGCTAATCTCTCTTTCCCTCAGCTCATTTAAAACAGAGGTAATATTAGTACCTACCTCATGGAATTGTTGTGAAAACGAAATGAGTCGGAATGTGTAAAGTGCTTAGAAGAGCACCTGACACTCAACCAGTAACTACCAGTAATAAACATTCAACCATATGGTCAGGAGAATTAAGTAAAATAATCCACATAAAATGCTTAGGCACTTAACAGTGCCTGGCTCATTGTGTTCAATAGACGTTAGTTAGGCAGCTGTTGTCATAGTCAACATCATTGTCATTATCATCATTTCTTTAAATGGCCAACTCCATTCCTTTAGTCACTTACAGAGAGGTAGCTGGACACAGTGTTGTACAGTGGAAAGAGAATGCTTTCTCCTATACTAATGCCACCTCCATCTTTTCCTTTTGTGTGATCTTAGGCAAGTCAATTCTTCCAGCATTGGTTTCTGCAAGTAAGCCTCCTACACCCATTGTTAGCATTAAATCTCACTCTGGGCACATCACTCATTTGGAGGCTCTAGTGTTGAAACCCCACACTTAACTCTGTATTAGCTATTATGCCAGGCAAGCAAAGACAAGGGCCTGACCCTCGGGGAAGTCATGTTGGCCCTAGTGAAATGGCCAGACCATTAGGCATACCATGCCCTGTACCTACGCAAGCCTCATCAGTGCAGCCTAAACGCATAGCCCCAGTGTGGAGTCATTTGGAACCATTAGTGTTACATGGAAGCAGGGACCCAAACCAAGATGGGTCAATCTGGGTCATTCCCCATTGTCTGAGGGATTCTACTTGTCTTGTTTTGACTTTTGATTTTCTGTTTTGTGTCAGAGTTACCCAGAAATTGCTTTGTGTCGGGTGTTATACTGTTTCACATGTATTCTCTCATTTAAACCTCATAATAACCCTGTGAGGAAACAGCTGCTATTCTCCCCCATTTTATGGATGAAGAAACTGAGGTACAGCATTTTAGAGTAATTTACCCCAGGTTACACAACTAGTAAGTGGCTAAGCCAGTAGCCAAACCACAGCAGTCTGGCAGCAGAACCCTTGCTATTATATAATACTACCTCTTGGAAATTTCCAGGGAGTTTGGCAGTTTGGGCCAAAATGAGAATTGGACATAATCTGTGATCCAACAGTTTCACTTTAATGAATTTATGTAACAAATCTGTTTGACTTGCTGTTTGAATTGCTTATAATGACAAAAGAAAAAAAGGTAAACATCCACCTATAGGAAACTAGTTAAATAGTTTATGCTATATTGTTGCAACAGGGTGATGCAGACTCAAGAAAAATAATAATGCAGGCTGGGCGCGGTGGCTCACACCTGTAATCCCAGCACTTTGAGAGGCTGAGGCGGGTGGATCACCTGAGGTCAGGAGTTCGAGACCAGCCTAGCCAACATGGCAAAACCCCGTCTCTACTAAAAATACAAAAAATTAGCCAGGCATGGTGGTGCGTGCCTGTAGTACCAGCTAGTTGGGAGGCTGAGGCAGGAGAATTGCTTGAACCAGGGAGGTGGAGGTTGCAGTGAGCCGAGATCATGCCACTGCACTCCAGCCTGGGTGACAGAGCAAGACGCTGTCTTGAAAAAAAAAAAGAAAGAAAGAAAGAAAGAAAAGAAAAAGAATAATGCAGATTTATATGCATTCATGTGAAACTATCCTCAAGATATATTCTGAAGTGAAAGGAACATTGCAAAACTGTGTATTTTTTATTTTTTATTTTTTAACCTGGCTCACTACTGACAGATGTATTTTTTAAAATATTGCAAAATAGCCAGGTGCAGTGGCTCGTGCCTGCAATCCCAGCACTTTGGGAGGCTGAGGTGGGTGGATCCTTTGAGGTCTGGAGTTTGAGACTAGCCTGGCCAACATAGTGAAACCACGTCTCTACTAAAAATACAAAAATTAGCTGGGTGTGCTGGCGTGCACCTGTAATCCCAGCTATTCAGGAGGCTGAGGCAGGAGAATCGCTTGAGCCTGGGTAATGGAGGTTGCAGTGAGCCGAGATTGTGCTACTGTACTCCAGCCTGGGTAACAGAGTGAGACTCTGTCTTAAAACAAAAAAAGAGAGAGAGGAGAGAGGAAGTAAGAAAACACTCATTGGTGGTATGGAGGTTTCAGACCCTCCTCAAAGGTTCCTGTTCACTTTGGGTTTCTAGGGAAACCTGATTCAGTCTGAGTTCCTGAAGTACGACGACGAAGACTCCTGCAGGTTAACATTGTGGCCACTTCCGTGCCTCATTTCACTTAACCCTCACAACTATGTATAAAGTAGTTTTATTATATCTACATTTTGCAGATTACTATCAAGTAGATCTGAGCCAAGAGTGCAACCAAAACAGATCCTCCAGTGGTAATCAAAGGCTGAAATAGGCCTCCCCTACTCTGTTCCATCCCCACTCCATTCAGTTTTTAAGGTAGCCAAGGGTCTCCTAGACCAGTGCTTCTCAAAATGTGGTGCCCAGGCCAGCAGCATCATTATCCGATAGGAAGTTGTTAGAAATGCAGATTCTCAGACCCTACTCCAGACCTGCTGAATCACAAACTCTGGGGATGGGACCAGCCATCCGTGTGGTTTTATGTTTGGTTTCAGTTTTGTTTTTTGAAGGAGGGCCTTGAACTCCTGGCCTCAAGAGATCCTACCACCCTGGCCTCCCAAGTAGTTGGGACTACAGGCATGTGCGACCACACTTGGCTGATTTTTTTTTATTTTTTGTAGAGACAGGGTCTTGCTATGTTGCCCAGGCTGATCTCCAACTCCTGTCCTCAAGAAATCCTCCTGCCTCAGCCTCCCAAAGTGCTGGGATTACCAATGTGAGCTACCATGCCTGGCCCATCTGTGTTTTAATGAGCCCTTCAAGTAATTCTGATACATGTTAAAGTTTGAGAACCATTGTCCTAGGCTAATGGCTTCACCTGCCAAACATTTAAAACACACTGATGCCTGAGTCTCACCCCAACCCAGGATTCTGATTTAATTGGTTTGGATGTAGCCTGGTCATGGGTTTTGTAAAGCTCCCCACATAAATGGAGACCACTGCAACCTGCACCTTCTGAAGCAGCCACTTTCATTGGGAATGGCTAATGTCACACTTACGGCATAAAGACAAGCTGCAGGGACTAGCCATCTATGTGAGGACATCACAACTTCCCAGTTTTAAGTCTTTTCCCCTTCCCCAAACCCTGCACCTAAACCGAGAGGTATGGGTGAAAAATCCTCCTTGGCTAAGCAGGTGTGAGCTCGTTAGTTTTGATAGCTTCATGTTTCTTACTTTAAGCCAATAAATTCAGTCTTTAGTGAGTATTGAGAAGATGCAGGAGAGAAAATATCAAGTTGCCTAGAGAATAATGTAATAGAGGAAATGAGATCTATAAATGGCATAGTAAAAGCTTAATATTATCAGCTCACTCCTTCCTGGGCTTATATATTTTGTACTGAAGGTCGTATCATATCGCATAGCACATCTCCAGTATAACAGAGTTTCAGTCAGCATTTGTCTAATAAATTAATCTGTTAATTAATCAATAAATGAATGGATATCACTGATGAAGAGGCTGATTCTGTCTTTGGCGTCCAGTGTCCAACTTACTACCAATGCTGCTCTTGGCGTGAAACTCTTGGCATGAAAGTCCATTGACAATAAATGTGCTAGGATCAGGTGCTAGAGCTGAATGTCACCAGAAAGAGACTATAAACCCAGATGGAGGCAAGGCACAGTGGCTCATGCCTGTAATCCCAGCACTTTGGGAGGCTGAGGTGGGCAGATCACTTGAGGTCAGGAGTTTGAGACCAGCCTGCTCAACATGGTGAAAACTTGTCTCTCCCAAAATATAAAAATTAGCTGGGCATGGTAGCGTCCCCCTGTAATCCCAGCTACTGGGGAGGCTGAGGCAGAAGAATCACTTGAACCTGGGAGGCATAGGTTTCAGTGAGCCGAGATCATGCCACTGCACTCCAGCCTGGGCAACAGAGCAAGACTCTGTTTCAAAACAAGCAAACAAACAAACAAACAAACAGATGGAGGCAGGAAAGGAAAAGTGGGTATAGTGGTCATTAAAGCTGGTGGCCAAATATTTCCAAGTCTCCTCCCTGGGACATAGAAGGGTCCCCCTGTGTTGCCCAGGCTGGTCTAGAACTCCTGGGCTCAAGCAGTCCTCCTACCTCAGCCTCCCAAAGTGTTGGAATTCTAGGCGTGAGTCACCTCACCAGTCCAGATCTCCCATTGTATTCATGACTCCTCATTTGCCCTGTATAATCAATGGCCAGAGTTTGCAAGCCCACTGGGCAGGATTCTCTGCCATGGATTGCAGCCAGCCACTGGTCCAAAGGAGGGTAGTCTTTGTTAAATTGAGGAACGAGGTACACAACCCTCCCTAGGGATCCTTCCTACTGGTTTAAAGGAATTAGAATAAAGCCTTATCCAGAGAGGGGTGGTGACAAAGCATGCAGCACAGGTAATTTGAAGCCCAAGAGCTCAAACATAACTAGACTGTTTTGCCAGCCTTGGACAAAGAGAGTGTAGTTTTTGAGGAAAACACCACTGTCCTGCTATCTGCACTTGGGCAGCCTCCAGGGCTGCACTGAGGTTTCAGTCTCTGAGTACGGTCAATGGCATCAACTGTTCTGATGGCTTTAGAAGAAATTAGGCAGAAAATGTGTGCATATTTGAACTGTTTAGGGAATAGACATAGGAATAATCAAATATGCAAAACCTACTGCTTTGAGATTTTTTTTTAACAGATGTGTTCCCTACAGAACAGGTTTCTCTTATTGCCTGGATCCAAGAGCATCTCCTGGGTTCTTCCTGTTAGAATACTGAATGTCCATGGAGAGTTTAACATAAGGAAGAAGAGGCCTGTCTCCCAGCTGAAACTGGTGCAGCAGATCATGCAAAGTAAAACCTCAGCAGCTGTGATGAAGTAGAGCAGAGGGCCTGGGTGTCTGTCAGCTCCAAGCGGAAGATTTCCCCAGCTTTCTAGGTAACTGTGCTTCCACTGAGCAAGCCAGACACAGACTTGAATGTCATCACAATCTGTGCCTGTGACATCTTTCCCCAAGAATAGCACAAATTGAACTTTTACATTCTTCATAATATGGAAGGAAAGGTATTGACTGAGCCACTTCTTTATGCCTCAAGACATCTCATATGTATTTATATGGATACATACATGAATGTATATATTCTGTCATAATAACATATTCTATTTTTCTTATTATAGCACAGTGTTAGGATAGGCTACATAGGCTGCATTAAACCCTCAAATAGAAGTTTATATTATGCATCAGAAGCCAGTGCAGGGACTCTCCTCAGCACAACATCTCTAAGTGGTGACTTGGAGGTTCAGGCTCCTTTCATCTTAAAATGCCATCATCTTCAGCATTTGGCCTCAACAGTTGCCAGAGAGGGAGAAGAGAGTATGTATAAGACCACACTGCAGGATCTGTGTTAGGTCTGCAAGCACTGCTGTCACCTCTGCCAAATCCCGTTAGCCAGAACCCAATCATATGGCCCCATCCTAACTGCAAGGGAAGCCTGGGAAAGGTCTTCTTGTATGCCAGGAAAAGAAAATGAAATCGACAAGTATCTAGCCAGTCTTTGCTACAAGTTTCTACATGTTGGAATTATTATCTATATTTTTCTTCTGATCATGCTTAGCATTTGATACTATGTAGACTGCCTTGTTGAGTCCTGCTGTATTTTGTGACATCCACATGCAGCATCCCATTCCTCACAACAGGACTAGGAGTGGTCAGAAGTTTTATCACCCACTTTATGGACGGAAACCCTGAGACCCAGAGCAGTTACATGGCTTGTCCAAAGTTACATAGTACTGTTAACTTAAAAACACAATTTATAAATTTAGACAAAGAAAGAGGAGACTTTATTTCTTATAAAGGGTTATAGCCTTCAAAGTGGCTATCTCACAGGCTGGGAAGCTCAGCCTTCAGCAGAAGCCCAGAGACAAGCATTTTGAAGGCAGAGGGGTTGGGATGGAGCTTTATGCTGAACAGGTTGACTAAATATACATATTCAACAGGTTACAGGAGGAGCTATGAATATTCATGAGGGTGGTCCTGACACATGCGTATTGAACAAACATACATGTAACACATGACCCATGTTCACTTTGGGATGGAGACTTAACATTTCAATGTATTACAGTTAGGCCCTACACATCAAAAGGTCATTTCAGGACACAAAAGCTCACAAGTACACAATCTCTGTAAACTAGTCAGAACCAGTCCATGGTTGGTGGTCTTATCAGGAAAAAGTTACTAAAATTAGTCTCTCATCCAATGAAAGCTGTAGTTATGGCTGGTGGAACAGGGGTTCAGTTGGGCAGAGTCTATGAGCAGGATGATTTGCAATTGTTTAAATATTGCTTATCTTGAGGCCAGTGCTTGTTTAGCTGCTGGAGAAAAAGAAAATCCTTGTGGCAGTTAGAGCATAGTTTCTTCCTTAGGTGTAGGAGTACATGACTTCCCCTCACCTGGCATGGCCTTAGGTCCTGTTTATAATTCGGTATCTTATTGCCACAAAGAATCTGTTCTGTGAGTCATGTGATCTCTATTGGAACATTAATGCTGCTCAGTTGTTGTGTCTAAACCATAAAAGAGAAGGAGAGTATAATTAGGCATGTCTGACCTCTCATCATAGCTGGGAACTAAGTCTTTAAATTTTTTTCTGGGGTCCTCTTGGCCACAAGGGGGTCCATTTAGTCAGTGGGGGCCTTGGGATTTATTTTTAGTTTACATTGCTAAGTGACAGAGCTTTGCTTCTTTCACTCTGAGGTTAGTGGTCTCTCTGCTGTGCCACATTGTCTTCCCCAGAAGCTCAAACTGGATGCCCAGCCCTCAGTGTACAAACTCAAGTATGCAAGAAATACATCTTTATTCTTTTATGAATATACCTAATTTATATGTTGGAAGGTGTCAGCAATGAATTTGATCACTTTGGTATTTCTCTACCTTTAAAGATATGTTTACATTTGGGGTGGGATGAAGGTTTGGTGGAGGGGAAGGTGGTCAGGTTGGGCCAAGGTATTGGGAAATCCATTTGTTCCTCATGTCAGCTGTTTGAGGAGGCACCAACCCAGATGTCCACAGTTCCTTCTGGCCTTCCTTTACCGATACTGATGCACCTGTGCCTCCTTCCTGTGTGCATGGCCCATTTGTGCCCAGCATCTCCCTGCTATTTTGGGGCCACTCCAGGGTCTGGGAAGTTCTGTAGGCTTATAACATACAGTCATTCTTCTCCCCAGCTTGCTGCCTCCCTGAGACACAGAGGTAGAGAAGTAGGAAAGGACCTACCGTACCCAGGCCTTTGCCCTCTCACTTTTCATCCATCCTTCTTCCCACCAGTGGAGGGATGTGTTTCTAGTCTTCCAGGGAAGCTCCTCTCTCCTCAAACCATTTTCTTCCAAATACTTTGGCTTTATTCCAAATCCTCTCTAGTCCTCTGAGATTTTTTTATAACACAAAACACAACTTACAGAAGTTGTGTTGTTGTTTTGCTGTTTATCTTGTCACATTATTTCTCTACCTTGAGGCAACAGGACAAGGGCCTGCTGTCCAGCGCACGGAGGCAGGGAGGAAGGGGTAGGGGAATACTAAGAAAAAAAAATTTCTCGATCACATGTGTACCACATTTAACTTTATCAGGTCCTTGTGAGGTGAGTATCTGTGTGTCATTGTTCTGAAACTAACAGTGAGGGGACAAAGCATTGATAGGAGTTCTTACAATATATTTGGGAACTCGCAGGTGAGGGCCTCTCCTGCCTGATTGGTCTTTCAATGTACCATCCCAACCCACCCACCTCAATCCCCATGGCTTGATCCTGCTGTCTCGGTGATCAAGCTTTCAGTTAAGAATTGGGTGATAATGAGCTAGTTAATCCAATTTAAAAAAAAAGAATTAGGATCTGGGCTCAGAAGCCCCACAGCTGTGAAAGCCTGGCCGTAGATTACTAGTCTTCTAGATGTAGAAAAGATTTTTCCTTTCTCTGGCTATTTAAGTCTTTATCAGTCACCCTGCCTCAGTTATCAACACACACCCTAGAGTAAATCTGTTCCCTGGGGGTGGAAATAGAAGGGGCATGTCATTGTACATCCACACTGATGAAAGGAAAGGAAACATTAAGATGGCTTAAGTGGAAAGGTCACATACGGCTTGTACTAGAGAGACACCATGCTAAAGCAAAACATCGTTTAAAAAAATTCTGACTTATCATGTGCTCAGAAATGCTCAAATGGGTACAACCATCACCAAGGGTGGGATGGGAGGGCAGGGGAAAAAAATATGAAGCATCAAAAAAAATTCTGATTTGTATTTGTGAAATTCAATAGTAACCCTATTCATTAACTGGATTTTAAAATCATTTCAAAGCACATTCGGCTTTCAAAAGATGTTTGTTTAAATAATACAGTTGGCTTTTGGTCAAAAAATGAAGTTTCGGTAATGCATAGTAACAACTGTAGTGTAATTACTGGCCACAAAATACCAGGTGCCAGACCAACCCTTTTCGAACCATTTAAGAGAACCAAGCCAAGCAAAAATGCCCAGCCTAGCCTTACCCAGAAGTTCAAAAGCTCAGCCTTTGTCACCAGGAAAAAATTAATTCAAAGAGCAAAGCCATTATTCGGCACAACCAGGTATTCTGTTGTAAACATCTTTTGTTAATACATGTTGAAAGCTGAACTTTCTCACGTTTGAGTGAAAGAGGGCTGCTTAAAGAGAGTTTAAACCAAGCCAGGTTCAAGGTTTTTTTCTTTTCTTTCTTTTTAGATTTCTGACTTCATATCTGTGGGATCCACACAATGGGGAGGTACTGGCCTTGGAATCCATGGTTCCCCAGCTATCATTTTACTTTAGAATTACAGTGTTCTCTGTTAGTGTCAAGGGAATGAACCTGACGAGAAAAGACCAAACATAGGACTGTTACAGGGAAGAAAAATATGAAAAGACCTAAAGATGCACGTCCTCATTATATGTAAGGAATCTATTTCCTAGAATCCTATAAAAAGCTCAAGTGAATTTGCTTCAGTTAATAAATGTGATTTAATTATAATGATAATGCCACAGCATATGTTTTGTTTCCTCTTTTTGAATTGCTCCCTGTTAATTATTGAGAGAAGAAATTCAGTGTAACTTTTTTGTAATCTGATAATGATGAGGCTGTCTCATGTGTTCCTTATGTGCTTCACAATGTATGCGTATGTGTGTGTATATAGTTAAGTTGAAGAAGACGGCCATGTGTGGGCGCTACAGACAGATGTAAGGCTAAAGAAAGGGCTCCATGGTGTTAGAGCAAAACCTCATGATAAAAAGCTCTTTTTTATACTTAGGACCTGATTGTATTGGGAGGAAAAACAAACATTCAGTCTTGGAATGACCTGAAAAACCTGTGGTATGAACCTACTCCCCTTTCCTCACCCTGGGATTAGAATGAAGTTCTACAGTTCAGCTAAGGTGACCAATTCACTTTGGTTCATCCATGTTCCATGTCTCAGGAAGACAGGAAGAGTCTGGGCTACCCTAGGTTCAGCTGATGGAGTCTAATGGCCCTGTATGCCTGCCTCTTCACCAGTAGGATGGTGGTGGCTGACATCACTGACATGGACTGTGGGGCTAGGACTGTTCTGACCACCTTATGTGTCCCTCTCATTTGGTCCTCACAGTGTCCTGAAAAGTTTGGTGGCTATCTGCGTTTCACACATGAGGAAACCAAGGAAAAAGAGAGTAAGCTATTAGGCTAAACCACGTGGAATTCCTGTGTGTGTAGATCAAAAAGGTTAAATATCAGCAAATGCATATTATTCAGTCTACAACTTGCCCAATATCACAGAGTTGGTAGGTGGTGATCCCAGAGTCTGAACTCTCAACTACCCAGGATCATAGCTACATATCTGTATTATAGATGACAGACCCAGGCTCAAAGCAAATGCATTATATACATATATATTGCTATCAGCAGACTACATCCTTTCTTCTCCAGTCTGTGGCTTCAACTGCTGATTTTATTCAGGTCATAGTGTGAAAGTTGGCTCAAGTCAGACAAGACTGCCCTGCCTGTGGCCTGTTCCTGCTGTGCAGCTAAAAGCAGCCCATCAAACCAGCTCTCTCAGGCTGGCTGCCTCAAAACCTGCCTGCCTAAAAATATCTTTCTCTCAGATGGCACAGAGCCATACACTCCATCTCCCCAGCTGAACTTCCCACCATTAGAACGACTCAGCTACCCACATGCCTTCCACCCGAGCCATTGTTAAAATTCAACTGTGAACCCTATAATCCTCTCCTGTTAACACACTAATGATTAGCTTATCAGGTTACATGAACTCGATCTTGGATCAAGTGAAGTTTGTTTGGGAGTTGGGCTGCAGATGGGTAAGGTCAGGAGCATGAGAGTGAATCATGGACTATTAGATGTGGCAGTAACATCAGAAGCTGTACTGGCCAGTCCCAGCATTTTACAGATGAGGAAACTGATGTTTAGGTGCCAAAGCCTAGGTGTCTTGACTTCAGGGTGACCAACCATCCCAGTTTGCCTGGGACTGAGGGATTTCCTGGCTGTAGAACTTTCAGTGTTCAAACCTGGAAAGTCCCAGACAAACTGGAACAGACTGACCACCGTGCTCGATTGGGAGCCCAAAACTCTTCTGCTTGTCTGGACAAGTCAGGTTTGAGCGTGCCCTTGCAGTAAGAACCCCTAGGCTGCTTGGTACAGCTCAAAAATGCCAGGTGGGGAAATGACCACAGACCTGGTTTACCAAGGCTGGCTCCCCTTCAGTCTCTAAGCATGGACTTGGATGCCATGTGGGAGCAGCCATATTGCCCCATGACTGACCAAAGTGTTAGCCTCTTGGGCCACAGCATTTAGGGAAGCTGGTTACATAGAGATGGTCTCAGAAAATAAGGCTGTGGTATGGTTTGTGTACTTCACAGAGATAGGACCACTGTGTCAGCCACAGCTCTGCGGTTCTCAAAGCTTGGGGGTGGAGTGCTGCTGCTGTTTGTCTCTGCTGCACATGGCTGCACAGATGTTGGGAATGGAGAAGTATTTGGGCAGGGAGATGGATCAGCAGGGTTCCCCGTGCTATCATCATTTCCTTTTTTAGAAGTTTTGTCATTTAGAGGTTTTGAATCTTGCAATAAGCGGTCATCCTTGATTAACTTTGGACTTTTTCCCTTAAATGTCAGGCACCTAATTTTAAACTTTTTCCTGGTTTTACTTCTCCTCCCAGGCTATTTTGTCCCCAGTCCTTGGTTGCTTGGCAGTTGTTTCCAATATAGCGCCTCCTGCTTTCCATTCAGCTGGGATCCAGCTCTAGCTCATGCCCTGTACCTGGGGCCTATGTGTGTAAACTAAAGAAGGGAAGGATGCCGGGCATGGTGGCTCACGCCTGTAATCCCAGCACTTTGGGAGGCTGAGGCGGGCAGATCATGAGGTCAGGAGATCAAGACCATCCTGGCCAACATGGTGAAACCCTGTCTCTACTAAAAATACAAAAATTAGCTGGGCGTGGTGGCACATGCCTGTAATCCCAGCTACTCGGGAGGCTGAGGCAGGAGAATAGCTTGAACCAGGGAGTCGGAGGTTGCAGTGAGCTGAGATCATGCCACCACACCCCAGCCTGGGTGACACAGTGAGAGACTCCATCTCAAAAAAAAAAAAAAAAAAAAAAAAAAGGAAGGAAATCAGGAGGCAAGGAAGGAATAACACAAGAATCCCAGCCAGGCAAAATTGTCAGTGTAAGTTCTCTTTAATATTCTCTTTCCTGCATACATTGCTTTAACATACCCCCAAACCCACCTCCACTTCCAGCCCTACCTCTACACACATCTACGAGAATCTAAACTTTTCATGGTCCACCCTTGCTCTCAACCATCACTAAAATGTCCTTAGTGCCCAAATAACAAGTTTACTGATCTGGTAAATGAATCCCTGATGATGCGGGTTAAAGTTAGAGGTGCAGCCCTCAGAAGTGAATCTTAACTTTGACCTTTATAGTTAATATCCTGCCGAGGCTATCTTAACACTTTAATAAATGTAGTTCTTATGGAGGAACTGTGGAGCTGGGAGGGCAGGTAGTGGCAGGAAGCATAGTGGAGGATTATTTTGGGAAGAGCTCTGTGATAAGCTCTTTTTTCTTTTTAACAAAGAAAAATACAGGATGCCCAGTTGGATTTGAATTTCACATAAACAACAAATAATTTTTTGGTATAAATATGTTCCATGCAACATTTGGGATATACATATACCCAAAATTATTTCTTATCTGAAATTCAAATTTAACGGGGCGTCCTGTATTTTACCTGGCAGTTCTATCTGTGACCTGTGATGCCTCCTAAATATGCAGCCTGTGCAGTAGACGGGCAGGATTGCTGTGGAGTTCAGAAGTTTCCAAATTCTGGCAGAAGGCAACCAGCCCTTCAGGGAGGGCATCGCACAATATAGTCAGGTGAAACTGCTGCCCCCAAAGCCAGCCCTGCTGATGTCTGGGGGCATCCAAGGCAGGCCTGAATGGAACATGCCCAGAGACTGGCCAAGGTGCCAGTAAAGTGGGTGTGTTCTGCTAGATCCTTCCAAGAACATAAAGTGTCTAGTTCTGGTGCTGACAATTGACCTAATATCTACCACACTAGCACACTATTTTTAGGCCTAAGGAAGGAGTGCAAGATTTTAAAAATAAGGTAGTAGATGTAGGGGAAATTACATTCAAAAAGCTCAATCCTGAATGTGAGTTTAAGACCAGGAAATGCAATATATTAGATCTAGAAAAGGTTAGTACAACTAGCTTTCCATATATAAATACCTAACACTGGCTGTGCATGGTGGCTCACGCCTGTAATCCCAGCACTTTGGGAGGCCGAGGTGGGCAGAATCACTCAAGGCCAGGAGTTCGAGACCAGCCTGGCCAAGATGGTGAAACACTATCTCTACCAAAAAATAAAAAAAGTAGCCGGACGTGGTGGTGCTCATCTGTATGTAGTCCTAGCTACTTGGGAGGCTGAGGCATGAAAATTGACTGAATCCGGGAGGTAGAGGTTGCAGTGAGCCAAGATTGCACCACTGTACTCTAGCCTGGGAGACAGAGTGAGACTCTGTCTCAAAAATAAATAAATAATAAATATATAAATAAATAAATAAAAATAAAATAAAATACCTAAGACTAAGACCCCACACTTTTCTTTCACTTTTTTTTAATGAACAAAGATAATGCTACCAGCTTCAGGAAAATTGCTTTTGCCACCCATAATGTTTTGTTTTCAACTAATAAAGACAGAGGCTGTTTTGTTGTCTGCTATTGGCTTCCATATATAGCCGACAGCTATACCCTGTCTATACTTCCAGATCTACTCTCTACCCTTCTCTGTCCTGCTCTATGCTCTGGGAAGCTGACCCCTTATGGACTCCCTTCCTTTCTGGATTCTGATTAGGGCCAGCCAGTGGGAAACAACAATAAGAGATCAGATGGTGGGAAGACAGAAAGATCAGAAGAGTAGCTTTATTCTTGTTGGTGTTTATTAAAATGCTCATGATTTCAACAACTTGGTAAAAAGCACTCAATAAAATAGAAACAGATGCATACTTCTTTAACATGATACAACACATCTAGCCAGCATTATGCTTGATGGGGAAAGTCTAGAGGTAGCCCCAATAAAGTTAGGAATAGACGGGGTGCTCACTATCATAATTACTATGTAAAATTTTACTGAAGGTACTAGCAATCATGACTTGGCATTATAAAACTTCAAGTATAAAAATAGGAAAGTAAGAAAAATATTTTCATTATTTGTAGATGATGTGACTCCGATTTTAAACCCAAGAGACTCAACTGAAAAATTATTATGAACAATAAGACAATTCAGTAAAGTATAAAGGTGGAAAATTAATATACAGAAACCAATCAATCTTATATGTGCAAATAATAACCTACTGGAGGATATAAGGATGAAGGACCTTATTTAAAGTAGCAATAGAAAAAATAAAATACTTGGGAACAAATTTAACAAGAAATGTGTATGCCCTATATGCAGAGAACTTTAAAATAAAACCAAGGAACCCAAACAAGCTTTGGATAAATAGAAAGAACATACCTGGGTAGGAAAAATAAAAATTGTTAAAATGTCATATCTCCCTAAGTTAATTTAACATTTTAACACAATTCCAGTAAAAAATACCATTTTTTTCCCTTTCAAATTTGGCAAGAGATTTCTCAAATGTATATGTGTGAGGGAGAATGTGGAATGGTTAGCCCTATCAAGTATTAAAACACATTATAAAGCCTCAGTAGTTAAAACAATGTGAGACTGATCCATAAATGGACATACAGATCAATAGAACAGATGAAAATGTTCTGATATAAACCCAGATACACGCAGGAATTTGTATACAATAAAGGTGACATTGCAAATCACTAGGGAAAAGAGAGACTGACTATTCAATATATTGTATTGAACTAGTTGTAACAAGTTAGCCTAGTTCTAGGCAGGCTGTAACTAGGCAGCCATCTGGAATAAAACTGGATCTATACACTATACACGAAATTACAAAGACATCATATATTTAAATGTGAAAAACCAAATTAAAATTACTAGAGGAAAACTATGAGAAAATGTCTTTATAACCTTGGAAGGTCCTTGTAAATGTGACTTAAAATATATAAGCCATTAAAAAAAATGATAAATTCAATTATGTTAAAATAAAAAATGTCTGTGTGGCAAAGAAACAAAATCACCATAATCAAAGTTAAAAGACAAATGACAAACTGGGAAAAGTATTTTCAACTCATGTCACAAAGTACTAATATCCCTTATATACAAAGCACCACTAGAAATAAATAAGATTTTAAAAATCAACAACCCAATAGAAACATGGGCAGTAATATGAATATGTTTGTCACATTTTCAAAAATCTAAAAGTTTTGACAATCTAACTTATGGTATTATACATTGGTAAGACTCTATGAAAGGTAATTTGGCAAGATCTGTCAGTCTTATAAGTGCTTATCCTTGACCCAAGAGGCACTTTTCAATGACTCTATCCTGTGAATATACTTAACACATAAAATGACCTATTATTAATAGTTAGATTTATTTAATCATCTCGTGTGTGCATGTATATATCTCATAACATCACATTGTACCCCATAAATATATACAATTATCATTTGTCAATTAAAATAAAAATTTAAAAATCATTTAAAAAATGGCCAGGCACGGTGTCTCACACCTGTAATCCCAGCATTTTGGGAGGCCGATGCGGGCGGATGACCTGAGATCAGGAGTTTGGGACCAGCCCGGCCAACATGGGAAAACCCCATTTCTACTAATAATACAAAAATTAGCCAGGTGTGGTGGCACATGCCTGTAGTCCCAGCTACTCAGACGGCTGAGGCACGAGAATCGCTTGACCTGGGAGGTGGAGGTTGTGGTGAGTCGAGATCGCACCACTGCACTCCAGCCTGGGTGACAGAGTGAAACTGTGTCTCCAAAAAAAAAAAAAAAAATTCATTAAAAAATGACCCAGGTCAAGGTCAAGGTAACTTATTGCAGCATGACTTGTAATAGCAAGATTAGAAACAATCCAGTATTCATCAATATGAAACTAGTTAAATAAATCATGATGCATCCATGTAATTGAATATTATGCAGCTTTAGAAAGAAACACATAGAGGGGGCCGGGCGAGGTGGCTCATACCTGTAATCCCAGCACTTTGGGAGGCCGAGGTGGGTGAATCACGAGGTCAGAAGATGGAGACCAGCCTGGCCAACATGATGAAATCCCGTCTCTACTAAAAGTACAAAAAATTAGCTGGGCGTGGTGGTGGTCACCGTAATCCCAGCTACTCAGGAGGCTGAGGCAGGAGAATCGCTTGAACCCAGGAGGCGGAGGTTGCAGTGAGCAGAGATCGCAGCACTGCACTCCAGCCGGGGCGACAGAGTGAGACTCTGTCTCAAAAAAAAAAAAAAAAAAAAAAAAGGAAGAAAGAAATACATAGAGAGTGAAGATGTACCACATAGTATATTGATAAACAGTACAAACCTCCAAGACATTTTTAATGAAAGACACAAGATGGAGAACCATATGCACTGTTTGCTACCTTTTGTGTGAAAAATGAGAAAAATAGAGTATATATTTGCTTATATATATATACACATATGAGTATATTTATACAGAATATATATTATAGTATATATAATATGATAGTATTTAGGATGTATATATTTGCTTATATATACAAATGAGTATATATAGATAGTATATATTATAGTATATGTAATACAATAGTATTTGTATATAGAGAGTATATATTTGCTTATACATATGTTTCTGGGGAAAAGTGAGGAGATTTAGTGAATGGAAGATAGAGTGGGGAGGTTAACTTTTTACTTTTTATATTTTTTAAATATTCAAATCATGAGGATTAAATATGAAATACATAAAAAGTGCTTATTAAAAAATCAAACAATACAGAAATATGTAAGGTAAGAAGTAATGTTCCTCTACCCTTAAAACTGCCACTCAGAGAAAACCAATATGAGTAGTCTGTTATATACCTTACAGGATTTAGTCATTGAGAAACAGATAGGAGACTTCAAAAAAATTACTTATTAGGCAAGGAAAGCATTAGTTTCTGGGTCCTGGCAGTCACATTGTTCTGGCACTACCAAATCCACTTAGACCACATATAAGCAGCTGAGATAAATGTTGATCTCTTGCCGCACGCCCACAGTGAGCTGCTCTCAAGAGACTTCACCCAATCCTACGGGAGTTCAGTTATATGTAAAATAAGAAGTTAGAAAATAATTCTGAATTAGGTGGCATTTTAAAAGTGAACGGTAGAGGCCATTAACGCCACTAAATTAAGTATGATGGTAGATTTTAAATTAAGACATTAACATTTCAGTAAATGAAAATGCTTGTGCAGTCTGCAAAATTCTTGGCAGTAGTACCACAGAATTCAGCCAGTAAGGGCTCCTAAGTTACAAACATAAAGAGTCCCAAAGAACACAAAGAATCATTCTTTATTTTCCACTGCTATTATTAAAAATTTTAAAAATATATTCTAGATGGAGCCTGCTAGTTCACTAGTGCAATAAAGCGAGCCTCACATTACTGAGACCTCCTCGCAATCCTGTTCCTTTGCCTCAGAAAATTCCTTGATGAGTAGAATATGAATGTTATAAATATTTATTAACAAAAATATATACAAAATGAAATATGCAGCCTTCCTATTTCAACATAAATACCAAGGTCTCTTGCTAAACCAGCAGTTGATATTTTAATACATGTGCCCTAACACAACAAAACAGTGTTTATGCAACACACTCTTTCCCGTCATCTTATAAAAGCAGTCTGTTGATGTTGGAACAAACCTTAGAAAGTTTAGTCATGCAATTGTTCATTCAATTAAGGAACATTTACCAAGTATCTCCACATAGCAGGTAAAGTAAAAAGTAACGGAGATAAGAAGATGAATAGCACCATCTCTGGCTCTTGAATTTAAGTCTAAGCCAATTCTTTTATTTTTATATCAAATAATCTCTAGGTTTCTCAAGTTCAGACCATAACTTTTTATTATGTCAAGTATCATGCATTTATAAAAAGAACTAAATATTTTATATTTGTGGGTTGGCAGTGGTCTATTCTTCCATCAATGTTGTTCACATAGTCATTTTTTGTTTTCAGATGATTATTTCAGAGGATCTGACTGCTCTTCATCTTCATGAATAACTTTAAATACATTAATCCAGTTAGCCTCACAACAACCCTCATTTTACAGACTAGGAAACTTTTGTCAGTCATGCTGAATTACTTTCTCAGGCTCTCACAGCTAGTATCTAAACTCAGGTGTGCCTGTCTCACACTTATATTCTCTACACAATAGTAAACAGCAGGATTTGTAGAAATGTAGGCTAGAGAAATTGTAATTTGTATTAATTACATGATTGTCATTTGTTAAAACCTCAGCTGCTTCACAGATGATTTCTTAGAGAAAAGTATACTATGACAGTAAACACAATGTGTTTCCGAGGTTCATAAGACTGTGAAATGATACCAGGTGACTGTTGGTTTCCGTCATTACAATATTGTACATTAAAATGAAAACATATAAGTGAAGTTACTGCTATTTCAATTGTATTTCTTTACATTTTATCATCAAACCTTCCTATAGCCTTATCTTTTGTTCATTTGAACTGCTTTGCTATACATCTTTTTACTATCCATATCATCTATTATATCTTTAAAGATACCATAATATTTTTATATTATATTATTATGTTTTTAAAAGATACTTAATCTTTCTTCTTTTAGCCACATTGGTGTGACTCTCCTCCTAACACACTCTTTCCACATAAGCCTTCTGAAAAACAAGACATTCACTCATAGTGAATGATCAATGCATAGCTTGCTCAGAGCAGGGTACACATTTTTGAAATTATGAAGGTGAGTTGTAGTAAAAGAGATAATTTAAGTTGAATATGATAATTTGATAGAATCTGGTACTGATTGTCAGCTTTGAAGACCTTGTACCACAGAATCAGACTGCAAAATCTTAGAGTGATATTCTTCCAATGAGCCACTAGCAATCAGAGAGAGGTTTCTGGGGGCCCTCGTACTTTCTGTTTTATGTATTTGCAGATTTGGATCAAGAGCAGAGGGTTAGTAAGCCTTAATCAAGAAAGAAAAAAAACAAATACATGGAAATCTTAAATTGAATTCCAACATGAAAATTATGGCACAGTTTATACAACTTTATGATATCTCAGTTGCATAAAATTATACTTCACCCTTCAAATAATGACATACAATTAAATGAGGTCTATGGCAAGTACTATCATATAGAACGTGATCCCTACAATGTTTAATCATTCACAAAGCATTGGGAGGTGTCTTGGGGCCTAGCCCAGTGAAAAGAGCAAAGGTTTTGAAACAGCCAAATCTAGAATTTCACATGAGCTCTTCCATGGAATCTTGGCCAAGTTACTGAATCAGATTGAACTCGGCTTTATCACCCGTAAAATGGCTATTGCTAGTATTAGTAATGACACATACAAAGTGTTTGGAAGGAGAGCTTTGTACATAATGCTCAATAAACTCAAGTTTTACCTGAGGCACTTCACACAGTACACAACAGTGTTCTTAAATTAAATTGAATTGATTATAAGGAGATCAAGTGTTCATATTATCTAATCTTCCAACCAGAGCGGACAATTGAAAAGATGTATTTCCTGCTAATACAGTACTTACTTTCCCAGGAGGCTAGACTGGGCAAACTTTAGCAAGAAATGTCTCCATATATAGTGTACAAAAAAATCTCCCTCTAGTTTATGAATCCGTGTTGTCACAAAACATTTATTTATTCAGTGTTTAGAGCTTTTTTAAAAATAAAAAATAAAAAAACTACAGTGACCTTATTAGGTTAGGTAATAGATATTTTAACCAATTTGATTTAAATTGTTAATGGTGTCGTCTAGGAATTTAGGGGAGAACAGTCAAGAAAAAGAAAGAAACAGGTAATAGTTGTTGCATCTCAATGCAGTTCAGAAAACATGAGTAGGTCCACCAGCGTGTGGTAGCAGAGGAAATTCTCAGGCACCAGTTGAAAGTAAAAGCTTGGTATTTTATAGTTTCCTTTTGTAAGAACTCAAGTTTTTGTTGAGTTGCATATTTTATATTTTCTGGAATTTTGGTGTCATTTTATCCATAGTTAATAATATTGTTTCACCATAACTCCTCTTTGATTATGTAACCAGCAAAGTTTCTAACAATAAAGCATATTTTAGGGGTACATACCTTCCTCTCAGTCAATGTATAGAAAGTATTACATTATGTATTAAAACCTCAGTGCCATGACAAGATAGTCAACATCTTTAGTCATCAGAAAAATACAAATCATAACTACAATTGTGTGTGTGTACTTATCAAATTGTGTACTTTATATATATGTAATTTATTTTATATCAATTAGACCTCATTAAAGCTATTTTTAAAATATTATGTGAATTTTGCAGAAAATGAAAAGAGAAACCCCTGACCTCAGCTATCAGGTTGGCTACATTAACTGCCTGCCTCTTTTGCATCATCAGCTACTTCCTGGCTATGGGCAAGTGTGATGTTTTTTTACTGGACTGTAAGGACCTTCAGAGTAGAATCCATGTTTAACTCAACTGAGTCTTCCTTCAAACTCTCTCACTAAGTATTCAACTGTTGTTTTTTAAATGAAACATAAATTGCTTGGATAGTTTTTGGTGAAACATTTCAGAAAACATTTCTACCTAAATTCCCTAATGAACCTTTACGATTTTTTGAACTATGCATGGGAGGCAGCATATCTTCATGCTTAAGAACTTTAAAGTCAGTGATTTGTTCAGCTACTTACTAACCACCTGACCATAGATAAAATTATCTCACCTCTCCAGGCCTCAGTTTGCTCATTTCTAAAATGGGACTGTAAAGGACCTGTCTTGGATTTTCTGAGAGGATTAAATGATATAACCCATATAAAGTACATGGGCCATATTTAGCACTCAATAAATACTTGTTGTTTTTGTTGTGTTGTTATTGCTTTCCATATCCCTAATATATTGTAGAGAAATAAAGAATCTAAAAATTCGGGTTATTATGCATAGTAAGCATACAAGAACTGTTAGCAGGGAAAAAGACAAGTGAATTAATACACTGACCGTTACAAATTTTTGAAAGTTTACGAACTCCAAAGACTGAAATATTCCATCTTTCATCAGGAGAAAGAAAACGTGATGAACAAGTTACCTGAATCTTACAGGAGGGATAGCTCTAAACTGACATTAAAGTTACCTGCATATTAGGCTTTTTAGAATCACACAATTAGAGAAATTTAATTTATTGGAAGAAGCAAAAGGGTTTTAACACCTTATAGTCTTCTCAGTACATTTTGATTCTTGCTCTTAGACCTTTTCATTAAATAAGAAAAATTAAAAACCTGCTGGTACGTAGAGAGGCTAAAGTTGCAAACAGCTCATTTACTTTCTCCCTACCCTTCACACTGAAGTTCTTAAATGCAGAAATCCTGTTCTCCTATTTGTTTGCAAGTTTTCTCTCTAGTGAAAAATACTTCATCATTTTGTCCTTGGGGAATTCATTAAACAGAATGTGGAAAAATGTAATCTTTAGGGAGTTTTGCTGTGAGTACTCTCAGTAAATACAGCACAAGCCAAGAGACTCTACAGAGACCTGACCTAGAGTAGACGAAGCCTGGGCCATTGTCAGATAATCATTTCCTTGAGCTTTGAGGCAGTCACTTAATTGTTTTGTCACCTCTGATTTTTGTAATATTGGGCCTAATTGCATCTCCCTGATTTGTGGGGAGTGTTTATAAAATATGTACAATAATTATTATCATTAATAAACTGGATTATTAATCCCCTCCAAAAATAATGTGCCAACATGTCAATAAAATTTACACCTTATCCTTTAAGTCTGGCCCAGTACTAGATTTGCCTTTAAAAGTCCAAGTCAGCCGGGCGCCATGGCTCACGACTGTAATCCCAACACTTTGGGAGGCTGAGGCAGGTGGATCACCTGAGGTCAGGAGTTCGAGACCAGCCTGGCCAACATGGTGAAACCCCGTCTCTACTAAAAAATACAAAAATTAACTGGCATGGTGGTTCATGCCTGTAATCCCAGCTACTGGGGGGCTGAGGCACGAGTGTCGCTTGAACCTGGGAGGTGGAGGTTGCAGTGAACCGAGATCATGCCACTGCACTCCAGCCTGGGCAACAGAGTGAGACTCTGTATCAAAAAAAAAAATTCCAAATCAATTTGTTGTATGCGAAGAACATAATACCATGAGTCAGGAAATGTTATTCTATTTCTGGTTCTGCCAGTAGTTACCTCTGTGGTCATTAGTAACCACTTCACTCTTCAGTTTCCTCAAATGTAAAAGTAGGAATTTGGACTATATCAAGGAAGAAACATACCTGATATGTGCCACCACTCATAATTCTGTGCCCATGGCAGACATTGTTAATCAATCATTGAACTTTTTCTACCAAATTGGGAAGCTGTTTTTGAATACTTTTCAGCAAAGCACTGTAGGCAGCCACTACCAATGTATCAGAATTGGCAATCAAAGTGAAATTTGCTTCCCATCTCCGGGCCAGAAGACGTCTAAGGTTTTTTTTTAATTCTAATATTACTCAAAGGGCAAAATGAGAGTCCATGGAATAGAAAGTGTCAGGAGACAATTATGTTGGCAAATCTCATTTCCCTTTTTTATTTTCCAGCCTCCAAGAATGTTATAGATTATCTGTAAGGTCTGTTTATGAGGATGCTCTGCTCTTCCATTCGTTGTAGTCTGCTTTTTGTTTGTTCAAAGTGGAAATAGTTTAATTGTTTTTATCCCTTAATTCTAAAAATGCTTTCTGTAAGGATTTGAATAATACAGAAAAATACAAAGATGGAAATGAAAATTATCTGATATTCTACTCCCATTATTAATATTTGAGAACTGTCCTTGAAGACATAGCTCTAGGCATAATGTTTTTCTGTATTTTATTTTCCCCACAAAGCGATGTTACGTTTGGGCTACTTTGCCTGTTACTGAGAGGCTGCAGTTCTTAATCTCTATTCATAAAATTTTGTCTTTGGTAATTCCTGTTCTGCTGAGTTAAACGTTGCAAATATAGCAGTAAATTGGAAGAGAAAGGATCTTTAGAACCTTACAACAACTACACTTAAAGATGTGGTAAAATTCTCCAGGCTCCACTCAAATAAATACAAAATGGAAAGATTTACAAAGCTTGTGGTTATAATTCAATTTGAAAATAAAACAGATCCAGTGGCATGGGAGAAAAGCAACGTTCTTTCCTTACTCCCACACCCTACTCCCACCTTTTTTCTTCTTCTTATAAAAGTAATGTATGCTGGCCAGTCACAATGGCTCATGCCTGTAATCCCAGCACTTGGGGAGGCTGAGGCAGGAGGACTGCTTGAGGCCAGGAGTTTGAGACCAGCCTGGGCAACATAGTGAGACTACCCCCTCTACAAAAAATTTTAAAATTAGCAGGGCATGGTGGTGCATGCTTGTCATCCCAGCTACTCAGGAGGCTGAAGTGGGAAGATTACTTGATCCCAGGAGGTCTAGGCTGCAATAAGCCATGATAGCACCACTGCATTCCAGCCTGGGTAACAGAGCGAGACCCTGTCTCAAAAAAAAAAAAGTATGTTTATTTATTTAGAACAATGTAAACATGGAAAAATGAGAAAAAAAAGTCATCAGTCTCCATCTAGTCAAAATAATTACGGTTAACATTTTGGAGTATATGCATTCTGTCTTTTTTTTCTGTGCATATATATTTATATAGGTATCAACACATAAAATTCAAAGGACTCTTTTAAACATTTTTCTCTTTACTCACTGCATTGCTGTTGCTGCAGGATACTTTTTCTTTATGAGCAGGAAACTACACAAGTTAAAACTGGCTTTGGAGATGTACAGCTCATTGTACCAGTAGTTTGCACAGTGAGGTGTACACCCCAGGGAACCAAGGATGCGGGTGTGTTTTGAAATTAATACACCAAATATTTTGAACACTGCTTTACTGGAGTTTGTTATTTTATTTACTTATTTATTTTTCGAGATGGAGTTTCGCTCTTGTTGCCCAGGCTGGAGTACAATGGCGCGATCTCGGCTCACTGCAACCTCCGCCTCCCGGATTCAAGCAATTCTCCTGCCTCAGCCTCCTGAGTAGCTAGCATTACAGGCATGCACCACCATGCCAAGCTAATTTTGTATTTTTAGTAGAGACAGGGTTTCTCCATGTTGGTCAGGCTGATCTCAAACTCCCGACCTCAGGTGATCCGCCCACCTTGGCCTCCCTGGGATTATAGGTGTGAGCCACCGCGCCTGGCCTATACTGGAGTTTAGTTTATCCACTGGGCAGGTTGCTCAAGTTCAAACTCCCTAAGCAGATATTCAGCGAGTATCTTACATAACTGGCACAAATGAGGTCATATCACGGTCAGAACCTCTGTATGCATTTATCCCTCCATCTACTTCATTGATAAAATGTCTGTGTTCGTGAAGTGTATTTTGATAAGGAGACTATCTCTCCATCGTCTAATAAAATGAAACTTATGCATGGTGTGATGAGGTTTTTTACTTTGTATGTAGCAACAAAGATATGTTATGGGAAAGACAGCTTCCTCATTCCCAGGGAAGTCATTTTCTTCTGAGAGTCTGAGTTTTATTAAATCACCAAGTATCATCTCCCTGTTTGTGCTCCCAATGTTGGTTAACAAACAAAGAGCAGCCAGGGGAAACCCTGCCTTTGATAGTCACCATACATACAGTATGCTGTTTTGGTTATCAATTGCTATGAAACAAACCACCCCCAAATTTAATAGCTGAAAGTGATTTATTATAATTTCTCACAGTTCTTGGTGTTGACTTAGCTTAGCCAGGGAGTCTTCTGCCGGTCTTGCTTACAGTCTCTTGTATGTGACTGCAGTCATATAGCAGCTGGAGCTGGAGTTCTTTGGGGGCTTGAATAGGTGGGCTCGAAGGTCCAAGATGGTTTCTTCATTCACATGTCTGGTGTGTTGGTTCACATAGTCTCTCTCTCTCCATTTAGAGTTTCATCTTCCATGACTTTT
The DNA here is from genome assembly GCF_000001405.40 of Homo sapiens. NCBI lineage: Eukaryota > Metazoa > Chordata > Mammalia > Primates > Hominidae > Homo > Homo sapiens. Next base: position 177,267,945 of record NC_000002.12, on the reverse strand, counting down.
CCCATGGCCTCTCTTTCCATCAAGGTAGTCAGACCTCTTAGGATGATGGCTGACTTCCAAGAGTATAAAATTAAAAGCTGTCAGGGCTTTTTCAAGCTTAGGTTAAAACCTGGCATAATGTCACTTCTGGCCTCTTTCCATACCTTAAAGCAAGTTGCAGGGCCAGCCATGCTTGTTTCAATATGAGGGGACTAGACAAATGCCTCAATATCAGGAGAGGTGGTTTACTGGGTGCCATCTTTGGAAGCTTTCTATACTTTACACTGGACAAAGTAGAATTTCAACTACAATTCTAAAAGATTATGAATATTTTCTGGCTCAAACATGGAGAACAATTGAGAGGAAGTGACAGAGAGAGGAAGAAGCCTCAAAGTGATGGAGGATTTTGAAACAATCGGTACTTTCTTGCACCTTGCAACTTGGCAGATTGGAGCACAAAGGAGGTGGAACTAAGGGGTCAATGCATCACCATTATCCAGACTTCTTATACCCAGAAGACTTACTTGATGATACTTTTTTTTTAGACAGAGTCTCACTCTGTCGCCAGGCTGGAGTGCAGTGGCGTGATCTCGGCTCACTGCAACCTCCGCCTCCTGGGTTCAAGCAATTCTCCTGCCTCAGCCTCCCTGAGTAGCTGGGACTACAGGCGCATGCCACCACAACCAGCTAATTTTTGTATTTTTTAGTAGAGACAGGGTTTCACCACGTTGGCCAGGATGGTTTTGATCTCTTGACCTCGTGATCCGCCAGCCTCGGCCTCCCAAAGTGCTGGGATTATAGGCGTTAGCCAGAGCACCTGGCCAATGATGCTTATTTTTTATGAGCAATCTGGAGCAAGGTATCACAATTGACACATCTCAAGCATGTAGGGAAGGCCGTCTTCCCAAAGACAGCAAATGATTCAGGAATCAATGAAAAGGTACAAGAGTCAATAGAACATAAAACCAATTGGAGGGTATTTTTCCCAAATAGTAGCGAGGAGAGCCTGGCAGCAAAAAAGGATCCCATGGCAGCAAGACAGGAGAGAAAAACCAGCACCTCCTCTTTCTTGTTCTTTCTTGCTCCTCCAGAGCTTCTCAACATGCATTATCTGTGCCCTCCTAACACAATAGGCAGGTTTGGAGGGCAAAGCAAGGGCTCAGGCTCTCATATGAAGACAATCACATTCCAGAGTCTGCCAAGATTGGGCACCTCCTTGACGTGGGTGGTCTTGAGAATGGGGTTCCCTTTATTTGGCTAAACCAAATGCCAAACAGCTTTTCCTTAGTGTTTGTTTTTCTTAAACAAGTTCAAACTCTTATCATATTGCTCCCCTCCCTTTGAAAATATGTACTCTGCAGATGCCTGAAATAACACACTCTCAGCAAATTGCAGCATTGGAAAAGTGAAGGTTATTTCATTCAGTCTAAACTCAATGGAAATTTTGTGGCTTAACAAGGAAATACCAAATACTTTATAAACTCCTTTAGAGCAGTAACCATGTCATATGACTCTGGTATCTCCTACCTACTAGGCTCATTGTCTACCTTCTCTGATGTCGTAATTTTAATAAGTAACTTGAATTGTTAACAATTTACTCTTGTCTTTTTCTTGGACTCAGAAATGTTATTTTATTATTATGTCTCTGCATCTTTCATGTGAGGTCCTTTGCAAACAGTTTTCTCCTAACTTGTTTTCATTGTGCAGATCATGTTGCAGGGTTTTCACATAACAGCTGAAAGGAATTAATAGGAGTTAAAGAAGCTTGCTTCAATTACAAGTAATTAATTTAGGCTTCACTTATCTCAAGGAATATCTGAATATACAAATTTACACATAAATCCTGGGAGTGTCAAATTATGCAACCTAGAGAAAGTAAGCTCTGCAGCTTTTTGGGCGTTGATTGCTATAGTCAGGGGTGTGTGTGTGGTTTTTGAATGAAATAGCAAAACCACTGCCAGTATTATCTACTTCACCTGGTTTTGAATAATTCCAGGAAGCTAGAAACTGAAAACCAGTCTTGTATAGAGTTAGAAAGATTGTAAATGCAGAAGAGGAAGAAAAAAACAAAACTAAACCATTTATCTATCCTCTTTGAACCCTTATAAGAGTTCACAATATTCCTCGTTTCAAATACTTGAAGTCTTCTCTGGGCAATGATTAATTTTTAAATAATTGTTTTTAATGTAAGACATAAAACATACGCACTGCAGATTTAAAGCATACTTGGAAGTAACAAGGAGAAACATAAAAATCGTTGATTCCACAGCATTTAATATATTGGTAACCTTCAATTTTTTTCTAGGCACGTTTTTATAAAATGAGCCAATACTATACAAACGTTTTTGTAACTTTTTTTAATTTGTACTATTTTGTGAGTACGTGAAAAAGAAATTTGTAAAGAGTAAACGATTACAGCATGTTGTGGTATTACACACTGTTGAAGGGCGCCATCTGTGGCGTGGTGGCTGCGCTTTGGTGGGAAGAGGTTCTCTTGGGGTTCCCGTTTTTCTCCCAGCTCTGGGTGGGCAATACTGACCACTCTCCGACCTAAAGGGGCTTCTCCGTTTGCCTTTGACGACCTGAGCTTAGGAGAATGGAGACACGTGGGAGTTCAGAGGAGGGCGTTCAGGGTGACTGCGAACACGAGCTGCCGGAGCTGTCCACATCTCCCCTAGGCAGGGCCCACTGGCCCCAGCCCGGGAAGGGAGCAAGGGCGGGAGGGCAGTTGGCAGTGGCACGGTCTGGGTCCAAATCTTTAGCCCCCCCCACCCCGGCTGGCGCCATTCTCGGGCGGTAAAGTGAGATAAAAGCAGGGCAAGGTTCTGCAACTCCAAATCAGGGAGGCGCAGCTCCTACACCAACGCCTTTCCGGGGCTCCGGGTGTGTTTGTTCCAACTGTTTAAACTGTTTCAAAGCGTCCGAACTCCAGCGACCTTCGCAAACAACTCTTTATCTCGCGGGCGAGAGCGCTGCCCTTATTTGCGGGGGAGGGCAAACTGAACGCCGGCACCGGGGAGCTAACGGAGACCTCCTCTAGGTCCCCCGCCTGCTGGGACCCCAGCTGGCAGTCCCTTCCCGCCCCCGGACCGCGAGCTTCTTGCGTCAGCCCCGGCGCGGGTGGGGGATTTTCGGAAGCTCAGCCCGCGCGGCCGGCGGGGGAAGGAAGGGCCCGGACTCTTGCCCCGCCCTTGTGGGGCGGGAGGCGGAGCGGGGCAGGGGCCCGCCGGCGTGTAGCCGATTACCGAGTGCCGGGGAGCCCGGAGGAGCCGCCGACGCAGCCGCCACCGCCGCCGCCGCCGCCACCAGAGCCGCCCTGTCCGCGCCGCGCCTCGGCAGCCGGAACAGGGCCGCCGTCGGGGAGCCCCAACACACGGTCCACAGCTCATCATGATGGACTTGGAGCTGCCGCCGCCGGGACTCCCGTCCCAGCAGGTGCTGCCTCGGCCCTCTGGGCCCTGCGGTGGTGCCGGGACGGGGGCGGGGGAGCTAGGGAACCGCGGCCCGGGAGGGACAGCCGCAACCGGCTTCCCCCACGTCTGGCCAGAGCCAGGACCGCGGCGCTGGGTAGAGCCGCCGCGCTTGCGCCGGGGCAGGGCGGGGAGGGGCAGCGGGGACGCGGCCGGGTGATCCGACCGACCACGAGCCCGAGGGCGAACGGGTGGGAAGTTGCGGGAAGGTCTGGGGACTGAGCCCGCTCGCGTGGGCCTTGGGGGAGAATCCAGCCGCGTCCCCGGGCCCGAGAGCTGGGACTCCGGAGCCCCTAAGTTTGAGCGGCCCGGTGGGCGGCGGGGCAAGAGGGGGCGGACGCTGGCCGTCTGAGCCGGCGCGGCCCGGCCCTTCCGGGGCTGCGCGGCTCCCCCGCCTCGGTGCCGGCAAAAATGTGCCTAGTCACGGGGCCGCTCTCGGGGGAACTGAGGTCGCCTTCGGGCTGGGACCCGGAGCCCCTTCGCCGCGCCCCAAGACCTCCTTGAGTGCGGGCTGCGACGCGCTCACCCCGCTGGGCCGTCTGTGGGCGCGGCTTTGCGAAGTCATCCATCTCTCGGATCACTCTCTGGCAGCCTTGAGCTCTCTTGAAAGCCCAGCCCCGGGACGAGGGAGGAGCGCCTTAAGTGCCCAGCGGGCTCAGAAGCCCCGACGTGTGGCGGCTGAGCCGGGCCCCGCGCACTTTCTCGGCCGGGGAGGGGTTCGGGCTCGGGCACCCGGAGTTGGCCCCTCGTAACGCCGCGGGAAAGTGCGGGCGAGGGCAGTGGACTCTGAGGCCGGAGTCGGCGGCACCCGGGGCTTCTAGTTCGGACGCGGTGCCCCCTGGTGGCGCTCACCGCGCGCGTGGCCTTGGCTTCCGTGACAGCGCTCGGTTGGCCGTCACAGCAGCCCTCGGTTGGCCCTTTCCTGCTTTATAGCGTGCAAACCTCGCCGCGCCAGGGCCAAGGGACAGGTTGGAGCTGTTGATCTGTTGCGCAATTGCTATTTTCCCCAGAGCGGCTTTGTCTTTGGATTTAGCGTTTCAGAATTGCAATTCCAAAATGTGTAAGACGGGATATTCTCTTCTGTGCTGTCAAGGGTAAGAGTTGCGAGTGTAGATTAGAATTTCTGTTGCTTTTAGTCTGTTAGTAATTTTTTGCTTTCAGCTATTATTTCTCCCCTGAGTACTTTATATATGTTTCCTTTTCAGTTGAGAATTTGCCTCAATTTCTTAACATGTTCCCCCTCTTCTGCAGGGGCAGAGAGTGGAACGCTTGCGTTTCAAAACACTTGCTAATTTCTGTGAATTGTTATAAAAGTGAAAAGAAGTTTCTGCTCATCCTTTGTAGAAACTTTAAAAGTAGATATTTATATTTCTAACTTCTTTTGTAAATGAATTTTAGGAAAAAAATTGGAATTCAAGGAAATGTGTACTTGATGTACAGTAAATACGTTTATGCTGTTAAATGTAAAGTTTTCGGTTAATTCCAAAGATCTATTGTAAAGTTTTAAGTTATGGACAATGTATTAATTGTGCTTTTTTCCCCCTTTAAAGTTGTTTGTCTTGAACTTTTCCCCAGTCTTCATTGGGATTGTATTCTTCTGGTTCCAACTAGTGAAGAATTAAATTGTACCTTCCGATTTATTTAATAGCTGCTGTTCAAGAGTTATCTATAGGAATGCTTGTTTGACTGAAGGATATATGATAAAAATGAACTTTAGTTTTTCTGATTTCCGGAATTGTCTACAGCCCTCTATTATTTTTGAATTTTTCTTTCTTTGCTGTGTAATATAACATTCCTTATACAAAAATGCGTGAAACATATGTACCGCATTAAGTGTGTATTTTCCAATTACGTTTGATAAAAATAACTGCTTTTCTACCTTTGTAATCAGACATCGATTTGCATATTTGAAAACAGAAAAAGAACAAGAAAATTTAGAATTGATTTTGTTTATGATTCATATTAGATTGTTGTCATCCATAAAGATTTGAACAGAGTCAAACATTTTCTTGACCTTTTGTCAAAAAAAACTCTCCAGGTGTGAAGTGGTAGTAGGATATAGTTTTTCACCTTCTGTGCAGAGGATGTGTTGATAAACAGGGCAGTAAGGAGAGCCTTAGATTCAGTATCTCCATTAGGTGGAAGGAACCATCCATTACTCTTTTCAAGGGTGTCTTGGAGAGATAAAGCACTTTCCTAGATGAGGGATGAAGTTGATATTGAAATAGACCGATGAGATTATTTTTAAGTCAAACAAAAGAAAAATAGGACAGGCCTCTCATCTCCTGAATGAATGTTAAGCAAAGAACAACTTGACTTTTTAGATATGTGAAAAATCTCTTGAGAGGTTGTGGAAGCAGCATGTAGGAGGATAAATGCATAACTCACATCAGTCTTTTACGCATTAAAAATAACTTGGGCCATTTTGAAATCTTTCTTTCTTGCCCTGGGTTCTTATAAGCAATGTTGGGGGGAAAACTGACTCTGTCTTTAGGATTACCAGGAAAAGTTGAAAGCCAAATGCATCATTTTTCTTAATATTTGTTTTTATTGAGGATAAATCATGTTTAACAAAGCTGCATGAAAAAAAGGAACCCAACAAGTACATTTTTTTTTCTGGGAATTTCCTCTGTCCTGACTGAAGACATTTAAAGGGGGTTTTGTGTCAATATTTCCTCCTTAACTGTTCCTCAAGCCTGGGTTAACTTTTCAGTATGCAGGAAGAATTTGGCACTAAGATAATAATAGATAAGTTACTGGGCACGTCCCTGGGTGCCAGACATAATTGCTTCACATGCATAATTTTACAGTAACCTCACGGGAAATATTATTATCCCTGGTTTCCAGGTTGGGAAAACCAGGCATAATAGTTAGATCAGGCATTAGGTTAGGAAAGGTTAGGAGAGAGGCATAGAGAAAGGCCAGGACCTGCTAAGGTGACCATACTATTGAGTGGCCAAGGTAGCATTCAAACAGGTTTGACTCCTGGGGGCTTCTAATCACCACTTCCAGACTGTACCAAAACTCCTTAAACTCTAAATAGGAAGAAAAGCTCACACTTTAAAAAGTGGGTAAGTTGAGATTTGCCTATTCTGGGGGAAGGAGAGGCCGGAATATAAAAGATTAATGTCTGCAGCTTTTCCATTTAGCAAGACATTTAATCACTGTATGTGACGTGGGGAGGTGGACCTTGTTAAATACAGGGAGAGTGAATACAATCCATCAATGGTACCCACTGTGGTCCTTTTAAGGAAGACACAGAGGCCTCGGTGGATTCAATTTAGAAAGGCAGGACTGTTTTTTGTTTTTTGTTTTTTTTTTTTTTTGAGATGAAGTCTTGTTCTGTTGCCCAGGCTGGAATGCAGTGGCCTGATCTTGGCTCACTGCAGCCTCTACTTCCCGGGTTCAAGTGATTCTCCTGCTTCAGCCTCCCGAGTAGCTGGGATTATAGGCACCCACTGCCCGGCTAATTTTTGTATTTTTAGTAGAGATGGGGTTTTACCATGTTGGCCAGGCTGGGCTGGTCTCGAACTCCTGACCTCAGGTGATCCACCCGCCTCGGCCTCCCAAAGTGTTGGGATTACAGGTGTGAGCCACTGCGCCAGTCTGTTTCTTAATATAATAATAGTTTTAAAAATTTCTGATGTTTGGCAATGTCCAAGATTCTGCCTCACATTTTTCAGAAACTGCCTTTTTTCTTAATTAAATCTCTTAGCTACTGGAGTCTTTGCCTTTGTTTGCCTTGCTACTTGGTACATTTCTTCTGTTCCATTGGCTCTTTTTGTTTTGAAGTAGTGCTCAAAAATAAGTTTGGTAGTAAGAATATGGTGAAGAGTGTGACAGACAGGGTTAAACCAGGCTGAAGGAAAGAGAGCAGAATGGGGAAAATTTGAGTTGAAAACAGCTAGCAGAAAGCTGATGGCGCAAATTCAACCCTAATCTCATGTTTTGGCACTTCTGAACTATAGCAAGCATAAGGGCTCAACTCTTATCTAGTTGAAGCTTACTTGGGTCTTTGAGAATAGTACATCTCAAAATTAAACACTTTCTTAGTCCTTATTGTTAAGTTGTTTTTGGAATTATTGTCTTATTTGTCTGAATTAAGTGTGCTGCAGGACTTATAGGATCTGATGGATGATTTGCCTAAAAGTTGGTCCAGGTCAACCTCAGGGCATTTAAATGCTTGGTCCAGCCACTTTCTGAAAGTTGACTGAAATATGTTGCACAGCAGGGTAGAGGAGGACAAGTTTACTAGATGTCATTTTTAACCTGCTTGTCTTCATCTCTGACTGTAGAAATGTATATTCATTATAAGTTTGCCACAAATAGAGAATAGAGTTTATTCTTTGATCATCTAATTTCTAGGAGCTATTGAAATTTCACTGCTACCTGCTTTTAAATAAGCGCCAACAAACATTTATTAAAAGGGCTTTAAGGTATAGGCCAAGATTTATTCAATTGCTAATGGTATGTTTTCTGTAAATGAAAGCAAAAATATGTTCAAGTGTATAATATTAAATATTAACATTCAGAAACTTGGAGAAATACAGATGGCTTTTTTTTTTGAGACGCAGTCTTGCTCTGTCGCCCAGGCTGGAGTGCAGTGGCATGATCTCCGCTCACTGCAAGCTCCACCTCCCGGGTTCACGCCATTCTCCTGCCCCAGCCTCCCGAGTAGCTGGTACTACAGGCACCCGCCACCACGCCTGGCTAATTTTTTGTATTTTTAGTAGAGATGGGGTTTCACTGTGTTAGCCAGGATGATCTCGATCTCCTGACCTCATGATCCGCCTGCCTCAGCCTCCCAAAGTGCTGGGATTACAAGCTTAAGCCACCGCGCCTGGCCTAGATGGATTTCTTGTACCAGACTATACCCTAGACATGAAAACAAGACTGTTAAACAAAATCCTGTGCTACCTAAAGTTTGAGCCTTCTGTGTGTCAGTTTCTGCCATAATAAATAACTCTTAACTATGATTATTAAGTATATTAAGAACTTTGAGTAGGGGAGGCACGTTTAATCATTCGTTTTTACGGCATATGTACTATAATACCTGTGTGTTGCAAATCCTGGTATTTAAAAGTCTTTTTGTGTATTTGAGCATGTAAGTTTATTTGGTCCAAACTGCTGGTACTAGTAAAGACAAGTCCAGGGCATAAGTAGGACTTACAGCACCAAGTTCGTCTTTTTTTTTTGAGACAGAGTCTCAGTCGGTCACCCAGGCTGGAGTGCATTGGTACAGTCTGGGCTCACTGCACCCTCCACCTCCCGAGTTCAAGCGATTCTCCTGCCTCAGCCTCCCAAGTAGCTGGGATTACAAGTGTGTGCCGCCACGCCCGGTTAATTTTTGTATTTTTAGTAGAGATGGAGTTTCACTATGTTGGCCAGGCTGATCCCGACCTCAGGTGATGTGCCCACCTTGGTCTCCGAAAGTGCTGGGATTATAGGCGTGAGCCACTGCGCCTGACCTCCAAGTCCATCTTTCAAAGGCTCTGTTGATAATTGACTCTTGAGAGTCATTACAGTCCATCAACAGCCTGTATTCTGAATATTTGTTTTTAATTCTAAGACAATGCTAAATAGCCATTCCAAATAAGGTGAGAACTGAGACTTTAGGGCCTGTATTATCAGCTGTACACTGACAAGCTCTGAACTCTATTGCTTTTTCAAATCAGAGAAGAAAAATGAGTAAGAAAAGAAAAATATGGATCACTTAGGCTTTGATGCCTCCTCTGAGTTTATAGTGTTTACCTTCTGTATTACTTAGGTGATCCTCTCTAATGGCATTTTAAATCTCTGTTGATACTTGTCTTACTTATGTATCTGTTTTTTTTTCCTCTATAGTAGATAGAATTTATAGATATATATGTATTTTAAAGTAAGATACAATTTACGTACCTTACAATTTACCCATTTAATCTAATTCAGGGTTATGCAACCCTATGAATTTAGTAGTTTATTCATAGAGTTATGCAACCATCACTGTAATCAATTTTCAACACCCTCAAAAGAAACCCCATATCCATTAGCAGTCACTTCCCATTTCCCCTCAACTCTCCTGGCCCCTGGTAACTACTCAGTTATTTTCTGTACCTATGGATTTGCCTATTCTGGACATATCATGTAAATGGAATAGCATGTAAATGGAATCATACAGTATTTATCCTTCTGTTGCTGGCTTCTTTCACAGCAATATGTTTTCAAGGTTTAAAAATGTTGCAACGTATATCAATAGCGTCATTCCTTTTTATGGCTGCATACTATTCCATTGTATGGCTATACCACATTTTATTTATCCAGTTGATGATCATTTGAGTTGTTTCCACTTTTTATGTTTCTGTTTGTTTCTTACAGCAGTGGTTCTCAAACTGTTGTATATTAGACTCACCATCAGTATTTAAAAAACTAATGCCCAGGCCATATCCCTCATGAAATCAAAATCTCTGGGGGTGGGGCCCAGGCATCACTATTTTTTAAAGATTCTGAGGGGATTCTAACGAGCAGTCAGGTTTGAGAGCCAGTGCCCTAGGGCAGCAGTCCACAACCTTTTTAGCACCAGGGACTAGTTTTGTGGAAGACAGTTTTTCCATAGAAGGAGGTAGAGGATGGTTTCAGGATGAAACTGTTCCACCTCAGATCATCAGGCATTAGATTGTCCTAAGGAGCTGGCAACCTACATCCCTTGCATACTCAGTTTACAACAGGGTTCCGGCTTCTCTGATAAACTAATGCTGCTGCTAATCTGACAGGAGGTGGAGCTCAGGCGGGAATGCTCGCCTACTGCTCACCTCCTGCTGTGCGGCCTGGTTCCTAATGGGCCACTGACCCCTCCGCAGCCAGCAGGTGGGGACCCCTGCCCTAGGGGACCCACCTCAGTGCTTGGTATCCATTGAAGTATATAGTGATTTAGAAAATCTGGTTAGGATGTCTTATTTAAATCATGAAAGCAAGTGCTTTTGTCTTTGATCATTGCCCTTCACAGCCTTACAGTTAACACCTACATTCAGGAACTGTGTTTCAAAGTGCCTGGCGAGTGTTTGAAACTCACTAAATATATATAACCTGGGCTCATTAAACCCCTCCAGAAGATTTGGGTAACTTTGTTATGAAAGGGCTTCCCTGAAGTGGGTCAGCAGGATTGCTCTGTGTTTTTTCAGGAATGTGGCCTGTGATAACTTGCAATCTAGATTATTTGGAAATAGCACTGAGAGAAGCCAGTGAGGACAGAATGCTCAGAAGCTTGGGATAGGTGTTGAACATCCTGGAGGCCAGGACGGAACACTGTCTTACTCTAGGAAGCTGTGTTCCTGGGCCTCATTATCTTCCTCCGTTAAAAACAAAAGACTTAAATCTCCACAGCAGCTTTCAGCAACTTCATTTTTTGGTTCTCTGTATCTGCCTGATAAAGTCCCACTTTGTAGTGGCTCCCACTTATATTTACCTGAATGGCTTTTGGGTTGACATATTTGGAAACTGGGGCTAACTTCCAAACTGTTGGCAACTTGTGTGTGGGTGTGCGTGCCACAGCACAGCAGTCCCACTTGAGAGACTTGATGGTGTGGTGGTGGTTGGGGGGCTTCTGAAGCTGGCTTAGCCCCAGCCCTATACACCCACCCCACAGATGGTGGGAACAAGCCCAGAAGAGAGTGGGTAACTCTGTCCACTGTGGCCTCCACAGCCAAGGTTGCCAGGCAGAGCTCGCAAGGCCCAATTCCAGTCTTGTCTTTGACCGTTGCCCCTTTGTGTTGGGGGGGTGTATTTAGTCACCTTTCTGGAAGCATGCTTTTCTAATTCTAGTCATCAGTAGTTTGTTGCTTTAAGATTTTGAAAATGGTATCCTGTTATTTTACTTAGGAGTTTCGTATTGAATGGTGTACATAATGTGATTCAAGTACCTCAAAACAGAAGGACTTCAGTTAAGATTTAGGCTCTATGCAACATACACTTCTTGCATTTTCTCATTCAATGTCCTTTCCTTTTTTTTTTTTTTTTTTTTTGCAAGAATGTAGCTGACATTCAGAGTAGATTAGTACCTTCAATGTCTGTGTGAAAGAAATGACCTTAATATGAGGACAATATTGACTGTGTATTTAGGGGGCCCACTGTTAAGGCATATAGAATTTTGCTTTATTTCAGACCTGACAATCTCTTGTCTGCTCTGCTTCCGCATAAAATTATAATACTGCACATGGATGTAAAACCCAACCTATTCCCTGCCTGAGGGACTAGAATAGAGGGAAGAATGACTATAGTTCTTTGTTGCCTTTTGTGAAGGTAACAGGCACAGAGGTATGATGCATGATGGAATTATATACCTCTTCTTGAGGTGTTTGAGGGCTGACTAAGGACCTGTACTTTTTTTTTGGTTTGTTTTGCAGTACTGGGGCCAGGGAGCCTTGCTGTTGTGTCTAGAGAGTGTTGAAGAACCATGAATATTTCGCAAAAAGAAAATAATTTTTTTAACCATTAAAATTCCTGGTAGTGACTTCCTCTGGCAAGTAAAAAACTCTCATTTTCCTTAAAAAATGAGAGTTTTTTACTTGCAATAGGAAAACTTGCCAATTTTTCAAGTTATTTTTATTCTTGATGATTCTCAATGAGACATAATTAAAATACACATAGAAAAAACAACCGTAGGCCAGGTGCAGTGGCTCACACCAGTAATCCCAACACTTTGGGAAGTCAAGGTGGGAGGATCACTAGAGACCAGGAGTTTGAGATGAGCCTGGGCAACATATTGAGACACTGTCTCCTCAAAAAATTAAAAAAATTAGCTGGATCCAGTGGTGCACACCTGCAATTGTAGCTATTTGGGAGGCTAAGGTGGAAGAATAGCTTGAGCCCAGGAGTTTGAAGGTGCAGTGAGCCATAATCATGCCACTGTACTCCAGCCCAGGCAACAGAGTAAGATCATGTCTCAATGAAAAAAAGAAAAATCAACCCTAGTGGACTGGAACAGGGCTGGTTTACTTTGTGTCAGCTGCAGTGCCCCCACTCGCCAACCCACATGTTCTTCTCCTGCTGGTTCCCAAGCAGAGACCAGAACCAAGAATGAGAATCATCCTGTGGGTGCAGGTTGTATCTTATCCTCCAGAGACAGCACTTCACCCTCTGTTAGAAACTTCTTTACCACACTGCCTGTTTGGTGAAATCCTTAGGGCAGTGACTTCCAAACTGTGATCCAGGGGCCACCCTTGGTGGGAGGATCAGGAAGGAGGGGGAATGTATCTTAAGAAAAGTTGGGGGAAGCTCATATCTCTTCTCGTTGATCCTGAGAAGTAAAGTCTTTCCTCCTCAGAGAGATGCGGGTAGACATGACTCGCCTAGATAGAAGCTCATTCATCTCCCTCCCTTCTGCCTCTGCAGGACTCTTGGAAGTCTGGGTCCCCGGGAGTATGCGGCTCTTGCTCTGTGCTACAGGTTTCCAAAGTTCACTTGATAACAGTACAATTGTGCTGTAAATTGTGCAGTAATGGAGACTGAGGAAACAATTAGTCTTTCATCTTCATTCATGTTACCAGCTCACTTCCTATGGTGTGAAAAGAGCCAGACTTTGGAGTTAGGAGACATCTGAATACAGACAGAACTGGCAAGATTATGGGGAAGAAAAGGGAAAAGTAATGAATATTTTCAAAGAGGTTAAGCCATTTGGCCAGGACAACACTGCTTGCAGGTAGCAGAACTGGGATTTTGACTGTCCATAATCCCTATTCTCTGCTTGTTTTACTCCTTCCCTCTCTTCTTTCTTTTTTCATTGTCTAATGACCTACAGACATTCTGTCAGCTGCTAAAGAATGAGGGACTCCTTTATAAAGATTGATAGGACAGTGTCGCTACTTAAGGAGTTCCTTCCATGTGGACCAGTGGGGGCGCTGTTGACGCATGGGGCTGGACTTCTCTTTGGAGCAGAGTCCTGTTCCACGGATCGCTGTGACAAGCAGAAAGTGCCCCACCCCACCTCCATACAATTCCTAATGCTCCTGGGTGATACAACCGCCCCAGTGGAAGCACGGTGGTGCATGGACTTCTAGAGACCATTTGAAGCCAGGACATTGCTGCTTGTTCTTAGGAAATGGCAGAATATTACTTTCTTGTTTTTTGTAGGGAAGCCTGCCATCTCACCAGGTGGCAGCTTGTTTATACCTTTTATCCTAACCTGAAGCAGGTGATGGGACAGAGGTCATCGAATATAATGAAAGTGCCACAAAGGTAGAGTCTGGGTATATTTTATTTATGCAGGTAGAGTGACTTGTCCAGATCCCTTCACACAGAGCAACATTTAATATGGTAATTGTTACTGCTGAAGTTGGCCATTTCTCGGACCTACAGCTGCAAGGAATTGGTAACAAAAGGATAAACTAAACATTGTTACTATTTTAATTTTCAAGGAGATGAAGTTAAAATCATATATGTCATATCTCTCTGGGGCTTAGCCACCTTTTCTGCTGGGCACTTTTTGAAGAAGTCTGAATACTGAGATAGGAGAGTAAAGGGGGGAAAGTAAGTTTGCCCACTTCTCATCCTTTTTCTGACCATCAGCCTGAGGGAAGTAACTAGAATCCGCTAAGAAAATTCACTTAATCAGCAGTTGATTGATTGTTATATTGTCCACATTGCAAAATTCTTTAAAGGATATTTGAAGATATTATCACATTTGTTCTCTTACAATCTATTGTATTGTTTATTTGAAGGGGTGAGTGTTAATAGTTCTTAAGATATCGTACTTTATTTCCGGTAGCATATCCAAGAAATAATTTAGAAGTATTGTTAATGGGAATGATGTTAAATAATTTTTCTATGACTAGTAGTTGGGACATATATGATATAAAACATGGTATCTTTGTTACTTAAGTAATTTGAACTCTAACCCCATATATCTTAGGTAGACAATGAAAATACTGAATTGTTAGTCTAAATAATATACACGTACTCATTCCGCAAATATTTATTAGGTATCTACACACCCTAGGAATCTTTCAGGGCATGAAGCTGTTTTAATCTTCCAAGATAATGCAGCACGTATCCCCCTTGAGGGACATTTGTTTTTCAAATTGCTCCTCTGTGTCTCCTCTGCTTAGGATATGAGTTCCTCTAAGACTGTATTTTAATCTTTTGTGTAATTCTGATGTCTAGCGCCATGCCTGGTGCTTACGTAATAGTTGCTCAGTCAGTTTGAGGGTGAGTCCATTAACTGCCCTCTAGGAGCTTGATATTTAATATAAACTAGTCTGTGATACATGACAATGCTGTGACAGTGCAGATGAGAAAATGTGACTTCTAACTGGGGTGCTCAGAGAGGATATCCTGGAGGAACTGCCATTTTAACTAGACTTTTCTTTTAAGCAGGTAGATTTTGTTTGGTTCAGGCTTCAGCTGGAAGCCCAAGCAATGGTGCAGATATGAGCTGGACTATGACAGACTATTGGGCCAGTGGGGCTGACAAGGTTAACTTGGGGGTTGCCATAGAGGGCCTTCAGTGCTCATGTGCACTGTTTCAAGTTTGTACAGGGCATCTGGAAACCATGGAAGAAGATTCTGGAAAGGGCAGGGCAGGTAAACTGGATGTGGATAGGAAGTTACTGTGGCAGGTGAATTGGAAGATGGACAGGTTGGAGGCAGGGAGATGGTGAGCGGGCTCCTGCCAAGGTGTAGGTCTGAGCATTGTTGTGACGGCTTAGTTGGTTTGACATCAGCACACAGATTGAGGATCTGTCATTGTAACTCTAAATTGTATCCTTGTTAGACATGTAAAAATAACTTTTTAGAGCCTCCGTTTTTAAGGAGGGAAGTGGATTGTGCTCAAGCTTGCATGCTCCGCTGTTCCTGTGCTTTAAAAATACTCATCCACCAGTGTGGTCACTGATGAAAGGGGAGGAAAAACTAGCCAGAAGTTGCCATTTTGCTTAAAGAATGGATTCATTTCTTCCTCAAGGTGGCACAGAGAGAGTTTCTCTCTTTTTGCCCCTCTCTTAGATTGATTTACTATTTTTAGTAAATTCTAACAGTCTGATCCTTGCTTCCAATTACAATGATTAGCAATATTTGCCCAAGACAAGAAAAAACAATTTCCTCTCTTTTCTCTCCTATGAGCTTTTCCTGTGAGCCCCAAGCAGACAGATGTGGACATCTAGCAATGCTGTTAACAACAGCTGCAGTCCGTTGGACTCTCTGCAACACTGGGCACGGTACAAAGTGCTCTGACAAACTCTTCTGCCCTTTGCAATCCTTACTACGCCCTGTGAGGTGAGGAGTATTCTTCCTGTTTTGTAGGTGAAGAACTGAGGCAAAGAGAGGTTATGTCATTAGATTTCACAATAGGGTGTGTTTCCGTTTCATCATCTTTAGATTGATGTTACTGTGACATCATCTTCCTAGAATTAACAAAGTGAACTGGGCACAGGAAATAGCACATGGCACACCTTCAGCAAATGGTGGTTGTGATCATTTTCATCATTCCATTTCTTCTTGAAAAAAATCCCTTTTTTTTTTTTTTTTTGAGACAGAGTCTCACTCTGTCGCCCAGGCTGGACTGGTGTGATCTCGGCTCACTGCAAGCTCCGCCTCCCGGGTTCACGCCATTCTTCTGCCTCAGCCTCCTGAGTAGCTGGGACTACAGGCACGGGCCACCACGCCTGGCTAATTTTTTTGTATTTTTAGTAGAGACGGAGTTTCACCGTGTTAGCCAGGATGGTCTCGAACTCCTGACCTCGTGATCCGCCCACCTCGGCCTCCCAAAGTGCTGGGATTACAGGCATGAGCCACCACGCCTGGCAAAAATCCCTCGAGTTCCAGTGTAAACACTCACGCCCTTTTTTGCTGTTTGCTATAAACCTCTCATTCTCCTTGGTCTTCTTGTCCTTGTGTGAGGTCCTGGTTGTTGTGGAGACTGAGGTCTTCTGAGACAGAAAACCAACCCCATAGCAGGCCTGGTGTGTGCCCTAGAATGGCAGAGGCCCCACACGTTGCCCCGGCTCCTCTGGAAGACCCTCCAGCCTGTCTGCTGGATTCCTTGTACTTATGAGGATTGTTAAACCATCTCATAGGATTCCTTTCCAGACTCAGCCCTTCACTTGTGGCAGCATTTCTTACTCTGAGGTTCTGGGCCTAGAAACCCAGTGTCCATAGGCAAGGTCTAGGGACAGAGAGAGTTTGTAGAAAGTGGGAATGCATCAGTGGAAGGCTAAATCCAAACAGGAACTGAGCTGGCCTGGGTGGCTTTGTCCTTTTGCCATCTTCGTAACCCTTTAAAGGCTTTAAGACACTTCTTTTGTAATAACTACCCCAACTAAATTTGGCCAGAGCTGTGAAGGGAAAGAAAATCTAAGACCCTTGAGGGAGATGACAGCCGAACGTTTTACATTTTTACCACCTTTGTTGTTGCCATGCACAGCTGATACATAAACAAGTAATGGCCTCATCTTCTATTCTTTTATTTACTGGTTAGACCCAGAACCCTAAAAGGTAGATGCTTCTCATGGTCATTTGGCATTTGCAACAGGAGCTGAATTTATTAATAGTACTAATACCTCATCCTTGGACATCCTTGGGTTGTCCGATATTTTTAAGGGGCATTTACATCCTTTGTTTTTCATATGGAAAACTTTTCCGTAAGGGCTGGTATCATCTTGGCCTTCCATTGCAGGAACAGCACAGGGAGGTTCGGTGGCTAGGCCACAGTTACCCACGCAGCTAGGTAGCAGCAGAGGCCCCACCTGGCACCCCCTGGCTTCCTAAGCACATCGCACTGTGCAGCCTCCCTGAGGAAGCCTCGAGTGGATAGGAACTCTGGTTCTTTAAGATAAACCTGAGTTGGATCTCACTGTCACCATTTATCAGATGGGGCGATGTCTTCAGGCAAAAGTACTTAACCTCTCTGTTTTTGTTTCCTTACTCCAAAATGGTAATGATCATACTACTACCCACCTGGGTGGATTGGTGTGCATATGAAGGAGGTCATGGGGACAAGTGGTTGGAAGAGTGTTGAGCACATAGAAAGTACAAGATAAATGGTGGCCATTATGTTACTACTTAGACTATATCATACTTGTCTTTATCTGGGCTTAGAATCTTGACACTGAGATCTTTCATTCTCAGATCTTAATATGAAAGCTTACCAGGTAAACACTACCCCAACATAATTATTTAGTGGGTTCATACATGTGAAAGCAGTTGAAATACAATTTCTGAACTCCGGGTTAATTTATATCCTTAGTTGGAACAGGTAGTACCCTCCCAGCACCTAAGGCCTCTCACTTCTATCCATTCTTCAGATGACCTTTGCAATAATCATGGTAATTGAATAGCATCTGCACCATAACATTGTTGAATAACATCAAAATGATCCATTTAGCCATCATGAGCCTTCCTAGTAATTCAGACTCACACCAGTTCTTTCAGGTTATTGAGTAGCTTTTACAAATAATTGCTAACAGTACAAATACTGTCTCAGGTATTTTGGAAGGGTGAATTTTCCCATTGATTTCAGTGTATCTTTAGGAGGTAATTTGCAAAACCGAAGAGTTTGGTTCCGTCAAAGTCACCCCTAAGGAGTGTGGAGGACCACATTGTAGGTTTATACTGCACTGTCCCTCATGCTTGAAATTTGGCTCATGCAACCAAGGAACTGAATTTTTAATTTCGTTAAATTTTGATTTAAATTTTAAAACAGAAATAGTATAAAATATTTTTCTGTTAAATATACCTTGTAGTGTTGGCAAGACTACATTTCGTGTTACCATGCTGGGTAAGATTTCTTGTAGTGTGTATTGTGTTTTGTCACCTCGTTAATAATTTTCTTATTTTGGTTGCATGTTAAAATAATTTTGGATATATTGGGTTAAATAAATATATTGTTAAAATTAAATTCACTTGTTTATTTTTTTGTTGGTGAGGCTAGGCTACTAAAAAATTTAAAATTACCCATGTGGATTGCATTATATTTCTATTAGTGCTGCTTTAGCTGCAAGTAGCCTATTTAAAAAAAATCATTATTTTCAGACTTATGGACTTCATAGAATCAGAGGTATTTAGAGGAAAGGATCTTGGGGGTCACCTAATCCAGCTCCAACATTTTGCAAGTGATAAGACCAAGGCCAGAGGCTACAATAAAATGACTGACCTCCTCCCAGATGGGGACTGGATCCCAGTGGCTTTATAGCCTTTGCCTTGGATCCTGGTTTTACTTGGAAACATAGCAGACATCAGAGCTGCAGAGAACTTCTACCAGATCCGGAGTGAAGAAAATGCCTTATTTATTTATTTATTTATTTATTTATTTATGGAGACCGGGTATTGCTGTGGCCTAGGCTGTAGTATAGTGGCAGAAACATGGTTCACTGCAGCCTCAACCTCCTGGGCTCCAGGATCCTCATGCCTCAACCTTCTGAGTAGCCGGGGCCACAGGTACGCGCCACCACGCCTGGCTATTTTTTTTTTTCTCTTTTGTAGAGACTGCGTCTTCCATGTTGGCCAGGCTGATATCAAAACTCCTGGGCTCAAGTGGTCCTCCTACCTTGGTCCCCCAAAGTGCTGGGATAACAGGTGTGAGCCATCATGCCTGTTTTGGCAGTTTTTAGGGGCCCACGCTAATTTTGAGCCAGGTTTGCGCTTGATAATGTAATGCTGGAGGCTGGGCAGGGGACATGATCTGCCTGAAAGGGCTGAGAACTGGGAGGCTCTTATTCCTATAGTATTGAGAGCAAAGGCACAGTCTTACAGAACCACACAATATTCAGAGCTTGTGGGTTGGAGAAGGAAAGTCCTCTGAAAAATAAAAAAAAGAGTACAGAGGCCAGAGGCGGTGGCTCATGCCTGTAATGCCAGCACTTTGGGAGGCCCAGGCAGGCGGATCACCTAAGGTGAGGAGATCGAGACCAGCCTGACCAACATGGAGAAACCCTGTCTCTACTAAAAATGCAAAATTGGCCAGGCATGGTGGCGCATGCCTGTAATCCAAGCTACTTGGGAGGCTGAGGCAAGAGAATCGCTTGAACCCGGGAGGCGGCGGTTGCGGTGAGCTGAGATCACGCCATTGCACTCCAGCCTGGGCAACAAGAGTGAAACTCTGTCTCAAAAAAAAAAGAAACAGAGTACAGGTCAGACATTGGGCAATTTTCTCATAACAATTTCATAGGCCATTAATTTGGTTACAGACTTGAATAGCACACAACAGTTCTCTAAGGGTCAGTTTCCAAAGTAATTCCTAATATTTAATGAATTTTTAAGTGATAGAAATTGCAGTAGGAAAGTCTAGCTTGAAATCTAATTTGTGTTAGGTTGACCAGGTGACAACCACCCACCCCTGGATTCTGCTCAGTTAGGTCAGACCTGGGGCCAGTTGCCCATTTAGCATCTCAGGCCTCAGGATCCTCATTTATAAACCTGGGGTTTGAACTGCGGTCTCCACGATCACTGTCAGCTCTCCTTAGTCAGTTGGTTGTTCTAAATGTAGTTTAGTGGCCAGTAAACACCTGTTCCTGAGTGATACATCTTTAAGGAGCCGGTAGATGGGTCAACCTGGCTGGACTTGCTTTTTCAAGTCTGCCTTGTCTATTAGAAAGGCTGAGCTTACTGATTTTGCCTGTCACGTTTGAGTGTTCCTGAGACTTTGCCCAGCCTCGGTCTTATCTGCGGGTACCCCAGCCTCTGCATTCCTTGCCCCTACAAAATGTGCTGCCAGTTCCAAAGGCACAAATGAAAATTAGCTTGGCTGGAGCATGGCTAGGCACACACCAGTGGTTAAAGAAATGCTGTTTGCTGGCTGACACTTCTGGAGTGGAAGTTTATTCTTTTTTCTTTTTTTTTTTTTTTTTTGCGGGGTGGGGCAGAGTTTTGCTCTTGTTGCCCAGGTTGGAGTGCAATGGCACGATCTCGGCTTGGAGCGATCTTGGGTCACCATAACCTCCGCCTCCTGGGTTCAAGCGATTCTCTTGCCTCAGCCTCTGGAGTAGCTGAGATTATAGGCTCCCGCTACCACGCCCGGCTAATTTTTTGTATTTTTAGTAGAGACAGGGTTTCACCATGTTGGCCAGGCTGGTCTTGAACTCCTGACCTTACGATCCACCTGCCTCGGCCTCCCAAAGTGCTGGGATTACAGGCTTGAGCCACGGCGCCCGGCCTTTATTCCTTTCTTTGGCCTCAATTTTATTGTTAAGAGATAGTGGGAAGGGCCCAATTTTGAAATGATCCTGGAATTAATGTAGGAGGCCTTGTATAAGCAGTTAATGTGTATTTATTGAGTGGGTACCCTGTGCCAATATGATACAAGGTGTGAAGGACACATGAGTTGGGAAAGGCATGGGGAAATGCACGCTCACACTGCTGGTGCGAGTGTAAAAGGTACAGTCTCTATGTAGGGCTATTTGGCAGTATATACTCTTTGACCCAGCAACTCCACTTTTAAGTATTTATCTTAGGGATACCCTCACACATTTATGAAATGATTTATATACAAGGATATTCATTATAGCAATATTTGTAATGGCAAAAAGAAACAAAAGTCAGATGGGGGACTGATTAAATAATTATGTTATTAAGTAATACTGTTTCAGTACATCTGTGTAATGAAATAATGTCCAGTCATTAAAAATAGTGAGGCAAAGTCTGGGTGCAGTGGCTCACGCCTGTAATCCCAGCACCTTGGGAGGCTGAAGCCGGAGGATTGCTTGAGACCAGCCTGGGCAACATAGTGAGACCCTGTCTGTACAAAAAAAAAAAAAAAAAAGTAAAATATTAGCCAGGCATAGTGGCACATGCCTGTAATCTCAGCTATTCAGGAGGCTGAGGTGGGAAGATTGCTTGAGCCCAGGAGGTTGAGGCTGCAGTGAGCTGTGATTCTGCCACTGCACTCCAGCCTGGGCAACAGAACAAGACCCTATCTTAGAAAAAAAGAAAAAAAAGAAAAAGGGACAACTTACAACTCTGTGCCCTGATGTAGAACCATCTCCAAAATATATTAAATGAGTGTGGGATACTATGCTTATATGCGATTGTGTGTATTTAATGGCTTCCTAAGAAAACAAAAAAAAACCTGATACTAGTGATTGCCTTGGAGGAGGGTAACTGGGAAATTACTTTTGCAACTTTTAAATCTTATACCATGTACACCTGGTATCTATTTTTAAAAAGCCATTTTCATGCCCTAAATGAGTTTAGTCAGACCATAGTAAGAAAATCCTGTAAGACATACAAAGTATGGGGTAATTACTGGCTTTATGGGAAGACTGATTTCAATGCAAAACTCTCCCTATGCAAGGGAGTTGTCCTGATTTCAATGCTAAGCTCTCTTTAGGCAAGTTACGTTGGCCTGATTTGCCTGTTAAGTCGTATGGGGCAGGCAAGTCTGAGTGTCCAGAGGGCAGACCTTTAACTCTTAGTTTCCTGCCTTGGGAGAAGGCACAGGGCTAAAGTGGTTTCCAGAACGTGTCTGTTGTGGTGTGAACACCAAGGAGCAGTGGACAAGCTTCCCAGGCTCAAGGTCAGAAGGTCTGGACTGGAGTCCTGCCTCTGCTACTTGGTGAATATGTGATTTGGGGCAGGTTGCTTAATCCCCGAAGCCTCAACGTGTTCATCTAGAAATGAAGATTACAGGCTGGACGCAGTGGCTCATGCCTGTAATCCCAGCACTTTGGGAGGCTGAGGCAGGCAGATCATCTGAGGTCAGGAGTTCGAGACCAGCTTGGCCAACATGGCAAAACCCCATCCCTACTAAAAATACAAAAATTAGCTGGGCATGGTGGCAGGTGCCTGTAATCCCAACTACTCGGGAGGCTGAGGCAGGAGAATCACTTCAACCCAGGAGGTGGAGGTTGCAGTGAGCTGAGATTGTGCCACTGCACTCCAGCCTAGGCAACAGAGTGAGACTCTGTCTCAAAAAAAAAAAAGACTACAATACCTGGCCCAACTCCCTCATGCTACTGTAGTGAGGCTCAAATGAGATAGCACCCATGAACACTCCTGTAAACCATGAAGTATGCAAACACCAGGTGTAATAGAAGCTGTTAGGTACCTGTGAGGCCAGCAGACAAGAGCAAGAGATGCTAATTTAAAAAGAATTAAGGTGAAGCAAAGATCTTTTCCCTCTGCCAAATAACTTGGCAAGAGTTGTAAAATTAGAAAAGTAGACCCTTAGTAGTTTGATAATCCTTTGACCTCTGACCCTGCACAAATGATCTCACCCTTTAGACCTGTTCCCTTATTTGCAAAACAAGAGGGGCTGTCTGGGTGATTCCTGTGGTCCCTTCCAGTTGTAGCGTTCCGTGACAGTGTGGCATTAACAGTAATTCCCATCTTGGCTGAGATGGATGAGTCATACTAACTGAAAAGTCAAAATACGAGGAAGAAGTCTCTTTATGTATGAGAATTTTCCTTGAGCTAGAGACTCAGAGCCTCTTGGGGAGGAGATGAGGGAAAACATTGCCACCACCAAGAAGGGAGACGAAGGATGTATAAAGAGAATGGAGATGTATTTACTTTTTTTTTTTTTTTTTTTTTTTTGAGACAGAGTCTCACTCTGTCCTTCTGGCTGGAGTGCAGTGGCACGATCTTGGGTTACTGCAATCTCCACCTCCCAGGTTCACGCCATTCTCCTGCCTCAGCCTCCCAAGTAGCTGGGACACAGGCGCCCACCACCACGCCCAGCTAATTTTTTGTGTTTTTAGTAGAGATGGGGTTTCACCGTTAGCCAGGATGGTCTCCATCTCCTGACCTCGTGATCCGCCCGCCTCGGCCTCCCAAAGTGCTGGGATTACAGGCGTGTGCCACCGCACCCAGCCGAGATTATTTACTTCTTGTGTGTTCTTGCCATCTCCATAGCCTCCTTTGCTTTCAAATGCCCACTTGGGCTGGGCCTTTGGAAAATAGATTTAACCCTTGTTTATTGGAAGGATATTCACACAGTAGGCCAGTTATACACTTTGTGGCAGTCGTTACCTCTTCTGTGAGGTCTTTCTGTGCAGATTTAGTGGCACCTCCTCCATGCTGCCTGGGCTTCTACTTGCTTCTCATCACTTTGTCTCATAACTCAGATCAGAGACTGTGTCTTACTCATCTTTGTATCCCTGGCATCTGAGGGGGTGGTATCTGATGGGTAGATGGATTAGTGATCCACTTAGGGTATTTACACTAATCTTGTTGATCTTGACTACTACCTTTATAACCACCACCATTCTACAAGTTTTAACTTTTTTTTTTTTTTGAGACAGAGTTTTGCTCTTGTCACCCAGGCTGGAGTGCAATGGCGCGATCTTGGCTCACTGCAACCTCTGCCTCCCCGGGTTCAAGCGATTCTCCTGCCTCAGCCTCCCGAGTAGCTGGGACTACAGGCACCCGCCACCATGCCTGGCTAATTTTTTTGTATTTTTAGTAGAGACGGGGTTTCACCGTGTTAGCCAGGATGGTCTCAATCTCCTGATCCTGTGATCCACCTACCTCAGCCTCCTAAAGTGCTGGGATTACAGGCGTGAGCCACCGCACCCAGCAAGGATCTTTTTTTTTTTTTTTAAAGCTAAGTGTTTTATACATATAATAATATTGTTAATAAAATGTATCTAAAATTCATACCACCAGCACACAAGGTCTCCGGCTAGCAGCAGTAAATGGCATTTAGTACTTACTTAGCCCCCAAGCCTGGATGACTGACTATACTGACTTATTATTACTTTTAGCTATTTGTAGGTAGTTACATCTGAAAATTGACCAGGCACAGTGGTTCATGCCTGTAATCTCAGCACTTTGGGAGACCAAGGCAGGAGGATCAGTTGGGGCCAAGAATTTGAGACCAGCATGAGTAACATAGCAAGAACCATCTCTACAAAAAATAAAAATTAACCAGGCATGGTGATGCATGCTACTTGGGAGGCCAAGGTGGGAGGATCACTTGAGCCTGGGAATTAGAAGCTGCAGTGAGCTAGGAAGGTGCCACTGCACTCCAGCCTGGGCAACAGAGCAAGACTCTTAATCTCTTTTAAAAAAAAAATCTGAAAAGGACCCCAAGGATTGAACTTTATCTTTACATTTATCTTTACAAATCCAGGATCAAAAGAGAGGGTAAAGGATCACTTGGGGAGTTTAGAAGTGGCAGAAGTATCTGTAGAAGCCTTACGGTGTGAATGTGCTGGATTGTGTGTGCCCACCCTCATGGGGGACTTCCTTGGAGGATGAGGGTACACCAGCATGGGCAGCAAAGCTGTTTGACCTCAAGGTGGAGATCTGAGCCACCTGGTCAGTCCATGCCCAGTTAATTTCTATGGAGGTTTGGTAAAGTAGGTTAGGGAGTTGGATCCAATGTTCCTGAAGTTTCTGTTGGTAATATGGCAGGGGTCGGGTCGGGTGTGGGGAGGGTTGGATCATTCTAAGGGCAGTACAAGACCTAATC
This sequence comes from Homo sapiens, assembly GCF_000001405.40. NCBI lineage: Eukaryota > Metazoa > Chordata > Mammalia > Primates > Hominidae > Homo > Homo sapiens. The sequence goes on along the minus strand of NC_000002.12, from coordinate 177,243,123 downwards.
CCAAAGGTGAGAAGTTCCTCTCTGTGGAGGACAGCATTTAGAACTCAATACATACATGGCTTGTTCAAAAATGGGGAAGAGATTAGAAAAATTTATCCTAATGTTTGCTTGTCAAACCAAGCCATTCTCTCAGCAAAGTAGTGAAACCCTTACATAAGTCCTTTGAAGCCTAGCAGCAGTATCCTACTCAAACACAAACCACCAAAAAAAAAACAAAAAAAAAACAAAACCTCCTTGGGGACTCAGATGTGAACCTCTCATGGAAAATTCAGTACCATGTGCTTTTTGTAGCAGGTAGGATCACCTGCTGTTTTGGAAATTAACTTTTTTTCTGACATCTTTTTGACCGAACTCTGCATGTGCCTCTTGAGAAAATAATCCAAATTCTTGCTTTCTTCACTTTCCAGTTTTGCTTTATCTTTGCATCATGCTCTGCAGTTTACAGACAAGCATAATGGGTGAGAGTTCCAGTAAATTGGCTGGATCATATTTCTTAGATTGAGTCATGACTGAGGAACTTGTTTGGGAACAGGAAGCAGCCCATGAAAATGGCTGCACATAGTAACCTGCCAGATTGAAGAAACCGGACCACTTTCTAGTGGAAAGATAAAAGGGCAGAAAAATGGTTCTATAACTCAGGGAATGGTAAATTTGTGAACTAGGGTTTTAACTTGTTGAATAATACGTCTTTGTGTGTATTTGGGCTTTTTTATGCTGTTAAAAGTCTCTAGTTATTCAAGATAAGGGAAAGGAAAACTTGGATTCGTGGTAACTGTTGCTACCTCTTAAATGTCTCTGCTGATGTATACAACATGTTGCTAGGCCAGTTATTTTTTTTAAGGCACTGTAGTTACATAGAAATAAACCTGGCAACATTTACACTTGGCCTCGATAGGCTGTAAGGCCCCTTTTGTCTCCAGTATTCTGTGTTTCTGTATTTTAATCACCTACTTTACACTTACTGTAGCAACACAATCAAGATAGCAAATCAGTCTAATAAAACCAAAAGTACTGGAATGTGGGAAATAGAAAGAATGACCTAGAATTCTTGCTGAGAAAACAATTGGTATTGCTATATTCTTGTAATGCAGTGTGAGAGAAGCCAGAGAAGTAAATAGGCAGATACATATCTATGAAATGTAATTAGTCATCAGCAAGATGTATTTTAAAAACACATCTGCTTGGTGTCATTTTGCTTTATCTAATAAGGATTACGACTGCAAGGCAGAGATTTGTAAATGAAGGAGATCTCTGTTGTTTTTGTTTTGTTTTTGCTTTTGTTTTGTTTTAAGACAGGGCTGGAGGGCAGTACATGATCATGGCTCACTGCAACCTTCATCTCCTGGGCTCAAGTGATCCTCCCACATCAGTTTCCCAAGTAGCTGGGACTACAGCAGTGTCTCACCATGTCTGGCTAATTTTTAAATTTTTTTGTAGAGTTGAGGCCTGTGTTGCCCAGGCTGGTCTCAAACTCCTGGGCTCAAGTGATTCTCACACCTCAGCCTCCCAAAGAGCTGGGATTACAGGTGTGAGCCACCGTGCCTGGCTGTTATTTTATCAATTCCTCAAAATTCAAGCATGCCCTCAAATATTTTTGCAGCCTCATATAGCTCTTAATTTGGTTTATATTCATCCAGATGGTAGGATATGATTCATGTTCCACCTGGTTTTCTTCAGAAATACTTAGACAGTGTCTATGGAAAAAAACATTGAACCAGATTTAGCTTTTAGGTAAATAATATAATCACCTGGGAATAATATGAAGAATGAAATGAAAGAAAGAAAAATATAATCAAGTGTAACTTAGACTCTGAATGCTGGTAACTAAGATTTGGATGAAGGAAGGATCTCAGGGGAATAACATTAAAATAAGATTTTTTTTAAATGGAAATACATGATTTTAAGAAGGAATAACTTAAGACATTCCAACTTTATACTACATGAAAGTAAAAAGATCAAGGATCAGTTTTCTCTTTGGAGCAAGGCTCAGTTTCGCTTTCTGTTGAGAGTTAGTAGTGTGTATAATTAATTTTTTTTAACAGTTTATTGATGAAATTTATTTTTAGAAGGAAATCTCCCACCACCTTCCTGTCATTCTCAGGGCAAGATAGAGGGTAGGAGAGGGAAGGGAGACTCGGGGGAATGGGAGGTGCAAGCCTTAATTAGACATTTGAGTGTCTAAAAGATTACTTTTCATTTCAAATACTTTGTCTCAGTTTACTGAATAGCTTTAATTTAGGACAGGGATTGTATTATCTTTGCTTTATCTTTTCCAATATTTTGGATCATCTAAGCATGATAGATGCTGGTTTATTCAAGGCACTAAAATTGACTTGCAAAAGACATATTTAATATGGATTCTGTGTTCAAGTCCTTTCTTCTTTGTTTATCCTGGTACAAAGATGTTTGTTTTAAAGTGGTATGAGTTAATTGTCCAACTTCAGATTTCCCTAAAATGTGTAACAGATTACCCAGTTGGCAAATGATGATATATATTTTTTAAACATGAATATTTCTGTTAGGCCAGATGGTGATTTAACATGAATTGTCCAACATTTGTGTTTCTTATCAAATTGTCTTCTTTTGTCTAAGCCAAGCTAGCAACATAATTTGGAACACACTCAGGAATCACTAAAGGACAAGAGCAAAAAAAATTCAGACACCAAGTGGCAGACGGCATTTGCTCCATATGCCATGCAAAGGCTCCTGGCCAGTGCTCGCATGGCCCTTGGGAAGCTTTCTCACCCGTTGTAAGAAAGTATCTGTGCAGTGCTGTGCAACCCATCTACCTGCTTTCCTCTCTCTACCCAAACCCTACTTATCTAACACTTTGTACTGTGGCCTTCCTCCATGGGGGACTTGCACTTCCTCAAAGCCCTGGATTTCTGTGCAGAAGAGCAGTTTTAGTTCTTCCTTAGGCACTTCCCTTTCCTCCTGTCCAGTGTCATGTTCTTGTTTGTTATGGGCTCCACCCAGACGATTATTTCCTCTTAGATGATGTGTGAGCCTTGCAGAGAGCTGGGTCATTTGTGGAATAAATCATGTGCCCAGTCACACGGCTCCTTACAGGAAATGGTTGGTGCATATTAGCTTAGCACAAAATACAGTAGTGAGCTTGTGGTCCCCAACAGTGAGTCTTCAGTTAACTTCTGCTGTTTTTTTTTTTTTTTTTTTAACATAAAGCTTTGAATGTTTCATACAGTATCAAATCTCTGCAGGATTTTGCCTGCTGAAACAGATGTGAAAATCTGAGTAGCACAGAGTATGACATTAAGGCCATAACAATAAACCTATTGTTGCTGCATTCTAAATTTGATCAAGATGTCTGTTTTTGGGAATCCAAAATAGTTGCTTCAAATTTAGCTTTTTTCTTTTATGAAGCAGTTTTGTTTTGTTTTGTTTTGAGACCTCTCATAGCAAGAAAAAACATTACATAAACTTTTTTTTGAGACAAGGTCTCACTTTGTTACCCAGGCTGGAGTGCAGTGGCACGATCTTGGCTCACTGCAGCCTCGACCTCCTGGGCTCAAGCAGTCCTCCCACCTTAGTCCCCCACGTAGCTGGGACTACAGGCACATGCCACCACGCCCGGCTAATTTTTGTATTTTTAGTAGAGACAGGGTTTCACCATGTTGCCCAGGCTGGTCTCGAACTCCTGAGCACAAGCGATCTGCCCGCCTCGGCCTCCCAAAGTGCTAAGATTATAGGCGTGAGCCACCATGCCTGGCCACATAAATATAAACTTAAAAATACACAGGAAAACCTTTCAGAACACTTTGAAACCTATTTTGGTCCTATTACGATTGCACTGAATGTCCCCCAGCCTAATGAAGAGCAATTAGATGTCATTTGGTGGCATTCTTGGTGGAGACAGTAAGCTAGGGCCGCAGGAGCTGCTTAGTCTCCCAGGGTCCAGCATTGTTTCAGGTAACGTGAACAGGATGCTCAAGAGCTAGTCTAAATAATGCTTCATGTCTTATTTTTCCTGTTTGTTGATAAGGATTCATAAAGATGTCTTTTTCTGGTCATGTCAAGGGAAATTCAAATAAAAAACATTGAATTGGTTTGGAGCTGTCCATTGAAGGGTACTCACAGCAGGAATTGAGTGGCAATTGAATGTGTGTGTGTGTATGTTTGTAAACATTTATATTAGAGTGTATGCAAATGTATATGGGCGTGCCCACTGCCATCACCATTACCCCCACCAACAGTAACAAAACCACCATCAAGAGCAATATCCACTAAAACTTCTAATTTGCTTATTAATTTGCTTTATTATTTGTAAATAATTCAGAATCTCTGAGATCAAAATCCTTTTTTATTACAACATGTTAATAGTAGTCTAATTCAGACCTGCCCTGAGGAAGAACCAAGCAATGAAGCTGTCCATGATTTTAGAAGTTAATTGGCTCATTCTTTCTGACCATCTAGGTAGTCCCAACATTATTTTAGGCTCCCCCTAGTTAGGTCCACAACCTCATTATTATCCATTGGCCTGGACTTTGGTCTCGCTTATACAGCAAGTAGTAGAGCCTATCACTGTCAACATGTAAACATTTGCATATTTTACATTTATAGAGAGATACTTTTCACGTGCCTCATTTGATCCACTAACATCTGTATGCTTGGGTAGGATGGAATAATTAAACAATGTATAGCTAAAGCCATCCAAACCCCTCAAATATTATCATCTGATGGGAAGGAAAAGGGGGGGAAAGGAAATTAAATAGTTATTTCAATTCTTGGCATGATTGACACTGACAATTATAAATTCCATTCAATATTTTCTTCCAGCTCATGAGGGTTGGTTGTAAGGATACTTTGCAAGTCAGATTTATGAGCAGAAGATGTTTGCAACCTAAATTGCTTCAGTTGCATGAAAAAGTCACAACCTTTTACTGATTTTTATCCTGGGATCTCCTTAACAAGAAAAAACCTCAGGCCCAGGAAGTCTAGGGTGAGGCAGGGATGTGTCAAAGTACACTTTTCCCCACGTACAGGGACAAGTATTTGAGTTTCTTTGATTGACTTTGCAAAGAGCTTTGCACACTTTGCACATCACTTCTTGAGATGGGTGGGAACATGGACTGCCTATTTTACAGAGTTCAATTAAGATCGCAGGATCATGCATTCCTTTCATTTTTGGTGCTAGTACCTAGAAGATGGGAACATATTGAACACTTAATACCTTGCTTGGGCAGATAGCTCCAGTTTGCAGAAAGTCTAGACAGGATACCCTGCTATGTATCTAGATTTACTGAGAAGAAGCGGCCCAAGCTAATCAGAATTTTAAAGTAGGTTTCTCAGCTGGGCGTGGTGGCTCACACCTGTAATCCCAGCACTTTGGGAGGCCGAGGCAGGCAGATCACTTGAGGTCAGGGGTTCGAGACCAGCCTGGCCAACATGGCGAAATCCTGTCTCTACTAAAAATAGAAAAATTAGCCGGGCATGGTGGCACGCACCTGTAATCCCAGCTATTCAGGAGGCTGAGGTGAGAGAACTGCTTGAACCCTGGAGGCGGAAGTTGCAGTGAGCTGAGATTGTGCCACTGCACTCCAGCCTGGGCGACAGAGCGAGACTCCGTCTCAAAAAAAAATAAAATAAAGTAGGTTTCTCTATACCTTTGAATTTTCTGTCTCCCATGATAACCTTTGGGTAAACATGTCCATCAGAATGGAAACAAATCATTTTTTAAAATAGAAATTATTCTCATACCTATTTTAGTGGGAATCCCCCTGAGAAGATAGCCATGTATAGTCGACTGAATGCTCTGTGGTTGCTATTTTGTTGCTCTTGGCCAGGAAACTGATCTAGGTGACCTACAGACTTAATCTGACCTGCAGACTGGCCGCTTCATACTACCAAGATTCCAAAGCCAAGTGTATATACAGTCGGCCCATGCAGCCTCTGGTTCCATGATGCAACCAATGGCAGATTGGTTCAAAAATATTTGGAAAAAGGCCAAGCACAGTGGAGTGGTTCATGCCTGTAATCCTAGCACTTTGGGAAGCTGAGGCAGGAAAATCAATGGAGCCCGGGAATTCAAGACCAGCCTGGGCAAAATGGCAAGACGCCATCTCTACAAAAAGTAATTAGCTGGGCTTGGTGGCATGTGCCTGTAGTCCCAGCTACTTGGGAGGCTGAGGTGGGAGGATCACTTGAGCCCAGGTGAAGGCTGCAGTGAGCCATGATTGCATCACCACACTCCAGCCTGGGTGACAGAGTGAGACCCTATCTCAAAATGAGTAAATAAATAATAAAATTTCAAAAGGAAAAAAGTGGAAAAAAAACCCGAAAAAATAACAATACACACATAAAATACAGTATAACAACTATTTACACAGCATTTACACTTTACTAGGTATTGTAAGTAATCCAGGGATGAGTTAAAGTATATAAAGGGATATGCATAGGTTATTTGCAGCAAATGCCATGCCATTTTATAATAGTGTAGGCTCATGGCTAATAAAGCATGAACCCGACTGAAGCTGCCTGGGTATGTGTCTTTGTTCAGCCACTTTCTGGTAGTATCTTTTTTCTTAACCTCAGTATTCTTATACTGTATAACAGGAATGTTTTCTCTGTATAAGGCTGTTTTGAGGAATAGTTTCTATATGTAAAGTACTTAGAACAGTGCATAGCATATAGGAAGCCCTTAATAGATACTGGCTTAAAGATAATTAGGTATGTCCTAGTGAGGTATACCTAACTACAAGTGCTACTTTAACTATGCCTACTTTGTGTGCTTTACAATATATATTGTTCAAGGCTAGAATAATGAGCCCCATGAGCAGGGTTTCATAGCATTTAAGATTCCAACGCCAACCTTCAATCATGGACACAGGTGGCCTGTGCCATCTAGCTAGCTGCGCTGCCTCCAGGCTGGGTGGCCTGCTCCTCTGTTGGATAAAAATAGCCTGACTCCTCACTGAAACAACCACCATGTTATTTGCGTCCTTGGGAAGCTGAAAGTAATAGAACTCTAAGTCTGGCGTTGCCAGCTGTCAGCAGAATGAAATGCAAAGTGTGACGTGTCTACACTGTACCCACTGGCCTTCAAGTCCCAACTCCCGTTCCCCCATCTTGATTTTTTTCCATTCTCAAATTAATTATTTCCCCTATAGGTGATTTGTGGAATGGAAACAGATTTAGATTTCCTACCTATTTAGATTTTTCCAAAGACTAAAATTACAAATCAGAAAAACTGCTATTGACACATTTTTGGTTAGGAAAATCTGGATGTGGTTCCTATGCCTAGCCTAGTCATATAAATTCTCTCCCCATGTATCTTTTTGTGTGTGTGAAACAGGGTCTTGTCACCCAAGCTGGAGTGCAGTGGTACAATCACAGCTCACCATGGCCTTGACTTCCTGGGCTCAAGCAATCCTCTCACTTCAGTCTCCCTAATAGTTGGGACTACAGGCTCGTATCACCACGTGCAACTAATTTGTTTTGATTTTGGGTAGAAACAGGTGTCACTATGGTGCCCAGGCTAGTAACTCCTGTGCTCCAGCAATCCTCCTGCCTTGGCCTCCCAAACTCCTGGGATTACAGGCCTGAGTCACCAAGCTCAGCCTCTCCTCATCAAAACCATTCCCTCTTTGTAAGATTCTTCCTATGTCTTAAAACTTAATACCTTTAATCCTTCCCTGGAGCCATAGTTTTATTTATTTATTTATTTATTTATGAGACAGGGTCTCACTTTGTTGCCCGGGCTGGAGTGCAGTGACACGATCATAGCTCACTGCTGCCATGACCTCCTGGACTGAAGTGATCCTCCTACCTCAGCCTCCTGAGTAGCTGGGACCACAGGTGTGCGCCACCACACCAGTTGTTGTTGTTGTTGTTTGTTTTTGTTTTGGTAGAAACAGGGTCTCTCCATGTTGCCCAGGCTGGTCGCGAACTCCTGGGCTCAAGCAATCCACCTGCCTCAGCCTCCCAAAGTGCTGGGCTTGTAGGCGTGAGCCACCGCACCTGTCCCTGTCTGCTTTTATTTTATTTTTTTTTGAGATGGAGTCTTGCTCTGTTGCCCAGGCTGGAGTGCAGTGGTGCGATCTCAGCTGACTGCAACCTCTGCCTCCCAGGTTCAAGCCGATTCTCCTGCCTCAGCCTCCTGAGTAGCTGGGATTACAGGCACGTACCACCACACCCGGCTGATTTTTGTATTTTTAGTAGAGACGTGGTTTCACCATGTTGGCCAGGCTGATCTCGAACTCCAGACCTCAGGTGATCCACCCACCTTGGCCTCCCAAAGTGCTGGGATTACAGGCATATAGGTAAGCCACAGAGATAAGAGTAGCAAGCAGTGATGGGGAGAAGATAATCTAGTGTAGGAAAGATGGAAAGAATGGTGATATTTCACAACTGCTAGATTGACACTTTAACTTGAGAGTTATCCCTCTATAAACTGGATATTTGCTGAGCAAAGTTTAAAGAAAACTCCATGTATTCAGTAATGTTTTCCAGACCCCACTTCTCTTATATAAGCCAGTGGCTTAGAGTGCTTGCTCTAATTTCTATATTCCATTAAACAAGGGTGGGATTTCTTCTCATTCAAACCATTTGTGACTTTGCCCTTTAGTGACCTCTACCATCACCCTATCATTAATGATCCAAGTGATTAGAATGGATGGCTATGTGTTTGTAGGTTGTTTGTTGTCTTTAATGAATAGATTCATTGAATGGAATTAACTGTGCTCTTCTAGAACATTGGATCTGTGTTCTCATTTAGATTGTATTTGTAATCTCCCCACTTCCCACCATCAACAGTGGCATAATGTGAATTAATTTATGTGGTATCTGTCATTTAAAAAACATGAGCTCTCTCCTTCCTTTTTTTGTCTTAAACATAGGACATGGATTTGATTGACATACTTTGGAGGCAAGATATAGATCTTGGAGTAAGTCGAGAAGTATTTGACTTCAGTCAGCGACGGAAAGAGTATGAGCTGGAAAAACAGAAAAAACTTGAAAAGGAAAGACAAGAACAACTCCAAAAGGAGCAAGAGAAAGCCTTTTTCGCTCAGTTACAACTAGATGAAGAGACAGGTGAATTTCTCCCAATTCAGCCAGCCCAGCACATCCAGTCAGAAACCAGTGGATCTGCCAACTACTCCCAGGTACAGAGTACTCAGTTCTTGGGAAAGTTATGGCAGGTTTAAGGAAACACTGAGCAAGGAATTAAAATATCTGGATTTGAGTTCCAGCTTTGCCTTTCTTTTACTTAACCTTGTCAAATCTACTTTCCAACCTCAGCCTCCTGATGAGTTCAGTACCTAACCTGAGTTCAGTACCCAACCTATTGATCTTAACAGTGTTATTGTGAGGATTGGGAAGACTTAAGTTACACCAAAGAGTTTTGTAAAGTATAGAAACATCCTGTAAGGATCAAGTAGCAGCAACAGAAGTAGTAGCAGGAGAACCAAGTAGCAGGGATTACTGGCGTTACTGTGTGTGGCAAGCACTGTTTTAAGAACATATACTGACTGATTTAATTAACACAACTATATTAATTAGTTACCATTATCCCTGTTTTATCTACGATGAGCAACTGAAGCTCACAAAGGTTAAATAATTTGCCCAGATCACTCAGAAAATTGGAGGAGCTAAGATCTGAACCCATGTGGTCTAGTTCAAATTGTGCATCAAAGTGATCTCTGAAATAAGATAAATATTTACTTAACTTGATTATAAATATTTTATGAACATCAATTATTGAATATTTAGCTTGGCAATGGAATATTTAACCATTTTTGTTTTCCTTTGTGTCATTCCCTTTTATCAGGTTGCCCACATTCCCAAATCAGATGCTTTGTACTTTGATGACTGCATGCAGCTTTTGGCGCAGACATTCCCGTTTGTAGATGACAATGAGGTGAGGTATAAAATAACCTGGTTAATAGAAAAACTCCATCATAACTATAAAATAACAATCTATTCTATGTAAGTCCCGTCAATGAATCTCCATTTAAAAGAATAAAAACATTTTTAGGAGGAAATTTTTTAACCAAGGAAATACTCTTGTCAAGGAAACCTTAGCCTATAAATAACTTTACAATTAAGAAAAAAAAAAACCCTTCACACAATACAAAACCAAAACCATTGACTATTGCATAGCCAGAAACATGGACAGCATAACCATGGAAACAAATAACCCATTTGCTGCAAGTATCTAAGAGGTTTGGTGAGTAAAGAGCCAGCTGGGCAATAAACGAAGACTTGTTCAGTTAACAATTTTAATAAATCTGTTTTATCTAGTACCACTGTGCTAGATATTATATAAACTAAATCCTAAAGATTGTACTTACGCATTTTAAAGTTTACTTTCAAATGCTTAAGCTGAAACAGACCAGCAAATTATAAATTTGAGTCAGTGGGGTAGGAAAAAAAGATTTGTTATTTACAAACGGGGTCATGACTGGTTAGTAAGTAGAGAGACACAGAACTGCAGCTGATTCCATTTTGTTTTGTAGTGGTGCCTTAGAGCTTACTCATCCCCTGTTGGTGGAAGACTCATAAATCAATGCCTTATCAATTTTAGGTTTCTTCGGCTACGTTTCAGTCACTTGTTCCTGATATTCCCGGTCACATCGAGAGCCCAGTCTTCATTGCTACTAATCAGGCTCAGTCACCTGAAACTTCTGTTGCTCAGGTAGCCCCTGTTGATTTAGACGGTATGCAACAGGACATTGAGCAAGTTTGGGAGGAGCTATTATCCATTCCTGAGTTACAGGTAACTAAAATAGAATGTAATACTGGAGATTTTTTTTATATTCAGTGCCTTTAGTCATTCTGATTATTTATATACCACCTATTTATAGGAAGGATTGGAGGGTGCTATTAACTTAGTCATGAGTACTGCCCATGCTAGTTAAATTGGTTGGACATCTTGAGGATAGAATGTTATAAACCTGACGTCTGATCTGGGAACTCTGAAAATAATACATAACGCTTAGGCGTAAATATGTATTGGAAATGAGAATTATCTCTGAATTATAGATAATAAATTATAGAGATAAGCCTGAAGATAATGTGGGTAGGGAGTTTATCTAAATTTATCACGTATTATCATGGATTAACTTTGATTTATATAGTATAAACTTCCTTCTCATGCAGTGTCTTAATATTGAAAATGACAAGCTGGTTGAGACTACCATGGTTCCAAGTCCAGAAGCCAAACTGACAGAAGTTGACAATTATCATTTTTACTCATCTATACCCTCAATGGAAAAAGAAGTAGGTAACTGTAGTCCACATTTTCTTAATGCTTTTGAGGATTCCTTCAGCAGCATCCTCTCCACAGAAGACCCCAACCAGTTGACAGTGAACTCATTAAATTCAGATGCCACAGTCAACACAGATTTTGGTGATGAATTTTATTCTGCTTTCATAGCTGAGCCCAGTATCAGCAACAGCATGCCCTCACCTGCTACTTTAAGCCATTCACTCTCTGAACTTCTAAATGGGCCCATTGATGTTTCTGATCTATCACTTTGCAAAGCTTTCAACCAAAACCACCCTGAAAGCACAGCAGAATTCAATGATTCTGACTCCGGCATTTCACTAAACACAAGTCCCAGTGTGGCATCACCAGAACACTCAGTGGAATCTTCCAGCTATGGAGACACACTACTTGGCCTCAGTGATTCTGAAGTGGAAGAGCTAGATAGTGCCCCTGGAAGTGTCAAACAGAATGGTCCTAAAACACCAGTACATTCTTCTGGGGATATGGTACAACCCTTGTCACCATCTCAGGGGCAGAGCACTCACGTGCATGATGCCCAATGTGAGAACACACCAGAGAAAGAATTGCCTGTAAGTCCTGGTCATCGGAAAACCCCATTCACAAAAGACAAACATTCAAGCCGCTTGGAGGCTCATCTCACAAGAGATGAACTTAGGGCAAAAGCTCTCCATATCCCATTCCCTGTAGAAAAAATCATTAACCTCCCTGTTGTTGACTTCAACGAAATGATGTCCAAAGAGCAGTTCAATGAAGCTCAACTTGCATTAATTCGGGATATACGTAGGAGGGGTAAGAATAAAGTGGCTGCTCAGAATTGCAGAAAAAGAAAACTGGAAAATATAGTAGAACTAGAGCAAGATTTAGATCATTTGAAAGATGAAAAAGAAAAATTGCTCAAAGAAAAAGGAGAAAATGACAAAAGCCTTCACCTACTGAAAAAACAACTCAGCACCTTATATCTCGAAGTTTTCAGCATGCTACGTGATGAAGATGGAAAACCTTATTCTCCTAGTGAATACTCCCTGCAGCAAACAAGAGATGGCAATGTTTTCCTTGTTCCCAAAAGTAAGAAGCCAGATGTTAAGAAAAACTAGATTTAGGAGGATTTGACCTTTTCTGAGCTAGTTTTTTTGTACTATTATACTAAAAGCTCCTACTGTGATGTGAAATGCTCATACTTTATAAGTAATTCTATGCAAAATCATAGCCAAAACTAGTATAGAAAATAATACGAAACTTTAAAAAGCATTGGAGTGTCAGTATGTTGAATCAGTAGTTTCACTTTAACTGTAAACAATTTCTTAGGACACCATTTGGGCTAGTTTCTGTGTAAGTGTAAATACTACAAAAACTTATTTATACTGTTCTTATGTCATTTGTTATATTCATAGATTTATATGATGATATGACATCTGGCTAAAAAGAAATTATTGCAAAACTAACCACTATGTACTTTTTTATAAATACTGTATGGACAAAAAATGGCATTTTTTATATTAAATTGTTTAGCTCTGGCAAAAAAAAAAAATTTTAAGAGCTGGTACTAATAAAGGATTATTATGACTGTTAAATTATTTGTTTGGGATTCCTTTGAGTTTATTCACACAGTATTTTCCATAAGATAATCATCCATTTAATTTAGATGTTTTGCATTTTCAGAATGTTTTATTTGAAAATATAAAAATAATTTTATACTACATTTCTAGTACCAGGGTTACAGAGAAATAAAGTATATCAAGAGGATACTTTGCCTCTTCAATAGCAGGTACATCTAAACCCAAGAAAATGTTACACACTGACATGAAAGCACTGATTCATTTATTTCCATCAGTAGACATACGCCCACTATACCCTAGGCAGAGTTTGAAGTAGAAAGGACAAAACCAATATCCCTGCCTGGCCTGGAACTTGCATTCTAGCGAAGGGGAGGTAACAAGCATACTCCACTATGTTAGAAGGAACTGGACGGGGAAAACCAGTAAAAAGCGTCACAACTTAAGGCTGTAAATGGGAAGAGCCTTACTGAAGTGGCAACATTTGAAGGTGTGGGAGAAGCTGTTCTCATAGCCAAGAACACTGCAGACAAGACACAGCAGGTCCAAAGGCTGAACCACATTTGAGAAAAAACAAGGACAATGTGGCTGAAGAAAGGGATGGGGGTGGAATATGACAGAGCCTCGTAAGTCTACGTAAGTGAGGTGGGGCGCTAATGGTGCTGTTCAGGAGTAACACTCAACTGTTTTTTTAAAGTTCCCTCTGGGGTTTGTGACTGCTGGCAGTGGCTGCCTAGCTTTCTGGTAAAGGAGTGTAGTTAGTGGCAGGTGGCTGTACCAATCCAGATGGAGGTGAAAGAAGCTGAGCTGCAGCCACGGTCAGTACAGTGGTGGCAGCTGGACTGGCCATTTCTGCTGCAGGTTTTGCAAGTCAGGAAGCACATATAGCCTGAAGTAAAACAGGATTTTCAAAGTCTACCAAAATCTGCCTTCAGCGGTGGCTATTAGAGAGGTGGGCTTGAACTAAAAAGGACAAAATGGGAAGCAGCAATACTACCTCTAAGCCTTACTGCCATTAAAGGAAAAATAAGAGATGCTCAGTAACAAATATGATCTTAAATCGCCCAAAGAAGGATCTCCTTATATAGCAACCCAAATCAATGAAGCTAAGGATTTACTACGTCAAGCTCAAAAATGAAATCAATGTATGATGAATTTTAGGTTCCTACTACTTTTTATGTGTATGAGTATCAACTTTCTATAAAATGCCTCAGAGCTACAACTTTTAACATTTCCTCTGGCTTGTGTGTTGAGAACAGTATAGAGGGTAAGGATGGGAGTAGAAAACCAATTGAGAGGTTCATGCATTATGATGGCAGCTTGGTCTAGAGTGATAGAAGAGGGGTAGTCAGGGACATTGGATTCTGCCATGTCTCAGAGAACTAAAAGGATTTTCTGGTAGAATGGATGTGAGTCAAGAAGTTTAACATCTTTAAGAATTGAGTTGTCTGAGGATGGAGAAGACTGGATAGAGGGAGACCCACGTGGGAAAATCAGTTCCTTTTTGGACATACCGAGAGATCTATTAGACGTTAACTAGAGTGTACAAAAACAAGTCCCCTCAAAACCCTTTGAAAATCTGCATGCTTTCCAACGAGCCATTCAGTTATCGATTATTTCTTCACCTAAGCAGGTTTCACTTGTTCATATTGTTTTGCCTTTTTAAAGTGAGGAAATGGAGATTCATTAAGTATGTTTAAAATAAGCACTGCATGTGTAACTATTCAGTGAAGACTCCTAGCAACACTGCATGGGCTTGCTGCTAATTCCTAGAATGGCGTTTAGCAACTCACTTTAGCACTTTTTTTTTTTTTTTTTTTTGAGACAGAGTCTCGCTCTGTCACCCAGGCTGGAGTGCATTGGCGCTGTCTCGGCTCACTGCAAGCTCCACCTCCCGGGTTCACGCCATTCTCCTGCCTCCTCTTAAGCATATTTTCTCATCTATAAAGCAGAGTGGTACTCAGTGGGTCACCCCACAAAAAGCACTGCGCCTAGCTCATAGTAAACATTGCATAAATGATGGGTGTTTTGTCAATTTCCTTTGGTCTTGTATTATGCTTTTTGGCTACAAGTGAATCCAGTCAAATTAGCTTACTAGAGAATTTCACTGTTAAAGTTCAGGATTGAAAATGACTTCAAGGACTAATGAATCTAAGGGTTCAAATGTGAAGATTTTTTTTTTTTCTTGAGATGGAGTCCCACTCTGTCACCCACGATGGAGTGCAGTGGCACAATCTTGGCTCACTGCAACCCGCACTTCCCAGGTTCAAGTGATTCTCCTGCCTCAGCCTCCCAAGTAGCTGGGATTACAAGTACCTGCCACCCACCTGGTTAAATTTTTTTTTTTTTTTTTTTTTTTTTTGCATTTTTAGTGGAGACAGGGTTTCACCATGTTGACCAGGGTGGTATGGAACTCCTGACCTCAAGTGATCTGCCTGCCTTGGCCTCCCAAAGTGCTAGGATTACACGGGAGCCACCACACCAAGCCAAGTGTGAAGATTTGGGGTCCTGAATATTTTTCACGTGCTATCAAGGAACTTCCTTCCTCTGATGGTGTGGTGATGGGGAATCTCGGGAGAAGACATCACTTTTCCAAACTCAGAACATAATCCCAGGTCTTGAACAAACTGTCTATTCTTAGACCAAATTGTGAGTGCAGAGATGGTGGCAAGAATCTCAGCAGCAGCTATCTGGAGCACCTAACATTGACTGATATTTGAAGGGGGAAGAGCATTGCTGGGCAGACAAAAACAGACATTCTTTGGTAGTAAACTTCAACGTATTCTGACCAATTCATACGAGGGAACTGGCCATAGAAACTTATGGTACCTAAAAATATTACAGTGAAGAATAAAAAATTATTGTGAGAAATTACAAATTTCAAATAACAAATCTCAACTATGCCATGACTAATAAAACCAAGTGTTCATTTCTCTTGATCTGCATTTGAATTGAGAGCTTTATACCTGACTGTCCTCAAATTTGACTATCAAACTGTAATTGCACAACTTTGTATAAAAACCTTTCTTCTTGCCAAGATTTCCCAAGTTCCTGTTTTTGAGGGGAGCGCTGCTCAAATATGTTTGCCATATCTATATTTGTGACTAAGCCTCAGAATATATACAAGATAATTCTCATTCCAATTTAAAGATGATAGCTACCAGGGCACTTTGTTTTCAGTTGATGCTGTTTTGACACTTGAGAACTTGAAAAAAATTAAAGACTAGAAAACTTCAGGGCCGGGTGTGGTGGCTCACGCCTGTAATCCCAGGTGGGAGGCTGAGGCGGGTGGATCACGAGGTCAGGAGATCGAGACCCTGTTCAACACGGTGAAACCCTGTCTCTACTAAAAATACAAAAAATTAGCCGGGCGTGGTGGCGGGCGCCTGTAGTCCCAACTACTCGGAAAGCTGAGGCAGGAGAATGGCGTGGACCCGGGAGGTGGAGCTTGCAGTAAGCAGAGATCGCGCCACTGCATTCCAGCCTGGGAGACAGAGCGAGACTCCGTCTCAAAAAAACAAAAAACAAAAGAAAACTTCAATCCTATGTTGGGGGGTGGGGGAGAAACGCTTAAGACATTGACATAACTTTTATCACCCATTAAAATTTTAGGTATGCTTCAGGATATCCTTGTAAGACAGTATCCAGCATTACCAAGACACTATCTTTAGGGTCCATAAGACAGGTACTAAGTTCTTTAAGCTATTGAATTTAACCTTCTGATTTACTGAAGGGAGGGAATTATAAATCCATTTTACCAAAAAAAAAGTGTGTGTGTGCATGTGTGGAGGTGGGGGGGAGGAAATCAGGTTAAAAACAGGAGTTCTTAACCTGTATAGATTTTAGGTCTGACAATTTTGATGGGAAGAAAGTTTCTTCATTTTTACTAACACATAACATTTCCTTCAATATTCCAGGCAATGAACCACTGGCATTTCACTGTACTTGTCTTAAAGTACAATTTAAACCACATTATCACTTATACATCACAACTTCAATGTTAGAAATCAGACCCACCATCAGACCTAATTTAGTGTTTCAAGTACATTAAGTCATAAACTTATTATTCTGGTAATTATTTTCATGAAACATTTGAGTAATCTCACTTGTATCTCACACCATGTAAAAAATCAACATTCAAGGGGCCTGCTGGCACACCAATCTGCCAGAGCGCACGGGATTAAAAAGGAACCAAGTAACCTGCCCAAGCTCACAAAACTGCTTTTACATTCTGTATTTACATTTCTTACTGATAAACAAAATCTGACACAAGAATCAGAGTAACAAAAACCTACAAATTAAGTTTTCTTTCAGTACCTATTGAGAGAAATAAGACCACTGACTTCAAATAGACAAACCATCAGAATTCTTTTGATACATATATATGTTTTTTTTTTTTTTTTTTGAGATGGAGTCTTGCTCTGTTGCCCGGCTGGAGTGCAGTGGTGTGATCTTGGCTCACTGCAAGCTCCACCTCCTGAGTTCACGCCATTCTCCTGCCTCAGCCTCCCAAGTAGCTGGGACTACAGGTGCCCACCACCACGCTCAGCTAATTTTTGTATTTTTAGTAGAGACGCGGTTTCACCGGGTTAGCCAGGATGGTCTCGAGCTCCTGACCTCGTGATCCACCCGCCTCGGCCTCCCAAAGTGCTAGGATTATAGGTGTGAGCCACTGCACCCAGCCTCTTTTGATGTATTTTAAAGAATGTAAGTTCACTCAGCATTTACTGAACATCATAGTAATACAATTAAAAAATTAAGTTACCTGGAGCCTACAGATACAGCTAAACATTTTACGCAATTCCTTAATGTACGATGACAAGTGCTTTAAGTAATTAGCGGCTATATATACGGATGTAGTGAATATAACTATTTCATGTATCTTAAGGCATTTTCAAGCTGTCAACATCCTTGTGTATACCCTTCACCCAGTTACTATTTCTTTACCAATAAAAGTTGAACAGTATGGGTTAATTCCCATTTCCTAGCTAGCTTTCAGAACTGTGCACAATGTACACACTTCAATGCATCCTTACCATTACCTGGTGTTAGGGTCTTTGAAAATGTGTTAAGCTTAAAATGGCTTATTTTACCTGTTACCCCCTTACATCCCCCTAAACCTTGGCATTGTAGTATATTCAATTCAAAATTAAAATCAACCCAATGTATTTGACAATCCAATTTTTGCAAAACAATCCTTACATTTACGTCTGTGACATGCACATGCAGACTCAAATTTCATCATTTTCTGAATATTTTGCAGTTTATGTAAGAATGTCCTTTTATTCTAAGAAAACAAGGGTAAATATACTTTTGTTGGAAATAAGTCCACACCTGTCCTTTATTATTCCAGGACCTAAGTATTAAACTGAAATTATTAGACATGCCTTTTTTTTTTGAGACGGAGTCTCGCTCTGTCGCCCAAACTGGAGTGCAATGGCACCATCTCTGCTCACTGCAAGTTCTGCCTCCCGGGCTCACGCCCTTCTCCTGCCTCAGCCTCCCGAGTAGCTGGGACTACAGGTGGCCCACCACCACGCCCAGCTAATTTTTTGTACTTTCAGTAGAGACAGGGTTTCACCATGTCAGCCAGGATGGTCTCGATCTCCTGACCTTGTAATCCACCCGCCTTGGCTTCCCAAAGTGCTGGGATTACAGGTGTGAGCCACCGCACCCAGCCTAGACACGCCATTCTTTAAGATTACTTAACTGCACAGAACATGAAACCAGTGTTTGAATACAAGCAAAATGAGTATGCATTAAGTCTAACAGCTAGCGAAGAATCCTCAGCTGGCTTCAACTTATAAAGTATTTCACTTGAAAAAACTATATTGGGAAAATGTGCTTAATAGCTATTAAGGCTAGAAATCCAAATACACACATTTCAAAAAATAAATTATCAAAAGACCTACCCCCACAAATGAATCCAACAAAACGGATGATCATTACCCACATCATCCTTACCCTTTTCCCTTTGTGTCAAACGGCAGTGTCGTTTAAGACTACTAAATTTCATGAAAGGTTTTCCCCAACTTACTCTCACCATACAATACTGAACCACTCCACTGCCTTTCAAGATCAAACTAGGTAATTCCAACATCTGTAATGTCCTCTCCCTCCTAGCAACCACTTTTTTCTCCTAGTTTGTTTCTATTTACTAACTCGTTTATCCTTTTTTCCCCCTCAAAGGTTCATAGATTCCTCACATGTATCACCCAAATATCTCATATATTGTCTTTCAAGACCTATTTTAGGCAACAAGGGTTGATAACTTTAAAAATTATTTTTCCTTCCATGCCTATTTCCCATGGCTTGTTTCCCATATAATAGAATCCACATCTTTAAAAATAACTGATAAAGGCTCACTCCAAGTTTCCTGTTGTTTTATTACTTACTGGTAAAATAAGTCAAAATATTCACCTATAGTGTTTAAGTCACATGAACATTGTGAAGTGACAAAACAACACACACATTTCTAAAAATATTTTAATGAAAAAGTTATCTTTCTGTAAACATTTCATTATACTACAAATGAAACATCTGAATCCATTACAGAACACTTCTGAATTCTTAAAAATCAGAAAACATACTTAAGTTTTAAAGTAATTTTGAATATTTAGATAGGCTAACAATCCTTACATTACCCTTGCACACTGGCATGCTTATTCACTAATTTGTGACATTACTGGAACTCCCAAGATACTGTCAGGTTTCAATTTGTGATTATTATATACTGGAACTCTTAAAACCAAGCCTATTTCAATTAGTTACTTAACAAATATACTTTATTACCACATATTCTCCTTTAGGACATGAGTATAAATTCAGCTTTTTAGAAGTGTAATATTAGAAGCAGTAACTTACAAATTGGTTTAACAAAATCAGTTAAATCTGCCCCAATCACTTATATAACAACTTTTTTTTTTTTACTGCTGCTACAACTTCTGAGAATACTGTAGTTTTCAGAAACGACAATGGAACTGTTTAAATAAAATAATTTTATTTCATAAAAAGAAATAAACTAGAAAGAACAATGCCCTTAAAAAAAAAATGTTTGCTTCACTAAAACCATGTTGTGAAGGAAATTCATCAAAGGCTGTTACCTTATTCAACACGCGTAGAAATTGGGTTCTGATTTAAATAGAGCCAACCAGTCATTTTCTGAGACTAAACTCTGGCAAACTGCTTCTTCATGTAGGGAATTGATAATTTAGAAACTAGTTTGCATTTTCAGTATGTCTCCAAAGGATTTTTTTTTTTAAGTAAACTATCCGACTAAATTGTTAAGCCCTTTTGGGGCAGCAAAAACAGCCCTTATTACCCATCAACAACCAGTTTGAACGGTAATTCAGTGTTCTTTGGGAAAATGTGTTTTTACAAAGGAGCAGTAATTAGGCCCCCACTGCTTAACAGATGAACCAAAACAAAAAAGGAACGAAAATGTAACCTATTGGTCCAATGAATTCCCTGAATTTAAATGCAAGACAACTTATGAGGCCACTTGAAGACCAACCTTTACCCATGACATCTGGTAACTTTTCTTCTTTGAGATGGGGTCACCCAGGCTGGAATACAGTGGGGCAGTCAGCTCACTGCAGCCTCGACTGCCTGATATCAAGGCAGCCTCCCAAATAGCTGGGACTACAGATGTGTATCACCAAGCCCAACTAATTTTTCTATTTTTTGTTGACAGGCTCTCACTATGTTGCCCAGGCTCGTCTCAAATTCCTGGACTTGGGATCCATCTGCCTCAGCCTCCCAAAGTGCTGGGATTACAGGCGTGAGCCACTGTGCCTGGCCCTGGTAACTTTTAATGTTCCTTTGAAGGTGTTTTCCTAGTATGAGGATGGGCAGCTTACTGAGTCTGTTGTGTGTCATGCTTACACACCAAAACGGTTTTCACAAAAGCTGAAACCACTTTACCAAAAATTGAGTTTACCCTGAAGACACAAAAAATGAATTGTATACACAAGGAGTCACAACTGACTTGATATGAATACTTATGGCTATTTCGCAGGGGAATTTTTAAAACTAAGGTTTAAAACGTGTAGGACATGGTACCAAGGTAGTTTTCAGTTGAAGAATTTTTCCAATGTGCCTACTAGAGAGGGACAAAGTTGTGAAATATGTAATGTAGACTTGCAGGGAAACAAATGGTGTCATCAGGTTTTACTGTCAACTACAAACCTTACCCAGCCAGAAACCTTCGTATTTTAGATGGTAGGAAAGACATTCCTCATTTAGGCAAGTAGGGTTCTCATTCAACCTGCAAATCAAAAAGATTACTCTTACCTTGCTTTACAAAAAATTACTCTTTAATTAGTGAAAAAATTCAAATTCAAGCCTTACCTAATGCTTATTGCCCTTCCTTGCAGGTCTAAATGCTAGACCTAGTGACTGTGGCAACTATCTCTCATTGATGTTCCAAAAGGCGAAGAGCTCCTTCCTGCTAGACTTTCTTCGATATTTCAGTTGTAATAAGCAGATTTAACTAGCTTTTGGAAAGTTGCTCACTATCATCATAGTATCTTATGCCTTCACTTCTCTGTAGTTGAAGCTCTTGCTGCTGCCTTGTCATTCTTTATTTATGCTGACTTGTCCAAACACAAAAGGCTGCTGAAGTCCTGTCTTAGTGAGTTTCTGTGATCCACACTGTGCTTAAAAAGCACATCTTAGGTCCTTTAAAGGTGGTTAAATCGCTCTCCTCATGGCTTACTTTTCCACACTGTTCACAAGAGCTAAGCTAATACAACTTATAAACAGGTCACATACACAGATTTCACCTGCTTATAGGTTGTAAACATCAACTTACTGTAAATGTTTTCACTATAATACTAGTTCCAGAACATAGAAAGTTGGTTAACAGTACAATTAACCTCATGCCATTAAAGGATACTGTCAAGGTTGTGTCAAACAATTTCACAAACATAAAACAGGAAATGTTAATCTCCCCCATTCCTTTAAACTTTATTTATATGAATAAAAGAACTTGAGACAATTTAGCTCAATTTTAATGTTTCCCAAGCATTATTTTGACCAGGTACCCAGGTTTAAGTTATGAACATTGACAGTGTCCATTATATAACCACACTTGAAGTTATTTAGGACTTAACCATTTTCTAATATTAGCCTATTTTCTACACTGCTTTTCACATATATGCCCATTAACAAATGGAATGTCTGTTACATTTATTGGTTTGTGAATGTTTCTGGAAAACTGCAGTATGTGTGAAGACCAATTTCCATGCTGGCATTGCATGCATCCAAATATTAATGCACAGAGGCACAGAATTAGAGCAACAAGAGAGCATATTCAAACACTAGCACACCCCATTCCCCTTTTTATTGCTTGTTTGCTTAGTACTTCTTAAAACAAAAGACTTGAATTCAACGTTCAACTACCAAAGAGAGTAACAGCAGGGCACATACTCAGGGCTCGAATGAAACTGTAAGCACTAGCTGGAGCAAAACAGTAGACATTGGTTTATATTAATATATGTATATATGACCTTATTAACTAAAACTCTTCTCAACCAGGGCCTTCCAAACAAATTGGTAACAACATGATTTATGTTGAAATATACACAAGAAATAACAGTGTGTTCTTTGGGAATTTAAGAACTCAGACTATCCAAATTTGAATTCAGGTCTGTAGGAAGTGAGAAGCCTGTACTAAGCAACTGTGCTACATTTCTGCTGCAGTTAGGTTATTTTGGACAATTATACCTGAACTATCCTTGGTTTCATCCAGCAAAATGTATAGAATACAAACAGGAAAGCATGCCAGCCAGTTAGGGGTTTAATAACACATGATTTTTATTCTCTTGCTCTGAAAACTTGTATCAAAAAAAAGAATTTAAAGTAACTCAAGATTTATGGGCCTCTTGTGCTTTAAATAAGAAAAAAAAGGTACCCACTAATTTGCTCAGATATAGCAGGCTTAATGGTTCTATATTTTCAAAAGTTTTTAAGAATGGTTTCTAACGTAGGAGAGGGAAAACATCCACCATCCCTTTTCAGAATTTAAATGGAGGGCAGTAAACATTCTTTACACCCAAAACCTATGGCAGCAGTTCAAATTTGACCAAGGTAAATGTAGAATAGAGATGTTCTAAACACAGCTAGGACTCAGCAAGTCTAACACACTAAAATCATATGATTACATTTTAAAAGAAAATGCACAAAAACCAAATAGAAATTTTGAGATTTTTTTTCATTTGAAGGTAATCTTAATGCTATTAAATTCACAAATGCTAATTTAAATACCCAATCCTATTTATCTAAAACACACATTGCAAACACACAAATTATCTATTCTCTCCACATGTCAGCGCCCATTCATATCATGGTTTGGAAATGGGGAGAATAGATTCCCCTTAAACTGCAAGTCAGCAGGTGTTTCTTTACAGTTAACTTTAGCAAAATTCATACAAAATAGTAATTAACAATGATCTTCTTTACTTGTTAACTCACAAGGAAACACCTTCGAAACTGCATTTTGTTAAAGTTTCTGTACTAAAATGTAGAAAAACTGAACTACACAAATATTGAAAAGTTAAAAATTCCTTAATTTTTTATTCCTGGTACCACTACCACAATTTACAGGGCAATATACCTGATGTAATGAAAAGAAAAAGAAAAAGACAAAGCTACAACAGATAAAAGACCTCAGGAATGTACATCTAATTGACACTACATTGCATTAATCAATAGCTGCACTTTTTGCAAACTGTGGCTATGACAGTCCTGAACAAGAAGGGTTTCCTGTTTAAGCTGCAGTAACTTTTCTGACTATGGATCATCGTTCCTTCTGTGGCAGATTTTTACAGTTCCTCTAATGCATTTGGGACGACTGTCTCAAAGTAACCTGCAGCTTTCCTGACAACTCCTCGCTCTCTCTCCTGCTAAGAACTGTAGCCTGTTGAATAATACAGGATAAAAAAATTATTACACTCAGTGAACAGTTCCACATATTCTTTTATCATCATAATAAAAATTTAAAGATACCTACCCTTTTCTGCTGTTTTTAGAACCTTCTGCTACCATATCCACCACTTCCACCACCAGATCCATAACCACCTGAAAATATACATAGTATTTTAAAAGAAGTATGCACATTTTTTAAATTAAAAAGGCTCTAAAGAATTGATTTAAGAAAGTACTTACCACCATAGGGACTGCCCGAGCTTCTTCCACCAAAACTGCCCCCTTTCATGGGTCCATAATTTGATTGCTGTTGTCCACTATAATTTCCAAAATCATTATAGTTCCCACCACCACCATAGTTACCTGAAATCAGAAAGGTTTTATGTGTGGTTTACCTACACAATCATCATTTTCCCCTTTTAACGTATGTAACTATTATCTTTTGAGAATTATGGTAGCATGCTTATACACATCACTGTGGTAGCACCACTTGGGGTAACTGATGTCAGGATATTAAAAGACCATCAACATTTTGTTTATATTAAATGCTGTCCTCTAGGCGCATGTTCTCTCTACCATTAACACCATTAAAATTGCCAGTGTTCCATTCACTATGATTCTGAAGCAGTATAACATTTAAAACAATGAGAAGGCATTCTAACTTGTTAAAACTTCCACTCATCTGTCATTGACATGTTAATTAGGTCCAATAAAACAGTGCATTCCTAAGAAAGCTTTTAACAGTATTGTGGCTTAATGACCTACATACACTAGCTTGCTTAAACGCTTCAACTACCTGTGACATATTATATTAAGACCCAAAGTACTTTGTTAACCTGGGCCCTAGATGGCAACCTGCTCACTTCAACACGTCTGGAGTATTCAAACAATTTATTCCCGGTTGTCCAGTTTAAAAGTACCAAGGAGTTAAGTAAAATTTTGGCAATAAATAAACTCCCAATCTTTTACACGTAAAACATGTACTGAATACTGGTAAATGTCCATTTTTTACTACTCAACTAAAAATTCAGTACATTTGGCTGAGTGCAGTGGCTCATGCCTGTAATCCCAGTACTTTGGGAGGCAGAAGCGGGCAGATCACAAGGTCAGGAGATCGAGACCATCCTGGCTAACATGGTGAAACCCCATCTCTACTAAAAATGCAAAAAAATTAACCGGGCGTGCTGGCATACGCCTGTAGTCCCAGCTACTAGGGAGGCTGAGGCAGGAGAATCGCATGAACCCGGGAGGCGGAGATTGCAATGAGCTGAGATCACGCCACTGCACTCCAGCCTGGGCAACAGAGCAAGACTCCATCTCAAAAAAAAAAAAAAAAAAAAAAAAAAAGAAAAAAGAGAGCTGAGTACATTTGTACATTTTACTAAATAACCAGCAAAGTCAAGAAAATTTGGTTTGAACTACCAACCATTTTAGTATTTTTCTTATAGAACATAAAATTTGATCAAACGCTTTTAACACTTTCCAAATATGTGTCATGGGAACTGTTAGCAACACTGAATATTTAACATTTAAATAAAACAAGTGAATGCTTACCACCGCCAAAATTTCCTCCTTCATTGTAACCATCATATCCTCCACCTCCACCATATCCACCACCTTGGTTTCCATATCCTGGTCCACCACCACCATAGCCCCCTCTACTACTATAACCAGGACCACCGCCATAGTTGCCACCTAAAAAAACAACAAATAACAAGACCACACAAAAACTTAAGTGTATAGTCACGTTATTCAATTCTGGTGTGTGTGTAAGAGACTGGGTCTTGCTCTGTTGCCCGGGCTCAAGTACAGTGGTGCAACCACAGCAATGCAGCCTTGAACTCCTGGGCTCAAGCCATTCTCCCACCTCAGTCTCCTGAGTAGCTAGACTATGGGCATGTGCCACCATGTTCCCCTATTTTATTTTTCTAGATATACGGTCTCCTTATGTTGCTCAGACTAGTCTCAAAATCCTCACCTCAAGCAACCCCTCTGCCTCAGCCTCCTGAATAGCTAGAATTACTCAACTCTGGTTTTATATTACATTTAAGCCACTGGCAAATAAGCCAATGAATTGATTTAGCACTCTGAAGCCTGGTAATACCTAATAATAATAGAGTATCAAGTATCTGCACTAGTAAGAATGAAAAATAAATGTGTAACCCATCTTCTGATAGTAAAAAAGAAAATCAGTTTTCATTTTACAAAATTTCACTAAGAAAAATATAGTCTCAGACTTAATAGAACAATTCTAGCTCAACCCCTACTACTTGCTGAAAAAGAGCAGCTAATGTCTCTCCAGGGGAAAAAGGGTTCCTGTTCTTCCATGTACAGTTTGGAAATACACCTTAACCATTTAGCCACTGAAGTTTTAACTAAAATTAGAAAAGTGTAATAAATAATTTTCAATAAGTAAAGAAAGTTAAAATATCAAACATCAATGAAAATAAGCCACCTACCATCACCTCCAAATCCATTATATCCACCATCACCTCCTCCATAACTACCTCTGCTGCCACCACCTCCACCACCATAGCCTCCTGAGGAAAAACAAGAAATGAATTAAAATAATATATTCAACTTACCAAAATGTCAGGTATCCATGTACTTAGAAGATAAACAGCCTACCTCTTCCACCAAAGTTTCCACCACGGCCAAAATTACCTCCACCACCTCCAAAGTTCCCTCCGCGACCCATAAAATTGCCAGATCCACCTCCACGACCTTTAATACAGGCAAGGGAGATTTTTAAGAACCTTACAAACACCACTCATATCCACTGTATACATGTGTATGGTCCTACTCACCTCTCTGTGATCCAGCAGACTGCATCTCTTGTTTAGAAAGGGCCTTTTTCACTTCACAATTATGCCCATTAATAGTGTGGTATTTCTGAACTAAATTTTTTTTCAATCAAACAAAACAAAAAGTTATTTTATGTTTGGAAAAGCACATATATGAGATACCCTCTGTCATTATGTAACCCATTAAGACATAATCAGGTAGTGACTCTGGTAATGAAGGAGCATTCTGAGATGTTTATGTTTATTTCTTGATCTGGATACTGATTACACAGGCAGACACTATGAAAATTGACTATACACTATAAATGCCATTACACGCAACAGAAAATTACAATTTAGCAAATTTAGTTCAAAACAGAAAAACCAGTTCTACTTTCTCATTCAAGTTACCATAAATTGCTACTTACCAACAATTTTATCAACTGTATCATGATCATCAAAAGTTACAAAAGCAAATCCTCTCTTTTTTCCACTCTGCCTGTCTTCCATAACTTCTATGGTTTCAATCTTGCCATACTTTTCAAAGTAGTCTCTCAAATTATATTCTTCTGTATCTTCTTTAATACCACCAACAAAAATTTTCTTCACTGTTAGATGGGCACCAGGCTTTACAGAATCCTACAAATAAAGTAATATATTAAGTCAAGAAACAAACTTTCACAACAATTTCACATATTACACAATGTATTATTAAAATACCTCTCTAGAAACAGCTCTCTTTGGTTCCACTACACGCCCATCAACCTTGTGTGGTCGAGCACACATTGCTGCATCCACCTCTTCAACACAAGAATAAGTCACAAAACCAAAGCCCCTGGAACGTTTTGTTTGGGGGTCTCTCATTACCTACAAAATAAAAAGTTTTATAACGTTGAAAACACCTCCACCGGTTCTCTACACCCCTTAGAACCCTTCTGTTCTCTTAGTAACTTACCACACAATCTGTGAGTGTGCCCCATTTCTCAAAATGTTCTCGTAAACTATCATCTGTAGTTTCAAAGCTCAGACCACCAATAAACAGTTTTCTCAACTGCTCTGGTTCCTTTGGATCATGGCCCTGAGAGAAAGAACCAATACTCTTAAGTTACCTTACAGTAGATGAATTAAGATGCACGAAGAGCCTTTAATGTACGGTAAGTAATAAAATCAACATCAAATTCCTGTGACAGTTAACACTTTGTCCAGTTAAAACTTTGACCAGACACCGGCGCGATGTCTCATGCCTGTAATCCCAACACTTTGGGAGGCCGAGGCAGATGGATTACCTGAGGTCAGGAGTTCGAGACCAGCCTGGCCAACACGGCGAAACCCCATCTCTACTAAAAACACAAAAATTAGCTGGGCGTGGTGGCGGGCGTCTGTAATCCCAGCTACTCGAGAAAGGAAAATCGCTTAAACCCAGGAGGCGGAGGTTGCGGTGAGCCAAGATCATGTCATTACACTCCAGCCTGGGCCATAGGAGCGAAAACTCCGTCTCAAAAAAACAAAACAACAAAAACTTTGACCAGAAATAAGACTTCAACTGTTAAAGGGGCTAACTTATGTCAAGGAAACCTATAACCAGCCTTTCAAATGCCAGCATCACTTCAACTAAATTGAAATCCAAGACAATTCCAGAATCAAAAAATCGCTTCATTTTTTAAAAGCTACAACTGTCTGAGAACCTTTACTTTAGAAGTTGCTAGTAAGTCATTTTCTAAGGCACTAAACTGTTGGAGAAGCAGTGTTGCATCTATCCCATTTCAACTCTTCTCAGTCTACAACCCAACATGCATTTAATTTTTTTGTTTGTTTTGTTTTTGAGACTGAGTCTCGCTCTGTCGCCCAGGCTAGAGTGCAGTGGCGCGATCTCGGCTCACTGCAACCTCCGCCTCCCGGGTTCACGCCATTTTCCTGCCTCAGCCTCCCGAGTAGCTGGGACTACGGGCGCCCGCCACCGCGCCCAGCTAACTTTTTGTATTTTTAGTAGAGACGGGGTTTCACCGTGTTAGCCAGAATGGTCTCGATCTCCTGACCTCGTGATCCGCCCGCCTCGGCCTCCCAAAGTGCTAGAATTACAGGCGTGAGCCACAGCGCCCGGCCCATACATTTAAACTCAAAACTGTGATGAAGAACAATCTAAAAGTTCTGAATGTCAAACTTACAGAAACTCACTGCTTTCAAGCAAATTAATTTAAAACAGGCATTCCTAAGCCAAACCAGCATTTCCCAAAAAAACTGAGGAAAAAAAAAAGCCGATCAAATAGCTTTCTATAACCCATGTTTGTTATATGCTGCAAAAATCTGCAATTTACAACTCAATTTTAAGAGTCACAACTAACTGGCAAGTTGGACTTACATTAGGAATGGTATGTATTGTCTGACTATAAGAACGGAGTACAGCAAAACAAAAATTGAGATTTTTAAGAATTAAGATGTCTTGAAATTGTTTTATACTTTAGTCAAGACTTTTTAACACATTGCATGAACTGTCATTTAATGCATGCATTAAGGTTTCCTTCACCCGAAGTTCTTAAATAAGGGGCTCACATTTACATTCTAATGTCTTCCTGTGTCTCCTAGAGGTAGAGATGTTAAACCGTTTAATGTGAAGAGATTGTCACATGCTAGAAAAAAACGTTAATAGCCTAAAGCATTAATTCATGTAATCTCATCTTTTCAAGTCTTGGATAAATGTATTCGATTGACAATAACGAAATCGACAAAAATATTTAGGATCCACATTAAATGTACTGCAAAAACGTGAAAATTTCAACTCTGGTTGCAGTCCTCTAAATAAAATTCCAGGAAACTACAACCAGAGCCGACTCAAAGAATGGGAAAACATGAAGATAAAAAACATTTCTAAATTCTTCCTTAACATACTATACTCAAATTCTTCTCCACCCACCCTCCTCAGCGGCCGGAGCCGGGAAGGAGCTGGCTGGGTTGTTTTTCACATCTACACTCAAATTCTCAAAAATTAAGTCCTTCGCCCACATGGCGGTTTAAGAAGTGTAATGTAAGTACTTTAGCAAAAATATATCAGGAAGTATTTTAAAGCAGCAAAGTTTTTAACAATCTCGTATTTCCAACAGGATGCTGCGAAAAAAAGAAAAGGCCAATTATCGACTTCTCGCGGAGAGGACCCGTAAAAGGCCTAGAAAAGCGTCGGCAGAACTTCAGCGAAAGCACTACCTCCCCATGCTTCGAGGCCATTTGCGGCTTTTTCTGCCGGGCCGCCTCCGCCCTCTTCCCTCCAATCCCAGGCTCGCTTTCCCGGCGGCAGAGCGAGGCGGCGGCCATTGCGGGCCAATGCGCCATTTCGTAACGCGGCGGCGGATCAATGTCAATGTGGCCGCCGCCCGCTTGCTCGCTCGCCCGGATGTGCCTGCTCGTCCCCTCCCCTCCCCCACCACCTCCTCCCAACCGCTCCCGCCGGGGCCCGCCATGCCGCCCTCGGCCTCGCTTCGGAGGCCGCGCAGCCGGCAGGCCGGCTTCCCTCCCGAGGCCTCCCCGACCAAGCCGCGCCTCCAAGGGGCCGCCTGTGCAGCCGAAGGTGAAGGCGAGGCGGGCGAGGGGCCCCAAGGAGGTCTCCAACTCTCGCTCCCCTCCCCCTCCCACAGCCTGTCTCAACGCAAGAGCGCGGGACGGCCGACCCGGTCCACCCGGCCTCCCCGCTCCCACCGAACCAGGCCCCCAACGCCGGCCATTCCCCACCAACCCCCCGCTCTCCCCCTAATACCTCCTCCCCCCGGCGGCGACGGCGACGGCCGGAGTCGGGCTGGGGGCGACCGGGCGGCGGTTTTACCTCCATTTTGAGACCGGACTCGCCTCTTCCAACTCGAGTTCAATATG
Organism: Homo sapiens; assembly: GCF_000001405.40. Classification (NCBI taxonomy): domain Eukaryota; kingdom Metazoa; phylum Chordata; class Mammalia; order Primates; family Hominidae; genus Homo; species Homo sapiens. The sequence goes on along the minus strand of NC_000002.12, from coordinate 177,212,758 downwards.
GGACCGAGAGGAAGAGGCGGGGCCAGTCGTCACGTGACGCGTTTTCCGCGCGCCGCCAGTCTGTTGGGGGAGGAGCGAATTGGGAAGGGGGCGGAGCCAAGCGGGCGCGAAGAGGGACTGGACCAGCGGGTTGGCGGGCGGAGGGCGGAGGCGCGGCGTGCCGCGGGAGCGCGCGCGCCTCGCCAGCTTTCAGGGGAAGAGGGCCTTTGCCGCCGTTCGCGTCAGGGCGAGTTCCGGGACGTCAGTGCGGTCTCCGCCAATGGTGAGCGTCCACGTAGAGGGAACGCCTTGTGATCGCGCGTCACCAGAGAGAAAGGCCTTTCCCTTTCTTCTCGCGCTTGTCCCTCATTCCCCACGCAGGCCTCTAGTTCTCCATTTCAGAATTCATTCTATTCCTGTGCCCGAAATAAAACCCACGTTTTTCTTGCTTGTAATTTAAAGGTTGCAAGAAAAACTCCTCGGCCCCTCGGACCATCTTTCCTGTTTCCAAATGCCGGGGACCAGTGTCTGTGACTGCGCCGCCTGCCTGAGGGCATGTACTGAAAAGCCCTGCGACTCCAACATGTGGGACTCACAAGCACCTTGGACAGGCCTCAAAACGCGGCTGACATACAGAATTTTTACCATTAACGACCTGAGGCAGGACTGGTGGAGGTCAGTTCATTAGTTACTGATCTCAAGAAACAAGTCAGGACTATTTTCTAATGTGCTTCTTTCAAGTTAGTGTGGAAAGAGCTGATGCATCTGTTGTAGCTGACGGAATTTAAGGAACTGAATAATTGACAAGATTTCCAGAAAAGCAGGGTCGCCAGATAATGCTACCTGTTTGCGAATGATTGTTACCGTAATGCTCTAGAGAGCTAATCCTTTCTCGGCCTAGTCAGATGATTTTAAATCATTTGATTTTACAGAGCTTTAGTTTCAGTTTTTTAAATGAAAATGGGGATGGGATTAGGTCATCTTCTAACACCCACGACAGCCATAAATTGATAATCTATGGATCCATATTTAAAGTTACTGATAAAAATAACCACAATTGACCAGCCTCCCTTCCCTGTTAGGAAATGCTTTATATTTTAATTTAGCAACCCATGTGACCAACCCTTTTAGAATTGAACTGGCTCTCCCTAGGAAAGGTTAGAAATCTAATCAGTTATAGTAAGTTTCTGTTAACAAATGGGGAGTGGTCGACTTGGAGTTTGGAAAAGGGGAGCGTAAAGTCTAAAAGTTTGTTAATTTATCTAGCCGTTGCTCCAGGAGGACCTGTGTTATAGTTTGGAAACATTTACAAAGGGTATTTTTGTGGGGCAGAAAACAGTTAGCAGTCCTTAATGTAATTTGGTTGAAATAACCGTTCAAACCAGACTCCTCCTGTTGCTTTGATTCCTTTTTCGCAAACTTTCTTATGTTCTACGTATCCAGGTGCTCCTGATGGCCAGCAATAGACTTGAGACATTGGAAGAATGTATAGCCTTAGCGTCTATTTAGTGTTAAGATTTTGTAAGTCTAATTACTGTGAAATAGTCCTGGTAACTTTATCGATTCTGGATACAAAGAAAAATGCAAAGTGAAAGACCTTTGGAAATTGCTATTCACACCAGAGTACTCTATGAGACATTACATAGGTGATCAAGAAGAGTGATCACCTGGCTGCACTTTAGGGTATGTTTGTCCAGGTTTTTCTAATAAGTTAATTCTAATCAATAACTTTTGTTCTAATTAGTAACTTTTGTATAAATGTTAATGTTAAATCGCGAAACAATGTGGGATGGGATACTAAGTTCTCTCCAGGAACATGAAATGTCAGCCCATTTATTCACATCTTTTTGTCCTCCCTATTGTATTGGTCCAGATTTGTTGTTCATCCTGACTGTATGCTGTTTTTAGACATTAGTTATTTTTTATGCTTTTGTCTAAACAAGCTCTGGCCGGGCGCCATGGCTCACACCTGTAATCCCAGGCCTTTGGGAGGCCGAGGTAGGCAGGTCACCTGAGGTGGAGAGTTTGAGACCAGCTTGACCAACACGGTTAAACCCTGTCTCTACTTTTAAAAAAAATACAAAAATTAGCCGGGCATGGAGGCACACGTCAGTAATCCCAGCTGCTTGGGAGGCTGTGGCACGAGAATCACTTGAACTCAAGAGGCGGAGGTTGCAGTGAGCTGAAATTGCCCCACTGCACTCCAGTCTGGGTGACAGAGCGAGATTCCGCCTCAAAAAAAAAAAAAAAAAAAAAAAAGGCCGGGCGCGGTGGCTCACGCCTGTAATCCCAGCACTTTGGGAGGCCGAGGCGGGCGGATCACGAGGTCAGGAGATCGAGACCATCCTGGCTAACATGGTGAAACCCCGTCTCTACTAAGAATACAAAAAAAAAAAAAAATTAGCCGGGCGTGATGGCGGGCGCCTGTAGTCCCAGCTGCTGGGAAGGCTGAAGCAGGAGAATGGCGTGAACCCGGGAGGCGGAGCTTGCAGTGAGCCGAGATCACGCTGCTGGCTGGGCGCAGTGGTTCAAGCCTGTAATCCCAGTACTTTGGACGGCCAAGGCGGGCGGATCACCTGAGGTCAAGAGTTCGAGACCAGCCTGGCCAACATGGTGAAACCCTGTCTCTACTCAAAATACAAAATTGGTCGGGTGTGGTGGTGGGTGCCTGTAGTCCCAGCTACTCAGGAGGCTGAGGCTGGAGAATCGCTTGAACCTGGGAAGCGGAGGTTGCAGTGAGCTGAGATCGTGCCATTGCACTCCAGCCTGGGTGACAGAGCGAGACTCCATCTCAAAAAATAAATAAATAAATAAACTTAAGGTCCAGTTATGTCTCAGGTACAAAAACCACTTTTCCAGTCCTTGACCCTGTAGGGCACAGACTTGAACCTTGGCTATGGTCTGCACTTGCAGCCCTGACTCTTTGATATGAGAAAGGGAGTGTATGGGATGGGAGGAGGGAATGAGGGTCCTAGGGTGAGATGGGTGGCAGACAAACTTTATAATCTATATCAGGCCCTCTCCTTTATATCATGACATACAGAAAATAATCATTTTTGTACAGCATAGTAGGGTAAACTAGAAGATATTTGGAGGCATCTAAGTGGTGGTAATGTTTTAAGCATCTGATTTTGATAAAATACAAAGTATTAGGAATGATATTAAATATTGAATTTGCATAAAACTTTCAAATTAAAATTTTCCGTGTTTTTTAGTGATCAACTTGAACTTGTTCCTGTGAATACATTTTGATATTAGGTTTTATGGTTGAAGTGGCTTTATGCAGTTTCTGATCTAGACTTTTTTTTTCTTGAGACAGAGTCTCACTCTGTCACCCGGGCTAGAGTGCAGTGGCATGATCTCGGCTCACTGCAACCTACCACTCCTGGGTTCAAACAATTCTCATGCCTCAGCCACCCAAGTAGCTGGGATTACAGGCCCATGCTACCATGCCCGGCTAATTTTGTTTTTGTTTTTGTTTTGAGACAGAGTCTCTTGCTCTGTCGCCCACGCTGGAGTGCAGTGGCGTGATCTCTGCTCACTGCAACCCCTGCCTCCTGAGTTCAAGCTATTCTCCTGCCTTAGCCTCTCAAGTAGTAAGGACTACAGGCGTGCATCACCACGCCTGGCTAATTTTTGTATTTTTAGTGGAGACAGGGTTTCACCATGTTGGCTGGGTTAGTCTGGAATTCCTGATCTTAAGAGATCCGCCCGCCTTGGCCTCCCAAGGTGCTGGGATTATAGGCGTGAGCCACTGTGCCTGGCTGGAAGAAGGTAACTCATTTTGTTTGTTTTTGAGACAGAGTCTCGCTCTGTCACCAGGCTGGAGTGCAGTGGCACAATCTCGGCTCACTGCAACCTCCGCCTCCCGGGTTCAAGTGATTCTCCTGCCTTAGCCTCTCAAGTAGCTGGGACTACAGGCGCTCACCACCACACCTGGCTAATTTTTTGTATTTTTAGTAGAGACGGGGTTTCACCACGTCAGCCAGGATGGTCTCCATCTCTTGACCTTGTGATCCACCCGCCTCGGCCTCCCAAAGTGCTGGGATTACAGGCATGAGGGAAGAAGGTAACCCTTAAAAGGGAGGAATTGTAATAAACTATAAGCTTTGTTATGTGCCATTATATTCAGAATATACCAAAGCTTTATTTTCTAAAATCTTGATTTTTAAATAAGGAGTTTATAAAGTAAAACACACACAAAAAGTCTTTCCCCACAAAATCCTATTACATAGATTTGACCATGATCAACAACTTATTACATATCCTCTCACATTTTCTTGTTGGCCTAATCAATGCTTATATATATGAAACAAACATATTTGTTTTATTTTTACCAATGTATGTCTAACTATCCAGATTGATTTGAAATTTCCTTTCTCTTCCACTTAACAAAGTTATTTACCAAACTCTTACTATGTGCCAGGCAATGCTAGGTGCTGGAAATTCATCATAGTCACTCACATTATTGAATACTACTGTATACCTTGTAATGGGCCACGTACATTATGTTCCTGATTTCATTCCCTTAATAAACTTAGGAGGGTAAATTCTCCCTAATCTGGGATGTAGGAAAGTTGAATACATTGACTAAAATTATATAGGCCCTGCAAGTAAAGTGCTGAATTAGAATGTCATATAATCACTGTATTTACATTTTAATATTCTTGAAGGTAACAACCTTTTCTTTAAAAATCTATCATACATTTGTGTTGTTCACTATGTTTCTTATGTTTCCAGAGACCACTACAGTGATTGGCTCTGTAGTAGGCAATTCACTTATTTATGGAATATTCAACATTAGATATATGAATCATGGATGACATATTTTGGGTCCCCTTCAGTGCCCTGTTGGACCTTGATATGGTTTGGCTCTTTGTTTCCATCCAAATCTCACCTTGAATTGTAATCCCTGTAATCCCCACATGTCAAGGATGGGACCAGGTTGAGGTAATTGAATCATGGGGGTGGTTTCTCCCATGCTGTTCTCATGATAATTAGTGAGTCTCGGGAGATCTGATGGTTTTATAAGCATCTGGCATTTCCCCTGCTTGCACTCATTCTCTCTCCTTCTGCCCTATGAAGAGGTGCCTTCTGCCATGATTGTAAGTTTCCTGAGGCCTCCCCTGCCATGTGGAACTGTGAGCCAATTAAACCTTTTTCTTTATAAATTGCCAGTCTTGGGTATTCATGGCAGCATGAGAACGAACTAATACAGACCTACTGCATAATTTGTGGAGCCATGTGCAAAATGAAAATGCAGGGTGCCGTGTTCAAAAATTATTAAGAATTTCAAGACATGACATCAAAGTATTAAGCCAAGCCAGGACCCTTATAAGTGCTGGACTCTGTGCAACTGCAAAGGTCATATGCCCGTGAAGTCTGCACAGTGCCCAGTACAGTGCCCTGTCTAGAGCAGGTACCTGGTCTCTTTTCAGAAATTTATTCACTTGCCATCTTGTATTTACTTCCACTTTCTTGTCAGCACTCATTTCTAAAGTGTTCCTAATCTAGTTTCTGTCACAGGCTGCCACTCATTTCTTAAGTGTTCCTAGTTTCTGCCACAGGCTATCGAAATTGTTTTTCCAAGGTCACAAATGATTATCTGTCAAATTAATATCCCTATTCTTAAATGTTAATCCTTCCTGACCTAGGGATCAACATTACTGCCTGTTCATCCTTTTTTTTTTTTTTTTTTTTTGAGACAGAGTCTTGCTCTGTTGCCCACGCTGGAGTGCAGTGGCACGATCTTGGCTCACTGCAACCTCTGCCTACTGGATTCAAGCGATTCTTCTGCCTTGGCATCCCAAGTAGCTGGGATTACAGGCATGTACCACCACACCTGGCTAATTTTTATATATTTTTATTTGTTATTTTTTGAGTTGGAGTTTTGCTCTCGTTGCCCAGGCTGGATTGCAGTGGCGCGATCTCGGCTCACTGCAACCTCCGCCTCCCAGGTTCAAGTGATTCTCCTGCCTCAGCCTCCTGAGTAGCTGGGATTACAGGCACACGCCACCATGCCCAGCTAATTTTTTGTATTTTTAGTAGAGACAAGATTTCATCATGTTGGCCAGGCTAGTCTCAAAACTCCTGACCTCAGGTGATCCACCTGCCTCAGCCTGCCAAAGTGCAGGAATTACAGGTGTGAGCCACCACACCCGGCCCTGTTGCTTCTTTTTGATGTTTTCCTTTTTTGTCTTTATTAAGGACATTGGTTTTTCCCTTTAGTTCATCACTGCTTCCTTCTGGATCCTTCCCTTTTTCGTTTTCTCTCTCCTCTTGTTTCCATAAGGTTTTGTCACACTGAGGTATAGAACTTCCTGAGAAACTTTGTGAAATGCACCCATTGTTCTCCTACGAGTGGCCACTTTCCCTGGGAAAAGTATGAGGTGGTGTAAGTGCGTGAGAACTCTCAGGGGATTTGTACATGCCTCCTAGGAAGCTAAAGAAGAGGTTAGGCCTGATTAGTGTATTTGTTAAGATGACAAGATATATCACTTCCTTCTCCCAACACACACACACACACACACACACACACACACACACACACACACACACCACAGTTGAATGATTTAGAGATTGAGGAGGTAATTTGATACAAAAAGTATTAAGGAGTCATTCACAGGGACTTACGTTCTCTTTCAGACAAATCCCAATTTGGAAGTCTGAAAAGGCTGAAATCTTTTTAGTAGGTGCTTTACAAATGACTTTCACATAAAACTTTGATTAAATTAATTAGTTACACTTTTCTCTTACTAACTTGTCTTCTGTTATAAGAGTGTTGGCCATGACCCTTACAATGGGTAAGGAAAGGTGTCACACCTCCACTTTTTTCCCCATAAAATTGACCTTTTGAAGAGATCAGGACAAATGAATTTGTAGGATGCTTTACATTTTGGGTTTATTTGATTGTTTTCTGCAGGTGCGATTTAACTAGATTCTCTGTCTCCTTCATTTCCTATAAATTGGAAGGTTAAATCCAAACTCTTATTAACTTCAAATTAATCAGGTTGAGCAAGAGTATATCAGAGGTGATGATGTGTAGTTTAGATTGTTGTGTCACATTACGCGGCACACAATATCAGATTGTCCCGCTATTTGTGATGTTAAATTTCATCAAAGTGGTAAAACCCTCCTTTGTAATGAGAAGGTCATCTCTGAGGTGGTACTTTGGTCCCATGCAAATATTGGACCCCAAAACAACCTTTCCCATTATGTGTTAGCATTTTTGATCACCCTTGACTGAATTATTATTTCATTGGGGATGACAGAATGATGACTTTTCTAATTATATCATTTCTTCTACATTTATTAGCTAGCATTTGTAAACACACACACACACACACACACACACACACACACACACACACAAAATGTCTCTTCACCAACTGGGAATGAACTACAATTCCTCCTTAAAAGACAGGGTAGGTACTTTAATTACCAATTTTCAGAATAAGAAGTTAGTATAACAGTCACCTTCAAAGGTGGCAAATTATCTTTTTTCTCTCTCTCTCTTTGAGTATCACTATAGATTCATGGGTTTTTATTTATTCACTGTTTTATAATCAATTGCAGTCATTATTCCTTTTGATATTTAAATTGCCCCAAATTTGGCCTCTATGTCCTTTTGAGTTCTCTGTCAGGTGCATATGAATTTTATTAATCAAAACAAACTCTATATGGTGGAATTTAGGCAACATTTGGAAGAGATTTGGGGATGAGGAAAGGGACAGAGTGGCCTCTAAATAGGTAGGCTATCACTGCCAGCAAGATTGTCCTTGGAGTCAGCCATCGTAGGCACATCTCGACCTGGGAGTCTTTTCTTCCTTCACATTTAAGCCCCAGATTTACAAAAAAGCTCCATTGTTTTCTGTAATTAATTGGCAGTGAGAGACCAAAATTACTGTATGAATGTTTGGCTCATTTGTAAATTAAGGCCTGCTTATCTGTGTAGGAATGGTGAAGATAACTGTAACCCAAATGTAATTCATTAAAGGGAAATACTCATCAGTAGCAATATCGGATATTAAATGAGGAAAATATGTTAGTATGTAGTGACATGAGACTTCTGACTGAGATGTGAGCAAGAAAACAGATCCACGGGACCCTCCACACACAGAAACTGAGCTGTTCTGTGCCTTGTTCGTTTGTGTCCTGCTGAGTTCACATTAACAAATGAATCCCAGAATCTTAGCTCTCCCTGGGAGATCTATGTCTTAAGAAAATTTCTTGTGACAATAATACCTTAACCCAAAGCAAACATTTTCAAATGGTGGGAATAAGAGTCAGTGAAGCAAGTCAGTGGAAGAATTTGATTTTGGACAGAAACTCTTTCAGCAAGTCACACCATGATAGCTCCTTCCAATTCTGCTGTACAGATCTCTGGCCCAGGCTGCAATCTTACAGCTATATGGCTGTAAACAAGGTAGAATGTAGAGATTAAATTACCTGAGCGACAGTTAGGAAATCTCCTTTCTTGTGGAAGCAAGGACTAATGCTTTCATATTGTTGTGAGTCTAGTAATGCTCAAGAGATATTTAATGTGCGAAATTTAAATAACACTCTGGGCTGGGCGCAGTGGCTCATACCTGTAATCGCAGCACTTTGGGAGGCCGAGGCGAGAGGATCACTTGAGGTCAGGAGTTTGAGACCAGCCTGGCCAACATAGTGAAACCCTGTCTTTACTAAAAATACAAAAATTAGCTGGGTGTGATGGCACACACCTGTAGTCCCAGCTACTTGGGAGGCTGAAGCAGGAGAATCGCTTGAACCTGGGAGGTGGAGGTTACAGTGAGCCGAGATCGTGCCACTGCACTCCAGCCTGAGTGACACAGCAAGACTCCATCTCATAATAATAGTAATAATAATAATAATAATAATTTAAAAATAACACTCTGTAAAGGCTTAAAGAATGCAAGACATTTAAGGTTGCCTGTGTTTTCAATAACCTCTCAACCCCTTTTTGTTCTGTTTACTTAAATTCCCATTTAGATTTTAGAATACTTTTGCTTTATTTGCTGATTTTAATTTCTTTGTATTTTCCTTTCTTCTGGTTCATCTGGTCCTCTTGCTATTATTGCCTTAATTAATTTCTTGGGCTCTGGCATCATTTTTCTTCCCACTAACAACTTTTTAAATATATACTTCAGTTTTTGTAATCAAGGAAGTTTTGGTTTTCTTTAATAAGTAAATATGAAGGGGACACTGCTAAGCCTATATCTTATACAAAGTTATACACAATCTTAGATGACAAATAATTTGAAAATCAAGGATCTAGATTTTCCAGGCTCAAGTATGATTCAGGTATTCCTCCTCCCCTGGATTACTGTAAGCAGAATCCTTCCCTAGTCGAGATTCTTTTTGTTACTCTTGTTTACCTTAGAGCTCTGTTCAAGTAAACGGTCTCTCTCTGTAAAAGGAATCTGGGTATGAGCTGCTAAAGAGTTACTTCTGCCCCCACATCATAAAATGGAAAAAAACATGTACCAAGTAAAATGCTATTTTATTTATTTTTTATTATTTATTTACTTGAGACAGAGTTTTGCTCTTGTCTCCCAGGCTAGAGTGCAGTGGCGCCATCTCGGCTCACTGCAACCTCTGCCTCCTGGGTTCAAGTGATTCTCCTGCCTCAGCCTCCCGAGTAGCTAGGATTACAGGCGCCCGTCACCACGCCCAGCTAATTTTTTGTATTTTTAGTAGAGACGGGGTTTCACCATGTTAGCCAGGATGGTCTCAGACTCCTGACCTCAGGTTATCCGCCTGCCTCAGCCTCCCAAAGTGCTGGGATTACAGGTGTGAGCCACCGCGCCCGACTATTTTTTATTTTTTTGAGACAGAGTCTCGCTCTGTCACCCAGGCTGCAGTGTAGTAGGATAATCTTGGCTTACTGCATACTCTGCCTCCCAGGTTCAAGTGCTTCTCGTGCCTCAGCCTCCCGGGTAGCTGGGATTACAGGTGCCCACCACCACACCCAGCTGATTTTTGCATTTTTAGTAGAGAACTGGGTTTCACCATATTGGCCAGGCTGGTCCCGACCTCCTGGCCTCAAGTGATCCTCCTGTCTTGGCCTCCCAAAGTACTGAGATTACAGGAGTGAACCACTGCCCCTGGTCTCCAAGTAAAGTGCTTTTATTTGTAATTATTCAGCTAAGCAAACAAATATTCTGGTTACTATTACAGCATATATTAGACACGTTCTGCAGCCTCCAAAAGCTTTCATAAAAATTAGAATAAGTCGGTATAGGAATAGACAGAGATGATTAAAGGGTTTTGGGATAGGCATCTTTTCCTGTATTCTTTTAAGAGGCTTTTTTTCTAGCTTTTATCTATTTTGTGGTAAAAATATATAATATTAAGTGTGCCATTTTAAGTATTTTAGAATTACAATTGTCATTAATTGTAGTCACAATATTGTCTAACTATCACTACTCTCTATTTCCAAAACCTTTCCATCATTGCAAACAGAAACTTTGTACCCACTAAGTAATAATTCTCCATTCTTTTTCTCTCAGCCCTAGTAACCTCTATTCTGCTTTCTGTTTCTACAAATTTGTCAGCCGTTTTAAAAAGATGAGCTTTGGCAGCTGTGTAGATGGGAAATGGCCTAAGGCAGGGTCCCCAACACCTAGGCCATGAACCAGTATTGGTCCATGGCATGTTAGCAACCAAACTGCACAGCAGGAGGTTCATCTGTATTTGACTGAATTATTATTTCAGAGAGAGAGAGTGGAGCTTCATCTATATTTACAGCTGCTCCCCGTTGCTTGCATTACCACTGGAGCTCCGCCTCCTGTCAGATCAGCAGAAGCAGCAGTGGCATTAGATTCTCATAGGAGGCTGAACCTTATTGTGAACTGCACATGCAAGGGACCTAGGTTGCATGCTCCTTATGAGAATCTAATGCCTGATGATCTGTCACTGTCTCCCATCACCCCCATATGGGACGATCTAGTTGTAGGAAAACAAGCTCAGGGCTCCCACTGATTCTACATTAAGGTGATTTATGTCATTATTTCATTATATATTACAATATAATAATAGAAATAAAGTGCACAATAAATGTAGTGTGCTTGAATAGTCCTGATAACCATCCCCCCACCCACTGTCCCAGTCCATGGAAAGATTGTCTTTTATGAAACCCATCGCTGGTACCATAATGATTGGGGACTGTTGGCCTAAGGAATGCAAAGGAATGAAACTCTTTTCCTTCAGGTAATTGTAACAACATAATGTTTTGAAAACCATTCTTGTTAGTTTCTTTTTTGCTTTTCTCAGAGCCCAATCTTTGCTCTAGTTGGCAGAGATGTTGATCAGGCTGGCAGAACTGGGATATGGAAAGGATACAAAAAGAAAATGTTACATGGTATTCAGCTTCTGAAAACAAAATAGTATTATGCATGTCAGTAGCCTTGCAAGCAAGCTGAGTTTTCCTTTTTTTTCTTTTCTTTTCTTTTTTTTTTTTTTTTGAGGTCTCACCATGTTACCCAGGCTGCAGCCCATGTCGCCCAGGCTGCAGCCCAGCGGCCCAATCACAGCTCACTGTAGCCTTGACCTCCTGGGGTCAAGCTGTTCTCCCACCTCAGCCTCCTAAGTAGCTGGGACTACAGATGTGCACCACCACACTCAGCTAATTTTTTAAAATTATTATTTGCAGAGATGAGGTCTCACTATATTGCCCAGGCTGATCTTGGATTCCTGGGCTCAAGCGATCCTCCCTCCTCAGCCTCCCAAAGTGCTGGAATTATAGGCATGAGCCACCTCACCTGGCCACAAGCTGAGTTTTTATCTTAAGATATGATTTTTTCTAAATTCCTTTTCCCCCTTTAATATATCACTTGCTGAATCAGGAGGGACCGACTCAAAAGTTTCGTGTTATTGAGAGGATATTCTTCTGTTTATGTTAGCAAAGCCACAAGTCTTGCTGATCAATGGTAGAAAGAGGCCTGACACGGTGGCTCATACCTATAATCTAAGCACTTTGGGAGGCCGAGGCAGGAGGATCACTTTAGCCCAGGAATTCGAGACCAGCCTGGGCAACATGATGAAATCCAATCTCTACAAAAAATATGAAAATTAGCTGGGTATGGTGGTGCACGCCTGTAGTTCCAGCTACTCCGGAGGCTGAGGTGGGAGGATCCCTTGAGCCCAGGAGGTCAAGGTTGCAGCAAGCCGTTATGGCGCCACCGCACTCCAGCCTGGGTGACAAAGTGAGACCCTGTCACACACACACACACACTAGAGGGCAAATAGGCTAAGTATGCCTGCAAGTAACAAAAATACTGCAGATAATAGTAGCCTCAAGGTAAGAGTTTGTTTCTTTGCCATATTCCAGAATTCATTAAAATAACTGAAGTCTGCTGGGCACGTTAAATTTGCCTGCAAGTAACAAAAATACTACAGGATGATAGTAGCCTCAAGGTACAAGTTTGTTTCTTTGCCATATTCCAGAATTCATTAAAATAAGTGAAGTTGGCTGGGCACATTAAATTTGCCTGCAAGTAACAAAAACACTACAGGATAATAGTGGCCTCAAGGTACAAGTTTGTTTCTCTGCCATATTCCAGAATTCATTAAAATAACTGAAGTTGGCCGGGCGCAGTGGCTCACGCCTGTAATCCTAGCACTTTGGGAGGCCGAGGCGGGGGGATCACTTGAGGTCAGGAGTTCGAGACCAGCCTGGCCAACATGGTGAAACCCTGTCTCTACTAAAAATACAAAAATTAGCCAGGAGTGATGGTGCACACCTGTAATCCCAGCTACCCGGGAGGCTGAGGCAGGAGAATCGCTGGAACCTGAGAGGCCGAGGCTGCAGTGAGCCGAGATTGTGCCACTGCACTCTAGCCTGGGTTAACAGAGTGAGACTCTATCACAAAAAAAAAAAAAAAAAAAGGAAAAAAAAGAGTAGGTTAGGCTTTGAGTACATCAAGAGGCTGGGAAATGGGTTTTGCTAGCTAAGAAAGTAACAAAGACATTTTCTCTTTTCTGTGACTGTGGCTAAGACTAGTCCTGTCCTGTCTTTGCCATAAACTATGTGGGAAATGGCTTTCCTTCACAAAATGAGTCCCTAAAGAGAAGGGAGACTGATGGCCATCTCTCTCCATGTGGCCTGAAGAGCCAGGAGGTAGGAATAAGGGGAGTCAAGCAAGGCCTTAACCAGACTCTAATACGCAAGCTGGCCCTGTTGCCTTGGGAAGAATGTGGCTCCGGTGAGTAGCAGCAGGTAGAGGTGTATAATCTGGGATATGTGCAGCTCTGATGCCTTCCGTTTTAGAAAGGACTCTGCTTTGCTCTGGCCTTTAATTTATGCCACATAGGCACAGGGGCTACATAACATAGTGGTTTACAGCAAGGATTTGGGATCCAGACTGGCCAGATTTGAACTCCAGCACTATTCCTTGATACCTCTGAAACTTGGGACAAGTAACTTAGTCACTATGTATGAAAAGAGATAATAATACTAGTACCTTCCTCATACTACAAGACTACAAGATGTGGTCAAGACCAGAAATATATAAGCACTGTAAAAACAATGTAAAACCAAATGAAAATTCTTCATTTGTATCTTCCAAAAATAAAAAAATAGCTATTTGGGATTCTTGTCTACTTTGTCCCTGTAGTCCTATATATTGTTTCTCTTATGTCAGATTTCTAACTAGTGGTTCTGTTTTGTTTTTTTACAAAATTTTAATAAGGTTTTTTTTTTTTTTTTGGCAGAGCTAGCTGAGGTTTTATTTTGGACAAAAAAAAAAAAAGCCAGGTATGGTGGCTCACGCCTGTAATCCCAGCATTTTGGGAGGCCGAGGCAGACCAATCATGAGGTCAGGAGTTCAAGACCAGCCTGGCCAATATGTTGAAACCCCATCTCTACTAAAAATACAAAAATTAGCTGGGCGTGGTGGCGTGTGCCTGTACTCCTAGCTACTCGGGAGGCTGAGGCAGAAGAATCACTTGATCCCAGGAGGCAGAGGTTGCAGTGAGCCGAGGTCATGCCACTGCACTCCAGCCTGGGCGACAGAGCGAGACTCCGTCTCAAAAAAAAAAAAAAAGCAATTGAATTGTTTTGTAGCTGGAGGCATGGGGCAAAGGGGGTCCCCCGCGGTGGGCTGAGGGTTGGGGCTGAGCCTCGGGTGGGTTTCCTGTTGCCTGTGCTCCCCTGCACAGTGGCCTCCCTCCCGGGCTCTGGGGCAGCCGCAGGAGGGGCACGCTGGGAGGGGCTGCCGCAGCTGTTCACTTGCGCAGGACGTCAGAAGACTCGGACACCAGCTTCCCATTGCGGGTCTGTATCTTCTTCACAACCACGGCCCTGGTGGAGCTGCTGTGGCTGAAGGAGCTGGAGCCCACGCCAGAGCCAAAGCTGGAGCCCAGGCCGTAGCTGAGGCTGGGGCTTGTGAGGCCCCCATAGGCCGAGCTCAGACCACCTGCATAGCTGCTGGTGGTCTTCGTATGGATACTCATGTTCTGCATCCCAGACTCCAGCCGGCTGTCCTTGCCCTCCAGCAGCTTCCTGTAGGTGGCGATCTCCATATCCAGGGCCAGCTTGATGTTCATCAGCTCCTGGTACTCATGCAACTGCCATGCCATGTCTTGCTTGGCCCGCTGCAGGGCCGCCTCCAGCTCGGACAGCTTGGCGTTGGCATCCTTAATGGCCAGCTCCCCACGCTGCTCAGCATCTGCGACGGCGGCCTCCAGGGAAGCCTTCTGGCCTTTGAGACCCTCAATCTCAGCCTGGAGCCAGCTGATGTTCCGGTTCATCTCGGAGATCTCAGTCGTTGTATGCCGCAGGTCATCGCTGTGTGGTTTTTTTTTTTTGTTTTTTTTTTTTTTTTTTTTTTGAGATGGAGTCTCGCTCTGTTGCCCAGGCTGGAGTGCAATGGTGCAATTTCAGCTCACTGCAACCTCCACCTCCCAGGTTCAAGTGATTCTCTGTCCTCAGCCTCCCAAGTAGCAGAGATTACAGGCACCTGCCACCACACCCGGATATATTATTATTATTTTTGAGATGGAGTCTTGCTCTGCTGCACAGGCTGGAGTGCAGTGGCATAATCTCAGCTCACTGCAACCTCCGCCTCCTAGGTTCAAGACATTCTCCTGTCTCAGCCTCCTGAGTAGCTGGGATTACAGGCACACGCCACCATGCCCAGCTAATTTTTATATTTTTAATAGAGATGGGGTTTTGCCATGTTGGCCAGGCTGGTCTTGAACTCCTGACCTCAGGTGTTCTGCCTGCCTCGGCCTCCTGAAGTGCTGGGATTACAGGCGTAAGCCACCGTGCCCAGCCTTTTTTTGTATTTTTAGTAGAGATGGGGTTTCACCATGTTGGCCAGGCTGGTCTCGAACTCCTGACCTCAAGTGATCTGCCTGCCCCAGCCTCCCAAAGTGCTGGGATTACAGGCATGAACCACCGCGCCCAGCTTGTTTTCCTTTTTGAAAAACACAGGCAAACAATCTTCATTTGGTAGGATTAACCATGCTGAATTTACAATAACACATTTCTGGCCTTGTTTACATCCTGTAGCTTATTTGTAGAGCATACTAACTAGCATATGTTGTGTGTTTACTTCAAGCTTATAATATCAGCTGTGAATTTTGTTCAGTTCAATACTATCATAGTCTTTTGAAGATATAAAGATATATTATCTTAAACATTATAGGGTATACAAGTGAAGCCAGAGTAATTTGTTTCAGTCCAAATTTCTTCAATTTTTTTTTTTTTTTGAGATGGAGTCTCACTGTATGGCCCAGGCTAGTGTGTAGTGGCATGATCTCAGCTCACTGAAATCTCCGCCTCCTGGTTCAAGCAATTCTCATGTGTCAACCTCCCAAGTAGCTGGAACTACAGGCACCCACCACCACACCTGGCTAATTTTTTTTTTCCTTTTTTTTTTTTTCTTTTTTGAGACGGAGTCTCACACTGTCTCCCGGGCTAGAGTGCAATGGCATGATCACAGCTCACTGCAAGCTCTGCCTCCAAGTTCACACCATTCTCCTGCCTCAGCCTCTTGAGTAGCTGGGATTATAGGTGCACACCACCACACCCGACTAATTTTTGTATTTTTAGTAGAGATGGGGTTTCACTATGTTGGCCAGACTGGTCTCAGATTCCTGCCCTCATGATCCGCCCACCTCGGCCTCCTAAAGTGTTGGGATTACAGGTGTGAGCCACCGTGCCTAGCATTTTTTGTATTTCAGTAAAGACAGGGTTTTACCATGCTGGCCTGGCTAGCCTCGAACTCCTGAGCTCAGGCAATCCTCCCGCCTTGGCTTCTCAAAGTGCTGGGATTAATTTTTATTATTTTAATTATCTACATGTTGTAGCTGTATTCCTACTATACTTTTTCCAGCAGATTATTTCTTGGTGAAATGTCCCTTAAATCAGATATGAACCATGTGAAAATAATCATTATAAATATTCTAATATGCAGTTATTTATTTTTTAAAAATATGGGTACATAGTAGGTGTACTGATTTAGATTTAAAGCAATTTTAGTTCTGGAAATATGTTATTCCTCTATTCATACTATTTTAAATTTGAACTTGTCTTAAGCATTAACTGTTATTAGGTACAAGACAATTGCAAAAGCTGAAAATACTATTATTAAATAATAAAGCAATAAAAATGTTTTTTGTTGGGGGGAGAGGAGAAGGAAAGTTCAAATACACCTAGTCAGGGACCCAAGCATCCTAATAAAAAATCATTTAGCATCGAGTCTCTCAGAGTGTGCTCACATGTTCAGAACATTCAAAACACTTGATTCCATGTATCTGAGGGAGAGTTATCACACATTTTGTTCCTCCAAATTGAAATAATATTTTATATATTTTTTGAGACAGAGTCTCACTCTGTTGCCCAGGCTGGAGTGGAGTGGCGCAATCTTGGCTCACTGCAACCTCCATCTCCCAGGTTCAAGCAATTCTCCTGCCTCAGCCTTCTGAGTAGCTGGGACTACAGGTGCATGCCGCTATGCCTGGCTAATTTTTATATTTTTAGTAGAGACAGGATTTCACCATATTGGCCAGGCTGGTCTCGGACACCTGACCTCAAGTGATCTACCCACCTCGGCCTCCCAAAGTGCTAGGATTACAGGCGTCAGCCACTGTGCTGGCCTCAAATGGAAACTTTGAGTTTTTTCTCTTTTTGGCTGACAAATGACTTTGATTTATCAGTTTTGAAATTACACATTCCTTAATCTAGAGCTAATAAGTAACAAACTGACCCCATGGTATAACTTGAAATTAGGACTGTATCATAAAACAGATATCATATTATCAGTTAATATGAGTTAAGTTTCTAAAATTTAGAAAACTGACTTTCTTTCAATGAGTACTGCTATTTACTGAAGGGTAAAATAAGAGTTACATGGTGTAGTTGATGGAGTGTGTTAGCACACCTCCAGCAGGTGGGTGCCTACTACTGCACTGAATCAGAGCCTCCAATGCCCCTGGGTTTCCCATTTGCCTCTCATGAAGCGTTTTAGGTTGATTAATTCCAGGATAGGCACTAATATCATTGTTCCCAGTAATCTAGCAACATAAAGCCTTGTAAACCAAGACCTTAGACATTTCCATGAAGTCTTTTCAAGTGCTGCTTTCTACTCGCTGGCTGTCATAGATCATTGCAGCTCTACAGGCAATCTTTGGAATATATTTCCAGCCATTTTAGTCTCAGCTCTTTTTTTTTTTTTTTTTAAAGACTAGTGAAATACAATAGTCAGATGAGGGGAAAGAGTAGAACAAGGAGGTTGATCTGTAACTGACTGTGACCCATCAACTGAGGTAACTCACTTCCTTCGGACCAGCCTCAGCTCTTTTTGTGAGTAAGGAATAGAAATCTACCCACATTAGTTCAAATAAAGGAGATGGGGATATACAATAATTTTGGTAATTAAAATCAAATACTGTCAGCCTTCATGAGAAATAAGCCTGTACACTGAAGTTGTCAGGGACCAAGAAATCTGTATTCTCCCTTTTTTTGTCTTTCTGGGGCCAACTGGTGTCTCCTTTTCCTTTCTCTTAGCACATTTACTCCATTTTCCTCTTTCATTTAGTTGGCAGATTGAGGCACTGTTTTTAAAATGGCAAACAGACTGCAAGTCTTTGTGACCCTTTAGCATAACTACCTTCAGGCTTTAGGTATCTGTTTAAAATCTTGAGAAAGAGGGACAGCGGGAGAAGGAGACTGGGAGAGTGGAGGAAGATGGAGAGAATATGATTTCATGTGGGAAAGCCAGTAACGGACTTTGTTTTACTTCAAGTATCTATCTTTGATTCAGTCAACCTTGGTTGTAGGGCTGTTAAAGATCAATCTTGTTCATCAACAACAAAGAAATGAAAGATAAAAAACAATCATTATATTTTTACACTCCCTGATATTTTCTCTTAGAAGGTTAGCTGGATTTTATGATATTCAGTTGGCAAGAGCTTAAAATAAACAATTTGGCGGAGCAATATTGCAATGTGGATGGAGTTGAGAAATAGACTATCACTTTCTCATACTATGTGCCTGTTTCTATGTGTATCTTTTTCTTTATTTTCACTAATCAAATATAAGCACTGAATTTCTAATTATAGTCCTAGATCTGCTAGAGAGGCATTTGATAAACCAAAACTTTTGAAAATATTTAGAACTTTCAAAAGGATCAAAACCTCATTAGTGGTGATGAGAGTGTTTTAAAGCTCATAGGGGCTTTATAGCTTCATTTAGTTCAATTCCATAATTTTACAGATAAATGAAGAACAGACAAGGGAAGTAAGTGATGCAAGGCCACACAGCTCACTGGAGATGGAGCTGGACTCCACTTTCTGTCATTATGTTTCTTAATTCACTGTCATTATGCTTCTAATTAAAAAATACTACTTAGCAAACAATTCACATTAACAGAAGGGATAATTAAAATCTAGTAAAGTTATTAAAGGTTTTTCTCTCTTGATATGTGATCATTTTAACAAATTAGTACTAGATTGAGATGTAACCTTGAGTGTGTTGCTTATTCTCTAGGGATCTCCAGTTCTTTTGATTTACTATAATTCCCTTTACAATAATGAAGTTCCATGCCTGATTGGATTATCAGAAAGGATTCTACCCCTCAGGCGTTTCAATTAGTTCATTGTTGCTGTGATTATATTTTTCTCCTCTCTATGTATTATTTATGAAATTTTATTATAATAGAATTTAAAATATTAGACCTCGAGGAAACCTTAGGAATTACATAGTCCAGAACTCCCTCATTAACTTATACCATATTTTATTTTATTCTTCTAATTATTGATAAACTACGGAGGTGGCAAAAAGAATCTGGGACGATGAATATGAAGCACTTTCTGGATGACTACTTTTGACCTCTGAAGAGAAAATGAAACTCAAATGAGGCCTCATCTTTGTCAATGAAGGCTTATTTACTTACACCATAATTATTTCTTGACTGTTTTTACAGAATAGATTTTTGTTTTAACTTGCATTAACCGAATCATAATATTCACAGATATAAAATAAGAAAGTGGCCATGTTTATGTTTTTATTGCATGAAATAAAACCAAGTTCTAGGTCATTCTCCTATATTGATAATTAGTAGAGCATAAAATATACATAGACATTAAATATGTCATTGATGTTAAGGTTTTTCTACAAGAGACTTTCTCTTGTAGAAAATCTCATAAAAGATCTTAAGTTTTATGATACATTTTGAACATTATCTATAATATATTCATTAAATATTTACAGTGCTCTCATGAACAAAGCACCATCTCAGATATAAGGAATAGGTGTTCTGAAGTCCTCAAGCCTAAAGTTCTCTGTCAAACATTTCGGTTTTGTTTATGTTTTAGTGATGACACACCTTTAAGAACTGGACAGAAACTAGGCTACTTTTACTTGCCAAGAACATCACATTCTAGCCAATACATTTTTTTACATGATAGTGTGAGCCAAGTCCCAGGTGTCATTAAAGTATCCCTTAATGTGTGGAGCAAAGATTGTTTCTAAAAATTGTTCAAAGAGCCAAATTCCTAAATAGTAAAAGATTTTAAAAGTATATATAAAAGTAGATATCTAAAATTTAAAAAATTTCTTCTCATTCCTTTAAAAACCTATTTCTATTTCTCAGGTAAGAACAGCGCAGCCTTCTTCCCATTCCTGGCTCTCTATCAATTTCAGTATTAGATTCTGTGCTATTTCCTGTACTGTGAGTTTGAATTTCTAAGCAACAAAGATGAACAAGGTAGGAACAGTGTGTCTTCCCATTTTCATCTATATGTAAAAGGTAGGAAGTGAGACCGCACGCAGTGGCTCATGCCTGTAATCCCAGCACTTTGGGAGGCCGAGGTAGGTGGATCACCTGAGGTCAGGAGTTTGAGACCAGCCTGGCCAACATGGCGAAACCGCGAATCTACTAAAAATACAAAAAATTAGCTGGGCGTGGTGGCAGGCTCCTGTAATCCCAGCTACTCAGAAGGCTGAGGCAGGAGAAATGCTTGAACCTGGGAGGCAGAGGTTGCAGTGAGCCAAGATCGTGCCATTGCACTCCAGACTGGGTGACAAGAGTGAAACTCTGTCACAAAATAAATAAATAAATAAATAAATAAATAAATAAAGTAATCCCAGCACTTTGGGAGGCCGAGGCAGGTGGATCACGAGGTCAGGAGTTCAAGACTAGCCTGGCCAACATGGTGAAACCCTGTCTCTACTGAAAATACAAAAATTAGGCCGGGCGCGGTGGCTCACGCCTGTAATCCCAGCACTTTGGGAGGTCGAAGCGGGTGGATCACGAGGTCAGGAAATCGAGACCATCCTGGCTAACATGGTGAAACCCCGTCTCTACTAAAAAATAGAAAAAAATTGGCCAGGCATGGTGGCAGGCGCCTGTAGTCCCAACTACTTGGGAGACTGAGGCAGGAGAATGGCGTGAACCCGGGAAGCGGAGCTTGCAGTGAGCCAAGATGATGCCACTGCACTCCAGCCTGGGCTACAGAGCGAGACTCTGTCTCAAAAAAAAAAAAAAAAAAAAGAAGGTAAGAGGTGGTGTGGAAACTTAGATTAGATTAAGAGCCCACTAGCTGCCAAAAGTGTTTACATACATTGTTTCAATTAATTACTTTATAGACCACAGGTAGGCTTATTAACTCCACTAAGAGACCAGGACACTCTGGGTAAGAGAAGTTAAGTAATTTGCCTAAGATCATATGGCTAATAAAAGACTGGAAGAGAATGCTGGGTCTGGCCAGAGACAGAGATTGTGGGAGATAAACATCTCACTCTGTAAGCAACTAACCTGTGGTGTTTTTATTTATTTATTACTGATACATATTAATTATTCATATTTATGAGGTACAATGTGATGTTTTGATCCATGTATATCTTGTATAATGATCAAATCAGGGTACTTAAGATATTTTTCACCTTAAACATTTACCATTTTTTTGTGATGAGAACATTCAAAAACCTGTCTTCTAGCTATCCTCAAACATACATTATTGTTAATGCTAGTCTCCCTACTATGCAATAGAATACCAGAACTTATTCCTCATATCTAACTGAAGCTTTGTACTTGTTGACCAATCTCTTCCCCTTCTGGCCTTGTCCGTCTTCTTCTTTCTCTTCTTCTTTTTTTATAGAGAGATGGGGTCTTACTATGTTGCCCAGGCTGGAGTACAGTGATGTGATCATAGCTCACTGCAGCCTTGAACTCCTGGGCTCAGGGATCCTCCTACCTCATCCTCAGCTGGGACTATAGGTGCCTGCCACCACACCTGGCCTCCTTTTATTTTCTATTTAATTTTTAGTAAAATTCTCCAAATGGAGTTGCCACTGCTTAAGATGGCAATGCTGGGCACCTGTAGAAGAGCTGCTTTCTCTTCTGGTGACCTTGAATAAGTCTTATAGATTTATTATTGTGCCCTTTTCCTGTTTGGTTCTTTCAATTAATGGACAATTCTTTTAAGACTCAGAACTGAAAGTCAGGCGCCATGGCTCATGCCTGTAATCACACCAGTTTGGGAGGCTGAGGTGGGTGGATTGCCTAAGCTCAGGAGTTTGAGACCAGCCTGGGCAACATGGCGAAATCCTGTCTCTACTAAAAATACAAAAAATTAGCTGGGCGTGGTGGTGAGTGCCTGTAATCCCAGTTACTCAGGAGGCTGAGGCATGAGAATTACTTGAACCCAGGAAGCAGAGGTTGCAGTGAGCAGAGATCATGCCACTGCACTCCAGCCTGGGCAACAGGGCAAGACTATGTCTCACAAAAAAAAAAAAAAAAAATTGGCTGGGTGCGGTGGCTCACACCTGTAATCCCAGCACTTTGGGAGGCCGAGACAGGTGGATCACGAGGTCGGGAGATTGAGACCATCCTGGCTAACATGGTGAAACCCTGCCTCTACTAAAAATACAAAAAATTAGCCGGGCATGGTGGCGGGCGCCTGTAGTCCCAACTACTCGGGAGGCTGAGGCAGGAGAATGGCATGAACCCGGGAGGCAGAGCTTGCAGTGAGCCGAGATCATGCCACTGCACTCCAGCCTGGGCGACAGAGCAAGACTCCGTCTCAAAAAAAAAAAAAAGACTCAGAACTGGCTTTCAGCAAAGATTTTTTTTCTTTCCAAATTGGTGTGAAATAGGCTGGGCACGGTGGTTCACGCCTGTGATCCCAGCACTTTGGGAGGCCGAGGCAGGCAGATCCCCTGAGGTCAGGAGTTCGAGACCAGCCTGACCAACAGGGAGAAATCCCGTCTCTACTAAAAATACAAAATTAGCCGGGCATGGTGGCGCATGCCTATAATCCCAGTTACTCAGGAGGCTGAGGCAGGAGAATCACGTGAACCCAGGAGGCAGAGGTTGCGGTGAGCCAAGATCACACCATTGCACTCCAGCCTGGGCAAGAAGAGTGAAACTCCGTCTCAAAAAAAAAAAAAAAAAAAGGTGTGAAATTTAGATATTAATTGTGTTTTGTTCATCTAATTAGATGTGTGAGTTAAGGAGTATAAAATAAGCCACTAGCTACTTTCTCACAAGATACAATAAATCTATCAGACTGAAGAGCAAAACAGCATCAGTTGTAATCAAAATAATATATGATATCATGTCATGATGTCAGAAGAATACATTACGTTATTTCCAAGGGCTCTCCTCAGAAATTAGATTGGGAGATTGGCTAAATCCTCAGATCCTACCTGTCCCTCCACAAGAAAAGCTAAGCAGGTATCTTGCAATACACAATTTAAGGTGAAGCCATAATGATTACCTAGTTATCTCTCACTGTACAATTCGTAACATCTTTTTTTTTTTTTTGAGACAGAGTCCCACTCTGTCACCCAGGCTGGAGTACAGTGGTGCAATCTCGGCTCACTGCCACCTCCACCTCCCAAGTTCAAGCAGTTCTCTGCCTCAGCCTCCCAAGTAGCTGGGATCACAGGCGCCCACCACCACGCCTGGCTAATTTTTGTATTTTTGTTAGTGACAGGGTTTCACCATCTTGGCCAGGCTGGTCTCGAACTCCTGACCTCATGATCTACCCGCCTCAGCCTCCCAAAGTGCTGGAATTATAGGCATGAGTCACAGTGCTTGGCCAATTTCTAACATCTTTACACCATTCGATTTTATCTTTTCTCTGCTCAAAATAAGCACTGCAGTATAAGCTATTGAATGTCAATAATCAATTCCTTGGCAAGATTACCTGATAGAATAACAAAAATTGCTCTACAACAAACAAAACCTTTGATCTCTCATAAGAGATATATGCAGCCACTCACTTCCAAACATCAGTATGTCATCAGTAATCAACAAGCAATATTGACAATGTCCCTAGAAACTCATGGAAAGGCCTCTAGGCCTAAACAGAGTATAGTCAGTCCATTGCCCTCAACTGCCTACAGCAAGATATGCAATTCTGTGATTTTTATTAGGATAATCCCCTTGTAGACATTGTTGTGGCTTTTTGGGACTCCCGAATTCTTTGCCCAGTGTGGAACATGCATCAGAACCTTCAGTATCCCTTTCCAATATCTGTCCTCCCTAAGGTGCACCCCTCCCATTATGTGCACACCCCTTAGATGGATGTGCAGGAGTGTCCTCACAAATATTTGAGAGGCCCCTTCTGGTGTGTGGGTGAGCAGGAGGTCAAAAGAGAAGGTGGAGCCAGCCTGTAGGCAGTGGCTTCCTTTTGTACTTATGCCCCAGGTCCTGTAAATATTACCTGTTTCCCTGGATGGAACTGGAGTGGGCCCCACAAGGGGCTAGGCCTAGAATAGAAAGTTGTCACTGCATAGAGAAACTGAAATGTGTTGTTCTTTTTTAGGGTTCATGTAAGGATCAATTTGCCACTAGCCTACTTCCTTGTGGAAGCTGCATATTTGAATCTTCTGGTAAATTTATATGATTGCCATAGAATAAATTTTTATTTAAACCATAGGTTATTTATATATCGTGTCTTACATAGAATTTAGAAAATCTATTTCCAACTGTTACCCTTATATGAGATAGATGGACAGACTGAATGTCTCTCTATCTCAGACATACTATAATCTAATTCCATTTTAGGGAGCAAAGATTCTTGTTATACGCACACAGAATGAAAGTTGGGGTGTTCCATTTGATTACTATAATTAACGTATCACACTGCTTTTGAGAATTCAAGGAAAGCACTCTCCTCAGAGAAAATGAGAGATGGCCTTTCTGTTCTCCAAACTTTATGACAGGCATATATTTATCAGAGACATCGTCTACATTTCCTGAGATTCCCTCTGCCCTCACAGGACTAGCTGCTGTCTCAGCCATGCGCTCAGCTATCTGACCACTTTGGGACCTGCATGGTTTTGCTGTGAGGGGCTGACCAGTTGCTTATCCAGGATGTTGGCCCTTCTTGGCTGCTGCCATGCCAGTCAGGCATTTCGAGTTTCTGTCTCCTTTCATCACTTGAGACTTGGATGAAACACCACACTAGAGAGCATGGTATCTGGCTTCCCAAATGACTGCTGAGGGATCCGGATGATGCAATGCAGAAAGCTGGGTGTTAACCACACTCGGGATGAACTTTGGCCTGTAGAAATAGGAGATGCTGGGAGTGTGACAGATCAATTACCCCACTTCCTCCTCGTTGCCTGACTGCCTTCTCCTTAACAGTTTTTTCATGTAGCCTACCCATGCATTGCTTCCCATCCTTTCCTGCCACATCTCCCTTTTTCTCACTCTCACATTCCCAGGCTTACCCCTAAACAAATAAAGCAGTAGCACCCAATCTCCCTCAGAATTTGTTTTCTAGTAAACTGGGCAAAAAGGCTCACTATATGAATTGAGAAAGATAAAATTCTGAGACTGTAAGGTACAAACTCAAGTAGCCTTAGGAATAACTGATAAAGACCTATTTTTAAATCAGTATCTTCAAGTGGCATGTATAATAATAATTGTTTCAATATTATTTTGGAGGCACTATAGTGCTTGGATATAAATTTCATTTCTTTTCCCTTTGACTCCTAAGACTCTCCCGTATATCATAATTAATCAAGTATAGGTGCAGCAATATGCAAAGCCTTGAAAACACTAAAAGGGGTTATGACATTTTCTCTGTCCCCTGTCCTCATAATATAGTTATTAGAGGGAGACCACATATAAGTAATGACTTGCATGGTTTACATTAAAGTGCTGTGCTGCAGAGAAATGGGGAAATAAATGAAGGTCTCAAGTATCTAGGAAGACTTCATGATGGAGATGAAACTTTCAAAGGGAGTTTTAAAGGATGAATAATACCTGAATTGGTAGAGGGGAAACAGAAAGGTGCTCCTGGTGAGTTTCAAGTCCAAGTGAAGATGTGGAAATGAAATTGCGTATGGTACTTGTGATGGACTCACTATTTCTGGATTCTTCGTAACGGCATCCCACAGGGCTGCAGATCCTCTAAATCTCATTTATAGAACCTAGGTTAATCTATATGATATAAAGAAGATTCATAATCTGATCACTTTCTTTTTCTTTCTTTTTTTTTTTTTTCAGACAGAGTCTTACTCTGTCACCCAGGCTGCAGTGCCGTGGCACAATCTCAGCTCATTGCAACCTCAGCCTCCTGGTTTCAAGTGATTCTCCTGCCTCAGCCTCCCAAGTAGCTGAGATTACAGGCACATGCCACCAGGCCCCACTAATTTTTTGTATTTTTAGTAGAGATGGGGTTTCACCATGTTGGTCAGGCTGATTTCAAACACCTGACCTCAGGTGATCCACCTGCCTAGGCTTCCCAAAGTGCTGGGATTACAGGCATGAGCCACGGCTCCCAGCCACAATCTGATCATTTTCTTAAAACAGCAACAATGTTCCAGTATATAATCTGTGAAGTTTTGTTGGTCTGTGATTTGGTTTGGCTGTGTCCCCACCCAAATCTCATCTTGAATTCCCACTTGTGGGAGAGACCCTGTGCGAGGTAATTGAATCATGGGGGCAGGTTTTTCCCCTGCTGTTCTCATGATAGTGAATAAGTCTCACGAGATCTGATGGTTTTAAAAAGGGAAGCTTCCCTGCACAAGCTCTCTTATCTGCTGCCATGTGAGACATGCCTTTCACCTCTCGTCATGATTGTGAGGCCTCCCCAGCCACGTGGAACTGTAAGTCCATTAAACCTCTTTCTTTTGTAAATTGCCCAATCTCGGGTATGTCCTTATTAGCAGCGTGAAAACAGACTAATACAGTTTGGGAGTAAAATTAGAGAATTTAATTTTGGCTGGGCATGATGGCTCACACCTGTAATCCCAGCACTTTGGGAGGTCGAGGTGGGCAGAATGCGTGAGTTTAGGAGTTTGAGACAAGCCTGGGCAACATGGCGAAGCCCTGTCTCCACAAAAAATACAAAAATTAGCTGGTTTTGTTCCTGCATGCTTGTAGTCCCAGTCACTCAGGATGCTTGAGGCAGGGAGGTTGAGGCTGCAGTGAGCCGAGATTGTTTAACTGCACTCTAGTCTGAATGACAAAGCGAGACCCTGTCTCAAAAAACTTTTTTAAAATTTTATTTGAGGACAGCTTATTTGAGAACTCCCAATTCAGCATAAAAAGCTTTACTTGGCCAGGTGCAGTGACTCATGCCTGTAATCCCAGCGCTTTGGGAACCTGAGGCAGGCGGATCATGAGGTCAGGAGATCGAGACCATCCTGGCTAACACGGTGAAATTCCATTTCTACTAAAAACACAAAAAATTGGCCGGGCGTGATGGCGGGCAACTGTAGTCTCAGCTACTCAGGAGGCTGAGGCAGGAGAATGGCGTGAACCCGGGAGGTGGAGCTTGCAGTGAGCCGAGATGGCGCCACTGCACTCCAGCCTGGGCGACAGAGTGAGACTCTGTCTCAAAAAAAAAAAAAAAAGTTTTACTTGAATTTAAATCATTGATTTCAGTACAATTGTGAAACTTAAAAGAGCAATTTATGAAGGGAAGGAAAATAGAACACTTAAAAAAAATTCCTAAAGATTCCATGAAAAACTCTTATTGTTAAGGGGGTAGATTGTGTTCCCAGACTATCAGCTACAAATTTCTCCTCTCTTTTCCTGAATGCAACTAAAATTTCAAAAAGTCAGTACATGAGGTATGTACTGGATGGAAGAATTTGCCTCAGTATACTCCGAGAAAAAAAGCTGGGAAGGGAGTGGACAGGAGAAGGAATATAGGTGATAGGTAATAGAGGTTCATTAGTCTCTTTCTTTTGTACATACTTGAATTTTTTATAATATAAAATTCTTATAAACTCCTACATTGTTTCTGTAGATGACAACTGATAAATCAGGTCTAAAGTTTCTGGTTTTAGCTGGGTGCAGTGGCACATGACTGTAATCCTAGTACTTTGGGAAGTTGAGGAAGGCAGATGACTTGAGTCCAGGAATTCAAGACCATCCTGGGCAATAAGGCAATACCCCATCTCTACAAAAAATACAAGAAATTAGCTCCACATGGTGGCAAGTGCCTGTAGTCCCAGATACTCCACAGGCTGAGATGGGAGGATCACTTGAGTCCAGGAGGTCAAGGCCACACTTTGCTGACATCGTGCCACTGCATTCCCACCTGGACAAGAGAGAGAGACCCTGTCTCAAAAAAATAAATAAATAAATAAATAAATAAATCTGTTTTCATCAAGAAGTTTATAAATATACATTAATAATTTCATTTTGGTTATACATGCCCCATTATTGGGGGTGGGGAGTGGGATAGGGATAGATTTGGCAGGAGGACTGGTGGGGGCAGAGTCGTTAGATGTAGGGAAAAATAAGAAACAGAAGCTTTCAGAGAAAGAGTTTACAGGAGTCAACCACTGATTGCATAAAGAGAGGTAAGAGTTGAAGTTTCTGCAAGTGAGTGGATAATGGCGCCATTACAGATGAGGATGTAGGAATAAGAAGATGTCCTTCCTTTAAATGGGTTTGTGTGCAGTCTTCCCATGGACAGCCTCAGAAAGACTCAGGGACCCCTGGCTAACATCACGTTGCTGAGGAAACATTGTTAACTTTTTCAGATTAAGAAACATTTCATTTACATATAATCACAAAAACAAAAATTAAAACTACTAAATCTTGATCACATTGGTATCTGGCAACAGGGTACTTTACAACCAGTTATTATCATTTCCTCCCAACTCAGTCATAATTGCTGTCCTTGTTGTGGATTGAGTAATTTGACCAATGCTAGCTGCTAAACACAGGCAAAGTCCAAGTTAAAACTCTGCATGTTTTTTCCTTATCCCATTTACTTTATCTGTCAAAAAATCTCCACAGCTGTTACAAAATAATAACATATCCATGAAAGCAGCATATTCTTGCACATAGTGTTTCTCAGCTAAGCTCCATGTGACAGAGATCAGCTGTCCCTACCCCTCCCATGTACCTTCATGGAGTTTTTCCAGTAACAGAATGTCCATCTCTGCTTATTTCCCTTCAGTTCACTAGTCCATCATCTTGCAGGTTAAATGAAGGAATTTCAGTAGATTATTTTTATGTATCTATATATGTATGGTGGCTTCCTCTCCATTCTCAGCACAAATTGCCAGCACTAACCATGCACCTTTTCTGCCTTCCTTACAGAGAAAGATTTTTGTGAATATTTGCTTTGTTATTACTAGGTAAAATAGAAAATTTTACTTTTCTGGTTGATTTGGCTGTTTTTAGTCTTTACTGGGTTTTTTATAAGTTACTTTACTGCTGCCCTAAAGAGGTCATTCCTAAAATAAAGATAGTTCTTTTGTTTTCCCCACTTTGGCAGTTGTTTAGCCTTAGGTCCTTCTCCTGACACCTCTGGTTAAGGGCCCAATTAAAGCTAAGGAAGTTTAGATTCTTTTGAGGTTGTGGACAATTCTGGCTTTGAGATCTTATCTGATTGGCCACATGAAAGAAGATAATGAGAGAGAGATGCCTGGGAACCTGAATTAGGCTCCTGATTGATCTAGTGTCATGGGAAAGAGAGAGAGGAGCATCATCTTAACCACACAGTGAATCTGCTTGACAGCAAACTGGGCCTAATTCAATGTCTCTGGCTTAGACCAATCATCAACACTTTTCTTTGGGGGTTAGGTTGGGCACAGGCAAGAAATGAAATTAGGAGAAAGAAGCAGAGACCCTCAACTCACCTACACCTAAGGAAACAGAATGCGAGATGGTTTTGGTGAGGGTGGAAGCCTCTAGGTGACAGTATCAGGGATAAAGTTGGAATGACAAACCTGGGTAGGGCAATTCCTGAACATCAAGAAGAAGCTTGGGGAAAGGGAGCTCTGGTGGAAACGGGTGCTAAAGGGAAAAAAGGGGGTACCAAAGACAAGTGTTCCTAGGATCTTACCTAGGGCAGGTCCTAAAACAATCATTAGCTTTGGCATAAATAATACATGCCAATGTAAGATATGCATTACTCCACTGACATTTTGAGTTTCTATAAAATTTAATTATAAAATAATCAGGAAGCAAAACAGAACAAATCAAGTTACATTTTATTCTATTTGATGCCTTAACTTTTTCTTTTTAGTGAGCCAGGATACTGGGACGTTTGAGGATAAACTTTTAAAGGAGAAATGTAAATGATCTGTGGGATAAAAGAGCAATTTTGTATATGATCTACTATAAGGTATGGATCAATCAAACAAGTATTTATTGAGTTCCTTCTCTGAGTTAACAAGGTGGGTATATGGATCAGACTTCACAGCAATTCTTGCCTCAATAATAATTCTGAGCGAATGATCAAATTTTTTTTGGAAATGCTCACAAATCATCTGTTTAACTAATTGTGCTGTTGACCTTTGCCCAGAATTTGTATAAAAATCATAGATCTTTAGCATTGATTACCCTTAAATTTTTTTCTCTTCACACTCTCCTGGTTTTAATCTATCTTTCTAAAGATCTGATTTTCTTTTTTTCTTTTTTTTTTTGAGACAGAGTCTCTTGTGCTTGTCATCCAGGCTGGAGTGCAGTGTTGTCATCTCAGCTCACTGCAAGCTCCAACTCTCGGGTTCATGCCATTCTCCTGCCTCAGCCTCCCAAGTAGCTGGGACTACAGGTGCCTGCCACCACACCCGGCTAATTTTTTGTGTTTTTTAGTAGAGATGGGGTTTCGCTGTGTTAGCCAGGATGGTCTCGATCTCCTGACCTTGTGATCCGACTGCCTCAGCCTCCCAAAGTGCTGGTATTACAGGCGTGAGCCACCACACCCAGCCTCTAAAGATCTGATTTTCAAGCAATTGACGATTTCTTCTCTTTTCTGACTTGGAAATTTTCTGATTTCCTTATTTAAATTCAGGAAAATTAGATTTATTACAAAACATATAATTTTGGAAGTAGAATAATATCTTTTGACAAGTTAAGACTTTAATTTTGAACTTGGCTAACCTATGAATCAATAACAATATCATCCTAATAAATACATGATTCTCCATCCTTTAAAACAACTTAGTGTTATATTTTAAGTCCTTTGCACAGCTTCATAGATATGTAAGTTGTTTGTTCCATAGCCTATATTTTGAGAACTGTCTCTCCCTTGCTCTGAGTGATTATGGTTGGCCAGTCATGGTACCCTACTCTTTTGGAAACAGAGATTGATCTAAGAATGAGCTTGTGACCATGGACAGGGCCAACCATGTTTTCGGCAGCTGATACAGATGTTCAAAGAGGGACCCTATAAGAGCTCTGTGAACTGCAGGGGCCACATTTCCCATCATACGCAGAAAACCTGCCTGAGAATAAAGCTAATAAGGAAAGCATGCAGGAAGGGAAGCTAGAGAGAGAGAGCGAGTGAGATAGAGAGAGAGAGAGAAAGTATTCCTGAGGACATCATTTGAGCATCTGGAAAGAGCTATGCTGAAGCCAGCTTGGAAACTGGAATTTTATTTTATTATTATTTTTTTGAAACAGGGTCTCACTCCATTACCCAGGCTGGAGTGCAGTAGCGCAATCTGGGCTCACTGCCATCTCTGCCTTCCTGGCTCAAGTGATCTTCCCACCTCAGCCTCCAGAGTAGCTGGGACTATAGGTGTGTGCCACCACACCTAGCTAATTTTTGTATTTTTTGTAGAGATGGGGTTTCGCCATGTTGCCCAGCCTAGTCTTGAACTCCTGGACTCAAGCAATCTGCCCGCCTTAGCCTCCCAAAGTGCTAGGATTATGGGCCTGAGTCACTGCACATGGCCAGAAACTGGAATTTTATATGTATCTAGTTTTGTGAGCAAAAAACATTTTCCTTATTTGCCTAAAATAAGCGGAGTGGGGTTTCTGTCATTTGCAACCAAGAGTCCTGACAATATACACAGGACTACACAGTCTTAATAATCATCATGATTTTAAAATATTTGATTTTCTATGCAAAGACCTTATTTACAGCAAGAGTAATAAATTTGGCCAAAACTGTAAAAAGGGATTCATACTAGAATTTGTGAAATGCTCACCCATTGATTTTCCATAACATATCCCCTTCCATGTATTCTAACTAAACATTTACTAACCGATTACTCACCTTGTGTCAGTCAGTAGTGCTAAGTGCTGCACATACAACATTGAGTAAAACACATTTGGGTCCCTGCCTTTGTGGAACTTAGGATCTCACTGACTTTATTCTCCCGAATTGTACAATATAGCATTGGTGTTTTAGCATTCTTTTATGTTCTATTTTGAGTCATAAATGGAAATGCTTTTTCAAGCCTCAGGTCATATTAATATACTAACACTCTTTTTAAAGGCCTTTCATGATCCTGAGATCATTTATAGTAATGTAGGCGTTAACCAAACAGCATAAGTCAAATAACTAGAAGCCTTTGAAATTGATGAATGTTATAAATATTTATGACACTATATATATAACCTGTTGACTTTTTTCGCTTTCGAAATATACATGCCTTAAGTTCTGCTTTTATTGGTGTCTCCTAGACAACAAATCATTTCTCACATATTAAGTACAACAGTAATAAAACTGGTACACAGAGAAATGCCACAGGTACAGTGTATCTGGAGAGTGGGAATAAGTACAGTGAACTTTATTCAAAGAAGAAAATTTTCCCAAGGTTTTTGCATTCACCCTTAGAACAATGTATAATCATTTGAAAATGTTTTGACAAACAAGCAATGGGGAAAGGATTCCCTATTTAATAAATGGTGCTGGGAAAACTGGCTAGCCGTATATAGAAAGCTGAAACTGGATCCCTTCCTTACACCTTATACAAAAATCAATTCAAGATGGATTAAAGACTTAAACGTTAGACCTAAAACCATAAAAACCCTAGAAGAAAACCTAGGCATTACCATTCAGGACATAGGCATGGGCAAGGACTTCATGTCTAAAACACCAAAAGCAATGGCAACCAAAGCCAAAATTGACAAATGGGATCTAATTAAACTAAAGAGCTTCTGCTGTCTTGCTCTGTCACTCAGGCTGGAGTGCAGTGGCATGATCATGGCTCACTGCACCCTGGACATCTCTGGCTCAATCAATCCTTCCACTTCAGCTTCCTGAGTAGCTGGGGCTACAGATGCACCCCACCATGCCTGGCTAACTTTTATATTTTTTGTAGCAGTCTCACTGTGTTGTCCAGGCTGGTTGTGAACTCCTGGGTTCAAGCAATTTTCCTGCCTCAGCCTCCCAAAGTGTTGGGAGAGATTACAGGTGCCTGGTCTCAGTAAATTTCTCTTGTTAGGAAGGCTACCAATCGAGGACTGGTTCGGGTGAGTTTACAGAGGCTGCACAACTTGAGTGTCTTTATGTCCTGACAAGACCTTTTGATGCATAGGTCCTAATTGTAATACATTTAAATGTTAAGTCTCCACCCCAAGGTAAACATGGGTCATCTGTAACATGCATATTTGTTCAGTAGGCATGCATCAGGACTATCTTCATGAATATTCATAGCTCATCCTACAACCGATTGAATATGTGTGTTCGGCCACTCAATAAACTTAAATTCCTGTCTTACCTCTCACTCCCTCTGAATGTTTGTCTCTGGTCTTTGCTGGAGGCTGTGCTTCCCAGCCTGCAGGATGGCCACTTTGCAGGCTGTCACTCTTTACAAAAAATAAAGCCTCCTTTCTAAATTTATATATCTTGTGATTTTTTTAAAGTTAACATTGTTCTGTAATTATTCTTTTCATTCTTCTTGGGTCATGTTTACACATATCTACTGGATCGTGGTTGTGTGTGTGTGTGTGTGTGTGTGTGTGTGTAATGAGACAAAACATCAATTTTGAGGATAGTTCTGGAGAAAGTGCTACCTTTACCTGCCTTAGGTTACTTTGTGTTTCCACCAAAACAGGAATCAAAATGGGGGATCCATGACTCAAACTGCCCCAGGCTTTTTCACCAGCCTGTAAGGGAAGAGAATATTGAGATCAGTTTGCCACCTGGGAGGGAGCTTTCTAACAGAAATGCAAATAAAGTTAAGGGCTTTACTAAGTGGACTTCATCCCACCCCCAACACTAGGTGAGGAATTAGGTAAAGGTCTCCATCATACCTTAAGTCTTCCCTGAGAATGCCTTTACCTTTAAACACCCTCAAAAAAGGAGCAATTTAAAGGAGATATATATATATATATATATATATATATATCCTTTATATATATATATCCTTTATATATATTATATATATCCTTTATATATATATTATATATATATCCTTTATATATATTATATATATATATCCTTTATATATATTATATATATCCTTTATATATATATTATATATATATCCTTTATATATATATTATATATATCCTTTATATATATAATATATATTTTATATATATTATATATTATATATAATATATATAATATATATATTTATATATATGTTTGAATGCTCACGGATTTTATTAGACAGTGGTGGCAGTGGCCCCAGCCCAGCCCACCCTCACCTGCTTTTCCAGCCCAGAACAGGGGACGGGGAGGATCACGGCCTAGCAAGAGCTATGCAGAGAGGGGAACAGTCCTGAGCCCAACAGCAGAACTTGGGGGGAAGCGGGCGGGGTGGCCAGGGACACAAACTGTGTACAGGGGCTGGGGGCTTCTGCCCAGGGCCCTCCTGGACCAGGACGCCCGACAGGGCTGGGTGCCTCAGTAGTCCTCAACCCAGCCGTTCTCAGAGATGAATGCGTCAATGACCTCCTTCATGGCCAGGTTGGGGATGAACTGTTTCTGGGTTAGGGGGCTCCAGGTCACAGGGTCAAAATGATCCACGCGCTGCAGGTGCTCCTCGATGTCCTTGCGGTCATAGGAGATGCCAGTGGGCGTGATGCATAGCTCCCGCATCAGCTCAAAACTGATCTTACAGCACAGGTATTTGGGGATGTCGTACTTCTTCCTCTTCTCGTCCACCTGAGAGAAGAGCTCATCCATGTCCGCCATGTATTTGTCATGTGGGCGGGGGGCACCCTCACGTGCTTGGCCTCATTGCAGGCCTGCTGGGCCCGGACCTGGCTGTCGTCTTCATCACCCTTATGGTTCCGTTGGCACTCTTCGAGCTCCCTCTCACGCTCTGCCGCAATGAGCCTCGAGAGGTAGGAGTGCAGCTCGCTCTCCTGGTGGATGCGCCCTTCCTCGATGCTGTTTCAGCGCTGCTTCGCGATTCGAAGAGCGCTGGGAATGTCGTCCCCAAAGTTCAGCCAATGCTTGTAGGCCAAATATTTTTTTATCATTAAACTAAATATATATACACACATATATATACATATATATACATATATATATACATATATACATATATACACATATATACATATATACATATATATACACATATATACATATATATGTATATATACGTATATATACATATATACGTATATATATACACGTATATATATATGTGTGTGTGTGTGTGTATATATATATATATATATGTATGTATTTTTTTTTTAAGACGGAGTCTCTGTCACCAGGCTGGAGTGCAGTGGCGCTATTTCGGTTCACTGCAACCTCTGCCTCCCGGGTTCAAGCGATTCTCCTGCCTCAGCCTCCCAAGTAGCTGGGACTACAGGCTCGAGCCACCACGCTCAGCTAATTTTTGTATTTTTAGTAAAGATGGGGTTTCACCATGTTGGCCAGGATGGTCTTGATCTCTTGACCTCGTGATCCACTTGCCTTGGCTTCCCAAAGTGCTGGGATTACAGGCATGAGCCACTGCATTGGGCCACGTATTTTCTATAAAGACTACTTCAGAACTAGCAGGCCTTTGATCCAACATGGCCCTGCTCCCAAATCCACTCCCTGCCCAATACACATATGGACTTTTTGTAAAAATTCACATATTCTAACTACAAGAAAAATTGTGATTATGATTTAGAAAGTCCATGGAGCTTTAGTTCACTATCACTGACTTTCATCCTTTTTACAGGATTTCTGTATTTCAGTGTAGAGCCACAAGGGAGCATGAACTTTCCTATCAGAAGGATCTAGATTTAAATCTCTGCCACTTATTTACTCTGACTACAGCTAATTTTTTTAACTTTTCAGTGCCTACTTTTCTTCATCTTAAAATAGGTGCAGGGTTATTATAGCAACATTGCAATTACCTGTGAAGTTTTTGGTACATGATGAGTAATCAGTAATAGATAGTGTTTAAAATTAAAGTCAATGTATTTTTTTTTAAACCTGAGGTTTTGTTTTGTTTTGAGGCAGGGTCTCACTCTGTCCACCTAGGCTGCAGTGCAGTGGCGAAATCTTGGCTTATTGCATCCTTCACCTCCTGGGTTCAAGCGATTCTTGTGCCTCTGTCTCCCAAGTAGCTGGAACTGCAGGTGTGCACCACCACACCTGGCTAAAACTTGAGGGCTTTTATTTATTTTGCGTTCTCCAGTAATAATTTGTGACCATGAAGTTCTTGCACTTAACTGTAAATTCCAGGAATTCCTATCATCTAGCCTAAGGCCTGGAAGAGGGAGGTGACCAGTAAGTATTTGCCAAATCAATGTATATGTTGGTTGTTGTACATTGTGCTCAGAATCTGTCGTGTGAACAAATGCCTTTGCTATATATGAAAGAATCTCAGAGCACAATATACTGATGGATGAGGTAAATTGTAAGAATACAATTTCATGTTACTCACTAGGAAACATTAACTTGTTCTTCCCAGTTTTGGTCTGTATGCTGCTTCTTTGGGTTATGTGATAGGATGCTTCTTAAGCTCATGAGCTTCGTGGTTTTGCACCCAGACTACGTTACTTACCAGCTGTATATGCTTGGTTTCTCAGTTTTTTCTTCTGTAAAAGGGGATGCTAATAACCTCCATGGCACAGAGCTGTTGCTGGTGGTTAAACAAGCGAACACATGAAAGTGTTTAGAATCATACCTGGCACATGGTGTGAATGTTAGCTCTTCCAGCCTGTCCCCTTAGTCTCCCCTGCTGGTTACTGTGGCATTCTTCTATTCCCAGGTTTAGGATGAATTGGCTCTTTTGGCTCTTTTGTTCCTGGTTAAGTGGGCTTTTGCCTGAGTGCTCTAGTGCACCAGATTTCCTTTCCAGTATTGACACTGCTCTTTCCCCAGCCACCTGACTGGCACATCACCGGCATATCTTGGGCTCTAGTAACTGGAATTGCTTTCTGTCCTCTCCTATGTTTGCTCCTTGTTGGAACCCTCCTTTCCTAAATTAGCACATTCTAGAACCTCTCCTATGGTTCCTGTTGAAAGTCTTTAGCCCTTTAGAAGCCCCTCTCCCCAAGTCCTCAATATACCCAGCCTGATTCAGAAGACACATTCCGCTTCCTCCCTTGTCTGCTTTCTCTTCCTAGAGCCACTACCTGCCCCCCAGGCAGAGGGCACAGTCTCAGATAAGTCCCTGCTTGGTGAAGGCAGGGTGTGGTATTGTTTTTTTTTAAGACAGAGTTTTGCTCTTGTTGCCTAGGCTGGAGTGCAATGGTGCGATCTCGGCTCGCTACAACCTCCGCCTCCTGGGTTCAAGCGATTCTCCTGCCTCAGCCTCCCGAGTAGCTGGGATTATAGGTGCCCACCACGACATCTGGCTAATTTTTGTATTTTTAGTAGAGACGGGGTTTCATCATGTTGGCCAGGCTGGTCTTGAACTCCTAACCTCAGGTGATCCACCCCCTCCTCGGCCTCCCAAAGTGCTGGGATTACAGGCACGAGCCACCATGCCCGGCCAGGGTGTGGTATCTAAATATTGTCTGGAATGAGAATAGATCATTTGGCTCCTTGCTTTCACAAAAACAAACAAACAAACAAACAAACAAACAAACAAACAAACAAACTGTAAACTGAGGGCAGCCTGGGGCTGCAGGCTAGGAAGGATAGCCTAGGGCTCTGCTCTTAACTGCAGTTTGGGCTTCCCACCTTTGGTTAGCTTGGTTAGCTCAATCTGACCTGCAAGTATTTCACCGTTGATTCATAGCATGTGTGAGGAAATGTTTATTTCCAATTCCCTGAGAGCATAATCTATAATATTACAAACAAAAACAAAAACAAAACCCAAAACCCAAGAAGTTGGCTACAGAGAGTCCTGAAAAGAAGAAAAAAAAACCCCAACAGAGTGGTTATTTGCTAACAAGAGAGCAAACACGTAAAAGGAGGGAAAAAAAACATAGCTATTGCCAAGAAGTGGCAAAAACTGGGTTTCCTAATCAGTTCCTCCTTTTATCCTTTTGAGGATTATTCCCATATGTGACTGTCATGCTTTTCCTCAGCATTCTCAGACTGGGCATTTGTCTGTCATGTGACCGTAGCAGACCATTCCGACTCCCTGGGCTTTCTCAGACACAAACAGTAGAAGGAGGGTCACTTGCTTCTGGCCTTCTCTCTAGACTCCCCCAAGTCAAAAGGCCCGTATCTTTCAATTCTAAGGCTGGGAATGATAAAGGCTTGAAATTCACTCTGCTTCCTCGTTCAACAAGGCTGAACTTCTCCAAATTTA
Source organism: Homo sapiens (assembly GCF_000001405.40). Taxonomy (NCBI): domain Eukaryota; kingdom Metazoa; phylum Chordata; class Mammalia; order Primates; family Hominidae; genus Homo; species Homo sapiens. The sequence continues at coordinate 177,174,450 of NC_000002.12, read as the reverse complement.
TTATAACTTTCAGAGAGAGACAGTGAAGGAAAGGGAGGGAGAAAGATGAGAGAAAAAGAAGGAAAAGGAGACAGAGGAAGAGGGTAGGGACTAAGATGTCTGTGTGCCCCTATATAATTTTAAAAGCAAATTTCTAAGAATTAGTTTATGTGCCCTTTTTAGAATTCCATACAACATTAAATTTGAGGAAAAAATATGTCTAAAGTATATATTGGGAATGTCATGGCATGAAGGTCAAAAGGTTATTTAAATGAGCATGAAAAATCTTCTATTGGTGTACTAAATTCCTACTGTGTATTTTATAAGATCTTCATTAAAATCATAAGACTAGGAAAACAGTATTTCCAACTATCGATAAGCAGCAATTTATCAATTTTAGAGATAACCATCAAAGAGATACCCTGCACAAAGTTATCTTACAATGAGTTTTCAAACTGTGCCCCTTGGGGCATTAAGATAGCAGGGGGAAAGAGTTCTGAGGGTGCTGGTCTGCGTGGAGGTGTGCCACTTACAATACTAGAATGTATGCTTCCTTTCCTGACTCTGCACTGTGTAATGGTCATGGTGGGAGCATTTACACCATAGAAAGCAGCAAACTTCCAAATCCATTTCTCTTAGAGAGCTCCTTGTTAAACATTTACCAGCAAAACTGATGCTTTTATTTGTATTTCTAGGGAATTATTATTTCTAGGGAATTATTACCAGATCTGCTTTTATTGCTTTTATTTGTATTTCTAGGGAATGTCTGTGTAAAGCATAGCTTTTTTTTTTTTTTTTGAGACGGAATCTCACTCTGTTGCCCAGGCTGGAGTGCAGTGGCAGTTCATCAGTGAGCAATCTCAGCTCACTGCAACCTCCGCCTCCTGGGTTCAAGTGATTCTCCTGCCTCAGCCTCCTGAGTATCTGGGATTACAGGCATATGCCACCACGCCAGGCTAATTTTTGTATTTTTGGTAGAGATGGGGTTTCACCATGTTGGCCAGGCTGGTCTCGTACTCCTGACCTCAAGTGATCCACCCTCTTGGCCTCCCAAAGTGCTGGGATTACAAACACGAGACACCACACCCAGCCAAGCATAGTTTTTGAAAAAGGTTTTATGGATACAAAAAAGTTTGAAAACCATTTCCCAGTTGGATATTTTCCTTTTTTCCAAGTTAACATACATAGTGAATATTATAATTTGAAGAACAATGAATCATTTTACATCACTATTTAAGAGACTGCATTAATTTTATTATTTATTAAAACTATAGCATTACATATACTACATAAACTAAAACTATTACATTACATACCACTAGCATTCTAATAACTATATAAAATGACAGTTTAAAGTACTTTAAAATGTTCTAAGATACCTCAGAAGAAAGAAAAACTCTTGGTTGTAAACTTGGAGTTTAGTAAATTTAGCCGTATTGGATTAGTCAGTTAAGTAATTATAGAAATGGATTTGTTCCAGAAAAAATGCTACTCCTCTATATTTTATGGACCAGAGAGCAAGGTCAATATTTAAGTTCTTGCTAACATTTTTGTTCCTTTTGGGTTCTGGTATTGGAATACTGTATTGACTTATCCCACATTACTTTTGGTTTTCTGATATTTTCTTCACCTGCTTAGTGTAGTGGCTCCCTAAAATTGCATTTTGAGAACTCACCATCAACTATGTTATAATAAAGTGTTGGTGATTTAATCATTAAATCACTCTTCCTTAGGTCACCACCCCACCCTTCCCAGCTCCTTTATCAGGCTTTGCCAGGTCAGATTTCAGGTCACAATATAGCTATTTTTTACTTTCTTCTCTTATCCCAAGAGGCTAACTGGTGTAGGAAGATGCCAAAACTGGGCTTGGGCTTAAGGGGAGGGAGAGAACCCCTTTAGAGTATAAATTGTGTACTTTGGCCTATTAGCCAGAGATCTCTGTATTGGGATTTTAGGTGTATGGTTCTGGCTTAGTCAGCTAGGGATGCCATAACAAAATACCACAGGCTGGGTGACTTAGACAATAGGAATTTGTTTCTCACAATTCTGGAGGCTGGGATAGCCAAGCCATCAAGGAGACAGCTGATTTGGTTCCCTGGTGAGGGCTCTTTTCCTGTCTAGTGCAAAGCCACCTTCTCCCTGTACCCTTACATGGGGGCTGGGGTGGGGTGGGGAGGAAGCAAGTTCTCTGCTGTTCCCTCATAAGGGCACTTATCCCATTATGAGGGCCCCACTATCATGACATCATCTAAACCCTCATCACCTCTGCCAAAAGACAAAGTTACAACAAATTTAGTTTGAAGATCAGATTGGCTTTTATTAGCAATTCACAAATAAGAGAGCATCTCATTTAACAATTTAGAAAAGGCACTCTGCTGGGCATGACAGAGCAGTTTATTTTTGTAAGGTGGGAACAAGGAAACAATGATTTAAAAAAATTTTAAATATACTTTTCAAAAAATAATAAAGACAGAGTTTCGTGCTGTTGCTCAGGCTGGTCTCAAATTCCTGCAGTCAAGTGATCCTCCAACCTTGGCCTCCCAAAGTGCTGGGATTACAGGCATCAGTCGCTGCGCCCAGCCAAACAAGAATTTTTAAGAAAGAGGAATGGTTAACATCAGGTTACTTCATCAGGTTACCTTTCCTTGTAAGGGTTAAAGTAGAGGGAACTTCCTTTTCTTGCCAGCTCAGGTTGACTGGGGCCTTTCTGATTGGTAGCTGTGAACCTTCTGTTTTCGGGATAACACTCTGTTTGGGGTTTTCCCTGCTTCCTTAAAGTTTTAGTTTGATTATGTGGCATGAGTGACTCCATTTTGGTCTAGCCTTTTGGGGCCTGGCATAGAAGCTGTCTGTTACTGGGGCAGCCCTGATGAAATAACTGGGAAAGTTCCTCTTTTAAATGCTTTCCTTTAGTCGCTTTATTTATAGGCACAGCTGCTTAAAGAAACCAGACAGGCCAGAATGGCGCCAGAGCTTTTTGACCCCTGGCAAGATACCAGAAGGAGATAAGACCTGCTAACCAGCGCAAACTGCAACAGTGATCCCTAGTTGCCTTCAGATCATTAACATATCATTATAATGCTAAAATCCCTCCCCTAAAAGAAAAATCTCTTCCATTTTCTGTACATGCATTGTATGAAGATGTATGTTTTTGAATTAAGCCTGTGTGTCTGGAGTCCCACCCTGCACATGCTAACATCCCTCTCCCTCCCTATACCCAGTCCCTAAAGTACCCATAACTTCTACTGTTCAGGGAGAAGGGGCGTTTAGAGCGAGAGCCTCCCCTTCTTCCTTCTTGGCCAGTGAATAAAACCTGATTGCCTTTTCCAACTGGACATTCTTCCTTTGCCATCAATACAAAGTGGGGAAAAAACTCAGTTTACTGGCAACAAGTCCAAACCAATGGCCTCATGTAAATTTTATTTAATACCTCCCAAAGGTCACCTCTCCAAATACCATCACACTGGGGTTCGGGCTTCAAGATATGCATTTTGGAGGGGATACAATTCAGTCCATAGCAGGTTCTTTGATTTCCCATTTCTCATTGATTCTGAGTATCTTTCCCAGGTAACTGCTGGGAGGAGAGGTGCCTAGGTCAATGCAGGAGTTAAATACTTTTGGTCGCTTGTCTTAACAGCATGAATTTCAAGCAGAGCTTCTAGGAGTGGCTGCTCAGTTTTGGACTGCAGTTACCTGCCCCCATCTCTCCCTTGGCCGGGCTCTAATGCAGGGCATCTTTTCCTAACGTATACAAAGGCTTGTTTCTGGCTTGTTTTTTGAACGGATTCCAAATCTTACAAGTGTAACAGTAACGATCCCATTAGATACGCAGATTCTGACCCAATTTCCTAGGACTGAAAAAAAAAAAAAAAGAATGATTTTGAAAGGTGAAAATAAATCAGTCCTCATGTCATGCAGCTGAGGTTCTCCCTCTTCCCCAAGAGTGATTTTTTTTTTTGTTGGGACACTTTTCCACATCTCACACATACCCTGTTCCTCCACTCCCTACTCATTTGCCTGACTTGTCTGGATATGTTTAAGTAGCACACCCAGTCTGAGTCCATTGTCAAGGGCCCCTCGAGGCCTCTGCAAGGCCTGCCCTGCCAGTTTGACAAACATGCCCAGGCATGCTTGAACTCCAGCAATGGACAACAGATTTTCCACTATACAAATAAAGGGAGGAAGCAGGCAAAGAAGTATTGCAGAGGTCCAGGAAAAGAGAGGGAGAGCACAGTGCCACTGTGCCACTGCCTGCCTCAGGTTCTCTTTTGATTTGCATTTTTAATGGTAAATTTTGGTACAAAAGTTGCCATATACTCAGCGGTCAGCCTTTCTCCTCTCCACATCTTGGGCCATAAGTCCTTGGCGTGTCGGATTCTATTTCCTTCCTGGTCTATGTGTAGTGCTCACCAAAAATGCTTAAGACCCATGCTTGATGATGAAAAAAAATTCTATTTAAGGAATGGTGACCAAAAATGAACTTAGATGTGAAACTAAAACAAACAAAAAGCTTTTCACTTTGCTTTGAACTGGGCACACTCTTTTAACAGTAGGGCACTTCCTGCGTGTAATGTAGCTCTGCTGTGACCAGTTTCACCACGTCTGTTCAATGACTGCCTTGGGAACCAGATCAATCGTGGTCTACCCTTTAAAGGTAGCAGCACTAATTCCTGCTGCCAGCCTCAGCTCAGACACAATGGAGAAACAATTCCCCAATGTTAGACTTAATCACATTGATCTATTTTTCTGTAGCTCTGGTCTTTGCAAGAAACAATGAATGTACAGCCAAACTCACTTAAATGTGATTATGTCAGCCGTTCTATTATCTCTGTATCTTGTATTTTGGGGGCTGTTAATGATATATCATAGCAGATAATAGAAATTTGAATTTGTTTCTTTAAAAGTAGCCAGATGAGCAAGTACATGAAATGACTACAAAGAGTCCATTTCAAATCTTGTTGAAGGTCATAATGAAGATGGTTGTCTTATAATCTCTTACCAACGGAGGTGTTGGGGAAGAAAAAAATCCCCCTTCCAACAACTAAATTAGTTAGGGTGGCCTCAATCTCTCATCATCCACATTGATCAATATTCTCACTACTTCTTTATTTTTATGAAAAATGGGGAGGGACAGTGCAATCCTATCATCTCCACATTTATACAAGGAGTTCTTGAGAGTTAAGGCAGAATGCAGTCCTCCGGGTCCCTTTATGTGGTCAAATAACCCACAATTTTTGGCTGGCCTCACCCAGTCTTCGTTGATTCCCTTTCCCTTGCAACTATAGGTGCAGCCATGGGACCAAGTTCTGGCCAAAGGTTTCCAAGTGGAAGAGAGCTTCTGGGAGCCTTCCTTGACGTGCAGCACACCCTTTGCCTCTCCATGCCTTCCTGCTTCCTGCTGCTTAAAGCTTGAGTGCTGTAACCATGAAGCATGAGCATGCCAAGCACAGCTGAACAGCAAGACAGAGGACCTTGGGTCCCTCAAACCATGAATCACTGTATCAGTCCTAGCCCCACCACTCAGACTTTTGTGTGAGAAAGAAATTTAACCCGTGACTCAAAACAACAAGTTTATTCTATTTTTTTTTTTGAGATGGAGTCTCACTCTGCTGCCCAGGCTGGAGTGCAGTAGTGTGATCTCAGCTCACTGCAACCTCCTCCAAGTGATTCTCCTGCCTCAGCCTCCTGAGTAGCTGGGATTACAGGCACGCGCCACCACACCTGGCTAATTTTTGTATATTTAGTAGAGATGGGGTTTCATCATGTTGGTTAGGCCGGTCTCGAACTCCTGACCTTGTGATCTGCCTGCCTTGGACTCCCAAAGTGCTGGGATTACAGGCGTGAGCCACCATGCCCAGCGCAAGTTTATTCTTGATCACACCACATGTCCATTGCTGGTCAGCAGGGGGACTCTGCTCATTGTGGGTACTCAGAAAGCCAGGCTGACAGTGTCCATGTCAACCAATGCTTCCACCATTGCTGACAAAGACAAAAGGAATGTAGTGAATTGTATACTGATAAGGCTTGGAACTGAAAATAACACATGCCATTTTGCTGACTAATGCAAGTCACATACCATATCTAACTTCAAAAAGGTAGGCAAGTAGTCTATTTGCCCTAAAAGCAGGAGAACCAGAATGTGTGGATAATCCCAATAATGACTATAATTTCTATCTTACCTAAGCCACTGTTATTTTGGGTTTTCAGCCAATTGCATCTGCACTGAATCCTAATTAAGAGAGGAATGATCACATCAATGCTGTGATAACTATGTCCTGTGAGGAAGGCTGTCACTGGGTGTACACCTTATACTCGGAAGGATTTGCAGGGGTCACTCCCTGTGGCTTTTCTGAGAAAGAAGAAGCCACATCTTTCTTAAGATCCTCAGTCATCCTTCAGTCATTGACATCTACTACACTGCAGGCAAATCACTAAGAATTCCTATTCCTAAAGTTCAGGCTACCACCTCTAGCTCCTTCTAAGTCTACGAAATATTCCCTATTCTTTTGAAAACACAACTCTAGTCTTTTTCTATTCTGCTTTGTTCCGGCATTCAAATCTTAGTCCTTGAGATCTGTCATCTTTCCCAGAGGCTCTAAATATGTCCTTACCTCCTTCAATTTGGCAAATATCTTCACTCGACCCTATGACATTTTCCAAATCTATAGACAAATGAGTCGTTCTATACCTATTGTCTTTTTGTTTTCCTTTTCTGAAACCCCTGTGATGAGGCTTCTGTTTGTACCATTCTACTTAAACTGTCTAAAAAGCCATTAATGGCTTTTATCAAGAAGCGTTTGTCTAAAACTCTGGAATTTCCTGGAAACATGCTTTCGTATATTTCATATAGTGGGATGGATAACAGCAGATAAAAACAGTCATAGGTTTAGTAAAACATAGTAGAGCCCTTTCTGCATTTGGGTAGTATGGGAATGCCTTCTGATCTGCTACAGGTAAAATCATATGTCTGTCTGCTCCTGCCCTAAAACACAGGAGCCATCTGCAGTACAAGGCTGACATATTTATTTATTTTGCAACACACACATTCGATCTTTTTTTTTTTTTTTTTTTTTTTTGAGACGGAGTCTCGCTCTGTGGCCCAGGCTGGAGTGCAGTGGCGCCATCTCGGCTCACTGCAAGCTCCGCCTCCCGGGTTCACGCCGTTCTCCTGCCTCAGCCTCCGGAGTAGCTGGGACTACAGGCGCCCGCCACCACGCCGGGCTAATTTTTTTGTATTTTTAGTAGAGACGGGGTTTCACTGTGTTAGCCAGGATGGTCTCGATCTCCTGACCTCGTGATCCGCCCGCCTGTGCCTCCCAAAGTGCTGGGATTACAGGCATGAGCCACTGCGCCCGGCCACATTCGATCTTTAATCCAGTGTTTTAGTGGGTGTAGGTGTGACTTAGAAGCAGGCACAGTTCATTAAAAAACAAAAAACACCAAAACCTTTTACAGGTTATTCTCACAGATAAAAATTCTATAGGCTACCAACAGAGGAAGTCTTTATTGTTCCTGGGCGCTAGACCATACACAGAAGGACCATACTTGCTCTTTGCAGTCTCATTCAGAAGCAGGAAAAAGGGGCTGTATTGGATTTGAATATGAAGGACAAAAGAAGCTCTGGAAACACCAAGTAATAGTCTATGTTACAGGTTTAACACACCCATTTAATCTCATTGGAAAAAATAATGAAACTGGTGAAAAGCATTTATGGAACTGGAGGAGAGCATATTTTGCTGGTTTTACTTTTATGTTTGAAGTTTTGGGTATAGCTATGCCCATAAATACTGAAATGCCTAGCATAAAGAACGCAGCCTGGGGCATACCCCATAAAACGTACAGTGCAATTAAATGAGCAATTTCCACTGGAAATAAAACGGGCATGTTGAGTGGAATATGAATTAAACTGCATATGACTCAGGCCTGCACTAGGCTTTAGAGAGAGATCTGCTGGTTTCAGTAGCACCTGATGCCGTCCATCTAAAGGTCAAGGCCAGTAAGTAACAAAAGAAAACTGTAGTTAGCATGAAGATTAGGGCATACCAAATTGTGGTTAATGTAGTTTCCCTGTCATGATGTCTCCTGAAAGGGACCAGCAAAATTACGACTGATAACAAAGGATTAAACCTGACCTTTCTTTACAATGCAGACACATTGAGCTTCTGCGTCATTTGCTATGCAGCATTTTTGACTTCCTCAAACTTCATTTTCACTTTCTGAATGTTCTCTCCCAGACCAAAGTCACCCAGGTGCCATAATAAAAGAATTTCTAAGGGAGATTTCAACTAGAAAACCAAAAGGCCATCAAAACAAACATTGATTTGCATTCCAGATCACTTTCTGCTCTTGTTCATTTCTGGGATCTTATTTGGAGATTAAAGGGTAATGATTCACTGATATCCTGTGGGAAAACCAGTTCAGGAGCAGCCTTTGACAAACCACATGTAGAAATCTGGCTGATACAGGGAGAAAACAAGTTTCAATCTTATTTTTAGTGTAGGGTAAAGGAAGTCCACCCAAGATAAAGCTTAGCATTCTTTCTTTGAGGAATTAGGGTAAGGGTGAAGAAAAGAAAGCTTGATATTTTTCTGCCTATGAAAGCCAGAAGAAGGCTCAGAGAAGCCCGTTCCTTCTTTTCCTCTTTTTCCAAGTGCCAGACCTCCGCAGCTCCCAGAGGAAATGAGGGCATGGGGTGGGTAATAGGGCATGTGATTTGAATGAGTATTCCCAGCCATTTAATATATTCACAAGTCAAACTATAAAGTATTTCTTTAAAAAAATTATAGTATTTCACTGAAGTTTGAATGTACTTTCTCTTGCCAAAATAATCAGAGTCTTTCATTTTTCTAATGATAAAAATGTGCTACATGTGTAGGAAAATTTCCCAAATGAAAAATAACATTTTCTATGGCAGCACATACAGTGCTTGAATTTTTCACCTTAGATTTTATTCTAGCCAGACCTAAACTCTGTCTTACTTGCATAATGATAATTCATGTCGTCAAACCAAACGCACTGTTTGCTGCTCGTTTGTCCAGGAGCCATCTTTTCCTAAAGTGAGCAATATTACGTGCATTTTGTCTGGCTGGCCGAGGGCTCCTCCCTACAGCTTCTGCAGCCATGGAAGAGTCTGGAAGGACAGTGTTCGCTTGTACAAGAAGAGGGAAGGATAGGATGAGAAAAGCAAAATCTTGGAGAGTCTGTGGTCGGAAGAAGAAAGCTGAAGCTGGTTAGGAGGAAGGAGTGTGTGAGTGAATTAGGAGCTGAAGCAGTAAAGTAGCTTTCCCTGTGACCCTGATGTGTCGGGCATTTCTGTCTTAGACTAAAAGCATAATAAAAAAGGCACTTTGTTTAGGTTAACAGAGCATTATATAACTGGAAAGTTTTACAGTTTTATATATATAGTGAATAGTTTGTAGAGGATAAAAAGACTTCCCTTTGGTTTATTATTTGGGTAAAATAAAAACCCACGAATCATTTAAGGATGCATTTCTTTTTCTTTTTTCTGCCTTTTTTTTTTTAAGACAAAAGCTTGAAGGCATAAAATGGAGTTATTTTCATCGGGATATCACCCTCGATGCTGCTGCTTTACTACATGTTCATAGTCAAAATTATTTCATGTTTCCCTTGAATAACTACGATCAGTTTGAAAACAGCTTTGTTAATTAGTAAGAGATGACGCAATATATCACTGCATCTTTAGGGCTCTGGCGCCAGCTAGTGGTAGGAGAGGGGAGCCGCCCTGTCGCTCTCAAATCTGGGAAGGCGTCGGTCTTCTCGCGTCCCCTTATCCCTCATCCTCCTCATTTTTTTTTTCCATCAGCATAATGGGGGAATCATTGCAGTGTGGCCAGAGAGGAGCAGACGAGATTATAGATGAAAGTAGAGAAAAACGGTGGGCAGGGGCAGGGAGAGGAAAGGCCAGACAAATGCAATCATTTCTCCAAAGGATTTGAGAAGAGATCATTTATTTGAAATATTCCTGCCATGTTGATGGAGCAGCTCAATCTTTTGCCAGTGAATCTTTAGCGTTTTGTTTTTCATTTGTAGATATGGTTGAACATATACTTAGGACACGTAATAACTATGGAACTTCATCACAAACACAGCACTGAGGACATGTTGTAAGTGTAAATTTGTGTTCATTTTTAAGTAGCAAATATTTCTACTGTGAAGAGGCTCTGTTACCTCCTCACACGTATGACTCTGAGATGAATAACTCTCAAATGGTTAATAAAGGAGAAACCTCTTAAGATGGTATTTGTAGATGGTACACTATGAAAAAAATACAAAATTTCCAGGCAAAAGAGACTTTATTTGGGAGGTATGAAGTAGATGTAGGTTTGGAGCCCTATCTATTCTCAAATAGAAATAGGCTGTGATGATTTGCAGGAAAACAGAAAACATACAGTATTTATTTTAAGAACAAAGAATCTTTGGCAGGCCATCTTTCTCATTTAATTAAGCCATAACTGATCTTACTAGGGTTATGGAGGGACTTCAAATGCTAATAAATAAAACCTGAAGCTGAGACATTTCTTTCACTAAACAGCTGGAGCTGTTTATAACTCTATTACTTATTGCTAAAATCAATTATTATTACTAATATTCCCGGTGGAATTTATTATGAAAACAAGCTGAAGGTTATAAAGAAGAACTTTTCTTTTTAAATGTCATTCATATATCTATATTTATGTCAGTTATAGAGAATAAGGATAATCTGAACCAAGACTCTTGTAATAATATTTTTGGAAGGTAGATCTAATTTAAGAGGAGGTTTCAGGAAGGAAGAAATTGTCATAGTCTTACCTCAGTCTAATTTATATTACTATGCTGTTGGAGAAATAACATTTAAAACCTTGTCTATGTGAGACATTAGATAGTAAAATAGCTGGTCATGGTGTTGGTGTGTGAGATTTACATAGACTACTATTTTGAGCATATTTTAAACTTTTGCTAAAGCCTGCATATTTGATATAAGAAATTCACCTAACCTTGTTATCAACCAAGTCAAAATGTTGACATTTCCCCCTTGTTTTTAATCATGTTATAACTTTTCATATGTAATAAGGCCCTGGTTAAAAATCTTAAAAATCTTCAGTTGACCTTGTCTCCTCTATGTCTCTTTTATCTGTCTTTTGATATAGAAGCCGAGCTCATACAATTAAGAGTTTCAAATCAGTACCTGAAAAGGGGTATTGTTACTGTTTTTTTTGTTTTAGAAAAAGCAAATTAACTTTAGTAAGGCTCAATCAATGACAGTGGATTAATTGAAACACGTGAATGCTAGAGTTGAATTGCCATAAAATTTTGAGAATTACAGCAAAATAAAATAATTTATACTCTTAAAACAGCTTTGTAGTATGTAAGTACCTACTTTAAGTGCTGAGTTTGTAATTAGGTCTATCTTTAAAACTGTTTAATGGTTGCCTTAAAATATTTTGATGCCTACTATAATCCTTATATAATTTTCCATATGCTACCAAGTAAATGCTTTGAAATGTCATTCCATCTTAATTTGAAATTTACTCATTAAGATTTTAAGATTTATCTTTTGAATTTAATTTCTTATTACTTTTTGATATTATAGAATTAGAAAGTAACTCTATATGGCAATGAACACATTTGAAGGAAGGAAGGGAAACATACCTGAACATATTTATAATTTTTCTCTTTAGCAATTGCTCTGATGACTTTGAAATAGTGATATCAGCAAATAAGTAGTTCATTTGATTCAAATCCTCCTTTCATTCGAAATAGTGCATAGGATTTTTGCAAAAGAAATAACCATAGGATATCATACGATGTCCCTGAATGTGAAAACATAAAGACAAACTTACAAATAAGGAAACTCACACATTCATTCTGATATTCACATTTGAAAAGACAAGGCATACTAAAATGTGTATATGCGAATAATTAAATATTTGGCCTCCAGATTACATGCTTGTGAAATAGCACAATCTTCCCTCGCAGAGCGATGCTGGAACCCTCGACAGACCCTCTCCTCAGGAGACATTGGCACAGTATGAGGGGGACACATCTGCCGGCAAAGTACTACAGATGGTTCCCCTCATTAGCCTACAGAACTCCAAGCAGCCATCACGGAGGAGGCTTGGGAATCTCACTTGGGCAAGGTGTTAAGCTAGCCTCCTGTTCAATGTCATTACGGTTTCTCCAAAATAATCTCCTTAGTGTGCTCTGTTGGGCTGGGGCCGGTGTACATGTCGCACTTGCAGAGATTGGAGATGGCAGCACCATATCCAGTTTGCCCAAGGGCATTACATGATTTTTAGATTTGGAAAAGTTTCACAGCAAGTCAGACTTGGAAAACTTCTTAATCTAAATGCAGTGGCAGGACAGCCTTCATGCTCCCTGGAAACTCATTAGCTTTTGGAATCCAAGCACTACTCACCTTCATGTTCACGCTTCCTTATTACAATAAATGCGTTGGCACTCCCATTTCTCCTCTTCCCCTCAACCGCTGATTTATTGACCTAGTGGTATTTTAATTTTGTTTTATTTACCCTTTGTTTATGAATCAGCCTTAAAATCAGGGCACCAAGCCCTGGCAACCGGAAATGTTAGTTAAGTTTACCAGTAGAAACAGCAGGGGGAGCCCATACTGTTTTATGGTCTGCGGTTTCTCTGGCTGGATTATTATAATAATAATTATTATAGTCGTTGTTTTACGTTTATAACATAGATACTTACAATCTGTGTACATGTATAACATACATGTTTAGAACATGGGCAATCACCATGTGCTAGACTGTTGTAGTTTTAAGTCACAGAGGGTCAATTTTTATTCTTTAATTATATGAAATGATCAGGATACCACTAACAATAATTGAGAAGACAAGAACTTGGCAGTAAGAGTTCTTTTCCCTGTTTTTTGAACTAGAGAGAAATCCTGTTTCACATTTCATTATTTCTCAAAAAATAAAATAAGCTAAAATCCCTGTGTAATCTCTGCAGCTGTTTTCTGGCATTTCCAGCGGCAGCTTTTTGTTTTCTGAAGTAAAGAGATGTTAAAATGTACCATCTGATATGTTTTTAAGATTGTGATAGTGAGGAGAGGTTCTACTGCAATCACTGGGTATTCTAATATGAGCCAGACTTAGTTTTCCATTTTAAAGCTAATAAAACGCAGAAGCCCAGTGGCCTTTAATATTGGTTTCTTATGCTTGATGAGATCCTTGGGTCAGTAGGTTTTCAGTAACGTAAAATAATTCAGACAATCTCAATTACATTTTGCTCCCTAAATAAACCATGGTAACATCTCTGAGCATACATTTTATATATTTTGTATTGTAAAAATACAAAAATTAGCCAGGCATGGTGGCAGACGCCTGTAGTTCCAGCTACTTGGGAGGCTGAGACAGGAGAATCACTTGAACCCGGGAGGCAGAAACTTCAGTGAGCCGAGATTTGCACCACTGTACTCCAGCCTGGGCCAGACAGAGCGAGACTCTATCTCAAAAAAAAAAAAATTGAGAATAATTATTATTTTTTCTTTTTTGCCAAAATAGTGTAAGGTTTAAAATTCTATGATGAATCAACAATTCTGTGGATCGACATTTCTGGTTCTTTCCATTTTGAAATTAAAAAATGCAATCTTGGGGTGATCAGAAAACCTTAGGGAGGAATAGCATTTGAAGAGGACTTGAAGGTTGAGAAGAACTTTATGGGGATGGTAGTGGATGGGATGTGTAGTTGTGAGAGGGAAAGATACTTCGGGTAGAAAGAAGATCATAAGCAAAGGGGTAGTATTGGAAAGGGGTCCTAGTGAGACTAAGATATAGGAACCTTGGGTATATACAGAGGAGCAGTGGGCTATCTGTGAAGTTCTGATGTGCAGCTAAGCAGTTAGGACTTTATTCTAGAGGCAGTGGGAGCCAGGGAGGGTTTTAGAGGGAGATATAATAGGAATTACATTCTAGGAAGATTGATTTGGTGCCAGGGTACAGGGTCCTTGAAGACTTAATTCAGTTGATTTAGCAACATCATTAGAAAGCAAAATAAAGAAGATCTAATTTAAAAGTCACTCTCCACATAATTTTAGAATATGATATAAAATGTTTTTATGTCACCTTCCTTGACTAATATAGTCAATGCTAAAATCCAGGAGAATACCCAGCTTTATGGGTCTTTTCTTTCCATGAGTATTGGTAATAGCATCTTACATTTGGGGAGCATAATTTATTCTAAATGCTTATTATTCAAAATAACATAATAAAGACATAATAAGTCTCTCCCCCACCATGATCTCCCTTTGATGGCATATATAAATGTAGATTTAGAGATAAGATGGAAAGTTTAGGTCTGTTTCAGTGTTTCTATGAGTAGTTGAAATTAGGCCGGGCACAGTGGCTCATGCCTGTAATCCTAGCACTTTGGAAGGCTGAGGTGGGTGGATCACCTAAGGTCAGGAGATCAAGACCAACCTGGCCAACATGGTGAAACCCCCGTCTCTACCAAAAATACAAAAAATTAGCTGGGCATGGTGGCAGGCACTTGGAATCCCAACTACTCAGGAGGCTGAGGCAGGAGAATTGCCTGAACTTGGGAGGCAGAGGTTGCAGTGGGCCGAGATCACACTACTGCACTCCAGCCTGGGCAACAAGAGTGAAACTCTGTCTCAAAAAAAAAAAAAAAAAAAAAAAAAGAAAGAAATTATCATTCTATGGCTACTTGTTTTAAATTAGCACTGAATTTCCTTTTGTAGGTGTCTTACACTGTGGTACCATAGTTGACTCAATTATGCACTCATAAAGCACTTTTTTGAGAAAATAGTCAACCAGTTGTGTGTGAGTGTTGTTTAGTAATGTCTTTCTTTCTCTAAAAAGTTTTACAGTTTGCAGATATGATATATTAATGCCGTATTCTATTTGATCCAGAGAGAAAGAGAAAAGGGACAATAACGTGAAGCAAAAGGGGGCCCTAATTACAGAGAAGAGATTTAAATAATTTTAGTAAAATATAATATTTTAAAAATGTTTCAAGAAAATAGTTTATATCAATACATTTTAAAACCATATAGTATACTTTAAAAAGTACCATTGGAGTCGGGAGGAAACCCAATAAGACAGTTCCTTCTAAACCATTTGACAAAAAGCGGGAACTTAGAACAGTTACCTAATGCAGTCCATTTGTTTATCTGTTGAACTAATAGTACCATGTTTCAAGTAACACACGATTTCTGGCTTATGTAGCCAAAATTACCATCTTCGACTTCCACGTCAATGTGTGCTTCCATCTAACTTCGTATAAATATATAGGGCTCTTTAGACTCTGTGTTTGGCATTATCACAATTTTTGCTTGGCTCAGACAGGGCAGGTTGATTATCATTAAAGTGTTATTTATTTCTATTTTATTAAGCCCCTTTTACATTCATGTTACAGGTTAATTTATAATTTTATTTCATGCACTACTTGGCTTTACTGATTAATATGCCCCATGGCATTCAATAAAGTCAGGCAGTGGAGGAAATAAGAGTGGTATTAATTTCTAACATTGCTATAAATTTGCCTTAATAAAACTAGCTCAATAACATTACAGAAGTAATACAATGGATACTTCCAAATTGTTAGCAAAGATGCAACTAAACAATTTTCCTTCCTGAATTTCACATAACACTATTGCCTTTTCTTTGAAGTGTGGAAATGAAACCTGCCATATATTTTTTCTCTTTTTAAAAGGTAATCTAATAGTTGGCATGATAAGACAGTGCACAGCTCTCCATTTGACTTATTCCAATATGCCTTATTCAGACTTTAGGTTACAAACTGTGCAAATTAACACAGGCTCACAGGCTCCTGGGATGGGGGAGTGAAACTTTATTCATGTAAGAGTTTTCATAAATATTAACATTAGGTCTGCAGAATCATTTGTTCTTCTCTAACCTATTAATGTTCAATTCCAATAATAAATATGATTACTACAAAATCTGAAAATACAGAAGGGCTAGTGAAAGTCTGCATGCTAGGTTTTTTTTTCCAGTTAACCCAGCTCTCCCACCCCAATTGTTCAATGAAATAAGATTAGAATTAGGATTTATAGGAATTTGTAAAAACGAGGACCCACTGCCAGCCACTGAATTTTGGCTCACAAAATTTTGATGATAAAGAATGTATTCCATTATTAAGTAACCAAATTCATGTATTAGAACACTTATTCTCTCCTTTTCATTTAATAGATTATAGCCAGGCCAGCCAAAATATTGTTACAAATTGGAAATTTGCCTTTATCTCCATTATTCCAAAAAAGTAAGGGCACTTTACTCTGATGTTTTCCCTTAGCTTTTCAATAATGTCTTTGAATAGCATTTATGGGCTGGAAGGAGATTTGACAGAGAAAAGCAACAAATGGAAATGTGTTCATTTGACAGGTATTTATTTATCAGCCTTTGTACCAGGGTGGGGATAGAACTGTGAAACAGTTTTACCAGTTTGTCCTCTGTTCCCCTAGAATATATAGACTTTTTTGTTGTTGTTGTTGTTGTTTTTTTTTTTTGAAGCAGGGTCTCTCTCTGTAGCCCAGGCTGGAATGCAATGGCGTGATCATGGCTCATTGCAGCCTCAACCTCCCAAGCTCAAGCTATCCTCCCGCCTCAGCTTCACAAGTAGCTGGGACTACAGGCACATGCCACCATGCCTGGCTAATTTTTAAATTTTTTGTAGAGATGGGGTCTTGCTATGTTTCCCAGGCTGGTCTCTAACTCCTGGAGTCAAGCAATCCTCCCACCTTGGCCTCCCAATGTGTTGGGATTACAGGCATGAGCCACCATGCTCGGCCTAGTCTTGCTCTTTTACTTACTTTAATAAATGGTGAAATTTCATACCATTAGTAAGGAAGCTATTTTGGGACAGAATTTTTTTTTTTCTTCTGTTTGTCTTTGAATGGATGAAGAACTTCTGCATTCCTTAAATCCCCCTCATATCATACCAGACAAAGCAGTAGGCACCTTTGCTCACCAAACAGCTCAAGAAATGGTGGTAGGGTGAGTCATTCTTTTTTTTTTTTTGAGACAGAATCTCACTCTGTCGCCCAGGCTGGAGTGCAGTGGCATGATCTTGGCTCACTGCAAGCTCTGCCACCCGGGTTCAAGCTATTTTCCTGCCTCAGCCTCCTGAGTAGCTGGGACTACAGGC
Organism: Homo sapiens; assembly: GCF_000001405.40. Classification (NCBI taxonomy): domain Eukaryota; kingdom Metazoa; phylum Chordata; class Mammalia; order Primates; family Hominidae; genus Homo; species Homo sapiens. Next base: position 177,157,317 of record NC_000002.12, on the reverse strand, counting down.
ACCCACCACCACACCCGGCTAATTTTTCTATTTTTAGTAGAGACAGGGTTTCACCGTATTGGCCAGGCTGGTCTCGAACTCCTGACCTTGTGATCCGCCCTCCTTGGCCTCCCAAAGTGCTGGGATTACAGGTGTGAGCCACTGCGCCCAGCCAGGTGAGTCATTCTTATACCCACTCAGCACTCCGAGCATTTTTTTTTTTTCTTTTGAGACAGAGTCTTGCTCTGTTGTCCAGGATGGAGTGCAGTGGCACGATCTTGGCTCACTGAAACCTCTGCCTCCCCGGTTCAACTGATTCTCCTGCTCAGCCTCCAGAGTAGCTGGGATTACAGGTGCCTGCCACCATGCCTGGCTAATTTTTGTATTTTTCATAGAGACGGGGTTTCACCATCTTGGCCAGGCTGGTCTCGAACTCCTGACCTCAGGTGATCCACCCACATCGGCCTCCCAAAGTGCTGGGATGACAGGCGTGAGCCATGGTGCCCAGCCACTCTGGGCATATTTTGAGACTTCTACCAAATCAGCTTAATAGAATGATTAAACACCTCCTCCTTTGCCCCAGCTCAAATGAATCCAAGCCTATTAGATAAGTGGATTTGATGTTTTCATGTTTTCCTTTGCTCAGCTCTTGGCTAAAATTACATTTTCAGATAACTCACATAAAAAAGATGTGCCTTTTCATGTTAATGTATTTATGCAACTTCCAGCTTTATGAGAAAGTAAAAATTTCATTTTTACTGTTTCTGCTACTAAACCCAAACTGATCTTCTTTGCTTTAAAAAGGAGATATTTAGAATAAACAATTCTAGGCTGGGTGAGGTGGCTCACGCCTGTAGTCCCAATGCTTTGGGAGGCTGTGGCAGAATTTAGTCCAGGAGTTTGAGACCAGCCTGGGCAACAGTGAGACCCCATCTCTAGAAACAAACACAAACAAGCAAGCAAACAACAACAACAACAAAAAGCTGGCTCATGCCTATAATCTAATCCCAGCAGTTTGAGAGGCCAAGGTGAGAGGATCACTTGAGCCCAGGAGTTCAAGACCAGCCTGGGTAACATAGCAACACCCCATCTCTACAAATAATTAAAAAATTAGCTGAGTTTGCTGGCATGTCCCTGTGGTCCCAGGTACTCGGCAGGCTGAGGTGGAAAGATCACTTGAGTCTAGGAAGTTTCAGTGAGCTGTGATCATGCCACTGCACTCCAGCCTGGGTGAAAGAGCAAGGCCCTGTCTCAAAAAAAAAAAAAAAAAAAAAAAAGAAAAGCATTTCTAAATCATTCCTCAAACTAGTTTTTAGTAAAAAGCTATCTTCAAAGTAATAATCTACATCCTGGATCCTGAGAATGATCATTCAAAAGCAAAGCAACAATTTTAGAGACTTGGGAGTCCCATTTTAGAAGATTTGTTTCCAGAGTCCTCCTTATTTCCTGAACTAGAAAATAAGAGACTTCCATTGGCTTATCCATCTTCAGGTAACCATTCACTTATAAACATGCTGATGACTCAGTGAATTGAATCAATCTACACAGGCAGTCATCCATACAAGCCTTTATTTGCTTTAGGAAATCTGTTAGCTAATGAATTTTGATGTGTTTTTATAAATTTTTATGAAGTAGACAGACTAAACTTAGTTTATTATATTTCAGTATGGATTTGACAATGCCTTTGATTGACCTCGCAGCTGCTCATCACACAAAAGTACCTAAAATTGATACACTTCAGTCATTAGGATAAACTCCAGGAAAAGTTTTCCTTTCTTTCCATTTTATTTTATTTTTTGAGACGAAGTCTCACTCTTGTTGCCTAGGCTGGAGTGCAATGGCATGATCTTGGATCACTGCAACCTCTGCCTCCCAAGTTCAAGTGACTCTTCTGCCTCAGCCTCCCAAGTAGCTGGGATTACAGGCATGCGACACCATGCCCGTATTTTTATTTTTAGTAGAGACAGGGTTTTGCCATCTTAGCCAGGCTGTTCTTGAACTCCTGACCTCATGTGATCCTCCCGCCTCGGCCTCCCAAAGTGCTGGGATTATAGGTGTGAGCCAGCATGCTCAGCCAAAAGTTTTCCTTTCTAATCAAATGAGGAAATTTTATTGAGATAAGAATGGGCATGGTGGCTCAGTGCTTAGGGAGGCTGAGGTGGGTGGATCACTTGAGTCTAGGAATTTGAGACCAACCTGGGCAACAAGGCAAAACCCCATCTCTACAAAAAATATAAAAATAAAAAAAAATTAGTTTGTTGTGGTGCTGTGCACCTTTAGTCCCAGCAACTTGCGGGGCTGATGTGGGAGGATCACTTGAGGCTGGGAGGCAGAGAGGTTGCAGTGAGCCTGGATTGCACCACTGCATTCCAGCCTGGGTGACCAGAGCAGGACTCTGTCTCAAAAAAGAAAAAAAAAAAAAAAAAAGAAAGAAAAAGAAGAGATGGGAAAGTCAGACCTGTTGGTGAAATGAGTTAGGCAGTGAATTGAACCAAAATGTAAAGTTCTATGTTTTTAGCTAATAGGAAATAAAATATACTGAGGGTTTGGTAACCTCTTAGGACTTTGAACCCATGTATAATTACATTGCTTGATAGTTTTCCCCCCAATACCATCTAATCTGAAGTTATAGCAAATAAAATACAAATTAAACAATGCTAAAAATATTTTTATCTTAAATCTCTGTTCCATAAGTAAATTTAAAAACTTTAGGAGTCTGCAAAAATGTACTATTTTAATAATTCACTCTTTTTTAATCTTTAAAGTGAAAGCAAGTTTATTAGGAAAGAAAAGGAATAAAAGAATGGCTACCCCATAGACAGAGCAGCCCCAATAATTCATTCTTTGCAAAGCTTTCTGGGGTATGATGATGCTTAACAGACTGGGTCAGTTGCAAAAATAGTTTTGCAAATGTTGGTATAAAAATAAGTAATATATGTAGAAAGCAGATAAAACTTATTTGGTGACAACTAGATTATAATGATGCAATTTTAAGTTTCAGATAGTCTCAACTTAAATCTTTAGTGAAATACATTAGTTTTTCAAATGATCAGAACTCAGCAAAATATATATGAATGTGAGATGAAGGGTGCTAAAATTTCCCCCCCCTGGATTTTTTTTAAAACAACTACATTAAAGAGTTACTACCCTTTGAGAATAAGGATATTATTTTCTTTTTGAAGGGAAACACTGTACTCTATAGAATGACTTGTACTGTCTTTTGTGCCATTATTAATACATTTCCTGTTTAAGGAAATGACTTTTTTTTTTTAACATGATAGTTTAAACTTCAAAATAAGTGCTATTGACTTTTAAAATGTCTTATCTTACTAATGTCATTCTGGGCATGAAGAATAAAGTGTGGAAAATGCTTGTCATAATAATCCTATTGTCATGAGATTCTCCTTTTTGAATAAAATAGCTCACATTTGTTGTTTCTTTTCTGGGGAGTGGCAATTGGGAAAGGGGAAAGTAAGTTTTGTAGATAAAGCAAACAGATCCCTCACTTTTAGATTAGTGAAGGATATGGTGATTTTTAAAAATACAAATATATACTATACCTATAATATATATTAAATGTCAGATATATCTTCCAGAGATCTTGCCTTCTTATTTACAATGGCCATACAAATGTCCTCATATAGTTCTATTTAATTGATTCTGTTTCCTTCATTTCTGTTTTTCTGTTCTTTCCTTTCAGTCAGCTTCCTCAGGTTGAATATTTTTCTGTTCTTATTGCCTTCTTCAAAACCACCATTTAAACTTTAATAAGATTCAAATTGAGATATTAAGCACAGAAAATAGGAAAAGTTTTAACTGAATTTTTTACGTTATATACTTGAAGCATGTTTCATGAATGAATAACATATGATTTACATGCATTTAAAATAGTATGTAGATTGCACGATGAAAATGCTATCATTTACTGAGTGGAATCTATATTTTCATTTAATTTAATATTTTTCACTTATGAAATAAGCAAGGTAGTTATGCAGCATATGTATATATATATATGCATATGTTTTATAAAAGCATACGTTTTAAAGTTTTTCCTTTTGGGAAAAAATACATACTTGAATATAGTTATTGAGGCCTTACTCTTTTTTTTTTTTTTTTGAGGTGGACTCTCACTCCATCACCCAGGCTGGAGTGCAGTGGGACCATGTTGGCTCACTGCAACCTCCATCTCTTGGGCCCAAGCAATTCTCCTGCCTCAGCTTCCCAAGTAGCTGGGATTATAGGTGCTCACTACCATGCCCGGCTAATTTTTTTATGTTTTTAGTAGAGATGGGGTTTCACCATGTTGGCCAGGCTGGTCTCGAACTCCTGACCTCAGGTGATCCACCCGCCTCGGCCTCCCAAAGTGCTGGGATTACAGGCGTGAGCCACCGCGCCTGGCCGAGGCCTTACTCTTAAAACCAAGGTGACCCTTAGTTTTGAAAAGTACAGAGCACTATAATGAATGATTAACAAATTATGCTCTGCAAAACAAAACTTAGTTGTGCATTAATACTAGTAGATACTATTTCTGCATTCTTATTTGTGCTAGGCAATGTGCTAAATGCTTTATGTACATTAACCTCATTTTAGTTCATTTAACTTCACAAGAAAGCCGTTGGTTAGGAATTTTTACCCTCATTTTACAGGTGGGAAAACGGAAACAGAGTTGAGTGACTTACTCAAGGTCTCAGAGTTAGTCAGTGGTAAAGTTAGTATTTGGATTCATGGCTATCCAATTACCCATACAGCATATTGAACAAGATCAAGAGGTTTAAAATACCTGTAAAATTTTTGATTAGTTAAATATGATGTGGAAAAATATAATAATGATGGCAATAAATAACCAATAAATGTTAGAAGACAGAGTTTAAGAGACAAGGATATGATACATAACCCCTTTTCTCCTGTAGAAGTAGATGAGGAAGTTATAGTAGAGGAGATGCGATGATAGTTCTGTAAAACTGTGAAGTAAGCATTGATTATTTGCTTGATTCATTAATTTACTTAACTAGGTTTTTGTTGGCCACTCTGTTGGGTGGTGGTATAGAAAGATCAGTAGGAAAGGTGCCTGCCTTTACAGAGTTGGCAGTCTTTTGAGTATGTAGACCATCCATGGGTAAATAGTGCAGAGGTTCAAGAATGATCATAGATTGTACTGATTACAAAGGAAGGTATATAATGTAGAAAGAGGTGCATGGTGGGTGGGAGGGAGACCTGTCCTGAGTTTTAAAGTTCATTATGTGAGGCAGGTAATATGGTCAAGATTCCAGGTAGAGAAAACAGGTGGTAGAAAGCCAAGAAGGTCCAAATGAGAGTGGGTAGGTTAGTGCAGTAATTGATGAGCCCGAAGACAGACAGATAGAAAGACTAGATCTTCCATGGCTGAACAAGATAGAGGTTGCTATAAGGCTGTGGGGAAGAGGCATGGTGAGATCCACATGTTAGGACAAATGCACTGGCTGCAGTGTGGAGAGAGGGTTGGAAAGGGGCCATGCTGGAGAAAACCAGTTAGGAGGCTGTTGCAGACAGGAGGAAAGTGACAAGGGCCTGATAGTGGGCAATGATGGGGGTTTTAGTGAGAAGGGGACAGCCCAGGTTATCAAAGAAAACGAGAAGAAAAGTTTCAAGGAGGAAGAAAAAGTAAATAGTATCAAATGATGTAGAGAAAAGATATTCATTGGGTTGAATAACAAGATCTCTGGTGACTCTTGCTAGAGAAGCAAGTGTTAGTGGTTCACAGAGAAGCCCATGGGGTGGAGGAGTGACCCAAGGGTGAGTGGGAAGGAAACACAGTGAGTGCCCAGTGTTTTCCTTTGCTACTCCCTGTGCTGATTTCCTCCTCTACTTCCAATCTCGGGAAAGAAAAAAAACACTTATTGGACAATTAGTGAAAACTAGTGCGTGCTGTAAGCCTCAAAATGACCCTATGATGTTGGGCCCACTGTGATCTTTATTTTCTAGGTGGGGAACAAAGAGCTTGAGAGATTTATACCCCAGCCCAAGATCCACAGTCATTAAATGGCAGGGCTCTAGTTCAAATCCAGGTCAGTGTGATTCCAGAGCTCACAGTCTCACCACTACTCTCTTCTAGAATTTACAGTCTTCATGCTTTGCTCTTCTCTCCTTCCCTCTCAAGACTGCAATCATGGAGCTGATAGACTTATTTTCACCAAAACATAAATGATGGGCACAGCTTATTATGTTTTTTTTCTGGATGCATTTTGAAATGACCATTGGATGTACTTCTTTTGCATTTTTATTGTGAAATACAGAACCAGTTTTGGCACTTTATGTAAGTGGAATCATTTGTATTCTTCTGTGTCTTGCTGCTTTTGCTCAAAATTGTATTTTGCGATTCATCCATGTTGAGTGTGGCATTAGTGCATTCATTTTCAATGCTGAATAATATTTCCTTACGTGAATTTACCATGTTATTTGCCATGCTATTTTATTCTTTAGGGACTTGTGGGTTATTTCTAGTGTTGAACAATTGTGACCGATGTTGTCTCTTTTTTTAAAAGTTCATTTTTCTGTTCAAGAAGGTCTAAGAATGTGATTTTAAACATCTTTAAATATTTTAGGAGGTCAGGATCCCTTTCCAATTCCCTTGAAATGAAACCTGACAAGTGGTTCCTGTGGGTTCCTGATTTGCTTACTCATGAGACCAAACCTGAGAAGTCTGAGGAGCATTTCTAAATTAAAATGTTTAAATAGGTCAGGTGAACTGAAAAAACAAAGAAACAGTTATTACCAGATCTCCCATTTCCCCTAGCTCTTCCACTTCATTGTTGCAATCTTAGCGAAATGCAGTCAGCTTGCATATTTTCCTGCATCGGTCCTTTGATCAGTAAAGTAATTTCTTTTCCTTCCTTTGTGCAAATCTTTTGATTATAGTAAGTTCATTCTTTAAAGACCAAACGTGGTAAAAAATATTAACAACTTGAATAATTTTAGCAACTATCTAAAATAACTTATTTTGCAGGGGATAAAACTAGAAATATTTACTTTTATAAAGTGAATCATCAAAATATAATACAACCAGTAATAAGATCATAGTGTATCATATATTTTAATAACAACATATAAGATAGACACAGTGTAGTATAGAAGTTCAGGGTATAGGCTCTGGAGTCAGAAAGACCAGGTTCAAATTTCAGTTCCACTTCTTACTGCCCATGTCAATGTGGTGAATTTCTTAACCTTCTAGAAGTAGCTTTCCTCAATTATAAAATAAGGATAATAGTAGTATCTATTTTAATAGGGCCATTGTGACCATCAAGTAAAAAACCTCAATAAATGTTAGTTGTTGTTGATATATTTAGCACATCCAAAGGGTAGAATAACCAGAGTATTTATTAACAAATCTTGTCAGAGATAGTTATCTGCTTATGTTATAGCTATTTATTCAACATTTAATAGGCTCCTCTTCTGAGGCAGAGGTTGTGGATCAGACAAAAGTACAATTTGTGGAGGTAAGACAATTAGAAAATTATGATCAAGTGGCAATGTTAAATAAAATATATTTGAAAACATAAAGTAGGAAGTGATTGCAGAATGTGGATCAATTGAAGGTACAACTTTCTAGGAATTGTATTTTGAATTTGATCTCAAACGAGGTAATAGCCACAACTTTGCCACGAAGAAAATTGAAGTTCTTTCTTCCAGAAAATGTGTGCATGTAAAGAATAGAAGGAAAAATGAGTACGACCTCTTTTGGGGGATAATAGGAATGGAAACTGTGAATGGAATGGGTGAAGAAGGGAGACATAATTGGTGGAATATTTTATAAACAGCTTTTCTTAAGACTCATATTTATTAGATGGTAGGAAAAATAAAAATTCAGTTCCATTTGGATTGGCTTACTGAATTATAAACTTATTAAGGCAAAATGTGACCAATCTGGCAGATTAAAGAAAAGTGGTAATATTTTGGCAAAATAAACTTTCTATATTTTCCTTTTCTTAATAAAGATATAAATAATAAAGCACTTTGACATTTCAGAGATTTGAAATTTATATTGAAAAACCACTCTTGAAATTCCTGTCAGTCATTTGAATCATTTGCTTCTTTTGTCATCTTCTTGTTACTTTTTTTTTTTTTTTTTTAAAGATAAGACTCCTTCCCTATTGCTTCGACTATAGTTAGTATTTTCTAGGTTGGCTGTAGGGATTGTTCCCTGAAGCTTATATACCTCACCACGCGTTGACGACTCCCCCAGGTCAATAGAATCCACTAGGTGGCGCCCAGGTCTACTGCCGCGTCTCGTCTCCGCTGGGCGCAAATCTTGGAACAGCTGTGGATGTTCGAGGAGTGGTTGGAGAGATCAATATGATCCATGTGGAGCAGCTTCCCTACCGTCTGCTCCAAAAGGCTGTAAGCCTGGTGTCCTTCAAACTGTTACTGTAATGAAATACCCGAATATGGACAATGATGGTGTGGTTTTGAGTACGAGAAAGCCTGCGGTTTTGCTTCGTGAGACTTAAAGACGAGCAGGCAGACAGGCATCCATCCAGCTGCAGTTCATAGCCGATGCCCCCGACAAGTAGCAGGCTGGCGACTGAGAAGCTCCCCAGAAGCTACCTTTAATGCCCAAAGATTGATTTAGGCAATGACACTGCAATGTACGGAAGGGGAAAAAGGGACGAGAGGAAGGTATCAAAAAGAGGGAGATTATTTCAATATTAACTTGAGTGCAGGCATAATTCGCTCTCATTTCTGGCAGGCAATTGAGCACTCTGCTTCATATGCAAAATCGAGGGTACATTCTGATGTAGATTTCAGATAGCGGGAAATGAAGGTATTTTGTTTTTCTTTTAAATTGCATTGGGCAATTTCCTTTCTTATATGAAACGCTGTAGGCTTTGTACAATTATTTTATACGTTATTACCATTCTTCTAAAAAGGGACAGCTTTTTTCTTTCCAATTTAAAGTAGTGGATAATGACTTTGGCAGCATTTTCCTGCCTTTTTCAAGTTTATGGAACCCATTCCTCATCATTAGGCTGAAGATGCAGATAAGAAAGGACGAGCCTTTTTCTGGAGCTTGTCACATCAATGTTGCTTCTTAGGTGATTAAAAAGAAAGCAGCGAGGATCTTGGAGAAAACGTCTGACAAAAGGTAATGGAAACCCAGAAACAGACGAAAACCGGTGATAGATTAGGCAAACCTTCTCTGCTAAGTGCATGTGTGCATTTCAGCTCAGGAACAAAAATAAGACCCTGTTCTACGGAGGCTCTTAAAAAACTGACCTGTGCTGGCCCCACACGCTAAGGTTTATTTGAGGCGCCCGAAGGTGATTAGATCCAGGAGGAGGCGTTTTTCTGCAGTTTAGCTTAGGAACTCAGAGCCAGCCAAATGCTTACTGCAGCTGCTTGTTGGCTGGTTCAAAGGTATAGAGCTGCTTTAATTAAAATCGGCAGGCGCGTTTTGATTTTGGTCAAAATAGATTTTGTTATTTTTAAACTTCCTGTGGAATTAAAAAAAAAGTATTTTTATTCCCTTTTCTTTTGTCCAGCATTCTTATTCCCATTTCCATCCTCTGCTATCATAATAATGGGAGGGGGTTCAGTATGGAATTCTAAAAATCTCCCCAGGTTTATCTCTTCAGGGATACGCGATGGTCCAACAAAAACATCTTTAGCACAAATGTAGCTTGGAGTATATGGAAATTGTGTAGTAGTCACAGAGGTATTTCTTAAAAATATCTTTGCTAATAATTTTGGTAGGCTAGAAGTAGATGAGTGAACATGATATTCAACTATGGAAGGTATTTTGCCTGGTGTTCAGTTGGTTTATTGTTTTGAAGGAGGGAAATTGGCATGCAATTTAATAAAGAAAGTACTTTTTCTAAAACGAAACATTTATTTCTATTTATTAAAATATGGTATTTCAATATGCAACAAAGAAAAAATGATTTCTGGTATGATACTAGAAACAAATCTGGAAGTGAAAAAAAGGATGACTAAAAAACATTGTAGTTAACAATATAAATCTCTAGAAGCAATATACTTTTCACCTCTGGGTGCCACTGTTCAACTGCTTCTCGTTTTTATGACTGTTTGAAAGCCAGATGCTTCTTGTAGATGTATTCTTAAAAGAATCTGTTAAAGAGACATTTTCTCTATCTCTAGTTATCTGCTAAATAACTTTTTTGGCACCTGGAGTAAATTCAGCATGGTTGTGATTTTCCATTTTAATTACCAAATGATGACCAAATAATATTGAAGATTGTTTATATGGGCAATTGGCTAGGTTAAAAGCCTGATTTCATCTCTTATGGAAATGAATTTTGTATTTGCCTTTCTGGTAGGCATTTAACCAGAAAAAGCCTTTAAAACACAAGGGAGTTTTAGGTTAAATTTGTTATCATTTGTAGGTATGATTTTAATTCTGCACAAATGTTTCAATACAAATAAATTTTATAAAAGAGAAGTAATGGGTAGACATTGGAAGGAATTAATCAATGAAAATATAATTTCAAGAACCTAACTTTGTTAACTGAAATATTATTTTTCACTTAATTTTAAAGCTTAATTCCTTTAGCAATTCCATGAAAAAAACCCTACAGGAATTTGTCTACATATTTTCTGAATTCTTCTCAGGTGTGATTATTTTAATAAAAATAACAATATTTGTAATTTTGCAAAATGTATGAGTAATTTTTTTTTTTTTACAAACTAGGCAGTGAATTAGTATTTTGTAACAAGAAACAAATGCACATATTCGGTTGGTTTTTAAATCTCTAATTACTTATTTTAAACTTGGGGCTTATCAGAAATGCGAGAGAAAGTGGTTATAATGCCAAAGTTAATTTTGTTTTGTCATATACAAAGTAGTTAATCTAAAAATTATTGATTGATATTCTCCCTCTTTTAACTCTTTTAGGACTCGATATTTAAAGCAAAACTAATTTATCTAGGTGTTCTACGGCACAAAATTAATTCTCCTGGGACTGGTCCAGGCCAAGCCTCATTATGGAACGGTTCCTCTTGCTGAACTAGTCTAAGCCTGATTCTTACTGGGATACTTTTTTAGAGTTATTTGCAACAAAGAATTTAACCCTTGAGAAGCTACAGAATTGACTTTCAATATTATACATATTAGGCCATTTGAGGGGATCAGGAAGACATTAAAATCAGAGTGTGTTTTTTCCTTGTGGGTGCTTCCTGGGACTTTGAAGTTAGGCAATTGTATTTGTGTATACTGCAGGGATTTTAGTTTTGTAATCATATACCAGAATTGAAGTGTTCATTTAAGACATTTTTTACCCTTCCCTAATCTGCATCACAACAAGCATATTACTGACCCTGTCTTTTTCATTTATATATAAGTGGTGAATTTACCTCTTTGCCTGGGTGCCCAAATAGTTGTTCAGATCATACAGCAAGTTTCACTGACTTTCTTTGCTTAATGTCTAACTGAATCATTTGGTTACTTGGTGTTTTTGTGCATACATAGACCCCAAGATTGTAACTGTTAAACAGCTACAAAAGTAGTTCAGCATCATTCATCAGTTATATTTCCTTTACTGTGTGTGTGTGTGTGTGTGTGTGTGTGCGTGCGTGTGTGTATAATATCTTTGCAAAATATTATTGGCGAATAGATTTTTTAAATGTCAATTTTTGTGTTGACTTTTTGCCTTTTGTGTAGCAGTTAGTTCATAAAGATTAGGCCATTTTCCACTGGAGAATCTCTTGCATTTTAAGGTTCTTTGCTCATTGTGGGCATCTTACCAAATTTTTTCACTGAAGTAGTTTTCCTCATTCAAAATGCCACATTTTCTATTAGAATGTTACTAATCTGGCTCAATATATTTTCCCTTTGTGGCTGGTAAGGAATATTTATTTGATGCTAGTGAGGCGGCCCAATCTACCAGCCAGGTCTTTCACAGAGAACAAGATGGTGGTCAACTTGAGGATGGGTAAGTGTCTTTGTGATGGAAAGCAATAATTTAGTCTTTAGTAGGCTGCTTGCTCTACATGCTAACAAACCGACACCTTTCCTCACTCCCCTTCTCCCAGACAGATTTCTGTTGGATTAGTAGTAGGTTGACTTGTTCCGTCTCACATAGATATACTTCCAGAAGGTGTCGCGGTGATGCTGTGAGACTTAACTTGTCAACCTAAACTCTTTTTATCTGAAATGCAATAACAATTGCCAAGTTTTCCTAATATAAAAATAGTCTAAATCAATTATCCAGGCTATTGTTAAGCCACACTAAATTATGGGATTAATAAGCAAACATTCAGGTAGTTCAGTGGCATTTGATAAGGAAATTTAATTTACTCACATAAGATTACACTTAGAAAATTATTGGCCAGGCGTGGTGGCTCACTCCTGTAATCCCAGAACTTTGGGAGGCTGAGGCGGGGGATCACCTGAGGTCGGGAGTTGGAGACCAGCTTGACCAATATGGAGAAACCCTGTCTCTACTAAATATACAAAATTAGCCAGGCGTGGTGGTGCATGCCTGTAATCACAGCTACTCGGGAGGCTGAGGTAGGAGAATCGCTTGAACCCAGGAGGCAGAGGTTGCAGTGAGCTGAGATCACGCCATTGCTCTCCCAGCCTGGGCAACAAGAGCGAAACTCCAGCTAAAAAAAAAAAAAAAGAAAATTATCCATATAGGTCCCATTGTTTTCAATAAAGTAAAGGTAGGTTTTTAAAGAAAAACTTTGTAAAAACATACTCTGGCCAGTGAATTTAATTTCTCTGTAAAATAATAGCTTTTTTTTTTTTAAAAAGAGTCTTGCTCTGTCACCTAGACTGGAGTGCAGGGGCAGGATCTTGGCTCACCACAATCTCCTCCTCCCAGGTTCAAGTGATTCTCCTGCCTCAGCCTCCTGAGTAGCTGGGATTACAGGTGCGTGCCACCACATCTGGCTAATTTTCGTATTTTTAGTAGAGACGGGTTTCACCATGACGGTCAGGCTGGTCTCGAACTCCTGATGTCATGATCCACCCTCCTTGACCTCCCAAAGTGCTGGGATTACAGGGCGTGACACCGCGCCCGACCTAAAATAATAGTTTTAAGAGAAACTGCTGCCTTGTGAAATTGAATTCTCAGTCTATAATGTGGCGTATGCTTCTGTTTTAAATTCATTATAAAAGGTATTTAAACTTCATAGATTTCTTCCCCCTGTGTATTTTTGTCAGCCTAGACGCACAAAGAAAGAAGAATGCTCTATACCTTGTGGACATTTAATAAAGATTAATTTTTTTAAACTAACAATTTAAGTATAATCTCCAAATGGAAGCATATCTATGTTAGTTTAAATCCTTTCACAATAAATAACAGAATACAGGAAACTTTTAGGAAGGTTTATGATTTTCCATAAGAAAAATGTGCTTAGAGCTTAGAGGGGAACATTTTACAATTTTTTTAAAAAAATCTACATCTTCCTTCTGCAGATATCAATACAATCAATTGACAGTAAATGAAAAAGCCGAAAAAAAAGAATGCCCCCTCTCCAGTCTTCCTTTTTTTTTTTTTTAATTTCAGTTGGAAAATCCCCACTGAATGAATTTTTTTGAAAAAGTAAATGTATCCTGGGAACATGCCGTTCAGGATTTTGGAAAAGGAACTTCAAACGAAATTGGTAAGGGAGGCAAATGCGTAAGTGGAAACTTTGAGGAAACTGGCAATGAGAGACTGGAAATCAGGCAGTCATTTACGTTTTACTTCACCACCCTTTGCTTATGTGAGTACAAAGCAGGGAGCTGGCAAGGCTGTGAGTCAGAACTCTCCTCTCAGGAACTGAGCAGAGAGATTCCCAGCATCTGTTTCCTCAACTATCACCCAGAGGATACTGGTGGTAAATCACAGGGAATAAAAATAGCCTCAGAAGTCTAGTTCCAGACAAATAAGGCATGCTGGATATTCGATAGTGGTTTGGGGTCTCAAAATTCTTCATTAGCTAAATAACAAATATATTATTTTTTACATTAATGAGCATATTCCTTACATTGTTCACCTAAATGTTGAGCACAACCTTGGCATTTCTACTGACGTGAGTTGAAGTATTACCTAAATTACATTATGTTTGATGTTACAGTCTGAACCATTTAGTGTATAAAGGTGGGTCTACAATCAATAATCACAAATGTTAAAGCTTTATTTTAGATACAATAAAACATTTATTTCTAAGATGTTAAAAAAAAACCCATAAGCTTCTTACCATAATGTCAATTGCCAATAGATTGATAAGATCTTTCTGCATTTTGACTGCAGGAAATTTTATGGCTAGAATCTTACAATTTACACAACTTACAGTCTTTTTAGGTTATATTTCACATATAAGAAAGTATTTTTTAGGTCTGCCTAGAAATGTTGTAATTTGATATTAAGTTATAGCTTAGATTTTCAACAAAAACAGCAGCTGTAATAGATGAGATTAGCAAGTGGTGAAAAGTTCAAAGCATTTAATGGAATTGATCTACTAAATTAGCATTGACAATTTTTAGTGGCTATCTTAAATATACATTATTATCATGAAAGAATTAGTCCAATTAAGCCTTTACATTTGGAAGATGCCCAGTCTGACCTTGTTCTACTCAATGTGAAAAGTGAGAGGGTCTTTGGGTTTATTTAAATTTGGTGTTAAATCAATTGGTTTGGGGGACCTTTTACTCCTTTTTGGAATGGAAGAAAAACTCAAAGGCTATTTATAGTGACAAATGGGTTATTAGAACAGTTAATATATTATATTATAATTTATAATTATAAATTATAATTAATATAATATATAACAGTTTTTATATTGCAAATAAAAAATGATGACCAGGAGTTGCTCTGAACCTATTCTGGTTTAGGGAGCTGCCCAGCTAAAAAAAAAAGAAAAAATAATGATTGAAGAATAGAACAAAATAATATTTGATACATAGGTGAGAATCAATTAGAGTGGGATTCTTTTCTCACAATTTCTTACTAAAGCCATATTTACTGGGTATACTGGATGTATTTTGGAACTGAAATAATTATATTGTATTTAATATCAGGTTTTATTTAGAACACTCTCAATTAAGAAATAACCAGCTAATAAAAAAATAGAAATCTATGCAAATATACATGAAGAAATAAGTATGGGATTTTCCAGAAATCTAATTTCTATACATCAATAGTATATTTTATATTCTGTTGATACAGACTTCTATGATAACTTGAACATAAATATCATGAAAATAAAATTGAGTTTTGAATTGTCAGTTTAATTGTGCAAACTCTCTGATGATGGCTGGTTACTCATTTATCATGAAATTGTGGAGTCTTGGCTCTTACGTAAGGGGCTTGGTTGAAAGGCCAGCTTCTTAATTCACAGCGGCTTATACGTGAGTCTTCATTGGAGCTCAGGAGCTAGCTCTTTTGTGAAAGCATTTAGTAAAATATATTTTAGTTGAGGTTTTTTTTTTTTTTCTGTTGTTATCCATTCCAATATTTAATGGTCCATTTCCCTAATCTGGGCTTCTAACCCAGACACTTTTGGACATTTTTAATAGAAAAAGATGTCTTTTGCGTAAGATTTCTTCAAAAAGAAAATTGTAACTAATTTACCCCCCAGCTTTCTCTTCTATAAACGGAAAAATCCAATTCTCATTTATCAACTCCCCACCTTTTTAAGTTCTCCTCTGAATGCTCAGCAAATTATTCATATCCATCTTTAAATATAGCACTCTGAGGGGAGTTTAGTGCTTTATTAAGGTATCTGAGGAAGATGGGAGATGATCTCATTTATTCCTGAGGATGTATTGAAAAATCCTCTCTCTGCCAGACTCTGCTAGGTGCTGGGAATACAGTAAGATTTAACAAAAACCTTGAGGGAGAGAAAGATTTGCCAACAAGTAATGGCAATACAACATGTTAAGTGCTAACATGGGTGTAGACAACATGCATTTGTCTGTCAGTCCTAATTCGGTATTCATTGTCAAAACAGTATTTTAAACTGCTACAGCAATGCCTACTGACAGTCATATTTCTATGCAAACAATTTCTAATTAGCTCCTGTAATTCAGGTGTGTACTTTGAACACATTTTTCCATACTACGTTTAATCTACATTTTGTTTCTTATTTGTACAATTTTATCTTAAATTGTTATTTTACCTTCTAAATTTCATTTTTTGGCCTCTTCTGTCTGTTATTCGGGTTGATATCAAAAACACCATTTGTCGTCTCCTCAATTTGAATGCTTTAGTTAGAACTCCCCAGCCAATCTATAGTTAATGAATCAACAGTTGTCTGTTCCTGGTCTATTTTCCTAGCATGCCTTGTAGGAGAGAATCAAAAGCCTTCCTAAAGTCCAGCTTAGGGTTCATCAGTTAATTTTCTGTGATCCATCAGGCCTTCCACTCTGCTATGTAATAGGATGACTGTCTATTATCTACATAGGACAAGTTCTTTGTGAAGCTATATTGATTATTAATGATTGTGTAATTAGGTACGCTCTCAAGAGTTCTGGTTATTTTGGTCCTTTTTTGAATCTCTAGGCATCTACTCAGTTCTCTGAATATTACACAAAGGTAGGGACAATAATTTTGTACCACTCATTCAGTGTTGTCAAATGGAAACAAATCAGAGCTGGGGCTATCAGAAAAGAAGTGGGCAAGTCATGCATCCTGGTCATCGTCTATCACATGTCAGCATTAGCTTCTGCATAGTGCAGCACTGATCATGGCATGATGCAAGCTTTATTTGGTCACCATGGACAAGTATTCCCCTTTTATTGATTTGTAATACACCATTAAGCTTCATTGTAATAAAATTGGACATGATAGATAGCAAAATGATAAAAACCACCTGTAATTCCCCTAACTAGAGACTAGCATTGTTAGCAGTTTGGTTTACACATGCACGTTGGTGTATGTGGATGTGTGTGTGTAAAATGTGTATAATAAACATACATACTGTTTTGCATCAACCCACCTTTTTCACTCAGTACTACATAGAGTTCATTTTTCTAAGATAATGCACATCATATAACCATAGAAATTCAACTTTTCAGTATTGAATCACAACTGTGTTCTTTTTGTTGTTCAATAATACTTCTCTAACTCCATGAGTAAAAAGAAACCTCTCCTTCACTCATACCTCTCTTATAGCATTATCTCTTTTTAAATTTAGGTAGATTCCTTATTATCTTAGTAATTGCAGTCTCTGAGAGTAGGATCTATACATGATTTATCCTTATGTTTCTTACATTTTAGCTGCATAATAAATATTTATTGAATAAATGAATACATGAATTTTAGTAACGGGAACTGAAATCTTGGAACTTCATGTTTTGCTTTTAGTTCTGTCTCTGATTTCACTTTGTACCTCAGTTTACCCAGGTACAGAAAGGATATAAAGCAATTTGTCACTTACCTGAAATCACCAAGCTATGAAATATACCACGAAGCTAATGTGCCACACAGCTGGAAATAGTTCTTTAATATTAATCATTTTGAATGAAATTTTTCAGATGCACTACATACTTTATTACTATTTTTTAGCAAATGAAAGATATTAATGTAAAACAATTGGAAAATACAAACAAAAAAATTCTACTAGTAATTCTACTACCTAGAAATGAACATTATTATTTTGATGTCTGTACTTCCAACCTTTCTTTTCTATGTATACCCATGTATGTGAAATATAATTTTCACTATAGATTTTTATCAAATTGTGATCCTAAATACTATCATTACTTTTTCTCATTAATATAAACATCTTTACATGACAATAAATTATCCCTAATAATCAATGTTGATGATTATATAGTATTTCATTATGGGAGTATGCCATAATTTACTTAATCGCTCCTCCCCTTATTGAGTATTTAAGTTATTATCTACTTTATATATTATAAATTATAAAAAGCATTGTAATGAATATCCTGGTTTACAAGTCTTTGGACATTTGGCAAGGAAAAGTTTTAAATATCCTCTTTTAAACAATCAAGTTTAGGCAAGTGAAAGTCCCTTTTTCTTCCATCACAAGATTAAACAATAAATATAGCTTATCTGAATAAATTTCTTTAGTGTATGAGATGGACTAAGATTTTTAAAATTATTATAAAATAAGGGCATGCTACCCTGATTGATGATAATGGAATTACTTTCTGTCTCAAGTTGATTCTAGAATACTTGTTTGGCCTCATTTGGTCTTTTGTGGCATGAAAAATGTACTTCTTTATTAGATTCAGTCATATAATGGAAGAAATGAGATTCTAAATGTTCATGTTTCCTGGAAGAAGTTGCTACCTAGCTGTGTCTTTGTATAGTTTCATAAAACTATAGGTTGGGAAGGAGACTGGTTTCTGTGATTAACTCTGTTTCTCAGTTTCCATTTTGTAAGTGGGACAGAACTAATCACTCTAAACATCTAGAAATCTTTTAAAACTTTAAAATCCAAATGCTTTACATTCTGTTCCCCCTGCTTTTGTGGTTGTACTGCAGCAATTCTGTGTTTTGGAGCTAGTTAGTAAGCACTTTGAAAACCACTATCACAGTGTTTACCCATTTTGATGAAGCTTTGAGTATCTCGGCTTTGTTTTTTAAAAGCCTATACATGGCATTTTCAGGTGGTCTCCCATCCAATATTAACTGGACCATTCCTGCTTAGCTTCTGAGGTTAGATGAGATCAGGCAGTATGGCCATATATTGGATATCTATGATTTGGCATAGAGGAAGCACTAAAGTACCATTGTACATTTTGGGGATTGATGAGAAAAGAAAACTTTGCCACTATTTTTGTATAAAATAAATCACTGTTAATTGGAGATTGTGGGATTTTGCGATTGGGAGCTAGAGAGTAAAGAGAGATCATTATTTTTATTTTAAATAAATCAATGCTGTTAATTCAGATATCCTATTCAAAAGCTAAGAAAAATTGGAGATTACTATTTATTTCTATCAAGTAACATGAAATAATATTAATTAAGTTTGGTTGATGGGAGGGTTTTCCTCCAGACAATCTGCTAAAGAGGATGTGGCCCATGTCTTGACATCTTGGAATGAAATCCAGAAACTGATAAAATTTTATCATAGTTTTAGTTACTTGTAAAAATTGTTGTGTTAGTAGAAATAAATCTACAAACGCATCCTGGATTTCCACATAGTAATTCGAAGTATTAAAGTAAAAGTGGTGCATCTGGTTGTTCAGGAATTACACTCTTCAGCAATTGAGTGGTGGTGTGATTGTTGGTGTCGTTTGTCCTCACACACCACAGAAGAATGATCTACAAAGCAGATGCTACAGAGGAAATAGGTAGGAGGCAAGGAGGAAAGAAAAGAAGCGTGGTTTACCAATGCAGTCTGAAGAGAAGGGTGAAAGACATCTGAGCCTTTGGCCAAAGAGTTTTGCCAATTCAGGTCTGGCAAAAAGGCATTGTGGGATGTTTGGGGCCCTACAAAGCTGACAGGGCCTCTGCTTTATAGGTCTCATTGGGATGACGTTCATGCATTAAGTGGTTTTGGACTTGAATTTAATCTGTCTTAGAAGGAGGATACATTAACCTTGCTTGAGTCAATGAACTGATGGCTCCAGAGAGCCAGCTGCGGGAGGATGAATTATGGTGTAGACTTGAAAAGTTATCCGACCCACGGCCCGTGGGCTGCATGCGGCCAGGATGGCTTTGAATGTGACCCAACACAGGTGTGTAAACATTATGATATATATAATATATATATATTATATAGTATTTCATTATGGGACTAGGCCATATATATTAGCTGATGAGCAAATATATATGTTATATTATATATTATATATATTATATATATATTATATGTTATATGTTATATATATGTTATATATAACATTATGTTATATGTTATATATATATGTTATATTATATATATTAGCTCATCAGCTATAGTTAGTATTAGGGTATTTTATGTGTGGCCCAAGACAATTCTTCTTCTTCTAATGTGGCCCAGGGAAGCCAAAAGATTGGACACCCCTAGAGGAAGAACCCAGAAGATGGGGAAAGGGGCTGGCTGGAGTCCTAATGCCAGTGCTGCTGACTGCTGGCTGTGTGGCCTGGGCAAGTTCCTTACTCAATCTGTGCTCACTTGCATGTTATATAAAACAAGGAGCTTGATATTGAACTCTGAAACAGTGATTTTGAGGTCATTCCCAAATTTGGGGCATTCTGGTCTCGGGTAGCCTGGCTCTGCAGGGCTGAAGGTTTTGTTTGTTCTGGATGACTGCAGGTACAGTGGCTACAAGCAAAATTTTGTCCTGAAGCTTATGCTTTATGTCCCTGGAGTTCCCCAGGGAGTGCCTATTGACATTAATGCCAAGATTTTTTTTTAAAGCTTATTTTGATATGTTGGTACATTTTATTCCTTCTTAAATTCTAAAACTGTTCATCTGTGTGTACTAGCAGCACATATTCCCTGTGAACCTACTTATCTTTTGAAACTTTAATAGAAAGGAATGCTATCAGTCAGTATTTGAGGTTGATAGGCATTCTGATAAAAAGGAGTTACTTTTGTTCTTGATCTGATTTTTAAGTAATCAAGAAACAATAAAGTTATGCTAACATAATCATCAGGAAACTATCTATAAATAAACTTTGAAATTTGATTTCATGAAGTATGATTGTTAGGCAACTTTATCCTTTACCTTTTCACCATTGGAATTAAAGTATTTACAATCCCCAGAAAATCATATTCTTTCTATAACAGCGTGATACATTATTTATTAAAAACAAGCCATGCTAGTATAGTATCTAACAGTTCTATTGAAGAGATGCTTATTTATTTGAGAAATTTGGAAAACAGTGTGTCTTTACTTGCTTATGTAAAAATGACTAACTGATTAATCATGGGTTTTTAAACTGGTATAGATCCAGAAATGTTTCTTATGAAAAATTCTAGCTTTGCCTGCAAGTTCTTCTTGATCTAACTCTACATATAGAGGAATGGCCAGAAGCTTGTTCAGACCCCTCAGTGTTCCCAAAAGATATCAATTTTGTATCAGCTCATTTAATCACTGATGCCTATGAATATACTTTAACTACCAATCAGGCATATTTGTGTTTCAGGTCACTGCCTAGAAGTACCTGTTGCTCGATTCTTAAAAACTCTTATCAGTTTGAAACAGAGGTGAGCAAACCTTTTCTGCAAAGGGCCAGGTAGTAAATACTTTTGGCTTTCCCATTCATATGTCCTCTGTTGCAACTATTTGACTCTGTTGTTGTTTAGTACAAAAGCAGCCATAGACAATATGTAAATGAATGAACGTGGCTGTGTTTCAAGAACATTTTATTTATGGAGACTGAAATTTGAATTTCATATGTGTCACAAATCATTATTCTTCTTTTGATTTTTTTAACTATTAAAAAATACCAAAACATTTCTTATTTTGTGGGCAGTATGAAAACAGGTGGTAAGGTAAATCTGGCCTGCAGGCCGTAGTTTGCTAGATCCTTGTTTAGAAAATTGAAATTATAAAGAAATGTTTGAAAGACACAACTGATAATTTGTGGTTGGGTATTAAATGTTCACCTGTTTTCCCCTTTTCCTGGGTACATACCTTTAGATTATACCACCAGTCTCCCTCATAGTTAGGACTGGCCATTTGACCAAGTTCTTTTTTTCTTTTGAGACAGAGTCTTGCTCTGTTGCCCAGGCTGGAGTGCAGTGGTGCGATCTCGGCTCACCACAACCTCTGCCTCCTGGGTTCAAGTGATTTTCCTGCCTTAGCCTCCTGAGTAGCATGTGCCACCATGCCTGGCTAATTTTTGTATTTTTAGTAGAGACAGGGTTTCACTATGTTGGCCAGGCTGGTCTCAAACTCCTCCCAAAGGGCTAGGATTACAGGCTTGAGCCACTGTGCCTGGACTCATCTGACCAAGTTCTAGCCACTGGCATGTGGGCAGAAGTGATGTGTTGTTGCTTCCAGGTCTGGCCTATAAAAACCTCCCATGCATGGTCCTCTATGTTCTGTTCTTGTGTGTAGAATATGGAGGGACCTCAAGAAGGAAGGAGGTTGGTGTTTTGGTTTTACATGAGTGAGAAATAAACTTCTATTGTGTTGAGACACTGAGAGTTTCAGAGTTTTTGGTTAGAGCAGCCAGTGTTATCTTAAATAATATGTCATTACTTTTACCAGATATTTTTGGTTTGATTCTTACACTAAATTGGACTCTCAAAGATTGCATATTTGGATGGACTTGTTTTTCTTCTCCTCTCCTCTTCATTTTCTCCTTTTTCTTTTTCTTTTTTTTTTTTTTTGAAATGGAGTTTCACTCTGTTACCCAGGCTGGAATGCAGTGGTGCGATCTTGGCTCACTTCAACCTCCGCCTCCCAGGTTCAAGCGATTCTCCTGCCTCAGCCTCCTGAGTAGCTGGGATTACAGGCACCCGCCACCAAGCCCAGCTATTTTTTTTTTTTTTTTTGGTGTTTTTAGTAGAGACGCAGTTTCAACATGTTGGTCAGGCTGGTCTTGAACTCCTGACCTCAAATGATCCACCTACCTTGGCCTCCCAATAGCCACCATGGCTGGCCTATTTCCTCCTTTTTCACACTTAACTGGCAGATAATAGACTGGGTTGCCTTCTGTGTTTTAAGCAATTAAAGTTTGGTGGCCATTAGCTTTCACTGAGATGTTACAAGAAACATGAAACATCATTTTTACCCTAGAGATGTTAGTGAGAAAACAGTCACTGACATGAAACCCACCTGAGGAATTCTCTTGGAACTCAGGGCCAGGAAAAACTTATCTTCCCCTGAGAAATTTGTGTTTTCTTATCAACAAAGAGAATATCGTTGAATGTACCTGATTGTATTCCCTTTTCCCTTTTCCCTCTGGTTGCCAAGAAGCTCAGAGCCAAATTTTTGGCTCAACATTAATAACTTCGTAGGACCCTGTGGCCTACATATCTGCATTCTTAGTTTCCTACTGGTCTTGACCTTCTATTCTGCTGTGTTTTCCTTGTTCCTGATTTTTTAAATTTATATTTTTTAATTTTATTGCTTGTTTTTCTTATAAGCTTCCTCAGATCCTTTGTGGAACAAAATGGCGTAAGTTAAAAAAAATGGCTTCAGCTTATTAATAGAATACACCAAAAACATTCCTTAATCACCAATTTAGTGGTGTGGGAATTAGAACTTCAAATTTATTTCTCGGGCTCTCTCCTTAGTCATTATGTCTCACGGTTTGGTGAAGGGTTGGTTTTGCAATTATGAGAACTGAAGGCCTTCACATTTCCCCAGTCTACTTTAAAGGAAAAAAAAAATGTCATTTTACCAAAAGTCCCCATGATTTGCCATGGAAAATGGAGACAGTTCATAAGGAAGTTTAACAGACAAATGATAGACTGGGAAAAGATGTTTGCAATGTTTAAAACAGCAGCAAATTAAAGTAAATAATATACAGTGACCTCCCGCAAATCAAGAAGAAAAAGATAACAAACTCAACAGAGAAATGGTCGAAAGATAGAAATAGGTTATTTTCAGATGCTGAAATTTATCCGTTATCAGAGAACAGCAAATTTAAACAAGTTATCACTCCACACTCATCCAATTGGCAAAAAAATTTCTACTTTATTTTTTTACTCACCATTATACTAATGAAGACAATCAGCAAATATTAAAAGGTGGACAATGGCAAGTATTGGCAGCCTGTGGGTGATGGGAGTCCCCATGCACTGTTGGTGAGTGTCTAGACTGGTACACCTATTAAGGAAAACAGTCTTTCAGTATTTAAACTACATAAATACATTATGACCTCTTCGAGGCATATCTTCTAGATATATTCTTCCTTAAGTTCAGTAGAGGATACACACAAAAAAGTTCATCACAGTCTTGTTTGTGGTAGCAGGATATTTGAGGCATTCTCGTGTCCATCACAAGAGAAATGGGTGAGTAAAATGTAGTGGATGCATGTTTTCCAGTAGTTAGAAGCAATATAGCTTTACAGTAACATCTTATGATTTAAAAAAAAATAGTGTTCAGTGGGCTGGGTGCGGTGGCTCACGCCTATAATCCCAGCACTTTGGGAGGCCGAGGCGGGTGGATCACCTGAGGTCAGGAGTTTGAGACCAGCTTGGCCAACATGGTGAAACCTTGTCTCTACCAAAAATACAAAAATCAGCCGCATGTGGTGGCGTGCGCCTGTAATCCCAGCTACTCAGGAGGCTGAGGCAGGAGAATCGCTTGAACCTGGGAGGTGGAGGTTGCAGTGAGCCGAGGTCTCGCCACTGCACTCCAGCCTGAGTGACAGAGTGAGACTCCATTAAAAAAAAAAAGTTTTCAGTGAAAAATGTATGAAAGATTGATATATTTAGCATAATACCATTTACATAAATTTAACACAGCCATAAAGAAAATAACACAACATGGTTTAAAAGGATTCAGACGAATTAAGTTAATGTATCAAACTCATTGAAGTACCTATGTTTAGGGTGGAGAGGAGTAGGAGGGACAGATGATCATTCACCATGAACTCAACTATTTGTACTGACATGAAAAAAAAGAAGAGTGTGTCATCCTGATAGGAAGTGGGTACTGTAGAGTTGCCTTTATATGTCCTAAGGCATCCACATCTCATATGAGAAGTCACTGGTGGTGGCTGCACAGAATATAAGGGTGGATTCAGACTCACTTGGCTTTGATCTCAGCAACAACTTTGAATTTACTAGCATTTTACAGCAGCTTGAAAGTAAGAACTTTGGAAAAATCTCTATCTCAGTAAAGGAAGTACCTCTGACTTCATTTATTCACTCAGAGCGTAGCGTGGTGGCTGAGAGTGTGAACTCTGGAGACTACTCCTGGCTCTGCCATTACTTACTGTGTGACCCTGGGCAAATTACTTCTTCTGACACGCCTCAGTTTTGATTGGTTTTGAAAGATGGGGTTAGCAATGGTTTTTACTTCATAGGGTTGTTGTGAGGATTAAACAAGTTAATATTTTGAAGCACTTAGAATGGTGCTTGGGTACATAGTAAGAATTATGTAAGTATTCATTAAATAAATAAAGCCATTTAACAAATATCTGAGTACCTAACATGGGCAAGGACTATGCTAGATTCTGGGAATACATATCAGAAAAGAGGATCTTTTTTTGTTTGTTTATTTTTCATTTTTTGAGACAGGGTCTTTCTCTGTCACCAAGGCTGGAGTGCAGTGGTGTGGCCATGGCTCACTGCAGCCTCAACTTCCTGGGCTCAAGCAGTCCTCCTGCTTTGGCCTCCACAAGTGTTGGGGATTACAGGCATGAGCCACTGTGCCTTGCCAGAAAAGAGACTGTTTACTACCTCTCATTCTGCCCTGCCTAGGTTCCAGGGTCATAGTCCTTGCTTCATTGCTTGTGCCCAAGCTCCATCTATTGCTATATCTGTGTCTTTTTTTTCCTTCTGTGTTTGAGTGTCTCTTTATTCTCTGATACATATCCTCATTACTGAAAGATTGGGACCTGGGGAAATGCACTGGTGTTTGAAGCTTCAGTCCAGGCTGCTAGATCCTCTTAATGCTAAATGCAAACCTGGATGTCTGCTCCTGCCAGGCTCCTGGCTCCTCTGACATTCTACCTGGTGGTTCCACTTGCCCCTTCCCCTTTATTGCTGGGTGGTTGCCAGAACACCTCAGCAGGTCTGTTCAAGGACCTTGTCTTTGCTAGTCTTTCCCATTATGGTAAGTGGCTCTCTCCAGAGGTTCAAGCCAGAATCCTAGGAGTTATCCTTGGTTCCTCTTTTTTCCTCCCACCTTATTGAATCCATCAGCAAGTCCTGTTAATTCTACCTTCAAAACATCTCTTGAATCTCACAGGCTTTGTTGATCCTCGCTGTCATCACCCAAGTCCAGCTTCCCACCATCTTGTTCCTGGATCCCCGTAGTCACTTCTGGACTGGTCTGCCTGCTTTCACTTTTGCCACCTGCATTCTATTTGCCACACAGCAACCAGAAGGGTCTTTAAAAAATGCAAATTGGATTACGTTTGAACTCTACTCAAACCCTTCAATGACCTCCCATTGCACTTAGAATTAGTGCTACTAAACCAATGATTTAATTTATAAGAGCAAGTTTTGAAATCAGTGTTTTCTAACCCTTGGGTCAATCTCAGAGCATTTTGCTATGAAATTTTCAAAATTAAAGATTACAATTGCAACACTTAATTGTTTAATTTTCTTCTGTGTTATTAGATATTTTGCTGCTAAAATTAGTTGGAGTTGGGAGGAGGAGCACTGGGGCATAACCGTCAGCAGCTGCAGCTTGGAGAAGCTGGTTCTCTTGTCTTCAAGAAGGCAGATCTCTCCCTAGCCTGCTGAGCCTTCTGTGTTTTGGGGAAGGTTTGTATTCTTTCTTCCTCGGGATTATGGCCCTGAGAAAGTGTCTTCTAGTTCTCATCAGGACCAGGATCGAGGACCAGCCCTGGGTCAAAAACATAGGATGTGGGTGAGCACACAGTGGGGCACTGGGCAGTACGGACTGAGTCACCAGACAGTACCTGAGCCATAGAGGGCTGCTGCTGGGGAGGAAGCAGACAGAGGTGCAATGGAGGTGAATGTGCCACGCTAGAGTCAAGCGCCTTCATCAAGATTTAAGGAGAGGGGGAGTGAAGGACTGGAGTAGAAACCACAGGTACAGACATGGAGAAGGTAAGGCCGTTACAGCCTGAGGAGAACAGCGGAGGTTTTAAACGCCTGGCAGGTCTCAGTGGAACTGCTTCCTCAACTCACAGATTAGCTTCTTTTTACCGACTCAGCTTCCTTTCCTGATAAGCCCAGTTGCCATGTAGACTTTGTCAGAATTTAATGCTCTCTTTAAACCAGTGGGTCTCAATATCATTAGAATCATGTGGGAAGCTTTGTTAAAAAGAAAAAAAAAGATGCCTGGGTTCCACTCACCTAGGTCAACAGAATCAGAATCTCTAGGGAGGTGGAGGTGGCATAGGGTTGGTGGAGTTGGGCCCAGGCATATGTGATTTCTTTAGAAGTTCACCATGTGATTCTGATGCCCAGTGAAGGTCGAGAACCATTGCCTTCAGCACTCTTACTTTGAGTAAACAGGATCATTCCCCGCTTTTGAGATTTAAAATTTTAGAATGCTGCAGCTAGATAATACTTTGTGGCGGTGTTTCTCAAACTTTCATGTGCATGTGAATCACCTGGGGATCCTGTTAAAAAGCAGATTCTGGTTTAGGTGACTGGAAGTGGGGCCTAAGCTGTGGCATTTCTCACTCATGTCCCTGTGACATGGGAGCTGCTGGAGTGAGGACCACCTTGATTGCAGTGGAGCTTTAGATCGAATACAGATGGAATGCTGCCTCTGTGCCAGACCCTGTGCTTAGTGCTGTACATTCAGTGCATTCTCACAGCCTCTGAAAGAGGTACTGTTTATAATTCCATTTTACAGGTACGTAAACTAAGGCCTAGATAAGTTAAGTATCTTGTTCAGGATAATAATGCTGGTAAGTAATAAGAGGCAGAATCTGGATCTAGATGGTCTGATTCCAGAAACTGTGAGCTGAACCACAATGTAATACCACTTCAAAGGCAGGATGGGGCTCAGGGGAGGACCTGCAGTTGGAAGAGGTGTTCAAGGACTTGTACTGAAGCTGTGTTTGTATAACAACAAGGTTTTGTTTTCATTTGAGATAGCCCCTGGAAGAGGCGAATAAAAACAGGTATTACAGAGGAGCTAAAGCACTCTAAGCCACTCCTTGGCCTGTCCCTGTAGGCCATGCCTTCATGTTGCTGGGCAGGAACAGGAGTTCATTGCAAGGTGTATATCGCAATTCAGTGGCAATATATTTCAGGTGTCACTGTATATCTCATAGATAGCCAGGTGGCTTCTGACCTTGTGATGACTTTGTTGTCAGAACTGAGGCCCCTTGGATTGTCATGACCTGGCCCTTGCCTGCTTTTCCCCCTCCTCTTCCACAGCTGCCTCCCTGACTTACCCAATGGCAAGCTCTAGACACATTAACTGCTTTCAGTTCCCTGACGGTATCACAATTTTATACTTCATGAATGTTGTCTTCTCTATTGGATGTCTTTGTTATCCTTTTCTTGCCAGGTTAAATGCTACCTTGTTCAACATCCCGGACAATGTAGTTCTTTCAAAAAGAATTTTCTAACCCTCCCAGCCAGGATTAAGTAATTCCCCTCCTCCTTTGGTCTGTCATAGTCCCCTGTTTCTTTTAATTAGAGCACTTAAGTAATTTACTTTTCTATTTAGTCAGACGGTGAACCTCTCTAGGGCTGTGCTTCATTTATCTTTGCATCCCAGGGCTTAGTATAGTATTCAGTAGGTGGTGAGAAGGCTGACAAGCATGTGTATTGAATGAATGAGTGACCCTTTTATTCCCAGTCCAGTGTTCTTTCCAACTGATGATTTGACTAAACTAGTAGTTTTCAATCCTGACTGTAGGGTTTTTAAAATAATCTGGATCATACCCAAGTCAGCTAAATCACAATCTCTTGGGGGTGAGGCCTAGGCATCTGTGTTTTTAGCAAAGTTCCCCAAGTGATTCTAAGATGTAGCCAGGTTGAGAACCAAGGGATTAACCTTTCAGAGTTACTCTTGCTGTGGTTGGAGCATAATAGTTGAAAGTAACATAGAGGAAAATTGTTGTCTGTCTTCAAAACTGAAAAGGAGAAATAGAAGGAAATATATGGGTAAACTGATCACTTACCTAGGCCTTTTGAAAGTAAATATATAAAACAACAGCATTTTAAGGCTGGGATAAGGAAATGTCATAAAACCCAATAATCAATTACGAAGTATGACACTTCTAAAAAGTTGGGAATCATTTTTCTAAAATTATATTAGTATATCATCCCAATCTGTGCTTTTTTGGCTATTTTTATCCATATATCATTTGCCTTGAGTGCTAGTGAATGATCTTTAAAGGCTTTCAACAAATGACTCACCATTCTCTTACTTTATAATATAGTATGCTAATTGGCAGTCATCTTAGGAGTGTTAAAATATGGCAACAATAACATGAAGTTAATTGTAAAGAAAGGGAGTTGGCTCTTTGTGGCTCTAGATCATTCCAGGTATGAGCAGACTTGTAAATACATCTGTTTATTCATTCTCCATGCAAACATTTGGTACTTATCTTCTCTCGGACAAAGTGCTACATATTGGAGGAAAAAGGGTAATATAAGACACCCTCCCAGAAGTTCTCTGTCTTAAATATGAATAATTAACAGTGCACCATGATATGCACAATGGAGGTCCACTCCAATGAGCACAGGAGGGAAGACGTGTCAGGGAAGGTTCACATGAAGCTCACCTACACGCACATAATATACAGCAGTGGTGTCAGGGCACGGATGACATTTCAGATGGTACTGAAAGGACAGCTCCAGGCACACAGCCCAGGTTGGTGGGATCTTGGCTCATTGCAGCCTTGACCTCCCTAGGCTCAGGTGATCCTCCCACCTCAGCCTCCTGAGGAGCTGGGGCTACAGGTGCCGCACCACGCCTAGCTAATTTGTGATTTTTGGTAGAGAAAGAGTTTCAACATGTTGCCCCGGCTGGTCTCAAACTCCTGGGCTCAAGCAATCTGCCTGCCTCAGCCTCCCAAAGTGCTGGGATTATAGGCATGAGCCATCACGCTCAGCCTGATGTGTTTGTGTTTGATTAAATCCATGGCACAAGATTTAATGTGGCATTACAAATGCTGTAATCTCAGCATTTTGGGAGGCTAGGATGGGAGGCTCAGCATTTTGAGAGGCTGAGATGGGAGGCTCAGCACTTGAGTCCAGGAGTTTGAGATCAGCCTGGACAACATAGCAAAACTCTGTTTCCACCTTAAACAAAAAACAACCATAGCACATCCTAATAGAGTTTTATTGGAGACTCACTCTCAAAAAGAGCCCTAAAAGAATTAAATAATGGTATTTAACTGACAGACACATGAAAAAATCTGGTTTCATATCTCAAAGTAACACTAACAGTTTCTTATGCCAGCAGAGGAAGATCATGTTTTAGAGAGATGGAGGTTTGACCATCTTCAGATAGTGACCTGCCCTTGCAGTACTTCAGAGCTCATCAAAGAGAGGAAGAGAAAAATGGAGTCACAGACTGCCAATTACTGCTTTTGCCTGGAAACAATGCATTTCACTTCCTTTTCTCATTTCATTGGCCAGAAATAATTACATAGCTATGTATAAAATAAGGGGGATGGGGGAATTATAATCTTTGTGTGTCCTGAAGTGGAGAACACTTGAATACGGGGGAATGTTACTAATGTCTACCATAGTCAGTCTCTTCAGCTTCACCCATGTGTGTTGGAAATAGAAGGGTGTGCTCTTCAGACATGAAGAAGAAAAAAATGACTTCATTACTATTGGTTATTATTCTTTTTATATTCTAATATATGTAGGATTGTTGCCAATAAGATTTTTATTTAAGATTGGTAGCAAGACCGGTCTTCATCAATATTAAAACAATTATTTTAAAGCTTTGAAATTAAGTTAAAGGCTATTACTTAAAGCAGCATGAATACGAATTCCAAGTAACAATCAGTATGATGATTGCCTTACTAAAATAACTTCAATTGAATCAATGTGCCCATGTGGAACACCTAGGGATTACAGGAGCAACTTCCATATAGAAGTTACCTCAGTGAGCTGGTTTCAAGCATGAGCCAGCAATGCAAATGCAGGCATATCACTTAAAAAAAAAAAAGAGATGAGGTCTGTCTCTCTCGCCTAGGCTGTAGCACAGTGGCAAAATCACGGCTCACTGCAGCCTAGAACTTGTGGGCTTAAGGGTTCCTCCTGCCTCAGCCTCCCAAGTAGCTGGGACCACAGGTGTGTGCCACCACACCTGGCTAATTAATTTTTTTTTTTTTTTTTTTTTTACAAACAGGGTCTCACCATCTTGCTCAGGCTGGTCTTGAACTCTTGGCCTCAGGTGATCCTCCCACCTTGGCCTCCCAAAGTGCTGGGATTACAGGCATGAGCCACTGTGCCAATGTGCCTGGCCCATTCGAAATACAAGATATATGCATTGTTTTGGTTTTTTAAAATTGCTTTCAAAATCTCTCACACACTACCACTTCTTTCCCCACTGTAGTCAGGAAGGAGGCAAGATTTGGGGAAGAGAAAGGATGGAATCCACTCAGGCTAGTTTTGGTGGAAGTAAAACAGTTTTCTAAGGAAAAAAGGGAACTACACTGTTTCTTTCTTTCCTCCTCCTTGGCTAACGTGTCAAGTGGTTAGGGGACCGTTATTCCCCTCCTTAGCTGGCCCTCTGGAGACTAGCGCTGTCCAATAGACCTTCCTATCCCTGCAATAATGAATATGGTAGCCACTAGGCACAGACGGCTATTGAGTACTGGAAGTGTGGCTACTGCAACTGAGGAACTAAACTCTAATTTTATTGAATTTACTAACTTTAAGTAGCCATGTGAATTCAGGTGATAGGAGAGAGGGAGGTTGTTCTTATTCCTGTTTTCGGTGTAGATTTTTCTGTACATCACAATGATTTTATCTTCCACACAAGATGTTGAAGATGAGCTGAGTCAGTGGGGGATCGGGTGGGAGTGAAGCGTGGACCGAGGCAGAGCCTGCTGCAATGCCTCCCTTCCTAGCCAGTGCAGACCAGGCTCCCTTCATGATCACTGGCGGACAGGACCAAGTGATGCCCAAAGACGGCACAGACACTAAAATGGGGACGATTACATGAATCTCAGACCTGATTTTGTTTTAAAGCCTATGACTTAGGATATGAGAAAAGAAGAAAGAGGCAAATAAACCTAGTGTGGTAACCTTTTAACATAGCATTAGCATCCATTTTTTCATAATATATTTGGATATAAAATCTTTATTGTGCTCAAAATTCTTATTAAAAATGCAGTGAACTGTAGTTTGTACATTTGCAGCCTCTCATTCCTCAAATTGTTCTTTTGTAAGAAATAATTTCTTTGATGGTCATTGTTTAATGAAAGACATGGGCAGTTATAAAAGAAAACTAATGTCATCAAACATTCATCTGGTGACTCCTATGTGCTGGTGCTATGCTAACAATGAATGGCACTTTGCAACACTAATTTTTAGCAAAATAACGACTTCTTAGCTGTAAAGTCCCCATGGGTGTGTGTCCTAGAGGCATATATTCTTTTCTATCTTTGTCTACGGTTCATTTTGGAAAACACCTACTTTTATTACACGATTGTAAAAATTAGTGCTCATATTAAACAATTTAATGAACCGAAGTGCCTCAGTCCTTTCGAAGCCTGACTGGCCTCCTCTAGATCTTTGGGCAGAGGTCAATGTAGAGTGATTTGCTGAAATGCTTGGATTTTATTCTTGAGATTTAACATGAAGGCAAGTGAGTGAAGTGAGGTAGGAAAGCACGTATGATTTCAAGATAATCTGATTTTTTAAAAGATAGAACATTTCACTTTCTGAATTAAAATTATCATCTTAAATAACCTTATCTCAAAGGAAGTCCTATTCCAAACATAATATCTAACAACATCAAATTTTTTTCTACCAGTACATACGTATAAACAGGAAAACTATTTTTTAGCGGAAAGTTAATTGTTGATACCACCATATTTGTACTCAAATGCAAGACCATTTCTAGTTCCACCCTCCCCACCGTACATTCCAGAGCCCACCTTTATTTTACCCTGACATTGTACCAGCATAAAATTCCAATATGCTAATTACTTCTCCAGATCATGCCATAGTTCTGATGCCATAAGACAAATATTAAAGGTTTACTTTTTATGTTCAGAATAATTGGGTAATTGTCGTCATCCTGTGACAGGTTTCCCTTTTTCCTGAGGTCTTTTGACTAATGGTTCTATTGTTATTGTTGGAGTGGCTCATGCCCCATTGTGTCATGACGCAAAACTTGATCTGTGGTAGAAATGCCTTACACATTTATTCCCTCCAGGAAACCAAAGGGCAAGAAAGTAACATTCCAGATTGAGAACCTGGCTTTTTGCACCATGACCTAACCTGTTCCAGGTGAAAAATATTAGGCCAAAAATAGTTTCATGAGAAAATTTTTACGTGAGTTCCTGCAGTGGTTCTCAGTACTAGCTGCTTGTTAATTAGTTAGTTAATTGATGGGCAGCTTAAAGCAATCACTATGTGGGCCCCACCTGAAACTTGTTAAAAAAGACTGATTTCTGGGGGCCCCATTATATGCTGTTGAAATTTAGACTCTCCACAGGAGGGTCCTGGGTATCTGTACTTTAAACAAAACTCTCAGATTATCAAATAAATTTGGTCAACTTGATTTAAGGTATTGATCTTGGGAAAGAGCACTTCATACTTTTTTTGAAATAAACTTAGTGGCCTTCAAGACATATTTCTAATGCCAGTATCTTACTTGTCTTCTTTTACTTATTTGCATATGAATACTATTAAAGAAGGAATATTTAACCATAGAGAAGGTTTGTTTACATTTTTGTCTTCAGCCAAATCAAGCCTTTCATAATTTTATGTATTAAAAATAAAATTTAGATCAGACTCCCATCTCTACAAAAAATGCAAAAATTATTGTAGCCAGGTGCGGTGGTATGTGCCTGTAGTCCCAGCTGCTTGGGTGGCTGAGGAAGGAAGATCGCTTGAGTCCAGGAGTTTGAGGCTGCAGTGAGCTATGATTGCATCACTGCATTGCAGGCTGGGCAACAGAGTGAGAACCTGTCTAAAATAAATTGCATTTTCAAGTTGTACTTTCAGCAGCACCAGATAGTATGCTGGAGCTCAGAGGCCAGGAGAGGAGCACTTTCCCTCTACTTATTATAAGAGGTAACTTAATACTGATGGAGGAGTGTCTTGGGTTCTTACACTTGGAGACCAATTTGTCATTCCATTCAACACAAAATAACAAGGGATTCACTAGTTCATACATTATTTCTATTCAACAAATGTCGTTTGACTGTCTACTGTATGCCATACTGTGTTAGGTATCAGGGATACAAAATAAAGTAAATTGGGATTTTTTTCTTGTTAGAACTGGTAGGTTAGAGCAGATATTCTTAAGGTGTGATCTCTATCCAGCAGCATTGGCATCCCTGGAAACTTGTTAGAATTGCATATTCTCTTGCCTTACCCCAGACCCACTAAATCTGATTCTCCATAAAGCTTGAGAACCACTGGCCTCTAGGAGGAGCGATCAGTTCAGCAGAAAATTAGAGTACCTTGTGGTAGATACAGTGGAGATGGGGAGGAGGCTAGGACTTTAGGAATGTTTCTGGGAGGAAGAGATGCTTGAGCTCTCTAAAATATTTGGTGCAGAGTGGGGGGAGGTGTTCCTAGAGAGGTCAGCAGGAGCCACACAAAAAGCCATGTTGCATTTTACTCTGAATGCAACATGGAATCTTTTGGACCCTATAGTCAGTTCATTTACAATTATCATCAATGTGATCTTTTGACCAGACTTTTAGCTAAGTGGTGCTGGTCTTGAGCTCTGTGTTTCAGGTGCTTCCTCAGATATGGGAAGTTAGAGAAATGCAGGTGTAAAAAATTCCTCTCGCATTAAAATCTAACACAGTAGTGTTAAATAAAGATTTGGTGAATAAACACAAATAAATGAAAGAGTGGATAAAGCTAGGATTTGGGGAAGGTAAGGAAAATGTGTAATGAAAACATAGCAGCATAAGCACTGGTTTTTGAGTGAATTGAAAATCCCATGGCATTCAAAAAATTACACAGACCTTCAGTGGTTTAATCAAAGAAAATAAGTATCTCTCCCATTTTTCAGCAGCCGGAGTTCAAAGGCTCAGAGTCACTACGTAGGACGGAGTGGGAAGAGAAGCAAGGAGAACTCTGTCAGTTCTCCTGGATTGCCTTCCTCCTGTCTTCCTGAACATTTGCGCAGTACGGTTAGTGGGCACTAACTGTGTTCCAGGGACTCTACACATATTATTTATAATACATTCAACACCAATAGAAAGTAGATGTTTTCCTCCCAAGTTTTAAAAGGATCTAAAATTCACAGGGCTCTGGAGTCTGAGGAAGAAAATGGTTTATCTAGAAATTTCTGGGAAAAACATGGCTATTCACTCATGGTCAACTTGAATTGAGGAAATTGGAATACCAAGAGGTTAAGTGACTCGCTCAAAGTCAACATGCTCATAACTAAGGATATCTGGGATTCAACACCAGGTCTGTGTAACAGCAATTTGTTCCAGTGATCTGTGTGACCAGGGGAACCCTGAGTGTCCTACCCCAAGAGATGGCCTGTTAAATGTCCCGGCTCTTCAGGATACCTTATACATTCCTCAATTGACCCCACAAAGCATTTTCCCTTTCCTGGAAAATTCAATTGCCAGAAACACTTACCCCACTATGATCACACATCACTATCTAAACTCATGCAAAAGACACATATTGCCTGTTTTCAAGTACAATGAATATTGAATTTAAGCTTTTACCATATGGTAGCTAACCCAATGATTTATAGAACTTATTTTCACTTTCTGTGTCTAAACAATAAATGATTGTTTTATATTTATAGCAACATAGGAGCAATCTTCACAGATCTCAGTAACAAGTTTTTAATTTTATTGGCCTGGCATTATGTGGCTCTTGAAATGGCCATAAGGTCTAGGCACAAAATGGACTGACTTCTCATGACTAAGGATTTTATAAGTAGAATTTAATTGTTGCCTTTAACTCAATGAATAAATGTTGAAAAAAAAGTATGCATATGTATATAGACCAAAACTTTATTTTATAGCAAATTCTTGTACCTAGCATGAATTATGTACCACATATAGGTTTTTTATCAAAACTGACAGAGAAGGGTAATAAATCACATTTACCTTAAAAACCCAACTCACCCATTTAATTTTGTGTTCTTTCTTCTTATACTTAACAATAAAGTGGTTAATAAACAATAAAAGAGATGGACTTTGGTTTTAAAAAATGAAGCTTTCTATAATTTAAAGAAGTTTTATAGAAGACATGTTTCCTAACTTCCTAGATTTCCCCTCTGGTTTATTAAAAAACATGACATAAAAAACATGATAAAAGCCGAACAATTATTAGTCACTTTCTATCATTTCAGTTGAATTATAAAATTTTTTTTCTCCAGACGCTTGTAAATAATGTCTGTTTTTCTATATTTGTCTACTATAGACGTTGTGGAGAAAATATAATAAAGGGAAAATGAGAATGGGGGGAAAGCAGAAAAAATAACACCACTCTCAAATATGGGAGCAGCTGCTTCTCAGATGTATGGTGGAGTTTCCTTGGAATCAAGCAGAATTTGAGAAAGTCTGCCTCTGTCTCTTGTTACATGGCTCTTGTCATGAAGGATAAACAAAAAATGAACTCAGTGCAGCTCAAGAGAAGAGTTTCCTTTTCTTTTCTTTTCTTATCCTACTTACCTTTTCTGAGTTAAAGCCAGCAGATAGTAACTCAGATTAAAACCCACTCTCTAGATATAAACAACAGTGCTGATTAAATGGATCACTTTGCCAAGGGAGATGCAGCCAGAGTGCCCATTTTTCATTCAAATGTTCCAGGCTTGTAGAAGTAGCTTCCAGCTCTAAATATATTGAATCACCATTAACCTACTGGAGAAAATAGGAATACGAACACACGCTTTCTTATTAGATGAGCATGGCAGGTTTTCTGATAATGCAAACAATTAAATGGAAGAATTTATATCTCTCAGAGTCTTGACAAAATTCCTTCTGTCAGTGAATCACAATTCCTCTCCCTTAGAGCAGCCTAACTGGAATCTTGAGGTGGGAATCCTTTGGAGTTTAGGGATGTGTGCTGATTTGTTTGTTTTGGATATTGGTTAGAGTGCTCAATAAGGAGTAAATGTTACAAGTAGGTCCCTGTCACTCAAAGAATGATCAGAACCACCAGTATCCAGTATTATGTGGCATTTGTTATAGCTGCAGAATCTTGAGTTCCTACTGAACTAGAATCTGAATTTTTAAAGATCCCCAGGTGATTTGTATGCACATTAAAGTTTGAAAAGCACTGTTCTAGCAGTGGTTCTTATACTTTACCATGCATCAGAATCTCTTGAAGGGCTTGTTAAAATGTAGACTGCTGATCCCTATCCATAGAGATTCTGATTCAATAGGTTTGGGGTGGGATTTGTGTTTCTCATATGTTCCCAGGTGATATTGATGCTGCTGGTCTAGAGACTACACTGAGAGCCATTGCTCTAGGGCAATGCTGCCTGATGGAATTATAAGAGCCACATATGCAATTAACAGTTTTCTTTATTTTTCCTTTTTTTTTTTGAGACGGAGTTTTACTCTTGTTTCCCGGGCTGGAGTGTAATGGTGCACTCTAGGCTCGCTGCAACCTCCGCCTCCCGGGTTCAAGCGATTCTTCTGTCTCAGCCTCTGAGTAGCTGGGATTACAGGCATGCGCCACCACGCCTGGCTGATTTTTTGTATTTTTAGTAGAGACAGGGTTTCTCCATGTTGGTCAGGCTGGTCTCGAACTCCTGACCTCAGGTGATCCACCCACCTTGACCTCCCAAAGCAGTTAACAGTTTTCTAGGTTGGCTGCCATGGCTCACGCCTTTACAGCACTTTGGGAGGCTGAGGTGGGCAGATTGCCAGAGCTCAGGAGTTCCAGACTAGCCTGGGCAACATGGTGAAACCCTGTCTCTACCCAAAATACAAAAAATTAGCTGAGCTTGGTGGCACGCGCCTGTGGTCCCAGCTACTTGGGAGGCTGAGATGGGAGGATGGCTTGAGCCCTGGGTGTGGAGGTTGCAGTGAGCCGAGATCGCACCACTGCACTCCAGCCTGGGCAACAGAATGAGACCTTGTCTCAAAAAAAAATTTTTTTTTTCTAATATCTTTTCTTTAACTCTGAATACATAAAATGTTATTTCCACATCTAATCAGTATAAAAATTATTAGTGAAATATATTCTCTTTTTTGGTAATGAGTCTTTTTTTTTTTTTTCTGATTGAGACAGGGTCTCATTCTGTGGCTCAGGCTGGAGTGCAGTGGCGTGATCCGAGCTCATTGCACCTTTGATGCCCTGGGCTCAAATGATCCTCCCGCCTTGACCTCCCCAGTAGCTGGGACTGCAGGCATACTCCACCGCGCATGGCTAATTTTCAGAATCTTTTGTAGGGATGGGGTCTCACTGTGTTGCCCAGACTGGTCTCAAACTCTTGGGCTCAAGCAATCCTCCTGCCTTAGCTTCCTGAAGTGCTGGGATTATAGGCCTGAGCCACCATGCCCTTTGTAGTAAATCTTTAAAATCTAGTGTGTATCTTGCACTTAGAGCAAATCTCCATTTGGACTAGTCATATTTGGAGTGCTCAATAACTACATGTGGCTGGCTGGCTAAGGCTAGTTATCAGAAAGTTTCTAAATGTTACTTCAGAGACATTGTTACTGTTTGTGAAACTGACCTGGGAGAAGTAGAAAAAATAAAGCTAAATTTACTTAATTTAATTGATTTTTTTTTTATTCTGAGATTGCCTCTTGTCTTCCTTTTTGCTCCTGAAATGTCCTCTCTTTAATGCAGTGGTTTTCAAAGTGTGGTTCCAAAGAGCAGTGGCAGCAGCGTCACGTGGGAATTTGTTGGAAATGCACATACTTGGGCTCTGAGACTCACAGAATCAGAAGCTCTGCAGGTGGGCCCCAGCCATCTGTGCCTTAACAAGCCCTCCAGGTGATTCTGACACATGCTAGTTTGAGAACCACTGCTTGAAGGAAATGATGGTAATAAAATAAGTTGTAGAGTTTAATTATTATTTTATAACTGTAATTGGCAAAATAAGAAATTGGCAAAGTTATGCCAGTTCCTTAATTAAAACATTTATTTTTCTATTGGTTATGAAATCTGAAAGCCAGAAAACCAATGTGTTGGAGGTTAGTTAAATAATACTTTGTACTGCTGTGGAGAAAATACAGTTTAAAAAATAGGGAAAGATTGGAAAAATGGTGTGTATATAAGCATTCAAATGAATCCCAGGAAGTCAATGCTTGGTTCTCATTAGTGGCACCTTTATGTACTTACTACTGGAAAATGAATACACTTACTAAACAACACTGACTAAGAAAACTCAGGTTTCTCATGCAAAATACTGAAAATTAATCAGAAGAAAAAATCCCATAAATATTGATGATCTCATTCTCTAGTTCTCTGTTAATTAGTCAATATTTGGCTTTTATTGCTACAAAAGTCGTTCTACAGAAATTTTAATAACTGGTCTTTAAAAAATAAAGAAACAAAACCTTTTGGCAATTGTATATTTCCTCTTGGAAACATTACTAAGTATTTAAGGCCAAGACTCAGCATATTAAATTTGGTTCCTTCAGACAACTAAGGGGTGGGAGAATATTGAAATGAAGTAGAGTGGGTGAAATATGAAATAATATAAGGAATTAACTGTGAATGATTGGAACCAAAAGAAAATCTAATAACCCAAAGGAACATACATGTGTGCTCAGGGTGTCGGCTCAGGGGAGCCGTGGGGCTCCGAATCTTAGACCTTGGTTCAGTTTCTGTTTCTAGATGGGATGTTAGCCATTCTCTTCTAAGGCTTGATTTTTCTAAATATACATAAATTTAAATGGCAGAGTATGTCTAGACTGTTGTTAGTCTGTTGATTAATGAACCAGTATTCTTAACATTTTTTAGATTCCTGAGGAAAATGGGTTTAAGAACTCCAAAGCATTATTATTTCCCGTTTACAAGAAGTTCCTGTTAGGCCTAATTCAGAGGAAATTCAGGGATATAAAGAGAAAAGATGTGATAAAAATGACCAGTTCTATTGTTCTGTGTGAATAAGGTACCTACCTCTACTTCATGCTAAAATTAGAAATCTTTCTTGTAGTTTGGAGACCTAATAGACCCCGAGGCTTGGTGGGTGGTTCTCTCCTGCTAACTTCTAAAGTTGAAGCTAAGGGGATCATTATTTATCTGGAGACTATAAGGCTGTGCTGTCCAGTATGGTAGTCACCAGCCTCATGTGGCTGTTGAGAACTTGAAATGTGGCTAGTCCGGATCGAGATGTGCTGTAAGTGTAAAATACACACTGAATTTTGAAAATTGAGGAGGGAAAAGAATGTAAAATATTTCATTAATAATTAGAAAAAATATTGATCAGATGTTGAAATGTGGCTACTAGAAAGAATAAATTACATAGTTGGCTTATGATATATTTCTATTGGACAGCACTGCTCTACAGTGTTATTTCTTGGATAGCATGAATGCAATTAAGAATAAAAGGGCTATGATATAATTTTCGAGTATACTTTGAGTGACTCTGAGAACCTACATTGCCTAATTAAAACCTATTGCTAAATAAACAAGGATTGTGCATACAAGTACTTATTTGAATTTTGTAATAGGGAACACCTCAAGTTCTGTGACTCTCTTTTTCAAGCCCCAGAAGAGGAAACTGAAATAATTATTCTTGTAATTCAGAAAAAAATTTTGTCCGGAAAATTCAGACAAATGTTATAAAACATATTTTATAGGCAAATGTTATACAACTTTTTTTTACTATAAAACATAGCAGGCATACAGAAGAATGTATAAAGATATATGCATTCAGTTTAAGAAAAAGAAAAGGGATTACTTTAGATCTAGTATCCAGGTTGAGAAATAACACTTTACAGGTACCATATTCCAGAAGCAATTTGTCCCTCTCCTTCCCTGAAACTATCCACGATTCTGAACTTTGCTAATCCCTTCCTAACTTTTCTTTATGCTCATTACTACCTATTTATGCCCCTAAAAATTGCATTGTTTAGTTTGGATTGTTTCTGAACTTGACATAAATAAAAGCATACTGTACATATTCTTCTGCGACTTGTTTCTTTTAATTTAACATTTTATTTTTGAGATCCATCCATGCTGATGATTGTAGCTGTAGCTCACTAATTTTTATGCCTCGATGATATTTTATTATGAAAATATACCACAGCTTATTGATCCAGTCTGTTGAATGCATTTAGGTTTTTTCCAGTTTTCTGCATTGTAAACAATACTGTTATACACTGTCTTCTACATGTCTCCTGGTACACATATACAAGATTTCTCTAGGATATATACTTAGGAGCGGGAACATTGAATCATAGAGTACCTGAATACGCACATTTAATTTTACTCGGTAATGTCATGCTGTTTTCCAAAAGTGCTGTACAAATTTACATTCTCACTAGCAGGGTATGAGCATTCTCATTGCTCCTCAACCTCATAAACAGTTAATTTCATCACACTTCTTACGTCTGGCAATTTTCGAATGGTCTTTTGTGGTTATAATTTCCCTGATTTGCCATGAGTTTGAACATCTTTTCTTGTGTTTACGGACTACTTATGCCTCATTTTTCTGCTTGGTTGTTTGTCATTCCTACTGATTTGCAAACATTTAAAATATTTTTTGCATTTTAATACTTTGTTAGCATGTAGCAATCATCTCTCAGTTTGAACTTGTCCCTTCACCATTTATAATGCTTTTTGATAAACAGAAGACATTGATTTTAATGTAGTCAATAATTTCCTTTATAACAAATCTTTTATGTCTGGTTTAA
The DNA here is from genome assembly GCF_000001405.40 of Homo sapiens. NCBI lineage: Eukaryota > Metazoa > Chordata > Mammalia > Primates > Hominidae > Homo > Homo sapiens. Next base: position 177,115,894 of record NC_000002.12, on the reverse strand, counting down.
GAGCTACCTTAGTTTGAAATCATAAAGGTGTTCTACTATATCGTCTTCCAAAAGTTTTACATTCTTGCCTTTCACATTAGGTCTTTAATTTATCTGGAACTGATTTTTGTTTTTTGCATGAGGTAGGAGTCAATTTAATTTTTTTTATATTGAAACAAATTGTTCCAGCACTATTTTTTTAATGCATTTTTTTCCAACTGACCTTCAACAGCACCTCTGTCATATGTTAAATGGCAATTATGTGTGGGGTTGTTTCTGGACTTTTTATGCTGCTCCATTGGTCTGAGGTTCTGTGCTCCCATCCCTTCTTGAAAAATACCTATTACATTGTATATCTCTTCATTAATTAAAGTCTTCTTTAATATCTTTCAATAATGTTTTGTACTTTTCTCCCTGAAGTCTTGTGTATCTTTGGTAGATTTATTCCTAAGCACATCATATTTTTGATGCTATAATAAATGTCTTTTAAATTTTTTCTGCTTATTATGGATGCCTAGAAATACAATCAATTTTGAATAATGATTTTATTTTAGCATATTTATTTAACTTTTAATTTTAATAATTTATCTTTATGGAAAATCATATCAATTTTGAATAATGACAGATTTGTTATTTCATTCTGAATCCTTAGACCTTTTATTTTTTTCCTTGCTTTCTTGTATGTACTGTATTGAGTATCCAGCATAACCTTGCGTCAAAGTAGATAGAGATAGTACAGAAACTTACTTATGATATTTAAATGGAATGCTTTCAAAATTTCAAAATTGAATATGATGTTTGCTGCAAATTTTTGGGTAGATGTCTAGTATCAGAGTAAGGAAGTTCACTTTAATTCACAGTTTACTATAAATTTTTACTATAAAGGATTGTTGGAGTTTTATCAAATGCTTTTTATGCATTTGTTGAGATAGTCATATGATTTTCTTTCAATAGTTAATGTAGTCAGTTATATTTTTTTCTTCTTTAATTCACTTTGATTTCCGAATAAACCCATTTGGCCATAGTGCGTGCGTGTGTGTGTGTGTGTCTGTGTGTAATTTTAATACTTTGAGGGATTCAGTTCGTTAGTGTTTTATCTGGGATTTTTGCATTTATATTCATGAGTAAGATTGGTCTGCAAATTCCTCCTTTTGAATGTCAGTGTTGAATTTTGGTATCGAGGTTATACTAGCTTTAGAAAATGCGTTGAGTAGTATCTTTTTTTTTTTTTTTGCCATAATCTGATACAGTTTGCGTAAAATTGAAATTGTTTCTTGAATGGTTGTTATCAATAAACTCTCCTGGACCTCATCCTTCGTTTAGGGAAAGATTTTAAACTAATGACTAAATTTCTTTAGGAGTTATAGGACCATTCAGTTTTTGCTTTCTTCTTGAGTCAGTTTAAATAAATTCTATTTTATAGGAATCATTTCAGCTACATTTTCAAGTTTATTGGAATAATGCTCATACATCTCCTAATTATCTTATGTCTCTAGCATTAGAATTTATGCCCCCTTTTAATGTCATACATTTATGTAATATTATCATTTCATAACCATACTATTTTAATTTTCATTTTGGGGTCATCTCTCTTGTTTCTTATTATAAGAAGTTTGTAAATTTTACTAGCTTTTTCAGAGAACCAACTTTTGACTATTAAATATTTTATTTCCTATCCATTAATTTTTATTTCTATTATTTCCTTCCTTCTCTTTTCTTTGGGTTTATTCTGCTCTTCCTATACTAACTTCTTAAGATGTATATAGTTTTCATTACTTATTAGATTTTCTTTTTTTATACTTTGAACATTTAAAGCTATACATTTTCCTCTAAGTTTCCTTTAGCTTCTTTCTTTCACTTATAATGTAAGTTTTGATGTGTAATATTTTATTTGTTATCAGGTCTGAATGTTTCCTGATGTTCATTATGATATCTTCTTTGATCCTTAAGTAATTTAGAAGGACATTTTAAAATTTCCAAACATATAGGGATTTTTCTAATTATGTATTTTTTTGGGTTGCAAATCCATTGTGGTCAGAGAGCTTGATCTGTATGATACTATTTATCTTTTCAGAAACCCAGTCTGTGTGTGATACTATATACATATTTATATATAATATATTATATCTTATAAGATATATAATATATCTTATATAATTATATAATTAATATATATCTTATAAGATATATATTATAAGCTATAATATATAGATATATATTTATACATATATTTTAATTTTTGGAAGCTGCTTTATAGTTTAACATTTGATTAAAATATTCCATGAATGCTTGGGAAAAATGTTTATTTTGAGTCATTGAAGGCCTGGTGTGGTAGCTAACTCCTGTGATCATAGCACTTTGGGAGGCTGAGGCAGGCAGATCACTTGAGGTCTGGAGTTCAAGACCACCTTGCCCAACATGGTGAAACCCTATCTCTACAAAAGTACAAAAAAAATAGCCAGGCATGATGGCATGTGCTTGTAATCGCAGCTACTTGGCAGGCTGAGGCAGGAGAATCGCTTGAACCGTGCCACTGCACTCCAGCCTGGGTGACAGAGTGAGACTCTACCAAAAAAATAAATAAATAAATAAAAAAGAAAAAAAGAAGAAAAAAACAGTGTTGAGTCATTGAGGACAGTTTCATATATACCCATTAGTTTACATTTATTTATTGTGTTGTTTGAATCTTCTATAAAACTACTAGTATTTATGCCTTGTTTCAGTAGTCAGTTTCTGAAAGTGTGTTGAAATCTCTCAATATGTCAGTTTCTCCATGTGGTTCTGTCAATTTTACTTTATATATTTTGGGGCTGTAATTAGGAATAATTACATATATGAATATGTAATTAATATCTCCCAGATGATTAAAATTTTAATAATTAGGTCATGGTTGTCTTTGTGTTCAATAATATTTATTTGTCTATAAATACATTTGTCTACTGGAACTGGCAGGTTTCTTTTGTTTAGTATTTGCTTCGTACATTCTTCTCTACATTTTTACTTTAATATCTTCAATCTTCCTGTATTCTTAAGCTTTACACTTGTCTCTTATAAACAGAATAAAGCAAGATTAAAAAAAAATGGCTTGACTTTGTCTTCCAACTGAAGCAGTTAGTCTATTTATATTTATTATAATTGTAGACATATTTAGATTTGTTTTTACTGCCTTCTATGTTTTATATTTTTTCCACATTTTCTATACCACTTATTTTCTTCTTCCTTGTCCTTTTCTGAATTGATTATATTTTTTCATATTCTATTTTTTTCTCTACTAGTTTGGAAGTTATACCTTTTGTTTCTGTGTTTCAGTGGTATAAAAAATTTTAGCTTGCATGCTTAATTCATTAGTTGCTTTATGGTCTCCCCAATAATATAAGACTTAGAACACTTTAAATTCAATTATGCCTTGTGTGCTATTGTTGTTATGTATTTTCATTCTATCGTGTTTTTTAACCCCGCATAATATTGTGTTTTATGTAGTTAACTTTTTAAATATTTACTGCTTTTTTTTCTCTTTATTCCTTTGCAAACATCTTTAGTGAGGGTGTGCTAATGGAAGATGTTTTCCGTCTTTATTTGTCATAAAAATGTCTTCTTAATTTGTTCTCTTAAAAAGTATAATTTACTGTATATAGATTACCAAGTTAATAATTATTTTCTCAGCATATGTTATTCTACTCCATTCTTGATTACATTGTTATTGGTGAAGTCAGCTGTCAGTCTCACTGTCTTTAAGGTAATCTATCTTTTTTTCTCCGGCTGCTTTTAGTATATCTTTGTCTTTAGATTCTGTGATTTTACTATGATGTACTTAGGTGTGAATTTCTTTTTATTTTTCCTATTTGGGATTTGTAGAAATCTTGAATCTATGGGTTATTTTTTCTCATCAGTTGTGGAAAGTTCTTAGTCATAATCTCCTCAACTATTGCTGCCACCTCCTTCTCACTCCTTTCTTATGTTTTGGAACTCTGTTTAGACATAAGTTAGCCTGTCTTACTCTAATATCATAATCTTTTAAGTGCATTTAAAGCCTACATTTTCCAGCCTTCCTTACATCTTTGTGTGGCCATGTGCATGAACATTTTCAGGCCAAGGCTTTTAGGAAGTAATGTGTCCCCTTTATGCTCTTTCCCCTAATGTTAGCTGAATACAGACAATATGGAGGCCTCAGGCTCAGAGGATGGCAGAGTCTTCAGATGGATGGAGGGAGCTGCAGTCACTGAACCACTGCAGGGAGAGAAGTACTCACAGACCAGGAACGCTCAACTTGGACTGTTATGTGACAGAGTAATAATAAACTTCTATTTTGGTTTGAGTAATGTTGTGTTTTGGGTTTATCTGTTTCTGCAATCTAGCTTACTACCTTAATGAATATAAGCTTTCTTTCCATTAAAAAATTTATTAATGTATAAATCACATACCATACAGTTCACTCACTTAAAGTGTACTATTTAATGGCTTTTGATCTATTTCATTGTTAATTTTTAGAAATTATGTTAAAGTATATATAACACACAATTTTTTATTTTAACTATTTTTAGATGTACAATTCAGTGGCATTAATTACAGTCACAATGTTGGACAACCATCACCACAATTTCCAAAATTTTTCTTAGATGAAAATTCTGAAACCATTATGCAATAACTTCCCATTACCCACTCCTTCCAGCTCCTGGAAATCTTTAATTTACTTTCTGTCTCTATAAATTCAACTATTTTAGATATTTCATGTAAGTGGAATCATGCAATATTTGTCCTTTTGGGCTTGGCTTATTTTACTTAGTATAATGGTTTTAAGATTCATGTTGTAGCATATATCAAAAATTCATTCCTTTTTATTATTGTCTCTCTCTCTGTCCATATATATATATACACATATATATGGGTTATTTCCAACTTTTGGCTATTATGAATAATGCTGCAGTGAACATTGCCCTACAAATATGTGTTTCAGTCCCTGCTTTCAGTTCCCTTGTGTATATAACTAGGAGTGGAATTGCTGGTTCATATGATAATTCTATGTTTAGCTTTTTGAGGAAAAATGTTCTGTTAAATTTTTTTTTTTTTTTTTGAGACGGAATTTTGCTCTTGTTGCCCAGGCTGGAGTGCAATGGTGTGATCTTGGTTCACAGCAACCTCCGCCTCCCGGGTTCAAGCCATTCTCCTGCCTCAGCCTCTGGAGCAGCTGGGATTACAGGCATGCACCACCATGCCTGACTAATTTTGTATTTTTGGTAGAGACGGGGTTTCTCCATGTTGGTCAGGCTGGTCTTGAACTCCCGACCTGAGGTGATTCGCCCGCCTTGGCCTCCTAAAGTGCTGGAATTACAGGCGTGAGCCACCGTGCCCAGCCTCTGTCAAATATTTCTATAGCTGCTGCATCATTTTACATTTCTACCAGCAATGTGTGAGGGTTCCAATTTCACCACATCCTTGTTAACATTGTTATTTTCGGTTTTTAAAACTGTAGCCATTCTAGTAGATGTGTAGCCATTCTAGTAGATGTGAAGTGGCATATCACTGTCCTTTTGATTGAATTTCCCTGATGACTAATGATGTTGCGCATCTGCTTATTTTGTTTTCAAATTGTCATTTTATTTTTTATGTTGTTGGTTGTTGGAAATATAGTTAGTGATTTTTCATATGTTTATTGGCCATTTGTATATGTTTGAAGAAATGTCTATTCAAGTCCTTTGCGCCATCCCCCCTTTTTTTGTTTCTGAGATGGGCTCACACTCTGTCACTCAGGCTGGAGGACAGTGGCACCATCACGGCTCACTGTAGCCTCAGCCTCCTGATTTGCATGTTTTTAAATTTTTTTGTCTTTTTTTTTTTTCTATTGAATTGTAGGAATTATTTGTATATTCTGGATATTAGGCCTTTATCAAATTATGATTTCTAAATATTTCACCCATTCTGTAGGTTGCTTGTTCCCTTTCTTGCTAATGTCCTTTGATACAAAAAAGTGTTTTTAAATTTTGATAAAGTTCAATTTATCTGTGCTCCTTTCAATGTTTAAGTTCTTTTGTCTCCTTGATCTTCATTCTTGATAATTTCTTTTTATCTTCTAGTGACTAATTCTCTCTATTATGCTATGTTTTATCTGTTGTTAAATCTGTCAACTGAGTGCTCAATTTCAATTGCTACTTTTTAAAGTTTCTGATATTAAACATGTTAAACATACTTTTTAATACTCTGTATCTGATAATTCAAGTATCTAACATTTTTTGGGTCCTATTTTGCTATCTTTTTTTTTCCTGCTGGTTCTCACTTATAACATTGACTCCTGTGTATTACTAATTTTGACATTTGAGTTGTTTAGTTTTCCTTGAAATTTTATCCATGAAGATATTTTGTGTCCTGAAATGAAAGGGGACAATCCTTGTAGGAAAATCCTTTTCTTACAAGGATTTACATTTGCTTTTGTTAGGTACCTGGGATATACTAGCTTAAGACCCCTTTGCATAATATTGACTTCATGTTAGAAAAATTTTTTTTAGATTGCTTCAAAAGTGTGAATTTCTGTGCAAACTTGTGTGAGGGTCAGCTTTTGGTTACAAATTCTTAGGGTATAATTTTCCCCCACTCTACACACTGCCAAGTTTTGAGACTGTTAGTTTTCCATGCAATTTCCAGCAGGGGTGAAAGTGGATAGTTTATTTTAGTGCCCTCTTTCATTGAGTGTATGCCTTTGGGCCCCTGTTTTATGAGGATTCTAATATAGGATACTCCAACTTGGGTGGTCCCTGAGTTGTGTCTTCTGTCTCCAGAGCATAAAACTCTATGCTCAAGTTCACTGAGTTCGGCAAATGCCCTGAGAATATAGCTGATTCAGTGTTGCTTTCTTAGGTACTGCTTTCTCTTTTGCTTTCATATGGATGCCTTCTTGAAGATGTTTTTATATTTTATCCAGCATTTTTAGTCATTAGTTGGGAAGATTGGTCCTAATACTTGGTCAGCTATATTGCCAGAAACTCGACTACTTTTTTTGAACTAGAATTACCCTGATAAATCTTCACATTCAATAAAGACTTGCTTATCAATGGTAGGTTTGTGGAGGGTGTTGGTAATAGACAAAGTTTATATAATCATAGGTTCTCTGCATTGCTCAAACCTCCAGGTATAGCTGTCAAAGGAAGGAAAAGTAAAAGCAATTCAGGAAAAAATGATCAGTAATCCTATGGTCTTTAAAAGGCAAGTGTGGAAGCTGGGTATGGTGGCTCATGCCTGTAATCCCAGCACTTTGGGAGGCCAAGGCAAGAGGATCACTTGAGCCCAGGAGTTTAAGACCAGCCTGGGCAATACAGGGAGACCCCATCTCTACAAAAAATTTACACATTAGCCAGGTGTGGAGGCACATGCCTGTGGTCCCAGCTACTGGAGAGGCTGAGGTGGGAGGATTGCTTGAGCCTGGGAGGTTGAGGTTTCAGTGAGTTGTGATCATGCCACTGTATTGTAGCCTGGGTGACAGAGTGAGACCCTGCCTCAAAAGGAAAAAAAGGCAAGTGTGGAGAAAAAGAAAACTATATATTAATCCTTTGGTTAATAAATATTAAATCATTATGCTAGTACTTTACCTATGTTATCTTATTACAATATCCCAGTAAAGCAGACATAATTACAGATTATTTTTACAGATGACATAAGAGCTAATATTAATGTTTACTGCATGTTAGGTAATTGCCAAGTAAATTACATGTTTTTATTTCAATTAGTACCATTTTATAGATAAAGAGACAGAGGTTTAGGGAGATACTTGCTCAATGTCTCTCAGCCACTGACCACATATCCAGAGAGTGCTTTTAAATTTAGGGTAAGATAATGGTATTTAGTATACCATTAAAAAACCTTGCTTGCTTTGCTGCCTCACATCCTCAGCAGAATAGCTTTAATTTCGTTACAGGTATTACTCATTTAATCCTAACAACAACCCTAAGGAAGTTTCTATTATTATTACCACCCCCTTCCAATAATGAGAAAACTGGAGTTTAGAGAGTTTAAGTAACTTGCCCATGGTCGCCCAACTGATAAGTGGGGAAGCCGGGAGTGGAGCCTGGGTGATCTGTTTCCATGGTGCATGCTCTCGACTGCAGTGTTATGCCACCTCTCAAAACGTGAACCAAGACTTTGAGAATGGAAGGAGTGGAGATTCTGCTTTGCAATGGAATTAGGATTTCTTGCTAACAAGCAGCCCAGACATATTCACCAGAATCAGGGAGTGCTGAAACAAGTGAGGGGATAAAGCAAGGATTGGTATCATGTTTCAGGACTCTTGATCTTAAACTGTAGTATGCATCTTAGTCCATTTTATGCTGCTGTAACAAAATACCTGAGTAATTTATAAAGGACAGAGATTTATTTCTTACAGTTCTGGAGGCTGGGAAGTCCAAGGTTGAGGAGCTGACATCTTGCAAGGGTCTTCTTGCTGTGTCATCCCCTGGTGCAAGGTGGAAGGGGAATAGATTTCTAGAGGGCAAGAGGGGGCAAAAATTGCTTTTATATCCAACTCACTCTCATAATAACTAACCGACTGCCAGAATAACAACATTAATCCATTTATGAGGGCAGAGCCCTCATAATGACCGAAATCACTTCTTATTGGGACCCACTTCCCAACATTGTTGCATTGGGGATTAAGTTTCCAACACGTGAACTTTGGGGGACACATTCAAACAATAGCAGAATGGAAAGGCTACCTGCCATTGCTAAGATTGATAACCAGTTAGAAAACCACTGTGCATGTTGGGGAATAAGTGTATAGAAATAAAGAGCTCAGCAGAGAAAAACAGCCTGAGACCCACTATCAATTACTTCTTGTACTTGCATTTAGCCAGGTAAAAATTATCAGGTGAAACAGAACTCTTGTGTATGTTATTAATTTCTAAGTTTCTTTTTCTTTCCTTTTGAGTAAGAGCCCAAAGGGTTACCAATGAATTAAAATATTTTGCAAATCACTTATGACACCATTAAATATAAGTGTTTCTGTTTGCCTGGTTTCAGGTATTCATTTACTATGTGAGAGTAGGATTTCATACTTTAAATTATTTTGGTAAAATTATATAACTAGTGAAGAAATATAATGACTTGCTGTAATCAAAAAATTATCTCTCTCAAAATAATAAACCCCAAATCTTGATTAAAGAGACCTTCTCTAGAGGAAACTAGTATGCGTTGAATATGTGTACATACATCTAATAGATGCATGGGCCAGCACCTAAAGTAAAATATTTGTGAAAGGTACTGAGGAGCCTCCAAAGATACTGAAGAGAGGAAGAGCCAGGCACCACTGACCAGTAATAGAGGTCTGGTTACCGTGAGGAGCAAGTTGCCTGTAAAAATTAAACCACAAACAAAATCTAAGATTTTGTAGAACAAAGTCACAGAAACATCATGAGTTTGGTACCTTTGAGTGGGTTGTCATGTCCATGTTAGTCAACATTAGGCAGAGCTCAGGCAATGTCTCTATCCCACCACACATCTTTAGCACCTCTGGTGGCAGAAGACCAGCAGTGTCTCCTGGCAGAGAGTGCATGTGGGTAATGGGATAGTAGTATCTGGTGACATGGATGCTGGAGAGAGTCATAGGAGATGCCCTGCCAGAGTGGGAGTATTCACGAGCACACCTGAATTCACCTGACTTTAGAGAGCAACTGACTTCAGAGAGCACCTCAACTTCCAGAAGCACTTGAGAAATTCTTTTATAAGGTGCTGAGGTTCTGCTAGGTGGCGACAAGAGCCAATAGAATTTGGGTTCTTATTATTAGTGTGATTCCGTTTGTATTCACAGGTTGGGGAGGACTGGGGAAACTCAGCTTACAGCCATATTTGTACCAGAAGATTTTCGGTACAACTAGAGAGCACCCAGTGTATATCATCATGCTGCTGAACATGCAGGTGTATTAGAATTTGGTATACTAAAAGAACTTTTGGAACATGTATTAATTGGCACATTACTGTTTTGAAGTTTAGCAGTGTTATATATATATTCTTAGGTTTTGTGTTTGAAAATAGAATTCATGAAATATGAGTAAATTAAAAGCATTATGTTAATAACTTTTAATACTTACATATTACTCCTTTTCATCTCATTGAGTAGAGAAGGCTTTGAGGAAGAATGTCTAATGGCTAAGAGTCAGAAAACGAATTAGTGGTTTCTAAATTTCTACTGGTGATATAAATCATTTCCAGCACTTATTTATTTAATAGTGCATGTGAGAGAGTAGTTGGTTAATAAATATTTACTAAATAATTTTTTTCTAAGGTCAATGGGCCACAGGAAGTTTGATCTACCAGTTTCAGGTCAGCTAGTGATGCAGAGGTCCATAAACAAATTAGGAGGACTATTCCTTCTAGTGTGAAATTTTAAAATACATCAACATGTCCCAAACTGAAAGAAGCAAACATACAATGTGAAATTTGTTAGTCTCTTGTTATGTTCTTATTATGCATCTTTTGCTAATACAGAAACCAATGCTCCATAGATTGTGGTATAAACTTTTCTTAGTTGTTACTTTTAATTAGTGGAAGTATAAATATATCTGATTTATATTTAATTTTATTTACTACACTGTTGTTGAGCTTTACATAATTATCCAGGGAAATTCTTGTTAGAGTTGACAGCAAGCTCTGGGTGATCCCTAAGTGTCCATTTATTCTGGGGGAAGTTGGGGCTGGAAGGAAGGCCTCTGTCATTTCTGCATAAAGACTGTGGGCAGCAAGGATTAGATTATTCCTGGTGACAGCAGGGACTATAAATTGTCATTTCATTACCACTTGGTTTAATGATGGAAAGAATAGAAATAGAAATTTTATGACAAAAGGGAATTTACCTGTTGACTATATTGACTGAAAATGGAGAATAGACTGATAGTGTAGGAGACTCCATCTTACTTAGTAAATATTGTTAAAGTAATTTTATCGTCCTGTTAGCATTTATGAAGTAGCTGCAGTGCTAAGATCTATAGAATGATGATTTGAAAACTTGTGTAAGAAAAGAACGAATCTGCACTCAGTGTCCTTCAAAAATGTCACAGTAATACTGTGTAATTTTCCTTTTTTATTTGTGTTTGCCTGTTTTGGACTAGTAATCAAAATTGTAGGTCAGGCAAGATGGCTCATGTCTATAATCCTGGCACTTTGGGAAGTGAGAGGATCACTTGAGCCCAGGAGTTGGAGACCAGCCTGGACAACATAGTGAGATCCTATCTCTACAAAAATTAAAAAATTAGCCAGGCATAGTGGTGCCTGCCTGTAGTCCCAGCTACTTGGGAGGCTGAGGTGGGAGGATCTCTTGAACCTGGGAGGTCGAGGCTGTAGTGAGCTGTGATTGCACCACTGCACACCAGCCTGGGCAACAGAGTGAGATTTACAAAAAAAAAACAAAACAAAACGCCGGGCGCTGCGACTCATTCCTGTAATCCCAGCACTTTGGGAGGCCGAGGTGGGCAGATCATGAGGTTAGGAGATTGAGACCATCCTGGCTAACACAGTGAAACCCCGTCTCTACTAAAAATACAAAAACAAAATTAGCTGGGCGTGGTGGTGGCCGCCTGTAGTCTCAGCTACTCCGGAGGCTGAGGCGGGAGAATGGCGTGAACCCGGGAGGCGGAGCTTGCAGTGAGCCGAGATCCTGCCACTGCACTCCAGCCTGGGAGACAGAGCAAGACCCCGTCTCAAAAAATAAAAATAAAAATAAAAAAGATATCTTGAAATGCTCCTCTATTGTACTACCATACTAGTAGTGTCAATTGAAAGCCATCTTAGATGTTTTTTGGGAAGCTTTGGTAGAGAGAATGTACTGCACTTTTTTCACTTTTTTACTTTATCCCATAAAGCAGGGGTCCCTAACACCCTGACTATGGACCGATACTGGTCCCTGGCCTGTTAGGAACCAAGCCACACAGGAGGAGGTGAGCAGCAGGTGAGCAAGCAAAGCTTCATCTGTATTTACAGCCACGTCCCATCGCTTGCATTGTGGCCTGAGCTCTGCCTCCTGTCAGATCAGCGGCGTCACTAGATTCTGACAGGAGCTCAAATCCTACTGTGACCTGCACACAATAGGTTGTGCGCTCCTTATGAGAATCTAATGCCTGATGATCTGTCACTGTCTCTCACCATCTAGTTGCAGGAAAATAAGCTCAGGGCTCCCACTGATTTCACATTATGGTGAGTTGTATAATTATTTCATTATATATTATAATGTAATAATAATAGAAATAAAGTGCACAATAATTGTGATGTGCTTAAATCAACCCCAAACCATATCCCAGCCCGGTCTGTGGAAAAATTCTCTTCCACGAAACCAGTCTGTGACGCCAAAAAGATTGGGGACCACTACCATAAAGTAAACTTTCTCTGGGAAAGTCCAAGAAAGTTACCTAATACTTAGGTTTCTTTAATGTGTATATTCCGCTTTAGTAGAAAAGTCTATGAAGTCCATGTACACTGTAAACTATGTTTTATCATCTTTATATCCTGAATCAGAAGGCACTGCTGTATCCTTTCTTTTCTTTTCTTGTTTCTCTGCTTTTGCATGTCACAGTCTTAATCACTTGCTCCTTTATTAAACAAACAAATGAACCCAATTAACCAAACAGTTCCCTAATTATCAAAATGATGTAAACTTATTAATGTAACAATGAAACAATCATCCATAGTGTCATTTCCCAGGAATAACCACTGCTACTACTTTAATTTTTTTCTTTCCAAATGGAATGAATGTGTAATTTTTGGTTTTGTTTTTAAACATCAGCATTGTAGGGGGTCTATGATCTGACGTTTGCTCCCGACTGGTTCAGTGTCATTACATCCGAAGTGGGTCTTACTTTTCTTGGGGCTTTTTAATCCTAAAACCTACTTAGAGAAGTGGAGTGCAATTATTATTAATTCATCTCCTTTCTTATGCTTAGGAAGATAAACCTGCACCAATAATAAAAGTCAAAATGTTCCTTAGCCAAGTCATGTTGATACATGAAAGTTTTCTCTAATTTATTTACTCAAAGCAGAGCTTTATAGACTAAAACATGTTCATTATGACTAATAGTCTTTTCCTAAGGCAAGATAATCACAACAGTGTCCTTAGGAAATCCTCTATATAATTGGGGTCAAACTCATATTCAGTTTTGTGTCAGTGTTTTCACTAAACTTTGCATTACCAGCATTTTCCATGTCAATAAATATTTTTCAAAAACATTATTTTTAATTGCTTCAAATACCATTATTTACTTAATGACCTTCCAGTTTTTGGATATTTGGGTTGTTTGCATGTTTTAAACACTTTTTTTTGCTTTTATAACACTGTGGCAAAAACACTTGAATATAAACCTTTCACCTTAAGATGATTTCCTTGAGAATATATGCCTTAAGGATCCAGTAACCTCTTAATTGGCCTCTATTACTTCAGAGTTTATCTCCTGCCCGTTGCTGCCAGATGAATCTTCCTAAAACATTAATTATGTTGTATCATTTCTTGCTCAACAGCCCACAATGACTTCTCATTGCCTAGGGAAAGAAACTTCCAAATTCTTTAGCTTGGGGATTGAGGTACTTGACAGTCTTGTTTCTTTCAATTTCTATAATCGATTTTACCCAAAGTAACTGGGCTCTTTGGATGGCTTTGCTCTCACCTAGAACCCACCTAGAGGACTTTCACTGTTATCTTCAACCTTGCCTCCCTTATTTTCTGTTCCAAATCAAACACATAATACAGCTTCATCTCCAATGCTGATGTATGGGTTACACTGCCTATCAGAAAATAAAATATTTTAATTCATTCTTAAACATCTCAGTTATTTCCCCAAAGTTTCTCTCCTTTTAGTTGATGCCACATCTATTTCTTTTTCTTTTCTTTTTTTTTTTTTTTTTGAGACAGAGTTTCAATCTTGTTGCCCAGCCTGGATGGAGTGCAATGGCCTGATCTCAGCTCACCATAACCTCCACCTCCCAGGTTCAAGTGATTCTCCTGCCTCAGGCTCCCAAGTAGCTGGGATTACAGGCATGCGCCACCATGCCCGGATAATTTTTGTATTTTTAGTAGAGACAGGGTTTCTCCATGTTGGTCAGGCTGGTCTTGAACTCCTGACCTCAGGTGATCCACCCACCTCAGCCTCCCAAAGTGCTGGGATTACAGGCCTGAGCCACTGCGCCTGGCCAGCCATGTCTATTTCTAATCAATCTCCCCCGATACACCCCACCTGCCCCAGCTTTTCTTTTCTTGATATGCCAGGGCTGTTTCTCTCTCTCTCTGTGTGTGTGTGTGTGTGTGTGTAAATGCATTATAAAACACCTGAAAGTATATGAAATTCATGAAGAAGATTAAGGAAAACCTTTACTTTCTACTCTATATACCTCTGTGTTGTTTGCACTTTTACAAGTATTTATTTTTAGCTGAAAAACAGTCACATATATATTTGTTTTTTAAAAATATTTACAGGTTTGTATGATATAATGGAGGAAGGGTTTATGAAACTGCTTTCTAGATTTTTAAAGCTCAGAGCAAATACCAATTTCATCCATGGCTTTGTTCTGATCATCTAAAAGCACTCTGCTATGTAAGTTCAACTGCTACCATCTTTCAAAGTCCAGCTGGGTTTCTGTAGCTTACAAGAGTTGGCCTTGATTACTGAAGCCCACAGTTGCCTCCACCAATTCAAAACGTTGTATGAAATTGACTTTCTTGGTCTTCATTTGGGGCATATGATGATGGAAAGAAAAGTTCATTTGATGGATTAAAAAAAGATCAATTTAGCAGCAGCGTGAACCATGAAAAATGGTTCAGAATAACTTTCTGTTCATGTAACTCTCTTCTTTTTTAATTTTACTAAGTATAGATAATTTATTCTTTGCTTTTTGTGTTTAGTGAGAGCAATGATTGTAGGTACACTTCTCTCTATGTGATCCTGGCAATGTCACAAGTCCTTTTGGGATTTCTTTATCCAGAATATGAAGGAGTTGAGCTAGGCATGTCTTCTAATGCACCTTCTGGTTCAAAAATTGTGATCCTGTTAGATGACATGATTTTGCCTGATAACTGACTTAATTTGAAAATGGTGGCCAGGCATGGTGGCTCATACCTGTAATCCCAGTACTTTGGGAGGCTGAGGCAGGAGGATGGCTTGAGGCCAGGAATTCTAGACCAGCCTGGGCAACATAGTGAGACCTCATCTCTACAAAAAAATAAAAATAAAAAATCAGCTGGGCCTGGTGGTATTCACCTGTAGTCCCAACTACTCGGGAAGCTGAGGTGGGAGGATCGCTTAAGCCCAGGAGTTCAAGGCTGCGGTGAGCTATGATTATATCACTGCACTGCAGCCTAGGTGACAGAGTGAGGACTCTGTTTCAAAAAAAAAAAGAGGGGGGGGAAGGAAAGAAAATGGTTACATTTTGTTTATTTATTTATTTATTTATTTTGAAACAGGGTCTCACTCTGTCACCCAGACTGGAGTGCGGGGGTGCGATTATGGCTCATTGCAGGCTTGACCTCCTGGGCTCAAGTGATCCTGCTGCCTCAGTTTCTGAGTAGCTGCACTACAGGCATGCATCATCATGCCTGGCTAACTTCTGTGTTTTTTGCAGGGGGTTTCATCATGTTGTCCAGGCTGGTCTTGAACTCCTAGGCTCAAGCAATCCTCCCACCTTGGCCTCCCAAAGTGCTGGGATTACGGATGTGAGACACTGTGCTTGGCCTTTGGTTAATTTCTCTTTTAAAATGAAGTTATTCTAAATCTTTTTACCCCAAAACACTTATATATATATATAATTCCATATAATTAATCTAGTTGATGTAGTAGAAACTGCATTGACTTTGAAATCAAAATAACTTGATTTTGAATTCTAGCTCTACCATTACTGAATTCTGTTATCTTAAACATGTTACTTAGTATCAGTTTCCTTACATATAAAAACAGGGTAATAATCTTCATCTCCCTGGACTATACATGTGGAGGCACCCAAGACAGTGCCTGATATATAGTATGCTCTCAGCGAATGTTAATTTTCTTTCTTCCTTTATCAGTAACTGATTTGTGAAAGACATACTTTAAAAAGCAGCAAATGCTATTTTATACATCTAAATATCTACAAAGGAGATTCAGAGAGAACAAATCTCTGGCTGCTTTAAAACAGTGATATGATAAGTATGAGTATGTGCTAAGAGTTATGTAATCCTTGCTCTAACTGTATGCAGAAATGCAGAGCTTTTTCCTTGTATGTTGTGGTTAGTAATAGAGGGTTATAAAAGTCAAGTGCATCTTTAATGCCTTATAATTAGTTGGTTAACATATTTAGCAACTAGGAACCTTAGATTGGGGTTTATGACAACTTGGCCTAATATCAAATACTATATAGTATATAGTATAGTATATCATATATATATAGTATACTATATATTTGACATAGTATATCAAATACTATATAGTTAGATGCGGGCTAACATCTAATTGGCATAGTAGACAAAGCGTCTTGGGCCTACAATGCTTTTAGAGGCTTATGAAATTGTTTTAATTTCTCTTATTATTTATTTATTTATTTATTTATTTTTGAGCTGGAGTCTCACTCTGTCACCCGGGCTGGAGTGCAGTGGCGGGATCTCAGCTCACTGCAGCCTCCACCTCTGGGGTTCAAGCGATTCTCCTGCCTCAGGTTCCCAAGCAGCTGGGACCACAAGTGCCCAGCACAGGCGCACGCCACCACACCTGGCTAATTTTTGTATTTTTAGTAGAGACACGGTTTTACCATGTTGGCCAGGCTGGTCTCGAACTGCTGACCTTAAATGATCTGCCCACCTCAACCTTCCGAAGTGCTGGGATTACAGGCAGGAGCCACCGCACACAGCCTGTTTTAATTTCTTTTAAAATAAGAAGAAAAAAAATGAACTTTTAGGTCAAATAAAATGTTTTGATATATAGCATTAATATATTCATCTTTACACCAATGAGTTGTAAAATATAGTTTTATTTCTTTACTTTTTTGTGTAGGAAGGAGCCCAAGAAAGTTATAATATAGTCCTGGATACTTTAATGAAGGTTTAGACTTTCAGGAAACACATCTTCTGACCTGGTCAGGCTGAGTGGTGTTTATGTGAACTAATTTCACCCTTTCCTGAGATGCACCAGAGAAGGAGGCTTGTTGGTGTGGTCAGAGTCCCATCCCAGAACATGGGTCTTTTTATTTTTTATTTTTGAAAAGTTTGTCTTAGTTTTGTTTTAAAAAAATTATTTTATTTATAATTTTTTTATTATTATGGATATATAATAGGCATATATATTTATGGGGAACATGTGATCTTTTGACACAAGCACACAATGTGTAATGATCAAATTAGGGTAATTGGGGTGTCTATCACCTTAAGCAGTTATTTCTATTTCTGGCTCCACAAGAAGGTAGGAGATAAGCCAGACATGAAAGCAAAACAATAAAAACAGATATTTATAGCAAGCCATAGAGTCTTCTAGCATAAGACTAGAATCTTAGGAGCAGAGAGTTCTCTCTTATCTCATACTTATGTAAATTTAATATATAAACTCCTTCATGAATATTAATGAATTTGTAAATGAAGGTTTGGGAAAAAATGCAACAACAGCCAAAACAATTGGTAATCTAATTTTCGCTGAATAAAAGAGAAATATGAACTGCTTAAAAACAGGAAATGCAGAATAGAGCTGACTTGCTTAGATATGGAAAATGGATGTTGTGGGAGGGAAGCTATGATGCAGAATGCCTCATTATAGAGCAAGCTTGTCCAACCCGTGGTCTGTGGGCCACATGCAGCCCAGGACAGCTTTGAATTCAGCCCAGCACAAATTCATAAACTTTCCTAAAGCATTATGAATTTTTTAAAAAGCTCATCAGCTATTGCTAGTGTTAGCATATTTTATAGGTGGCCCAAGACAAATCTGCTTCTTCCAACGTGGCTCAGGAACCCAAAACATTGGACATCCCTGATAGAGGGTCCCAATGTAAAGAGGAACATTTAGTCAGTAAAGAAACTGACCTCAGCTCTGCCTCTTAATCTGTTGGCATTAAGGGGTGGAGTAAAATGGGAATCAGCCATTATAATTCTATAATCTAACAAGTCCTTGATAGGACTTGATAGGACAAAACGAACCTGAGCGCTTCGTCTTGGGAGTCCTTGTTAATCTAAAATACAGCCATAAGTGGAGGGGCCTGTAAGTTGGTTGGAGAGGAAAGATAGAAAGTGTCTTCTCCTACGACTGGGTCAGTGAGCTTTACTTTTCAGTTTAAATGTATGATTTTAGGTTAATAATAATTCATGTTAATGATAACTAACATATCAGGAGCACTTACTTTGTGCCAGACACTAGGCTAAGCACTTTATATGGATTGATCATTTAATCCCTTCAGCAATCCTGTGGTGTAGGATCTATTATCATTTCCATTTTACAGATGAAGAAACAACAGAATTTAGGGAGGTTAAGTGACGTCTTTTCAGTCTCATAGCCAGCAAAGGGCAGATCTGGAGCTTGAACCCAGGCAATTTGACCCTGGAGCTTGAATTTTAACTTCTGCCATTACCCAAAGGATCCCATCTATGGCAGGACTTTTAAGCAAAATACAAGAGTATTATGGGTTGAGTTGCCCCCAACCCCAAATTTGTATTTTATTAAAGTCCTAACCAAAATACCCTAGAATGTGGTTGTATTTGGAGATAGACTCTTTACAGAGATAATCATGTTAAAATGAGATAATTAGGGTGGGCTCTGATCCAATATTACTGTTGTCCTTTAAAGAAGGAGACATGCATACAAGGAGAATGCCAGGTGAACGTGAAGACCATCATTTGCAAGCCAAGAGAGGCCTGGAGCAGATCCTTCAGAGCCCTCAGAAGGGACCAACCCTGCTGGCACCTTGATTTTGGACTTCCAGCCTCCAGAACTGTGAGACCATACATTTCTGTTAAGTCACCCAGTCTATGATACTTTGTTAGGCAGATGTTTAGGGGCTAAAACATCTTCTGTGTGGACTAGTCCTATAGCAAGATAAAGTCCCCCAATACTATTTTGGAAACCCTGAATGCATCTTTTATCCTCTTTCTAGGTAGAGAATAATCAAAATGTGGGAAATAGGATTTTGCTTTTTGTTCTTTCAGTAATTTTGGACAAATTGAAAATAAAAGTAGTCCAATAATTTAGGATCAACAGTGTAAGCACCTTGAATTCATGGCAAGTAAGACTTGGTGCATAGTAAAATTAAGTTTTCTTCTGTGCCTCTCAGACTAATATCAGACATTGTTGCCAAAATGAATTTCCAACTCAATCCAAATAAATGGCAGTGGTGATAGTAAAGTTGTCGAGCTTAAGAACATTTAGACACCCTTGGCGAAGAAAGCTATTAGACTGAGCTGAAGTGTCTTAATCACATTAAAAATATGTCCAAAGATATGCCCAATGATACTGGTTCAGATTGCATCAGATGCAGAGTTACTTTGGCACAAATCATTCAGTGGAAAAGTTGGTAGGATAATAAAAAAGCTATTTCAGGCAGATGATTTTAAAAAATTTCTCTGTAAGACAGACTTAAAGTATTATAACCATAGTTGCAGCATTGCTCATATTACTTTCATACAAATAATTTATTTGTATACTATGGAAGGGAGTAGTTTATTCTTCCTAAATTTCTCCTTCTTTCTTCTGTCACAGCAAATATATTGCTTGCATGACTCTGTTGAGGAAGTCGGAGTCTTTCCTAACCACCTTTCTGACAGGTGGCACTTTGAGAGCTCACTTGGTTTCTCAGTGTTTCCTTATAAGCCCCGATATAATATTTATTTAATTATGCTAGTCTCAAGGGGCTTTAACCAGTGAAAGTTCTCCAGAAGGAGATCAAATGCTTTTTTTCTGGCCAGGCACAGTGGCTTATGACTGTAATCCCAGTGCTTTGGGAGGCTGAGGTGGGAGGATAGCTTGAGGCCAGGAGTTCAAGACCAGCCTGGGCAACATAGTGAGACCCTGCTTCTAAAATAAAAATCAAAAACTAGCTGGGCATGGTGGTGCACGCCTGTAGTCCTACTACTTGGGAGGCAGAGACAAGAGTGCTGCTTGAGCTGAGGTGTTCGAGGCTGCAGTGAGCTATGCTTATGCCACTGCATTGCAGCCTGGGTGACGGAGCAAGACCCTGTCTCAAAAAAAAGTTTTTTTTCTTTATTTGTTTGTTGTTTTGAAACATTGAAATATAAATGAGATTCATAGGTGAAAATAATTTTTTAAAAAATCGTATATTATTACATAGGTCTTCAAAAGAAATCATTGATCAGAAGGCATTTTCTTAGTTGCTGACATAGTTTGGATATTTGTCCCCTCCAAGCATCTTGTTGAAATTTGATCCCCAATGTTGGAGGTGGGCCCTGGTTGGAGGTGTTTAGGTAATAGTGGCAGATCCCTCATGATGGACTTGGTGTTATCCTTACTGTAACGACTTAGTTCTCATTCTATTAGTTAATGTGAGATCTGATTGTTAAAAGGAGCCTTGCACCTCCTACCCCTCTCTCTTACTCCCTTTCTCACCCTGTGACACACTGGCTCCCCTCCCTTCTGCCATGATTGGAAGCGTCCTGAGGTCCTCACCAGAAGCAGATGCTAGTGCCTTTCTTTTTGTATGGCCTGCAGAACCATGAGCCAAATAAACTTCTTCATAGCAATGCAAAGTGGACTAAGACAGTTGTGATTTGAACATATAGGTAGGATGTGTTTAATTGTATGTAAATTTTAATTTTGATAGTCATATTAGACTAGGAAATGGCATAGAAGACATTTATTGCACATGATAAGTGTACCAGATGCCTCTTGTGTGCCACTTGAGATTTTCTGGCCTTCACCTGTCTCCCTAGAGCTTTGGTCCTCTTCTTCTACTCCAAAGGCTGCGATGGCAACTGACTTGTAAGGCCCCAGGATGCAGGAGATGTGAGGGAGTTGGTAGATAATCTCTTTTTCTGTTTTCCACCCCACGATGGACTAGTCCATGGAAAAACTTTCTGTGCAACCTATCCCAGTGAGCATGTCTGTTTGTGAAGTGGCTGATTTGCCATTGCAACAGTTTGTAGTTTCTTCCCTTGCTAACCTGCAGCAGTTCTCTTTCCCATCACTCACGCTGACCTGGGATCACACCTCCCAATAAAGTTTAGCATTAAGCCTTGCCTCAGCTTCAACTTTCAAGGGAACTTTGTCTGGGGCAATAAGAGTTCCATCAATGTTTAGTAAATGGAATGGAATACAAAATAAAATGTAGGCCAAATGGGGGCTTTTATTAATCATTTTAATTTTTCTATGTTTCAGAAGAACTTGATGTATACCTCCTGACCTGTTCATCTTGTAGCTGCCTCTTGACAGGTAAGTGTGATGCTAGAAATAATCAGCCAGTCAATGCCTATTTCACTGGATAGTGAGGGATGAAGTCACATTTCCAAAAGGCGTATTTAATAAGGGAAGGGTGAATTATTCTGGGTGAGAACAGTCCAGATTGTGAGCCTGAAACTCATGTTTTCCTCAGAGAAATAGCTCACTTTTAGCTAATCCATCTTCTCTAGGTACCTCCAAGGTTAGGCAAAACTGCTGCACAAATTCTGACCTTCATTTTTCCTTGAAAAGAGAACTAAACTATTTCTCTAGTGTTTATCCAGTTTCAGTGGATTTGTGATGTGTACGTGAGACTTGAAAGACTGAAAATGTGAGGCTGCTCTGTGAAATGGACAAAAAAGAGAGAAGGCAACTTTAATTTAATTTTTTAACCACTCTCTTGCCTTTAGTAACTGAGAATTGTTAGAAATGCATAGTAACTAAAGGCAAATTGGTTAAGACATTCAAGGTGTTAAACAAAGGATACATAGCATTTGTTGTTTATTTCAGTGCCTGCCTGTACTAGAGACCCAGACGTTTATGCTCTTGGGGAGGCAGGCAGGCAGGCATTATTACTATTTTTATTGTCACAACTGTTATCAATAATAAAGAAAATGGTTACAGAAATGAAAGTAAGGAGGTGCCAGCTATGCTGACCTGTATGAAATCTTTTGCAATTTAATGAAAAAAGACAAGAAGAGACAATGTTTAGAGTATGACCTATTTTTTTCATGTGTATATTAAATTGGGTCAGGTAACTATATTTGCAGGTGACTTTTTAAAAGAATTATGTAGTCAATCATATCCATAGTAAATGAGCAAAAGTATAAATTTGAATAATTTGACAACTGAAAAGTATGAAAAGGAAAGCCTTGGTAGGGAACATTAAGTTAAAAAAGGAAACCTGAAAGTTCTGCTTTTATCAAGATACATGCAGGGGAGATTTACTATAAATCAACTGGTCAGACGTATGAGTCATACTCATGGATGTTACTGGAACTGGCTCTTTGGTTCTTACCATCACTGGAGGTAATGCTTGATCTTTTCACTGACCATAAAGATGTTTCAAAATCAGTGACATAAGCTGCACTCTACAATAGAGTCCACCGAGGCCAACCGCAGCTACAAATGTATTGAAGTATTGTCCAGCAAAGATGCGATGTTCATCTGGCTTTTACTTTTGCTATAAGGGCAGAAGTGAAAAAACATTTATTTTGACTAACATAAAGTCATTATAAATGAGGCAAGACAGCATTGGAGCATGAAGAATGAGCATCCCATCCATGCTAGTGGGAAAACTAAGAGATGGTGTGAGCTTCATGTCGGTGGAGGTGCAATGAGCAGGATTCACACGGACATCCATAGTGGTCATTTCGAGACTTTCTGGCAGGAACCTTAGACTGCTGCCTAGGAGCGTAAGGTTGTTGAGCCGTAAGTGCCACAGTGGGACAAAAAGAGAGTTTAAGCAGTAGGCAACATTGACAGCCTTCAGGTTCAAGTAGAGGAGAAAGTAAGGAGTGGAATAAACTGTAAAGGCAGACCATTCAACCTGGATTTCCCCTCAGTGAAGCAATCCCTTTCATAGTGTCCTGGAAAAGGTACAATCAGTAGTGTAGCCCAGTGGAAACCTAATGTCATTCTATGGGTTGGCTGCATCAGAAACTTCTAGGGAGCTTTAGAAATCAACACCTCCCAGAGGTTTTTATTCATTAGGTCTGAAGTGGGACCTGAGATTCTGTATTTTAAAAAAATTTCAGCCAGTGCAGTGGCTCATACCTGTAATCCCGGCACTTTGGGAGGCTGGGGCAGAAGAATGCCTTGAGGCCAGGAGTTTGAGGCCAGCCTGGGCAATACAGGGAGACCCCATCTCTACAAATAATAATAAAAAACTTAGCTGGGCATAGTGGCACACACCTGTGGTCCTAGCTACTAGGGAGGCTTAGGCAGGAGGATTGCCTGAGCGTGGGAGGTTGAGGCTGCAGTGAGTCATGATCATGCCATTGCACTCCAGCCTAGATGACAGAATGAGACCCTGTCTCAAAGACAAAAAAAATCTCTGCAGGTATTTCTTATAATCAGTTATGTCCGGGAACCTCTGATCTGAAGTCCACTTAAATGTCGACAGTAACAGGCCGGTGCGGTGGCTCATGCCTGCAATCCCAGCACTTTGGGAGGCTGAGGAGGGCAGCTCACCTGAGGTCAGGAGTATGAGACCAGCCTGGCCAACATGGTGAAACCCCATCTCTACTAAAAATACAAAAATTAGCCAGGCTTGGTGGTGCACGCCTGTAATCCCAGCTACTTCAGAGGCTGAGGAAGGAGAATCACTTGAACCCGGGAGGCAGAGGTTGCAGTGAGCCAAGATCACCCCACTGTACTCCAGCCTGGGTGACAAGGACAAGACTCTGCCAGGCGTGGTGGCTTACATCTGTAATCCCAGCATTTTGGGAGGCCGAAGTTGGTGGATCACGAGGTCAGGAGATCGAGACCATTCTGGCTAACACGGTGAAACCCCTTCTCTACTAAAAATTCAAAAAAATTAGCTGGGTGTGGTGGTGGGCACCTGTAGTCCCAGCTACTCGGGAGGCTGAGGCAGGAGAATGGCATGAACCCAGGAGGCAGAGCTTGCAGTGAGCCGAGATTGCGCCACTGCACTCCAGCCTGGGTGACAGAGATTCTGTCAAAAAAAAAAAAAATGCCAACAGTAACGCTGAGCTCATTATTTTTTGGTTGCTTGTTAACTAACGTGGTTATATGTTTCCATCTTATTTCAAACCAAAATCTGCATCTTTAAAACATCTACCCATTCTTTGGTTCTCTTTGGGTCTTGCAGAGTTATTTAAAAGTTTTAGACCAAGCTGGAGAATTTGAATTTGTGGTGGACCTAGTCATAATAGTTTTATGATCTTATCTAGCAGCAAGGTCATCTGGGAGTAGAGAATGAGAAATATGAAATAATCCAGATTTAGGGATTGGAATGATGGAAGATTAAGGAATTGAGGGATTGTAGGATGCTGCAGGGGGTAATGCTGAAATGACCATCCATTGCTGGGGAGAAAATTAAGGTCTTTTGAGCAGATATGGATTGGCATATGGGGAGAGACCATGTGGTTGAGGGGTGGGCTAGGCTGAGGGGTAAAACTCAGTGTTGCCTGTGTCCATGTCTAGCTGGTCTTCCATCTATTTCTTAGGTTCTCTATCAGTATTTTTTTTACTGACTGTGGCAAAAGGCAGATTGAACAGATACATTGGGAGCGGGAGAAGAAAGTGAGGAGATTGTTTCAGAAAGGGAGACTGACTAGCGATCTTAGAGGGGAGCAGTTCCTAGTGATGAGAAAATAAAAGTTGTGGCGAACATGCAACGGAGTTGAAAGAGCTGCTGGCAGATTCTGTGGTCAACGTGGATGGATGATGCTGTTATTTTGGGTAATGGTTAAAGACAGGAGAGAGAGAGGAACTGTGATTCAGGTGCTGAAGTGTTTGAGCACAGTGTTTGGAAGTGGGGTGGATGTGAAATAGAAATGAAAAGAGGATGGAAGGGGTGTGGAGTGCCCAGGTGTGGCCCTGTCCTCTGGGTGAGTTTGGGCAAGTCCCACATCCACTCTGGACCTCTGTAGTTTTCAAGTGAACAACATTCTATCTCCCTTACAGAGTCATTGGAAGCTCAAGTGAGACACAGTAATCATGTATGTAAAAGCCACATTGAAAAGATAGATAATCGTTAGGCTGGACATGGTGGCTCATTCCTGTAATCCCAGCACTTTGGGAGGCCAAGGCGGGTGGATCACCTGAGGTCAGGAGTTCAAGACCAGCCTGATCAATATGGAGAAACCCTATCTCTACGAAAAATACAAAATTAGTTGGGTGTGGTGGCGCATGCTTGTAATCCCAGGAGCAGTTCCTAGTGATGAGAAAATCGGGAGGCTGATGCAGGAGAATCGTTTGAACCTGGGAGGCGGAGGTTGCAGTGAGCTGAGCTTGCACCATTGCACTCCAGCCTGGGCAACAAGAGCGAAACCCCATCTCAAAAAAAAAAAAAAAAAGATAGATAATTGTTAAGGGCTGTCTTAGTTTTAAGATCGTGCAACACAATTATTCTAGTTATGACACATCAATGTTATGAGATGTCATAAAATGTATGTATTGCAAAGCTACAATTTCACTTGAAATAAAAATATGTAAAACCAGTACTCTATAGCAGAAACAGCCAAACAACCATTAAGCTAACTGGCTTTTCTCTCTGGAATTTATCAGTCATGTTTAGGGAAGATGATTCTAATACTTCTTTTTCTTTCATCTAGCACATGTTGGCACCTTTAGAAAGATCTAGAAATCCACGTGTTGTACGTAAATCTGGGGCTGTTGTTACTGCAGATGTACCTTCCACAACTTGATTTTCTGTGATGTCAATTATTCAGGTAAAAATAAGATGTCACTAAGTGGTCCTTTGATTTTGGCATTTCATTTTAAAATTTGTTAGAATTCGTTATAATTCTGTAACTCTGACTTGTAAGTTCTAGAGACTGGGTTTCTCTCTAGCATTTATTTATTTATTTATTTATATTTTTTGAGACGGAGTCTCGCTCTGTCGCCCAGGTTGGAGTACAGTGGCGCGATCTCGGCTCACTGCAAGCTCTGCCTCCCAGGTTCAAGCGATTCTTCTGCCTCAACCTCCTGAGTAGCTGGGACTACAAGCGTGCACCACCACACCCAGCTATTTTTATTTTTTTTTGTACTTTTAGTAGAGACGGGGTTTCACCGTGTTAGCCAGGATGGTCTCGATCTCCTGACCTTGTCATCCGCCCGCCTTGGCCTCCCAAAGTGCTGGTATTAGAGGTGTGAGCCACTGCGCCCAGCCTCTAGTATTTATATGTCTCTTGAGCCATTATTCTTCTTCTGACTTTGGAATATGCAAAACTCACACACAATCTGGGGGAAGATGCAGTTACAAAGGTAACCTAAGCATTTCTTATATTGGCTTTACTTTTCACATTATTGCTTCTGCTGTGAAGTACAATCTCCAAATCTCACTAAGTCCAAAGTTGGATTCAAATATGTTTTCTATTAATTAGTCTCTTGTGTCTCATTTCTAATGTGGTAGTGGCCACCTAGTCCTTTAGGAGGTTCAAGGGCTTAAAACATGAACTTTTGGTAAAGGAAGGAGGTAGTCCCAGATTCACAGTGTTCTTTCTTGAAGGATACCTGACAGAAACTGAAAGTCTGTTTCCAGGAGCCTAATCCTTGGCACAGGCAATATTTGTGGCCTAGGAACATCATAACTACTGTAGGTTCTTATTTAAACCCTTCCTGGATGGTGCTGGTTCTAAGAAGCTGAAGGACAGAGGTGAAAAGAGGAAAAACATTCTTCTGAGAATGATGAGGTCAGTTTTCTAATGTCTGGAAGACATTTCATCAATTTATAACTAACTCGTGCCCAATGATAATTACCATGTACATCTATTTCTCTCTGCAAAATAAAATGCAGAGGAGTTGGTTGCAGTTTATACCAAACCCTCTTGCTAATGAAGTAAAAGGCATAGAAAACTTGGGGGAATCTTGTACCTAACAGAAGAAACTACTTCTGTTAGGGGAAAAAAAAAGTTTAAATCACAAGGATTGAAACTGAAATTATGTTAATGGTAGCTTTCAGAAAAGGAGATTAAACAATGAAAAGATAATTTTTGCAGGATAGAATTGAATCTTTTGTATTACTTTGGTATTTTTCCTGGGCCTACATTGCTGGAAAGTGACTGTGTCATTTCCTTACTCTGTTTGGCTCAAGAGTTTTGCATCCTGTAAGCATGCAAAGAAAAAGATATGCTGAAGTCCTACCCCCTCCCCCCTCCCCGGCCCGCCCCATATCTCAGAACATGATCTTAAATAATTTGAAAATAGCATATTTACAGTGGTAACAGTGAAAATGAGGTCATTGGGATGGGCCTACTCTAATGGACTGGTAACCTTGTATAAAGGTTATACAAAAAGGAACTTTGGACACAGAGACAGACATGCATGGAAGGAAGATGGCATGAACACACACGGAAAGCACAGCCATATGGAAATGGAGACAGAGATTGGAACTGTACTGCCACAAGCCGAGGAATGCCTGGAGCCACCAGAAGCTAGGAGAGAGGCATGGAATAAATTCTCCTTCATAATCCTTAGAAGGAACCAACTCTGCCAACACTTTGACTTTGGACTTGTAGCCTCCAGAACTGAGACAATAATCTCCTGTTTAAGCCACCCAGCTTGAGGTATTTTGTTATAGCAGCCCTAGAGAATTGACATACTGTACTTGCATCAAACCTAGGAACTTTCGATGTTTACACCAATCCTTCACTGGTTATTTGAGAAACAAATTTTCCGAGCTTCTAAAATGCCCTGAACTCTATTCTCCACTCTATTTCCTCTGCACAGCTGTGGATGTATGACAGGTAAATATAGTCCCTGTTGGGAAGATTCTCACTTGTTCAGAAAGGTTGAACTGTGTAAGTGAAGTGAATTGCACGTGAATTGTGACGTAGATTACTTCACGTCATGACCGGTAAAACCTTAGACCTGAAGAATCTCCCAGATGAAGGAATATTGACAGATCTTATATATGGGGAGTGTGTTGCTGTAATAACCAATTCAAAGCAGAATATTGCTTTTCTCCAAAGAAGATTCAAAGAGGGAGTCAATAACATTAACCTTCACATCAGCTAGTCCAAGATGAAATACTAGCTCAGACATCGACTAATCAAGAATGTCTTGTCCCTTGTGTTCTTGTGTTGAGAAATAACTTAGTTCAGTATCTTTAAGATTTATTCACCTTGTATTTGCACTGATCACATACATTGAACTGCAAACTGGAGCCAAGAACTGTATTTCTGAAGCTGAGCTGGTGATAGACAGACTGTCTCTCAGTCCTTGGAGTCAATCCAGCCATCTTAAATATTGAAATGTTTCTTTATGATGCTCTAGAGACATTTTCATCATGCTGTATTCTTTAGGAGCAGCTGAACCTAACAATTGCATCTGAATGTTTTTCTAAGACAGGTAAATTCTCTTAGTAAAAATTACTTGAAATGCTGGTATGAATGACTGACAGAAAACACCTACATGGACATTTAAGAAATATAAATAAAATACACCTGGTGAAAAGGGGAAATATGAATATTTTAACTTGACATATCTGTATAAAATAAAAATATTTTATTAGATAAAATAAAATATAAATATTTTAACTTGACACATGCAGGTATGTGTATACTTGTGTGCATGTCTACATTTTTACTTAAGTTCAGTTTAAGTATCTATAGAGAGAAGATTGGAGGTGTAAAAGTCCATTTCCATCTTTATCAGCACTTTAAACCATTGTAGTCCTTTATCAGTCAGATATTGTTAATCACCATCGATACTACCAGTAGTGCTACTATTACTATAGTTACCAAGTACCAGGCAATATGATAATGGCTTCGTCTATGCAATGCTCTTTATCCTTTTGACAACTCCATGAAGTGTATACCTTTGTCTCTATTTTACAGATGAGGACACTAAGGTTTAGAGATATTAAGTAGCTTGGACAAGATCTCACAGTAAATGGTGGAGCTGTAATTAAAAACCCAGATCTTTCTGACTCCAGAGCTTGTATTCTCATCTATTTTGCAGTTTTGTCCCAAGCGTACTGTTGGGAGCAAAAAATTCTATTAGGACAAGTAAAGACCCTACTCTGAGAGCACAATTTTAAGTTGGCAAAGATCATGCAGAGCTGATATGTATATAAGGAAGCTGCAGAATGCCTCAGGAACTGAACAGTGCGAAAGCAGTGCCAATGGAGAGAGCAGCCATTCTTGGCACTAAACAAACAACAATAGCACCTTTAAACAAAATTAAGAAAGACTCAATACCTTAGTGTATACCTCATGCAGCCATAGACAAAGACTGAGAACCTTGTGTAATATAGGTCCTGATATAGGATGTGAACATCCAGCATGACACTGCAGGAGACAAGAACATGTAGTAGGTGCGGAACAGGCAGAAGAGGGCTAGCAATCTTGGGTGACATAAGAAGAGGAAATGGTTGGGACTGGAACAGAGGCAACTCTCTTGGCCACGGTTGGTCAAGAAGAGGAATTATAAATTAATATAAGAAACACATAACGTGGCTACGAACTCTTTGACACTCTTCTCATGGAGAGATAGAGCTCTGTGTCCTCTCTTTTTAAATCTGGGCAGACTTGTGACTGCTTTGCCCAAAAAAGCATGATGGAAGTGATGCCATGAGGCTGTTACTGAGGCTGGATCACAAGACCATGCAGCTTCTGCCTTATCACTCTTCAGCCCTGAGATTCCAGGTAAGAAGTCCGACTACCTTAAGGCTGCCATACTAGAAGGGCTGCATAGAAATGCTCTGGTGATAGTTCTGGCTAAGTCCAACTTTACAACAATCTGTCTTCCCTACAAGGTGTCAGACATGTGATTGAGGCCATTGGCCATCTGCCAGCTGCATACAGCAGAGTGATCACCATCAACATTTTGTGGAACGATGTGGGCTCATCAGCTGAGCCTAGTCCAAATTCCTGACAGGCAACATCATATGACATAATAAAATGGTAGTTGTTTTGAACCATTGGGTTTTAGAATAATTTGTTCCATAGCAATAGATAAGTGGAACCCCTGAGGATAGAAGTCATAGTTTATGGACCATTCCCACTCATTGGCCTGGTGGAATAATTGCATGTGGAAGTTTGGAGTGAGATGTAGAACTTCAAGGGTTTCCTTCATAAGTGGGATTGTGAGATTTCAGAATATCTTAATGTGCAGTTTTATTGAATGACATTGGCTATGTGGGAAAGTAGTCTGCCCGAGAAAGGAATGAGTAGTGAAAGTAGAGACTCAAGTACTGGGCTAGATCTTTGTGGTTTGGACTCTACCTTTAGTTCTCTTACTGATACACTGTCAGAACTTGGGCAAATCTTGCAACCTTGATAAAGTTTGGTCATAATATCTTTCCTACCTACCACATAGGGAAGGAGATGTGGTGTTGAGGAAAACACTATATGAAAGCAATTTTAAAAATGTGAAGTACTATGTAAATGTATAACTTCTCCATTCATTCATTGAGTTGCATTTATACTGCTGTTTAGCACTTATCACATTGTATTGTAATCAGATGAATGCATTCACCTCTTCCCTACTCCTTGTACTTAGAATAGTACAGATCTCATAGTAGGTGCTTATAAATATTTATTGAAAAATGGTTTCTTAGAATTAACACTAGATAAGGAAGACTGGAGAAAATTTAGCTAGAGACTAGTGCAGAATTTTACAAATAATGTTTGTAGTATAAAAGATGTTAGAGTAAATCTATTGTCATTTATCTTAATTTTCTAACGCACTCAATAGAATACCACATATTTGACCATGACAAATCTTAGTAAAAAGCCAGATGGGGGATGTAATCCAGTGGTTGTGGTGGGTACAGTACTTACCAGATCTGCTTTAAACTGCCAAGAAACTTGGTAGGAGAGGAGAAAGGGATTAGATAAAGATGGATCCCATTTCAATGATTAATGAATACAGCATTGTCCAGAAAGTTTATGACTTTGGAAATCAACTTGCTAGAAACTTTGAGTGTCCTCTACTGGCAAAGAAATGCCTGGGATGCTCTGAAGAGTTACATAGAAAGTTCATGGGCCAGCGCTGCCTTAGTTCAACTAAACAATCACCGTGAATCTCCTCTGTGGAGTACAGACACGCCAGGGACATGGTCTCTTACTTTGGGGAGGTTACAGTCTATTAATAGTGCAGGGACATTGCTTTCAAGTTGTCTGCAAACTTAGATTGTGAAAGAGTGTTTTTGATACTCTTCTTCCTTCAGCCAGTGCTTGCTTCCTTCTAGGATTTGTGAAATCTGCTTATAACGACAGAAAGCTATTGTGAAGCTATAGGGTTGGGGAGATTCTTTACATTTCATTTTCTTTAATCTTTTTTTGGTGTTCAGTTCCTGCTCTACAAAGTAGGGATAATAGTTTCTTTACTGTGTTGGGAATAATTAAAACATTTTAAGAATGCATCTAGAACCTTCCTGGAATGGCAGTCAGGCAATAAATGTCCTTCCTCAGTCTCCCTTTCCCCCCCACCTAAAATATAAAAGGGTTCTGTTTGTCCATATGTCCTATAACTCATGCAGACCTCACAAAGGTGGTGGGTACATTTCTGCGATTTGGCCCAGCTCCTTCCCTCTCTGCAGAAGTGGGCTGGTGGGTGAGGAGAATGGTCACTTGTGTAGAAAGATGGAAGGGTGGACTCCTCATCTCCAAGTAGGTTTACCTTTGCTGATCCCTGAAATTCCATTAGAAATTGATTTATGGGAAGTACTGGGTTTTAAGAAACTCTCTACTAAAATCCAAGATTTTGCCAGATGAGGTGGCTCGTGTCTGTAATTCCAGCATTTTGGGAGGCCCAGGTGGGAGGATCACTTGAGCCCAGGAGCTTGAGACCAGCATGGGCAACACAGTGAGACCCCCATCTCTCCAAAAAAAGTAGCCAGGTGTGGTGGCACACACCTGTGGTCCCAGCTACTTGGAGGGCTGAGGTGGGAGGATTGCTTGAGCCCAGGAGGTCAAGGCTGCAGTGAGTCATGATCATGCTACTGGACTCCAGCCTGGGTGACAGAGCAAAACTGTCTCAAAAACAAACAAACAAGCAAACAAACAAAACAACAACAACAAAATTCCAAGATTCCTTCATACTAGGGGGCAGTGTAGTGCAGTGAAAATGGGAGTAAGCTTTAAGCTACAGAGACCTGAGTTTAAACCCCCAAATCTTCGACTTTGTTGCCCTGAACAAGTTATTTAACCTCTCTGAGCTTTAATTGCTCCATTCATAAAATGCTTTGGAGGGTTGTTGTAAAGTGTACAAATGATATATGCAAAATGGTAGACAGTCAAGGAATAGTGATTATTACTCATGAGCCATCACGACAGGTAACACTAACTAAAGCTACTGCAGAGTGGGTACCTTGGGAAGGAAGGGACAGCCAGAAGAGTAAAGGGGCCAAAGGGAAAGGGGAGCAGGCCTTTTAAATATTGCCTCC
Organism: Homo sapiens; assembly: GCF_000001405.40. Classification (NCBI taxonomy): domain Eukaryota; kingdom Metazoa; phylum Chordata; class Mammalia; order Primates; family Hominidae; genus Homo; species Homo sapiens. The sequence continues at coordinate 177,083,488 of NC_000002.12, read as the reverse complement.
ATCACAATTTGTCTTGAGCGGGGTATCCATGAACTTGGATGGGAAAAAAACTTGTCTTTATTTTCACTGAACTCCAACTGAAATTTAACATCACTTTTTATGATGTATACAAGCAACAAGCCCCAGTAATATCAACGATATTTGTGAATTTGTCACCAAATTATAGATATGTTCATATAACATTATAATGGTTGCAGATATTTCAAAATATCATTTATACCAATCACTACTTTAAAATTGTGATAGTTGTTACTCCTGCCACTGACACTTGCTATTTAATGTTACTGAAAAAGCACATGCATTACTATGCACCAGAATGTTTTAGAAAATATTTTGATAAGAGTATATCAAGATAATTAGCTCCTTTTGCAATCCTATTCATTTGTTTTACATACTCTGAGAAGGGGTCCATAGGATTCCCCTGACTACCAAGGGGGCCATGCACAAAATTAAAACACTTTTGTCTAGAGCAAGAACCAGCTGGGTAGTGTAGCTACCAAGAGTCACTGGGGAGTTTGTCTCCTTTTCTGAGGGTTGCTGGTAAAAATTGAAACATTTACCACTGTGGCCTTCCATTACTCAAGCAAATGGAAAGGGAGATATCTGTATATTGATATCTATTCCTATGTGCTTTTCTCTTCTGATTTTCACACCCAGAAGTGGTGATTGTGGACAAAAAAGAGAATTGTATTAATGGTATTCATTACAAACAGAAAGTTAAGAAGATAGGTTGTTACTCTGTCTGACCTTGAATAACATATTTATTTCTTACCTGTGGGAAGGAAATACTAAATTAATCCATTGAGGGAAATGGGAACAAAACCAGTTTATTATTTTTTTCTGAATAAGTTGAGATGTTCAGCCTGTTTGTTGTAGCCCCCTCCTCTGTAAGGTGGTTGAGATGTTTGGGAGGTTAGGAGAGTGGGGGATAGGGCTGGATACAGAGAGAGGGAGAAAGAGAAGAGGCCAAGGAATTTCACAGGCAGTTTGACTTGACAAGAATTAATTAGACTTGTGACTTCAGACTTTTCTCATGTATTCCATAAAATAATTTTGAAAGAGTCTTTCCGAGTTGACATCTAAGTATTTTTTATCATAAATTTAAATAGTTGCAAAGTGTACATTAGATGATGTATCCTTTAGATATATCCATGATTAAAGTATATTTTCATCTGAACATTGGAGCTGCAGCTTTAGCTCATTAAATTCAAGGAGAGTGTGCATCATATAAATTAATTGGCAAAGCTAGTCCTTATTGTCAAGCCATTCTGCCAATTTGGACTCACTTTCTGTCAGAAAAAATCTTATTACATTTTTAAAACTCAAATAAAGGTATTAGAACATGGCCTTTTGGAACCTTCTCGCGTCTGAATTCTAGTTCTAAGAAATGAAAGAAGGGAACGAGGGAGACAGGGAAGGAAGAAGAAAGGAAGGATATTGGTGCAGAGGGTTGTCATGACTTTTTTGCCTCTCTTCAATATCCATATTTCCTTCTGAAGCCCCCTTGCTTTTTTCTCTGAGGACTCTCCCTCCAGAGGGAGCCATGGAGGTTTTTGCACCCCAGGAAAATGGTACCTCAGTCAGACTGTGGTGGCTGAAGACTGAGGTGGATATTAATTTTTTTTTTTTTTTTTTTTTTTACGAAGAAGGAAAAGGAATATTGGGGAAAAAGTATTTGTGGCACAATCTTAGGCAGATTAATTGCAGGAAAGAAATTTGCTGAAATGGAAGATTTGGCGATTGATTCTGCCCATGTGCTACTTGCAAAGTCTTAATGCTTCAAGGCATGTGTACCTGTACCCCTGTTTGAAGACCCCTGAGCTAGTTCAACCCCATCATGCTTATTTCAGTTTGCCCTAATTCATCTTAAATTCATGAATTAAGTGGCAGAGACCAGAACAATCTCCTGGTCCTGAGCTCTTTCCACTACTACATCCACCACTGTCCCAGGTGGCCCGCGGCCATCAGAGCTGAGGTGGGTGGGTCGGTTGAAGCACTGTGATCATGTGGCATTCACCAAGTTCAGTAGATTATTACTATTATTTTTCTTTGTAAATCCCACATTGTTAATCATCCTTTTTTGTTTCAAAAAACATCAATGTCCTGCCATATTTTTCTTTCTTTCTGAAAAAAACAAAAACAAAAACAAAAAAACACTGCCTTTGTTCCCGTAGCCTCACTGGGAAGGAGGGGACTACAGCTTCTCATCTCCACGTAGTCCTTGACACAGAGCAGCAGCGTGGAGCAAGCACCTCTTTTGAAACACAGAAGTCATTTATGTTTGGCACGCTCAGAGGGAGAAAAGCTGAACAAATAGATAGATTTCTTCAAGTCATGTTTCCACACCCCAGTGGAGTGGGAAGGGGGTGCACCATCAGTACAAGATTGTTGGGCCAATTGCATTTTCCCCCCACAGGCACACATTTGCATGGAAATTGCTGCTCTATGTTGTCAGGACTCTTTTAAACATTTCACCCAAAGAATTATGCCCAACTGGGGAGTTTGCCCTCTGGGCTGTATCTCTGTTGGACCAGGAAAGTGAAATTCCTCCATGAGAAAGGACTTGCCTTCAAGTCTTCAGCTTAAGGAATTACCAGCATGAGACTGCAGTAGATTTTATCTGTCTCCAGAGTTGCCTGTTTAAATATGGTGAATGCTGAGAGGTTGGGGAAGGTGGGTTAGGGTTTTGATCTTGTCTTAATGACTGGAGGAAGGTTAAAGTACTTCCCTAAATTCTTTTTTTTTTTTTAATTTTACTTTAAGTTCCAGGATACATGTGCAGAATGTGCAGGTTTGTTACATCGGTATATGTGTGCCATGGTGGTTTGCTGCACCTATCAACCCATCACCTAGGTTTTAAGCCCCACATGCATTAGCTATTTGTCCTGATGTTCTTCCTCCCCTTTCCCCCACACCCCCGACAGGCTCCAGTGTGTGTTGTTCCCCTCCCTGTGTCCATGTGTTCTCACTGTTCAACTCCCACTTATGAGTGAGAACATGTGGTATTTGGTTTTCTGTTCCTGTGTTAGTTTGCTGAGGATAATGGCTTCTAGCTTCATCCATGTCCCTGCAAAGGACATGATCTCATTCCTTTTTATGGCTGCATAGTATTCCATGGTGTATATGCACCACATTTTCTTTATCCAATCTATCACTGATGGGCATTTGTGTTGGTTCCATGTCTTTGCTATTGTGAATAGTGCTGCAGTAAACAGATGTGTGCATGTATCTTTATAATAGAATGATTTATATTCCTTTGGGTATATACCCAGTAATGGGATTGCTGGGTCAAATGGTATTTCTTGTTCTAGATCCTTGAGGAATTTCCACACTGTCTTCCACAGTGATTGAACTAACTTCCCTAAATTCTTACTCTCCTGCCTTGGTGGGCACATGCACTGGCTGAGCTCCAGGCAAAATAGTGCATAACCACCTGCTTCACCCCCTCTGTGGGGCCTTATACCTGCTTCAGGGGCCCCATGTCTTTTGTTTCTCCCACAATCAAGCTTGCTTTCAGGGACATGCCTGACATCAGTAGTTGCCCTTCTGTATGGCCTTTAGTGTGTGGAAGCTTTTCCCAGGACAGAGACTCCTGCACCTCTGTGGTGGAATGAAGAGGTTGGCCTGAGGTTTCAGTCATAGTGAACAGGTGGGGATGTTTTAAGTTTTTATTTTATTGTATTACTTGGGTGCGTCTCATTATATAGGCAACTGCCTACTCTCTGTAGCTGTAAGATTAGCCCTATTTTTGACATCCTAGCCCTGTGAAATGGCCAAAAATTGTGACAGACCCAAAAAATGAGGGCTGCACATGCCTTAGTGCAGGTGGAGAGTTGCATTACTGAGGTGCTGCATAAAGAGCTGCACCGTTCTCACGGAGAGCTCCTGATCACAGCAGGGCTGAAGGGACAGAACCACCAGGAGGCCAAGGAAGCCCCAGGCACCACTGTGGTCCAGCTCAGAAGAGAGACTTCTGAGGTGTTAACAGCTTTATATTTGCAGAGAGGAGCTGGGGGCATGAAGAAAGTGGAGTGGTTGAACAGGGGGCGCTGACAGGGCTCTTCACTTCAAGAACTTAAAGAGAAAAGACAGCAGACAGCATATGTATGAGGTGCCATCCAATAGGAATAAAAAATAAACTCAATTCAATCATGAGCATTTGAAATATTAATACTTATAAAGTGCCCATAGGGATAGAGGAGTCTACTGGGTACCTTTTAATGCAAGATTTGAAAGCTTTACTCATTTTGATTTTTCATAAGTTGCTTTGTTTAATTTGGGGATCAGGTCTTTTTATATCATCATTATAATGGAAATTTGACACGAGGACAGCATTAGAGGAGGGAGTGAGGGTGCGGGCTGAAGGAATTAGGATGACATGAGTCAGAACAGAAGAGAGGCAGAGGAAAAGCCAAGGGGAGGGGACAGAGGCTTGAGAGAGAGCACCATGTAATGGAGCAATGGAGTGACAGGAAAGGAGCAGCTGCCGCCATCTTCAGGGCTGAAGGTGGGAGTTGCAAACTGGCATCTATAGGTCCTATCTGCAGGCCCATAGTCAAGGGCATGTGTAACTTAACTCATATAATTTAAAAACACATTAAAATTGTCCAATTATGTTTAAAAACTCAGTGACTTTACACAAAAATTTGGGTTTCTGAGTTCTGTGGGAAAATCAGAGGAGCTGGCAACACTGGCCACCATCCCACGTGGTAATAATCTGCTTAGGCAGAGAGGTGGCATAGGGGGTGGAGGGCAGGAACACTACAGTTTCCACGTGCTCTCCTGATTGCTTCACACCCAGCCACCTCACTCAGTTACGTCACCTGCTCTGCCTGTATGGACACTTAGTTTGTAAGCTTTGGACTCAGCCCATCTTGGCCTGGGGAAGGGAGGCTGGCCCATTGCCTGGCTTCCTGAGGGAACTGCTGGTCCATACTGATGCTCTTGTTGACTCCTCAGAGTAAGCCTCTGCTGGTTGATGGAATCCAGATCCTGCTACCTCCAAATATGGTACCTTGGTGTTTAAGAAATCAGCAGAAGCACCTCACCTTCCCTTTGCCATTTTCCCTTGAAGCAGCTCATAAAGCCTCATTTTAGATGGACCCTCCCTATATCCAGAGGAAAGGAACATCCTTATCCTCAAAGACACAGAGGAAAATCTGAACAAGCAGGCCTTGCTAAATTCCCCCCAGTTTATTACCATTAGATCGTACCTCCTTTGTCTAATCATATACTTCTCTACCACCATCCACTCTTCTTCAAACCAAAGCATAAAAACATCCAGGTTTATCTGTTTCTTTGGGTCTTCATTTCCTTATGAAGGCTCCTATGTCACATAAAACTTATTAAATAAATCTGGTTGTTTTTCTTTTGTTATTCTGTCTTGTGCTATAGGTGCCTCAGCTATGAGCCTAGTGATGAGTACGGAAATAAATCCTTCTTCTCCTACAAGTACATGTCACAGTGTGGTGTAAGGAAAGCTAGAAAGATGTGTTGTAACATCAGGAAGGGCCCATGTAGTTGGCCCAAGCTGTGCTGGACATGCTTAATATCAGAAATTGGAAGTGGTGCTTAAGGGAAAGGAGTCTGACAAACTTAGACATAAATCACTGAAATAATGATTTTTAAAATAATCAAATGTATTAATAGAGCTACGGGAAGAGTAATTGTCCTGTATTTTATATCATTCCAGAAGTACTAGAAAAGTAAATATGTATGTCAATTATATATAATAGTAATCCAGAAAAATCATGTGTCTAAGAAATGCATCTAAGAATTCACAGATGTGATGAGGTGAAAATTCAGCCCCACATGTCTTGTTTACTAAGATGTTTTATTTTTATATTCATGGTGCTATGAATTTCACGCTTTGGCATTGTTATTGTTTTAATTGAACATATTCCTGTACCTCTGCATAACAAGTGATTTAGTCTCATCTTATAGCAGGGGCTGTGGACGTGTGTTTTCCTTATAATGGGATAGTAGGCATTATGGGCACTAAGATTAGCCTGCCCAGGATCTGAATTCAAATCCTGTTTTTGCAATTTATGACTTGTTAATCTTGGGTATATTACCTAAATTCTGTAAGCTAATTCCTAAAATGAAGATAATAATATATAACACATTGGGCTGCTGTGGGGATTAAAGGATACATATGTAAGGCACACAGTTTAAATAGGTACAGGACCTAGTCTCAATAAACAGTGGCTTTTATTATAATGGTGGTGATTTGTATTGCTCTTTCTGAAACTGCTTTTAGAAGGTCTCAGATTCTCTGGGTCAGACTAATTAAGAACCTATCAAGCTGTGTGGCATCTCGATAAACTGTGGGCAAAAAACGCAGATACATGATTGCTATCACCTTTTCATTCTCTCAACACCATCTTGTCTTTGCAAAACATCCATAAAACTTGTGTTTGCTGAGGAATCCCAGTGGGTAAAAACAGTGAAGAGAAAGGTTAAAATGGATGGTTAGCAACAGGTATGAAATAACAAAATAGAGAGAGAGTGAGAGAGAGAGAGAGAGAGAGAGCCTCCTTACAATCTTCAGAGAGCGCCTGGTGGAGAAGGAATTTACCTCTAGGCAGGAGAGAGTTGAGATGCTTGGGCTTCATGCTGGGGTTTTGCTGATTGTGCTAGGGGAGCAATGGCTTCAATGCCTAACTGTGGTTTGACCTTCTGCCACAGCCTAGAGGCTAAAGGAGCATAATTAAGCTACGAGCAAGCAAGCAAACAAACATTACTATCTGAGGGAGCTTTGAAAGGATGAGGGGCTGGGAGTGGAGGGAGCTGCTCAGTGACCAGGGAAACAGCAAGCAGTGGCTGTTTGCAGGTTCAGCAGTGATGAGGAGAGAGTAGCAATGTGGAAACACAGTCCAAGCCAGTGACGCTTGGTGGAGTCAGCAGCCCTGCCCCAGAGCAGCTGGGAGTGGGGTCTACCTGGGTGAGAGAGCTTACCCTGGGCTTCTTGAAACTCTGAATGGAAATTTCTTTTAATGGTAGTTAACTTTCTTTTAATAAAACTTCTTTGTAATTCATGTGACCAATATACTTGCAAGTGGAGGTGTTGGTTCTGGCTCCCTGGGCTGTGTAAATTTCTTCAGGTTTCTGAATGGCACTCAGAACATTAAATGCTGACCTGATCTGTGGAAAGGTGCCCTGAGAACCAAGTGCAAGCATTAGAGGAGGTGTGCTTTTGAGATTTGCATACGTGCAGAGACGACTCCTGCCTGAGAGTTCCGATGAGCGCCAGTACCTGGGCCAAACTGAAAGAAAAGAATATAAACGAATATATTTAAGAAACTCCTCCCCCTTCCCCATCTTAGAAGCAAGTTAAGTGCCTCAAATTCAGACGTGGTGATCCAAAGCATGACTTCTGTGCCAGTGTCTGCAAGTGGTCGTGGTCCCAGCTGTGCTAGAGATTGTTGGTTCACCCTTGCATATTCACTGTCCACACTTGCCCACCCTGCTCTGTGCTCTGAGAGGCTGTCTTGCACAGTGCATCAGTTCAGCTCCTCCCCTCCCCTCTGTTGCATCTGGCAACAGAATGCAGTGAAGAGAATCAGCAAGATAATTTGTGGTGTTTATACCTATGCTCCCTCACTTCCTGGCCATGTGCGGGCATTGACTGTGTTCCTCATGCAAGGCCATGGCTTCTGTCTGGTGGCCATCTCCTACAGCTACAGCTATAAACAACTTTCTGGGGAGAAGGTGGCTGCCCGTTTCTGCCCATCTGTCCTTCCTGCTATCTGGTTCTAGCTCCAGAGTACATTATTGTCTAGGTTGCCTTTAATTCTGCCTCTCCATTGAAAATAGTCTCTTCCTTTTGCTTCTGGAATTGCTCTCCCCTTGGTCTGATTGGATACTGTCATCCTGAGGGCCAAACCAGTGCACACCTCTGCCCCTACCCTTCCCTGGACCATCCCCCAGCTATCTTCTCCTGGTCTATCTTTTTCCATCCAGTCAATCCCCTGCCCTCATCTTACCTTGTCTTAGTGAGTCATAGATGGTGCTGCCCACTTCTCTCTGGTGTCAGCCGGAGCTGTGGTGGAGAGCTGGCTTCCAGAGGCTTCCAGTTGAGTAACTCAGGCAGAATGAGAGCTTTGATACCACAAAAATTGACCTCTGGAACTTCCCTTGAGTTTGGAATGAAGATTTATGAGATGAAGCCGAAGAGTTTAACAATCTGTCTAAAAAATCTGAAGCATTTGCCAGAAAGCACATAACCTCGATTTGGTATAATACTACTTGTTTCTGAAATTTGTGGGACTTTCTGAAATTTTTCCTAAAATTTGTGGAACTGAATAAAAATATCCAATGAATATAAGTTTATAAATATGTATATATAACAATCCATGATGGTATACCATAATGTACATTTTCTCCTTATTCCAAGTATGATTGTGTGCTCTTAGCCAATGAAAGCTAGCGGATGACTGTACTGTACCCTCTCAGCTAAGGGGCATTAGTTCACCATGCTGTAAATACAGTTGGCAATGAACCCTTTACCTCTCTATCTTGAGTGGAGCATGTTCTGCAATGTGGGTGTTTACTTCCTGTCATTTAATCTAAAGAATACTTTTAGTGGCTGACATAATGCCACTAGAGGATAGTGCTGGACTTGCTGCAATGAAATACAAGAAAAATTAGACCCTGGGTGTTTGTGATTGGAGGAAATTTCAAGCAAGTGGTAGAGGAAAGAGCAGGCTGGGAAGGACAGTCAATTAGGAATGGGTGGGAGAACTTTGACATCTTGAAGAGCCTCACAATCTTCCCTGAAGCCTGAGAGTATTTTCCAGAATAGTTGGCATGGTTGATGGAAGAAACAAGGCAGGAGACCTGTCATGACTTGAAGGGAGTCAAAGAGAACCAGGGAGGTTTTGTCCGTGGATAATGGCATTGGTGCTAACGCGCAATGTCATAGGTCTGCAAAGAGTCTATAAGCACCCAGTTCAGCAGCATGCCTGTTTCCAGCAGTGTACCCACCCTTTGCATTAGAAGAGCTCCAGGAGCCATTTCTTTTCTGCTCTTTGTAGCAGTTACCCTGAATATGCCCTGATAAATGAAACAAAGGGAAGAAAGAATTTCCATCTAGAGCTTTCCTAACAATGCTAGCTACAGCTTTGCAAAAGAGGCCAAAATAAGCAGCTGTCATGCATTCATCAAATTCAGGACTCTCCCAAGTATTAAATCAATCCTGTCAAAGCAGTTTTATTGTTGATGGATGAATGGATGGAAGGAGAAGCATTGCTTTAAAAGGGCTTGCCGTTTGGAGTAGAAAGCATGCTGGGAGGCCCAGTGGCTCAGTGTCGTTCTTTAGAGCCCAACAGTATCTACTGGGTAGGTTCCAGTTCTGTTGCTCCTGGGCTCACTTTGTTGAATTCTGCTACTTTTAGAATATTCTACTTTCCATGAACTTAAGATCAAACTCAGAATATTTCCATGATTCTGGTGGTTTGTAAGGAGCCCTGGTCATTCACTCAAAATCATTAATATTCAGTCCAGGTCTTGCCCCAGCTTAGTCTTTTGGTGACTGTAGCAGAAGGAATAGTATCTGGATCTAATTTTGTTATAATAAATTATCTTATTGCTTCTTTAATTAGCAACTTGACTCTTTAAATATGGGTGACACATGGACTGTCTCATCTTTGTCCATTATGTGGGTATTTCTTGGATTAGCTATAAAGCTGCTCAAAGAAGCCAAAGATTTGACCCCTGTACATATGTTAACCACAGAGGCATATTTTACTCAGATCTGAGAATGCTAGAAGATACTCCCCAACTCTCAGAAGATAGCTAGAAGTAAATGAGTTTAAATGTAAATAGACAAGAGAGAGGGTTTTTTTTTTTAAAAAAAAAAAGGAAAAATTGGTAACCACTAAAATCACCTACTTTGGAAAGGTATGGTTTCTCCTTCTAAAGACCTTTAAAAATAAGGATAGCTCTCTATTGTTCTGTGGAGTATTTAATTCATAGACATAAAGGAATGGGCTAGAGTAGGATTTTTCATTGTGTGCCCAGTGAGGGGCTTCTCAGGTTGGGGTGGAAGAGGGCCAAGTGAAGGGAGGGCCAAGCTGGTGGGACAGCACTGGCTCATCTCTGAGGCATGTGCTGCTAAACTTAGAAAAGAGATGCAATCTTCATCTCTTTGCTTATTTCCAAATCTTAAATTCAGACAAGAGATAATCAGGAAGCAAACATTTATGACTAAAAAACGTTGAGAAATTCGCTTTGAAATTAGAGCATTTCTTTTTTAGAAATTGTGCTTAAGAAAACTCTCATTCAGTTTTAGTCTATGACATTAGGGGTCTCATATAAAAAGGCTACCATGTGTACAGCTCATAGTGGGCACTTAATAAATGCTTGTTGAATGAATAGGTGCATAGGAGGAGAGCAGATACAACGAAACACATTTGGCTTATTTATTTCTTGAATGTTATTGGTGGAAGAAGCACTGAATATATTTGTTCTGTAGAAAAGGGGTCAGCCTAGTTTTTCTGGAAGGTCAACATAGTGAATTTTTTTGGCTTCATGGGACATACTATCAATGTCGCAACTACTCAGCTCTGCCATTATCATGAAAGCAACCACAGATAATATATAAGTGAATGGATATGGTTGTGTCCCAATAAAACTTTATTTACAAAAGCAGCATGCTGGATGTGGCTCATGGGCCATAGTTTGTTGATCACTGGAGTGGAGCACAGGTCTGATCAAAACTCTCAGTTTCAAGGCATATTGAAGTTCATCAATAAGAATATTAGGTGTGAGAATCATTATTTAATGGTGACTTATTGTTGGATCAACATTTTGTGTAGAGTGTTCTAGACTTTTATTTCAAAATAGCTGAATAGAAAACAACTGCATATATATGTTGGCAAATGTTCATTTCATTTTGTCATTTCAGCAAACTTTTCCTTTCTTCTCTTTAAACTCTTGTAATATACTTCTACATAATAAAATATTAGAAAAGTATTTTTTTCTCTTTCAGAGTGACAAGTTGTTTATGAAAAGTTTTGTGTGCTGTGAATGCAGGATTTTTACTCCTTAGAATTCAATCTTTTCATCTTAAGACATATATAATCTCCTTCCTTGGGAAGGAGCCAGCAATGATGAAAACAAATGAAGTCTGAGTGTTAATACTAGGTTATCCAACAGGACTAGATTCTAGCTGTTGAGCACATTTCTGGCAGAAGCCAAAATGGCTGACTCATAAATCAGCAAGGATTTTGTAAATGTCTCGTGTACTACAAAGCTACTCTATGGAAATCCTGACATATTTATTCTCATTCTCTCTTTGTTTCTTTCTCTGTCACTGTCTCTCTTGCTCATATATACACACCCCCCCCACACACACACCCCCGCCACAGGGTTCTGAATAATTACTGGCACTTTTTTCTTTTACTTAGCTTACATTTTATTATTGTGGCATTCCAGCACTTTTATTGACTATGATAAAACTGCATTAGTTCAAACCATTCCAAATTTGAGCTACTTTCTAAGAAGATTAGAACATTAATTGTTTTTAAATTGGAACAGTAAAAGGAAACAATCTTTATGCTGGGTAGACTTAAAATATAAGATTATCTCATTAACCTTATCTACAAAACCATTAGCACAGTAAAAAATAAAATAAGAAAAAAAACCTCCAGGACAATACAGCATTTCAGTGTACATTTTTTAAAGCAATCTACAGCTAACTAGGAATAAATTTCACTCAAGAAAATTCTTTTTTAAAAGAGTATCTCATAAGTAGCAAGTAGCTGATTATTATAAACTTTCAAGACTGTGTCTAGAAAGTGCCTAAAATCATTGCAAAATTTGGTCCTGGGATTTTCTGTGGCCTTAAGCAAATCTTTTAACTTTTACCTGCTCTTCCATTTGCCATGTGCGGTATCATTTTTAGAGTCACCAATTTAAGATGATAAGAAGTGGGAAGAGACCAACTTATCTGACCATACGCCTTCATTTTTATTTTATATTATTTTATTTTTACCAAGAATGTACCTGAAACTCATAAAATGACTCATTCATGCTCTCATATCTCAATGGAGCTTTGGGGGTTCAAAGGATCTTTTTCTATGCCAGCTTGGCCTGAGCTTTCCGAAGAAGATGGATTTCTTGGGGGAAGGCAGGCGGTCCACGCAGAAGGCATGAGATTAGTCATTCAGTAGGTCTCATCAGTTTCCCTGTGGTTCCATTGTCCCTGAAGTCCTCTCTAAGTTTAGCCCTCTACTACTGGCAGAGCTGTTGACAATGGGGAGGTTCTGTCATGGCTTGTACACTGGGGACTGGTGCCCTGATTTTCCTTAGTAATCCTTCTCAACACCTCAGTCATCTCAAAGAAACAGAAGCCATTTTGGAAGCACCATTTTGGAAGCAGAGAGCAGCTCTTACCAGACACTGAACCTGCTGGCCCCCAGTCTTGGACTTCTCAATGTCCAGAACTGTGAGAAATACATTTCTGTTATTTGTAAATTGCCTGTTTTGTTATAGCAGCCCAAATAGACTGAGACAAATGTAAAAGACCTTTTAGATCTTATGGTGTCTAATGGGTCTCTATTGCACAGTAGCGTAGAGATAGACAATGGAGGTATAGAACATTGAATGACATCTATATTGATTTGAACACAGAGGAGACAGATACTAAACATCTCTAGAATAAAGGTTACAAGTAGGTTTTAACATGCTTACCAATTGTTTTTGATTGGTAAGGGCTGCTGGGAGTATGGTGCTGAGATAGATTCTTATGGATCAGAATGAAAGAGCTTGTGAGCAATTTATATCTGCCACAGACACAAGAGGAGGGTGGTGGCCACTGGTTATGTATTGGTTATCACTGATTTAGAAGAATCTTCCAAGTCTGCTTTTCATTTAATACAACTAAAAGTGAAGGTCAAGGGCAAAAGTAACATAGGACATACTAAAGAAGATATAAGAACAAAAGTTGGTTTGAAGACAAGTTTCTTTAATCAGCATCTTTCCTTGTGATTTGGGTTTTATAACAATAGTATGTAAACAAAACTTTCTATAGGTTGGGATTTTTAGTTGATTGAATTCTTAATAAGTGTATATTAGTATTTCTGAGTCTTGTCTGATATTTATCAGATCAAAGTGACTGGAAATGTATTCCAGACCAAAATTATCCAGAATAGATCTCTTTTCACTGTTCGCGATTGAGTTTTCCAGGAACTCAGTTAAGACTCCTCTGAAGGAATACTTCACGGAATGAGGGATGGCCATGGCCCCACTTTCTGGGAGACAACCTGTCAGATGTGTGGAGAGACCCAGTCCCAATCCTCCTTCTTCTCTTACTAGATCTGCTGTTATTTGATGCCTTGGGCTAATCACATGGCTTCAGTGAGCCTCACTTGTAAGGTGGGGATACTCTTATCTACCTGAAGGGATTATGAAGATGAAAGGAAGAATCTTAGATTTACTCTTTCCTAGTGGTTTGGGACAAGAGGAAAATTACTTCATTTATCAGTGTCTCAGTTCCTCATCTATAAAATGGGGATAATAAAATAGTATCTACCTCATAGGGTGGTTGTGAAGAATAAGTTAATATATGTGAAACAGCAATGCCAAGCACACGGTATGCATTCAGTACATGTTAGCAACTTATTAGTATTATTATTATTACTACATAAAACTTTTGCAAGAAAGGAGTATATTAAAGCAAATAATTATTTATTAGCACCTAAATTAGACATGTTAGAATTGGGCTTAAGCACATTTCTCATGGTGTGGGAATTCATTAATACTTGGTAGAAAGGATTTGTTCCAAATACTACATCCTCTGTTTTCATTTTTTGTCTTGCGTTTTACCGTAGTTTTTTCCCCCTTCTTATCTTCTATTTCTCTTCAATTTTCTGCAAAATGAAAAGTGATCATGAAGTGGGAAAACGTATATTCTTTCAACTTCTCAGAAAAAAGAGGCTATAAAACTGCAAGGTGATAATGCTAACAATAAAAATGATATGTAGTCAAATCTGAAAGCTACAAAAACAAACTTAGCTTGGCTCTGTTTTTGGTGTGGTCAATGAAAGCCTCCAAGTTTTTCTGTAGTTTGCAGGATGCAGGGGTTATTCAGGTGGTGAGGCATCCCCACAGTTCCACAAAATTGTTGGGGGTGGAGGAGGACTTTTACAAATGTTTCTGTCCCATGCATCAGTAAGTTTGAAATCACACAGAGGTTTATTAGATAAATAGATAAAAAGTGTTTTCAACTGTGAGTGATGTACTGGCTGAGTCTAATACTACACATACAAACTATTGGGACAACTGTTTTAAGAGTGGGTGTTATAAAGGCAGACAATGGTAAGGATGTGGGTTATGTGTTACTGAGACTACTGGAAAGTGACTAAGAGGCATTTGGATAGATGTCCTACCAGTTCCTGGTGTGTGGCTTCTGCATAATTTACGTAGTTGGTTTTTTGGAGGAAGACACTTTAAGACACTTTGCCAGCTTTCTCTCAATAATGAATGGTTCTACATAGAGAAGAGGACTCTGAGACCACCAGACAGAGATTGGTACCCACCTCCACCTCCACCCCAACCCTATCTATCTATCTATCTATCTATCTATCTATCTATCCATCTATCTATCATCTATCACTTATTTATCATCCATCCATCCATCCATCCATCCATCCATCCGTGATTCATCCATCTGCCCATTATCTTAGAGTCAATTGAAATAAAAAGGGCTGTGTTACAGGAACTGTCAAGAATCTACGCTAAGTGAGGGGATACTAAGTGTCAATCAACATGAAGGATAAACTGGGAAATTGGTTTGAACAGTACACCAACAGTAATGGAGAAATTACTCATTTGCAAACTGAGAGTGTCCCTACTAAAGATATATGACATAACAGATAAGAGCAATACCCCAAATTACACTGGACTTGGGCAATAGTATACATATTTAAATCCCCCAAGAATGTGTTTATGCCCAAAAGAGCAGCAATGGCCTATTGAACCCATAATCTCCATGTTAAAGCGGCCCAGAGTGCACATTTACGCAGCAGAGCATGGCCTGACTTCAGTAGCAATGAGTTGTAGACTGAATCTCATTGAGAGCTACCAGGCACTTCCCCTTACTTGGTATAATAGCTCCAGAGGAACCCTTATACACTTAGGATCTTAGTGTAACAAGCGGGATGAAATGAATGCATCTCTGCTTTTAGTCTTACAAAGTCTTTTTTCTATTAAAGGCTTATTTCTAATGGCATTAAATAAACACAAAGATTTGCCACCTTTCAGAAGTCTAAATTCAAAATGAGAGTTAAAATCCATACTAACAATCCTATTCAGAATTGAGTCATGTTATGATATACCATATATCATAAATTGTCAAATATTGCTTTGGTTTGCAGACATAATTAATATAAGCTAGCCATTAATAGTATGATATATGATCCAGGAACCTTTAATATAACAAAAGCCAACTAATATTTATCTCTAATATGCTATAATCTTTACTCACATCACAAAGCATTAACAAAGGGTATATGCTTTAATGCTTTACTCTCGTGGGCTTATTTGAACTTTTTTTTCTGGTTTAATTAGCTTATTCATTTTAATTAAAGTACAGTGCAACATTTACATGGTGTTTAATCTGAAAGTTAATCCTGTTTTCTTAGAAGATTAAGTACAGTAATAAATATAAAATAATGGTGGCCGTATCTCATAGGACTGGCACTTTGACTATATGAACAACTTCTGCTGGAAATAGCAGAAACAGATTTTTCTCTAGAATTCTTTCCTTAAGCCACAAAATAGCTTTAGCCAATTAAGAGCTCCCACAAAAGCCAGACATGTGCCCCCATCCCTCCACCCCCACCCCATGGATGTTCACAACTTTTGAATCTGAGGCCAGACTCCAAAACCTCCTGCAGTGGCCCCACAGCTTGTATTTGTTTGCTATGGACTCCAATCCCCTAGAATGCTTCCTTCCCATGTTGAGTTCATCTTGACCAGGGGGTCTGACCTTTTCCTAGAAATGAGTATGCTTGTTGTCAGTGTTGTTTTCTAGCCTCACTCTTGTCTTAGCCCTTGGCAACTTCAATGCCTATGTGGACAACCTGTACAGTAGGCACCTTGTCTCTTAGTTGCCTGACCTCCACAGTGATGATGACTTTTCCTGCACTTTGACTTGGCCATTCACTTCCATGGTCACACTCTAGAATTGTCATTGCCAGAGACTGCCTTGCTCTGAAGTCACTTCCTCAAACTTGCCATTATTCAGCCACTACTTCTATTCTTCCCCACTTCCACTACAGCATTACTTCATTAAGAGCATCCATCCATCAACCTCTTCATCTCCTATCTTTATTTTCTTCCCAATTCACTTACATTTCATGTTCATTTAAATATCTTTCTTGCAGATACCCTCAGTTCCCTTGTCATATGCATTCTATAATAAAATGCCCATATTGGATTAATATAGGGCACTTTCCCTGTGTCTGTGCCCAAATTGAATTTTTCCCATCATCATTCCAACATGCTTTTGTATCTCTTATTTAAAACAGTTCTTCCTAACTCTACCTTCCCCTCAATCACCTCTTTCACAGTCAATTTTCTAAGAACTCTTGTATACACATTTATTTCACTTCCTCACCTTTTATTTGCTTTTGGGCTAACTCCAATTTGGTTTTCACCACCCTTCTTCACCTAAATTCATCTTGCTAAGGTTGTCAGTCACTTGGACATTATCAAATATAATTGACACTCTTCAGTTCACCTCCTATCTTGCTTCACAGCAGCATTGTCAGAGCTGTCAAGTCCTACATTTGAAATCCTTTTCTTTCTTGGCTTCAGAGACATCATGCTTAACTGGTTTGCTTCTACTTCTCTGGCCTTTCTTTCCAAGTCTGCCTTGGAGACTTCTCTTCTATCCAAACTCTAAATAGAATATCTCAGTGCTTGGTCCTTCATTCTCTTATTTTCTCAAATTCCTGGGAATTTTGAATTTTAAAGATTAAGATCCATCTACATGGAAAACACAGGTCCACGCAAAGACTTGTATGAATGTTCATAGCAGCTCCATTCACAGTAGGCCATAACTGGAAACAACCCAAGAGTCCATCCACAGGTAAATGGATAAACAAAGTAGTGTTATGTATACAATGGAATACTATTCGGCAATAAAAAGAATGAACTATTGGTGCATACAACACCATGGATAAACCTCAAATGCATTATGCTAAATGAAAGAAGGCTGACAGAAAGGAGCATGTACATACTATATGATTCCATTTATTTAAATTCTAGAATATGTAAGCTAATCTATAGTGGCAAAAGCTGATCAGCATTGTCGGAGGCTGGGGACGAAGGGAGGGATGGATTGCTAAGAAGTGCATTAAAAACAAACAAACAAAAACAAAAAACAACCACCACAAAACCCTTCAGGATTATGGAAGTGTTCTGTATCTTTATTGTGAGGTGGTTTCATAGGTGTATACATCAGTCAAAACTCATGAAATTGAACATATTAAGTGGGTGCAATTTATTGTAAGTTATACCTCAATAAAGTTGATTAAAATCTGTATGCTGGCAATTCTTGCATTTATGTCTTTAACATAGATCTCTCTTATGAGCTTCAGACACTGGATCTAACTATTCACTTGACATAGCCATTTTGATATTTCATAGGAATTTTGAGCTTAATAAGTCTAAAACTGAACCATGGATTTATTTTTCACAGGCTCTTTTTTTCTCACCTCAGTAAATTGCTGTCTCTAAGACACCTCAAAGTACAGTGGCTTAAATAAAATAGAGTTTATTTCTGTATCACAGGACAGTCTAGAGATGGGTGAGCCAGGGCTGGTAGGTGACTATCATCCTAACCCCTGGATTCCATTTCTGGGTTCCAGGAATGCTTCTGTTCTCATCCCAGACAGCAGAAGCAGCGAAAGGGTAGAAGTGCCTGCATGTTTCTTTTTAGAGGCATAACCCAGAAATGTTAAGTGGCCCTACTTCATAACAAGGGAGGCTAGGGACTGTTGTCTTTATGCAACCATGTACACTATTCAGCTAAAACTTCATGGTAGAAAGGGATAACTGATGTTGAGAGACAGGTCTTCTGGCTTTCTTTAGGATGTGTGGGGAATTGAGCAAATGTTTTTGTGGGACCCCTATCTATGCATTTTAATTAAAAATATATTATAAAATCCATGGGCCTCTGTGAAGTAAAGTGATTTGTCAGTGAAGACTTAGAAAAATGAGTATAGAAGAGATACTTACATATTTATATACTGTCCAGTCAGTGCATATGTTCAGGCATCTCTCATGTTCTTTATTATCAATGGCATTGTTTTTGGCTAATTTTGTATCTCCTATGCAAGAAAACTACAGCAACACTGCTATTACTCACAATGACATGGCTCTTCAGAACTTTTTGTATTGAAACAGTATAGATCTTCTCGTCACTGCAGTACCCTAATACCATTTATTTTAATGCTGGTTGTATCATTACTCATGATACGATATCATTTATCTACCTTGCCATCAGTGAATACTGGCTTCCAATGACTCTCTCAGAGATTGTTACTATGCTTCCTTGGTGGTGACTCTGTATGCTAGACTTACCCAGACTATGTAGAAACATGCAAATGATTATTTTCTTGTAGCTTTAAACCACCTATTCTTCAATTTATGGTATAAATGTAGAACAACACATCTCCCAAATGTGTCTTTTCTTCACCTCTTCAGGTTGGAATCTCTGCATTTGCAGAATGTGATCTCTTACAATGATGACTGCATCTCTGCAGGCTGCAGAGGTGAGGAACCCATGGGCAGAGTGAGAGGCGCAGTCCATTGCACAAGGAATGTCTGTCCTTCACCCAGCACAGCTTAAGACTGAGCTGAGAGAGTGTAACATTACCGCAGCCACCAGGGGCAAGAGAAGGCATCGTGTTGGGGAGCATGGTCTCTAAAGCCTTCAGAGGAGGTAGTCATGCCTCTAGCCTGAATGTGCTTGAGATGCTTTTCTTTTCTCCTTTGATGCAGGCCCGGGGACACATGCTTTCCTCTACTTGTAGAAGGAGGCACCAGACACCTCTTACCCTGGAGTTCTTTTCTCTAGAAGATAGCCTATACAGTGGGACATGGCGTCTTCAACCTCCTGACTCTAATCACCTTTGAAGATAAGCATCCAATCCCTTTACATTAAAGGTATGGGATTACAAGACAGACAAACAAAGGGAGACGCTACATGCTTCCAGAAAAATATTATGCAGTTCTCATAGTCATGATTCCTGGGCTAGGTACTATTCCTTTAGGGTATTTTAACTGGGCATCTCTTAAAATTCTTATTGTCAGTTTTAATTTCTAACAGTGGAATTTATCAAATCACTGGAAATACAGATGGCTTCTTCATTGCCTTCAGGGAGACTGTCAGGCCTGGACAGCCAGCCTTAGAAGAATCTTGGTTGTCATCTTATCTCCAGTGAGCTATTTGTAGTTCTGGGACTGCCGCGCTAGATTTTACCACTTTCCATTGGTGGTGGCCTCATACAGTTTTGAGTATAAAAGAGTCTGTAGATGTCAATGCAACCAGACTAATGAAATATATCATTTGGTACATTTTACAGTCATTCTGTCATGACCCCTCACAGCAACATCATGGAGTAATAATTGTTTTATCCATTTTAGAGATGAAAAAAATGAGATGTAGAAAAAGATAAATAATTTCCCAAAGTATGTCTGACTTCAGAAACCTCAATGTCTCTACCTCAGCTGTTCTCTCAAAGGGAAGGAACAAAATGCAGTTTATGTACCTTACCCTGATGCCTATAGAGAAACTGGTTTGGAGAAATTTTGACCAGCCAATGCCAAATTCTTGTCTCATAGGCCACTTGTTCTTGGAGGTTGTGAGCTGCAAAAGGAAATATACCTCCTTAGGAGATAAAGCTGGACACAGCCTGGCCATCTGTTCTCTTGGCAAGAGCTCACATAGGCTACCTTTATGGATGGGGAAATGGAGGAGGGCATGTCACCAGCCAACAGTGCTGCTGGCAGTGAGGCATGGAGACAGACGGACTTGAGGCAGACTGACTGCTGTCAACATCTTAGAGTCCAAGGAAGAGGCATCATGAGGACTGTACATCTTGCAGAAGAGGGATGCACTGGAGTCTTGGTGGCAGTGGTGGAAGTCTTAGCTCCAGTGGTGGAAGGAGATGCCTATTTGGCCAGCATTCCTGCTGGGTATTATGCTAAGTGCTGAGGTTAGAGTAATAGACAGGAGAGTATAGTGAGATAGAAAGACATTAAGTAAATATTAATGCACATAATTGTTTAATTATATTTGTAATAAACTCCCTGATGAAAGTAGGGTGTTTTTTGAGAACACATAATGGAGAAATCTAACTGAGTCTCTGTGTGGGGTGGTTTCAGAGGGCTCTTCTGAGAAGGTGGCATCTGTAATAACTCTATGAATTGTTTGCAACAGACTTTATAGATTACTCATCAAATATTCGTTTCCCTTCCCTCTTCCTTCATTAGAGGACCATCCCGTGCCTCCCTCTGCTTTTGCTTTTCAGGTGTCCACCTTCCTCTAGCCATGTGCTTCAAGGGAGGCAGTCCTGGGATAGGTGTCCTGATTGATCTGAGTCAATCATGGTGGTCTTAGTCCCTTGCAATTGATTGGTTTAAGCATGTGCTAGGTTAGAACATGTGATTGGTTAAGATATATTACAATTTTGGCCATTGAGACCCAAGGAAAGTCTATGATATGGCTTTTGGGAAAGGTTTCCTCACTCTTTGTAAGGAAGATGTGGCCCTTTCTGCCTCTCAATGTTGTCACATCTGATATCCTTGAGTGGAACTCACTTGAAGACAATTTCCATTCACCAAAGGCAGAGTAGAAAAATGGAAAGAATCTGGGTTCCTGCTGGCTTCCTTAACTGTAGATGTCAGCCGTGGAACATCCCTAGCTTTAGATTTTTAGATGTGGGCTGGGCGTGTTGGCTCACGCTTGTAATACCAGCGTGATATTACAAAGTGCTGGTATCACGCTTGTAATACCAGTACTTTGGCAGGCTGAGGCAAGAGGATCACTTGAGTCCAGGAGTTCAAGACCAGTCTGGGCAACAGAGTGAGACCTTGTCTCTACAAAAAATTTAAAAACTAGCCAGGCATGGTGGTTTGTGCCTGTAGTCCTAGCTACTCAGGAGTCTGAGGTGGGAGGACTGAGCCTGGGAGGCATCAGCCACAGTGAGCCAAGATCACACCACTGCACTCCAGCATGGGCAACAGTGAAATCCTGTCTCAACAAAAAAAAAAAAAAAAAAAAAGAAGAAGAAAGAAAGAAAGACTTTAAGATGTGTTCCTCATTGTGTGAGCCACTTAAGTTTGGGTTGCTGCCATGTGTACCTGAAAATATAAAAAGGGTTATCCAGGCAATGAGGGTAAGTGGGGAGGGCCACACCAGACTGAACAATAGATGCATAGTCCTGCATGGACACAGACAGGGCCTATATGGCTGGAGAGCAGTGAGTGAAGGGGAGTGAGGAAGAACAAGATGAAGCTGGAGAGTTGGCAGAGGTCAGATCATGCCACTGTCATAATTGGACAATGGCTAATAATTTATTAATATAGTTGGACTCCTCACAGACATATTCAGGCTTATAACTCTTCACTCACTTTGCATAGCTCTAACAGAGCACTGGGTGATTCTTACTTTCAAATCTGTATGGTGGAGAATGGGAATAATTATTATGTACCTTCATGATCTATGATATGAATTAAATTCACTAAAAATCACTCAGTTCTTTAACTTACTTGGCTCATGTAACTATAGCCTGATTTCTGTATCGTTGGCTTCTATATTTTTGCTCCTGGGCTTGCTGTCCGGTGGAACTGCCTGAGGATTGCCCAGTCTCAATGGAATTGAATTGGGTCCTCAGCACTTAAGCATTTTGAGCAGTAGTTTAGAGAGTAGTTATGCTAGTCATGTTTGTTATAATCAAGCTGGAGATCTTAAAATTCTTTAGTCTTGATGTCTGAGGGACAATCTGGGAATTCTCTAAGGTAATGAGGACTGAGTTCCAATAGCTCTTGAGAAGAGTCTTCATACAGTCCCAGCAGCTGAGAGACGTGCAGGGGGATAGAGAGTCCAAAATATAGGTGCTAGGGGTATGGTTTCTAATAAGCCCAATTAACTTAGACAGGAGACCTGCCTCTCAGCTCAACCTTGCCCATTGTCATGAGCTCTTTGGCACATGTAGAGTCTTTGCTCATTTCCTACCAGCCTCCCCTGGCTGTCTGGGTCTCTGGCTGGAGAGCCTGCTATGGATGACTGCCTGTGAGACTTGGACCCTGACTTCCCATGTAGAGGAGTGTTTAGGAGTTCAGGCTTTGGAACCAGACACCACTTAGCTGCTACATGAACCTGGGGCACAACATTTAACTTCTTCATGCTATGTTTTATTCATCTGTAGTATTGTAGTAATAATAATAATTGTAGTACCTAAGTGATCGCAGTGTTATGAGGAGGATTAAATGAAGTGATCCATGATGAATGTTCAGCACAACACAGATGTTCAACCTGTGACAACTATTATTTAAAATCTTTTTGTTTGATTTTTGAGACAGGGTCTCACTCTGTCACTCAGGTTCGAGTGCAGTGGCGCAATCATAGTTCACTATAACCTCGAACTCCTGGGCTCAAGGGATCCTCCTGCCTCAGCTCCAGAGTAGCTATGACCACAAGTCTGTGCTACCATACCTGGCTAGCTTTTTTTTTTTTTTTTTTTTTTTTTGGACATATGGGGGTTTCACTATGTTGCCCAGGCTGGTCTTGAACTCCTGGCCTCAAGTGATCCTCTTGCCTCAGCCTCCCATGTTGCTGGGATTACAGGCATGGCTTGGTCTAAAATCATTATTGATTATCATCATTGTCACTGGTATTTGTGGTATTTGTGGGCTGGGTCCTGATCCTCGAATGAATGCAGTACCTTACCATCTTTGCCATTGTCATGGCTAATACAATGCCACAACAAAACTATTTATTGAGCCATGTACCAGGCACCATGCTGGGGTCAGAGAACTTCAGAAAGCAAACAAACAAACAAACACAACAATAAAATAAACCCCCAAACCAAACTGAAACAAAAATACCCAAACAAAAAACCAAAACCAAAAATTCAAAAACCCAGTTTTCAGAACTCATAAGCCAGGAATAGTTGGACTTTAACATGAGCCTTCATTTCTCACAATAAGCTGTAATTTGAGAATATGATTGTGATTGTCTTAGTTTTTAAAACTATGACTGCAAAAAAACCCTTTTAAAACTTTCTTGCAAAAATATTTAATAATTTGATTTGTGCTCTTTGATAGGTATGTTAAACCACTTAATCTGTAGATTCATTAAAAGTGGCTCATATTCAGAGAGAGTGATTTTTTTTTTCTTTAGTGTGTGTGGAACCTTCTGGGATGTTTCCAGCCTAAGCACAGTTCTGAGCAAACCATGCTTTGCAAAGCCAGTTATTTGTTTTACTTCTGCCAGAATATTGAAAGTTTGCCTGGTGAACATTCCCTGAAATCAAAGTGACTTATTATCAGGCTTCCTTTGCTTTTGATCCTGCTGCAGGATGGTGTGTTTTCCTAATGATGCAGAATCTCTCGTTAAGTTCAGGAAACAGGATATAAGGATAAGTCAATTGACTCAATTTATGGACATAATAAAATGGTCCCTATTACCTTCAGCAGTCAAGGCAAGACAAGGTGAAACACAATGTTGTAAAGTTATTATGACAAAATAGTTTAGTATTTACCTGACCAAATAAAGTGAAAATACTGCATTTATTTTTGAAGCGGCATTTCAGACATTATGACCTAAAATTAATAGTGGTAGACGATCATTTATCCTGTCGCACAGGGATATTGCAGAGTTCACTCAAAGCCAGGAATATCTGCTATTAAATCATGGCAAACTAAAAAAAAATTGTTTTTGAAGTATTTCCTCGTGTCTGCTCTATGTCTACTGTTGGCCCCACGGAGCCAGTGTTAACAGCTAAGGCATTTCTTTTTCCATCTTGTAATATAATTAAAAGCAAATTTAGAAGCAGAATAGATGTTTTGTATGTTAGAACCCTGTTAGTTTTGGGGGAAGGCATTGGCAATGCACACAGTTGTTCCTGACGATTATAAACTCAGAAAACAAACAAACAAAAAAAAACAAAAGGAAAGAAAGAAACCAAATTGACCAAATATGGTTGCTTGTGTCTTCCAGTGGAAAGCAAGTCTTTTGGATGGCCATAGGAAAAAATAAATGTAAATCAAATATTTTTAACCTGCTGTGTTTCAAAAGAGATGGACATGAAGCTACAGGGGTATAAAGCTTTCAAGTAGTTAAAGGCAGGGACATATGATATTAGTAGCTTATGAAAATACTCAAGATTAGAGCTAAATTTCACTTTTGGTTATTCACTAGACTCTAGAATTTAGAATCTAAGACATAAAGTGTTTATGCTTCTGAATCAAAATAAGACTCCAAGTCAAGTAGGGAAGACTTTGTGGGCATAAAGCACATGTGAAATGGTTTCACTTTGACTATCTAATCATCTGTTTGCCTGTTGATTGTGAGTAGCAGAGAGACCAACAATAAAATCCTTCAGATCTTTGCTATCATCTTTTGCATCAGGCCTGCCTGCCCCTGACATCTTCATTTAAAATTGCATCTGTCTATGCTCACCTCACCCATCTTCACTACCAATCCACTTGCCCTTCATTGCTTTTTATTTTTTATAGTTCTATCACCTTCTAACATTCTACATAATTTACTTCTTATGTTTAATTGTTGTTTCCCCCCGTATCCCTCATGTGAAGCTGGGATCTTTGATTTTTTCATTGATTTATATCAAGCATCCACAGCAGTGCCTGGCACTTAGTAGGTGCTCAATAAATATTTGTCAAATGCCTGAATAAATCATATCCTCTTTTCCACAAAACCCTATAATGGTTTTTCATCAGCCCTATAATAAACTCTGACTTCTTTATGTGGCATGTACAATCCAGACCCAGCTTACCTATCTAAATGTATTTCTTTTTCATTTGTCTCCTGAATGGTTCCAGCTCTACCAAACTGTGGCCTATCTTGCTTCTGGGTCTTTATACCTGCTGGTTCTTTTGCCTAGAATTCTCTCTGTCCTCCTTCCTCTTGGCTGATTCTGATTTAGTTTTTAGGGCCCAATTTAGTTCCCGCCACCCTCCCACCCCAAAGCCTTGCTTGCTTGGCCTTCCAAGTATATGTGTATTTCTAAAGCACACTATACTTTATCATAACATGTTTATATTATATTGGCATGGACTTTCCATCTGTCTATTTCTTTTTTAGGCTGTAAGCTCTATGGGGGCAAGAGCCAAGCCTGCCCTGTTCAAGTTTTTTTCATGCCAAATGCAGTGCCAGTCACCTTGTAGGAGGTATATTAAATATATGTTGAATCAATGACTCATGAAAAGAAGCGTATGTAACGCAAAGCTAGGATCATCCTACCCAATAAGATCTGGGGACCAATGACCTTTCTAAGGTGTTTTGACGGTCTCTAAGGGCTTATCATTTCTGGCCCCAATTTCCCCTTTGCAATGAATTGTTATTGTCCCTTAATTTAGCATGGTGCAGTTCACTGCAGTGGTATAGGATGTAGCCCTGGAACCCTACCATCTAAGGTCAAGTATCTCTCCTCCCCGATCGCGCCATTTACTAGCTTGCCAACTTCTCTCTGTCTCAGTTTCCTCATTTGTGAAATGGAAATGATTGTGATAATGATAATAATAGCACTACCTCATCGTACTTTGCAATGATTCAATTTGTTCATATGTATAAAGTACAAAGAGTTTAAGATATAGTAGGTCTCAATAAATTTTAGCTCTCTCAGTCAACTATAGCATATCCATGAAGCTATTGCACTTAGCAGCATTTTCACTGAAGGTTTGCAGGTCCCAAGATTATCTCACAGCAAGTAAGTGAAGACATTTCTGTGGGAAATGCCCTCTTGTCCATCCCACCATCAGGATTTTTCTCCAGCACTCGCTCTCTCCTCTGCTTTTGCTCATCCATAATCTATACCTCTGCACCTCTCTCTCACAATGGCAGCCAGATTCTTCCCTCTGTCTCTAATACAGTGAATTTAAGCTCTACTGCTCCATGTTTCCTTCCAAACTGGACTCCACATCCATCTTTATGTGTATAAAGTTCAGCCCAATGACTGGGCCATGGCCAGCCTTTGCAGATGCCCACCTTCCATTTAATAGGACCATTGTCTTTAGAAGGCAGATGTAGTTTTAAATGGCAAGTTTCTCTTCTTCATTACAGGTAGAAGGAAAAAAATAATGATAAGCACCTTAACAGGTGTGTTTAGTGTGTGTGTGTGTGTGTGTGTGTGAGATAATCGCATTCTTTGTAAAGCAAAAAATACTCGAAGACTAGCCAGTTTTCAGCTTTTGCTTTGCTTTTGAGACAATGCAGTTCCCTTCGGCATGAACAGGACTGGTAGAGGTCCCTTACCCCAGAGAAGCATCCTTTTGCCTTCCTTGCAAAGTAATCTTTGCCTAAGAGCTGTGTTGGAAGCAGCCACATTAGCAGGACTCGGCGGCTGCAACATTGTAAATGCCAGCAAATAAAAGTGTCAGCAGCCTGGGCTGTGGGCAGCTGGCAGGGCCTGGAGTTTAGTGCTGTTCTGTGGAAATTGGCCTTTGTAGGGGGCTGGTTCATATCCAGCCCACATGAGTAGTGATTCAAAGTTATTTCCTACCGATGGCTTGTCCTGACCCCAGGAAAAGGCATTTGGAAGTTTCCAGCCATAGCCCACCAGGAAGGAGGAATAGCCACTCAACGTGAACTGCCCTCTCTCTCCAACAGATGGCCCCATCCTAGTTAATGGACAGCATTTTGAATGGTTAGTGGAAGCTTCCCTACCACTGCCTATACTGATAATAGAATTTTTGTATTACTTCTCATGGGACCCATATCCCGTGAAAAAAATATAAGAAGACTCATTTTCTTTTCACCATTGGATGTATTTATTTACAAAGAGGGACTTTAAATGGCCGGAGGCACATACACTTGCCGGTAGTAAAACTCTACCTTGTGATTCACTGATTTCTCCAGCAGCCATGCTTCCTGCAGCATTGAGGCTTGGTCATATCACAGTGCTCAGAGGGGAGGTTCAGCCATTTCTGCCTTGTGCCACTGGACAGATGATTCCTGCATTTGGTGAGTTTGGCAAAAGCAAACAGTGCTTTAGGCCTAAGGGTAACTTTTACATTTCAATTGGAAAGAAAGCTGCAGCTTTGGCCTGTGAAATTGACCATGGAGAAGAAAAGGCTTATTTCTGTATAGTGAATATTCAACAGTCTTGCTTCCAAAGCCTGTCTACTGACAGCAGGTGGTAGCTGTGTGGCCAAGAAGGTTCCACCAGGGTGAGGTCTCAGGAGGGAAGGAAAATAGAGCCACATGTTGCTAAATGCTGTCTGTAATGGGCATTTTGTTGTTGTTGTTGTTGTTTTCTTTTTGAGACAGTCTTGCTCTGGTGACCAGGCTGGAGTGCAATGGCACTATCTCGGCTCACTGCAGCCTCTGTTTCCCAGTTCCAAGTGATTCTTGTGCCTCAGTCCTCTGAGTAGCTGGGATTATAGACACGCACCATCATGCCCGGCTAATTTTTGTGTGTGTGTGTATATATATGTGTACATATATATACACACACTATATATATATACACACACATACACACTCTCTCTATATATATATATTGTTTGTTTGTTTGTTTTGAGATGGAGCCTCACTCTGTTGCCCAGGCTGGAGTGCAGTGGCGCAGTCTGGGCTCACTGCAAGCTCCGCCTCCTGGGTTCATGCCATTCTCCTTCCTCAGCCTCCTGAGTAGCTGGGACTACAGGCGCCTGCCATCATGTCCTGCTAATTTTTTTGTGGTTTTAGTAGAGACGGGGTTTCACCGTGTTAGCCAGGATGGTCTCCATCTCCTGACCTCGTGATCCGCCTGCCTCAGCCTCCCAAAGTGCTGTGATTACAGGCGTGAGCTACTGTGCCCGGCCTGATGTTTGTTTTTGTTTTTTTTGTTTTTTTTTTGAGACGGAGTCTCGCTCTGTCGCCCAGGCCGGACTGCGGACTGCAGTGGCGCAATCTCGGCTCACTGCAAGCTCCGCTTCCCGGGTTCACGCCATTCTCCTGCCTCAGCCTCCCGAGTAGCTGGGACTACAGGCGCCCACCACCGCGCCCGGCTAATTTTTTGTATTTTTAGTAGAGACGGGGTTTCACCTTGTTAGCCAGGATGGTCTCGATCTCCTGACCTCATGATCCACCCACCTTGGCCTCCCAAAGTGCTGGGATTACAGGCGTGAGCCACCGCGCCCGGCCCGCCCGGTCTGATTTTTGTATCTTTAGTAGAGATGGGGTTTCACCATGTTGGCCAGGTTGGTCTCTAACTCCTGACCTCAAGTGATCTGCTCTCCTCGGCCTCCCAAAGTGCTGGGATTGTGTAAACACTGCACCCAGCCTTGTAATGGGCGTATCAATGGCTTGAAACCATAACAGGCATTTCAAATGATGTTTTCCAAGAGCTTTTAAGACATGGGAAAATGCCTCAGATCATCAGTAAATGAAGGAAACAAATAGGATACAAAGATACACAGTGTGATCTAACTCTGCAAAATAATAGGCATTCAAAGGTACAGACACCAATATGCTCAGAGTGGATTGCAAACTTTTGATTCTAGTTTAGTTTTGTGTCTCTTAATAATGTCCTGTGACTTCCAGGCTTCCTATATTACTTTTAAAATCTGCATAAAATAAATGTTTATTTTAAAAAATTAAGTGGAACAATCTACTTCCATCGGTGACAATTTTAAAGGGTCTGATCTTCTACAATGAGGCAAAACCTATTATTATTCTCTTTTATCATTCTCTGTGGGAGGTGAAATGGCCCCAGCTTACTTCACCCCACTCTTGTGATTTGCTAGGTATTTTCTCACCTCAAAAATAATGATGTATTACATATGACCTGGGTTAGCACATTTGTGACAGATGCCAACTTTTTGGAGCAAGTCAGGATTACTTGGTTTTAGTTTTGATGTCTGTGAGCTTTATCTTTTCATCTTAGAGCAGTGTGATAAAAATATCACAAACAAAAATTGCAAGATACATTCATGGAATGAATATGTTTACATATAAACATTTTCCTGTGTTATTACTGTTACAATGAAGTCTTATTTAAAAAAAGCAATCAAGTAATTCAAGATCCTAAGTTGCTGAGCTTTTATTTTTGGCATCTGGCTATTTTAGGATAAAACGGCAAGTAACTTTATCGAATAACTCCATTCTCCTTCCTCTCACCACTATAGTGAAACTGGTATATAAATTTTTAAAGGGCAGTTTATAAGACATATCCTTAAGTCGTATCTATTCAGCCTAATCTCATGCACCTTTTACATTTGTATTTATGTTCTAAAATAGGACATAAAACAGGATTCTAGAAGTGTATTTTGTGAAATAATTGTCCCATGACATATTTGTGAAAAAAAGATTTTATGCTCCAAAAATTTGGAAACACTATGTACTGGAGCACTTCCCAACTCTATTTTCAATTCACATACTCACATTAAAGGCTCTGAAATGTTCTGCAGGAAAGAAAGCCTTTAAACTTTGTTTAAACCAGTATTTTATAAACTTATCCAACCAGGATATTCAGAAGTAATGCTTCCAAAGCACTCCAAGAGCCTATATTATCAAATAAACATTAGATGACTTTCTTTTGCTGCACTTAAAAAGAAGCAGGAGGCCGGGTGCAGTGGCTCACGCCTGTAATCCCAGCACTTTGGGATGCCGAGGTGGGCGGATCATGAAGTCAAGAGATCAAGACCATCCTGGCCAGCATGGTGAAACCCTGTCTCTACTGAAAATACAAAAATTAGCTGGGTGTGGTGGCATGTACCTATAGTCCCAAATACTCGGGAGGGTGAGGCAGGAGAATCATTTGAACCCGGGAGGCAGAGCTTGCAGTGAGCCGAGATTGCACCACTGCATTCCAGCCTGGTGACAGAGTGAGATTCCATCAAAAAAAAAAAAAAGAAGAAACAGGAAAGTAGACAAATAACATAAGCAAGATTTTCTATAAAAACAACTCAAAAATGGTTTTATGTTTAAATCATAACACTCTGCCCCAAGCCCTTTGATTAGCTGTAGGAGTCCCTCAGATTCTTATGTGACCATAGCAACCATTGCTTTAATTCAGGTCACGAAAGCACTCGAAGCCAGGGCACAGTTCTGCTTGGCCATCTCTAATATTTTCGATTTATTCCCTAACTTGAGGGAGATGACTGCAGTAGCTGCAGTTGGTGTGTGTGGTGTAGAATGTTAGCACCCCCTCCTACCCTCTTTTCTAGAAATATTTTCCTTTTGTCTCTTTTAGCTTCTTGGCTTTCTCTTTTTGTCTCAGAGCCCAAAATGACCATGTGAGTACAAGCCCCAGTATGACCGTTTGGTCTCCCAACTCCATCATTTATGAGGGTAGGCCACTCGATCTCCATCCTAACAGGTACATGTTTGCCCTGTGTAAAAGGTTTTTAGACTTTATTAAGAGCAAAACTTTGATGATATGTCTTTGAGAATACCTGAAATCTTCTGCGACTACTTTGTCTATGACATTTATATTTTTTCAAGGACAGTGACTCTGCTTGTGCAATGCCTAATGTATCAGAATCCTCCATTGTTATCTGTTGTGCTTTTGAAATCAGCCCCTGCACTTATTGAAGTGTGGGCAAATCCATAAACAAAGAGAAATGGTCAGGATGTCATGGCTGTTTTACAAAAGGTGTCCATGACAAGGCTAATTGATTCAGGGGACTTTGTTTTCAATAAAGGAACAGAGATTAGTTTACCGTCGATCTTAATTATTCCATCCATCAAACATTTGTTGCCTTGGGCAACTGGCATCATCTTTGACGCTTGCTAATTTTAGCTCATTTTATTTAGAAAGGCTTGCTTCTTTTGTTTCATTTTTTTTTTTGTGGATTTGGATGGGGAAAAAAGAAACTGACATATTTATGGGTGAAATTTCAAACTGTGCTATGCTGAATGAGCCAACAGAAGACATTTGCTTCTTTTTCCCCTTTCTTCCTTCTTTTTCTTACTGCTGATTAAAATTTATGAATTATATGTTTGTAGGTGTATGTGTACAGGGGAGCCAGATATGAACCTGTAAATAAATATAAGCTGGCCTGCTTCAAACAAGCTACAATGAGCGAGGAGAAAATATAATTGCCATCATCACAGGATATTTGGTCATGGTTTCAAGAGAGTGCTGAAATTCTGCCTCTTGAAATTTAAACATGGCCAGTTGCTTACTGTCCTTTTTCTTATATTACTTTTAAATTAGTTTTGGTGTGGCTTTGATAACCCCCAAATCCCATTCCACCTTTCTGCACATCTCTCTTCTGCATCCCTGTGCCTTCATGTGCCTTTGCCCTGTGTGCCTTTGTGTACCACTGTCTTCCTAGACAGCTTTGAATACACGAAGTTTGGACGGAGGGGTCTTCTAATTGAAGCCACAGGTGGCAGGAGGAGAAGCAAAAGATAGGGATTTGCACAGATGAAATACAATAAAATACTTCCAGACAAAGGACAACTACATGGCTAAAAACACTAGGGACATATTTTATGATTTGATCAAGGAATGCAATATAATATAACTTGTTTAAACGCTGCATTTAGATTTTTACTTGTCAAGCAGGTAACTGACTTCTTTGGAGGCAATCTTGTTTGTGTTTGGACACAGAATCACCACTGCTTGGTGCCTGCTGTTCCTTCTAATTGCTTCACACTATTGGCATATGACTACACTGTGTAAGTCTGACCACGTATGTGTACTGTTTTCCAGTGTAATCAGATGAAATTAACAATAAGCTAATCTGACAGATTTAATTTATATCTTTTCCCTTTTTGGCTCTATGACAGTTATCATAATAGTTCCCAGGTCACATAAATGACTCCTGTCTTTGTCAGAGATCATATCTGTTACAAGGAAAAGAAATTTACTTAGGGAAGCTCCAGTCAAAATAGTGCTGATTAAAAGGGTATAGGACCAATTTCATGGCACCAGTCATGAGAAATGTGCCTGGGCTTCCCAGGAACTAGAATGCCACTAGGAAGCTGCTGTCTCACTCTCTCTCTCTGTGTCTCTCTCTGGGCCTGCATATTGTTTCCTCTTTGCTTATTTTCTGTGAATATATTTCATGCTCCTCTTTGGCAGGTCAGCTTTCTTTGTAAGGCTCTTGTTTCTATGCCCACGACTTTATATGATCCCACAGTTCCATGCCTGTCACCATCTGATGGACTCTCACCGACTCTTTATCTTAATTCCTATGAAAGATTATTATTGATCTCTCCCACCAGACTATAAGCTCCATGAAGGCAGGAACCGTAACTATTTTTCTCATCAGTGTATTCTCATTGCCTAGCTAAGCTCATGATCTTTAGTAGGTATGCAGTAAATTGGTGAGTAAATGACTAACTCCATTATCTAGATCTCCTGAGGTTTATTTCTATTGTCTGATATATTTTCTTTTCTTGGTTTGGTTAAATGGTCTCTTGCTGAATGCTGAGCATTGTATGTGAAAAATTGAAGAGATCATTTGAGGGTCTGGATGATGTTATCACCCCCCAGAGAGAATATGCTTTTGCTTCTTATGCTCACACATTAGCTGTTAGTATAGAGACTAATTATCTTAATCCAATCTAGATTGAACTAATTCAAATTTGTGTTTAAGTCTTTACAGAGATTGCTTATTTCTAGTTACCTCTTATTCTTAGGGTGAAGACTTTCAGTGATTCTAACCAGATGTTTGGGGTGTTTTTAGGACCCTTATTCTTGGCGGGCCCTGAACTTTGATTTTTTT
The DNA here is from genome assembly GCF_000001405.40 of Homo sapiens. Classification (NCBI taxonomy): domain Eukaryota; kingdom Metazoa; phylum Chordata; class Mammalia; order Primates; family Hominidae; genus Homo; species Homo sapiens. Next base: position 177,050,575 of record NC_000002.12, on the reverse strand, counting down.
TTTTTTTTTGTCTCAGCAGCAGAAAGCTCTTCTCAGCTTTTCAGCCTCTTAGCTGATAGTTAAAATGCCTCAATGAGAAAGGTATTGCCAACTGTCAGGCTAATTTCTGTGCTTTCTTTTCCTTATCTCCAGTATCTTAGTCCTTGGGTGTTTGAATCTTGGTAGCTCTTTCATTTCATTTTAATTTTTTTGTTTGGTATTTTAGCCCATCTAGCTGCTCTTGGTGAGAAGGTTAGTTTGATGCAAGTCTAGTCTACCAGAGCCAACAGTGGAAACCAATTGTTGAGTAACCATATATTGTAGAGAAGCAATCTGATAGGCCTGTTGTAGATTACTGGTCTAATCGTCTCTGGCCAGAGGGAATGGGATAAAGTAATACTTGGAAGAGCTGTTCTGCTATGAGCAAGGGAGGCTAGTCTAAGGGGAGAAGTTGGGCACCACAGGTATTGTCACAGTGTCTATTTCAACCATCATCATCATCCTTATTAATACCTCACCTTTGGAACCTTATGATTTATAAAACTCTGCAATTTGGTTTTTTTGTCTAGTGTCAATACTCTAGGATATGTAACAGATATCTTTTTAAAATGTATTTACTTTAATTGACAAATAAACATTGTGTATATTTATGATGTACAACATGATGTTTTGAAATAGGTATACTTTGTGGAAGGCTAAATTGAGCTAATTAACATACTTATTTCTTTGTGATGAGAACACTTAAAATTTACCCTCAGCAATTTTCAGGAATACAATACATTGTATTAACTATAGTCACCATGTTGTACAATAGATCTTTTGGAATTATTTCTCCATTCTAACTGAAATTTTGTATCCTTTGATCACAATCTCTCCAGTCTATCCCCGGCTCCCCACCCTAGCCATTGATAACCACTACTAAACTCTCTGCTTCTATGAGTTTGACATTTTTAGATTCCACATATAAAAGAGATCATGTGATATTTGTCTTTCTGTTTCTGGCTTATTTCACTTAACATTTCTTCCAGGTTAATCCATCTTGTTGCAAGGGACAGGATTTCCCCAAATAGGTATTTATGCTAACAGTTACTCTATTATGCTTCAGTGTTTAATCATCCCTCATTTTACCATTGCCATCATCAACAGCCCTTATACCTAAAACATGTGTCCTAGATCTTATCATGGCCAACTATCCACTATTCCCAATGCTCTCTTTCCTCCTTCCCCACTAGTTCCCAAACTTCCCCAATCCCAGGGCTGAAAGGCCAGTGTTTGGTCATTATCTCATTTCTGTCTACCCTCTTTAACTCTTTCCACTCCTCAGATGTGAAGTTCCTGAACAGATAGTATTTGTTTTATGCCTCAAGCCAAGTGTCTAGGGGTCTGGAGAGTTTGAGGGCAAAGCATGATGACTGAGCAGTAGTGCAGAATGAGGAACCAGTGACAAACAGGGACAAACTGAGCTTCAATCTGAACTTAGAAGAGGTACCACCAAATACCTTTTTTTTTCTTTTACCTAAAATACATTGCTTGGGAGTCCCTGAACAAAGGCTCAGAATGAAAATACCTAGGTAAACATAGGAGTTGATGACAAGACATTCATTCTTGCTTGGCTGGTAGTTTAGAAATTAGGGAATAAAAATAAGAAAGAGATGCTTCATTGGGGAAAAAAGGAGGAAGATAGTTCAACAGTGAGGTTTTTCAAATTTGCAGGATTAAAAATTTGCTTCACCTTATCTTTTTTCAGAGTCTGAACAAATTGAAGCTATACCTCATAGTACTTTATGTCCTATATGGCTACCTAAATTTGTCATTTAGACGTAGCAATAATGTCATCATCATCATAAGAGCTGACGTCTACTGAGAACTTATCATATTCTCAATATGCATTATTATTTAATTTTCACCACAACCCTATGAGCTAGGTATTGTCATGATTACATTTATAGATAATGAAACTGAGGTAAGTAATTTTCCCAGGGTCACATAATGCTTGGTAAGTGGCAGTGACAATATTTGAGTTCTGGGGATTAATATCAGACCCCTCACTTTTAAACACTACACTGTGCTGATTCCTATGTGCATATAATACTATTAAAATGTTTATTTTTATGACTGTGTATACAGTAAGAAAAACACATGAGAAAGTATGATTCTCTGTAGGAAAAAGAGCCTTACAGTCCAAGCTTAAATTAAAGTTACTGTATTAGGTTATTTAGTAAACTGCCATAACAAAATGTAGTGGCTTAGTTGAGATGAATGTCCATTTCTATTTCATATAACAGCCTACAGAAAAGCAAGGGGGCCAGAGTCATCCCAGAATTGAGGTTGCTTCTCTCTTGTTGCTCTGTTAGTCCCAAGGTTGTGTCCATGTCTGCCTGATTGAAACTTATGTTAAGTTTACATTCCAGCCATGGGAAGGGAGGAAAAGAGAGAGAAGAGTGAAGACTTAGGGTTCTTATAAGTCAAGAACTGGAAGTTGCACACATTTCTGCTCACATCATATTTATAAGAACTTAGTCATATGGCCATATGTAGCTGCAAGGGAGGCAGAGAGATACAGTCTTTATCTAGGTGGCTCTGTGCCTTGCTAAAACTTGGGAGGGGATTCTCTTTCTAAAAGAGAGAAGGAGCAGTTAACTGGGAGACACTTACCCTCTGCCCAGCTTTCAAATTAGTAACACAAGTAATAATATATTTATGAGTTTGGAATTTTTAAAGTTATCTGGCATGGGTAATAAATGACTCTTTTCCTTATTTATAATAAAACTATCTTGGCTTGGATATAATCCAAATAATCAGAAAATACTCTAATTCGAAGCAAGTCCTACAGTCTAAGTGATATTAAAACCAGAAGAGATTGCAGGGCATTGTTTTAATGCAAAAAGGTAGTGTAAACACTGTTGAGATAAACTTCGCTATATTATTAAAGAATATTTATAGGTAGACATTGTATAGGGCATCTAACTAGATATTTGGAAACAGCTAACAGAGATTATAACCATGCTATTCCTTCTCTATTTGATTTGTAAGATAAGATTGATGGATGTGCACGCAGAACAAAAGGGGATTTAATAACAGGGTTCAGCCGCACTCCAAGTAGGCACTCTGATTTAAAACCGACACAGCATATCAGCACAAAAGCCCATGACTCTAAGCCTCAAGGCTTGATTAGCATCCTTGGGCAAATCAAGATTTCTTAAACCCCTTGTGGAGGCCCATACAGAATGCAGTCATCTCAGCAGCTCACAGCCTAGGGAAAATGATGACATCTAGGACTGCAGTTTTTATTTCCAAGGAATGTTTGCTCTGGAAATTTCTGTGCGTGAGTGTTGATGAAAATTCACAATGGTCCCATGCATCATGTAAAACAAAATGCCCTTTTGGGTGCAGCCAGTCTCCAAGTTACTGCCATTTGCTGTTGTTCATTTTGGTTTTGCTCCTGAAGTCAGAGCTTGTTTGTTTTGGTGATTGCACATTCTCTTCGTAGTTTCCCGGCTAGTTCAGAACAGTTGAGTCTAGAACCTATGTCTCTGAACTCCTGGTCCAGTGTTCTTTCCCAGGGACCCTGGCCTTTATTAATCACAAAGTTAGGCAATTTGGGAACTTACCCAAAATCTTTGAAATTCTATCTTTTTGCATAAAAACCATTTTAGAATCTAAGGATGTTTGGATTCTCTAGTGTATTAGGCATTTCTTGGCACAGGTAGGGTCCAAGGGCCAGGAATGTCTCGCCTTGCCCGAGAGCTCTTATTTAGACTTATTTCCAAGTGAGTTATCTATATCCAGTCATTGTAATTGTCTGCATGTGTGTTCAGAACATTGTTAATTATAAATATTTAAAAAGTCACAGTGTTTACAACTGTTTTAACACAATGTATTTTGTTTTAATAAAATAGGAGCCTTGACAATTGAAAGCCCTGAGGGCTTTGTGATCTGTGAGAAATGTTGAGAGGTAGTGCCGGTGGAGGTTTAGAGTTGAGGCTGAACAGACATTTGTTGAACTGAGTTCGAGTCCTGATCAGAGAATTAAGCTTCTACTTTAACAGTTTGCTGTTGATTTCAGTCCTAGTGAAAATTGGCAAAGTATAGCAGAAGGAGCACAGGACCCGATATGAAGACATATACTTAGAACACTAATGCCATCTATGAGTTATGTAGCCTTTGGCCAATCACTTATTCTTCCAGAGCCTCAGTTTTCTCATCTGTTATATAAGGATAAGATCACTTGCTTCACAGGAGGGTTGTTGTGTGGCTCAAGTAAGATGTTTGTGAAAGTCCCTTACGATGGGAAGCATCATTCAAATTTGAGGCATATTGGTTTTTGTTATTGTTGTAGTAGCTTTATTATTATATTATTTCAATCATAGTTGATTTCCAGTTCAGTGGCCCATGTTCTAGTAAGTTAAGTTGTTGTAAGCCAGATGAAAAAAACGTGCCAAGCTGGTCACAGGTGCTATGGTCTAGATGTTTGTGTCTCCCCACAATTCACATTTTACCAAATCCCCATGGTGACAGTATTAGGAGCTGGGGCCTCTGAGAGATGATTAGGTCATGAGGCCACAACCTTCAAATATGGGATTAGTGCACTTATAAAAGAGGTCCCAGAGAGCTACCTTGTCCTATCCCATGTGAGAACACAGTGAGAAGGTGTCATCTATGAAGCAGAAAGTGAAGCTTCCTTAGACACTGAATTTTCTGGCACCCTGATCTTGGACCTCCCAGCTTTTAGAACTGTGAGAAATACATTTCTGTTGTCTATAAGCCACTCAGTTTATGGTATTTTGTTACAGTAGCTCAAGTGGACTAAGACAATAGGAAAGCATGTTTGGCCAACACATTCATGCAGTGATCGGAGAACCTGATGCCCAAAAGTGCACCACAATCCCTGAGCTGTCACAGGGGCCTCCCTGTCCATGGCATTGACAATCTGAAACCCTCATGCTGCCTTGACTTTGTCTTGTCTTCTCCTTCCTCTCCCACATCACACAAATCTGGAGACATTTGTTCTAGACATAAAATGCTTCCTCCAAGAGTTACCTGAGATGCTTCTTAGAGCTCTGCCTTCATTAAGGTTCTCATGTTAATCTTGCTGATGCAGATGGGAAGAAATTCTTAGTAAGAGGCCTGGCAAGAAAACTGCACATGCAAAAGCTCAGACATCATTAAGTCCCCAGAAGTCCTTGTGCTTGAGGGATTAATTCTGTGAGACACTGAAGCTGGAGAATGCTTCTATACGCTGTGAAAGAAGTCTGAAGCTGCCCTGGTGGCAACAGGGAGCCAAAGAACTGTTCTAAGTGGGGGACTGGCAAGACCAGGCTTGCATTTGATCCCTGTTCCTTCTTTGAACCTTTGCTTGGAGGCCCACAGAGATCCTAGAGCTCTGCTTATGGGAGCCAGAGAAGTGAGGTCTGAAGGCAAATGTTCCAGAAGAATAGCTTAGGTGAGACAGGAGGGCCAGCAATTTCCTTGCATAGGAGAAATGATAGAGGCGGGTTAGTTTTGGCTTTATGGCAGCAGAGAAGACTAAGTGCTTTGAAGTCAGGAGGAGGTCCTTGTGCCAGGGCCCAGTGTAAAGGCCATGCTCAGTGGCCTTCCTAGAGCCTGGCTATGGGGCACACACGGCTCCCACTGGCTGGGGGCTGCACACTTCAAGAACAGGTTCAATGCCAATCAGCCCTGACCCAATCTGTCTACAGCCAGCTTGTGCTTTTTTCACTTTAGAAGGAACTGAGCACAGCAAGCAAACTGCATTGTAGTGAAGCCAGCCCTAAAATCAAAGGAACCTATATCCAAACCAGATGGTTCCCACAGAGATTCACTGTGTGATCCGAAGTTGTCCTACATTGTAGGAACATTCTTGGCTTCTCAAGACAAATGAAACCTTTGGCACTGAAATAGTGTTTCAGTTTATGTAAAGGCATGTTTGTAGTTCTATAACAGACCTCAGTCTTAAAGGAGCTATATCCCTGAAAATAATCATGTGAATGGGCACTGTATAATTAGAGGCACAAACTCCACCAGAAACTGGAGTCACTTAAACTAATATTTGACAAAGTTTTTTTAATAAATTAGGATATTTTAGCAGACAGTATGATGATGGATGGAATTATACCTTTGAATTGGAGAAGCGGGAAGAGCCAAAGCCAGCTTTTAATGATTTCATAATTTTGTCTGGGTCTGGCTGTGGTCTCTTTTTTTACCCTAAGAACCAGTGAGAAAGAAGCTTTCCTTTTGGAAAGCCAGACTTGAGGTATGTGTGGTGTGTGTGTGTGTGTGTGTGTGTGTGTGTGTGTGTGTGTGTCTTTCTACCTCCCTAACTGATTTCAGCTCCAGAAAAGAGAAACTGCTTTTGTCACATACAATTCATATGCAAAAGTAACAGTGCATATTCTGCAGGGGTGGTTTGGGGATGGCTGATAGATTTGCAGTACTATCCTGAGAACCACTCTGCTTTCTTTTCATTTCTTCAGGGAGCGGCAGTAGGACCCAAAGTGAGAGTTACGGGGAGACAAGTAACTTCTCTCAACTTGGGGACTGAGGGTTTCTAGCAAAGGAGAGGCCTACCTTTGGGGCCAGTCAGCTAGTTGGCTGGCATCTGTGAGGGATGCTGAGGAGGACATGGAGTCTTGCTCTGTCGCCCAGGCTGGAGTGTAGTGGCACGATCTTGGCTCACTGCAACCTCTGCCTCCCGAGTTCAAGTGATTCTCCTGCCTCAGCCTCCAGAGTAGCTGGGACTATAGGCACATGCCACCATGCCCAGCTAATTTTTGTATTTTTAGTAGAGACGGGGTTTCACCATGTTGGCCAGGCTGGTCTCGAACTCCTGACCTCATGTGATCCGTCTGCCTCGGCCTCCCAAAGTGCTGGGATTACAGGCGTGAGCCACCGCGCCTGGCCTGGCATTCTGATATTGATGTAAGATTAGCTTAGAAGACTTTAACTCTAGGACCGTGCATTTTGGGGAGAGAGGGAGAAAGGAGTGGGAGAGGAAAAGGAAGGCAGAAGGAGAGGGAGAGGAAGAAAGGGAGAAGAGAGGGAGGAGGAGAGAAAGATGGAAAGATAAGAAGAGGGGAAAAAAGGAGGAAAAAGGGTGGGGGCAAGGAGTGGAGGAAAGGAGAATGAATGTCACTTATCTGAAATGCTTGGGGCCAGAAGTGTTTTGGGTTTTGGATTTTTTGATATTTTGGAATATTCGCATATACATGAGATATCTTGGGGATGGGAGCCAAGTCTAAACACAAAATTCATTGATGTTTCCCATACACCTTATCACATAGTCTGTAAAATTTTATCTACTATTTTACATCATTTTGAGCAAGAAACAAAGTTTTGACAGGGTTTTAGTTGCCATCACATAAGCTCAGGTGTGGAGTTTTCCACTTGGGGTGTCATGTCCATCCTCAAAAAGTATCAGATCTTGGAGCATTTCGGATTTTTGGATTAGGGATACTCAACCTGTGCAATTACTGCCTCTCCTAATTGTAAGTATGCCCAGCTGAAGCTTAGAGAAATAATTATTTCAACTACTGTGTGAGCCTAATTTAATTTCCTTTTGTTTTTTTCTCTTTTTTCCCTCTTTTTGGGTCCTTTTCTTCTCTCACTCTGCTGTTGTTACTGTTCCTCCTCCTTGTGCTCCTCACACTCCTTTTAAGTGACTGGTAAATGGAAAAATGTTCTCTGTCTAGTACAAAGTTGCTAGGAAAAAAAATCAAGAGTTAATTTTACTTGAGGGTTTTAGAAACCTGGGCCCTCATAGAAACCTATGAGGATGTGTGGTAGAACAGAATTTAAAACATGCAGACAGTTACACAGCAATTTTAAAACTGGTGATTCTGAGGGCTGATTTGATTAGGTGATTACCCTTGTAAAGGAGTAACTTAATCTGTGAGACACTCCCCCAGCAGAAAACTCACTATACTACTCTGGTTTAAAATAATTTCTTCACAAATTGCACTTAAAAATAATTGGAAAAATTTAAAAAGCAAATCTAATTTTTCAATAAAAAAATCAACTTTTAAAATTCCTCCCTGGTGGTCCAGTATTATTAAATATTCTTCGGGTTTTTTTTTTAATCTTGCTTTATTGGAAGGAGAAAAACAATTATCTGTAAACGTAATTTTTAATGCATGGTAATAAAAATAAATGGCATAGTTCTGCTGCAGTTCATCTAAATCTTCTTCCCTGGTGGTCTAGTGGTATTAAATAATCGGTACCACATGTATTCATCATTTGCTGACAGCAAAAGAAAAACTTTGGCATTTTATTGTCTAAAGAAACAAGCATGATGTTATTTAGGCTTCTAGAGGCGACTTTGTTGATGGTCTGTGAAGAAACCTTCATTTTCCTTGCTGGTGGGCTGTGCTTTTTGTTAATTTACATGGCAATTAGTATAAAACAAGAGACAGGCACTCTTTCCAAGGTTGATTTGAGTATCTCTTGCAGGTTGCCCAGAGAATGATTTAGCTTTTTTTCTGCATTAATTGGGGCAATGAAAATATGTTATATATTGCCAGTTCTGTGTTTGGCGGGAAACTACTGCAATTGGTAAACATGAGAAAATGGTAATTATTGGTGAATAAGTACCGCAATTATTATTATTATTACATTTCACAATTGTGTAGAAGATGAACTATTAGCAACTTCAGGAGAATGTTTCAACATAGCTTCCTTGTGCTTATTCCCTTCATTTGAGTGAGGCTGAATTATTATGATTTGTGAAAACAGAAAATTTCAAACTTGAAAGTTGTGTTGATGAAGAGTCAAACTCTGTAAAATATTTGAAGAGATTTATTCTCAGCCAAATATAAGTGACCAATGGCCCATGACACAGCCCTCAAGAGATCCTGAGAACATGTGCCCAAGGTAGACAGACTCCAATTTGGTTTTATACCTTTTAGGGAGATATAAACCATCAATTCATACATGTAAGATGTACCTTGGTTTGGTCCAGAAACGTGGGATAACTGGAAGCGGGGGCTCCCAGGTCAGAGGTGGATTCAAAGACTTTTCGGATTGGCAGTTGGATGAAAAAGTTAATTAATTGTCTAAAAACCTAAAATGAATAAAAGAGAATGTCTGGGTTAAGATAAGGAGTTGTGGAGACCAGAGTTCCTGTTATGCAGAAGAATCCTCCAGGTAGCAGGCTTTCAGAGAGAATAGATTGTTAATGTTTCTTATTAGATTTAAAGTCTGTTCTATCAGTAATTCCAAAACGGAGGAGGGGAGAATGAGGCAAGTCTGGCTCCCCCTTCCCATCATGGTTTGAACTAGTTTCTCAGGTTAACTTTGGAATGCTCTTGGCAGAGACGAGGGGTCCATTCAGATGGTCGCGGGGTTTAGAATTTTATTTTTGGTTTACACTTGATTCACATTTCCATGTATGTGTATTAGAAACAATGCCTTGTTTGCTTGTATGGAAAAGGATAGACTTATAAGAACTTAAGTAAGAAAGTTGAACTCGGTTCCCTTACTGGTCTAAATAATAAATACAGTGGTTATCTGGAGGATAAGAGAGCACATTGGTTGCCTGAAGCACAAAGATGTGCTCTGTGTGTCAGGTTTTTAGAAGGTAAAATGAAAAGCAATTCAATCTTATTTGCATTGTTATTTTTCATCCTTTATATATACACATATAAATACTAAAACACAATATAAACACTAAAATATTATATATGTAAAATGTACACACACACACACACACACACACACACACAACAGCTATAATTTAAAAAATCACAAATGAACAAATGGTTTCCAGATTGTTTATTATGAGTCTTTTGTGAGAGTAAATGTATCTGCATTTTTAAAAGAATTGGGAAAAATCACCTTTGTAAGCATTAAAATTTGTATAGCACAATAATGCCAGAATACTGAATGAGCTACCATTGCTAAGGGCAAAAGTGATTAAGCACTTTCTCCCCTAGAAACACACGCCTTACATAATTGAAGTGATTGGTAAAAGAATAGAGGTATGATGATTATGGACATTATGTTTAATGGAGTGGTGGTTTTGTTGTGACTCATCAGTAGAGGGAAACCGAGGCACCACACCAGTGTGTCTACCTTGTTATTTCTCAAGGGGTGGCAGCATGTCATAGCAATAAACTCCCGGTGTTGAGTTCAAATCCTGCCACCATTACTTATTAAACTCTCCGAGCCTGAATTTATTCACTTATAAAATGGAGGATAAGAACATGTGCCTCATTGAGTGCTGTGAGGACTAAGTGATCTCTCTCTCTTTTTTTCTTTCTTTTTTTTTTCTTTTTTGAGATGGAATCTCATTCTGTCTCCCAGGCTGGAGTGCAGTGGCGTGATTTCAGCTCATTGCAACCTCCGCCTCCCAGGTTCAAGCAATTCTCCTGCCTCAGCCTCCTGAGTAGATGGGACTACAGGCGCACGCTGCCACGCCCTGCTAATTTTTTCTATTTTAGTAGAGACGGGGTTTCGCCGTGTTGCCCAGGCTGGTCTCCAACTACTGAGCTCAGGTAATCCGCTCGCCTCGGCCTCCCAAAGTGCTGGGATTACAGGCATGAGCCACCGCGCCCGGCCCCCGAGGGATCTCTTAGCACAAGGGCTGGTATGTGCTGTAGTCAATGTGTGCTAGCTTTTAAAAAAGAAATTTATAGAGTAAATTACTACTTTTCATGTTTTGAGGGAATCTGTTGTTTTGAATTTTAAATACTATTCTCCAAAATGGTTCTAGTCTTGGATCATTCCACAAAAACAAGACTTTTTAAAAAAACAGGGGATAATGCCTTGTAAACTTTTAAGGTTATATGGCTCCAGATCACCAAGACATAGCAGCACCCCCTGAGCCCATTTTCCTTAGAAGTTCCCCAAACTGGCTTCAGAGCTACCTTATTTATCACCGTAAGCTCTAGAGACTGCAGAATGTGGACGTTCAGTGTTGTCTCAAATGTCCAGAGCTTGACATGTTTCAAAAAGTCTATAAAATAAGAAGTACCCATTAGATTGTTATGAGATGCAATTTTGATTTTACTATTTCAAGAAGTTGCAATAACTCAAGGAATTCAAACCAAAGGAGGAAAACAGATTTTATTTTACCAGGGACTCAGCACTTTCCCAGCACCTTGCTGAGGGTGGTCCATCTTTCTTCCTAAGAAGTCCAACGACATGAGCTCTAGACATTTTTCCCCTCAAAGAGTTTCTCCTAGGCTAGCAGCATAAAACAATTAGCTTTACCTCTGATTGAAATCTTCGGTTTGTAATTGGAAACATGTGTGCTAGGATTGAGTCGCTTGCTGCTGCCAAGTGTGTGGCAGGAGTGAATCTCTAGAGCACCGAAGCATTCCGCGTTTTATGGCAAGTCAGTCTCTCCACTGGGGTCCTTATTCATAGGTTTTATTTAGGTGGCTTTTTAGTGATCGACCAGAGAGAGAAAAGCTCTTTGTAAAAGGTTTGAAAAGCAGCCTGGAAGCCCTGGAGGGAACAGGTTTTAATTTTGTGGTGTTTTGATTTTAAATGATATTTGATGCTGTGGTTTCCCTCTAAACTTCTCCCCCAGTTGATGCCAGCAGTGTCCCGTGACTTGTGGGGGAAACTCCCTCACAATGTAGCAATTACTGATTTATGTTCTAGTGATAAGAATGTGTTTTATTGTGGTCGTAATATTTGTTCAATTTAACTACTATGTACTGTAAAGTATCGTAAAAACTTCTCCGCTGGTCAAATGTTATGAGACAAAGGATCATAAACCACTCTTAATCCATGCGCCCCACTCCTGTGGTATCCGTGGGCAAGCCACCATGAAGAGAGGACAGACTATGGCCCCGAGGGTAAATGTCTGTGTCCTCCTTCTCAGTTTTAAACTCAGTCCCCAATATAGGTCGTTTAAGTGTCTCTGACGCTCTCTTGTCATCTGTTGGACTCCCTTGCCAGTCTATTATCTATCCCCTTTGTAAAAAAGTTCAGAAAGACTCTCACGTTCTCATGGCTCAATCTCAACATCTCATCTTTCCCCAGAATGTCCCTTTTGAAAGTTATGAATTCCACAGAATTTTGCTGTCAGCATTTGAACCTCACTTATATTCATGTATATTCTGAGATCATAGCTAAAGAAAAGGGGAAAACAAAAAGACCCTTTCCCCCTCTTATGCTTTCTTTTGATCTATTATAATGTAGGACAATGAAGCAGCTTTTCTTAAGCCAGTGCTCAGTTCCCTCTTCCATCTAGGACCTAGCTGAGGAAATAATACGTAGATAGGCTTCTTTCCCCAGTGCTGGGTCACCATACAGGTTCTAGGGAAGGGACTTCTCATTTGTTTGTATTGCCACTTCCAGAATGATTCTGTGGTCTTCCCTGTTGAGGATCCTCCAGCCATTCTCCATAGAGAGTAGGGTCTGGACACCCAGCGGTCTAACCCCTGCTGATATCTTTGGATTCATCTCAACGACTGCCCCCTCTTGCCCTCCCCATCTCTTTTACCCACCACCGCATCCTGCAGTCATAGAGAGCTACTTGGATTCTTCGAGACCAGCTTCTTCCAAGAAGCCTTTCCTGCTGCTCCATGGGTTTCCATAGCATCCAGTGTGGACCAGCTGGAGCAGGACTGGCGAGGGAATGAACTGGATATTGCAGCAGAACCACTTCGTCGGGATTGTACACACTGATCCTGATCCAGTTAAATATGAAGTCAAACAAGAAATGATTTGATGCCCCTCTGTATCTCCCAACAGAATGACAAGAATTGCATTTTCCGCATGTGTTTTTCATAACTCAGTGCTCCATTTCCCTTCCAACTAGGACTGAGCTGAGGGAATCAGCCTGTTTTTCAGGCTTAAGAAATTCCAGGATTGACAGAAAAGGGTGGAAACTATTTTCATGTTTCTGTGTAAAGTGTTCTTTACACAGAATACCCCTTTGTCATTTTTTCCCCTGCAAAATGTGGTAGCTTGAGTGGTGACTAATGAAGGTTTGCTCCATCGTTTAGCCCTGGGTCAAGGGAGAAGCACAGAGGCAGACAAGGGTGGGATGCTGTCAGAGGTGAAAGTTCCTTCTGGGTAATAATTTATATTCATCTTTTGAGAATAGGTATTTATATTAACAGATGATATAGTTACAAATTTGATCTCTGTAGATTTTAAATGTCAGTTTTATTACAATGCTGATAATTCATTATATTTTAAAAGTTAATCATTGAACCCTTAATAACTTAACTTGTAATCATTAGGCCTAGTAGTCATAGAAAGATCGTGGAAGGGAACCGGGAGATAGGTTGAAGCAGGGTAGCACCATGGTTAAGCAGCAAGCTCTGAAGACCTGCTGTGTGGCCTTGGGCAAGTTGCTTAGCCTCTCTGCGGCTCAGTTTTCTCCTCTGTGAAAATGGGGAATGATAAAGGTACCTTACTGAGTTGTTATGAGGAATACATGTGTTATTCATAGAAAGTGCTTAGATTGGTGCCTGACACTTAGCTAATATTTACTGAGCACTTCCTGTGATATTATGGTCATTTATCTGTTTTTGATATAGTAGCTGCCTCTCTGCAAATACCTCTGAAAAGATACTAAGTCTGTTTACTTGCCTTTCTCCCCACTAGACTCTGAGTCCCATTAGTCATGTTTGTATCCCTAGCATTTACCCTGCAGGAAACCCCCATAATTATTTCTTGAGCAAATTAAAGAGGGAATCGCAGTGAACTGCTGCTTCTTCCTGCTTCTCCATCACATTATGGAAGAATGAAAAAGGAGCACGAATCTGCCATGGTGTAGGATTACTCTCTGGGGGTTGTCTGACCACTGCAATTAAGAATTCACAAAGATGATTAATCTTACGTGGCTATGCTAGTAAAATAACTTTGATAGGCTCATTGAACTGGAATTTCCCTAAAGGGTCATAGAAGCCATCTCCCTGCTTTTGGGCAGGTAGGTTCTAATATAATGTCGAAATGTTAGCTGTATACTATTTCTAATAAATCTCCAAAAGAAAGAATTTCTTATCTTTCTGGCTAATATGTAATAATTTAGTGGCCCATATTTCTTAAATGAGAACTTCATTGGGTAGTTTTAAAGGCATTAAAGATTTAGGTGAGGTGCAATGAAAGTGAACGTCAGACTTTAGAATGAATGTTCATTCAGGTAGCTGTCTTGGCAACTTTAGAGATTCTTGAAAATAAGCTGGGTGAGTATCAATTCTGTGTGGCTTAATTGGAATCCTAACAAGAGGCTCATTGATATACCAGTTGGTGTTGCTTTATCAGGCATTTATTGAGTGCCTTCTACGTATTAGGTTGGTGCAAAAGTAATTGCAGTTTTTGAAATTACTTTTAATAGCAGGCACCATGCTCCAGGCTAAGACATATTAATGCATACTGTGCACATGGTCCTTGCCCTTTTGAAGCTTGTAGTCTAATGGTAAGGCTAGACTTGAACAAGCAATTAAAAGTGCACTGAGTATTTTGGTCAAGAAATCCTTTCTAGGGGAGTGACCTTTAAAGAATGGAAAAGAGGGGAAGTTCACTCAGACAAGGCTGGAGAAGTAAAGACAGAGGCCATATCATGGCAGGTCTTCTGGACCATATGTGGTGGTTTTGGACTTTCCCCACTTAGTTGATCTGTGTCATATTTTCCAGAATTCCCATCCTCGTATGGCTCTGGGTTAGTATGGATCACAAGAGACATTTCATGGGAGACTTGGAAAGCAGGAGTGTTGCAACAGCCATGCTTTTCATGCTCAGGCATTGGTGCAAAGCTCCAGGTGCTGTGGCAGTTCACAATGCTGTCCGAGATCTGTAAGTTCACCTTGCTGGCTGGGGAGCAGTGGGAAGCACCTGGATCTGCTGCTCTCCCACCTCCCACCAGATCTCCTCCTTCAGCTTCTTCGAGTCCTGAGCCAAGTGCACAGGCAGCTCCATGCCTATGGTTGAGGTTGAACATGGTGAAAAACAAATGCAGGTTCCAGTTTGTCCTCACAGTTTCCAGTTGTCTTTGTGGATCCTCATTCATTTGTATCTCCATTCAAATGGGTTCCAATCTGTTCTTGTCCCTGTCCACATCCAGCTTGCCTTCTGATCACTAGTCTGGTTGATCTGTGATAACTTTAGGCTTGGAACTAGATGCAGAGGCAATGGCCAACAGGGACTGCTCCAACAGCTCTCACAATTGTGTAAGGTCTACTCCCTCTAATAAATCCTTTGTTGTTTATCATGGTGGTTCCTCTAATCTGATGAAACCCTGACTGATACACCATGAAGAGGATTTTGGTGTTTATCCCAAGAGGAATGGCAGCCATTGTAGGGTTCTAAGCCATACAGTGATGTGATCAGAATTTTTCCCCTTTCTGTCTGCAGGTAAAGAATGGTTTGGAGTAGGGTGTTTAGGACAAGAGCAGCTGTGAGGAGGTCTGTGGGCAGATAATGCTAAACTTAACCAATAACTATGCTTGTTTTTTCTTCCTGGCCCAGATTTGGATACTTCTTCAGCCTTTGCACAATTTGGTGAAACCATGTGACAGAGTCCTAGCTAATGGAATGAGAGTGGCGATTCCTCTGGGATCTAGAACTAGAAATACCATTTGACCCAGCCATCCCATTACTGGGTATATACCCAAAGGATTATAAATCATGCTGCTATAAAGACACATGCACAAGTATGTTTACTGTGGCACTATTCACAATAGCAAAGACTTGGAACCAACCCAAATGTCCAACAATGATAGACTGGATTAAGAAAATGTGGCACATGTACACCATGGAATACTATGCAGCCATAAAAAATGATGAGTTCATGTCCTTTGTAGGGACATGGATAAAGCTGGAAACCATCATTCTCAGCAAACTATCACAAGGACAAAAAACCAAACACCGCATGTTCTCACTCATAGGTGGGAATTGAACAATGACAACACATGGACACAGGAAGGGGACCATCACACACCGGGGACTGTTGTGGGATGGGGGGGGGGAGGGATAGCATTAGGAGATATACCTAATGCTAAATGATGAGTTAATGGGTGCAGCACACCAACGTGGCACATGTATACATATGTAACAAACCTGCACGTTATGCACATGTACCCTAAAACTTAAAGTATAATAATAATAATAATAATAAAGAGAGAGTGGATGTGATGTTTGCCACTCCCAAGCTTGGCTACCTTCCGTCTTCTCTCTTCCCTCATCTGCTAGACAGAAGTAGTAGACTCAGTAGAGGACTCAGATGCCCTAGAAGATGGCAAAGCAACAGGATAGAAAGAGGCTGGGTCCCTGAACAATTGTTTGCAATAGGAGTCCCACCACCAACTCTCATTGAACTCTGCTGGGTCAAGAAGTAAATTTTTATTGTGTGAATTCACCTAGATTTTGAGCTTCTTTGTCAAAGTAGCAAATGCTATTTAACCTAAGTAATACAGAATGTAGATGATAGGTAATGATGGAATAAGATACCAGCAACAGAAATGAAGAAAGATATTTAGAAACTTGAAACAGTAGTTCTTGGTGGTTGATTAGATGGAATGATGATAGAGAGGACAAGTTAATAATAAGCCTCAAATTTGTAATTTGGATAACAGGTTGAATACTAGTGCCATTAACTAAGATGATGAACACTAGAGGAAAAGCAGATTTCTAAAGGAAGGGGTAAAAATTCAGTTTTGTATGTGGGGAGTTGTTTGAGATGCCCTGGAAACCTTCAAGTGGAGATGTTTTTCTTTATTTCTCTTCATTTTTCCTTCTGGGAACTTCATATTGGTCCTGACCAGTAACTTGTACTATATCATGATCTATAGGAAATCTACTTTGTTTTTCCTTCTACTTCTTGAGACCTCTCTAAGATTATATTATACACTCTCATCTCTATCAATTTCTAATTTACAGATATAAGAGGCCGCCCTGTAGAGGAGGAAGGAGGAAGTTGGCTGTGATTGACCTTGCTAGGTCATCTTCCTAATCTTTGTCCTTTCCTGCACCCCAAATGGAAGATAAAAGGCAATGCAAGATCAGCATCCTCAGAGACATCGTTTTGTTTGGGTTTCATGGATTGCAATTGCCAGAGATGCTTAGGCTGCCTCTAGAGGGAAGATGATTGATTGTTAACCTATGTGGTCCAACCAAATGTCTTAGGGGTTATTGATAATTAAAATGGACAATAGCGATTTTCCATTTCTTCTGGCCTTGGGTGCTGGCATGTGGAAGTGGTATTGATACTCATGACCAAATAGGCACTTATCGATTTCAGTTTTCATAAGTTGCCTACCAAATGCAAACTAGTAACCCAGACGTGGGAGACCTAATATTCCATTGTTAATCTTTAGGTCCATAATTTTTATTTCCTCTACTTGCCTCTTCTTCCTTCCTCTGCATAATGAGTTGGGCTTATATAATTGCACCCATTTACTCACTCATTCGTTCAATCAATTATTTGTTCCTATTTTATGCCAAGTAATGAACAGAAGGTGTTGGGGATGCAAAACCCAACTAATTGGAATTTCTATGTTACAGGAGCTTATGCTTTAGTGAAATTATAGACAAATTATTATACAGTTTTAATCCAGAATAGTAAGTGCTATGGGAGCATGCACAGAGGAAACAACCCAATCTTAAGGAATCAGGAAGGTTTGCAGAGGACTGACAGGAAAAGTGGGCAGGTGAAGAAGATGGGCAGTGAGAGGAGGAGTGGAAGCACTTTTGCTAGGGAAAAACATGAATAAAAGGGATAATTTTCTGCTCTTACCCCTGGGTGATCTTTGCGTGGTACTGTCCATCACAGTTGGGAGAGACGGCTCCTCAGAGCTGCTCCACACTGTTCACAGAGGATGCCATTCCAAGGAAACTGGGGAATAGGGAAAGTCTTTAGCTTATTCCTCTTTGAGGTTTGTTTGAGATGCAGTTTCTTCAATATTTTGAGTCTATGAAAACATGTTGTATACTTAAATATATACCACAAAAAATAAAAAAAATTGCGATTTAAATATCTCTCTCTCTCTCTCTCTGTGTGTGTGTGTGTGTGTGTGTGTGTGTCTACTATACCCATCTCTCTACGTTAAAAATATTTCTCCCCTGAAGTCTTCAGACCACAGAAAATGGCCCTTATGGGGAAAGATGTTGGTGCTGGATTCAAACTTAAATTGTTTTCATTCTTCTATAAGTGCCTGAATATGACATAAGGGAGACAATGATTAAAAACACAAGGGGAAGGATGTCTACATTTTTAGGTAAAAATGTAAAGGGACAAATGTGCTTAAAGATGCTAGTTCAAAAAACATGGCTCCAGAGGTAAGTGTGCTGTTCTGATTGACAGGCACGTGATGGAGATTTTGTGTCAATGCAGGAAAAAGCTGAAGTAACTGGGCATACACAATATATGAGGTTTCCCTGGAATTTCCATGGAATGCTCAGGTGATTCAGATGCAGAGGTCCATGGAGCACAATTTTAAGAAACCGTGCTCTAAAAAATGAGCTGAAAATGAGAGGTTTATTTTCTTTTTTCCTGCAGTTCCATGGAATTGTTTTCCATTCATTTTTGGCTCTTCCTGAACATTTCCACATGATGACATAGGGAGAACACATTTGCAAATCACATTGAGGGTGGTGAGAGATAATGAAATTGAAGTGTCAGCAGTTTGCAAGCAAGAGGAAGGCATTTTTTCCCCCCAAGCTCTGTTATTACCTTATTCAATTTGCACTTTATTTTGAAGCACATGTATAGAAATAAGCAAATTATTAATTCAGGCTTGTCTTCAATTTTGTGCTTGGCCTGCAAACCTCTAACATCTCTCCCAGTTCCCCAGGCGAACTGCTGAAGGCTTGGTGATAGGCTGAGGCGGGCATATTCATTATTCAATATGAGCTGCAAGCAATTTGATATTTCATGTGAGCATGTGGCAGAGCTGAGGAGGAGGGGGAAGTGTCATTCAGGGGAATATGGTCTTGACTGTTACCATTTTCACGTTTAGCTGAAGGCTTAACATTAGCTGTGCTCACATGTTTCAAGGATAAGGATAATTCCATTGAGAATCTGGGCTACAGCCAGGTGTTTTTGTCTCTGTGACACATCCTATTTCTCTGTGCAGAAGAGCCCTTTTTGAGCCAGGCCATATGCTCAGCATCACAGTGGGGGGGAGCTTTGTGTGTTCCCTCTGGAGCCCTGGGAATAATGAGATCCTGAACAGCAAAGGGCAGAGTCCCTGAAAAGCAGCCATACCTGGTGCAGGTGGGGAATGTGCATGACCCCCAGCTCCTGAGGTTCTGGAAGCATTTCTAGATAGTGTCTGCATCATCTGTTAACACTTCCATTCCACTGGTGGGCAACCATTCCCTTGAAAGGGTCCTGTTATTAGAGAAATTTGCCCCACGTTCTTCCTTCTTCATATATCTACAAATGTGTTTTCCTCTGCTTATGTACTTACAGGTTACGCCAGCCTTTAGGATCATAGAATTTTACAATGGAAAGGTCATTAGAGTTCATTTGTTTTAGTGTCCCCATGTTTACCTAGGTAGAAACAGGATTAGAGAGGTTAGGTGATTTGTCCAGGGACACGCGGCTAGTTAGATGCAGCCTGGGAACCAGATCCCAGATATCTGGCATCCCCAACTGAGTGCTCTTTCTAAGATAGCAAATACCTAAAATAAAGCCTGAAACACAGGGACAGCTCAATTTGTGTGGGCTGAAATGATAGTTTTTGTAAACCATAATATTTTTCACAAATGTTCAATCCAAGATGTATTCATTTTCCATCACGTCAGCGAAAGATCTGAGAAATGCCTTCTCGGCAGTCTGAGAGAGCATGTCGCATGTCTGCAGTGTTGGAGGCCTGGAGGCTTCACTGTCCCCCAACCTGCACTTTCCTGGTGCTTTGCAGAGGGATGGCTCAGCCTTCCCTGGCTGATCTGTTAACTGAGTAATATCACTGGTCACTTTGGGATGATAATAGTCTGTGTGTTTGGAATAACAATGAACAAACTGATATTGAGCCATCAGACAAAACCAAAAAAGTCTGGGATGCCCTCAACACAGCCATTCTAAATGGTTTCCTTAGGCAACAGCGGCTTATTGTCTGGGCTGCTGCTCTGGCGCGTTTTGCTTGCAGCAGACTAACAGGCCTAGTTAATTGGCAGACAAGGACATGAAGGGCACAAACAGAGTGCAGCTAAGGAGTGTAGGAGGTAATGGTGGTTTGGCAGAGCTGCTGGGACAAATTAGCATAACGCCCCATTAATGTGAAAAGTGATGTCAGAAACATGAAGACTTAAAAATCTACTTTCCTTGGAGCAATGTTAAGAAGCTTTTAGACCCCCATTCTGTATTCGCTTTGGTTCTCAGTTTTTACGCACACACGCGCATGCACACACACACACACTTGCGCACATGGTTATGATTATTGTCAAACTCCAGGTGTGACTCTAAAGCAGGGGTTTTCCCAGTATGGTCTGAGGAACCCTTGGGATGCCAAGTAGTTTTTGGGGTCTGTAGGCTCAGAACTATTTTCATTATCACACTAGGACATTATCTGTCTTTCTCACTGTTATTCTCTCCTGGCGTACAGTGGAGTTTTCCAATGACATGACATGTGATACACAACAGTTTGTAGGAGCAGGTATGAGAATTTGGCTGGCTTTTATGAAGCCACATGTTAAAGGGATTTGCAATGAAAAACAATCCCATTACTCTTGCTAAACTTTGTTTTGTTTTGAAAGATGTAATATTTTACATAAAATATGCTGTTTATATTAACATGTAGTGGATTTATTATTGTTATTTTAAAGTGAATCAATGACATTTCCCAATTTTAATATTGTGTAGTGGTTTACATATCTCTTAGGAAAGAGAAATCTCATCATTTTTGTTAGAGCCACCTTTTGCCAGCATCCTCTGCAGGTGTAGCATCCTCTGCAGGTGTAGCACCCTCTCCAGGTGTAGCACCCTCTGCAGGTGAATTAGCCAGGATCGTTGTGGTGGCGTCCATGTCCAGATTGAAGTGTTAAATGCAATTATTACTCTGAACAATAGAGGGTTACCTTCTCAGTTTTCCAGACAGAGATATGAGGTATTGATCCAGTTCTGCCATGAGGCTATTTGCTTTGTTCATCAATGAATTTGAAACAGAAAACATCTTGAATATGCAGAGGCTGGTGACTTACTAGGATTAGAGGCACTTTCAGAAATATCAGATGTGGACAGGTTTTGAGTTTGCAATGTAGGGGCCCAGACCTACATTCCTGTGTTATCTAATGTTAGTGCTTCTTCTTTTTTTTTTTTTTAAGTGGGAAACTACATGGGTAGATAGATTATAGACTGCCTCTTTCATCTATTTACCCATTTCCACTCCTCCTGTTGCAATCTCCCACACATGTGATTTACTTAGAGGTCCTGGCATAGCACGTGTTCAATGAATGTCACTGAAAACAAAATGGGGAGCAACTGAACACTTCTTCCTGTGCTTGTTTTGTTGAAAACATAGTTATCATTGTCATTTTTGTGTTCATATAAGTAGTATTTTGTTTTTTGTGTGTATGATTATCATTTTATCACTTCCCAGTCAAGAATTCTGAAGCGCAGGTTAAGTGACTTGTCCAAATCACAGGCTAATGACAGAGTTGAGATTCAAGCAGAGTCTGTTTGACTCCAAAGCACAAACTCTTTGCAGGATATCAAGCTGTTTTTATCCAATAAAAAAGTCCATTGAGATGGAAGTTTTTTTTTTTTTTTTTTAAGTGAAATTGCCTAAGCATTACTTTGAAAAATACATCCTGATGAACTGTTTTGGTGTATTATGTCTCCCAAAATATACTGCTTAAGTTCATGAATGGAGGGGTGATCATGGATTAGGGAAGGGAGAGCTTAGGTACTTCCTTGGGGAGGGGCCTGCATTGGGCTAGAGAGGCAAGGCAGTAGCCCAAGACTTGTTTCTACTTCCTATATGTGTTGTATTAGTTTCCCATAACAAATTGTCATAACAAATTGTCAAAAACTAAATGGCTTAAGCTAACACACATTGTTACGGTTCTGTAGGTCAGAAATCTGACACGGCTCTCAGTGGGCTGAGAAAGTTGTCAGCAGGGCTGTGTCCACTTCTAGAGGCTCTAGAGGACAATCTGTTTCCTTGTTTTTTCCAGCTCCTAGAGGCCACCCACATTCCTTGGCTTGTGCCCATCCCCCCACCTTTATTTTCAAAGCCAGCAATGTTGCATTTTACACTCATCTTCTGCAATCACACTTCACACTGCCCTTCACTGACTAGGGAAAGGGTTTTATTTTTTATTTTTTAAGTTTTTTGCTTTTAAGAACTTGTGATTAGATTGGGCCTACCTGAATAATCCAGGATAATTTCCCCATCTCAGGACTTTTTTTTTGTTTGTTTTTGAGACAGAGTCTCACTCTGTCACCCAGGCTGGAGTGCAGTGGTGTGATCTCAGCTCACTGCAACCTCTGCCTCCCGAATTCAAGCAATTCTCCTGCTTCAGCCTCCTGAGTAGCTGGGACTACAAGTGCATGCCACCACACCTGGCTAATTTTTGTATTTTTAATAGAGGTGGGGTTTCGCCATGTTGGACAGGCTGGTCTCAAACTCCTGACCTCAAGTGATCTGCCCGCCTGGGCCTCCCAAAGTGCTGGGATTACAGGCATGAGCCACTGCGCCCAGCCTCAGGACCGTTAACCTTAATCATATCTGCAAAAGCCCTGTAAAATAATATATTCACAGGTTTAGGGGATTAGGGCATGGGCATCTTTGAGGGGCCATTATTCTGCCCACCACATGTATGAAACCTGACAAAGCATGTTGTTGTACCATCACTAAAATGTGCTAACCAGTTTTCATAGGGATGTCTGGTGTCAAAATGAACCAAGGTTAATTCTGAATCAGTGACTTTATTGAACAAGCATTTATTAAGCCTATTGAGCACTCAGTATTTCTTGAGATCATTGTTTTTTAAAAAATTAATAAACTTTATTATTTTAGAGCAGTTTTGGCTTTACAAAAAAATTGAGCAGAGAGTGCAGAGAGCTCCCATATACGCCCATTCTCCTTGCTTTCATTTCCCCTATCATTAACACTTTGCATTGGTGTGGTACAGTTTTTACAATTGATGAAACAATCTTGATATATTAACATTATCTTTAAAATCCATAGCTTACATTAGGGTTTACTCTTGGTGTTATACATTCTGTAGGTTTTGACAAATGCACAATGCCAGGTATACACCATTACAGTATGTTACAGAATAGGGTTACTGCTTTAAAAATCCTCTATGTTCCACCTATTTATTATGTTCACTTGCCTCCCAACCCCTGGCAACCAATGATCTTTTAATTGTCTCTGTAGTTTTGCCTTCTTCAGAATGTCACATAGTTGGCATATACAGTATGAAGCCTTTTCAGACTGGCTTCTTTCACTTAGTAATATGCATTCGAGGTTCCTCTAGGTATTTTTATGGCTTTGTAGCTCATTTCATTTTATTGCTGAACACCATTGCATGGTATGGATGTATTTAGTATCACAGTTTGTTTATCCAGTTACCTACTGAAGGTCATCTTATTTGCTCCCAATTGTTGCTAATTATCAACAAAGCTCCTGTTAACATTTGTGTGCAGGTTTTTGTGTGGACATAAATTTTCAACTCATTTAGGTAAACAGGAGCACGATTTCTGGATCATATGGTAAGACTACATTGAGCTTTATAAGAAACTGCTAAAAGATCAGTGTTTTTTAACTGACAACTTTAGAGTACCTGGAGAAAGTCGAGCTGACAGTGTTTTGGGTCTGCTTTCAAAACTTAGATAAGAAAGGTTCTGATTTTATGAACTTTGTATATTGAGGTTCTGAGTATGATTGCATTTACAAAAGGATTCTACTGCTAAAAAGCAGGTGAAAGCTCTTGAAAACCTAATATTTTGTTACAAATATCCTCTCCTCTCATCTTCACCTCCTCTCCTCACCTTGACTGGGAACCCAAAAGGTGAATTGCATTGCAAGGGAGGTAATTAGAATGACTTTGAATGTCATACTGCAGTGGACCCGGCACAGCTCCCACTGGTGAGAAGGCAGGCAAATCTTCTCTCCTGGAGAAAGATAACATTGCAGTCTGAAAACAATGAAATTATTGTCCTAACAATAACATATGAGAGTGCTGTGCAGCAGAACATAACTCCCCAAGGGCTTACACCTATGCAGCTATTTGTCTAGATAAATACACACATCACACACCACCCACTCACATATACTCCACTGATGACTGATATGCACAGTCTTCCTTTGACTCTTTATGTTGCCACAGAGACTGTGTCTTAGTAGTTGAGAGGGTGGTCTCAGCACAGAGTTGAATGCCAGTTCCACCACCGACTTTCTGCATGACTTTGTGAAAATGATTTATCCTCTCCAAGCTTTAGTTTCCTTGTCCATAAAATAGAGGTAATAGTAGTATCTACCTTGTAGAGTTATTGTATAGATATAATAAGAAGATGCTTGCAAAACTCAGTTCCTAGCACATAGTGAGTTCTTAATAAATGATAGCCATGTAGAAAACAACCTTTCTTCTTAAACTTCCACCTTTTGGTGAGAGGGGAGATGTTTTCCCCCAAATGAGATCCCTGAGGAAGGATTAGGCAGGATGGTATTTAATAGACTTCATGTTATTCCACCCAAGAATCCCTTTCACCTTGACAGCTGCATTTATTGAACCCCCTTCCTCCACCCCATCCACCTTTCTAGCTCAGTCCATCCCCAGATTTCAGTTCCATTCCTGACTCTAGGAAGATGGTTTTAGGGAGTTTAAGGATATGTGTCCACTAATTTGGTTTGGTCGGCTTTTACATCTGGTCTCATTCTGAGCCTGACAGTCCAGTTCTTTGTGACTGAGTCCTTGCCTTATGGGCTTCTTCCTCAGTGATATTAGAAGGTTTTTCTCCAGCATTTTATTTTCTGCGTGGATTTCTGCCTCTGAACTCAAGTTCTCATCACAGTTGAGTTATCACAAACCTGCCTCTGACAACCATCTGTACTCCTGGATCCCCATTAAATGCCTCTCATTAGGCCGTAAGCTGATCACCTGCCCTGCCCCAGATTGGAACAGCACTTGGCACTTGTACTAATGGTTCTTTACACTCTTATCCTGGGTGGGACATATCTGTAGCTTCACTTTGCGAGGTAGTCATGCCTCTTAGTCCAATTCCCCCTTTAAAAAATTCCTAGACTTGCTGTATCTTGAAATCTATCTGCTGGACATTTGTTCTAACCCTTTCCCAGCTTGATCTATCCCACCATGGTTAAGGCCTGGTTCTGTTATTAGAATTTGAGCAATTGGCCATAGACCCCAGTGTTACAATAAGATATAGCTTATAAATTGATCAAAGCTGTAAATTTTCATATAAGAAGTGAATTATTCAAGACTTTGGCAGGAAACAGATGTCATATTCAAGATGGGTAATTGAAGAGAGTTTAATAATGGGCTATTTAAGAATGAGTGGATAGGGTTTGAAAAAAGCAACAGAGCATAGTTGCCAACAGAGAGCTATTACATCACTAAACCTGGTGGAACAGGGGAAAAAGCGGTTGCTGGAACTCAGAGAGAGACAAACTGTTACAGGGAGAGGATTACTTGACAAGTACTGGAGCTTTCAGCTGAGGCGTGCAGCTAGTTCAAAGCCACCATGCTGGGAGGCAGCCAGTAATATAAATAAATATCTTATCTCATTCTCCTCCTTCCCTTTGATCAGCTGATTCTATTTGCTGAACCCACCTGGAAGCCTGTGCTCAAGGGAGCCCTTCGAGTCAGTTCAACAGAATAGTGAGAATGGGCTATCCGGAATAGTGAGAAGCATGGTAGTGGGACCCGAAGAGGCAAACAGAAGCAAGGAGGCACCAAGTTGTACAAAATATCTGTCCAAGGTCAGCTATGTTCTTTGAGAATTTCAGGGTAATTATGTCCCTGTTCATATCAAAGGGACATAATACCTACCAGTGACCTAATGGCTCTTATTGGCTGGCTATGACAGCTGACTACAATTCAGGCAGAATTGTATAAAATTGCAGATCCAGTGCTTCAGCAGTAATAACAATGTTGTGTTGATCCTATACTTTTTGTGATAGATTAAAGGTAATGACACCTTAGAAATGATACATTGAGGATGAAAAGATAATCTATTGTTTTATTTATGGTTATTAAGTAAATTTCATGGGCTTAGTCACAGTCCTGGGGTGGGGGGAGGAATCTCCTTTCTTCAATTTCTGTAATTTATAATTTTACACTCTTGTGGAAATATACAATCTGTATTTCCAAATTCGAGGGTGTGTTGCTTGAAAATAAATCAAATGGGTCAAAAATGTCTGGATTTTAAAAATAGGTAAATGAGGGGGTTATTCATACCAATAAAGTGTTCTTTGCTTCTTAAAGTGATTGACTACACATTCTCCTGAAGTAGTAGAACCATAGTAATTGAAAAGGAAATATGACTTTATGTACCAGAATGTAATTTTCAAGGATGTATCTTTAAGTGAAGAAAAGTAGATTGATGTTACTAATACTTGTAATGATGCATAGAATTTAGGATTAGCAATAACTTCGTAGACTCTAGTTGAAAGGGTCCTAGAGGGTACATGGTACAACTACTCAGCTAGACCTGGAAACCCTTGTCTATACCCCATACCCCAAAGGTCATCCAAGCTGTGCTTACCCATCTTCGGCTCCCTGGAAGTCCACTGACATAATTTCCTCAGTAAATATCAGCCGTCATGATTCAGATAAACATAGTCTTAATGTATTGTAATGTGGTTAATTGCATTATAATTATTAATATCTACTGTTGAGATAGAAGTTTACTAGTGGTATAAAAAATGCCTCCTTAATCAATCAAATTTGAACTGTAAGAGCTTTCATTTATATTAGATAGTTTTAACTGGGGGATGGCAGAGTAGAGGACTGGCTGAATTGAAATCAAACTGCTCAAGGAGACCTCAAGAGAGTGAGGGGCCTATGTCTTGCTTTAGGCAGGTAAATTAGACACCTTGATGCCCATTTTATAGATGCTAGGAGAGGCCCCCACCAAGGGATAAGTATGATACCCAAAGTCATGAAGTTGGTGAGCAGGAACTTGAGTGCAGAGCACCCTTCTCCAGGGCAGGGTTCCTGAGTAGATGAGCTTCTAAAAGGCAGGAAGTGTGAAGAGAGGCTTCCCCTGGCCAGGGTGGGAGTGGATTCTGCAGAGTGTCCTTCTGCTTCTTGGCATTATTATGAGGCCTCCACTTAATAAAGGGGAAAAGGAGCTCAACATTAAGCTGGACTTTAACATGTGTTAGATTGGATTTAGGAGCTGGCCACAGTTCATTCCCATTTCTGGGGGAGGAAAGGGAAGCCCTCTATGCTCACCTATAAATCCTGTCTTTAACAATAGCTTAATGGAATGAAGAAATTAAAAATAGTCAATGCCATTTTCTTACTTGATACAATTAGTGGATCAAATATCTCAATTTGGTAGTTTCAGCTGATTGAATTGAAGCTAGAATCCTGTTTAGCAAAAATGTAACCATGGTTAATACAACTGATTCTTTTTCTTCATTTTGTACATATTATTGTGGCTTCTACCTTTTCTGGTAAACGAATCCCCTCAAACTTGCCCACATTGGGGGAAGGAGCTTAGTGGATTGTGTGATGATCCCAGAGGTCAGTCTGTTGGCCATCCCTCACCTAGTTATGTTAAATCACTGGGGCAAATTCCCAGGCTTCTCTCTCAAGATTCTGGCCCCACGGAACAGATCCCAGAATCTCTATCTCTATCTATCTATCTATCTATCTATCTATCTATCTATCTATCTATCTATCTATCTTTGAGACAGAGTCTTGTACTGTTGCCCAGGCTGGAGTGCAGTGGTGTGATCTTGGCTCACTGCAACCTCCGCCTCTGGGGTGCAAGCGATTCTCCTGCCTCAGCCTCCTCAGTAGCTGGGATCACAGGTGTCTGCTACCATGCCTGGCTAATTTTTGTATTTTTAGTAAAGATGGGTTTTCACCATGCTGGCCATGATGGTATTGAACCCCTGATCTCAGGTGATCCGCCCACCTCGGCCCCCCAAAGTGCTGGGATTACAGACATGAGCCACTGTGCCCGGCCCCAGAATCTAAATTTTCAACAAGCTCCCCAGATAATTCTGAAACCCCTCTAGGTCAGGGGATTCATGATCAAAGGATATGTTTCCAGGGGCTTGAAATTCCAACTATAATTTTGCCCCGGCCTCTAAGAGTCCTCTGAAAGCGCGTGAGGGTTCTGGCTAATACTTCAGGCCTTTCATCTTGTAGGGGCAAGCCGGGGGTCTGGGCGGGTGGGGCAGCAGAGAGATAGTGGGGTAGGGGTGGGGTGAAAAATGATGGTGATGAGGCCCGAGGAATGAGGACTCAGCAAGCAAAAGGCTGGTGGGAGAATCAAGAGAAACTTGGCCCATTTGACAAACATGCTCAGGGCCAGCTCTGGATGAGTGAACACAGCTTGTAACCTTTGCTATCTTACTTCCTTTGAGATGAAGATGATAATAGTCAATGGGGGTAGAGGGTTGTTAGGTTTCAAGAATTTATATGGTTTTGTGATTTTTATCCTCTTTCCAACCTAAGAAGCAAAACAAAATTGAACTGTTATGTAAACGAACCAGCAAGTCTGAGTACGGAAGGCAGTCTTCAAGAACTTTTATTAGAATTTATTAGATGTGAAAATATCTGACTTCACCAGGAGGAGGCTGCTTTTGTCATGTGACAGTGGGAAGTGGAATGTTCCAGTTTGTGAGTATTGTATTTTTCTGAACGCTAAAGAAAGCAGATACACAGTAATTGAGCATATTCAGCAGTCCTAAAGGAAACAGGGAATGTTGGTGTATTCACTGAGTTTCTCTGGGGCAGCCCCGGCTGCTTGGGCTTTGGGCTGAGGCTGGAGAGATGAAGGAGACACCATCACTGCCCTCTCCCAGGTTTGTGGCCCCAAAGCCCAACGATAAGCAATTCAGTTGACTGAGAAATATTACCATTTAAAAAAAGTTACTGATACTGTTTACTCAAGAATTAGAAAGAAAAAAGACCCCATTTTCTTGAGTATTTTAACAATTCTTAGGCTATATTAGATTTCTTCCCAAGCTTGAGGCGTTAGCTTCCCCTTGAATTGTGCCTTGAACACTTTTTTTTAAAAGAAAGATTATGACGTGTTAAACCGTGATTTACTCATTTCTGTAATTAGATGTAGTGATTAGAATCCCCTTTATCTTACTCTGCAGTTTTCCTTTATGGGAAATTATGAAAGAATAATAGGTAAAAAGTTCAGAATGGGAGAAAGAATAAACAGAATGCTGAATGGTAAAAGAAGACAGAATGCTGAATGGATAATAAAATATTTAGTGCTTTTCAATTAACTGTTCTCACGATTAGTACACTAGTATATCATAAAAATCATGTCTATTAATTTTTTGCAGCCATTATCTTGACTGTGATTTACTCCCCTCAAATCATTAACAATGCCATTAAAAAGGTGGCTGGAGATGAACGTCCTGGATAGAGTTCAGGGATGTAATAGGATTATTGTTCAGGGTCACAGGGAGATTGAAGACCAGCAAACGGAGGGAAGGGGGTTTGAGAGTGCAGTGCTGGGTAAGAGGAGGAAAGAGTAGAGGAAGGCACACAGCCCTGGGGTTTGAGAGGCAGGTGGATCACTCAGTGTGAGCATGGGGGTGAGGGGAGTCCTTTAGATGAGGCACTGCATTACTTTAATCTGAGGAAGATGCAGGTTGTGAAAAGCCCAGTGACTTAGAGAACATGGGCTTTCCTCACGGTGGAATTTCATATGCACAGGGAGGAGAAGATAAATATGTGTGTGTATAAGAGTCCCCAGGGTCCTATCAGAGGCAATGAAGCATTCTTGTGCCAGGTTATGGTGGCGGCTTGAGGGCAGCATTTCCATCCAGCCAAAGAAAGGGCCATGACTTTTCATAAATAGTTCCCTTCTTGGGAAAATGAGATAAGCTGTATAAGCAGAAAAGTGTTAACCAAGTAGACCGATGAAAGCTGAGTTGCGTGGAGTTGCAATGCTGCTGTGCATTCTGAGGAGGTTACTCAAGGAAACTCCATGTCTTCAGTTTAACTACCTGTCTGGGTGTCTATCTTCAAATCATTGGTTAATCAATATTCAATTCATCAACCTATTATTGGTTATACTTGTTAGCATCTTGAAACATCTTTTGGCTTACATAAACAAACACACAAGTTTTATTACTGTAAAAAGATTTGGAAGATTTTTGTTTGTTTTCTTTTTTTCTCAGTACTTGGGACAACAACACAGCCTTAGTGAATACAGAGTCTGTTTGAATTCATGGTCTGAAATTCTAACTTCCTACCTTAGCTGCTCAGAGTACATGTTGGAGATGGGCCAGTGAGTCCTCTTTGCATTTGGCCAGTAAGTCCTCTTTGCATTTTCACTGTGCAAATCAGTGGTAGAGGCTAAAGTCAAAAGCCTCTGGTTTTTCAGTTTTAAATGGGTCTTTTCCAAGTGAAGTTTGGCCACAAGACATGTCTTCATAAAGCAAATGATCTGTCACAATTTCATAAGCAGGAAATAGGAAACTGGAACTGGCTAATCAATCATACAACGTTTTTAGCAGCTTAGTAGACATTATGAGTTAGTATCATTTTAACATTTTTCATTATAACTGGGAAACACAACATTTCTCTTTACTGTTAATACCCGCTGTGGAAGTTAGCACTGGTGCTCATTGATGTCCATAGCCTGATCTTGAAAGACTGGACTGAAACCCCAAGAATTCCTTCTTTAAAAGTTCTAATAATATTTCACAATAATATTCTATAAGCCAGAGTTCAGAGTTATATCTTTCTGGATTACTGTCTTCTAAATTTCCATTATAAAATTATATATGATATATATATTATTACTGTCATTAGACAGTATAAATATATGTGTGTGTGTGTATATATATATATATATGAAACTAACCATGTAAATGGATAAATAAATAATGGTCCAAAGCATACATTGCTGTCACTTTCATGATCACTTTTGATCACTCCACATGAATGAAATCATAGGCATTTTTAAGCTTTGGAATCTATAGTGGACAGCTTAGCTGTGTTGAATTCTGATTATTGGTGTAACTCGAGTCACAAGTGACAGTGGAATGAAGGTGTCTCTTATCTTATGGTCCCAATTCTTATAAAGCTCCTTCTATAAATGTGGGGAAATCTCCTTAATGGAGAATCCAGCAGGCTGGCATCAGCTGTCCAATTTACAAGAAATCTATTCACAAGAATGTTTCAAGAAAATCTTAGAGTTTCGGGTCTAGTGAGAGGTAGCCTACAGAAGGCCTTCTCCAAAGCCCTGAGTGAAGACTGTTTTTGTGCCAGGGCCATCTGTGGTTATAAAGTCTTCCATAAAACCAGCAGCCCCCTCTTCATTTCTCAGTGGGCATGCTAGACTGGTGGTTCTCATCCTTGGCTGCATATCAGAGTTTTCAAAATACAAATTCTTGAGGCTTACCCCTGGAGATTCTGATCCAGTCCCTTTGGGGTGGAATTTAGGCATTAGTATTTTTTTAAAAGCTTCATAAGTGGTAATTCTTATTCCCAGACAAAGGATGACTGCCCTAGGTAATGGAAGGCAAGCCTAATACATCTTATTTGCATATAAAGTAGGTGGCTGTAAAATTCTGGGGACTCACTGCAGAGCGGTGCCTTCTCATAGAGTATCAAACACTGTTTTCCTGCAGTCTTACCCTTTACAAATAAAAGTGGTTGAGCCTTCTCCCCTGACAATGGTGTCCTGCCTACCTCTCAACAATGGAAACTGATGTCCCCTCCCTCAGAAGCCAGCTTCTTCCAGCCTGGAGGTGTGCAGAACCTTTGATTGTTCCCGGTTGAACCCTCACTAGAAAGAGAGTGACCATTGTTAGAAAGATGTCGTTGTCAGAACGATCCTGGTTGTTGTCCCCATCCCAGATGGATGTCTGGGCTCCATAGCTCTTGGGCATCTCAATGGTGCATTCCCTGTGGCTGGAAGAGGCCAAGCTCAGGGCCCACACTCTTTCGAAGCATCGTCACATTTCTTTGGACTGCATCTGGCCTAGGACCAGTTGGTAAACATTACATATCCTGACTTCAAGACAGGGAATAATTCACTTGAATGATATACCACATGCATTTGATATTTCTAGGGGAGGGTTTCTCCACAGGAACACTACTGGCATTCTGGCCCAGTTAATTCTTTGTTGTGGAGGTTGTCCTGTGCAGTTTAGGATGTCTAGCAGCATCCCTAGCCCCTCTCCAGCAGATGCTGGTAGCAATTCCTCATCCTTCCAGTCATGATGATCAAAAATATCTCCAGGCATTTCCAAATTTCCCCATGAGAACAAAGTACCCCCACCTTACCTCTGGTTGAGAATCACTACTCTGAGGGGGAACTTTGCAAATTAATCATTAAGAATCATAACAGAGGTCAGCATTAGCTCTTTTAATGTTATATTCCATCTCCTTTGTTACTGCATTTAGAAGGAATGGCACACCTTTCTTCAGATTTACTGTGGTTACTGCTTGGATGTTGTCCTTGGATGTTTGGTTACCTGGATACAGACTCTGAGATAGAGATTTGTATAAAGGAGGTTTACTGGAGAATTCTCTTAGGAACACTTGCATGGAGTAGGGAAGAGATTTGGGCACAGGGGAGACATTGAACTGTTGAGCAACACAAATATGGCCTCAGCTAATCCTAATGGGAGCTCTGGAGCTGGGATAACCTTTCAGAGTTGTCCAAATTTGAGATGAGGGGGCCAAACCTTTGTATCCACTCCAGCAGCAAGTCATTGGATGTGAACAGCCTCCCACCCTCTGTCCCCAGGGATGGGGGCTGACCCCAGCAAGCCAACTGCCTTCAGACAAGGGCAATTCCTCATGAGAGACTTAGCTGTGATGTGGTCAGAGACTAACACTCTGGGCAGCAGGGGGATGAGAGACTCTGCCATGAAGCATCATCTGAGCTGTGCACCACAGTCTAAAAGAAAATGAGTTTATTTAAGTCATTTTACCAAGTCCGTGAAGCTGAGAACCTGAGAATAAAAGAGGGATTCTAGCCCAAATGGAACTTCACTTGGAGGCTATGGTTGGATGGTGTCATCAGAAGCTGGCACCTACCTAAGGTATCCATACGAGGGTAATATACACTCTTCTGGCTTCCTTTAGAGAATGATCTTGTCTTTGTCCTCCCTGATCTATCTCAGAGCCAGAAATTACATTAGCTAAAGCACTTTTTGAATGGTGTTGAAAGAACATGATCTCCATGGAAAGGCAGGTAGTCCTAAGGGGTGACCTATGATGGATCTTCCCTGACACTGGTTAGGCAAAATGTTACCTGTCACCACTGTGCACCAAGAGTACAAAATAAGAAGATTGCTTACCACAGTAGACTATTGGCAGCATTGTGGGCAGGTTCTCATGGCCACAGAGACCATGATTGTGGCACAGTTGATGTTTTGAAGTAGCACAGTTTTGCTTTGGAGCATGTAGCTATATGCTTACATGTGATATGGGTTGAAATGATGGGTTAAACTTCTGTGTGCAGCATGCATTATTCCTTAATGTCAGGGAAGCTCAGAGGTGCACAGCTAGCTCTTAGATTCATTTCAGTTATACCAGAGAGGAAAAAAGTGGGAAGAGGAGGGGAAGGGGAAAGTGAAGAGGGTGAGAAAAAAAAAAAAAAAAGCAAGAAGAGACTAAGGGAGGAGGTGCTGAAGATGACACCGGAATGCCTTGTTCTAGGGCTAGGTGCTTGCTTTTTGCTTACAGAGCTGCAGACATTTTGCATTGTTTCACCTTACACGGGCTTTTATTATAAAGGTTTGTTCATGGCATTTACTTTCTTTACACACACGTGCACACACACACACATACACACACACACCCCTTAATTTTTTTTTTTTTTTTTTGAGACATGGTCTCACTCTGTTGCCCGGGCCAGAGTGCAGTGGCGTGATCTCAGCTCACTGCAGCCTTCACCTCCCACCTCAGCCTCCCATCTCAGCCTCCCGAGTAGCTGAGACTACAGGCACATGCCACCGCACCCAGCTAATTTTTGTATTTTTTGTAGAGATGGAGTTTCACCATGTTGCCCAGGCTGGTCTTGAACTCCTGGGCTCAAGTGATCTGCCGGGTTTGGCCTCCCAAAGCACTGGGATTATAAGCGTGAGCCACCACACCCGGCCCAACCCTTATGTTTTAATACCTTTTTAAATGTTTCCTTTTCTTTTGCCATCTCATTTTGTTTCTCATGGTGATTTTACTCTTCTGGGTAGTTTCTAATTTACACCCTGGAACATCCTGTGCTTAGTGGTGGCTGCATTATGATTATGTAGAAGAGTCTTAGTGGGGCCTGCTTGGACAGGAGGAGCACAGTGAACTTGTCTCCAGGCAGCACCTGTGTAGCACACATGCTATGTCTACTTATTGGGGTTGCATCGGAGGAGGCTGAGCCCCACCCCAAGCCATTTTTGGAATGGCCATGCCTATGATATAACAAGAGTGGATGATATTACTTTATTTCACAGAAACTGGGAACTGAACCAAATTTCTTATTACCAAGGCATCTGCAGGTTTTTCTTTATCAGAAGCCACCAGTTCCTTTCCCAGCCACCTGAAAACACTTACCCGGAGTCTGTTATCATGGCATAACTAGTTTCTGGCGATGGAATTACTGCTACTGCCTCTACCGTCATTACCATCCAATTCCCCCACCCCTGGGGACAGAGCCTCAGATTAATTGCTATAGCCCTTTTCCTGAGATGTGGGTGCTTTTTCAGCAGCTTGCCTGGTATGTGACATAAGAGTTTTCAGCATGGTGAGGAAGCGGAGGGGAGGGACTGGAGGTGGCAGGTACAGATGGGCAGTCTGTGGGGAGCAGAGATCAGTGTTTTACACAGACGGCCTAGCTTTGCTGTGTGGGCCTTGGTAAGAGCGTCTCATTTTATCAAACAGCACTCTACCTCCATTTCCACAACCCCCCAAAGTCACTCTTCCAAGCAGCTTGGGAAGACAAAAACAGCTGTGCATGTTAGCAGCTTCAGATGTTCCCACAGCAGTGCTACACTGCAGTAGCCCAGGGGTCATCAAATATTTAGGAGGATGTTGTAGACCTTTGTATCATGGCCAGAAATGCCATGTGCTCAGGTTTGGATTCCACTGGGTTCTTGTTCATGCTAGCAGAAAATTGAGGGAAAAAGGAAGTGGCTCTTTTACCAAATTATGTAGTGATATGGGCTCAATGGTACTTTATGTTTACTATACAATCAGCTTTTCAGTTTCTTGTTCAAGGCAATAACAAAATAAGAACAATACTGGAATAAGAGCCTGTTCATCCCAGATGAAAAACACTTTAGAATATTTATTTCTTATTATAATCTATTCATTAAATGTCATAGCTTGGCACTCTGGGGAGAGTCATATACTATAACCCATAGTGGAGATGAGATTGTACATTTACAAGCTGCCTGAAAATTCCCTGGTGACTGTGGATGCTGGAGAATGCAGCTGGGGTTGCTGAGAAAAGCATGTAGTACTATAGCTAAGTGTGGTCTAAATTTCCACTAACTATTTCCTTTCAGATGTGCAACTTCTTTCAGGGAGAGATATATACCTTTTGTAATCAGGGACTAGAATATCCATTTTAGGTAAAAAAAAAAAATTCAATTTGAAGTTTTTTTTCTTAACACAGCTAAAATAACTTTATGGCCTTGGAGTTTTGTTTTATCTGGAAGACTGAAAAGACAATCTTTAGAGCTCCGCATTGTAGCTTAATATTGTGTAATAATATATAATTGGTTCAGTGTCAGCCAATGGGAAGATTAAGTGGATTTCCATAATGGCCATCCTTGGTCTAGTCCTAGTCAACATTTCCTTAAAGATCAGGATGATGGAATAGTAATTTTTTCATTAAATTTGCCAATAAATACAACTGAGTGGGGTGGTTTGTCTCTTAAAAAGCCAGTCTAAAACTGTTTGTTTTTTTTAAAGAAGAAATGGGTGGTTGAAAACTACAGAAGTTTAGAAGGTGGTTATCATATAATATTAGGGAAATCATCAAACTGCATAGCACAAGAGGGGTAACCTGGAGGTTATAACACACCCCAAACTATAGCAAGTAGAAAATCAAGACTTTTGTCATGGAATAAACAGGTCAGCATCTACATTTCCAACACTAGGTCTTTGACTACTGTCTGGTTATGAAACATTTACTCAGCATAGTGAAAATAGATCTCTTTACAATTTTGATGACGGTACTGGTATTGACTTTATGAAGTCCAGATTGCAGGGAGCAATGATATACTGGTATGCTGGTTTCAGTGGAAGAAGGGATCTAACTACATATATGGATTTAGAGTAAGGAAGATGTTGGTTGGGCTCAGTGGCTCATGCCTATAATCCCAGCACTTTGGGAGGCTGAGGCGGGTAGATCACCTGAGGTCAGGAGTTCGAGACCAGCCTGGCCAACATGGTGAAACCCCATTTCTACTAAAAATATTAACAAAATTAGCCAGGCATGGTGGTGGGCACCTGTAATCCTAGCTACTCGGGAGGCTGAGACAGGAGAATCACTTGAACCTGGGAGGTGGAGGTTGCATTGAGCCTAGATCGCACCATTGCACTCCAGCCTGGGTGACAAGTGTCTCCAAAAAAAAAAAAAAAAAAAAAGAGTAAGGAAGATGTCAAGGCCCTCAGTTGAGTCAAAAGATTCATATCCTGGCTCAGGCTTTGACTGTAAATAGCTGAGTGACCTTGAACAAGTCCTCCAACATCTTGGGTCTTCAATTTGTTATCTTGAAAATGAGTGGTTAGATTAGTACAGTGATTCTCAATCTGTGGTCCTCCAGGAGCAGTGGGAGACTGTGAACTCTATTTTCAGTGCTATAAAGGCATAAGGAAATAGTGTATTTCCTAGTAAGGAGGCCACATAGATTATTATTTAATAAATGCAGCTAGTAGATGAAATCTTTTAAAACATGAGTACACACAATAAAAAATTAAGAGTCTTCTTGGTAGTCAAAAGACAGGAAGCAACAGCTGAGTATGATGTCATGTGCTTGTAGTCTCAGCTACTCAGGAGGTTGAGGCAGGAGGATCCCTTGAGTCTAGGATCAAGCAAGTAGCAAGTCAAGGCTGTAGTGCACTATGATCATACCTGTGAATGGCCATTGCACTCTAGCCTTGGCAACATAGCAAGACCCTTCCTCTTAAAAAAGAAAAAAAAATGAAAGAAAAAGTAAACATTTTAGTGTCTAAACTAAGGCTTGTTATGACTCTGGAATCTCAACAAAACTGAGAAATCTTGAGGTTACTGCATTTGTACTGAATAAACAGGGAGCTAGGGAAACAGTTACTTGTGAGCAGGTGGGCTTTGTTTGCAAGATAAGAAAAAAGGTAGGGATTATCACTAATATTAGCTGTGTGCCAGCCGCTTTTCTAGATGCATCAATTCATTTAATCCTCAAAACCACCTTATAAGGTCCGTACTGTCAATATCCCACCTTAGAGACGAGGAATCTGAAACACAAAGGTAATGCTTATTAAACTAATTAGTATTAGTGATTGTTACTAGTGATCTGGATTGTTCCCAGTGATATGTGGCCACTAATCCTACAGAAATGAGAGGGATAGATAAGGAGTGCACAGACAGGGCTTCTCATCTTCAACCTTCTCCAAGAATAAAATTAAATCTGTGCACTGGAGGGCCTGTATTACAGATAATCCTCTGGTACAAAATACCTGTGTGAGCTTGAATGAGTCATTCTACCTTTCTGAATCTTAATTTCCTAATTCCTAAAATGGGGTAATATTCTGCCCTGTTACACCCCAGAATTATTGAGAAAACATGAAATAACACATCTGTGAGTGCTTTGGAACCTAGAAGGCAATACAAACATGGGAGAATGAGGGATGGCCTTCTGCCTCATGGAGCTGCTTCCCGGTGACATCTGTCTCTCAATCAGCATTCATGGTATGCTAATTATGTGGGGGCAGAATGAAATTAAGATCTTAAGGTAACCCTTGTATCCTGTGTTTAAATGAAAAAGTGGCAAGGGGCTCTGTCACTCTGTTCTTTGCTTAGGCATTTTTGCTATAAAATACTATCATTAGGGGACCGTGTTCCAAATTTGCTTTTACCTAGTTCTCTCCCATTACATAATCATCTTAATTGGTGAGTAGTTCCATTTTCTTGCTTCTACCCCATTAGTCTCAATGGTGTGTTTGTCATTGCTGCTCAGTCTCAAGGCTTGCTTTGTGAGCTGATCCTAGGATTTTACTCCATTCTTATATCTCATCCTTCCTCTCCAGAAAATGAGGGCTGACCAATATCAAGACCAGTGAAAAGGTCTCGATGTCCCCTTTGGGAGGTAGGGTGAGCAGAGACACTTACATGTGCAGTTTCCCATTTGAGTAAAACCATGGGATGGGTGCAGAGAGGCACACATTCATCTTCGTAGTTGAATGTTGTTTCTGGTTGCGTGATAAGAGTGGGATAAGACAGAAGGCGAATGATTTCTCATTCTTACACACTGAGAACATAGTCTTGTTTCAGATGAAATGCCCTCAGCTTTCTGCTGTGATAAATTATATCCATATAGTACCCAACATCTCAGGTCATAGGTGATATACTAATTAATGCCATCGTGATATTGGAAACTCTATATTGAGCAATGGAATCCAGAAGTTCCCTGCTTGATATATAAAATCTCACTAGGGCTCTTTTTCTACTCCAGGCCACAAATAGTTGATACATTACACTAGACCAGCACATCCTAGCTTAGTTGGAGAGGGAACCCAGGAGAGGCGGGGATGTAAGGACAGGGTACACATATGTGGACAAAAAGTCTTAGTTTTAAAAACAGAGAAGTCAAAATAGAGACCACAAAAATCCAGCAACTCAGAAAACAGCTGCCTTTAAAATGAATGTGTTAAAAGAAAAAAATTTAAATAAACACATACACACAAACACACACCACTGGGTAGTTTTAAAAAGAGTATACTATAACTAGGTGGGGTGAGAGGGAGACTAAAAATACACAACATGAATGTTTCTTACATTCAAGCCTGTATGTTCATGATGGCATCTTGTGATTTTTTTTAGATATATATTTTGTTGCAGATCTTAAGGACCTAGCAGCTTGTTTCCTTGCTATTACCTATTAATGTCTATGAACTTCAGAGAAACATTCCATGTTCTCTATCTCCTTTGACTATCTACAGTGTTGTGTGTGCCCCTTCATGAAATTTTAAAAATTGTAATTATTCCCAGAGTTGTTATGTTCATTGGGAGAAAACTTATCTTTATGGCAAGTTCAAGGGTTTTGGATCTATGGAGAGACCTGGTTTTGAATCATGGTTCTGTCACATGCAAGATATGGGACTTTGGGCATGTTATTTTGTCTCTCCAAGCCTCTGTTTCTTCTGATATAAAATGAGTAAAAATATATATCTCCATCACTTGGGAAAAATAAATAACATAGTATAAACAAAGTTATCTGGCACTTCAGCCAACAGATATTGTTTCTCTTTGTGTCTGTTTCTCTTAGCTTCTTGAGGTCTGGAGCCAAGTATTGTGGTTCCTGTAACTTAATACAGACGATTTACTGGGGACTCAAAAAACACTATTGAATGAGAGAATCTATTCTATGTTAGTACCAAAGACATAAAAACACCACTTTCTTGCCTTTGAGTTACCTTTAATTGGGGGCAGTTGATTATTTTATTCACTCTTGATAATTTCTGTTTTACAGTTTATATTTCTCTTCTATTGCACAAAGTAACATCTGGTAGGTGTTATAACTTAAGTTATAATTGCCATAACTGAAGATTAGTCAGCCATCCACTTATGATTCTCATTTAAATTTACACTGACTTGTTACTTTGACACAAGCCAACTCCAAATCTGTAGAGAATGAAAAATGATATATATGTATCCTTCAGAAAAACTGTTCTTTATAGCAATTATATTCATGATGGGAAAACTAGGATAAAAATTGTCATAGGTAGCGACTTGCTGAGGCCAGTGGCATGGGTGGTAAAGGAGTTTACCAAGACAGTTGCAGATTTATTAGAGAAAGGCAGATTTATTAGAGAAAGTATGAAAGTACGTTGTGAGGATGCAATGGGCAGATCAGTAAGAGAGAAGCTGACTGCAAAGAGACAAAGGCTTGCTGGGGATTTCATAGGATGATGCTTGTGCTGGAGAGGGCTATGTGCAGTACTGATAATGCCAAGGTTGCGGTGAGCTTACTGGCATTTTTCTATCAGCTGCGGGTCTTGCGATAAGTCGAGCACAGGAAGATTGTGAGTTATTTGGGCAGGAGGGCTACGTGTTCTGGACCACAAAGAAAGGCAGACTTAGAGCTTATCTGCTTTTTCTTTTTGGTTTCCCCTGCTCCCTGCAGCCTGAATCCTTTCCCCTTATTAGGACTCCACAAAAATGTTTGCCCAATGAATGCCCAAGGTTACACCATGAGTTCCTGTGAAAGCCCCATTCCATTTTCCCAGGTTTTCCTGTTCTCAGTAACCATTGTCTTTTGACTTACCAATGTCTTTAAATGATGTGGAGACTGGGAGAAAAAGGAGAAACTGGGCATGAAAATATTCTGAAAAAAATTTCCAGAAAGAAATTAGGCAGGGCCAACAGGGAGAATATTTGGTGTGAATTGAACGCTTTAAGGAAGAGAAAGATGCACATCAGTGATCGCCATGGATGAGAGATTATGATAAGGCCATGTGGGAATGTTGGGCAGCTTTAGGAACCCTTTGGGCAGTTATACAGTTGATTTGGATATCAGTGCCAACATGGCCAGAGCTCAGAGGGACACAGCCCAGTGCTGAGACCTATCTCCTTCTTGATCATCTAGCATTTATTCCACCCAGGAAACAGACTTATTGGATTGGTTTGCCATTGCACAACACACAGCTTCCTGTAGGCACAAGTTTTCTATAAGCCATCCTGAGTTGTTTGGCCTCTCTGATGCCCAACATACCCTTTGGCTTGTGAAACACCCCTCCAGAAATGGAAATAGGTATTTGGGAGTTTTGCAGGTGGTTGGAGCCCAGAGGAGGAAATAGTAGCAATAGGGATAGGGATTTGGGAGTTTTGCAGGTGATTAGAGCCAGGAGGAGGAAACAGTAGGATCAGAGACACAAAGAGTTGCATGAAGCATGTTTAGGGCAACTGCAAACAATTTTTATTAGTTAGAGAAGTGTTTCTCAAATTAGGGGTCTGTGAACTTCTCTGGGTTCATGTAGGTATTATTAAGGCAGCTTTGATTATAAGCTAATTATTACATTATTTTAATTTAGTTTTGCTTTAATAACCACAAGATAATGAACATGAACATATTTTGAGCCATCTGTATAGCCATTTTATTTTAAATAAAATTTATTGTATGTATTTAAGGTACACAACCATAATGTTATGGGATACCTAAAGATAGTTAAAAGGTTACTCAGGTAAAACAAATTAATACAGCTGTCAACTCATAACGTGTCCAGAATTGGTGGGTCCTTGGTCTCACTGACTTCAAGAATGAAGCCTCACACACTCACGGTGAGTGTTACAGTTCTCAAAGGCGGCGTGTCTGGAGTTTGTTCCTTCTGATGTTTGGATGTGTTCGGAGTTCCTTCCTTCTGGTGGGTTTGTGGTCTCGCTGGCTCAGGAGTGAAGCTGCAGACCTTCAGGGTGAGTGTTACAGCTCTTAAGGCGGCGCGTCTGGCGTGGTTCCTTTCTCCCGGTGAGTTCGTGGTCTCGCTGGCTTCAGGAGTGAAGCTGCAGACCCTTGTCGTGAGTGTTACAGCTCATAAAGGCAGTGTGGACCCAAAGAGTGAAAGAACAAAGCCTTAACGGTGTGGAAGAGGACCCCACCGGTTACCACTGCGGGCTTGGGCAGCCTGCTTTTATTCTCTTATCTGGCCCCACCCACGTCCTGCTGATTGGTCCATTTTACAGAGAGCTGATTGGTCTGTTTTACAGAGAGCTTATTGGTCCATTTTGACAGGGTGCTGATTGGTGCGTTTACAATCCCTGAGCTAGACACAAAAGTTCTCCACATCCCCACTAGATTAGCTAGATGCAGAATGTGGGCACAAAGTTTCTCCAAGTCCCCACCAGAGTAGCTAGATACAGAGTGTCAATTGGTGCGTTCACAAACCCTGAGCTAGACACAGGGTGCTGATTGGTGTGTTTACAAACCTTGGGCTACATACAGAGTGCAGATTGGTGTATTTACAATCCCTTAGCTAGACATAAAGGTTCTCCAAGTCCCCACCAGACTCAGGAGACCAGCTGGCTTCACCCAGTGGATCCCACACCAGGGCCGCAGGTGGAGCTGCCTGCCAGTCCCGTGCCGTGCGCCCACACTCCTCAGCCCTTGGATGGTCGATGGGACTGGGCGCCTTGGAGCAGGGGGCGGCACTCGTCGGGGAGGCTCAGGCCACACAGAAGCTCACGGAGTTGGGGGAGGCTCAGGCATGGTGGGCTGCAGGTCCCCAGCCCTGCCCCGCGGGGAGGCAGCTAAGGCCCGGCGAGAAATCCAGCGCAGGGCCAGTGGGCCGGCACTGCTCGGGGACCGAGCACACCCTCCGCAGCCGCTGGCCCGGGCGCTAAGCCCCTCATTGCCTGGGCTGGCAGGGCCGGCCGGCCGCTCCCAGTGGAGCGCCCACCAAGCCCACACCCACCCAAAACTCCAGCTGGCCCGCAAGCGCTGCACGCAGCCCCGGTTCCTGCTTGCTGGCACCTCTCCCTACACGCCTCCCAGCAAGCTGAGGGAGCCGGCTCCGGTCTTGGCCAGCCCAGAAAGGGGCTCCCGCAGTGCAGCGGCGGGCTGAAGGGCTCCTCAAGCACGGCCAGAGTGGGCGCCAAGGCCAGGAGGCCCCGAGAGCGAGTGAGGGCTGCGAGGGCTGCCAGCACGCTGTCACCTCTTAATATGGTTACCACTTACTTGTTTTTGTGGCAAGAACAGCTAAAATATACTCATTTAGCATAAATCCAAAATGCAATACAATATTATTCCCTATAGTTTTCACATTGCACATTGGTTCTCTAGACTTGTTCATCTGACATATCTGCTCCTTTGGATCCTCTGACTTACATCTCCTCATTCCTTCTCTCCCCCTCACCCCTGGTAACCACTGTTTTATTCTTTATCTCTGTATATTTAAAGTGTTTCCACTTTTTTGATTTCAAAGTGAGATCATGCAATATTTTTTTTCTGTGTTTGATTTATTTCACTTAGCATAATGTTCTCCAGGCTCATTCGTGTTGTGGCAAAGCTTGTTTGTTTTTACGGCTGAACAGTATTCTGTTTTATGTATAGGAATACAATTGCAGGTTGAGTTCCAGATCACTGCAGTAAAGCAAATATTGCAATAAAGTGAGTAATACACATTTTTTGGCTTGCCAATACATATAAAAGGTATGTTGACACTGTACTGTAGTCTATTAATTGTACAATAGCATGATGTCTAAAAATTGTACATAATTAAAAATATTTTACCGCTAAAAACTGCAAACAATCATCTGAGCCTTCAGCAAGACATCTTCTTTTTGTGGGTGGAGGGTCTTGCCTCAATGTTCATGGCTGCTGACCGATCAGGTGGTTGCTGAAGGTTAGGGTGGTTGTGGCAAAATACAAAATATCTTATAAAACATAAGACAACAATGAAATTTGTTGCATCAATGGACTCTTCCTTTCATGAAAGATTTCTGTCCAGCATGTGATGCTGTTTGATAGCTTTTCAACCACAGTAGACCTTCTTTCAAAATTAGAGTCCATTCCCTCAAATCCTGCTGCTGCTTTATCAACTAAGTTTATGTAATATTCTAAATATTTTGTTGTCATTTCAATAATGTTTACAGCATCTACACCAGGAATAGATTCCATCTCAAGAAACGACTTTCTTTGCTCACCCATGAAAGCAACTCTTCATCCATTCAAACTTGATCATGAGATTACAGCAATTCAGTCATATCTTGAGGCTCCACTTCTAACTCTAGTTCTCTTGCTATTTCCACATCTATAGTTACTTCTTCCACTGAAGTCTTGAACCCCTCAAAGACATCCGTGAAGGTTGAAATAAACGTCTTCCACATTCTTGTTAATGTTGATATTCTGACTGC
This sequence comes from Homo sapiens, assembly GCF_000001405.40. Lineage (NCBI taxonomy): Eukaryota > Metazoa > Chordata > Mammalia > Primates > Hominidae > Homo > Homo sapiens. The sequence goes on along the minus strand of NC_000002.12, from coordinate 177,006,471 downwards.
CTTCCATGAATCACAGTGTTCTTAATGGCACCTAGAATGGTGAATCCTTTCCAGAGGTTTTCAATTGAATTTGCCCAGATCCACCAGAGGAATCATTATCTATGGCAGCTATAGCCTTACAAAATGTGTTTCTTAAGTAGTAAGACTTGAAAGTCAAAACTACCCCTTGGTCCATGGGCTGCAGAATCGATGTGACAGCAGACATGAAAACCACAGGAATCTCCTTGTGCATCTCCATCAGAGCTCTTGGGTGACTGGGTGCGTTGGCAATAAGCAGTAACATTTTGAAAGGACTCTTCTTCCTAAGCAATAGGTCTCAACAGTGGGCTTAAAAAATTTAGGAAACCATGCTGTGAACAGATATGCTGTCAACCAGGTTTTGTTGTTGCATTTCTAAAACACAGGAAGAGTAGATTTAGTATAACTCTTAAGGGACCCAGGATCTTTGGAATGGTAAATGGAGATTGGTTTCAACTTAAAGTCACAAGCTGCATTAGCCCCTGGCAAGATAGTCAGCTTGTCCTTTGAAGCTTTGAAGCCAGAAATTGCCTTCTCCTCTTTAGCTGCGAAAATTCTAGATGGCATCTTCTTTTAATAGAAGGCTGTTTTGTGAAAATCTGTTGTTTAGTGTAGCCACCTTCATCAATGGTCTTAGCTAGATCTTCTGGAGAACTTGTTGCAGCTTCTACATCAGCACTTGCTGCTTCACCTGGGACTTTTATGTTATGGAGATGGCTTCTTTCCTTAAATCTAATGACCCAACCTCTGCTGGCGTCAAACTTTTCTTCTGCAGCTTCTTCACCTCTCACAGCCTTCGAAGAATTGAAGAGAAATAGGGCCTTACTCTGAATTAGGCTTTAGCTTAAGGGAATATTGTGGCTAGTTTGATCTTCTATCCAGACCATAAAAAGCTTTCTTCCTATCAGCAGTAAGGCCATTTCACTTTCTTATCATTCATGTGTTCACTGGAGTCATACTTTACATGTCATTCAAGAACTTTTCCTTTGCATTCACAACTTGGCTAATTGTTTGACACAAGAGGCCTAGCATTCGACCTGTCTTGGCTTTCCATGTGCCTTCCTCACTATGCTTAATCATTTCTAGCTTTCAATGAAAAGAGAGAGAGACTTATGGCTCTTTCTTTCACTTGAACACTTAGAGGCCATTGTAGGGTTATTAACTGGCCTAGTTTCAATATTGTTGTGTCCCAGGCATTGGGAAATCCTTATGAGAGACAGAAGAAAGGCTGGTTGGAGGAGTAGTCAGAACACATACAACGTTTATTGATTACATTTACCATCTTATACAAACACTGTAGTGCCCCTAAGTGGTTATAATAATAGTAACATCAAAAATCACTCATCCCAGATCACCATAACAGATATAATAATATAAGTTTGAAATAGTATGTGAATTATAATAATGAGTCACGAAGTGAGCACATGCTGTTGGAAAAATGGTGCCGATAGACTTGCTCAATACAGGGTTACCATAATCCTGCAAAGTGTAAAAAAAAAAAAAAAAAAAAAAGCAATATCTGTGAAGTGGAAAAGTGAAGAGCAATAAAATGAGATATGCTTGTATATCACAGTTTCTTTATCCAGTCATCTGTCAATGGACACTTAAGTTTTTTTCCCTATCTTGGCTATTGTGAATAATGTTACAATCAACATGGAAGTGCAGATATCTTAAGAGGAGGTGATTTTTTTCCTTTGGCTATATACACAGAAGAGGAATTGCTGGGTCTTATGGTAGTCCAATTTTTAATTTCTTTAGAAATCTCCATACTGTTTTCCATAATGGCTGTACGAATTTATATTCCTATCAACAGTGTAAAAGAGTTCCCTTTTCTTCACACCCTCACCAATACTTGTTATTTTTTGACTTTTTGGTGATAGCTGTTTTAAGGGGTGTGAGGTGGTATCTCATAGTGGTTTTGATTTGCATTTCCTTGATGATTAATGATGTTGAGCACCTTTTCATATTCCGGTTGTATATGGCCATCTTATCATCTGTGCTGAGCCGTGTAAATCATTCTCACAGTGCTGTGAGTTGAATTAGAACACCATGATTAAGTACACCAAGTTGATGTTACTTGAATTTTACTGGTTTTGTAAGCCTATTTGTATTTAATTCATAAATAATTTTTGATTTGTAGTTCTTTAAGAGCGATAAGCATGAGTTTTTTTCTTTTATCAAGTTCATGTTTGATCATATTTAGTAACATTGTAATGATATGATTTAATTCAACATTGGGCATGTGAAATAATATATTTCCTTTAGAAGGAGTATATATATTTTACTCAAATTTGAAAAACAATTGGCTAGAGAGGGGGCTGGCAAACATTTTCTGTAAAGGGCCAGATAGTAAATATTTTAGGATTTGTAGGTCAAGAGGCAAATATTGACGATATTATGTAGGTGCTTATATAATAAAAGAGAATGGAAATGTCCACAAATTTGTTATTGATGAAATACAGGTAATATTTAAGTACAATTTTTTTTGTAATATATGTCTACTAAGAAGTATGAATTTCTCTTTTGGGAGAGATAACGTTTTACTTCATTGGGGTTCAACCTTAGTGTTCCTTTTCATCACATAGATCAAAACACTCATGTGTAAAAGCAATTCTTAGCTTGCATGTTGTACAGAAATAGACAGTGGGCCAGATTTAGCTTGTGCTGTGGGCCATAGTTTGTCAACATTCAAATGAGAGTATAAAGGATATTGGGGCTAGGGAAATTTACCCAACCTCTCTGAACCTGTTTTATCTTCTGTGAGCTCTTCCATAAACTGGGGACAGTAAAAGCAGCAACCTATTTGGGCTGTTGTAAAGACTGTTTGATAATTCATGAGAGATACCTAGATAACTGTCTTATCATCATTACATTTCAGAGAATGTTTTATACTTTGAGAAGTCATATAGGTCACTGGAGGATATTGAACAGAAAATAGCCAAATTGAACCTGTGTTTTTGAAGAGTCATCTGGCAACAGCATGGGATGGATTAGAGTAAGGGAAGGCCAGGAACACATGAGTCCAACTAGGAGATTGTTAAAATAGTTCTTAATCCCATCACGGCTACTTGGCAATTTTACCCATGTTGGTTACATCCACTCCAAGCAAGTGGGGAAAGCAAATAGTGGTTGGCAGAATAATGGTCCCTTAAGATGTATACCCCCTGATACGGTGTGGATGTTTGTACCCTCCAAATCTCATGTTGAAATGTGATTCCCAGTGTTGGAGGTGGGGCCTGGTGGAAGGTGATTGCATCATGGGGCGGATCCCTCATGAATAGTTTAGCACCACCCTCTTGGTGATGAGTGAGTTCTTGCTCAGTTAGTTCATGCAAGATCTGGTTGTTGAAAAGTCGGGACCTCCCTCACATCCTTCTTGCTCCCACTCTCACCATGTGATGTGCTTGCTCTGGTTTTGCCCCCCACCATAATTACAAACTTCCTGAAGCCCTCCCCAGAAGCTGAGTACATATTGGTGCCATGCTTATAACCCCTGGGACAATTCTTTGAGGGTGAGGTACTCTGTGATGTTAGCATCTAAACGTAAGGAAAGAATACCATCGTCTCCTTATGTATTCATAGCAACACAGTGCAAGCCAGCATAATGCATTTGTCTTCATGAATTCACTATGGTGACTTGGGGAAATGTGGCTGCTAAGTACTTGCTTCTAGTATGGATCAAGGCAGTTATTTTGTGAAAACTATCAGAAGACCAAAAAAATTGAAAGACAAAACATGAGAGAAAGATGAACTAACCTAAAGTAATCAAATATCCGTGAATAACAGACACCTCAGGATGGTTGTCCTGAGTTTCTGCTGCAAAGTGCTTGTCTGCAATACAGCCTGCAGAACTGTGAGCTGATTAAACCCCTTTTGTTTATAAATTACCCAGCCTCAGGTATTCCTTTATAGCAATGCAAGAGCAGCCTAATATACCCCCTACTATCCAGAACCTATGAATATATTACCTGACGTGGCAAAAGGGGCTTTGCTGATATCATAAAGGCTAAGGATCTTGTGATGGGTGAGATTATCCTGGATTATCCAAGTGGGCCTAATCACATGAGTCCCCCAAAATGGAGAACCATTCCTTGCTACGGAGAACCTGGGAGATGGCTTTGTGAAGACTCAGTCCACCATTGCTGGCATTGAAGATGGAAAAACAGGGCTGTGAGCCAAGGAATGTTAGTAGCCCCTAGAAGTTGGAAAAGGCAAGAAAACAGATTCTCCCCCTGAGCCTCCAGGAAGGAATACAGTTGTTGACAACTTAATCTTAGCCCAATAAGATTTGTGTTGGAGGTTTGAACTACAAAGCTGTAAGATAATACATATGTATTGTGTAAGCCACTAAATGTTGGTAATTTGTCATGGCAGCAATAGAAAATTAATACACCAGTACTATCCAGTTATCTATGATAATGAGAGGGTAGAATAAAAAATAATTCCAAATATGTCTAAATACTATATTTCCTAAGCATATTCCTTATTTTAAGCATAAATAATAATATTATTAATAGACAGTTTTTCTTGATGATGTCACTGAATAAATAATAAACCCAATATTTAAAGAATATATGTTTGAAGGTGCCAAATTATTGGCATACACTGGGTCTTAGCTTGGAAACATGGAGAAGTTTACCCAACATTGGTTCAACAAATTCAACTGATATGAGCACTTCATCCCAGAGGGCTTTCATTAGTAATTATTTGGTAGTCTCTGCTAACAAACTAGTGAGCCAGGTATGGCTATGAGTAGAAATATGAATCAGGATGACAAGCTCAAAGTTTCTAGGTATTCCTAGGAAGTGAGGTTGATGCCACAGCAGGTGACATTCTTAGAGATGAATGACCCTGGGTTTGGTCTGCAAAGATGAGTGGGAGGGGCCAGAGGGAGAAAGAGCCAAGGCAGAGGGACCCAGAGTGCAGAAAGATGAATGTGAGGAATCCCAGGCAGTCCCAGAGAGTTCCGACACTCACTTGACCAGGCTGGGAGTCTCCCCAAACCCCCATGGTTGAGGCTTGGGAAGAGGCATCTTGGCAGTAGGTCTTATTCTCTGCCTACTGCATCTTGCCTTGGCCTATCCCAGGCTCTCTTCTTCCCACGCTGGTCCATTCAGCATTTGGAAACATTGGGGAAAAAGCTATTATTTATATAATACCAGCAAATGTTTTCTTTTGTTTTATAAAGGGAAGGAATATTTAATTAGTCCTTCTGTGGGCCTCATTACTAACAGTAAGTTACCTCAGTAGAGTGTAGAACTGTGGATAGAGTAAACTGAACAATATTCCTAAATATTGCATAAACTGATCATTTCTGACGAACCAACTTGGGCTTAGGAGGGTGGGAAGGTACGTCCACACCTGGGATGGAGGAGAAAATGAATGAGGACGGAGACTCAAGGGAAGGTAACCCTGGAGGGGAGTTGATGAGGACCTTTCTTAACTTTGACATTTTCTTCAGGGGAAGTCATGGCCTGGAGGTTCCTTTCCCAAGTCTGTGAATCTCAGACTTTGAGCTGTGGAGAAATTGCTAAACGTCGTAACTCATTCATTATCATATTCTTAGCTGGATCTGCATAGTAACTCATAAAGCTGTCTCCTAGCAGCTTACACGTAAGACACATAACTCACAGGATAGCTTCATGTACTTCATGGTTTCTGTGGAGTCTTAATGGAGTCTGCTTGATTCTTGAGCAAATCTGACTTTAACAACAAACCCAAGTCAGTCAATATCATTATCATCATCACACCACCATCAGCAGCAGCAATAATAACAAATACCTAACATTCCTAAAATAAAGGGCAGTTTACAAATACCTTTATATGTGTTAGCCCTTGTGCTGTTCTCACTCTGCTTCCTAGCTAGGTGGAATGTTATCAGGACACCTGGTCACCACCTGGTGTGAGTCAACCAAAACTGTGATGTTGAACTAACTATAAACTTAAATGAGATCTTTTTCTGAGGTTCCCTTTCTTGAACTTGCCTTGCACATTATGGATAGAAGGGGAAGTCTGTAGTTTAGCATAAAAACAGCAAGAATGGAAATACAGAAGAGAAGAAAAGAATTTTACATGTGTATGTTGAGCCCCTGAGTTTCTCTAGAGACAAGAGTGATTCAGAGTCAAAAAAGGACACACATACTTCACCAAGATCTAAAATAATCCCTGGGACAGTTCTTGGAGGGTGAGGTACTCTGTAATGTTTAGCATTTAAATGTAAGGAAAGAACACCATTGTCTCCTTACGTATTGATAGCAACGCAGTGCCAGCCAGCATAATGCGTCTGTCTTCATGAATTCACCGTAGTGACTTGGGGAAATGTGGCTGCTAGGTACTCTAGGCTCTAGTATGCATCAAGGCAATTATGTCCTGAAAACTGTCATAAGACTACACAAATTGAAAGACAAAACATAATAAGAAAGATGAACTAACCTGAAGTAACTAAATATCTGTGAATAACAGAAGCCTCAGGATGGTTGTCCTGAGTTTCTGCTGCAAAGTACTTGTCTGCAATATTTTAAAGACTTAATAGAATTTTATTTTAAAGCCATGACATTAGCACAGTTAAGCCAATCAATGTTTTTAAATAGCCTTTTAAAGGTGCCTTTTTAATTGTGCTCTGTGGGAGGGAAAGGCACATGAAGACTGAAAAACATCTAAAAATGGCTTAGTCAGATCTTTCAAAAATATTTGCAAAAGCACATTTTTGCCTTGGTTCGATTGCTGTAGAAGTGGGGTTAACGTATAAGATCTAAAGGGCTTATTCCCTGTGAAAAAACAAAGATTTAACCCTTGTGTAGGTTCATTCAGTTCAGCATCATAGCAAAATATTTGACATCTGCACTGGTTTCCTTTTGGGGCTCCAAGGAGTTGTGGTTTCTGTTAGAGATGGAATGACTATGCAGAAACTTCCCTTCCCTCCTTGGGGCCCAGGAGACACAGAGAACACTCATGTTGTTCCTTCTAGCAGTCCTTTAACAGTCTGAATGTTTGCCAGTGACCACTTTGGATTTATAGTTAGAATGTGTCCAAACATCTGGATAAATAGCAAAAAGTGCTATTAACTTTTTAACTTGCTTGCTGGCACAATGCCCATGTTATTTGCACAATTAGAGCGCATCTCCCTTTCTTCATAACTTACTTTTGTATGATGCTTTATTGTTTAAAAAATGCTTTCATATATATTTTCCTGTTGGGAGCCCCACAATAGTCATGTATGACAAGAAAGTTATTATTAGTTTCTGTTTTATAGATGTAGAAACTGAAGCTTGGAAATATGGAGAGGTTTACCTAAGGTCGGTTCAACCAATTCAACCAATATTTCATGAGTACTGTAGAATGCTTTATATATCCAAGGGGGCTTTCAAAAATCATTATTTTATAGTCCCTGCTAACAAAGTGGTGAGACACATATTTACCAAATCTTCTCACTTCCTTTCCAGTACTATGTCCATGAAATTATGGGTCTTTCGCATGACCTGTGGAATTATATGAAGAATTTACTTCTTTAAAAATTTTCAACCCAAGTATTTGTTGGTTTGGAGTTGCAGCATAAAGAGAGCAGAATGTACAGATAATTAGAGGGGGAATGAATTAACCAACAGAGAAGAGTATTTGGTCTTGCTTTTTGCTTTAATTATTTTTGATTATTTTCTTAAAGAGGAGTCATTTGGGGAGTTTTTTTTGTTTTGTTTTTTGTTTTTTGTTTTTTACCAAGCATTTCATTGCAGTGTTTAATCACAGTACTGTGTACTGCTGTATTGATCTGATATGCTCAGTTCTGGCCAGGGGCCATCAGTGTACACATGCAATGGAACAAACTGACCAAGGTAGAAAGACAGATTGGAGATGAGGGCAAGTGCCTGGAAACTGGGCTGCCATGGGCATCTGTGGCCAGGCTGGGATCACACTAGCAGATTTCAATGCCTTTTTACATGGCCTTATACTAGGCTGGTCCTATTAGCACATGACATGCTTAATGGTTTGTTGTTTTTCTTAATTTCCTGGAGAGAAGATCCTTTTGAAAACTCCAAATTTTTCTAAGTTTAGCTAAGAGGTTCCTCTTAGCTAATGTTCCCCCCCACCCCCCCCCCTTACTTCTCAGTTAGTTTTGATTAAGGGTCCTTAAGGAGAAGTTCAGAGGAACCAGAAAATGGGAGTGGCTGTCAGGCATGACATGTCAGGCTTGGTATAGTATTGAAACCAAGGAAAGAGTCTGTGCTAGGGCAGAAGAGTGGGGTGCAGTCTCCCAGAGCTGAAATAGCACCTTAACTCTGCTGCGTGATCCTTAGACATTTAATCTTTCTGGGACTCCGTTTCCTTAAAGTAAAATTGAGGTAATGTGCATATTTTAATTGGCTATTAATGAAATAACATTATGTGAAGGGTTAAGCAGAGTCCATGACATACAGCAGGTACTCAATAATAAGAGCAGCTACTACTACTATTACTGTCACTGTCACTACCACTAGTGTAATTGGGGTCAAGAGAGCAAGAAACCAGATTAGCTCTGCTCCTCTCCCTTTTCCACCCTCTTGCATCCTGTTATTATGAGTAGAAAGGGAAAGCCCTTGAGGCAAAAAATCACAGTTAGAACCCATGCCTCAAGTATTTTAGCTGAAGATGTAGGAACTGATTCCCAGGAACTACAAGGACTTTACTAATGGTATTTTCAGATTGTTCTACTCTGCAGTCTACATTGGGCACTAGAATTTTAGACTCCAGATACGTTCTCAGTTGTAATTCAACTGTTCAGTTGCTGTGGTGAAATACCTTAGTTTTCTGAACTTCCTTTTGTCTTGTGCTAAATGAAAATGAAATATGTCTAAATCAAATCAAATTGGTAGAAACGTTTGAATGGTACAGGCCAAAGCATCCATGCATGATTCTCATGTGTTACCTCTGTTCCCTTGTCCCCACTGTCAACACAGGTTGCATATTCCTTTTCATTTGTTCTTTTTGTAATAAATGTTTTGGTATACTAAAGACACAACAGGGAAGTTCATGCTTTTATTTATTCATTTATTTAAAGAACTTTTCTGGGCACCTAGTACATCAGGCATTGACCTATTTAGGGAAGTGCTTGGGTTCTCCCAGGCATTGTAATGGGTAGCAAATGAATCACGGGTTCATATATGATCTGGCAGCATATGAACTTAGTCAGTGGAAACAGTGAGTCAGGAAGCCAAAAGGCAAAGTCCATCTCTGCACAAGGAGAGAGACTGAGCTGGGAATGATGCATTGTGGTCTGGGAACCTCATTATTAGCAAGTTGGAGACATACTGGAGAGTGTTCAGAGAAAAGTAACAGGGATGATAAACGGGCGGAAAGACTGATTTATGAAGACTTACACAACAAAATATGTATTCTTGGATCAACAAAGACTTCAGAAGAAATGTGATCACTATCAACTACTCTCTGAAGGTTGTGAATACCCCAGAGAAATACACGATGTTTAGCTTGATATTTGAAATGGTGACAAGGAATTACAGGATGGCAAATTTAACCTGTGGATCAGAGAAATATGAGGCTCACAAATTTATCTTATGCCTTATTGACAGAAAGTGGCATCAAAGGGCAGCATCCTTAATCTATTTTACCTTCAATCTATATTTCTGCAATTGTCATTATATTTAATCATTTGTTTTCTGTTTGTGCTCAGGGATTTTATGTATGTTTCCTATTTACATATACCTTCCTTGAAGATGTCAAAAATAAAATATTTGATTTTTTTTACTTTCTACTTCAAAGGCTCAAAGATAAAAGCAGTTAAAAACAGTTTTTTTTAAAACTGAGGTTTGCGTACTTAACCTTCGTTGAAGGTCATTGCCATAATGAAGGATTTTATTTCTATGGAAAGCCAAATGGGTGGAGTGACTATAAAACTGTTCTTTAGAGCCTTATCTAATCACAATTTATACACACACACACACACACACACACACTCACACATGCTATAGTAGAAAACTTTCAAGGGTATAAAATCAATTTAGGGGCAGAATCCAATCCCTTGCAATTTTATGTATTCTGGATTCCTACAAAAGGGGCCATTTTAGCTATGGGGTGGAAGCGTACAACTTCAAGGAACTAACCTGATTGGGGCCGGGCCTAGGATTCAGGCTACAGAAGCCCTCAGAAGATCTGGGTCCTGTGGACTGGTAAGGCTGCCATCAAATCTCTTGAAATATCTGTGGACTCCACAGTCCACATGGGTATCCAAGTGGTTTCTGGGCAGTGACTCCATGTCTGGATTGGAGCTGGGTTGGGTTACAGGGTGAAGGCACAACCCAGGCTAAGACTAAGAGCTCGGTTCATTTCCCAGCCACAGTGATTTGCTGCGGGGGGTCAAGGCAGGGGCCAGGAGGGCGGATTGTGATTGAAACTGGGATTTGCAGAATATTTTCTGGGAAAGCTGGGACTCAGACCTTCTCTTCTGCTTGTCAGTGCAGCACACAGATAGGAAGGCTGGGAATGCTGGGGTAAATCGTGCTGTCATGATGGGAGCCAGCCTGGGAATGAGGCCCGAGCATGGGCCAAGGCAGAGCCAGAGGAAAACCACAAGGAAATGGAGGCAGAGCCCCAATGACAAATGAGTATCCAGATCAAGCTCACGCAGATGAAGTTCTGCCTGTCTCCGCTGCTTTCAGTTATTGGAACTAATAAGTGTCCTTTTTGTATTTAGCAATTTGACCTGGGCTTTAGTCCCTTATAAAAAAGAATCTTAATGAACTTTTGAGTAAGTACCAAGTTGTGTGGCATAGATCACAATTTCTCTCTAAGTGTGGAGGAGAGAAGGTCCCTGTAAGCTAGGAGAGCAGTTATAATGAAAGCTGTGGCATGGGGGTGGGAGAAGGGAGAGGGCAGGAGGTGACTGAGAGTCTAGTGTCCGCCAGGTTCCAGGCACTGGGATGGGCCTCACAGTCTATCTTTATGGCAAACCTGCCTTTTGTGTCTCATTATCCTGTTTTGTAAATGAAGAAACTAGGGTGCAGACAAGTTAAGCAACCTGAACTAGTTGCACAGGCTGGTGAGTGAAATGTCCAGGATTTGAACCTGTGCTCTCCCCACGACTCCACCCTTCCTCAAGTCTACAGAACAGGCTAGGTTAAGAACATCCTGGTCTCAGTTCTAGTCGTTCAATCTTGAAGTCACTTACATTCCCCATGTCGTAGTTTCCTCCACTGTACAAAAGTGATGATCATGCCCACCTCTCAGGATCGTTATGGAGGCTAGTATGTGGGAGGCACTTTGCAAATTGGGAAGTGCTAGGTGAATGTGAGACATTATTTTTATTGGGGCAGGGCTTCAGGGAGGAAAGAACACTTAACCTAGAGATAGGAGATTAGAATAATTTTGTAGGGAGTTAGTGGGGAAAGGGTGAACTGTTCCGATCAACTTGGGCAGAGGCATGGAACACAGCTGAACATGAGTCTTTGGTGCAAAAGAAAATAAACTGCCTTTGTAGTTTCTGTTGGGAAGCTTTGGGGAATGTGGTCCAGGGTAGTGTTCCTTTTGTTGTTTGTTTGTTCATTTACCCATTTATTTCTTTAAGGACAAATATACTTCCATAACTTCATTTAATCTTCTTTCTCCTGCTAAGAATGAGTGTTCTACTGCATTACTTACTATGTGAAATTTTTCTAGCTTCTCTATACAAAATGGCTTTCTTTTCCTCCTTATCACCTTTATTACCATCTCGTATACTATTTTTATATTTTTCTTATTTAGCTTGTTTATCTTTTTCTTCCAAGAATATAAGCTCCACAAAGGCAGATTTTTTTTTATTATACTTTAAGTTCTAGGGTACATGTGCACAATGTGCAGGTTTGTTACGTAGGTATACATGTGCCATGCTGGTTTGCTGCACTCATCAACTTGTCATTTACATTAGGTATTTCTCCTAACGCTCTCCCTCCCCCAGCCCCCCACCCCTCAACAGGCCCCCATGTGTGATGTTCCCCTCCCTGTGTCCATGTGTTCTCATTGTTCAACTCCCACTTATGAGTGAGAACATGCGGTGTTTGGTTTTCTGTCCTTGTGATATTTTGCTGAGAATGATGGTTTCCAGCTTCATCTATATCCTCGCAAAGGACATGAACTCATCCTTTTTTATGGCTGCATAGTATTCCATAGTGTATATGTGGAGGGCAGATATTTTTTTCCTATCTTGTTTACAGTTGTATCACAGCACTTTGGACAGTGTCTGGCACATACACAGTAGATGCCCAATAAATATTTGTTGAATCAAAGAATGAACTCCTTATTTATGTCTATAATAACTGGGGTGGGCAGTATATGGGTATGGTTGATAAAAAATTTTAGCCTTGGACAATTATACCTCATAATATGCCTAGAGATTGTCAGTAAATGTTTTTCTCCTTGTCCCATTAGTCCATCTAACCTCATCTTAGAAGAAGGATGTGGAAATTACCTTCTCTTTCTGGTCTCTCTTCCAGTTTTCCTCTCTACAACTGCATTAGCCTATTTCTAACCCTCTGCTCTCCTTCCAGGTTGCTGACTTCGCCTGGAGGGACTCTATCAGGTTTGTTTAGGTTCTCTGTGTCACTTAAGGAGGGCTTGTGTCTTTCAGTTTCAGAGTATAAGATCTACAAGACAGAGTTTTTTCCTGCCAATGTTGATCTTCTCTCAGAGTCTAACTTTGATACACCAACATATGTTCAAAGCTTCTCTTTCTTAAGTCCTTCAAAAACAGCCCCCTTTATAGAAGAGGATGAAGAAAACCGGGAAAGAATGGGGAAAAAGAAAAAAAAAGAAAAAAAAATTATACATGTCATTCTGTCATACCTGTACCCCGATTCCCTAATTAAGAGAAGGGATAAAAATTGGACTCCTGATTTATCTTGAATTGGACTGAGAAAGCATATTATCAACAGACCTAATTTTGGATTCATTAATTTTATTTATCTCATCCCTACCTCCTTTTTGATTTAATGATGGCTTGTACTAAGTAACAATTAGAAATACACTGGAATATTTTTATTAGTGCAATGGCTAGAATATTGCTTCAAACGAATGTGAAATATCTGTTTATATCCTCTTCTAACATTTCTTTTTTAAAAAATTTTGTTTTTAATTGACATATAATGATTGCCCTTATTTATGGGGTACAGAGTGATATTTCAACACTAGTATACAATGTGTAATGATCAAATCAGGGCAATTAGCATATCCACCAGCTCAAACATTTAACATTTCTTTGTATTGGAAACATTCACAATTCCTCTCCTCTAGCTATTTGAAAATATAGAATAAGTTATTGTTAACTATTGTCACCCTATAGTATTAATACTATAAAACACTAGAATTTATTCCTCCTATTTAGCTGTAGATTTATCTATTCATTAACCAACCTCTTTTTACACCCCCCTCCTTTCTACTTTTCTTTGCTTCTAGTAACCACAATTTAACTGTCTACTTCCAGGAGCTCAACTTGTTTTTTTGTTTTTTGTTTTGTTTTGTTTTTTGAGATGGAATCTCCCTCTGTCATCCCGGCTGGAGTGCAATGGTGCGTTCTTGGCTCACTGCAACCTCTATCTCGCAGGCTCAAGTAATCCTCCCACTTCAGCCTATTGAGTAACTGGGACCACAGGTGCACACCATCATGCCAGGTGACTTTTTTGCATTTTTTCTAGAGACAGGGTTTCACCATGTTGCCCAAGCTAATGAGCTCAACTTTTTCTGCCCCCACAAATAAGTATTTATTAGTCTTTCTACACCTGATTTGTTGTGAGTTTTTATCATGAAAGGATGTTGAATTTTATCAAATGCTTTTTCTGCATCTCTTGAGATGATCACATGGTTGTATCCTTCATTCTGTTGATGTGATGTACCATGTTTTGCTGATTTGTATGTGTTGAACCATCCTTGCATCCCTGGGATAAATTCCCCTTGATTGTGTTGTCTAATCTTTTTGGTGTATTCATGGATTCAGTTTGCTAGATTTTGTTAGAATTTTTGCATCTGTGTTCATCAGGAATATAGGCTATAGTTTTTTTTTTTTTTCTTATTGTGTCCCTGTCTGGTTTTGGTATCAGGGTAATAATGTTGGCCTTATAGAATAAGTTTTCAAGAATTCCCTCCTCTTCAATTTTTTGAAACAGTTTGAGAAGAACTGGTGTAAGTTCTTCCTTAAAAGTATGATAGAATACAAATAATAAAAATACAAAAAATAAAAACAGTGAAGCCATCTGGTCCTGGACTTTTCTTTGTTGAGTGCTAACATTTCTTGCATTAGGTAAAACTTAGCTAATTTTACCAAATTTTACCTATTTATTTTCACTAGGCCACTCCAGATGTTCAAATCAAATCATTTTTTAATTAAAATATGTATTGTGAGCAAGTGGAACCATAAAGTCAAGAAGGTGGTCTTTGTCAAAGGATAGCAGAAAAAAATCAAATTAGTAAAGCAGCAAATGCTAAGGATTTTGCTGCATTCATTTATTCTAATTCCTCAGAATTTTAATTGGAAATTTCAAATTTCACACACAGCATAAGAGATGGACAAATACTATTAGTTCTCAATATCTGTCCTTTGTCAAGCTTCTCCCTTCACGGCCCATGCCTTGATGCTCTTTCTGTTCCGGATATACATTTAACAGACAGCTCCTATGAGGCACTTGTGCTTAGGTTAAGTGTAAAGCACCCACCTCTACAGCATTCCCTTTGTGGGGCTTTGACTTGGCTATTCTCTCTGTGAGGCTAGTGTTGCCTATGTGAACTCAGCATTCACTTTGGCTAAAAAGAGCACCTGTGTTAGGCTTTGGCCAGGAATAAACCACCTGGTGATAAACAAGGATGATGTGATTATTCTAGTCACTTCTTGGTGCTGTCAAGCCTGGGCAAATCTCACTAGTGCAGGCTTCCTGGAAGGGTTTTAGTGTTTCCGACTTCTGGCTAGAAACTTGGAATATGCTAACAGTGAAAGATAATAGGGTGAGGGAAGTGGTCTGTTAATGTGTGCTGGTGGTGTTTAGGGGAAAAGATTTTGTTTGGGGATTGATTTTAGTTACATGAACCATTAATCTTGGTTTATGACTTTCAGGGAGAAATGAATATTTTTCAATAATTTTTTTTTTTTTGAGACAGAGTCTTGCTCTGTTGCCGGGCTGGAGTGCAGTGGCACGATCTCAGCTCACTGCAACCTCTGCCTCCCGGGTTCAAGTGATTCCCCTGCCTCAGCCTCCTGAGTAGCTGGGACTACAGGTGTGCACCACCACACCGGCTAATTTTTTTTTTTTTTTTGGTATTTTAGTAGAGACAGGGTTTCAGCATGTTGTCCAGGATGGTCTCGATCTCCTGACCTCGTGATCCGCCCACCTTGGCCTCCCAACAATAATTTTTATTCAATGTGTGCTTGTGCCATAGTATTAACTGCCAGGTGAAAGCTTTATTTTCAACAACATCCTTTCTTTCCTACTTGCCAAATTGTGCTAGTATTAATTCTCAAACTCCAGGAATACATGAGCATAAAAGCAGAAGACTAGACTCAGATGGGAAATACAGTCTTTGAAGATCTACTAGAGTATACAATTTAAAGTGCTTACTTAATTATTATCATTTGTATTTCAGGAGAAACAAATGCCAAACAGTGAAGGTCAAGAAGGCCATAGTGATATATGCAAGTTCAAAAAGTGGAAGAAGCTTTTACACAGAGAAATATCAATCAGCCAGCTTTTCATGGCTGATGCCTGAAAATATCATCCACCTGTGTCTCTGAGCATACTTTGGCTTTGACTCCTAGTGATATTACATGTAATGTCATGGCTAGATATTTCAATTTCAGAAACAAATGATTCCACTGAATAGTAAGACATTTGCCAACTGGACAATAATTCATAAGGAGAGGGTTCAGAAACTGTAAGTTTTATTATGAAAAGGTAAGGAAATCCAACCCTAGATGGAGGTAACTTGGAAAGAATGATTGGTTATTTTGTATAACTCTAAAGGGCATAACTAGGACTAACAAGTCAAAGCTTTCAGGAAGAAAATTTCTATATAATGTGCAGAAATTTCAAACAGTTGATCAGTTGCTTTTGTTATTATTGTTAGAGACAGGATCTCACTATGTTGCCCAGGCTTGATTCTAACCTCCCCCACTGCCAACCCCCCGGCTCAAGCAATCCTACTGCCTTAGCCTCTTGAGTAGCTGGGACTACGGGCACACACACACACACCACTGCACCAGGTAAATTTCTAACAACTCAAAGTGTTATAAAGGAATAGGTCGCCTAGTAGCATGGTCAGCGGTGTCTGTAAGACTTCTCGTCAGTCAGGCTGCGGTATGGGATTGAAGTGGAAGATCACTAAGAAATGGAGGGAATGAATTTCAGAATGGGTGGGGGGTTTCAGGGTGTTGGGTCAATAGCTGTCTTATCAATGGAGCTGAGAATGAAAACCTAGGAAAAGTGACACTGGCTCTAGAAGGGAACTGGGCCATCTGCCTTATAGACCATCTGCTAATTTGTTGCTCATTTATTGGTGAAACTTGGGAAGGTAATGGATATGTATGAGCTCTCTCAGAACTTGCCTTGTTGCCTAATGGATATCTTTGACTTTTCCAACTCCAAGTATCTGTAAAAGTTCCTAATTTCCTCATAGACTTGTAAAACCACTCAAACCCACCAGGCCCTTATTCTGTTTCCAAGATCACCTTTCAGGTGTCACCGTGTTGACAAGTTATTTGGAGCTCTATTGACCTTGTCTCATTATTGGAACTTTTCTAATATCTTGAATGCAGATGGAAGGAAAGGAGACAATAACAACAAAAAATAAAACTGCAACAGCATGATTTATTATAGTATATATTTCTCAGAAGAGACAAAAACAGCATCAATGAAGAGCAATCATAGAAGGTTCACAGTTGCCTCAGAACCAATTCAACAATTCATAGGGGGTTGGCATCACATAAACAGCTGGGAAAAAGCAGTTAAATGATTTTCTACATGCTCTTAGGGAGAGACTGTGTCTAATCTGATGCAGTTGCTCCAAAGGAGCGCAGCTAATGACATCTACACCAAATATCAGTTCAATAAATTGCTTCCTTTCATTAATCTGAGTGTCGGTGTCTGCATTAACGGTGTTAACACAGCAGAAGGTCTAAAGGAGAGATAATAAGGACCTGTTTTTAGTGACATGTGGGGGCGGCCCTGTGAAAACAAGCAAATATATAACTGGTCCCTTGACTCTGGTGAATCAAAACCATTTCATTTATTCATTCTGTCACTCCAAAATTATTCTTTGAGTGACTACTATGTGCCTGGTCCTGGGCTATGTCCTCATGTACCAATGGACAAAGGGCCTTCAGGGAGCTTATAGTAGGTGGGGAGGAGGCAGAAGTCATCACCTGCATACATAATTGACTGTGATGAGGGATAAGAAGGGAAAGTATGCATTACTTTGAAAAAATGCAACAGGGGAATACCTTTAGATGGAGACTGACCATCTTTCTAGAAAAATCAGGGCTTTAGGCTAGAAGAGCTTGTAGTGTATGGGCGATTATGACTCCTCTGGGAGTCTAGGCGTACATGAACAGTGTGCGTTTACTATCAAATCTGTATGTGACTATGTTTTGCAGTGGGCAGGCCTAAACAAACTTACCCCCCTCCCTCCCCAAGGCCAAGGAAGCTGAGAGGCCAAAGATAAAAGCTAACATATCCAGTCTCTTAGAAATAAGCATTCAATAGGGACTTGGCAAACAGAAGCCATGTCTCTATCTCAGGTGGCAGTGAGACAAGATGGTGGATCCCTACACCATTACCCCTCAGACGCAGGGCTTATATGGTATAGGGAAAGGGTGATTCAGAAAGGATGCATAGGACAATTGAAGTGCGATAACATCAAGACTGTTTGGCTTAAGGGCAGGATTTACAGTAAGTATCTGTTCTTACACAAGGAGCAATAGATAAACTGGAAATTGTAGAGGCCTTCCCAGAGCTGGATTTAATCAGAAGCCAACATGGAAGATGAGCATCCAAGATGGAGTTGCTTTGGTCTCCACAAACTGTATTGGGAAAATACAACTTTCCTTACCCTGATTATTATACATTATGGTTAGGTGCTTATAAATGAAGATAATGACCATTTCTGTAATCGGCAATGTACTGTAAATGAGATGGAAGCACAGTGTATCTCTGGGCAAGGTGTGTAATAGTAAGGCCTTCCCTTTCCTTCCACCCTCAAGGCTTGGGTGGATTAAGAATCTCTGGTCACTATGGCACCTTATGACCATTGATGAGCATCACTTCAAGAAAGAACTAGGACTGTCTCTGGACAGAGCATTTTTTCTTTGAACTCTGGTGTCTGTGAGCTGGCTCACCTGATTCGGGCGCTCTGTGGCTTCCAAGATTCATCTTGAGAATCACATCAAAAGTCCTGAAACTGACTGACCATCAGGGGATGCAGAAGAGAGAAGGGTGCCCTGGCTAAGCACTGGCTGCAATGCTGGTCCAAGGGGGAGAAACTACATGGCCAAGAAAATGCAGCTCACTCGTGGGAATGTCATAGCACCTGGAGGAACTCATAAAATAGCATAGGAATATGCCTATACCATTTCTGCTTCTATTTCATTGAGGGAGTGAATATGATAAGATGTCATCAGGTGACTGAATGTATCGTTAGCATTCTCCTCCTTATTGATTACATTTATTGAAATCTTGTATGTCAGGCACTGTTTTAAGCTCTGTCATCCATCTGTCTGTCTAAAACCTCATTAAATTGTCACAACTGATTGCCAAATGTAACTCTTCAAAACAGGAATATTCTAATTTATTTTTCTTATAACTGGGAAGATATTTTTAAGTTTCCAAAAAGAAAGAGTTAATGTTTTTAATAAAAGGTGTTCCCATTCCCTGCCTGCCCACTTGTCTCTTAGGTTGTTACTCAGAATTTGATGCCATGTTTGGTTTCAAGGACAGAAGGAGGCTAGCGTAGGGTGAGGAAATCTGTCAGGTTCTTTGAGTTCACAGGTGCTTGGCCACATAATATATGACTGTATATCCAGTATTGTTTCCCAACCATGTTCTGAGGTTGACAGTGTAAGGCTCATGAGGACAGGTATTTCATCCACTTTTTCAATGCTTTTTCTCTACTCACTAGAAAATATCTGGTACATAGTAAGGGTTCAGTAAATATTTGTTGAGTAAAAGAATTTTGTTGAATAAGAGAAGGAAAATCTAGATTTTCTAACTGGAACTGCTCCCAAATCTCTATGTAATATTGGGCAAGTCATCTAATATTTGTTTCCAATTTACTCCCTCTTAACATATTTGGCGTGGCTAGAAATGAAATAGTGGTTGGATGCCTCAGAGAGCTGAGAAGGTAAACGGTGCCCTTAAGATCTAAATTTTTTCATTGATTCATCAAAGGTAAATGAAACAAGCAAAGTCACCAAGTGACATTAATATCTTGGTATGTATTCATCTATGTTTTACTACAATGCATGACACTGGAGAAGCTATATTCCCTAAATCTTCCTCTACTTTGTATCACACTTCTGGTGATGAAGATTAGGGATGTCATCAAGGCATTTGTGGACATACTTGGTGTCTTTCAGCTTAGCAGTATTGGCTTGGGATCCTCAGTGCCAAAAAGATGTCATCTGCCCCTAGTATTTTATGAGCCTCTTAAAAGGGTGAGTATCCAGGAATGATACTCTGGCAGTTTGTCAGGGCACTATGCAATAACTACCTTGAAGAGCTGCTTCTTGGACTGAAATCAAATTGCAATGGCTCCACACAGCCGAGGGAGGTTTTAATATCAGTCCAGTCTATCACCCACAGAGAACACTATTAATAACCAGGTAAAAGCCTTTGTGTATAAGCCGATTCCATTTACAGTTATATCATGTCAGGCGGATGTCAGCGTCCTATCTTGTCTTAGTCATAATGACGGCTAATATGATCCATACAGGATAATAGATGGGGTGGGAAGGATTACAGAGTTAAAAATCAATCAAGGCTTTCTCATACATTTCTATGCTTTTGTAGCTGGTTATATCATGAAAGTCTCAAGATTGATTTTTTTGCTTTAGCAATCAATCCTTCACAATCTGTTACTTTTTTCTTCCTCCTTCTCCCCGCCTCCCTTTTTAAAAACATGTAGACAAGAGTTAAATTCTCTCTCTGGATAAATACAGAGATGCACTCTTTGCCCCAAAGTGAAGATTTATCACATTTTGAAGGCAGAACTGAAAAGCTGAGCATGCTACTATACTGGACGGGCTAGATATGGCAGTTGATAAGTATGAAGTAGTTTGTTCTTTTCAGAAATATGTCATTTATACTTGGATAGTTGGTATGTTATTTTCATCAGCTAAAGCAGAGGCTAGGTTCATATCTCCAAAGGAGATCTGGTTGTAATGTTTATACAATGACACATGTTAGCATGAAACACCAGCATCCTCAAGCACTGAGTGCAGCAACAGACCATGTCTCGTTGGCTTTGAGATGTATCTGATATATATATATGTGTGTGTATTACCAAGGTTCTAAGACACAGTGATAAGAGTGCTAATTTGATGTAGAACAGCTCAAAGGGGAAGGCCATATATCTGCTATTTCTGAGAAGTGAGAGTACTTTGAGCAAAGACTATAAAAATCCAGGCAATTATCTTAGGATAGCTTGGCAGTCTTAACTAGGTTTCTAAGGTGGCAAAAGAGGAGAGAGTGAGACTTAGAGACAGACAAGAGGTGGGACAGGAACCCTGTGATGGGCCCATCTGAGGAACTAGGAGGACAGCCAGTGTGTCAGCCAACTTGTGCTGTGGAGGTACCTGTTACCTGTCTAGGAGTTGGTGTCAAGGAGATCTAACATGGAGGGACAGAATTTTACAGGAACCTGGAAGGGGCTGTTCATTCATTCACTAATCACGATCTTTCATTATGCAGGTATTATCCTGGGAGCAGCAGATACAAATGGACATCCTCAAAAAGCTCATTGTCTTATGGGGAAAAGGGATAACAAATAATTGGAATGCAAAGCAGTAACTTCCACAGTTCATGAGTGCACAAGACCTAGAATGAGCAGGTAGGGCAGCAGGCAGGAAGCCTAGCGTTCACTGGCAATACTGTAGGGGAGGCTAGCAGGAACGATCTAGCAGCCATCTCCACAGGACTGCCAAACATATCATGTACCCAATATCTTTCATTTGTCCTTCCACAGCCACTCATCCTTCTTTACTCTGTATGGACCAATCGTTGGACTTGCTTTCCCTCTGGCCAATAGTGAGTGGTGGGGAGAGGGGGTGTGGGTCAGGATGTTTATGCCCCTGCTGGCCTTCCAAAGCAGACGCATAGGCTTGGGCTTGTTGTACCCTCTGCCTGAAGGTCAGAGCTGCTCTTGAGGCAGCTGTCTTACACACTTTTTCCTTCCAGGTTCTGGTAGCCTGCCTTCCCTTTCCCTTTGGACCCAGGGGTAACAGCCTTGGGCTACTGCATAATTCCTGTGGTTTTTTAATATGCAGCTCACACATTAGTGAATTGTCACTTTTTAAACTCAAATTATCTTAATTTCTGCATGTGTTCTGCTTCCTGTTGCAACTCAGCCTGATATATATCCCAATTCATCACTCTCTCCATTTCCACTGCTACTACCCTGGTCTGAGCTGCCCTTGTCTCCTGCAAGTTTGCTGCAGTAGCCTCCTACTTCATTCCCCCTTTCATTCTAGTGTTTGTACAGCCTATTCACTCATTTGCTCACTATACTTCAGTCAGAACAATCTTTTTAAAATTGTAAATCAAATCATGATAATCTGCTGCTTACAACCTGTGAATGGCTGCCCAGAACTTTCATAAAATCCAAAGTTCTTACCCTGACTTAGGAAGCCCTTCTTGAAGTAACCCCTTCTTTCTACTCTGACCCCATCTGTGACTGCTGTCCACCTCAGGACTGAGTTTCAACTACCCTGGTCTTCCCTAATCACTCAAATACTCCAGTGGTTTTCCTCTCTGGACATCACATGGCTGCTTTTTCTGTCATCCAAATCTCAGACATGTTGTCCATGACCACCAGTCACTTTCCATGACATCAACTTATTCAAATTTTCTACATAGCTTACTGCCTCCACTAAAAATTATCTATCATCTATATCTATCTATCTATCTATCTATCTATCTATCTATCTATCTATCTATCATCTATCTATCCTTGATCTATCCATCATCCCACTAGAATATTAGCTCTACTGGAACAGGGAACTTTTCTCTCTTGTCCTGTCTGCACTATATTGCATGAGCTCCCCGCCCCCCCACAACATCACATGGTACCTGACACACAGTAGACCCTCAATAAATACTTATTGAACGAATGAGTAGTGAATCAGAGGATCCAGTCCTAGAAGGAATAAAGAATGAACTGTTTTCTAAGACAGAAATTCAAGCAGGAAAAACAGGGTTTGGGCTACTAGCATTGTAGTACTGTACTTGACAGGACCAAATAGAAACCATTTTTAGGAACTGGGTTATGTGATAAGGGCCAGATATGAATTCCAGTCATGTTAGAGTCAGGGTTCTTCATCTTTTGTGTGTGTGTGTGTGCCTTTTTTTGTGTGGCTTCTTTAGAAGTCTGATGAAGCTAATAAAGCCTTTCTCAGAAAAGTGTTTTTATGTACAATATAAAATATCTAGAATAACAAATACCTAGCATAACAAATTATAAACCTCAATGTAGTTATAAAACTAATTATGACATAGTTATCAAAATATTCCAAAGTTGTGATATAGTAACACATGTTTATTAATAGATTAATAATAAAAGCTGGCAATGAAATTAATAACTACCAGAATTTTGAAGTAGTGATGAGTGTAAATGGTATTTTGAGATATCTACAACAATAATGGTGATATGAAAATAGACGTGATTTTTGTAAGTCCTAGGCGTGCTAATTCTACTCTGGTTTGTTGTCCATGTTTGCAATTTAAGGAAATAGTAAATTTATTTATTTATTTATTTATTTTTGATACAGGGTCTCACTCTGTCACCCAGGCTGAAGTACAGTGGCTTGATCATGGCACACTGTAGCCTCAACTTCTTGGGCTCAAGTGATCCTCCTGCCTCAGCTTCCCAAGTAGCTGGGACTGTAGGCATGCGCCACCACACCCAGCTAATTAAAATTGTTTTTAGAGATGGGGTCCCACTGCCCAGCTGGAGAAAATAGTAAATTTAGTTAGAATTTAGTGAAAATAATATTTTTTCAGCTAAGTCCATAGACATCCTGAATTCTACCCATTGACCCCTTGGGAGTCTGTTTAGGACCTTGACAGGGCAAGGTCTGGAGGTGAAAGTCCAGCAGCTTCTCCACAGACAGAGGGGGCCGACAGAGGCTGGAGCCTGGCAGGGAAGGGATTGACCACGTACTGCTGCCAAAACACAGCTTTATGAGAACCCTTGAATGACCACAGTATGACCAGAAATTGGTGAAGCTCAGGAGAGCTGAGGATCTAAAGATGCTTCCTTGAACCAGTTCCAAATCACTGTCCTTTTAAAGACTGACTTTCTCTAATGGAAATAATGAAAGACAATTATTTCTGATGAGATGTTTGGGGCTTCCTGCCTCCCAATAGTCAAAGAAACAGTTTGAGGAAGCTTCACACAGTATCTCTGTGTTTCTCCTAATTCCTTTTAATTCCTATACACAACAATATTGAAGAAATGAAATCCTGAGGTTCTGCAGGACATTCCACATGTATTTACCATAAAGAAGAGAACCTGTCTTGAAGAGTACTACGGAGTAGGACATTACATATAGAATGCATATGTGTTTGCAGATGGGGGTCCTCAGACACATTCACCACATTTATGATCTATAGACTCCCCCTAAGATAGTTCCCTTTTAAAGCACATTGGTTTGGGAGGTGTGAAATTAATCTGTAATTGATTAGAGTTGGGGATGTCCCCAGTCATCCTATGTAGGCAGAGAGTTCACTTGAGTGTTCCCCCTGCTCTGGACTGTAGGGAAACACACCGAGAGCAAGACAAACTTTCAAAATGCAAACCTGTGGCTTGGATTTTGAATGCCTGCCTATCCTGCACTTCATCAGTCAGGGGCTTTAATAAGATGCAAGCATTTATTATATGAAGTCTCTAAAATTAATAAAAGCCCTTTCCCATGCATTCTGTGGAACTTGATGCAGAGGTTTACAGCTTGGGAAAGATGAAACTCTTATAAAACCTACCACAAGTATGGCCCATGGTAAGATTGCTTTGGTTTGGTCAAAAAAATAGAGGAACTTGAATCCAGGCACTGAGTAATTCAAGGGGTCATAGAACACTGATGAGTATTGAACCAAAGAGTTCTCTGGTGTGAGAAGCATGGCAACCCTTCATGGTTTTCTAATGTGCTGCCCATCAGTTTGCCTGATAGTAGGAGGGTTTTCCAGGGGTAACTAATCCAAATGCTTTGTGACAGATCTTGGCTTTATGGCAAATTTTCAAGCAGAGTTGAATGGCTTTGGGTGGTTGAAATAATTCACTACGATGTAGCTTGACATGTGACATCTTATTTTATTAAGGAGAGAAATTGGAATGGAAATCACGAGCATGAAACATTCTTCGCTAAAATAAATCAGTAATAATTCCCTATAGGTTTAGAGCAGAAATGAGGTTTAATCTTATAAGTCCACCCTTATGACATCTGACAATCAAATTAAAACCAGGTGTAACCTGTGTCACCGCGGTCTGTCCCTTCCAACCACTTTCTGGTTTTCGTAGCTACTATATGTGATTCTGATAAGTAGCACATGCTCCTCTGGTAGGAACTTGCCAAAATATGCAATAAAAATCACAAAATCTTGCAAAAAGAACAACCCTCACCCCCTACCTTTTTGGTTTGAATTTACAGTGTGGAGTGCTGAGAGCTCGTTGCTCATAGGAAAGATTATTTTTCATCCTACCTACTCCTGGCCAGCTGATTGTTGTATGTGCCTGATGGCCTCCAAGGCCATTGTTCTAAGAAAGGACCAGTTTGAAACACATTAGGATGAACTAGGATTTAATCTCCTTGACAGGAAGTCATAACTGAACCTATCTCTAAGGGTATAGCCTGGGATCTTCAGAACCAACACTTCTTCCTCTATTTATATTCCTGGTTAAATGCTTATTATTCTTTAAGCCTAAACTTTTACAAGTAATTAGCAGTTGAACCTTCCCTAGGCTCAATTCTCTTACCTATTTTTCTAACCAAATTCCCACTGAAATCAACAACTAGGCTTATAGATTTAATTTAGACTAATTTAATTTTAATAGATGACTCGCAGTTACTTTCACTTGGAAGTTTAAATTAAGAAAGTGCCAGCAAGTAAACTAATGGATTTGGTATTTCATAAATATTTACCTTTAAAATGCTAAGCCTTGTTGTGTCCATAAAGGAAATGGACCTGCTTAACTTTTAGAAAGCATAAAAATCAAGTAAATGATTCATTAGAAATAATAGAATACTTACTATCAACCCTACGAGTGCTAGCAACTACCTAAAATCCTATTCTCCATATTGAGAAGTGATTGGTTAAAGAATAATTTTTCACAAGTGACTGTATTGAATATTCATTCACCTTGGGAGTCAAGTCAGGGTGAGGGCAGCTTTGTCAAGGGAGCAGAATTCTGACAGTGCAAATTTCATTCGTTTCTGATTGCTCAAAGGAACAGTCACTCCAACCAAAATGTATACATCCAGGCCTTGATGCTATTTTAAGAAAAAAAATGATTAGTCTCTTTCTTGCTCTGAAAAGTCTAGCTCATGCAGTTCTTGTTGACTTTCAGAGACTTTGAAATAATTTTGAGACTGGATTTGCTTGTTGAAGCCTTTGAGAAATGTTATGGTTAGAACTGACCAACATTAACCCACGTTTTAAATTCTGTGTGGTTTCCCCCAACTTCCATTCTGAGTTCTAATGTCTTTTCATCCTGGCCAGAAGCTGTAGCTATTTTTCTCCATGCTTGACCTAGCCATTTATCCCACTTTCTTTTGGCAGAAGAATAGAAAACAACATTTGCAGCATTCCTAAATTAATTATACTTTTCTCAAGCTAAAGAACTGTGACAGAGCCACAAAACAGCAACTGAAAACTAATTCCTTAAAAGAATATGAAAAAAGGAAGTTGTATAAGATAGGGTAATTAATCTTGCAATAAAAATAATTGTTTACAGTTAAAATTAATGTAACATGCATTCCTCAGCAGATAATAAATTATGGACTTTCTCATTAGCATTTGAATTGATTTCCTCTAATTTCTGAGGAGCACATGAGCATGTGACTAGATTAAGTTTAATTGGACTACAGCTGGTGCTGATTGTACGCACATGGGGTGGGGGCTTTGCTGACTGATTGGCTGTCTCTGCATTTTGTTTCCATTGTCTTTCTCCTTCTCCACTATTTTTCCCTACAGGTAGAGAGATTGAAGATACTGGGGTCTTAAAATAGAATTAACTAGAGAAAAGACTGTGGTTTTGGATAATGTTACCCCATGAGCTTCTACCAAGAATGATTATAATACATGATTATCATATAATTGTTATTACCATCTTCTCTTCATTATATAATTATTATTTCATTAACAACTAACCGATTGAATGTTTACCGTGAGCTGCAGTTGTACTAAGTACTTCACGTACCGTTTAATCTTCACAACAGTTTCACTCAAGGTGTTTCATTCTTCCCATTTTCTGGGTGAATAGACTAAGGCTCAGAGGGGTAAAATAATTTGTCAAAGGTAACACAGATGAACATGGTACAGTTGAGATTAGACCTTTTTTTAAAAAAAAAAACAAATTCTAGGGATTACACCCTTAACCACTTTATTATTCTGATTATTTGAAAAATCAAGCAGTCCAGTTACCCTATTGATAGAGAATGAAAAATCAGTAGCCTAAGCATCTGGGTATGTCAAATGGCATCTATACCAGGTGGAAAACAGCAAAAGAGGGGTTAACTTACAGCCGATGAAGAGCGATATGATCACCACGGAGATGGGGAGGATTTCTAATAGGCCCATAATTAGGAAAAAAGCATGGGTCCAATTAATATTGGGCTTGTGATTGGACTTGTGGAAAGAAACCAATATTTCCATAAAGGGGAAGAATTGGTAAAATTTCGGCCAATGCTACTGGAGAGTCTGATTCGAGCTGAGAAAATTAGGAACACAAGGGTAATTGTAGACTTTTAGTCCTACAATAGGAGTTTTTCTCTTAGAATAAATTTCTCACTCAGATGAAGTAGAACTATTCAGAACAATTTGAAAAATAAGCTCCTCCAGAGAATTCTATGGGGACTTCAATGGTGTGAAGCTTTGTGACTTTCTCACTTGAGTAGGGACTTAGATTCTGTAAGTATTTGGCTCCTCCCGGCGGGAATGTCTTGAACCTTTTGCTTTATTGATATGCAGGAAAAGAAGCTACTTTGGAGTAGGAATTCTTTCTGCAGAAGATAAAATAATTTTAGGTGGATTTAATGGCTTCTTCTGGGTTGCCATTAGCACCTGTACTGATTTCACTCTGCCTTGTCATATAGTAAGTTGTTTATAAAAGTTCCCTATAGACCGTGTACTCCTTGAGAATGGGGCTCACATTAGGTGTAATAAATACATAAAAGTGTAAAATAAAATTTTACTATTTTTTTTTTTCAGAGACAGAACCTTGCTCTGTTGCCCAGGTGACACTATCATGGCAGCCTCAAACTCCTTTCCTCAAGTGAACCTCCTACTTCTGCTTCCCAAAGTGCTGGGACTACAGGCATGGACTACCATGCCTGGCTAATTTAAAAAAATTTTTTAGACATGGGGTCTTGCTGTGTTGCTCAGGCTGGTCTCAAACTCCTGGGCTCAAATGCCCCTCCCACCTGGGCTTCCCAAAGTGCTGCGATTATAGATGCGAGCCACCACACCAGGCCTAAAGTTGGGTCTTGAAAGTTTTTTCACCCTGTCTTATTTGCCATATATATCTTAATGTTGTACTTTTTGGTTCTTTATAAATTCATGTGTTGATATAGGTAATTATATGGAGAAATAGAAATTGATCATGGTATCCCAATATCAGTGTGGATGAAAAAAGAATTGAGGAAATGTGATATGTGGGGTTATATTCCTGCCACCTTTGAATAGAAAATTTTTGATCAAGACTGCCAGAGTATTAAACATGTCAGCTATATTTTTAAAAAATATACATACATGCACACACCCATTTTAGGTCTAGTTTATCCTCCCTGATTAAATATTAACCATGGGTAGGAAAGAAAAATTAGACTGTAGGCTGATGTGCTGATATTTTGAGTGAACAATGTGTCCAGTAAAAATGCCAACAGACCAGCCTGCTTGGAGCCCGTTTTGATCCTTTGACTCTTTGTGTGTTTTACTAAGTTTCTAAACGTCTCTTCTCTTTTTCCTTTTTCCTCTGTTTGGAGCTGTTAAAAATCTGTGATCCGGCTGGGCGTGGTGGCTCATGCCTGTAATCCCAGCACTTTGGGAGGCCAAGCCAGGCGTATCACCTGAGGTCAGGAGTTCGAGATCAGACTTGCCAACACGATGAAACCCTGTCTCTACTAAAAATCCAAAAAAAAAAAAAAAAAAAAAAAAAAAAAAAAAAAAAGAAGTAGCCGGGTATGGTGGCAGACACCTGTAATCCCAGCTACTTGGGAGGCTGAGGCTGGAAAATTGCTTGAACCCGGGAGGTGGAGGTTGCGGTGAGCCGATATCGTGCCATTGCACTCCAGCCTGGGCAACAAGAGCATAACCCGTCTCAAAAAAAAAAAAAAAAAATTCCGTGATCCATGTCCTTTGTTTCAGTTTTATATTAACTCCAAACACAGACCCACTTAAATTTTCCCAGTAAACAAACTGCCACGTTGTTGCAGTCTCGCTTTTTCACCTCATTATGGCCTGAGCAGAGTGTGATGTCACACTTGACCCAATACCTGTCTGCCCATAAATGACACAGCCTGTTCCCCTTTTGCTTCCTGGCTCGAGCACCGGGAAGGAGCTTAGTATGAAATTCATGCTGTGATGACAGATTTAAAAGTTGCTACAAACTCTAACAGACAGCAACTGCAGTTTGTAGACATATACAACATGTACTGCTCTCTTGTATTTTTAAGTGATGACATTCTTCGTTTAAAGAGTTACATTATATAGCTCATTACTGTTGCCTGTCTATGAAATGAGGGTGGTAGAGAGTAGGGGAAAGAAGGCTAAATTGGATATGAAGACATTTACCAGAAGAATTTTCCAAATGTTAATGGCCAGCTTAAAGGGCTGCACACGTGTTGCAATGTAATTGGATTTGATGCCTTCTGGGGACTTTGAAGCTTTTCCTGCTCTTGCCCATTGTATTTTGTGGCATAGAATGAGCCCCTTAGATTTCTAACAGTTTGGCTCGGAAGATCCACATGGTGCTAAATTGTAAATCTGCAGACAGCCAACAAACAGTGGGCTAAGCTCCAGTGACTCTGGTTTGGTTTGGGCTTTTCAAGCAATTAAATGAATGTCGGTCTCTAAACGTCTCTGGGGAGGTACAATGGGTTACAAGGAGAATTTACTGGAAGGGGCAAGAAGAGGTTTCTTCCCTGTTGCTGGAGCTTTTCCTGGAAAAACAAAAAGAATGAGCAATTGCATCCAAATGTGTCCTGAGAATCTTGCCAACCTGTTAGTCTCTTTGTCCCTGCCACCTTCCTAGTCCATCTGAATTTCCTATTGGGAAAACCCTGGTTTCTTTCCACATGAAGCAATTGCAACTCAGAATGAGTTTATATAGAAGGTGAATAAATGTGTGTTTTAGTTGATTCCCTTTGGTCATTTTCAGTCTCTTGGAAAATGGTTATGTTCTTTCATCAGAGCAGGAACAAGATGCCCCCTGAGCTTGACATCAGTAGGGAGGTTGTTTCTGCAGTGGGTTGTCTTCAGATTTCTGGCACTGGGAGAGAACCGTGCTGGGCAGCAGTGAGGCATCAGGCTGGGTACCCAAGCACCAGGGCTCCTGCCCTCTCTGAAATCATGAGTGGAGTCCAATGAAGGCTTTGGGTTGCTGATGCCTAGTCTAGATGAAGTCAGTTATGACTCCTGTTATAATTCAGGAGAAAGTTTTATTAAACTGTGGAAGGTCCTTGATTTAGGGAACTATAAATGATTCCTGCAGAAGAGGGGGCTATTGGCTGCACAGTGATTTGTAAAGTGGGCTGAAGCTTCTTGAGGAAGGTTCCTAGAAGGTTTCTTGAAGTTGCACTTGCTTGAGAACAAATTTGGCAATGGAATGGCCTAGAAAAGTAAATTCTTTACCCTCAGTTATTTCTTCAAAATCATAGGCTTGCAATTCTCATTCTTGTGAGGTTACTGAATTACTACCTTAGAATGCTAGCTGAAATGAAGGATGGTAGGATTGGACTGACTCTTCGTTAACTTTTTTTTCTTTTTGAGATGGAGTTTCGCTCTTGTTGCCCAGGCTGGAGTGCAATGGCACGATCTCCGCCTCCTGGGTTCAAGCGATTCTCCTGCCTCAGCCTCCCGAGTAGCTGGGACTGCAGGCATGCACCACCATGCCCAGCTAATTTTGTATTTTTAGTAGAGATGGGTTTCTCCATGTTGGTCAGGCTGGTCTTGAACTCCCAACCTCAGGTGATCCACCCACCTCGGCCTCCCAAAGTGCTGGGATTACAGACATGAGCCACTGCGCTGGGCCTTCATTAACCTTTTAACTTTCTGCTTGGTTTCCTATTCTGAGGGCCTATTGTTGTATTATAAAAATACTCCATTTGGTTTGGTCTTTAAAAATGATCCATAGTCATTGAGTATAGAGAGCAATGTGACATTAAGAGGATAATACTTGAATATGAATATTTTTAGTGACTGCGTTTGGACTTAAACTAGCTAACAACAGAAATAAAAGGAGCAAGACACTCTGAGAAAACTCTCCATCTGCTTTTGTGTCTAAAGCTCAGGAGAACAACCTGAATGTTAGATGAGTCTCCAAATTCAGCAAAATCTCTAAACTACTAATGCCAACTGTTAGGCATCAAGGATCATTAAGCAGATTCACCATTCCTCCCAATATGGACAATAATGTGTCAGACACTGTGTCAGGTATCAGGAAGCAGTAAAGAAGTTTGTCACATTCTCTGATCCTAAGTAGGTTGTGAAGACAGACACAAAAAAGATTGATAATACAAAGTGGCTCAACAGTCTGGTGGTGTAATCATGCTCTGGGAATTTGAAAAGTGTGCTCATTTGTCACTGGGGTTGTAGGAGAAACTCATCACCAACTATTGGATGTTTTCATACTCATTATCTCATTTAATCTTTTCAACATCCCTGACATGTAGATGTTATTATTTTCATTTACCTGATGAGGAAATTGAAGCTCCCAGAGATTAAGTAACATGTTCAAGATACCACAGCTAGAAAAATGTAGTCAGAATTGAAATGCAGATCAGACTGTGTCACCTTAGGGAGCAGCATGATAAGGGAGTAGTGAAACACCAAGTGTCAGGAGACAAACACAAACTCCAGGAATTCAAAGTTTAACATTGCTGTGATTTGGAAGTTTGAGTGGTGCGGGGGCACAATCACGAGATAAGCCTGGGGAGGGCGGGGATTTACTTTGGAGGGCTTGCAATGACTGGCTCTAGTCAAGGGGACATTTTGATGACGATCAACTCCATGAAACCATGGACTATATCTGATTTGTTCATTGTGGAGGTCCCAGCACCTAGGGCCATGGCTGATGTAGGCACTCCACAGATAGGAAAGGAAAGGAAAAGAAGAAAGAGGGTAGGGGAGGGAGGGAGGAACTTTACTCCCCTGTGGAGCAATTTGCTGAATGATGTTTTATGAAGGCTAACTTTGATGCAGATGTTTAGGATGACATTGACTGGTAGAGCCTGGAAGCAGAGTCAAACGGTAGAAAGAACATAAAATTTAAACTATATGTTCAAATTTGGATTTAGAGAATTTTTGACTCATGATCCATATATAATTGCTATACAAATTTTTTGCTGTCTTAAAAATCACAGCTGAATTCATGCTTCCTAAAGCAACATTATATCTGGTTGGGACGCTGTCTCACCTGGATAAATAATGTGGAATGACTGGAGATGAAGTGCTTAATTGCTTGTTTAATGTTTCCAATAGATACACAGTTGGGACTGTCTTAATGCTGCTCAGCCTTAAAATTCACTCTTTGAAACCTTTCTCCTCATGAATGCCAGGTTATTTTGGTAATCAGGGAGGATGATTGTGACAACGGACAATTGCACATGAGTTGAGTTGTTAGGCTGTCAGGGTTCAGGGCTTTATGTGATCAGTCAGAAATCTGAGGAAAATAAATTTGAAATTCACTTTGGCCCCTGGGGCCAGAAAAGTGCCTGGTGCTCAGTAGATATTTTCCATGTGGATGAATGAGTATCATAGTTGATCAGACCATTTAAACTTGACCTGGCTGTTAGATGGGAATAGCAATGAGTTAAAATCACTTAATGACTCACCATAATTTTCTCAAATTAATGTCTGTGTTTTTAGTCCTATTTCTACCTTCTAAATCTAGGTCCTTATCATTTTATAATTGATTTTCTGCAGCAGTTTATTGCTGGTTTTCCTTTCTCCCACCGTTTTCTCCCTTCTTCTCCTGAAGCCCCCCATAGTTTGTATCTAGATATGATAAGCCCCTGCAAAGAATTCTCATGCTTGTTTGCTCATTAGCTTATTCCACTCATGTGTTTGTTCATTTACTAAATACTAAAATTATCTTTCAGTGCCTTCTCTGGAGAAGGTAATAGTCCAGGTATGATGTGGGTGGGGGCTCAGGGGAGGAATACACAATATTGTAGCACCAACCTACAGCCTTTTCCCCCACCCACTGACTCTAAGCAACTCTTATTATTATTATTATTTAAAACAACTTTCCATTTTTGACTCTGGGAAGTTGGAACACGGGATGCAGACAGCGTACTTATCCCTAAAGAATCCTCTCATGCTGGTCCTCAAGCCTCTTTGCATCCTCCCTGCCTTCTTTTTTACTCCTTCCCCTATGGGATACCTTTTGTCTTTCCTTTCTGCAGTTAAGCGTTCCATGGCTTCCCAAACCTGACCATATTTTGCTCATTGTTTCCCATAGGTGCCATGCTCATTTCTACTTTGCTGTTCTTGTCGAAGCTGTTGCCTTCATGTCTACTTGGACAGCATTTCTCCCTACTTTCTGCCAACCCATTCTTTAACATCTAGCTCTATTTCCA
This sequence comes from Homo sapiens, assembly GCF_000001405.40. Taxonomy (NCBI): domain Eukaryota; kingdom Metazoa; phylum Chordata; class Mammalia; order Primates; family Hominidae; genus Homo; species Homo sapiens. The sequence goes on along the minus strand of NC_000002.12, from coordinate 176,973,233 downwards.
TGCTCTCCACTGAGCTATTTATGCCCAACCTAAACTTAATCTCTCCTTTCTGAACCATAGAATTTTGCCTTAGTTGTATTTTCTATTGTGTAATTATTGAATTATTTCTCATTTATGTCTCTCTAACCCTCCTTAAGGATAGCAAGTCTTTGTAGATAGTGACTTTATTTTATTTCATTTTATTTTTTTATGGATGCCCCATATCCCCTGGCCCAGCACTCCATCTCATTTGACAATCACTGACCAATATGAGAAGTTTTGCCAGGCATTTTTTTCTTCCTTACGTGAGGGTGCAGTTGTGAAAGTGGTGAATATGAGATGATCTGTTAAGTATTAATGTTTGCTTGATTTTAAAATAGCACTTAATAGTAGGATACAAAGAATGAGAAAGCAGCTATAATTTTATTTTGTATTTTTGAAATATTAAAATGAAGGTTTATTTGTGCAAAGCTGTTTTTGTTAGAGGGTTCCTTTGGCTCATGCTTCCAGAATGATTTCATTATGACTATTACTGTTAATTTTATTGATGTAAAACAGAAAATTTAAAGTTGCTATTGGCTTTCATAAGTCCATTATTTTATGACCCATTGAGAAGACTATTTTGTTGCAAAATTTAAAGGGAGCTGAAAAGCTTTACGAAATCTTAAAGAAACTCAAGAGTTTGGATATTTTAAAGTCAAGTTTACTCTCCTGACTAGGGGGTCTATATTAACAGTATGTAGAAAGAGAGCCTCTAGGGACCAAATATCAGCTCACTGAACGGGTCCCCTCAATGGGTGGTGTGGGTGTGGGTGCAGGACATCAGCAGGCTGGGGCATTATCATCACACGATTTTTCATGAACTGTGGGGTTCTTAAGTAGCATCTCCAGGAAAGGAAAGAGAAACCTTTCTAGAATGCTTTAAATACCAATGAAAGTGAATTATTTTCAGTTGTTTTATCCCATGTGTGGTCATTATCAGAACATTTCCAGCTAAGCTCTGGCTTGATCTCTCCTCACAGTTTGAAGCTGTGATACTTGTATCCATATTCTGCAACAGCTTGTAAAGTCATTTTCTGGCCAAATTAGGTTTTCTATTGGGATTATTTTATTTCAGGTAGTAAATATAGAATAGACAAAATATCACCTACTAATTGACACAGACAGGATTTTTAAAAGATTGATTTTTTTTCAAAAATGTTGATATGTTAACTTTAGTCATTATTAAGGGATTTTTTAAGTTATGATAAGGGCTATGGTTATATAATAAATTGTCTAAAAATATTTTCAAAAGTTTTAATTTGATTTCCAGGTGACACTCAATTTTTGACAAAATGAGCAATCTATCTTAAATCTCATAAACTACACAAAACACTAAATTTGTATGTCATCAAAGCCAGAAACAGAAAGAAAAAGACTGATAATTTAACTACATTAAAAACAAAACCATAGTACAAGAAAAACACACCCCATAAACAAAGGTAAAAGAAAAAGAAAAAGGGAAAAAAGACATTTTCAATATATGATGAGGAGATTATATCCCTAATATATAAAGAGCTCCTATAAATTAATAAGAAATGTGAACATGGCAATAGAAAAATACAAAGGGCCAAAAAATACAAAAATGATATTAAAACCCATGAATAATCAAATAATTGCAAATTAAAACAGCAATAGATGTTTTCTCTTGTGAAATGAACAAATATTAAAAATACTTGATGTTCACAGGAAAATTGAGAAACTTTTTATAAACTTTTGATAGTGATAAAAACTGCTCTAATATATTCTATTAGAAATGTAATAAAAAGACTTCAAGACATCTATGCTCCTTGGATCAGAAATTCCACTTCTGGACATTTATTTTAAGGGAATATTTTGATAAACTCATAAAAATGGGCACATAAAGATATTTGTCAAAACTTTGTTTATAACAGAAACTTCAGTCAATCTAAATGACTACCAATAGTTGTTAGTTCAATAACTATACAACAAATTACTCACAGGCATTAAAAATGATGATGGAAATCTGTATTTGTTAACATAGGAAAATATAATCCACGTGAAAAAAAGGGTAAAAATGAAGAAAAGTTTTAAAGGATATAAACAAAAAATGATAACTTTTTTCTTTGATTATTAGTGAATTACTAATTTAAAAAAAGAAAAAATAAGACATCTATTTTTATTTGGGGAAAAACTTACCAAAATATGTTTCTGTTCATACTCACAGATAATACAAAGTCATGTTATAAAGATGGCATTTCCACATTTCTTTCTTAAGGTTACTCGAAGGACATCTTCACAACCAGGCTACTAGAGAGTACAGACATCTCTGCACAGAGAAAGGTTGGTTAATCCATGAAATAAGCATGGATTCAGGTGTAGGACTGCTTAATAAATATTACTTTAAATTCTAAAACAACACCATTGTCTGTGAATGATACTACAAAAAGTTTCTAAAAACAAAGCAAGGGATGAGGAATGTGTATGAACGAGCCGGGGGAGTAATATCTTCCTCTGAGTGCATGTTCTGTGAACTTCTGGAAGCATTTAACACATCCAGCAGTGTTTTACAGGCATTTCCCATCAACTAGCAAGCTCTTTCAAACTGAGAAATAGAACTCATTCACTAATTCACTCACTTGAGAAATATACATTGAGCATGCACTATGTGCCAAGGCATGGAACCAGGTTCCAGGAACACAAAGCTCAATGCATACAAACTTTGTTCTCAAGGAGACCATGGGGGTGGCAGGGGTGCGTGGAGCAGGTTCAACAGGTGATTGCAGTGCAGTTTCATAAGCACTTTGTGGGTTGAGTTTAGGGTGCTTTGGAAACTGTTCTCACCTGTTTGGTAGGGATTAGGGAAAACTTCCTGGAAAGTGTATCCAAAAGGAGACCCGACAGATGAGCAGCAGTTAGAGGGGTATGTGAGAGGCTAGTAGAAGAAAGTATTTCAGGCAGAGAGACCATGTCGTACAGAGCCTAGAGGTGTGAGCACATTGGAGAGCTGGAGCTTTGAGCAGGAAAAGCAAGTGCAGTAAAACAGGCTGGAGGGTGAGCAGGGAGTAGAGGTTTTCAACCCTGGCTGTACCTTAGCAACAATGAGAAAGATTAAATAAACAACCAGCAAACACATAAAAAAATAAAGATATGCCCAGGCCCCATGCTCAGTCTGATTTAACTGATCTCTGTGTGTTGGGGGTGGCCTTTGAATACAGTAGGATGCCCTCTGTGCCACCTGCCTGTCTGGTTTCCCAAAATGGCAGCTCCTCCCTTTACCTAATAGGCCCCAAGGTGATTGCAGCAGGTAGCTAGGATTGAGAAGCACATGGAGAGAGTGTGAAGGGCCTTGGAAACCAGGCTAAGAAGTTTGGATGTGCCTTAAGGGCAAGGGAGGACTTACTGAGTAAAGGCATATGCCACAGGCCACCATTAATAATAATGTTTAAAGAGATTTTAGCATATTTGCCAAAGCTCTAAGATTTATATGGTAACCACTTGGGTGTATAAATGTTTTATGCAAAGGGGGTGGAGTATAAGGAAGCAGAAAAATAGATATGCTATGGAATGGGTTCAGAAGATACATTCCTGAATAGGTGTATGTAAACTGAAAACTTGTAAAGCAAATCATTAAGGCCTGGGAGGTTGCTATTTGAAAAAAAACAACAGTGAACTAAAACCCACTGAGATGTTAACAATAACTCCCAATTTATTTGTTCTATACTATTTGAATTTTTATATACATGATTGAGTTTTTAAAAGATGGTAGGTAACACATGGAACATTTACATGTTTATGTAAATGAAGTATGCTTTACTTTATCTGAGGGGAATGAGTCAGGGCATTTGAGAATTAGCATGTACTCATTTTCAGACTTAAGTTTAAGGTTTATTATGAATATGAATTTGGGAAAATGATTTAACCTCCTAGGGACTTGGTTTCCTCATCAATAAAATGGGAATAGCACACACACCTTGCAAGTTTGTGGTAAAGGATTATAGTTACGTAAAGCAAGCAAGTTATCTAGTATAATGCCTGGAGCATAGTAAGCACTCAATAAATTGTAACTATTATTGATCTGCCTTCAAGAACAGTTTTAGGAGTCTTAAAAATGCTTCTTGGAATTGTAATTCCTCCATCCTTTCCCAGACACTGTATCTGAAGCAGATTTTATGGGTGAAATTGGAGGGTTGTTGCTATGTGTTTTTCATTTACTTAATAACGTCCTGGTATCTAATCAGAGCCAGAAATAATACTCCAGCATTATCCATACAAGGTGAAAATGATTGTTTTTAGTAGGCAAGCTCCCAAACTCAGTAAATCTGTTACACAATTCCAAGCGGTTAATTGGGAATGCATTTTATAGCTCACTCTTCTTTGTGAACCCCCTGGGAAGCAACAGAATTCCCATGCTTGGAGTCGGATGAAGCTTCAGAACGTTTTTGAAGCTTTTCTGTGGTTAGAGTGGATGTCTGGCAACACCTGCTTCAAAAATTTTCCAAGCCGAAATGATTCCTGGTGTGCCTTATATCATGGAACCCTGGGGACTGAGCAGAACATTTTTCACATACTAGAACTGACCCTAAGATGCTGAAGGACAGGGACGCCTGCAAACCACCCCCATGTGGTGCGATAGCAATAGGCGTCTCTAGATTTCATAATAGATGCCAAACCTGCCACCTGCCCGTACCATTTCCATCTTTAATCTCCCTAATTGAGAATCAGCTCTGGGGACCCCTTAGAGGGGAAAATTTCACACTCTCAGTAATCCAGCTTAATACCTGCCAATGGTTTCCATTGCATTTTAGGGTAAAATCTTGGTATTTAGGTAGGGTGAGCAGATGTCCTAGTTTGCCTGGGATAGCCCCTGGTGTGTAACTTTTGTCCCTATGTCCTATGTAATTAGTAAAGCACCCTCTTTCACACTCAGAGGTTCAGATATGTATTAGGTAATCACCTGAACTACTTCCCCTATGTGATTTGGTCCCTGACAACCTCTCAAACTTAGCTCTTACTTCCCCTTTGCTCACTTTCTGCCAGCCATTCTGGCCTTCTTGCCATTCTTTGAAGACATCAGTCTTGTTACTGCCCCAAGGTATTTGTCCTTGCTGGGTAATTCAGTCCCCAGATCTTTGCATGAGTTGCTACTTCTTGTCATTCTTAACTCAAGTTCACTTCCTCAAAGATACCTTTACTGATTACCCAGCTCTAAGGTAGCCTTCACCCCTGTTCAAACTATCACTTCCCCTTGTTTTATTTCCTTTGCTTTGTATCAGATTCTGGAATTATTCTCTTAATTTATTTACTTGTTTATTGTTGCCCTCTCCCCACTAGACTATAAGTTCCATGAGAACAGCACCCTTGTCTTTGCTGTTACCCTCAACTCCTGGAACAGAGCTTGTCATACAGAAGGTGGTCAGTAAATATTTACTGAATGAATGAATTAATGCAAAAATCCAGCTTTTATCAAAAAGTAAGGAGAGAGAAATGGTTAACATAGGGGATTGTCTAGACATTCAATTCATTCACTTAAAAAAAAGGCTTTAATGAGGCTAAATTCACATAGCATACAATTCACTCACTTGAAATATATAATGGGCTTTAGTATATTCACAGTCTTGTGCATCTATCACCACAATCAACTTTAGAACATTTTCATTCCTCCAAAAAGTATCCCAAACCTCTTAGCCATCACCCTATGTTACCCAAATTCCCCAGCCCTGGGCAATCACAAGTCTACTTTCTATCTCTATAGATTTGCCTATTTGGAACATTTCCTACAAATGAAATTATGTAATATATGGTCCTTTGTGAATGGCTTCTTTTGCTTAGCATAATTTTCAGGATTCATCCACGTTGTAGCATGTCATTTATTTTTTCAGATTTCCAAATTCTAATTCTTCACAAGTTATACCACGTGAAGGCTACATGCTGGGATAATAGTAGTTTATCTTAGCAATTTTAAATTATGGCTGCACATCAGAATCTCCTTTCCCCTGCCCCATGACACTTTTTTTTTTTTTCCCCCGAGATGGAGTCTTGCTCTGTCGCCCAGGCTGGAGTGCAGTGGTGCAATCTCGGCTCACTGCAAGCTCTGCCTCCCAGGTTCACGCTTTTCTCCTGCCTCAGCCTCCCGAGTAGCTGGGACTACAGGCACCCACCACCACGCCCAGCTAATTTTTTGAACTTTTAGTAGAGATGGGGTTTCACCGTGTTAGCCAGGATGGTCTCGATCTCCTGACTTCCTGATCCACCTGCCTTGGCCTCCCAAAGTGTAGTAATCCCAAAGTGCTGGGATTACAGGTGTGAGCCACCACGCCCAGCCACCATGACGCTTTTATAAAACCCAGAGTATCAAGCTCCACTCTAGAGTCTATGATGTGCAGTCTGAGCTGACAACCATTGGATTAGCTAATTACCTTCAGTGGGTTGTTATTTAATGTTATGCATTTGACTTTTACCTGATATTGCAAGTAATGGTTATATGAAACTTGCTGCTACAAGATATTGTCCCTAATTGGCTGTTGGGGAATCAGATCTTGGACATTTGTCATTTAACAAGTGTAGGTGCTGTCTGTAGAGTAATGAGAAAACACAGAGCTGGAAGTTGTAATATGCTTTGATTCTATCTCAAGCTTTTTCCTTTGTGACATGAGGCAAGTTGTTCAACTTCTTATCACCTCAGTTTTTCTATCTGTAAAATGATCTATCTTCTAGAGTTGTTGGAAGCATTAAAAGAAATAACGTATGAAAAGCATACGAAAAATTATGAAATGTGTAAAAGTATTATATAATTTACCCTTATTGTTGTTAAAAAGTAGAATTAGCTGGGCACGGTGGCTCACGCCTGTAATCCCAGCACTTTGGCAGGCTGAGGCAGGTGGATCACTTGAGTGCAGGAGTTCGAGACCAGCCTGGGGAATGTGGTGAAACCCCATTTCTACTAAAAATACAAAAACTGAGATGAGAGGATCACCTGAGCCTGGGGAGGTCGAGGCTGCTGTGAGCTGTGATCATGCCACTGCACTCCAGCCTGGGTGGCAGAGTGAAACCTCATCTCGAAATATATATATATATATATATATATATATATATATATATATATATATAGAGAGAGAGAGAGAGAGAGAGAGAGAGAGAGAGAGAGAGAGAGAGAGAGTGTCATGGAATTTTAGATTAAGAATTGGATTGAGTAGAAGAAGGAGTGGGCTCAAAGTCAAGAGGATTGATTTTTCTGGTGGCAACAAAAACTAAGCAACATCCTCACTTATTTTGATCTCTCTTCTCTTTTCTACAAAATGTTATGGTTGGATCAGGTGGTAACTAAAGATCTTTCAAATAAGAAAATTATGCAAATAAGTAATTCTATAACTGGTTGTAGAGACTTCTTTAATAGTTCAAATGACTTCCAGTGGCATGGGCTGACTCCATCTTGACATTCGTTGTAAGACACTCATAACTACTTCAATTTAGTTATTACTCAGATCCAACCATCTCTGTGAAATCTACCTCCCAACACTCTTCCCCCAGCAAAGGTAATTTTATTATTATAAAAAATTTCAAAACATAGCAGAAAAGCAGAGAGAATGGTATAATGAACAAGCATAAACCCAACTTACGTAACAATTTGCCATATTTCTTTATCTTTCTTTCTGGACTATTTTAAAGAAAATTACTGTTAATATTCCACTCTAAATAATCCAGAATGCATACATAAAATAATAATGGCTTTTAAAATATAGCCACAATAGCATCATCCCACCCAATGAAATTAACAATCATTCTCTAACATAATTTAATACACAGCCCATATTCAAATTTCCACTATTTTCCTAAATATCTTTTATAACTATTACAATTTGTTCAAACCAGAATGTATTTCAAAGTGTGCATTTACGATGTCTCTTAAACAAGAGTTCCTTCTCAGCTTCTTTATTCTTGATGAAATTGACCCATTGAAGAGACTTAACTTGTTTTTCTGTACAACATTCTACTTTCTGGGTTGTCTGTTTCCTTGTGGTGTCCTTTAACTTTTTCCTCTGTTCTCTGTATTTCTTGTATAGCGGAGGTTAGATTAAAGCTTGGCTGGATTCAGGTTAGACAGTTTTGGTAAGAATTCCTCGTGAGTGACCCCATGTGTTTATTTGCATCTCATCAGCAGGCACGCATACTACAGCAATGCAGGGGGTCTCCACTGTGCCCTGTAGTTTCTGTTCATTGGTATTGGTTATAACAGCACTGGAGAATGAACAAAGTGGAAAAACAAAATATTTTATTTGATTCGTTACTAGTAATACACCTTATATTAATTTTTGTGCACTGTTTGCTATTCTTTCCTAATTAGAGAACAGCACTATTATGATTATGTGTTTCATTAAATCATGTACCAGAATCATTTTGTGATAAGTTCTATTTACTTAGACTGGATGACCCTACACATGCATGCTTGATCTTCATAGCTTATTGGTGGGTAACACTGTAACACGGCAGTCTCCTCAAATAGTATAATTATCTGCTCACCCCCCCATAAACCTAGAAAAACATCGCAAAAACTGTTTTATTTATAGGAATACACACACATACACATACACGCGTGCACACACACACACTCACACATGTTCATACCATGTTCTTGCTGCATAAATGTGATGGGAACAATAAAGGGCAACAGAACGTTAGAGATGACGCATTAAACAAAAACAAAATTTAATTATTTATGATATCCAAATTTCTCTCCTAAGCCCTCTTTTCTTTGCCACAAATAAAGAGGAGTAATATGAGTCTATTTATTTAGGATTTACTAAGAAATTAGTCTATTTGATAAGGAAAATGAATGCAGGTGGGAAATCTGTGCATCTTTTTGCCCCACTCTTATTATTCAGTACAGTTTCAGGAAGCCCCTCATCTATTTTCTAATGCTTTCTTGCACTTGGGAGTGTTTTCTCCTTTCCACTCCACATATATCTAATGCTCTTTATAATACCTATAAGCAAAATCCAGACATTTCCTCTGAGCCATCGTCTTGATTTCATTCTGCAGTGCTGTTAGCATTAAACATTTCACTGCTGTTTAATTCCTATGTTCTTTTAAAACATTGTCCTGAGTTATTTTCCTTGACCATCAGGAAGTTGTTGCATTATGTATTTTTACATTAATCAATCTTGGTGCTTACGTGATTTATATATTTTGTTCACAGTTTCCCCTCCTATCCTCCCTCCTTTCCTCCCTCCTTCCCTTCCCTTCCTTTCCCTTCCCTTCCCTTTTCCCTTCCCTCTTCCCTTCCCTTCTTTCCTTCCTTCCTTCCTTCCTTCCTTCCTCAGTCACTTCATATTCTCAGTCATTTCTCACTTTTTGTAACTTTAATTTGCTTGCCTTTGGAAAGGCAGAATATAGTCCATTATTTGCTCGTATTTTTAACAGTTTGGCAGGCAGCATTTCTTGTTTCTAGACCTCCTCAAGAATTGGAATATTATCAAGAATGTGGATACTCAAAAGTCAGTTCTGTGCCCTGTAAAGAAGAGTTTGAGGAACTTAAATAGCCTGCTGCTTTGATCTCATCTGTACCTTAGGTTCTCTAAACAGATTTTATGACTTTCAAATTTCGGTATTTCAATAGACATTTCTAGTTTTTGTTACATCATCTTTGAAAAATGCTTGCAAGATGAATAAATTTATATTCAGCCTTGTGTGTAGAACTTGTCGTTTGTGGAACTGGGTTATTAAATGATCCTGGGTAATTAGTGCAGAAGGTAGTTACTTTGAGAAATAGAAGAAATATTCAGTTCCAGCTATTAAATCATTAAGTTTGGGATTTTATCATGTCACTAAGTCTAAGACTTTCTGTGAAAGTGAGCCAACTTCAAAATATTCAAGCTTTAAAAAAATTTTCTAATACAGCTTTTAGAAAGGTAGAATTAGTTTTACATTTTTCCCTTACATCCTCTTCCGTGCCCACAACTGCTCCACCTGGGATGGTTACCTTGACTTTGTAAATTTACTGCCAGTAAAAACTAACAAGAATATCTGCAATGAAATAGTTGTCTTGTGATATCACTTCTTAAATATAATAAATGAAACAGATATGATGCATAGCTTATGCATACTCTTTGCATAGAGGTGAATGAGAGATTTACCATTTGGTATAAGATATTTACATCTGTTCATCAAAATATGACTCCCTTTGTAGTCTTCTAAAGCCATGCCTATAATATACATTATTATGGTAATTTAAAAATGGAACATAGAGTAGAAAAAGAACATGATAAATGCATATCATCTTACTCTTTATAGCTCTAGTAAATTTTGTACCTTAGGCTAGACTGAATACATTTTGAGTTTCTCATGCAACCATCATTTTGGAAATGCGTCAGTCAACAGGCTTCCTTTACTCATTATTATTTAGCCTAAAGATCTGAAGAATCTGTTTTTATTCTGTTATCAATTTATTTCCAAGAAATGCCACTGCCTTTGTCTACTTGAATGAACATTTCCTTTCTTCCCATTTATAACGATTGTAAAGCTAGACCTTTTTCTACCCTCATTTCATCAACTATTTCCAAGGGCTGCACATTTCTTTTTTCCATGAGATTCATTCATCTACGAATTAGTATAAGAGATATTTCAGAAACAGCAGCTGAGCTGCTGAAAAAAATTTTTTTCTCTCCCCTCTCAAAGGATCAAGAATATATTTCAGGTTTCTTTTATTTTCTAAGCATTAAATCTTTTAGTCCAAATCGTGGAAAAAATAACTGGGAAGGCATTTGTTGAATTACACAAAGGGCATGTGATTTCGACCTCAGCGGGAACACAGGCTGCAGCCTAGCTGTCCAGGCACTATCCTTCCCTGCGAAGGTGAAATGATTTAGAGGCCTAGAGAAACTTAATTTTTCTTGATCACCATGTGCAACCTGGAATTTTAATGGCAGGCATAATTAATTCTTCTGATGTTAATCATCAGGGCTGGGCTCCACAATTATCAGCCTGGTGCAGCTGGGGCATGGTGCAGACATGAAAAATTAGGAAAATGAATCAGTAATAGGGTGGCAGATTTAATCTGCATCATGAAAACAAAGTTAAAAAGAGGAAGATCGAGAGAATTTCAGCTGAAGCTTTTGTGCCAATGCGCAGTGACAGAACTGAAAAATGTTGCCGATGTCCAAAGTGATTGGTAATTACCAAGCCATTGAATTTTTTATTGTCAATTTATCATTGCGCCAGAGGTTAAATTTAACATCTTCTTCTAAAGCCATCACTCTAAGAAGGCTCACTGCGCATCACGTGGCTCAGAGTCAGCGAAAGGTTAATCAGGTATTCCTTTAGTTTGCATGAGCCTCCAAACCCTCCTCCCTCCTGGGCCACCCTGCCATTGCTGAATACCTGCCATAGGAGATTTTCTACTCTTTAGTACCTGTGACTTTCACATAACTATCAGATTGTGTATCACACACACTCTTCTTTGTCTATTGGTATATATTATGAACCCCAGTGCAAAAAAAGAATTATTTCTCAAGTAAGAAAAATCCCATCATTTCAAGCCCTGGGGATACTTCATTAAGGTGCAGCTGAGACAAGGGCCTTTTCTCTCTCTCTCTTTGTTTTAAATGCGATTTTTTCAGGGGCATTGGAAGAAATGATGTGATCACTTAAAACAAAATTAAAATTCCACAACAATTTTATCTGATTCAGATTTAATTCTCTTCATCTCTTTCCTTTTTGGACAGGATGTCCCTTTTATTAATAGTTGGGAAAGAGCTTGGTTTGAAAGGAAGGAGATATTTATCCATGTAGATACTTAACACTTCAAATAACTGCTTCTTTAAAAAGCATTCTGAAATGTTTGAACAGATCCAGAATTGATACTGAAATTCCACAGGAAAAGTCTCTTAGTAATTTTTCAAAAGTGACTTTGCTTAATTCAAGTCATTGCCCAATCTTTAACATCACTTGTTTCGTCATTTTGCTGTTTGCTTGATCGTGCCTCTTCTTCCATAAGTATTTTGAAATTTAGAGCAGTCTCTTATTAAAGGAATAGTATGTATTTTCTATAAATTAAAAATGGAAACAGCCTTTAGGGAGACTTGAAAAAAATCAATGTGTACATTAATTACTGCAATTCATTACTCAAATAAAAATGGGCTCAAGCTTTCATTGGTTACAAATTTAGGGACCAAGGATGTTTGGAAAAGACAAAGCCTGTGTTCCTGATCATGTTAATCTGCAGATCAAAGACTCCGTGCATCCAAGTCTGGTGGAAGCTCCTCAGGGGATAGCCAAGCTGGGCTCCATCCCAGTACCGGGCAGTGAGTTATTACTGCTGAATACAAAAGCTGGTCACGTGACTGTCACCTACCAGCAGTGGCACGAGTCCTTCTCCTTCCTGGGCTTCCTGAGACCTTGCTTTTCTGAGTCCTCGCTTTTCTATAATTAAATATGAACCATAAAAGCCATACCTGTCAAATGACCTCCAGCTGCCCTCATAAACAAAACTGGGAATTTTGCTGGTAGCAACACTTTGCTTTTGGAAAGAGCGTAAGAAAATAACCTATTATTTAGCTTCCTAGAAGCTTCCCTCCCCCCACCGTACTTTTTTTTTCTTTCAATTCTCCCACACTGAGCTTCCTCTCCTGTTTTGGAATTTAAGTAGAGGACTGGAAAATACACAGCAAATAAAAAATATGGTATAATTTATTGAAAAGATTCTGCTGCCTTCTTCTGAATTAGTAACCTGTCCATTTAGGAAGAAGAGAGAGAAAGTGGAATCAAGGAATGTAATTTTTCTAACAGCATTTGGCTGCCTTTCTTTGATCATGTTTTATGGCTAGAGAATAAATTACCATGTGAAGGTTTCTGTTTAAAACCTGAACATGTTTAGTATGATTTGAATCCTGCCATATTTTGCATAGCTGCCTTTTGCCTGAGCAAGTTTAATGCAAAGATCAGCAGCTCAGAGCATAACACATATTAGCCAGTTCTTTTCTGCTATTGGAATCCCTCACTATTTTAATTGGATTCTTTCCAAAACTGCAACTAATTAAGAATCAATTCAGGACCATTAGCAAGTGGGACAAGCTAGCCAGTGTTGCATATTTCAAAAGAGTTTTAATGAGAGGCGTTACTGGATGGGGAGTGTGGGGGAGAAACCGATTAAAGCTAGTGTAGGGACCTTCTTCAGCTAAACTGAACTACTAATGGTACATGGAAAGATGCTGAACTTGTAGTCCTCTGTAATTGATCTACTTACTGTTAAAGAAACTTTAAAAACATGAATGCAGGTATTTAGAGGTGCATTAGAGGTTCAGTAATGATTTATAAATGTTACAAATTGTCCCCTTCTGTAGCAGAGTGCTCCTTCTATTGAAGAAAATATGCTGTCTGCTTTCAGACCCGTTAACCTCAGTAACGCCAACCCATTTTCTCTTCCTTGGGCTTTGTACTGGGGCACATCTGCATAACCAGACTGCAGTGCCCACAGATGGTACTTTTTGTTAGAGGGTTAACCATGCCACATTTTCGACAGCTGTTCTTGAGTTCCTTTACCACAATGAAAAACTGCTAGATCCTGGTGTTTAGAGAGAGAAATTTGATGCTCACATCCTCATTAGTTGCTTCTACTCTTCCTTGGATTTTACTGTCCAATCCTTTTTTGTTATTAGTCTTGTGAGGGCTGATGTTTTTCTCCAGAGGATTAAGATGAAAAGTTAGTATACAGTTAACCTGCTTTGAGCGTATTATGAATATATGTGTAGTTTCAAGAGGGTAGCAGGATATTTAATCATTGGGAAGGATAGGCAATAAATCAAATGTCTGAACTTGGATGCATTATCTAATATGCTTGATTTCAGACTTAACCTTCCTCATGGACTTCTGTCGTGAGAAATTACCTGGACTGAGTTTCTTCATTTGAAGCAATCATAACCTGGCCACAGAGCTTTTATGATTGTAAGATAATAGTAATAAAAAAAAGATTGTTGGCTTCTAGCAGTGGACATGAACAATAAAAATATATTACTCTACAGAAAAATAATTTTACTAAATTTAGGTTTGATTACATATTTGAGATGGTACAGAGAAGAGATTGAAAAGGCAATTACAGGGATGTTGAAGACTTGTGAGTTTAAAGGATTCTTTAAGATATGTGGGGCCAAGGAATGTCATGTATGTTTATTGGGTAGGTTTTCCTCTAGTTGCAAATGTTATCAAAACAAGAGAGTAGCCAGTTTAAATATGTGTAATTTACCACTGGGCTTGTGATATGGAGAAACATTGTCTTCTGTCTACCACTCACTCAGTCACCTGATAATCATCCTCTATTCTTCCTTCACACTCTCTTTCCAGCTATAATCCATCAGCAAGACCTGTCCATGTCCCCTCCTTCATTTCTCAATTCTGCCAACTTCTCTTCACCCCATTTGCCTCTATTTTGGTTTGGAACCGAATCAGTTCTTGACTAGATTATGGCAAAGGCCATTTACCTGAACTCTCTGCTCCCTTCTTATCTCCACCAATCTCTCCCTTAGTGCCCTGGATTTTTGTTGCTGTCTCATTTGCCACATTATAATATTATTATTAGTTTACTCTTCTTTCTCCCTGTTGGGCTGTAAGCTATTTGAGGACAAGTACCAGATCTTTCACCTCTGTATCTCCAGCCCTAGCAGTGTACATAGCAGGAGCTTAAAAAAAAATAAATTGCTGAATGAATTCCCTCCTGCTATATATTAGGCCCTATTCTAGGTCTGGGGCATGAAGGGAAATGGGACTGATGAAATCTTTGTCCTTATGAACTCCAGACTCATGTAAATGAACATAAAAATGAGCAGTTGATCTCAAAAGCTCACTTGCTGTGTGCTGTGTGAAATGTTTAAATTTTATTTTAGTGCACAGGTGACCATCTGAGGTATACACAAAGGAAACCTGAAATACTGATAAATCTTCCAACTCCCAAATTAAATTTCAGCTTTACATGTGTATATCAGAAGGGTAAATGTTTTAAAGAGGTTGAAGAATGAAGTCACCCTGGGCCAAGGATATGTGCTAGATTGTTGTAGTAACGATCTCCAATTTATTCAGGGTTTCCTTGTATGGTCCTGGGAAGTCCCCTCTTACACTGACTCTGACCTTGACCAAATGACTTCTTTTGGCCAGTGGTATAATAGCAAATGTGAGAATGCCAGAGATGTGAGAGGTGCCCAAACACTGGGGCTTGCCCTCTTTTGTTGTACATAGGGCCGCTTCTATGGCCATTGTGTGAAGAAGCTTGGACTAGCCTAATGAATGCTGACATACACATGGCCGACTCACCCTTAGGGCTCCAGCCAACTGCACATCATCTTCTGGACATGTGAGTAGGCCATCCTAGACCGCGTATCACCCGGCTGACCAGCTGACTGCAGATGCATGAGCAAGTTCAGCCAAGAGCAGCCAATGCTGACACAGATCAGCAGCAGCACAGACCTGACCACAGGTCTGTGAGCAATGATCAATGGCTATTATTTGAAGCCACTAAGTTTTGGGTGGTATGTTTTGCAGAAAAAGCTAACTGATGCAAGGTGGTGACTGTCACCTCCATTCTAGCTAGTCAGAATAGTCTGGAAGACCAGATTATTTCACTGAAAGTTCCAATTAGATGAATCAGTAGGCACGGGATGGGGTGGAAAAAAGTTATCAAAAATTAATTGATTTTCAACCTAAGGATATTTGATATTTTTGGTCCTTAAGTGTAGCTCATTCACTTGTAGAGGGAAGTAGGAAGTAGGATGATGGTAAGTAGATTTGTGTGATGGAGGTGGGGATGAGTATGTTGGGATTGGGACTCAAGAACACAAACTGGGCAAAAAGCTAAGGGGCATGGTGTCAGGGTGGAGAAGATTTTCAATGAAAGCCACCTCTCAAAGCCTTTGTGTTTTTTTTTTTTTTTTGGTGTTTTTAAAGACTTTTTTTCTGAAGGTCACCGGTGCATCATGACTTGCAAGGTTACCTCTTATGAAAACAACAGTTAAGGATTTATTCTGAATTTATTCTGCCTTTTGGAGTCATGACACTGATATTTTATTTCAGTCATTTGTTTAACAAATATTTCTTATTTCCTATAGGTGCCAAGAACTGTGATTTGTGCTACAGATACACAGTCTCCTTTCTCAAAGTGTTCTGAGTTCAGTTGGGTTGACAGGCAAGTGAACAGAACAGATATTTGCAGTAGGAGGAGAATGATATACTAAAGGTAAGAATAGCCTGCTTTGGCACACGTAGGAGGAGGACCTAGCTCAGCCTCCACGTAAGGGTGCAGGGAGGGTTGGTTTTCCAAGAATAGGAGCTCTGAGGCTTCTCATATGGTAGCAGTCTGGCTTAGCTGACTGCAGTCTTCAATATAGGGTGATGAATTGGTGAAACATTGAAGTACAAGACCTCCCTTTACCTTCCATTTTATCTCTCATACTTGCTTTCTATTATGTTCAAATGTGTTCTTGATGGGGGAAGCACAGGTGTTCTAAATCAACACCAGCCTGAGGACCAGAATAATGGGGTTATATCTTTACCTGCCTGATGATGGCAAGAAGTAGGGAAGCTTTCACAACCTGGTTATTTGGCCACATGCTAAACCTTGTGGGTGTTTCTACTTTTCCTCTTGCATATTTAGTTTCATATCTGAATTTCCAGAAGCCTTGCCATGTGTCTTACAGTTGGTGTGTGAAGGGCTTATGCTAGGTGTGGACACTACCTTGTAAAAAAAAAGTTCTTTTCAAATATGTCATTCTGGAGGAGCTGCCCAGCTTTGAAACACTCTTCCTAAATGTGGGGGTTCATCAACATATGACTCTTGGCACAGCCTCTTCTATTTTGAGAAGCTAAAAAATAACTTTTTCAATGTTGTCAACTGGGGACAGGTGCCTAAGTTTGGCCAATCAGATGCATTTGTTGAGAATCTTGCCTGTGGAACTACTAATGCAAAGAACCAGTTGCTGGGGAATTCTTTGCTCAGCTGTGGACATTTTCAGTGTCCTGAGGCAGCAGGGGCAGTGTCTTGGAGTCAGCAATGTGAGAGACTTTTGGACTGTGGTTGCAGGACACTTCTCCAGGTGGCCTTGGACTGACCCAGTTCTCCCTCCTTTCCGGCTTTGTAGTTCTCAAAAATAACTGTAGGTTGTGCTGGGAATGCAACATCCTGGATAAGAAGGGGGCAGGCTGGAAGAGCCTGGGCTCTGTTTCAGTTTCTCCTGGAAACAAGATGTCCTTCAATGCTTTAGCCTACCAGGTATGTTTCCCCAAGGTAAGGGGGGGTGCTGCTTTCCAGGGTCCCTCAGCTGCTGGGCAAGTGGTACACATGCAAATGAGACTCCATTCACCCTGGGTTGCTTTCCTGAGCCTTGGAGGTCCAACTGATCATAAATCCCAGGCTTCTGGTGTCTCTCACTTCCTATCTGTAAGTAGTGAACTGACTTTGCGTAACTTGTGTGTGTTCTGTCTCCCCGGATTTGAGGAAGAAATAAAAGGAAAGCCCAAGCTGCAGTGGGCTGATGTGCACTTTACCTAACCAGCAAACAGTGAACCTGCTTTGCAACGGTTCTGATTGTCTGGCCTCCTTTTGGTCTTGTGTGTTTTCCAAGTCTGGATCTGTAGCCCTCCAAGCAATTCTAAGAGCTGCCAAATATCCCTTCAGTGATTTTATTTTTCTTAAATAAGACAGTTACTTGCAAGTAAGGATGCTGACTGATATACCCCATTATTATAGTTTCAAAAGAGAGGTAGAGGGGGACACTTCAAAACCCAGTCTGGCTAATCATATTAGTTGAGGTTTTGTTGCTGAAAAAAATAGTCCATGGTAGCTTGTTTTAGCAGGACAGGGAGATAATTGACTCACAGAATCATTAGGAGGGTTAAAGGAATAGATCTGGGTTGAGCTTTATGAAAAACTCTCTCAATTTGTTATTTATTGTTTACTGTCCGTCTCCTTTACTAAAATGTAAGCCTCATGAAGGCAGAAACCTCTGTTTTATTCCCTTATATACCCTAAGTGCCTGGAATAGTATCTGGCACGTGTAAGTACTCAATAACAATAATAAAATACACATAGGGAGAAACGTTGAACAAGAGAAACCAGAACGTCTTTTAGCCTTTCCCTAAAGAGACCCTAAGTTATGGGTGATTTTTCTGAGTTGGAGATATTTGGCCATATGTCACAAAACTTGTAGGAATACAGGCAAATTGTACCTTACTGTCCACTAAGGGGAGCATTTTTTTTCCCAGGAGAATGAATCAATACATCAATATTTAATGTGTATAATACAGGCCATCTCCCCTGCCGAGGGTGACATGAGTAATGTATACTTCTGGTGTCTATTGCTTGAAAATTTTGATTAGGGGTTTCATAAATAGCATAAACTCTTGAATTATGGAACTTGAGATAAGGCTGGGCTGGCTTAAACATTTGGATTAATTTGGACCAAGTAAGTCTCAGTAATAATATGAAAAATTTATTGATGATGATGGATTGTTTATAGACTCTGCAAAGAGTTGGGCAGACTTGACAAGTAGGGAAACCAGAGGAGAAAGGGCATGACAGGTTGGGCTTCATGCGCAATCCCAATTTCATAGGCTGGACCTCTAAATCACTACTTTAATTTTCATTTTAAAATGCTGGTATAGAGCACAAACATGTTGGTATGCTCTAGTATCATAATTCATTATCGGAGTTTTTTCAAGATGGCATACAAGTTTAGTTTTGCTAGTGTTATATAGTAAAGTGATGAGGTCTGTGGGAGCAAGAGAACCAGAACTGTGTGGAGCATGTGGTACATGCTCTATAACCATCACTGTCATTTTGGAAAGATAAATGAAATGAGAGCAGGATTTTAGGGGTACTATAAAACATCCACAAGGCACCAGTCAGATTATTTGGTTCTTTCCCACATTCCTTCCTCTCTCTCACCCTCCCTCCTACCCTTCCTCCTTCTCTTCATTTCTTCCGTCTTTTTAAAATTTTTAGTTCTATCCTTTTTCTATGTTAAAAAAGCCATATGTGGCAGTGTATCTCAAAACCCAATTAAATTCATTCATGACATTTAAAAATGTACTCAGTTCAGTAGGAGCCAGAGGACCAGAAACAAGCCTAAAACTTCTTTTTTATCACTACATCTCTATTGATAGACTATGCAACAATAATCTTTTATTTAGAGAACTATGTTTACACCACAATAAATCTCATTCCATGTAAGTTCCTCCCCATTTCCAAATAAAGAAGAAAATAAAATGCTTCAAAGCTCTCACTTTGACAAAGGCACATTGCTGAAATAAATGCTAGAGCCTGAATGGTTATAGAAATTAACTGTATAATTCCACCAAAATTAGTAAATTGTCTATTTACAATACAGCTTTCACGGAAAAATGACTTTTTACCTGCTAGTAATGTGGGCTCAGAAAGAGATGAATTGTCTTGTGTAGACAACACATTTCACTATGGCTGAATAGCTGGCTGGGATCTGCAGGTCAACTGAGCCAGATCATTTCCTTGGGTTTTGATCAAGCAGGAGGACCTCTTCCTCCCCAAGTCCTACCCACTTTACTATGACACCAACAAAACAAAAAGTGTATGCGAACTTGCAAAAACCTTGAGAAACAGAATTATAATAGATACTAGAGTATACCAAGATATTACACAAACCCTAGGTTTCAGTTCAGATCAACTGTGTCCAACAAAGTTGTTTTCAAGTTGTACATGATTCTCTTCATTATTTCATTCTCTTGACCATTTCACTGCTTCTCTGCAAACTCGAGGTAGAGAGACTGAAATAACTATACATTTTACAGCCTGTTGATGATTCTTGTAAAACTTTTTTGCTAAAGGGGAATTCTAAAACTTACTGGTTAAAGTGATATTTTGGTGTTATAGCAAATCCCTGACTATAGGATCATCTCCAATAACTCTTCATTAATTGAGAGGAAAATTTCCATCTGATATGTATCTTCTTTAGTTCTTTTTTTACTTATACATTATTAATCTGAGAAATTCCCTTTCTTTTTTGCATATAGGTGTATTTTAAATACACAACAGCATTGTGCTTGAGATAGTGTGCATAAATACTTGCTTGAATTAAAATAAGACTTTGTGCCAGGAGAGATTATTGTTAGAGGAACATGCAGCAACACTCATAAGTGAGCATCTACTCTATACAAAGCAGCCTAAAAGATTCAGCAAAGAATGCTTTTCTTGAGTGTTCTGTTTGTTTGTTTGTTTGTTTTAAAGAATAGAATCAGCATTTGATTGGTCTGCCTTGGAAGTTGTCTACTTTCGCATACTTGATTTTATTAAACACATATTGAGTATGCAAGAAATGAAACTTTATTTCTATATAACAAACAATTTCCAGCTCAAGCATTTGTTCCATCCGGTGAAGAAAACATGTTCTTTGTCAATTCGGGTAAACGCTGTCAAATCAAGATGATTTTCAGTTCACCAAGATTTCCCTTTTTCTTTACCTCTTGCATCTGAATTCCTGGTGCTTAGATAGAGGCCAGGGCATGGGCAGCTATGAAATCACATATCTGCTCAGGCAACTCCTGCTCTCTAAAGAGTCCTGTATGCTTTTCAGCTCACCTACTCTTGTATTCTCTCCTATTGTTAGCCCCAGCAGGCTCGCCTTCTCTCAGGATCATACCCATGCTGCTCTTGTCTGTACTGAAAACATTTGATTCCCCCAAGGAGCTGTTTCAGGCCCTGTTTCCTAGACACCTCATATAGGTATTTCTACTTAACTTCTCCAGCCTCACACTGGGGTGGGGTAGAACTCTAGGCCTTGCCGCTCTCCTGGGCCCACATAGAAGTAAGGCACTGGTCTTTTTTACTCTTGTCTTCCCAGCACAATCAGGGAATGTTCTTTTGATTCATCTCCTACCTGGAATCAACCTGGGGATGATGGAGCAGGGATTAGGACCCCTTCCCAGGGATACTCACTGGAGTCTAATTCTCTTTTTGCTTCCCAACATCTGCTCTTTTTTTTAAAATTTAATTTAATTTAATTTTATTATTATTACACTTTAAGTTTTAGCGTACATGTGCACAATGTGCAGGTTAGTTACATATGTATACATGTGCCATGCTGGTGTGCTGCACCCATTAACTCATCATTTAGCATTAGGTATATCTCCTAATGCTATCCCTCCCCCCTCCCCCAATCCCACAACAGTCCCCAGAGTGTGACGTTCCCCTTCCTGTGTCCATGTGTTTTCATTGTTCAATTCCCACCTATGAGTGAGAACATGCAGTGTTTGGTTTTTTGTCCTTGCAATAGTTTACTGAGAATGATGATTTCCAATTTCATCCATGTCCCAACAAAGGACATGAACTCATCATTTTTTACGGCTGCATAGTATTCCATGGTGTATATGTGCCACATTTTCTTAATCCAGTCTATCATTGTTGGACATTTGGGTTGGTTCCAAGTCTTTGCTATTGTGAATAGTGCCACAATAAACATACGTGTGCATGTGTCTTTATAACAGCATGATTTATAGTCCTTTGGGTATATACCCAGTAATGGGATGGCTGGGTCAAATGGTATTTCTGGTTCTAGATCTCTGAGGAATCGCCACACTGACTTCCACAATGGTTGAACTAGTTTACAGTCCCACCAACAGTGTAAAAGTGTTCCTATTTCTCCATATCCTCTCCAGCACCTGTTGTTTCCTGACTTTTTAATGATTGCCATTCTAACTGGTGTGAGATGGTATCTCATTGTGGTTTTGATTTGCATTTCTCTGATGGCCAGTGATGGTGAGCATTTTTTCATGTGTTTTTTGGCTGCATAAATGTCTTCTTTTGAGAAGTGTCTGTTCATGTCTTTCGCCCACTTTTTGATGGGGTCGTTTGCTTTTTTCTTGTAAATTTGTTGGAGTTCATTGTAGATTCTGGATATTAGCCCTTTGTCAGATGAGTAGGTTGCGAAGATTTTCTCCCATTTTGTGGGTTGCCTGTTCACTCTGATGGTAGTTTCTTTTGCTGTGCAGAGGCTCTTTAGTTTAATTAGATCCCATTTGTCAATTTTGGCTTTTGTTGTCATTGCTTTTGGTGTTTTAGACACGAAGTCCTTGCCCATGCCTATGTCCTGAATGGTAATGCCTAGGTTTTCTTCTAGGGTTTTTATGGTTTTAGGTCTAATGTTTAAGTCTTTAATCCATCTTGAATTAATTTTTGTATAAGGCCCAACACCTGCTATTTTTCCCTTATCCAGGTTCTCTTCTTTCTTCAGAGTTTGGGAAAACTGGCTGAGTTTTCTTTTCTTTGTTTTTGAGATGGAGTCTCACTGTGTCGCCCAGGCTGGAGTGCAGTGGCACCATTTTGGCTCACTGCAACCTCCACTTCCTGGGTTCAAGCAATTCTCCTGCCTCAGCTGGGATTATAGTAGCTGGGATTACAGGCACCTGCCACCACACCTGGCTAACTTTTGGATTTTTAGTAAAGACAAGATTTCACCATGTTGGCCAGGCTGGTTGTGAACTCCTGACCTCAAGTGATCCACCCCACTCAGCCACCCAAAGTGCTGGGATATCAGGTGTGAGACATGATGCCCAGCCTGTGCTGGCTTTTCTTAAGACCCATCAAACCTAATCCCTGCTTTTATATCTCCAATCTAGTTTTCAGTATTTTTATTATATGTCTTTCTGCTTTATGAGTTCTGAATTCCTGGAGGTCTGAAGTTCTGTCTGCAACACTTGCCTTACTAAGTGTAAGGATTGATTTCTGATTTCCTTTCTAAATAACCCAATACCCTGAGCTAATCCTCCACTCCCCCTCCCCAAGTCCAGTAATTTCTAGAGAAAAGGATTGCTATAAAGTTATCATGGAAAGAGATAGTCATTTATGCAATTCTCCCAGTTAGCTTAAAATACTGACCAGCATAGTTCTACTAGCAGAACTCAGTCTTGCTTGGTGACAGTTACAGAAAAAGAAGATCTAAAGGTGATTGTCAAGCTGTTTGGGTTGTTATAGCAAAAATACCATAGACTGGTTAGTTTATAAGTAATGGAGATTTATTGCTCACAGTTCTGGAGTCTAGGAAGTCCAAGATCAAGGTGCCAGCAGATCTGGTGTTGGGTGAGAGTTCCCTCTCTGCTTCATAAATGACACATCTTGCTGTGTCCTCACATGGTGGAAAGGGTGAAAGCAGAAAGGCAGCTCCCTTCAACCTCTTTTATAAGGGCACTAATCCTGTAATTGGGGGCAGAGCTCTCGTGACTTATTAACTTCCCCAAAGGCCCACCTCTTATTCCCACATTTGGGATTAAGTCACAATATTTGAATTGTGGGATACACCAGATTCAGACTATAACAACAATTCACTCATGAATGAGATGAAGTGGATTGTAATATTAATACTCAGAAAGGAAGGGGGCATGTACAGGTTGGGTCAAATGACAGGGAGACTAGGGTTGGGGGTGGAGCTTCATTTGTGCTAAATTTTAGAATGCCTGCCTGTAAATTTTGTGCAGTGTTTTTACTTGGCTTTAAATTTTCTTTGATTTTCATCATGCATACTAGCATTTGCCTTATTAAGGATATGATGACATAGAATCACGGTGGTAGAAAATACTCTGTACATAGACCCCATCCATTCACTGGTAATTTATTCATTAATATTTAAGTGGATGTTCAGGTATGTTTAAGAAAAAAATATTCATAATACTTGTTAAAAGATGGCCAGGCAGTCTTTATTCAAGGAGAGGCCGTGGGATGGATACAGGGATCACTGCAACAGGGTCTGGAAGTGTGGGAAAGAGATTGGGCTCAACTGCCAGGAAGACAAGTGGGGATTTGTAACCAAAGAGCAGCGTGGGGGGTCCGTGGATGGAAAACCACTAAGAGGAAACATCAAACCAACTTGATAGGACTCTTGCTGAAAGCAGGTCTAGGTGGCAGATACTGAGAGTGGTCAGACACTAAGAACGGGGGACTTTGCCTAATTGACTTAGCAGGGTTCCTGCTCAAACTGGATTCTTCAAGGACAGAGAGGGAAGCCCAAAGATGGGCCTCATCATGAAGGACCCAGAGGATCCTCATTCAAGTTGTTTGGTCACAGACAGTCTTTGTCAGGTATAGGCCATGCAGAGAACAAAACAAAGGCAATGCACGGAGGTACAAGTGGAGGGTTACCATTACTCAGGTTCTGTTCAGGCTCTGAATTAAGTGACAAGTTTGTGGCAGGGTTAGATTCAGTGGTCTGAATTTCATCAGACTGATTCAAGGTTCAGTCTTTTGACATGTGGTGGCTAACAGTCGAGAGTCACACAATTACTACAGCAAGAGGGCCTGGGTCTCAAGAAGGAGCCCATGTTTGGGTTTCATCATGTGACTGACACTGGAGTCCTCATCTAACTTGTCTTTGGGCCAATCTTACCATCCCAGTCAAACTTGAGACCATTGATATGTGACCTTGTATGCTTCTCCTCCTGGGTCATATAGGGGAGAAAAAGTCAGATCATTTCCTTACCCATCACTAGGTTCTGGCTGAGACCCTACAACAAAAGACAGATTAACAGGACAAAGGCAAAACAAATGTATTTAACCAAAGTTTTACATGACATGGGAGCCTTTAGAAATGAAGACCCAAAGGCCCAGGGAAAACTGTATTTTTATGGTCACTTGTACAGAAGTGTGATTGGAGGACAAAAGGATGTGATGGTAATAAGCTGTGGAGAATTTAGGAAGGCCTGTTTGTTCAGATTCTTCTTGGTCTCCAGGTATAGGGCAGGACCCCTCTGGAATGAGGGTCTTAGGACTTATTTTCAGGCAAAGTAGGTCAGAAAATTCTTTTACAGCCATGTTCCATGGGAAAAAGGCAGGAGAAGGTAGAGTGACTTTCTTGCCTCTACAGTTTTCTCAATTTAATTCAGGTTAAAAAACCCAGTATGCCAAGCTGCCATATTTTGTGGTAGCATCCCCTGTACCCCATTAGTCAGAAGCTGAGGAGTCACATACTGTGGTAGGAAAAATTCAGGTCACAGACGTAGTCACAAATGTATTTCTCTGGCCCATCTCCGTTCCAATTTTGAGGTTCCCAAGGGATGTCTTTATATGTTCTGCACACTGGGTGACGACCCCATTTCCCCTCCTGGCTGGGATGGTTGTGGGAATATTCCTGGTTGCTGATCATGCCAAAACCCAACAGTGGTGCTGTGGGGCTTGCTGTCGGTGCTGAGAGGACCAGCTCCCAGTGCTGCTACTGCCTCCTCAATCTACAGGCACATCATAGAAATATCAGGGGTTTGGTTCCAGACCACTGCAGTAAAGCAAATATGGCAATAAAGTGAGTCATACACATTTTATGGTTTCCCAGTGCATATAAAAATGATGTCTATACTATCCTGTAGTCTCTTAAGTGTGCAATAGCATTGTGTCTAAAAAAATGTAGATAACTTAAAATACTATATTGCTAAAAATTTCTAACAGTCATCTGAGCCTTGAGTGCTGATGGAGGGTCTTGCCTTGAAGTTGATGACTGCTGAGTGATAAAGTAGTGGTTGCTGAAAGCTGGGGAGACTGTGGCAATTTTTAAAAATAAGACAACAGTGAAGGGTGCCACATTGATTGACTCTTAATTTCATTAAAGAGTCCTTTGTAGCATGTGATGCTGTTTGATAGCATTTTATCCACAGTAGAACTTCTTTTAAAATTGGAGTCAGTCCTCTCAGACCCTGTTGCTGCTTTATCAACTATGTTTATGAACTATTCTAAATATCCTTTGTTGTCCTTTCAACAATGTTCACAGCATCTTACCCAGAGTAGATTCCATCTCAAGAAATAATTTCCTTTGCTCATCCATAAGAAGCAACTTTTCATTCAGGTTTCATCATGAGATTGTAGCAATTCAGTGACACCTTCAAGTTCCACCTCTAACTCCAGTTTTTTTGCTATTTCTATGGTATTTGCAGTTACCTCCTCTACTGTAGGCTAAAACCCCTCAACATCATCCATGAGGGTTGGGATCAACTTCTTCCACACTCTCATTAATGTTGATATTTTAACTGCCTTTCACGAATTACAAATGTTCTTAATGTCATCTAGAATGGTGAATCCTTTCTATGGCGTTTTCAACTTAATTTGCCAGACCCATCAGAGGAATCACTATCTATGGCAGCTATAGCCTTACAAAATATATTTCTTAAGTAGTCAGACTTGAAAGTCAAAATTACTCCTTGATTTGTGGGCTGCAGAATAGATGTTGTGTTACTAGGCATGAAAACAACAGGAATCTCCTTGTATATCTCTATCAGAGCTCTTGGGTGACCAGGTGCTTTGGCAATGAGAAGTAGTAATATTTTTAAAGCAGTCTTCTTTTTTTGTTTGTTTGCTTTTTTTCCCTGAGCAGTAGTTCTCAACAGAGGGCTTAAAAAATCCAGGAAACCATGCTGTAAACAGATGTGGTGTCAGCCGAGCTTTGTTGTTGCATTTTTATTGCACAGGCAGAGTAGATTTAGCATAACTCTTAAGGAATATAGGATTTTTGGAATGGTAAACAAGGATTAGTTTTAACTTAAAGTTACCAGCTGCATTAACCCCTAACAAGACAGTTTGGCCTTTGAAGTTTTGAAGCCAGGCATTGCCTTCTTCTCTCTAGCTATGAAAGTCCTAGATGGCATCTTCTTTGAATAGAAGGCTGTTTTGTAAAAATCTGTTGTTTAGTGTATTTACCTCCACCAATGGTCTTAGCTAGATCTTCTGGATAACTTGCTGCAGCTTTTACATTGGCACTTGCTGCATCACCTTGCACTTTTATGTTATGGAGATGGCTTCTTTCCCTTAACCTTGCGAACCAACCTCTGCTAGCTTCAAATTTCTCTTCTGCACGTTCCTCACCTCTCTTAGCCTTTATAGAATTTGAAAAAGTTAAGGCCTTACTCAGATTAGGTATTGGCTTAAGGGAATGTTGTGGCTGGTTTGAGCTTCTATTCAGACCACTAAAACTTTCTCCCTATTAGCAATAAGTTTTGTGTTAGGCCGTTCTTGTGTTTCTATAAAGGAATACCTGAGGCTGGGAAATTTATAAAGAAAAGGGGTTTAATGGGCTCATGGTTCTGCAGGCTGTACAAGCATGGCACAAGCATCTGCTTCTGGTGAGGGCCTCAGGAAGCTTCCAATCATAGCAGAAGCCACGTGGAGCCAGCATATCCCATGGTGAGAGTGGGAGTAAGGGAGAGAGAAGGCGGGGGGCGGGGTCCCAGACTTTTAAACAACCAGATCCCACGTGAACTAACTGAGCAATAACTCACTTACAAGGGGATGGTGCTAAACCATTCATGAGGGATCCACCCCTCATGATCCAGTCGTCTCCTACCAGGCCCCACCTCCAACACTGGAAATCACGTTTTAACGTGAGATTTGGAGAGGACAAACATCCAAACTATATCAAGGCTGTTTGGCTCTCTTATCATTCGTATGTTCACTGGAGTAGCACTTTTAGTTTCCTTCAAGAACTTTTCCTTTGTGTTCACAACCTGGCCAACTGGCTGGTAGAAGAGGCCTAGCTTTCAGCCTTTCTTGGCTTTTGACATGCCTCCTTCACTAAGCTTAATTGGTTCTAGCTTTTGATTTAAAGAGAGAAACTTGTGACTCTTCCTTTCACTTAAACTCTTAGAGGTCATTTTAGGGTTATTAATTATCCTAATTTCAATATTGTTGTGTCTCAGGGAACAGAGAGGCCTGAGGAGAGTGAGAGAAGGGGGAACAGCCTGTGGGTGGAGCAGTCAGAACACATACAACATTTATTGATTAATTTTGCTATCTTATATGGAGCATGCTCCATGGTTCATGGTAGTACAAAACAACTACAATAGTAACATGAATGATCATCTAGCACAGATCACCATAACATAGTAATAATGAAAATATTTGAAATATTGCAAGAATTACCAAAATGTGACAAAGAGACACCAAGTGAGCATATGTTGTTGGTAAAATCGTGCCGATAGACTTGGTCAATGCAGGTTTGCCACAAATCTTCAATTTGTAGAAAATATAGTATCTGCAAAGCATGAGAAAGTGAAAGCAATAAAACAAGGTGCACCTGCACCTGCTGCGTTGCTGCACACCTGTGCCCTGGCTCTGGAACTTCTCCTAGAATTTTTGAGAACTCAGGTGTTCAACCCTTTCTCCTCTCTGATACTGTGCATTAAACTTGTGCTTGCATTAAACTCATGTCTCTTATCCTTGAGATGCATTTTTCCCTCAGGAGGTTTCACTTTCCCCATCAAATCTCCAAATGTTCCTCAATGTAGCCACAATCTTAATCTCAAGCTGGAAACTTTGAAGTAGCTAAACATTTGCAGTCATGAAATCCTGTGACTTTATTATTTTTATTCAGAGGATTCTTTGCCGATTAATTTTTTGCCTATTAATTTTTAAGTCATTAACTGAACTAGAAAATATTCTCCAGATTCTCCTGGCCCCTACTTGTGAGTGATTAGACACAACATCTATTTAAATCCTTCATTAAGTTGTCCTAAAGTCTAGGATTTGTTAGAGGAAAACAATAACTCAGTTCTACCAGAAAATCATAAAACTAATAAGTAGTTATTTACATGTGCATGAATCTTGATTGATTTTTTAACAGGTGTATATGGGTTCAGGATGTAAATTGAGCAGATTCTATCAATAACTACTTGGCATTTCAGAAATGAAATAAAATTTCCTATTAATAAATGCAAGCTTTGTTGCTATAACAAAACCCAAGTAATTGCAGGATCAATGATGAGGGTCTTATGCCTGCGAGTGAGACATATTTAGAGGTTATAAAGAAGACTTTAGTAGGAAATGTATAGGAGTATTTAACAAAGATTTGCAAAGATACAGCTTATTTTTTTCTGTTAAAGAATATCTTGGACAACCTCAAGACTAAATCATGTGGCAGTCTGATGCCATCAATAACGAATAGCAATTGTTATTCATACTCAGTTCCTTATCAGTCTCATGTATGTATAACCATGGCAGAATAGCCCATGATTACTCTTTCTTAAGAGTGATTATTTAGGTAATGGTTTGCTTTGTTTCCCTTTTTACCCCTCTCTCCACACCAGTTATCTCAACCTCACAGGATAAAGGAGGGACAAGTCCCACGACTGAAAGGGACTTGCTGTTTGGGAGTGGAGGGTGATGGATGGGTAGGGATACATGAAGCCCATCTTGAGGAGTTCTCTCCTTAGCACCGTAGACCATCATAGGCTGATTACTGGCACCTCAAGCCCTAGGCCCCCAGTGTGGACCTGTCCCCAATCTCAGGTTCCCTGATTCCCTATATGTCAGGCTCGGTGTGATCAAGTCTCTTCGCTCGTTTTCTGTTCATTCTGTGCTCTCACTCACTGGATCCTCACTTGCTGACTGCCTACTTGGACCTCTGAGGACCTGTTCTTTTCCTCCTGAGTGCATTAAAGCAGTTTATGACCTTCGTGTCTTAGCTCTCTGACTCTTCAATCTTAGAAGCACTTTTCTGATATATGACCTCCTTGGTCATGTCACCAAAAGGGAATTCTTCTGCTTGTACCTTAAGACTACACTCTGAGCATCTACTATTCAGCCCTGAGTGGCTTGTTAGACTCTGAGAATTACCTTATCACTCCAAGTTCTCTCAGCTGCTGCTTAAACCCTGCTGATGATGGTTTAGTTCTTATTACTCTGTTTTCATCTTGTCAGTGAGGTTAATTTCACTGGCTACATTACATGTAGGGTAAGCTGGATTTGGGGGTTAGGTTGCCTGAGTTTGAATCTTGTCTACTGGTTATTAGCTCTTAGGCCATGGACAGCTCACTGAAAGACTGTAAGCCTCAATTTTCTTACCTATAAAATGGGCTAATGATAGTATCAGCCTCATGAATGATTGTAAATATTCACTTAGGTAACATATGTGAATTTCACTGCACAGTGCCAGGCACATTGTAAATATCCATAAATGTAACTTATTATAATTATGAATAAATGATTGTGATACTGAAAGATTCACAGCTGCCCTTCAGAAAAGTCTGATCCCTGTGTTCTGCTGACTGTTAATATTTTATTATTATTGCATTCTTAAATTATAAGGTGATTTAGGAGGGAAAAACATGGCCTCTCTGCAAAAGAGTGAAAGCTTACAAATCTAGAGTAAAATAATAGTTTAATTTTTTGCACCTCTTCAATAACTGTCTCTTGTGTGGGTAATGTAATTACCAGTGGAAAAATGAGTAAGAACTCAAACTCAATAAATTACATTTTCATTGAATTTCTTTGCTTATATTCTAAGGGAATAGGACTTTGAATTTTGAAACACTTTTTTGCCACTTTATTTTTTAACTGCTAAGACATGACATAGTATGCATTTTAATGTATTCATTCATGTCCAGTTTCAACAAAACTGGGTGGGAATTAGTACCCCATAATTCATGCACTAGGGTGTCTTATTACAATTATAAAATTTTATTATAAAATGTTTTTTTAATATTTATATTGTTAATTAAATGATGATGAATCTTCATAAATTCTGAACAGAGAATTATGGTCCATTTGTCCCTGCTCAGACATATTAGCCAATCAGAATATTTGATTTCTCTTTCTAATATGTCTGGATGTTTGATGGTAAAGTGTGCAGATGTTGCTATCCTTTCCATGCCTCTGGCATCTCTGAAGAAAGACTCTCAAAGCAGTTTACCTGCATTGAGATTACTACAAGGTGGTCGTTTTCTTGGGGGAATTTTTGGAGCACTTGTGATTATTAAAAAATCAACACTCCTTTTGAGTTTCAGTTTCTAAAGAGATTTCTACACTAGAGAAGGTAATCATAAAACAGCATTTGTATCCGGATATAGGCATTTCTGCCCTCCTGCATATACATATATATATATAGTCACTAAAGCTGTTGTGATGAGACATTAAATGATGATATAATGATCACCTGAGCAGCAACAGAAAGGGAGATGAGAAACCCCGAGAATGATCTAGACCTGCACTGTCCAATAATGTAGCCACTAGCCACATGTGGCTATCAAGCACTTGAAATGTGGATGGTGTGACTGAAGAAATAAATTTTAAATTTTATTTACTTTAATTAATATTTAAATTTAGGCCAGGCATGGTGGCTAACGCCTGTAATCCCAGCACTTTGGGAGGCCAAGCCAGGTGAATCACGAGGTCAGGAGTGTAAGACCAGCCTGGCCAAGATGGTGAAACCCCATCTCTACTAGAAATACAAAAATTAGCCGGGCATGGTGGTGGGCGCCTGTAATCCCAGCTACTCCGGAGGCTGAGGCAGAGAATTGCTTGAACCTAGGAGGCAGAGGTTTCCATGAGCCGAGACCGTGTCACTGCACTCCAGCCTGGGGGACAGAATGAGACCCTGTCTCAAAAAAAAAAAAATAAATAAATAAAAATAAAAAAGATTTAAATAACGATTGAATTTTACAAAATTCAGTTCCTCAGTCACACTAGCTCCATTTTGTTAAAATAATTAATTGGGAGTTCATCAGACTGAGGCAACTCCAGCACCCCGGGATCTTACCTAAGCAAATTGAAACCCAACTCACTGTAAATGGTCATGTGCTAGGAAAATGAAACTTACATTTAATCAATGAGGAACCACCAACTAACTTCTAACTAGGGATTTCTGCTAGGTTGATTAAAATAAAGTTACTGCTCCACTTTAGCCAAACACAATTTTTTTTCTTTTTCTTTTTTGCCTCGCTTCTGAATTCACGTTATACAAATTTTCTCCTCAAGCCCCTTTTCCGAAGCCCTGAACTTCTAGTGGTCTGGTGCTGCCTGATTCATGAACTGCTATTTGCTCAAATAAACTCTTTAATATTTTAATGTGCCTCAGTTATCTCTTAGCAATTTTAATTGCCCAGTAATCATGTGTGCCTGGCTACTGGCTTTCAGACTGAGTAGTGCAGATACAGAACATTTCCATCGTCACAGAATGTTCTATTGGATAGCACTCATCTTCACAAGCAAGGGGAATGTTAAGAAGACGTAATTGTCTTTACTCTTTTGGTTCCACATTATCTTGTCTCCAGGCATTCTCAACACTGGAGAAATGCAGGATTCAGAAAAAGGGGGAGGGAATGACAACATAAAATTTAGAAATGAGCTTTGTGGTGGACAGTTGTAGCTAAAGCACTGGGAGAAGAAGCCGAGGAGGGTTCTATTGCAAGAGGGCTGCAACATCTTCCAGCCTCTGGGATGTTTGTTGCTGATTGTTGGAGTTGTGAATTTGGTGAAAGACTGCAATGGTAGCTGTATTAAAGAAGAGAAGGCCTGTCAAAAATAATGCCAGAGGTGGAAATGTTTTCATATTTTTCTCTCACACTATGCTTTTGCCTGGGAAGAAAAATCCTGGAACCCAAACATCATCTCAAGTTTATTTTTTTTTCTCAAACTTTAATGTGCATGTGAATCACTCGATAATATTGTTAAAAAGCAACTTCCTATTTAGTAGGTCTGCAGTGCAGCCTGCATTTCTGAGAAGCTCTCACATGATACAGATGATCAAGGACCACACTTTGAGTTGCAAGGCTCTAGAATGTCTAGAAACATTCAGAATTTCTGTATAAGCATTGTCCTAATTACTGGTTCAAACACAGCAGGTTACACCTTTCCAGAAACCAATGTGCCCTTAGTTTCAAACTCAGACTAGGGAAATTTGTCTGTGAGTAGGAGGTAGAGGAAGTCTGTTGTTTTTGGAGAAATGAGGCTCATTACCTCTAATCCCAAGACTGGTGTAAATATGTTCTGATGTACTCACGCGTAAGTATGGGAATATTTAAAAATTGAGGAGCACTGATCCATAGAAAAAATTCAGTCAAATTTATTACATAAACAAAAAGCAAGTCACATATGTGTTTCAGTATTGTTGTGATTATTTTTCTAACACTAAGCCTTTGAACAGAAAGCAGTTTCTATCTGATACTATGATTTAGAGCTAATTGGAGAAGGAATCAATTGTGGGTAGAGGCCAGCTATTGATCAGAAAAAGGAATGGGGAACTGGAATGTTTCTCAAATAGAGAAAAATTCAGAATTAGAAGCCAGAGTCAGGGAAATTGCTGTTTGGAAAAATACAATCAGGAGTTTTCATAAAATCTAGATGCACTGTGGGGCTTTTCAGCTCCTGATACAGATGGATGGGCTGGGAATATTAAGGAGCAGAGGATCTGGAAGGAATGAGGTATCTCTGTTCCTTGGTTAAGTACTGCCAAGCAAGCAGGGTCTGCAGATCAAGTGAAGCTGCCTGAAAGGATCGTTGAGCTGCAACAAAGTCTAAGGCTTCATTGTGTGTACATGCCAGGAAGATTTAGACATGAAACTACAAGTCCCTGCTCAGTTATTCCTGCTCTTACCAAGAGGAGAATCAAGACCAAGTTGAGTAGAAACCTAATGTTCCAGGCATCTACACGAGTTTCATGCCTTGCTTAGTTGTTTTTTAAATAAAGAGTTCAATGTTTATGGGAAAATCAAAATCAAGAGAAGTATGCCCTCTAGATTTCTCATTTATTCATGCTCATGGGAAGCTGAGATGTGTATTTGTTTTATTTGTTGCATAGCACTCAGTCCAGAAACCGTTTTCTATTTGGTGGCAATTACCTAAAATTACAGGAGTATGTCAGGGAGGAAATAAAGTGTCTAATGAATACTAGTCATAAAAACAACAAATAAAAAGGAAACAAAAGTATTTATATCTTAAAAGTTACAGCAAACAATTCAAAGAAGATAACGCTATAGAAAAGTATGTATTTCGTATTAAGATAGTAGTCTGGTTTTCTGGTTTAATAGAAAGAGGACTCCACTGCCAGTTAGAAGACCTATTGTCCACCATAAAAGAAAATCAACAACATTGAAGAGAGTTGATATACTGTATAAAGGATGTAACAAAACAAATGGCCTTAAATCTTTGCAGATTCTAACTCCATCTACTCTTCCATTTGTGGGAGCGGCTTGCTCAGATGTTACAATTTAGGTGTATGTGGTGCTGATCTAACTGTGACCCCTCAAGAGGAGGTAAAGGAGGTTCTGCAGCAGCTTCTGGGTTTCCACCTTCCCTGGACCTCCTTTTCTTCTCTTCTTTCTCTTTCTTCCTCAGGTAATTCCCAAATTCTCTGTCTTCCTCTCATATTAGCCCTACATTTTTCTTTTCCCCATTGCACTTATTTTACTATACTGTAAAATTACTTGTTACATTTCTTTTTCATTGTCTATTTCTCTCCCTCAGGTATATAAACTGCTTAACAGTAGGATTCTTTGTCTCCTCTCTTCACTGATGAATCCTGAGCATGTGAGCAGTACCAGGCACAGAACAGATGTCTGGTAAATGCCTGCTGAATGAATGAACAATGGTTTTCCCATGAGATGGGACCTGGGTGTCAGTGTTCTTATAGAGTACAGGTGGCAATGTGGCCTCGGTCTGATCACCCAGGGGACTGGTCACTTCTTTTGCCTTTTCTTTCTCAGCAAGGTGGTATTCATTTTTACACAGTCAGGGCATAGTGGGAGATGCTGATGTTTGATAGTTTGAGGATTAGCTTCAGCTCTTTCTTTTTCTTTTCTTTTTAAACACACAAACACTAAGCCACAGACTTGTACGTTTTTGTTTTCACTTTTGATTGTGTGTGTGTGTTTGAAAAAGAGAAACACATGGACACTTAACTTTTTTCCAACAGAATTCTTTAAGCAGAATCTGAATGAATACTATCTTGTTTTGTCCATAATTCACCATGTATCCTTATGCATGTCAAATCTGTTTCTGGGCCTCAGCTTTCTCAGTTATGACGTCCTGTTTCTTTTGTTCTTACATCTATTCTTTTGATATGTTTTTCTGTTTTCCCACTCCCCCTTTGACCTCTCCTTCCCCAACTTTCTATTTCCATATTCTCTATTACCTTCCAATTTCCACTGTGTCCCCAGTGGAGATTTATTTATTTATTTATTAAATTTTCCTTAAATTGAATGAGACTAATTTCTCACTATAGCATTTGGAACCTCCCCGCAGGTTTCCTGTGATACCTTGGATGTCATTAACATTGTAGGCTTACTTGCCAGCCCACTTCCTTCTGACTTCTGCTCCCATCACTCCATCAAAATGGCTCTTACCCAGGTCATCAGTTTCCTCTGTGTTGCTAAGTTTAGTGAATGCTTATTGGTCCTTACTTTTAAGACCTCCCAGTGTCTATAACACTGTTAACCTGCCTTTCCTTTGGTTTCTATGATGAGAGCTCCTTTTCCTGGATTTCTTCCCACCACGTGGACCTTTACTTCCCAGTCTTTCAAATCTGTATCCTTTATTAGACTTCTATTCTGAGCTCTAGACATGCATATCACACAGCCAATTTGACATTCAAACTTGGATGCCTTTCTAATATTCATCAATTAACATGCCCCAAACTGAACTTTGGACCTCCTACATGGTTCTCTATTTCTCACAGTGTTACTAATATCCACTTAATTGCCTAAACTAGAAACTGGAGTATGACCCTTGATTCTTCCCTCTCCATTACCCATTACCTTTCATATCCAATCAACTACCAAATCCTATCCAGTCTTCTCGAATCTGATTACTTCTCTTTATCTCCACTGCCAAGACTTTAGTCAAAGTCACCATCATCTCTCAATTGAATGCCTGAGAATTCTCTCTAACTTATGCCTCTGTCTCCAGTCTAGCCCCTATCCAATATATAGCCAATTCTTGTTATTCATGTAGTTATGTTCTATAAAGTATCTGCAAACACTGAATTAGCTAATACTGAATTATGAAAAAAAATGTGGTTGGGTTTGTGCAAGCCTCTGGTCAACATTTTCAACTGATCAATATATATGCTTATTTAATGTGTGCTTCCTTAAAGATGTCTTATTTAATATATATTGTTGATTCATGAACACTGCACTCATGGCCAACGGCACCATAACTCATGCCTGAAAGAAACTTATCTGACACATGAACTTTCTTTATAAGGCACATCACAGCCTTGTTGCTCTTGTGAACATTAGACAGCACTTTAGCACTGTGTTTAGGGGTCATTTAAAGAGTGAAATCACCAATACAAAGCACAAAAATGTGAAGAAATGTGATACTAAACAGACCACAAAAAGAACACTTTACAGTATGAGACTGGAGACACAAAGGCAGACTGTTACCTTGTTCAATTTCAACTGAAAAGGTGCTTTCTGGGCAACTTAAACTTTTTGTCAAAAGATCTTGAAAGTGCCATGAGTGTTGATTTGGGGGTAACAAGTAAATGTTAGTGAGTAGGAAACTTTGCAAATATGGAATCTGCAAATAATGAGGAGTGACTGTAGTATTAACTTGTACCCTAAACTATTGCACTTAAACCCAAACCTCATGTCACTCTTCTGGGTGAAACCTTTAAATGACTGCACATCACCATTAGGGTTAAGTCCAAACCCCTAAATATGCCCCGCTCCTGTCTTTTCATTCTCATCTCTTATAGATCCCTCCTTCATGCTTTCTCATCAAACTGAAGTTTTCTCAATTTTTTATTCAATTCAGTATCAAT
This sequence comes from Homo sapiens, assembly GCF_000001405.40. Taxonomy (NCBI): domain Eukaryota; kingdom Metazoa; phylum Chordata; class Mammalia; order Primates; family Hominidae; genus Homo; species Homo sapiens. The sequence goes on along the minus strand of NC_000002.12, from coordinate 176,936,742 downwards.
CCTCTCCAACCTTTGAGCCCTTATAGAGCTTTTTCTTCTTCCTTCCTCCTTTCTCAGCTTCCTGTTTTGTATTTTCACGTTTTAATTTGTTACTTCTTCCTAAAGCTATCTCCATACTTCATAGACAAGATCTCCTGCCTCATGCTCTTGCCACATGTTTGTCTGACGACGTAACATTTATCACAGTTTTTGGGGGTAGCTGTCTGACTTTCTTACAAGATTACACATTGAGCAGGAACCAAGTCTACCCTTTTTATTGTTTGTGCTATACTGTACAGTAAGCACTGTACCTAGAACATAATAGGCACAGTGTGTGTTGAATGAAGGCAGGAATGAGTATTCATTTTGGTGTCTGTTTCATCAAAATAGTTATAAGCACTTTGAAAACAAAGAGAGGATATTTTCCTCTTTGTATCCAAATTGCCTGGCACAATGCCTACCCATAGTACATGCTTGATACATATCTATTGCATGAAAACAACACTTTAAACATGTCAAATAGTGTACAACCTGATTATAGGCAAAATAGTGCTTGATAGTAATTGAGCATTGAGTTTCTTATGAAAATTCTTTGCAAAATAAAAAGATTCTCAAAATAGAGTGAAACTACTTCCATAAAACAGATTGGAAATATTCCCACTACCCCATACTATGAGCAGAAAAGTGCCAGACATTCCCCAGGCCCCTGGGCAAGTGCTTACACACCTCTAGGGCAACCCTGCCCTTCTTCAAAGCACAACCATTGAGTTAGAATAGTGAAGCAGTTAGCAGATGAAAACCATGCTTTATTAAAAAGAAAAAAAGGAAAAAAAAAAGAGGATGTGAAAGGTAAAGCAGGCTGGCCAGTTCATTATAATTGCTTACTATTTCCCTATTGCATCTTAAAAACGTTAAATTTCAAGGGGCAGCTTTTTAATTTGGTGTAATTTTCTGAGGCAGCACTGAACATAAAGATTGCTCAGAGGACCCAGTTTCCCGCCAACTCTGGCTGATACTGAGGAGCCATGTGCAAGTGTCTGAGTTCAAATTTAACTTAAATCATTGAAAAACAAAAACAAAAACAAAACAAAAACAAAAAAACCAGGCGGCGTTGAGCTTCACCATGAGCAAAAGCTGTTCTGCTTTCCCAGTGGGGGATCACTGCACAGCAAGTGGGAAGAAATCAGAATACCTGCCGTGGGGATTTGAGAGGGAAATTGATTGCACACATTTAAATAGATGGGGTGAAGATTTTTCCCTGACAGTAAAACCCATGAATCCTAAGATGAAGAATTTAAGAACAAATGCTTTCAGGTGGACACTGAGAAGAACTGTGAACTTTCTTTTAACCTCCTCAATCAGGTTATCTTGGGTGCAAGCCAGGAAGTTTCCCAAACTATTGGGATAACTGTAAGTTCAGGGCAAAAGGTGATGCTGAATCCCTGCTGTGTGGATTGGTAACTCTGCCGTTTGCAGCAGAGACTGCCTCTTCCAGAGGGAACTCATCTGGAAGGCTGTGGAATCTTGGCTCTGGCCCCACTCATTTATTGGTCAGCTGGAGAAGGTGATGGAAAATGTGCCTTGGGAAAACACAGATGGGTATGTGAACCGACGACGTTGTGCTTAACCCTTCCTGGCCTAATAAGCGAGTGGTTCTCACAACGTGGTCCTAGAAGCAGCATCAGCACCACCCAGGCACGTGTGAGAACTGCACATTCTCAGGCCCAGGCTGATCCCAGATGAATTGAATCAGGAACTCCTGGAGGTGGGGCCCAGCAATGTGTGTTTTAAGAAGCCCTCTAGGTGATTCTGGGCACACCAAAATTGGACAACTTCTCACCTAAAACCCTGAGAGAACATGAGGAAGATTGTTCACCCAAAAGAATACAACTGTAACTTGGAATCAATCTGGCACTCATGTTAATAAAGATGGGAAAAGACAGATGGTCACTTTTTTGGAAGAGATTTGGCAACATCGGCATCATCATAAATATCAGGTAGTATTTGAAAAGGTCAGTATACTAGTAACCTGTTGCTCTAAAATTGGCACATAGTGAACAGCCACAGCATCTCAGTGACATGTAACAGTAGACGGGTTTTCTTCTGTATCTGCAAGGACGGGTTTTCTTCTATATCTTATCGCCTAAGCTCCCTCTTGAGTCTCAGTGCTGGTTCACCTAGTTTGGGCTTATGTGGAGTGACTGCTTTGTTCCACACGTCTGTCCTCCTTTCCCTGTGACCACCGGTAACACAGGCGTGTCCTCTTCATGGTAATGGCAGAAATAGGAGAGAACAAGCAGAAAGCGGGACCTCAAGGCCTGGGCCTGGAGCTGGAACATCTGTCCGATCCATCTCATTCTATTGGCCCAAGCAAGTCATGTGTCCAAGCCCAGATGGAAAACAGATTTGCCTCTGTAGTGAAAGCAACTGCAAAGTCATAGGGCAAAGGGCGTGGCTATAGGTAGGGGTACAGGATGGGGGCCTGTTATGCAATCAACCATAGTGAACAAGTTTCTCTTTGCATTATTAACAGTATATGCACAACAAAACCCAAATGTGAATTTGACTTAACAGGAAAAAAAATGTATCCTTCATTCTTGTCCCTAAAATAATACTAATTTTAGTTGGATCAACTGTGTGATTCTCAATGAAGATATGTTAAGTCAGATTAATCATGTAAATAATTAGCAGAAGAATAAAAGAAAAAGTCATTGTTTTTAAAAACTCTGAATAAATTGATATATTTAAGCCACTTTGTTTCTCAATAGTATATCAAATCCAATTCTTAAAAACAAACCTGTGGGGGCTGGGTGTGGTGGCTCACACCTGGAATCCCAGCACTTTGGCAGGTGGATCACTTGAGGTCAGGAGTTCGAGACCAGCCTGGCCAACATGGCAAAACCCTGTCTCTACTAAAAATACAAAAATTAGCCAGGCATGGTAGTGCACGTCTGTAGTCCCAGTTACTCAGGAGGCTGAAGCAGGAGAATTGCTTGAACCCGGGAGGCAGAGGTTGCAGTGAGCCGAGATCACGTCACTATACTCCAACCTGGGCAACAGAGCGAGAATCTGTCTCCAAAAACCCAAAAGCAAACAAACCCATGGATCAGATCTTACCTACCATGGATTTTCATTGGTAAATAAACTCTTGGTATTCTGTATCTGCAAGGAGTCATCTGATATGCATGTCTGTTTGTTAAACTAGATTTTACTACAGCTTTTTGGGGTTGGTTTAAAGACTGTATTAGCACTGCATTCCTAATTAACTGCTGACACAAATACTAAGGGGGCAAGAGTGTTGCCCACAGCTTGCCTGCAGTTACCAGGTGTAATTATGCACATAGTAGAGATTCAAATCAAGAATAAATCAGTTTCTGGAAACATGCTGTAAGCACTCAGTGTATCGCCCTGCCATTTCCCCCGTTAGCGTTTTTGAGGCATGCACCCAATAGAAGAAATAGCAGGTAGCTACTGTTTAGCTGAATTTAACCTCTGAAGATAAGCATTTCTCCATGTTGTTGGCCAAACATAGAATTTTCTTTTTGCTTTTCACATGTAATGGGAATACAATGATTTCTTCTCATTGCCAAATCTTAGCTGAAGGAAACCTCAGATAATTTTGAAAACTCTCTTATTTTACCAGTTAACAGACATGGCCTAAAACAGTGATATAACTGTTTAAAGTCATCCAATTGGTTAGGGAGGGCTAACCAGAGAAGCTAGGTTTTTCTCACCACACTACACTTTTCATTTGGGAAACGGGGAGTGTTCATGGTTTGATGAATCAAGTACAGTGTAGGGAGCAGACTGTTATGGTCTGTAGACATAAGTGGGATTCAATTTTCTTGTTTGTTGAATGAGAATTATGCTTGTTATGTTATTAGAATGTTTGGGTCAGGAGCAAGTTCTTTTCAAAATAAATAATTTTATTTTGGAGAAATAAAGCAATCTGGGGAAAATTGCCACTGGCCAGTCCTTTTAAATCAATTCACAGGGTCAGTAGACTCTAGTACCGAGGTTGGATATGCTAAGGATAGAGCGAGAGAAAGAGCTCAGTGACTTTTTCAACAACTAGAGTTACTTGCTTAATTATACTTTTTTTTTTTTTAAAAAAGACCTTCGAGGTACAGTATGAGCAGGGAGTAGGGTGAGGACTTCCCTCAGCACCCATCACCAAGTACTCTCAGGGCACCAGCAGGCCCCCATGAAATAGGTGCTGCCAGAAGCCCATGCCTAAAATTTGCTTGGGATTCATCTCTTCCCTTTCTTTTTTATGATGCTGAACCAGAGGATAAAAAGATAAAGAATTGCACAGCCTGGCACGTGAATGCTTCCCCACTGCGTGCTGCTGTTGTGGGGAGGAAGTAGCAGCCGCCAACCGCTGTTTTATTAATAATGAGGCATTCACATAAATTCCATGCAAAATTGATTTTTGACTGTTATATAAGAATCAAATACTAGGCTTTAAAAAGTAATTGAGAAATCTATTTGTAATTTACTTTGCCTATAAGAACCCGCTGTCCTGCCATAAACAATTTTACAGTATTTTCCCCCCTGTTAAACAGCTATTTTTTACACATCTGTTTGGCCCTTTTGCACGACATGCAGTCAGGAGGTGTAACGAATACAGGTTTGAAACAACATGTGGCCACCATTTCTTTCAGTTTCATCTTCAAGGGGATCTCTTGAAAGTTGTGATATCATTTTCATCACAGTACAAGTGAAGTATGTTAATGGCTAGTTATCTGACACTGGGTGTTGACTGATGAGTCATAAATATGCCTTCTGGTGGTAGGAAAGCATGATGACAAAGCTAAGTAATGAAAAAAAAAAGAAAAAAAAACCCAAACCAACGAACCAAAACAGTCTGTTTCTCACTTGTCTTTAAATGCCTTAAGGGCTATGGTCAAATGGAAAGTTCTGTTACAAAGAGTTTCTCTGGGAACCTATTCAATATTCAGCAGTCCTGTACATATTCAACTGTACCAAAAGTATTTAAAGTGTAATTGATTTATTTCTAATTTTTCTTAAGATGGAAATTAGATGGACAAGAAAAGTTTTAAAAGACATAGGTAATGTTACATATTTTGGCTTAACTTCTATTTTCTAAGGATTATTTCTCAGAAGAGAACATGCTTCTGTTCTTATTCTAGGACTTTTTTTTTTTCCAAAAGAAATCCCTTAAAAAGAAAAACAAATCCCTAGTATATTTAAAAAATCCATTCCCCACCATGATCAAATTAGAACATTTCCATCACCCTAGAAGTTCCCTTGTGCTCCTACAGTCAATATATTCCCCCAGCTCTTGGCCCCAGCCAACCAACTACTGATCTGCTTTTTGTTGCTATGGTTTTGCCTTTCCTAGAATTTCATACAGACAGAATCATAGTATGTAGCCCTTTGTGTTTACCTTTTTTCACTTAGCATAATATTTTTGAGATTCACCTATGTTGTCGAGAGTACTAATATTTTGTTGCTTTTATAGTAATACTCCATTGGATATACCACAATTTGTTTATCCATTCACTGGTTAATAGATACTTGGGTTGCTTTCAGTTTTGACGATTATGAATAATGCTGCTATAAACATTGATGTAAAAGTTTTGCGTGGACACATTTTTATCTCTCTTGGGTAAATATCTAGGATAAAGATTGCTGGGTCACATGGCTTGTATATGTTTAACTATATAAGAAATAGTACCATTTTATACTGTCACACAGTCAATGTATGAGAGTTCAAGTTGTCCTACCTCTTCACCCATCCTTGATATTCTCAAGTGCGTAGTAAGTAGCTCATTATGGTTCTAATTGACATTTCCCTCATAATTTGTGATGTAGATCATCTTTTCATGTGCTTATTGGAATTTGTATAACTTCTTTTGTAAAGAGTCTCTTCAAATCTTTTCCCCATTTTATTGGGCTCTTGCCTTCTTAAGTTGTAAATATCTTTTATATATTCTGGATACAAGCCTTTTTGTCAGATATGTTTTTCATATCTATTATTTCAGTCCGGCTTGCCTTTTTTAACACTTTTTTCTGAAGAGCAAAAGCTTTTACTTTTGAAAATGTTTATAAATATTTTTCCTTATGAGTTGTACTTTTGGTGTCCTGTTTAAAAATGCCTTTCCTAACTGTTGTTACAAATATTTTCTCTTATATTTTCTTCCAGAAATGTAATAGTGTTAGCTCTTACTGTTTAGGCCTATGATGTATTTTGTGTTAGCTTTTAAAATATGTTGTAAGGTTGTTTTTTTCCCCTCTAGATATTTAGTTGTTGCAGCACTATTTTGCTGATTTTCCAATTTAGTTATGTTCACATCTTTGTCAAAAATCAACCATATAACTTTGGATTTATTTCTGGACTCTCTATTCTGTTCCATGAATCTATAGGTCTATCCTTGCCTCAGTGCCGCACTGTCTTGACGATCGTAGCTTTCTTGTAAGTCTTAGAATCAAGTAGGATAATAAATCCTTTATTATTCTTTTTCTAATTATTTTGGCTATTCTAGGTCCTTTCCATTTCCATATACATTTTAGCATCTGCTTTTCAATTTCTTCAAAGAAACCTGCTAGGATTTTGATTGAGATTGCATTGAATTTACAAATCAATTTAGGAAGAATTTATTTAAAAAATTAAATATATTTTAAATGACTACTAAAATTATAAACACGTGTGCTTGCTTCAGCAGCACATATACTAAAATTGGAATAATACAGAGAAGATTAGCATGTCCCCTGTGCAAGAATGACATGGAATTCGTGAAGCATTCCGTATTTTTAAAAGCTCAATATTACTGATTGTTAGATAAATGCAAATCAAAGCCACAATTAAATACCATCTCATGCCAATCAGAATGGCTATGATTAAAAAGTCAAAGAATAACAGATGCTGGTGAGGTTGTGGAGAAAAGGGAACACTTATACACTGTTGGTGGGAGTATAAATTAGTTCAACCATTGTGGAAAAAGCAATGTGGCAATTCCTGAAAGAGCTAAAAGGAGAACTACCTTTTGACCTAGCAATCCCATTACTGAGTTTATACCCAGAGGAATGTAAATCATTCTACCATAAAGACACATGCATGTGAATGTTCATTGCAGCACTATTCAGAATAGCAAAGACATGGAATCAAACTAAATGCCCATCAGTGACAGATTGGATGAAGAATGTGGCACATATATACCATAGAATACTATGCAGCCATAAAAAAGAATGAGATCATGTCTTTTGTGGGAACATGGATGGAACTGGAGGCCGTTATCCTTAGCAAATTAATGCAAGAACAGAAAACGAAATACTGCATTTTCTTACTTATAAGTGGTAGCTAAGTGATTGAGAACTCATGGGCACAAAGAGGGGAACAAGAGACACTGAGGCCTACTTGAGGGTGGAGGCTGGGAGGAGGTGAGGAGCAGAAAAAAAAAAACTGTGTATTAGGCTTAATACCTGGGTGATAAAATAATCTGTACAACAAACTCCCATGACATGAGTTTACCTATGTAAAAAACCTGCACATGTACCCCAACTTAAAAGTTAAAAAATACAACATGCACACTAAAACGTGACACATACCAATTTTTAACACACTGTGGATAATTAACATGTCAACTTGTGCAAGCAGGTAAACTAGGTTTTTAGTGCAAACAGAATAAAGCTTTTTTTTTGTCATCTGTTTTATCAAGGTGTGGCTGGACATCACAAACTGCTTTTAGAAAACTATTACTGTTTGCATCTGTTAATATATGTGAATTATGATAGTCTCAATTCTATGCAATCTAAACAAAATACAGCAATCAGTTGGAAGCAGGAGTTAATACGTCTGTTGCAACTGTGTTTATCAAGACTGCTTCATGGCCCGGCATGGTGGCTCACGCCTGTAATCCCAGCGCTTTGGGAGGCTGAGGTGGGCGGATCACGAAGTCAGGAGATCGAGACCATCCTGGCTAACACGGTGAAACCCCGTCTCTATTAAAAATACAAAAAATTAGCTGGGTGTGGTGGTGGGTGCCTGTAGTCCCAGCTACTCGGGAGGCTGAGGCAGGAGAATGGCGCGAACCCCGGAGTCGGAGCTTGCAGTGAGCCGAGATCGCGCCACTGTACTCCAGCCTGGGCGACAGAGCGAGACTGTCTCAAAAAAAAAAAAAAAAAAAAAAAAGACTGCTTCATTATTCATTGACTTTATAGTAAGTATATGTAGAAATTTGAATGCTCACAAATTTATACTAATAAAAACTTCTTCAAGATGTTTTATGTATTTCAACTGCATATCTATTATTGCAATCTGGCTTGCCTTTCTAAACAGGATTTTTTTTCTGAACAGCAAAAGCTTTTAATTTTGAAAAAGTTTATATATATATATTTTAGAATTTCAAGGTTTTATGTAAAATTCTAACAAGTTAGAGGTATTGCAATTTAGCAGAAAGAAAATAGGTTTGGAACAGCAGAGACCTGAGTTTAAATGGCAGCTCTATCTACAAGTAGCTTGGGCAAATTATCTGTTTCTGGGCCCAGTTTGCCTATCTGTAAAATGGGGAGAATAATGCCTGCTTCACAGGGGGGATGCAATGAAGTATTACATGCAAACACTTGGTATGTGCATAGCTGATGTATATGAAGGAATGGTGTTAGAAAAGTGGGTTTGGAGTCTGGCAAAAATTTTGAAGGACCTGATGAATGTTGAAATAGATTGAAATGTGAGGAAGGAAGTTTGCTTCTTTTACATATGGCTTACCTGTGGTGGTGTGCCTTCTCTGTCCACAGGTCCTTAATAGCAACTTAACATACATTTGTAGACGCTCAGGGTGAAGACCACTATGTCACCAAGCAATGTTCTGGTGGAAACTTCTGAAATTGAATGGACAATGCCAACTCTAAATGACTTTCCATAGGCAGTTTGAAAGCCCTCATTTCTTGGAAGCTTTCAGTAAGTGAGGGGCTTGTAGTGCAGAGTATTCTTTTCCAAGTAGTCCAGGAGGCATTGGCTTTGGCTGCACTTGGACATTGTTTTGCTTACTCCTCTGACTGTTGCTTTACTTCTGAGTCTCTCCTCTTTATTCCCATTTGGCACAGGCAGGTCAGTAAAGTCAGTCTTGTGAACACTGTAAGTGCCTGCTGGTCATCAATGCTTGCCTTTCAGCGGCTCACTCTCCACAGCCCCAGTGCCCTTGGAATGGGTGCTTAGTGAGACAATGAAATGAACAGGCATTGGGAGGCAGGAGCCCCAGATCTGTCATTTGTCCGTGAACTTGGACCAGTTCCCACATTTCAGTTTCTGCTTGATAAAATGCCTGACCTACTCAAGGGGCTACCATGGGGCACTGTATGAGAAATAGCATGGGGAATGTGCTTTGTAAATTGGGAAGTGATATATAAATCTTTGGGGTTGCTGTAATAGGACGCACCTGATATCACTGTCCTTTTGTTACATTTCCTTCTGCCACAAGAAGTTTAGTCGCATCTAAATTCTCTGACTTGAATAGAATTGGAATGAGGGTGGTGATGACTACAAACACAAACAAAAAAGTGGAATCATAGACTCCTGGAGTTGGACAGGATCCCAGTGGTCATCTATTTAAAAATCTATCTATAGAAAAAAGTAAGCATGGATCTCAAAGCCCCAGGGAAGGGAAAACCAGGCTTCCTATTGACACCTTATCTGTATCAGAGATGCACATATTTTATAGTTTATAGTTGAGGGACTCTAGGCTAAAAGACTTGCAGATGAGTTGAGGCACAAAAGATTCTGGAAAGAATTGGAATATTTTGGTCTCTGGTAAGTTAACAGAAAGCAAACAAAAAATCATTCCAAGGTAAGGTGAAAAATGTATATTTCTAATTTTTAATAGAAGTATGTCTGATGCTTTATTATTTAAGGTGAACAGTGTTTAGAGTTTTCAGGCACTGTTGCAAATAAAAAGTTAAAAAATCCTGGATGGATGAGACAAGCTGAATTTTACTGATTTGTTTTTTGATTGCCATTTTATTTAGTTATTTTACTGGTTTACTGCGTTTTGCTGATTCATATACTGGTTTGTTTATTAACTGTCAAATTGCTATCCCTATAAATTTAGCATATAAATGATGAATAGCTAAATAAAATGTGGTATATCCATACAATGGAATATTATTTAGCCATAAAAAGGACTGAAGTATGGATACATGCTACAACATGAATGAGGTTTTAAAACATTATGCTAAGTAAGAGCAGTCACAGAGAGCCATATATTGTATGATTCAATTTATAGGAAATGTCTAGAAGAGGTAAACCACAGAAACAGAAAATAGATCAGTGATCACCAGGGGCTTGAGGGAGCCAGTCATGGCCCCTTTTGGAGTGGTGAAAATGTTCTAAAATTGGATAATACTGATGGTGGTGCATCCTCATTAGTATACTAAAAAGTCATTAAATGGTATACTTTAAAAGTGTGAAGTTTATGGTATGTGAATTATATTTCAATTTCAACAATGGAAAAGAAATACATTATATTATGGTTATTTAAATTAAAAAACTCTATCTCAACAAAATTCTAATTTTAGGTAGGAAATTAGGAATATAACTTTTTAAAATAATCTGTACCATGGATGAAGAACATTGATGGTGTAACTGAAAGGAACACTGGTCTTGGCAAGTGGCATGATCTTGAGCAAATCACTGAACTTCTCTTAGCCTTGGTTGTCTATAAAATACGGACAGTAATTCCTTTCTAATGCTGTCAGGGAGTTAATGTGAAATAATAACAATAGTATGTATTTAATGAGTTTCCATCATCTACCAGGCACTATTCCTGGCATTTTACATGTATTATTGCATTTTTCTTATGAAGCATTATTGTTATCCCAATTTTACAGGTAAAAAAATGAAATACTGTGTGTAAAATTGCTATACAATTGGAAGACATGAATATATTATTTCACAGCATCATTAAAAATATTTTTTCAGTTTATTAAAGTGATTATGTGTGCATTAGAAAAAAATGAGGAAATATAAAAAGCTACAAGAAAATTAAAACCAACTCATAAACCTAACAAAACAGTAATATTTTGTATATTCTCTTCCAGTTTTAAAAAGTATGTGTATATGTAAACATATATGTGTATATATATTTAAATTAGTTGCATATCATAAATACAATATTGTATTCTGCTTTTTAGAATGATTTTAGTAACTGAGTATGGATGTACTCTCTTAAGCTGTGTGCTGAGGCCAGCAGCTGGTTTAAATAAGGTGCAGTGGATTCTGCTGTCATCTAGAAGTTCTCTATGTCCTAGCTAAAATGACCCTGATTTTGTTCAGATGTGTGGAAACGACTTGTTCAGTGAGGATGGGCATCCTCTCACCTTAGGAGGAGGAAGCTGGACTGATCAAAGCCCTGCGTCTGGGCTGCCCATGATTCATTTCCCAGCCAGTCATGACGATCCCATTCTTCTTGGCCTGCAAGTAGTTTAGGGGTTAGCAAGTGACACAGTTCTGCCAATGAGACATAAAACAGTCTGTTAGGGACTTTTGGAAAAGATTTTTCTTCTGCTAAGGAGAGAGAAGCATGGGGCAAAAACCTCCTTCTGTTGGAAATGCCAGCCCTGCCTCCCTGCCACTGGCTCCTGGGCTCTCTGGTCATCTTTCCGGTGTGAGGGAAAGCCAGGGCCGGCTCAGCCATGCCAACCTGACCCTGGGTTCCAGCGCTGCCTTCACTCATCTGGGAACATGTGGCTTCACACTTGGTATGTGGAGTTATAGTGCTTGAGGACCTGCAGTCCGCAGTGAAATAACTAGTGTGAAACAGTGAAATAAATGATATGATGTATATTTTTAAAAACATATGTATTTCTCAAACAGTTTTTTTTTAAATTTAAAGCATATACACTTTCATTCACCATTTTAAAAAAGTGTAGGCCAAGGTTGTTTCTTTAATTATGACAGACAGTTTGGGCTTTCTGGCATAAACAATATCAATAATGCTTTTGTAATTTCTAGGTTTCTATTTTTGCTTGTTTTGAAATAGAAAACTTAGAGAGAATTAAAAATTGAGCACAGGCCTCTGTTAAATCAGCAGTTCTCAATCTTGAGAATCACTGCTATGGACTTTTTGATTTGTAACAGCAACATTCCTTTCTTACTTCCTTTTTTTAGGCAATTTGATTTTGGCTAAATTTTGCAAATCAACTTAAATTTCATAAAACAACTGTTATCTTTCTTTTTGCATTTATAATTTCAATAGCAGTTACCAAGAACATAAATAGGCTGGACACAGACCCATCCCACTTTTGTTAAATTCCCACCCAAATTTGGAGTGGAAAGTGCATGGGTAAAGTTCTACTGAGGAGTGCTCCATGTGCTTTACAAAGGGAGTAAAAATGACTGACTAATGAAGTAAGTGGATCAGCAGAAGTTCATTAAGAAAGATTCTACTGGATGTAGATATGTGTTTAACCATTATCATTTTGTTAAACAAATTTTTGTTTATACTTTTTAACTTAAAAGCTGAAATGAATATCCTTATAAATCTTTGTCTGTGTAAATGATTATTAGGATACATTTCTAGAACAAGAATTATATATCAAAAAGATATGGGCATTTTGAAAGTTTTTGGCATATATACTCAAACTGCTTTCCAAAAAGATTGTATGAATTTATATTCCTACCATGTCTTTACATCTTTACTAATTCAAAATATTTTAAATTAAGAAGCATGCTAATTTTAACCCCAAATTTTGGCTTTTATTTTCCAGCAATAATTTATCTGATATAGTGAGATTGGGTGTTTAAAAATTGTTATTAACAATGTATTTTTTTCTGTGAATTTTCAGTTTATATGCTGAACATAGCCTGATTTTCAGGTTATATGACCATAGAGGTATGCTAGTTAGCCCTTGGTAATTAACTTCAGTTAATTTAAACAGAAAAAGAATCTGTTGAAAAGTTGTTGGGTAGCTTACAGAATTCAGGGGAACACTGAGAACCAGGCTTGGGCAGGAGCCAAGGGGGAAGGGGCACAGTCCACATCCTGCTCAGGAGTAGCCTGTTAAGGCACCACAGCTACCACCTTTACTGCTGGACAATGGCTGGCACCATGGCCGGTGGGCTATGACTCCGTTGGCCTCTGGACTCCACCACAGAACCTGTGAATAATCTCCAGTGGATACTCTTCCTTTCTGTCTCTACTTCACAGACACAAACGCTCAGGTGGGAGCAGCTGATTAGCTGTGTTTAGGTCGCAGGGCCTCCCACTATGGGCCAGCAAGCAGGGATGGCAACCTGTCCACCATGGGATTTCCTCCAAAGGGAAAAATGTTGGATTTGGGCACCTAAATGACAGAAATCCACTACCGGCATGTGGTTTTATTCAAGTGTATGAGCTCCTTATATGCAATGTATAGTGACGTAATATCCATCACAGTTTGGAAAAAAAAGTATTTTACCAGCTTGTTTGCTTTTAAATTTTATTTATATTGTTTTTTGAAATAGAAAAGTTTAATTTTTTCATGGAGTAAAACCTATTGACTTTTTACTTTTTTTATTTTACATTTTCTATTATATTTATGCCTAGAAAACCTTCCCCAATTTTTTGCTTATATATTTATCCACTTTCAAAGGTTTTTATGGTGTGTAAGAGTGTGTGTGTGTGGTGTAAAGGAAGGATCTAATTCTTGTCTATTTATCAGGCCCACATGATTTAAAAAAATTTTTTTATTATTATTATACTTTAAGTTCCAGGGTAGATGTATACAATGCGCAGGTTTATTACATAAGTATACATGTGCCATGTTGGTTTGCTGCACCCATCAACTCGTCATTTACATTAGATATTTCTCCTAATGCTATCCCTCATCCAGCCCCCCACCCCCCAACAGGCCCCAGTGTGTGATGTTCCCTGCTCCGTGCCCAAGTGTTCTCACTGTTGAGTTCCCACCTATGAGTGAGAACATGCGGTGTTTGGTTTTCTGTCCTTGTGATATTTTGCTGAGAATGATGGTTTCCAGCTTCATCCATGTCCCTGCAAAGGACACGAATTCATCCTTTTTTATGGCTGCATAGTATTCCATGGTGTATATGTGCCACATTTTCTTAATCCAGTCTATCATTGATGGACATTTGGGTTGGTTCCAAGTCTTTGCTATTGTGAATAGTGCTGCAATAAACATATGTGTGCATGTGTCTTTATAGTAGCATGATTTATAATCCTTTGGGTATATACCCAGTAATGGGATGGCTGGGTCAAATGGTATTTCTAGTTCTAGATCCTTGAGGAATCGCCACACTATCTTCCACAATGGTTGAACTAGTTTACAGTCCCACCAACAGGGTAGAAGTGTTCCTATTTCTCCAAATCCTCTCCAGCATCAGTTGTTTCCTGACTTATTAATGATCGCCATTCTAACTGGTGTGAGATGGTATCTCATTGTGGTTTTGATTTGCATTTCTCTGATGACCAGTGATGATGAGCATTTTTTCATGTGTCTGTTGGCTGCATAAGTGTCTTCTTTTGAGAAGTGTATCAGGCCCACATGTTTATCTAGCTGCATTGACTGAGTCTTTTCCCACTGATTGTGATGGTATCTTAATTGCATAATAAATTCTTTTATATACCAGGTGTGTTTCTAGGCTATTTATTCCATTCCATTGATCTGCCTTCTGATTTTTGCTGCAGGTTTTTGCAGTTTAATTGCTAAAACTTTATAGTATGTTTTTATCACCGAGGTCTTCTTTCATTACTCATGTACTTGTTTTTTGTTCTTCCCAAAATGTGATAGTCAGTTCTTTTTTTATGGTTCCAGTTAAACTTTAAAAATTAAATCCTATAGCTAATTAATTAAATTGACAAATAAAAATTGTATATATTTATGGCATACAACATATTTTGAAATATATTATTGTGGAGTGGAGTGGCTAAATTGAGCTAATATATATGTATTACCTCACATATTTCACTTTCTTGTGACAAGAACACTTAAAATCTCCTCCCCTAGTGATTTTCAAGTATACAGTACATTGTTATTAACCATAGTCACCATATACAATAGATCTCTTGCACTTCTTTTTCTTGTCTAATTGAAATTTTGTGTCCATTGACTAATATCTCCCCACTCCCTCTCTCTCCAGCCCCCGGGAACTATCATTCTACTCTCTGCTTCTATGAGTTCAACTTTTTTAGTTTCCACATGTGAGATAATGCAGTATTTGACTTTCTGTGCCTGGCTTATTTTACTTAACATAATGTCCTCTAGGTTCGTCCCTGTTGTTGAAAATGACAGGAATTCCTTCCTTTTTTTTTTTTTCAATCTGAATAGTTTCTTTATCCATTCATCTGTTGATTAACACTTAGGTTGATTCTATATCTTGTCTATTGTGATAGTGCTGCAGGGTATATAAAGTGGAGGTATCTCTTCAACATTCTGATTTTACTGATTTTATTCCCTTTGGCTATATTACCAAAGTACCAGGGATTTGGTCTAGGCCCTGTTGGTCATCACACAGAAAGCCAACACGGAGACAATAATTATCACAAGGATAGGAGGCTTTATTTGGGTGCTGCAGCCAATGAGATGTGAGATCAGTCTTAAATCCATCTTCTCAACTGACTAAAATTAGGTTTTTATACAGGAGGGGGAGAAATGCACCCGTGTGTGGGAAAATAGGAATTGGGGAGGGATAAGAAAGAGGAGTTGGTCAACAGAAAGCAGGTGGTCAGACAGGCAATCATCACAGGTGAAGGGTTTGGCATCTAATTGTCCAGATGCAACAGAGATAAAAGGGAGGAACCAAAAAATTAAAAATGAGAAGAAAGAGGACATAACAGATACATTAAATTTTAAAAGAATTATTCTTTATGTTAATAAATTTTGATAATTGCCATTCTAAAAGGTGTGAGGTGGTATGTCATTGTGATTTTGATTTGCATGTCCCTGATGATTAGTGATGGTGAGCACCTTTTCATATACTTGTTTGTCATTTATATGTCTTCGTGTTAAAATTTATTCAAGTCCTTCGCTTGTTTTCTAGTCAAGTTGTTTGTTTGTTGCATTGAGTTGTATGAATTTCTTATATATTTTGGAGACCAACCCCTTATCAGATGTATGGTTTGTAAATCTTTTCTTCTACTTTGTAGGTTGTCTCTTCACTCTATTGATAGTTTCTTTTGCTGTGCAGAAGCTTTTTAGTTTGATTTAATACTACTGCCAAACACCAAGGGTTGAGTGTAGGTCTGGTTGCTTGCTGCACAAAAAGCCAATCATTGAGACAATGAGTATTGCTAGGGAAGAAAAGCCTTATTGCAGGTAACATCAGCTGTGAGATAGGAGACAATTCTCAAATTCATCTCTCCAACCCACTAAAGTTAGGAATTAATATAGGAGTTTGTCAACAGGCAGCTGGCGGTGGGATGAGGGGTCTGGTGTTTTATTGTAACCACATGCAGTGATCTGTAAAGTTTTCATTCCTTTATACTATTGGGAGAAAAATTGGGCTGGTTTCAATCTCATTTGCCTATTTTCACTTATTGCCTGAGCTTTTGGCGTCGTATCCAAAAAAGTCATTGCCCAGACCAATGTCATTGTTTCAGTTAAACTTTAGAATAATTTACCAAATTCTGAAAATTATCCACATGAACATAGTTAACTCTTCAAATTAATTTTAGAATATTTTTTAAAATATTGTTATAAAATTGGGTTTTCCTA
The DNA here is from genome assembly GCF_000001405.40 of Homo sapiens. Classification (NCBI taxonomy): domain Eukaryota; kingdom Metazoa; phylum Chordata; class Mammalia; order Primates; family Hominidae; genus Homo; species Homo sapiens. The sequence continues at coordinate 176,920,092 of NC_000002.12, read as the reverse complement.
TGCAGAAACATTTTTTCAGATATTCCTTTGTGTTTGATAAAATGTTGCAGCTTGTTCATTTTCATTGTATGTCTTCATTTTAAATATTTTTTCATTTGAAAGCTTAAAAAAAAAAATCACCGGTAGATCAATCTGACCCTTGTGCCTTTGATAACCTTCCATTTTTTATCTGGTTGTTTATCAATTTAGATAATCTACTTTTTCTTAACACAATTGATGATTTATGCTTTATTGTGATATAATCCATTATATCAGTATTTACAAACGTATTAACATAAAGAGTAATTCTTTTAAAATTTAATGTATCTGTTATATCCTCTTTCTTCTCATTTTTAATTTTTTTGTTCCTTCCTTATATCTCTGTGTTCTATATTAGGTTTGTCAGGTCTTTGTCTAGTTTTTCCAAAAAGCCAGCTGTTGTTTGTATGTATCACATAAGCACTTTTCTGTTTTCTAATACTACTATGGCAGGGATTAAGGATAAAGACTCTGGACTCAGACAGACCTGGATTAAATCCTGACTTTGCCATTTGCTAGCTGTGTGATCTTGGGCAAATTACCTAATGTCTCAAAAATCTTAATTTCTTTATTTGCAAGCTATAATGATACCCATCTCTCAGGAATAATGTGGGGATTCAATAAGATAATTATTTAAGGCCCTTGGCTCAGTACCTGCCTCATGGTAGGTGGTCAGACATCATCATCATCATTGTCATTATCATTTTATTTTCAATTTATTTTTACCAATTATCAAATTGATCAATTTATCAAATTATTCATTTATTTTCCTAGGCGACTTAATTCATTAAAAGTGTGAATTCACTTCTGATTGGAATTTTGGCACTCTCTCACAACTTTTATTAGTATTCTCAGTCATGTTATTTCTTCATTATATTATTTAAAAGCTACTCTGTTATTGAGGATTTGATTTCCTTTGTAACTTAGTTTAGAGAAATGTTTGTTAAAGATTCTAAGCTATTGGTTTTACTTATTTATTAGTTTGTCTCAATATGTGATAATAGTTTTGGGGTTGATCATATTGTGGTTGGAAATTTGTGGCCTTTAGAATTTCCGCTTTGGGGAATTAATTGCCGTTTTATAGTCTAATATATGAGCATTGCTTATTAAATATTGCTATTATATGGTCTATAACAGTGTTTATGACCATTCTCCCTTCATTGTAGATTATACCTTTTATCAATAAATAATTAAATTTTTGGCCTGCTTATTGCTTTTTGGCTTGACTGCTGGTTTGTAAGCTTTCTTTTGCTTATATGGATCAGATACATGTTTACTCATGCTTATGCCACTTACCTTTATGGGTCACTTAGGTTCTGGTGGGTTTCTTTTTCTTTTTTTCTGAGACAGGGTCTCACACTGTGGTCAGTGCAGTGGTGCGATCTCGGCTCACTGCAACTCCGCCTCCTGGGTTCAAGCAATTCTTCCACCCTCAGCCTCCTGAATAACTGGGATTACAGGCACTTGCCACCATGCCTGGCTAATTTTTTGTATTTTTAATAAAGATGGGGTTTCACCATGTTGGCCAGGCTGGTCTCGAACTGCTGATCTCAAGTGATCTGCCCTCCTCAACCTCCCAAAGTGCTGGGATTATAGGTGTGAGCCACCATACCCAGGCTTGGTGGGTTTCTTTTCAGTGGCAGAGTTAATTTTTATTTTTGAAGGCAATTTGAAAATATCGATCATTAACAGGTTGCTTTAACCCATTCATAATTTTTCTCATAATTTATGTTTTATCTTCTTTCTGATATTTTGCTATTTTCTTATCTGCTTATTTGCTCTGTAAAGTATGTTTTATTTACTTTTAAAATGTACTTTTATTACTTTATTAAGGTAATCTTGAAATATAATCTTATTTAAAATTTACTATTGGTTGCCTTTGAATTATTTTTAAAAAAATTCCTTAACATTTCTCAAGTCTTCACATTAAAATCCCCTATATACCATATCTTTGTTAATATAAACCTAGATTTAAGATATGTATTATTCCTATTACTTTTGTATGTAAGATTTTTCTTTCATGGATATTTTTGGACATTTACTTTTTGTTCTTAACAAATTTTACAATAATTATTTGATATAATTAAAATGTATACCTTCTTTTACGGCTCATTGCTAACCATTCAAAGCACAATAGTTCCATTCTTATGTTGTTTGTCTTAAATTATCTCTCAGTCAGAAAGAGTATGTCTTTAAGTAATTTTTTTCAAGAAGGGTTCCAGGGAAATGTATTTTCTAAGAGCTTTCAGATTTGAAAATAGTTTTCTGTTATTTTTGCCCATGAAAGACAACTTGTCTGGGCATAACATCATGGGTAGAACTGTTTCCTCAAAATTCTGTAGATGTTCTGTCTTTATAGAATTTACTAAGGTAAGAGAAACATCTGAATTTTTTTGATTTTCATTGATTTGAGAATGAACTTCTCTCCCACCTCCCCAGTCCCCTGCCCCTTGCTCACATGCTATGGGTTACTTTTTATTTATCTCTGACCTTCAAGAGTTCTCATAGCTATTTCTAGATATATCTTAATAGTTTCATTTTGCTTGGTATATAGCGGATTCTTGATCTGTTTATTATTGTTATTTTTTATTTTTATTTTTGAGATGGAGTCTCTCTCTGTCACCCAGGCTGGACTGCAGTGGCACAGTCTTGGCTCACTGGAAACTCTGCCTCCCGGGTTCAAGCCATTCTCCCGCCCCAGCCTCCTGAGTAGTTGGGATCACAGGCATGTGCCACCACACCCAGCTATTTTTTGTATTTTTAGTAGAGACGGTGTTTCACCATGTTGGTCAGGCTGGTCTTGAACTCCTGACCTCATGATTCACCTGCCTCGGCCTCTCAAAGTGCTGGGATTACAGGTGTGAGCCACTGTTCCCAGCCACTCTAACATTTTTTAAGGCTAAAAAAGGTTACAAATTGATTACAACTTTTGTTCCAACTCTTCTGTTTCTTCCTGAAAAATATGTATAGTTCTTAGGCCTTCCATATAAGACAAAAAACTTCAGGCGGGGTGCAATGTCTCAAGCTTGTAATCCCAGCACTTTGGGAGGCTGAGATGGGTGGATCACTTGAGGCCAGGAGTTTGAGACCAGCCTGGACAACATAGTGAAACCCCGTCTCTACTAAAAATACAAAAAGTAGCCAGGCCCAGTGTCGCGGGCCTGTAATTCCAGCTTCTTGGGAGACTGAGGCAGGAGAATTGATTGAACCTGGAAGGCAGAGGGCAGAGATTGCAGTGAGATTGTGCCACTGCGATAAATTTAACAGAATTTAATTGAGCAAAGAATAATTCCCAAATCAGGTAGTCCCTGCTACTCCAATCCAGAACAGCACTGCCATGTGGTAGAGGATTTATGAGTAGAACAGGGAAAGTGATGTACAGAAAAGGGAAGTGAGGTACAGAAACAGTGGGATTGGTCTCAGCTCAGCGTTTGCTTTACTTGAGCACTGACTGCCTGTGATTGGCCAAAACTCAGTGATGGATACAAGAGGAGGTTAGTTTGTTTACACATCCAGTTAGGTTACAGTTCACTATGTACTGAAAAACCTTCAGACTGAACTTAAAATACATAAGGAGGCAGCTTTAGGTTAAATTTAACACTTATCTATTATCTTCTCTTTAATTTTCATCTTTATTCTTTTCCTCTAGATACCAGAGGAGTTTCTCATGGTCTCCTACTTTACTGACCTAATGAACTGCAGTGTCATTTCTGTTTGAAATAGCTTCAAATGCAGATTTTAATTCCATCATCATTGCCTTTTGGTTTCACTTAAATTCTTTTTTACCTTAACACATTTTCATTATCCTCTCATCTTGCTGTCTTTTTCTGATGATCTATTCTTTCGCTATGGGCATCTGCTTCTATTCCATAGAGGCCATTATTTCTTGAATTCTTTTGAAGATTGAAATAATTTTCCAAAATTAAAAAAAATTCCTGTGATAAATCATTTTCAGAAGTCTGTGTTCCCTCCAAGTCTTTAGTATGATTTCTTCTATCTCTATTTCTATGTCATTTACCAACATGCATTTGTTAATTGTTCTTCTTGTCACTCTCAACAAGATCCATCTAGATTGGTGTTTCCAGCAGGCCCTACTCTCTGTCCACTGAATACTGGTTCAATTCTCTCTATAGAGCTACATCCAGAGGGCAAGCTCTGGGTGAGACCCAGAGCCACTAGCTCAATTTCTGGTGTTTGACTTGCTTTCTTTCCTTAAATATTGACCCAAGATTAGCTTTTGTCTTATGTTCATTTTGTTCCTTCTGACAGGAAAGCTTGTGGTATTAAGCATATGTGGTTGTCAGTTTTTTGTTGTTGTTGTTGTTCTCTCTTCCCTTATATTGTGCTGTCTTCAGTGGAACACCTTCTTGACTATAACGAGGCTCCTTTAAAACCTGCCTTCCCATTCTCTCTTGCTGACCAATTCTTTTTTAAGTAGCTACCCTGTTTTTATGAAAAAAGCTACCAATGAGAGATTGGATGTGGAAGGAGAATAACACTCCAGCTTAAAAAGGAACACGTATATAGTAGAAGGATGGCTGGCTGATTTAATGAGCCAGGTGGCAGACAGTGGGGAAGAGATAATGGGTCGTTCCAATTTCAGACAGGTGGGCTTTCTCCAGGGCTGGTGGCAAGCACAGGTGGGCCACTGATTGCCTTTAAAAATCTAGGTCCGTTGATCTTATAGTTAGTGGTAAGGTTGATTAGCAATCTTAATTTTTGGTGGCAACATAAATTGTGTGTGTATGTGTGTATTTTGGTGGAAAAGGCTATATCAGGGCCATTAGCCAGATGCCGTTTTAAACTGGAACTCTTTAGGGTCTTTTTACTTAAAAACTTAATTAACAGATTGCTTTTATCTACCAACTCATGTGGCATATGTGGGCTATAAGAAAGTGAAGGCCTAAAAGATGCCCAGTGGAATGAAGAGAGAAGACAGATTTGGGAATTGTGCTTCGTCGCTCACCTCTTTACCTCCCACTCACTCATCCACTGTTTCCTGCTGCCCCAGCACTCTTTGTTCTCACTCCTTGAATCTCTTTATTTTCCCAAGCCTAGATCTCTGGATTTAAGCCTTATTTTATATCCACTTTCTCATGTCTACCTGATACAGGTATCACGTTCATTTCTTTGCCGCCTCCCCAACAACTCCAGTTTTACTCCTCAGGTTCTCTTGAGATCATGATGATCAGGTACTCAATCTTTGCAGAAATGGTGTATGCTGGGATGGACTTACCCTTTACTTCCACCTTTTATAGGGACCAGTGTGTCAGCTTGTGCCTCATTTAGGTGGCAATTACAGGTAACAGATGGAGGAATGGCTGCATCACCCCCAACAGCTTGTAGATTCAAGACTGACCCTGCTTTTCTGTATAGGTCCAGCATGTTGCATGGAAAGAGGATTTAGGACTGGGCATCCTGCCTGTTCCAAAGGCATAATCCACAGCTGCTGTGATTTCCAGCCTGGTGGCGTGGCCTAAGATCCCACTTTGTGTGACGCTGAGAGAGGAAGCCAGGAAAAGTTTTCCACTTGTTGCGTGTAAGATCAGGATGGGTAACCTAGCAACACAGATTTCAAATAGTTTTGTCTTATTGGTTAAACTGACACATTGATGTAATTGTGCAAGCCAGGCAAATATGTAAAAAGACCTTTAAAACAACAAAAATTCAATTCTTTGATGTGAAGGCACAGGTCACCATTAAAATTCCCTTTATGATCCTGATGTTGAGGGTCTAAGTTATTGTCATATTTCATGTGTTAAAAAGGGTTTAATGTACTGGGCCCATAGATAAATCCTATATTCAGTCTCTTTTCTTTTACATTTCCATATTTTTTACAGCTGTTGCCACCATGAATATCCTCTATAAAAGTGGAGTAATTTCAAGAAGTATCATAAAGGCTGTATACTTCACCTGTACTTTACCTTTTTATTGGGTTGTTTTGTTATACCAGGTAAAAAATGCACTTGTACATTTCCTGTTTTCACTGGAGCAATGAGTGTGATCATATCGGAATATCAAATAATTTTTCCAAACAATCTTTTGCCTTTCATTGTCTTAAAAGAACAGATAAGAGCACTACATTGACAGTATTTTAACCATGTTATTACTTAAATAATACTTTTTTTTCCCCAATTACCATTAAGCCTGGGTGAAGTGGCTCATGCCTGTAATCCCAGCACTTTGAGAGGCTGAGGTGGAAGAATTGCTTGAGCCCAGGAGTTCAAGATCAGCCTGGGCAACACAGTGAGACCCTGCATCTCTACAGAAAATGAAAATTAAAAAATTAGCCATGTGGTGGTGTGCACCTGTAGTCCCTGCTATTTGGGAGGCTGAGATGGGAGAATTGCTTGACCTAGGAGTTCAAGGCAACAGTGAGCCATGATTGTGCCACTGCACTCCAACCTGGGTGACAGAGCGAGATCCTGTCTCAAAAAAAAGTATCATAAATGGAAACATTGTAAACTATGCTTACACAGCAGCAAATATACAAATCTTCATAAAAAATAAGGTGTCTAAATAATACCAAATGGTTAGATTTTGTCATTCGTTTTTGTATGCCCCAGTGCCTTGCATGGACATCTTAAATAATTATTTGGTAAATGAGTGAATATTTGGTGTGTTGCTGATATAACTTAGATTGCCTCTGCCATCTGATACTGATACTTGATATTAAATTATATGAGACTGAAAAGGTAAGAATGATTGTATTTGTGGTTTGCAGGTGGAGGAGAAAATTTAGATCATAAGAAGTCAGAGAATCAAATCATGCAATTTATTCTGGTACCAGCTTTTCATGAAAGTGATAGTTTTACCTAGGCATGGACCGACCAGGAACCTTGTTCTGTGGTTGTGCCAAGGCCCCTCTGTGTATAGACTAGAGGAGGCTTTTGTCCCTAAGGGAGATACTATGTGTGATCTCTGGGGTATGTGGTATCTTCTGGTTCTGCTATGATTGGTTTATGATCTGCTATGATTCCCTTCTGCTCATGGATATAACCGATCATGCTACCATAGTTGATTGATTGACTATGTATGTATGTATGTATGTTTTTAGAGACAGGGTCTTGCTCTGTCACCCAGGCTGGAGAGCAGTGGCACTATTATAGCTCATTGCAGCCTCAAGCTCCTTAGCTTAAGTAGTCCTCCTGCCTCAGCCTTCTGAGTAGCTGGGGTTATAGACACAGCACTTGGATTATTATTATTTATTTTATTTTTTGTAAAAACAGGGTTTCGCTTTGTTTCCCAGGCTGGTCTCCAACTCCTGGCTTCAAGCAGTCCTCCTGCCTTGGCCTCCCAAAGTTCTGGAATTATAGGCATGAGCCACTGTGCCTGGCCTTGGTTGACTATTTAAAACTACATATTACTTTTTTTTTTAAACAAAACAATAGGCTGGCTAGTAGATATTTTACATTTTAATTGGGTTTCTCTGGTGTTATAGAAATATTTCCTTAAACACTGAGATCCCTGGAATACAACAGTAGGAGGTTAAGATGCTGTGAATCCCCTGAATATAAACTAGTTGTTGGAAATTCAAAGGATTCAAAAGATCCTTTTCCTCCTTCCAAGCCCGAAAGATGCATGTCTGATGCCCTTTTAGCCAGAAAGGGGAGAAAGTGAGGTGTTTCTGTGATAAGGACAGCATTCTCAAATCAAATATTTACTGAGTACCAATAAATGATACCTTTGTATAGTACAAATGATGAGTTCATGTCCTTTGTAGGGACATGGATGAAACTGGAAACCATCATTCTCAGCAAACTATTGCAAGGACAAAAAACCAAACACTGCATGTTCTCACTCATAGGTGGGAATTGAACAATGAGAACACATGGACACAGGAAGGGGACCATCACACACCAGGGCCTGTTGTGGGGTGGGGGAAGGGGGGAGGGATAGCATTAGGAGATATACCTAATGTTAAATGACGAGTTAATGGGTGCAGCCCACCAACATGGCACATGTATACATATGTAACAAACCTGCATTTTGTGCACATGTACCCTAAAACTTAAAGTATAATAATAAAAAAAAGTGTTATTTCATCTTTTCAGCAACAGAAAGTTGGCAGGGAATGTTGCTTTTCTAATTTTATGGGTGAAAAATTTGAGGCTTGAGCATTTAACTGACTTTCTTAAAGTCACAGGGCTACTAATTAGTAGAGATGGGAACAGATTTCAGGTTTTTTTCATTTTTGGCACTATATCCCTTCCTTTTCTCCAATATAATATTAATACTATTAATAAAATATGCAGCCAGGCGTGGTGGCTCATACCTGTAATCCCAGCACTTTGGGAGGCTGAGGCAGGTGGATCACTTGAGCCCAGGAGTTCGAGACCAGTGTGGGCAACATGGCAAAACCCCGTCTCTCAAAAAATACAAAAATTAGCCCAGTGTGGTGGTGCATGTCTTTAGTCCCAGCTACTTGGGAGGCTGAGGCAGGAGGATCACTTGAGCTGGTAGGTTGAGGCTTCAGTGAGTGTGATTGCACCACTGCACTCCAACTTGGGGGACTGAGTGAGACCCCATCTCAAAAAAAAAAAAAAGCTAACTTTTAATGAGTCAGGTAAAATTTACTCTTCACAGTCTCATTTTCTCCTCACAGCAGATCTGTAATGTAGGTGCTGTCATCATCCCCATTTACAGATGCAGGAGCTCAGGCAGAGCCTGCTATGGCAACTTACCATGGTGTTGTGGGACACTCCAGGGTGAATGACACAAAACTTGCTCTCAAGGAGTTTATAGCCAAATCAGGGCAGTAAACTGTGCATATGTAAATGACAATAATAATAATATGTTTGAATAATAGCTTGATAGCAGAGAGCAGTATCACGGAGCAGTTTCTAATTATAAAATTGATTATACTGAGAGAGAAATATGTACTGTAAGAGTTAATAGAAGGGTGAGGTGATTACTCTGGGCTGAGGCAGTAATGAGGCCAGGAGAGTCACGGGTGGGGTTTGAGCTGCACTTGGAAGGGTCGGGAAGTGAATGAGGGGGACCCCTCCAGGAGGTGGGACCATGTGAGCAAGCCACGAGCTGCAGCACCCCACACTGGGGGGACTTTCCAGGTCTCTCACCACCATTGCTCATGCTTTTCCTTTCTCTATGGAAGGTTTTTGCTTTCACCATTTCATAGCTTTAGATGAAAAGATAACTGAAGAGCATGTTTTGAGGGTTCAGTAGTTAACAGAATAAGCAGCAAATTAAAATAGACCTACTTTTTGTCATCAAGACAATTTTGCTTAAGCAAATGTGATTTGGAAGTCTTCTCCTGAACTCTCCTGTAGTGGATAGTCCTGGTGTAAATAAAGCCCTTTAAGAGGTCCTTTCTCTCTGTTAAGGATCATAAGAGGCTACATGAGGCCATGTGCTGCCCATTTAACTCAAAACACTTCTTGGCAAGCACTTCTCTGTGAACCAGGAAAAGAAGTTTCAGAGCTCCAACTCTTCTGAACTCCTGTGTTTTGTTTGTTTGTTTGCTTTTTCCTGATCAAATTTACCTTGTTTTGCAAACTTGACTTCCAGTGGGAAGAAGAAAGGTGTCTACAAGAGAGAATTTGAAGCTGGAGGATTCCTCTGCTAGACTCTGACCGAAGCCCTTTCCTTAAATGGTACAAATACAAAAAGTGAGCAATTGTTTTCAAGCTTTGGGCTGAAGTTCTACTGGCAGACATTAATTGCCAACATCCTGTTTTCCTTCTTAGTAGAAAAAGCTGAGAATGTTTCAAAGTTGGAAGGGGCTGGAAATCTAACTCATACCCCGCTCATTTTATGCATGGTGATGGCAGAGCCTGAGACAACAGTGAAATCTAATAACAGGTACAAAGTTCCTAGCCAGAGAATGTCAGACTTCAGAGGAGAGCCACAGTATTGGACTCTTAGTTCAGAGTTCATGACAAATACAGACACTCCTCAACTTTTGATGGAGTCACATCCTAACAAACCCATTGTAAGCTGAAAATATTATATATAAAAAATGCATTTAATGCACCTAATGTACTGAACATCATAGCTCAGTCTGGCCTACCTTGAATATGCTCAGAACACTTATATTAGTATACAGTTGGGCAAAATCATCTAACACAAAGCCTGTTTTATAAAAGTGTTGAATACTTTACACAGATGGACATTTTGTCGGCATGATGGGATGTGAAAACAAAACACAATATCCAAAAAAACACAACAGAATATTGGTTGTTTACTCTCAGGATTATATAGTTGACTGGGAGCTGTGCCTCTCTGCCACTGCCCCTGAGGGTAGAGTATCATACAGTGTGTATCACAAGTCTGGGAAAAGATCAAAATTCAAAAACAGAAGTATGGTTTCTACTGAGTGCATATTGGTTTTGCATCATCATAAAGTCGGAAAGTCATTAAGTTGAACCATTGTATGTCAGGGATCATCCATAGTGTCTCTTCAGTTGTCTGTAGAACGCTTAATTTTTTTTAAAGTTTAAGTTCTGGGATACATGTGCAGAATGGGCAGGTTTGTTACATAGATATACATATGCCATGGTGGTTTGCTGCACCTATCAATCTGTCACCTAGGTTTTAAGCCCTGCATGCATTAGGTATTTTTCCTAATGCTTACATTTATAAGAATGGCATATTGTTAATTTTTGTAAGCATAGGTGTGTCATGGGGGTCCCCTGACCTGGCCATTGGTAATGGTGAGAGCACAGGTAATGGTGGGGCAGTGGGTTGGGGGGACGTGCAGTCACTGGCCACACCTTGCACAAGACTCTACTCTTAGTGAGCTTTCAGTCTAGGTAGGTTTGCTGGCAATGTTTTTTTTTTTTTTCTTTAAAGTTGACAATGCTTTTTTTTAAGGAAAAATTCTTAATTTTTTAAAGAGCAATTTTAGGTTCACAGAGAAATTGAGCAGAAGGTACAGGGATTTCCTGCCCCACACCTACATAGCCTCCTCCATTATCAACATCCCCCATCAGAGGGGTACATCTGTTACCACTGATGAACCTGTACTGACACATCATTACCACTCCCAGTTCATAGTCATATCAGGGTTCACTCTTGGTGTTGTACAAATCATTCCATGATTTGGACAAATGTATAATGACATGCATACATCATTGTAATAGCATATGAAATATTTTCACTGCCCTAAAAATGTATTCATTGAAAACTCATCCATTGTTAGTGGAAATGCAAAATGGTACTACGACTTTAGAAGAAAGTTTGGTTATTTCTTACAAAACTAAACATACTCTTATCATACAATCTAGCAATCACACGCGTTGGTATTTACTCAAGTTGAAAACTTATGTTCACACAAAATCCTGCCCACTGATATTTACTGATATTTTAATGTAAATGGCTTTATGGAAATATGGACATCTCCTGACTTTGACTGTACCCTCAGCTCCTATTCCTCTATCCTTTGTCCTGTATTCACTGTCCACCTGGAACCTTGGTTTCTCTATCTCTCTGTCCCATGGAGGAAACATGAAGGTGTTGATTTCAGTCATTTACCTTCCCCTACTATGTTCTAGCCAGTGACAAAAACTTGATTGTCTTAAGGATGTCACGTACAGGAACAAAGCGGGAGTGCAATTTTGTTAATGTCAGATATAAATATCTTTATGAACCTTATATGTCTGGATTCATTAGCCATTTAATGAATTTGATGCACAGATGTTCAGGAAATTAGGAGCAACTGACTTCACTGGGAAATAATAGCGAGCTTGGTGCCATCCAAGATATCAAAAACATGCTGTTCCTACAATCTGCGAAGAAACCAGGTACAGTAATTGTCTCTTTGTTATATATAAGCTCACTATTAACACTCAATAAATGTTAATAGTATGATAATAAAAATATTGAGTATGATGCTCCCCAGTGGAGATTAGGTTGTGAATATCAAGAGATGCCCTCTGTGTTCAGAATGTGTCTTTCCTTTGGATTTGCATCACATTCACCTGATGGAAAGTAAAAGAGTTGAGAAAAAAGCTAATTGGTGCTTTAGGCTGAGGTCATTAATTTGGAGTCACAAGAACTGAATTTGCCTTACAGAATTTTTTCAGCAAAACAACTATCAAATGTTGTGATTTGCTCTGCCGCTAACCTTAGGGTTCACAGGCAGTGTGAGTGACGTAAATACAGTCAAAAGCCAAATAACAGTGATTTGGTTAACAGCAGACTGCATATACAATCGTGGTCCCATAAGATTATAGTACAGCTGAAAAATTCCTATCACCTAGTGGCCTTGTAGCTATCATAACATTATAGTGCAACACATTACTTTTTCTATTTTTAAATATGTTTAGATACATAAATACTTACCATTGTGTTACAGTTGCCTACAATATTTAGTACAGCTACAGGTTTGTAGCCTAGAAGCAATAGGCTAAGGCATCTAGCCTAAGTGTGTAGTAGGCTGTACCATCTAGGTTTGTGTAAGTGCACTTTATGATGTTCACATAATGATAAAATTGTCGAACAGTGTGTTTCTCAGTATCCTTTTTGGTAAGTGATGCATGACTGCAGTTGAAGAGAAAGGGCAGAATCAAGCCAGCCAGGCACTGAAACTGAGACTATGTAGGGAAGTCCACACCTAGCCTAGAGGCTGGCACCATTCCTCAGGGTATTCGTTCTGTTTTACTGCTTTGTCACATTAAATGTTCTCGAGACAAAAAAATGTGGAGGGGAGGAAAGGGTCAAGTAGTTCCATGATACTGAAAATATTCTTTCTTGGCAGTAGTATGTTGGTAATTGTTGAAAAAGTTTCACACACTCTTTCTCAAAAACAGCCCTGATTTGTAGCATTTGCTGATTTCCAGTTGTAAATACTCCACCATGGCCAATTTTAAGCTATCAACATGAAAGCCACAAACTCACCAACTTCCTACAAATTTAACAATCAGCTCTTGCAAGTGGATACAAGCCATCTCCAGCAAAACCCTCAGTATATAGTAATTGTGGTGATATAGACATGGGTAATGATTAAGGAAGCTCTGGAGAGAGTAGTATCTAGATCCTCCATTTCCTCAGTGGCAAAATGGAAATAATATTTATCATAAGGTTGATGGCAATATAAAGAAGATAATAAATGTAAGGTGTTAAGCAAGGTTCTTGTTATATAAGTGCTCAAAATGGTAGCTGTTATTAATATTATTATATCCTGAGATTAAATGTGTCAGCCCCCAAATCTATGCAGAAATATTATGATTATCATGGAATGTGGAATATCATAGGTGTCAATAGGCCCTTGCATGTGACTTGTGTGAAATTCATATCTTAATATTCACCAGATATTTATTGTATTAGGCTTGTATACCTAGTGAGAAATGGGTGGGAAAGTGCCTCACAAATTCCCTTAGAAAGGGAAAATATGTATGCTTGATTTCTGGGAAATAAAAGAACAGTCTATATCACATTGTTTTAAAGATGGTGCCTTCAGAGTACAGAATGCTGTGGTGCCTTCTTTTTTGGTGACGTGTTCGCAGGAAAAAAATATATATATAATCTGAAATATGGTGGGCAAAAATAGTGATAGGTGCAAACCTGTCCAAATGTCTTGCTTTGCACAGACTTGAAGGGCCCAAGTTTCCTTCCAAGCTCAGAGAAAAGCTCAGCCTCTGGAAGGGGCTGCCACACATATCCCTCCCTGCATGCATCTTCTCCCCATCAAACAGAGCAGCTTGACAAAGGGAAGTTCGGAGAAAACAGGCCTTTTTTTCCCAGGGAAACAATGGAACTCTAGTTCTATTTCCCTATATCTCCCTTTCTTAGCAATTTAAAATGATAATTGACCTAGCTTCTGCACACTCTCTGAATCACTTCATTGTGTTAAAATTATTCGAATGACAATTGATGAAGAACACAAATGTGTAACTTTGTAAAATAGGAAGTCTAAGTTGGGGGAAAATTGAGTATATTCATTAAGCATACCTTCATCTTGCCATACACCATTAAGCACTCCAAATAATTCCTTGGCTTCCCTCCTCCTACCATTATCTGGGAAAGCCTGTCTGCTGTCACCAAATTCTAGCATAAACTGCTCAAGGCCCTGTATTTTCCCATTGCTGCTTATTATTGTACCACGAATTCTAATTTGATTCAGATTCAGAGGGCTCTTTCTCTTCATAGTATGAAAGCATTTTGGCAGCCATTAACTCTATGGGTAGAGATCACAAACAATCACACAAACAAAGAAACTGCAAATTAGAGCTTATATTCCTTATATCTTCACATGGTTGATGGAAGTAAGACAACTCCACAAACCATGCATTTTAAAGAACATTTGCAGGGTGAATATATTACAAATATGGCTAGGAAGTGGGCTGCAGTATATCTCCAAAAGTGACTGATTTAAACCCAAACTTAATGTATTTTGGAGGCCAGCAATAATTTGACTTGCTGAGTGGATGGAATTTATGGGTATAATGCAGTGCAAATAAAAACATCCTCTTTCAGTAATAAAGGTGTATGCTATGTCCGCGTTGGGAAATACGGCTTTCCTTACCTCTGACTTCTGGAGAGAACTCGTGGGAATAGCTAAGTCAGACCCAGTGACTTTCTTTGTGACCTTTTGGAAATATCAAATTTTATTTTTGTATTTAGGGGGGTTTATAGTGCCATTCCTGGATCTGTGCTTTTGTGTTTGAGAATCAAATAAATAAGAGAAAACCAGTAATGCATCACTGAGCTGTAAGTCATTTTCCTAATGAGGTGATCCAGCCCAGAGTGAAGGAAGAGCAGAGGACAGGATGAGGGTTTGGGACATAGGATGTTCATGTCCACCCCTGAAAGGCAGAAAGAACCCAATGGGAAGACAGAGGTTTGTAAGAAACCTACTGTTAAGTGACTTCTGACTTTAAGGATTTCCTATTCTTACCTGTATGGTTCTGACATGTAACCCTGAGGAGGAAACTTCTCATAGTGCATGTGTGGCCAACTGTCCATGATGTGCTAAATTTGAAGATGGAATTTAAGAAGTTATGAATTTCTATGAGTGAATTGTCATGAAATGAAATGAAGGCTGCAGGCTCCTTCCTCCACATCCTCAGCGTTTGAGAGAATCCCTTGCTCTGTCGCTCAGGTTTCATCCTTGTCCTCCACCCCTAGCCCAACTCCCTCCTCTACCACATACACATAGCACTTCAGCTCTTGCTCACCCGGTCCAGCTATTCCAGTTCTCCGTGGAGGTCAGGTCTGAGAAGGTTGATCATAGGCACTACAGTAGGTAATCTTTACTACCTGAGCCTCTGTTTCTCCATTCAGGAAGGACCTATAAGCTACGGGATGAGGCTCTCCCCTTATATCTATCAGAATAATGTTGTGATGGACTGCAATATTGTCAGAGGCTAGGTAGATTCACAGAACATCAACAATTTATGGTTTACATATCTGCAACTAAAGCAGGGGAAAAATGATATACCCTCAAGGACTTTGTATTTCCTGAGATACTTGCAGCATAAATTGTAGCTTAGAAAATTTTATTTAACTTTTAAGTTCAAGAGTACATGTACAGGCTTGTTATATAGGTAAACTCAAGTCATGTGTCATGGGAGTCTGCTGTACAAATTATTTTGTTCCCCAGGTATCAAGCCGAATACCCGTTAGTTATTTTTCCTGATCCTCTTCCTCCTTCTAGCCCCCACCCTCCAATAGGCCCTAGTGTGTGTCGTTCTTCTCTATGTATCCATGTGTTCTCATTGTTTAGCTCCCACTTATAAATGAGAACAGACAGTATTTGGTTTTCTGTTCCTGCATTAGTTTGCTAAGGATAATGGCCTCCAGCTCAATCCATGTTTCTGCAAAAGATATGATCTCATTCTTTTTTATGGCTGTATAGTATTCCATGGTGTATATGTACCACATTTTCTTTATCCAGTCTACCATTGACAGACATTTAGGTTGATTCTATGTCTTTACTATTGTGACTAGTGAATAGCTTTTGGAGAAGGCATATCCCTAGCCCCAATCCAAAGACCTCATCAGTTTCCTGAGAAAAATCATAAAGATCTTCGAAGTCAATATTTGTTTCAGAAGTCTAGAAAAAAAACAAGTTGGGGTATGTGTGTATCACCCTTCTATTAATCACTTCAAAGGTTAAGATTAATCATGATTACCTTCCTCATGGGGATAGTTAGAAGGTAGGATGAAGTATTGGAAAAAAGTGTAAGACAATTATGAAGTCAAGACATATTAAATGGCCACAAAATATTAGGTGTTCCTATTGAAAAGTTCAGAGTTAGTTCAGATTTCCATTATTATTTCTTTATGTTAATTAGTAAATCAGCCAGAATTTATAGCATCTCCATACTGTTTAAATTTGCTGTGGATTTCTGGGGGCATATCCCAGCAATAGTTTTTCTGAAGGAGGACTGCAGCTTTTAAAGTGTATAGGAGGTTCTTGAGAGATGGGGAAATGGAGCTGGTTTCAGATAGTTCCAGCTTTGCCAGTGGTTATGTTTGTGACTTATTTTCAACTGTCGAGCTAGATGAGTCCATGACCTGAAGTGTGTACTGTCAGCCCTTTGGGTCTATGACCCACATGCTTGGATCCTAAGTCGGTTCAGAAGACCAAACATGAGAGAAGGGATCCACACTGCAATAAGAGGCCAGATGCAGTGACATCTAGTTGAAATCTCCTGCCTGAGGCCACTAATAATTCTTTCCCGATTTTTTTCTATATTCCTTCCCTCTATTTCTTCAAACTGGCTAATTCAAACAAGCAGAATTCTTGTGCTTCAGAGATGCTTTAAGGCTTGTCTAGGATTAGATTAGACTTTTTGGGACCCTTAATGTAGCCAAGATTGTGAAATTATGTGGGCTGGGGTACGGGAAGACCTGGGAGAGGACACAGCAGCTATCCGTCTTGTGGAAGGGTCCTCCTGCTTTCTGGATTGAACTAAAAATTGGCATTTTTAGAATGACTTCTCCCAAGACCTGTCAAGGGATACGCTCATTTAAGATCTCTCTAGATGATCATAGCCAGCTGAAACTTCCCAAAGTTGACAGCTAGCATCCATCTGCACTTCCCTTTATTGCTGGAGTTTTGTTAGGATGCTATGCTAGGGTGTACTTGTCATGGGCTGCCTTACAGCAGGCTTGGCAGAGGATTGCAGTAGAAACACAAACACAAGAACAACAGTTATCAGAAGACCTTTCTATCCCATTTAACTTGTTTCACTAACTAATGTAACTGCCCGATTTTCTCAACTCTGAAATGGGAATGAAGGTAATACCTCCTCTACTAACCAAACCTCATTGAGGTAGACTCCTGGAGGTACCTTTTGACACTCCAGGGTTCTAAGATTAAACCCTCTTATCCTAAATCTCCTTGTGCAGTGAATAATATTATGGACAGGTTTATATAGTTCTATCCAGTTTATTGTTTCCTTTCTCTGTGAAATAGTAAGAGTGCTCATTTATTGAGCACCTGCTGGGTGCTAAGTGCCCTCATATGTCATTCATTAGTATTCATCACAAGGATACTTCAGGCGTGGGATCATTAACCAGAGTTTACAATCTCAGAGGGCCAAGTACGCAGCCTGTTCTCACATGGGGGTGGCGACGAGGCTGGAGCCCATTAGAGAAGTTAGATTCTAAGACCTGTGTTTTTTTTTCTACCACAGATGTGTGGAGTGGAGTCACTTACCTGCCTAAGCCTTTCCTCCCTGTCTTCATCTCTTTAAAGAAGTTCTGCTCAAATAAATTCTACTACATCTGAAAAACCCCAAATGCCACCTTGTTTTTCAGAGATTTAGGCAGACAGTGAAAAAAAAAAAGCTTCAATCCTTTCAAATTTAAATAATGTTCTGTAGTTTACAAAGCACTTTCACATGTAGTACCTCATTGAATCTTCACAACCCACTGTAAGGGAGGTTGTGTATTTATAATGTGTTTACTAGATGAGGAGACTTTGAAAGGTCACTTGCTATAACTTGACAGAGGTCAGGTAACCAGTAGGAAGCAGAGGTGGGACTTGAACCCAGGTAATTGGTGTTTTTTTAATTGTTTCACACAGCTTCATTCACTGAGAAAAAGGAGCTGGGGAAGAACAGAGGTTAGGAGCTTACAAGGTGGGTTTAATTGACCAGGTATCAAATCCTGATTGGAAAATAAGAGTCACTGAATGATGTGAGCTGGTCTCTTGTTTTTCCACCTTATATACTGAGAAAAAAACTAAAGAATGAACCCTAACCCCTCTGCTCACCACCAAAACTGGAAGTACTTTACAGGGACAAATTTGAGGAGCTGAAGAAATTGCATGAGGCTGGCCTGCCTTGCAGATACAGGGTTGGGCAGTAGGAGTTAGCAGGTAGTGGAAGATATCCTAGTGGATTCAACCACCTGCACCCCCTTTTAAACACCAGTATTTTTGTAATGATTCCTTTCTTATCTTGAAATTTCTACTTACTTACAGACACAATTTTTAAAAATAATGCCTTAATTGTGGTATAAAGGGGACTTTTTGTTACTTTTGTAACGTATAAAAGCAAAGCATTTATAATAAAGTAATTCGTAATAATTTCAATATGTAAATGCTTGGGCATGACGGCACAAGCTGCAATGAAGTAACCAGGTGTCTGCACACACACATAGAATGTCCATGGGTGCAACACCTATGAATTCAGACTATAAGGCCGTGTATACTGGTGACTCAAATGCCATGAGTGGCACTGCCATTGGTGATATTCAAAATGATAAGCATCTAAAAAAATGATGAACACCTCTTAGTCAAGTTCCAAACAAGAGATTATCTTTTTTCCATTTTCATACTAGTTGCATTTCCAGAAAATTCAGCGTATATTA
Source organism: Homo sapiens (assembly GCF_000001405.40). Classification (NCBI taxonomy): domain Eukaryota; kingdom Metazoa; phylum Chordata; class Mammalia; order Primates; family Hominidae; genus Homo; species Homo sapiens. The sequence goes on along the minus strand of NC_000002.12, from coordinate 176,901,291 downwards.
GAATCACGTGATAAATTATTTGTGATTACGTGTAAAATGGAGGTGGATTCCAGGCTCAGATGATTTCAAATAGGTAGTTTACTCACATGCATGTCCAGTGGGACATTTAAACATCATTCAGGATGTGGAACAATTCTTTGTTGAGTAGGGCTGTCTCATGATTTGCAAGATGTCTATCAGCCCTGACTCTGGCCAACAATTTCAGTATTGCTCTCCTCACTGGTTATTGTGACGATCAAATATGTTCCTCTCTTCAAATTTCCAGAATGCTCCCCTAGTGCTTCCTCTGTTGAAAACCATCCCTGAAGGGTCAGGGAATACTTTGAAGCCAGTCATTCAGGTCCTTCTGTTGCTCCGGCTGACAGGAGCACCAGGCACTGAGTTTCTAAGGAGTTTTGTACAAAATCCACAACAGTTTGACTCAGAATGGTTGGTTCCCTCTGAACCATTACAACACTGTATCTAACCAGTAGCCCGTGTATTATAGTGGAAAGAGCACTGTCTAGAAATCTTAATAACTAGGATTGAGTTCTTAGTCTCTGTCACTAAAAGCATTTTATATGGGGAAGTCATATGCTTCTCCAGGCCACACTACTTGGAAGGCCCAAACTGAGATTTAGCTATGGTGGAGCCTTGTCACATTGCCCTCTTCTTCCTCTGTTGGGTTGTCTAATAGGATGAACTGATTTTTTTTTTTTCTGGAAAATTAACTCAAAGAGTGTCAGAATTGCAGCAACCCAGTGATTCCAAACCACAAAAAGGAAAGCAGAGCCCCAAGTGGTAGTTCATCATAGGAGAAGCAGCTGAACGTGAGGTGGACTTAGCAATAGGTCTCCAGGAAAAAGATGGTAAGGAGTTCCAGGTATAATGTGACAGCTGTTGCTGGAACCCATTCCTACCCTGGAAATTCATATACACCCTAAGAATAAAAGGGAAAACAAAAATTTTTACTAAATTCTGAAACAATTTTTGGCTGAACAACCCAGGTTTGAACTCCACTCCACAGTATAGCACAGAGGAGAGGAAAACTTACCCTGCTTGAGCTGAGCATTTCTCTATAGGGTAATCTCTGGCAAAATTGTTGCCCAGGTTATCAGAATGGTAGAGCCTGGAGCTGCAAAAGCCCCAGGTGAGAAGGCTGAATCAAGTCATCTCTTAAGTGTCCTTGTGGTTCTGAAATTCCGTGAGTTCTAAGATTATTGGCTCTAAAAATATAGTTCAAAAATATCTGTCTTGGGTCCAGAACATAATACCAAGGCTAGAGGAAGTTAAGGAATGGCTAAATAACATAATAACACCAAGTAGGGAGTAATTACTAACTTGCCTCAGATGTATAATTTCTTTAACTCTTGCTTCAAATTGCATTTATTTCTTAGGCTTGATAGGCAAATGTAATGAACAAGTGTTTAGTATAAATTGATATTAATCTCTTCATCAAGAGTTTTTTGAGCAGAGAAAAGATTAAACAACATAGTCTTTTTAACATGTCTCAGTTATTCAGGCTAATGAGGTGCTCTAATTTGGAGATTTGATAATAGTCATTAGGTGGCACTACCAGTACTGCAGGCCTAATGCTAAGGAGACATCTACTAGTTTCCAGAGTCCATACCTTAAAAATGCAACAATATTCCACTTCAGAAACATCACTTTTCTCTATTTGATAATGTCCACTTTTAGGAAATTGGGATACTGGTACCTAGTATAATATTCGGCACAATGGTCATTTAGAGGATCCTTTCAAGTCTCTCTGTTTCCATGATTAAGGGAATTCTCATTTTCTGTGCTCTAACAACTGTTCTGGCTGTAGAAGGATCGTTAGTAAGAAAGGTTGGGTGATGGAATCAAACCACAGGTATGAGGAAAAAGTAGAAATTAAGCAAAGAATCTCTACAAGGAGAACTACAAAACACTGATGAAATAAATTGTGGGTGACACAAACAAGTGGAAAAACATCCCATGTTCATGGATCAGAAGAATTAATATCATTAAAATGACCATACTGCCCATCTACAGATTCAATACAATTTCTGTTATATTACCAAAGTCATTCTTCACAGAATTAGAAAAAAAATCCTAAAGTTCATGTGGAACAAAAAAGAGCCTGAATAGCCAAAGCAATACTAAGTAAAAAGAATAAATCTGGAGGTATCACATTACCTGACTTCAAATTAGACTACAAGGCTATAGTAACCAAAACAGCATGGTACTGGTATAAAAATGGACACATAGATCAATGGAACAGAATAGAGAACCCAGAAATAAAGCCACCAATCTTTAACAAATTCAACAAAAATATATGCTAGAGAAAGGATGCTCTATTCAATAAATGGTGCTTGGAAAATTGGAAAGCCACATGCAAAAGAACAAAACTGGACCCATACCACTCTACAAAAATTAAGATGGATTAAAGACTTAAATGTGAGACCTCAATCTGTAAAAATCCTATAAGAAAACCTAGGAAAAACTCATTGGCCTAGGCAAAGAATTTGTGACTAAGTCCTCAAAAGGAAATGCAACAACAACAATAGCAACAACAAAAAAACGAATGGGACTTAATTAAACTAAAAAGTTTCTACATAGCAAAATAAATAACATAGAAAACAGACAACCTACAGAATGGGAGCAATATTTATGAACAATGCATCCAACAAAGGGCTAATATCCAGAATCTACAAGGTATTCAAACAGCTTAACAAGAAAAAAACAAGTAACCCCATTAACAAGTGGGCAAAGTACATGAACAGACATTTTTCAAAAGAAGACCAAGTGATGCTTCACATCACTAATCCTCAAAGAAATCCAAATCAAAACCACAATGAGATACCATCTTACACTAGCCAAAATGGCTATTTTTAAAAAGTGAAAAAACAACAGATGTTGGTGAGGATGGAGAGAAAAGGGAATGCTTATACACTGTTGGTAGGAATGCAAGTTAGTACAACCTCTATGGAAAACAGTATGGAGATTTCTCAAATGACTAAAAATAGACCCACCCTTCAATCCAGAAACCCCCCTACTGGGTTTCTACCCAAAGGAAAAGAAATTATTATATCAAAAAAAATCTGTATTCATGGGTTTATCACAGTGCTATTCACAATAGCAAAGTCATGGAATCAAGTGCCCATCAACAGATAATTGGTTTAAAAAAGGTGGTATATATACCTAGAATACTATTCAGCTATAAAAAAAATGAAACTATGCCTTTTGCAGCAACATGGATGGAGCTAGAGACCATTATCCTAACTGAAATAATTCAGAAACAAAGAGTCAAAATCTGCATGTTCTCACTTATAAGTGGGAGCTAAACAATGGGTACACATGGACATGTGGAGTAGAATAATAGACATTGGAGACTCCAATAGGCAGGAGGGTGAAGGATGAGATATACTACCTATTGGGTACAGTGTTCACTATTCAGGTGATGTACACTAAAGCCCAGACATCACCACTATGCAACATTTCCATGTAACATGACTGTACTTGCACCCCTAAATCTACTTTTTAAAAAACAAGTAAAAATTTACTTCCAGCTGGGCATATTTTTTTTCACAGTTCTCAATTTTGGTTGCACATCAGATTCACTTGAGATGAGTAGCTTTAAGAAGCCACTGATGCCTGGGTCCCACATCTAGAGAATTTGATCTAGTAAGTCTTGGATGGGACCAGGGAATTGCGAGTGTAAAAAGCTCCCTGGAGGATTCTAACATATGCAGCAAAAGACGAGAACCAGTGTCTGATTCTTCTTCTTCTTCTTTTTTTTTTTTAATGGAGTTTGCCTCCCAGGTTCAAGCAATTCTCCTGCCTCAGCCTCCAGAGTAGCTGGGATTACAGGCACCTGCCACCACACCCACCTAATTTTTTGTATTTTTAGTAGAGATGGGGTTTCACCATGTTGGCCAGCCTGGTTTTGAACTCCTGGCCTCAATCAATCCACCTGTCTCAGCCTCCCAAAGTGCTAGGATTACACGCTTGAGCCACCGTGCCCAGCCTGATTATTCTAAGAGCAGCAGCTCTCTTAGTAGCTCCCCGTTTCTGCTATCCCAGCCCCCACTCACAATGAGCCACATCCTTTTCTTGGTTTTGAGTCTGGAGTGTTCTATAGAGTGCACAACTGTTCTTTACACATTGGAACATGTGGAGCCCCAAGGTGTCCTAATTCCTACTTTAAAAAACAAACAAGCAAACAAAAAATCATGTTTGCTTCTGTGGGAGAAAGAAAAAATTTACAAAGGCAAAAGAAAGTGCCTGGAGAATACCTGAACCAATGACCATATTGGGCTTTATTAAGCCCTTAAGAGGGGTTTCCCCCCTATATAATAGTGCATTCTTTTTTCACATATGTAATTTCAAGGCCCTTAATCCATCTTTCTTTTCTCTGTAGACCAGTTGATATCAGGCTTGCAAACAACAAATAATTCCAAAAGATGCAAAATGAGTGACATGAAGCATAGTACTTTCCACTGATAAGGATGAGTTAGATACACAGAAATAGTTTAAGGTGAGTGGTGACAGCTCATCTTAAGAAAAGGATTACCTCTCTTCCAAAAAGAGAATGCATTGAATAGTCCTTGATTTGACTGATATGAACAGTATAGAATGAAGCCCAGGCCCAGCTTGAATTTATTTATTTACCTGACTGATTAAAAGAAAACACTATGTGGTTCTATTTTTTTTTTTCTGAAAAGTTGGATCATATCTATTGTTCTTAGAGGAATCTTGGTCTTGGTTAGCACCATAAGAAAGCAGAAAAATACGATAAACATTATATCTCCATAGGTGATAAACAGTAAATTTAACCCTTGGTCTTTCTGTCCTTATATTGCAATGGGAGTTGAAAAGTATAAAATGGATCCAAAGGTTTACAGGTTCTATGACTGATAGTTTATTTTCTGAGGACCTTTTAGAACTAACTCTTTCATGAATAAATTTGAGAAGCATTTAAAAACCACTGACATCCAGGCTATGTCCTTGCAAATGGGGCCTTGCCTTACCAAAGCCTGTTATTGGTCAGAAGTACTGCATAGAAAAAGCAAACCTGGCATGATACTGGCATAAAACAAGGAAATTAGTATATCAAAGAGTTATCTGCACTCCCATGTTTATTGCAGCCCTATTCACAATAGCCAAAATTTAGAAGCAATCGAAGTGTCCATCATCAGATGAATGGATAAAGAAAATGTAGAACATACACACAATGAAGTACTATTCAGCCATTAAAAAAGAATGAGATACTGTCATTTGCAATAAGCCAGGCACAGAAAGACAAACATCACATGTTCTCACTTATCTGTGGGAGCTAAAAATTAAAACACTTGAACTCATGGAGATGGAGAATAGAAGGATGGTACCAGAGCCTGGAAAGGGTAGTTGGAGGGAAGGGGAGATGATAAATGGGTACAAAAATAAATTAGTGAGAATGAATAAGACCTAGTATTTGCTAGAACAACAGGGTGACTATAGTAAAAAAATAATTGTTCATTTAAAAATAACTAAGAACGTATAATTGGATTATTTTAAAAACAAAGGATAAATGCTTGAGCTGACGGATACCTTATTTATTCTGATGTGATTATTATGCATTGCATGCCTATATCAAAATATTTTCATGTAACCCATAAATATATACACTTAGTATGTACCCACACAAATTGAAAAAAAAATTTTAAAGGAAAAAAGCAAACCTGGCAAAGTTAGGTGATTGTGAAACCAATATTGGAAGAAGAGGTTACCCCAAACCTTACCAAATTCAAATATCATTGCAATCATTTTAGTGACTTAAAGATATGGGTAATCTATTGGTTGGGGAAGGGTGAGGGTAGAACTAACCTTCACTGTTTGGTCCAATGACAAGAGCAATTTCTGAGATGTAATTACTTGAGGTGTGTATGTTTGGATAATGAGGTTAGCGAAGCCTAGTTCCTGGTGGCACCTGAGAAACTCCCTGTTCTCTATTTAACTACCTTGAGCTTTGTAGCTTCTTATCCTGCCTTGACCTTGGATTCCTACAGATCGTGAACTTAAGACATTTATAAGTAAAATGCAGCTCCATTTCCTCCTTGAAAAATCACAAGGAGCTTGAGGAGCAAGTAGGCTTTAATGGGTATTCCTCTGTGACCTCTGATATTACCTTCACCACTCTACACTGTCAGCTGTTGAAATATGGAGATTCCTGGTGGGATTTTGTTGAGCCTTTCTCTTGCTTTGACTCTAGATAAGGATTAAACAACATGACTTCAATTAATGACCTTTTGGTGGCTCAATGGAGGTAGAGCAGGGATATGTCCTAGCCCCTTTCTACTTAATATGCTTTTAAATAATATCACCTTTGGATTAGCTAGACCTAGGATTACCTCATAATAGTCTTTTTTTTGCCTTCATGTTTTTTTTTTTTGAGGCAGAGTCTCGCTCTGTCACCCAGGCTGGAGTGCAGTGGCGCGATCTCGGCTCATTGCAAGCTGTGCCTCCCGGGTTCAAGCCATTCTTCTACCTCAGCCTACCAAGTACCTGGTACTACAGGCACCCGCCATCACGCCCGGCTAATGTTTTTTTCTTCTTTTTTGTATTTTTAGTAGAGATGGGGTTTCACCGTGTTAGCCAGGATGGTCTCGATATCCTGACCTCGTGCTCCACCTGCCTTGGCCTCCCAAAGTGCTGAGATTACAGGCGTGAGCCACCGCGCCCGGCAGTGCCCAGTATTTTTTGTATGAACAAGGAACATGCCTCCTGATGTAGACAATGTTTGTCATTAGGAAGACTAACTTAAAGTTTTAGTTGATTTTTTTAAAAAGTATAATGATACCCAGACTTATTTTAGTATGACTTTAGACTTTACCTGGGCCTTTTTTTTTTTTTTTTTTTACTGATTTTTATTTTTAAGCTATCCAGGTAGGATTTTAAAAATCAATAGCTAAGCTAGGAGAATATCCTTTCCCTTAGACATGGAAAAGCTTCTTTCAAGCAGGTGGATGAATTTGTTATTACCTGACAAGAATCATTCTCCAAGCCATAATTTTTCAATTATGGTAATAAAAAAGTTAGAGCTGTTATCCATGTATTGAAACAGATTTCATTCATAGATAGCTCCCCTTCTTTGGCATGCAGCCATGTTATTCAAGTGCTTTCTGAAGTTTTATAACTTTAGCTGCAAAAATTAATTTTCACTATCACAAAAAGAGCTGTGCAGTGGCCAATGTTACTGCAATGAACTGATTGACTCTGTGCCTCAAATTCTGTTTTGGAATGATGAAGGGTAGAAATAAACAATTTTAAAGTATTGGTTGACTGAGGTCCTTGACAAATCAATCTTAAAGCAGAGATAATTGGCATGTGTTTTCATTCAGATGAATGACAAATGTGTAAATCATGATTTTTTTCCAGCATAACATTTTTCACACATATACTTGTAAGAATAACATTTATTTCCTGAGAGACATCATACAGGCCCTGTTACTTTTCAGGACTCTCGTGTCCTTATCTGTAAAAGGAGAGGGTTGGACGAGACCATCATGAGGACTGTTTCCAAAGAAGATTGAATAAAACATTTATGGACAATGGAAATATCACATAGAATGAAGGGCTTACGGATAGATTTTGCTTGGCATTGCTTTTATTTTCACTACTCTTTCAACTGAGGTTAGAGAATCCAATCTTCAACAGAGATGTGGGATTGAGCTTTTATTTTCCATAGAATTTAGACCTGTGTTATTCTTTACTTTGTATCTTCAATTGTTCAGAGAAAACCATCTTATCAGCTGGGCCAATAAGATCATTAATGGAAAACAGTGTTGTGCACCAGTAGATCTTTACTTCTTGATCAATAGTTATTTACTTCTGAGGGGTCATAGCTTGGTTAATATAGCTGAATAATTTTATTGATAGATAATATAACAATGAAAAATCAAGTTTAAAATAGAAGATGAATGAATATAACACTTTCTTCAGGCATGAATATTATTATTTGAAAACTGTAATAGCTGCTGGAATGTTGAAAGGGCAGACAACAAAAGCATTGAATAATTGTCCTAGGACTATAATCAGACTTCCATTATTGACCTCTGTTAATATTCTACTGTAACTGTCTGCTAAATTGGTTCCTTGGGGCTTGAAATATACAGTGATGTTATGAGTTCCTATCGTAAATTGCCACACAGTAAAGTAGCAAGTCTCTGAAATAGTGTTGGCCCTAGTTTGATCAATACTCAATTCAAAGCAGTGCAATAGGCAACTGTTTCCATAGAAACATTGATGTCACAGAGGTTGAACAGCAGCTGTTACAACAAATCATTTCCTTTGAGCAGTTGTAATTGACTATATGTACAGTTTGCTGTCACTTGAGACCATTTACATCAAGCAAGTAACAGAACCACATTAGTTATTCCAGGAGTAAGAGGGTTAGCTCTTCTTCTTGTGACCTTACAAATACCTAGGAGGATATTGTCATGGCAACCAGCAATATAACAGAATGAACATTAAGGTAGCTAGCTACCTTAATGCAGTAGCCTTCTTTTGGAAGCTGCAAGGTAGTTTTAATAAAGTTTACCTAGTTTTTACATTAACACAAATCCTTTGCACCCCACGGTAATGACTTGGTTCCTCTCTCACACACATCACCAATAACATAGACATTACAGTTCCATTTGCACTTCATTTCCTCTTCCTTGCCTTTAATTTTTCCTTGGCATATGGCTGCTAAGACAGCACATACACACATTTAGCAAAATCTTGTTTGCTGAATACAGAGATTGGCTCTGGAGAAACACTGAAGTCTGAAGAGCTTCAGACTTGAAAAGTGAGATTATAAGAGAAAGGAAACTTTAGCAAAAAGTTAAATTTTTACTTTGGCTAAATAATCTGTAGGTTTTAAGGACATTAAAGAAAACAGAAACAAATGCAACCTTAGCCTACCTTTGTTGTGTTTCCTCAGACTAAAATCACCACCAGAATTGAGTTTCAGTGCCTAGAATTCTTCACGTTATCTCATTACCTTACATCTTTTTCCTGGGATGGCTGTGCCCCGTGATACATTTTGAAATATTACATGTACTTCTAGGGAAATGAAGAGGGTTTTGTGTCCTTTGGTAGGTTAACAGGCAGAAAATGGTATCAATGTGTCATCAGACTCCATGCCAAAGCAAAGATCATAGGCTAATGGGAGTATTTCTAGAACAGTGAGAGTTAAATCTACCCAGACAGAATATCTAGTTTCCTGAAAATCTTGCCAGCATCTCATCTGAGCTTTAAATGACAGATGAAATGATCAAGAGTGAGAAGCTGTAATGACGTTAACATTGTGTTTATTTCCATTTGCAATGGTGTCAGAGATAAAGTGAGTTTACTGGGCATGTCAGGGTCTAAACAAGCATTTGCAGCCAATCTAGAGAGATCAGGCTTTATGTGCAAGTGGACTAGAAAGAATGAGCATTGCCTGCCTCTGCCATAACTGCAGGTATGATTAGCAACACTGTCATCTTGGCATCTCCAGGAAAGAAAAAAATATATATGGTCATCAATGAAGAGAGGAGGTAAAAAAAATCCTTATAGGAGGTATTTACTTGGAAAGAATTTTCCAGTACAAACTCATGATGATCAGCCTATAGATTTTGACCAGTCTGCCCTCTTCCTCACGGTGAATCCTCAAAGGTAATAAAATTGAATTGCAATCAGTATTCTTTGATACTAGCCTGCCACAGACTGTTATTCACCTTGAACTAGAGAGCAACTGTTTATAAGATAGTTTAGAGACACAAATCCAGTAAATTACTCTGTTTGGCCTTAAAAGAATGTTTGACTTGAAGCATAGAAATGAAAATAAATCTTATAGGAATAATTTATAAGACAACATAGTGAGTGGTGATCCTCTAGTTATAATGGGTAAAGAAAAAAGGTTTGAAAGGAAAAGGTATTCCCCACTCCTCATGCCCTGCCTGGGGCAACGAACTTTTCCATAGCCCTGGATACAGGAAATTTGGTAATGGCACTTGGATGTCCTGAGAGAGAAGGGAAACAGCTGCCCTTTGCACGTTTGCTCTTTCCTGGAGCAATTATTTTTTTTCATAGCTGACCATCTTTCCTCTGACAACATGGTTTGGCCGGTGGAGAAGGAGAAGGAATCAGCCATTACTGGGTGCCCAGAGGGGTCTGTCAATGGTCAGTCAACAACCAACAGCCTTTCACAAAGACATCCGAGACAGAACAGCTGGCTGGTGTGTGTGTGTGTGTGTGTGTGTGTGTGTGTGTGAGAGAGAGAGAGAGAGAGAGAGAGAGAGGAAGGGAGAATATGAGGTACTCTTCATTTTTGCAGGATGCTGTAATTCCTAGTCATATATGAAAACATTTGGTTTTTATACATGATATAGGCAAAATTTCATTGATTAACATGATATTATATTAGAGTAATGCATCTTAATTTTATTAATAAGTTCAAATACTCTAGCAGATAGAAAAATAATATAGTAATATAAAATAAATCGGGAAAAATGAGTTATAATTTTGGCATCTCCCTTTACTGGCTTCATATCTGTGTGTTTCATTGGCTTCATGTGAAAATCAGTGATATCTTCCCCAACCTCTTGCTGATAAAGCCTTAATGATAGATTTGTACATAATAGATGGTCAAGGGGTTCAGATATTTCAGTAAGACCCCTGCACCCAAGTTATAGACTAAAAATTCTATTAAATGTGTTATTTTTGAGCCTAGGGGAATGCCATTGCACCTCAAATTCATTGCTTCTTTTTTTCCATTTCATATCTCAATAATTTAAAAATATTCATATAAAGGAATAGAATATTATAAAAGTGTTTTCTTTGAGCACATGAGGCTAGTTTCTTCATAAGTGATTTAATTTTTGATTTCTGAAACGCATAGGAGTACCAAGCCTAACACTGTCAAAATAAATTTGTTGTTCTGTCTATATCCAAAGATTATGTCATTTGAATTTGATTAACTAACTCTAATGAGATACTATCTACCTCCTAGTGTTCTTGTCAAGATTAAGTGGAATAGAGCTTCTGAAAGTATACAGTTTTTGTTCAGTGAAGTATTTGGGCATAAATATTTCTTCAGTGATTACGGATTTTTGTTTCAGGTTATTATCCCAAATATCAGCTCTTATTGTTTTGTGTGGCTGGAAAAGATATGGAGTGGAGTTGAATCAGTATAAATCTTATATTTCTTTGTGGAGGAAAGTTCTGAAATATTTTTGGCAATTTTTCTCTCTGTTTTACAAGTAAAGGACAGATAAATAAAATCAGTTTAAGGAGTCCACGTAGCTGGGTTTATGCTGGTCAATATGTTGCTATCATTATTGTCACCAGGCACAGTAGTATTCATCCATCTAAGACAGTGTGCCGTGCCTTAACTGTGGCATAATGGTGGTGGTAAGGCAAGAGGGACATTGATGAGTAATCTTAATTATTTTCTATACAACATTGATGGACTTTTTCTGAGTTTGGCAACTTCAATATCTGTGGCTCCATGGGACTAGTTTTAGCCAATTAGTCTTTGGCCTCTTGTTGCTGTTGAGTCCTGTCTCCTCCCTGGCACATCATAACCACCCTGCCAGCTGATGCTCTTCCTGTCACCTGCTCATGCTTGGAGATAAATAAGGCCAGTGCTCTGATGTCTCCCAGTTGCTGGCCCCATTGCCATTCTCAGCCTGCATCTTTCTTCAGCCTCTGGCACTATAGCCCATCCCTTTTTCTTAAAAGCTTTCTCTCCACCTCTACTTCACTGAGATTTCTGTTGGTTCTTCCTCTTCTTCTCTGACTCCTCTGCTCCCTCCATTTCCATTAGCTCTCCCCTTACCCTGAAATCAGTCTTTGGTGCTATTCCCACTCTATGCTCTTTCCCTGGGAGATCACATCTGTTCCCATAGGTTGCATTTCCAGGCAGTGACTCCTAATCCTATATCCCATTCTGTCAGTTCCTTGTGTGTTGGATTCTGAGACATCTGAATAAAGTCAACAAAGGAGGCAATCTAAGGTGGAAGGCCACTGTGAGAGATTTCATCAAGACTTTTGGAGACTATTCTTGGAGTAGGGTGGGTGTCTATGTAGGAGAATACTTAAGCACAGTAATGGAGCTTATAGGGGCTGGCCAGGGCCTGTAGCAGCTTAGAAGTCTTTGAATTGTTAGCAGTTATCACTATTACTGCTACTACTACTACTACTATTACTACTGCTAGCAATGCTTATAGAAATGTAAATACTCTTTAAAGTAGTAACATTTAAAGTTATTTACAATTAATCCCTTAAAGAGGATGATTTTACCACTTTCTATGAATAAGGAAATGCCTGGCCAACAGGTATATGAAAAAAGTGTCCAACCTCATTAATCATCAGAGAAATGCAAATTAAAACCACAATGAGATATCACTTCACGTGTGTTGGAGTGGTTATTATAAAAAATATAAAAATAAAGTGATAGTGAGGATGTGGAGAAAACGGAATGCTTGCATATGTTGGTGGGAAGATAAATTAGTACAGCCATTATGAAAAACAGTATGGAGGTTCCTCAAATAGTTAAAAATAGAACTGTCATATGACTTAGCAATCCCACTTCTGAATATATATCCAAAGGAAATGAAATCAGTATTTCAAAGAGATTCTGCACTCCCATGTGCATGGCAGCACTATTCACAATAGTCTAGATACAGAATCAACCTGAATGTTCATTGACAGATGAATGGGTAAAGAAAATGTAGTTTATATACACAATGGAGTATGATTTAGCCTTAAAAAAGGAGGGAGTTCTGTCATTTGCAACATGTATAAACCTGGAGGACATTATGTTAAGTGAAATAAGCCAGGCACAGAAAGACAACCCAGGCACAGGAACACAAATACTGCATGTTCTCAGTTATATATGGAATCAAAAAAAGTCAAACTCATAGAAGCAAAGAGTGGAATAGTGGTTACCAAAGGCTGGGGTGGGATGGAGAGTGGACTGGGAAGATGTTTGTCAAAGGATACAAAATTTCAGTTAGAAGAAATTCATTCGAGAGACCTATTGTACAACACAGAGACTATAAAGTTAATAATAAGGTATGGTGTACGTGAAAATTGCTAAATAAATGTCTTGAGATGAAACCCGAAAGTGCAGAAGGTGGTCCCAGGGAGTGAGCCAGGAAGGTGAAGGAGCAACCTTCCTGACATTCCCGACAAGGTGGAATCATCCTCCCACGTGGACGCTGCATCCTCCTCCTGAATGGCAGGCCTGCCTCAGTTTTCAGCTCCTCACACAGACAGCTGATGGCAGGGCCACCTTCCTGCGGTGCTGCTGGATCTTCAGTCACAGACCATTGTTCCCTGCAGGAAGACTAGTGATTTTCTGAATAAGGTGATGTTATCCTGATGACAACATGCAGTTCCCTGACTAGGTTTTCCAGTCCCCTTTATATTATTTTCAAACCTGTCAAGAAGAGACCATATTCTCAGGAGAGATAATATGATTGGCCCAACTTAGGCCATCTCTGCCCTTTTTTTTTTTTTAGAGATGATATAGTGCAAACATAGCTGCCAAGGGGTTACCCTGCAGGGTAAGGAAGGAAGCTCCCAGACAGGGGTGGTTATTGGGATCAGAGCAGTTATTTCACAGGGCTCTTCTACACCTAAACAAATTAAAAATATAAACAGTAACATTTCTATGTTCTTCCTTTAATGGCTTTGATGCCCAGTGCATTATCGGTTGGTATATGTCCTGAGTCATTTTATCCATTAGTAGTGGTAATGGATAATGTTTAAAATGTTTCCAAGGAAGCAGACATGTGAATCTCTTACTAAAACTTTCTGTGTGACTTTGGACAAGTCACCTGAAGTCATAATTCATCTGATGCTAATGGCTCTTGAGCACGGACCTATGTTCAACACCAGTCGAGTTCAGTTTATTACCTATGTCAGTCAGCCTGGGGCCAGTAGTGTTCATCTGTAACCATGCAAAGGGGTAAGGTGAATGAATCAAATAGAAGTGGAATTGAGAAGTTTACTGAAGACTGACGAGCATTAACCTCCTAAGTTAGCAGAGGCTGATCTAAGGTTTTGCTGAGTAGTGGTGGTGGTCTACTTTAGGGATTTTTAATTACTCTTCTATTACATTGCAGTACATTTATAGCACAGATTCCCACATGACAGCCACTTGTCTGTTTGGGGCAGAATGCAAGTTTTTACAGATTGAGGTTTTTAATATCCAGTTTTGCTTTGTGTATGGATGTTTTAGAGCATAGTTTGTAATCATGTATAAATAATACATCCCTTATGAAACTAACTGGAATTGAAGGATGACCTGACAATTTGATTTAGGTGTTTTTACAGCTTGGTGATAAGAATGAACTCTTCTTTCCTTCCTCAAGACTCATGTGCAGCATCTCTTTGGAAATAGCCAGGTAATCTTCCTGGGGCAAAATGAAACTTCTCAGGTCCTATGTCATCTTTGTGATCCTGACATAAAAAAAGAGAAGAAACATGACAATGGAAGTGTATAATTTCAGCTGAAGCATATTTCAGTTTTGTATACTCAGGATAATGAAAACAAAGACATTACGGTAGGGGAGGGAAGGAGAGTCCCTTATTTTTGTCTGAGGTTTGCTGAGCTAGTTTGGAGCCAGTTTTGTTATTTCTAATTCAGTGGGATGGCTTGGGGTGAATTCTATCTTGAAAGTTTCACTTGCTGGATTGGCTGTGACCTAAATCTAATACTTATGCAAAAGTCTGGGAGCTATTTGCACTATTGCTTCCAGAATAATATTTATAAATACTTATTGAGTAATTAGTATATGGTAATCAGTACTCTAATATTTTAGAGGTTTTGACTTACTCAGGCTTCAAAACAAACTTATATTGTAGCCATTTTTAAAATCTCCATCTTACCAATGAAGAAACCACAGAGAGGTTAAGTCAGTTACTTGAGGTTGCACTGGTGATGAGTGTTGGGACCAAGATTCAAATTCCAGCTGTCTGACTTCAGAGCTGAAGCACCTCACCACCATGCTAAACTCCTGGGAACCATTTTGGCTCTGGGAAAGATGATTAACCTTTATGTCCAATTCCTTTGTTTTTAAAGGGCTATAACAGTACTTCCTGCCTCCTCAGCGCAGAGAAGTGTTCTGAGATTAATGGCAGTGTGTGTGCATTTCAGCCTCTGTGTGCCTCTCCCTTTATGCACCAAGTTCCCTTTGAAGTCAATTAAAGGCCTATGTGTGTATGAAGGGAAGCAGAGGCCTTGGCAGGTGAGGGAATTGTGTAGATGTTGTAGGAACCATATATAAACCACTTTTATTTTCTTGGAAAATGATCTATATAAACATCAAGTAGCGTGAAATGCTTTGTATTGTGTGTTTGCAGATAACACTCCCCCATATGTGGATTCTCCTTTGGAAGTCACAATCCATGGAAAGTGCCCTTAGGGAATAATTTTGTTTCTGGTGTTTGCTTCTCAGGTAACTCACAAGCTTCTTAAGGCACGAACCAGGTCTGAGTCATCTTTACTCTAAAAGTTTCCTAATCTTTCCCTCCCCAGTCCCCTCTTGCATCTGCTTTGGTACTTGGTACATAGTAGGTGCTCAATAAAGCTGGGAGAATTTGATTTTGTGTAGCAATTTCTCAGTTAGTTTGATCCCTAATAAGGAAGGCCAGCTAGAAGGGCAAGAACTTTTTTTGAAGCATTTTGAAAGCAATTTAAAACACTAATTATAAGAGAAAGAGAGTTTGAGGAATAGAAGCTAGTTGTCAGGAAGTGTTTCTTGACTGAAAGAAATGTGAATATCCAGACATTGTATTTCAAGGGCAAGGCTACCATCTTCCTTGACAGATTTTGAATATTAGGATAGTTGGAGTGAGTCAGACCTAGTTCTACACAGAAGTACGGGAGCTGAGAGAGAAAGAGGTAGTCCCCCTTCTGGGCTCAGATTTCATGGCTGGAGTATGGAAACAGCAAGGAGAATCATTCACTGTGGATGGGGTGCAAAAGTCAGCATATTGGCACACTTTTAACATGGATCTGGCAGACGCAGTCTCTGCCACAGGAAATTGTCCCTACTAAAGTCGTTAGCCCACTTAAACTTTCTTAGACAGAATAATAATACCTCCTAAGGTTTCCACAACAGGGAACATCTGTTTTTCAGATGTTAACCTATCCAACATGTCCACCCATTGTAAACAGTAGTTGAATTAGGCCAACTTTCTGAGTGCTGTTGTTTTATACTCACTTTAACATTTATCAAGTCAAGGGATGTAAAAATCTACTTAGAAGCCAGTAACTACTTTCTCTCAGGAATTGAAACTTAATATCCAGGAAAATTTCTTCCTTGGCATTCATCATTCTTGGAGCTAATTAATTTGGGTCTTTGTTGTTCTTATTATCCTAAGGAGGACAAAATAACCACAGTAATTTCACTTCCTAACAACAGTGAGGATCAGCGACTTTTATTTTCATTTCCCAATCAATTGATTAGTAAATTAATCTATATATTTTGTACCTATTCTGTAGAAATCATCACGCTAATTTAAGGGTAGGGTGTCCTTCAGGAATGCAGAACAGGTCAACATTAGAATACTTATTACTACAATAAAGGAAAAACCAGATAAGTCTTCTCATAAGGCAGGAAAGCATTTGATAAAAATCAACATTTAACTGATAAAATCTTTTAGTTAAATGAGATTATAATGATATACTTTAAAATAATAAAAATGTATCTGAAGACAACAGCTAGAGCAATTTGCATGAAAAGAAGCAACAAGGCAAGGATGTCTAGTTTTACCATTATTCAGTGTTGTTTGGCAGTCTTCAACAATGCAATCAGACAAGAAAAGGAAGTAAGAGGTGTAAGTATTGAAAATAAAGTAAAAACATTTTTACTTTCAGATAGGAATCAAATAAAGAACTAATAGAATCATTAAGAGAGCCAGAAAAGTGGCCGGTCGCAGTGGCTCACACCTGTAATCCCAGCACTTTGGGAGGCCGAGATGGGTGGATCATGAGGCCAAGAGATCGAGACCATCCTGGCCAACATGGTGAAACCCTGTCTCTACTAAAAATACAAAAATTAGCTGGGCGTGGTGGCACGTGCCTGTAGTCCCAGCTACTTGGGAGGCTGAGGCAGGAGAATCACTTGAACCCGGGAGGCGGAGGTTGCAGTGAGCCGAGATCACGCCACTGCACTCCAGCCTGGTGACAGAGCAAGACTCCATCTCAAAAAACAAACAAACAAACAAAAGCCAGAAAAGTGATCAGTTGTAAATATACAAACAAAGCAATAGTCAAAATTGACCCTTTTGTACTTTTAACTGAAAATTTCTGATTGAACAGGATGATAAATTTCATTAGTAATAACAACAAAATATAATATTGGTAGAAATAAACAACAAGAAAAGTACAAGACCCAAATTAAAAGAATATATATATATATATATATATATATATATATATATATATATATGAACTATTAGAAATAAAAGAAGACTTGAATAAATGGAGATAGAATTACAGGCATATAGGTATAGATGTAGATTACAGGCATATAGGTATAGATATAAAATATCATGTTCTTGGATGGCAGAATTCAATATTGTGAGGAGGCAAAAATTTAATGCAAATGCAATCAAAGTTCTAATGGGATTTTTTGAAATCTGACAAAAATTATATAATTCATTTGGAATAATATTACACAAAAATAGCTCAGAAAAGAGTAGTGGGTAAGGTGCTCTAAAAGAGATAAAAATGTATTTTAAAGAGTCACTAATTAGAACAGGGTGATACTGGCCATAACAGTAGAAATCAATCAATGGGCCAGAATAGATGTCCACAGAATGGATCTAAATATTCATTAGAATGTAATATAAAGGTAAAGTAGAAGGATGGTTTATTCAAATAAAAGACATTATGATAACAGACTAATATTTGGGGGAAAAGTTTAGATCCTTACCTCACACTTTACATGGAAATAAATTTCAGATAAATTAACAATTTTGATATGAAAAAATAATACTATTAAAATGCTGGAAGAAAATATGAATATTTTAATAATATTCTAACAGGAGGAGACCTTTCTAATACAATACTAAATGCCAAAACCGCAAAATTTTGATAAAGTACATAAAAATGTAAAACTTTAGTGTATATGTATGTGTATGTATATGTGTGTGTGTGTATATATATATATATATGTACTTAAGGTTACCAATGCTCAATGAATATGCTTGTACCACTCATACAAGAACTTATATGCTCATATGCTTGTATCATACCAGAACTGATGGGAAATTTTTCAAGCTAGTTGTTAAACAGTCATCATTAAAAATTATGTAAACTTTCAATTAAATAAATTGCATGAAGAGCAAAGGCAATAAATACATAAAACAACCTATCTCTTCCTAAGTATTTTACTATATTTTGCTGTTACCTATCTCTTGAATTTATTTATATCTATTATATTTATATGGTGGAAATATCAGATTGCAGGGAGGAGGACAAGTGGAATCTGGGACTAATGCCACCAACACCTTCCATGTCTATTCCTTGTTATGCTCTACCCCTTTCTGCTTGTTAATATCTTCCTCTTCTACTGCAGACCAGTTTCTTTACGGCGTTGGGACATGGTACCCAGTAACTATTATACTCCCATCTTTGATTTCACTGCCAGAGAGACACAGAAGCTCTAAGACATGCTTTCTTTTTTTTTCCTTGTTTTTTTTTTTTTTGTAGGTAATTTTTTTTTTTTATTATTATACTTTAAGTTCTAGGATACATGTGCACAACATGCAGGTTTGTTACACAGGTATACATGTGCCATGTTGGTTTGCTGTACCCATCGACTCATCATTTACATTACATATTTCTCCTAATGCTATCCCTCCCCCAGCCCCCAACTTCCCAACAGGCCGTGGTGTGTCATATTCCCCACCCTGTATTCATGTGTTCTCATTGTTCAACTCCCACCTATGAGTAAGAACATGCAGTGTTTGGTTTTCTGTCCTTGTGATAGTTTGCTGAGAATGATGGTTTCCAGCTTCATCCATGTCCCTGCAAAGGACATGAACTCATCCTTTTTTATGGCTGCATAGTATTCCATATGTGTATATGTGCCATGTTTTCTTAATCCAGTCTATCATTGATGGACATTTGGGTTGGTTCCAAGTCTTTGCTACTGTGAATAGTGCCACAATAAACATATGTGTTCATGTGCCTTTATAGTAGCATGATTTATAATCCTTTGGGTATATACCCAGTAATGGGATCACTGGGTCAAATCATATTTCTAGTTCTAGATCCTTGAGGAATTGCCACACTGTCTTCCACAATGGTTGAACTAATTTACACTCTCACCAACAGTGTAAAACTGTTCCTATTTCTCCACATCCTCTCCAGCATCTGTTGTTTCCTGACTTTTTAATGATCATTATTCTAACTGGCATGAGATGGTATCTCATTGTGGTTTTGATTTGCATTTCTCTGATGACCAGTGATGATGAGCATTTTTTCATATGTAAGACATGCTTTCTTATCTAAAAATAAAAACATCTCAGAAAGCACTCTGATTGACCTGTTTGGGTCAAGTGCTAGACCAGTCATAACAGCCAGAGGGATTTGCTGGACAATTGGCCAATATTGATTCAGTGGCTGACCCTGGACCTACTTTAAGTGGAAGGTAAGATCTCTCAGAATATGGCCACTGCTTTTTTGAAACACATAGTAGAAGGAGCATTTCCTAGAGAAGCATTTTGTTCTGGGCAGACCAAAGAATGGATTTCCATGACACTGAGCTTCTGCCCTAAGTTTTACCCAGCTTTTGGAAAGATCCTCTTCAAATTACAGAAGCTTGTGAATGACAAGCAATTGGATCATGCTTAAGCCCAAAGCCTACATTATTTTTAAAATGATTCTGGAGATCATGGATTACACAGATACTTATCTTCTAAACTGATACTCCTCTGCCATTGTCAATTGAATTCATAACTTCTGAAATCCCTCTTTTTTTTTTTTTTTTTTTTTTGAGTCAAGGTCTTGCCTTGTCACCAGGTTGGAGTGCAGTGGTGTGATCATAGCTCATTGCAACCTCAAACTCCTGGGCCCAAGCAATGCTCCTGCTTTAGCCACTTGAGTAGCCAGGACTACAGGTGCCTACCACTGCCTGTAGCTAATTTTTAAATTAGTTTGTTTTCTTTTTTTTGTAAAGACTGGATCTCACTATTTTGTCCAGGCTGTGGTCATGAACTCCTGACTTCAAGCAATCCTCCCACCTCAGCTTCCCAAAGTGCTGGGATTATAGGCATGTGAAATCCTTTTATTATTTTGCTAATATATTAATCTTATATTTCAGAAACCATGAAGAAAAAACTATCACCATTTTTCCATTTGGTCTTCAAAGAAATGTATCATAGACATGAATTTAGTGAACATTTATTGAGCACTTACTATGTACCTTAGTGTCATATCCCCTACCACGCCCACACACAAAATAACAAGTAACCTCTTCCCTCAAAGCCCACACTACTGGAAGACTGGCTGTGTGTTATATTAGGTCTGTTTCAGGGCTGACATCTGCTGCCGGCCAAACCAAAGAGAGAAAGAGAAGTAGCCTCCTTATTTCAGAATCTCCATGAATCTGAGTCTCATGAGTTCTCAAAACTGCTCCCCTGTTTCTGGTGAAGAATCATGAATCCAGGCTTGAATTTAAGGCCTGGCACATAGACTGTGGACCCAAATGAAGCCTTATGGTGCTGAAGGAAAACTAGGCAGTGGGCCTAAAAGGAAATTAACATCTTTGTGCTACCTTTCTAGCTTTGTGCTGTGGTGATTTTATAATCTGTGATGTTTAACAGAGAAGCAATTATTGCTTTCTTCTGTCTTTATTTATGTTCTGTTTACAAATGAAAATCTCTATACAAGGAAGCATTCTAAGGTATCTTAACACTGACAAAATGACCATTCACTTTAAGTTATAGCCAGATGTTGGTAGGACAAAGTTACGACCAGTGATTGGGGATTATGGAGATTCAAAAGCATCTTGAATGATGGCATTTATTATGCTTCATCTGCATGTGTTGATTTTGGGAAGAAATGGTCTAAAAGTATCTGCTGACTTGAGTATTTTATCCAGCTATGAAAAGAGTTAAAGGAGTGTGTGTGTGTGTGTGTGTGTGTGTGTGTGTGTGTGTGTATCTGTGTTGGGGCATGGGGTTGGGAGATGCTCAACATGGAGAAATTCCACCTTTATGATCATGGAGGAAGTTTCAGGGGCCTGGCAATTTTGGCAAGCTGTGCCAGGCTGATACACTCAAGCCAGTTTTCAAGAGCCACTATAGCAAGGCAGGATTTGGGCCTCTTTCTCTGTCTTTGAAAACAGAGACTGCTCCAGGTCAGAGATGTCAGTGTATATAGTTAACTGTTACGGATCTTACAATAAAAATTTGTTGAAGGTCATTAAACACTCATCTCTCTATGTTTATTACTTTAGTCTTTTATTTGTTGGTAGACATAGATCGTTTGATGTCTATTACCACCACACTTGGCATTTTATGCAGTAAAGGTCCTTATGGTTCTTGATGGGTAAATAAACAAGCTAGTGAAAAGCTTCAGGGATAGTGGTTCTTGCGTTTCTGCTCACTTAACAGCCTGAAGCGAGGGGAGAAGGGCCTCTTTGCAGTTAATGTCTTCTGTGAATGATGCCTTGGGCCTGAATTCATAGCCCTGACCTGCTCCTCTCTGCTCACCCTACATGCTTTCCTCCTCAAATGTTGCAATGACCCTGGCAGCTCTCAGTGAATTGGGGCTGTACATTCCCTTTCGTTTTTTAAAAAAAGTCATCACAAAGAGCTTATTTATATGGAATGCTAATTTCTTTTGCACTTTCTTGGTGTTAAATTCAGAGTGAGCCTCTTTGTGTCAGTTCCATTTGAGGATATTTTTGTTTTGTATTTCCCTAACTACACAAATGATTAGACATTTTCTCATATTCCCACAATAGTAAGTCTAAAATATAATATTAGTTATTCTCTTGGAGTGTTTATCTTGTGTCTGTCTTTGTGCTAAATGTTCTGCCTCCATGATCTGATAGCCTCATGATGACTCTGTAGAGTAGATACTAATATAATCCTCATTTTTAAGATGAGAAAACTGGGGTAATTACTGCTTAAAGTCACACAACTAGTAAGAAGCAGAACTGGGATTCCAAAGCAAATTGATCAAACTCGGCAGGTATACACTTGACCACTTTTCTGAACTGCCCAAGCTTTGTTACTTGCATGCTTGATGCCTCAATTGTTCTGAAAACAATATTGAAATGTACATAATACTCAGATAATTTTCAAATTGTAATAAAATATGCTTAGCTCTACATGATAACTATCATAATTTATTCTTGATTTAATGTTTTATAATATTCTGCAGAATCTTATTCCTCTTTAGGATCATCATTATGAAACATCAGTTATCCTTGTCCTGTGGATATAAAAGGATGCTGGGTGTATCAGTCTATTTTCACACTGCTAATAAAGACATACCAGAGACTGGGCAATTTACAAAAGAAGGAGGTTTAATTGGACTTACAGTTCCACGTGGCTGGGGAAGCCTCACAATCATGGTGGAAGGCAAGGAGGAGCAAATCACGTATTTCATGGACGGCAGCAGGCAAAGAGAGCGAACTCATGCAGGGGAACTCCTCTTTATAAAATGATTGGATCTTCTGAGACTTATTCACTGTCAGCACAGGAAAACAGCACAGGAAAGACTTTCTCCCATGATTCAATTATCTCCCACCGGGCCCCTCCCACAACACATGGGAATTCAAGATGAGATTTGGGTGGGGACACAGTCAAATTTTTGTGTTAAAAAACCTAGATAAACCCTAGCAAATCTTAAATATGATAGATGTTTTCATTTTAATTCAATGCTGTGAAGCTGAAGAGGGAAAGGATGGGTTGTCCCTGCATTCCAGTTGGATAATTTTAAAAGCAAATGTAATGCACTAATGTTGAGGAATAGGTAGCCTGCTCACATTAAAGGAATCAGTCATTTTTCCTATTTTTCTGGAGTTGGGGGAACTGTATTTCACAGTGATATTTGTTCTTCACATTCTTGGTCCTTTAGTGGTCATAATGTGGTGGAGTGAATCATTAGTATTTGTTTTAAATAGAAAAATGGGACAGAAAATGTTATTTATTCATTAGATTTGTTAAATACCCACAGCTAAAACCTAATAATAATCTATACTATAAAATATATAGATCATTTTGAAATTACACCTAATAGTCAAAACATAAGCTTTCTCTCGAAAGGAAAAATGCTTCTGACCAAAGAAACACTTTATTTAAGCCTCTGATAAAGCCTGGGAGTTTTAGGTCTCTACCCAGGAACATGCAGATATATGTTTTGTGACTTCCTCTTGAAAATTAATTGCAGCTTCAAGAAAGCAAAAATGGTGAGCCAAACCATGCATGTGCCTTTCTCTTCAGACCTGGAACATCTCCCCCTTAAGTTTAGGAGAAAGCTGTAGCTCTTCCTTCTGTCACTGTGTTCTTATTATTGCCCTTCTCTTTAGCACTCACATTACTTAGAGTAGATTGAATTCAGAGAGTTCATAAGGTGCTGACTAACATTATCGCCTTTTATTTACAGGCACGTTTGGCATATTTATTGGAACTGGCCATTTCATGAAAAATATTTCTTCTCTAACATTAAGTATAAAATGTTATTTGTCAACAGGTGATAATTAATCATAATATTTAAATTCCTTTTGTGCATTTAGGCATATTAACATATCTAATGCATTTCTATTTGAAGTGTGTAAATCTTGAAGTGCAATATTCCACTACCCAATATAATTCTCTTAACCTTTTTATGTACATAAAAAGCTCGCATTCATATTATTCTTTTCTTTCCCAAAATAGAAAATGAGGTTCTAATACAGTATGTGCTATACATTTCTCTCCACAATGGCCTGTGACTGACTGAAGCCAAAGCTTTTAAACAATGACATGTAGCTTATATGATAAAAGAGAAATAGTCACCTAGAATCATACCAATATATTCAGCCAAGAAAATTCCTTAAAATGTCAATTGCTCAATAACAAGATCTGTATCTGTGTCCTCATCTGTAACCAATCACTTATTTTCATCATTCTCTGGACAAGTTACCTTTTTAATCTTATGTCTTGACTTATAAAATAATAACAGTACCACAATACTGTAATTGTATAACGATAACAGAGATAGTATTTAGTATCTTATACATTAAAATGGGTAACAACAAAATCAAACTCAACTGTTTTTTAGCACAAAGCGTCTCCAATAGTGTTTTCTACTTAAATTAACTTCTGGGAAATACCACGTCTTCTTGTTCTTCTTATAGGAAACTGGACCTATATTTGGAAGATTCATTTTCCAGTTCTGATTCACCACCTTGTAGTTATATGAGCTTGGCAAGTTACTTAATTGTTTAAGGTTGAGTTTCTTTTTCTAGAAGAGCTTATATATGGGCCCAAACCCTACTCCCCACCAGCTGCAAAAGCATTTTATGTGTTGTAAAAGATTTTTAAATGGAAGGTTTTAACCTAATTTATCTAAATATATCATCCTTTAGGAATACTTTCGATGAACTGTTTTCACTTCCTTAAATAGCAGTGGCTAGTTTCTTTGCCTTTTATTTCTGTGTGTCATGAAGATCATATTGAGATGAATCCTATTAGAAACACTTTAAGAAAAGAAAAGTCAGGTTTTGGGTGAATGCCTCTTTGTTTAACTCAACAAAATGTAAATGCAACAAAAGAATTTGGAAAGACGCTTGGAAGTTGAAATGGATTTTGACCTTATTGTGCCTAAAATGACTAACTTTGGTTCTTATTGTTGATAAAAACAGGAGAACCTTGTATAACCAATGCCTCACAGGTCCAGAATGTTCAGTTTTGGTTAGTGAGACTCAACCAGCAAGAGGTAATAAACTGAAGAATTTGTAGGTAGGATGGTGGTTAAGAGTATGGGTTTTAGAATCAGCTAGAGCTGGCCTGATTCCCTGCTTTGCAGTGTGTAAACTGTACATCCTTGGGTAACTTATTTAAAGGCTCTAAGCCTCAGGTTCCTTATTTGTAAAGTGGCTCAGCATTTAGAGGTGTCAGAAGGATTATTTGAGAAAATGTTAGCTCAGTGCTGAGCAAAACCCTGGCAGATGGAAGTAGTCACCCTATATAGAGTAGCTATTTTAATAGTCTTTATTCTTAAGGGTCCACAGATGTAAAGAGCTATACATACAGCCTCTTTTACATTAGCATTTTACAGAGGTCAAGATACAGCAAAGGAAGCTCCCACCAGCAAGGAATAGTCACTGACCCTATAGTTCTCTTTGGGGATAGTCCCATGGAACAGAGACTAGTGTTGGTTAAGTCAAGGCCAAATGACATGTTTATGGCTGGCACAAGGTGCCTTGTTTACAGTGAATTCCACTTATAACAATTATTTTCTGAACAATAAGCTGGGCTTGTTACTGAAGCATTAAAAACATCTTTAACAGTATAGAAGTCCCTACTTTTCACTGAGATGTTCTATTAGAAATTGGATTTTAGGTTGGATTGTCATAAACACAAAGATTAAACAATTATAAATATTCATTGAAATAATCTTTGAGTTCTAAACCCTAATAAATGGGCATACATGGGGCATCTGCATTTTACCCAAGGTACCCTCAATATTCCATAAATGTACTTATGCACACAGGATACACACAATACATATGTTCTTTTTAGTCACCAAAGAAGCTCTTTGTGCTAAGTATTATTAACCTCCTTTTACAGATGAGGAAACTGAGTTTCAGAGAGTTTAAATAGCTTACCTAACTTCAAAAACAAAAAGTAGAGGAGCCAGAATTTGACCCAACTGTGTCTGAATAAAAAATTCCTATTCATCCTACCATATACTCCCCACAGCTAAACAATTCACCCGATCTCAGCTGATGTGGAAAGGATGCCACCCTCCCTTGCTTTGGTGTCCCTGGGGGGAGTATATAGGCTATCAATATGGCAATGAGCCTCAGTACAGAGAAGCACATTGTATATCAAAGTTACATTCCAGGAAAAGTCCAACTTACAGCCAAAAGACATATAAAAGGCAATTCTTTCCTTAGGGTGATAGAAATGGAAGGCCTAGATTCATTCCCACAACACCACCACCCACCACTTATAATCTATTAGCACTGCCCCTGTAACATTTTAAATAACACTTAAAAAGTATTACACGAATAATAAAACAAGAATAAAATTATTCTTACTTTAAGAATGTCAACTCTGGGATAAATGGATGAATTTTGTACCAAAGAGAATGACTATATAAACCTATCTTGTAGATGGAATGGATTAGGCAGAAAGAAGGTTATAAAGACTTTTCCACTTCTACATCTATCTCTGTGAACTCCATATCTGCATCCAGGCCATCACACACAGGGGAGCTTTTCTCCCCTCTATCTTTCTTCCAGACAATACAGAAGGAATAAAATGTCCACTGAAAACATTGTACATACTTTGGTATAAGAAATCACACAATAAGACATTGGTGCTGCCTACAAGCGTTTGCTGCATGACATACTGTTCATATAGATGTAATGTTTCATGACAAAGCAAAATGTATCCTGTATAAATGATCTATTTAAGTGTGAAATAGAAAACACACTCTCCTTGTTTGTTTTAACATTTGCTGATGGTACCACTTCTCCTTTGCCTCTTTCTACTGCTTTCCTATGTGCCTTTTCAGCTTTGCAGCAGCAGCAGCAACAGCAACAGCATCTAATAAAAATAATAACAACAGCTAACATTTGTTAAACACACTGTAATGTTTATTGGTTCCTTTGCTCTCCACAAACTCTAATCATAAAAATTATTGTCATTACCAATTTACAGATGAAGAGATTGAGGCTTGGAAATTATCTGATTATTAAGTGTGTAGCAAATTCTGGTTCTTACTAGGATGAATTAAGCATAAACCACCTTGTCTCTCCCAGTGAGTGTGTTATAAAACCTGAATAGAATGCATGGAGCAGTTATTTGAAGACCCTGCAAAGTGAATAGTAGTTGGTGAATCGGGAAAGAAAACCAGAATTTGAAGTGTCTCTGATCAGGCCATTGATTTTTTTCTCTCTGGCTTAAACTCAGTGCAACCCAAAACCCAGAAGTGGGTGCCATGGTGCAGAGAGAGCTTCAGGAGAAACCCTCTACTTCTGGACTGAGAAGCAGCAGAGGGAACTCCTAACACTCAGAGAGGGTGAGGAATATCACTCATTTTTCTTTTTCTTTTCTTTTTAAAATATTTTCTCCTTTCTCTTGCAGTCTTATCTTAAGCAATTCTGTGGTAATGGCATGGGTATGAAAGCCAAAATTTTCAGAGAGGTGAGCTTTCCTTTGATCTATAGAACTGTGGTCCTAAGAGAATTTGCCTGACAGTGCAAACTCCTGTTGCTATGCTAGATTGAAGTAACTGAAGCCTTAGCTTTTTGGCCAGAGGACTGAAGGTACTGGGAATTATTTTCCCAGGAGTTCCCAGTACCAGAAACTACTTAAAAGATTATGAAGAGGAAGGAGCTTTGGAAGTGACCCCTATAAAATTATTTATGAACTCCAGGGCTTACCCCTGAACTGTGCATGCATGGATCCGGTCCCAATCAGCACGTAGAATTCTCTGGGAAGTGAAGTAACAGATAGCCTGCTGCCCAGGTCCCAGACTGACCACCGGGTGGTGCATATGCAGGATGGATCTGAATATCATTGAAAAAGGCTTAAAAAACTGAAGAAACTCAAAACCATAGCCCACAGGAAATGAGTTAGAACTTGCAGCCTGAACTCAATGAGGCTGATTGCCAGGTAAAACAAAAACATCAACATTCTCCGTAGGATTTAAACCAGTCCCAGATTTTTATAAGACAATATTAAAAATGTCCAGATGCAATTCAAAATTACTTGGCATTTTGAGTGAAAAATGGAGACTTTTTTCACCTGAGAAAAAAACAATCAATGAAAGCCAATTCAAAGATGACACTGATGCTCTAATAATTGACAAAGACTTCAAAGCATCTATTATAAAAATCCTCCAACAAGTAACTCCAAACACTCTTGAAATGAATGGGAAAGTAGAAAGTCATAGCAAAGAAACAGAAGGTATAAAGACACATCAAGGGGACATTTTAGAATTGGGAAATACAATAACTGAAATAAACTCACTGGATGGACTGAATAGCAGAATGGAGACGACAGAGTAAGAAGTCAGTGAGCTTAATGATAGATCAATAGAAATTATCTGAGGTAAACAGGAAAGAAGGAGTAAAAAATATATTAGCAAAGAGTCTTCCAATTTCAGCTCCACATGTAAAGAGCTTGGAAGTTACCACTCCTGATCTTACAACAAGAAAAGCTAGATAAACTAAAAATTAATGACTTTTCTTGGACCCATCAGATAACTGAGTTTACAGGGGTAAACACAACCCTTAAGTCAGAGAGACAAGCACATTCAGAGAGACACAGCTGAGATCATCTTGCCTGGAGCAGAAGCCAGTGGAGTCATAGACTGGTGGGACCAATTAAATGGTAAATTTTACAAATTGCTGGAGATTGAGATTGTGGATAACTAAGAGAATGAGAAATTCCCAGTGACTGCAGTCTTTCCTGGGCCTTATCTCTAGGAACCTCACCAGGTACTCACAGCAAAGAGCCGACAAAGATCCCCTCATGGCTTTGGCAGGGGAGCGGAAGAATAATCATTGTGAAATACACTCAGAGCCTTCTCCATAACAAAGGGCTACATTCCAGGGGAAAGGACTTTTCCAGAGCCTTATTCCAGCTAGGGAAAAGAAATTCCTCTTATTCCAGCCCCCTCCAGTCGTCCTGTCTCAACTAAAGGAGAAATATCATAGTTAGCAGGGGTCAGGGCTTCAAGGAAACAAAGCAGGAATACTGCATCTAGGGAAGAATACTTCACAAAGAGAAAAACTTTGAAGATCACAATCATGAGACATAGATCCATAAATGATGGAGAGTTAATCAGAGGATTACAGAATGTCCTTCCCTTCCCACAGTTTACTATCACACCAACAGGGTACCAGTATAATAACAGTAGGTTACAACTGAAAGGATTGCTAGACACAGGTTCTTCTTAGCAGGAGTACTTAGGGGAGTCTAAAGTCAAGAGGTAACAAAACAATAACACTATGAAGGTTCTGGCACGTATAGCTAGAGAAAACATTAAACACAGCTCAACTCCATAGAGATTAATATAAATCCTTGCACTAAATTCTATTTATCTTAGTTCCTATTATTCCACACAATGTGTCTGCTTTCAATAACAAATTACAAACCATGACAAAAGGCAACAAAAAGTAGTCTGAAGAGATAAAGCAATCATCAGAATAAGACTCAAATATAACATAGATATCAGAATTATCAGACAGGGAATTGAAAGTAACTATGATTAAGATGTTAAGGGCTGTAATGAAAAAGGTAGACAATATGCAAGAACAAATGGGTAATGTAGCAGAAAAATAGAAACTCTAAGAAATAATTAAAAGAAAATGCTCTATATAAATGAAAAACATTGCAACAGAAATGAGGAAGTCTTAGGAGGCTCATCAATAGGCTTTACAAAGCTGAGGGAAGAGTCAGTAAACTTCCAATATTTAGAGCAATATAAACTTTCCAAAATAAAACACAAGGAGAAAAAGATGATAACGAATCAGAACAGAACATGAAAGAACATCCAAGAACTGTGGCAATATAGTATGCCAGAATGAGAAGAAATAGAGAACAGAGCAGAAGAAATATTTGAAGTAATAATGTCCCCAAACTTTCCAATACTAATGAGAAACATCAAAACACATATCTAGGAAGCTTAAAGAACATTGAGCAAGATAAATACCAACAAACCCACATCAAGGCTTATACTCACACTGCAGAAAATCAAAGACAAAATATTGAAAGAAGCCAGAGGGGGAAAAAAACACCCCACCTAAGGAGCAACAGGGGTAAGAATGACAGTGGACTTTTTATCAGAAATTACACAAGCAAGAAGAGAGTGAAGTAAAATATTTAAAGGGTTGAAAGACAAATACCACCAACCTAGAATTCTATACCCAACACAATTATCCTTCAAAGCCTTTCTCAGACAAACAAATAACAGAGAATTCATCACTAGCAGACTTGACCTGCAAAAATGTTGTGAGATGTTCCTCAGCAGATAATATATGTCAGAAGCTCATATCTACGGAAAGAAATAAAGAGTATTAGAGAAGCAATAAATGAAGGTAAATCATTTTTCTTGTTGAGTTAAAAGATAAGTGTTTAAATAAATGGTAATAACAATGTATTGAGTGATTACAGCACAAATGAATGAAATGAATAACAGCAATGTCACAAAGGATGAGAGGGAGGAATTGAGAATTATAAGGTGCCTACACTACACATGAAGTGCTATAGGGTTATTTGAAGGTAGTCTTACATTAGTTAAAGATATATATTGTAAACTCTAGGTAAACAACTAGCCTTCTAAAAAGTATAATTTATATGCTGAGAGGAGAGAAAATGAAATCATAACATGACCTGTTAAAATCAGAGAAGGTAGAAAGATGGAAAAACAAAGAATAAAAGCAATGGATAGGAAAGTTACAAATATGCAGATATTAATATAACTATATCAATTAGAACTTTAAAAATTAAAGTCAGGGACCTGTGGGGTAATAACAAAAGGGTTAACATTTGGTTTATCGTAGTCTCATGGAGTGTAGAAAAGGCATATTGCTAAAAAAATTATTTGAAGAAGTCCAGGTGTGGTGGCTCATGCCTGTAATTCCAGGGATTGAGGAGGCCCAGGTGGAAGGACTACTTGAGCCCAGGAGTTTGAGCCCAGCCTAGGAGGCATAGTGAGACCTGTCTCTTAAAACATTTTTTTTTTCAAAAATTAGTTGGCCATGGTGGCTTGCACCAGTAGTCCCAGCTTCTCAGGAGGCTGAGGTTGGAGAATGGCTTGGGCCCAGGAGTTCAAGGCTGCAGTGAGCTATGATTGTGTCACCATACTCTAGCCTGAGCAACAGAGCAAGACCCAGTCAAAAAAAATTTAAAGAAATAATGGCTGATAACTTTCCATATATATAAAAAAAACAAGAATGTACAGGTTCAGTAAGCTAAGGAAATCCCAAACAAGACAAATCCAAAGAAATCAATGTCTAGACACATCATAAACCACTGAAAACTAAAGACAAGGAAAAAATATTTCAAAGCAGCCAAAGAAAAATAATGCATTGTTTATGGAGAACAACAATTAGAATGACTGTGTATTTGTCATTAGAAATCATGAAGGCCAGGTGCCAAGAACATACAATAGGGAAAGAATAGTCTTGTCAATAACTGATGTTGGAAAAATCTGGATCTCTGCATGCAGAAGAAGAAAGTTAGATCCTTATCTTGCATTGTGTATGTATTAAGCCATTCTTGTGTTACAATAAAGAAATACCTGAGGCAGGGTAATTTATAAAGAAGAAGTTTAATTGGCTCACTGTTCTGCAGACTGTACCGGAGGCATAGTGCTGGCATAGACTTCTGGTGAAGGCCCCAGGAAGCTTACAGTCATGGTGGATTGCAAAAGGGGAACAGGCATCTCACATGGTAAGAGCAGGAGCAAGAGAGAGAGGGAAGGAAAATGTGCCACACATTTTTAAACAACCAGATCTCATGAGAAATCACTACCAAGGCGACAGCACTATACCATTCATGAGAGATATGCCACCAGGATGGAAACACTTACTACTAGGCCCCACCTCCAACAATGGGGATTGCATTTCAACATGAGATTTGAGGAAACAAATATCCAAACTATATTAGTGTATAAAAATCAACTCAACATAGATTAAAGACTTAAGCGTAAGACTTGAAACTGTAAAACTACTTAAAAGAAAACAGAGAAAGAAAGCTTCCAGACATTGGTCTGGACAATGATTTTTTGGCTATGGACCCTAAAACACTGGCAACAAAAGCAAAACTGGACAAATGTGATTGCATCAACCAAAAAACTTCTGCACAGCAAAGGAAACAACAGAGTGAAGAGACAACCTACAGAATGAGAGAAAATATTTGTAAACCATACATCTGATAAGGGGTAAATATCCAAAATAGATAAGGAACTCAAGCAACTCAATACCAAGAAAACAACTCAATTCAATAAATGGGCAAAGTATGGTAGGGTAACTATAAAATAGAGGATTTTGAATGTTCTCACCAGAAAAAAATGACAAGTGCTTGAGGTGATGGATATGCTTATTACCCTGATTGGTCATTATACAATGTATACATGTATCAGAACATCACACTGTACCCCATAAATATGCATAGTTATTATGTGTCAATTAAAACAAAATAAAACTTTAAAAAACTTGGCAAAGGGCCTGAATAGACATTTCTTAAAAGAAGACATACGGATGGCCAATAGGTATGTGAGAAATTCTCAACATCATTAATTATCAGGGAAACACAAGTTAAAACCACAATGAAGCCAGGCGTGGTGGTTCATGCTTCTAACCCCAGCACTTTGGGAGGCTGATGTGGGCAGACTGCTTGAGCCCAGGAGTTCAAGACCAGCCTGGGCAGCATGGTAAAACTTCATTTCTACAAAAAATAAAAATATTAGCTGGGCATGATGGTGCGTGCCTGTAGTCCCAGATTATGCCACCGCACTGCAGCCTGGGTGAGAGAGAGAAACCCTGTCTCAAAACAAACAAACAAAAAACAAAAACAAAGCAATCAAAAAAACCCACCATGAAATATCATCTCTACCTGTTAAAATGTGTATTATGAAAAAAACAAAAGATAGCAAGTGTTGGTAAGGATATGGAGAAAAGAGAATCCTTTTATGTTGCTAATTGAAATGCAAATTGGTACAGCCAATATGGAAAACAGTATGAAATTTCCTGAAAAAATTAAAAACAGAACTACCATATGATCCAACAATCTTACTTCTGGGAATATATCTAAAGGAAATGAAATCAGTATGTCAAAGAGATATCTATACTCCTATGTTCACTCCAGCATTATTCACAATAGCCAAGACATACAGTCAATCTAAATGTTCATCAACAGATGAATGGATAAAGAACATGTGGTAAAATACACAATGGAATATTTTTCAGCCTTAAGAAGGAAATCCTGTCATTTGTGACAACATGGATGAACCTGGAGGACATTATGCTAACTTAAATAAGCCAGACAAAGGAAGACAGACTTACATGATCTCACTTAAATGTTGCCTTAGTCCATTGTGTGCTGCTATAACAGAATACCTGAGGCTGGTAATTTATAATGAACAGAAATTTATTTGGCTCAAAGTCCTGGAGGCTGGGAATTCCAAGAGCATGTCACCAGCATCTTGTGAGGGCCTTCATGCTGCCTCATCCTGTGGTGAAAGGCAGAAATGCAAGAGATAGGGAGAGCAAGAGCAAGAAGTGGCTGAACTTGCTTTTACAAGCTCACTTTTGAGATAATGAACCTATTCCCATGATAATGACAATCCATTCATGAAGGCAGAGCCCTCATAACCTAATCACCTTTTATTAGGACCCATCTTCCAACACTGTGCATTGGGGATTAAATTTCCAACACATGAAATTTGGGCGACATGTTCAAACCGTAGCATCTATGAAATCTAAAAAAGTTGAATCCATAGAAACAGAGTAGAATGTTGTTTACCAGGGTCTAGGGAGTGGGGAAAGGGGAATAGGGACATATTGGTCAAAGGGTACAAAATTTCAGTTAAACAGGATAAATAATTTCCAGAGATCTATTATACAGCATGTGACTATAGTTAATAATAACATGTTGTATGCTTGAAAACTGCAAACAGGTTAGATATTAAATATTCTTACCTCCTCCCCCGACCCCTGGCCACAAACACAAAAGAAAAAAAGAAACCATGAAGGCTAGAAGGAAGTGACACATTTTTAAAGTGCTGAAAGTAGGGAAAGTCAACCCAGAATTATAGATCAAGTGAAAATATCTTTTATGAATGAAGGTGAAATAAAGATATTCCCCCCACCCCACTCACTAGCCCCTGGTAACAAACATCCTACTCTGTTTCTATAAATTAAACTTTTTTAGATTCCATAGATGCTATGGTTTGAAAATGTCCCCCAGATTTCTTTGTCAGATAAAGAAAAACTAAGAAATTCATTGCTAGGAGATCTACTCTAAAAAAATTGCCAAAAGACAGAAGGGATACGATGTTGAAGAACACATAGAATGTTAGGAATGAAGAAAGAGCAGTAGAAATGATAAATATCTGGGTAAATATAAAAGCCCATTCTTTTCCCGTAAGTTGTTTAAAATGTTTTTAATCATTGAAAGCAAAAATTATGGCTTTATCTGACATCTATCAAGTATATACCTGCAATATGTAAGACAAGCGTGACATAAAGAAGAGAGGATGAAAAGTCCTAGGTAGTGGTAAATTTCTGCACTCAAGAAGTGGTAAAACACTAATTCTAAGTAGACTGTGAAAAGTTAGATATGTATATTGTATTCCCTAGAGACAGTGCTAAAAAATTATAAAAAGAAACATAGTTTTAAAAAAATCCAACAAATAAAATGGAATACTGAAAACTGTTCACATAATCCAAGCCAGGAATTGGAAAACAGAGGAACAAAAACCAAACAGAAAACAAATAAAAATTTGTAGACTTAAATCCAAGCATGCCAATGATATCAATAAATGAAAATGGCCAAAACACATTAATACAAAGACAAATGATCAGAATGCATAAAAAGACATGACCTAACTATAAGCTATTTATAAGAAACTCTCTTCATGTGTAGTGATATTAGTAGATAACAAGTAAAAGGATGGAAAAAGATATATCATGCAAATACCAGTAAAAAGAAATTAGGTTCTTTAGAAAGGTCAGTAAATTACTACACCTTCAGAAAGACTACCAAAGAAAAAAGAGAACACACAGAATTACCAGTAGCAGGAATGAAAGATGGAATATAACTACAGACCCCGTAGACCTTAAAAGGATGATAAGGAGGCTACAAATAACTCTACATGCATGGAATCATCAACTTATATGAAATGGATCAATTCTTAAAAACCACAGACTAGCATAGCTCATCCAAGATAAAATAGACATTCTGAGTAGTCCTATAACTATGAAAACAATTGAATTTATAGTAAAACACAACCTTCCAAAAAAAGAAATATCCAGGCTCAGATGGTTTCACAGGTTAATTCTACCAAATATTTAAAAAACAGATAAAACCAATTCTATACAATGAATTCCAGAAAATAGAAAAGAGGGAAGCCCTTTCCAGCTTATTTTACTAGATCAGCACTACCATGATGCCAAAATCCAGCAAATACAGTCCAAGAAACCCCCACTACACATTATTATTCTTCATGAACGTAGACACAAAACACTCAAATATGAAAACAAATCCAACAATATGTAAAAAGGATAATAAGCCATCTAGAGATGTAAAGCAGTTGAATATTCAGAAATCAATCAATATAATCTACCATATGAAGAGTCTAAATAAGAAGCACCATATATTCATATAAATTGATGTAGAAAAAGTATGTGACAAAATTCAATATGCATTCATGATGAAAACTCTCAGCAGACTAGAAATAGAAACTTCCTGAAACTGATAAAGGGCATCTACAAAAACCCTACATCTAACATATTTAATTATGAAAAATGAAGGCTTCCTCACTAAGACTGGAAAAAAGGGAAGGATGTTTATTCAGCCACTCCTATTAAACACTAAACCGGAAGTCCCAACTAGTGAGATAAAGCAAGAAAATAAGAAGGCATGTGGACTGGAAAGGAAGAAATAAAACTGCTTCTATTCGAGGTCAACATAATTGTTTATATAGAAAATCCCAAGAAACCTACAAAGGTCTCCTAGAACTAGGTAAGTTTAGCATGCAAAGTGAGTTTAAGATACAAGGCCAATATATAAAAACCAATTGTATTTTTATATATTAGCAATGAGCAATTAGAAATAAAAGTTAAAAAATGCCATTTATAACAGCACAAAATGCTGTAAATATAGCAAAATATGTATAATATCTGTATGATGAAAACTTAAAAATGCTGATGACAAAAGTAAAAGGAGACCTAAATAAATGGAGAAACATATCATGCTCAGGGATTAGAAGAATGAACACAGTAAACATGCTGATTCTCCTCAAGTTGATCTAGAGATTTAATGCAATTCTAATAAACATTTTATCAAGAAATCTTATATTTATCAATACTTAATTTAAAAGTTTATATGGAAAGGCAAAGGAACTAAGAAAGCAAAAATGATTTAGAACATATGCAATGGCTCTTTAGTAAATGGTACTAGGAGAATCGGATATCCACAGACAAAAGAATGAAATTGCATGGTTATCTTACATCACACACAATAATCC
This sequence comes from Homo sapiens, assembly GCF_000001405.40. Taxonomy (NCBI): domain Eukaryota; kingdom Metazoa; phylum Chordata; class Mammalia; order Primates; family Hominidae; genus Homo; species Homo sapiens. Next base: position 176,864,879 of record NC_000002.12, on the reverse strand, counting down.
ACTCAAAAAGGATTAAAGACATTAAACACAAGACCCTAATTAAGTGTAAGACCATTAAAATTCTGGAAGAAAACATAGGGAAAAAGCTCCTTGACATGGGTCTTGACAATGGTCTTTTGAATGTGATACCCAAAGCACAAGCAACAAAAGCAAAAATAACGTGAAACTACATCAAACTAGAAAGTTTCTGCAGAACAAAAGAAACAACAGAGTCAAGAGACAACCTACAGAATGGGAGAAAATATTTGCAAACCATATGTCTGATGGGGGCTAATATCCAAAACATACAAGGGACTCAATACAATTCAATGGCAAACAATCTGAGTAAAAATGAGCAAAAAGAGACATTTTTCCAAAGAAGACATACGAATGCCAAACAGGTATATGAAAAATTGCTCAACATCACTAATCATCATGCAAATCAAAACCTAATGGCTATCACCTCACACTTGTTAGAATGGCTATTACTGAAAAGTAAAAAAATAACAAGTATCAGCAAGGTTGTGGAGAAAAGGGAGACCTTGTACACTGTTGGTGGGAATATAAATTAGTACTGTTTTTAAGGAAAACAGTGTGGAGGCTCCTCAAAAAACTAAAAATAGAGCTACCATATGATCCGGCAATCTCACTTCTGGGTATATATCCCAAGGAAAAGAAATCAGTGTGACAAGGAGACATTCTTGTGTTCATTGCAGCATTATTTACAATAGCTGAGATATGGAATCAATGCAAATGTCCACTGATGGATGAATGGATAAAGAAAATGTAATGTACATATAATATATACAATGAAATACTTTTCAGCCTTAAAATAGAAGGAAATCCTACCATTTGCGGCAACGTGTGTGAACCTGTTGGACATTCACTTATTACGTGAAATAAGCCAGACACAGAACAAATACTACAAAATCTTACTGGTATGTGGAATTAAAAAAATTCAAACTCATAGAAATAGTAGAATGGTGGTTGGCAGGGGTTGGAGGTGGATGTGGATCAAAAATAAAATGTATTAGATAAATAAGTTCTGGGAATCTAATGTACAACATGTGGTAACTCCAGTCAATAATAATGTATTGTCTACAGTACTTGAAGTTTGTTAAGAGAACAGATATTAAGTGTTCTTGTCAAAAAAAAAAAAAAAGGAAATATGTGAGGTGATGGGTAGGGTAATCAGCTTGATTGGTGGAAAAAAGAAAATAATACTATTCGAGGAATTCCACAATTCAATTTTAAGAATTACTATAAAGCTACAGTAACTAAGACAGTGTGGGATTGATGACAGGATAGACACCTAGATCAATGGAATGGAATAGCTAGGGCAGAAATAGAGCCATTCAAACATGAACAACTGATTTTTGACAAATTGAAAGGCAATTCAACGGGAAAAGGATAGTCTTTTCAACAAATGATGATGAAACAATTGGACATCCAAAAGCCCAGAAAAGAACCTGAATGTAACCCTACACATTTTCCAAAAAATTAACACAAATGAATTATAGATCTAAATATAAAACATAAAGTTATAAAGCTTTCAGAAAAAAAACAGAGGAGAAAACATTTGTTACCTAGTGTTAAGTAAATACACCCAGTAGAATAGCTAAAATTTTTTAAAAATTCTGACAGTAACAAGTACGGGCAAAGATATAGAGTAACTGTAACTCTCATACACTGCTGGTGGGAATTCAAAATGTACTCTGGAGAAAAGTTTAGCAGTTTCTTACAAAGTTTATGCATTTAGCATGTAACCCAGCAATCCCACTCCTGGGTATTTACTCTAGATAAATATAAAAACCAACTCCATTTTATAATGCCCCACACTGGAAACAACCCAAATAGCCCTCAAATGGGATATGGGTAAACAGTGGCACAATCACATAATGTAACAATACCCAGCACTATAAATGAATGAATGATCGATACATGCAATAAGGTGAATCTCAAAGGCAGTATGCTGAATGAAAGAAGTCAGTCTCAAAAACTATGTGTTGTATAATTCCATTTATACAACATTCTCAAAAAAATAAAAAATATAGTGATGGAGAGAAAAAGCAAATCCAAAGTTTGCCAAGAGTTAAGGGTGAGGGTAAAATAGCATGGGGAAGTTTTTGCGATAACAGAACTGTTCTCTATTCTGATTGCGGTGGTGGCAACACAAATATTTACATTTATTAAAATTTATAACTGTACACCAAACAGGTCAATCTTACTGCATGATTATTTAAGAAATAACCATTTAAAAGAAGCATCCAGAGCGAGGTTTGTCTGACGCTAGAGTTCACATTCTTTACAAAATACTTGATGCTGCCTTACAAATCTTCAAATAGACATTCATGAATACATGTGTTTATTATAAAGATCGAATAAATGAGACAATGACATGTGAGCCATTGAAAATGGGAATATTTATATATTTATATAATAACTAATTATCGTATTTAGATCAGAAGTCTGGGTAAATGGAGCTGTACTTCATCTGGGCTTTGTTCAGCACTTAGTGTCCAGTTGATTTCAGATGTATCTTGAATCTGTCTTTTCCCTAACTTCTGTCCAGGTCAAGCCACTTTCTTCCTCTTACCTGAAATGTTTCAGAAATTCTGCCAACCAGTCTCCAGTCCTCCAGGTCCATCTTCTTCAAACCCATCCTCCACAGAGCTGCCAGGGAGATCCTTATAAACCTGACCTTGCCATGTTCTTGCTTGTTAAATAAGCTCCTTCATGGGGGCATACAGTGTTTTATTATCTGGTTTCACCCTGTCTCTGGCAACATCTCCCCATTCATAGCACAGGTGTCCCAGCCATTTGAGCAACTTCCACCCTCTGCACCCCTTTTTATTCTTCTTTGCTTACTTCAGCTCATCTTTCAAGATCCAGCTTTCTGAAGTCTTCTGTGAAATAAGAAGAAATGTATATTGGTCTCTGCCCCCAGATCCTGACATGGAGCTCCTAAAACCCTTGTATGTAGGGGTACCAGGAGAATCTTTTGTTCCTAAATAGCCTTAGGATGGGCAAGGGAAGGATTAGCTTCCAGGGGGACAAACCATGTGATTCGAGGGCTGAAACTTTCAGCCCCATCCCCTGGCCTCCAGGAAGCAGAGAGGGTCTGAAGGTTGAGCTGATCACTAATGACCAATGATGCAATCAATTGTGGTCCCTGGAGGGTGGTGCACCTGGAGAGGGCATGAAAGCTCCATGTCTCTTCCCACATACCTTGCCCTTTGCATATCTTCTATGTGGCTGTTCTTCTGTATTCTTTGCAATATTCTTTATAATAAACTAGTAAACATAAGTGTGTCCCCAAGTACTGTGAGCCATCCTAGCAAATTAATTGAACCCAAGGAGGGGGTCATGGGAACTCTGATATGTAAGTGGATGGGTCAGAAGTCTAGGTGACAACCTACTACTTGTGACTAGCATCTGAAGTGGGGGCAGTCTTGTGAGACTGAGCCCCTAACTGTGCGATATGATGCTACCTCTAGGTAAGTCGTGGCAGAATTGAATTGAGTTATAGAACACCTAGTTAATGTTCCCTGGAGAAGTGCTTGGTCAGTGGGGGAGAAAAAAAACACATACATTTTGGTGATCAGAGGTGAAGCGTTTTGTGTTGTGTTGACTGTGTGAAAAAAAAAAAAAAGGTAAGGTTTATCTCTGACACCTTCGGTGATTCCAGGCTGGACTATATGTGCCATCCCCAAGGTTGCAGAACAGCCCATGTTTGCTTCTGCCATGACCCTTGCTGCAGTGTTTTGGGACTGTCTATTCTCCCATCCATCCTCATTAGACTGTGGGGCCTCTAGAGCAGGGGCTGCAATTTAATCCCATATCCCTACTCCCAGCATATGGTAGGAACTCAATACACATTTATTTAATAAATTTAAACTAAAACCATCTGAAATCCTTTTTGGAAGGAGACAATGTAAACAAACAAATACAAGCTACACATTGATGCTTCATATGGACTGATAATGATTTGGGGGGAATAGCCATAAATACAGTATGATGAAAATAACTGTTTCCTTTTGCGTAGAAGAGTAGGAAAAAGCTGCTTGAATCATGATAAATTGAGGGAAAACGAGGAATTGAGGAGATGGCAGCAGCTGGAATTTGGAGTCTCCTTCCTCAATGAAGAGCAGAAGTGGAGGGGAAGAGAAGGATTGTGTACCTGCCCATTGGGATTTCAAACGGGTCTCTCCCTTTGTGAGTGCTGCAGTCAGCTTGGGTGTTGTCAGCCCACTGTAGAAACCCCATACCTATGGAAATGGATAACCTGTGACTTCCTCAAAGATATTCATGCTAAGAGGAAGTTTAAAAGTGAATCATCTTTCTTTAGTCATGATTTCTTTACATGATAATGCTGGTGCCAGTCTGGAAGCATAAAGAGTGCTGGGTTCATGTGTGATGGGGGGCAATGTACATACATTCTTCAGCTGTTTGCTCTATGAGTGTGCCTTTCTTTAAGTGGACAGACTGCTTCGTTTAAAACATTTTTTATTCTGATTCTGAGCCCATGCTTATACATTTAATTTTTGATTTACATGCAGGAATATTCATTATTTGGTCTACTATTCTTTAAGTTTTGACAAATGCATAGAGTCGTCTAAGTACTACCCAAATCAAATGGCCAGAAGATTCCATTACTGCCCCAAAATTACCTTGTGCTAACCCTTTGTAATCAATCCCTTCCCCACTCTCAACCTCTTGTGGCCTTGATCTGATCTTTGTCCACGTAGTTTTGCCCTCCTAGAATATTATATATGTAGCCTTTGAAACTGGCTTCTTCTATCCTGCCTAAAGCATTTGAGATTCATCTATGTTGTTGCCTGTAACAATACTGTTACGGGGTGAATTGTGCCCTCCCCACAAAATTCCTGTTGAAGTCCTAACCCCTAGTACCTCAGAACGTGACTGTATTTGGAGATACAGTCTTTAAAGAAGTAATTGAGCTAAAATCAGGTAATTAGGGGACCCTAAGCCAATGTGACTGGTGTCTTTACAAGGAGAGAAAACCTGGATTCAGACAAGCACGGTGTAAAGACCACATGAAAACACGGAGAAGGCATCCATCTACAAACCAAAGAGACAGGGGTCAGAAGAAGTCAACCCTGCCGTCACCTTGATCTCAGACACCCAGCCTCCACAACGGTGAGGTGATAAATTTCTGTTGCTTAAGTCATCCAGACTGTGGTACTTTGTTATGTTAACAAACTACAAATAGTTTGAGGCTTTTATTGCTGAGTAGTTTTATGGATCCATTTTACAGACTTACCAGTTTGTTTAATCTCTTTCCCAGTTGAGGGATATTTGGGTTATTTCCAGTTTTTAGCAATTATGAATAAAGTTGCTATAAGCAGTCATAAGTTTTTGTGTGAACATAGGTTTCCATTTCATGTGGGTAAATACAAAGGAGTAGGATTGTTAGGTTGTAAGAAACTGCCAAAAACTGTTTTCAAAGTAACTATCATTTTGCATTTCCACAGTAATATATGAGGGTCTACTTGTTCTATATCCTGTTTAGCACTCTGTGTTTTCAGGTTTTTAAAAATTTTAGCCATTCTAATAGGTATATGTTGGTACTCACTGTGGTTTTAATTTGCATTTTCCCACTGACTATGTTCAGCCTCTTCTCATATGCTTATTTACTATCCAAATATCTTCTTTAATAAAGCATCCATTTAAATCTTTTGACCAGTTTTAAACTGAATTACTGGTTTTCTTATTGTTGAGTTCTGAGAGTTCTTTATACATTCTAGATATATGTAGTTTTCTTCACAATCATGTAATTTTTCTTCTTTAGTCTGTTAATGCAATGAATTACATTAATTGATTTGTGAATGTTGAACCAGTGTAGCATTTCCAAGATAAGCCATGTTTTTTTGTGATGTATTCTTTTTATATAATGCTGGATTAGATTTTCTAATGTTTTGTTGAGGGTTTTTGTGTCCATGATCATGAAGGTTATTGGACAGATCATTTGTTTAAAAATAGTATTCTAAAATATGTTCTTTAAGGTTATTTTCATCATTCCTATTTTATGGATGACAAATTGAGGTTAAAGAAGTTAAATAATTTCACCAGAGCTGGTAAGTGGTAGAGCTGGGACTTGAACCTAGGTAATCAGACACAAGCCTGTGCCCTTAACCACTAAAACCTACTTTCTCTGGAAGACTCAAGGTGGAACTGATGTCCAGTGGTGAATTCCTCAGAAGCAGTAACAACGATGATAGATTAGCACAAAAGGAAGGTATTGTTGGATTATAGAGCATGGGATCTGGCATCAAAATACCTGGGTTCAAATCTCAGATCTGCTACTTACTAGTTAAATGAGCTTGAGAAACCTTTAAGTGCTTTAGGGTCCCCTTTTACAAAATAGAAATAATAATAATAATAGGTTGGTGCAAAAGTAATTGCAGTTTGCCATTGAAAGTAATGGCAAAAACCCCAATTACTTTTGCACCAACCTAATGCATAATTTGATTGTTGTAAGGGTTGAGATAAGATATCTAGTTATGATTGTGGTACTGATTAATACATATTGCAAGAGCTTGATGATACTTAATTTAATGGGATACATTCATCATAAATAAATCTTTGTTTACTAATTGACTCTATGGCTATGTACTGAACCCAAGCCTGGATAGTTAACTTTGTGTATTCTAGTTATTGCATTTCAAACCCTTATAATGATACCTCACAAATGGCTGCAGCAGGTAGGCAAGATAGAATAGTCAAGGATAATTTGAAAAATAAGTGACAGCATACTCTCTTGAAGGTCTCCTATCAGTCTTATACATAAAGGACAGTAATTTAGGAAAGCCTATCTCAGATGTTAGCTGGAGTCTTCCTATTCCTCAAGATTGACTCGAACCCCTAATTCCAAAGCATTTCCCAAGTTCTGTGAATCCCTGAGGGGGAAACGAAGGCAGGGGAGAGGATTTACATTCTCACGGCCATCTCTGGCTGCCCTCTCCTGAGTCCATGCGCTGAATCTTTTAGGGAGTTTCTGCCTGCGTCACATCAAGACCTTCCTTGACTTCTACCAAAAGAAAAGAAATCCAAGACATATGTTCAGTACACATTACTTGAGACTTTTGGGGACACAGGAGGGGTTTACATCACAGCAAAGTGAATAACCTTAAGTAGAATTTATTCATCTCCTCAAGAGTTACTCTATCCCCCCCACATCATATCACTACAAGGGATTTTTTTCACCAGTTACTTTCACTGAGTGTCCTCTCATGCCATGTTTCTGTCCTGTTTGTCCTCCTTTTGTTTTCCTGTCCTCTGTTCTCTCTCCCTCCCTGGGAAGAGCAATTTCACTCTCTTTAGCCACCTTAGCTCCTGCTAACCCTGGGTCCTCGTGTTTCACTATCTCCTCTCAAAGCTTATCAAGGTCTTTTCCTAACAAAAATAATTTACTCTCTGAGAGGCATTTTGGTGCTAGCTGTTAAGACACAATTTTACTCACCATCTCAAAACATGATATAATTATAAAATGCTTTGAGATCTTTGTACATCTCTGATAAAAAAATTCATTTTGACTGATTGCATACATACCTCATAGGGTGCACACTTACTTAAACTGCCACACAAAATTCTGCACTATTGTAAATGCTTTATAAAGATTTCACTGACCAGATAATCCCTGGAAGAGTGAAGGGGAAAATATGAAAATTTAATCCATTATCTGGAAAACCAGAAAGAGAAAAAATGTATCTTTTAAATCAGAGGGTAGCTCCTAGTGAAGAATTGTACATAGCATGTTGAGGCATCTCAACCAGTTTTACAGTTTGTGAGAGGGGAAGAGAGACTATTAGATACAAGCCTCAAATCTGCACTGTGATGGTGCTTAAGGTCTTTTGGGAATGGGGCCTTTATAGATGTTGGTGGAGGTCTCTGTGAACACCGTTATTTGGTCATTTCTTCTTGGTGACCTGAACTCTTTTGCTCCTCTTTCTTCCTCTGTGTCTTCTAAGTGCCCTCCATTTGAAAATAGGTCAACAGCTTGTTTAGAAAGCCAGAGAGAAGAGAAACAGAAGTATGGGTGGAGACAGGAAACAGCTGTTTCTAAGATGAGAGCTCCCAAGAAGGACAAGTTGACATTGGACAAGAGAAGATGTGTATGTTTTGTTCAGGGGACAGAAGGAAGAGGGAGTGAATAATGGCTGGAAAGATGATGATGTGGCTCAGGTTGACCTCCTTTACTGCATAAAGGAAGAAAGAAAGAAAGGGTTTTTTTAATTTCTGAAGATGATACCTTTTGGAAATGAAAAGACAAAGAATGCTGGATCATCAGGGTTCTTCCTTCTGTGTCCAAACAGCTCTTAGGTCCATGTTTCTGTCTTCTCTCTTTCTTTTATCGCTCTTCGGCACTGTTAACAAAGTCTGTTTTCATTGAAAGGCAGGGCCTGGCTGCTTTAAAGGCACCTGGGCCTTTATTCATGGCCCTAGGACAATCATGTAGCTAGGGAGGAAAGGGAGTGATGGCAGCACAGGCCTGGCCCGTGTAGGTGGCCCAAGGCATCCTCCATCTCCCCTGTGAAGGGCCTAACCCTGCGCCCTAGAGCAGCTCACCAATATCCCACCCCAAGTCTCAGACATAATTATAGAGAGGCTGCTTTTGCCTTAACAGACACAGTGTACAATTGACCCTCGAATAATGTGGGAATTGGGGTGCTGACCCCTGGTATAGTAAAAAATCCATATATAACTTTTGACTCCCCCCAAGGTCAACTACTAATAGCCTAATAGCTTTATTTTATTTGGGTCAGCATACAAAGTTTTGCAGAGGAAAATGCCACATTTTCGTGTATGTACTTTCATGTGGGTGTACTAGATCATAGGAATTCGAGATCACTAAACCTGTACTAAATGGCAATTCTTCCCTGCAATACCTAAGTGTTCTTGTTCAATAGCAAACCAAATACTGAACATGCCCGGTCCTGCCTAGCTGGGAATTGTGAGGGTCCAGAGTGAGAGAAGACCACTCTGCTTGAACATCTTATTGTATCCTGCTTACATTTCTTTCCTCCTTCTATAACATGTCATTGTACAAACTGCATGAAAAACTGTTTTCATATCTTTCCAGGAGCAGTATAATTTTTAGCATCTTTGGTGACTTACTCCCAGGGTGGTAATGCTAAAGAGAGCTGTTTAGATAACCTCTTCAATTTACAATTCAGGAAACAGACACCTCCATGTTTACATTGAAAAAATTAGGGCCTGCCATTTAAGAATCCAAGTGGTTTATTACCTGCTTCTCTCTGGCTGCCTTGATTTCCCCTTCAAATTCCACTATGGCCCTATCAGAGCAAACACCCTTAGTGCTGTCTCTAATTATTTTGAATAATTCATGTTGTATGCTTTCACATCATTCTGTCAGATATGCTTGGAGGGTCATTTCTGGCTAATTCCAGGCTGCCTGTCCATTCACATATTTGGTCAGTTCTTTTCAGCTTCCCGAATTCCCTTTCCTTTTATTTTTTAATAGATATAGGTCATCTTTGATTTCAGAATTCCTTTAAAAGTCTATAACATGTAAGCTGAAGAAACCTTGAGAACATAGAGCCCAGAAAGACTGTCCAGTGTGAAGCCCAGAGTAACAGCTCATTTTCAACAGGGAACTAGACAAAATTTGCAATGTTGGTATAATAACAGTAACAGCTAACTTCAGCCAAACTCACTAACTCCAAAGGTGTAACCAATTCATAAAAGAGCTATTACTGTTCAGGCCCTAGAGACATTCAAGTGGCTCAGCTGGCTATGGAGGAAAAGGTTCAGCTCCGTTTTCTTCCTTTTGTGGTTATTGATATAGCTCAGTTCAATACTGCACTGAAGGAAGGTTGAACAGCAAAGACTAAAGTGAAACCTTGTGAAGTGTTTGCTGAGGGATCTTGAATTTCTAGATGCGTGCCAACCACAGAAGGCAATTATATTAAATGATACAATGAAAACAAATTTCGAACCTTGGGATTCTTTGGACATAACAGAGTCACTTGGAGCAGACTTTATTTAGAAATGGGATTACCAAATTGTTCCTTATAAGATTAGAAGTAGCAAAGGCCTACACAACTATTTTTTCTAGTAGTTTTTATCGTTATCTGGCTTATGATCTTTTTTGAGAATCTCATAAAAGCTATAAAGCTGAACCCAGAAAAATATGTATATGTGCAGACACAATATTTGGCCCATAATTTCAGGGAACTCACGGGTATCATCAAGCCCATTAGCGGATCCTACAGGGGATTGAGAAAACCCAGATTTAAGAGCCCCTAGTTTGGTCCAACAGCAGAGGTGGCAACTGAAACTCAAAAGTGTAAGCGAGTCATTCAGCTTCATCATTTTCTTTCTGTTCTCCCCTTTCTTTCTTTGTTACTTGTACTTATCATTTTTTCTTTAATGTTAAGTTGATATGTGTGCACAAAATTTATTCTTTTACTGCAAATCTCTTCCCAAATGATGGGTGATGGAAGGTCTGCTCACTGTCTCTCTCTGCCTCATTTAATTGATGTGGCACCATAAACTCCATCAAAGGGCCAATATAATTGAGCTTTATTACAATGGAAGTCTGCCACCGTGTTAAAAATTACCAAGATGTCTGCAGATACTATAGTCAGGAAAAACCACAAAAGGTCCTGGGAGTTTGTGGGGCAAAGGTTAAGCCAAGATCTACTCTGTTCCCTTAATGGGTAGCTATAATCTATTAGTACTTATGCCAAGTTCACTCTGATTAGTGTGGCCCTTGATTTAGAAGCTATTGGCACACCTAACCCCTTATTACTACAACACCCTTTTATAAACACTTAATGTTGGGAAATTATACATTTTGACCAAAAAGCTTCTTTGTCCTTCTCCCACCCAGCCATGAGCAGCAATATAAATAGCACTTTGGCAGTCTCCTGATGTTAACGCCAGACAGCTTGGGAAACAATGTCTACACGAGCATTTTAGATGCTGCAAGAAAGAAGCTTTCAGAATCCTGTGCTTTACTCCTTTTGCCCTTTAGAATAATAGTGTGTCCTTGCAATCTTGATCTGTACAAAATCTCTTTCTTTCTCTTCCTTCCTTTCTTTTTTTTTTTTTTTTGATGGAGTGTTGCTCTGTTGCCCAGGTTGGAGTGCAGTGGTGCGATCTCAGATCACTGCAACCTCTGCCTCCCAGGTTCAAGTGATTTTCCTGCCTCAGCCTCCTGAGTAGTTGGGACTACAGGCGCCCACCACCACACCTGGCTAATTTTGTAGAGATGGGGTTTCACCATGTTGGCCAGGATGGTCTCGAACTCCTGACCTCATGATCCACCTGCCTTGGCCTCCCAAAGTGCTAGGATTACAGGCATGAGCCACAGCACCTGGCCAAATATTTTTTTTTTCTAATCAATCATCTTATAATTTACACCAGATTCTCTCATGTCACTTGAGACGTAGATGCTATCCTACCCAATAGGCTTTGCTCTGCTTATGGCTTTATTTATTTATTTATTTTTGTCATTTTATGCTATGTCCTCTTAAAAAATCTTGCTACAAAAGTGGGTAGCGTGTTCTTTGTGTCTTGGTAAAATGCTTCTAAATAAATAATGATTGTTCTGACTCACCTTTTTTTGGCCCTAAATTGATATTTGAAAAAAGAGCAGGGAGAGGGTTAAAGTCTCATGAGATATGCATATATAATAACCTGATGAAGAAATTCTAACTTGAGGATGGCATAATGGCTGTGCTTTGACAGAAAAACAACCATCTTCAAAGTTTTCTACTTTAAAACATAATACAAATAAAAAGCAACCACTTAAGGAGGCCGGTAAGTAAGTTGCCATTCATGAGCAATATTTGCAAAATGATAGAATTCAAGGACTACCTTCTGTGGAAAAGCTTCTAACCCTTTAAATCACCATCCTAGTGTTATTACCTGGATCACCTCCGGGGGTCAGGTACACACCTGTGATCTGCTGGTAATTCAGCAAAGGAAGCAGCACTCCCTACGTCCTGCTTGTTGATTTTAGGTGGTTCTGGTATAGTAAAACATGCACAAAACTTTGGATGTGCAAAGACGATATGGTGGTAAGTTAAGGTTACTGCTCTGCACCTAACACTCAGCCCACAAAGCTAACAGCAGGAAGTGCTTGGTGGTTTAGCACCTCAATATGGTGCACTTAAAAGATGCAAGGCTAGTCTGGGAGACAATAGATACTAGAAGTACTTGGAAGGCAATTCAGCAATTCAGCTTAAAAATGAGAGTAAATGATGCATGTTGGGAAGAGCAAAAAATGGTAGCTGTTTTGTTTAAACTAAGTGTTTAAGCCACGACATGGCCATTGGAATAATAATCTCCTGGAAAGCAATATTTAAATGTATCCATCATCATTTAGGTTTTAGACACACAGTTAAATATTATTGATCATTTGCAATTGTGTGCATCCATGTGTACATATATTAAACTGAAAAGTAACAGTAGCATGTAAAGTGTAGAAGATGAAGTGTAAAAATAGTACTTGAGTTTCTAATTACCAGTTTTTAATTAAGAAAGCCACAAGCAAATTATAAACATCCAGTTTATAGCATTGCAATCTTAGAGGCTTACACTCATGAATATGGTAATTTTTTATTTTATGCCCTCTTGAGATGTCTTGTTAAAAACATTTTATTGGGGATCCTAAAATTCAGTAAATTTGAAGCCCTTGGCACCTTGTAGATAGTTAAAGTTCTTCAAAAAAATGTCAGCAATAAATATTTGGCAAATATAAAGAATATGCACATTTTCCCAAGTGGGTGATTTTTTTTTTTTGCACTTCTTATATTCAAGTGATGACACTGCAGTTCAGAATGTGAATGCATATTGATATTTTCTTCCAGAAACTGCATGGGTTGCTGGGAGAATACTGTTCCCAAAGAGTTATTTTTATGCGGGCACCTGGAAGTGGTGGCATACTTGCTCTGGCTTGCAGAGCTGTTTTGGACCATCAGGTGTATATATGAGCAAGTGGTCTTTATTTAGAGCAATTAAAATTCTAACATTCTCCTCTCTTGACATGCAATTACTAGGGCTCTGCTGTTTCCACTAATTGCTCTTGCTGGGGACATTGGTGAGAAGCCAATGATTTTGATGGGTAGCGGATTATCATTTTTACTTTGCTACCTGAGAAAAAAATCATTTGCAAAATCCCATGTGTAATTAGCAAGACTCATGATTAATTGTCCTGCAAAATTAGCTTCACTGTTGCTTTTATTTTAGTGCTTCAAATATTAATTAATGTTAACTCCTTTCCTTCAGTTCCAGCTTTTGAATATTCAACATGGCTTTGAAAAATTATCAAGGTTTCTACTCGCATTAGCATGCTAGAGCTTTGATTTCAGAAATAAGTATTCTGATTTAAAAGAGCACACTTGGGTCATAAATAATTTTTATAGGAGGACAAACAAAGCATCAGAGAATCATGGGAAGGCATTCATGCACTAACTGAAAGTAAATTGTTTCAATAATGATTCATTCTCACATGCTTTGGGGGGAAAACATCAGCAAATATGCACACCACTGCATTGTGTGGGGGGTAAAAACTATTCCCCAATGACAAGCAATCTACACAGGCATTTTTCAACCTGTAAATTTGTGGTAGGTGAGGCCCAGAGCCTTGGTAAGAAATCACAGACTCTCTAACAGAATCACAGAGGTCATCCTGTCCAAATATTCCTTGTCCTGGTGAGCTCTAGAATCACTGTCAGTTTTGTGAAACTTACAGATTCCTTAAGTCTCACTCCAGACCTAATGAATCTTACCATATGGCATTGGACCTGACAAAATGTATTTTCTTTTCAAAGTTCCCCAGGAGATCGTGGTGAATGTCTACATTTGGAAAGCATTGATCTAGTTGAACCACCTAGATATCTGAATTCCCTCTATCACGTCTGGGCCAAGTGATGCTTGAACACTTCCCGTCTTGGAGAGCTTACTTTGTTACCCTTGAAAATAGCTTTCACCTGCATTTTGTCTTGAATGTTTATTCCTTCTGTTATGACAACGGCAGGTGGTTCATTTAGTGGTGCAAAACTGTAAATGCCTACTGCCTGTGTTTTAAGGGCAGCTCTCCATCAAATGCATGGGAATTAGACTAATGGTGTCTACCACACTAGGGTCAGAGTTACATGTATCTGGACTCCTGGGAAAGAAACTGGTGCTTTTCCTTTCCTAGTCAAAACCCCACTGCTGTGTACCTCCTGATGCAGATGGGGTGCTGTGGTCCAGAGGACCCTGGCATTTGACGGCCAATATGGGTGTGAGCCCAGCTGCACCCTTCCACCTCCAGCCCACTCTGGCTGTTCAGCTGCCCAACTCTGAAGCAATGGCTCTTGCAGATTGGCTGGGGAAAGGGATTAGGCACCCCCAATTATGAGATTTTGTCTTCCCTGAGATCTCTTTTGGCATAAGAGTCTCTTCCCAAAAGCCTAGGGTCAAGGAGCCACAGGGGATGGACTCTGCTTTGTATCTTCCTTCCCTGGCTTCAGGGAACCTGCAAGTGTCAGCATTCAAGATCTGCTGCTCCTCCTGGCATGGAGCAGTGTTTGCCCTGGACATAGGGTCCAGATCAGATTATTCCCAGCAGGTAGCAGAGTTGGAGCAGCCTTGAGGATAGGAATGGGCTGTTCAGAGTGTTGTTCTCAGAGAGCTTCCCTGGCAAGCTGATGCCTAGACAGCTTAGCAAGGATCCTGTGGAAATTGCTACTTTCATCTGCTGTGTGACCCTGTGGAAGTTACTTAACCTCTCAATGTTCAGCTTCCTCATCTGCAAATGGGGATAAGAAAGGCATCTGCTTCACAGGGTTCCAATGAGGGTTTAATGGGTTAAGACCTATTATTTATTTAGGGAAGCCTATGCAAATAATTGCTGAACAAATAAAATGAAATGCTACCATGACACCTGTTTAATGGAAACACACATTCTGAAACCCCAAATACTACTTCCTAATGAATTTCAGGAATACAACTTATAAAGAAATTGTTAACTGGATGCAGGACCTAACAAAATCCAGTCCTTGCTCTATTCTAAGGTGGCAGAATTTCACATTTAGATTCATTCTTTAACCTGGTAAATTTCCAAGGTTATAGGTAGGAATCATATCTGGGTTTAGAAAACTACACATTCCTTTTTAGCCAAAGTGGTTCAAAAGCCATCTTTACCCTTCTAAAGCTTCCCTTATGAAGTGAAGATGGGCTCTATGTGTTTGTCCTGAGAACCATATTGTCACTGTTAATAAGGTTCTAATTTCCTGCACACTCACTCCACATCACGGTAATTAATTGTCCCTTGACTGGGAAGCTGAATGAAGTCAAGACTTGTCAGAATCTCTCATGGCTGTGTTCCCAGCATCTCCACGTTGGAGTCAGGACAGGTTTGTTGAAGAGCTAAGAGAGTGTGGAGGTGAGGCAGGGCAAGGACCTGATGGAATAATGCCTGCTGGTAGACGCTAGTGAGGTTGCTTAGGAAACCACCCCACAATGGCAGGAGACACCATGAGATGTTTTCTACTGTAGAAACTTTCTCATTAGAAATAGCCCATTTATACAGGGGACTGGCTAATGTTTTTCTATGAGTATCATTAGCCAGTGTCTCAAAGTGGTGAAGAGTAAGTATATAGCATCTTTCAAAAGTAAGTCAGAATTTCCGAGAAGTGGCTTTTGTATATAATGCTTCAAAGAAATGGATTTGGCCCAGTGGGGGGTGGGGGGAGTGCCTGTGCAGGCGAGATCTGAAGGGGCAGCACATCCGTAGTTAATGTGCATGTGGCCCTGCAGCTGCTTCGACTTACCGGGCCTGGTCTCGCTGTAATTGCGATAAGACATAAAACAGAGGTCCTGACTATCTGGGGTCATTAAAGGAGCCCATGCCCCCCTCTTCCTACCCCAGAGGGATAGTTCGGGTGCTCTGGTTGAGTTGCAGCTGAATTAACTGCCTCTTGCCTGTCAACATGCCCCTCCCCCCACCCAACTTTCAACCAAACAGGCTTCTGGGGCATTCTATCCTGTGGACACAACCTGTGGAAGGCTAGGCAGGGAGTCAGGAAAGGCTGGAGTCACCATGGTAGGGCTGGGAAGCTCTGGTTCCCAAAGTGGGTTTGTACCCATCCTCTCATAGTACCCTTTAGGATTTTATTAGGAACATTTGTCTTTATAAGAAAACTGAGGCACGATAATCTGTCTGGCTATGGTGATAGAAGTCTGGGTACTCTTCCTCCATATCAAGGTCACTTATTGGTATCTCCTCCAGTCCCAGAAGGAGGAGTTGAGGCCGACATTGGACAAACAAAGCCTTAATTTAAAAGCAGGGTGAGAAATATTGTCTGTAGTCCTCTAGAGTTGAGTTTTTTTGTTTTTAATTTAGTTTAACTTTCTTCATTTTTATATTATTGATAAAACTGGCGGAGCCACTGGGTGTTGGCAAATGTTTGAAATGTCAGAATATGGGAAATGGGTTCAAGAAAAATGTGGTAGCTCATATTTCTGTCTAGCTATCTTTCATAGATGAATATGCTATAATATGATTGGCTATTTATTGCAGGTGATAAAATGGAGAAGAGAAAAAAGGAAAGGGAGTATCTTCTGATTGTATTTATTCCATGGGTTTTTCAACTCTAAGAAACCTGAGGCTAACAGTTTACAAAGAATTGAAAAAACCGTACAATGAGTCCAAAGCTTATTTTAACCCTTCTATAGATTTTCATGCCTTCTTGAAGCCAATTTGGAGCTTAGAAATATTTATTATTGGTATTTCTAATGAAGAATGTTCTTTATACACACCTGTCACCAACAGTAACCTCATGATTTAGAGGCATTAGCTTCTTTTCCTACAAGCTTAGTGTGGGGTCAAGGTTACCTCTGGTCCAGAATATCTGGCATATGACATATTTGCAGGTAAGCTGTTTAGTATTAAAATGGCTTTGACAGCATATTTACTGTTAGGTTAAAGGACTATAGACCAGTTGTTAATATGAGAAATATAGCCAGGAGATGACTCTAACACAACGCTAACAGGAAGGTAAGGCCTGTAGAAACACTACATAAATAGTGCTCCTCTTGTGTTATGTTAATTTTTAGAATAACCTCGCAGCAACATTTCATCATGGCATTCGCATCTATACACCCTAGTGAAGCCTTAGGGTGCTTCTTCAGGCACAGAAATATGTTCTTCTTGCCTGTGGCTGCCAAAGTAAATAGAAATCAATGGAAGGCAGCAAAAGTGCTGAAGTCATTCCAATAAGGGAAGTGCTTGTTAATTTAAATTTTGCACTTGACATTGGTAAGGACTAATAGCAGAAAATAATGTCCGAGGCTGACTTCTAAAGTCATTTTGGTCATCACTTTTCTTGTATTTCTTCGTGACTGCAAAAATAGTGTTATAAATAAGAAGTTATCTAATTGTGATAGATCATTAAAATAAGGGAGAAAAACAGA
Source organism: Homo sapiens (assembly GCF_000001405.40). Lineage (NCBI taxonomy): Eukaryota > Metazoa > Chordata > Mammalia > Primates > Hominidae > Homo > Homo sapiens. Next base: position 176,847,449 of record NC_000002.12, on the reverse strand, counting down.
AGTTTTGTATGTCTGAGTGTGAGTAAGTACTTGGAAAACTTTTGCACGGAAAGGATCTTATCACCTTGTGCTTGGATTGAGTGCCCCATGTGAGTGCATGCATGCAATGCATGTATGCATGTGTGTGTATTTCAGAAACTTCAAAAAGCACCTCCTGCTGCTTTCAAAACCAGGCAAATATGTTTGAGGCCTGTTGGTAATTTAAAATAGGAAGATATACACAGAACTGAAGGTGGCTACACAGGAAATTAGAAAAGGCTTGACTCCACAGAGCAAAATGAATGTGCCATTGTATCACTAAATAATTGGAGGGGTGGGTCTGTGTTGCTGATGCTAAGCAGGTGTCCATAAATCAGAATAAATGTTTGTAATTAATTGTTGTTAGTGTTAATAAGAAAGGGGTTTAAATATGCTAACTTCCTTTTCTCTCAGTTAAATCTTTTAGAGTGTGGGGCTTATCATTACAGTCCCAAGTGGACTGAGAAGCTACAGTGTTCTTGAGGTTTCATTGAATATCATAACCTGTAATCAGTTATTCTGTTGTTTTCCTCAATGAAACTCCTGGTTTTAGACAAAAGTTAGACCCTCTGTCTGAGCTATAGAGTCCCACATGCTATTGGAACACCCACTTTAAAGCAAAAGTTTTTTAAACAAAGGAAATGCCCAGTTTGTAAATTCTGGGGTGAAAATTTTAGATGGCGTTGTTAGGTCCCATCAACTTGTTCTCCTGTGTGTCTGTCTGGCCTTGCACCTGACTCAAGGAGGTCAACTTTGTTGGGTGGGCCCATAACATCCACTCTATGTCTTCTCCCTTTCAAAGACAGCTGTTAAAGAGTAACAGAATTCTCCAGATTCATTTCTCAGATTTGTGGGAAAGCCTGAGTCAGGCACTTTGCATCCCCCATGCCTTTCAAACCTGATGGTGAGTATTGTTGTTATTTAATCCATGTACATTTCTGTAAAGGAACAATCCCAGAGAGAAAGACAGGCTATGAACTTGTCAGATGCTGGGAAAAAATACTGCAGGAAAGAAATAGCCTAGTGTCTGAATTTTGCTCTGTGTTCATTCTAGGACTGCAACCTGGAACAAGGAGAGACAAAGGGAAGGAGGAGTCTGGAGCCATATTGAAGATGAAATTGAGATATGGACTAGGTGGTGGATCGTTTTTATAAGAGGACATAAAAGAGGATGCTAAAGCTAATTGCCACAATCAGAACTCAAAGACCTAGCAAATGCAAGGTGGTATTTATTCTAAACTCAGCAAAGTAGTAGAAAAATAGTTTTGAGAACAGTTTTAAGGAGACTAGGGTAACAGTGAGAAAATAGTTCATGGCTAGTCTGGACTTAGGACTTTAGGGTCGGCCTGGTGAATTGAAGGGAAGCAGCTGATACACTCTGGTTGCCTTGTACCCTGGCTTTTGGTGCTTTCCCATGTGCTGTAGTCATCAGTAATCTGGAGGAAATGCTATAGAGGCAAAGACACCATTAGATGGGTGCTCAACTAGCAAACAGGATGTGACCACAGAGTAGTTACCCCAAGACCAGGTCAGCATGACCCAAAAGGCAGAAGAGGACAAGGTTTATGAGTGTTGGGCTGAGCTCACGCCTGCTTGAACATCTCAAGAACAATGTTAATGATGGAAGAGAGAGATAGGAGAGGAAACTCATTAAACTTGCCAAATATGAGATGTAGCTGGGTTGGCTCTATGTAAGCATGGCAGAAAAGCATTTAGAAGTCATAATACATTTAAAATAAGAGCTACCAGCATAGCAGTGACATGAAGAAGGCATGTGTTTTGTTAAAAAGTTTTAAATACTCCTATAAAAGATAGTAAGGTACAAGTTGTTTGCTTGATCAGCAATGCTAATTGCCTTTGAAGTGCATGCCTGGGGATTCCATGGAGAGAGGACCCTGTTTCTCCACCCCAACCCAAATTCACTGAGTTTATGTCAGAATGTTCAGAAGCCCCTTTACAAATTCCTCTGATTGCCTTGTTAGACACTGGCCACCTCCCTGAACCTGGGCCAAGATGAGGGTCTACACCTTGGCTTAGTTCTACTATGAAAGACTTTCCTGCAGTAAAAGTTACCTGTCTGAAACATTCAGAAGAGTGAAAATGCCACATCTCCAATTTCCAGCAATATATTTGTCTGCCATGATTTGGCCTGGAAGCTTAAGCAGGAAGACCACTTGGAGCCAGACTTCAGAGTGATCTGTCTCTAAGGAATAACTTTCATATTGCAGCGTTCGGTTTTGCAATTCTTCCTAAGCTACTCTAAATTCGCAGCATAAATCTGCAGAAAGACTTCACCCTCCACATCAAACCCTTATAAGGATCCATTTCTGCTCTCATTTTAGAATATCTTTTCTAATAGCTAAAGGCAGACAGAGGCAAACCAAGAAATCCAGACTTTGCATCAACGGGTTAAATCATATGTCAAAGGTGCAACCATAACGTATTACAAGCTTCTCATCACATAATACATCACTCAAGAAAAAATATTTGGGCAGCTTTTCTAATTCATCTTCCTGGTGTTAAAGGAGCACATCTCCAGTGTTCGTGTCTTCTGTTTCAATTAAAGCAATCATGCCTACTCTTTTAGGAAACTACTAAGGTTTATTACCTCTTTGTTTCACTGCTAATATTCAGCTTCTCCTTGTGGTCTCCCCTTCCAAATACATATTTTTTTCTTTCTATCCGGTTTTGCTTCTCACCACAATATACACTTGTGGCTATTGTTTGATAAAATGGCCACTATAAAGATGTAACTTGCTTAACAAATATCAGCAAGTGTTTATGGTTTCCTGTGTACTTGATGCACTGAGTGGGTGGAAGTGGGTAAGAGAAAGATGAGGTGGTTCATGTTCCCAGTAGGAAGAGAGAATGTCAATACTCAAAATAGCTAGAAAACAATTCACCATCAGTATTGAGACAGGCATTTCATTACTGTATGGGTAATAATTAAGAAATTTAAAATAAAAACATTGGCCCTCGTAATTAAGAAAGTCTTCCTGGAGAGGAGTGTAACACATTTCTTATAAGTGAAGAAAGGGTAAAGCATTTCAGGCATAGAGAATGGCCTGAACATACAGGGAAGAAGGAATAGGGATGTGAGTAAAGGAGTAGATGGAGCTCGTCCGATCAAAGGAGAGAGACTCTTCTGGTGAGAGAGTCAGGAGTGGGAGCTACTGATGGTGACTTTGACTGCAGGATGAAGAGGCACAGATTTGAGGCAGGGATTTCTGGAGGTTTTCTAACAGAAAAAAATGCAATGAAAGGAAGGGTATGTGGATTTACCCAGCAATGATGTACAGGACTCCCTGGGAGAGGAGACAGCAAGAGAATAAAATCATAGGTATTTGGACCAGATGCCCATTAATGTTCCTTCCAATCTATCCTGAGCAACATAATTACATGATTTTATGCTAAGGGAGTTGAGCGAGATAAGACAGAGCTAGAGGTAGAGACAGTGACACAGAGACACTCAATTGGAGGTATCTGTAAAGATGTCTTAGAAGAAATGACATTTAAATGTGTTTCATGGAGATGGTTGAAAGAGACATTGTAGGCATCAAGAATAGCATAAACAAAGGAATAGAAGGATAGGAAAGTGGAGGGCCATATGGGGCAAGCTAGAAGTTCAGATGTTTTTGGAGTGGCATGTCAAAGGAATCCAGAAGTAGGCTAGAATGGGGAGTGCAATGGATTAAATATTCGTGTCCCCTCCAAATTCACGTGTTGAAATCTATTTCCCAGTGTGATAGTATTTGGAGGGTAGGACCCTCATGAATGGGATTAGCCCTTATAAGAAGAGGCCACAGAGATAGCTTGCTCTTTTTCTATCATGTCAGGATACAATAAGAAGTCAGCAGTCTGCAACCCAGAAGAGGACCCTCACTGGAACCCAGGAATGTTGGCACTCTGAACTTAGATTTTCCAGCCTCTAGAATGGTGAGAAATAAATTTCTATTGTTCAAGCCACCTAGTTGTTATAGCAGCCCAAGCCAATTAAGACAGGAAGGATACTGGGTGTTAGCACTCAGAGGTGTAAGGAGTCTGAACTCATCTCAACCAGCTTCCACCACCATAATGGAGGCTCTCTTTCTAATATTTATTGTTAAGTATTGTCTAGCCTGTTCTTGAACACTGAGGTTCATAGGAAGCTCACTAGCTCCCAAGAAAATCCATGCCATTGAAGAATAATTTTAATACTTAGAAAACTCTTCATACTGCTCTGAAATTTGTCTGCCAATACTCTACTCATTCATTCCCTTTCCATTCCATTCCATACTCTACTCATTCATTCCCTTTCCATTCCATTTATAAGCAGGAGAGGTATCAGCTTATAAAAACCTGAATGCCAGATACTGGGTGGAGGAGTTTGAGCTTAAATCTGAGAGCAGTAGATCTAGCAATTCTGAGTAAACTTCTCAGCTTAACTGAGGCATTAGAAGTCCCTGAAGTTTTTTTTTTTTATGTAGGAAAACAACAGGATTATTTCCATCTTAAGGAAGACCAACATGGCAGCTGTGTAGAAAAGAAAGCCAAGTTAGAAAGAATGTTTTGGAGACAAGACATTGTGGAAGGATAGGTGGAAAAATCTCTAACGTGAATGCTTAGCTGCACTATTGAGCAAATCCTAGTTATTTTTTGGGACTCAGTTTTCCCATTTCAAAAAATGAGACAGGTTCCCTCAAAGAATCTTTCCAATTCTACTATCCTGTGGTTCTGAGTTTTCAGAGCTAAAAAGGGCATTTTCAAAGATGGGAGAGTTTGCATTATTGTAGGTAAAAGCAGAGTGGGCCTGAAATGGGAATGGAAAAGTGTTGAATCCGAAAAATATAGAGAAGACACAGAAGGCCAAGATGAGAGCTTGGCTGTTTAGGCCAAAAGGGAAGCAAGAATTAATCATAACTCAATTCCTGGGTTATGGGGCAAGGATGAGTCTTGGTGCTTTTGACCTTAAAGAGGACTTTTTAAAGCAAAACTAGCTGGGAAAGAGGAAGATTTAACACATGGAATTTGAAAACATTGTAGGGCAATAAAGAAGACGGAAATGTGAATGAAAGGCTGGGGTAAGAGGTGTAGGTAGTTGAGTCATGGTTGCAGAGATTTTGTTGGAAGTCTTGGGACAGATGGTGTTTCTAAGAGAGGGAGAGGAATAAAAACCACAGAGGATTTTCAAAGTGTGAGAATGGGAGATGCTATTAGAAGGGAGAGAGAAGGAGCAGTCAGCTGGGTGGTGAGAGAGAGGCTTCACAGAAGGAAAGGAAGGAAACAAGAAAAGAAAGGAGGTATCCAATTTGCAGCAGGGGAAGAGGAGGGAGGTTCAAGAGGATAAGAACAAAAAAGCCATTTCTGGAAATGGCTAAAAGAGAATACTTTCAGTGAAGTAATAGGACTGTGAGTTAGTCTGTTTTGTGCTGCTGTAAAGGAATACCTGAGACTGGGTAATTTACAAAGAAAAGAGGTTTATTCGGCTCATAGTTCTGCAGGCTGCACAAGAAGCATGGTACCAGACTCTTCTTCTGGTAAGGGCCTCAGGCTGCTTTCACTCATGGCAAAAGGCAAAGTGGAGCCAAAGGGAAGTCATATGTTCTTGCAGATCACACTGCAAGAGAGGAGGAGGAGGAGGAAGGAGGAGGAAGGTGGAGAAGGAAGGAGGAGGAAGGTGGAGAAGGAGGGAGAAGGAGGAGGAGGGAGAAAGAGAAGGAAGGGAGGTGCCTCAGGCTCTTTTTAACAATCACTTCTCATGGGAGCTAATACAGCAAGAACTCGTTATCTTGAGAACTCATGACCTAAACACCTCCCATTAGGTCCCACCTCCACAACTGGGGATCGAATTTCAACATGAGATTTGGAGGGAACAAATATCTAAACTATATCAGGCTGGAAATCAATTAGTAAAGAATTTTTAAAGGCATTCATCCATCCAACAGAAATTCATTAGCCTCTTAGGGGCCTGGTACTGCTCTAGATACAGAGAATACAGCAGTAAAGAAGACACTTGAAGGGATAAACAAGAAAAATGCCAGGTGGAGATTTACAACAGAGGGACATGACAGACTGGTGGGCACTGTCAGCAAAGGTACCAGCCAGTGCAGGCCCTAAGATGGAAATAGGTTGATAATATACAAAGAATAGAAGGAAGAGCAGTGTATTAGAGTGTAGAGGTAGTTCCTGAGAACATTATGAGATTATGTCAAAAAGATTTCAGGGTAAAGAATTTGAACTGCATCTCAAGTGTGTTTGTAGTTTTGTTGGGAAGTGATAGTTTTAAGCAAGGGTTTGACATGATCTGATTTACTCGAAAGGGTGTCTTGTCTGTTTCCTTGAAAATGACTACAGAGAAATGTAGGTGGAGGCAGGGGCCCATTGGAAAGCATTTCAATAGTCCAGATAGGAGCTGGCAGTGGTCTGCACTAGGGTGATTGTGGTGGAAATGAAGGGGAGAGGAAAGACTGGAAATGTGTTTTGGAAGAAGTAGAATTGATAGGATTTGCTGATGGCTTGGATGGAGGAAAGAGGAATATATTATATTTAAATCTTTAAGCCACATACATTGATTTGATCAAAATTAACAGGACAAATACAAATCATCATTTTCAGTTCAGTTTCATTTAATCATTATCAGTGGAGCTCCTACTATGTGTAAGATATAATTTCAGATTCATTCATTTGATAAACATTTATGGAACACTGACTATACCCCAGGTACTGTGCTGGGTACTAAAATCTGGAGCAAGATGGACACAGTCCTTCCCTCAGAGGTCTTGAGGTTGAGTGAGACAGAGAAATCATCAAACAGTGAGTGCATGCATGCACATCATGAGAAGGGCCAAGAGGGAAAAAGACAAAATGGCTTTTAGAATAAAAACAGACAGATCTCATCTAGCTTGTGTTGGCTGGAAGGCTCCCCTGAGAAGGTGACATTTGGGCTGTCTGAAGGATGATGGCAGTGAGAACATCATGTTTAAAAGTCCTGTGGTAGGAAGAAACATTGTCATTCAAGGAACAGAAAGAAGGCCAGTGTGCCAGAAGCCTAGAGAACAAGCAAGAGGGGGATGATGTGATGGAGTGGGCAGTCAGTGGCCAGATCACACAGGGCCACGCTGACCTTTCTATGGGATTCTGGTTTTTATTCTAAGGGCAAGGAGAAGAAGGTGATGTGATTAGATTTTTTAAATTTTCTTTGGCTGCAGAGTTAAGGACAGATTTGGTCTTCACATTTAGGGTCTCTAGGGGAACAAGTGGATTGGGAAAATCTGAGTCAGATGGGCTGCCAAGGGGAGGAAGTGAAGACCAAGGAAAACTGGAGATCTGTTAGAAGGCAATGAGAGAGAATTTCATGCTCAACATGCACCAACACAGATGTCATGGTTGCCTTTCCATGTCAACACATCTAGAAAGACTACACGTTTTTTCTGCAGCTACGTAACATTCAACTGTATTGACAGGTTATACTTTAATATTTACCATCTCTCTATGGGTGGTCATTTAAATTGTTCCAATTTTTTTACTATGGCAAACAAAACTTTTTTTGGAACATACCTCAACATTTATCTTAGCTCTTGAGGGACACATAGAGGTAAAAATGCCAGGTCAGAGTGCATGAGCATTTTAAGTTTTAATAGATGATGACAAATTGCCCTGAAAAATGTGATGCCAATTTTGAGCAATATTTTAAGAAATAATGTTGAGCTAATGTGTCAGATCTAGTAAGTCCAGAATCACGGCAGCAAGGAAGGATCCAGTACAGTGATCCAGGGGAGAGGTGTTGAGTTCCTGACCTCCCATGATGGACTCTTTTGGAGTTTGCTTCCAAGTGGGAAATCCTCAGATGGGCAGTGATTGTCCTTCGGCCAACAAATCCTCCTGGACAGTAAATTCCTGAACTTCTGCTGCACAGGCCATAAGGAGAGGAGTAGAAGTCTTCTGAGAAAGTGGTTGTTAGAAGCCAGAATCCCAGGTGTGTTCTCCTTGTTTAATTCTCTTAGTCCTACTCCTCAAGAATCCTAGCAGGATTTGGTAAAGCCAACCCCTCCTTCCTTCCTGAGATATTCTCCTGAGTATCATAATCAGATATGGTCTGATCACCATAATGTGCTCTACTCTTTTTCTTTTTTTCTCCCCAGGCAATTGTGTGAGCTTCTTATCCCTTGTCACCTTGTTACCTCAAACGTCGATGCTCCTCAGGCTTTTGGTTCTGGTCCTTCTTGGCCATCTCCAAACTCTCTCCTTTGGCAATCACATTCCTTCCCATGTTCAGTGTCTTTTACATGCTAACAAGTCCCACATTTTTATCTCCAGCCCAAACTTCTGAATTTTATAATTATATTCCTGCAAATTGAACTTGTCTAAATACCACACTTAATTTTCACTTCCCATTTGTGCCCTTTCTCTCTCAATATCTCCTGTATTGGTAAAAGCCAATTCCATCCATTCAGTTGTTCACACGAAGAAACTAGGAGTTATCTGATTTCACCCCTTTCCTCATCCTCTCAATACAGTCTGCCAACAAGCCCAGCCAAATCCACTTTCAAAATATATTTGAATCTATCCATTTTTCTCCCTCTTCACTTCTCCACCCCAGTCCAAGCCACCATCTCTTCTCATTTAAATATCCACCTTTCCATCCATTCTGCACACAGCAGATAGATTTTTATAAAATGCAAATAAGATCATGTTACTCTCTTGCTTAAAACTGTCCAAAGCTTACTGTTGCTTTTGGGATAAAAATGCAAATGAATTACCTTGGCCTATAAGGCCCTGCATGACCCATATAGGGCCCATCTCCAGCACTATCCCTGACCTCCTGCACCCCCAGTCAGCTCACCAGGGCCCTGGCTTGCTGCTTCCCTTTCAGCTTCCTGAATATGTTGAGCTTCTGCCATTCAGGGCCTTTTCACTTACCATTTGCTTTGCCAGGAACTTTCTTCTCCTTGATCTTTGCCTCCCTCATGTCTTATTTATTTATTTTTAGTTTTTAGTTTTTGAGATGGAGTCTCACTCTGTCACCCAGGCTGGAGTGCAGTGGCGCGATCTTGGATCACTGCAACTTCCACCTCCTGGGGTTCAAGCAATTCTCCTGCTTCAGCCTCCAGGGTAGCTGGGACTACAGGCACATGCCACCATGCCCGGCTTTTTTATTTTTAGTAGAGACGGGGTTTCACCAGTTGGCCAAGCTGGCCTCAAACTCCTGACCTCAGGTGATCCACCCGCCTTGGCCTCCCAAAGTGCTGGGATTATAGGCATGAGGCACCATGCCTGGCCTCCCATATGTCTTAATAGAAGCGTTGGTCCTCAGATGAGCCTTCCCTGACCACCCATAACATAGGTTCCCCATATTTGGCTTCTGTCTCAGTGCTTTGCCTGCTTCCTTCATACAAGTTATTGCAGCTTGTCATTTATTTTTTACTTGTTTTCTTTTCAGCTCTAGAAGGGAAACTCCATGAATGATGGCACCATGAATGTCTTGTTCAGTATGGATTCCTCAGCATTAATAGGGATCAGTAAATATTTGTTGAATGAATAAATAAGAGTCCTATTAATTGACCTTATTGTGTCCAACAAAAGTTACATTTCCCCACTGTAGTGAATTGTTGGCAGCATCACTCTTTGCTGTATACCATTTAGAAAATATAACATTAGTTGATTTTCTACTTTTACCCCTCCTTTTATGTCTCCAAAGAGACAGCATCTCCTTTACCCATCTTGGCTATGAAATCTACTATCTTTTGGACTTTGTCAAATTAGAGACTGAAAAACTCGAGCAGGTCTTTTTCTCTGCACAATGTATCAAAACACATTTCATATGCTATGCAGCACCCCTAACTAATTTTCACCAAGTGTATTTTCTCTGGGTCTAGACCTCTTCATACTTTACCATCAAAATGTATTTAGTCAGCCTTATGAAGATGGGCAAAGATCTTTGAAGCCTTGGAGTAAAGAATGTTGTGTTTGCTTTCGTGGAGTTGTCCTCATACTGAGATATGGTAGAAGTAGTTTCCTTGATCAGCCTCGGGAAAATGGGACAGGTCTGTCTCTGGAGCTCTGTGTGTTTTTTTCCTTTGCAGCAAAAATACTCATCTCTCATTTGAGAGCTGATCAGTACATTGGCTGCAGCCATTCCTCCCAGGTTTTCCAGATTGATCAAGCAGTACATGTTTGATGAATTAACCATGACCAGTCAGCTATTGGCTCTTTGGGGCATTTAAATCTACAAAATTTAGTAGTTAGCAGGACACAAATAACAAGAGTCCTGAGATTTGTGGTTTGTCCATCTCCCACTTCTGGGGCCTCTTATTCTTAATCTGTAAAGCAAGGATTTGAATGTTCACCCTCACCTAACTCCTGGATTCATGAGTTTTCAGCCTCCACTTCTCCCTGCCCACGCTGATATGGAGAAGGCTGAAGAAAGAAGAAGGGAAGGAAAAGAGCAAATCCTTTGTTGATCTGAGAAGTCATCATAAAAGTCCTGTACTTGTAGAAGAACTGCATACAACTTTTCCAAATAAAGTAAATCTAGCTTTTATGTTTTATTTATTAGGACAACACAGATTCCCATCTCAGTTTCAACAGTCTGCCAAATGTCATTTTTTTCCCTAAAATCAAAGTTCATCATTGCTTGAACATTGGAGGGCTCTAAAGGTCTTGATTTTATTGTACTTAAAAAATTTTAAGCAAATCTGTGCTAACAACATGTTGACATATTAAAAAGCTATAGTTATTAAAACAGTGTGGTATTGGAGTAGGATCAGATATGTAGATTAATCAAACAGCAGAGAGAGCTTGTAAACAGAGCCAGGTATATGTGAAAAATTTAGCTTGTGTCAGAGACAACATTGCAAACCAATGAAGAAAGGGTAGAGAATGGCTGTATACCAGAGAAAAAATAAAATGAGATTTCTATCTTATATCATATACAAACATAGACTCCAGATAGAGTAAAGGTCCAAAATGTAAATAATGTAATTTTATACCTGTGAGAAAAAAATGCATAAGTATCCTTGGGGTAGGGAAAGCTTTCTTTAACAAGATACAAAATACACATACCGTGGAGGAAAAGGTACTGAAATCTGACAGTAGCAAAATTTCACCCCTTTTATGGCAAACAAAACCAAACAAATCCTCGACCCCATTACAAACAAGGTTAAGACAATTGAGTAAGACATATGATGCTTTTTTGCTTTAATAAATAAATGGTGAGAAAACAAAAGGGATGAGTGTTGTTAGGGACAAAAAGAGACTTAAGAGGCACAGTGACCAAATAAAACACAGGGACATCCTTTGGATTCTAATTCAGAGAAACCCAGTGTGAAAGAATGTTTGTGGGTCAGCTGGGGAAATTTGAATACTGACTGGTTATTAAGAAATTGTAAGAAATAGTTAACGTTCAAGGCATAATAATGATATTGTGATAATTTTTAAAGATTTGTGTTTTTTAGAGGAACTACTGAAGTATTCATGATTAAAATTTTACAGTGCCTGGCATTTGCTTTAATCCAGCAGGTTTGTGGGGAAGGGAGTGGGGGTGGGTGTACAGATGAAAGGAGATTTGCCATATATTCTTAATTAGTAAAGCTGAGGGAGGGTATACGTGAGTTCACTATATTATTTTAGTTTATTTTACTCATGTTTGACATTTTCCATAATGATTTCTGTAAAATACAAGTCGTGGATTTAGAAACATGCCTGACCTATTATAAACACAAAATAAATGTTATCTGTTATTATTATATTAACCTTTTTAAAAGACAAGTGACACATACATTGCTGATGGGAGTATAAATTGGTACAGACTCTACAGAGGACAATGTGGCAAAATCTATTTTTTTAAAAAGGCACTTAGTCTTTAGTTCTCTTTATGAATTTATCCTTCAGATATTTGTACATGTATGAAATAATATGAATTGTCACTGAATCACAATTGTTTTTATTTAAAAATTTTTATTTTTAATTTTTGGGGTACATGGTAGGTTTATATGTTTATGGGGTAGATGAGATGTTTTAATACATGCATACAATGCATTATAATCACGTCATGGAGAATGGGGTGTCTGTCCCCTCAAGCATTCATCCTTTGTGTTACAAACAATCCAATTATACTGTTTTAGTTATTTTTAAATGTACAATTAAATTGTTATTGACTATCATCACCCTGTTGTGCTATCAAATAGCAGGACTTTTTCATGCTTCCTATTTTTTTTTGTACCCACTAACTGTCCCTACCTCCCCTCCCATCCCCCTACTACCCTTCCCAGCCTCTGGTAAGAAGCAAATTTTTAATAACGCAAAATTGGAAGTGTCAATCAGTAGTAATCTAGTTGAATAAATTCTGGTCCATAAATAGAAAAAGAAGACTTTGTAGCCATTAAAATAAAAAGAAAGAAAAAGAAGTAGCTCCATATAAGCTGAATGGAGCTTACAGAATGATGTCTAAAATATTTTTAAGTGAAAAAAGCAATATGCAGAATGAATCTTTTAAATTTATTTTAAAAACTGTAGAGGAACATATAGACTATTTTTTGTATATGTGTAGAACTCTTTGGAAGGGTGTACCACAGCACTGGTTTTTGTCTAAGAAGGGAAACCGAATGGTGGAAGAGGAGTAGATGTGAAAGGGGAACTTTTCACTGTGCACTTTTGTAACTCTTTAAGTTCGTATCATATGCATATATTTCCAATTCAAAAATAAGAAAAGAAGACATTTTCAGCGTATATAATATGCAAAAGTTACTACCCAGGATACAGGTAGAACCTTTACAAACTGGTAATAAAAATACAAATAATCTAACAGAAAAATAAGCAAAGGATGTGATGAAAGAAAATTGTTACGCCAATAAACCTGCAAAAGGTAGTTACACTTATTAATAGGCATGGAAATGAGAAATAAAACCAATACTTAGGCATCGTTGTTTAACCATCAAATTGGAAATGAATTTAGTGTCCAAGAACATCAAGCTTTGGCCAGCATGTGGGGGAAATAGTTCCATCATCTTATGTTGGCACGTAACAGTCACTAGGGAGTCTTTTGGCAGCACTTAAGCAAACTAGAAATATATCCTAGCCCCATGGATTCCACTACTGTGTATATTTTCTACATAAATACTTAGATGTTTATACAAAGAGACAAGTATAAGAATGTTTATTGCACCATTGTAGAAAATAGTAAGAAACTGGAAAGAGCCTAAACATTCATCAATAGTGGATTGGAAATGTGATATATACACAAGAAAGGGAAAGAACTAGATCTACATAGCTCAATATGGATAGATCACCAAACACCCTATGTTAAGAAGAAATAAAAAAAGCAAGTTGTAGTAACTATCAAGAATGATGCCACTTATGTAAATAATGAAACACTGCACATACAGAAAGCAATGCTATTTATTGTGGCATACCTGATTGTATACAATGTCTATATTTTAATGGATTGGAAGGACCCACATCTGCTCATGAAAGTGGCTTCTCTTGGGTATAGGAGAGTAGGCTGGTTAGAGGGGATTAGGTTTGGAATCTGAAACATATTATTTCTTAAAAAAAAAAACTGGAGGAAAATATGACCAGATGTTAACAGTTGTTAACTCTGGGAAGTATGAATGTGAGAGTTTAACTTTTCTGTATCTTTTAAATTTTTCAAGAAAAGGAGGAGGGAGTGGGAGAAAATTTTTTTCAGAGGAAAAGAATAAGATAGATTTCTCTTTGAACCATGGAGGACAAAAGCAGTATGCACCCCCCTTATGACAGGAAGAAATCCTGAGGTCAGGCTTTGCTTCCTCTGGAGGAAACTTTTGCTGATGACAGCCTGTTTCCCTCCTGTCTCCTTTCCCCGGCCTTCCTCATGGAAAGCAAAAGCACTCTTAGGAAGGCAGCATTTTCTTTTTTTCTTTTCTGGATTTTACAACTTTATTTTTTTAATTTTTATTTTTTAATTTTTATTTTAGGTTTGGGGGTACATGTGCAGGTTTGTTTTATAGGGAAACTAGTGTCATAGGCGTTTGTTGTACAGATTATTTCATCACCCAGATATTAAGCCCAGTACCCAATAGTTATTTTTTCTGCTCCTCTCCCTCCTCCCACTCTCCACCCTCAAGTAGACCCCAGTGTCTACTGTTTCCTTCTTTGTGTTCATAAGTTCTCATCATTTAGCTCTCACTTATAAGTGAGAAGATGTAGTATTTGGTTTTCTGTTCCTGCATTAGTTTGCTAAGGATGATAGCCTCTAGGTCCATCCATGTTCCCACAAAAGACATGATCTTGTTCTTTTTTATGGCTGCGCAGTATTCCATGGTATGTATGTACCACATTTTCTTTATCCAATCTGTCATTTATGGGCATTTAAGTTGATTCCCTGTCTTTGCCGGGTAGCCATTTTCACTACTAGGGAGATTAGGACCCTATCTGCCCATATGGGATTGCATTTGAGAACAAAGCATTTCCATGACCATGATTTGTATGTTTTAAATTCTATAGTCTCTGTATATATGTTATTACTCCTGGAAAACTTTCTGTGTGATGGGGAATAAATAATAAAAGTGCATTAAGATGTAGAACTTAAATTCCAAAGATTAACTGCATTTTAAAAGAGAAGTTCTGAGGGAGTGAGCAGTCCTCCCACGTTTTTCCAAAAGAAAACACTGATCAAGATTTTTCAGAAAAAATATGTTCAGAAATTCTTCAGAAAAGAAAATTTTTGGACAATGTGGTAACTTGATCAGTAAACATGTTTGGTAGTAAAAGGCCTACTTCCATGGGCCCCTTCTACTGTATCTGTGAAAAAGGCTGCTTTTGAGCAGTAAGTAAATGTCACCCCCAACTCGGGCAATGCGTGGTAGGTGGGCCATGGGAACAACTTGGGTGTTAGGGTAGAATGGCCACTGTCTGGACCTGTCACTAACACTGCACTTGAACACAGGTGTGGACAACAAGAGCACAGAGCAGGCCAGTGGGCACCAAATAGTACCTCTTTTACATTTTGCTACAATATCAGCAGCTTATGGCACTGGCTTAAGGCTGCTGCCAAACTCCGCTGTCATTCCCTCGCTGACAGTGATAGAATGGTACATCCGTTCAGTATTCAGAAATGAGACAGGCTTGTTTTGACACCACTGTTTCTGCAAAAGGGAAAGGAACCAGATTGGAGAGTGTAGTCATCAATTGGCAGAATCAGTTAAGAATAACAACAGCACAGTGTGCGTCATTTGGGAGAGGTAAGTGTGGCATGAGGTGCTGGAATTCATTGGAAAATGCTAGCCCAGCTCTTCCTCCCTTAGTTTGGACAACGTCTGGTCTCATTTCCATGGCTTCTGCACACCCAGTTGAAGGGAAGCTCGTCCCTGCCTCCCAATCACTTAACCTCTTATGATGCCTGATAGTAAAATATAGTATGTTAGCAACTATAGGGATTCCTACATGGAGAGATAAGTCTTTGATTCTTATTTAAGCTTTGATTTATTGTCTTCAGTTGTTTTGGGTAGAGGGATGGCTGATTTTTAACAAGAAGATAAACTTAAAGATGGAAATTCTTGTAAGCCATAAATATCACTAACTTGCCTGTTCCAGGGAAGTTCAAATAAAGACACTGGGACTTAGCAGCAGCTGAAATGTTTTCCTTTTTTCCCCATTGGCCCAAAAAAAGATATGCCTTGCCATTGGTGGTTTGGCGCCAGGGCCTGATCTGTGCCTGGATACACAGGCCATTCAGAGTTCCTATTGCATAGAAAGGAGACAGAGGATGACAAATTGGTCTACACCAGTTGACCTCCAAAGTGAAGGGATAATTTTACCCAGCAACCTCTGGAGTTTTCTTTATCTGTTTTATTTAGTGAAAACACTGTTCTTCTCCAGTACTCCCTATTTCTCCTAGCAAGCTCCAAGGATTAATTCTGGGTCACTAGCTAAATTCACCACCTCTGCTCTGCTCCCAAATTGCTTCTTTTTCCTTAGCCTTATGCAAATCCTGGAAGATATCAATTCTGAGGGCTGGGGTGTATCTTGATCACCTTTGGAATCTACCACTGCATGGAGCACAGCACTTACCACCTAGTAGGTAAGCAACAAATGCTTGCTTGTCAATTGATTTATTCAGTAGACTCAGTGCTATGTGTACATTAAACACCTGGGGAGCTTTAAACAATAAACGAGCAAACCAACAAATGCTGCATCAGCCTAGACCAACACAATCCTGATCTCTGGATGTGGGATCCCCGCACTGGTAAGTTTGTAAAGCACCACAGGTGATACTAGTGCATGGGGAAGATTGAGAACTACTGGATTCATTAACCTGTTGCTTTACTTGGCTACAGTTCTGTTTGTTTCCAAGTTTGGAAGAAACATAATTGAATCATTTTGAGGAATTCCAATCCCTGACAAGATGCCAGTGCTATTTTACAGCAAGAGTAGACGAGGAAGGCTATACTACGTGGTCCTGGGCAAGTTATTTAAATTCTCTGTGCCTCAGTTTTCTGAACCGTAAGATGGGAAGAATAATAGTAACTACCTCTGGAGGCTGTTGTAAAAGTTAAATGATCTGATCTATGTAAAGCACTTAGAACAGTACCTGGTATATAAGTGTGTGATAAATAAAATCCAATATGAAGAAGAGGATGATCTATTTGTTGTCATTATTGTTGTTCTCTGCTTCAGTTAATGACTCCAGCTTCCTCCCAGACTAAGCTCCCAGGAGACTTTTGACCCCAGCCTCTCCTTTGTCCCTTCCATTTTATTGCTGGTCAAGTCCTGCTCCTCTGACCCTGCACTATCTGGAATCTGCCCCTTCCTTTTCATGCCCCTGTCCCTAATTGTAATCCTCACTCTCATTATCTCTCTTCTGGGTTATGGCTGCCGCACTGGTCTCCTTGCCAACCGTCTGTTTTGCCTGTCAACCACCCCTAGATGGCTCCCAAATTGCCCTAAAGTCAAGCTCTAAGCTTGCAGCTGCCAAGCTCAAAGCTCAACTTATATCCTTATTGCTGTGAAAATTCAAACCCAAATTGTGTGATTTGGACAGTTTAGTTACTTTCTCTAAGCCTTGGTTTCTTCATCTTCTTTTTTTGTTTCCTTTTTTGAGATGGAGTCTCGCTCTGACACCCAGGCTGGAGTGCAGTGGCGCTATCTCGGCTCACTGCAACCTCCACCTCCCAGGTTCAAGCGATTCTCTTTCCTCAGTCTCCTGAGTAGCTGAGATCACAGGTGCACATCAACATGCCCGGCTAAATTGTGTATTTTTCGTAGAGACAGGGTTTCTCCATGTTGGCCAAGCTGGTTTCAAACTCCTGGCCTCAAGTGATCCGCCTGCCTCAGCCTCCCAAAGTGCTGGGATTACAGGCATGAGCCACAGCGCCCTGCCAGTTTCTTGATCTTTAAATGGGGATCATCTAATAACACTTTCTCTTTAATAGGGTTATGGGAATAGAATAAAGGAATTCTTGTAAATAAAGCATCTAGAAATCTTCATGGCACACCATAGGGGATCAATACAAGTTGTTGTTGTTATTATTTGAAATTTGACTGCCAGCAACTCCTCTCCAGCCATCCTGGACACTGGCCACATGGAAGTCCTTGCTGTTTCCAGACCCCCTGTGCCTTTCTGGATTTGGGTCTCTGCTCACATTGTCTTTACTCTTGGGATGCCTGCCACTCCTCTCCAGGTGTCTGAATCTTAACAGTCTTAAAGGGCCAAACCTCAAAAGCCAATTTCTTCTAGAAGACTTCCCTGGAAGTCAATTACTCCTTTGACTTCCCACAAATTCACTTCTTTTAAGGCAGGGGCTCTCCAACTTTAGCATTCATCAGATTCACCTGGAGGGCTTGTTAAACCAATGACTCCTTAGCGGATCCTGGAGATCCTAATTCAGTAAGTCCAGGGCAGGACCCCAAAATTTGCATTACTAATGAGTTCCCAGGTGATACTGATCTGCTGGTCCATACTTAAGGAGCTCCGTTTTAGGGCTACTCACTGAACACCTTCCAACTTCTATGGCTGCTTGAATACAAATCTCTTCTCTGAGAAGACTGTAAGTTCTTCCCTAGAAGGGCCAAAATCTACTTTCCCTTATGTCTGGTGGAAGGAGGTGGGCCTTGGGCTGGGCCTTGAAGGCTGGGTGGGATTTGAATCCACTAACAGCAGGCAAGAGCCTGCACATGAGGAGCCCAGGAATGGGAACAGGAACAGAGAGCTGCACGGTTGTGCGAGGGTGACTGGTTAGGATATTAAGGTGCAATGGGAAATGGGGCTAGACAGCTGTGTGCCACATATCCAATATGATATGGGGGTTTTGAGAAGGGGGGTGTGGAACCTTGAAAAGCAGGCAGAGGAGTGCACATTTGATCCCCTAACCTGCAAAGCACAAGGGCTGAACTGCAAGGTCTCATCATGATCGTTCCTTCCATAAGCTGCTGTGGAGTTTGGGCTCTCTTTGCATTTTCAGCAAGGCACACTTCCTAATGTGCAGGACATGTTTCTGTTCTACCTCCAAAAGTCTGTCATTCTTTGAATTACTCTTGCCTATGAAAACGTGGACAGAGGTGAGGCTCAGGCCCCACCAACTGCTCCTGTGCGCCCGAGCCAAACCAGAGCCTTGAGGTAGTTGTGATTGGTGCTTCCTCCCCACAAATTTTGGGCTCTTCCTTCCCTGAAAATCACTTTTCCTGGTTTGGAAGTTGCTTGACCAAGAAGCTAGAAATATCATTGCTTCTAGAAAATGGATTCTCCCCCCATTTTCAGAACATGCTTGGTTTAAGGGGATAATCACAAGATGGAAAGAAGGAAGTGGCCACCTGGAAGCAATAGATCTGGGTTCAATATGAAGCCGGTGGTTTTATTCTGTGGGTTTTCGGCTATGCCTGCCTCCCAGGTGCAGATGAGGTTAAATAATTAATGTATGTGAATGCACTTTGTAAGCTCTAAAGTGCTGCAGGAATATAATTAATTATGTTTATAATTACAGGTAATATAATTATAATTATAATTACTTTGTGGGTGGAAGCAGAATATATATATCTCATGCCTGTTCTATAGTAGGATACCCTTGGTGGATATCCTTGGTTAGATCATCAGTTTGTGTATTTGAGCTTGACTCACTTTCTCTGACTTTATTTTCAACATTGAGACATATAAGACTTTGGCCCAAGGACTTCTGTTTTGTTTTTTTGTTTTTTGTTTTTTTTTTTGTTTTGTTTTGTTTTGGAAAATAGGATAAAAGTGCATAGAGCAAGGCTGGGAAATTCAACACTCCAATAGTAATATTATCTGCCACTTATCTATCATGTAGGTAAAGTTAAGGCAATTTATTAAACTTGCCTATATACAGCAATAATACTTGCAGAGATCCTATAAACACAAAAATATGATATACACATACAGTTTCTATAAGTGATTTATATCTACATGTTACTCAGAGTTCTTTCTAGAAATTCACTAGACCCTACTACATTCTAAAATGATCATGTAATTGCTAAATCAGAAATTTGTTCTATATTTCAGGCAATGCTCATTAATACTAAGCTAAAAATTTAATATGTTATACCATTTTGCTTGTTTAGCAAAACTAATAAGCTTAATAGAAGTGCTGGGTAGTTGTTTATTTCCTTCAACATACTTAGTCTTAAAAAGTGATTGTATTTGGGCCCATGTTCTGGAGCAAGAGTTGAGGTGTATTTGTATCTGAGGGAAACATTTCTGCCTGGAGTCTCCCTCCTTGAGACTGCCAGATTCTGCCCGAGAAGCTAAACGTTGCATTTCTTCAGAGTCTCTGACCTTCTGCCATTGTTCTTATGCACTGTTAATTGTTGTTAATTTCTAACACATCATTAATTATTTGCCATTAAAGATGTGGGAGACGGAAATGCCCTTCACTCATGGGTGGTCACAGGAATTAACCATTAATAATTACAAAATGTGTTACTTTAAATGTGAAAAGTGAATTTGAGCCATTTGCATGAAAGTTGCTGTGTTTCTGTGGCTGAGCTGTGACACACTGGCAGCGTGGGTGGGGATACCATGAGTGATCCCGTCATGGCTGGGGAAGAAGCCATCTCCTCTTGCTTCCTTAATGACTGTCACATTTGGCCTCTGGAGCATGATGTACTTTTCAGAGAAATTTTCTCTTTACAATTTTCTCCTCCTTTGCACAAGAAGCCTGAAGTGGAACAGTTTTCTCTGATGTCACAGCCCCAAATCAGTCACACAATTAGTACTTACCGTGGAGTTCCTGACTCCCACTCCCATTCGGCCCATCAGACCATGCCGAGAGATAAGCGCTGGCAGGTGGAGATGTCCACTCCCACCTCAGGCTTGCAAAGTGATGAAGCCAAAGCCGTTTCGCTGACATTGGGATCTCAGTCTTGAAAAAATAAGTGCCTGGATTGCCATTTAGTATTGAGATTTTAATGTAGTGCCTATCTTTAAAACAAAGGCAGAAAATTCTTCCTACAAGTTTATCAGAGTGCTGAGAATTAAACATTATATTGGCAAAGAAGCATCAGATACGGTCTCTAGGTTTCACCAGTCAGAAGGAACTGTTAGAGTATAGACAAGAGATTTGGGGAAAGTGTATGAAATATTTTGTGAGTGTAGATTTCAACCGTGAAATCGAGACAGCTTAGATTCCATAGCTAAAAGTTAGATTCGTTACAAGGAGACTAGTTTGAACTTAAGGAGTCGATGGTCGTTCTTTCTAGCTGAACCCCTTGTTTTGCTAGTAAGAAAATGGAGATCCGGAGATGATCAAAAGACTTCTTAAGCTGTGAATGTGGGAAATAAGAGAACTGTGTCACTTAAGTGGCTTTTATGGTTTCATATTATGATTCTGTTCTTCATCTGAACTGTGACCTCAAGAACAAGGGCAACCTTTTTTTTCTTCCCCTTTCCCCTCCTCTTTTTGTTCTTCTGTGCTAGACTAATAGAGAGATCAGAGGGGATGATGTTCTGCTTCCTGGAATAGACTGAACTATACCAGGTAGCTTGGGGCATCTAATGACATCATGGATGAAAGGCCAGGTTGGAAGTCGAAACAACAGCCTGCTTTCAAGAAATCACTTAGCCTTCAGGTCCCCCATTCCTTCTCATCTGTAAAATGAGGCACTTAAAGTTTAACTCTTGAGGCTTTAACTCTCAAGACAGTTGGATTCTAAGATCTAAATTCTTCTGTACTGTCTTCTATTATTTTAACCATTTTTTTTTTGCTACACAATAGTCTACAGTCAACATATTTCACATTTTATTTATTCCCTCTTCTATTAATGGATATTTAGGTTGTTGGGAAGCTTTCTTCCACTAAAAGTAATGCTGGAATAAACATTTTTGTACAAAGCTTTTTATGTATATGTGTAAAAATTTTTCCAATGTTTCAATTTTACCAAATGATGCCAAATCAACCTCCAGAGCCAATTTACTAAACTTTGCTTCCTTTATCTCTATGCCCATAAACTACTATGGGGGGTTTGCCACCTTCCCACATCTAAAACTGGTGGACAGGACCCAGGTTCTTATTTTTGGGGACCTAAGCCCACCAACATCTCTGTTCCCATTGCTTCCTTCCAAATATCCCCTTCCATCAATCCTGGGAATCTTTTCTTTGGTAAGAGGTAGAAGGGTAAAGCCTACCTTAAATTCACGTTATTTTTTCCCAAATCTTTTGCCTCTACCTTAAGTCTTTATATCCCTGAGGGGCTCGGCTTTGGAAATATGCAAGTCAGGGAAAGAATTCTTCTCTTTAATACTGTCTTATTCCTTCCTTGAGTTAAATAGCAGAGACATGTCCAGCTTCTTGCATGGGGAAGGAGGAAGGTCAAAAGGGAAAAAAGAAATGAGAAAAAAAAATCAGGTAATATTTAAACATTTTTATTCTTCAACATAATGATTTTTTCAAATTGATTTTATTTAAAATAGTAAAACTGTATGAAATATGAGCTGCCTGGGCAGTCTAGCTCTTGAGGCCATTGTTACTATAACACTCATGATTTCTGCCTTGGATTATGGGTATTTCATTATTTGTGTGTTTTATATTTCCTATAGAAAGGCAATGATCTAGAATTTAGACTAGCTAGATAAACCCCCCAGGCAGGGAGAGGATAAGAATGAATTCTATAAACATTTTGAAAGGAAAGAGTTCGAATGAAGGGAAAGGTAGGGAAGAAAAGCTCATGATTTTGAGGAGTTAAGCCTGGGAAACAAAAGTGCTTATTCCTTTGATAATAAATGGAAGGGGAATGTAGCTTGGGTTGACTGGTGGAAGATGATAGATTTGAACTTGCATGTATAGTGTGTTCATCTCCAAGAGATGTTGATGCCAGGAGATCTTCCTTTCCTTTAAAACTGCAGCCAGGATGGACCAATATTTTTGTTGTGTTTCCACATATCCACAAGGATACACGCCAGCATGTAGTGTTTTTTTTTTTTCAGCCTAAAGGTTGTAGTCATTCTCCTTCAGCCTACTGTGTGGCAGCTTTCTTCTTATTCGGTGCTTTCCATTCTCATCTCAAGTCCTGGACATCTGAGCTGTGCATATGAGTGCGCGCGCGCACACACACACGCGCACACACACGTGTGCACACAGACTAGAGACCCTGATTGCATGCTTTCTCCCCATGGAAAGGCAAACTTCCTTATGAATTCTTAGACTCTGCCTTTTATTAACTTTACCTGTGAGCAACCTTGTATGAGGAACAGCCTTACTACAGAATGTTAATCTCAGAAAAAGTGAATTACTTCATCACCAGGGGAATATACTACTGGAGCTTCCCAGTTGGCATCAGCAGAAGAATGACTCACAACTCTTCCTTTTTATCAGTATTTCTCGCTCCATTCAAGGTTTTGAAAAAATACATTATTCAGTTCCCCTACTTTCATCTCCCACCACATCAAGACTATAGACACCTCGGTGCTGATTGCACTCCTAGTTCTTCCCATCCAGAGGCAAACAAAACAAGGGCATTGCTAACCAGTTTATTTGAAACACTTTCTTCAACAGACGGCTCTGAGTTATCAGTGGTGTCCTGTTTTTAGGACAAAGAATTATTGCTCTGACCTCATAGTTGCTCTTTGCAAGGACTCAGGTTTAAAGGTTATGAAGAGCTATTCAAACTCATATATTTCTACTTCCCTTCTCACTTGTTGTACTGCCTTTCAATGTGCAATGGAATGTCCATTCATAGTCATAGGCCGTTTAAAGTAATATATGCTTCCAAGATTATAAAATGGAAATTTATTCCTTTATTTACCCTTTCAATCAACATTTATTGAGCACCTCAGTATGCTAGGCACATACACAAAAAGGTGCTGAGGGTCAAAGGCATCCTGAGAGATGCCTTCTAGAGCAGAACCCAACAACAAGCAGTTGGTTATAGTGAATCTGAAACAAATTGCCCAGCATTTCTATTGTTTTGTTTTTCTCTACTTTTCTCTCTTATAGACTTGTTTTTCATTTTTCTCTTGTTTTCTCTTTTTTCTGTATTTTTTCTCTTTTTCATCGTTACATGATGCCATATTATTTTCAAAAGGCCAACCTTGTCTTCTTCTGTTTCCCTCACTCATTCCACAGTAGCAATATTTATTAATGGCTAAAAGACAAACAACTACCTTGTCCAATCCAAGGTCACTGTGGTAATTTTAGGCATCTGAGAGTATATCAAAAAGATGGAAAATACATAAACCATTTAATAAGCTATTGGAAAGAGAATATGGGTTTATGACTTAGAAGGGCTGTATTTTCTGAACAAAAGGTTAATTCCTGGATTAGTCGGGATTTGGCTACATTTTGTTGTGGTAATGAACAGTCTCCAAACATCGGTGACTTAATCCAACAAAAGTTTATTCTCACTGATTGTGCATGTCCAACATGGACCTGTGGAGGACTCAGCTCCACTAAGTCATTCAGGAATCTAGGCTATTGGGAACTCTGTCATCTCAACACATGCTTCCAAGATTACTTCTGCAGGGAAGGAGAGAGCTGGAGGGTATTCCATTGACAATCAAATGCTTCGGCTTAGAAGTGAAACATAGTAACTCTTCACAACAGACAAATTACCTGACCTATCCAACTGCAAAGGAGCCCAGCAATGCACCGTTTATATACCTGGAAGGAGAGGGTGCTGGACTCTTTGTGACACTAGTAGTGTCCACCACAACACTCAGGATGATCGAGTTTGAAATGAAGACTATAGAAAACTCCAAATGTCCGGCTGATGTGCTTGAAGGACAAGTGTAGAAGTGGCTGACCTGTGATTTGCAGCAACTGGCCTCTCACAGTGGCTGTTTTGCAAGGGTGTCCTCTGGCTCTACAAACGCCTTGCAACCTCAGGATAATCTTTTCTGTGGTCTCTTGTTCATGAAGGCAGTATTTTAAAATAAACTCATACATGTCCTTTTATCCAATAAAATGTCAATCTTAAATTACTAAGATAATTCATCCCTAAGTTGAAATACTCCTTTTAATTTACTTTTTTAATTAAGGGAGGTGTGTGGTTTGTGAGACTTGGACCATTAGGAAGCTTAAGTGTTCTGAGTCAAGACTGGGAGGCCATCCCTCGCCTGTGACAGTGTGTTGGAGCGAGGCTGCCAGTAAGCCAGAGTGTCAAGGATGACAGCACAGCTCCATATATTGTGGCCACCAACCTGAATACATAGCCAAGTGCATCACCTCCCTCAAACACATTCTTGCAAAGTGAAATTAACTTTATGGGGTGTGCAATAATGTTTTTTGGATGGTTTTACATAATGTCCCTGAAGTTTTTAGACAAGTGACTTTTGAACAGCTATAAACTAGAGTTAGCATACACTTCTGGACTTCCTGGAACTTCAAAACTTGAGGTCGTGGGATCACTCATCTGAGAGTGGGTACATGCTTATCTCTGATCCCTTGATAGGGCCCAGTCTAAAGGAGGAAAAAGCTAACAAAATCAGTCTGACACAGTGATAGTTAAGAACTGAGATTTCAAATCCAGGCCGGTTCTGAGTTTGGATCTTGACTATCCACTTAAGAGCTTGTGTGACCTTGGGCAAGTTATAGAACATCTTTAATCTTTAATTTCCGATAGATGAGAATTAAAATAGTATTTGTCTCATAAGCTTGTGAGAATTAAAGGAAGTGATGATACTTAGCATAGTGCCTGGCTCATGTAGGTGGTCAGAAAACATTAACTGTTACTAGCAGCTGCTTTTGTTAATAGTTCAGGGTAACAAGCATGTAGAGTGTGAGCCACAAGCAAAGCACTGTGCTAGACACAGCAAAGTATGTGTGTATGAGAGAGAGAGAGAATTAGGATGTAAGAGTATAGTGGAGCGAGAAGAAGCAGGATAGAAAAAACACAAAGATAGCTAAACATAGATAACTAAAATGAAACAGGTAACATTTATTTGTGGGCATACTCTGTGAAAGGCACTGCATAGATAGATCTTTACATAATTGATCTCATTTAATGTTCACATGACCCTCTGGGTAGGCATTATTATCTTCATTTTATATTTGAAGAAAATAAGCCTTAGATCAATTAACCTGCAGTGGCTAACACATGGAGCTAGGGAAGTGGAGGGAGTATCGGGCTGTGAGGTTAAGCTTGACTGGAGCACAGGAGAGGACTGGCTGTGTGGTATGTTCCCAGGTGTTCCAGGGAAGCCTCGATTACCAGCACAGGTGGTCATTGCCCATACAGAGTCCAAGACCATCTGTAATTTTGGCCACACAGTCCTTAATGATGTGCTATTTGACGAAGAAATAGGAGACTACCTTGAGGCGGACACCATGTCTTTGAGATACTGAAAGACTAAAAAACACATTCAGGATGTGCTGAAGCACAGCTTCAAATCACGCAGCAAATCTACGACATGCCAGGAAATGGCAGCCAATGGCAAACCAGCCCTGTCTGAGGGCCACTGGTGAAAATGTCATGGTGTTCCATGGTTGACCACTAGATGAAGCCCTGCTGGGCAGGATACCACCACCTGGGGAGGATAATGGTTGAAACCCAAACCAACCCCTCCTCATCCCTGCACCTCCACAACCTAGAGAAGATTTTAGGATGTGTATTCATCTTTCCAACACTATAAGGCTAAGACCACCACCAATAGCATAGATCCCATTCCCACTAATATGCTTTATTATGAGTTCAGAGAAAATATAAAGTATAAGGAAACCTGAAAACTTCCAGGTCCTTCTAGACTTTTGTCCCATTAACACTTTGGGGGAAAAAGCAATCTCCATGTAAAATCTCCATTAAAATAACCTTGTGGGCTTATCTGAAATTAGCACCTTCACAGTTTTTGTTCTGACTGTTGGTTTAGTTTGCCTACTGTGCCTTGATCTTATACTTGATATGCCTCTCTAATCAGATAAGAAAATAGTTGAAGCATTTTTGGACTGTAGACCAACATTAATGTTATTCAAAAATAGGAGTTAGGCATGGGGCTCAGATTTTTACCTTTTTTATTTGTGTATGATTTAGTGTTCATCCTGCACTAGACACTAAAATGCATTGTTTAATTATCTGAGCTCAACACACCATTTTATAATTCATTAGTCAGTTGCTCTTTGCAAAAGCTTATTTCTTATGAAACAAAAGTGGGAATCATGCAACTGGACTATTTATCTCTCTTTAGGGGTTGGGGGTTAATATCTGATAGCTCATAACATCTTTATTATAATGCATTTATAATGATTTACTGGAATCATTCTATGGCTAAGTATCTAATGTCAAAGCTGGGATCTGGCATGAAATAAAATGCTGTATCCTTGGGTAGCTCTAGGGAAAAAAAGGCCCCAGCCAATATTTTCTGTGTAATTCTACAAACTGTAATAAGGGTAGGGGTAATTGCCTTAATGTCAATTAAGCTATTAATAATGTTCATCTTGTCATTCCTAAATATAGCAGTGTCTCAATCATACATTACTGTCCCCTGTTAAGGCTACACAGAAATGAGATCACAGCCTCTGTGGATCAAGAAGTCTGTCTAGCAGCCAGTCTTATTTCCTTTACATAAGGGAAGGTTTGGGGGTTTATTTGGTGTTAATGAAAAATTTCTACTTAGACACACATATGTATTTGTGAGGACAAGCTCTGGTGATTCTTGTGAGCAGGACAAATTCAGTCTTAGAAGCTAAACTGTTCCCTGTTCCTATTCTGCTCCTGATGACCATGAAAGGTGCTCCTGATCAGGACTCGTGTTCCAGGGTCCCGATAAGGTCTGAGGACCCAGACAGTTCAGTAGCAATCATACATGCATTTTAGCAAAGTGTGTGGGAACTAACAAAGTTAGGGAGCACTTGTTCAAGCTACACATAGTGCTGCGTTGTGTGCGTGTTGTTCCCAGGCCACGTGGATGCACGCAAGTTCCTCAAGGACAGAGAAACTACAGGACAAAGAAAATGAGGCTGAGACATTGTCACTGAGACAAGAGGTCAGTGTTTCATCAGCAAATTTCAGCAAAGTCAAGGGTAAAGTCATATTTGGAAGAAGGAATAGAAGATGAGCTATAGGATTTTGGCGAACAGGGAGAATATTGCCAAATCTCCCCATTCAGCTCTAAATCAGGACCACTTATCGTGCAGTGAAGAAACAGGACAAGACCCTTCTTTAGTTGGCACTTATCGTTCTCCTGGGCCATGAGATTCTGAGCAGCCACTTCCTTCCGACCCCCCTCCTTGTTGCCTGTCTTGAAGTGAACTTCTACTTGATGATATTTAGAGCTCATTAATTTGTCCCAAGGAAGCTTATTGTATGGCAGTTTAATGACAGAAAACTGTTTTAATGCAAATGGACATGTAATCCCACTAAGCCACTCTGAGGGTGTAAATTTAAAACAATTGCTAGGAACTGACACCGGAGTTTAATAAGATGGAGGGCTAGTTTCTAGATCCCGGTACGCCCAGGGGACCCTGCTTGGACACCCAGCCCTGGCGGTTTTAGTGCAGCCCTCAGTTACCATGGCAATTAAAAATGTCAGGGAGCTTACTGGAGCTCCTTTCAGGTGGTGGGGATCTGAGCTCTGGAGGAGTGGGGGAATGCAGGGAGGAAATAAGTTTCAGCACAGAGAGGAAATGAAGGGTGAGTGGGTGTCTTCTGCTCATTACTCCTCAGGGGACAAGGTTGGACAAGATATGACTGAGACCCCAGGAGGTCACTTTCTGTCCTGGCTTAGTATAAATGCCTGATCCAGGCAAACTCCCACAGACAGAGCACAAAGCCTTACCCAGGACCCCACTTCTCCCAGCAGGTAAAGGGGGAAGCCTGCTTCTGAGGGGTTGGTTGGAAATGAGGCGGAGGCGGGAATTGTGTTTGAATATTTACTAGATTATAATGCTGTTGGATACTACATCATTCATCAGAGGGCCCTGAATAAGGTTATTATGGGTGAAGTCATTTTTGTAATAAAGTTGGCTGTAACTCTGGGTCATAAATCACAGGTTCTGGTACTAAAAAAATTGCTAAACATGCCTCTGTTACCACATACTGTCCTCCTTTTAAATACTTTGATTTTACTACAAATCTCCCATTGACTGAGCTGGGGGAAATACACACAATGAGCAAACGATTCCTTCCGTCCCTGGCAGCAGCCCTGCCAGCATCGGGGCCTCCTGGAATGATTTCCTGAGGTGTGATGTTATTTATGGTGTGCTTTCTCTATCAAAAAGGCAAACAGCATCCCAAGTGACCCCGGAGCATTTGCATCATTGCTTCTCTTGCTAATTGATTCATCCCCTGGCAGGGCCTGAGACACGGGCTGTTGGCTGGACACTCGCTCCCAGCTGCATATCCTGTGGATTTAAGGTGCATAAGAAGCAAAGATGTTAATAAAATCGTTAAATGTCAAAACTGAAAAACCCACACCCATTCAGAGTTCATCAGCTCTTCTGGAATGATCTGTAAAATACCATCTCCTCCCCTTGTCCTTTTCTCATAACCTTTGTTATGTTACCATCTTTGTTATGTTACCTTTGTTTGTTACCATCTCCTCCCCTTGTCCTTTTTTCATAACCTTTGTTAAGTAAGGAGATTAAGAACTGTTATTAACGACACTGATTGTTTAATTTCTTTCATAACTTCTTCCTTTCAAATGAGAGTCCAGTACAGAATGAAAAGGAATGTTATCATATGAAGTGCATTTCAGACGTAATAAAGCAGAAAGGAGAGGGTGGCCCCAGTGGCAGTTGTAAGAGGGATGAAGTGTGGATCTCTATAGCTCAGTGGCTGCAAAGCAGAAAATGAAGATTGTAAAAACGTCACATAAAGAAAAAATGCACAGTGGATTCGTTTTGTGATGCCCATAATTCAGTAATGCCTTTAAGTAGCTAGAAGAAATATAATAAATGTTTTTCCACAACATTGATCATACTGTATCAGAGGAAATATTAGTGTGCAGGGAGCCATGATTATACTGGTAGTAATTCTCGGTGCAGAAAACTAGTAGAAGATGGGACCCTTTATAGGCCGAACTTTTATTGGCTGCAGTTATTTACCTTTAAGAATACGCCTAATACATTGTCCTGTAGCTAAATATTTTTGTGAAAATTCAAACCAGCACTATCAGTAAATCAGAAATCCTGCCACCATTTTATAGGATTTATATATATTTTTCCCTGCAGATGCTCTCATATGTTCCAGAATACAAAAACCAGCCAACTGACCATGTAAAAATTCTAGAAGGCCTGTAAAACAGATTCTTCTTCTGTATTCTGAACCTGGATAGGAGCAGACAGGTTTATGGCATGTGATTCCATCCAAATGCCACCTGTATATATAACATCTCTCTAAAGAAATTAAATGGATTATTAGATTATATACCATAGTAAAACTATACCTGGAGCTGCAGGCCAGGAGAAGATATGCATGTTGTGCAACTGCTTAATTTTTTTTTTTTTGTCTTGAAACACTGAAGAAAGCTTTGCAAAACAGGCTTTTTCTAAATTTAGGGAGGAAAGAATGGAACTGATTCTTCATGCCAGCCTCTTGCTCCTCAGACTGGCAGGAGCTGGTAATGCGGTGGCTGTGGCAGTGTGGGTGCAGGAGGCCCTGCATGCTGAGGAGAAGTTTCACCTTCCCTCTAGATGGGCTCCAGCTCGACTTCAGAAATCATCCAGTCAGGGTTCCAGGGAGCACAAGATAAAAGCTAGCCCAGCCAGACTCCTGCAGAATTAAAGGGAGAGGTGAGACCCGGGCATGCTAATCTTCCATATATCCCAATGAAGTCGTGCTGTGAAAATGACTAAGAGAAGCAAGAAGCCAGAGCAATCTCCGAGGGAAGGTACTCTGAGAGCAGTGTGTAGGAGGGCGGTATTTGACTTCAGTATCTGCATAAGCCAGCTTGCAGTTCAAAGCCCTTGTTAAAGCAAACCAACCTGCTTAAAGGCTGCCGACTCACCTGCTCTGTCTCAATGCACCTCTCCCCTAACTCTCACTGACACAAATGGGTATCATTTCTCAGAGTGAAAGGAGGCTATTCCTTTCTCTTTGTCCTAGGGCTCTTTGCTTAATGCAAATAACAGGCCTCATGCACACATGCTCTACCAATCCAACACATTTTCTGTGTGTGTGTGTGTGTGTGTGTGTGTGTGTGTTTATGGAGTTACATATCGATTTTAGTACCTTCTATTGGAGTTGATGTTTTAATTGTTTTATTTGTTTTGTTTGATTTTTTCTTCTCCTCCAGCAAGCAAGAAATGGAAGAGGGCGCCTCTAAGTTCTTCCCATTCTGAGAATGTTTATTTATTTATTTATTTATTTAACTTTAAGTTCTGGGGTACATGTGCAGAATGTGTGGTTTTGTTACACAGGTGTACACGTGCCATGGTGGTTTGTTGCACCCATCAACCTATCACCTACATTAGGTATTTCTCCTAATGCTATCCCTCTCCTAGCCCCCCATCCCCCCAACAGGCCCCGGTGTGTGATGTTCCCCTCCCTGTGTCCATGTGTTCTCATTGTTCAACTCCCACTTATGAGTGAGAACATGTGGTTCTTGATTTTCTGGTCCTGTGTTAGTTTGCTGAGAATGATGGTTTCCAGCTT
The DNA here is from genome assembly GCF_000001405.40 of Homo sapiens. Taxonomy (NCBI): domain Eukaryota; kingdom Metazoa; phylum Chordata; class Mammalia; order Primates; family Hominidae; genus Homo; species Homo sapiens. Next base: position 176,816,444 of record NC_000002.12, on the reverse strand, counting down.
CAAAAAGGCAGGTGATTGAGGGAAGAAAACCTCCAACAGTTAGGGATTCTAAGGTTGAGGAACAGCCTGACACAGATGACAGTCTATCTAGTGTGGCTTCTGGGAAGTTGGTGTGCTGTCACCTGGTGTGCTCAGCATTGACATACAAGCCAATATGACATCACAGGCTTCTGTTAAATTTCCTCCTCATCATGGAGGAGAGAGATGCTTTTGAAGCATGTTCCTGTAAGTGGTTCTGTTCTAGGTACTTTGTGGTAGTAGCAGTTGTTTTCAATGTTTTATTTTTATTTTTTGAGAAAGGGTTTCACTCTGTTGTCCATGCTGGAGTGCAGTGGAGTGATCACATCTCACTGCAGCCTTGAAGTTCTGGGCTCAAGTGGTTGATCCTCCTGCCTCAGCTTCCTGAGTAGCTGGGACTACAGGTGTGCCAGGAGGATTTTTTTTTAAGTGAAAAAATTTTATCTTTGCCTTAGTTAATTTCCTGGCAGTTGAAGTGCATTTTAAAACGATAATTTCTTGGCCAGGCGCGGTGGCTCACACCTGTAATCCCAGCACTTTGGGAGGCCATAGCGGGCAGATCATGAGGTCAAGAGATCGTGACCATCCTGGTCAACATGGTGAAACCCGTCTCTACTAAAAATACAAAAGAATTAGCTGGGTGTCTAGTCCCAGCTACTTGTGAGGCTGAGGCAGGCGAATCCCCTGAACCCACAAGGCAGAGGTTGCAATGAGCTGAGATCATGCCACTGCACTCCACGCACTCCAGCCTGGTGACACAGCAAGACTCCATCGAAAAAAACAAACAACAAACAAAAATTTCTTTTGGAGGCTAATATCTCCATTGTCAAACCTTAATAAAGATCAATGTATAGTCATCTTTCTTCTCTCCTTCCTTTCCCTCCCTTCTTCCTTTTTTCTTCCCTCCTTCCTTCTTTCCTTCCCTCCCTCCCTTCTTCCTCCTTTCCTTCCTTTTTCCCTCCTTTTCCCTTTCTTTCATTTTATTTTCCTTTCTTCTTTCTGAATCCTTATTTCTCTTCAATGACTTAGAAAACATCTTAATGAACTTCTTAGAGCAATTCTGCAGCAATGAACATGTTCAGGATCACAGATGCCTTTTCTCCAGTATTTACTGGTAAAATGCAGTTCCCACTTTTGCTGTGTGTGTAGTATGCACACCATCCCATTTATGCCTGTAAAAACATCCAGGTGTGCTTAGGAGGGCCAGAGAGACCCTTGGAGAGTAGACTTACTGTAATTTTAGTAAAATTAAAAGACAAGAAGATAATAATAGGACTTAGGAATTTGCTTAGTAGATAAACAGAGTGCATTTTGCTTTACTTGGTATATAGTTTGAATTATTGACTTGCATATTGCCAAATAAAAAATATAGACAATATTGGACAACACAGAATATTTGATTATAATATAAAACATTTTATATTTTAAAATGAGATACACTTGTAATTATCTCTACAACCACTGGATGTCACTATTGCATATATCAGGCAGTTAAAAACTTCCTATCTAGAGAGAGAATCTGAAACTTATTTTAAGAGCTGTCAGTCGCCACCTTGGTGCACTACCTTTTGATGGAACATGCACTATCGTGCTAAAATGACTCTCTTCCCCATTCCATGCAGTCAGCCCAATTTTCAATTATGCCACTTTACTGGGAATTCTAATTTACACAGGATGAGATTCCTCAAACACAATTATTTTCTTCACTATATTTAAAAGGAATATGGTACTTCTATAATAGTTCTCAACATTGTGTATTAATTATAATGAGCACATTTTGGACACTAAATGGTGTGAAGTGAAAACATAACCATAAAATAAGCTCGATTTATAAAATACCCCCAACCCCTGCTAATTACTTACAACAATTTTATATCTATTTGCTCATCTGTCTTCCCAGCATCCCTGGGAGGTTACCTGCTTTACTACTTTTATGAGTCAAAGTTGACCTGTGAAGTAAATTGAATCAAGTAATTATTTGCACAGGCATTCCAGGAGTAAAGCAAAAGCAAACATTGAAAGTGTGTTCCAGACAGCTAATTCCAGTTTGCAAAAGTTACCAGTTCAGATTTTGGTAGTTCTGTGATTTTTCAATTAGTAAAAAAAAAATCCTCAATTCATGGGCCTTTTAACTCTCCTTTTAAAGATTCATTTAAAAAAAAATCTGGGCCATTTTGTGAGGCTGACGTGATAGAGAAAATAGGTCTTTTTCCAAGCTGAAAAAAGGCTGGCCCAGTTCAAGTGCTAGTTAGAGCAGGACCAGGAAAAATAATGTGGTGAAGGAATTTGAACAATGGTTTGCTTTCCCTATAGTTAGAAATGGCCAGGAGCTTCCAAAGAGCTATCCAGTTTAGTTTCTTTCCTTTTACTAAAACCCTGGAGTCGTTTTCTTCAACTTCCTCACATGCCCTTGCAGCTCTGGGGAAGCCAGAGCTGTTCTTGAAGGACTATTGGCCTAGATTTAGTGGGGGAGGGGAGATGCTCTCTGTTCTAGTGAATTATCAGAGAGCTGTGTTGCTTGCCATCTATGGGATGCTTTGATCCAAAATTTTAGTCATTGTTTCCACATTTAGGGGCTGGAATGCACATCAAAGAAGTGGGTGCACGGAATTTACTGAATGCCAAAGAAGTACAATAACATACAGAGGATATAAGCAAATCCCAGTGGTAAAATTTGCTGCCAATTCTTGCACATAATAGAGGCCCTAAAGTGACAGTCTATCTTTGACAAATGCATGATATCAATGCCAAGGGAAGGAACTAGCATGCTGAAAGGTGAATAAAAGAGTTGGAACAATTCAGTGGACTTACACATTTCCTCAGTGTGTTTTCACACAACAAGGAAAGCAGATGACACAAATGCATGAGGTAATCATAAGACAGGGCTGCAAACTCACTAGCTGTTTTAAACCAACCTGGTTCTTTCAGGATCCAGCTCTAAAGATGAGAGTAAAATGTGATTAGAAATCATTCATCTTCTGGAGGAAAAAAATGGAACAAGGAAAGTGAAAATAGCTTTCTTGTTCTGTCTTGGATAGTTCCAGATTTTAGAGCCCATATGTTGTTTGCTATAACTTCCTCGCCTCCCAGGGCCAATGCATTCGAAACGCTTCAGCTAGTGTACTTCACTGAGTAGTCTTGGAAGTTAGGGCTCATTTGTATCCATAGTCTTTGTTCAAATATGGATTAATTTTGGCTAATTTCAGTGGGTGCATATAAAGTAAAACGCACAGAACTGAAACTACTGAAATCAGGCCTGTGTGTGATCATCTAAAAATCTACTTTTCAAGCTCCTTTAAGTTTTATTTTTGAAATAAAAACAATAAAATGACAGTAAAAAGTTTCCAAAAGCATTGACATTATGAGCAATTGCTAACCAAGGCTATTCCCAGAATGATTGAGCAAAATTTGGATATAATTCTAGACAAGATAACTGCCCGGCAGTGCCAGCTATAAATACTCCATTCAGAAGGTGATTTCACTATGATCCTATGGAATATGTCCCTTGTCTCTAGGGCTGGGTAACCACGTGGATGCATATTATGCTATTGTCACTAGGGCTGGCATTGGAGGGCAAAGGCAGATTCTTGTCCTCAAGCTTTAATCTTTATACTATGGAGATGAATGTGTAAGACCTGCCGTAGGTTGCTTTAAAAAACCAGACTGCGTTTGGATATTTAGAGGAAGGGGTCTCAAAAATGCCATAGTACATAGAAATAGCCTAGAGGGGTCATGGGCACAGCTGGTAGTGAATCGGGTATAAGCAAGATCAAGATCTGTGTATTTATTTGCAACTCTACTTGCTTGAGCCAGAAATTGTGCCAGCTGCAAATCGAGCCAGCATTTCTGTCCTTGGCTTTAGACAATTAGAGCAGATTTGCTTGTATACACCAAAATCATTTCCAACACAGCCCCCACAGTTCTTTGTGCTTCTTACAAAATTTCCTCTATGGCCTTGCACTGCATAATAAAGGAGCTCTTGGAAGGATCCTGGTCTGTTTACTGTGCATGTTAAGTAAATGCAATGATTTTCATTATTTCAAACTCCATAATGAAATGACTGAGTGCCCGGCAACATTAGATAATGGACAAACAACTATTCAACTGGCTGGATGAACCATGGCTCTCTCGCATTAAAAGTGTGATATTTATGAGTTAACTTAATTATAGAAGAAAATATTGAGTAGGTGACTGAGTAAAATGATGACTGTGTATTACGTTTTTGCCATGCAGCTGGATAAACATATTCGACGACAGACCTTGGCAAGAACTGCAAAGATGCTCTTGACAATGGCATGAATAAATATTAGGTGTTATCTAGAATTCACCACATTTGAGGTCGTGCGCAAAGCCAGGTAAGTTTTAACAAAAAAGAATTACAGCAGAAGCCATGTGTGCACACTAGGACTATGTAAGCACTGGAGTCTTTTTCTGCTGCCTAGGGATTGCTCTAACACTCATTCTCATCCACATCACCGAGAGATTTTCTAAATCATTACCTTTGTTTGCACTCTAGGAGTGCACTGTAGCATAAGACCCAGGTTTTAGGAATCTCGTGGTAAATTTTTCAATGACATGCACTTGGAGAGAAAAGAAATACTTTACCTAGGCTATAGAGCTGACAAAAAAAGATTATATTTTGGAGTGACCCAACCCAATCCTTGTAAACAGTAAATGAAAAAATTGCTTTGAATTGCTTCTTGAATTTCTTTAGAGGACATAGTTTCTAACTACAAGAAGGACCATAAGAAAAGACAGTTTTTCAGAAGGTATTTTGAGTGAAGGTTCAGCAAGACTGATAGTCACTTAATGCAAGATTTGTATCCATGGCAGAAAGAATCAGTGTGCAAAAGAGTATCATAGAAATCTGCCATTATGGGTTTTTTTTTTCCTTTCCTACTCAGAATTGTCATATTACCAATAAGGAAAATTTCTTATTAAGGTCTTTGTTTTCATTTGTTGGAGTGTGCCACACAATCTCTAGAAGATGAGGAGGAGGAGGGGGAGGAGGAAGAACAACAACAACTATGTTTTCTGAGCCAGTGTATGCGCCACAGGTTTCTGCTAAATCAGTGAATTTCCTATATTATTCTCTATTTTTTTAATTATACTTTAAGTTCTGTGATACATGTGCAGAATGTGCAGGTTTGTTACATAGGTATACATGTGCCATGGTGGTTTGCTGCACCCATCAACCCATCATCTACATTAGGTATTCCTCCTAATGCTATCCCTCCCCTACCCCCCTACTCCCTGACAGGCCCCAGTGTGTGATGTTCCCCTCCCTGTGTCCATGTGTTCTCATTGTTCAACTCCCACTTATGAGTGAGAACATGCGGTGTTTGGTTTTCTGTTCTTGTGTTAGTTTGCTGAGAATGATGGTTTCCAGCTTCATCCATGTCCCTGCAAAGGACATGAACTCATCCTTTTCTATGGCTGCATAGTATTCCATGGTGTATATGTGCCACATTTTCTAGACTCTATTTTGGTGTTGTCTCAGCACTAAAATATGATGACAGGATGTGTTACAGAAGTTAGCAGAGCTTACTAGGAAAAAACACTCATGCTGGCATGAGTATTCTGGTGTCTAGTCTCAGTTGTGTGACCTTGGGCAAGTCACTTTGCCTCTCTGAACCTCAGTTTTCAATCCATAAATTATAATAACATCTGTTTGCCTATGCTTAAGAGTCTAGTTGTGAGAAGAAAACTAGATAATTGATCTAAGGCATTCATTTATTATTAAACTACAATGGATTTAATTTAAACTGCTTCGTTCCAGAAAGAATTTCAGTTGCACCTAGGGAAACTAAAATGAAAATTTAAGATATTAATATGACTCACGAGCTTAATTCTTCTTTTTCTCTTCTTCTTCTTTTTTTTTTTTTTGAAGAGACCTTTCAAAATCTTTATTTTTAAGAGGAAATCTAGCTCACTTCCCAGCTACTTTGTCTTCCTGGTATCCTTCTTAATTGCACATATTCCACCTCAGCACTTACTTAACAAATAAATATCCAGAGTACTTAAACCAGATAGAAGTAGCAAGAGGGGTGTTTTGGAGGTATAATTGTCATAATGTGGTGATGGATTGGATATGGGAAAATGAGAGAGACAAGGTATCAAAAATGACTCCCAGATTTCTTATATAGAAAACAGGAGAAGGACGCAATTTGAAGAAATCAGGAATTCCATTTTGGATAAATTCAATTTGAGATGACTGTGAAATACCCAAAGGAAAAAAAAATCCAGTAAAAGACCATAAAGGCAGCCAAAATGGCAAAAAAACACTGGGGTTGAAGGAAAAGGACTTCAGTTAAGGCCTTGATTCTGCAAGACCTCAAGAAGGGATGTATTCTTCCTGCGTTTCAGTTTCCTTGTCAGTAAAATGGAGATATTAGTATCTATCTTATCACCTTGTTGGGAGGATACAATAACAATTTTTGAAGATATTTTATAAGTTACTTTATTTCTCGCTATAACAGACATAAGAAATAGCACAAAGAAACAGGGTGGACGCTTTCTCTACCGCTACTAGTTGCTTTGGGAGCCTTGGGCTACTGTGTAAACACGGCCAAGTCCAAGAATCACACTACACACAACTAGAACAGAAATGGCATCAAGAAAACCCTATGTCAAAGATGTAAATCTCTTAAAAGGGTGGGCCCCAAGTTCCTGAGGAACATGCACTTTGCTAAGAAGCACAAGAAGGGCCAGAAGAAGACGCAGGTCAATGATGTCAGGGCCACGAGTGAATCAACTGAGGCTGTCAGGGCCTTTGTGAAGTCCAAGGAGGTCAAGACCAAGATCCCAAAGGGCATTAGGTGCAAACTCAATCAACTTGCCTGCACTGACCACCCCAAGCTCAGGAAGTGTGCTCATCCCTGCATCACCAAGGGTTTCAGGTTCTGCTGGCCAAAGTCAAAGACCAGGGCTCAAACCAAGCACCAGGTGTGGCTCTGTCTCCAGCTCAGGCTCCCAAATGTGGCCAGGCCTCCACCAAAGCTCCAGGGTGGAGGCCTCTGTCTGCCAATATGAGGACAGAAGGATTGGTGTGGCCTCACAGCTGCCATCTGCCTGAGGCTGTTGACCTCCTATGCTATTCATACAAGCTGGAAATTTCTCTCCTGGAAATATCCCCACTAAATAGTAAATGTCTTTTTCTTCTTGGCATTTCACTGGCACACCTTGAGTCTTGGGCAGCATTGGCCTTCTTTTCCTTTGGATTCTCTACCTTTAGGGTAGGCCTACAAGCATGACCTCATCTCAAAGGGTACACAGAGTTAATATGGAGAAGGCTCTCCTGTGATTTACAGTTTATTAGGGTAAAGTTCCCAAGGGCAGGAATCATCGCTCTGGAATGTTATGGGCTTCCAGTGAATATTAATTGATTGGGATTCAGCATTACCATTTTACTACTAGGTTTAAATTTACGGGAAGAAGAAGAAATTTTAGTCAGTTGGTTGGAAGGGGAAACATCTCCCTCCCTGCTCACCTGGGATTGAAACTATCCACTGTGCTTGCAGAGTCAAGCACCAGCTTGTCCACGGAACCTGACGAGGGACAAGAGGCCATGGAAACGTGAGGTAGGGAACTAGTCCCCATCGCTACCACCATTTATGTTTCCCTAGGGTGAACTCCTTAATCCTCCCTACAACCATACACTGAAAGTCTGTGTGTGATTAACTATTTTCTGACCACCTCAAAGCCAGGCAGGGAATCTGGCTGCCAACAATAGTGGGGGTAGCTCTGGCTGTTGCAGAGATTATTGGAGAAGGCAGAAAGTAGCTCTCTTTACAGAGTCTAAGAAGGCTCATTCTTAGAGGAATAGGGTGAACAGACTCTCTATTATACTGTTAAATATAGGCTTTAGAAAACTCAAACATTTTTAAAAACCCTAATGATGCAGGAAGGAGCAAAGAAATATCTGAAATACTTCTCAGTCTTCTATCTTTTCGGAGGGAGTAAACTAGCAGATAAAGACTTGGTCTTGGATAATGTCTCTATGCAGTAATGTAAGTTTTGTTCTGTTGTCTTTCTTATATATTTTTTGTTTCTGTTTCATGCCTGAGAATGTCCAAGTGCAGCAACAAATAATCAAAACATTGGTCAAACTATCTCCATATTTTCTAAAATTGAATGCTGTTTCTGTACTAATAATTTTCCAGATATGCTCCATGACCAGTATCTGCACACAAACTCCTATTTCCTGGGTATTAAATTTCTTTAATTACTGTCTTTAGTATATCTGGCATATGCAATATAGCTAGTATATTTGGCATGATGTTTCAAAATACCCTAAGAAGGGGTCAGTCATTAGTAAATTTGCATGGCTATACAAGGAATCACTGTAAACAGATTTGGATGTTATACTTCTCTGTACATGTATAGGCTAGAATATAGATCACTTCAAAGAGAAGGGAAGACCATTTGCTATTTTGTAGCTTATAGTAAGTCTATATAAGCCTTCTTAGACTCTGTGTAAAGACAGCGACTTTCTGCCCCTTCTCAGAAACGCATGCTGCCAAGGCAAAGCATTTAGGACAGAACCTGGATCACAGTTAAGTCCTATATAAGTCTTAGCTGTATCTTCATCTTCTACTACTATTACTACTACTGCTGCTGCTAGTATTGAAAGGCCTAAGAGTTATGCCATGACTAGGGGTCAGCTAGGCTGGTTTTGTTAGATCTGCCCTGCCCTGGAATGAACCTAACACATATGCAGTAGATTCAATGTTTGCTCCTCACCTTTGAGAGACCCTTTCGAAAGCCATCTTTGTGGGTCACATTTTTCCCATCTGCTGTCCCCTTGGAACTGCTGAGTGTCAGGGTAAAGCCCTGGGATGCAGCGTGCTTTGGGGCCGTCACTCTCTACCAGTGCATCTCAAACTATCTGTAGTGAAGGATCAGTTTTGTTTTTTACTTCCAATCAGTCACAGACTGATTGGCAAAATGTAATAAACATAACTTAAAGTGAAATAAAAAACCAATACATATAAAACTCAAGTCCCTTTTCAAAATTTTAAGATTCAACATACACAAATGCATGCTGCCAAATGGCTCTGACGGTTCTAAATGCCTCCTCTCAACTCCCTACTTATCTCTGAAGAGTATCCCACAGATGACAGACAGTGGGCCTCACGTTGAGTGGGGTGTCATAAAGGACAGCGGGGAACCTCACAGGCCCTTCATTTCCATACTGGTTTCCTTCCATAGGGCTCTCATCAAAGCAGAGGACACAATGGGCCAGCAGGTCTCAACCCTAGACTGGAGTGGTCAAAGCCCTGGTGTGAAGCTTGTACATTGGAGGTGGCTCAGAGAGGCCACCAGTGGAAGCTGCCCCTTGTCCAGCTGCTGGCCATCCACATAGCTGGGAATTCACAAACAGCTAAGCAATAGGCAGTTTAGTGAAGACACACAGGTGTGGAAACAGTTTGTGATAGGCAGGTTTATGGCAAATAAACACATTGTATGATATACTGTAATCCACTATATAAACAACTTTAAAATTGTCTATACTTCATATTTCCAGCATTTGGCTTTGTTAATCATATGTCTTCCTGACAGCAATTAAATAACCTTGAGAGTAAATGTACACCTGCTGTCTCCCCTGGGGAAACTACATCTCTTGTGAATGGCAGAAGTTCTCCATAAAACATAACTGAAGCTAGGAGAATTGAATTTGGAGATATGCCTTCTTTCCCTCATGTTTTATCTCTAGTTGAATTGGAGTGCATGGCTTAATGTAGCTAATCTTTTTCTAGATCCTTATTCTGAGCTTTTATTTAGACCAAACTATTTCCCCGAGGGGCAAATTGAAGACAATGGATAATAAATGAGGTTGTAATGAGTACCACCACACAGGCTGTGAAAAGTACCACCACCAGCTCATTTGGCCTGAACCTTCACTCTCCCCAACTTCTTTTAATTCTTTCCGATTTCCACAATAGATTCCATCTGCTTCCATGAACACCGTATTGGTACTGCTTTCCTTAAAGCATGACAAACATAAGTTTGTTTGCTTGACTGAGATCCAAACAAAGTTTATTCATTAGGATTAATTAATTAAAAGTCTCTGTTAATTTGCAGGCTTCCAGGGCTCACTAGATGAAGTTGCTGGCAGTGGCCCCTGCGCTGCTGCTACTGCTGCTGCTGGCGCATGGAGCCGTCATGTGGGTGCTTGGGGCTCCAGGCAGGTACACTTTGGACTGGCTGAGGCTGGATTCCTGGCTGCTGCCACACTGATTTGATGAGGCCAGTTTCAGTATGTTCGTGCACTGGGGCATGTTTGTGCACTGGGGAGTGTTCTTGGTGCTGGTGGCTCTGGAAAGGTGAAGACAGATTCACTACCAGCGTTTCATGTATCACCACTACCCACCTGGCTTCAGCCATGCAGATTTTAGCCAGCAGTTCACAGTGGGTTTCTTCCATCTGAATGGACAAGTGGGCCAATCTCTTCCAGGATTTGGAGGCCAAGTATGTAGTCATGATACAAAGCATCACAAACTGGCTGAGTCTCATGTCTTAGAACTTAAATTCTAAGGATGTGGGGCCCTACCAGTTTGGTTGGTGAGTTGGAAACAGTCTGGAAGAGGAACATACACAATGAACTCTATCACTTCTTAGAATGGTTCCATCCACTCTAGCTACTTGATTTAAAAAAAAATGGCTTCAAAACACAGCATTTTGGCAGTGTAAAAACAATGCCACAGCTATATGATCTTGTTAACAGGCACAAGTCTGATATGATTTTGTCTAATAAAGTGAGACTGTCCTGATACTTATTTGAACTTGCCTCTACAATGATATCTATCAAGGAAGAGGTGGTAGTAAATGACTGATGGGGTCAGAAATGGTTCTGTCACCATGGACAGCACTACAACTGTCAAGAGAAACTTAAGCTGGGGAGGTTGCAAGACCACAAGTAAGAGATGTGTACCACCATTGACAAGAAATTCTGGGGCAATGGTTGCAACATGGCAATGTCTGACTTTGCAAGTGAATCTGAAATGGTTTTGGAACTGCTTCAGACAGCAAGTTTAAGAGGCAACTATCTTCTCAACATTGGACAAGCTAAAGATGATCTAACTGTTCCTGTCTTCCAAGAAAGGCTTCTTGCTTTTAGGAAGTGGCTGAGCATCAGTGGGGAAGCTATCTATGCCTCTAAACCATGGAAGGTGCAATTGGAAAAGAACATGACATCTGCATGGTATACCTCTAAAGGATCAGCTGTTTATGCGATTTTACAGCACTGGCCAGAAAATGGAGTCTTAAACCTTGAATCCCCCATAACCACCTTGACTAGAAAGCACACAGTGCTGGGAAAAAAGAATGTCTGAAGTGGTCCACAGGTCTGGACAAAGGCCTTCTTTTTCTGCCCCAGTTATCATCCTCTGCTTTCCCAGTTGAGTTTTCTTGGCCTGTAAAGCTGACAGGAGTGGACTGATTGTTGGAGTTCAAGAGGAAAGGGGCATTGCCTGCTGTTTGCTGCTTTGATTTGCCTTTTATAGTACCATCATTGTAATCAACTCACTTCCCTTCTCCACCCAGAGATGGCTTTTCCAGCACTTTTTAATCAAAGGAACTGAATATATTACACTGATGCTTCAATAGACCAAGCATCTGAGCTCTCTTGCTAGCATACCTCTCTCTGGTCAGCAAAAGGAGGACTGAGCACTTAAGCTCCAAGTTCATCCATTCTTAACGTTTAAAATTATCTACAACAGAAGCTTCCCTCTATTCTTTGTGTCTGATAACCTACTTGTTGACTTGGAGACTTCAGATAAAGAATAAGCCAAGTCTCCCTGTTGCTTGTGGAAGAGGTGGAAAGGGTTTGGCAAGCACAACCACGCACTATTTATTTAGCATCAGTTGTCACCAACACACTGCCTCCTCCCTACTAAAGTGCAGGAGAGCCTGGAAGGGAAGGAAAAAGCTTGCTGGGCTGCTAGTGGTCAACTGTTCAAAAGTTTCCAAAGTGAACTTAGAGCTCTGAAATCCAGCCTGTTTATAGTGATTATATATAATCTTATATATATATAAGAAAGTGAATGTGATTCTGCTCTGCCTTTAAAATACGGTCAAATGAATGTTTGCGTGCCAAAAAAATTTGTAAGTTTCTCAACCATATCTCCCACCTCCCCTTTGCAACTTGTTTAAGTTAATGTTGAATAAACTGGCTGTCTTGGAATTTCCCACAGTTTGGAGTTTGCTGATGGCATCCCTGTGATGTTTAACATGTTCCTCTGTCATTGTAAGCTGTAAATTGGTAGTTGGATTTAGAAGCTTAACCAGATTCAGGTTCAATTATTTTGTTGTCAAGATTAATGCACATGTAGTGTTCTGCACTTCCGTTAGGAGGTACGTAATGTCTAAGTGTCTCTCTTTGGTGTTTAGCAGCCATTAGTGAACACTGTCCAGAGCCATTAATTCATTAGAAGGTTGCAACATGCTGATGTCTCAATTCTATCCATCCTCATTCATTTATTAGCTGGAAAAATTCTATAAAGAGAAACTTACCCTTGATTATTTGATTACTTTGAGACCATTTTTTTTAACACAATGAATTAATCCTGTAGCGTTCTTTAAAGATGATTAATGAATTTAGATTTTTGATATCATTCCGAATTTACATTTAAATATACTTGATATGTTTCCATTGAATTCATTTCATTTATCATTCCACTGAAGAGCTCAAATTATCCCATCTTTGGCCAGTTGGATCCTCTTTGGACAGAATCATAGTACTTTTTCATAGCATCCTTGATACCTGGCATGACAATATATTCCAGGCTCATTTCATAAACTCCCTGTCTGAGATCTGGAATCAGCCATCTTTCCAAGAGGTGGGTTCCTTTTGGTGGAAAATAGTTTTAGAGATGCAATCAGGGTTCTGGAGGTGCTCACTGCTAGTAGTAGTAGGTTGGCCATTGTTTCTAGGCCTTTCCAGTGGAAAGAACTAGAAAATACATGCTTTTAAACCATAAAACATATTATGAATTAGTACTGCTATTCAGATTTATTTTCAGGACTACAGTATTTTTACCTCATTGATCTTAAAGCTGTATCTACTCTCACCCAAGCTGAAAATTCCAGTTCTCAATGACACCAATATATACATATTCTTGCTTTACCTCACACTACATACACAACAGTTTCAGAATACTAATGCCAGTACTGCCATAACAACATGATTCCTGAATCAATAGATGCAAACAAAACCAGTTAGTTAGAAGATATAATGGAATAGAAGACCATGTGTCTGATAGCTAAAAACAAAATACCTCAGTGTAAACTTAACAAGAAATGTTCAAAATCACTATTAGGAAAATTATTAAACACTCATAAAGGTACAAAATTAGACTTAATTGGAAAGGTAAATGATAGTCACGAAGAAAACATAAATATCTTAGTTATTTCTATGCTTATTTAAATATTTAATGTAATCCCTGTGAAAATCTCATCACATTTTTTCCTAGAGCTAGACAAATTGATTATACAGTGTGTTTAGAAGAATAAACATGCAAGAATAGCTAGAAAATGCCTCAAAAGAAGAGCAATGGTATTATATTAAAACATAAACCTCTAAAATTAAAATAGTTTGGTGTTAATGAATAAGCATAAGAACGGAAAAAACAGAAAATTCAAAGGTATACCTAGTTGCACATGAATATTTAATATATGATAAAAATGGCATCTCTAATTAGTAAGAAAAGGATGGAACTTTTAATAAATGGTGTTAGGGTAGCTGGGTAGCTGTATGCAAAGAGATAAAATTGACGCCACTCCTTGTACTACATAACAGAACAAATTATTATTATTTTTTTTTTTTTGAGATGGAGTCTTGCTCTGTCGCCCAAGCTGGAGTGCAGTGGCACGATCTCGGCTCACTACAAGCTCCGCCTCCCAGGTTCATGCCATTCTCCTGCCTTAGGGTCCCCAGTAGCTGGGACTACAGGCGCCCGCCACCACACCCAACTAATTGTTTTGTATTTTTATTTATTTATTTTTTTATTATTATTATACTTTAAGTTTTAGGGTACATGTGCACAATGTGCAGGTTAGTTACATATGTATACATGTGCCATGCTGGTGCGCTGCACCCATTAACTCGTCATCTAGCATTAGGTATATCTCCCAATGCTATCCCTCGCCCCTCCCCCCACCCCACAACAGTCCCCAGAGTGTGATGTTCCCCTTCCTGTGTCCATGTGTTCTCATTGTTCAACTCCCACCTAAGAGTGAGAATATGTGGTGTTTGGCTTTTTGTTCTTGTGATAGTTTACTGAGAATGATGATTTCCAATTTCATCCATGTCCCTACAAAGGACATGAACTCATCATTTTCTATGGCTGCATAGTATTCCATGGTGTATATGTGCCACATTTTCTTAATCCAGTCTATCATTGTTGGACATTTCGGTTGGTTCCAAGTCTTTGCTATTGTGAATAATGCCGCAATAAACATACACGTGCATGTGTCTTTATAGCAGCATGATTTATAGTCCTTTGGGTATACACCCAGTAATGGGATGGCTGGGTCAAATGGTATTTCTAGTTCTAGATCCCTGAGGAATCGCCACACTGACTTCCACAGTGGTTGAACTAGTTTACAGTCCCACCAACAGTGTAAAAGTGTTCCCATTTCTCCACATCCTCTCTAGCACCTGTTGTTTCCTGACTTTTTAATGATTGCCATTCTAACTGGTGTGAGATGGTATCTCATTGTGGTTTTGATTTGCATTTCTCTGATGGCCAGTGATGGTGAGCATTTTTTCATGTGTTTTTTGGCTGCATAAATGTCTTCTTTTGAGACGTGTCTGTTCACGTCCTTTGCCCACTTTTTGATGGGGTTGTTTTTTTCTTGTAAATTTGTTTGAGTTCATTGTAGATTCTAGATATTAGCCCTTTGTCAGATGAGTAGGTTGCGAAAATTTTCTCCCATTTTGTAGGTTGCCTGTTCACTCTGATGGTAGTTTCTTTTGCTGTGCAGCAGCTCTTTAGTTTAATTAGATCCCATTTGTCAATTTTGACTTCTGTTGCCATTGCTTTTGGTGTTTTAGACATGAAGTCCTTGCCCATGCCTATGTCCTGAATGGTAATGCCTAGGTTTTCTTCTAGGGTTTTTATGGTTTTAGGTCTAACATTTAAGTCTTTAATCCATCTTGAATTGATTTTTGTATAAGGTGTAAGGAAGGGATCCAGTTTCAGCTTCCACATAGGGCTAGCCAGTTTTCCCAGCACCATTTATTAAATAGGGAATCCTTTCCCCATTGCTTGTTTTTCTCAGGTTTGTCAAAGATCAGATAGTTGTAGATATGAGGTGTTATTTCTGAGGGCTCTGTTCTGTTCCATTGATCTATATCTCTGTTTTGGTACCAGTACCATGCTGTTTTGGTTACTGTAGCCTTGTAGTATAGTTTGAAGTCAGGTAGTGTGATGCCTCCAGCTTTGTTCTCTTGGCTTAGGATTGACTTGGAGATGCAGGCTCTTTTTTGGTTCCATATGAACTTTAAAGTAGTTTTTTCCAATTCTGTGAAGAAAGTCATTGGTAGCTTGATGGGGATGGCATTGAATCTGTAAATTACCTTGGGCAGTATGGCCATTTTCACGATATTGATTCTTCCTACCCATGAGCATGGAATGTTCTTCCATTTGTTTGTATCCTCTTTTATTTCCTTGAGCAGTGGTTTGTAGTTCTCCCTGAAGAGGTCCTTCACATCCCTTGTAAGTTGGATTCCTAGGTATTTTATTCTCTTTGAAGCAATTGTGAATGGGAGTTGACTCATGATTTGGTGCTCTGTTTGTCTGTTGTTGGTGTATAAGAATGCTTGTGATTTTTGTACATTGATTTTGTATCCTGAGACTTTGCTGAAGTTGCTTACCAGCTTAAGGAGATTTTGGGCTGAGACAATGGGGTTTTCTAGATACACAATCATGTCATCTGCAAACAGGGACAATTTGACTTCCTCTTTTCCTAATTGAATACCCTTTATTTCCTTCTCCTGCCTAATTGTCCTGGCCAGAACTTCCAACACTATGTTGAATAGGAGTGGTGAGAGAGGGCATCCCTGTCTTGTGCCAGTTTTCAAAGGGAATGCTTCCAGTTTTTGCCCATTCAGTATGATATTGGCTGTGGGTTTGTCATAGATAGCTCTTATTATTTTGAGATACGTCCCATCAATACCTAATTTATTGAGAGTTTTTAGCATGAAGGGTTGTTGAATTTTGTCACAGGCCTTTTCTGCATCTACTGAGATAATCATGTGGTTTTTGTCTTTAGTTCTGTTTATATGCTGGATTACATTTATTGATTTGCGTATATTGAACCAGCCCTGCATCCCAGGGATGAAGCCCACTTGATCATGGTGGATAAGCTTTTTGATGTGCTGCTGGACTCGGTTTGCCAGTATTTTATTGAGGATTTTTGCATCAATGTTCATCAAGGATATTGGTCTAAAATTCTCTTTTTTTGTTATGTCTCTGCCCGGCTTTGGTAACAGGATGATGCTGGCCTCATAAAATGAGTTAGGGAGGATTCTCTCTTTTTCTATTGATTGGAATAGTTTCAGAAGGAATGGTACCAGTTCCTCCTTGTACCTCTGGTAGAATTTGGCTGTGAATCCATCTGGTCCTGGACTCTTTTTGGTTGGTAAGCTATTGATTATTGCCACAATTTCAGCTCCTGTTATTGGTCTATTCAGAGATTCAACTTCTTCCTGGTTTAGTCTGTGTCGAGGAATTTATCCATTTCTTCTAGATTTTCTAGTTTATTTGCATAGAGGTGTTTGCAGTATTCTCTGATGGTAGTTTGTATTTCTGTGGGATCGGTGGTGATATCCCCTTTATCATTTTTTATTGTGTCTATTTGATTCTTCTCTCTTTTTTTCTTTATTAGTCTTGCTAGTGGTCTATCAATTTTGTTGATCCTTTCAAAAAACCAGCTCCTGGATTCATTAATTTTTTGAAGGGTTTTTTGTGTCTCTATTTCCTTCAGTTCTGCTCTGATCTTAGTTATTTCTTGGCTTCTGCTAGCTTTTGAATGTGTTTGCTCTTGCTTTTCTAGTTCTTTTAATTGTGATGTTAGGGTGTCAATTTTGGATCTTTCCTGCTTTCTCTTGTGGGCATTTAGTGCTATAAATTTCCCTCTACACACTGCTTTGAATGCATCCCAGAGATTCTGGTATGTTGTGTCTTTGTTCTCGTTGGTTTCAAAGAACATCTTTATTTCTGCCTTCATTTCGTTATGTACCCAGTAGTCATTCAGGACCAGGTTGTTCAGTTTCCATGAAGTTGAGCGGTTTTGAGTGAGATTCTTAATCCTGAGTTCTAGTTTGATTGCACTGTGGTCTGAGAGATAGTTTGTTATAATTTCTGTTCTTTTACATTTGCTGAGGAGACCTTTACTTCCAAGTATGTGGTCAATTTTGGAATAGGTGTGGTGTGGTGCTGAAAAAAATGTATATTCTGTTGATTTGGGGTGGAGAGTTCTGTAGATGTCTATTAGGTCCGCTTGGTGCAGAGCTGAGTTCAATTCCTGGGTATCCTTATTGACTTTCTGTCTTGTTGATCTGTCTAATGTTGACAGTGGGGTGTTAAAGTCTCCCATTATTAATGTGTGGGAGTCTAAGTCTCTTTGTAGGTCACTCAGGACTTGCTTTATGAATCTGGGTGCTCCTGTATTGGGTGCATATATATTTAGGATAGTTAGCTCTTCTTGTTGAATTGATCCCTTTACCATTATGTAATGGCCTTCTTTGTCTCTTTTGATCTTTGTTGGTTTAAAGTCTGTTTTATCAGAGACTAGGATTGCAACCCCTGCCTTTGTTTTCCATTTGCTTGGTAGATCTTCCTCCTTCCTTTTATTTTGAGCCTATGTGTGTCTCTGCACGTGAGATGGGTGTCCTGAATACAGCACACTGATGGGTCTTGACTCTTTATCCAATTTGCCAGTCTGTGTCTTTTAAATGGAGCATTTAGTCCATTTACATTTAAAGTTAATATTGTTATGTGTGAATTTGATCCTGTCATTATGATGTTAGCTGGTTATTTTGCTCGTTAGTTCATGCAGTTTCTTCCTAGTCTCGATGGTCTTTACGTTTTGGCATGATTTTGCAGCGGCTGGTACCAGTTGTTCCTTTCCATGTTTAGTGCTTCCTTCAGGAGCTCTTTTAGGGCAGGCCTGGTGGTGACAAAATCTCTCAGCATTTGCTTGTCTGTAAAGTATTTTATTTCTCCTTCACTTATGAAGCTTAGTTTGGCTGGATATGAAATTCTGGGTTGAAAATTCTTTTCTTTAAGAATGTTGAATATTGGCCCCCACTCTCTTCTGGCTTGTAGGGTTTCTGCTGAGAGATCCACTGTTAGTCTGATGGGCTTCCCTTTGTGGGTAACCCGAGCTTTCTCTCTGGCTGCCCTTACATTTTTTCCTTCATTTCAACTTTGGTGAATCTGACAATTATGTGTCTTGGAGTTGCTCTTCTCGAGGAGTATCTTTGTGGTGTTCTCTGTATTTCCTGAATCTGAATGTTGGCCTGCCTTGCTAGATTGGGGAAGTTCTCCTGGATAATATCCTGCAGAGTGTTTTCCAACTTGGTTCCATTCTCCTCATCACTTTCAGGTACACCAATCAGACGTAGATTTGGTCTTTTCACATAGTCCCATATTTCTTGGAGGCTTTGCTCGTTTCTTTTTATTCTTTATTTTCTAAACTTCCCTTCTCGCTTCATTTCATTCACTTCATCTTCCATTGCTGATATCCTTTCTTCCAGTTGATCGCATCGGCTCCTGAGGCTTCTGCATTCTTCACGTAGTTCTCGAGCCTTGGTTTTCAGCTCCATCAGCTCCTTTAAGCACTTCTCTGTATTGATTATTCTAGTTATACATTCTTCTAAAGTTTTTTCAAAGTTTTCAACTTCTTTGCCTTTGGTTTGAATGTCCTCCCGTAGCTCAGAGTAATTTGATTGTCTGAAGCCTTCTTCTCTCAGCTCGTCAAAGTCATTCTCCGTCTAGCTTTGCTCCGTTGCTGGTGAGGAACTGCGTTCCTTTGGAGGAGGAGAGGCGCTCTGCTTTTTAGAGTTTCCAGTTTTTCTGCTCTGTTTTTTCCCCATCTTTGTGGTTTTATCTACTTTTGGTCTTTGATGATGGTGATATACAGATGGGTTTTTGGTGTGGATGTCCTTTCTGTTTGTTAGTTTTCCTTCTAACAGACAGGACCCTCAGCTGCAGGTCTGTTGGAGTACCCAGCCGTGTGAGGTGTCAGTCTGCCCCTGCTGGGGGGTGCCTCCCAGTTAGGCTGCTCAGGGGTCAGGGGTCAGGGACCCACTTGAGGAGGCAGTCTGCCCGTTCTCAGATCTCCAGCTGCGTGCTGGGAGAACCACTGCTCTCTTCAAAGCTGTCAGACAGGGACATTTAAGTCTGCAGAGGTTACTGCTGTCTTTTTGTTTGTCTGTGCCCTGCCCCCAGAGGTGGAGCCTATACAGGCAGGCAGGCCTCCTTGAGCTGTGGTGGGCTCCACCCAGTTCGAGCTTCCCGGCTGCTTTGTTTACCTAAGCAAGCCTGGGCAATGGCAGGCGCCCTCCCCCAGCCTCGCTGCCGCCTTGCAGTTTGATCTCAGACTGCTGTGCTAGCAATCAGTGAGACTCCGTGGGCGTAGGACCCTCCGAGCCAGGTGTGGGATATAATCTCCTGGTGCGCCGTTTTTTAAGCCTGTGGGAAAAGCACAGTATTCGGATGGGAGTGACCCGATTTTCCAGATGCCATCTGTCACCCCTTTCTTTGACTAGGAAAGGGAACTCCCTGACCCCTTGTGCTTCCCGAGTGAGGCAATGCCTCGCCCTGCTTCAGCTCGCACACGGTGCGTGCACCCACTGACCTGCACCCACTGTCTGGCACTCCCTAGTGAGATGAACCCGGTACCTCAGATGGAAATGCAGAAATCACCCCTCTTCTGCGTCGCTCATGCTGGGAGCTGTAGACCTGAGCTGTTCCTATTCGGCCATCTTGGCTCCTCTGTTTTGTATTTTTTTAGTAAAGATGGGTTTCACTGTGTTAGCCAGGATGGTCTCGATCTCCTGACCTCATGATCCACCCGCCTCAGCCTCCCAAAGTGCTGGGATTACAGGTGTGAGCCACCGCACCCAGCCAATAACAGGACAAATTCTAAGTGGATGAGAAATTTATATGTAAAAGGTAGAACATCTAAAATATTGGAGGGAAAAAACCCTGGGTGAATTAATCTATAACCAGGATTGGAGATGACTTTCTAGAGCACACCTTAAAATCCAAAAGTAAAAAGTAAAAGAACTGCCACTTGTGATTACATGAAAACAAATGCTTGACATTTGATCCACGTGAGTTATCTTAAGCCCATTTTGCAGATGAGAAAACTGAGATTCAGCGAGATTTAAGTATGTTGCCCAAGTTTATACAGTTAGTAAATGGCAGAGATGGAATTTGAACATGTGGCAATTGCAACTCATTGCACACTGAGCCACCTAAATTTTTGTTCACTTTAAGTACACAGAAAAATCAGAAAATAAACATTTTCCAGACTCTACTCACAATTGGGAAATATAATCATTTGTTGTTGTCATTGTTGTAGTTTGTTTGAGTCTTGCTGGGTCACCCAGGCTGGAGACAAGTGCTGTGATCATAGTTCACTGTAACCTCAAACATCTGGGCTCATGCAATCTTCCTGCCTCAGCCTCTGGAATAGCTGAGACCACAGGCATGGGTCAGCACACCTCGCTAATTTTAAAAGTTTTAGTAGAGATGGGGTTTCACTATATTGCTCAGGCTGGTCTCGAACTCCTGACCTCAAGAGATGCCTTGCCTCCACCTCCCAAAGTGCTGGGATTATAGGCATGAGCCACTGGACCCAGGCTAAAATCTTAATATTGCTAGGCAAGGTCCCATCCATTCGATTTAGACTTAATGTAAAGGAAGAATTACAGAAGAGCTTTAAAAGGCATGAGACTCTGGGGAGAAAGAAAGACTTTGGTATATTTTGAAGACAAAACTAAAATGTAGTATGATACAACACGTACATTTATACCTCTTAATTTTTATTCTCTTGGTCAGAAACTCTTTGTGATATCACAGCAGCACCCTCATCTAATTCTTGCTCAGAAACACCATATCAACCCTAAGAATCCTGTTTTAAATACATGAAGGTTGAAAGATTCTTCAGATCTTTTAATTTATTATCAATCAACAAAGATGATGGCTTGGCCAAGTCATTTTAATAGGAACAGTTCAACTGGTTGCTGGGCTCATAAATGCAGGAGGTGCCAAGTGATTGAAGGCTTCACTTCTCAGGGGGCGTCTAGTTACAACATTTACTTCCTGCTTTTCCCATCTAATTTTTTCATATTTTAATTCTTCATTCCCTTGCAAGGTATCTCATGGCTAGGCAACAAATACTGAATTTCTCTTTCTGTTCCCTCAAGAAAACTTTGAAAGCCGATTATGCTTTCTCTCCATTAGGGGCATGGTTAATTATTGGCTTGTGAGAGCAATGCAATCCATTCATTGATTTTGCAGAGATTATTTAAGCACCCACTGATGTGCCAGACATTGTTCTTGGTGTTAGAGATACAGGGAAGGCAAGGCAGACAAGTTTTTGCTCTTGAGGATCTTACATTTCATAGGAGGAGACAGAGGAAAAGAAACAATCACAAAGCCAGGTAATATCACAGAGTGATTTATTCAGCAAATAAAACATTAAACACAGTGATGTGATAGGGGCTGGGGCAGGGAACTTCCTTAGCTACAATGATCAGAAAAGTCCCTGACTAAAGTTCAAGCCACATGAAGACCCAGGGGGATTGATGTCCAGGCAGAAGGAACAAGTGCGAAGGCCTAGAGGCAGGAATGCACTTGGGGTGTAAGAGGAAGAGAAAAAGCACAGTAGTTGGAGAAGAGCAAACTATACTGAAATATAACTGACCTCCAAGTATTTTAGGATTTGCTCATTTGTTTGTTTATTCATTTATACTCTACCTTGTTCCAAAAAGGATTTATAATAGCCCTTTGAATGTTGTTGTTCCTTACAGTGCCTATAGATACGAGAAAAATAAAAGCGAGTTCTCTAGCAGGTAAAGTCTAAACAGTATCTAGGATGGAGCATTAGGACAATCAATGCAAGATGCTTACTTTTTCTTTTGAAGACTCACACACCTTGAAATGTTATTTAAGAAATTATTTCTAAAGAAAATGGTTGCACTGAATTTAATTTCAAATCAGCAGATTCATATTCTCTAATTAATCACGGCACATGCTATTTACAAAACTCCTGCTAAAAACAAATTTCTTTTGTACACATTACAAAGAAATGTTACATAAAATTAAGCACCAAGTAATGACTTTAATTTGCGGTTAGTTAATAATACACAGATGATCGCGCGGCTGTAAAGGAAGCCGCTTGGGACATTAACAGATATGCTGGCACAGAGGAATTGGAAACAGGCAGACTGTGAGGCATTGGGCTCAGCTCTGGGTAGGGAATAAAGAGGGCTCAAGAATCAGTGGACATTTGATGCTTTGACTTTCAGTAAGAGGCAGAAGCCTGATGAAGCCTTTGCTCAGAGAAGTCTGACCTTTAGGATTTTCAAATGGTTTCTAAGTTATTTTTTACCTCTTGCCCAGCAAAAAGGTTTTACAAAACTTAATGACATTTTTATTTAGCTGAGATTTCCTGAATGACCTTGGCTCAGAAGTACTTTTTGGCGTTGCAAGAAGCTATAATTGTCCCAAGTTCTGTGAGCCACTTTAACTCAGCTAATTTCTTGGTACTTAGTGATCCCAAGCTAAGGGACTCAGATTTTATATTTTGGGAAATGAAAATAAAATAAAGCCCTAATATTTGAAGGAAACCAATACGGCATCTCTCTGAAAGTCTGCAGGCTACATAAGTGATCATATAAACAGACACAAAAAAGAAAATGTTTGATCCCACATTGCAGCGAATGGGTGGGAAAACCAGTGGCCTCATGGCTTTGTGATTAAAGTTGGTTTAAGCCTCAAGAAAGGAAGAAGAGTGGTTAGGAGACTGAAAATGGTTTGCCTTTCTCTTATGGAGCAACTTTTCTGATATTTTCTCAGTTCTATTTACTCTCATCCAAAAGCCAGAGTGAGGCAGGGAAAAGGGTGAGCACAATGAGAGACTCCTTGTGCCCAGCCCTGGGAGAGGACCTCAGTGCCCCAAGACGTAGAGACTCCTGGAGGGCATCCAGGGCTCCCCTAGCTCACAGTGTCTCTTATTTTTCATTTCATGTGTTCACACACCTCCTTTGTTTTGTAGATGAAATGGTTATCAAAAAAACTGTAGACTCCATGGTGACATTTTAGCTTCTTAAACAGGTGACAAACATCCCTGGCATATCTAGGTTGGAGATTACATCAGTGCCACCATTACTCCTCTCAGGCATCTATGGCTGGTCTCTATTTCCCATGGAAGCTGAGTTAAGTCATTACTCCCATGGAACTGGATGGGAATGAGGAAGTCTGTAAACTTAATCCACAATAAAGCCTCACTGTCATCATTATTAGGCTTTGGGGCAATACAATAATACACTCACAGAGGCACACACACCATTACCAGACTAATGATGAACTGAAGATCAAAAAAAAAACTTAGGGAAGCTTCCGAATGGGATTAATCAACAACTCTAAGGCAATATCATGCTGTGCTCATGTTTTCTGCAAATATTGACATTGAAGAATTAAACATGTGGCTAAAAAGGATATCTTTTTCCCTGTGAAAGAAAATTTCTATGTTACTATTTCAGATCAAAGAGAATGCAGAACAATAGAAGCAAGAAGGATCCCAAATATAGTGTTGCAACTCTCCTCACCTGCAGGAAGGGGTGAGTGCTGTATATGTCTTTACTGTTTTTGTTTGTTTAATCTCTGTTTCATCACCAGTAATAAGAGTAATAATTACATTACACACACATATATTCTCTTTATAGATACAAACACATAAATACACCCATACATGTATATATTAACACACACACATAATTTAAGCTGGAAGAAGAGTGATAGAAAAGGACCTCTGTTTTTTTCCTTCTTTTGAATTTGGAAAGCTATTACAGACTTCTCCAGAAACATTTTGGGACAACAGGGAAGTCTGAACACAGGAGATATGGAAATGGGGCAATAGTGAAAGAGGAAGTTCAGATGGAATATAAGGCAGAGAAAGCAGGAATGATTTCTTGAAAGACAAGGCAGAATTGGTTCTGGAAACCAGAGGTCCCTCACTGAGTAAGTCGTGACTGTTTCAAACAAAATCAGCTGGGAGCTGACCAAGAAGGCAAGTGGTAATGCTTTGATGTGAAACATTTGTACACATGGTCCCACAATATGAAACATGGATGTATGCTTCCACATAAACTTGTTAGAGCAGCCTGTTTCAGGCAAAAATAGCTCCGTTGGTATTTTCTTGACTACATTTGATACTTGTTTACTGACCATTTAAGTTAGAGCTTGAGCATTGTGATAGTCTAATCTATCATTTAGCAAATATTCACTCCCTGTCCACCATCCCCAATTCCCGCCCCTCTATACCTCCATGGAGGCAGTACCTCTCTGCTTCATTGACGTGGGGTTTGGCCCTGTGACTTGCTTGGCTCGATAGAATACTAGTAGACTTGATATAAGCAGAGCCTGCAAATGTACTTGTGCAGTTGGGCTGGCCCTTCTTTTGCTTCTGCCATGAGAAGAAATGTCCTGGTTAGCCTGTTGGTCCAAAGAGGGTGAAGAAGACATAAGGAGCACATCTGGACCAAATCTGTAGCTTGAAATCAAGCCCAGCTGAACTGAACCTGGATCAGCCAAACCCAAATATATGAGGGAGAATAGATGATTATTCTGTTAAGCCATGGAGTTTGAGTGTGGTTTGATGTACAACATTAGCTGTGGCTAACTGATACCAGCAGAACTGCTGAATGCACAAGTGAAGGAGGCAAGGAATGCTCATTGCATCATGCTTATAACGCACAGTGAGTAAGCGAATGGCGGAGTCTCCAGCAAGGGTGTGCAGAACATGGAAAGTGGGGGCTACCATGTAGAGCACAGTAGCGTGAGGCTCTGCTGAGCACAGGTGGAGGGTCAGAATTAGGCTGCTTGTGGAACAGCATAGAGTAGAGTAGTGACTATTCTGCGTACAACTTTGTATAATCTGATATCCACAAGAGCTCTTGTTTTTGGAGCAAGGAGAGTGTGTTGGTGGTGGTGGTAGTGACTTCTTTCTGTTTGTTGTTTTGCATAGTTTTGAGATGGGGGCATAGCCATGGAGAGTTGAAGCCATGATCTAACCTCCATCTGCAACTGATCCCCTGGACTGGGTTATCACCTGGTGGGTAGAAGGGTAAGGGCCAGAGTCTGAAGGAGCTATTTTCAAGAGACATTGTCACCTGGACCCCAACATGGCCACTCTTGTGCATATCAAAGTATGGCACAGAACTAGGGTTGAGGACCATTCTCCCCTACTTCTTTGAGGCACCCAGACAGCTCTGGCTTCTTGAAGACTAGCGGGTTAGGGAGATGTCACCAGTGTTACACTTCGTTCTTACCATAGGCACCACCAGCTGGTGCTATAGTGAGGTTCCCTCCAGCCTGGCATGGGTGGAGGATCCAGGAGAGGAAGGTGTGGGGCTGCTTAAGGACCTGACTGGCAGGCATGTGAGGAGGCGAGACACTCCTTGGGGACTCCCAGGAATTCACTGGGAGGCCTTGGCAGGGATGCTTCAGCAGGGTGGGACAAAAGAAAGAAATTTGGGATAATAATGCTAATGGGAGCTCATTTGAATGCACATGCTGATGAGGACACAGAGATATCCCAGTTGGTTTATTGTTGAAAGTTAACTGTAGCTGGCTCAATTCCCACTGTCGATAACCACAGAACTTTCTTGGTGATTCTGGAGGGTGGGGGTGGGGGTCTCTCTTCAACTGCACATTTAGCCCAACAACCCAGCCCTACTGGAAGGAGAATATCACCAAGATATTGCCTCAGTGAAACTTCCACTGCATCACTTCAGGATGAAAACTCACAGGCTCATAATAATGTTGACAATTTATGTTGATGAGAGTTACCAAAGACATGTAATTGCTCAAGAGAAGTAGATGTATATTAAGAGAGAAAGGAAGAAGAAAGAAAGAAAAGAAGGGGGTAGAGAGAGAGAGAGAAATAGAGAAAAGAATAATCCCAATTAAAGATGTAAAAACTTAGAGATATACAAAGGTTCTTTTCTAACCACTGGTAACACCAATGCCTCTTTTTTCCCCCAGATAATAGGATATTTAACAGAAAACATAATACATTTATCATCAATGATGTAGAAATGATACCATTTCAGGAAGATAGAGATGGAAAATGGTCCCTTAATATTCCATGGCCTTGGTATAAAAAGTGAGTCACATCCACTCACAACTCAGGAAATTTCTTGATCTAAGTGCATGCTGCACTGCCCCCACTCCCAAGATGAGATAATAAATTCCGTCTGTTATTCTTTTTAGTTTTTAAAAAAAACATTTTGGTATCATCTGTAGAGTTTAAAATACCAGTGGTTTTATGAATTCCAAAGCAGCTGTTTGTCTGAAAAAAGTCTCACTGTCCCTGGGAAGTTTTCTCCAAGAAAGAGAAGTAAAAGATATTACAATTTTAATGTAATAATTGGTCTATATAAGACAGAAACAGCAATATTTACAACATTGTGAGTCAAAGCTTCTCATTAGAAGTTCTCATAGAAGGAACTTAAACAAGTTAAGGGAAAGATATACTATTAATGAAGGGAAACACTTATTCTCCAGTCAGTCATTCATTTATTCATGCAATAAATATTAGTTGAGTGCCTACTCCAATTGAAGCCTTGAGCACTATGTTTGATTCTCCCTTCTTGGCCAAAGATGAGAGAAAAGCTCTATATGACAGCCAATCCTCTCATCAATTTAATCTTTCTATTCTTTCAGTTGGTCCAATATCAATGGGAAAAATTGACTTCTGGCTATGCAGCTTCTGGAAGCAAAGTCAGATAATAAATATAGTTCGGATCATGAACAGGCCTACCTGGCTCCAGCTTGTTGTGCTGGCTCAACTGGCTCATGAGTTCATTTTCCAGCTCCTCCCATGCTTCATACTGGGGAAAATGATCCACGGGCTGCCCAAGGTGCATTCCAGTGTGTCCAAGGAGCATCCACAAAATCCAGTGTCCCTAAGTAGCAAAGAGAAGTGGAGGAGATAATCAAAAGATGAGCAGGAAAAGGTAATAATGGTCAGTGGGTCAGTATATCTAGCAGGATTCCTACCATATTTTCAGCTGGGGATCTAAAATAGAATGCAGTTCTGCACTATACCTGAAAAAAGTGATTTTCTCTGGGATGCATAACCCCTGAATCCTCTATATTGGTTTTTATGTCGAAATCTCAAATCCTAAACAGGTTTATCATATATTTAGGAGACCAGCTATGTGCATAAGCTCATGGACACTGAATCCCAGCTCTGTCACTAACTCTATGACCCTGGGCAAGGTACTTAACTTCTTTGTATCAGCTTTATTTATTCACTCACTTATTTATTCGTTCACTCAACTAACACTTATTAAGATCCTATTATGTGTCCAGGTACCCTGCTAGGCGGTGAAACAAAAGAGACAGAATCTCTAACCTCAGAACACAACATACTAGTGAGAGAGACAGCAAAAAAAAAAAAAATCCAACAAATGAAAAAAATATTTTTTTTAAATGTGAGAAGTGTTATGAAGAAAACAAACAAGGAGCTGAACTGGAGAAAAAGATATTTGCATTAGATAAAATAATGAACTGGAGAAAAAGATAGTTGCATTAGATAAAATAATTAAGAAGAATCTTTACATAGAAGCATCATAATCTTGGGAATAATAATATGCTTATGTGAAAATTGGAATAATAACACAGTCTTCATTGGATCATGGTGAGGCTTAGTTAGATGTTGCATGCAACACATTTGATTTAGTGCCTGAAGTATAGGAAATGTTCAACAAATGTTTATTATTATTTCTTCTATCCTAGGCTGGACTTAGCACATAGACTTAGTACGTAGTACTAACACGTGGCTTTGCACAAAGTAGGAATTTAATGTGTGTTGGTGGTGAGTTATGATGAGAGTATGGTGACATGGTGCCACTCCTCCATCCTGTCGCTATTCACAGTCTCTGGCAGCATCAGAGGGGCTAAAATTGCCCTCTTAGGCACATACCTATGATAGAAAGGGATATATCATCCTCTGGATTCCCAGAGTGGGTCCCTGCAGGATAATATTGTTCCAGGCAGAAATCAAGATAACCCTAGTACTGATTTGTGTCTCAGTTGCTCACAGTATAAACAGAAGCCAGCAGGGCTGTCCACTCAGCACTTCTTCCCAGGCACAGGAAAAAAAATGTTTCTTTTATAAAAGAAAGATGAAAGAAGGGCATTTTCAGTCTAGTCTGCAGCTCTTTAGAACATAAACTGCTCAGCCCGGGGGAATTGAAATGGATGAAGCATATGCAAAGTCAGATAATGAACGGAGTTTGGGTGAAAAAGATGATAAAAGAAATTGCTTGTTTTTATTTTTCCATCCATAGTGATTGATAGATGAAAAGTGGTCAGTGGTACCAGTCTCACTGATGTGGAACATTTAGGGAAGAGGGCAGCAGTATCTCTGTGATCGCACAATGGATGTAACAGGATTTATTATTTTTAATTCATAAAATAAAATTTCAAATAGACACACACAAATCATGTGAATTTCTAGGACTACTACTTATTATACATGAGAAGTAAAACTACCACATTTACTGGTCTGCTGGTAGAATTCAGGAGACATACTTCTATCCTTGAGGATGGTATGTTGGTCAAATTATTAATGAGATGAACTATGGAAAGGGGAAAGAATACAGACTGAGTGGTAGACAATACCTTCTAATCCTGGGCTGTCACTTACAGACGTGGGCCAGACATTTGTGTTCTCTGGGCTTCCTGATTTTTATGCCATGCAGTGGTTATAGGTATGTTGTGATCTAATAAACCCCTGGCCCATGAGGCCTGGGATAACTGAGGTCCTGAGCTGATCATCAGTCCAGGATTCCTTGAAAGCAGTTTGAGGGGATTCTGACAGCATGTCCCATAGTCCCTGCAGGTGGCAAATACCACAAGCTTGTCTGCCACACACTGAGTGCTGCCAGGAAAGTGCTCCTCACTGTCTGTCTCAGCAGTCTGCTTCAGGGCACGCTGCTACCCACTGTGGGCAAGAAATCTGCAGAGATGCTAGAGACTTCTTGTTCCAGGGGCCCGAGGAGCTTGCTATGAGGTCCAAGTCTTGATTGAGTGTGGCGGATGAGGAGAGAGGGAGGACAGGTGAGACTCCAGCAGGGTAGAGTTCAAGGGCTGCCCTGCACCTCTTTCTTCACGTATGCTGGATACTTACATCTGTACTTGCAGTAGCAGTGCCCTTTTTATGGAGTCCATACAAACAGCAGGGCAAGAGCTCCAGCACTGTGAGCACGTTCTGCATGTTCAAGCGCCTTTCTATCGAAATACTTGGAATGAAAAAAGTTTGACTGAATTTGAAATCCATTCTCATTATCAAAAGAAATTTTAACATTTACATCGGTCAAAGAAAATAAAAAAGAAAAGCTCAGATTCTTTAAAGATAATTTCAACTGTTATAAATTTCTGAATGGCTGTAAAAAATGGTTTTATCACCTACTTGTGAGAACAAAGTTTCTCATCAATGGTGACTATCAAGAATTTGAAAAGATCATTAAAAAGATTTGATCAGGACTTGCTTGTAGCCATTTCAAACATAAAACTTGGTATAAAATAGTTATGTACATGGAAGCAAGCTCAACTTTCTCGTTAAAATTCTTGGAAAAGATGTATTTTGAGCTTTTACACACATTCACTATTCAATATCCATCTCTGATGCTCTTTATTTTTATTATAAAGTATAAAGAAAATGCAAATGTTTTCACTTTGTTTATACAGGTGTCCTCAAGTCCCCCCTTGTATTAGGCCATTCTTGTGTTGCTATAAAGAAATACCTGAGTCTGGGTAATTTATAAAGAAAAGAGGCTTAATTGACTCACAGTTCTGCAGTCTGTACAGGAAGCAAGGCACTGGCATCTGTTTGGCTTCTGGGGAGGCCTCAAGGAGCTTTTACTCATGGCAGAAAGCGAAGTGGGAGCAGACATCTCTCATGGCAGAGTGGGAGCAAGAGAGAGTGAGGTGGGGAGAGGTGCCACAGACTTAACCAGATCTTGCAAGTACTCACTATTGCAAGGAGAACACCAAGCCATGAGGGATCCGCTTCCCACCAGACCCCACCTCCAACACTGGGTGTTAAATTTCAACATGAGATTTGGAAGGGACATCTAAACTATATCACCTCTAGTTCATTTCTGTGTGATTGGTGTACAGATATTATCATGTCATAGTTTGAGTAGATATCAGGACACACAGATGTTAATACTGGTCAAAGAATGCTGGCTTTCTTTGACCCAATCCCATAAGTAACTTGGGCCTCCACTATCCCACCTGTGAAATGACTGGATTAGATTAAATTATTTCAGTTACTCCAATTTCCAAGTTACTTTCAACCATCCATATACTTCTATGCATGTCAAGAATTTATTTCTTATGAAGATGCATCTTAGTAATTGATCAGTGATTTCTTGAATAACTGTAATGCAAAATGGTCTTGCTACAAACCAAAGAAACTTGGTATGCATCACACAGATAGTGGAATTGGGTATACTTTGTGATAAAAGCATTTATTAGCAGGAGAAATTTAGCCAGCACCTTGACTCCAAAGAACTCAACGTGCTATGTTAATGCCACAAGCCTGTTTTTTTTTTTCAAGTTAAAGTCCCTGCAAGCATTTCTCTTGCTCCTCTAAGTTTGGAAAGACACATCAATTTGAAGGAAGCCACGGCATAGTAGTTCCCTTTCCCTTTGCATTCAGAAAGCATTGATGATATGGCCTGTGTTCATGTTGATTACTTTTACATTCCAACATGACTGCCCATTGATTTCCAGCCATCTCTTTCCACCTTTGAAAACAATTATCTCAGATACCTTTTAATCAGCTCATTTGGAGTCAGAATCCTACCTTAACTACCTTCTCCTCCCCAGTTCCCTGCCCCTCTATGGGCAAACACAGTTTTTTTTAAATAAGCCAGACATATTCAACAGTCGAGAGCAGAACAGAGGTCTGGTGCAGACCTTAAAATCAACATGCTTTAGGAAGAGGTCTGGAAAAGTATATTTCTGATTATCAGAAAATGTGGAAACAGCAAAGCATTCATTTCAAAGGAAAGAATTTAAAATAACCGAGTACACATTACCCTAACAGACATGGACAGCTTTGGCACAGACCATTGAATATGTGAGTGCATGACTCCTAACTGCTTGCAGCTACTTCTAAAATTAGAAATATGTGCAGTCCAGAGAAATCTGAGCAGGAGAAAAAGTGTTATGTATCATGATGCCTCAGACCTGCCCTTTGAGAGATGTGGCCAGTCTTTCTAGGAAGATGAGCATCAAAATCTATGTAAAGAAATGATATAACATTGTCAGCACATTTGTTCCAGGGATTAGTATCAACATCACACAAAATAGGTAATACAGGGTATAAGCAAAAGTTCAGGGTTTGGTCTTCAGGTGAAGGAGATAAAGCAAAAATCAGGAATTAGTAAGGACTTAAAAACAATGAGGTCTCTTGGGATTCAGCAGGAGCTCAAGTTACATAAATGGACCATTTAGTAAAGATGAAAGACACCATAGAAAACTATAAAATTCAAGAACTCATATTGTAAAACCATAGGAAGAAATCACATTTATTAAGCACCATATGTAGGGCACTGTAATAGGGTGCTTTCACACCTTGCAAGCTAAGTATGACCATAGCATCATTCCCCTTTCTAATTGATGAGGAAACTAGGACTAATAAAAATGTTAAGAAATTTGTTACAGGTCATACAGCTGGTAAATGATCAATACCTCCTAAGCTCTGACTTGGTGTTAACTTTAGGCATAAATGTTATGGGTATGTCTATCTCTTGGCTTAAATGAGGGGAAATTCTCCAATATCATAATATCTTCCCTACTGGCTCCATTTAATTCCACAGTTATAGGTAAATTCCTTAAAGTCTTAATGATTTTGTTTTTAAAATTTCTGATCTAAATTCAGTCACCCAAGGTGTGGGGCATCTTAAGTAGCTCCCAGGCATTTAATCAAAAGGGACGTGTTGCTCAATGAGCTCTACCGGGAAGCCAAGAGCAAGTCCTACAGGGTTGAGGGGAATCTCCTCTGGGTTCTGGGGCTGGTTAGGGGATCACAGCAGTAGAATACCTTTTTTCCTACACTTTTTGGCTACATATTCTTTGGTTGACTCTGCATGTGACAATTTTGTAATATTTATTACAGAGAACATAGAATGACAATTCAGTCTTTAACATAATTGTTCAAAATTTGATAGTTTGTTGTTGATAGGTTTAAAAAGCACCTTTGGGCTTCAAACTTACTATTTAAATTCCCTATCTGTGAATTTTCTCTGTAGTTATGTTCTAAGAACAGAAAATGCCCACAGGAGAAAGGGTGTTCCTGAAAGTAAACCTTCTATTTCATAATTTGTTGATGGCCAACTAGATGCAGATACAAGGCATAGATGGAGATTAAAATTCAAGGTCTTTTTCAAGGCTCAGGTGCTGTCTGCAAGAGAAAGCAGCCACCCCAGCAAGAAGACAAAGTTGCTAACTCGGCCTGGGGGCATCACTGCCCTTGCCTGTCATGGTCCTAGGGCTGTTGGCTGGCCTGGTGGGCTCAGAAAATCCTCTCCCTCTGCCTACACCTAATGACAGCTCCTTCTGATAGGCCTGCCATGAGCATCCTGACCCATTCTTACCTTCAGTAATAGGAATCTGAACTAGGCACTGTTCATTACTACTTTGACCTAGGTGTCAGAGCACCTTGACTCCCTGGCCACCTTACCCCAGGTTAGACCTGGTAAGGAAGGAGTCAGTGAGAAACTGTAACTGGGAACAGGGAGGTGGAGTGGGGCTGACCAGCCAGATTAGAAGGTTGACAGTCTCTAAACGTTTTGGCCTCAGGCAAAAACTGCCAAGGAATTTACAGATATGGCATTGCCAATAAAAGGCTGAAGTGAAAAGTAACTTTTTGAAACCAATAATGACCACATTTTGATCAAACACAGTAGAGGAAAGACCAAATTATGTTTTCCTCTCTAGAAAAAATTACAAAATTGTTATATAAAGGGACAATCAAAGAGTATAAAGGCAAAGATGAAGGGAAACAAGCATTATAGAACTGTAATTAGGCGCTTAATTACCAAAAACATAATGTTACTTTCCTTTCTGATTTTTTTTTTTAATTTGTGATATTTTTCAGTGTCTTAGTTCATTTGTATTGCTATAAAGGAATAATAAAGACTGGGTAATTAAAGAAAAAAGGTTTGTTTGGCTCATGGTTCTGCAGGTTGCCCAAGAAGCATGACACCAGCATCTGCTTCTGGTGAGAGCTTCAAGCTGTTCCCACTCATGGTGGAAGAGGAAGAGGAACCAGTTGTGCAGAAATAACAGGTGAAGGAAGAAGCACATGACATAAAGAGGGGAGTGCCAGACTCTTTTAAATAAGCAGCTCTTATGGGAACTAATATAGAGCAAGTACTAACTCATTACTGCAAAGATTGCACCAACCATTCATGAGGGATCCACCCCATGACCCAAACACCTCTCATTAGGCCCTACCTCCAAAACTGAGGATCAAATGGAGGAGTCAGATAAACTACAGCAGTGAGTTTTATAACATTTCTGATTTGATGCAATTTCTTTTTGAAATAAACTCTCCCATGCGTACCTACTTTTTAACTCATCTTTTAAAATTCTTTTTCTTAAAGAGTGACCCACAAGTTTAAGCTTTAGGTCCCATAAACCTGGATCTATCATGGGGGCCAACCTTGGAACTTCTGCTTGACATAAAAGGCCATGCCCAGCACTCTCATGTTCTCAGAGATGGAGTCTCTGTCTAGAGGGATGTTAGGAAAAGATGCCTGGTTCAGTTTCGGGGAAAGAACAATAGACTAGAATGGGACTTCAGTTATATTTCCAGATTCGCCTTGTTCTAATTATGTGCCCCGGGAAGGAGGCTGTAATCCTCAGGGAAATGGGATTCTAAAAGCCTCTGCTCATCTCACAGGATGTCCTGCATTAGTATTATAATATAAATGTTAAAATCTTTGTAGAAGGCAGCTGACATAAAGGAAAATGCCATTGCTACCACTCATTGCATATTTTCCCTGGCTAGCAGCAAACTTCAGAGGTTACTGGTAGCATTTTCGTAAAGTTTTATCACCTTCATATCTTGTTCACACACCAACTTTGAGACAAATTGAAAACTGACACGTTCCTTTCTAAATTTCCCCTAAGCGGTGGTGTTGGTAGTGAGGTTCCTTTTAGTTTCTTTTTATTTTT
The DNA here is from genome assembly GCF_000001405.40 of Homo sapiens. Lineage (NCBI taxonomy): Eukaryota > Metazoa > Chordata > Mammalia > Primates > Hominidae > Homo > Homo sapiens. The sequence continues at coordinate 176,781,924 of NC_000002.12, read as the reverse complement.
TAAATATGGGAGAAGATGTGAAAACACTCATTTCCCTCCTTTTCCATCTTTTTACCCTTCCTCCTCCACATCCTCGTTGTCCTCCCACTCTCTCAACAGCTCAATGCCACTGCCCTCTACTTCCTGTCAGATACTACACTCTACTTCCTGTCAGAAACTACACTCTACTTCCTGTCAGAAACTGCCCTCTACTTCCTGTAAGATATTGCCCTGTACTTCCTCTTAGTTACAGAATTGGCCATTGCCCTTGTCCAGCTCTTCCAGGGTCTTGTGGAAATATCCTGGAATTGGGCTGACATTCCACTCACCTAGACTGATTAAGAGATAATGGAGGATTAACAGAGAGTGGGGCTTGTTCAGATTTGAGGAAGGCCCCATAGTGATGAAGCCAAAGTCCTTTGTGTACCTCACTGGTCACCCAGTGAGGTCACTTAGGCTCCTCTGATACATGAAGAAACTCCTGACCTGTATCCTCTTCTTTGCCACACCCTTACCCCACCCCAAGCTATTTTTGGCTTCTGCTATACGCAGAAAATAAGCAAATAAAAATGGGGAAATAATCTATAAGTCAATAGCTAATTAGCCACACTTTAATATCCAAGAAAGGAGAATAACACCCTCAAAGGTGTCATTAACCAAAGTGAAGGGCAATGAGTTGGTCCCTTCTGGAAATTTTCTGTATCTCTATAAATTTGTTACTCAAGGTAAATCACCAGTCTGTCTAGCCACATTTGTTAACAATGCATGTAACTCTTAACGGCATCTCAAAAGCATACTTACTCTCAATTTCGCTTCTCATTCGTTTTTATGATGCCAGAGAAATTCAGATTATATAGGCTTTCTTTGTGCTGAGATGGTAATTTTATATCACTGTAGATTAATAGCATTTTTAGTGATATTTGGTATCACTCATTTGTCTCCTATGGTCATAAAGATATATATTTTTTCTAATTTGGCTTTTCCAACAAATAAAAAATAAGAGTCTTTTTCTGTTGAATGAGGGAAAAAGTCATTCTGATCATGAAGAATTATTCTCTTTTAACATACCCACAATCCACCATCTAATTGTTTTGGTTATTGCAGCAATACAGTTTCTACAAAAATGTGTGTGTGCATGAGTGCATATATACAGTCTGTCCTGCAGAAGATTTTCTCCTTTTTGCTACTTGATCTTTGGGTTCTCATTACTGAGAACTCTGTTACAGCTTGTTCATCTAGGTACTCCTGTTTAGGAAGATGTAAACTTTCCCTTCCTTCCCCTTCCTCTCCCTTGATCCTAGAGTTTTGCAGATATTTTTACTTTGTGAACATATTGATATTTCTGGAATTCTATTCTGGGAACTGATTCTGCAGTGCTCACAGGAACAAGTACCCATTCCAGGGATGGTTATTATGAAACAGAAAGGCAGTCAGACTCGGTTTAGCTATCAGCTTTTAAGAGCTTCCTCCATCTGCTAAAATGTGCACCGCAAAGTTGCACATAAAATGCTGATTAGTATCTCAGTGCAGATTCATATAATGATCCACTTTCTCTTGGTTTACACCACACTCTCCTAAGTACCTATTCACCTGTTCTATTGGAAAATTTTAATCATCTCTCTGACATTAGCTTGGCAATTTCAGTGGCCACTTCACAATCTTTCAAAGTCTTTCTGCTCCACTTCATTCCTATTTCTTTTCTGCTTGTGTTAATTATTTTTGCAGCCAGCATACGTGTTTGTCAATAATGCATTACATTTTCCATGTGTCAGTTCTTCAGCCCATCAAAGAACCCTGCTTTTACATTCTGAGTCTATTTTCTCCTTTCCCGACTCAGCTAATTTTGCTCTGGGCCTGCCTCTGCTCCTCATTCCAAATCCATCAGTAGTTGCATGAAACTTGGTAACTGCAAGGCAGTCCCCAATTTAATTGGGTCTAGTTCTCCACAGAGCATTACGTTTGAGCCTACAGCGGGCTGCAAGTTGTCCAACAGCCTGTACTTCTTTGATAACTGAGGTGCCTTAAATGTCCTCACTTCTGGGATACCAACTTCTGGAATGTGCACAAGACAGTTCTCCTGTCTTGAATCAAGGGCCAGGAGGTAAGTCCCTCCTTAAGCCCGAGGATCATGAAAATCTCTCCTGACCCCACTAACTTCATTCCCAAACATGATGTCTTTGCTTAATGAAAAAGCCTTCTCTCACTAAAGAAACTCCTAGCATAGTGGTAGGTACACTCCAAAGCCCTATGAATACTTACTTACACAATTGAATGCGATAAAAACGCTTAGGATCCACAAGCTCCCTGGGCTGTTTTGGAGGATGTGGAGGGGATGAATGTTGCTCAATTTTAAAATATCAGTACCGTTCTTCCCTCTGTCCCAGCATAACCTATTCTTGGGAATTTTCTAATGGTTACCACTTCCTTTTTCATGATTAGTGTCAAGGTTAGCAACAAGCTGTTATAATTCCAAGACTCTGCTTTTGCAGTTGCTTCTGAGAATCACTGACTAGTTCCCTCTCACAGGCCAAGGAAACGCCATTTTACTTCTCAGAATGAATGCTCCTTTGGTGAAGGGCACATAAAGGGAAGTTTCTTTTCTTGTTTGCTTTTGTTTAGAATTCCCTCCGGGGTTACACACATCATCCTGTTCTAATTCCCTGGCTTCTTGGGGAAACACTCAGGCCATGACAGGAAGAGAAGGGACACAGGCCCCAAGCTCATGGACAGGGAGATGGCATGAGGGTCCTCTGCATCTGGGCTGCCCATTTGGTTTCCTCGTTGGCCCAAGTTAGTCATTCACGTGCCCCGGAATCGTCCAAGTGCCACACACTGACCCTTGGTAAGATTCCATTTCTTACTTCCCTTAACTATGACTGTCATTTGCCAGCTCCTTCTGATATTTTTAACTGCTTGCCATCACTTGGAAGCCCTTCATCTCCATGCTGAAAGAGACTGCTGGAAATGTCTGGGCATGGAAAACAGAAATGTGGAAAATGAGAATGTAAGGAGGAGTAGGAATACAGACTTGGACTGACAAATAATACTAATGCCAATCCTGCATGCTTAAGGTGTGTAGATAATCAGAAATTTCTTTCGTTGTTAGCCCTTTTCTAATAATCACTACAGACAATAATTTTCTTCTAACTGTCCCACAAAGAACATTGCTTTTTAACTGTTGTTCTGCCTACTCTCTGGCAGTCATGCTAATAAGCAAAGGAACTGGCAAAGACCTGCTAAAGGGACAAGAAGAAAGGGAAAATGAAGTCATATTTTATTCATCATTCAGATATTCACCTCATTATTTGAACTATTAATAGAAAATTGAGGCTTTTTCCTCTCTTGTGGGTATCCTATCTCTTTATTTTTAGATCTTCTTGGAAATACCTTTCTGAAACTTGAAGATCCCCTCTAGATATTATTTTCCAGGATGAAAGGCCTCTAGCAGAGTCTTTAATGTGCAATAATGAGAAGATGAAACATTATTGTGTTTCCTCTGGACTCTTGTATTTGAACTTGATCCAGGATTGACACTAGGCAGCTCACCTTTCCCACATCATGGTTAGCTCTAAGTCAGGCTAAGAAATTACCTTCCCTGGCCACTCCCTGCTTTGTCCAGTTAAATAAAAATGAATTTTTAGTTTTATTTAGTTAACTAACTCCATGGGCCATGGTAAGCTAAAGAAAAGTAGATGTATGAGAGGAAACGTTGGCAAATTCTCTGTACTTATTTAGAGTACAGGAAAGATCCATAATTAACCATGCTTTGGGAAAATACTTCCTTGGAATGGTCATATTGAAGGGTTTGGTTTAAAAAAAGTTGAGGGTTGGGGGCTTCTACATCACATCCTCGCTACATTTTTTTAAAAATTAAGATTTCTATAATTTTTTTTTAGAAATTAAGGCTTCTATAAAATTCATGTAATTTTAACCAGGGATAATCTCACTCAGTTTCCACGTGTGTGAAATGGGGATTATAATAGTACCTTTTCTCGGGCTTTCTGGGACTACTTTATATAACATTTGGAAGAGTACCTCTCCAATTATCATGCTGTACACCTTGAATATATACAATTTTTGTGTCAGTTATACCTCAATAAAGCTGGAGGGAAACCCTCATTTCCACAGTGAAAATAAGTACCTAGCACACAACTAATATTCTAGTCTATAATTCTATAAATGTTAGCAATTATTATTATCAACTAATAAAATTCCCAATTACCCTTATACCATATGACCCTTTGGGGGAGAGGACTAATAGTCCATGAATAGTATGGAATCTGCATGTACAGAGTTTTAGAAACTTTTGTTTTCACTGCTGCATTTTAAAATAGATTACTTATCAGAAAAGAAAAGCTATTTTCAATATTACTTTAAAATGGGAAGACCTGCCTGCAACACCAGTCCTTCATTCCTGCAAGGCAACAATGAGCTAGAGCTGAAAGGCCGTTTTAAAAAATAGGGTGTGTCTCACCAGTTTGCAAAATCCCCCAGCGTCCTCCATGCAGCTACTTCGCTCATTTATGCATCTGCATTTCCCTCTCCTGTCTTATACTCTACCAAGTATTTTTATATAGGCTCATCTCTCTTGTTTTACACAAACAATGAGACAAGAGGTTAGGCAATACTATCTAAATTTTACAGTTGAGAAAATTAATAAAAGGTTAAAGGAATTTTATAATAAAATGGTGCACAGTGAGTCACTTGGGACAGGGACTAAAATCCAGACCACCCTCATCTCCAATATTGTGCTGCTTCCCAAACCATGTGAACAAACTCCTTCCTCAAATTTCATTAGAAATGATTTGTCCTCTGTCAATTGCATCCAGTGTTCTTTGCTGTGATTTTAAGCAGCAGGACAACATGATGCGCCAGTTTTAAATAGTAAGTTAAAATGTGACCTAAGGTGTTTGAGGCAGCGTCCTCTCCACTCTACTAATAATCAGGGCAGTTTCTAATTATTTGCATGGAAGTTGGCTCCCAAGATAATTCAGTGTCCGTGTGGCTCCATTTCACCTCTACTTATTTCCATTACCTTGCATATTAGCTATGTCAAGTTGATGGGCCTGCTGTTCCCCAGGGTGGCTATTATAAATACTGGTGCTACAGTGAAATGCTTCCAGTCTTCTGGAACCTCATTTGAACTAAGGAAGTTCTCCATAATGATCATTAATGATATATTGCTTGCATAAAGATGTTGGATATTAATCTTTTGTTTACTTTCTTTATGCCATCAGACTTTTAAAATGTTCTTTGTAATATGAGTTAACTGTTGACCAGGAGTAGCTTCTCCATTGGGGACTGAATGACTTTTTATAGCTGACAATTTACTATGGCAGGTAAAGGAGCTATCTTAGACCCCTGCCTGAAAAATCCACTTCTCTTGGCAGATATGGCTGCCTAGAGCTCTTGTAGCTAAAATAGCATTAATGCCTATGTACAAAACTTCATCTGAGTCTCTTTTCAAGTCTGCAAAGACTGTCAGCTGCCTAAGTGTCATAAATTTGGGACTGGAGCTTGTTTCGTGCCAGGAATTTCCTGCAAGGTGACTGGGATGAGTCTAGTCACCAACCCTTGAAGGAGGGGCATTGTGGGTGCTGGATGAATTATGTTCCTTTCTCACAGGACCTAGATTTGGTCCATGCTGATGAGTCTGAGAGTTCATCTGGTCTGGATCCTTCCACAAATTCCCTTCTGTTGAGACTCAGATTTCAAGTGCTGGATTAAATCTAAGAGAATCCTCTAAGGCTTAAGATAAGCTTTTCTTCCAATTTTGAATTGGATTGGGAGAAATGCCTGCAGTTTGGTTTAGTTTGCCCTTATATCATGGGACTGGACTAGAAATAGATGAGCATCTGTGCAGGAAATAACGATGATACTCTCTGTGGCACAGCGTCACTGAGCTTGAGCTCAAGAACATGATAGACCTGGATTTGAATCCCTGCTTGCCACCTACTAGCTATGAAACTTTAGGAAGGTTTCTTAAACTCTCTTTAAGAGTTAGTTTTCTGCCCAGGCATGGTGGCTCAGGCTTGTAATCCCAGCACTTTGGGAGGTCAAGGCCGGCAGATCGCTTGAGGTCAGGAGTTCCAGACCAGCCTGGCCAACATGGTGAAACCCCATTTCCATCAAAAATACAAAAATTAGCTGGATGCCTGTAATCCTAGCTACTCAGGAGGCTGAGGCAGGAGAATTACTTGAACCCAGGAGGCAGAGGTTGGCAGTTAGCCAAGATTGTGTCACTGCACTCCAGCCTGGGAGACAAAGTGAGACTCTGTCTCAAAAAAAAAAAAAGACATAGTTTTCTGTCTGTTTAATAGGAATGCTAACAGTAGTCACTTCATAGGATTTTTGTGAGGATTAAATGACAAGATATACACAAAACTTTAAGCCCACAGTGCAGTACAAAGCAAGAGCTCAGTACAAAGTACAAGGGTGTAATATTTATTTATTTTGTTATTATTATTATTATTTGAACCCACATAGGTCTCAGCTGTATGGAGTCCCTTTCTAATTTTACTCATCCTGAAAAAGAGAGGGTGTTTGTAGGCTGTCGCCATGTGTCTATTCCTGCACTACCTGACTTTGTGATCAGCAGTTAGAATGTAATAGAGGTAAAGAAGATCTTGCTGGATTTAGTTATGAGCAGGATGAGGAAATGGCCCTATGCCAAAACTGTAAATTTACCAGAAATCTGTTACAGTAAGGAATGCACATTAAAATATATTAGAAGCAGACATGCTGATGATATGTAAGCTCATATCTGAGGAAGATGTGGAGCAGCTCGTGGGTAAACATAGACACCAAAGCCACCAAGGTGGGGATGACATGGTCTGGGGACACAAGGAGGTTTGTTAGGACCATGGTTGTCAATGTAATTGCCACTGTCCTTGAAATTCTTATCCTCTCTCAAAGTACTTTTTATTGTATTGTATTTTTTTGAGACAGGGCATTGTTCTATCATGCAGGCTGGAGTACAGTGATGCAATCACAGCTCACCATAGTCTCAGCCTTCCAGGCTTAAGCAATTCTCCCACCTTAGCCTCTCAAGTAGTTAAGACTACAAGCACACAGCATGACATCTGACTAATTTTTCTGTTATTCTTTGGAGTTTTTTTTTTTTTTTTTTTTTTTTGTAGAGACAGGGTCTCATGATGTTGCCCAGGCTAATTTCAAACTCCTGGCCTCAAGTGATCCACCTCAGTTTCCCTAAAAATGTGCTGGGATTATAGGTGTGAGCCACCACTCTGGCCATAGATACCTACGGCAATGTTTGCTGCCATCATCCTATTCTTGTTCTAATTCATCTCTCCACACTGCTGCCAGAGTGGGCTTTATAGAACACAACCCTAATCATGCCATTTCTCTGCTTAGTGGTCTTAGCTGGTCCCCATGGCTTACCCAATTAAGTTTAGTGGTCAGAATCAAAAGGATAATCCCCTAGACCTATGCACCATTGTCAATCCCTTCATCCCTGAATCCAGAGGAAGCTGGTGGTCCCACACTAGAGGACAGTGCTAGGAAGAAGCTGGAAAACTCAAGGAATGCTTTTCACCACATCCTCTAAGCATTCCCCCAGGGGTCCAACTGAAAAAAGCTTAAGGGAAAGACACACACGAGTTTTCCCTCTTGCCTGGAGACTAAATATCTTCACAACAAGGAAATGTTTGTGGCTTTATATACCTGAAAAGCTGTTCAATCCCTGTATTAGTCCATTTTCACACTGCTGATAAAGACATACCCAAGACTGGGCAACTTACAAAGGAAAGAGGTTTAACAGACTTACAGTTCCATGTGGCTAGGGAGGCCTCACAATCATGGCAGAAGGCGAAAGGCACTTCTTCCATGGTGGCAGCAAGAGAGAGAGCTTGTGCAGAGAAACTCCCATTTTTAAAAACATCACGTCTCGTGAAACTTATTCACTATCATGAGAGTGGCACATGAAAGACCTGCCCTCATGATTCAATTATCTCCCACTGGGTACCTCCCACAACACGTGGGAATTATGGGAACTACAAGATGAGATTTTGGTGGGAACACAGAGCCAAACCTTATCATTCCATACTTGGCCCCTCCCAAATCTCATGTCCTCACATTTCAAAACAAATCAGACCTTCCCAAAAGTCCCCCAAAATCTTACTCATTTCAGCATTAACTCAAAAGTCCATAGTACAAAGTCTCATCTGAGACAAGGCAAATCCCTTCTGCCTATGAGCCTGCAAAATCAAAAGCAAGTTAGTTACCTCCTAGATACAATGGAGGTACAGGCATTGGTTAAATACAGCTGTTCAAAATCGGAGAAATTGGCCAAAACAAAGGGGCTACAGGCACCATGCAAGCCTGAAATTCAGCAAGGAAGTAAAATCTTAAAGCTCCAAAATGATCTCCTTTGACTCCATGTCTCACATCCAGGTGACACTGTTACAAGAGGTGGGCTCACACAGCAGTGGGCAGCTCTGCCCCTGTGGCTTTGCAGGGTACAGCCCCAACTCCCGGCTGCTTTCATGGGCTGGCACTGAGTGTCTGCAGCTTTTCCAGGCACACAGTGCAAGCTGTCAGTGGATCTACTTTTCTGGTGTCTAGAGGACGTTGGCCCTCTTCTCACAGCTCCATTAGGTGGTGCCCCAGTAGGGACTCTGTGTGGGGGCTCTGACCCCACATTTCCCTTCTGTATTGCCCTAGCAGAGGTTCTCCATGAGGGCCCTGGCCCTGCAGCAAACTTCTGCCTGGACATCCAGGCGTTCCCACCCATCCTCTGAAATCTAGGCAAGATTCCCAAACCTCAATTCTTGACTTCTGTGTACCTGCGGGCTCAACACCATGTGGAAGCTGCCAAGGTTTGGGGCTTTCACCCTCTAAAGCAACAGCTGTACCTTGGCCCCTTTTAGACATGGCTGGAGCAGCTGGGATACAGGGCACCAAGTCCCTAGACTGCACACAGAAGAATGACCCTGGGCTCAGCCCATGAAACCATTTTTTCCTCCTAAATCTCTGGGCCTGTGATGGGAGGAGCTGTGGCAAAGGTCTCTCTGACATGCCCTGGAGATATTTTCCCCATTGTCTTGGTGATCAACATTCAGCTCCTTGTTACTTATGCAACTTTCCACAGCCAGCTTGAATTTCTCCTCAGAAAATAGGATTTTCTTTTCTACTGCATTGTCAGGGTACAAATTTTTCAAACTTTTATGCTGTTTCCCTTTTAAAACTGAATGCCTTTAACAGCACCCAAATCACCTCTTGAATGCTTTGCTGCTTAAATAATTTCTTCTGCCAGATACCCTAAATCATCTTTCTCAAGTTCAAAGTTCCACAAATCTTTAGGACAGGGCAAAATGCCACCAGTCTCTTTGCTAAAACGTAACAAGAGCCACCTTTGCTCCAGTTCCCAACAAGTTCCTCATCTCCATCTGACACCACCTCAATCTGGACCTTGTTATTCTTATCACTGTCAGCATTTTCGTCAAAGCCACTCAACAAGTCTCTAGAGAGTTCCAAACTTTCCGACATTTTCCTGTCTTCTTCTGAGCCCTCCAAACTGTTTTAACCTCTGCCTGTTACCCAGTTCCAAAGTTGCTTCCACATTTTTGGGTATCTTTTCATCAGCATCACTCTACTGGTACCAATTTACTGTATTAGTCCATTTTCACACTGCTGATAAAGACATACCTGAGACTGGGCAATTTACAAAATAAAGACGTTTAATGGACTTACAGTTCCACATGGCTTGGGAGGCCTCACAATCATGGCAGAAGGTGAAAGGCACTTCTTACATGGGAGCAGCAAGAGAGGGAGCTTGTGCAGGGAAACTCCCATTTTTTTAAACCATCTGATCTCATGAGACTTATTCATTATCAGGAGAACAGCACAGGAAAGACCCACCCCATGATTCAATTATCTCCCACTGGCTCCCTCCCACAACACGTGGGAATTATGGGAGCTACAAGATGAGATTTGGGTGGGGACACAGAGCCAAACCATATCAATCCTTAATGTTGATTCTGGGGTCTTCCAGAAGAGTCGCTACAGAGGACTTGGGACTCAGTTTTTCCAACTGATTACCATCTCTTTTTGGAATGATGTCTTCCTCTCTGCTGCCTCCATGTGTCTGACTTAACAGTCTTCTGCTTTTTCTTTAAATGCATACCTGATTATCTGATTGGCATAATCTGTGTGATTCATAGGGAAGCCTCAATTACATATAGCTTTTTAGTGTTCCATGTGTAAATGGGAGTTGAGACTGCTCACCTTCAGAGTTTTTAGAAAAACCGAGTTGTCCCTTGACAATTACAAAAACAACTATTCTTTCAAACCTAAGGGGCTTCACTCAAAGTCAATACAGGTAATTTGGCTGAGGTAGCAGGTACAGGTCCTCCTGTTCTTCCCCACTGTTTTCAATTTCTTGGCTCCCACGTCAGCAAGCTAGATGACTCTGCCTCTCTGCTGGGAATTTAGGAGATTGCCCGGGAAGGCCACTGTGGTAATGATGGTGGCAGCAGCCTTTCTCTAGACATTACACTTTGCTCCATATGTGGCTATCATTATATGACATGTTCCCATTTTAATAACCCAAACCAAGAAAGATACATTATGTTCAGCTCTTCCCCAATACTTATCTCACAAAGAAGTATAGGTTGGGAAAACATTTATATTTTTAAAATCGGTGATCTCTGTGCATTGAGATTTACCTAACTGACACAGATCAGTAAACTGTTGGCCTCTGGTTTTGGATTAAGCCAAAGCACCTTGGCTTATGGCATACAGAAGATGCCAGGAAGCCTGAGGGTCCTCTGAGAGAGTTAACTGCTCTAGTACCAGCTACCTGTCAGAGGCTTTATTTACCACAATTTATAAAATACTTTGTTTTAAGCATTCAATGAAAATGGGTATGTTAATTCCATATCATGACAGGCATTTCATGAAGATACAGAAAATAACTTTTAATATTTCTCCTTATGAAAGAAGAGGGTTTGTGAGATAGTAAAAATTCTTCAGCTCCTTGCTGGAAATGAGAAAACTCAATGAGAAACTCAACCTACAGACAAGATTCCCATCTCTACAACTATTAGCTTCTAAGTCCTATCAGTTAAGAATCTAACAACACGTTTGGTTTCTAAAATTACTGACCTATGTTCCAAATCAGTTTTTTAAACAGAAAACGATTTCACTCCCATCAACCTTGTTGGTCACTGGAGAGATGGCTTGAGAAATGCCTGCCGTCAAACTTGTACTCAGCAGCATATTTCCTATTAAATTAGCAGCGTGAAAAACAAAAATAGAAGTTAGTGATTTCCTACAGCCCCTAAACCGCTTTATTCTTCCAACAGAAATGTTGCAGCACATTACTCCAAAATGTAGACTAGGACCCTTGGGTATTTTACAAGTGAACAATGGCTGAGACATTTAATTTAAGAAACACAGCGAGCTAAGCACTTATTTATTTGAGCAAAAATTTCAGAGGGCTTTTATCATGCTTGCACAAGATCCAGATATCTGAAGACTCTGTAAATCCATAAATACCCTCTGGCATGATGGGCCATTATGGCTCTTAAAGACTCATTGCTGTCTATAGGATCAAATGTGTGCTTCATGTGGAAGCCTGGGAGGAAGATTTATATGTCGACAATTCCAAATCAAATCTCTATTTAAAACTCACTGTCTTGGGAAAGAACCTCAAACTATTTTTGCCTGCTGGTATGAAGCATTAAGTTTCCTGCAGAGAGTCCTAGTAACATTTCAATTCCCCAAGCTCACATCTGTACACACCTGCAACCAAATCTCTTCCCTTTTTTTCTCCCTGGGGGATGGAACTCAGCTTAGTAGATAAGTCTCATGGGCTCAGACCTACTACTTAAATCAGATTTGACCAGTGTCACATAAATCACTTAATCTTTTGGAGAGATGAGTGTTGGAATGAAGAGATAAATTTCTTTCCAAAGGTCATTTCTGTTTTGCTCATGACCAGAAGGAGAAGCAGGGCAGTGCCGCCTCATTAAAGAAACAGAAAAAGCTTCCAGAAGCCAGGAGTGTTAAGCAATGTCATGTGGGCGGGAAAGGTTAGAGAGGATAAGAAATCTGAAAAGAACCTTAGGTGCCAACCTTTTCCCATTTCTTACTCCAAGAGGTCATTTGGTCTTGTTGATTCTATCTCTACCATGTTTTCAAACTTGACCCCTCCTTTCCATTGGTTCTCCTGTAGCCTCAGTCCAGGCCATCATCATCCCAGCCCGGGACTATTTGCTCTCCGTTTGCTCCACGTGGCTGAGAGCAATATCTCTGTTATTTGTACAACTGATTGTATGTCAAGCCTGGTTCTCCTCACTTGGAAAGTGTTTCTTCCATTATCCTGTCCTCCCCACCCCCAGACTTCCTGTTGTTTCCTGAAAGCATCTCAGCTCATTCCTATTCCCCTCTGCTTAGAACATCCTCTTATATCCCTGCCCTTACTGTATTTTACTCTGTCACCTTAAAAAAACGAATACCAGCATGTGATGTTGTTTAAGGCCTTATGAACAGGTTTCTCTTTGTTCCTCAATGTCACCACTTTTCTACAAGCACAAAACCTTCCCGTTTGTACCATCACATGTTGAGACCCTGTAGAACCTCTGGTGTCTAAAGACCTTCAACTGGCTTTGGCAAAATCTCTGGGGTCACAACCCAGGTTGTCCTGACTTTGGTTTCCACACTAATAGTCAACATTTACCCGCAGGGCCCCTTTCCCCACTTCCTCTGTCTTTATATCTACATGTAGCATAACAGCTGTGACCCACCTTTTACCACACCCAACAGCTACTGGGTAAGCACCCATGCAATTCTCGTCACTTATTGCCACCAGGCCAACTTCTAGAATGGTCTCTGATTTGCTCTCCCACACCCACCACTTGCCTCTGCTTATCCCAAAAGATTCCCATCCCTTGGCTGAGGATCCTTAGTGATGGAAAATCTTGTGATATTAGGTGAAGAGTGAGTCCAATCTAATTTCATTTCTCACCACCTGTATGTCCTCTACCCTCACTATGCCTTCCCCTAATTTTTTCTTTTATGTGCTTTCTGATGCTTTTCTATGATGCTCCAAAGAGAGTCTCATTTCCCTCTGCTCCTCTCTACAGCTCTAGTTCATTCATCCTTGCCTACAGAGTTGTTATTTGTAAGAATAGCTAAAAATGATTGAGTCCTTACTGTAAGCCAGGCCATGTACTTTTATGTGGATTATCTCATTGATTCTTCATGACGGTTTTATAAGGAAAGCACTACTGTTTTCATGCCCACTTTATAGAGTGGAGAACTGAGGCTTAAAGGGATAAAATAACCTGTCCGAGTTTGCACAGCTGGGAAACAACAGCAGCAGGAGTTCGGTGCATTCACTCTCTTTTTACCCATCATGCTCTAAAGCCTTGCTTGCTGGAAGCTGGGTGCTGCCCACACATTGTTCATACAGCAGGGTAGTTTGGAGATGCTGACATCTTGCATCCAGTCCACTAAGTGCTAGTCAGCCTCCCTGGCAGAGTGCCTAGTGACAGCTGCCATGGAAACGACCTTTCTCCACACCTGTTCAGACTGTATCCATCTAGGGGAGGCTCCTTGGAACCTTGGCTGATTCTGGTCTGATCCCTTCCTTCTGAAAACTCCACCCTCAGGGCAGGTGACATGCCAACTGGCATCAGCCAGAAAGCAGCCACCTGTAGCCCAACCTGCCCTTGGAGAAACAGCATTGAAACAAACTTGTACAGTTCATACCAAGAACTCCTTCCCCCACACACTTTTCCCTCATAGCTTCCCTAAAACTACCAATGCCATTCTCCTGCCCTTGCCTGCAACTTCTGCTTATAGTGCTGATTAAGAACTGATGAAAAATCTGAATATAGTAAAAAGCAAATACAGACACAAAGACTTTTCTCACAAATTCTTCCCTGTCATCTTTTCCTGCCCTTCACTTAGACCATTTTTCTGACATGTATTACTCTTATTTCTTCAAATAACATCTTTGAAACTAATTAAAGTTATCTGAAATATTTCAGAGTAAATAAAATGAAGTTATGATTGCCATCCTCTTGACCAGTTCTGTGTATGATATAAAGAGCCAAATACCAGACTGATTTTAGCTTCAGCTCAGCTTTGAACTTCAATTTTTTGGACGTTTCTTCTTGGCGAACCCCAACTGCCACCATCGCCAACAACCCCACCTAGAATCCCATCAGAAAGGTTTTGAAGAAGAAAAGTTACTAGATTCTGATTCTTTTCAGGTATTATGATCCTGAATTTTAAAAACAACTTCCCTGTTGACGTCCTCAGAAATTATTGACATAGGGTTTTAGAAGCTAAAGGTTTTTTTTCTAATTATCTTTTTTTTCACCAACTGAATATTATCATTGACATATTCTTTTTTTTTTTTTTTTTTTTTTTTTTTTTGAGACGGAGTCTTGCTCTGTCGCCCAGGCTGGAGTGCAGTGGCGGGATCTCGGCTCACTGCAAGCTCCGCCTCCCGGGTTCACGCCATTCTCCTGCCTCAGCCTCCCGAGTAGCTGGGACTACAGGCGCCCGCCACTACGCCCGGCTAATTTTTTGTATTTTTAGTAGAGACGGGGTTTCACCGTTTTAGCCGGGATGGTCTCGATCTCCTGACCTCGTGATCCGCCCGCCTCAGCCTCCCAAAGTGCTGGGATTACAGGCGTGAGCCACCGCGCCCGGCCGACATATTCTTTATTAATAGAGCTCAGCACCCAAAACCACATTACCTAGAGATTCAGCATCACTGTTTTTATGTGTCTATGTCATTGTGTTTTCACAATGTGTCATCTGAAATATGACCACCTGGGCATGCAATGCTGCCAGGCTCTTTTCCTAAAAGGTGATGGGTGGAAATGGGGCAGAGATGGTTAAGCCTTGATGGTGGAGGTGGAGCGGGTGATCAGGGAAGAACAGATCTGGGCGTTTGTGGGCAGCAGGATAGGATGGTTTGGCTTAGGAGAAGTGGACAAAGTGGATGAAAGAAGGCAGCAGAACTGAGGAAAACCATGGTGGTGGGGAGACCAGGTCAGTGCCCAACAGAGCCCCAGAGTCCAGGGTCCACCCTCTTCTCATCCACCAGCTGGGCCTACTGATTTGTTCTTTTTGGCTCTCTTTCTTCTCCTAGTCATCAATTCCTCTTTCATTCTTGCTGTAGCTGCACTTTTCCCTTCTCCCAGACCTCAGCTTCAGCTTTGCCAGTGGTGCCCTTTTGTCCTTGCTCCTGGCTCCAGAGCTCCAGGTGTTACTGTTGCCAAAAGCTACCAGCTTTGGGGGCTGTGATTGAATTTCTATTTTCAACATGAGGGAACAGGAGGTTTGGCATCTCTGTTGGCTCTGTTGGGCTGGAGTTTGAAATGTGAACTCCTGGACAGTCTTCTGGATGCTACTCTGCATTTGTTACACATCTGAGCAATGAGGGTAGTGCCCTGTGTCATTTAGTTGCCCTTTAGCATTGAGAGTATATGCTCTTGTGCAACAGAGGGTGAACCTGTAATAAAGGCCTGGAAGATGTATCTGGATGCATTGGTTTGTGGAGTGAATGGGAGAGAGTGAAGGTATTAATAAGCTGTGGGCTGTGTCGGGGCAGCCACTTGGTCCAACTATGCGTCTCTCCATACCCAGCTTCAATCATAAGCACGGGCCCAATCACTCAGTTAGAACTTACTAAAGATAGGAATGAATGAATGAATGAATGAATGAATGGAGTGGACAAATTAATAATGCCGCATGGAAACAAAGAAGGACAGGAACATGAAAGTAAAGGATTGCTTTGTCTGAAAACCATACAGGCAGTAAAGGGCACACGTCTTCCTGGCACTCGGGGAAGCCGCACTGCCAGCAGCAGCTCTCGAGAGCTAGGACGCTGCACAGAAGGTATGGGAGCATCTAAACAGGCTGCACTGCTTGATGGCTTAAGATAAATATTCATACTTAATACTGGTTCTAGGGTATGAATTTTTAGACTATAATTCTTTAAAATTTATTATAGTTTTAAACTTAATTGGGTGAAAATATTTATTGGTGGGGGAGGGGATGCAATTACCCAATTACCAAAGCTAGAATGAATCCTAGGAGGGATACTAAAACTATCTTTAAGTACTGAGAGGATTTTATTACAGCAACTCTTAAAACAATAATGAATGTTATGTGTTCCTCAGCCATTTTTACAACGGAAGAGAAACACACCTTTTTCAAACAGAAAGCAGATTTGCGTCTGTGGAGGAAGAAGCAAGAAACGGCTCCATGCCAACAAATCCTCCTCACAAACCCCCACCACTAAAAAAATCACATTTTCTTTGAACGTTAAGAAAAAGGAGGAGTGGGTGGAGAGGGAAACTCTAGTGAAGCTACAGACAGTACAATGGAGAGGTGGGAAATAGCATTAAAAATATGTTGGCATTTTCCCTAATGGGGAGTGCTGACAAGTACAATCCTATTACTCAAATCACATCAGCAATGAGATAAATGAAATAAAAACAAGATCTCGTGTGACCAGAGTGGCTATTTGTCCACAGATTTTCATTGCATTGAAAGTACCCCCAAAAATGGGACATAGTAGAAAACATTGTTAAGGAGGCTTTTAAAACACATCATTGAGATTACAGCACCTTTTAAAATAAACAGCACTGAATAGCAACACAGGTAAAATGTCATTGTAAGACGGGGTTCCGATATTCAACGGCGTGCTTTATGGCTTTCCAGTGTGTGATAAAATCTGTTCACCAGATGTACTGTATGTCTCCTGTGTAGCATACTTGAGCATCCTGTAGGCCCAAGGCACATTTATTTCATGTAATTGCCTTTCCTGTGCACACCTTGGGGCACCCTAATTCTCCATTTTATTTCAGGCACTGTACAGGGTACCATCTGGTAGTTTTAAACTCATCCCGTTTTATGGCACTACTGCAGTGGCTATATTCAGCTGTACTGCAGGCTTTCGGTGGAGACAGACTTCTTACTACCAGCTATTTATTTCTGCCTGAAATAAAGTAGCCTTGAACTATCAACATGCAGGATTCACACGTAGATTGTCACCAGTCCATACGAGCTAGACAGAGATTCCCAGGCAACCTGCAGACTTGAAGCATTTCCGAATTGCTTTACGCACAGCTGTTAACTTATAGAATTGGGATTCTAAATTCTTCGCCTACTTCTGCACATAATGATATCTTTTTAGTATCTCGTTTGTATTATTTCAGTTCAGATGAGCACAAAAATAAATGTATTCCATCACATCTGGAAAAGTACCACAGAGAAATCACTTAATATACAAAGCTGCACACCTCATTACGAGGTTCGTCACTCATTTCAAACCCAACCTTATCTCTGTCCCTCATCAACATGGCTTTTGTTTTGCTGTTGTTTTCCTTAAACTGTTGAATCTTTTCTTTTCAAGGGAATTTGCAAGATCTTGAAAAGACGAGTTTGGAAATAATATACTTGCAAAAGGAAAATAAATCTCAGAAGCACGCAGCTTTTCTGCAGCAGGTCCCCTATGAGCATGCCATCCTCAACTTGTGCACCAGTTAGATAGGAAGTCACTCTGTTTTCTCTGAGAATTCATCTTCTGCTTCTGACCAGCGCCCCCCCGACCCCCCACCAATGTGCCCACACAGCTGGGCAAGCCACTTTAACAAAGGGTCTCTGATATGCAAATAACACACACCCAGCTGCATGTTTCCAAATGAGTCATTGTTCACCTGCTGGTTCCTGCCTCACCAAATCCCTCTTGCTGCATGTGTTATGCATTCCCCCTTCTCCTATCCCTTTCTTCCCTGTGCAACAGCTAAGGTCTGTAGGCCCCCTCGGAATGGCAATGAAAAGACTGCAATGAGAGTGGGCCAGGCCAGTGATGGGACGAGGTGAGTGATGAGTTGGCTTGCGAGTCACTGCTGCCTCTTGACATGTGTGATCTCGGCATTGCCCAGGGAGATTACTAGTCTTTGGCCTGAGACACAGAAAGCCTTCCAGTGTACAATCTGCTACCTAGCGTCAATGACTTGCATAAATAAATAAACCAATCAGGAGATGCTGGCTTTACTATTGGCACCTTGGCCTTCATTATGGCAATGGTAACAATTACAGATGAAAAAATAAGGTAGAAAAAGGCTGGATCTTGACCCGTTTGCCACAGATTCTTTACATGTTTTGCATTTGTGGCAATGACAAATGTAGCTAAATGCACCTGGTTGTAGCTGTCTGCTGTGATCTAAAGCCTTTTTGAATGAAAAGAAAAACTCCTTCTGTTATTTATTGTTGGAAGCAGAGTTTACTTTGCTGTCTTTCACCTCGGCAGAAATCAGAAATGCCAGTTTAACAGCAAGCTGATGAGCTCTGGGGAACAGAGCAAAGAGTCGTTTGCTGGAGTCTTGTATATCAGTAGAAGACCAGTGACCAAATAGATTCATATTTATTTTCCTGGAGTTTTCCCCTCTTCTTTGACTCTCAGGCAATCTTGTTCTATAAAAATGTTAATGCTGGTCTGAATATAATGGGTGATTTTTTCCCCCACAACTCTGTCAAACAGATCTTCCCAATAATTAAATGTGCATCCTTGAGCTCTAAGAGCAGGCTTGTTGAACAAAGCAACCGCAAATCCAACTAATCTTTGAAGAATGAGAGTGTCAAAGTATAAGCAGATGTTTTAATTTGCACAATGCTGGGATTTTTTGGATGCCAAATGTTCCTAAAATAGTTATTGTATCTAGACAGCAGGAGAAAGATATACTCAGAAATGACCTACACGCCTCTCAGTTACAGACATTGTTTCCTTCAGCAGAAGTGATATTGAATGTGTTGTTAAGAAAGCTGTATGTTAATCAGCATTTAATGAGAAGGTATCACAATTCTATGATTATAATATATGAGAAAAAGAAAACAAGAGGGCACTACAGAATTTTAAAGTAAAGTACACACACACACACGCACACACACACACAGTCTTTGTAAAGTCCATAGCTAAAACAAAGATGGGACACAATAAAAGGGCTCATGTTCCCTTGTGTGGGCATCAAATGTTTCTAAAAACGACTTAAGAGATGCCTGCTATTAAAGCAAAACAGGAGGATATATACTTTAGCCATGAAATTAGCGCATAATGTTATCTAGCCAGTTGAACTTGCATTGCTTTAGGGAAATATTAGCACACGTTTTCCACAAGTGGATGTAGGCAGGAAAGATTTATATTAGACATCAGGAATAATGTCCTGACTTTCAGAAGAGTTGTGAGAAGCCAAATAGTTTACCAAAGAAGGCTGTGGAATTTACCTCCTGGAAATTTTTAGCAGCAGACATGAGACCCATATGTTTGAGACTATTTCGGAGTCTTTGAAATGAATAGAATGGTCTTATTAAGAGTTTCCTAGTCCTTTTCTTTTGTAGCTTGCCTGAGAAGAGGTTAGACATTCAGTCCACAAAGCCAGGCTTCTCTCCGACCTTCCCGTAAGTCCACCTTCTCTCAAGTCTTAGCCATATCCTACCAGAACCTCTTGATCTAAAGGGTTAAACTAAGGGACTCTCGTGCACTGCTGCTAGTGGGTTGAGGGGAGAGGGAGTTTAAATTGGTACAATCTCTAGGGTGGACAATTTCTCAGAATCTACCAAAATTAAAAGTGTGCTTGTCCTGTGACCCTACAATTACATTTCCAGGACTGTATCTCTTAGATCTATTGATACGTTTCCAAATGACTTATGGATTCATGATTTATTGCAGCAATGTTTTTAATAGCAAATAATTGGAAACAACCTTAATATCCATCAAAGGAAGACTGGTTAAAAAATTTATAGCATATCTGTGTTAAAGAGGTAGCTCTACGTGGCCTTGTAAAAAAGGATTTCTAAGATACACATTTTTAAAATGAGGTGCAATATATCACATATACTACGCTATTGTTTGTATGTTTTCAAAAAGGAGTAGAAGAGAGACATACTTTCCACAGCATAAAAAATAATTTTAGAACTATTATACCTTTGGCATTAGTACTGTGTATAATATCTATTAACATCAAATAAATGAATATTAAATAAATGATTAAGAGAAAATAAGGGAATTCTTTTCCAAACCAAAATCTCCCATATAAGGTAGGGAATTCATTCTGTCTTATCTCTGGTTCCCTCCTTGATTCTTATATTAAAAAAAGCCACTAGGATCAGATGGCTATAGCAGGGTGCAGGGTGGGAGTAGAGTGGGGGACACGGGGACATGCCTGCTTGACTTATGTTTTTCTTGTTCCCCTCCTGCAGCTATACATTTCCGAAGACAGAGAAGAGGAAAAAGGAGGTAGAGTCTGGTATGAGGGCACCAGGGAACATTTCCTTACTTCACAATTTGGTGAACTGAGTAGAACTGCCTGACATCACACAGAGGGTAAACTTCTGCCTAGGGCCATGGAAAAAGGCAAGAAGGTCCCGTGACCAAGAAATGACCAGCTCCACAGAGGAAATGCAGGGCCACTCTCCGACTGGACCCCACTGTGCACAAGGTGAGAATTCAGCCTGTTTATCAGGGTTTCCCTTATTAAAGTATATGTCAAAAAGGCCTGGTAGAAATGTAACTCTGTGATGTTAATTTTGGAAAGTCTCATCTAGAACTTTCTGGGAAGTATTTGAAAGCACAGTTGTGGAATCATTTGAAGACTCAAACATATAAATTAAACACTCTTCTTGGATACAGCAGTTAGAATATGGAACAGATAGGGTCTACATTGGAGAAATGAGAGATGTGGCAAGTGCTTAGCCTCTCTGAGACTCAGTCTCAATGTCTCCATCAGGGACAGCTAGCTAGCTCACGGAATTATTGTGAGGGTTCACTGTTATAATTTATTCCAAGGTCCACTGCAGCACCGAGGACATAGGTGGCACTCAAGAAGCAGTGGCCAGTAGTATTCTCTGCTAAAATATTTGCCACCTCAGCCACTTTGATTCTGCTCCAGAGGGCTTTTTCGCTCATCCCATTGGCGACACAAGGCAGGTTAACTAAAGATACTCTCACCTAATCTAAAAATTCAAGACATCAGTCCACAAAATACCAGAATCACCATGGAGGCAGCTGTTTAGCACTTTGGATAGTCTATTTCTCCCCCTAAAAACAGCCTACTTAAAACAGGGGAGAGTTAAGGTTCCAGGATCTTACTCCTGAGATTTTTTATTTAAAGAACACCCCATCTTTACTCGCAGCTGAGAGGCTAAGATTAAAAATTAGCCACTGTATAGTAGCTGAGCAGTGACAATTTTTCATAAAGGTTTTTAGTACACATTTGGGATTATAATTTCAATATTATGCAAATGCATTTTATGGATCTATAATACAGAATGTGTACTGGCGTTAATGTGCATTAGCAGGCGAGAAGAAAAGGCTCCAAATGAGCCATTTTGGTGTCTGCTTTCAACATGTATTATGAATAATAAGTAAAATGTTCTGGTTTAGAACAAATAATATAAAATCTGAATTCTTCTTGATGTACATCAGTGACAAAGCCCTACGCAACTCCCATGGAATTATTCCATTGGACACAATTTAAAACTGGCTCTTAAACAATATATTCCTGTTTCTGGCTTCTCTTCTTGAATGAGATGTGAAAGTAAAATAAATATATTTAATATGAATACGGGATAGTTCCCCCCATTGCTCAAAATCAGGCATGAACTAGATGAAGGCATTGGGAAGGCTGAAACACCATAGTGGTCAAGAGAGTGGCCCAGGATACTTGTAATTTGAGAGGCTCTGAGTATTGAAAAGTGAAGAAGCATCTAAATAGGGTTATATAACTTGCATATTTTCAATGAATAAAATTAACAAATATAATGCCTTTAACACAAAATATTTAATACAAGATGACTGTATTATTCTGAAGATATTTAAATGATGTGTAAGTAATATTTCTTAATGTAATGTGCTGCAAGCTTTGTTCCAAAATGGGAACTTGAGTTGAAATTTGTCTGATGTCTATTTTCTTTCAGCCTTGTCAGAGTGTTTCTGTGACTGCAGATTAGAATAAAATTCTCACAAACTAATTTGAGGCTTTTCGTAAAGGCAGAGGACTGAGCCAAACAACTAGCTTCTCATGATAGAGCCCCAAAATGTTTCCTTTTTAATTAATATTTCCATGTTGCAATTTTGCATGTACAGAAGGTGGTAGCTGGTTATTTTAGTAGTAATTCAAACTTTCTATTTGCATTGATTTAGTTAAGACTTTCAGATCTATTGACCCTGTTTCTTGAATGCATGTTTCACACCTGCCCCATTCTTGGGCAGCCTGCAGGAATACAAGATCACACTGTCCAATGAGTATGGACTAAGCATTCAGCTGAGTAACAATAATACAATCATCTTGTCTCTCAAACAGGTGCCCTTAACTTAATGTTTTTTAAAATGCCACCACGTCCATGACATCTTCAAAATGATACTAAAAATATCCATGCGATGAGTTCTGTGTGTGTTAAGTGTTTTATATGCATTATCTCAATTGACTTCCAAAGCAACCTCACAAGGTCAGTTTTACAATCCCCATGAAATGGTTGAAGAATTTGGAGTCTAAAAAGACTAAGTAATTTGTACAAAATCACAATTATACAGGTCTAATTTTGCAACCCAAACTCTTGACCAGTATATAACCCTGAATCCAGTATTAATGTAGTAGATAATTGTCTTGGCTTAATTTATCATATAAGTTATAGAAATGGTGTTTTGTCCTTACTCTGACATGGGGACTATAATTGACACTAAAATCTGAATCAATTTCAACCAGTCATTGCTTCACTTCACTACTTGTCTACATTGCTGCAGTTGGTTGCTGCTTTCCATTTCCCCCGATGCTTTTCCATTCGAGATGGAGGTCTGTGGAAGGAAAGATGGATACAGCAAGAGGGTCTATCCAAGAACCCAATAAATATGTACTGCATAAATAAATCAGATGTTTTAAATTTGGCAATTTAAATTCAGCAAAAAGTCTTTGACAACCTGTGGAGTGTAAGCTATGGTTTCTATCCTTGCAACCTTAAAATTTCAAAAAGCCCCAAATTCAAGCTTATCAGTAGCAAGGAAGCCCTTCCAAATATTAACTTACAATCAATATTGGAAAAAACTGAGTAGTATATTGTGTCCTATTTTGAAAACAAGCTATTTGCCATGTGTAGATAAGATTCCTACACTAAAGATATCTTTTTAATAGTTGAAATATGAGATGCCGAGTAATAAAACTTGAAGTACAGTGGAGCAGCTCTGAGAGAACAAGTGGCACATTGCCTTGAAATAATACTCTCAACGCCATTTGCTGAGTCTTCTATGCTCTTGGCCCTTTGCACAATCTCACTTAATCTTCACTGCACCCTGTAAGGTAAATATTATTATCTTCATTTTACAGATGAGGAAATTGAAGCTTACATAAATTGTCTGAGGTCACACAGTTAATAAGTGGTTGAATGTGGATTTAATTCGAGGTCTGCTTTATTTCAAAGTGATTCAGTGAGTGAGACAGAGAGAAACAAAGAGAAGACAGTGGTTTTTAAAGAAAGAATGAATCTCAATTTTCTGAAACCCTATAGCAATTCCTGCCTTTCTTGTGGCTCTTACCATATTCTGCTGTTATTTCTGGATTTCTTATATAACCTTTACTGAATTATAAGCTATTCTATTTGAGAGAAGAGACCACACACAAACCATTTCTGTATTCCCCCAGGACCTTGTTCAGTGCCTGGAACAAAGTAGGTATTCAAGATACCTTTCACTTATTCCTCATATATTTGCTGGGTGTGGTTAAGCCCAGTAAAGAAGACAAGTCATGCCTTCCAGGAGCTTCTAGCTCAGGGGAGAAAGTGATTGAAGACCCAGTGTTCTAAACTGGGTGTGGCACCACAGTGATGGGAAGTAGGGGAAGCCAAGGGGAAGCTGACTGACTGGTGGGCTCAACCAAGGTTTCCCGAGGAAGAGGTCATCCAAAACCATTCTTGAAGCTTCAGTAAGAGCCAAGCAAAGAGGGTGGGGAAAGCCTCACAAAGCGAGAAGGATCAGGAATGCACAAAGGCCCTGAAATTAGAGATAAGCACAAAGCCTGTTTCCAAGGATTACAAATCACCTGGAGATTACTGGAGGACAAGAGAAAGGGGAGAAACAGCAAGACAGAAGGTGGCAAGGTATCCGCTGTGAAGTCTAGAAGGACTGTGTACACCATGGTAAAGTATTTCTCTATCCTGATCTTTCTGGGGAGGGTTTATGCAGAGGAGAGGCAAGACAAGGCATATATTTGAGAAAGAGGATCATTAGCTGAATTGTGGAGAACAGACTCGAAGAGGATGCTACTGGTTGCAGGGAACAGGAAAGAAAACCAAGGAAGCAATCACTAAAGCCAGTGGGAGGGAGGGTCTTGCCATTAGAGAAGAGAAGGCCATTTTGTATACACAGCTGACGCTTGAACAACACAGGTTTGAACTGTGAGAGTCCACTTATATTTGGAATTTTTTCAATAAAAGTTACATGGAGTGTGCCTGCCTCTCCTGCCTCCTCTTCCACCCCCGCCACCCTTGAGACAGCAAAACCAACCATTCCTCTTCCTCCTCTTCCTCAGCCTGCTCAATGTGAAGATGACGAGGATGAAAACCTTTATGATGATCTACTCCTATTTATGGTAAATATATTTTCTCTTCCTTATGATTTTCTTAATAACATTTTCTTTTTTCTAGCTTATTTTATTGCACAAATACAGTGTATAATACGTGTAATATACAAAATATGTGTTTATGTATTCCACAAGGCTCCCAGTCAACAGTAGACTATCAGCAGTGAAGTTTTCGGGAGTCAAGTTACATGAGAATTTTTTTTTTTTTTTTTGAGATGGAGTCTCGCTCTGTTGCCCAGGCTGGAGTGCAGTGGCGCGATCTCTGCTTACTACAACCTCTACCTCCCGGGTTCAAGTGATTCTCCTGCCTCAGCCTCCCAAGTAGCTGGGATTACAGGTGTGCACCACCACGTTCAGCTAATTTTTGTATTTTTAGTAGAGATGGGTTTCACTATGTTGGCCAGGCTGGTCTCGAACTCCTGACCTCAAGCAATCCCCCCACCTCGGCCTCCCAAAGTGCTGGGATTATAGATGTGAGCCACTGTGCCCAGCCACACGACAATTTTTGACTGCATGGGGGTCAGCACCCCTAACCCTCGCACTGTTCAAGGGTTAACTGAAATTTGGACTGGCACATGAATATTTTATGTGTGAGATATTTTTGGAGTAACTCCAAATTAGTTTTCTCTCATTATTAATTTGTGGGAGCCCCATGGACTAAAACATGAAAGGAGTCTTAATTTTGGATGTCCTTGTGTTTAGACATCTAGTGTAGCTCTCAGACTTAATTAGAGCTGTGTTGAGCACTTTTTATCTTAACAATCTCTCTGTGAGTAGAGGTAAAAAATAATAGGAATCGATATAAACAGCCTAAGAGGAATACCTCAGAAAGATAGAAATATTATTTTTGCTGATGCACATTTTTTATTTTGAAAAATCATGAAGATCTCCATTAGGAAATCATTCTTCCTTGGCATTGTGTTGCATGCTCAACAAATAGAAGGTAAATATGCTAAAATTGGTGTCTTTTTCATGAAAACCACATAACTGTAAAGCTCTTTGTTTTCACCCAACTGCTGAAAACATTTGTGTAGGCAATTTCAGTAAACATTTGGAGAATTGGAAGTGCTCTTTCCTACACATATGGTTCTTTATGAAGAGGTAATTTTTATCTATGTTCTACTCAATTGAATATTTATAAGTCTGTTTGGCCTCAAAGGTACCTGATCTCCCCCCAAAATACAATTGCCCTGTAAAGCTAAAGTGAGATTTATTCACTTACCCTTTAAGAACTTTGCAAGTTATTTTCATTTTTCTCCCTATGAATTTGTTCCCAGTATAATCCTAAATTTGTCTAATTTGCTGTGTTATTGCAATTAGTCAATTCTCCCTCAGTTACACAAATAATAGCCTTATAAGTAAGTTTGAGGCTGTAAATCATTCATCCATTAAAAATGCCATTTCCTTGTACTGCAAATTCGATTCATTTAGAAGAGAAAAACCATGGCGTGGAACAGAATTATGCAATGTCATGGACACATTAACATTTGGATCAAAATTTTACATTGTGTCAGCCAGTAAACAGTATAAATGGTTCAGATTTGCAATAAATAATTGTCTATTAATACTCTGGCATGCTGTAGCAAATTATAGTCTCACTTCAGTAAGCACAGCTGTAGATAGGCACCAGGGCCGAAGGAAGCAAGTGCCACAATTGGTTTGAGAGGAAAAGAGCCCGTTATGCAGGGATGCAGGGCAGGGGCAGCTCTCTTCAGCAACTGGAGGCATAGCTGTGGATTAAATGCTTGTGTTTATAAACACAGGAGGAAGACCCAGTGGGCTTTTACTGTAGCTGGAACATTAGACACCAAAACGCAGCCCTTTGCTAGAAGATGCGTCTTTGTGTTTGCTGAATGTGAGAGGGATGGTGGCACATTCTATATTAACCAGAAAAATGTTCCTGATGATAGGACCAACTTTGATGTCCCTCGGATCTAGGAGCCAGGCTTATGGCTGGAGCAGCAACAATATTAGGTGTTGATTATGGAGTCACTCAGGGACCACCAGAAGCTCAGACTCTCCCCAGAGGCTACCTTATGTGTGGGGGCAATTTAGGCCCTTCTTCCCTCTCTCCCTGTCATGATCTTCTTCACTAACCAATTGAGGAACCTATAATTAATATCATTTTTCACTGTTTGGCTTAATGCTTTTAAGCCCTGTTAAAATGCAAACAAGATATCTGGAAAAGTTGATAAGGAGATATGTGAACATTCATTGACATCTCGGCATGCAGCAGGTTCTCAACTTAGTCAAAATTACGGCACTGAGTAGGATGAACTGGAACATCAGGGCAGGCAGCACAAATGATGGGAAAATGAAGTGTTGCTGAGAGAACATCCTGATGGCCAGGATCACTATGTACGAAATGCAGGGGTATACAGAGAGGATTGGGAATGATTCTCAATGGTGACTAACATTTGTAGAATTCACCTGTGAGGGCAGGCAGTACTATCATTATCCCCACTTCCCAGATGAGAAAACTGAGGCCCAGAGATGTTAAGTAAAGTAACTTGCTCATCAAGTTTACCCAGCCAGTGTGACAATTTATACTACGGAATTGGGTGGGTCTAAAAGCTAATTTACCTTAGTTCAGAATTTAGCCTGAGGCTGTCTAGGAATAACAGATCTTGCTTTGCTTAAAGCCATGATGTTAGATTAATTGATATTGTGACCCTTGGCAAATATCAAAGTTTCGTGGAATTCTCTATAATAAAGACTCTAGACTTTAGAAAAGTCAATTCAAAACACTAAAGTTATTCCTTTATTCCTACTGTTATCCTATTCTGTTCCTTAGCTCACAAAGGAAAAAATAATCCCCTATTGACCTCCAAATTTAGCATTCATTTGATTTCATTTATACATTTAAAATAGAGAAGAATTAAAGCAACCTTATAAATTATATTTTAATAAGAATATTGATATCTGAAAAGCTAGCAACCCAGAGAAATGTTTTTCTTGCTTGACTTAGATAATATTTTCATCAACATAAGAAAAACAAATTGAGCCCCTATGAAGTATAGGGTGTGCCCTGGATTTTAGATGGTTGCCTAATTTTCCTTTTCATGTCTGTTAAAAGCCAAGTTTAATTTGGAGCTATTTCTCAAGAAGGGTGAGCAGCTGTGATTGATTTATTTGAATACTTTACAACATTTAAAAATAGTTTTTCTAATTCACCAGAGAATTATTAAATCCTTGGGGCTGTATGCTCTCTTTTGTAGTCTTAGGTTCTCTCTCATGCTTGGACAATTCTAGTGTCTTTGCCAACAATAGCTACTTTTTCTTGCACACCACTAAACTAATCATTGCAAAAGGTCATTGTTGTGACATCATTCTCCTGTCCCAAACTGTCAGTGGCTCTTCACTTCCTCCCAAGTAAACTCTGTGTCAGAGCCTCCACCATCTGGGTGCTGTTTACTATTCAATACATATTTCCCACAGCTTTCTGGGCAAGCCCACTGTGCCTGGCACTGTCTCTGATCTCCATGGTGCTGCACGTCTGGCCACCACCCTTTCCTCCCCTCCCTTAGTTATTTGGCCTCCAATGCCTTTACCATCTCTCCAGCCTCCTCCCACGCACTCCCCACATCTTTGAAATCTTTTTCTTTTCTTTTTTAATTCCAGCTCTTTTCCTCTCTAAAACTCAAGATTTGACATTTATTCTAGAATCATAAAAGGCTAGAACTCACGGGGACAGGAGTGGAGCTATCTGTCATTTTTAAATATAGCTTCTCTCAATCTTTATTTAGTGGACTTGCTCTGGATTAGGGATGAGAAGACCTGACTCTACTGTTTTCTTGATAAGTGACCTTGAACCAGACACATGTGCTCAAGTTCCATATCTGTAAAATGAAGATACCTGGCCTTCCTACTTCACAAGGTTCTTTTGAAGATCAAATGTAATACTGCATAATAAAGTGACTCATAAATTCTTTTTTTTTTTTTTTTTGAGATGAATTCTCACTCTGTTGCCCAGGCTGTCATGACCTGGTGCAATTTCAACTCACTGCAACCTCCGCCTCCAGGGTTCAAGAGATTCTCCTACCTCAGCCCCACCGAGTAGCTGGGATTACAGGCATGCACCACCACTCCCGGCTTTTTTATTTTATTTTTATTTTTTGTATTTTTTGTATTTTTAGTAGAGATGGGGTTTTGCCATTTTGGTGAGGTTGGTCCTGAACTCCTGACCTCAAGTGACCTGCCCGTCTTGCCTCCCAAAGTGCTGGGATTACAGGAGTGAGCCTCTGCACCTGGCCTGACCCATAAATTCTAAAGTACTAAGTGATGTCCTCATATATAGCACAGTCCCTCCAGCCCCTGCAATTCAAAGATACATCTCACTGTACTTAGGAGAGTTAGAGTAGAGGCATGACCTAACTTGTTAGCTGTTTATCTCCTATAGAAAGTGGTCAACAGATCTTTGTTGGTAAAATGAATGAATATTCATTTCTTATCTTTCAATGAGAATGTGATAACTTTGGTTATTGATGTATACTTCCGTGCAAATTTGCTCATGCAATTTCAACCACATCCCCCAGAACAACTTTCTACCATGCTAATTGCTCCGAACATTTAAATACCAGCATAGGAATGGAAGCTACTGACTGTTAACATTTCTCACATTTAGTTGCTGAATGCCTCTCACATTTACTTACTGAATGTGTGCTTTAGACCATCTTAAAAATATAATAGTATGTCTGATAAAGAGGCCCATCAGTCCTCAAAATGTCTTCATCTTTTAGTGTTGAAACAATAATGATGATTTGCTTCATTTGTGCTCTACACACCAATGAGATGAGCTAACTGCATATCTACTATGAAATAATGTCTATTATTACATGGATAACTACCCATTAACTCCATTGGAAACACTGGTAATTACACAGTATGTTACGTTAATGCACCTGTGTTAGCTTCTGATTGCCATATTATTAATTCAAGTGACCTCTTGAATTAATTCAAGTTTCCCATCATCATTTTCTTATTCTGGAACTCTCTAACACTTTAGAGACTGTTGGCTAAACAATAAAAGTATACAGTGAAAACTATTTTCAAAAAAAAGAGGATCTGATGTGTGATCCCATTGATGTTTGTTGTTGTTTTTCACTTCTTTGCTTGACATATATAAACAACTTTAGAGCTATATTCTGTTACCTTCTGTGCAAAATTAGAACAATTTTCACTTTGTGAAGAGTTGCAGAAAGATTTGACCTTTAAAAACTCTGAAACACGTCTGGTTCACAAACAGAATCACATCTTAAAAGCCCTAAGTTTGCTCTAAAAGTGTCAATCAAGTTTTCAGCACACTAACACACGTAATAATGAAAGGCTTGTATTTGCTCCTAAAACCCAAGTTGCCTCCCAGTCACTCTGCATCTGGTTACACCAAACTTAACTTTTCTACAGTCCATCTAGTCCTGACCTTCCCCTCTTCTTACGAGCCCCCATTTAACCAAAGCAACTCCAGCCCAGGAGATGAAAACCCCATCAGCATTTTCATAGTTAATGACAGGGCTACAAAACAGAAAATAACAGCGGGAATCTGAAGCCAGTGCTTTTATTGGACTAACTAACGATATAAATAAAATGGTCCCTGACTGAGCTTTGGAGAATCACTGTCTCTTTATCAGGCCATAGAAAACAGATCCAGGAGGGCAATAAATACAGCACATAACAGAGTGGAATTAAATGATTAGGCCTGAATTAACACCCTGTTTCTGAGCCTCACTTAGTGTTCCATGGCCCCAATGAAACACTGCAATTCACAAATGCTCAAGGCCCATTTAATTTTTATTTCAAGCTAGTTCAGAAGAAGGGATTACCTATAACTCCCCCCTATTCCATTGTGTAACTCTCGAAGTAACAACACTGATCCTGTCTAGATAGCTGTTAGGAAAATAGGCTGTGCTATAGGAAACACAGAGTCTATTCAGAATCCTGCCTCTACAAAAATCACATTAATTCAAAGGGACCAAATCCCTCTCTGTGAAAGTGACAAGGCTGTCCTTGATGGGAAAATAATGAATTATTAGTTAAATAAACTTGATTATTTTCCATGACATTAACAACAAACCTATGCAACTGTCAGCCCAAGATTTTTACTTTTTGAACTGTGGCTTTAGCATGCCAAAGATCCTAATCAAGTCTTAACTGCAAAATGGAATTGAATCTCACCTTGGAGGGTAATCTATGGAGGCCCATCCCCCATTACACCATATGTCACAGGATAAGGTGGATGAGTTTCACTTAAACCCTGTTGGCGGGGAGTTAATATTGTTCTATACGTCTTCATTTATACAATGGCTTTAGAGCAAGAAATCCAAGGATGGCATAAGAGGAAGGCTTCACTGTAGCAGTGAAGTACTTAGAAATTTTAGACGAAATATGCAGCAGATGAAACTGAGTCATTAAAACCACTTGTATACCTGTGACTTGAAGTGATGTATGAGATGGAGATATATTTAGAAGGCAAGGTCCTCAAGAGGTAAGAGAGCTTGCAGTTTTGAGCACTTAGTAGATGCTGTGTGCTGGTTTTTATTTTTCCTCATTTAATCCTCACACTGTCCTATAAAGTTGACATAATTATTCCTGTTTACAAGTAAGGAAACTGACCCTCAAAGAGGAGTGTAATAATTGCCCAAGTTCACACAGGAAGTGGTAAGGCTGAGATTCAAATCCAGATCTAGCTGATTCCAAAGCCAGCCCTTTCCGTCAATACTATGACTGTCACCTGCTTAGAACTCCTGACTGCTGCCTGGAGCTTTTACTTGGGATCTTCTAGAATAACCAAAGAAACAACACACAGAAGAGGATGAGACTAATGAAGTATAGTCTCAAACAGTAGGAAAAAACCCCAAGGGCTTTGGCACTGGATGAGATTAACTCTTATAAAGCCCCAGGAGATCCAGACATTCAGTGAATTAAGGAGCCCTCCTCTGAAATTAAATGAACCTGCCTGTCCAAAACTGCTTCCGAGTGTCAGCCATGGCGTACATGGGGTCCAGACTCTATCATCACCCTGAAAGGGCACCTTGAGCCTTGACTGAAGTAGAGCAGGGAGGATTCTTCCACATTTTCAAGAGTATGAGGTTTGACCACACCCAAGTTTACCCTACCAGTCGGTTCAGCATAGCGTGTAGCTGTGTATGGGACAGAAAGGGACACCTATTAGATGGAACCTTCTGCCCCAACACTTTTGTACTACAAAATAACTGTAATTGTGGCTCAAATTTATGCTTAAGTAACTTCAGTGAAACAATAACACACACATAACTCTCAGAAAGCAATCTTACTCAAAAGGCTTGGGCACTGATACATTGTGAAGAAATTACACAATATGAA
Organism: Homo sapiens; assembly: GCF_000001405.40. Classification (NCBI taxonomy): domain Eukaryota; kingdom Metazoa; phylum Chordata; class Mammalia; order Primates; family Hominidae; genus Homo; species Homo sapiens. Next base: position 176,749,990 of record NC_000002.12, on the reverse strand, counting down.
TTTTTTTTAAAAAGGTAATCACTAGAAAGTTTACAGATGATAGATTCATGTTAGCAAAAGAGTGTTAAGTATCTGTTGAATTACAACTAGACACTTATGGAAAGTGTCTAATTTCACTTTCTCTGCACTATCTTTCTGTATTACCAGTACCCAATAAATTAAATGCTTTTGACATTCAATCAATATTACATGGTAATAATCACATCTTTTCATTAAAAAGGATAAATTCCTTAAAATTTTATGTTTTAAGAAAAGGTCTTTGTTTACCAAAAGGGATAGCAAAATGATTTAAGTGAGTTTAATTTGAATTATTAATTTTTTGTTCCTCGGCCAGCAGTTCTTCAGCAAAGGTCTAGATTATGGTGATTGTTCTTGGTTGTGGTTTTTTAACAGTAATGACAAGGCCCTTGATATCCTCTGGCCTTGACTTAGACACAATTGCAGGCCTCCTTTTCACCTTTAGTTTTAGTATTAAGGAAAATCTATCTCACTGTCAGGAATAAAAGCCAGACTATGTCTTTGAATTTGAGTCCTTGTCTACTTGACTCCACAGCAAGCCATAGTTTTAAGCAGCTTTTTTGGGAGATAGGACCACGTGAAGCATCTGCCATGCCCATTTGCTTATTTAAGTACTTGTTTTTGTATTTTGAAAGCATAACTTCAGTTTAAAAAATCCACATAAAAATGGGGTAAAACTTGGAACAAAATTATGGACTACCAGAGGTTTTCACTTACAACTGGCTACAGAAGCAGAGTGCAATGCAATCACAAAGAATTATTCCTTTAAAATTGTGAGGTATCACATCTGCATTTTTGAGTGAATAGCTGACTATGATAAAGAGACCAGTTTTACCTTTGTAAAGCTGTATGTCTCTTCCACGAAGTAGTTCTTTCATCTAACATGCGGATTGCAATAACTTACAGGATTGATGTGGAAATCAAAGGCCATAAAATGTGAATTGTACTTAAAAGAAAAACATAAAGTGGTGTGCAAGTATGAGGTATTACTATGAAGAATTCTCAATGAAGACTGCCCAGGATTTTAAGTTCTTATCCTTGCTGTGTCATTTTTTATTACCCATCAATGAAAACCCTGCCCCTGTGGCCTTATTTCAGGCTTTGTAAACTTGGGCCTCCTTACAACAATTAATCACTGATCCTGTAAAGTTTAAACGCACGATGCCAAACTACAAGCTGCTCCTGGAACTACATTGCCTGACCACCTTGGTATCAACTCATCTCTTGGTCTAAACTCTTTCATTTGAACTTCACAACACATTTTCTTTTTGGGCTGGGTTTTGCAGAAGTAAAATTGTCCAGGGAATTGTTTTGCTAGACCCTCTTCTTTTCTTTTTTATTTACACAGGGTCTCGCTCTGTCGCTCAGGCTGGAGTACAGTGGTAGGATCCTAGCTCATTGCAGCCTTGAACTCCTGGGCACAAGCCATCCTCCTTCCCATGCCTTTGCCCCCTATGACTCCCCATCCCACCTCAGGGACTACAGGCACACACCATCACTCCTGGCTATTTTTAAATTTTTTGTAGAGACAGTGTCTGCCTTTGTTGCCCAGGCTGGTCTCCAACTCCTGGCTTCAAGCAATCCTCCCGCCTCAGCCTCCCAAAGTGCTGAGATTACAGGGATGAACCACTGTGCCCACCCTGCTTTTCTGATTTAACATAAAGAAGCTATCCTTTCAGGCAAACATGGAAAGTCACTGCACCTCAAGGGGTTCTCAGCTCAAAGTCCTGTGACACAGTCTGTGTGTTTATTACATGGGACTTATTGTGATTTGAAACCATTCTGTTCAGCTACAGTATTTACTTGCCTGTTTATCATCCACCTCCCTCCTCTGAAATGTCTGTTCCAGGGGAGACGGAGCAGTGCTTGTCTTTTTCACCACAATCCCCTGGGCTTCGAATACTTCCTGGAACATGGTGAGAAGCCCAATAAAATAGCCGTTGAGTGACCAGATGAATTGCTACAAATAGGAAAGGTCACATTTGATATCACTAAAGCATTTACGTTTGAATACAATTTTTTCCTTCCCCAAATGAAAGCTTAACACTCTTCTAAGCTCTCACAATAAAAATTTCACCAGCCAGGTCCTTAGTAATATTAATTCCTTAGTCCTATCACCGTCGTTCTCAGGGCCCGAGGCTGGGCCAAACATGACTGAGGTTTTCAAAAAATATACTTTTAATATAATTTTAAAATACACTTACTAGGGGAAGGCTCATAAAATTCAGCTTCAGCCACAATCTGGACTATAGGCTGCCAAGTGCTGCATAAATAAATCATCAAGTCATTTTGGCATCCTGTGGGCCAGAAGGAATATCTTCCTCAGTAGATTTAAAGAGACACAGTTCTGAAAGAAATAGGAGCAAAGTGAGCCATTAAATATGTACTCTCTTATGATATTCCGGACCTTGGACAGATTCCTTGAAGTGGCAATTGTCCATTTTACCAAGGGCAGATTCTTTTTTTCCTCTTTCATTGGAATCCATTGAGGAGTTGAAAGAATTCATCCCAATATCCACAACAAATGCCCCTACCCGCTTTCAAGTGTACCAATAGTTGCAAAGAAAAAAAAATACAAAAATACAGCAGTCAGAAGATCGGGTTATGCGGGCAGCTTGTAACTGTGTATGTGCAGCATGGATTCAGGTAAGTCAGAGGCCATGCTCAGCTGAACAAAGGAAATCCCCCAAAACAGTGGCCAGTGGCCAGTGAGGTGCAGGAGACCAGAGGGGCTGCTTGGTAGAGTCTGCATTGATGGCCCAGGCTGAGTGTCCAGACTAGAGCTCACCTGTGCATCACACACACAAACACACACACACACACACACACACACACACACACACACACACACACACACTGCTTCCCTTGTCAAGTTTTCCTGGCTAATTTAAATCTAAATCAGTCTGCTCACTGGCCTTTGTAAACTTGCTAGAATGAAGAACATGGAAAAAAAAATGATAGATATAGGTCCGGTGGATGCAGAAGCCAGGCCAGAAATCTGAATCCTCCTGACCTGCAGCTCTGAGGTTTGCAGAAAGCCCTTTTTCAACATGGTTCCTGAAAAGTGACTGTGTCACAGTACGTGAGGGCTACGGGGGGTAAAAATTGTAGTATGTCTTTTCCAAACTATTGATTAAAATACAGCCCCATTGATGTACAAAGCTCAACCGATTCAGAGGAAAGCTGCGAGATATGTGATGTATGAGGTACCTGTAGGAACACACATTCAGACACAGAAGTACCAGCGGGCCCTCTTGTACCGCCTCATGCTCTCACACACAAGCACAAGCACACATGCGTGCATGCACGCACACACACCAACCCCCTTCTTGACGGCATCCCATTTTTTGCTGCCTCATCTTTCATGTAACCATGACTAAAAAATAAAAACTGTATACAGTTCCTTTTGTGTGTTGCATTTACTAAAACCCAGGCCAATTTGGCTCTTACTCCCAATAAGAAATTTCTTATCTGCTCTCTATCTGGATCTGTCTTAGTCAGTAGCTGATAGACCCTCTTTGGGTTATTAACCAGTTAGTTTCTTCCAGAAAAGAGGTCATTAGCATCTAACATTACTCAGGGGTGTCAGGAGATGCAGGTATCAGATCCTCTCATCCTGGTTTATCTTTAATTTAATCTCTAGATTTTTCAGCTCTAGCTGTCAGCTGGCTTCCACTTAATAACACATTTTTATCTGTTGTTGGTGTTTTTTTTTTTTTTTAACAACTCAATAACCGATATAATGATGACAGAACTGACGAATTCTGCATTAATGGATTTCCTTCCCGCATCTAGGCTCCGAGCTGCCAAACGCTGCTAGAAATGCTAAAATAGGTTCCAGGCAGTTACAGGTTAAGGATCATTTGCATAAATTAGCAAGTTTTGCAAATGAATTCATCTACTGAGAAGTAAGACACGGGACACTGCATTTTAATAATTGACATTCCACATGAAATGCAATGTTCTTGAGGAGGAAATTGAGCTCCAGGTTGCTATTAGAACCAGCGGACCAGCACGAGTGGAAAGAAATGCCATCCCCCATTATGTGAGCTACTGCTCCTGCATAACAACTACCCCATTCTGATGGACTCCTTTTAATAAAAGTATTAGTGTGCGCTCACCGAGAGGGAGAATAGAGAGGAATCTACTCATCAGCACTATCAAACAGGAAATGAAAATAAAGAGTTCTTCAGCATACCACCTTAATGTGCCACCAGCAACTCTGCATTCTCTTTCTAAAGTCATCTTTCATTTTCAGCTTGATTTGGCAGCCACTCCCCACCCTACCTCCACCCTCTTCCTTTTCAGTTTTCTGAAACACTCAGGAGATTATTTACATATATACAGAAAGTAAGTAAAAGTTTTAAATTGCCCAATTTGGATGTTGTCTCCCATAATGTTGGTTAAGTTACAAATAAAGATAAGTGGGCCATTTTGCTGCCTCCTCCTGGCCTAATTTGTTTAAGGACATGCCACATTGCAAATATTAGTGAGAATGCCAAATGAATGCCTTTCCTAAGGTATTAGTCAGTCAAAATCAGGGTATTCAGCATGTCGGAAGTACAAACTGCTCACACATGCAATGTAAGCTGGAAACAAGTCCATCCGTAATAGTGTTTCCTGGCATAATTTATAATTAACATAAAATGAATTAAATCACTCACTCCATAGACTTTTTTCCAAGTTCATGTAGAGTAAGTGTGTCATATCAATTAATTTTCAGTGAACTGCGGCAGCCAATAAAATTTCTCCCAGACACTGGTAATAATCCAAGATATTGATGGAAGAGGTATTATCATTAATATGAGTATAAGCCTCAAATCACGTACAGGGAACAGGCAGAAAGAGTTCCTTTCTTGGAAAGGGAATGTGATTCTTGCTAGCTGCCTGTTATTCTTTCCAATTTGTTAGGCTTTCTGTCAGTTCTCACTTTTCACACTGATAGCCTTTTAATTTTGCCTACATAACTAAATTCCTCTAGTGCAGCTGTCTGTTTTTGTGGGCTATCTAATCTGAAAAAGTTAATATACATGAACAAATTAAACAGATTCATATAGGAAGAACAGATATATTGCCCATTTAGTTGAGACATTTTCAATGGCTTTCCTACGTGTTCACAACCACAAATAATTGATAAATAAAAAATTAATGCAACCGATCTTTGGTTTGTAGAATTCAAATAGGCATCTTAACTGATATTTTGGGGGAGGTGTTTGCTTGTTTTCTACTGAGTTAACCACCTTTTTCTGGCACTATGTAAACAAAGCCCAAGTGCCTCACATTTCTTTGTTGATAATAAATGATTTTACAAAGAAACCAACTGCCATTCATTTGATCTTGTTAAGTGATACGTCGCTGATTTCTCTAGCTTTTTCTCAACAATAACACCTGTTAGAAATGCTTATGATTTTATATGCATTTTTCTTTCTAGGGAAATACTAGTTTCTGGGGAGTACTAGTTGGTCCTAGGGCTAAATGTGTTTGATAGTTTGAGAGGACAACCTTTTGTCTATGTCACTAGCTGCATGCTTATGACCATATCAAATACAGAAATCCTGCCGAGCCAGTTGATATGTGGAATGAGTTGCCGTGACTCCCTCTCCCAATAAAGGGTGTGTTCAGACTTTGCTTATTTATAGACCAATAAAGAAAAATTTCCACTGTTCTCTTCAGCCAGCTGAAGATAAATAGCTCTTCCGTTTCTAACATTTAATGTTCACAGACACAAAAACAACTGCTCTGAATATTAAGCCAACATTCGTAATTTTTTTCCTATGAAGGGGAGAAATCCTTGAATATGAAACAATGAAAGGTTCAGATATAATCTTTCCCATTTTAGAACTGTTTTATTGCAACTTGTTTTCCTCAACAAAGAGGCTCTCTGGGCTTAATTTGATTACTAGGTGAAGCATCGACTCACATGCTTCAATAATTTTCTCCATGACCTGAGAGCTTAGGGTTCCATAGAACGAAATCCAGTTCCTGAAGATGGTGCAGCCACAGCACCAAATGTCCTCCGATGAGGCTGTTACTGTTGGGTCAAGCTGCTCCTCATGAGTATGTGTGCAGCAAATGCTTTCTATTTTCATATTCTAGAGCAAGGAACAGCATAAATTATTCCTAATTCTTGATTCTGTGATGAAGTAGCCATCTGGTCTGATAGTACAGTGACAATGATATAGGAGTGAACACTCTATGCTTGGTCTACTGCACAGAAAAGGACAATAGGACATATTTTAAAATGTCAGGATCCATCAGAAGCATATTCAGGAAAGTTTACATTTATGAAAATAGATAGTATCGAAAATACATCATGATGCAAATCTAACCATGGCTGTTGGGCAGCTGAATTAAATTAAGAGTAAATCTGAATATTTCTAATTAAAATTGTGTTATTCCATTTCCTGCTATGTTTTTCATGTCTGTAAAATGAATCATTATTTTAGTACTTTTGGGAAGTTGTGTCACAAAGGAGGTTGACCCATCTGCTTCTCCTTTGACACGTGGATGTGGAGCTCTTTGGCTACAGATATTTGATGGCTTTGGCTATTTCCAGTCTGTTATTAGTGAAAATTGTGTTCACCACTACATTTGTGTTCATCACGAGATGAGGCATATGCGTCACTGGCATGGGGACAATTAAGAAATCACATGTGTGAGCATAAGGTACATTGATAGAGCAATAAAAGAGTTTTTTGATGGCCTCCATTTAATATATTTATCTATTCTTTTATTCAAAAAACATTGACTGAGTCCTTCTCATGTACTAAGCACTGAATTAGGTGTCTCATTGAAGTTAGGGGAGGAGAACAATAATATATTTTGAGAGTACTAATGTAGTGAATGAGCATGACTTCAGAAAGAAATCACTTCCAACCACATGAAGTAATTGCCTATGAACGTCCAGCGGCAGTATCTGGATCACTGCTGTAGGAAACCAGTTAAATGATTATCGGAGTGCAGGGTCTTGGTAGAGACACAGGAGAGGCTGAATGAGGCTAGGTAGAAGACCTGTGCATTGGGTGTTGTGGGTGTTAATCCACATTATAGATGCTGGTGTAGACACAAAGTCCAGAGGATCTAGGAAACAGCTATGATTCAAAGAGTCAGGACAAGGAGGTCTAACCCAATGTGTAGAACACAGCATCAGGATCTGAGTAACAATGCATGCCTTTAATTTTTGGTAGAGGTCAACTTTGAATGAAAATTGAGCCTTTATTATCTTAATTTCTAATAGATACATGACACTATTCAAAAGACCTTAGCACTCTTTCTTTATGGGTCTTATATATCGGGAAATAGTCATTTCTTTTCTTTTTGAAAGAGAAAGGAATTCACATATTTAAAGAATAATGAGTATCTGTTCTGTGTCACAAATAGCTCAAAATCACCACGCACAGAACTGTTCCATTACCTTCTCCACACCAGCCTGCTTCTGCTGTCTCTCAGTGAGTATGGCCCCATCATTGCCCAGTTTCCCAAGTCTGGAACCTGGAAGTCAGCCCAGTTCACTTACAACTTTCCCACCCCCACTACCAATGTTCACCAAGTCCTATAGAGCCTATTGCCAAATATTTTATCTCTTTCTTCAGCACTGTCATAGTTCATAAAGTCATCATCTCTAGGCTACATGGCTGCTATTGTTTCTAAAATAAAAATCTATTCTTGTGTTATAATATGAATCCCACAATGACTCTACATTAATTTTAGAAGCAAATCTATGGTCTGGCTGCTATCCATGTCCCCACATTCATCTCCCATTTACTCCCATTCCCCACCCCCAGATGTAGCAAATATTACAGCCATACTCTGTGACTTAAGCCCTGCCTTTCTCTCCCAGAATGTATGTAACCTTCCACTGGGGTCTTCTCACTTCTTTTATTCCAATCTCCATCTAAACTAACAATTGTTTCTGCTTCCTTTTTAAAAGCTGGCCTAAACAAGCATGGTGGCTCATGCCTATAATCCCAGCACTTCAGGAGGCCAAGGAAGGAGGATGCTTGAGCTCAGGAGTTTGAGACCCACCTGGGCAACATAGGGAGAACTCATCTCTGCTGAAAAAAAATTAGCCGGGCATGGTGGCATGTACCTGTAGTCCCAAGTACTTGAAGGCTAAGGCAGAGGGCAATTACTTGAGCCCAGGAGGTCGAGGCTGCAGTGAGCTCTGATTGCACCAGTGCACTCCAGCCTGGGTGACAGAGTGTGCCCTGTCTCAAAATAAATAAATGTTGGCCCCAAGTAAACTAAGCTCTTGGTACCCTCAAGAGCTCTGAGGTCTTCAGAATCTTCCTTAAGAACTGAGAAAGGGAGCAAAGTCCCAGGTTCTATGCCTGTCTATACACTTGTGTTCTTATTTTAAAGGGTCGGTATCCCCTAGGATCCTTGCTCCCCTGTTGTTAGTCTGCTTATTGTCACCCTTCTTCCCAAAACACAATAGAAGTTCTCTCAATAGTTTCACACACTCTGAGAAAAGCATCTTCATTCTATTGCCTCACTGAGCAATGCCTCTTATTCCTGAGTTCTCTTTGGATGGCAGAGGTTTGCTTCTTCCTCAGAGGCTTGCTAAAATTCTGGAGCCTGGCACCACAAGTAGTCTCTTATTCAAGGGAAACCCTATTTTCTGCCTACATGGGGTATGTCTTTGACCTTTATCACCCAAACAATAAAACGATACCTTTAGCAAAAAAAATCTTAATATCCATGTAACAAAAATCACTTATGAACAACAGAGTTATTTTATAAACAAAACTATGTTCTACTTTTAGATGTATAATTATAAGCACAGATGTTATGTATACATTCAGATATGACACTACTAAGCAAGATTTTATGTAAACACAGTGACATTGATAGAACGTACATTTTCAAGGAATAAGATGCCACAAGTTTGCACACTCCTTCAGAATGCTGAACATTCCCTGAGACAGAGGTATTTGCTATTCACTGGAAATCCATTTGCTCCCAAGTGATTAGGATTGGACAATGAGCCATGAGCAGGAGCCACTTCTGGGTTGAAGCATTCAACAGTCAGTGTGTTACTCTGACCCCCTTTTTTGCTGCCATGATATAAAGAAGGGGATATATTGACATGGTGGAGCTAGAAGGTACAAACAGCCTGGATCTCTGTGTCACAGCATGGAGGACAGTTACTCTGAAGGAATAACCAACTCACACTGGGGCTAGCATAAATAAGAAATAAATTTTTATTATGTCACTGGGACTCTGGGGTTATAGTTTTACCACATTAGAGCCCATGCTATCTGACATATACATTCCATTATCTCAAATTCCAACATACACAGATTATGAAATAGTATTTTTAAATTGATTGAAGTATTGGTATAGAGAATCATATCAATTAATGTCAGTTTTTATAATAGTACAGCTCCTTTTATCTTAATATACTAGAGACATGGAGACTATCGATAACTAGCCTGAGAGCCTTCAATGTTGGCATATTATTTAAGTTAATGTGAACTTTTATCACTGAAACTATAGACAGGTTAAGAAGTTGGACTCATACCAAAAACACAAGCATTGCAGCAAATCATTTTGAAGACTCAATAGAAGCCTTAAATACAGGTTATGTAAAATGAAACCTTTTATATCTCAATTTGATTTAAGCCCAGCAGTTCAAAGAAGATTTAGGGCACAATTTGTCTGATGGAACTGCTTGTGGCATAGATCTATTCAGTTTTGGAAAATAGATTCCACATTGAAGAGACTGTTTTCCTCTCTATGCTGGATATATAATCCACATCCAGCCACTTATCAGCAAATCCTTGATCTTTGGAGAGATGTTGAACTTGAACATCTTTCTTCTTGTTGTTGCCCACTTATATATTACTTCCCCCACATCAGCCTTAAAATATTGGACCAACAAGACAGAAATAAATATGATTTCCAGAATGTTTCTTGACTTTCTGGTTTTTTTGCCCAGTGTAAATTCATTAAAATATTTTTAAAATTTCTATAGTTGTGTGTTTGGGGGATAGGATGAAGGTGGGGTTGAAAAGGAAGAGGAATTTTATTAGAAAATCTAAGCCAATAATTGTTATTATAATTAAACATTAAGTTTAGCTATGAGCTTCCTAGTAGTCAAGTCAAGAGTTTTGTTTCACTTTTGGCAAAAATAATGCTCCCAGAAGATTACTGGCTGACTATTTAGAGCATTTTAAGAAAATTCAATAGTCTAATTTTGAGGAGCACTGCATCCTAACCAGAGGAGTCCTCCACAAAGTTTACCCTCAATGAAACTAAACCAATTTACTGGTTAAATTAAACTGTTTTATATTTTTTGAATGCTTACAAGAGGAAATTATATCTGAGAAGTAGATAAGCAAATTTAGCAGGAGAGGAACTCACCACTCACGATGATATCTAAAGATTCTCCTCCTGGAGACTTTTTCCATTTAAGTTAATCAATTGTTTGAATTAGTGTAGATGGTGGTTATCAGATCCTTTCTCAGGAAGTTCTGGGTAGGGGTGTCTACAAAATGTGTAACAACCATCGTAGTACTGGGGAAAATAACTCAGTCTGATTGATGTTTTTTAAAAAAAGTTATTCCACATGGGTTATTAAATCTCTAAGTCTTGGGGCCGGGTACAGTGGCTCACACCTGTAATCCCAGCACTTTGGAAGGCTGAGTGGGGGTGATCGCCTGAGGTCAGGAGTTCAAGACCAGCCTGGACAACATGGTGAAACTCCATCTCTACCAGAAAAACAAAAATTAGCTGGGTGTGGTGCTGTGCACCTGTAATCTCAGCTACTTGGGAGACTGAGGTAGGAGAATCGCTTTAACCCAGGAGGTGGAGGTTGCAGTGAGCCGAGATTGTGCCACTGCACTCCAGCCTGGGTGGCAGAGCAAGACTCCATCTCAAAAAAAAAAAAAAAATCCCTGAGTCTTTATTTATCAAGTTGTCCCACCACAATCTGATCCAGTATATTTTTCATAAAGAGAGTTGTTACAAAGAACATGCTTCTTTGTGGTATCCTCTGATACCATCTTATCCTTCTTTGTTGGTTTTTGTGGGCTTCATGGAAGTGTTTGCAAATCTAAGATAGGATGTTGAGTTACCCAGTCACCCAGACCCAGAGCAGTGTCAGAGTCTACTTCGATTCTGTGATTCCTTCAATGTGACTAATGGTGAAGCCCAACCCAAAAGACAGGCATTGGATCACAAAGGGTCACGGTGAAGTGGCATTTTTGCTCCATTTTAAAATAGAGACCTCTGTTTTGTCACCACTACTGCAGTTTTCTGCTTTCCCAGAAAACTATTAACACTGACCTGTCAACACAACCCATGGGCCCCAAAGTCCAGGAGATCAGACACAGAGTCTTTGAGCTTGGGTTGAGACCAGTGCTCACTTGACTCAGACTCCATAGAGACTACAGGCAACATGAGGCTAACAAGCACTACAGCTCTTGACGCTCGGGCTTAGAGAGTATGCTTATAGCCTCTTTCTAAGCAAATTTGGTATGTGAGCCTAGGTGACTAACTCCTTGCTCAGTCCCTTTAAACAGAAGAGTGATCTGTCTGGGAATCTGTCTGGAAGAGTTACTATGACATTCACCTCTGAACTCTCCTCTTTCTGTAGCTCACCAGTGGTGGAGTGGAGGCCATAGGAATTATAGTGAGTCTTAGGTCAGATTCCCAAGGAAAGAGATTTGGGAAGATATTTACATGCAGATAGCTCATAAGTGATTGCTGTAAAAAGCAGTACCTGTACGGATGTGAGGAAAGCAGGCCTGGGCAGAGGAAGAAGTTGAACTGTGATGGGGTTGCAGCAGAAGTCTCATATGATCCCACAAAGAGGTCTGGAGCTGGGATGGCTTTCCAGAGATGCGCTACATTGAGGCAAAGGAGTTGGCCCTTTATTTGTACTCACTTATAGTCCAAGCATTTGATACGGGCTGCCCTTGCAGAGGACATGTAACCTCGGGCAAGGCAGCTCCCTTTGAGCAAAGGCAATGCCTAAGGAGAGTCTCAGCTGTGAGCTGCCTGCAGACAATATCCCTAGCAGCTGGGAATGATACTTTGGCCCAAAAGGGGGCACCTGGGTGGCACACCAGAGCATTGACTACACCCTTCTTTCCTTCTATCCCATATCTTCAAATGAACAATTAAGCTTAGCTTCAGAAATATTAAGGGGAATTAATGACACATTTAAGAGAGGAAATGATGGATTGACTCCATCCAAACTATAATAAGGATACACACAAAGTAAAGGGCTAATTATTAAATAAACTATAAGACCATAGACAACTATAGACAGGTGAGTGGAATGACTCCAGGTGATCTCCATAAGCTATTAGAGCAATTTTTTTTTTGAGATGGAGTCTCACTCTTGTTGCCCAGGCTGGAGTGCAGTGGCACAATCTTGGCTCACTGCAAGCTCTGCCTCCCGGGTTCACACAATTCTCCTGCCTCAGCCTCCGGAGTAGCTGGGACTACAGGCGCCCACCACCACGTCCGGCTAATTTTTTGTATTTTTAGTAGAGACGGGGTTTCACCGTGTTAGCCAGGATGGTCCCAATCTCCTGACCTCGTGATCCGCCCGCCTCGGCCTCCCAAAGTGCTGGGATTACAGGCATGAGCCACCGCACCTGGCCTAGAGCAATTTTTTAAAAGTGACAGCGGTAGGGAAGCAGGGGTTGTTTTTGCTTCCATGACCTAATAAGAATCAAGCCATCTGAGGTCCACCCACTAGAACTTTTTCAGCTTGGAGTACAGCCCTGAATTGCCTATCTTTTGCTCCAAACTTGACCTTTGGGGTCCTTGTGGGAGGCATACTATCAGTTCATGATCATCAGGTCTCTGGCAATGGCCTCATAGCTGACTTTCAGAAGACCACCAGCCTCAAGCTTCCCTTGTCAAGATAAAGCTCAGGGGAGCCCTTGCCATTAATAGTTATCTTCCTTAATGACTCCTCAATATCATTTTAAGTCCTATACTACATTTAAATAAGTACATATACTTGCACATTATCAGAAATTCAGAAAATTAAGAATAGGAAAATGATTAATTAAATGTTACCTTTAGGCCAGGTGCAGTGGCTCACGCCTGTAATCTCAGCACTTTGGAGGCCAAGACGTGTGGATCACCTGAGGTCAGGAGTTCAAGACCAACGTGACCAACGTGGTGAAAACCCATCTCTACTAAAAATATAAAATTAGCTGGGCATGGTGGCGCATGCCTGTAATCCCAGCTATTTGGGAGGCTGAGGCAGCAGAATGCTTGAACCCGGGAGGCAGAGGTTTCAGTGAGCCGAGATTGCACCATTGCACTCCAGCCTGGGCAACAAGAGCAAAACTCCATCTCAAAAAAAAAAAAAAAAGTTACCTTTAATCCCACCACTGCTAACATAATTGTACACATTCATCTTTTCAATCTTTTTTCTTACCCATATGCAAGTCCTATTAAAAAAATAATTTTAATATGGAGTCATACACTTCTGGATACAAATCTTGGTTCCACCACTTAACGGGGTGACCTAAAGTAATTCACTCTTGATTTGTTTATTCATCTATAAAATGGGAATTACACTCACCCCATGGAATTTTGTTAGGCTTTAAAATGAGATGATATATATAAACCATTTATCCCATTGCTTGGTGCATAACAAACATTCAATAAATGTAATATCCCTTGACGTCCACACCTGAGGAGCTAAATTGCAAAAACCGCATAGGACCCAACTTCAAGAACTGAGTTATGATCTGAGAAAAGCCTCCTTTAAAAGATCTCAAGCTTCATTGCTTAAATTAATTCCAAACTTCTTAAAGATATTAAAAGGCAATGCACAATTTGATTCAGATATGTAACATGAAACTGTGTAATTAAACATATATATCCTGAAATTAATTTTACATTCATTTTTATAATACAGTACACTTATATAGAATTACACATGGCTCTTGATTAAACAGCAGACTGCCGTTCAATCAAACAGCTCGAGATAGATCATAAAACGTGAAAATGCAGCATCAGCACCAAAATATGGTTATGGGATTTTAATATTCACTTCCATACTCTTACCTAGGTAGCATAAAAATGGATGTTTCAGAGAGAAAATGTTAAGAAACTGTTAAGCATTAAGCATATCACATTTCTGCTTAAATGCTATTGGGTCATCTAGATTTATTGTGAATAAGACAAGAGGAATTTAGGGATTTGTCTTTCAAAGTGAAGTTAATTAGGGCCAATATAATTTTGGTATAAAAATTTCAATTATGAAAATAAAAAACTTTTAAAGGCATTTGAGTTTATTATTTTCTCTATTTCATGGTTCATTTTCAAAATAAAAACTACTGAACTGTGCACATAGTACGATGGAAATATTTTCCAAATCTCAACTCTTTTTTTTTTTTTTTGAGACGGAGTCTGGCTCTGTTGCCCAGGCTGGAGTGCAGTGGCGCGATCTCGGCTCACTGCAAGCTCCGCCTCCTGAGTTCACGCCATTCTCCTGCCTCAGCCTCCTGAGTAGCTGGGACTATAGGTGCCCGCCACCGCGCCCGGCTAATTTTTTGTATTTTTAGTAGAGACGGGGTTTCACGGTGTTAGCCAGGATGGTCTCGATCTCCTGACCTTGTGATCCGCCTGCCTCGGCCTCCCAAAGTGCTGGGATTACAGACGTGAGCCACCGCGCCTGGCCCTCAACTCTTAAATAATACAAATTCTTGCCGAGTTTGAGGAGGAGGGCAAAAGATAAATGAGATTCACAGATGATTCCTTAAATTTTTGTTTCACTCTTTAATGTGATTTTCTTCCCTTCTACGAACCTTTATCTGAGCAGTAAAAAAGATAGTAAAATTGGCAATTTGAGTTTCATTTCACTCAACTTCCCACGTGAGAAGACCTTTCGGGTCGGGAAAACCCCCTGCTCTACTCAACTGTTCACCATCGCTCATGTAAAAGTTATTTTCCCTCAATTTGATTATGCCCAAATAAGGCCTAGCTAAAGCATCAGAGATTTTTAAGTGTAAACATTTTATTGAAAAATGTTTTGTTATGTGATAATTCTCCACAAGTCTCTCACATTTCTGCATGTCCTGTGAGCAGTGAGGCACTGACAACTTTTGTTCCAGACTAACTTTCCAAGGATGTTTGTATACAGAACAGCTTTGGAAGATAGATGGCATCTTCCTCCCAAGCAAAGGACAGGTTTGTTTATTATTTGCTATAACAAAGGTATTGTCTCCCTCCAGGGCAAAGATAGAGCATGTTGCTTTTATCTCATTATGAAGGATTTGGTTTCTCTAAACTTGAGGTTCCTCAGCCATGACACAAACCCATTGTGTGTATAGCATCCATTGTAGCCTCTTCTGTGCAATTCGGGGGAGGAAGACCAAAGGGAACCAGAGCTAACATAAAGCTCATGCTATTTGCCATGCTATGAGTCACAAACTATTTTGTCTCTGACCTAGGAATATCATGTCTTCTGCCAGCATCCATAAAACTATGGCAGGATTGCAAATAGAGTAAAATCTCAGACCCTTCACAGTTCTTGACGTAATACACATTTAAAAGGTACACATTCTTTGAAGAGAGGATTAAGGGAAAATAAAAGAAAAATAAAGGGGGAAGGGAGGAAAAAGTACACAAATCACAAGTGTACAAGTAGGTGAATTTTTATGAAGTAAACACACTTATACAAACAAAACCAAAGGAACGGAATAGAAGCAGAACCTCAGAACTCCCCTTGTGCTCACTAACAGTCATAACTCCCCTACGGAGCAAGTGTTCTCCCGACTTTCAACACCATAGTTTAGTTTTGCCTTTCTTGAACTTCACATGATTGAAACCATACAGTGTTTAGTCTTTTGTATGGCTTATTTTGCTCAAAATTATGTTTTTGGAATTTATCCATGTTGTTGCATATAGTTTTAGCTTCTCCATTCTCATTACTAAATAGTATTCTATTAATATCATGTCAGTATGCCACATTTCTAATGAAGTCTTTCTGGAATCCCCTAGCTTCTTCTGAATTCCCCCAATCCTTAATTAGGACCTTTCCTGTTCAACTCACCACTTTTTTACTTTCTATTTTAGTTATTAAAGTATATTTATTATTTTCTGTACTAGACTAGTCATTACTTCAAGACTTAAGCCTCAAGGGAACCTGACAGGTATATTCATTCATTCAATTATTCTGCAAACATTCATAAAGAACCACCTATGTCTGCAGTGTTAGCTGCCAGCACTGTGCTCATCCACATAACCAGCACACACACAAAAAAAATATGGTAAGTGATTATTTAATAGGCAGGAAGAAAAGTGAAAGAGGCCACAAGAAAATGGCTGACAAAATTTACCAGCCAGAGAAAGTGTCCTGACTAATGTAGAGTTGACTACACTACATGAGGAATGAGTCTAGTTTTTACAAACTACAAGGACTTATATGACAAACTGCCTATTAATATATTCACATGATTCTCTCATATGCATTTTTCAACTTTAGCAAAGGAAAGCCTGTGATTCACACATCCCCTCCAAATTTGTTCCTCCACAATTTTTTCCATCTCATTAAAATATACTATAGTCCATTCAGTTGCTCAAACCAAAAATACTGGCATCATCTTCCTTATTCCTCACATCCAGTGCATCAATACACTCTGTAGAGCTCACCTCTAAAGCACATCCCAAGTCAATGCTTTTGCCCATCTCCACTTCTACCAATCTAATCCTCATGTTTCCCTACATCTCATCTGTCCCTGTCTTCATTCTCCACGTGGTAACCGCAGTTATCTTGAAACATATGTCAGGTCATGTTATTCTCCTGATGAAAACCCTCCAATAGTGACATAGTTTGGATATTTGTTCCCTCCAAATCTCATGTTGGAATGTGGTCCCCAATGTTGAAGGTGGAACCTGGTGGGAGGTGTTTGGTCATAGGGGTGGATCCCCAAGGAGGGCATCAAACCATTAATGAATGGGGTAATGAGTGAGTTCTCATTGTATTCATTCACAGTTGTTTAAAGAGTCTGGCACTTCCTCTATTCTCTCTTGCTCCCTCTATTGCCATGTGCCTGCTCCCCTTTCACCTTCTGCCGTGATTGAAAGCCCCCTGAAGCCTCACCAGAGACAAGAAAGCACCATGCTTCTTGTACAGTCTGCAGAACCATGAGCCAAATAAACTTCTTTTCTTTACAAATTACCCAGTCTCAAGAATTCTTTTACAGCCATGCAAAATGGACTAACACAAATAGTAGCTCATTGGTCCTAGAACAAAATATAATCCCTTTTCTGTAAAGTTAAAGCCCATGCTAAACTGTGATTCTAGTTTGTCCTCACCTATAAAATTCTAGTCACCAACCTTTTTATTTGCCAGGCTTGCCTTGCCTAGAGCCTTTGTACATTCTCATCCCTTAGTCTGGAAAGCTTTCTCTCTTATCTTCATATGGCTCATTCGCTCTTTTCACTTAGATCTCGGCTTAAATATCACCACCCCAAAGAACCCCTTCTTGATATTCTAATCCAAGGAAGCCAATCAGTTACTTTCTGTCACATCACCATATTTTAATCCACTGCATAGTACTTTCCTTATCTGACATTTTCTTTCTTTTTTAGTATTAACTATTTTATAACTTAAAATGTAAAAAAAAAATACTTATAACCAAATACTGCTTATAACTGAGACTTCCATATTCTCTATTATAGTTTTGGTAAATATTTTGTCTGACTTTTAACCTAACTGCTATAGAGCTATGAATTCTAATGTTTATTTACTTGAGTGTTTTAGGTTGAATTATGTCCCCCCTGTCAAAAGAGATGTTGAAGTCCTAACCCTCAGCATTTCAGAATGTGACTTTATTTGAAAAGACGGTCATTGCAAATGTAATTAGTTAAGATGAGGTTGTGCTGGTGTAGTCTGGATATAACTGGTGTCTTTATAAGACAGCCGTGTGAAGACACAGAGACACAGGGATAAAACCCTGTGAAGACAGAGGATTGCAGCGATGCATCTACAAGCCAACTCTGCCAACATCTTGACTTTGGACTTCTGGCCTCCAGAACTGTGAGACAATAAATTTCTGTTGCTTTTAGCCACCTAGTTTGTAGTACTTTGTTATGGCAGTCCTAGGAAGTAAGCAGATGTGTTTAAAGGGAATAGATAAAACATACATGTTGATGATTTAGGTTCTTTCTAAGACAGAGTGGGACACAGCAATGAAATCAACTTTCTCTACTTTTGCAGTTTCTCTTCCTTTTGCAGGCTCTGCTCCAATAATGTGTGTAGTGATACCACAATGAGCCTGAGAGCCAATCCCAAAATTAAAGGTACTTTAGAATGTACCAGGGAATATGAGAAAATCAAATGCTCATTTTCCCCAGGACCTTCATTGTCATCGGTTGAATCAATCATTGAGTTGCATTTACAGCTATTATTCATAGCATGTCTGGTAGCATTAAGACCTTTCAGATCTTATTATCTTAGCTGATGTTGGTAGAATTACATTTACATTGATTTCTAAAAGACAGTGTGTTTGAGAGCATGCTTGGGTGGTGTTTACCAAATGGGATTGCCTAGTAAACATAGACAAAGAGTTAAGAATGCTACAGAGCTGATCAGATGACAAAGACAAATCTTATTTAAGAATAATTGGATTTATGTTACCCATAAATCTGAGTTGTATCTGTGAAATGCTCCCTCTTATGCAATAGATACATGGGTAGGGATAGAGTGAGAATAATATATCTCTCTCAAGATCATTACCTGACACTAGAGAATAGTTGTTGCTATTTTGTTTCCAATATTGAAACCCTGAGAAATGCCAGTGCATGATGATGGTGCCTCCTCTGCTCAACTTGCAGTGGGCATTTGGCAAATATTAAATCATGTTGTTTGGACAAAAGTCTTCGACAATGTGGAAAATAATCTATTTGTGTTCATTATTATATGATTTCATCTTTATATGAGTCGCCTTGACCTGGTCAAAACATTTTATTTGGTTGGAGATTTGACTAGGGATGGCACACATAATACACTCTCAGATCTGAGTGACTTCTGAATTACCCATGGCCAGATAACCTCTCTACAGAAGGCTGATGGAGTAGTGGCTAAAAGCCCAGGTGTTAGAGGCAGATACACCTAGGTTTGAGCCCTGGCTCTATTCCTACTAGCCACAGGCTTTTAGAAAATTATTTAACTTCTCTGCACTTCCAATTCTTTACCTGTAAATGGAAAAAATGATGACATGTGCTTTGCAGAGGTCTTGTGAGGATTAAGTGAGATCAGACAGGTAGAAATGTGAAATGGTTAACTTTATTTTAACTTGCTTAAATCTTCAAAGACCCTATTTCCAATGAAGGCTACATTTCTAAGAACTGGGATTAGGACTTCAATATACCATATATTTTCTTGTGGGGAGGGTCAGTGGTGGAGACACACAATTCAACTCATAAAAAGGCCTTGCCCCACTAGGTAGTCCCTGGGTGAAAAATTAATGAGGTTTTCTGTCCCTGTGCTAACATCAAAAGCCATGATTTAAAAACTAAGAGCCTTTCATCTCTACTCAAGCACAAACATACTGGACTGAGGACATTTGGTCAATTTCAGAGGAGAGCAAAGCTCATCAAGCTTCAGTACTAGGAGGCACTTCAGAGACTTCTATAAGTGACCTACCCACTTTACAGATGAGAAAACTGAGTCAGAGACATGATTTACCCAAACTTTCAGAGCTCATCAGGTTACAGACAAAAGTAGAACCCACATATCTTTACTTCCCTTTCATTATTCCATAGGTGTTGGGATTTCTTCACCTCAACATGTCTGTATAGACATAACCTTGAACATAGTCCCTAAGAAAATATTTCTCAGAGACACCAGTATATCCAATAAGCCTCTAAGCATAATAATCAGAACCAGTGGGTAAGGCATTCTAACAATCCCCAAATGTGTTTTTAACACTGTTATTGTTGTTTTAACATTGAATACATTTAGCCAGGAAATCCAAACTTGTTTCTGAAGCATTCCAACTGTTGTGTTTATACCCGGTTGCCACACAACATTTTCTCCTACTGTGTTTTAGTTGGCAAGAGCTGGAGGACAAGTTTTCATAGCCAAGTAGCCTCAGATAGGGAATCTTTCCAATCCCCAGAGACCTGGCACAGCCCCAGAATCAATAGTCACAGGAATAGGTGCCAGACTCATCCCATCCAGGGTTTTAGCTAGCCTTGGACCAACCCCTATTTAGACCCTGAAGCTGGATAGGAAGAACCAGCTGAAAAAATAGAGCTATACAAAGGTTATAGATAAATAAGTAAAAGTTACTTTTTTTTCCGTCAGAAAAAAAGGGGAATCCTGCACAGAATATATTAAATTCTTCATTTACCCTTGCTCCCACTACCAAAAAATTGCAAATGCAGCCATGTTGCCAATCTCTTGAATTAAATGTGGATAACTGCATTCAATATTTTACTATCATTACATACTTTTCAGAACACAGAATATGGAGTTCTGTCACCATCACAGGGAGTTGCCTACTTTCATTACACAATTTGGAGATTGTGAAATGAAAATATATATGATTTAAATGGCAATGTATAAATCTGGCATCTTTCTCCATAGGATATATCATTCATTCATTTAGCAAACTTTGAGCATACCGGCACAGTGCTATGCCCTGGGATTCTTAGATGAATAAATCTGGGTCCCAGACGTGCTTACAGATTGTAAAGGAAGACACTGTGTTCCACCTATGGTCCATTGTGACACTTGCTATTAAAAAGGCTTATCGGAGGCCGGGCTCAGTGGCTCATGCCTGTAATCCCAGCACTATGGGAGGCCAAGGCAGGTGGATTACCTGAAGTCAGGAGTTTGAGACCGGCCTGGCCAACATGGTGAAACCCCATCTCTACTAAAAATACAAAAATTAGCTGGGCGTAGTCACGGGCACCTGTAATCCCAGCTACTCAGGAGGCTGAGGCAGGAGAATCGCTTGAACCCAGGAGGCAGAGGTCCCAGTGAGCCGAGATCGTGCCATTGCACTCCAGCCTGTGCAACAAGAGTGAAACTCCATCTCAAAAAAAAAAAAAGCATATGGGACCAGGTGTAGTGGCTCATGCCTATAATCCCAGCACTTTGGGAGGCTGAGACAGGCAGATCAGCTGAGGTCAGGACTTAGAGACCAGCCTGGCCAACATGGGTGAAACCCTGTCTCGGCTAAAAAAAAATACAAAAAATTAGCACGGTGTGGTGGCGCATGCCTGTAATCCCAGTTACTTGGGAGGGCGAGGCAGGAGGATCATGTGAGCCCACGAGACAGAGGTTGCAGTGAGCTGAGATCGTGCCACTGCACTCCAGCCTGGGTGACAGACTGAGACTGTCTCAAAAAAGAAACCAACAAACAAAAGGCATATATACAGTGTTTTCAGGGCTGATATGAATGATTAAGTCTGCCTTAGAGGGAAACATGGAAGATGGTCAATGTGCTGAGAAAGGTTTGATCTAATTGGTGTTTTAGAAAGATGACCATGGTAACAGTCAGAGTCAGGCCGGCAGGACGTGCATACTGTATGGGTACTCTGGGCCCAGGCCTAGGCCATTTTATGTGACTATTTTAATTTTCCTTCAGCTATGTCCTTCTCAGAAGGCAGACAGGGTATGAGCAGTTCTTTGTGACCATTCTACTATATGCTGCTGTGAAGAGGGTAGAGCTCTGCTCAGCAAACCTCATCTTTCTGCAGATGGAGCTGGTCCACGGTGGGCTGGAGCACTGCTGGTGATCCTTTGTCCAGCATCCTGTCCAGGGAAAAGCTGCCTTTGTTCACTTGTCTGACCAGGCACCAGATTATACCCTCCAACTAAAGATGAACTGGGAACTGTAGTTGTCCTAGAGGTAGGGGAGAAAAGAAGGGTAGTGGTGGGAGAGCAAAAGCAGAGAAGGAGAGGCTGGAGGTATGGAGCTCATCTGGCTTTATCTGGATATTGCTCTCCTGGACTCCAAATGGAAAATAGAACTGAACACCCATGATTAAAAAATGCAATACACGCTAAGAAAGTCTAAAGTAATTTACACCAGGCATTAAAGTATTTTGCATGAGAATATAGTGTGATGTAGACAACCCAAGAATTATGTCTTTCATTAAAAGGTTTGCAACTCAGTGTGCTGTGATATAACTATAGCAGTTTTTCTGTCTTGGTGATGGTTTTTTATTTTAAACACTGCCTTACAAATCGAGGAATGCAAATGCGTCGGGAACACTCAGCCTCTGGGTTTTAACTTATTGTCACCTCTTACTAATCACTTCCTTTTTGTACTTTACCTGCTTATGCCAAGGTGAAAGGTGAACAGTTATACTGCCATTGCCCCTCAACCCCATGTATCCTGAGCCCAGCTATAAAGTAAACTGCCATTTATTTCTTCATTATTCAAAGTTAGCATTTGCTAGTTCAAAGCCCATTTGAGATTATGCATCAAGAATGATATACATTAAGGTTGGGATTAAAGGAAAATCAGTTACATGAAAGAAAGGTGTTTTGCCACAAATCTTGTGTGTGCATGTCAAGAAGTATATTCATTGCCTAATTTAAAAAGAAACCAGGACAACCCTCAGAGATATATACCTGCATCTGGCCAGTCTTTTTATAAGGATACTTTCTGTTTGAAGTTGGACTGGGAAGTTAAAGGAAAAACATTTCTCCCTGGCTACTACATGCAGTTTATCGAAAAACAATATATACGTGTAATTCTGATTTTAGGCACTCATGAAGCGTAAAACCAAAAGTTGATTCATCCTGAATATGCTTAGGGTAAGTAAACTGGGCTTAGAAGTAAGGCTGACAGATTTAGGTTTGCTACAAGGAGAGATCAGATGAGCGTTCAAATTCCCTTCTAACCCAATAATTCCATAATTGTATTGATTATTGCCTAATTATACTCATGATCTTGCTGGCCTGTTTGGAGGGACCATTTGCTGATTTGGTACAAACCTTGGTGATGCTCAGTGTGAATCAAGGGACCTACAATGGGCCAGGCACTGAACTAGGTACTTTTCATTAATCATTCCATTTAATCCTCAAATCAGTTCCAAAATTTGGAAATTATGAGAGTTTCTACTGTGTATCATTCTCTTTGGCATAACTTATCATATAAATTAGACTATTTTTTAAACTAAGCAACTAAGATCTCAGATCTGATGCAATACTGAATATAAAACTACTATGATTATATTCTATACAATGCCTAGAATTCTGTGAGCTCATACATAGAAAACAATAAAAAATAATAATGGCTGTATTGTTGCTGGACCGGTTTGCAACAGACACAGAGGTTATCATGTGCAAATCAAATGCTTGAATATGAATTTACCAAGATGCTGGTGCTCTGGAGATTGTGGCTCCAGAGACTAAGTGCCTTCTGGTCTCTGTGATGGTCCTAATGCCACCTAGGCTCCTGGCAGTATGTCTACCATTTGGGACCAGCTTGATAAATGTGTGTAGAACTGAATTTAGGCACACTAGCCTCTTTTTCAGGCCTCTCCTAAAGCACCCTGAGCCCCTTGGTTTCCAAACATTATAGTGGGAAGGTCAGAAGGGCAAGGCCTTTCCATATGTTTCTGTCATCCTCTCTGATCAAGGTTTGATAAGCAAGAGTGTTATCTGACGCCTCCAGAGCAGATGCTCACAACCCATTTCTGCTTTTAACTCAAAGTCAGATTTTGCTAAAGGACTTTTGGGGTCTGGATAGGGGCTGTGTGACCCACAGACTTTGAGTAGAAGCCCTCTTTTATAACTCAGGGAAGGTGCCAAATAGTTCCATGGGTAAAAATTAGTGAAAAAATACCTTGGTCTCATATTTTTGCACCCAGCTTAGCCACTTCATCATCTCCATCTGGCTTTGCTCTTGTACAACAAAAATATCAAAGTGGACTTGGCAAGGCTCATCCCCAAAATATGCTTTCATTGTCTACATTAGCTCATCTCTATCCAGTCGATAAAGAATATTTTACTGTGGTTAATGTCATTTGTTTCATGAAAAGAACTAACTTAACAACCGTACCTAGCTCTGAATAAATCCAATGGTTTTAATAATCAAGGAGAAACCAAATACTTATTAAGTCCCTTAATTTGGACTGGTTGTTTTATTTAATACAACCCTGTTTCCAGCTATCTATTTTACTGGTGAAGAAACTGAGGCTCAGAAAATTGAACAATTAGCTCACGATCACAGAGTGAATTAGTGGAGTTAGTGACTAAGTTAGGATTTGCACTTCAGTCCATTTGAGAAGTGAGCCTGAGCTTTTTCTACTAGACTTAAAGACTTTCATCAGCTCAATAGAGATACAGAACCGCTGAATCAGAACTCTGCCTATGTATCCTGACATGGTACAAGTTACTCAGGGCCACCCTCTATTCCAAGGAGGACACAGGAAGCACTCCCTCCCCAGAGTTGATAGCCACCTTTGTGTACACGGACACTGGGAAACGGCTGTTGGGTGTGCTGGAGGCATTGCAAAGGACTGGGGGAGGCATCACAGACCACCTTAGCACCCTGAGGAGCCCAGATGGCTGTTGTCAT
Source organism: Homo sapiens (assembly GCF_000001405.40). Lineage (NCBI taxonomy): Eukaryota > Metazoa > Chordata > Mammalia > Primates > Hominidae > Homo > Homo sapiens. The sequence continues at coordinate 176,725,448 of NC_000002.12, read as the reverse complement.
TCATGTTTCCAACCAAAACAATGTCAGGGTGGCCTTTGACGCTTTGGATGGAGATGACTTTGTCAACCCAACTGAGAGCACTGCGGGGCTGAGCAGCATTTTGCAGTAGCAGCACCAGCCTACAATCAATGATTCCTGTTTTTAACAGTGAATTCTTCCTTAACCACCTAAAAAGTATACAAAATTGTAGATCCAAACCATGGGGCTGGATATGATTTTAAGGTCATCTATCATACATACCACTATCTTTACATGAAAATAAGTGTCTATACCATTTAAATGAGCTCACATGTATTTGTTAAGCAGTCCATTCTCTTCTTTGTGGAATGAAGTTAATGGGTGAAATGAACAGAATCAGCATGCTTTTTCATTTTGTTGGCATAAATTTTTAATCATCTTGGCTGAGGAGGTGAGTGCCTGTTTCCCCGGTTGATTTAAAATACCATGCGGTTAATGTATACAAAACTGAACTACTGCACTTGATTGGGGGAAGAGTGTTTAGTTATCACTTTTGTTAATTGTTTTCCGTGGAGAATCCATAAGATAGGGAAGCAGGCATCAGTTTGTTTTCAGACGAAAAGAAACTACAGCACAGAGAGGTAGAGCATTTATCTCAGAGTACACAAGAGGTGGAGAATTCTAACACAGGTTCCAAGTTTCCAGCCAGAGCAATCTTGTTTAAGTAACCGACAAAACGCCAGTGGGCAGAGATGTCAAAATAACATCATAGCAGGACAAAAGGTGTACTGAGAAATAATGCCTATTCCCAGACAAATTAGTGAAGTTATAGTTTGGAGCAAAACATAAAATCTAACAAATCTGTGCTATGCAAACCATTTCCCAGTTTTCTCTTTCAATGGCATCTTGATGAAGGTTTTTGCCTGTGAAAAATATCATTTAACTTTGATAGCTATAGATATGTGCTTTTTCTTTCATTGTAAACATTTGTTAAACATCTTTCCATATGGCACCTAACTTAATTTCTACTCACAGCTGCCTTGCAAGAAATGGAAGGGAAGCACAAGGGGATTGAGTGCCTTGGCTGAAGCCCTTGGTCAGCAAGTGGTGGAGCAAGCATTGAGACAGCAGCTTCTAACCTAAGCATGTGCTCATCTCAGCACTCTGCCCAAAACCTGCTCAGTTCAGCTTCCTAGAGGGGCTCCCTACTCACACACTTTGGAAAGGAGAACAGTTCTTCACGTAGAATGTGAACAATCAAGCTGGACTCTCACAGAACTTCCTAGAGGCCCTACTCTGGCCCAAGATTGAACCACAGTGAAATCATCAGTTCTGCATTGGATGATATCACTGATCAATTTTCTTTCCATTCCGTCATTTGGTGCACCCTTCCTCTACCTCCAGAGTCATCTGGACCCGTGACTACCACCAACAGATCTTAGCACCCTGAAATCTCAGTTCTGGCCTGCTGACTTTTTATATCCATATATTTTCTAACTTTATCCATCCTCAAAGACTTCCCTCCTTGGGACCCTGTTTTCTAATGATAAATAAGTAATGAGTCTTATAATCCAAGACTCACTGACAATGGAATTGCAGAAATTCCCTATCCACAGGCGTGACTATTAGAGTGGGAATTTCAGACACACCGACAGGGTAAGTAGAGAAATCTTATAGGAGGACTGAGGATCTTATACCCCAGCAACCACTCTGCCATTCTGAATGGGATGTGGCTGGCCCTAGACCAGCTACAAATGCATGTCATGTCCTTATGTCAGATTCATCAAATGTCAAATCAGGAAGTCATTTGGATAACACATTTCTGGTTATAAATAACAAAAACTGACTCAAGCTAGCCTAAGGGAAAAAATTAATAATCTAAATATATGGAGGTGAGAAATCAAGGAGAACTCAAGGAAAATCTGAACAAGCAGGTCTCAGGAATACGGTGAACAGGGGCCACTCTGAGGACACACGGATAAGATTCCAAAAACTTTCTCTTGTTAATGTGAATGGTTCCTATCTTATTCTGGCTGAGCTGCCGTAACAAAATACCTTAGACTGGGTAATTTATAAGCAACAGAAATTTATCTCTTGCAGTTTTGGAGTCTGAAAAGACTAAGATCAAGATGCCAGCAGATCTGATATTTAGTGAGGGCTTATTCCTCATAAATGGCAACTTCTTACTGTGACCTCATATGGTGGAAGGGACAAGCAGGCTCCCTCAAGCCTCTTTTATAAGGGCACTAGTCGCATTCATGAGGGTAGAGACCTCATGGCCTAATAACCTCCCAAAGCCCCCACCTCTTAATACTATTACTTTGGGGATTTAGATTTCAACCGTGAATTTGCGGGGGACACATACATTCAGCCCATAGCAGTTCCCAATACCCAGACCTCTTGACTGACTCTGACCAAAGCTTTGACAGAAAGAGCCAGACTAAGCCAGACTAAGTAAGGTGACCACTTTGATCCAATCAACTCTAGCCTGTGCAACAGGGTCATGAGGTTCAAACACACTGTGGGGAAGGGGAGGGGAGAGTATTCAGAGAAGAATGTCCATTATGTGAGGCCATAGTGACTACCCATGAGTGAACACTCCTCATTTTACAGAAGAGGAAGCAGGGGTCCAGAAGAATAAAGTGATTGTCTCAAGGTCAAACAGCTGGTAGTAGAAGAGCTGGACTAAAACATAGCCCCCTCCTGGCTCCCCAGACTGAGGTCTTTGATCTGCCCTTATGTTTCTATTCCTTGCATGTTTTATGGCCTCAGTCTACCTTCCCTCCCACCTGCCATCCCCACTGCAGACACAGCAGTCTTCAAAAAGCCCAAATCTGACCATGACACTGCTCTGCAAATTAGCCATCTGTCACTTCTAGTCCAGATTCTTTAGCACTGCAGACAAAGCCCTTTTAACACTGACTCATAGAGTGTAGGAGTCTACTAGAGCTGCCATGACAAAATACCCCCAGAATGGGTGACTTAATTGACAGAAATGTATTTCTCACAGTTCTGGAGGCTGAGAAGCCCAAGAGCAAGGAGCCAGCAAGATAGGCTTCGTGCTAAGACCTCTCCTTTTGATTTGCAGGTGGCTACCATCTTGTTATGCACTCACATGACCTCTTTTCTCACCAGAGATCTCTGGTGTCCCTTCCTCTTCTTATTACAACACTAGTCCTATTGGATGAGGACCCCACTCTTAAGACCTAATTTAATCTTAATTACCTCCTTAATGGCCCTGTCTCCAAATATAGTCACCCTGGGGATTGGGGCTTCAACATGTGAATTGGCAGGGCAGGGGGATGCAATTTAATCTACAAAATGGAGCTTTTCCCATTCTTCAGTACAGCCTCTCTTCCCTGTTCCCTTTACACTTAGCTACTCAGCCTACCTCGCCCCAACCCCACAAGTCATGCTCTTTTAAGTTCCCTCTGCTTGTCTGCTTGTGCTTCAAGTCTCAACTCAATGACTGTTATTCAATGGAGCCTCATGGGTGGTCATCCTCTGGTCAGATGTTCCCCATATGCTCCTTTAGCCCTGCCATGCATGTGTGTCACATGTGTGCCCTATGGAGCAGTCACGTGTGTACATTACTGCATTTGCCACATTCTATTTCAATTAATGTATTTATGCATTTGTCTCTCCAAACAGAATGTGAACTCCTGGAGAGCAGAAACTCTCTCATTGATTTTAATCTTCTCTCCTTATTGCCTACCCAGAGTTCGGCACATGGCAGGTATTCAGTAAGTGCTGGTTGAATAGACAGGCAGCATGTTATACAAAAGAAAGACTGGTAACTATATTCTTTGTCTCCATTTCATCACCATTTATTTCAGGGAAAATTTTTCATGAACCATGGAGATATATGTGTATCAGAAATTGAAGGGGAAAGTAAAGAGTAGGAATTAGAATACTTTTCTAAAGTGATAAGGAAAGCAGAACTTTGCTTAATCACTAACGTCAAAGGGGAGACTCACATTGGATTACGAGATTTTTGCACAGTGGATCCCTGGTGCATAAACAAGGGATGGATTCATCATATTCTTTCATGTTGTGCTCTAATAGTGCTACTGGGCTATGCAGCAACTGCAATGGGAAGCCCCATGAAACACACCAATAGACAAATGCTCAACAAACATGATAAAATACAAGAGCAGCACACGATAAGACTCATTTTTCCATTCATTTTGACAAGGGTAATTTAGTTTTAATTACTAATGATAATATATATTGTCTACTAGTAAATGTCTGGTGGTGAATTTTGTGAACTTTTCATCTTAGGATATCATAGTACTCCTGAATTTGTTCGTTAAACCTTTGTTGCAAGCCAGAAGAAAATGAGCAAGTTTGTGAATTGAGAAGGAGGCATAAATAAGCTCCTACTGTAGCAACTATATATGGTACTTTGAAAATTAGAGAACAAGATACAGTGGCCTTTTAAAATATTTTTATTCAATTGGAATACTATAATTTCAAAATTAATAAATTGAATGGCCATATTCAATTCTGTCTCAAAATGATTGAATAATTGATTAAAACCTAGTTTCATTTTCAAGGTCAAAGAAGTACGTAAATTGTGTTTGCTGGACAAGCTAGAAGAAACAGACAATTGTTTAATTTTAGTTGTGTTTACAATTTGTACACTCAGTGTTCCTATTGATGTGTGTTTGTTCTCATAACAAATCATGTTCAATTATCAATAAGAACTCAAAGAATACAGCTAAGGTGTGAAATTATACAAATCATTCCACTGTAAAGAAAAGGCCCTAGAGGTGAACAGTATATTGAATTTTTCAAAAGAAAATTATGTATTTGTGAGTGTGTATCATTTGGTGAAATGATTGTCATGGGAAATTAAATCTCACCTTGAAAGAAATGAGTAAGAATGGGAAAAATCACCATAAATTCCCTCTTTATAAAGGAATTTTACTTTTTGACAAATGAAATTTTCTCTAAGCTTCTAATCATACATGTCAACTGCAGACATATGTTCATATATGGATAATGTAAATACATACTTTTGCTATACTATATTCTTCTAGCTTAATTCAGATTTATTTCAAAGGAAAATAAAGAAGTTAGGCATCATCCAATTCAGTATTTTTCAAAGCATTATCCATGGACTGCCTATATCAGAATCCCTGGCATGCTGGTTAAAAATAAAGCTTTCCAGGTCCTAACCAAGACCTGAAGCAGAATCTCAGAGGTAAACTTTATGATGAAGCAAGTTAGGGAAACACTTGTCTGACTAATTCAGACAAGACTTATTTCCAAACCACCCAGTTGGTTTCAATGCATCAGTACAGCAATGCAGAGTGAAAACATTTCCTATGCATTTGATGATGATGGGAAAGCTTTAGTGCCTTAGACAAAAGCTTCAATTACAGAATAGTTTTCAAAGAAATAGTGCTAATTATTTTTAATTGCAGTGTATATTAGAAATAAAGACATAAATGAGTGCTAATAGATTAAATGAGGACCATTTAATATGTAGGCCTATTCTACATATTAATGCCTCCTAAACATAAAACTCTTCTAACATACAAGACTTCGTTACTGGACACAGTGGTGAAAGTGTCATGAAGAAATTCATAATTTCTGAGTCTTTCTTTTAAAATGTTATACTTTTTTTAGACTCTCTGTACTTGAGAGGAAGCCTTAGGAATTGGTAAAATAAGAAATAATTTCAAACTTTTTACTAAATAAGCATTACATAGACATCGTCTGAATTATAGGAAGAGTTCAAATTAATGGAGTATGAGTTAACAATGTTTAATTGAAAGAGTTCCATAGAGTATTTTGATCATGGACGCTTGAGACATCTTGGTAATAAGCAACAAAAATGACAAAACCCATCGTTTCACCTCTGGGTGGACTGTCAAGGAATATAAATATCAATTTCAACATAAATATAAATTCAATATGATATGCTTTACCCTAACATTCTTCAGTGCTGAACTTGGCTTCCTGGATTTTAAGATTTTTAAGAAATGTACCTGACCCCTCAAAATTGATCCTGGATCACTGAAAGGGTCCCAGGTCTCAGTCTCCAGGTGAATCCTTGGCAAAGCTGTGAAATGGGTAAATTTTGCCTTCTTGCCACTATAAATCTGCTCCTTCCTCTGTTGTGGCCTCTGCTTTGAGTACAGGTCACATACAGGGCAGGGAAATGCTGATGTGCACATTGCTTGCAATCAGAAAGGTTTTGTTTGAACCATGGCCTTGCCACTTATTCATCATGCGGCCTTGAGAAATGCACAAAACCTCTCTAGGCCTCACTTTCTTTTTCTATGTTACCTGCCATCCCGGACTACATGGAATGAAGAGTGTTTCATACATAAAAGAGCACTTGGTGGATGTACACAGCGAGTATCCACTTGTGGTTCTATTTATCTTCCATTCCTACCCTCATCCCCCAGTATTCTCTAAGCAAACGTAGCTTTAAAAGATCCCTACTGCTGCATGCTAACTGGACTTTACCAAGACTTCATGCAGGGCTTCTCTATTTACATTATCTTCAGTTAAGTTGTTAGGATTGAAAATTGGGTCCATGTATCCTGCTTCCCATAGTATTTGCATTTAAAGGCAGCATTAGACAGGACTCATTTGACTGCAAGTGGCAACAACCTACCTTCAGCTCCTTGAGCTCTCTAAGGAAAGGAGGGTTTATTGGCTCCTGTCACCAAGAAGGGCAGGGAAATAGCTGGGTACAAGTGTATCTTATCTCACTCTCTCTACCCATTGGTCTCCCATTCCCACATTGCCTATAGACTTCTTCACTGTGCAAAAGACACAGCCACAGGGTCTTCTATCCTCAATGAGGCTCATATCCTCTTTATTAGAGAGGAAAATGTTCTCAACTCTCAACTCCAAATACAAGTCTTGCAAAAGGACTCAGAGGAATCCAGTTGGGTCTCATGTCTACCCTTAAACCAGTTATGGAGGCCACAGTCCAATGAGGGCATGATCCTTCTGAACTGGACTAAATGGTACAAGCAGGGGCAAGAGGAGTGGTCCACTAGAAGAACAGATGCCAGGTAGCACAGATGCAGCTGTGGGGAGAAATTCTGTAAGCTAAGCAACCAGTTTCTTTCTCTTTTCTAGGCCGTTATGCTTAAGGTAAAGGAATGAATTGCTCATGACAATTTCAAATAGCAGCTACTGGCCTCTGGAAAATTGAGATAATTTATGACACTGAGACCTAAAGCCCTCCAAATAAATGCTGCATTGCAACAGGACTTTCTTTTCTGGTCCCTAAATTGTCACTTAAAGAAGCAGAAACCTGAGATCTTACAGATAGTAAAAGCTGCCTGATTCAGCTTTGAAATGTACAAACTTGAATGGCTGTTAGCTGTATATTTTTAAAGGATTGGTGAGCTATCTGTGCCTGAGCATGAGTTCCTAAATGCCTGATGTACTACAGTGGTTCTCAAAGTGGGACACCCTGGTCAGCACTCCTGGGAACTTGTTAGAAATACAAATGCTTGACCCTGTCCCAGACTTAATGGATCAGAAACATTAGGGATGGAGCCCAGGAGTCTGTATATTAACAAGCCCACCAGGTGACTGGGATACACTGTGCTAAAGTTTGGGAACCACTTGGGTAGGGTATGCTATGGTAGGTAGCCCAGATTCCCCATCCAGGACTGTAGTATTCTTTCCCCCAGGCTCTAGGAGTGTTGGTAGCTGCCAGCTGTCAGCTGAGTTCCTCTCCCAGCATTGCCTTCAGCTGAAGAGAGCTACCTCATCCAAGGCCATGTCTCCTCTCTGTAGTAGTAGATGGAGATTAGTCTATGGAGATAAGGACAGGGATCCAAAGGTTTGAGACTCTTTCCTTAATGTAGGACAACTCTGAAGGGCCATCCCAGTCCAGAGCCCCCCGTGGGATCCGCTGAGGCCTTTGTTTGTAACTGCATCACAGTTCAACTCCTCCCTCTGCCCAGTCCTGCTGCCCTTGCTCCTTCACAGGTATTGCTCCAAGGGCACACCTCAACCCACTTCCTAAGGAAAATCAGCGTCTCTCAGTCTGCTTCCAGGAGAACCAACCTGGCCCTTCTTGGTAAGATTTAGGACCATGCACTGTGCTCCAGAAGAGAGAGGGCCCTATACTCACTGCTCTGGAATGGCCCAAGGCAACAGGACACTACCATCTCCCCGCTGTTTCTGTTCCCCTCTTTGAGGCCTGCTGATAAAAGTTCTGCACTTCTTCCAACTTCAGTTACCAGAAGACCCTATTGGGAATACTTTGCCCATACCCCTTCACTGCCAAATTCTGGGCTAATCCCTGCTCTAGACTGGTGAGAAATGGTAAACTATGACTATTAACTCCCCTCTTAGGACCTCCCCTTTCTTCCCCTCTAGGTTTTCAGAAAATATGAAGCATCAAAAGGCTTTATTGTATTTTTCCGACTCACCATGTTATATCCCTATGTAAAAGCAAACTCATTTAAAGGAAGATGATTTTTTTCTCTCCCTCTTTTTCTTGTATTTTAAAATATTGTATGTTATATTCAAAGACTGGACATAATGTTTACAGCATGTTGCTAAAATTAGAGAACAGGTTGCAAAAACCTGTTTGTATACCGCAGCTCTATAGTTTAAAGAAGCACATGTTATACAATGCATTACATACTAAGTACATAGTATGCAAAGTAAGGGCATTTAAGATGTTAATAAAACTTCTGTGGCTACTTTTGTATATTTTCTGTTTCCTCGTGATTGTTAGAAATCAATAAGAGCTTTTTTCCTGAGGACATGTGCTCAGGGTGGACATGTGTCTCTTTTTGCTGCCCAGGGCAGCCCTGACTTACTCTTGCTGTCCTGACATAATTATTAATACTGTTCCCTTTCACACTCAAAAGTGTCCACAATGGATAACTTTTATGCTCATTCTACTTATGCAACCTAATCTACTAGCTAACAGTGTGCTCTGCTCACCTGTTTGTAGGAAAATCACATGGCAAGAATCTCAAAAAGAGATAGTACCTTGCAAATCCTTTTACCTGCCTGCTCTCACATACTCCCCTTCCCATACACGCATTGAAGCTAACTATTTTTTACTCAGAGGTAGTGCACAGTTATTGCACATCAGGGTTCCGAGAGGCGCTGTCCGGCAGATGGACACTGGTGCCAGTAAAGTCGGAGCTTCTATTTAGGGTCCAGGCACTTTGTGCCAATGACAGAATCCAGGAGCCATTCGAAGAGTCCTGTTCTCCCGCATTTGATTTAGCCAAAGTTAAATTATTTCTGCTCGAGGGCAGACACAACACCTCAAAGCGACTTAGATTGGCATGGGGTGGGGGCTACATTTTGACTGTGGTTCCTCTGCTCTCAAGAAACAAGTGGCTTATGCGAACCAAAAATATCCCAACCTCACTGAAATAGTGAGGGGAAACTTAACATATTCTTTATATTTGCTTCAATTAATCACCAAGTAAGCAGATAAAATAAATAGCTTATAAACACTAATTTCATCTAATCCTCACAATAGCCCTACTGGATCCTTTTGAATGTAATTACTCAGCATTTTCATCTTTATAGTTAATATTAATAATATCTCCCACTTCTTAGTCTTCACCATGTACCAGGCACTGTGTAAGAGACTTACAGTCATAAGCTCATTTCACCTCACCATACTAGTTGAATACAGGTTTATTTGTTGTTTATTATCTACCATGGCCACTATAAGCTTCATAAGGACATAAACTTTGTCTTGTTCACAATTGTATTCCTGTATTTGTAATTTTGTCTGGCACAGAGAAAGTTCTCAGTAAATACTTGTTGAATGCATAAATAAATTATTGAATGAGTAAGCCAATAAGCTCACAAGAAAGGTGTTCTTATCTGCATTTTGCAGTTGAGAAAACCAAGTCTTACAAAGAGTAAGGAATTCGTAAAGATTTTGTAGATCGCAAACTGGGGGCTGTCAGGTTCCAAAGTCTTGAACATGACAACACTCCCCCCCACTTTCCTGATGAGAAAACCATGGCTCTGGGAGTTAAATAGCCTGCTCAGTACCCACTAAGTATTAAGTTATTAGAACTCAGATCCAGGAACTCTGATTCTAACCAGCCCTATTTTCTCCTCATCATGTTGATGGATGGCAGGGTCAGTCACCATGTGGTTGGCATGTACAACCATGAACATTATCATTTGACAGAGGACAAGGGTAGGCAGTTCCCCCAAGCAAAACACAAATCCTCCAGTAGGAGGGTGTCATCATTCTCTGACTTAATCCTGGGCATTAGTGTTTAGTCAGCCGTGTTAGGTCATTCTTGCATTGCTATAAAAAAAATACCCGAGGCTGGGTAATTTAAAAAGAAAAAATGTTTAATTGGCTCATAGTTCTGTAAGAGCATGACACCCACATCTGCTCAGCTTCTGGGGAGGCCTCAGGGAGCTTTTACTCACAGCAAAAGGTGAAGCGAAAGCGGGCATGTCACATGGTGAAAGCAGGAGCAAGAGAGAGTGCAGCGGGGAGGTACCATACTGAAACAACCAGATCTCATGGGGATTCACCCACTGTCATGAGGACAGCCCCAAGAGGATGGCACTAAACCACTGATGAGAAATCCACCCCCATGATCCAATCACCCCCTACCATACCCCACCTCCAACACTGAGGATTACATTTTAACATGAGATTTTGGGGGAAAAATATCCAACTATATCACCCACTAAGAATGAATAGGGACCATAATGTATTATCTGGGCTGGGATAAAGCTTACTGCTCTGACAAACCATACAATTTCAGTGGTTTATCACAAAATATTTTACTTTTTAATCATGTAACAGTACAAGGTAGGTGTCATGGTGAGCAGCCAGCTTTCCTCCATGTGGAAACTGAGAGATTTAGACTCCTTCCACACTGTGGCCCCCTGGCATCCTTACGTCCTCTGTTAACAGTACAGAAGAGGAAAGACAGGGTGTGAAGAAGTCTTCTTAACCACCTTGGCCAAAGCTGGATACACCTTATTGCCCATAGACTAGTGGTAAGAACTAGTCCATGGCTCTACCAAGATGCACGTGGAACTGGGAAATACGATCTCTCCTAGGCATCCACTTTCCAGAGCCACATGGAAGGAGGAGCACAAATTTTTGATGCGCAGCCAGCATCACAGCCATTATGAGAATAGATTGGGCCAGGAAAAGATGGGAGATAGGAATCTGGGCTGCCACCTAGAGAAGGATGCATTTGAAAACAAAGCAGTGGGGAGAGGGTAGCAAAGGCCAACTTTGGCAACCTTTGGGGGTTTTGTAGACTTTTCTTCTTCAGAGGTAATGAAGGTGGAGCAAATATGTCTTTGCTGCCAATGTGGTGCACACTTGGAGCAAAGCATGCAACCTCTCATCCTAATTAACATCAAGCCACCACACTCAACAGTACTACCCAACAGGTTTCTAATTTCCATTCATGCCCACCTCTCGTTTCTCTACCTGAGTTGTAAATTATGAATCTTGCAAAATTGGACAATATCATAAAAGCTACAAGATGTATCGAGTGCCATAGCCTTCAGTTATCTTAGCTCATTAAACAGAAAAATAGGTACACTTTTTTCTCTTTATGGGAAAACAGTATCAGGTAATGTCACATAATGTTTCCAAATAGAATTTGTCTTTGTCAGCCAAGTAGTGAATAACAGGGAAACACTGAATGCTCTTTTTAAGAAATGATTTGAAATTAATTTCAATCCATTCTGATGGTTCCGTAAAAAGAGAAATATAGACTTCAGGATGTCTCTTAATGTAGATTGCTATAGTAATTTAAAAACAACAAATAATAATGAAGTAATGATTCTATCATGCTGCCATTGTGCTTGACAGTGAATAGTATATTTTTAAAAAATAAATTTGCCACTGCAATATATGCCGATGGTTAGACTCTAGGTATTGCTTTCAGATTAGAAAGAGTCATAGGATCATATTCATGTATTTTAGTAAGTATTTACTGTGACAGAGATAAGAATATTACAAATATAATTATTCACAGCCTTTCTCCCTCTCCTGCCTTCTAAAGAGGATCATTTTGTATGAGGAGTAATGGATAGGGTGGGATAATAGGAAGAGACACAGACTTGGAGAAACTGAGAGACTTATTTGACCTACACAGATGTAGACACAAAGCTGCCTGGAAAAAATCAAAAGGTCTGAGAGGTAGGAAGAAGGAGAGAAGATCTTGGCCAGAGAGGGAAGAACTGAGAACGTTTTGGAAGCTGAAATGAGTAGCTACTATGAGGGGGGTACTGTGGGAAGAGATTTCTAGTAAAGAGAAACATTCAGAAGTCTCACTGTGTGCTATGCACAGTCAGCCACCATGGCTGTCATTGTTGGAGAAGAGCTCTCCTGAACTCTCTCCACAGCAGGCCTTTGCTGCGGGGAGTGGAGCTGAGATAGTTATAATAACAGCTAATGCCTACCTAAGCTAACCTCCTATGTGCCAAATAGCAAGCAAAGCTCATGACCTACATGAACTCTTTTAATCCTTACAACAACTCCATGAAACAGCATTAGAATTAACGCTCTTTTATAGATGGGAAAACTGAGGCACAGAAGGGCTACATAACTTTCTCAGGATACACCAGCTTGTCGGTAGCATAGCTGAGATTCAGACCCAGGCAATCTGGCTCCAGGGACTATGTGCTGAACCACGATGCTTAACCACCTCTCAGGTTGTTGAAAAGTCAATCTAGTCAACCCGTAAGCCTTATGTCATATGGGAAATTGAAGATCTGGACTAAACTCTGAGTCAATGTGCACCCTTTCACATAGTATTTCCTTAAAGAACACAGTATGTAATAGTAGGTGCCAAAATGTCAAGTTGTTCATGTGCTCACAATATTAACAGCTCATTGTTTGATAAACTTTAGGAAATAAAGCTTAGGAAGTTAAAAAAAAATAAGGAATCACTCTTTTCCCAAATCTCATTAGTCTCTGTCCTGTTTTCCATAACTATACACATTTGGTAATAACTGAATAATATTGTGAATAATCCCTGCAACATTCAGACTGTCTCTTCTCTTTAAGGGCTCCATTCTGATAGATGGTCTGGCAAAGTTCTTGAAGTTAAGATCACAGACAGACTCTTGTGCCAAATCTGGAAATTGATAATTCTTAAATTGATCCTAGAATCAAGCCATTCTCTCATAGTTCATAATGGAATCATATAAAGAACACTGATCTTTAATTGAGATTAAAGATAAACCATAAGATGGGTACTTGCAGAGCTAAATGAAGTCACTCCAATCAAAAGATGGAGTCAGGTGCTTCGGGAAATGCTAATCTTACTGATGATGAACTTTGGGAGGATAAGTTGTCTTTAGCATCAAAGTAATTATTTGCTCTATTCAAGGTTGAGTACATGACTATAGAGTGGCCCTTGTGCCTTGGATCTATTTTTTTTTCCATGTCATGTATTATCACCAAGAAGTAAAGTACAGTTTTTTAGCCAGCTAAACTCCACAAGTGGTCATGACCTCCAGGATGTTTTTTCACAGACTTAGATGGGGATAAGGACTATACCCTTGTTCTTGTCCTGAAGTGAGAAGAGGACAGAATTCTGTCTTTCACAGGTTGAGAGACAGCAATGACTTGTCCTGAACAAGTAGATTGGAAAACTGAGTTTCATCAAGGGGGATCCATTAGGCTAATTTCTTAGGGGTAAATGTTGTGGACAAAATTACTATGAGTGAATTTACCAGTGAGATGTTGGCTTAAGGACTGATCTTTAGCCATGATAGCAAAGAGGCCTGGATGACCAATAGCACCAAACTAAGACAACTGCAACTGGTTCAGTCTTTTCTGGAGTCAGGGCTGCTGCCTCTATCTTAAGATAAATTGCATCAGTCATGTAGGTTACAGAACTCCTATCAGTATCAAAGAAAAGACATTACAGTTTGACATTGTCAATTTCTGAAACTGTCACACAGCTACAGGGAAAGGCTCAGTTAATTCCAGTTTCTAAACGATACAAAGCAGAAAACCAAGATGATAAATCCAAAATGCTGCAAATATTTAAAGTTGAAATATATCAGTTTTACAGACTTGGGGCCAAAATTTATGGTATGAAAAACTTCACCAAAACCTCCTTCAGAAAAAAAAAAGGTTAAAAAGCTCAGAGTCGGAAAGTTTGTCATATTTGTCAAAAAGGAAGGCAGACTCTGGTCTTTTTTTAAATGGCAGGAGTACAACTATAATAACAACAGGTAATTTTTCATTATTTGAGCTTAGTCTGTCCTACTGAGGCTTTAACTTCATTTTCTGCTCTTCATTTTCTAATGCAATTAGTATCTTATGTTCAAAAAGCCAGAAATAAATTTAACCTTTTGAGATGAATGAGTTATTTAAGCCTCCTGGATAGTAAGTCAGGAAGAGGCTTGGAAACACTGCTCTGGGCGTCTTTGGCTATTTTTATAAGGAGTGTTGCACATCTGCCTGTCCACACGGAGCCACAGGTCTCACCTCTGGGCTCTCCTCACAGCGGCCTCATGCAGCTTCATTTATCTTAGGAGGCGAAGTGTTGGAGTGGAGCCTGCCTGATTCTGGACCTGTAATTCCAAGGTGGACAGAGTCCAAGATTGTCGTTCAGTCCATTAAGCAATCCCTTTTAGCTGAAGGGGTTCATCTATCAATCTCGCTTTTCAGCCAGTAATCTGCTTATTTGGAGGTTTAATTACATTTTCAGGTCACCCAAGCGCTTCTCCTAGATATTTAATAAAATGAATCCTTATTTTATTTCTCACATGGTTTATTTTACATGGGCTATCCAATTGGGATGGGGGGAGCAATTACTTATAAAAAGATAAACAAGTGAGATTTCCACCTTCAAAGTGTCCAGAGTTAACACGGAAATTATTTGAGTCTTGGGTACAATTACGATAGCAGATTGATCTAAAACTGCATGTAGCAGCCACCATTCCTGAAACAGAAAGTCAGATATTGATTTCCCAGTGCTTTTATGACCCATTTAACAACAGGCATTTTGGGTTGGTTATTTCTTAGGGCCAGAGAGAATTTTCTAGCCAGCCTCCTTCTGAGCTCCTCTTAAATATCTTCTCTGAGAGATGGGTAAAAATTGATGTTCAGCCCTGGCCTTAAACACAAGCACATGCACACATACACACAAAACACAAAGGAGGCTGACACACCTTGCCTCTCCTAATACTATCTAAGTTAGCTTGGATGAGGGTATTTAGATATTTTCCACAATAACTACCAAACTGGGTTAGGGGAGGTCCATTGGATATGTCTGCTAACAAATTCTCACTAATTGACATCAAGCCAGTTAATTTCTATGTAATAAGTGTTGAGTGATTCAGGGCCAGCACCACCAGCCAGGGCTGGGACTATTCAAAGACCTCTACCTGTTTGGCTCTCAGAACGGAACATTTAATGTTTTGCCAAATTTTCAAAAATGTTGGGAGTAAGAACAGCGTTTCTAATCTGTAGCTCTCTGGGCTACTAATTATGCAGCAAAGGGTATAAAGAGAGCTTTACAAATCATTATTTCCATTAGGAAGGTGTTAGAACCCATTCCACCAAGGGCACCCCTCCTATTAGCGCAGCTGCTATTCCCAGGGGAGGCGGCCGCTGTGGTGCCGGTTGAAGCGGGGCTTCTGTTCTGTTTCCCCAGCACTTGGAAGAAAAACAAAACAGTCCTAATGAAAAACACATACGGGAAATGCTTTATTATTTCATCATCCTCACCTACTGCGCTCTGGCACAGCTCTGTGATTAGGAAGGACTTTTCCCTTCGTAAGCGGCCGAGTGAGGTGGTAGGAGGCTGATACTCTGTCATTTCCTGTCACATCGTTTTGGAGGAATTTGCTCTTATTTCCTCCTGGCCACATCCCCCTGACACCCATCCCTCTCTCCCCAGCCTCCACATTGGCCACGCGCCCACAGTTCAGTTGTGTTAACTTCAAAACACAGTGTTTTAAGTTGAGGGGCAAGAATCATGGAAACTCGGGGCACCAAACACAATCAACCTCTAACCTCCTGAAGCTGAGAAATAGGTCAGAGCCACCGAGTGGATCCTAACCTCCCGAGAGGGCCGAGGAGCACCACTGCACCAGGAAAACAATGGGTTGTTTTGTTTTGAGGGACTGGAAAAGGGAGTGCTGAAGTCAGTCTGAATGCTAATTCGGATTATAATCTTCCCATGTGCATATTCTTGACTTTTCACCAGAAAGGAGAGTCAGATAGCAGACATTCCCCAAATCTCATTGGATCACTAGCCAGTGAATAACCTCTTTCATTAAAAATGTCTCCATTTCTTTACTTCACACAGGGTGAAACCTGGGGTATAATATACAATGCATTTATTTGCATGCTTCTCAGCAACTCCTAACACCAAATAATCCAGGCATGGTCAAGTGGGTATGGCTACCCAGGAAATTGGAATGCATTAGCCCAGACCCAACTGGGGCCACCAATGCCTGTCTGTAGTAATATACCAGGAACAGTTCTTTTCTCTCATTACAGCTTGGCAACTTGGGAACAGTACCATGCCTTCTAATGGAAGATGCTTAATATATATTTGCTAAATGTTCGATAAGTATCTAATTAATTGGGTTGGGACTATATATCAGAGGGCAGAGGGCTAAGCCACCAAGCCCTAGTTTTGTGGCAGTGAAAAGTGGGTGCCTTCATGCCATACCATTCTGTGGGGGGTCAACACCATGTACCACCATCACTACATAAGAAGAATCCTAAAATATGGCTGTATGGACATTCTTTCTTAATTAAATTTCTATCAAACTGGCTTATAATGGTAGCTGTTTTCTAATTTCTGTTGAACTACCATCAATGGCATGGGTAATACCGTACTATTACTTAAATGGTTAATTCAATGTGTGGTGTCTTCTCAGTGAATATAAGTTGAATAGATCAATGAATAGTGGGATATTGATATAAGTACAAAGGACCTTGTGTGGGGGTCTTATGGTGAAAATTGGTCTGTGTGTAGCTCCACCTATATATATACTGTTTGTCCTGCCTAAATGTAATTCCCAATGGAAATGTAGAAATAAATCATGTAAAGTAGGTTGTCTAATGGAAAATTTTTGATGTAAGAACAAAATGATCCTCCAAAGCAGAACTGGGTCAATATGCCTACCACTAATAGACGGCATGGAAGTACGTTCAGGGTATCTGTACTTCATTTTGAAAAACTGATAAATATTATTCATCCCATCGTAGCTGATAAACACAAAAGCACTGAAAATCACGAAGATGCTAAAGTATGATTATAATGGAAATAAATAAACTTTTTTTAATGTGAAAGAGCTAAAGTAGTAAAAGTGCTGAGAAAAAAAAACCTAATTCATCAATATGGAATGAAACGTTTGACTAGAGAATGAAAGGTCTCAGCAGGCTGGGCGTCAGGGCAGGCTCCATGAAGACTTGAGACTGGGCAGAGAGAAGGGTGAGCTTCACGCCTTAGGTGAGATTCTCACTGATTAAAAAAAAAAGAGAGACATGGGTGAAGCTGCAAACCATCATTCTCAGCAAACTATCGCAAGGACAAAAAACCAAACACCGCGTGTTCTCACTCATAGGTGGGAATTGAACAATGAGAACACATGGACACAGGAAGGGGAACATCACACACCGGGGACTGTTGCGGGGTGGGGGGAGTGGGGAGGGATAGCATTAGGAGATATACCTAATGCTAAATGACGAGTTAATGGGTGGAGCACACCAACATGGCACATGTATACATAGGTAACAAACCTGCACGTTGTGCACATGTGCCCTAAAACTTAAAGTATAATAATAAAATTAAAAAAAAAGATTTTAAAAGAAAAAAAAGATTAACCCTCCCCTTTTAAAATGTACTAAAAATTTCTAAATTATATTATTATCAATGTGATTATCTATAAAAATAGCATCTTCATGTTTTCTATTTTAGTTCATAAATTTTCAAAACTGAGTTTGGGTTATCTATTTGAACAAAATATATAAATTCTGAAAACAAATTTTAAATCATGTTGTGAATATTTTAGTTAACTTTTATTTGGAAGCCATGCATAGGTTCCATCCTAAGGACTTTGCAATGTATTATCTTACATGATTCTCACAACATCTCCATGATGATAGAAAACTATTATGTCTAGTTTTCTCCTAGTCTTCTAATGCATTTTTTTAAAAAAAGTACACATGAGAAATAATACGTGTTTAAAATGACTCAGTTGATCCTTCCATGTGGGATTCCTTCATATGCTATCCAGAATATATCATATTAAGGTTAGTGTCTCTTTTGAATAAAAATTTTTTAAATAAGGATTTTTCCTCCTACCTTTTAAATTTTCTGGTCAATACTCAATTAATTGGAATATTATTCAGTCTTTTATTTCCAAACATTCTGACTTATTGAACCAGATCAAATATATTTAAGTATATATTCTAAAAATTTGCTAAAATATTGAGCCATAAAAATGAATATTTTTCACCTGAATTCCTCACTCACGCATATGGGCTAGTCTTCCCTGTATGAAGTAGCCACAACCCTATTATTTTATCTTTAATTGAATTTTAATGCTTCATGACTTACTTGAGAGGTTTCCCACCTGAAAGCCCACAGACATCTGAAATACAAGGTGAATCCAAAGGCTGTAGCTACTACATGTTCTTGAAGAACAAGTTAAAAGACCCTTTACCTGCCCACCACTTACCACTGAAAAATGAAAAAATAAGTATCACTGATTTAATGGAATGAAACGTTTGACAGTACGAATAATTCAGAAGGACAATGAGTATTTATTTGATGTATGGAAAGCTACGCATCTAGGCAACAGACAATTATTGCCAAGAAACTGATAAAATAGGAGCCATTTTTGTTTGGGCTATTACAGTGGTTTTCAGCTCTCACTGCACATTTGAATCACCCAAGGAGCTTTTAAAAAATACTGGTTCTGGGGCCATATTCCAGACCAGTTACATTAGAACTTCTAGAACTGGGACACAGGCATCAGCAATTTCTAAAGCTCCCCATATGATTACAATATACAATCAAATTTGGGCTATAGCAATGGTTCTCGAATTTTAGCATCAGAATCACTTGAAGGTTTTATCAAACTACAGCTTGCTGGGCTCAACCTCCAGAGCTTCTGATTTACCAGGCTTGGGGTGAGGGCCAAGAATTTGCATTTCTAACAAATTACCAAGTGATACTGATGCTGCTGTTCTGAGGGCACACTTTGAGAACCACTGGACTAGAGGATCAGTCTCAAGATTTGCATCCTATTAATCTGATAATGATTCAGAAGAAATCTCAGGGTTTGTTGCTGACTTCATGGTGATAGTGCACCTGATAAAATGTATTTTTACCACTTACGGTTGGTTCTTCAGTTTCAAGGGTCACATGAATCTACATATGGTGAAAGTAAACACTGGCACAGAGTATGAGATATTGTGGCTGCTAAATTGTTTCCCAAGATGTTTGGGTAGATCGTTAAGAAACGTGACTTCCCTCCACAGATTTTCAATGTAGATAGAATTGGTTTGTTTTAGAAGAAGATACCAGACAAGGCATATATCTGGTATCTTCTTCTAAAGGAGAAGAGAACAGCTGGTTTTAAAGCATGGCAGAATTTTATCTTGGATCGCAAGTTCATACCCTTCCATCACTTGGGTTTTACTGACAACTGAACTTACAAGCTCTTATTTGGAACTTGTATATTAGCCAATGCAAATTTGCTATGTGTGTGATACTAAAATTCTGATAAGCACTATTAATCAGAAACAATGAAATGCATTCAAAATTACTTGTGAGAAATTAAAACTTTTAAGAATTTGGCTTTGAAGAGTTAAAAAGTCAGATAAAGACTGTGAGTTAATTACCATGCTAATTACTGTTAATTCCTACCCAATAACTGTTTTAAGGTAGAGTCCAGGTTTCAGTTCCATTGCCATTTCTCCTGGCCATGTGCCCATCTTCTCACTGCTTCCTGGAGTACACACAGTCATAACCTAAGTGTGGAAGGATTGACCATCTCAGGTGTGCCAGTGAGTGTGGCCACCATCTCTCTGGTCTCATTCCACTCTTTCACTTCTGGTCACCTTTCGGTTCTATTTTGTAATAGAATTAAATGCATACAAAGAGATATGTTTGTCATTAATCTATATGTAGATAATAAAAGATGTTTATTGATTGTTAAAAAAAATTTTTTAAAGAGAAAAAGAGCTTGTACTCATCCAGTTTCTCATATTAGTCAATGGATACATAAAATTGAATATATCCCTGTAAAACTGCAAAACTTGTGTTCTGATTAATTGAGGTATACTGAGTGTGGAGTTCCATTTAGTTGTTATTTATTTAGTTTGCTTTTCAGTGTCAGGTTAACCTAGTAATTATCAAATAATGACATCAGTTTTGGGGGCATAACAAGTGAAAAGGAAAGGACCAACCACCTTATTCATATATAAAAGATGCATGGATTCTCTTTATTGTTTAGACATTTTGGATATTCGTCATGTAAAAATAGCCTGTTGGTGTCAGATTTTGCTTGAACATCTTTTTCTTTTAAAAGTGTCTTTTTCAGCAAACCCATGGGAGGTTTTTCTTTTCTGGGATTTAAAGTAAGATAAAGTTTAGCTGATTCCTTTCCCTGACTACCCCTCCCCCTTCAAGGGTTTAATAACCAGAATCCTAAGATTTATGGTGAGTGAAAAAGAAAAATAAGTAAATTATCTGACTGAGGAGCCATTCTTCCTCTCTGACCATACAGACTATTTTAAATGCTGCTAGCAGCAGTCTAATTAAAATAATTTCTGTCAGAAGTCTGTGAAATATGCAGCCGCAGCCCAGCTCAATGTTCTCAGGCAGGAATGACAAATCTCTGCTTAATTAGTACTTAATATGGTAGTGCAGGATTAGTAATTCTCCAGGATAAAAGGAGATAACAAATAGGAATCTCTTACTTGGGCAGGGAGTCTTGGAAGATGAACAGACCAAGTGGTGCTCACCCCCAAACTGTTCCTATCAAGGGCTGTTATTTTGGCCATCACTCATGAAACAACAGACAATTAATGCATATTTTATGACTAGCTCAAGTCCTAATTAAATACAACTGTGCACAAAGAA
Source organism: Homo sapiens (assembly GCF_000001405.40). Lineage (NCBI taxonomy): Eukaryota > Metazoa > Chordata > Mammalia > Primates > Hominidae > Homo > Homo sapiens. Next base: position 176,704,407 of record NC_000002.12, on the reverse strand, counting down.
TGTGAAGGCCCCGACTTAGAGGGACCAAAATAAATACTGGCAGAAATATGGTGAGCACTACGACCTTAGCTCATCTTGTTATTCTATCTCAGAGATAAGCACCTTGGCAGAGGCATACACTACTCCTGAGGTACAGCCAGTAAGCTGAAATCCACAGTGTATTTTGGAAAATTTGGGAAATGCAGAAAGGCAGAAGGGGGAAAATCATCCATAGCCACATCAAACTAGCACTACCACTGCTGATAAGTTGGAGTATTTCCTTCCTGTATTTTGATTCCAGTGCATAGCTTTCATGTTTTACTTATTCTACAAAGTATTGTGAGCCATTTTGTGCTTTGCTTTCTTTCTTGTTAATATTACATAGAAACATTTACATATATTTTATGAATGCTTGGTACAAAATCACTTTTAATGTTTCCACAGTATTCTATCAAGTAGACAATTGTAGCTAATGTCTATTTGATGCTGACTATATGCCAGGTGCTATTCTAAGCACTTTACATGTATTAACTAATTAAATCACATAATAGCCCTATGAGTTGGGGACTTTTATCATCTACATTTTGTAGATGAGGATACAGATGCACAGAAACATTGTGTTAATTTGTCCAAGGTTACATAAGTGGTTAGTGAACTCAGGATTTGAACAAGGGCAATCTGACAACAAAAACCATAGTTTTAATCGCTACCCTACCATCTCTTGATGCATTGCTTTGATTAACCAGACCATGTTCTACATCTGCGCCAGTAAACTTTCTCCATAAATGGTTGAATCATAGATATTCTGTGCTTTGTGGGCCACATATACATTCTATGGCTCCTCCTCCTCCTCTTCTTCTTCCTCCTTTCTGACATTTAAAAAAATCTAAAAACCATTCTTTACTTACTTTAGATAATTCTGAAAAGTTTTGACACTGAAGAAACCAAATTATTTAATTGGATGAATTATTCTTATTTCAACTTGTATTATTAGTATGATATACTGCATATGGGTTTAGTGTGTATATACTTATATACGTAATAGCCATTGAACTTACTGCAAGTACTTGTGTTCATCAAAACTTAAAATGTAAAGTATTATAATAAGAAATCAACACAAAGCCAAAAGAGATTTCTGCTTGGTAAATCTCCAAAAATGAATAGAAAGTCACACATTTCAATTTCTGCCTTTTGGTGGCTCACATAAAATTCTGGGGTATTTGTTCATTTCTTTGTGGTAGCCATTCTGAAAGAGTAGTTCTGAATCCAGCAGCATTGGCATCATCTGGTATTGTCTTTTAGAAATGCACATTCTTAGGCCCGATCTCAGAAGTAATGAATCAAAACCTCTAAAGGTCAGAAATACTGAAGTTTGAGAACTACTGTTTTAGAGCAATCTAGTTCCAAACAGATCATTTTTAAAAACATAGCTGTGTGTGAGAATGTGTGTGTGTGCACTCTCACATTCACATAACAGAAGAAACATTCCACATTATGGTATCATATGATGATACATTATGGAACCACCATGCGGACATGCCACAAGAATCAGAATGAGCAAATTGTAGAGTTGCATATGTATCCTACGCAGGTACATGAATAAATCTATACTGTCATGCCTATCTTGTTATATGACCCTATATTGATTTTGCAACAGCTATTTCCTGGTTCATTACTTAAGCATGACATTCCTTATAACATTAAGGGATTTAGGACTTAACTATCTGAAAATTGAATGTCCTCAATTATTGAGAACACTACACCTGGAAATTTAACTGACAAGTTTAATATAACAAAATATATCATTTTAAAATGTCACTCCCAAGATTCGGGTTCTTGGGTAAGATGGAGAAAACACACTCCACCCTACTGAATGCAGCTATAAAGCATCGAGAGAACATGTGCAGAGTTCATTTGAGAGCTTTGAAAAAATAATAATAAATAGCAAATTTGGGAAGAGGACTGAATTTCAAAGTAGCACTGAGCTAGTATGAGCTTACCCTTACTTTCTTTCCCACCACATGGCCCTGGAGGCAGGCATAGCTGCAGAAGTGCATGGCAGAACCCCAGCTTTCTCACCGGAAGCATTAAAAGGGGAGTCCTCAGAAATCAGAAAGTACTGGGAGATTGCAGAGAGGGTGAGTTTATGAAAGCAGCCCTGTAAGATTATTTATTAACTCCTAGATTCCAAGAACTGCACATGCATGGATCTCATTCTAATCAGCACATACAAGACTTCAGAAGGTGAATAGAGAGATTCCCACTCAGTTCTCAGAGTTGTCACTGGGGGGCATACCCAAGGGACAAATCTGAATAGCACTGGGCATTAAAAAGTTCACTGACACTGGGACCACAGCCCATAGAAGGCAAGTTTAAACTTGTGCCATGAACATTATCAGGTCACTTGCCTGCTGACAAAATATCAATATTCTCCACAGGCTTTAAGCGAGACCCAGAGTCTCGTAATACAATATTCAAAATTTTCAGCATATAATCTAAAATTACTTGGCACATGAAGAACCAGGAAAATGCAACTCACATAGGAAAAGACAATCAACAGACACCAAATGCCAAGACAACACAAGAATTTAAAGTTGCCATTATAAAAATGCTCCAACAAACAATTATAAGCTCTCTTAAAACAAATAGAAAAATAGAAAGTCTCAGCAGTAAAACAAAAAATATAAAGAAAATCCAAATAGAAATTTTAGCACCAAAAATGCTATAAGTTAAATAAGAAACTCACTGGATGGATTTACTAGAATGGAGATTACAAAGAAAAGAGTTTATTAATGTGAAGATTGATTAACAGAATTATGCAAACTAAACAACAGACAGAATAAGATTTTAAAAATTAAGAGATTCAGGTATCAGTGGGATACTAAAAAGAGACCTAACATTCATGTCATTAGAGCTCAAGAAGAAGAGTAGAAAAAACTATGGTGCTAAAAATAATTGAAAAATATACTGACTGAAATTTTTTCAAGTTTGGTGAAAAACACATACCTAAAGCATCAAGAAGCTCAAAGAACCCTCTATAGAATAAACTCCAAGAAATTCATGCCTAGCCACATCATAAGCAAACTGCTGAAAACTACAGGAAAAAAAAAATCCTGAAAGCAGCCAGAGAAGAATAGCATATTATCTACAGGAGAACAAGGATTCGAACAACGACTGCAGATTTCTTATCAGAAACCATAGAGAATAATTGGAAGTGGCTCAATAGTTTTCAAGTGCTCAAAAAAAAAAAAAAAAAAAAAAAACTATCACATAATTCTGTATCTAGAGAAAATATTCTTCAAGAGTGACGGTGAAATAAACATTCTTAGATGAAGGAAAACTAAGCTGATTTATTACTAAAGGAAGTTTTTCAGAAAAAAAGGAAATGATAGCAGAAGGAAACTTGGAATATCATAAATAATGGGAATGCAACAGAAATGGCAAACATGAGGGTATAGATAGATTATTCTCTTTTTAAAAGATGTTTAATGGTTGAGAAGGAAACATTTCTAACATTGTCTTGATAGAGTTCTCAATGTGCATAGCTGTAATATATGACAAGCATAACATCATGGGAAAGGAGTATAAAAGGATCAATATGGTGGTATGGTTCCTACATTCCACCTAATATGGTAAAGTATTGATTTTAAGTAGATTATGAGAAGTTATGGATATATAATACAGTCCCTAGAGTAACCACTAAAAACCTACACAAAGAGATATAGTCAACAGCACAATAAATTAAAATGAAATAATTTAAAAAGTTTTGATAATCCAAAAGAGGCCAGGAAAGGGGAAAACAGATTAATGAAAAACAAAAGGAACACACACAATTAAAAATAAAAATACAGACAAGTATAAACATATCAATAATTGTATTAAATATAAATGGTTTATAGACATCAATCAAAAACAGAGATTATCAAAATGGATTTTAAAAAAAATCAATGTTCCCTCAACCCTGACTGTATGCTTTCTACAAGAAATTCACTTCACGTAAAATGATATAGGTAGGTTAAAAGCAAAAGGTTGGGAAAAAGATATACCACAGAAATGCAAATTAAAATGTCACTTGCGTCTGCTTTTCCTGGGAAAATATCTGCTGTTCAAGAAACCTGACACTGCAGTATGAAGTAAATGCATTTGGTTACCTAAGTGAAATACTTAACTTATTGGTTTGAGTGATCAGCTCTGCTTGAATTGTTCCTTATTTTTGAGTGGGCTAATAAATACAGGCTTAATCAGGAACTACTTTATCTTTCTTCTGTCATTTCAAAGGGGGCCTCATGCATTCACAAATGTTTTTGTGTAGTGACAAACACCACTAAGTACAAAGACTGATTGTAATTCTAAGGCAAAGGCAACCTGGATATTCACATATAATCCTTTTTAAATGAGAGAAACACACAGTCCCCAAGCTTACATGTAGCTCTAAGTGTTTATTATACACCAGAAATCATAAATATATCTGATTTGTCTATGAGCTCACAGATAGACAAGCATACATAGGCAGGTGACAGCTCCTTGGAAAACCACCCATGTTCTCTTCCACAGCTGGAGTAAGTATCATATATGGTTCCTGTCAGTAGCACTCATTTAGAGAGATAAAAATCCTGCAACAGCTAAATTCACCCTCTCTCCAGTGGCCTTTTCCTTTGATTTCCAAAACAGCAAGTAACTATTCACTAAACCCTATAGCCAGTCCCACCTTTCAAAGAAGAGGTGAGAAATGGCCCATTTCAAAAATCTTTTTCCTGTACATTGTATAATTAACCCTCTTAATTCTCTCTGGTAGTAGCTTTCTTTGTTAATTTTTTAAAAGAAAGGAACTATTAAGAGATATGTGTGTTCATTAACTTTGTGTAAAATTTTGAAAAATAATTTAGGGACACAGAGCATGATTTCCATTGTCAATATATAGTATTAAGTATATTGAATAGCATAATAGTAAGTGACAGTCATGGGCATGGGGGATTCTTTCCCAAAAAGTTTTACAGATATGAAACAAGAACTATTTTCTTTAAACCTGGCTTTGAATTCAACTTGAAACATTATTTTCTTTCTTTTTGTTCTTCCTGCCCTTAACTTTTCTTCTGCAATGTGAAAATACAAGGCAGATGTCTTCATCTCACTGGAATGCTTTTAACCTTAATGAAGAGTGGCAATAAATCAGTACTTTTCAACCTGCTTTCTATCATCAACACATATGTGCTTTTTGAGATATAAGTCTCCACAGAGATTATTAGAAATAATTAGGACAAGAAAGAACTTACAGTTATTAGTATGTTAGTGAACATGCAGCTGCTATTTGTTAACTAATTTTAATATGTATAAAGTTATCTTGTCCATATACCTAAAAACGACAGGTATCGGATAAGACTGTTTTTTAAAGAAAAGGCATTAATAGTTGATTATTAAGGTGGAATGTGTGTATATTTAATATTTATATATAATACATGTACATATATACACTCATATAAGATTATTAAAGTATAATTGGTTGATTTTTTTAAGTTATGTGTATAGATTACATCATCTTACAAATAAACTAGGAAATGAAGAACATTTTTCATTATAAGATTTTCTTGATTCATATTATAAAACTAGAATGTACCCTTTCATGGCTAGATAAACTATTTCAATATTTCACATTTTGTATTTTTTGTTTACTCAGGATTCACAGTGCCAATTTCTTCAATAAACAAAATTCAGTACTCTGAACTCCTCTTATTAATACACAGAAGAAAAATAACCTGCAAAACTGCAGTCCAAAAAGAGAGTGGTGGTATAAATAACCTTATAAAATTTGACATCCTAGTGACCCATTTTACATGGGTGGAATTTGGTGATAGCAAAACAAATTGTTACTTTCCAAGAACACATGAATGAAGATATGGCTAGGATTAATGCTAAAACTCTCAACTAACAATGACTGAATCTGAACGTGTGATGGGACTGAATAAGCTTTGCAATATACTAAGCTAAGATAAATTTTTCTGGTAGTGATATCCATAAGAAAATTTTACAAGGCAGACTAACTACCTATCTTGATTTCCAAATGTTTAAAAAGCTGTTTCTGACTTCCAATGAATCAAACCTACTCATTCACCTTTCAAGAGGCCATAAAGTTTCATGCATAAAACTCTGGATCGGAAATTAAGAGACTTAGGTTATGGGCCTCCTTCTTGGGAGAGGAGAACTAGGCCACCCCAACTCAGTAGAATCCTTTTGCCACTTTATGTGTCCCTGCCACCTGGGTGACCAGGTTATAAAGCTTTCTATATATTTGAGTCCATGGGGTGATGTTATCTGAAGACTCAATTCCCAGTGTCAGTTCTGCCACTGGGTGACATTAAGAAAATGACTTGCCTTGCTGAACCTCAGTTTTGTCACTTATAAAATGGGCCTGAAGGTATTCTAAGAATGTGTCAAATGCTTTGTGAACAGCAAAGTGATATACAGGTTTCAGGGCAGGCTGTGCTGGGTATTGTAGTTGCTGTTGGTAGCTTGATCTTTATTTACCTGCCTGACCTTCAGAATTTGTAACTTGCTCTTTCTCTTTCTAATTCCTTTCTAACACAGCCTACATTTTTCTAGTCATAATTCCAGGTAGAATTGGATGGCATCTTAAAACTAATTTTACACTCCTCAGAAAGTTTCAGAAACTGAGGCTCAGAGAAAAACCCAAGGTCCCTCAAGAAATCAGGATTTGGATCTCTAGGTCTTTAAACCGCTGGTCCAACACTCTTCCCTTTCTCATCCAATAGCTTATTCATTAATTTCACAAACATTTATTGGGTACCTATTTTGTGCTAGGCAGGAGGGCATTTCTAATCTTACTTCCAAAAAATAGTCTGCAAGAGTATCAGAACATCTTTCAGTGCTAGTGTCTAAGACTGGGTGAACATTCTGGCCATATTGTAATCATTATCAGATCACATTTTTACAGTTATACTGGTATTTCTCTATTGTTGTTGTTGTCACTATTATTATTGCTGAGGAAGTCTCCCTTTGAGTGAGCACTTAGAAAGAGGTTCAAGGTAGAGCTCAGAAAAAAGCATGGCTGCTCTGGCTGAAGGAGGAGTACCTCCATCCCCAGAACCTTCTGCTGCAGCTCGGCCAAATTCCTAGCACTTCAATGTTATCAGAATTTGGGAACCACTGCATTGCACAATTCTCTTTCTTGGATTTGACTTAATTAGAAGTTCTATCTCTAGACAGAGTTGAGAAGTATTTACTATTATTTCGAAGAGCCAGAGAAACTTTGTATGGTCAGAAAAGGTTAACCTGCTTTCTTTTCATCATTATATCCACTTCTTTGAAATATAAGTGAACAAGAACTTTGAATTTTCTTGTTTGGGAAGATGTTTCTTTTGGGTATCCGCATGTTACTTTGGCCAACTTCAGGCTACAATTCTCCAAAATACAGGCCTGTTAAGATTATTCTAACTTCATATGAATGAGATTGTTGGTTGGCTTGGTTATAGTCTGTAAAGACATCCTAATGATATTAACAAATCCATGATCAGAGTATATTTCGCAGGTCCAAAGTCATCTTCTCTCCTAGGAGTGGGGGTGGTGGGTTTGATGTTTTGATACAGTTCTTCCACCACTAAAATATACCAATGAAGATATCATACTGAGAATAAACCGGGGCTTATTACAGTCAGCAAGTCAAAATAAAGGCACGCTGAAAATATACACTAATAAAGCTTGCTGGCCGGGTGCAGTGGCTCACGCCTGTAATCCCAGCACTTTGGGAGGCTAAGGTGGGCAGATCACCTGAGGTCGGGAGTTTGAGACCAGCCTGACCAACATGGAGAAACCCTGTCTCTACTAAAAATACAAAATTAGCTGGGTGTGGTGGTGCATGCCTATAATCTCAGCTACTTGGGAGGCTGAGGCAGGAGAATAGTTTGAACCCAGGAGGCAGAGGTTGCGGAGAGCCAAGACTGCGCCATTGCACTCCAGCCTGAGCAACAAGAGCAAAACTCTGTCTCTAAATAAATAAATAAATAAATAAATAAATAAATAAATAAATAAATCTTGCTATGAAATCTGAAACAGCTGCATTTCTCTACATTAAGAAGAGGTACAGGGCTGGGTGCAGTGGCTCATGCCTGTAATCCCAGCACTTTGGGAGGCCGAGGAGGGCGGATCACCTGAGGTCAGGAGTTCAAGACCAGCCTGGCCAACATGGTGAAACCCTGTCTCTACTAAAAATACAAAAAATAAAAATAAAAAAAAATTAGCCAGGCATGGTGGCGTGTGCCTGTAGTCCCAGCTACTTGGGAGGCTGAGGCAGGAGAATTGCTTGAACCTGGGAGGTAGAGGTTGCAGTGAGCTGAGATCATGCCACTGCACTCCAGCCTGAGCGACAGAGCAAGACTTCATCTCAAAAGAGAAACAAAAAAAGAAGAGGTATGGGACATGCAATAATGAATGAATGAAAATAAGAAGCAGCTTTTTTTTCTCCCTTGTAATAAGTCTATCACAGGGAAATCACTATTTCCACAAGAGTCCAGTTTAGGAGAGTGTGTTTACTTCTTTCTCCATCCTGCTCCCCTACCATTTCTCTCTCTTTTGTCCCAACCTTACCAAAGTACAGGAAAGCAAAATATAAAGCCTGAGGTAGAGATGGAAATGAATGGAAAGATGACTTATAAGCTGTCTCAGCTCATCTACTGTCCACCAGATGCACAGATAAAGGGCCCAGCTTTACTGGTATAGAAATAACAGTTCGCCAAAGCTACTCTAAAGAATGATCAGAAATGCCAATTTTTTAACATTTACATGTAAAACATTATATTTTTGTGAATGTAAACTGGTATCTTTCTCGAGGAGCAATTCATCAGTATATTTTACAAACCCTTGGTATCAACATGTCCAATTATAGGAATTTATCCTAAGAAAAATAATCATGAATGCATACTAAGAATCAGCTACGTAATGTTCATGGCAGCATTGCTTATGACAGTGTAAAACTGGAAACGACCTCAATTTCCAGTATAATGATCTGTGTAACATATGAAATACTCATACACAGAATATTAAACAATCATTAAAAACAATGTTGTCAAATAATATTTGATGAGATGGAAAGATTCTGTGATATATTGATAATTGAAGAGAACAGATTATATTAAAAATTGTATATGTGTAAAATAAATATTGGAAGGACATATACTAAAATGTTAACAGTAGTTATTTCTGTATTATGCTATTTGGGTTATTCATGTATTTCTAGATTTTCTACGATAAACATGAATTACTTTATTAAGAATTTTTTTTAATATTGGGAAAAAAGAAGTGCCCTGAAGAAGATGAAATGTCTTTGGAGAAATTGAATGATTCATTATTTAGAAATCTGAATTATACCTTCACATTTTAAGTGCAATCCAAAATAAAAAATGATTTCTTTGTAGAAAGTCTTAATTATTTCTTTAAGGAAAGTGTCTTCCCCTTGGCAATTTGCAGCCTATCCTGTCACATGTTTTACTTTTATTCTTTTTCTTCCCCCAAACAGAGTTCAGATTTATAGCAGCTGCTATTGCTTTTAATGTAGTAGTTGCACCTAATTCCTATAGCACAGTGAAATTCCACCACTCTCCATTCCACACTTTGCCTTTAGCAAAAAGCAGTCTGGGAGACATAAAACCAAGATATTTTCTAAAGACAGGTAGCAGACACTTTTACTAAATATGAAATACCAAAGCTACCCTAAGCCAGATGGGCATTTACTAAAAAGGTTGCAAGTAAGCATCAGATAATTTTAAGCTCCTCAGATGGGGCAACTTTGGAAGTTGGATATATGAGCACCTTAAGTCAAAGATGTCTTTGAAAAGAATCATGAACCATCCTCCAGAAAGAACCACAAAATGTCCATCTGCAAGAGATGTGAATTTGACCTTTGAATAAACGATATGAGATTAAAAAAAAAAAGAAGAATATAGAATTTCCTTTTCTCTTGCCAAAGTCCAAGAGGCATTGTAAAAAAGATGGTTACAAATATGGGCTACAGAGCCCCAGTCCAAATACTGACTACGGGAGTTTGGGAATGTTTTTTTCAATCTCTCCATGCCTCAGTTTCCTCAGCTATTAAGAGATATTAAAATGTCTTCATCTCATAGAGTTAAAATAAAAGTTAAATAAAATAACTGATATTTTGCATATGCTTGACAAATGAAAAGCATTCCACAAATGCTACTGTTTTATCATTTTTAATTATTTTACATTATTAGTTTTATTCAGTTCAGCCCCATAATCAATGAAGGAACTCATCCTACTATGAATTTTAAGAAATCAAAGAAATTATTTGGAATTGCTGTTTAGAAAACAGAGGCATATTCCAAAATTTGTTTCATATTCATACATATGGACAAAACTTGTTTTTAGCTGCAATCCATAACTTTCATTTACAATTGCAATTCATGACTTCTCAACTGATTTTTGCTTCAAATTACATTCCTACATAGCTCTCCATCCTGGAATGCATATATATGATAGGAACAACTAATTGCCTTTTTAGGGTGGAATGATGGGGCAGTCATCAGTAGTGCTTCAAAAAATTGCCCTTTAAAACAAGAAAGGGCTGGTGTGTTCCCCTATTTTTTGAACCTAGTTAATTAGTAAAGATTTCTCCATTTCCTGTTAATCTCACTGTGATTGCAGGGATGAACATACCATTAACATTTCTGAGAATTTCTCTCTATATGGCAGAGAAATTCCACTTAATCTTGATCACTATACCCATCTTCTCAATACTTCATAAAACCACCACTACCTACAGAAACAATTAATATTTTAGGATGTCCTTGCTTCTGCTCCACCTAGCACAGGATAGGTTGCTACCAATTTAGTGCAAAAAGTGAAATATACACTCTTTTAATCATCCTTGAGGAGAATTAAAAACCTAGCCATGAGCTTTACATGATGCCCATCAGTCGTATTTAAACATACAAGTCCACACTATGACCACTGGACTCCAAATACTATCATTAGCATTTATTACAACAGCAAAGAGAAACATCAGTGGGCCACAGATTATATGTTTGAACATGAAAAAAGTAAAAGACAATATACCAGGAAAAAACTAGCCTCTGTAAAACATTAATCGACCCATCAATTCATTAACTGATGGTCAAAATAGATAGATGTTCTGGCATATACGGTAAATTGAAATAATCCCAATTTTCTTCATTCAAAAAAATGTTCCCATTACACATTTCATTAACAAAACCCCTCCACTGCAAAGGCTGTAAAGAGAGAAACCATATCACATTTAAAGAGTAATGAACATATGTTTGGGCTATATTTTAAGGATGAGACATGTATAGTCAATACAGCCTAAAACAAGTAATGCCAAAACTATAATCCTGATGGGCCACAGCATGCAAAGAATTATCTGCTACTGTTGTCAAAACCAAATAGTGGGAATTGAAGCAAAGGAGCAAAGGACTAAAGAAAGCCCAAGAGGCTAAAAGAAAAGATCTTAGAATTAAGCTCCATGAAGGCAGGGGTGTTTGTGTTTTTTCCTCTGCTGTTTCCCAAAGTAGTACATAGTTGACATTCAATATTTGTTGAATTGATGGAGAAATGATGAAAAATAAGATAATACCAGAAAATTAGAAATAGAACTACCTTATGACCAGCAATCCAACTTCTGGGCTTATATCCAAAGGAAATGAAATCAGTGTGTCAAAGAGCTATCCACACTCTCATGTCTATTGCAGCATTATTCATAACAGCCAAGATACAGAGCTAACCTAAATGTCCATCAATGGTTGGATGCATAAAGAAAATGTGATATGTACACAAAGGCATACTATTCATCCTTAAAAAATAAGGAAATCCTGTCATTTGCAACAATGTGGATGAACCCGGAGGACATTATATTAAGTGAAAAAAAGCCAGGCACAGAAAAACAAATACTGAATGATCTCACTTATATGTGAAATCTAAATAAACAGAACTCATAGAAGCATTGAGTAGAATGGTGGTTACCAGGGGCTGGGGTAGAGAGAAGGGTTAGAGGAGATGTTAGTCAAAGGATACAAAATTTCAGTTAGACAGGAGGGATACATTCAAGAGACATCTTGCACAACATGGTAATTATAGGTAACAACAATGGGTTTTATACTTGGAAATTGCTAAGAGAGTACATTTTAAATGTTCTTACCACAAAAAAAGTATGTGAAGTAATGCATATGCAAATTAGTTTGATGTAGCCATTCCACAATGTATACATATTTCAAAACATCAGGCTGTACACAATATACACAATTTTCATTTATCAATTAAATTAATAATAATAATAAATACCAGAAACACCCTTTATATTACAGTTGCATGGCTGTGTGTGGATGTGCACACATTATTCTAACAACTGCAGCTGAATGCTGGTACCCTGAGTAAGCAAACCCCGTAAGCAAAACTCTTTACAGAGTGGTGTCCCAAGAAGTCTTATTCCTGTCAAGTATATAAGTTAGGAACATAAAGTGCCAGAACTACATATTACCTGGCATTGTTTATCCTGGCACTTAAGATATCTTAGCCATTACCTAGGAATTAAACAAAAATTAAAAATCAAATGCCTGAGTTAGCAATGAACTCGTGTAAACAGAAAAAAAAATAGTTATTGTTTTAAATAAATCACAAAATTGGACCAAGGCCTTGGAAAGGTTAAAGTTGGAGTGTAAATGGCAATTATCCAAACAATTCTACATTCTTAGCTCTACTTGAGAAAGATCTTTTGTGAAATGGACATTAGGGAATCACAGCATCAAAAAGGGAATGAAAGAATTCTGGTACAGAATCGCCAGAAAGCCTAAGTATTTGGGATGCTTTCCTAAATCTCTATTTTCTGATGTATATATAATGTTAACCATAAGCCTTACCATTGCTGTTGTATATTCTTGATGGCTCTGTAACTTCCTGGTATTTAAAAAGACTATGACTATGAACATGTGTTGGAGATATGTTTTTATATTTTCTTTTTGGCTTTGGGTCATTATCTGATGCATAGATCAAAAGCAGGGCTTTGGTCCTGATGTTTGATTGCATGCACTCTAACAGGACTAAAAGGAAACATCAGGTTTTCAGAATTTGGGTTATAATGATTGGATTATAGGTTTTTTATTTCTTTAGTTTTTTGGGGGGAGGGCCAACAATGTTCCTGCTATATGAAATACATTTTAAATATGACTTTACAGAATATCACCATCAAAATAGTTTGCCAGCCATCACTGAAACCAAGGCTTAGTATTTTTCAAGTTGCTCTATATGAATTCCTTTGTTACAATAATTTGCTACATGTCCCTCATCACGCTAGATACTATTAAAGATGCAAAAGAAACACATGATATAGCCCCTGCCTTCTGAAAGCTGACATAAGGTAAAATAAAGAGCATTATAAGACCAAAAGGGTTCACTGCTAAAATGTGTACGATGAGCTACGCATGCCATGAAAAACCAGCCAGATGGCAGGTATGCTGAGGACAAAGTAATTAATGATGGAGGGAGCTGGATTTGAGAGGATACCTGGCAGAAGATACAATGGAAAGAGTAGGGTATTCAGTTCAGTGAACTGTATATGCAAAAATGTGGGAAAACCAACCAAAAGAAGATGGAGTGTGGTTTTCTTTCTAAAAACTCCATAATTATCTATTATATAACACTTATTGAATATTTATTAAGAGCCAGGCTGACTTGACTTACATAATTCAACTTAAACCTAAAAAAGAAATGGTAAGGTAATAGTATTATCACAGTTTTCCAAATAAGGAACCTGAGATCTACAGTGCAAGTAATTTAGTTACACAGCTAGCAAATAGAGAAATGAGAGGTGAACCCAGGCAACACAGCTCCCACGCCATATTACATGCGTGACACTGGTTCATAGAACTCTTGAGGAGTTATTACTGGTAAGGGGGATAAATAGGCTTAGCCTAAAGTGAGTGACAGAAGCTTCACTGTGGTGAAACTATATAGAGATCAGAAACAGAATTCCATGACTGGAAAATACTCTGGGTCCCACGCAAAGATGTCTTCATCTTGATTCCCATTTTGTAAAATGCGCACGTGCTTACAAATGCAACAGCAATATCTCTTTAATCATAGAATCTGCTGTTATCATGGAGTTCAAGAAAGACATCCAAATTCTATATAAGAAGTCACCCAGAGAAACCAAACCCAGGCAAGTAAGTCACTTAACCTTTCTCGATCTCAGTTTCCTCATCTTAAATGAGGGAGGAAGGACTTAGTGATCTCTTGGGTCCAGTTTAAAATTCTGCAAGCATTTTATAAATGTCACTAACAATTTCAGACAAACTCTAGAATTCCAGAAATGAAAATGTCAACTGAATAATCAGTAGCAGATGCCACGTGGAAGTTCTGTCATGATCCTTCTTGAAAAATAAATTTGTTTAATTAATGACACAGGAAGGCAAGTACCCCAGGAAAACTTCCTTTAACAACTTGAAAGTCTTTATCTATCACAAGACAAACACAAAAGGACTGAGGTGTATTGTATGAAAAATGGGCACTGTGTATTTAATATCAATTTTTGTCATAAACCCTATAGCTTCCTACCTTAATTAATCTAAATATTCAAGATAATGAAATATATTTTACTGAAGTATGCTTAAGGCCAACAATATCATTAACTAATTGAGCTCTTGTTAAGACAAGTGATGCATCAACTGAAATTATCTATTTCCTGGTTGTTTATGTTTAAACAACACCATTTCCTAAGGAAAACCTTGTAAATGAAACACTTCCTAATTTAAGAGAAGCACTCAGAAAATAAGCCTTTGAAGAACTCTTGGTGAATTCATAAGCATTTCAAATAATGATTTTGGTTTCCTGAGCCCCGGCATTTTTATGTCATGTGATAAAAGTAGGAAGAATAAAAGGCTCATATTTTTTCATTTATTCTTTTTCATTTAGTCTTTAGAATATCTTCCTGATTTTGTCTTTGTTCATGATTGCTCTTAAGAAATGAGTTCTTCTCCATGTATTTTTTCCACCTAGCTTTTAAAAACTTCTATTTATTGAGCTATCATTTACAAACAGCAAAATGCATAAATCTTAAGTATACAGCCCAATGAATTTTTTACATATGTATATACCATGTTAACCACTGCCCAGATTAGGATATAAAACATTTTCATCACCCAAGTGAGTTCCCTTGTGCACCTTTCTAGTCAATAACCCTCAGCCCCACTGAAATAGCTAGTATTCTGATTTCTATTTTGATGGATTAGTTTTGCCTGTCCTTGAAATTCATATAAATGGATTCATACACAGTGGATTCTTTTGTGTCTGGCTCCTTTCACTTAATGCAACATTTCTTAGATTCAACTGTGTTGTACGGGAATCAGTAGTTCATTGCTTGCTCTTGCTGAATGCAGAGATATATGAGAGTTTGTTTATCCATTCACCTGTTGATGGACATTTCGGTTGTCTCCAGGCCTGGGCTGTTATGAATAAAGCTGTGTTGAATATTCCTGTACAGGTCTTTTTGTTGACATATGTACTTGCTTCTTTTGAGTGTATTCACAAAAGCTGAATTGCTTGGTCATAGGGTAGGTGTGTGTTTAACTGTCTATGCATTTTTTTTATTAACACTGTCTGAGAGTTGCCATATTAAACAGCAATTATCTTTTCTAAGTATATCGGGTTGAGCTCTGCAGTAGGAAAAAAGTGGAGTCTCTGGGCATTCTCATAGTAATCTCCCAAACTCAGCATTCAGGCTGTTATTAAATAGAAGAACTAGCAATTTTTCAGCAGTTACCTGTGCACACACAGAGGGTGGGTGCCTTTTTCACATCCTCCGCAGGTGCTGGGGAAATCCTGCCCCTCTACCATCAGGGAGATTCTCTGGAGACCAGGTGACATTCCAAACCTCAGACTTCCTAGCAGGAAATGCATCAAAACCCAAATCCTAACACGACAAAATCTTTGGCAAGGCCAACATAACATCCCATTCAGTCACTCAAGCTTCCACAAATTTTGATAACTTATCAGGACTACGACTGCCCTGGGTGCAGCACTGAGCAGTAGACTTCGGCCTGGAGAAGTCTCAGTCATTTTAAAACCCATCTCCCTCTGCTCAGATGATCATCTTCCCTCTGATTTACAGGGGCTGACCTGCAGGTGTTGAAAAGGGGCTCTTCATTTAACCAGACAGCAATAATCTCAGGAAGTATATTTCCACAGCTACATCGTCCTTCTCCCATTCTCACCACCAAAGCCAGCCAGCAACTCACTCCCTCCAGAGGTGACTCTGTAATGTGCCTTGGGCTATATCTGGGTCAGTGATAGGAAACCCTTATAATTCTACCCCCAAAAAGGCAAGAGAAAAATGATCACAGGGATCAAGGAGAGTGTCTCCTTATACTAATCTTTTTGCCTGATAAGAGGTGACCCATATCCAGAACTGGAGATTTATATATGCATTTTGACATAAATCTGCATCTGTAATTATGAGTCATAATGATCTTTATAGGCTGCACTAAATTGGTGAAGAAGAGTTACTGTTATTGACAAAGCATTGACCTGAACATTAGTGGTGGAAGAGCTAATTATATTTTTTCCTGAGGAGTGGGACTTCTTTTCTAGTTATGAATCACTTAGAATCGAGGCCTTTATTAAATACCTTTTCACATCTGAATATAAACAGAACTGAGCCTCCCAAGCACATCCTTTATCTTCACATAATTACAGATGTATAAAAATTTCAAAACACATTCTAGAGGCTTTTTTTTAGTGTTTCAAAGACAGTGATGAGGGTTTTGCAAGGTGACTGAAGAGGCTGATATATATTTTGTGAAAGCAAGCTGTCTGCAGGATACACTCCCATGTCTGAAAGACTGAGACCTATTTTTAGCTGGGCATGCTGGGATTCACGTGTGGAGCCACCATTAGCGTTAATAGAGCTCTGTGCGGCTGACTACTGTGTGCAGGCAGCCCAGAAAATGTACTCTTTAGAGCAATGGAATCTTCAAGCGAGCTTTAAATCATAGCCTTATCATACTTGCATGTTATTGGCAAGCCTGCCTAAAAATAGAATCTCATTACTTTAATTCTACAGTATTCTTAGGTGAGCCGACCTTTATTATTAATAACAGCATTTCACACACACACATATATATATATATATATATATATAGCACTGTCTGCTTAAGAGAACTTCACAAATTATACACATAAAACTTTCCTAGCTTAATGTAACAAGCTATGGGTAAAGGGGGCAGGAGGTAGGTGGTAAGTAGTGGCTCCCACTCTCCATCCAGGGTGGAGGACTGAGAAAATGTCACTAGGTGGCTCTAAACAAAGCCACTCTTTGAAGTTGAGCCATTTGCCCAACAAGCATTTTAATTCTGTGAAAGTATGTTGTATTTTTCATTGATAATTTGTAAGGCCCTGGGGACAGTCACAGCAACCCTGAGAATAATAGGCTGCTTCTATGATATATTTTTTGTTTATCTATTCAGGTCTTAGCTGAGTCTTGGAAACAAGAGCCACAATAAAAATGCATGCCTTTTCCACTCTCCAAACCACGAGCTTGCTCTGAGGAGCCTTTCTCTAAGCTTATGAACCCAAACTCAGCTATCGAGAATAGAAGGAGGATGGAACATTATCAGCCATCTATGCACTTACACCAATTACTTACCAAGGTTGTGTGAATGGTTAGTAGAGTTAGTAGCTGTGGTTTCCGGATAAATGTAGAGTGGATATGTAAATAATGCCTTCTGAGCATAGAGTAGTGTTACAGGCATGATTCTAGTTCTACACTGTAACTGCATAATCATGTGAGAAACAGAGAGTGAACTGTATGGTGGTTCAGACAGGTATTCATGCAGCCTGCAATTCAGTGGAACAAACACGGGATACCTATCTCCATTCCCTTAGTGCATTTAAGTATAAGTGCATGTCATCTATAGAAGCCGTCAAGTTCAGGATTTCCACAGTAACAAACATCTATGAAATGACTTCTGAGTCAAGCACTGTTCTAAAAACTGGATATGAAAATACTGAATAAGACATAGCCTCTACCCTCCAGCCAGCTTGCAGCTTAGAGAGGAAACAGATATGTAAAAGGAAATTTCAATCAGTGGGAGAAGCATTTTGATAAGAACAGAATATGCAGGCATTTCTAGGAGCACAGAAGAGAGGTGTGCAGCCAGGTCTTGAGTGGTCAGGGAATGCTTCCTGGAAGAGACGGCACGTCAGGTAGCCAAGCCAGGGAGGAGCAAGGAGAAAGTCCCTAAAGGCAGAGGAATCAGCAAGTACAGAGTCCTTGAGGCAAGAGTTACACAATCCTAGCACTGAAAATGAATCAGGGAGACTGGAGTTTATCTAGCTAAGGGCAAGTAGAGGCCACTGGAGGATGAGGCAGGATGCTGAAAGGCTGTGTGTGCCACATAGAGGAGCTTGGTCTTTATCCCGAGAGCAGTGGAGACTTCACAGCATAGTATTTGAAGGGGGCAGGACTAAGGTTTTATTCTGAAATACAGCAGGTAAGATAGTTCAGCTCATTCTGCCTCATAGTTGTACTTCTCAATGTGGCCTATACTGTCTCTTTTTCCCTGAATTTCCCTTTTCTTCCCTTTATATGAACTGTCCTAGGATAATGACATCTCAGTACTGAGTCAAAGTAAGCACACTGGGTCTTCCTGTGAACTCAGAAGTAAAATCAATGGAAAGACCCTCAGGACACTGGTTGATACCAGGACACATTCAATACTCCCAGCTGCGTTTGTGACACCAGAGTCTCAGAGGTAAATCCTACAAAATGTCACCGAGTTTTGTGC
The DNA here is from genome assembly GCF_000001405.40 of Homo sapiens. Taxonomy (NCBI): domain Eukaryota; kingdom Metazoa; phylum Chordata; class Mammalia; order Primates; family Hominidae; genus Homo; species Homo sapiens. The sequence continues at coordinate 176,685,613 of NC_000002.12, read as the reverse complement.
TCTTTTGATGGCTTAAGGCATGAAAAGAGGGACAAAAGGGAACTGCACAAAAAGGGCATTTCTTGTACATTGACCATGATAGATATGCTTGTTCAGGAAAGAAAAGGTGAACTGGAAAGCCCGTGTGTCTGATATGGACAGGAATGTATATGTGTTTGTGTTTCTGAGATGGAGAAATGCTTCTCGAAAGGCCATTCTATTGGCATGAACTCCTATCGTGGCCCCTGACAGCCTGCAGAGCACGGGCTGTTTGCATCCCACAAAGCTTCAAGGGGACTGCTGGCCCAGAGGGTCACAGACCAAAGGTGGCACGACACCTCTGAAAGCTTCTGGAAAGAGCCCAGTTCAACTGCCTTTCTTCTTCCTCCCTTTCTTCTTCGTTTCTCCCCATAGGAGATCCCTCGCCTCCCACATGGCTTTGGGAGAAGATGCTGTGATTGTTAATCTGGATGAAAAACGGGAAAACTGGGCTGATTATTTTGGACTATTCCTTCCCCTTGGAAAATCTGCTTTCAGACGTTCACTTCCAAATGCTAGTAAAGCCTTGTCAGCTGTAAAATGAGGGTTTGGGGAAAATTCAATAAAATCACCCATGTAAAGAGCTAAACACTGACCTGGTTATTATAGGAAGACCTCAATAAATGTTGGCTACTGGTCTCGTGACTCCTGTGAGCCAGCCTGGTTTTGATTTATTCTTCACTCCAACCTATAGGCTCTGAGTCCAACATGGCAATTCTTCCTTGTCTACCAACCTCCAAAGATGCTTGGGAGTTTGGGCACATATCTCATTTCGTATCCTCTAACAAGTACTTACATCATTCAATCTAGTGCTATCTTTTAGCAAGTATTTTTGAATTGGAGAGTTTCTGTAGGAGAAAAGGACTCAAGCTTAGGCAGAAGTTTGGTGAAACTATATTCACACAAAGCATTGTAAATGGAAAAGCAATTTGGCAATATATATCAAGACCCTTAAAAAATGCTCACATTTTTCAACTCAGTCATCTACCTCATTTCTGAAGATCATTTCCAAGGAAATCATCCAGAATATAGGAAAAAATACGAACATAAATATATCGACCGTGATACTATTTAAAGTATTTAAAAATTGACAACAACCTAAATATCTACGGATAGAGTTGTAGTTAAATTAATATTGATATATCAAAATAATGAAATAGTAGCAATTCAATTCTGCAGTTCCATTGGGAACCTTCAGAAGGATTCTACAGCAGTTTAACCTGGGAGGTAGGTTTGAAAGAACCTTAATGGCTTTCCTGATACAGCCTTCTTTTGAAAGACGATATATTCAAAATGGCCAGGCAACTTTGCTCAAACATGGGCACAATGAATAGATGGCTTTTTGAGTGTAGCTACCAAGCCCCAGTAGTGCAGGGATCACAACTTTATGTTTCCTGATAAATGAGTAGAATATGCATTGTTTATTGAGAATATGGGCTATGCCATTAGTCAATTTACATATATGATTTTATCTTTAAAAAAAACTTATGAGGTATTATTACCTCATTTTACTGATAAGGAAGCTAAATTCCAAAGCAATACAAATGATCTGTCTGACTTCAAAGCCAGTCATAAGGTTATCCTGAGGATTAGATGACATCATGTGTGTGAAGCTATAGTAACATCTCAATACATAGCAGCTGGTATTTTTACAAATCACTATGCCACATTGCCTCTAGCAATGCTAAATAATCCAATTTAAAAAGATTTTTAAAGTAATTTTTGGTCTGAACCAGAAACCATTGATGCCATGTAGACAAGTTCCAGAAGAATAGTATGATCAACACCTTTAGCAGCATAGCCTTTCAGTGATTAACATTCCTCTCCTGTCACGTGAATGCCAGTTCCTTGTCAAGCTGGAGATAAAGGTGAGCAATGCTTTTAGTACATGGAATTCTCACTATTTGCCACAGGAGAGCCTTCTGCAATGATGGACAACTAGAATTGACTTATCCTTGGAGAATCACATTATGATACTTTGGAAGTAGTAGAAAGGGAAGGAGGTTTTAGAAAATAGAACATGAGTAAATTTGCTATGAGAACATAATCTTAACAAATGAATTCATTAGCACAGATATATGAACTGTCATTTGATGAAATCAAATGAGGCAAATATTTAATAGTGTTAGGTTGTAGCAATCCAATTAAATAAGCAGTTTCCTTAGAGTAAGAGCATCATTCTTTAAAAATGGAGTCTTTTCACACGATATATGAAATTATCACTCAATGAATAAAATGTTCACCTTTTATTACATGTCAAGCTTATTTTTAAAAAGCATGTTGAGCCAAATTGCCTTTTTCTGTCTCACACCCAATTATTGCTCTATCGTACCTTTCAGGTGGTACTACCTGATGAACCTGGCTTCTTGTTAGATGCTCAAACAGCCCATTAGTTTTGTAACAGCCAAGAGAGGAGAGGTTGGGCTGCTCCATGTTCTAGAAGCAACTACCCCTGAGCCAGTGTGTAGCAGCAAGCAAGCCCATACTGCTTCCAGTATAAGAAAGCCTCTACTTTGTTTCTGACAACCATCAAAAGTTTTACTCTATTAAATGGAATATGTCCTTATGTCTTTTGCACTATTTTTCTGCTTCTAGAAATTCCCGGACAGATTTAACCTACCTGAATTTGAAACAAGCACTATTTTTCTCTCCGTGTCTTCTATCTAATCTATTTTGGGGTTGTTTTTCTGAAATGAGAATAATGGCAGACAGAAATGCCATTTAGCTTGCTCGCTTTTTCTTTGCCTGCCTCTCTCCTTCCTTACCTCCCTCCCTCTCTTCCTCCTCCTCCTTCTCTCTCTTTCTCTCCTGTTAGGGCTTAGTTAGAAGAAGAGGTGTTTATAAAACAGATAAAGTTCAGCTTGCTTGCCTTGCCTTGCTGGCTTAGAATGTGAAAACTATGGAAGAAGGCACACATTCTAACGGATGCCTGAGAAAAATTGCCTCTTCACAGAGTGTTTGGAAGAAACACCATTAAATGAAAGGCAAAAAATAATTGCACAACATCTCAGAAACCTTGCTCTCAGCTGCTTGATGAGCTATTTGTGTCTCTTCGTGGATTTTTTTTTATTTAGAAAAATGGGATGAGTCACTTTTTATTTTCCCCTCCTTTGGAGTCTTAGAGGTTGTTTAATCTCAAGCGAACTCAATTCACATTTTCCTGGCAATGTTAGCTATCAACTCAAATCATTTTAGTCATTGCATCATACTGCCAGTCAGCAAGCAGGGACCTAATTAGCTCTTTGCTTTAATGGCAATAGTTAAATTTGCATTATTAATTTAAATATTACAGACACTGTGGACTTGGGCACATAGCTGAGAGAAAGATGTAGAATGAATAATAACTTGCTGAAAAACACCAGTCATTATTCCCATCATGTTCAAACTTTTTAGCTATAATGATATCAATTAAAATCCTAATCCTGGAAAAAGACTTACTGGTTCTCTTTTGTTGTAAAAACTGCAGTTGTATTTAAATGCAGGGCTGGGGTATTCAAGCTATATGTTGCAAAATACAGTGGTCACACAGATCAAGAGATACAACTAGAGTTTTAATTATATTTTTGCTTTTTTAAAAATATCCAAATGATAAAAATGTATGAAGTTCTTTGGCATCCTGTCCTGAACATTCCTAGTGTTTCGCATGTCCTGAAGTACTGCAATCACTCTGCAGTGTCAAAACCTGTTTGGGTTACAAGACAGATGGGACTTTCAAAATGAAATGTACCTAAGACTGTTTGCTACTATATATATAAAATGTCTCATTTAGTCTCATCTGTGATTTTCCAAGAGGAAAATGTTTCCAGGAGCAATTTATCTCAGTCCTACAGGTTTGTATCACTGAATGACCATCTGAAAAACAGGGCTGGAATCTTTTCTTAAAGGGAAAGTGCATAAGTGTGTTACAGAGTTATTTTCAATGCAGTAGGTGAACAACATGAAAGAGCTCTAAAATAAATGAAATGCTAAATATGAAAAAACTGAAAATATGAACTTTATATGTTTTCATCTGGTGTGTGAAACCTTTCATTTGAGTTCAAAAAATATTTCATACTGTATCTGTGAAAACAAAACAACTGGTAGAAAAGATAAAATTAATAGACAACAATGCTCAATTTTGTGCCAAATTGTACTTTTTAGCTTCTCCTTCCCCTTAGTTACCTAATCAGCTCCTTATTTGAGTAAACCAGCCTATTACTTCTTTGACATGAATGCCCTCCCCTCTTAAGACAGCTACCACTTTGATAGGGCCTACAAGTCAGCTAGCTGCAAAGACTCCCTTAATGCCCTGAACTTCGATTTCTCTTTTATGGCCTCTACTATATATTTATTTATTTTGTCTTTAATTGAAGATCCTCATTTCCTCTTTCAAATAAGTTCTTTGCACTCAGACTCTGTGTCTGATTTATTTTTGCCTTCCTGACAATGCTTAGTACTTGGGAGGAGCTCAGTGATCTTGACTGAATGAACAAGAAATGAGCTGGCTACAGAGGGATGATGCAATGGTTCAGTCATCAAATTTAAAGTCACTTTTGCTTTGGTTGCATAAAATGCATTACTCCAATTTTAAAAGATGAACTATGATTTCATAATTTATTTGGGTCAAAGACCTGAGTTCAAGCTATACTTGATTTTGCTCATCAGTGGAGTGGTTCTATCCAAGGCTCAGCTTCTTTAGCAGCAAAATGGAGATAGTAGTGACTTCCCAGTTAGGATTACATAAACAAGAACCCTGTGGTCTTGTTGGTGAAACATGAGGTCTAAATAACAAAACATATAATGCCTCTCGATTCACTGGAAATTGCAGATAAAAATGTACAGGGTTATAACTGCTAATAAATGCAGTTGCAACTGTGTTTGATCGATACAGCATGGTGGCAAAGTATAAGGTCTAAGTCTTCAAGGAGGACAGGCTATACCAGAAGAGCATCTAGTACTTTAGGTACCAGATTATTGAGTACTAGTTTAACCCAATACTGAATGGGTTAGCAATCTATATTGTCTTAGGATGGCAGTTTAGAGTAGTAGTCAAGAATACGGACTCTGGAGTTAGAATTCTTGGGTTCGAAGCTTAGAATAATAATAAGTGTCTTTTAGGTCTTTCAGGATCCTTGTAAGGATCAAATGGCATAATTTACATAAAGCTCTTAACACAGTGGCTCTAGCCTTTGATGAGATCTCAATAAGTGTTAGCTATGATCAAACAATCAAATCATTACTAGTTCATCTGTATGCACAAATATGCTTCCTGTTGTTTTAAAAGTAATTCTATGTATTTTCATGTTTCCAAAAACAGGGGATCTCCCTTCCCTTTTTCAATGGACTAGCACAGGACCTGCCCACAGAGGCCCTAACTCAGTGCTCTCTGAATGAATGGATGAATGGGTACAGGTCAGTGCTCAAAATTAACGGGCAGGATGTGTCGATGGGAGCCAACAAAAATATCGATACTCCACTATTTACATGTCAGGGAGTTGAATTATTGTCTACTGGACTCTCCCAGACCACTCTGGGCACTGTTTTTAGTGAAGCGGACACTTGGGGTCACACTTTTGATGACAGCAATAAGAGTGAACACTTGGTGAGGGTTTACAATGCACAAGCACCATGCTAGAAGCCTTACGTGCATTATCATATTTTATCTTACCATAACCCTCTAACATGATACCATTCTTATTCCCATTTTACAGGGAATATCACTGAGGCTCAGAGAGGTAAAATTAATTTGGCTGAAGTCAAACTGAACAATGAGGGCACTGTGGCTCAAACTCACATCACTGGAATTCCAAGTATATGTACCTGACGTTACATAATATTGTCTCTGTGGAATGCTTTGAGGAAAGGAACCTAAGATTTTGGAACTCTGAGACTATGCTGAATCTGCTAAAATTTTGAGATGCTCTCTGTTCTGGAGGTAAGTCTCAACTAAATGATTCTTCTGATTATTAACTCGGCACCCCTGTTTTGAGCCAGAATCAACTCCAAATTTGCAAAACCACCTCTTTTCCTTTGCCAGCACCCTCTGCCACCTGCTGTCTTTCCTGTGTTAAAACCATGGGGCAGAGAACACTTAGCAAATTAATAGAAGAAAAAAACCTCACTTTTCTGGCTCATAAAATGTTGAGCCAGTTTCTTTGGAACCTCCTTAGCTAAGATACTGAAAAGAATGGAATTTATACTACAACTTTCTTCCCAGATGGTAAAGTGCTTTACAAATAATGGAACTAATGCAATTCATTTGTAGTGAGTCAATTTGTCACCTTGGATGTTGTATTAACTCTCTGAAGCCAATTCAATTGCGGATTCAATAAATAAGCTCTTCCAGTGTACTACATGATGCCCTGCTGGTTAGAAAGAGTCCTACATAAATGGTAATTTGATCCTTTGCCACTCTGAATTCTTTAATCCTTGAAACATGCTTTTGAGAGATATGGAAAGAATTAATGCTTCCATTTTCTTGCTGGAGAAACTAAGGAACATATGCCATAAGGAATCAATCAGCCAATCTCAGCTCTTGCTCAATTCTGTGACCATTTCAATGCTCATTTCATAAATATCATCTAGACTGATTACTGCTCATGGGTGTAAAAGTGATCAGCAAAACTCTGCTTGAAAATATTTCCCTGACTCAGCCATAGTTGCTGCTGTCCCCTCAGGTGAATTTGAAACTGCTCGTGTTTTGTATTCTGCTCTCATCAGCTTCGGTTCTATTCTCACCCTTAGCCATTCTGAAGGGTTTCATTCTTTGGAGGGGCACAGCTCTGTGCATTACGTACTAGATGCTTCCTTCATACCAAGTTGAAAGTCATTGTTTATTGAACCAAAGTTGGCACCGAGAATGGAAACAAATGGGAAAAGGATGTGTATCTGCATTCACATTGTGTTATTTATGCCCACAGGTCCATGGCATGTAGCACGTATAAGCATTTTTATTTATTTATCTTTTAGTGAACTCAAGTAGTCCTTAAAGAAATGCATAAATATAGAATAAAATTGAATTTCAGAAATAAAGAAACTTGTATTAAAAAGCAATGCATGTCACCATGTTCAATGTAATTCCCTGAACAGAATTCCTTTGGAAAAGTAAAACTGACACATTTGGCCTCACTAAACTGTCATGATGAGTTAAACATTGATTATGGGGGAAAAAATGAACCCTGGACTAGAGGGGAAGTCATTCCTTATAATGCAACGGATAATAATTCTGTAGCTGTGCCATCCAGAAGTCCACGTAATGCTCTTTTATTCCGGGATATCTTATGTGGGATTTAAAATGTCTAGAGGGATTTTCTAGAAGCATTGTTTTGTTCTGAATAAGGAAGATAGGTCAGAATGGATAGGGTCTTTTTTTTTTTTTTTTTTTTTTTTTTTTTGGCCTTAAATGAGAAGGCCCATTTTTAATACAACCACTGATCTGGTGATTGTATTTGCTTTATTAGTAGCTAGTAGTATTATTGTTAGTATTTGCTGCATATTTTAGCCTCATGATGTCATCCTACATAGCTCAGTATTTCTGGGCTTCTTCAGTTTCTTCCTTGTGAGTAATTTGCCTTCTTTGCATTTTTGATGGATAGCATTGTATGAAAAAATATTAAAATACCCCAATGAACACTGTATACATCTATTGTGAATTCCACATTAAAGGGGTCCAGAAGCATGTTATGAATACAGAGGGTTGGTTCATTTGCTTTCTTCAGCTTGCTGAATGTACTGTTTGTCTTGATGTAGACTGTTATTTATGAAAAGTCTGCATAGTGGAAGAAAACATAGGGAGTACTGTTCAAAGAATCGTTAAGGAGGTATTATTTCAGATAATAATGTAATTAGACTCCTTTAGAGGAAAACGTAACTTCATATTTTCAGCTTTTCTATGGGAACATAGCTGTGGCTAATTAAGGGAAAAGTCAACTAATTTATAATGTTTAAATTTAGTGTTAAACTTGATAATATACCTGAAATTACAAAAGCCAAAACAACTCCAGCCCTGGCTCAAAAGCAGTTCTTTAATTTAGGATTAGATGAACACTCTTTCTGCAACCAAAATTCTAATTTTGTAGAGCCTTCTAGATCTTAAAAGGCATCAAAGGCAAAAGAAAATTTCTCACAAATCTGCCATGTTCAAAGTATCTACTTCAAAACAGAACCTTTTTTTTAATCTCCAATTTAGCCTGACAAAAATTCTCTTGGGCTTTTATTTCAAAAGATGAAAAATGAGCCATGGCAGTCAATGGAGTGCGGTGACTATTTATCTGTTTATGCCTATCCATGTGATTGCTAGAAAAACCAGATTTGACTTTGAATGTGATATGAAGAACGTATGCTAGTCACAAGCCCATATTCCTCAGAGGAGAAATAGGTTAAAAACTCAAAACTAAAATTTAGAAACCACACATTTTATTTTTGTAAAAAATAATTCAAAGCCTGATTTTTTTTTCAGTTAAAATGTGTGTCCAAGTTTTAAATAAACCTATCATATGGCAAATCAACTCCCAGTTTACACTTTTTCCCAAAACCAAAAAAAATCCAGGTTCCCTCTCTTGACTTTGGAGCCCCGCTCCCTCTGTCTCTGAACGGGGGAGCTTCTATCTTCTGCCTTCTCCCATCTTTCTTGCCTATTAAACTCTCCACTCATTAAAACCACACACACACACACACACACACACACACACACACACACATACACACACAAATCACAAGGCTAACTATTTAATAATGTCCATGTTTTACTTTATGTAACAGGTATCTATCAGAAAAATACTAATTTTGATTAATTGAAGAATGACATAAATGCACAAAAGATGCCTTTTATTTATAGAATTCTATGGCAAATACCTTTGCAAAGCAAAGAGCATTTCTATAAAGCTAATAATAATTCTGAATCATTCTTATTTTGTAGTTCCCAATTTTCATTGATTGGGCTTTAAGTGGATGTGCACTTAATTTATAAGGAAAAATTTACACAGAAAATTTATATGGCAGCCATTCTGCCATAATCAAAAAGCAAATTCATTTCTGAAGGAAAGTAGGAAAGACACAACGGCATAGTGCCTCTTTTATAGCCACATCTGCACAGCTCAGGGAAAAGTTAACAGATATGTCTGCTGATCACATTACAAAGCTGTTATGAGAGAATAAAGTTGCACCTTTGATGGGCTATTGCAGCTGAGTTAGGGGTCCCCAGTCATTAGAAGTTTTGCATGTCACAGATCAGAGCAGATTGGAGACCCAGAAATACTTTATGCAACTAGCTGAATTTTGGTCATTTCCATCAAATATCAGTGGACTCATTAAATAAAGATGAAACACACGCACACACATACACACACACACACACACACACACACACACACACACCCGAGATAAAGATGGGTTTAGGTTATTTCTGACTTTCACCTCTGTGATAGAAGGTCCATTGTGCTCATGCAGTGCCTTCAGGACACCCGCTGAGAACAAAGCTGCTTTCAGGAGCAGTAAGTGATTTCATTCTATTAATGTCCAGGTGATATGTGAAGCCCATTATCACATCGCTAATGTGGCGGCAGACATTTCCTGGCCAACCCAAGGCAGTAGCTCAAATGTTGGTAAAATGTGTGACTGGAAAAGGTAGTCCTTAGAAATCTTTTTAATTTTCTACTAGTGAATGCTAAAAACAACCACAAAACTGACCTTTTCAATTTCAAAAGAAGATGAAATTGAATGCTGCATGAAAAACCACAGGAAACATTTACACAAAACAATTTACAGGAGTTAATGGAAGTGTTTGGGTGAAGTGTGTGTTTTCCAGACGCAATGGGTCCCATGTTGTCGGAGAAAGCTTGTCATTTGAGGGGAAAAGTGAGTAATGTAGAAAAGCAGGTAATTCCGGCTCACTTCACAGCACACTGAATGAACAGGAATCACCCCTGACTGTCGCTCACTCTCCCCATGAGAACATATCATAACACATTGGGGGCCACCTCCATGGTCCCCCGTCAGGCAATGTGCCCTGTGAAACCAACATAATCAGCTCCTAGAAACATTGAGTATACTGAAGTACAGAGATGCATAGGCAGGTTAAAAACAGAAGCTGCAATATTATTAAAATTAACCACTCAATTTTAAGAAGATACTGGAAAATGATGCACATATTCTCAATTAACATCTTGTCAACAGTTCTAAATCCAGAGAGAGCTCATATTACCCAGAACTGTAACTACTTCTCTGAATTTAAGATCCCACCTCAAATAAATGAAAATGTATCATTTTTCAGATGGCAATGCAGGCCTACCCGCTAAGCCTGATTTTTTTTAATGAAATATGTTACTGTAAAAATAGTTAAGATTTGAGTTTTAGGCAAAATTTTTAAAATCTAAAATGAATACAGTAAAATCAATATTGATTATTAGGAGGAAAGGTGCTAATTGAGCCTGGAAAACCTTTTAAGAACTAAGAGGAGAAAATTTCCAGTAAAACTACAATAAATTACTATTCAATAACCAGAATATTTGTGTGGAATTTAACGTCAGTACATCAGCCTCCCTTTAATTTTTTTAAAATCATATATTACTGATTCACCCAGGAAGTCTCTTCCAGTAATAAGAGCAGTGTCATTTTGGCAAGTTACCTTTTCAACCTATATTTCATTACGTTCTAAAGAAATCCACTTTTTAGATTTCTTATGCTTTTAAGAATTCATTTTTAATCACCCCTTGTTTTTTAGCACTCAAGTCTTTCAGAGCTTGATATATACTTCTCTCACAGTAAAGTGAAAGCAAAACCATTTTATTTTAATAATGGATCACATTTTAATATTTCACACAACATTCTGAGAGCAAATATTCTTGATGACAAGTTTAAGAGAACAAGATTTTATTCCTTATTGTGTCATTACAAAAGCTGACCCAAAAGTTCAATAAATTGCCCTGACTGGGCAAATACTGGCAAAGTCCAAATCCCCTATAAACGTTTGCTTTAATCAGTGTCAAGACTGGTGCTGATTGTGAGTTGAAGAACCCCAACATTAAATCTGTATGTTAGCATTTAGGCACTCCATTGAAGAACTTTTCATTCCTGAACACTCCAAGGGCTTCATATAGGCTGAAACCTATTGTCTGAAGCAACATTCAAATGCCCTGAAACATATTTCTGTTCTCGTTAGACACAAAAGCAATTCTGGTCCTTCCCAACAGATGCTTCTCTATGGTACCCTTACCCATTTAGTACTATATTTTACATTCAATCTATCTAATTATCCTCTTAGAGAAAAAAATCTGTAACCAATTCATATTTCTGGCTTCCTAGACATATTTATGGTTTTCTTCCCATCCACCCAGGGAAATGAGAAAAATGGAGACATTTGAAACTGGGCAACAGTTTCCTCAACATCTCTTTTTTTTTTTTTTTTTTTTTTGAGATGGAGTTTTGCTCGTTGCCCATGCTGGAGTGCAATGGTACGATCTCGGCTCACTGCAACTCCTGCTCACTGCAACCTCCACCTCCCAGGTTCAAGCAATTCTCCTTCCCGAGCCTCCCAAGTAGCTGGGATTACAGGCGCCCACCACCATGCCCAGCTAATTTTTGTATTTGTAGTAGAGATGGAGGTTTCACCATTTTGGCCAGGCTGGTCTCAAACTCCTGACCCAGTGATCTGCCCACCTTGGCCTCCCAAAGTGCTGGGATTACAGGCGTGAGCCTCCGTGCCCGGCCCTCCTCATAATCTTTATTGACTGGGTTCCCTTCTCCCATCTTACAGGTGACACGGGGTGACAGTGGTGCTCCATATTCCTGAAGACACCTGGAAATATTGTGGGACGTGCCCTGAGTTGACATCAGGCAGGTCCTACCTTCCTGATTGGCCCCTGTTGGTGCTTGAAGAGCCCACTGAAACAACAGACTGAGCAAAGACTTTTAAACGCTGCACGTGGAATCTACCTCAAAGAATATCTAGTTCAAACTGGTCATTTTGCAGATGAGAAAACTGAGGTCCAGGACCATGAAGAGTTAACAGAGGATTAACACTAAGGCTCTGTCCCCTGATTTCCATCCCAGTGGTCTCTTTCCAGCACACAGGCTGTGCCACAGATTTTATAGGCATCTGGAATTTTGCTGGCAGGGTTACTTCTAAGAAATCTTTCGGTGGAATCTCTTTAAGTGGCCCCTGGAATGTAAGCACTATGGGCAGTCTGTAGTGACCCAGAGCTCCAAAACAGAGTTTCTAAACAGGCATGGCAGCAAATCCCAGCAACATCAGGCAGATGCTTTAGACATTTAAGGATCTGCAGATACTGCAGAATCCCTCAGTTGTGTGGTCAGCACATTACAACTCACATAACTGTAAAATTTTGCTGCAATAAAAATTATTTTTATAATAAAAAACATACTGTTATAAAAGTATTACCACTGGTAATAGCACCTGTTTTGACATCACTTTATAAAGACTTTTCCTGTAATTATTTCATCTTGTCTTCACAAAACCTGTGATGTCGTATGAGCATACCTATTTCCATAAAAGGAAACTGAGGCTCAAAGGGATTAAGTGATTTGTTTAATGGTACTCAGTTATTAGGCAGCAGAACAGGAACCTGAATGCCAACTCCCCTGCTTCTATACTTTGCTCCTACTAATCACAATCCCTCTTGATATGAGCTTTAAAATGACTTTCTTTGCAAGTTTCATGAGCATGTTGATAAACAAAGGTCTCTAGGAAGTCCAAATGTTTTTTCGCTGACTACCGCCTGGCTTCTAGTTCTCTTTCAATCTTTTATTTTTAGTCTCCTTTGCATTTAAGTTTGAGACAATAAGATCCTGAGGAGCTTGACTGTGGCCTGGGCCTGGGGATACTTCAGGATTGTGAACTCAGGGAATCTGAGGCAGGAATTAAAAGGTACATGAACACAAATAGGAACACATCTTCTCAAGAACTTAGGCTTTTTTTTTTTTTTTGGATAGGCCTCAGCCTCTTTAGTAGCTGGGACCACAGGTGCACCACCATGCCCAGCTATTTTTTTTTTTTAATTTTTTGAGACAGGGTCTCCCTATGTTGCCCAGGCTGGTCTTGAACTCCTAGGCTCAAGCAATCCTCCCACCTCAGCTTCCCAAAGTGCTGGGATTACAGGCATGACTCACTATACCTGGCAATTTATGCAGGAATCTTTTTTTTTTTTGTAATCTCTCTGTGAATTCATTATAACACCATTTTACTGTATATTTAACAAATAAAGCTATCCAAGAAAACAAATAAACAACAACAAGAACAACAAGAAAAACAAGGAATTCAGTAATTTACTACTAACTCAACATTCACCAAGCCTCATGTAATACTTATCTAAGGTAGCCAAACTACTGTTTTCTATGAGAAATCTTAGAATTTACAGCAATTTATGATCAGGACTGATGTCTGAGCTCTTGAAACAAAATTGAGAGCTGGGGTGTCCAGGAACCCAAAGAGAGGTGCTATCTGTTTTGTGTTTTGATTTGATTTGTTTTGCCCCTCATTTCTCAAGGAAGCCTTTCTGTGATCTATAGCCTTTGCAAAGAAGAAGAGTTGTATGGAAGGGCCAGCTTTGGGGTCCTTAGATGAATTATTTGGGAGCATTGCCTAACACTACTTTTACTGACATTCAGCCAGGTCAAGGCCATGGCTCCAAATAAGGAAAAAATAAAAGGCTACTGTCCAGCTGGGTCAGTGGCTGGTATCTTAGCTACTTGCACCAAAGCTCTGGTATAAATATTTGATTGTTTCTCTCTAGATTTTTTGGTTACATTTCTGGAGAAAACAGAAAAGCTACAGTATACATGCCTGTGTTTACACACACACACACACACACACACACACACACACACACACCCACAATCACACAACAGTAAACATTCATTGGAGGTGGAATTCTGGTTTAAGGATCAACTCTGCCCCAGATTGTATAAAAATAATAGTAGCATAATCTTTTAAACCACTGTTTTGATCCCTAGCTTATTTTTACTTTATTAGTTAAATAATTAATATTCACGTTAAGCCAACGACTTATCAGTGGCTTTAAAGCTTTAAAGCAGAATCCAACATGTGAAGTTAATTTCTTCTTTATTCAAACTGTTATAGTGAATATAGATGTGAAATCACTTTACAAATTATAAAGCAATATACAAATGCAAGCTGATATGATCATTAATTGAGTCCATGCATTCATTCATTAAGCAAACATTTACTTAATGTTCATCACATAGCAGCACAGTTCCAGGTACTTGACAGTGTCAAAGTTGCCTGCAGACCCCTTTGATTTTGGTTTGGAACTGTGAACCAGCAATTTATCCAGTGAGTAATATGCCTTTGAAATGGGTCCTGATTTCAAAGAAAAGCATACAAAGCCTTTCAATTTTAAGCTCACAAACAACTGGATTTCACCGAGTAGGATTTTGAATATACACCAAATCTATTCAAAGCAAAACTAGTTTCTTAGCCTCAGCAGCTGCAAGAAATGTTACCTAGCAATTGAAGGCTGGAGGTTTACCCAATGCAAAGTAATGTAGCTATTTGGTGTTTTCTTAATTTTGTCATTGCAGAAAGCAAATGAAAATAATTTATGCCCCTAAGGAGATTTTTCTTCTTTCCTCCTTTCCTTTTTATTTATTGTTGCTGTTGTTAGTGGTTGAGATATTTTGAGAGAAAGTGGGGGAGGGCTGAACAATCATCTTGGTGAGCTGAGTAGATCAAAGGAATAGATTCCATGGGCTGGGCACATTCTAAATGTTCTTTGGGTTTTGATGTGCCAAAATCACACTAGAACCTGTAATTTAAATTTCATTGTCAGAACTTTATCTAGTTAACTTCTACCTTACCTTATCAGAAACAAGGTTTCTTTGAATAGTACAGAGAAAAAAAGAGGTAGAGAGAGAAATCTCCAATAAACCTTTATTTAGGATCTATAGATAAATACTCATTTCACAACTTCTGCTTGTGTTCTACACAAGCCCTCATGGCACAAAGAGAGACTTTTAAAAATTTTTAAATAAGATTCTTGAAAAGGAGTTTCAAGCTCCTTGAGAATAGTGAGTTTATTTTGTTTTATCTCTTCAGTACATAGCCTGGGTCTGGCAGTTTGTTAAATAAGCAAGTGAATGAATGAATTATGATAATACCAGCAGCATCTACCAAAACTACTGAACAAAGTTCCAGCCAGTACTAAGTGACATTCAACCAGAATTCTTTAAAAAGCATCAGCCACAAAGAAAGTTAGCCGGAGCTAGGAACAAAGCTATGCTATGGCCATACAGAGGGAATTTCGTAATGTTGCTCATCCTAGAGAAGTGATTTCCCAAAGGCAGGTCTGTGCAAACATTTTCACAGGTCCAGAGCAAAATGAGGAAATTTTCTTAAGAAAGATTTTATTTTTAGATTATAGTCTTCTCATATTATAGTATAAAAATTTCCCTTCTTGTATGAAACAAAGGAAAAAAGAGACTGGTTGTGTTCACTGTCTTTACAGGAGTGAGGTGGGAGGTAGTTAGCAATTCTGTTAGTCCTCAAACTATTTTTGGAAACTGCCAGGTTATGAAAAGCCAAGGTAAGATAATCAACGGACCACAGAACTTAGCCTCTCAGCCTGCTCTCCTGAAAGTAAATGGGACCTACAACTACAAGTCACAGTGACCTCCTATCACTCTCATGACTGCCTGCAACAAGGTAGTGAAAACATAGAACATGTCCTCCTGATGTCTCCAACTTTCTGGGTGTGATACTGATCACAGGTGAGGTTTTCACAGTCTGTTTCTAATTCATTCCTATGCTGACACAGGCTGCACTTTTAACCAAGTTTTTGCTGCTGAATGCTTCATTGAATTCTCCTTTCCTGGAGAGACTTTAGAATCACTTGATCCCCAGATTCAAACAGCATTCCAAGGCACTGGGGTTAGGGGAAGCAAAACCAAGGGCACGTTTCAAATGACAGGAAAGGCCCCTGCTGACCTCCCTGTACATGGTCCTGTTTGTCATGATGAGACGCTAATTTCAAACCAGGAAGTCTATTTAGTGAAGGAATGGAAACTCCCCACACGACACCAGGACTGTTTAAGATCACACACTCTACTCCGATCACACATTCACAGTGCACTAAAGTGGTTGAAGAAAATCACTCTGATTCTGGGCACTCCAGCTGTCTGAGAGTTCAAAAGCTTAGACCATCATGTGCTTGTTGCTATTATTCATGCTGAGAAAATCTTTTCATCTTTTTTTAAAAGTTGGTCAGAGAAACTGGGTGGTGCTTTTCCTTAAAATAACTTGAACAAAAATTAGAAATGAGATAACATGGTGACAAATGAAAACTCTACATTGTATTCATTCACTGAAAACTTTCCCAGCAATATAGGAAAAACCAGCCAAGCCTGGAAGGCAGCCTCCCTATCTGGGGAAATACTGTGAAGCTGGACAAATGATGAAACTGAGCTTTGAACAAATATACCCCTAATCCAACATAAGACATGGCTGAACAGCAAACTCAATGAGATCTTTGGTTTAGCAGAGAAATTATGTAATGTCAGAGAGCCCCAGACTTGCTTAGCTACATGTCTGAGAATGCTTAAAATGGTCCTTCCACAGCAACTAATACAGATGTACAATTCACTGACCTAGTTTTCCCAAATTGGATCAGTAGCAAATGATGATGATTTATGTCCCAAACCTTCCACCATGAGCAATCCAAAAAACATAGAATTCAAAGGGAAAAAAAATCACATGTTCAAGGGAATACAGAATACCCGGATATTGTAAATTAGGTTCCAGGGCCACTGGCTAGTAGCAGAATATATCTGCAGCATTATAAGCTGCTGCTAATCTATGAATATACAAAGAAAGAACACTGGTCTGGCACCTCAGACATTTATAAGGAACCATTCATTCATTCAAATGAACAAACCTAAGGAGAGAAGAGTCTACCTGTGAAGTTAGACCCTAATGTAGGGCATACACATTGGTATTAATATCAGATGGCATCCTAAAAAGAGGGTTCTTGTCGACTAACCAGCAATGTGTCTTAGGCAATTGATTTTGCTCTCTGGCCCTTACTCAGTTTTGTGATCTGTAAAACAGGGATTAGATTAGAGTATATCTAATGTCCCAAACATCTCTGATACTTTCTAATTCAAGTTGTTGATCAAATACCAAGAGAAGATTGTTAAGGACTAACATGATTTTCAAGATAAATTTAGATCAATCTCCTCAGTGCATACTGAACATCTTCCATCATAGACCACTGCCTTAGCATATGCGGGAAGTGGGCCAAAATGTTCAATTCCAGTCTTTAATTTGAAAGGGTCTGACACTTTGGTTCAGGAGATAGGACACATACATAAAATTGCAATACAGAGTAATCAATGCTAAATTCCAAATGTCCAGCACAGATACAGCACAGAATTCAAAGGAAGAAAAGCTTCTCCAAGGTTTAGGGCAGAAGGAATCATTTTCAAGGAACAGGTGGAGCTTTAGCTTAATTCTCTCTGAAGGTAAAAAGCTAAATTGGATAACTTCTCAGGATCCTTGCAAATCTAAAATTATCCTGTAACAACAATTAATGTTATTAATTGTTATTAATGTTAATGTTATTAGTGTAACATTAATTAATGTTAATAGTTAATATAGGCTCCACCTCTAATAGGTATAGTAATATTACTAGTACCATAAAAATTAGTTCAATTTATATAGGACTTATTTTTCTAGTAAAGGTATTTCATAATTAATTACAAATTACCTTTGAATAATTATACCATACAAGCTAACTACCTATCTTATATGTGACTTAACAACTAATTCAGGTTTAAATAATTGCTTCAAAATAAATTGAAGATGATTGTTGAAAATTATGACTTCCCAACTACAAGGATTTATTTCTTGACCTTCCAGTAGCTATCTCCGAGTACTTCTAGGGTGGAACACAGGTGAATTAAACCAGTTGTTTGGCAGCTATAAAGAATTCCTCTCTTTGCATGCCACTGACCTTTTCATTGGTAAACTGGTGGACAGGGTTAAGAGTAGACTTAACAATTCTGCCATCATCAAGCAGTTTTATCATGTTTGGCAACTTTACTCAAATCTGAAAGAACACAAAAGAAAGCTTCCCCATAGCAAGTGGTAGAAGGTTACCTGTGACATATCCCTCCTTTTAGTGACCCCACCAAAGATTACAGTACCCAGGAGAGAAGAGGACTCTCAGCTGCTACACTCAGGGGGACATTTAAAGTACATCCAATTCTGAATTAGAAACATGGGCAAAGGCCTAATTTCACAAAATTGGGCCATCCTGTGCTTGCAGCTCTGCTAATGCTTGAAAGGGAAAGATTTTTTAAAAATTAAAAAGAAAGCAGAAAATGGGAAAGCACTTATTTAAAATTAATGTCACTTCTCATTTTTAATTATTCTTTCCTGAACTCTGCCTCACCCTTAACCCTTTGCTTGTTGTATACACTTAAACCTGGAGACAAACATAAAATTAGTTTGCATATAGACACTAATTAACATACACTGCTTGACGATAACAAACCCATCTTTTCATCTATTTTTAAATTCTTATTGTGAATCCTTAAAATATATCCCATTTTAAAGCATCACTGATTCAATTTTAAAACATTGCCAGAACTTGCTTTGCTAATCTGCAAACTCGATAATTCTCCCCCAAACCTCAGCACACTCAGCAACAATTTAATAGCAAATATCTCTAGTGGGACTTCATATTACTAAGATTCTATTACTTTTTATATTACCAAAAAAGTGCTAGTACACTCTAAAGTATTATAAATAGTTCAGACCAGGCAATGCTTGTCAAAATATATGAAAGTTTATTTTTTTGCACTCAGAAACTTGGGATTTTTATCTTGTGTATTTATAAGCTATAATGTGCCCCTCCATAATTAGTACAAAATGTAGATTACTAATCAACTTTCTAAAGTTTCTAGACATTTTATTTCGTTAACGTGATTACTAAGGTTGGTATGTTGTACGCTTAATAACCCGATCTTGCTACTAAATGCAAATTATAAACATATCTTAAAATAATTGCATATATGCCTAAAATGGGCTTCTTTAATTATATTCTTCTTAGTCTGCTAAGCAGCCTTTTTTCGATTGAGGGAATTTGTGTTTATGCTTCCTGAAGATTTTTAGTTTGGGGTTTAAGAGACGGATATAATCTACACACTTATTTAATAGTTTCAATACGTTTAAAAATGACCTTTAAGAAGTATATATCCCCCTTAACTACCAAATGCTTTGTATCTTGTCAGAAGTCGCTGTAAAACTGTTCAACTTTTGAAACGTTCAAGTTCTTCCATCATTAGTACAAGTCCAACTAGAAGTATACAGAAGTAGGTCAATCTATAAATACAGAGATATTTCCATAAAGAAGAGATTTTATAATGCTCGATCAAGGTATGTCTTCAGCAATTTCATGCTAGCTCCATTTTTAAACAGATTATTACTCATTCTGCGTGAGGCCACTGTGCTTCTTATTTATTTGCAATAAATACTATTCACTATACAAACCAATCTTTAATAAACTACTCACATTCTTTATTACAGGTGAATTGCAAAATGCCACCTTAATTATAAAGCAAATCCACTGTTGATATTTGCACCAAGTGTGTATGGACAAACCAGCAACACAGACATATTAATAACCTCCAACTTGTATTCCCATGCCCCATGAAATTTCTCTAAGGGTTACGAAGTGATGCCCTTTTGGCCCAATTTTCTGCCCCTCCTCTACCCTTCACTGTTTCTCTAGTACATTCTATCCCTTTAAATTCCCTCTCCATGCTAATACAATCTACTCTTTTTTTTTTTTTTTTTTTTTTTGAGACGGAGTCTCGCTCTGTCACCCAGGCTGGAGTGCAGTGGCGTGATCTCGGCTCACTGCAAGCTCCGCCTCCCGGGTTCATGCCATTCTCCTGCCTCAGCCTCCCAAGTAGCTGGGACTACAGGTGCCTGCCACCATGCCCGGCTAATTTTTTGTATTTTTAGTAGAGACGGAGTTTTCACCATGTTAGCCAAGATGGTCTCAATCTCCTGACCTCGTGATCCACCTACCTCAGCCTCCCAAAGTGCTAGGATTACAGGTGTGAGCCACTGCACCTGGCCCAATCTACTCTCCTTTTAAAAAATTTACAGTGAGGTATAACTGTCACAGGAACAAAAATACTCCAGCTTCTTCTCTCCCTGTAGATGGATCTAGCTGGCAAGCCAAATCATAAGGAAGAGGCTCTTTAACAAATTTGATCAAACAAAGGCGGGTACCTGGAAATAGACTCAAAGTGGATCCTGTGCATTGAGAGATGGTCTTGCTCATTGCAATGGAATTTTCCACCTCCCAGTGAAGGAAGCATAACACTGCTCTGGGTTCCCCTTGGCAAAAATGTAGTCCTGCTCCCTTACTATTTCCATGGTATGATCTGAACCATGTCCCAGAGTGAGACTGATTCCATGGCAAAGCTAGAAGGGCAGGCTTAGTCTCTGATACACTAATCAGGTGCCTTCAAGTGAAAAAAGTCAACACACTTTTTCTGGCTTGAAGGGCAGAACTCGCCCTATCCATCCATTCCTCATTCAAACAATTTCTGACAAATTCAGCACCTACTACTATTCCAAAACACATTTGTGCCACAGGTGTGGTCGTCAATAAGCTTAATGCCCAGCTGCTTAGAATCACAGAAAATTCCAAGCTCCTTTTATAGACACAGAAAACAAGACCCAGAGAGGTTATATGATTTTCCAGAATTAGACAGCTGGCTAGAATACTCCGGCTTTTCTTTATATCCTTTTTTTATTTTTATTTTTTTCACAAGACAGCATTTAGTACAATCTTTACTGGTTTTACAGCTATTTTTTTTATTTTATTTGTCAGGCCTGAGGGACTCTTCCATCCTTGTCAAACGGGGTGCTAACCTCTCTAGCTATTAAGTAAACTAGACCACAAGTGACTACTGCAACCAAGCACGCAGGGGCAGGGTGTGGAGCACTGCATTCAACTTTAGTTTTCAGAGGTCCTCGGTAGGGTGCTTTTATGTTCTTGTTAATGAATATAAATAAAACTTAAAGTTAGTCTCCTCAGAGTGAGGGTCTCTAAAAGCACAATTCAGGCTCCAAAAACAAGGAAAACTCATGGAGATATAGACCATTACTTGTGGAAAGTAGTAAAAAGGACACAGAATAATGTCTCTGAGCTTCTTGAATTTACATCTCTGCTTCTACCTTTGTCTGTGAGAGAGATATATAGACAGACAGATCGATATATATATCATATTAAATATGCATATATTGCATATAATATATGAATTATATATATATATCTGTTTTCTATATACAGTGTAAAGAATATCTTTAATGTTTTCAAGCTTCTATAACTGGAGCTAATGTAAAATTGTGAAAATAACTAGATCGAGTGGATTGGCTGTGTCACAGACAGATACAGATTTGAGATACGACTAGAGGATAATATTTTGCTGTCCTGGTCCTCAGTGTCCACCCCTCCCAACCCCCTGCTAAGGAGAGAGCATATCAAATCATTTCTTCACACAAGTAACATCAGGAGTGGTGGGAGGAGGTCATGCAGCTCCTAGAACAAAAGATTAGAATCAACTGTTGATGACAGAGGATATTTGGGAACTTAAAGTCCTGTGAATTATATTATGTGTAAAAATTCTATATGAGTGAGCCAGGCTGTCACAAACCCTGGTTGACAATATAACTGGACAACAAGCCATTCACCCCTAGGAGCCTCTTCTCCACCCTGGAAGCAACCCTCATCCTCCTGACGGCTCCCTACCCTCTAAAGCTCACATGTGTCTGCCTCTTCATGTTCCTTCCAGTCAGAAAGCTGCTCAGGAGGTAAGTATAGATGTTCTGTTCTACCTTTTTCAGTGGCAGAAAAAATAATGAAGACATTTTAGTTGCAAGAAGGCACTTGGCTTTTAGCCACTGGCCAATTTTCCCACTCATTAGCGGCCTTTGAGCCTTTTTCACTTATCTTACTTATCTGCTTGTTGTTGTTCTGCTTTTTCGGAATATATCACTTCTGATACAATAACTCAAAAAGCCAGTGGTCTGAATGTTGTTTTAATCCCTGAGGACATCGCCACTGGTGCAGAATTCAGCCCCACGGGTGTTCCCATACACCTGATCCTGGCCCACCAAGAAAAGATTCACAGTGTTTTGCCTACACTGTGTATGACAGCAGGTGAAGGAGAATACTTTAGAAAGGCTTCATTATGAAGTATTCAAAATTAAGGTAAAGTACCCAAATCTTAGCTCTTCAGAAAATCCAAATGTAGATATCCACGTTTTTGGGGTTTTGAAAGGATCTTAAAGACCATCTCATATTGCTTTATTTTATAGACAAGAAAACTGAAACTAAATGAGCAAGAATCATTTGCTTTTTGAGATTTTTAAAAACTAAAATGAGAGACAGAATTAACTGGTGTCATAAAAAAGTAACTTCTGTCTGCATATACTTTCTTCTGTAAGCCACTGGTTACTATGTAAATATTAGTGCTACAGGTCTATTTAGTAACCATGCTAAGTTACAGGAAAGACCTCATAATAGTGGCTTTTCTTAAATATTAGACTATCAACTGTGGGAACCAGTGGCTCATCAGGGAATACTTCCATGCCTCTGACAACTTCAGAGCAGAACAGAACAGGGAGGACTGATGAGAACATCCAGCTGCTGTTGGCGTCTCGGACCATCCTTTCTGGAGGAAGCACCAGGATCCTAGGAAATAAATGACCTGGGGTCTAGTCTTAGATCTGCAGTAAGTAGCTATATGGTCTTGGGCAATACATCCAGTCTTTCTGGGTCTTGATTTTTCAACTACAAATTAAAAGCTTAAAATTGTATTGCTTCCTTCTAGCTCTGAAATTCTTTGAGCTCAGTATGCAGAGCTGGGGAGTGACTATATGATGTGTATTCATGTGTTTGCGCAGAACAGATGTGCGTTCTACCTCTGTAACCAGCAAATAGTGAGTGGGCAGAAGGGTTAAAAATTTAAGCATGTTGGAGTAGCAGCGAAATAAATGAAAGCCACAGCTCCTACCTCTTCCTTATCGCCATTTGATTCATAGGAGAGTTACAGAGAAAGCGTCTCTTTTCCAGGGAAAATTAAGAGAACCAGAGCATAATTCTGACGCAAGGGTTCAAGAAGAATGGAAAGAGGTGCTGGCTAGAGTGAGAAGTGCACTGATAGGAGATGAGAGGAATGCAGACATGCATAGGCGGTATTGTGGATTGGGTACTAGGCCACTGCAATAACACAAATCACACACATTTTTTGGTTTCCCAAACACATAAAAGTTATATTTATACTCTTCTGTGGTCTACTAAGTATGCAATAGCATTATGTCTAATAGCACAACATACACACCTTAATTTAAAAATACTTTATTGCTAAAATTAAAAAAAAAAAAGCTAACAATCATCTGAGCCTTCAGTGAGTTGTAATCTTTTTGCCATTGAAGGGTCTTGCCTTGATGTTGATGGCTGCTGACTAACCAGGGTGGTGGATTTTGAAGGCTGGGGTGGCTGTGGCAATTTCTTAAAATAAGACAGCAATGAAGTTTGCCATATCCATTGACTCTTTCATGAAAGATTTCTCTGTAGCATGCACTACACATGCTCTTCACAGAATTAAAGACAGTTAGGGCCTTGTTCTGGATTAGACTTTGGCTTAAGGGAATGTTGTGGCTGAAGTGATCTTCTACCCAGACCACTCAAACTTTCCCCTATCAGCAATAAGGCTGTTTCATTTTCTTATCATTCATGTGTTCACTAGAGTAGCACTTTTCACGTCCTTCAAGAACTTTTCCTTTGCATCCACAACTTGGCTAACTGTTTGGCACAAGAGGCCTAGCTTTTGGCCTGTCTCAACTTTCAACATGGCTTCCTCACTAATCATTTCTAGCTTTTGATTTAAAGGGAGGAACATGTGACTCTTCCTTTCACTTTAACACTTAGAGGCCACTGTAGGTCATTAATTAGCCTAATTTGAATATTGTTGTATCTCAGGGAATAGGGAGGCTCCAGTAGAGGGAGAGGGACTGGAGAACGGGCCAATCAGTGGAGCAGTCAGAATACACACAACATTTTTTTCACAAGAACTACCCATTTATTTATTTTCTTTAATCAAATTGTCTGACACCCAGCCCCTGACACCTGACCGGTCTGATGGGAATCTTCTGTCTCCATCGTTAAGAAGCATTCTACCTTCCCAGGGACTTCCCAGTCAGGAAGCCTTACCCAGAGCCCAAAAGACTGTGGACATTTCTTGGTTGTTCTCCCAGGATCCATTCTCCCTCCACCCTATTATTAATTCCAGATTTTCCTTTGTTGTACAGCAGTCATGGGGTTTAGGTGAGACTGACCCCGTCATCAGTTTCAGAGGAGGGCCCTGCTAGTCTAAGGCAATCTTCATCGTCTTATCCCACCTGCCGCTGTGCTTGGTTTGCAGTTTGCATCAGTCCGGTCAGAGCAAACCTCAGGAACTTGTTCTCTGATTGTGGGAACCAGCAGTTTCTATCCTGTAGGTGAATGGGGAAGCTGCAGCCCCAGAGTTTACAGCAGCTTTCTTGTGACCATGAGAAGAGTCAGCCTGAAAATGAGGCTGATATGTGGAAGAGCGAAGAATAAAGAGAATAAAGAGAACCTCAGAGCAAAGGAGCTGGAGCCCGATTAACCATGCCTGAGGCTGGACCTACTTTTGAATAATCACATTTTTTTTTTTATTGATACATAGTATTTGTACATATTTATGGGGTATGTGTGGTATTTCATATTTCGTTATGTGCATAGTATGTATAATATAATGAATGATCAAGTCAGGTATTTAGGGTCTCCATCACATCACCTCAAGTATTTATCCTTTCTATGTGTTGGCAACATCTCGAGTCCTCTCTTCTAGCTACTTCAAAACATACAATATATTGTTACAACACACCCAACACTTAAGAGTTAAGCTTGCCATTTCATATGGGCACAGTTAGTGGTGCCCCAAAATAACTACAATAGAAACATCAAAGACCCACTGATCACAAGATCACCATAACAGATACCATAAAAAAAATCTGTGAAGCACAACAAAGCAAAGTGCAATAAAATGAGGTATGTCTGTCCATCACTCAAGTGTATGCATGGATAGGAAGAGTTGGCCCGCAAGGTGTCTATCACCTGCGATCAGCATGGTCTGAAATTTTCAAACTTCCTTTAGCTCAGGAATCCTGTTGTGGCAGCCTCTATTGGTTAAGGAACCAATAGTCATTCCCTTCACTCCTCCCTTTCTGCCCTCCCACACCAAATCTCAAGCAACCACGAGCTTTACGTAGATAGGGGTTTTCTTCAGACCCAAAGACCAAAGTTGAAGAATCCTATCCAGGTGTTGAATACAAATGCCTGAACCAACATCCAGATGTTCATTTTAGTGTCTTAACTAAACTTGCCAGGGCTACAGCTGCCCAGGCACAGATTATACAACCAGCTTTCAAAAGGGATTAACCTCGACTTAGGTGCCAGGTAAGTCAATACTCCATCACCACATTTCTAATAATTGTTTCAATACATAAGTGTGAGAGACTGGGTAAGTGCGATCCAATTGCAGTGAGGAGGAAAGATAAAGACACAGCTAATCAGGCACTCACACTTCCTTCTTGAAAGGATGAGCATAGGGGACCAGATTCTGGCTACAGGGAAACCCAGCTGGACCGCCTTAGCAGCAGTCATGATAAGACAGGACCAAATTTGTTTGTATGTTTTTTTTTTGCTTGCTCACATTTTAATGAAAAAAAAGGTATTTCCTGTGCTTTTTGTGTTTTTGAAGATTTTCAGCATCAAAATCTTATTGCTTTTGTTAGAAAAATAAACCATAAATATTTTAATGGTACAAACTTTGAATATGATAACTATTGCTCCTAAGACTATATGAATTTCCCTTAAAATATGATACACAGTTATATATATATATGTGCATGCATATATATTTTAAAAGAACCAGTAGATAGCACAGTACTTTAAAGAAAAAAAATGTGAATATTGATTTTTTTTCCCTAATGAGATATTACCTGGGAATCACAGCCAAGGTGAGACTATTTAGACCACTTGATCATTAACCTTTCTCCATATGTAAGTTCACAGACATCCAACTATAGAATGTGGTTACTGTATCTAAAGGGACCTCAAGTCTAATACAAACCCTTATTTTGAAAATGAATATTTCTATCTTATTTCTAAAGTACTCCAAAAGTTCTTAGGGCATCCTGTTCCCACGTTCAGTCACAACCACAGGTCATCAAGTCTTCCTGTGTCTTAAAAACACATTTTCTCCTGATGCAGTCTAAACCCATTTTCTTCTGTTCAGTCCAGTGAGATGGAGAAGGTTGACTGGTGTTCTGCAGAGTTCCACCTCACTGCCCATAGGTTGTTAATTTTGTCTCCCTTCAGCCTTCTCTTCTCCAGAATAAACAACCCACCTCCTTTCCTTGTGTACATAGTCTCCAATCCCTGTCATCATTTTCCTCTTCTATACGTGGATTCTATGCAATTTTCCTGCATATGTTTTAAGTTACAGACCCAAAGTGTAATATTCAAATAAAAGCCCAACCTACAATAAATTTGACACAAGGGTTATTTCCTAGCTGCAAATAATACTTGTCTTAACACAGCCCGGGATAATATCGCTTTCTTAATGCCATCACTAGGTTAATGACGCATATATTTCTGGAATGCCAGATCTTCTGCAGCCAAGTTTGTGTCAAATTATACCCTCTATCTAGACCCTTCTCCTACCATCTATTCTCCAAAGGAAGTCATTATTAATAAACTTACATTTTATTTCTTCCAGTGGTTTCTACTTTTAACTCCAAATAAATAATATGCCTGCATCTCTCTTTCTTGATTTTTCAGTCTTAGGTAGCCAGTACCTGCTGACTTCTCTGCATGAAAGATGAAGAATTTCATTCATTTATATGCCTTCCTTCCCTCCCCACCTGCTCCCCAATTTGGGCTAACTCATGATTTTTTAGTTCTTCAGTTGGATAGATGTATTCATTTCTGGATCTAGCAGCTTTAGAAAAGAGTTATTGACCTTAATACTCTCAGATAAGAAAGTTAACATACCTCATCATCTCTGGACTTCTGTCAGGGTATAGCTCTATACTGTCAAAGTTTATAATATTTATATTTTGTTTTATAGATATTATGACTACTGATATTATGGAAATGTTATTTATTACAGATACAGGAAGAAAATTAATCCTCTGTCACCAACTCATGCTATTCAAAATAGAATGTTCTAAGCATCACAGTCAGTAAAATACATTCTCTTAAACTCTAACAAACTCTCAAAATCATGCCACAATTTAGTTTACCTGTTATTTGAGTCCTGGATTTTTAGGCAGTGCTATAAATACTACAACTGGTTACAAGCAGTTAATTTAACAGATTAACTTAAGAAATTTGTTGGAAGGATATAAGGGTCACTCTCAACTCAAAGGAAAAGCTAAGGATTAAACATTAAAAGCAATGGTAAAAAACGCAATTACTTTTGACCAACGTAAATACAAACTTTGAAGATCTTTATACTATTAAACTAGAGAGAGAGAGAGAGCGAGTGAGCGAGAGAGTGCACTCATTACTGGAAAAGGGCATCTTACTGGCCCAGCTTGAATCACAAACTAGGTAGGGGCAGTGCCCCTCGACTAAGAGTCTCATCAAGGTTGCATGCAATGGTGAAGGATAGTTCTCAAAACAAAATCAAGATGCTGTCACCGGAAGAATAGAATCAGGGTAGACAAAACAACAGCATCTATTGCTTCCAATAGCACTTATCACATTTTCATTAATAAACAATTTGGGTAATTTTCTGTTTGATATTGTCCTTCCCAACCAGATTTTGTGTTCTATAAAGGAGAAGTTACATAGAGCATTCATTCTCTTAATTCACGTGCCTAGTAGTGTCTGACAAGTTACAAGCACTGACTAAACAGCTCTTGAATATTGTTGAATAAAAGCCAAGGGTTTCCAGGATGCACTGCCTAGACTATTTGTCATAGACTATTTGTATTATTTTATTTTAATAACAAGTATTTTCAGATGGCTGAATTACATATTAAAGAAGGGACTACTCTTTCCAAAGGCACGTTATCATGGAGGAATACAGCCTAAGTTTTCTATTACAAGTATTGTAAAAGAAGGGCACCTCTCCAAACTTTTGGATCATGGCAGGATACCATGATCTTGTCTGCATGCTACCCACACAACTGATGGTGTACAATCACCTGATCCAAAGAATTAGCCAGCAGTTTAAATTTTCATTATTCACTCAGGATGTCATAGTCAACAGCCTGGTGATCTCTGCAGTCAGGACTTGGTAATAGCACTACATAATACCTGGTCTAATATCTCCTCTGCAAGGACTCAGTCCTTCTCCTGACTCCTCTCCATGCCATCTTTCCCACTTCTTTCTTCTTCTTCCTTCCTTCTCCTTCTCTCTTCCTTCTCCCTTCCTCCCTTCCTCCCTCCTCCTCCTCCCTTTCTATCTTCTACATTTTTCTAGCTTCTACATTTTTCTCTGTGTTTCACTGGCACTCCTCCTCCCTCTGTGTTTCACTCCCCCTCATCCTCCCTCCCCCTCTCCCACCCTTTCCCCTCCTCCTCCTCCTCCTCCTCCTGAGACAGAGTTTTGCTCTGTTGTTCAGGCTGGAGTGCAGTGGTGCAATCATAACTCACTTCAGCCTTGATCTCCTGGGCTCAAGCGATCCTCCTGCTTCAGCCTTCCACGTATTTGGGACCACAGACATACACCATCAAACCTAGCTAATCTTTTTTTAATTTTTTTGTAGAGATGGAGTCTCATTTTGTTGCCCAGGCTGGTCTCAAACTTCTGGGCTCAAGTGATCCTCCTCATCCTTGGCCTCTGAAAAGTGCTGGGATTACAGACATGAACCATGGCATCCAGCCCTTGCCCACTTCTTAACAAACTGGGTGATAGTTATTTTTTTACAAACTTGCCTCTCCAACTAAACTGTGGACCCCATGAAGGAAGGAAGGAAGGAAGGAAGGAAGGAAGGAAGGAAGGAAGGAAGGAAGGAAGGAAGGAAGGAAAGAAGGGAGGGAGGGAAGAAAAAAGGAAGAAAGGAAGGAAGGAAGGAAGGAAGGAAGGAAGGAAGGAAGGAAAAACGGAAGGAAAGAGAGCTTTAGTTCTCTAAGCTGTAGAGAAAATTTAAGTTCTTTTTCAAAGAACTTAAAATTCATGGATTAGTCAGAGGGGTCTAATATCTCTAAATCAAATGATGACAAAAGAAAAAACAAAGAATGCAGAAATTATCCTCTTCCAGGGTTTCATTCCTTTATGTCAATCAAGAAAAATGTTAATAAGGAGGGTTCAGCAGGGGTCAGTAATTCCTCACTGATGTCACAAATTTAGCTTCACTTTTCAGAGGCTGTTCGTGGCCATGCTTGTGAAATTTGTAACTCACCTCTAGACAATAACTAATTATTACTGATTACTATGAAATAAGTCAACAAAGATTTTCTTGTTTACATTCTTATCAGACTGTATCAGAACCATCTGTTTTCAAGTTTGTTGTTGCTGGGTGTTTTTTTTTTTATCCCAAGGGATAGATTCTCCATATTGTTCTCTGAATATATGCATGCAAAACTGCCTTTTAATGCACAGTTGCAGTTTTCACTAAAACATTTGGGTAGGGGGGAAAAATCACATATGTTTTTGTGAAAGATGATGATAATAATTAGGTATCTTGCTGAATTTATTCTATCTTCAAATGAAGGATATGTTGGGGTCTGTCCCATCTCTAATTACCATCTCTTCGTTTGCATGGGGTGACTATTGATTTTGCGAAAAGCACATATGTGGAGCTTTCGACACTAAAGTAACTTCAACCTGGAAAACACAGTAAAGGACTCCATTAATATGAGAAAGAGTCTACAATTTTAAAACAAGCAATATGTGACCCCTTTGCTCCATTGTTCATTGACACCAATCTCCTGTGATACAAGCAATAACTTTGTTCCATTGTTAAGGAAGCAAGAGTGTAAGATTTTAAATACTGGTACTCACCAAGTTGCTACATGGCTTTGGGCAAGCAATTAACCTTTGGTGTCTCAGTGACTTCATCTGTAAAATAGGGATAGGGATTTTACACAGGTGTGATGCCTGGACTAATTAGTATAATTATCATTATTGATGGGAAAATAATGTTAGTCATTGATATCCCATCTCATGTTAGCACCTGGAGAATCACATATTTTCTCTATGTTGACTCCATTTTATAGGAGTCTGTAAAAAAATGATGACAAAAGCTACATATGAAAACTGGGACAATACAGTTAAAAAGGTCCATATCCACATAGGCTCATATCCTTAATGGATTATTTTTGAATTTGCATTTATCATTTAGATGCTTTCTAAAGTCAAACTGAACACATAAACTATGAAATTACAAGGAAATTTTTCAAGGCCCACATTCAACTGATAAGCTTCCTTGCAGCAAAATGCTTTCCAGTTCATTCACAGGTAACACCATGAGCTACTATAGAAGTTTAGGGTTGAGCAATAGAATTTAGGGTAATCAAAGTCAAGTAAAAGTATACACTGAAGACATTGCTCATATAACATTCCAGGATCCCCACTTGTGTGTGTATGTGCCCCGAAAGAACCCCAGCTCAAACAGTTAGGGACCAGGACAAACAACAGAGCTACATGAGAAGCCAACTCTGCAAGACTGGGGTCATTGAAGCTGGGGACAGTAGGGTGTCCTTATGCCAGAGCATGGGTAACAACTCATGGGGCAAGGAAAGGGACATGTTGAGAAAAACAAAAATGGCATTTCTCTTGGGGTTCATCTAGGACTCCTAAGTGCACTTACTATGATTCCTAGGTCAGGATGAAATAACTGCTTTAAAAAAAAGATTACCTCTACATGTTGGCAAAAGTGCCAGTGAAACACAGAGAAAAATGTAGAAGACAGAAAGTGCTCAAAAGATCAGTACTCAACACTATAACCTTGTATCCCTTACCATAGACTCATGTTCTTTCTAGGTCCAAAATTTCTTCTTTTGGCTTTAGTTCTTCCCAGCAGAAAATTCTCTTTTCTTGAGCTCAGTAGATGTCAAGCCTCAAATCTCCAATGTCTCCAAAGAAGCAGCCCTAAATTAGCCTCTTCACAAGTCATTCATACTAAGGACCGTAATCTTTTCCTCTATATTTGCCTCAAAATTATGGGCAACAACTTCCAAATGGAAACGCTGAAGCTGTTGCCATTTTCCTATTATCCTCACCTATCATATGAAACATAACAATTAGCATTTTTAGCAGGATTGAAACTGCTAACACAACTTCTCTATGTCTTACACCATTAAACTTGATGAGAAATCCCTTCATGATTAACATTCATCTCGCTGTATCGTGCTTGAAGGTTAATAATATCTACCATCTCCTGAGAGAGGGGGAGGGGAGCTCATTTATCAAATGAATAGCCGAGTGAGGCAGCCAGGAAAGGAAATTCCCCCCTCAGTCCACTAGAGGGTGGCTTGGCAGAGCCAAGGGAGGACGGCCGAGACAGAGAGGCACAGACAGCTTCCTGTCTTGTTCGCCTGCACTTTAGTTGGTAAGAAGAAGCAACATTAGTATTCATTGCTTTCTATTCCTCACCCTGGGTAGGCTTTCATTTCTATTACAGACACTTTACAAATGCCAGAAGTCAGCGCTGGCTGGGCCATGGCGTGGTGAGGGAAAAAAAAACTATAGAATTAGACTGCTTAAAAGAACATCCAGTCTAATTTCTTCTAAATCAACACTGGGTGAGATAAATACATATGTATTAACAGATCCTAAGTTTAAAACTTTCATAGATCATGTAGCAGTATGTGTGCACTTCAGATATGGATGTGGAGTGAATGTTGCATGTACATTATGGGGAATTATACATAATGCATAAAGAAATGTACCTAGCCTTTAGCACACCAGCTGTTTCTGCTTATAAGCCTGAGTTATCCATGAAATGCAGTAGACATTTTGTAGTAAATATCCTACTTGGTTGACTTTTTTTAGGCCTAGTCATCTATGCTGATTTATAGAATTAGGAAGAAATATAAATTTTAGCAATGAAAGATAGAATTTTAAAATTTCCCATATCAAAACATGTTGTGTTCTGAGAAAGAAGAGATGAGGAATTAGCCTGTTTTCGTGGTCTCTACATAGGTGATAAAGCAAAAAAGAATACGTTTTTCCTATCTGTAATATTGTTCAGTGTAGCAAACCCTTTTGCTTGTTACAGTACAGCAAATGGAGTGTTTAATTTGGGATTCAATGTAGTCTAGAGTCAAGGTGCAGCAGTTTTATTACAGAAATACAATTTTATTGGAGGCTGAAGATTTAATTTCCACCTTACGTAGAGAGCCATAAACGGCATGCCTGTTTTACATTTTGCATAGTATTTGATATATGTAATTCCTGGCCTAATTTTAGAGTTTGAAAAGGTGGAAGAATCACAATACGCAGATTCAAATTCTTCAACACTTCAGCCACAGATGACATTTTAAAATGAACAATTTTCTGTTTCTTAGTCATGGATTTGAAACCCTTGCTTCCCTCCCCGGAGCTCTGCACCACATCCTTTTCAGGTCTTCCTAACTAGGTGAGCCACAAAGCCACCTAAAGGATGCCCTCGAGTCGGAACAAATGCTTTCTTTGTTTAAATCTGTCTACTAGATGGCATTCTACTAAAACCTAAGATGATCAGATGATATGGATAGTTTGTCATCAATTGTACCTAGTATCTGTTAGGGTCATCTGTTAATATCTGTTCAGATGTATGTATTTTGAATAAAATAATTTGTAAACATATTGGAATGACTGAATGTGAAAGAAATAATCAAATAATGTTAGCTGTAAGCCTATATCCACACTGGAATCCAAATTTGGAGGATTTTGTCATTCTCTTTCCTTCAAACATATTCATTTTAGGAGACATACACACACGCACACGCGTTGCTCTTCCATCTGTTTGCCTTTGCAGCATTAGTTCTCTTCATCAACATTTCATACCTCCTCTTTACCACCAGGTGGAGCCCTTTGTTTATGGACATCTGTCCATTTCCTTTTTCTCAAAGATGCTACCAGATAAATAGCTCCAGAGCTAAAATACTGTTGCAAACACGAAAATTTAACACACAGAGATAAAAAGTAAAGCTTTTCAGGCACTGGTATAATAAACCTTGCTTTGAGTCCTATTGCTACTAGATTTAATGGCTTACACATTTTGCTATTTACAACTCCTGCACACCAAACAGCAGAAAATAATATTGTTGCGTGTGCCATAAACAGTGTTGCTGCAGGTCTATTTTATGTAGTACTATCGTTTTTATAATCTCAAATGTTTGGCAACTGCAGTCAAAAAGCAAAAAAAAAAAAAATCTAACCAAATACTATATGCTGTAAGCTTCAGTTGTCTTCAGTCTTAAAAATATATACCTCGTTGAGAAGAAAATATTTTTCTTCAGACAAAAGAGAGTGGTAATTCAGCTGTAATAGACAACAATGTAAAAATCTTCTCTTAGTCAAATTCATCTCTCCTTAATTTGAGATCCAGTTAAGGGTACGTCAAAATCCATTTTAGCTTTGATTCTATTTAGGAGCTAATTAAAACTGAATATTATTAGCACAGGTATATTGTTCAATTATTTTAATATTCTTATTTTAAGAATTTAATCAAAGCTCTTCTCATGAACAAAAAGCAATAATATTTTTAAAATTGGAACCCCAATTTGCATGTGCAAATAACTGTAGAATGAGCTCACTAAACTATCTTGCCAATGACCTCGACCTTGATCTGGAAAGATCGTTTATGCACAAGTAAAACATTCACATTCTCTACGCTAACTCTGTGTTGGACCTTTTCTCAAGGTAGTTTACTTATGGCAACGTTGGAAGGTCTTTTAATAACATATGTATTTACCAACACCATTGAATTATATATTTAAATGGAATATCATTTCTGTCCATTTTTTATTTTAATCAGGATTTGCTCCCTTTGTACTTATATATGCAAAATTTTGGTTAAGCGTCTGCAAAGCAGTGAGTAGAAGAAGATTTGCGTATATGGTTTATTTAGTCAGTCTCCCAGACTGAGAAGCCTGGCTTTTCTATCGGTATACAAACTGGTTCTTCAATCAGAGGCTGAATGCGAAGGAGTCCTTATACAACAAAAAGCTGGAACCACCATTTTGCCATCCGCTCGCATACAATAAAATGGTGGCACAGAAAACAGTTAACACATTGTGCCCACGAGAGTTGTCTGAAAGTATTCAACTCTCTAATCCAGATATCAAGCTGCTTTCTAAAATACTGTTACCAAGTGGCTAGAGGTATTTGCTTATGTATATAATGCACGTGTGTGTGTGTGGTGTGCAGTGTGTGTATGAGATGCCGGAAGAAATGGATGTGTACATTTGACGAAAGGATAGAAAGAACTAGTCAAAAATTAACACTCAAGCTGAGAGTGAAAGCAAACCTATGTAAAAGCACAGGTCCTGGAAATTGCTTCTAACAGTTCGCAAAAGCTGTATAGTGAATTTGGCCTTGATAACTCCTTTCATTTTAGCATTCACTGCAAGCAACTTTGAGCTAGGAAATTTAAGGGAGTTGGTATTCTTTTTCTTTCTTTTTCTTTCCTAACGTCCTGTATAAATTAAAAGCAAGCCCACAATTGACTTTCACCTGGAAACTCCATGGTCTCGCTTAACAGAGGGGAAGGAAAACCAGGGACCAATCTTTCTTTCCTCTTTTACTTCTTCTGCTCTTATTTTTAGTCATTACAAATGCTGCCTTGGCTCTTTTAAAGTGTGAAAATTCTCATTTTTCTGCAGTGCTTCAGACTCACGCACTCCTTGGGGATACAGTGAGGAGCTAACCAACTGCACATGGGAAATGAGACCATTCGTGGTTAGAAAAACTGCAGTCTTTGGTAATTTTCCACATGGAGTAGAAGCCATAAGTGACTTTTTTCTTTTCCACATAATGACTTTACGTGAGTAGTTGGTATAGAATTGTAGGCTCAGGTTTGAACATATGAATGCACTAATGTGTTTTACAAAATTTAATTTGACTTCTATAAACATTTTCAGTATTTTCAAGTGCATAATAAATAGGTTAAAACAGGGCACCCTCCCTCTGCAATCCCCCACTTCCAGACAGAATTATAAAAGGCTACTGTCTGTAAATGAGAAATAGCCCGTAAGACCCACCAGCAGGTTATGCAATATGTGATATAGACCACCAGGGGCTGAACTGAAACCACTAATACTTTTTTTCATAGCATCATTAGCTAGAGTTAAACAAGGTGTCAAAGTGGAAAGATGGGGAGGTTAACCTGGCTCATTATATTTGCATGCCTTCATTTTAATTATTTTTTGTACTAAAATTAAACACTAATATTCAATTTTATTATTTAAATGTGTTACCCACAAACAGTACATTACTTTTTATCTTTTTAAACGATTAATGCATTATTTTGTGATTATTATC
Source organism: Homo sapiens (assembly GCF_000001405.40). Lineage (NCBI taxonomy): Eukaryota > Metazoa > Chordata > Mammalia > Primates > Hominidae > Homo > Homo sapiens. Next base: position 176,650,054 of record NC_000002.12, on the reverse strand, counting down.
TAAACTTGATTTTCAATAAATACTAAAATTCTCTTGACAAAAATGTAATTTAAATTTAAGGCTAAGGAGAGGTTATTAGTAAAAATTTTCCCTGTTGTACTTTATGAGATAAAATTGATTTTCATTTTTTGAAATTTAGATCTTAAATCAAAATCTGCCTCCAACCAAGATGAGTGAGCCCAGGGCTCATGGAGTGAGTTTGCATGCATTCTTGATCTCATGTTGACAGTCATCGGGAAAAAATATGTTCTCTTTATAATAGCTCCTTTACAATTTAGGACATTGCTAGGTTTTTACATGCACTAATATTAGTTGCCCCATGTACCTTAAGTAAAGCCAACCCAATAAATTTAGGATTGTGACTGAGAAATAAATGCCATGTCAGTAAACCTCAACCAGATACCAGAAGAAGGATTATGTGATTGTTTAGTCCAAAAATTAAGTTTCATGTCTTTAATTGGTGTCATATCCTGTCCTAAGTATGTAGTGCTTAAATCAAAGGCAACCACATTAACCTGGAAAGGAAACATAATAACAACTCCTTTCATCCCCTGCCTCAAATGTTTGTATGCTCTACCCTAATTTTTGTTAAAACACTTTCAGGCAAAGACAACAGGAAATAGTAAACATGGCAACACCATGAAAATAGTTTTCGGATGCACTATTTCTCTCCATGTTCAAAGAATCAGTTGTATAGGCTGCAGAAGAAACTGATGCATCATTAAACCTAATGCAGACAAAAACAGCCACACTTCCAGCAAAATGGATAGTTCTGTTCATTTTATAAATCTTGGTTCTAGCCAGACGAAAGCCAGGAATTAACTCGGTCTCTCACATCAATGGCCTGAAACGGTGGTGCATCACGGTAATACATTCAAAGGGAATCAGGAGTATCTAACAACAACTTTAGGAGCAGGAATGCAATTATAACTGACAGCCAGATGTCTGGTCGGGCTGCTACAACTACCCATCAAGACTGCAGATGGTCTTGAGATCTTTGCATCTAAACAGCGAGTCCAAGTGAATGATATACAGATAAACAACAATACCACAAATCATCAACACAAACCAAAAAAGTCGTTGTGACTGATAAAGATTTCAGATGTCAAGAGTTAGCCAGCTCAACTCCTTACTCTCCCCTTTCTCTTCTATCCAAACAAAAAGCTTGTTAGTGGTTGAGGGCCCAGCGGGAAATGTTTGGACACCCAGTGCCAAATGCCAGTCTTTGACTAAAGACTTCAATATACTTTAATGTTTAGATTACAGAGGCAAAAAAAAGGCTCCAGTAGAAATTACTTTACATGTGGAATATTAATAATTTGACTAACTCTATATTACATGTATTGTGCTTCCTCTTTACCTTAGAAGAGTACAGTAAAATTCAAAGAGAAAGAAAACTTAATTACCATTAAAGCAATGATCGGCATAAAGCTTTTTGTTCCTCGAATATGTCTCAAAAAAAATTTGAGGTTATGCTAGTAGATTAGATAGCGTTTCTTAACCTAGCTAAATACACATATTTCTTCATTTTCACAGATTCCGTATTATCTTGAAATACTTTTCTTTTGTATATCAGATTTGACATGAATTTGCGCTTCATAAACTACTACAAATATCAAGCCATTCTAATCCAAATGTGGATAAAGAATTTTGGGGAAAAACTTAGAAAAAAATGTCTTATTTTGTAAAGCAGTTTGAAATTTTAATGAATTTTATGGTATTAAACAGTTGCAAAAATAATGGAATTATATTCAACCTATTTATTCCTTTAGTGAGCATGGGTGGATATTTCAGTACCATCAACCATTTTGCAGTTTTCATAAGGTCTCTTCGAGCAAAAATTATGCCCTTTCAAGCAAACTCTTTTTAATGAAGTTAATCCAAAGGTTCCTAGATTAAATATTTCAAATACATTTCACTTATGTGACATTCTTCTCCAGGGCTCCAGTGTACCCTCCTATTGTTGTCGGTTCCAAACCCATTTTGAGGTCTCTGCTTTTTCCATGAGAACGTCAAAACTGGAGGCCTTTCAAAGTAGCTGCTGTGAACACGGAGGCCCCACAGCCAGCCTGACAGTCCCTCCAGTTGCTCTCAGAGACTTGCTTCACATGGATACACAGAGCAATTCTCCAGACACAGACGCATCTGATGCCCTTTCCCGAAAACAACATTTCCAGAAAATATGCTGACCATGAAGAAACAGCAGGGGTGAGAGAAGTGGCCAAAGCACTTGAAACATCTTAACAAGCACTAATTAAATGTCGTGCTTAAAAAATATGGCTGAAGAAAGCCAAATACAATAACTTCTTACAGATGGTTTTAGGAACTAACAAGACCTATAGGAAATGGCGCATTAAGATTAGTGTCCCCGAAGTCTCTTACAACCATTAGTGACTGGAGGTGCTGTGCACTTTAGAAAGAAATAATCAAAATTTGCCTGATGTGAAGCTGTTTTTTTTTTTTTTCTCATTTCTCTCTGAAGGGAACTGCGCATCTGTCAGTGCATTACACAGTCAATATTGACACGGCCAGCCAATGGAATATAAAAGGAACATTAGCGGCCTTGAAATCTATTTTTTTCTGATGGGGTACAAAGCTATCCTGAAAAACAACTGTGAGTATCAAGAAGGCAGGGACTGTGCTTCATCATATATGTATGACTATGCCAATATAGTGGGCATTTTATAACTGTTCACTTATTTATTGAACAAATATTCCTTTGGTGGTTACGCTCTGCTGGCTATGGACTATGATTTGGAGATAAAGTAGACAGATATGGTATCTACCTTTCAGAGTGGGGAAGCTGTGTAAGGTTATTTGTTGGAGATGGATGAATGGATGGATGGGAAAATGTGTGCTGGGGTAAAAAAGGTGTTTCTCAGCCATAGGTCTGGTGCTCTGGTCTGATATTCCTTTAAGATAAGACCCTTGGTCTGAGCACATTCAAAGAAAGATATAGGTAGGTTCGCCAGGTGCGATGGCTCACGACAAACCCAGTGGCAGTAATTAGTCCCAACATGGGCCTGAAACTAGGTGCTAGTATGGAAGTCTGAGCTTCTAATGAAGGGGCTTTGAAGTGAGGTTTCCCACAATCTTAGAACCTATACGACATTATTGTTAGTATTAGCTTTCTGATAGAATCTGGAAGAAGAGGCTCTGGTAATAAAGGAAAATATAGGCCTAATATTTAAACATTTTTTAACCCAAAGTATTACTAAAAGATTGAAGGGTGTATGTATGTCTGACTCTATTGTTAAGAAGACACCTCTTGTTTCCAGTTGCTTGTATATTACCCCTTGGGAAGATATGACTTAGCAGCCCAAACTGCCTTTCACACTAGCAGGCTTCTTGATCTCTTTACTGTTGTTTGTTTGTCTTAATTCTACTCCCATTTGCCACGTATTCAACTGTTTAATACTAGTATTCTACCCCTTGTCTATACCCATGATGCAAATTGGGGTTCAGCCGTGAAATGATTGTTAGAAACAGTTAAGACTCAATGGAGGGGAGACTGGAGATTGTCAAACCTGCGCTCTCCAGAGCAGCCAGCAGAGCGCTTTGGGGATAGAAGGAGCTTTGGGCAGGGGTTCTGTCACAGAAGCTCTGTCAGGTCAAGCTGGTCGGTTGGAAATAATGAGTCAATCTAGCCAGGCCATCAGGGAGGTGTTAGGAGACATTCAGTGAAAAAAACTTCTACCAACTTGGATGTTTTCCATAAAAGAACTAGTTAACTAGATTTTCCATTTCTAGCTGGCTGCTTTGCAGTATAATGAAAAGGAATTTCCATATGATTGGGTTGATGGGCTAGCCATCCCTAACCCCACACAACCACCTGTGCCACATCACTCCTGGCTATCAAAACCACATACCAACCACCACCACCTACCCCATTTAAAAACAAAATCCTCATTAGAATCAACAAGAGAAAATAAACTTGCTTTGGAGGTGGTGGTATTGTTCATTTCATACATTCACTCAACAAACATTCACTATGAAACTCTTCGGTGTCATCTACTGAATAACTCTACACATGCAAGTTGGTAGGAAAAAAATGCTGCTGAAGGAACTCTTAAGGGAAAAAATTATCAAAGTTGTAGCATTACAAATACAAGTTTCAGCCTTGGGAGAATACAAAACCTAAAGAAAACAAGGCTGTTTTCCTCTAATGTATGTCACGGATGAGGACAGAGTGTTTCAGGTAATGCCACTGATGAAGATGATGAGCTGATGTGGATGCTGGTGCTGCCATTCACATGGTGAGGGCTCACTACATGCCTGGCACTGTGCACAATACATCGGTTATTTAATTGCTGTAACAAACCTGTTAAGTTGGACTCATTATTTCCATTTTACAGATGAGAAAACTGAGGCCCAAAGAGGCTAAGTAGCATCTAGCACTAGTGACATGTAGTAAATGGAGGAATCCAGATTGAACTTCACAGTCATCTCGCTCCAAAGCCCATAGCACTTTGCCTTCTTTCTAATTTGGTTGACTTGCTTTTGCTTGAGGCCATTTAATAGCCAAGTCAAAATCTAAGTGATTTTCACTCACACATGTGAGAACTGGGTGAATGCTTTTGAAGCTAGGTCTGGGGAAGACGATTAAGATGATCTGTTAACTGCATATTTAAATGCAACATTCCCACGTATTGTCTGAATCTTAGTAATATTTCCTGGGCTCCAAATCTCATTCTTTGTGTTCTCTTTTACATCAGACCTCTCCAAAGAGGTGCCACAGATGTAATGCTGCAGGTCCCAAAGGTGCTGCCCTTCATGTCCAAATGGCACAGCACTGCCCTAAAGCTGGCCCCTTAGCAGCTGTGACAGTCAGGGAGCAACCCCCACATGTGCAGCTTAGCAGGATGCCACCCAGAGGTCTGAGACACTGTCAGGGAAGAAGAAACAATGGAGGAGAAAAGAAGAGAAGGTGAGGGCAGCATAGACAAGAAAGCAAGGGAGAGAGAGGGAGAGAAAACTGCAAACAGCCATCTGCCGCCGCCTCCCAACTGGCCTCCCCAACCACAGGCCAGTCTCCTTCCAAGTCCCTCAGCAGAGAGCTGCATTCAGAAAGAAGCAAATGAGGGACGTGGAGGCAGAAAACCCGGAAGTCTTGGCTTGTCATCTGAAACGTTTGAACTCGGGCAAGCCATGAACCTCTCTGGGTCTCAGTTTCCTCATCTGTAAAAATGAAATAAGGATAAGGTCCATTTCACCAAATATTGAACACCTAATGAGATCATGTATTTTTAACAGCTTTATCGAGTTGTAACGGACATATAATAAACTGTACATGTTAAGCGATGATGCATTTGAAAAGAAGCATTTGTAAACCATAAAACTTTCATCTCTACCAGGCTCAGATTCCCACAGTAGCTCCCTAATTTCTTTAAGCCATTTTCTGTCTGGTTTTTAGGAGTCTTCATAACTGGTCTGCACCTTATCCAGCCACCTCATTTCTCACCATTTTCCACTACAGACTCTGATAACAATGAGGCCAGCCTTCTTCATTCAGCATTCTCTCCACTGGTTCTTCCCTGGAACACCAACAATGACCACCAAGCCCCTCTGCTCATCTTCAGCATCTTCATTCTCCTGCATTTGTTCAGCCATTGAACCCTGAACACTCTGACAAACACTGTCCTATGTACTGGGGATGCTTCTGGGAGCAAGAAAGACAAGTTCACTGCCATCAAGGGCCCTCCGAGAGCTCTTGACAGTAAACAGGGTGTTCCCCTGCCAGCATCCTCCTCCCTAGGTGAATCCTCCAGCTCTGATGCTCTCTCCTCTATGATTTCTCTTTTAATTACCATTAACTCATTATCTTATCTTTTTTCCTACAGCTCTTGTAGGCTGTTTCGTATAATTTAGGGTATGATTTTATTTTTTAAAATTCTCACCTAAAAAGCACCACCCAGGAAACTGTTTTTTTTTTTTTTCCATATTCTTATAACCCAGAGTAGACATCAAATGCTTGTTGATTTCAGAAGAGCATATCAGAAAAGCTGGGCACATGTGAGAAACTTTCCCAGGGAACAGGACCCACCATTGCCCCTCAGTGGCACCTGTATGGTAGGCTGGTCGGCCCTGCTGGGAGGGCGGCACTAGTGAGGACAGTCTGATTCACGGCTTGTCCAAAGCCAACCACAGGGGAAGCCATGCTCAAGGACATCTTCCTGCTGCCGGCAAAAGACGAGTGTCTCCTAGCAACCAGCTTCCAGTGGCTTCCTGTCCTGGGAGCCTCCCTGTGCTCACTGCTTTACGTCCTGGGGTTTTGTATTTTGGCCTTGCTAATCACTATTTTTATTCTAGATTCTGGAAATTGAGGAATAAATGCAGGCTAGCTGCTGACGTTCAAGCGGAGACACTATTTCATTCATAACCTCCTTTCAGCAACCACTCATGACTTTCATGGAACGGAATGTTTGGTCTTAGTCTAAAAAGGGTAAATATATTTTTTAAAGATTCCATTTATATCAAGACAGTTGGTTTGAAAGATACATAAAAAAGGAAAAGCACACATTCTTTCCATCAAATAATCAAAAAGTACTGACCTTTTCAAAACAGATACACTATCATTCAAAACCTGTTACAGCAATAAACTCTAACTTGGCAAGTTCACAGATGCAGAAAGAAAGGCAAGGCAAATTTGAAGAAAATGGTTCAAAGGTCCTTGAAAGTTGTGGTGGCTTAAAATTATGTCTGCTGCAATATGGATTGAGCATTTATTTCCTCCATGTTCTTCCTAGAGAGTCTAACCTCAGTTTCAAGATATACAGTGCTACATTTTTATTTTGGTGGGATTGAACTCTGCAGTTCATGTTGCTTTTTAATGTTTTCTCTTGTTTTTATCAAATATTCATCAATACACAAATTCCTCATCTGTTAAAAAATTAATCAGACTTCACAGTGAAGAGCTGGAAACTATAAGTATATCCTTTATTCAAAAAAACCCATAAATTTAATTTAAGGTGTGATTACTTTTCTCTTTCAATAAGAAAACTCAAAGACTTAAGGTGAGTTGAGTGCCCAGAGTTAAATGCATGAGAGGGCTGGTAAACCCCAGAACTCTTTTCCAGCAAAGCCACCAAAGCCTGGTACTGCCTGGGGTTCCCTGAGCAGCAAGTTGAGGTTTGGAGTCTGCCACTGCTGTATTTATGTAGTGAGCTCGGTCTCTGCAGACTTGTGAGTTCTTTGGAGGTATCCCTCAATTCCTCCCCCCATTTCCGTCCCCCTGTCCCAGCAATAACAGCCACAAAGTCATAAGTCCAAGATTAATTCTAACTGTTTTGGCTGTAGTAGACTCTCTCTAAACCTAAGAATGACTTCTGCCTTCTCAGGGATAGTATAGGATTTACCAGGTGGAGCCAGTGACTTCCATCTTTTCAGCATCTACTTTTGAAATTTATCCTTGGATGGAGTTTTTTTTTTTTTTTTTTTTGAGACGGAATCTCGCTCTGTCGCCCAGGCTGGAGTGCAGTGGCGGGATCTCGGCTCACTGCAAGCTCCGCCTCCCGGGTTCACGCCATTCTCCTGCCTCAGCCTCCCAAGTAGCTGGGACTACAGGCGCCCGCCACTACGCCCGGCTAATTTTTTGTATTTTTTTAGTAGAGACGGGGTTTCACCGTTTTAGGATGGAGTTTTTAATAGGGGGTGTTGCACATTCCTTAGAATAACTCACAGGCTCCTTAGCTTCCTCTTTTGGGGTTCTGTACATATTTGTTTCAGGGGTACAGAATGAATCACATGGCTACAGCAGAGCACTCTTGCATGACTCTTGCTTACTCATTAAAGAAACTCGTACATGAATCAAGGCTTTCCTTATGGTCTCAGGCTGTTCTTCATTCCCTGAAATGGTCAGAACACCCATCAAGTATCTTGGAAGAATGCATATCTTTAAAGGCCATAAAGAAAGAACGTTTGGTTAAAAGGAAAAACTGCTCTGCCACCCACTTGTCTGAGTTCTCCTTTCTTCATCTTTAATCAATATGTACATCTGTTCACTTGATGTTTTAATACTAGTTGAGGTAAATTCAGCTTCATCATGTTTTTCCACAGAGGGGAAAAAAGTAACCCTGACTTTTCCTCTGGGCCTTTTCAAATATCTACATGTAGTGGTGGAATGAGCGGAGGACAGGAAAGACCCTGGGAGGCAGGCCTGTGTCTCACCCCACTGGGCCTAGTATTCCAACCACCGCACAAGACTAATTCAAGAATAATAGGCCTGGGTTCCAGCCTTAATCATTTCCATTTTCATTATGGTTTACACATTAATTGTAAATGACCAGATTGATTAGGGACTCTTTAAAGCCAAACAGATTGGGAGGCAGTGCAGGGTAGTGCTAACTGTATATGTTTGACATTTCCATAGACCTGGACTAAACATCCAGACCTGTCATTTACTAGCTGTGTGACCTTGGGAAAGTCACTAGGCTTCTCTGAGCCTCATATTTTCCTTACCTATACAATAGGGATTGTAACTACCTGTATGAAAATTAGTGTGAATAAAATGAAACAATGTATGGAAAAGATTTCGCATAGTGCCTGTAACCATCGTTTATTGAATAAAAGACTGTAATGCATACTGCTCTGATATGTGTGGCATACTGTCTTACCAATTGTCTATTACTTATGTACAAAGCACTGTGGTAAGTGCTATAGAGACCCCTCAAAATTTCGGATGCTCTTTTCTCAAAAGCTTTATAACCCAATTGTTAATCAAGAAGACAACATAGAAATCCGTAGAAAAAGTAAAATTGCAGTTGGATAAAACTTCTCTTGGAGTGCTGCCCACTCTCAGTAGTCAAGTCCACACCTGAGGCTGAGAGTGCTTCAGTCATTGCTTCATGGGTCACACCTGAACCAACTAGGGCACTCAATGAAATAACATCCAATATTCATCCAACAAATATTGATTGACCTACTATGTGCCAGGCACTGTGCTAGGTGATGGATATGTCAGTCTTCCAGGAGTTTGTTTTAAGAAGCACTCAGGGTCTGTTTTAAGCATTTCATATGAATTAACTCTTTAAACTTTTCAACAAAACTAGGAGGGGGGGACTAGCATCAGTCTCATTCTACAGATGAAAAAACTAATCACAGAGAGGTTATATAACTTGTCCAGGGCCACACAGTAATAGACAGCAGAACTGGATTGGAAACAAGCAAAGTGGTTCTAGGGTCTGCCCTGGTATCACCAATACCTTACTGCTTTGTAACAGCACGTTTTCTTATGAGGAGACCATTGCATGCTTCTGGTGTGGCTCCTTTACTCCTGTTTTTGAAGATCGATTCTCTAGATGAAAAGATTGAGGCTTCACTCTTTTCTTTCCTTTCATCACTGAAGACTTGAGAAGGGACTGTGAAGTCGGTGTGGACACTAGTTAGCCCTCCATTAACACAGCTGTGTGCCATCAGTTACCATATTTAAGCCAATCTCTTGGAGTTTTGAATAAGAGTTAAAAACATACTTTGATGCATTAAATGGATCTGCCTTGGGGAGGTTTACTTCATAATTGAACACAATAGATTTTTAACTTGAAAGCTACTGCAGGCTTTTAAGTATTATTTAAATTGTCCCAGACACAAATTACTCATAAAATTGAACTGTCACTTCATAGCAGAATGAAAATTAATATGTTCCTCTTGATTCCTGAACTTGAGCATAAATTCCCTTATGCAAAACACTCTGGAATTTGGAGAGCTAACATCAGAACCTTTTTCTCTGCTCCGTCTCATATCTTGTGTCTCATGTGGTAAAAGGCAAAGAAAACAAGCCGTCAGTAGTAAGCAGAATGAAGGAAGAATATTTAGTCAGGGCCTAACATCACTTTCTTTCCTAGTTCTTTAACTGTTAGAGAAATAATTTGAAAAAGAGAAAGAAAAACTGACTCATATTTGCAAATAGAAAATACCAGAAAAGGAGATAAATGGCTGCCCAAATGATCTCAGGACATAATTATTTTTAAGGTAGGACTGCAGTCCTTCGTAAGCTCTTTTCAGAATCTAGGCCATCACAGACACACAGAAGACTATTAGACCAGGTGCTAAATTTTGTCCATGGTTAGCAAACGACATACAAAAAACTAAACTGCTTCCTTGAAGTTGAAATCAAAGAGCATCATGAGCAGCCTTATGTATTTCTGAATGGGAGAGAACACACGTGTGATGGAGGCAATCCAGAGAGAGGCGCGCTTCCCAGAGGCTGTTTTAAACAGTGACAGATTACAAAATCCTAATGTGATATGTTGGAACATGAAACACACACACACACTTGCTTGTGAAAAACCCTGCTGAAATCCTTAAAAGCCAAAGTTTAGAAGAACACGTGCTATGGATACACCAACAGTAATTTCAAAATCACTCTGTTTATGAGTCCATTCCTCACCTCTTTTATCACTTTGACACACTCTTTAGGAAATAACAGAGAAAGAGAAATATGAAGCTGAAGACAGAAAATTTAATTATAAAACAAAGCCACCCACCTTGCTTTCAGGGTCAGGAGGTACAATGGCCTTCTTTTGCAGCAAGAATGAACTTAACACCCGTGTGTTAAATGATCACGTATCTATTTAAAAGAAAAGGAAATGTTTTTTAAAAGAAATGAAAGCTATATTCTCAGTCCTTCCTATAGCCAAGTCTTACCAAAAAATAAAAATAAAAGCAGTGTACTGTGGCTCTCTGGCACAAGGCAGAAAGCCGAGTCCTTAAGTCACTATTCCCCGGTTTCGCAAAACAAAATAAAACCAAAAAGCAACAGCAAAAGGTGTTTGGCAGGTGGGAAAGGGCCTTAAAACACCTTGTGCCCTCCTGGGTCCCTCCCAATGCCTTCAGTGTGGGCTGTGGAAACAACACCGCTCAACACCAAAGTCACCATCGGCAGTTTAAATGCCACAAAAGTACACTTAGAAATGAGAAGAAAGTGGGGCCGGGCGCGGTGACTGACATGGATATGTACAGCCAACCCCACTGCCACTAGAACAGTCTTAAATGCCCACACAAGGAGTATAAAAAGAAAAGCACATTTTGCAATAGAATAAATTCTTTTTTTTTTTTTTTTTTTTTTTTTTTATTGAGACCGCGGAAAGTCACATGACCCTGCATGTAGCCTTTTAGGAAAGCAACCGAAATGGTAAAGCCAGGAGCCGGGGCTGCCTGCTTCCTCCTGCAGCCTTTCAGCCCGTCCTGTCGCGCGTCCACATTCTTCTGGGCGCATCTGTGGAGCTATTAAGTGGGATAATCCCTCTGGCCTTTGATACATTTCTGGACATGATTATTTCATTACTCGCAGTATATCAGTAGGATCATAATAAAAAGGACTTCTGACAACCTGCCAAGAGTTTTGTGGCCTTGTAAACACAAAAGTGCTCTAATAAAATTTTATTAAGTGTTAAAAAGTCATAAAAAGTGAAATAACATAAACTACAAAATTTACTGTCCTCAGCAAATCCTGAAAATATCTTCCACAGTAAAATTAAATTAGCATGTAATAGACAGAGAAGCAGTGTGGAGTGGATTTAAAAGAGGATCCAGGGAAAATGACACTGTAACCCAATCAGGGTCACGGGGATTTAATTCGGATTTTCCCCCTTAAATGTGGATAAATGTGCTGATTACAGACGAGAGCTCCGGGGTTACTGGAGTCTCACACATTGTCAATACTTCGGAAGAAATAATATATTGCAGATTGTAACGAGCACGGGGAGCCAGCGAAAGGCAGGGCGTCCACTAGGGCGCGCTGAGAGACCGGGAATCCCCGCAAGGGCGCCCGCGCCGCCCGCCACCCGCCGCCGCGCGCACGCCGCGCCCTCGCCCACCTCCAAATAATATTTACAGTTAGGGTTTTTTTTTTTTTTTTTTTTTTTTTTTTTGCTCTCGCCCGTGACATTTTCTCCAAATCGGAAGAAAATCAAGTGTATGTCGAGCTTTGCCGCAGGCAGCCCTTGGTCTCCGCTTTCAGATTCGGGGTCCGGGAGCGGAGCGCCCTGCCCGCGGCGGTGCTAAACTCTGGGGCCAGGGTGTGGCCCTCAGCGAGCGCCCTGGGACTGGCCGCCCCGCCGAAGGATGCCGAGGATCGGGCAAGGCCGGCGTCCGGTCTGCGCGGGGCGCGGGTGCTCTCCGAAGGCCGCGAGCCACGGGCCTCGCTGCGGGTTCAAGTGCGTCCGGGTTTGGACGTCGCGGCTCCAGGAGTGTGCTCTCTCTCCTGCCCATCCCCTCCCCGGAGTTCAGCGCATCCGGGGCCCCGGGGACCCCTCTTCCCGGCCCTCCTGGCCGCGCTGGCCCGCCCGCATGGGGCCGAGGTTCCTGGCCGACGCGCGAGGGCGCGGGCGGGTACCGGGTTCCCGTTTTTCCCAGGCCCCGATCCCCGCCCACGCACGAGGCCCCCGGCCCACGCACGAGGCGCCCACGCCCATCGTGGAGGCTCCGCCTGGAAAAGAAGTCCGACTTCCTCTCCAAGCTGCTCCGAGGGGAATGGGGAATCGGCAGGAAATGACCCGAACTGCCAGCCTGCGCCTTTGCAGCCGGCCCTCGCTTTGCTGAAGACGAGCAGCTCCCACCAAAGTCTTGCCTCCCCTTACCCCGAAAGCCCCGCTCAGGTTTGTAAAGAGGGGTGCGAGATCTGAAAAGTATTTGTCTTCTAGGGAGAGAGATGTTGGTAAGGGGCCCAGAGAAAGACGGGTCCTTTTTAGCTCATCAACGCGCCACGTCTTGCTTTGCAGCTCCAAAATGATGCCAGCGCTGCTGTCCGAAGGGTCAATATTAATGCGTTAAGTGAAATGGGAAATAAATGGACAGTGGCACATTTCGTGGCATCATTTTTACAAGGGGATGTCGAAAGTTTTAAGCTGCATTTAAGAATTAGCCACATCTTGCCTGAAAGTTAATATTTTTTGATAAACTCGTTAATAAAGCCTAGAAGAGGTAAGTTAAAGTTAGTTACCACGTAGATCCTCCAGTCTCTTGTAGAGACTTGCGCAGGTTACTAGGATGAGGACGAGTTGTATTTTTAATTTTCTAGACTAAGTGCAAAGGCATTGAGTTTTGAGGTGGCAGGGTTAATGTTCAAGGGCAAATGGAACCGCCAAGGATCTCTTGAAAAGAATTCACTTACTATTAATACTTAAGCCTGAAATAATTATAATTAATTTACAGTGGGAATTATATGCCCATGTTTTAGACTTTTTTGTTATATTAGCTATATGAAAAGGGATGTTCTTTAGTGATTAAAAGAAAAAACCACCTGTTTATTGTCATTTGCAATTTGAAATAGCCGACAGCAGTAAGGCTAGCTACAAAAGCTAACAAGTCAACTTCAGTGTGGTTTGACATTTACTGTCAAAGCTTTGAGCTCTAAGAAAAACAGAATTTAAAATAATGTATATAAATAATAAAATTTCATTGTGACTCAATGTCCCTGCCCCTGGAGAAGGGACAGATGACACTCAGTGACTGGCTTGGAACCATTCCCCCTGCAGATGCATTTGCGGATACAGTGGGCCAGGGCTGCCTCTGAGTATGTACAGCAAGTGCTTATGGACTTACAGAAACAAATGTTTTACTATTTAGGATTTTCTCAATAGTTTACACTAAAAGTTTTGCATGTAGAAATGTGGGATAAATATTTCTTTGAAAGGAAAAGTTTCGAAAGGAAACTTTATACTTGTATTTTTTTGTGTGTTCACATTTCTAAGTTCATCTGTCTTTCAAAAAACAGATTTTCATAAATATTAAAATATTGCAAGTATTATTTTTAATTCTTTTGAGTGCCATGTTTGCTGTAAGTAGTTTTTTCTTTTAAGTAAGATTAATATAATCCTGTCTAAGGAGTTTAATAGAGAGAACAGGATTTCCAAGCCTATAAATGCAGTCTATATAAAATAGTGGGATCAAAGTTTTTTGTTAAGAAACTTGAGAATTTATACATTTTAAATGAAGATAGAAGCACGTTTTAAAAGTAGTTTTTCCACACCATTTCCCTCCCCCCAAAAGAATTCAGAAACTATATTCCATAGTCTAAAAATGGCATAATCAGATGTAAAAATTATTACCATAATATATAGTTTTCTCAAGATGGTGGATACTTTTTAATATATTATGAAGAGTTATATTCTCAGCCCACTGTGTGTTTGAGGGAATGGAAAAGACAAGATGTTTCTAAACATATTTTACTACTGAAATCCATAAGACTATTAAGCTGTGCAGGTAATTGTGTTCTAAGTGGTAGAAGTATTTTTCCAACTGCTTTTTAAACTTTGAAAAATTTATATGTATTTTAATTAGCACTTTTCTTTTAAAGGTTCCAAATATTTAGCTATATCAGCTATGTGATAAAAATTATTGGAATTTGTTCCCTACTACTTTCTGCATAAACAATTGAGAAATATTTTATACTAATCTTTTTATATACAGGGGATAAATTTGAACATGTGTCTTGTTGGTGTAATAAACAATCCAAATTCATTTCTTTCTTGAAAACTTGGCATCGATCTTCATCTTATTTTTTATGCACACAATTTGGACATGCCAGTTTGTAGGCAAGTTTTAAGACAGTGCAAGTTTTATGTGGAAGAATGTATATTAAGGAATGAATAGCTAATAGCCAAAATTAAATCAGGAGGTGTGGCATTCACTCCTTTGGATGATTATTTTAAAGATAGTTTTGCACTCAGGAAGGATTTTCTTATGCTCTGTATTTATGAATATCTAAATTATCCTGCCTTGCAACTTCAAAACTCAATAACCAAATACCAAATTTATGTATTTTCAGTGTGACTAAGGCTAGGAATATGAGAAGCAGATTGGTTTTATAAAAGAAAGCAAGCATTTACAATTGTATTTTAAAATATAATCCTAATTTCAGTTTCTGACAGAAATCTTGTGGTCAGCTCATCAGTTTTTCAGATCAGTTTCTAAATAGCATATAAAAACTACCTTTTCCACATCAGAAGTTCATATTTAGGTTTCCTTAACTGCAAAATCACTTTAAAAGAGAGTGTTTTATGTGAAGGGCCATTTCATGTGTTGGTTCCATCGATTACATATGAATGTATAAAAATCTTGTTTAAAGACCAGTAAAAGTGAGGAAATTCCAAGTCAGGCTGGCTAATTCCATTCATAATTCATCCCGAGTACCTGACTGAGGAAACTTGCAAACAGTTTATAGCTATACATACAAAATAAGTTGACGTGCTTTGTAAGCTGGAAGCAGAGTTAAGTTTGACCTCCCTGCTTGGAAGGTCTTAAATTAATAAAATTATGGAATATGGTTAAGCTTTTCAGTTTCCCAAGAATTTTCCAATATCGATGCTTTTTGGATTTTTGCATTTTGAAAATGTAAGCATGGAAGGACAACTTCTTTTGTGCTGAGATGAAGTTAGCTTTTACCCATCCATTTCCTTCCCACTTAACACATTTGTTCAGTAATTCTTCGAGTGCTGGGGGACAGAGGCCCTGCCTTGAGAAAAGCATATGCCATTTCTCTGCCCCCTTCAACCATCCCCACCCCCAGCCCTCCCTTTATTTCAAGCCAGTTGGACAAGTATTTAGCATTGACACATGTTTCAAACTGCTGCATCCACAGCCCTAGGTAGTTTTGGGGATTGGCAGGAAATCCATCTAGACTTTGCCTTCTGAGCTGGGTAAAACTACTAGGAAGTCCTATGCCTTGATATTGTGGCACTTCTAGGCTGTCTTTCCAATTTTAAGCAATCCATCAGTTGTTTTCTAAGACTGCACTGTAGACTGATGCCTTCTCTTAGTTTTGATGTTCAGAAGATTTTTTAAACATGTTCATAGATTTCTTAAACATTCTGAGTAATTGTAATTTTAAACTAGACTAATTTTAGGGTTGAAAACTGTCCCAGAGAGAGTCCTTACATAATAACTTCAATCTGATGTGAACTCGAATGACTTTTTAAAAATAAGATGTTGAAAATGTGGGTTTCTGGTGGAAAAGGCTGCCATTCACTTAGAGTGGGATCCTTAGGACCAGTTAATATCCACCAGACATGCTTCAATAAACTGGAACAAGCCTGATGTGGAATTACTGACTCCCCATTTTCCTGAATGTAGGTCATTTTGTGTCCTTACAATTTAACGTTTGAAGGGATTTCCTGTCTTTGAAGTGCAACAGTTTGTCACCTGCTTGGCTAGCTGCCTTAACAGTTGGGGCTCCTTTCCTACATTGAAAGACTTAGTGACTCCATGTTCCCGGGCTAGAGTTTCCCAGCTCACTGAATGCATGATACCTGCACCTCTGGGACTCTCCTCTACAAGTTAGTGCCTGCAGATCCCCTGTTCCAAGCTTCATTTCTCTAGGTCAAAGAGCCTAAAAGAAAAGCCCGGGCCGGGCGCGGTGGCTCACGCCTGTAATCCCAGCACTTTGGGAGGCCGAGGCGGGCGGATCACGAGGTCAGGAGATCGAGACCATCCCGGCTAAAACGGTGAAACCCCGTCTCTACTAAAAATACAAAAAATTAGCCGGGCGTAGTGGCGGGCGCCTGTAGTCCCAGCTCCTTGGGAGGCTGAGGCAGGAGAATGGCGTGAACCCGGGAGGCGGAGCTTGCAGTGAGCCGAGATCCCGCCACTGCACTCCAGCCTGGGCGACAGAGCGAGACTCCGTCTCAAAAAAAAAAAAAAAAAAAGAAAAGAAAAGCCCGGAGCCATACACTCACCTGGTTGAAGCCATAAAGAGGTAAGCTTTCATAACGTAGGCTATATATCAAAATTCATAGCTTTTTAGAACCGGAGTAACTAGTGCTCAGGCATTAGAGTCTCAGGCTAGAGCAAAACACAGCAACTGGTGCCAAATGTACGCTAGTGGCTGAAACCCATTTAAGTAATAAACAAACAAATGTCCTTTTAAGAATGTGCTATTATTTTTATTTAAGAATGCATATGACTTTATCGCCCCTTATGATGTGAATCTTACAGTTCAATATTTCAAGTGAAAATCTGCCTGTTCGAAAAGAAAATATTCACAAATGAGCAGTGTATTAGAAGACAACTGAATTGCTTCTAAGAATGGTGGGTATGCTAATTTTTACCAAATGATACAACATGTGCATGCCAAAGCTCTTTGTAAACTATAACACACCTCCAAATGAAAGCAATTTGCATATATTTTAATAAACTTGTCTGCCTTTACCACATCCACCAACTAATCCTTATGCTCCCACTGCAAAGACTCTCCTCTTTTTGGAGAGGAACACCAATTGTTTGAAAGCCTGGACTTTCAAACAATCTTAAGGCATCTTCATAGTATCCGTCCTTAAGAGTGCTTTCATCTTAATATTAGGTAAACATTTAGAAGATTATGAACTTTGGGGACTTTCTTTTCAGAGAACTGAACACGTGTATATAAAATTACAATATCCTGATAAGTGAGGGGAAGAAAATAAAAATAGGTGTCAATACAGTTATGGCTTAAGATCTTGATGAAATTGAGAAGAAAGTAGAAATCAAATGCATCAAAGGAAGAACGGTCAGACTGAATTCTGTTTGTAATTTTTTCAAAATGAACTGAAATGCAGTTTTTCTGACTATATGTTTTCTTTTATGGACATTAATCACTTTGATTCATTTAATTTCTCTGGAAGAAACTGTAGCTTTTGTAACAGAATCTGCTCTATTGGGTTCTGTATGGGCACCTACCGGTTTGCTTTCTAGCCAGTATCATGTGAATTGTCTAGAGAAAATGCCTTTAGCAAACACCTTCAAAAAGCATCCATTCCAAGGGCACACCTCTTGTGTCTCTCACAAAGCAAGTGGTACTATGTCTAGCCAAGGAGGCAGACTCAGATTCATGCATTTATCTCAGGTTTTTTGGTGACCTTCTTCCTAGATCCTGCTCTTGGCAACTGTAAGCCAAGTGTACATAAGTATTAGAATGGATTCTCTAGGTACCAAGTGAAAATTCTATCTCTAGTCACATGCTCCTGCACCTTTCATGTGGGAAAAATGTTCCAGTCTTTCCTTGATTACATCACAGATGATACGAGAACAGGACATGGGACAGGGAACTGCTAAACAGCTGGATATCTCTGGAAACTCAGAGCACTTAAAAACACTTTGAAGCCATGCAGCTGCTCTTTTTTTTTTTTTAAATTGTCTTCAGTGAAACTCCAAAACCCCAATAATATCTACCTTAAAAGCATCAGGAGTATTTTAATTGGGCAATAACCATCCATATTTTCCTTCTGATAAATTAAAATGAATTAAGAATGAAATTTTATGATGATTATAAAGTATATTACTGACCCAAGGGACAAGAACAATTATGAAAAATATGTCCTACATATTTGGCATGAATATGAATTTAGACTTTAAACCATTCATCTTAAATGCTCAAGCATCTTATTAAAGCTTATAAAATAATATTCACATAATAACAGAGTAACTTATAATCATGATTGATATTATATCATCAATATTGCAGCAGGCTTTGTGCCAAATACTGAAATTGACTTGGTCTTTGCCTGTTGGACTTAGAATAAAAATAAATACATTATTAAAAAGATGAAACATGGTAAAAGATTTTGTGCATTTGAGATTTTTTTTTCTTTCTCCAATTAAAATTATTCACCATGAGAACGAAAGGTGATTTTTGAAAAACCTGGAAAACCTAGTGAGTTGGAATTGTACTACTAAATGTTGGAAGATCTGATCAAAATTTAACTTTAATAGCCAGCAGCTGTTTGAGGACAAGTTCACCTTACATGAATGTGGGTGGTCATTTGAGGGTAACCCACCAAGCTTAGCCTAGCGGTGGCCAGGCCCTAAAATAGGAGTCATCTTGGAGAGCAAGAGCATTTCTGTATTTGAGTTAATGCTACCCACCAGCAATCAAGATCAATTAACTCTTGTAGTAAACTTTTTAAATGAATTGGAGATGACTACAGAAATTGCCAAAGACAATGTGGGCAAAAATGGATGGGCTAAGTGAAGGGGCTGCCTGTATCAGCATTTACTTAGGCCCAGCCCCACAAAGCCCTAGCAGTTGCCATTCAGACACCTGTATGTTAACATTAAGACCTTTAGAGCATATGTTTAACTGTGAGTATTTTCTTCCACATAGGTATTGGCACTTTTTAGCATGACCTACCTTTGTGTGTCATGCTAAAAAGCATATATGACTAATAGAACACACACATTTAACTTATTATGGGCCTGGGTTTCCCGGGTTTCAGCTTCAGTGTATGTCCCCTGGCAGGTTTCTTAACTGGTCTGAGCCTAAGTTTCCTCATTTATAAAACAAAGGCAGTAAGTGGTGCCTTTTTGCAATATTAAAATTAGTATTAAATGGCATAACGTTCACAAAATATCTGGAACAGTTTGCCATCAGTAAATATCTGCTACTGCAGTTGCAAGGGAAAAACAAGATTGAATCTTTGTTCTCAGTTTCTCATTATATAAAATTTTAGAGATTATTTAAAGAAAAGAGAGAGAGCATCTAAATGAACAGTTTCAATAGCATCTTGTTTATATTCAGAAATACAGCCCTGAACTCAAACTTGAAACTTCAGTGTTAGCCAACCTTCCCTCCTCCCATCACCACCTGAAGGAAAATATCTTTGTGTAGCACAAAAGAACTTAATTCTAATTCTTTTTTTTTCCTTTTAAAACAGGGTCTCACTCTGCCATCACCCAGGCTGGAGTGTGGTGGCACCATCATGGCTCACTGCAGCCTTGAACTCCTGAGCTCAAGTCATCCTCCCACCTCAGCCTTCCGAGTAGCTGGAACTGCAGGTGTGAGCCACCATGCCTGGCTGATTTGTCTTTTTAAATTTTTTATAGAGACCGAGTCTCAACTATATTGTCCAGGCTGGAAAAGAACTTCTTTCCCTCCAAGTGATAACCTTTTCCAGACAAGTCAGCTTAAAAACTGACCCAAAGGCCCTGAAGTACACAGTTTTCTTGGAGAAAGAAAAAAATAAGTGAAAAGGACTTGCTGACTTGCTAATTCATTTTGGGGCCTGTGGGTAACATCAGAATGGCAAAGCACTTGGGGCTTTTTTCTAATTTGTATTTTTTTAATCTTCTGAGAAATGACTTTTATATGCCAAGATTCATTCCATGATTAGTTTTTATGACCAAGTTATGAACGCTTTTGAATATGGGGACCTAGAATAGAAATGCTAACCTACCTGCAAGGAGAGCTCTGTGATTGGCATCCCCATCATGCTGTAACTGACACAAAATAAACTTAGGGTAATTGCCGCATAGTGTAACTTTAATGTGTGAGCATACTGTAACATCTGACAAGCTTCTTGATCTAGATCAGCAATGTGTAACCCATTCATTGTTGTCACTCTCAACAAGGCCTTATGGTCAAACATCATCACTCTCACTAAAGAGATAGTTTACTGAAATATACTGAGATTTTGAAACTGGAGTCAAGAGGTAGCACACTGTTTTATGTTGATCCATTTAATGGTCCTTGACAGCCAATAAAAAGACACTGGAAGAATACGTGAATGCAGTAATTGTTAATAGGTCTATTGATAATATTTTCAACACCAGGTAGGGAGGGAGACAGGGAGGAGGAGGAAAGGAAGGAAGGGAGGAAAGGAGGAAGGGAGGAAGGGAGGGAGGGAGGGAGGAAGGGAGGGAGGGAATGCTCTGACATCTTACTCCAGAAATAGAGCTGTTTTTATATATTTTACTCCATTATTTTGGATATCAATACTGACCATACTGAGGTCTGTGGTCATTTACACAGTTGGCCAAATTTCACTGAAGTTTGTTTTTCAGATTCTACTAGGTGTTTTCATGTGGCAGTTGCCTAATTTTTTACTATATTTAAGATTTGTCCTTACGTTTTGGATATTCTGCCTTTGTTCTTCACAAATGCTCAACTGTCATAGAGGGTCTTCTGATTTTTTTGGCATGGGGTCACTCAACTAAATTATAGCTAGATAATAACTCCAAAGCCTAGTTCTCCTGGCTTTCCCTGCTGACCTACTCATGTCCAGATGTTCTCATTTATAAAGTGTGAGTCTTTGAAGAGTCATTCTAAGATTGCAGACTGCCAGGTTATATTCAATACTCTGGACCTAAATTATTTGATACATTTTGGAAGAACCTGGTAGGTAGTGAGGAGGTGGGTGGGGTATGGAGTCTTTGTTAGTCAGGAAAGAACATTCTACTTGGGTTACTAAGGTATCAGATTATTCAGTAAGGTAGACCATTAAGAGCTAAGTTGCATGGTGTGCACCTTAGTGCTTTAGGAAATCAAAGGAAAGAAATACCAATGAGGACAGAAAGAGTTCTCCAGAGGAAGTAGACTGCAACTGTATTTGTGAAGGATGAGTGGCTGTGGATGGAAGAAAAGAACATTTTCAGTAAGGGGACATGGTGGGTGAAATGCTGAGGCAGGGATGGGCTCAGTGTTCCCAGAGCTGTAAGGACCCCAAGAAAATTTCACTTGTACTCTATGTGCTTACTATTTTTGTCTGTCCAGAGTGAATCAGTTCTCCTAGAGACAGATTTGACAGTCTGCACACATTGAGATCTGTTTCATTTTAACTTTTCTTCTTGCTTCTCTCAAATCTGGCTAAAATACTATTCTGGTCATGTCATTTTCCTGCTTCAGACCCCTCTATGGCTCCCTGTTGCTCAGTCTCCTGAAGATTTCATGCCAGATCTTTGCATCCACCCCGCTCCCCCTGCCACCTTGAGCTTCATTTAACATCTGGACCCTTCTCACTTCTTGCGTCCCAGCTCCAGCCACCTGGAACTGGCAACTGCCATACTCTCTCTTGCCTCTGGCCCCTCACATAAAGCTCAGGTGTTGGTTTAAACATCACTTCCACAGGAAGACCGGATTAGGCTCCACTGCTATTCCTTCTCACCCCTGCAGTGACCCCTTTCTTTTTTTTTTTTTTTTTTTTGTATAGACAGCCATTTTCAAGTTCAAACTCATGATCTTGGAGACACTTAGATTTTCTCACAAATTATTTGCACATTTTTAATAGACTATTTTTTAGGTAATTTTACATTCACAGCAAAGTTGAGGGGAAGGTACAGAGATCTCACATATGCCCCTGCCACTCCCCATGTTATCAACACCCCCCACCATCAACATCCCCTACCAGAGTGGTACATTTAAAACAATTCATGGACCTACATGAACATATCATTATCACTCAAAGTCCATAGTTTACATCAGGATTCATTCATAGTCTATGGGTTTGGACAAATGTATAATGACATATATCTACCATTATTGTATCATACACAGTAGTTCCACTGCTTAAAAAAAAAAAACTCCTCTATGCTCCATCTATTCATCACTCACTGTCCCTAAGCACTGGAAACCACTGGTCTTTTTACTATCTTCATGGTTTTGCCTTTTCCAGAATGTCATATAGTTGGAATTATTATAGTATATAGCCTTTTTAGATTGGCTTCATTCACTTAGTAAAATGCATTTAACTTTGTTCCACATCTTTTCATGGCTTGATAGCTATTTTTAGTACTGAATAAATATTTCATTGTCTGGATGTCCTCAAGCTTATTTATCCATTCACATACTGAAGGACACCATGGTTGCTTCCAAATTTCGGGAATTGTGGATAAAGCTGCCATAAACATCTGTATGCAGGTTTATGTGTGGACACATTTTAATTACTTAAATATCTGCCATCCTCATGAGACATAAACTCCTTGCAATGAAAAACCATATTTGACTTGATCAGTTGTGACCAGCAGAGAACCTGGACCCTATTCATTCATTCATTCATTCAAAAATTTATATTAAATACTTGTCATGTGCCCTAATGCAACAGAGAGCAAAACAAACAAAAATTCTGTCCTCACATTCTGCCTGGGAAGATCAACACTAAAATGAGCCAAAACTAAAAAATACAGTATGTATATATTTATAGTATAGCAATAAATATGTGGGAGAAATATAAAGCAAGGAAGGAGAACAGAAAGTGCCGGGTGCAAGGCGAACTTTAGACAGAGCGGCCAGGGGAGGCCTCACTAAGAGGATGACATTTGAACAAAGACCTGGAGGAAGCAAGGACGAGTCATGCAGATAGCTGGAGAGGAGCCATCAGACTGAAGAAACAGCAAGTGCAAAGTCCCTGTCCTGCCGTGTGCCCTGGCACGTTAAGCAGGTCACTTGGGCTGAAGCAGAAAGAGCAAGGAGAGGGGAGTTAGGAATTGAAGTCAGAATCCAGGGCAGGCTCCATCCTGGCCTCACTGTCCACCTTCCAGCAGATGTGGATCAGCAAGCGGGAATACGAGTCCAGCCCCTCCGCTGTCCGCTGCAAATGCCTCTAGGCAGACTGTTACTTAGTTGCGTTATACCCTTTCTTGCCAAAACCTATCTATGGGCAAAAAACAAGATTGGCAAGGCTTTTGTTTTGTTTTGTTTTTGGATTGACTCAGGATTTAAAAAAACTAGACCGATGAAGGTGACAGCAGTCAGTTGGAGTGAGCATCCCCCAAAGTTCTGCAATGTGTCTGAGGACTTTGATTAATCTTTTTTTAAGTCATTCCAAATATCGTGAGATGCATTGTTACAGGAAGACGCTTGCCATCCCCAAAACCACCCCACTTCTCTCTAAGGAGAATGGCCCAGTCCTCTCCCGAGTCCCACACATGGGAGGTGATAGCAGTGCTTTCAATGTAAATAAGGTAATGTAATTTTTTTAATCTTCAATTTAATACTTTTTTATTTTGAATGATCAGCCATCGTGGCCCCCCTTTTTTGTCTCCCAACTTGCGATGTATGAATGCTTTTGGTCTCCCTGGGAGGGGGTGGAGGTGTGGAGGCAGCCAGGGCTTACCTGTACACTGACTTAAGACCAGTTGAATAAAAGTGCATACCTTAAAAAAAGAAAAAAAGAATCAGGGGGAAAGGACAGTGGTCATCACTTAACCAAGTGGTTGGAGAAAGACTGTTGTTTGCTGCTATGTAATATGTGCACTTCAGACTGGAAGATCCAAATAGATGGATAGACTAGGTTGTGTCCTTTTCTGCTTTAAAGACTATTTTAAATGACAGTTTTAATGATTTAAAACAATAATGGTAACTCAACATGGAACAAAGCTCAGCTATCAAAAGTTCATTAAGTAAAAGGATCCCAACACAGTCAAGTCTTACCCAGGGATCCTATGCAAGATGCAGAACATATGCACATCTTTTATTATTATTATACTTTAAGTTCTAGGATACATGTGTAGAACGTGCAGGATTGTTACATAGCTGTACACGTGCCATGATGGTTTGCTGCACCTACCAACCCATCATCTACATTAGGTATTTCTCCTAATGCTATCCCTCCCCTAGCTCCCCACCCCCCGACAGGCCCCAGTGTGTGATATTCCCCTCCATGTGTCCATGTGTGCTCACTGTTCAACTCCCACTTATGATTGAGAACATGCGGTGTTTGGTTTTCTGTTCTTGTGTTGGTTTGCTGAGCATGATGGTTTCCAGCTTCATCCATGTCCCTGCAGAGGACATGAACTCATTCTTTTTTATGGCTGGATAATATTCCATGGTGTATATGTGCCACATTTTCTTTATCCAGTCTATGATTGATGAGTATTTGGGTTGGTTCCAAGTCTTTGCTGTTGTGAACTGTGCTGCAATAAACATACACATGCATGTGTCTTCATAGTAGAATGACTTATAATCCTTTGGGTATATGCCCAGTAATGGGATTGCTGGGTCAAATGGTATTTCTGGATCTAGATCCTTGAGGAATTGCCACACTGTCTGCCACAATGGTTGAACTAATTTACACTCCCACCAACAGTGTAAAAGTGTTCCTGTTTCTCCACATCCTCTCCAGCATTTGTTTTCCTGACTTTTTAATGATCCATTCTAACTGGCATGAGATGGTATCTCATCGTGGTTTTGATTTGTATTTCTCTAATGATCAGTGATGATGAGCTTTTTTTCATGTGTTTGTTGGCCGCATAAATGTCTTCTTTTGAGAAGTGTCTGTTCATATCCTTTGCCCACTTTTTGATGGGATTGTTTGTTTTTTTTCTTGTAAATTTGTTTAAGTTCTTTGTAGATTCTGGATATTAGCCCTTTGTCAGATGGACAGATTGCAAAAATTTTCTCCCATTCTGTGGCTTGCCTGTTCATTCTGATGATAGTTTCTTTTGCTGTGCAGAAGCTCTTTAGTTTAATTAGATCCCATTTGTCAATTTTGGCTTTTGTTCCCATTGCTTTTGGTATTTTAGTCATGAAGTCTTTGCCCATGCCTGTGTCCTGAATGGTATTGCCTAGGTTTTCTTCTAGGGTTTTTATGGTTTTAGGTCTTACGTTTAAGTCCTTAATCCATCTTGAGTTAATTTTTGTGTAAGGTGTAAGGAAGAGGTCTAGTTTCAGTTTTCTGATATGGCTAGCCAGTTTTCACACAATAAAAAGTGATAAAGGGGATATCACCACTGATCCCACAGAAATAAAAACTACCATCAGTGAATACTATAAACACCTCTATGCAAATAAACTAGAAAATCTAGAAGAAATGGATAAATTCCTGGGCACATACACACTCCCAAGACTAAACCAGGAAGAAGCCGAATCCCTGAATAAACCAATAACAAGTTCTGAAATTGAGGCAGTAATTAATAGCCTACCAACCAAAAAAGCCCAGGACCAGATGGATTCACAGCTGAATTCTACCAGAGGTACAAAGAGGAGCTGGTACCATTCCTTCTGAAACTATTCCAAACAATAGAAAAGGAGGGACTCCTCCCTAACTCATTTTATGAGGCCAGCATCATCCTGATACCAAAGCCGGCAGAGACACACAAAAAGAGAATTTTAGACCAATATCTCTGATGAACATTGATAATAAAATACTGGCAAACCAAATCCAGCAGCACATCAAAAAGCTTATCCACCACGAACAAGTCAACTTCATCCCTGGGATGCAAGGCTGGTTCAACATAGGCAAATCAGTTAACGTAATCCATCACATAAACAGAACCAATGACAAAAACCACATGATTATCTCAATAGATGCAGTAAAGACCTTCCATAAAATTCAACACCCCTTCATGCTAAAAACTCTCAATAAACTACGTATTAATGGAATGTTTCTCAAAATAATAAGAGCTATTTATGACAAACCCATAGCCAATATCATACTGAATGGGCAAAAGCTGGAAGCATTCCCTTTGAAAACTGGCTCAAGACAAGCATGCCCTTTCTCACCACTCCTATTCAACATAGTATTGGAAGTTCTGGCCAGGACAATTAGGCAGGAGAAGGAAATAAAGGGTATTCAATTAGGAAGAGAGGAAAGGGTATTCAAATAGGAAGAGAGGAAGTCAAATTGTCTCTGTTTGCAGATGACATGAGTGTATATTTAGAAAACCCCATTGTCTCAGCCCAAAATGTCCTTAAGTTGATAAGCAATTTCAGCAAAGTCTCAAGATACAAAATCAATTTGCAAAAATCACAAGCATTCCTGTACACCAATAATAGACAAACAGAGAGCTAAATCATGAGTGAACTCTCATTCACAATTGCTACAAAGAGAATAAAATACCTAGGAATACAACTTACAAGGGATGTGAAGGACCTCTTCAAGGAGAACCACAAACCACTGCTCAAGGAAATAAGAGAAGAAACAAAGAAATGGCAAAACATTCCATGCTCATGGATAGGAAGAATCAATATCATGAAAATGGCCATACTGCCCAAAGTAATTTATAGATTCAATGCTATCCCCATTAAGCTACCATTGACTTACTTCACAGAATTAGAAAAAAACTACTTTAAATTTCATATGGAACCAAAAACGAGCCCATATAGCCAAGACAATCCTAAGCAAAAAGAACAAAGCTGGAGGCATCACACTACCTGACTTCAGACTATACTACAAGGCTACAGTAGCTAAAACAGCTTGGAACTGGTACCAAAACAGATATATAGACCTATGGAACAGAACAGAGGCCTCAGAAATAACGCCACACATCTCCAACCATCTGATCTTTGACAAACCTGACAAAAACAAGCAATGGGGAAAGGATTCCCTGTTTAACATATGCACATCTTATGCAAAAGGCAGATCTTATGCACATCTTACGGAATATGCTTATGCACATTACTATAGTAAGCAAGAGATCCATGCACGGAAGTGAAAGAACAAGAAAGGAGGTAACTTCAGCTACCAAAGATGTTTTAGAATCCACCTTCACCCTAAATGATTATCCAGTTATGACGACATAGAAAATTGTGGTTTTCTTATTGTTGTTTTCATCTAGCCATTCAGAGGCCCTATTCTTGTCCACTACTAGTATAACAAGCAATTAAAGTAACTATTTCTTTTTATTTATTTTTTTGAGAGAGTCTCACTCTGTGTCCCAGGCTGGAGTGTCGTGGCACCATCTCAGCTCACTACAACTTCTGCCTCCCAGGTTCAAGTGATTCTCCTGTCTCAGCCTCCCGAGTAGCTGGGATTACAGGTATGCACCACCACACACAGCTAATTTTTGTATTCTTAGTAGAAACAGGATTTCACCATGTTGGCCAGGCTAGTCTCGAACTCCTGACCTCAAGTGATCCGTCCACCTTGGCCTCCGGAAGTGCTGGGATTACAGGCATGAGCCACCACGCCGGCCTAAAGTAACTATTTCATCAGGTGATACTTAGCACCATACAAAATTCCTCCATCCACAGGGAAAGTATTAGATGCACCAGAAAGAGGATGAATGCAGAAGGAATTTCTTTCTTGAAATACCTCTTCATAGCTACAGACTCCAGAGTTCATAACTTGTGTGGGTACCACAAAGCCCTCTGTACAGGACATCTGCTGAGGCTAACTCTGTGGAATGTCACTCAGCACGGCTGATGGGCTCCCCCAGCCACCCTCAATTCATCAGCACAGATCACGCACACCAGCTTTCCTTCTCTCAACACTTGGCTCCCAGCCCTTCACAGAACCCATGAATGGAGCCGCCTAAGGAAAAAGATACACAAGAAATAAGGGTTAGACAAATACCACATCTATTTCCAAAACCAGTAAACTTACCATGAGAACACCTTTCCAGTGTAGGGCTTAGTTTGAATTCCATCATAACAAAGAAAAACAAATCTTCATTATGTTTTTCCAGAATCTAGGCCACATCAAAATTCTCTGATTGTCATAGCACATCACATGGCATAGACAGCATAAATGCACTAGAGAAATAAATGTTAACATACAAAACACAAGAGGGCAATGTGAAAAGATAGTATCTGTGAGGGAGGTGTTGATGCCTCTGTTATTAACTGCAGCTCAAAGCATTGTTCATGAGGCACTGACTGCCTCTCAACACAGTGTTATCTCCTTGGCATGTGCTTGAAGTTTTGGGTCTTTCTTGCTTTCCTCTAATCTCCACCTTCTGTCGTTGTTAGTGAGCCTCAGTTTGGACTGAAATCCTGTGGCACGCAGAGCTACATGATCAAAGCCTTGTGTAGGCATTTGGGTCAGTGCCAGCAAAGTTCAGGTTGTACTTCAAACGAGTCCTCAGAGTGCCTCACAGCCAAGGGCAAGGGTTCACTGGGTTTGATCTTGAGCTGCCCACATTTAGGGAGTCTTCGGCCCCTTCAGTTGATAAACCCTGCTTGGCAGAGCTCTGCTTTAATTAACGTGGCCCTTGGGTCGATTCGATTTCCTATGTGTCAGCACCTGACTGGGTGTAACCTTATCTTTGCACATCATACTCATGATGGATCTGAAACAGTACAGGTGATGTTTGTCTTTGACCCAACAGCTGGATTACATCCCAGTTTCACAGCCACAGAAGAAAAGTCTGAAATCTCAACTCCTTATTGACATTTTATGGAGCAGCCACATTGGGTGAGATACTAATATGACTGGACACGGTGATTCCAGTAAAAAGATGATTACTTAAAAGTTTATTTCTCTACTAAGTGTAAGTGTTAGAGGCAATAGAAATAAATAAGTGATACATCTTATGGTTCTTGGGGGTGACATGGAGGTATCTCTCCGAAGCTTGGAAGTTAGGGCAAGTAGTTGTGCTCTAAGCATTAAGTTACTTAAATACATGCATAATTGAAGGAGATAGAATGTTTCTTTACCTTTTGCAAAATGTGATTTCAGAAGAAGCAGGAGTACAGCCCAGTGTCCTAAGGAGCATGAGTCCTACAGTGCTTCTCAAATCTGTTTGGGACAATCTTCCATAGTCACAGTGCCGATTTCACTTTGTTTACATTTGCATTTCTTAAACATGTTTTAAACCATAGAACTCTATCACATGACCTCTTGCTTTTTTAAAAATGTCATACTCATTAGTGTACTAAGGAGCTAATTTACAAGGCATACTTACTCTGGGAATATGGCCTATCCCAGGCTAAGGACAAAAGCTCACCTTGGATGATCTGCACTGGAACACAAAATAAGTAATCATATAGGCAGAGTTTTGTGACTTGTGTAGAATTGTCCTAGAGAGATGGTGATGGAAGTGAAAGGGGGAATCACTCCAGTCACCAGAGATCATGTCCGTGTGCATGTATGTGTGTTTGTGTGTGTACACATGTGTGTATGACTTGAAGTGTCATCTCATCTGTCCTTACCGTAGTCTGTATGGAACATCCTCTGATACTATTCGCTCTCCCTTTGCAGATTTCTGATTAAAAATGTGATATGAGGAAGGTGTTCCATGGATAGGAGCAAGGTATTCTGGACCCCAGAAAGGGATATCCTCCACTATGGATAGTGAAAATTTTCTTTTACTTATTAGTTTCTTGTGAATTAACCAGATACAGTATGACCATCTCTGAATACCCTGAAAAATACCTGGGTCCAAATAGTGGCTTTGCTACTCACTAGATGTATACTCTCAGGCTGGGCTCCATTTCTTCATTTGTGTATTGGGGATACTACGATCTTGTGGGATTTCCATAAGTATTAAACAAAATATGATTAGCGCCTTTCACATCATAAGCATTCCACAAATCTATTTCATAGTTTTGTTGTTTCTATTATGATTCCTTATTGCAAAGATCAACAGACATTAGCACAATTTATAATGTGTTAGAGCCCTTCAAACATGTTCCTCAACGGCCATTGTTAACAACATGTGCATTGCTGTCTTTGATTCACCATTGCTAAGGCAAAATGAGTGATGATATATGTGAAAAATGAAAGAAAAGGTCTATAGATAGGCAAGATGCCTTTTTCCTTTGACTTTCAGCTCCTGGAAGACAGGGGCCTTGTATCTCTATACCCGGAGTGCCTAGTAATGGGCAGGTATTTCTGCTGAATGAATGGATATGCTAATTATCAACTAGAAGGTTCTGAAAAAGAGAGTTGTCGTTGGAGGTGCTGTGTAGATCCAATAATAATAGAAACCAGCTCCTGGAAGGGAATGCCAGCTTGGCAGAGCTTGCGAGTGAGAAGCAAGTCTTTAATAAGCTATTGGTGTTCATAGCTAGAGAGAAAGGGGAATTTAGATTGGGAGACGGGATGGCTTCAAGGATTCCTGATCAGGTTTTTATTCTGACGAAAGCTTGCTGGAAAATGTCTCAGCTCTCTGATATTGTGAATGCCTGTCTGCAAGAGGCGCAGGAAAATCAGGCGAAATCGGTTAGGGTGTTCTGCTCAGTAAGGCTGAATGTGATGGATGGCTCGGTGTGCTGTTTATCTACTGCAGGTTGGTATTTCACCTCTGTTTTCATTAGACTGATGGTAAGGTAATAATTCTTTCCTCTGGCTGAAAAATCTGTCTTCAGCCATTTGTTGATCTTCTTGAACGGGAAGTTCAGGTGCACAGAAGTCACCCTAAAGGAGATTTTGAATGAAAACTTAAATAATGCTGGTCGGCATCCACGGAGCTCTCCGGCAGCACAGGCCTCCGCTAGACTGGCTGTGATTATTAGGTGTGCAGCGTCACATTTGCCCAAGGACAGCAAGCCTACGGAATGATACAGGGTAACCACCGCTGTAGGAAACAAAGCGTGAACATCACATTTGATTTCTTTGGAAACACTCAAGCTTATATTGTAAATTAAATTAAAGCAATGCAGTCTTTATGAGGTGTTTCCATGTAGCACTGTGTTACGGTGGAAAATGCCCCAGCCCGGGCCTCGGAAGTCTCCACCATGATACTCCCTCTGGGCAAATCTCTTAATGTCTCTGAGCCTCCATTTCTTCATCTCTCAAGAGATAATAATAATGTATGCACTGGTTTTTAATAGAAAGCTCTTATCAAGATGATATAGCTTTGAGTTTTTTCCCAAGGCGAGGAGGAACAAACAGAACAATGACAGAGGCTAGTGGCTTTAGTAAGCTGCAGCTCTATAGCTCCTCCCTCTTTCCAACCTCTCTGATGGAGGGCACAGAAAGGAAGATGACAGAGTTGGCTCATTAAGCATTGATCAAGGAAGGACTCTCCCCACACCCGACAGAACAGATCCATCCAAGCAGTTTTCTGAGTTTGTGAGCTGATGGGCAAAGTGATAGAGCTTCCACTCACAGGGCTCGTCAGTTGCTCCATCGGGAAGGGGACTGCTGAAAGGTTTCATCCACCCGAGACAGAGTGGCCAGTAGAAAAGACAGAATCTTGTAACTGCTGGTTCTAACTCGTGGGACTTCCATTAAGGATGAGGGTCCCTTTCTTCCTATAAACCTGTGAGGACAGCCCATCCATTACTTCTATACTGTGGGTTACCTGCATAAGAAACGGTTCTCATTTAATGTAACGAGGTGCCCATATGTCCTGATTTGTTCCTGACAGTCCTATTTATGCTTTTTGTCCCAGAATAAATATTACAGCACTACCATTAACTCTCAGAGTCTCTGGGTTTGGTCAGTAAATTATATGACACAAACGCATTAATTTTATAATAGGCACCTTCTCAATTCCCAGCAAATGCTTCATATGTATCACCACTAACCTCTCTACCATCGGTTTGGTTGATTTGTGATATACAAATACAAATACATTTTTACTTTATATTTTTCACATAGCAATTTCTAGTCATCAATATCATTTTCACAGCACTCCTGAGTTGAGGGAGAGTAATTACAAAGAATTGTGATTAATAAAATGATGAAGGATTTTCTTTCAAATACATTTATGAGAATAAACTAACATAACTTTTGTATAGTGTCAATTAAATGCAAACTTACTGGCCAAGCACAGTGGCTCAAGCCTGTAACCCCAACACTTTGGGAGGCCAAGGTGAGAAGATCACTTGAGACTAGGAGTTGAAGACCAACCTGGGCAACATGATGAAACACTATCTCTACAAAAACTAAAAATACAAAAAATTAGCTGGGCATGGTGGCACACACCTGTAGTCCCAGCTACCTGGGAGGCTGAGGTGGGAGGATCAACTGAGCCCTGGAGGTCAAGGCTGCAGTGAGCCGTGAGCATGCCACTGCACTCCAGCCTGGATGACAGAGTGAGACCCTGTCTCAAAAAAAAAAAAAAAAGTAAACTACTGTAATTTATAATTCTGAAATAACAATGTCAACTAAAGCAGTATTATTACTATTTTTAGAGACAGAGGCTTGCTCTGTCAACCAGGCTGGAGTGCAGTGGCATGATCATAGCTCACTGCAGCCTGAGACTCCTGGGCTCAAGCCATCCTTCTGCCTCAGCCTCCAGAGTAACTGGGACTACAGGCATGCATCACTATACCCAGCTAATTCTTTTAACTTTTGTTTGTTTGTTTGTTTTTTGTAGAGAGGGACTCTCTCTATGTTGCACAGGCTGGTCTTGAACTTCTGGTCTTAAGTGATCCTTCCACCTTGGCCTCCCAAATTGCTGGGATTATAGGCAAAAGTCACCATGCCCAGCCAATAATTATTTTTATTTATTTGTTCTTCATTTAAGCAATCATTCAACAAATGATTGTTTGTGAAATGTTTCCAGGTACTGTGCTACATAAGAGAAATTTAGACAGAGACTTTTACCATAGGAATTTATAGGAAATGGGTTTAAGAGACAAGTAGATTATAATGAGACAAGATTATAATATGGCTAGAGTAGCACAGAACAGGAGCACCTAACCCAGCCAGCTTCATGCCACCAGACAGCCAGGAATGGAGGGATGTGGTAGTGAGGCATGGCTTCCAAGTGGCGGTGATGTGGAGCTGTCTTGAAGGACATGTAGGAATTAGTCAAGGGAGAAATATAAGAAAAATACTTTATAGTGTCTTTTCCAATATTAGAAAATAAAATAATTAAGACAGATGTTAAAGCCAGGAAACATTCTCTTCCTTGAATATTCTCTTCCTGTGTGATACAGTTTGGATGTTTGTCCCCTCCAAATCTCATGTTGATATTGATTGCCAGTGTTGGGGGTGACTGGACCATGGAGGCGGATCCCTCATGAATGGTTTTGCATCATCCCCTTGATGATAAGTGAGTTCCCACCCAGTTAATTCATGAGACATCTGGTTGTTTAAAAGTCTAGGACCTCCCCGTCTCTCTTTCTTGCTCTAGCTCTCACCATGTGACGTGCCTGCTTCCACTTCTCCTTCTACCATGATTGGAAGATTCCTGAGGCCTTCACCAGAAGCCTAGCAGATGCTGGTGCCATGCTTGTACAGCCTGCAGAAACATGAGCCAATTAAAGCCCTTTCGTTTATAAATTACCCAGCATCAGGTATTTTTTCATAGCAACGCAAATGGCCTAATACACTGTGCATTTGGCAGGAAGCTGTTGCTGGTGGTCTGGGGGACTGAATGATTGAATAAGCTTTCAATTTAGGAAGCTCTTGAGAGAATTCTGTAATAGCACTTTCCAGTAGAAATATGTGATTCACGAATAGAATTTTAAATGTTCTAGTAGCTCCGTAATAACATTACAAAAAAAAAGGTGAAATTCATTTTAATAATCTTATATTTCACCCAGTATTTCCAAAATATTATCATTTCAACGTGGAATCAATATAAAAATAATGAGCTATTTTGCAATTTTGTTTTTATATGAAGTCTTCAAAATCTGGTGTGTATTTTACATGTATATGTTTCAATTTGTACCAGCAAATTGCAGAGCTCAATAGCCACATGTGGCTAGTGGCTCTTATATTGAGGAGTCCAGTTTTATAACATCAACATTAAATCTCACCATGGTCACCAATGAAAATGAACCCAGAGTATTCTGGCTGGATTTATTCATGATAACTAATCCCTCACTTACATAAACAGTGTATGCTTCAAGAAGGGAGAACAAAGATTCTGTAAAGATCTATGTCCTAGGCATTTCTCTTATATTTGACAGCCAATAGTGTTTATGACAAGCCCTATACTTCATAAGCAAGCTATGACACAGTATTGTAAATACAAATGTTTTAACTGTGGGTATAGTAAAAGCATTTTGGGCTTCCCAGATTGGCTAGATTCCACCATCACTGGGGCCTGTTTGTGATTATGCATCTATGATACAACTCAGAACCAATTATTCCATCATAAAAGGCATGGTCAAGGCAAACTCTCACACATAATGTCACCTGTGATCATTTTTTTCTTACTGAAATAGCTGCAGTGCTGTTGTATACAAGCGTATTTCTTTTAATGAGATAAGACAAAATGATAGCATTGAGATGAGAGACTTGTAATGACTTCCCACTGGGAGCAATGATCTCTGGTTCTTAGTTTCTCCACCTGTGAAATGGCAGTAATAATTTTGGCCCTAAGGTCTTAGTACCATGAGGATATGAACAAATACTTTTCATTTGTCTGATTCTCAGTTTAGCACAGGACTTATGATTGCAAAAGTATTTCTTCAATCTCCAGAAGTGTTTGTGAGAGAGAGGGCCATCCAGTGAATTACTTTTTCTTTATTTTCTTTAGTGGGTCACTCACAGTTTGTGACAAGAGCATTAGCAATTGCATAGCTGGTGCCAGGGGCACTGTGGAGTCATTGAGGAAGTCACTGTTAGCTACAACCCGTATGAAAGCCAATTACTCTCTAGAGAGGCAACATGCCATCCTGAGAGAATACAGGGCTGGTGCCTCAAAGTTTTTCCACAGACAAGGTACGCAGCCTGGGGCAAACTATTTTAACTGCAGCTTTCTCAGCTGTGAAAAATGAGAATGGCAATCCTTACTGCTTTGGAAGAGAGTTGTGTTTATTAATTAGTTTGTATTTCAAAGTGCTTCACAACTGGAAAGTTTCACTATTGGATTAAGGAAAAATTTCCTTTCATTTTATCCCTCTCCACATTAGGATGAAAAGAAACTGTGCTTGCTGAGGCTGGGAGAAAAACGGAGGGGATTCAGGCAAAAAAGCTAACAAACCTGACTTCCATGGTAGTGGCTCATTTCCCCGGCTGTAAGATGGCACCCATTAAAGGGAGCTTTGTAAATTAGGTATCTTAAAGGGCAGCCAAACCTGCCATCTGAAGAATTACTTTTGTTTTAGACTTAATTTTTATGATTGCTTCAAGAAAAAAAGGGAAAGAAAATGAGCCAAATCACACTGTGATAGGGGATTTGAAAATGAGAAGTAGCATAAACAATATCATGTTTTCTTGCCTGAAAAATAGGAGGTTGGATCTGCTTATATGCCAGCCTTTAGACTCTCAAATCTCCTTGTTCTATTTCTAGCTTATCTCGGTAGGTCCACCAGTATTTTCCTACCAAGTGTTCTACTATCATTAATTGTTTAAAAAAAGAGAAGAGAGAGAATTCATTTCTATTCTTCTTGTGGCTGTCCCTTAGTTTTTCATTTCTCCTTCCATACTGGGGAATACAGGTGCCTGGCCAGGGACTGCACTTCCAAGCCTCCTTTGCATCTAGCTGGGTCATGTGACAAGTTCTCGCCAATGGAAAATAAGCAGAAGTAGAGTTTCTAAGTGGCTGTGCCTTTTCCAGTATCTCTGGGGACTGGAAATGATTCTGAAGCCATAGGGAAAAGCCAAGCCTCAAGAGAGAAGGCTGAATCCTTTATCACCACATGGAGGAAAACCTCCCACAGATAAGGAACATCTGCTTTGGATTGTTATCTGAGTGAGAGAGAAACTTCTGTTGTGTGAAGTCGCTGGTATTTTGAAGTTTATTGTTAATAGCAGCTAATGTTACCCTAACACATATACTGCCAAAGCTGACACTCTTCCCCAAAGTTTCCATTATAGTTGTCTTTTCCATGTCAGAACTTGAAATTCCTTTAGGACTTTCGTGACATTCAATATAGTGCAGGACATGTAAGGTATTTAATAAATGCATATGGAATTGAGGAAGGAAGGTATAAAGGAAGGGAGGGAGGAGGGAGGGAGGAAGGAGTGGGTGAATTAATGTGTATGCATTTAATGTGACTCACTTATTTTCTTTTATGCTTTTAAAGCCAACATGTCCATTTCCACCCTCCACCCTCATTCTCACATTAAGCTATGGAGAGGGGGAATATTTGTACTTTTTTCATGGTCTTCCAAAGGATGGACATACTACTGCCACGAGAGAAATTGCTGGTCAGAGAGAAGCAATTCCTTAGAGAAAGCAACCCACATATCATCACCCAAGAGAGCTGAACCATTGCCAACATCTCCATCAGGAACTTGGAAGAGTTTTCTGTCTTCCCAACACAATAAAACTGGAGACACGAGCATGCAGAGCTCCAGCCAGCACAATTACATAAAGCCAAAGCACATTATCACTTGCAGGCTGCAGGATTTATGGCCAACTATGATGGAAAATACAGAGATACTTTACTTGTCTGAATTCAACACTCAAAAAAGATAGTATGTATTATATTAATGATAGAGAAAAGTTGTATATATTGTACTTTTTCTAATGAAAACCTTAGTAAACAGAGCAGAAACAGATGCCAGCATCTTAGAGAAGAAAGAAAAATGGAAAAGATTGCCAGTTTGCTCCTCTTCAGACAATATGCAATTGCTGTTCTTGTTGAAAAATTCCTTTCAAATGCATTGAGGCAGCATTTCTATTTTGGTGGTTTTCTGCATTTGAGTTGCTGCTTCTAACTTGAGTGGAACAGAGAAGTTTGTATTCTCTATGGGTGTCTGCTGTTCCAAGTATGAAGCAGTGAAGCTAAAATCACTTTACTTCTAGAAACCTGTGATTTCCATTTGCCATGAGGTTAGCACTTCCTCTGGCAGTGCCTTTGCCACGAACTGTCATAGAACCATGCTGTTTATCTAGCATAGCATTCTTCTTTATCATAGCTGCTTACCACTTGTTTCTGCTCTGGAATGCACCCTGTACGTGCAGGTTATGTGGTGTCCTGGCCCAGTGCTGGCACACGGTGAGCACTCACAAAAATATTGAAGAGCTCTCTTCAGGTTGTAATTTTATGTTACCAATGTTTTTACACAGTTGGTTTGCATTATGAGTACACAGTGAGAAGGTAAACCAGTGTGCTGTTTGTCTATCGTTTCCAAATTTTGAATTATTTAAATACATGTTAGTGAAATCACTGTTTATCAGAACCAAAATTGCAATCTTAAAACTTCTGCAAGATAGAAAAGATTGTTTAACAAAGGAAGGAAAATATTACAAAAACAGATTTCTCTCTTAATTTTGTCAGTGCTTGGACTTGGTCCCCAAATCTTAAAAGTGAATTTGTTTCCAGAACACCTGAAACAGAGACCACATTTTTATGTTTGCCTTTTTGCAGTGAAGTTTACATTAGGGAGCTATATTTTCCTTATATTTATTTTTAAATCATTTGGGCTTTCCAATAAAATAGCATTCTCATTTTCTTCCCTCTTCCCAGATTAATGCATTTATTATTTTAATGCATGAAGGGGTCCACGTGGCGCTATGGTTGGTGGCTGGGATGCTCTGGAGTGGTGCGCTTGGAAAACAATGTGTTATTTGCACTTGAGAAAATACTTTGTTGGCTAAGTGTCTAGGCACTGAAACAGTAACAGTTCATCAAAAGACAGTTATCCCAGATACGCTTCCAAGAGTGGCAATCAGTTTTCCTAAAGAGTCAAAGAAAAGAGTGAGAATTGTGGGAAGTGGGAGACTAGAAGGACAGACTCATTTGGAAACAGGAAGTGGTTCAAGGAACTTAGGATTTGGAATATAGGAAAAGAAATGGGGAAACATACCCATGCCTTCTCTTCTCTGTAGACATCCAATTTGAACCTACTCCAGATTAGTAGGAAGTAAAATCATTATCTGATGTTCTGTGGCCACATGGAAAATACATTGGTAGTTGCAACCAGACTAGAGTCAACATTGAGAAACCAATAGAACCACTAACTTGGGCTGGTGAGGCACAGCTACTGGTCAAAACCTGCCCAGGAGGCCCAGTACCACTCACAGTCAGGATCGGGGTCATGGTAGGGGAAGGTCAGCTAGCTTACTGCAGCCCATCTCTGATGGGGAGGTGAGGACTTCCAGCCCTGGGCTGCTCATTCACCTCCCCTCTGGAGCAGTAAACAGGGAAGTAGCAAGAAGCTAAGCTCCTTTTGTTAGGCATTGTTAATTCCTCCAAGGTGACCATTGATGTATTTTTTATTCAGTAACTTAGCATATATGTGTGTGCACAATTAATAGTTATATATAATAAAAGTGAATATATTAAAATTTAAAAAAATAAATTATGAT
The DNA here is from genome assembly GCF_000001405.40 of Homo sapiens. NCBI lineage: Eukaryota > Metazoa > Chordata > Mammalia > Primates > Hominidae > Homo > Homo sapiens. The sequence continues at coordinate 176,611,549 of NC_000002.12, read as the reverse complement.
CATTGCACAATTCTGTGACTATACTACAAACCATTAAAATGTATACTTTAAATGGGTGTTTTTTATGTTATTTATGTGATTATGTCTCAATAAAGATGTTTTAAAACCATAAATGTTTTTATCCATTATTTTCCCTAAAAAATCATGCATTGGGTTTTGTTATTATCATTGACTTCCTTCCTTCTGTGTTTTTATATTGCCTTCTTCAAGTCTTGGTGATCCCAGGATATACTCCAGAACTGATAAATGTTGGCTAATGAATTGTAGCTTTATTCCAGTTTTAGCACTGCCAGGCCAGGCTATATTGTCTGTGTTATGGGGTCAGTATGAAAAATTTTACTAAAAAATGAAACTGACCCAGAGAGAGGCTCTTCATGAGCTCCTGCACTTCCTCCTACTCACCTCACCTCCCAGGGTGCTCCTTGCCTTCTCTGGGTATTGATGCTTATTGTGATCTTGTGTACCATAATTTGAAAGGTATTCTCTGATACCTTCCACTACTACACTCTGTGGTTACAGAAGAGATTGGTGGACATTGTTATGAATGTAAAAATCGGTGGTTATTTTTTAACCTGTCTTCAAAGCTGATTCATAAACAATAATTCAGCCTTACAATGTCTTGTGTGAGATAATTTCAGTTATTTTATAGATAATAAAATCTTATAAGGGTTATATTCGGTTCATGAGAGTTACTCATTTCCTTTTCTGGGGATGGTTGGTGAATCAAGTGAATAGCATAGAGAAGAGCTTCTCAAACTATCTCTTGTGGAAGGTTAGCTTTTTAAAAAATTTTCCAAGAGGTTGGCAACTTTTGTAAAACCAATAAAAATAAACTACTGTTTTTCAAAAGAAGACATACAAATGGTCGTGGTATGAAAAAATGCTCAACATCACTAATCATCAGGGAAATGCAAACCCAAAGCACAATGAGATACCACCTTGCTCCAATTAGAAGGCGGTTACCAAAAAGACAAAAGAAAAGTGTCTTTTCTTACATACTATTGGTAGGAATGTAAATTAGTACAGCCATTATGGAAAACAGTATAGTGGTATCCCAGAAAATTAAAACAAGTACTACCATATGATCCAGGAACCCCACTAATGGGTATATATCTGAAAATAAAAATCAGTATATTAAAGAGATTTCTGCACTCCCATGCTTATTGCAGCACTACTCACACTAGCTAAGTGTCCAACAGTGGATAAATGAATAAAGAAAACGTGATATATATATATTCACAATAGAATACTACTGCACCATAAAAAAAGAATGAAATCCTGTGATTCGCGACAACATGCATGAATCTGGAAGACCTTATGTTAAGTGAACTAAGTCAGACACAGAAAGAAACACCACATGATCTCACTCATATGTGGAAACTTAAAAAAAAGGTTGGGGCCCGGCGCAGTGGTTCACGCCTGTAATCCCAGCACCTTGGGAGGCCGAGGCAGGCGGATCACGAGGTCAGGAGATCGAGACCATTCTGGCTAACACAGTGAAACCCTGTCTCTACTAAAAATACAAAAAATTAGCCTGGCGCGGTGGCAGGCGCCTGTAGTCCCAGCTACTCGGGAGGCTGAGGCAAGAGAATGGCGTGAACCCGGGAGGCGGAGCTTGCAGTGAGCCGAGATCACGCCACTGCCCTCCAGCCTGGGGGACAGAGCGAGACTCCGTCTCAAAAAAAAAAAAAAAAAAAAAGGGGGTATCACAGAAGCAGAGCAGAACAGTGGTTACTAGAGACTGCAGACGGGGATGAATGAGGGGAAAAACAGGGAGAGGTTTGTCAATGGGTACAAAGTTACAATTAGGAGGAATAAAATTCTGGTGTCCTGTTGCACAGTAGGGTGACTATGGTTAACAGTAAGGTATTGTGTATTATAAAATAGCTGGAAGAGAGGTTTTTGAATGTCCTAAACACAAATAAATGATAAGAGCATGAGGTGATGGTATGCTAACTAAGCTGATTTGATCATTATATAACAGATACATGTATCAAAACATCACATTGTACTCCATAAATATATATAATTACAATTTGTCAATTTAAAAAAAGTTAAAGAATGCAAAATGCTTGCCCCCTTTTAATATTATATTCAGTAGACATAAAATTACATTTCAACTAATATTACCAAACATAAGAAAAAAAGTGAATTTTAAAAAACTGTACACATTGTTCATTGACAATGTCTGGAGAGACAAATAGAGAAAATTACTGTTACACTCATAATTTTTGTAATTCTTCAATCATAACGAAGTTATGAATGGAATAAATTCTGCATATTAAGCACCTATGTACACACTTTAATGAACAATTTGTATATTAATGTGTAATTTTCCTGTGATGAATGAGCTTGCTTCTTGATGTTAACTTATCTAATCTAGGCTAGACTGATGACAGTGCTACTTATAGGGGATAATGTATATCAAAACTGTCTCTATGTTTTGATAACAAAATAGACAAACCAGTCTTACATAGATATATTCATGGCAAAGAAAACAGGATATTCATTTTTAACATTTTTTCCCAAAATGTAGCAAGTGATGCTCTATGCAAAATTTTTAAATTCTTTATCAGTAAGCAGTTCCAACAATTTATTCTGTAAATTTGTAGTTAACTTTTGAACAGACAGGGACTTTTGTATTTATATACATTTGAGTTACAGTTGACAACTTAACCTTAAAATATTACATGCTTTAGCATGTTCTTACTACTTACCATCTGTAGCTCACCTTATGATTTCAAAACTCCCTGATCTGGTCTATATACTGTTCAATGAAGACAGTCCATTGACCATGCATTTGAACGTTAAGGCAATGTCAAATTCCTATAAAAATTTGTGCCCAATTACTCTCAATTTCTGTACATCTCATTTCAGACTAGTAATAGTTGATGGGCCACACTTTGAGTTATGTAGATAAAGGATTCCTTTAGTTCAGCAAAGCAATTGAGGTCATCTGTTGTGGTGAACTCAAGCAAGAGATTGGTGGTTGGACTCAAAGCAGATTTTATGAGATCCTGTAGATTGAGAATAACCCAAAGGAAAGGCTCAGAAAAATTGCCATTAGGTTCTTCATTTGAACCTTTCCTGTTCAATCCTTTTACCAATGACTTAGATGGGGTTATAAACTTATCAGATTTAAAAATATAGTTTATATTTATTAAGCATTTATTTTACATAATCCATATACTCAGCTAATTGTTCAAGGATTATTTCATTTAATCTTTAGAACAAAAATTTTATTATGTACATACTGTAATGCACAGTTCACAATAGGGTTATAAATCCCCAATTTATAAGTGAGAGAAGTTAAGTAACTTCCCTGAAGTCGCACTGCTAGTTGATGGAACTGGGATTTGAGTCCAAGCCAGCAGACTCCACATCCAAAGGCAAACCACCTAGTGGACAGGCAAAACTGGCCAAGATTGGCACAACTGTAAGTGAAGGAAACAGAATATTTGAAATATTCTCTAGGCTAAATTGCTAGGCAAAAATCAATAAGGTGAAAATAAGAGGAATAACTCTCAATTTCTCTATTAGATTAACATAAGTCAATTGCACAAAAGCAGGCTGAGGAAGATCTCACGCATCAGAGTCTCTTGGGCATCACCTTGTATCTTGCCAGCCTTTCTCTTCCCCCCCCCTTGAGACAGGGCCTTGTCCTGTTGCTCAGGCTGGAGTGCAGTGGCGCCATCTCAGCTCACTGCAACCTCCACCTCCCGGGCTCAAGTGATTCTCCTGCTTCAGCCTCCCAAGTAGTTGGGATTACAGGCATTCAACACCAAGCCCAGCTAATTTTTGTATTTCTTTGTAGAGACAGGGTTTCACCATGTTGGCCAGTCTGGTCTCGAACTCCTGGCCTCAAGTGACCCACCAGCCTCAATCTCCCAGAGTGCTGGGATTATAGGCATGAGCCACCGTGCCTGGCCTAGCCTCACTTCTAATTCTAGCTGCTGCTGTGGCACATATCCTCTAAAACAGGGGTCCCAACACCTGAGCCATGGACAGGTACTGGTCCATGGCCTGTTAGGACCCGGGCCACACAGCAGGAGGTGAGCCACAGGTTAGCGAGCATTACCAGCTGAGTTCCACCTCCTGTGAGATCAGTGGCAGCATTCAATTCTCATAGGAGCTCAAACCCTACTATGAACTGTGCATGTGAGGGATGGAGGTTGCACACTCCTTATGAAAATCTAATGCCTGATGAAATGACCACCACCCTATCTGTGGAAAAATTGTCTTCCACAAAAAAGGTTTTAGTGCCAAAAAGGTTGGGAACCACTGTGCTAGAAGCTCTGCAGGACACTTCTGCTAACAGAACCTCATTTAAAGAGCTCACATTTCTGCCCTGAGATTATTATTATTCTCCTCCTCCTTCTTCTCCTTCTCCTCCTTCTCCTTCTGTTTCTCCTTCTCCTTCTCTTTCTCTTCCTCCCACCTCCTCTTCCTTCTCCTTCTTCCAGCTTTATTAAGTATAACTGATGTGCAAAAATCTGCACATATTTAATGTCTATAATTTGATGAGTTTGGATATATGTGTACACACATGGAACCATCACCATAAGCTAGGTAATAAACATATCCATCATATTTATCCATCATTAACCTCTCCGAAAGTTTCCTTGTGACTCTGTATTTTTTTGTTTGGTTTTTGTTTGTATGTTTGTTTGTTTTTGTGGTAAGCACACCTAATATGAGATCTACTCCCCTAAAATTTTTAAGGGCCCAGTACGGTATTGTTAACTATAGGTACTGTGATGTATAGCAGTTCTCCAGAACTTATTCATGTTGCATAACTGAAACTTTATACCCATTGAACAGCTCTCCATTTCTTTCTCCCCCAGTCCCGGGTGACCACACTTCTACTCTCCACTTTTATGAGCTTGTGTAGTAATAAACACCTACATTAAAAAGGAAGAAAGATCACAAATAAACAACCCAACTTTATACGTAAAGGACCTAGAAAAGGACAAACTAAGCCAAATTAGCAGAAGAAAGGAAATAGTAAATATTAGAGCAGAAATAAATGAAATAGAAAATTTTAGAAAATCACAAAACAGTTGTTTTCTTGAAAAGAACCCTATTGTGAACTGTGCATGCAAAAGATCTATGCTGCGCACTCCTTAGAAGAACCTAATGCCTGATGAAACCATCCCCCGACCACCACCCCATCCACGGAAAAATTGTCTTTTTCCCCTGAGAAGGATGGTTAAAACTGACAAAATTCAGCTCAACTAAGAAAATAAGATTCAAATAAATAGAATCAGAAATGAAAGAGGAGACATTATAACTGATGCCACAGAATATAAAAGACCATAAGAGGCTACTGTGAACAATTATATGCCAACAAATTGGATAACCTTGAAGAAACGGATAAAGCCCTGCGATTCTTAGGAACTGCACCTAGAGAAGCCTGCTCAGGTCACATGCAACAGTAGCTGGGGCAACTCCTAGACAACAGGTATGAGAGTTGATGGATAAATGTGTTTTGTTTCAGTGGTTTTCATTATGAGCAATTCTGAGTAGCATTCTATATCCTCAGATGGTCCTAACAAGATAGTCCAGTTGAGTACAAGAGGAACCAACTCTATAAGGAACTGATGGGCTTCTCCTCTGTCCCTGGTTGTCACTCCTGATCCCTAGGATCATCTTCAAAGACACCTGCTGCACACAGGTCCTGGTCATCAGACTCTACTTACTCTACTTTGGTGGGAACCCAGGTGAAGACACTGACCTAGCAGCAAATCATGTAATAAATAGATCTTATTAGATGACAAGTTCAGCCCAAGACAGGAGTGTGATATGACGGGGGGTGGGGGGGAGGGTGGGCGGGGAAGGTGGGAGAGACAGAGAGAGATAAAGGAAGAAAGGAATGAGGTAGGGAAGGGAACATAATAATACCTTGAGTGCTATCACCTAGAAGTTTGTGCATAAATTATATGTCACCTGTAATCATAACCTCCAAGAGAATAGAAGGAGACAAAGAGAGGGAAATATGTTTTTGCTAGTTGGAGAATTCAAGGTACAAGGTGAGAAAAAAAACTGAAAGGTAGCTTCTAGCAGAGACAGACTCCTTAGCCTGGCTGTAGTGACATAGGTTTCAAGAAAATTTATAACTCTTAACATTTGGGTGTGAGTGTGAGTGAAATTTTCTGAGAAGGGCTCATACCTTTCAACATATTGTCAAAAGGCCCCTCATACAATAAAACTAAAAGAGAATCAAGTCCTACACTAGGTTGTATAGTAATGTGTACAAAGAACTTTTGAACTTCACAGAAGAAACGCTCCCAAAATTACTGCAATACTTCTCCTCTAACTAGCTATCATTCTCTGCTTATTTATCTGGTATCTACACCCAAGTACAGCCCCTCTGAGATAAGAGATGTAGGCTAGGAGGAAGAAGACCTCTGTCCTGGTCTGCCCTCTGTAACCACGAGACCCTGTCCAACTCATCTAAGCCTTGGTTTTCTCACTGGTAAAATGGGCCAAGGGAGTAGGTTGGCAGAATATAAAGTAAGGATTAGGAAAATCAGATGAGAAGACATATGAAAGTGCTTTGTGAACTCTACGGCCCGTACCAGATGTAAAAGGTATTGTGTGGTTGAATGGACTCATTTTCCAGGTAGGGAGCTAGGGTAGAGCTCCCTAGCTAGTCTATGGACCCATCATCTGGGAGCTGGTTAGAAATTCAGAAACTCAGCAACCCACCACCTCACCTTCTGAATCAGAATCTGCTTTTTTATTTTTATTTTTTTATTTTTTGTTTTTTCAAGACAGAGTCTTGCTCTGTTGCTCAGGCTAGAGTGCAATGGTCTGATCTCGGCTCACTGTAGCCTCTGCCTCATGAGTTCAAGCAATTCTCATGCCTCAGCCACCCAAGTAGCTTGGTTTACAAGTATGTGCCACCATGCACAGCTAATTTTTGTATTTTTAGTAGAGACGGGGTTTTGCCATGTTGCCCAGGCTGGTCTTGAACTCCTGGCCTCAAGTGATCCACCCACCTCGGCCTCCCAAAGTGCTAGGATTACAGGTGTGAGCCACCACACCTGGCCCAGAATCTGCATTTTAACAAGACCTCTGGGTGATTCTTGTCCAAGTTAAAATTTGAGAAACCAGAGTAGAAGACAATTGGGATTCTTTTCAACTTGGAACTTCTGATTTAATGACTACAATTTTTAAATTTATTCTCTCCCATCTCTCCAAGTTGCTATTGTATCCTCCTTTTTTCTAGTCATTATGGCCTAATTCAACATTGTTTCCACACAGTGTTCCACAAACATTGACTTAATACTGCTGAGAATGAGCTGAATGTAACCTTATATCACCCTTATCATCCTTTTTAAAACAACTGACTTCTTAAAAATTACAAATGCCCATATTGTCCACATCCTCCTCTCAAAGGAAATCTGCTACTAAAATTAAAAAAAATAATAATAATTTTAACTGGGCTTTTCTAGTTAGTCATTAGGTGCCTGGAAAACAAAGTCTTAAAAAAGAATCCTGGGCAGATGAAGACGTTCAAATGATACTGATAATAAATACACCTCTTAACGTTTGCTAACTGCTCTAATCCCTGCTATTTTGACATTGGTGCAAAGGAATTACCACCTGAAGACATGGGGCAGGTCAGTTGGCATCTACAGAGACTCAGTTCTTCTCAAGTTAGGGCCCTTTGCATCACTTATGGCCACCAAGAGGGATTAATCAACACCCTCCCCCACCCTCCCAAAAAAGACACACACACAAGTTTGTGAGCCAAGTGATTTGGTCCCATTACAATGTTGCTCTTAAGCTCTGTGCTCAGCCTGCCTGCAGCCTTCAAAAGTGCAAAGTTCCCACGCACATGAAAGGATGATTTTCCAGGCATTCCTGGATGGCCTTAAGATATTTGTTGTTTGCATGTTGGTCTTGTTTTTGTTTGTTTTTACTTAGGCTTTTTACAACTGGGTACTACACTGCAGCATCCTTGAAGAAAAAAGCCTGCTAGAACAGGTAATGGTAATAATGCTAATAATACCTTGGGTGTATACAGTACCTTTCTTTCTAAATGCTTGATATGTCTTTACATTGATTATCTCTTTTATCTTCATGACACCCCTTAGAATTGTTCCAAGGCAGATAACTCATGGGCTAAGATCTGGCCTCTTGAGCTTCCAGTACAATGTCTAAAGTAGAAAGCTTAAGAGACATTGGCCGAGTCATAGCCACTTGCAAAATCTTGCATCTTCTGGACTAAGAGATCATTTGTCTAATTGTTTTCATTGCTTTTGAGTTCTTTCCAAAGTTAATTCCCAACCTTAATTAGTTCTAGTTATGAGATCTCCAAGACTATATTCTTTGTAAACATATGCTACTTTATTAGTTAAGTCTAAATATTTATGAAATCTTTCAGTCTAGTAGTTTGGCTTCTCTGATAATTGTGGTCTTTATCTCTTTATAAAATGAGATACTGAAAGAGACACATTCAGCCTTGGTGCCTAGACCTGGCAGAAAGCAGAAAATGGTCTATTTTCCCTTATTTGTCTTCATTTTATTTTTAATCTGAGTCCATGTTGGCAGAGGAGGTTGGAACAGAATAAAACAGACAAATGACTGAGTGAATAGAAGGTAGGTGTATCAAAGATGAAGAAGGGGCCAAATTTGTAAGCATAAGTAAGGACCACATAACATTCTTCAACACTGATGGCTTTGTTGTATCCAAAAGTTTTTTTAAACTCTTTTCAAGGTAGCCCCAAATGACCTGTGCCTGCCCATGTATCTCCAGGGTGCTTTGGCTCTGCCTACAGACTACCTCACTCAACTAAGAACCTGAGTGGTTTGTCTGAACCTGAAACTATTGCCTCACAGATGTGTACAGAAGACCCACGGGTATGTTCACATCAGTAAAAAAAATGGGTCCATAGCTTAACTGCTGTGCTTCTTAGCTAAGGTCTTTGGATAAACTCCAAAGCAATAAATCATCACATATGCCAGGAAAGAAATTTTTTTGGAGTTGGAGTTATTATATGGCCCTAATATATACTACCACATAAGAATAACAATAATAATAATGGATACCCTACAACTTTTCCACTTACAATACACATGTCAGTAGTGATGTCTTGGAATGACCTATTATGTCATATGGGACAGCAGTGTTCTTTCTCAGAAATGTCAATGGAGATAAACAGATCAACTGAGGGTTAGCAGTGACAGGACATACAATTGTAGCAGAGCACGTTATTAGATGGGTGGACAGCATGTGAAGTCATAGAAAGTTAAGAAGTAGCGAAAACTATGAATAAGGATAAGGAAGTAGAGAAAATATATAAAGTGGTTTTAAACTTGAATGCCTTCATCTGAAAAAAAGTAAATGTACGGATTTGCAACTAAGTGGCAAAAATTAATACATGCCTTGCCAAAAACATTCAAATTCAAAATTTGATCTAAATATTAAGCTGGCCAAATAAAGCACAACTTCAGGCTGTATTTGGCTTCTTGGCCACCATTTTCTGAATCTTGGAAGAGATGGAAGAAAGAAGCTGGTCAGTGTCGAGAGAGCAGTGGCCACAGCAAGAGGACAGCAACGTCACAGAGAACAGACACAATGGGAGCAAGAACATGTCACCTGAAAAGGAGAGAGAGAGGTGGCCAGAGGAGACCTAGAGTGTTCTCTATCCCCTGGGACTTTGCTTTCTTCTTCCAATTCCAGTCCACGTGTGATCTTGCAATAAAGGTGTTTCTTTTAAAGGAGTCTGGATAAGAGTCACTTTTTCAGAGTCATCACCTACATGCCTTTGCTGATTTTCATAAAAACCCTACAGAGTAGAGGGCTGGAAATTGGGGTCCTGGGGCCTTGTCTAGTGCTGCTTTCAACACAACCCTAAGAATTATGTTCAGTGTAGCGTGACTGAGAAGCACACATAAATGTTTCCTCCTAATGCATTGCATTTCAAACCTATTTGATTCACAATGGCCATGCGGTCATTTCTTTTAAAATCCTTGGAGAAAAGTTGCTCCACAAAGAGGAATTAATGGTGGTCTTACCAGTGCTGGGAGAGTTATCTTCTCAAACTCATCCAATTCTGTCTGCAGAAAACCACACAGAGGATCTGAACACCTAAATATGTCATCACATGAAGAATATGAAGTAACTATGTAAAATAATACAGCCATACATTAGCCTAAATAGTGCTAATAAATTGTTAGGCTTAGCAGGAAATGGAAAATCACTAATGGAATAATGAAGAGTTTGTTTATTCCTGGAGCAGATGGCCATCATTCGTCATGTTCCCAGTTCCCCTGCTAAGAGCAGTAGCTAACAGGCTTGCTTGAGGTGATGAAGCAAGCCCAGGAAACCACTGCTTTCTAATTGCTAAAGGAAGTACAATTGTCACTCTAGGACCGAGAGAATTAACAGGGAGAATAATCCACATCAAGGGAACTTAGTAATGTGAACCATCAATGAAGTAGGACTGGGCAGAGATAAGAGACATTGCATTTGGAGGCGGTCAGATTTGTATCCTTGAATGGATTTTTGGAGCAGGAGTGGACACCTGACCCAAAGGAAATCAATCCATAGGCTAGCAATCAACCTATTTTTTGTTTTTGTAGCATTTGATCGTTATCGAGTTTTGCTGAATCCTACTTCTCTCTTTGTAAAACGGAAAAATAACAATACCTAACTCAAAGGGCTATTGCAAACACTGAATGAGATACAGCAAATGATGTGCCAGGCATGGTACCTATGACATGGGACATAGTAATGGTTAATTATTGCTATTGTTTAGCTAAAGCAGCAGTCAAATAGCCCTGAAACCAAGGTTCTATGTTTTTAAGGCCAAACTAGGAGGGTAAACTTTTGTAAACTTCTATTCACTATCAGAGTCAAAAAGAAGTACAGGTGGGTGGATCATAGTACCAGCTACAATTCACTTATTCATTCATTCGAAAACAAAATTTACTCTTGAATTAAAGTAGAGAAGAAAACTGATTGCTGCCAGAAATGATCAAAACCTGCTTTGTAGGATGTTACTTTACTTTGTAACAAAAATTAGAGAAATTAAATAATTTTTCTTTTTTGTTATGAAGAAGAAATATCAAAGTTACATGTTGGTGATATAAGGCAAGGTACACACCACACCCCAGTGATCTTTCTTTGGCATATAAATCAGTACACATAAGTGATGGTAATGCTGTCAGTGTAGCAAAATACGCTGTGGTAGACGCTGTGATGAAGCCCATCGTGAATGACACACACCTGTTCTCCAATTTCTCATCCTCACTTGCAGCAGCGTGACATCAAGAGGGATTATAGACTGAGAGACTGGGTAGAGGGTGTATTAGTCTGTTCTTGCTTTGCTATAAAGAACTGCCTGAGACTGGGTAATTTACAAAGAAAAGAGGTTTAATTGACTCACAGCTCCACAGGCTGTACAGGGAATATGACTGGGGAGGCTGCAGAAAACTTACAATCATGGCGAAAGGCGAAGGGAAAGCAGGCCAGAGCAGGAGGGAGAGGGCAAAAAGGGAGCTGTTACGCATTTCTAAACAACCAGATCTTGTGAGAACTTACTCATTATCACAAGAACAGCAGGGGGGATGTCGCCTCATGATCTAATCAACTCCCACCAGGACCCTCCTCCAACACTGGGGATCACAATTTGACATGAGATTTGGGTGGGGACACAAATCCAAACCAGATCAGAGGGCTTTGTTTTTTTTCGTCGTGATTTTTCAATTTTAAGGTTCTTGAAGGCAGAAATTGTGTCTTGTTCATGATCTCTTGGGCATATTCATAGGCCTCAACCACCAAATTAAAGATAGCTTAGAAATAAAAAATGGGCAGTTATTAATTGCAACAACATTCATATACAGGAGTCATTTTCTTTCTTTGAAGTGCTTTATGAACTTGAGCAAAGGCCAGTTTGAGGAGTAAGTTTCTTCAGCTTGTTCATGGTAAGTGATCGAAAGTTAGGCAGAGAAAGTGGCCTAGGCATGTGGCATTCCTCCACTTTGGCCAACTTATCTCTCAAAGTCAGACTCATCATGTGCTGTGCAATAATGGAGACAGGCGAATCAGAGAGGCTCTGACTTAGAGCACTGGAGGTGACTTCCTTTCCGCCAGCCTGTTTGTCTTCAGATTCCTTAGAGCAGTTGCTCCAACTCTCATCTTATGAACGGCTGGTTATCCTTGACACTGGGGGACTAAAGTCATCTTCTCCCTTCTCAGGGACACAAACAAAAATGACACTACCTTGAGATAATACCTAACACGAATTATTCCACCACATCATATCTTGGGGCTCAGATACTGTATTCTTTCCTAGTCTAACACATGCAGCAAGAATACATGGCAACTATAATAAATGCTTCTAATTAACAAATAAAAATACATCTGCGCCAAGTGAGAGATATAGCTGCTTAAGAACCCTCCTTGGCTGCTGGGCTTGCCTATGATGGATCAAAGCTTTTAAACACATCATAATGACAAAAGGGATGGGATTTTCAGACCCTTTCATCCACGGAATGGCTTTTGGGCTTACTCTGCAGAAAGATTTTTTTCCCTACTTGTAAGAAATGAGTTTAAGCCAGAATCAAATTTTGATACTTTAAAAAAAAAAAATTCAGCCAGTACAATTGATAGCACCAGTTAAAGGAATGAAACACTTTTGCATGGAAACAATGATTCATGAACTGCTCTTGCCTACAGGAGATGAAACCATTTGGGCTTTCCTCAGCAATGCTTATATTACTGGCAACATTTAAAAAAACTTCATTATATAGAGAAAATTCCAGCCTTCAATTTTTCTTCTTGAGAGGGTTCAGTGGTTGCTTTGGTATATGTGTGTCTCTTGGTGAGTGTGTGTGTGCATGTGGGCACACACATGAGTGTGTTTCATAAAATTAGATTCTAGCAAAGGGAAAGCGCATTTATGCAAAAGCAATTCATCAACCACTTCTGTGGTCAGAATTCACCGAGGTAATTTAGATACTTTAATGGCAAGGTAGTTTAGGTAGGTAGGAGGCAATGTCCCCTCCCCTATCTAACAGCTATGGTAATAGAAAATGTGTGCTCTAAATGAATCTTTTCAGGAAAGTAATTCTCATTTTAATTATTTATCCACTACCAAATATAAAATATAATTACATAGCCAATGTCCATGGGAACAAAATCCACAGTGCAGTATAGAGTATGAGAGCTTTCTGCTTTTAGAAATTTTCCATTAAAAAAATAAGATTAGCCAAATGTAGCTTTTATAATCTGATTTTCATAATATTAGTGTTTAGCAAAAGCCAACCACTTGCTCAAACAATGGCTCCAGAATTTGCAGTGTTTCCACCATAGCCTTGACCTTTATGATGTCAGACATATATTACCTCTCTGTTATAATTTACTATTGACATCATGGATTAAATTTGTTGTTTCAGCTAATGTAACTGAGCAAGCAAGGTAGATTGTGAAACCAAAGCCAGCTACTGAAATACGAGGGTTGTCAAGTATAAATTTACAAAAGATATTCAGACTGGGTGTGGAAGACAAAAATAAATGGACAAAGAAGCTGTTTTTGACAGACTGCAAGGGGCTAGAGACTTCAGCTTGAACACTGTAAATCCAAATGTCATGAAACACTACTGCAGAGTGAGAGACATGTCTATTCCTCAGCAATATAAATGGTGATGGGAAACCAAATTTCCAAGATGCTGTGCATTTTTGAAAAGTATATCCCTGACGCCCAATAACAAACTCACTCCTCTCTTCTTCCTCTCCCCCAACCCAAGCTTGAAAAATCACTGCAAGTCACTAGCTCAAAACCAGTTATGACCGCAACGCCAGTGTTTCCTAGGGCATCATTTGGAGAGGAGACCAAGGAATGTCAAAAAATACGTTAAGATGTATTTTTAAAAGAAAAATAAATTAGCGTGGCAACAGTATTTCCCAAATGTGAGCCATGACCAGTTTTTACTTCTGATACAAATTCTGTTTTTAATACCAAAGTATAAGCCACTAAGAGGGGATATTGTAACTACTGAAGGCTGTAAAGGTGCTCCCATCACTCAGCAGGGAACCCCTTCATGGTAATTGAGCCACCTCCATGACATGTCTTTTAGAGTAACAGTCTGGCCTGCAGGGTTGTAGCTACATGAGACTGCTGGTTCATGGTCAGGCTTTCTTTGCTTTCAAATGCTTTATTTTCCCAGATACCCCACAAGCTAAAAGAATTTGAGAATAACTGAAACTAGGAAACAATAAATGTGTGCTACATGGATAGAGTGGTGGGTGGATAATGCAAGAAGAACCAGAAGCCTCAGAAGTGAAAATGCTTTTTCAATGTCACATCTTGTTGTTATGGATAAGGCCCAGGTGGATTTCTTAGTTTAGTCTGGTGGGTATTCAGTGGTCATGCTTCTGGGAAACTTTTAGAGGGATGGAGAGCCTGATATTCCTCTTACCTCTGTGTACCTGTTCAGTGACCTATTAAGCCTTTTCTATGGAAGCTGTAAGTGACCTATTAGAGCCTTTTCTATGGAAGCTGTAGGAACGTCTGTGTCCACGAGTCAGATACACAGTGAATATTTATGGAATAACACATAGTACTTTATGCTGTACTGGGGCTTGGAATTATATAGTAACCATTACAAATAGACTTTGCCTTCAAATTTATAGTCTAATGTCTATGTGTGTCTATGTATAAGAGAGAAAATGCAAATTCTAAGAGCAGCTCTAATGTGAGAAAATGAGGGCATGAATAAGTCCTTTGCTCCTTGACCCAAATAGCATCTTTGAATAACTGTCAAAGGACTTGAGTAGGGTCAGACAATGTTTTCAGGTAGTCATGAAAAGAAATGACACAGAAAGCTCTTATTTACATCTCCTTTGGCTAGCCATGGAGATCCCTAGATTGAAAATAGGGTGACCTTTAGAGGCTCATCACCATCTTGGGTGTGAGTAGCCTGGAAGGAAGATGTACTGTGAGCCTGATCTATAAAAGGGACCAAGAATCCCTTGAGCTGACTCTGGATGCAACCTCAGATGGACTCATAACCTGCAAAGGAGGCTTAAACTTGCCTAGACCTCTTGACAATTGCTTTAAGTGAATTTGCAGGTGATTGACAGCAGCTTGATTGAACACCCTCTCAGGGTTCCTTCTCCTGGTATAATTCAAATGTCCCTGGTTCTAGGTCTCCTTGATTCTTGGGCCCACATGGATAGGAAATTTTATTGTAAAAGCTGATGGCTTAATTCCTCCTAAAGAAAGTGCTACCATAGCTTTGCTTAGAAAAATACCACTTTGGTTTAGGAAAATCCACAACTCTTACTTTTCCTGGTTCTAGCACATCGTTGATCCCATCTCATATTTTCATAAGCTGTTTATATTGGATTGCAGCCACTGTGTATTAACTTATCGCTCTTTCTCTCTCCAGGCCAGTGAATTAGCTCATGCGTTCAGCTGCATTTAACAAAGATCCAAACACAGTGGTTTAACTAACATTTTCTTAACTGCCATGAAGTTCAGAAGTAATATAATATGCACAGAGTTGGTGCCATGACTTTTAAACCACCAAGGACCAGGCTCCTTCCAGCTTCTTACTTTGCCATCTTAATATGTGGCTTTCATTTCCATGGTTTCACAAAAGAAAGAGAAAATGACAAGAATGTAGAAAAAATGGGGCTTTTATGAGAAAAGTAAAAATTTTCCAGAAAACCTCAGCAAAATTCTAATTGGTCAAAACTAGGTTACTCTTAACTGCAAAGGAGACTGGAAAATACAATGTTATCTGGAACAAAATGAGGAGTCTGTGGGCAGGAGAAAGGAAAAGGATGGAGACTATAATAATATAGACAATAAGGTGTGTCTGCCACACCCACATACCTAGTGTCTACGAAGTATAGACTGATCTCAGTGTTTCTAACGTACACACACACGTGTTCACACACACACACACTAAAAATATACTCTGCAATATAATATTTTTTCTGAAGACTGGGATGATTATAAACTTTCTAGATGCTCCTGTACAAACAGTAATTAAAATCCCTTAGACACTTTCTTATTTGCAAAATGACAAGAACACTTAAAACTTGAGGGCGAAAACCTGGTTCTAGAACCAATTCTGCCACCAACCATCTGAATGATCTTGAAAAAGTTACTTTCTCTCTCTGGGCTTCGGCTTCCTGAGTGGTCCCACTGCTGACACTCTTAGTACCTCGACACATCCCTTCACCTCCCAGCAGATACATATCTCTCCTCTGCTCAGAACACTTCCATGGCTTGGGTTGAAATTCAGTCCTCAGAATCTGGGTTGTGTCCAAGTTTCCTATGTCATCTTGTACCACTGTCCCCTTTGCTTATTTTGCTTTGCCACACTGGTCCTCACCTTCCTTAGCCATGCCAGGCTCACTGTTGGCCTGAGTCCTTGCTGTTCTCTCTGCCTTAAATGCTCTGCCCCAAGGTCTTCAACGACTAGCTCCTTCTTACTATTCAAGTCTCAGTTCAAATGTCACCTCCTGACAGTGATATCTAAAGTACAATTTCAACCCAAATCCTCTCTATCATAGAACCTGTATATTCCCTTCAGAGAATATACCACAATTTAATTATCTTGATAATACATTTGTGCATTTGTTTGCAGTTGGCCTCCCACTAAGAATGTCAGTTCCTTGAGAACAGGAACCTTCTCTCTTATTCAGCATGGGTAATCCTGGCACAGTTTCTGTCAAGTTTCTGTCAATATACAACAAAGGTTTGTTGAATGAATTAATGAGGAAAGAGGGCCTTCAATGTCATCTCACAGGTCCCTTCCAACTCTCAAGTCCTGCAGTTCCCTCTCACAGGGCTACTATGAAGATGAGAGGAAACAACGCATGCCACTGTACCTTCTAAATTGGTAATCAGCACACGAAATGTGAAGGCTGTTACAAACAATAGTGTGATTTGGGGTAATTTGTAAGCTGTTAAAAAGGAACTTGGCTCTTGGAACATTGTTTACAAAACAAAGCCTGAATTGATAGAAATTAGATGCAAAGTAAATGAGCCATTTTGAAAGAGTGTTTTCTGAAGGGGTGACATTCTGGAAAACAATATCAACTGAGCAATTTCTCCTTCAATCAGCTCTGTAGAAAGTGATACTCTTCTCCTATCCTATAATATTTGCAGAAGTTCTATTTGTAAGTCATTTCTAAAGGGCAGCAATTTGTTTTGTATTAGAGTTTCTGTGAACTGATGATTCCAGTCAGTTCGATCATATATCTATGGAGCATCTACTTGATAGGAAATTTCATTAATGTGAGTTAATTATTATGGAAGATATACCTGTTTGACAACTTTCATTGGCCCAATTGGAGTCCTGAACACTGTATTGAAACCCAGAGTTTGCCTTGATGTCCTTTAGTTGCATGCCAGACTTGGCTGTAGCCAGTCGATACTGGTTTTAAATCATAGATTAAGTCTGCATTCCCAAGGGATAATTTGAAGCAGTCACCTCACATCACTTGGACATTCATGTCACCCTCAGCTTAAAGAAGTTTTGTTGGGAATACCAGGTCTCATGTCACTCTGCTGTCCCTAAATAGTTAGTGGCTCCTCACTGTCCCCTGTAGTAAGTCCGATCTTCCTGCATTCAAGACCCCTGCAACGTGGCCCACCCTAATTCCTAAGCACATAATCTCCCTAAAAAGGCAAACCTGTATCCAGGCCAAACTGAGCTACAAGGAATTTTCCAAACATTATTGGTACTTTCTTACCTGCTTGGCTTTGCCATGCTGTCCCCCAACCCTTGAGATGGAGGACAATCCCCACCATCCCCACCTGTAGAAAAATTTACCCCTTCTTAAGTCCTGGAATCCCCTACCTGGTAGCCATCTCTCCATCCTCTTTGTATTTAATCATAATAAGTACATTCATGCTTACTGAGACCATGCACCAGACACTGTTCTAAGTACTTTACATGGAACCCTCAAATGAACTTA
Source organism: Homo sapiens (assembly GCF_000001405.40). Taxonomy (NCBI): domain Eukaryota; kingdom Metazoa; phylum Chordata; class Mammalia; order Primates; family Hominidae; genus Homo; species Homo sapiens. The sequence continues at coordinate 176,593,599 of NC_000002.12, read as the reverse complement.
TGAAAAAGCACCACTAACATCCCACTTTCCAGATGGTGCTAAAGGATAAAGGAGTTACAAAGCGGAGACTACAGTAGTACATGCCAGAGTTGAGACTCAAGACCAGATAGGTTATCACCAGAGCCAGTTCATACCAGCATTAGAGAGTCTATTATTAGGATCTCTTTCTAACTCTCCATTCAGTGATGTCAAGTTGGTAGCTTGAAATAAGCTATAGTGAGAGTATTTACACCATGGAAATAGGCATGAACTACACACCAGCGTACCCTCCTCCCACAATTCTCTTTCAGATCAACAGTTGTTATTGTTAAATATTTAGCAATGTAACAGTGTCTGGGGCCCACCTTCTCAACCATTGTGTTACATTGCCACATCTATTTGTGTGTTTAAATATTAGTCTCACCACATTGAGAGTCCCTCAAGGTAAGGGGCCATGTCATACCCATTTATATCACACAGCCTTCCATGTACACAATAAATATATAATTCATAGTTATTGGAATGATTTATAATTCATTCTCAAAGTGGCTAATATCAATATTCTATTGTGAGATGGAAAAAGTGGCAGCTACTCTTCTAGTTCAATCGAAACATTTCTAGCTCCTTTAAATATTATCTACTTGGAGATGACCTTGTCAGCATGAACAAGCCTTGAGAAGAGAGTCCTGGAATCTGAGCTCAGAAGGAATCTTAAATACTATCCAGCGCAACCCTATGTTTGACCAAAACTAAGTTCCAGCATCCAGTGGTTGTTCCTCTTGAGAGCAGGAATTGACTGATTACCATCTAGGGTTGCAGTGGAGTAAAACCTTTTCAAAGTAGAATCTCCACTCATCAGTGCTGATGCCTGCCCCACCACCACCACTGCATCTCCTCCCTTATTGAGGATCATGGACACACTGAATCTCAGTTACTGACAGGGGGTTGGCGTCAAGAAGGGATACATAAGCAGCGAATTCCTCTGGAGATTAAGAACAGGTCAAGATAATCTCCAGAACGAGAAAATTATGTGATTATTCTAAAAAACAATGCCAATTTTACGGCCCAATTTCCCCAGCTTGCAGGCCTGAATTCTTCTAAGTAAATCTCCCCCTCACCGCGTGCTTTCCCACCCCCATATCTTTGCTGTCTCCTTTCTATCCACAGGGATTTTGTTCCTGCCCAGCTCCATCCGCTGACGTCATACAAGTACTAACATCTTACCAGGCCTAGCTTATTGCCACTCTCTCTGTGATCACCACCAAGAAGAAGAAATCTCTGCTCTAAAACATAAGCCCCTGGCTTTGGGAAGCTTATCCTGTTCTTATCTGGAAATCTATCCTGAATCCTATTGGGGAACACATTGCTTCTCCTTGATGGGATCTCAAAGGTCATTAACTGTGCTGTGCCTTCTTTAGGCCCAGCCCCACCATGGTGGGGGCCAATAACAACCAGGTCTCCCTCACATCTGGGGAGCTTCTCCAGCTCGCACAGGACCTGGAACTGGCTGGCAGGTCCAGCCTCACTAGGACTCAGAGTGAATGGAGACTCAGTTACCCACTGATGCCTAAGGTGCAGCCTCTTCACTCAATTCCCATCTTGTGTGTTTGGTTCTCTGACGGGTCTTCTGCCTTAACTTTTGGTTTCTCCTCAAGGTCTTTGCAAATATTACAGCCCAGGGTTGATTACGGATTAGACAGGACCCTCAAACCTTCCTACTTCCTCCCACAGTCTTCCCCAGGGCTGGTTTAAACAGTCAATCACAGCATAGGCACCAAGCAGGCTGAAGCAGGAGGGATGCTGGGGAGACATCAGTCTTTGCTGACCTCAGCAGACCTCTGTGATTTCCACTGAAGCATCTTACCTGACTCCTGGACTGCTCCATCCTCACCTGAGGTCCCCACCGCTTTTAGCCCAGAACCCTTGGATAGTGACCAAATGAGCCCTGAATGCTTGGGTTGAGGGCTGGAGTCTTCACATTTGAGTCGAGTCTTGAGGGGTAAGGGGTAAGGAGGAACCCTCGGGGAGGGAGTGGCATTCTCACAGAAGGGGCAGAATTTGGTTGTGAGTAGGGTTGAGGACAGAGATAGGTTTGGAAGAGGAGGCAGGCATCAGATCCTGTAGATACTGGAACACTGCTGAGCAATTTTATGTAGAGGCAATGATGGGATTTAATTCATATTTTAGAATGATTATCCTGGCAGTTTTTAAAGTTGATTAATAGTGTTGTCCAAACTTTAGTAAATAGTTTGGTAATTTGCATATGCCAATCATGGTGTTTTGTCCTAACCATGTACCTATTCTGTACTTTGAATTCCTTAATAATGTTCTCTAAATAGACTGCCTCTTTCCCTAACATTATTTTAAAATAAACTTTATATAATGAACATCATAGGGAATTCAGTGTCATTTGCCTTAAAAATGAAAACTATAGTGTGCACCTGTAATCCCAGCTACTCAGGAGGCTGAGGTGGGAGGATCTCTTGAGACCAGGAGGTTTGTGGCTGCAGTGAGCTGTGATTGCACCACTGCACTCCAGACCAGGTGACAGAGTGAGAGAGCCTATCTCAAAAAAAAAAAAAAAAAAAAAAGAGTACAACATTTGACATAGGGAGGTGGCATTTATAAACCCATTTCTTGTGAGTTAGTTTACTGTGGATCAGGCTTCTCAGAAATTGGTCAGCTTCGGGATTACTTTTGATAGGAAAGCACTACTGCCTAGAAAACAGGCCTCTGGCATCAGCCTTTCAAAGCCACACATTCAGTAAGCATCAAGTTTGACTGTGTTGTTTTTTCCGCATTTGGAAAACATTCTATGCAAGTTTCATTCACATTATGCTCTTCAAGAATCTTCAACCAGGAACACATTTGGGTTTTTAAGTCTATACAGTAATTGTTGTCTTGGATGATAGCTTGTTTTGTAACCCTCTGGTAGCCAAATGAGTGTGACAGTGATGGAATTAAAATCATAACTACATTGTGCTCAAATTGTTTGTTTGAGTGACTTAATGACAGGATTCCCTTCAGCAAATGCAAAATATGAAAATATTTCAATTTTACAAGGCAAGGGAAAAATACATTTTCCTGAATGGTTCTGGAAAGGCCACCTCTATTTTCACAAGTGTGGCTGTAAAATAAACAAGCTTCATCTTTAATTTACCTTTGCTACCGCACCAAGATGCCTAGGTGTTAAGAAAAGACTGTACAGTGATGCATTTGCCAGACAAAAAGCTTTCCCTGTTATTAATGACTGGTGGCGCCCCAGTGTAATCAAAGGGCACAGCTGCAGTGATATACGGCAGTGACAAGCCTTGGGATCTTTCCTCCTCAATGCTACGAGCCTAACAGCTAGCAGTAGAGAACTCCCAGCGCTGTATATCTACAAGATAAATAGCACAAGATATGAATATACGTATGGCTTACAGTCCTGAAAAGTATTGTTATATCCTCCCACACACAATCATTCTAAATATGACGCAAGTGCATTTTTCACCATTTCAGTACAATCCTTGTTGTTTGTAAATGGCAATAGTTTTCTCGTAGAGATTTAAAACCCTCCAACTGTTCCAGTTACTGACGTCTGATTTGAAAACTGGTGCCTATGCTGCCGACAGTACAGCAGGTTTCCAGAGATTCATAACCCTTTTTACAGTGACAGGCAGCATCAAAAGAAGGAATCACCACAAGAATATACTAGAAATCATTTTTATTTTTGCTCCTCGATGATGCCAAGATGATCTAAAGGGAAAACTGCGAGTCACTCATGATATGAATTTGACATGAAGGAATCCATAAGAAAAATTCACTGATGTTTTTATTTCCAGCTATTAAGCCATTTTTTCTCTCTCCTGCTTTGAATTTCTGACCAGTAAGTGCCATATTTTGCTTTGTTACGGGTTCAAGAAATGCATTTAATTGGGAGTTATGACCAAGGTTAAATAATCAGCATGAAATGAGGTTAGCTTTCTTCACTTACTCAGGCGTGAATTCTTCTAGAAACATTTTATAATTACTGATTAGGTTTCCATTAAAAATAAAATGAACAAAACCACAGAATGGTCTTTTCCTGGATCAATAGCAAAGACACGTCCATGCACACACAGAGGAAGTCAGCGCAGCTCCATGACCTTTTCATGAACTTTCCGGGAGACGGAAAGATCATTCAAAGGGCAGAGGTCAGCATTCATGCTGGTCACAAACAAAAATCAGATTTTGCTTTGCAATGAAGGCTTTTACCTATGAGTGCAAATTCAATACTATTATTGCATATTTTCCTCCATTATCAATGACAGAATAAACTGCTTTTGTATTTGCGGCACGTGTTAACATTTACTAACTCATATTACTTTGCTATCTTTATCAAGCATCACAAAATGAAAGATGAGATTTAAAAACTGGAAAACTTCAGTCAAGATGGGAATCCTCAGCTCATCCAAAGGACTTTGCCATGCAAAAGATGCCCCTCTCTGGGTCATTGCTCCCCTCACCGACCCCAACATGCATAGCACAGAGGGAAGGAGGATGCCAGAAAGACAAGATAATAGTGAATTAAGGATGGAGCTTTGCTACAAATAAATTACACAGGTCTTGAGTGGGGAACGTGAGTGCTGCTCCTCTGTGGACGCAGGTTCACCTCACACAGAAACAGTGCAGCTCTCTAGTTTTGCCCCAGAGGATGTTGAGGACTGAAGAGACAAAGGTAGGAATAACTGGGAATCTGAAGCATTTTTAAAAAGACCCTCATTTCCAACAGTGCTGACTCAAATCAGCATCATTGTGAAACCTGAAAACTCAACATGGTTTCTGGGTGGAAGGTGTCCACATAGAGGTGCCAATTGGCAACTCCTAATGTCAGTGTTCTTAGACAAAGGGGAAGCCAGATAGACTGAAGCCATGTGTTTGTTAGAATCAGTTAGGAAGTCAAAAGGCACCTTTAGGAGCTTTAAGAAATCAGGCGAGTATCAAAATATAGAGATCCTACTCTTCTGGAAATCCAATATCCTAACTTGATTAAGAAGAAAAAGCATTTTCAAAGATCTGGATGCAACCACTACAAGTCACAGATGGCTCTGTAGCACTCTTCAGACAATGCAAAGCTTAGAGAGTTCTGAAGCCTTTTATAGAAATAAATTCACATTTGACATATAGTGAAATTTGGGCCCTAATTCTTTTGTGTTCAAATGGGTGTCCTAAAGACACACATTATTCCTGCCTTTTCATGTTCTATTTTCCTGGATACAGCATTTGATTTTCTTAATCACTTGACGTATGACATAGGTGAATTGAAAAATAGCCCAAGGCTATTCGTAACAGTAATAGCTTCATCCAACTTTAATTCTTAATACTGTGTGCTAAATCGGAAGTTAGCTTTTATTAAAACAAGTTTATCTACGTGGGCATAGGGGACATAGGGTAGTGCTGAGAGGCTGGATGCCTACTGAGCCTGTAGAACTTGAAAATTTTAGAAAGAGACTTGGGAGGGCATTCCTTTACCCTCTTTTGTTTTTTAGAAAAGGAAACCAAGCCTTGGTGAGTGAGTGTGTGTGTGTGTGTGTGTGTGTGTGTGTGTAGTACTGATCAATTAGAGGGTAGGCCTTATCCAATCATAGTGGATTGTGGGTCTTGGAGAGGGAATCCAGGAAGTCTTCTGCAGGTATCAGTTCAATCCTTTGGCTACTGAATTGTGGAATGTGGAGGACATCCTGGAAAACAAACAGTTAGTAAACAGTCAGGTAATAGATAACATAAAGTTTCCTCCTAGTCCTGGGAGAAAGATGGTGTGTTCATTGAAAGCTCATCTGCCTGAGTTAGGATGCTGACTCCACCACTTACAAGACGAATGACTTTGGACAAGTTATTTAACTTCTCTAGGCCTTGCCTCAGTTTATTCATTTGTATAATGGAGCTGGTAATAGTAACCTCACAGGATCACACAGCAAAGCATATGGATGCTGTGCTAAGTGTTTTAAGGTTAACTCTTCAAGTATCCTCAACAACTCTCTCAGGTGAACGTTTTTTATTATCTGAATTTTATAGATGAGGAAACAGAAGCTCTGGCAGTGTGATTAACTTGTCTATCTCACATCTGGTAAGAGGCAGAGTAGGGATTCAACCCAGAAGTCCCACATCAACCACAGCCTTGTGTCAACCAGAGTGTCTCACCCTAGAATCCGCATTCAATATTGATCCTAAAGGCCCTGCTTAGATGGCCTCCCACTGACAGCATTATTTACTGAAAATAAATAAGATGCTTATAAAAGGACTTAATGTGATGAATTCTGCCTACTGTTTTTTCCAGAGGTGTTGATTTGTCCAAGTTTACGCAACCAATTCATGAAAAAAAATCAGGTTAAAGGCCCATCTTCTGGTCTTTGGTCCAGTGTCCTATCCACCCTACACACTGCCTTGAATAGAGCTTTCAAAACAAATGGTAAGATCACTCTGAGAAGCATGGAAAAGTGGATAAAAATGTGAATGATCCAACCAGACAACCTGAGTTCGAATCCTGCCTTTACTGACTTGTCCTGTGATCTTACAAAAGTCTCATGATTTCTTTGTGCCTTAGCTTTATCATCTGGAAAATGGGGATGATAATAAGAATATGATCTATCTCCTCCAGATTATTGTGATGATTACATGAAAAATGCACATAAAGCACTTAGAATAATTCCTGGGACAGTCGTGTAACTCAAGCAATGTTAGTTATTATAACACTATTTTTTTCACTCACGCATATAGCCTCTATGTAATACAATTAATAACTAAATTTCAGAAATGTTGCCTTGTACTTTTCAGAAATATGATGGGTCAGAAGGACTGGTGTGGATATATGGTGGAATAAAGTACTAAATTAGAAGGATAAAAGAGTTATTTTAAGTTTCCTGAAAAGGACATGGTTAAGTCTTAGTTCTGTAATTAGATAATACTTCAAAGGATTTTAGTAACATTAGAGAGAAGGAGGTCTGAGAAAATATTCTAGCTGAAAAAGGAAAAATTTGGAGGGGAATTCATGAAAGCATACCGCATCCCGGTAACATTAAATTTTGCTAAGGGAAGGTTTGGGCTTGCAAGAATCATAATATTATTCGAATCAGAAAGGGAGATCAAACTCAGCTAAATGTAATTTGCATTAAACATTTTATTTAAAATGTCTATTTTTAAAGAAAATATAGGATTTAATGTGTATTGGCATGAATGGAGAATTAGAATTAGCCCAAAATACACATTAAATCCAAGTTTTTGGAGGAGAGAGCATAAAGATTTTTTAAAATCTATTTCTCCTTCCTTCGACCCCCATCAAAATTTTATTTAATTCTTCACAGAGCACAGCGAGTAGATTTCTGCTTCTTCGCCCTTTTAATGCGTTCAACTTGGTTTTAAGCACGCATCAGAAAGCAGCTCATGATGAAAGCCTTTTGTTGTCTGCAGACAGAAATGTCAGAAACTTAGCCCTGGTCAGTGCAAGGTATAAAAGAACTCCCCCTAATGCCATCTGTCCTTCAAGATCAAGTTCTGCACAGCTGCATACCCGAGATGGCCTGGGATCACCTGGGTAACCTCTGGGTGATGTTCATATTTGAGATGTGACCTAAGATGGGGAAGAAAGGGGAGAAATAGCAACATGATACTTAACAGATTCTGGCCCAAGCGATCACACATTTTGCTTCCTGCAACTCATAAATCCATTATCTTCAAACTGGGCTGCTCACATTGCAGGCATTCCTCTTTAACAGCTGCAAATGATAAGCTTTACTCTATATAGCTTTCTTTAAAGTACTTTAGAGATATGATTAACCTATATATATACATATATATATATATATACACACATACATATATATTTTATGATAGTCCCTATTTTTTCTGTTTGTCTATAAAAGATGTAGAGATATCAGTGGCCCATTGTTTTTTATTGACCCTATGAATGGGTCCTTCAAAGCTTCCCCATTCTACAGAGACTCTAATTTCAGTAATGAGACCATATCTTAAAAAATAAACTTTTTAAAATTATAGAGCTGGATCACCCACTACAATTTACCATTCTACTATTACTCAACCTGAAAAAAAGAAGGAAATCCTGCCATTTGCAACAACATGGATGAACTTTGAGGACATTATGCTACGTGAAATAAGCCAGGCACAGAAAGACAAATACCAGATGATTTCACTTATATGTGGAATCTAAAAAAAAAAAAAAAAAAGTCAAACTTCTAGTAGCAGAAAGTAGAATGTTCACTACCAGGGGCTGAGGGGTGGAGGGACTGGGAAGATATTGGTCAAAGGGTACAAGCCTTCAGCTGTAAGGTGAGTTAAGTATTGGAAACTTAATGTATAGCTTGTTGACTATAGTTAATAATAATATATTATATATTTGAAATTTGCTGAGAGTAGATTTTCCAGTTTTCTCATCACACACACACACAGACACAGACACACACAAAAGGTAATGATGGAAGATTATGTATGTGTTAATTAGCTTGATTGTGGTAATTATTTCACAATGTATACATATATCAAAACATCATATTACATCCCCTAAATGAGTACAATTTTTATTTATCAATCATACTTCAATAAAGCTGGGAAAAAATAATAATTTACTCTTCTATTTTTCCCCACGGAGAGAAATTTTTTACCTAGACATTCTGTTACAACCAAGAATTTTTAGAAAAAGAAATGTGCGAGAACTAGTTTCTCACAGTGCTTGGGTAAGGTCAGCACATATTGATATCCAAGGACAATATTTAGATACAATTGTTTTCATAACTTTTAGGTAAAAAAAAATAATAAAACCAACAGAGTTCTCCTTTTCCAATCTGTTAAATAATCATAGAATCATAATCACTTAACTTGGTGGAGAGTCTACAGTAACATACTCAAGCCAACTCACAACTGGCTGGCAAGAGCCAATGTGTACCTGTCTTCCCAATGCCTTACTCAGCAATAGAAGGTTGGTAGTTTCAAATCTGCTATGATGTGAGTATTTACACCTTGAACACTGGCAAATGCTTCCCTCCCTATCCCGACTCCCAGGAACTGGCTGTTAAATATTTACCAGCACACCACAACTTCAGCAGAACTGTGTCCAGCCTTGGACTCCAATGCTGGTGAGTTATTTCTGGGAATTCCAATCATCAAGAAGCATTAAATACTTAAGAGTGACTATTGTGCTCAGCCGTAAATAGATATGGATGAGTAACATAGAGCAGGGGAAAAATGCAAATGATTATGCTTGTTAAACTAGTTTTAATAAAACCGCCTTCTCATTCAATATAACAACTACTATTAAACAGGATAAATTCAACCTCCCGCAACAGTGACTGCCAGCAAGGGACTCTGAGAAGTGTGGAAAAATTGAGAATAAAGAATCCTCTGAAAATAGCCTTTCTTAATAAAAATAAAAATATTGCTACTATGTGTGTTTGCTCTTTTCTTTCCTCTGAAGAAAAAAAATTACCTCACACATTAATACAAAAATGAAAACAAAAACACCAAGAATCTTTCCATATGTTTTATATTAGTAGAAAAACTTTCAGAAAAAAAGTTGTTAACTAAAGTGGGTTTACATTTTACTCATCATCATTCATTCTGCTTACTTGCCTATTTTGCCATTCTTGACTTTCAGTGTTACACATCCTTCCAGGAAAGTTTAGTAGTAAAACCATGGAGGGAGTTTAGCTTTTATTGATTCTGAAAGAACAATATAACAAGATACTGACAATAACAAACAGATACGAAATTGTTTCAGCCTGGAAACAATTGCAGCCATATAACCCTTGGTGGCCTGTTTTTTATGAACTTTTATTTTTCTCTCCACAATGACTAGCACGGGAACTATCACCCATCCAATCTAGCAGCTTCTCATTGCTCAGGAAATGGTTAAGCTACTGCAGGTCAGCCCGGCACGCCCCGGTAATGCTTTGATTTGTTTCTCACACAAAACCAATTTGAGTCATTTATTTTACTAACAACTCCCAACAGAATCAAGGCACTGGACGAGTCTCTTTTTAAGATAAATTTACCCTCACACTTGACTTTGTCAAGAGAAGGTTTCCTCTGAGAAGGATATAGATTTCATGGATTTTCGTTAAGTATCTGTAGAGCCTTTACTTAATATTAAGGAATTGAACAATTTAGCTATTTTTTTAAGCAACCACACAATCCCAGTCTGGCTTAAATTAATACTGTTTCTGACACATAAAAGTTTGACTCAGAAAATCTCTGGGGTAAACAATCCAAATGTAATAATTACTCCAAATGCTTCTAACCACAGAACAGGAGAACGTGCCTCCTTGAGTCTTGATTTCAGTCAGTCAACAAATATGCAATGGATTCCTTTACACAGGTGATCTTGTAATTGGTGCTATATAAGTTATTCTTATTTGAAGGTTGCAAATATTTTGTCTTCCAAAACAGAGCCTCCAAGGAAAAAAAATCAAACAGTTAACAGTATACTTCTCAAATAACAGCTCTTGTTTCAAAATGGGTGATTCATAGTTGAGTCAGCGTCTGCTTGCTGGAGGGTCACTGTAGGAGCAGCCAGGAGGGAGGATGACTTCTCTGGTGATGCTACTGCCCCTCCAGAGTTATCTTGAAGCTAACTAGCCAGTGGCTTCAAACCACATACATCTGAATGAGCAAGATTTTTGGTGATGGTTGAAGAAGAGAAAGGAGGAGGAAAAGAGGAAGGAGACCAATAAATTTCTGGACTTTGAGATTAAAATTATAATCTTTATTTTGTATTCCAATTTTAAAGTGAACTAAGTTTGCCACAAGCCACCCTCAAACAGTAAGCACACCAGCCTGCATCAAGTCATTAACCTTTTAGAACCCACTCAAGGCAATGTAGTGTGACTTTATTAATGAATAATATGGTCTATAAAAGCTAACAAACACAGACACTTGCTATGATTCATCAAATTTAATATTCCATCAAACCTTTCAGTTTAAAGACCAATGATGTTTTTAAAGAATACCAGAACCCCAAAATGGAAGTCCTGTGCTCCAATTAAACTTAATGCATCAAAAAATAAAATCCATAAGAATTTATTGCTAGGTCAAAATTTTGAGTAAACAAACAATAAAAGAAATAACTGCTATGCAACATGAATTATAACTCCAGAAAATATTATTGAAACTGCAGACAACCAAGAGATGTAGTCCTTGAAAACAGCCTTGCTATTTAAGGCACACATTGTCTGTTGTGTTGCTAGGAGGCAAAAGACCCTATCGTAAAACAGCTGGGCTTCTTGTTCCAGGCAAAGGCAAATTCCACAATCAGAAACCGAATTAGAAACTTCTAGAATTCTTGCAGTCTTTTACTTACTGACATTCATACTTTGGAAATCCATACTTATGTGCCTGACTTTTCTATAAGATCCCTTTTTGTAGAATTACAATGTACACATTTTCCCATGGATATTTTATAAGCTGTCTTACAAAAAGACAGCTTGTCTTGTTGACTTTTGGTGCCCATCTGCAAGGATTCCTGGACAAAGTTTTCAAATGTAGTTTTGATTTAGAGATGCCTTTTTTCATGTTTTTCTCTTTTAAATATGTATGTGCTCTAGTATAAGCGGAAAAAATGATGCAGGAGAATTTTAGTGGTCTAGTCTGGCTTCATTTGATCTTCTGCTCAAAATCTAGGTCATGGTCAGGGCCTGATACATGCCAAAAATTAGTAGAGTTCCAAGGAAACATATTCACAGAGCCTAAGGTCCTTTTGTGGACAAAGAAAGAGGCCTATAAATTATGTCACCAGGCCAATCTGCCATGTCATCAAAGAATAATCCGAGTGGATTATTATCTTTTTCTCTTCAATTCATTCTGTAGATGTCTTAAGTGCTTTGCAAACTTTATTCCTCTTTATCTGGCTGTCAGATAGGTTATCTCTCATTTTACGAATGAAAGATCAGACACAGTGAAATTAACTGATGAGCTGAGGCTCCGATTAAACCAAATCAGGAGGCTACTGACATTAGGATCTTCCTATCAGTCAGAATGACATTTCTGAGCTCCTGGAATAGAGAATACCAGGTTATGTGAAATTTACTTGGTTCAGTTCTTTCTCGCAAACACATTGTTCATGGTGCCAAGTTCTCAAACATATTCCAAAACAGAGAATATGTGCATGTTCCTAGGTTTTTTAAAAATACATAACATAGAATATAGGAGATATTTTAACTGACATGGGAAATGAAAAACTACTATGTTACCACTGTGAAATGTGAATAATTCACTTATATCATCTGAGATTTGTGCTGCAAATTGGCTCATGAATTGTAGGATAACCATAACAAAATAGTGTCCATATGACAAAAAGTGGATCAATTTTAAAAATTTAGCTATATGTCAATCTCTCTTAGAAAGAAAAAGAAGGCTACATTTCTGGTGAAAATTAGACTTATGTATAGAGAAAGTGTCTGATATGATTCAAAAATCATAGCATTTATGCTTAGCTAGAACTTTCAAAGACATATTCAAACCATTCATCTTAGAGTTGAAGTTGCTAAATTCTGAGAGTTTAGACAACTTAATTAATTTCTACCACCCTATTCAAGGCCACAGTTGACATAACGAAGTTCAACCCTTTCATTTCAATGGTAAATGGGCCTCAATGAGGGAAAAGGGTTGAGCTAGTCACATTCTAAGCTCCCTTGCAGCTCTAACATCTGACTAGTTATTACCTCTTCTCAGGGAATACCCATGTCCCCTATTCCCATTGGGTGTTCTATCCATCCTTATCTTGTCCCTTAAACATTGAGAAACAGATGCATATCAATGTGTAGGGTACATTGCAAGCCACGTTTTTGTGAACTCTGGAGATTGTTGGTGGGGATTTTTGTTAGAAGGGACCAAGGAAACCCCAGAAACCTAGAGCACGACTCTTGTACTTTTAAAGGAAACAAGAAGACCATGGGAACAACCACTGGATGGCTCTGTGAAGCCTGGTGACAGAGTGGGGTGAGATCCCTGAATCTGCATGGTGGCCATGGTGGCAAGTGTCCATAGCCTCCCACGTGTTCCTGGGTGAGCCTCAATACTTGGGCTCCATTCACACCTGTAGGCCTTACTCCCACAGATGCAGCCAAGAACTTGACATTTTGGCCAAAGATGGAAGGATGGGGCAGCTACTCGAAGCCAGGAATATAGAGGTGGAGAGGAATGAGAGTTGTAGAAGATCCTGTTTTAGGAACTGACTGAGCATGCTCTCATACACAGCTGTGAGTCCTCACAAAATGCATTATAACATGCTGGCCTAGGAATGAGAAACCCAGAGGGCTTGTGTTTCCTTCATGTAACCATTATTTAATGCAACACTGTGCTCAGGACTGCAGATGCAACAGTGAGCAAAACCCAACAAGGTCACTACAGGCTTGTCACTTGTCTTTACTGGGCAAAGCTGCTGTACAATAAACTCATTCAACACAGCAGCAGACTCAGGAGTGTTTTGTCCTGAGCTCATCTTTGCCCAGAAATTCAGCACCCCTTTTGACTCTACACTCCAGAAATACTGAACTAGAACAGTTCTCCAAACTCTTCAATCTTCTCTTTGCTCTTACTTTTCTTTCTCACCACAACTATCTTCCTACTCCCTCTTTCCTGGTCAATTCCTTTGGATCCCTTCTTAGATACTCAGGAATCTCTTTTCCTTCAACCTCCACCCGGATGGAGCCTGGTGCCCTCATGTGTGCTCCTAGGCACCCCAGGCCTCTCTTATGGGAGCCTTCACTTGCCTCCTGCTCAGCGGGCTCCTTCACTGGGCCCTAAGCTGCATGAGGACAATGTTCCTCCTGTAATTCCTGCTATTTTATAGCCTGGCATTAGCACAGGATCTGGCCACAGGGTCCAAAGGTAAACTGTATTTCAATGGAATTGGCTTTCTTTGTAATCCTGTGTATTTTATTTAATGCTTTAAAAAACGTTCTGAGTAGGCATCCGTAGGTTTCATCTGGCCGCCGAAGGGGTTTATAGTGCAAACAAACTTAATAACATCTGCTAGATGCTCAGTAAATATATTACAAATGAGTAATCAGAAAAATGAATGAAAGAACAAATGAAATGAAAGAAACTCCTCATTGCCCAGCAAAAAAGAAGCTTGACTCCAGGTCTGACATGGTGAGAACCTGTCCACACGAACATGATTTTAATCCACAAGATGGTGGCATGAAATTGCAGAAAAGGTTCACCATTTCTTGGATACCCAATATATTTGTGTCCTGTGGAAAACTCTGTTGGTTGCCTACTCTACCACAAGTCCCCTCCCCTTTCTTCCATACTAACAAGACTGCCTCCTATTATAGCACTAAAACAGCCAACACCCTTTGTGGTGTGTTATGGCCATGGGACCCAGTTCTGGTCCATATGATGTAAGCAGAAGCCCCAGAGGCTTCTGGGATATATGTCCTTCTCTGACAAGCAGAGAGTGATCTTGGAAAGAAGCCTTCTTTACCACCCTGCCTTTGAACACAACTTTGTGACTGTGTGAAGTCTAGGACTATGGTGTCCATCTTATGTCCAAGATGCAGTAAGTCTGAGGATGAAAAGAAAACATGCTGAGCATGGGGAAGTAGAAATGGAGAAAGACCCTGGGTCCCCAATAACCTGATTAAATCACAAAATCATCTATGAAATTCCCATCCCAAACATCTTATGTAAGAGATTCTTAAATTACTTACTATCTTCCCATCTTACACAGCAACACAACCCAATGACAAATTTTCCTACCATGGGATTCAGGGCAATGATACTGAATCAGTTAAGGATACAACTTCCCGTTTTCAGTTATCAGCTAACACTTCCCTCAGCAAAGTTCAGATTCACTCAACAACTATTTTATCCCTAGAATACACCAGGCAGAAAAAAGGAGTGTTGGCTGTGTATTGGGGAAATTATTTTATGATATGATAGTCACTATCACCAGCAGACCTTCTGGAAGAACTTCTTTGTGTCTAACTATCCTGAGCAATAAAGTGATAGGCCAGTCTGGATTTAAAGCAGTGTGCACAACACATATGTTTATTGTGGCACTATTCACAATAGCAAAGACTTGGAACCAACCCAAATGCCCATCAATGATAGACTGGATTAAGAAAATGTGGCACATATACACCATGGAATACTATGCAGCCATAAAAAAGGATGAGTTTATGTCCTTTGTAGGAACATGGACGAAGCTGGAAACCATCATTCTCAGCAAACTATCGCAAGGACAGAAAACCAAACACTGCATGTTCTCACTCATAGGTGGGAATTGAACAATGAGAACACCTGAACACAGGAAGGGGAACATCACACACCGGGGCCTGTTGTGGGTGGGCGGAGAGGGGAGGGATAGCATTAGGAGATATAACTAATATAAATGATGAGTTAATAGGTGCAGCACACCAACATGGCACATGGATACATATGTAACAAACCTGCACCTTGTGCACATGTACCCTAGAACTTAAAGTATAATAAAAATAAAAATAAAAATAAAGCAGTGTGCACAAAAGGTGAAGGTCCCGTCTGAAACGGGAGTGGGGAGGCTGCTGAGACTCACACGCAGCCTCCACCCATCATTCTCCCCAACTCTAGCCTAGCTCCTAACATAACCTCCTGATGTTTTTTACTTTCTTATTTCTCAGTTCTCTCTGGGTATTGACATATCCCCCCATGGACTATAAGCTCCTTTGAAGTCAGGGACAGTATTCCAGGAATCACTGTCATCTTCCTGTAGTATCAGGGGGAGGAGGGGGTCAATAAATGTGTGTTCAAAAATACTTTTTAAAAGGCTTAGGACTATTTGTAAGACAGAGTTGAGAGTATATAACAAAGCCCCTGAAGAGAAAGCACATACATGAAAAGATCATTATAATTTCAAGTAGCACTGCAACAGCTGCATGAAGGAGAAAGTCAAAGTCACGCAGGCCCGAGTTGGAAAAGGAAGGATTTATAGAAGGTCTATACTTCTAACTAGTCCTGGAAGTGAGTAAGACTAAGACAAGAGGAGGAATAGAAGGGCATATGAGGCAGGACACATGGTGTGACAAGACAAGGGACCATTTCAGGAAAGCAAAGGATCGGTGTAGGGAAATTAGGAGATTAAATGGGAGAGGATATTTCATGTCAGATGGTAGACATTGGTCCTTGTTGCCAAGCTGAGGAGTTTGAACTTTATCTTATAGGAAATGGGGAATCCATTGAAAGTTGTAGGAGACAGTTACAAACATATACCTTGCAAATACTATTTGCTACACTCTTTGCTGTGAAATCTGTGTCACTCATTGATAATGCCAGAGGCTGTTATCAGTCAGGAGATTACTAGACAGTAGAATTATCTGGACAATAGTTTCCATCTTCCTGGCAAATAGGTTATACAGGACAGACTCAAAAGCCTTCTTATCTATGAATTATTGTTTCCTGCTAACAATCGTATTTGATTTGAAGGAAAATTTTTCCATTACTTTTCCAGAGACAGAAATTAAGATTACAGTCACTCTTTTATCCTTCATTTTTGACCTCAAGGGCAGAGGTCTATAATAATCCTACACCTCTTTGTATAGCATATCATCACATAACTCCACAAAAAATCCTTCTCATATTTCATTATTTTTTTCCTCCTCACTCAGATCCTCATCCCCATTCTTCTCACCCTCATAACAGTCAATTTAATATTTTGATGTGTGCATATATTTTCATATATCTACTGTTTTTGTACTCAACAAATTTTTATATTTGTTTTTAAAATTTAGACAAATGGAATTTTAAATATCATTCTCTCTTTATCACTCATAATTTTGCTTTAAAAATTTACCCATATTGCCATATTTACATAAAAAATATTGCCTCCACCAGCTGCACGGTATTCCAGACTGCGACAACCCAGTGTACTGATCCATTCCCCTGGTAGAAGGCATCAAGTTTGATTCCCCATTATCACAAATAATGCTAAAAAGACATTGGCATATATGATCCCTTTGTGAAAATTTCTCTGGGATATGTGTTCAGAAGTGGGATTGCAGTAGTAGGGTGACTATATAATTTATTTTCCCAAGAACATCCTGGAAAATGAAAACGGCACTATTAATAATTATGTCAGAACCTCAGACTTTCCCTGCTACCCTGAGTAAGAAAGGGCCTCTTGTCACCTTAGTCTTATGACATACTCATACTTAATTTCATCAAGATTGTCAGGTTGCTTTCTGAAATAATCATACTCATTTCCTCTTCCCTCAATAACGAAAGAGTTTTCACAACCCCTCATCCTTGCAAACACTTGGCATTATTCAGTTTTCTAAACTCTGATGTTCTCATGTGTCTAGAGTAGCCAATTGTTCTGCTTATCAATGAATTTGAACACCCCATCCAACACCAGTTCATCATTTGAGCTTCATACTGTTTGCATATATTTCTATGGTGTTTCCTGTTTATTTCTGGTCAATTTGCAGGAGCTTTTTATAGATTCTAGATATTAATTGTGTCAGGTTTTTTTTTTTTGTCAAAGTCGGTTTTAAGCATTGCAAACATCTTCTCCTAGTCTATCATCTGTCCACTAATGTGATGAAGCTTATGGTTTACTGTTGCCAGGGTCATCATTTTCTCTTCAAATAAATAAATAATATAAATTTAAATAATAGATTAACAATTCTCTTTAAATCTATAGGAAGATATTATTATCTTCTTCCCCAGTCTCTGGCTGACTGTCTAGCTCTTTGCACATTCTTTTTTAAACAATGATAAAGTCTATAATGACTTTAGGCAAGTCACTGCCATCCCTCATGACAGTGGTTCTTAAACTGAACGTCACCTGAACCACATGGGGTGGGGCCAGACTCCGCATCTTTAACCAGCTACCCAGGGAATGCTGATGCTGAAATCCAACAGCCCCATGTAAAGACACATGGCCTAGCATACAAAACACTGGGGCCAGCAACATGGGATAATAGTGCTGAAAGAGAGCTTGGAGATTCCCTAGTTCAACCCCCGCACACACATTCCAAGTCTTGAGAGGACAAGCACCTTGACCAAGAGGCCAAAGCTTCAGGCCTCCTGCCTGATGCCAGGCCGGGGCTCTTGTCATCACAACAGGCAGGACGTGAAATACCTCTCTTACTCCAGTGCTTCCTTATTGACATATCCTAATCAGGAAGAATCATTCCATTTCATATACTGTATAGTGAGCCCTGTTTTCGTTTTACTGTTGAATTTTTATCCAAGGCTTCGGGTGGCAAAAAGATAAAATGCTTTCATCTTAGGATGTCATTATTATCAGCACGATCTAATTTAGGAGAGCAACATGCTTACTTCTTGCATTTTCAACATTTTTAAAGTAAAGCAAAAGATCCTCCTCCCTTGTCATGAATAGCATCTCTGAAAATAGTCCACCAAACCTCCAGAGTCCAGTGCAAACAAAACTCGGCTCCATGGCATCCCCCTGTTTCGTATTCACATGATGCAAAACACATGGGCCAAATTTATGTCACCGCAATTTGCCTGGCAGCGAGCATTTAAATCACCAAGGTTTGCAGCTCCACGTTTTAGGATGTTGTTTGCAATCCTGTAGCCAAGAGCTCTGAAGGAACAAGCTCACATGAAGGGTCGTTAGCCAGCCGGATGTGATGGGGCTGTTTTAGCAGAGAACTAATTAGTATGCTGCAAGGTATCTGCATATCTCTCAAATAGACATTGTTTGTGTCTTTCCTCAGTGACAGGGGGAGATTGTTCAGTAGAACACCTTACCTTTTAATATGCGGGGTTTGTTAGAAGAACAGCTCAATTCATATTTCCCCTGGTTTGATGGTAAGTGAACAGCAGTGGCAATATTAATCTGTAGTAACCTGTCAGTGAACTCTACAGCTAATATGATGTAGTTATGATTTTACCATCAATCAGGACTGAACAGGCTCTGGGCAATCCTTACAGCACAGCCTCAAAAAATCTAATTGTGCAAAAGCTTCATTGGTTTCCAACATTTCTTTTTATCTGTCACAGGCTTTAGGCCTAATACACAACCTTTTATTATTGGCCTTATTGCATTAGCTTGTCGGACAAAGAAGAAAAGGCTAAAGCAGAGAGTTCCCCTGCATTCCATCATTTGTTTGCATGCAGGATTTTATTTGACAGTCCTGTATTGTTTTAGATGTAGATAAAAATTATTCAGACATATGGCATCATATGAACTTTTGAACTGCCAATTGCCAATGTGTCCTAAAGGACTGGAGGCATTTACAAATTCTGCTCTACCTACAAAGACAGAAATGCTATATGGACGAGCCAATAAGGTCTCCTGGGGGAACTGTATTTTAGAATCAACATAATCTTGCATGTTCTCCTTGACCAGTTTTTATGCAGGGGAGGAGTAAAATTGAGAGATGGAACATTAGCAACTGAGATGATTTTTAGCCAAAATGAAGGTTGAATATTTGAGAAATTAAAATGGAAAAACAGTTCACTTTCTCTGAGAACCCGCATGCACAGCATGAAGTAGTATGGAGCCACATGGTGTCCCTTCGTCCCTTCATGTGCAGAATATTTTTCTGGGTGTCTGAGATGCAGTGAGATTCAGTTCCAATGAGAACATGTGCATAAAACACAAATCCACATCAAAGTAGCTCCAGCCTTGAGACTACTGGGTTGGAAGGAACTGTAAGACTTAAAACATATAAAAGCATTTAGGAAGATGAACTATTAACTTTATCTATTTAGGCATTTTAATCTTTTGCATCTTAAATGCAATTGGGCTTTTGGAACTGGGAAATTGCTAATCAGCATGTTGGGTAAATGTTTCTATTTTAAAATGTGCACATTTAGAAATAACAGCTGGCCATAAAGTACATATTTATGTTTGTGATTTAATGTATCACAAACTTTATACTTTATTTCATTCAGCTTCACAAAGAGACCACGCTATTTTTTTTGCAAGCATTATATAACTTTTGCAGCAGCTTTATGACTCAAGAAACACATACAGCAATAAATCAGATATGTATACAATGCCTAGTTTTTCAAATTTGAAATGTCTATTAATGAAAAAATGTAAGGATTATATCCATCTCTTACACTGTCCTAACTCATTTAAAGATTCGACTGAAAATTCCTGTCCATTAATCAGGAAAAATCTGCACAGAATTATACCGATTGTCATTTGAAACACTGCACCCTTGCTTCAAAGGAAACATATTGTGACTAAGGGCACAACAACAGCACAACTGAGTGTTAACCCTTCACAAACCAGCGTGCACATTGTCTACAACCTCATAAAAATAGCTACACAAAATAAGGAAATAGCTATGGCATCCTGCGGTAAGTGTGCAGGAACACGCCTTGGGACTACTGAGGTGGCTGCTGGAGGAGAAAGATGAAAACAGGATGTTAAATGGTTGCAGCAGTGGTGGCAGCTTTGAGAGTTCTCTGGCCCCATCTTCATCGTTAGATGAGCTTTTTCTTAAAAAGGTGGTCTCTAGAGGGTTCTTTTCAAATATTTAAATCTAAATGATCTTAAGGAAGACCACCTGAAAACATCCCAGCTTTGTCAGACCTCTTATAAATTTATAGCTTCTAAGGTAAGCCTTCCTGACAATGTGGCCAGCACGCCACTCACTAGTGAAGGCCTTTGTCAGTGCAGGAAAATGTTTGCATTTGTCAGAGTAAGTTTAGTTCCAAGGTATCATAGCTAAAAAGAGCATTGGATTCTCTTGTGCTGTCCTTGGCAAGAAAAACATGACAGAGAATGTCCATATGAGCAGTTTCAAAATTTAAAAACTAGAAAAGACTGTGAAACTAAATAACTATTGAAAAATGGGAAATTTAGGGTGGGGCATGGTGGCTGATGCCTGTAATCCCAGCACTTTGGGAAGCCAAGGCAGGCGTATAGCCTGAGGCCAGGAGATCGAGACCAGCCTGGGCAACATGGTGAAACACTGTCTATACTAAAATACAAAAAATTAGTCGGGTGTGGCGGCATGTGCCTGTAGTCCCAGCTACTCAGGAGGCTGAGGCAGGAGAATTGCTTGAACTCAGGAGGTGGAGGTTGCAGTGAGCCAAGATCGCACCAATGCACTCCAGCTTGGGCAACAGAGCAAGACTCTGTCTCAAAAAAAAAAAAACAAGGGGGGGCGGGAGGGATTTATACAGTCTAACGCAGCTATTGCTTAAAATACATATAAATATATCTACAAAATTATTAAAATTAAAAAATGCCTACAGACACATGGATAATATACATGTCATTTTCAAGTCAAATGATAACAACAGTGAAAGTTCTCTCCAGAAATAAAAAATGCTAAGCAACTGAAAAAATGTTATTTCTTCAACATTCTCCTTGGACAAAAGGAGAATGGGATAAAAGGTAACTGAATTCATCTTATGAATGTCTTTAAAACTGTAAGTTGAGAAAATATGTCTTTCAAAAGAGTTGACAGAAAACAAGGGCAAAAGGTTCATAGAAGAAAATGTAAAGTGAAGACATGGGGGCAGAATGGTGAAATGTTTTTATAAAGGACTACCTAATCATAGTGACAAAGGTAGATTCAGAATTATTGGGGAAGAAAGGAGAAAAGCTTAGAAAGCCAACACATTAATTAGTAAGTTTGAAACATAGATAATAAATATTATTAAATAAATTGTTTATATGTTCAAACATCTATCTATATATGTATATACTGTATGTAATATATTTTACCATTTTATGCTAACAAAGAATTTTTCTAGCAAAATATTACCAGCGTATCTTAGGTACATATAATTTTAGTGGATTTCATCCCCCTTGAGAATATGTTCTAGATCCCAGAGAATTTAATACAGTTTCATCTAATTTATGTTTTTAAAAATATACTCATGTTTGGAAGGTATAAAGAACAATAATTACTCCAGCAATATTGCTGAACTGAGAATAGAAAGAAATGAAAACTAATATAAAAGTCATAATGGCAAAATGTGTTGAAGTTCAGCAGCCAAGAGGGAAACACAATTGTAAGCTCAGTTGGTCAGGTCACAATGAAACTGATAAAAAAATACAAAGATTAATTACAAAATTATTGGGAAACGTCAAGTAATGTATGAATCATTGACATAGGATCAGTCAGATTCCTCTGGTATTTTGCAGCAGAAAAATGAGAAGAATGGAACTAAAGTCTTCAAATACATTTAATTGCATTCCTTTTTGGATATGTAATATCAATACAAAAAGTTTCGATCAATACTGTAAGTCAAATGAAACATATGCCATGGTCAAATGAAGCATTTGGTTGTAGTATATGAAACTGCCATTTTGTAGGTCAAAATTGGTTGAACTTTAGCAATTTCATAAGGTTCATTTATTGTAATATATGTTATAGTGTAGGCAATTTAGGATAGTTTTTGAAATCAAATGGACATGTATGTATCCCATTTCAGTTCTACTACTTTACTAGCTGTGAATTCTTAGACAATTGGATGCATTAATTTCTCTGAGCTTTACTGTCCCTACCATACAATAGGCATAATAGTATCTATCTTGGAGTGTTGTGTGGATTAAATTAGTGCCTCACACAGGGCTTTTCCCCCACATAACAAAAAGGTAGTTCCCAAAACATTTATTTTAAAGTCAATAGTTAAGAACTCAGAAAGGAGGGAGCTGAGGTTCTACTAAACCTTCTGAGATGCCCCACAATTTTCAGTGTTCTGAAGTTTTGGTTACCTTACAGAAAAACCACACTGAACAGAAGCCAGCTGTCCTTAGAGGTGAGGACATCCCACCTGAATATCTGCTTGAGATCAATGTCAGCTTTATTTTTGAAAGATAACCTGAATTTTGTTTCCACATCCCATTCTGCCAGGGACAGCAGTAGGATTTAAAATAACCAGAAAGACACACAGAATAATTCTTTGAAATTCAATAGCTATTAAATTAGGGAAGGAGGTTTAAGAGTGGGGCGGGGAGCAGGAGCTCATGTAAAGCCCCTCACACTTTGTAAGCAATCTGATAACTTCTGAATGCCTGATTGTATTATTGCCACTGGCCTTACATATGTGGGTTAATTTCCTTCAGGGTATACTTTCTCATACCCCATCCAGCCAGAGAAGTCGGTGCTTAGTAAACTCTGTAGGGTACTGGTGGGTGATATCTTCTCAGTGGAGAACCGGTTTCAAACACCTATTCTGTTTTTCTCAAACAAATCTGCAGAGGAGTACATCCACTGTCTATAAGATTTCTGTATGAAAAATATAGTGCCCTGAAAGTTAATCCAACAATGTGCCTGGGGCTGTGATAGGTGATCTCCAGGCAAAATTTCATTCTCACAAGTCTATGTGTTATCATTGCCATTTAGAGATGAGGAAACAACCTTACGTACATCACACTACTAAGGTAGTAGGGGATCCTTGAATCTGAGATCTCAGCCAATATACCCTGGTGCCTCTAAAAATCAAGACAGGTATCTGTTATAGAGGTTTTATTTTTTTCTTTTGAGTAGAATTTCAACATCAAATAATCAATAAAGATAGACTATATTTTCCTATTTCATTTCCACCATCCTTTAAAATGGGTCAAAATCATCCTGCCTTCCACTAACGACTAAAAGGGTGATCATTTTCTTATGTGATTCCCACTGTTTTACCTTTAAAGGAGACTCGCTCAATGAACTGAATTGTTTTCAACCTTAGCTTTTCTCCTCCCAGTTTTCATCATTGGGTATCATTCCACTTCAGCAACAGTTCCCCCATACCATAGGTTTTCCTGGTGTTAAAAAATATCAGACATTGCCCACTTGCACCTTTAGGAACTTTGCAAGCCAAGGCTCCCCAGCACAGATCAATATTCCACATTAGAGAAATGCAGGAACAAGCCAATAGAATTAGCAGACTAATTTACTGTGCCTCGGCCGCAGCTGGCAGGGACCGCAGAGGGAAGCAAGCAGATGTTTGTTTGCTAATGGTGGCTTCCTTGAGTTGTCAGAGCCCAGTGCCCCAGACCTTCATTAGCCAGTCTGTCCAGCTTAATAAAAAAGGATAAGGGGGTTTTGACTGTGCTCATTTGGTAATGTCAATTGATTTGTTTTCTACCACTCATATAATGTTCCAGGCTTTCCATAGTTACAATGTGGAATGATTGTACAACATTTTTAATTTGTTGTATTGGAAAGGGGAAAATCTTTAATGCAGATGAATCAGAAATTGTTATTGGGGTCATAGTTTCCAATATATGTGTTCAAGAAATTGTGGCCAATTATCTCTCACACCAAGCTTGGAAGACAGAAAATAAAATGGCAGCAAGAAACACTTGAAAGAGCATGTGGATTTTCTTTCGTTATAGCACTGCAGCAATTTATAGAAGTTTGATTTTCTCTCTCCAAAAAACATGAATAAACTTGTAACAAAACATAGAGTCAAGGAAAACTGTGTTTCCTTTAGATTGATCTCTGTCTTGCCTACACATGCAGCCTCCTAGGAGGAAAACCAAGACTTCAAGGGGCACAATGCCCCTTTTGAGAGACTGATGCTGAGATAGTACACTATGAACCCATGGTGAGGCTTGGTACCTGCTTTCATTTTTGTTTCCTCATATGGATCTTATCTATTCTATCGAGATTTTATCCATCAAAAAGTTTTTACCCAAGATACCTCTTCTGAAGCTTACTACAGCAAGGTTCTAAGCCAGGTTCATGAGGGGGAAAATCTCATATAAACAATAACAATTCAGGAAGACTGGTGAATTGTTATTCACCAGTTATTCAGGTGAATAAACTTTGGAGGACAGAGTAAGGGGAGGGTGTTTAAAATAGGAAAAGATGAAACATTATTTAAAAAAAGAGTGCCACTTCAGCTTGAAATCTTGGTAGGACTTAGCCAGAAGTATAGAAGGAGAGCATTCGAGGGAGGGAATGCCTCAGACAAGGTCACAGACTTGGGGAAGAATGAGATTTTTGTATTCTGAGAATGGAGAGGAGTCGCTTTGGCTGGACAAAAGATGTGGGTGGCAAAGTGGTCAAAGACAAGAGGCTAAAACTTGAAACACTTTGAATGCCAACCTCAGCCATAGGGACTTTATGTGGTAGACCCCTGGGTACCACTGAGGGACTCCATGCACCATCGGCCCAATGAGTTCTGTGATGCAAGAAGGTAATTGGTCATCAATGTGTAGGCTGAATGCATGGGTACAGATTAGCAGGAAGTTAGAGGACAATGGAGGCATGAACTAGAGTGATAACAATAGGAATGAAATGGAAGTGAAAGTAAGAGTTACATGTTAAGGGGATAGAAAATGCAGCACTTAATGCATTTATGCTCAAGTGGTAAAGGGCACTGACTTGTGCTCTTATCCAAGGCATTGTCTCCCTCGAAGGCTCTCCAAATGACTAGAGGGAAACAGTAGGAGGGCTGTGGCCCAAGAGGAAGAAAAAGTTGGTGTTAACTGAGACTGAAAACCTTGGGAACTGGGTATCATTAAACAAACAGACCAACAAAGCAATGAACTGATCTGCAGACACTGTTGAGCACCTCAGCATGTCAAGTGCTTTTTGGGCACTATTTCTTCTTATGTTCACAATTTTTATTGGCAACTATGTTATTCCCACTTTGTTTCTGAGGAAACTGGGGCTCAGATAATAACCAATTTGCTTATATTCACACAGATAAAATGTGACACAGTGATTGTTTGAACTCAGCTCTGTCTGGCTCCAAAGCCTATACTGTGTACCTATTCCAGAGGTTTTCAATTTGTGTTCTGAAGAATTCTGGAGATCCTCAGAGGGTCCCGGGGTTACTAGGAAGGGCATGAAGGAGATTGGGCCTTCGGCCCTCATCTTGGCTTCCTTTCTTAATATTTCCTTTGATGAAGGAATTCTAAGGGCAAAATCAGCATGTTCTACTCTATCTCAAAAGAAGAGAATGGCTTGCTTTAAGACATACTGAATTTGAGGGGCAAATGGGACAAATGGAGATGTCCAAATGTAAAATATAAAGAACTGATCTTAGGGATGAAGATATAGGTTCAGGAGCACGTGTGTGGAGGAGATCAGTGAAAGAGGCTGTCTAGTGCCATGCTGGTATTAGCTTTCAAATATTAGGAGTCACATTCTAGTGTGTCTAAGATGTGTGATCACATCCAACTGGCATGCGCAGGAAGGGCTAAAAGCTCCTACTTGCTTTGTAATGCTCTCTGCTTCTCTCTTCAATGTCCATACACCTCTGCTCCCACCAGCTTCATATCCAACTCATCAAGAGCACTTGTGTTTATTCCCAAACCAGTTTTTGTCAGTTCCATTTGTTTTGTAATTCATAATTTTGTTGAATATATAAATCAATGCAATATGAATGCAAAAGGAAATAAAGTGGTTTAAATGAAAATAAGTTGAATTGTTTGGAAACAATAAGGCAAGCTACTTTGCTTTGAGTAAATGAGGTAGGAATGAAACTGTTGTAATGTATCAGGGGCAGGACATTAAAAACTAGACAGATTCTGGGCTTCCCAAGTGTCTTTAAATTCTTACAGCACTAAGAAACTAAAATTGGAAGTTGCTGATGACACATTGTGGATGCAGCTTGTACAAGTAAGGTGACTTGGACTCCAAGCATCAGACCTTGGCCCTACCTCAAAAGCATGGGAGATAAATGTATATTTGTAAGTTTTAAATAAAAAGAAAATGTTTCCTGTTTTATATGTGTCACTTTTTATGATGCCACACTTCAAATGATGGCCCATCAGTGAAAAGAATGTGTTTCCTTCTCTTTCCTGTGGCCTCTGACTATTTTATATAAAATGAAATAGGGCATTAGAAACAACTCTCATAGGAGAATTTTCAATAGATTTTGCAAATAAAAAAATTCAAAAATTTTGCAATCCCCTAATTAATCTTTTATTAACCTACTACCACCAGTCTTGACTAAGTCAGATGAGAATGCAGTCATCACGTATTTCTAGTCTGTGGACAGAAAAGGGATTTTTACCACTTGAGCTTAAGTCCATCCCTTGATTCCTTCAATCCTTTGGTAAAACCAGCTAGAAAATTTGGCAAGGAACAGAAAATTGTTGAACTGGTTTGAAGCTTCCCAGGACTTGTAAATATGGGATGGAGGCAGAGGAGTGAGAGTTTAGCTTTTAAATAACTTAATTATCATTTACCTTTGTAAAATCATGTGAAAAAAAGTCTTCTTACTGTAAATATATGTAAGTAGTTGTGCCTATTACTAACAGGCATAATTCTGCCAATCGCCATTATGACATAAAATAAGGTTCCCAGCTAGCAGGAAATGGACTGTTGTGAAGGCATTTCTGTGTGTGCAAGGTCGGATTTTACTTTGCTGCCCCAGAGAAATACGAGGAGTTGGAGCACTCAGAAGGAGAGGCCACGCTGCTCCACCGCAACTGCTGCATTGTGACCCGGAAGCCCTGAGCGCCCAGCACCACGAGGCCTGTGTGTCTAATTGGCACTGCAGCCAGGAAAGCCTCCTCCCTCTGTGGGCCCCATGCAGGACTGCCAGAGTCAAAGAAGGGGGTTGGGGAGAATATGTTGCATGCGAGTGTGTGTGTGTGTGTGTGGGTGGGTGTGTGTGCGCGCGCGTGTGTATGTGCATGTGTGTTGTGTGCGATCACCTGCTTCCCTTCCCTTGTTGCCATGGGTTACGAAGCCCATAGCTGGAGAGCAGGGCCAAGCACTTGAGGTGGAAATAACTGCGTCAGCCTCTGAAAAAAGAAATTAGAAATAGGGAGCCTGGAAACAATGGCAAAAGAACAAAAATCAACATCCCAAGGCAGCCCGACTGTGAGCAAGGAAGCCAGGCAGCCAAAAGGAGGGCGGCTCTTCATAAATCTCACTTTCACCAGACATGTTGGTCTAAACAGTGATGACGAGAAAAGAATGAATGCAAATATCTACGGCAATCCTGTGTCTCCACCCGCTTGGCCTTAGGTCTATAATCCAACTTGGAGAAAAATAAACAAAGTCTGTGAAGAGTTAAGTCAACAGCTGTCAGGGAGTCCAGGACACACATGGCATTATAGAGTACCAGGAGCAGAGGGGAGAGGTGACACCACCAGGAAGGAGGCTGTGACCTTGGGGAGGCCACCATTTAATTGGGCATCTTGTGTCTGTAAGTCAGGCTTGTTGTGCACCCTGCACCCAAATCCTCATTACTCTTCTTATTTGATAGCCTATCAGTGAAAATAATGTGTTTCCTTCTCTGTCCTGTGGCCTCTGACTATTTTATATGAAATGAAATAGGGCATTAGAAATAGCTCTCATAGGAAAATTTTCAATAAATTTTGCAGATAAAAAAATTCAAAAATTTTGCAATCCTCTAATTTTGCAGATTAAAAAAAAAAGGTTCGGATAGGTAACCCAACTTGGTTTTTGTTTGTTTTGTTTTGTTTTGTTTTCAGAGAAAAATAGGAAAAAAAAGAAGACTTAAATGATGCAGTGTATGTTTACTTGTATCAGTCTCAGATTGGAATGCAAGGAGAGGATGATCCTGCATCTCTCCAGACTGAGCTGTCAGGAAAATAAAGAACTTGGATCCTTGCTTTTCTGATGGGCCACCACTGCCTTTGGATGGAAGGACAAAAGCTGCTTTCCAGGCTGGTAGGACATTGGGAGGCAGGGTAGGAAGGACATGGTGGTGGGGTGTGGTCTGCAAGCCTTTCGTGTCTTCCAGGAGCAATTTCTTCCTTCTTTGACCCCATCAAAGGAGATGAATCCCAGGTTCTTGCAATACATGTTTATTTCAGCCATCTTCTCCTTCCTAGGTTGGGGCAAAACTGTGTTCTGTGATCACCATCTGCCATTGGTAGGAAAGGATTCCACTGGGGGTGTGTGGCTAATTTGTGTGCCTAAAGAAAATGGATTTTGAGGTGCTGCATTACTGACTAGCCACTTGCCATCTTCCTCTCCTGCCCTATCTCTCACTGGCTAAATACCATGCAGTGGCCATTCTCATTTTGGTTTCCAGTGTATTTTGCCACCTCAGAAATCTAGACTCTCACATTCAAACCTATGGGAGAATGGTGTCACTTGCATGCTCAGGCAGCTATTGTGGAAACTCACTACCTACCCTGTGCCAGTAGAGTAGAGATAACAGATATGGCTATAGGACTGTCCTAGAGAAAGTTCATGTCAGAGAGAGCTGAGCCTGTCTCCTTCACAGAGGTGCAACAAGGTTGCCAGCCCTTTTCTCTCCTCTGAGTTCCAAGGGCAGAGCACAAGGAGGAAAGCACAGGCTAAGTTACTTAAAGGGCAAATAAACTATTCTGCAGGTGTCTGTGAACCTTTATCAAGAAACACTAGAGAGCTCTGGACACTGGGAGTGGTAGACTGCACCTTGGAATGCAAACTGTCCCAGGAAGCCCCAGGTAACAGGTGCCTGGATTCATAACCCATTAGAACTACCACAGCTATTCCAAAGATTTCAGAAAAGAGTTGAACTTCTCTTTGCTAAAGAAATTAATCCAGAGCCAAAATCCTGCTTTGTTAATGGCTAAATAGCCTTGAGATGGATTCCTCAGCAAAGTCCTTTGATCTCAGTGATCCTTCTGGGAGCTGCATATTTCTTTCAGCAATCAAAGTTCATAGATCTTTTTTTTCCTTCAGGGGTCCTTCTATACTCTGTGAGTTTTTCAAAATCATTATACTACATACCCCTCTATTTCACTTCACTTGTTTCCTCTTTTCCCTTTCTCCAATCACTCCTTTTAGCTGCCTTCATTTTGATTCCCACACAGAAGTGATAATTTCTTGGAGCACTGAGATTTAACATCACAAGAAGAAGAAACATTCAGAGAGCACCCCCCATGCGCCATCTGCGCCAGTGCAGGAATACAGCTGCAAACGTAGCAGATGAGCTCCTCATCCTCACTGCACCCATCTAGGGAGTAAGAAATGTCTGGGGAAATGAACTTTCAGCTGAGAAGGAGGAGAGTTGAAAAATGGGCAAAGGGAAAAACAGGTACAAAGGCCCCAAGTCAAGAGAGAGTGCAGCATGTATAAGAAACACACAGGAGTTGAGTAAGGGGGAGCATATAAAGCAAAGGAGGGTGGCTAGGAGAGCAGATATGGGAAGAGGCTGGCAGGGACCAGGCAATTATGGAAGCCTGTCAACCTCTGAAACCACATCAAGGAATTAGACTCTAACCTGTGGGCAAAGGGAGCCATTGAATGCTGAAAGCACAAAAAGATTCATATCATTGAAAGATGAATGCAAAGGGCCGGGTGCGGTGGCTCATGCCTGTAATCCCAGCATTTTGGGAGGCTGAGGCGGGCAAATCACAAGGTCAGGAGTTCAAGACCAGCCTGGCCAACATGTTGAAACCCCCATCTCAACTAAAAATACCAAAAATTAGCTGGGTGTGGTGGCAGGCCCCTGTAATCCCAGCTACTCAGGAGGCTGAGGCAGGAGAATTGCTGGAACCCAGGAGGCGGAGGTTGCCGTGAGCCGAGATCATGTCACACACTCCAGCCTGGGCAACAGTACAAGACTCCATCTCAAAAAAAAAGAAGAAAAAAGAAAAGATGAATGCAAGATTGGAGGGCCATGGGATTGTTAGCAGGGGTACTAGTTAAGGAGTAATTATGGCCTTCAGTAGGATAGTGGTCATTATGATGGGAAGAACTGAACAGATTAGAGATTTATTTAGACTGTGACACAAGTATAATCTAGGCAAACCCAGTTGGGGTAAGATGAAGTCAATATTGTCGTTGGGAAATCTGAGAGGCATGATGATGTCAAAGAGTAAGAATGCAAACAGGAAAGTTGAAAATAGGGTGGGACAGGGCCAAGAAAGAATCTGCGGTAAGAATTCAGATATAAGTTGGTTACAAGAGGTAGCATGACTAGGGGATTTGGGAGAGTCTGCAGCACTGACATGATAGTTGTGTGGGCTTGTGGATGAGTATAACATGAGCTGCCTAAAGACACCTCATTAATTATGGAATAGGAATACAGGGTGACCTCAGATGTCAATCACTGTGCCTGCCTTGATCACAGTCCTGCTGAAGGGGCAGGTCTAGAGGAGCTTGTGTTAAACACTGTAACCCTACTCTACCTGGTCACAGTTGATTAGAACAGGGATGAGCACCTGACCCCGAGGCAAGCCATCCATAGGCTGGCCAGCAACCAATGATGCAGCCCATCCCCTAACTGTAATCTGAACCAACTAAATTTGCTCTCTTGGGAATATGAACTATGAAAATGCCAAGAGAATGAGCCAGTTAGTAATAAGAGTTGAAGTTTTAAAAGGACGTTGGAGACAGGATGGAGCAAAAAGGAACATGTGCAAGCTGAAGTTACAAGGAAGGGGAAGTTTAGGCCAGTCCACAGAGGGACTAGAATGGTGATGACAGAAGTCATCATTAAGTAATTAGATCCACTAATAGAGGGCAGTTCTCTGTCTCCTGAGAGCAACAGAGAAGCTAGGTGATTTCTAGAACTATCTCCAACCCTAAGCATTTTCCATTTCCAATGCTGTTCCACAAGCATCTTTGCAATAAATCCCTTGCATAACTTGTAAATCTTGGTTCACTGCAACAAAAGGTCATAAGCAAAATACTCACCTAATATTTTGCCTGGTGTCACTTGCTTATCTCTGCCCATCTTCTGGTTTTTCCCTACTGGGCTCCAGAGATGTTAGCCCACACTAGATGCTTCCTGAGGAATTCTGTAACCTCTAATGTCTTACCAAGAGCCACCTTTGGCCACACTCGGTAGGTACATCAAAATCAGCAAGAATGTAAAGCCTCATTCCAGAGATTCTGCTCTATGCAGAATTTTAAACCCATGACGTCTTTCAGTGGGTTGAAAATGTCTTTGAACGTGTGCTCCCATCTCCAGAGCTATGATTAATTACTGGCTGTTGCTGCTGGTTACGCTTGCAACTCTCAGCAAGAAAATGAGTAAAAAGTATTTGAGCTTTGACATTCTCTGACAAAGAGCCTCTTCAAAAAAGGAAGAAAGGAAGAAAAAGAAAAAACAAAGCTGACTGTAATTTATAATGAGGATTCTATATTTCCTGGGCAGCTTTGGATGAGGCAGCATTTGTCCTGAGCCACGCTAAGCTATGATGGAGGCAGGTGAGGCATGTTGCTTCTTCCCCACACACAAAGTTATCCTCATCATGCTCCCTGCACATTTCTGAATTAGTTCCACCTAGTTAGTGTCACTGCAGGACAATTTAGACTGCCATTGTTTGAGTATTCAACATACTCTTTGATGATGGATTTCCAGAAAAGGCAAAATCCATTATTTACACACAGTAGGAAAATAAACCTTCTCCCCAGTCCAAGACATGAAGATCGAGAAAGCTTTTCATTTTAGACAGTTGGAAATTTTGCATTCAAGTGGCTTTGTCAACTCCTTTAATCAATGTCCTTTGGAAAAAGAAATTTAGCAATTCAACTCCTGTATTCAGGAGGGGTGAGATGTAACTAAGGATATTAGCTATCAATGGTTCATGGTCTGTTAGCCAGCATCAGCTGGCAATAAACTATAGCTAACTGACAGTCACACCTTGAGGTAGCATCAAGAATCACAGTAAGGAAAAAAAAACCCTCCAGATTTAAAAAGTACAGGTAGGAAGTTGGGAGAAAAGGATATACCTCTCCAGCTATAAGAAAAATATTTTTCTCAGTAGATCAAAGATGTTCTTATAACATAGTTGTAATAATTTCTCAAGCCAATATGGTAGGTTGTTGATGTTCTCTGAGCTCCATTTCAACAGACACCCAAATGCATACAAGGACAGTGAGGGGAGAGGATATGAATAGTGTCCATGCCTTTCTGTGGGCCTGGACGTCAGGAAGGCAAGGAGACCTCTACTTTATAGCAAGGGGTCTGCAGGCATCACCTTCATGACCGGGGACTTCAGGTGGGTGGCCATTACAACCAGACCAGGGGAAAGAGCCATTAAACAGTGTTTCCCAAAGTGTGTTGCTAGGAATGGAATATGTATAACATAAGAAAAGGGGTCCAAGGTCGAATTTATTGGAGAAATTATGGGTTAAGTAAAGCTAAAGAGGTTTGTTTCAGGACTTCTTGGAGCTTTTCTACACTAATGAATCTGTAAGAAGAGTGCAGGCTGCAGTCTCAACAATTCCTTTTTAATGGGGTGCAGGGGAGCCTTTTTATGGAGCAGCTCATCTCACTGGACTACTATGCTCTGAAACATGCTTTGGGAGAGATTCCAAACCCCTTTCTTGTGGTCAGCCCTGGGCTTGCCCAGAAGATCCTGGTACTCACTCTCTGTCCTGCTCCAGACTCTCCCAAATCCCCTAACCATGCTACCTGTTATAACGAACATATTTCTGAATTCTTACCCCAGATTCTTCCTTGCCCCGTCCCACCCTATTTTCAACTTTCCTGTTTGCAGCCTTACTCTTTGACATCACCATGCCTCTCAGTTTTCCCAGTGACAACACTGACTTTATCTTACCCCAGCTGGGTTTGCTTAGATTATACTTGCAGTTGTATTCTTCTTAGCTGCCTTGAACAAACAGCTCTCCCTGTTCTTCCTCACACAGGACCTCAGGGCCATGGTGCACTGGGTGAAGCCCTGCTCAGCCCACCCTGGTTCTTTCAGCAGGAAAGCCTGCATTGATTATCCAGCGGCTATACTGAACAGCTAGGTGTGGTCACCATCTTCCTCTACCTCACTTCCAGGCTCCTCGTGGAGAGGAGTCTGAGCTGCCTCCACCCTCTGCCTCCGGAGCTGCCCACACACACACACACACACACACACACACACACACACACACACTCTCTCTCTCTCTCTCTCTCTCTGTCTCTCTCTCTGTGTCCAGGGCTCCAAGATGTCCTGGGGTGCTTACAGACTCTAAGAGGCTTTCAGGGAACACAGCAGAGCCAATGTTGCTTTCCACTTCCATACATTCCCTTCCAAAGTCTGTCACCTTCTTCCTCTAATCACAGTTCCTTCTTGCCTTGAGCCTGGCTTGGAGCAAAACAATGAAGCAGGTGCTGCTGTCCTTCCAAACAATGCTCTGCTCCTTATGCCTCAGGCCCTGAGTCTCTTCCCTCCCACCCTCTTCTATCCAACACTGGGGCCTTTTTTTCCCCAACGCAATCTGCTCTTATCTAAGATCAGTCTTTTACACAGAAGCTAATTTTAGGTCAATTTTTACCTCTCTGGGGACATCTTTTTAATATCGGGGAATTAGGGAATGGAATGAGTGGCCTCAGAAAGTAGGTTAGAGAGACATATTCCCTGCATGCTAAAACTCACAAGATTGCCTTGGCAGAAGGCTAGTCCTGGCCATGACATGAAGTAGGCGAGCAAATTAGGGAGAGTCTAAATAATTCTGTGCTGCTGGCTAGGCTCCCGGGGGTGAGGGTAGATAAGCAGACCTCATACTTCAAAAAAAGTGATACCTGGAGCTACTCATTCAGTATTACAGTTATGGTTCTTACCAGCTGAACTTTCATTTCATTTTTTAAATATTTTTATTTCTTGTTCTATAAAAGGACATTATTACTTGACTGCATAACATGGGAAAGAAACAAGCAAGTGATCCAGAGCTCTAATAATACATTCTCTCTTTAGCATTGCTGGGTTGGTCATCATTTAGACCTGGGAACCCAACACCTCCTGAAACTGAGAAGAGAGGGCAGACAGGAGTAGGGAAGGCACCACAGGCCCCTGCCTGACCACACAGAGAACGGCAGGGCCCTTTGTGGAGAATGGTGAGTGTACACATAATGCACAGGCAAGCAAACTGGCAGCTAAGAGAAAAGGAAATTGCTGAGTTAGGATATATTCAGCTCCCCCAGAAGTTGCCAAAAACCCTGTTTTCTAACTGTGTTATAAGCCTTTTTTGGATTCCTTGGTCTGTGGCATCCATCAGAGCTGCCCACAAAAGACGCTCATGGGGAATCACCCTTCAGCCTCTCTGCCGGCTGGCCGGCTTCTGCATGGTGTGAGAAGACAGTGAGTTTTAGCACCATTTCCTTTCTGAGTCCAGCTCTAGGAACTTCCTCAGCATGAAACTTTCTTGGTATGGAAATGAAGTTACATATTAATACTAGGTAGCTGGGATCCATCAGCCATCTTTGCCTTTCAGACTCTCACACACATCACCTCTTCACAGAGACCTTTCTGAACCCCTTTACCAAAAATTGCACCCTTCATGTGCACACACACACACACACACACCCTATTCCCCCATGCTTATTTTCTCTCATGTATTGCCTCTTAATAAAGAAAATTCCCATCTCTTTGTCTTTTTTTTTTTTTTTTTTTGGACAAGGTCTTTCTCTGTCACCCAGGCTGAGGTACAGTGGCACAATCACAGCTCACTGCAGCCTCGAACTCCTGGGCTCAAATGATCCTCACGCTTCAGCTTACTGAGTAGCTGGGACTACAGGCGAGCGCCACCACACCTGGCTAATTACAAAAAAAAAAAAAAAAAAAAAAATTATAGAGATGGAGTCTGGAACTCCTGACCTCAAGGGGTCCTCCTGCCTTAGCCTCCCAAAGCATTGGGATTACAGGTCCCATGAGCCATTGTGCAGAGCCTAAACACACTTCTCTTTTATTTTGTCTATTTCTGTTTCCTCCATTCATCCCCAGAATGTAAGTAAGTCCATGAAGGCAGGGGTTTTTACATGTTTTGTTCCCTGCAATTTCCCCAATACCTAGCATAGTACCTGGCACATAGCATGTGCTCATTTAACATATATTGACTGACTGAATGAACTAATCATAGAATCAATTAAAATGTTTAACTCTGGAAATGGACATTCCCCATTCTTAAAACATGGAGTCTTTTATTCCATCTTTACACACTTAAATTTCAAGCACGTTTTTGGAAATGCATTATGTCCAAAAGTAGGGTACTGCCAGTATTACTACTTAAAAGTAAGTGCTAAATTTTAGTAGATTTAGCACATTGAAATAATTATTTCAAATTATGCACCTCAGGACATCATGGAGACCTGTACAGCAGCAGTCCCCAGCCTTTTTGGCACCAGGGACTGGTTTCCTGGAAGCCAATTTTTCCACAGATGTTGGGGGGATGGTTTTGGGATGAAACGGTTCCACCTCAGGTCATCGGGCATTAGTTAGATTCTCACAAAAAGCTTGCAACCTATATCCCTCCCATGTGCAGTTCACAACAGGGTTCGTGCTCCTATGAGAATCTAATGCTGCCACAGATCTGACAGGAGGTATGGCTCAGGCGGGAATGCCTGGGACTCCTCTCTATCGGGAGCCTGGAAGTGAGGTGGAGGAAGCGGGGACCACAGCTGGCTGTGCAGCATAGCCAGTGGGTAATCAATGCAGGCTTTCCTGTGAAGGGACCAGGGTAGGCTGAGTAGAGCCTTACCCAGTGAACAATGGCCCTGAGATCCTATGTGAGGGAGAACCACCATTTCAAAGTTGTGAAAGACTATTTCTCTTTTGCATGTAGAACAAACCATATATCTGAAGGTTTTTTCCTAATATATACATATATACTATTGGCGTAGTGTCTCACTTGCCCTTGACTACAAAGTGTTTTCCTGTATTTTCAGTTTTCTCTAGAAATTTCCTGAATGATATCTAAGAAAATTTCTGTATTTAGATAGCAAACTTAGGAGGACACATAAGACCCAAGAAGGCCAACTGACTTGCCAAGATCACACAGCTGGAAAGAGACATATTTACATCAGGAATTTAGCATCACAATTTCCTCACGAGTGAGATTTCTGCTCAACAGACACGTTGCATTAGAATGATACCATGTATTAGCACATCATTTACTAATAAATACATTTCATTAGACGTTCAAGATTGAGAGTGACTTCCAGAGGAAAGTCTTATGTAGACCTTACAGGGCACATTTATAAGAATACATAGTTCTAAAGCATTCATTTTGAGACAGAAGTCTATTTTAAGTCATGTGGAGCATTTCTAATTAACTTTTATCACCTACCCAATATTTAGAAGCTGATACCATAAAGAAACTTTTTAACACTTGCTTTATAAAGATAACACTGAAAAGGACTTGGCCATCTGCTGAGCCTCTTTTTCTTCATATGGGAAACCTAAGACACTCAAAGTTCACATCATATCACAAGTGAGTTCGTGCCAAAGTCAACACTAGGGCACATCTCTGACTCCCAGTCCAATGTTCTTCTAGGTATCTCCTCCTGTCAGATTGCCTGCTTGGACAGATGAAAACAATCATTAAACTGCCTTTCAGTTTTCCTTACTTCGGAGTAGCTAATTCAAATCACATTGATAATCTGTATTACCCAATATGGTGTGACTTTTCAGATATTCAAGTATTGAAGAAGTAAATTGTCTAAGAAAAACCTAGCAAGGAGGGTTGAAAAGAGCGGAAGTGACTTGTGCCAAGCCTCTCAACTGGAACTGGTCCTGTCCTTGGGACTCTAGAGAGTGAGCCTGGCCTTGGCTGTCTGAGGTTCCCAGAAGAAGACCGGACCTTGAGATCTGAGGATTGGTGCTGAGCAGTGCACTTTGTCAGCACCTGTAATTCCTTCATCACCCAGCTCAGTGCCCAATAATATTTGTTGATTTAAATCTGTATCAAATACAAAACAGAGTTGGAAAAAACTCTATCTGGTGTGTTAGAGCAGGGGTCCCCAGCCTCGGAGCTGCGGACCGTCCCGTTAGGAAGTAGACCGCACAGCAGGAGGTGAGCGGCAGGTAAGTGAGCTTTACCACCTGAGCTCCGCCTCCTGTCAGATCTGCAGCGGCATTGGATTCTCACAGGAGCGCGAACCCTATTGTGAACTGCGCATGCGAGGGATCTAGGTTGTGCGCTCCTGTGAGAATCTAACTAATAATGCCTGATGATCTGAGGTGAAACAGTTTCATCCCAAACCATCTCCCCCATCCATGGAAGAATTGTTTTCCATGAAACCAATCCCTGGTGCCAAAAAGGTTGGGGACCACTGTGTTAAAGGGCAAGACATTAGATGAGTTATCATTCTTCTTTT
This sequence comes from Homo sapiens, assembly GCF_000001405.40. Classification (NCBI taxonomy): domain Eukaryota; kingdom Metazoa; phylum Chordata; class Mammalia; order Primates; family Hominidae; genus Homo; species Homo sapiens. Next base: position 176,555,721 of record NC_000002.12, on the reverse strand, counting down.
ATTAATTCTCCCCTGTTGTCCTTTTAAATTAATGTAGTTGTTAAAAAAATAAGTAGTATCTACTGCATAAGCAATTAACACAAGGCAGACCCATAGAGTTCAGTAAATGTGTGTGACGATGATGACATATACATGCCTTCTTTCTGCCGCAGACAAGGTGCCTGGGCTCAAGCATATATTTCAATATTATAAAGGGGTAGCAGAAGGTATCTTTGTGGCGATGAACCAATTTTTTACCTTGTTTGTAGTGGTGGTTCATGCATCTACACGTGATAAATTGCATAGAACTATGCACACATACAAATGCATACAAGTAAACGGGTGAAATCTACATAAATTCCACAAATTGTACCAATGTCAATTTCCTGGTTTTGACGTTGTATCACAGTTATGTAAGATGTTACCATTGTGGGAAACTGGGTGAAGGGTACACAGGGCTTTTCTGTACTATTTTGTAATTTCTTGTGACTCTATAATTATTTAAAAATTAAAAGAAGATTCAAGGTTTTTCTTTTTTAACCACTAAAAGATTTCATTAAAAATATAAATGTTTTTGCTTCCTCACTTACCGAAAAAAAAATTCTTAAAATAAAAATTTTCACCTGTTTCTGGAGACTACATCACTAAAGTGGAAACCATTTTTTGCCAGTAAATGTGGTTCCAAGAATTTGAGACGGATTATGCAAATGACTGATTTGTACTATCATACATTTTTAAATACTTTAAACATAACAATTATAGGTGTTGAAACTTAAAACATTGATGAACAGCTGTTAACTTTTAAAATTATAATAAAATTAAAGTGGCCATCATTAAAGAAAGGAAAACCAAGCACTCGTCTATAGAAACTATTTTTTAAGATACAAAGCTCCAATATGTTCTTAAGAAAAAAAATGCACTTGCCTCTTCTCCCAAGTAATATATTTTAGCTTCTCATTATGAATAATCCATCTTTCTCTATGTTCATGGAAGGAGTAAAGCTCAGTCTTTATTTGCTTCTACAGGAAATTTTATTTTCTGTAGAAAGCTAGTCAATTCAGAATAAAGGGACTAATTTATATTTGACCACTAGGTGTCACTGTTGATGGTGGCGTGGGCGATAAGGAGGGGGAGGGGAATTGAAAGCAAGCTCAGGGGATTTGGGGGGTTGAGTTTGTTGTTGCTGTTGTTTTTAAACATAAAATGCTCACATCATTGCCATTCTCCCTCTCTAGGTACGGCAGGGTGGTAGGAAGGAAAGAGAGAAGTATGAAGACACAGCTTTGGCAGTGTTTCCGTAATGACTGGCCCTCAGACCACCCTAGCAGATTGCTGACTGCCGAGCCACAATCCCAACAGAAATTGACTCTTCAAGTCCATTTTAATCATTCCCTAACCACCTCGCGGGAAAACAGAAAAACGTCAATGACTCCACGTTGGGAAAGCGAGGCTCTCCTCGGCCATGCCTGCCTAGTGCTGAAGAAATCAGATGAATAATTTATATCACAAAGCAGTGTGCAGGGTCAGCTCGTGTGTGAAGGGGCTCTGAGTGAGGAGCTCTGGGCGCACGTCAGAAACATCATCTATGAGGCCAATAAACAAATCCAGGCGGAAGAGCCTCAGGAAGTGGAATGGGAATTTTTTGTCAGCAAAGATCAGTGAAGTCCAATTTAATTCTGGACTTGGCTGTATGAAATGGGAACGTTTTCAAAGCCCGTGGAAAATCAAACAATGAAAAAGAGATTTTCCTGATGTACTTGGCACAGACTCCAAGGATAGCAAGACGGGCAGTGCTGCCTGGACCCCGGAGGGAGATCGTCCTTATCTTCAGAACAGCCAGGGCCCGATGCCGAGCCTCACGGTCAGGGGTCGGTTCCCGTACCCAGTAGCATACCCAGGATCTGCAGGCGGGGCGGGGCTCGCTGGCAAAGCCCTGCAGAGGAGGCTGCCGTGTGCCCGTGCTATTTCAATCAAGCGTCTCTAGCTGGAGCTCTTATTCTTTCACTTTCCTAAGGGGGAGAAAGTTAAAGAAAACTAGGGAGTTGGAGTGGAAGGGAGTTTTGAGGAGAGAGCCTAAACAAGGGGTACTAACCCCCTTGTAAGCATCTAGAGGAGAATTTTAAAAAATGGAGGAAGGAGTTGAAATACATGGCCCAAAAGTTTTCATATTTGAAAATAGTTCCTTGCTCACTTATGTTATAAACTATTGCATCAAATGACCATTTCTAACCATTGTCTCATCAAATGAGACATTTCTCAGGGCAGGATTAGTAGTTTATACTTAACCACAATCATTGGAGGCAAGTTAGTGGGATAATCATGTAATAAATTAAAAAAATAAAAAACAGAAAAAGAGGTAAGCAACGAACATCGAGTGCCAACTACACGTCAGGTATTATCCTCAGTGTTTTCTGTGCATCAACTCATTTAATCTTCAAACAACGCTACAAAGCAGGCACTCATATTATTCCTATTAGAGATGAGAAAATGGAGAGAGAGAGAGGAGGTCAAATGGCTTGCCCACGGTCGCAGAGCCTGTAAGCGGCAGACTACCTCCAAGTCACTCAGCAGCAAACATAGGTCTAGAACTCAGAGCTCTGACCCTTACCACCCAGGCTCTCCTTATGGATCTTTTACCATCTTGTGCCCTGTGAAATGTCTACCAAGTTCAGATCCTAACCACTGAGAGCCATAAAATGTATGCACAACAGAATTTCTCTACTTGCTACATTCTGACAAAGTACTACACCAAAAGATGGAATGCAAACTAGGCTGTGAGGCCAGCCCTTGACAGGCATGCCTTTTGTGGCTCACAGCTTCAACTACTACCTCAGGCAAGCCCTTGAGACATCTCTCTGGACCAACTTCTCTTCATATAGCCACTTAGTCTCTGGTCAGAGTCAACTAGCTATATGAGACTATAGATCAAACATTCATTGTGATTTACACGAAATTAATTTCCAGAAAGTGTAAGTAATGGTACTTTGTATGAAAACACATATTTTCCAGGAATTTTTTATTGCCCATGACACACACACTAAGATTTTGCCAAAATAAGTTCAAGCCAGTTGTGTAACTGTACTCAAAATAGCTGAGGCTACATAAAATGTCTTTTGGGCACTGACTCAGGGGGAAAAAAAACAAATGTGCTCCTTAATAACCCTGGTAGCTGTACTGACTCTAACAGATAATTTTCTAGTCCAGCAACAGTATTGCAGTTTGTCATTAATAGATGTGAGGAATTTCTTTAGTTGGAATGAAGCCACAATTAGTAGATGTCCTTTACCCCTACACCTGCACCGCCCCTCCCCCTCCCCCCAAAAAGAAGCAGCCTCTGGAAATAAACCCAGAGGAAGTATTCACTCTGGAAAATAAATGCGAGTATCAAAGTACAGTCAAAGTTTTTGTGGAGGTTCTTATTGTATTTCTTTTAGGATAGACACTAAGCATGAACAATGGGATGATCTGTCAGACTTATCATTCCTGTTGCACTTCCAATGAGCCAGGATTATTTCCCTACCAATGATTTGCCTAGTGCATTAGGTAGGGCTTTCTAGAGAAACAAAACCAGTAGGATATATGTATAGTGTGTGTATATATATATATATGATGGGAATTGGCTCATGAAATTATGCAGACCCAGAAGACCCGTGATATGCCATCTGCAAGCTGGAAAACAAGGAAAGCCAGTGCTGTAATTAATTCTGAGTCCTAAGATGTCACTGAGGGATGGGGAATGGGAGGCACTTGTGTGAGTTTGAAGGCCCCATAACCAGGAGTTTGATGTCCAAGGGCAGGAGAAGATGGATGTTTCAGCTCAAAGAGAGAGAGGGAATTCATCCTTCCTCCATCTTTTTCTTCTATCTGGGCCCTCAAGAGATGGGACAATGCCAGCGCATATTGGTAAGGGTGAATCTTCTTTGCTCAGTCTACTGATTCAAATGCTAATCTCTTCTGGAAACACTCTCACAGACATACCCAGAAATAATGTTTTACCAGCTACCCAGGCACCCCTTAACCCAGTCAAGTTGACACATAAAATTAGCCATCACAACGAGGAAGTAAGGTTCACAACCAGAATTAAAAGGACTTTAGAATTAAACTGTCTTCAAGTGGCCAAAGAAACTTAACTTTCAAACTTCCCCTAAATTCTGATAAACTTTTGAAAAACGTTTTCTCTTTTATTTTGCCACATACATATCCAGATGCCAACACCACACTATTACCTGGGAAATGATGACAGAAAAGGAAAAATTAAAAATAAACACAAAATGTTTATTAAGATAATTATGATTGAATACAAAGTTTCAATAAATTAATTCTTCCGTATTCATGAAACCCAACTACAATAGACAACTGTCAATGTAAGGCAAGTCATTTTTCATTAGTGATTGTGCTTTATATTCATATTTTTAAGAAATATTATTGGACTCTGCTATGGACTGAAATGTGTCCCCCATCCCCAGTTCATAGGTTGAAGCCTTAACCCCCAATGTGACTGTATTTGGAGATAGGGCTTTTAAGAGGTAATTAAGGTTATATGAAGTCATAATGGGCCCCTAATATGATAGAAGTGGTGTCCTAAAGAAGAGGGAGAGATCTTTCTCTCTTTTTCCACACACATGTACCAAGGAAAGGCCATATGAGAATATAGCAAGAAGGTGGCTGTTTGAAAGCTAGGAAGAGAGCCCTCTAGAAACTGACCCTGCTGGATTTTAATATGGAATTTCCAGCCTCTAGAATTGTGAGAAAAATTCCTGTTGTTTAAGCTGCCCGGTCTATGGTAATTTGTTACGGCAGCCTGAGCTCCTCCTCCATCAAAGACATTACCAAGTGCCAGTCCACACTTGTGTTGGTTCAGATGCAGTCCCTGTCCTCTTGGAACTCATACTTTGGTTGAGATGACAGATATTAAACAATTGTAAAAATGACTATATATTTATCAGGTAAAACAAGTGAAGCTGACAAATCAACGGGTAAATTTGTAAGAGCATGACAGGATTCAGTTTAGTTTGAGGGGCCAAGGAAATAACACTTAACCGGAGCCTTAGAAGTGAGTGAACAATTAGCCAGATGATGAAAAGGACAGAAAGTTCTAGAGAGAGGAAACAGTATTTGCAAAGGTCCCATGGCAGGAAAGAGGATGATCATGTGGAAAGAACTGAAATAAGTGAGTGGAGTGAGAGCAAAGGGGGAAGGACACACTATAACCCATGTCTTTAAAGACACTAGGTCTTCTGTGTAGACAATACATGGAGGTGATGAAGAGTTCATGCAAAATACCAGCTAGGTGTTTATTGCTGTAGGCAGGTCACAGAAGGATGATGGCTTTGACTAGGGTGGTGCTTGTGAAATTTGGGAGAAGCATAAGACCCTAGGAGTATTTGGTAGATGGAAACAAAAGGACTTGATGGTTTCATGAATATGGGTAGAAGTGGTTACAGAGAAGATGGTGTTAGGATGATTCCTTGGTTTCTGGCATGAACGACTAGGGTCCGTTTGTGACATGCACAGAAATGGAAAGACTAACAAAAAAGCAGAATTGGGAGGTGAGTACCACTGTTTGGAATTGTTACTGCAATTGTTTCTGTTTATGAGGCTGATCTTGCAACTGTCTGAGACTATTTTCTAAGATGAGACTTAGGATATATTATCATAAACAACAAATTCAGTAGGTAATGAGGATAAAGAACAAAACCACCCAGAACTGATCAATTCCAGTCAGACTCCTTTGAAGTAGGTTAATGCAGGCTTGAGTTGGGATCCTCCTACAAATCTGCTTCCAGGGGCAATGTCCATTGCTAAGCGCGTGTCAGGGGAGTGTCAGGACAGGAGAGCTTCTAACCTTGTCCCACATAAGGGCTAGATCATACAGGAACTAAGGAAATCCTCTAATCTGAGCCAATACAGGACTCAGGAAACCAGGGAGAGGAAGCAAGTATATCCAGTTTTCCTTGCATCCCTGGACTTAAGGGGCTTTTAGAGTGACTTAGGCCCCACTGTTCCTCTCCCCACAGACATGGCACCGTCATCACAGTGATCAGTTAGACATAGGTCTTAGGAACTCCTTTGCTAAAAGCATTGAGAAAATGAGACCCTTCCTTGGTCTCATAAATGGTCTAGTATCAAACAAAAATAAGCAAATTTGAGAAACATAATATTTTATTGATTATTATACTTATCCTAACAGTTATAAACCTACAGGTATTGTAACAGAGACTTTGTTTTCTTCCAATTTCCACTCTTTCCTCCTTCCACAGTGAGGGGACTACAATTTTTGGTGAGTTGTGATAGAAGCTTGGACTAGGTTTATGGTGGTAGAGATGAAGAGATGTGGTGGGCAAGAGAGCTGCCTAAGAAGTAAAACCAGCAGAAGCTGGTGGGAGGTGGATATCAGCAATGAAGGAGACGGAAGGATTCCAGATGACCCCTATGTGTCTGACTTGCAAAAGAGAACAAATAGGGATGCTGTTTCTAGAGAGAGAAAAGACCAGGTTTGGAAGGGGAGGTCATGAGTTCCATTTTGGATCTGTTGACCCCCATGAAGAGATAGGAAGGAGATGGCTGGGTATACAAGTCTGGAGTTGGAAAGTCTCGACCTGGGCAGGAAATATAAATTTGTCAGTCATCTGACTATAGAAAGATCACCTAGGGAAAGATCACTGAGGGAAAAGGCAAGAAGGTCTTATGGAATGCTAGTTTATCTTGATTAGGTACTGAAGGATGACTTGCTGAGGAGAATGAATAGAAGAGGTAAAAGATGAAGGAGATAACTAAGTTTCCACATGATTATAGAAATCACAGGAAGAAAGTATTTCACGTAGGAGGGGCTGGCTGTGGCATAAGATACTTCTGAGAGTTTAAGTAAAATGGACTGAAAAATAGCCCTTAAATCCAGTCATTGCAGGCCACTGGTGACTCTGGGAGAACTGTTTGCACTGATGAGGGAAGACAAATTAAGCTGAATTGTAGTGACTGGTGTGTGAGAAATAGAGCCAGCAAGTATAAGCAGCTCCCCGTTTACCTTGCCAAAGACTCCTCTTGTCAGTCACTATTATTTATTAGTCAAGATCAGATATTCCTCATAGAACAGTCCTTTATATAAAGATCACTGTTACCATCAAGAGTAACACTGTCTGGGGCACAGTTTTCAGTTCTTTATTGTTTTAAGATGATGTTCATGTTTGATGAAACGAGTTTAAGTTGCTTTTATGGCAACAAAGATAGAGGTGAACACTAATTTGTTCACTGCCTTTTACTCAGTCCCTTTTGTAAGAAGGTTGAACATAAATAGGTTAGGACTGCAGCCTGTGGCCATGGTAGTGACTGAAGCCTCCGTTGGGTTTTTCTGTCTAGTGTGCTTGGTTCTCCTCCCATTAGCATGCATACAATCCATGGAAGTCCCTGGTTGTGGGTAGCGAGTTAATAAGGAATCTAATAACAGGATCCCTGCTCTGTGGGCTGATATAAAAAAAGAAAAAAAGCAAATGCACACATTAAGGGCAAATCAAGAAACCATTCTTTTATTCAAGGCCAACCACATAAACCTATGCAGAATATTCAAGATCAGAGTTGGTGGGGAAAGGAATAAAAGATAGAGGTGGTGAATTGGATAAATGGAATGTATCTACCAAAAAAAGGGTCCTCAAGAAAAGGCTTTAAAATGAGAATTCTATAGTTTGGCACAGACAAGAAAGGCTATCTATAGCGGAGGAGAATGGAATACTTGGAAATGGCTTGTACATCAGCGGGACAAAAACAAACAAGGTCTGAGGAGTCAATTCTAGCTCCAGGGTTTCTATGGGTCCACAACCCCAATCAGCAATCCCCAAATTGAAAAGTCTCTGAAAACTGAATATTTTTCCCAAACTCATTTGGCCATTGATACTGACTTGATTGGAATATATTTGGTGACAAAACCTGACCTGAAAAGATGTGAAGATATTTACCATTATCCCACTTTATGGTAAGCAATCATATATTTTACTGAAGAAATATTAATGTGTTTGATTATGGAGTGCTGCCCAGAGTCCACTGGGGGTATTAGGTACCATAAATACAGACAGCTCTGAATGATCTTTCTAAAACATGGAAAATTCTGAACTCTGAAACATATCTGGCCCCAAGGATCTAGATAAATCATTTAGACCTGAAATGGGAGGGCCAAGAGGACTACATGCCTGGGAGTGTCAGAACCATGAATATAGAGCCTACAGAGAGACCACAGCCAGGGCAAGAGGTCCACCTTCGTGGAGCACAGATGGGGCCTGTGCTCACATAATACTGTGAGTCCTCAAATAGTCATCAGAATCAACCTGGGGCTGGCCCTAGCCCCCTGTTCTGGTGAGAGGAAAGTCTAATGGCTCCTGATGGTCTCTAGTCAGGAGATCCATGTTTTCTGAGGGCCTGCTGCATGCCAGGCACAACTCATTAACTCATTTTCTTCCTCATACGCGCCCTCTGAGAAGGGGAAATAAGGATCAGCAAATAAAGTCACAGAGTAAATGGCACAGTTGGGGATCAAACCAGGTCTGTTTGATGATGCCAAAGGCCATTCATGGCCCATTACACCATGCAGATCTCTTGTTGAATATAAGTCAATTGGCAGCAGGCTAAAGAGAGCAATTCTAGCAAATGCTTATGGAATATATTCTATATGCAGGCTTGTTTCATTTGCAAAGAATCAAGCTGGGTTGGTGTACTATGACCACCATTTTCCAGGAGGAGAAATTGAGGCTTAGGAGAGGAGAAGTAATGTGTTTGATGTCTTCCGATAAGTGGTGGAGCTGGATTTGAAACCAACATCTCTCTCTCTCCAGACCTAGCCTTGCTACCCTGCATGTTATGCCTCCTCCTGAGCACAGACTGCTGATGCCAGTGGATGGAAATTTAAACACACACAAACATACAACCTCTTTCCTTAAGAGCCATGTGATTAACCAGAGTGAAGTGTCAGTGGCCTTCTGGGATCTCTCTGATGGGTGAATGGATAAAGGTCATAGCGACGACCACAGAAACCTGTTTAGTATCAGCGGATAACATTGCCTGTCACTTTAAATGAGCCAGAGACCTCCAGACACTCCAGCAAGTCTCCCATTGCACAGGAGAGCAGCTTCAACATCAAAAGAGAAAGAGATATAGGCAAAGGAGGGGGAGGCGTGCTTTTCTTCAGCTGTTGATGGCTGGTCAGGTGAATCTAATGGCTTATTAATAAGAAGCAATTAATTGTGTAGCCAGCCCAGTAGTTCTAAGAAATGAAATCCCAAATCTGATACGTGAAGGGCATCAGGGATTGAATAACTGTTAAAAAGCAGTTTCTGGCACTGCTTTGCATCAATAAAGATGTAAAGAACAAAGGAATAATGTGCAACTACTGCACGATCAATAGACGTTTGAAATACAAAAGCTGAGAAAGTGAAGAAGCATGGAACCTCGTCAAATGTTAATGTCTGCTTTCCAGAAGGGAAATCAGAATGTGGGGACAGAGTTGGAAAGGAGCTCAAAAGGTCATCCTGTTCCACAGCTTACGTTCTCTCCAGCAGTGGACAGCTAGCCTCTTATTTTAAAAGTCCAGAGAATTATGACAGACTGTATTCCAGAGAAATGGGAGAATGTGCATTTACTTATTGCAGGTACTGGACAGTTGGCCCATCAGGAGAAGTAAATCAGATCCCCAAACAATGAAATACAAATAATTTCTGGACTCATTAGACCTCCTCTCATGAACAAGACTGACAGCTGCCTACATTCCACAAGAAATCACAGGAAATCAAAATTTCAGCCAAAAACAGTCTGGACCTCGTAATAGAAATTCTTATTCTAAGGCCAGAACTCATAAATTTCAGCTACTTAAATGAAGGCATCCAGAGGCCACTTGGGGAATCCCCTGGTCAGTGTGGTAGTTGTGACAGCCTGTGCTACTTGGCAGGAAATAATATCCACATGGAATGGATGATGGTAGTTTATGGCCATAAACTAAGAGAATTCTAATGCCAGACTGAAATTAAAACACACACACACACACGCACACACACACATACACATTTAGAGAGTCCAGGGATGTGAGAGACATTGGACAATAGCATTTGCATCACAAATCAATTTGTTGGCTAAGCCTAAAATGTGTAAGATTTCCATTTTCACATAATTTGCACCAGCAATGTCTCTGCTTCTATTATGTCCTCAGTTCCTATTAATAAGGCAAAAGGAAGATTCTTTATAAAATGTTTGGAATGTTGTGAGGTTTCGGAACCCCTTGGGAACACAAGGCATACTAATGGAACAGATGTAATGATCTCTGTATCACACAATGCTGGTTGCTTAGAAACATCCCCCAAAGATTAGTGGATGCTGTTTTTGTCCATACTCCTAATTTCTGAGCCTTTTACACTTGTCCATTTAATTAAAGAAAGGATATGTGAAATTTACATCTGTTCAGACATTGCTTCTTTTCTGGGTGCTTTTCAGGGAAGTGCCAAAGAATTCAGAGAACCTAGGGCATTGTTTCATTGGTTGTCAGAGCATTCCTGAGAGGTTGAATACATTTGGTAGTGAGTACTGCCCGTATCAGTGTTGTAGCTGAGGAAATCAAATCAAAGAATTGGGGTAGAGACCAACATTTGGAACAGTGACCCCTTTGTTTCAGCCTAGGAGACTATCTTGGTAAAAACAATCCTCTTTATGAGACATAAAGCTGCCAAGAAAGGCTATTTGTAATGAGTCTTTTTCCTTAGTTACAAGATTGAATTCTAAATTAGTTGAATCTCATGGGCCTTAAATATAAAACTGGCTGACACAACCTAATTTTAATATGGCAATGCACCGTAGGATGTTTGAAATGTATGAAAGCGATTAGGTTTTAGCTCTGTTTTGCAAAGGGGTTTGATACCTATTTGCACTTAGGCAGCCTAACCTCTGAAAGACTGGTCACTCTGTAAGTTGGAGCTATATCCAGCTGGAAAAGAGGAACTGCTGGTATCTCTGGGATGGCATGAAGCAACAAGACATGCATGGCTGCTACCATGGTGCCGTCTGAGATCCAAACTATCTTTTCATCCTAGAACACAAAAGGACGGGCTCAGTGTCTTGGGGACATCCAACTAGTTGGAGTGACTAATTAGAATGCTCTATACCCTGCCTGTATGGTGAGAAATACTTTACATTTTTCTTTAAATACATACACATTCTCCATTTTCTTCTCCACTGGGTCATGGGAAGGAAGAGGGTGGCATTAAAACATGCTCATGCTTTATCGTGTCTGTGGGTCTGTAAAGGATCCCTCATTAAAAAGAAGAAAAATCTGGTTTAAGTTCAACTTCTGGAACTAGAAAGTTAATATTTGATTAGAAAAATAAAAAAATCAGAGTAACAGAAAGTATTCCTAGAATCTCATCACGTTATAAGGTCTTATGAACACATTATATCTCTTGAGAGGAAAGGAAGAAATGCCAGACCTACTCACTTCCATTTGGCTTTTTGAGAAGGATCCAGAAAAGTACAATGACTGTAAAGATACAGGTATATACATATATATATATTTTTTTTTCTCTCTCTCCCAGTTACTCTTTTTGTTTGGTGTTTATGTGAAATTGCAGGAAGAGTCACTATTAGTGAACATACATTGAGCGTCAAAGACGTGCCAAGGGAATTCTGAAGTACAGAAAGAAACATAATATTGTGAGCCAACAGATTCATGCACGCACATATTTTATTGTATGTATGCTATGATGTTTTTATGCATTGAGCCCATGTTATAAATCAAGTAAATAAACAAATATACTTGGCAATAGCTCATGTGCATCTGTGGACTGTTTAGACAATTGCAAATGAAAACGATTGCTTTTTCTTTTTGTGTTTACCAAACTTGTTAGTTTTAAGATGCGGACTGCCTGCTTTTTTTTCCCAGGGTTTAAATGTTAAAACTCTTGTGATGAAAACAGAATAAATGAATTGATAAACTAGAAAACAGTTTATGAAATTGAACTGCAAAATATGCTCTTTGCCTCATATACAATGTTATATTGTGTTTATAACTGTAAACACCCTGCAGTCATCGCCATGTGCGTGCTGGATTGGAGAAACAGTTGAAACTTGTACAATGGTGATTTTTTTCTATTGATTTACAGATTGAAATAACAGAAGCCATCTCTGATTTTTGAAAGTACAAGCTGAAGAACTGAAAAGATGAGAACTCCTTCATTGCCTGGGAGTTAGAATCAGAGATAATGACACAACTGGAAAACCAAGAGGAAAACATATGAGACTGATATTCTCAAAGTATAATCTTGAAAAAGAAATGAGTCAAGCACATGCATGGTCAGGCAATGTACTCATGCAGTGGACCTCTGGTGTTCTGGCTGGCCAGAGTCACCTTTTCCTTGTTCTGGTAGCCATAGCTTTGGTTTCCTGGGAGGAATCACCTCCCTTAACCTCAGTGTACACTGAGATTGGGCACACTCCAGCACCTGAAGGAGACGTGTAACCCAAGCTTTTGCCATGAACATATTTCCTCTCTTTGGCCACAGTGATTGTCTCAGGAGAAGGCACAAAACTCCACTCTGGTCAGTAATAATCAGACTGAGCTGCACATGAACCCAGGAGGGTGTAAGACTGAAGGTGCTGGGGGCCATCCTAAGAAGAGGATCCCTCCAAGAGTTAAGCCAACAAAAGGGAGAGTGAGTAAGAGACTGAGTCCACATAAATTTGAACTCCAGAGTCTAGCCATGCCTAAAGCCAGAATTTCTCCTAGTTTTTAGAATTATTATATAATGTCTTAAATCTTTTTTTTTTTAAACCTAATGTTACCTTAAAGGTGACTTTTTTGTCCTTTGTAACCAAGACAGTCCTGTTGGGTATACTCCAAAATAATGAACATGAACCAGAGTGAGATAGTGAGTATAAAGTCTGAATCTATTGTCTGGCAGGTGACACAAAAGAACTCCCATCTGTGCTCTGGATGAACCAAGACCCTTTCCTTGCTGGGTCCATGTGCTAAACATAGAGTGAGTTAGAGGAAGAAGGATATGATGAAAGATTACAAGGTCATGTTGGGAAAAATCATCTCCAGGCTGAGAGGGGTTGGCACAAACTGAAGTTTGAAATGACACAATCTCTGGTTTATCCACTGCCAACAGCAAATAAATAAAGGAGAAGACATAAAATGGAGACCAGCTGGTGGACGTGTTTTAGATTTGCAGAGCATCAGAGCTGTCTGGGATGAGAAAATAGAATGGACTGTACAGGTTCTGCACCAGCAGACCAAGCACAGACTTCCAGGAAGCTCTTGGTAGGCAGACTTCCTTGGGCTGCCTCTACCATTCCATCAAATTTCCTCTGACCCTGGTTTGATATGATTGACAAGTATTCAACATTTCAAAGAGAAATAGAGGGAGAGAGAGGGAACTGCTTTCCTTTGATCAATCAGATATAGTTTTATAACAACATATTAAGAAAACTATCAAATAAAGCATAAGAAGAATTTTAGTGTAGTAAATACATATGTGTATGCAAATGAACAAAGGTCTATATAGGAAGAACTGGATGTCAGGATAAGTGCATCAATGGGTGGCCTTTGTAGAGAACCTAAAACACAACTCTCTCTCTCTCTTTCTTTTCTTTTTTTTTTTTTTTTTTTTTCCTGTCACCCAGGCTGGAGTACAGTGGTGTGATCATGGCTCACTGCAGCCTCAAACTCCTGGGCTCAAGCAATCCTCCCATCTCAGCCTACAAAGTAGCTGGGACTATAGGCGCCCACCACCATGCCCAGCTAATTTATTTTCATTTTATTTTTTGTAGAGATGAGGTCTCTCAGTGTTGCCCAGGCTGGTCTCAAACTTTTGGAGTTAAAGAATCTTCCTATCTTGGCCTCCTAAAATGCTAGGATTACAGGCATGAGCCATCATGCCCAGGTTAAATTCTTAAATGTTGACAATTTGCAGGGGAGAAAAAAAAAAAAAAAAAAAAACTAGAAGGAGAACAAGAGACAAGTGAAACATAAAAAGGAGTTTTTGTTTGTTTGTTTGTTTGTTTGTTTGTTTTGAGATGGAGTCTCGCTCTGTCGCCCAGGCTGGAGTACAGTAGTAACCAATCTTGGCTCACTGCAACCTCTGCCACCCGGATTCAAGCAGTTCTACTGCCTCAGCCTCCTCAGTGGCTGGGACTACAGGCGCGTGCCACCACGCCCGGCTAATTTTTTGTATTTTTAGTAGAGACGGGATTTCACCGTGTTAGCCAGGATGGTCTCGATCTCCTGACCTCGTGATCCGCCTGCCTCTGCCTCCCAAAGTACTGGGATTACAGACATGAGTCACCGTACCTTGCCAAAGAAGGAGTTTTAATACAAGTGATAGGTAATTCAAATCTCAAGAACATTATCCAGGGTAATAATTTAAAAAAAAAAAAAAAAAAAAGAAAGAATGGAGGCTTGGAAATCCTGACAGATTCAGGGGATGTCCCCGGATTCTCCATTTCCCAGTGTGATTTTGGAAACCAGATCTTACCCAGAAAACCAGGTACCCCTTAATTTTCATCACCCCATCCAGAAAAAGCAGGAACTTCAAGCCAGATTGGGACAGGAAATCCTTCCTTCCTTCCTTCCTTCCTTCCTTTCTCCCTCCCTCCCTCCCCTCCTCCCCTCCTCCTCCCCTCCCTCCCCTCCTCCCCCCCTCCCCTCCTCCCCTCCTCCTCCTCCTTCTTCTTCCTTTAAAATTCTCAGTACCTTCCATAGTGGCTGTCACATATTGTTGAACTGATCGATTAATTCCAGCCGGAAGAGACAGTGGCATTCTGAACTAACCCCTAATTTAACTGATGAAAACTAAGGGTCAGAAAGGTGATGAGTTTAGTTCAAAGTCACATAGCTAGTTAAAGGATCATCAGAGACAAGAATTCAATATTCCTGAACTGAGGAGGAAAAAAAATGTTCTTATGCCTGAAAAAGTAGATTGGCTGTTAGTGATTCTCCTAATTAATTAGAAGACTGTTATCATACAGAAGAGGGTGATATTCTAACAATTGCCGGAAATAGAACATTTCTTCCTATCATGCTTTGCCTAGAGACGGTTCAAGCAAGAATAGCCAGTGAATTGAAGAAGTAGGGAATGGAGAGGATAGAAAGAAACCTTCACAAATATATTGTCAAAAAGTTTAGTTTAACTCAGTGTTTGGCAGAAGCACCTAGAGATGTCAGCCTCCCAGTGCATCAGTGGTATTTGTTAGTGCCTTTATCCTGTGGGCCTTAGGTTATGGCCAGGGGAGGAAACCAGAGAGAGAGAACACAGTGCTGAAGAGAGTGAACACCCACTTACATTAACAGGTTTAGTTCCACACAGCTCCTTCGACTGGAAATTGTTAGACCTGGGGCTTAGCCTGCCTTCATCACTATCTAACTGTGCAGACCTCTTTAGACCTTAGTTTCCTCATCAGGACTGAATGAGCAATGAACACTACTGACATTACCACATTCTGAGTGCCATGAGGATGTGGCATAAAGGCATAATTAAATTCAGTTGAGGTTAATCTAGAATTGTCCATCCTGCCCTCCTCTTCTGCCTTTTACTGACAAATGGATGTAAACCTGAAATTCATTTTGTTTCTAGAATGCCTGGGATGTTGAAATTATTCACATTTTAATCGGCTTTTAACAAGAATAGGTAAGAAAAAAAATTAGGACAATTAAGAAATAATGAAGCCATTATAAAAACAGTAATGATTTAAAAGCAGGTAAGGGAATACTCGTATCGGAAATGTTGAATACCTGCAAATGAACAGTCATATGACAAGCACACCATGGGATTAGGGATTTCACTAATGCACAAATGGAACCATTTATAATAATTTCTTCCCAAAACTGAGGATAATGCAAATGTCCTGATTATTCCTGGAAATATATATCCTCTTGAAAATTGACCATGCTGCACAATGTTGGATATTAGGTCTGAAGATGTTATCAGTGCTTTGCACAAATTTATTCTTTTTTCAAAGATAGCAGCATCCTAGTTTCTTTCTTATAAGTCAAAAGACTTTACTGAAAACTACCACAACCAAACTTGTTTTCTTCAAAAAAAAAAAAAAAATCACAGATATGCAGTTCTGGTGTGACACTAACAGTTGTCATAACCCTAAATCTCTGGCGCTGCTCACTGAGAGACCAGTGTGAATGTCTCTGGCCAGGCAGCTCACTTGGGAGCACCTCTTCCTAGCAGTGAGACACGGATTTGGGCCCTCCATCCTGAGGATACTCTGTCTTCTAGGGTCTCAGAATATCCTACTTCCAGCCCAAGGACAGTGAGAAGCAAAGCTTGGAAGATTGCACAGAAGGTTTAATGGCCTGGTAGTGGCCAGCATAGCTTCTACCCACATTCTGTTGGCCAAAACTCGGTCTCATGGTCCCACTTTGATACCCTAGGCACAGGAAGAACAGTTCAGCTGTGTGTTCAGGAAGAAGGAAGGCAAAAGGAATTCTCTTCAAGGATTTTCATGTGGGAAATCATCTCTACTCATCTTGGCTGAATGAAACCAGAACCTTTGACAGGAAGAGGGAGTGACAGCTTATACAGAAACAAAGAGAATGTTTCCTCAAGTGCCACTAAGTCTAGAAGGGGCTGTTCGAAAGATAGGTAGGGAAATCGTGCTTCCCTGTGTGAGATATCCTCTATGCCACACATTTCAGGACCTCTGATTCTGAAGGAGGGTGGGAAGGTAGACAGAGAAAGGATAGAAAACCCAGGAACGGTCTCAAAGGAAGCCACACTATCCCTCGGCTGAGTGCTGAGGAATGGCTGACTAGGCCTCATAGGCTGCTTGGTAGATAAAGAATAGGGGTAGGGGTGTGATCAGGGTAAGGGAAGGAATCCCCAGCACACCACTACCCAGTCTCTCTTTTCCAACTTCTTCTCTTTTTCTTTTCTTTTCCTTTCTTTTTCTTTTCTTTTTTCTTTTTTTTTTTTTAGACAAGAGTCTCAGTCTGTCACCCAGGCTGGAGTACAGTGCTGCAATCTCCACTCACTGCACCCTCCACCTCCCAGGTTCAAGTGATTCTCCTGCCTCAGCCTCCCGAGTAGCTGGGACTACAAGTGTGCACCACCACACCCAGCTAATTTTTTGTATTTTTAGTAGAGACGAGGTTTCACCATGTTAGCCAGGATGGTCTCGATTTCCTGACCTCATGATCCGCCTGCCTCTGCCTCCCAAAGTGCTGGGATTACAAGCATGAGCCACTGCGCCCAGCCCCACCTTCTTTTAATTTTCTACCAATCTCTTTCCTCCTCACTGTCAATCTCTCTGTTAGTCTCTCTCTCTAACTCTCTGTATCCTTAAACCACACACACACACACACACACACACACACACACACACACACACACAGAGAGAGAGAGAGAGAGAGAGAGAGAGAGAGAGAGAGAGAGAGAGAGACAGGCACTATCAGAACCCAGAAACATACAGACATGAAACAAATGGAACTGAAAGAAATCCAACACCACAAACCCCTGGTAATGATAATAATGAAGAAACGCTGCTGCCAGATGCATCTTGTGATGATGCCAATGATCTAATTCTCTTATTATCAAAAGATGCAGGTAAAGGCAGCCTTGACAGAAGGCGTTAAAAAATCAGAAGAGCACAGCATCACTGAAACTGCGTTGTCTGATTTATACCTTTCCAAAGACCAGGCTTCTGTAATAGGCTGATAATAGCCTCTAGCCATCAAAACATTATTTTATCTGGTATCTTGATTTTTAAAAATTGTGGAAACTAGCAAATGGAACTGGGTTATTTATGTAGTGTTTGAAACTATGTTAGTCCACTAGGAGAAAATGACTACAAGCACACAACAAAAGTCAAAACCCAGACTGGATAATAATATAATGAAAAGCAGCAGCCTCAGTGTGGTACCATGGCCAACAATGTAAAATGTAATTTCCAAATTAGAATGGACATTTGTCTTTCATAATTAATAAAACTTTGAAAGAGGGATAGGTTAGCATGTGGTTGCCCACCAGACGAGACCACTACCCACTAGTACTTGGGCACAGCCAGAATTCAAAGCCATCACTGCCAGCAGATGAAGACTCCTGCTAAAGAAGGATCCACATCAGAAAATAGCCCCATCTTTTTTTTTCTTTCTAAACAAGGTCTCGCTCTGTTCTCCAGGCTGGAGTGCAGTGGTACAACCATGGCTCACTGCAGCCTGAACCTCCTAGGCTCAAGTGATCCTCCCACCTTAGACTCCAATTAGCTGGGACTACAGGCATGCACCACCACACCTGGCTGATTTTTTTTTTTTTTTTTTTTTTTTTTTTTTTGTAGAGATGAGGTCTCACTATGTTGCCAGGTCTGGTCTCAAACTCCTGGACTTGAGTAATCCTACTGCTTCAGCCTCCCAAAGTCCTGGGATTACAGGCAAGAGCCACCATGCCTGGCCTGCCCCATCTATTGAGTTATGCAGGGGATGTGAGGGTCTCCTTGACGCACACAACACAAAACTTAAAAAAAAAAAGTTTTAAAAAGTTTAAGTAATTGAACATAAAAACTCCCCAGAAGCATGACCTAATCGTTTCATATTTCATGCAATTTAAAGCAGACATCATTTTCCTTAAATGACTAGACATTAATCAAATGGACCTCCACACTTGAGAAGATAAATGCCAACCAAAGAAAAGGAAGCCTTCGGTATATTTACCTTTCCTTTTAAAGCACAGATATGAGAAATGAATGAGATTTTTGACCATTTATCATGCACAGAGACCAACTGTCTCTCAGAAATTTTTATGTCAAACCACACCTGGCCATACATGTTTGTCTCGATTCACAAGCTCTAAATATCATATTGCAACATTGTGGGAGAGAAGCCAAAAGTACTGTGCTTAAAACTCCTTTGTCTTAAATAAGCTGTGATACTTAAAAAAGCTGCCTTGATGTTCCAAAACTATGGATAATGTGTTATTTATTTAGTGTTTTAAACATATTATTTAGTGAGATTATGGCAGTACATTGACCTTCCTAATGAGGTTTGACTAAAGCCAATATTAAAATCAATGTGCCCTCCCTTGCTCCCAGTGACAGAGTATAAAAGGAGCTGGCTTAGAAGGATCTTGTGGGCTGTGAGAAATCAGAATGGCATTTAAAAATTGGCCATAGACAATCCATATGCAGATGATCAATATGACTTCATCACTGTTAGGATTCCAGGAACCATCTTTTCAGAACAGGCTCAGTGCTCAATGACCAGAATCTATTGGTAGGAAATATTGATTACAGTGGTTATAGTTTATGCAAACGCAAGGAGAGTGTGTAAAAGATCCTGAAAGTGGTTTTAAGTGGAAAGACCCATGCCACATGCATCAGAACTACATAGTCATTGGAAACCACTGCAGCATAGTAATAATGCTTAGAACTGACAGTCCTGCAGCGTTTCTACATTCTCCTCTAGAGCCTGCATGTTTTCCAGCCTCACATGCATTTTTAAGCAGTTATTAGGATGCCTACTTGTTAACTGATCTCAAATAAATCTTAATTCCCATTCCCAGGCATCATAGAACCACATCCAAATGCCCCCTTCCCCTGACTGCACAGCCAGTTTAGGCCGATGGTGATGTAGGTGAAGTCAACACCATTTCTACATTTCTCTCTCCCAACTTCCTCATATTTTACCCTTCATTTTCCTCCTCTTTAGGGTTAAAATTATTAACAAAAGCTGAAAGTATAGCCTCTCCCTCTGATAATGCCAAGGTAGATTTCAGAGCATGGCCTCAATAAGCCTGCGGTCCATTTACATATGCTTGTCTGCTCACTTCACAGCTGTGTGACTTTGAGCGAGTCATTTTACTTTTCTAAGACATCACTTCTCAGCTGAAAAAGTGGCAATACAGATGTAATGAAATTACATTCACCAAGCTCGTAACACCAAGAGGCACGTCTCTGTAATAGAAAGTACATAGGTGAAACAGCGTTCTCCTCATCATTCTAAGTCTGTAGATTTGAGAACTATGAGCTCATTTGTTCAATATAATCAGACTGGATATTCAAGATCCAAAGGGTATTCAAGAGGTCAAATTACCCACTTCATCCTCTGAGTTGCTATATTTACATTGGCTGCCTATTCCACTGCCTCCCAAACAGGATGATTTTGTTCTTAAATCTACTTTGGTAAAATTCCCTGGCCATGTTCTCTGAGCAGATGATTACAGATGCTCTCCTCTTTGTATTTGAATTCCCAGCCCAAGTGGATGAGACAAGCAGGACAGAGGAGCAAAGGACTAGATAAGCAAAAGCAAGGACTGACTTTCCGGAGAAACTGCCTAACTTCCATTTCACATTTAAGATGCCAAAATAGTTCCTCAAGTATGCATGCCAATGGCAGTGCTGCCCTTGAACATGTTCTCCCGGCTCCCATCTGAGTCAGTGTAATGAGTCTGCATTTTATGAGAGTTGAGCCTGGTCCAAATGGAACCATGTAACTGTTAGAAAGATTAATGGACTGTATCATCCAACAGTTGACTGTAAACTTCTAATTGTGTGAATCTCAGTGTGGTGTCTAGAGCTAAACTGGCGCCTGCTTCCTCGGTCACTAATATCCGCTGATATTGTTCATTATTTTTCTAATGCCAACCCTAGGTACATCAGTTCTGGGCAGATCCCTGAGGAAAACAACAACTTTTGTTGTAGGTACTTGAGAGCAGTCATTATCACTGTTGCCAATTAATTCATCAATCGGTGTTTACAGAGCTGCCACTGAGAAAGGGGAGCAGCACTGTGCCCTGCCGAGCAATAGAAGGGTGGAGGAGTCCCTGAGACAAAGGCTCCACTCTAGGGGAGCTGAGTAGCGGAGAAGCCATAAACAGAAGCTAAGTGATGTCCTTCCTGCTCTGGGCTGCTGGACACCAGGCAAGTCACTTACCCCTCCGAGCCTTAAACCTGGAAACAGGACAGCAGCCAGACCCTACTCAAGGAACAACCAACAAAACCTATGTGAACATGCTTTGAAAAACATTAAGCTTGGCCGGGCATGGTGGCTCACGCCTGTAATCCCAACACTTTGGGAGGCCGAGGCGGGTGGATCATCTGAGGTCAGGAGTTTGACACCAGCCTGGCCAACATGGTGAAACCCATCTCTACTAAAAGTACAAAATTAGCCAGCTGTGGTGGTGCAATGCATGTAATCTCAGCTGCTTGGGAGGCTGAAACAGGAGAATCGCTTGAACCCGGGAGGTGGAGGTTGCAGTGCGCCAAGATTGCGCCATTGCACTCCAGCCTGGGCAACAAGAGCTAAACTCCATCTCAAAACAAAACAAAACAAGAAAAGAAAAGAAAAACATTAAGCTTGACATAGATGAAATCATTTATCCTAGCCTATAACAGAAAATACAGATCACGGAGAGCTAAGACTAAACCAGGTGACTTTGGTTTGCCTGTACCCATTTTCTTTCTTATAAATTCATGCCCTTCTCTTCCCGCATTTTTAGAACATTCTTAGTAATTTCTCCACATAAGCAACCCTGATTTTTTTTTCAGCTTTGAAATTGTCTGCAGGGGCTTCTTTAAGCTGCACTTGCTTTGTCCTCTACAAAACCACATTCTGTTAAAAGAACCATCAAGCACGGACCATGGCTAGGGTCAGAGAGAGCTAGAAGTCCTCTCTAGCTCTACCCATCTGCTCCTTCCCCTACTCTCTTTTTTTCCTGATCCCTTCTGCTTCCTCTGGACAGGAAACACATAGCCTCAGCCATATGATGCCTCTCCATCCTACAGGAAGCTGGAGCACCAAGCTGAGATCACAAGTGCTGGGGCCTTCATCGCAGGCACCTAATTGTTTAAGTAGCTTTTGATCACTTTGCAAAAATATCCCTCTCTCCTTCTTTGTAGCTGCATTGAATGAACATATCCCCTTATGTTTTAAAGAGTCCTTTCTTTGCAGGAAATGAAGGGGAGAGGAATATTAGTTATCTGTATTGCTAGGTGTATTGTGAAACTCTGGATGGCATAATACTTGGCAAACAGGACTGCAAGTCTCTGAAGTTAATCAAGTTGTTGAGGTTTTCAGGATCCAATTATTGGCAGAATTTCCCCACACTCCTAATGCCAATTTAGATGTCTACATGTCTAGGGAACAGTAAATATAAAACATGAAACTGCAGCGTTAAGAAAGAATTGTGGCTGCAGTCCTGTCTAACCAGCGTGCTCCCTATTCTCAAAACTTCCCTTTGACTAGATGGGGAACAATAAATATATATGCCCTCCTCAGTCCTGGAAAGAGCCACCTTGCTGTTTTCCAAAAGGAGATCATGACCTATAACAGAAAATATAGGTCATGTAGAGGTAAGACTACACAAGGTTATTTGGGTTTGCTTGTACCCATTTTTTTCTTATAAATTCATGCTCCTTTCTTCCAACATTTTTAGAACATTCTTAGTGGTTTCTCCACATAAGCAATCCTTACTTACACTTGCATGCCATATCATTGATAACAACCAAATTTATAGTCTGTAGATCAGAGACACAGGCTGATTAGGAACAGATTCATTTGGATTTCGATCTGCACTTTGCATGATGGAAAAGCTAAAGCCTATTGCAGCACTCTGTTTAGATATAACTCTGATTCCATGAACTGTCTCTAGTTGTTACAATGAGGCCTATAAAAGGGCAATCCTAAATAAGCCTGAAAATAATGTCTTGGCACAAGGTGCAGTATCAGATTTTACCAGCGATACCTATAAAGTTCTTTACCAGAATATATAAAGGTAGTGTGCTAGCCAAGACTCCTTTTCATTTCACTAAAAGAATAATGGCCAAGTTAGGATGTTAAGACTTATCATCAAATGTTTTCTGTTGCTTCCCCCAAGGAAAAGTAACAGTGTGATTATCTCATCTTGCTAGAATTACTCTGTTGTGTGAATAGGGGAAGAAAGTTTGGGAAGGGGGAAATTAAAGCAGGAAAAATAATGGAAGGCTATGAACCCTAATACTAATTAAATTATGCCATTAGAAAATGTAATTCTTCCTAAAATCCAGACTATGTAATGTTGGTAGGTGAACAAAACTCCCTGGATGCCATGGAATGAGGAGGAAATGGCTAAAGCCCACAAGACCCAAAGAAAAGGGTCTGTGGAATCTGAAGGCACTGGTGTTTTTCCTGTCATCCTTATGAGTCTAAATTGTGGAGGATATGAACAAACAAAAAGCCCAATGAGACTATTTATGAGGAGAAGCAATAAAATCCACCAGATAATGTATGACAGAGAAGGGGAAATGAACTTTCCCAAGTAGAGTATAATGTGCTCTTCATGGGTGCAATGCACAAGATTAACGATGCCACCCTCAGACTCCTCAGTGGCATTTCAGGACCTTACAATGCAGCTTCCTTTCATTTCATTGGGATATAAATAATTGATAACTTGAAGGGACCTGAGAAACCCACTGCAACTGAACACAGATATTTTTTATGACATCAATTACAGGGCTAGTGATTTGATGAGAAAAGGAAAATATCTCAAACTACACTTTAATGATCTCTACCAAGAACCCCTAGTGTTCCAAATGAAATGTGGGTCTCTGGGCCTGGAGTTCTTTTTCTCTCTCTCTCCATTTTTCCTCCTCAGAGGGAATATAAGTTATAGCTGAATAGAAGAGATGGTTAATTATTTTCATGTCTGTACTTTGCAGTAGTGGGTTTTAGGCCTCCACATTCTAATACAGAAGGAAAGGCTTGAGAGAGTTGAGGCTCTGGGAGTTGCGGGGGCGGAGTTCTCTTGTGTGTGCCACATCAGGGCCGCCTGTTACATGACAGAGGTGTTGTGGAGTTAGGCCTGGCAACTAGAGCCATGATCATAGTTGAGCTTGTCATTTATGGCATTACAACACCAGGACATGTTAAAATGATATGGGAAGCAGTACCATTAAGGCTGTTGAAAGGAAGTCAGAGTTCAAGTATTTGTGCATGAGGCACTTTATGTGGTGACGACTTCTGAATTTATAGTTGTCAGGGCAGGAGTAGATGTTGATTTGGTCTGAGAACAGGTCTGTTCACGCTTGTTTCTGGTTGATCGTGAAGTCCAGTTCATTTTACTTTTTTCATAGCAAAATTCCTGCAAGGCTGCTACTGCTTTATGGAAAAGGTTCAGAACCATACCTGGAAGGTTATCCAAAGACTCCAAAGAGGTAAGGCAGTGAGAGCTGTGCTAAATCCTCATTGTGCATTGGTCCTAAGGGACATGTGCTATGAGGTCATATTGGGATCAGGGCAGAGAGGGCATGGGTATGTGATAGAATGAAGGAGGTGGGAGGTAAAGGAGATATTTCAACCCAATTCCAAGAACAATAAAATCTTATTAGTCTATGACCCATTACATACATTTGAATCCACCACAAGTCAAAAAAGATGCCTTGAAATATCATTACAGGGTACAGGAAGTCTCTCTGAATTAGCTTTAATAGGGGTTTGGGTGTGTTTCTCCACTGCCAATATCGTCATTATTGGATTGCATTTCTTTCTTTATAGAGGCCTAAACAACCAAGGGGGGAACTTGATCTGTTGGTTTAGAACTCCAGAGATCTGCCAGACTGCTTACTCTTGTGTTGAAAAAGATACTGGCTAGTTGTTAGGCCATAATATTGAAGTCCTCATACTTTAAAGCAATGTAATTCTAAGCTTCCATGTCTTGTAAATAGCTGTTGACTGACTTGTCTCATAAGTAGGATGGAAAGGAACAGATAGTGGTTCAATGAAAAGAATTCATTTTTTCCTTCCAGTTTTTTTAGGCAAATACATCCTTGTTCTCTAGTTTCATTTCTTCACCATTCCTCTGCACCTTCCTAATATTTAGTATAATCTAATGAAGTCAAACAAGCTATAGGATGTAAGATTTTCAAAATGTCAGCAGCAAAGTACTTATTGCGGTTTTCTTTTCTTATGGCACCAGGAAATAATCAATCTATTTTTATAAGTCTTCCAACCCAACTTTGTCTACTTAAGAAAAATCAGTCTCACTCCAAATGAGATTTATTGAAATGTTCCTAAAATGCCTCCTATTTACCTATCACAAGTGAAACATTATTCAAAATGTGGAAGTGGTTTGTGGAGATGGGTCTTTTCAATTTAAGCCTGTAAGTACAGTTCATAATAAAAACCTGTCAATGAAGTAGATATTTTATCACACCTGTGTTCATTTGGGACTGCTAATTTATCATTAATAAAGCATTTGGCTAGAAAACGATGTCCATATTTGATGATCTGGAAACTTCTTTCTCCCATTTTTATGCCACGATAACTGCCCAGTCTTATTGTTGCCCATTATAAATGTGTAAAGTTTTATGGACTAAGTAATGTCAAATGAGGCAGTGTCAAGCAGATCTGGAGACAAGTTGGGAGCGTTTAGATGGAAAAAGAAGCTGTGCGGTCTATGCCAGTCTTGCTTGTAGTTTTATTGTGTATTGATCCTTTTTTACACACTGATTTAGCATCCTGAATTATGATGTGGTATTTAAATTTAAATACCAATTGAGAGCTCCTATCTCAAAGGTTGCTGTAAGTCATAGCCATTTTTGACTGTGATGGGCTCTGCTTCTCTGGAGTGGGTATGTTATTAGAAATGCTTGTAAAAGACTTCATGGCAGTTAACTATGCAGTGGAGAAGATGTGTGGAGCTTCATAAGCTTCTAGGAAGCAATGAGTAGATTGGTATAAAAAAAACATTCACAAAATCACAGTCTTGAAAGGATCCTTTGGAGGTCATTTGGTCCAGTCTGCTGTCTCTGGTCCAGTGCTGCATTTAGAACATTCCCTGGAATCTTCAGAAAAGAGGTTCCATAGACTTCCTTCCTTGGTAACAAAATTTACCATTCAACAAGCCTATCACTCGGGTAAGCTTTCCCCAGCACCTCCACAAGCCCCTGCAGCTCACATTCACTCCCATTTCTCCCAGATGAAGAGGCATTGAAATCCCAAGTGGTCTACCACAGGAAGAAGTAGAGTACAATGTAATGGTTAAGCTTTTTGAAAATTAGGAGTCCATAAATTTGTAATTAGATATAACACATTCAACTCCATGTGTTATTTACATAGCTTCTATTTGTTGCATGTGCACCAGGGCTATTTTTGTGAGTAGAATATGCCTGAATACTGTGCTAGAACTTCTTTTTTAGAATCAGGCAAATAGGATTGGGTTCTAGAGTTTCTTTTAAAGAGGTGTCAGTTGCCAGTATTGCAAAATGGATACTATATCCCTATGACATTTAATGTTCAAATATAGGAAAAAAGGAAAGAGAAAGAGAAAGAAAGGAGGGAGATAGGGAAGGAGAGAGGAAAAGGAGGAAGAAATCTGTTTAATGATTTTAAGTCCATGTGGAACTCACTCCCAGGATTCTTGAGTCTGCTATGAGGCCATGCCATGTCTCATTGCCCAGCACTGGGGCAACGCAGGGAGAGGGAAGGGACAGACAAACAGCCAGTGGAACATGGATTGTTTTGTGTTCTCTGCAGACGAGAGGGAACGCTGCATTGTTAGGGTGATCCTCCATCACTGGGTCTAGATTCCAGGAGGGTATGGGAGGAGGACGGAGGGGGTAGTGGAAGAATGGAATGTGATTTCATTCATGGCAATCTAAGATGATACCTTTCCAGCTCATCTTTCCTTCCAATGTCTTATGACAAATCTATTAATTCTCCCCTTACAGCAGTGAAAGAGCAAGAGACCCAAAGTAAGACCAGAACATGGTTAAGGTGTGAGTTTTATCTTTTTCATTATAAAAATATATAGGTTGCAGAAATGAAATAATTACATGTGGAATCTCCACTAATCAATACTATTTATAAAAATGCAATAATTCATCAGGCTTTATAAAGAGTTAAACTTTGAACCTCTAACAAGTTAAATATAACTTTTTCTTGCAGTCAAAATGACTAGTTCACCGCACCCTGTGTTTTACACAATTATCATGTTTAACTTTCATCCAGTGGGTTACACAGTTGTTCTCAAAGTGTGGTCCCTGGACCAGTGACATAACCTGTGAACTTGTTAGAAATGCAGATTTCTAGACCCCATCCCAGACCTACTGAATCAGAAACTCTGGGGCTGGGAACAGCAATCATGTTTTCACAAGCCCTCTAGATTATTTGGATGCACACTATAGTTGAGAATTACTGCGTTAAGGAGTATTCCTATTTTAGAGATAAGAAAAAGGATGTACAAAGAATTTAAGCAATTTTTCCAGCACCACACAGCTAGAAAGTAGTCAAGACTGCATGACTCCAGAGCCCTTGTTCTTAACATAGCACGTAGGTTTGCTATGTGATGAACCTCAGTTTACTTGGGAATCCGATGTCAAGAATATAGATAAGTGAGAAATATACTATGGAGAAAGAATTTAGATTTCAAAAAAAAATTAACTTAGGACATATGGCTTTAAATGTCTTGCTTGGCTGAATTTTTGGCTATAAAATGTTTAAACTGAAAAAGTTATGACTCAAAATGTTAAATTCAATGCCAGGGAGGTGAAGAGGAAAAAATGACTAGAATCAGAAGCTCCAGAGAATACCAGTTTCCTGCCCCTGTGAAGGGGACAGCCGTTCAATTTCGTGCTAGCAGAACAGTGCTAGACCAAAATGATATCTCAAAAGAAGCCAAGAATCCAAATTTTTGAGTGGAATATTACAATTTTAAAACATAAAATTGTATGTTAGTATGGATTCATAAATTGTGGGGAAAAAAACCTATACGAATTAAAAATGAAACAGAAATCACATAGATTTCACTTACAGAGTGCCATTTTGCAACCTCTGGCTGAGAAATCCTCGTAACATTTTATGAACCCAGATTAAAAGACTGAAGGGATATAAGGTTGATGGAAAATACGTGGGGGAAAGACGTGGGAAATTGAATTCATGGAACTATGTTAAATGATCACTTTATCAAACATGTGCCTAAACCTGATGGCTATGCCATCGTGGCCACTTTTATTGATTCATGGCTTGCAACAGTGTTTCATAATATCTCTAGGCTTGTACAATCTTCACTGGGATCGTGTGACTGCAGACCCTGGTTTCACGAGCAACTGTTTGAGTAAGTGTTGGAAAATTGCCTTTTGCGGTGTATGTCAAGTGTTTATGTGGGCACCATTTTAAATTTTCATTGAGAAAGCCACTCTCTGGACTGAAAAACATTCAGAGGAAGCAGGTTTGGAAAGGTTACTGCAAAATCCATCTCAACTGCAAACAGAAGTGATTTTAATGCCTGTTATTTTGGAAGCAGTTCAAAGTTGTTTTTTCCATTGTAAATAGCATTAAAGTGCTCTTTGGAGGCAAGTATTACTTTTTTCTTGGCCCACTGCACTTCAGTAATGGTTCTTACACACTGAAGGCACAACAATAAGACTCAGGAAGTTATGTACAATGTATCAGGGACAGCAGGGGAGAAGTGGGAGGAGAGAGGAGGTCATCTGGTAAGTATATAGAAGAGAAATTTGGAGGTGGAGATTCTGTGCATGAGAATACCAGCCAAGACAGGGAACATCTGGAAAATCTGCTCTGTATTATGTGGTCATTCCACAAACTTTTCCAAGGAATCACATAAGGAGAATATTACATTTTAATTAGAGCTGGGATTGCTCCAGAGAAAAGAGGAAAAAGGAGGGTGGCTTGGTGAACAAGCTGCCTTTTAGTTTGGCTGAGTCCATGAATTGCAATTAACCACTTAGCTGCCTCTTGATGCATGCTGCATTTCCAATAGCTCAGTGATGTAGGAGAATATCACATTGGGCTCCTGCCCAGCCCTAACCTGAGAAAGGAGAGCAGAAGCAACGGGTGAGTGTCGACTGAAGAAAAGAGGTCAAACCTGGGACATTTCTGTATGAAAGGAGCCAGAAAGCCAACGTGATATCTGTCTCTTCCTCCTTTTACTATTTATGTCGTGCAGCAAGTTCATCAGTTATTCTCAAATAGTAAGGAGGGAAGCAAGAATAAATACAAAAATTTAATGAAGATAAGTAATTTCCTTAAGGTAATATTATTCTATTGCATTTTATGAGAAAATACAAGTATTATGCCAAGAAACAGAGTAGTTCACATCCCTTGGGCCCTCCTTCACGGTAATTAAATACTTTTTAAAAGCTAATAATTTATTAGTTTTTTTTTAATTAAGCATCTAACAAATTTAAAAATTAGGTTTAGGCTGGGCACGGTGGCTCACGCCTGTAATCCCAGCACTTTGGGAGGCCGAGGTGGGCAGATCACGAGGTCAGGAGATTGAGACCATCCTGGCTAACAGGGTGAAACCCCCTCTCTACTAAAAATACAAAAAATCAGCCGGGCATGGTGGTGGGCTCCTGTAGTCCCAGCTACTCAGGAGGCTGAGACAGGAGAATGGCGTGAACCCGGGAGGCAGAGCTTGCAGTTAGCAGAGATCATGCCACTGAACTCCAGCCTGGGCGGCAGAGCAAGACTCCGTCTCAAAAAATAAATAAATAAATAAATTAGGTTTAATAAATCTAATATTATTGGGAAGAAGAAATTGCAAGGAATGGAAGAAACGTTTCTTAGAACTTATAATTTGTTTTTGTTGTTTACAAATTTATCATTCTACATTAATTGAGCTCCAACTGTGCATCAGGCACTGTCCTAGAGCCTGTGGAGGGTATAAAGATAGAAGACCCAGCTGCTGCTCTCAAAGGGCAAACAGCCACATAAGAAAGACAAGGCATAGCACCTCAAAATGTTAATAACAATATAAGCAATAATATATATGATGGCATGTAGTAAGTTGCCAAACTAATGGTTCAGAAAGAAGCACCATGGGTTCTCAGGGTAGAGAAAGCAGGGGGAGCTTCCTAAGGGAGGAAGTGTTTGTGCTGGACATTGAAGGCTGGGTAGAATATGGAAATGGGTAAGAGGAGGATCAAGCAGAGATTGAGCTATGCTCTGAACAAGTGCAGGTAGGCATTACAAGTGTTCAGAGGATGGAGCAGCATGGCTGTGCAGAGGTTTCTGGAGGTAACACAGGAAGGGTAACATTTGAAAGGAGATAGTGGCCAGATTGTATAGAACGTTGACAAGTGTGGAGGACCTTGGTTGAGGATCCCTAGTGTAGGAGAGAAAAGGTTACAAGTGAAAAGAGTCCAAAGCTCATAACCAAATATTTCAGGAATACGCACACTAAACATGTACTAGCAGTAACAGAAGTGGGATACTTCCAAAGGTACAAGAATTTTTTTTTTTTATAATGGTATCTCTATGGCATGTGACCATTTGAATGTGATGTCCGTTGTGATTTCTGTTTCTCTTCCTTGATATCCCAGATCCAAAATTGTTCTTCCATCGAAATACTCTAAATTCCTGACCCTTTGCCTTATTGACCCCATGCCAATAACATTTCAACTCCTTCTCTTTCCCTTTCCAGCATATCTTCTCCAGACAGCATTTCGCACTTGCATATCAGCTGCAGCCTTTCCAAAAGTTGGGGAAATCCTGCAAATAAGGAACATGGCATCTGATTCTTGGAATAACATTCTCTCTACACTCTTCCAGCTGCTGTGGATACATGTAATGACTGATTTTATTTAATAAGAAAGCTCAAAATATTTCCCAATTCAGAACATAACCCTGCATGCTGCTCCCTCTAGTCTAACCAGAAATCCCATTCTCCTCCTCCTCTAACTCAATAAACCAAATCTAATTGGAGAATAATTATAAAATACACTGATGTGCAATTTGTTTCACTTGCTCAATAATTAATTAATACACTACTTATGATTCAGAAGAGCTCTTAAGACACAGCACAAATTCCACTGGATGAAGGAGAATACCAAAGATATAAGCCAGGGGCAGCATCTTTACATAAGATGGGCCAAGAGAAAAAGATAAGAGGGAAAAGAAGACAAAATCTATTTGGGCTTTTTGAATCTATGACGGAATTTGTTTTTCCCCATTTGAGGATTCTCCTCTTGCCCTTTTCTACAAGTGAGGTAGATTATGTGTTTTGTTGATGAATTATCAGCAATACTCACACAGCTGAATCAAGCTAACAGATGGACTTTTTTATTTTTAAACTTTCTAACCATCAGATGCTTTCAGGAGAGAAAACAGTCCTAATCAATGAAATCCAGCTCCTATAAACTCTTAGTTGATTTGAGTATATACATCCTATGCTCATTTGGGCAATATACTACTCCTAGCCCCTTTTGCCTTCATACAATTGAATCTTGCAGTAGGAAATGCCTTAGATTTTTCCTTCATTGTTTCAAATGTGCAGTGCTTATAAATTGCTCTAAAGATTTCATGTAAAATAATTATAAAGCTATCTTCTTTTTCCTTTTGGAGACATGAGAATTAAAGTTAAATTGATTTCTTTGTAACTATTGCAATGAACAATTATTAAATGATCACTAAAACAACGAATTTTTAAAAATATATTTTTTCTTTCTGAACAATTGAACTTATTCCTCTTAACTGGGTACAAGATTCTGGTTGACACCAGGCAACAATCCACCAGTGCCTTTATAAATTAAAAGTCATTATATTTTATTTGAGTCCTTTCAGTTCTGTCTTATAAAATTGCCCTTTATCTTTAGAAGTCTAGTGAACTCTCCTTTATAGTACCAACCTTTGGGGAAGCTACAGTGTCTCTCACCTAATAGTGGTAGAACCTTAGGTCATCCAGGATGGTTGACGTCTCTATGGCCTCTTTTTCACTAGGATCCTGACAGCCTTTCTTTTAATCGCCCATTTCCCTTGGCAAGGCATGCTTAAAGCATTTGCCCAGATCAGGCTGGGTGTGCCCACATCAGAACGCTGTTTTCCTGGAGATCTTATGTTTGTGCAGCAACATGCCTTGCATTGGCAGGCCAGCCCCTCATATGACGAATGAGGACTCAAAATCTACAAGTTCAGCTAATTTCCAATCTAAGGCCTATACAAAGGAAATAGTAAATCCATCACAATATGCTTCTTTGCCGGTGTCTGCATGAGTACTGCTTTATGTTTTTATTGCTGTAAACACGAGATTGAAAAGTCAGTGGAGAACAACTGATCAATTACCTACCTATTGTCTGCAACAAAGTGTGTACTATGTTAAGTCACAGTGGTTTTAATCCACGTTTCTTTCATGCAAGGATGTTATGTAGAGATGCTAAAGGCTTTCTGTTCACATGCAGCATAGTTAACTTTTCAAATCTCTCTTCAGTGTGTCACTTAATCCTTTACATTGCATTAGAAATCTCCTGAACTTGGCAACAAGAACAGTCTTTATGCAAGCTTACTTTTTAGGAACATGAACCTATTTCAAGATTTTTTTTTCTTCTTTAAAAAAAATTCTTTTACACCCAAGAAATTTTTCTTACCAAAGAGAATTAGCCAAGCCAAATAGTCTGGACTTACCTTGTGTCAATTCGTAAAAGGAATTCTGATTAGAATTCATAAAAGGAATTTCATTTTATTATGTGAAGCCATATTGGACAAAGATCAGACAAACTTGCTTAAACAAATTACTATTTCAGGATTGAAGGAACTTCCAAACTACAGAAAACTGAAAGGAACAATTCCCTTCTCCCTTAACTCTTTAGCTAGGTTCTAAGCTTTATATCCTCAATGGTACTCTCATATTTCAGATTTTCTGTCTAGAGTTTGAAGGGAAATATTTCTACCTGTTTTTCTCATTCTATAGGAAACTCATCATGATACAGGATGTGTATGAATGTTTTTAATAAAGATGACTGTGGTAATAAGGCAAACAGATGCATTCAACATTAGAAAGCATCAAACAACATGATAGAACAGATTACAGACTTCCTACAGATTTTCATACAGTGAAGACTAAAATTTGCAATGAACATAGTGGTTGCTTCATAAATGTTTACTGATGGTAATAATACAGTTCACATAATGCAATGCTACTCAAACCTCTTTGTAAAATAGAATCTCCTCAAACCTCTTTGTAAAATAGAATCACATGGAGTGTGTTAAAAGTGCAGATTCCTGAGCCCATCCCCAGAAATGCTGATTCAGTAGGTGTAGAATAGGGCCCAGGAATCTGTAGTTTTCACCAACACCTCAGGTAATTTGGATGTAGATGGTGTGTGGGCCACACTTTGAAAAATACCATTATAGGGCATGAATTGTGAAGAAAGAATGATGTATTTCCAGTAAGCCAAGAAGCACTTTAGAAAGCAACATGGAGACAATTGCTCTCTGATGAGCAGAAGAAAGATTGCTAGTCTGGAAGGAAAGGGCATTCTGTTCATTTGTTTCTTCGCTCATGCCTTCATTCATTTGAACAAATCCCACTGAGCACCTATCACAAAGCACTTCTTTGCTTTCCAGGCCTGTGGCTGCTCTTTGAGGCCCATGCATAGAGATTAGCCCATGAGAAGGCCCATTGTCAGAAACAGAGTCATTGGGCGCAGGAAATTATTCTTTTTCTCCTCAAATTTCCCTTTCTTTGAGGCTGCTAGCCACTGTTCTTCAAGTATAGCCTCCTTGTTTCCAGAAAGATACCATACAAGTGCCCATGTTCTGTTCTCTGTTTTCAGCATTTTGATTTTACTTCCTGAAACCCCCTTTAATGCTGGAGGTTTAAATGACTGGCTGTGAGCTTGAGCCCACAATCATTTGACAGCAGGGTAGACTCTGTTGATGAGAGAGGTGGAGCATGGAAGCTGGTTTAATGCCAACTCGGGCACAGTGGGGGAAATTCCATATTGGAGGAGTTGACACTATTGTTCTCAACTTAGAGTTAGTTTTCTGCTCAGGATAAATTAATGACATCATATAATTCACTTTAAAAATGTTTATTTCCTAAAGCTAAAGGCCAATTAAATGTATTCTTTAAAATAAACAGCATCCCAAATTCCTTAGAATTATATGGAAATAAATCATATTTTATACCATCACATGTACTGCCTAGTATAGGGCTGAGATAAAACAGGATTCCTATAAAATCTCTAATATACAATTTTATTAATGAAAAA
Organism: Homo sapiens; assembly: GCF_000001405.40. Lineage (NCBI taxonomy): Eukaryota > Metazoa > Chordata > Mammalia > Primates > Hominidae > Homo > Homo sapiens. The sequence goes on along the minus strand of NC_000002.12, from coordinate 176,521,794 downwards.
TGGTGGAACATACGTTGTCAACCAGTATAGGAGAAGCAGAAAATGATCTCCTTGTTCTAAATCTGAAAGCCCTGATTTAATGCAGGGCCTTGCGGTAAGATTTAGTTGACTATCAGATGCTTGGGAACTGTCAACTCAGTTTAATATCTAGAGAAGTTCTATTTTCAGAGATGGTGAGACAGGTTTTTTCAGATGAAATCTCCTGCAGAAAAAAACTAAAAATATATAATAAAACATTAATTTAAAAAGTTTCACAAAAATGTCAACAAGCTGACAAAGCTGTAAGGAACTACCAGGCCCAAACCTAAGAGAAAGAGGGAAGCAAGAGAGGAAAGCAAGACCTGAGCACCACAGACGCTTTTATGCAGAAGACATCTGCTGAACTTTGTTGGTCTTATGCAGAGGTGGGCAGAAGTTAAGGCTCAGGGCCAATGCAAGAAGGAAGTCTGAGGAAAAAGTCCTTCCTCACATTAAATGGGGCCCAAAGACTACACCCTCAGAATAAGTATCAACCGTAAGTCAATTAGCCTCTAATACATCCAGAGGTAGAGAAAGGAAGGAAAGCGGGGAAAAAGAAAGAAAAAGTATCCATCTCTGAGACTTTATAGCCACAGGCCACCCCTGATGTGAATTTGCACCTGGGTTTGTTTTGCCTGGAGCTTCCAAGGAGCCTCAACTCCTGAACTTGTTTAAGGTGGTCGAGGATTAGTAATGCTCACAAGTGCCAGGCAGTAGCAAAACTTCTCTGGAGAAAGGCACCTTCATGATAGGCCCGAAAGACACTCACAAATAATTTTCAAAGGCAATGACTAGTACATGCATAAAACTTACTAAACACACAGAAACAAGGTACCTCGAGCAAATCTGTTATCTGCTGAGTAGCCCTAAGCTGTGCGCAACAGAAGGACGATCACTAGGAGAGGAGGGGACACCGTCCCAGCCCCACCAGGGCAGGTGTCTTTTAATACATCTACTATTTGTAGAAAAGTTTCTGCAGCTAAAAATGGTTAAACACTGCAGTGTCATGGAGCTGCAAATATTGGGATTTCTTAATTATGTGACTCATAGGTGCACCCAGTTTTCTGACAATTAGGAAGCCAAACAGAGTAAAAGTCATCAAATTCCTTCAGACAAGAACCTAATCTGCTTGGGAACAAACTATATGTTTAAGGAATTCAAAGAGCATGTAATTTTCTTTAGAATCTAAGAAAAAAACACAAACACTTGACAAGGGGAAAGATTTAGTATTTGGTCCATTTAAAAGGATAAAATTTTAAAAACTGAGGTGAGAAACAGGATCCCAGGTGATGAGGTCCGAGGCAACACAGGGAAGCAGCCCGTGGTCTCCTCGGAAGTTCTGTATGGCTGATATCATTAGTCCAACTGCTATTAATATAACCTGAATTCCTCAGTCCTCCTGATTTTGTTCATGTGTTTTAGATTTGAAAAATGTGTTCTGTCAGAATTATTTGCCCTTAATTTTTAAAATCGTGTGTTTTAGGGTCAATTTGATCTGCATGTTTTCTATTTTCTTATAATTAAACCAGCAAAATGTTCTTTAAAAACTATTTGATGTCCACAAAATCTTCTGAGGCCTTTCAACAAGCTTCTTTAAAGCATTTATATCCCACTTAAAAACAGAAGTTGCGGGCCGGGTGCGGTGGCTCACACCTGTAATCCCAGCACTTTGGGAGGCCAAGGCAGGTGGGATCACAAGGTCAGGAGATCAAGACCACCCTGGCAAACACGGTGAAACCCTGTCTCTACTAAAAAATACAAAAAACTAGCTGGACGTGGTAGTGGGCGCCTGTAGTCCCAGCTACTTGGGAGGCTGAGGCAGGAGAATGGTGTGAACCCGGGAGGCAGAGCTTGCAGTGAGCAGAGATCATGCCACTGCACTCCAGCCTGGGTGGCAGAGGGAGAGTCTGTCTCAAAACAAAAACAAAAGCAAAAACAGAAGTTGCACTGTGTCATGGGTGACCTAATGTAGAAACCAAGAATCCCCTTAAATTTCAAAAATCTTCACATCTGAATAATTTTTGAACTTGAAGAAAATGAGTTCACCCATTGCTAAACTCTGTGTTGCTCAAGAAGACATTTGGAGCAAAGATGAGTTCCATAAGAGGAAAAATCAGGGCTGTGATTTCAGCTAAGGCCCCTGAGGAATAGCTGGAAGCCTAGCTTGTTACATTGCTGTCTACAGAAACAAGGAAAAACTCAAATGTACCAAATATACATCAAATGTTTGACAGGACTAAAGAAATATCATGTCCATATGAAATAATATTCGTTCATGGCTTTAAGAAAACAATAGAATATAAATACATGGATTTCAGCACATCTAATTTGCGCTCTAGTCTAATGCTTTGTTCTTGGCAGCCCATGGAGAATTCTTAATAAATTTACCAACACTGAATAATTAATTCCTCATAAAGGGTAAATGAAATCTGTTGTTCTAACACTAACTGCCGTTACATAGAACTATAGCTTTGCGGTAACAGGGCCAGTGGGTGAAGAGGGTCTTTTGTAGATGGTCATATGGAAAGCAAGCCAGGAAAGTGAGCCTGGTTCTGTAGAAGACTCTCTACCCTGCTCTGCTGGCGTTGACAACAGTCCAGGAGCTGAGCAGCGCTGCAAGGGAAAGCTCTCCAGCCAGCCTCCAGGGTACATTCAGCAGGCATTTCCAGAGAACCTATAAATACCTCTGTCCTGAGCAGCTCCCAGCTCTTGGAGTATGAAGGCCTGTTATCACCAAGCATCAAATACAGAGCAGACAGGATGCAGGGGCTTCCCCAGCAGGGGAGCTGGCACACACGAGCTCTAAGGAAAAGGGATCTAAGTCCATTTCCTGCAATTGTTAGAGAAGGATGGCAGCCTGGCCCATGAGTAGGTTAGAGTCCTATGTGCATTACTGCTCTCATGTGATGGCGAAGATCCCAGTTTATCTGGGCCTTCTTCTACAGAGAAACCCTCTGCATAGGTGCCTAAAAGAATAAAAGTTTGATTTTTCTATTATAGTTAATAAAATAACTCATACTCATAGAGTGCTTCACAGTTTGTAAAGCCCTAACACCTGCATTAAATCTCATTGATAATGAGATAATGATTTTCTCATTGATAGTGTAGATTTTAATCACAACAATAATAGTAGCAATAACAAGCATTATTAGAACAAGTGAGTTTTAGCAAAGTTGCAGGACACAGAGTTGATAAATAAAAATTAATTGTATTTCTACATACTATCAACAAATAATTGGGACCTTTAAACAGCTTTATTAAGATATAATTGACAAATAATAAACTGTACATAAAGTGTACAATTTGGTAAGTTTTAGCATACATGTGTATACATATATATACATATACACACACATATATATGCACACCCATGAAGCCATCACTATAATAAAAAAATGGACATACCCATTATCCTTAAAAGTTTTCTTGTGTCCCTTGGTAATCCCTATCTGTTTTCCCTCTATACCCTTTTCCCGCCCCATTAAGACTCAAAGTTGTCTTGTAGCTCACTGATGCTCTATTCTTTTTAGTTTTTCAGTAAGTTTTCATCTCTGAGTTTCATTTTGGATGGGTGCTATATTTTCAAATTTACTTTTTTTAAATTTTATTTATTCATTTTTTTGAGACAGAGTCTTGCTCTGTCACCTAGGCTGGAGTGCAGTGGCGCAATCTCAGCTCACTGCAACCTCTGCCTCCCTGGCTCAAGTGATTCTCCTGTCTCAACCTCCCGCATAGCTGGGACTACACGCACACACCTCTACGCCCAGCGGAATTCCCTGAACTCCCATCTCTGTTTACTCAACTCAGGGCAACTGCTGGGCCCTGCCTGGGTTGCTGCTCCCTCTGCCATGACCTGGTGGTGAGCTGGGCTCTCCTCACTGTGCTGCATCACTCAGAAATCACTGTCTTTCAATACCTGATGTCCCATGACTTGAAATCCATTGTTTGATATATTCTGTTCAGCTTTTTAGCTGTTTCAGTTGAGGGGATAGATCCAATCCCTGTTTACTCCACTTTGGATGGAAGCAAAAGTTCTACAATTTGAATTTGAAATTGAAAAAAAAAATACTAATACAAAAACATCAAAAATATAAAACTCTGGCCAGGTGTGGTGGCTCACACCTGTAATCCCAGCAATTTGAGAAGGCAAGGTGGGTGGATTGCTTGAGCCAGGAGTCGGAGACCAGCCTGGGCATAGTGAAATGCAATCTCTACAAAAAATGCAAAAATTAGCCAGGTGTGGTGGCATGTGCCTATAGTCCCAGCTTCTTGGGAGGCTGAGGCAGGAGGATTAATTGAGCCTGGGAAGTCAAGGCTACTGTGAGTCGACATGGCACCACTGCACTCCAGCTCAAAATCTATGTATATAAAATCTTAGGAAAAAATGCAAAGTATGTAAAATTTTACACTGAAAATTATAATACATTTTTGACACAAATTAAAAGTGGACCTAAATAAATGGAGAGATGAACCGTGTTCATATATCAGAAGACACAATATTGTTAAGATATCAGTTCTCCCAAAATTGATCTATTGATTCAATGCAATTTCAATCAGACCCCAAGAGGTATCTTTGTAGAAACTGAAAAGCTGATTTTAAAACACATACAGAAATGCAAAAGAAGATGTAGAAAGTTAAATTATTCTGGAAAGAAGAACAAATTTGGAGGATTATGATAACCATTTTCAAGACACGTTATAAAACTATAGCTGGGCACAGTGGTGTGGACCCGTAGTCCTGGATACTTGAGATGCAGAGGCAGGAGGATTGCTTAAGCCTACAAGTTCAATGCCAGCCTGAGCAACACAGTGAGATTCCATCTAAAAAATAAAATTACACACACACACACAGACACACGCTACAGTAGTAAAAATGGTGTAGTATTGGTGTGAATATAAACATATAAATCAATGAGATAGACAGTCCAGAAATGGATCCTCATATCTATAGCCAACAGATTTTCAATAAAGGTGCCAAGAAAATTCAGTGTGGGAAAAGGTAGTCTTTTTCAATAAATGGTCCTGAAAAAATTGATCATCCATATGAAGAAAAACACTTAGACTCATACCTCATGCCATATACAAAAACTAACTCAAAATAGATCAAAGACTTAACTGTAATATCTAAAGCTATAAAACTACTAGAAGAAAACATAAGGGAAAATTGTTTTATTTTGGTTAGGAAAATATTTCTTAGATAGAACACACAAAAATAATGAACCACATAAAAAGTATGATAAATTGGTTTTTAAAAAATCAAAACTATAATAAAGAGCCTGACTCCATTTGGATGGTTGATTTTGACTGCTGAAATCTTTCAAGCCCCACCACTTCCCCTTCCCCTCTGCCCCACATCTGGGCTAGCTGATAAGAAAACCCAGGTGCACCTACCTTTGTTGCCAACGGGAAGTTCAAAATATGCAAGCCCTGGCTCTCATGCACAGGAACTCTCACCCCAACCTCATTCCCTAATCACAGTAAAAGCCAAGCCAAACTCTTTTCTTGCTTTCTCTCAAGCCATTTTTAAACCTGCTTAGGAGCCTGCCCTGCTCTCCCAAGAAAGTCTCATTCTGCAAGCCATAACTTTTTCATATATTCTTGGTGCATGTGTGGTATCACACATCTAAACCAACATCTAAACCAAAACTGGGGAGGGGATCCATCCTGCCTCTGTGGTATAACTACAATTAAAACTTTACAATTCAAAAGACACTGTTTACATTTCAAAAGAAAATAAAAAAGCAAGCCACAGACCAGGAAATTATATTGCAAAATCTCCATTTATATATCTAAAGAACATTTACCTAGAATATAAGAACTCTTACACCTCAATATAAGGAAACAACAAATCCATTTTACAAATAGGCAAAAGATTCAAACAGATTATTCACCCAAGAAACAATCATATGAAAAGATGCTGAACATCACTCATCATTAGGGAAATGTACATTAAAAGCACAATAAGATGTTACTTCCTATCTACTAGATTAACTAAAATTAGAAATACTGATAACACTGAGTGTTGCCAAAGATGTTGAGCAACTGGAAATTTCATATGCAGCTAGTGGAAATGCAAAATGGTGTGGCCATTTTAGAAAGTAGTTTAGAAGTTTCTTGTAAAATTAAACACAGACTTACCAGACAACTCAGCAATCCCACTTTTTCGTACTTACTCAATAAAAATGAAAACACATATTCATACAAAGACTTATGCTGAAATAATTATAGTAATTTGTTCATGATAGCCAAAAACTAGAAATCACACAAATGTCTATCAAGTGGTGAATGGAGAAACAAAATATTTATGTATCCACATAATGAAATAGTTCTCAGCAATAAAAAAGGAACTTACTGATACTGGCAACATCATGGATGACTATCAGAAGCACTGTGCCAAGTGAAAGAAGCTAGACACAAACAACTATACACTGCTTGATTCCATTTACAGTCGTGCATTCCATACTGATGATTTTGTCGTTGTGGGAACACCACAGAGCGCACTTACACAAACATAGATGGTACAGCCTACTACACACCTATGCCAAATAGTATAGCCTATTGCTCCTAGGTTACAAGCCTGTACAGCATATTACCGTACTGAATACTGGAGGCAATTGTAACATAATAAGTATTTGCATATCTAAACATATCCAAACATAGAAAAGGTACAGTAAAAATGTGGTGTAAAAGAAGAAAATAATAATACATCTGTATAGCGTACTTACCATGAATGGAGCTTGCAGGACCGGAAGGTGCTCTGGGTGAGTCAGTGAGTAAGTCATGAGTGAATGTGAGGGCCTAGGACATTACTGTAGTATACAGTATATGTAGTATATGTATACTGTAGTATACAGTATATGTAGTATACAGTATAATGTAGTATACAGTAGTATACTGTAGACTTTATGAACACTGTACACTTAGGCTACACTAAATTTATTTTAAAAATCTTTCTTCAATAATAAATTAACTTTAGCTTACTTCAACATTTTTACTTTATAAGCTTAAAATATTTTTTAACTTTTTGACTGTTTTGTAAAAACACTTAGCTTTAAACACAAACACATTGTACAGCTGTATGAAAACATTTTTTCTTTATATTCTTATTCTATAAGGTTTTTTCTATTTTTATTTATTTATTTTTTACTTTTTTGACAAAAACACAAATATACACATTAGTTTAGGCCAACACGGAGTTAGGATCATCAATATCTCTGTCTTCCACCTCTACATCTTATCCCACTGGAAGATTTTCAGGGTCAAAAACATGCAGGGACCTGTCATCTCGTATGATAATAATGCCTTCTTATGGAATGCCTCATGAAGGACTTGCCCGAGGCTGTTTTACAGTGAATGTGGGTGTTTTCTTTTAATAAATAAAAGGAGTATACTCTAAAATAATGACAAAAAGTACAGTATAGTAAATACTAAATGATAGAAATGTTTCGGCTCCGTTATAATCTGTCATAGAGGTGGCCCATCCTTGACTGAAATGTCTTCAGATGGCGCATGACTACATATAAAATTCTACAAAAAATGAAAGTGGGAGTAGGGAGGGAATTGCAATGGGATACAATAGAATATTTTGAGGTGGTGGCAATTTTCTATAATTTTCATTGTGGCGTCGGTTATATGGCTACATACATTTGTCAAAACACATTGAACTGTACCTTAAAATTGGCCCATTGTCAATGTAAATTATATCTCAATGAAAAATGTTAAGGTCAATTTCTCTTGTCTATTGACTGATAAAGCACTGCACTGGGCTCTTTAGATTATTTCTGTGTCACATACACTCATGCACCGTATAATGACGTTTCATCCAATGATGGCCCACATATACAGTGGTTGTCTCATAAGATTATAATGGAGCTAAAAAATTCCCATCACCTAGTATTTACTAGAATATACTTTTGTCATTATTTTAGAGTGTACTCCTTTGACTTTTAAGAAAGTGTTAACTGTAAAACAGCCTCAGGCAGGTCCTTCAGGAGCTATGAAGAAGGCGTTATCATCATAGATGACAGCTCCATGGGTGTTACTGCCCCTGAAGACCTTCCAGTGGGACAAGATGTGAAGGTGGAAGACAATGATATTGATGATTCTGACCCTGTGTCGGCCTAGACTAATGTATGTGTGTGTGTGTGTGTGTGTGTGTGTGTGTGTGTTTGTGTGTGTGTGTCTTTATTTTTAACTAAAAAGTTCAAAAAACCAACAACACATTTTTAACAGGAAAGAAGCTTATAGAATAAGAACGTAAAGAAAGAAAATATTTTTGTAAAGTGTACGATGTGTTTCTGTTTAAAGCTAAGTGTTATTACAAAAGAGCCAAAAAGTTTTTAAAATTTTTAAAGTTTATAAAGTAAAAAAGTTACAGTAAACTAAGGTTAATTTATTTTTGAAGAAAGTTTTTTATGAATTTAGTGTATCCTGGGTGTACAGTGTTTATGAAGCCTACAGCAGTGTACAGTAATGCCCTAGGCCCTCGTAGTCCCTCACTACTCACCAACTCATCCAGAGCAACTTCCAGTCCTGTGAACTTCATTCATGCTAAGTGCCCTGTACGAGTGTACCATCTTTTTTCTTTTACACCATATTTTTTACTGTACTTTTTCTATGTTTGGATATGTTTAGATATGCAACTACTTATGTTACAATTGCCTCCAGTATTCAGCATCCTGTACAGCTGTAGAGATTTGTAACCTAGGAGCGATAGGCTATATCATTTGGCCTAGGTGTGTAGTAGGCTATACCATCTAGGTTTGTAATAAGTACAATCTATGATGTTTGCACAATGACAAAATCATCTAAAGATGCATTTTTCAGAATGTATTGCTGTTGTTATGTGATGCAAGACTGTACATTATCTTACTTGATCTTTGCACAGATCCAGTATGGCTCTGTAGGGCAATTCTACAAAGATGGGCTTAGGGAGGCCAAGGGAATTGCCTAAGATCATGCTATCTGTAGGTAAGTTGCAAAGCTGGAATTTTTATTCTAGATTCAGCATTCTTTCACCTACAAAGCCTCTTTTTCCATGGAAATTCATATTTTTAAAACTTCCCTTAACATTTTCAACGTGCTGCCATCTTGGTTCCTTTGGACTACTCTGACAAAACACTATAGACTGGGTCCCTTTCCCAAAACATAAATTTATTTCTCATAGTTCTGGAGACTGGAAAGTCTAACATGTGTTCTGACAGATTATGTGCCTGGTAAGGTCCTGCCTTCTGGTTCATAGATGGTATCTTTTGGCTGCGTCCTTAAATAGCAGAAGGGGCAAACAAGCTCCTTTGGGATTATTTTACAAGGCCACTAATCCCACTCATGCCCTCATGACCTAATCACCTTCCAAAAGTCCCACCACCTAATACTATGCCTTGGGGCTTAGGATTTCAACATATGAATTTGGGAAAGGGCAATGCATACATTCAGATCATAGCAGTTGCTTTATACTACTTTAAGTAATCAAGAAAGAAGATACAGACCATCTCTTTTTTTTAACTATAGATCATTATAGAGGGCTTTATTATTCTGTATTGTGACCACCTTATTTAGCACCCACTTTATAATTTTAAGACAATTCTTCATCTCAATAGAGTAAACAGGTTATTCTCTTATAACTTGGCAATTAGCATTTTCTCACTGTTTGAGCACTTGGAAAAATTTAACTGTGAAGCTGAAGAAGAAAATGTCCCATTGTAGATTAGCTACAATGGAGTAAAAATGTTGTCTTTAATTCGGAATAAGCACTCTTTGTCACAGTTGGGCTGGAAAGGGGAGAGTATGCTGCCTCAGCCTTGCACTGTCCCACTTAACATTGACATGAAGGCCCAACAGAGTATTACCATGATGTGATGGTTAATACTGAGTGTCAACTTGATTGGTTTGAAAGATGCAAAGTATTGATCCTGGGTGTGTCTCTGAGGGTGCTGCCAAAGGAGATTAACATTTGAGTCAGTGGGCTGAGAAAGGCAGACCCACCCTTAATCTGGGTGGGCACCATCTATTCAGCTGCAAGTGCTGCCAGTATATAAAGCAGACAAAAAAACATGAAAAGGCTAGACTGGCTTAGCCTTTCAGCCTACATCTTTCTCCTGTGTTGGATGCTTCCTGCCCTCAAACATCAGACTCTAAGTTCTTCAGCTTTGGGACTCAGACTGCCTTCCTTGCTCCTCAGCCTGCCGATGACCTATTGTGGGACTTTGTGATCATGTGATTTATTACTACTTAATAAGTTCCCTATTATATATCTATCTATCCTATTAGTTCTGTCCCTCTAGAGAACCCTAATATACATGATGTCTTTGCAATATCTATAAGCCACTTATACTATTATTAATTTACTTTTCTCTTTAATTCTCCTACTTTCCGTATTTATTCTAATCATAAACAGTATTTATGAAATCAGATTTGTTAAGTTATATATGCTGATACACAGCAAAATAAATACATAACAAAATGTAAAAGGGGACTTTCCCTGTCATCTCAAAATTTTGGCTAAGTTTCAAAGCTTTTAAAAAGGAATGAGAAGTGCCCCAGTCATCTAAAGTAAGGTGCTAATAGGTGGCCAAGCTTGTCCTTTAGGACTACAAAGAGAAGGTTGAAGATTCATCAGGATGAGAATATCTCATTGGATTAGAGGATACTGTGGGTTCTTCCCCTTCTACTCTGAGCAAAGTAAGGGAGGTCCCAAGAAAACCACTCATGATGATCCTTGCCAGATGTGGACGCTGGCTTCTTACTCCCTAGCCAGATGCAAGCTCTGGGGAGCTAAGCTCCAGAGCATTTGTGAATTCTTGGGGGAAGCCCAAGTCACATCCCCTGGAGTCTTGGACAACCGAAGGCATCAGAGTACAAGAGGTTACTTGGTGCTTCCACCAGGCAGTAACACAAAGACAGGGCCAAGCAAGCTGCCCTTCTACAAATGGCAGATAGAGCAAGGTATGTGAGCTTCCATGAGCCACGGGCAATGCCCCAGAAAGGAGTGGGGTTAGAGCCATCTTGAAGGGATGCTACCCAAGATTCACCTGCTGAGGAGAGCAAAAGCAAATCCTGACAGAGAGGCTGATTGGGTGAAAGCATCTCCAAAGGGCCCGTAAAAATGCCCCCAGAGAAAACCAAGTTGGGCCTCTGTCCCGGGGAAGCCTCTGACAGCAAGTTTATACCAGTTCCAGGCAAGCCAGTCTTTCTGTTGTCCTCCAATCCCCCTCCCCTGGCCTTGACTCTGGGGATGTCAGTGGTAACACTATGAATTGGAGTCAGTGAATCAAGGAAAGCAAAATAAACCATCACTCTCTTTTCCTACTATTGGTCTTCAGAATCAAGGGTAAGGATTCAGATGGTGGAGGGCAAAAACTTTGAACTGGATGAAAGATTGAAATCTAGGTTTTCATTTGACTGGAGTTTTTAATACATGAGCATGAGACTGTTCAAATACCAAAAATGATTCAAAAAATTATGAAACTGGTCTAGACTATCATTCAGCAGCAGAACGGAGAGCTGTAAGAGTGCATGGGATACAGTAGGGGATGAAAACCATGCCATTTCTTGATTGTACCTCACGGCATTCAGCCCACTCAACACATTGTTAAAATTAAAAAATGTTCATTTATGTACTTAAAATCATGTCACATCCACCCCACTCCCAACCGATCACCTACATTTCATATTCCACACTTTAGGAAAGAATGAGTCACGCCACACTAGAATAACAGGACCATGGAGATGACAGCATTTCAGCATTGAGAAGGCCCTTGGCCGTTACCTATGTTAAGCATCAACTGGAATCACTTAGAGATAAGGATAAGATCCCAGAGATGGTAAATGACTTGCCCCAAACCATACAGCTACGTAAACCAGAATTCAAGCGTTGTGATCCTAGATCAAAGTGCTTTCCTGAATTCTACATTGTGTCCCTGGTTCACCATTGGCAGATTTTACTATTGTGTTAGAAATTCAATGATCAAATATATAAAATTTGTCTGCCAAGTTGTTTTACAAGAGAAAAAAACAAACTCTGAATTTTCCCAATTTAATTAATTCAATGTTAAAATTCTGGGAAATACTCCTCAGATTTCTACTCTATCTTTAGTAGTCTGCCAGGCCACTCACTTATGTCAGAGGCTGGGCTAGTAACACTATGAATAGGAGATTTGATGTGGAGCATTCATTAATTCAGCAAATGTTTATTAAACATCCTGGCAGGCCATGTGCTAGGCACGGGGAGTACAACAGAAACAAGTTAGAGTACTTGCCCTCCTGTTGTCCAACATTGACAGATGAGACGACAGACACATGCAACAAAGTGTTATGACTGCTCTGATGAGAGCCAAGAGACATCAGAACCAGTCTAAGGGGGCAAAGAGGGCTCCTGGAAGGCTTTACCTAAATTCACACATACACATACACATACACATACACACATACAGATATACACACATGAATGTGGTTCCCATCGGAGATCATGACTAACCAAAATGAAATCAAGACTTCCACTGGTTTGCATGGTTGGGTGAGCAAGAAAAAAAATCCTCTGACAGATCCCACATCTCACCCGGTGGGGCTCTAAATGTAGGCCCCTCCTACTCTCTCCCTACATGATGTAAAAGAAACCACACTGGGTTGTTCAAGAAAAACAATCTGCCTTGTAATTACATATCTTTCTGTGGCTTTGCAAACGAAGACACCAAAATGCACAGCTAAATTAGTCAGAGCCTGCAGTAGGCAGAATATGGCCCTCCAAAGATGTTCATGTACCAATCCCCAGAACCTTTGAATATGTTACCTTACATGGCAAGAGGGACTTTGCAGATGTTATGAAGGTTAAAGACCTTGAGATGGAAAGATTATCCTGGATTATACAGGTGGTCCCAATCTAATTACAAGGGTCCTTAAAAGTGACAGAGAAAATCAGAGAGTCAGAGGGAGACATGACAATGGAAAAAGTGTCAGAGAGATGCAACCTATCTGTCTTTGAAAACGGAGAAAGGGGTGGGGTGTGAACCAAGAAATATGGACAGTTTCTAGAAGCTGAAAAAGGCAGAGATTCTCCCCAAACTCTGCCAACACCTGATTTTAGACCAGTGAGACCCGCATTGAACTTCTGACCTGCAGAACTATAAGGTAATATATTTATGCTGTATAAGCAACTAACTCTGTGGTAACTTGTTACAACAGTGATAAGAAACTAGTAGAGAGTGGGTGATATCTCACTAGAATGAGTTAAAAGTGTGGTTGGGCAGTGGTTTCCAGAATTTGACTGGTGTCCTTATAAGAAGCAAGGATTGAGACACAGACAGTTTATGACATATAAATAGGCTAATGTCTAAGATGGCATCCAAACTATTTTCTTTGTGTGTGTATATGTTTGTGTGTGTTTAAATCTGAATTTTAGTTATTAAACAAATGTGATTTCATAGGCAGTAGGGGTTCCTTGAGAGAGAAGTGTAACGTTCTACAGATGAGGATGGTTGGCTGCAGAGTGTAGGAGAAATACACAATGAATATCATGTACCTCTTTTCCCACTGGGAAAACAGAGATGATGCCCAGCAGTGTATTGTGGGCCCTGAGAAGCCACAGGGAGCAATGGCCTGGAGGCAGGCCTGAGCACAAGAACCTATGCATTTATTCTCTTTTCAGTTATCTGTGCCACTGAGAACATACCTGAGGAGACAGATAGGTTACCGAGGCTATAAAAACCCGAGATATGTGGTGTGAGACTCATTACTTGCTTTTACTGTCCAAACAATGAGGAAGAGTAATTTGTAAGTATTCTTTTTACAGTGGTGTTGGAAAGGAATTCTTCTTCCTCATTCTTAGTGGTAAAAAGGCACCCATGAGGATAAGTGGGAATTGCATCATGAATTTTTCCTTTGTCCTCAGCAGGATCCTGCTTCTGCATTTGCTAAAAGTGCGATTTATGTGAAATGGACTCCTATGCTCTCTAAAAGTTCACCTACTGGCACAGATCAAACAATAATAGCTGTGTGATAAAATACTTCTGCCCTTATGATGTAATGGAACTGCTCTAAATGTAAATGCTTCAAAGTTCTTTTCCATCTTTGCTTTCCCCAAAGTACAAACAATTTGCCCTTTTATTTTATTTTCCTGCAGACTTGCTCTTTGTACCCCTCCTTGGTTTATGTTCCTGGTGATCGGGTGTTGGGTTTGAAGAACTTTATATAGTATCACAAATACCTAGAACTGATGAGGTCTTTAAGAGTTCATTGAATCCTTTGTTCATCTAATTTGGGGCTTCACCCAAGATAGCTGAGGTATAAGATGTTTACCATACTCCTAAAGATGCACTGGCTTGGAGACTGACTATTATGGGCTGAATTGAGTCTCGTCATCCCTCCAAGTTTATACGCTACAGTCCTAACTCCCCAGTAACTCAGAATATGACTGTATTATTTCATGATACAGTCTTTGAAGATCTAATTAACTTAAAATGAGACCATTAGGGTGACCGCTAATCTAATTTGACTGGTGTCCTTATAAGAAGTGAGGATTGAGGACAGGCATGGTGGCTCATGCTTGTAATCCCAGCACTTTGGGAGGCCGAGGTGGGTGGATCACTTGAGGCCAGGGGTTCGAGACCAGCCTGGCCAACATGGTGAAACACCGTCTCTACTAAAAATAAAATAAAAAAAAAATTAGCTGGGTGCGGTGGCGGGAGCCTGTAATCCCAGCTACTTGGGAGGCTAAGGCAGGAGAATCACTTGAACCCGGGAGGCAGAGATTGCAGTAAGCCAAGACCGTGCCACTGTACTCTAGCCTGGGCGACAGCAAGACTCCATCTTAAAAATAAAAGTGAGGATTGAGACACAAACAGGCACAACAGAGGGAAAACCATCCGAAGACAGAGGAAAAGACGGCCATCTACAAAACAAAAGGAGAGGCCTCAAAAGAAACCAACCCAGGTGACATCTTGATCTTGGGCTTCTAGCCTCCAGGATCATAAGAAAATAAATTTCTATTGTTTAAAACTGGGTGGTTTGCTCACAGCATTAGCAAAATGATAGGGAAACTAAAGCCATTAGTTTGTTTACTGTTAGGAGAATTCTCCTAGGTCTTATAAAAATATCACTAGCTCTAAATAGTGGACTTTTATTTTGTCTTTCATGGAAAGGTTAGCAAGTTCTTTAAAAATATCCTGAATATATTAAGGGAATGTGGAGTGTTATACATAGAAGGGGTATACAGACTACTATTTCAACTACTTCTTTTTTTTACAGATGAGGAAACTGAAAGCCAAAGAGATGAAATGACTCTTCCAAGGTCACCTGCAAGTTGGCAGCCAAGCAAAGATGTCCTGTGTCCAGGACACAGGTCCTGGACCCCTGGCTCTTTGCTTCCTTATATTAGAACAACTCGAAAAATTTCTAAAGAAACCAATGCTGGAAGGTATAACGAGAATCCAGTGAGTGGGGAGTGGAGTATGGGAGCATAGCTTACCAGGATATGGTAGTTATGGGTTCCAATTTTCCCTGATAATAAAAATTGTTCAATATTTTAAATTATTCCAGACCAAACAGTTGTGGGCTTATGTTTCATAATCAATTCAGAGGATTCCCTGGACTTTTAACAATCTACCATTATGTAATATGACTATTTCTCCCCTCTTGGAAGTTGGAAGGCATTTCAATGAATTTACCCTGCCATGATGTACCCCCTGATCGGGCACGTTGCTTTGCGTCCCCCAACATGCTTCCTTGCCTCTGATGCTCTCCCATATGCCCTCATCTGTCCCCCATCGCACTGACTTTTTGCCCCAGACTGTTTAGTCTCACAGTTATCTTTTTCTAGAAGCTCTTTGAAGGACAGAGTGCTACATAAACCATAAAGTAAAGAAAGATACAATTTCATTATCTTACTCTTTTTTCTCCCTTTTCATCTTTTTCTTACCAACCCTCCAATCTCTCACTTGGAGAAGTGGTGGCAGGGTTTATAAAGAAAACTCAAAGTGCTAAACTTCCTCACTCTTAAGTCCAGTTCTCTTTGTCATTGGAGCACATTCTATCCATTTTCCTGCACTCTGGTGACCACTAATGCCAGCCACTGGAAGCCAAAGCAAGGGCCAAATCAGGTGATGGTGTAGATGCCTGCAGAGGCTCAGTAACAACAGATGGAGGCCAAACCTGCAATTTAGGGGTGAGATGAAGCCCATTTAATAGAGCACAGAGGAGGGACCCTAGCTGAGCTGGACTGTGATTTCTCCAGTTATCAAGTAGACAGAATTGCCTATGTTAACCCTTTGACTTCCTAGGTTGAGTTTCTCAAAATGAGGTCTTTGGACAAGCTGCATCAGAATCACATAAGGGCTTAATAAAAATACAGATTCCTGAATCTCATTCCAGACTTATTATTTCAGCAGCTTGCCAAAATCAGGGGTCATAGCCTTTAGGATACTATCTTAGTGTCTTTGTGTTTCTTTTTTAAAAGTAGTAACATAGAAATTCTATAATATCAAGGGTCTTTGGCCAGTTATTTTACTACTCCCTTATTTTAAAATAAAGAATTATTTAGTGTTACTTTGATATTATTCAGGCCATTTTAGTTTAGGGGATCCTGCCTGTTTTTGACAAGTACTAAAAACGTTTATGAAATCAGAATCTGGGGGCTCAAGCCTTAGGGTCTGCATGTATGTTAAGCTCCTGTGTGAGTCTTACATTCACTACAATTGGAAAACTACTTCCTCTAGTTTTCTTTCTCAATCCTTTTGGTT
Source organism: Homo sapiens (assembly GCF_000001405.40). Classification (NCBI taxonomy): domain Eukaryota; kingdom Metazoa; phylum Chordata; class Mammalia; order Primates; family Hominidae; genus Homo; species Homo sapiens. Next base: position 176,505,046 of record NC_000002.12, on the reverse strand, counting down.
GATATTTTGGGGAAAATGAAAGAAAGGGAGTGAGGGGAGGAAGGAAAGTTTATCCCCACTTTAGTCAACTAGGTTCAATTCGGTCCGTACTTGCCCTACTAAACAGATACGCTATCACTGCATTTTGCTCTACCTAGCATCCAACCTTTTGTCCTGTTTGAGGTGAACCATTCACCATATGTATATAGTATTCTTGGGATACAGTGCCCTGCTCCTCTGGATAGCTCAGGCAGAGAGGGCTTCTCTGGTCCCACCCCCTGGTAGTCAGGGCTTGAGCATGTGAGCATACTCAGCCATTTGATGCTTCCACCAGGATACTGACCCAGGGATAAGTGATGGGTTTATAGCTGTGGGAACAGCATCCAGCAGGAGCAGTGTGAACAGCTTGGCCAGATCACATTGCCTAACTCAACTGATAATGATACCATTTAATAATTAGATAATTTGGTATGACAGAAAGCCTTGAGCTAGTCATTGCAAAATTCTATCCTAACCCTGGCTCAGCCACTGGTGAGCTGCCTGACTCCAGGCAAGTGGCTTCATCCTTCCAGGACTTATGTGAATCATTTATAACAAGGAAAATCACTGTCCCTAAGCTGCTTAGTAGAATTGTAGTGAGATTCAGATTTTAAATATATGTGTGCTTTGTAAACTACAGAATACAACAGAAACGTTAGTGGAAAGTAAAATTTTTAATTTTATACTACTCTTACAGAAAAAAATTTCTACTTAGCAAGAGGTATTTTTTTAGAAAAAGATTCTTTTCTTGTGTGACTTTTTAAAGTAGCATTCAATTTGCTGATTTTTAACATCATGAGTTTTTATATTTTACTAAGTCCCTGTTGTTTCATCTCTTATCAAACAGGCAAATTCCCCAACGGAATAAAAGCATTAAACAAAATGCTGTACACACTATAGTAAAAGCCAATGGCTTTTCTCCTCCTGAAAAACAAACAAACAAAAAAGCCAAAAAACTTTACATCCATTTCCCAACAGCTGTTGCTTTTTAGAGAAACCAAATATTCTTGGAAAGGGCCACAGACATTCTGGATTCAAACCATTTATAAGCTTTGGAAATGTAACATGCAGTCAGCTTGCCAGTTTTAATCTTGTACTTCCATTAAACACACCACAACTGCATCATAAAACAGAAAAGGGAAGAATTTATAAACAAATAAAACAGTTATTTGGGGCAATAAAATAGCAGTTCCCTCCCAAGTGTGGAATTGGTGTGTCTCAACCCACAGAACTCTGAAATCTGTTCTTCAGGGGTCTAGCAACTGCAAGAAACAAATATAAATCAGAGATTTCAGGAGTACTCCTGGGTCCACTATTCTTAGCTCCACATCCATGTCCTCAGCCCCCTCTGAACTCTCACTTTGCATTGGCTACAAAAAAATTGTTCCAGGGAGATGACCAGTTCCGAGCCCATTAGTCTCCTGATCTCTGTTCTATAGCCAGGGTTCTGATCAAAAAACAAAAAGCTAGAAGATCCATAGTTATGGCTTTGTCTGCAACAGAACAGTTAGTGGAGGGATAGAGAATTTTCTCAGATGTGCTTCTCTTTCATGAGGTGTACCCATCTGAGAATTAGGCAGGCACAGACCTATCTGTGCTGGCCTTCTCATGCACTGGTGAGGAAAGAGCAGGCTTTGCAGCTACAGGAACCAGGTTGAAATCCTGCCATTGCCTTGTGCTTGCTTTATGATCACAGAAGCAAAAGCAGGATCTTTATTCTGAGTTTTATTCATTCACCAGATCTTTATTAAGCACCAACTACATGCCAGGTGCTGATCTTTAAGTTTTTTAGCAGTTGAATGTTGATACTAAGTCCAGACCTCAGAGGGCTGTTGTGACAATCAAATGAAAATATATATGTATGTATGTATATGTGTGTGTGCATGTATGTGTATAAGATATGTATGTGTACCCTAGCACATGCTATGTTCTCACAAGTATTCACTCCATTAAAGCAGCAGATAAGAATAAGCAGTAAATGTGTTAGAAGAAGAATTAAAACTGTATTTCAAAGTATGGTTTTTATTCAAGAAAGAAAGGGAGACAGAGAAGACTACTAGTATTTTCCCTTATCAGTGAGCCCTGGCTTCACTCATGTGAACTGCAAAGTAGTCAGGGTGGAGTGAGGGGTGGCTATGGCTGTGGGATAGAATGGAGCCAAGTGGACCATGTGAGGTACACTCATGACCTTTGTCTTCTAACACTCAGGACCTGCACTCTCTCCCACCTCTGGAAATGTTTACAGTCCATTATGTAATCAGATGCACACATGCTATCTAGCAGGAAACTGTGCCTCTTCACAGAGGTCTGGCTTTTGGTATGTTTTGTTTAAACTCTTTAGAGATAAACTGCCATTTACCTGTTTAACAGCCCACATAATATGTAGACTAGAGCTGTTCCCTAAAGATGCTCAGACAGTGACTTGTAATGGTTATGAACAATTACTTTTAGATTTAAAAAGGAATGAGATTAGTACATGGTACCCTTATAAACTATTTCCTAGGTCCTAAGTCAACCTAAGGGGAAAAAATACATGATAGTCAAATTTGTGTGAGGCCTACATAAATGTTTGGTACTGCTTGAAATCTTTCTTAGACATAGCAACTACACACAGGCTGCTGCCTCAGAAAATGCCAACCAGGACACTAATGACTGAAGTTAGAACTGAACATTAGCCCTAACAAAATAACAAGGGGCATAGGGAGAGAAAAAGGACTTAATTCTTCTTCAGGTTGGTATCTTAAATATTTAAAATTCAAAGATTTCTAGGCTATATGGGCAGTATTGTGGATTATCTGATTTCCAGATAGACTGGGTTCACTCAAACCTAAATGAACCTTTTATTCTTGGAAGTATATATGGCAGAGAGATTGAATCCATGTGTGTCTAATTCATCTGCACATTGACTGTGGAAATATCTTCAAGTTATACTCTGGAACAGATCTGTAAACCTTAAGCAAGCACACCATCTCTTCCACCTAAGGACCTATTGAGACCCATGAGTGGCAGTACCTTCTTCTTGTTCCTAAGTCTTGCCAGCTCTTGTTGCCTCTTACGTACAAACAAAGCTCAAGTGAACCAGGAGTCATTTAGAAGGCAGTCAGAGTGCTGTCCTTTCATCAGCTCACCTGGTGCTCTAATAAAATATCTAAGAGGCTCACATCTGGCAGGTAATAAAATACAGAGTGGAATGAGGACGCCTAGCTGCTGAGGTGCTCTAGCAATTAAACAAAGCCATAGCAACATTATTTCAACTATAGCAATGCCAGGATTTTAATGAGGCAAAGCTGAGAGCCCTCTTTATGGATATTTTTCCTGTGCTAGTTTCACTGGCTCTGCTGCTCCCATGCTGCTGAGTGTTCCATACACAGCACCATCAAACCGACTCACAACCCAAACAAGGAAAATGCTTCTTAACATGACAGAATCAAACACAATAACACTTATCTCCCGCTCCCACAGTCTCCAGGGTGGTGGCATTGAAGGGTGGATCTCCTTTTTTCTTCACCTCTTCTTAGTCTCCCAAATAAGAATAAATGTTAGATCTCCTTGCAGGAAGAGACAGCTATGCCAACCACACAGGACATGTTCTGACTGTCAACTGTGATGGATGAGATTCTGTGCATTTAATAAATATAAATGTCATAATGCAACCATCAAATTTAATAAACAAAAATACCACAAACCATCTTTCCTCTCTGCTCCATGTGCTCCTTTAAAGCTGATAACATTAGAACACATCTTGCCCAAGCTATAACCTCACCATCTGCCTGGCTCAACTTCTGAAGACTTGGTATGGGCTAAAAAGAAAAGCAAATGACTTCACACTGAGGAAGGAAAAAAAAAAAAAAAAGCAGAGAGGGAGGGCGGGGGAAACTGGTTGGCTTTTCTCACTCCTCCTTTTCCTTGTGACCCATTTGTTAACTCTAGAACCAGATGTAACTATATGAGCATTAGTTCATCCCTCAAGAATTATTAGGAAGGCAGGCCATGGGGAGCATTTTTTTGCTGGAGTTACACAAACTAAAAAGCATGTTTTACCAACAAGCTGAGTTGCTCATTTCAATGCTTTGATTTGGAAATGTGTGCAATGAGATGCAGAAAGTAACTGATTAAGGATACACTGTCTTTTGATGGCGAATTAATAATAATCATAAACACAACAATAAACACATACCAAAAAAATAGTTTCATTCCCAGGGGATACAGAAGGCAGACTCAAAGCTATAACTGGAAAAGGTTCTTTATGCTGATGTTTAGGAAACCTTAGTGGCTAAGGGAATGCTGAAAAGGATAACCAAATCCAAAGAACTTTAGAGAATGTCTCATACCATGAGGGAGCAAAAGATCTGCTAGATCCAAATATTTTAACATGCCCTTTTATTGAGAGCCTGCTGTGTCCCACATACTATATATATATTTTTATAACTTAATCTCATTAAGTCCTCTCAAGAATACACAAAAAAGATACTTTTTACCCATTTTAGTGACTGAAGTGTACAGAGGCTATATAAAGTGCTCCAGTTTACAGCACTGATTTAGTAGAGCTGGGATTCAAGCCTAGGTCTAACTTACCCCAGAACTGCTACTCCTTCCTTTCTGGGATACCCCAGTTTTTCTTTGGGGAGCTAATCCTCCCTCACTGTCAAACCACATATTTTGACCATACCTCCCAGTTCCAGGATTCCCATTTATGCCATCTGGCTTGGAGCACATGTTCATAGCTAGTATGGTATGAGTATGGAATCAAGAAATGGATTCAGATGCTCTAGAGACATTGGTGGCTAGAGTCGTTGTAGGTTAGAAAAAGGACATTTGTTTACACCTAAAAATACCCAAGGTGTTCAAGTTCAATCAAAAGAGAGTATGAGTTTCAGGATATGTCCACTGGTTGCTGCTATTCTCATTTCCCATCAGAGATTCCTAGGCAGGACCCTGTGCAAACATCTGCATAAGAAAAATCATCTCACCACTTCCAGGTGTGGTATAATTTTCCTCTCTTTAGTAACAAACCCACATGCTTCATTTCTTCCAAAGCACACTTCAAACCTCACATCTTACACAGTATGCTTCCTCAGGAAGCCAGAGAAGCTGAGTGTCCCTACTTGATCTCCAAAAGCCCAGCCATTTCATTCCCTTTCTGGTTCTATGTGTCTTGGGTTGGCCAGGTCCTGCAGCTCATCTCAGTCACTAGCAAAGTTACACGTACCCCATGACATAACTGAACAAGCAGAAATAAGGGGGGTGAAGAGGGAGTCGAGGGGTTGGGGAGAAGTGTCTCTGCAGATTTGGTGGTCCAGGCAACCTCACTGGAAACTGAGTATCAACGGTTCTTTAATATATAAAACTCAGACACCTGCAGGGCTGGACAGTGAGGGGAGGCAAGAGGATGCAGACTGAGCAGACGGGCCTTTTCACTTGAGCCAAAGTCTCCCTACATTCACTTGGTACACAGTGGAAAAATAGCAATGGAAAAAATCTCACAGAGATTTTGCTACCAAATTACTACTGGGACATCACATTGTGATCAAAAAATTTTATTTGGAGCTGGGTGGGATCTCTGATTACAAACGGTCTCTTTCTCTTCTCAGTTTTGATTGTATTGCAAGACATTTTGCTAGTGTCACAAAAATTTAATAACTTCAGTGTAACAATTATCATTTTTCCTCTTGACAGAACTCTCAGACAATGGGAAGCAGCAGTACTCAGCACAATTATTGCTGCTTAGCAGAGAGGCCAGCAGGGGTGGGCAGAATTCTGCAAGAGACAGTCCATGCCCTGAAAGCTAGGAATCTAATTTACCCAAAGGCCATGGCCAATGCTATAGTTTAGAGACTTCTACAATTTTCCTAGCATGATCTCATACCTTGAAGGTCAAAGTTTACTATTGTGAATTCTTCTCTGCAGAGTCTTCCGATTAAAAAAAGAGAGAGAGAGGTGGGAAGGGCGGTGGGTGAATGAAACCAAATTTTCCACCTCTAATACCAAAATAAGACACATATAAATGTTAGTAGCAGAGAGGGGAGAAAGTGGAGGGGAAAAAAGACAGAATTCATGCCTCTCTTCTGTCCAGATTTGTCCTTCTTTCCTTGCTTATGCTTTCGAAAAGGACTAAGAGATGCATGCAATGGATCCTGCAGGTTGCTCAAGGAAGGCTTCCTCCCCTCTGGACTGTATTCACATTAGCACCAGTCAACAGCAGAAGAATTTGGCACCTGTTAATTACTTTTTTTTTTTTTTGAGACAGGGTCTGGCTCTATTGCCCAGGCTAGAGTGCAGTGGCACAATTTCAGCTCACTGCAACCTCTACCTCCTGGGCTCAAGCGATCCTCCTGCCTCAGCCTCTGAAGTAACTGGGACCACAGGCACACGCCACCATACCCAGCTAATTTTTTGTATTTTCTGTAGACACAGGGTTTCACCATGTTACCCAGACTCGTCTCAAACTCATGAACTCAACCGATCTGCCTCCTTGGCCTCCCAAAATGCAGGGATTACAAGCATAAGCCCATCCTGTTAATTACCATGTTAAATTCAGAATACTAAATCATGAGAGCGAGAGCCTGATGGTCTGCCTCCTTAGTTAAACCTTACAATGCTCATGTCATTTTAACTGTTTTCCTTGGATGCTGGAATCTAGAAAGGTTAAGTATGTCACCCAAATACACACAGCAAGTACTTAGAAATTAATCCTGGGCATCTGGCCTCCTTCTAACTCTACATGGGTTAGCAATGGCTGACTGGGCACAGTGGCTCACACCTGTAACCCTAGCACTTTGGGAGGCAGAGGCGGGTAGATCACGAGGTCAAGAGATTGAGACCATCCTGGCTAACACAGTGATACCCCATCTCTACTAAAAATACAAAAAAATAGCCGGGCGTGGTAGCACGTGTCTGTAGTCCCAGCTACTCAGGAGGCTGAGGCAGGAGAATCGCTTGAACCCGGGAGGCGGAGGTTGCTGTGATCCAAGATCGCGCCACTGCACTCCAGCCTGGGTGACAGAGTGAGACTCCGTCTCAAAAAAAAAAAAAAAAGGCTAATAGCAGACTTATTTTGAAAATGCTTGCTAGCTATTTTTCCATCAGTAGATGTTACCTGGTAGTTTGCCTCATAAATATTGTATCATTATGATTCCTAAGATCTCTGTCAGAATTCTTAACTTTTATGACAATAGGTAACTTAGAACCACTTTGCCAGACATTAGTAAGTAATGTACAAAATAAGTGACTTACAAACGGGTTGTAGCAATCTAAATCATGTCTGCTAAACAACTGACGCTGGGCAACAGTGAGAATCAGAGCTTGAGTGCTGCCTCTGTGAAATGAAATGAAATCAAATGAGGACGGCTTTCTGGTTCTTTGTCTCACAGTGAATGGCTACAGCAGCCACTTCTTTTGATTAAAAACAGCTTCTTGAAACAATAAACCCAAGAAAAAAACTATAAAAGGCAAAAATACAAATATAGTCATTTTCTAACAACACCTATTATACTGTCTGCTGAATGACTCTATTAGAGTAAGCTGAATGTCTAGTTCTCTAAATTTTAATTTCTTTGTATTCCCAAAGCAAAGCAACCTTATAAAGAACTAAGGCCATCCCTTGAGGGTAGAGAGACCCAGAAACAAATTACTCTTGGAGATACTACCATTCAAGTTCCCATTGAAAACATTTTTACACAGAAGAGCCCAGATTAAAGTAAATTTCAAGGGCAAAAAATAAATCAAATTTTAGAAATTAGAACTTTAGCAAAGTTGCAAATAAAAGGATGAAAGGGTGTTGCTTGGGTGATGGTGAGAAGTTTAGGCATTTTTTTGGATATTTCTTTTATTTATTTGATTCATTTTAATCCTCTGTCTTTTCTACCAAGGATTGGAGATGGCTTACAGATATACAACAAAAAATAATTCTTAAAAATTGAAGGAGTCTAACTAAACATTTTGGATAAGAAACTCTAAGTGATATTAAGAGAGAGGAATGTAGACCATATGGTAATGTAGAGCTGCTCCCAAGCTTCCTAGCAGCCACAATAAAAGGGGAAACAATCATTTATAAGACTCAGCATGTCAACAAGACAAAAGCAAACCAAAAGTTCAGGAGAATCACACTTCCTGAAACTGAAACTGGAAGCATTTTCCCCATAGCTTCTCGTAAAGAGGATGCCCAACAGCATCCCGACAGCAGATACAACCAGGAGCTCCTACAGGCAGGTTCATCCTCTGGTGTCTGCGATGAGATCAGGCCAAGGTGTGATTTAGTGAGCATAATTCTAAAGAAGGTGGGTTACTGTGATTGTTCCAGAATAATCTAAGGCAGTGGCTTCAACCCTAGCTATGCATTAGAATCTTAACTGGGGATCTTTGAAATATCCTGATACACAGACCATACCCCAGGCCAATTAAATCAGAATCTCTGGGGATGGGTCCTAGGAGCCAGTATTAAAAGAAAAGAAAAAACAGTTTCCCATGTTAGTACAGTGTGCAGACAGTGTCAAAAGCCACTGTGATCAAGAAATACCCTTCTTTCTCCCACAGGCACCTCCCCAGTTCAGCCTCAGAAGCAGAACACACACACCCCCACCCCCATTGTGAGACTCCGGACAATATACAAGTCTCAACGCAGGTTTGAGTTTTCATTTTCTCCTGTCTTTGCAAAGGATGGTTCTGGCTATAGCCCTCTTCCCTGGAAGCCTCTCCACACTCTTTCTGCCTTGACTCTGACATAGCTCTTGCTGTCAATCTCCATACATTAACTTTTCATCCAATGATAATGTGAACTGTAATTTTTAGGTAACCATTTGTCTCTTTAGTCACAGTCACACAACACAGACACAACTCATAGTTTTTCTTTTCTGTTTGTAAATAATGTAGACCCCCTCATGCATTTTGACAGATACTTTAGATTGGCTAACTCAGTACCCACTCCAATGCTTCCCCTCTGCCATTTCCTCTGCTTCCACTAGAAGGGCTGGAAAATCAACATACCTATCCAGCTTCCCATATCACCAGGGGCGACCACACAGCACTGTCCTGGTCATAGATACCAGCAAGGCCCCTGGAGAATACTCCTGTTCCTAAATAAAAAGACAGCGCCTCACAAAGAGAAGGTTTCTCTTGTCTTCCTTCTTCCTGCCTGGGAGCAGCCAATTTTCAATCACACAGATGAAAGGACATACCATGCATGGAAAGGGAACTACGGTGACCACACGGAGCAATGGCACGAGCCCTAAGCTCCTTACCCTGGGACTTCTTGTAACATGAGGAAAATAAACCCCTGCTACCTACAATCACATGCAATCCCAGCCAACACATAGTATCACTAGACAAGTTCATTCTAACAGAGCTTTCAAATAGCAGTTACAATCCTCTATTAAATAAACCTAAGGTACATATGTAGATGTGGGCATAGCCCTAAATGACTGACAGATTTCAGTAGGGAAGTGGAGTGTGGTGGCACCTACCTGTAGTTCCAGCTTTGCAGGAGGCTGAGGCAGGAGCAGCACTTGAGCCCAGGAGTTTGAGGCTGCAGTGAGCTGTGCTCACACCACTGCACTCCAGCCTGAATAAAAGAGCAAGACCTCGTCTTAAAAAGAAAAAAAAATCAGCAGGAATAAAGGATTTCACTAATCTACCCAATTCCTTCTCGTCTGCTACAAGTTAATATGATTGTGCCTTTTTCTCTGCCCTAAGAATTAAGAACAATAGGGAAGCTCCTCTTGTCCCTGGAAAGGAGAAACAACTTGTTTTGTAATCCAAGGATTACAGAGCAGAGGAGTTAAATTGACTAAGACAAGGAAAGGCCTTAAGGGTGAGAACTGGACATGGTCCAATCCAAGGGAACAGAAGTATCCTCCCAAAACAAGATAGGAAACAAAGGGTTGTGACAAGTTCCTCAAATGACAGCCTGTGTGGTAAATGAGGGTAAGAATCATGACTCTGAGGGCTGGCAGGGTGCCCTATGGGTTCACCCAAACAGCCCTCTGTGCCAATGCTGAACAGCACTTCATTTAGCAGAAGTCTTATTACAAAGATTAAAGCCACCACGAGCTAGAAACACAGTGTTCCGAATTTTCTTGGCACCACCTAAATTCCAGGGTTCTTACATAATTCATTGGAGGGGGAAGGAACCCCTTAAATAACTGATAGTGAACCTGCTTTGTTAAGTGGAAACTTAGAATGAATATGACTGGGAAAAACAAAGAATTGTGAGGGTTGATGGTTCTTGCATCCGAGCACTAGAGAATTCATTCCTATTTCCCAGTTGATTATGAAAAGAGGTGTCCATTCTGCGGCATAATCTTGGGAGCAACCCAGTAGCTAGGGAATTAAATTTATCTGAAGATAATTAAGCCTTGGAGTAAAGGTTCATATTTGGTTCTGATCAAACTAGAGAAAGGGTTGAGGAGGCCATGTTTCCCTTCTGGTGATGCTGTGGACTCACAGAATTGGAAAATGGAAGGAACTTGAAAGATCACCCGGTCTCACAACTCATGATGTTCAAATAATGCCTTCCCCAACATCTCCATCAATCATACCTACTCAAGCCTTGACTTCCAAGCTCAAGGTGCTGTGTTCCTACCCTGAAGATACTAAAATTAGGGAGGTGAGAAATGAGTGCATAAAGGTTCCTAACAACATTGGTTTTGGTGGGAAGTGGAACAAGAAAACAGAGTAAAGTCTGGAGTAGGAGGTTGTCCCCAAGGAAAAAGATCTTGAGTGAGGGCCTCTTGGGAGTGAGAGTTAATAAAAAATGGATCATAAGATATTCAGGGAAAACCTTGGTAGAGTGGGGACAGACCACCAGTTTCACAATGTTGCTGTGGACTGATTGTCAGGGAAGGGTCATACAAAGGGCTAGCTAAGGTGGCCAACGGAAACAAGAAAAAGGAGTTAAAATATGTACTAGATGGGCAATGCTGTATTCGCAATTCGAATCCTACTTCCTCTTTTCTTCTGTAAAATTAATTTTCCCCAGGAAGATTGTTGCATTTCTTCTGGAGTTTTGAAGCCATTAGGAATGCTCTTAAGTTTTTCCACCACCATTTTCCAGCAATAAACCTTACTGAATCAGGCAGCAGTCAGCTCTCTAAGCATTATGTAGAGGGTATGAGGGCAATTTGAAAATTTTATGGTCTGAAAAGTGGGCCTTAGCACTTTAGCTTTTATTCTCTGAAAGATCGTATAAATCCCTCTTCATTTAGCAGTTTTCAAGGAAGTGACAGCTTTTGTTAGTCAGGATAAAGTGAGATTAGAAGTAAAAATTTTACCCATTAATCCTCACTGATTAAAGTGAAACTAGAAATCAAATTGTTACCAACTGTGCACTAATTTCAGCTTAATTCTTTGGCAAGAGGTGTTGGAAAGTTTCAACTGGCTGCACTAATTCACAATACCTTACTACTGATGGCAGAATGTCAAGGTCTCCTTCCCTCCTGGGCCCAGGGTGTGAACAATGACTATTTCAAAATCAGTCCAGTAAGATATAAACATTAAATCCTTAGCTATGTTGTTCCTCAGCCATCAGTTTCACACCACTCTCTCTCTTTATTCGCCACCAGCCTCCTCCCACTCCACCAACAGTGATGAAAAAATATCTCCCCAGAGACTACAAAATCACAGCCGAATGGCTGGCCTCTCCGCATCAAACAGAATGTCTGCAGCATCAGAGCAGGTGTCGCCCCACGCAAGCCGTTTCTATTACAGCGCTGGTAGTGGAAGAGAGTCTTCATACAAATAAGCCACATCAATTCATCAATCAAAATGAATGCATGTACTAATTAAACTAGCAAAAATTTAAAAAGGCATTTGTGTTGCAGGAGGGGAGAATAGCATAGGGAGGGAGACAGGGAGTTAAAATTCAGAGGAAGTGAAAACTTGACAGGCACAGCACCGAATAGAGAAGGCAGTAAATATATGGCCAGAATTTATAGTATTTTCTCACCTCAAAAATAAGCCAACCAACAAACAAGTGGCTCGTATACACACACACACACACACACACACACACACACACACACACACAGTGCCCTCTGGATTGTGAACATTCACTGAGGAGGCCTGTGAGCAAAGACAAGCCTCTATCTCTCTTCTTCACATCTACTTCTACCTTATTATTGAACATTTCTCCTATTCCTTTCAGTGGCTTTTCAGGGCCAGTATGTACAGTTGTATGGTTAGTGCACTGCACAAAGGCTCCAAGCTGAGGAAAGAATGGAGGATAAAATTTAGTCCATGTTCCAATGGCCAAGTCACATGCCTTTGGCATGAAGTTGCTGTAATCAGGAAGTGGTGCTTTCTTCTTCATACGAATGTGTCCTCTGCTTGTGCACCCAGAGGACAGTGTCACCATAAAAGCTAGCAGTGTCCCCATCCTTGTTTTTATTTGCTTCTATGTCCTTCTGTTTCTTCCCTCTGAACTTTGAAGACTTCAACTGTTTCTATATATGATAAATATTTTAACAAAAAGGAAAAATCTCAATTATCTTCTGAAGCGTTTCATCTATATGACACCAAGAATCCACATATAAGTGAAATATCTTAATGCTTGGTATTGTGTAGACAAAACATTTGGTTGATCAATGTAGTTCATGTTTCTTTCAGATGCTTAAGTACCACAGAAACACTATCGTACCCACTCACAGGCTGGGTTCTAATATATATATACACATACACACACACACACACACACACACACACACATATATAGTGCAAACTCATTTTTCTAGGCTCAAAGGATCAAACTCAATATATTAAGCACTGAGAAATAATAGACAAGGGGTCTGTTTTTCTAACACTAAATAAGTAGCATTTAGCCTATCTGCTGAATATTATGGGGAAAGCACTTTTTATCTTTAGTCTAGTAATTTGATGTTTCATTTGATAACAAGATATTTTTGTTGTCTTTTGTCTGTGTTGTATTTAGAGTAGGAAAACTTTTAATATTTGCCTCAATATTCCAATTTCATAGTCTTTCAGACACACTGTTTTCTTTTAAAGCCTGCCCTTGAATCAACTTGAATGAGCTTCTTAAGGCTGTCAGGACAAACAATTTTCCCAAACTCAGTTATCTTTGTTTGAAACAATGATTGAAGTTATCTTTGTTTGAAGAAAATGATTATAACGCATCACAGATTTCATTCAGATCTACCTTCGTTGCCAAAGCACTCTATACATCACCATGTGGTAGATGGCAAATGCCATTCTCTCCATTTCCCAAACAGAGAAGCAGTGGCTGGCCAAGTTAAATGGCAGGCCCATGGTCAGACAGTGAGTCAACAGCACAGTAGAGAATTTTCCAGATCTTTCCAAAACGGGCCCCAGACAGCACACTTGGTGCACAAGGGGTGAAAACTAAAACTCCTTTTCCTTTCCCCAAGGCAGACCGTGAAACTGTAAAGATGAGCTGGCATTTTGTTTTATTTTTTGTAATAAACTGTTCTTTTCACAGCAGTTGGCCCTGGGGGAGTTGCAAATAGCACAGCTCGGCTGCAGCTGTGGGTGTGGCTCCACCCAATCCCAAGGCAACTTGAAGACCACAGCTGTGTCAGGCAGAGTAGATCTTAAAGTTGACATCTGGGCTGCACACTTTCAAGTTCACCCCCCAAACAAGTTGAGTCATTTTCACAAGCCAGAACTCATTTGAAGGCTCTGTTCCTCCTCTGCCTGTGGTTACTTGAGGCGCATCAAATATCACCAGAGACTGACACCCACATTTGGCTCAGGCCAATTTCTGAATCATCGTCCCTAAGCCCTCCCTTTGCTAGTCATGAGAAACACTCCGCATTGGAGATTATAAAAGTGGTCAGCAGTTTCGGGGATATTGGGCAGATTTTATTTGAGCGGTTGCTTTTGAGTTTTGGTTTTTTATTTATGATCTCTCGGGTTCTTTGTGTGTATGTGGCTATCACGTTTGCTTGGACAAATGGGATATGTTCCCAAATCCAATAGATTCATATACAGTTCTAGAAAAAAACTTTAAGAGGTGATTTTGTTTTTGTACCCCTGCTTCCAGCTGGAACAAATAACTGACAGTCATCCTCCCTTATTAGTGTCCAATCTCAGCGATAGAGGTGAGAACGCTGAACCCCTCCTGGCCCTCCGAGTGGAGGGAAGGCAAGCATCGCTTGTGTTTTTGTCTCGTTGAGGAAAGTATCTCGGCTTGTGAATGGCCTTTCTGACAATGACAAGCACATCAAAATGGGCGCCATCTGAGAGCTCAGGCCAGAGAGAACACCCGCCACCGGGCCTCCTGCCTCCGCCGCAGGCCACAGCGCTGCATTGTAGTGGGGGTTGCCGGGGAACCTTGGGGGAGCCTGCGCTGGGCGGCTGCTGTGGACAGAAGCGCCGCTGTGGGGAGGGGCAGGCCGTGTCCCGGCCATCGGCGGAAGCTGCTCCAGGCAGTCTGCAGCTCAGGCCGTGCAGGCCTGGGCCAATCCCCAGGAGGGGAGCAGCTGTGAGGCCGGGAGAGCCCGGGTCCTCGTTCCCTTTGCAGCAAGAGTAGCCGCCCCGTTGGCAATCTGAGTCTCCTTCAACCTTTCCAGCCGGTCCTCGCACTGTTGGGGCTGCCCGCCTCGCTCTCAGCCCGCAGCACCGGCCCCGCACAAGGCCCAGTCCCCAGGCAACGGCTGCGTTGGTATCCCCTGCGCACCGGCCACCGAGGGAATGGCGACAGAGACACGGGAAACAGCGACAGCTTACAGGGAGGAAAATCCAAAACAAAGGTTGCGGAGAGTGTCAGAGGGAGGGCCAAAGAGGACGGAGAAGGACTCCACCCCACAGGCTCCTGAGCGCCCGGTTGGCCACAGACGTGCCCTGGAGGAGGCACACACAGGTCGTCCTTCGGGAGAACTCTGCAGCTGGGTGCCTGTGGACTGCTGGAGAAGAGAGAGTAAACCACGAATTTCAATAGAAGACCGAATAGGTCCTATAGGTATAATTAACACGCAAAATACGTTCACAGTCTGCTCAGGGGGCTTCTTTCCAAGAGAAAGGAACCAAAACTTCCCTCAGAATCACCAGCTTGTCTGTGGAGTGCCAGGCTATCCCAGAAGAAAAGCTATGATCTTAGGCTCAAGGAAGAGTGACTGCACCCAGGCACTGTTCTTTTCCAGCTGACAATTCAGAGCAAGGTTCTGGGGCCATGGCACCTTTCTCCTCCCGTTGCTCCTTTTTCTGTTCCACCTCAGCCAGTCCTGCCTGCCTGGTGTTACCATACACTTATAAAGCCTGTTCCTGTCTGTAATCAGGGCCAGCAGTGACCCACTTGCTGATTATAACTGTTGATTGCCACAAAAAGGAAAAGCCTGAATGCAATCCTATGAATGAAAGCTCTTAAGAACATTTTCTGACCAGTTTCCCTTAGTCTGGAAGTGGAGGTTTGGGGAGGGCAGTAGAGGGGCTGCTGCTCAGGTTTAAACTTCGAATTTTAACCTTCACTCAGTGCACAATAGGAAACAAAGCAGGTGCTTGGTTGGTTCATTTTATTTCACTTTAGAAGTTGAGTTAACCCCTAAATTAAACAATTTATTTCATATGAGCATGAGTAAGTCACTTGGTCTCCTGCTGGTCTTGTTTTTCTCATGTGTAAAGTTGAAGGGTGGATTAAGGTATCTTCCAATTTCAAAATTACAAATAAAGTTGTAGTGTCTGTTCAGGAATTTACACAGGAGAATTCCTTATTTAAATGTATAATGCAGTGATGGGATGAAGGACATAAAATATTTCCAAAAGGAGAGAAGTAACATAGCATTTTCTCCAGCTGAATCTCCATTTCCAAATTTTGCACTTCTACTGTTGATGATTTACTGCTAAATGAGGGCACATCTAAAATAATGAATGCTCCTTAGTGAGAAAGCCGTGTCATCTCTGAGACCCATGCAGAAATCAACCAGGGAGACCTATGTATGAGACGATTTGCTATTCAGAAACCATTATCCTGCATGCAGAAAAGGCTTCATCACCCGGACTTTAGAATCTGGGTTTTCAGTACCAAACCCTGATAAAGTATAGCTGATTTTCAGAGCATCTAAATCTTTTGTTCACACTTTGTCTTCTTCTCATTGTTCTTTAAGTTTTGGGGTTTGAGGACAACAGAGACACAAATCCAACTCTGTAGCAAGAGTATTTCTCAGTATGCACATCAAATATTAACAGTCGTGAGAAAGCCCACATTTAAGGCTGTTTCACCTAACATTTTTCTAAGTTGAGAAGTTTCCAACAGTAAAATTTAAAGTCTGTGGCTAATGAGGAACACAGATTGTTTTTTAAAACTTCGTGTTTAGAGGGCAGCTCTTCAACCTCTCTGTTGGAACTATGACAATGGAGGTTTGATAAAATATGACTCAGTTTCAAACTATCAAATAGCATTATAAAAATGTTTGGACTAGATTTAGTTCTCCCAAAAGGTGGCAGATTGATAGAGCATGGATAAAGCAAGTCAGCCTCCAGGAATGATTGCTTCGTGAGAAACAGGGCCCTTTTTCTCCAGAGGGACATGGACATTCCCAGACAACATCTTAACTTGAAGAGTTCTCAAAGCACAGATCCCAGCTTCCTTCCCTGATGAGCCCTCTGGTGAGAGTGGGAATTTCTGTAGGAATTCTGCGGTGGAATGATACCTTCCTGAAACTAGAAGTTACCAAGTTATTACATTCTGATCAGCCAGGAGGGCTATCACCATAGTTAAGCCTCCCAGAACAATCTGTGAAATGTGTTCTCTGAGCCTCCCAATCCCCTAGGTCTGCCACCTCTCTGCTGTGGTTACCATCCTCCTGCCCCCATCTTCTCATACCAACCACAGCCCCCATTTAATGGCCTGGGCCTTGTGGCCCCACTCTTTGGCTTTTCCCCCATTCTCATCCCCTTTCCTCACTGCCCTTCTAGGTGCATTTGCTCTCAATTGTGTGACTGGCACTACAGAGGAGGAATGACTTTGTAGGTGTCATTCTATAAGAGTGATAAAGATGGACAAAGTTTTATTTCCATGCTCACAGATAGGAAGAATCAATATTGTGAAAATGGTCATACTGCCTAAAGTAATTTATAGATTCAATGCTATCCCCATCAAGCTACCATTGACTTTCTTCACAGAATTGGAAAAACTACTTAAAATTTCATATGGAACCAAAAAGAGAGCCTGCATAGCCAAGACAATCCTAAGCAAAAAGAACAAAGCTGGAGGCATCATGCTACCTGACTTCAAACTATACTACAAGGCTGCAGTAACCAAAACAGCATGGTATTTGTACCAAAACAGATATACAGGCCAATGGAACAGAACAGAGCCCTCAGAAATAACACCACACATCTACAACCATCTGATCTTTGACAAACCTGACACAAACAAGCAATGGGGAAAGGATTCCCTATTTAATAAATGGTGTTGGGAAAACTGCCTAGCCATATGCAGAAAACTGAAACTGGACCCCTTCCTTACACCTTATACAAAAATTAACTCAAGATGGATTAAAGACTTAAACACAAGACCTAAAACCATAAAAACCCTACAAGAAAACCTAGGCAATACCATTCAGGACATAGGCATGAGGAAAGACTTCATGACTAAAACACCAAAAGCAATGGGAACAAAAGCCAAAATTGACAAATGGGATCTAATTAAACTAAAGAGCTTCTGCACAGCAAAAGAAACAATCATCAGAGTAAACAGGCAACCTACAGAATGGGAGAAAATTTTTGCAATCTATTCATCTGACAAAGGGCTAATATCCAGAAGCTACAAAGAACTTAAATTTACAAGAAAAAAACAACCAACCTCATCAAAAAGTGGGCAAAGGATATGAACAGACACTTATCAAAAGAAATTCTTGCGGCCAACAAACATATGATAAAAAGCTTATCATCACTGGTCATTAGAGAAATCCAAATAAAACCACAATGAGATACCATCTCACACCAGTTAGAATGGCAATCATTAAAAAGTCAGGAAACAACAGATGCTGGAGAGCATGTCGAGAAATAGGAACACTTTTACACTGTTGGTGGGAGTGTAAATTAGTTTGACCATTGTGGAAGATAGTGTGGCAATTCCTCAAGCATCTAGAACCAGAAATACCATTTGACCCAGCCATCCCATTACTGGGTATATACGCAAAGGATTATAAATCATTCTACTATAAAGACACATGCACACGTAAGTTTATTGCGGCACTGTTCACAATAGCAAAGACTTGGAACCAACCCACATGCCCATCAGTGATAGACTGGATTAAGAAAATGTGGCACATATACATCATGGAATACTATGCAGCCATAAAAAACAATGAGTTCATGTCCTTTGCGGGGACATGGATGAAGCTAGAAACCATCATTCTCAGCAAACTAACACAAGCACAGAAAACCAAACACCACATGTTCTCACTCATAAGTGGGAGGTGAATAATGAGAACACATGGACACAGGGAGGGGTACATCACACACCAGGGCCTGTCGGTGGGTGAGGGGCTAAGGGAGGGATAGCATTAGGAGAAATACCTAATGTAGATGACAGGTTGATAGGTGCAGCAAACGACCATGGCACGTGTATACCCATATAACAAACCTGCACATTCTGCACATGTACCCCAGAACTTAAAGTATAATAAAATAAATAAGATTTTAAAAAAGTTGGGCAAAGTTTTTTGACTGTAAATGTTGTCTGTTGACCCTAGATAATTTAGGTATCACTTCTTCAAAATACCAGAAGTTGTTTTGATTCAAGACTTCTAAGGACATCAAAAAGAATAAAGGATTATTTGAGACAAGTAATCCTATACTATAGCATAAAAAATACACAGCTTGCTAAATAGATCATTTACACTTACATGTAAATGCCTGTAAAGCTCCAAACATACTCAGCCAGATTTTCCCAGTGGTCTATTAATTCCCTCCAAATAAGTTTGGAACCCTTAACAAAGACTGGTCAAAGAGAATGTGTCTTGTTTACCTTCTTCCTTTAATAAGGGACCATTGCCTTCTGTGTGTCATTGCTGATCCACTAATTACAAAATGTCCTGTGTCTGCGTGTTCAGAGCTCATACTTTACAGAGCCATCTCTGTAAGAGAATTCCTTTCCTTCTCCCTTTTACTCTCCCTATCTTCCTCTCTCCATCCTGCACTGATGGGAGGGATTTTACCTGCCATCTTGGCTTTTTACTAAAGTAATGTATGAACTGAACATCTTGCCCACTCCTCAGAAGTCACTGAGTTATTTCTTGAGTTGACTATCAAATGTTCCTTCTCTTTCCCACTCTGGTGGGTGCTGCTGTGGTTTCACCTGCCCAGCATCTGTCTCACTGGGGTAGTGTTGGTTAATCACATCTTGCTGGTTTCAGAAAAGCTCCACGAGCATCTTCACAGAACATACCCAAAGTTAGAGCTAAATTATCAGCCAGGCCACCTGATTGCCCCCTTAATCACCTTTCTTTTTATAAGGAAGTAAAACCCATTTGCCTCACCCTCTCACTGGCCATCAAGTGTCCCACACCCATATAAAAATCAAATCACCAGCCTGGGCAACATGGCAAGACCCCCATCTCTACAAAAAATAGAAAAAAAAATAGCCAGGTGTGATGGTGCATGCCTGTAGCTGCAGCTACTCGGGAGGCTAAGGTGGTAGGATCACTTGAGCCTGGGAGGTTGAGGCTGCAGTGAGCCATGATCACGCCTCTGCACTCAAGCCTGGGTGACAGAGTAAGGCCTTGTCTTAAAAAAAAAAAAAAAAAAAAACTCCAATCAGCCTACCTATATAGATTACAAGCATTCTTAGCAAGGTACTCTGCTAGGAACTAAGTAACCAGATACAGAGTCCAGCCAGGTTGCCAAGAACACTGCAGGATTTCTGAAAACAGCAAAGGGAGCTAGAAAGAGCTCCCAGAGGCCAAGCCACAGAAAATCCTGGAAAGCAGTGCATGACACTGGAGGTCCACACGGCCAAACTGCTTCAGCAGAACAATGCATTTTTATGGAGTTCATTTAAACCATTATGTTGTGTACACTCTCTTTTGTTTTAAATGATACATCACTGCTGACAGTTGGCATGTACTGTTTTCATAGCTTAGCCTTTATAAATATTACAAGCACATATCACAGCAGTATTGTTATAACGAGTTACAATGATGTGTTCTTTGAGAGAGTGCCAGTGACTGGTTTATATCCTTGGTGATGTTGTCGCATCATAATAAATGTGGTATAAATCTTTTTCAAGGTTCAGCAGTTCCTTTAAGCCAAAAATGCTACATATGGGTTGTGGAGTTTCCCATGTTACCCCCATTCCAACTTTTGAAACCCTTTTCCTAGGTGTCTTGATATACAGTCCCCAATTTTGAGGATTTTAACATGGTCAGTGATCTAACTGCTCTCCTTTAATGGAGTGCAGCCCTTATTATAATCTGGAAATCATTTTAATCTAAATATCACCAACAGCCAAACATAATAAAATATGTATAAGTCAAATAACATTACAGAGACCCCAGCAGCTCCACAGTGGAGCCAGCCACAGCCACTGTGCAACCATAAGCCTCAGGAGAGGGAGGGAGGGAGAGCAGGCATCTCAATTTGCTTTCACAGGGATGCATCATTGCTGGGGAGGTACAGGAGAAAGCAGGCACCCTCTACGAAGGAGAGGCTTTGTTCACTTCAGAGGAGGGCCTTCTCTGAATATCAGGAGTCAAAAGCAGAGGATGGGTCGTGAAATAATAACCAGCAAGCTGAACACGGAGGGTTGAGAGAGTTAATCTCTTTCTGATGTGAAATTACTTTCTTGGTTTGGACAGGTTGGTATGGTCTTAGTTCCTTCATTCTACCACAAGGGACCAGGACGAGGGCTGAGAAATACAGACCTTTCATAACGGTGCTGAGTCCATGTTCGCTGTTCTGGGGACAGGTAGCAATAACTCCTACACACTCACTCTCATCGGACTCTGAGTCACTTCCTGTAGAATGGTACCATCTTTGGTGCTCAAGCCCCTGATTGTGTCTACGAAAATGAGTCCCAGATGTACTGCTCCCTTTAAGGAAGGGTGTGTCAGAATGATTAGTTGGAAGATGTAGGTATACTGAAAACTAAACAGCTGAATCCTGGGTCATTAAATCTTCATTTAACCATGCTAATCGTATACACGAGCCAAGAGCTGCCTTCAGATAATCATGCCCAACAGAAATTGGCTGTGGAAGCAGAATTGATCTATAGTCAGCTGTCCCAAGCTCGAGGTGGTAATTCTTTTGCCAAACATTAAACTGTTCTATATCATCAATGAAACCATACTTGAGTCAGAACAAACCCAGGAGAGCGTGTTAGGAGATGCATAACACGGCTATGGAGAAAACTCCCTGGTAAGGTACGTCCTTCATTAAAGCTCTAAATCATTTCCATTCCGGACCAGACTAGGGTTACTTCATTACCTTTTCCTGTGAATTATTAATACCAGAAACACGAAGCCTTGAGGCAAGGGTTGGAGAAAACTTCGTGCACTGAGGAAATGAACCCCACCTATTTTTAAGTGCTTCTCCTCTTCTTTCAGTTGTTCCCTGGAATTTCCTCTGTTCCCCCAGCTTAAGTGTTTGGGCATTTTTAAATAGTGTTTGGGTCCTTAGTGGATCTAGTGGTTTTGCTTGAGTTTGTTTATTCTTTTAGGAATATCTTTTTTAAGAAAAAACTAGTTCCTGTCACTTTTTCACAGTGTCTGTCCCAAGTGCCAAGTGACCCATGAGGATGTGAGTTCTGAGAAAATTTCTCTACCGGCTTTTTCCTTCAGTATGAAAATAAACTGGTATGTGAAAAATGATTTCCATCAGCAAACCCTTCCTGTTGCAACAATAATCTGTTGTAAGATGCATCACGAGACACAGACACGCGGATTCAGGGGACAAGGACACCTGCTCTCATCCTACAGAGCGCTGGATGCTCTCCCAGGCTTCATCTCAGACCTTCCTTCCCAACCCTTGGTGCCTCCTTACTTTCCCTGCAACCTTCTCTTTCCCTTTTGATTCTGACTCCTCTGGGAGCACATTCGGTCTCATGACTTCTAAACTGCCCACCTGTTCTCCTACCTTCTTTCTAGCCCTGTATTCCTAACAGGCCACAGACACCCTCACTCTACTGGCCCAAGTGAAAGGCATTTTGTTCAAAATTACTTTTATATTCTACAACCCCCAAGGACCTCTCTCCAGCACTGGCTGGACCTACTGGAGATGCTAAGTACATCTTTGTGGGTTGATTGAAACCAGAAAGATCAAGTTGAAAGAAAATCTCAAGGTATGTACATTTCTAATGCCCTAAATACATAGACTTAGGAAGATCTAGGAAATTGAAGACTGGAAGACAACTGTGGAGACACTCTTTGGACCTAATTCCTGCAGTTTACATAGTTCAGAAGAAAACTTTGATGACGAAGTTACTGATCGGGGGTCTTCTAAGCTTGAGAAAGATGGGTTTTGCTGAGGGAGAAAAAATGTTCATGAAGCTTCTGGAACTTCCACCATGTCTCAGAAAATAACCTCTTGAGGAATTGGGAATAAATAAAATCAGAACCATGTGGGATATATTTCCCTTTATATACATATTGAGGCTATAAAAAATAAAGGGAAAGTATTCAGCTAAAGTTATTTAGGGTTTGGGTTTACGCACAACATCTGAAAAATAGTTCAAGATGTTAGTTGAACCCAAAGTGCAGCAATGTTCACCTTCTCCTACTGAAAATAGAGTCTGTGTAGCAGCTGAGGGAAGACATGTTTAATGTCAAGTTAATGAAAGGAGAAAAAAAGTATGTTGGAGCTGAAAGGACAAGGGAGTGTTCAAATATGCACAGAGAAAAATATGTTTAAAGCTAGACGAACCTTGGCTAGAGAAAAGGAGCAAAGGAACCTGAAGTTGGCCCTGGTTTCTGAGACATGTACATCCCTGGGGCATCGAGTTCCCTAAGCAAACCCCACTTTTTCTTAAGACTGTCTGGTCACCAGGTTTTTCCCTCAAAAATTTAAGCCTATTGCATCTTGGTTATAATAAGGGGTTCTTACAGCCTCCAAAGATAGGTTTGAAATGTGACTGACTTTTAGCTGGATGTTTTAAAAGAACTGACGGGTTTTATGTCTAGGTAGTTGAACTCCTGGATGCCCAGACACTCGTGATAAGTTAGGATGACACCCAGATGCCCCGCAAGAGTGAGAGCCTGAAGACCAACTGCCTGAGGCAACAGAACAAACTCTTAATCTACAGGTCTACTGTTGTTCCTGCTGGGACCCAACGGATGATAGCACTGTCCCTCCATGCACTAGGCGTGCACACATACACACACACACACACAACAGTTTTCTGCAGAACCATAGGCTGTACCTTTGCCATCATTTCTGCAGTACCTACTCTGTCAGGGTTGATGGGAACCATGGGTGGCCTTGAACTCTTTTTGAGCTGAAAATAATCCCTTTTCTTTCTTCATTGGACCTCAAGAGACAAGAGACAGCAATAAAGTTGACTTGTGGCCCTTTAATACTTATGGAATCTGGGATGCTCTTTAAAGAGGAAAAACCCTGCTTCTTGATCCACTTGTAGAAAACTAGAAAGCAAGTCTCAAATCAGACTAAACCAATCAGTAAGACTTTGAGATGGAAGAACAAGATCACATTACCATATCCCATAGGATGTCCTTGGATCAGGGGATGTGAACTTGGCAAAGTCTCTGAATGTCTTTTTGTTTCAATTTTCACCTGTGAAATGTAGGATAACAATATCTCCTCTGCTGAGCTCATAAAGAGATTGTTATGTGACTGAGATTAAATTAATATAAGTGCTTTGAAAGACATAAAACGTCCTAAAACAGAAGTCTCCAGCACTCTCTCTATACTTCGCCTCTGAGCTCCAGGTGGTCTCCCTGGCATTTCCACCTGAATATTTTACTGATATCTCACACTTAACATGTCCAACATGGACTTCTTGATTGTCTCCTACCAACTTCCACCTATTTGAATTTCCCGCATTTTTATGAATGGCTTTACCCAACCAGATGTTTAAGCCAGGAACCTGGGAGCTTTCCTTGAGACCTCTCTCTCTCTTGCGCTCATACTGCCAATTAATCACCATGTCCTGTTGATTCAACTCTACTTTTTCTGGAATCTGGGCACTTCTCTAGATCAAGCTGTATCATCCCTCATCTGAACCACCACAAGAGCCAGCTATGAGTCTCCATGCTTCCCCTCTTGCCTCAGTAGCCATCCACCCCCACGCACCCCCAACCTTCCTCTGCACAGCCATTAAAAAGTTCACTCTCCTCACTGCAGCAAGAACAGTCTTTTCAACTTGGTCTTGTCACTTCCCTACTCAACATGCCCCAGAAGGTCTCCTTCAAGAATATAGACATTCAGTCCTGGCGCAATGGCTCGCACCTGTAATCCCAACACTTCAGGAGGCCGAGGTGGGTGGACCGCTTGAGCTCTGAGTTCAAGACCAGCCTAGGCAATGTGGCAAAACCTTGTCTCTACAAAAAAAAAAAAAAAAAAAATACAAAAATTAGCTGGGTGTGGTGGTATGCGCCTGTAGTCCTAGCTACTTGGAGGCTGAGGTAGGAGGATCCCCTGGACCTGGAAGACCGAGGCTACATTGAGCCACGATCACGCCACTGCACCCCAGCCTGGGTGACAGAGTAAGACCGTGTCTCAGAACAAAACAAAACAAAAAAAAAAAACAAAAAAAAAAACACAACAACAACACAGAACATTCAGAGAAGGCTCCACTATGTTAGAACTTTGAACATGTGACTTAGCCACTGGTCTTGTGGGACACACATACAGAGTTAATGTATCCCCAAACCCTCCCCTTTCCACATTAGCTCTGACAGAAGACTGCCAATTGGGTCTTTCTCAGCCAGTAGTCTTCACTGGACACCCTAAGAAGTGGGGGCCTCATTAAGAGGATGCATGTGTGCGTGTGACTGCTTCTTTGTGCAATCTTAGTGTCTGCCATCTGTTAACCAGCTGTAATTTCAAGAGGGGGACATGGGAGGGAATCAAGTATAATGCAATAAGTAATAAGGTGAGTTTTTTTTATTTGTATTTCTTATTGATACTAAGTAGTTTTAATGATCCAAAAACATCTCTCTCAATTTTGAGTATTTTCTTAATGCCTTAAAAAATTGAAATACGAGCAACTCTGTAACATCTAAATGCATATTCTTGGCTCAGTGGATTATCTAAGACAAATTTTTAATTCAAAACTGACTTCTTCTACCACCCACTACTAGTGATTTGTGCTCAGAGGAAAGACAAACTAATTTTACACATTTCTCAAGATATATTTAGAAAAGATAAATTCACTACCAGAATATTCTATAAGGTTTTACAAAGCTTAATATAAATACTTTCTGAATTATCTACTGTTTTTAGATTATTAGGTCAGAATTTTAATACTTTTGGCCAAAAACCATTTTAAAACCTTCAGAGTAAAAATATAATGTAATTTTGAGAATGTCATACATTATAAAACAGAACAGAGCTAAAATATTTTTAAGCATTCGAGGTTTTTTTTTCAATTATCTGTACTTCCATTCGAATCCAGAGACCCAAGTAATCAAGAATTATGTAACTATATTTAAATTTTGAATGGCACCTTTTCTCAATCTTCTCCAAAAACTTTATAGGTATGACCATGTATCAAGTATAATTCTTGAGTTCTCAGATGCAAAGAATTTTGATGATTTGGGCAAAATTGCATAAGCATAGTGTAGGGATAACTGTTGGGAATCATAAGACTTAGAATCTTATCTTTTCCCCCTACCTGCCATATCCCTGACAGTCAGCTGTATCATCCAATTTCTAAAATGTTCAACTGCAAAGTGGGCATACAAAGGCAGATGGCTTCCTGAAAATGTTTTCCAAGTTCTAAAATGCCTTGATTCATGATTCTGTGATTTCATATACAGGACAATTTATAATGGGCAAGAGCTTCTTTGAGTGAATTCATTTACAGCAAGAACTAAAAATTCAGCATAAATAGTTTGAGCCTGAGAGTAACGTTTGAATGGAACGTCACTTTGAAAAAAAGAAAAAACCTAAAAATTACCAAAAGAGGTTTACATTATCATATATTTTAAAGTGTGGGCTATAATTGCAACTATAAATTACTCTTTAGAACCAAAAATGAAACAAGTAGATTTCTTCACATAACTTTTCTACCAAATTTTATGATAGTATAATACCACATCATGATATCCCTATCATAAAAATAGTAATATTTTAGGACTTTAGTATTTTCTCAAGGGCCCTCTTAATCATTTGATTTTTAAACATTTATGAAGAACTTCTAGTTTATCATTTTTTTCTCTTTTACTTATTGTTTATTTTACTGATTCTTTAATTTCTTTTTTAATTTAAATTTTAATTTTTAGTTCTGGGTTACATGTGCAGGATATGCAGGTTACATAGGTAAAAGTGTGCCATGGTGGTTTGCTGCACCTATCTTTCTATAGCTTTGCATATGATTCAAACAATTGTCAACATCACTTTTATCAACTTTACCAATCCCACATCTTTTGTAAGATTTACAGCTTCACTTTGCAGACTTATACTATTTTGTTAAAGTAAATGGCAAATTTTGTGTTAACTAGGGGAGAGATTTTTAAGTGAATAAATGAATTTTAAGTGAATAAATGAATAAATAACATTAGTAAAGATTTTCATGTTATGATTACTTTTGCTCCTCTGCACAATGCATAATGGAGGGACTCCAATAATAAGGCAGCTTTGTACTTGTGAGAGATGGAATCCATTTCACTTTTTGTCTACCCAAAACCATCTTAGACAAAAATGAAAGATGTTTGCCTGATTCCTGATCCCTATGAGAAAATATTACGTTTTAGAAACACAAGACTGAAATTAATGGAATTCTCATTTTAATAATAAATAAAAGACTTCACAAAATAATGTTGTATCAACTAGAAAACAACTGTTTGCTATGACAGTTCATAGCAAAACTGTGATAACTGTCTTCACAGGATTTTTCATAATGAGAAATATTCCTTTTTTAGAATATTCTTTGTGGCAATCCATGACATCTTTATGGTAAAGGCCATTTATCAGGGAATAATGCAGCAGATTGCCCCACAAGGATTCTCAGCTCAGGGTCATTTGTTCCTGAAAAACATGGTCCCTGTGTCCATAGAAGAAAGAAACGGATTGACCTATTGAAGCTGGAAGGTAACATTTAGAATATCTAACGAAAACAAATCTTTTCACAGAAGGTGTTCAACCAGCCATGCTGATGATTTTGCTTCTCCCAAACTGCTCCTTGTGTATATTTTGTTTGCAAACATGTTATTTGGCTCCAAGATGTAGTCCTGGTGTTCTCATGACTTGAGGGTACTAAGCATGGGGTTCTGAGCCTGGCTCCCTTCTACCCTTCAACTGTGCTGCCACTTCCAAGCAGTCTAAGACAGTGGGTTACATCTGGTTGAGAGGCAAACCCAGGAAATGGAAATGAGACACTGTGGACAATAAAAGAGGAAAGAGGGGAAAGCCCAGAGAAGGGTGTGTTGTCCAGTCAATGCTGTGAGTGATGGAGCTCAAGCCTCCAGGAGCTTCTGAGACACTGTATAGAATGTGCCTCAGAGGCCAGGCAGGCACAGTGGCGCAGTGGTTCATGCCTGTAATCCCAGCACATTGGGAGGCCAAGGTGGGTGGGTCAGCTGAGATCAGGAGTTTGAAACCAACCTGGCCAACATGGTGAAACCCTCTCTACTAAAGATACAAAAATTAGCTGGGTGTGATGGTGCATGCCTGTAATCCCAGCTATTCGGGAGGCTGAGGCAGGAGAATCACTTGAACCCAGGAGGCAGAGGTTGCAGTGAGCTGAGATTACGCCACTGCATTCCAGCCTAGGCATCTTAGCGAGACCATCTCAAAAAAAGAATGTGCCTCAGAATTACCTGCCTAGGGACACCGAAGAGGAAGCATTTCTCCGCCAGCTCTTATTTCCACTGATCAAGGGCTGCCTGTGAAACTTTACCTTCCTGCACTTCCAGGTTGCGTATGTGAATGGGTTCCACAGGCATCTCTCTCAGCCTTGATGTCAGAGGGGCCTTGGGACAGGAAGCAAGAGGTCCATGGTGTAGCTGAGGTGAGGTGCTGTCAAATTTGGCCACATAAAGCTAATTACAATAGCAGCAGGTAGAGTAAGAGGTGGGCCAAGGGTGGGAGACAATACAGGCGAAATGCTAAACACAGAGATAAAACCACTTAGGTGAAGACTAACAAGTGAATTGTGACAAAGTACCCAGCAGTCATATCAATTCTAAATGCTGTTGGGGATGCCAAGAAGAATAAGTATTTTTATGGTACTTGCATATGGTGACACATGGGGACCCTGGCAAGGGACCATTTCCATACTCTTTCTCAAATGCTGGTTTCATCATGTTTGTATCCTTCTGCCTGTTCAGAGGATGGGTGAACTCTTGGAAGCTTATTCTCTTAGTCTGTTTGGGTTTCTGTAACAAAATACACTAAACTGGGTGACTTATAAACAACAGAAATTTATTTCTCACTGTCCTGGAGCCTGGGAAGTCCAAGATCACAGTGCCAGCATGGCCAGATGCTGGTGAGGGCCCGCTTTCTTATAGATGGATATCTTCTTACTGTAACCTCACATGGCAGAAGGGGCAAATCAGCTCCCTTTGGCCTCTTGTAAGAGCACTAACCTCATCCATGAGGGTTCTTCCCTCATGAGCTAATCACCTCCCAAAAACCCTGCCTCCTAATACCATCACCGTGGGGTTAATATTTCAACATATGAATTTTGGGAGGATGCAAACATTCAGACCATAACACTTTTTTAAAAAACACACTCAGCCAGGTTTCACAGGGCCCCAGAAGCCTCCAGGTCAATCTCTGACTCCATAGTTCAGATGCTAGTAGAGAGTATGACTGAGAGTAGGCACTCTACAAACAGTAAGTCTTTGTATTTTTACTCCATAACTGCTGACCCTTCACTCCTTTTGCCTATACTGCTAGTTTTTTCTTTTTGTTTGTTTAAACCCCACGATACTCTAAAAAGTTCCTAAGGTTGCAGTGTCTATATTCCAAAGTTAAATCCCACTGCTGTCTTTGTTTATGTATGTCCCTAGGCTGGGAATGCTTCTCTAGGGCTTTTCCTTGAAGAACCAGAAGTTCAAGCCCAGGCCAGGCATGGTGATTCATGCCTGTAATCTCAGTATTTTGGGAGGCCAAGGGAGGAGGACTGTTTGAGCCCAGGAGTTGGAGACCAATCTGGAAAACAGAGAGACACCACATCTCTACAAAAATAATTTAAAAATCAGCCAAGCTTGGTGGTACATGCCTGTGGTCCCAGCTACTCGGGAGGCTGAAGTGGGAGGATACTTAAGCCCAGGAGTTTGAGGCTATAGTGAGTTGTGATCATGCCATGGCACTCCAGCCTGAGTGACAAAGTGAGACCCTTTCTCAAAAAAAAAAAAGAAGTTCAAGCCCAGGCCTTATTAGTGTGTATATTTCACCACGAAACAAATATTTATTGAATATCTCTTTATGTGCCAAGCACTGGTGATATGGCTGTGTCCCCACTCAAATCTCACCATGAATTGTGATAATCTCCATGTGTCAAGGGTGGGGCCAGGTGGAGATAATTGAATCAGGCCAGCGGTTTCCCCCATACCGTTCTTGTGGTAGTGAATAAGTCTCACAAGATCTGATGGGTCTAAAAATGGGAGTTCCCCTGCACAAGTCCTCTTGCCAGCCACCATGTAAGACATCCCTTTGCTCTTCCTTCTCTCCCACCATGATTGTGAGGCCTCCCAGCCATATGGAACCACGAGTCCATTAAACCTCTCTCCTTTATAAATTACCCAGTCTCAGGTAATTTCTTCCTTCAAAGAGCTCACAGCCCAGTGTGGAGAAGGCAAACAAGTAAAGACACAATTATATCACAAAGGAATGGAGACAAGTGCAAGGAGCTGAAAAAATAGTCCAGCCAGGTTTGGAGGAAGAAAAGAGAGGGCTTACTGAGTTGTGCATTCAAGGAAGTAGCTAGGGGCTCTGGGAACACAGAGTAGTATGTGCAAAGCCCTAGGGACAGCTAAGAAATATGAAGGAGACAGATACGAAGGACCTTGTGTGATATGCTGAGCACTCGGCATTTTATCTTGAAGGACACAGAACCATGCAACAGACATCCAGAATCTGCCCACTTCTTGCCATCCGCTCTAAGCCATCATCACCTCTTGCCTGGATCATGGCAGTGGTCTCCTGATGTTCTCCCTGCTTCTACTCTTGCCCCTCTACAATCCCTTCCCAACACATTGCCAGGAATGATTTTGTTACCTACAACTCAGATCATATCACTACTCTGCTCAAAACCTCAC
The DNA here is from genome assembly GCF_000001405.40 of Homo sapiens. Taxonomy (NCBI): domain Eukaryota; kingdom Metazoa; phylum Chordata; class Mammalia; order Primates; family Hominidae; genus Homo; species Homo sapiens. The sequence continues at coordinate 176,474,681 of NC_000002.12, read as the reverse complement.
AATGCTGCAACCCACTCAGAGTAAAAACCAAACCTCTCAATAGCAAGAGGCCTCCCATGACATACACCCAATGCCATGCTGTCAACCCATGCCCCTGAGCTCCCACCAAGGTACCAAGATTCCACCCTCCTTGCTGCACCTCCAGCATGGCAGTCATGCTCCTTCCTACGGTTTCCTCTCCTAGAATGTTCTTCCGCATGTCCCGATGGCTTGTCGCCCTTGCTTCATTCAAGTCTCTGCTCAGACAAATATCTGCTTTATCAGTGAAGCCTCCTCCAGCCAGTCTATACACAAAATAAGAAATTCCCTTCCCTTGCTGCTCGTTTGCTTTAGGTCCCCTACCCTGCTTCATTTTCCTGCCTAACATTTATCACTCTCTGACATGCACATTTTTGTCCAGATTTTAGAAATATCTATATTCTTAACTTATTAACATTGTTTATAGTGGGTCTCCCCATGCTAGAATGTGAGCTCCATGAAGGTAAGAACTTTGTCTTGTTCTCCACTGTGTCCCCATTGCCCACGTCAAATTAGCATCTCAGTAAGGATTTGTTAGATGATAAATGAATGACTTAAACGATTCTAAACAGAAGGGGAATAGAATCAGATGGCAGCATTGTTGAGAACAGATTAAAGAAGAGCTAAACCAAGGAGGCCAAGTAGCAGGTCACTTAGTTAAACCAATCCCAATCCGGGCCTGAGCTAATGATGGGGCAGAGGGGAGGGTCGGCGGGATGGAGGGAGGGCAAGAGGTATTGACGAGCTTAACTCTACAAATCTTGGAACTGACTGAATGCAGAGGTGAGTGAGTGAGTGAAGTGGGGAGGACTGCTGGTTTGCAGGAGCGAAACAGAGGGGCATCGTTCACTGAGTTCCACTAGGACAGGCTAGGAGGAGGATGGTTGGGGGCGGGGGTCAGAGGAAGAGGAGGGGTTGAGATTTCCACCTGGTGACCTCTGCTCACAGTGTGAAATAGATTTTTTAAAGTTTGCTGAAAATAAGGGAGGTGTAATGAAACAAGAAAAAAACTACTGTGAAGGCTAAATGAGAAAGCTCCTAAGTGCTACATTAAAGGACAGACATCAAGGGCAGCCTTGAAAAGAGAAAAGTCTCACTGCCAAGTCTTGGGCTTGGGTGTGAATCCAGCATGTGGTGAATACAGGCTGACCTGGGGAAGGATCCAGGCCTGCGCTTATATCTCACCTCGGGAAACTGACTCCACCTTGTTGAGCCTCACTTTTTGTACGAAAAGGGATGAGCAGGTTCTAGCATGCCCAGCCAAGGTGCAGCTGAAATAAGATTAACATGCCTGAAACTGGCACAGAGCCTGGGCCTGGTGGATCCAGACTGTGTGGGGCTCAGAGTGCTTACAATTTGGAGAGCACTGTCTAAAGACTAGAAGAGAAAGTGAAAGTGAATGCGTACTTAGAAAGAGAAAAGGAATCACCATAAATTACATATTTTTAAGCTGCCAAATGCCATATGCATCACAAAATACAGAAAAATAACCCAATATTTTTATTAATAGCCTGATGAACCTCCATAATATTTTTCCCATATTTGGCTGCACAGTCTTTATCACTTCTTTATATGACAATGATTTTGTAATATGATTTTTATAGAGAGAATAAAAAGATAATTTAGCCTTTGCTCTACTTCAATTGAACAAAACTTGTTTTATATTATTGATAGCTGGATGCATTAAGCATTAAACACAGCCATATTTCTGTTTATAATATGGCTACGGGTTTGTACCCTAAAAATACAAGAATTGTGATCCATTCTATTTCTCACATTTTTCTCACGTTTTTCTCACACCAAGAAAAATGTATGGTGGGTTTATACACGGCGATTTGTGTTTCATTATTAAGTATATTCCTGACAGAAAAGAGCTTCCGTTTTCACCAGTCATTGATGACACCAGATTCTGCCTCTGTACATTTCAAATCTTGTGTCTCCCTCATCGGTCACCTATTTCTGATGCTGATGCCAGGCCCTGTAGAGCGTGTTGCTGTTGTGATACAACGCCTGGGCTCTGAGTTTTGTCCCCCATGCTGGGTGTCAGCCGGTGGACAGTACATGTATTCTGGGAAGCTGTCTCTACACTGGGATGGTTAGCAAGAACATAACTGGGCATGAAGTGACTGCAGACCAGGAAACCAAAACCAAATGTTGTCCCAACCCAATTTCCCTTAACGAGGTCCCCAAAATACTAGTGGCCATCTTTAAACACACCCACTACTCAATACTAAAGGAAGTACCTATCAAAAGGGGAAGTAGGAGCAAACAAAAACAGTGATCATAACTAACTGCACTTAAATATCTTATTTTTCCAAACTTTACAAAACACGTGGCCATGTGAACATATTACTTAGGTGCTACAGGGTCTTGGAAAGGATCTGTGCAAATGTGGGCCCTAAAGCTCAAGGTTCATTAGCCTCATGGTAAACCTGCATCTAGTTGTAACCATAACAGGCATTCAACAAATCAGCGTCCCCTCTTCCTCTCCCATAAGCTGTTCTGTCACAGTGCCTTCCAGGACTCCTGTGCCCAGCACCCAGCACACAGCTGTGCCTGCAGGTGTGCTCAGCCAGTATTGATAGCCACTGGATTTTATTTACCATGCTCAACTGACTTAACTACACTTTGGATGGGTGTTTATTTGGAGTAGGTTGATTTTCTTAAAAATAGGTTTGATATTTGTAATACTTTATCTGGAATTATTTCTTAAAACGTAGTCTAAAATAACCATAGTCATTGAATAAAAGAGTTGGGGGCTGGATTTTGAAATCTAAATATACCCCATGAGAATAATGCTGTCATAATACATTCAACTAACATTTCATTTACATCAATGGCATATAGACACAAAGAAACTTGTGAATCTTGGCCAAAATCCGCTGTCTTCACTAAAGTGTGTTGGGTTTAGATTATAATTTTCCCCCACAAGACAAAACATAGAAAGAGAGAGGGACAGAGGAAGGAAGGAAGGAAGGAAAAGGAAGAGCTTCTCCACAACCATTTATTATACCTTTGAAACAATTTTTTCCTCAAAAAACAAAATGTGTTTCTGCAACCTCTTCTATCTAGAGTGTAGAAGTAAACGGCAATCTTTTCCAGGGGCTTGAATACTCTTTGTTCTAAGCAAGATTCTAATAAATGCACACAATTTATAAGTGAGACTTTAAGGACCATCTCCCAGATTTTAAAGGAATCCAGGATTTAATAGCAATCAACAGAATCAAGGCAAAGTGAAACTATTACAGCTGAACACACTGGAAAAGTGGAGTTTGAATTGATGCTGCATATTATTCATTTTGACAAGTGCAAACTCACATTGAAGATAGCAGGAGTAGAGACGGGGATTGCAAGGAAGGGTAATACAAATGTATTATTAACACAGAAACAAATCTGACTTTAAACCTGGTGCGCCTCTTGTTTAGTAAGAATAATAATAAGGTCTTGAATTCTCATTGTACTTTGCATCAAAAATGATCAAAAAACTCCCAAATTTTTGTGAGAAATATGGTATCTACATTAGTTATATCTTCCAGAGGAAGCCAATTACCAAATTAAATGTGGGCACGTTGTGGGTAGATGCAGATAGGAAATGTCAAAAATGCACTCAGACACTGAGAAATATGGAAAGTAAAGCTGAAGTGTTCCCCCCAATCAAAGGTCAGCCAGGCAGCTAATCAGCAATTGGCCCAATTCATAGACTGAAGAGGCACTGAAGACACCCCCAGTGCAGTAGACCCCAGCAAGTCTCTGGGCCTCTGCTACAGACTAGTTGGGGGAAGCCCCAACATGACATCTCAGAAAATTGCCTGTGGTTGATGAGGTCTAGTGGACTTTCACAAATTCTCCAACACAATCCAGAGTTCAGAGATATTATCAGGATCCCAGTTGTCAGTGGCAATTGTCACACCCGGTAACCTGTAGTGAGCCTGCCTGCCACGTGCATATACGGGCACAACCTATATGCATTTGTCTCACTCACTCTCACTCTGATGGATGGAGGACTCTTTTGATATGAGTTCTATTATTATTCCCATTTTTCTATGAGAAAATTGAGGTACAAAGAGGTTGAGGAACTTGAAAGAGTCACATCTTGGTGATGCTAACACAATGACAGAAAAGGAAGAAACTTAGTTAAGCGACAAAAATCTGTTCTTTAGCAAATGTTTATTTTATTTGTTTGCCTGCTGGATCCATGGACTATTCAAGACTTACAGAGTCAAACTTTCTGGGTTCCGATTTCCCACAGGACTCATCCTCTGACTCCTAACTCTATTCCAAGTGCCTCCTTAGTAAGAAATTTATAAATGCAATTGCTAACCGAGTGTCAAAAACAAAACCAAGCAAAAGACAAAAAATGTGATCTCAGTTTACCTACCAGAGAAGCTGCTTCTGCCAGGGAAATTTACTGCGTCTGTTTTCTACAGAACATCCATAGCCTAATAAAGAGTTAAAGTGCTTGTTGAATAACACTGTGGCTGTCACAGGTAGCCATTATTCTAATACCACAGCTTCTCCTGAATTAGTGTCAAGTATGTAAGCCCAAATTTATATTAGCATAAATATTGAGAAATGCTTAACACTGTGGTGTGTTTTTGATTTATAGGAGGACAAAACAAAACAGATAAATCATTTCCCTTAAGTGCCATGGCAATACATCTTTAAATAACCAGCCCAACTCCAAAGGCACTAGTTTCTCCTTTACCCACATTTGCAACTTTCATTAGTATCCAGTGAAAGTTGTGCCCACTGGGGAAGAATAAAACTGAATGGATACCTTGTGCTTCAGGTTTTCACAGCAACATGATTAAAGCAAATATTTTGACATAATCATGGAAAAGCAATGCTGCTAAGGCAAGGAATAGCAATCAACAGAATCAAGGCAAAGCATCAGAAGCCCAGAATCAGATGCTCATTAACATCAGAATATATGAAATTCAGCAAAAGTAGAGATCTTGAATGGATTAGTTCCCTATAGAAATGTTTTCATGTGTAAGGAAAGGGAGAATATTTAAATGAAACCACATCTTTCTTATGGGTCCTGGAAAGACTTCAGATCCATTAGGAGTTCATTGTTCTTTAAGAATTAAAATGAAGTATGCTGGGTATGGTGGTTCACGTCTGTAATCCCAGCACCTTGGGAGGCTGAGGTGGGTGGATCACCTGAGGTCAGGAGTTCAAGACCAGCCTGGCCGACATGGCAAAACGCTGTCTCTACTAAAAATAAAAAAAAATTAGCCAGGTGTGGTGAACTGCACCCATAATCCCAGCTACTGGGGAGGCTGAGGGATAGGAATCACCTGAGCCTGGGAGGTGGAGGTTGCAATGAGCCAAGATTGCACCACTATCAGTCTACCTGGGTGGCAGAGTGAGACTGTCTCAAACAAAAGAAAGAGAATTAAAAAGAAGCAATAATCAATAATGTAGTCAGCATGTATATATCAAACAGATAAAGTCAAACCACTTTCTAAGAAATCAATGAGACACATAATATGAATTTGTATTCTAATGGACAGGCACAGACAAAGAAGACAGGGAGGCATAACCCAGGAACCAAACTCAAGATTTTCAAGTTGGGTCTAAACTTTTATCTCAAGATGCTTCTTAGCGCCAAAACTAACAGTAGAAGAGTGAAGAAACTACTGCTAGCAGTGATATTCAGGAATTTCCTGAGCTGGACCTTAAACTAGGTTGATAGCTTAGAATCAGCTAGGATGGGAGGATCCAACACTATGGAAATTAGTAAATGCTGCAGAGCAGGTTCTGCACTTCTCTAGAGCCATTTAAGCAGCGCACCACTGGCCAAGTCCTAGAATATGTCCAAATGTCTCCTTAGCCTGAATCCAAAGTCATAGATTTCTCCTCTCACACTTTTAACATTGAGCCAAATTTGTATACTCACTGTCAACTCAGTGAATAGGAAACTTGTCGCTGTTTTAAAATGCATTAGGTCATGTAAATACTGCCCAATAAAATGTGACTCAATAAAGAATTATCGTCTAGTAAGAACACTAGCCTGGGAATCAGTGGGTGTGAGCTTGACTCCCAGCTGGGTGGCCTTGGGCAAATCACTTCATCCTCTGAGTCTCCTAATAATAATACTTCCCCTGCCTCCTTCACAAGATTGCTGTAAGGATGCACATAAATCTGTATTCCAAACTGTGAGACACTGAGAAAAGGTCAAGAAATCCACCAAATGAGCAGTGTATTCTATTTTTCCTTATTTCCTATTCCTTCCTCATAATTGACTTTCTATCATCACAGATGATTCTATCTCCTATGTTCTGGGCCTGTTTTGACTCCCTGACTGCCTTGTTGGCTCTTATGGGCAGAAATTACAACCATGCATTTCTTTTGAATGTACCACAATGTTTAGCACAGCCTTAGACACTGCAGTGCCCAAAAAACTGAATTCTTTGAGGGCTTCCTACTATAAGGATTGAATCACCAAAAGCGCTGCAGAACTACAAAAAATTAAAATTCTACCGAGAAGTTATTTTTTCTCACTTCTGTCTAAGCACATTTTGGGTTTTCTTTTGTTTTTTTGTTTTTGTTTTTGAGACAAGAGTCTCGCTTATGTCACCCAGGCTGCAGTGCTGTGGCATGATCTCGGCTCACTGCAACCTCCGCCTCCCAGGTTCAAGTGGTTCTCCCGCCTCAGCTTCCAGAGTAGCTGGGATTACAGGCCTGCGCCACCACACCTGGCTAATTTTTGTATTGTTAATAGAGACGGGGTTTGGCCATGCTGGCCAGGCTGGTCTTGAACTCCTGACCTCAAGTGATCTGCCTGCCTTGGCCTCACAAAGTGCTGGGATTACGGGCATGAGCCACCACACCCAGCCCTAAGCACTTTTTTGATCCCTCTGATTACATGTTTCCTCGGATTTGATCTTTGAATCATCTACAGCCTCTGCTTCAAATTGCTTTCTAAGCTCACGGATTCTTAAAGTTCCTATCGCCCAAATGCAGAGATTCTTCTCAGTCTACATTGAATTATACAGGTTTTGTTCCAATAAGCAGCAGAATAAAAGATGCCACAGGTCATAAAGTAATCAGGTAATATATTGCTGTCAGTGTCCACTAATTCCTATTCACTTTAGTTTCCTGCTGTTCTCCTTTGTACTTTTCTTATTTTTTATTTAGATTTTTACAACCCACAAGAAAAGGCCCTCCATTTTGTCACTGTAGAACAGTGTGGACGAGTGGAAAACATACATAGTATTTCGGACTCATATCCAAACTTTACCCATTAATAGTTGCATAACTTTAAGGGAAATTATTTTACCTCTCTGTGCTTCAGTTTTCTCATCCACATGGGAACAATAAATTGAAACACTGTATGTGAAAGTACCTAGCACAATGCCAAGCACAAACGCTCCTTCTATACTTACATCTCCTGCCTCCAGAGATGTTTACAATCCTCTTGTAATCACTCAGAAGATCTTTAGAGAGGCTTAAACACATTTGCCTTCAAGCCTTCGGTTGGCAAGTAAGAACTAAGCTTTTAACTGGCTGAATTAATTGAGGTAAATCATTGTCTATTGCTGCTTGGGAATAATTTAGGAATGCTGCCTCTGACTGATCAAGGTTGAATTTGATCCTCCCGGTTGCCACTGGTTTGGGTAGGGGAGGGGTTAGGGTTTTGTTCCTTCTTTTTCTTGTTACTCATTAGATCCACGAATATTTATTGCATGCCTATGGGAGGCAAACATAGGTTTTGTGGGGCTTGAAGTTTATACTATTTGGGAGACCCTCTTATAAAACTTATAAAACTGCAAATACAAAATTAGGCATAAAAGTGACTATTTCTTAGAATGCAAATAGAAGGGACCCTGCAGCTTAAGGACTATTCACTTTATAATAAATATGCATCTGGAGCCTACTGCATGTCAGGCACCTTGTGAGGCCCTGTGGATAAGGTCATGAATGCAATAGTCACACTCACGTGGATCCTGCAGTCTAGTCATTTTCAGAAAATGGTGAGCCTTTTTGTGCCTCCCCAGAGGGCTACATGGTACACAGCCCTTCTCGTGGCTGAAGGTCCTTCAACACCAGCCCTCTTTCCTGTTTCTTCCCTACTCTGGACTAGAAAGAACCCAGACCTGACCTACACAGTGGCAATCTGCTCTCTCAAATTTCCTCCAGCATGAAAGAGAAGATCACCTACCCTGTGGGTATCGGTGGAGAGATTCGTGGAATTTTCTTCTCAGAATTTGAAACCTCATTTACAGATGAAGACATGGAGTCCAAAAAGAATGGAGCAATGTTCTTAAGGTGGACAGTTATCTCCCCAGCCAAGCTCAAAGCCAGTGTCCTCTTTGGACTTGAATGGCATTTCTCTGTTAATGCTGCACTGTCTCCCCAAGCAGTCCAAATGAGCAGTAAGAAAAGGCAAAGAGATTCTAGCCCTCCTGGTAGAGAAATTTTAACAAGCCAGTCCTCAATGAGCATCATGGATAGCTAGTTGTCTTTATTACCTCCCTGACCCCATAACCAATCAGCCTTAAACGTCTGCAGTTGTCATTTTTTGGTTGTGATGGTTGTTTTTGTCAGCTTTATCTAAAAAAATACACTGCAGTCTAGGAAACAGTTGCATCTTTATAAGTATGAAATATAAATAATAATTAGAACATACCTCCTGCTTTCTTTTTCTTTTAACCTTTATTCTCTTTCTCTCTGAAGAACATGGTGGTACGCAATCTACACAGCAGACTTCAATCTTACCAAATTATCACCTTTTTCAGGTTTGAGTATAGGCGTTTGGGTGTGTAACAAGTAAATCTTTTATCTTAAAGTGACAAAAGATTAGTCATGAGGTGCTCCTTGAAATATTCATCAACGTCTAATGCATGCAGAATATTGCTTAACATTCAGCACAATATCATCTTGCCTTTTCTTGAATTTTGCCTTTTGATTAAATGGCAGTGGTATTCAAGAAATAGAAACAATGATCCCTGAAAAACCATATATATAAGATAGATATTGATTCCATTTTAGAGTAACAGCAAGCCACAGCACTGCTGTGAAATTATCAAATTTAGGTTAGAAAGCTTTAAAGAATGAAGGCTTGGGAATTTGTTGTACAATCAACATATTGTATCTTCGCAATAGCAGAGAAAAAGCATGTAGCAATTGCAGCTGAAAACATCAATGTAAATGTTATTATGCCTTCCCAGTTCTCAGTCATATTGGCTGCTGACATCTCTCAGTGTCGGTTGATTGTCAGTGGCAAAGCAGGTCTGCTGTCTATTGGCTCACCAGTGTCATATGACCCCACTGCCTGCACCCATGTAAATCACCAAGTGAACTGTTGTGTGAAATCATTCCTACACCCTTTGGTGAATTTGCAGTGTGGCAGCCCACACCAGAAATATATTAGATGTCTTCAGACCACATTTGCACTCCCCACCATCCATCCAGGAACCTGAAGTTCCTGAACAGCTCAGGATTCACATCCTTATTGTCTCTAATTCACATCTCGGGTTTTGTGGGCTTGGCTCTCGCACAGGCACATCACCTTAATCTTTATTTGCTTAGCCTCTCTTTGCGTTTATGCGACGTCTGTTTTCAAGACTCCATAATGAGCATTATGCAGCAGCTCACACTGTCTTTCCAGTTGTTGCTGTTTTCCCGAATCTGATAAGGAGCTTAGCAACGCATTTCAGTCTTTGTGTTTGGATAATTTATGTGGCGAAGATGTGACAGAATCAGAATTGGAAAGACACTGAGACATCTTCTTACCTAAAAGAGAAAAATACTACAAACTGCATCCCAGACTCTCAATGTGAACAATATTTTGCTTCACAGATTTCTTATTTTCTCAATACATTTCCTGGTAGTGAGGGTAAAAATACAGTGAAAAAGATCTTTCTGGGGGACAATTTGGGACTATCCTAGTTGAATAATTGAAGATGTGTGCAAAAATATACTCACAAGGATATTGAACCTGAGCTGTTTATAATAACAAAATAGCTACTTACAATTATGTGCATTTACAATTGTCATATATACTTATACATATTTAACTATCATAATTATAATAGCAAATTAAAAAATAGGTAAGGGATGGATAGATTTGAAAATAGCCCAGATGTCTGTCTAAACACAAAATACTCTGCCATAATTATTATTTTTGAGATTATATGTGTAATTTTAAAGTAACTTTCTGAGCATAATACAAAACCCAGAAAACATACATGATTTTTACTACATACTAATTTAAAATATTTTTGGTGTAGCAAACAAACACAAAAACAAAACAGGATAAACAAAGTCAAGAGACAAACTGAGGAAAATGCTTGCAACACATATATTTCAAAAGATACACAAAGAACTCCTACAGATTGATTGAAGAAGGAGAAAGAGGAGAAGAGGCTGCTAATAGGAAAATATACAAGGAGCATAAACAGATAATTCATAGAAATCCAGTGGCCAATAATCAAATGAAAAGATGCCTGGATTTCCTAATAATCAATGAAAACCAAATGAATGCCATAATTAGATATTTTGCAGCAATTAGACTAAGAAAAAGACCAATAATAGTCACTTATGGCAAGGGAGTAAGGAAACTAGTAGTGAGAATATAAATTGTTATTTTTGGAGAATATTTGGAAACTCCTAAGATAATATATACATCTACAATAAAGTAACATAATGATTGCTTGCATTGATTGAGTGCTTAGTGTGTGCTCAGGCTGAGTGCTTATATAGTTACATGTATTAAACATTTCATCCTCACAGCCACCCTCTGTGCAGCACTGCACACTCCACAATTCCAGAAGGCACATTTCACATAGACTTCCATGTGAATGATGCCTCCCGTAACTGTGCAATGCAGCCTCCCTGACTATGAGGTCAGACTTTAATTGTCCCCATTTTATACATAAGAAAACTAAGCTCTGGAGAGGTGATGTAACTTTCCTAGGGTCTTAGCAATCGTAAAGTAGTAAACTAGCTGTCTCGGGTAAAAAAAAGAAAAAACAAAAAAAGAAAGAAAGAAAAATGGAAATAAAAAGCCCTGCCAATTTCTGTGGTATAAATACTTCCACCATAGTTGACTTCAGGCTACCAACATGAGGTCACTGAATTCAGAGTTGGGAAGAGATGTACATAATTGGCTTTCATGTGCCAGCCTCGGCACACTACACTTTGTAAGTAGGAGAACCAGGATACAAATTCAAGCAGTATGGCTTCCGACACACATGCTCATGGCTCGATATTCTATTTCTAGAACTACACACAATCTACAAAATACACGCGCCCAAAGTGATATGTTAAAGAGTGTTTATAATGGAGAAAAAATGAAAATAATCTAAAAGTTTATTTATTCATTTATTAGTTATTTATTGAGAGCTTGTTATATACTGGCCACTATGCAGGTGCTGGGGATGCGATGGCCATAAAAACTGACATGCTTCCACAGAGCTTGCAGCCCAGTGGAAAGAGAAAAGAGAGGTGAGTACTCACATAAATTATAATTCATCTAACCAAAAAAATATGTAAATAAAAAAGTGTGTATATATATGAAAAGTACAGTTAGAAACTTTTAGCATAAATCACCTCTGATGTTTTCTTTTTGTAAAACTATACATATGTATTGCCTTTATAATTAACATTAAAAATGAGATAAACATTATTGCTGTGCAATTCTGTTTGACACTATGGTTTAATAAACAGTAGGTACAAAGCAGTATGTATGGTATGATTCCTTTTTAAAAAAAATTAGTTTACATGATAAAATTACCTACAAAGATATACGCTGAAATATTAGCAGTGGTTGATAAGCAATGATTTTGTCTTCCTCTTTTTGCTTATTTTTAACAATTTTCCTACTATGAACATATATAGCTTTTGCACTGAGAAAAATAAACAGTATAAACTCTTGTTAATTACTAAAAGAAATAAGAGAAAAAGGCAACCAAAGGGACCTCTTAATTTCGCCATAGGAACAAGCTCAGAGCCACTTTTCTGCAGTAAATTCACTAGAGTGTCCACTGTCCCTAAAGAATAAATGTGAGATCTCTAAGTTTGGAAGTACCGTGCTGATTGGCAGAATGTGTTCCCTTTCATCTGGGCTCTTACCTTCATGTAATAATAGCAACTCCATGAGCAGATCCAACCCATGGGCTAAAAGAAGAGAGAGCTGCCCAATGAACTGTGTACATAAAACTCCCTCTCCTACTGAAAATCACTGTCAGGTTCAAATGAATTCACACATTTTACATATATTCCTCTACTCTCCTTATCCTGCCAAAGGTTAACCTCTGGTTTACATTCACACCAATATGACGTGTCTAAACCATTGTAATTCTTAGAAAAATACAATGCACAACTGCACACCAGAAAAACAACCACCCAGCAAGGGGGAAAAAAATTCAATAGCATTAGGATTGCTCAACAAACCAACAAAAGCCAGGAAATTCAAAGTTAAGTTTTACACTCCCTCCTTAACTCCACACTATTGTGAAAGAGAAATAAAAGGCACAATGGTGTGTGTTAGGGGTGCAATGTCAGCAGTAACAGCACTTCCAGGCTTTTATTGACTTGTGTCATAACCTTAACGTTCTATAAACAGGGGATTTGGCTTAACACCTGGGTTCTTTAAAAGAGAAATATCTTTTGGAAGTCTGGATTAGGGAAACCCAAAGAGGTTTCCCAGTCTCTTAGGTATACATAGTAAATTGTTATAGAGAGAGGAAACAGATAAAACTGTTGTTAAGATTACAGCCTTTCTGGCCTCTTGGGAAAATAAATAATTACAACACAAGAAATACTATTTACTTAGGAGACCAGAAGAGACTCCCGAGTAATCTGGTCTACCAGCTAATATTAGACACGTTCTCATGCAAAGCTTTACATTTAGGGAATAAAAGTATTGCTCAATGGTACTTAAAAGTGCTAATAGTTTAATGTCCTTGTTCTTACCATTTGCCAAATACAGCAAGCTTCTTTTTGAATAATCCATGCCTGAATAAATTGAAATTCCAGCCAACTCAAGGATGACGGAAACATTTTTAGAAGTTTAAAAATAAGCATAATTTCATTACCAGGCATAAAACCTGGTTGGAAACGTTTATAAAGGAAGTCAAATAAGTAAACTAAAAAAAAAAAAAAAAGTTTGTTTTCATTAATCAGCTTGCGTGAGGTTATGAGAGAGGAGAGGCTCTTCCAAGACCCTGGCCCAAGTTCCGGCCCATGGAGAAGGCCCCAAACATCAGGAAAGAGATGAGGAAAAGACTTAAGTCTTCACCAACACTGAAGGAGCATCACCCCCACCCAGCAGTCATGGTGAAAGCTTGGAACTCTTTGGGGACTCTCAGGGTTTTCAGCTGCTATATCCAAAGTCAACCAAAGAATGATTCTGGAATCAAGGTTCTTCTGGCAACAGAGAATAAATTCCAATGGAGTGAAATAATTTCCTGTCTTCTTCTCTTTGGAATCTGCATCTTAGTAAACTTCACTGGTCAGAATTGCTCTTAAATGAGTAAATAACATGCTATTCTAAGGCAAGCTCTTGCCAAGACCTTTGGCTACCAAAACGTATGGGATGACCAAAATAACAGTTACCAGTTATTAAGATCCCTTTAACACATTATAGGAGTTTTCTATTTTGAGGTTGCTTTTTAAAAATTGAATAATGGTTATAAAAATGGGTAATGGAAAAGCATTGCTCCATTCACATGTAGTTGGCCAAAACTTAGTCCCATGAGCATATTTAACTGAAAAGTAGGCTAGGAAATGTACATTCTTTACATGTCCAAAAACAAAGAGGAATGGGTTTGGTGAATAGCTACCTCTACACCAGCCACACCATCTCTGGACCGACAAGAATACTGAGTGCCCAAGGAGAGGTTCCTGAAGGAAAGGACAAATCAGTCTTTTTCTTCTTCATTCTATCCCCAACTCAAAATAATCAAGAAATAGGGATAGTCTGGAGTTAGTGGGGCTTAAACTTTCTTACCTCATAAGACTAAGATAATTGTTAGACTCACACTTCAAGACCCTGTAATCATATTGAGAATGCAAAAGGTTTATACTTTTCATTCCTCTATGAACTGAGTAGGTATATGCCACTACTTATATGTACTATTACTGTTAGTTTTGTAACTGTAAAATGATATACATGTTCACATATTTTTATGTTGTCTAATAAATCAAGTATATAACCTAATTGATTTATGCATTTTACTTTTCAAATTAGAAACAGAAACCAAAGGTAAAGCAATAAAGCATTCAGCTGAAAAAGTGATAATCTATGTTTTAGGCATTTTAAAAATTGCTATTAAAAGCTCAGTGGATATTGTATCCAGAGGTATATTCCATTGAAATGTGAATATGATGGGTAGAATCTTGTTCCTCTGCTCTACCCAGGAAGCATGTGTGTCTTTGGCTTCTTCAGACAACAAAGGGCACTCAGTAAAGGGCGCACTCTATCAGCAAAGAATGGCAACTTGCCTTGCCTCTCATGTGTCCTTCTTAATTTGATTGATCAACTAGATCTTACAGAGATTTGACAGTGTCTGAGTGACATTGTACAAGGTTAGACTGAAGCTATTGATGGTTACAGTTCCTGAATCCATTGACACACACCTCCAGCCAATTTATTTAAATCAAGTCATGTGACTGTCATATGACCCAGGAAGGCAAAAAAAAAAACAAGTAATTTTAGATTTTCACATCTAAAATGTTTGCATTTTCCAGGAGGTCAAAGAAAAAAAAGCACTTGAGAGTAGAAATATATGAATGGCAGTTGGATCTCAAAGGTGATTCTAAACCAAACATTTTAGAGCTCTTATTTTCCACTGACTTCCTCTCAAACTTGATCTTTCTCTTCTCAAGTTCTGAGAAAATCACTGTAATGTTTGAATCCCCCCAAACATTAGGTTGGTGCAAAAGTATTTGCGGTTTTTGCCATTAAAAGTAATATTTCTCCCACAGCAACTCTGGAAGAGTCAGGAATTGTTTCCCTTTTTCAGATAAGAATTGGGGCAGAGAGGTCTTAAATGGGGTGCCCAAAGTCACCCATACTCATGAGTGCAGGAACCAGGTCTCAAGCGCAAGCTCTCTGGCAGACCCCATGGCCAGGCTCAACACCGCAGTCCCTCCCTATGCTATCAAGCATTTGATCCAGATACAGATCCCATCACAAAGGAGCTCTCAGGCTCACCACTCTTCTTACTGCATTTTCTCAGTACAAAATCTGAGGTTCATGCATTACTTTGTTTTCCAGGGACAACAATGGAATCCTTGTCTTTCCAATCTTATAAAGAATATGGAAATCCCTCACGTCTTACATGGGAGCTCTTCAGATTCCAAGATTCCATCACTCCTCAACACTTCTCCTGCCTCTCTCACCTGGATGATTGCATTACCCTCCCAACTAGTTCCGCCAACCCCCCACCCGACCCCACTGCTTCTTCCCCCTACAGTTCATTCTTAGCCAAACAGATTCTTTTAAAACTAAGCCAAGTTGTGTTACCACAGTGCTCAAAACTCTCCAGGTTACCCAGAAAATCAAAACCACAAGGAGATACAACTTCACACTCACTGGGATGGCTATAATCGAAAAGACAGATAATAACACATGTTGGTCAGGATGCGATGAAATTGGGACCCTCATACACTGCTGGTGGGAACGTAAAATGGTGCAGCTGTTTTGAAAAATAATCTGGCAGTTTCTCCAATGGTTAAACATTTCTATTCCTCACCTAAGAGAGGAATTTCTGGCTAGTTGACTTGATATCCCCCAGGTAGCTTTCCTACAATAACCCTGTGGGGGCTTGACTCAACACTTCTACTCCTAAGTGAGAAACAGAAATGAAAACATATTTCCTCACCAAAACTTGTACCTGAATGTTCATAGGAGTATTATTCATAATTGCTACAAAGTGGAAACAACCCAAATACCTATTAACCGATGAATAAATTAAAAATGGTATATACAGTGGAATATTAGCCAGTAATGAAAAGAAATGCAGTATTAATACATGCTACAACACTGCTGAATCTGAAAACACAGCCCAAAAGAAGCCAGTCACCAAAAATCACATTTTATGTGAGTCCATTTATACGAAATGTCCAGAATAGGCAAATCCATAGAGAAAGAAGGCAGATTAATAGATGTCTAGCACAGAGGGACTTGAGGGTAAGTGGGGAATGGCTGTGGAATTTCTCGTTGGGGTGATGAACATATTCTAAAATTGATTGTTGTGATGGGCTCACAATTCCGTGAATATATTAAAAGCCATCAAACTGTACACTTTATATGGGTGAATTGTATGGTATATGAATTGTATCTCAATAAACCTGTTATTTGATAACAACAAAATCCTCTAGGGCCAAGCACAGAAGCTAGCACGAAGTAGGTGTTCAATAAATATTTGTTGGATAATGAGTGAATGGGGGGATTCAGTCGCAGATTAAATTAATAACATGGAGTAAGCGAGCAGAATTCAGACATGTATCTCAGGTGTGGACTCACTCATATTGTTCCTTGGGAAGCCTTTATGGAAATCTCAGAATCTGGTTGTGTAGTGCAGTCTCCTCCAGGGCCTGCCCTTCCCCCTTTGCCCCATTCATGTCACCTGAATTACCTGTTCTCCGGGAGGACAGAGGACACAGCTGCATCCCCACAACCCCCCAGCACAATTTTTGGTGTTCAATGAACACTTGGAAACTCAGTGCCTGTGTGAGAAACCAATTCAATATTTAATTACATCCATTGTATTTACTAAAAAGCTACTTTATGCCAGGGCAACATATTGGGTGCTATGGGGAATATAAAAAGGTTAACAGGCTTCTGAAATTGTTTGACATGTTATTATAAACATGTACCACTTTTGTAATACAAAAATAAGTAATAGTTTTTAAAAGTTCTAAGTCCTCATCTCCTGAATATTTAAAAGAAAAAAAGTGGTTACTAACTCAGAAAGTCTGCCATCAATAGCTGATAACCACAGATTTCAACATAAATAATTTGGATGCAAGCCATGATGAGCTAAGTGAGTGAATGGAGTGTATCAAAAGTGAATGTGCTTCCAAGTCTGAACCTTGGCTCAGCCTCGTATGAACTATAATTTCAGACAGGCTGCTGGGCTAGTTGGAACCTCAGTTTCCTCATCTGTAACATAGGAACCTTGATACAGCTGTCTACTTTATAGGACTGTTGTGAATATAAAATGAGATCATCAATGTAAAATTCTGCAAATTATCAGTGGCAATATTAGGAGTGGTATACAGAGGAAGAGGTGGTTTCTACAGAGATCTGGAAAGCAGGTGGCCTTTGGTCTAGGGCTTCAGGGAGGTTGTGGTTAATTCCATGGTCTCTGGAGTCAGACTACTCAGGGTTCTAATCCTGGAGTGGCCCCTTATTTGCTTTGGGAATTTGGGCAAGTTACTTCTCATCTGGCTCATTTTCTTTCACTGCTCAATAGGGGAAATTAAAAGCACCTACTTTATAGGGATGTGGTGAGAACTGAGTGAGAAGTTGGATTGTTGTGCTGGTTTAGTAGATAGTAAGCCCTCCATCAAGGGCAGCTGTTACTCAGGTCCTCCTTTTTAAGAGTGACCTGGGCCAAGCACTTTTCGAATGGCTAAAAAGATAAGGATCAAAACAACCTTCTAAACACCACAGTGCCCTGTGAAAAAATTGTCAGCCTCTTAATAATAGTTCATTGTGATCACTCATCCTACAACTATCTTCTGAAGCCTATCACAGTTACTGAAGCCAAAGTTTTCCTTTATGTAGCTGGTTTGAGATACCTTGTGAATGGCTTTAGAAAGCTCTCGAGCAATTTGGCAGTCCCTGTGTTTCCCTGCAATGGGCTATTGGAAACTCCACTAGAAAGCTGATCATCATTGAATACATTGGTGTCTTCCATAAGAATGATGTCAAAGATGGGGACAGTACTGCTATCTGTCCAGACTCAACAGGACACTAAAGATGGGCTAGGTTCCAGAAGAAGAGGAAACCAATAGGTTCTGTGCATGAAGAACCTACATGTGGCCTCATCTTAGTTAGAGAGGGTTTGGTTCACCATTTCACCTCCCCCCCACCCAACTCGTTTCCATTATATATTCCTGTATTAATGAAATTATGTACTTATTACCCATTTCCTTGGTACTCAAACTGTAGTGTGTATCAGAATAACCCAGAGAGCTTGTACAAACACAGATTCCTGGGCCGTATACTAAAGTTTCTTCCTCAGTATGTCTGGGATGGGGCACATTTCCATCAGTTTCCCAGGTGACATGATGCTGCTAGTCTACGGAACACAGAGAATCAGTTACCTATCCTAACAGCTGCTTAGGGGAAAATTTTTGTTTAAGGTTGCCTTTCCCTTTAAAACAACTGTGACAGTAGTAGAGCCTTTCAGATAATGTGTGACGCACGCAGCTTGGGAAGTTTCTAAGGGTGGACCTTCTGAGAGGCACTGATTCAGGAGCTGATCAATTGCAGCTGCTCTGATGAAATATCCTATAATCAGTGACTGCTTGTCTTCACAGACCTCCCTTAGCACAAAAGGTTCCCAGACCAGCTGCAGGCTCCCAGCTTCCTGGAGCAGAGCTGCAGCTGGACCTACTTCCCTCTATCCAGGGGACTTGTGGGTGTGTTAAGGGCCTGAGCAGCCTGGCCTCAAGGGTGGACTTCCTCCCCACTTCCTCCCACCTCCTGACGTCAGCCCTCCTGCCAGAACCAGCCTACACTGTCTGGAGGGCAACTGCTGAAGGTTTGGTTGCCATGGCAACTGATCCTCTATCCACTGAGGGGTAGAGGAACCCTGGTGTGTGATTTGATGGGTGGGCTCCACCATTTCCATTTCTCCAGATGAAAGTATTTCATCACTAGAAACTCCTTTTGCAGTAAGCACTTTTCCATCCACGAATCCCGTCTTACAATCCAAACAGTCCTTAGGAGGAATGTGAATTCTTTCATCAAATGGAGCCTGGTACCAGCCTCAGAGGAGAAATTGCCAGACCTCATCCACGAAGAGAGGCTGACAGCAGCAATGCTACCTCCTTAACAATTGCACCAAAGTCCTGCTGTGAGGTACTTGCTGAGGGTGGAGAGTGACTGCCACCACAACAAACTGAGGTTGAGACCAATAGCTCTCCCTACAGATGGTGACATTTTTTAAAATCTCATGATTAAAAAGCTGAAGACTAGGGATGATCGCCAAACACCTGACCAGTCTGCCATCGTGATGAATAAATGTCCTTTGAGATTGGAATCCTACTGAACAGCACACTTTGTTGATGTTTCAGGACAAATGCACCTTCATGTTTTATTTTATATTTTATTTTGCTGTCAGCTATTTTAAGATCTTGAATCAGGTTACACATAAAAGAACTAGAGCCAGGATGTTTGGGAAATTAACAGATGATATTTAGCAAACATTTTGACGGGTCATAAAGAAACATCTGGGAGAGATGTCTGGGACCACGAGTTGTGTGCTGGGGGAAGGAGGCCCCTCTCCAGCAGCTGCATTAGGTTTCTGGGCTGAGCTGAGCTAAATCTTCAGAACGGATGACCGTGCAGTTCAAAGAGTCCCCAGCAGGGGGCACCCTTTTGCAGTAAACTCTCTCGGTTTTATAGCTTTGCTCTGCAGCAGCCGACCTTACAGATAATTGATATTTTGATTTCTCTAACCCTCTGCTTCCTCCTTCAAAGCAGACACTCCCCTCTAGGAAGCCTTCCTCCCACCTCTTATGAAAATGGACATTTTGATGAGTAGTGGTTCTTATAGCAAGGATTAAAAGCAAAATCTGAGGAAAGATGACTGTCAAGGAAATTAAATATAGATTATGAAGAAGGTTGAATACATGCCCACAAAAGTTTCAAGATAGGCTTGCCTGATTTTCATGATCAACTCAAAGGGCACAAGACATTTCTAGACTGTCTCATAAAAGCCTGCATCAATAATGCATATGTGTATCAGTATAAAACTGGCCTCCAGTTATTTAATTTCTCAAGGGTCAACTGTGTTCCTTGGCAACTTAAGCCTGTGTGGAAAGCACCTCATGTTCCCCTGGCAGTGCATAAATAATTATAATAAATAATCCACTCATTAGCTGAAATAATTAACCCTGTTTTAGACAATCCAAAAACATCTTGGAAGCAAATAATTCAGAAGTGGACAACAGTGTTCTCCTCTCAAAACCAAGATCCAGTATCACCAGCCATTGTTATTTAAACATTTTAAGAGACCTATTACTTTTGTTTTTTGAATAAACTTAGACAGTTTAGCTCATTACTCTCACACTTCACAGCTCCGTAGACACATGTGGGTAATATTCTCATTTTAAACTTGTGATAGATTTTGTAATTTGATAGTTTTTTTTTCATTTTCTTTTAAATATCTTTCTTGCAGGAGTTATTCTCTAGCAAGAGTTCACTATTCACCCTATTCTCTTTGCAGCCTGAGCCATGTTTTAAAAGCCAGTTCACTTATTAATCAAACTCCTATAGAACTTAGGTGGTATCTGTCACTGTTCTAGGCATTCTTGAAATTTTAAGTCCTTTAAACCTCATAACGTGGATACTACTCTTATGTGTTGTCACAGAGAGGTAATTGAGGCACAGAGAAATTAAGTAACTTGCCAGAATATGCAATAAACAGCACATAAACAAGTCAAGATTTGAACCCAGCCTGTCTGAAACCAAAGTCCAAGTATTAAATCAACATGTTACGTTATCTCTTAGTAGAGAAGGGGCAATAGTTGTATACAAACTCAGCTAGTGAGTGGCTATTTTAATGAAATGTGAAGACCTTTGGAAGGTATCTAGTCTAGTCCTTGGCACATAGTACATGTTCAATAAAAATTGGTACTGGGTGAGGAGGACTGATATATGTACACATATATATTGACCTATATTCATTTAGGGAAGTGGTTGGGAGCACTTGGTTATGCAGAAGTAGGATATTTCCAGCTCTTTCCATCACTATCTGTGTGGCCTTACTAAACCAACTCAATCACACTAATATCCATTTCCCCATCAGGAGATAATACCAGTAGATGCTACCTCACAGAGGTGAAGTGAGGATAAATGAAATAAGGCACACAAAAAACTTAGCACGGTGACTGGCATAGGGTAAAAGGTTATGATTCTTCCCTTTGGTTTCATTTAAACCCAGTTTTATTTAAAGACTTAGTGTATAGTATCATATAAGAGCAAATATTTATTCAAACATTCCCCCAAAAAGCAAGTTCAGCTATTTTTGGAGAGACACAGAAGCCTTTGGTAATCAACATTGATTGAGGGTTTTGAAAGGAAAAAACATTAACAGCACTATTAGAAAATCAGTTATGGGCTGAAATTTGCAAGGTTTATGGAGCTTCAAGTTCAATACTCCTCTGTCCCCAATACTTTATAATATGTGCCAGAGAAAACTGGAAATTCTACCCTTGACAGCCCAGACGATAAAGAAATCACAGAGGAGAAACAGATTGGCCATGCTTAGGGCAACAGAAGGGGAAAGCAGGCCTGACCCCCTCCTTCCCTCTCCTTGCTCCATCTCTCACCCCCATGCCATCACCTCTTCTCATTTCCTTCTCACTTCCTCTGGCCTGACTCCTCCTTACCACACCTTCTCCTGGAGCAGCTGTTGAATGGTGAAAGAGCACAGTGAGCTGCCTTTGCTGCCAGTGGCTGTGACAAGGCCCAGGTGGCCTCAGTGAATGATCAGGGTGGTCATGGCCTGACATGGATGGAGAGTGATTTTCCTCAGTCCACTATAGATGCGTAAGGGCCATTTTGGACCACTGCATGACACCTGATTAATGACTCCATATCAGTCCAGGGTAGCATTTTTCCAGTGGTCACATGCATGGCTGGGAAGTAGTATTTATGTGCCATCTTCCTGGGATTCTCGTGGACTCCATAGGCAATTTGAAGATAAGATTTTTTTTTTAAAGAGTCTTGCTCTGTCACCCAGGCTGGAGTGCAGTGGTACGATCTCGGCTCACTGCAGCCACCATCTCCCGGGTTCAAGTGATTCTCCTGCCTCAGCATCCCGAGTAGCTGGGATTACAGGCACCTGCCACCACGCCCAGCTAATTTTTGTGTTTTCAGTAGAGACGGGGTTTCACCATGTTAGCCAGGCTGGTCTTGAACTCCTGACCTCATATGATCCGCCTGCCTCGGCTTCCCAAAGTGCTAAGATTACAAGCGTGAGTCACCGTGCCTGGCCAAGATTTTAATATTGCTTTTTTTTTTGTTTGTTTGTTTTGCCACTTCTTGATGGTTTCTTTTACACCCAAAAAGAACTTTTCACTGATAAGGATTATGTGATGGCATAATTCTAAAATACAGAAAGAAAAAGAAAGAATCCAGAGACCTTGGTGCTGGGAAGAGGGGCCAGGCAGAGCCTTGGAAGTGGTGAGAAATACCAGGATCTCTCATGACCCACAAACAAGCCTGGAGACTGCTCCATGGTGTGTCTCCATATTTGTACATCCTGGGGAGCCCAAAGGACAGTTGGGGTCTTTTTATCAAAAACAGTAGGAAATAAATCCCAAAGAGATTTTACTATATAATCATATGTTTGCTGACATATTTCAAGCTCCCTTTACATGCCCAACACTGGGCTAGGAGCAACAGAGAGAAATAAGGCATAGTTCTTGCCTTCAAGGGACTTGCAGTCTGGTGGAGCGGAGGTCAAGGAGACCAGCCTTCACACACAGGATGCTGTGGACACCAGAGGGGAGTGCAGGGAGGGGAGCCTAACTTAGCTGAGGCTGTCTTGCAGAAAGCTTTGCGAGCCACCTGATCCTTAACAAACCTAGAAAGGAGGTTCTAGGCATCAGGAACTGCACCAAAGCATACAAGCACATGGAACAAATAGATACTGCAAGAAGCAAAGCTTACTCATGGGGAAATCATGAGAGATGATTCAAAGGTGGACAAGAGCCAGACTGTGAGTGGCCATGCTAAAGAATGAGAATTATAGGCCGGTCACAGTGGCTCACACCTGTAATCCCAGCACTTTGGGAGGCCAAGGTGGGCAGATCACCTGAGGTCAGCCTGGCCAACATGGTGAAACCCAATCTCTACTAAAAAAACAAAAAAATAGCCTGGCATGGTGGTGGGTGCCTGTAATCCCAGCTACTTGGGAGGCTGAGACAGGAGAACCACCTGAAATCAGGAGGTGGAGGTTGCAGTGAGCTGAGATCATGCCACTGCACTCCAGCCTGGGCAACAAGAGTGAAACTTCCTCTCAAAAAAAGAATGAGAATTGTAGACTCCAGGAGAAAGGAAACCACTAAGGTATGAGCTTGAGAGTGATACAATCAGAGTTGAATCTTAGAAAAATCATCTGGCAAGAGTGCAGGAGCTTATTGCCAAGGGTTGATCTGACAGTAGAAAGACCATAACCTGGGCTCACTTTGCAACTCCTTTCCCAAAGTGAATTTTCACCTGACATTAAAGAAACATCCCAGCAGCCCACATTTATAGGGGCCAATGGCTCTAACACTGACTCCTCCTACCTGCGTAGATGAAGCAGGGCCATGAATTATTTGCAGCTCTTTTCTTAAAGAGATGGAATCCATTTTCCTACTCCTTGAATCAGGGCTGCGCTTGTGACTTACTTTGACCAACAGAAGTGTTGTTGTGAGGCTTCCAAGCCCAGGCCTTAAGAGATCTTGCAGCTTCCACTCTCACTCTTCTGAAACACCGCTATCACCATATAGGAAAGCCCAAGCTAGCTTCCTTGAGGATAAGGCCAAGTAGAGAGGCCCAGACAGCAAGCTGTTCCAGCAATTCACTCACATATGAATGAGATGGTCCCCACCAGCCAGCCTCCAAGCAACCCACCAATCAATTGCCACATAGGTGACTCCAGGAGGCAAGATAAGCAGAAGAACCATGGAGATGAACCCAGCACAAATTACAAAATCAAGAAATTAATGGTTGTTGTTTCACACCGCTATCTCTTGAGTGGTTAGTTACCCAACAATAAATAACTGGTCCTCCTTTATACTGCAATTTGTGAAAGCTGGCACTGGAACAACAAGCTGTCCAGATATTTGCAAGAATTAATACTGTCTGGAGGGTAAATAGACGCCATATCCCTAGAGCAGAAGGGGTTTCTGCAGGGATTGTCTGAGTCTCCTTCCCTCCAGAGTGCCAATTAGGATGGCTGACTTGCTCTAACTTATATCTAACTATAAATGCACTGTCTGATTGATAGGACATCAATGTTAATTAATAATTCATAGTATGGTCAGACTTTTTCACATGTAATCACAACTTTACATCTCAAGAAATGCCCCTGTAGCTAGTTGGAAAGCAGCTTTTCCTTCAGATTCTGACTTTCAAAAAAAGTTATCACAGTCTCTCAGAGTAGAATTTGGAGAAAGTGTGTGAAAAAGTCAAAGTTGACAAGAAATGCCATTTTTCTCCTTGGTGCATGATGCCTTTCCTGCAGAATGTAGCTTTCATGTGAACAAACCCCACTGCAGGGACAGACAAGGAGAAGACAAAATGATTCGGTATTTACAGCCTCTCCCATTAACCACTCAGATTCCAGATGGTGGAAAGTCGGGGAGGAGCCCTGAAACAGGCGCTTGAAACCAAAGCTGATGCTATTGAAATTCATGGCATCCAAATTCCTGAATCTGCATCAAAAGGGAGAGAGCCTTGTTGCCACACACTTGAACTCATTTTGAACCTGCAGGAATTCTCTGTAGCATACTACCAAGCTTTATCTTTGTTCCATACATCTAAAGTTAAGTTTCTATCTTTTTTGTCACCACATCATACCAAAACAGCTAGACAGATTTTTATCAATTTTGAGGATGTGTTTAGGATGTCCCAACTTGAAGAAACAGGCCATGGGGCTTGCAAACATGCAAGTCACTACAGGAGGCCCTGGGGAGCAGGTAAAAATGAGACAGGAGAGGTGCTGATAACTACTAATCTGAGATATGGCAAGGAAGAAAACAAAATGGAGTTTCAGATGCGAGCCCAAACTGAAACTCATGAAGGCCTCTCAACTGCAAGCATCAGTTCAAGATAGAACTGCTTCTCGAGAAGCTGCATTTATGGTGTCCTCCCTATGACCAGCAGCAGGGATTTATTCATTTAATGAGGGTTAAAGAGTCTTCCCAGTAACACAGGGGAGACCAGTGAGTGTAAGAAATACATATGGGCAGTGTACCTTGAGAGACACACTTTTTGGAAACAAAGACATATTCAAAGCTGAGTTCAAATATGTTCCCCTCATGGCTCGTGGCGAGCATTTAATAAACAATAGTTGAATGAATGAAGAAATGATTGGATGGGTGACTGAGTGAATGAATGAAGGAATGATTGGATGGGTGACTGAGTGAATGAATGAAGGGATGAATGTTGTCTGGGGAGCTGTGAAAGGTAGAGAAGCAAAAGGGAACTTCTGGCAATACCCTTCACAGAAAGCCAAGCCTTGTTAGCGGGGCTTTACATTGAATGGCATTTTTAGTTTCATTATCTAATAGTGTTGAACATTCTCAAACTATATTTAAAAGATCTAAAATATAAAACAGTGGCTTTAAAAGGCAAACATTATACTCCTTCTGTAGTACTTTTTATAAGATCTGTTTACCTCGTGCTTAATATTGGCAATGCCACTGTTCCTGCAATGAATTGACAAAACAGTTCAATACACCTCATTTAGAACCATTATGGGGCATTTCATCAAAGATCTGGTTATGAACGTCCCCAAAGAAAGGATCAATTAGATTTTTATTATGCTTGGGAAAGATTTATTTAAGAAAAAAAAATCCCTATAAAATGGAGGGGACAGATAAAGTGTGACCAGGGCAAAGGACACATTCCATTTTATGCCACTGAAGATAAATATAATTTTTATTTTAACAATAGTCTATTCCCACATATATTATCCATGTAATTGTTTATGTTTCAAAACCCACTTCATAGCAGTTTTACAAGTGGCAGAGATAGACTATTCTCAAGAGGTTGTGCTCAAGAACTGCCTTAAAGAGAAAACGGCACTATAATTAGCGCATTTGGTACATTAGCGATAAAGCACTCCTTGGAGGGCAAGACAGGCCCATAGCCCACCAAACTCCTCCCTCTTGGAAGAGTGCTAGAGTGAGGCTCTCTGGTGGCTCACACATTGCTACAATTGGGTCAAGGTTCTCCTGCATCGTGGTCTTAGGTAAAGATACCATGAAACATTTAATCATGTATTTATTTTCTCTACACAAAATGTATTAATTTAGCCTTAATTTGATTTTGTTTAGTCTCATATAGTTTTATAACTTGATAAGAAAAACATTTCTACTTGGCTTTAATATTTTTCATTATACCTGCCAAGTCAATAATTTGAAGAAAGCTGGATAAAATTTTCAAAAATTTTTGGATTTATATTGTTTCCCCAGTTTTGTTCAGCCTTATCAATAAGCTCTTATTCTTATTGTCCTCTATACAAATCTTAGAGGCATGTAATCTCAAGGCAGGCACTTGAGAAGAGCAAACATTGTTTCCCTATAGGTATCAGTCAAGATTCTTTGGGTACAAGCCAGAGAAACAGACTCTGGCTAATGCAAGAAGCAGGTTATGGGAAGGATACAGCTCATGGAGAGGAGGGCGAGAAGAGCAGAAACTCAGACAGTACCAGTGACCTCCCTCTCAGAGCCCCAGACTCGGTTCCACCCATCTTCAGTCTCTCAAGATAGGGAACCTGATTGGCCCAGCTTGGGTCTAAAATCTCTATCCTTGAACCAATCAGATGAGGTCAGGAGCTAGGGATGAAACCGCAGACAGGGTCACTAAGGGTACTATGAGCTGCACAGCCATCCTCTCTCATGTCCACTACACTCTAGACTTGTATCTTGTAAATATTGCCTAAGTTACTTTTATTGCATCATATCTGACAATAATAAGTGCTTATATTTTTGTAGAATAAGCTCAAAAACAGGCATTTGTGCAGTTTTACAGTTTTAAAATACTTGATATATATTATTATTATTAATAGCAAAGTATTATAAACAGCAAAAGCTATCATTTCTAACAGTAAATCACCACTTACATGCTTACAAGGTGCAGGGCTGGTGCTAAACACTGAATAAATTGTTACAACAAACTAACAGGTTTGTGTCATTATTAAGTTTGTTAGATATTTCAAGAATAAATAAAGTAAAATAATACATATAAAATTTAAGTTCTATCTCATATATGGATTTATTTGAGCTTCCCAAGACCCTGTTGAAATAATAATTACTCACAATACACACAGTCAAGGATAAAAAGACCCAGAGAGCCAGAGTGCCTGCTCTGTACCTATAAATGACAGAATCCTCATCCCCTACCTGCTCGTCCAGTGCTCTTTACAATGTAAGGACAACAGAACTTGAGAGGATCTATCAATAAGGACACTTCTAGAGCTTTGCCTATCTTAAACAAACTCACTCGTAGTTCATAGGCTCAGGAGTAATTATGGAGATAAATTCTTACTGGGTCGGATTTCAGTTTTGTTTATTTCCTTTGACAGGAAGAAGGAGGAAGTGAATTCATTAGGGTACAGTCTAAACTGCTATAACTAATA
This sequence comes from Homo sapiens, assembly GCF_000001405.40. Taxonomy (NCBI): domain Eukaryota; kingdom Metazoa; phylum Chordata; class Mammalia; order Primates; family Hominidae; genus Homo; species Homo sapiens. The sequence goes on along the minus strand of NC_000002.12, from coordinate 176,447,115 downwards.
GACTCAAAAGTTAAGTGACTTAATTTCTTTCATACCTGTGTCTGGAGTGAGCAGGCCAGGACAGGGAGAGCAGTCTTACCCTCCTGCACCTGTGGCTTCAAGTTATCACCATTTTCCAGCCAGTGGGAAGGAGGAAGAGGGATGTTTAGGACATGTAGCTTAGGCTTTAAGGCCCAGAATTTGTGCATTCTCACATTAGCTCACATCCTATTGACTCAAATATAGTCACATAACCACACCTAACTGCAAGGGAAGCTGGGAAATACACTCTCTAGCTGAGCCAGACTGCCCAGCTAAAAGTTATGGGATGCTGTTTCTAAAAGAGAGGAGGGGAACATCGAAATCAGGGGAAATGAACCATTTTTGGCCCAAGGAGTATTTTTATGTGTTCTTTCTTTAAGCAATCAGAATTTGAGAAAAATACCCCATAACCAGGGTCAGATCTAGATTTTTCTGGAGCCTGAAGCTCATATAATCAGGGTGGAGGCAGGAGCAAAGATCTTTCTCAGGGAAAATAATACAAAAATATCTAACTTTTGGAAATGTTGCAAAGCATATGATATTGTGACCACATTGCTAAGACCCTTCCAAGGCCTTGTATGGGTGGGGTCTGTACACAAGTGAGAAGCCCAGAAGCTTAAGCCTCATTAACTTTGGGGAAAACCGGTTTATGCCTGCAACAGTTACATTCTTCTAACTTCTTGTTCCTGCAAACTTATGATCACATAAAAGCTGTTATCCTGTATCTGGAATAAATGTTGGGTCAGTGACAGAAACAGTTTGATTTTTACTGTAGCCGGTTCAGTTAGTCTCTCCGCCTGGTGGCCCAGCTGGTGGTTAAGAGGCCTTTAGTGAGCAATACTGACCAGTTGGTCTCTGCTTGGCCATAAATAAACACAGCCAGAATAATGACTCATAGAAAGCAAATGGTAATGTTTGTTTGATGGTTTGTTTCATTTTGTTTAAGCTGAATTGGAAGAGCTGGTTCCTATTCATCACCATTCCAACCAGCATTGTGGGCTAGGCAAGAGGGAGCCGGTGGCCGGTGCCCTCTGGGCCTCAGGTCCAGAATCAGTAAAATGAGGAGCAGAGCTGAACCCTGCTCATGGCTCCTACAATGAAGTGAAGATGCTGGTGGAATCTTAGTGAAATGTGCTCTAACCTGCTCCTCTTCATGGGCCTGAGCCTAAAGAAAAACAATCTATCATTGCAATGGCCTCTTAACCATTTGCCCACAGCAAATAACAAAGCATGGCAGGCACAATTTACTAAATTTACCTTAAACAGGGGAGAGAAAGCTGGTTGCAAGTCACTCTTCCTAGAATGCTCTTCTCCATTAGATATTTCCAAAAGTGACAGTTCTTAGTATAGCTCACTCATTCCATTCATTCATTCTATGACCATTTATTTTTACCTGCTCTATGGAGGTAGACCAGAGAACATAGGAATGGACAAGGGAAGGGCATTGAAACCAAGGATTTGTACATACACACACACACACACATACACACACACACAAAATGCAGGGTAAGAAGGGCTGGGCCAGAGTTATGCATAGAGCCATGGGTACTCATGCATAATCTGGAACTAGAAGTAGGGTACAGGTGTCCCATCAAGTGAGGACGGTTGAGATTAGTCCCCATTCAGTTTTATTTTTCTTCCTAAGTCACCAGGCTGGTGTGACCCTTTACAGAGTACTGAGTCTCTCTCTTGCATGATACCAATCACATGCCCCTGCACGGTACTCTACAATGCCCTTCTCTCTCCCGTTGTAATATAAGCTGTGGAGGATGACGGGAGGAATATGAGCAGTGTGCATGTGGAAAGAACACTAATATTTATTAAGTGTCTATTTTAAGTCAGTTTACATATTTTGTTTCATTTAAATCATTTAAAAAAAAACTCAATGAGGAAGATAATATCCACATTTCACAGATAGGAAAACTGAGGCTTCAAAAAAGCTTGGGAATTTGTCCAGGCTCATGTAACTAGTAATGGTAGAGTGAGGACTTGAGACTGGTCCTTTCTGACCACAAAGCCAATATACTTTCTAGATAACAGACCTACTCCTTTCTCTTTTACCCCATAGTACATAGTACACTTAATTACTATTTGTTAATAAGGGAATCTTTCTACTGAAACATCTGTCTCACTGGGCCTTTCTTCTTGGGCCTTGTTTAAATTAGTAACAAGGAAACCTACCACAGCTGTTTTCTCCTGATAGAGACATCCATCAGTTCAGGACAACGATGTAAACTACTTTGGCAGAAGTCATTAAATAATGATCGCTTGGCAACAACTCTAACCTATCCACATGAAAAAAGGATATTACCCTCCGGAATATTATTTCATGATGGGTGCTGGGAAACCTATGCTCTGTACCTTTGGTTCTTAAGAAAACAAACAAACAAACAAACAAACAAAAAACAATGAAAAGAAGAATAAAACAGCTCATGATTACTGGAAGTATTTTTTTTTTTTACCACACAAACTGATTTCTGCATTGAATGGCAGATATGTGATTTCATTTGGCCGGTTGCAGTCACACCAAAAGCAAATTTTCTTTTTTACCAAATTCTATTATATTTCCTATTACTGGGGCATGGGAAAATATTACCTAGTATTTCCCATTTAGTGTTCTTAGAAGAGAATCATCTATCTTCTGTTCTAAGAAAAAGTAACTAGGTATGTTTTTTAGTTAGTATTAATATTCTAACCACTAAGTTCCATGTGCTATTATATAAATAATACAAAATAGGTTATTGAAAATTTGATAAAAACACTTGGCCATATGATATATATATATTGTTCACATCACAGAAGTTAGACTAGCACAATGAATTTAAGCTGATTTAAGGTTTTGTGTCTGTGCACACAAATTCAGCAGTTCTGTGTTCTGATGCTCTTTCCAAACTCTGAGCCCCAGAAGTATGCAACTTTGCATGAAATATTTGAAATAACTTATGTTAATAGTCACACTTTTATTGAAATCCAACTCATTTTTTAAAAACTGAAATCCTTAGCACACTCTAAGGGAAGACTCAAGACTCCTCTTCAAGTGATTCAAGAGAAAGCTAACATAGGCTGATAAAGATTGTTCTAACAAAACGGTAATCTATATAAGTGGAGCTGTTGGCTATGGCTATCAGAGCAGCAACAGCAGCCGACTGGGAAGGTGAATTGAAGCAGTCAGTTGGAAGGAGAGGATGCTACCCCAGTAATAATTTAGGGAGAAAAAGATAGCTATTTCCTATTAGTTCATGTAAAGGTAATCAGAACTTTTAAAACTCCAGCTCTAGTATACTTTAATACTTGCCCAGATTTGGTGAAAAGCAGGATTACCCCCATTTTTGGTTTTGGTTTTTCAAGTGTGGGCATTTTTAGTTACCTTCTTTTTTTTTTTTTTTTTTTTTTGTGAGAGGGAGTCTCACTCTTGTTGCCCAGGCTGGAGTGCAATGGTGCGACCTTGCGACCTTGGCTCACTGCAACCTCTGCCTCGTGGGTTCAAGTAATTCTCCTGCCTCAGCCTCCCAAGTAGCTGGGATTACAGGTGCCTGCCACTACGCCCAGTTATTTGTATTTTTAGTAGAGACGGGGTTTTGCCATACTGGCCAGGCTGGTCTTGAACTCCTGACCTCAGGTGATCCACCCACCTCAGCCTCCCAAGGTGCTGGGAATACAGGCGTGAGCCACCGTGCCTGGCCTAGTTACCTTCTTTAATGAACCCCAGAATCATAGAGTTCATGTATCTCTACAAACATACTTCATAATTTGTTAGTCCATTTGTATCACTGTAAAGGAATACCTAAGTCTGAGTAATTTATAAAGAAAAAAGATTTAATTGGCTCACAGTTCTGCAGGCTGCACAAGCATGGCACCAGCATCTGCTCCTGGTGAAGACTTCAGGGAGCTTCCAAACACGGTGGAAGGTGAAAAGGGAGCAGGCATGTCCCATAGCAAGAGCAGGAGCAAAAGAGGAAGGAGGAGGAGCCAGCTCCTTTAAACAACCAGCTCTCATGAGAACTAACACAGTGAGAACTCACTTATTACCATGGGCAGGGCACCAAGCCATTCATGAGAGATCCACCCCCATGACCCAAACATCTGCCACCAGACCCCACCTCCATTACGGATCCCATTTCAACATGAGATTTGGAGGGAACAAACATCCAAACCACATCAGAGTTGAAGACAGCAAGGTAGAGAGAAGCAAAGTGACACATTCAGGTTCACAACCCTTTGGAAAAGCCAAGATGAGATGCCAGTCCTCTAGACTAGGGTTTCCCAACCTCGGCACTATTAACATTTTAGATAACTCTTTGTTGTGGGAGGCTTTGTTGTATTATATTGTGTATTGGACAGTAATCTTCTCATTCTGAGCCTATTTATAAAGGAACTGATTCCAAACTCCAACCCATCTCTGGTCTGCTTCTGTTTACATTAGCAACGTGTGCATTGTAGGATCTTTATCAGCATCCCTGGTCTCTACCCACCGTATGTCAGTAGCACCCATCTCGCAGTTGTAACAACCAAATACATCTCCAGGTTTTGCCACATGTTCCCTGGGAACCAAAACCAACCCAGTTGAGATCCATTGCTCTTGACTTACTTTGATTTGCCTAGTGATTCTTAGCTCCAAACCAGTCCCAGTTATGACCCAGATTGCTTTAGGTCATTTGCCCATTTCAGAGAAGTCCCTCTTTCTCTTTAGAGGAATTGTGGTGCACTAGAAAGGGCACAGAGTCTTGTGCCCCTGGAAAATATAGGTTTTAATCCGGGTTTTGTCACTCACTCACTGGGAGCCCTTGGACAATATTTTAAATTTCTCATAGCCCCATTTTCTCAATTGTTAGTGGGAATTAAAATGCCGGCTTCCAAGATAAAGTGTTAAGTAAATTGTGTCTGAAAACCGTGACACAATGCCTGGAACACCAGAAAAGCACAATAATGTTAACTCCCTGTCACTAATCATGGTACCAAAACTACCAGAGAAGAGGAAGGGTTTACCAATGGAAATATGGTAGAGCTGTAGTGTAGATCTTGAAGATTCCAAGTTGGAAAAGCTGGCTGACACAGGAAAACTTTATAACCAAGCTTTGCTGGGAATTATCAGGCCTTCCCAGAGGACCAAGAGTCTAACTGAATTCTAGCTATTCATGAGGCTAAACCAAGAGAAGCACAACCAAGTAGCTGGGATGCAATTGGAAACACCAAGACAGAAACACGCATGCAATAAGACTCAGGCCTTGAGCCTGAATGAGATCTGGGTGCATTTGTCAGGAATAGATAGGGGGTTGGGACTGAGGAACTGCTTTGTCTCAAATTATAAAGATCTTACTCTTCATCAAACAGAAGTTTCTTTCTTTTGGAAGTCTTTGGCAATGTCTGAACTTCAAAACATGTTGAAAACACTACCAATTATCTTCCATGGAAAAATATCTGGAAAAACTTTACCACACATGCCAAGGCAACATGATCCCCAAAACAACTCTTTAGAAAAAGTTTAGTCAAAACTTCCCAGTTCTTAAAATTTTATTTTGCCCATGATGCTTTATTATCTACAAGACAATGTCTATTTCATTCTGAGCCTACTATCTATTAATGACTTGATTCCAAGCCCTGAACCATCTCTATTCTACTTCTCTTTATGGTATCAATTGAAAATGTGTGAATAATAAAAAGTAGAAATAAATCATTTAAGTTAAAAATAGTTAACTACAATCTTATTTCATTGCTTTTAAATTTTAGTATTCTTTTAAAACAGAAGTAAAATGCTATATACCTGAAGACATCCATAGCAGTTTTATCTATGATAATACAACCTCCATTACCATCACCAACAACACAAACCTAGAAACAACTTCAATATCTGTTACGGATGAAATCACTTGTCCCAAAAAAAGATGCATTGATGTCCTCAATTCCAGTACCTCAGAATATGAACTCATTTAGAAGAGGGTCTTTGCCGATTTAGTCAGGATGAAAGGTCTTTAGGGTGAGTCTAAATCCACTATAACTGCTTTCTTTATAAAAAGAGGAAATTTGGGCCAGGCTTACAACTGTCATACCAGCACTCTGGGAAGCCAAGGCAGGAGGATCACTTGGGGGCAAGAGTTCAAGATCAGACTGGGAAACAAAATGAGACTTTCATCTCTACTAAACATAAAAATAATTGGCCAGGCATGGTGGAATGCTGCTGTAGTCCCAGCTACTTGGAAGGCTGAGGTGGGAAGATCATTTGAGCCAGGGAGGTTGAGGCTACAGTGAGCAGTGATCGTACTACCACATTCCAGCCTAGGCAACAGAGAGAGACTCTGTCTCTAAAAGTACTAAATTTCTTTTTTAAACTGCGGGGGATGGAGGAAAGGATCTGGACATGACACAGACATGCACAAAGAGAAGACTATGTGAAGAGACAGGGAGAATATAAGGCAAAAACTGAGGATTGAAGTGATGTGTCTTTGGCCAAGGAAAGCCAGAGATTGCTGGCAAGCCACCAAAAGCTAGGAAGAGGCACACTCCCCATACAGGTTTCAGGGGAAGCATGGCTCTGCTGCTACCTTGACTTTGTATTTCTAGTGTCCAGAACTGTGAGACAATATATTTCTGTATGTTTAAGTCACCCAGTTTGTGGTACCTCGTTACAGCAACACTAGCAAAGACATACTATGTCTAACAAGAGAGACACGTAATTAAATTATGAAAGGTCAAACTAATGAAACATTTTATAACCACTAAAAATTATAATTTTAAATGATTTCGTGGAAACTTGGAAATTTATTAGAGTATAAGGGTACATATTATAGTGATGAAAAACATATTACTGAATCATATGTACTCTGAATATAATAATATAAATGTTTCTGTTACTGGGATAATATATTGCAAATGTTAAACCCATGAATTTCTATTTCCCACTTTGGATCATGGCTGCTTCTGCCTTTGACTTCCAGGCTAAACCAATAGGGTGATTGCCCCAGGGAACGTATGCAGGTAAATAGTGCAGTGGAATATGTAGTCAGAACAAAGAGGCAATTAATTAGCTTTGAGTCTCAGAACCAATTTTCTTTTTTCTTTCATAAAACATTGGTCTTGAAAGCAAGACTTGGTTGAAGGAGAGAGGAGTGTCTAAATAACAAAGTGTCCTTGTTAAAATATGTAAGATGAGGCTCGCCAGCTAGATCATAGTTTTAATTGAGGAAGGTTCCTACCCAATAAGAAGATGAGGGGATGCGTGTTGGCTGGTGGGAAGGCAGGCTTTGGCCCCCTCGTCTTTAGATTCTGGAAGAAATGTGGCCTACACCCAACTGGAGGCTGCCGATCCCAGTAAACACTGCAGGGCAGAATGGGCTGTGAACACAAAGGCTTTTATGGGTCACCCTGGATTCTGCATGGCTTGGATAGGACCCAGAGGTGCTTTCATGTCTCCAGGGCAGACACAGTTGGCAACTAAGCTGAGAGACAGCCTGGGGACACCCCAGGTGATGAATGAAGTGGAAGGACCCAGCCAGGGCAAATGGAGCATGTGGCACAGGCTCAAAGGGCCTAATAGGAGATGAGGTAAGGGATGCCAAGTCCCTGGGAGAAACCTCCAGCCTTTCCCAAGCAAGACTACAGATGACACCAGCAGCAGGCCTCAGCCTCAGCTGTCAGCTGACACCCATCATGGGACTGGTCCCACCCCAGCAGTCACCCTCCCAGGAAGCCACCAGACCAACAGTTCAGAACAGGGACCAATACGGATCCCACGGAAATCTCTAAAGATTCAAGGACCCCCGGGTCCTTCTACCTTATATTCCCAAGTCCTTTTAAGAGAGGAGCAGGGCAGGGTGGGCGTGAGTCACAGCCCATTTTATCTAAAGCATCTGAACTTCTATAAAGACTGATTAAATGACTGCAATAGACTAAATTTGCCAGTTAGCAAAAATCTAGTGGTTAACATTTCTCTCCAGGAAAGATCAAGATCTGTATCTTGACTACCAAGATACAGATGGGGATTTATGAGGAAGATCAAGTTGGTTTTATATAAACAAAAAGCTATATTTTTTGCACAGCTAAGTATATTATGAGAAAATTTGTGACCTTACAACATGAATATGTAGACAAAGATTAAAAGGAAATATCCAAAATGAAAATAATTTATATTGTCAATATTTTACATTGTTTAAAAATAATCTTGCCTAGTCCCTGTCTCTAAAGAAGATTCTACGGTTGCTATATAACAGCATATTTACAATAAGACTATCCAAATTACTAAAAGTAAACACCTTCCCAGCCAAGGCCTGATTCCCATATAGAAGAGTCAATAAAGTTAAAGATGAAAAAACTCTGTCCCTTTTTAGCCCTCAATTTATCTAGTTTTCTGGAATGAGTGAAAGTAAACAAAGGAATAGAGAAATATAAATGGTTCAGATCTTCACCACATCATTCATTCCCATTTATCTGCTGATAATCTGCAGAAGTCATTTGTGAATATCAGTCTTTCTCAGCTACCCATGTTCGAGCTAAACATGTTCGAGGGTGCCTGCAGAGCCACCACCCAGGTCCTGCCCCACATCTGTGACCACTTTTCCTTTCACACTTTCCAGAGCTCCACGTGGTGTCTCTCCAAAGTAATTCAAAACTTAATGTGAAAGAACTGTCTGCATTGTTTGGTTTTCTTACTTCTCTCATATTTAGAAGACCAGCTGTCCCATACAGGTTGCCTGAGAACAGGGTCAGTCTCACAATGCGGAGTGCCCGAGGCATGTGGTTTGAAAGGTGCGATGACACAGAAGTCTTCCTCCCAAGAACATCAGCTTCCTCTGCAGGGAAGGTGCCAGGAGCCCCAGCATCAGGGACTCACTCCATTGGCCTTCAAAATGCCTTTGCTTTCAAGAATTGCCTTTTAAAATGCACTCACCAGTTGGCAGAAATAACACTTTTGACTTTTGACAGCTATCACTCACCCAGGATTCATCAACCAGCTACCTGCAAGGCCCAAGATGACCAGAGCCACAGTAAATACCAGAAGGAAAGCAGAGTCACCAAGTAGGCATGAGAGAGTAGGAAAAAGAAATCTGGGAATGATTACTTCACTCTCAACTGCTAATTATAAGAACAATAGTTACCATTTTAAATGGCCACTCTGTGCTTGGCACTTTAATACGGTCTCATCTAATTCTCATAGCAATCCTTTAAAGTAAGTATTACTCTCTCCAGTTTACAGGAGATTAAAATGAGGTCCAGAGAGCTTAAGTAATTTGTTCAAGGTCATGCAAACTGTGGAGATGAGTTGGAAGTCAAGCCTGCAAGCCTGCTGACTCTAAAACCCACAGTCTCCCATATTCCAGCTGTCTGTGTGCATGTGTGTGCACATACAGGTACAAAGACACTATTGGACACTACTGGTATAAGATAATTTGAGACTATTTGTAAAAAGTGCTAAAAATAATTACTCCAACCCTTCTACTTTCTGAATTTAGGAAGTTATCTTAAGAAATAAATAATAAGCATGCACCAAGATTTCCCTATAAGGTTATTCATTGAAATATTTAGCTACGAGGCAAAGTAATATTCAACACTAGGGAATTAGTTTTAAAATGGTATATTTTTCCATACAATAAAATACAATGAACCATTAAAATGGTGTGGAAGGAAATGGAATGACATGAAAGAAGAGTTCATAATATGCTGCTAAGTTGGTGGTTGGTTGGCTTTCAGCATGTGTGCTGATTACTATTGCTGCATAACAAATTACCCCAATTACTCTATTTTGTTTTTCTAAAAAATGTGTCAGAAGTTTAAAAAGGTCTCAGCTGGACAGTTCTTGCACAGGGTTCCTCAAGTGATTACAGTAAGATGAAAGCTGGGGTTACAGTCATCAAAGGCCCTCCTGGGCTGAATACCCCAGATGGCTGTCATCTGGGAGTTAGTCTGGAGCTGTTGACTGCAGTGCCTACCCATGGCCTCTTCATAAAGCTTGAGCTTCCTTATAGCATGGTTGCTTCAGGAAATTGAACTTGAATGGTGGCTCCAGGCTCCTCCACAAGTGTTAGGAAGAACAAGGCAGAAGCTGAATCACATTTTTTGACCTACCCTGGGAAGTCCCATAGAATCACTTTGGTCACATTCTATTGATTACAAGCAAACCACAAACCTGCCAATACAAGGCAAGAGAACAATGAAAGGAGCGTCAACAAGTTTGCAATCATTTTTTAAACTGCCACAGCATGTTACTAAAGAATTTATCTAATATAGCTGTGTTTTCTTAAGTAGACATGTAGCAAGGAACAAAAATAACCATAAGGACATAAGTAAAATACTGAATGATATTCCCTGAAATTTGGATGAGTTTTATTTTCATCTTTTTTACTTGAAATTTCTACACTGAATCTTTATTAATTTTGTGATCAGAAACAAATCAAATACAAATATTTAACTTTTAAAATTTGGAAACGACACAAACAATATTTTGCCTCCATATTCTGTGCTAGCTAGGCACTTTTCCCCATATATCTTGCAAAATAACCATGGAGCAATCTACCACACCCTCAAGTAAAAATTACACATAAATTCATACTTGTTTTCCATCATATTTATGTCAATAAATCTCCTCAATGTCTTAGACCACTGGTTACCTGCCATGCCTAGTAATCCACAGTGAGCCTGGTAACTCAGTGTGGGGAGTGACCACCACTGAGGAAGAGACCAAGCCATGGCCTTCTCATGCAACCTGCTCAGGAAAACCCACAAGCCCACGAGGCCCCAGTCACACTAGCCTGAGTATGACAGCTGGTGGTATCTTTTTTTTCACATAGGAAGTAAAAAAGAGATATCAGATCAATCAGTAATATTGGCTTTTGAGGTGTTACTCTGGGAAGAAAAAAAGAAAAAGTCAGCTCAGCTGACTAAGTCCACCAAAAGTGATAAATACTGCCTCTCAATCAAACGAGTAGCCCATGACTGGGATGATCCATTCATTTAGGCTGCCTTCAATGCCAATACCAACTACTGCAGACAGAATGAACAGATGTCTTTCACTTAGTGGGTGGGAGTATATACTAGACCAAAATATTCACAAAGGTCTCAAAGGCTAGACCATATTAATGACCCTCTCTTTTTCTTTCCTCCTCCCCTGAAAACACTATTAAAAACTAAGGTCGCCAGCTGTTGCATGCCATCAAGAACTAAAGAATTTATGGCAAGAGTCCTATTTAATTACAGCTCATGAAACTGATCCTATAGTATTGCAGACCTTATATATAAATATTATTTATATCCCCAACTTTCGGGAAAGCAAGGACTATTTCACAGGCTTGCCAGAGGTCAGGGATCTGCCCCGATGTTAAACATAAAAGGTGTTGTATAACACAGCTAAACAGATTATGGGCTGGTTTGCAGACATGGTTTTCTTCTCCACACAACCCTAACTCTCCTTCGCTGACAATGGAGAAAGAACTCCATTCAATACACATCTCCTTAAGGCCAAAAGTACCTGTCTCAAGAGTGTGTACTTAATTCAGAGGACCACGGGGAGCCATTGAGAGCTTACCAAGAAGGAATGATATGATCTAAACTATACCTTGGGGGGATTAAAGCTGAAATTAGTAAAATGGAAAACAAAACTACATAAATTTAGAAACTGGATTCTTGAAAAGACTAATAGAATGGATAAACCCCTATCAATCTTGATTAAGGGAAAAAGAGAAAAACAATAAAATTGAAAATATGAAAAGGACATAATCACAAGTTCTAGAAAAGATTAAAGGACTATAATGGAATATTATGTACAACTTATGCCACCACATTTGGAAACAAAAGGAAATGATTTCCTAGAAAAAGACAATTAACTGTTCAGAGTTGATCCAAGAAGCAGCAGTAAATATGAATAGACCATGAACACAGAGAGGTAGTGATGGACCACCTACTGGATGCATCCAGAACACATTTTTTGATTGGGCATTGCTTATAAGGGGTAAGAAAGAGATAGTTGAAGGTAATTCTTACCAATCTTGTCTGATTGAGTGAAAAGACTAATTTCATGCACAGATTATCAGGAGAAGTTGAATTTAGGGGAAAGATAATGAATCATTCTGGAGATATCATAAGTTATATCCAAATGGAGATGTACATCCAGAGGCATAATATAATGGCCACCAAGTATGTACACCCAGGGACTAATGAGGATGATGCACTAGGAGGTAAGAAAAAAATAAATTATATTTATTTTGATCTCATTTTTTCAAAAGATGTTTGTGTCATTTTATAATGTATAAAATATATTAGTACTGTAGTACTAATACACTAAATATATGTGTAGAGGGGTGAATGCTCAAAAAAGTTTAATAATATAGAAGAGTAAACAAAAACATCTGGAGGTACATCCATACGGTAGAAGAACATGCAGCAATAAAAAGCCAAGAATCACTAATACACACAACAACATGGGTGAATCGCAAAATCATTATGCTGAATAAAAGAAGTATGATACAAAAAAGTACATACTCTATGATTCCATTTATGTGAAAAATGGAACCTCATCTACAGTAATAAAAGTAGATCATTGGTGATCTAGGGCCACAGACAGAGAAAGAATAGATTGCAAGAGACATGAGGAATGTTTTGGGTAATAGGAACGTTCTGTATCTGGATTATGAAAGTGGTTTCCCATGTGCACACATCCATTAAAACTGGAGTGGTACAATTTAAATGAGTGCAACTTGTTATATATCAGTTATACTTCAATAAAGGGTGATTTTAAAAAATATTTGGAGGCCACTCTTATAAAAGAAAAGGGTCTTGAACCCTTGTGTTCCTCAGCTGTGTTTTGCTGTCATTAGAAAGAATGCCCAAATCTCAGTGACTTACAACAATAAAGGTTTATTTCTCCCTCATGTTGTGTTACCCAGCTCTGACCCATATAACTCATTTGTTTCTGCATCTAGTCCACAGGCCCTGCACACATACACAGAGGTTTTTACTGGCCCTAATCTTTTTTTTTTTGGTGCGACAGAGTCTCACTCTGTCACCCAGGCTGGAGTGGATGGCATGATCTCCGCTCACTGCAACCTCTGACTCCAGGGCTCAAGTGATTCTCCTACTTCAGCCTCCCGAGTAGCTGAGATTACAGGTGCCCACCACCACACCTGGCTAATCTTTGTGTTTTCAGTAGAGACAGGGATTCACCATGTTGGCTAGGCTGGTCTTGAACTCCTGACCTCAAGTGATCTGCCTGCCTCAGCCTCCCAAAGTGCTGGGATTACAGGCGTTAAGCCACCACACCCAGGCTTACTGGCCTTAATTTTAAAATGAGCAAATAGCCAAGGGTCACCAGGCATGACAGCCCATAATATGAAAAAAGGAGGCTGAAACAAACAAGCAGAATAAAAAGAAAGTTGAAGAAAATAAAGATTTTTGCAAGAAGGAAAAAATCTTTAAAAAACACATATAACATTTTTAAATAAGCCTTTCATTTCTAAGTAAATTTAAAATGTGATAACAGAAATGGAAAAAACAATAAAACATTTGAAAATCAGAAATTAGAGCAGAAATAAAATATGAAGTAAAATAAGACAGATGTAAGAAAATCAGAGGACCAGGCTAAGAAGTCTAAAATCCAAATAATAGGAATTACAAAGAGAAACAAAAAGGAAACTGAGAAGAAAAAAATCAAAATAATAATTCAACAACAATTTGAACAAGTGAAGTACATAAATTTTCAGAATGAAAAGTCCTACTAGTTACCCAGAAGAGAACAGATTCATATCAAGGTATATTGTCATGAAATTTCAGAACACTGAGGACAAAGAAAAGATCCTAGACTATTCCAGAGAAATGAAAGCAAAATGGTTGAGAAGCTTCAAGAAGAACAGCATCTGAATTCTTGAGAGCAACACCAAATTCTAGAAGGCAATGAAGTAATCCCTTTAAAATTCTGAAGGAAAAGTATTTCCAACTTTATGTATCCAGCCAAACTCTCATTTAAGTATGAGAGTAGAATAAAGATATTTTTTTCAGATCAACAAGGTCTCAAATCTTACTTCTCATAAATCCTTTCTCAAGAAGCTTCTGGAGGGTATGTTCTACCAAAAAAAAGGGCGGGGGGAGAGGAGGGAATAAACCAGGAAACGGGACCTCAAAAACAAGGGAACCGATACAAAAAAGAGTTGAGGGATAGCAAGGGAAGATAATAGCTATTTGGCAGGCCTAGAAAACAGTCCCATTTAGAGCATATCAGAAGGCGTGTATTCTTCAAGAAGATGTAATTTATGCTTAATGTGTTTAAACATTTTAAAAGGATATTTGTACAATTTGGATAAAGTTAGGATTGAATTCAGTGATAACTACATAGATACTTAACAATAATTTATTAAAAACAAGCATAACTATAAACTCCAGGGAAAACAAAATACTGGACAGGATGGGAAATTTTATTATATTACACTACAGCACATGAGCAAGCATTAGTCATAATTGCTTGCTCAATACATAAACAAGGATTTACATGGTCATAATTATTTAAACACAACACAATGTTGACATAAATAAAATTACTGTATAACTATATCGAGTGGGTGAAGACATAAGATGGGTGTGTGTATTATGGGAAGAAGGTGAAACAGACTTAGAACTTCACCTTCTAAGGGAGATGTCAACGTGCTAGATAATGTCTGATACTGAAAAATGAATGTAGTATCCATAAAAGTATGAAATAAGATGGTAAATTCCAAGAGGAAGGAAGCACTATGCTTGTCCTCAAGCAGAGCAGACTCAAGACAGAAAAGGATGTGCAAAAATTATTTACCATAAATATGGGACCCAGCAGAGAGAGAAACTACTTCTGCCTAAGGATGACAGGAAAAACTTCACAGAGAAAGTGTTGCAGATAATGGGAAAAACTCCCTTCTCCATTCTGTCCTGCTTTTCATGGTAGAATACACTCTCTGCACTCCATCTCAACATGGGTTTTAACTGAGCACATAGTCACTAGAGATCCTCCTTCCCAGCCCCCACTCCTGCTAATGAAGACCATGTTACTAAATTCCAAAGGGAGCAAATGAGATGTTAGCAACTGCTGGATTATATTCTTAAAAGGGAGGCTTTTGTTCTCTATTGCCTCTTTAGCCCTTCCTTAAAGAAGGGCTAAAAGAATATAATAAGAGCACAATAATCAATCTATCTTTTGACATACTAACCCACTTTGAGTAGCATATGCCCAGGAAAATATTTCAAAGAAAACAAAGCTACTTGTACAGAGATGTTTCTAGCAATCCCACTTATACAAGTTTTTTTTTTAAAAAAAAAAAAGAAGAAGAAGAAGAAGCCCCAAATTGGGAAATGAATAAGTAAATTTTGGTGTACTGCTGTTGTCATCATACATGTAGCTATTGAAAAAAAATTATATATATAATTGTATGCAAAATGCTTAAATGAGAATCAAAATGTTTAATAGAACATAAATGATTGTGTTCACTAATGGTATTTATATAAAAATATAGGTCTCTATACTGAAAATAATCAGAAAACATATATGTAATTAACTGTAGTTTACCATCTTTTTTCTGTAAAATGTCGAGTATGGAATAAAAAATAAAAGATTAATTGGTAAAGTAAAAGGAAACACTCCTGCCAGCTTGTAATCACCTGTTACCCCAGAGTAATAAGAAGCACTATTTACTGGCTGTCTAACATAGGCCAGCAATTCTGCAAGGCTCCTTAAATACAGTGTCTTATTTAAGCATTACAGCTACCCTGCACGTTGGATACTATTGTCCCCACTTTACAGGTATAAATTGAGGCTCAGAGAGATTAAATAATTTACCAAATATCACACAATTCGTATACGGTAAAGCCTAAATCAGGATCTACTTCTGCTTCCACATTGTTTCCCAGAAGGATCAAAATAACCCATGATGAATAAAAAAGATATGGAAAGATACAAATACTATTAAGGAAAAAATCTATAATTCCACCCTGTAGAGACACTCACTCACTATGTTCTCAAATTTCCTTCCAATATTTTTTCAGCATATTTTCTAATAGTTGAATTCACAGTCCATATATAATTTCATATCCTGCTTTTTTATTTAACGTTACATCATACTTATAAGTTTTTTTTTTTTTTTTTTTTTTTTTTGAGACGGAGTCTCGCTCTGTCGCCCAGGCCGGACTGCGGACTGCAGTGGCGCAATCTCGGCTCACTGCAAGCTCCGCTTCCCGGGTTCACGCCATTCTCCTGCCTCAGCCTCCCGAGTAGCTGGGACTACAGGCGCCCGCCACCGCGCCCGGCTAATTTTTTGTATTTTTAGTAGAGACGGGGTTTCACCTTGTTAGCCAGGATGGTCTCGATCTCCTGACCTCATGATCCACCCACCTCGGCCTCCCAAAGTGCTGGGATTACAGGCGTGAGCCACCGCGCCCAGCCATACTTATAAGTTTTAATGGTAGTAGAATATACTATTATATGGATATTCTATCATTTACTTAATCGTTCTAATATACATTTGGACGCTACCAGTTTTTCACTATTACAAAAAGCACCGCAATAAACCTCTTCATATACAAATCATGCTCGGCAAGAAATTCAATTAAAAGATGAATAATTGGAATAAAGGGTATGGAAATTTTTAAGACTCTTGTTACTTGTTACTGAGTTTTCCAGGAAGGTTGTATCAATTCACACCAGCAGTAATTGAGAGTGTTTGTCTTACAACACCCTTACTATGACTATTACTGTATTACTTTTTAATCTTTGCTAATGGATAGATGAAAAATAGGCATACCATTCTTGTTTGAACTAACAGATGAAAGCTTCTTGTTCATATGTTTTTAAAAATGCAATGTTGTTCTTCAGAGGTTATGCTAATTCCCCCGAATTATTCCAGTTTTAGACATGTCACAAAGCAATTATGAGTCCTTGAATTTTCTATCCCAACATGCTGCCTTCCCAAATAAAGTAAATCTGCCATCTTTATTTTATTTATTCATCCACCCATCCATGCAATCCTTAAACAACCTTTATGGAAAGTGTTTGACAAAAATCATTAGGTTTTTAAAACATTAATATCCTTTAACCCCCATAGACTCTCTCCTAGTAGAATGCCTGCTACAGACCAGTTACATTTGATTTAGTTTCTAAAGAGCTCAAGGAAAATAAACTCAAGAAAATAGCCCCCATCTTTTTCTTTTCTTTTCTGTTTCTTTCACCTCATTTCAGAAGAGTAAAACATATTACCAAGACAGCTGTTTTGAAAACAATGGAAACGAAGCAAGTGCTACCACCTGTAGCTGTGCAATTACAACCTCTGTAAGTGGCAACTTGGTTGTGCTGATATCCAGTTATTCCAGATTTTGTTGGGAAAAACTCCAAACCTTGGCAAGACTCTAGTTCAGATTTTTTCAGATAGATAGATAGCCCCTGAAATAGCAATGAACAATTATCAGCCTAATTTAACCTGCAATGGAGCAGGTGCTTTATTAAGCAGCTGTCATGTCGGTCACTTGCAGTACATCCCAGGGTCGATCTGTCTGTAAACACACTACCTCCCTCAGATTTGCGTAGCAATTGGTCTTTTGGCAAGAGAGAGCAGGGTGGTGCAGATTAATTATCCGGTAATTTCCCCAGCAACATCACAAAAGTTTTATCTCTGTGTGTGTGTGTGCGTGTGCACGTGCACATGCACGCACTTGTGGTGGTGGTGGTGGTGTGGTGGTTGGTGAGTACTCTGTAAGCCTTAAGTTACTACAAAGCAACAGGCCTCCAAATACTCATACACACAAGCATGCATTTGTTCACTTAATGTATTAGTCCATTTTCACACTGCTATAAAGAAATACCCAAGACTGGATAATTTATAAAGGAAAGAGGTTTAATTGACTCACAGTTCCTCATGGCTGGGGAGGCCTCAGGAAACTTACCATCATGGCAGAAGGGGAAGTAGGCATCTTCCTCACAAGGTGACAGGAGAGAGAAGAGAAAGTGAAAGAGGAAGAGCCCCTTATAAAACCATCAAATCTCATGAGAACTCTCACTATCACGAGAACAGCATGGGGGAAACCACCCCCATAATCCATTCACCTCCTTCCCTCCACACGTGGGGATTATAATTTGAGATGAGATTTCAGTGGGGACACAGAGGCAAACCATATCAGTTAACAAATGTATTGGGTGCTTACCGTGTGCTAAATTTTAGAGATAAAGTAAGGCATAAAATGGATAAGGTCATTTTCCATGTGTAAGGCTCTTTCAGGGCACTTACATTCCAAAGAAAGAAGACAGACAACATAAGGAAACAAATATATAAACCAGAAAATGGCAGATTATAGTAAAAAAATGCTATAAGGAAAATCAATAGGGTGATACAGTATAGTAACTGGTGTCCAATTTTGACAGGGACTTAGGAAGTCTTCTCTGAGGAGATGACATTTTAGCTAAGACTTGAAGGGTGAGAAGGAGCCAAGGAGCCAGCCGTGATAAACCTCCAGGGAAGATGGTCCCGAGTAACAAAGAGAGTGAAGCCCCTAAGGAACAGAAGGTTGACCAGGTGGCTGAAGCAGTGTAAGGGCTGGGGGAAGAGATGAACAACATATGATTTGAGAGGAAGAAAAAATTACATTATAGGTCCTGTTAGTGTTAGACTTCCCTGTATGTGCTAAGGGAAGACTTTGAAAGGCTTTAAGTGTGAGTGGGGTAATCAGGGAGAGATGTAATCTGATTTATGCTTCTCCCATCTGCACAGCTAACTCCCTCACCTCCCATTTTTTTCATAAATACCACCTGTTCTATGCGACCTGCTCTGACTGCCATATTTACGATTGTAAACACTAACCCTCCTCTTCTCTTCTGTCCCTCTCTTCATACTTCGAATCCCCTTTAACCTGCTCTAACTTTTCTTTTCCCATGACATTTATCACCTTCTAACACACCATGTAATTTACTGATTCGTTATATTTACTGTTTCTTGTCCATCACCTGTGTAAATATAAGTTCCATAAGGGCAGGGATCTTTGTTTGGTTCACTGATCTATCTCCAAAGCCTGAAATGGTAGAAGGCACATAGTAGGTGCTCTATAAACACTTATTGATTAGATGAATGAGTTTCCATAAAGATAATAATTTGGAGTAATAAATAAATGGCATATTCATGTTTTATTCCACTTTTTTCTGTAGAATGATGTGAGAGAACCATACTTTATCCACAGCCATGGAAAAACTAGAATGGGCCACTTCACTACCAGGTGTCACTACTCCATTCTAATAATCTCAGTGGCAATTTTTCTTCTGGTGTTAACAGCCTACTTCCCCAAGGGGTGAAGAGGTGCTCTGTGGTAGTTTGTGGATATTTACCCGTGCCTGGCATGTCATTTCACCTGGACTATTACAAGGACATGAGGCAATTTTTATTGCTTGTGGCTTCTTGTGTTTGCCATATATTCCTGCTGCCAGTAATAATAGGATCTTACAGCCCAGTTGTTTACTGGAATGTACTGCTCTGCATTATGAGGCTATAGCTATCAATATGGTTGTATAAATTCACAAAAGTACATGAGACTATTAGCTACAATAGTTATTGAAGCATCGAGCATGGATAATATAGAAAACTTGCAAAGTTATTATAAAACATAAAAAAATATGCTGACAAGTTATGCTTTTTTACCTCAAGATTTTACATACATTTATACCCGAAGCAACGTCGTCACAGGACTAAGATGTCAAACAGCTGCAATGAGGCTCAGGTGCAAACCAAAGATGGATACCTAAGGGCTGCGGTTCAGACCCTCCTTCTGTGAGTGGCATTTGGTTTCACAGTGTCTTCTTCCTTCATCTATGCAATACTGAAAACAATCTTGTTGTGCCTTAAGATTTCTGGAACGGTCACTCTAAATAAAATTATTACCCACTTCATAGTCCCAGAGAATTTCATGCATAGAAACTAGGACGTGTCACAAGAGTGCCCTGAAGGTTCCTGCTCCCGCCTTCCTGTGAATGCACAGGAAATGGTTGGTTGCCTGCCTGTGAGTCCTTCCCCTTTTGTCCTTCATTTGAGAGTACCCCAGTTTACTCTGGCGTCCACTCCCTCCTCAGCCATATGCTTCAGAGGGTGAACAATGGTGTGCTACATCCTCGCCAGTGAAACACAAGAATCTTCTTATGGGGCTGTGGAAAAGATTTTCATCACTAGTAAGGAGTTACAGGAGACAAAACAACCATCTCTTTACCCCTTGCTTATCTGAGCTGGCTGTGGCTGTGACTGCACACAGTGGCTGAGAAAGCGGCAGCCATCTTGCACCCAACGCAAAAGACAAGCTTGCTCGCTGAAGATGGCTTGGCAGAAAGGCGTGAGAACTTGGGCCCATAATGATGGCATCAGCTGTAAACTTACCCTCCCGGAGTCATCTCATGTCTAGACTTCTTGATATGTATAATACAATAATAAAGCCCTTTATGAGTATAGTGATGTGGTAGGCTGGATAAAGTCCCCCCAAAGATGACCGTGGCCTAATTGCTGGCTGCTGTGAATATGTTTTGTTACAGGACAAAGAGGAATTAAGTTGCAGATAGAATCAAGGTTGCAACTCAACTGATGACTTTTAAAAAGGAAGATGATCCTGGATTGTTCTGGATGGGTGTGCTGTAATTACAAGGGCATTTAAACATGGGAAAGGGAACCTGGAGAGAGGACCTGAGATACGGTAGTATGAGGAGCACGTGGCCGCACACTGTTGAAGGAAGGGGCCATGACTGAAGGAATGCAGGCAACCTCTCCTAACCGGGAAAAGCAAGGATACTGGGGGAGGCTATGCATGTGTGAGGACAGGGTCATATGGGAAATTTCTGTACCTTTTGCCCAATTTTGCTATGAATCTAAAACTGCTTTAAAAGATAAAGTCTATTTAAAAATAAATGTTTTAGACAACAGAAAATGTGTTCTTCTCTAGGGCATCAAGAAGGACCCCAGCCTTGGTGCCACTTTGATTTTAGCCCAGTGAAACCTGTGTTCGACTTCTAGCCTACAGAATCATAAGAAAGGAAATTTGTGTTGTTTTAAACCACAAACTTTATGGTCATTTATTACGGCAGCCACTAAGCACGGATATGGATGACCAAATATTTTATCATCCAAATCCAGGCACTTTTGAGAGTGAAAGGAATGCTAGTAATAATTTTGGCAGAAAAAGTAAGGTAAATTACAGGGAAAAAGTACAGGGAACACTCCATTTGTTGTTTACATCACTTTGAATTGAGTTTTCTGACACTTGTAGACAAAAATATCCTAAATAATTATAGTGAACATGCCATCACATTTCATATATTGGCATAAATTCATTTTTAAAATGTTTTAATTTTAAAACAATGATTCTAACAAACAGAACCAACCCCACAGGAATTAGTAGCTACCTCAACCTGGGCACCAGCTACACATATAGAGGCCCTTCCCACAATTTGGAGAACCCAATCCTGAAGTTGGCTTAGAATATGCAAAACAAACAAAAAAGGAAAAGAAATAAACAGTCAGTTCCCATGATCAAAAAAAGTTTACAACTAAGTTGGGAAGATAAATGTCACAGAAATTAAAGGCCTAATAAACTGATTTATAGAAGTAGCTGTTTGTTGGCAGCACCTGACAGTGTGCCTGTGTGAAGATGTTTTATTCCCCAAGAGACAAGGGAAAAGGAAAACCTGGTATTTTCACTCCTAGTCTAAGCATCCTTTCCTCTAAATGCTGTGAAAGTTCTTTCCCCCAAAGCAAGTTATAAGAAATAGAAAGCAAAGCTTGTTTTGAAAAGCAAGGTTAGAAAGGATTTGACATTGTAAGAGAATAACAGTCAACCATTAAATACAGAAAAAAATATATAATTGCATAAGAATCTCACTTAAAGAAACTCTACCTTTAATGCAGTTCTCCCTTTATACAAGAAAATAAGGATCAATGCTGGAATAAGCTTAGGGAATTCGCTTCGGGTATTTAAGTGGAGGACAGCAGCAGAAGAGGCAAGAGTTAAAACCATAAGAATCCTGAAGGGATTAACTCGGATTCTCTATCTCTGAGGGAATGCAGGAAGAAAGAGGTAAATTTAGGGGCTCCAGCTTGGGGAAAGAATTCCATTTCATGGGATCACTGGAGCAATGCAGACCCCCTGCACACAGAACCATCAACCTGGGGCACAATCAGAGGACTCTGTGGCTCTGGCCATCCCAGGCATTCGTGGGGGAGGGACTCCATTTACCAGAACAATTTCCTGCCCTGAGAGAAACAAGGAAAGATGAAGGGCAGACTCTGTTAATTTAGGATGTATATAGGAAGAGATTTCACTGCCTATAAAGTCACAAATACCATTATAAACTACAAGATGACTTTTTCTTTTAATTGGTTTGTTCAGGTGTTTTAGAAAATGTTTGGAGGAAACAGAAATGTCCCTTTAAGAGAGAAGGCAGGTCTGCAAAACCCTATAAACAGGTTTGGGGGAAAAAAAAACTACTGAAACCGCTGAGCAGAGGTAAAGAATACTAAGGTATGTCAAGCAAGATAATTCTCATACCAAAGCAAATATGTCTACAGAGAGCAAAGTACCTGGAATTCAAATCCTGATGTGTCTTACCTCTGTGAGAAGGGAAGCCAGGGAGCATTAAGGATATAAATATTGATTGGTGTGGAAGTTGAAGACCTGGTGTAACCAGGCCATGTAAATGAGCCAAAGAGATCCATCCTTTCCAGCATAATTTCCACCTGCCCCACCGCAAAAGAAACCACAATTCCCATCCAGTTAATGACTTCTTCACTTCTGTAAAGAAAAATGGCCCTACTCCATTCTGAATCTTTTTGAACTCTTCGTAACTTCCAGCCATTGATCAATAGCTATTATCTTGCTCCTGCTTCTAAGGTACCCTCCCAGTTGAGTCAGTCTTATTCATTCATTCATTCACTTGTTCATTTAGTAAACACATATCAATATCCCCGGAGTGCCAGACACTAAGGGAAGATGAATAAGACCCAGTCTGATTTACTTCCCAATGGTGTACACTTTCCTTGAGCAACTGAGCCAGAAAGGACAGTTGCCCAAATCCCTATTTGTTTGGATTCACCTTTTCCATGTTTTCCCAGCTGCCATTCTAGGTAAAGCCTCCCAGTGTCATTCCAGGACTTTAATAGCAACCTCATGATAGGCTGCCTTTCCCTGTCTGCTCTTCAGACAGGCACAGTGGAAATCTGGCTCAAACCCTAGTTTCCAGCATCCCCTTCTCCAGAGACCCAGCTACGACTTTCTTTTGCTCAGTAGAATAAAAGGCCACCTAAATTTGCTCCTACTATAATAAAAGATATCTTTCCTGCCCACTTCTACTGATGAGGTTAATTCTCAGGATCTCAGCTTAAAACTCAAGAGATACAAAAAGTTGCGTTTGGCCAGCCCCACTTAACTCATGATCCCTCCTGTTACCCTTGGTGTACTCCAAACATATGCATACATGTGTTTTTATCTTCTCTTGTTCATGTCTTGCTATTTAATTGCTCCTTGGTTCTGTATATTTTGGCTTCCTCAACAAAATTCTCTTTAATATTCTCAAAGCACCTGGTACAGAACTGTACTCACAGTACAACATTTAAAATGTTAAATATTTGCCTTGCCGTCAATTAAATGTGAAAAATGAGACCAGCCTGGCCAACATGGTGAAACCCCGTCTCTAATAAAAATACAAAAATTAGCCAGGCATGGTGGCAGGCATCTGTAATCCCAGCTACTCGGGAGGCTGAGGGAGGAGAATCGCTTGACCCCACGAGGCAGAGCTTGCAGTGAGCCGAGATCACTCCACTGCACTCCAGCCTGGGTGACAGAGCGAGACTCTGTCTCAAAAAAAAAAAAAAAAGCGGGGGGAAAGAAAGAGAAAATGTCCTCTTCCTTCCTCAACCTAGTGCCCTCATACTCATTACCAGGCAACTGTCGCATTTCAGACTCCTCCCAGACCAAAAACAAAAAAATCCAAGAGCCATGTTAAGTCCACGTTGTCTTCTGTGAGTCCTCTTACAGCAAAACATTACTACTTTGAATGCATCACATTTTCATATTTGTTTCCTTCCTCTCAATCTTTACAACCAAAGTGTTAGCCCAAATCTTATCCACTCTCATGACAGGAGCTCATCTCCAAGAAGTGAATATAACATCTACCCATCATATTCACCCACCTCATCCACGACACCCAGCAAATGAGATGACACGTTGAGTACTTTGAAGATGGCACATCAAACGTACAGTGCCTTGGAGAATTTCACTGCCCAGGTGCTCCATCTTACACAGCACTCTCTGGAGCAGCACTGAGTGGCAGAAAGTCACTTGTGGCCTTTGGGGCCAGGTGGGCCCAGTTTGAAGGCCAAATCAGCCACTTATAAACTGTGAAATGAGTGACATTACTGAATCTTCCTGGGCCTCAGTTTCCTCATCTGTGAACTAGAGAGAATGTCACCTTCTTTACAAGATCACTGGGGGCATTAAATGATAAAATAAATGTCGAAGTTGTAGCTTTTCAGTGTTAAGTCTCTTTCCCCTCACCCTCATCTGTCACAACACCCACCCCACCCCTCTGCTTCTTTGAAGGATCACAGTGGCTTCTCGCTGCCACTGGGCAACATTTTTATTTTCTGATACAAGGACTCCTTTCTGAGACAAATGTCAGAAAACTCAATCTAAACTACTTCAGGAAAAAGGGAATTCATCAGGTCACATAGCTGAGAGGACCACGGGTAGAACCAGCTGCAGATCCAGCCAGACTGGGCCTTACAGTTGTCGCCAGGACCTAGCTCAACTCTGATTGGACTATTGTGGGTCATGCACACACCCTGAAATGATCCCTAGAGTCAGAGGATGTGAGGCTAGATTGGCCAAGCTAACAAGTTAACACCCATGGGTGGTACCACAACAGTGCCCATCCTGAGCTGAGGAAATTAAGGTGGCAAATCTCTGCTTTGAGTTGGGATGGTGGTTAGAGTCCAGCATTTTAGTGTCTGAGGGCGAGGAGAGGGACACTACTACAGGGAAAACAGAGAGGGGATATTGGAGAACCCAGGACAACTTCAGAAGTCTTCACTATTTTTGCTCTGGCCCAGTCTTGTTGATCTGGGTCCCAGGTGAGGGCACAGGCTCTCAGCTGTCTGGCTTCAGTTTCCTTGTCTGTGAGAAAGAAAGAATGATCGTCTTAAGCAAGTCAAGAGCCTAAGACAGTGCTTGGCTCCTGTAAGCACTCAGTAAGGGTTCTCCATTAACAGAGATCATAGGGGAAGAGCACCCATGCATGGCCATGGGTATTAACATTGAGCTGAAAGCGAATGACTCAAGCTGCGCCTGTGGAAGCCTCTTAGGAGAAACAACAACCCAAATCTGGCACTCTGAATTTCCAAATTCCCTGGGATGTGAACAGAAAACTTTGTATTATATATATAAAAAAATGCAATTAAAATAGTAGTTAAAAGTTTTGAAAAGAAAGAATGACTATTTGGCTGTTTACTTAGCTCTTCCATGAATGTGCACCTAGTATGCATTTCATTAAACAAGGGAGAGCTAGTGCTGTGCTAATTGCATACCTGGCCGCAGTATTCATTACAAAAGCCTCTTAATCAGATGGTTAGCCTGAGTGATTCCCCTTGGAAGGTGACCTGCGTAGTATCTAAAAATACTCACATGTCCCAGCCAGGTTGATGGAGGGCAGGAAGTGTAACCTTTGACCAGGCAAGTGGTAACAATGTTGCCCTTTCTGCAACCAAGAACCAAAGGAATTAAAATTGAGTCAGTCACCAAGTAGACTGCATTTAGGGTCCCCTATAAATCTCTCTGAAGCATTTACCAAAACGTTTACTTTTCCTAGTAATTTAAAACGAATGGGAAAAGGCTTTGTGCCAAATATTGAAAAAACAAATTTGGTTCCTTCATCATTCCGTTCCAGCAGTCTATGTCTTTACTTTGTCTTAGAGTGCACTTTACTGAGCACTTTCTTGATTTGATAATGATATGCAAATCATGATTAATCATTCCACAAATTAAAGATATTTCTGCTCCTTCAGCTGGTTACGCTGAAATTATTCTTCAGTGATGTACATATGTAGATGGCATTGAATTTCTCACATACCAAATAAAGCAGAGATGATAAAAACTCATTTCATGTAATTTACTTTAAACCTCCTTTTGTTGTCTATGTCCCCTTTAATAATATTCAAATTGTGTTTTGCAATGCCACCAAGAATCTGAGTGGGACACAAGGGACCCAATTCTGCGGCTGTTCCTGTTTGTAGTTATGCTGTTTATTCCAGGGGCAGGGGTAGGGCTTGGATGGAGATGTTCTTTGGCAGTTAGGCTACAACTAAGCAAATGTGAGTTATAAACGCAACTCAAACTTGATTTTTGGCTTTGTCCTGTATGGTAAGGTTTGGCTAAGACAGCATAAAGATTTAGTTCAGATTGTAACTCCTTTTTGTCTGACCTTCCTTTCTCAGATGTTTCCGCATTGACTCGGACTGCTTAAAAACTGATGCAAAGTAAATGCAGCTTTGATAATGCTTCCTACTTTGACACTACATCACGTTATCCTTCTCAAACAAGGTATTGATTTGAAAATTGGTTTCCTGACTTCTAAGTAATTGTCAATTCTTTTTTAAATGGAGTTCCTGTCTACTGAATATATATTCCCTTGTTTTTTTCTCCTTCTATAAATGAAGCACATTCTGAATCTCTCAGAATTATTCTTAAAATAAAACAATGGAGGAAAACAAATGGTATTCTGGTTCATTCCCAGGAACTTTCTCTACTGCTTCACAAGAATTCTCTCAGCACCTCATGCTCTCACTTCCTGTTAGCCCTAAACTTTAACTTCAAAATCATCCTGACATATAGCATTGGTCTAGCTATAGAAAAGATGGTTTTGTTTTCATACAGTAAAAATTTCTGTTTGGGTTTTATATTTGTTTCATTCAGATGTCCCCATTTCATTGATCTCTACCCTATAGGCACTGCTGTATAAACAAGAATTTACCTTGCTTTTAAATTTCACAGAGTATGAAATTTCACTCTGAACCTTAAATACATTATCAGAAACGTGTTAGGCATGCTGTGTGGGTGTACAAACTACTAGTGACAGATTGGGAAAAAATCTGAGGGTCTAGGTTATTCTCAGAATGTCCAAATTCTATTTGTTTGAGTCATTACTGGGAAGCTTGAGATTATCCTTTAGTAAACATCCAAGTAAATGGAACTTCCTCTGCAATGAAAAGGAACATTCTCTGCCCTTAAAAGTTATAGAAAAGTAATGGAAAAATAATAGCTAGAGTATGGTAAGCTACAGTGAGTGTTTCATTCAGGCTCTACCATTGCTGCCCCTCAGACCTGCCCTCTCTTCCGGCAAAGCCTGTACACCGCTTCCTGCTGTTCAGGGCCCTCTGAGTTGGCTTCATGTTATTTCTCTGTAGCAGTGCTGCAGTTTATTAATGTTCGTCACATGCACAACAGTGTTTCTGGAATGCTGGCAACATTGCCTGTAGACTCAGGCAATCAGGGCCTCTGCCCTGGGCCCCACAATATACACTGTTTGCCCTGGTCACATTCCTCCATTTCTAGGCCCTGCTCCAGGTACCCAAGACCCCAGAATTCCCTGTCCAAATGGCTTCAAGGAGGAGGCACAGGACCAGCTGTGGTTAAGTGGAAGAGGATGGAGCTTGAGTATGAAACTGGGGTGTCCAGTGTGGGAAGAGAGAAGGGGGTGGCCCAAGGCCTCCACTAGCAGCTTTGCCTGAGGCCCCGTATGCCAGGTGTTCCATGGTGATGAGTGGAGATGGTCACAGCACACCTAGAGCCTCTGACCTGGCTGGGGAGATGGATGTAAAAAAAGTAATCGGAAGGGCAAGGGGTTCTGCAAATGAGAAGCACGGGGTGCTATTGGAGTCTCTGACATTGAGGAGGCAACCCAGGCTGAAGCTGGGTGGGTAGAGGAGAGTAGGGACACTCTCTCCACAGAAGCCCCGTCACAATATCCACCCACAATTTCCTGCGTGCCAAGCCAGAATTCATACACTAGGACTCAGATGTGCAAAACCTATAACCTACTTTGTTATGCGTAAGTCTGATGTGCCGAGATACCTTTATCTCTCTTTATCTCTTTGCATTTCAAGGCCTCTTTTCCAGTCTAACTCATTCTCTTTCACGTTTCCTTAATTGACAAATATGCACTTTTCTTCCAGCATCAGTGGTGTGGTGTCTTAAGGGCAAGATCTTTTTTAAAAAACAAAGAAAGCCATTCTAACTGGGTGAGATGGTATCTCATTGTGGTTTTGATTCGCATTTCTCTAATGACCAGTGATGATGAGCTTTTTTTCATATGTTTGTTGGCAGCATAAATGTCTTCTTTTGAGAAGTGTCTGTTCATATCCTTTGCCCACTTTTTGATGGGGTTGTTTGTTTTTTCTTGTAAATTTGTTTAATTCCTTATAGATTCTGGATATTAGCCCTTTGTCATATGGATACATTGCCAAAATTTTCTCCCATTCTGTAGGTTGCCTGTTCACTCAAAGTCAGGAAACAACAGATGCTGGAGAGGATGTGGAGAAATAAGAATGCTTTTACATTGTTGGTGGGAATGTAAATTAGTTCAATCATTGTGGAAGACAGTGTGGCAATTCCTCAAGGATCTTGATCCAGAAATACCATTTGACCCAGCAATCCCATTACTGGGTATATACCCAAAGGATTATAAATCATTCTACTATGAAGACACATGCGCACACATATGTTTATTGCAGCACTATTCACAATAGCAAATACTTGGAACCAACCCAAATGCCCATCGATGATAGAAGGGATAAAGAAAATGTGGCCCATATACACCATGGAATACTAAGCAGCCATAAAAAGGATGAGTTCATGTCCTTTGTAGGGACATGGATGAAGCTGGAAACCATCATTCTCAGCAAACTAACACAAGAACAGAAAGCCAAACACCGCTTGTTCTCACTCATAAGTGGGAGTTGAACAATGAGAACACATGGACACAGGGAGGGGAACATCACACACCAAGGCCTGTCAGGGGGTGGGGGGTTAGGGGAGGGATAGCATTAGGAGAAATACCTAACATAGATGATGGGTTGATGGGTGCAGCAAACCACCATGGCACGTGTATACCTATGTAACAAACCTGCATGTTCTGCACATGTATCCCAGAACTTAAAGTATAATAAAAAATAGAAAAAAGTGTAATAAAAAAAGAAAAACCAAACAAAGAAAGCTACTCTTTTCTCACAAACTGTACAGTATAAAATTTTAACCTGTTTCCCATGTCAGGTGTAGCTTAACTCCCTGCTCCAAGACCTTGAGCAAGTCATCTCACCTGTAAACTGAGAACAACCTCTATCTCTGATAGTTGGTATGAGGGGTAATGGTATAAAACATTTAAAGCACATAGCTCAGAGCCTAGAATAGGCTAAGTGTCAGAAAATGTTCGTCATACTTCTCTTAGAAACCCAGACTGTTTTTTGAAAATTTTTGAATTAAAAGAGAGAAATGCTGTATTCTTCACCCTAAATAATATCCGATTTATTTTAATGCTAACAAACCTTTGTTATGTTATCTACAAAGACAGATACCTAATAATAAATACATGGATATGTATTTAAGAGGTAACAGAAACACAGAGAGAATAAGAAATATACTCAAGATGAAAAGAAATATAATATTAATATTGTCTACTTCTATTTTATTTTCTACTAAATTTCTATTTTAAAATGAGACAAATGAATTCCTGACCTGGAATGGTGTTTTTGGAAAGATACTAAACAGAAATCAGGTGGTGTTGCCTGAGCTAGGGTTGCAAACAAGTACATGAATGTGGAAGTGATGAGTATCTTGACACTTAGTATTCCCTTTGAATTTGAAATTTCCCCTGCCTTCTGTTTCTATTTGGAGTATGGATACTCCACATGTTTCACTCATTTATCTTTGTTCCCCATCAGGCTCATACCTTCTTTACTCTACCTCCTAGTTTTACTAAAAAGCTTTCCAAAGATGAAGTTCTAAGATAAAGAATAAAATTCTGGAATTATCTAAGCTCCAGTAACACTGAAGACATGAAAATCCACAGAATCATAGCTCTCAGTGGGTTGATAAATAGCACTTTTATCCTCACCTTGGGTTTCTGGTGTGTTATGGTAATGTAACATGCCACCTTTCTATATTTACTGTCTCTGCCTCCTTTTATTTATAGAGAAAGACAAAACCAGACATCTATATTTTTTGTTTTGTGTGGTTTTGGGGGGCAGATGAATCTATAGGCATATAAATGTGTTATTTTCTAGATAATGTAGTAAGTGCAGTCTAATAAAGTTTTTCTAAAGGCAGTGTGACTACCTCCATAAAGTAAATTTAAAGATAAAAGCACTTTGGAAGTTTGTTTTTAGTTGTTGAAAAAAATAATGGGTGCAACAAATAAAATGTTAGAACAAATTTATATAAAATAAAAACCACACCTGTGTTTCTCCCACTCACATGGCCACTTTCACCGTTTTCTGTGCAGTCTTTGTCACATGCACACGTTTTACAGAGCAATCTTTATTTAAATGCCAGTATGGGTTTTGCTTTTTAAACTTTATAAACACATCCTCAGGTTTCTACACAACAAATAAATTTTTGTTCATTCACTATGAGCCTATTTAATTTAATTACTATTGGTGGCTTAGGTCATAATTACTTCTATTTTTATAGCCCTGTCTTCTGAAGGATTCAAATTGTTTTTAAAATAGCATGTTGGAAACCACATCAGAAGCCTTTCTAGTGCAATAGAAAGGCTATAGATGGGGGAACTGAGGTTCTAAAGAGGCTATGGGACTAGCCAGGATTATTCTTGGCAGATCAAAGACTGTAACTCAATGTTCTAAAACCCCAAACTGTTGCTCTTTCTGCCTAGCCACAGCTGCCTCTGCCAGCCCCTAGACTCTTTGGTCTGGGATGGATGTCAGAGCAGGCATGGGGATCATAGAAAGACAGCATTCCGCTTGTCTGTTTCTCCAACTACAGGGAACCCAGCAGCTGCTATTGTCTCTGCGCAGAGCTGGCTTGAATAGCATAATCCTAACCTGACTACCAAAGATGTGATTACTTTCCTGTCTTTTAAAAACTGTTCGTTATTTCATGGGAAGCTGAGCCCTGGCTCCTGGGTTCCAACACAGTCATAGTCCTAAAAAATGTGTGACAGAATTGGAGATTCTGTGAACATGGTATATACATTTACACAAATCCTACTGCAACTGAGCCGCATCCAAGGACTGCACCATGACACTCTTGGAGGTAATTCCTGGGACACCTCTTGGCACTTTGGGGTGAGACAGGGGCCTGGAGGAAATTCAGAACTGTGTGACTTTTTCAGAGACAAGAAGTCAAACTGGGAAGCCAAGTCCTCTATTCACCGGCTCGATTACCGGCCAGCTGGATCCATGCATGAAAGATTTTCTCTGGGCTGACAGAATTAATGCCATTCACACAGTCACAGGATGTGCTTTATTTCAGCACACGTCCTGAGCTTGCAGAGCCCAGGAGATGCTTTAAGAAGGTAGAGAGTTGAGGGTTCAGCAAGCCTGGGTCTCCTGGTGAGTTCAAATTTCCATGAGTGCCAATTGAAATCGTGGTCCTCTTAGCTGGGTTTTCAGCTCCCCAGCTGTCTACTAGGGAACCAAGAGCACCACCCCACTTCACAACAGACCCAGGCAGTCATCATGCATAACCATGTTTAGTGATAGCTAAGCACAGCTGCATTTGAACTGATGACCTGGTAATCTGCACTAGAAACGTCCATATCCCTTTACAAATCCCTGGAGCCTCGCCATGCATTTGACTTGTTGTTCTTAAAGTTTCACATCATTTTCCACCTGTTAAACCACCACTTCAAGAGAATTATTGAGTCTGAGGAAGAAAGGATCCCACTTTTGCCCTCTCCTTTGTACTTGGAAGCTCATCCACCCCATGGCTAATAGGACTGGTGGTTCAAGGATTCAATACTGGTTTACTCATTTGGGGCATCTGCTTGTGACTGGCTATAAAGAAATCAACACTTAAAGAAATGCATTAGAGACCACCTACACCCCGATGCAGACATTTCTTTGTGAAAAAATAGTGACACATAGCATCCTACAAGATTTCAGATACATACAGATGGCTTTTTCTGGACAATCAAGCACTTGTCAGGAATGTTAGACGAAGAAAGCTTTATGTTCACAACATTATTATGGCTGCCAGCAGCAATTGTTTAATAGGAAACTAGCAGCAAAAACAGGAAAGTCATGTTACTTTTGCATCATGAGTAATACCTCAGTTCATGTTCCCAGAAGTCGGTAACTACAGTAATATGCTTAAAGATATTCATGTGATTTGCTTCTCAGGCCTCCATCCCACCAAAATATGATCATAAACATCTAGTGAATCATGTGTATGTTTGTGAAATATATGTTATCTGTGAAAGAAAAAAAATTATTTAAAATCTGACACAATTAGAACTTTCTGGGACGTGTCAGAATTTTTAAAAACTGTTCTTGTTTTTACTACTTCCTAGAACTTTATGGATGTAAAGCTACCAAAATGCATCTAAAACCTGACATAATTTAAAATTCTGGAACGTGACAGAATTGTGTTTTTCTTTTTCCATTACAATTGTCATTTTTGCCACTTCTTGGTGCTTTGTGGACCTAGAGACATTAAAGTCTTTTATGTGCTATCAAAATTTACAGTGAGCATTTTGCCCCAGTCTAACTCTGCTTGAGGAATGTTCTGGTGGTGTGTGTTTGATGGCATTGGTTTTATCTTATGTACTGATATTTATGACAAAACTGAGAAAAGTTTAGGGTATCCAAACTCCTTCCTTTCACCCATACAGACATTTCATTCTAGAAGAAAAAGAATGATCTTTCTCATGCTGTTTTGCAAAAGACCTAAACAAAAGAAACAGCATAAAAGTTTTTAACGTTCCTTTGAGTTTGGAAGAAGAGGTATAAGGGCTTGTATTGAATACTTTTCAAATAAACTAGCGAATAACATGTACTTGCTAATAACATCTTAAGTTTGAAAGCTCCAGACAGAAAGATGACCTTTCTACACATCTTTTTCCCAAGAACTTTTGCCATAGTCCTTCCTGTGGGAGCCTGGGGGAAATAAGTACAATTTCCTTAATGCTCCTTATAATTGCCAGAACTTACTTTCCAAAGCCCTACTTTCCGAAAGCATATTTGTCTCTCTTTTTTTTTAATCTTCACCGGGTATTGAAGAACAGAAATTTTCCCCAAGATGGCCAACTACTAAAAGGGCTTAACTACTGACCAAGCCACAGAACAATTGCTAAGCCAGAACTCCCTGCCCTACTTAGTTACCAGGCTGTCTACCTCAAACTAGAGCCTTGGTTAAAGACATGAAAAGCCAGGAGAATGGTCAGTGTTACAGGATTTGAGAAAGTTGCTGATTGAAGGGATGAGCAAAAATGAGGAATGATTTCTGGGGCCCTTACGAAGAAATTCAAATTAAACTTACCGATGAAGGAAAATATGTTCACAGAGAGGGGCAACATATCCTGAACTAGACAATTCTTTTTGTTAATTGCTGTATTCAAAGCAAATATTTAATTTGCTGATTGCTCTATGCAAAGTAAATAAAGAATCCCCTTGGGCAGGGAAGGGAAAGCATCAGGATACATAGCTAATGCATGTGGGGCATAATACCTAGGTGATAGGTTGATAGGTGCAGCAAACCACCGTGGTACACGTTTACCTATGTAACAAATCTGCATGTCTTGCACATGTATCCCAGAACTTAATTTAATTTAATTTAAAAAAAAAAAGAATCCCCTTAATGACCAAAGTGCTTTCTCAAGTATCAATATTCCCAAGATTATATAAGCTCTGACAATTACGCTGTATTAGTTTATTAGGGCTGCCATAACAAAATACCACAGACTGGGTGGCTGAAACAGAAATGTATCATTTCACATATCTGGAGGCTGGAAGTCCAAGATCAAGGTATAGACAAAGTTGGTTTCCTCTGAGGTCTCTTTCCTTGGCTTGCAGACGGCCACCTTCTTGTTGTGTCCTGACATGGTCTCTGTCTGTGTTATTTGTATTTTAATCTCTTTGTATTAGATACCAGTCATATTGGATTAGGACACACCCATAGGACTTCATTTTACCTTAATTACTTCTGTAAAGACCCTGTGTCCAAATACAGTCACATTCTGAGGTAGTGAGGGTTAGGACTTCAATGTTGGAATTTGGGAGAAGACCCAAATTAGCCCATAACACATGCATATGAAAGCAAAGTAACTCTTAAGTGGTAATATTTGTTTTGGTTATTTATAATGTTCTTACATTTTAATTAATGTAATGGTGGCAGTAAGATAATTATCTGTCTATGAATGGAAAAATTGTAGACTTGAAATTAAGGCAAACTTTAGAAAATCTTGCTGTTACTATTAGTGAAAGTATTTACCTTCCAGTATTTACATAGCTGTAGCTATGAGATGCAGCATATTCCAACTGATGACAGTAAGGGGTCTCAAAGACATGGCAATTTGTCTGATACGTTTTTACTTAGCCTGGTGAGGTAGAAAGGACACTGGTCACAGCCAAGAAAGCTGTGCTTTGCCCTTATTGGGGGAAAGGGATTTGCCTTAGTACATTTGTGGCTTATTTCCTCAGAAGAGAATAGCAATTAAGAGAGCAGACTGGAGTAGGACTACCTTGACTCCAATCTACTGCTCATTAGCTGTGTGCTTTGGGGCAAGTGACTTAACCTCTCTGTTGCTCTGTTTTCCTATATGTAAACAACAATAGTAACCTAACTCAGAGGCAGTGAGATGAAATGATGCTGTACATGTAAAACATTTACAACAGTGTCTGTCCTGATATAATTGTTCAAATATCCACCATTTTATTGTCTATAACCAATAGGATTAAATGATATACTTTCTAAAATCCCTTTTGACTCTAAAGCCAAGATAGCAATGTTGCTCTTCTGTTTTATGACACTCAAAGTTGCTACCTGGCAATCGCATGGTAACATTAGTAGACATTATATCACCTTAGGAGTAAATTTATTTCATCCCATTTGCAATTACCTAGTTTTTTATACTATAGAGCACCAAATGGATTGAGTTATTCTATCCAACACATTCTCAGGACATCCTGAAATGCTTTTGTATCAGTTCTTTAGTATAATACCTATGGTATTATACTTCAGAGGCTATACCACTCAAGCTAAGATATACACAGTGTAACATAGTTTGCCCTAAAGCACAGGTAAGATGGTTTCATATTGCTTTCTGCAATGTTTCCATATTATACTGTGAAAAGATTTTTTCTTTTGTTCTTGTAATATCCAACAATGTATTCTGGTTAGGGGAAAATAATAATATATTTTGTGCTTCTATTGAGGAAACTAAGCATTCCATGATTCCTAACCAGACCACCATGAAAGTCCCTTTCATTTAGAAAATCAAGCATTCAGAGACACTATCATCTCAATTACAAACTGCAAATACTTGATGAAAGTAGTTTGCAATAAAATTGATGGTTAAGTAACATGACAGACAAATCATGGATTGGAGAGGTGAGAAATTGAAACTATTAGAAGGCATGGCCTGAAAACTGGAATCACAGGGGATGCTTGCTAAAAATATAAATTCCCAGATTTTTCTTTGGAGATCTTGGGTGGGGCCAAGGAATCTGTATTTTAGTGAGCTCTCTAGGCTATCCTTATAACCAGGCAGGTTTAGGAAACATGGCAATAGTCCAAGGAATAGATTATTGGAAACAACCTGCGATAGTGTGACTGTGTCTCCCAAAGTTCATGTGTTGGAAACTTAGTCTTCTATGAAATGGTGTTGAAAGGTAGAACCTTTAAGAGGTGATTAGGTCATGAGGGCTCTGTCCTTATGAATGGACTAATGCCCACTTATGAGGAGTGTATTAGTTTTTGCAGGAGTGGATTCCTGATAAAAAGATGAGTTCAGGCTCCTTCTCTCTCCTCCTCCTTCCCCTCCCCTTTGTCTTCCACCTTTCATCGCGGAATGATGAGAAAAAAGACCCTCACCAGGTGTGAGTCGCTTAATCTTGGACTATCCAGCCTCCAGAACCGTAAGAAATAACCTCTATTCTTTATAAATTACTCAGTCTTAGGTTTTCTGTTATAGTGGCACAAAATGGACTAAGACACAGCCCATGAGAGTGGTAGAGGGGATAAAAAAGAGGAGGGTAGAGATCATTTACACTTAGACATTAGAATCACTATGAGCATTGGCAATTACATTTATATTGCTATGTATTTTACTGCAGTACCATTACTTTAAAAAGGGCTTAAAATATATGTAAAGGCCACTTTAGAAACACCGTAAATTCCTAATGAATGCTCTTTCATTAAAAAAGAAAAATAGTTTACTTCCAGGATCCTTGAAAGGGGACACTGTCTTTACTCACTTTAGAAATCTTCTTTAATTTTATAGGAACAAAGCAATGGCACATTAAGTATCATTAATTGTCCAGAAAATTTAATTCAACAAATATTTTAAAATATTTTAAGAAACCATGTGATGTGCTGCTGGAAATACAAAGATGGAGTCCGCGGCTTCAATAAAATTGCAATCTAGCAGGAGAGAGAAGATAAAATCCCAAATAACTCTAAAGAAGAAACATGTAAAAAAGAAATGGGAAAGAAAGACAAAAACTGCCATGGAGACTCAGAGAAGGGAGAAATTCTATATTGTTCAGATATTAAGAAAACTCCTGATCAGAAGGTATTATTTGAAATAGAAAGACAGGAAAAAATACATATGGAGGGAAGACATTTCAGTAAAAAAAAATGCATGAAGAAAACCCAGGGGAAAGAAGGCACGGTGTGGATGTGAGACATTATGACTTGTCCAGTCTGGTAGAGAGCAGAACCCATACAGGATGGTAGCAAATTCCAGTGCTGGAGAGGAGGCTAGACCATTCAAGCTAAGATAGTTAGGCTTAACTCGATGGCAGCAGAGAGTCATTAAATGTGTCCCTGGGAGTGATATAATTGGAATTTTCTTTATTAAAGGTACCTAATGATCAGAAGGATGAATTGGAAGAAAAGAACCTAAGCTAGGGAGTTTCAACTTCACCAAAAAAGTCATGTTTTCTCAATATTGAAGGGGATTCCTTTCATAATGTTGAAATTTGCAAATAGTTAAAGGCACTTGTTCCCAAACTTCAGCATAATCAAAACCACCTGGAAGTCTTGTTCGAACACATATTGCCACAATTACAGTTAGAGACTTCATCACCCCCTCAGTGACTGATAAAATCACTAGACAGAAAATTAGCGAAGATATAGGAGAACAGAAGAACACTATGAACCAAGAGGATCTAAATGATATTTCTATCAACAGCAGCAGGATCACATTCTTTTCAGAAGGCTGTGGAACATAGGCCAAGGTGGACCAACATGCTGGGTCATAACACAAACCTCAACAAATTCATAAAAATTGAAATGATATATGTTCTATGACAATCATGAAATCAAATTGGAAACTAACAATAGAAAGACAACAGCTAAATCTCCAAACACTTGAAAATAAGACAACACTGTCCAAATAATCTATAGTGCAAGAGAAAAATCTCAAAAGAATTTTTAAAAATTCATAGAACTAAATTGAAAGTGAAAATACGACATAATAAATCTGTGGAATGCAAATAAAGCAGTGCTGAGAAGGAAACATGTTTGTATTAGAAAATAGAAAAGTCTCGAATCAATAATCTAAGTTCCTACCTTAAAAAAACAGAAAAAGTTCTCCACTCTCACTGCTCCACTTGACTAGCCTAAAACAAAACAAAACACAGAAAAGGGTCAAAATAAACCCAAACCAAGCAGAAGGAAGGAAACAATAAAGAAAAGACAAGAAACCATTGAAATTGAAAACAGGAAAACAATAGAGCAAATCAATAAACAAACAGCTGTTTCTTTTTTTTAAAAAAAAAGCAATAAAGTTGATTAACTTCTAGCAAGACTAACAAGGACAAAGGGAAGACACAAATCACCTATCTCAGGAATAAAATAAGAGATTTCAGTATAGTTCCTGCAGAGGGTTTCAATACAGATAAAAAGGGGATACTACAAACAACTTTACATTCATAATTTGACAACTTAGAAGAAATAGACCAAATCCTGGAAAATAACAAACTACCAAATCTCAACCAAGATGAAATAAAAATCTGAATTGTCCTATAACCATTAAAGGAATAGCATGTGTAATTTAAGAGTTTCCAGAAAAGAAATTCCTGGGCCTGGATAGTTTCATTGGAGAATTCTACCTTACATTTTAAAAATTAGCATTAATTTTATATCATCTTTTTCAGAGAATAGAAAAGGAGGGAACACCTCATTTTATGAGACCAACATTACCCTAATACAAAAAGCAAACAAATAGCACAAAAAAAAGCAACCTATGGATAAAAATCTCTCATGAACTTAGACATAAAATCAACAAAATTTTAGCAAATTGAATCCAGCAACATATTTTTTAAATTATATATCACAACGAGGTGAGATTTATTCCAAGTATATAAGGCTAGTTCATTATTCAAAAATCAAACAATGTAATCCAACAAATTGACCAGCTAAAGAAGAAAAACCACATGATCTTATCAATTTATGTTAAAAAAAAAAAGCATTCGACAAAATTCAGTACCCATTTGTGACAAAAATTTAGCAAACTAAAAATAGAGAAGTTTGTCTATATCCTTTTTGATATAGACAAATATCAGTTCAGATAAAATGTCTTTCAACTCCAGCACAAGGCTACTCAACCTGGTCCTAGAAAAAGAAAGAACAAAACAAAATAAAATTCACTTGTAAAGGGAGATATCTCCATCTTATCTGTATCTTAAAATGAATCAACCCTTCTGAAACAGCAGGCAAAAAGCAGCCATTGTGAAAATCTCCTGCTTGACCAGTGCTTGGTGATGCATAGCTTCATATTTTTCTATCTACCACCCAAAAGAAGGGCCCCCATACAATCTCATGGAGATAGAGGCTGACTGTAGTGCAATTAATAAAATGTTATTTTCTTCTTCAGTTCCTTGCTCAGTCACATTTCATGCCCTCTTCTCTGAATGTTTATCACCACCAAGAGTCATATTTCTGTTTCAGTATCTGGCAAGTGACTCCCTGCTGAACAGGGAAAAGAGAAGCCCCATAAATCAGAGAGTCCTGCAGTCCACATGCAGCCCTCCTGGCCAGTAGTGGGACCCTTGAATATTCTTCAAAGCTAAGTACTTCAGAGCAGCACTCTTAAAAATAAAGATCCAATTACTCAGAGGTGGATGGCATTAGAAATACCCCAAATCCCCAAATGAGCAGGATCTGAAGGGGCTGAGAATCACTTCCTTGGCTTCCTGAGAGCCCTGATCAGCTGCTGACCCAGTGAGTTCAAAGAAAACTTGCCTGTCTGCAATGCCAGCCTTCTCCAATATGAGACAAGGCACCCCCTAGACCACTAGAAGTTGGAAATAAAGGGCAAAATCATGGGCCTATAATTACCAGTAAGAGATCGAGACAATTCAGGCCAGTGCAGTGGCTCACATCTGTAATCCCAGCACTTTGAGAGGCTGGGGGAGGGGCGGGGGTGTGGATCACTTGAGGTCAGGAGTTCGAGACCAGCCTGGCCAACATGGTGAAACCCCATCTCTACTAAAAATACAAAAAAATTAGCCAGGCGTGGTGGTGGGCACCTGTAATCCCAGCTACTCGGGAGGCAGGAAAATCGCTTGAACTCAGGAGGCAGAGATTGCAGTGAGCCAATATCATGCCACTGCCCTCCAGCCTAGGCGACAGAGTCAGGCTCTGTCTCAAAAAAAAAAAAAAAAAAAAAAAAAAAAAAAACAATTCAACATACAGAAACTTGGCAACCTGCCTCACTTTATTCTTAAAAAGAATACTTTGAAACATGAATACATTTTTCTGAATATTCCAAAGTCCTTACTATTCCCAGTGTGTTCCTTAGATAAGCAGCATTGGCCTCATGTGGGAGCTTTTGCAAAATGCAACTTTCTAGACCCACCCAGAACCAGAACCACCCTTCCAGATCCACCCAGAAGCACCCAATCAGAATCTGCATGTTTACAAAATCCCAGTGATTCCTAAGCACATAAAATTGGAGCAGCCTTGCTATAAGGACAAAAGTAGCAAATACCTGTTAATTATAGTCAGGAAGCTGCTGAGAAAAGAGTGAATGTAGAGATGGTATCTCATGACGACTGGGTAACCACCACAAACACTGCAAGACCAAGATGGATAATTAAATAGTGTGGAGTCCAGGCCTGAACAATTAGGAAAACAGCCATCATCTGTTGACTCTTCCCCATCAAATGTCCATGAAGGCCAAAAAGCTCTGAGATTCTGCCCTAAATTCTGATCCCATATATTCCCAGAGAAGTGCTAATTCAACCCCATTTGCCATTTCCTAATTGAATTTCTCATTTCCCAAATAACTGGTAGTTTGATAGTTTGCAGAGGTTTATTGTTGTTGGAATAACTGAACAAATTACTTGTTCAGGAATTCTGGAAAGACTGAAAATGTATTAGCAAATTATAATGATTGTTGTTTGTTCTTCCTTGGTTTTTAAACTTCTTGTTTTTAGTGATGAAACCGTAGGCATTCACCAAGGAAAAAGGGAAGGAACAGGGAAAGAAGCTGGGAAGTGGTAACAGGATATTGAGACTTTATTGGGGTCAGTACATTCTATAACGTTGAGTTGGCAATGTTTAGAAAGTTTCTTGGTGTCTTACATTATATAAGCCTTTATGGAAAACACAGCCTTTTAATAATCATAGTAACCAGAGACATATTTTGAATAACTAAAGTTTAAGTGTTACAGACAGTTTTGGCACTCAGTTTTAAACATTTTATCTAATTGTACAAATATTTTAAAAATACATGCTGAATGATAATTCCCACGTGGGACTGGGGTAACCCTGCAATATCCTCTTCTTTGGAAATGATATATTTTGATAAGAAGATAAATTAGTCCTTCTTTCTCATGGATAACTATCATGTAAAATATTGGAGGAGGTTTTCTTACTTGTTAAGGAGAATTTGGAAACCTGCTATTTGCTTAAAACTCTGCAAGAAGCCATATTCACATATGCATCCTGCCTTTCAGATGCTTACTGTCTAGGGAAGGAGGCAGACATACAAACATGAGACATATTTTACAGGAAAAATTGATCGAACTTTAAATCAGAGTATCAGGGGGCAGGTAAAGGAGATCCATGAATCTGGCTTAGAGATTAGAAGTGTCCCTGACAGAAACTAGAATGATAGGTGAGAAAAGGAGAAGTGAGTTGTGAGTGGGAAGATGATTGACTTGGCTCTGGCCCAGTGAGTGGAAGATGGCCGTGAGGCATGGAATAGCACAAGTCAGCGTAAAATTAAGTGTGAAATGAACAATTAGTACCAGAGGAACTGAAAGGAGGAAACTAAACAGACTAGTCAGTGAAGGAATGAATAGTGACTCAAAGCTTCACGAAGGAGTTATGACTTGTATTGAACCTTAAAGAAAGATGAATTTGTTGAAGGTGAAGTAGAGTCGGGTAATGGAGGGCTTTGAAAGTCTAGTAGGCATGGTAGATTTGAATGGGGAGGAAGTAGACACTGAGGTTTCTAGGAGGGAGGTGATGAAAACAGTGTGTAGGAAATTTTGAAGCAGGGAAAGTCTCTGTTCAAGGCTTGCAGAGTTAAAATCTCTGTTGGAAGTAATTAGAAAAAAAAACATGAAAAGGACAGAACAAATAAAAGACATACTTTTTTTTTCTTTGAGACAGGGTCTCACTCTGTTGCCCAGGCTGGATTGCAGTGGCACGACCTCAGCTCACTGCAACCTCGGCCTCCTGGGTTCCAGCAATTCTCCCACCTCAGCCTCCTGAGTAGCTGGGACTACAAGCATGCGTTATCACATGTGGCTAATTTTTGTGGTTTTCGTAGAGACGGGATTTCACCATTTTGGCCAGGCTGCTCTCAAACTCCTGACATTGAGTTATCTGCCCACCTCAGCCTCCCAAAGTGCTGGGTTTACAGGCATGTGCCACCGCGCCCAGCCAAGACATACTTTAAAGGGAAAATAGGTAAAAGTTAGAATTGGAATATCAGGACACTGGAAAAGGTGATAAATGAATCTGACAGGGAGAATGGTAGTGCTATTGAAAATAACCAGAAATAGAGGTAGGGAAAAAAGGAAGAATTGTGAATAGAAAATTGGTGAAGTTGGTTTTAGACATTGACATGGTTTGGATCTGTATCCCCGCCAAATCTCATGTCGAACTGTAATCCCCAGTGTTGGAG
The DNA here is from genome assembly GCF_000001405.40 of Homo sapiens. Taxonomy (NCBI): domain Eukaryota; kingdom Metazoa; phylum Chordata; class Mammalia; order Primates; family Hominidae; genus Homo; species Homo sapiens. Next base: position 176,404,775 of record NC_000002.12, on the reverse strand, counting down.
GTGGGGTCTGGTGGGAGGTGATTGGATCATGGGAGTGGATCCTACATGAGTGGTTTAGCACCATCCTCTTGGTGCTGTTCTCATAATAGTCAGTGAATTCTCACAAGATCTTGTTGTTTAAAAGTCTGTGGCACCTCCGCACTCTCTCCTGCTCCTGCTCCTGCCATGTCAAATGACCACTCCCCTTTCACCTTCTGCCATTATTGTAAGTTTTCTGAGGCTTCTCCAGAAGCCAAGCAGATGCCGCTATGCTTCTTGTACAGCCCGCAGAACCATGACACAATTTAACCTCTTTTCTTCAAATTACCCAGTCTCAGGTATTTCTTTATAGCAATGCAAGAATGGACTGATACAGACATAATGAGTGGGAGGTGACATTGTGATAGCCAAAATGTGGCTATGTAGGAGGCAGCAGGACTGGCATTGGGCTGGGGAGGGTAAGAAGCCCAGGATACCAAACTCAAGAAGGTGGTGACTCTCAAGGTCTCAGGGAGCACAGCCCTGAGAGTGAGGGCCTCCTTAAACTTTGCACCTGGGACCACAATTCTTTCCCCCTAGTCCCTGCGCTACTGGGCAGATGGAAATATGGAACTTGGGGTTAGATGATAAATAAGATTGAGGATACAGTCTTTAAAGAAGTAGCATAAGAAAGATTATTGTATTTATGAGGTCTTCAAAGTAGACACCAAAGAGAAGGAAGTACAAAGGGCTGAGCTTTAAGGAAGTCTCCTTTGAAAACCTGAAAAGAAACAAGAATGAGCAGGCCTAACATAAAAAGGACAACCGAAGAGTCAGGAAAAAGGATGTTTCTATTTAAACAGGGTAGATGTAACAGATGCTGTCACTGATGCATTTATTCTCTCCAAATCACTGCTTCAGGGGGAATTAAATAATTTTTTTAAAAGTATTCACTCACACCTGGGCAACAGAGTGAGACTCCATCTCAAAAAAAAAAAAGTATTCACTCACAAGGATTAAGAGAATAAGTGAGAAGATAACAGTAATATCTTGGAATTCTCTACTTGGAAGCAAGTAGAGAAGTTATAACTCTCTAGGCAGAGTCAGAAAACAGAAACTGAAGCCAGCAGTGGGGGAAAGTCTGGGAACAAATATAGTTGCACTACAGAACCCTAAAAGGCTTAGGAAATGGAGCAGTTGATACCTCTGGAGGTAGGGTTGTGGGGGAACTGAAAACAAATGGATTGGTTAAAATTTTATACACAGTGTATTCTATGGCAGTTATATACAACAGATCTCCTTCTCCAGCCACCATGGTTCGGCAATATACTATCACTAACTAAGCTGGTAGAATTCTAGAGATTTATTCTCTGGAAAGTTGAATTCGAGTGACTTTGGTCACAAGAACACAAGTCACAGCTGAGCATAGGATTTCCTTACGGGAAACAGAAGGACTAAGTGAAAGTCTACACACAGAACAGTACCCTTCCCCAGTTGAATGCAAGAATGCTGGGGGCCTGGCTAATGGCTCCCAGGCAGTATTTCTCTCTGAGAACAACTGACCAAGCTAAAGAAAAGACCAATACATACAAACAGCTTGGACATTCCCCTAATAGAAGAATACTGTCGGGTCACCTAAGAGTGAAGCCTAGTGAGAATTTGGGCACACACGTGCACCTGCACACAGCTTCCAGATCACATGACAGAGGCTCATTCCCACAAATGGACAGACAGCCAAGGATCATTAGACATGTGAGAAATGCTTCTAACATATAAAAATGGAAGGAAGGAAGGAAGGAAGGAAAGAAGGAAGGAAGGAAGGAAAGGGAAGGAGGGAGGGAAAGAAAGGAAGGAAGGAAGAAAAGGAGGAAGGGAGGGAGGGAGGAAGGTAGAAAGGGAAGGGAGGGAGGGAGAGGGAAGGAAGAAAGGGAAGGGAGGGAGGGGGAAGGAAGAAAGGGAAGGGAGGGAGGGGGAAGTAAGAAAGGGAAGGGCAGGGAAGGGAAGGCAGGAAGGAGGAAGGAGGGGAGGGAGGGAGGGAAGATCAGACTTGGAGAAAACAGAAACAATGTATGATCAGAAAAGAAAATTAAAAATAAGATTTTCAAAATTATGTTATTTTAAAATATTCAAAGAAGAGTAAAGAGTTCTTGGAAATTATGATCGTAGAAAAAAATTCACTGTTTGGAATATAAAGTTGAGAAAAAAATCCCAGAAACCAAATAAAAATGATAAATATATGAACATGAGAGAAATAAGATGAAAAATTTAAGTAATCTGTTTAGGAAGTCCAGCTTCTGAATGATAGTACCTTTACAAAGGAAGACTAGGGCAGGAGGTGGAGAGGAAATCATCAAAGAAATAACACCAGAAAAGAACACTCAGAAGAAAACGACATGCATTCATGTATTAAGAGGGCTCAAGTACCCAGCACAGCAAATGAAAAAAGTCTAATATCAAAGCTCATGATCATGAAATTTCAAAACTCTGGAAACAAAGAGGAAATCCAGGAAGCTTTGTAACAGGCTCATACAAAGAAAGGCATAGGAAATCTTAACAACAAAATCAGAAACTGGAAGACAATGGAGCAATGCCATCAAAATACTGAGGGAAAATTACTTACATAGTAGAATTATATTCTCAGCCAAACTATTGATCAAATATTAGATAGCATAACATCATTTTTGTAAATGCAAAGACAAAAAAAAGTATCTTCTCTGCATTTTATTTATTTAGAAAGCTAATAGAATAGAGGCTTACTATCCAAAGGATGGAAAAACAAGAACCTGAAATGTATGGGATCCAGGAAACAAAGATTCCAGTGCAGAGAAAGGCAGTGGAATCTACAAGATGATAGTAAAGGAAGCTTCTAGGACAATAAATAGCACACAGCTTAGTCTAGACTAGAGCAAGGCGAAAAGAGATTCTGGAGGGGTGTACCTAAGAAAAAAGTTACCTGGTTTGTTTAACTGAAATCAGAGAAAAATGTACCACTCTGTCCAAGACTTGGGGATAAGCTAGAACAAAAACAGAAAACTAAGCAAACGAAAAAGAGAAGGAGAGTTACCAATTCCAGAGAGAACAATATAGTATGCAATAAAGGAAATAGTATCATATTGTACGGCTTAGCTGTAAAAAATATTTACATAGTCATAAACTTTGAATATTGGTCTAAGTAAAATGAAGATGGAGGGAGGAAGGATGTGGAAGAAAACTGACCCTCATCATCACAAGTAGGAAACTAATAGATAATACCTAAAGCTGAAAAGAAGGATTTTTAATAGTGGTGTAAGGATGTTTCTCAAAATAATGATCACAAATACTAGAAGAACAAGCTGGAGGAGCTAAAAGTGGTTTCCATTGAAAAGGACTCAGAGGAGGGGAAGTTTGAGTCAGAGGCTATTGTTATTAATTTTAACCCTTTAAAATGATTTGCCTTGTAAATTGTACAAGGCAATTTATAAAAATTTTTTAAATAAAGAGACAAAAAATTAATAGAATCAATATATCAAAATAAATCCATATTTTAGAATCAGCTACAGTTATGATAGCTGATGCATATTCCAAATTTAATGATAAAACTTATTAAACATTCAAGTTCTTTTGCTCTGACAAATTTATTAAACAATATTTCAAGTTTTACAATTTCAAACTAAATATACTTTTTTGAAGAAAAAAATCAGATTATTATGATGTGCCTACAATCTTAAGTATTTTCTATTCTTCTTTATAACATGTATCATTCTTTACCAAGTTCATTCTTGCATCTGGAAGCAACACTAGGCAGATGATGTATAAGTACAAGACCCCCAATGCTCAGAGGTTAAAAAAATTCATTTCTCATGTTTTCCAGATGTCTATCTGGTAGAATCCTTCACTGATTTTTTTTCACTTCACTATTTGAATAGTTTTTCCCACGTGTAGATGCATCTCCAAACAGTGGCTCACAGCACATTTTGACTTAAACACATAAACATTTCAGTGGGACAGAAAACTGCACTTTATTCAGACAACAGATTAGGGATGAAACAGTGGTTTTCACGTTGTTTTTGACATTTTAAAAGGGCTGAAGTATTTTTATCCCTTTGCTGCCTGTTGTTCCGCTAGATACCTAATAACTTTGAAGAGAAGATCCCAACATATTATATATACTGAAATGCTGTCCGATGCAAAGTGATATTTTCCTTTCTATTTTTCATTTCTGGATGCTGGCTCTAGTAACCAATACAATCATTTTCTTTTATTGGTTTTCTTATAAAATTTATCCTTGTTAGATTCATTGATGACTATATATTACTGAGGCATTTGATAAAATTTCATTGTGATATTACCACTGCGTAGAAAATGCTTTTTTCTGGATGAAAATAACTAGTTTTCAAAGTGAAGATGAAACCAGGCATGATTCAGAATTGCAGAGGATGGCATCCTTATTTGAAAACTAATCATCAAGAACTCCCAACCCCCAAATCAATGTTACTCTCTGCTGAGAAGACGTGCTCTAGATTGACTTCAGTTTTCCAATAAAAAAAAAATGAGTTTTCCCATTTTCAACACTTCACAATTTAAAACTGTAGCTCTTTAAAAGAATTCTGATTCTCTCATGACTGGCCTGAGCTGTACATCTCCTAAATCCTTCTAGACAGTCTTTGGTGGCCTAGATCTGATTAACATGAATTAATTTGAACCAGAAGATTTGTCAAAAAACTCAAGTCAATTAGTGACTCTGCATTTGCAGGATTGTATGGGTATACAGTCCCTAGTTATTTTTCCATTTTTATTTGAGGGTATTATAATAAAGTATAATATCACTGGATCCTCCTTTTTACTGAGAAATATTGAGGTGGTCTCTGTCATTTTATCTGAAACTCCTAAAGCACCACACTGATTTAAAAAGCAACAAAGGACATATTTTTAAAGTTTTTTTCAAGGGTTTTGGATTATTCCTGGAATATCTAACTAAAAAGGACATAAGATATTAAAACAATCACTTAAAGATTTGATACAGCCCATTCCTACAAGAAAATTTACTTTTCATTTAAATTTTATCTTTGCCTGGGCTGCTCCTAATGACGTGGCTCATAGAGATACGGTTTAAAAAATAAAGTTAAATCTTCCTCTTGGTGGAAAATGGTTTTTAAAATGCAGTTTCCTACTTAAAGTTAGAATGATTGTTAATTTTAAATAATAAAAGTATTCCAAACCCCACAAATATTAAACAACAACAAATTTATGAATAAAGCTAATTTTTAAAATTAGGACAAGAAGCAAAGAGTTCTTGCTACATGAACTTCATTCAGTCTAATCTGAATTAGAGAATGTTTTAAATCAATGTAGTTTCATTTCTGTAAACCATACATAACTCATACAGCTAGAAAGGCACTGCTTGTAACAGATAATGTAGGGATCTGGTTAACAAATAGAGAAATAATTCATAATTAGCATGCCAATTATACATGACTGGTTGCTTTCCTGGACTTAAAATGGCATATACACTAAACTTTCTTTCTTTGTGGATTATTAATTTGCTTGGCAAATCCTTCCCAGTCTAGAAGTAAGAACTCACTTCTTGTCTTGCTGACCAGAGCTCTTCTAAGGAGATTTCACTATAGTTTACAGGCAACACAGTTGGCTAGGTTTTCAAGTGACCTGTGTTCCTCATTGCCCCACTGCCTTTGGCTTACACTGGAGCAAGTTATTTGCATATATGCAAACCTTAATTTCCCTATTTGAAAAGTGGGGCTGAAGGTCTGTGCAAGTTCAAGTGAATCAATTGTTAAAATCCAATTTGATCCTAAAAAAGATGACCAGGCAGATAGCACTGACCTTCATGAATCACTGTGAGGGAGTCTGACCACAATCGCATCTCTCTTGGCCACTGCAGTAAATGTGTGCAAACAAAACTACTGTTTTAGCCATTCTAAAAAAATATGCACATAGGGACTTATAAACAGCATATTTTTACTCATTAAGTCATTTTTAAAATAGGCTGTGAATGACAACTTAAAAGTGCTTAAGAAAATACTATTCATTCTGCAAAAGAGTTACTATGGCCTAGAATGCAAACTGGTCATTTGGGACTATTTTAAAAGTAGAAGCCAGAGGAGGCCCTCCTCCCTCTAAGATAAGCCCAATCTCCTCAGACTTGGCCCATCCACTCCAAAGCTGGGCTGGGCCATCATTCTTTGGGGCTTTTGCAGCATGGACATGAGCAAGATTTTTTATTTGAACAAGGCAGAAAATCAAACTTAAAATAAATTTAAAGAGTGTGCTTTTTGTTCCAGATTTTATTTTAAAACATTTATTCAGGCATCTCTATGATTTCAAGCCTCTCAGCCCAAAGGCATTAAACTGTACTGAAGCTTAATGGCCTGAAAAGTTTCCTTTTGAATTAAAGCGCATCCAGTTACAAAAGTGGGATGGGGAGAAGGAAGGGAGAACCTGCAACTAATCTGAAAATTCCTTCTTTGATTCTGAACTTTGAGAACATAAAGATAGCCAGCATAATACTTTCAAATCACATCAGGGAGAAACACATTTCTGGAAGCTGTGTTTCTATCCCAGTGTCTAGTTAAAGGAATTTTCCATTAGTGAAGGACGACCTATAATACAGACGGGTCTCGATGGGTGCTGAGAAGGAAAAAAGATAATTTACATAAGCTTCTCCAGACTCATTATTCTCACCAAGTGCTTCACTTGCTGTAAAGGCAAATTCTAGGACCTTTCATTTCATGGATGAAAATGGTACCTTCTTCCCAGACCAGTGGACTCCAAAATAGGAATAATATACTTGGGTACAGATAGAAAATTTAAATTTTTTATTTATGGGTACTATTTAGATCATTGTTAATTTTCTGTTTGGTTTATGTAATGTACATGTAACATAATGTAATAGTGTATATACATCCCCTAAATAAATGAATGTACTTATGTTGGGGTATTCAATCATGGAAATCCAGAGACAACTTATCTGGGCACTATACCTGAGTCACAGCCTAGACTGCCTGGCGAGATGAGGGGGCGCTGAAACTGGAAGTTGTTCTAACTCTTAGCCCATAAAGGAATCCCTTGGTTGCTGCAGGCACAGACGCCCCTCCCCAAGCCTAGAGAATCTGATCGACAGTAGTTCTACCCAGCTGGACTTTCTGTGATTGTGTCCTGCTCTTTTTTCTTTTGTTTGTTTTTCATTTTTTAAGTGCAACTATGCATTAGTAACAATGGGACTATAACAAAAGTACAGATAGCTTGGTCCTGTTTGAATCTTTATTGTCATCTCTCACTATAAAATATGCACATTTGTGTTATGGCAAATCACAGCAACTTGAACCTAATCATGTCCCATTCGATGCTCTATTTACTATAATAGCATAGGTAATCTCATGCATAGAGATACAGAAGTGCTCACTGTCAAGGTGTATATTTTTAACATCAACTTCAATCTGCTATTTTTTAAGACTGATTTTTGTCTCTGTGCAAACAGGATATCAAGTCAACTTTCTCTTGTTAATTAAGTATCAGTGTTTCCTCTTTTGAGTGTATGTTACCTGAATGGCTGTTCGGTGAAAGGAGGCTGTAGTGGTCTTTGAGAAATATAGATTCTGTGTCTAAGCTTCAGGATGTTTAAAGGAAGAAAAAGTAACACAAACTGCCATTTAAGAATTTGAGTGGCTCATGCCTGTCATCCCAGCACTTTGAGAGACTAGGGCACGAGGATCACTTGAGCCCGGGAGGTTAAGGCTGCAGTGAGCCGAGATAGCGTCACTGCACTCCAGCCTGGGCGACACAGCAAGACTCTATTTCAAAACATAAAAATAAAAAATAAAAAAGGTATAGTATATGTATTGAAATGGAAAGATATTAATGGCCTAGCAATAGTGGAAAAGGGCAGTTTTCAAACACTGTAGGTTGTAATTCTATTTATGTAAATGTATGTTTACACATGCATTAAAATGTGACGGATTTTCTTTAATAGTGGTTTTCTGTAGGAGGTAGAATTCTGAGGAAACTTTGATTCCTCCATTTTGTTAAATATTTTATCAAACATATCAGAAAACCAAAGATAATTTCTGCTTAGAAAATAAAATGTTACAGATATTACAAATAATATGACCTTTTTCTTAATTATAATCTTATAGCACAGAAGTACCAGACATCTGAGGAACTTCTGTAATATAAAGGACAGAAATCTAAACCAAGAAACTTGGTGGAGGGAGGAAAGGATCTTAGAGGTAAGAGAAACAATGCAAAAGACAGAAGAAAACATCCCCCAAACCACAATTACTATTCTCAGCAGGACAAAAGAAGACATTGCATGAAATAAGAAGAAGCTCTAAAAAGGGAACAAGCAAATTTATTTGATCTTCATTGATCAAAATTTATTTGATCTTCATTGCTGGCACTTGTACAGAGCAGATTTAATAAGGAGCATGAAGAGTTCCAAGAAGAAAAATTTGATAGCCAAAAAAAAAAAAAAAAAAAAGAATTGCGATAAAAGGATCTAAGAAAATCTCTTAAGGAAACAGACAATGAAAGAAAAATAAAGAGTCAAAAGAAACCCCCCAAAAATGAAAATTAGAGTATCAATCCAGGGTATGGAATAGCTGATAAATAGAACTGACAAAAAAAAAGGAAAGGAGAAAATGGTTGGGAGAAAATTATCAAATAAATAATATAAGAAAGATTCCCAGAACAGAAATATGTATTTCTGAAGAATGAAAGTCCCTGTGAGAGCCTAGCATAATTAATGAAAAATGTCCACATCGGGAAATTTTAGAACGCTGGGGAGAAAGAGAAATTGTAATAACTTTTAAATGGGAGAGTGGAAGACAGGGTACGTATGAAGGATCAGGAATAAGAATGGCATTAACTTCTCAGAAGCTACATTGGGACCTAGAAGACAATTAAGATCATTTTCAATTTTGAATCCTGTAGCCAAACTATCATTTCAATGTGAGAGAAGAATAAAGATATTTTAAGAGACATAGAATACTAAAATAATTACCTCCCCTGCCCTGTTTTCTCAGGAGTGCTTTTTTTTTTTTCTCACAAAATAAGATAGTGAAACAAGAAAGGAAGATAGATGCTTCAAGAAAATAAGAGGTAAATATAGGAAAGGGGCAAGGAAAGAAACTAGGACTGTGAGCCTCCAGGGCAGCTGGGTCTGAGTGGAGCAGGAAGACTCAGGATCCAGAGAGGCTTCCAGGGAGAAAAAAGCCAGGGGTACAGGCAGAGAGGGAGACTGATAGAACATCAGATGGGTTATCATGAGGGAAATGGTACTGGGAGACAATTAGAAAGTATGCAAAGACATATTAATGGACACAAAGCAAACAAATCCAATGAAACTCAAGGGAATGAGTCATTCCAAGGAAAGTGAAAGTGCCATGGCTAGAGGAAAGGTAATCGTGGGATACTGCCTGGCTCAGACAAACATATCGATAGTCACAATTTTATTAACTCTGAAATGCTGATTTAACCAAAAATAATGGGGGAAAGTCTGGAGACTGGCATAAGAGAGCTACGTCCTCTTAGCCACAGTGGCTATGCAATAGGTTGCCAGTAAAACTGATGGCTCAAGAGTCGCATGTGTTTACTTGGGAATACGGAAGTCATACCAGAAGAAACAACTGGAAGAATTTGGAGTAGTTGAAGGATAAGGGGCAAAGCTTCCTTACATAGTGAATGAGAGAATCTCTCTTCACAGAAGACTTTTCTATTAATAGCTTTTGCTTACAGATGAATATCAGTTCTGATAATCTAGTACAAAATGCTTTAATTCTATACTTTAAAAAGTCAATTAGTATGTCCTTGTTAAACATTTAATATCAAAAGGCAAAGAAATTCCTCCCACCCTACCTCTTTCATCACAGGCCTGCAAAGTCCTCTATGCAAAGATGAATGAGATCAGACTAGGTACTCCATTGGCCTGAACAACTCAGACTGTCTGTAGAGACGGTCTCCAATTTGCACAGGATTTGTTTCAGAAATTCCTGGGCCAGTTGTTTGGAACATGGGAATGTTTTTTCTTCTCCTCTCCCATCCCAGGAGAAAGGTTTTAGGGTTCTAGATGACTACCTCTTCAGGGGGTGGAGCCAGGGTGAAAGAGTGAGAGGAACCATAAGTTAGATGTAGGTTATTTTTTAAATCTGAGCTTTTCTGCTGAATGGTGGGTTCATCATTATATATTACTTCATAAAATTATATTAATAAACAAGTAAACAAAAAAACCAAAACTATGAGAGTGTGTCATAAACCAAAAATTATCAATCCATTTCTTTTTTTTTTTTTTTTTTTGAGACGGAGTCTCTCTCTGTCTCCCAGGCTGGAGTGCAGTGGCGCAATCTCGGCTCACTGCAAGCTCCACCTCCCAGGTTCACGCCATTCTCCTGCCTCAGCCTCCCAAGTAGCTGGGACTACAGGTGCCCGCCACCACGCCCTGCTAATTTTTTGTATTTTTAGTAGAGACGGGGTTTCACCATGTTAGCCAGGATGGTCTCGATCTCCTGACCTCGTGATCTGCCCACCTCAGCCTCCCAAAGTGCTGGGATTACAGGCGTGAGCCACCACGCCCGGCCGTCAATCCATTTCTATGTACCTGAAGCCCAATGGAGAAAAAAACAGCTCAGAATCCTGTTTATCTGTTGATACAACAGATGTTACATGTGCCATATATTCAGTAATTGCATGCAATAAATATTTCTGAAGCCTCTCCTAAGAGTAAGGCACTGAGCAAGTTCTATAGTTACAGTTATTAAGAGAAACAGGGTCCAAGACCTGTGGCTATTGAAGAATCATCTTGGTCTTTCAGAATTCAGAAATTATATGTAAGTATATGGACCATTTCAAAATGTTTTAAAAACATATACACAGTAGTTTCCTCATGCATCCCATAACTAGTCACCAAACAAAAGTGACAGACGACAATAAGATGGATTAGGAAAAGCATATTTATTTGATCTTCATTGTTGGCACTTGTAAAGAGCAGATTTAATTAGGAACATGAAGAGTTCCAAGAAGGTCTGAGCAGGCTCTGGAGGGGATGCCGGGACACTGCAGAGCCCAGCAGGAGCTGGTGGTGCTGGCCCTTCTCTCTCCTTGACACGCACATCTTTAAAGACTGCTTTAAGCTTATTAGTCAAGATAGGGAAATGTTTGGGTCACAAATATAGTGAGTACCTGTTGCTGATACTGAGAAGGTTAACTAAGGTTTCTAAATTACCTTCAAAACCAATTTTCCCTTTATTTATTGAGTCTTTCTGTCTTTCACACATTGTTTTCCAGTTTGTCTCTAGTTCCCTTGGGTTGCTTTCTCTCATTCTAAAAACATCTCTGTCTTGAATACAAAATATGTTTTATCCCAGAGAGATTCCAGCTTAACACCATACCCCACACTTCACAGAACATGCGCAGGCACTCAGCCCCCACGCACCTCACAGCTCCCATAGCCAGCAGGGCCCTGTGCTGGGTAGACCTAGACCCAAAATTCACAGTGAGACTTCAGGGCCAAGGCTTTACAAGGGCTCACGGAGGGAAAATGTACTAACCCTGCAGTTACATCTTTGCCAGGAGCTGGGAACTGCAGGCAGCTGATGCTTAGTTCCTGGCAAGGCAGTTGAAGGGGAGTGATTTCTCATTATTTGAGTAACACTTACAGGGCACTTACTCTACCTGGCCTGTTCTAAGGGCTTTACAAATATTAATAGACTGAACCCTCACTGCAAACCTGTGAGGTAGATACCATATTCCCATTGAAAGATGAAAAAGTGGAGGCCATAGAGGTCAAGTAACTTATCTAACATCACACAGCTAAAAGCAACGGAGTTGGGATTTGACCTAAGCAGTCTTGTCCCAGGGTCTGTGGCCTTAATTATGACTCAGACAACCTCCTTAAAGCCTGAGATAAGAAGCCTCCTCTCCAGCCTTCTAACCCCCAAAATAATTAGTAAGCTGTTGTTCCTATCAGAAGATGTGGAGAGTGTGGGTGGGAAAAGTGCTGGGGATAAACCCAGATGTTACCTTTCCAGTGAAGCAGAGGGGCTGAAGCTGGAACAGAGGAGTCAGGAAAGTCAGGTCCCCAGGAAGACTGACTTCAGACAGTCAAAATCAGGTACCTCCTGACCAGGACACAGATGGGGACAGATAATGCTGGTGTCCAGAGAAGTAACGCCAGGTACAGAGGCCACTCAAAAATAGGAAATAAGCCAGAAATGTAGGTTGCAGGCTGCCTGTACTGGTAAGAGCACACTCTGGTTATCTGTGGATATAGCACTTTGGAAAATGAAGCCAAATCGCTCTTGTCAGGGAAGCATATAAATAGCATTTACAGACCTTGGCTGCCTTTCCTTTCTCCTCAGTTACTGTTCACCAAAGACACGCTATGAGAAAAGAGTAGCATGCCACTGAGTGAAGTCAGAAAACGAGATGGACTTTTCTCATCCCTACAAAGCCATTCCATTTAACTTGGTTGTGGGCTTGGTACACTTGAGACGTTTGGTGGCGACCTCAGCACCAAGGGCCCCTTGAGGGCGTCTGATGGCACAGTCTGCAAGACTGAAAGCAGCAGGGCCTCTCAGAGGCACCACCAGTGGGAGCATAAATAAATAAATGAGGAGAAAACAGAGCAGTTTAGCCAAGATAAAAGAAATCCACAGGAGGAAGGTCAGCCACTCTAAGAATAACTGTCCTGCAAAACAAAACCAGGCCAAATATAACATCTCCTACCTCAACCAAAATCATCCTCCTTTTGAAGTCAGTGTTATGTTCCAGTTTTTTTTTTTTCTTCTTTATTCCCTATAGGCTCCTCTAAGGTAGGCCATACTCTGTGAGAGGATATATGTGAGCAAGGTTTCATTTGACATCTGTTTTGGAACTATTAAACTTGAGATGGTTATTTTTAGAACACATGATAGTTTAAGAAATAATTAGGTGTCCGTTTGTGATGCAGGCTAGATGGTGGCCAATGTTCTAATGATTATGTCTAAAAAATTCAAACTGACTAAAAAGCAGGAAAAATCACATAGATTTAAAGTTCATTAAAAGGATCTTTAAAACGAAAATCCAGCAATATGATGTACCCATACCTCAGTTTCCTCACTTGCATACCATGCTGTTGTTTGCATAATATTACTCCCTGGACCCCTCCCAGCCCTCAGTCTGTGAGGCTGGCATAATCAGTTGGGTTTCCAGTAGTCGTGATGGATTTGCTCTAATCCACCCTCACCCTTTCACCCGTTTCCGCTTGTGATGAATGGACACCATTACAAAATGGCGACAGGGTGATGAGTGCAGCCTGGGGGAGCTCACCTCCACAAGGGGATCCAACGCCGGACTGTGGCCTCTTCTGTATGATGCTTTAACTTACTGAACTAATAAGCCACAGTAACAAGCCACGAGGATGCTTGTCACCGATTTGCCAAATAGAAGTGCTGTGGGAATATTTTTTTTAGAAAAAAAAGGAAGAGAAAGATTTTAGAAGCTTTGCTTCCACAGTAAGACAGCTATTTAAATACCAACTAATATTATTATAAGTCAGGAACAGAAGCAGTAGCAATAAAACTGTTTCTCTAAGTCAACAACTGGCTAGAGACTACATGTGTCTACAAAATGAGTTTCATAAGACTATGCTTATTTTAGAAACATCAATACTAAAACAGCAGTAACAGAAAGTGTTTTTCTCCTTGGTTTAAGCACTGCTTGGATATGCATTATATTCAGCCAAGCAATAACTGAACAAATTCCTCTCTTAAATTTCCCCAAGTTCAAGAATATGGCTTTGAGCATGCCACAGCTTTATAAAACAGCCGAGCTGTAAGTATGCAATAATCGCTCATTTCCTGGCCATTAATTCAGACATCATGCAATCACCCAAAGGCATCCATTTTCCTTTGCTGCTATTTTGGGGACTGCTGTCCTATTGTCATCCCTGCCTCAGACCTCTGACTTAGGCGTCTTTTAATTAGAGCCAGTGAGAATGACAGGCAGAGTCAGCCCGCTGAGGGTGATCCATCACACAGCTCTCTTTGCTCCCTGGCCTCTTAGATGACTGTTTATAAGCAGGACATCTTGGATATCAAGATAGCTGCTTAAGGAAACAGAAGAATAAATGGTGACCATCTTGTAAGCTACTTTCCTGAGATTATAAACTCTAGTCTAGGGCTGTATTTACTAACACGGTATGTAGGTTAAATACCCAAATAAACTTTTCCAGTGATAATTCTTTGGAAGATGTTTTATATCTGAGCTTGCCCTCAAATGAACTGATGCCATAATCTAAGAGTTGCCCAAGGTATTAACTGATATACTTACAATTTAACAGTTGGGACTATTTTTAATAGACCAGCATTTTAGCTAAATTCTTTCCACATTAGTCAACAGCAGTCCCAGTTCTGGAAAAGAAAAAAAAAATCAACTCAACCTTGGTAGGCTTCTTTCATTGTCATTACTGAAAGTACTACAGAGTATTTACTATTTGCTATTATTTCTCTGGTCAAACTAAAGGACTGATTTATGCCTGCTGAGATCTAAACCTATTATCTCAGGGAGAAGATGTATAAGATCCAAAGTTCTATTAGACTGTAACTCAAATCTAAAACTACATGGTGAACTGGCACATGTGCAGGTGCAGGGGTTATAGACACCAGCCCCTGCCCTGAGATGCACAGGAGTTGGAGGGAGTGATGCTGGTGAGACTGATGGGCACAGCACCGCGCAGGCAGAGGCTGTAGGCACAGTTTGGACAATGCTAAGGCAGAGAAGTTGGTCGAGATTTGACCCTCAGCTCCTTCACCACCAACAGTGTGGTCTTGGGCAGTTCACTGAAACCATCTGTATCTCTGTTTCATTATTATTTCAACTTGTTTCTTTCCATTTCTTTCCAATCCTCCACAACAAAGTTGAAATCCTTTTTTGCATATTTATATCTTATTATACACTTAGTACCTCAGAAGCATTTTCTCATAGTAAGATGATTTTTCATGACTGTATAAGGCTACAGTGTATGGAAATATATTAGCTTATTGAGCAAATCTTAATGGTTGGACACCTGTATTGTTTCCACTTTTCACCATAATAAATTGTGATGAATATTTTCCTTATCTTATAAAAGATCTTAATAGCACTGAAATGAAATAGTCCATGAAAAACTTTAAAATCTCAACAGCAAAATTGTCTAGAACTCAATAGTTTAGGAGGTAATTATTCTGTAACTTTTTACTTTTCCTTAAGTACAATTTCATTTTTTGTAATAATACAGATTTTACAAATACTATATGATAGAAATTAAATTCAATATTGAATGACAAATATTCATTGATCTCATAGTCTGTTGCCAGATACTGGACTAAGTCCTGAAGATACAGCAGTGAACAAGACAGACAAGCCTCAGCCTTTCTGGAGTTTACCTTCAAGCAGGGGAGACAGACAAAACAATCACAAATACATGGAACATACCTCAGAAGGTGATGACTGCTTTAGAGCAAAATAAAGCCTGAGAGGCAGCTAAATAGTGCCAGACAGGATGGGGGAGGTGGGTTTTTATATAGCGTATCCAAAGGAAAACTCACTGAGAAGGTGATATTTCAGCAGAGATTGAAGGAAAACAGGTGGGAAAGTTATTCAGGCTGAGTGAACAGGAAAGCAGAGAGGCTCATTTGGCTAGAGCCAAGTGGGCGAGAGGAATTTGGTGGGAGATGTGTTCAGAGAAGTAGCAAGGGTCAGACCACATAGGACCTAATAGGCCTTTAGAAGGACTTTGAGTTGAGTTGGCTGACATGTATTCTTAAAAGATATTTTCATGCACATTGTGAAAGTATCCATTTCTTTTAAAAATATGGTTCTCAGCTGGGTGCAGTGACTCACGCCTGTAATCCCAGCACTTTGGCAGGCTGAGGCGGGTGGATCACTTGAGGCCAGGAGTTAGAAACCAACCTGGCCAACATGGTGAAACCCTGTCTCTACTAAAAAATACAAAAATTAGCCGGGCATGGTGGTACACACCTGTAATCCCAGCTACTCAGGAGGCTGAGGCATGAGAATTGCTTGAACCTGGGAGGCAGAGGTTGCAGTGAGCTGAAATCAAGCCACTGCACTCCAGCCTGGGCGACAGAGCGAGACTCCATTTCAATAAATAAATTTAATTAATTTAATTAAAATAAAATAAAATATGGTTCCCAAAATAATGTTATTTGGTATGAGTCCCAGTTCATATGTTTTTATAGACTCTTCTCCCATTCCAGTCCAACAAAATATGTACTATTTGTAACCATTCATATCCAAATGGCTCTTAATGAGCTTAAGACCTCTATTCTTCAAAGCCTGTTGTTTTATCAAAGAAAGAGAAGTATAAGAGCTAAAAAGAAAAAGAAAATAGAAATAAACATCTTTCTGGGTAAAAAAAAAATGAGTTTCCATAGAGATCAGAATTGGGGCCATCTGATGTTTTATAAGTATTCTACAAGAGAACAGAGAGAGAGCTCCCAGAATACAGATGATGCCAAGACACTCACTATGTGAAACGCTCAAAGGGAGAGAACAGGGCAAAGGTCTCTCACAACTGTGACTTGATATAAGTTGGAAGATGAGTGTCAACATTTAGGAGAGGCCATACAAAATGTTCCTGTGAAACTGCAGCATCTGGGCTTTCATTTGTCCTAGACTTCAAGGGCTTTTTCTGCAGACACTACCCCTGCCATGTTCCTGCAAACAAAGAAGCACATGAATGTTGGATGACATCAGAAAATGTAACAAATAAACATTCATTCTTTCAACAAATGTGTACTGAGCACAGACTATGTGCCATGCACTGTGCTTGCTGTTGGAAATACAAAGCTTATAGTTTAACAGGGTGACAAATAAACTGATGGAATGTGGCAAATGCTCTTCTAGACATAACCACATGATGCTACATGGAAAAAGAGCACATACCCAGATGACTGGGCTCAAGTAAGCTAAAAGAAGTGCTGGGAGGGCCAAGTGCAATGGCTCACACTTATAGTCCCAGCACTTTTGGAGGCCGAGGTGGGCAGATCACTTGAGGTCAGGAGTTCAAGACCAGCCTGGCCAGCATGGTGAAACCCCATCTCTACTAAAAATACAAAAATTAGCTGGATGTGGTGATGCATGCCTGCAATTGCAGCTAGTCAGGAGGCCGAAGTAGGAGAGTTGCTTGAACCCAGGAGGCCAAGGTTGCAGTGAGCCAAGATCATACCACTGTACCCCAGCCTGGAAGACAGAGCAAGACTCCATCTCAAAAACAAAAACAAACAAACAAACAAAAGTGGTGGGAGTTTGGTAGATGTAGATAGGTTGAAAGGATTTGGTGTTCCGCAAAGGAAGAAAAAAGACCGATGGGCAGGCCATGGAGTTCTAAAGAGGCTGTTCTATGTGGTTGGAATGCAGAGATGAAGAGATGCAGTCTGGAAGTGGCGAAGGGATAGAGGTGAAGGCTTGTTCTTACCCTCCTGAACGCAATGGTAATTAATACATCAACATCTGAAAAACTGCATGCTATTCTGGTCCTTGCACTCAATATCCAGATATGGCTGGAAACATGTGGGTGAAGCAGTTTTCACGGAAGAAAGACTTAAAAGATTTGAACTCCCACCTAATAAGGCCTAAAAGAGAAATGTACCAAAATCTATGAAATTAAGAAAAGTCATAAATAAGGTAACATGATGTACTTATTCATTAAATCCCAGACATCAAATGCTGGGCAAAATCCAGCCAACCAGGTCATTTTATACATTAATCCCATCTAAAGTAAACATCTCCTAAATTTAATGATCATAAAGATCCCGAGGTGGTCATTAAAAATACAGATTCTCAGACCTCATGCCAGCACTCGCCACCTTGCCTCACTCTCCTACCAACCTCCTGAATCAGAATCTCCAAGAGACAGGCCTGGGAATTTGTATGTTAACAAATGACTCAGAAGGTTCTTATGCTTTGGAAAAAATTTGGGAAACACTGTTCTAAAAGGATAGGCTGAAACTCCTATAGTCAATAGTATTCTTACAAAAAGGTGCACCTGGCCAGCAGTGTGTCTTGCACATGCCTATTATCAGTTCCCCAGATAGCTTGGATACCTTTGAAGGGTGATATGGATGAAAAGTACAGAAGATGTTCAATAAATTGGGATGTCTCATGATGGCCAGGGCTATTTGCAAGTTACATTACTTATCTCAGACCACTGGCCTCACCAGCCTATGGAGACCAAAAGGGTTTAAGTAACATTTTATATAGATAGATGATGATAGATAGATAGATAGATAGATAGATAGATAGATAGATAGATAGATGATAGATAGAGAGAGAGAGAGAAAGAGAGAGAGAGAGAGAGAGTCTTGCCCTGTCGCCCAGGCTGGAGTGCAGTGGTGCAGTCATGGCTCACTGTAACCTCCACCTCCCAGGCTCAAGCGATTTTCCCACCTCAGCCTCCTGAGTAGCCGGGACCACAGGCAGACACCACCACGCCTGGCTAATGTTTGTATTTTTTGTAGAGATGGGGCTTTGCCATGCTGCCCAGGCTGGTCTCAAACTCCTGGGCTCAAGTGATCCTCCCACCTCGCCCTCCCTAAGTGCTGGAATTACAGGTGTGAGCCACCATATCTGGCCAACATTACTATTTGATTGTGGCCAGCTTAGTATTCCAAGGGCCTGTGCAAACCTGCAGCCTCCTTCAAATTGTCCCCTGATGTCTCCTCAACTTCTGCCACTAGAAACAAGTTTGTTCAAGGTCTTTCACTCAAGAATCATGCCAGAAGCTGGTAACTAGCAGCCATTCAAGAGAGTCACCACATGGTGGCTGCAGCTCCTGCTGTCCCCCTGTGTCCTCTTCCTCTCTTCCTCCAAATCCCCTTCTCGAAACCTTCTTCCTTCCTTCAGCCCTTAACGACCATAAATAGCTGGAGGAAGGGATGGAAACTTGCACTACATTCCCATTCCTGTCTTTAACTTACCCAGGACTTTGCTGCTACAAGACAACCCCCTAAAAAGGCATGGTCTTCACCTGCTTGTCACAGAAATGGATTCTCACATTCCTGACTCTCATTTTAGATAGCATCCCAAGCACATCAAACAGAGAGTTTTTAAAAATATATCTAGAATATAAATTGTTTTGCCAAATTTCAACTTGATGGCATTTGAAATACTTAACGTCAGAATCCATAAAATTATGGGACTTCAGCATCCTAGGAACCACTACAAGTTCTGGGAAGGAGAATGCCTTTCCTGGATTTGCAAAAGTCACTGGCATGTGGAAGACACATGCAGCTTAATGAATATAGTACACAGATGCTTCTAAAATGCACTTGCATTTCAATAGTTTGCAATAAGTGAAAGCATTCTAAGTAAGAGCTCAATTAACTAGATTCATAAACACAACTGTTTCACAACCTCAATCAAAACTCCAGAGGCTTAGGACAAGGGTCAGATTTTTATTAGTCTGAGTCAAATTTGATCCCTTGCTTTTTGGTCATTTTGCTGCTTGCTAAAACCTTCAACAAAGGCAGAGGAAAGATCACAAATCAATCAATAACAGATGTTGATTCCCTACGTAGTCCACTGTCTGAAACATCTGGATGTGGAAGGACCTCTTTCTGGATGATATAGAAGACTAAAAGAAGTTTCTTCTGGACAAAAATTTTTCATGTGCTAAACAAGGGCAACAATTGTAGAAATCATGTTTGCAATTCGGTAAAGGTGACCAGCAGTTTGGTCAAGACCAAAATCAGCCTACTATAGCCAAGTGACCTCTTAGAACAATTATATGAATTTCACAGACCAGTAAGAAGCCACCACTAAGCAGAGGCACTCCTGTGCACAACCTGCCCCTTTAAAAACACATATTGCCTTCATGTGATAAGTGTGTAGGCCTTTGATAATGGTAATTCTCCTACTCAGATGCTGGCCCAAGAATGGGACATGTTCGCCCTATCACTTCTGTTTCCCCATGTAATTAAGAACTGACCACTTGTAGATGTGGACCCTTATTTGGAAAAAGGGCTCATGCTCTAGAGGACATGTCAGACTTCTTTATAGATATCAACCTCTTTGCATTATTTAACATTTTTGTATTTCAAGCCTCTTTTCAAAATAAATTATAAGCTAACATACTTGTTCATCGGGCATGTTTGTGGACCCTAGACACGCATCAGTATTAGTTTCTTACTTCCCCTTCAATTCACTGGATAATAGATCTTAGTGCTGAAATGCTTCTTTCAATTAAACTTGCAGTAGATCTAAAGATTCGGATTGTAAGCTCATTACAATGGGAGCAACATAGGAGAACAATACCATTGCTAGTGGCCCTGGATACCCAGACTTAAGGGGGAGAATTCCTCACAACAAGTTTCAGATTGAACCTTTGTGTGAGTGGATTTAATTCTTATGGAAGAGACAGAATCAGACATCAAAATTCAATAAAAGGAAACTCTGGGCATGAAAAATGAGTAGTTGTAAAATATTTAACAGAAGCCAAATATTGAACTTGGACTTGCAACTTTGTTCCTATTGTGACCTGTTGGAGGTGAAATGGAAACACCCAGTCTCATGCTGAGCCAGACAGCAGAAAGTGGCCCCGTAATCCAGCTCAGAGTGACTGACTCCCTATGGACTGGGGGCAACAGAAAGGAAAGCAGCCTGGGGGTGTTTTCATTCCCAGAGTAGTTTCTCCTATTTCATTATTCCAAAGGTTCTAATGCTGAACAGGTAGGATGTACCAAGGCCTCCAGTCAGGGTTTACGCACTGATGTCCTAAAACACTTGTCCTAAAGCAAACACACAGGTTAGTACAGATTAGACATACTTCTGTACTAAACATCCTAGGTATGTACAAATATTGTGAGAATGTTCTCTTTCCAAGAATTCAAACAACTAGGGTTGCTAGATTTAGGAAATAAAAATACAGAACATCTTCGGTTAGACAGGAGAAATAAGGGGTTTTTTTTTAGGTCTATTTCACAGCATGATGACTATAGTTATTAATTGTTTGTTGTATATCTCATAATTAATAAGAGAGTAAATGTCAAATGTTCTCACCACAAAAAATGATAAGTAAGGTGATGGGTATGTTAATTAGCTTGATTTAATTATTCCATTTTTTATGCATATATCATAATATCACTTTTACCCCATAAATATATATGGTTATAACTTGTCGATTTACAATACAATTTTTAATTTATAATTTACAATTTAATTACAAAATTTTAACTTATAATTTACAATATAATTTCTTTAGTTACAATTAAAAAATACAGAACATCAGTTAAATTTGAATTTCAGATAAAGACTGAATTTTTTTAGTATAAGTATGCCTCATGCAATACTTGGGATATACTTATACTAAAAATATATTCATCCTCTATCTAAAATTCAAATTTAACTGGGCATCTTATATTTTGTCTGGTAGCTCTACCAGCTCACATCATAAGAGGACACCACAATTGAATCTACAGATGAGAAACTAAATTTGAAATAATTCATCTGTTCAATGTCACTGAGACCATTAGTGCTTAGGCAGAGAGCAGTAGATCTGATACAGTGGGAAAAGCACAATGATAATCTTGCCCTTGCCTAAAGTAGAAAGACATGCATGTGAGTTGATGCTTTTATTTTTGTTAAATACCCTTGAGTCAATATAATGCAAAACCATGATAGTTCACATTTTATAGTAACTTGTGTGAAACAGGAAGAAAGTCACCTCTATGGGAGTCTAGATGCATTTCTAACAAGACTACAATGACAAGGGGCTAAGTACACACCTCACTTATATTTAACATAGGGAAAGAAGAGATTGTCAATAAGGTGCTTATACTTAGAGATGGAAAATTTTGAGTGGGTTTATTTGCTGTGTGGTGTTTGGTGTTAAGCGTTTCTGTTTACATGTATGTTTGAGGGTTTTACTCCTTACAATAGAGTAAATCTCAGAAAGGCACAGAATATTGCACTGATCTGAACAAATTATTTTTTAAAGCCATCAATTAAAATAATAAAATTATAAACAATTGGGGGAATGCAGAATATGTATATATCTTTTTATATCTCAGTACCTGTGAAGAGCACAGAACACCTCTGATTAAGCATTTGTTTAAATTAAGAAATTAATTTATAGTAAAAATGCCAAGAGGAATTAATCAAAAATTATCATGTATAATTCATTTCCAGATCATGGAATATATTTGCGGCTAAGGAAATTATTTGGCTATCTACTGTAATTCTTGGACATTCTGAGGGGTTTTAGTATACCTTGAATCCTATTGTTTCCCATTATGCATCAGGAAATCAGAAACTGATTTCAAAATAAAATTGAGATTTAACTTTTAGTCTCCCCCTAATTATCTAGAAATCACATAACCACAAGAACTTCACTAGAATTGGTTTTTATGTCCCTACGTAGCCTGGCAGTGCCTGACTCACACAATAGGTACTCAGAAATCTGTGTTAAATTAGCTGGGCATGGTGGCAGGTGCCTGTAGTTCCAGCTACTTGGGAGGCTGAGGCAGGAGAATAGCTTGAACCCAGGAGGTGGAG
Source organism: Homo sapiens (assembly GCF_000001405.40). Lineage (NCBI taxonomy): Eukaryota > Metazoa > Chordata > Mammalia > Primates > Hominidae > Homo > Homo sapiens. The sequence goes on along the minus strand of NC_000002.12, from coordinate 176,382,296 downwards.
GTTGCAGTGAGCCGAGATTGTGCCACTGCACTCCAGCCTGGGTGACACAGCGAGACTCCATCTCAAAAAAAAAAAAAAAAAAAAAAAAAAGCCAAGACCATTTCTGTGATTCCTGGATGTGTCAATCGGCATTAAAGACCAAAGAAAAATAGACAACAATGAGAGAAGAGACTACTACTGTTTTTGTTACACTTAACCAGCTCAGCATCTCTGAGATAAACATTAGTATGTTCTTTTTACAAATGAGGAAACTGACTTCCCCAAGTCATATGACTAGGAAGTAGTGGTGCTGAGATTTGAGCCCAGATCTGATTAATTTCAAAGGCTGAGCTTTGGCTAAGGCATTGTTACCCATCTCCATCCCCTGCCCCACCCACTACACCAAAGGCAGGTGGCTTACAGCAGGCCATCACTGCTAGTGTCTACTCAGTCCAGTGCACATATCTGACTAAGACTGGATCAGGTGGGCCTTTTCCTATATGAAAGGGCATCAGACAATCCTATCCCTTTATGTGATGAGAAATGCCAAAGTTAGGAAAAATCAACTCTAAAAATTGCAATGGGGCACATAAAATCAGGTTAACACAAAAAGAATAAGATATATTATTATTTCTTTCATTGTTATTTTTGGATTTCTGTTCTCTGTGTTTTTTCTAAGTAGTTTCCTAAAACATCAATGTCTCTGTCTGATTCCAACTTCCCAAATGGCTTTATCCCAATTACTCCTCCCTGCCACACCTGCTTCAGAAAACTTAATCTTCAAAATGCTCCTGAAATGGAACTTTCTCTATAGACTTTTTACCCTCTGAATAATAAGTACCTCCCACTCATCCTCCACTCCTTTCTGGAGTTAAGCAAGTTGATTATAAAGTTCATTTTGAGAGAACAAATAAACCAAAATACCCAGGAAATCAAAGAGCAACAGTGAGGAGTCTAGTCCTGCCTGGTATATCACATACCACAGTGCCTCAAGTACCACAAAGTGCTTAATGCACAGAACAATCAAACAAAATGTAAAACCCTGAAGCAGACCCAATTGCATATGGAAATCTAGTATATGATAAGGGCAGCATGTCAAGTCAGTGAAGAAAAAGATGGACTTTTTAGCAAGTAGCATTGGAATAACTAGAGAATTATATGTAAAAAAATAAATGTGGATGAAGTGGATGTATTCCTCATGCTACCCATCAGAACAGTTTCCACGTAAATAGATTTTACATGTAAAAATTGAAGCTACCCAAGTACTAGAGGAAAACATGGATGAATTCCTCCATAATGTGGATGGGTTTGATTGGTAAAATTTTATTTTATATAAATGTATATATATTTGAACAAACATTTTCATGTTTGTTCACATGGCAAGCAATACCATCCAAAAATAAAGATACAAATGACAAGGTGGAAAAAAGTAGAGAGAGAGAGAGAGAAAAAAAATGTTCAAAGATATAATTTTTTAATGGGCTAGTTAAAAAAACACCCAAAAGCAAATTACCCTTAACCATATGAAAAAGTATCAAATCTCACTCATAATAAGAGAAATAAAAATTAAAAGTACAATAAGGGAAGGACTTCTTGCTCCTGACCATAAGAGATTAACTGGTACCAGATGTGTCTTCCCACTGTAAACAACTAGAAAACTGAATAAAATATATGAAACCACTGTTTTCAGACATTGGCCAACAAGCAGCACATGAATGTGATCATAGATAGAAGGGAGATAATAAGATAAGCCCTACAATCACACAGTGTTTTGCCTGAGGGCACCTAGTGGACCATATTATAGGAAGGGGGAAGCCAAGCAAAGCAGAGTGTTCTCACCAGGTTAAGACAAAAACTGAAGATCAGAAAGGATAAGGTGGCAAAAATTTGTGGTGTACAGTGCTACGAAGGAGAGAACTCTGCAGAGAAAGTTTCAAAATTTGCACAAGGGTTTCCTTGAGTCTTTGGCTATATGCTAAGTACACATGAGGAGGGTAAAATATCCAAGCAAAAAACTAATAGAAAACTGTAAGCTAGATATGTGCTAGAATTTCAAAAGGGCTAAGAGATTCAAAATCTGACCAACAGAATTTAAAACCTTGTTGAAATTTCAGGTCGTTCAGTAAAAACCCCAAAGGATCACTCTTTAAGAGTAAATCTAAACTAGCCATAGAGTAAAGACTATCTCTAGAACTAACGTAAGAAAGCTTAAAAACAAGCCTCAGAAGGATCGAGCTGATCTTGAAGCTTACTGCAAAATCAAATTTTAATACTCCTTAAAGGTAGACAACAAAATCCAGACACTTAGTAATGTAATATTCAAAACATTCAACATTTTATCAAAATTTAAAAGACGTAGAAAGAATCAGGAAAACCTGACCCATAACTAAAAGAAAAATCAACCACTAGAAACAGATCATTAAATAACAGAAATGGTGGAATTAGCAAAAAGACTTTAAAGCACCTCTTATAAATATCTCAAAAATTTAAAGAAAACCATTAAAATAATGAGGAAGAAAATAAAAATTTTTTTTTAAAAAAAGAGCCAGGTAAATGTCTAAAGCTTAAAAATACAATACCTGAAGTGAAAAATTAATTCATAAGATGGGATAAGTAGGAAATTAAACACTGAAAACATCAATGAACTTAAAGACGTAGCAATAGAAGATATCCAAATTGAAGTATGGAAAGAAAAAAAATGATTAAATAAAAGTTTAACACAGGGTCTTGTTGACATCTGGGACGATAACAAGCAGTCCAACGTACACATATTTGTATTTCCAGGAATAAAAAGAGAGGAAAAACAGAAAATAGTATTTGAAGAAAAACAATGGCTACACATTTTCCAAACTTGAAAAAAACAACTCCAGAGATTCCAGAAGTTTAACAAACCTAGCAAGAATAAGAACACATACACATGTGCACACATGCACACACACACATGCACACACACACAACACAATCCACAAGGCACATTATGATCAAATTGCTGAAAACTAGGAAAAAATAGAAAATCTTATACAGCCAGAGGAAAAAAAGACATTACAAAAATAGAAACAACAACAACAACAAAAGAATGAGCACAGATTTCACATCCAAAACCATGTAACACGATGGTAAAACAGTATCCTTAAAATGTTTAAGGAACGAATTGCCAAGTTAAAATTCTACACCTAAGGAAATAGTATTTAAAATGGAAGCATATAGATACTTTTAGGGACAAATAAAAGCTAACATAATTTGTCATCAACACACCTGCCCTGCAAGAAGGGTTTAAAGGAAGTTCCTCAAAGAATTAAAAACTTGAAATAATAAATATGTGGATATATATGAAAGATTTGTTGCTTATTTATTAATTTCATTAAAAGATAACTGACTCTTCAAAGCAAAAATAATAACAGTGTATTGTGAGGTTTATAATATATGTATCAACAAAATTAATGACAATAAGAGCCGAAAGATTGGAGGGGGAAAAGGAAAATATACCATTGTAAGGTCCTTACATTATTCAGGAAGTGGTATATTATTATTTAAAGTTAGATTGTGACAAGATAAAGATGCTTATTGCAAAGCTTATACAACTACTAAAAATATAACAATAATAAAAGACACATAACTAAAAAGCCAATAGTAATATTCAATTGAAATACAAAAAAATTTCACTTAATCCCGAATGAGACAGAGATAAAGAAAAAAGGAGCAAAGAACAGATATGATTAATAGAAAACAAAAAGGAATATGGTAGACTTAAACCCAAACACATCAATGATTACATTAAATGTAAATGGAATAAAGACTCCAATTAAAAGGCAGAGATTTTCACATTGAATTATTTAAAAAGTAATATCCAACTATATGCTATTTAAATAAATATGCATTAAGTTAAAAAGTAAAAGGATGGGGAACAATATACCATGTAAACAGTAATTATAAGAAAACTGTAGTGGCTACATTAATATCAGACATCAGAACAAGGAGTATAACCAAGAGTTAAGAGAAGCTTTTTTTTTGTTTCTTTTTTTTTTTTTTTTTGAGACAGAGTCTTACTCTGTCACCCAGGCTGGAGTGCAGTGGTGAAACCTTGGCTCACTGCAACCTCTGCCCTCCGGGTTCAAGCAATTCTCCTGCCTCAGCCTCCCGAGTAGCTGGGATTACAGGTGCCTGTCACTGCGCCTGGCTAATTTTTTGTATTTTTAGTAGAGATAGCATTTCACCATCTTGGCCAGGCTGGTCTTGAACTCCTGACCTCATGATCCACCCACCTCAGCTTCCCAAAGTGCTGGGATTACAGGTGTGAGCCACCGTGCCTGGCCTAAGAGAAACATTTGATAATGACAAAATGAAACAGGTGAATGTGTCAAGAAAATTTAACAATTTTAAATGTGCATTCACTTACTGATAAAGCTTCAAAATACAGAAAGCAAGAATTAGCAGATGTGAAAGGTGAATACATAATCTATAATTATGGTTGGAGATTTTAACACCCGTCTCCTAGTAATCGATAGAATGATTAGATAGAAAATCATTAAGAATGTTAAAGACTTGAACAACACTGTAACCAACTTGACCTGACACTTATAGAACACTACAGACAGGAACAGTAGAATGCACATTTTTTCACGCGTACACACAACATTCACCAAGATAGACCTTATGTTAGACCATAAAACAAGTCCTGATAAATGTAAAAGTAATAAAATTATATGGAGCATGTTCTCTGACCATAATGGACTTAAATTAGAACCAGTAACAAAAACATATCTAGAAAATCCTCAAATATTTTAAAATAATACACTTCTAAATAACACATTGATATAAGAAATTACAAAGGAAATTATAAGATATTTTGAACTGAAGGCTACAGAAAAGATGACATAAAGATAAAGCAGTGTCACAAAAGAAATTCATAGCTTAGTATTTTTATTTTAGCAAAAAGATGCCTAAAACTATCTGTGCTTGCACCTTAAGAAGGTAAAAAAATAAGAATAAATTAAACCTGAAGTGAGTAAAGGGAAGGAAATAATAAAGATGACTATGGAGACTATCTTGGAATAATCTACAAAAAAGCTACTAGTACTTATAAATGAACTTAGCAAAGTTGTAGTACACAAACGCAACATATAAAACTTAATTAAATGTCTGTATACTAATAATGAATAATTGGAAAATAAAATTTTAAACAATACCAATTACAATAGTATCAAAAACATGGAATACTTAGGGATTAAATTTAACAAATTATGTGAAAGAACTATATACTGAAAACTACAGAACATTGCTAAGAAAAATTAAAGAAGACCTAAATAAATATGTGATAATCAAATAGAGGAAACAATACTGTTGAGGTATTGATTCTCCCTAAATTCTCCCTATTGATTCTCTCTAAGTTGTACTGAAAAAAAAAAATCCCAGCAAGTTTTTGATAAAAATAGGCAAGTAAAATTTATATAGAAATGTAAAGAACCTACGATAGCCAAAAATACTTTGCTAAAGAAGGATAATATAGGAGGACTTTGCCTGATTTCAAGACTAACTATAAAACTACTGCAATCTACATAGATTATTCTTACTGGCATAAGAAGAGATGTATAGATTAATGGAACAGAACAAAGTATGTAGAAACAAACTGATTAATATGTGATCAATTAGTTTTCCACAAAGATGCCAAAGTAATTCAATGTGGGAAAAAATGTCTTTTCAACAAATGGTGCTTCAATAACTGAAAATAAATATTTTAAAAATATATATGACCACACTGTACACAAAAATAAATGTAAAAGTTAAGACTCTAAAACTTAAAAATAGTAGAATATCTTTGTGACCCTGGGGTAGGGGAAGATTTTTTTAAATGGAACACAGCACAAACCTAGAAATAAAAAAAAAATAAATCAAATTTCTTCAAAATGTACAGCATTTTCTATTTCAGAGACATTCTTCATAAAATGAACAGGCAAGCCACAATCTGGGAGAATACATTCATAATATGGACAAAAAACTTCTGTCCAAAATATTAAAAAATAAACTCTTGGAATCAAATTAAAACTGAGCAAAAGATTTAAGTAGATACTTCATAAAAGAAGACATGGTTAGTCAATAAGCCTATAATAGATGCCCAATATCAATGTCAACAGGAAAATGCAAAATAAAATCACAATGAGATATATCACTACTCATGTACTCAAATGGCTAAATTTTAGTGACTGCCAATACCAAATAATAGCAAGGTTGTGCAGCAACTGAAAAGCTCCAATATTTTTGTAGGAATGCCATATAGTGCAACCATTTTGGAAAAAAATTGTTGTTATTTATAAAGTTAAACATAGACTTAGAATATGACTGAGCAATTCTTCTCCTCGGTTTTTACGCAAATGAAAACCTATGTCCACAAAAAAACTTATACATGAATGTTCATAACAGCTTTGCTCAAAATAGCCAAAAACTTGAAAGAACACAAATGTCTATCAACAGGCAAATGGATAAACAAACTGTAGTATATCCATACCATTTATAAAATGGATGACATTAATAAAAGAAATGAACTGATACATGTGACAACATGGATGATTCCCTAAAACAACGTTGACGGAAGGAAGTCAGACACAAAAGAGTGCATCCGATATGATTCCATTTCTATGTAATTCTATAATAGGGAAATTAATCTACAGTAATAGAAAGCAAATTAGTGGCTATTTCAAGCCGGGAATGGGGTAGGCATTGAGGATTGATGGCAAAGGGTCATAAAGAGTTTTGGGGGATGGCAGAAATTCTCTGCATGTTGATTTTGATGATAGTTACATAGTTGTATACATTCCTTTAAAACCTAAATTCTATATACTTAAAACTTATACTTCCTATATGTAAATAATATCTCAATAAAGTTGATTTTCAAAACTAGACTGAAATACTATTTCTTACCTATCATATTAGTAAAAATCAAAGAGTTAGAAAACATTGTTGAGGCTGTGAGGCGAAGGGACTCTCATGTTACTAGTAACAATGCAAAATTGAGCTACCTTTAGGGAATTTGGCAATAGCTAGCAACATGACATATACATTTACCCTTTAATTTGAATACCTCACTTCTAAGGATCTATTCCAAAGGTATATTAACAAAAATATGGGAAAAAATATACATGCAACTTTTCATTGGTGCATTGTTCTGCAATAGAAGGAAGAATGGGAAAATAAACACATAAGGACTGTGGTATATTCTGGACAGGGATACAAGCTAGACTTCTCTGAATATGCTTTGTTTCATTTATATACATGAATATATTTATATGCTTAGAAACAATGATCAACTGCAGCAGCAATGAGCATCTCTATTATGGCCTCTAAGTACCACTTCCCACTAAAAAGATCCAGAGCTCTTAAGAGATATAGCTGGTTCCAAGTCTGAAGAAGGAAATGTGTGAGATGGGTCATAATAAAAGCTATCAAATATTATCCCAGTCAAGAGGACTCAGAAGCCAAACTGAAGAAACTCCCACTGGCTGAAGAAAGGACAAATGGGCATATTTATAAAGATAAATACATGGATTACACTGACAATTTTTTTGTCATCAGAACATTTTTAACATAAACATGTAGTATATGTATGTATATATGTAAAACATGTCATGTATATATTATATATACAACTCTATTTTATACAATGTAAGTAAAATAAAGGGAAAATGAAGATGCTAGATTTGAATGTGATTAATTCACTTACATGTTAAAATTTTCAATGCTTTTCTATTAATGATCTTCAAACCAACATCTGAATGTAGATTTAATCTTTATTACATAACTGAAAAATTTTGAGAGGTATCCATCACCTCAAGCATTTATAACTTCTTTGCATTACAAACATTTCCAGTATATTAATACCATTTTAGTTATTTTAAAATGTACAATAAATTATCATTGACTGTAATCACCCTGTTGTGCCATCAAATACTGTAACTACATTTTCTTGCCCATTAACCATCCTCACTCTCCCCGGTGCATCCCCCATCCCCTGCCACTACACTTCCCAGCCTCTGGTAACCATCCCTCTACTCTCTATCTCTATGAGTTCAATTATTTTAATTTTTAGCTCCCACAAATGTTTGAGAACATAAGAAGTTTGTCTTTCTGTGCCTAGCTTATTTCACTTAATGTCCTCCAGTTCCATCCATGTTGTTGCAAATGACAGAATAACAGAATCTCATTCTTTCTATGGCTGAATAGTACTCCATTGTATATATGTGCCACATTGTCTTCATCCATTCATCTGATGATGGACAAGTAGGTTGCTTCCAAATCTTGGATACTGGGAATAGTGCTGCAATAAACATGGGAGATATCTCTTCAATATCCTGATTTCTTTTCTCAATTTTTTTAAAGTTCATGCATTCATAATGATACTAAGAAAAAAGACACTCATTAGTGATCTTTGAAGATGTTAGGTAACCATTAATTTGAAAGCTGGTGAATAAAGGGAAAGAAGACATGATCAGCAAATCCAGACTACAGAAAAGGAAATAGGAAACACAACTATTTTTTTCAACAACTAAATTCCAAGAGGTGGGGAAAAAAAGAAAAAGAAAAAAAAAAAGAAAGAGAGAGAAAGGAAGGAAGGAAGGAAGGAAGGAAGGAAGGAAGGAAGGAAGGAAGGAAGGAAGGAAGAAAGAAAGAAAGAAAGAAAGAAAGAAAGAAAGAAAGAAAGAAAGAAAGAAAGAAGGAAGGAAGGAAGGAAGGAAGGAAGGAAGGAAAGAAAGAAAGAAAGAAAGAAAGAAAGAAAGAAAGAAAGAAAGAAAGAAAAAGAAAAGAAAGAAAGAAGAAAGCAAGCAAGCTGTAGTGGCTCATGCCTGTAATCCCAGCACTTTAGGAGACTGAGGTGGAAGGATCACTCTGAGCCCAGGAATTCGAGACCAGCCTGGGCAACAAAGTGAGACCCTGTCTCTACTAAAAAAAAAATTAGCCAGGCATGGTGGTGTGTGCCCATAGTCCCAGCTACTCAGAAGGCTGAGGCAAGAGGATCCCTTGAGTCCAGGAGTTCAAGGTTGCAGTGAAATATGATCATGCCACTGCCCTGTAGCCTGGGTGACAGAGTGAGATTCTGTCTGAAAAAAAAAAAAAAAAAAAAAAAAAAAAGATTGTCTGTGAGGTCATTATTGTTGAAGGTGGGCAATGGATACAGGGGAGTTCATTATACTATTCTCTCTAGATTTTTGTATATTTAAAAATTTTCATAATAAAAAGGTTTTTAAAGTGCCGTATGTAAATAGTTGAAAGAAAACTAAAGAAGTCTAGATGTAGACATGTGAGCTAAAAGTAGATGCATGTATAAGAGAGATCAGAGTTGGCGAAAGCCACAACTCAATGAAAATAACTACATTCAAAAACTCCATCTATGCAAAAAACAAAAGCCCTACTGAGGTTAGCAATAAGATAATATTTGATAAGTCCTGTTTGGTAAGAAATAAATGAATAAATAAATAATAGGAATATAAGAAGACCAGGAGTTCCCTGGAGCAGGAAGAAGAAAGCAGCTCATGGGCCATGAGGAAACATGCACCCAGCTAAAGCAGAGGGCAGAAACAGGAGACCTCAGTCTAGAGGGAACAATAAGCAAAATATAAGAGAAGAATGTTGATGGTCTGAAACTAGGGAAACAGCAACAGAATGAAGATGAGGAGATGAATTCTAGAGATGACTCATGAGAACAACTGACAGTACATGATGAGATGCGGATGAAGAGGAAAAGAGAACCAAAGATGCTTCAATTTAATTCACCAGAAATTTACTGAGCATCTGTGTGCCTACAGAGTCTCAAAGACTCAACAGTTTCATTGCAGAGATAATTAAAACAATTAACTATAATATATGCAAGTTTTTTATAACAGAAATTAGCATGAAAGTTGTAGGGGAATATAGACAAAGGAGCAACTGATTAGATGGTGGTTTTAACAGAGTTGGGGAAAGTACTTGAGGAGCAGTAGTTTAGAAAAGACTGGTAGAATCTGAGGTACCTCTGAGACATCCAGTTAAATAGATTCCATAGGAGGTTAGACATAGAGGTATGAGCTCATATCGGCATGTAGGCAACAACTCCCAAAATAAAATGACTAGTTAAGTTTGTTGGAACACAGTAAAAAAATTATTGCCATCTTTACACTTTAGTCCTATAAATACAATATTTGATTTTATCAGCATCTTCATCAAATTTAACTTTTTAATTATTTAACTTATTCTTCGGTGCTAAATAAAGAATATATGTATTTAATGCTACTATAAGGATTTTCTGAAATCATCTGCACCTAATGTCAAATCTCTGATGTACCATTTAAGTGCATCATTTAAGATAGATTAAAACAGCTATTTGTAAATGCTTGCCTCACTGCACTTATCATTATAGATATAAAATTGCATTGTGATAATGGCCACCTTCAGTGAGAAAAGATGTTATTTCAAAGATGGAAATGTAATAAATCTTTGTTTTAAGGACTACATAATGGCAGAAGGCAGATGCAGCTCTGTTGATAGGACTGAATGGAAGTAACTTTTCCAAATGAAAACAGATCATATTTCTCTTTTGAAATTTTTGTACTCAATTTCTAAATGCCCTGTTTTAGAATTCATAGTTTCCTTAGAAACTCTGGGAAATAGAGAAACTGTCTCTAAAGTCCATTTATCAATTGGTCCAAATATATGCGATACAGCAATGACTCAGAAGCATTTACAGCATTTGCTATGTATGGTTAAACCGTAAAACACAGCTTTCAACATCAATTGGCATCAAGAGCTCGATAAGTAAAATATGCCATATGGCATTAAGTTCATACACTAGAAACACGGGACAACACCGTCTGCTATTCAATCGCCATTTACAGTCATTTTCTGGGGGAATTGAGAAAGAAATCCAATAATACCATATATAAATTTTAAAAGTGTCTATAAGATATCATTGAACATTGCACATTAACTTCTTAAATTTATTAGAAAATATACTTAAGAAAAATCTTTATCATAGATCATTTTCATCTTATACACATTCTATATGGCTTTATAACGAGAAAGCAAAGTTAAGAGTCTCAGAAATGACCTCACTAACTCGAAAAGTGAACTAAAGTTGAGTGATGGTATAGATGGGGTGGTTTGTTTAACTACCACCTCACAAAGATATGAAATGGAAGACTGCCTCAAGATCTTCCACCCCATGGAATGTACTTTTTTATTTTTATCTAAGCAATGTGCATGATAGAGTATATGACTAAACATAATCCAATTTGATTTGTGTTGCAGCAGTTCTCCAGTGAACAAATCTGTAAAATTACAACATGTGAAAGCTTAACACAGTGATATAGAATGGCAGTGGCACGGTTCATATCTTAAACTGACAGACTGATGGTGATTATTGCAAGGACAATGCCCTGCATATGTCAAACGATTTGCAAATAATTTATGTCACCTTCTCCTCCATTATTGTTTTTGCAGAGGACATAAACTATGTCACTAATATTAAACTGTCTGCAAAAAGAGCCAAGCTCAGCTTTCTCCTCTCTGAGAACGCAGAGCCATCTGCACTCAGACAAACATGCATATGGCCATCATTTGTCCAACATCTTACACGGTGTGAAGGTTTTTTACTTGAAATGCCAACCTGTGTGGCAGATGATGTATGTGTTTCCTCAGTCCCGTGATTACCAGGCCCGCGCCACTGTGCTGCGCTCTCACCTCATCAGTTCCACAAGCCGCACTCCTAGGTGTGTGAAGCATTTGCAGCGATATGGCTTCTGACACGCAGGGAGGTTGAGGCGTTCCGGTGTGAATATCTGACTCCAGATTTTGTTCCAATCAGGGTCAAAGTCTGACCCACAGAAATTAGTGTGGGTAGAGATTTAGGACTCAAAAACAGCAATTTGAAAACTGGAATGAATATATTTTGATAAAGGGGAAAGCAAAGGGCACCCTTGCTGTCCCTGGTTGACTGCTGTGCCAAATGCCTTAGAAATGACCGCCGTTTTGTTCCTTTGGAAGAGAATGTAGTGTAAGGCATATTTGTCGTCACCAGTTGTAAACAGAAAAGGTTACACCTGCAACTAGGTGTAATTAGTTTTAGGGATTTGCCATTAATACAGACCAGGGAACTGTCATCCCTGCAAAATGACATTACAAGGCAGTTCTTCTCTAGATCTGAAGTTTTAGGAACACTTAAATTGGATTTTTCTTATATATATATATATATATATATATATATATATGCACACATGCGTGCACACACATGCATACACACTCATAGCAGAGAAGAGGGAGATCCTAAAACATCATTTCTAAACTACTGAGATAGCATTTTTTTGTTTGTTTGTTTTTAAGAGCTCTCCAAAATCTAGACATTTGGTTCAAGCAGAGTGCATTATAATGCACTCTTATTATTAAAGGAGAGGGAGCAATAGAGGAGGATAACTACGTTTAAAGATTGTCCCAAAGGGATATTTTTAGACATCAAATAGCTTTTATAAAACCCCACATTTTGATGAGTTAAGTGTAAATTCATCAGAAACATATGGGTTTGTTTTCCTATAAAATTCACATGGACATAAAAATATCTCCCCAACCTCCCTTTTTAAACTATGAGTGGGTTGGAGGCCTCAAAGAAGACATGTGATGTTGAGTTCTTGTCCTCTACCATTTGCCATCTTCAGACAGAAACAAAACCTCCACCAAACATGGACTATGAAAATCTGACCAAAGTTACCTATTTTGAATAAAAAGCAATGTGTGAATTTTGAATAATTCCTCAAAATTACTTTATAAAACAAAAGTGTATGAACTTACCAAAATGAAAATATGTTCCACTTAGGCCCAGTTAATGCTTATGGGAATAAGCAAAACTGAACCTATCAAGCCCATCTTGGTAGTGACTCAATATGATTTCCAGAAATTGAATACCCTCAACTGAAAATAACAGGTAGTTAACAGAATTTCCATAAATATTCACCACTTCTGATTACCTGTAATTCTATTAATAAAAAGAGGAAAGAAAATGGAAATATGCATATGTTAATAATAAAATTACAGAAAAACAAACATGATGGATTTTGTGAATTTATAGTTGGAGAGTTTCTAAGATGTGGCCAGCAGCCCCATAGGAGCTTATCCTGACAAGTTTAATTTACATGTTTTTAAATGAGCACTGTCAAGGTTGGCAGAGCTAAATTTCACTCAGTTTATCCCTCCCCAGTTCCCAGGCTTTTTGTTCTCTTATACCCTAAAAATACAAAAACATGGTTATTAAAGATCTCTCTTATATCACAGAAGATTATTTGGGAGATTTGTTAAATTAGATTGTGAAAATTCATGCCTTTTAAAACTGTCTACGGCTGAGGTCCCCAACCTTTTTGGCACCAGGGACTGGTTTCATGGAAGATAATTTTTCCATAGGGGGGATGCAGGGGTGGTTAGGGAGGGATGGTTTGGGATGATTCAAGTGCATTACATTTATTTTGCACTTTATTTCTATTATTATTACATTAAAGATATTATGAAATAATTATACAGCTTACCATAATGTAGAATCAGTAGGAGCCCTGAGCTTGTTTTCCTACAACTAGATGGTCCCTTCTGGGAGTGATGGGAGACACTGACAGATCATCAGGCATTAGATTTCCATAAGAAGCACATAGCCTAGATTCCTCACATGTGCAGTTCACAATAGGGTTCATGCTCCTATGAGAATCTAATGCCACTGCTGATCTGACAGGAGGTGGAGATCAGATGGTAATACAAGCAATGGGGAGTGGCTGTAAATACAAATGAAGCTTCAATCACTTGTCTGCTGCTAACCTCCTGCTGTGTGGCCTGGTTCCTAATAGGCCACAGACCAGTACTGGGTCCGTTGGGGACCCCTGGTCTAATGGACACTTCCATTTGGATGTCCAACTCAATATGTCCAAAACTGGCCTCCACACTGTCAACCCCTCATCAATTTCCTTTTCTTCCAACTATACCTTTCAGCTGTTGAGGCTCAAGATCTTGGACCCTACCTTTTCATTCACCACACCCAATCTGCTCTCACTCGTTAGCTTTTCCTTACAAATTTTTCTCAGATCTGCCCCTCTATTTCCTCTTTGTGACCTCCCTAATCCAGATACTCATTACATAAACTTAAATTAATGAAATGACCTTCCATTTTTTACTCCTAGCTACAGGAGGCATACTACACATCACTTCCTGATCAATTGCTCAACAGCCAATTTAATCATATCATACTCTTCTCTCCAGTGAAAATAACACATTGGGTTTTTGGAATGCTTCATAATCTGCAAAGCACTTTCACATTAATTAACTTGTTTGATCTTCAGAGCAAGCATGTGAGGTGGGCAGAACAGATACTAACATTTCCATTTTGTAAATGAGGAAGCTCAGATTTGGAGAGGAGCTGACTTGCCTGAGACCACGTACACAGACACAAACTGCAGTCAGGAGTCCAAGTCCAGAGCAGTTTTTGTTGCAACAGTCCATCTATGATAACTGCATGTTGCCTAAATGTCCAAATTACTGATGAGCCCTCAAAACCCTTTGTAATATAGTTCAAATTTGTATTTAAAACTTTATCTTTCATGGCCATTCTATAGAAACCTTCTGATCAAATCACATTGATTTACCTACTGTCCATTAACTTGCTAGGCAATTTTAACTCATAGAGTGACCTCTAAAAACCTTTCCCTGTTCAGTCTACCTATCTACCTTTTAAATGCAATTGTTTACCTTCTCCATGAAGATTTCTACAACCATTTCATTAAATGTCAGTAATTTTTCACATGTTTAAACTCAGCATCATTTGTTATATGGCCTATGTTCCTTCTTAAATTGTTTTATTGCATTCTTATTGAAATATTTACACATTTTTGGCTATCTACCCATTATATATTGTGACTTCTTGAGAGTAGAGGCTTTATCTATTTTTGCATGCCTTTCAGAATCTAACAAATGCAGTATAAAAGATATTCAGTAAATATTTGTTTGCAATGAATTCATTTTGATTGAGTTTTGTTAGTGGATGGCTTTTATATTTGAAATTTTCATTCTGGCCTTATAATAGAAGACCATATACAAATATCCTGACTACCCTCAATTGGGTGCTCTTAATATAATTTGATATGTATTATTTAACAAATTTTTAACTCACTTTAAATGCTATATATTATTTGTCAAAGGACGAGTTTAAAGTAACTTTTTCTCTTGGACTATTGTAGAACTCAAGTTTTCATTTGGCACATTATTTTCTGATTAGGTGTATACAGAAATGATGCTCACTAACTCCTATTAGAAAACCACTTGAAACAGAAATGTCTTATTAATCAATAGTAATTATTAAAGATATTATGAAGATTTGACAGCATACTAAATTAAAAGAATATAGACCTATGCTTTGTTTTTTCCTTTATACATATACATACATAAATATAAATCACCTTAAGATAATTTCTAGCATAGCATAAATATATTTAGCATTTTTAATTCAGGATAATTCCCTTTTCCTATTTTTTGAAAATACAATCACAAATTTTTTCCCAAGCCTTTGTATACTTACTGAAATGCATCTTCTGAAAAGTTAATCATACTAATCCTGGCTTGTTTGCATTTATTCAGTCGTTAGCACACTTTCAAAGTTCTAGTAATATCAATATACCTAGAATAACTCTTTAGATAGCATTCCCTTGTCTACCTTCTTGAACATAAAAAGTATGTTATATAATAGCTGTTTTAACATCTTTGTCTACTAATCTGTGTCATCTGTGTCATTTCTGGGTCTATTTCTACTGATTGATTTTTCTCTTCCTGCTTTTTGCACACCTGATAATGTTATCTTGGGTCGCAGACATTGTGAATTTTACATTAATGGGTGCTGGAGATTTTTGTGTTCCTTAACTGTTTTAAGGCCTTGTTCTGGAATGCAGTCTTGGAATTAATTCTATTGATTGATTGATTGATTGAGACAGAGTCTCACTCTGTTGCCCAGGCTGGAGTGCAGTGGCACCAGCCGTCTTAGCTCACTGCAACTTCTCCCTCCTGGGTTCAAGCAATTCTCCTGTCTCATCCTCCAGAGTAGGTGGGACTACATGCATGCACCACCATGCCTGGCTAATTTTTGTATTTTTAGTAGAGACAAGGTTTCACCATGTTGATTTTGATGCTTGC
Source organism: Homo sapiens (assembly GCF_000001405.40). NCBI lineage: Eukaryota > Metazoa > Chordata > Mammalia > Primates > Hominidae > Homo > Homo sapiens. The sequence goes on along the minus strand of NC_000002.12, from coordinate 176,366,147 downwards.
TTTTAAGCTTTGTTAGGTAGGTCTAGACAACCATTAGTCTAGGTCTAATTGGGCCCCAATACTGAAGGAATACCGTTCTGAGAACTTCAATGCCACATGTATTAGATGGTCTTCTCACTCTAAGGAGAATACAAACTATTTTCAGCCTTCTCTGAACTCTAAGGCTTGCTTGGCTTGCTCTTTTCCAATAGTTCTTTCCCAGCCTTAGTGAAGTTTCTTCATAAGCATGTGATGATCAATACTCAGTTGAAGACTAGAACCTTATACAGATCTCCAGAGTTCTCTCTCTTTATGCAGTTATCTTCTCTTCAGTACTCTGCTTTGTGAATTCTAGCTACTGTGGCCTTCTTGGCCTGGAATTCTTGTATTCTCAACTCAGGGAGACTGCTGGGCTCTGCTTGGGTTCTCCTCTTTCCTGTGAGGCAGCCTAGAAATGCCTTCTAAGCAGAAGCTGGGTAATTGAATGGCTTATTTTGTTTCTTTTCATGCAGGCATCACTGTTCTAAACTGACTATTGTTTCATGTCTTAAACCATTGTTTTATATATTTGGTCTGATTTCTACAATTGTTTAAGGCAGGAGGATACATCCAGTCCTTGTTCCTCTCCATCATGACTAGAAGTAGAAGTTCTTGGATAGCATTGTGAAAGACAAAAATTGCTCTAAGTGTCAGAGTGAAAATGAGCTTTTCTTATTCAGAATTGCCAAAGAACAAAAAAAAATAGAAATGAAAATTTACCCTCTCTAAAACAAGCCCTTTGGCAATAGTATCCAATTCAAAGTAGAAAAAGAAAAATACATTGACTCTTTAGAGTAAAAAGTTTAATTTATATACATATGAGAAGGTAATTCAACAAATTAAAGGTAACCTACCTGTCCTATTTCAAAATTACTTTAAATTCTTAGAAGTCACTAAAAACATTGTTTCAATAGCCAGAAATATTTTCTGATGTAAAACGTAAGTTATTTCTTCATTTCTATTTGGTAACAAAACAAAAAATAGCATGACTGCAACACAAATCTGTGCACAGATTTGTCTCAAAAAGAGAGAGAAAGAAAGAAAGGAATGAAATAAACAGAAAAATTGGCCTGAGCAAGCTGGGACTTTTCTTCTTACATGCCCCACTTTGTATTGGTAAGACCAGATAATGAGTAGCACTTTTTCTTTGTAACAATTCATTAATCAGAGAAATGATCCTTGCTAGTGTTTAGATGTTTTACTTAATTTGGTACCTCTGGCCTGCTGCCCCACTCGTGCCAAAATTATTATTTCTCACCCAGCAGGTGATAAATAACAACTTCAGTTGTGATTAATACCATGAATCCTTCAACCTGATGAATGCAAAAAAACTTGAGACCTACAGGACAAGTGGGTGATAATTGTTGTGAGAACTGTTGAAGCTCTGCTCAGCTTGTGAGGGGAGAAATCCACAGGAAATGAAGCATTTGCTAGCAGTCCAACTGATCCTAAGAGGCTTCATTAATCCCATCTCAGCAACATTCGCCATCTGAATACCAGTGCTAGCTTTTCTCCCTCCCAATACTAAGTTTTAAATATCTTCAGAGAAAAGAAATCATGAACTCATTTTTGCATGCATTTAAATATTTATTGAATGGATGAATAAATGAATAATAAATAAGAAAACAGAATTTTCGCCCATGTACTAGACATTATAATGTGGGTCATTTGAGAGCTGCATATGGTTATCTCTTGTCATTTCTCTAATAAAGCAATTGTGCACAAGTGTAGTTTTGCTAAAATCCATAGCAAAATTAACATTCTCTGCTGGCAAAAAGAAAACTGTTAGCAATGGCCAGTAACTAAAGCCACATGGTGCCATCAACTTGATCATTATTATTTAGCTCTAGATACCAACATAGTATACCAGTGGTCCTCAATTAGGCAGATGGTAAAGGGACTGCGTGTTATTTGAAAAAGCTTCCCAAGATATTTCTTGACTCCTCATTGAGAAACTGCTTTAAATGGTGGTATATATTTTAAGTCACAAGTCAATGGATGCATAATGATGGTCAACCAGTTGAATATTGCCTACAGACATTTTGGTTTGGCAGGCAGGTTGTTTTAATTCTTTTACTTTAATGCCTTAAGGTACAGGGATGCATTATCCACTTTGGCACAGCCCCTGCTATGCCTTTTGTCTAATAACTAGTCGGTCTCATTCTATTCATTACATATGTGGCTTCTGAACTGAGTTTGTGATCCCTGGCTGAATGGAGAGGTACTAAACAATAACAACCAAAAAAACCAAAAAAGTAAAAAAATAACTTAGCTTGCAATGTTTATCTTATATAAATTTCAGGGAACAGAAGAAAGTGTCACCCAATTCATTTCTTTAAATCAACTTTATTATGGTATAATTACATACAATAAAATGAAGTTTGGTGAATTTTGACAAATGTGTACATCTTATAAACATCAAAACCAATATATAGAATTCTTCCATTACCCCCCCAAGTGCCTTATACATTCAATACAAAAAGAAAACCAACAACAACAAAAATCTGACCTCAGATAACCCTTGATCTGCTGTCATTATAGATTAACTTTGTGTATTGTAAAATTTATATATGCATAGAGAATGTACTTTCATGTCTGCCCTCTTACCTGCAGCATATGTAATGGTTTAGGGATTCACCCAGACTGTTGCAAGTAACAGTTGTTCGTTACTTTTTTTACTGAGTAGTGTCCTATTGTTTAAAGGTACCATAATTTATCTATTCACCTGTAAATGGACTTTTGGACTTTTTTCTAATTGTGGGATACTATGAATTAAGCTATTGTGAACACCCAGGCATTAATCTTTGCATGGACATGGCCTCATTCCTCTGGGGTACTTAGCTGTAGAATTACTGAATCATATAGTAAATATATTTTTAAGAAACAGCCAGTTTCCTAAAGTGCTTGCACCAATTTACACTCCCACTAGCAGTGAATGAGAATTTCAATTGTTTCATGTCCTTCTCAACACATATTATCAAACTTTTCTATTTTAGTCATTTCAATAGGTGTGTGATGACATTTCATTGTGATTTAATTTACATTTCCCTGATGACTAATATAATTAAGCTTTTTCTTCATGCATTTATTGGTCATTCATGCATTTTTTTTGTAAAATGCCTAAGTCTTTTGCTCATCTTTTAACCTTGTATTTTTAGTTGGCTTTTTATTAATTTCTGAGTTCTTTGTTGTTCTGGATACAAGACCTTTATCAGCTATATTATTGCAAAACTTTCCCCTATGGTAAGCCTTTTTTAATTTATTGTCTTTGGAAGAGCAAAAGTTTTAAATTTTGATTAAGTCCAATTTTCAAAGTTTTTTCATAAATATTTTTGTAACCTACATAGAAAACCTTTTCCTACTCCAAGGTCATAAAAAGTTTCTTCCCAATATTTTCTTTTCTTTTTCTTTTTTTTTTTTTCTTTTGGAGATGGAGTTTTGCTCTTGTTGCCCAGGCTGGAGTGCAATGGCACCATCTCGACTCACCGCAACCTCCACCTCCCAGGTTCAAACAATTCTCCCGCCTCAGCCTCCCGAGTAGCTGGGATTACAGGCATGCACCACCATGCCTGGCTAATTTTGTATTTTTAGTAGAGATGGGGTTTCTCCATGCTGGTCAGGCTGGTCTCAAACTCCTGACCTCAGGTGATCTGCCTGCCTCAGCCTCCAAAAGTACTGGGATTACAGGCATGAGCCACTGTGCCTGGCCCCAATGTTTTCTTTTAGAAGCTTTAGGGTTTTAACTTTTGTATTTAGATCTATAATACATTTTAATTTTTGTGTATAGCTAAGAGTTAAAGTTTATTTTTTCCACAATGATGCTGTTCCATAACCATCTGCCTAAAAGCCTATTTATCTCCCACCATTCTCTACCTTAGAATTATCTAGAGTTTTATTAATTTTCTCTATTGTGTCCCTCTTTTCTATGCCATTTGGGGTTTTACTTATTTTCTCTCTTGCTTATCCATTTCCCATTTTATTGATTTCCACTTTTTTTATTATTTCCTTCATAGTACTTAAAGTTTAATTGCTCTTTTTTCCAGATTATAAAAGTAGAAGCTGAGATCATTGACTATAGACTGTTCTTTTCTAATACAGCATTTTCTCTGTAGGTTTTGCTTTAGTTGAATCCCACAAATTTGGACATACAGTTGACCCTCGAACAACATGGGTTTGAACATCACAGGCCCACTTACATATGGATTTTCTTCTGCCTCTGCCACCCCTGAGACACCAAAACCAACCCCTTATTTCCTTCCTCCTCAGCCTACTCAACATGAAGACAAGGATGAAGATCATTAGGATGATCCACTTCCTCATAATGAATAGTAAATATATTTTTTCTTCCTTATGATTTTCTTCATACCGTTTTCTCTAACTTACCTTTACTGTAAGAATACAGTATGTAATACACATAACATGCAGGATACATGTTAATTTACTGTTTACATTATTGATAAGGCTTCTAGTCAACAGCAGCCTATTAGTAGTTAAGTTTTAGGGGAGTACAAAGTTATATGTAGATTTTTGACTATACACCGAACAACCCCATGGTGTTCAAGGGTCAACTGTATTGTATTTTCATTACTTCTAAATTCAAAATATTTTCTAATTTGTTTTGTGATTTTTGTCTTTGACCCTGGACTATTTTGAAGTGTGTTGTTTGAATTCACAATATTTGGGGATTTTTCCATGACCTAAGTTCACTCAATAACTATTTGTCAAGCACTTACCATATGCTCAACAAGTAGGCTCCTGCAGATACGGGGCAGTGAACTAGTCAGCAGTTCTTTATCCAGAGTACTCACCTGGCACAGTCCCTGGAAAATAAATGGTGTTTATTGAATGAATGAAAATAAGCACTTTGGAGAATGTAAACATGAAACCTGATTAGAACTTAACTGTCAAGAGTATTATTCTAGTGATGAAATAAGAATATGATACTGAGAAATAAAGACTACATGGGTATTGAAGATCTTGCTAAAATAATGCTTCCTATGCTATCCAATGAAAATTCAGCACTTCTAAATTCTCGAAGGGAACAAATAATGGAAACCTACTCAGTTAGAAAAAACTATTAACATCATGTCAAATGACTGCCAATGAATGATTCAGCGGACTTACATTATATGAATATGCGTTAGTGTTTACACAATGATGGCCTTTTATTCTGGAATATATCATAGGTTGTTAACTAATTTTCCAGTCTACTGAAAACATCAACTATTTATCATGATAAACATCTAGACAGAGTAATTTTTTTCCATTTAAAAGCCTATACATTAAAAAAAATGCATTAATTGCCTAAATTTCATTAACTTTCACTTTGAGATTACATGTGTGGTCAATAAAGAGATTCTCTCATATGTTTTTTCTAGATGACATTTCCGTCTTGTCTTTCAGATTCTCTGTTTGTTGTACAAGATCCCAATAGCATCCTTAAGTATATTACTTACTTGTTCAACAGAAACAAGTAATTAGGACAAGGAGTTCAAACTAAATGTGTATAACAAAAAGTTAAAAAAAAAACCTCAGTCTTATTTTTAATTATCTCTAATTTTATAGGAGTGAAACGTTACACTGATGAAAGTGTGTTACATTAAACTTGGTAAGTCAACATTTTTTAATTAAAGAAAAAATCACTATAAAATTAGTTTTCTGGTTTAACTTATATTGAGCGTTTTTTTTTTTTTTTTTTTACACATTATTTTTAAGACTACTTTTGTTAAGTTTAGTTTTAAACTTCAGGTAATGAGAAAACAACAAGGAGCTAATCCTCCAGAAACAACTGTGAATGGTATTTTCTTTGAACGTATGATTAAACCAAAATAAAATAACGTGTTCAACATTAACAAACTACACATGTTATTTGGGAGCAGAGAGATATAAGTATGCTCTCCCCTCTGGAACCCACATATTTCTACTCAATAATCATGGAAATTTCACATATTAAATATTTGGGTGTGAAAATCAGAAAAGTACTGACTAATGTACTTAGGACATCACACCAAACTTAGGACATTGCTCTAAATATTTGGTATAAATTAATCCATCACCTAGGTTAATATCTTAGTAATTTGACATATTTGGTAAAGTTTTCAAATTACTTAGTACATTTGAAGGTTTTTTTGGTTTCTTTGTTTTTTTGTTGTTGTTTCTTTTTTTAAGGTATTGTCTTTGACTATTCTTCACTAATGGGGAGTGAAGGTAGGAGTCAGGGGGAAAAAACACTATTTTTCAAAATGAAATCAATAATACTTTTTCCTCCAATACACCCTCATCAGTATGTATGTGAGAATAAAGTGACTATTATATATCTTTAGTGTTTAAATGGAATGTAAACAAATCAAATAAACTATGTTTTAGAGCTTACACATTAACATTTACATAATTATTTAAAAATATATGTTCAAGAATGTTCATTATACCTTATACACACTGTACATCACTTAAATATTTTATTAATAATGGCTGGTTAATGAGTTAGAGTGTATCATCATATAACGAAACATTATATAATTGAACATGTGTCTACATCTCCTTATACCCATGTCAGAAAAGATAAACATTTCTGAAAGAAGATGTCCATAGTAACAATGGAAAACAAACAAACAAAAAGTGCTAACAGAGGGGCAGAAATTGTGACAAACTCTCGATTTTAAAAGAGCACACAGATCTACACAGAAATAAGTTTGGAGGAAACCAAGTAGTAGCAGAAACTTATCATAAAAATGGCAATAGAGGCCGGGCACAGTGGCTCATGCCCGAAATCCCAGCCCAGCACTTTGGGAGGCTGAGGTGGGTGGATTATGAGGTCAGGAGATCGAGACCATCCTGGCTAACATGGTAAAACCCTGTCTCCACTAAAAATACAAAAAATTAGCTGGGCGTGGTGGCAGGCGCCTGTAGCCCCAGCTACTCAGGAGGCTGAGGCAGGAGAATGGCGTGAACCTGGGAGGCGGAGTTTGCAGTGAGCCGAGATCATGCCACTGCAATCCAGCCTGGGCAACAAAGCAAGACTCCGTCTCAAAAAAAAAAAAAAAAAAAATGGCAATAGAGTCCAACTCCAGAAGTCAGTGGCATCTTATTATACAAAGTACATGAGGGGATCCCAGGCATTCAGGTGAAAATTAATTCAGAGCAGCCAGGCTGATGGGACACTTCCTCAATCCCCAGCTTTTGCTTAGGAGCAAGGGGCCAATGGCAGTATTTGCTGTCAGGATGCTGTGGGGAGTGCCCAAGTAACAACTAACCTCAAGAAGGATGAGGAACATCACACCCAGAAGACAAACTGCCACCAAACTCTATTTAGATGCTCATCATAGACAATGAGAAGAAGCAGAGTAAGTAATGTAACTAGTATCCCCAGAGAAATGTATACTAATTCTCAAATGCAAAGAAACATAAGCAGACAACTAAGAACTGTCCAAAATGTAAAGAAAACCAAGCCCATGAGAGAAAGACACCAAACTCAACAAATTATCATCAAAAAAAGAGTCAATTATACAACCAAAAATAAATTTGAATAATATCTTCAGAGATTCCTGGGTGTCCTGTACACATGAAACAGAAAATAAATAGAAATCTTGGAAACTTAAAATGTTATTGGAATTTCAGTTTCAGCTAAGATGGAGTCCTAGGGACTGGGTATTTTTAGGTATTTCAAGTGACTAGATATTAGTATTCTATTAGTATTTGATTCTAGCCCACCTGAAATACCTAAAAATCCAGACAAAATACATGGAACAATGGTTTCAAGAGATGGAGGCTGAAAAGTCCTATGATATGCTACCTGCAAACTAGATAACCAGGAAAGTCAGTATTGCAACTTAGCCTGAGTCTGAAGGCCTAGAGGGTTGAGATTGTCTCACAGTTCGTCGATACGGAAGATTTGTTGTTGGTGGTGGTATTCTCCTCCCTTTCTTCTAGTCTTTCTTTCCTTTTTGCGTGTTAGTTTGGATAGTTTTGGATAGGGACTAGTTAAGTGACCCAGTCCAAAGGCCTGAGAACCTGGAACTCTGATGTCTAAGGGCAGGAGAAAACGGATGCATCAGCTCCAGAAGGGAGACTTAATTTACCTTGTCCCTACCTTTTTGTTCTATCCAGGCCCTAGGTAGGTTGGATGATGCCCACCTACACGGGTGAGGGTGGATCTTCTTTGTTGCTGAATCCAATACTAATATCTTCTGGTCATGCTGTCACAGACACACCCAGAAATAATGTCTTATCAGCTATGTAGTATCCCTTAACCCAGTCAAATTGACACAAAAAGTTAACTAACATCACACCAGGACAGGGCATAGGGGAAGGGAACCCAAGTAGGGCCTGGTAGACTCCCTCTAAGTTGAAGAAGTAGAGGGGAAAGTCCAGGGAGACAAAGGCAGCTAGAGTTTGCAGGGCAGAGTAGTGAGAATGAACTCCATAGATCGGCAGTTGGTGCCCCCTGGGAATCAGGACTATCAGTGCATGAATATGAGAAAACTATCTGAGGCCAGGAGAAGGACACCCAAAAGGATTAAAGGGAGCAATACTGAGAGATCACACAAGGGCAAGAATGGTACTTGTTTGCACCAGTGAGATTGAGAAATTTCTTAATTCACAAGGTGTTAAATAGAATACAGAAGGTCCTCACTTTACTATGGTTCAATTTAAGATTTTTCAACTTTAGGGTGGTATGAAAGTGATACCCATTCGCTATATTCCTCAATTTAGGACAGGGTTACATGCCAACAACTACATCAAGGAGCACCTGTGTTTAAAAGGGTCTTGTCTCAAAAGAGAAAATAATTAGCTCTAGACTAAATATTGTTCTGCTCCTAACATATTTTAAAAGACCCAAAAGGATTAAAGTGTTTTCTGGAAACTTAACTGCATTAAACACAAAGTTAAATAATATTTGTAGGAATAGAAAAATATACAGCCCCCACAAGAGGAAAAAAAAATCACAATATCTGGCATAAAATAAAAAATTATCAGGCATGCAAATAAGCAGGGAAAACTTTTAATAAGGAGAAAAATCGATCAACAGAAACCAATCCAGAACCAACACAAATGTTAGAATAAGCACACAAGGACAATAAAACTGTTGTTACAACTATATCCAAATGTTTAAAACGTGAGAGGAAAGAACATGTTAGAGACACAAAAGTTCTCGAAAAATTTCTAGATACAAAACTATAATGTGTGAGATGAAGAATATACAAAATGAGGTTAATGACAGATGAGACACTGCAGAAAAAAAGAAAGGTGAACTTAGTGACATAGCAATAGAAATTATGCAAACTAAAACACAAAAGAGAAAAAGGACTAGAAGGAGGAGTAGGAAAACAGTAACAACAATACATTATCAATGAACTGTGAGGCAATTCCAAGTGGTTTAATATATGTGTAATGTGAGTCTCTGAAGGAGGGGAGAGGAGATCAGAAAAAAATATTTAAAGAAATACTGGCTGAAATTTTTCCAAAATTAGTGAATAGTGTAAATCCAGAAGTCCAAGATCAACAAACCGTAATTACATGAGAAAAAATTCACTAAACTACATCACAATCATATTGCTCAAATCCAGGGATACAGAAAAAATTGTAAAAGCATCTAGAGAGGAAAAAATGTTACATGCAGAGAAACCAAGATAAGGATGATGTTTTCTCATCAGAAATAATGGAAGGGAAAAGGCAGTAGAGCAGATGGCTTAAACTGCTGAAAGGGGAAAAAAAAACGGTCAACCTAGAATTTGATACTTAAATATCTTTCAAAAGTGAAAGTGAAATACTTTTTCAAATATACAAAAGTATTCATCACCAGTAAACCCATACTACAAAAAAATGATTAAGAAAGTCCTTCCGACCGAAGAAAAATTTTACCAGATGGAAATATGTATCTATACAAAGAAACAAAGGATATCTTTACAAAATAATTGACCATTTAAACAAAAATAGCAATGTACTGTGGAGGATATAACAGAAGTAGGAGTAAAATAATAGCACAAAAACTGAAAGGAGAGAAATAAAAATACACTTCTGTAAACTTCTTCTTATGTGAAATGGTATAGTATCACTTGACGGTAGGCCATTATAAGTTACAGATATATACTAGAAACCCTAAAACAGGGGTGTGCAATCTTTTGGCTTTCCTGTGCCACATTGGAAGAAAAATTGTCGTGGGCCACACATAAAATACACTATAGCTAATGAGCTAAACAACAACAAAAAAAAAGTTGCAAAAAAATCATAATGTTTTAAGAAAGTTTACAAATTTATGTTGGGCCACATTCAAAGCCATCCTGGGCCATATGCAGCCCACAGACAATGGGTTAGACAAGCTTGTCCTAAAACAATCACTAAATAACAAAATGAAGAGTTATAGGTAGTGAACTAACAGAAATGTTAAGATAAAAAATAAACATTTAAAACAAAAGCAGGCAGAAAAACAGGAAAGGAAACAGAAACAGATGGGGCAAACATAAAACATAGCAAGAAAGTATATTCAAATTTCATTATATCAATAATCACATTAGGTGTAAATGGTCTAAACACTCCAATTAAAAGGCAGACATTGTCAGATTGTATATAAAGACTCAACTACTTGCTGCTTCTAAGAAACTCACTGTGAAACATAAAGATGCAAATAGGTTACATGTAAAAGAATGGACAAAGATATATCATACTACTACTAATTCAAAGAAAGCTGGAGGATTTATGCTATTAAAGTACATTTCAGAACAAAGACTTTTGTGGAAAAAAATGTCTTTTCATAATGATAAAGAGGTCAGCTAATCAAGAGGAAAGAACAATCCTAAATATCTATGCTCCTAATATGACAGCTTCAAAATACATGAAGCAAAAACTGATAGAACAGCAAGGAGAAACAGACAAACCCACCAGTATAGTCAGACATTTTAATATCCGTGTGTCAATACTTGACAGAACATGTAGGCAGAAAAATCAGCTACATTATCAACCAACTTGATATCATCCAACACTTTCACTAACTGATAGTGATAGAATATTCCATGCAACAACAGCAAAATAAACTTTCTTTTCTATTGCACATGGAACATTTAATAAGATTGGCCATATTCTGGGCCACAAAAAAAGTCTCAAATGTAAAACTATTCATGTTATACTAAGACTATTCTTTGACAATGAAATTAAATTACAAATCAGTAACAGTCAGTTTACTTTCCCTTCAGCAAAAGAAACAATCAAGAGAATGAAGAGACAACCTGTAGATTGGAAAAAAAAATTTGCAAACTGTTCATCCAACAAGAGACTAATATCCAGAATATACCAGGAAATCAAAGAAACTCAACAGCAAAAAAAAAAAAAAAAAGAGAAAAATCTCCAAAGAAACTAAATAATACACTCCTGAATAACATGGGGTTCAAAGAAGAAATCAAAAGTGAAATTAGAAAGTATTTTGAACTTAATAAAATATACCTGAAACACAATATACCAAACTGAAACACAATATATGAAAATTTGTGGGATATTGCTAAAGCTGTACTTACAGAAAATTACTTACAGCATTAAATGTCTATATTACAAAAGTAGAAAGGGTGAATGTTTCCCCTATAAGATTAGTAACAAGGCAAGGATGTACTCTCTCACCAGTTCTGCTGATGTTGTACTAGAGTTCTAGGGGAAAAATAAATAAATAAAATCAGTCAAATTGAAAAGAAACAAGTAAAATTTTTTGTTTGCAGACATTATCATGTAGGTAGAAAATTTGATTGAATCTACAAAAAAGCTATAGTTATACTATAACTGGTCTAGTAATACTAGAATAAATTTACCAAGAGGGCAGGATACGAGAGCAATATATAAAAGTTATATTTCTATATACCAGAAACAAACAAATGGAAACTGAAATTTGTAACACCACCTATCTATAATAGCAACAAAAATGTAAAATATTTAGGGATAACTCATCACTATATAGCCTATGTATGAGTTCTCACCCAGGTTTGTGCATTCTGGAGAAGATGCAGAAAAGGTGGTATGATGTTCAATACTTAATTTTTAAAATTTATCTATCTTATTGTGTTGTCTATGTCTTGAAAAGTTGTTGCAGTTATTTTTGATTGGTTCATTTTTTAAATTTTTTTATTTCAATAGATTTTTCGGGAACAGGTGGTGTTTGGTTACATGAGTAAGTTCCTTAGTGGTCATTCTGAGATTTTGGTGCACCCATCACCTAAGCAATGTACACTGTAGCCAATGTGTAGTCTTTTATCCCTCTCCACCCCCCACCCTTTCCCCCAAGTCCCCAAAGTCAAGAACCCAAAAGTAAATACAACAAAAACAAAGATAAATAGATGGGACTTAATTAAACCAAAAAGCTTCTGCACAGATGTTGCAGGAAGTCAAGGACCCCGAATGGAAGGACTGGCTGAAGCCATGGCAGAAGAACGTGGATTGTGAAGATTTCATGGACATTTGTTAGTTCCTCAAATTAATACTTTTATGATTTCTTACACCTGTCTTCACTGCAATCTCTGAACATAAATTGTGAAGATTTCATGGACAGTTATCACTTCCTCAATCAATACCTTTGTGATTTCCTATGCCTGTCCTTACTTTAATCTCTTAATCCCATCATCTTCATAAACTGAGGAGGATGTATGTCACCTCAGGACCCTGTGATGATTGTGTTAACTGCACAAATTATTTGTAGAGCATGTGAGTTTGAACAATATGAAATCTGGGCACCTTGAAAAAAGAACAGGATAACAGCAATGTTCAGGGAACAAGAGAGAACCTTAAACTCTGACTGCCGGTGAGCCGGGTGGGACAGAGCCATATTTCTCTTCTTTCAAAAGCAAATGGGAGAAATATCGCTGAAATCTTTTTCTCAGCAAGGAACATCCCTGAGAAAGAGAACGCATCCCTGAGGGTAGGCCTCTGAAATGGCCGCTTCAGGGGCGGCTGTCTTTTACGGTTGCAGCTGTAGGGATGAAATAAGCCCCAGTCTCCCGTAGCACTCCCAGGCTTATTAGGATGAGAAAATTCCCACCTAATAAATTTTGGTCAGACCAGTTGTCTGCTCTCAAACCCTGTCTCCTGATAAGATGCTATCAATGACAATGCATGCCTGAAACTTCATTAGCAATTTTAATTTTGCCCCAGTCCTGTGGTCCTGTGATCTCACCCTGCCTCCATTTGCCTTGTGATATTCTATTACCTTGTGAAGCATGTGATCTCTGTGACCCACACCCTATTTGTACACTCCCTCCCCTTTTGAAAATCACTAATAAAAACTTGCTGGTTTTATGGCTCAAGGGGCATCACAGAACCTGCTGACATGTGATGTGTCCCCCGGACACCCAGCTTTAAAATTTCTCTCTTTTGTACTCTTTCCCTTTATTTCTCAGACCAGCCGACACTTAGGGAAAATAGAAAAGAACCTACGTGACTATCGGGGGCAGGTTCCCCTGATAACAGCAAAATAAATAATCAGCAGAGTTAACAGACAACTCACAGAGTGGAAGAAAATCTTCACAATCTGTACATCCAACAAAGGTCTAATATCCAGAATCTACAAAGAACAAAGAACTCAAATCTGCAAGAAAAAAGTATCCCATCAAAAAGTGGGTTAAGAACATGAATACACAATTCTCAAAAGAAGATACACAAATGGCCAACAAGCATATGGAAAAATGCTCAAAATCACTAATTATCAGGGAAATGCAAATCAAAACCACAATGCAATACCACCTCACTCCTGCAAGAATGGCCATAATCAAAAAACAATAGATGTTGGTGGGGATGCAGTGAAAAGGGAACATTTTTACACTGTGGGTGGGAATGTAAACTAATACAACCACTATGGAAAACAGTGTGGAGATTCCTTAAAGAACTAAAAGCAGATCTATTGCTTGATCCAGCAATCCCACTACTAGGTATCTAATGAAAGGAAAAGAAATCATTGTATGAAAAAGACATTTGCACACACAGGTTTATAGCAGCACAATTTGCAACTGCAAAAAGATGGAACCAGCCAAATGTCCATCAATCAATGAGTAGATAAATAAAATGTGATATATATAAATACATATATACATACACACACTCACACACACATACACACATGGAATACTACTCAGCCATAAAAAGGAAAAAAATAATAGCATTTGCAGTGACCTGGTTGGAACTGGAGACTATTATTCTAAGTGAAGTAACTCAGGAATGGAAAACCAAACATCACATATTCTCACTCATATGTGGGAGCTAAGCTATGAGGATGCAAAGGCAATGCTTAATTTTTTATTGCTGGTGTGACAGGTTAGGTATTTGAGATAACTGGGGAAGGCACTTTTTAAACATGGCTTACACTCAGTTGGCTCAAGATCACATTGTCTTATTAGTGCCTTTACACTCCTAATAAACAAGTTCCATCTTTTGCTTATGAGTTATGTTTTACATAAGCATAATTAAAATTTTAGAGGTTTACATCTTAAGTACATAGCAAATGCTTATCTTTTACAAATGAAGTATTCTTATCTTTAGATAGCCTATACTCACAAACATATTTATCAATTTTAACTAATAGCAACATGTTTATACAAAATATGGTTTAGGAAACACACACACACACAGAACATAAACTTGTAGGATGAGGCGTCCTCTACAAAGTTTTTCAAATAACACAATTATCTTCTAGGAAACTGTGGATTATTCAAATAGATTTAAGAAGTAGAAAGCTTGGACAGACAATACCCAAAGGATGAAAAAGCCAACTAATTGCACCTAGAAAATAGCAAATCAGGCTTTCTAAAAAACTCTAAGAGTGGAAAAATAAGTTTTTTTTTTGTTTTTTTGTTGTTTTGAGACGGTGTCTTGCTCTTTCACCCAGGCAGGAGTGCAGTGGTGCTATCTCGGCTCACTGCAAGCTCTGCCTGCCGGGTTCACGCCATTCTCCTGCCTCAGCCTCTCGAGTAGCTGGGACCACAGGCGCCTGCCACCATGCCTGGCTAATTTTTTGTATTTTTAGTAGAGACGGGGTTTCACCGTGTTAGCCAGGATTGTCTCGATCTCCTGACCTCGTGATCCACCTGCCTCGGCCTCCCAAAGTGCTGGAATTACAGGCATGAGCCACCGCGTCCAGCCAAAAAATAAGTTTTATGGACAAGTTCTACTGAACTTCAAAGAACAGGACTCTATATTCTGTAAGAACTGTTCCAGAGCATAGAAAAAGATGGACAGTTTCCTAACATTGTAAAAGGCTCACAAAACTTGAGAGACAAAACTAGAGCAGACACACACACAAACTCTAAACTAAGCAGTTCATGAACAATATGCAAAAATCCAAAAATAACCAATTAAGAAGCTTCAGCAAAGAAAACAATCAACAGAGTAGAAGAGACAACCTACAGAATGGAAGAAAATATTTGCAAACTATTCATCCAACAAGAGACTAATATTCAGAATATGCAAGGAACTCAAAGCACCCAACAGCACAAAAGCAAAAAAACACATAATCCAATTTAAGAACAGGTAAAGAACCTGAATAGATATTTCTCAAAAGATATGCAAATGGCCAAGTATATGAAAAAATGCTCAACGTCACTAATCACCAGGGAAATGTCCATCAAAACTACAATGTGGTACCATCTCACCCCAGTTAGAATGGCTGTTACAAAAAAAAAAAAATGACAAACGCTGGTGAAGACACCAAGAAAAGGGAACTCTTATACATTGTTAGTGGAAATGTAAATTAGTACAGCCATTAGGAAACACAGTATGGAGGTTTCTCAAGAAACTAAAAACAGAACTACCATATGATCCAGCAATCCGACTATAAGTATTTATCCAAAGGAAAGGAAATCAGTATATCTATGAAATATCTACACCCCCATCTTTAATGCAACACTATTCACAATAGCCAAGATACAGAATTGACCTAAATGTTCATCAACAGATAAATGGATAAAGAAAATGTGGTATATATACATAGTGAAATACTATTCAGCCACAAAAAGAATGAAACAGCAACATGGATACAACTGGAGAACATTATGTTAAGTGAAATAAGTCAACCATTTCTATGTAGATAAATACTGCATGTTCTCACTCATATGTAGGAGTTAAAAAAAAAAACTGAGCTCATAGAAGTGAGGAGTAGAATTATGGTTATTAGAGGCTGAGAAGGATGGGGGAAATTCTTTTCCCCCCATCCCTCCCCAGTCAGGAGAGGTTGGTTAATGGTTACAAATTACAGCTAGATAGGAGAAATAAGTACTATGATTCTAAAGCACTGCTGGGTGATTACAGCTAACAATATTATATACTTTTAAATAGCTAGAAGAGAGGACTTTGAATGTTTCCAGCACAAAGAAATGTAAAATATTTGAGGTGATGGATATGCTAATTACTCTGATTTGATCATTACACATTGCATACATGAAGTATCACTCTGTACCCCATAAATATGTAAAATTATGTGTCAACTAAAAATAAAAACTCCCAATATTAAATTAAATAACTGATATAATTAAAATAGTAAATAAAATAGGAGAAATCTTTTAATCATCCATAAATACTCTAAAAGTATTTTTAAGTGTTTGATAGAATTTCATTTCCATTCTTGACTTAAGCACACTGACACATAATATTCCAAAACAAAAACTTTACAATTAGAAGGAAATTTCCTTAATCTGATGAAAGGACATTTACTCAAAACATACGGATACACCGTACTGAATGGTGAAATACCAGAAGCATTTCCATTATTACTGGTAACAGGATGTCTGCTATCACTATCTTTCAATAGTGCACCAAGATCTCGCCCCTGCAGTAAAAGAAAAAAAAGAAGGAAAGGAAAAGGAAGAGAAGGAGAAGGGGAAGGAAGAGACATTACATTGAAAGGAAAAAGACTTATTCCTCATTAGAAAACCCAAAAGTAACAAAAGCAAAATAATGAAAGAGATCAGTTAGGTGGCTTGATTAAAGATCAGCATGTAAAAACCAAAGCTTTCTGATTCACCAGCAATGATTAACTTAAAAATGAAATAAAAAAAGATTTAATTGCTAATATTCCCTCAAAACCATAAAACAAGTAGGCAAAAATTTTAAAAAAATGTTTAAGATCTACATGCAGTAAAATATATAAAGCTTCAGTGAAGTACACAAAAAACTTAAAGAAATTTACCATGTTTTAAGAGAAAAAAATTTTTTTAATGTTGATTCCTATCTAATTATAAGAAAAGGATCTTTCTTGGGAGGCCGAGGCAGGCAGATCACAAGGTCAGGAGTTCAAGACCAGCCTGGCCAATATCGTGAAACCCCATCTCTACTAAAAATACAAAAATTAGCTGGGTGTGGTGGTGCATGCCTGTAGTCCCAGCTACTCGGGAGGCTGAGGCAGGAGAATCGCTTCAACCCAGGAAGTGGAGGCTGCAGTGAGCCGAGATCATGCCAATCCACTCCAGCCTGGGCAATGCAGTGAGATGCAGTCTCAAAAAAAAAAAAAAAGAAAGAAAGAAAAGGATCTTTCATTTTTATTTAGCATTAACTTAGAAGTCCTACTAACCACAAAAAGACAAGAAAAGAAAACAAAAATTTTAAAGATTAAAATGAAACAAAACTGCCATTATCTAGGGTTTATACCTTTCATCCATGGAAAACTACAAAGGATCCTTAGAAAGATCATTAGAATAAGAGAGCTCAAAAGGATTTTACTAGATGGATTCCATACATGAGAACATTTTTTACAGCAAAAATCTTAAATTTCAATTAAATATCATTTATAATAAATAGAAATGGAGCGAACAGGCACACAGGAACATAATCAACAAAAGATGGTCAAGAACTCCATGGAGATAATCATGAAACTTCAATGAAGGACATTAGAAAAAGCCTAAACATGGTAGCATGACACATTTATGGATATAAAGACTTAATTTTGTAAAAATAATGATTCTCTCTAAAACAACCCTGAAATTCAATGTAAATCCAATCAAAATCCTAGTTTTTGTTTTTGGTAGATTCTATTATTTAATAGAGTCATCATAAATTATCATCAAAAATCCCTGTACAGAACATAGGATCTAGGCAAATGGAAGCTGGTGTTTTGTAGGACAATTCTTCATACTAACCAAAACCTGAAGGACTTTTTTTCTCCTAACTTTTATGTAGGGGGGGGTACCATGCAGTTGAAAATTATACCTTTCTCAATACGT
This sequence comes from Homo sapiens, assembly GCF_000001405.40. Classification (NCBI taxonomy): domain Eukaryota; kingdom Metazoa; phylum Chordata; class Mammalia; order Primates; family Hominidae; genus Homo; species Homo sapiens. The sequence goes on along the minus strand of NC_000002.12, from coordinate 176,347,953 downwards.
CTGATATCAGTTTCCCCTTGACTTCCTCTACAGATTTCAACAAAAAGTAAACCGAATATGCTCAGCAATCTCATAAAGGGTTCTTTGCTGTATTACTTCTGATGTATGATTTTATTTTATTTTATTTTTTGAGACAGAGACTCACTCTGTAACCCAGGCTGGAGTGCAGTGGCACAATCTCGGCTCACTGCAACCTCCGCCCTCAGAGTTCAAACGATTCTCTTGCCTCAGCCTCCCGAGTAGCTGGGATTACAGGCGCCTGCCACCATACCTGGCTAATTTTTTAGTATTTTTAGTAGAGACGGGGTTTCACCATCTTGGCCAGGCTGGTCTTGAACTCCTGACTTCATGATTCACCCGTCTCGGCCTCCCAAAGTGATGGGATTACAGGCATGAGCCACCACGCCTGGCCTTGATGTATGATTTTTAAGGTCTCGTTTGATAAAGTAGGCAAAACTTAAAATGAAAACACTAAAACACACAGAAATATTGTGGCTCAACACTACACAATGGGTTATGCTTCCAGTCACCTGCTCTATGGTACTAAGGTCCACCACAACCATGTTAGATCCCAAGACCAAGAGGTCTAAAACTGAACTCTGACTTATACATAAGAATTGAGAAGGATGTCCTGAACAAGAGACAAAAAGTTCAAATCATAAAAAAAAGATTGATCATCACATTGACTATATTAAACTTAAGAATCTGTGTACATCCAGACACCATAAAAGGATTGAAAAGACAAGCCACAAACTAAGAACAGATATTTATAACAGTTATAACCAACTAGGTGTTAATATCTATAATACCAATAGGATTCCCATAAATCACTCACAATAGAAAAACAACCCAACAGAAAAATAGACAAAGCAATTATGAATAGCTTTTTCACACATACACACACACACACAGACACACACACACACACACACACACACACAAAGAAAATAGCCAATTAACATTCAAATATACTCAGCTCAATGATAATCTGGAAAATACTAATTAAAACCACAATTGAAAAAATTTAAGTCTAATAATCCCAAATGTTGGCAAAGATATAGACAAGTGTAAGTGTGTAAACTGGCACAAGCATTTAGGAAAACAATTTGGAATTATCTAATAAAGTTAAATATACACATACCTGACAACCCAGCAATTACATTCTTAAGTAAACACTCCTGTATACCTGTACCAGGAGATATGTACAGGAGTGTTCATAAACAGCTATTTTTATATTGTAATGGAAAACTGGACACAATCCAAAAGTGTACCAATGAGAAAACAGAGAAATAAAGTGTTATATTTGCCTATGAAAAAATACTATACAACAGTGAAAGTTAACCAGTGCTAGGCTCAAAGTAGGTGAAACAAAAATATATAATATTGTGTGAAAAAAGCAAAACAAAACAGAGTACACACAGCATGATTCCATTTAAATGAAGATCAAAAACAGAAAAAAGTTAAATCATGAGAATGATTAACACAAAATCAGGATAATGGCAACCTCCAGAGGTGGGGTAAAGAGCTGGGATTAGATGAAATTGCTGTCACATAGAGATCTTCTAAGATACTAGTAATGTTCTATTTTTTCACCTAGGTGTGAATATGATCTATGTAATAACAAAATATTAAGAAAAAGAAACATGTTTGTGTAACACATTTTTAAAAGCAGACTTACATGAACGTATATGCAACACATATTCTTAATAAAGCTTATTCTAACAATGGGGGTATAGACAGCCCTAAGTTGGTAACTGTTTAAATGAGTTAGTGTTTGATAGGTACACGAGACTCCTTTTTATGACTTACTCTACTTTTATATATGTTTGAAATTTTTCATAAAACCTGTTTTGAAAATTCAATACTTTTAATTCTAAATGAGTATTTCTTATCAAGAATAAAAAGGAACCTAGATTTCCAGCTTCTGCTTACAATGTAGAAAGATTTAAAAAGCACTGCTCCCACCCTCACAATAACAACAAACACCAGACAATATGCAAATTCACCACGGTTCTTGAACTTATACAGCTGAGGCTGCAGGACCAACGAATCCAAAATCTAAGGACAGAAGAGTCACAAGCACTTGCTTACCTGAAACAGATACTACTGGACAATGGTAAGAAAAAGTAAGCTAAATTTTTTAACTAATTGCTAAAGGTTTATTATAAGCAAACAAGAGTCTCTAAAAACCCTGGGGGTCACAGACACAAGGGGAATTCATACTCATTCATAGGTTCTTCTCCAAGAACCTCACAGAAAGTTTTTTTTAAAAAATTGCAGACACGGTAGGAATCCTAAGAAAGTGACCCTTGCTCTTTGGAGAGAACAGTTGCAGCTGTAGGAAAGGCTTAAAGCCCCCAGTTGGATCCTTCTCCCCTATCTCTATCCTTATTTTGTCACATGTTGATGGAACAAAAGGTGCCAAGGAAAATAAATTGCATAGCCATATGAAAAAAATAAAAGAGGAGACTCCTACCTCACACCATACGTTAAAATTAACTCAAAATGAATCATAGACTTAAATGTAAGAGCTAAAACAATAAAACTTCTAAAAGAAAAAATAGAAGAAAAACTTTGCAACTTTGGATTAGGCAAAGATTTCTTACATATGACAACACACACTCCATAAAAGAAAAAGTTAGTAAGTTGGACTTTATTAAAATTTAAAACTTCCACTCTTCCAAAGACACCAGTGAAAAATGAAAAGACAAGCCACAGACTGGAGTACAGTGTGTATTATTTGAACATAAGCTGTGATTAAAGATGTATATTGTAAGCCTTGGCTATTATTAAAAAACTGAGTTATAAATAATAAGCCAAGAGTGGAGACAAAATGGCCTCATTAAAAGTCAATCAAAATAATAAACGGTTATAAGAAACAAAGAACAAGCAGAACAAATAGGAAACACTTGGCAAGATGATGTTTTAATCCACCTATGTCAATAATTACATTAAATGAAAATGTCCTAAATGCAGCAATTAATACAGCAGTCCCCAACCTTTTTGGCACCAGGGACCAGTTTTGTGGAAGACAATTTTTCCACTGAACAAGGTGGGGTAGGGGTATGGTTTCGGGATGAAACTGTTCCACCCCAGGTCATCATCAGGCATTAGTTAGATTCTTATAAGGATCAGGCAACCTAGGCCAGGATTCACAGGTGTGGCCAGTGTTCCCACTCCTATGAGAATCTAATGCCCGCTGCTGATCTGACAGGAGGTGGGTCTTAGGTGGGAATGCTCACTTGCTGGGCGCTCACTTGCTGTGCAGTCTGGTTCCTAACAGGCCACGGACTGGGACTGGTACCGGTCCATCGCCCAGGAGTTGGGAACCCCTGAATTAAAAGAGAGATTGTCAGATAATCCAAGACTCAATTCTGAACTGTTTATACAAACACAGTGTAGGCTGCCACCATGGCTAATGTCTGTGATCCCAACACTTTGGGAAGCCAAGGCAGGAGGATTGCTTGAGGCCAGGAGTTCAAGACCAGCTGGGCAACATAGCGAGACTCCTGACTCCATCCAAATAAAAAAACAAAGAAATAAATATATTTTAAATAAAAGGTTACAAGTAGGCTAAAAGTAAAATGATAAAATATATAAACCTTGCAGCTGGGAGCGGTGGCTCATGCCTATAATCCCAGCTCTTTGGGAGGCTGAGGCAGGAGGATCACTTGAGGTCAGGAGCTCGAGATCAGCCTGGCCAACATGGTGAAACCCCATCTGTACTAAAAATAGAAAATTAGCCAGGCACGGTGGTGCGTCCCTGTTGTCCCAGCTACTTGGGAGGCTGAGGCATGAGAAGGGCTTAAACCCAGGAGGTAGAGGTTGCAGTGAGCCGAGACTGCACCATTGCACTCCAGACAGAGTGAGGCTCTGTCTCAAAAGTAAAAAATAAAAAATATATAAACTTTACAAACATTAATCTAAAGAAACCCTGAGTAGTCACTGAAATAATTAAATTAATATCAGACAAATAACTGTAGAATAAGAAATATCAGGGATAAAAAGAGCACATGTTGCTAAGGGGATCAATTCTTCAAGAAAAAATAATAATCCTAAATGTATGTGCATCTAACAAGAGATCTTCAAAATGCATGAAACAAGTTGATAGAAATGGTAGGAGAAAAAGAAGCCACAATTCAACATCCTTCTCTCAGCAACGCAGAATACTCCTCTCTTAGCAATGAAGAACAAGGAGGCAGAAAATCAGTAAGATATAGAACAATTAAACCAGCCAACCAAGAATAAAATCAACCAACCTGATCAACTTAATATTTATAGAATATTCCTCCCAACAACAGCAGAATAAAACATTCTTCTTTTTGTTTGTTTGTTTGAGACGAGGTCTCACTCCCTCACCTAGGCTGGAGTACAGTGGCACGATCTCAGCTCACAGCAACCTCCACCTCCTGGGTTCAAGTGATTCTCCTCCCTCAGCCTCCCAAGTAGCTGGGATTATAGGCGTGCGCCACCACGCCAGGCTACTTTTTGTATTTTTAGTAGAGACATGGTTTCACCATGTTGGCCAGGCTGGTCTCTAACTCCTGACCTCAAGTGATCCGCCAACCTCAGTCTCCCAAAATGCTGGGATTACAGGGGTGAGCCACAGTGCCCAGCCCCTAAAACATTCTTTACAATTGCACATGGAACATTCACCAAGATAACCACATTCTGAACCGCAATGCAAACTTGAACATATTTAAAAGACTTCAAATTATATAAAGTCTGTTCTAGAAACATAAGTTAAACTAGAAATCAATAACAGAACAAAATCTGAGAAATCTTCAAATATTTTCAAATTAAAGAATACAGTTATAAATAACCCATAGATCAAAGAGGAAATTGGAAAATATTTTGTATTAAATGAAAATAAAAGCACAACATATCAAAATTCCAAGCAGTGTTTAGAAGGAAAGTTATAGTATTAAATGCCCATATTAGAAAAGAGTCTCAAGTCAGTCTAAGCTTCCACATTAAGAAACTATTAAACCCAAAGCAAGTATAAGGAAGGAAATGACAATGATAGAACAGAGAAGAAACTGAGAACAAAACTACAGAGAGAAAAAAGAAAGTCAATGAAACTGGAAACTAGGGGGAAATTTTTAATTGATAAGCCTCTAACCGGACTGACATAATTTACAAATATGAAAAGGGAAAGATGGGATATTACTATAGGTGCCACAGATATTAAAAGGATAATTAAAAAAATACAAACAACTCTATGCCCATAAATCCAATAACTTAGAGAAAATGGACAAATTCTTTGAAAGGCACAAGCCAAAGCTCACCCAACAAGAAACAGATGACCTGAAGAGTCCTAAGTATATTAAAGAAATCAAAATTTTCATTTAAAATCTTCCACAAAAAAACCTCCAGGCCCAGGTGGTAAAATTGGTAAATTCTACAGAACATTTACAGAGAAAATAATAATATCAAATCTAAACTCTTCCCAAATGTAGAATAGGAAAGAACCCTTTCCACCTCTTTTAATGAGGACAATATTAACATGATACTAAAACCAGGCAAAGGCACTACAGGAAAACTAGAGACCAACATTTCTCATGACTATGGACATAAAGATCCTAAACAAAACACCCGGAAATAAAATCCAACAATATAAAAAGAGATAATATATCACAATTAAATATGATTTATCCCAGGATACTAGAGTTGACCTAATATTTGAAAATCAATTAATATAATTAGCCACTTCAACAGAATAAAATTTTTAAAAACCTATGATCAACTCGATGGATGCAGAAAAAGCCTTTGATAAAATATACCATCTATTCATGACCTTAAAAAAAAAAAAAAACACTCGGCAGACCAGGATTAGAAGGGAACTGCCTCAGCTCAGTAAAGGGCATCAACAAAAACCTACTCTCACACTTAATGGTGAAAGACTGAATACTTGCCCCTTAAGATACCACAAACAAGGTAAGAACATCCATTTTTTCATTCCCATTGAACAATGCACTGTGCTAGTTAGTGCAGTAAGGCAAAACAAAAGCAAAACAAAAAGGCATACAGATTGGAAAAGCTGAAATAAAACTATATTCACAGAAAACAGGATTGTCCAAGGAGAAAATCTCAGAGAAACTATTACAGTCTTATCACAATCGCCATAATTCAGCAAAAATGAAAAAATAAAGATAGAAATCTTATTTCAATTCTTAGAAATTTAAAAACAAATTAGGAAAACATTTATATCAGTCTAGATATAATCAAACCTTTAAATATTTCCTTTTAAGGCTCAATAAAATTTATAAATGATTTAATATATGTAAACATAAATGGATTAGACATACTACAAAATAGTTGACCAAGAAGCCACTGGTTTTAATAAACAAAAATGTCAGTATGTTCAAAAAAATTATAGTATCTTAAATTTTACTGTGGAATGTAACATCTTAAAATACCTCAATATAACACCTATATGATTAAATGACAACCATATACAATAGTAAAATACCATTCACTATTTGTTCATCAAAAAAGCATCAAGACCTATTATACTAATCTTTCAGATTGACATATTTTATAATTTCTAATTTTTCTGGATTTAGGGGAGGGATCCCAACCCCTGGGCCATGGACCCTTACTGTTAGGAACCAGGCTGCACAGCAAGAGGTGAGCAGCTGGCAAGCAAGCATATAGCCCTAGCCTTGGCTCCTGTGAGATCAGCAGTGGCATTAGATTCTCATAGGAGCACAAACCCTATTGTGAACTGTGCATGTGAGGGATCTAGGTTGTGTGCTCTTCATGAGAATCTAATGCCTGATGATCTGAAGTAGAACAGTTTCATCCTGAAACCATTCCCCGTTCCCCACCATCCCATGGAAAAGCTGTCTTCTACAAAACCGGTCCCTGGTGCCAAAAAGGTTGGGGACCACTGATTTTGAGTACCTAATGAACTAATACTACAGCTACTCATCCAATATTCAAATCAATTAAAAAGTAGTACGTTGGATTTCTAAAAAGTGTCATAGAAGATAAAATTATTTTAAACACAATAATGTAGATCATTCCAGTCATCAAATATGATACTGTAGACATTGTTGATTTAAAGTTTCTCATATGTAAAACCATCATTCTGAAGAACTACTTACAATTTAAATTTTTATTTAAATAAGGATGCATGTGCTTATTTTAAAATTCACAATATATGTAAGTATTTTGGCAGCATTTGTCAACAAACTGGTTTTACATGATAATTTTTAACTACTATGACTTGGCTTTCCAAACTCAAATTTAAAAGATAAAGGAAAAAAAAAAAACTGAATCACGAAAACGAGACGTCAGTTTCCATTTTCTATTGTATTGTTCCAAGGGTGATTCACCTCAACACTAGAAAGAAACAAGCCCTCTGAGAGTGAGCCATGTAAGTCTTAAATAAGAGTAAGCACCTCAACTTGGAATAAAACAACCAGTTTCCCAGTGTTCCTCATATTAAGAATACAGTCAGTTATAATCATTAAGATTAGAATATCACAACCAGGCCAGGTGTGGTGGCTCATGCTTCTACTCCTAGCACTTTGAGAGGTGGAGGTGGGCAGATCACTTGAGCTCAGGAGTTTGAGACCACCCTGACCAACATGGTGAGACCTCATCTCTACAAAAAATACCCAAATTAGTCAGGCATGGTGGCATGCACCTGTAGTCCCAGCTACCTGGGATGCTGAGATGAGAGGATCCATTCAGCCTAAAAGGTCAAGGCTGCAGTGAGCTGAGATTGCACCACTGCACTTCAGCCTGGGCAATAGGGTGAGCTCCTGTCTCAAAAATAAAATAAAATATCACAACCCATGTTGACATTGCATCTTTATATCTTTATATAGAAAAATCTCAAAGAAAACATCAGAATTTTGTATACTGAGGTACAAATGGTACTTGTACAATTAAATAAATGTGATGGTAGCATTAAAAGAAAAAAATACATCATTATATACCAGTACACAAAAATGTATACAAAACCTGTCATAAAAATTGTACAAAAACACAGATAGCTAGGGATTTTAATAATACACATTACAATATTAGCTCAGGAAACCTACTAAGAGCACTATAGTCCAAAGACAGTACTCAAAGTTTACATGGGATTTACACGAAGGCAAACCTAATGTATCCTTTACATGGTATAAATCTCTATCTTAAAAAAAAAAAAAAAAAAAAAAAGCATGGTGATGAGAAGCCAAACTCGGCCAGGCACCATGGTTCATGCCTGTAATCCCAACACAGGTAGGAGCCTTGGGAGGCCGAGGTGGGTGGAGCACTTGAGCCCAGGAGTTCCACAACAGCCTGGGCAACATGGTGCAATCTCATTTCTACAAAAAAATACAAAAATTAGGCATGGTGGCAGACCTGGACTCCCAGCTACATGGAGGCTGAGGGAGGAGGATCAACTGAGCCCGGAGGAAGGTCAAGGCTGCAATTAGTCATGAGCATGCCACTGCACACCAGCTTGGGTGACAGTGAGACCTTGTCCCCCAGAAAAAAAAAAAAAAAAAAAAAAAAAAACTTTAAAAAAAAAGCCAAACTGATGCCATGACTCATGGGTGTGAATTCCAACTCTACCATTTACCAACTTTATGACCTTGGACAAGGTATTTTTTGTGTCTCCATTTCCTCATCTGTAAACTGGGAATAATAACCTTCATGGTGTTTTGTCTTTGTTGTCAAGTTTTTATTTTATAATCATAAAATTAACCATTCAATCTAGCTAGATGTAGAAGGGAATAAGGAAAATATGGAACCCAAAGTACTACAGTGAGAGCACAAAGATTATGGGATATTGCAAACACGTAGAGTGGAAGGTTGCTCTCCTGAGCTACAGAAGGAATAGTCTGGTAGTTAAGATAACACAAAATTCAAATTTATTAGAGTTGTCCACAGTTGGCAATGGTGATCTTCTTGCTCATCTTGCCATTCTTGGACCCAAAGTATTCCATGGCTTCCATGACACTCATACCCTCTCTCTCACCTTTTCCCAAGACCACATGCCTACTATCTAAGCCTTCAGTCTTGGCACTACAGATAAAAAATTGGAAACCATTTGTGTTGGGTCCAGCATTTGCCATGGGCAAGATGCTAGGACCTGTATGCTTCAGGATGAAGTTCACATCATCGGATTTTTCCCCACAGATGGTCATGCCACCAGTGCCATTATGGCATGAAGTCACCACCCTGGCATATAAACTCTGGAATAATTCTGTGAAAGCAAGAACTCTTAAACCAAACCCTTTCTCTCCAGTGCTCAGGACACAAAAGTTTTCTGCTGTCTTTGGAACTTTGCCTGCAAACAGCCCAAAGGAGATGCGGAACTCCTACTTGGCAGCTATGTGGGAGAACATGGAGCTGATAATGGCTGATGGCAGGCGCCTCCAGATGGTAGCAGTGTCTGCAAAGCCATCCTATTTTTATAAGGATTAAATAAGTTAAAATTCCCTGGTACATAAAAAGAAAATATAAAAGTACTATTATTCTAGACATTTTTAAGAAATCATTTTTTACGTCTGTCTCTTCAGAGCATCCCTGGTTTTATAAGATATAAACTATGAGAAAATTTGGAAAGGACACAACATATAATCCTTAGTGTTTACATAAAAATTCCTGTTAATACTTTTGTGAAAACTATCTTCCCTTCCCCACAAAGGAATAAAAGAGCATTATTAAAATGTTCTTGTCTCAAAAAAAAAGGTTCCTCAAACTTTTCCTTTATCAAATGTAAATCACAGCTGCTCTGATGAAATGTTTTTTAATTAAGTCTCTATATAAAGAATGTTCTTAAATGTCAAATCTGCACCAAAATTTAATTACCTTAAAACCATCCATATTTTCTAAGTGCACACTTGTTAAGAACGTTTATTCCCATTATCTGCTTCACCATGTAACTAGCAAGGGAATCTTGGGAGTATGTAACACAAATTACTTGCCTTAGAAAAGACACTGTTTATTCCACATGTGTAAAATTCAGTGAATGACTTTCAGAAAAATCAAAAGAAAGTAAATGTAACATCCATACAGTTGTTTAAGCTTTATTTTTAAATGCATGCATGTTTCAAGGAAACAAAAATTTCAAGATACAGAATACAACATATCAGATTAAATAATTCAGAATTATTTTAATGTATACACAAATAACAATATAAAGCACATACATAAGATACATTATATAATTTGAGGTTTCAAAAAGCAGTAATTTGGTTTTAAAATTCTGACACCAATATCTAATGTAACATTCAAGTAAAACATATTTCAAAAGTTAAGACTCCTGAGACTAACACATAACTCTATGACAGCCTGCCTTTACCACGATCTTCAAAATAGTGCTGTTCAATTCTCCTACAGAAAGCAAGGAGGTTGCTATAGTTTTTCACCTTCTCAGAAAGTTCATCATTTGTCAATTGTGTGGTAAGAATGGTGTATAGATGGCCAAATACCAGTGCGTCAAGTTCAGTAGGCCTAAAAGTAGAAATGAGAGTAATGTGAGTAAGTAGCATTTAACTTTTACAATAGAAAACACAGTTGGCCCTCTTCACCCACAGGTCCCATACTCGTAGGTTCAACTAACCTCAGATCCAAAATATTTTAAAAGATTAGAAATAACAATATAGGCCAAGCATGGTGGCTCATGCCTGTAATCCCAGCACTTTGGGAGGCTGAGGTGGGCGGACTGTTTGAACTCAGGAATTCACAACCAGCCTGAACAATGTGGCAAAACCTCATCTCTACAAAAAATACAAAAATTAGCCAGGCATGGTGGTGCTTGGCTATAGTCCTAGCTACACGGGAGGCTGAGGTGGTAGAATGGCTTAAGCCCGGGAGGTGGAGGTTGCAGTGAGCTGAGATCACACTACTGCATATCATTTAGATTGTGTGTATTGGGTACTATAAGTAATCCAAAGATGATTTAAAATATACGGATGTACATAGATTACATGCAAACACTGCACCATTTTTTCTTTCTTTCTCAATACATTAAGTTTACGTAAGCAATTATGCCATTTTATATAAGAGACTTGAACTCTGCAGATTTTAGTATCTGTGGGGGTCCCGGAACAAATGTCCTGTGGATACTTGAAAGACCCCCGTGGATATGTTTTTTAAAATCATTTTATTCATCAACTTAAAAGAAAAAAGCCACGTAAGAAACAAATCCTACCACAACTTGATATAACTTTTCTTGGAGTTTCTGCTATATGGAAAAAAAATATGATTTGCTAGTTGTGTGACTTGCTTTCTTTAGTAACAACATTTAGGTGTGTTAAAATAATATAGATGTAATGATCATATTCATTTAATTCATTACTTTTCTCACTAAATATAGCAGATCTCCAATGTGCCAGAAACCATACCAAATGCTAGACATAAAAACAAGAAAAATACTCTAAGACATGTACATGAAACATAAATTATAAAGTTGTTTTAATAAATACAATTTATTAAGTGTTTTAATAGATGCATAAACAAAATGCTGTCAAAGCACAAAGGATTTCGCTGTGGTGATAGGACCAAAAAAATGATACCCAATCACAAATCAACAACAAGACACAACTTTAATTTTACCACATTTAAAGTAACTTAGATTTCTGAAGGAGACAAAATCATAAGGATGGCTTCAACATAAAAATTTCTAGGAATTTTTTTCTCTGTAATTATATATTACTAACAACAAAATGAAATCTACCCCACTACTAATGATCTATAAATGGGGCATCACCAATTTACATTATATTAAAATAATTACTAATGCACTATTACTAAAACAAGAAAATGTCATCATAATTACGAGCTAATTATTACTGTGTCCCACAGTGATAAAGTTTTTGAGAAAATATGTGCTAGCCTACATAAATGTGAAAATATGTTGCAGTAATCTGGTTTGGCAGAATAAATTTGGGGGTTGGTAAAAATCCAAATTTGAACTCCAATACTATCACTTACTAGCTATGTGGCCTTGAACCCTATTGATAAGTAGTCTCCTAGAGATGCATGGCTTTAAATACCATCTTGATGCCACTGACTCCTAAATATTTATCTCTGGTCCTAATGTCTCCCCTGAGCTCTGGATTCATACATTCAAATGCCTACATAACATCTCCACTTCAATGTGGAGTATCTGTGGAGCAGGATGTGGAGCATCTTGACTAAGATGTGTGGGATACTTTATTTTCTCAATAGCAGTAATTTACAGTATCCCAAACCTGCTTGTCCCCCAAACTTCCCAAAATAAAAGGCACCACTATCCAACCAGCTGTTCAGGCCAAAAATTTAGGGGCTACTCTTGAGTTCTTTCTTTCACCCTCCTATATCCATTAGCAAGTCTGGTGAGACACTACCTCCAAAATATGCCCTGAATGCCACCACTTATTCTTCATTATGATTTCACAGTGTAACCTACCATCATCTGTCACCTAGACCACTGAGATAGCCTCCTAAAGTGTCTTACTGCTTCTACTCATTCTCCATACCATGGTCAGAATGACTAATGTCAGCAGATCATACCAACTCCAAGCACAAAATATTCTAATGGATTTCTGTTCTACTTATACTAAAATGCCAAACTCCTTACACTAAGCACACAGAGCCTTGATAATCTGGCCTCTGCCTGCCTCTTTAGCCTCATATCCTACCATTCATAGCATACAACCCAAACTGGCCTTGTTTCTTGCATTTGAACGTAACAAACTCAAGCCAATTAGGGAACCTTGACTATAACTATTCCTGCTGCCTAAAATACTCTTCCTCTGACTTCACACTGGCTCCTTATTTTTTAGAATAAGGTTTAAATGGCACATCTTAAAGTCTCCTCAGACCACTCAAATTAAAGTGGACATGTAGTCACTCCTTATCATGTGGTCCTTTTTTAATTCTACATTTGATAATTAATACCATATAATTTTTTTTTTGCTTATTGTGCATCTCCTCTACCAGAAAGTCCTGTAGAGAAAGGACCTCACCTACTTGGTTCCTGCTGTAACCCCAATACCTAGAACAATTCCTTGCACAAAGCAGGAATTGTGCAATAAATTTGTGTTGAATGAACCAATAAAAAGGTGACACACTTCTCATACCATATTATAACTGTGTTCACTTAACTGTTTCCCTCACTACACTCCAAGCTCTTCAAAGGCAATGCTGTATATATCTTTATATTCCCAGTTCTTAGCACAGTATCTAAGGAACTGAAGTAGCACTTGCCGAATAAATACATGAATTAAAAAAGAAAGCATCCTAAGATGTGTGGAATATTTAATTTTCTCAATAGTAGTAACTTACATTCTTTGAAAGCCTTCCACTCTTTTGACATTCATGAAGTGTTAATCAAAGTCAAATGTGCAATCTATGGCCATGTTTAAATGGGTAGCCAACAGTATAGTTTTAAAAAAAAAAATCTCAAGGGTCCTTAGACTCAACAGCACCATAATCTTATCATCACAGGAATGAACCAATAATGAATAGATCCCTGCAAAAAACCAAGGATGTAGAGTGGATAAATGGGGAGCTGAGCTGAGGCACTTGGTGAGAATAATACAAACACCAATTCTTCCACATCCTTAAACATATTTCTTAAGAGGTACATCTTATCTTACCAATTTAGAACTTATTTTCCTAATCCTTGTTTAGTGCCAGCTACCCTATACTTCTTGTACTAGAGCCTAAAAAAGGTGCATATATTCTCTGATGCAACTTCCAGTAGTATAGATGGGCACCCTTTATTAATAAATGAAGGCTCTGAAAGAGTTCAACTATCAATGTATGCTCAAATGAGAGTGCTCCAGAAGTACCCCTGAAGTGGTTTGTTGCAAATATATATCCACATAACTCCAGAGGTACTGAATTATATATGGGCATGAGCATATAAAAACTGATCTGATTTTACATAAAGACAGCAACTTTGTGGCAAGTTACTTTAGAACATCAACAGAAGTAGAATTCAACAGATTAAACCAAAGCACATACAGTTGTGTGTTGCTTAACAGGAATACATTCTGAGAAATGCACTGTTTGGCAATTTTCTCACTGTGTGAACATCATAGAGTCTACTTACACAAACCTAGATGGTGCTATACACCTAGAGTATATGGTACACCCTATTGCTAATAGGCTACAAACCTATACAGCACATTGCCAAACAGAATACTGTAGGCAACTGTAACACAATGATAATGTGTATTTATGGTACACAAATACTTGTGTATTTAAACATATCTAAACACAGAAAAGGTAAGTAAAAATATATTACAATCTCAAGGGACCATCATCATATATTTGGTCCATCACAGACTGAAAGGTTGCCATACAGGGCATGACTGTATATATCCACACACACTAACCTTTAAAGCATATTTTTTGTAATTTTTCCAAATTTGAGCAACTCCTTACACTGACTCTGACATATATAAATTACTGATTCCAACAAGTCTTTTTAAGAAGTACAAATAATATTTTAGTTGATAGGTGACAGTTACACAACTGTATGCCTTTGTTAAAATTCATAGAACTACACGCATAAAAGTGCCAATTTTACTAGATGTAAATTACACATCAATAAACCTGACTTAACAAAAAGACAAGTAACATATTTTATCCAGTATTTCTACTGAACTATTTAATCAAGTCAAGATCTTCATATACCTCCAATTTTAATTATCTTGCTATATCACGTGAAGAGAAAACACAACTTTCTACCCTTCTGCTTACCAAATAGTTTGTGATTATAATTCAAATATAGATAGCAATTCCCCTCCTATGAGCTCTAAGATGTTTCATATATTATTGCATTTATCTTTATAGACTTTTTATTAGAAAAATATTCCAGGGTGACAAATATATTTTTAAAGTCCTAAGAAATTTGATGCCTTCTTACATTATTATTCTTTCCACATTCCTGTTGGTTATCTACTATTTTTTCATTTGAATATCAAAACAAAAACAGTAAAATTCAACGTTTTCATAACATTTTCCATTTAAGATTTTTCTGGCACTCAGTAAAATTCAACATTTTCCTAACATTTTCCATTTAAGATTTTTCTGGCACTCATATTTTTTGCTTTGCTTATTCATTATTTCACATTTATTTCTCTCTGATACCTTCATAGTATCATCTATATTAATGCTTTCAAAAGCATTAATTTTGTCTGAGTGTTTCCTAATTGTTCTTTCCCATTAACTTTTCATCTCTTTATAGTACTAGAAATAATCTACGTTATCTTTTCTTTACATCCTAATCACTTATCTTTAGGGCTGTCACCCAAGTTTTGTAAATCAAGCCCCTTGCTTTTTGGCCTCTTTTCCCAATTATTATTCTTTCTGTGAGATCTCCCTTAACTACCCTTTTCCTTTTCTCTCATCAAGTAACGGTATTTGGTTTCTTTCACGAGTCCTCCCAACATCCCCAGTAGTTGAGCTAGAAGGAAAGTTAATTCTAATTTTAGGGGATTAATTCTAATTGTAGGGGGTTAATTCTAATTTTAGGACTGGCATACACATAGAGAAATTAGAGTAACTTAGAGATATGTCAGAGCCAAGAATAGAATTCAGACCCTCTGACTTGCAGTATAATACCTGACTTAGGCCACAGCTCTATTCAACATAGTATCTCACAAAGTAATGACTCCTGCTACAGATAAAGGAATGAGAAAAATGTTGGCACAAGGAAGTGAAATACCAGTTACTTTTTTCTAAATGTACTTTATTTGCATTTTAGTATTAATTAAATGATCGAATAAAATTAAAAATCAAATCTCTTCTATCTTTAATCTTATTTTTAGGGAAAATGTTTATCTAAGTATCACGCAAAGGAAAATTATGTCAAAACTCTACATCATAATATCAATTAAATAGTTCCTCAAAAGCAAGGCTTTGGTGTTTGAACTGTTCTAAGTTAGAAGTTTTCATCACAAGTGTAAATGTAATTGTGCCCTTATGAAGAAAAATGATATCTTGATATTTCCACTGAGTCACATGCCAAACTCTGGTTACTAACACAATGACAATGAGTTTAACTGAGAAGAAAAGTAAGTTAGATCTATTCTCCTGGCCTCCTCTAAAGACAGTGTGCATAACAAAACTAAAATAGAATAATGCATTTCAATAAAACACACCCCTTCTGAGCTTTTCAATTCCTAAGAATTCCTCTGTTAGAAAGAAAAGAAATCACGTAATATTGACATTTGGATACATTTCTCTTGTGTTAGGGACTGAAAAATAGAATCTGTAGAGCAAACATCACTAGAAACAGGAACAGAGTTGTAGAAGCTTTACCCACCAGAATTTCACAGTTTGAATTCTGAAGATTTTTCTGCTTCAAAGATCAACAGAACCCAGATTTTAATATCAATTATATATGTATATATTACTTGTGTTATAGATTAATATAACTTAAATATTTCCAAACTATCATCATAGCCATTTTTACTACAAATATTATCTTTACCCAAATATGTTTGATATGGTTATAGAAGAGGAATGCTTATGACGATATAACACATAATAGCAAATAAAGCCTTTTAGAAATTATTAATCTAAAAATCAAATAATTTTTATTAAAATGTCAAGAAAAGGTCAGACTTTCTAGGGAAAGTTTTGAGATTAAAATGCTTTAAGCCCATCTTACACTGGATCACAGGACAGCTGATTCTGATATATTAAAATTGTAATTTTTTAACAACGGAAAATTCATTCTTTGCCTTCATTAGAGTCTTTTCAAAACTGCAAAAGCAAATCTATTAATGAAACATTATTCAACTTACATATATACACATATATTTAACCTATATCCTTTATATTAATTTCTGTGTTTTACAAATATTTTCATTAACATTTTAAAAGATAAGTTCATAATAGTGCTTGTCCATCAAACAATATTTTTTAATATTTAGTTTTATTGACTCTTCTAATCCTCCAGCTATCATTCTATATAGAAAACCATAGTTACATTAATAGTAACTTACTTTCCTTCATGTTTAATAGTACAAGTTTAGAATTTTGTTAAGATTTTGTAGTTCCATGTATAGCACCTTGAACTACCTCATTAAAACCTTATCATACAATGATTGATTTACATGACTGCCTTTAAGAGAAATTCTTAATGATAAGGACCATATTTTAGAAATCTTAGTCTCCTAGAGCCTAGCACTGTGCCTGAGAGTAAAGTGCCACAAAAATATTTGAGTACAAAAATTATAAAAATAGCTAAATATTTTCTTGAAAAAGCAATTCTTTTATGAAAAAAAGAAATTTGCAACCTAACAGTACAGAAAATTAACTTTAAAAAAGTAAAATTTCTTACTGCTTATTGAAGAAATACGGTTGTGTTCCCAGTCTTTGAGAGAGAGCTTGACAGCACTGGTCTACATCCTCTAAGACCTAACACAGGCAATGAACCCCAAGGAAAAGTATTTCAATTAGCAAAACAATAAAAAGTATCTAAAACGTAACTTGTATCACAGTTTATAACAAAAATATAAATTTAAGTTAACCTTTTATAATATATTTTAATAAGACCATAGACCACATATATATATAATACTTTCTATATAAGAAATACTTATAAGAAATACTTTCTATATAAGAAATACTTATAAGAAATACTTTCTATATAAGTATATATATATAATACTTTGTATACAAGAAATAGGAAGAAATTCTCAGTGAATGTCCTTCAAAATACAAGTACATTTAAGTTACTTATAAGGATTTTGTCAAGAACAAAAGTGTCTTCCTGAATCCATATATTCAAATGGCTTTGCATATACCAAAAAATCTGCTTAATAAAGGTAACAACATTGACCCACTATGAGTAAAAGCATTTGAGTTATTTTCCCACTAGTGGAGATAGATTTTTATTTATTCTATCCCTATTCATTTACTGAAACCCCCTTGTAGCCAATGGCACACATCAGTGAGATGGCTGGCTAGTATTAAGGGTAGCCTTGGAAAAGACGGGCATTAATTAACTTAATGATGCTTGTGGACAAGATAAGTATTTTTAAGTTTTGCTACTTTAGTAGCAAAAATATAGATAGACAGATAGATAGACAGATAGACAGATAGATAGACAGACAGACGGACAAAGTACTGTATTTAACAGGGCTTTTTTTTTAAGCCCTGATGCTGCAGATCTATATTTAGTTACATAAAAGGTGCCCACAATGTATTGTTCAATTAAAAAAAAAAAAAAACCCTCAGGTTATACAGTAGCAGGCATAATGATCCCATTTGAGAAAATGTTACTAAGAAACATCTAGAAGAAGGCTCTCCAAATAGTTAAGGGTGGTATTTTCTAGGTGATGAGATTTCAGGCAAGTTTTATTGCTTTTTTACACATATCTGCATTGCATTGTTTGCTTTACATCAAGCATGTATGATTTTTTAGAAATAAAATTACTTCATGTTAGTGAAAATCACAGGAAATGGTTTTCTTGCAAATCTTATATATATTTTTTTAAAGGAGTATCAATATAAAGAATGATTCTTTTAATGCATAAAAGTTGAGGGTTTTGTCAACTTCAACCTGAACTGACCTGGTCCAGAGTCTTCTTTCCCCATCCAATAGCTTTCATCTTACGTTTGACTTCCCACTGTTTTTGATAGGCCAAAATATGATTCAGAGGCCAAGGGTAAGGAGATCCATACCTAGCATGAGTGATCTAAAGTAAAAAGATTTTGTAAAAAAGGTGATCCTTCCTAAAAACAATGCCCGTTTTTACAAATAGAATTCTAAAAGAAATATATTTTCAGAGAACATAAATAGAGCAATCTGAAAAAAATACACATCCTGCAATCTAAAAAATTAAAATTTTAAGCCATTCCCTTTAAAAATATATAAACTTTTATGTACTTTGCAACCCGTTATATCAAACAATGACACATAGCTTCCCTAAAATGTTATGTGCAAGCAAAATTAAAGTAAGTGAAAAACTATATCACTAATGGTATAAACCACAATGTTTCATTTATGAGCAGGGACTTGCGATTCTGAGCAAAAGTGTTTTCTCATTAAATTTTAATTAAGATAAATGTTACAGAACCACTCACCTCCCCTACTGTAGCTTCATCACACCACTGAAGATACAGCTAGGAACAAAAGAACAGTCACTAAACTTTAGAATACCAAAGAGGAAAAGGATAAAGAAAGTTATTTTTTGCCAAGGCAATTTTTTATAAGCTAATTTCATAAGTCACACATGTAGCGGTTTGTTTTTCTTAGCTGCTATCCACAAAAATGTAATGATGGTACGTTATAAAAATATTTTTTATTCACACAATACATGTCTAAATACCATTAAAGTGTTTTACAGATATTATTTAAGCAAATTTCAAAAGGCCAAAGTAAAATAATGAGTAGGCAAGAATCACTCCTTTTTATAAACAGAAAAACTAGAACTGAAAATGTCAGGTAACTTGTTCAAAGGTAATAATCAAATAATTTAGGTAGCCAACTCAACTCTAGAATTACTTGACTATTTTCCCATTTCTCAATAACTTTAACCCATAAGAAAGATTATATTTTATGAGAATGAGAGAAAAAGCTTATTTTCAAGCCGTATCATCTAGTATTTTACCTCTGCAGTCAACAGCATATTGTTGACTAATTCCATGTAAGCTTTCATTTCTGCTTTTTGGACTTCCTCCAGCCCATCACTAAGAGAATGGCCCTAAAGGGAATTTAAAAAAATTTAAAAGAACATCATATTAAATATACAAAAACTTTCAGTTATCTCACTAACAAATAACGTAACATGCAACTATACAATGAATTAAACGTCCAAAATGCCCCCTAAAAATTATTTTATATAAAAGCATAAATAATACTCTGCTATCACTACAAAATATTAGTATGTACTTACTTGTCATTATACAAATGTATCTTTCAATAGAGAAAATTACACTATCAACTACTTCACAAAAGAAGAAAACAGAATGGTCAGCAAACCTTGTTTAAGAGATTAACCTTATTTAGAAATAAAGGAAATGCCAAAAGACTGACATGTGCTGTTTATAAAGTGGTCAAAGATGAAAAAAATACGTTTGTAAAGATATGGGGGGAGAAACCCACTTATTTTAAAATTCTAATACTCTATAGTTACTAGGAGATACATAAAATGATATAACCTTTAGTTCAATCTGGCAATCTATTACAAGATTTAAAAAGTACATAACCTATGACATCCTAATACCACTCTCAGGAATTTATCCTAAGGTACCAATACCAACCTTAGGAATTTATACAAAGATGTATATATAAGAAAATTTATCTTAGTACTCTATAAAAACAAAAAATTGGCCATGACCTAAAAGCCCAACAATAAACTTGAGTAAATAAAATTCTAATTTATCCAATACAGGGGGAGGGTGTTGAAGAAAAAAAAAATAATATATATATATATTTTGGAGATATATATATATCTCCAATACAGCAGAATACAACAATGTGAAAGGATGATATATACCTACAGCTATTAATATGGAAGAATTTCCAAACATATTTATGATTTTAAAAGGTATGTTGCAAAATAATACACACTAGTATGATCTAGGTTTTTCTATATATTCAAAAAGTCTGGAATGATTTTTCAGAAACACTAATGGGAGTTGTTCCTTAATAACTATTAAAATCTAAACTGAATAAATGAAAAGCAGAATCATTCAAATGGATAAATACATTCAACTTCAAACAAATCCTGTATCTCCCTTTTCAAAGGTCAGCCAGACACTTCAAAACCTAATAGTTTTTCATTTATGACCACAGTTGTAGTAAGCATAAGTTAGAAAATTATCTACCATTTTGTAAAGATCAAACCATCTCTTTAGACTAGATATTAAAATTACATACCTTTAATAAATTTGACATTAATAGAGGAAAAAAAGCTACCTCTTTTGCCATTATATCATGAAAAAATACTAACTTACACTTCAGAAATATTTTCCAGTAGTTTGCATTGGCATTTTATAAAACTAGGTTGAAATCAATGTAAATGTTAAGACACATTAAAGAATGATGAATGACTTGGTAACTGATCAAATACATTTAATATCTTTTTATTACCTTGGCTTTAACAAATTGGACTATTGGACCAAGTTCTGATACTACTTGATTTCCCACATGAATAAAAGGTACTTTACCTGTTGAGAGAAAAAAAAAGTATTTATAAAAATACTTCCAGTATGTTAAAGTTTGTGATAATTAAAAAAAATTAACACAAAACTCAGGTATTTATAAATAGGGATTTCATAAAACTGTAACTTTTGAAAATTTTTGTCAGATGTGTATATTAAATTCTGTAAGTTTTTAAACTGATTACTAACCAACTTTAGAAAAAAAGAACAGGTAAATTCATTTCTAGAGTTCTCACTTAGATATAATAACAGATCACATAACATTCTCTTTTCAGAGCCAACACAAACATATCACCATATAGCAGCAAACACTAATTATCCAAATTACATGAACCAAGCCAGGACACTGGTACATGACCACTGATATATTTCAAAGAAATGTAAGCTTTCTTTTCAGAGTACAGTGAATCAATCTATATTGTAAACTACATTTAAAAAACCTTTTTACATCTTTTAAGTCTTTGATACCCATTGAGATCAACATTTTAAGCAAGTAATTGTATATCAATAAATCTCTTTAACTCAAAATAGCAAGAATTAAAAGAATTAACAATCTTTGAAGGCATGCTAGTTGGTGAGTTGTAATACAGAGTATGTTCCCAACATGTGGGAAAAAATAATAGTATGTTTATAAAAACTAGCTTCTATAGATAAATGTCACATTAAAAAAGAAATATTTCACTTTAACAAATACTAATACTTGGAATTATTAGAGATGAGAGAACAAAATAATCTCCAAATAGCAAGAAGGGTCTACTCCAAATGCTAAAGAATGAAACCTGCTGTCACACCTAGTTCAAATAGAGTTCACACTAACAGCAGGCTTCTTCCTGTTCCTTTTCAATAGATTCACTCCTCTCTGGCTCCGTCAGCCTGGGGGTAATGGATGAAGTACAGAGGCCTAACAAAAGCTTCAACTGCATCCATAGGACAACATGCATTACAAAGAAAAGGCAGGCCTTTTGGAACACAACAACTCAATAGATGTATTGAGAAGATATTTCCCTGTTGCCAATTCTGCATTCCTTCCTTCTACTGCTTTATAAATCTTGCAAAAAAAAATTTTTTTATCTGGTTAAGCATTAGGCCACATTGTTTTCTTAACTCGGGATAAAATCTTTGTAACTACTATACTACCAGAATTATTACAGGTCCCCTGAGATCAAATGATCTGAGAATGAAAACTATTTAGTACCTAGACAAACAGTATTTGGGGGTATAATATTTTTAGAGCAAAGCATATTCCTTGTTTTTAATGACCAGTTTCAGGTTCTTGGAAAAAAGGGTTTGTATTTTTTTTCTTTTCTTAAAAATACATTGAGCGTTGTCAATTCTGAAGCAAAAAGAAGTGTGGATAGTCAACTGAGTATTAATCTTATATATCTCTAAATATAAAGAGATATATAAAAACAAACACAACAAATTAGAAGTGAATAATGTTTTCTGTCACTAGCCTGCTTAATGAAAATGGAGCCAATGTTATATCCTTATTATTGCAGGTATCAGGCAAAAACACAGTAAGACAGTTATTTTCTGGTGCGAATCAAAGGTCATATAAGAAAACTGAGGGCTTTGTTTACCGTCTTAGACAGAATAATCACTTTTAAAATTTTTATTCTAAAGAAAGCAAGAATATGTTGCCAAACAAGTTGGCAGATTCAAAGAATGCAAGAAATAGGACCTTGGATGTCATCTAATCCGGCTACCTTATATTACAGATGAAGTCACTGAGGCTCAGAGAAGTGAAATTTCTCAAGGAAATAGTTAATATGTGACAAAGTCACAGAAGGATTAGTTAAAGATTTCCTAACTCTTTAGGAAATAAGAGTTTAAGTCAACTGGTCTTCTGACTAGTCCATGCTCTCTGCTTTAAAAATCTACCGCAAGATCAAAGAAGCAAATACAATAAAAAACATTTCCCTATCACCTCAAATCATTAAATGAAAGAGAATACCAATCTGAGATATGATAAAGTTTAAATATCTTAGTAGAAAGTGCCATTTTCATCTACCTATAGGAGACTCCTATGAAAGAATGTATATTTTTGTATGTCTCTAGAATATTTATGTTTGTCTTTCGCGCAATCTAATAAAAAGAAAATAGGTATCTACCTAAATGACACTAAGTATAGTAATTTTAGGAAACAGGTAGATAAACTATATTGATATCTCACTTGCCAAAGATCTGAACTTTAGCATTAGATTACTAACCTTCTAACCTTTTTACATAAATATACAAACTGTTTGTATGACTACATAGAGGAAAAGGATGGACAAAACACAACATAACTTATTTCACCAGAACTCTGTAGTTCCTAAAATCTACGTATAAAACCAACACAAAAATGAGTCAATGAATGCCCTCCAAGAATCTAAAATATGTTTACATTTACAAGCCTAGAAATTATTTTATGGAAATGTTTTCTAAATGTATATTCATAAACCTCTAAAACCAGGTATTTATATAAAAGAACATTATGTACAGAAGGGGTGTCTTCATACCTTTTAACAATTTCTACCACCCTTAAAAACTTAAGGTGGAAAAAAAAAATTTAACACAAGTCACTCCTAAATTATCATATCAAAATGAAAAATGTCTCCCTAAAAAGCAATGTTACACACTTATACCAATCAGTTATACTTAATAATTTATTCAAAAAGGAGTAATTCTACGTATTATTGCTCCAACAAAACCATAATTACAATAATCATCCATGATAATTATATATAACATTTATTTATCAGCTTTGTAGCACATTTTTATATTAAAAATTTTGAATTATTTATTTAAAACAGTAATTTAATCTACTGACATAAAGATAATACTGATTTTAAAAAATAGGAAGCTAAAGCATCTCAAAACCTGTTAAAATTAAGCATTAGAAAAAATAATTAGAAACCAAAAACATTCAGTGATGACTTCAAGATCTAACGACAAATTAATTTTTCTACAATCTCTCTTCTTCCAGCTGTATTATGGGAGAATATAATTAAGAAAGATGTGTGGAATAATAAATGGATTCATTATTACTAAAATTTGTTTTCTCAACAGGAAAGTCTTATGTACATTAAGACTAGGGAAATCTGAGATCATGTATTTCCTTAACATTTACTATTTAAAACAATTCCCTTACTATTAAAACCATTTCCACACGTCAGTAACCATCTCTGATCACAGTTGAAATGAATAGATATGCCAACCCCAAGATTGTCAAATTTGCAATTGTTACTTTCTAAAACCATGGAAAGATTCTTCAAAGGGTAAACAAAAAAAATCAGGCATTTTAACATGTAGATACAAACTGGACTATCACTATAATTTTATCACTCCATAATATTAACAGAGAAGAAAAAAAAACACACTTACCAGATGGAGACATATATTCTGCATTTGCCCTACAAACTACTTTGATAGGCAAGTTACACATTTGCAAAAAGGCCTGTAAATCAAGATACATACAATAAGCCCAGTAAAAAGCATATGCATATTTGAACAGAAATTTGTATGCATTTCTTTTCTAAACTGAATAGTTTCATACTACAAAACTCTAATAGAAAACAATGAACCAATTTAAAGTGAAGGATTTGTTTTCCAAACAAAAATGTCATGTCACTACTTAAAAATCAGTAT
This sequence comes from Homo sapiens, assembly GCF_000001405.40. Lineage (NCBI taxonomy): Eukaryota > Metazoa > Chordata > Mammalia > Primates > Hominidae > Homo > Homo sapiens. The sequence goes on along the minus strand of NC_000002.12, from coordinate 176,323,200 downwards.
GATTTAGACATCAGTAAATACATGAAACTTAAAGTATGTATGTATACCTAAGGAATAAAATGTAAATTATCCACATTTATGTTACTGTATTAGTTTATGTAAACCAGCAATACTATATATATAGCTTTAATTTTCTTAAGTAGATGACTAAAGTCCAAATTTTATAAGCTATTAATTGCTTCATTCCACTATTTTCTATAGGATCATCATCTTCCTCATTTTAGAGGAAAACTCAAAATACTATCTCTGCTACCTCAAAGTTCTCTCCAGTAATACCCTATATTCCAACATGTAGTTTCTGTGCTCACGAATTCACTTTTTAAAGACTTAAATTGTTTATCTTTGCTCATAGTTACAAAAATGTTATAAGCAATTTAAATGTCTAATAATAAGGGTATGGGGTAAATCATTATAGTAAATCCAAACTATGGAATGCTATACACAATCAATTTTAAAACTCATGCTTTAGAAAAAATTTTACATCAAGAAAAAATGTACACATTATAATATTAAGTAAAAAAATGCAAAACTCTATTACTAGATCACACTAATTCATTTTTAAATGTTTTTAAGACACCAGTGAACTCTGCCAAACCCACTGTTTTTTACAATACTCAAAGTCCACTCCCCTTGTTCTCTCTTCTATGACTTCTTGGCTTCTTTTTCTCTATTCACAAAATTTACTATGTTATTTCTATAAAATAATTCAGTTATTCAATTGGGGAGGTCATAAGTTACAATGGTTCTAATTACCACATACAAATTGGAAGACAAACCTTTTGTCTATTTTGAAATTGAAAGTACTATAAATAGCTGTCAAAAGTAAGATAAGATAAATTAATAAATTAACAAGGATATTATTTATCATTTTACTCAACAGAGATTTCTCATAGGTTTATTATAATTCCTTCCTCAACTCTACATTAGAAATAAGTGTTAAGACTCTTAAGTGTTAAGGGTACAAAACAGTGATTAATATCTTGTACAAAGAACTCCATTTACCCAAAAGTATGTCAATTCTCTTCTGTTTTCTCAAAACTCCAGTCCTTTAGAGATGCCTGCCTCCAAAAATAAATCCCACGTGAGTCTGATTCCCCCACTAATTGCATCCTCTGATTCTTACATTGCTCTGTAACTTATGTATGCATGTCTGATCTCCTCAAGTAAATGGCATCTCTTAGAAAAGCAAGGGGGAGATTTTTAATTTTTTTTTTCAATTCTGTTCTCCTTCCCCCAATCTCCCTCATTTTCCCACAATTCATCTTTCATAGTGCACTACTTATAATAAGCAATATTGTTTACTGATTGAGCCATTCAAAGCTCCCAAGAGCTTATCCTGGTAGAGGCTGTTATCCCTGCCACATATGTTCTCTCCTTTCCCTACAGTGGTAGAAACTATCTGCACACAAGGCTGCCTAAAATAAAAACTTATTTTCCGGGCTCCCTTACAACTGGGTATGGCCAACTGGACTAAAAGTTCTGGACAACTGCTGGGAAGTTTCTTTAAAAGGAGAAAGTATCTCCTCTTTTTCCTCCCTGTTGACTAGAATGTAAAAAGGATGGCTATAGCTATAGCAGCCAAACAGAACCATGAAGTAGCAGCTGAGTGTTAGAAATGGTAGAGCAACAAGAGTAAAGGGGCCCAGGTTCTTGATAATCATGTAGTCACCAAACCTGGATTACCCGTGTTTGTCCGAGAAGTGAACTACCTTTTTAAGCTACCACTATATTGGGTTTCTGTCACTCACTGCCAAATCCAATCTTAATTAATTCACCTACAGTTATGATTTCTAAGTTTAAACACCATCCTGCCCCACCAGAAGTTGATTCTTCTGTGTCTATTTAAGTGGAAACTAACGGTCCTTTAAAACCTATAACCAGTGATTCCAATTCATAGCAATAATAGTGAGCTTCCTGACTGACCCACAAAGATAGGGTAGGGTGGTGATTCTCAAACTTCAGCATGCATCAAAATCATGTCAAAGCATGGCTTGCATGGAAAGAATTAGAGAAAATGAATATAAACAGTTCTTTCAAAAAGCCTGGATCTGAAAACAAGGAAGAAGGGAGGAGAAGAGTTGCCTCCCTTCTATTACATATGAAGAAGAGTGGAGCTTATTAAAACACAAAGAGAAAAAAAATAATGGAGATAGGCTGAAATTACATAAAACAAGTGAAATAACTGATATACAAGATCCATGTGGCCAGAAGCAGTGGCTCACACCTGTAATCTCAGCACTTTTGAGGAGGCCAAGGCAAAAGGACCACTTGAGGCCAGGAGTTCAAGACCAGCTTAGAAAACATAGGGAGAACCCATTCCTACAAAAGAGTTTAAAGAATTAGCTGGGCATGGTGGTGCACACCTTTAGTCTCAGCTACTCAAGAGGCTGAGGTGGGAAGATTGCTTGAACCTGGGAGGTCAAGGCTGCAGTAAGCCATGATCACACCACTGCACTCCAGCCTGGGCAATACAACAAGACCCTGTCTCAAAAAAAAAAAAAAAAAGAATAAGTAAAAAGGGAGGAAGTAAGACCTTAGCTGGAGAGATCTGTTTTTGTCAGAACAGGACACTTTTTCCACTGTAATGCAAGAGGTGGTGGGGAATCAGTGATGATGACTGAAAGTTGATAAGAAAGAACAAGAATGTGAGTGCTCATATTTTACGAAATAGAAGGAGAAATCTTTTGCTGAGAATGAAAAACTAAGAAGGGATTGAGGCCTTCAGTAGAACAAAAAAGAGTTTGAAATAACTGTTTAATATATCTTCTCAAAGGCCTGAATAATATTCAACTGTTAATAATAATATTGTATAAAATAGTAAATATAGTATATTTTGCTAAACTACATGCGTAGTGGTAACTATGCTAATTAATATTCCAAAATGCTGTATTTCACTTAAAATAAAAGCAGAATTGTAATGTTCTGCAATCAAACCTATGCTTCTTTTTTTTTTGAGACACAATTTCACTCTGTCGCCCAGGCTGGAGTGCAGTGGCACAATCTCAGCTCAATGCAACCTTCAACTCCCAAAACCCATGCTTCTTAGTCCCATGCTTTTTATTTTTTTATAAAAACTAACTGACAATTTTACCAATTAAATGACACTCAACTTACTACAGACCTCAACTGATAGCATAATTCTAGTTAGTCAATTAATCTGTAGTTCACAAAAAAGTTTGATGTCACAAAGCATTTTCATCCAAACTTTAAAAATGCAAAAACAGGCCAGTCCCAGTGCTTCCAGAGGCCGAGGAGGGAGCATTGCTTGAGGCCAAGAGTTCACGACCAGCCTGGGAAACATAGTGAGAGCTTCTCTCTACAAAAATTTTTAAAAATTTTTGGCTCATGCCTATAATCGCAGCACTTTGGGAGGCCAAGGCAGGTGGATCACAAGCTCAGGAGTTTGAGACCAGCCTGGCCAACATGGTGAAACCCTGACTCTACTAACAATACAAAAATTAGCCGGGCGTGGTGGTGTGTGCCTGTAGTCCCAGCTACTCAGAAGGGTGAGGCAGGAGAATCACTTGAACCCGGGAGGCAGAGGTTGCAGTGAGCTGAGGTCGCACCACTGCACTCCAGCCTAGGTGACAGAGCAAGACTCCATCTCAAAAAACAAAAAACAAAACAAAACAAACAAAAAAATTAGCAGCATGTGGTGGCAGGCACCTATAGCACCAGCTACTCGAGGAAGCTATGGTAGGATAGCTTGAGTCCAATAATTAAAGGTAAGCTATGATCACGCAAAAAAAAAAAAAAAAGCAAAGCCAAAACATCACCATGACTATCTTCAATAATGTAAACACCCTAAAACAATAGCAAGGTTTGACTCAAACAGTATTTCCCCTTTCTCTTGAAAGATGGAAGAAAACACTGGAGAGGCTCACTGTCACCTTCCGCTTTGACTTTCAATATCTTATCAGCACAAAAAATACTCCAAATAACTGGCATGGCACACTCATCTAAAATATATTTTCTTTTCAATTCGGAAATAGCAATCTGCATATTTTTATTCTTATGGAAGTCAAAGAAAAATGTATTTCAAATTATAATAATGAATAATGAACTTGGAACAACTCAGCTAACTCTTATTCCTCGGTTGAATACTTTATTCCAAACTAATTTAAATGAATAACAACATAAAATAATTTGAATAAAACACTTAGCACATCCTATCAGAATAACGTTTTATAACTATGCTGTCCAATATGGTAGCCACTAGTCACATGTGGCTCCTTAATTAATGTTTGAATAAAATTTTAAATTCAGTTCCCTAGTCACACTAGCCACATTTCAAGTGCTCAACAGGCACGTGTGGCTAGTGGCTACTGTATTTATTGAACAGCACAGATTTAGAACACTTCCATCTTCACAGTGTGATGTGATGATGTCTACTGGATGTCTATCAGACAGCATGGATATATAACAACAGTAATCAGTACATAAAGGAGACCTTAGCAAGAGAGGCTGACATCATCTGAAAGTGATTATAGCAAACATTATTTTTAAAAACCTGCATAATAGCACAGTGTCCAAAAACCCTGCAAGTGATACAATCAACTTTTGATGATGGTGACACATTAAATACTATATTTCCAATTTCTGAGAGAATATAAAGATTTCTCATTTGCTGAGCAACTCCAATTGCTAAAATGAGGAGGCAAATGTATTCTTATGTGAAAACTAAGAACTAAAGAATGAATTAAAACTGCACCCATTCTTTATATATAAATTTAGTGACTACCTGGTAGGAAATTTTTGAAATGCACACATATGTATATGTACACGTAACATAATTGCCTGTACCTGATTTCTAAGACCCTGAAATTTAATCAGCTTGATGTAGTTTCAACATATTGAATACATTAATTGAATTCATAACATCAAAAAAATTCACTTGAAGGGGTAAGGTATCAGGGGTAGGGTTTTTTACTTTAAAAAAAAATTCACAGGAAAAAAACTATTACCAGATCATCAATAACTGGTTAAACATGAAGGACTAAATTTACACATTTATCTCTGCAACCTTTAAAAAAAAATCTATTAAAATAACAATGAAGAAACAGAAAAGGTATACACCCAGAAAAACATTAAGAAGAGCAGAGGAGACAAAAGCAGACCAGAGATGTCAACCCATTTTTCTAAGATGGAAAGCAGACTTAGCAGGGCAGAGGGCAGAGGAAGCTGAAACCTAAGAGTTTGCACAGTAGAAAATCAATACATTTGCATCACAGAAACTAGGAAGATTCCAAAATTGGAAGCACCAAGTAACACAGAAGGCAGAGGTGAGACACAGGACAGCAAATAAAGGACTGGATGAAAGTCTACATAAGCATTAGACAATTAGCCCTCCCCCAGTCTAGCAGGAGACAAAGGTTTATTCTTTGGAGAAACTGAGCTAGAGGGACCCAAACAGCAGAGGGCACTGGGTGAGGTGCCACTCTGAAAGAGGCAAAGTTAAGGGTAAGTATACATACTGATCGAGGTTCACACAGGATCCCTCTCCCTCTCAGCTCCCAAACATAGGATATCACTCCAGGATATCTCTCTGGAGAAAAAAAATCTACATATTGATGGTTTTATTGGGGGTGGGGTGGGCTAGGAATAGTGACAAACAAAAATGACCTCTCAATATATAATCAATCTACAGTGACATCCACATGTCAAAAAGTCCCTCATCTCTTTAGCCTCACTCTTAACTATAAATTGTTAGCAGAGATCAATAGATACTTGAGGAAAGCCTCAAACAAAATACAGAGCCAAAACAAACCACAGAAAAAGGAACTGGCAAACAAAACTGCAGAGAGCAAGACAACTTCACTGAAAAATTATAATGGTGAATATTTACTGAGCACTTACTCTATGCCAAGTACTTGCACAAGAACTTTACCCTATAAGGTATGTACAAGTATCACTATCTTAACATGAGAAAAAAGAACAGAGATCAGGGTGTAGAGAGAGGGAGGGAGAGAAAAAGAAAGGAGGGAAAAAAGGAAGGAAAGAAGTTATGCGCCTGGTACATAACAGGCAGATAATGATTACCAGATGAATAAATAAATGAACATATGAAAATGTAAAAAATATTGTCTAGTTTTAGTCATGTGAATTTTTGAAAACAAAGCAACAGAAACTTCTGAAAATAAAAGTTTTTGTTTTTTTTTTTTTAAAAAAGACACTTAGTCAAAATCCAAAACACAATTTATAGTCAACCACTGGTTGTAATATACAATCAATGTGACCTTTTGAGGGCACTTTGGTAAGGTCTACCAAAATTCTATACATACATATCCTTTGAACTAGAAATGTTATTGCTATAAATACATAATATGAACATATATGTATAAAATTATACAAGATATGTGTAAGGATATTCACACTTAAGCCCTATTTATAACAGCAAAATAATCAATAGTTTGATACCTATCAATAAAAGACTGGTTAAAACAAATTGTGACGCATCCATCAACGGAATATTTATAGCCTTCAAAAAAGAATAAGGTTGGCTGGGCAAGGTGGCTCACACCAGTAATCCCAGCACTTTGGGAGGCCGAAGCAGGTGGATCGCTTGAGCCCAGGAGTTCAAGACCAGCCTGGGCAACACGGCAAAATCCCGTCTCAACTAAAAATACAAAAAAATGGACAAGCATGATGGTGTGTGCCTGTAGTCCCAGCTACTTGGGAGGCTGAGGTGGGAGAATCACCTAAGCCCAGGAGGTTGAGGCTGTAGTAAGCCGTGATCACACCACTGCACTCTAGCCTGGGTGATGGGCATAAGACCCTGTCAAAACAAAAACCAAACAAACAAATAAATAAATAAATAAAATAAAGAGCAAGGTTGCTTCTCAACTGGATTTCTTACACTAAATTCCAAAAGACATTTCTCCTCTGGAATCTCTAATAAGGGCTACTGAATTATACAAGATGACATATGCCAAATGCAAAATTGCTTTTCATGAGGCTGTTTCTTCTAATGACCTAGAGCAAAACATTAAAACATAGTTCAAAAAGGCCTACAAAGGCTATTTGGTCCACTATGAAACTTCCTGGTGAGCTAACTTGCCAGAAAGACATAACTTTGAGGACCTACAAAAATAAATTCAACATGTATATACTGAGCACCCACTATGTATCAAGGACTGTCCTAGCTACTGGGACAAGCAGGCAACATAAAGTCTTAGTCCTTATGGGGTTTACACCACAATGGATACAGATAACAAGCAAATAAACCAGAAAATATGCATGGTAATTCCTGCTACTTAGAAATACAAAGCAGTGTAAAGGTATGGCTATTAAATATAGGGTAGTCAGATAAGGCCTCACTAATAAGGTAACATTTGATCATAAACCTTAGAAAGTTAGGGAGCAAGCCATGCAGATATCTAAGGGGAGAACAGTCCAAGTTTAAACACCTGAAGCAGGCTTGTGCTTCAACTATGTTTCAGCAACAGTTAACAAGACCAGTATGACTATGTGGGAGTAAAGAAGTGAGTACTAAGAGATGGGATCAGAGAGGCAACCAAAAATATCATTTAGGACCTTATAGGTAATTGTGAAGTCTTTGGCTTCTACTGAGTGAGACAAGAAATCATTAGAAGGTGTTGAGCTGGGGATTGCTGTAATCTGACCGAACCCTTCAAAGGACACAAACAACTACACAGAGATTAGACTGTTGAGAGCAGAACCACTGAAGCAGGAGAACTAATTAGGAGGCTTTTGTAATGATCCAGGCAAGATATGATGGTGGCCTGGACCAGGGTGGGAGTGATGAAAGTGATACGTCAGATTCTAGCTATATTTTTAAGGGAGGGTCAAGAAGTTCTGCTGATAACTCGATGTGGATATAGGAAAAATAATTCCAAAAATGACTAAAAATTTCTGGCATAAACAACTAGAAAGATGGAACTGGTATTTACAAAGCTAGGAAAAACTGTGGGGTGAGCAGTTTTTGGTGGAAGGAAGGGGACCTACATGTCTTTAGATTGTTGTCTCTAATTATCACTTTTTGGATAGACTTCTGACGAGAAATGAATAGCAGACAACTCTACTCTTTTTTCAAAGGCCTAGAATTGCTAAGAGTACGGCCATGTGCTTTGAAAACCAGATAAGCAGGTTCTATTAAAAATTTGAGAAGCCCAATCCTCAAGGCCACCCAACCTCTTTTATGCACACAACTGACAGAAGAGCCTACAAATGTACATCATACTATCTGTTAGCACTTCCTGCAGGTATGATACTTATCAAGGTGCTAAGAAATGAGAAGAACTACAGATGTCAGGCAGAATAAAAATATAATCAAGGACCATCTTCATCTTTGGTCTTTTCTGCTTCCTGCACCTATAGCGTACCAAGTTTAAAAACTGAAAAGTCAATTTAACGTCTTAGTTAAATGAGAAGTTTTAAGAAGCTGTCCCATAAGAGCAGTATAATCTTCTGAAAATTTACTGAGAAGTTACACATGAAGGAACCACTGTTAGCTTGAATCCTTTAAAATCTCAGCAATTATGGCCCAATCTTCAGGACGTCAAAAGTAAACAAGCAGGTCTTATAATTAAGAAAAGCAGGTAAACAGAATAACATTAATGTGTAAATCAACAAAACAAAACATCTTAAATATTATACATATCTAATTTCAAGTCTTCAATCCCAAATATACTAATAATACTCCAGAAAGAAATGTTGGAGGAAATCAGTGAAACTAAATGTAAAGCCAAAAAGTAACCCAATTATTTTACAGAAAAAAGTAAATATATTGGGTTTTTTTTTTTTTGAGACAGAGTCTTGCTCTGTCACCCAGGCTGGAGTGCAGCAGTGCAATCTCGACTCACCATAATCTCTGCCTCCCAGGCTCAAGCAATTCTCATGCCTCAGCCTCCCAAGTAGGTGGGACTACAGGCGTGTACTACTACACCCAGCTAATTTTTTGTATTTTTAGTAGAGACGGGGTTTTGCCATGTTGGCCAGGCTGGTCGTGAACTCCTGGCCTCAAGTGATCTGCCCGTCTTACATTCCAAAGTGCTGGGATTAGAGGCGTGAGTCACCACCGCACCCAGCCCTTTAAATATGATGGTTTCTGACACGAGTAAGGGAACAGACTCTACAACACTTTTTAAAATATCAAATATACTTTGCTTTAACTGCATTAAGTTAAAAAAAAAAGAAGAAGCAATACACAGTTCAGAAAATGGTAAAAAGGGCTCAATGTGGTTGAATGGAAATAGTCAGCCTTGGTGGCTACTGTGCACAAGAATGACGCTAACTCATTGAGATTGCTGTCCTTACCATCCTTTATTCTTACTTTCTGTTGCTGAGTCATAAACCCTACCACTCATGACTGGGCAACCACCAGCACATTTTACTGATTAAGTACCCTAGCAGAACCTAATGGATCCTAACAGAATACAGATTTTGAAAGCAAGTTACCTAAGTGAAAAAAAGATTCGAGTGAACATACATTTAATTTAAAAGAAGGAAATCCTCTGCATCAGTCTTAAGAATCAGTATAGAACAATAAGGCCAGGTGCAGTGGCTCATGCCTGTAATCCCAGCACCTTGGGAGGTCAAGGCGGGTGGATTATTTGAGGTCAGGAGCTCAAGACCAGCTGGCCAAAATGGTGAAACCCCGTCTCTACTAAAAACACAAAAATTAGCTGGGTGGTGGTGGTGCACACCTGTAATCTCAGCTACTTGGGAGGCTGAGGCAGGACAATCACTTGAGCCTGGGAGATGGAAGTTGCAGTGAGCCAAGATCACACCACTGCACTCCAGTCTGGGAGACAGAGTGAGACCCTATCTCCAAAAAAAAAAAAAAAAAAAAAGAATCAGTGTAGAACAATAAGAAGTTAATGAGCAGAAGATCAGAGAGAGAGCTCTCTGGGTAGAATCCTGGGAACTGTGTTAGCTTGAAAAAGTACCTTTATCTCAGAAGCTTTCTCATTTCTAAATTAGACAATCAGGCAGATTAACTGAAGTTCTATATGTAAAACATTTTATACACTATCTGACACAGAGTAATTCAAAAAATATTAGGTATTATTATTAATAGTAGTAACAACATTCATAATAATAAATACTCATTTGTTCATCTGCAAAGGAAGAAAGACCACTTAACCTTGGTGACTTCAAAAGAAAGCTGGCTTCATTTATTTTATTACCTTTTAATGTCTCCTTATGAGAAAAATTAAAATAATTATTATGTACTATAATTTAATTGTATTTACTTCTATAAAATCAAAATACCAAGATTGTGTACCGAAATAAAAACTTCTAGAAAGATGTTAAAAGAATAAAGGAAAATAACCAAAAGTACTTTTCTTTCTTTCTTTTTTTTTTTTTTTTTTTTTGAGATGGCATTTCACTGTTGTTGCCCAGGCTGGAGTGCAATGATGCAATCTCGGCTCACTGCAACCTCCGCCTCCCAGATTCAAGTGATTCTCTCACCTCAGCCTCACGAGTAGCTGGGATTACAGGCATGCGCCACCACCCCTGGCTAATTTTTTGTATTTAGTAGAGATGGGGTTTCACCATGTTGGACAGGCTGGTCTCAAACTCCTGACCTCAGGTGATCCACCCGCCTCAGCCTTCCAAAGTGCTGGGATTACAGGCGTGAGACACCACACCCGGCCCAATAGCACTTTTCAAAAGAATAGTGAATATATGCTCTATGTTTTCAATATATATAATTACATAATATCATCTTTTCTAACAAAGCAAAAACAAGATATCTAAATATTGATATAGAGGTTTGTGAATAATTTTTAGAGTCATACACACTGATAAAACTGATAAATGAACTGACAGAAGGACTCCATCCCCCAAGAATATATGGTTCGTTAGTATACATAGACAATGTCTATCTTGTTTACTACTTTAGTCCTTGGCATACAATAAAGTCTCAATAAACATTTGCTTAATGAACAAGCCATAGATATTCCTAAAAATAAATGCAAACATTCCTAAGTTCACAGAAAGCTAGTAAACTATAGCAAAAATTAGCATTTTGTAATTTTATGGGTTCAGAGCTCACTGCTTTAAAAAGTTAGATGTAACTCTTGTTAAGTTCAGAGATATTTTAAAAAATCAATAGTTACAAATATCAATACGTTGATACTGCTTTAGAAAACAGTAACAGGAATTCAACTTAAAAACTATTAATAATGATCTGCACACAACTGCAAGAGGGCCGAACAGGAATGGCTCCAGTCTGCAGCTCCCAGCATGATCAACGCAGAAGATGGGTGATTTCTGCATTTCCAGCTGAGGTACCTAGTTCATCTCACTGGGACTGGATGGGCAGTGGGTGCAGCCCATGGAGGGCTAGGAAAAGCAGGGTGGGGCACTGCCTCACCCAGGAAGCGCAAGGGGTCAGGGGATATCCCTTTCTTAGCCAAAGGAAGCCATGACAGACTGCCTGGATAAACGGGACACTTCCACCCAAATACTGTGCTCTTCCCATGGTCTTAGCAACCGGCAGACAAGGTGATTCTCTCCCGTGCCTGGCTCAGTGGCTCCCACGCCCACAGAGCCTTGCTCACTGCTAGCACAGCAGTCTGAGATGGATCTGTGAGACAGCCCCCTGGCTGGAGGAGGGGTGTCCTCCATTGCTGAGGCTTGAGTAGGTAAACAAAGCCACCTGGAGGCTCAAACTGGGCGGAGCCCACTGCAGATCAACAAGGCCTACTGCCTCTACGCTTCACCTCCATGGGCAGGGCATAGCTGAATAAAAGACAGCAGACAACTTCTGCAGACTTCAATGTCCCTGTCTGACAGCTCTGAAGAGAACAGTGGTTCTCCCACCACAGCGTTTGAGCTCTGAGAACAGACACAATGCCTCTTCAAGTGGATCCCTGACCCCCGTGTAGCCTAACTCGAAGACACCTCCCAGTAAGGGCCGAAAGACACCTCACATAGTTCGGTGCTCCTCTGGGACGAAGCTTCCAGAGGAAGGAACAGGCAGTAATATTTGCCGTTCTGCAGCCTCCACTGGTGATACCCAGGCAAACAGGGTCTGGAGTGGACCTCCAGCAAACTCCAACAGACCTGCAGCTGAGGGACCTGGCTGTTAGAAGGAAAACTAACAAACAGAAAGGAATACCATCAACATCAATAAAAAGGTCATCTACACCAAAACCCCATTTGTAGGTCACCAACATCAAAGACCAAAGGTAGACAAAACCACAAAGATGGGGAGAAACCAGAGCAGAAAAGCTAAAAATTCTAAATCAGAGTGCCTCTCCTCCTCCAAAGGATAGCAGCTCCTCGCCAGCAATGGAACAAAGCTGGACAGAGAATGACTTTCACAAGTTGACAGAAGTAGGCTTCAGAAGGTCGGTAATAACAAACTACTGCAAGATAAAGGAGGATGTTCAAACCCATAGCAAGGAAGCTAAAAACCTTGAAAAAAGGTTAGACGAATGGCTAACTAGAATAAACAGTGTAGAGAAGACCTTAAATGACCTGACAGAGCTGAAAACCATGGCACGAGAACTTCGTGACGCATGCACAAGATTCAATAGCTGATTCAATCAAGTGGAAGAAAGGGTATCAGTGATCGAAGATCAAATTAATGAAATAAAGTGAGAAGACAAGGTTAGAGAAAAAAGAGTCAAAAGGAACAAACAAAGCCTCCAAGAAATATAGGACTATGTGAAAAGACCAAATCTACATTGGATTGGTGTATCTGAAAGTGATGGGGAATGGAACCAACCTGGAAAACACTCTTCAGGATATTATCCACTAGAACTTTCCCAGCCTAGCAAGGTAGGCCAACATCCAAATTCAGGAAATACAGAGAACACCACAAAGATACTCCTCAACAAGAGCAACCCCAACACACATAATTGTCAGATTCAACTTGAAATGAAGGAAAAGATGTTAAGGGCAGCCAGAGAGAAAGGTCGAGTTACCCACAAAGGGAGGCCCATCAGACTAACAGATCTCTCGGCAGAAACCCTACAAACCAGAAGAGACTGGGGGCCAATATTCAACATTGTTAAAGAAAAGAATTTTCAACACAGAATTTCATATCCAGCCAAACTAAGCTTCATAAGTGAAGGAGAAATAAAATCCTTTACAGACAAGCAAATGCTGAGAGAGTTTGTCACCACCAGGCCTGCCTTACAAGAGCTCCTGAAGGAAGCACTAAACATGGAAAGAAAACAACCAGTACCAGCCACGGCAAAAACAGGCCAAACTGTAAAGACCATCGATGTTACGAAGAAACTGCATTAATTAACAGGCAAAATAACCAGCTAATATCATAATGACAGGATCAAATTCACATATAACAATATTAACCTTAAATGTAAATGGGCTAAATGCCCCAATTAAAAGACACAGACTGGCAAATTGGATAAAGAGTCAAGACCCATCAGTGTGCTGTATTCAGGAGATGCATCTCATGTGCAAAGAGGCACACAGGCTCAAAATAAAGGGATGGGGGAAGATCTACCAAGCAAATGGAAGGCAAAAAAAAAAAAAAAAAAAAGCAGAGGTTGCAATCCTGGTCTCTGATAAAACAGACTTTAAACCAACAAAGATCAAAAGAGACAAAGAAGGCCATTACATAATGGTAAAGGGATCAATTCAACAAGAAGAGCTAACTATCCTAAATATATATGCACCCAATACAAGAGCACCCAGATTCATAAAGCAAGTCCTTAGAGACCTACAAAGAGACTTAGACTCCCACACAATAATAATGGGATACTTTAACACCCCACTGTCAATATCAGACAGATCAACAAGACAGCAGGTTAACAAGGATATCCAGGACCTGAACTCAGCTCTGCAACAAGCAGACCTAATAGACACCTACAGAACTCTCCACCCCAATTCAACAGAATATACATTCTTCTCAGCAACACATTGCACTTATTCTAAAATTGACCACATAATTGGAAGTAAAGCACTCCTGAGCAAATGTAAAAGAACTGAAATCACAACAAACTGTCTCTCAGACCACAGTGCAATCAAATTAGAACTCAGGATTAAGAAACTCACTCAGAACTGCTCAGCTACATGGAAACTGAACAACCTGCTTCTGAATGACTACTGGGTAAATAACGAAATGAAGGCAGAAATAAAGATGTTCTTTGAAACCAATAAGAACAAAGACACAACATATCAGAATCTCTGGAACACATTTAAAGCAGTGTGTAGAGGGAAATTTATAGCACTAAATGCCGACAAGAGAAAGCAGGAAAGTTCTAAAATCGACACCCTAACATCACAATTAAAAGAACTAGAGAAGCAAGAGCAAACAAATTCAAAAGCTAGCAGAAGGCAAGAAATAACTAAGATCAGAGCGGATCTGAAAGAGATACAGACACAAAAAACCCTTCAAAATATCAATGAATCTAGGAACTGGTTTTTTAAAAAGATCAACAAAATTGATAGACCACTAGCAAGACTAATAAAGAAGAAAAGAGAGAAGAATCAAATAGACACAATAAAAAATGACAAAGGGGATATCACCAACGATCCCAAAGAAATACAACCTACCATCAGAGAATACTATAAACACCTCTATGCAAATAAACTAGAAAATCTAGAAGAAATGGATACATTCCTGGACACATACACCCTCCCAAGACTAAACCAGGAAGAAGCTGAATCTCTGAATAGACCAATAACAGGCTCTGAAATTGAGGCAATAATTAATAGCGTACCAACCAAAAAACGTCCAGGACCAGATGGATTCACAGACAAATTCTACCAGAGGTAAAAAGAGGAGCTGGGACCATTGCTTCTCAAACTATTCCAAACAGGGAATCCTCCCAAACTGATTTTATGAGGCCAACATCATCCTGATACCAGAGCCTGGCAGAGACACAACAAAAAAAGAGAATTTTAGACCAACATTACTGATGAACATCAATGCGAAAATCCTCAATAAAATATTAGCAAACCGAATCCAGCAACAGCACATCAAAAACCTTATCCATCATGATCAAGTCGGCTTCATCCTTGGGATGCAAGGCTGGTTCAACATACGCAAATCAATAAAGGTAATCCATCACATAAACAGAACCAATGAAAAAAACCACATGATTATCTCAACAGATGCAGAAAAGGCCTTTGACAAAATTCAACAGTGCTTCATGCTAAAAACTCTCAATAAACTAAGTATTGATGGAACATATCTCAAAATAGTAAGAGCTATTTATGACAAACCCACAGCCAATATCATACTGAATAGGCAAAAATGGGAAGCACTCCCTTTGAAAACCCGCACAAGACAAGGATGCCCTCTCTCACCACTCCTATTGAACACAGTGTTAGAAGTTCTGGCCAGGTCAATCAGGCAAGAGAAGGAAATGAAGGGTATTCAATTAAGAAATCAGGAAGTCAAACTGTTCCTGTTTGCAGATGATATGATTGTATATTTAGAAAACCCCATCGTCTCAGCCCAAAATCTCAAGCTGATAAGCAACTTCAGCAAAGTGTCAGGGTACAAAATCAATGTGCAAAAATCACAAGCATTCCTATACACCATTAACAGACAAACAGAGCCAAATCATGAGTGAACTCCCATTCACAATTGCTACACAGAGAATAAAATACCTAGGAATCCAACTTACAAGGGATGTGAAGGAACTCTTCAAGGAGAACTACAAACTACTGCTCAAGGAAATAAAAGAGGACACAAACAAATGGAAGAACATTCCATGCTCATGGATAGGAAAAATCAATATCGTGAAAATGGCCATACTGCCTGAAGTAATTTATAGATTCAATGCCATCCCCATCAAGCTACCAATGACTTTTTTCACAGAATTGGAAAAAACTAAAGTTCATATGGAACCAAAAAAGAGTCTGCATTGCCAAGACAATCCTAAGCAAAAAGAACAAAGCTGGAGGCATCACACTACCTGACTTCAAACTACACTACAAGGCTACAGTAACAAAAACAGCATGGTACTGGTACCAAAACACAGATATAGACCAATGGAACAGAACAGAGCCCTCAGAAATAACACCACACATCTACAACCATCTGATCTTTGACAAACCTGACAAAAACAAGAAATGTGAAAAGGATTCCCTATTTAATAAATGGTGCTGGGAAAACTGGCTAGCCATATGTAGAAAGCTGAAACTGGATCCCTTCCTTACACCTTATACAGAAATTAATTCAAGATGCATTAAAGACTTAAATGTTAGACCTAAAACCATAAAAAATCTAGAAGAAAACCTAGGCAATACCATTCAGGACACAGGCATGGGCAAGGACTTCATGTCTAAAACACCAAAAACAATGGCAACAAAAGCCAAAATAGGCAAATGGGATCTAATTAAACTAAAGAGCTTCTGCACAGCAAAAGAAACTACCATCAGAGTGAACAGGCAACCTACAGAATGGGAGAAAATTTTTGCAAACTACCCATCCGACAAAGGGCTAATATCCAGAATCTACAAAGAACTCAAAAAAATTTACAAGAAAAAAACAACCCCATCAAAAAGTGAGCAAAGGATATGAACAGACACTTCTCAAAAGAAGACATCTACGCAGCCAATAGACACGTGAAAAAAATACTCATCATCACTGGTCATCAAAGAAATGCAAATCAAAACCAAAATGAGATATCATCTCATGCCAGTTAGAATGGCAATCATTAAAAAGTCAGGAAAAAACAGATGCTGGAGAGGATGTGGAGAAATAGGAATGCTTTTACACTGTTGGTGGGAGTGTAAATTAGCTCAACCATTGTGGAAGACAGTGTGGCGATTCCTCAAGGATCTAGAACTAGAATTACCATTTGAGCCAGCAATCCCATTACTGGGTATATACCCAAAGGATTATGAATCATGCTACTATAAAGACAAATGCACACATGTTTATTGCAGCACTATTCACAATAGTAAAGACTTGGAACCAACCCAAATGTCCATCAGTGATAGACTGGATTAAGAAAATGTGGCACATATACACCATGGAATACTATGCAGCCATAAAAAAGGATGAATTCATGTCCTTTGTAGGGACATGGATGAAGCTGGAAACCATCACTCTCAGCAAACTATCACAAGGACAGAAAACCAAACACATGTTCTCACTCATAGATGGGAATTGAACAATGAGATCACTTCGACACAGGGCAGGGAACATCACACACTGGGGCCTGTCAGGGGGTGGGGGTGCTGGGGGAGGGATAGCATTAGGAGAAATACCTAATGTAAATGATGAGTAGATGGGTGCAGCAAACCAACATGGCACATGTGTACCTATGTATCAAACCTGCACATTGTGCACATGTACCCTAGAACTTAAAGTATAAAAAATAATAATAATGATCTATGTAGAAATCAGAAACCACAATTCAATAAGCATAAAAAGCTTTAAAGAGAGTGAATTTATTACCAAAAAATATGAAATGTTATTTGAGAGAACATTTGAAGACATATCACTTCATAGACTGACCTTCCTTAATGAAACTCTCACCTAGAAACTACTCCTGGAATATTTGAGTCAATTTTAGATACATCAACATCTGACAGCTATAGAAAAAAATCAGGTTATTTCTGAAAGCAACAAAAGAGACAATTAGAATAGAGAAAGATATAAGCTTTCCCTGTGATAATTACATATAAATAACGCACTGATAAAACCAATAAATGAACGGATAAAAGCCTGTCCTCCCAAGAATATAAGCTTCATTAGTACATACAGACCATGTCTATCTTGTTTACAACTTTCATAAAGTTGTAGGGTCAAAATTAAGCAAGAGTTATAAAATAGTCGAAAGTACAGAAAGAACAATTCTTGTAACCCAATAACCTAACACAACAGCAGTTACATAGTTAGCACTCAATGAACAGTTGGGGAGAAAACGAAAAAATATATATATTCTTTTTCTGAGCTCCTATAATGAATGCTTTAAAATTTTGTTACTTACAAGAAAATTCCCAACTGATAAAAATAATAACAAAAAAATTAAAATTCTTAGGATGAACTAGTAGATGGAAGGAACATATATTCTTTTTAATTAACTAATAGTAACTCAATATTGAAACACTTGCCAATGACCAGCACCAACTGTCTTCTTTCCTCTTCTTTATTCCAAAGACAAAAATGAACATTTGTCTTTCAAGTTAGATACACAGCACACTCTCTTTAGTTGCACCTAAGCAATAAAATCAGCATTGCTTGCCAATAAAAATATAAAAGTAATTCAAAATTTTAAAGAATTGCCTTTAATAAGTTTTTAAAGATTAGATGCTTTACACTGATTAATACCATGAGATTCAAGGCGTTATAAACACAGCTTCTAAATTTATGTAAGTCACATGAACAAAGTTATTCAAATTCTAGATAGGTAGCAATCCATTTTCAGTCCAACCAGGTAAAGCTATCCTTAGACAGCAGACCTCAGGTTTTTCTTCTTTAGAACAAAGCTTCTATTTATTTCCTAATTAAATTTGAAATATTTTATGTAAGAATTCACTAACGACTACTCGCAAGCATGCAATGCCATTTTCAGGACACAAAATAAAAATGATTGTGAATTTTAATTCATATCCTTTTTCAACCAGACACAAAGGAAAATTTGTGACAATTGAAGAATTATTTTCTACCTTACTGAAGAGGCACAATTTAAAATTAAAAACCATGAACAAATCTATCTATAAAATAATTCATTTTTATATCAAACAGCTGCAGACCCTGTAATTGAAATAAGGTATCTAAGGTTATAAATGAAAAGTGTTAGGTATCATTCTTGACGCAACAGATTAAGTTCCTAATCCAGTTACCATAACAGCCATATTTGTAGTTTAACATAAATTAAGACCTTAATTATATTTGTGACTATTTTAAACAAAATAACAAATTCCTTTGTACCTGTGAATGTAATTTATAGCAAAGCCAGGTTCATTTTCCAAACCAATCTATTTCACACTGCAGAAGTACTCTGGTATAACAGTATAATGTAATTCTTGTTGTAGAATGTTCAAAGAATAGATTCACTAAAAGCACAGAAGGGGTTTGAAGATAAATGAAGATGCTATTCATTCAAGGGTAATTTCATCTTAGAACTATATGAAAGATGTTTCACTCACACAGGGTAGTGTATGGCCTCAAATTTAAGTGTATTTTCAGCTCAAATATAATGCTGCTAGATTGATTATGTTGATATTGTATATCTAATAATGAAAAATTCTAGCCTTTTTCTGTTTTAAAAAAAGGCTGTTGTTTTTCCATCTTACTACTGTATCTTTATGGTTCTGTTTAATAGCAACAAACTATAAAATCCTGCTTGCTATTTACTTTTTAAACAAAAAAGTACACAGCTGATATTCTAAGTTGCAATCTCTCAGAACTACAGGAGTGTGAATTTTCGTTAAGTTAAATACGTATTTATATCAGTAAACCATTACCCTTTAAAAACATTTTACATTATTTCACTAATTACTAAAAACAACAACTCCTATAGCCACCTAATTCTATTTTGAATATACTTCATTTCCACAAATTCTACACTGCCTAATTTTAATGTTGTATATACACCATGCCATTTAAGTGTTGAGAAACTAATATTGAGATTTGTTTTTTAATCTGCTAAATTCTATTTGCAATTTAAGTTCACAATTATCTTGATAAAGATCACATTTTATATACTGAAATAATCCAAGGTCTTATGAGCATAAATCAGCAAAATGCTTTAACATTTCTGACACACAAACTATAATAATGTAAGACAATCAGTCTGAAGAATTTAAACTCAGTGATATCAAAGAAACATCTGCAGCCTCCATTTTGCTTGTCTGGAATACTGAAAAGGACTTTACAAGTCTCTATATCTCATAAATGTTCACTAAATTCTATTTATCCCTTAGCTTTCCTTTCCTTCATCTAATCCTGAAAGTGAATTCAGAAGCCTCATCTGACAGAGGATGATCAAATTGAGAGGAATGTACAAATTTTAAAAACCTAAAACTTTATACTTTATGAGGCTTTAATAAAGTTTTGTCAATTTTTAAATCTTTTTCATAAAATATTATATTATTTATTAAAATATGTCCACTCATGTCATCCTACTTCTATTTACATCAGGTTTAAACTGATCCTTTAAAATGGCATAAAACCCTGAACAACTCATTTAAAACAAAATGTATCCAATCAAACTGAAAATTCAAAATCATTTCCTCTAAAATTCTGCAGGTAGCTGTCTACTATGGCCATTTAAATGACAAGACAAATTTACAGCAGCTGTATTTTCACACTCAAAGTTTTGTCTCTAAGGCAGTAATCAACCTGCAGCCTCAAAAGAAAGACAGATATTCCTCTCTCCTGCCCTTTCCCAAACACTACATTTGGATATTAGCATTAGCCAATAATTAATACATCCTTCTAGAAAGCATCATTTGCTAAAAGGAAAATGCAAGGGTCAGCTAAGTATTTATCATCAAATCTGAAATGTGAGTGTTCATGGCCCAGCATTAATGGGGCCTATAAAAATGCTGACTTTTGGTCAGGTGCAGTGGCTCACACCTGTAAACCCAGCACTTTGGGAGGCTGAGATGGGTGGATCATTTGAGGTCAGGAGTTCAAGATCACCCTGGCCAACATGGTGAAACCCCGTCTCTATTAAAAATACAAAAAAATAGCTGGGCTTGGTGGCACACACCTGTAATCCCAGCTACTCAGAAGGCTGAGGTGGGAGAATCACTTGAACCTGGGAAATGGAGGTTGCAGTGAGCCAAGATCACGCCACTGCACTCCAGCCTGGGCGACAGAGCTAGACTCCATCTCAAAAAAACAAAACAAAACAAAATGCTGACTTTTAAATTATATACTACATTCAACAGAAATAAAATAGTTTTTTTCTGTTGTCTTCCCTTTCATTTTTAGAGAAAAGTATTTATTAACAAAGAGTAAGAAAAAGTAAAAATATTAAATGGAACAAGAACATTCTCCTTCACTTTACCTTAAATGCTATTCTTACTTGAAGTAAAAAGGACAAAGTAAGATTACTTGTTCATGCAATATTCTAATAATGATCATCAGTTTGAGACACTCTAAAAAACAAATTCAAATTTTTATAATATCTAGATTAAGCCATACAAAAAAAAAAAAAAAACACCAGCTTTTTAAAACTGGCTTCACATACATGAAGCGAAATTCTTTCTAAAACTTACTAGAAAGTCTCTGTTGTGCAACGGCTAGCACATTGGACTTCTAAAACTTATTAGAAAGTAACATTTTATTATATAAAGACACTCACAAAATATGTACATAAATCTTTGAAGTCAAAATAGGCACTAATTCTGTATTTGACATCTTACATTCCTATTCCTTTCACTTTTTTCAAAAGAATTTCCCATTTATTACCTAACTTGAGCTTCATAATATTATAGAGGTAAGACTATCTTTATCCCATTTCAAAGATACAAAAGCTAAGACATGTTCTTTTACTCCTTAATGTAAACTATTAATCATAAGATATAATTTACTAAGAAATGTCAGAAGTAATTTGTGATTAAATGATCACTTATTGTTAGGTGAAACTTCAATATCTGTTATCACTGGACTAGACCAATATGCAGCAAAGTGTTATGAGTGTGGACTGTCGATCCAGACTTCCTGGGTCTGCATTCCAGCTGTGCCACATACTATTTATGTAACTTTGAGCTCACTGTTTAACCTCTCTGCCTTACCTTCCTAATCTGTAGGAAAATAGGAATAATAATAGTACCTACCTCATAGGGTAGCTGTGTGAAAGGATTATTTATGATACCTACCTTATACAGCACTTACCTCATACAGTTGTTATAAGGATTAAATGGGTTAATATGAATTAAGAGCTCAGCACAGTGACAAGCACAGGTGGCACTCAACCAATGTCGTTGTTGTTTTCTGTTTATCTCCACAATTTGTGGGTTCTATGAAATGTGGGCGAAGCATCTTTGAGCTTCAGTTTCCACATCTTTAAAATGAGGATAATAATAGTACTGTGCACTAGGGTCATGGGAAGGATTGAACGCAATGCTCCACATAAAAGCTTTCAATAGAGTGTCTTATACAATAAAAGTATTCAATAAATACTGTTTTAAAATATATTATTCAGTATCAATAAAATTTTGTTTGCATTAAAGCATTCAATATTAATTTTTAGATAAAGAATGATACAAAAGTTAATGTTCACACAAACACAAACATGTCCAAAAAAGATTCTTACACATAACATTTGTTTTCAATTACTCTAGTGTTTTCAGGTACTATGAAGGCTGCAAGCTTCCATTCCTCTTACTAACATTGAATACGTGTATTTCTTTCAAAGAATTAGGAGAGAAAGAAGTAATAAACAGCATTCATTGCATATTTACAATATGCCAGGTACTCTTCTAAGTGCTTTACATATGTTAACATATTCAATCCTCACATTCAATATGTTAACATATTCAATCCTATCCTACCCAACAGGATAGCTTCTATTATATTTCTATTTTACATTTGAGCAAACTTGAAACAAAGAGCTCTATTTAGGGTTTGCTGTTTTTTGAAACAGATACCAATTGGAATCTTCTATAAAAGACAGCATATACTCAATCAATAGACATAAACTTCTTAAATAAAACAATTTGGCCAAAACCTTTGAGAGCATATATGTATTTGCTCATATTGTATTCTAAACCTGCAGTGTCTAACACAAAAGCCACTAGCTACACGAGACTAGTGGGCATTTGAAATCTGGCTAGCATAAATTGAGAGGTACTGTAAGTGTAAAATACACATCAGATTTTGAACTTAATATAAAAAGTCCCATTAATAAATTATGTATTGGTTACATACTAAAATAATATTTGGATATACTGGGTAAAATAATGCATATTATTAAAATACATTTTGCCAATTTCTTTTTACTTTTGTTAAATGAGGCTTCTAGAAAATTTCAAATCACAAATGTGGCCAACATTGTGTATTTATTAGATGGCTGGTTTGGATTTGGGGGTAACAGAGAATAGTAACAGAGAATTATTATCAAAGTTACTTTTTCCAGTCAGCATAAGCTTAAGTCCTTCAAAGCACAAGTACAGAATGGAAGATATCTCTCTCTCTCTCTCTGTCTCTCTAGTGTGTGCATGTGTGTATAATACTGCATATATACACATTCGGCTCAAGGGACCAGAGAAACATGCTATACTAATACTTCAGTATACTCAACATACAAGAGTGAAGGAAAGCAAATCTAAGGGGAAATAGCTACAGGAAAAAAAAATTATTTTTAAACTGAAATCATAAAAGTTCTTAGAGTTCAAAAAGACCCAATCACTTAGTTTTGGGGGTATAATAAACACCAAGTGTATGTGTTAAGTAAAATTTAAATTTCCTAATGGCCTAACTGGCAGACTATTAAAATATCTGATGTTTGATATCTGGTATCTTCTAGAAAATAATCCAGTTTGTGGATACCTGTCACATTGTTTTGATCAATTTTATACATCAAATGTAGGCCTTTAACTGATTCTTCTAAACAAATGCTGGCCCACTATATAGAAGAAAATTACTCCATAAAGTTTATATCAGATAACTGGAAAAGTCACATTTATAGTCATGGCTACTATCAGCTGTCAAGCCAAAGAATATTGAAGAAAACCAAGAAATTTTAATATATGCTGCGTAATTTATCATCGAAGTGACATATGTAGGATAAAAACATTGAAATGGTTAAGGAAAATTCTACATTGTAAAAGGTCCTTTTTTCTGGTTTTATTTTTAATTGCAACTATGATTTGAGAAAGCAAATTAATAGAAATCATAAAAATAGAATTAACAAATAAAATACACACTAAGATTTATTTTTTCCCCCCTTCTCCGGGTTATTTAAAACGTTAGTTTTTTTAAATGGTAATATACTGGTATTTTGGTTTGTACTGAAAACTGGCTAACTCACCTATTCCAGGGTTTGTCAACCTTGACAAATCTATTTACATTTGGGGCTGGATAATTCTTTGTTGTGCAGGGACCACTCTGTATGTTTTAGGATTTTTAGCAGCATCTCTGGCATCTACCCAATGGATGAGAATAGCACTCAACCCTTCAACCGTTTTGACGAGCAAAAACACTTAAATATTGTCAAATGTCACAGGGTGGTGGTAGGGGGAGTACTAAAGAGCTGCCCAGTTGGAAACCACTGTCTATTCCTACCCAAAATACCTTTCTATTTGATGAAAATTACTTCAGCACTTCCTAAACTAGTATTATGTAGTTTTAGGGGCTCTTCCTAGGGGATCCCGATAGCTTCAGCAGGGAAATCAGTAAACCTACTGAAACCACATGCAGAATAGCCTGGCTATATTTTCTGTTAAAATGTTCTATAGCTTTTGCCAGATCCTGAAAGGGTTATCCCCAAAATAGCAATTTTAAAAGGGTTAAGAATCAGTGCTTCAACTAAAATATTCACAGTGCCTTCAAACTGTCTTTCCAAAGATATAAAGATTGAAAATATTATTTTATACACAGCAAATCATTTACTTTTACATTGGTTATCAAGGCATGACTACTTTCACCACACTTATAAACCATTCATACAACAGACATTTAGTGGATACAGTCTACATGCTCAGTCCTATGTTAAACTACACAAGCTAAGTAAATGGCAGCTAAATATGCAAAATGTTTGGATAACTATAATTCCATAACCTACATCATAAACATTGTTTTTTAAGCAAACCATCCCCAAGTATCCTATTCTTCCTATAATGCAGCTTAAAGTTTACAGGGGCACTAATTTTTTTTGGATTATACAAATGTTATATACAACTTGAAGAGCTGTTACATTTCATAAATGGTTTGGGGATAATAAACACTCATGTAATCAATAAATATATGAGGAGTGGCTAGAGAACCAGAACATTGCTACAGGATTACCAAACAGATTAAAAGCTAGAGGCCAATGAGTGCAATGAGCAAAACAATGCTTAAAAATATGTGATAAATAAATCTTAACGAATTAGAAAATAATTGTGAGTCCACAAATGAACATATCACCCCAAATAATCAACACCATCATATCCAGCCAAAAGCAAAACAACTGCTAAGACACAGAATGTGCCTACCACATAAAAGTGATTTCTAAAAAAAAAAAAAATTTATGTTTATTTTATATACTGACAATTAACTGAATAATATTACATAATAAAATTATTCTTCACAAAGAAGCAATGTTATATAGATAATGGTAAATCACACAGAAAAAAATCTAAACATATAGTATCAGACATTTTGGAAGGGGAAAAATATAACTGCAAGTCAAAATGATGCAAACCACCTAGGGGGTGAAAAAGATATTACATTATTTACATATTTACCTGCACTGCAAGAGAAGCTGCATTGTCAGAAAGTAAAATTTGCTCCCCTGTGGAAATACAATGAAGCATAAATGTTAACCAAGTAGAATATAGTATTTTTATTTTTAAAAAGTATTTCTATTTATTCAAAGGTATCGCCTACCACTAAATTCTAAAGTTTTATATCAATGTTAATATATAATTATAATTTTGATTAAATTATCACAAATAATGATAAACTAGGACAGTTTCCTCTAAAACTATTTGATCACTTATTTTATCAGCAATGTAATTAAAATTGTTTACTTAAAATCCAATTCATTTTTCAAGTTTTCAAGAAATGTTCCTCTTCATTAAAATTAAGTAAAATCTGGTGAAACCTTTCTAGTTAAAAGTAAAAGCATTCACAATAATATAAAACCAGCTTGCAGTTAATATTGCACAGTGTGTCTAGGTCCGTCACACAAAAGAAAGATGACAAGTTCGTGGCAATAAAAATTCCATGCTTAGAAGACTAGGGCTGCTGCCTATTAGTCTTCATTACTTTGCAGTCTTCTGACAACTGTAGCAGGCTGCTAAGCCCCAAATGGGGTCCATAATGTGATCTGATGATATATGAAGAGCTGCTAAAGGGAGCCTGAACCATCCTAGCCTATACATTTTAACAGTTCCTTTTTACTGAGAGCCCACTTTACCACAGGACTTCAAAAATCTGCTGTCTCAGCTATTGGTGCAGTAAATCTGCCAACTGCTCCTGCAACCACATCATTTTACACCGCCTACAGCAGCCAATATAATGAGTCAATAATAAACTAAGGACCTTATAGGCCATGAATAGTTGGTTTACACTGGCAGATACAAGTTCAGGTAAAACCTCCTAGACAAATTATACAAGGGAATCCCTTCTTTACATTTTATATTCTCTTTGCAGTAAATTGTATTACTGAGGATTTTTCCGTAATAAATATAGTTTGATACAAAGCCATTTTTAATTGTGAACAAGACTTACCTTTCAATTGCTGATATAATGTAGCATTTTCAGGCCAAGGTTCTGCAGCTATGGAAACAAGGCAGTGATAATTAGGCACATAAAGCAAAAACATATCAATAACAAACCAAATTAATAAGCATGTACATTTGCCTACAGCATTTAAAGTCATTTGCTAAGGTTGACTTATACATGGCAACTAATCACACTATCTTAGATTCTATGGTAACCTGTATAAGTAGGTTAGATAACTTGTTTTAAAAGCATGTTTGGTTTATTGTTTGGTGATTGTTTTTTAATGGGGAAGAGGGGAAGATACCTTGCCCAATCCAAAATGAGAATAAAAAAAACAAAATAGCTCATATGCTACAATTCCTTTAGCTTCTTTCAAACACAGACATATCCTAAATATTACTCATATGTATAAAAAGATACTGATGTTTAATTCACTACAAAAAATTGTAGTGAAATAATATTTTTAATATTTTACGGCAAACTTTTAACAAAGTAAAATTTCAAGCAGACATTGTAAGAAAGAATCAAATATATCTGTATCAAGCTGTCCATCTTTCCCCACAATCTGGCAGTATTTAAAAATACAGAGGAATCCTGTTGTATTCCAGAAGATTTCATTGCCTTGACCCTACCAACACCACCCCACAAACACAATTAGAGCAAAGTTGCATGATGAAGCATTACATACCTACAATGTGAAATAATGCCAGTAAAGATAATTTTAGGCCTGAAATGAAACTTGACTTGACCCTTAATCTCTCATCCAGAGAAGACTGCAGCTACAAAGAGAATATTACCAACCTCCCAGTGTTTGGGAAAAGTACTAGATTTGAATTTTGTCTAATCAACTGCACTTAAGAAGCAATGGCTCCACTGACAGAATATATAGGATATCAGGATATCACTTGCTGGATTCTCCTTTGTAAAAGCCATAAAACATCAGAATCACCCATTTTAATAACATAACTACATTTGCTCTCAGCAACTAAATATATGAGATTTGATAATAATTGATATATTTCTAATTGTGTTTATACTACTTTAGTCTCTGTGACATAGCAACAAATAACTTTAATATATAATTCTGGCTGATTTTTTAAAAGAAATTTATACATGTGAAGCATTTTTTTCTTAAGACTGATCATTTAAAATGTTCTAAAGCAATCCCTGGAATAGGAAAAAGGAACTCCTTAATTTGCTTTTACTTATGCTTTAGAATAAAAAGAAAAACACAGTATTATTACAATAAATAACAAATGTGACTTTTAGGTTTAGTTTGGTTTGGGCTACACAAAATTAAACTTGTATTTAGAGATAATGCCATGAAAACATCAAGTAAATAATGAACTACACATAGTTTTGTATGCTGTCACACACAATACTACACATATACGTAAGGGACTGAATTTCAACGCACATACCAACACAGCAATGAAACAAAATATTTTGCTGTCAACTTTTAACAAAGTAAAATTTCAATAAGAACCCAATTAACTTGTATAACAGTTTTTTAAATAAAAGGAAACAAAAACAAGCTGACATTAGCCAATTACTCAAAAAATAACCTTTTAGGATAAATTGTATGGTCAGCACACCTATATTGCTTACATCTATACTAAAAACAATACAATGAGATTCGTTATAAAATTCTAAATCATCAAAGATTCAATTATATGCATTACATTAATCTTACTAGCAATAAAGCATAGTAATAAAATTCACAAAATTTCAAAGAATAAATATTGAAATCAAGTTCCTTGGAGGCACAGATGTGTCATATGCATCTGTGTACCCCACACTGTACTACGATTTGCATACAGTTGATGTTAATTGTCTGTAGAAAGAAAGAAGATATTTGATTAAACCTACCATTTAATTCCCTAAACATGCTGGCTAATTAAAGTTTTACTCAATATTATCATCTATGTTAAGGTAACAGGATATTCTAATTTAAAATTGTGGTAATTTTAACTCTTAGTTAGCTATTTTGTGCACATACTAGGCATGCATTACAAATTTTTAAAACAATTAAGTATTAGGTTGGTGCAAAAGTATTGCCGTTTTTCCCCAAAAACTGTATTAAACCTGTATTACTGTGTTAAAATTGGTGATTCTGATGTTTTCTGGCTTTTACAAAGAAGAATCCAACAAACGATATGCCAAAAACTGCAATTATTTTTGCACCAACCTTTACATACACTAGCATTAAACATATGCTGAATATGATTTAAGTGTTCTCTGATAAATCAGAAGCTACTTCACTACTCTGTAATGTAACAGAGTTCTTATATGAACAGCAATTTATGTGGTCAGTAATTTCAGTTAAAAGTTAATTCATCAGCTGGGTGCCATGGCTCACGCCTGTAATCCCAAAACTTTGGGAGGCCGAGGCGGGTGGATCAAAAGCTCAGGAGTTCAAGACCAGCCTGGCCAAGATGGCCATCTCCACTAAAAATACAAAAATTAGCCGGGCGTGGTGGCTGGCGCCTGTAATCCCAGCTACTCAGGAGGCTGAGGCAGAGAATTGCTTGAACCCAGGAGGCAGAGGTTGCTGTGAGCCAAGATCACGCCACTGCAGTCCAGCCTGGGTGACAGAGGGAGACTCTGTCTTAGGAAAAAAAAAAAAAAAAAAAAAGTTAATTCATCATCACTCCCATGGATTCTCCAGATCTCATCCAAAAGACAAATATGAAAGTAATAGAAAGTTTGCAACATATTACTTCACTGCAAATAAGACTAAAGAAGCTTCCTACAAATACCAAAAGCTCTCTTATTAAGAATCTAAAGCTGGAAATAGGTGAAAAGGGTGAATATTTCACTCAATCTAAGACATAAACTCTGTTTCAACTCAGAAATCATTATTGAAAATAAATTCTCAGAAAGTAACTCTACCAAAACATCCAGTGTTTTCATCACAAATAGAACCTATGATTTAAAAAGAGAAGGCAAGTAGACTGATATAAACCCATATAGCCAGCAGCTAGGAATTGCAGTTTATCATGCAGTAGACAAGAAATGGTAGAGTATACAAAGAATGAACAGCTGCCTATCTTACCTATGAGCAGCTCAGAGAATATAAATATCACTGACTTAAGTGCATCACCTACATGATTCTGTTAGGCTGTTGGCACTGTTGTAAAGAAATACCTGAGACTGGGTAATTTATACAGAAAAGAAGTTTATTTTGGCTCATGGTTCTGCAGACTGTACAAGAAACACGGTGCCAGCATCTGCTTCTGGTGAGAGCTGCAGGAAGCTTACAATCATGGCAGAAGGCAAAGGGGGGAGCAGGTGTCACACACAGCAAGAGCAGGAGCAAGAGAAGGGGGGGAGATGCCGCTCTCTTTTAAACAACCAGATCTCATGTGAACACAGAGAGAGAACTCACTATCAAGGATAGCACTGAGCCATTCATGAGGGATCCACCCCCATGACCCAAACACCTCCACCAGGACCCACCTCCAACAACGGGGATTACATTTCAACAGGAGATTTGCAGGGAACAAACATCCAAACTGTATCAGTGACAGAGCTCATATAATTACACAGTAACTGGTATATTTCTAATTGTGTTTATACTACTTTAGTCTCTGTGACATAGCAACAAATAACTTTAATATGTAATTCTGGCTGATTTTTTAAAAGAAATTTATACATGTGAAGCATTTTTTTCTTAAGACTGATCATTTAAAATGTTCTAAAGCAATCCCTGGAGTGGGAAAAAGAACTCCTTAATTTGCTTTTACTTATGCTTTAGAATACTTATGCTTTAGAATAAAAAGAAAAACACAGTATTATTACAATAAATAACAAATGTGACTTTTAGGTTTATTTTGGTTTGGGCTACACAAAATTAAACTCGTATTTAGAGATAATGCCATGAAAACATCAAGTAAATAATGAACTACACATAGTTTTGTATGCTGTTACACACAATATTACACATATACGTAAGGGCTACTGAATTTCAACACACATACCAACACAGCAATGAAACAAAATTTATTTTGCTGTCAACTTTTAACAAAGTAAAATTTCAATAAGAACCCAATTAACTTGTATAACAGTTTTTTAAATAAAAGGAAACAAAAACAAGCTGACATCAGCAAATTACTGAAAAAATAACCTTTTAGGATAAATTGTATGTAAATTACATGTAAACCATGACATGAAAGAAAAAAAATCTCTAGTTTGTTATTCCCTAGGAATGCCAAAAGTGAAAATCCTAAACTGGGCAATGGATCTACAAATCAATCACGCAGGTATCATTCTAGGAAATGAGCTCTATAACTGTCTTCATATGTAAATCTATGAATCATGAAAATTATTATCCACATCTAACAGAAAGAAAGCTTATTTGTTGGTTTGGGAATACCTATTATGTAAAAGACAAAAAAAGACAACTTCTTCCCTACACTTCTCTTTCCCAAGGTCAAAGTCAGTAATCACCCCTTGCTCCTGAGCATGTGTAAAAGAGGAGATTAAGGATTTAAAATCATGATGCTGACAATATACATTTTAAAAATCTGTGGCATTTTAAAAGGAAAGTCATTTTAAAACAACAATAAAACATTTTTATATTTTACTAGTTTTTCTTCAGTTGACCTGAAATGTTTTAGACCACAAACTACTTCAATAGTAAATAAAATGTCATGACTCACCTACTCTACCTATTTTCAGTTTCTATCACCCTGGTGTGAAGTGCCATTTTAAACACACCTAAAGGAAGGGACAGCCTTAGAATAAACACAGAAGGTGAGACTGAAAGTTTCTAAAAAAGGGGTTGGTAAGAAATGGAGGCTGAGGAAGAAAGTTGTCCAATGCTGTCAAAGTGCAAGTTACTGGTATTCTCACCACATCAAAAGTAAATTTTATGCTTAAGACACATCAATAGTTATGTGTGGTTCTTGGAATAAAGACCAAAATCCTCAACATGGCCTACAGGGCTCTACTTAGCCTTTCAAGTTACCCTCTCTATCAGCCTACCTCATCACACACACATCCCTAACCTTGACTCTCTGCACTCCAGCCCCACTGGCCTTCATCCAGTTTCTGAATGCACCACTCTCCCCACTGCAGTTTCTTCTGCCTGGAACAATTTTATCCTCCTATGGTATTGTCACATCTCAGCTCAAAAATTACTTCCTCAGGTACAGCCAGGTTCACGAGCGTGTAACCTGTGCAGTTGCATAAGGTCTGCACTTGGAAGGGCCCCCTGCTTGGTTTAATGTTCTGCTGTCTCAGTCTTGAAAGTGGATAATATTTTAACACTTTCATGTTGCACTGGGCCTTAAAAATTATGTAGCCAGTTCTATCCACAGGGAAGTTTTCGCTGACCTCCTTGAATAGTTCAAACACTCCTTTTACAAGCTCTTACAGCATGCACTCCCCGTCTGTATTTTTACATTTAAGTATTTGTTTATCTTCTCCATGAGAAAATACGCACCATCAATCCAGCATTCACGTCTGATTTTTGCTTACCATTTCATCCCTAGAACCTAGCACATAGCAGGTAATCAGTAAATGTTGCTGAATAAACATCTGTTTTCATTATTAGCACTATCATCATTGTTGTTATTACTCTGTACTATTCAGGCTAAGAATGTAGCAGGGAAGATAAGAAAAATTCATGGCAAAACATAAAAAATAAAATAAACTTTACTCAAACAACTTCAACACTATAACCAACAACACAACTCAAAAAAATACTAAATAGCTGCCTAAAATTCCTGGAATTTGAATTTTATCTTTTTTAACTCTACTTTCTTTTTTAGTGTATGTTTTATAATGTGCATGATATATCGGCTCAGCAATTAACAACTTTATGATTTCTAAATTCAGGCCTGCATGCTCAAATTTTTATTGATAAGGACATGAGATTTTCATAAATGGTGATTCTTGGGTTAGAGTCATAGGAAATGGAAAGGGGAAGAGTGAGACTGTTTGTCAGATAAGCTGAACTGAGGAGTGATACAGCAGTAACATCTGATGTAAACTATATATTTAATATAAAACATTGTATAGAAAGAGATTTCCAGTTTTAGTGTTAGTGCAAAGGTAAGAAATATATAGTTAATTTATGTTTTTCTTCCTGTATTTCAAAGGGTTGTCTTGCACACATATTACATGTAAAGCATGACATGAGAGGAAAAAAAAAAAAAAAAACTAGTTATTCCCTAGGAGTGCCCAAAGTTGAAATCCTAAACTGGGCAATGAATCTACAAATCAACCATGTAGGTATCATTCTAGGAAATGAGCTCTATAACTGTCTTCATATGTAAATCTATGAATCATGAGAATTATTATCCACACCTTATAAAAAGCTGATCTCTTGGTTTGGGAAAAGACAAAATCCAAAAGGACAACTTCTTCTCTACTCTTCTCTTTCCCAAGGTCAGACAAAGTCAGTAATCACCCCTTGCTCCTACATACATCTCATCCCACATTGGAGAATGCCGTTCTAATTAAATAACTACTTATTTGAAGTTTTTGCAGGAAACCCAGTCATTCATGTACTCTAGAGCAAGGAAGAGTCTTGCTCTCTTCTGATAAAATCATCCTTTTTGACCAAGGAGAAAGCTTGCGGGGGGAACACACATGAATTAGTGAGGAGAATGGGGATCCCTGCCTACTACCTCCCTAACATGACCCTTGTATCAACCAGAGTACTTCAAATTTCCCCCACAAACTTCATACTTTCTCATCTTTGTGACTTTGCTCAAATTGTTCCCCTTAAGTTCAGAATACTCCTTCACTGCCATATACCCAAATCCTATACCTTTCTCAACCAAGTTTAAATGCCACATCCATCAAAAAGGCTTTTAGGACTAAGCAAATCTAATTTCTCCTTTATCTATACTGTCCATAGCAGTCTGCATTTTTCTTATATATCATTTTCTACTCTATCATATTGTTATGTCAATATCTTATTTCTCTTTCTAGTAGGTAAATTCCTAGAATGTGAAAAATTCCTTGTGGTCCCAAGGTTATTAAAAACTTGGCTTCTCAATTACTCCAAACTGAAGATGACATCTACAATAATACATGCCAAAATATGAAATTTAAATTAACCAAGATTAAATTTTATATAGGCATCATTTAAGCTAATATCTTCATTATAAGAGTTCTAAATTAAACTACCCACCTTTTAGAAATTAATTATTTCATGATAAAGAAATTCCTGTACCACTTTCATACCAAAGCAATAACTTACTCTAAGGTACTCCTAGTGACCTACATTAATTCACCCTTTAAAATTAGAATTACTATTCTAATAGTATTCTCTAACAAAAGATGCAATAAATTTTTATCATTTTTATAAAGAAGAAATATATCCCTATACTGCAGATAAAAAGAATACCTAGAAATAAAGCAAATATCAAAGCACCTCATAACTAAGTGCATATCCAATTAGTTATTAAAAGTCCAGTTAGTTCTTTACCTACTTCCCAATTTTGCCCAGGCCCTGATTATTCTATATTTAGTGTCTTCTTTACCAGGAGCAAAAGAGATGCTGCTTAAGGTTTCAGGCTTTAGTGGGAGAGTTTTTTTTATGCAAATGAATATTTCTCAAAGAAACTCATAAGTATTTACATTGGAGAACAAAGTAAAATCAAAAAGAAGTGACACATATTCTTGAACTTCTGAAAGCCATAAAATAAATAATGCATAAATGTTAGAAATGCACACATGATAAAGCAACACCCGTGACCCAAAAAAATAAGTATTTGCTTCTCATTCATTTTAATTATCTTTAAGTTACCTATTTTTAAGCTTTATCAACCAATACAAAAAAAACAATATTCTTACTATTAATCCATTATCATTTTTAATGAAATGACTGCTAACCAATAAATTCACATAAGTATACCCGTAAGTCTCTTAAAGACTTTATATATTACTTGTAGTATTCTCTTAAATATTAGGTTAGGATTATGTATCTATTTATTCCATTCAAATCAACGTATTTCAAAGTATGAAAGTGCTATGACCTAAAAAAAATTAGTCTAATTCTGAGGTCCATCTCTCGATGATCTAATATAAGAGGATTAAGAGAAGGGCCATGAAAAGAGATGCCCTCTGTTGTTTGTTTCTTTAAGTTCTGCCTTCTTGATGTACAACATGACTCCTCTGCCACATGAATGTAGGTGAAGACATAATTTCCAGAATAATAGGCACTAATATTACATGCTGCTTCAGTTCTGTCATATTTCCAATCCATCAAATTGATTAATGCTATAATAACTCTACACAAACCTATCATTTGTGCACTAATGAAGTCAAACTCAGTTTATCCTTAGGCAACTAGATTCCAAAAGCTCATAGATGTCATCTCTTCAGCACAGCAAGACTATTTAGACAGTGTTATATAAAAGGAGCAAGAAACATGGGTAGCCTATCTCCAAATTTGGATGGCTTCCTGCCAAAGTTGTAAATGCAAATACTGCTAATATAACAAAATGTTCAAAGAGCATTCGGCAGCTCTTAAACATGGACAAGTTACTGCAAGACACACAAAGAAAGGAAGGAAATTTGTTAATTTGACATAAATATTATACTAATGATATCAGTGATAACATAGACACCATACTCAAAACCCATCAAGTTTTAGGCAATATATGAAGGTTTCATTTAAAATAGATTTTTAAGATGTTTAGACTTAAAATATGATGATATGGGACTTTATCAAAACTGAAATTTTAAGGGCTATATATTAAATTCGAAAGCAATTCAACCTGCAAACTATAGTGCAAGTCAAAAATAACACTATATAATGATGGTCATGAAATTATTAAATAGTAATGCCCCTTAGCTAGTGTTTCATAGGGAATGTTTAATGATACGATACAGGATGTGTAAGCAGAAGTGACTCTTCCCACAAAAGGTGTTTAAAACCATTTTCCCATTACCTTAATAGTCAGAGATCAGTGTTTATGTAAGAAAATGGCTTGTGTTGGAGAACAGGGAAGTGCAGCGTCATATTGCCATTTCCATAAACGTTAAAAAAAAAAAAAAAGCAGTCAGTATTGCATAGCACAGTGGTAAGGCTACTTAAAAAACACATTTGCAAGCAGGTGTAGATACAAAGATATAGACTACCTTCAATTAAAATAGAAATCCTGAAGCAGAAAGCAAACATTCTAGGACAAAATAGAGAAGTATTAGACACAAATACAAAAGAAGTCCTAGATTCTAGAAGATTCTTCTAGAAGAAGATTCAGACCAGAACTATTCCTTTGGCTACACATCATCACAAGTTTTTAGGAAAAAGAAACTTGTTGACTGACATAAGAGTCTACTGTATATCCATTATTGCTTGTTACATACAGGTTGAGTATCCCTTATCCAAAATTCCTGACACGAGAAGTGTTTCAATTTTGGATTTTTCTCATAGTTTGGAATATCTGCATTATATACTTACCAGTTAAGCAACCCTAACCCAAAAATCAAACATCCAAAACACTTCAATGAGCATTTCCTTTGAGCATCATGTTGGCACTCAAAAAGTTTTGGATTTTGGAGCATTTTCAGATTTTGGACTTTCAAATTGGGGATACTCAGTGTATATAAATATGTATAGTAAATTATACATACATCTTACTTCAGAAAGTAAATTTAGCCACAGCTACAAATCAGTTTTATCGTTCATTCAATAAATACATTGAATGCATATAAAGTGTCAGGCACCATTCTAAGAGCTAAAGGCACAATTATAAAGAAAACCAAGTAACTGCCCATAAGGCACTTCTATTTTAGAGGTATCATGTGGCCTATCTCCTTATGTGTACCTTTACAATGTCTGAAGTTAAAAACACTGAAGTCTACCTCATTATGACAATATTATCTGGTATACATATAACAAGGCTTAATTCTGTTTGGGCTACACATTACACAAAAAACAAGAAAAAAACATACACGACAGTGTATAATCTCTAAAACACCAAATGAATTCCAATTTACTGAACTACGGCAAATAACTCAAATAATATTCCACAAATAACTATCTCCAGCAACCCATTCATTTGGAACAAGGTAGTAAGCAAAAGATTAAAATGACCCAGAGTGGGTCGGGCATGGTGGCTCACGCCTGTAATCCCAGCACTTTGGGAGGCTGAGGTGGGTGGATCACCTGAGGTCAGGAGTTCGAGACCAGCCTGGCCAACATGGTGAAACCTCATCTCTACTAAAAATACAAAATTAGCCGGGCATGGTGGTGCATACCTGTAATCCCAGCTACTTGGGAGGCTGAGGCAGGAGAATCGCTTGAACCTGGGAGACGGAGGTTGCAGTGAGCTGAGATCATGCCACTGCACTCCAGCCTGGGCAACCAGAGCGAAACTCCATCTCAGAAAAAAAAAAAAAAGACTCAGAGTGAGTAATAATGAATGAATGAGGACAGTAGAATACCCAAGGCAGATGGGTCTTAATACCCTGCCATTCTAGAAGCACAAGATGGAAAGCAACAAAGATTGAAAACACAGAAAAAGGAAGGCAGAACTTCCCTCTCACAACCAAAGCTGGAGCCCAAATAAAACTAGAGAATAACTAGAATCTATCTCCTGGTCAAATACAAACTAGACTTCTATTTAGGCAGATGATGATTATGATAACGACAGCAATTAAGATTCCGCAAAACTCATACAGCATATATCCAAAATATGTTAGAAACTCTTACAACCCTATAATAAAAAGACAACATAACCCAATTTTTAAAATTGAGCAAGGAATGTGAATAGCCATTTTTCCAAAGGAGATATACAAATGGCCAAAAAGCACATGAAAAGATACTCAGCATCATTAGTCATTAGGGAAATGCAAACCAAAACCACCATGAGATGCCACTTCACACCCAATAAGAAGGTCATAATCAACAAGACAGACAATAACAAATGTTTAGCAAATGTGGAGAAATCAAAAATTCTCACACGTTGCTGATGGGACCATGAAATGTTTGGCAATTTCTCAAAATGTTAAACACAGAATTTTACCATATGACCCATCAATTACACTCCTATGTATTCACCCAGGGGAAATAAAAATAAATATCCAAATAAAGACTTATATACAAATGTTCATAGCAGCATTATTCACAATAGTCAAAAAGGAAAGCAACCCAGATGTTCATTAACTGGTGAATGGACAGACATAATGCAGCATATCCATATGATGGAATACTATTTGGCAATAAGAAAGAACCAAGTTAAGTACTGATACATGCTACAACATGAATACATGGATGACCCTCAAAAAGCATTATGCCCAATAAAAAAAAAAAAGCCAGACACAAAAGAAAACATATGATTCCATTTATATGACATGTCCAGATGAGGCAAATCTACAGAAACAGAGTAGACCAGTGGTTGACTCAGGCTGGTGGTGGGAATGAGGAGTGGCTGTAAATGGGCAAGGAGTTTCTTTTGGAGGTGATGGAAACCTACTGTTAGACTGTGGTAACTGCAGAGATGAGTGGAAAACTAAAAAAAAAAAAAAAAAAAGATTGTGGCAATAGTCACACAATTATGTAAATATACTAAAAATCACTGAATTATAAATCTAAAAGGGTTTGTAAATTATATCTCAAGAAAGCTGAACAGAAAATCTTAAAAGACTTATTGCACTTACTGTACATGTAAGTGCTTGACATATATTAAACATCCCACAACTTTATGAGGTAGACACTATTATTATTTTCCCAATTTTACAATAAGAAAACTGAGGCACAAGCTAAGTAATTTGTTCAAAGTCACAATGCTAGTAAGTGACAGCAGCCAGGATTTGAACCCAAGTAGTGTTGCTCTACAGTCAGTGAACACACAACTAAATTAGCTAACCTCCTGCAGAGCTCACAAATAAACATTCTTGGGTAGTAATTATTAGAATTAAAGCAATTATAATTATCTTACAACAGTAGTTCTCAACTCTTCCTGTACACTTGAGGAACTTGATAAAGTTATGTATTTCCTAAACTCAGGAGTTCTGATACTGTAGAGATGAGGACCAAAAATCTGCACCTTTAACAAGCAATCCTGGTAAATCTGATGCAGATGGTCTGTGAACACCACAACAAAGACCATCCTAGAGACACAGATGGCACTTGAGATAAGATTATGTTCTTTTTATCTTTCATTCATTTAGCTCAGAGAAAATGGTAGTAAGGATGTGTGTAGATTAATTTTTTTCAAGAAGATTTTTGACCATCTTTTTCTCCTTAAGCATTGTGGCTATGGCTTAAAGCCATGTTTTAAAACATGCCTTAGTAACATGTTGCTATTTTATAATGTTCAAGAATAAGCCTTTAAGATTAATGAACTCAGGCCACATTTATTTTGCAATCAAAGTGGTAACATGATAGTTTTTCCATTAGAAGTATTCGATAAGGAAAGTAAAAATAAGTTAGTAATTATGAATATCAGTTGTGATATCTATCTGTGACTAGAGATCAATTTCAAAATGGTATTCAAGGACCAATTTCGTAAACCTGACAAACTTCTAGAGGTTAACAAGGGTCAAGAAAACAAATTCACAGCACCAACAAGCCAATAACTCAGGTAAAGTAAATAAATATAAGTCAAATTTAAAACTTTCCATTCTTCCTTAATAAGTATGTATGTGTCATGTTCTCAAATGGTTATGTTTAGACTTTGATCCATTATAAAAATAATCCATCATAGCTGGACATGGTGGTGTGCACCTGTAGTCCCAGCTACTTGGGAGGCTGAAGCAGAAGGATCCCTTGAGCCCAGAAGTTTGAGGCACGCCTGGGCAACATAACAAGACCCCATCACAAAAAGAAAAGGAAAAAAAAAAGAAAAAAATCCATTATTTTTCATTAATTTCCAATAAAAAGCAGGCCAACTACATATGATAATGATAAATTAACAGAAGAGTCTTGTAATTGTTACTCAAACTTTTTTCATTTTTAAAATGGTAATCTGAAATTTAAA
Source organism: Homo sapiens (assembly GCF_000001405.40). Classification (NCBI taxonomy): domain Eukaryota; kingdom Metazoa; phylum Chordata; class Mammalia; order Primates; family Hominidae; genus Homo; species Homo sapiens. The sequence goes on along the minus strand of NC_000002.12, from coordinate 176,283,969 downwards.
AAAAAAAGAAGCACTGATACTATGAGTTTTTCTCAGAACTAAAAATGAATATGAGATCAACAGCAGAACTATAGAAAAACAGCTGGTTAAGAGTAAAAGTCTAATCCATCTGGCCAAAAAACAGATACAAAAACAGCCCCACACAACTGTGAGACCTCAACAACATTAACCTTCACAGTGCAATAGTTTAATGGTTCTCTAAATCTAACTCTAGAGACAGAAAACAAATATCCTTCAAACTAAGTAGTTCTTCCCATCTAAACCAAATACAATCACTGTAATGTCAGCACCTATGTTTTTAAGTATCTACTATGTGATTATGGTTCCAGGTACTGTACATATACTTTGCTATCTCATATCAAGCTAGCTAACCAAAAAACTCTATTCCTCTTCCTTCACTCCTCCCAGCTAGTTATAGAACAAATTATCCCCCACAGAGAATCTGACTTATTATTATACCACCTGAAATGCTGACAAAACTGCAAGATTCTCCAAGAAGAAGGAAACAGGAAATGAGGTAACGGTCAAGAATTTCCTTAAGAGTATGAGAACACAGTAGAAAATGCTCAGAGGATTCCCCCTAAAAAATATTAAAGGCATTTAAATGAACAAATAGGTGATAAACATCCAAAATGTACCCACAACTATAATACAAAGATGAATATAAAACTGTCATTGCCCTCTAGGATCTAATTTTGTTGAGCAGGTGAAGAACAAAAAGGGAGGTGGGATTAGGGGTGACTAAGGTAAACATAACCATTTAAAATACATTAAGCAAATACAGGTGGTGTAGGGAAAAAGCATACATTTCAGAGTCACACATACCTGGCTTCCCCTCCCAATTCTACAACTTATTGTGTGAGTTATGTTGGCCAAACTGGTTAACCTATTCTTGTCTCAATTACCTCACTGTAAAAGAGGGAAATATTAATTATCTTGTTGGGTTATTGGAAGAATAAAACTAGATTGGCCAGGTGTGATTGCTCACGCCTGTAATCCCAGCACTTTGGGAGGCCAAGTTGGGCAGATCACCAGGTCAGCAGTTCGAGACCAGCCTGACCAACATGGTGAAACCCTGTCTCTATCAAAAATACAAAAATTAGCCAGGTGTGGTGGTGCATGCCTGTAATCCCAGCTACTCAGGAGGCTAAGGCAGGACAATCGCATGAACCCAGGAGATGGAGGTTGCAGTGAGCTGAGATCGTGCGACTGCACTCTAGCCTGGGCAACAGAGCAAGACTCCATCTCAAAAAAAAAAACAAAAAAAAAAAAGTAGATAAACTAAGTACCCTATAAAGTCTCTAGCTCACAGTATATTTTCAATCAATAATTCTTAATATACACATTAGAACAAAAGTGTGTATAAAGCCCTATAGAAATATTCATGAAGAAATAACTAAATCTGCCTGAGGAAAACAGGAAAGAATTCACAAAAGGAGATGAAATCTGAATTGGATCCAAAAAAATAATCCAAAGCATGCCAGATAGAAGGTAGGAGGCATGGAGACGAGTTTAGATATTTACCAAAAACCTAACATCCCTAATGCAGTTTGAGGAAACGGAGGCAAAATGTTCAGCAAAGGCTTACTAAACTAGATGCCTCTGTGCAGATTTCTACTATAGATATAGCTCTTCATATTAAAATGATCTATTTCTGCAAAAGAATATAAGCTCATGAAAGGCAAGAATTGTTACTTATTTTTGTACCCCCAGCACCTGGCAGAGCACCTAGCACAAATTAGGTACTCAACAAACATTCTGCAGAAAATACAAGCAGGTCTTTTGCTATCTAAAGCCTGAAAGATATCTGACAGCAAAAAAAAAAAAAAAAAAAAAAAAAAAACTACTGTAACTCTAAAAATAATATCATTGAACCAATTTAAGGAAGGATAACATCTCAACAATGGGTACCAAATTCAACAGTGTAAACTCAAGAATTCACTTTCTCTCCGAATCATTCAGTGGTTCCTAATCAAAGACACACAGACAAATGATCTACAGAGTATTTGAAAACTATACTTGTCTTATCTCCATCCTCAATCTTTCCATATGATAGGCCTTTGGTGAGAATAAAGGAGTATTTGTATATGCATGCATGTTCGAGCAGGCATCACTAGCTTTAGAGAGTTCCATAGATAACTAATTACAACGTACAAAACCACCCGCACTACTCTACTCACCCCCAACTCCCCATCTATCCCCATCCTTCTTTAGAACCTCTATTCAGTCATGTGTGTGCCTTCTCGGTTCCCAGATCTAAGAAAAACAGGCAGTACCACCTTGGTTATTGTGGCAAAGTATATGTCTTAAATACGTCCACAACAGTAATTCCTACCCTACAATTCCCCTTCCCTTGAATCTGGGCTGGCACTGTGACCCACAGAATATTGTGGAAGTGATGCTGCAGGACAATTGAGAGTAGATTATAAAAGATGATGCAAATTCTATCTTGCTAGCTCAGGCACTTGTATGTGGTGCACTGAGTCACTACATAAAAAGTCTGACTACCCTCAGGCCACCAAGCTGTGAGGAAGCCAAGCCACATGAAGAAGCCACATGTAAGTATTCCAGAGAACAACCCCAGCCAAAGTCCTAGCCAGAATCAACTGTCAGAGATACAAGTGAAGATGCTTCCAGAGGTTTCCAACCCTGAACCACTGGATCATTCCCAGCCTTTGAGTCTTTTCAGCTTAAGACCCAGACATCATGAGTGAGAGACAAACCATCTTTCCTGTGCTGTATACAGCACCCTATACATAAGTAACCCTATCTTAGAAAAAGACCCCACCTTACATTTAAAAAGGCATCATGCCAACAGGGACCACATGTTCATCTAATCAACAGAGACTACACGTACCAACCAGACAAAGACATAACCAGACACACTTTTTACTATCAGTCCTCACCAGAAGATGTGAGGGCTATAAAAGGAGCAGAACTCCACCAACTCAAGATGGCCATCTTAATAGACACTGTCTGGCAGTCACTCATGATCAGCACCCAGCATTTGCTGCCAAATGCTCTGCCCAAATCAAGAACTCTTCCTTGCAAGACACTGACAACTGTCTGGATCAGCCCAGGACACTATCCTTGTCCATGACGCTCTCCTTAGACTGGTTCATTACCTCTTTTCCTGTCCCCTTTTCTCTTGATGTTAAATGTTACTGTGTGATGTGGAAATTTTAATCTATAACATTTATATATTAAGTATACTGCTACGTGCGGTTTGCAACATTGACTGACTTGTGGATTGGCTTAGTCTATGTGCCACAGCTCTGACTACTGAGTGAACAGGTAGTACTAAGGAGAATTGCCTCCTTAAGGAACTCGATGTTGCTTATTGCTTTTATGACTGAATAAGCACCAACAGAAGTCTGACCTTGTGGAAAGACACAAATGTGTGTGGATATGGTTATATCTCACCTTGTGCCACTCACAACATGTGCCCTGTGTGGATTACTGACCCACAGGATTCATAAACATAAGAAAGTGGCTGTTTTACACCTGTAAATTTAGGGTGGTTTGTTACACTGCAAAAGTAACTTGCCAGTTAAGACTTTTGATAGTTACTATTAATCACACAAAATGTTGACTCATCTGAAGCCTCAGAATTCCGTTTATCTAAATCGGTTACCAAGCTGACTCCTGACCATATTACGTTTATAAATTCCCTTTACTGCTTCAGACATAGATTTTGACACTTGCACTTTCCCTACAGTTTCACTTTATTAATCCAATATCTTGAATCTTTGCCTTCCTGAAATCTCACTATATCTCCAATTTGCTGACCACATCACCCTGACTCCCTGGCCTCTAGTCCCCAGGATTTGGTACCCAGTGACTAGAATGGCTTACATCCATCTTTAAAAACTGACCTAAATGGCAGTTGCTACATTATTCACAGATTGAGGAAACAAAAGAGAATCCAAGAGAGAAACAACTCTAGCTAAAGTCAAATCTAACTATATCTTTTCATAAAAGTCAAACCAATAGTCATTTACCTATGATACAAAGATAATCTAAAACAGTAAATAATGAAAGCATAGTTTATATTTGTCTATAATCTGCACTCTGTAATTTCTCACACATTAGCACCGTTTCTAAATATTTATTTTAATATTAAAATTATTTTATATTCTCCAAACAGCCACCAAATGCTAGTATGAGAAAATCAGTGCACGTAGATGGCAAAAAGGAGAAAACTGTTTAGGGAGAAAATACATCAAAAATAATTCACAATCTCAATGTAAGAACAAATGTCAATTATCACTTAAATAGTTAACATTATGTAACTAGTTCTCCTGGACTAGCCAACTTAGAATCTTAAATCGATGAACAGTAATAACAGTAATAGTAAAAATAACAATGATAGCATCTAACAAAAAACTAGATAGCAACTTTTATTTTTATGGTATTTCTCATAAAGACATAATCTTTTTTTAAATTTATAAAATAAGAAAGAAACATTACTTATAATTCATAATGCCAAAACATTTTTCTATAACATAAAAGCTAACAATCAAAAGAAATGGAGGTCAAAAGAAGGCTAGTTCATTGAGTCAGCTGCCAATATTACTTTACAGAAATAAACACTGGAATAATAATGGCCTCTTCATGTTATACAAATGACACAATTTATTCATATAAAGTTCTGATTAGTGCTCTAAATTGACCAGGTAATAAAATATGATGTGGGGGTAAATACCATTGTAATACTCAAAGATACTGTATCCACTGTAATAAATATACACATCAAAAGTCTATTTTTTTCCATCTAAAGACAGATCAAGTTATGAAGAAATTCTTTGGCTTATACAAGTTCTTAGAGATAAAATATATGATCAGCAAAAAAACATAGCTAAGTGTATAAAAACAGTGAAATGCATTTTATGGTTTCTATTTTGCCAACACAGTTACAGTTAACGAGAATTGTCATGACAAAATGATTGCTTTTATGAAAAGAACCTTCTTTATTACCAACCAATCAAATTTCATTTTTATTACTGATGTAAAAAAGTTCAAAACCATAATTCATTTATAGAGCGTACAAAAATAAGAAAAGTGTTCAAGAATAGAGGAGAGGATCATTTACAAAGCAATAAAAAATTAAAGCATGCATCCCTTTTACTGGCAAGGCAAATACTTCTATATATGAATGTCTATAGCTGGATTTACTGAATATTATAACTTCTGTCTTTGAAAAAAAAATGAGAAGCCTGAATTTTCAATATCTCATCTCTATTTGATATCTTCAGTCCATCTGATAACTGCTTATCAAGAAACTTCAAAAATGTTTGAAAAATATTAAAAAGTTTGGTGGCGTTTTCTTTCAATTTTCACCAAAATATGGCAAGCTTGGGCTAACGTTAATAACTCAAAAGTCTTCAAAGAAATAAGACTGACAAATTTTATGGGGCACCCATCACCAAAATCTTTTAAGTTAAAAACTAAAAATCATGTAATTTCAGAGTATAAAATGTTAATAAACCACATTAAGTAAATTAAAACTCATATTACAGCCTATGAACTATTTCATTAGCAGAAAACAAGCCTCTGAAGGGATCTTATTATCAAAGTTTTCAAAAATTTACATAATATTGCTGTTAAGAATTTAGTTTTGGCCAGGTGCAGTGGCTCACACCTATAATCCCAGCACTTTGGGAGGCTGAGGCGGGCAGATCACATAAGGTCAGCAGTTCAAGACCAGCCTGGCCAACATGGTAAAACCCCGTCTTTACTGAAAATACAAAAATTAGCCAGGTGTGGTGGTGGGCACCTATAATCCCAGCTACTTGGGAGGCTGAGGCAGGAGAATCACTTGAACCTGGGAGGCAGAGGTTGCAGTGAGCTGAGATCACCCCACTGCACTCCAGCCTGGGCAACAGAGCAAGACTCCATCTCAAAAAAAAAAAAAAAAAAAAAAAAAAACCAGTTTCAACCTATTCAGCAATACAGTATAATAAAATACAGGATCCACTGCTGTCAATAAACTATATCTTGCCTCTAGTCTGAAGTATAACCTATTTTGTCACTATTTTGCTTTACCATCTGCACCATTCAATCTCAGCTTCGTATCTTCAAGGTCATAAGCACAACTGTGTAAGATTATTCATATGACTAATATGTTTTTTTTTTAATTCTCTTAAACGTGACGGTCGGTCCAATAACTTTTTAATAATTCCTCAGTGCCTTCCTCAATACTGGAAAATCCTCAGAATACTGAGTAAAAATAACAAAATATCTTTATTTTCAAGAGCAAAAGATTAAAGGCTGGGCACGGTGGCTCACGCCTGTAATCCCAGCACTTTGGGAGGCCGGGGTGGGCAGATCACCTGAGGTCGGGAGTTCGAGACCAGCCTGAACAATGTGGAGAAACCCGGTCTCTACTAAAAATACAAAATTAGCCAGGTGTGGTGGCACATGCCTGTAATCCCAGCTACTCAGGAGTCTGAGGCAGGAGAATCACTTGAACCCAGGAGGCGGAGGTTGCAGTGAGCCAAGATTGTACCACTGCACTCCAGCCTGGGCAACAAGAGCGCAACTCCATCTCAAAAAAGAGAAAAATGAATTTAATGCATTGTATTTCTTCAATTATCTGTTGCAACTGTCATCATTAAATATTCTGATACATGGATATACAAGCCTTTACCATCATTTTCTTCATTGTGAGCAATAGCATCACTTCTATATTACAAAAGCCTTTAAACCTTTATTTTCTACTTCCTTTAGCCTCTGGAACTCTTCTGAATGCTTTTCAAGTCCAGATTCCCCAGTACTCATGTGAGGAGGGATGGAATGAAAACACTTTATTACCAATATAAAAACAAATTTTTAAAAACATACCTGTTTTAATCACACTTTCAAGATGCGTACATATGGGTTCCATGGAACGCTGCAAAACTACTTTCCTAGCTCATACTATAAATTAATGCTACTGCTTAAATGAAGTTATTAATAAATTTAAATAATTAAGCACCCAAATGCCCACAACGAGATAAATGGAATATTCCGACCATTCTTTTTTCATCCTTTATATAGTTTACTGAGCTTCTAAATAAAGAACAGAACAGATATTGTTCTTATTTCAAAAGATTAATAAATTATAGTATGATGAAACTAACTGATGTGCTTAAAATATGGCAAGGCACCGGTGGAGTAATAAATCAGAAAAGATGGTATATGAGTAAAGAAAAGTAAGAATACTTTGGGCATTTTCTGCTGTCCAAAATGGTAATGGGATACTACATGTTAAGAGTTAATATCCTCAAAGGACCCCTTACTATAAGGTGAAAGGCTCTTGGGCAATAAAAGTAACAATAGAAACTAACATGTACTGAACATTTATTATCTACCACCCTATACTAGATACTTGACATACATTATAAATATATTATCCCCTTTTACAAATGAGGAAACTGAGGACTAGAAAGGCCTGCCAACAAGAAGCAGGGTTGAGCTTACTCCAGCTCTTACTCCAATGACCTTGTTCCTAACCTTTATACTGAGTTTCAGTATTCTTATCCACAAAATACCTAACAAGACCAAATTGTTATTATTAGCAATTACGTATATAAATCATTTAACACAGTAGCTCAAAAGCTTACTCTTATTATCAATAACCAGCTATGGCAATTCTAATTAACAGACCGCCAATATGACCTATACCAAGATTCAATTTTATAATGAAAATAAACATGGCTGGAGCATATCAAATGTATATATCTTGAAATAAACATCCTGGAATAACAAATTATTCTAGGATACATTACTAAGTAATTTTAATAACTGCAATAACTGTATGTAGATACTTCATATTATTGAATTAAATTATCTGTTATTTACAAATAAATTTTTAAAGCTTTACCAAAATTGTATCTTTAAAGTAACACATTATTATTTTCACCATTTTACAAATGAGAAATCTCAGGCTTAAAAAGGCAGTTAATTTGCCCAAGTTCACACAGCTAGGAAGTAGCTGAATAAGAACCCAGGTTAGACCTTTCACTTCAAAATCCATAGAAAGTGTAAAAGCAACGTGAAGGAAGCAATCAACACTGCAGCCAATTTCTGCTGTTTAGTGCTCAACACCTCTCTCCCTTCTTTTGTGTATCTGGTGGCACTGTGGAGCCCTAATACCTGGAGCCACTCCTGGCACAGGGATGGGCAAGTGAGTTAGGCCTGTCCACCCAAGTACTCTACCCTTTTGGCTGCTCCAAATGCCGTCATGTAGCCCAAATGGGATTACACAACCCTCCCCTATGATATATTCATAACCAACTGACTGGAAGAACAAAATTAAAAAAACAAAATGTGAGTAATGTATTGAAAAATCTCTCCATTAAAAAAAGTGAAAACAAATATACAGGTTATAAAATATTTTTAAACTATTTTTAATAATATCCAGGTCTATTTTTATCCTTTTAAAATTCTAGGCCGGGCACAGTGGCTCACACCTGTAATCTCAGCACTTTGGGAGGCTAAGGCAGGCAGAACACTTGAGGCCAGCAGTTCAAGACAAGCCTGGCCAACATGGTGAAATCCCATCTCTACTAAAAATATAAAAATTAGCTGGGCATGGGGGCAGACACCTGTAATCCCAGCTACTCAAGAGGCTGAGGCAGGAGAATAACTTGAACCTGGGAGGTGGAGGTTGCAGTGAGCCAAGGTTGTGCCACTGCCCTCCAGCCTGGGTGACAAGAGTAAAATGCCACCTCAAAAAAAAAAAAAATTCTAAATCCAGCACATCATCATCTAGAGAAACAACTATTCATTCAAAAGCATAACTTACCATTTCTTTCCATATTAAGCTAAAAGAACAGTTCAAAATTATCTTCCACTTTAAAAAATATATTCCAAAAAACTACTGAACAGATGCATAAATATGTTTACGTAAGCACTGCTTACAACAGACAAAAATCACACACACGTGTGATGGCTTTGGGACACATCAGCTTACCTACACTGAATACACTTGCCAAAATTCCCTTTCTACTATGTCTCTAAAGTGGGCTACAAGGGATATTCTCCGCCAGGTGTTGGGAAGAGAAGAGAGGCAACGTCATTTTGTAGCAGACACACACTTCCTCCTAGCTTTTCTAACCCTAATCTAGGTGCTGCCATAAAGAGATTCTGCTGATATAATTAAAGTCCCTACTTAGTTAGCTTTACATTAATCAAAAGGGAGAGTATCCTAAGTGGCCTGATTTTATCAGTTGAAAGCCCTTTAAAAAAGGGTCTAAGTCCTCCCTGGGATCAGACACTCCAGGTAGTACCTGGTCTTGCCAGTGCTTAGTCCTGGATCTCCCCCGGCTCCTGACTGCCCGCCTTGCATGCTTTGCACTTACTTTGCCAGCCTCCACATTAAGAGCCAATTCTTTGCCATGTGTTTGTGTATGCACATACATGCATGTGTGTGTGTGGCTCGAGAGAGAAATAGATATCCTGGTACTTCTGCTTCTCTGGTTGAACTGACTGATAACAACTCTCTAAATACCCATCCGAGTAATACTACTTAAGTAAATTTTGGCTTCTTCATTACAATGAAATACTACATAACCATTTTAAAATGATGATGTGTAATTCCATTCACAGACATGAAAAGAGATCCCAATATATGACAAAACAGGTTACAAAAAATTATGCATATTATATGTCGATTTTTTTAATTCAGGGAAAGAGAATGAAATAGCTTTGCTCATCAAAGTTTTAATGATGGATGGAATTTTAAAGTCTTAATCTGTGTGGTATGATTTCAGGTAATTTTTACTTTATCTCTGGATTGTTTTCATTTTCCATAATGGCAACATATCATTATCATTATCAGGAAAAAAAAACTAGACAACAAACCTTTCTCATTTGACAGGAAAAAAATGTCAGGTAGACTTACATTAAATGGTTAAAACGGTGCCCAGAGTCTTAAAGGATGAACAGGAGTTATTCAAGCAAAGTGCACATCTCAGGCAAGGGGCAAGGAAAGAAGTGACAAGACATGAGGCTGTCCTACTGACAATGAGAAACCAACAAAATGTTAAAACAAGAGGAGGTTTTTTTTTTTTTAAGGAAAATTAAAATAAAACAAAACAAACAAAAAACCCACTGAGGCTTGCAGTGTATGGACTCTACTGGAAGGAAGCCAGACTGGAAGCAGAGAAATCAATTCAGAGACTACTATGGTTATCTAAGCAAAAAATGACAAAGCTTTGAACTAAGGTAACAGCAGTAGAAATGGACAGAATAAGTCCTATTTAGGAACGATAACTGAGAAAAGTTGGCAAGGGAAATACTGGTAGTAAGGAGATAGAAGCAGTTCACTTAAACTGGGGAGTTCAGAGAAGACTTCTAAAAAGATATCCTTATGAATAAGGATCTCAAAGAAGTCACTTCAAGAATACCACAGAGAGATGCCAGATATCTTTAAATGTTTCCAAAAGAAATAATCAGTGTTAGCTCATGTCCACAGGAAGGAAAGGTAATAAGCAAAGTGTTGGATACACTAAAAATTAGAGCTCTCAACTACAAAAACAGATTCATAATTACTTAAGTTATAACAGATCTATATAGATACATAACTCCAACCTGTACTACCAGAAACAGAACACTGTGAATAGTTGCTGGATTTGAGTCACATTTATAAGTCATTTACAAGTCAAACACAGGGTTTCCGATAAATTATTACTTTAACCACTGCTATAGTCTGAATATCCCCTTCACAACTCATGCTGAAATGGAATTACCATTCTGACAGTATTAACAGGTGGGATTGTTAAGAGATGACTAGATCATGAGGGCTCCACCCTCATGAATGGATTCATCTCTTTATCCCAAGAGTAGGTTGTTGTAAAAGCAAGTTCAGCCCTCTCAGTCCCTGGCTCTTGCCCTCCCTGGCCTTTCCACCTTCTGCCACAGGATAATGCAGCACAAAGGCTCGCATCAGATACCGGCACCTTGAAGCTGGAGTTCGTTGCCTCCCAAAATGTGAGACTTGAATTTTTTTTCTTTGTAACTTACCTAGTCTGTGGTATTCTGTTATAGCAACACAAAACAGATTAAGGCAGCCTCCTGTTTTCACTTCTTGGCAAAACATAATCTTATAAATTTTAACAATTACAATCATTTAAATTACAAAAGTAAACTATGCTCACTATAGTAATTCAAACAATTCAGAAATATAGTTCCTCCACCCTCTACCAACAATCTATCTTTATTATCCCAATCGCTAGTTACAATTAGTTGAATATTCTTAACATATATAAACATATGTATGTTTATATAGATTTCATGAGTTCATACAAAATAGATATTATTTTATAACTTTTTACTTAATATAACCATAGCTTTCAAGACAACGTATTTAACAGATATACTTCTTCATTTTTGGATCTGTAAAAATGTGACCATACCATAATTTTTGTATAAATGTTTTTGACAAATAATAACTGTACATTTAGGAGGTACAACGTGATATTTTGAACTAAATAAATCAAAGAATAGAAAGAATAAATCAAGGTAATTAATATATCCATCACCGCACCAACTTAAATTTTTGTAAGAAAATTATAAATCTAAGCCTTTAGCAATTTTGAAATATATAATACATTATTATTAACTGTGGTCACCTTGCAGTGCAATAGATCACTAAAACTTTTTCTTCTAGTCTAACAAACTTTGTTCCCTTTGATCAACATCTCTTCTCCATTCCTCTTCCCCATCTCTCACCTCTGTCCCCCTCAGCCTCTGGTAACCACCTTTCTATTCTGTTTCTAGGAGATCAACTTTCTTAGATTTCCCCAAAAAGATTAGATTTTAGATCACTACTTGTCTTTCTATGTCTAGCTTATTTCATTTAGCATAATGTCCTCCAGATCCATCCATTTTATCACAAATGATAGGGTTTCCTTCTTTTTTAAGGCTGAATAGTATTCCATTGTATCTTATATACATTTTCTTTATCCATTCATCCACTGATAAACACCTGGGTTGCTTCCATATCTTGGCTATTGTGAATACTGCTGCAATGAACATGGGACTGCACATACCTCTTAGACAATTTCAATTCCTTTGGATACATGCCCAGAAGTGGAATTGGTGGATTGGTGTACAATAATTTGACATATATTTAAAACATTTCTAGTTTTTCGCTATTACAAATAATGCTGCAATTAATATCATTGTGTATTTCTTTAAGTACTGGTCTTTACATTTCTATCAGATAAACCCCCATAAGTAGAATTTTCAGGCCAGAGAATGTCATTTTAATAAATATTGCTACATTACGTTCCCAAAAAGTAATACTAACTTACAGACCCAATAGTTTGAGAGTAACTTTTCCCCATGCCCTATTAGTACTAGAAATCATATTCACTTTTGTCCATCTGATGGCAGGGGTGGGAGGATGCTATACATTATTAGGGACAGAGAACATCTTTTCATCTGTTCACTGTCCATCTATATTTCACCCTTTTGTGAAATGCCTGTTCCAATCCTTTGTCCTTGATTCTGTTGGTTTGTCTTCTTATTTGTACTAACTTGAGATGTCTTTTATCAAAGTTTTAAAATTTTTTCGGCAATCAAATCTGCCAATTTCTTCTCTTATGGATTATGAATTCTTAAGTTTTGCTTAGGCCTCTTCTGCTATCCAAGGATTATTAAAATAATCTATGTTTTCCTCTAATTATTTTATTACAATTTTGTTGTTTTATATTTAGATCTTTAATCAATCTGGAATTTATTCATGTGGTGTAATGACTTAGTAGTTGTTCCAACACCATTTATTGAATTATCCATTTTTAAATGCTTCCTCCTAGAGTAACAGATCACTACAAATAGCTAAGACGGCAGACAGACAAAATGCCTAGAAATTTTTAAACGTCACTACTTAAAGCAGTATCCAAAGTTTATTAAAAGACATTCATCATTTTCTCATTAAAAGAAATCACATATTAGGACACATGCACACAGTGAACCACTCAACATACACTGTGAAGTTTTTTTTTTCAACATAGTAGCAAACTAAATTAAATCGCTGATCTAACTATATAAGCCTGATTTTGTTTCAACATAAATGGTAAAAGCAGAAATAATCATTGCTTGAAATCTCAAGATTAGTCATTGATTTGGGTCGCAAATATTTATTGAGCACCAACTGACTATGGATACAATGGGGAACAAAACAAGTTTGATCCCTACTTTCAGGAAGCTTGCAATCTAGTAGGAGCTTCTCTCCTCTAAAAAATAATGTTTTTAAGTGAAGAAGGAAAAAAAAGAAATGTACGTTCACACAAACGCAAAGCAGTGAAAAACATTCCGGCAAATTTTATGACACATTCTGTACTTCCCATTTCCAAAATACTATCTTATTACTTCAAATGTACCTATTTATTGTGGTGACTGTCTTCATTACTGTACTCATGTTGAAAACACTGCTAGGGAGTTATGACTAATTCCATTAGCCTCTATCTCAAAGTACCTATGTTTAGTCTCCTCACTTTCTCAACAATATTTAATTTCTTTCATTACAATAAATAAAAACCTCAATAAGAGAAATTACAAACCTATATACATCAGTCATGTTCAGTCCACCGACTCAAAAGTATTTCTTTAAAGTACATGCAGATTTAAAAATTTTCCATGAATCCGCGCGGGCGTGGTGGCGGGCGCCTGTAATCCCAACTACTCGGGAGGCTAAGGCAGGAGAATCGCTTGAACCCGGGAAGCGGAGGTTGCAGTGAGCCCAGGTTGTGCCACTGCACTCCAGCCTCGGTGACAAAAGAGAAACTCCGTCTCAACAAATAAATAAATAAATAACTCCTAGAGTCTTAGCAAATGGCACTACTGTGTCGCTGGGAGACGAAGCAAGAAGTCTGGTGTTCCCTCAACAATAGGTAACAACTGATTAGTGACAGTCACCTTAAACTTTTTGAGTACCAAGACCCAGAAACTGCCACCACTCTTAGACTGAAGCGTTCAGATGCTTGCCCCTGTGGTAACGCCCCCCACCTCAATCCCAATCCAAGGCCTCCCCCTCATACTCCAGCACCTCCCAACTGAATGGGGAGGTGGGACAAAGTACCGCCCAAGGGAAGGAGACGGGACTCCTGCTCCTGCGGGGTGACCTTGGCCAAGTGTCTCCTTCTCAGTTTTCCCATATGTGAGATAAGGTTGGTAGTCCGTGCCCGCCTCCACCATCCGGGCCGGGTTCAGCGTATAATGCCGCAAGGCTGGAGGAAAGCTCCAGCCCTGTACCCCACGCGGCTCCCCGAGACCGCGCCGCCACCTTCTGGGTCTGCGGCCAGCCGCGCTACCTGCAATCTGGGAGACGAAGGCTTCCGCCACTAGAGACATGTCGGCTGGGAGGCCCGGCGCCCGGGTGCCTGCCCCCCACGGGCCTCAGCGTCCTCCACCGCAAACCCGGAGGCTCTCGGCAGTTAACGAGCCTAGCCCCGCCAACGTTCAGACTCGCAAAGCCCACTCCAACAGCAGCGGCGGCTGCAGTGAGGCCCCCAAGGTTACCGCCAGGCCTGGCTAGGGACTTCCGGCGCAGCCGACAACGGCACTCGAGCGCTTCCGCCGGCCCCGCCCCCGCGCCGTCCTACGGGGCGCCGGCGCGGCTAGCTCCGTCCAGCCAATTCCAGGCTCTGCGCTGGGGGCCCGCAGGTGGAAGCGAAGTACCCGACTCGTCTCCCACCCAGGGGACTGGCAGGGGAATCTGGGAGATTTTTAGCGTCCTTTCTGTAAGCCAGAATTTTGTAACCGAGTAACATTTGTAAACGCCCACTGGATACCAGGCACTTATATACCTATATCTACACACACATATATACATATATACACACACACATACACACATATATAATATATACACGTATATATGTACACATGTACATATATACACATATATACATATATATACACATATATTCTATTTGACTTCGTCTTCTCAACAACCCATTAAAGTAATAATATTATCGCCATTTTACGGATAAGAATATAGGCTTAAGGAGTTTAAACTGCCTGCCCAGGCAGTCCTCCAAGGACCAGATTCAAGGCTGCATGAATTCCCTCTATTCCATTATATTGCTGGGTTGATTAGTCCGTGGATAGACATTAGTGTTTTTTGTTGTTGTTGTTTATTCAAACATGCTTGGCAGAAAGGAGGCTTGAGCAGCGCCTAAGCCAGAAGGTAATTTGTCCTTCAACTCCATACACCCGAAATGATGCTCAGCTTGGAGAATAAGATACTTTAGTTTCACACACTTCTCACCTTTCGGGGGTGAACGGGGCAGGAAGAGGAGAAACTAAATTCCCTGAGTAACTTTGTCTTAACCTAATAGCTTCTTAAATTACACAATTAAAGAAAAATCATATGCATTACAGATTGGTGGTATTACAAGTGGGACAGGCTTCAGAGCTGGTAACCCAAAGCCCCCTTCACTGATGAGAAACAAGTTCAGAGAGGTGAGGTAACTCATTTTAAATCACACAGTAAATCAAAAAGTCAGACAGCTTACTAGGTTTTTGCAGAGGAAACCTGTATTCTAAGAATTACTGTCCATGACATTTAGAAAGCTATATTTCCATTCTTTATATCCGTAGATCTCTATTACTGTTCATTCTGCCTCCTTAACTAGCGTGGTTGGTTTCCTAGAGCTGCCAGATTACCACAAACTGGTTGGCTAAACAACAGAAATTCATTCTCACAATTCTGGAGGCTAGAAGTCTGAAATCAAGGTGTCAGCAGGGCCATGCTGTCTTGCAAGGCTCCAGAGAAGGGGGTTGCCGGCAATCTTCCATGTACTTTGGCTTGTAGATACATCACTCCAATCTCTGCCACCACATCACACGGCATTCCCCCTGTGTGTCAATGTGTTCAAATTTCTCTCTTCTTGAGAAATAACACCAGTCATTGTGTTAGGGACCCCCACCCTAATCCAGCAGGACCTCATCTTAACATGATTTCTTTTCTTTTCTTTTCTTTTTTTTTTTTTTTTTTTTTGAGATGGAGTCTTGCTCTGTCACCTAGGCTGGAGTGCAGTGGCGTGATCTCGGCCCACTGCAACCTCCACCTTCCAGGTTCAAGCGATTCTCCTGCCTTGGCCTCCCAAATAGCTGAGATTACAGGTGCGTGCCACCATGCCCGGCTAATTTTTGTATTTTTAGTAGAGACCGGGTTTCACCATGTTGGCCAGGCTGGTCTCGAACTCCTGACCTCATGATCCGCCCGCCTTGGCTTCACAAAGTGCTGGAATTACAGGCGTGAGCCACTGTGCCCAGCCCCATAATTTTTTTAAGGTTAAGTCATATTTTCATCTCCCTCAGCAAAAGGAAGCTTCTTAAACAGCATTTAAATTTACCCAATAATTTACATTGACATAAACACAGCAGCGTCTTAGGAAGTAGTGTCTTCTCTATAGCTGAAATTCAGAGTTGACAAGCAGCTGTGAATAGTAGAAATACAGGGAAGATAATATTAATAGGTTTTTCTTGTTTGTGCAGAGAGAGGTAACACTGATAGTAAAGAATACATGAGATCCAATTTCCTCCTCATCCCATAGGTATTATTGACCAAGAGAAATGAGCTGTTCCAGATACTTTGTTATCAATCAAAAGAAAAGCTTTCAGGCCCTGTCTGTTCTCCTCACAGTGGAGAATTATGTATAACTGTAATAATGAAGAAGACATATCATCACTTTAAGTTCTATTATTAATTTTGGTTTGTCATTTTTATAAAGCTGAAGACACAATATTTTGACTACTTTTTGACAGATTTGAAGTTTAAGATTTCTCCATATCATAGGGCCTGTGTGAGAACTTGAGCCAAAGTCCCTAGAGAGTAATGAAGATTCAACTGGGGAAACCAAAATCAAACATATCCAAAGGGTAGAAGTGAGCCCCAAAGTGGAAGAGACTGGAAAGAGCCAGAGACTGGACACAGATGCAAGAGAAACAGAGCAAGATTAGAGGCAAAGTAGAATGTGCCCTTAAAATTTAAGTTAAGTACCCATGGCTTGATGCATGATACATGCATGAACTGAGCTGGCTGGAAGGTACTGGTTTGGGACTGACACCAATCATCTTTATTATGGCAAGTGCCTTAGTCCATTAGGGCTGCTATAACAAAATATCTTAGTCTGGATAATTTATAAACAGAAATATACTGCCCTGACTTTCGGAGGTTGGAAAGTCCATGATCAAGGCACCAGCAGATTCAGTGTCTTGGGGGTCCCAGTTCTCACAGATAGCACCTTGTACATGTCCTCACATGGCAGAAGGGCAAAAGGGGCAAATAAACTCCCTTGGGCCTCTTTTATAAGGACACTAATCCCATACATAAGGGCAGAGCCCTCTTGACCTAATTACCTCCTAAATTCCCCACCTCTTCTTAATACTACCATAGTGGCAATTGAGTTTCAACATATGAGTTGTTGAGGGACACAAATATTCAAGCCATAGCAGCATGCTTTTTAGAAAAAAACAGAGATGTGCCGGGGGCATTGTCGATACTCAACTCTTTCTTCATTTTAGCCAGGGAAGCAGAATCATCAGCACCATATGGATTCACTTTTTCCCCCTGACTGATGGTTCTTTTGCTTCCCACACAGGCACATTTAGGCTGGAAAGAATCTGTAATGTGGGAGGTCTTTATTACTAAAAATTAAGTTCAGTAAAATGCAGATGTCTTTATGGTGCCCACAAATAAACTGTCTTTGTAATAAATAGCCAACTGGAGAAAATATATTTACGCATCTGTATTAGAACGAACGGCAGATTTAAAACTGAAGATCTGTTTAAGATCACCACAATTGAGGGAAATACAAGAAAACAAGCCACCAGAATTTTTAAGAATGAGGTTATAAAACAAAAGTGCTGGGGAATCCATATGTTACTAAAAAAATAATTACACAATTTTTTAAATAAAATATCAATGCATGACATTAACAGTCTTATTGTTTGCCCTAATAAAATCACTTTCTTGCAAAACTATTATAGAATATTTTCATGTCCCTAATCTAGACTTTTATGTTACTGTATTAAATGTAAGAAAATAAGCAGTTATTATGATGAATATATACTTTATTAAGATTAAAATACTAAGATATTTTATCTACCTTTTAATTTTCTCTGACAGAATGTTAATATTTTTAAGGTAAACGTTTTATTTTTAAAAAGGTGTCAGCAAGGAAACATTTTTGTCTATGATTCCTTTAAAATTACTATTTACTTAAGAACAATATATAAATTCAGACCTTTTTATCAAATTACTCCCTCATACCTCATCAACAGAATTAACTATAGTTAAATCAATCAACCCAAATAGAGTGTTAATACAGTTAAAAACACTAAAATAACTGTATTAGTTCATTCTCACACTGCTATAAAGAACTACCTGAGACTGGGTAATCTATAAAGAAAAGAGGTTTAATTGATTCACAGTCTGCAGGCTGAACAGGAAGCGTGGCTGGGAGGCCTCAGGAAACTTACAATCATGGTGGAAGGCAAAGGGGAAGCAAGCATGTCTTGCCATGGTGGAGCAGGAGGAAGAGAAAGAGAAGGGAGAAGTGCCACACACCTTTAAAGGATCAGATCTCGTGAAAACTCACTATCACGAGAACAGCAAGGGGGAAATCTGCCCCCATGATCCCATCACCTCCCACCAGGCCTCTTCTCCAATTGTACATGAGATTTGAGCAGGGATACGAATCCAAACCATATCTGTAACAATGTTATGCTTCAGTGCCTTAAGTTCCTCTGTTAATAGTCTTTACTGCTTTAGAAACAAACTGTAGACAACTATAAGCAATCTAATATATAAGGTTTACAAAGATATTTTTAAAAGGGTAGATAAATGTGACAGTCATTCATCCTTATATCCCTCAACTCCTTTCCTCCCCTTATAATTCCTAAGAAATTATAACCAACTCAGGACTGTTACATTCTTACCTTTTTCTTGCTTTCTGTTCTTACCCCCTATTTTAGGCTAGCACACTGTCACATAAACTATGGCATATTTGACCATGCTTTGGGAAATACCTGCAATATTGATTGTAGTGGACCTAGATTATTCAAATATTAACTGCTTTTCAAAAGATATTAGGATGCTAAATTTCCAAAATATTCTTCCACCTTGAGCCTATATGTTGCCTCATTTTCATAGCTTTACCATATTGTAGGGAGCTGAATCTTTTTACTCTATCTATTGCCTGCTCTTTGCTGCTGGTGGTAATGTCTTATCTACAGTTACAGGAACTGTATTAGGACTTTTCTGGTTGCAAGTTATAAAAAAAAATACACAATAGAACTCAGCTTAAGAAAGTTTAATTTTATTGCTCCATAGTGGAAGAAAAGATACAGAAATAATTCACAGAACAGAATGGAGGGTTCTAGGAACCAATACCTTAGTCCTTCAGCTCTCTATCTCTCATCTCTGTTCAGCTTTATTCTTTTTAACTGAAGACATGCCTTCTCTCAGATGGCAGGAAAAATAGCAGCCAGCAGCACCAACTTGACATCTTCCAGGCTTGGCAACCCAACAGTAAAGAGAGTTACTCTCTTCCAACTTCCTTATGCTGTATTCATTTCAGGGAAGAATTATAATTGTCCTTGCTTGCATGGTCTCACTCTGGATTAAGTACTTTGTCCAAGTGAATGGGCTGAATGATTTACCAGGCCAGGGGGAAATGTGGCCTGTGACAAGAAGGAAAATGGGAGAAAATATGCTTGAGGTCAGGCGAAGTGGCTCACGCCTGTAATCCCTGCACTTTGGGAGGTTGAGGCAGGTTTCAGACCAGCCTGGGCAACATAGTGAAACCCCATCTTTACAAAAAATACCAAAATTAGCCCGGCGTGGTGGTATGCACCTGGCGGGAGGATCTGCTTGAGCCTGAGGCTGCAGTGAGCTGTGATTGCACCACTGCATTCCAGCCGGGGAGGCAGAGTGAGACCCTGTCTCAGAAAAAAAAAACAAAACAAAACAAAACTATATATATATATATATATATATATATATATATATATATATATATATATATATATTTGCTTGACATATATAAGCATATATATGCTTGACAGCCAAAACCATAGTACTGCTGTCCACAGTAAGAATTAGAGTGCTGTACTGTGGATACTCGTTTTAAAACTTAGACAAGCCAGGTGCGGTACGTCACGCCTGTAATCCCAGCACTTTGGGAGGCCGAGGCCGGAGGATTGCCTGAGGTCATGAGTTCAAGACCAGGCTGGCCAACATGGTGAAACCCTGTCTCTATTAAAAATACAAAAAATTAGCCAGGCGTGGTGGCACATGTCTGTAATCCCAGCTACTTGGGAGGCTGAGGCAGGAGAATTGCTTGAACCTGGGAGGTGGAGGTTGCAATGAGCCAAGGTCATGCCATTGCATCCCAGCCTGGGGAACGGAGCGAGACTCTGTCTCCAAAAATATATATAAATAAATAAATAAAACTTAGACAAATCATCTAAGCCTTTTAATATTTTTCATTTCTATGAAAGAAGTAGTAAAATATAATGATGCATTAATTACCACCCCTGGGGTGGGTAGGAGGGGGAATTCAGATGATTGGGTTAATCAAGAGGAAGAGAACTGAAGATGCCTTCAATGGAAGTATTATATATATGTGAAAGTAACTACTTTCTTTCACGTAAATATAATTAACACTAAACAATGCTAACAAAAATAGTCAACACCAAATCACCATAGCAATAAATTTAATATTTATAAGATAAAGGAAAACACACACACACAATTGCCTCATCCTTTGGTGTATGTTGTGCTTCCAGATCTGGCTAACAAGGATATACTTTCTTTCTGAAGCTATAATTAATATGTATGAAATCCATGCAATAGCATGAAAAATGTAAATGATGCAATGTTAAGGAAAAACAGCAGAATGTAAAATGTATTTTCTTGTGAATACAAGAATGCAAAAAAGCATGTATATAAAAAAACTGGATGGGATTTCTCAAATGTGATAACACTGTTATATCAAGGCAACATGGGATTTTTATTTTTATTTTTTGCTGCCATCTAAACTTCCTGGAATATTTTTATGCCACTTTTACCATTTGGGGAAAAAGGGTGTTTTTGTCACACTGGGTAGAACTTCTTTAAAAATGACTAATATAGCAAGTGCTCTAATCTGTCTGCATCCAGGTCTTGCATAATAGACAGTCTATTAATTATACTGCTGACAGGCTATTTCAAACCAGCTCCATGTTTGATGTTCCATGGCAGAGATTCACTCTTATGGTAATAATGAGAGAACATGTGCAGACAGAACAACAACACCGGCTAGGCGCGGTGGCTCACACCTGTAATCCCAGCACTTTGGGAGGCCAAGGCGGGGGGGTCACGAGGTCAGGAGATCGAGACCATCCTGGCTAATACGATGAAACCCCATCTCTACTAAAAATACAAAAAATTAGCCAGGCGTGGTGGCGGGCGCCTGTAGTCCCAGCTACTCAGGAGGATGAGGCAGGAGAATGGCGTGAACCCCGGAGGCAGAGCTTGCGGTGAGCAGAGATCGCGCCACTGCACTCCAGCCTGGGCGACAGAGGGAGACTCCATCTCAAAAAAAAAAAAAAAAAAAAAAAAAGACTGTATACAAATGGGCAAGACACATCTGGATATGTGATTTCTATTGTTGAATACTAAATAATGTGTTAAGCAGGGAGAAATTGGCAAACTTTGTAGACCAGTTATAGACACTTTTGTTAATTTGACATTGGTTTTAAACTGTATTTGAGTTGTTACATTTTACCTTATAGCCCCTAAACAAAGCTGAAAGGATGGCAATGATGCTTAAGGAACCCTGAAGCAAGAGCATTGGCAAATAACTGGTAAGGAGTTTACCCTAAGAAAGCAGAAATTTGAAAGGACTCCTGAATACTTGGAACTACTTTGAGGAAGACGCTGCCATGATGGAGAAATAGGTCCCTCTAATATAAAGCTGGCAATAATGCAAAACAGCATGGTCATCACCATTTTCCTTTGCCTTCTGTTCAAATCAGAATCTATAGTAGAGAATGAGATTCATTCACTCATTCATTCTTCAGGTAATTATTGAATCTCATTTTGGAATGTTGGGTCCTCAACATCTAGAGATACATGGTGAACAGAAGTCAGTGTCTGCTCTCCAGGGGTTTACCATCCAATTAAGAAGATGGTCAAGCAAACAGGCCATTTCAACACAGTGTAATACATGCTACTGAAAGAGTGTACAAACACATTCAAAGTTACAGGCAATGTTATCTAAGAAAGGTTTTATGTTGCCATGTTGCACAGCTACCACACTCTTCAGGGTAAGTGATATGCCCTTGCAAGTATACCAAATGACTTTCCAAAATTTGGATATCTGAAAAATAACTAACCGGGCTAATAGAAAATGCACCTTCAATAATTTCAGATATTTGAAACATCATCAAATATCTCAGCATTCACAAGAATAATGACCAACCTTGTTTTGGTACATGCTTGAGCCTCACAATTCCTCAGAGGCACAACATGCTTTGTTCATAGCAATCCCTTCCTTCCTACATAAAATGAAAACATCACACCATTTAACTCTTCAAAATTATTGAAAGCAACCATTTTAAGCTGCTGGTTAGTATGAAATATTTGGTATCTTGCCAACTTCCTTTTTCTTTTTCTTAACAGTATCCCAGAAATAAAGCACAGGAACTCAAAAGGAATAAAAACAACTAATATCAGATAGTAGTTCCTCCTGCCAATCACAGCAATCATTTCCATTTTTTCTCTGGATTTTTTTAATTGACTAAATATTCTCTTCCCTGTTGAAGCCAGTTACTCACATGAATCCACATGAACTTATATTCTATTTAGTTTTTCTGCATTTTACTGCAAGTAAAGGACCTAATTCCAAGTATTAAAAATCCCATCTTCCTCTGCTTTGTTTAAAGTTGTTTTTAAAATGCCAGTAGTGCTGTCAGGCTACCCCTCCAGTTCAGGAAAAAAAGGATATTTTTTGTATGGAGCACTCCAAGCACATCAGCTGCATCTACACTGCAATCTAAGGCTGAAGTATTAAAAACTCAAGAAGGCCTTTCACTAGCTTAGGAAAGGATCAGAGAATTCAATTTCTCCACACAACTCCCTCATCCAGTTTTCTCCAGAGGATTTGTAACTAGATCCCTACACAGCTGAGAAAAGAGAACTAGCTTATATATCTAGGAGTATAGTTGGGCACATGCAAAAACGCAAATATGGAAAACAATTTTAGTGTCTTAAAATTAAATGAAGTCAGGGTAAACAAAGATAATACTTAATAACTTTTTAAAAATAATAATAAATTTACTTTGGTCTCTAACAACAATTTAAAGGTCATATAAGTAACCTGTATATTTTTCTTATATCTCTTAACTTTTCCTTAATGCCCATTAACATGTTGAACTGTATGTTAACAGCAAGACACAGGATTTTAGAAAAAAATTGGCATGCCAGAAAGCATGTTAAGCTTACCAGCTCTGCCAGATTATGTTGTCATAAGAAAATACTTTATGGGCCCAGCATGCTTCTACTGTGCTACTCTGCTACATAGAAAATACTTTAAAGAAAATGTAAATTGGATTAAAATATACTGTAACAGGCCAAAAATTAAATTAAATATCATTGCTTTCTCAGTAGTTTTTAAAATTTCAGTTCTTGAGTATTATTTACTCCTAAAAGCTGAAAATTATGTGCTAATTTATCTAATTGCCTTTAACTTTTATTTTGAATAATTTTAGACTTATAGAAAAGTGGCAAACATTGTACAGATAATTCTCATATGCCCTTCACTCAGATTTCTCTAATGTTAATATCTAATAGAGAAATAGAATTTTTTATTTTATGTAAATACAAAGTGGTATTTGCAAATGTAGTGTACTTGTATTTGTAAAATGCACATGTATTTGTTAAGTATAAAATATAACATAGTAAAATTATTGAAACCACGAAATTATAATACAATTGACCAATCTACGAAGTTTATTCTGATTTCTTCCATTTTCCCACTAACTTCCTTCTTCTGGTCCAGGATCTCACATTGCATTTAGTTGTCATGTCCCTAGTTTCCAATCAGTGACAGTTCCTCAGTTTTTCTTTTATCTTTGTCTTCCATGACATTGACACTTTTGATAAATACTAGTCAGTTCTTTTGTGCAATGTCTCTTAATTTGAGTTTGCCTGATATTTCTCATGATAAATTGAGGTTATGTGTTTTTGGCAAGCATACCATTGAAGCAACATTGTGCTTTTGCCAGTACATCATGTTACGGGGTACACATCAATATATTTTATTACTGGTAATGTTAAATGTGATCTTTTAGTTAAGGTAGTATCTGCCAGGTTTCTCCATTATAAAGTAACTTTATTTTCTTTGTAATTAATAAGCACATTGTGGGAGATACTTTGAGACTATGAAAAACCCTGTTTGTAATCATACTTTTGTCGAGCAACTTTAGTTATCAGTAGATGGTTCTTGCCTGCAACAATGATTGCTTTGGTGTTTGCCTAATGGTGACTTTCCATAATATTTTTAACATTTTTTCTACATTTATTCATTTAAATTCTACTTGTAAAGAAGAGTTGTGCCTTCTCCCCCTTCATTTATTTATTTGATTATTTATATCAGTATGAATGTATGGATGTTTATTTTAGGAATCCTATTGGTTATAACCAAAAACTAACTTTTTTTTTTTTTGGCTCAAATTTTCCCAGATTGGTCTATTGGCGATCTTTCAAGTTGATTTCTGTGTCCTTCCAAAAATGCCTGTATTGTCTTTTGAACAATTCTTTATTTCCTTATTTTCTGGTGCTAGAAGATGTTCTAGACTAATTTTCTACTTTCCCTGCCCCAGACACAGAAGCAATCATTTTCCAAGGAGCCTTGGTTTCTTTTAATGGAGAATGATATTTAGAAACCAAGATCTGGGCTGGGCATGGTGGCTCACACCTGTAATCCCAGCACTTTGGGAGGCCAAGGCAGGCAGATCACATGAGGTCAGGAGTTCTAGACCATCCTGGCCAACATGGCAAAACCCCATGTCTACTAAAAATACAAAAAAATTAGCCAGGTGTGGTGGTGCGCACCTGTAATCCCAGCTACTTGGGAGGCTGAGGCAAGAGACTCACTTGAACTTGGGAGGCAGAGGTTGCAGTGAGCCAAGATTGTGTCACTGTACTCCAGCCTGGGCCACAGAGTGAGACTCCATCTCACAAAAATAAAGAAAGAAAGAAAGAAAGAAAGAAAAGAAAGGAAAAGAAAAGAAACCAATATCTGTTTCTTAGGTATGCCCAATGTTCCTGGGTCGTCATTTCTTCCAGGTCTTCTCAGCCCAGAAAGACAGGAAATATGTGTGTATATTAACATACTCTCACACGTCTGCATTTATTTCTAAAAATATCTGTGTGTGTATGTGTATATAAAACCATGAATTTATACTGATACCTTCCATTTTAATCCAACACAAAGTTCATTCTTAGCCTTCCCCTCTTTCCTTATTTGTAAATTTTTCTCTGACAGTGGGAAACCTGGCTCTCATTATCCACAATATATTTTCTTATTTGTTCAATCATAGTAATGTGTACACATAAAGTACTTTAAGAATTGCAAACCCATCTCCCCAAGAAACAAATTTACTAATTAGAGTACAATATTTCTATCCAGATTTTTGGTCTTTCATCTTACAGTTTATAGTCAAAATACTATTTTCCAAGGATACTCAAGTTAGTTCTTTCCTTCCCCACTTACTTCAGTGTGATTATGTTATTCATTTAATGCACTTAGTTTCATCTACCATTCTTCATATTCCATTTGGGGTTCCCCCACATCCTGGGTGATTTTAATTATTTATTTGGGGAGGTGGATATATGGGCTGTTACCGTGTTTATGATAGTCAGAGCTATACAGAAAGATGTACAGTCCCAGCATGGTGGCTCAGGCCTGTAATCCCAGTGCTTTGGGAGGCCTGGGCAGGAGGATCACTTGAGCTCATGAGTTCAAGACCAGCCTGAACAACATAGTAACACCCCCACCTCTACAAAAAATTTTAAAAATTAGCCAGGCAGGCCAGGCACGGTGGCTCATGACTGTAATCCCAACACCTGGGGAGGCCAAAGCAGGTGGATCACCTGAGGTCAGGAGTTGAAGACCAGCCTGGCCAACATGGTGAAACACCATCTCTACTAAGAATACAAAAATTAGCTGGGCATGGTGGCACGCACCTGTAGTCCCAGCTACTCAGGAGGCTGAGGCAGGAGAATTGCTTGAACCCAGGAGGCGGGGGTTGCAGTAAGCCGCGATTGCACCACTGCACTTCAGCCCGGCAATGGAGCGAGACTCCGTCTCAAAAAAAAAAAAAAAAATTAGCCAGGTGTGGTGGTGCGTACCTGTAGTCCCAGCTACTCCGAAGGCTGAAGTGGGAGGATCGCTTGAGCCTCGGGGTTTGAGGCTGTAGTGAGCCATCATCATGCCACTGCATTCCAGCCCGGGCGACGGAGCCAGACCCTGTCTCAAAAACAAAACAGAGCAAAAACAAAAGATCTATACAGAGAAGTGGCACTCTCCCCTCATTCTTCCTACACATTCTTTCCGCCCCATCTTTTTCTGCTCCCTGTAGGTAACCTATCTCATTGTTTCTGGTTTATCCCTCTTGCATTCCTTTTTCAAAAGTGAGCAGATAAATGTTTATTTTCTTAAAACCCCCTTTTTACATGAAGTACTTTATCTTTTTCAGTGTTTTTCTTCTCTTGCAGTTTTTGTTTTTCAGTGTTATCCTGACTATTCTTGCATGTTTGTTTTTCCACATGAACTTTGTGTCAATTTATACAACTCCATAAAAAAGCTTCTTGGTATTTTCATTGAGATTGCATTAAATCTATAAATTGATTTAAGGATAACTGACATGTTTATAATATTGACTTATCTTACCCAAGAATAGAGATTGTCTTTCCATTTGCACAAGTCTACTTTTCTGGCTTTCAGGAGTGTTTTAAATTGTTCACATCTAGGTTTTGCATATTTCATATTATGTTTATTCCTGAGTTTTTAATCTTCTTTATTGCTATTAAAATGGGATTTTTCTGTAATTTTATGGACTGTAACTGGTTATTGGTTATGTATATGAAGGCTATTCATTTTTGACATTTTGCCTTATATTTTAAATGTTAAATAGTTAACTTTGGTGACTAAATAGAGGTTATCCTTTGTGATTTTAATAAAAGGACATTAAGAGTGATATCATTTCGGCCGGGCGCGGTGGCTCACGCCTGTAATCCCAGCACTTTGGGAGGCCGAGGCGGGCGGATCACGAGGTCAGGAGATCGAGACCATCCTGGCTAACACGGTGAAACCCCATCTCTACTAAAAATACAAAAAATTAGCCGGGCGTGGTAGCGGGCGCCTGTAGTCCCAGCTACTTGGGAGGCTGAGGCAGGAGAATGGCGTGAACCCCGGAGGCGGAGCTTGCAGTGAGCCGAGATTGCGCCACTGCACTCCAGCCTGGGCGACAGAGCGAGACTCCATCTTAAAAAAAAAAAAAAAAGAGTGATATCATTTCTTACCACCATAGTTTCTCTTAATCTAGTATCTATAGTACATAATGCAGGCCTGAAAGTGCTAGATTTTGAGGAGCTTTTCCCCTCAATGTATATGTCAGCAAAAAATAATGCCAAATGACAGGGTTCTATTCAAATGAAGCCCTTATTTAATATTTCTAAAAATATATTGTCCACAAAAATCATAGCCAAAGTGACCAGTCCTTGGGGGAAGTCAAAAAAGCCTGCATTTTGTGGAAAGTGAGATATAAATATGTTGAATTTGAGGTGCCAGCAAAATATACGAGTGAAAACGTTCTGGGGCATTTTGAGATGCAGCACTAGAGCTTGGAGAGATAGTAGGGATTAATTTTTTAAGTCCATATATGAGTGATGATTGAAGACAATATATAGAATGTGACCCCTAAGGAAGAAAAGAAAGAACTGAGCTGAGGCCTGGACCTTGGAGAACACCCAGTTTTAGGACACCATGAGGAGGTAGGAGGAGCACTAGAATAAGGAACATCACAGAGACCAAGAAAGAAGAAAGGTCCAGAAAGGGAAAATGAGCTTCTCTGGCAAAGACAACAGTAGCTGCAAAGGAAATGAGGCCTGAGTCAATGCCATTAGGTGCAGGTGGTTCTAGTGTTTTCCAAAGTGTGGTCCCCAGCATTCTAGCTTCTTCTGGATGATAATATGTATTATTCCAAAAAAAGTTGCAGTGGTCAAAAAGTTTGGAAAACACTGTATTAATCAAAGTCAAACAGGTTACCTCACTACAGGGCTTCTCAGGGCTGTTAGCATGCTGCTGTGGATTGCAAATTTCTATGAACAAGGATAGTATGCAGATTTCTATAAATTTCTTTAACCAATTTCACCTGAAGTACTTTGACCAAGCTCGTTTTTCTCCTAGGCATTTCTCAAGATGAGATGTATCATGGAATACACTTTGGAAATTTTAGAGCACACTGTAAACTAATCTTCCTTAGCTTTCTCTCTGCCTTCAAAGTCAAACATAGAAGCTCAGAATCCTATTTTATTTTATGGGAAACAGCACTTTCTAACTCTGGAAGATTGCTGGTACTCCTGGCATTTTGCACAGTTCCAGCTGAACAGAATGCTGAAAATCCTCTAAAGCAGGAACTGTGAGCTGGAGACTGAGATGGGGACAGCAAGAGGATGCGCTGAGGAGGAGGGCTCTGTGGAGGGCAGAGGGGAAGAACAAGGAGCCATTTGAGTCAAGGGTCCCAGAGAATTTGGAATCTCAAATGCAATTTGGCAGCATCAGTTCCCAAGAGATCTGACCCAAAAGGGCCAGACGACCTTGTGGTTCTCAGAAGCAAACCCTCAACCCTAGGAGTAGGGAAGCTGTAGGCTATTTCCAGAAAGAAGGGAGCAGCTCATCTGGACTGACCCTGCAGTTGGACAGCAATACAGCAGGCCATTAAGGTGGAGAGATGAGGGCCAACTGGGATTCCATCTCTCTAACAGAAAACATTCTAAACTTTGGGGGAAATCCTGGAAAGTTCAAAGTAAAATTTTCTAAAATGAAAAATTACTCCCGTAAAGATACTTTATCAGCAAAAAAGTGCTTTTTGTTTTATAAACACCTTAAAAGAAATTATAGTGATAGTGGAAGCCAGATAGCAGAATTGGATGGACTTATCATAAATGTGTTCAGTGAGATTCAACATTCATTCAAATAGAAGTCATGTCTGCAAAAAGAAGTATTTTTGCATGATGTTTTGAATAAAGTTAAAGGGATGACAGTTGTTTTATTACCCAATACTAATGTAAGATTCATTTTTTAAGACTTAAGGGTATTGCACAGTCTAGAGATAAGTGGACATATAAATATAGTTGGTTGTATCAGTTCCTGCCTCATGAAACTCCAACTAGCAGTAGGCCCTAAATTTGCTCAAGATCTGAGCAAGAAAGCCTGGCAGCATATTGGAAACTCCATTCCCATCAGCATGTAGGGTCTGGAACTAGCCATGTTAACCTAAGTCTTGTATCCAGGGTACCCATATTTCCAACCCTGAACTATGTCATTCCTGCTTTCTATCTTCCTCATGCATGCCTAATCTGTATTACAGGACTTCTTTCCCAATTTATCTTGTAGGATATACATCTTCCCTACATTCAAGCCTTCTTGACCAGGGTCTTGACAGTCACCCAAGTCCTTGTCAGCTGCTATCTTCCACCCCTACTCTGACCCCTCCACCCCTGCTACCTGGTAGCTAGAGTCTTGCTTTGAACTAAACAGAATTTCACAGCCACTATTCTTCCATTTTACTTAAATTATCACCACTTAATGAAGATCCATGCCATGAGGCTTCACTAAGAAAATCTGACATTTTAAGTATCAGTATTAATTGAATAGAGTGGAAGTTCACGCTAGCCCCTTGGACACTAGGTTTGAAGTGTTGACAATTCCCAGACATTCATCTTAGCCCTGCTTTGTGCCCAACTTTGTCCCTTTTCCCAATAACCTGCCCAGAATGAGGTCTCAAAATATCTTTTTTTAAAGTTAATGACTTACTCTTTTCTATTGTTTTTAATTTCTTTTTTGAAGTCTTCAAGTATATAAAGATTTTGTAGGCCAGGTGTGGTGGCTTACGCCTGTAATCCCAGCACTTTGGGAGGCCTAGGCAGGTGGATCACCTGAGGTCAGGAGTTTGAGACCAGCCTGGCCAACATGGCGAAACCCCCTCTCTACTGAAAATACAAAAATTAGCTGGGCGTGGTGGCAGTCGCCTGTAATCCCAGCTACTTGGGAGGCTGAGGCAGGAGAATCACTTAAACCTGGGAGGCAGAGGTTGCAGTGAGCCGAGATCGTGCCATTGCACTCCAGCCTGGGCAACAAGAACGAGACTCCATCTCAAAAAAAAAAAAAGATTTTGTAATATCTAACTAACCAATACTTATATTAATTGAAGCTCTTGAAATATAATCATGCTATTTGATATATCTGCTAACTCTCACTCATAGTAGATTATTTCCTTGTGTCTTTTGTAAGTTTTTACCTGCTCTGCTTGTGTATGGAATTTATGTGCAACTAGGGTGTAAGAGGTAACCCTCCAGAAAGATATTGCATTTGCCTCCACCAAGCACCCTGGAGGTTTACCAGCCTGACCTTGATTACTTTTTTTAGGTTAATTTCTCAGTGTGGGAGAGTTCCTGGGTTCTACAAGTGGTGTAAGTTCAAATGACAAATGAGGGCTTGTGGTTACGAATTTTAAGAGGATACTATTTTGGTCCATGTGGAGCATACATGAAAATCAAGCTTTCTTGTTACCTTCCTGTGTTGGTAGACATTTTTCTGTTAGCTAGCTCTTTTTTTTTTTGAGGTCAGAACCTTTTGAGAGGTCTAGCAGTATGTGGGAATCTAACCTGTCACTGGCACAAGGTCTTGCATGGGAGAGTAAACCCAAGGCTCTAGGTTAATGAGACCAACAAATCCTTCAGGCAACCATAACATCATCTTCCCCGGCACCACTTTGGTTTTCAATTCCTTCTTCATTTTTGGTGCATGGATATGTTTGATTTTACCCTAAGTTTCCAAATGATTTTTCTTAGTCATTTTTGTTTTGTTTTGTTTTGTTACTGAGAGAGAGTCTCGCTCTATCACCCAGGCTGGAGTTCAGTGGTGTGAACTCAGCTCACTGCAACCTCCGCCTCCTGGGTTCAAATGATTCTCCTGCCTCAGCCTCCCGAGTAGTTGGGACTACAGGCACCCGCCACCACACCCAGCTAATTTTTGTATTTTTAGTAGAGATGAGGTTTTGCCACGTTGGCCAGGCTGGTCTCGAACTCCTGACCTCAGGTGATCCACCTGCCTTGGCCTCCCAAAATGCTGGGATTACAGGTGTGAGCCACTGCTCCAGGCCTTCCAAATTATTTACAATGGGAGAGTTTTTCAGGTTATTTAATCCACAGTTTTTCTATAAATAGAAATGCCAGTGTGTCTTTTTAATAATGAAAAGGTCAACTGTCAGTATAATTATACATTATTCAATATGTCTTTTACATAAACAAAAGTACCTTCAACAGAAATAATGCAAGACCTTACTAAAGAATATTTCAGAGAACATCTCACTGTAGTTTATACATTTACTATAAAACAAAAGACCTGGATATATTTTCTGCTCTGTGAAGTATTAATAATAAAATACAATTCATTTCCTATTGTCTTTTTCCATTTTCTTTGCATATTTACTACCACTCTTGTTTGGACCATTGACTCATGTCAGGACTTACGAAACAGACTCTTAATTGATTTCCTGTTTCCAGTCTTGCCCAACTCCAAATCATGCCACAGGTAACCCTGAGATTAATCTTGCTAAAATGCTACTCTTGTGGTAACATGTTTTCTGCATATCAGATACTTCTGTGCACAACTTAAACATTTACTCATTATCCCTTTGCTCTCCTTGTTAATTCTTGCATTTGCTCATAATTTTCCTGTCATCTAGTTTTCCCTTCTACCTTCTCTCTGCCTTTCCAACTCCCACCTATTCTTAAAGGCTCTGCATAAATCCTCCATCTTGAAAAGATCTCTCACCTACCCCACTGGAAGCAATCTTGCCCTCTTCAGCACACCTTTAGTGTCTAGTATCTGACACATCCATTTAATATTTATCATAATGAATACAGAGAACCCCCAATTTTATAAACAGGATGTGTTCCAAAAGCACGTTTGTAAATTGGCTGCTTGAAATGCTAAATACCATTTCCCTCAGAAGTCCCATTATAAATGCTGCTTAAATTTCAGAGCTAGCTCACAAAAGTCTATTCAGCCTTTGATGAAACAGAACCAAAGTACTGATCATACCAGTTCAAGAATCTGTGGATCAAACTTTATGCTGTCAAGGAAAGAACAAAAGGATATAGTAAAGTATTCCCCCCTTTTGATAAGGCAATAATTTCTATGTTTGAGCAAATTTCTGCTTAATCTGACAAATGCTTACTAAACAATTACTTAGTGCCAATTACTGTTCCCGGTCCTGTAGAAATACAATGAACAGGACAAACACATCCCTCGGCCTCATGGAAATCCTTTGTCACTACCCTTTCAGGTACACAATCTTCCCCGATCCCACTGTGGCTTTCTTCCAGTGCCCAAATCTTCTGACCTGGGGACTGGGTTGCTGGAAGTAGTACCATTCACCAATTGGAATTGTCAGGGAAAGAATGGTTTGGTGGGGTTTTGTTGTTTTGTGGGGAATGGAGGTGTCAATTGAAGTGGTTTCTGTTTTTCTTATATTTGCTTGTTGTGGGGTGCAGGGGAGATGATGTGTCAGGGAGAAAAAACATGTATTCTATTTGGAACTTAAACTTTGGAATGGAAAACATCAGAGTGAGGCAGGTATCAGGAGGAAAGTGGCTGTGGAGGAATGCAGCACCCAGGGGAACCCTGCAGAGGGCGGGGGAAAGCAAGCATCCTTATTGTCATCATCATCAGAAGCCACATCCAATATACAAAAGTGGGGTGTGACCTGAAGGAAGCAGATTCCTCCTGCAGGACCCGGGAGATACCCCAAATACTGTGCTGGTATCCACCACTGAGAGACCCACAGACAGTTCACATCACAGGACTCTGTGCAGACAACCCCCATTACCAGCCCAGAGCCTGGCAGACTTGCTAGGTGGCTAGATCCGGAAGAGAGACAACAATCACTACAGCTTGGCTCTCGGGAAGCCACATCCATAGGAAAAGGGGGAGAGTACTACATCAAGGGAACACCCCATGAGGCAAAAGAATCTGAACAACAGCCTTCAGCCCTAGACCTTCCCTCTGACAGAGACTACCCGAATGAGAAGGAACCAGAAAACCAACTCTGGTAATATGAAAAAATGAAGTTATTTAACACCCACAAAAAATCACACTAGCTCACCAGCAACGGACCCAAACCAAGAAGAAATCCCCGATTTACCTGAAAAAGAATTCAGGAGGTTAGTTATTAAGCTAATAAGGGAGACAACAGAGAAAGGCGAAGCACGGTGCAAGGAAATCCAAAAAAATGACACAAGAGGTGAAGGGAGAAATATTCAAGGAAATAGATAACATAAATAAAAAACAATCAAAACTTCAGGAAACAATAGACACACTTATAGAAATGCAAAATGCTGGCCGGGAGTGGTGGCTCACGCCTGTAATCTTAGCACTTTGGGAGGCGGGCGGATCCCCTGAGGTCAGGAGTTTGAGACCAGCCTGACCAACATGGTGAAACCCTGTCTCTACTAAAAAAAAATACAAAAATTAGCCAGGCAAGGTGGTGTGCACCTGTAATCCCAGCTACTTGGGGAGCTGAGGCAGGAGAATTGCTTGAACCTGGGAGGTAGAGGTTGCAGTGAGCTGAGATTGTACAACTGCACTCCAGCCTGGGTGACAGAGTGAGACTGTCTTAAAAAAAAAAAAAAAAAGAAATGCAAAATGTTTTGGAAAATCTCAGCAATAGAATCGAACAAGTAGAAGAAAGACATTCAGAGCTCGAAGACAAGGTCTTCTAATTAACCCAATCCAACAAAGACAAAGAAAAAAGAATAAGAAAATACGAACAAAGCCTCCAAGAAGTCTGGGATTATGTTAAGTGGCAAAACCTAAGGATAATCAGTGTTCTTGAGAAGAAGAGAAATCTAAAAGTTTGGAAAACATATTTGGAGGAATAATAGAGGAAAATTTCCCCAGCCTTCATAGAGACCTAGACACCCAAATACAAGAAGCACAAAGAACATCTGAGAAATTTATCACGAAAAGACCATCACCTAAGTACATTGTCATCAGGTTACCTAAAGTTAAGATGAAGGAAAGAATCTTAAGAGCTGTGAGACAAAAGCACCAGGTACCCTATCAGGTTAACAGCAGTTTCTCAGCAGAAACCTACAAGCTAGAAGGGAATGGGGCCCTATCTACAGCCTCCTCAAACAAAACAATTATCAGCCAAGAATTTTGTATCCAGCAAAACTAAGCTTCATGCACGAAGGAAAGATAGTCTTTTTCAGACAAATGCTGAGAGAATTCGCCACTACCGAGCCACCACTACAAGAACTGCTAAAAGGAGTTCTAAATCTTGAAACAAATCCTGGAAACACATCAGAACAGAATCTCTTTAAAGCATAAATCTCACAGGACCTATAAAACAAAAATACAATTTAAAAAACTTTGGAATGTTTGGAGGTCACTAGGTAGAGGATATGTAGTGTGAACAAATGTAAAGGAATCCTGTCCTAGAGTTGGTGGGGTGAAGTAACCTGGACCAGAGCTACAGGCTTGGGGTGATCAGTGTACCAAGGTAATCTTTCTCATCATGGGTATGAATAAGATCACTTTTGTAACTGTGGGTTGCTTGAAGGTTTACATTTTGAAAAGTGCTAAATTCACTATATAGCCTTGTACCTTATTTTGGTTTTTTCCTTGCAGCCATTTTATAACTGCAACTAGTTTTTTCCCTTAGGGCAAGAAACTTTCCAATCCAGTTTTATACCCCATAAAGACTCGCACACTATATGGATTCAATAAATATTCGTCGATTGTTCCACTGTGTCAGTGTTACATTCTGAGACACATCAATAATTTCCCTAGGGTTAATAAAAGTAATTGTAAACAGTTGGATACTCTGATGTACCACAGGTTGGCTAAATATAGCAATAATAGCTACCACATTTGCTAAAATAACAGCTAAGCTGCTGTATACAATTTGGGATTAAAGACTCATTAAATAATAACACAATTCTTTCCAGCCAAACTACCTTACTCTTTATTCTAAGCCAGGCATTGAATATTCCAGCTCTCATGTTTCTGGTGACTCCATTTATCTTGTCTGTTAAGACCTTATCACCACATTGCCACATTCTACCTTAACCTCTCTAAAGTCCCCTCTTTGAAGGTCTTCCCAAATGCCCTGGGCCTAGGTTGTCATTCCCACCCAGTATACAATACTCTGTTTCCTTAATTTTATCTATCTAACCCATCTTCCCAACCAGATCTAGCAGGAATCTTTTAAACCTTTTAGTATCCTCTTGACTAGCACAATGTGGTAAAATAATAGGTATTCCATAACTCATTATTGTCGATGATGATTGAAGGATAGGCACCAAATAAGTCCCAAGATCATAGACTGTTAGTGTTGGAAGGAAACCTTGGGACTTCAATGATCTGAGCTTAACACCTGATAGACATTGTATGTTTGACCTCAAATTGACCACATAGGCTAATCAAAGGTTCCCAATCAGGAGTCCCAAGACGGCTGCTGAAACGAGGGCCTCCAGTGATGAAGCTGGTCAGAAAAACTAGTCTAATCCAATGTTATTTTGAAAATGAAGAAACATAGTTGCAAAGAGCTGCAATTATTTTTCCTAGGTCACGTGACTGGTTAGTGATAGAGTCTAGAAACCTAGTTTACTGACCTCTACCTTGAAGATCCTTACACAACACCAAAGTATTTGGAGACTGATACTTCAGCCATATTACCTGTATAAAAGACATACATACTTGACAACTTTTCCTTTCTGCTTTCAATAATGATATTTTGAGTTCAAAATCCTTTTAATAATTAAACTAGACAGCGACTGGATAAACATTGTTCTTTGGGTTAACCAAAATAACTTTGTACTTAAAAATACTTTTTATGGTTATCACCACTGAGGCTTAACTACAAATAAAGTGAAGTAAAAGAAAGCTTCCATAATCAAATTGCTTCCACAATTCTATCCTTGCTATGACCTCCAACAAGGACAAAGATGCTGTGAACTACTAAATCCTCCAAAATAGTTCTTTAATGTAGGTATGTCTTCTTTGATGTTGTAAAATTATCATGCTTCATTTTGTTTTGAACATTCTAGAAAGAATTCAACTGTCTTAATATAGAAGATGCTTTTTACATGGAGTATGCTATGATACCCTCTCAAAAAGAGAGTTTATTAAGTAATTGAGCATACTTAGCTTTCATTGCATGCTCACGAAGTTCTGGTAATGGGAATAATCACTGCCAAAATAAAAAGCTATTTATTTCAGATCTATTCATGCTTTTAAGATTTTGGGGGTACTATCTCAATTTTTTAAATGACATTTAGTATATGAATTAGCTTTATTGCTCTCTGCTTTCCCCCATCTTTTAAACTAACAAAAAAATATGAATTTTAATTTTTAGACAATTTATTCAGCCTTGCTAT
Source organism: Homo sapiens (assembly GCF_000001405.40). Classification (NCBI taxonomy): domain Eukaryota; kingdom Metazoa; phylum Chordata; class Mammalia; order Primates; family Hominidae; genus Homo; species Homo sapiens. The sequence continues at coordinate 176,247,254 of NC_000002.12, read as the reverse complement.
TGTTATATCTCCAGGGACTAAATTTACATTTTGAAAAAATACCATGATGTGCAAATGTGCATACCCTATTCAGCCAACATATCATAGATACTGTATAGTAACATCTGGGAATATTAAACTTTGCCTTTACTGGCAACCCAATTGGCATCTTGAATTTACAGTGAAGATGTTTTATACTGATGTGTTTTGGAAATCTTTGAAGTATTCTCAAGACAGTATTCTGAGGTTTCTGCAGTGGTCCACTTGAGCCTTTTGAAGTTCCCTATACAATAGGATACATACATATATTTTCCAAAACATGTTTTAGTGGGAAAAGAAGAAAAGTTCAAGTTGGCGGTATAATAAGCTTCCCCGAGTTGTCTGAACCGAATTCCTTTTTGGCACTATTGTTTTGGCAGTCAGCAAGCTTTATGAGACCAGTCTGATAAAACCGTTCCTCTTCCCAGACTGCTTTGTAGATGCTAAATCATTTTAATGCCTCATATTTATGAAGCACTCATATTTCTAAAGTACAGATATAAAATTTTAAATTTACCTCTGAGCATCTGATATTTCAGCTGTGCTTTATCCAAGGGTGATACCCCACAATGGTGGTCACTGCCTGTGTGTGAGGAAATGCTAATGAGCCCACTGTGAAATGATGAGTCCTTCCACAGTGTTCGCCCTGAGCACTGTGCTTTCATTCACAGCCTCAGCCACTTCTGACGGTGCTTGCTCCTGTTTGCACCACTAGCTCCTCCACTGGAGCACAGTGTGGCTTTTGTTTAAAAAGACCTGCCTCGGCCATCTGTTGCTGGTGGTTGCCAGTGGTCCACTACAGTGCTGCAGGCTTACACCATGGATTTCAGAACATTTCTAAAGCACAGTTTTTATCTCCCCTATTTCAGTGTGGTGTCGTTAGCACATAGAAAGCACATAGCTCTGGAGACAACACATGTTCCCAGATGTAACTCCCAGCTCCATCACTTACTAGCTGTAAATCTTTGGAAAAAATCTCTTTGACTCTCAGTTTTCCTTCTCCTCTGGTGGAGTGGCGATACCTTCCTAATTAGACCGTGGTGAGGATGAAATACAACAATGGGTGTAGAACACTTTTCATATGTCAGACCTCTGTTACAGTGTGCAGTTGCCACTCTCTGAACTCCCTTGGATTAGCCAAATGTTAAAATGCACACTGCTTCAATTCTTTTTTAATGTAAAATACACATAACATAAAATTTGTCATTTTAATCATTTTTAAGTGTTCAGTGTCATTAAACACATTCACATTGTTGTGTTACCATCACCACCATCCATCTCTTTTTCATCATCCCAAACTGAAACCCGGGGCCCATTAAACACTGATTCCCCATTCCTCCCTTGTCCCAGCCCCTGGTAACTACCATTCTAATTTCTGTCTTTATGAATGTGACTATTCTTAGGTATGTCGTATAAGTGGAATCATATAATATTTGTCCTTTCTCTTCAATTCTTATAAGTTAGCTATGATTCAGGAATTATTGATTACCTTGCCTTGGCACTAAATTATTAACATTGCCATATATATAATGTATTCAAGCTGTTAGTATCTGTGTGTGTATGTACTTACTATCCTTCTAATGGGATATTAGATGGCAGGATGATGATGGTGGTGGTGGTGGTGTATCTTCCACTGTTATCTCCCCAGCATCCTCCTTTGCATCCTATGGAGCAATAATTTCACTATTAGCAAAATCTTCTCATCCTCTGTCTCTTCACAAGATCTGCCTCACCTCTTGCCTATGGAGAACTTAAGAACATTCTACACCCCCAGCAAGCTACTGCAGCCCTCTGGAGTGGAGGCTATTCATTTTGCATCTCCCATATTCAGTGGGCCCAGAGGCAATATTGGCATTGTCTTAATATTTCTGTTTTTAAATGCATTACTTTTTTATCTTTATGCAAAAACTCTTCATCCTTTAGGTATCTTGTAAACTGAGATTAGCTAATAAAAGTTGCTAAGGCATTGGATGTGGGGTATGAGAAAAAAAGTGATGTGAATCATGATGCCCAGGTTTTAGGCTTTAGAAGGATGGAGTTACTACTGACTAAAATAGAACTGAAAAGGTGGTTTGAAGTAGAAGGAATACATGGAGCTATGTCAGGACATGTTAAATTTGAGATACTCAGATGCTCATCAGATAGCCAATGGGAGATGGCAACTAGGCAGCCTGGGGGTCAGCGAAGAGGTAAAGGAATTTGAAATTCATCAGCCTCTAGATGGTAAAGTCGTGAAGTTAAATGAGATCATGTAGGGAATAAGTGTAGACAGGAAAGAGGAGAGGGCCAAGAATGGACACGCCAACATTTCCAGGTCAGCCAGAGGAAACTGAAAAGAAAAGGCCAGAAAAGTGGGAGGAAATGCAAGCTAGAACGGTATCCTGGAAGACAGGAAAAGAAAGTTTTTGAAGGAAGAAGGTCATCAATTGTCGAATGTTGCTGACAGGTCAAGAAAGATGAGGACTGAAAAATGTCCATTGGGTTTGGAAATCCGGATATCACTGATGACCTTAAAAAGAGCAGTTTTAGTGCAGTGGTGGGAGTGAAAACCTGCCTTAAGTGGGTCCATGAGAGACTTATGGAGAGAAATTGGAGACAGCTAGTATAAACAACTAATTTAAAGAGTTTTGCAGGAAAGGGACAGAGAAAAAAGTGTGCTTCTTGGAGGAGGAGGGAGGGCCATGAGAGGTTTTCTCATATGGGAGGAATAGCAGCAGCATGATTGTATGCTGATGGGAATGGGGTCATAGAGAGGAGGAAGAGCTGCCCCAGCAGCAGCCTTGCATTGAAGGGCATGACACTAGCATTCAGGCAAAGGGATTGGCCTTTGCTAGGAGCATGGCGGTTTTTCCATAAGTAATGTAAGAAAAGGTAGTGCATGTGGGCACAGATACTGGTAGATAAGTAGAAATGCCAGGGAGAGCTTATGAAAGTTCTCTTGTAATTCCGCCAAGTGTCTTGGTGAAGCAAAATCATCAGCTGATAGTGATGAAGGCTAAGGAAGTGATGGAAGTTTGAGAAGAGAGAAGGTACAAAATATTCTAGTCACTTAAAGCAGTAGAACTCCAGATATATTCTGCAGACCAGTGTTTTTTGTTTTTTGTTTTTTTTTTGCAAATTATTTGTTATCTTTCCATGAAAAGATGAGTTCAGAAATTAAGAATATGTATTTAGAAGATTCCGTAGCAACTGGACAGAGTAAAATTAGAGACCCATATTTTTATGTCTTTATTTCATTTTTGTTGTAGCCCATTTTTGCTGTAATTTACCAAAGTATTATACCAAGATGGATTTAAAATTATAAGAAGCTTGTCTCTCTCACTATGGATAATTTGAGAAATGCTGGTTTAAAGATGGACCTAAGCAAATATAGGATAATTTCTGGGAAGCATTAAAGGCCCAGTAGATGTTAGTAATCTTAAATTTGAAATAGTCAACATAGTCATTTTTGTCTTGTCTTATTCAATGGCACAGATCAATTTTTATTAGGAGAGTGGGATTTAAGCAAGGTTTTAGTTTCTCCAGGTGAGTATGGTAAAGGGAGAAAGGACAAGGGTGTCAGAGTGTAGCAAGGATTCAGTTATAACAGTGGTTTCCAACCCTTTTGGCATCAGGGACCGGTTTCTTGAAAGACAATTTTTCCAGGAACAGGGCCTGAGGGTGGGTGGGGGAGACAATTTTTCCAGCAGGGAGAGCTGGGGAGGGGGAAGGGAAGTAGGGAGGATGGGCGTGGTGGTTTCGGGATGAAGCTGTTCCACCTCAGATCATCAGGCATTAGTTAGATTCTCAGAAGGAGCACCATAACCTAGATTCCTTGCACATGCAGTTCACAATAGGGTTCCAGCTCCTATGAGAATCTAACGCTGCTGCAGATTTGACAGGAGGCAGAGCTCAGGCAGCAGTGCTGGCTCACCTCCTGCTGTGTGGCCCAGTACCAGTCTGAGGCCCAAGGGCTGGGGACCCCTGAGTTATAAAGAACGATATTATTTGCCAAAACTCAACAAATGTAAACTTAAGATTTGTGCATTCCTTCATAAGTACATTTTACATCAAAAGAAGAAAACTATAAACAAATATTGAACTTGATATGCATGCTGAAATATTTAGGGCGAATATACGGAATCTGTGATTTACTTTGAAATATATTTATTTATTTTTCTCTTTTATTTAGAAACTGATGTTTATTTTCCATCAGCATTATTTCCATGTTGCTTAAGTGCCTATGCAAGAACAGCTTAAGAGTTTAAGACCATTCAGTGGTTGCTTCTACCCATTCAGTGGCCGGAGCAGTGGGAGCTGCACACCAGCCTCCCGTGGCAGGCTAAGCACTCCAGGCTTCAGTAGGGAACTGCTGAATAAGCACAGAGGGCACCTGCATGTGCCCTCAGACCAGTCTGCACCCTCAGACTGAGTAGCGGAGAGCTCAGGAGCTGGCATAGTCCGTTCATCCTGAAATTCCTCGTTGGTCACAGCCTTTTCAGCAGCAGCCTGGTCTTTTTCCATCTCTTCAGGATCTCTGCAGATGTAGAAATCAGGCATGACATCCCACGGATGTTTGTGGGAAATGGTGCCAGGCATGTGCAGGACTTTCTGGGCCAGCATCCACCATGTCAAACCCCCTGAGTGAGCTCCCTTGTTGTTGCATGGGATGACAACTTCCACATAGCACAGAGGAGAATCTGTGTGACACAAAGCAATGGTAGGTAGGTTAACATAAGATGCCTCTGTGAGGGGCTGGTGGTCAGCCTGGGATTAGTAACCACCAGAAGCCATGGCTCCTGGAAGGCTGCCTGGATCTGGTTAGTGAATATTCTAGGAGTGAAGCAGCCAGTAACAAGAGTGGCTCCAGTGACAGCAGCCAATATCGGCGTGCCTTTCTGGCCAGTTTTCCTGGAGGATATGACACTGACATCAGCAGGGATTTCAATGACAACAATGGCATGAGCTGCCAGCAGAAACTTCTCCCAGGTCTTCTTCTGATTTAGGATGTAGATGCCATCACTTTTCATATAGATGTACTGTTCCATTTGGAAGTCAAGGTTGGTGCCACCTAAGTGGGTTCCTGCTGAAAGGAACTTGAGGACGTCCTCCTCCTTCATTGGCAGGACATCAAGGGCTCTGGACATTGTGAACGTTTTCCTTTAAGTTATGAAGGGAATCCAGAACAACACAGTATGGATCCCTCTGTGGGTAGCGCGGAAAGGCAAAATATATTTATAAAATGATGAATTGCATCAGGTGCAGTGGCTCACACCTGTAATCCCAGCACTTCCGGAGACCTAGGCAGGCAGACTGCTTGAGCTCAGGAGTTTGAGACCAACCTGGGCAACCTGGTGAAACCCTGTCTCTACAAAAAAAAATAATTAGCTTGGTGTGGTGGTGTGCACCTGTAGTCCCAGCTATTCGGGAGGCTGAGGTGAGAGGATTGCTTGAGCCTGAGAGGCGGAGGTTGCAGGGAGCTGAGATCGCACCCAGAACTTTACTCCAGCCTGGGTAACAGAGTTAAATGAGTCCATCTCAAAAAAAAAAAAAAATTGATGGATGGATAGAGAAATGGCTACATGAATAAATATATAATAAAGCTTAATGGCTGAATTTAAGTGATGGATATATGGGTAGTCACTATAAAATCTTTCCATTTTGCTGTTTGAAAATTTTTATAACAAATATCAGGGGAAAAAAATGTCTTGAATTTTTTTGTGACCATTTTATCTTCTCAGCCAGACTATTAGCTCCAAAGAGCAAAGGCAGTTACATCTGGAAGGTTATCTAGTTATATTTCTTATTTCACAGATGAGGAAACTAAGTCCTGAAGATACTAAATGACTTTATCAAGATCAGGTGGCAACCGGGTGCGGTGGCTCACGCCTGTAATCCTAGCACTTTGGGAGGCCAAGACAGGTGGATCGTTTGAGTCCAGGAGTTCGAGACCAGCCTGGACAACAAGGCAAAACCCCGTCTGTACAAAAAATACAAAAATTAGCCAGGCATGATGGCACTCGCCTGTAGTCCCAGCTACTTGGGAGGCTGAAGTGGGAAGATCACTTGACCTAGAGGGAGCAGAGGTTGTAGTGAGCAAGATCATGCCATTGCACTCCAGCCTGGGCAACAGTGCAAGACCCTATCTCAAACAAACAAACGAACAACAGCAGATGGCAAGTTAGGGACATACTTGATTCCATACTTAGTTTCTTCTCATTACACTAGGGACAACTGAAGCCCATAACTCAGGCCTAGAGGATCCATGGAAGGGCTCCTGGAATGCCCATAAAACCCCAAATTCTGAATGTAAAATTTAAGTATATGTTCAAAGATACATTTTCTTTTCTTTTCTTTTCTTTTTAAGGCAGTACTTTTATTTTTTCTTACACAATGATGTGTTGCTGGAGCCTAAAGATGCATTTTCTAAGGAGAAAAGTCATAGCTTTCAAAAGATCCTTAAGTGGTCTATGACTCAAAAGGAGTTCCTGTCTCTAAAAAGTTACTAGGATTAACTTTATTTCCATCAAATTCCTCCTTGAAAATAGCGAGCACAGTGTTAAGACATTCAAGAAATATCTTTAAACTGATAATATTTTACTGATAATCCATGTTAAGCTAATATTTTTAACTGATTAGTGATAATGGTATTCAAAAAAGCTTTTTGGAGTTCCAAGACAGATTGTAAGAACGTGTAATGTGAGCCACTCAAGCCCTTTAGAGTTTTTAACTATTTTTTATCTTGTCTCACACAAGGCTGTGGTGACCCACATGAAGTTGGCTAAGTTCTGAAAACATATTTATCTTTGTATTTTTTACTTCCTTGACCTTTGGAGATCACTGTGTTGCTCAGCAAAATCCATCCAGAGCTTTCCCTTCTTAATTTCCAAGCAAAATAGTTTATTGTAACATCCTTCAGGTTCAGGCTATAAGTTATTCTGCCTTGAGTATGCACTTAGCAAGGGGTTGCCTCCAAGTGTAGAGTTAGGCCTGTGAGCTCTAACCTCGTCCTCTGCTCTACCATTAGTTAGAGGAAAGCCGACTTCCTGAGCATTAGCTTTTTTTAACCTATAGACTAAATTTAACATCTCCTAAGGTATCCCACAAGGTTTTGTTAGCATGAGTAAATTGATATTTTTAAAATAGCTTGTAGAATATGATACAGAACTTAAAAATATGGTGTTACTTTTGGTCAAGGAAAAATGTATATGTCTTATTTGTATACTTTAAGAAACCAAACACTAAATTATGGAAGAAATAAATAATTTGGCAGAATTTCTTCCAACATTCAGGGAAAATATTCCATATCTCGTAGAAGGGTCACTTTCCCGAGTGACCCTTCCATCTACATGTGCCTGAGTTTGCCATCCCTCTATTTTTATTTCTCAACTCAGTCAATGCCTAACATTTGTTATATCACAAAAGCATATAAACATGAATTTTCAGGTTTCTTCTGAATCTCCCAGAGATAAACTGAATAGATACATCAGCACAGCTAAAACAAGACTGTCTGTAAATCTGCTTGGGCTGTCAAAAGAAGAAGAGAAGAAGAATTGTGCAGGAAGTAAAAGAGTCAATGAGACAAATTAAAGGAAATAAAGAATTCTGGTGTGGATTGAACTGACAAGCTCAAGAACAAAATGATAAAGACCTTTAATCACGTCAGAAAGTCTATAAAGCTATGTAAGTACAAGAACTAGCAAATGTTAATAATAAACCTTATCCTATTACATAAGAGACAAAATGAACTGCCAAAACTCCAGAAAGGTCAGATCTATCATATATTGTATCTGTATTGAATGCTCGTATTGAAAATTAATTGGAAGTCTAATGAATAACTTGCTTTGCTAAGAAAGAATGATCTGTTAATGCATCGGATGATTTAAAATTTAGAAGACTCCTGGAACCCTATGATTGCCACAAGATCATGCCTGAATTAGCCTGCTGTGGGATGACATACAAGGAACAAATGAGCTGTCCCAGTGGAGGCCACGCTAGATTAGGCAAACAGCTGGTCAACTGTGAGAGAGCCCTAGCTGAGATCAGAAAAGCCATACAGTCAAGCCCCGCCAAAATCAGCAAAACTGCCCAGCCAACACAGAGTTCAGTCCCTCCATAAAGAATATCCTTGATGAGGTGGGATGAGGTGGGAGCAAAGGGAAAATGGGAAGACCAGTGAAGAGGCTACTACAATATGCTATGCTAATAGCTCCCAAACTACGGGATCAATGTTAACATCACTAAAAGAGAGATAACAGGCCAGGAGCAGTGGCTCACGCCTGTAATCCTAGCACTTTGGAAAGCTGAGGCAAGTGGATCACTTTAGGTCAGGAGTTCAAAACCAGTCTGGCCAACATGGTGAAACCCCGTCTCTACTGAAAATACAAAAAAATTAGCCGGGCATGGTGGGAGGCACCTGTATTCCCAGCTACTTGGGAGGCTGAGACAAAAGAATTGCCTGAAACCAGGAGGTGGAGGTTGCAGTGAGCTGAGATCACCCTACTGCACTCCAGCCTGGGCAACAGAGTGAGACTCCATCTCAAAAAAAAAAAAAAAAAGAGAGAGAGAGAGAGAAAACAGGCATTATTTGCCTCCTGATGTGATGCATAGGGAATACACAATACCACTTAGGGAGTAGTCTTCCCTCAAATAGAACCTGCTCTGATTAAGTATCCATATCTAACTACAAATTTGCAAGAAATATAGGGGACAGAAAACATATTAAACAATGACGGGGGTTGCAATCGCATAATCTGGAATATGGAAAACCCTACAGGACAAATTAGCTGGTTTCTTCAACAAATAAAGGGTAAATATAAGGAGGGGGGAATCTAGACTAAAAAATATTCTATAGACAAATTGGCTTTAAAATACATATTTATGAAGGAATCGGGAATTTGGACAATGACTGGATATTTAACAATATCAGGGAATTATTAGGTTTTTTATAAAAGATGTGATAATGGTATTGTGGTTGCTTTTTTTGAGTCCTTATAGAAATACATACTGAAATACTTATGAATGAAAAGATATATTTGGATTTTCTCCTAAATAATGCACCTGGGAGTGGGGAAGTGAGTGGGGTACAGTATGAACAAAATAAGATTAGACGTGAATTGGTAATTAATGAAGCTGGTTGATGGGTACGTGGGGGTTCATTATATTTTTCTCTCTACTTTTGTGTATCTTTGAATTTTTCCATCAAAAATGTTTTAAAATTTTGGAAGAATATCATTTATATACAACATATGACAGGAAAAGGTTCATGGATACCGCTCTTCCTCATCATTGACAATTAAGCTCTGCTATTGCAAAAAGCCTTTCTCCCTTTGCAGACATGTCCTCTGGAGACTCTCCAGTGATATTATTAGTGCAATGATCCCCCTGGGCTAGAAAGTGGCTCAAACCAATATAAGAATGAAATTCGATTCAGCAATCCTACTTGTGGGAATTTACCCAAGAGATTCAAAATCAGTGTGTCCAAGAGATGTCTGCACTCCCATGTTCACAGCAGCACTATTGATGTAGCCAAGTTATAAAACCAACCTCATCAACAGATGAATAGATAAAGAACACGTGGTACATATACATAATGGAGTACTATTCAGACTTAGAAAGAATTTCTGTCGTGTGCAACAACACAGATGAAATTGGAAGACATGCTAAGTGAAATAAGCCAGACACAGTAAGACAAATACCGCATGTTCTCACTTATATGTGGAATTTAAAACATTCAAACTTATAGAAGCAGAGAGTAGAATGGTGGTTGCCAGAGGCTGGGGTGTGGAAGAAATGGGGAGATAATGGTCAATGAGTACAAATCCTCAATTAGGAGGATTAAGGGGTTTTTTTTAGCTCTATGGGTACAGCATGGTGAATATAGTTAATAATAATGTATTGTACATTCCAAAATCACTAGGAGTGCATTTCAAGTGTTCTCGCCACATAAAATGATAGGTATTTGAGGTGATAAATATGTTAATTAGCTTGATTTAATTATTCTACATTATATTCATTAATCATGAAATCATTTTGTACCCCCAAAAAATATATACAATTATAACTTAGCAATTTGCAATAAAAATTTTTTAATTAAAAAAAATTTTTAAAGATTGAAATGAAAGCATTGTAGCAACACATATGTATAATGTGTGCTATCCACTACAGTATTTATTTTAATGTACAAATACATACTATGTATTTTATACATAGTCACTGGATTACTTTATTATCCTTCTAAAATTAGACTTATAAAATTATCCAGATTTTTTATTATTAAAATAAAATGCTCATGACCAAAAAACCTAAACAGTACAGAAGATGAGGAAAAGGCAAAAAGTAAAAGTTCTTCCTCTGAACACCCAGTCAGTCTCACTCTCAGTGGTGTGGAATCACTTAATTAACACATTCTTGAGTATCCTTTCAGAAATGTTCAATGCATAATTGTGTGTGTGCTGGAAAAAGTTGTTTTTAAGGAATATTGATTAAGTACAAGGGTGACCTGGCTTTTGGTTAATTTTATTGTAAATAATTATTAGTTAATATATAATACATCTTTGTTTTGCAGAAATACTTTTATATTCACAAAGAAGGCATACAGCTTAATCACAGCCCTTTTGTCATATGATTATCCATATCATTATAACATAGTTATTTATGTTTGTATTGATCATTTGAAAATATAACTGAATTTTTCACCCTAATATAAAAAAGATACATTAAAATGAAAACACATTAATGACTTACCATTGTTTCTTTCTTTAAACCCTTCAAATTGAAATTGTTTAATAGATTTTCCTTTGGGGCTATTATGTTGCTGTCTTACATCAACAAAGTAATACAAAATTTTAGGGTATGAAAAGAAAACAAGATTGGTATCTTGCTTATTCTTATATTATCAGCCTGAATTAAAAATTAAAATAAAAATGGTAGATATATGCAATAAATTTTCAAAATATATTAAAATTATGAGGGTATTTCTTTTATATTACCTTTCTGTATGTTTTAACGTTCATATTTAAAAAGTTGTAAGATTTGCAGCAGTAAAACAGAAACGATTCATTCTTTAAAAAATTTAACCACTAATTTTCCACAGAACTACATGATTAAAGATGGCTTTCAAATGAACATTGACTACAAGTGTTTTTTTTTTCTATTAATTTTTTTTTTTTTTACCACATTTCAAGATTCATCTGAGGCTTGAGTTATCCATTACCAAGTTGTTTTTTAATGCTTCCCCATTGGCATGTGCTTATTTTGTTTGTGTTCTTCCAGTGATTACTGATTCTTCAAATTACTGAAAAAGAGAAGAAGAAGAAAGGCAACTCTTACCTTGGTGACATGCAGAGCTGGTTTCAAGGGTGCATGATGTGCACAGTCACAGAGTCCCACGGTCAGAAGTGTCTCATGGTTGGTTTAATGCTCTGCGGTCACCATCTTGAAATTCATAATAATGTTATCTTAAACTTGTTTTGTAAGTGAAGCCCAAAGAAACATTTTGTGCACGAACAATATGCACAATATGTTTGTATGGTGTTCCTTGCCACCTCATTTGCATACAGCCTTCTGATGTTCCATGAGCAGAGAATTCCAGTGGACCCAGCATGGGAGATCAGCAAGACGGAAGCAAATAGATAAACATTTTATGGGAGCCACTGGCTTCCACAGAGTGTTGGTAGAACAGGCATGTATCAAAAAGTGGAATAAAAAACAGTTGTTAGGTTTTTTGCATCATTTCCAGTGTTCTGGTAAGAACAAAATACATATGCATGCACAAGCTACAAAATACAAATTATATTATATCAGTGGTTCTAAATACAGTTTTGCATTTAAAACTGGCATTCCATAATATAAAGATGAATGGTTTTTAAAAATTATGCCAATAATTTAAATTTTTAATTTTTCTTCACTTAGACCAGCATTAAATAACAAACAACACCATGACAAGTCAAGAGAAAGACTGTGGAAGCAAGAAAAAAGCTTTACCTTTAAGTATCTTTAATGGCACTTTTCCCCAGATTTCAAAACAAGGGCCCTGTGTTTTCATTTTGCACGGGGCCTCACAAATACTGTAACCAGTACTGGTTACACATTCTTTGTCTTCCCCCAGAATCCTCCTGCAGGAAGCATCTGTCTTCTATTCTAAAGTCATTAGTTCACCTTTGCAGCTGAGTTTGGGCTGGAGAAGGGACATCTTTATTTTGGCAAATGGCAGAAGAACTGGCAAACAGAAATAGCAAAAGGAATAGACATGTTTCCTGAACTCTAGTATGGTAAAATGCTTAAGCTCTTACAGATTAGGTTTTCTTTGCTTCATTGTGGTTTACAGCTATGGATTTTTCACACTGAAGGGCAGTTGTCAAATAAATATTTTTCCTTCATCACTTCTTTACACTCAAGACTTCTCAGTATCAGTACCATCTTATTATGAATTCATTTTATCTTAGAGCTACTAGAAATGATTTAAGACCAACAAAAAGCTGTGTTATTAATTTTTATTTTGTGCTTTTTGTCATTGTCTCTATGAACCATTTTCAGATTGTTTCAACAAATATTTTTGGAGAGCCAGCTTTATGAGGACCACTGTGCTAGACACTGAGGACACCCAGTGAAAAAGAGTCCCCACCTGCCAGGGGTTTAGGTCTAATCATCCTCCAGAGGGAATAAATGGGCCAAAATATGATGGTGAGGGCTGGTTTATGTGGAAAGTTCTTTGGGTTTTGTTTTTTTTCTTCACACAAAGTGAACTCTATTCTTTGCGGTACATAAATCACTCCCTAATAGTGAGGTAAGTCCATTAAGTTAACTTAGAGCACCACTGGTTATATTATTGCTGCAGGAAATGGCAAGTCAGGATTGCAACTGACTCATTTTAGAGGAAGAAATGCCCCTTTGAAAAAAACTATTGTCCTTTGGAGCTGAAATTTCTTTCTCTGATTTTTAAAGCCAAGTACAGAAAGGCTGTTTAGGAGAATGAGACTAAAATAAAACTCCCTAAGTCCCAAATCTGTGATTCAGAGTAACTCCACTGACAATGATCAAAATCATTCCTCAAGTCGTGGCAGGCTGCTGTTATCCTTCCAGAGTCCATTTATCCATAAGTCTCTGAGGCCCTTTGTTTTCAACATTCACTCGCTCTTCTTCATTCCTAACACCTACATTAAGAGTGATCAATTGTGATGTGCTTCTGACACCAGGTTCTTGAGAGTGGTGCTTTTAGCTTTATTAGAAAACTCTTCCTGAAAATGGTTTAATGTATATCTTAAATTATGTATTTAACGTGGAAAGACAAACTTTTTGAGACTTGATTTCATTAAATTCTCATGGATACTTTATTCCCAATAGTTCCCAGTTACATCATATTTATCTATTCCCCAACATTTATTCTTTCCTTCTTCCTTGCAATAATACTGATTTTTAGCTGAGCAACCTGGAATAAACCCCACCAGAACAAATTTAGTCACCTGGAATAAAGACATTTCCCAGCTAGGTATCACCACATGACTAAGCTTTATATAATATCCCTTCCTGTTAGCTGCAATGCACATGTAATCGCTGGAACTTTAGCAGCCACTTTGGACTATGAGATGGAACATCAAAGACAGGAAAACAAAAAGACAGAAGTTTGAATCCCTGATGATTTCAAAGACTGCCTACTTCTAGACTTTTTTTTTTTTTTTTTGAGGCAGTCTTGCTCTGTCACCCAAACTGGAGTGCAGTGGCACGATCTCAGCTTACTGCAACCTCTGTCTCCAGGGTTCAAGCAATTCTCCTGCCTCAGCCTCTTGAGTAGCTGGGACTACAAGCATGCGCCACCACACTTGGCTAATTTTGTATTTTTAGTAGAGACAACATGGGGTTTCACCATGTTGGCCAGGCTGGTCTCGAACTCCTGACCTCAGGTGATCTGACCACATGGGCCTCCCAAAGTGCTGGGATTATAGGCTTAGTCACGGCGCCCGGCTGACTTATAGACTTTTAGATGAAAGAAAAGTGCAACTCCATCTTGTTAAAGTCACTATATTACTTTTTGTGTCTCTGTTACTTGCAGCTAAACCTAATTCTAACTGATAATTTATTATAGATTCCTGGTTCATTCTGCCTAGATGAATGCAGTCTTTTTTTTTTTTTCTTTGAGACGGAGTCTTGCTCTGTCGCCCAGGCTGGAGTGCAGTGGGGCGATCTTGGCTCACTGCAAGCTCTGCCTCCCGAGTTCGCGCCATTCTCCTGCCTCAGCCTCCTGAGTAGCTGGGACTACAGGCGCCCGCCACCACGCCCGGCTAATTTTTTGTATTTTTAGTAGAGACGGAGTTTCACCATGTTAGCCAGGATGGTCTCGATCTCCTGACCTCGTGATCCGCCCATCTTGGCCTCCCAAAGAGCTGGGATTACAGGCGTGAGCCACTGCGCCCTGCTGGTGAATGCAGTCTTAATACTTATTCTTTTTTCTCTACCTTGAAATTTATTGCTCCTTTGGCTAGAGAATCCTTAAGGAATATTATGTTTTTCACAGTTCAGTTAATTCATCTTTGTTATAAAAATGACTTAAACAATATAAGAGCAACAAATATTAAAGTAATAGCTGTAAATAGCAGTTATTGGTTTTCTGTCAATGCATATTCTAATTCTGCTAAGACTTTGAGTTTGGCTTATCTAGAGCACTCAGCACTGAGCCCACCTCTGGATTGGTTTCTGGTCCTACCCATTTCACCAGCTTCCACAAATCAATGTTTAATTAGCAAAATAAATAAATTAATTAAATTGAATTAAGGAACAGAGCATCTGAGTACCACCTCAAACCTGTATCAAGTCTGATGGGAGGGAGCATCATGTCTCCTTCTAAGTGGAACATGGGAGAGCATGTCCTGAGATGACATTAAGGAATTGCTAGAATGGGGGAGCCAGGAGATGATGCTGAAGTTATAACCTGAAGACTACTGGTGTCCTTCCAATCCAAATGACAAGGTGAGAACTCGATGGACAAATGAGTTATAGAGTCACCAGCAGAGAGAGTCTCAGACAGATGGGGGAACGCCAGACTGGGTCTACAAAAACGGTTTAGGACTTAGTCCAGCAGCAGAGTAAGCGCTGGTGGGGAGGGGGCATTACCGAGTGCCTTCCAGACACAAGTGAGAAGGATGTTCCAATGGCCTGAAAATTAAAAAGAAGACCTAAGATCATGAGCAAATTGCTACAAATGTGAGAAGAACATGCTGGCTGAAACAAAAATAAAGCACCTAAATAGATAACTATATAAAAATAAAAGTTTTGAAGAAAGTTATGGACAAAATTACCATGCTTTAATTGGTGTAACTTTTTAATTTGAATTTTTGGGTACCTAGATGGATGAGATGACATTAATACCAAGTGATGGTGACCAATATAAGGTCTACTGTCCATTTTAAACTACTCAGTTTCCCTGCACAGAACTATTTCCATCATGAAAATCCTGATGCATAAATAACATTCACTTTAACTCAAAGTAAAAAAGACCAGGAGTGTTGGAAATTAAATTAGTAATTGAAGAGAACCACTCCCAAACAATCTCAAAATATACTTGTTTGAATTACTGGGCACTTTAGTTCCTAAGAGAGCAATGGTAAAATATATCAGCCAGTGGCAATAGATATCAAGAATTTAGCAAGAAAACTAAAACAATAGTTTGTGACTGAACTCCAGTGAGCCTCAGATAAAGTCTTTACTTTCCCACTCTCTTTAATGAGGTGGGTTGGAAAACGGTTTCTCAACCCTGAGAGTTGAAGCCAGTTTAGCCACAGAGCTCCCTGTTCTTTCCTCTTTGGTCTTTTCCTTATTTGAAAAGGGTTTTCACAATGGGGTAGGGTGGCTCACCAAGAACGGGAGCATCTGAGCCCCCAGGAAGAAGGACTGGAATGCAGGAGCTGGCCCAGTCTATCAGACATCTGGAGCTATACAGTCTGATTTGACAGCTGTTTCAGAGTGTACAGAGAGCTAAGCAGGCATTATTCCCAATCTCATTTCCTTCTTTACTTTGAGGCTAGGTACCTGTGATGCCTTTGACACCATGGCAGACAGAGTAACAAACTCTGACTTACTAACAGGAAACATAAAAAGTATTTACTGAATATTGTCTATATGCTTGGTACTCAAAGGATGCAAAATAATAGATACGAGTCCTGCCCTATCCTTATGAGGAAGTTGGCAAAACAAGGAACGAACACATATAATGATCTCTTCATGTATCCCTGACCTCTCTTAGACTGTAAGCTCTATGAGAGTAGGGTCTGTATTCATCATATTACAACTGCTCATAATAACCCAGTTCCTGCCCACTCAATAAATACCAAAAATGAATAAACATGAGCCATTGAAGTAACAATACAAGGAAGCCTCTACATAGTTATGTACCAAAGAGAGAAGTAGACAATTAAAGCTAAAAGCAGTTATAGAAAGCAAGACAGCTAAGTAGACAGTCAGTGGGTTTAAAAGTGAGATTAGGCCAAGTGCAGTAGCTCATGCCTGTAATCCCAGCACTGTGGGAGGCCAAGGTGGGCGGGTCACCTGAGGTCAGGAGTTCGAGACCAGCCTGGGCAACATGGTGTAACCCCCATCTCTACTAAAAATACTAAATTAGCCGGATGTGGTGGTGCATGCCTGTAGTCCCACCTCCTCGGGAGGCTGAGGCAGGAGAATCACTTGAACCCAGGAGGTTGAGGTTGCAGTAAGCCAACATCGCACCACGCACTCTAGCCTGGGTGAAAGAGTGAGACTCCATCTCAAAAACAAAACAAACAAACAAAAGTGAGATTAGCGTTGGTCTTTCCCATTACCTGCAGAATAGAAGAAGTTCTCTCAGCTGGCTGGAGCCTGACTTTGGGGTCTTGACTCTGCCCCATCAAATGTATAAAGCATTCTCAAGAGAGGACATAAAGTGGCAAATGCCCCAGCTCCAATGTCAAGGCTATCTTTCCCATATAGAACAACAGTGGTATCTTTGTAGGGTTTCTCAGGACAATCTCTTATCTGGAGTCTGGGGATCTCCAAACAAATGACACGTAAAAACACTTTCTTTGGTCACTAGACTGTTCGTTAAAGAATTCAAAGCCTGAACGCCTTAGATACTGCTTTGGTTTGGGTGTGGTTTGTACCCACCAAAACTCGTGTTGAAATTTGATCCCCAATGTGCCAATGTTGGTAGGTAGGGCCTAGTGGGAGGTATTTAGGTCCTGGGAGCAGGTCTCTCATGAATTGATTAATTCCGTACCAAAGGGTTGAGTGAGTCCTCACTCTTATGGGAATGGATTAGTTTCTGAGACAGCGAACTGTTAAAAAGAGTATGGCTCCCTCAGTTTCTCTCTCTTGCTACCTCTCTTGCTGTTTGATCTCTTTGCACATGCCTGCCTTGATTCTGCTTTCTGCCATGAATGGAAGCAGCATGAGACAGAAGCTGAGCAGATGCTGGTACCATGCCCCTTGAACTTCCCAACCTGCAGACCCCTGAGCTAAAGAAACCTCTTTTCTTCATAAATTATTCAGCCCCAGGTGTTTTGTTATAGCAACACAAAGGAGACTAAGACAAATGCAAAGCTTGATTATAATACTGTAATTTAGGTGTGAATGATAGGCTTGAAAAGTGAGGATTTGGTTGACATTTAGCTACATAATTTTTAAGAATCAGTAGACGTCTGGACAGCTCAGCCCCAGATTGCCTAGCCACTCTTGATAAGGGTCCAAGCTATACTCAGAGGAGGAATGTAACAGTCATCTCCCCAGGACAGCCCAGGACAAAAGTTCACTGCACAGCCCAGGTCTCTTCTCATGATATGCTGAAGCTAATGGAAATGTCCCTTCATGTTTGACTGGAAGTGGAAGGATCTGGTTTACCTTTTTGTTTTTTGTTTTTTGAGACAGGACAGTGGCACAATCATGGCACACTGCAGCCTTGACCTCCTGTGCTCAAGCAATCCTCCCATTTCAGCCCCCTGAGTAGCTGGGACTACAGGAGCATGCCACTATGCCCAGCTATTTTTCTTTTCTTTTGTAGAGACAGGGTCTCCTTATGTTGGCCAGGCTGGTCTCAAGCTCCTGGGCTCCAGCAATCCTCCTGCCTCGGCCTCTCAAAGTGCTGGGATTACAGGTGTAAACCACCACACCCAGCCCAGTTTTCTTTGACTCATAGCTGTTGGAATAACTTATCTCCCTTTAGCATTAGCATCTGCCAAACCCAGTCTGGAGTAATGAGAAACCAGATCCTTCTTTGGCCAAGATGCCCCCTCTTTCTTTCCCAAAAGTTCTGGTTTGTGACAATAAAGTTTGTGTATCACTCAAAGTCCCAGTGGAAAACAGATGGCACACTAAAAATGGATAATTTAAGGAGAATTTGGTAAGGGCACTGTTTACGAGGGTGTGAGCAGGCTATAGAGAATCAACAATGGATAGCACTGCAGTACCCTAGGACTGTTGCCACCCTGAAATATATGCAAGGGAATAGAGAAATTGCTGGAACCTGAAGAGAGAGAGGCTACGTGCAGAGGACCACCAGATGGGAGCCAAGGCACCAAGCTGATGAAACCTCTCAGAGAGGAAACAGAAGAATAAGTACTCTCCTCCCACCAGTCTTACTTGGTAATACTCACAGGAAGTTGGAGGGCAAGGGAACCCTTTGATGGAGTCTGTCCAGATGAGACTGGTGCAGAGAGCAAGATGGACAGTGGTGAGAGTGGATCTCAGGGGCAAATGGAAGCTCTCCAGCACAGCTATGCTTTATCCATTCTCCAAGAATCTGTGTCTGTAAAACCCCACTCATTTCAAGTGAAAAAGACCTCCTTTTAGAATTAATCCTTAATCAGACTAATACAGTGAACCAAAAGCAAATAGAATTAGGGAAGCAAGACCCTACATTCTAATCCCATTTCTGCCAGTAATTTGCTGTGTGAGGCTGAGAAAAGTAAGTTTTCTGCATTTAGGCTTGTTTATCTACTGCTTACTATCTCTTGAGAGTATTGTGAGGATAGTTGCAGCACTTGAATATGTATCATCCTCCTTTTTTTCTTCAATCACTTTCCTTTATAGCATAACTACCAGGTGCTTCCTTGATTCTCTTTCTATTCATTTCTTCTCTCTCTCTCTCTCTCTCTCTCATTTTCTCTTCTTTCCCACCGTGCTTCATTTCATATTGAGGTCTGCCTTGTGGTGTACTGTGAATACTGTGTTGTGGTTTAATTCTATGTCTGTTGTAGTTATTGTTTAGCTCTGCAAAAAGCTGATCCTCCAAATTTGTGTTGAATCATCCCAGTGATAATTTTATTACAACTTGTTCAAAACACAAACGCTGCTCACAAATATTGTTCTAAATCTCCTTGCATTGCAGTATATGCCAGAGACAGTAAAATGCCAGGAGCTGCATTATTCAAAAAACAACCTATTCTATAGGATTGTGATTGTGATGATGATGACAATGATTAGTTAATCAGTGTTTATATATTACATATGTTTACAAATTACTAATAAATAATTAGTGTTGACTATGTGGCAGGAACCTTACTAAGTAGTTTGCACATGTAATTTTATGCCATTATTAATAGGTACTATTAAGTGTAATTATTATCCCCACTTTGTAGAAGAGGAATATGAGGCTTAGAAAGTTGGGTAACTTCCCCACAGTTGTAAAATATTACTCAGATTCAGGACTCAAATCCAGGTGTGTCTAACTCTATAGCCCATGCTCTTAGACACTACAATTTGCTTGAATTTTAAAAGTTAACAGGCATGTGATTTAAACCCTCTGACCCTATAATCACACTCAGGAGCATTTTTCCTAACCTAAAAGAAAAACAGTATCACTGATGTTAGATGAAGATAGTCGCACAACAATGTAAATGTACTTAATACCATCGAACTGTACACTTAAAAATGGTTAAAATGACAAAATTTATATTAGGCATATTTTACCACAGTAAGGACCGCAATAATTTGTAAGAATCAACAGGAACAAAAAAGAAAGCATTATGTAAAACAAATAAAGTGACTTTGCAAGGTTGCTTTAAAATTAATGATGAAATTAAATATCATAAATATCTAATACCTACTTTGTTTCCATGTATAAAACTGTATATTCAAGCTGGTTAAAAACTTTGAAAATTTATCTTCTTATTGGGGAGATGGAATTTTTCTTAAGTTCGATATTGCCATATATTTGGGCACGACAATTTTCAATATAAAATGAATAGCTGTCTAAGCTAATACTTAAAGAGGAGAAAAACAAAGATAGCTTTGGATATGATCTGACCCAAATTTTGCTATCCATTGACCACGGAGGATTATCTGAGGAGTTATTACAGCAATTACCAAGGAAGAGAATGGCATGGGAGAAATTGAAATGGAGAGGATAAAAAGGAAAGTACCATATAAACAAAGATTCTGATTGCAACATTATATTTAATTTCAAATGAAATATGGGAAGTAACTGAAATGCCCAAAGAGAATGAGGAAATTAGCTATTTTATAGTACCTTCACTTGAGAGAGTATTATGCAGCCATTAAAAATTATAATTATGAAGATTTTTGTAGCAACATGGAAATACTTATGGCTTAATGTTAAATAAAAGATAGGATGCAAAATTTTATTCACATTATGCTTACAGTGTAAATATATGTGTGAATATGTGTGCAGACTGAAATAAAACATGCAAAAACTAAAGCAGTGTTTGTGATTCAGTGGTAAAATTATGGGTGATTTTTTCCCCTCTGTTTTCCAAACTTTAATGTTAAACTTCATTGTTGTGTTAGTTATCTATTGTTATGGAACAAATTACCCCGAAACTTAGAAGCTTAAGACAACAAGCATGAATTTTCTCACAGATTTTGTGGGTGGAATCTAGGCATAAGCTTTGCCAGCTCTAATAGCCTCATGACTGCAGTCAGCTCAAGTCTTGACTAAGGGAAGATTCACTTCTAATGGTTGTTGACAGGATTCAGTTCCTCTGCAGCTGTCATAGCGAGAGCTGGGGTTCCTCCCTGGCTGTCACTTGGAAGCCTACCTCAGTTCTTTGTCACATGGCCTCTCCATAGGGCAGCTCAAAACATGGCAGCCCTTTTTTCATCAAAGCAAACACATGAAAGAGCAATCAAGGGCAAGTATGATGGAAACCAAAGTCTTTCTGTAGCCCAGTCTCGGAACCAAAATCTCATTACTTCTGCCTTATTCTGTTGGTTAGAAGCAAATTACTAGGTCCAGCCCATACTCAAGAAATCAGGGATCATTGGGACTGTTTTAAAGGCTGCCCACCACAATAGTCATCAGAAATAAATAAAATAAAAGGATGAAATAAGAGCTCTTGGGCTGGGCATGGTGGCTCATGTGTGTAATCCCAACACTTTGGAAGGCGGAAATGGGAGGATGGCTGGAGGCCAGGAGTTTGAAATAAGCCTGGGCAACAAAGTAACACTCCATTTCTACAAAAAATTTAAAAATTAGCTGGGCACAGTGGTCACAGCTACATGGGAGGCTGAAGTGGGAGGACCACTTGAGCCCATGAAGTTGAGGCTGCAGTGAGAAGTGATCTGGCCACTGCATTCCAGCTTAGGCAACAGACCAAGACCCTGTCTCCAATACACACACACACACATGCACACAGACACACACAAACACACACACACACAGAGCTGTTCTTCTGATCATCCAGCAGGATCTAAAATCAACTCATGACCCATTATTCTTTGGGAATAGGATTTAGCAAATCCTTTTCGTGTGAGTATCAGCAGGAGCGATTATCATCAGAAGCGTTTTGATATTGCAAAGTTTATGCTTCTAGGCATGTAAAGAGGCCCGTTGGGGCCTTTTCTGAAAGGGCTGCAATGGAGGTGGAGGCTGAGGAGTGGAGGAGTGCAGAAACAGATTGCTACTGTTACCTAGAAATAGAATCTTTTCCTCCCCTAACTCTACAAATCCTAAAAGATTTCCTTATGTCTTGTGGTTGACCAGCATGTCTTTGAATCTTTTGACTTAGGAAAGACCTATTATATTTTTTAAAGGATCAGAGGGAGAATTAAAAGGCAATAAAGAAAAACAATTCTAGCCAAGCCCAATCTGGCAGTTCATCACAGCTACATAGAATTCTACTATAAAAGCTGCACACATTTTACAGAACGGTAACTTATACCTTTTCACGGGGAGGTACTAGGTATCCCTGACAGACAAAAAACATGTGCAGGGATGTGGGAAGAAGAATGGGAGAGACAAAGTTGATCCCCTCCTCCAAAATAGTCAGAAAGAAAAAGAAAAAGATGCATCAATGATGGGGTGTTAGTATCTAATTATGCCCCAGATACCAGTAAAAACCACTGTCTGTGAAATTACCCACCCAGGGTCTGTCAGTACTGTAGTTAATGTCTTCATGTCTCCAACAGGGGATTGCAATCTATGCTTTGAGGAAAGGGGAAGCCTGTCCAGCTCTCTTCCACCCAGTTCAGATTACAATGGTACATCTTTCAACTATTCTCTTCAGACAACTGCAAGAAAGTTATTGTTTGCCTCAGTTTACTTTTTTTTTTTTTTTGAGATGGAGCCTCGCCCTGTCGACCAGGCTGCAGTGCATTGGCTCAATCTTGGCTCATTGAAACCTCCACCTCCCAGGTTCAAGCGATTCTCCTGCCTCAGCCTCCCAGGTAGCTGGGATTACGGGCATGTGCCACCAAGCCCAGCTATTTTATTTTTTAATTTTTATTTTTAGTAGAGACGATGTTTCACCATGTTGGCCAGGATGGCCTCGAATTCCTGACCTTAGGTGATCTGCCCATCTCAGCCTCCCAAAGTGCTGAGATTACAGGCGTGAGCCACTGAGCCTGGCCTCAGTTTACTATTTGAAACATGAAGTGAGCCCCCAAAGGACTCAAACCTCAATTCTGCTTCTGTGACTGTCACAAATCTGGGAACTTTCCCCAAGCTAGACAAGGCTCACTTGGAGTTTGTGATTCAAAAACATTTGCTCCCAATCCTCAAACCAAATGACAAATCTGTCCAGCTAAGAAGGGTTTTCATTTCACTCTCCTGAAAAAGAGAAATGGATTGCCTTTTTTGTTGTTGTTTTTTGTTTGGGGAGGTGGTTGTTGTTTAATGGGAGCATGGGAAGATTTTTTTTTCTGCCTTGTGGTAGGCAATGTCCATGTCCTAATCTTCAGAATTCGTGAATATGTTATGTTGCTGGGCAAAAGGAATTCAGATTGCAGATGGAATTATGGTTGCTAATCAGCTAAACCTAAAATAGAGAGGTTATTCTGGATTATCCAAGAATCACAAGGGTCCTTAAAAGTAGAAGCAGGCCAGGCGCAGTGGCTCATGCCTGTAATCCCAGCACTATGGGAGGCCAAGGCGAGTGGATCACCTGAGGTCAGGAGTTTGAGGCCAGCCTGACCAATATGGTGAAACTCCATCTCTATTAAAAATACAAAAATTGACAGGAATCCAGTATCTGGCCTCACTGCTGTAAGACATGGCTTCTGTTCAAACTCTTCTTCTTACCCAAGGAAGACAGTTTATTTCATGTGTCCACTTGGTCAGGGGTTAAGCATCAGATACATTAAAAGTAAATGCAGAGGAGATCTGTTCCAAGATGGCTGAATAGGAACAGCTCTGGTCTGCAGCTCCCAGCGTGATCGATGCAGAAGACAGGTGATTTCTGCATTTCCAACTGAGCCTCCACTGGTGATACCCAGGCAAACAGGGTCTGGGGTGGACCTCCAGCAAACTCCAACAGACCTGCAGCTGAGGGACCTGACTGTTAGAAGGAAAACTAACAAACAGAAAGGAATAGCATCAACATCAACAAAAAGGACATCCACACCAAAACCCCATCTGTAGGTCACCAATATCAAAGACCAAAGGTAGATAAACCCACAAAGATGGGGAGAAACCAGAGCAGAAAAGGTGAAAATTCTAAAAATCAGAGCACCTCTTCTCCTCCAAAGGATCACAGCTCCTCGCCAGCAACAGAACAAAGCTGGACGGAGAATGACTTTGACAAGTTGACAGAAGTTGGCTTCAGAAGGTCGGTAATAAGAAACTTCTTTGAGCTAAAGGAGCATGTTCAAATCCATCGCAAGGAAGCTAAAAACCTTGAAAAAAGGTTAGACGAATGGCTAACTAGAATAAACAGTGTAGAGAAGACCTTAAATGACGTGACGGAGCTGAAAACCATGGCATGAGAACTCTGTGATGCATGCACAAGCTTCAATAGCTGATTCAATCAAGTGGAAGAAAGGGTATCGGTGATTGAAGATCAAATTAATGAAATAAAGTGAGAAGACAAGGTTAGAGAAAAAAGAGTAAAAAGAAACAAACAAAGCCTCCAAGAAATATGGGACTATGTGAAAAGACCAAATATGTGTTTGATTGGTGTACCTGAAAGTGATAAGAATGGAAACAAGTTGGAAAACACTCTTCAGGATATTATTCAGGAGAACTTCCCCAACCTAGCAAGGTAGGCCAACATTCAAATTCAGGAAATACAGAGAACACCACAAAGATACTCCTCAACAAGAGCAACCCCAACACACACAATTGTCAGATTCACCAAGGTTGAAATGAAGGAAAAGATGTTAAGGGCAGCCAGAGAGAAAGGTCGAGTTACCCATAAAGGGAGGCCCATCAGACTAACAGCAGATCTCTCGGCAGAAACCCTACAAGCCAGAAGAGACTGGGGGCCAATATTCAACATTGTTAAAGAAAAGAATTTTCAACACAGAATTTCATATCCAGCCAAACTAAGCTTCATAAGTGAAGGAGAAATAAAATCCTTTACAGACAAGCAAATGTTGAGAGATTTTTGTCACCACCAGACCTGCCTTACAAGATCCTGAAGGAAGCACTAAACATGGAAAGAAAACAACCAGTATCAGCCACTGCAAAAACATGCCAAATTGTAAAGACCATTGATGATATGAAGAAACTGCATCAATTAACAGGCAAAATAACCAGCTAATATCATAACGACCGGATCAAACTCACACATAACAATAGTAACCTTTAATGTAAATAGGCTAAATGCCCCAATTAAAAGACACAGACTGGCAAATTGGATAAAGAGTCAAGACCCATCAGTGTGCTGTATTCAGGAGACCCAACTCACATGCAAAGATGCACATAGGCTCAAAATAAAGGGATGGGGGAAGATCTACCAAGCAAATGGAATGCAAAAAAAAAGCAGGGGTTGCAATCCTGGTCTCTGATAAAACACACTTTAAACCAGCAAAGATCAAAAGAGACAAAGAAGGCCATTACATAATGGTAAAGGGATCAATTCAACAAGAAGAGCTAATGATCCTAAATATATATGCACCCAATACAGGAGCACCCAGAATCTTAAAGCAAGTCCTTAGAGACCTACAAAGAGATTTAGACTCCCACACAATAATAATGGGAGACTCTAACACCCCACTGTCAATATTAGACAGATCAACGAGACAGAAGATTAACAAGGATATTGAACTCAGCTCAGCACCAAGCAGACTTAATAGACATCTACAGAACTCTCCACTCCAAATCAACAGAATATACATTCTTCTCAGCACCACCTCGCACTGTCTATTAAGCTCTGCACCAAGCAGACTTAATAGACATCTATAGAACTGTGCACCCCAAGTCAACAGAATATATATTCTTCTCAGCACCACCTCGTACTTATTATAAAATTGACCACATAATTGGAAGTAAAGCATTCCTCCTCAAATGTAAAAGAACTGAAATCACAACAAACTGTCTCTCAGACCACAGTGCAATCAAATTAGAACTCAGGATTAAGAAACTCACTGAAAACTGCACAACTACATGGAAACTGAACAACTTGCTCCTGGATGACTACTGGGTAAATAATGAAATGAATGCAAAAATAAAGGTGTTCTTTGAAACCAATGAGAACAATAACACAACGTACCAGAATCTCTGGGACACATGTAGAGCAGTGTGTAGAGGGAAATTTATAGCACTAAATGCCCACAAGAGAAAGCAGGAAAGATCTAAAATCCACACCCTAACATCACAATTAAAAGAACTAGAGAAGCAGGAGCAAACACATTCAAAAGCTAGCGGAAGGCAAGAAATAACTAAGATCAGAGCAGAACAGAAGGAGATACAGATACAAAAACCCTTCAAAAATCAATGAATCCAGGAGCTGGTTTTTTGAAAAGATCAACAAAATTGATAGACCACTAGCAAGACTAATAAAGAAGAAAAGAGAGAAGAATCAAATAGATGCAATAAAAAGTGATAAAGGGGATATTACCACCGATCCCACAGAAATACAAACTACCATCAGAGAATACTATAAACACTGCTACGCAAATAAACTAGAAAATCTAGAAGAAATGGATAAATTCCTGGACACATACACCCTCCCAAGACTAAACCAGGAAGAAGTTGAATCTCTGAATAGACCAATAACAGGCTCTGAAATTGGGGCAATAATTAATAGCCTACCAACCAAAAAAGTCCAGGACCAGACAGATTCACAGCCGAATTCTACCAGAGGTACAAAGAGGAGCTGGTACCATTGCTTCTGAAATTATTCCAATCAATAGAAAAAGAGGGAATCCTCCCTAACTCATTTTATGGGGCCAGCATCATCCTGATACCAAAGCCTGGCAGAGACACAACAAAAAAAGAGAATTTTAGACCAATATGCCTGATAAACATCAATGCAAAAATCCTCAATAAAATACTGGCAAACCGAATCCAGCAGCACATCAAAAAGCTTATCCACCACGATCAAGTCGGCTTCATCCTTGGTATGCAAGGCTGGTTCAACACACACAAATCAATAAACGTAATCCATCACATAAACAGAACCAATGACAAAAACCACATGATTATCTCAATAGATGCAGAAAAGGCCTTCAACGAAATTCAACAGTCCTTCATGCTAAAAAAAAAACCTCAATAAACTAAGTATTGATGGAACGTATCTCAAAATAATAGGAGCTATTTATGACAAACCCACAGCCAATATCATACTGATTGGGCAAAAACTGAAAGCATTCCCTTTGAAAACCAGCACAAGACAAAGATGCCCTCTCTCACCACTCCTATTCAACAGAGTGTTGGAAGTTCTGGCCAGGGCAATCGGGCAGGAGAAATAAATAAAGGGTATTCAATTAGGAAAAGAGGAAGTCAAATTGACCCTGTTCGTAGATGACATGATTGTATATTTAGAAAACCACACTGTCTCAGCCCCAAATCTCCTTAAGCTGATAAGCAACTTCCACAAAGTGTCAGGATACAAAATCAATGTGCAAAAATCACAAGCATTCCTATACACCAATAACAGACAAACACAGAGCCAAATCATGAGTGAACTCCCATTGCTACAAAAAGAATAAATACCTAGGAATTCAACTTACAAGGGATGTGAAGGACCTCTTCAAGGAGAACTACAAACCACTGCTCAATGAAATAAAAGAGGGCACAAACAAATGGAAGAACATTTCATGCTCATGGATAGGAAGAATCAATATCATGAAAATGGCCATAGTGCCCAAGGTAATTTATAGATTCAATGCCATCCCCATCAAGCTACCTGTATTCTG
This sequence comes from Homo sapiens, assembly GCF_000001405.40. Taxonomy (NCBI): domain Eukaryota; kingdom Metazoa; phylum Chordata; class Mammalia; order Primates; family Hominidae; genus Homo; species Homo sapiens. The sequence goes on along the minus strand of NC_000002.12, from coordinate 176,219,702 downwards.
TAAAGAAAGTTTCTTCTTCACAGAATTGGGAAAAACTACTTTAAACTTCATATGGAACCAAAAAAGAGCCCACATTGCCAAGACAATCCTAAGCAAAAATAACAAAGCTGGAGGCCTCATGCTACCTGACTTCAAACTATACTACAAGGCTACAGTAACAAAAACAGCATGGTACTGGTACCAAAATAGATATATAGACCAATGGAATAGAACAGAGGCCTCAGAAATAACACCACACATCTACAACCATCTGATCTTTGACAAAACTGACAAGAACAAGAAATGGGGAAAGGATTCCCTATTTAATAAACGGTGCTGGGAAAACTGGCTAGCCATATGTAGAAAATTGAAACTGGATTCCTTCCTTACACCTTATACAAAAATTAATTCAAGATGAATTAAAGACTGAAATGTTAGAACTAAAACCATAAAAAATCTGGAAGAAAACCTAGGCAATACCATTCAGGACATAGGCATGGACAAGGACTTCATGACTAAAACACCAAAAGCATTGGCAACAAAAGCCAAAATAGACAAATGGGATCTAATTAAACTAAAGAGCTTCTGCACACAAAAGAAACTATCATCAGAGTGAACAGGCAACCTACAGAATGGGAGAACATTTTTGCAATCTACCCATCTGACAAAGAGCTAATATCCAGAATCTACAAAGAACTCAGACAAATTTACGAGAAAAAAACAAACAACCCCATCAAAAAGTGAGCAAAGGATATGAACAGACACTTCTCAAAAGAAGACATCTATGCAGCCAACAGACACGTGAAAAAATGCTCATGATCCCTGGTCATCAGAGAATTGCAAATCAAAACTGCAATGAGATATCTCACGCCAGTTAGAATGGCAATCATTAAAAATTCAGGAAACAACAGATGCTGGAGAGGATGTGGAGAAATAGGAATGCTTTTACACTGTTGGTGGGAGTGTAAATTAGTTCAACCATTGTGGAAGACAGTGTGGCAATCCCTCAAGGATCTAGAACTAGAAATACCATTTGACCCAGCAATCCCATTCCTGGATATATACCCAAAGGATTATAAATCATGCTGCTATAAAGACACATGCACACATATGTTTATTGTGGCACTATTCACAATAGCAAAGACTTGGAACCAACCCAAATGTCCATCAGTGATAGACTGGATTAAGAAAATGTGGCAAATATACACCATGGAATACTATGCAGCCATAAAAAAGGATGAGTTCATGTCGTTTGCAGGGACATGGATAAAGCTGGAAACCACCATTCTCAGCAAACTATCACAAGGACAGAAAACCAAACACCGCATGTTCTTACTCATAGGTGGGAATTGAACAATGAGCTCACTTGGACACAGGGCAGGGAACCATCACACACTGGGGCCTGTCAGGGCGTGGGGGGCTGGGAGAGGGATAGCATCAGGAGAAATACCTAATGTAAATGATGGGTTGATGGGTGCAGCAAACCAGCATGGCCTATGTATACCTATGTATCAAACCTGCATGTGGTGCACACGTACCCTAGAACTTAAAGTATAATAAAAATAAAATAAAATAAAATAAATATAAATATAAATAAATAAATAAAAATACAGAAATTTCTGGGCACAGTGGCTCAGGCCTGTAATCCCAGCACTTTGGGAGGCCAAGGTGGGCAAAGCACAAGATCAGGAGTTCAAGACCAGCCTGGCCAACATGGTGAAACCCCATGTTGTCACTACTAAAAATACAGAAATTAGCCGGGTGTGGTCGCACGTGCCTATAGTCCCAGCTACCCGGGAGGCTGAGGCAGGAGAATTGCTTGAACCCGGGAGGCGGAGGTTGCAGTGAGCCAGGATCGCACCACTGCACCCCAGCCTGGGTGACAGAGCGAGACTCCATCTCAAAAAATAAATAAATAAAATGAAATTCAAAAAATACAAATACAAATACAAAAATTAGCCAGGTGTGGTGGCATGCACCTGTAGTCCCAGCTACTCGAGAGGCTGAGACAGAAGAATCGCTTGAACCCGGGAGGCGGAAGTTGCAGTGAGCCAAGATCGCGCCACTGCACTGCAGCCTGGGCGACAGAGCGAGACTTAATAAAAAAAAAAAAAAAGTGGAAGCAGAAGGTGGAAGATGAGTGTCTGAGTGATTTGATGTGAGAAGGACTTGCCCAGCTGTTGCTAGCTTTGAAGATGAAAGGGGACCATAAGCCAAGGAGTATGGTGCTTCTGGAAGTTGGGAAGAAAAGGAAAAAGATTCTCCCTAGCGCCTCTAGAAAGAAACATAGCCCTGCCAACACATTGATTTTAGCCCAGTGAGACCCAAATCAGACTTCTGACTTCCAGAATTATAAGGTAATAAATTTGGGTTGTTTTGAACTACTGAGTTTATGGTAATTTGCTAAGACAATCATAGAGAACTAATGGCAGCCACAAGCCAAATAAATTGCTAAAGTATAGCTTATTCAGTCTCAGATTGAATGGTTGTTGCATTGGGAAAAGTTGCACAGAAATGGATAAGGATTGGTTTCGGCCTGGTTTACAGTAATATTGTTTAAGCAGTCTAAGCTGCCATGGTGATCATTAGAAGTGGTCATAGAAACAGCAGTCTTAAATTTCTCATTGACTTTTCACACTGAATTGTGATAATAACTTTCATGCACTGTAGAAATTGATTTCAGTTAGTGGAGAAATTGGAAAATATAGACTTGTTTATTTCATTGAAAAATGAATGGAAAAACAAAGACATTTAACTTTTACTAAAACTCTGAGAGCACAAAGCCTGCTCTCAGCTTTCTTTAAGTCCTGCAATTTAGAGACATTCTGGATTAGGCCAAAAAAAAAAAAAAAAAAGAAGTGCTTTAATGCCCATGTATATCAGAGAGGCCTCTCTTTTTAAAACTTGTCCTTCATAAAATAAGTTAGATGAAATCCCATTAACATTATCTAGAAAGATAAAGAGCAAAATCCATTCTCCAGGGATGAGAAACTGTGATTCCAAACAGTTTAGCCATTTTAAAGCTAAAGCTATGGTGTGGTGAACTGGTAAGTATAAAGGACTTCTCTTGCTTAAAAAGCTTTGAAAATGCTATGAGATTTTCTTTCCTTTTCCACCGACCTTTAAGAGTCTGTAAAATGGAAGACTGACAGATGACTGTGGCTGTTAAGAGGTATACTCTTCCAGTGATGCATTTGTGCAGCTTCCATTAACACTTAGGGAAATTACGTGCAACTATCAGTGGGAGAATATATCCATAATACTCTATTTTAATTTTTTTTTCAATTAACAGTTATGTTTAGTCAATCCCCAGCAGGGTTTGTTAGTGAGATTGCTGGATTCCTAATGCAAGTTTCTTTTTAGTTAGCCAAGCTAGTGCTGATGACCTGTTATTACTTGGTGATGCATTGTTAGATATATCCAGTATCTACCTAAATGGATTTGTGAATTAAATCTTGTCTGGGAAGGTTTGCCCATTCAACCTAGAGATTAGAAATTATATTGACCCAAGAAGCAAGACTTGCTATATTTAGTCTGGATCAGTGCCAAAAATTCACAGCCAGACCAAGGATTTAGCAGGCCTTGACATCACTTTTACTCCAGCATCTTATAAAACATAAAGATTAGCAATTACGCTACATCATTTGAAAGATACAATTCTTAGGTTTCAATTATTTTACATTTTGTTTGGAGCCTTATTTTCAAATCAATGCTATTCAGTGCTCAAAGGGAAAAGAAGAAACTAGAAGGGGAAACAATCAGCCTTTACCAAGGACCAACTGATATTTTTATTCCCATTCTGTGATGAGGAAACTAATACACAAACAAGCTAATTATGTAAATTAAAGAAAGGTACAATTGAGTTGGTAGCAGGATCAACATTCTGCCCATACCTATCTGAATCCAGGTCCCACATACTTGTCTTTTGATTATTAATCCTATCTTGATATGAGAGAAAAGGGCTATGTTTCACTTCAGTTGGAAAAGTAAAGAAGTGAGACAATTATAATAATGGAATAGGTTCAGAACCTCCCAAGGAAAGCCAAATAGCTTTTGACTCAAGCTTCCATCCCTTTTTTAGACATTTTCCTCCTCTCCTCTCTTGCCTTTCCTTCCTAATAAAAGCGCTGTTGAAATTAAACATTAAAACTCCAGGAAGAAAAAATCTCCAGGAGGGCACAGATTGCCATTTATCTTTGTATCTCCAGTGCCTCCTACAATACCTGGCCCAGAATAGGTGCTTGTCACTGGCTCATCATAGGAAAGAAAGAATTAATAAACCAGTGAATCAATGAAGATTGTTCTATTTATAATGCTCTTTGGAACTGCTGTTTCACTTTCAAATATAAGAAAGTATTATTTTATTATTTTAAACCAGCTTCGAATATGTTAAATGTTTCAAATTTCTGACTTCTGTTAAGAAAGACATGAACATGGAATTATTTTTCTCTCTCACTATACACAGATATAACCATACATATATATTTAGTCATATATTTTTATTACACCTCCAAAAAGGATTTGAAACAGTTTAAATTCAGTAACATTCTCAGAAAGAGCCTTTAAAAATTCCATTTAGTTATTTATTTATTTTTTATTTTTTATTTTTTTGAGATGGAGTCTTGGTCTGTCACCCAGGCCGGAGTGCAATGGCATGATCTCAGCTCACTGCAACCTCAGCCTCCTGGCTTCAAGCAATTCTCCTGCCTCAGCCTCCCAAGCAGCTGGGATTACAAGTGCGTGACACCCTGCCCAGCTAATTTTGTATTTTTAGTTTAGTTGGAGTTTCACCATGTCGGTCAGGCTGGTCTCAAACTCCTGACCTCAGGTGATCCACCCACTTCGGCCTCCCAAAGTGCTGGGATTCCAGGCATAAGCCACCATGCCTGTCCAAAATTCCACTAATTTAAAATAAGGAAGGCCAGACGTGGTGGCTTACGCCTGTAATCCCAGCACTTTAGAAGGCCAAGGTGGCCGGATCACATGAAGTCAGGAGTTAAAGACCATCCTGACCAACATGGCGAAACCCCATCCCTACTAAAAATACAAAAAAATTAGCCAGGTGTGGTGGTGGGCGCCTGTAAGCCTAGCTATTCAGAAGGCTGAGGCAGGAGAATTGCTTGAGACCGGGAGGCAGAGTTTGCAGTGAGCCGAGATCAGCCACTGCACTCCAGCCTGGGTAACAGAGCGAGACTCTGTCTCAAAAAATAAATAAAATAAAGACACCTTTAAAATGATAGTATTCATAGACCTCTCTAAAATGTAGGTACCTCTTAGACAGGATTTATAAATTGCCCAACTGTAATAGAGAATAATTTCAAAACTTGGGTAAATGTGGATGATGTTACCATTAACAAGAATTTTTTTCCATAGTTCATATTTTAAATCGGGCTGCATTTGAAGTAGTGGTTTTATCTGTATCCACACAACCCCAAAGAGCAGTCAAAAATTTCCAAAAGTAATACAGAGTGATGCTGTCAGAGTTCTTCTCAAAATGTACACCTAATATTTCCCATATTAGGCTTTTCTCTAGAAGAAAGTATAGTATCTTAAGTGTCTTTCTAGCAAAAAGAAGACAAATTTCAAATTTCTTCTTATATAGCATTCCATGAAATGCCTTGTTTCCAGGTGAAAAAAAAGAATTCTAAGGAATTGTAATAAAATTTGTTTTATTTCAGTAAAAAGACCATTCCTAGAACTTTATTTTTTATCAAGTATGTGACATTTTCTGTGAAAGACTTCAGTTCATATTCTTGAGAAACAGAGAATTTTTAAAAATAATACCACCTTTGTAGAATGTATTGGTATAATGAAAATGTCAATACACATAGGTCATACATGAGGTATGCTTGGATTGATTATGTGTTCTAATAGCCTGAAATCTAAATGAAGAGGTTTTTTTAATAAGAAGCTAATAGGACTATAGAGATCTTTGTATGACATAAAATACACAGAGAGGTGTGTTGCAATGTGAATAAGACTAATTGATCATCTTATTGGAGAAACACTTATTTTGAGATGAAAAATGGCCACACTGTTGTTTGACATTTGGATTGTCGATGGCTTGACCACAAGAATTCTTGGTCAAACACTCCAGAGACAAGAATAGTTCAAGAGATCAGTTGCTTGCCAAAGGTCACTGATGGAATAATATTTCTTTTTTCTTCACAGTCTTAAGAAAGTCATCTGACTCTACTTATATCCTAGTGAAGAGGAAATAAAATGATAGACAAAAGTCATCCTTTTATTAAAAATAACAGCATTCAATGTTACAACCCATATGACAGGACAAACCAAAATTTCTTCATAATAAAGTCCCTAAACAGCATACTTAGGCCTATAACCTATACATTGCTCATGTGATATATAGCAAAAGTAAAATATTGCATTATTTTTTAGCAAACATAAGCTAAGAAAACACCCAAGTTGAATCAGTATTTATCTAGCTTGAAAATGATCCAAATGAGTAGAATTCTCAAAATATGTTTAGAATCCATATCTGTTTTTAAATTTTCATAGAAAAAGAGAGTGTAGGTAGGCTTAAAAGGATTTTTAAGAAGAAACAAAGAAAGAGACTCAATCCTCTCCTCTCTACCACGGAGTTAAGGTTTTCAGATAGGAGAGTAGGTGAACGCTCTTAGACATTTCACACACCTTTACTAATTTTATAATTTCCTGTCCCCCTGAAGCGGCTCACATTAAGAACTGTAAATTAAAATAAAGAAGTGTCTAATTTAAAATAAAGGAATATATAAAATGGTGATATTAATAAGTCTCTCTAAAATATAGGTTGTCTTGAACAGGACTTATAGATTGTCCAACTGTAATGAAACATAAATTCAAAAACTTCGGAAGATATAGATGGTGATACCATTAGGAAGAAATTCATTTTGAAAAACAGTAGTTCATATATAATTTTTAAATAGTTGTTCATTTTTTAAAAATTGTCTGGGATTTTAATGCCACATTACCAAATACCTCACAACTGAATTATTTAACAAGGTGTTAGTAACAGTGCTAAGATGTGCTGGTGGACACGAGGCACTCCCAAACCTTGGACTTCTCACTTTGTGCCAAGGAAAGGTTTTCACAAAACCACCCATTTTAACTAGTGCATTGCCTCTCCAAAGTGTGCAACAACATCTAGGATCATCTCTGGGAAAGTTAAGATTTCTCTATTACCTCCCCACCCAGTAGGGAGACTTGAAAGCAAAAAGAAGTCAAAACAATGCAACAGGAAGCCTGCATTGTGTGCAGGGGAAGGGAGAGAGGCAGCTCCATTTCCCTTTACCTTGGTAAGAGTTGGCTGTACATGAGCTTCAGTGCCACCTTCTTAACTCAACCCTCCTCTCACACAACAGATACCCACTCCTTCCTTGGCCATCTTGGTCACTCTAGCAACAAAGGGCTCTCTAAGAACTATATCCCCAATTCACTCTACCCTCAGGGATTGTTCTGAGGATTATCTGCTGGTGTTTGGTGAGTAACAAAATTGACCACCAAACTTTTTTCTGCCCACAGCAATGTGAAATAAATTTTGGGTCTCTTAGGCATGCACAACATTATCTCCTTGATTAATGACTTATTTGTCAGTAAGCTCTGAAAAATACAGTACAGTTTGGATAAAGAAAGGTTGACCTAATAACTGAATTACTGTGAGATCCAGATTCTCACTAGTACTTTATCCATGGTGTCTAGGCCATCTCTCACAACTTGGATTGCATGGAAGAACCTCAACAATATTTCACCTGTTCTTTTCAATCAGGAATCTGTATTTTTAAATCCCAGAGGAAAATGCATGGATCTCTAAAATACTCTTTTCCAAGTGGTTAGCAGTGCTATCAATTCAGTAAAATTAGCTTATTAATAAGATTATTTTGCAGATCAAACTGTTATTTGCAGCCAAAGATTACCAAAATCCCATAGATTCTTATGATCCATACATAAAACATAGCTATTCCATTCCAGAAATACCCCCAAGCTGGACAAGCAATTACCTTTGGAGCTGAAAGATTACTTGAGACCAAAGTGTCATGAAGTACCAAGCTGAACTGCTCGTCTACAGTAAGATGGTAGCATCTAATCTTCTGTCTGAATTTGTTGATAGGTTATATCTTAACCAAATCACTCAAAGGTTTGAACAGTTTTACCATTATCACCTCTGAATCATAAACTTTAAGCTAAAATGGTGAACCAGAGCTCCCAGAAGGCACCCTGTTCACCAAGTGTTTCTGACTAATCTTAGAAAGAAGTCCATGTCAATAATTCTAAAACTCTTTCTCTATCTCCTTCTCTTGTCCTCTACTTTTTGGGGTTTATAATAGTCACCCTACTTAATAATTAAGTTATCAACAATGGACATTTCACTAGGAATGAAGATGTGTTTAAATTCGTTTCATATTAGATTGTCAGGCAGCAGAATCAGCTGAACATTTTGAACCTATCATTTCCTAGTTATGTGATCCTGGGAAAATTATTTAACTTCTTTGCTGTTGTTGTTTGTTTGTTTTTTGTTTTTTTCATTAATGCAATGTAACTAATAATCCCTGCCTCACCAGGTAGACTGTAAGGATTAAGTGACATATAAAGTAACTAGAATGTTATAGGCACATAAGAGATCTTAAATATTTTAAACAAATTTTGAGTTTATTTATTTAAAAAACTAGTTATGGATGTGTTTTTCTTTTGACAGAAATACATTTACTGTTAAATTATCTTTATTCACAATTTTAAAAGCAGAATAATCAAGCTTGTTTAAGATTTCCATTACTTAAAGTATCTATACAAATACAGTATTACCTTGTTTCTACTTTTGAGTTAACTTACTTTTTTTAATTTATAGAATCACATAGTCTTTATCATATTCATTTAGTGCATTCAAAATTTTCATAGAGTGATGTATGATAATTATCTCTTTCCATTATTGGATATGTAATTTGTTTCCAATTCTTCAACACTATCATCAATAATATTGGATGGGAGGAGAAACTTTGTGCACAGGAGCTTTTTTTAACTTGTCAATTGTTAATTTCTTAGGATACAGTTCCAGAACTGAAATTACTAGATCAAAGGATGTGAAGACATTTTTATGGTTCTGATCTGTTTTGTTGACTTGAAGTGCATGGAAAGAAGAAACTACTGTAAGAAAGGATAGTCAGAGGTCTCAATTTGTGGACTTGGAAGGTTGGGAAAAGAATATTTCAAAAGGAAAAAAAAATCCTTAAAAAAATCAGAATCAGGCCGGGCACGGTGGCTCACGCCTGTAATCCCAGCATTTTGGGAGGCCAAGGTGGGTGAATCACGAGGTGAGGAACTCAAGACCAGCCTGGCCAAGATGGTGAAACCCTGTCTCCACTAAAAATACAAAAATTAGCCAGGTGTGGTGGCACATGCCTGTAATCCCAGCTACTCGGGAGGCTGAGGCAGAAGAATCGCTTGAACTCGGGAGGTGGAGATTGCAGTGAGCTGAGATCCTGCCACTGCACTCCAGCCTGGGCGACAGAGCAAGACCCCACCTCAAAAAAAAAATTAGAATCAAGTAAGAGTTCAATATGAATAAAAGGCAATGGAAAATTCACCTGGCTAAAGCTGGGTGCAGTGGCTCGCACCTGAAATTCAGCAACATGGGAGGCCGAGGCAGCTTGAGCCCAGGAGTTTGAGCCAGCCTGGGCAACATAGCAAGACACCATCTCCACAAAGTGCTTTAAAAATTAGCCAGTGTGGTGGCATGTGACTATAGTCCCAGCTACGAGGGAGGATCCCTGGAGCCCAGGAGTTGGAGGCTGTAGTGAGCTATGACCATGACTCTGCACTACAACCTGGGTGACACAATGAGATCCCATCTTAAAAAATAACTTCACTTTGAAGTAAAAGATTTATTTTGGCAGTAGTGAGAAATCTGGCTAGACAGATTGAGAAGATTCTTACAAGAAGGGGCCCTTGAGAGTGAAATAAAATAAATTAAGCTTGCTATAGTATGCCTAGAGTCCAGGACAGTAGCAAAATTGAGAGAAGAAGATGGCTTATGATGAATCACTGGCAGTGGGATTGAGGCTGAATTGGATGAGGACATGAAGTTGTGGAAAATAGCTATAATTAAAACTTCACATGTGATGTTAAAGAAGAGGAAAATGGAGGCCGGGCGTGGTGGCTCATGCCTGTAGTCCCAGCACTTTGGGAGGCCAAGGTGGGCGGATCACTTAAGGAAAGGAGTTTGAGGCCAGCCTGGCCAACACAGTGAAACCCCATCTCTACTAAAAATCTAAAAATTAGCCGGGCATGGTGGTGCATGCCTGTAATCCCAGCTATTCAGGAGGCTGAGGCAAGAGAATCACTTGAACCTGGGAGGCGGAGGTTGCAGTGAGCCAAGATTGTGCCATTGCAGTCCAGCCATGTGACAGAGTGAGACTCCATCTCAAAAAACAAACAAAAAAGAAAATGAAGAGGAAAATGAAAAGCAAATACAGACTGTTGAGAGAAAAATAAAAGAACTTAAAAAGAAGCAGTCTAAGAGAGTGAAGAAAAGTATAGTACCCCACAGTTCACACCTGAGTGACTAGAAGTGAGGAGAAATAGTTGTCACTCAAGTGACAGCAGTCGGGCAATTTTGGGAAGGGCACCAAGTTTATTGGAGGGGTGAAATGGGCAGGAGATGCTGATTTTGAGTTGAGAGTAGGATATTCAGGTGAAAAGGCCAAATATAGCCTGTTGGAAGGCTTTACATTATTCAGGACTTTAGTGGTTTAAGTTGGATACATGCAAAACAAGTTTATATTGCAGAACAGGGCATTTTTACTAGAAAATGGGGAAGATACAGTGGAGTTTCTGAGAAGACCTCATTAGCCAAGGCCTTGGACCAAAGTAGCAAGTGATCCTGGCTTATCAGCCATGGCCTCCCAGGATTGAGCTAGTGTCAGAATTTCATCAGAAATCATATCCCATTGCTATGGTCTCAATGTCTGTGCCCCTGTCCTCCCCGCCACCAAATTCCTATGTTGAAACCTGATCTCCAATGTAAAAGTATTAAAAGGTAGGGCCACTGGGAGGCGATTAAACCGTGAGGGCAAGGCCCATGTGAATGGGATTAATCCCTTTTATTTTATTTTATTTTATTTTATTTTTTTTTTTTTTTGAGACGGAGTCTCGCTGTCGTCCAGGCTGGAGTGCAGTGGCGCAATCTCGGCTCACTGCAGGCTCCGCCCCCTGGAGTTCACGCCATTCTCCTGCCTCAGCCTCCGGAGTAGCTGGGACTACAGGCGCCCGCCACCTCGCCCGGCTAATTTTTTGTATTTTTAGTAGAGACGGGGTTTCACCGTGTTACCCAGGATGGTCTCGATCTCCTGACCTCGTGATCCGCCCGCCTCGGCCTCCCAAAGTGCTGGGATTACAGGCGTGAGCCACCGCGCCCGGCCGGGATTAATCCCTTTTAAAAGAGGTCTGAGAAACTTCTTTGCCACTTCCACCATGTGACGACATAGCTGGAAGGAAGGCATCACCTATGAGGAAGAGGACTCTTACCAGTCACCAGTCTGCCAGTTCCTTGATCTTGAACTTCCCAGGCTTCAGGACTGTGAGCATTAAGTTTCTGTCGTTTATAAGCCACCCAGTTTATGGCACTTTTGGTCTAGCAGCTGGAATGGACTAAGATACCCATTCTGTAGTTCTACCATCATATATGGTCAAATATAATTGCGGTGGCTGGGAGCTGTGGCTCACACCTGTAATCCCAGCACTTTGGGAGGCTGAGGCGGGCGGATCACAAGGTCAGGAAATCGAGACCATCCTGGCTAACATGGTGAAACCCTGTCTGTATTAAAAATACAAAAATTAGCTGGGCATGGTGGCGGGCGCCTGTAATACCAGCTACTCGGGAGGCTGAGGCAGGAGAATCACTTGAATCTGGGAGGCAGAGGTTGCAGTGAGCCAAGATTGCACCACTGCACTCCAGCCTGGGCGACAGAGCAAGACTCTGGTAAAAAAAAAAAAAAAAAAAAAAAAAAAGCATGAGGACAAGAAGAATTGAAATTTAGAATTATTTAAGGTAGATGCAAAACTAGCAATACTATTATAAGCTCAACTCATTTTATTTGGGGGCCAATGACATATAATTCATAAATAATTAATTTTTTACTTTAGAAGGTACCTGTGTCGAAAGACTCCTCTAGGCCAGGCACAGTAGCTCACATCAGTAATCCCAGCATTTTGGGAGGCCCAGGCAGGAGGATTGCTTGAGCCAAGGAGTTCAAGACCAGTCTAGGCAACATAGTGAGACCTCATCTCTATTAATTCAGGAGGCTGAGGCAAGAGAATTGCTTAAGCCCGGGAAGCAAACGTTGCAGTGAACCGAGACTGCACCACTGCACTCCATCCTGGGTGACAGAGCAAGATTCCGTCTCCGAAAAAAAAAAAAAAAAAATTAGCCATGCATGGTGGTGCAAACCTGTGGTCCCAGGCACTCAGGAGGCTGAGGTGGTAGGATCACATGAGCTCAGGAGTTTGAGACTTCAGTGAGCTATGAACACACCACTGCACTCCAACCTGGGTAACAGAGCAAGACCTTGTCTCTAAAAAATAAAACATAAATAAAATATTTTAAAGACTCCTCTAAAATATATCTGAGAAACTCTGAAACTTGAAAAATCTTCTCCTTAAGAGGAGGATGAATAGATTTTAAGACACCACCCAATAATGAAAATTTGGCAGGCCTCCCACCTGCAAAAACTTACAGATAGACTCGTGTCCAAACCAGACAGTCAGAATTCTGGATTCATCTTTTAACTACAGAAAATTCCACAAGAAGAATATAATAATCTCCTGGGTCACCTCAAACCACTGAACACATACCCGGTATTCTAAATATAATCCTTTGCATTTTTCTTTAGAGGAATACTAATGACATGTGTGGACCATATGTTGCAGTCTAATATCTCTGCAATCAGCAAGGAATTTCCTTGGATTTTTTATAGGATCCCTGAGGAACCAGAAGTAGACAGCAGGAAAATTCAGTTTGAAGTAACCCTCTTAGATTGAATTAAATATAGTTGTATCTGTAATGATATCAGGATCTGCTAGAAAATTTGGAGTGTACAAAGTATTCCTGAATTTGTATGATTTATCTATTTTTAATTATTACTTGTAAATTCCTGGGAAAATATTTTATTAAAATAAGACAATTCACGAATCATAAATAAGACCATTGGTTTGAGTAAGGCCATAGTTAGTCACCTCAAAAAAGGTTCACGCCACCTTAGAAATGAATAGAGAACACAACAGAATAACTCATAGACAGTGCAACTGCTCATGGCCCAAGGATCCCCTGGCACAATTAAGCGGCTAAGCATTCTCAGTTTGCAGAAGGCTCTAGAAATTGCTATTGGTGAGTCACTCTAAAGCCCTGTATCAAAATCAAGCTAGGAGAGTGTTAGATACATCCATCTCCCAGGAGTTTTCAACCACAGGTCTCCAGGGCCTTCTGAGTACAAAAGATGCTCTGGCCCAGGGTCTCCTGCTTTCTTAAAATCCACAAAGCTACAGTGAGGAGAGAAGGAAGGAAGAGATGGAGAGGGAGAGCATGGAGAATCACTCTCTTGCTCATTACCAGAGGTTATTTTGATTCTTTTAAATTGATAGAAGTACTGAATTACATATTTTTCCTTTTCTGTAATTTCAGTGAATATGTTCACTGCAATTAAATAAGATTTTGCAGTCCATTACCTTGTAATGGATGTAGCCTTTGGGTATTTTTGAAAACTAAAATTAAAAGAAAAATGAGCAAGTGAACGTGTTGATTAATGCATCTATGAGGATCTTACACCAGCTTTTAAACATACTAATAAACATTTTAAAGCAAAATAGAACATGGAAATAAGTATACTGTATATTTGTTTTTATTCTATTTTCTTTTCTTTCTTTCTTTATTTAGACACGGTCTCCCTCTATTGCCCATACTGGAGTGCTGTGAGGCAATCACAGTGCACTGCAGCCTCAGCCTCCTGGGCTCAAGGGATCCTCCTGCCACTGCCTCCTGAGTAGGGATTACAGGCACACACCACCACACCTGGCTAATTTTCTAATATTTTGTAGAGACAGGGTCTCACTTTGTTGACCAGGCTGGTTTTGAACTCCTGGGCTGAAGCCATCCTCCTGCATCAGCCTCCCAGAGTGCTGGAATTACATAATAGGCATGAGCCATCACACCCAACCTATATCATATTTGTAATGACAAACCTGTTTTTCAAAACAACCACCAATGAATTAATATTGTTCAATACATTCTGAAGACAGAGACAGTAAGTCACGAGGAGACCACATTGCTATTGTACACTGCAACTTGGTAGAGGCAGCAGCCACTAAAACTGCTGCCCAGTCAGATAACAGTGATTATCATGAAATTTGTCAAGAGTTTCACAGCTGTACCCAATTTCCTTAAAGGAAGAATCATATTATCTATACTTTTTAGGCAAGGGTGTGTTCTGAGGTCTGTAACTTCCTTCAAAGGCTGTTTCTTCCTGATTCAAGCTGCCTTTAGGGCAAGGAAAGGCTGATAAAGCTTGCTTTTGGGTCTATCACTCCCAATGGGGCCACTTTAAAGTCTCCCTCCATACCTCAGTCCACCCCCATGTTTCTCCTGTTTCTGAGCTAACTTGAAATTAAAATTGGAGCTAAAGGTGGGTGTGGTCGCCAGCCTCCCAGATGGCCCCTAGTGATCCTCAATCCTAGATCTTCAGGTCCTTGTCCAGACGCTTCCACACTAAATCAGAGCTGACCTGTGTGACTGCTAGAACATTCCAAAGTGATAGCATACAAGTTCAGAGGCTAGGTCATAAAGGCATTGCAACATTTACCTTGGGTTTTTAGATTGCTTGTTTTGAAGGAAGCCAGTAGCCATGTTGCAAGGATACTCAAGCAGCCCCACAGAGAGACTCAAATGGAGAGAACTGACCTGCCAGCCATAAGCGAACCACGTTGGAAGTGAATCCTTTAGGCCCAGTCAAATTGCAGCCCAGCTGACATTTGGCTGTAACCTTCTGAAAGATCCTAAGCCAGAATCACCCAGTGAAGCCACTCCAGAATTCTTGACCCACAGAACCTGTGAGGTTTAACAAATGCTTCCTGTTGGTTTAAGCCACTAAGTTTGGAGATAATTTGTACATGGAAATGGAAAACTAATATAGTAGGTTAATATATAACCCCTTTTGAGGAGTATGTATACTTTAACCAGAGTCTTTACTAAAACAAAACCAAAAAATGGTGAAATGACTGGTAGAGTGTGGGTGAGTGGGAAAGGGCCCCACTGGCAGTCTGTCCCTCCATCACCAGGCAGCCCTTCCCTTCTTTCTACTGTGGGGACATAAACTGCAGTGCTTTTGGTGTCAGGTGACATTTTATCACTCAGACCTCAACAGAGTAATTATTATTATTATTATTATTCTTGAGATGGAGTTTCGTTCTTGTTGCCCAGGCTGGAGTGCAATGGCCTGATCTCGGCTCACGGCAACCTCCACCTTCTGGGTTCAAAGGATTTTTCTGCCTCAGCCTCCCAAGTAGCTGGGATTACAGGCGCCCTCCACCACGCCCACCTAATTTTGTATTTTTAGTAGAGACAGGGTTTCACCATGTTGTTCAGGCTGGTCTCAAACACCTGACCTCAGGTGATCCACCTGCCTCAGCCTCCCAAAGTGCTGGGATTACAGGCGTGAGCCACTGCACCCAGCCGAGAGATTCTTAATTGTAACCTGATGTTCTCCCCTCCTCCTGGCTTCAAGAAACCCAGAGAGCTATTAGGAACACAAAAGTTCTGATGACTGTAGCTTCAATCCTGGCTGTACATTCAGCCATCAGGCCACATCTCTGTGCCTCATTTTTCTCATTTAGGAGATGACATATTTTTAAATGTACATTATTTCACTTCTTTTGATTGTAAAATGTAACATACATGCAGAAGAGTACACTAAACTTTGTATACAGTTTTAAAAGCAGCTAGGTTAAGATAGAACACTGCTAATTAGAACCTAGAGCTGCCTTAATCTACTACTGACTGGACAGTATTGGTAGGCCTGTACAGAGAGGCTGTTAGTGGCCGGAAGAGTCTCAGAAAAAGAAGAGACAGAGACAGACTTTCTTGCTTCATCACTGTAACCCAAGCATGGGATGGAGTACCTTCTAGCAGGACCAAAGTGGGCAAACAGACAAGTCTTTTTTAAAAATCTCTTCAGTAATTACAATATGCAAAATGAGTATAATACCCAACACAGCAAAAGTGAATATGGTAGAGAAGCTAGAGCTAGAAAGATGAATATGTTATATCTCCTGCCCTGGAGGAGACAGACATGGATACAGGTAATTGCAATAAACAGCAATTGTTCTATAATAAAGATGTATGCAAAGTGCAGTGTGGAGCACAGAAGGGTTTGGAAACAGAAGGAATTAAAATTAATCCAACCATGAAACTAAGCCAGAAGCAATTAGTATTGGGATCTTTGTCATCACTCAGTCCAAAATTCCCACTTTGAGCTGAGAAGGAAAGTTCTTAGGAACCAAAAGAGATGGAGGGGGAAAAGAATGACTTCACTTCTCCATTGCCAGAGTCTGTGAAGCAGCTAGCAGCCAATTACCAGTGGAAGTTGTGGAGTTCCCTTCTCCAGAAATCTTATGATCGACATTGTAGCCCTATGTTTTCAATGCATTGCCAAATTTGTTAAAGCAACTGGATGCTTGCCAGCCTGCCGCTTCATTTTGTGCTGTGTGGACACAGTCCTAAGCATGTGAAGTGCCAATAAAGCACTTAATATTATTTTTGGACTTATCCAATCTTCCTTTCTACTGAGTTTGTAAGTTCCTTGAGGGTAGTGCATCACACTGTGTTCTGAGTGGCAAACATTGGACCCACTAAAGGTAGCTTAAAAAAGAAAAATGATTAACTTTAGTTATCTCTAGGAGGGCTAGGAAACTAGGTTCGGAGGGTACTCCACACGCAGGAGGCAACAGCAACACCTGGAATGTAATTCTGGCACAGGCGCCAGGGCAGGTATCACCATCACGGGCACGGGAATCAGCTGTTCCTTTTCCCACAGAAAAAGTGTCAGGTCGTTAGAGGGACAGAAAACGAATACTGGGCAAGCCAAAACAATGGCAGCTATGTAATAGATCCTCCAAAGGATTTAAATAATTTCAGCCAAATGAAGATACCTAATACCATTAGAAAAAGAATATATCTGACAGTCAGGTGCAGTGGCTTACACCTGTAATTCTAGCATTTGGGGAGTCTGAAGCAGGCGTATTGCTTGATTCCAAGAGTTGGAGACCAGCCTGGGCAACATGGCAAAACCCCATCTCTACAAAAAATTAGCTGGGTGTGGTGGTGCGCGCCTGTAGTCCCAGCTACTCAGGAAGGAGGCTGAGATGAGAGGATCACCTGCACCCTGGGAGGTTAAGACTGCAGTGAGCCAAGATCACGCCATTCCACTCCAGCCTGGGCGACAGAGTGAGACCCCATCTGGAAAAAAAAAAAATCTGTTTTAAGTCCTCTCAGGCATACCCCGAGTGATCAAGTTGCTAGTGAAATAAGCCAACTTCTAAATAAAACTAATGGAAGGACTAGCATTTTCTTAGTATGGTTACCTAACCCTTACTAACCTTCTTGAGGCTTAATTAGACTTGTGTTTGTATGTATGTTACACAGACCACTATCAAATTTTATAAATCTTGCTACAACAAAAATTAAAGAATATTTTAGTGTTGCTCCCTAGAAAACTGCAAAGCTTACTAAAAATATGCATCCTTTAAAAAGTGTGCCTATATCTTTATAAACTTGCTTTTAACATTTCTTTAATTTTGTATTATAAGTATAGAAAAATGATAGAATAGTTTTCCACATTTCTTGGATTCTCCATTTTACTTAAGCTAAAGGTATACTTTTCTTATTACTTTGCTAATCGTGAATTCCACTTTTATCAACACAATTCAGAACTTGTTTCCAACTGGTAGGATGAAAATTGAACATATGTGACACTCAAATGCTCAATTCCCTGTTGAAGAAATGAATGATAGACCTTATCTATCATTTATTTGACTCATGTGTACACCCATGTATATCACAGACATTTTTATTTAATTATTCAAGAATTGGCACATGAGAAGCATTATCTAATTCCTCTGGGACCTTCCACTGGCAAAAATAAATGCAATGACTGTGGCTACCAGATGAATTTTGCCCTTTTTCTTATATTTGAAAGTAATGACTTTATTATTTCTGAATTTAATTATTTAAATTTTAAGCAAAACAGAAAATCACTACAAAGAAAAAAATGTCAACAAAATCTTACTATGTAGAAGAAACCGACCCCTTCCCTCAGCTGCCGCCAAGCTGCTCGGTCCTTCCGAGGAAGCTAAGGCCGCGTTGGGGTAAGGCCCTCACTTCATCCTGCGACTAGCACCGCGTCCGGCAGCGCCTGCCCTACACTCGCCCGTGCCATGGCCTCCGTCTCCAAGCTCGCCTGCATCTACTCGGCCCTCATTCTGCACGACGATGAGGTGACAGTCACGGAGGATAAGATCAATGCCCTCATTAAAGCAGCCGGTGTAAATGTTGAACCTTTTTGGCCTGGCTTGTTTGCAAAGGCCCTGGCCAACGTCAACATTGGGAGCCTCATCTGCAATGTAGGGGCTGGTGGACCTGCTCCAGCAGCTGGTGCTGCACCAGCAGGACGTCCTGCCCCCTCCACTGCTGCTGCTCCAGCTGAGGAGAAGAAAGTGGAAGCAAAGAAAGAAGAATCCAAGGAGTCTGATGATGACATGGGCCTTGGTCTTTTTGACTAAACCTCTTTTATAACGTGTTCAATAAAAAGCTGAACTTAAAAAAAAAAAGAAGTAACCATCATTAATATTAGGTGAACATCTTTCTTGACAGCTCTATGTAGACACTCAGATATTAGGAGTGATCGGTGCATAAATAACTTGGTACATAGAAATAATTTTATAAAACTGGATACATATTATGCATGCTATTTTTAAATAAAAATATTAAATTTACATTTACTTAGACGTAATAAGAGAGAGAAACCAGATGAAACTAACAGATAACTGTTTCTTCTTCACTAAGAGAGCCCTCTAGAAGTATGGGAGAAAAATATTTACAAGTTTGGATTTTTTTAGCAATCCAAATGTGTTGTTGAACTTTATTAAAGTGTTCCTAAAATTAAAAATATAACAAATAAATCAGTTGGGCATGGTGGCACACACCTGTAGTCCCAGCTACTGGGGAGGCTGGGGCAGGAGGATGGCTTGAGCCCAGAAGCTAGAGGCTATAGTTAGTTATCTATAATTGTGCCTGTGAATAGCCACTGTACTCCAGCCTAGGCAACATAGTGAGACTCTGTCTCTAATTTAAAAAAAAAAAAGTAAATAAATAAATAAACAAGCAATTCTAATACTACATAATCTTAATTGAGAAAGCTTTAAGCTAAATCTATTCATCTTGAGTTCCAAATGATAATTATGTTTTATAACTAAAATTGGAAGGAGGCAGAAATAGAACATCTGAAACCTTTAGTCTTTATTTACATATGAATTGCAGCTAGCTTACCTTTGTCATTGTGACACATGTTGAATTAGGGACAGGTATAAAGCAATACCTTTATTCCTCTTAGTTCATTCAGAACAAAGTTCATTCATTTCATTGGTGTACTAAAATATCTAAGCTGCAATTGTTTGTGTTTACATGGAACCAATTGAGATAACATTGTCCTCTAAAATATGTAAATTTTTTAAAATCAAGGGCCAAGCCCCAAATTACAAACCTTTAATAAAAACAGGCCTTGAGAATTCTCAGATAGCTTCCCCATGTGACAATTCTGAAGCATACAAACACAGTTGTTTCTGAAGTTCCCAAAGGAACCATATGCTGCTAGAAAAATAGATTATTCTGGTTGTATGTGTGCTTTTATTTGCAGTCAAAACAGAAGCTTATTGGACTTTCTTGGCAGGTTAACCCAAGGAAGTTTAAATTTTAAATCTTTTTAAGATTTTTAGGGACAAATAGTATGCTATTTTTGTCTGAATAAGAAATATTGTTGTTTTAATTCATCATTTGGAGCTCATTTTATATATTCACATAGAATCTACCTTTTCTACAATTTTTTTTTTTTTTTTTGAGACGGAGTTTCACTCTTGTTGCCCAGGCTGGAGTGCAATGGCGTGAACTCAGCTCACCGCAACCTCCGCCTCCCAGATTCAAATGATTCTCCTGCCTCAGCCTCCTGAGTAGCTGGGATTACAGGCATGCATCACCACACCCGGCTAATTTTTGTATTTTTAGTAGAGATGGGGTTTCTCCATTTTGGTCAGGCTGGTCTTGAACTCCCAACCTCAGATGATCTGCCCGCCTCGGCCTCCCAAAGTGCTGGGATTACACACATGAGCCACGGTGCCCGACCTACAATTATTTCATAAGCGAGTAGTTTTTTTCCCCCTATATGAAGCTAACACACTTCACATATTCAAAATGTGACTCAAGTTTCAGATGTAAGAGGAGATGTAAACATTTACATATGATAGAGTAATTACTCATACAGGCAATTGAATACTAACACTATTTTGACAATTAGATCATAAGCAATCAGGAAAAATAATTTCTATTTATATAGAACTGTCCTTCAGCCATTAATTAGACCACAACGTGTCCTTTTTGCAGCAAGTTTTTATTTATTTTTTTCAGTTTAAGGGTAGGTTTTTATAGACCCACAATGGCAATAGAGTTTTTTTGTTTGTTTGGTTTTCGTTTTTTGTTTGTTTGTTTGCTTTTGAGACGGAGTCTCACTCTGTCGCCCAGGCTGGAGTGCAGTGGCGTGATCTCAGCTCACTGCAAGCTCCGCCTCCCGGGTTCACGCCCTTCTCCTGCCTCAGCCTCCCGAGTAGCTGGGTCTACAGGCGCCTGCCACCAAGCCCAGCTAATTTTTTGTATTTTTAGTAGAAACGGGGTTTCATCATGTTGGCCAGGATAGTCTCTATCTCTTGACCTCGTGATCCACCCGCCTCGGCCTCCCAAAGTGCTGGGATTACAGGCGTGAGCCACCGCGCCCGGCCGGAAATAGTTACAGTTTTATGCACAGTTGAGAAAATTCACAATTCCCCACTGCCAGAGTAGGTAGAGGGAAGAATTTTTCCTTTCTGCAGCAACAGGAGTTAATGTGGTTGATCACTCCTCTTCTCACTTTGATGTCCACAGAACACAACCTGAACCTCTCTATTTTAAAGAATGATAAATTCAACCCTGGGGAGGTGCTACAGTGTAGGAAATGTATGTAAATCATCATTGCATTCTAATTTATGGCACCTGACCTCTAAAGTGCCATGTATGTGAATTCACATGTCCTTTTGGATAGAAAAAAACTGAACAAAAGTGTGATGGATTTAAGTTTTCTGTGCTCAGAATAAGCCAGTAAACTAGAAGCAGTGGGTAATGGCCTGACACCTCTTCCATCCTTTATTTCTCCCGGGCTTCTTCTAAGGTCTTGGGGCTTAGTTTAGTGAGTGCCCAGCCATTGCAGTCATCAAGCATTCATTAGCTGCCATTTTCCTTTCCTCTGTTATTATGTACCACCAGTATTTTGCTAAATGTATTGAATAACCCTAGACTTTACTTATTCTCTCCAGCCATATTCACTGCAATGATTCTTCCCTTCCCAGTATCTCTTTAATCCTAATTGGTAATTGTCTGTGCATGGCACCTGGAAACTCAGTACATATTTGTCATATATGTAAGTATTTCTCTCCTTCAGTCCCTGTCTTTCCATCCAAATGCCTATCACAATGCTCATTACCCATTCTGTCTTAATAATTAGCAAAGGTTACACTAGACATTGTTCTAAATGATCCACATGTATTATCTCTGTTCTTCCTCACAAGTCAGTGAAGTAGAGACATTAATATTCCCATTTTTAAGGGAGGAATGTAAAGCTGAATGACACTGAGTCACCTGTCCCGGGATTTGTGCCCAAGCCTGTCTGCTTCCAAGGTTCACTGTGGTAACTACTACATTTAATTGTCTCTAGAAACCCTCTGCTAGACCTCATTTGGTTTCGTCAATCTTTCTCCAGGAGTTCTGTTGCCATAAGGTACTCCAACAACTATAATAAGTAACAAATACAATATATTAAAAAGCCTCAAACAACAACCAAAATGCATTATAAATTACATTCTGTAAGAATAAAAGGGATTGGCTGGGCATAGTGGCTCATGCCTGTAATCCCAGCACTTTGGGAGGCCGAGGCAGGTGGATCACCTGAGGTCAGGAGTTCGAGACCAGCCTGACCAACATGGCGAAACCCCCTCTCTACTAAAAATTCAAAAATCAGCTGGGCATGGTGGTGGCCACCTGTAATCCCAGCTACTCGGGAGGCTGAGGCAGGAGAATTTCTTGAACCAGGGAGGCGGAGATTGCAGTAAGCCAAGATCACACCACTGCATTCCAGCCTGGGCAACAGAGCAAGACTCCATTTCACAAAAAAAAAAAAAAAGAAAGAAAGAATAAAAATAATAAAAGGGATTGTTTTAGATAACATTCACACTTTATTGGTATACAAAGGATTTAATCAAAAGAATGTACCAGATGCATAAGGAGGAAAGTCTATAAGCTCTCCCTCCTTCAGCTTTCTAGCCTCCTATTTGTATTTTACTGTGTAGTCAAAAATCACTTGTGTTCTATTATAAGTGATGAAATATAGAGAATACTTAGCAAGTAAGTTATCAGAGTGTTCCTCACCTGGTAGAAAGCACTTGATGAGTAGCACTGTAAGCTTTGATCCACATTCAACATTCAGCAAATGGTATAGGACCACTATTATGTATAAAATACTCAATGATAGATGAAATATACATATGCCCATGCAAGGGGAACTAATGATAGGGGAAGAAAGGCAGAAAGAGAAAAAGACCTCTCATAATATGGCAGGAGATTCTAAGTGCTTAAGCAGGTAATACAAACAATAAATACTACAGCAGCTCAGAGGAGTCAGCTTTAAATTTGGATGATGTAAAAAAAAGGTTTTATAGAGGTGGTGAGGTTTGAGCTGTGCCACAAAGGATGACTTTGGATAGGCAGAGAGAAAGTAGACGTATGAGACAGGAATGATGTGAGAAAAGGTTCAGAGGCAGGAAAGCATAAGTTTCTTGCAGGGAGTATAAACAGTCCACACTAACTGGGGGTAAAGTTTGTGTGTCAGGCAATGGTGGGAAATTATCAGGGAAAAGATGGCTGGATACAGGTGTTGAGGGCCTTGAATCCCAAGCTAAAAACATCTGAGTTTCTTCTACTTGCTACCAGCAGCTACTGAGAGTTCAAAGTGGAACAATACAACGAAAGCAGGGCTTTCAAATGGATTGACTGGGAAGAAGACTGGACGCAAGGAGACCAATAAGGCATCAGTTGCATTGCTGAATGAGAAATGATAAAGACTAAGCCAATGGAGAAGGAGAAATAGAGTTTGCTGACTAATGGAAAGAAGGAGAGATTTGTTTATCCATATTTCTTTTCTTCGACAGAACGGAGCATTCACTTCAGAATCCCATTTATCTGAAAGGAAGAGAAAAGACTCAATATGACTTCTCTATTCTGAAAGTTGTCAACTTTGAAGTATGGAATTAAGGACAAGGAGTTTGAGAATCCAAATAGAAAGTGCTGACACCATTTGAAAAATCTCTTGTTAAGATCTAGTTTATCTATTCAAAGGAAAGTGGTCTTTTTGGAGGCTCTCACCATCGTTAGCTTTTAGTTCATCAGGTAGACAAATGAGGAACATTACCTAGTTCACATATACATATGCACATACACCCAGATTCTAAAGCCAGATAATTTTTTTTTTTTTTTTTTTTTTTTTTTTTTTGCGACGGAGTCTCGCTCTGTCGCCCAGGCTGGAGTGCAGTGGCGCGATCTCGGCTCACCGAAAGCTCCTCCTCCTGGGTTCACGCTATTCTCCTGCCTCAGCCTCCCAAGTAGCTGGGACTACAGGTAACCGCCACCACTCCCGGCTAATTTGTTTTTATATTTTTAGTAGAGACGGGGTTTCACCGTGTTAGCTAGGATGGTCTCGATTTCCTGACCTCGTGATCTGCCCGCCTCGGCCTCCCAAAGTGCTGGGATTACAGGCGTGAGCCACCGGGCCTGGCCCAAGCCAGATAATTTTTAAAGGTCTCAGAAATTACTTCAATCCCAGCCTCTCATTGACATTAATCTTACAGAGCTACAGTACTACTAAATACTCTTCAGTAATAACCAGCACAGTAAAGGATTGTGAAGAAATGCTAAGGTGATAAGGGAATGTAATGATCATCCAGACCAACCCACTTTGTTTTATAGGAGAATCTAAGACCAGGCAAGCTATTTTTCCTTTTAATCAGAAAATACAACTGGTACTGAAATCCAGGTCTCCTCCCTTAAGAATAATGTTCTTGGCCAGGGGCGGTGGCTCACACCTATAATCCCAGCACTTTGGGAGGCCGAGGTGGGCAGATCACGAGGTCAGGAGATCGAGACCATCCTGGCTAACAAGGTAGAAACTCTGTCTCTACTAAAAATACAAAAAATTAGCCAGGCATGGTGGCGGGTGCCTGTAGTCCCAGCTACTCAGGAGGCTGAGGCAGGAGAATGGCATGAACCCGGGAGGCAGAGCTTGCAGTGAGCTGAGATTGCGCCAGTACACTCCAGCCTAGGCGGCAGAGCGAGACTCCATCTCAAAAAAAAGCAAAAGAATAATGTTCTTACTGGGTGTGACAGCGCATGCCTATATTCCCAGCTACTTGGGAGGCTAAGGCAGGAGGGTCACTTAAGCCCAAGAGTTCAAGACCAGCCTGGGCAACAAAACAAGATCCCATTTCTAAGAAAAGAAAAATAATAATGTTATTTGTTCAGGGTCCTTTACTTCAGCCTCAGTGGTTCCATCCTAGGAAATGTTTAGACGCTAACAATGTGGCTGCATTGTCTCCAGCTATATCTTTCTCTTCTGTTTATATCTTTGAGAAGAAAACACAACAGAAGGGGACCTCTAGGATGAGATAGGGTTCCCATTCTAAGGCAGTAGAATGGGAAAAGCCACTGGCTAAAGTCAGCCACCCAGTAGCCCAGAAGAGCACAGTGAGATTGAGATGCTAAGAGAGTAGAACAGAGTGCCAACCTGCCCTTGTCCCCATTATCCACTATTTGATGCATTTGAAGAGAAAGAGTGACTCTGGCTCTAAGATGTTAGAGAAAAGCGATCATTGCTATTATCTCATAGGCAATGATGGCAGTGGAGAAAAAGTGATGGTTTCAAGGAAGGGGCAGATATGAATTTACTATGAGCCCAGTGAAATGTAAACTTCACTAACTTGAACCATTCCACATCCTGGGAATTTTGTATTAACAATTTTGTATTTTTTTCCTTAAAGAGGTTTCCCCAAATTGTATAAGCTTAGGCTCTACAAAATCCCTAAGAATTCAGTGTGCTGAAGAGTCCAGCACCTTCTAGAAATGCCTCAAAAGTGTCAGTTTTAATAAACTTGTAATAGTTTATTAGCTATGACAAGTCCAAATGACTACTCTTTGGCCCTTCTTTCCAAAATACATCAGTAAGATTTCTAGAAGGAGAAGAGATTATGTTGAAATCTTTACAAGCTAAGTAATAGACCTTCCTTTCACACCAATATTTAGGATTTTCATCCTCTTGGTTCATTATTGAATCTAGTTAAACAGTTTCTATAGAAATTTTATTTCTGAATAACAAGTACAACGTAATAAGCAATTACAAATGAGATGTTGAAATAGAGTTATTTTGCAGATTTGTTGCATGTTCATGACTTGAAAACATTAGATAGAGGTAAAAACCATGAACATCTTTGTTTCTATTTAGACGGATATTTATCTTCGTGAGATATGTCCACTATGGTTTTACTTTAAAACCACAAATAAAGTTTTAACAATGGGCATTTTTCTTGTTGAGAGGTCTGTGGTCAGACTAAACAACTCTCGGAAACTGATTAGATCCTGAGGTTTTCAAATTCAATATTCAGCAAATATAGATCATTTCTTTGGCCATAAGGAATAATTAAGAACTTCAGAGCTAATGCAACTCTCCTGAGCCTGCTTCTGTTTTTTTTGGATGACACGATAATCAGACAGCCTTTTCTGGTGTTGGTCCTCACCATATTTGAGATTGAGGCAGCATAAATCACACACAATTAATCTTTTGAAACTCTAGGTGACATTGCTTTAGGTTTTTATATCAGCAAAGCCTTCATTTGCTAGTACTCAACTTATGGGAATTTTATATATTATTAAGTGCTTTCCTTTTCCTCACTCCCAATTATCCTGATCCAGAAAAGTAGACACATGGTCATTATGTGAAGACAAAGGAACATTGAATAGTTAATTATACAACAGCCAGAACTGTCCACTGTGTATTCATCCTTGTAACAGATCACTGGAGGGTAAATTAGCATATTTAGTTTGAAATCTTGTAAAATAGAAACGGGATTGTTTGAGTAGTTGCAGTTTACATAGTAACCTCATACTTCATGGAGATCTGACTCAAAATAACACAAGGCTCAAAATAATAGGAAAAGGAATGCTCTGTAAATGATCCACATTGCCTAGGTACCTCCACTGACAACATGTATTTGATAGTGTCTAAAATCCTCTTTTCCTGTATAAACACAGTATCACTGTAATCCTAGACAGCACATTTGCTTTCTCTTAGAGCCTAACTCCCTTCAAATGATAGGTCTAAAATAAAATATGCAGAAGTCATTAAATTGTAGCATTTTCATTGTTGGGAGGGACCTCCAGAGGTCACCTAGTTCATCCCGATCTCCAGCCAGGACTCTTCCTAATACTGAATATAGCTGTACAGTGATCTGCATTAAGAAAGCTTTTAAAGATCCCTGGGGTTGGGCAAAAAATAGCTAATATTGGCCTGATTCATAGAATAGCATTATACGAATGTCATAATAGCCACCTTCATCAAGGAAGACATCCATCAGGGCTAAGTGCTAGTACTAGCTTCAGAAGGAAAAGCTTTATTTTCTCAGAGAAAAGGGTGGTAGATTAAGGAAATGACCCAGCATGTTGGTATTTTGTTGTTGTTGTTGTTTAGGTGTACATTTAAATGCTTATCAAAAAGGAAACATTGTCATGTCAAAGACCACTGCAGGGGAAGCCCAGAGGTGGCTGTAAGCAAGCAGATCACAAGTCCTTTAACAAGTTCTTTCAAATAGCAGTAGAGCTCAGAGGGGGGCTGTTGTTTCAAACAAGATTCAATTAGCATCAAGTTATTAAAGGGCAGCCGGGGAAACAAGAATAATATTGACAGACCTGCTTTTTAAGCAGTATCTTTTCCCTCTAATCAGCTGAGTTTGTTGGAGCTGATCATTTTATTTCTTCAACTCCATTCAACTATAGGTGCAAAGAATGAGAACTTCAGTGTAACTCCAATTTTCTAAGAGAACTAATCATATTGCTGCTTTATAAAAAAGGTAATCTTTCACAGTTGCTTAGATTTATGAATAATTAGATTTAAAGCATTATACTGGAATCTAGAAATCTAGCTAAAAGAGCTGAGGTTCTTATCTGAATTATTTGGGCCGTTAGCCCTTCTGTTGAACTATAGAAAGAACTTAAAGATATAGTTGTAAAATAAGGACGTACTCCCCAAAACTGTCCCAAGTATCCACTTGATTCTGTATCTTTATATTGCATCTTTTTCTCATATTTCTGCAAGTTTACATAAACTCTGGTCAACTATGAATGCCTCCCGGGATGAGAAATGGGAGTTTGGGTGAAATAGATTAGAGAATAGGTTTTGGGGTTTTTTTTAACCACATACTCTCTTGTCAACTTTCAAGTTTTGTGCTTGTACCTCTTCCAAAGTATTCATTTGAAAATATTTCATTTTTGAAATCAGAAAGGCACTGTCTGTGCTCTCTCTCCGCCAGATACTCAGTCTGGGTTACAGGAAGTAGAAATTTGTGACTACTAGCCTTTCCCAGCCTCCTTTGTAACTCTTGACTTTGGAAATGGGAATTCAGCCACTGAGAACTTTTTGATGTGCAGCTGCCTTTCTCAGGGAACACTAACCAAGAAACAAAGTCTTCAGGTCACCTTTCCTCTTCCTTTTGTGAGGACAGGAGACAAAAGAACAAGATCTCCCTGAAGTGTCTCCTTGGCTTTACAACATTCCACAGTAGGCACCTAACACTTGAGTTAAATGTGCAGACTACACACCTACCATAAAATTAGGGCACTCAAGGTAAGGAAAGTATTTCCATAGTTACTTGGATATTTGGCAGAGTAGTTTTCTCTCTTAAACTACTAATTGCCCATAACTTGCTGGGTGTGTACACAACCTGTAGGAAGTATTATTTTTAAAAGTTATCGGCTGGGCGTGGTGGCTCACGTTTGTAATTCTAGCACTTTGTGAGGCCGAGGTGGGCGGATCACCTGAGGTCAGGAGTTCGAGTCCAACCTGGCCAACATGGTGAAACCCCGTCTCTACTAAAAAAAATACAAAAAATTAGCTGGGCATGGTGGCTCATGCCTGTAATCCCAGCTACTGGGGATGGTGAGGCAGGAGAATCACTTGAACCTGGGAGGCAGAGGTTGTGGTGAGCCAGAATTGTGCCACTGCACTCCAGCCTGGGCAACAGAGCAAGACTCCGTGTCAAAAAAAAAAAAAAGTTATCAACATAAACAAATTCTCATAGCAGAATCAAGAAAATTCAAATACAGGAAACTGAATCAACTTTAAAGAAAGAGAATCATTATTAAAGAGTGTAAGAAAAGCAGAGAGCAGCAGATTCTATAATTTTTATTACAAAAAAAACCCTTTACATGCTATGACATTAAATGTCACTTATAAGGTCATTGCAAGCAAATCTTTTTAAAAAATATACATACTGTATATATTTACATTCAAGTTTGAATAATATTTGTCAAGATATAGTTCAGATTCTACTCTTTACCCATTCTGTGGATTTGTTCATCTAGTAACTAAACAGCGATTGTATCATCACTCAGGCACATAGAGAGGTAGAAACCGCTTTTTTAAAGAAAAAAAAACTGGAGTGCAAATGTGAAGATCACTGAAGCAGCTTAGCTACATCAAGGAGACCCTAACTAGCTTTGGTCATCTCAAAAAGCTGAATATATGTAGCCTTGTCCTTTAAATTAAAACCAGAAAAACTTTGGGCAGGTGCTCTTCTGAGCACATCAGAGTGCTGACAGAACTCAGCAACTAATGGTCTGCCACTCTGCAACGCGAATTGCACATGACTAAGTGAGGCAAAGATAGCAGCGGAGCTGGGCTGGCAGCTGGGCACCTTTTCCCTGATAAGACACAAATCATAACCAAACAAGTGGCTTACAAGACAGTCAATTAATATCTGGACATATAGTCTGGAACTCGGAAGCCAACTAAAGTACTTCATTTCCCAAGTGAAATCCCTATTCATTTTTGTTCTCCCACCTCCATCCCAAACTGAGCTCCTAAGTCTAGATAGGGATGGGGGTCGCCTGGGACTTCTGCAGGCCACAGTTTTTCGGCCCCAAGTACCGGCCTCACGAAGGCTCTTGGGACTGAGAAGGGCTGCCGGGGTTCTTGATAAACTTAGTGGGGGTTGTTCCAGAGAGGGGAAGTTGGAGGGGAGCCACAGGAATGGCCGTGGCCAGAAGCCCTTCTCGTTCCCTTTTCTTCTGTTTCATCCTGCGGTTCTGGAACCAGATTTTGACTTGCGTGTCATTCAGGTGCAAGCAGTTGGCTATCTCGATGCGCCGGGCTCGAGTTAAGTACTTATTGAAATGAAACTCTTTTTCCAGTTCTGTCAGTTGCTTGGTGCTGAAATTCGTGCGGATCGCGCTGGAGGGGCTAGCGGCCCCATACTCGGCGAGTTTGCCTGCAACGTAAAGACAGGGCGTCAGCCAGGCCTGAGGCCGGGGACAGAATGTGGGTGAGCAGTGGAGCTAGTTAGAATCAAAGTCCCAGCGCAGCCCTCCTGGGTCCCTAGGAACAGAATTTGTACCAGGAGAAGTTCCACGGAGAGCTCCTTCCTGAAATTTTCTCAATGCCTGGCACATTTTCCGAATCTGTACTCGAGGCAGACTCCATGGAATTCGCCCGGGAACGCGTCTCCTCCACAAAACCCAAACCGCTGTCTGGAAAGGCAGCGACACCACGCTCCCAGCGCATTTCCGCGGGGGAGGCTCCGTCCCCAACCCCAGGTGGCCCCATCCAAGGCCCGCGGACTTACCTTTCTTAGAGGCATTCCTCTTCACTTTCATCCACTCGAACGTGCTGAAGGCGGCAGGGAGGCCGGAGGCGGGAGAGACGGACTTGGGGTAGGTGCCTGGGGCCGGGGATGCGGTCTGGAAAGCACCAGGGTGGCCGTCGGCTGACGCTTTGAGACAAGCCGGAAAAGGGCCGGGTTCGCCGAAGGCCGCGTAATCCACCTGGCCGCTGAGGAGGAAAGAGCCGCCGCCCGAGAAGACGGCCGAGGTGGCGTAGTGGACGTGAGACCCGCCGTCGTCGGCCGCCCGCCCCAGCACGCCCGGGAAGTCGTACGCCGGCCCGGACCCCAGGAAGCCGTAGTCCGCGCCCCCAGCTGCCGCGGCAGGTGCGGCACCAGGTTCGTAGGCCCCCTCCAGGGTGCACTGCGCGTACTGGGGCGCGGCCGGAGGCGGTACGGACGGCCGCGCGGGGGCGGCCGGGGGCGAAGGCGAGGGTCGGGCGGCGGCCAGGGGCAGACAGCTGACGAAGGCGCCGTCGCCGTTGCCCAGAGGGAAGGCGGGCTGCAGAGCCACGGGCCGGGCGTCGGAGCGGCAGAACTTGGGTGCCAAGCTGAGCACGTCGCCGCCGACCCCGCCGCTGCTGCTGCATGACACGTACTCCAGGTAGGAGCTCATGGTTCGGGCCCCACCTTTCTGAGGGCGCAGGCCGGGGCCGGAGTACGGAGCCGGGCAGAGGCTGAGCAGGACTGCCGCCGTCTGCGCCGCTCCGCCAGCCCTCTCTACCCGAGCTGCCCTCTCCAACCCATGGCGAGTGAGCCGGAGGTAAATAGTGGCCTAATATACCGGCGGGGGCGGCCACGTGGCGCTGGCCGGCCAATGGGCGGCCTCTCCGCTCGGCCCGGTCGGCGCGCCGCTCCTCGCGCCTGCCCCGCAGCCAAGTTAGCCAAAGCAGCCCAGGGCCGCCGCCCAGCGCCCCCGAGCCCCGAGGAGAGCCGTCGCGACCGGGGGCTGCCTGGGCAAGGGCGGGGCGAGAGGGCAGAACGCCTGCTCTCGGACAGGTATTGGGCGAGGTGGGGGGAGAAAGGCAGGACTGGACGCTTGGGTGAGGGCCCGTGGATGCAGCGGGGCGAGCCGCTTCTGCTCTGGATCGTGGGGGGGGCTAGTCCCTCGAGGGCGGAGTGTGGGCGTCGCGGCATGGAAAAGGTTAAATGGGAGCGTGACGCGCGGCCGGTGGAGACTGCTCTTCGCCCACCTCCAGGACAGATAAAGTTATTCCTCTTCCCCTCTTCTGAGTCCTCTGCGCTTTCGGTTTGCTTGGCGCTGATGTTATCCCTCTTCTAAACCTAGAGCAGATGTTTGGTTTTTTCCTTTCTTCCCCCTTTCCTAGGACTCATGGAACTACATCTTATGCTGTGAGTGCTGTGTGCCTAGGGCGGGACAAAATTTTCACTTTTTGACTAGGCTTCCTTTTAACGTGACTTTGCAGCTTTCTTCTATCCCTCGCAATTTGTGGCGGCGTGATGAGGGCCAGTGTTGTAGTGCCAGATTTTGATAAAGTTTCTGCCTTGTGGGGTGGTTTAGCAGATTTTCCCCTCCGGCTGGGTTGTTGGAATAAAGAATCCAGAGTGGTGGTGGAACACTCCTTATGCTCCTTTCTGGGAGACTGGCACAGGCACCGGTGCGGCGCTTGCTTTCACTGAGGAGCTTGTCTGGAGGGCGCAAGGGCTTACCGGGGACGGGTGAGATCTCAGAGGTTTAGATGGACTTGTACCTCGAAGCAATTAGAGCTTCTGCTCCATCAGATAAGTGCTGCATCGTCTCTTGTGAGTGAAATCTGAGGGCTCACAATGTTAATGGGCTCACGTCTTTCCCTTGATAATATGGTTTTGTTTACTGAGTGTAGAGAGACGGGAAATAAAAGTGCAATTGCCACAGGAAATGAAGAGTAGAAAGGTTACAAAGACCAGCTTTACATTGACAAACTTTCCAACTTCCTTTAGTATTTCTTTTAATGTTCCCTTTTGAGGGGACTGTAGGAAAATTACAAATTAGATAAATAGAGGTTATTTACACACAGTAGTTATGAAAGAGGGTGGTTTCCTAAAACCCTGTGTGAATAAAGACTCTAAAGAGTCTACTCAGAGCTTATATCAAGTGCCCTTGAAAAGTTAATCTATTACAGCCTCTAAGTTATGGTAACCGAGGTTTTATCATTGTTTTACTGATTGACTTGTCATAAAAGAGCGATTGAGCTGTTGTTGCCTAAATTTCCACTCTGAGGAAGTCTTTAGAATAGGCGCCATCACAGCCCAGGGAGCCAGTTCCTTCCAGGGTTGTGGACTTGTGAATAAACAAAGCCCTACCAAAATGTGGACTACTGATGGACCCGAAGTTGCTGCAGGATGGGGGAGGGATGTCCCCAGGTTGAGGGGAGCCAGTAGAGGGTGGATGCCTAGGAATCAGCACAAAGTTAAAGAGGTCTGTGGTTCCTGCACTGCTGGAGTTCTTGAGTTTGATTGGAAATGGAATACCTGTGCTGAAAATAGCCCTTCAATCTTGATTTTGCTATTTCAGTTGTGCTATAGCCAGTCAGATAAGGTCCTAAATAATTTTTATTTATTTATTTATTTAATTTTTTTTTTTAAGTGCAGTGGCGCGATCTCGGCTCACTGCAAGCTCAGCCTCCCCGATTCACGCCATTCTTCTGCCTCGGCCTCCCGAGTAGCTGGTACTACAGGCGCCCACCACTATGCCCGGCTAATTTTTTGTATTTTTAGTAGAGACGGGGTTTCACCGTGTTAGCCAGGATGGTTTCGATCTCCTGACCTCGTGATCCGCCCGCCTCGGCCTCCCAAAGTGCTGGGATTACAGGCGTGAGCCACCGCGCCCGGCCCTAAATAATTTTTAAGAAGAGAAAAATAAAAGTTCTTCCCTAACACCCCAGTTAGGAAATGTTAGAGCTCTTCAGAGCTAGCTCAGCCTTAAAATGTAGACACGTTTCTTCACTGCTCTCCTGTGCCATTTATGCAAAAGTAACAGCAAATAAGATGCTGCTGAGTTCACAATGCCCCCTCCTCCACCTCTGGCTAGATTTTAATAGCCAGTTTTTATCTGCAAGATGTCCCAGCTCTCACAGTGTTCCCTCAAATGATACTTATCCTATCACAACTCCAAAGCCTAGAGGCCCCATGGGTCAAGAAGGAAGGATGACTTTGTAAACCTCTTTGGGGAAGACATCCAGCCGGCTGCAACCCAGGGTTTAGGGCAGAAGAGTCAGCCTGACTGTCCGGCAAGTCTGACCAAAACCCCTCAAATTAAGGGCCTTTTCTCTAAGGTTTCAGAAAAATCAGGCTGCCTAGGTGTCCTGGCAGCTTTCATGGCAACAAAGACTAAGTTTTTCCTCCTGGGCATTTGGGGCAAAGGCTGGGTCCTTCATGATATAATTAGGCCTTGACTTTAATGCACCCATGAGCTATCCACACTAGCTCCATCAAGTAAAATTTTGGAGATTTAGCCTTTCTGAGGGAAGAAAGTGCCCTAAAAAAGAATGAAGTTTTTAAAAATACTGTTTTGTTTTGTTTTGTTTTCACAACTGTGGGTGAGAGCGAGGGAGAGGTGTTCAATATTTGTTCAGACCCAATAGCATTTCTTTGATAATCGCATACAGAAAACTACATTCTGGCTGGGCACGGTTGCTCACACCTGTAATCCCAGCACATTGGGAGGCTGAGATGGGTGGATCACGAGGTCAGGAGATCAAGACCAGCCCGGCTAACACGGTGAAACCCCATCTCTACTAAAAAAAATAAAAATAAAAATAAATTAGTGGCACACGCCTGTAGTCCCAGCTACTTGGGAGGCTGAGGCAGAAGAATCGCTTGAACCCAGGAGGTGGAGGTTGCAGTGAGCCAAGATCATGCCACTGCACTCCAGCCTGGGTGACAGAGCGAGACTCCGTCTCAAACAAAAAGAAAGCTACATTCTGTTCACCCTTCTCTCCACTCCCTTAATCTCCAAATCCTTGGCATATCCCACACCTTGGGGCTCAGAGTTAGCATCTCCATTCTTGGACTGGTTCTTGACTTGCTCAGGTTGGAAGTCATGACTCTGGTCATCTCATACTCAAATTCAACAGATGTTTGCCAAGGATTTACTATGTAATGACATTTTGTTAGGAGAAAGTTAGGCTAGGGAAAAGACAGTCTTAAACCAAAGGAGCTAGAGATTTATTTCTGACACAGGTTTTAGCTATACTATAAATCTACTCTAGAGGAATCTTAATGTATAATTATCTAAGGAGAAATTGGAAGATATTATTGGGGAAATATAGAAAGATGTGAATATAGCATATTTTGAGTAACATTAAAGTTTGTCTCTTAGATGTTCACCAAGTATGGGAGAAATGTCTTACTAATTTTATTACTTGTCAAGCCATGAATTCCCCAGGGTCACTTGCTCTGCTGGGTCCTGGTGCTGAGTTCTCCACGGGAGGTGACAGCAGAGGGGCCCAATTGCCAGCTTGTGTTTGATGTAGGAATGCTTTGAAATCTCTCCCATCCTGCTCACCACAGCAGCCACCCCCTACCCACTCCCTATCCCTTTCATGACTACCTTTCTCTCCCTTTCTAATAACTAGCCTCTTTTCTGCAGACAGAAGTGATAAAGGGTGGCAGTCTGGTTTTCTGTGTGTTTATTTTATTTTATTTTATTTTTGAGATGGAGTCTCGGTTTGTCACCCAGGCCGGAATGCAGTGGCACGATATTGGCTCA
Organism: Homo sapiens; assembly: GCF_000001405.40. Lineage (NCBI taxonomy): Eukaryota > Metazoa > Chordata > Mammalia > Primates > Hominidae > Homo > Homo sapiens. The sequence continues at coordinate 176,184,706 of NC_000002.12, read as the reverse complement.
CTGCAACCTCCACTTCCCGGGTTCAAGCGATTCTCATGCCTCGGCCTCCCAAGTAGCTGGGACTACAGGCACATGCCACCACACCCAGCTAATTTTTATATTCTTAGTAGAGACAGGGTTTTGCCATGTTGGCCAGGCTGGTCTCGAACTCCTGACCTCAAGTGATCCACCTACCTCACCCTCCCAAAATGCAGGGATTGCTTCTGTGTGTTTTAAGTTGTTTTCAAGAAGCTCCGGGTAAGCCCTCTAGACAAGTCCCACTGTGTTACCGCTTGGAGGCACTTGAGCACATTGCAACGCTTGGCTTCCTAACCCCAAGTCACAGAAAATCTTGTTTGTTGGGGTAAAAAAGGGTGGGTGTCTTTTTTTTCTTAATCCACATTAAGAGAAAGTGAAGATTAAGATGCAGTTCTCTGTAGCATCCCTCAGTCATCCTAGGATGGAGGTAGGGATGCAAAGGAGTCCTAAGGACAAGAATTCTAAACCTGTTGGAAATCTGACAATATGACATTCCCTGAGGAAAACCATTTAAAGTGCTGTGCCTTTCCCTGAGAATTTTGTGAATGAAAGGCTTACTGGTCAAGCCAGTGATTGACACATGGAGGCATTCAAAAGTGTTTGTTGGACGTAAGCAGAGTGGACAGAATGGTGTGTCTTTACCGTGACTAATATTGGCTGAAGGATATCTTTAGATTGTTGCCTCCCAAAACCACATCAGGTGGGTAGAAATCACCATAGAATCTTGTTTAAAAGTTCAGGTTTCTTGAGTCACCCCCAGAGATTTTTACCTAATAGTCTGACTCAGGAATTTTTTTTTAATTTTTGATTTTTTCATAGACACGAGGTCTTGCCATGTTGGCCAGGCTGGTCTTGAACTCTTGGGCTCAAGTGATTCACCCACCTCAGCCTCCCAAAGTGATAGGATTGCAGGTATGAGCCACTGTGCCTGGCCTAGGAATCCTTTTTTTTTTTTTTAACAAGACTTTTGGGTGATCCTAAAGCAAGATTGTTTGGGACCACACTTTGAATAATTCTGCTGTAGGAGTTGGGGTGGGAGGGGGCCGTGTGGGAAGAAAGGAGATGTTCCTATGGGAGGGACCATGAGTGATGAGAGGTCATGGCTAGCTGGCACATGAGTATACCTAAAAAGTGTCCAGAGGTTTGTTGGGTTGCAGAGAGGTCAATGTCAAGGTAAAACTTAAGTCTACTTCGGCTGAAGTTCTAGAGCATATCCTTAAGAAGTGGTCAGTTGGAAGTTTCCCAAGTTTTGCTGACCAATTGGTGCTTTGCAGAGACTGGGCTCACTTCTGCTTCTTGCCACTTCCTTACCTTGGCTTTGATGATGCCAGTGGGGTGGGAAGAGAAAGAGATTTGTCTCTCCCAGTCTCTTCAGAGAAAATTTAGAGTGGTTCTGAGGCAATGGGAAGAAGGAAGGAGTGAGAATGGGCATCTGAAGAGAGAGGACTCAGCCTTTTTTTTCTTCCATCTCTCAAATTGGAATATGCCTTTGAGCCCCAGGGATCCAGAGGGGGCCAAATGTCCCTTAGCCTAAGCAGTAACTCTTTCTCTGGCTAAAGGCTGACTTTTCACAGCCTAAGATGTCAAAGCTAGAAAACACCTTCCAGATAAGCTAAATCAAACCCCTAATTTTAGAGAGGAAGTCACTTTACTCAGAGGTTAAAAGGCAAAGCCATCCTGCAAAAAATGGAACCACCTTGGGTCTCGTGACTTTCCACAGTCCATTGCCTTTTCACAGTCTGCAAAGAGGAAGAAATATAGTAGCTACTCCTTGGCATTGTGGCAGGCCTCCATCCCAAGCAAGCACAGCAGTGTTCAAGAAGGCACACTCATTTCCGGGAGGCCACACAGTCAGTGGTTCTGACTGAGAGGCCTGCTGCTCTGCCAGACTTCTGTAGCCTCATCTTGAGTCCTCCTAGAAGAGAGGGTAGAGACAGACCTGTGACCCCAGCACCAAGCAACAGTGAAGAATCCCCTCATTATCGTTGAGGTTGATCAGCATCAGGGCCCTGGGGGAATAAAACAAGAGGTATCCCAAGATTAATTTTGCTGGATAGAGCAAGTACAAATAAGGACACATATGAACACACACAGGCACACCCAGGTCACTTGTACTAAACATTTTTTTGTTGTTGTTCCTTTATCATTTTAGTCAGGGTGAGTAATGGCATTGTTTTGTTTTGTAACTTTTAAGTTCAGGGATACATGTGCAGGTTTGTTAAATAGATAAACGTGTATCATGAGGGTTTGTTGTACAGATTATTTCATCACCCAGGTATTAAGCCTAGTACCCATTAGTTATTTTTCCTGATCTTCTCCCTCCCCGCACCCTCTGCTCTGTTCCTTTTTTTTTTTTTTTTAATTTTTTTATGAGACAGAATCTTGCTCTGTTGCCCAGGCTGGAGGGCAGTGGTGTGATCTTGGCTCACTGCAACCCCCACCCCCTGGGTTCAAGTGATTCTCCTGCCTCAGCTTCTGTGTAGCTGGGACTACAGACTTGTGCCACCATGCCCAGCTGATTTTTGTATTTTTAGTAGAGATGGGGTTTTACCATGTTGGCCAGGCTGGTCTCGAACTCCTGACCTCAGGTGACCCACCTGCCTCAGCCTCCCAAAGTGCTGGGGTTATAGGTGAGAGCCACTGTGCCCGACTTCTTTTATTTTTTCAAAAGAGTAATAAATTTAAATATGCTTGCTTCAAGATTCAAAGGGTACAAAGGGGTATACAGTGAAAAGTCTTCCTCCCACTCTTGTTCCCAGCTACCTAGTTCCCCTTCACATAAGCAACCAACTTGTGTATCTTTACAGAGACACTTTTTACTAGCATAATTTATATATATGTGTGTGTGTGTGTGTACTCCACAGGTTTTTACACAAATGGTAGCATGCTAGGCAGACTTTTTCGCACCATGCTTTTCCCCCTATTGTATCTTTCAGACCATTCCATATATATCCACACATAACTTCCTGGATTTGTTGTTGTTGTTTGAGACAGGGTCTGACTGTGTCGCTGAGGCTGGAGTGCAGTGGTGCAATCATGGCTCCCTGCAGCCTCAACCTTCTCGGGGCTCAGGTGATCCTCCCACCTCACCCTTCTGAGTAGCTGAGATTACAGGCATGCACAAGCACATCCAGCTAATTTTTGTATTTTTTGTAGAGATAAGGTTTCATCTCTACAAAACCAGGCTGGTCTCAAACTCCTGGGCTTGAGTGATCTGCCAGCCTTGGCTTCCCGAAGTGCTGGGATTACAGATGTGAGCCACGGCGTCTGGCCCTGGTTTACTTTTATAACTTCATACTGTTCTACTGTATACACCTGCCACAATTCATTTAGCCATTCCCTGTTGGTGGGCATATAGCTTGTTTTCAACCTTTTGCTATTACAAACACATGGTCAAGCTTTTACCTATTAGAAAAATTTGTAGAAGTGAAATGATTTAGTCAAAAGATATGTGCACTGTGAGTTTTAATACATTTCTCCACAGAAATAAATTAATTTATACCTCTATCAGCAATATATGAGAGTTCCTGTCTCCTCACACCTTTGCCAAGTCAATGGGATGTTGAAGTTTTTATGTTGGCCAATCTGATAAGTGAAAAATAATACCTTTTATTTACTCTTATAACATCTCCCAAAATATCTCTCTTCCTTATCTTGAGCCTTTCATAATTCTGTATTACAAATGATAATACTAACACAGAAAAGATAACCAACTTGCTGTAATCACACCCGGTGTAAATGGCCAAAGTCAGATGTTCAGCACTCTTCTCTATACTACACCATTCCACACAGGGCTCAAGGAGGTTCAAAAGAGAGTAGGTGGCTTCAAGCATTCCCTGAAAGACACATGATATTTTAAAAAAAAAAAAAAGCATTGAAGCTTTCTGACATCTGCTAAAAGACCTCTTTAGTGGTTTGATACCAAGAACACATTACTGCATGAATCCTCCAGCAAGTACCGCTCTTGAAGGAGAGGGCTCTGAATAGCAATTTGATCTGACCTAGTCCTAAACATTAGCTTGGATTCAATATCTAGGAAGCAGTAGGATGTTGTTGTTTTTAATTTCTCTAAGACATTTCTCACTGGACACCCAGGATCTAAGTATTCATCAGCATGGTGTGAGTGCGGGTGTGTTTTTCCTAGGTTTTAGCTTTATATAGAACACTCACTTGGACCTGGTGAAGATACCAATATCTAACACGCATTCCCATACAACTCTAATGATAAGCCTATGAGGTAGATATCTTTATTGACTCTTTCACTGATGAAACTGAAGTCCAGAAAGATTAAGTGGGTTGCTTAGGGCCACACAGTGTATCAGTAGCAAAGCAGAAAATACAGTGTAGACTGCAACCGAACTCATTAGATTCCTTGCAAAGCCTTCTCTTCTCCCTCCTCTATTCATTTTAGTGAATGACGTGACTCAGTCCCTCAAATCTAGAGATTAACATCCACAACTCCTCTTTTACTCATCCAATTGATCACTAAGTCCTGTGAATTCTACCTCTAAATGTCTTTTCTCTTCACTCTTGTTACATTAGTTCCTCTCTCTGCTGTGTTGTTGCGGTTGCCTCCTATTTTGTTCTTCTTGCCTCGTGTCTCTCCTTTCTCCAATCAGACACAGCATCCCTGAGTTAGCTTCAAAATACATAACTTCACATCCCAGCTTAAAACCTGCAGTGGCTCCCCAGTCTCTAGAGAGTAGGTCCAGACTCCTTCACGTGAACCCTGTGCAACCTCTCTTTTCAGCCAGGATAACCACACTCCAAAGTACTCTCCTTGTTCCAAGCCCAGACTTTGCTTTTTCCTCCCTCTTTGCTTTTGCATGAGTTGTCCTCTCTACCTGGTATGGCTTCCCTTCTTGGCCTGAAAAACGCTTATGTTTCAGGAACCCGAATTCACCTCCTCTGAAACTATTTTTTTTGACATTATAGTACTACTAGTGGCTCCTTTTTTATTAGAGGAACATTTTGACCACACCTCTGTTATAGCACCTGTCATATTGTTTTAAGATTATTTCTCTTCCCCACTAGATTGAAGAGCATACACCATCAGTGACTTGTCTTTGTATCCCAGAGCCCAGCACAGTGTGTATAGGAGCTGTTCACTAGAAATTGGTGAAAGGCAAGGAGGAGGAACAGACTGAACCAAGGACAGCAGGACCAGTAGTTTCATTGCTCAGTGAGTTCAGGACACTGTGTGAGGCTTAATGCTTCAGCTTATATCTATCTGAAGCAAGATGGTAGAACATTTTTCCAAAGCAAGTTAATTTTCCACCCAAGAGGATGAAGGGAGAGAAGGCTGAAGGAAGAGGGGGCAAAGCTGAGGCTTTCTTTCCTTCAGGGACTATTTTCTGTGGCCTGAGGCAACACATTTACTAACTTCAGAAACATCTCAGCTGAAGTCCCGCAGCAAAAAAGGGTAAAAGGGGAACTAGGCTGGAACCTTGTTAGGATTTACAAAGAGAACAGCATGACCACTCCAGAAGGGTTATAAAAATGCTTCACCACTAACTCCACCAAACCCTCCTGCTGTAAACAGCTCTAATGCTAGTGACTACCCTCAGACACTTACTGTCTATCCCTTTAGGGTGTTCTTAAAATACACCGGAAAGAACGGAGGTAAAAATACTGGAGTGTTTCCTCCACACTGGAAAGAGGTGAGTCATATCATTGTGATTGGTGTTTTAAGTATATTTTTATTGTTATTTTAAATGGCATTCAAGTTTAGCTTCAAGTTCAACAGCAGTCTTAGCCTACTTCCTCCCACACAAATACTCCTGCCAGTAAATAGGCACTCTTAAATAAAACAGTGCCTGCAAGAACCTTCTGACCCATTGAAATTAGTCTTGCCCTGTCTTCAGAGGTGTATTCGTCCCTCTCTGGGTGTAGAGCGGTATTTAAGGGTGACACTCGGGCACGCAGGAGGTGTGGCAGGGGGCGGGGAATGCAAGGTCACTGTGGCTCAGGGGCGGGTGTGGGTGCAGGCGCGTTGGGAGGACCCTGGGCGCCCTGGGAAGTCCGAGGGCAGGCGGCAGGGCTGGCGGGCAGCAGTGCTGGCTTCCGACGTGAGGTGGTGACGGCGGGCCCTGCGCCCAGGCCCTGTGCTGCCGACCGCTGTCCTGGCTGCGCAGCTCCCCAGCAGGCGCCGGGCTCAGGTCGCGCCTTCAGTTAGCGCTCAGCCTGCGCTACTGCGTCTCCTCCGCTTGCGATTTCTGGTCGGATCCCAGCTGGCCCAGACTTGCTCTGAAGTAGGAGGAACCGCTGTCGAGCGAAAAGTGCACACCGGGTGATTGATGAACTCTTAATAGAACTAACCTCTCCTGCCCCCAACCCTAGACACACACAGAGAAAACCTCCACCCCAGCCCCTTCTCCAGTCCTCCTCGCGGGCGAGAGGGGACGCGGCCGCCAGCCGGTAGGGTGATTAACTCACCGTCTGTCTTTGCAAAAGTGTTCCAGGTGGATCAGGAGCGCCAGCCCACCCCGCCCGCAGCCTGGCCGCTCGCTGAGGCGCGGAGAGCGCGGAACGAGCGCGCGCATCACGTGGCGGCGCGGACGTTTGTGCCGCGCGCCCGCCAGACCGCCCAGGAGGCGGCGGCTATTGTTCCCCGCAGGGGCCCGGGGCGCCCTGAAACGGGGTCCACGTCAGCCCGCTCCCGAGCGTGTCCTCAGGTCTAAGGACGGGTGGGGCTTCCTTTGTGTGTTCTCTGGAAGGGGCTGGGATGGCGTCGTTGCTGCCCCAAGGGGTAACCGAGGGGGATTGAGGGAAGATGGTACCAGCTCCCTAGAGCTCAGCTCACCAGACCTACTCTTCCGCTCGACCCTTGCAGAGGAGGTGGGGACGGATATGGTATTTGTAGGGCAGCGCTGTGAACAATGGAGCCATCAAAAAGGCCTTCTCCCAGCCTCCTCACCAACCACGGACATTCCTGGCCCAACAAGACCTCCTGGCCAGGTTTTGAGCCCTGCTTCCCAGGTAAAAACACTGCCTGTACCAGAGCTCTCCATGAATTTTGGTTTAAATTAGGATTTAAATTCTTCTGGCCCTTACTAATGTTAAAACCCAGCTTTTATGATTTCTCCAGGTAGTATTCTTTCCTTAAAATAATCCAGACTAGCTATAGGAACCAATCAGGACATTTTGCCCAAGATCTAGGACAGAAAGACTCATGCAGTAACTCCTGCCTTACAGATCTGGGGACCCTTCACCTGCCTCTACTACTGCAAATGATTGGATATTCGTCTGACTTGGCTCTTCCCTAATGTGTGGAACTAATTTTGTTCACTCTGTTTCATGCTGGACCTGGCCTGAAAATGGGCCCTTATATTGTCTTTGCACTTTCCAACTTGCCAAGGTAGGTGTGAAACCTGAGGGAAGTTTTTAGGAATAGGCTTTAGGCCAGGTACTTAAATCCATTTGTTCCCAACCTTGGACTCCAAAGATAAGGGCATTTGTAGCTGGAGTAGAAAAGAAGGGAACAATGAGAACTAAGATTTCATCCTCTGTGATGATTCTTATCATTCACCGTCCTTCCTCTCCAGCATCACCAGTGCAGAAAGTGCAGAGGACTTATGTACCCAATCTTTTTTTTTTTTTTTTTTTTTTTTTGAGATAGAGTTTCACTCTTGATGCCCAGGCTGGAGTGCAATGGTGTGATCTCAGCTCACTGCAACCTTGCCTCCCAGGTACAAACGATTCTCCTGTCTCAGCCTCCCAATATACCCAATCTTTCTCCTTTCTATCCAGGCCTTCTGCAAGAGAGATCTAAGAACCAGCCCTCAAAGATGGTAAGGGCTTGGCTAGTGACAGCCCAGTCTCAGCTCCCTGTGCCCAAAGTGTCGGAACAGGGCCACTCAACCCAAGCCCTACATATATACTCTGGGAAGTTGCAGTGCCTCGAAGTGATCAGGCCATAGTCCTGTGAAGACTGGGGTCATCCATGTCCCTTCCTGCCTACTCACAAACTTCTGTTCTTCCTATTCTTTTCTTTCAGTTTCTGAAAGAAGGACCAAAGTAATGCCAAGAACTCCCAGATGAAGAGGACCTTCCTTAGACCTATAACAGATTCACTACTTGACTTCAGAGGGAAGTTTCAGCTAATTCTCAGGAAAAGGTCAAAACAGGCCTGTGACTGTCCCTTGAATACTGAAGGTATAAACAAGCTTCTGGCTCCTCCAGGTCAAGCAGAGGAACACTTTTATTAGAATGAAGGGTTACTTCTTTGTTATTCAAACACACACCCACACACATCCTCTGTAGTCTCCCTAATGAAAAACCTCAACAGATGGAGAGCCTGAGCTCCCAAGTCCGCAGGCTGAGAAGATGCACTTCACTCAAGGGCCAGTGGGCTGGTACAGACTAGGGAAGAGAAAAGGGACAAAGGCTGCTAGTATAGGTAATCACTATCTTTTAATACTCCTAACACATAGAAATTCGAAAAATCTTGTTCAGCAATGTTAGCAGCCTGTGAGCCTCGGAAACTAATTTGGCTGATGTGTCTCTGATAGGGAGCTTGGGGCTGCACCAAGGGGAAACATTCTCCTCCTGTATTCTCTCCTCTCTCTCGTTTGAAAGCCTGTACAAAGAAATGGTACAAATGGATGGTTAACTTAATGATTCCATCAGAGGCAGATTTTTCTCTGTCAGGTCCCTGGATAAGGTGGAGGTCTGAAAGCCAGGAGACAGAATATGTACTTAATCGCCCTTTCTGACCTGCTTACCAGTGACCAGGACTACTCTCCAGGCCTTTCTTCTGCCACTTCCCCATTCTTCCTGGCTAGTTCAGTTGGGTCTCAGCACTTCAACTCCTGGCTGGATCCTGAGTTTTTCTTGGTTGCAGGGAAAGCTCTCACTGTCTGCATCTCCTTCCCCACCCCCACCTCCCGTTTTGCAGCTGGCCATTCTGGCTGCCTCACAGCTATCCTGCCTTAATTCATATTTGATTGCCTGGACAGAACCACCTAGAATGTCCAGACGACTGCCACCCCTCAGCCATGGGCCTGAGATCCTGCCCTGACCCCTTTCTTCAGACCCCAGGAGGACCCACAATCTCCCTGATCCCCACCTTCCCCAAAGTAGTCTCTAGGAAAAAAGCAGAGCTGGCTAAGGCCTGAGACAGAGCCATTTCTTCCCCTTGGGCAAACGAGGTAGACCCTCCCAGAGACCAATGCCGGAGAGGCCCGGATCCGAGCTCCCTTTATATGGCCTCCCCCATCACGGATCCCGTGGGAAAACCTGACACACAATGGCGCGGCTGCTCCGGGCACCCTCAACCCAGCGCCCTGCGGCAAGGCCTGGAGCAGCCTGGTGGTCTTGGTGCGCTCCCTTTGCCCTCCCCGCAACCCTCTGCGAGCACTCGTCCCAGGAGAGAGACCCTGGCTAGGGTGGAGGTTGCCTCCCGCAAAGGGCGCTGTTGCTGGGGCCTCCCCTCCCCCATTCTCTTGTTTTTCTGCTTCTGAGACTCGGGAGGGAGGCGGCAGGCGCCTCCGCAGCCGATAGAGCAGCTATTGTGACCTTCCCTTGCAGAGCGGGAACCCAGCCGAGTGTGTACCGCCGGCGGTGGCGGGGGAGGAGGCGACTGTGTGTGCAAACCTCAGTCGGAGAGGGGGTGGCGCTGGGAAATAAAGGTTTGCAACCTCAGGCAGTTGGGCCCTTCAGAGGGCGTTTGGTTGTGTTTAGACTCGGTTGCTTTCTAACACTAATTGCAGGCTCAAAAGGAGCGGAATTTATTGCGAAGGCCAAGGCGGCTTGTTTATAATTTATGAAGTTTTAAATGGCTGTGCCGCGGGCCCCAACTTTCTCCTGGGCTGGCAGCCGCGCGGAAACGCGCCCTCCCCCGGCTCGCCGCCCACCCCCACCCACGCCCCTCAGATGAGTCTCACGCCAATGGCAGGAACAGATCCGAGCTATTAGAAGTCTCGGGAACCTCCAGAGATGACAGAAGGTGGCAGATTTGGTCCAAGCCCTCACCCCACTCGAGAGGAGGGCGTCGGGGAAAGCTGTGGCTGCCTGGAGAGGGAGCCCCTGATCCCACACTTCCTTGGAGCCTGAGTGTGAGAGGAAGCTAATGTCAGCCGGGCTAGACACCGTTTAAAGTCTAATCCATGAAACCCTAAGCCGCAAATGACACTTGGGGCTTTGCAGACACCCGCAGACTCAGCAGATACTCCTGCGGTAACACACTGTGCTGGAAAACGCCTGGAGCCATGACACATTACGTATTTTTATTATTATTTATGGTAGGAAGAGGAGATGAGGGAAAATCGGGCTGAATCTAAGCAGCCTGACAATTCAGCTAGTTAATATTTAGCCAGTTAAGAAAGGTGGTTGTAATCCCTGCAAGGCAGTGAGCTCTCCTTTGATTTCTCTAATAGCTTAAAAAATAATTTCTTACAAGACAATTAGAAATTCTGCCTATGGATGCAAATTTCATAGAAAACAATGTTAAGCCTTGAAAGTGGGTAAAATGTGCCTTCGATTGAAGTCATTTATTCTGTTGATACACTTCTACAACATATATATTTTAAACCTGCTCAGATAAAGTGAAATTTAGCAAAAGGATATCCCCTCCCACCCCCAAATCTAACATGCCATTTTAAAAACAGCACAAAGGAACAAGGAAACTAAATATTATTTTGAGCCATCATTACTTAGTGAAATACAAACATCCAAATAGAAACGATTGTTGTTCCACCAGAAGATTAGAAGTTAAATTATTTCCACACAATAGGAATTTCACTTCGTGTCATCGGGGATGTAGTAGGAGTTGCATTATTTGTCAAACCAAATAGAGATGCGTGGGCTGACTTTGCTGAAATACAAAAGAATTGAACCTTATCTGAAGGCGTTTTCTAAGTGGCCCCTCCCATAGAAGCCGGGAAGTTGTCCACCCCTAGCAGAAGCCACATTAATATTTACAAAATGGTTATAAATCCTTGAAGACATTTTTGCCCATTTTGTATAAGAAACAGGAGTAAACAAGGTGTTTATACTTGTTATGTTTCATTAATGAAATATTATTACTTTACATCTTGGGGAATGTTTGTTTTCTTTAGAAATGAACTAATGATCACTACAAAGGAAGAATTCATGACAGCATTTCCTAGAGAAAAAGCTTAGGTACGCGTCTCCAAATGATGGTTTCTTTTTCTACACCTTAGCTTTTTCATAGCTCAATTCTTCTTACAACTTCTCTTGTGTTTTTTCTTTGATTGTCAGTTTTCTTTCAAAGTTTATTTTTTGTTACTTAATGCAGAAAAGTGAGCTCTGGTCTCCCCAGTGTAAAAGTCGATTGTGTCTAGAAAGAAGGCAGTAAAAACAGCAAAGCAGGCGCTGCTTTCAAAAAGCCCTGCCCAAATCATCCCGCCCAGAACCTTCTTAGGTTTGCATCCTCATTTCCCCCTCCCCTAATTTCAATAGCTGGAAAGTAATCAAGTATCCCGAGAACCAATTTATGCACTAGACTCCAAATAAATAAAATATTTTTTTCAAAGTGTCAGTCTGTTTCGGGGCCTTCCATGGGGATTGTGCGAGATAAAGGCATAGTGATCTGCTTGCAAGTGTGCATGATTAACACAGATACAGTTCCGACTGGGAAATTTTTTTATTCTAAATATTTGTTCCAATAGTACCAGACAATTTGAAATCAATAAACTGTGGTGAGGACTGTGGTTTTTGAGAAATGACCAAAGTGTGTTGTGCCACGCCACCGGGCTTCCTGACTCTACCCATGAAGGACAATTTGCGGTCTTAATCCTTTATGTCAACTACAAACACCAGCCACGGTTACGACTGTTCAAAACTACTCTCTCAACTAGTTCAGACCAGGGGGACTAAGGAGGTGAAATGTGGCCCCCACGGCCTGGAAGCGAATTCCTAAGCTCGGCTGGATAAATCTACAAATATACACATAAATACATTCAGACAAGGATAAATAATCAGGGAACGAAATGACTCGCTTCAAATAATAAATACAGATAGTTTAGTCCGATGCAATCCTTACGGCACAGGAAGGAGAATATAAATTAAGGTCTCTGAAACTAAGCTAGACGCGGGCCAGGCCCAAGACTCTCCAAGCTCTGGTCCCTCTGCAGGGCGCGCCGCTGATGGGTCTCAGACTTACCTTTGGGACACCATTACCAGATTGGAGTCCCTTGGTCCGCAGTATGTGGCACTGTCAAATTTACAGGGAAGGATCCTTGCGGCTGATTTATGGCGAGTCACCCAAAGGACGCCCATGGAGGGGAGGCCCGGTCGCCTGCGCCTCCGCCGCTGGAGGCCTGAGACCCGGGAGGCGGCGGCAGGGCAAGAGCGGGGAAGGGGGTTCCCGAACTGCCCCGCGGGCCCCACCCTCTACCCCACCACTACAGCAAGAGAGGTAATTTTGCCGCGAGTTCGGGCTGGCGGCGGCCGCTACAGATGCGTCAGTTTGGGAGCCTCCGGCAGTCGTCCCTGAGACGAGTGGTGGGCCGAGAGATCTGTGTAGGTGGGATGAGGGTCGCAAGGTCCATGGTGGTGGTTGCCTGGAATCTGCGCGGCGCAACTGTAGTCCACGCTGGCCGACGACGGGTGCGAGAGGTGGCCCAGGTTGAAGACAGGCCCGGACGCGGGCGCCATGGACTCGACGAAGTTGCCGCCCACGTACACCGGGCTGCCCTGCAAGTTGGCGCTGGCGAAGCCGCCGCCGTTGCTCGCCATGGGATGGGGCTCGAACTCCGGCGCTGCGTAGCGCTTCTGTTGTGGCAGGCAGCTGCTGAGTGGCGCCGTGTAGGCGGCCAGGCCGTACATATTGGGCTGTGATTTGGCGAAAGCAGGCGGCGAGGGCGCGTCGTAGGCCAGGCCGGGCACTGGCGGCAGCTGGCCGGAGTAGGCCACGTGGCCAGCGGCGCCGCCGAGCGGTGGGCTGCGCTCAGGGGACTGGCTAGCCGGCGAGTGCAGGATGCCCTTGGCCTTCTGGTCCTTCTTGTACTTCATGCGCCGGTTCTGGAACCAGATCTTGATCTGGCGTTCCGTGAGATTCAGCAGGTTGGCCATCTCCACGCGGCGCGGCCGGCACAAGTAGCGGTTGAAGTGGAATTCCTTTTCCAATTCCACCAGCTGCGCGCTCGTGTATGCCGTGCGTACCCGCTTGGATGCTGGGCCTGGCGGGCTCTTGTCCTCGCAGCTCTCTCCTGGGCAGGGAGGGAGAGAGGGAGGGCGCTGAGCGAGTGGGTGGGGACCCTCAGGACTGGAGAGGGGTGCTTCCCTGGTTCTCTTTTCCTCCTCCCTCCCCCCACCTCCAATCCTGGCTGGGGAGGGGAAGGGCCGTTTGAGAGGTATGATTCCAAGGGGGAATTCACCTACCTACCAACCCCCTACTAGGCCTACCTATCAGTCGCACCTGAAACCTCCATCAGCCTTCTGAGATCCAGTTCACTCTGCCCACCCTCTCCCCTGCAGCCTAGTCCATCATCCCATACCCACCCAAAGGCCATGAAAGAGTTTAATGAGAGACCAGGAGCAGCTGGTAAGGCCTCCCTCTGTCAAAGAAGGGCCAGACTCCTTTGAACACTCCTCCCAGCCTCTGCTGCCAGGGGTGGGGTATGGAGAAGGAAAGGAAGAGGAAATAGCTCCAGCCTGCCTTGCTTAGGAGCTGGCCTCTGGGCAAAGCCCCCCACCAACCCCCAGCAAAGTATGGGGATGGAGATCTTGGCGCCCCACTGCAGCCCAACTGCACTCAAAGCCAGGGAGGTGACAAACCAAAAAATAAAAAATAAAAAAAAACCAACCAAACAAACAAACAAAAAAAAACACTGCCTGGGTATTTTAGGGAGTCCAAGGCCAGGCTGGAAGCATTTTGAGTATTCACAGTGCTAGGAGCAGCAGCCTCAACACTGGCTTTTACTACCCTGCCACCTCTCAGCTGCTTGTCCACTCCCTCCCAGGGAAGACAAATGGATTTCTCCTGGGAGGGAGGGCCTGAGCCTGCAGCTGAGGAAGGAGGGGCAGGAAAAGGAGGTTGCAGGCAGGATAATACCCTCTCCCTAGGAGCAGCAGCCCCAGAAAACATCAGGCAAACCAGATCCCTGATAGCAAGCCACACCCCAGGCCCCAAACTTGCCCTGGACCTGGAAGCAAGTTCATCTACCTGAAGATAAACCACATCAGATACCACAAGGTCAGAAAATTTCAGGAACCAAGCAGTCTAAGCAGAGAGAAGGAACAGCCCTCAGAGTTCCTGGCCATGCCTATCTTCTACATGCCCTGGGTGGACCTAGAGAAGGCCCCAACTGGAGGGGCTCCCCTTCCAGTTAGAGAAATCCAAGGCTGTTACTGTCTCCCAGAATATCCTCTCCTACTAGGACAGGCACCTCCCCATTATGGATTTGCTGGAGTGGGAGAATTGGGCTGAGGTGGGCCAAATAGAGACTCATGGTTATGCTTAGCAGCCCCTAAAGCCAGACTGACTGGATTCAAATCCACCACTTTGCAGTTTCAGAATCTTGGGCAAGTTGCCTATCCTCTCTAACAGTTTTCTTATCTGTAAAATGGGGATGTTATCATATACCTACCTCAAAAGGTTCTTTGAAAAATTAAATTAGATAATGCTTAGAAAGTACTTAGTATGGTACTTTCTAAGACTTTAGTTTTTATGAGTTTAAGGGAATGAGATTCGTGTGATATGGGCTATATAATCACCTAGGCTTGGGGATTGTAATACCTATCTTCAAATCTTGAAGAGCTGTTGGGTGGAAGAGGGAATGGAGTTATAATTAGCAGCCCAGGAAAACAGATATGCCCATATAAGGAAGCACTCTCTATTAATAGCTATAAGACCTGTCCAGCAACAGCACCAGCAGCCTGGAATGGAAGGGAGCACCCTGTCACTGCAAGGTCATGACCCCAATCAGGAACACTAAAAAAAAGAACATTTTGACGTGAGTAGGAGTTTAGACATATGACCTCCAAGGTTGCATTTCCAGCCCTGACTAGGCTTCCTTGGGTCAATCTGGAGGGGGCTTGGTCTGGCAGTAGGCCACCTCAGGGAGCTACCTGCAGTGGCACAGCTGTTCTTCTGCTTGGAGTTCTGTCGAGACTCTTTCATCCAGGGGAAGATCTGCTTGCTGATGGTGGCTGAGGAGCTAGAAGCATTGGGCCCACCTTTGGGCTTCTTGGCAGGCACTCCACCTCCAGGATTGGTGGGTGAAGATGGGGGCAGGGTCGGTGGTGGAGGAGGGGGTTGTGGTGGCTGCTGCTCTGAGTTCAGACCAGGAGGCTGGCTGCCACCACCCCCACCCTGGCTGTTCCCAGTGCCCGGCCGCATGCAGCTGCCATTGAGTTCAGCTCCTTTGTGGGCTGGGGCTCTCAGAGGGGCAGAGCTCTGGATGGAGCAGGCAGAACCTGGATAGTCAGTGTCCAGGGAGCTGGCAGCAGCAGGGGGTGGGTAGGGCTGGTGGGGGGTGCTGTAGCCGTAAGTGTCCGTAGTTTTGCTGTAGCCATAGCCTCCAAACAGTCCTGGGTTTTCATAGTAAGCAGCCTTCTGCATTGTGCACTCAGGAAGCTCCAGGGCCTGCTGACCCTGCTCAAATAACATTGACTACCACTGTATCCTTCACTGCCACCTCCAATGTCTGCTGAATCCTGAGAGAGCTGGGCCGGCCCCCAGGCTCCAGGTGACCTGTCAGAAGAAAAGCAAGAGGCCCCAGAGGGAGTGTCATTGGCAAGACCAGTCAATATAGAAGGACTAGCCCATGCTCTCTGCTTCCTACCCACTTCACGGCGGGGAGATGGGCAAGGTGCTGGATCTGAGTTTATTTACTTATCTATTTATTTATTAATACAGTGTCTTGCTTGTTGCCCAGGCTGGAGTGCAGTGGCATGAACATGGCTCACTGCAGCCTCAATTTACTGGGCTCAAGCGATCCTCCCACTTTAGCCTGGTATTAATAGCTATTTCAGAGTATTTCAAAGTCCCAGCTATTCTGCAGTATTAATAGCTATTTCAGAGTATTTCAAAGTCCCAGCTATTCTGCAGTATTAATAGCTATTTCAGAGTATTTCAGAGTCCCAGCTACTCTGCAGTAGCTACAGGTGCCCACCATGCCTGGCTACATGTCTTAGTGTTTTGTTTTGTTTTGTTTTAGATGGAATTTTGCTCCTGTTGCCAAGGCTGGAGTGCAGTGTCATGATCTCAGCTTACTGCAACCTACGCCTCTGGGTTCAAGCAATTCTCCTGCCTCAGCCTCCTGAGTAGCTGGGATTACAGGCACCTGCCACCACACCTGGCTAATTTTTTATATTTTTAGTAGAGACAGGGTTTCACCATGTTGGTCAGGTTGGTCTTGAACTCCTGACCTCAGGTGATCAACCCGCCTGGGCCTCCCTAAGTGCTGGGATTACAGGTGTGAGCCACTGCGCCAGCTCTTAGTTTTTTTTTTTTTTTTTTTGTAGAGACAGGGTCTTACAATGTTGCCCAGGCTGGTCTTGAGTTCCTGGGCTCTTGTGATCCTCCCGTCTTGGCCTCCCAAAGTGCTGGAATTACAGGCATGAGCCACTGCGCCTGGCAGATTTTATGAAGTTCAACTTATTTGAACCTCTGGAAGTATCAGAAGGAATTTTTCCTAAATGTAAGAAGAGTTTCCTTCTTTTTAGCTCAACTGTAGCTGAGGGAAAGGGCTTCCCTCTACCTCCAGATACAATTTACTTTCTTCAAGATTGTCCATTTAGCCTTTCTTCTGTGTGGAAAAGTACTTATAGCCTCAGACATTTTGTTGGCTGATTCGCCCACTAAACTGTAAGCTCCTTGCAGGCAGGGGCTGTGTCATTTGTCTACTGTTCCTAACATCCAGCACAGTGCCCTGCATGTAGTTAGTGCAATAAATGCTTGTTGAATAGGTGAATTAATAAGTGGATCAATCAGTCAATCATTGGGTCAGCACAAGGTTTTGATGGGAAATGAAAGTCCTATAACATGCTCAGAACAGCCAGAACTTAAAAAAAAAAAAAAAAAAAAAAAAAAAAAGGGTCTCCCCCCACCTGGTTTCAAAATCACAGCATCTTGCATGAAAGTCCAGATAGTCCACTTAACGATGACAGGGTGAAAATCAGCTGAGTAAGCTCTATGAATCAGCAGTGTAAAATCTACAATGTAGAAAACTAGGGGATAAACACCAACAGGAGGACTTGCAGACTTCCAGACTCATTTTGAGGCTAGAAAATGTTTCTTCTCTTTCATTTACATTTTTCTAGACCTTTTACTTTTGACCTCCCCTACTTTTAAACAGATACCACTGGAAATGGGCAAAGAGATCTAGAATTTGAAATGCATGGAACATGGGTGAGTGGAGAATGCTTTATAACTTTATTATTTTTGCCTTGGATCTATTGTATAAATAGATATTATTGACATCTGCTCTGGATAATCTATTCTACCCTACCTCCCACCCAAACCACAACCAATGAGAGAACCTTTCATGACATGATGAATGGACCCAGAATTAGAAGAAGAAAAAAAAGCTAAGAAAAATCCTACCCCTTTTGTATTCCCTTCTTTATGGGGGTTTCCCTTCTCTCCCTGCCTCCCTACTTCTTCTGAAAGGCTCCTAAAGAGTTAAAGTATAACTAATACCATTCAATCACTTTGTCTGTTTGATAAAGAAAACTCATAGGTCAGCTCCCTGGTCTCAATTCTTGATCTGTCTTTCAGGCAACTTTCCTTCCTAGAAACTCTCCCTGGCTTCCATCCTGGTCATCATGATGTACCACATCATCTAGACAGCTTATGTGGCCTAATGGATTTGACCACAGGTACCAGAATGATTCACTAGTTTTCCCTCCACCTGCACCAAACAGCCTAACCCAAATTTTAAAATTCTTCTAATTAGTCTTTGGTAGGTAGTGTTGTTGCCCTTTTTGTTTTGTCTTGTTTTAGAATATAAGTGAGTATGCCATTTGTCTTGATGAGGAACAGGCCCTTAATACCAAGATACTATGTTGTAGAAATTGTTTCCATTATTGTTCTTAAATGTATGTAGGTAGGATATCTACTTAACAAAGCTGGACTTAATTTTTCTTTTGATTAATTTTATATATCATTCTCTGTTAAAAGTTACTGGATATCAAATGGACAGCTAAGTCTTCATTCTGTGACTAATACTTACATATGTTTGCCCCCTGCTGAAGAAAGAGGCACTCTGGATTTGGTTATGTTTCAGGCTTTTCTGGTATCCTGCTTTCAGTCTTAACCCTCTGGAGGCCTAATGGTCACATCGGACACTCAGACTACCAGAACTTGCTGCTGCTCTGTCATTCCATTTACAACTGTGGAAGCAAAACATTCACCCTCCTGCCTCCCAAGTTGACAAAGTTGATCTAGATAGGTGAACCAGTCACGTTAAAATAGCTTACTTAGGAACTGACCAGTTCTTCTGGGACAGATGGCTTTATATATATATTTGCTTCTATGGCATATTCCTAGAAAAAGTTCTGTGTACAGACCTCAAAAGTACAAACATTGGGCATCTTCCTGAAAAACCAGAGTCTGTTTTCCTAACTGTTTACATTGTCTCAAGAAATTTCCCACTCAATGACAATCCACTACCTTAATGTCCATTTCCCCAAAAGCAAGAGCCAGTGATGGTGCTGTCCTTACTGGAAATGGCTTTGCAGTCCCCCAAAAATGCAGTTTCCCAAAAGTGATCCCTCTTAAAACAAAACCTGAGAATATAGTTACAAAACTGGTAAAAAGGCTTATTTCTTTTCAGAAATCCCTACTCCTTGTGAACTCTGCTTGAACCTAAAAAGCAGGAACGGGTCATAAATCACTTGGACAATGGTCAACTGTTCAGTGGCTCATCTTTTCGATCACCCCCTCACCCTTTTTTTAAAGCCTTTCTTTTCTCGCCCTTTGGTACCTTTGCTCATTTGGGCTCCAAGACCCAAATGTCTTGGGGTGAAGATGAGCCAGTGTTGGGGGAGGGGTGGTCGAGCACGGCTTCTCATTTCTTCCAAGTCCTCAGCTGCCCTTTCCTCTCCCTCCTCCTCTCCTCCACCCTCTAGCCCGGGGAACTGGCCAGGGCAGCCTCCCCAAACTCCGCCGGCGCCATCCCCTGCTCCTCCTGGGAAAGGGGTGCCAAATAGGTCTGGCTCGCCCTTTCTTGCGGTGCTGGGAAGTTGCCCAACTCAGCTTGGAGGCCCAACCGCAGGCCCGGAATACAGGGCCAAACGGTCTCCTGCCGGAAGGAAGGTATTCTCTGAGCGGCCACCGCCCGCTTCCCCGGGCCCGCCGGCCCGCCGCAACCGCTGCGCCTCCAAAGCAGCCGAACCCTGATACTTGCTCACCGCACTTAATGCTACTAGAGATCAATACCTAATATGATACCAAATAAATAAAAGGCGCTCACAGCGACCAGGGGACGGGGTTATTAAGCAGCTGGAGCTCTCACGGTGCATATCAATGCACCTGTCATTGTGGTTTGTAGCAAAATTTATGACTGCGACCACGGCGGCAGTAAACGCTTCGGTAAGGAATGAAAAGAAAAACACTTCCCAAGGCCCGGCACTTTTCAGCAGTGGAAAGCAGGCTCCGCGTAGGAGGCAGCGCAGCAAAAGAATTCCCTACTCCGCACTTTTCCCGCTCTTGCACCCTGCGAGCAGCAGGATTATATAAAGTGACCGGCGCCTGCTTCTGCTAGCAGCTCTGCTCGGCGGTCGGAGGCGGGACGAACGCGCGCAGCCTCGCTGGGGACCAAAAATCTGCTGCCCGTGGTGGCCTCGGACGCCGGGAGGCTAGTCCGACTTGCGGAGGCCGGCTCGGCACTTGCTTGTACGCCGGTGGCAGTGGAAAAGCTGAGGGGGCTTGGGAAGGGAGGGGACACCAGGCGCCAGGCTGTGACTAGCGCTGCAATCGTCGTAAATCACCGACGGGTAGAGTCAGCCCATCCAAGTTGAAAGAGAGGGGGAAGGCGATGGAGGTTGCGGTCAGTTTCTCTCAAAATCCGCTAGTGCTCGAGCTGGTCTCGGCGCCTCCCCCTGTTTTGCCTAAACCAGGGTCAGAAGCCCACGGATCTCTTTCTGGCGGCCAAGACTTTTGCTGAGCATCCCCACGAATTCACTGGAACCGAGCAACGATTCTCCCTTTCCTGTTGGCTTTGCTACTTCGGGATTCGAAACCACTGGTTTTTGGGTTTGCTCGAAAGGAGACTTCTTTACGTTCCGCCCAAGTTCTCCCGATCTCTAAGCTTGAGCCTCTTTTGCTCTATAAGAAGACCTGGACGCGCCTTCTAAATCACTCTTATTTAGCCCAGATAACTCAATACTGTAATGCACCCTGTATTTAAGGCACTGGGCTTGCCCCATTAAAGCGCCATAAATTTGAAGGCCAATGATCGGTTTTCATGTAACGGGTGGTACTTCATACTGAAGTGACCCACTTCAAAGCTGCCCTTTGTTCTATGTCTTGATGTATGAATTTTGAGATGGCCACCTTGAGTTGCAGAGGGAAATGTACTGGAAATTATTATTTAAATGATGCCCACTCACCACAATTATGTATGTGTGTGTTTTCTTGAATTTTGTCTTTATCTCTTTTTTTTTTGTAGGCTCTTCAGGTTTCTTTTGATATCTGTGGAGGCGAATCTGGAACAAAATGGAAAACTCTCAGTAGCAGCCGGTTCTTGCTTACAAACACTTACATGTTGAAGGGCTTTTCCCACTTGAAGGACGTCATAGTCAATGTGACTATTGTATATGGTACCCGTGACCATCCAGACGCCTTCTCCCCGGCAAAACACAGACTCAGTTGGCTCCTGGGGAGCGAGGGCCCCTTTAACGCCAAAATCCATGGCTGGATGGGGGAGGGGAGAGCCCGGACGTGAGGGAAGCGCCAGACCCTCTAGCCAGGTGGGTCAGAGGTGCAGGGAAGCCAATCTGCTCTCCTCCTGCCCCTACCAAATTCTAAATGCTCCTCCAGGTCCCAATCCCGGAAGCCAAACACTCTCCTAGGGGCAGAAGAGAGAGACCGTGCAGAATTAAGGTGGGGGTTTGGCAGGGGAGGCTGCAGAAAAGGGCACCAGGAAAGGAAGGTAAATAGGCTTGGGTGGATCTTGGTCAGGGGCTGCTCTACAGAGCCTCAGTGAAGAGGACCTGGGCGCTAGTTCCTGATTTATACATTAAATATATCAGATGCTTTCCCTGAGTTTATTCATTCCGGTAAGTATCCACCACACTCTTGGCCCTGGGCTGCCCACTTCTGGGTCAGGAT
The DNA here is from genome assembly GCF_000001405.40 of Homo sapiens. Taxonomy (NCBI): domain Eukaryota; kingdom Metazoa; phylum Chordata; class Mammalia; order Primates; family Hominidae; genus Homo; species Homo sapiens. The sequence goes on along the minus strand of NC_000002.12, from coordinate 176,163,447 downwards.
CAGACTGCAAATCGCCTAAGAAACAAACATCCTTTCCACCCCCACCCAAAGCCACAGACCAAGCTCCCCCACCACTGTCACCGCTCAGCGGGTGACCACCCCCCGTCAGGTGAAAGGAGAGAGACAGAGTCCCCCTCTTGCATCTGCCCTGTGCAATTTGTCGACTCAGTAGTTTGCGAGCACTAAACTACACCCGGGAAAGCCTCACACAAAGCGTTCCCGGCGCTTCTAAAGACTAAAGCGCGCAGCCATAAGCCTTTGAAGTGACCTTTGGCTCGCACCGCAATAACTCACCCCTTAATGAACACCCAACAGAAGCGCCTCGAAGAGATCCCAGCCCGGTAGGGCTCCTAACTTCGCGCTGCGGCTTCAGCTTCCCAGCCGGCCTGGACCCAGGGGGAAAAGCCACTTGCCCGCCCCCCTCCCCCAAGCGCTCTTGGCTGGGCCGGGACCTGAGGGTGGTGCGGTGGAGGCCCGAGGTACCAGGGCTCTCAAGCCAGCTGGTCCTGTAGCTGCTTTATATAATACATTCACGTGGGCGGACGTCAACTTTCGCCGCTTGATTATTTTTTATTTATTTATTTTTAAAAAAGAGTTCTTTAGAAGTAGGAGCATCCCCTCAAAAGAAGAGCTAAGTTGGGAGGTCACCCGGGGCCGCCACCCCCTTATGCCTCTAGCTAGATTTTTCTTTTTCCAGCCGCGGAGGAACAGGGTAAGTTTGCGCCTGGGGGTTCCGGGGTGCGCGGTGCGCTTTGAGCTCTTGGCGTAAGAGGCTTGGGAAGAAGAAAGGAAAGAGGACCCCAAGTTAACCAAAGTTGGACCACCAGAAAAGCCTTCAGCACCTTCTCCCACGCTCCCTACCCTGCCCACCCACCATCCCACGCGGGTCCAACTTTGGCTCCTTGTTTGCCCAGATTCTCAGCCTTAACCGGGCTGGCTTTGGACCACCAGCACTGGTGCTCTTTCTGGAGCCAAAAACGGGAAGAGCAGGAAGGAGCTGCGTCCGTGAGCTGTCAAGGAAGAGCTGAGTCCAGGCAGCCCCAACCCTACACCTCATCCCTCAGCAGCACCCTAGGAAAACTCTTTAGGATAGGGCCAGCGTGGAGCCTTGGTAGGGATTATTGAAATTTTCGGGGGAAGTTATAAGTGAATGCTCCATGGGGCCAAATGAAATGCTACTCGCGGTAATTGGATTCAGCTGACTAAGCTGGCAGGCGCGCAGCTTCAAGGCAGCTAGCAAAGAAAAATGTCCAGCGACTTTCAGTTCTGATGAAGCCAAGCGCAGGAGATTGACAAAACAACTTTACTGCTCTCTTATGATGGCGAAGCCCCTGGAAGTCGGTTCCTCTCCTGCTAGGGCCTGTCCCAACCTAAGCTAAGGGAATGCTCCTTGCTTTTGAGGTTCTTTCCCCATAAAGGTCCGGTTGGGTCTGGCCCAGTGGCATTACCACGAGCATGGAACCACTCACTGGAGCTCCTGGAGCTGCTCACTCCATCCCTGGCACGGAAAGACCCGGGATGGGTTGTCTTCTCCTCTCCCAGCCAGTAGCCACAGGGAGCAAGTAAACAAAAGGAGAGATGGGATTCGTGAACCAATATATGATTTAGCTTTCATTCAGGGTTCTTTGGGGAGAAGGACCTAGAAACACTAAACCTTTTCTCTGCCACTACGGCAATCAAAAGCCTGGATTGGTAAAGGGAAATGTGGAGGAACCTCCCAAACTCTTCTGGGTAGTTTGGAGGTTCTCTCAAATTTTGGGAGGAAAAGCTCAGTAGCGTTTTAATCTCCCAAGAAAAAATTAAGCCAACAGCAAGAGGTAAAGGCTGTGTGTGGAGCTCGCTACCGGAACAATGCAGGGAGCTGGCTGACCACCGAGTTTATTTTAAATACATATAAATCAACCCGCCTGCACCCAGCCCGGCAGCTCAAGACACAGAATTAATATGACGCTCCATCTTACTTTGGCAGTAAAGTGTAAAAAAGTTTTAATTTCTTTTTCAGCCCATTCTCCTAAGTGCACATTTAGCCCCCAAATATTTCCTCCAGCACTCAATCCCCTCACCAGATCCCCTCCTTAAACTGCTACTACCACCCCCAATGCTGCCGGCCACCCTCCAAGCCTGGCAAGGTAGTGTCCTCCTAACCCTTTGGTAGGCGGGGAACGTCCCCACAAAGCGCGCCTTGTTACGATTAATCACCGTCCTCCATGTATATGTAGCAGTGTATCTAGGTCTACGCGGGCTGCCTCACCAATTGGCAATAATCAAGATCACAGATTACACAAAATAAATCATATTTAATATCCCGCTCAGGGCGGCAAGCAGCCCCGTGCCCAAAGATTTCCATTTTGTCATGCAATTGCTTACCTGGATCCCAATTTATCATAAACCTGGTGTCCTCGGCCTCAGAGTGGGCGCCAGTGGGGGGCAGAGCTAGCCTTCCCCCTTTGTCTGCAGACAACACTGTCCCAACCCTGGTCTTGCGCGCTCGCAGACACGGCCATATACTCGAGCACACGGAATTCCCGGTAGAACGGAACCAGGCTGAGGTTCAACTACCAATAAACGCAGGAGGAACGAGTTCGTAGTCCCCGAGCTGGCTTCGCCTGCGCTGCGCGCCCATCGGTCCACCCGCCCGCCCGTCCGCTCTCGGGCCCAGAGCGGCAGCCACCCGCGCCCCCACCCACTCCTGGGTTTCTGCCCAGCCCTCCCAGGCCCCCCAGAGCTTGGGATTTGTTTTGCTTGCGGAACGTGGTCGTTTCTGGATTTGGAGAGAGCCCCGGAAACCCCCTCATAGTCGGGAAATACAGACGCTGCCTTCAAATGCAAGCATATTTGTTCACGTGACCCCGAGGGAAGCTTGTACTGATTGAGGCTGAAACTTTCACGCCACCCAGTCCCGGAGCGCAGCCAAGCCTGGGGGCTGGAAGGAAGGGCGCAGGAGGCTTGGGACCTGGGCCCCATTCCTGGGGCAGACGCGGATGGGTGTGGGGCGGAAGGAAAGAACACATTTTCGCAGCTCCGGGCCGACTCAGTCTTGGCCTGGCCGCCCTCAGTGGGTTGGGGGCGTTGAGAGTCTCTCCCCACAACGACCTCTGACCCTGGCTGGGCCTTCCGCCAGACTGGTCCGGGAGCTGGAAATTTTAGAAACTGCCTCTCTTAGAAGCGTCTCTGGAGACTGCCGTGGAGCAGCAGAGGCTGAGGGTACCCCTAGCTTCCCGGGCCCGCGGAGTACTCCGCAGCCTCATGCACCCCGGCAAGGCGGCCTCCCCGCCGCGGAGGCCGACGCCCAGCTCCTCCCAGGGCGAGGACCCGCTCCGGCCCAAAGGTGGAAGCCGCGACTCTCAGCTCTGGCCAGTCACCTCAGAAAACCCCGCCACCACCACCATTCCGTGGCTCGTTCCGCGGACTCAGCAGCCGAGTCACCGCCACTTCTGAGACAGAAAAGGCGCGTAGCAGGCGACCCGGACCCAGAGCGACCTCCCCTCTCTGATCCCTGAGCACCCCAACCTGGTCCTTCGAGGCCTGGAGCCGCCTAGGCGCTGAGCCACTGCCCGCCGTGATCTGTGCGACTCCAGGTCTGGGCAGGACCCGCAGATCCCACAGGCCCAGCAACCGCCAAGCCGCGACTTCCCGCTTCCTGCGGCGCCTCCAGGAAGGCGAGGAGGACTGCGCAATGAGTCCTGGCTGGGCTAACCTGGGGGACAATGAAACTTATATTTTAGAAATATTAAACCAAGACAGATTCCCACCACTCTCCGAGTGGCTGGTGGGAATGATTCTGCAATGTGGGAAAAAAGAATTAAGCGTGCCAGCGCCAGCAGCGGACCTCCTGGCCTGTAATGAGCGCCCAAGACCCTCCCCCAGCCGGGGCCACACTCGGGAATCCCGCACCACGGGGAACTCTCCACCCTGTCCCCGAAGTTTTGGTTTCGTTGCCAGCTCTGCTCAGCGGCATCAGGCACAGTGAAATGCTCTGTTGCTGATTGCAGGGTCTGAGACCGGTGAAAGTGCCCAGCAGCCATAGAAGAGCCCCAGAGGAGTGGGTAAGGTCCACCGCATCCCCACTCCAGAGGCGCAGGAATGTCCTGGAGGCCCGAGCCCCCAGAACCGTCTACGAGCCCATCCTTTTGTTCACCTGGCCGGGCCTGGCCAGAGGCCCACTCGGGGCGTCTCTCGAAGCCGGATCGTGGGTGACCCCAGCCCACCCCCACCCGGAGGACCCCGCCCCCTAGCCTCTTGCCAGAGGCCGACCTGACGGCCAGCAGCAAGTGTTAATCCCCAGCCAAAGAGGGGGGCTGCTTTGCGGGAATTTGTCTCCAGGAAAGGATCTAAGCCTTCTTCAATCGGAGCATATGTTCATAGAGCAATAAACCGGAAAGATTTACAGTCCTCGCCCGGCCCCCAACAGTCTCGCACCCTTTCAGGAATTACTTACGATGATTTATCACACCAACCCGGGCAATTGTCACACTGATAAAATAGCCCGGGCCAGTGCCCGCCAAGCCGGGGCCTTGGGAGGCTGTTGGCTGCCGGGCTGCCAGCAGGGCTGGGGAAGCTTTTTGTGGGTTCCTCTCTGGGCCTACAAGGGGATATCTAGGTGGGTTGGAGTGGGTTGGAGTGGGGGGGGTGGGAGGGGAGACGATTCTCATTGAGAAAAATGCAAGCAGCTCAGAGAAAGCGCCTGGAATCTGCGCCCGAGTCACTCGCAAAGCACATAAACATTTGTCATCTTTGAATAATTGAATTAATGTGTTATTGTTTGAATGTATAATTCATAATGGGGGAAACTTTGTTTCTGTCCTGACGGGGAAATATACACACACCAAAAAATAAATGAAAACACACACACACACAAACACACACGCACACATAATCCCAAAACAACCACCACGCGCAGCCAGCCCCTGCTCGCTGAAATCATTCTGAAAGCCAATGGAGGTATCTCACAGCAACAAGAGGGAAGGAGGCGAATGAAGAGGCGCCCGGGTCGGAGCTGCAAGCTGGAAGAAAAGAATGCTCGCTACTGCCCCAGCCCACGACCCTGGCAAGCTGGGGATGGGGTGGAACGGAGCGGAGTGGCTCTTAGGACACCCAATTTTCTTGGAGTGCCGGTGAAAAAAGGCAGAAACGGGAGCGAGCAGAGAAACAGCCTTCTGCAGCCCGCACTGGCCTCTCCCCCATCCTCCTTTCCCCAGGCTTCCCGTCGCCCCGGGGTCTCCCACTCGGGCTGCAGGGACTTCTTCTCGCGTTTATTTTAGCTCTTCCAAAATAGAAATAAAAAATACAAACACAAAAATAAACGGGAAAGAAGAAGAAACTCGCTGGGGTGACAGAGGCAGCAGAACTTGGGTGGGGAGAGAGGAGCGGGGGGAGAGGCAACTCGGAAATCATTATCTGTTGGTTAAAACCTGCCTGGGGTAAAATTTCAACTCGATTTTATAGCCTTCTATTATGACGCAAAGAAAAATTTACGACCCTCGCTTGAAAAGAGGGCCAGGGCCTTTTCTCACCGGTTTAAGAATAGGCGGCAGATGCCGTGACAGCGACCATTGTTCCTGGTAGACACAGGCGACCAGGCAACCTCGGCCCGCGTGCGCCAGGCGCGTCCGCCAGCCGGGCCGGTTTTTTACAACTCCTGTTGTCTTGGAGCAGCCCGCGTGCACCTCGCCCCTCACCCCTCGCCCCCTGGCACCCTAGCGCCTCGCACACACACCCTCTCCCTATCTCTGTCTCTGTCTCTGTCTCTCCCTCTCTCACACACACAAGCGCGCGCGCGGACGCACGCACACACACACACACTCGGCCGCTCTCAGTAATTTTTCATAAGTGCAAAGCTTTGCTGAACCAAAGGTCACCATCCAAGCCACTAACAACTTCTCGCCGGCGCGCAGTTCCAAATCAGGAAGCAAAGGGAACTATTTGTCAGCGGCCGTGACAGCTAAGTTCATTAAGGATTTAAATCTGATGAAATAAAAGTTGCCAAAATATTTACCTGCGGCCGCGCTCCCGCGCCCGCCGGGGGCCGGGGGTGGAGGGCCGGGGGCACCGCGCGGCCCCCCTGGACGGGTGATATTCTTGGGATCCCTGCACTTTCCAAGTCGGAGAGAGCCCTTTGCGTGGCAGATTAATGACGACTCCGTGTTTCTTAAGGGACGTGCTGAATTAATTATTTCGCCAATCACGTGGTCGGGACTTGTAGAAATCTATTCTTATCATCTTCCTCGCACTTAGAAAATTCTCCGGGTTATGAAAGGCCCTCCCCCGGCTGCCAGCGAGCCCCGGCCGCCCAGCCCGGCGCGGGGGGCAGGGAGGGCTCCCCAACATGGCGGGCAGGCGGGCGGGAAGCGCCGTCCGCCGAGGGTCCCGATTTACTGTACTCTATACTCAGCGGGCTCTGCTATGGACTCGCTTCCTCCTCATCCCTGCCCGCGATTCAATACACACAACGGTATTGATGTATTGGTGGGCACGGGAGGAGCCATTAAGCAGAAGACGGGCAGAGGACAATCATAAAATGTGTCTGAATATTTAAACTTCTGCCTGCGCACTTATAAATACACATGTCCACGCGTCTGGGGCAAGCCCTTCCATATATTAAGGACAGATGTCTGATTTTATGCATTCTGCTCATTTCCTGTCTGGAACAAGCACCCCCATCTATTTTGGGACTCCTGTCTTGGCCCCTTCTTCAAGGCGAGGCCAAGATGTAAAGAAGCCCTTGCGGTAAATGTAGTGCAGGGCACTTTTTATAGTGGGGAGTGTTTATTGTTGCCTGAGGGGTGGAGGGGGCGCGGAAGAAGGAGGGGCAGGTGCTGGAGTCCCCACAGGAGCTTAACAGTACTGGAAAAGTAGAAGCCCAAGAGTGGAGGCCCGGGGGTCAGGTCAGAGCAGCCACCCAGGAGCCTCAGCTCGGCCCAGAACCCAGCACGCTCTCCCTGCCTTAGGGGTGGGGGACCAGTAAGGTGTCTCATCCACCACTTCCCAAAGACTTCCTCTGAGGGCTTCCAGACCAAAAAGGTCTGGGGCCTGGCCCGGGCCCAGCAGAATGCCAACCTGGATCCCCCTATTAACCTGGGCAATTACTTTTTCTTCAAAAAATTAACACCCAACACTCTGTACCCTGAATTCAACCCCAGGCTTCCCAATGCTCACAAAATATGGTGGCCAACTGGGAGTGTGTGTACATTAAGGAGGTGGTAATAATAGAATTGCTAAGCCTTACATGGTTTAACCTTCACACTTTAGGCACCCCCCAAAAAATGGTGCCTAATTTATTGCAGAAAATAATAACTTGTTTATGTTAAATGTTAGCTTTTAGAAGACTTAACAAAGGATGAATGCTTCTGTTAAGGCACCAAACAGGAGGGAGATTTTGCTACACCTTTTATTATTTTAAATATAGATCAATGAATTACATCAAAACTACAAGCAACAATTAGTATAAATAATACTTTAATCAGTGGCAGCAAAACATTGGTCAATTCTATTAAAAAAGCATCTCGTGTGAACAGACATCATGGGCTGACTGACAGTGTCATCTCCCAACAAAAGGCTGCGATGGACAAAGTGAGATGGGAGTCAGAGGAGCAATGTCCTCAGCAAACACTTCACTCTCCCCCTCCCCCAGTCAGGACCCCAACACGGTTTTTGTTTTTGTTTTTAAAACACCAACACAAACACTTCTGGCTCATATTTAAAGGAACAAACTGGAAACAAATAATAGCAAATGGGCATTGGAGCTTTTCCACACCTAGCTTTCTCCAAAGCACGTTCTCAGATGGAAACCCATTTCCTTCCCTGCCCTAAGTGGTTACGGGGCCCTACCCCTTCCCTGGCCCACTCCTGTGGGCCCAAATGGATGCTGGGGTCCGACTGGGACCTCAGGGTTGGGGGCTGCACTCTGGGCCATCCAGGCTCCATTAACATTTCAAAAGAATCCCTCCAAGCTGAGAAGGAGAGCTGAGACTTATAAACAAAGAAGTTGTTTCTCTGATTAAGTTACTTTCCAAAGTAGTGGGGCTATGTTTGAGAAGGAGCTTGGGTTTTCCTCATGAAAACATGTTTCTTGGCTTTCCTCTGGGGCAGGGATGCAGTCAGTTAAGCCTGTGTGGCATTTGGTATGAAACTGGGGGTGAGTAACCTGAACTTCTGAGGTGGGGGAAAATCTATACAACAAATCTCTATTATATATATGTAATTGGATGTTGTGAAAATATATACCTTTTTCCCCTTCTCAAAGAGAAGGTTCAATGTATAGACAGATTTGGGTTTTAGGAAAGCAGCTTAGCAACTTTCCAACTTGCCTAAGGATAGCGGCTCCTTTCAAATGGTACATCCAAAGACTGCTCTCCATGTTAGAGAGGAAAAAAGAAGAGAAGGGTAGTTAGAGTCCAAAAGGTTAGGGGTTTAGAGGTCAGTCCTCCCGGCTGAAATACAGCTAATCAAATAGAAAATTTGTCCTCTGGATGAACCTGATTCTGTAATTTACCCGAACTTCGGTAAAATACCTTTTCAGCTTCTCAACGTGAGGGCGTCAGAAAAAAGACGTCTTGACTATGTATGAACTCTGTGCTTTTTGTCATAGAAACAATGATGTGAATAATGCACGAATATCCATCTTTAATATCCCGACGTGGTGACATTCAAGTATTGCCATGTGCAAGTCTGAGAGCCAGGCTCACCCCAAGGAGAAACAAAGAGCAGTCCCCAGGGTCTAATACAAAAGACCAAGGCTTGGAAGACACTTCAGAGAAGCGGAATTTCAGCCTAGGGACTGCAGTGAATACCTGCCCTCAGCTCTCAGGAGACACAGCCAAAGAACAAGCCTACAGAGAAACTCTTTTTTCCCTCCCACTTAAATATATTTTTTAAATTACAACAGAAACCTTCTAAAGTGTTTTTGAAGTACTGAAAAAAATACCCCCCTTCTGGATCTTAAAATTAAATTTTAAGCTTATCCTTTCTCCCTTTCCCACTTTGGTCACTTTTTGATAGCTACAACCTTTTTTGGAGCCTGAGGCCTTGGGAAGACTGGTTTCATCTGAGTATATGAACTCTGGCCATTAACTTTGACTTCTTCCTCCTTATGCTTGAGGGTCAGCATTTTAGAAAAATGAACTTTGAACCCTTCCCAGGAGAGGCAGAAGAAAAACGACTAGAGGACATCTCCCCTGTTGAGAGTGATTCTTTAAAAAACCACTATTCTCAAGGCAAAGACGAGTGCTTGAAAACTTTTATACTTTTACAAATTCTGCTTCTAATTAATGAGCTGAGGAAAACTTCCTTAGATTTGGTTTTTAAAAAAATTAAAACTTCAGGGGGAAAAAAACTCTAAGGCTAACTTTTGTGGACTTCTAGATTCAATTAGGGTTTTTTTTTTTTCCTTCTTAAAGCAAGAGTTCCTCACCTTCCCACTTTCTCCCCACTGCACAGCCCCTCCCCTACACAGGCCATACACTAATTCCTGTAAAACACTGCTATATGAGGGTATTTAGGGCATTTGGAATCCAGTTGGAACAGAAAATTCAGTCATTATCTAATGACCCAGTGCATAGAGGTTTTGTTTTCTTTCCCCAGAAGGAAAATGTTGGACCATTTGTTGGTTTTTTTCCCTTTCCTTTAATCACCCAGAACTGGTTGTAAGCACAGTGCTGAAAAAAACACATGTGGAAATATATTTTCAAGAATGCAACTTTGAGTGAATCCTTTGCTTCCTTCTGGAAGGGTTAAGGCCCCCCTATATACATTTCCAGAGAGTGGGGAGGGGTGGAGTTCAGAAGTAAGTGCACATATCTCTGATTCTGCTCCCTGAAGTTCAGCCCCTTTCACCTTTTTAAGATTTTTGGCATGAAGGTGTCAGTTATTTCTGTACCACATTTCCCAACAAATAAATATTTAAGCAAATATCTAAACATAAAATAACCCATTTTTACTTCCTTCTTAGACCCATTTCTTTGGAGGTGGGGCCACTGGGAGCAAAATATATATTTTTTAATCACATGAAATTCCATAGACAACCCAGAAAGTCCAGAAATCCTGACCCAGCTCTCTGGCTTCCACTGAAAGCACCTAGCACAGGGGTGGCCAACCTTCTGCCTCAACTCCCCCACATTATTAAGCCACAAAGCACCCTGGAGGGGTGGAGTGGGGGAGAATGTCCAAATTCACAGTGGGATAAAGCATCCAACCTTCATTTGCAAATTCAAAATCCAAGAGCGGTGATTTTCATAAGTTTAATGACTCGCCAAGATTTTATGTTCTCAGTAGCTCCTGCCATATAATATACTTAGAGAGAGAATCCCGCCCCCCCTCCCATCCCCATCCCGCTCTAGGGAGGGGGCTGCCCTCGGGCAGGATGCTAACCTAGTCCGAGGGCGGCCTGCTTGTCCCAGGTCCACCCCACAGTACCTTAGAGCCCAGCGAGGTGACAGCAGGCCCGGCCTGCCCCCGCAGCTTCGGCTCAGCCTGGTGCGCAGGGAGAGATGGGCCCAGGGTCCCCACTTCTATAAGGTCGTCAGGTCCGTGTGGTGGTCTTTGGCCATCGGCTGTAAATGCTGGCTGGGGGCGACTGAGGAGGAGCAAGATGAGGAGGAAGATGAGGACGATGACCTGCCTTTAGTGTTGGGCAGCTTATGATCTTTTTTCCACTTCATCCTCCGGTTCTGGAACCAGATCTTGATCTGGCGCTCCGACAGACACAGGGTGTGAGCGATTTCAATCCGACGGCGCCTTGTCAGATACCTGTTAAAATGAAATTCTTTTTCCAGTTCTAGGACTTGCTGCCGGGTGTAGGCCGTTCGGGACCGCTTGGGTTCCCCACCGGTGTAGTTGGGGTTCACTGCGAGACAAAACAGACAGGACAGGCAGGTCAGCGCCCGGCCACTAGTTAGGCCCCTCGCCTCCGCCGCTCACTTCCTGGCGCGCCCCGAGGCCCGCGGCCCTCCCCGCGCGCTCCCAAGCTCGCTTGCTTCCTCCCTCCCGCCCTCTCCCCGGCGCACACGCTCACTCCCACCCACCTCCTCAAACACACCCACATACCCCAGGCTTGCGGGATCCCCAAATGTGCTCCTTCTTCTGGGCCCACCACCAGGTCCGGAACCCTCAAGCATTTTGGAAATCCCCCGCTCCTCCACAGCCTTCCCCCTGCTCTGAAAATGGAGTCCTCCCCCACCCCCCCATCCCCACCCCCTTTTGCGCCCACAGCCGAGCAGCCAGCCACATGGTCCTGACCTGCTCCCTCAGCTATAAAAATTTATGGGGAGAGTAATTGCGGCGCCCATGGAAGCTCCACACGCCCCCACCTACTCGCACCCCCTTCCAGAGGACCCAGGCTAACGGGCTGGGATGTGGACAGAAAGGTTACTGGACCCTAGCCTTACCCGAATTCACGTGCACCTTCTTCATCCAGGGGTAGACCACGGCCGGCTGCTTGAGTGCCGTCCCGGAGGGCGGCTGCTTGGGGTCGGACTGACTGTAGGCCCGGGCGCCAGGCAGGGGCGCCGGCGGAGGCGCCGGGGGAGCTGGGCAAGGCTCTCCTGGAGCGGCGTAGTGACCGCCGGGGCCGCCTGGCTCTTGTCCGTGACCCCGCGCAGGCAGCGCCGAGCCAGGCCCGGGGCCGCTGCCTCCGAAAGGCTGCTCACCGAAGTCGGGCCGTGGGTAGAGCCCCGGGGGCTGGAAGTCTGCGCCCTGCGCGCCGCCGCCGTAGTAGTCGGCGCCCTGCTCGCCTAGGTAGCCGCCCTGCAAATACTCCTCGCACGGAGGGAACTTGGGGTCCACATACTTGGAGTTCACCATATACGAACTCATGACCATTAATTTCAGAAGGTAGAAAATACTAATTTTTCTCGTGTTGTCTTTTTTTCTCCTTCCATAGGGCCCTCCTACTTGCTGTCAACTGAATAAAGTTGGGCAGCCATGTGACCAGGCCAGCCAATGGCGAGGGAGCAAGTTTATCACCGGGTTGGTGAGCATCTCATAATTTTCACAAATTTAACTAAATAACATACGTGTAATCAAGTAGCTTGCTATGGCACATTTGAGAGCCCCTGCCAGATATTAATGTAGTTCCAGTCCCCAGCACCCCATTCCCCTCAGGTAATCCCAGCTTTTGTCTGCCACTGATTTTGCCAACCTTCCGTGGCCCTTCCACTCACCCCCAGCTGAATGCAACCCCCGCCCCCCGACACCAAGTAGGCACAGCTCAAGGGAGAATGAATCCTCCTATTGGGGTACAGAGCAATGAAAGGTGGGTGGGTGAACTCGCCTCTGAGTTGGGCAGAGTGCCCCAGGCGAGGAGGGTTCCTGCCTGCCCGCCCTGCCTGCAGCCGGCGGGAGCAGGGATTCTGCCATACAAAGGCCGCCGTCCTGGCTTTGTCTTCATCAGGGTCACCCAAAAGTTACCAGAATCTGGCCAGCTTGAATCAAATTAGGCAATGAGTAACCGCCATGCTTTCTACCAGTGCCCAGGCCCGGGGGTTCCCAGCCAAAGCTGGGCCCTGCCAAAATAGCAGGGGGCCCTCGCTGCCCTTGCCCATGTAGCTGGGGGTGGGCTGGGATGGTGGCAAGGGCACCTCCACCTTGTCAAAATGCACCCTAGAGCTCCCCACTGGGCTTCTTTGAAGCTTGCTTTCTTCCCACAGGCCCCAAATACAAGCAAGCCCCCATTTGGGTACCTTTGCACCTCATGTTCCTGGAGGGCAGAGCTGGGACTGGGCAAGCTGGCCTTGTACCTCACTCCCTAGTACCCCAAAACCTAGCCCTTTGGCCCTGCATCCATGCAACCAATTAGGCTTGCATTCTCTCTTTCTCTCTCTCTCTCTCTTTCTCTCTTTCTGTCTTTCTTTCTTTTCAGCACCCAGAGGATACTCTGTTTAAAGGTGAGGAGCTTCTGGAGAGGAAAAGCTGCTCTATGTCACCAGGCGCAGCTGATCCTCCTGGAGTCCAAGGTAATAAAACAGAACGAGGCGGCTGACCAGCGCCGGCTGCTTCTAGTCTCCATGTCGCACTTTGGTCTCTGGCTATTCCGAAGAAACGTGAAGTTTTTGCATCGACCATATATTCCCCTAGAATCGAATCTGTGACTATACGGATACCACACAAATTCGGTTCTACAGGGTATATATAGACAACGTTACAACCTCTGGGTCCCACCCAGAGTGAGGTACCTAGGTCGCTGCCGGCCCCAATCTCTTCCTCTGAGCCACCACCGTTCGACGCAGCCACCCGCACTTTCTGAGACAGTTCAGGTAGCCTAATGGGCTTGGCGACAATTTGAAGCAATGAGTTCCCTCATTCTTCTGCCAGGGTCAGGGTTACCAAGCAGGCGAACAACCAGAATATTCTTCTTAAGAAAGAAAAAAAGAAAGAAAGAAAGAAAAATAATCCATCCCAAGGATGGCGGCTTTATTAACCACCCTCCCCCACCAGGATCCAAATAACCCTCCTCCTTACCAAGTGGTATTTTCCAGAAAGGAACAAATGCCCTCAGCGGCAGAAGAAAAAGAAGCGAGAGGGGAATATCCTGTGTCTACTCCTTTTCCTACTGCCCGACCAAGCCAGGTTGTCTGCCAAAGCTACTTCTCCAAGAAGTCGCGCATTTACCTTCATGGGCCCTGATCCGGGCTGGCCTCTCCGTTCCGCTGCTGCTGCAGACCCCGAGGCAGGCGCTGCTCACAGGCACCGAGCCGCCTTGGGCTGAGGCCGGCGCGCTAATGGTGAAGGGCAGGGCGAGGGGTCATTCGAAATCATTTACAAACATATCACAAACTTTCATTATTTTTGCTTTGCCGACAGCAGCACACAAGAGTACAAAAGTTCACAAATTTCACCCGCCCCAGCGCCTCGGCACTGTGCAGTGCTTGTCCCTCAGTTCAGGGCATGGAGAGCGCAGACTCACTCAGAGCCTCGATGGATTTCAGGGGCACAGGGATGCCCTGGCTCGAGTGGGGCTTTTGGGTGCCTAACTGTAGGCTGAAGGTGTTAGATTTTTTTTTAACTGTCTTGATTGCCCTTCCTACCTCCCACATAATTCAAAATTTAGTTTCAAGCCTGGGCCTGGGCCTGGTGGGGTGGGGCAGGGATACTCCCCCTCCAAGCCTGGCACTTTGCTCATCCCCCCATCCTTTGCTTCCACCACTTTACCTGTTTCGTAGGGATTTTGGGGGCGCCAGTTCTAACAAGGGCTATGAGGCTGCAGAATCTGTTTATCCCAGGAGAGTCCCCCCAATTTCCCTGAATGCCAAAGACTCCCAAGTATCCACCTTCCTGGGACACTGGGCCTAGGCTCTATCCAGACAAATTGGGGGAGCCTGCTGAGCCGGCTGGAGACCGGGGTGAATATACACATTTTCATATTTGTTAGACGCTGTGACCTGCATTTCACCTTATTGCTCGACTTGTTCAGACAGGTCAAAGCCAACGAGTTATTGATGAACAAAAGCGTTAAATATTCACCTCCCGCTCAACTGCCCATACTAATGCTTTTGATCTCTAGGGCTTTTTGTGCTGTGTTCAGCTACAGGGCGCTGAATGTGGGTTTGCTAGCGAGAAGCTTCTGCAGAGATAAGCACCCAGAGCCAGTGCAGGGGAGGAGAGAAGCAAGACCAGAGGTCCCCAGGACACCAGATTTTCCAGACTGGAGCCCAGAGCCCCTTTCACTTGAGCCAGCCTGGTGTATAGGGGTAGTTGCTCTTCTAGGGGTGTGCACAGTCTACAAAGGGTCGACTAGACTGCCCAGCCCAGCGGGGCCAAAAAACCTGTCTCTGAGGCCAGCCCCAGCTTTTCCAACCAAGAAGGAGGGAGACTGGTTCCTGCAGCCCTCACATATTCCAACTCCCATTAAAATAAAATCACTTCCGTTTTGCAGTGAGGGAGGGGCCACAGTTCTTTCTGTGACTCTCCCTCCAATACCATCGTCTTAATGAGATGGTCCTCCAGGAGGCTTCACAGGCCTAATCAGAAATGTACCTGTCTTTCGCGGCACAGGCAACTCAGAAAGATCCAAACATCCAAGCCAAGGATCCCACGAGTCTCTGGCCCCACCCCACCGCATCCACCCCACTCCACCCTCCTATGCCTCCTTGCAGCACCAGCGCCTCTGGGGCGGAAATTCTCCAACTGCAGTTACAGAGAAGCAGAGGTGAAAAGAAGGTCCGTATCCCTCCTCGCTCAGCCAGTGTCCCAAGCCCAGGGCCCACACCGCTGCAAACAGATCGGGGGAGGGGCGGGGAAGGAATGTCCACATAAAGCTCAGAAGCGGGCAACTCAACACACCCACGGCCACAGAGGATTGAGTTTTTGTTTTCAGTGAATTTTTTTAAAAACAGAAGGTTGGCCAGGCTAGACCAGGTTAAGAAGGGTTGGGCTGCGGAGGGGACCGCATTGCCTTGGTGTTTACTGCGTTGGTTTGAAGCCGCTAATAAGACAGGCTGCTAATTAGCAAGCTCTTAACAGAAGTGAGCGCCTTGGCGGAGCTGCACCTGTGCAGAGCAGGGAAGGGCCGCGAAGGTCTAGGGAGGCCCAAGGAGACAAGGGCGAGACCCCGCGGACCGTTCTCTCAGGCAGGTGTCTGTGAACCAGGCCCCAGAAAAGCTTTCCGGGACCTCGATTTAGCGCCTCCACCTCCCGAAGCGGGCTAACCTCGCAGAGCGAGGCCGGGGGTGGAGGGTGGGGGTGGGGTGGGGGAGGCAGGGCCTTTCTTCTATCCGCCCACTCCGCTGGCTTGGCCCCTTAGCCCACCACTTCCCCGCGATCAGTACCGTCTCTTCGCGATTCGGAAGAAGCGGGAAGGTACTTACAGCGGCGCTCTCTCATGGTCCTGAACCTGTTGCAATGAAAACGGGGATCACTTAAATTCCACAGGATAATAAAGCAGACACATATAACACACAGAAAAATGACAAGGCCCAGATACCCCACCAATACCCAGACCTCCCTGCTTCAGGTGCCCGCCCCCGGGAACTGCGCAAAGTTCTCCGCAGAGCCGGAGACCGCAGTCCCTCAAGAGCAGAGCCACGGATTATGACAGATTTCGATCTCCATCGCCTCCCCCACTCCACGCACCCTTGGGCAAAACCTCACTAGTTACTGGGCCCGAGTCAGGTCGCCTGTAACAGGGTTTTCCCAGTGGGAAAACGAGAAGCGAGGAGAAAATGGGCCTTTGTGTGTTTCCTTCTGCGCAATCGGGCCGGGTGGGTGCAGGTCCACTGGGGAGGGGGTAGCCGCTCCATCTGCCCCTCACCCCTGCTTCCTATCTCTCCCACCCTGGGAGCAATTCAGCCTCCCTTTCCAGCTTCAGCTTGGTTTCAAATTCCTCAGCCCCAACCAGTGCCCCCAAAACCTGTCTTCTCCTCTTCAAAGAAGAATCAGGCATGGCTGGGACTTGCCACTTCTACTCCAATTCAAAACAAAGAGCAATTTCCAGGGGGAAATGAGGACCCAAATGATAACCAAGGAGGAGGAAAATCAATGGGTTTAAAGGTGAATGGCAATGCTTTAGATTGTTATCCAGCTCTATGGGTATGACATCAATTTTTCAGGATTGCTGCTGGAGAGCCCAGAAGACAATCTTACTAAGCAGTGGTCCTCCCAGAGGCTGGTGTCCAGTTTTAAGTTTTCAGTCTTTCCTGATATTATTATAGGAAAGCAGTATCAGAAATCTCAGGGACAAAGCAGCTTCACCCTCATCCTCTCTTTCTTTCCCCACCCAGAATACCACTGTTTTATTCCACTTCTGAAGGAGATGCTCTTAAGGGGGAGGAGAGGGGCAGTAAGTCCCTCTTGTGAGGTGAGAGCCCTCAATTCCTAACTGTCCCTATCAGGAAGGGAGGGCATGGGAGATCGAGATGCTCATTCTATTTGTTAATTTAGGTTTAGGCTAAAATTAGAATTAACTTCGATGAGACTTATCCCCATCCTAGGCAGAAAAGTCAGGAACAGAGAAATCTCCCACCTCTGAAGTTGTTGTGGAAAAAGTAATAAGTGACTTACTGTTTTTCTTTCCTAGTGGGCAGGGGAGCTGGGAGTAGAACCGTCTCCTTCTTAGCCTGGAGCTGGCTGGAGCCTCTCACGTTCCTATTGCTGCTCCAGGAACCCAGCATCTGCACTTGTATGCTCTTAACCTAATTTATGGTGGGAATTATATTTTGGCTTGTCAACTCTCAAGCCATAAAACAAAGTTTATTGGAATCACGTGCTCGTAAATAGCCACTCAGGTCCCATCTCTGCAGAACCATAAATAACCTTTGGCTTTAAACTTTTATTCACTAAATAAAGGTTCGCTGCAACGGTTACCTCAGATTTAAATAGTTCCAAATATCCAGGATGCAAGGGAGGTCATATTCATATCAATACCCCAGGCTTTTCAAATAGCATCTTTTCGGAGAAGCTGTTTAAGTTGGGAGATAGTGCTATTTGGAAAAGGCTAGTTGGTGGGCATGTCTTATGATTCTTTGGCGGCATTCACTGTGAGTACCATCAACCCCTTTATTTCAATAATTTTCTAGCTCTAGATGTGATAAAGAGGAAGGTCAAAAGCCACTTCTTATTTGCTTATGACAGAAGTTGGAAGTTATTTGAGATTTTTTTCAAGTTTCAATGGAGAAAGGGTGGTTAGGGAGAGGCTGGGTGGGTTTGGGGGTGGGAGTAGCAGTTGGAATTAACACTTGGCTCCCTCCATATTGTTGTGCATGGGCTTGGACAAAGTTGAAGGTAGCCACATGCCTAGAGGTTTCTGTAATTCGCTTAGATCTGAAAGGAAAGCCTTTGCAAGTGACCAAACTGCTTAACACAGCAAGACTTGGGGTTTGGTAAAGTGAGAAAGTGGAGAATAGCCTCATTAGAATCTTTGGCAACTAAAGCTCCAAAGAAGGTTATAAAACAATAAAACAGCCCTGGTGTGAAGGCGACAGGGTGTGAGGAAGCAAATGAGACTCTCAAGGAATCCAAGCCTAGGAAGTCAGATGTCCCCACTCCCATGGTGTCTCCAAGCACAGTGATTAAGGCTCAGGAACTTTGGGGGCTCAAAACTGGGTGGGAGTTTTAGGAGCACTACCCCCACACCCACACTGCTGCCCCCACCAGGGAGAGAGCCTAAGAGAGGAAGAGAGAGTAGTACACTGCCGCTGTCCTGCTGAGAAAGCCAAGGAAAGAGCTTGGGCCTGAAGCTGCTCTCTAGGAAAATGTGGCATTCTCTGCTTGGGGGAGGCTGGGGTGGGGGTAAGAGAGAGGGAAAGATGCCCTCAGCTCCCACCAAGGAGCATAAATAAAAAGAGAATTGACCCCCCAGCACCCTTCAATAGCCCACCAGAGTTGCCACCAAACAGTGTAAAAACGTGTGGTTTTGACTATTCTGATGAAAATAATGGATGTTCTGTGGAGATTTGTAGAGCACACACACATATGATTTCTAAATCAAATTCAGTTGCAACTGTTCCCATCAGAAAGACCCATCAAGCCCATAAAAGAGATCCCTTCATACAAAGATCTCTTTGCATCCCAATTTCCACCCATTCTACATGCATTTTCAAACCCATTTCCTGATTTCACTGTCATTAGCTAGAAAGCAGGGGGCTATTAGCCTGGATTGTAAGGCATCCATTTCTCCTTTTTTTGTTTCATTAGCCATGTAGGAAGATATTTTTCTTTTATGGTTGATGGCATCTGTTTTTAAAAATGGATAAACTCTTCAAAACATGTTTCTGATTCTGGTTAGCACTAGATGAGCAGCTGTAAAATAATAATAATAGTTTGAGGGGTTGAGAAGAGCTTTCTTTATTTTCCTGTAACCCCGGCACTTTGGGAGGCCAAGACAGGCAGATCACAAGGTCAGGAGTTTGAGACCAGCCTGACCAACATGGTGAAACCCCATCTCTACTAAAAATACAAAAATTAGCCGGGTGTGGTGGCGGGTGCCTGTAATCCCAGCTACTCAGGAGGCTGAGGCAGGAGAATCGCTTGAACCCAGGAGGCAGATGTTGCAGTGAGCCGAGATCGCACCACTGCACTCCAGCTTGGGCGACAGAGCTAGGATCTGTCTCAAAAAAAAAAAAAAAAAAAAACCAAGAAAGAAAGAAATTAATCATAGTACATATTAGTTTCCAGGCAATTGTGATGAGCTTTTTATGAGAATGGGGTAACGAGAAGATAAGACTGAGGAGAAATAGTGTTTGAAACAGTGATGGGTACCCAGTTAGGGCTAGGTAGACATTCTTTGAACAAACGGTGATGAAGCATGGTGACTGAGACATGCTTGCAACCTTTATTGTGGCCTACACAAAAAGATAAAATTACATAGCCTACTCTGTATATTTAGACAATAACGGAAAAGTAGCTGTGAGTAAAGAAAAGGAGAGACGAAAGGAATATATTGAGGCAGACATCATTTATGTCCTGATCTTAGGAAAGCGAGGCAAAGTGATTAAAGAGAGAGTAAGGGTCCACCTTCTCATAATCTTCTTTTGTCTCCTCCTTCCCCTATTCCTTTTCTCCTCCCCTCCTCCTGGTCTTCTGTAGATGAAAGAAAGGGTGAAATGGGGGAGAGAAGCTGAGTGGTGGAAAGAGCAGAGCTAGCATGTGCCAGTTTGTTGGGGAGTTTCCCAAGAACTTGCAATGGTTGTGGTGATAATGGAAGAGGCAGTGGGGAAAGACAAGTTGAGCCTTCTTAAAAACCTAGAAGGAATTAATTTATAGGTAAAGTGGGACTGTAGGTACTGTCCTTCCCCATGTGGCTAAAAAGAGCCTAGGAAGCTCCCATGAGATAGGGCACCTTGTAGGGCTCCTCCAAACCCTGGGAGCCAAAGTAGCTCGCAGGAAGGAGGAGAGAGTGAAGGGGTCCCGGGAGGAAGCAGCTCTACTCCAAAAGTAATGAAAGTCAGCCCTCTGCCCACCCTAAGGGCCCCTGCTAGGTGGCTCCAGGAAAGAATATTCTCATTTTGGCTCTTAAGAGGCCTTTTGCCTAAAGGGGGGTGGAGCTTTCCTCTTAAACTAAATGTTTGTACAACCAGAAGAGATAGGTGGGGCTTTGAATACCTGGCCGGGGCAGGTGGAGAAAGAAGACTGCCCAGGGCTGGTACTTAAGGACGTAGTCTGGGGGTATAGCCAGAGAAGGACTGAACAGGGAGTCCCCAGCATGAGAGAAACATAACTCTATATTCCTGGCACTATACTCTATCACCAAAACAGAAACATTTCTCTCCCTGCCCACTTCCCTCTGCCCCAGTGGAGTCACTCATTGGAGCTCTGGCTTGAGGACCCAGGGAGGCAGAGGTGACCCCAGACAAAAAGGCCAATAGTGAGAGAAGAGACCAAAACAAAAGGGGAGGGGGCTTGGAGCAAGATGTTTGAGAGCAGAGCGGAGGCTAGAAATAAGGCTCCAGTGGTCCCAAGAAGGGCAGAAGAGGCTAAGGTGGCTACCTAAGTACTAGGAGAACCAAGATTTGTTGGAACAGGAGGTGCTGCCCTAGGCTGTAGGCAGAACACTGCCTGACAAGGTTGGTAGCAGAAGAAACTGTACGTTTTGAGGGAAAATCTGACCCAGGAGGACTTCCTGGTTAAGCCAAGCAAAGCAGCTTGGCCAAGAGCTACTAAGTCTCTCATGAAAAAAGTCTGTAGCCAGAAGTCATGGACCCAGAACTAAGGGTGAGGACTTATCCCTCAATTCTCCATTGACCCTTCCAATTCTTTTAAATTCCGTACATCTTTTATGAAGAGTTATAAAAATACCCTTTCTGGCTACAACCCCCACACATGTTGGGGGCAGAGGCTCAGCTGCTGCCCTGGAACCCAGATCCTGGGGCACAAGCAGTTAAAGGGGTGAGAAGGGTTGGGGGGAGTGGAGGTGGGGCTCCTCGGCTTCCTTGGCTGTTGTTGGTCTTTTGCTTTCCTACCCTGCCCTAGATTTTAAAAGACTAAGGAGGGTCCTTGCCCTGGGGCTATAGAATAACAAGAGGAACAACCAGCCCAGTGGGTGTGACTGACAGGACAGGGTGGTGATGGAGAAGGTGATTGCAGGAGCTGGATAAATGGGCCTGCTCTCAGGAAAGACCTGAAGCCATCTGTGGGAGTCGAAGATGTGCCTGTGTGAATGTGAGGCCTCCCCTACCTGATACCTGCCCACTGAGGAGTTAGGGCCACTTTCTGCCTGGTGTAACCCTGATACATTTAGGTGCCAGACACTGAGACCCAATGGGCCAGGACTATGTGGCCCACAACA
Organism: Homo sapiens; assembly: GCF_000001405.40. Classification (NCBI taxonomy): domain Eukaryota; kingdom Metazoa; phylum Chordata; class Mammalia; order Primates; family Hominidae; genus Homo; species Homo sapiens. The sequence continues at coordinate 176,142,236 of NC_000002.12, read as the reverse complement.
GCAATAGGTTAAGTCACGGAACTATGTTCTCCTGAGTCTGCTACTTCCTGTGTGTTCAAGCCTGTCTTCTCCTCCATAGAATTCAAAAATTTGGTGAGTGAACCAGGGGTCTTTTGCTCTAAAAGTCTAGGCCTGATTACTCAGCAAAAGGGGGATAATAAGAAACATGTATGTATTGAATACTTGGTATGTGGCAAAACACTGGTTTAAGTACTTAACCAGTGAGTTAAAGGTACATAAAGCAGTTAGAATAGTGCCTGACATATAGAATTGCAAGTAAGTAAAAATTCTCATAGCAACCCTTGAAGGTACTCTTATCCCTCCTTTTCAAAGAAATTAACAGGTCTAGAGAGTTGCAGTACTCGCCTAAGGTCACGCAATAGGTAAGTGGTACCATGGCAGTCTGAACCCACAACCTGCTGTCTTTGAAATCTGTAAGCCAAAAGTTAAGGGATCCACGGCCTCTTCCCTAAAATGTAAGTATTCAGTCTATAGGGTGGTGACCTTAAAAACCACAACCCTGGATGGAACCCTAAGAGCTCTGGGGGATGCTTAGTTGTAGGGTTAGAGGGAACTTGATCTTTGGAGAACAAAGGATCATAAAAGGAGCAGGAGAGATAATTGACCAGTGGTTCTCAAACATAAGTATGCAGCCCAAGTGCCCTGGGCGGAGGAGTGTTTACAAAATGCAGGTCTCTGGGTACCATATCTGGATATTCTGATTCAGTAGGTCTGGGATAGGACCCAGAAACCTGCATTATAAACAAGAGATTTGATGCAGGTCTTCACTGAGAATCATTACCCTAGAGAAGGCGGTGGGGAGAGGGGGACAAAAGACTGCATTGCCAAGAGATAACGGAGGATCAGTGGGATTGGGTCAGAGCATTATTTAAGTAAGGTGTCGCTGGCTCTTGAACCTGGTGCGAGGAGTGCCCAGTGGAGCCCACAAAAGGCCTGAAATGAGCGAAGTGGTGATAGAAGAGTGGTTGGGTGGTGTGGAGTAGACATGCGCATCTGGCTAGTTCTCTTGAGCTGCAGAGCAAATGGGATTTACCCAAGCTCTGAGTCTCCAGGGAGTCCCAGGACCCAGGTCCTGTTCTAAGTGAGCAAGGGCAAGGCCCATCAGCCTGTTGGAGGAGGCACTAAAGGATGTGCTTTTCAAGGCTGTCCATTCTGGGTACCAGGAATCCTGGGCAAGGTAAATGACGAGACCCACGGCCCAGCGGGAGGGGCTGGTTGGGATCCGCGGATTGGGCCCAGCTTGCCCCACACAGGATTCAAGTTGCTGCTCCTACAAGCGCAGCACGAGGAAATCGCGCCCCCTCCGGGAGCGCGGAGAAAGCGAGGTGGCCCGCCAACCCGGAACGGCCCTAGGCTCCCAGGCCTCGGAGCTGCTTCCACTGCCAGTCTGGGGAAAGGAACCCCTTGGGGGACGGGGCGCAGCACCGTCGACCCTTGTTCGAGGCCCCACACACTTGGCGCGCGGAGGTAGAGTGCGCGGGAAGGGAGGAGCGGGTACCGATCCCTCCGCTCCCGCCCTCCCCGGCCCGCCGCAGCCGGCGAGACGCTTGTCCTACAGCGCCTCCTCCTGGACGAGGCGCCAGACAGCAGAGCAGGGAGACCACCAGCCCCGGAAACCTGAGGCTGGGACTTCCTCCGGCAGGCGGAGGTCTCCCCGCACCAGAGGCTGGTTCTACAGTGTCCCCTGGGGCGGCTGGAAGGAGCAAGAGGGACCTGAGGCCACCTCTCATCCCCTACCCCCCATCCCAGGACAAACAACAAGCTCGTGGCCCAGAGGCGCTTGTCCCCCATTATTTAAGCGAACCCAGGCGGGAAAAGCCCTTATATGTCCGTTCATTTATTTGTTTATTTATTTATTTATTTGACTGCTCTTCGCCGAGCTGCTGCCCCCCAGAGCCCTCGAATGTGCTGTGCTGGCATAACAAGATCCGGGAATGGTCAGGCCGAAGGATTGGCCTGAAGTGTGGCGGTTTGAACAGGCGCCAGGAGAAAAGGCCTTTTCCCAAAGTAGTAGCAGCAGGCTGAAAAAAAAAAATCTACAGCCTTCCCCGAGGGGCAAATATATGCTATATATATATATAAACTGGAAAGAAGAGTGTTTCCTTTGGCCCTCGTCTCGTATTTTCAGCCTATGTCTAGCGTACAGATTTAAACTGGGGTGAGGTGATAAGTCATAATGATTGGAAATGTAGCCAAAGGTAGAACTGTTCAGCTATACAGGGAAGGCTGAGATAAAGGCAAGATGAGTAGCGAGCCTTGACGGAGGGAGAATGGAAAGATCGGGTGTATCTTCCTGCTCGAGTCCACTCGCCCCCCCCCACCCCCCCGCCCCCACACCCGTGCTTTGCCGATCGAATTCCCGGGCTAGGCCATTTCACTGCACATGCGCTGGACCTCTGGCGCGGGTGTGTGGCGGGCGCTGCGGGACCGTGAGCTGTGCGGCCGGCTTGCACCGCGCAGTGCGGATAAGGTACCGCGCACTGCTTCTACGCCTGGATGCAGAGGAGCTTGGGAACCTCATCTCAAGAAGCAGGAAACACACTTTTCTTTTTCAGGAAAACATGTATTAAAAGCTTCAACTGTCCTTTCTGATTTGCAAACCCTATTCCGCCGAACAAGCAGCATCTCCTCGTTGCCAATGAACACTCTGAAGGTTGTTATGTGGATCAGAAATGTCACATCTTGGGCACCGCTTCCCTTTGAGTCGTTCTTCAAGGCGGGGAAAACCATCCTACATCCAGAGAGCACAACTTCTCCCTCATTCTGCAAAACTATCAAGTCTAAAGGACCAGTCCCTAGAAAGAGGGCATCTGTTCACGCCATTTCCGAAAACGTGACCCTAAATTGAATTTAAGTTGAAATTCTGAGTTCTTCATGGCTTCTCCCCAGCTTCCGGTGCCCCCGCATACCCTACCCGGCTGCCTGGCCGCCGCACTGCGGCAAGGCCGTAAATACCTCTAACAGCTGCCTGCCAGCCCAGGGTGAAATACTGTCTTTGTTCGATTTCCCTTGCCTCTCTGATTCAGAAAACAGAACTCTGGCGAAATTTATTTGTAGAAACATCTGACGGGAAAATACGCTTTGTTTTCAGCTCTCGTGCTTGGCCACATTTATAATTTCGAGCTTCGTCTTTCTCCTGGTCCTCGCCAGAGATCTCAAGCCCAGTTCATGGCCTGACCCGTCGTCACCAAGGCCCGGACATGCTATCGGCTCCCTGATCTATGAGAGAACAGAGGTTTGGGCCAAGGACACTGGGAGTTATACTTCTGGGCTTCTCAGCTCTCAGGGTCCCAGCGTTTTAAAATTTCGTTTCATTTTTTGGTTAGGTTAACAGAAACAATGGGGTTATTTCCGGTAGTGGCAACAGCACGAACTAGTTTTCTTGTGGACTAATGGCCCGAGAGTTCCTGTGATTTGTGGATTATTTCCCTTAGATGCAATCGACCATTTCGTTCCAATAAGAATTAATGCTACCACGGGGCTTACAAAGAACCCCTCAAGTCTTCCAAATCTGCCCATGACATCAACCTCTGCTGCGTAATCGGACCTGCACCCAACCCAGGTTTTTAGTCACTCAAGCGCGCTGTGCTACAGAACCAGGGAAAAGCACTGAAGCTCTGAACATAGAGCTTGGCCATCAGGGCCACACCCCCACACCCACCCGGGTACCATCCGACCTAGGGACTCTTCCTGCTCCGAATCTACCTGGCAGGGCCTAGAAGCCACTATCCAGGTGCCTGCTTTTCAATGGGGAATGTTTTTTACCCCGATCAAAGAATGACCTCAAAGGTCATTGTACTGTAGTAGAGAAATAATTACAAAATACAAACACTCCAAATAAAATAACAATCACTCAAGTTTCTTATTTGTAAGTGATCAGAGTTAGTGATCCAGGATAATTTGCAGGCATCAGCTGGCCACAAATCGTGGACCTCCATTTTGAAATGAGCATGATTCCATCATTAATTACGAAAAACACCTTTCCACAAAGATGACATGTTTTGTTCAGAAACTCTTTTATGGCCCACGTTGTTACATTGGAATTTTAAGGGAATAATAAGTTAGGATTTACCACTGGGTGCTTTGGGAACCATACCCTTGCCTTGCGCAGGCAGTCTCATGCGCAATGCGGCAGACTGTCCAAAGGTTTCATTTCACAATGTTCATGAGGGAATAGGCAATAGGATTTGCGAACTGCATCCGCAAGTGCCATTCAAAATCAGTGGGAGAAAATAGCTTTTTTTCTTCTGCAAAGGATTTTCTTTTATGCATATTGTTTCAGTTCAGCAGTTTTGAAGTTGAGGGAAGAATGTTGCAATGTAATATTTATTAGCAGGTGGGAAAAAAAACACAACCCATCAATACATTTAGAGAGCAAAAAGATCTACTCTTTTCCTACTCTGGCAAATAAGAAACACACGATGTTTCAACACAGAGATGTCTTGTATTTCTCAAAGATCTATTGGGTTTTTACCAAGACCTGCACCATATATTCTGATACCATTACCTCCCAAAACATGGATTCATTTTGTGATATAAAAGAATCCAAATTCACCTGACGGATTATCATATGCGGGAAGAGCCTATCTTGAGTTGCTTAAAAATTTCTCTAAGAACTAGAGAAACATTTAAAAATATTTAAAATTCCATCTCATACAACACAAGGCCCAATAAACCATCAACCCTAGAAATTAACCAGCATCAGTCACTAAAGCCTAGATTCAAACACCAAGCACATCCTAGAAACAGAGAATTCACCCCACCCCCACCCAAGCCCCAACCCTCAAAAAACACCTGTTAGCCTCCCAGGAACCTCTGGCCACGGCCACAGGTAAACCACAAAAACCACAGCTCTATATAAAATGCCTTTAGTGACCCCCAGCAAAGTGGAGATGTTCAGTAGTAACCCGTCTATACACTTTCCTAGGGTAGGATTGAGGGGCTCTCCATCTAGGCAGTGGGATCCTGTCTGTGGCTACCCGTATCTCAGAATTTTTGAAATAATACTGCCCCCTTAGACTTCTGAACCCAGCCGGACTCCACCCCAGGCCCCAGGGGACGCCCTAGGAACGAAGTGATTGGGGGAAGGGGCTTAGACAGCGACCCCCCACTTCCCCGGGAAATGTAGGGGAGCAGCCGGACTGAGCTGCCCAAGGGGGTCGGCGCCCCAGGCTTCTTGGTGGCATGCTGGGGAGCGGGGAGGGGGCGATTCTTACCCGAAGGCTGCCGAGCTACAGGCGGCGGTCGGTCCGGGCGTCTGCTGTAATCCACTAGGCGCTGCCCGGCTGCGCTCACTCTCGGACGCAGAGACCCGCTCATGTTGGTGAAGAAGCCGCGCCAGAACCGCGCGGCTGCAGTCACCTCGAGCAGGCCGGCTGCTCCTGGCAGGCGGTGTCGGCGCCGGCGGGGGACTCGGCGCCCAGGGCCCCTTCCAGGCCCTCCCTCGCCGGGCTCCCCACCAGCTCCGGAGGTGGCGGCGATGCGGACCGAGTGAGCGGCGGTGGGGCCAGGCCGGGCGCCGGGCGGGAGCCGAGGCCGCGGCGGACTCCGCAATCCCGCAGCCGGTGACTGGAGCCCACCTCTGCAGAGACAAAGGTTAGAAAAAGAGGGGGTGAGGCTCTGGGAAAGCAGAATGCGGGGGGAAATTCGCCGGGGAAATCAGGAAAAAGGCCGTGAAGGCGAGCGGCGCCTGCACATGACCAGCCGCAGCCAATGACGACCGCAAATAGGTCATAAAAAGGTCTATTACCAAGTTGTAAATTTTCTTCAAACAAAAAGGAATTTACTGCAATTCCTTGCGGATTTTGCACATACAGCTCGCAAGCGCCATGTTTTTTCCTCTTCTGCTTTCTCTCTCCCCCGCCTCCTCTCTTCCTTCTCCTCCTCCTCTCTCTCTCCATTCTCTCTCTCCTTCCTCCCTTCTCTTTCTCTGTCCCTCTTCACCTTTCCCTTTTTCTTCCCTTCGTGGTTCTTCCCTCCCTCCCCGCCTCCTCTGTTTCTTTTTCTAGGATTTATTTGTGTGTGTGCGTGTGTGTGTGTGTGTGTGTGTGTGTGTGTGTGTGTGTTCTTTTCTTTGGTTTGGCTCAAAACCTCTGCGCAGTTGGCCATCGTGAAGGAGGGAAATGAACTCAATGTACTGCTCACGCTCTGGGGAAGCGATCCCCACAGCTACCTCCTCCCATCTCTCACCCTGTGCTAGTCACTTGGCTTCTCCTCCTCTCCCCTCAGGAAAAGGCCTGTCCCCAGAGGCAGCCAACCACTTTCGGTTTCCCCTCCTCCCTCTCATCTTGCAAGCCAGCCCCAGTTACCTTGGGAAGAAAACGAGGGATCTGCAGGCCAAGAAAATGTGCCCCCAACACACCACTCCAACATAAATTGGGGTCCCTCCCATTCCCGGGAGGTTCTGCAGTAGGATAATCACCAACCAGCTTAAAGGCTTCAAATGGTTTTAGGTACTTGTCAACCTCTCCGAAATACCCGTTTGAAACTCTACCACCTGGTCTTTCTCCACAGAAACATCTTTCTGGACAGACAGGGTTATGGTTTCTGGATCCCTTCTGAAACTCCTTGCTCTACGTCCTCCTCTAAGAGCAATTCTCATTTTTATGGAGTTTAATTCTAGTTCTCCCCTCTCCCCTTGCCCCCAAATATTTCCCAATTGAAAAATTTGTTCAACGCAATACTGAAAAGACATTTGTTCAGGAAAAGAGTGACTTCCTCAGATCAGCCTAGAAAAAAGAATAATTCCTTTTCCTCAAAGGCCGGTGTCACATTCCCTTTATATTTTTCACAGGAACTGCTCTGGTGAACTCCCCCTGAAAGTAAATGTCCTTGGCTGGCCTCCAGCATTCCCCTCATGGGCATAGCCATGCAGCCTTCAGAACCTTCCTGAAAGAGGTAACACCACCCCCCATCCTTTTAAAGACAGTGTCTTTACACTTCCAGTACTATGTTACAAATGTTTGCATCAGATACCTGTGTATAAGTTCTCTGCTATTAACATCTGCACACCCAGTAAGTGCCTAAGTGGATGTGGACTGAAGCAGGAAGCAGCACAGCACCCTCTGGAGCAGGCCATTTGTTATCCCTTGAAAAAGTTCTGATGACCTTGGATGTTTTTGATTAAAGGACTTTTGCTGCCATCTGTCAGCAAAAGTCATATTCTTTCTAGAAAAAAGCCAATGGGCCCTAACTTTGCTGGAGGGAACCGCAGCAGCAGCCAGGGCCCATTAAAATGTTCTCTCTCCTCCCATGTCCATCCCTAGATGCCCAAGGATTCAGCAAACACGGGGGAAGCAGAGGACACAAGAAGCTTGGATGTGAAATAGCACTTCCTTCTGTGTTACAGAATAAAACAATATTTTAAATTACACAAGCAGATGGGGCAAGTTTTTGGGCCCTCAGAAGCCCAGAAGACTTCACACTAGTATACTGGTATATACATGTGGAATTGAGCAAATAACTTGTTTAATTCCAAAATTTTCTGAGAAATAATCTCAATAGTCAATTTGCCTCATTATCCTCTCCCCATCTTACCCAAATAAAAGCAGAGCTTTATGACCCTCCCTTTCAACTTGGGGAATGAGGGCCGCAAAGACACTTTGCACTGAAAAGCAGCCATATTTGCATTTTTCTCCCCTTGTGCAGAGGTAAGCGATATATTGGGCTTTGTGGAACCTCACAAAATGGCATCCTTGAACTGACTTCTCTGAAAACCACTGAGACCCACATTCTCTTTTGTGTGTTTCTGGTCATTGCAAATGGAGAGCCTAAATCACTCAGAAGGCTTGGTTCTTTCATTCAGTGTTAACATTGGAGAGAACCATTTTTCTCTAAACGGTTTACAGACCTCACTAGGCAGACTGGTGCAGTTCAGGGCTGAAAAGTGCTGCCTGGGATGGCAAAGCATTCTCTGAAGGTTTATGCAAATTTCTGCAGCAAAAAAGTGTTCGCTTGTTGCCTCAATGCTTGGATGTTGACACATTTGAGCCCATTAGAAGGGCATCTTGTGCGCAAGTCACTGCCAGTCTGTCTGCATGAAACACCATGATGGGGGGTGGGGATGTCTAGTCAGTGTAAGAAAGAAGGTGGCGAGTGTGTGTGATGTGTAATTCCCCCAGGTCTTTATTTGAACACAAATCTATGCTCTTTCCCAGCTACAAAAGGAAACATTTACCTACATGAATAATCAACACTCTGGGCGTGTGTGTAAGCTATGTATACATACAAATTCATAATCTAATATATACCAGCTATTGCAACAGTCTGTCTGTACATGAGGTATGAATTTACCATGGTTTAGGCGGCCAGTGGGGCCAGAAGTTACACTTTGAGACCAGCACAGAATGCTGAAGAAATGACAATTTTATCTCCTCTTCCTTCCTTGATTTCCGTACCCACCCATACACAGGGCTCCCACCTGACAGTCTTGCCAACATTATTTCAGGGTTCTAAAAGTATCTGGTGAGCATCCTTGAGCAGGAGACAGCCAGTTTTGCTAATATATAAAGAAGTCCTGAGTCCCTTAAATCCAGGGCAGCTGGATTTCAGCCAGCACTGGTCTTTGGATGGTTTACACTGGAGGCTGTTCCCCAGCCTCTTGGCCCTTGGCATCCTTACTCTGTACCAGCTGACAGCAGAGTCTTAAGCAGTGCACAGAGCAAAACATTCTCAAATCCAGCATAGGCATTTGCAGCTGTCTCTTGGAGTGCAAATGTTTAAGTTCTGGGCCACCTGTGATTTAAAATTATCTTTCCTGGCTCAGGTCAGAGAATGTCACAGCCATCACTTCTTCCCAGCATGGAAAGCCAGGTGGTGCTTTCCTTCTGACCTGGCCAGTGGCAACATTTCTGTGTCCATGAAGCCACAGGCAAACAGCCTGATAAAACCCGATGAGGTGACCCTGGCGCAAAACTATAGGATTCCATTTTTCTTATCTATGTAATAAAAGCAACTCTGGAAATAAAAATTTACCCCTTTGAAAATAAACATGGTTAGAGAAAGCAGAGAGCTCTTCGATGACTACCTAACAAAGGTGCTTTCCCTTTTTCGGGAATGTTACTTTACTTGAATTTCTCCTCTTTTCTCCCGCTCCTCTTCCCCCCACTTTCCCCTGTAAAATGGCAGCTGCAGGAGCAGCCTCCAATGGAAAATGGATATCTTGTTAATAACAGATGCCAAACCCCAGCATCAACGCCGGCTCAGTGCAATAAGCTGTGGTGTAACATGGACTTTGCGTTGTCCCCCACTGGGCCTACAACTTGAGTCCTTTAAGAGGATCAAAGCTCTCAGAGCATCTTAGCAAGATTATTTAGAGCAAGATAGACTAGCCAGTCCTCTCTGAAAAAGAAGGGGCCCCTGCGGCCTTTTTTTTTTTTTTTTTAAACAGCGCGGAATGTGTGTAACCCCACCCCTTTCTTATTAAACAGAAGCCTTGAGCGAGTCCTTTCCTTCGTGCGAGCCCAGGCGATTGTTAGTGATTCATGGAAAAGGGGTATTTGCGGCGCTCAAAGACACTAGCTCCAGAAAGAGATTCATTTATTTACTAAGGAGCTAGCGACATTCCGGAGTTGTTTACACTCAGGTTTTTCTGCGTTTCCTCTCAGGGCTTGTTTCAAATAGGTGAGGCTATCGCTTTCCTGAAGAACAGCGGAGGACGTACCAACCGACGTCTGAGATGCACACAGCAAGCTGGTTTAAAACCAGCGGCGAACAGAACAAAGGCAATACAAATAAATATGACACCTACTGAAAATAACGGAACACAGCGGCAGCCACCGCATAAAGAACTAGCGATTTCAGGCGATTACAAGGGCGGTTCAAAACGAAAGCAAGTTAAAAAATGAGACGCATTTTACAAGGCGATTTGCCAGAGTTGCCAGATTATTTAATTTGTATGGACTATAGAAAAATAATTGTCAACTTGGACATTGTCTTTAAATTCTTGTCACTGGCCCAATCTTTTTCTTAAGTTTAAGGAAGCTGCAGAGCTGGACTACAAGTTACATTCTTCAGCTAATACGTGCTTTTCTAATATTTTCCCCGAGATATTACATTTAGAAAATACGCAAAGAAACCTTTTAGGAGTAAACAAAACGCACCCGAACTATTCATTATAAAGGAAAGAATAAAAAATCCATAAATAATACATTGTAATCAAATAATATAAAGTATTCTGCAGACATAATTTTTTTTAATTAATAAACTCCTTTTAATTTACTCACCACAAATATTAAAATGTTCAAGTGCACTTGTTTAATTAATAAAGCATTTTATATGCAATTATTAAGTGCTAATCATTAGGAAGTTTACGTTGTTGAGGCAAATCACTAGCTCAGACATTAAAAACCATTATAAAAATATAGCTACAAGGTCAGTATCAAATTACCCTTCCATAGGACAGCTCAAGGACAGCTTCTATGTGATACTAGAAACTTTTTTAAACACCCAAATCCCTCTCAAAGCACAGAAAACCTCAAGAGCAGTGACATGAAGGTAGCTTGAAACACAGGTAAGGTCCTTTCCAACAAAGAAAATAGGTGGTGTCCACAGCATATGGTGATTATTAGTTTTAATAGTCTGTGGTAAATTTTAAAGGTAGAAGTTAATTTGTCAGGCCTTCGGCTCTGTCTTCCTCCAGCTCTTGGGCTTCCTTTTTCGTTTCCCCGTCCTTCACCTCCTGCCGGGAAACGGGAAATTTGTCCTTGTTGTTTTCCTTTTTCCATTTCATTCTCCTGTTCTGGAACCAGATTTTTACCTGTCTCTCGGTGAGGGCTAGGGCGTGGGAAACCTCGATTCTTCTTTTCCTGGTCAGATAGGGGTTAAAAAGAAATTCCTTTTCCAACTCTAGAGTTTGGAAGCGACTGTAGGTTTGTCTTCCTCTTCGTCTACCAGGAGCTGCTGATTAAAACAAAAAAAAAGGGGGGGGGAATAAAAGTTTTAAAAATGTTATGGTACCTCTGCATGTTGCTGGAGGTTTGTGGAACGGGGGTCTACGGGGTGAAATATACACAGAGCTCTTTAGCTCCGATATATATATATAGGGTGTGCAGGCAAGAGGAGCAGAGAGGTCTTCACAATTATTCTGTCCCCATCATCTTTACATGGTTCCTACTTTTTTAAAAAAAGTCTGTATTACTTTATGAATAAGAGCCACTGTGGCTACACAAGAAGGAAAAGGAGGGGGAGAGGGAACGGGAGTTTTAAAGCCAGAACGTGAGATGAAAGCAGATTTCTCCCCCTCTCCCTTCTTAAAAAAAAAATGCATCCCAACCTTGTGGTCTCATCCACGGAAACATTTGAGAAGGAGACGAGCTCTGATTTAAGTGGTCTGGGTCCTCGCCAATATTACCACTGGACGATTTACAGTCAGGATATTGTACCAGCTCGGCCTCTTGCTGGGTCGTAAAAATCGGCTGTCTCTGTAAGTTATCGTATCCGTAAAACTTCGCGGGCTCCCCGTGACAGGCAATCCCGCCGCAGGGGGGAGGTGGCGGCGGAGGCGGAGGATGCGGAGGAGGAGGGGGGGCGGCCTGGTAGGCAGCGGCCGGGCTGCCCCCGCCGGGGTGGAAGTACTCCTGGCCCCGGCCTTCCCTACCGCCGCACCCAGTCCCGGAGGGCGGCGGGGACGGGTGCGGGTGCGCGTGCGCCTGCGGGGGCGCGTGCGGGAAGCCGGCGGCGCTGTTGCCATAGAGCTGCAGGGCTGCTGCGGCGGCGGCGTGACGGCCGCCGACCTCGGGCGCGAAGTGACAGTCGTAGTAAGTGGGATTGATGGCCTCGCCCGCCGCCGCCGCCGCCGCAGCCGCCGCCTTGTACTTGGAGTACAGCGGGTTCACGAAGTACGAACTCATTGGGGCGTCAGCGGCGGCGGCCCCGGGCGGGCGGGCGGCGCTAAGCAGCCAGAGAGCGAGCCTCGACTCGGCCGCACTGCCGCGGGGGCCTGTGGGGCGGCTGCTCTCGCCGCCGGGACCGCCGGGCTACGTCGCTGCTGCCGCCCGCCCGCGCTCGCGCGTCGCTTCTGAGGCCAGGCAGCCGCGGGCGCTCAGCTACTGGGCGCTCATGCCCGGCTCTTGCGCCCGCCGCCTCGGCTTCGCGCCGCCTCCCTCGCGGGTCGCGGGGCCTCGCCCAGCCCCCGCGCGCCGCCGCCCTCCCGGCCTTTCCCGGCGCGCCCCGGCTCGGCCGCAATATAATCGCCGACGCCCCAGGCGACCTGCCCCGCTGCCTCCACTGTTTCCTCTCAGGCACCAGTGACTGAGCGCACCCGGACAAGAAAAAAGTGCGCTCGGCCCACGGGGACACTCTGGCCTCGGTTTACAAACCCCGGCTCTGGAGGGAAAAGAAAAAAAACACCCTCTGCCCGCCGCCACCTCTTACCGCGCCCCCCCCGCGCCCCCCTCCCGCCAATCTCGCCCCCGCCGCCGAGGCTGCCGACCCGGTGCGCACCGGCGAGGCATTTTCGCACCACAGCACTGCACGGAAAGTCAGCGTGACGGGGACGAGGAGCCCCGCGGAGGGATCCGCGCGCAGTTCAGTCGCTACGGCCGACGGACGGAGCGCCGCGCCCGGCCCGAGATGCCTCCGCCGGCCTTAAAGGGGGCCCATAAAGACGCACTGCCAAGGGCTCCGTGTGCCCCGGGGCCGCGGGAATGCGGATCGCAGCCGGCAGGGAGGGGCCGCGGCGGAGCCTTAGACTTGGGGGAGCCAAGGAGGCCACTCCCAGGAGGCTGCGGAGCAAATGACTGCCTCCCCGAGCCCCTGGCTGCAAAAGCAGAGGTTGCCCGTGGCTTTTGCAGCTCTGGACACGCGGGTGCAGCCCAGGGAACGTGGACAAGAGGTGTTGACGGACCGGACCGTGCATTTGAGTTGGGGCATATCGAAGTGGTTTAATTAAAAGCCGCGAGTGTGGCCCCAGATCCTGGCGTTATCAAAGCAAATCAAAGCCTTTCTTTTCCAGCCGAGCGGGCCCTGTGGAAATGAGATGTACATTTACCCTTGACGCACCGCAAGCCTGGCCGAGGCTCTCAGGTTAATTGATATTTAATGGAAATCATGCCCATGAATATAGTTTCCATCATTTCACCCTTGATAGACGTCAGCCCTGGGCGCAGGGGGAGGCTGAAGAATGCAGGAGGGGGCATTAGGCTTGCTGAGAGAGTAAATAGAAGAGCGGACAGAAACGTTCTGAGGCGGGAAAAAGGGCTCGCGCTGGGGAGGGTGACATTTCCTCGGGCAGGACGCGGCTCCCGGGTCTCAGCCCCGGCGCGCAGCGAACCAGGGCCGGCTGCGGTTCCCGGAGGAGTGCGGAGGGCAGACGACCGCAAGTTCCCCCCAGGAGCCTCCCAGCCGGCGTTCAGATCGCGCCGGTTCCAGGCAGCTGCAGGCGGCCCATCTTATGCTAACGATCCTACTTCCTCCGCCAAGCCTGTGAAATTACTGCCGAGAGAGCGCGCAGGCCTCAAAGTTACGAATTTTTCCCAAAGCAGAGAAAGAGAAGGCTCAGCCTAGTTTGTGAGCAGAGATGAAGAAAAGTTGCCCGAGTCATGTGGCCCAGTCGAGTGTGAATCGACAAAATATTCCCGATTTTAGCAGCTCTCTCCAAAGCTGTCTGGCTTTACCCTACCAACCGCCTCCCCACACACTTCCTTTCCCTCTCTGCTCCCGTTTCAATGTCCAATAAATGCAATGGTTCTCTGTTGTGTGTGTGTGTTTTCCCCTCTCCTGCTCGGCCTTTCTCGTGGGCTCTTTGGGTGACTGAGCCCCGTTTCCTTCGGGATAGGTACAATGTCGTGAGGGCGCCAGGCCCACAGCCTTGGAAATAGACCTCCAAGGCGCCCCTGCTCAAGCTAAACGCACCACGCCGGCTTTCCACACCAAATGCAAATTTCCGAAAACCCCAGACGGCCTCAGAGATGCTGCAGGCTGGCGAGCGATTTCAGCTACCCCTAGCTCCTTGTGGGTTGGCCCAGCCTGCGAGCGCGATCCTGACTTGTGTCCGGGTGGACTGAAATATCATTTTTACAAATGGAGAAAATGAGATCGAGATGGACAGACATAGCAAGGTGATAATGTCCGACTCAATTATTTCTACTGGGAATGACTGAAAGGTAAAGGAATCGTTAATGAATCTGGAGATGACAGAGGCATGCTTTATTTAATTTTTAAATTAGTAAGGAGTGCAGACTTGGGGTGGTGGAGAGCAAGGGTTTTTTTGTTGTTGTTGCTGTTTGTTTTTGTGGGGTTTTTTTTCTGCTGGTTATTGCCAAGTATAATGACTTTCTTTAAATCCGAAGGCGAACGAATTGATTCTGACAATTAAGGATTTGTCCTTCAATCTTGCAAATGCCCAATTAAAAGATTATTATTGTCAATAAAGCCTTGGAGCTACCTTTGTAATTGTGCCCCTTTTTTTCAGTTTGGCGTGTGTGTGTGTGTGTGTGTGTGTGTGTGTGTGTGTTTGAACCCTGGATAAATGAGTGGATTTTGGAATGGAATGGGGGGGGGGAAAATGAAAGAGCCTGGATCTCAACAATACCAGGCATCTTGTAGAACTGTGTGATTCCTCGGGGGAATAAAAGAAAAATGAACACTAGAAAATTCATTTATAGACATTCAGGCCAAATTTAGAAAACGTTACAACATTTCCTCTTGGGACAAAACAGTTTTTAACATTTATTTAAGCATTCCGTTTATAATATGAGTAGAAAAAGAGCGCGATTAACTTAGTAAGAAAAGATCTATGCTTTTTACAGCTTTCTGTTTTGATATAATACATTAATTTATCATGTTTTATAGTTTCAGCTGTGCCACAGTCCAAAGTTTCTGAAGCCATGATCGAGCCAAAATTTTATGCCCAGCAAACACAGAAATTAATAGTACACCTTGTTTATTTTTGGTTAAAATTATCCTAATTTCGGATTAAAAATAAGATTGTTAATATTTTTAATCAAAACCTTTCTCCGCCGCAATTCCAGCTTTACGAGATCAGAAAGTGGAGCAACAGCGCTCTCTAGTGGCCAAATGCCACCTCCAGTCCACTGAATTTAATTTTTATTCATCTCAAACCAATTCTAATCTCGTTCTTCAATTTGGGGCTTGGACTGCTGACACTAATAATGCTTCATTCCTGTGACTGTCAACAAGTCAAGAGCAGCAAGCAGGAGCTCCTGTATGCCTAGGATATTCTAATCAGTGCTCCCAACAGCTTCCAGTAGTGTCTTTTCCAAAAGCTTCCAGCCCTTCTTTTGCCAGACACCAAAAGTCCCCATGCTGTAACCGCCCAGCTGTGCCTTTTAAAACAATTATAGGACAGGCTAGATTTAACAAAACCTACAACTTTCTAAATATCAACTGCCAAGAGGCTTTTTATTTTCCAGAGGAACCAGACACTTTGGCAACCAAGAAATTACAGAAATCAAGTATTGTTATGTTTTTGTTTTTCTCTTACAGCTGTTACTTTTAGGATTAAATCATGAATATTTGCTACTTTAACACTGTAACTTTAATGCTTTGGGGCCCACTTAGGTGGCCGATTTTGGGGGGAATCGAAGCCAAATCAAAAGCTTTTTGCTGGATCTCTGAGTGGCTGTCTGGAAAGTCCCTTTGCGCTTCTGTTTGTTGGAATTTCTATGGACAATAAATGGGATTTTAAAAATATATATCAAAAGTCATTGAACTAAGCATTCCACTAGAATTTTTTTTAAAAGCAATGACTATTCAATTGGCTTAAGTGTTTCCTGTTAGGTTAATCTTTTTACTCATCTTCAAAACTGCTTTCCTCCAGTTTAGGTGTAACAATTGTATTTTTTTATAAGTGAATAGACATAAATTTCAACAACATTTTGCTTCAAAGTTTGGAGTGGAGGGCCAGAGATTCTTGTGAATAGGCATCTAACTTCATCTTTTCCCGCGAACCACACTTCTGGGAGACTCTCACCTGGGTAAATGACCTAAGATCACTAACCACCCTATCCCCAGATAACAGGCCAATTTTTTTGTTTGTTTGTTTCTAAAGAACCAGCTAAACCGTGGTCATAGTCAAAATATTGTAAAATGCCATCTCCTTAGGCTACTTCCATTACCTGGTTCATTTCAAAAATCAGAAATTCATTCACCTCTTCCTTCCTACCTCTTTCATGTTTACTTCCTAGGTGCTCACACCTCACCTGGGGGCTCCCATGCCCCTGCCTTCTTGGTCCAACGCAGTCTTGTTTATATTTTATTGTCTAGATTTTAAGACCCAGTTTTGTCTGCATTTTTCCTTTTCTCCCACAAACACAAACATCAAAATGAGATGGTTTCAAAGCAAAGCACTGGGCCTGTCGTAAACTCATTACCTCCAGACGTCTGGCCCGCTAGATGGCTTTATGACACCTCGGCTCTTCCTGTTTTCAAAGAGCCCTAGGTACCCAGCTGGCCACAGTGGCAGGGGTGCGCAGCACCTTCTGCCGGATCTGGGCCTTCCTTGGCTTTCCCTCCCAGCCCCCCTATGCTTTTTCTTCGCGTCCCCTCTTTCATTGGGATCCCCCAAGATCTCTGCCACCGCCCCCACCTTCCACCCAGCTCAGGCCACTTGGCAGTGCTGCCTCTTTGGCCTGCAAATGCTGTGCTCACCCAAACCCTCACTTACAATGACCTTCATTTTAGCCCCTGAATGCAGCCCTCAGAGGGCCAAGCTGGGGGCTAAACATACACAGAAGCTGGGTGGGGGGAAGGGGGCGGTGAAATGGAGGTGGCTGGGGAGGAGAGCCTTGACCATTTTGATCGCTAAGGTCACTTTGGGGCTTTGGTGGGGAGGAGCAGAAGCTCACAGCCTGACCAGCTGGGACCTCCCGGAGCCAGCTAGCCCCACCGAGCTGGGACAGTTGCTCCAGAGTGTAGAGTTGGCCTTTCCCTTGTTTGGAGAGGGGTTTGGCATCTGGGGCTTCAGGAGCCCAGGGAAGGTTAGGGTGCTGTGTACCCAAGCCCCAGCCTGAAAGTGCCTGGCTTCTGGGGCCTGCTGGCTCTTCTGGGCGCTTCTGCAAGGCTAACACTGGGCCCAAGCACAGAGTTCGTGGAGGACCTTGAACCAGGCTTGGGGAGGCACCAATGTCCCCCCACAGGGTCTGTGCTGCTGCATCTGCCTACACAAAGGGATGTGAGGCAGAGAAGGCAGAGACACATCAGAGAGATCTGTCAGGTGGAAGGGCCCTGAATTTTTAACAATGTCTCACTCCCAGGGGTAGAGGAGAAATATCCTGAGTGTGATATTTTGCAGAGAGGCAGAGAAAGCAGGCACACAATGTTTAGGGCCAGCGTCTGGGCTCCATTTGATCAGGTCAGCATTTATTAGTAGGAAGCAGTAACATTTACAACTGGTCCTCGGGCAGGAACCGGGAGGGCCACCACCCGCGGCCGCCCACGCGAGCCCAGCCTTCAGGGGAGAGAGCAGCGCGTCCAATGCACTGAGGACAAACCCCAACCCGCCCGAGGCCCTGGGCTCCTCTAAGCCTCACTGGAGATCTCCACCGAGGTCCCGCGTGCTCCCTGAGGAAAGGGGGCTTTCGCAACTGGTGGGCAACCCCGCCGGGCTTCACCGTGGGCTAGCAGCCGGGGTGTCCGCACTGTTGTCGCTCTGCCTTCATTCTTGGAATTGGGGCGCACTTGGCCCCTGTTTGGGCAGTGCTGGGGGTGAGGGGACTAAACTACAGCACTTTTCAGAAACATGGGGGACATTTACACAAGAGAGGGCTCCCCAAGCCAGCTTGCACTCACAAAATATAGCATTTCTTAAGGAACCAATGGAGCAGGAAAGAGAGGGAGTGGGATAGGGCGAAACCCCAAAGCCACTTGGTTTTTCCAACACGTAAACGAGCAAATACAGAGTCCCCCAAATACCTCAGAGACCAACCACACAGTCACTTCTATCTAAAAAGAAAAAAAAAAAGAAGAAGAAGTCCAAGTCGCTGGAGAGTTTCTGGAAATCAAGCACCAAACACCCACAAAGGAAAACAGCAACAACAACAAATCCGCTGCCCTTGAGCGCTCCCGCCAGCACCGCGCCGGGTCAGTCTCCTTTGGGGCATTTCTCCTTGCTCATCTTTTTCATTTTCATCCTACGGTTCTGAAACCAGATTTTGACCTGTCTCTCTGTTAGGTTGAGAATCCTGGCCACCTCGTAGCGCCGGTCCCGGGTGAGGTACATGTTGAAGAGGAATTCTTTCTCCAGCTCAAGCGTCTGGTATTTGGTGTAGGGACAGCGCTTTTTCCGGGTGGAGCGAGCGTGGATCCAGTTCGCGGCGGGGTTGTCTACAAAGAGGGAGGTTTGGAGACGGGGAGAGAGGAGAGGAGGGGAGGCAGGGAGAGACCACAGGGTGGGGAAGAGAGGTCGTTAAATTAATTTCACCAAGGATGGTCGCTTTTCACAACTTGTGGGGAATTATCATAAAAAGCCTTAATGCTCGCGCTCTGTTTACCGTACTAACTGAGCGCCCAGGGTAGGTGGTTATGGGAAGCTCTTTTTATGGATGCATGTTGTTCGCCTAGGCTTGGGTAGGCGTCTAGACGTTTTTATAGGTTAGTAAAACTATCAGTTTTGCACATTCGAGCCTTACAGGTTTCAGCAATAAATCAGGGGGCAATTTCTTTTGCACTTACTTGGGTCAAGTTGCTGCTGCTGCGGCTGCGAATGCTGCTTCTCCTCCTCCTTCAGCGAACAGCCTGGGATCGGGTGGTCGCTGCAAGCTGAGGGCTCCGACGAGCCGCCCGTCCCAGTCGCGGCCCCGATCCCTGCCCCAGGCCCGGTTCCCCCCGTCGCCGCTGCCGCCTTCTCCTGCAGGAACGAGTTGCACGAGAACTCGGGGCCGCTGCTCCCCTGGGACTCCCGGGCCACGGAGCACTCAGTCCGTTTGGAGGAGGAGGATAAGGAAGTGGAGGAGGAGGAGGTGGTGGAGGCGGCCGTGGCGGGGGCCGGGGCCGCTCGGGTTTCAGGCTTAATCCCGTAGTGGCGCCCGTTGGCTGGGCCGCTGGGGCCAGGGCTGGGACCGCGGCCCGGACCGCCGCCTCCACCACCACCGCCACCGCCCGCACCGCCCGGGAAGCCGGGCAGCGGCTCCATCCAGGAGCGCACGTAGCGGCCGGGCTCGGAGGCAGAGGCGGCCAGGGGCGGCGGGGGAACGTACGGGTGGTAGAGGCCGCTCATCGCCGCCGCTGCCGGGGGCTGGGAGGGCACCGCGGACCACGAGGCAGAGAACACGGCCGATCTGGGGGCAAAACTACACGAGGCGAACTCGGCGGCGGTGGCGGCCGGGCCATCAGCCACACCTGCAGGCCGGCCCTGCGCGCCTGGCCCCGGCGGCCCGAAGCGCGCCGCGAACACCTCGTCGCCCTCATGGCCTATAAGCGAGTCCACGTAGTAGTTGCTGAGGGTGCCACTGGAAGACATTTTGAGGCGTCCCGCACTCCCACCCAACATTACACTGTCCGCCGCCGAGCAGCTCCCCGCCGGCGCCCGAGCCACCGACTAGTTCGCAGGCTGCAGCCTCCACCATTGGTCGCGCGGCCCACGTGATCATATTTACCAATACCGGGAGTAAATCAGTCCGCTAAACTGGGGGCTGCTGTGATTAAAAAAAAAATCATCAACATAAGCGCCGCAATTAGAGCCCGCAGGCCCAGGTCCATGTGCCCGGCTCGGCCCGGCCCGACCTGGCCTGGCCCGCCCAGCGGCTGCCAGGACCACAGACGCGACCGCATCCAGAGGAGGCGCTGGGGACTATTTGTTCGCTTCTTCTTGCAGCCCTCGGTCCCGCAGTCGGGCCCCGTCGCTGACTCTCCAGCTTCCGAGCCGCGGGCGGCGAGTCCAGGGCACACGGAGCGGCCGCGGGGGCGCCAGGCCGGTGTCGCCCGAGGCAGGCGGGCCCTCGGGGCGGCCCCTAGCGCCCGAGGGGAGCTGTTCTCCCCTCGCCTCTCTCCCTACTCACACCCACCCCTCCCCACACATCCCCACACACACGCTTGCTCACAGCTTGTCGTGTTGTTTAAAACAGGTGGAAGACCTCTGTAATGATATTATGCCTTTCAATAAAAATTTTATGAGGTGTATTTGATTATAGATTAATGTGTCCCTAATAAAACGGACGGATGGAGCAGATCGGAGGGCCCCCTCCCCCTGCCACACTCACACACGCCCGCGCGGCCACACACACCCCGACGTGAGGCTGGGCACACGCCGCGGCCCGAGGGGCGAGCCGGGGCGCGGCGGTGGAGGACACAGAGGGGCTTCTGCCTGCCCTCGGAAGGGCGGGCGGCCGGGCGAGTTGGCGCAGCACGGACAGTGGCGGCCAGGGTGCTTCGTCTTCTCCGATGATGCTGGAAAGGCCCTGGAAGAGAACACGCCACAGGGCAGAACCCAAATGCTAGAGCAGCTTGCTCCCGCCCGCCGCCTCAGCCCTGCCTCAGCGAGTCTCCCCGGGCAGGGCCGCTTCGCGCGGTTCGCACTTAAAGGCCTCGGAGGAGACTCCCAAAATGTCTAAAAAATTCGGCCGAATGGCTAGGTCCTTGGGACACTCCCTTCTGATTTTTTTCCCCCTACAGAGGTGAGGTTGAGCAGCCTTGAATCTGAGGGAAATGCCCATTGTCACTCCCAAATCCATGGTACAAAGCCTCGGAAGCCCGGCTGGGAGCCCAGACAAAAGCGGCCGGGGCGCCGGCAGCGGAGGGCATATTCCTTGCTCTACAAGTTGCCCAGCTCACCCTTGGAGGGCTCCCGGCCCACCTCCAGCCCCGAAAAGGAAGCGGGTAAATGGCTATTTATGGCCTGATTGATTACCTTTGCCAATAGCTTTCTGATTTTGTTCCAGATGGGATGCCTTTGCCTTGTAGCTCAGGCTTTCCTCGGATACATGGCCCGCTATCAACAGCTAATGGTATTCCCCACATGATCGGAGAAACGGCTAAATAAAAATTACCCTCCTCCTGCCCAACCGGTGTTAAGTCTGGGGCAAAGCTATTACAACGTTTTCAATCTAGCATTGATTCCAAGCCCTCTCCCCCACCCCCAGGAAATGGCCCCCTAAAAGAGTTCTGTCTTGGAATGTTCCTGGTTTTGGGGCGGAAGTTTAAAATTTTGAATGCCAGTGTCCCAGAGACTCCCTGGCTGAGGACTTATAGCACCTAAATGGATCGTTCTTAGGGAAACATTTAAAAGGAAGAAATGGAAAGGATGTGTTTTGTAAAACTGCTGGAAGCTATTTGAAACTGCAGGCAGGACCTCAGGTAACGAATTTTCTGTTAGCTTTCTCCTGCAAGGCCTCTTCTCCCTTTTCCCCGACAGGACTAGATAAGTCTGGGCTCTCTAGTGGAGATCCTGTTGAAGCCGGTGGAAGCTGGTGGGAGTCCCCTGGACCATGGCAGCGAATGGAACATTAGACTTCATGGGAAGTCATGTTCATTTGCAAAATTTTCAGTCACCCTTTCTGCATTTTCTTGCATCCCAGATGCAGCAGTTCCCACCAGCATTTTGTAATTAAATAGAGGAAAGACTGACTGGGGAAAATCTTTTCATTTCTTCCTTTAACAAAATTTCATGTGGGCCACTAAAAGGTAATGACTGAGCATAAAACCCGTCCACAAGGAGATCAAGGCGAAGTGGGATGGGAAAACTCACCCATCCTCGGCTTCTCTGGGGTCTGGCTGTCTTGCGCTTGGGATGGGGGTAGGGCTGAGGGAAAGGGGGCAGAATTGGATCCGCTGCAGTGCTACACTGCTGTTTGTCCTTGCTCCTGTAATGGAGGCCGGCAACTTCCAGGTGGGCAAGACTAGCTTCAACCTAGCCCCTGATGATTGCTCGCCAGCCAGAAATCACCAAGATGCCACTGAAAGCATTAAAAACAACACAACCAAAACCAAAGAGGAGAAAACACACAAATGGGAAGCTTTGAGGAGAAAGTGGCTTGGGGTATAGGCTTACTTACCAGGTTCAGGCCAGAGGAAAGCTCACACCCATTGAGAGCGCAATTATGTTACTATCACTGGGGACTGGGAAAGGAAAGAGGAGACTCCCCTTCCTCCCAATTATGAAAACTTCACTCTCAAGCTAGCTTATAATTCCTCTCCCCCAACCACTGCCAAAATCCAACACCCTAGGCCTCCTCCAGCTTTTCTCCCCCATCTCCCTTCCCCTACTAGTCTATCACTCCCCTGCCCAAATGCCCCAAACAGGGAGTGTAACCAGAAGATAATCTCACCATAGGCTTTCATTTCCACCATAACATATTTCCATTTCAGAAAGCAGAGGGAGTGAACTCATTTCCAGAGTTTATTGCATTATACATGCGACCAGAACATGCACAGAAAGGACAGGTTGCTGTTGTACTTCTACCAAACCACAGATGCACCACAAGGGAAAGGCTACAAGGCATAAATCGCCAATATCCCATCTCACCAAGGACAACTGCTAAATTCATTTGTGAAAAGATACATTGTAATGTGCTTTTTAAGTCCCCCTCCCTCCAACTTGTGGGTTTTCTTAATCTTTTTTTTTTAAATATATATGTCATTTTTAAAGTACTGGATGTATTCAAAATGCCATGAGTTCATGGACTAACCACACACATAGACCTTTTGTGTTAGGAAAGACATGAAAAAGTCACATTGCTGGATGGATGGATGGATGGATGCTCTACAGTTCCAATAAGTTAAGACCCAAATGAAAATGCGCAATAATAGTTACCCTGCATTACGATGAAAAAATAATAAATTACACGTGCTAAGTTTTTATATATATATATATATATATATATATATACTCATAGGGATTACAGATCACTTGCAGCACGAACATAATGACCCCAAAGTCACATTCTAGCAGGAAAACAAAATACAACAAAACAACAAACAAAGAGCGGTGAAGGTTTTGTTTCCGCTTTCCCAGTCCTCCAGCACTGGGCCCTGGAACGCGGTGCCCCCTCTCCAATCCTGGCCTCTGACCGGCCTCAGACCGGCCTCAGACCTAAGAAAACGTGAGGTTGGCGGTCAGTTCTCGGATCCGGTTCTCTCGGCTCATCTTCTTGAGTTTCATTCGGCGGTTTTGAAACCAAATCTTGACCTGCCTGTCGGTGAGGTTAACGCTCTTACTGATCTCTAGGCGGCGCTCGCGGGTGAGGTACATATTGAACAAGAACTCTTTTTCTAATTCCAGCGTTTGGTGCTTAGTGTAAGGGCACCTCTTCTTTCTGCCACTCTTTGCAGTGAGCCAATTGCTGGTTGGTGTATCAGACTTGATTTCCTCTAACAAAATTAAAGGGAGAAGAAGAAAAAAATCAAGAGGTTTTTTGTTTGTTTGTTTTTGTTTTTGTTTTTGTTTTGGTTTTGGTTTTGGTTTTCGTTTTTGTTTTTTTCTTCAGACTGTTCAAATGTACCCTTGGCCGTGACCCTGCTGGCAGCCAGGCCGCTTTGGAAAATGCTAGTATTAAACATTACTCACATGAAGTGGGCCTTGGAAGGGAATCTTACATTGATGCCACATTACTTAAATGACATGATGGCAGGACAGTCTGCATTTGGGTTCTCGCTCTCTCTTTCAACTTTCTCACTTGTACAAAACATTAGTAGAATAGTAAACTTTCCAGATCTCCCCAGCAACATTCTAAGGGTTCAGCTCCTAACAGGGACGGAGGGGAATACGCCACGACCTGGACAAGCCTACCAACCCCACTGCTGCCTCAGGTCCCCAAATCTGCCACTTCTTCCCCACCTCTCCTAGGCAGTCAGGAATCCTGACAGTCAGGTTTATAGGTGCCCATTCTCTTTCAAAAGATAAATGGGGAAGCGAGACACCTTCCCCCACCTTGCCTGGGTATTGTTGCATTCCCCAGAATTTCCTTAATTTTCATGTCTTCTTGCCCCCACACTAAAGCATTCCCCCAGAAAGGGAGCCCCCTACTGTGGCCCACCTCTAAGCACTGGGGGAGAGGAGGAGGGTTCCTTCTCAAAAAGCCAGATCCCTGGCTCTTTGCCTTAGCCCAGCCCTAAGGCTGGCCTTGCAGGGAGGGCAATGCGGGTTCCACTCTCCCCCTCCGCCTTTGCCCTCTTTGCCGACGGATTGCAAAGACTGCAGCACTTTTCCTAAACAAAGCCAAGGTTACCTAGCCCAGCAAAGGCAGTAAGCCCTGTTTCCCAACTCAAGCACCAACCAGCCCAGCCATCTCTTTCCCCTCACCACCCCCAAGCTCGCAGGATGCGGGGTGCATACACTTGAACACGAACACGGTGCCCTGGATCACCTTAACATGATCATTGGGCTCAAGGCAAAACTGGAACTGCAAATCTGAGCAGGAGAAAAGAGGCTCTGTGGTCGTGTTTATGAGCCGCAGGTCTCCTTTGCGCTCTTTTGTTGTGTTCAGGTCTAGCTCAGGAAAAATAAAACCGGCAAGCTTTTCCTCTGCCCGGGCGCCATCAGCGTGGGGCCAGGACTGGCGGAGAGGGCCAGGGCAGCAGGGGAGAAGCGGGGACTATCTCAGGGCTGAGATCACCCCTCTAAAACCAGGCGGAGCAGCACCTGCCAAGTCGGGCTCCGGCTCGGCGCTGGGCACCCCGGCACTCCCTCTCTGCCGGGTTCCCGGGCTGCGCGCCCCGCTGGGGTGGCAACTCTGCTCATACCGACCTTTGCTTTCCTTCTCCTGCACTTCGGGACTGGACACGGAGACCTCAGCCAGGCAGCTCCTCTCTTCGGGAAGGCCGCCTTTGGCCTCGGGGCTCTCCACCTGGGAGACTTTGGTGGGCTCCTGGCCGCTCACGGGCTCGTTCATCTTCTTTTCCATCTGCAGCTGGGCAGCGGAGAGCTGCGGCTTGGCCGCGCCACGAGGGTTGAGCTGGAGCATGACAGTGGAGCTGCCTTCGGGGCTATTATTGTACTCTTGGGTTTTCCCGGTGGCGTAGGTCTGACTCAGTCTAAAATATCCAGGGACGGGAACCTCAGGGTTCTCAACGGGACAAGACTCAGGGACCAGCCTCTGGTACGAAGGGACCTCGGCCGAAATGAGTTTGTTGCGCTTATCAGAATACATGCAGCAATTGGATTCTTCCTTAATGTTGGTGGTGAAGGAGCAAGTGGGGACTTGCTGTGTAACAGGTTGCTCTATTCGACAAGATCTGTTCGGATCTGTCCAACTGTCTACTTGAGGTATATAAGGATGCACATTCATACCCATATTTTGGTGGTTCACTTCTCTTTTGGCCAGAGACGGGAGCAGTCCACAGGTTTGCATTCCATAGGTCCCCATGTCTGCGCTAGGTGGTGGCATGTACATGCTGGCGCTGCTGGAATAAAAACTGTCACTCCTGCAGGCACTGATCAAGGAATCTACTAAAAAAGTATTAGCAGCAGGAGAGCTGTTGGGAAAGGACATTTTGGGGAAGAATTTGAAGAAGAGAGATTGTGTCCTTTGTAGGCTGACATCTCTAGGAAAACATTCCCCGTGTAATTGTGGATGCCTCTGCCGACCACATGACAACCAAGCCAATGAGATTTGAAAATGGCCTTGAGCCGCAGCCTCCTCTCGGGTCACGTGCTCCAGAGCCTGGCCGGCCGGCCGGGTAAGCACGGACAACAGCGACATCTACTACGCGCCCGCGATAGTGCGCGCTGGAGACAACCGGCCCAGCGCTCTCCGCCGCCCTCCTGTCCGCCTCTCCAGGGCTCGCTCGGCCAGCCCGCCCCACTCGCGTCCCCCGCTTCGGCCCCTGGGCCCAACCGGCGGAAGGAAAGTCTCAGCTCTAGGGGCCTCCAAGTGGACACGCACGGACGGGGAGGGAAGCCAGAGTGCCCTGGCGCCAGCGCACAGAAGCATTCCCCCCACACACAACCAGGCAGAACGCGCTTAAGAGGGCCGGGTCCAGGACAAGCGGGTGGGGGCGCAGGCTGGTTAATTTAGTCCCGGGCAGCCCAGCGGGAAGGTGAGTCGGATTCCGCGGGCCCTGAGACATCCCACCCCAGGGGTCCAAAGGAAAGATCCCTTGGGGCTAAGAAGCGGCCAAGGTGTCTCTAGGAGGGCGGAGGCAAAAAGGGCCGCGAGGGCCGGGAGGCCAAGCAGCTGGCCGGGCCCGGATCCCCATGGATGGGTTGGTCCCTGCGTTGTCCTCCCGCTCGGTCCTCCTGCCTGGCTCCGGGTTCCTATGCGCCCCGGAGGGCTACACGAGGCTTCGGCTCTCAGAGGAACCACACCCTGACCTCTGCGGGGCCGGACCTCTGGGAGCTTTCAGCCCAGAGACAATTCTTTGCCAGCAGTTCACTATCCGCGAAAGCGTCCCTCGGGCTCCCTGTAGGAGAACTAAACAGAGGTTTCTCTCCCCACACCCTGATAATGGAGGGCAAACAGGAAGGAAGAAAGGAAAAAATAATTTAAGAAAAGGGGAAACTCTGACCCTCAGAATCCAGAAGTTTTAGAAAACTGACTGGGCCAAGAAGGACAGAGAGAAATGCAAAGGTGTCATTTTGGTTCTTCTGCAAAGAAAAATGTTTTCCTTTTATGGATTTTGTAAAAGCACTGGTTTCTGACAAGTGCAAGGTACAAAAGGTTGTGGAATTTATTAATACATATTAAGAAGAATCAGGGCGATCAATAAAATTCTCATCTACATTCTTGGGCTACTTGGTAATTTTCTTGCTTCTGAAGGTTTTTAAAGAGTTATGCCCGCTGTTGCCACACACGGGAAGATACTTTATTAACAAATCAATCGAGACTTTGTAAAGGATAAGATTAATAGTTAAATTTACCATAATGGCGTTCGCTTTATGAATTATTGAAAATTATACTATTGATTTTTTTCCCTTCGCTGCTAACCAAGAAGGTCATTTTTGTTTTAATACAAATTGTCAAATATTAAAAGCTATACTTTTGTCAGAAGTTGAGTTTTACAGTTTTGGACAATTTCTGAAATTATTTGACAAGGCTTTGCTTGGGTAAGGGAGGGGAAGGAGGTGGGAATCTTAGTTCTCTGTTTCCTTTGGTGAGGGAAACTTCTATGAAGAGGATATGGTCTGGGGTTGTGGTCCGGCTCATTAAAGAACCACCACTACCACCACTACCACCACTACCACCACTACCACCATGGAAACTCAGAGTTTTATGAGAAACTTCAACAACTTCCTCCCTCCCTCTCTTGCTGCAGGCGGGTGAGCCGCCCTGCGGAAGCCCGGGCCTCGGGGCAGCAGCGGGGAGCTTTAACCTTGATTTCCAAAGACTTGCCCTGAGTGAGGGGCCGGCCAGGGCTTGGAGCCGTCCTTCGGCCTGCCAGGTTCCCTTCCTGCCAGCCAAGAAACTAAAGCGGTCCCAGAAACTCTGACCATGAACCAGTTCTCAGTCCGGGAGGGCATCTGTGTTCTCTTTTCCCCGTACTCGCTGGGGCATGGGCTGGCCTTGGATTTCAGGCCCAGAGACTGAACTTGTGGGTAAATTGGGTTTCCACCTCAATAGAACATTTCTTTGGGGCCTGAGGTTCATTAAAGCGCCTCAGCATTCTGGGGGACCTAGTAGCCCGCCCGCTCCTTTACAAAAACCTTTCCCAAAAAACCCTTTGTCCCTCTTCCCAAAAAGGAATCTCCCCTGGCCTGGTTGAAACAAGCGTTGAACATTATTTTCGGCCTTGGGACCCTTTCGCCTGTTCCCTCTCGGTGCTCTCGCCCAAACAATAACCTCTTTTAAAAAACTCCGCGGTGGCAATGAGACAGACCTTTTAAACCTTTACGCAGCTGTTCAAATACAACATCATTGTCAGGTTAAAAGCCTGGCGCCTCTAACTGCTTTGGCTGCAGCATCCCAGCATAGCCTGGGGTTTAAACATTACCTTTCCACAGGGGTGGCTGTTTTCGAGCTTGGGGGTGGGGGTTGAGGATGGCCGGAAAAACAAAACAAGACAAAACATAACTTTTGACTCTAGGTTGCTAAGGTACTGTTCAAAGCTAACAGCCACTGACCAGCGCCCTGAAATTTGCTTTCTCACATAGTAGAGATCTTGTTTCAAGCCAGGGCTAAGCGTGCCCAAAGCTGAATGAAGTGCCCGCTGCACTCGCTTGCCGCAGGCGCCCTGACACTAGCTTGGCGCTCCAGCAGTATCGAGTGTCGCCCTTTTGCCTCTTGGCCAGAAGAGCTGCTGGGAACTTGTTTGCCCAATTTTCCCTACCCTAAGAAAGGCAAGACTGTTTAATCTAATCGGGAATTTTATGCCCATCAAATGCCCTTTCATAATCTTTATTTATACATGAAGAAAACATACAGGCTAAAAACAAGCAATTCCTTGCGGGCGGGTAGGTCTGCAGTGAGCCAGAATAGGCAGGATGTGTCTTCAGAATTTGGGGACCTTTCCATTTCAGCTTTCAGTGGCTTTGAGCTCAAAGTCACTCCCTTATTGGTTAGAGTTAAATAGGTTTTTACTCACAGACAAAAATGTGTATATCAGACATAATTTTGAATCTGTTCTCACAAAATTCTATTTTTTATCTTTAAAATTTCTGCTTTCAGACCCGCTCCTTGAGACAAGAGACTGTCAATATTTTGAGATATTTTATCATTAAAAAATTGAGCAAGATAGAAATAATACAAAAGAATGATCCGAGCCCCAAAGGATGGAAAGTGTGCCTAAGACTCTAAGGCTGAGGTGAGACAAATGGAATAAAAAGGCCGTGCTCTACAGGCCAGCCTTTATTTTGCTTATGAGTATTTAATGTAGCTGATGTTTTCCATCATCTTTAGATCAGTTGGAGCAGTTACCATTAATAATAAATCAATATTGCACCATAAAGGAGATGAATACCCATATTTGTACCAAGACGCCCTTCTCCCTGCCACAGTTCTTTCCAGGGAAAAATTAAAAGAACAGCTTGAACAAGAAATTAGCATTTGTAATCAAAAAGTGGCTTGCATCTGCACTCTTGTCTCCTGGAAGAAAAGTTGAAGCCCTGGGCCTGAGTGGACCTGTGGGCTCTTAGGGTCACCCCGGATTAGGGTTCTGAGCCACCTCTGGGCTGTGTCACTCTTTGGGGACAGAGCGGATGGAGTCGATTAAAAGCTGTCTTCCCCGGGCGCTCCTCCGGGTTGCACTGTGCACCTCCAAGCCAAGGTGAAAGGAAATCTAGGGGGCAAATGGGGAGTCTACCACCAATGCAATAAGGGGTCTATCCAGACGTGCAACAAGGGCCGGCGGCCGGAGAACCTCCTTCTGCACAGACACAAAAGACTCCTACTTCGCGCATTTCCCTTCCACTTCAGAGTCTGAGACCTTGGCGCCTTAGGATCCAAGGCCACTCTCCGCAAGCCCCACACACTTTGTAAGATGGGGGTGGGGAGAGGTCTTCAGCCCCCAGAGGTTCTGGTCTGATCCCGGGCCCTTGTCAGGCCCATCTTGGGCGCAGGGAGGAAAGGAACTGCAGACCGCTGAGAAGCGGTGTTTCGCAGGCGGCTGCCAGCCAAGTCCAAGGGGCCCCCGCACAGCCAGATGTGCAGCCGCTGGGGCCGCCTTGAGAGGACAACGACATTTAGGGAGGGCAGCTCTCACTTCACATAGACCGAGGACCCCGTTCAGCCTCGGGAAAGGTAGCGTCACTATAGACAAGGTGGACCGGCGGTCAGACTAGTGGAGCCAAGGTTGCCTGCGGGGAACACCCACGCCACTCGTTGGAGCCTCGCCGGGGGGCTCACTGGAGCCCCGGCCTCCCCACCAAAGCTGAGGCCAGCTCCGGGAGAGGGGCAAGCGGCAGGCCCCAGGGCCTTTGGTCCAGGGCTTGGAGGGCCAACAAGGCCAGCGCTAATTCTGGGGGTTGCAGGCTCTTCACAATGAACTTCGGGGAGGGAAAGGGGGCAGTCATCCTCCCTTAGAGAGGCCAATGTCGGGGAGCCCTGTCTCCTCTCTTGTGAACTCCGAACGGGGACACAGGCCCTCCCCAAGGTCAGGGGCTTTGCTGGAGGAAGGAGGGCACGCAACGAATGCACTGCTTCTGAGAGCCACAATTCAACTCTGCTCAAGACCGGCGTGCAGCTTGGAAGGGTGGCCAGTTTTCTGTCAAACGCAAAGCCCGTTTGCTTCAAATACATTCCCCGTTTTACAACGCCTTGAAGTATAAACGTTTCCCCCGAGTGCCTGCTGCCTCCCGTGTCCGCATCAGCCCAGCCCGGCCTGGGCACACCAACTCACAGTCCTGCCGGCGCCACTCGGTCGCCACTGGTAGCCGCGCACTCCAGGCACGGCCGCGGGCTCCCAGAACGATTCTCCCAGTCCCCCATGCGTCTTATTTTTTTCTGAGAGACATTTGGCTAAGTGGCCCGCTCCCTGATCTGTTATAAACAAAAGCCTTTTAATCATCCCAGGAGGTCTGAGAGGGGGTAAAACCGATGAAGGTTTTTTTTTTTTTTTTTTTTTTTGCGGGGGGGAGGGGGATGTTAAGTAGGGGGTGTCCAACCCTAGACAAGGCTCTCCACACTGAAACCAAGAAAACTGATTTTCCCTAATTTAATTAACCAGCAGTGGCTATGGTATCTTTCAAAATGCATACATTTATCTTTTAAAACTCTGCTCCACACCATCTGGTTATACCAAGGTATTCTTTTGCAACAGCTTTGTCTTTAAAGAGACAAAGATTAGGCTGTTTCGTGAATCTAGTTGCTCCGTTTTCTGTCTCTATACAACTTCTCACACCTCATGGCTGCTTAGAACAAATAAACTAGCAAACACCTTAGCTGCCGCCTGTTTCTAAGGGGTTGAGGTCGCCTATTAGAATCCAGTGTTGGACAGACAAGGTACCGCGGCCTCTTGGTCAAACGCGGCTTCTGGAACGTGAGCGCGCCCTCGTGTGGATCTCCAGGCCCCTGCAAACGGAAAATGGTATCTCGGGTTCGGCTTGCCTTGGGTGGTGGGCACACAAGCTTGCTACGTTTAGATGCAGTTTTAAAAAATAGATGGAAACAGAAAGAAAAAAAACAGTTTTAAGCTCATGGAACGATCACACTATTAGGGCACTGACATTTTAACCGATGTCTAGAATACCAAAGGAATCCCCTTCTTAACGAAATTTTTCGATTGTAGGCTTTGTTTCCATTGCATCTTTCACCAAAGGATGCTTTTAAAAGCATTATAACTATATTTCCTTTTGTTCCTTATTGTAGAAAGTGCAATAATTTATTTCACAGGGTGGCAAATTGCTTTCAAATTTAATGAAGGTGTAAGGCTGCACAGAACTTCCTCTTTCAAAGGCTTGATTTTAAAACTGTAGTTCTTCATTAAAGCAAAGGGGACCACTATTTAAGACCCCCCGCCAGAATTCTCAGCCTTTCCTAGCTGTAGTGAAAGCAGCTAGAAGGCATTTTAATCTAATCAGTATTTTTAAAAAGAAGTTGACTGCTATTGCATTACACAAACGTTTGCAGGGAAATTAAGGTTATTGATCCTGAAATTAGGAATTTTCTTAGATTTATGGTGAGCTCCTGGTATGATTTTGTGTGGTCATAAATGTGTGTGTGGCTCTCTATATGTGTGAGCATGTATGTGTGAGAGTGGGTGGCAGCTGAAAATCAAGAAGAACTTAAGGCGCCTAATTATTCAGAAAGGTTAAAGGTGATGACCTTGACATTTTGGAAGTTCAAAGGCATACATTTATGCACTTATTTTTTCCTTCCCAAATAAGGCTTAGCAATTTTTTTAATTGCATTTTGAAGTGCATGACTCCTTGGAAGATGCATGGGGTACTGTGCATTTATAGATTTATATTTTGTCTTTGGGCTTAGGAGAGGTTAAGACTCATAAGATTCACTTCACTCTTTTCAGAGAGAGAGCTTTTCTCACTTCTCCAGTTTATTGCACATTGCGGAAATCTCTTTTGGGCCCACCAGAAGGTGTATAATATAACCCAATTAAGCTGTTTAGAACTTTGGCTTTTATGGTGTTGTCTAGACAGTTCAAGGTTTTGTAAACAGCCTGGCCTGGCCCTGCAACATAAAGTGCAGTAGAGCCCTCACCACATTCTTTAACTTGAAGCGATAAATGCCGTGAGAGGGTCTGCAGCTCCTGGCCCTATTTCAGTGGGGGCGGGGAGGGTTTACCTTCCCTACTCCAGGTCCACTTATGACACCAGCAAGCCCTCTCCACCTACTGATGACTTCCTTTTCGAAAACTTCTCCCTTCAATGGAAGTTTCTAATTTTGGTTTCTTCTTTTTTAAGGGACTGTGACTCCTTGTTAGCTTGTAAGAGATCATTTGGATTTTCTAACCAGTTTTTAAAAATGGTTGCTGTCTTTTCAGAAATCCCAAGTTCACTAGACTAGTGGTGGGGGTGGGAGTTTTCTTCTTAGGTTCCTGCTGCCCCAGCCTTACTGCCTGGAGAAGGCAGCGCCAGCATTGCTTGGTCACATCGTCAATTCAGAAATTCATCACTAACATGATTTTTAAAACCAGTGTAACCTAGAGGTGGTGGGAGGGTACGACTACTATTTTAGTGGGACTAAAAAGTATTTCATTCGATTTTCAGTTGCATGGGTTCTGGCCACTAAAATATCCTAAGGAGGCACTAAACCTCAAAGAGGAGAATTCATACAGTGTATTGAAGCTGTAACCTCCATTTTACTAGAAACCATTTATTCACACAAAAAAAGACAGTGACTCATGCCTTGATATGACAGACTAAAAGTACATTTCCCAAAGTTTAAATAACCTGCATTCACCGAAGAGGAAGGAAGGGATCTCTTAAAACTCAGAGCAAAACACCAGCGCCTTCTAGCAACCCCCAACCCGGCCCAACTTCCTACAGACCCCGCCGTGTCCCCACGAGGACTCGGAGAGGGGGAGGGGGAACGACAGCACACTGGCGGTAAAATTGTAACGGGACGTTTGCATTTACCATTTTCCCCTTATTAGGATCCGCTCGGCCAAGTCCCGGCCTCGTCCGCAGGCTGCAGTGGTCGCTGGGAGGTCCCGAGTTGACCGTGGGAAGGAATCGTGAAGTTCCACAGAGAAGAGACGTCATTAAACCCAAGGACAGTGGGCCTGCGGAGAGCAGGCTGGTGGGAAGGAGGGTGGGTGAGTGGGGCTGGGGTGAGGGCGCTTCCTGGAGCTCTCAAAATAAGGGGTTTCCAGTGAAATACTGCAGACGGTCTCTGTTCAGTTTCTTTTCTTTCATCCTGCGATTCTGGAACCAGATTTTGACTTGCCGGTCAGTGAGGTTGAGCATCCGAGAGAGTTGAAGTCTTTTCTCTTTGTTTATGTACACGTTAAAGAAAAACTCGCGTTCCAGTTCGCGGATCTGGTACTTGGTATAGGGACAGCGCTTTTTCCGGGACCGCTGGGGGGCAACTGCAAGGCAAAGAGACCAGGGGGTGAGAGAGGCCGCTGCCTGACAGCCCCCACCCGCCCGCCCGCCCGGGCCACTGAGCGAGGGCCAGGCCCTGGCCCCGTTGGGGACGTTCTCTGCCGCGGCCGAAAGGCCCTGCCTGCGTCGTGGGGGATGATATATGGGCGGGCACAGGAGAGAGTGCGGGCGTGGACATGTGTTCACGCCCGGACACACACACACACACACACACACACACACACACACACAGAGCCTGGCACGGAGGTGGGGAAGCAGAGGGCAAGGCAGGCTCTAAACTGGAACCTGAGGGAACAGAGACAAGAGCAGGCCCGCCGGGGCATCTGCTTGACTCCAGCGGCGCGCGTCAGCTAGCGGCTTGGATAAAGTCCAGTGCAAGGATCAAACTCCCCCCACTTCCCCACCCCCCGCCTCTCTCCCTTAAAAGCAGGAGGCTCCGGTGTATGCACTCACACTGGCTTGAAATCTCCCTCCCTCCCTCCCTCCATGGTATCTAGCAACCCCCTGCCCAAAACTGGGAAAAGGCTCTCGACAGCTATTAATGTCCTCCTCGAAGTCTACCTTAAGCCCACCTAAATTGGTTTCCTACCATAAACACACTTTACAACGGCCCAGGAAATCTTATAGGATGTATAAACCTCTTCGAATGCTTATAAAGTAGCACATAAAAAGGCGCAAGCAGAGGGAGGCCTCCGCCCCCCCCCCCTCCCCCGCGGCCCCCGGGCCCACCGCTTGCCCAGTACCCGGTGCCTACCTGCGCTGCTGCTCTTCTCGGCCCCCGCCTCTCCCGGGGGGCCCTCGCCGTCGCCACCGCTGCCTTCTGCTGCCCCCTTGGGCTCCGAGCCAGGGGTCGCCTTGGTGCAGGGACTGCCCCCGCCGCCACCAGCCCCGGTCCTGGGGTCGCCCTTGTCGGCTGCGCCCTCGGGCTGTGGCGGCGCGGGTGGCGGCGGGGGCTGCGGCCCGGCGAACGGGGGCCCGGGCGCTGCCTCGTAGAACTGGTCGAAGCCCTGTGGCAAGATGCCATTGCGGCCCACCGCGCTGTAGAAGTTGGAGGCGGCGCCCGCGGGGCCGTGCGGCGGCCCCGGCGCAGCGCACACCGGCTCAGGCGCCTTGAAGAGCACGTCCGGCCGGCGGCCCGCGGGCGGGAGAAGCTCGCGTTGCATGGCCGCCTCCTCGGCCGCCGCGGCCGCCGCAGCCGCCGCCGCCGCCGCCGCGTAGTAGGGAGCGTAGCCCCCCGCGCCGCCGCCGCCCCCGCCGGGGCCGCCCCCGCTGCTGCCGCCCCCCGCGCTGCCGCCGCCGCCGCCGCCGCGGTACGGCCACTTGGCGCGCTCCAGGCCGTAGTCGCGGAAGGCCACTTCGCGCACGGGCTGGACGTGCGGAGCCAGGTTGGAAGAGTAGGGGAAAGTCATCTGGCAGGACGACGGTTGGGAAAGGAACGAAGGCTTGCTAGCGAAGTCAGACGGGGCCACATAGTAGGCGCAGCCCGGCAGGTACATGCTGGCTGCGCTCTGGCCGCACTCGTCAAAGTCGTTCATGACTCCGCGGCGTGCGCGCCAGCGAGCCTCTGGCCGCTCCCCGCGCAGCCAACCTGAGCCATCGATTGCACAAGAGGCTTGGGCCAGGATCAACTAAGCAAAAATCCCCACCGGGCGCTGACGTGCAATTCATCTTGATTGATTCTGGTGGTAATTATGTCACGTGACGCCATGAAGAGAAATGTCCTTATATCTATATCAACGCTCGCCAACACGCCCCGGGACGGCTCCTGGCGCCGAGACGCGCGCGCTGGGGGCGGATCGGCTGCCCTCTGCCGCCAGCTCTCCCCGGGCGCTCCCTGACCAGGCTGCGCCTCAGGCCGGTCACCTGCGCGCCGCTGGCCGCTGTCACCGCTGGGCGCATCTGCCACCGCCCGAACGGGCCGCCCGCCCGCGTCCGCCCTCCCGCGCCGCTTTAAGTACGCGGACCGAGGCCGGCGGGGAGGAGGAAGGAGGGGGAAGAGGGGGAGGAAGGGGGAAGGGAGAGAAGCAGCGAGCAGAGGGGGGGAAGCCCCGGCTCCAGGCTCCCTAGAAGCTAGGAACTAGGTGTGAGGGTGTGAGGTTCCGAACCCCACCCCCCTTACTGCAGCCGCTCCCTCCCCCGCGACTCTGCCACCCTCTGCAGCTCACCCGCCTGGGAGCTTGTTGCTTCTTGTTCACCGGGCGGGAGTAATTTCGCCACTCTCCAGGGCGCAGGGAGCCCTGATTTACATATTTTTCTGCCCAGCGCGTTCAGAGTGGAGTGACTTGGCTCTTTCCGGTTCTGACCCCAAGGGTGCGAGTGCTGGCCTCGGAAAAACCCAGGCCATTCACCACCTAGGCACTCACCCAGGCCGGGGCCTTCGTGCCCACCCGGCTCTCTTCCCTTCTCTCTGGTTTCCCTCTCTGTTCTTGTCTCTCTTTCTCCTTGCCTCGTTTCTCTTCAGTCTTCTCCCTTCTCTCTCCTGTCTTCACTTCTCTCCTTCCTCTTCTTTTCCGCTTTCCTTCTTCCTTCCTCTTGCTTTCCTGTCTCCCTTCTCCTCTCTCTCTCTGTCCTCTCATCCTCTCCCCTCCTTTCCTCTAAGCTGTGTGTCACTGTCTCTGTCTCTCTCCCCGTTGCCTCTCTGCCTTCTCCTTCAGCACTGAAGCCAGGAGGGGGCTCAGCCCGTGGTCCCCAGCCTCCCTAGAATCTGGGGAGTCTGGTGAACAAAAGGATCTGGAGTCCTACTCTTAGGGTGCTTGGCTTCCCGCTGGCTCCCCACAAGAGACAACCCCCACACACTCGCACCTTCGTCCTCCTCACCCCTCTGCTTTCAGGCCTAGCCTGGGTGTCCGCCTTATACCTAGACCCTTCACTGCTTCGGAGCCCCGCCAAGGCCTGCGAATCCACGCCGCGTTTCCCCGAGGCTCTTCTGGTACCCTTGGGTCTGCATGGTCACTTCAGCCCCTCCCCCAAGATAGGTTGTCTCTCTAAGGGCTCTCAGCGGAGCCTGACTCCCTCCTGGAGCCCCTCTGTGTCACCTGGCTCTGAGGCAGACTCTTCGTGGGGCACCCCATCCACTCCCCCAAGGCCTCACTCTCCTCCCAGCCTGCCGCGACCCTCTCCTAGCCCATGGGTCCAGGCAAGGCCTGGGATCCCACCTCCGAGTGAGCAGACGCTTTTCAAAGGTAAACCGTCTCTTCCCAAACCCAAATCCCAGAACCGAGGGCAGGAGGCTGCCCCTTTCCCCAAGATTCCTCCGCCCAGGCAATCCCAGCGCTGGGGCCTGGGCCTCAGTCCTATACCCAGGGCAGGCGGCGCTGGCTGTGATGCTGGTTCCCTCCCTGGCCCGGGCTGCTGCAGTGCCGGTGCTGTGCGCTCTGCCCACCGTGCGGACAGACAGAGAAAAGGCGGGTGGTCTGAGCTAATATCTATTTTCTGGCTGATGTACCCCCCCTTCCTCTTTTTCTCCTCCCTCCCTTTCTCCCTTCCTCTCTCCTTCCTCCGCCCCTTCCCATGTCTTCTTCCCTCCCCCAACACTGCGCAAATAGGTCTGTGGCGACTGGAGGGCATCGAGCCTCCCCCAACTAGAACTGCCCATCTTGTGTGCTCCCTCCCCGCAGCTGGCACCCCCGCCCAGATTCCAGCTGACATTCTTCTCCTCAACCCAGACCCCCAGCACACTTATCTGCCTCCCCATCTCCATCCCAGGCCCAAGCCTCTCCCTTTCGGGCTCGTGGTCGACGCCCCTGGATCTCTCTCCTAAAATGGCTCCCTGGACGCTGCACACTGGCCCTGCGGTAGCTCAGGACCCAGGGCAGCTGCGAGGACTTCAACCCGGGTCTTTATGTGTCTGGGGATTCGCAAAATTCTCGCACCTTCTCTCTACTGGCGGCACGGGGTGGGGTGCAGGCAGCCCGGCGCCCCCAGTATGGAGCCTGCTGACCGCCGAAGAGGGAAAAGGGGAGGACGAACCATTCAAGTTCAACGACATGGCGACGGCAGCTCCGGCGGGAGCAGCGATTTGGCGGGGGAGGGTGAGCCATCTGCAGTGGCGCGCCGGTGCATAGGGGAAGGGGGCGGCCGGCCCCTTTCGGCTCCTTAGCGCGGACCCTTGCCCCCCGACCCACTCCACAACCCAGAGCGCTTTCATTCCAGTCCCAGCCCGCTTGGCTCTTTGGCCCCAGCTCCCTCCTAGTTCCTACCCCCATTCCCCAAACCCAGGGAAAACCGCAGCCTCCGGACCCGCGCGTCCCGCTCGAGAACCTACCGTGAAGACCCCGACTCTGTGGCCTTGTCCTTGCCTGCGCGGCCCCACCCGAAACGCAGGGAGCGCACCAGGCCTTCGGGGCGCAGCCAGCCGCTCCGCGAGAAAGAGCTTTCCGCACAGCGCCAGGACGCGATGCGGTGATTTTGAGTCACCCAAGATAAGACACTAACTTGACCTTAACTTTGTCAGGGCGCCCCTGGTATCTGGAGAACGTGAACAGACACTGTCTGGCAGCTCTCGTAAAAGCTGACTGGGGAAGGGATTCTGAGTCATTTCATTTATTGCCACTACAGTTCTGCAAGAAAGCTTTTCCTCCCTGCCAAACTTTAATTATTTATGCTCTTTTAAGAAACGAAAGAAGAGAAATGCAGGGAAAACACCCAGAGCCAGTTCCTTCCCTACAGAGCCTTCGGAATGGACTTCTTAAGTCAAGCGACTGGAGAACAAAAATATGGGGAGATCACCTTTGTCTAAGGACAGTGGGGCAGTCGCCTTGCCCTCCCCCACTATCACTGAGGGGGGAATGCAGCTGGGAGAGGCGGGTGAAGGGTGAAGGGGCATCCCCCCACATGAATATTTACAACGGTTCCAGATTTCTCTTCCACCCGCCGGCATCCCGGAAGCCTCCTCAGCCCGCCTCCCTGGGGGAGAACCCCCAGGCCTTAAAAGCGTCCCCCCTTCCCCGCCGCCCTCTGAGTTCCCAACTGATTGAATGCCAGATGAAGCTGTTTTTTTCTCGTTTTAAAACTGTTTTCTTGGTCAAGAGGCCCGCTTGGACTGCAGCATTTCAGAGGACACATTTGTCTTTCTGAAGGGAATGTTGAGCACTCAGATTTTAGCGTCCTTTCTCTTCGGCTTTTTTTTTTTTTTTTTTTTTTTAACAAATTTCCTAGTGGTTCCAAATCTCTGCGGGAACCCGGGCTATGGAAGGAGACACCAGAGTCTTTGTATTTGTGTGAAATAGCAAACGGGATAGATTTGGAAAAGACTGCTGAACCAAGAGATACGCTTTTATATTTAGAATAATTTAATTTTCTTTGAGGAGTGATCTCCATGAATATCCCCTCCCCCCACTCATCCCAGGCTAAAGGGAAAGAACACGATGATTTAATGATATATTTTGGAAAGAAACGGCCTCCGTGTTTTCTGTCTTAAGGCCTGGATCTGAGTTCATATGCTTTCCTCCTCCTTTCCCCAGCCTTCCGAGCGCTCAGTGCGGCTTCAGCCTTTGTTCAGTTGTTTTTGAGGAGGCAAACCTCTGAATGCAGACTCAGACTTGGAGATCCTGCTCTGGGTACCATCGCCTCTATGTGCCCAGCCAGGTGGAGAATCCTTTTGAGCCATAGGGCCTTGGCAGCTCTTGCTTCTTTCTCTCCTATTGAATATATATACATATAGGTATATATAGTTGTGTGTGTGTATACAATTAAAGAACAATTAAAAATTTCAATTATACACCAAATTTGCTTCTGGGAAAGGGAGTTGAAATGTTGAATATTCAGTGTTAGTGATTTAGTGGTTTTGCTAATTCTTCCTCTAGCTAAAAGCTAGTTTCCACCTCCACCAGCTAGGAGCTTGTTTTTGCAAGAAAATGAGTAGCAAGCAGGCCCTGAATTTCCTGGACTAAGCTAGAGGTTCAGATGGACTAGGGAGTTTTGAGGCCCCATTTCCCAAGGGAGTCTGCTGGGCGCCTGGTAAACCTGCTGGTATCAAGGATTTAGCAGGACATAGCCGGTTCCAGAGAAGTCAGACCAAAATTCGGTGGAGACAGACGTTTTGTTTTGACATCTGAAGAACCTCAAATCTTTACAGACCCCGAATACCAGCAAGCTTTAAAATTTGAGAATTTAGGCTAAGTGTGGAAGTCCCAGCTTGCAACAAGCTGAGAGTCCCCTTAATGTGTGAGACACACTCAGATCTGCCATGGTCCTTCCCTTTTGGATATTCCAAACATATTTGGTTTGTAGGCTTTTACACACCATTTCCTGACTGCCTCGGAAGCCATTTTCTCATTTAACGAACAGTCAACACTCGCGGTGAAACAATAACCAGAAAAGAAAAACGAATTTGGTGGCCTGAAAAACATTAAGGTGGAATCCAAAACATTTTGAAAAATTGACTTCAGCTCCTTGACAGCTTGGCTCAGACCTGGATATTTATTTTCACTCAAAACATTTGTATATATTGTGTCTGATATATACAAGCTACTGTTTTTGACAAAATCAAAACAAAACATGCATGATAACTATTAGATAGCCTAGAAAATGAAATTAGTTTAAATATCAACTGAAGTCAGTTGGGCTAAGGCTCAGGGCTCTCTGTGAGGGGCCCACTCCAGATTTAGGGCCAGGTCCTGCACTGAAAAGAAATCACTGGACTTTGGGAAGGAATCCTGAATCCTTGAGTTGTTGTGCATCATGCTAGGAATTGCGAAGGAGGAGTGCTACATGTCAGAAGGAGAGGGGAGAAGAGGCAGGGATAGTGGAATGAGCTCGCAGGGGGAGGCTTGGTTCACTGAGATTAAGGCGGGACACTCCAGTACACCCAGAACAACTCCACCTGGCATTTGGGAACCCCTGCCTCCATGAGGCAAGCCTGGCAGGGCCCAGGGCCTTAAAGTCTCCACTGGGACAGGCCAGACATGCCTCAGAAGGGGCACAGTAGCTGGGCCTCTGGTAGAGTTGGCAGATGGTAGAGACGGTGAGAGGAACTTCTGGTCCTCTTTGCTTTGTCAAGAGCAGCTAGCGGGGCAGAGAATCTAAGAGACTTCCTTCCCCTCCCCTTGACTCTTGAGAAGGATTTTTGCCTATCCTTATGGGGTTCCATTAAGGTAATTGAAGAAAGAAAGATGCACCAACACCTTTACTCACCTCAACTGGAAAGCCATATTTACAGTTGGAGTGCAGCACCCCTCCTCCTCTTATTCACTCCCTTCTCCTCCCCTGGATATTTTTCCCTCTCCCTGTGCAACAGAGCTTCAAAGCAGACCAACAGCTCCTTTCACCAGAGCTAGCCTCTGGGGATCCAGTTACAGGGTTCATAGGCCTGGCCTAGGCATGTTTGAGAAGGTGGGAGTAGGGCAATGTTTGCCAGTCTTGTCTGGAGATGGCACTTGTCTGGAGTCCCAGTCTCTCTCATCCCATCTCAGGAAATGAAGGTTCCACATATTCTACCCAGCTGGAAATAGGCCAGCCTATTTCGCATTTCTCATTTCGAGATATCTCCAAGTTTACCCCACTACCCAGCCCCTCCCCTTCCCTCCCTTTTCCTCCCAAAGTCTGAAGATCTAGTGTGGCTTTTGTTCTCTCAAATCAGCCAGGGCAGACAGGAGGGTGGAGGGTGGATGGTGCCCTTTCCTTTCTCCAGAGTGAAGATCCTGGCCTTGCCACAAAGGGCTTCTGCTGCAGAGACCTAATTGTACCCACAGTCCTTTCCATTCCCTCAGGAGGCCTTCCACTCTGAGCCCTAACTAGGCGACTGCTATACGCTGAAGGGGCTGGAGAGAGGGGGAAAGGGAGAACGAATTGGGTGGAAACAGAAAAATCCAGGTACCGGGGAGCAAGAATGAGCGGTGGGTGCAAATGCCCCAGCCAGGAGCAAGGAGAGTTGGCCTCAGTCCCCCAACGTGGAAGCCTTAAGGCCAGCCAGAGTTGCACTGGTACTTCCGCACGTTTCTCACGGGCTTCTCAGGGACTGAGGAAAGCAAGGAGGCCCAACTGGCCTGGTCTGTAAATCTCTTGGTGGCTTCTGGGGCCAGCAGAGAAGGAACCGAAGGAAAAGCCTTAGCCTTAGCCCCAGATCCCCCTCCCCAAACAAGGCCTCTGTCCAAAAGGGCAGATCCAACCCGGCCCTGGCCACGCGCGCGGCTAGTAGAGCGCCAGCGCCTGCTCCCGAAGCACCACGCGCTTCTTCTTCATACGCCTGTTCTGGAACCAGATTTTGACTTGCTGGTCGCTGAGGTTCAGCCTATTGGACAATTCCTTGCGTTTCTGCCTGTTGATGAATTCGTTGACGAGGAATTCGTTCTCCAACTCCGCAATCTGCTGCTTCGTGTAGGGTTTCCGCTTCTTGCGGGCCCTCCCCGGGGCCGCCCCCCACGGCAGGCCTGCAACACAGCCCCAACCCACGTCAACCCAGCCCGTACTCTGTCTATTGCCCGCCCCCAGGCGGTTCACCTCCCCTTACACTCTCCCTTGAACCCCACCTCCCATCCCGGCCCAAACCGGCCCGGGGAGCATGGGCACCGTTTACCGTCGGGCAGTGAAGGTCGCAGGCAAGAGGCAACGCCCGCCGCCTGCACTGTCATGTTCAAGTTGAGCGGGCCCTTGGTGTCGTCCTTGAAGCCAGGGGCGCAGGGAGCCCCCTGGAGCAGGGTCGTGGAGCCCGGCGTGGCACGACCCACACCAGCGTAGTCATACTTGGCCGCTTTGAGAGCAGCCACTGCAGGAGCCAGGCTAGACTCGGGGGCGAAGGACGGCCGGGTACGACCGCGCTCCTCTGGCCCAGCGGCCGCTTCGGGCGCATAGAACTTAGCCTGCTCTTCGGGTCCGTCTTTGGCTGTTGGGGGCTGCAGGCCGAGAGGCCCGGAGCCAGCCAGGTAGGGCTGCGAGAAGCCGCCGAAGGCAGTGGCGCCCGCAGGCTGCGCGGGGGCGCAGGAGGCGGGCGTGGCGGCCCAGGGCAGCGCGCCGCGCGGGTAGGAGATAGGGGGAAGCGCGGCCAACTGGCCGCCATTCGGCCTCAGGTTGGAGAAGTAGAAAGAGTCTGGCGACTGCAGATTCAGAAGCGAGCCCACATAGCCCGCTCTGTAGAGACTGCGCTCACACATCTCCAACAAAGGGCTTCGGCTGCGCTCGCAACAGTATTTAGTTACAACCGGGAATAAGAGGACAGGCTCAGACGATTGGACGAAACTTTGCCTGCAGGTTCTTCAAAGCCGGTCATTTCAGCACCGCCTACATCCCCCCGACCCGTTTTCCCCCCCTTCAGAGTATTATGATAACACCCGCAATGTTCGATGGCGAAGGACGAGGCTGCCAGCAGAGCCAAATCAGGTTGAGCGAAGACTAACTGTCTGCGGGTTTCCAGGCCCGGCTTCAGCAGCTGGGGACATCGGGCAAGAGGGTGACTCTGCCCAAGTGTCCCCTGGGACTCTTCTTGGTCGTGATTGGCTTTGCGATTCGTTTTCCGCAGGCTTTCTGGGCCCGGCTTGCTTCTACCGGCTTTAAGTTGCAGCGGAGGCATTTTCCATTAACCGGCGCCTCTCGACTTATCCGGAGAGGGCGCGGTCCGGCGGCACCAGGAGCTCTGTCCCTTGGCCTGAGCAATGTCACTTTTACCCCAATCACTCCCACAGAGAGGGTTTCTCCAGAGACCTCTGCCTGAGGATCTGGCAGCAAAGACCCATTCGCTACTTGAGCCCTCAGTCCCAGGCCGCAGACACAAAAAGGGCATCACAAACTACCCAATTTTGGGATCCAGGAAGGAGGCCACACTATTTCTGGTTTGTGTCCCCATGGCTAAGAACTCTGATCATAGGGAAATTGCCATACAGGTCCATGGAGAATGTCCGCCAGGGAACCCATCAGCTCGATCCACCAATCGTGGCCAAAGGCTACATTCCTTTTATCTTCAGGAGTCCTCTCCAGGACTACACACTGCAAACCAGAACTCCGAGGTGTCCCCATCCACCAAGTGGAGGGCAAAGCAGGACGAACTCCCCCGACTGGGTGTGGAAAGGCAGAAGAGCCAGAACCACCTGGCCGGGGAACAGCGGGCGTTCGGAGGCAGCTGGCTAGCAGAGTTCCTTGCCTCAGCGCCCCCAGGGGTGCCGGGGATAGGGAGTTCACGGGTCTGACAAACAGGGAAGTGGGAAAGGCAGCAGTTCTTAGCCGGGAGCGGTGTGCTCAGACCCCGTCGCTGGCCCTCTTGCCTAGTCCGGCCAGAGGACTAGGGGTCCTCCCCTCCTGCCTCTGATCCCAAGACCCTGGGAGACCCGGTGACCGGCGCCAGTCTCAGCCTGCAGCAGGACCCTCGGTCTCCGAGCCAAGCTGGAATTGGTTAGATCGCGGGCTCCTGCACTGAGACCACACAGGCGCCGCCGGAGGGCAAGACTGACCGCCGCGCTGCCACTTTATTGTGTGAGTTATGGCGACCAATTGGGTGGCTCTGGGGAACGCAATCGGCCTCTTCCTCCTGCTCTGGTGGGGGGGAGAGAGGGAGTGAGGACGGGGGGGTGGGGATGTCTGGGGCTCCTCTGGCTCTGCCAGAGAGTTTCCTTAGGAGCCCAGGCATAGAGACTCACTCGCTCTCGTCCTCTCTTGGGAGGTGGGGGCAAGCACAAACTGCAATCCCAGTTCCTAGATACTCAAGGGAATACAAGCCTCAGATCCCTAAGAGCTCTTATTTTGGGGAACCCATCCTATTTTCGAGGAGCTGCAGCTTCGTTACTCCCGAAAGCTCCAGCTCCAGGGGTCCCTGCAGTCTCTCCTCACGTTTCAGTGCACGACGATTCCTCGTTATTTCCAAGCCGAGGGGTGTCTCTTTCGGACCTTTAGGCAGCCCTACAACAGCTGTTTGCGCCTCAGGACTAAAGGCATAAAAGAACTCAGTGAAAAACAGGAAAAACAAGAACAACTAGGTTCCCTCCATTGCTCCTTGGACAGTCTTCCCACTTCATCCCCCGGGTTTATGACTTTCGAGGTCTGGCAGGCAAAGTCTTATGCGAGCTGGGGAACCTGATCGAGGGAGGATCGGGGTGGAAAGTAGTGGCGGGAGAGTGGCTTGGCTGGTGATTAAGAGAATGGAACAGGATTTGGCTGAGGAGCGAATAGAGAGCTCTGCCAATGCCGCCCAATGCCCAGGAGATGGCGAGCGCGCTCCATGCCTATCGGGGCGCAGCCGCACGGTCAAGATCAACAGTGAAGGGCGGTGCGGCCTCCCTGGGGTCGCCAGCCCGCTTTCAGACGCAGCCTAGCGCCTCCGAAAGCCGGAGATCTTGGCGGCAAGGCCGCCCCTGACAGCGGAGCCAGAGGGACCCAGGGGGCTGCCAGAGGCGGGGAAGCACTGCAGTCGCCCCTTTGTCTGACCGTGAGTCCCGGCTCCAATGCTTCCTTCGCCTCTTGAATCACGCGACACGGGGACCTCGTTCCCCCACCCGCGGCGCTAAAAACCTGCCGGGTTTCTGAGGAGCTCTCCTGCCGCCTGTCTCCAACCGAAGGAAAGGCCTCTCTCCAAGCCCCCTTAGCCTTCCGGGTTCCCCGAGGGCCTCCCTCCCAGTGCCTGGGCCACTTACCAGTTCCTCTCCTCCCTCTGCAATTTGGAATATAAAGGGAATGCATATGAATAACAAAGCCTT
Organism: Homo sapiens; assembly: GCF_000001405.40. Taxonomy (NCBI): domain Eukaryota; kingdom Metazoa; phylum Chordata; class Mammalia; order Primates; family Hominidae; genus Homo; species Homo sapiens. The sequence continues at coordinate 176,097,272 of NC_000002.12, read as the reverse complement.
CTTCTGTTATTGATTTAGCCCTCAATCCAAATTCCTCCAGAGAGCGTTTGAGCACAGTTTTAATCTTCAGCAAACCTACCATTTCTCCAAGGCGGGGGGAGGGGGGGAAGTGACATGCAAACTAGAGATGAAAGGAAAGCCTCGAGGCAATCTCCCCTACCCACGATGGGAAACCCGAGAAATAGACAGGGGAAATGGAGTGAAGCTCCGGAGTGTGGGACTCACAAAAAATGGAGGGGAAGTTGGCGATTAGGAGAAAGGAAAAATGTGCCCGTTTCTGATGAAAACACATCTTTTGAGAAAAACCACAAAAACGGTAACGACCCTTCCCGAAGTGTAAGGTGGGGGATGGTGTGGCCCCTTGTGCACGGGTTATTTCTTCTGCAAAGATTGAATCGCGATCATATCTCTCTCTGTTTCTCTGTCTCTGTCCCTCCCCCTCAAAATCGAAGTTAGCTGTCCACGGTCGCCAGTAAGATATGAAAGAAATCAAGCTGGGACAGGGAAAACGAAAGTAGCTCCAAGTCTTAGGTCTCTGCGTTTTCTCTCTCAAAGTCATGAGGGAGCCCTCCCACCAGGAGAGTTTTCACACTAAGTGAGGTTTTAAATATCACTATGTAACTAACTTACACACTAAAACTTTAGCAACCACTGAGTTGATTGTGTGGGGAGCTAACCATGAGGAGTCATCCAGTTCCTCATCGGCCATTTCCCTGAGTGGCAAAAAGGCCTCAAACAGAAAATTCTAGTGCCTAAAAATTGCGTCTGAAAGTTTAGGTTTTATGTTTTCAGTTGTCAACTGCTCTGTGCAGACTGCCCGGAGAAGGCGATATGGGATAAGCTTGAAATGTTTCTTTTTCGATTGCCAAATATGGGTATGTCTTTCTAATTTCAAGACCTTCCTAGTCCAGATGTTTATAATGGTCTTTCCAGGTTGAAAATTTTCAAGTGAGTAAGTTTTTCTATGCACAGGCATACAAATACATATGGATTAAAAAATAAATAGAACTATATAAATAAATTGACAATAGTGAAAGAAAAGTAAAATTTTATTGTCTTTTGAGCTGGCCTGGTATAAAATATCATTTTAAACACTGTAAATGATATCCTCATTTTAAAACATCACTACTTATGTTAAAGTCATGGGCAAAAGGGAGGGAGGGGGGCAAAAGTGGAGAGCATGAAGGTTCCAGAAACCAGAATTAGTGTTGAGTTTCCTTCATCTATAGAGAACATAATTGTGTTCAAGATACCAAGATTTTGTAATAAATAAGAATCGTTTCAAGAAGAAACACAAACTTGAAAAAATAAAACAAATGTATAAGGACTCAGAAGAAACAAAAGAGTTCTGTTTATTGGCATCTCCCTAGGAGTAAAAAGTGATTTTTAAATGTCTGAAGCACTGCCCATGTATCCCAGCTCACAGACATTGCATTTACAAAAATAATCTCTCAATTGTATAAATATGCAGCACTTTAAAAGTAATTATTTATCATCACTTTCAGAAACATCATTATTTTTCTTCTTGGACCTTGGAACTTCACATTTTTCATATTTGTTAGATGCTTTACAGCTCCATGCGAGGCCCCCTTGTTTAGACAGTCAAGTTCTTCATTGGGTTCTGTATGTAAGTTCCCACCCACGGCCACATTGATTCAGCCTCTTTTTGAGGATTGAGGAGATGACCACAATCCCAGACCCATAGATCCAAGGCCAAGAAAAGGAGGTGCATTTATGCCATCCGCGGGTCACTCTACTGATTGCAGCCATTTAAATGTCTGCATTGAGAGCTCAAGAAATGAAGGCATCCACGATCCATGAGGACACATGAGTTTCAAATTAAAGATTATGAAAACACAAACCTACAAAGTGTTAAAAACAAACAATTAAAACAGCAAGTGAAACACCCAAAGTTGGAAAGATTGTCTTCATTTCAATATTGATACAATCCCTATTTAATAAGGTGGCCATTTTTAAAGCCATCACAGTACCTTCAGCCTCCTGTTTTTAGACTTTCTCGGTGACCCCAGAGCACTGCCTGCCTTTCCACTTGCCTCAGGGCAACTGCTGAGAGCTAATGATTCAATTACCTAATTACAGGATATGAACGACTGAAAACCATTCTGTCCTAATGGATTATGAAGATAATCAGTGCTGGGAATGAACAAATAAAGTAATTTTTTAAAAAAACCCTTAAATCAGAATGGCACTTCTGAAGTTCATTGGGGGGCGGATTATTAAAAAATACTTCAAGTCCCTTTATACTGGCCTGGAGGGAGAAACAAAACATTAAAAACAGATATTTTAAAAACCCTAGGCAAGAACAAAACCAATAATAAACAAGTAAAAATCAGAACTACAAAGTCAGGTTGGGCAGCAGAAGGTTTTAGAGCCAGATAAGGGGAAGAGAGAAAAACAATTCACAAAATTTGCCACCATTGGCAGGGGGTGGGGGGAATTAAATACATATTCAAGTCTTTCCAAAGGCCTTTTGGAGACAACCGAATGGCTTCTAAGCTGTCTGTGGCCAACCTGGACCACATCAGGAGACAGTATCTTTGAGCTTGGAGACAATTTTCTTGTCCTTCACTCTTCGGTTCTGAAACCAAATGGTCACTTGTCTCTCAGATAGGTTCGTAGCAGCCGAGATACGCCGCCGCTTGTCCTTGTTAATGAATTTGTTAATGGCATACTCGTTCTCCAGTTCTTTAAGCTGCAGTTTGGTGTAAGGCACTCTCTTCTTCCTCCCTCTTCGGTAGACGCACATGTCCGGCTGATTTAGAGCCACATCCCCTGATACAAACAAAAGCACAAGAAAAATTAGGCTGGGATATTCGGAGCACCTAGCTGAGGATTGTGTGTGTGTGTGTGTGTGTGTGTGTGTGTGCGTTTGCAGGGGTGCAGGAAATTTTTAAAAAATGCCATGCTGTTTGGTCTTTATTATGTACATAGACATAACACTTACCTGTTATTAAAGAAGGATTATTTGCACTTAACAACAATGGTTAATTTGATTGATTATCATAGTTTCTCAAACCGGCATCTTAACAAGCTTGCAATTTTATGGTGTGGTTATTGGGCACGTTCATGAGGACAGTTTCTGCAAATGTCGGTTGTATAAAAACAAACTTACATACATAGACACATACCAACTCAGGTCTTTTGCTCAAATTTTGATTTCCCGCGTTCCTATGTTAGGAGTTCGTGAGCTTGATCTAACAAGCTTTAGTAGTCATCTTGGGGCAGTGATGTCTTTGAAAATGGGGGGACCCAACTCTGTCAGGTTTCTTAGGAAAAAGTTCTCTTTAGGAGAAAAGGGAGAGGCCCAAGGAAAGGGCACGCAGAGACTCTCAACTTTAGGAGAAAAACGTGTCTGCGCTGCACACAGGAAAGAAAGGGCAGTGACGGAGGCAGTTGAAATCAGAGGAGGAATTTACAGATTTCACACGAACTGGACAAATTTCCACTGGGTTAACCCTGGTCACGTGTGGAGCACAGGCACAACTCCCACTCCCAAGTAGGGGCGCATACTCTTAGTCCTTTCTTTTCTCCTTCTCTCTCCCCCTCCCTCGTGTCGGTCCCTTTTCTCCATCGCCCCTACCTGGAAAGGAAGATTTCCAAAAGTGGGACCCCTGTGGCTGGTCCTTGGTGCAGTACACCTGGCTGTTCCACCCGTTAGCCAGCGTCCAGGACTGGTACCCCTCCATGGAGATGTAGGCCTCGTGCCGAGGCTCCCCGGAGCCGAAAGTGGACACCATGTCGATATAGCCGGGCACGTGCTGGTAAGGGCTCGTATAGCCCTGGTAGAAGGATACCTCCTTGGCTCGCGCTGGCACCTCGTTGGCCGGTACGCTGCTGCTCGCCAGGCCTGACACGTCCATGTACTTCTCCACGGGAAAGCCTCCCAGCGAGGCGTGCGGCGATGACTTGAGCGCATTCTGCTGTAAGCCCACGCCGTGCGACATACGGCAGCTGTAGTAGCCGTTGCCGAAGTGGTAGCCGTAGCCCAGCGCTGGAGCGCTCGGGGGCGCTGCAGCGGCCGCTGCAGGCGTGGGTGCTGGGCACTCTTTGGCTGGGGGAGCCTCCGGGCGCGCCGCTACAACGGCAGAAGAGGACGACGACGAGGAAGAGCCCGTGCGCTCAGAGGTCCCGGGGTACGCAAAGCCGGAGGCTGCCGCCGCCGCCGCCGCAGCCGCCGCTGCCGCCGCCGCCGCCCGCCCCGAATGCGTCCCGGCGAACACAGGCGCGGAGAGAAAGCCGCGGCACTGGCCTGACGCCGCCGCCGCCGCCACCGATGAGGAGGAGGAAGAGGCCGGGGCGCCACCGGCGCCCCCGCCGTCTGCCCGCAGCCCGTCCATGTCCCAGCTCCCGGCGCGGCTCATGGCCCGGCCTGGCCCGGCCCCGGCCCTGGCCCTGGCCCCGCGCAGGACACCATGGCGCGGCGCGCCTCCTCCCTCCTCTCCTTTCTCTCTGGTTCGCTCGCTCCCGCCCTCTTCCTCTAGCCCTCTCTCCCTCTGTGAGCCTCCCGCCTCCGGCCCGCCTGCCCTCCAACAGGTTAGCTCATCGCGGGACGTTTATAAAAACGAAGTTCAGGTTGGGAGGGGGCCTGGGCCGGTCGGGGGGCCGCCTCCCGCCCCGAGGGCCCCCGCCGGGGGCGTGCCATTGGCTGCGCGCGGCCACGTGGGGGTAGGAACGCGGGGGAGCCTGGCTCCCGGCCCAGGCCTGGCTGGACCCACCCACTCCGGCCCCCACCCCTCTCCTGCCCCTTGCAGGGTCCACCTCCCATTCCCGCCCTCCCCCCCGACCCAGGCGTACGCGCTGCAGCCACCCCCACGAGTTGATTGCGCGACGGCCCATCCCAGGCCCTGTCTGCGACTGAGGCGGGCGCCAAGGCCTGCGCCTTGTCTCGGCAACCGCTGTTTTTGCCACCTCTCCTCGGCTCCCCGAGTTGCACAGCAAAATGAAGACGAAGGACAGAGATGATCAGAATGATGTGAAAACAGGCCCATTTTTTTATCCTGTTGCTGAATCCCTCAGTTAGTCGACTTCTAGACCCCAAATCCGAGTGAGCTAATTTGCCCTACCTTGTGCACTGGTACCCGGCAAAGGCATTTCACACAGGTAAGAGGCATTGGAGCAGACCCTTCCTATACACACACGCTGTCCGTTCGGAAAATGCCCATGAAGCGCCCTTGGGGCTGGCGGCAGAGACTTAAACAGATGAAAGACAGGCATCGGCGCAGTGAGCCTGACAATCTGTCCCAGAAAGAAAAGTCCATGGATGCCTACTCAACGCTCTTCGCCTCTACTCTTGGGCCAGCCGGGAGTGCTTCCGACCTGGGCCTCTCAGCTCCCGCGGGTCCTTCTTCGACCCGCAGAAAGACCCTGAGAACGGCGCCGGGGGAGAAAGCCACTCAGCCTCCCACCGTGAAACTTCTGTGTCTCTCCAGCAGCCGACCGGCCTCGCATTTTGCAGTCACCACCCACTCCCGCCCGTTTCTCACACCAAATTAATTGAAAACTTCACTTTCCCAGGGACCTTTGTTTCGCTTCCTTTTCCAAGCTGTCAACTGCAGAGAACTGAGAGGGGCAAATTAAGAGGGCGCTTGTTCCAAGCAAATTCGGATTTTGTGATAGGAGCAGCCCAGAGAAACGGTCTGACTTCAAGGGGTTAGGTGGGCTCAGGGCAGTGCTGGTGGGGCTAGGTCCAGCTCTGGAACCAAGCTGCCAGGGTGTTAGGGATTACAGCCCTGTCCCTCATCATCCCTTTCTGTTGCTCCTCAGCCTCAGAGCTCCAGCCCACCATCCCTCAATCTCAGCAACTAATGGGGCACCAATGAGAGTCCTGCTGTGACTTTGGGGCTCTGCCTTAGGAACAATATTAGATCCAATGAGCCCAGGGTTCTGGGGGTGGATATGGGATCCTTCAGAGCCCATTTGGTTCTGTGGCATGCACTCCCCAAGCCAGCCCATCTCCAAGAAAATCACTCCCCTAAGCCTGTGATTGGTGAAAGCTTGTCACCCAGCACCACTGTTCCCCGACCAAAGATGCCCTGAGTAAGATGAGGAAGAGAGCCAGGAAGGCCCTCCTTGGCCTGGCCTGGCATTTCAGGGTAGGCTGCTGGTGTTAGGAGTGTTGACATGCAAAACGCAGTAACCATAAAAGGCTCAAATAAAGGGGAAAGTTATGAGAGGGGTGTTGGAAAGGAAAAGCAAGAGAATTCGTTTCATCGTTTTGAAGTTCTAGACATGTTCATGATCAAATTTGAGATGGGAGGGGCCTGAATTTACAGGAAATCATAGGGAATAGAAGTTTGCTGATGAGAAAATTTTTTTCACTATTTGGGAAAAGAAGGCAAAAGTCAGCAATGAAAGTTCAACCAGCATTTTAAAAAGGCCAACTGTGGCGAGGCGACAGGATTGCTAACTTTTAAAGAGGGTTTGGCTGGGTCTTTATGAAACAATTTTGGTACCAAACCACCAACCATGGGCCACCATGAAATGCTTTTATTTTCCCTTTGTCTCATTTTTTCTTCCTCAGACAGAGAAAACATGAAGATAGTTTTAACTTTTTATGACTCCAAAAAACAAATTCGTTGAAATATTTCTAAGATATAAGTAGAACCAACAAACTTTCAGTCTCTTAAAATTAAATATCCCTGTGGTTTTGTGCCTTGGGCTTCTGCTTCATTTTCTCACTGATAAGTACATTTTAATGATCAATTATGTGTTTAACAATAAAGTAAAATGAAAATGGGAAGAATGTGTCAAGTTTTGTTGATTTCAAGCAGCCCATCACTTCTGGCTGAATTTTCCATTCAGCAAATTAAGTTGTGCAGGAGTGGGAGAAAAATCTGAATTACTACTCAGGTTGAAAGGGATTTCTCAATGGTGGCTCTGCTTCCAAAAGCCCTGTGGGACCCTCTCAGAGCAGGGCAAAAGTTTTCTCTGTCCATCCTAATGGTTGTTCAGAAGCCAGGAAGATTTTGAATTAGGAGCTTTGCCCCTTGATATCCTGCTGCTGAACCTGCTTCCAGCATAGCCTTTGGGGTCCCAGCCCTGTGGGAGGGCTTTGCCCTGAGGAAAGGGGGTCTGACTTTGTCCACTTGGGCTCCAAAGCCCAGCACCTCTGGACAAATTCTACTGGCTCCTAGGGCTGTGGTTGAGTACAAGGCAAAGTCAGGGCTGCTTTGTTTATGAACTAATGAGACACATAGTTTACAAGCCAGGGATGCCAGGTAGAGGAGGAATTTTGAGGCTGAATTTGCAGAAACATTTCATTCAGGTTTAAACTTACTGGGAATCAGTTTCTTTAGGTGGCCAGGAACACAGACCAAGCCTTGTGTTTGTGTGTGGGTGCATTATGCAGGGGTTTTTAACAACAGAAATAGGCTTTGTTAAGTGAGAATCCTTGGAGACTACACATGTCTCCAAACGTGTGTCTTCTTCAGTGAAACCAGTTTTGCCGCTGTTCCTGATTTTGGTGAAAAACTCAGGATGACCCTATGGTGCCCAAAGTCCCACTGTATTCTCCCATCACTTGCTCCTCTTCCTCCTTTTCTTCCAGAGGCATCCTTTTTAAGCATCAGTGCTGTTCTGGAAGTCATATTCTCTCCTTTCAACCTAGTAGATGATCTTTCAAATTTTGCTCTTGTCCTGGTTTGGGGGAATGGGCAGATACAGGCTGTGATTTAGATTTATTGAAGTTGCTCTGCTTGCCAAGACAGCAATGAGCTCAATTAACCACATAATCAGTGGCCATTAAGGCCAGGATCACAGGATTCTATCAGAGTGGGGTCCTGGGGACTCCTTTGAAAGCACTTGTCTTGATGGCCAAGATCAGGAAGTGCAGGACACCCTCCTAATTAACTTGTAAGAAGCCAAATATTTGGTGTAGAAATAGAGTCTTAATTCCAAAGTAAAATCTTAAGTCTAGCAGAAGTGGCTGGACAGTGTTCTTAACCAAATCTGTGTTCTGCCAACTTTGGAGCTAATTTTCCCTCTCCAGGCAACACCCAGTTTTACTCAGCCTGGAGATATCAAAAGAAACAACAACAACAACAACAACAACAAACCAAACCTATTGTGAAAAAAGGGGACCCTAGCAACAGCTAGACAGTGGAAGCCACATTTGAGTACTTTCTACCTTTGAGACATATTCCGTTTGGGTTTCACAACACGATTAGGCTTTATCAAATGAAAATCGTTTGCAGCAACAACAGTTCCAAACCCCCTCCAAATCAGAAACATTATTTGGTGGAACCAGGTTTGCCTCATGCAGGACAGCGGGCCCTTCTTTGGGATGGAGAGAACTTCTCCAGCCTTGGAAAAAATTAAACACAGTGAGGATTCTTTCCTTTGAAGAGAAGCACTAATCTCACTGTGAAAGGGACGCAGGAGGGTGGGGCAGGAGCCAGAGGCCCAGAGTAACTTGTTGCCTTTTTTTGGAAAATAAAAGCTGGGACCCTAATTTGCTGAAGTTTTATCCGACATTTCAAGGTGAGGGGTTGTCCTTGGAATACACTTCCCTAGCAAAACTACTGGGAAGTCCAGTAAATTCTCACTCTGTCGGTAGCTTGAGATAAAAGAAAATGTCTGTCTACCTACCTATCTCCATTCCGCAGAGTCCATTGTCTCTATGGGGAATCCACATTGTCCTTACCGGCAGGGCAAAGGGATGAAGGTGAGGAAAGTGCCCAAGCACGAAGGGGGGAGCCGAAAGGGAGGCGGAGGGGCAGTGTTCGGCTCCACTTCCCGGCCCGGCGGCGCGCAGTTCCCCACGCCTGGCGCTAGATGTCCCTGCAAGTTTTCCCGTGGCGTCTGAGGGCACAGGAACTCGAGGCAGGCGATGGGTCTGCGTAGACCGAGCCCAGGAAGAAAGTATCCCCCAACTCCCGCACCACGACCTTCCTCCGTGGGGCGCGGGATTGCGACGGGAGTGGGAGGAGGAAAGACAGAAGCAACCGGAGAGACCCGGAAGGGACAGAGAGCTAGAAGCTGGCCTGCCGAGGGCTCGAAATCTGAGTCTTCCCTTATGCAGCGAAACCTGCACCCGTGGAAACCGCACTTCGCCTGAAGACAGGGAGCCCGAGGCTCGAAGCCCAGGCTTTCGCGGTCCTACTGTCCCACTGCACCCTGCAGCCCCAGCTCTCGAGCAAGCATGCGTCCCAAGGCGGGACCGCAAGTTGTCGGCCCCAATTGCCCGCAGCCCCCCGCGTAAGAGGAGAGCCAGGCTCCGGCAGCGGCAGACGCGGGGCTTCGCTGCAGCTACGGCTTTACCGGCGCCCCTCCCCTCGGGCAGCCCGGACAGATTTTTATTACCTGCAGTCATAGGCCAAAAGTGTTTACCACTTCACCTCAGAGGACCCGCTGCTGCTCAAGAAACAAATATTTAGTCTGGAAACCTAACCAAAAAATTAGGCCTCTTCAAAGTCATTACTCCTTTAGAACAAAAAGGGCTTTTCAGTCCATGCGAAGGAAGTCCTTCCTGTACTCCCCACCCCATCTTAAAAATTTCTGCCAAAGCATGCGGGCTTGGGTTGGATTCTTGACTTGTTTTATCTAGTGGGTTCTGTACCTTGGTAGTGGGTAAGAGGCCTTGACGGTCACAGAGGCTGCATCAAACCACCCGGAACATTTGACAGGCCTGTTCCCAGCCTTGGCCTTCACATTCTGGGAGACGTGCAAGTTTGGGTATTTCATCAAAAAGCATCAACAGGGAGGGGCGCAGTGGCTCACGCCTATAATCCCAGCACTTTGGAAGGTCGAGACAGGCGGATCACCTGAGGTAGGAGTTCGAGACCAGCCCGGCCAACTTGGTGAAATCCTGTCTCTACTAAAACTACAAAAATTAGCCGGGCGTGGTGGCGTATGCCTGTAATCCCAGCTGCTCAGGAGGCTGAGGCAGGAAAATCGCTTGAACCCGGGAGGCGGAGGTTGCGGTGAGCTGAGATCTTGCCATTGCACTCCAGCCTGGGCAACGGTGTGAGACTCTGTCTCAAAAACAAACAGACAAACAAACAAACAAAACAAACAAAAACCACCACCAACAACAACTACAACAAAATACACACACAAATCAACAGAACTGCACTCTTCTTACTACCCTCTATATAGGTTCAATGTTTTTGAGGTAGGCCTGTATTTACATAAGGCATATGCAAAATGAGAGAATTAACCTAAAAAATGCTGCCCAAGGCTTTAAACAACACTTTTGACTTTATCATCGGAGATAAGTTTAAATCACAAGTCCCTGAACCCCTCTGGCTCATAATCTCTGGAAAAGGGATAATAGTTTAAATCTCACAGAGTTACTGTGAACCTTAGCTGAGATAACATGTAAAAAGCACTTGGAATTGCAAAGTAAGAGTTTTGTATAAGTTAGCCAATATTACTACTAGTGGGCGTGGAATCTCTAAATAAATTAAGGGACATTAAATATTGGAATGGAATGGTCACTGTACCTCATGAAACATTATTGCCTGCTACACCCAGTTTAGTGGAAACATTATAGGTGTCTTTTACTGTGAGTAGTTTCGCTGACATGTCTCTGACATGTTTTTTGTAATAAACGTGCTAGAAATGCACTATCAGTGTCATTTAAAAGGTGCAAAAATAGTTTTCAAAGCCACTAATGAATGAAGGTGCTGCTGAGAAATAGTGTTTTCCCTTTCGACAGACTGAGGTCCGGTTTGGCGCAGCCTTTGGGACCAGAGGCGTCGGGTCCCAGAGGAAGGGAAGATGTGGGAGAGCCTCGGGCTGAGTGATAGAGGAAGGGGTCGTCAGTCCTCACCTTAGTCCCCAGTGACTGCGTCTCCGACTTGAAAACCAACTCACAGCAGCCGAAACCGCGAGGAAAACAGATGGGGGCGCCAAACGACAGCAATAAAGGCATCCACGGATTTCCACCCAAGCAGTGCCTCGGTTCACCCACACTCCCGCCAGGGTCTCGCACCACTTCCCACCCCCACCACCCCAGCACGACCCGAGCCTGAACCAAGGTGTCCCATTCAGTCCCTGGAGCAAGCGAGGACTGGGTAGGGGGACCCTTCCTGGGTCACAGGAGCAGCGACTGCCAGGCATGGCAGAATTGGGCATCCGGGCTGCGGAGCAGGGAGGGAGCAGGTGGGGGCGTTGGCAGGGCTGGACTCCCACCGCGCTGATGGCCCCAAAGCCGGCGCAATGAGAACTCAGGGAGCTCGGAGCTGGGTGGCCAATGGGGCAGGGGCAGAGGTGGACGCTGGGTCAAGTCCCAGTCCCGGTGCGCTGGATGCCCACTCTGCGTTCCCCGCCGGTTCCCCGTTCCCCCAGGCACCGCCTGCCTATCGAGCTTTCCGTTTATTACCTTAAAGATGTGGAATTGATTTTCTAAGCAAAGCTCGCGTTGTTGAAATAAGTTGGCGCCGAGGGGAACAGAAGATAAACTTTTGGCATTGACTATATGTGTGTATATATGTATATAAATATACTTCACACCTCGCTTCCCCTTACATTCCTGATGCGCCCCCAACGGGTCTAAGGTTAAAAGGAAAGCGCCAAGAGCTATAGGCGAATAGATCTCGAGCTTGCCCCCTAACACACCCCAATGTTCTGGGTGTGTCGGCAGAAAGAAGAGGGGGCCCTGGTTGGGGTTCGGATTGAGGCTAAATGTGGGGATGCAGGACCCGCGCCCAGCGCCCAGATTGTCAGGGTCTCTCAGCCGCTTCAGAAGCTCACGGGCGGACCTCCGCGTCCCATCCCCGTCCTCCCTCGCCTCCGCCTGTGTCCGCGAATCTCTCTCCGGCTGGGCCGTTGGCGGGTGGGCACAGTGCTTGGAGGGTCAGGGAAGGGTGGGCGCAACCGCGGGAGATGAGGAGCGGCCTGGAGTGAAGATTGATCTTCGTTAAAATGGTTGCCACCGGCGTCATTATGACTATCAAAGTTGTCGCCAAGAGGCTCAGCCTCCAAGCCCAGGCCGCAGAGAGCTGCTGTAAGGCTGTTCGGCGACTCTCTGCGCCCGGACCCAACGCTGGGAATACCTGTGGCCGCAGGTAAGGGGCTGGGGTTGATGAGGGGAGGAAAGAGAGAAGGAAGAAAAGCAAAGGGGAAGGGAGGGCAGCGGGGAGGTAGGGGAAGAAGGCTGTCTCCTCTTTCCTCTTTTGACCTCGAAATCCAGCGCCTTTGCCGCAAATAATTCTATTTGAGGAGGGAGGGGAAAATCTGGCAACGTGAGCGTGGATTCGGAGCGCCCGTATGGCGCTGTAAATCTCCACTGTGTTTAAAGTTAGCTGTCGAATTCTGCTATCAAATCGTCCAGCCTAGTTCGTTTCCCCTCAGGAAAATGCGTAGGCGAGAAGGCTTTCTATCAGCAGGATTATAAAAGTAAAAAACCGGGGACTTCGAGTTCAGATCTCACTCTGCAGACGGTGTTAGAAAATCAGAGAGGACCTAATGATTTCCGTTTGGAGGCGCGGGCCCAATGCACCTCCGCGGCCACGTAGCAAGAAAGCGCTTTCAAAACTCTAGGATATTTCTATTTCTCTCTCTCTCTCTCTCTCTCTTTCTCTCACTCCGTCTCCCTCTCCCTTTCTCCCTCTCTCCCTCTCTCCCTCTCTTCCGCTCTCTCTCTCTCCCGGGGTGGGAGGAGAGCATTTAGGCTGAGGTGAAGAAATAGGGAGGGAAAGAACTCCGGCGTCCTATTTGTTAAATAAAATACATATTTGGTTCCGAAATCCGAAAGATAAGTAATCCAGATAGGAGAGGCGCAAGGTCTTCTCCTTACGCAACTCTTCCTGCATCCTCCCCCTTATCTCCCCCCACTTATGCCCCCAGCTTGTAAATGGTAAAAAAAAAAAAAAAAAAAAAAAAAAAAACCAAACCTTCCCGAGGACCTACTCTGGAAAGTCAAACCATTATCTATTATTTAATACGTATCTGTGTCCAAGGAAAAATGAAGAAGGCGCTGCATGATTAGGACCTAAGGGGCAACCTAGCAAACTGAGAGCGTAATGATGCCCCTAAATGAAGGGGGAAATGTGCCGCGGCGCGCTCTATTAATCAGACTGTCAATTTCACCCCCGAGGCCAAACCCCCGGGCGAGCAGAACTGGCTCGGAGCGGGCAAAGGACCGGAGCCTTCCTCCTCACTTGTCTCTTCTCGCCTCCTACCTGGATCTATTTGTCTGCTCTGAAGCTGCCTTCATTACCCACTGACAGGAGGGTGTATTTATTTGCTTATAAACCTGTTACAATAAATGATTATTCGAACAGCGTCATTCGTACCTTAATGACGAGCGGGCGCTACTTTTTGATGAATGACATCTCGGGATCGGAAGGATGTATGGGTCATTTTGACCAGTCATTCCCTCGCTCTGGCATCCCACAATTTTTCCGCCTCCCTCCGAAAGCGATAATAATATTTAGAGGCGTTCGCTGGGGCTGAATGAGAATTAGCCCTAGGCGCAGCCTATCATTAGGACGGGACAGCAGGGCCACTGTGACATTTTTAAGAAAGCTGAGATGATGGAAAGAATAAGAAAAGAGATGATTCTGATGGAGAGAGGGCTGCACAGCCCTACGGCGGGCAAGAGATTCTCCAATTTGTCCAACTCGGCTGGCAATGCTGTGCTCGAGGCCCTGGAAAATTCGCAGCACCCGGCTCGCCTAAGCCCGCGCCTGCCGTCTGCCCCCCTGCACAGCGCTCTGGGAGAACTCCCCGCCAAGGGCAAATTCGAAATAGACACTTTGTTCAACCTGCAGCACACGGGCAGCGAAAGCACCGTCTCCTCCGAAATCTCCTCCGCCGCCGAGAGCCGCAAGAAGCCGGGCCATTATTCAGAGGCGGCCGCTGAGGCCGACATGAGCAGCGACGTGGAGGTGGGCTGCTCCGCGCTTCGCTCCCCCGGGGGCCTCGGCGCCGCTCAGCTTAAGGAAAACAATGGCAAAGGTAACCGCGCCGGCCGCACCGCGCTCTCCAGTCCCATCCTCTTTGCTCCTCCGCGGCCCCCGCCAGCCTTTCCCGGTGCCTTTTCCCCTCTCAGACCCTCCACAGGCAAGCTACACCGAGCTAGCACGGGCGGGGGCGGGACGCATGTCTGGGACCGTGCCTTCCAGTTCTGCTCCTTGAGCTTTCCCGCCAGGCTCAGGCCTGCGGAGCCTGGAACACCAGGCCCACCCGCCCTCGCTCCTGAGTCCGAGAAAATGTTTCTGCGCTCGTGTCTAAGAGCCCGAGCGAGCCGGTAGACCCCTAGTCAGCAGCCGAGTTGCTTTTGGGAAAGGTACCCTGGGCAACTACTCTGAACTCCCCTGCCCCTGTGCCCTCAGGGCTGGAGGGGGCATTCTTCTGGGTAAGTCGGAGGAAGCCTCGCCGGCGTCTCTGTTTAGGTCAGCGGGAGAAAGAGTTGAAAAGTATATTTCACCCCCTATTGGCTTGGGTTTGAGCTACTGCTGTGTTGGAACTCTTAAAATATTTGAAACCCCGAAGACTCAGATAAAGGTTAGAGGCCGTATAAAAAGCTGCCCTGCGGTCTCCAGACCATGGGAAACCCAGAGCTTCCCAAACTGCGCCCAGAGGTAGGCATTTTCCCTCGGCCACTTTTCCTCCTTGGTTGAAAATTTCTAATTATTAAAAAAGAAATCTCCTAATTCCGTTTCTATTATTTGCTTATGAAGGGCTCCCCAAACTTTATTGATTCCATTAACGGCAGCAATTTGTAAGCATGACAGACCCCATCAATTCCGGCAGCGACTCTCCTTCCTGACGGGGCTTCCCCGATCCGCGCGCAGCGCCAGCGCCGGGCTGTTGGTCCTACAGCCACTCATGCGCTGTTGGTCGTTTGTTTGCCAGGGTACGCAGAGAGCGGCTCGGCTGCCGGCACCACGACGTCGGCGTCGGGCTCAGGCCTCGGAAGCCTGCATGGAGGCAGCGGAGGCAGCGGCGGGAGCGCGGCGCTGGGTGGCTCCGGCTCTGGCGCGGATCAAGTGCGGCGCTACCGTACGGCGTTCACCCGCGAGCAGATCGCGCGCCTGGAGAAGGAGTTCTACCGGGAGAACTATGTGTCGCGGCCCCGCCGGTGCGAGCTGGCCGCGGCACTCAACCTGCCCGAAACCACCATCAAGGTATCAATTCCAGTGCATGCCTGCTCTGGCCTCCCCGGGGGCATCTGGGTTGATTGTTTCTTTTTCCCCTTTCCCCTTTCTGGGTGGCTAGATTTAGCTAAGGGTCTGGAAATCCGCGGGGGGTAGTCACCAAAGGAATTGGCTTATTTATTTCCCGGCCACCGAATCCGAACGGTTGTCCGGCCTGACGGATCTAAGAAGGCCCCCGAATGGTGACTCCAATGCTGAAAGCACTCGCCCCTGCTCCATTGTGCCCAACGCCTGGCCAGATGCCCCCTCGCCCATACCCACGGCCCCACTTTCCCCTAGGCGGCAAGCCCAGTTGGTCTTTGTTCCTCAAGCAGGAACCAGAGGTGAAACTTTTCATTTGCTCTTGAGCTTGGAGATTTATTTTCCGCATAAATCGTTACACGGAGAAAAGGATACTGTATCTTTAAAATCGATTGGTTTGAGACAGTAGTTTCCTGAACATTTTCCTCTTGGGCAACGAAAAAAGGGCAACCTCCTGCGGGGAAAAATGCAACGAAATTGTCCTTATTTATATATAACTTTAGGTTATTAATTTTATTATACGTCTGGGAGAGATAGCCGGGAGGTTAGGCGATTTGGTGAGCCCTTCATGGAGCGTTCGACACTGCAGAAAAAAGAAAAAATCTCCACGGGGTAGGGGAGGAGTGTGGAAGTCTCCCTCTGGTTTGATCGGGCTTTCTTTAATTTAGAGTTGTGACGAATGATGTCTTTATTAGATAGTGTTGGGAGGGGTGGAAACGTCCCCTTCCCCGTTTATGGAGACATTGCTCTACCCACTCATTTAAGGCAAACGATTCCAACAAAATCATCCCTTCAATATCAAAATCGGACCCGTGCCCCTAGGGGCAGGTCCTTGCAGTTCGGAGGGCTCAAGACTTCGCGCGGCGACCTCTCAGAAAAGCTGAGCGGCAGCCTCTCTTCAAAGGCTGCCCAGAATCCCCGTACAAATCCTGGGATTGAGAGACGGGTGCTCAGCGAGACCGGCACTGGTGGGTGGCGGGAGGGAGAGGAAAGGTTGGATTGGGACAAAAAAGTGCAGCAAGAAGTAAGGGAATAAAAGCCTGAGGAGCAGCAGCAGCCGGACGCGGGGGAGAGGACCCTCTTCGTTGAGGACGGTGTGCCCACGGCGGTCCACACACTGCCGTCCACACTTTCCCAGCTGGGAGACCACAGGGTACTCGGGGTTGGGCTTGGTCGGAGAGAAGTAGACCAAGCCATTCAGAGGTCCGGAAGGGGCAGAGGTCCTGGGACAGGAGCTGGGAACACGGGGCGCTCCCTAACCCAGGCTGCGGCGCGTCTCTCCCCGCAGGTGTGGTTCCAGAACCGGCGCATGAAGGACAAGCGGCAGCGCCTGGCCATGTCCTGGCCGCACCCAGCCGACCCCAGCTTCTACACCTACATGATGACGCACGCGGCCGCCACCGGAAGCCTGCCCTACCCCTTCCACTCGCACGTGCCGCTGCACTACTACCCGCACGTGGGCGTCACGGCGGCGGCGGCCGCGGCTGCAGCCTCAGGCGCGGCGGCCGCGGCTTCGTCGCCCTTCGCTACTTCCATCCGGCCACTGGACACCTTCCGCGCCCTCTCGCACCCCTACTCTCGGCCGGAGCTGCTGTGTAGCTTCCGCCACCCTGGTCTCTACCAGGCTCCCGCGGCCGCCGCGGGGCTCAACAGCGCGGCCTCTGCCGCGGCAGCCGCGGCAGCCGCAGCGGCTGCGGCCTCCTCGGCGGCGGCGGCCGGCGCGCCCCCCAGCGGCGGCTCTGCACCCTGCTCGTGCCTCAGTTGCCACAGCAGTCAGTCGGCGGCGGCAGCCGCGGCAGCAGCTGCCGCAGCCCTGGGTTCCCGGGGTGGCGGTGGCGGCGGCGGTGGTGGTGGTGGCGGCGGCGGCGGGGGCGCCGGGGCCGGGGGAGGCTCGGACTTCGGCTGCAGCGCGGCGGCGCCGCGTTCCGAGAGCGGCTTCCTGCCCTACTCGGCCGCGGTGCTTAGTAAGACGGCCGTGAGCCCGCCGGACCAGAGGGACGAGGCTCCGCTCACCAGATAACTACGTCGCCACCGCCAGGGGGCCGCGCCCGCCTCTCTGAGTGTGCCCGGGAGTCCCCTGTGCGCCCCCTGAGCCCTCCGCGCGTTGCCCGCTGCTGCCGCTGCCGCCAGGGGGCGCCCCGGGGCGCGGGAGGCCGAAGGGAACCTGCTCCGAATTGGGGGAGAAGGAGCAGGCGCAAAAGCCTGGCGGGCATCCCCCTAAATTATTTCTATTTTTGTATTTGCCACCCAGCCGTCTGCCCTTCTCTCTCTTTTCTGGCTCCCGGGACCCACTTTCCACCTCTGTCCTGAGCGCTTGGTTTCCCAAAGACCAACCCCTCGCCCCCTAAGCTAGTCCTGGCTGTGCACTCTCAGGTCCGGGTTGCTTGGCTGAACGGCGTGGCCCGAAGCAACGGAGAACCACAACAAAGACAGAGGGGGATGCTGTGCGCTGGTGCTTGGGGGCGGGGGAGGAGTCGCCCCGGAGGTTTCTCGCTGCTGCTGTTTTTCTTCCTTTTCTTTCAACGAGGGTGGGGGAGGTGGCAAACGTTCTTTCAGCCTGAGCTTATTAGGGACCCTGCCCGAAGAGTGCGGGAGAACGGAGGTCTGATAAGGCCGGGAGGACGGATGGAGAGCGTGGGCAGCGGTGGTTGTTTGTGAGATTGTTTACTACGTTCAGGAGCAAGGCGGGTAGGGATGTGGCCGCCTTCCCCGGGAAGGACAAAGCCGAGGTGCTGGAAGGGGTGGCCGTTGCGCCGCCTCCTTTTCGGTCCAACACCTTTCTCTCTTTTGGTCTTTGGTTTCAGTGCTGATGGAATGGAAGCATCTTGCATATTTTATGCAAAAAGTGATGGCAAAAGAGGTTGCCACGGCCAGGGAAGGGAAAGGAAGGGAGTTGGGGTAGGGGTAAGACTGATAGATCGCTGTAGTATTTGGAGAGGCGTTTTCAGCTCAGTTTTCCAACTACCGGGTTCCACTCGATCTGGGAAATACTTGAATCTCTAGATATATTAATATTATCCTAAAGCATTTCCTTAGACACTTTTCTAAGTTAGAACTCTCTATGTCCCTCGTCCCCTTCTCTCCTCGCTTTCCTTTTCCTCGGGTGAAATGGTTCTTGGCATATTTCTCACGCATGTCTATTGCGCCTTCGCCTCTGCAAAGCCACCGCTGGGTTGCTGAGACCCGCTCTGCCAACCCGGCTACTGGAGGGGTTTCCTTGAACTTGAAGAAAGGTACATCAAAACCCACTAGTGTTAACTGCCACGTCAAGTTTGATGCTAATAATGTGCAGATTATGACGAAAATTGCCAATCATGCTCTCTGATGGACCTCCTTTGAATGTGGAATTGGAGAAAAGTTCCCCGCACGGAGACCTGCTGTCAAGTACTAACAACCCGCTAAGGGAAGTCATTAGGAGAGACGGATAAGAGACTCGGTACATAAAACATTGTTCTTGGTGCATAGAATGTATGTTATTTAATGTTATCTCTGTTACCTGAAGTGATTTCGCAGAAGAAAGCCACGTTCTTATCATCTCAATTGCCGATTTTCATTTTGGTAACTTGGACGCCCTGGGTAGACTTTTCTCTGTTAAGTTGATATTCCACCAGTGTGAACAGCCTCATTAAATCAAGCCCAGATATTTCCATAATGCTCCCCGCAGAGCCACTTGGCTCCTCACATAATGAGATTTTCTGAAGAGTTGAAGCCCTAAAATAACTTGCTAGTGCATGTTTAGACCCAGCGAAGTGGGTATGTGTGTGTACGTGTATTAAAATGTAGGTAGGCTACCTACATGTGTTTGTGTATGTGTATATATATGTATATGTATGTATATGCATATATATATCCGTGCTCTTAAATACATATGTAAGAGATACACACATATTCATGTATACATACACATTGGCACTATTTTCTGTGGTTTATTTCAGATTTGTGTCCTGCCATCATATTGTTATTTTAAAGACACTGGATTTTAAAATATCATTTCCTAAATATAGGCTTTCAGTAAACTTTTGAAAGAATTAGTTTTCCAGGAGAAATTATTTCCATCAAATGGAAAATACATAAAGGGGAAACAGTATTTCGAAATTCCTGGGGTCTATTAAAATATTACCATAAAATATTAGAGAACTTTCCAATGAAATAGCAATGATCTAAAACTTAAGTTTTTGTTTTTGTTTTTAAAAACATGAGACTACTTATGTAAAATATTGATTATACCAGCTCTTATTCACTGAGTTTACATTTTTAAAAATATTAATATATAATTTAAGGCTAAATAAAATAAACCAAAATATGGTACCCTTTATCAGCTTTACCTATTTAGATTGTTAAAGTCCTTTGTTATGATCAGCTAACAGATGTATATAAGGTACTTTAGGCAGTAATGTTTACATTTCCCCCAAAAAATATATATGATTGATGAGAACGCTGGTTGGTAAAATTAACATAAATTCATCATTTGTTGGGTCCATTGGATCTGGTTATTATATTGAAATAAAATTGTAAATAAAGTCTTCGTGCTTTAAATATTGCTGGATGTATGAACTCACTGTAAGATATTTTACAAATGTGCAATAATTATAAAGCCTTGTATATTACGTTATTTATTGTGTTTGGTCATGTAAAATAAATGTTATTTAAATCAAGGCAGTTTTATTTGTTTAAGAGATTGCAAAATGGTTTGTGCTAGTGTTCGTTTTTAACTGTGGCATCCAGGGTTATGAGAATCTCTTAAAACAACATGTTTAAATCCATATAATACACATATCAGATGGATTAATTCATTCTAATCATTATTTTTATGGCAAATACATTACTCATGTTTATAGGAGACATGCACTCTTCCAAACATTGGTTTAACGTTAATTGGCTGGCTAAACAGATAAGAGTGTTTAGGAGTAGTGTGTGTGTCGATACACATGGTAGAGGACGTGCCGTCATATATATAGGGAGTGTGTACACAGGGTTAGGAGCTGTTTATGTTTGCAGTACTACAAAGGTAAACAAAATTAATTCCTCTATCTAATTAACTTGCCCACTTTTATTCTCCCACTTATGAAGTAAATATTAATATTTAATTCAAGGAAAAAGTTCACTCTTAATAGGAGCTCAGCCCTCTTCAAGCTCAGCCCTCCCTTACTAGTTCCATCTCCTTTGGTCTCTTTTAGGGGTGTACAGCACATTCTTCAAACTTAAGTAGTGTTTCTGTTTGCTGAGGATAAAGGATGCTGTGAACATTTTACCAAATTGGCTATGAGTATTTCAAGCAACTGGATATTTAAAAATATGATTTCCCCTCTTCCTTCTTTCTTTTGCTTTGGTACTTCAGCCCTGTTTTTCTTTCCCAATCCTATCTTCTTTCCCGAGTTCAGTCCACCTCTTCGTGTATTTACAGATCTGTCTTAAAATCGATATTTCGATGGCAAAATGCAAGAGTCAATGGTGTGTGCAAAGCAGTCTATTCGATTTAAAAACCAAGATGTCCCTTCCTCGAAATTTTCTTTTTCCAACTGCTCACCCTGGCATTAATTACAACGATGAGGACACTACTGGGAATACAGAGGCTGCGATCACAAGCCATTTTGGCCTGTAATTTACCATTATTATTGCATTAGCTCTAAATGATACAAGCTGATACCGTCTTTAATTGCAGGTTGGTTAAATATATACTGAAGTAATCCCAAGGGTTCCCTCCCCCTCGATAAATTCTTTTCTCTCTTTCCCCTTCTCTCTTTTCTTGAACTCCCCCATTAAAGAAATACGATTATAGCAGCACATTTGGACTGGTGATGTATCACCCTGGTTTTCGGTGCTCTTTGCTAACTCGGGGGTTGTAACCCTTAAAAACAAAAGCATTGAGATAGATGGGCCAGCAAACGGAAAAAGACAGTGGCCAAAAAACCCTGTCCAAAATAACAGCATTTTTTTTGTCTCGAGTGTGCAAAGAATGAAAAAATAATTCATCATAAAATGCAGAAGACTGTCTGTCATCAAGCCCGAATTGTTTTTGACAAGAAAATAAATCTGTAGGTTGTTTAATATATTTTATATTTTCTTTATTTCGTCGCTAATGGAAAAACCAAATTAAATGTCCACTAGCGAGATAGAAATGCAAAGATCGATGATCCACCCCCCTACTGTCCAATCACCCCTATTTAATTGACTGTATTTTCTGGGTAATTGAACTGCTTGTTGTAAATTGAAGATTTTATAGAAACGACATGAAAACTACATTTACTGACATTCATCGCATCTTTGACATTGATTATCTGATCAACGCATGTCACGGTAACCTCCAATTCTTCATTACACACTGTTTATGAGCTGTTACAGAACAACTTGCTTGTTCCAGGGTGATTGATTGCCTTATTAACGCGTGTTCTTGTAAGTGTGACCGAACTGATTACGATGCATATGTTTAGAATAATGTTTCATTTAGCTGACTGCGAGTAATGCAGGGTGACAGCTGCTGCAGGGAGGACAAAAAAACCTGAACTACAGGGCGCGTTTGGGACCAAAAAGCCCAAGTTATTTAAGGTGGAACGGACCACCCCGAGAGGAAATTCCAGAGCTTGTTGCTGCTCCTTAGTCGCTCGGAGGAAGCTTACCCTGGCATCCCCGCCCTCCAAACTCAGAAATATGAAACATTTGATGAAACAATCGCTACCCTCTGCAATTAAATAAGTTATGAAGACTAAATATATGGTAAGGGTTTTCCTCTTGTTACTTCTCTTCCATAAATTGTATTTCTTTTTCTTCCCATAATGCTCCGGTGTCCTGGATTTTTAGGTGCAAAAAGAACAAGCAAAGAAATTTACCTTTGTAAAAATCTACTTACTTACACACAGCTCCAAACTCAAAATTCTTCAGTCTGCTATGGATTCCAGGAAAGGTGTCCTTTCAATCCTACCCATCCTGAATCCGCTAAAGGAAGACTTATAACTCTCCCTCCCGCTAAAACTTGAGTCCCTTTCCTGGGCTTTCTGAGGAAGGAAAGTGACCTTTTCCTTTGCCAAGGCCCTGAGCGTTTTTCCTAGGCCGATCAGGTCAGAAGCTGGAGTGCATTTTGGTTTTAGGCTGAACCTTTATTGGCAGCTCTCCCAAACCCCAGTCATCAAAGGCCTACACCTGGAGACCCTGGAGAGCAGCGTAGGGCTCACGCTATAATTTGTCTGTTAATGTTATGAGCCATGATTTGATCAGAAGTGGGGATCTACTTTCAAGTAGCATTCTGAGTTTCCTCTCATAAGGAACCAAAGAAGGGGACATAGAGCCCTGCAGTGGTCATGAGAAGTCAGTCTCTTTTCCTTTCCTCTTTTTCCACCTAGGACTGGCTGCACAATTTTTGGTCCCAGTGCAAAATGAACATGTGGGCCCCTTGTTCAAAAGTTATTAGGAATTTCAAGAGGGCAACAACAGAACATCAAATCAAGCTGGGGGGTGGCTTTTAAGCCCATCACCCTGTGTGACTACAAAGATCCCCACCCACGAAGCCTGCCCTGTCTCACCCCCTCTCAGATGGAGAGACTCCCCTTGAGTTTAAATAACTTATCCCAATAAAAGACTGGCTTGGGAGTAGAGAGGGAGAAATGTAGGGGGTTATGGCTCCTGGGGGCACCTCCCCTTTCTTCAGTGACCTTTTGGCCTGATCCCTTCTCTTTCTTTGGAGCCACTCTCACCTCAGCTTCTCTGACCTAAGGTCTGGGTCCAAAGAATCTCATGGAAGCTTCCTGAACCACTTCTGAGGTGGGAAGGGTCACCCTCTCTTCCAGCTTCCTTTACACCAATTTGCAAAGTATCCACAACTAAGCTCATCATCCCTGACTTAGGAAAACCAGAATCAAGGTGTCTCTGCCTGTGACGGAAACCCAGGGGAGGAGGGGTGGTGGCGGGGGTGGGTTGGGAGGATAGTCCAGTCTGCAAACGAGAAAAGGGGCAGGCTGGTGTTTCTGAGGTTTGAACTCAGAGCAGGCACTTTGGAGTAAAACCAGTGACCTCCAGACCCTGTGGTATTCCCAGCCAAGTTGGGGAGGGCTGGCAGTGGGGGTCTTGGTTTTCCTGGAGCGATGGGAAAGCATGCTGTGAAAATGCTTTTTATAGATTCTCCCACCTCCACCCCAATCTTATTTTAATAAATACATCCTCAGGCATTATTTACAAGCTCACATAATTTACCTATGCTATTTGGCAAAGCAACTTCGCAAAAGAAAGTGAATGAATAAATACTTCATAACTGCTGGTAGAGCAGACTGGGTCCTGTAATGAAGAAAAGATTTATGTCACCTTATTTCAGCCCAAATAGCAGCAGCCTCGGCTTGTCTCAGCCCAGTGCTTCTATTTAAATGTTACTTTCATATATTATGTGGCATTAATTTAACTATAGCTCATTAAGGCAGAATGAAATGGTTAAATTAACTTATCAACCCATAATGATGATGAATGAGGTATTAATTCAGATACAAGCTGGGCAATTTGCAAGTTTACGCATTGTGATGGTTCTCAAATAACATTTTGAATAGCGGGTCAGCGCCTCAATCAATTACATAAGCATGTAAAGTTGGTCTCTCAGAAAAAAAATCCTTTTTCATGCATATGCATTAAAACATGTTCGCAATTATCCTCGGAAATTGCCTTCATTGGATTAAGCAGCAGCCTTGGACGCGGGTTCTGATCTTCCCTGGGCTTTTATTAAAGCTCTGAGCAGCTTTGGCAATAACAGGGCGGATGGGCTGTTTGTTTAAAGAGTGTTTACCAAAGAAAAGGGCCGACGGGGTGTGCTGGTTGATAAACAGGGATCTACCTCCTTGGGAGAAGTTGTTAGGAATCGTCTGACTGCCCCGAGGCTGAGGAGGGAACCCTGTCAGCCCAGACATCGGCTCCGGGGCTTCGGCTTTCCGGGCTAGTAATTAACTGCCACCTCAAAACCAGCCTTGGGTTCAGGCTGTGCTCGCCAGGGAGATACCGTGCCCGGCCCAGCGTTCGCCCACTAGGGGACTCGGGCGGGGGGACGGGTAGGCACACAGGCAGCCTCCTGCGATCCTTGGTTCATCCAAGCCAGACCAGCAAATGACTTACTTAGTCCTGGGATGGGGGCTCTGGAGGGGGATTTAATGAGCCCTTTGGCAGGAGCTGATTCAGGGCGGCGGTGACCCGTTGTTTCCACCTTCATGCCAAGACGGTTGGCGAATCTCTGCGGATATCCTGCTCGGTTTGACAACTTTGTGTGGGAGAAGAGTTAGCCCAGGTTCAACTCTGGAGTGGAAGCTACAGGAGGGCAGGGCTTGGCCTCAGATATCTCATCTGCAACCCCACCCCAATCCCGACCCCGACCCCGACCCCCAAGCAGGCCTGGTTTGCCCTCCCTGTTCATGAGGCCTAACTTAAGTTCTCTCTGGAGAAAAGTAAAAATAAAAAAGTCAGAGGCCACGGCAGAAGGCTTTGCGGAAGGGCAGGAGGGATTAAAATGAGTTTTTCTGGGACCTCCTTCTATTCCTCTGCCCCATTTTAAAAAATCTTGGTGAAAATAGGGCAGTTAAATAAAACTTTGGCACTTTCCATATGCCACGTACTGCCAAGAGCATACATTAACTCATTTAATTTTCACCACACTCATACGAAATAGTTTCCATCATTATCCCCATTTTACAGAGGGGTAAACTGGGCTGTGGGATGAACACTTTTCCCAGAGTTGAATATTGCACTGCCCAGATCATGAGTTTCACGCTCTCAGCTACTCCGCTAAGCTGCCCCAGAAGGCTTCCCTTCAAAGAGAGGTGTGTGGGTGACACTGCAGTTCCATAATGGGGCACCCACGGAGGTAGATCTGCATTTGTGTAGGTAGGAAGGACCCTAGTCCGGGTTCCTGAGCAATTCTGCTCCTCTTGGGCAGGCAGAAGGCTATTCGGGTGACTGCAGTCCGGGCGGAAGAGGCGGTCAGGGGTGAGGTGGCCTATCCCCCAACCCCGACCTCATTTTAGGGTCTCTCCCAGGCAGGTCTTTCCCCTCTTTGGATGGGTCAGCTCTGTGGAGTGCTGGCCGAGTGGCCACTTCGAACTCGTGCACTTCTGCTTTCTCGGGTTCGGCCCTGGCTTTCATGCCCGGGAGCTCCGCAGCCTGGAGATGCACACCCCGACACCCTCCTCCCCTAATTTCGCACCCGAGGAGGGACGGCCAGGCGAGAGGGCCCTCAGGGTTGGCCCAGCCTTTCTGCGATGGCAGCGAGGGGTCTCTTCGGAGCAGCCGAGACGGGTGTAACGCCGTGGGCGGGAGAAGACGGCTGGTGTCCACGCTCTGCAGGGACTCGAGCCTTCAGAGCTGTCGCAGGGGGACGCGCGACCCGGTTCCCTTCCTCCTCCGCCCAGACGCGGGGGAGAGGGGGATCCAGCAGCCGGTGGCTCCGGGAGCTCCTCGCCGCCTCCCGTGCCAACCTGAGGATGCGTGTTCCCTGCGGTTGCCAAAAGGGTTCGACGGAAGAGAGAAGCCAGAAGATGCGAATAAGAAAAAAAGCTTAAAGGCTGCAATCTCCCCAGCGACTGTTTGCGCCCGGTCTTCTCCAGCACGATCGCTCCCCACCCTCACACATTCCGCCAAGGCTTCTCGCCTCCTCTGACTATCCAAGTCATCTAGTGGGGTGGGGGTAGGGTGGTGCTTTGGAAAAGCTGATTCTCCCCACTCAGATGCGTGGGCTTAGGAGTGGTGAGGGGCTGGCAACATCTGTCCCTCTCCGGAGTGGGCCACCTCTGAATGCGTCTACCGACATAGCTTTGCTAGCCAAATTGCAGGAGACTACAAGGGCTGTGTGAGGTGACTTCACACTGCTCTTGGGAATAGCTCAGGCAGGTTTCGAACCCCACCACTGCCTCTCACTACTAGCCTGTCCTGAGAGGCCACGTGGAATTGAGGGTCCAAAGGGCCATTCATGAACATTCTCATCAGCTTCTTAGGCCCCAAGGCCTGTTCACCCTTGGGGTCAGCTCCTCAGCAGTCTTCCTGGATTTCTTCACGGTCAGTCTTCCTGGATATCTTCCCGCTCCCCTTCAGAGACTCCTGCATTCACCTATCACCTGCAAGAGCAAGGGGTGGGTTTTAGCTGGGGATCTCTGGGGCCTGGAGCAGAGTAGAGACTCAATAAATGCTTGTTGACTGGACAAATAAATTACCCGGATGGAGGGGAAGCCAAAGGCTCCTGAAGAGCCCAGGGCTGCTGCTGGGAGGGTGGGCTTGGGTTTGGCCATCAAGGCTATAGAGGTTTGATTCCTGGGGGTAGGGTGGAGTGGGGTGGTGTGGAGAGGAAAGCCCCTGCCAGAAAACATCTGCCTCACCTGCCACCCTTAGTCAAAGGGAAAGAATGGAGGGGCGGCTCATTGTGTGAGGCAGTGACCCACACTCAGGGTCTGGTTGCTTGGGGTTTCCTATGGGAATGCAGTGTTGGGAAAGGGGGTGTCCAAGAAACTGGGGTTGTAGGGTACTGGTTTCTCCCCTGGGCCAGGTTCTGCTCACATCAATCATCCAGAATCCAGAACTCTTCACAGCCTCTGGATCCATCAAGAAACAAACCCCAAAATAAATGTGAAAGCAATGGCCTGGAGATCGCTCTAGTCCCTGTGCCCTGCAGGGTCTCCAGAGGAGAAAAATGAGGTGGAGGTGGGGGTGGGGCAGAGGTTTCCTGGGAATTCAACTGGATATCCAAGCAGAGAAAAACAAAACAAAACAAAACAAACAAACAAACCCAAAACCATGTGCACAGAGTGAAGGGACTCAGACCCAGAGAGGCCACGAGGACGGTCACAGAATGGTGCTAGTGACAGACTGATGATAGAGGCAGCACAGAGGTTGGGCAGGGGACAGGGAACTGAGGCAGAGGTGGAATAGGGTTGGGAACAGGCTTACACTCAGGGACAACAAGGTCCAAGACTTCAGGGGTGTGTGAGGTGACTACCTCAAGGTGTCCAGGCTCAAGGATAAGGCCAGGATGGAGCTGCTGAGGCAGAGCTGGACAAGCAGTGTTTGGTTACCCACAGGCCTCCAGACCTTAGGAGCCTGGGGGAAATCTTGCAGATTAAGGTTCTAACTGGCCTTCTCTTCTTGCTAAGGGTGCCTTTGCCACTCATACTCTCCAAATGCGAGAGGTTGTATGGCTTTGTGGTTGAAATCTCTGCTTAGCCACTCATTTGTGGTGTGACCACAATCAGGTTGCTTTCTGCCTCAGTTTCTTCATCCCTAAAATAAGAATAGTAAGTCCTCCTTCTCAGGAAGATTGAGTTAATACAGTGTGTTTAAAGCTCACACTAGGGCCTGACAGTAGAGTAAGTTGTATGTATTAGTTGTTCCCAACACTAGGAAGGAGTAAGGAGTCTGAGGACCTGGTCTTGCTCCCTCCCTCTTCTACGCCCATCCACCCTTGCCGGCTGCCCTCTGAGTCCCAGAGGCTGAGACCAGTCCACCAAATGCCTGTTCCCAAGAGCTTCACTTGGTCCGGGCCTGAGGCCAAGGGAGAAGAGGCAGAAGAGGCAAATATTCTGCTTCGACCTGTGCCCGCACAGAGTCAGGCGGTTTAGGGCAGGGTGGGAGGTGCCATGCAGCTGGTGCTGCTTTGGAAGAAGCTGAAAGAAAGGAAAATACCTTATCCTGTATTCATTGTGTCCAGGGCACTGTGCTAGGCATGGGGAAACCAACAGGGAAAGATAAGAAAAATAAATTCCCTTTATTTAATCCTCAGAAAGCTCTTAAGAGTTTCCTATCTGCCTTGTGCATTATGATTCTAATTTTATAACTGAGAAAACAGAAGTGAGAGTGGTTAAGCAAGTTGCCCAAGGTCACACAGCTAAAACATTTGGAATCCAAATGAGATGAGTCTCTCCCTTGGCTCAAGGTCCTCAGTCAGTCCTGTCTTCCACCACCTTCCTCCCAGGGCCCCTGCTGGGAGGGGCCTCAAGCAGAGTTTGTTTGGTGGGTGACTTCGGGAATGAGAAGGGTCATGAGCCCCACTGAGCCCTGTAGGCTCCATTTTGCCTCTCTTCCACACACTCCACTTCTCACCCTCCAAAATGAAAGCAGCAGGATGTTGGGCTCTTCCTGACTGGGGCTCAAGTAATCGATCTATTAATCTCGCTGCATGTTTTCTCATCTGTAAAATGGGCATAATAGAAGCTGTTTCGCTGTGTTGTTGTAAGGCTCACACGAAACAATAAAACCTTTTAAAGTTTGCTTGGCATGTTCAATAAATGGTGGCCATTGTAGTTATTGTTCCTTTGATCCCTGGCCCATGGCAAGCGGGAGGAAGCCCGCTGGGTGGGAGGTAGGGCTTGGGCAAGCTCAAGTGTGTAAGCCCCTCACGCCTGTTTCCTGTCTGAGCCTCCAATGCCACTTTTGAAATTCACGGGAAGGACTGGGACTACGCTTGGCGACAGCGCAAGGCAAGTAGCAGATGTGTGATACCGACCTGCTACAGGGACTTCGGGCTGCGAACGACGTCGCCAACAGTTCACCAAGCGGCCCTCGCATCAAGCGGAACGACGACGTCGTTAAAGCACTGTGGCCCGAGGTTCTGGAGGCGGGGCGAGCCCGGCTGGAAACCTCGCTGCCCACTCCACCAGGAAGCATCCTGGGAGATCCGAAAAAGTGGCCCCGTAAGATCCTGACCTTGGGAGCGAGCAGTTCGTTCGGATTTTTAGGGAACGGGGAGGGTGCAGATGAGGCGGAGTGGCTCATTTCGGGGCCTGGAGCCACTGGCCATGCCCAGAGAGTGCAGGCTGAAACATGTAGATGCTTCTGTTGAAACCTCAGTTTCCCCTCATGGAAAAAAGCCTGTCTATATCTGTCCTCCTTAGTAGGCTCTTGAAAGCCTCCAACAGACTTGCTCCTTGCTGGCCTTACCCAAGTCTTACTTGCCAGGGTCTTGGGCGCTCAGCATGGAGATTGAACACAGATGAACTCTGTGCATTGAGTACTGAAAAGTGGCGGTTGTCACTTCAGAGTTCTAGCCGCCTCTTCGGTGTAACTGGTCGCACCCCTGACCTCTATTCTCCGCTCCCTAAGCCTTCCCCAGAGCGCAGGGGTCCGCGCGGTTTCTGGGGACTGGAGGACAGAGGCAGCTGGCAGGTGGGGAAGGAACAGAGGCCCCTAAAAATGGCTAGGCGCCCTGTGGAGATTCCCCAGACGACCCTCCATTCTTCCACTAGTGCGCGCGGGTAACCCCGCTGGAGATCCACCCAGCCGCGAGGCGAGCGCAGCACCGCAGGAGCAGCGACCGCGCAGGCACAGCTACGGGGAGAGGAGAGCCTGGTCTGGACACGGCCACAATCCCCAGCCAGCCAAGCCTACCCTGCCACTCCCTCGCAGGCCCGGAAAGGGGACAAAACCGTGGGCCCAATTCAAGTGCCAGGTGCGCCCAACGCCAAGAAGGGTCGCCCTGGCTGGCCTCTTCCACACACAGACTTCCACACTTAGGCACCGGCGAAAATCACCGAGGGCTTCGGGCCCTTGCACAACCCTGTCCTGGGCGTTAGTGGCACTGTAGGGCCAGATAATTTTTCAAAGAGAAAGTAGAGGAAAATAAGTGTTGGCTTTTGGTCCCGTGGTCACCCCGAGGCCCACAGCCACCTTCGGTTCTGATTTTCTTTTTCTTTGAAGAAAAAAGCTGAAGAAAGCGGCCGAAGCGCTCCTAGCTGAAAAAAAGGGATGTCAAGGTGGGGTTCGCTAGCTGAAGGCATGTTGGGGGCTACCCTGAACCCACAGACGTGGGACCTGGCCCCGGACTTTCCGTCTTCCTCAGCCTCCGGGTCGCGTCAGTTGCTCGGCGAGGGTCTGAGAAGTGGAGGAGGGACACGGCCTCCGCAGCCACCTAGGCGTGGCCGGAGTGGAGCGCGGGGTCGGGGCGGGCCCCACCGCGAACGAGGCCAGCAGCGCCTTCAGTGTTGTCCTCGCGGTGGACGCACTGCCAGTCCGCCCAGCAGGCCTCGTTTCCGGGAACAGGGGCAGGCGGCTAGCAAAGCTTCCCCCGGGGGCCACCAGGAAGCACCCGGAGATTTCCTGAAAAGGAGTGCGCCTTTAAAGTGTCGGCTTCCCAGACGTTGCTCTGGGGAGAGCGAGGAAGGGGAGGGACACACCTTTTCAAAGGGCTGGGACCCTGGAGGGACTTTTCTACAACTCGCCGCCGGTGTTTACGGGAGGCTGGTTTCTCCTGGGCCGGCGTAGGCTCCACACAGCCCCAGAGACCACCATTGTTTGGGGAGGGCAGATGCGCCCACCCGGGTCCCCGACCGCGTGGCGGAGGCTTGCTTGGCAGGAGTGGAGATGGTGGCGACACCCAGGTTTTCTAACTGCTTTTCTGAAATTCATTAGTAAATGAGGACTTGAACTATGGAAGTTCTGAGAGCCTGCCCCGGGAAGGCGCACCCCAACCTCTCTTCCCCCTCTCAGCCTCTCGCCCCACCATTAGTGGCTGCCTTGAGATCTTTGTATCAAGACCAAGCCAACACTAAGGAGCGCTCTAGTGAAGCAGCCTGGGCCTGGTAATGGGGGTGGAGTCTGCCAGGTGAGGGTGGCCCCACGGGTACCTCGGCCCAAGTGTAAGTTATGTATTTGCTATGAGACCTTCACCTGAGTTATTCATTTGCTGTGAGACGTCGAGCAAGTTACTTAACCTTTTTGTATCTCGCTGTCCTTTTCTGGATAATGGGGATAAACAAGAGTTCTACCTATATATGGATTGTAAAGAATTAATGAATTTTCTCATGTCGCAGAGAAAGCAGTGCCTTACTCTTAGGGGGTATTCCATAAATGTCATGTACCTTTATGTACACATCAGGACAAACCAAAACTCCTCTCTGTCCTATACTCACGCACAGGCAGTATGAGATGGGCAGTGGCCTAGGATCTGGTTACTAAGCGCTACAGAGAAGTGGGTGGTCACAGGCCAGAGGACTTAAAAAAGCCAGGAAGCCGAAATGAGTTGAGAATTCATTTTTACTTCCATAACCCAAGGCCCCTGTTTGCTGTGAAAGGCTTTATCTTTTTATTTTGTTTTGTTTTGCTTTGTTTTTAATTAAGCTATCATTAGCCACCTCCACCTTCCAGAAACCTATTTCTTTTTTCTTTTCTTTTTTTTTTTTTTTTTTTTTTGAGATGGAGCTTTGCTCTTATTGCCCAGGCTGGAGTGCACTGGCGCAATCTCCGGCTCACTGCAACCTCCGCCTCCTGGGTTCAAGCAATTCTCCTGCCTCAGCCTCCCTGAGCAGCTGGGATTACAGGCCACCACACCAAGCAAATTTGTATTTTTAGTAGAGATGGGGTTTCTCCATGTTGGCCAGGGTGGTCTTGAACTCCCAACCTCAGGTGATCTGCCCTCCTCGGCCTTCCAAAGTGCTGGGATTACAGGCATGAGCCACCGCGCCTGGCTCCAGAAACCTATTTCAAAGGACAGAAAAAGAGTAATGAACAAATTTCTTTTTGCATATGGCCCAGTGAAAATAATGAGGGCTTACTTAGAAGTGAGAGACACATGACCTGTCTTCTGGTCTCTGAAACTCTACATGGGTAAATCCTCTAACTTTCTGTTTCTTAATTTCTTCATCTGTAAAATGAGGATGATGATAACAATGCCATCTTGAAAGAATCTTTATGAAAGCTAAAGGAAATAACGTATTTTGAAGCATTTGGCACTGGCAACACAGGAGGATAGAGCTAATAATTCACCAAAAACAATAACAACCATGCTAAAATAAAACCTAAGCAAAGAGGAGAAACTCCAAAGGATGGACATTTCTATTGCAGATTGATTAGGGATTTTTTGGGATATACAGAAGAAAAAGTTCAGCTTAGACATGCTGCCTAAAATGAGTTTCAGGGAGTTCAGGATGCTTGGTTATGAGAAGGGACAATCTGCCCAGTTTCCCTCTTTAAAACTCAAGATATGTCTCCATCAAGCCTGGGAATGCTTTCGTGTAAACAGATTTTAGTTTTTTCAGTATCAACCCAGAAAACTGTCATGTATTAGAAGGAGGGCTGTGAATAAAACATGGTCAAAACATGATGTAATTGCAGTTACTCCAAATATGTTGAAGTGTGTTTTTAAAATGGAGAGAGAACCCAGATCATTTTTTCTCATGCTATCAATTATATAATAGTGGTATAGCTTCTCAATGTAATGTCTCTTTGCCCCACATATACATACATCTATTTGCATATACATGTGCTGATTTCCATTTTGTTTTCCATTTCGTTAGAGGTTTTTAAGTTTAAAGCAATACAATTTTTAATCAGAGTTTCCATTCAGAATCATGGACTCAAAAGATTTTTTTCTCTCTTTTTAATGTAAAAAACTCCAACCTGTCCAACAAAATAGAACTTATCACCTCTAGTTAATTTTGTGAAATATATTCAGTTATTCTTTGGATTATACATTCCATCTTCTTAAAAATATGAACCAATCAATTATATTAGCCATACGGCTTGATTATAACAGCTAATTTCCATTTCATAAAGTAATTGTTGTTTAAATACTGATAATTTATTAGTCAAGGTGTTTAGGAAAGTTCTCTCTAGTTCTATCTTTTAAATAATTATTGAAATGACTACAAAAATTCAAAGTCATTAGACTATTAGTTTTCATGGTTTTAGATTCTGTGGCTCCTCAGCATTAAATATCTACAAGGAGAACATTTTGCATGCTCTGCAGTCCTGGAACTCACAGCATGGACTATCCAGAGCAGCTTGGTGTTATTTGCTAGGCACAGGATTTCAACAGCAATAATTTGATGTAATGGGAAGGAGCTCACAGGGCTAGTCAGTTGTGTTGGACGTGAGAGCTGGCTAGGAAGGCTGTGCAGTCACACATTACTGCAAACAAAACATGTCACCCTTCAGTGATCTTAATGCTTTGTCCATTAAATGTACTCCCTCATGTAAATGGCAGTGTATTTAACTGGTAAACAGATGTTCACCACTATAATCTCAGAATTAGAAAGCTGTGGTTTATGGTTTGCAGTAAGCTCTAGGTTTCTTACTTCACTGAGTATTTTCCAGAGTCATTTCTCTTCCCCCCTCCCCGTCCCTTGCCATCCATCTGAGTTTTGGTTCTATTATGACCTTAATCTTGGTTTAGGCAGCAAATCCTCTTGACACTGTATTACACACCTTATGGGCCTCAACAAATATTCACGTAAAAAGATGTAGAAATAACACTAAAACATGCTATATTTAAGGTAATTTGGACTTAATGCAGTCTGACTTTAACTGAGGGTATTGTTTTAGTGAACTGCTCTGCATATCTCTTAGTTTAAAAGATACCCACCATGTCAGGTTGTTTCCTAGAAGGTGAACCTTAATTGCCAGATGGATATAGCTAGCCTATTAATAGGCAAAAAGATTTAAGTCAATTGAGGAAACGGAATGTGGTATCTTTTTGTAACCTAGCATACTCTCGATTAACTAGAATTTAAAATATTTTATATTAAGGTCATACATTTCCCTGTTATCATTTATCACCTGTTTTTATTGATTATATTTTCTGATAAAGACATCCCATTCAGGTAGGCTAAAGGAAAGTATTTGTTAAGAGCTTGAGTAGGTTTTGCAAAATTCTAGCACCTAAGAAGGGGTGTTTATCTTTAAGAGCCTCCATCGTTATTCCTTGTTTATTAAACCACAGATGGGAGGACTGGCTTAGCATTAAGTCTCTGTCATCAGAATGATGAACTTACTGCCACCTTATCAAAACTAAGATCCCTTTCCCAAAGGTCTGCCAAATGTGGTATGATAGTAAAAAGTAATTAAGTAATTAACTAGATAATGGCTAACAGTGCCTTGTGACAGTAAGTGCTCAGTAGTTATTTGTGGATGGGTAGATCTTTCATGTTCCCATATTATTATTATTTCTTTAATAAACATCATTGAAATGTGACATAATAAGAAAAAGTATACAAATCTTAAGTAGACAGCTTGATGGATTCTCACTAAATACATACATCCTTGTAACCACCATGCAGATCAATATATAGAACACTACCACCATCCTAGAATCTTCCTTTGTGCCCACTGCCAGTTATTACCTCCCAAAGGTGACGACATACTGACTTCTAACATGACAGATTAATTTTTAAACTTTGTATAAATTGAATCATAGTAATATGTACTCTTTACTGACTGGCTTCTTTCCCTCGACATTATGTTTTTGATATTATTTCATGTATTTGCAAGTTTCAGTAGTTCATTATTACTGCTGAATAGATTCCAGTGTATGCAAATTACACAATTGATCTGTTCTTCTGTTGTCTGGTGTTTGGTTTGTATCCAGTTTTGGGCTATTTTGCATAATGCTACTATAAACATCCTTGTATATGTCTTTTTGTGCATAGCTATGAGCTTTCTTGGTGGGTATAGTACTTAGGATTGGAATTGCTGGGATATCTTATGGTTATCATGTATTATTATTTATTTTACTTCCTGATAAGGATTTTATAGTTATTCTTCAATGGCATTCCATCTAACTCAGAATAAAAGTTAGTGGCCTTACAATTACTTACACAGACCTAAGCAAAATGGTCTTGACACTATTTTCTTTCTTGCTGTCTCTGTTGAAGCTGTAGTTATCTTCATGCTGTTCCTTAAATATACCAGACTTGTCTATCCCTTAGACAAAGAGAAGTGGTGTTTGCCCTTGCCACTTCTCTTTGTCTGGTAGCTCCTCTAGCAAATATTTGCAAGTCCCTCCCTCATCTCCGTCACTTGACTCAAATGTCACTTTCTCGGGAAGGTCTTCCCTGACCAGTCAATTGAAGTCGTAACATTTTCCTATTACCATAGTATACTTCCTATTACTCTTCCTTGCTTTGTTTTTTTTCATAGCAATGATTGATATCTGACATGCTATGTGTTCTTATTTGCTTGTTCATTTTCAATCTTCTCGCATTAGAATGTAAACACCAAGAAGCCAGAATTTATTTTATTGTAGAGACGGGGGTCTTGCTATGTTGCTCACACTGTACTTGAATTCCTAGGCTCAAGTGATCCTCCAGCCTCAGGCTCCTGAGTAGCTGGGGCTGCAGACGTGTGCCACATTGCCTGGCTGAGGCAGAAATTTTTGTCTGTCTGGTTTTATTTCCCCCACTGTTGAATCCACTGCTGTATCATCTTGCTAGTCCCAGAACAGTGCCTGACAAAGCATAGGTACTCAAAAAATAGTTGTTGAATGAATAAATTAATGGATGAGAAAAGGATGTCACAATTGTGAAAGCAGAAAGTTGCTGTTTAAAGCATCAGAAGACTTGGGTATTTGTCCCTGCTGTCATTAATTGACTCTGTGACCCTGGGCAAGTCACTATCACTCCCTTGTTTGTCAAATGGGGATAACAAAATATGTCTGCATCCAGGACTTTTAAGTGGCTCAAATGCAATAATGTGAGTGAAAATGCTCTCCAAACTTTGAAGTCTTCACCAAAGTAGGTATTCTCACTTGGCACGAAAGAGTTTGTTAGGAAAAATGAATTAATAATAAAACTAGTGAGGAATGTATAGTGAGAGCCACTATTCTTTTTTTCCCTGTAGTAGCTGATGAAGGAGGTTAGTGCATGTCATAGTTCAACTGCCTCTTACTCATGTACCTAAGGTGTTTTTCTTCTTAGTAGACAGTGGAGGTTGGGGGCTCCTGCATGCATCTGAGGTCTCAAACCTCCATTCATGGGTAGGGCTGGGAGTCGTAAAGGAAATCCAGGATCAGCTTGGATGATGAAAGCAGTAATAACTGCTTACATTCATTGAGTGCTCACCATATGCCAGGCAAATGGTGCTTTTCCTCTATTAGCTCATTTATCATCATAACATCCCTTTGAGGTACTGTTTTACAGGTAGGGAAAAATAAGGCAGAAAGAGGTAAAGTTTTACAGGTGGGAAAAAATGAGACAGAAAGATGTAAGGTAACTTCACTAAGTTTGACTGGTGGATCCAGGATTTGAACCCAAGTAATCAGGTTCAGGACTCTAGCAAATAACCACTCAGCAATGCTGCTTAAGTTCTGGTAGCGTTATGTGTGCCGCTGTTGCATTACAGAACAGCACCAGCTAAGTCCAGGGCCCCAGAAACTCTTGTCCCCAGCAAGCTTTCACAGGAGGCCAGGACAGAGGAGGTGCTCTGTGATGCCGCTGAAGATAGTGATGCTCTTGTAAAGATCTTGCGCTTTCTCAGTGCTGCCTTACGCTGTATAATCACTTTAAAAATTAGACAGCCACATATGACATTGAAAAATAAAAACCATTCAAAACACCATAATGCCTTTCAAAGCTATTTGTCAGTGGATTAACAACATTTTGATTAGTAGAAAAAATTACCCTTAAATAACCGCAATGAACTGAAACATACCCCAATATGTTTAAATATATGAGTTTATCCTATTTATTTTATACAATAAAAGCCCACATTACAGAATATTAGAAAACTCACTATTTTTAAAATTAGTAACTAAAAGAAAAGAATTAAGAACTTACTCACTTATTCAGGGCTGGTGCGGCGGGCTCACATCTGTAATCCCAGCACTCTGGGAGGCCGAGGTGGGCGGATCACTTGAGGTCAGGAGTTCGAGACCAGCCTGGCCAACATGCTGAAACCTCATCTCTACTAAAAATACAAAAATTAGCTGAGTGTGGTGGTGCATGCCTGTAATCCCAGCTATTTGGGAGGCTGAGGCAGGAGAATCGCTTGAACCCAGGAGGTGGAGGTTGCAGTGAGCTGAGATCGCACCGCTGCTCTCCAGCCTGGTGACAAAGCAAGACTCTGTCTCAAAAAAAAAAAAAAAACAACTTATTTATTCTGCTTTAAAAACAGTTTTATTGAAATATAATTGATATACAAAGAGCTGCACTTTTTTTTTTTTTTGAGACATAGTTTCACTCTTTCACCCCGGCTGGAGTGCAGTGCTGCAATCTTGGCTCACTGCCACCTCTGCCTTCTGGTTTCAAGCGAGTCTCCTGCCTCAGCCTCCTGAGTAACTGGGGTTACATGCACCCACCACCACACCCAGCTAATTTTCGTATTTTTAGTAGAGACGGAGTTTCACCATGTTGGCCAGGCTGGTCTCGAACTCCTGACGTCAAGTGATCCACCCGCCTCAGCCTCCCAAAGTGCTGGGATTACAGGTGTGAGCCACCGCACCTATTTAATGTGTACAATTTGATGAGTTTGATCATATGCAAATACCTGCGATACTATCACCACAATCCAGGTAATAGATACATCTAAAACTTCCCAAAGTTTCCTTGTGTCCCTTTGTTTGTTTTGGGATAAAAATGCTGAATAGGAAATTTGTCCCCTAAACAAATTTTAAAATACATATACTGTATTGTTAACTATAGGCACTGTGTTGCTCAGCAGATTTCTAGAACATATTCCTCTAGCAAAACTGAAATTTTATCATACCCATTGAACAACAACTTCCCATTTCCTCCACCCTCCTGTCCCTGGCAGCCACTATTGTATTTTCTGCTTCTATGAGTTTGACAATTATAGATACCTCATATAAGTGGAATCTTGCTGTATTTGTCCTGTGACTGACTTATTTAAGTTAGCATAATGTCCTCCAGTTTCATCCATGTTGTTGCAAGCAGCAGGATCTTTTTTAAGGTTGAATAATATTCCATTGTATGTATATATCACATTTCCTTCATCAATTCATCTGTTAATAGACATCTTGGATGTTGTGAACTACCATGCAACTTCCCGTGAAATGAACATGGGAGTATAGATATATTTTCGAGATCCTGATGTACATTCTTTTGAATACATGCCCAGAAGTGGGATTGCTGCATCACATAGTAGTTCTAATTTTAATTTTTTGAAAAAATCTCCATACCGCTTTTCATAGCTGCTGAACCATTTTACATTCCCACCAGCAATGTGCAAGGGTTTCAGTTTCTCTACAACCTCACCAACACTTATCTTTTTTTTTTTTTTTTTTTGATAATAGCCACCCTAACGGGTGCAAGGAGTTATCTTGTTGTAATCTCCTTTACACTGAACTGCTGGAGTGCAGTGGCAGGATCTTGGTTCACTACAGCCTCCGCCTCCTGGGTTAAGTGATTCTCCTGCCTCAGCCTCCCAAGTAGCTGAGATTACAGGCACCACCATACCCAGCTAATTTTTTGTATTTTTAGTAGAGATGGGGCTTCACCATGTTGGCCAGGCTGGTCTCGAATTCCTGACCTCAAGTGATCCACCCCCCTCAGCCTCCCGAAATGCTGGGATTACAAGTGTGAGCCACCACAGTGGGCCTCACTGTAATCCTGATTTGCATTTTTTGATAATTAATGATGTTGAACATATTTTCATATACTTTTTGGTCATTTATATGTTTTCTTTGGAGAAATGCCTGTACAAATCCTTTGCACATTTTTATTTTATTTTTATTTACTTTTTTTTTGAGACATAGTCTCGCTCTGTCACCCAGGCTGGAGTGCAATGGCGTGATCTCAGCTCACTGCAACCTCCGCCTCCTGGATTCAAGCAATTCTCCTGCCTCAGCCTCCTAAGTAGCTAGGATTACAGGCGCCTGCCACCACGCCTGGCTACTTTTTTGTATTTTTAGTAGAGACAGGGTTTCGCCATGTTGGCGAGGCTGGTTTCGAACTCCTGACCTCAGGTGATCCACCCACCTCGGCCTTCCAAAGTGCTGGGATTACAGGCGTGAGCCACTGCACCTGGCCTGCACATTTTTAAATTGAATTATTTGTTTTTTGTTATTGAGTTGCAGAAATTCCATGTATATTTTGGAAATTAACCCATTATTAGACATATGGTTTGCAAATATTTCATCCCATTCTGTAGGTACTCTTTTCATCTTGTTGATGTTTCCTTTGCTGACCTGCCTTTGGTATATGAACTGTACCATGGAGTAATCAATTAGTAGATGAGGAAAATTTCTCTTTATGGAAGTATCCCAACATATAAATGAAAACAGAGTAGCATTGGAATGTCACAATTTTGCAACCTAAAATAAGTTAATCATCTAATGATGAGATAAAAAACAGTGCTAATGTGAAAAAGAGAGACAGCAGACACCATGTGCCTCCAGATAGAAGAACATAATACCAAGGATTAGGTAGTTTTGCCAAAAATTTGAACCTGAATGTGGTTAAGTTCCTAGATGAAGTAACAATTTACAGAAAATACAGAGGACGGAAGAATGTGTTAAATAATGCATTAGCAAAATCCAATCTATAGGTAAATTTAGAGGACAAACAATCCAATTTATTTAACAAAAACATTATGAAGAATAAAACAGGAAGAGGAGGAACCTCTGAATTAAAAGATACTTGTAAGACATATCAACTGATTGCAGTACGTATACTAATTTGAATACTGATTTTAGCAGACAAGCTACACAAAAAATTTATGAATTTGTTGAGACAATTAGAAATTTGCATGTTGACTGAATATTTAGTGGTATTAAAGCATTATTGTTTTTTATATCAAATGCAATGGCATTTTAGTTAGGTTTACAAATTGTCCTTATATTTCAGAGATACATACTGAGATACTTACAGATGAATGATATGATGTCAGGGATTTGCTTCTAAATAATATGGGAGGAGGGGATAAAGGGTATAGAAATGAAACCAGATTGGCCATAAGTTGATAATTCGTAAAGCTAGATGATGAATGCATCTAATGCTTAAGTAAGTGTATGAAATTCTCCATAATAGAAGTTTGCAAAGTGTTAGCAGTTACAAAAAAAAGTGTACTGTGTTTGTTTGACTTCTCATGGGGTTAAAATGAAGAGGCTTGATGACACCTATATTGGTGAGGCTATGAAGCAATTGGAAATCTTATATGTTGCTGGTTGGCGTGTAAAAATCATATACTACCTTGGAAAACTGTTAGGCATTTCTTTATGAAGTTAAACATATACCTATCCTAAGACCCAACCATGTCACTTCTAGACATTTATCCAAGGAAAATGAAAACATATGTCCTTAAATATATTTAAACAAGATTGTTTATAGCACCTTTACTCACAATAGCCAGAAATTAGAAACAGCTTAAATATCCAGGAGAATGAATAAACAAATTGTGCTATACTAAGCCCATGAATACTACTCAGCAATGTGAAGAAAAAACTAATGATACAAGCACCAACTTGGTTGAATCTCATAGACATGAGGCCAAGTAAAAGGAGCCAGATGTACGAATCTGGAAAAGTTTTCCTTTTACATGACGTTCTTGAACTGGCAAAACTAATCAATGGTGATAGAAATCAGAAAAGTGGTTGCCTCTGAAAGGGGCTTTGGGAAGGGCAGGAAGGATCTTTATTGGGGTAGGGGTTACATGGGTGTTTATGTTTGTCAAAATTCATTGACCTGTATTGACAAGATCTATACATTTCATGGTGTGACAATTATACCTCAATTTAAAAATATCAAATAAAAATAAAATCACGGATGGATTCAGGCAACTACTTACCTGGTGTGAGGCTCACAGGCAGAGCTGTCTATTTGCTTTAGCACAGCTGCTAAGGCAGCCTCAGCCTGGCAAGATTCCAAGGCAGAGAAGACCTCTATGACTAGATCTTTCTATATCTGGCTCAGGCTCAAAAAATTTTCTTTCCTGAATGAATTGGTTAAGTGGGCTCTGAAAAAACAGGCACTTAATAGTTTAGTTAAATTCTAGCTGAAGGTCAAAGGCAAGTGATTTTTATTGATCTCTCATATTACCAGAAACAAGAGGCATAAACACTAAACTGAAGCTGGGAACAGGGGTGGGATGCTTGGCTCAGCTGTGTTTGCCTTGCCATGGGCATGACACTTCAGTTTTCTGGACCTCAGTTTCTTTTTTTCCCAAATGAAGGAACTGTATAGAATGGTGCAATGGTTTGGATATTTGACCCCTCCAAGTCTTATATTGAAATGTGATCCCTAATGTTGGAGGTAAGACCTAATGGGAGGTGTTTGGGTCAGTGGGGGATTCCTCATGAATTACTTGGTGCTGTCCTGGTGGGAATGAGTCAGTTCTTGCTCTATTCGTTTCCATGAGAGCTGGTTGTCAAAAAGAGCCTGGCACCTTCCCTCCCTCTTTCTCTCTTGCTTCCTCTTGCCATGTGAGCTCTGCACACACCGCTTTCCCTTTGCCTTCTGACATGAGTGAAATTAGCCTGAGACCCTCACCAGAAGCAGATGCTGGAGCCATGCTTCCTGTACAGCCTGC
Source organism: Homo sapiens (assembly GCF_000001405.40). Lineage (NCBI taxonomy): Eukaryota > Metazoa > Chordata > Mammalia > Primates > Hominidae > Homo > Homo sapiens. The sequence goes on along the minus strand of NC_000002.12, from coordinate 176,055,930 downwards.
AGAACTGTGAGCCAAAGAAATCTCTTTTCTTTATAAATTACCCAGCCTCAGGTATTCCTTTATAGCAACATAAATGGACTAAAACAAATGGTCTCTAGGGCCTCTGTCATATCCAACATTCTGAGTCTCTGCATAGCTTTATTTTTCCCTGGAGTGCTAAAGAAAGTGCAAAAGTGAACCCAGCATCATTTTCTCTAAACTTGCTCTTCTTCCTGCATTTTTTTCTCAGTTTTTCTCAGCACCACCATCAGGCATTCATTCACTGAGCAGATACTTATTGAGTACATAGTAGGTGCCAGGCACTGCTGCAGGTATTGTGATGCAGCAGTGAACAAAAGAGACAAAATCCCTGCCATAAAGAATCTCACATATTGTAGTGAAGACAGATAGCTAATAATGAAATTATATAAGCACTAGAGAAAGATGGAAGAGAAGGGATAGGGGATGCTGGTAAGGATGATTTGTAGTTTTAGTGGAGTGGTCAGGAAAGGTCTTACCAAGGAAGACCTTTGTACATACATGAAAATTGTCCCTTGTTATGCACGAAATATTTGTGTCTTCTCCAAACTGATATGTTGAAATCCTAACCCCCAATATAATGGTGTTTGAAGGTAGGGCCTTTGATAAGCAATTAGCGTTAGATGTGGTCATGACAGTGGGGACCTCATAATGGGATTAGTACCCTTTAAAAAGAGAAGGTGGCAGGAGATCTCTCTGTCTGCCCTCCACTATGTGAAGATACAATGAGAAGATAGCCACAAAACAATTTGCAAACCAGGAAGCAGGCCCTCACAGGAGACCAAATCTGCTGGAGCCTTGACCTTGGACTTCCTGTCCTCCAGAATTGTGAGACATAAATTATTTTTTAAGCCATTCAGTCTTTGGAAATTTGTTATAGTAGCTGAACTAAGACAACTCTGATCCACCTCTCTTTGACACCTCCCACTCAACCATTTGGTGTGCCCTCTAATTACATAGTGTAATATTTCTCAATTTTATTTCCTCCCTAACTACTAATACCCAGGTTCAGACCTTAACATCTCCTGTCTGGGTTACTGTAACAGTACCCTATGGAAGTCTTCTTTGGAAGAAGATTTCTTTCTTCCAAGGAAATCTGCCTTTCTATGGCTCATTCCCTCCTGTCATCTTCTTGTCTTCTCCAATCAATTTTCTACAAGGCCATGTCAGAGAGTTATCTGAAAGGCATACCTGACCATGTCATTCTACTATTTAAGACTCAGCAATGGTTTCCTTCTGCCAACAAGGTAAAGGCCAGATGCCTTAACAAGGCATTTCATCCTCGTGTGGTCTGGCACTTGATGACTGCCCCAACCCCATCTCTCACCCAACTGGCCTTGACGTCAGTGTTCCAAAGTAGAATTTCTCCCTCCATATGCAATACCATCCAGAATGCTCATATCTCCCTGTTCATGCCTGCGTCAGTCCTGTTTTTGAGTCATCTTAGTAATCACTTCCACTGGATAATTTTCAAATTCTGTATTCTGCACCCACCCCAGATAGGCTGGGTGCCCTTGTCTGTGGTTCTATGAAACTATGTACACACATTCTTTAATTGCATTGTTTTCCACGTTGTTCTGAAATGATCCAGGAAGACCCCATTCTCCCAATGGACTATGAATTTTCTGAGCAGAGAAGCACATCTTATTCCTTTTTGCATCTTGGCTGCAACCAAGTAATCAGTGACTTCATTTGTGTTCTGATCCTCCCATTCTCTTCTCCTCACTGATCTCAGTAGGCTAACCAGGATGATTTATAATTTGCAGCTGAAAGACAGAGATGGGAGACAGTCCTATTTCAAGGCTGATTTCAATTCAGGTTAAATGTCAGACAGTCACAGATTCTTAGACTTGGCATAACAATTACAGGTAATCTAATGCAACAACCCACCAGACACTTGGAGGTCCTTCAACATTTCTACAAGCTGTAGGGCTATGGAATTCTTCAAGTATGCTGTAATACTGATAGAATAAGGTGAATCTTCAGTTTACTAGAGGCTTTCTCTTTTCTGCTTTTCTCTGGTTCAGGATGTCATGTGTGAAAATGATGAAGCAGGAAATTATTTGTATTAGAACACATATGTGTTTCCATACAGATGCACACACAAACACACCGTGTAAGTTTAAATCTGTAAGTTGCTTAAGATGATAAACAGCAAACTATTACCTAAGATGTTAAGCATAAGTTGGAGACTGAGATAGTAACCAGAGAGAAAATTATTTGTAAGTTGAAGTTAAAACCATCTGTCAAAGCAAAGGGCTATGAGTAAAAAGCAAATGGATTGGTAGACTCCACAGGTGGATGGCCAGAGACAAGACCCCACCCTGGCAAGAACCTGTCAGCTGGAACCAGCAGTCTGGACACCAGTCTAGCTCTATAGCCAGAAGAGGGGACTGTGAGCCTAATATAAGCCATGCCCCATCAGAGTAGCCTCAAGTGCCATGTTAGTCTTAGAGTTTTCTGAGCAACACCTTACTTACTTGCTGCTCATATCCCATTTGAAATCAACACATTTAAACTGCTTAAGCTTGCATTTCACCTTTGGAGAATCCCCATCCTCTGAGTGCCTCCCTGTCTTCTCTTTTGCTTGCTGTTCTTGTGGAAAATAGAGGTATATCTGTGGGTGAAAATAATAACAAACTCTTGAAGCATCGGTATTCTTTAAATTTTGCCTTTGCCTCTTGTACTTGGTCTCTAAGTAGTGTGGGGTCGAAATTGTTTTTTACATAGTAAAGTATGAAGAAGGAAACTGGCCAGGGATGGTGGCTCACACCTGTAATCCCAGAAATTTGGGAGGCTGAGGCGGGCAGATCACCTGAGGTCAAGAGTTCGAGAATAGCCTAACATGCTAAAACCCCGTCTCTACTAAAAATACAAAAAAATTAGCCAGTCGTGGTGGCGGGCTCCTGTAATCCCAGCTACTCAAGAGGCTGAGGCAGGAGACTCACTTGAATCCAGGAGGTGGAGGTTGCAGTGAGCCAAGATTGTGCCATTGCACTCCAGCCTGGGCAACAAGAGTGAAACTCAGTCTCAAAAAAAAAAAAAAGAAGAAGTGGGAAACTTACTTTGTCCAGAGGTAATTCAGTCCATCATAGTATAGCCAGTTTGGTAGCTATTCCCTTAGTTGAGCTGAAATTGCCTTTCTATGGCTCACTGATCCTAGTTCTAACCCAGGACCACATAGAACAAGTTCAACAGGTCTGCCACGTAACAACCCTTTAATATTTCAAGGAAGCTTATTTGTGTGATCAGAAATTACCGAACTCAAATATCATGTGCATAGTACGATGCAGGCCCATGGTAGTATCCTTATAAATGGTCGAGTTGGCTGGGCACAGTGGCTCACGCCTGTAACCCCAGGATTTTGGAAGGCCAAGGTGGGCGGATCACTTGAGCCCAGGAATTCAAGACCAGCCTGGGCAACATGGCAAAATCCCATCTCTACAAAAAATACAAAAATTAGCTGGGCATGGTAGTGAGCACCTGTAGTCCCAGCTACTTGGGAGACTGAGGTGGGAGAATTGCTTGAACCTAGGAGACAGAAGTTGCAGTGAGCTGAGATTGCACCACTGCACTCCAGCCTGGGTAACAGTGTCAGACCCTGTCTCTAAGAAAAAAAAAGGTCAAGTTATTATTAGTTGCATTATCATACTGCCTTTGTGCCATTTCATCATAAGTTAAGCTCTTTTAGGAAAGAGGTTGGCTGGTGTCATAGAAATGGAGGTTCCCACTTAATACATGTATTAGGAGGTTCCCACCTGATACATCAGTTTTTTATTTAATATAATTTTTTTTTTTGGAGAAAGGGTCTTGCTATGTTGCCCAGGCTGGAATGCAGTGTGCGATCATAGCTCACTGTAGCCTCCAACTCCTGGGCTCAAGCCATCCTTTTGCCTCAGCCTCCCGAAGTTCTGAGATTACAGGCATGAGCCACCATGCCTGGCCTACATCAACAACTTCGTATGTAAATGTTAGACACCAGGATACTGGCTAACAGGAAGTGTTCTTCCTTTACCCTCCACTACCTCTGTCTTACCATTGTTTTTTGTTTTGTTTTTATTTTTGTTTTCCACCTAAGACAACAGAAGAGGTGATTTACTGTATACCTGTAACACTTGGCCACAACTGAACACAGAAACAGTCCAGAATATCACAGATCCAGGAAAAAGGATAAATAGGAACTGTTTTGATGCGAGCAAGGTGAGACTCTCAGAACTTTCCTCTCAGAGGCGGTCTTGGTGATCAGATGGCTATGGAAGTTCTAGGTCAGTTGAGAGACAATCTCTAGAGAGTAGCATGCAGTCCAACAACTTGTACCAGCATCCCCAGCCTCTGGCGTCCCATGTTTCTGTTCCTGTGAAATGCACCTCCACGGGTGCACAAATTGGGAGTTTAGTTGGACCTCAGTCTCATCTTTCTTCTTTTGCGCTTCAGCCTATACATTCGCTTCTTGGCTCTCACAGCGGAGAGGCTTCCAAGAAGATGGCGCTAAAATGGAGAGCCTTACCATTGTTGAGTGCCAAATCATCCTTGAGGACTTAACTCAGTTTACCTCCTCTTTGTTTCCTCCCTCCTCCCAGGAGAACTGACTACTCCATTTCTTCCCTTGAATTGAGACTGAATACTGCCTGTATTTCTATGTGGTCTATCCCACTGCCCTCATCTAGAATACTGAACTTCTCTTGGTATTTCTAGTTTCAAACAGAGTGCCTGGAACATAGTATGTGATAAATATTTACTGAATAAGTGTAATTTTTGAGAGTATCAGATTATATAATTTTTAGAGCTGAATAGGAACTGTAAATATTTTTCTGTAACTCATTCTTCCATTTCAGTGGTTCCCAACTTTGACTTTGTATTGGAAGGTATTGGGGAATTTTAAAAAATCCTGAGGCCCTCGTTTTACAAAATTCTGACATAATTATTTTGGTGTGCAGCCTGGGCTTCAAGATTTTAAGCATCATATCTTAGGTTGCTGATTCCAGTGTGCAACTAAAGTAGAAAAACTGCTTTATTCCCTTTTTGCGGATGGGGAAGCTGACTTCCAGAGAGGTCGTGTGTTCTGCCCATGTTAGGTGGTGGGTGGAAATGAACAAAGAACTGAGGCGTCCTAACACCTCTTCTAACACACTTTCTATGGTGCTATTCATCTTGACTTGAGATGGACAGCGCTCTCCACTGGGGCACTGAGGAGGAGCCCCCAGTTCACAGGCACCCTGGAGCCTGCTCGCCTTCCAATTTTAGGACAAAAGATTAGAAGCAGCTATCATACTTACCCTTATAAAATATCACCAAATAGTATTGGGGGTGGGGGGTGGGAAAACAGCATCACTTTCTTCCTTGTCATTTTAGTGAAGGGAATAATCTTACTTTTTACAACATTCCATTTTTCCTGTGGGACTTCATAAAAGTAATTTCATTTTGAATAAAAACCAAATGCCATTTGTAAACTTTGTAATTGATGACTGAATTGGCCTTTGTATGTCAAGTATGTTTACCAGCAACCTAGGATACAATGTTTAAGCCAGTTTGTTGTTGCCTCTGCCTTAGGTAAGGGAGACCCGTGCTGCCTACCATCCAAATATTTCTCAAATTTTCCCAAAGCCTGTCCAAGCACTCCTTAACCATACCACTCTTCTAGATATTTAGGAGCCACCAGGCCAATCCATTTACACAAAGTAGAGAGAGCGTATTCTGGTTATTTATTGCTGTATGACAGATTATCCTGAAACCTAGCAGCTTAAAACAGCAACTATTTTATTATGTCTCATGATTTTGAGGGGCAGGGTAGGGCTCAGATGTCTGGCACCTGTGCGTGGATGGCTGGAAGGTCAAGATCAGCTAGGACTGTCAACCAGAGCAATTACATGTGGCCTCTCCTGCGTGTTGGTCTCAGAGTATAAGGACTTCTTTCTTTTTTTTTTTTTTTTTTTTTTTGAGACGGAGTCTCGCTCTGTCGCCCAGGCTGGAGTGCAGTGGCGCGATCTCCGCTTACTGCAAGCTCCGCCTCCCGGGTTCATGCCATTCTCCTGCCTCAGCCTCCCGAGTAGCTGGAACTACAGGCGCCCGCCACCACGCCCGGCTAATTTTTTGTACTTTTAGTACAAAAAAATTTAGTAGAGACGGGGTTTCACCCTGTTAGCCAGGATAGTCTCAATCTCCTGACCTTGTGATCTGCCTGCCTCGGCCTCCCAAAGTGCTGGGATTACAGGCGTGAGCCACCGCGCCCAGCCGAGGACTTCTTTAAAAAAAAAAAATTACGTAAATTGCAAACTTTTTCTTGTATTTTTGTTTACTGTTTGGTAAAATATTCGTTACATAAAATTTACCTTTTTAATCACAGAAAACCTGCAACCATTAAGCAATAACTTCCTATTTCCCTTCCCCTAAGCCCCTGGTAACCTATTGTATTAGTCCATTTTCACACTGATATAAAGACACTATCTGAGACTGGGTAATTTATAAACAAAAGAGGTTTGATTGGCTCACAGTTTTGCCTGGTGGAGAAGGCCTCAGAAAACTTACAATCATGGTGGAAGAAGAAGCAGGCACATCTTACATGGTAGCTGGTGAGAGAAGAGCATGTGTAGGAGGAACTGTCAAACACTTGTAAAGCCATCAGATCTTGGCTGGGTGCGGTGGCTCACGCCTGTAATCTCAGCACTTTGGGAGGTCGAGGTGGGCGGATCACCTGAGGTTGGGAGCTGGAGACCAGCCTGACCAACATGGAGAAACTCTGTCTCTACTAAAAATACAAAATTACCTGGGAGTGGTAGCGCATGGCTGTAATCCCAGCTACTCGGGAGGCTGAGGAAGGAGAATGGCTTGAACCCAGGAGGCAGAGGTTGCAGTGAGCCAAGATCACACCATTGCACTCCAGCCTGGGCAACAGGAGCGAAACTCTGTCTCAAAAAAAAAAAAAAAAAAAAATGAAACCATCAGATTTCATGCGAACTCACTCACTACCACGAGAACAGCATGGGTGAAACCGCCCCCATGATCCAATCACCTCCCTCCCTCAATGCATGGAGATTGCAATTCGAAATGAGATTTGGGTGGGGTTACAGAGCAAAACCATATCACCTCTAATCTACTTTCTGCCTCTGTGAATTTGCCTATTCTAGATTCTAGGTATTTTATGTAAGTGCAATCTTAAAATATTCATCCTTTTGAGTCTGGCTGATTCAACTTAGCATAATGTCTTCAAGGTTCATCCCTATTGTAGCATATATCTGAATTTCATTCCTTTTTATGTATAAACAATATTCCATTTTATATACATACCATATTTTGTTTAGCCATTCATCCACTTATGAACACTTGGTGTTTCCACCTTTTTGTTGTTGTGAATAATGCTGCCAAGAACATGGTTATACAAACATCTGCTAAGTCTCTGTTTTTAATTACTTTGGGTATATACCTAGAAGTGGAATTGTTGGATTATATGATGATTCTATGTTTACTTTTTGAGGAACCACCAAACTGTTTTTTCCATATTGGCTAAACCAATTCATGTTCCCATCACCAATCCACAAATGTTTCAATTTCTACATATCCTTGCCAATATTTTTAATTTTCTATTACAGTCAGAATATCATAATGGGTATGAAGTGATATCTCATTGTGTTTTGGGGTGTTTTGTTTTGTTTTGTTTTTGAGACAGGGTCTTACTTTGTCACCCAGGCTGGAACCCAGTGGTGTGATCACGGCTCACTGCAGCCTTGACCTCTCAGGCTTAAGTGATCCTCCCGCCTCAGACCCCCAAGTAGCTGGGACTACACACATGTGCCACCAGTCCTGGCTGATTTTTGTATTTTTTTTGTAGAGACAGAGTTTTGCTATGTTGCCCAGGCTTGTCTCCAACTCCTGGGCTCAAGTAATCTGCCTTCCTTGGCTTCCCAAAGTGCTGGGATTACAGGTGTGAGCCACCTCACCTAGCTCATTGTAGTTTTTATTTGCATTTCCCTACTGATTACTGATGCTGAGCATCTTTTCATGTGTTTACTGGCCATCTGTATATCTAATTTGTGGAAGTTTATTCATGTGTTGGGCCATTAAAATTTTTTTTCCTTATAGTTGTTAGGTTGTGTTCAGAGAGAGGATTCCAAGAGACCTGGATAGAAGCTGCAAGACTTCTTATGACTAAGCATCAAAAGTCCCAGGATCTCAAGGCTGGGTGCAGTGTGGCAGGTGGCTATAGTTCTAGATACTCATTCAACTGAGGCGGGAGGATTGCTTGAGCCCAGGAGTTTGAGGCAATGATCAGATCCATGAAGAGCCACTGCACTCCAGCCTGGGCAACATAGCAAGATCCATCTCTAACAAAAAAAAAGTCCCAGGACCTCACTTCTGCCCAGTTCTTTAAGTCATGCAGGTCACTGAGATCAGCCTAGATTCCAGGAAAATGGTAGTGAAAATTTGTGGTCATCTTTAATCTACCAAAGTACAATATTAAAATTAACTTTAAAAAGTCAATTGAGCCAGGCACGGTGGCTCACGCCTGTAATCCTAGCAATTTGGGAAGCCGAGGTGGGTGGATCACCTGAGGTTGGGAGTTCGAGACCAGCCTGACCAACATGGAGAAACCCCGTCTCTACTAAAAATACAAAATTAGCCAGGCATGGTGGCACTTGCCTGTAATCCCAGCTACTCGGAAGGCTGAGGCAGAAGAATTGCTTGAATCCAGGAGGCAGAGGTTGTGGCGAGCCCAGATCACGCCATTGCACTCCAGCCTGGGAAACGAGAGCGAAACTTTGTCTCAAAAAACAAAACAAAACAAAAGAAAAAAACTGAATTGTTTGAATAGCAGTGACAATAATCATTAATGCTGCTACAACTTTGGATTAATACGGCTTCTTTCCTCCTGTGGTCTTAAAGTATTTTCATCTATAAAAGTCTTTACTATGGGCCAGGCGTGGTGGCTCACGCCTGTAATCCCAGCACTTTGGGAGGCCGAGTTGGGCGGATCATGAGGTCAGGAGATTGAGGCCATCCTGGCTAACACGGTGAAACCCCGTCTCTACTAAAAATACAAAAAAATTAGCCAGGCGTGGTGGCAGGCGCCTGTGGTCCCAGCTACTGGGGAGGCTGAGGCAGGAGAATGGCGTGAACCCGGGAGGCGTAGCTTGCAGTGAGCGGAGATCGCACCACTGTGCTGCAGCCTGGGTGACAGAGCAAGAATTGGTCTCAAAAAAAAAAAAAACAAAACAAAAAAAAAAAACAAAAGTCTTCACTATGGCATTTTTGCACATTTTAGAGATCTTTAATTCTTTCTTTCTTCTTTCTCTTTCTTTCTTTCTTCGTTTCTTTCTTTCTTTCCTTCTTTTTTTTTGACAGAGTTTTTCTCTTGTTGCCCAGCCTGGAGTGCAATGGCACAATCTTGGCTCATTGCAATCTTCGCCTCCTGGGTTCAAGCAATTGTCCTGCCTCAGCCTTCTGAGTAGCTGGGATTACAGGTGCCCACCACCATGCCTGGCTAAATTTTTGTATTTTTAGTAGAGATGGGGTTTCACATGTTTGTCAGGCTGGTCTTGAACTCCTGACCTCAGGTGATCCACCTGCCTCAGCCTCCCAAAATGCTGGGATTACAGGCGTGAGCCACTGCACTCGGCCTAATTATGTTTTTCTTTCTTTTTCTTTTTTCTTTTTTTAGAGATGGAGTCTTGCTCTGTCTCCCAGGCTGGAGTGCAGTAGCACAGTCATAGCCCACTGCAGCCTTGAACTACTGAGCTCTAGTGATACTCTCACCTTGGCCTCCCAAGTAGCTGGGACTACAGGTGCATGCCACCATGTCTAGCTCAAGATCTTTAACTATGATATAGAGATGATTACTTGATTTTTAAAAATCACTTAGCCAGTCCACTTTATAATGATGGGGTGAAGCAGGAACCCTGAGTTTCAATCTTGGCTCTGCCATTAACTGGCTGAGTGGCTCCTCTTTTAGAATGGGATAGATATCCTCTAACTTCTCTTTCAGCTCTGAAACTGTACAAAAAGATGATGAATTTGATCAAGAATTAGGATGTTATAAAAATGTCTGAGTACAGAGTGATTTGTTGCCTAGAAATATTCCCATGTGCCATTTATTCACTGGGACAGAGAAATAACTTCAGTTTAATAGCAATTATTATAATGTGATTGAATTGAATAATAGCATCAGTAAACACACACAGTTATTATGGGAGCTAAAGGAGTTCTGAAGAAATATCTTAAGGAGCATTGACACAGAAAGGCAAGAAGATGAGAAATAGAGTTTACAGGTTTCCCAGGTGCAAAAGAACAAAAAATATCGTTTCTGGCTGCATAAATGTCTTATTCTAAGAGTGGGGTATATCAACGAGATCTGCAAACAGAGTCTAAAACCATGAACAAAATATGCAGCAATGAGGATAGTGCAGTGAGGGGAGTGGTGATGGTGGTGAGGAGAGACAACTCCTAACATTGGCATTGTGTGCCCTTCATATACCAAGCACAGGGCCAGTTGTTTTTCATAGTGAACTCATTTGTTTCTCACAGGGAGCCACACACTAGGTATTACTTTTTTCTTCCTTCTGATTTTTTTTTTTTTTTTTTTTTGAGACACAGTCTCACTCTGTTGCCCAGGCTGGAGTGCAGTGGTGCAATCTCAACTCACTGCAACCAACGTCTGCCTCCTAGGTTCAAGCTCTTCTCCTGACTCAGCCTCTTGAGTAGCTGGGATTACAGGTGTGCACCACCATGCGCAGCTAATTTTTTATATTTTTAGTAGAGATGGGGGTCTCACCATGTTAGCCAGCCTGGTCTCAAACTCCTGACCTCAGGTGACCTGCCTGCCTCGGCCTCCCAAATTGTTGGGATTACAGGCTTGAGCCACCGTGCCTGGCCCTTCCCTCTCATTTTAAAGATGAGGAAACTGATGCTCAACATTCTACTCATGGTCCCACAGCTAAAGGCTGGGGAGACATCAAAGCTCATGCTTTTTTCTACACAAGCAGCCTTCATTAAGCCAAGAAATCATATATATGGGAGAATAGCATTTGGGAAGGATCTTTCTTAAATGTTAATTATCTCAATCTTGTCCTATTGTTGTCATACAATTTATTTATAAATATGTTTTGAACCTTAAAGTACTATTTTTTTCTTCAGATAGTCACATATCTGAAGTATTTCCCTCAGACAGTCGATTATGTTTTAAAGTGATTAAAAGTAAATTAAGGCCAGGCACAGGGGTTCACACCTATAATTCTAGCACTTTTGGAGGCCGAGGCAGGTGGATTGCTTGAGCCCAGGAGTTGGAGACCAGCCTGGGCAACATGGTGAAACCCTACCTCTACCAAAAAATATATATCTATATGAAAATTAGCTGCATGTGGTGGCACACGCCTGTAGTCCCAGCTTCTTGAGGGGCTGAGGTGGGAGGATCATCTGAGCCTGAGAGGTTGAAGCCTCAGGGAACTGTGATTGTGCCACTGCACTCCAGCCTGGGCCACAGGGTGAGATGCTGTCTCAAAAAAACAAAAGAAAAAAAGTAAATTTTAAAAAATTATCTTTATTTTTATAATTTCTGGAGCTCTTTATTTCTTCATGTATGCAGATCTCTATCTAATATCATACTCCTGCCCATAGAAATTCTTTTAACATTTCTTTTAGTGCAGATCTGTTGGAAAATTCTCTCAGCATTTTTTTTCCCCAAAAGTCTATTTCATCTTTAGGTTTGCAAGATCTTTTGCAGGGTATAGAATTCTAGGTTGACAGGTATTTTTTCTTTCAGTACTTTAAGACATTGCTTCATTGTTTTGGCTTGTGTAGTTTCCAATGAGAAGTATATTGTAAGAAATATGTCATCTTTGTTTTTCTGTCTGCATTGTTTTTTTCCTCTGCCTTCAAAATTTTCTCTTTATTTTAGCTTTTCAGTAGTTTGACTTTCATGTCATTGATACTTATTTATTTGATTTATTTTCCTCTTTGGGGCACTTAGAGTTTTTTGGATGTGTGGTTTGTTTTCTTGTTTTCTTTCATTGTTATTATTATTATTATTATTATTTTTAAATGGAGGCTCACTCTGTCACCCAGGCTGGAGTGCAGTGGCGCAATCTTGGCTCACTGCACCCTCCACCTCCTGGATTCAAACAATTCTCATGCCTCAGCCTCTTGAGCAGCTGGGATTACAGGCACGTGCCACCACACCTGGCTAATTTTTGTATTTTTTAGTAGAGACAGGGTTTCACCATGTTGGCCTGGCTGGTCTCAAGCTCCTGAGACCAGCAGCTCCTGGTCCAAGCTGCTGGGTAAAACCCTGTCTCTGTTAAAAATACAAAAAAATTAGCCGGGCATGGTGGTGCATGCCTGCAGTCCCAGCTACTCAGGGAGGCCAAGGCAGGAGAATTGCTTGAACCCAGGAGGTGGAGGCTGCAGTGAGCCAAGATCATTCCACTGCACTCCAGCCGGGGTGACAGAGCCAGACTCCATCTCAAAAAAATAAAATATTATTCATAGTTATTTTAAAGTACCAGTCTAATAATTCCAATACCTGGGTCATCTCTGAATTTAGATTTTAATTATTGCTTTATCACTTGACAGTAGGTCTTTTTTCTTGCTTTCTTTGTTGTTTAATGTATTGGTCCATTTTCATGTTGCTGCTAAACACATACCCGAGACTAGGCAATTTACCAAAGAAAGGGGTTTAATGGACTTACAGTTTCAGGTGGCTGGGGAGGCCTCACAATCACGGCAGAAGGTGAAAGGTACATCTCACATGGCAGCAGACAAGAGAAGAGAGCTTGTGCAGGGAAACTGTCTTTTTTAAAACCATCAGATCTTGTGAGACTTATTCACTACCACAAGAACAGCCTGGGAAAGACCCACCCCCATGATTCAATTATCTCCTACTGGGTCCCTCCCACAACACATGGGAATTATGGAAACTACAAGATGAGATTTGGGTGGGGACACAGAGCCAAACTATATCATTTAATTTTTGATTTAATGGCAGATATGTGTAGAACAGCAGAGAGTGAGGTGAAGAGTATGTAAGTCCAGTGATGAGCGCACCTCTTCTTGTTGTCAGCATGTTAGTGTGGTAGAATTAGTCAATTAAGTCAGTCATTGAGCTGGTTTTGCCATGTTGCTGCTATCTCTGTCTTCAGTGCACAACAGATTCAAATGCCTCTGGCAGGGAATGGCTATTTCCTTGTGTTTGATATTAGGCTCATGTTTGTGGTTCACCTTCAGTGGTCAACTGTTCCTGAATATGTGTGCCACAGAGGGGAGGGTTCCCTCTGTGCTCTTGTCCCTCCCTTGCTAGTAGACAGCCATTTGTACTAATTTAGTGCTAGGTTCATTGTAGGACCAGGGAGATCTTGGTTTTCCTGGTCCATCTGCAGTCTTCAGCAGGGCCTGTGTGCCTGGGCCTGAGGGGTGGAGCCTTTTAAGTATTCCTCTTGATGGATGCCCCTCTCAAAGAAGTCAGACACCTGTGCTGAGTCTTGGGCAGGAGACAGTTTCCAGCTTCTCCCTATTTGGAGCAGACCCTTGCTTTGTATTACTGCAGTATCCCAGGCCCAAGAGGTTTTTATACCTCTCCGAGGGCTGAGGGGCTTTTGTTTCTATTCTTTCCCTGGAAGTAGTTGATTTTTCTTTTCTTTTCTTCTTTGAGACAGGGTGTCACTCTGTCCCCCAGGCTGGAGTGCAGTGGCATGCTCACAGCTCACTGAAGCCTTTACCTCCCCGGGCTCAGGTGATACTCCCACCTCAGCCTCCCGAGTAGCTGGGGCTACAGGCATGTACCATCATGCCCGGCTAATTTTTGTATTTTTTGTAGAGACAGGGTTTTGCCATATTGCATAGGCTGCTCTCAAAACCCTGGGATCAAGCAATCTGCAACCTTGGCCTCCCAAAGTACTGGGATTATAAGCATGAGCTACAACACCTGGCCAGAAGCAGTGGATCTTTGCCTGGATTCTTGGTATGAGAAGCTCTGCTACTGCTCTCCTCCCCTTAAGCTGCTTACAGCTTTTATGTTGTTAAGAGAGAAGGTTTTGGGGAGGTGGGCTCTGTTTCATACCACTCCCCCAGTGCAGCTGATCTTACCTGTATGACTGAGTCTCCAAAGGGGGCTCTGCCCTCTCTCCAACTTCTCCCCCCAGTCTATTTTGTGGTCCCTGGGTGCATAAGAGCTTGGGAATAAACGCAAAGTTCCTTGTAGAGGCCCAGGGTTCCCATTTATTATAAATTGATACACTAGCCCACATCTAGTCTTTAGGAATTTGTTAAAAATTTTGCTCCTTTTTTTTAAACCTACCTTAAATGGTAGTTACCTCTTCCTTCTGTGCTGTGACAAAGGCAAAATTTAAGTGTTCCTTTTTTTCCTTGAAGAAGTTTGTCAGTCTTTGGAATTTAGTTCATATAGTTGCTTTGTATCCTCAGGATCTCTAATGGGTTAAAGAAAAATTATGATTTTGTAGGTTATCCATTTTTTTCTTGTTATTAGGATCGGAGCAATGTTATCTTGAAGCTTTCTAGATCCTAAGTAGAAGTGGAGCTCTAGATGATATTTAAAAAACCTTTTTCATTATAGAAATTTTCAAACTTTCAAAAAAGTAGAGAGAAAACTAAGTACTCACCACGCAGCTTCTGCAAGAATTTATTATTGACATTCTTTCATACCAATACATATAGATGCACTTCATTCTTTTCAGCAGAGGTATAGTATTGTACAGTCTCAAAATAATTCAGCTTATATAACCATTCCCATACTAATGGCTATTTAGGTTGTCTTCAACCAATAATAATATTGTACCAAACATTTTTTGTACATATTTCCTTGTGCTCTAGTTTTTATTTTGGATGGGTTACTAGAAGTGGACTTAATGGGTTATATATATTTTACATTTTGATAGATAATATCAAACTGTCCTTCAAAAAGTCTTAACCAAGCATATTCCCACTAACTTTGTATGAATGGCACCAAAAATCTTAATGTAACTTAAAAAGCTGAAGCTGCTGACTTTAAAGAAAAACGATAAAGTAGTTAGGTTTCCAGTTTGATCCGCTGAATGATATTCTCATTACAAAAGTCTATTTGCCATTTCAAAAGAGCATTTCATAGAAGGAAGTAAACATTGGTCTTTCGTTCTTTTAGTCCCATATTTATAGCTGAAGCTATTTGCTCTCAAGTGCAATTCACCAATATTTAGTGCTTAACCATATGAACAACATTTCTGGTCTCTATTAGCTGCATATTCTTGTACATCAGTGACTTTAGTAATGGCTCTGATGATTGGTGTCACAAGCAATGAGTGCCTTAGGCATTAAATAAAAAGTTGCTGAATGACATTCTATAGCTTCCAAGTTAAAAGAAAAAACCAGAAAAACATCAAACACATTTGCTTAAGTCCTCATTCTTCTGATTATTGTAAATTCTAGCATCTCATATGTATTTTTTCATTCAATATATACTTATATTTAATTCCTACAACATACTTCTGTATGCTGCTATTTACTATGGATTTTAAAAAGTAGACATGGATCCTTTTCCATAAAACTTAACTATATGAAAGTTGAGTGTTCCTAATCTGAAAATCTGAAATCCAAAATACTCCAAAACCTGACACTTTGTCAGCACCAACATGGCACCACAAGAGGAAAATTCTACATCTGACCTTGTCTGATGGGTTGCAGTCAAAACACAGGCACACAACACACAATTTATTCCGGGTCCCCAAGGGAAAAATAAAATTACCTTCATGCTATGTGTATGGGGTTCATATGAAACATAAATACATTTTGTGTTTAGACTTGGGTCCTATCCCCAAGATATCTCTTTATGTATATGCAAATATGCCAAGCCCCCCACAAAAATTGAAATCCAAAACACTTCTGTTCCCAAGTACTTTAGATAAGGGATTCTCAGTTTGTATATACATATCTATATCTCTATGTCTATCTAATCTATCTATTTAGAGGAATCTGTTTATTCGTCTAACAATTCAACGACTTATTTGTTCAGTAAACATTTGTCTCTAATATCTACTCTGTTGTAGTAATGCTGTGGGAACTTAAGTTGAATAAAAAATGGTTCCTGTCCTCAATAAAGGACAAATCTAGTGGAGAAATAGATAATGTTCACATCCTACTGGGGGATTAGCAAAGGCTTTCTAGGAGAGGTAGCATTATAGATGTTTGAAGGGTCTGTCAATAGATGCCCTAGGAGGAAGTTCATTCCAGGCTGAGAAAATGTGCTGGGCAAAGGCATGGGAGTGCTGACGTGCATTGCAGAACAGGTAGGAGGCATGTCGAGTCAGCATACAGCAGATGCTGAAATTGAAATTGGAAAAAAATTGGCTAGAGTCAGTAAGGAGAAGTGGGTAAAAGTGATTGGGGAAGGGCTTGTAGAAAAGGAGGAAGTACTTAAATAGGATTTTGAAGGATGAGTAAGATTTGATAGGCAGGTAGGAGGTAGAAAAAAATACCAGAGGCAGAGAGAACAGCACGGAGCACAGTGTTCTTAGAGGATCAAAGGAGTGAATTCATATGGAGGATAAGTGAGTGATATCCAGCATTGTGTTATATTCTTTCCTGCTCTGGGGTTTTCACATAATGTTTCACATAACATTTCCTCTGCCTAGAATCCCCTTTGCCAGTAACAGTTAAAATACTTTTGGTTGCTATTAACAGAAAAGCAAGCTGGAAAGATCAGGGGTGGTTCAGGCTTCTGTTCATAATGCCATCAGGGTTCTGGTTCACTGTGGTGATCCTGATTCTATCCTCTCCTCCCTGCTAGCTTTACTTTCAAGCTGGCCTTTCTTGTGGTAGAGAGAGAGCTGCTGCTGGCTCCTGGACTACATGTCTTTGTTCACATTCAAGAAGGGGAGGCAACTTTTCCCCCATCTTCAGACGAAAGTCCTGAGTTTCATTTTGATTATCCAAATTTGGGTCACACTCCCCTCCTTCCCCCCCAAGAGCCAATTACTGTGACTTGTGAAGACTGTCATGTGCTGATTGGTTTTGGCCAGTCCCTCTTTGAACCAATCACCATGGCAAGGAGATTAAATTGGACCAATCAGGGCCCAATGCTTGAGGTGAGGGCAGGTCTATACCAGCTCAAACCCACCTATGTAAGGGAAGTCTGTGGTGAGGGGTAGGGAGGGAAGCAATCCCAAAGTCTACTCTGTTGATCCACTTGCGTGCCTAGTCAACTCATTCTTTCTTTAGTTCTCACCTTAGAGATCACATCTGCAGAATGGATTTCCCTGATCTCCCAAACTGAGTCATGTTCTAGCTCATGGCACCCTATGGTCTTCCTTCATAATACTTACTGCCTTTAAACTACGGTAGTTTCCCCTTATCCAGGGGGGATGTTTTCCAAGACCTTCAGTGGATGCCTGAACCGGGGGATAGTACTGAACCCTATATATACTGTTTTTTCCTATACATGCATACGTGTGATAAAGCTTAACTTATAAATTAGGCACAGGAAGAGATTAACAATAATTAACAATAAAATAGAGCAGTTATAACCATATACTGTAATAAAAGTTATGTGAATCTGTTTTTTTCTCTCTCTCGAAATATTTTATTATACTGTACTCATCTATTTTCAGACCACGTTTTACCATGAGTAACAGAAACTGTGGAAAGTGAAACCAGGGATCAAGAGGACTACTTGTATGCACTTATTTGATTATTCGTTAAAAGTCTGGTTCCTTCACTAGACGCTAAGCTACATGACAGAGGGGACCATGACTTCTTCTCAGCACAGATCCCTAACTGGTACATAAAGGACACTCTAAAAAAATGGGCTGGGTGCGGTGCTCATGCCTGTAATTCCAGCACTTTGGGAAGTCTAGGTGGGTGGATTGCTGGAGTCCAGGAGTTCAAGACCAGCCTGGGCAACATGGTGAAACTCAGTCTCTTCAAAAAAAAAAAAAAAAAAAAAAAAAAAATTAGCCAGGCATGGTGGTGCATGCCTGTGGTCCCAGCTACTTGTGAGGGAGGGGTGGGAGGATCACCTGAGCCTAGGAAGGTTGAGGCTGCAGTGAGACATAACTGCACCATTGTACTCCCGCCTGGGCTGCTGCCCAGTGAGACTTTTTTCTTCGAAACAGAAAAAAATTTTGTGTGTGAAATGAATGAAAAAATTAGTGTCAACTCCTCTTCAATAATGAAAAATCTTATTTGATCAGCTTCAAAACTGGCATGGTACCAGGGGAGGAAGAATATAAAAGTGAATATACTAAGCACAAAGCTATATTGCAACGTGACCAAAAACTAAATATTATGCGCAACAGAAAGATACTTCAGGAATTACATAGATTAAAAAATTCAGTTATTGCAAATGACACTGTCAAATGCCAGTTCTGCATTCAAAAATCTTGTCACTTGTAATAATATTCATTCCCACTCGCTTTTGTTATCAAGGTTATGTTTCTTAGCAGTGTAAATTTTAAATGCACTTACATAGACCAGGACTGTCTTACTTTTCTTATAATAAACTGCATCAGAAATGCACAATCTTGGAACCAAGGCTATAAAGAGGTTTTTATCTGGGCTAAAGAAATGATTATAAGCCAGTGGAACTGCTGTCATTCAAAATACGCATTTTGACTCCTGCTGTTTTAAATTTTATTTTCATATTAATTTTTGGTAGTTTTCAAATAAAGCAGTTTAGGAAAAATCAAGTTTCAACATTCTGAAATATGTACATCATCAAATGTAGATTTACTCCCTCCCACCAAATCTCAGCATTCTGGTCAAAGGTGTTTGGTAATTCCACTTATAGAGCATCAATTAAATTTCATCAAATTATTTGAATATCTGTACTGTGATTACTTTCTATTCTTTCAGTGGGAAAAAGTCTCATTTTTTGATTGGTCGTGAATAAACAATGAAGTGTTTTTGTGACCACTAATTACTGATTTTGTCACTTTTTCATAAAAGCATATTTTTGTGCTATTGTACAGAAACAACCATATTATCATATGTTTAGATTTCAACTGAAATATGTGAAAAAGGCCAGGCACAATGGCTCACACCCATAATCCCAGCACTTTGGGAGGCCAAGGCAGGTGGATCACCCGAGGTCAGGAGTTCAGGACCAGCCTGGCCAACATGGTGAAACCCCATCTGTACTAAAAATACAAAATTAGCTGGGTGTGGTGACGTATGCCTGTATTCCCGGCAACTTGGAGGCCTGAGGCAGGAGAATCGCTTGAACCTGGGAGATGTTGGTTGCAGTGAGCCAAGATCGCACCACTGAACTCCAGCCTGGGCAATAGAGTAAGACTCTGTTTCAAAAAAAAAAAAAAAAAGTGAAGAAATTTATATTTACTTTGACATCATCTTATAGTCTTTTATGTGTTCTTATATTATTTTGTGTTTACAGAGACTGAAATTTTCAATTCAGTAGTAGTGATGTATAAAGATCTGAGTGATACGATATTTGTTCCACAGGGAATCCATTATTAGCTTTGGCATGGTGAATGTGGGCTAATCTGTTTAGTATAGCTTCTCTGTTAGTCAGTCTTCGGGTATAACCACTCATTAGAGAAAATAATCAATCCACAGGGACCCTTTCTCCTCCTGATCATCACTCATTTTTTTGTCCTTAGTATTGATTGAAATTTATATAAATCCCATTATATGAAGACATAAAGACAATATATACAATTAAAGAAATAAAAGTCTCAGGCCCTACTTGACAGCAGGCTTTTTTTTTTTTTTTTTTTAGATTGAGCAAGACACAGGTAAAGCAGTGAGATGGATTTTCTGGGTGGCTTAAGTATTTGCTGGCCTTTCTTTTGGTGGGTCACATTTACATCTCAGTCTTATTTTGCTTTGCTCATGGAAGACATGTTTGCAATATGTTTCTCATTGCAGATATGTTTGAAACCATTACACCCTTCATAAAACCAAGGCAAAAAACTGGCTGTTTAGTTCATTTATTGAGAAGTTCCTGGCTGTTTCTCAAAACTAAGGTGAGTTTTTAATAACCCATTAAGAGAACCAACTTACCCTAGTGAGATAAATTGACATTAGGACATCTGTGTTCCAGTCCTATTTTGGATACCTGTCCAACATTTCTGTGCCTCAGTTTCTTCATCCGTAAGATGCTTTGTAGTAGGCGTTTAATGCTTGTTGAATGAAAGAATAAAATAATAATAACAACGAACATTTACTAAATGCTAACCACACACTGGGCACTTTGCATGCATTATCTCATTTAAGGCTTATGAAGCAGATGCTGTTATTAACTCTAATTGATAGAGGAGAGAAAGTCGAGCTTAAATTAACTTTCCCCAAGTCACCAGCTAGCAATGTGTGAATTTTGAACCCAGACTGTCTAAATCCAGTGCCAGTCTTCTTACGCATGCTATGTCTAAGTCCCCCCTCTGGCTCCAGGAAGAAAAAGTCAGCTAAAGACAACTATCAACACTCCAGCTATCTTTTGTCCGGGGAATTTGTGTCTGTGCTTTGTCATGTCACACCATGTGAAAAAGTAACTCAGTGGGGCTGGAATCTCTTACTATGTGCTGTCGGTAATTTTGGATGCAGGAAAACTACTTTACCTTTTGTGTTTTGAAGAGTGCATAACTAATGTCCTTCTAAACCAAAGAGACAGAGTAATTGGCCTCAAAATATGTCCTGCCCTTTGACCTCTATGGGGGTAAATGAGGGGCATTGAACTAAATATTACTGTCATCTTACTCAGAAATCTAAATATAACATGCTCAAAGAGAAATTTAACACCTGGTGAAACAAATGGCCAATGGATGCTTCATACTCAAATGGCAGTGGTTGGAGGTTTGAAGGAGGAGGCCCCAGTAAGGTTTATTGAACCACAGATGGTATCCTAATTAATATTTGGAAAGCGTATGCCTGGGCAGTGAGGCTGAGTTCATATTACTCTGAAACCTTCATTTCGTCTTGAAAACAGTGCCACATAGTGACCTAGCTATGTGGAGTTTGAGATGAAATTCTATGTTCTTCCTTATGGTTTAGAAATACATTCCATATTTTGGAATCATATTGAAATGTTATTTATATAGTGAGCACATTCTAGGGCATAAACTGAATATTTCAGAAAGCTGAAGCTAACTGAGAGTGACTCTAGTTACATTGTGAGTGTCAAGGGTGTGCAGAGACAGAGCTAACCTTGTGAATCTTGAACAAAATTGGAGATGCCACTGCACGTGTGAAAGGCCAAGGGGAGTGCCCAACCTATAAGGTCAGGCATGAACAGGTAACATAACTGAACAAGTTTATACCTTCACCAATTCGTTTTTCAAATATCCTTTTTAAATGCAGTTGGGCCAAGAGGAAGAGAACAGAGAAGCAGCCCTGGAAGGTGGCTGGGATAGACATAGAGAAAAGAACTCTAAAGAAAACAGAGGAAATGTGATGGCTGAGTGTTTTCTCACCGAAAACAACATATCTAAAAGTGATTAATGCCTAATAAACTCTCAAAAGTACTTATCAGGGCCAGGCATAGTGGCTCATGCCTGTAATCCCAGCACTTTGGGAGGCCAAAGTGGGAGAATTACTTGACCTCAGGAATTTGAGACCAGCTTAGGCAACATAAGGAGACCCCATCTCTACCAAAAAAAAAAAAAAATTAGTCAAGTGTGATGGGGCATTCCTGTAGTCCCAGCAACTCAGGAGGCTGAGGTGGGAGGATCAGCTGAGTCTGGGGAGGTTGAGGCTGCAGTGAGCCATGATCACACCACTGCACTCCAGCTTGGGCAACAGAGCAAGACCCTGTCTCAAAAAAAAAAAGTACTTATCAAAACACATAAGATATTTTTAACTCTTCTCCCACCCTTAAAAAAACCATATTAAGACTGTGATACATGCCAACAGGCAGCAAAATACCCTCTCTGTTAATTTTGGAAACTTACTATGTGTCATAATAGCACAATAGAATGCTATTTTAATGGCTCTCTTAACATGTCCTGTGGTGTTTGAGTATGAATGACACAGTATCTTTTTGGTTTAATTGTGCATTTTTTTTTGCTTCCTTTGGTTTCTGTCAAAACAAAAATATTCTAATGTTGTTGCATATAAATATAAATAAATTAATAGTTAATAGAACAATTTAATATGCTTGAAATATTTTTAAAACTCAAAGCAAAGCATCCTTAAAATATTTTTACAATTATCAATTGGAATTTCTAAAAGTAGTTTTCTATGTAATAATTTATGTTCTAAATTACATTTAGGGAGAGAGGTTTTAAGGTGGCTATTCAAACCATATACAATATATCATTTATTTAAATAAGTAAATGTAAAAATAGAGAGCAGTAGCTCTGAAGAAATTAGTAAAATTAGTATGAAGTTGTTAACTCATAAAACTGAGTACCATAAATGTTCAGTATACATTTATCATATCTTCGCATAGTTACTTGTATTTACTAAAGAGTATTTTCCCTTATATGAAATAACTAAATAACTACCCTTTAATCATTTGAAATACATTTATATGCATTTAAGATACTATGTTCATGGAATCAAAATCAATTAAATGTCTAAATGCTTGATTATATATAATTTGTTTATTAGAAAAATTGAAAAAATGATAAAATTGTTTAGTCCACATTAAGCCAATATTAATACTAATTCACTCAACAATGAGGACAAACAGAAGTCTTCCTTATAAAGCCATACGGGCAAAGATTGTCTTTCATTTTCCTATAGTCCCTCTTATTTTCATTTTAAACTTAAAGGAAACCCCTCTTTCTAAATAATTAAGGATAATGAAATATTATGATTGCTTTAACATTCTGGGTAATGAAAAAATTGTCACACATAAGAAACTTTTAGATCTGGATCATAAATTTCAAGGAAATAGGTTGTAACAAGATGACTTTAATATTAAGACTAAATCAAACAGTTGGACTGCTTTGTGGTTCA
This sequence comes from Homo sapiens, assembly GCF_000001405.40. Classification (NCBI taxonomy): domain Eukaryota; kingdom Metazoa; phylum Chordata; class Mammalia; order Primates; family Hominidae; genus Homo; species Homo sapiens. The sequence goes on along the minus strand of NC_000002.12, from coordinate 176,033,028 downwards.
GAGGGCACTTTCAGTTTGCAGGGTCTTAGGACTAGCAATAGGAACATAAATTATCCTTGTCTATGACTACAAAAATTCTGTTATTTGGGTCTGGTTAGACAGCAGCTTATGTATTTGCTTCAGTTCTCCTTTTGACTCCATGTATGTGGTACTTTCAGTGATACAGTTTTCAGGCTTCTCTTGATGGTCTTTTGTAGTACAGTAGACACTCCTTGTGTTAGATATTTTCTTCAGAACTAAAAATCTTGGTAACGTGATATTTGTTAATTTACTTCTTATTTAATATGTTATTAACTAATACTATATATATAAAATCAGAAGTAAAAGTTTCTGTGTCTCTATCCAATTATCTAGTCTATCTATCTGTCTTGGTATCAGGTAAATCAATGTGAGATTACATTTATAAGATGCATGACTGAATAGTGCTTCAGTGTTAAAAACCAAGTTTACTTGGAAGATCAGTGAGGGGCATATATCCTTTTAAACTTTTCAATTTTTGAAACTGTGTACATGTATTACTGTTCCAAAAAAGAAAATAACTAACATCTTACTAGGCTAGAATGGGGGCAATAATATTCTGTTAGTTTTACCACATACGGTAAGATGCCTTATTTTAACATGTATCTTGAAGAGTCAGAATTATAATATTACCCAATTATCTCTCATTGCCTTTTTCTGGTAATGCTATTTGACTTTCAGCTACTATAACTTGACTGTTTGTTATAAATATAACAAATCACCCATCTTATAAGAACATTATGATCAAGGTTAGGGAATCCTGAAACACATTCCTTAATGTTTTGGGAAGACAACATAACATGTTAGGAAAATCCTTATTATGTGGGGCTTAAGAAAATGTACTTAGGGGCCAGTTTCACAGTGCTCCTCTTAAAGAAGTTGACATTTCCCATATTGGAATGTGTAGAAAACAGGTGCATGGCTGCAGGGAAGTTTATTTTCCCATCCAACCTAATAAAACCACATATATCCACTTATGCTTTATTCATGAGAAAACACTGGACATGTATCTTATTGTTTATTTTAACTCAGGATAGTTAAAGCAAAATATAGAACCAATTATCCTGTGTTTCAGTGGAATTATAAAGGCAGAATGATATTAACTACTTGATTTTTGTGCCAGAAGTTGAGAATTGTAAACTGGTGACATCTCAGTTTTTTGAGGTGGCAGTCATATAATTCTTATTTGGCTATGTCTTCAAATTTATTAGTGGTTTTTAATGAAAATATTTTATTGACTTCACTGATGAGATGATTCTGTAAGATAACTTCCCTCATCCTCCTTAGAGAGTCTTGTTTGGGTCTGAATGTTTAGCCGAGTATATCATAGCAATGGTTTATTTTTATTTAATGCTTACCATGTGCAAAACATTTTACATGAGTCATGTCATTCAATCCTCACAAAAATCCTTATAATGTAGGTATTATTATTATTTGTATTTTACTGGTAAGAAAACTGAGACTCAGAGAAGTGAAGAAACTTGCCAAAGGACCTGTTCATAAATGTCAGAAGTGGGATTGATTCAGGCCTGTCTGACTCGAAAATCTGACCTCTTTTTACCATGCCATTGTCAGACTGCGGATCTTACTTTTATAATTGATTAGTCAGACAATATTTTGTTAAAAATACAATAGTTTATTACAGATTAAGCACCTCTAAAGGCTTTGACATAGCACCCTTAACTCATTGCATTACCTAATAGATCACTTCTGAAGGTTAGTGTTGTTCCTGCTCATTATTAATTCAGTTTTATTATCTACAGTTCTTTTTATTTTATTTATTTATTTATTTATTTATTTATTTATTTATTTATTTTTTGAGATGGAGTCTCCCTGTCACCTAGGCTGGAGTGCAGTGGCTTGATCTCGGCTCACTGAAGCCTCTGCCTCCCGGGTTCAAGCGATTCTCCTGCCTCAGCCTCCCGAGTAGCTGGGATTACAGGCGCCTGCCACCATGGCTGGCTAATTTTTGTATTTTTAGTTGAGACGGGGTTTCACCATGTTGGTCAGGCTGTTCTTGAACTCCTGACCTCAGGTGACCCACCTGCCTCAGCCTCCCAAAGTGCTGGGATTACAGGTGTGAGCCACTGCACCTGGCCTCTTTTTATATTTTTATAGTTTTATTATCTATAGTTCTTTTTATATTTTTATAGATTGGACTGTAATCTGTACCTAAACAATACAGTGATATTCCAGATCTTTTAAAATGACTTACATAATAAAGTATTTCTTATTTGTAGTTTCTTGCTGAATTTTGTGGGAGCCATTGTCTTTATATCTTTTTTTTTTTTTTTTTTGGAGACAGGGTTTCACTCTGTCACCCAGGCTGGAGTGCAGTGGTGCCATCTTGACTCACTGCAACCTCCACCTCCCGGGTTCAAGTGATTCTCCTGCCTCAGCCTCTGGATTAGCTGGGATTACAGGTGTGCGACACCACACCTGGCTAATTTTTGTATTTTTAGTAGAGACGGGGTTTGTGCTATGTTGCCCAGGCTGGCCTGGAACTCTTGACCTCAAGTGATCTGCCCACCTGGCCTCCCAAAGTGCTGGGATTACAGTTGTGAGCCACTGGGCCTGGCCCCCAATTTCATCTTTATGTCTTTCCGTGGGGGTGGGGGGGAATGGAATGCCAAGAAATGCTTCTGTCTATAAGATACTTCTCATTTGAGAAGAATTAAAATCTGAGTTTGTTTTCACAATAAAGTGATCAGCAATGTAGAGAAACTGCTTCTGCAGGAGGAAGTAAGTGAAGACAGTAAAACACTAGCTAAGGTTTATGTCCATCATAATTTACTGTATTCTACATGCCCCGGACACTTCCATTTACATTTTCTGCTGCTTTATTTTCTACTTATTCATCTGTTGCTTTGTCACTGCTCTGTAGTTTCATGTATTCTTTTTTGTCATCTCAACTATTTTATAATCCCTCCAGAGCAGGACCCCATCTTCAAGTTTTGTTTTGTTTAGATATGATCCTGAAGATTTCAGTATTATGAGGAAATCAGCACTCTATTAATGTTAACTGAAAGAATATTGAAATGATCATTTCTGTGCAAAGGGAAGCATTAGCACAACTAATTAAAAAATAACATATTTTTAAGTCAAAGTAACAAGATAAAATACTTTTTAAAATTCTAAAACCATGATATGCTTTAAAATGTGTCCCTCCTCGAGAGAAAAAAAAACAAAAGAATTAAGCTATCAACAAACTCAGTTTTTCATGAAGAAAATAATAAGAAATAAAAATATTTATTAAATTTTACAAAGATAAAGTCTCAGGCTGTGGGTGATAAGTTTTTTCATGAGCGTCAGATTTGTTTTTAGACTGGAAATGAAGAGTACAGACATCTTATTGTCTTTGTCCTGTGGCACAGAGCATCACAGTGGCTCCTTGCGTTGTTAGAGTGTTGGTTTGTGGGTGTGTTACTCAGGCTGTTAGTCCTTCATTAGCAACATAAGAACACTGATTTTACTATGCAGTTTGTCTTTATGTATTAGACTTATTTGTGATTATTTACAAACTATTTTTGAATCTTTATTTGACTCTGAAAAATCCAGGCTAAACTTTTTTTATTTGAGAGGAAACTAAGTCATTGAAAGAATGAGTGAGGCCAGGTGTGGTGGCTCACGCCTGTAATTCCAGCACTTTGGGAAGCCAAGGCGGGTGGATCACTTGAACCCAGGAGTTAGAGACCAGCCTGACCAACATGGCAAAACTCTGTCTCTACTAAAAGTACAAAAATTAGCCAAGCATGGTAGCTTGCCCCTGTAGTCCCAGCTACTTGGGAGGCCAAGGTGGGAGGATCACTTGAGCCTGGGAGGTGGAGGCTGCAGTGAGCTGAGATTGTGCCACTACACTCCAGCCTGGACAACAGGGCAAGACCCTGTCTAAAAGAAAAGAAAGAGTGGATGACTTGCCCAAACCGTAGAAATGGGAGCAGAACTCTATCAGGTACAAGCTTATATATCTCTTATTCTTTTATTATTTATATGTATTATGCTTGTAAAACATCTTCTACTATTAATTTACAATGACTGAGAATTATCCAAGTAAGCCAAGTGTGGTGGTGCATGCCTGTAGTCCCAGCTACTCAAGAGGCTGAGGCCAGAGGATTGCTTAAGCTCACGAGTTCAAGGTCAGCCTGGGCAATATAGTGAGATCCCCATCTCTAAAACATAATTTTTTTTTTTTACATTTTCCAAGTGGGAAGAAATTTGGCATTAGTACTAGATAGAAACAATTCAGGATAGAATTTCCACATGGCAGACAGATTTAAAAAATATTAACAACTGAAGGTAATTATTTTAAACAAGATATAATGATTACTCAATATTTCCTAAAGTACAGATATAGCCTATTCTGATTTTAACACTGAAGCTTACAAAAGGAAGTGGTGATGAATTTCTCTATAGAGGAAAGAAGATTCTGAATAGGTTGGTATTCATTCTTTTCACTGAAGAAAGAAGACGAAGTGACCTGGTTGCAGGAATTTTATTTGCTCATTGAAAATATGGACATAATTATGATAATAAGATCATCATAGACATCCTTGGTCTCCTTTTTTTCTGGAAGAGAAAATGATTCCTTACCTTAGACAATTTCCCTAGAACTTCCAGTAGCTCTTTTTCTCTGCTTAAATCTGACTTTCCCTCCCTGATCCTGATTTTGGGACGCAAGATAAACTCCAGATGAAGCTAGCAATAACATACTTCTCAAGACCACAGAAAAGATGCATGGGTTCTATTGGTGGGTGTTTGATTTATAATTCAGATGTAGTTTTTGGAGGATGACTGAAGTATAAAGTCTTCTGAAAACGGCCCAGAATATTCTTGGCTCTTAGAGTGGCCTCCCACCCCACACCCCACCAAAGTACTTGCTTAGTTTCCTGAAGCTGGGATAGCAATTAGGACCATAAAAATGAAGTTCATTAATGAAAACTAATTGAAAATTAATTCACCATGACTCCAGGGAAGAACTTGCATTTAAAATGTGTTGTTAGCGAGCAAGTCTCTAATCATCAGAGCATGGCAAAATACTTCAGAATGACACACAGGTTAATGAGGTGGTGAAGCATCAGAAGAACAAAGTCTTGTACTATTAAAATAGCCACCATGCTTAAAACTGCTATCCTGCCCCTCCCTTCTGGCTTCCCTTTCTGCCTCATTGTACCTTCTTATTTTATTATCACTAGACAGAGCAGATGCCACTTTAGTATCCCTTCCCCCAGTAAATCCTTCCCAGAGAAGAAATTCCGCAATGATTCTCCAAGTTTTTATTCCTAAATAGAAACAAACTTTGCAAATGCCAATTTATCTACCTCCAAATCTTGAGGAATCTGCTTTTTTATCATTTAAACTTTTTATCATGGAAAATTTTAAACATATACAAAACAGAATGCTATAATGAAACACTTTCACCTAACTTCAACAGTTATCTACCAGGAAAACCTATTTTAAGTCATATTTTAGTAAGAACAAATATTTAGACTTGTAATATTTTATTTCTCACAAGATAGATATTGTATCATGACCAGTTTGCTTTTCTTCTTTCTCATTCATCTAAAAAAATTTATTAAAGTTACTGTACATGCAAGATGGAATATAAGAGGGATGGGACCTTTATTCTTTTAAAATTTCACCTGTAAACCTTCTGAGAAACCATCTAGGATCCTTTTGAAGCCTCATTATATGCAGATAGTTTCTAATGGTATGTTTACATGAATGGATTTAAAAACTTTTATCATTATAATTTTATTGTGTCTTTGGTCATTTCAAGCATAATTATTCTCTATAGAAACATCCATTTTCATTTTTCTTGTAATACAATTCCTAGTTATATCTGATATTACAAATATTGGTAAGGTGGTACGTGAAAGAATCTAATGAATCTCTACCTTTCCTCTTTATAGTGTTATTTTATTAGTTTTGAAAATAAGGAATTAAGGGAACAATTTTGATGACAAATTCTTTTTCTCCATTTGGTTTCTACCAGAATCAATTTATATTTCCTTTATCATCAGTTCTTTTAGCAAATCTCATCTTTCAATTCTTCCAAAATTTATGATTCAAGAATTCCATCTTCAATCTCAATTGAAAGAAGATAGTAAATAAATTATCTTTATGATTATCTTTTAGAAAGTTTTTAAAAAGCTATTAAAAATTATCAGGCTGTTCTGGAAATCTTTTCTACCTTCTTTCAAGGTGTGGAATTTAGACATACTTTCATTGTAGAGCAAGCCTCTTTGAAAATCCCTTCTCTCTTCATGTACTCCAATGTGTATATAAGTTTCTCTCCCCAGTTCTTGTAAGTCATTTCAGAACAATTCTGCTTTAACATTTTAAAAAAAATTTTCTCTTTTTAAGGAGTTTCTCACATATTATTCTGATTTATTTTTCAGCTAAGTTGTTGGACAAATATTTACTTAGGGTATTTCTGTAATCTTATAACGTTTTGAAATGAGACATTTTAAAATGAAAAAAGAAAACGTCACAGAGTAAAAAGTTAAACAGCTGAAGAAAACACCTAGCACTCTCAGGTGAGAGAGAGATTCGTGTTCAGCTCTAAGTGTATATTTAAAAAATTAAGTTGCTAAAGTTTTTGTGTAATTCAATTTTTAAAATAAGATTTGATGTAATACTAGCATCCACACCTTACTAGTGCTGGAGCCAATTTCAAAGGAGAAATAGAGACATGACAAAGACACATGAATTACTTTAATTTTGAGTATGTCTATTAAATTTACCTGACATATTTGGTCAGATTTTTCCTCCTTGACTGAATTTCTTCTGCATATACAGTCACTACTGATTTTAAGAAATATTATGCAGTCTATTTTGCATTCCTCCCTTGTCCTGCTCTGGGCTATGCAAGTATGCCATACTTAGTAAGAAGCACAATGTGATGAGTTAACAGGAATCGGGAAACAGGAAAGGAAGTAGACTGTTTAACTGAAGAGATCCATTATGAGAGAGAAGTTCAGAATTTAATTCAAGCAGCAGCACATAAAGTTGTCTTCTCCTTTACAGATATACGAGCATACATGCAGCACGTGTGGCATCTGAGCATTACCGAATGAAATACATGGACACAACATTTCTTGAATTTCTGCATGAGTTTTTATTTTCTAGAAGTCATACTCATTTTCTGTGCATCGAAGTTTTTGGCATTTGCCAGTACTGGACATTTTAGGACATGAGCAAAATACCTGAATGACAGATTCAAAGAACATATGGCTGTTTTTCATTTATTATTAACAACCATTTAATTAAACATCTCTAATTTTTATTTTTAGATAACTTACAATGGAACTTATAGTTGAGACTTGATCTTGTAAAAGATTTTTTAACTGTTAAAAAAAAAAGAACCCTTGGCTTAATTTGAGTTTGAGCATTTCAAAGCTGGTATTTGCAAACTCAGAAAAAAAGAGCTTTTCATTAATCCATGATTTTGGAAACAGTTACTTTAACCTGCAACCACATACAAATAGAAAAAATCCTAATGGGACTATTTTCTTACTAAGCCTGTAACAGTTTACATTCACCTAATGGCCTCGGGTTATGAGCAAACTACTCAATTAGAGAATTTAGGCTGGTTGCCCACATATTTTAGAGCAAATTATCCCTTCACAAACGCAGAACCCCCTATATAAAACGCCTAACCAGTATTTCCTGTAAAAAAATACTATTCCCTAAATTCCCACCTTGAACCTACTAAGAATTTCTCTTTTTGCTAGGGCAAAGATTTTATGGAAATATTTGTTTTTATATCACATACCTTACTATTGGTCTTCCTGCTGGCTTGCGTTTTGACCTTCAAGCAGCTAAGAAATTATAATCAAAACACTTCTAATAAGATATTTCTTTTTAAAGTACTTTAAGCTGAGAACCTTAAGTTGGAAGGTGTAGAATCCTGCAAATTCTTTGATAACAGATCTTCTGCTTGGGGGGTTAAATGAATTTCATGGTTATCCTTAACACTTACTATTTCTTCTTAGGCCTCTTCCATTCAAAAGGGGGTCGGTGCTTCCAATCTATAAACACCCATTAAAAGTTCTCCACCCTTTTATACTTGGCTGCTGGTCTTAATTGTCTGCAGATGGGTGGATCACTGCATTTTTTTTTTTTTTTTTTATTTCAAAGGTAGAGATTTGCAAAATGTAAACGAGCCTATTAAAAGTTCTAAATCAAGACTCTCAACATCCATTAAAAGGATCCATGTGTAAATAGGGACAGAACTCAATCGAAAAGTGTCTTTTTGTAACAAAAAATTTTCACTAATATCTAAGAAAAGTGTATATCACCATGAATGCATTACAAATGTATTCAACACAAACAGTGCTTTGCTAGAGGGCTACTTAAAAATTTCATGCAAAGTTTGAACTAAGGAAAAAAATATGTGCTTGCAAAACATTATTGTTTTATTTTATAACAGCTGATAGATAAGAGATGCAATGTAATTATCCTACATTATAAATTTTCATTGGGTTGAAAAGGAACAAAAGCTTTTGTTATATTTTCACAGCAGAATAAAAATTCAATACAATATAGACCTATAGTACGGACAAAAATATTTCACTGTATTTAATATAAAATCTTACAATGTGATTATTTTCAGTTCACCTACTGAATTATTGTTTTCTATGTTAGTCAAATTTCTTTTAAAAAAATGAACCGCAATTCACTGTATTGCTTGTGACTAAGAACTGAACCCCAGGCTAGCTGTTCTTGGCACTGTGGTGTTCTGGTTTATCTTGCCTGAGGCACTGACAGTTTATCTCAGATTCTACAGTTTCTTCCATTCTTCTTCCACTAGCTTTTCCCCTCAGTCTTGCTTTTCATTAGCCCACCCTGATGGTTGACCACTTCTAATCCATAAATTAAGCAGACAGAAAACACAAAGATGTGTTTCTTTTATCTTTGAAAATCAAACCCATCACAAACTTTATTTAATTTGATTTTCTTGGGTCTAAAATAAAATATTCCTAGGAGCAAAAAATATTGCTAGAATCTCTGCTCTTAAAAACCAGCTTTATATACTCACCTTGCAGTGGAGGATACAAGGGAATTGCTTTGGCTTTATTCACTTTGGCTTTGAGCACCATAATCTGTGCCCAATAGTGAAATCAAGGTTTGAACATCTGACAGCTGTATTTCCCTCATCCTTTCTCTAAATGCAATGCAGAATTTATTTAATTTTGGGGGAATGGTGTTTCCCCCTACACTCCAGTTTTAATACACAGATTATAGTGACAATATTTAAAAGCTGTTTTGATCTTTGAGATTGTATTTTCTTTCATTTTTTACTTAACTTTTCTGAGTGTGACGAAAAGGGAAGCAGAAGTTGGAAATCTAAATAGAAACAAAAAAACAATTTCAGCTATTCTCCTTGAGCTTGCAAAAATGCATTTACAAGCTCTCAACAAAATTTTACTTTTAAAAGCCATTTTAATATTTGTTATCTTTTACCAAGTAAAATAAGCTGATGCTTTTACATGTGGATCTTATTATGTGAATAGCCGTCTAAGCCTGCTATTGAACATAATCATATGAATTACGAACTGTGACTTTATTTCTTTTATAATCTTTGTAGTTCTTGCCATTACTTTTACATGTCTATGTCTGGCATTATGTAGCTTTGAAACTATGCCAAAAATATTTATTGTCGTATATCTGGCATTCTCATACTTTGTGGGTGAGTTTGGTTTCCAAGCTGGGCAAAACTTATTAGCAGATACAGTTTTTGGCATTCGTTTGAAAAAAATCTTAAGTAATTTTAGTACCCCCTCAAGTATAACCTTTTGCACTCCTTGAAACATGTATGGAGTTGAAATTTCAATGCTTGAGATATCTCTTTTTCCAATTTTAAGTAATTATTCATTTATAAAGTACGAAAAATGGAACAAAAAACAACAAAAGGAAAAAGAAAAAATGAAATAAAAGAATGAATTTAACCGCAAACTGGAATATTTTGAAATATTCACATGGATGGTTTAGATAAAATATTTCTCTGACATGCAAATCCCAGAGAACTGGCACGGGGTACCATTGATACAGTGCAGTGCTAGTAACTTGTGGTTGTATGAAGTAACAATAATGATGAAAAGCAAAATATGTATGCATAATTCTTTTACTAATCTCTTTGCAGCTTTACTAGATTCTTTTTTTTTTTTGATACAGTGTCTTGCTCTGTCTCCCAGGCTGGAGTGCAGGGGCACAAACATGGCTCACTGTAGCCTCAACTTCCAGGGCTCAAGCAATCCTCCTGCCTCAGCCTCTTGTTAGCTGGAACCACAGGCGTGTGCACCATGCCTGGCTAATTTTTTTATTTTTTGTATTTTGATTTTTTGTAGAGACAGGATCTTACTTTGTTGCCCAGGCTGGTCTCAAACTCCTGGGCTCAAGTGATCCTCCCATCCTCCCACCTTAGCCCCCCCACAGTGCTGGGGTTACAGGCATGAGCCACCACATCTGGCCTAAATTCTAGTAAGAAGTGTGATAAAGATATTCAGTTCCTGCCATTGGTTTATATACCAGACTCCATCACTATATTGTTGTTCATTATGTTCAGGCATAGCACAGTACTCTTCATGTAGTTCATTCTCAATATACTTTTGTGTACATACAGTAACCTATTAGCACTATTTAAGATGGTATTAAGGTATTGTTAAACTGTTAAATGTTATTTTCTAAAAGAAGGTAACATCATGACTGTCATACAAACATAAAACTAGCACATATCAAAAATCCTTTTTAATGCATAATTAATGAGGGAACCAGTAAGATGTTATAAGTAGTTAAAAAAAGAATTCAAAGAACCACATACATAGGGGCAATAAGGAATGCTGAAAATTGATGCAGAATTAATCTATCCTGATAGCAATAATCAATTGCGTTATACTGGATAAAATCATTTGCATTTCTATGGACAAGAGTCATTTGTATTATCCATTTTCTATAATTTACAGAGTAGTAATAATACTTATACCACATACTTGGTAAAGATTATTTTGAGAATTAATATATGTATTTTTATATTTAGATATTCATTAATTTTTCTCAGCCAACAAATTCTTTTTGAATACCTACTATGTGTCAGGCACTGTATGTACTGCTGGTGATCAAAAACAGCACTCGTAGATCCACAGCTGAGTGATGAAGACAGACATTAACTAAATGATCATAAAAATAAATGTACAATTTAAACTGTGATCGGAGCCACAAAAAAGTCTACAGAGCTCTGAGAGAGTAAAATTTGAATAAGACAATCTCAATGCAAGTTAATTTTACTTTAAGTAGCATATATATTTCCTGATGTGTGTTCGTCAAAGGTGATACTTTAAATTGGAAACCTATTTTGAAAAATTCTCTTACTGAATCAATTACTCATGTAAACCAAATGATTCTGCAGCACATAAATGAGTCTAATATTTACATATTTCAATCCTACTGTAAAAAATATGTAACATAAAACTACATTAATTTATTAGTTAGGATCATAGGAGGGAATCACAGTTGGTTAAAATTAGTAAAGTCAAAATTAAATCAGCTAATCTTTTGCCAATTACTCCACTCCCAGACTTCATTATGGTTATGCTGCCAATACCCTTGTGCAAAACAGTTACATGGGATATATTTGCTTCCTTCAGTGTTTTAGTTTTCAGAATCCATAATGTCGTGTGTGTGTGTGTGTGTGTGTGTGTGTGTGTGTGTGTGTGTGTGTGTGCATTTTAAGACAAGGCCTCTCTGTTACTCTGTTACCCAGGCTGGAGTGCAGTGGCTCCATCTCAGCTCACTGCAACCTCCGTCTCTCAGGCTCAAGCAGTCCTCCCACCTCAGCCTCCCAAGTAGCTGGGACTACAGGCATGCATCACCATGCCCAGCTATTTTTTTGTATTTTCAGTAGAGAAAGGGTTTCACCATGTGGCACAGGCTGGTCTCGAACTCCTGGACTTAAGCAGTCTGCCCGCCTCAGCCTCCCAAAGTGCTGGGATTACAGGCGTGAGCCATCGAGCCTGATGTTCTGTGTTCTGCAGTGCTCTGAGTCCATGCTGGGTTATACCATGCAGAATATTACTGAGGACTTTTGTTGCCCATCTACTCCATTCATTTAACTGCATTCTCGTCATTGTCAAATATCAAATTGGAAGATACTACGTTTGTGAAGCCTAATTTGATAACATAAAAAGCAGGTGCATTCACTTAAAAAAAAACCACAACAGTGCAGTCCATAAATTTATCGTGTCTTGAAGACACTACAATGAAGACTCCTATCCCAGAGAAGGGTCTTTCAGAGACCGGGAACCAAATGAGTCATCCAGATGAGTTGCTCATTTGCCATTTTCATAGGCAGCTGGGTTATTCTTGGATTTCTCAGACTCCCAGTTCTCCTGTGTGTAGACGAGATAAAACATAGGCAGCTGGGTTATTCTTGGATTTCTCAGACTCCTACACAGTTCTCCTGTGTGTAGACGAGATAAAACATTGCAAATGGTGGCTTCATGCAAAGGAAAGGTGCCTGAGTATTATTGTGCAGCCTGTTGGGGATATCGTTGCTGAAGTAGTGTGGGGAGGCCAGTGCCTGAGGGCCACGAGCTATAGGTAACTGCATCTTGCATCCACCTCAGATTTCCAAACTCGTGGCCCATTATTGCGGTGGTGCTCGCTCTCCACAACTGCAGATCCACTGCATTCACTTTTTGAGCAGGTTGTAGATATCCACATTGCAAAAGTTAAGTTTGTGTATGTGAATGTGACCCTTGCAAAACAATTAAAACACATATTTTAGAGTTTTCTTTTTTCCGTAGTAGTGGTGACATCTATGAGCTAAGTTGTAGCAGGACGAGCCGCAGACAAAACCCCTCAGACACTGGGTTAAAGAAGGAAGTGGCTTTTTTCGGCCGGGAGCTTCGGCAGACACGTCTCAAGAACTGAGCTCCCCGAAGAAAGAGTTCCTTGCCCTTTTAAGGGCTTACAACTCTAAGGGGTGCACATGACAGGGTTGTGATAGATTGAGCAAGCATGGGGTACGTGACTAGGTGGGGGTGGTGAGCAAGGCAAGTATTTCTCCATACCATTGTCTGTGATCTATAGATAGCACAAGCGATTAGGGTAGGGGTTAATCTCTCTTTTTTTTTTTTTTGAGACAGAGTCTCGCTCTGTAGCCCAGGCTGGAGTGCAGTGGCGCCATCTCGGCTCACTGCAAGCTCCGCCTCCCGGGTTCACGCCATTCTCCCGCCTCAGCCTCCCAGGTAGCTGGGACTACAGGCGCCTGCCGGGTGGGGGTTAATCTTTAGCCTACAGGCCTGGCCAGTGGCGCTGATCAGTCTGTTATTTTTCAGTTTTTATTTCCTCCTTTCCTTTGGAGACAGGAGACAGTAAGAGAAATGGCCTCCTTCCTTAAAGTCATTCATACTTGTCCAAATACTCCTTTTGATAATATGTGGGAAGCCACTAAAAATGATCCAGCACCTTCTATCACACTTTAACCCTTTATCCCATGCCTTAGATTGGGTTTCCTAGAAGCAGGCCCTTAGATGAGGATTCGTGTGTGATTTATTAGGAAAGCACTCCTGGGAGAAACCAATAAGGGAGTGGGGAAAGCAGGACAGAAAGAGAGCCAAGCGAGTATGGATCTCAGGCTAACCCCACAGAGGGCTGCTTCAGCCTGTGTCTGAAGGGGAGCTCTGAAAGGTAAGTTATGCCTGAGTTGTCCTGACTGGAGGGGAAGGGAGCTGGTCTTTCATAGTTCTGCGCCAACCAGTCCCCTTGGGGGCATTGTGGAATGGGGGAAAGTAAATTCCCAGGCATGTTCTGATGTTGGCCAAGTGGGATCCAGTGTCTTCTGAAAAACAGCCTGGGGTTTGTTGTTGGAAGCAGAAACACACAAATAGGTAAAAGGGGATCTTAAGATACTGGGGAGAAATATTGACAGTGTTTGCAACACTCTATCTGTTCCCCCTACATACATTCTCTACTTCCTGGGCATGTGGTTAGATTGCATGCATTTCCCAGCCTCCTTGCCAAGTGTGGCCATGAAATTATGTTTTCTTGCAGAATGCGGGGGTAGTGATGTGTGCCACCTCTGAATCTAGGGTAGCCTCATCCATTCTGTCTTTCTCCTCCCTGCTGGCTGAAACTCAGGGTGACTCAGCTTATAGTATAGAGCTAATGATAATGATCTTAGGAATGGTAATGCAGCATAATAGAAGTACTGGAGTCCCCAAATGACTTCATAGAGCAGTTTCTTGATGATCCAGAACATTTACCTTGGACTGTTAAGTAAGAGAAACAAACTTCTTTTTCAAACAACTGCATTATTTTTGGGTCTCTATCATAGCAGCCTAGCATTTTTCTAGTTAATACAAGATGTTTTATTCTTATCATAACATTATATGATATTATAGATCAATTTTTATAGTTTTTATTGTTTATTTCTCCTACTAGAATATACACTATGTGGGAGCAAGAGATTTGCCTATCCTTTTCTTGCTGGTACAACAAACTCAATAAGTACTTGTATTGTTCTACCTAACCCTATAATAATTAAAAATAAAACACATTACAATTTAAGAACTTACTGTAATGCCACATTAGAAGTGATATATAACAAATGGAAAGAGTTTAATTAAAATTAACCCAAATGATTAATGAGATAAAATATTGATGTGTTAAAAATGGAGAGGAGATAAATTACATGCTTTTGAAAAAACAAGGCCGAAGGGCACCATGGTAACTGTTTTTGCGTATTGGCAAGGTGATTATAAAGAGGTTGGTGTTCAACCGTTTTCCATGTCTGCAGAGGAAAAACTAGCAGGAAAGAGCTTAAACCGACCTGACAGTAATAGTGATTAAACATTAGAAAAGACTCCAGAGTAATATTGTAGAATCTCCGTCCCTAGTGAATTTTAAGGACAAACCATCTGTCTTAGACATTTCAGGCAGACCCCTTGCAGGAAGAAAGAGGTCTGGATTAAATGACTCCTTAAGCTAGCTCCGTTTCAATTCCAGGAGTCTGTGCCACTATACAGGGGATCTGGCAGTGACATCTTTCACTCCATTGACTAGCCTGACTGTGGCATCTCTTATCAGTACCTTGAGAGAGTTATTTCTCTGGATGAGGCTGGTAGAGAGGAGAGTAGGGAGTAGAAAGACTAACCTCCCAAAATAATGATATTAAAAAGTATATTTTGCACCTAGAACTCTAAGATACTAAGTAATTTCTACATGCTCAACAAACTTTAACTGGAAAAGTCTTAAGACTTTAGTGCATTTAAATTGCTATGTTTTATTTAATAAGATTAACTGCTATAGCAATGATGAAAATACAATAATTTAATGTGAACAGTGATTCTCCTGCCTCAGCCTCCTGAGTAGCTGGGATTACAGGTGCGAGCCACCACACCCAGCTAATTTTTGTATTTTTAGTGGAGGTGGGGTTTCACCATGATGGCCAGGCTGGTCTCAAACTCCTGACCTCAAGTGATCCACCCGTTTCAGCCTCCCAAAGTGTTAGGATTACAGGCATGAACCACCACGTCCAGCCTAAAACTGTTTATTTTAAAATAAAGTTTGTGCATTCTAATAATTAAAATCATTTGAACAAGAAAAATGGCACTCTAATTAAACTTCATTTAAACTGCATTTGAGAACCTGCAGGACACCTTGGGGCAGCTTGGTTTTACTCTAGATTTACCTGTCTTCCTACTCTTCTTCTTCCTTCACCAACATGCAAGTTATTTTCCTTCCTTGACAGCCAGACAAGCAGATGGGAGAGGTAGGTGTGGCCTTCATCGTCAGCAGTTTTCTATTGTTTGATGTGAAAAGGGCAGCAAAGTCCTTTAAAAGTTGATCCAACCTCTTTGCATCTTACAAAATTAACAGCTAAAATAAGTAAAATAAGAAGGCAATTCTCGTTGAATGTACAGTGCATATTGGCGGCGCATGCCTCCGTAAGATTTGTCTGCCTGCTTCTCCTGTTCTATTGTTTCTTCGGAAGGCAGTGGATTTTTCTCTTGCAATTCTGTCTTCTTCTATTTTTGACATCAAATTTCTTGATCTCAGCCATATCAGGTTTGTCAGACATGATATGTCTTGACATATCATGTGTCATATGATCTGTCACAGAGGAAGTGGAGTGAGGCCCAGAGTGAGCAGAATCTAGTTTGTGCAGTGGCCACCACCTAGTTAGAAATTATTTTTAAAAAACCTAAATGAAAATTTTAGACCTAAAAAATAGCATACTCAAAAATTCACTGGATGGGCTCAATAGCAAATTGCAGATGACAGAGGAAGAGTTGATGAACTTGAAGATAGATAATAGATAGCATCTAATCTGAGAAACACATTATAGATTGAAAAATCAATAAGCAAAGCCTCAGGGACCTGTGGGACAATATCAAAAGGCATATATAAATTATATCTCAATAAAACTGTAAAAAAGGGCCAGGCGTGGTGGCTTACGCCTGTAATCCCAGCACTTTGGGAGGCCAAGGCGGGCGGATCATGAGGTCAGGAGTTCGAAACCATCCTGGCTAACACAGTGAAACCCCGTCTCTACTAAAAATATAAAAATTATCCGGGTGTGGTGGCACCCACCTGTAATACCAGCTACTCAGGAGGCTGAGGAAGGAGAATAGTTTGAACCCGGGAGGCGGAGCTTGCAGTGAGCCAAGATCGTGCCACTGCACTCCAGCCTGGGCGACAGAGCGAGACTCCATCTCAAAAAACAAAACCAAAAACAAACAAACAAAAAACTGTAAAAAAGTAGATATTGTAAGATTGTATAAAAAAGGCCTGACTAGATATTGTTTACAAGAAACCCACTTCAAGTATAAAGCTATAGGATAGGCTTAAAGTAAAAGTATGAATAAAGGTATACCACACAATCACTAATCAAAACAATGCTGGAGTAGCTATCTTAATGTTAGGCAAAATAGTCTTTAGAATAAAGAATACTATCAGGAATATAAAGAAACATCACATGATGATAAACAGTGAATTCACCAAGAAGATATAACAATCTTAAATGTGTTTATACCTAACAACAGAGCTTCAAAATACATAAAGCAAAACATGGTAGCAATAAATCCACAATTACATATAAAGACTTTAACATCCGCCTCCTAGTAATTGATAGAAGTTGACAGAATGTTATAAGGATATGAAAGACTGGAACAATACTTTTGAAACCAACTATATTTAATTGACATTTATAGAGTACTCCACCCAACAATATTAGTATGCACATTCTTTTCAAATGTTGTATATGGAACATTTATCTAGAAAGACAATATTCTGGCCAATAAAACAAACTATAACAATGTTTTTTTTTTTTTTTTTTTTTACACAGAGCCTCACCCTGTTGCCCAGACTGGAGTGCAGTGGCACGATCTTGGCTCACTGCAACCTCTGCCTCCTGGGTAGAAGTGATTCTCCTGCCTCAGCCTCCCTAGTAGCTGGGATCACAGGCGCCCACCACCACGCCCAGCTAATTTTTGTATTTTAGTAGAGACAGGGTTTCACCATGTTGGCCAGGCTGGTCTCAAACTCCTGATTCAAGCAATCCACCTGCCTCGGCCTCCCAAAGTGCTGGGCTTACAGGCGTTAGCCACCCCGCTTGGCCCAAATTTCTTTTTTTTTCTGAGTTGGAGTCTCGCTCTGTCACCCAGGCTGGAGTGCAATGGTGCGATCTCAGATCACTGCAACCTCTGCCTCCTGGGTTCAAGCGATTTTCCTGCCTCAACCTCCCGAGTAGCTGGGATTACAGGTGTGTGCCACCACACCTGGCAAATTTTTGTATTTTTAATAGAGATGGGGTTTGGCCATGTTGGCCAGACTGGTCTCGAACTCCTGACCTCAGATGATCTGTGCCCTGGCTTCCCAAAGTGCTGGGATTACAGGCGTGAGCCACCACACCCGGCCACAACAAATTAAAAAAAATAATAATACAAACCGTGACCTCAGATCATCAAATAATTAAATTAGAAATAAACCACAAAAAGATATTTGGAAAATCACCATATATTTGGATATAACACACACAACACAATTTCTAAATACAACATGGGTAAAAGAGAAAGTCACAAGGGAAATTAGAAAACATTTTGATTGAAGGAAAATAAAAATATAACATCAAAATATGGGGATGGAGCTAAAACAGTGATTAGTAAGAAACCTGTAGCATTAATTGCTAAGATTAGAAAATAAGTATGTCTTACATCAGTGACCAAAATTTCCACTTAAGAAATGAGAGAAGAGCAAGTTAAACCCAAAGCAAACAGATAGAAGGAAATGATGAAAAGCAAAAGTCAATGAAATTACAAGTAGAAAAATAATAGAGAAAAATCAATGAAACAAAAAGCTTATTTTTTAAAAAAGATAAACCTTTAGCCAGACTGAGAAAAAGAGAGAGAGAAGCTATAAATCACCAATATCAAACATGAAAGTAGCAGGGCCGGGAGCGGTGGCTCACGCCTGTAATCCTAGCACTTTGGGAGGCTGAGGCAGGCAGATCACTTGAGGTCAGGAGCTCGAGACTAGCCTGGCCAAAATGGTGAAACCCCGACTCTATTAAAATACAAAAATTAGCCGGGTATGGTGGCATGTGCCTGTAGTCCCAGCTGCTCGGGAGGCTGAGGCAGGAGAATCATTTGAACCCAGGAGGCGGAGGCTGCAGTGAGCTGAGATCACACCACTGCTCTCCAGCCTGGGCAACAGAAGGAGATTCTTTCTCAAAAAAAAAAAAGAAAAAAAGAAAAAAGAAAAAAAAAGAAAGTAGGGACGTCATCACTGATCCTTCTGACATGACAGACATTAAAAAGCTAATAAGTGGCTGGGTACAGTGGCTCATGCCTGTAATCCAGCACTTTGGGAGGCTGAGGTGGGCAGATCACCTGCGGTAAGGAGTTCAAGACCAGCCTGGCCAACATGGCGAAACCCCGTCTCTACTAAAAATACAAAAATTAGCTGGGTGTGGTGGCACACACCTGTAGTCCCAGCTACTCGGGAGGATGAGGCAGGAGGATCACTTGAACCTGGGAGGCGGAGGTTGCAGTGAGCTGAGATTGCGCCACTGCACTCCAGCCTGGGCAACAGAGTGAGACCCTGTCTCAAACAAACAAAATAAAAAACAAAACAAACAAACAAAAGCTAATAAAGGAATACTGTGAACAACTTTATGCTAGTAAATTTGACAACTTTGATGAAAGAAATCAATTTCTTGAAATACATAAACTGTTAATGCTCACTCAAGAACTAAATCATCTGAATTATTTTACATTTATTGAAGATTTTGAGTTTGCAGTTAAAAACTTCCCAACAATGAAACTGGTTTTGCTGGTTAGTTCTACCAAACACAAATACCAATACGTCACACTTTCTCTCAGAAAATAGGAGGAGAGAACACTTCCCAACTCATTTACCAAACAAAGACATTCCATAATAAGAAAGGAAACTAGAGAGCAATATTCCCATAAACATGGATGTGAAATCCTTAACAAAATACTAGTAAATTGAATCTAACAATATATAAAAAGAAGAGCATGTCATGACCACATAGAGTTTATTCCAGGAACACAAGGCTTGTTCAAGATTTGAGAGTCAATGTCATTCATTATAGCAACTTAGTAAATAAGAAAAACCACATGATCATCTCAGTAGTTGCAGAGAGAGCATTTGACAAGATTCAAAATCCATTCATGATAAGTATTTTCCACAAACTAGAAAACCTCCTTATCCTGATAAAAAGATCTACATCTAATGTATTACAAGTGAAAGATTGAATGTTTTCTCCCTAAGACTGAGTTTAAGGCAAGGATGTCTGCTTTCACCACTCCTTTTCAACATTATCCTGGAGGTACTAGATAGTGCAGCAAGGCAAGAAACAAGATTTTTAAAAAAATACAGCTTGGAAAGGAAAATATAAAACTCTCTGTTCAGACTATGTGATTTTTATATAAAAAACCCCGAGGAATCTATAAAAAGAGTCCTAGAATGAATTAATCATTTTAGAAAAGTAATATTATAAATAAAAGGTACAAAGATAAACATATTTTTTATTTCTAAATGTTGCCAGTAAATATTTGGGAATCAAAATTTAAAACACAGTATAATTTATAATAGTACCAAAAATGAAATAATTAGCTATAAATTTAAAATGCAAAACTATGCAGGATTTATATGCTGGAAACTACAAAATAATGATAAAGGAAATCAAAGATCTAAATAAATGGATAGAAATACTGTATCCATGGATAGGACAACTCAATATTGCTAATAAGCCAATTTTTCTCGAAGTGATATATAGATCAATGCAACCCCAATAAAAATCCCAGCAAGATAGTTTTCTAGAAATTGAGGTTTATTTAAAAGTTCATATAGAACTAGGTTAGCCAAAACAATTTTTAACAAGAACAAAGTTGGAGGACTCATACTACTTCATTTCAAGACTTACTGCGAAGGTATAGTAGCCAACATGGTGTAGCAAAAGGCAAAAATAGAGAACATGGATCAATGAAAAGAAGAGTGAGTCTATTTCTAGACTCACAAATATACAGCCAATTGATTTTTTTTTTTTCCTGAGATGGAGTCTTGCTTTGTCTCCTAGGCTGGAGTGCAGGGGTGATGATCTCGGCTCACTGCAACCTCCACCTCCCAGGTTCGAGTGATTCTCCTGCCTCAGCCTCCCTAGTAGCTGGGATTACAGGTGCATGCCACCACACCCCGCTAATTTTTTTTTTTTTTTTTGTATTTTTAGTAGAGACGGGGTTTCACTATGTAAGCCAAGATGATCTCAATTTCCTGACCTCGTGATCTGCCTGCCTCGGCCTCCCAAAGTACTGGGGTTACAGGCGTGAGCCACCACGCCCGGCCAGCCAACTGATTTTTGACAAAGATGCAAAGGCAATTCAATGGAAAAAGGACAGTCTTTTCAACAGATGGTGCAGAAACAGTTTGACATCCATATGCAAAGAAAATGAATGCTAACCCATACCTCATACCTTTAAAAAACCAACTCAAAATAACCATAAGACCTAAAAGCAAAATATTAAGGTAAAAACCTGTAGATTAAAACATAGGATAAAATATTTGTGATCTTGGGTTAGGTAAATATTTCTTAGATATGACACCAAAATTATAAATTTCCCTCATGAAAATTAAAAATTTTTACTGTTTGAAGACAATGTTAAATGAACAAACAGACAAACCACAGACCTGGAGAAATATTTGAAAATTAGATGTCTAAAAATTAATTAGTATTCAGAATATATAATGCTCAAAACCCTTTAATTAAGACAAATGATCCAATTTTCTTTTTTTAACTTTGTTTTTTAGAGACAGTATCTTGTTCTGTTGCCCAGGCTAGACTACAGTAGTGATCATGGTTCACTGCAGCCTCAGCCTCTTGGGCTCAAGCAGTCCTCCTACCTTGGCCTCCCAAAATGTTGGGAGTACAAGCATGCACCACTGCGCCTAGCCAAATGATCCAATTAAAAATAGGCAAATTACTGGGACAGACAATTTTATGAATACAGCCTATTGTAGGAATAAAGAGAAGTCTGGTCCACAAAGGTGGAGTCTGGAGATGATACAGGCCTTGAATATACTGTACAGGAATTTGGTCTTTATCTTGTAGGGAAATATTGGTTCTGATTTCAGTATTGCTATAGCATTGGGTATTTTCTGTAACATATGTATGTATAAAGAAAACTAGCGCTTTTGAATATATCTTCTAAGGGGAAGTTACTTTCACACTATAACTCAAAAAAATCAAACTTTTAAAATTATTCACAATTCAGCAGTATACAGATCTACATGGAATTTTATTTATATGTACATATCTTATAGACATATAATATGGCTTGAACAAGAAGTTTGGTCTAGTGCCTATTATTTGAGAAAACTATCTCTTAAGTTTTATAAGAAATGAGATGTATAGTTAGAATTTCCGGTTGTCTATTTTCAGAGGTTTGTCAAATCAGTCCTATATTCTATAATTCATATATTGGTTCATGTCTCACAGCAGCCTGAGCCTTTTTCTCCACCTCTCCCTTCAGTTTTTCCTCTTTCATCATTTTTAGAACTCTCATTTCACTCATCTCTTTTTCATTCTTTCTTCAAGCTTTTGCAAGATCTTTTTCCAAAAACCAGACATTTTTATAAGGCATCTTCTTGTACTCGGTCTTCCATTGGTGACCACTTTGTAAATCACCATGACTTAATATTTTTCCTGTTACCTACTGTCTGCACATGTTTCACTAAGCTCCTCAGGGCAGGAAATCTGTCTTTTATATTTTATGCTTTGTGAAATACCATGCACTCTTATGACTCCTATTAACAATAAATTTCAGTCTGAATTAGCTAAAGCTACATCTTCCTTATTTTATGTGTAAGCTTTACAGGCATTCTAGGGAAGACTCAAGTTTCACCAGCTACCTGATTTGTCATGTGTATCATTTATTTTTTAGGAAGCATTAGAATGTCACCTTTTGGAGTTACTGAGCACAAAGCCAAGAATGTATATTTTTAACCTACTTAGCTAATATATATATATTATCAGAATGAGAACTTTTTTTAATTGTAAGAAGGAATTGTTCTTCTCTTTTTTGATAACTAGATTGAGCTCACATGGAGTTTTGAGACAGGTATACATGCCAGGACACCTTGTGTTCTAATTTTAAATCATGCCTTTCAGACACAAACGGTCTCTGGATTTATGCATTATTTATGACAATAGAAATCTTTAATGTTAGACTTGAAAAATGTCAGTGTCGAAATACATTCAATATTTGCAGAGTTACTTCACAGAGATCTAGACTTTATTTTCTCTCTTTTTAAGTGGAACATGTGAACCACATTTAGCACACATTTATTTCAGGAGAGTGTGATGGATGGGTCCAAATCAGAAGTGAGCAAACAGAGGCTGAGAAGCCATGCTGCTCATTCTGCTCTTACTCCATGCTCTTGGCTTTTGGTGCTGTGTTTTTCCTCTATTTACTTCCTTCTTTTCCCAAGTACTATCTATCTTGTCTACCAAGCCCACTTTCAGGAGGTAGCTGATAGCAGCTCCAAGTACCATCTGCCTTATATATACAGCGTATGCATTTTTAGTCAAAATTCTAAAAGGTGAAACAATCTCAGCCACAGGATTTGAGTAGTGTGACCTTCATGGACTCATTCTACTTAAAGGCCTACCTGATGAGCTACCCAAAATATTTTTGCCTGATAAGATATATATTCGTTTTCTTTTCCTCCCATAACGTATTACCATAATTTACCAGCTTAAAATCACACTCATTTATTATCTCACAGTTCTGTAGGTCAGAAATCCAGGCACAGAGTGACTCAGCTAGCTCTCTGTGCTAGGTTTTACAAGGCTGCAATCAAGGTATTACTTACTTTGTTCCTTTCTGGAGGCTCTAAGGGAGAATCTGTTTCCTGCTCATTAGGTGGTTGACAGAATTTAGTTCCATGCACTTGTAGGACTGAGCTCTCCATTGCTTGCTATCTGTCAGCCAGGAGCCATTCTCAGCTTCTAGAAGCTACCTGCATTCCTTGGCCATTTTTTTTCAAAGTCAGCAACGATGCACCAAGCCTTTCTTTCTTTCTTTCTTTCTTTCGAGATGGAGTCTCGCTCTGTCACCCAGGCTGGAGTGCAGTGGTGTGATCTCAGCTCACTGCAACCTCTGCCTCCTGGGTTCAAGAGATCCTACTGCCTCAGCTTCCAAAGTAGCTGGGACCACAGGCATGTGCCACCACGCCCGGCTGATTTTTGTATTTTTGGTGGAGACAGGGTTTCACCGTATTACCCAGTGGAGACAAGGTTTCACCATGTTGCTGGTCTCGAACTCCTGAGCTCAAGCGATCTGCCCGCCTCAGCCTCCCAAAGTGCTGAGATTACAGGTGTGAGCCACCACGTGGTGGCATCAAGCCTTTTTATGATTTGAATGTCTCTGATCTTTCTGCCTCATCTTTTCTCAGCTTTTCTTTTTTGCCACATCTGACTGACTCCAGCTGAAGAAATTTCTCTTTTTATGAGGGCTCAATTGGTTAGACTGGGCCAACCAGATATCTACAATAATTTCCCTACTTTAAGATCTATAAATTTAATTACATCTGTACATTCTTAGCAGTGCCTAGATTAGTGTTTTACTGACTAGGGGTGGAAAACTTAGAGGGACTTTAGAATTCTGCCTCCTATAAGATACATGACCTATATAATGAAAATGATAAAATTTTTGGAAAACATATATGAGGACACTTGAATAAATGCAGATTACTGAAAGGAAAGGCTCATATAGAAGAATATTGTTTTCCCTGAAATTAATATACAAACAGAAATTTTAATAAAAATCCACATAGAGTTTTGGGGGTTCTTGACAACTTGATTCCAAAAACAAGAAGAATAAATGGGTAAAAAAGACAACTGAATAGGAAAAAGAAAGTGTATTCCCCAACTCATTTAATGAAGGTAGCTAGCATATTTTGATACCAAATTCAGAGAAAGACATTACCAAAAGGAAAATTACAGGTCAGTCTTATTTGTGAGATCCCCTGAAATCTTAAACAAAATGTGAGTATATTGAATCCAGCAACATACAAAAAAAGATAATAGACTAATGGAAAGAATACCAAGGTCAGAAACAACTCCATACTTATATGACTACTTGGTTCATGATCAAGATGGCACTGCAGGGTAGGGCAGAGAGGACCATCTTTCAACAAATGGTGCTAGTCTAATTTTCCACATGGAAGGGGTTGGGGATCTATATATGCCTCCCTTTCTCCATATGTAAGAACATTAATTGCAGGTCTGCCTAGACCAAAATTTAAAAAGCAAAGCAATAAAATTTTAGAAGACAATATAAAAGTCTTAATGATCTTAGGGTTGGAAAATATTTCTTAAATAGGATACAGATATCATTAATCATAAGGGAAGAGTGATGAATTCTACTCCACTGACAACTTGGTTTCATCAAAAGACATTAAGACAGTGAAAGTACAAGCCACAAAGTGGGAAAAACATTTGTAGCACATATAATCAATAAAACTTGTTTCAACATTATATAACAGATTAATACAAAAAGTAAGAAAAATACAAACAACCCAACAGAAAAATGGGGAAAGACCTAAACAATTAGACAACACTCATATAAAAAGGGGCTATTCTTCATTAAAAATCAGGGAAATGCAAAATAGAGCCACAATAAAACAGCATTACACATTCATTACAGTAATAAAACTTAAAATGTCTGACAATATCAAGTGTTGGTGAGGATGTAGTGCAACAGAAACTTTTGTATATTGTTGTTGGTTATATAAATTGGTACAATCATTTTGGAAAATTTTGGCACGATCTTGTAAAACTGAATATATTAATATATACATGCTCTACAAACCAGGAATTACATACCAAGGTAAAGACTCCAAAGAAATCTGTGTTTATATGCTCTAGAACATATATATATATATATATATACATTCACACACACACACACATATGTACTTAAAGAGAACATACATATGTGTGTGTGTTTACACAAACTTTCACAGCAGCATTGCTTATAATAGCCTAAAGCTAGAAATAGCCTATATGTCCATCAGCAGTAGAATAAATTATGATACACCAATGCAATATAGTAACCTACAGCAATGAAAATGAATAAACTACAGCCATATCAACATGGGTAAATCTTAAAGACAGATTGATCAAAAAAGTTCAAGACATGTAAATGAAAAACTCTGTGATTCCATTTACATAGAGCTCAAAAATAATATTGTTTAAGGATGAGTAATTAGGCAGTAAAACCAGAAAGAAAAACAAGAAAGTAAATATGGTAATAATCATGATGTGGCCATCTCTAGGCACTTGAAGGTTATAAGGGAAGGAGCACATTGGGGCCTTTTGGAGTGTTGAATGTTCTACTTTGGCCCATATGGGGTTACATGAGTGTGTTATCGTGCTCAATAGTATACTTCAGTTTTAGAAACTTTTCTGTATGCTTGCCATCACCAACAAATCATTCTAATCATTTCTTTTCTTCATATGTTCTGATTCTTCCTCTATTCCAAAGCATCTACAGTGTCTCAAAGAGACTTGGGATTGCTACAGCAAGACTACAAGAACAAATAATTGAAGGGGTTCAGAATAAGCTACCATGGCATAAAAGTTATTTTGAGCTGAAGGACTTGAGTTCCTGAAATCCCTTATGTGCCTAAAAGTAAAGCCTCCCAAAAGACCTCAATTGTAATAAATCCCCTCCTGGGGAGCAATTCTAATATTTTCTTCTCTGAGGAGACATCTGCACCACACCCAGACATTGCTACAAAACTATCGTATCTTCCATCTATTCTCCTAAAAGTCCATTTATCTTTCCAAAAAGTGTTTTGTTTTCTCTAAATGCTTTGTCTCTCCCTCACTTCCTTTGAAGAAGTCATTTACTCTCCTAGAAGGGCCTCTCTGCCCTTCTTTGTCCCCTATTAAGATGGTATATAAGCTCTAAATTCTAACCACCTAGGGTCAGTTATTTGTGAATTTCTCTTTCTTTCTCCCTCTCTCTGTGTGTGTGTACATATGTAATTAAATGTCTTTTTTCTCTTGCTATCTTTGTTGTTTTAATTTGCAGGCCCCCAAAGAGGAAACAAGAGAGCGCAGAGGAAAAGTTTTTCCTCCCTGACACAGCTCAGTCTTTAAAAACACTTCCAAAGTCGGTTCTCAAGAACAAAAAAGCCTTGTCAAGACTGAAACATAGCATTTGACCCAATTTCTCTCCCAGCTCTGGCCACAGAGATTGGCTGAAAAACACCTGAACCAGGAGTAAAAAGACAGGGTGCTGGAAATAACATTGAAAAAGATTTGGGGGCCAGGAGGGAACAATGGGCCTTGATAAGAATGGTGGAAAAAGAGACTATCTAAGTGGGCTGAGTGCCATGTCAGTGGACAGGGCAGAAGGCCTAGGTTAAGAGCTGTTATCATTGCAGACTGTGAGGGCTGCCTGCTGCCTAAATACGCATCACCCAGCAAGGGACATCCACTTTCCTCTGGGCTGCCCAGTGGGACGCGCAGAACATCTCTGTCAAAGATGAAGGGTGAGGTCTTGGACCACCTGACATGGTACCATGTTCCTTTTTCCATTCCTCACAACCCTTCTATCCCTATAGATTTAGTCTGCAGGGCCCGAGAATCTATATTTCAATAAGCACTGTGGTGACTCTTATGCAGGTAGCCTCTGGCACTGGCATACCACTTCCCAGAGAAACTCAGCAATAAGAAGAATCTCCAGTGGCATTTGTCAAAAAATCCACATTTCCAGGCCCCCTATACCAGACAAGTGAAATCAGAATCTCTAGGGGATGGGCCTGAGAATTTGAGTTTTTGATAAGGGACACTGGTGACTCTCAGAGAAGTCTGGGAAACTGCTCTAGTTTAAAATTCTGTTCTCAATATATTTTTATTTATTTTTTGAGACTGAGTTTTGCTCTTGTTGCCCAGGTTGGAGTGCAATGGTGACATCTCAGCTCACTGCAACCCTCTGGCTCCTGGGTTCAAGTGCGTCTAAATATGTTTAAAAACAAAACATCTTATTTACAATAAAGACATATGTATTTTGAAAAAATAAGTACCCTGCAGAAAACAAAAAATTGCAAATGGTAATATATATTTTTTTCTCCAGCCCAGTGCTGCAGACCTAAAGATTCCAATGTTTACATCTTCCCTTGAAGTCACAAAAATATCTTAAACTTAACGTGTTCAAATTGAAATTACCCTCTTCCCCCAAACCTGGCTCTCTTCCAGTGTCCTCCATATCTCAATGATGGCATTACTATCCACCCACTGGGTCTGCTAGAAATTCTGAGTTATCTGACTCCTCCCTCTCCCTCAGTCCCCATCCCACCCCATGATATTTGAATCCATCACCAAGACCTTCCACTTTACTTCCTATTGTTCCATTTCCCCCACTTCTGTCCATCTCCTTGTTCCTACCCCAAGCCACTTGCATGCCTACCAACACTAACACCACTCATAGATTTAATTAGTCCAGTGCTGGCTCTGCTTGTGTTCCCACACTGCAGCTGGAATGATCTTTTCAAAACACAGATCCAATCATGTCAAATGCCCTCCCCCTCCCTTTTTCTCTTAAGATTACAGTTCTTAATATGGCCAATAAGACTCTGCTTAATCTGGTCTCCAGCTTCAAACTGGTGCACTTTCTCCCTGCAACCTAGGCTCTAGCCACAATAGCCTCCTTTCAGTCCCTCAGGCTTGCAGTGTTCCCTTCTGACAAAAAGGCTTTACACATGATATTCCCTCTGTTTCCCACTCTCCCTTTTTCAGTTTCTCATCTTTTGGATCTCCATTCTGGTGTGACTTCCTCAAAGAAGCCTTACCTAACCTCTTTGACCATACCAATGAATGCCACTTATGTAAGTTCTTAAGTTCTCATAACACCTAGGTAAATTCAACCTATTTTAAACTAGACCATTTAAAACTCCATTGGTTAGAGCAATTTGTTTCCTCTCTCCAAGTATTCTCTGGTGTTCTTCTCTGTTGTTCTTTGGATTTCATTCTTTAGACCCTATCCCAGAACAATTTCAGGGTTAGTAGGGGATAACTCTTGACATTTGGACTCTGCTAAAGCAGCACCTTCACTGGCTTTCTCACATTCTCTCCGGCTGCTGTTTTCTTATCATTTTCCAATACCGTGAACATTAGCCTCTATCACAGCACTTATTTAGTCTGCATTGTATTTTTTTTAAGGTTTCTCTCACTAGTGTCAGCGGCTTTAGGACAGCTGGTTTATTTATCTCTGTATCCTCAGCACGTAACACAGGGCCTTGTCAATAAATATTTGGAACCACCCTGTAGCCTGAAGTCCAGCCACAATAGTGTGTATGTTGATTTCTCTGCTTGTAATGTCTTTCCCTCACTTTATTTGCTCGATGAACAACTATTCTTGATATGAAGGAGGCAGTGGCTTAGTGTTACCTTCAACAGTGTACATAATCTTTCTACATTTCAGTTTCCTCATTTGAAAAATGATACTAAAAAGGTTGTTGGGAGGATTAAAAGAGTTAATGATTAAATACTTCTCTCCCTTCTCTTTCCAGGTCAAA
This sequence comes from Homo sapiens, assembly GCF_000001405.40. Taxonomy (NCBI): domain Eukaryota; kingdom Metazoa; phylum Chordata; class Mammalia; order Primates; family Hominidae; genus Homo; species Homo sapiens. The sequence goes on along the minus strand of NC_000002.12, from coordinate 176,003,901 downwards.
TCTCTACTCTCGGTAGAGCAATTCCCTAGGGAATTTTATCTCAGGATTAGGTTTTTGGAATCTCGTGTATCCAGACAGCTCTTCTCTGTCCCCTTGCTACCCTTTTTTCAGAGGTGGGGTATCGCTTGGTAGCCCAGGCTGGAGTACAGACACTGATGGCTCAATTGAAACCAGAGGACACATTACTGGCAAGTGGAAAGCCGTTCTTCCCAGTCTTCTTAGGAAAGGAGATCTTTCTGCGGTGAGATATATTTGCAAAACTGCACAGGACTTTAATACTTTGCAACAGCAAAGGTTGAAAAACAAAACGGTTAAATTTCCACATCAAAACAGGTGAAATGTTTCTGTTCATTTTCTTCTACATTTGGAAAGTGCCTGATCCACAGTGACACGCTAAACTTCAGTTCCCTTCCCCTCATCCTTGCAAGTGTACAGAACTGTAACTAAATATTTAGGCAATTAGGGCAAGCAAATTGCACAGTGAATTATGCGGTAGCTTCTAGTATAATAAATTTTCTTACCAACCAAACAATGCTCAGTTGCTTCTCTTGACAACCTGTTTGCATCGTCAAAGTTTAAATGTAACATATTAAAACTATTACTCTTTAAAAAATCATTGAAACTTTTTTGTGTATAAATAAAAAAATAGAATAAAAATAAATAAAAAATAGAAAAAAACCCATGAAAAATGTTTGCACATGGGGTAAAGCATGTAAAAGGGGTAAAGCATGATAAAAACCTTCGCTGAAGTTTCCCTGCTCACACATTACTGTGTGCACGTCTAGTCTTTTTCTCATTCAGGCATCATTTGTTATTTGTCTTTTCCAGTTGAGGAGGACACTTAATACCGTTTCGGCAGCGTTTCAAATCCGAGTCAAATATAGCCTGAGTGGTTTTTTTGTGGGTCCACCTATCAGGGCCTGTGAAGAGTGTTCTTGGGGTTAAGAGTTCTAAGATAGAAAACTCAGCTTATGCTGTTACCCGCAGGTTTTAAAGCAACATGATACGGCGTTTGAAGCTTACCTCACACCGGTGAGGTAAGCGTCCAGTCATCAAATGACCCTTTTTGACGTCCAAGAGTGACAGAGCCTCAAGCACTCCTGGGGACCGGGCTGACTTTTCTCCACTGGCTTGGTTGGGAACTGGCTTCTTCGGAGCTGTGTAGTCTTAATTTGCTTTGCTGCTGGCTGGCTGACAGCTGATGGGGGACTCCTCAGGACGGACTCCCTTCCAGATGCACCCATCTCCATCCTTCTCAACTCCCCAACCTTTGTCCTCCCCACTCTTCGCTCGCGCGGCGGTCTGAGACCACCAGGACCAGTTTCAGGGGTTTCCTTCTCCAGCGAGACTTGGCAGAACAGGCTTTAAAAGCAAAGGAGGCAGCGGAAGAGTAAGAAATAACTATATTCTAAGAGTCATAATAAATGGCAGTACATAACTGCGACACGACACCGAGCAGCCTAAGCTGGCTGCGGAGGCCACAAACACAAGATCCTAACCTCCCGGCCGACCCGCCCCAACAACTACCCGCCCAGGGTACGGTCACGTGACGGGGGAGCGGCGCGCGCCGACCGCGGCGCCAATTGGCGAGCGGCTGGAGCGCGGGGTTTCATGGGAAGGAGTTGGCCCGGCTTGTCTCTCTGTCAGTGGCGGCTGCTGCCTGCTCTGGAGGCAGGCTGGGCGGTGGCGGCCGAGACTGGCGGGGGTGGACGCCCGGGCCGGGCTGCGCCCGCTTCTTGCAGGTAGAACGCTCAAGGCGAGGGCAGTTGGGAGGGCTCTGCAGCGGGGAGGCATGCTGAGCTGTGCCCCTGGGAAATAAGCTGCGGGTTCCCCGCTTGCCTCTCCTTGGTGCCCCCGCCTCCTGCCAAGTGGCCTAGAGCTCTGCGGCGGCTGCTAGTCAGGCTGCGCGGTGGTCCGCGCAGACCCAGGCTCGCCGCCTTGTTCCCTGGATTTCCCAGCACACTGGCAGTGGTGGCGCTGGAGTCTTGAAACCCTTGTTTCCCCTCTAGGGCTGGTAGTTTCTCCAGCTCGGTTCTAGGAGATTCCGGGTGGTGACTGGCTTGAGCCCCAGCTCTTTGGCCCACTTGTGTCGAGCTTATCTCGACACAGGTGGGGCAAAGAGGTCAGAAGGTCCCAAACTAGCATTTCCTACGCTCAGCTGTCCGCTTTGAGCGTTCTCTCCGCTTCTCTTTCTGAGTTGTGCGGAGGCTCCAAGAGTTAGAAAGACCAGAAGGGACTGAAAACTGTCAGTGTCATGCTGCCGGGCTCTAGCGTGTGGGCGTGGAGTACGTGCTACTTAGAGAAGAGACTCTCCAACCATTGTCCTTATTTCAGGGATGGTGGGCTGTGGGGTGGAGGGGAAGGGCGAAGGTGCATTGTATCAGAGGCGTGGTAGGAGGAGAAAAACAAATCTAAATTCCGTCAGTTCATAGTTTACGGATTGAGAAAGAGTTGAAATTGGTCAACTCAGCTTTGCTGATGGTGCTTTCACAGTACTAAGCAAGACCCGTGAATCACTGAGTTTTCCGTGTTCTGCTTTTCCCAGTTGGCCTCCGGTGTGTGTTGCTCGGTGTCTACTGTTTCCTCCTTTCTTTATGGCCTGGGTGTCAGCATTGACAAAATTGACTCTATTCAACAGCGGTTTGGTGGGTGTGAGTAAGCTTGGTTTCAGGAATATGTTCAAACTGGCAGGGAATGCTCATTTCTTTTCCTCAGCAGCCCCCAGAAGACCAAGTTGACTTTTAACACATTTTCTTAAACAGGAGTGGTGCGTTTAAATTAGAATTTTAAGGTTGTCTGTTATCTATTGAGATCAGCTCAGTAATGATGTTAGTAAACTTATATAGTGTTTATATGTTATATAAACAAGAAAATACAAGAAAAGGAGAAGTTATATGGCTATTAAAAATATATGACTTCACATAGAAACATTTATAATCAAATAGTAATTTTTTGGTGGTATTTAGTTCAGATGAAAATTGACTTACCATGAAAGCAAGCACTAATCATTATATATTAAGAGTGCTTAATATATAATAGAGGTGTACTTTTCATTAAAATTCTTTTTGAGGAGCAATAAATGTGGCTTGGGCTATTTCAGAATTGTCTTTTCAGTTAGGACATTTGAAAGTTAGAATTCTAGAATAAATCACCTTTACTCTTCAATTGTATAGTATAATATGTTATGGAGGTACTGTTGATGGTGATTAAATAGCTTATACTTAACTTTGGAATTTGATAAACATAGAACTTCCTTTGCTGTTTCCTTCAAAGACCTACAAGGTTATTTAATGGCAGAGTCTACAGAATTTTTTGCTCTATTTCTTATACTAGAGAAAATGAGAGCAATCTATTTTTGTAAAAATACAAACTAATATAATTTTCCAATTTTAGAATTATGAAATAGGTGCTTTCTTTATAAGAAGTTAGAAATGTGTTTCATATAAATACATGTGTTTTCTGGTAATAATAATGGCTACAATTAAGCAGTTACTACTATGTGTCGGACACTGTGCCAAATGATACATAATTTCATTTAATTTATACAACAATTCTATGAAGTGTAGATATTTTTACCATTTTGCAAATGCAATAACTGAGGCGTGCAGAGTTTAAGTAATCTGCTCAAGATTGCATAGCTAGTATGTGGTTGAGCCATATTTTGAATCCAGATCTATTTTATTGCATTATTTTAATGTGTCTTGGAGTGAGGTGAAAATTTAAGAAAAACATTTCCCAAGATTTAAAATTCTGACACCCAAACCTGAGTGTAAATAGCCATTAGTAGAAAACATTCAAATAAGGTGGTCATTATTGTTCATTGAAAAGCACATTTAGGTCGGGTGGGGTTGCTCACGCCTGTAATCTCAGCACTTTGGGAGGCCAAGGCAGGTGGATCACTTGAGGTCAGGAGTTCAAGACCAGCCTGGGCAACATGGGGAAACCCCGTCTCTACTAAAAACACAAAAATTAGTCGGGAGTGGTGGCATACACCTGTAATCCCAGCTACATGGGAGGCTGAGGCAGGAGAATCACTTGAACCCAGGAGGCGGTGGTTGCAGTGAGTTGAGATTGTGCCACTGCACTCCAGCCTGGGCAACAGACTGAGTGAGACTCAGTCTCAACAAAAAGAAAAACACACTTAGATGCACCCTGCTCTTAAGGTCATGACAGGTCCTGTTGTGGTATCAGATCAGAGTGGAAAGAAACACTCTGTACATGTTCATGGGAGAGTTCTTGGAGAAAAGTCACTTGAGGTTGAACCGTCTGTCCAATCCAGGGCAAGCAAATTGATTTATGCCTCAGAAGGAAATGCAAAGGTTATTCGGTTCCCATGTATTTTCCATGTATTTGAAAGAAAGGAGAGATGGATTAGAAAATAGCTACAACTACAGCAGTAAAAACAGTTTGTATTGAGCAATCACTATGTGCCAAGCACTGTTGTAAACAGGTTAGAATACATTAGGTCATTTAAGTCTTTCAACATTTAAGGGGGTCCTTAACTATCCCTCTTTTACAGATGAGGAAATTGAGTAGCAGATAGGTTAAGTAACTGATTTGTCCAAGATTTTACAGTAAGTGATGGGCCACAGGACTTGGAGTTAATATGTTTGGGTGGAAAGGAGAGCACCAGTGGTTGAATACAGAAGAGGTATGAAATTAAAGCTATGGAGAAATATTTGATTTAATTATTTAATTTTGTTGTGTTTTCACATCTGTTAGAAAGTACCACCTATTACATATGCATTACAGTAAAACAGTTCCTTTAATATCAGAATTTGATAGAAAAATTGCTGAAACTGTGCTGGTTGACTGTTCTTTGATTATGAACCTGAAAGCATGGATATGGCATTTAATGACTATCACTCTAATATTGTTTTAGAGTACAAATTTAAAAGCATAATCCCTTGCTTCAGGGGTCTTAGAGGCTAAGATGTAGATTGTTTCATTAATACCAAAACAATTCTTTAAGCAAATAATTGTCAAAATTGGTATAGTGATATTATGCATATATTTCATATTGTACTTACTTTAAAATTGACATGCAGTAAACAAATAAAGGCTGTGCTTGCAGACTTCTAGTACCAGTTCTGTCCCTAGCTGGAGCTACATGATTTTGGCAAATCATTTAACTTCTCTTTAATGCAGATTTAAACACTCAAATGTAATCAAATAAAGGAATTGGGTTACACAATACATTGTACTAATACTATTTCTTGTGCTTATTACTCACTTTTCATTTCAGTAGATTTGTTTACCAACAATTTGATAATGTCAGAGGTGGTTTCATATATTTTACATATAAATATTCAAATCTAATCTATACAAAGCAGACTTTATTTCTGATTTTGTGTTATTCATAATAACTGGGTGCTTAAAAAATCAAAACTAAAATATTATGTTTGGCTCTGCTGCTTACTGCCTTTTTTTTTCTTTTCTTCTTTTTTTTTTTTTTTTGTGAGACGGAGTCTCGCTCTGTGACCCAGGCTGGAGTGCAGTGGCGCGATCTTGGCTCACTGCAACCTCCGCCTCCTGGGTTCAAGCAATTCTCTGCCTCAGCCTCCCGAGTAGCTGGGATTATAGGCACCTGCCACCACGCCTGGCTAATTTTTATAGTTTTTTAGTAGAGACGGGGTTTCACCATCTTGGCCAGGCTGGTCTTGAACTCTTGACCTTGTGATCCACCCGCCTCGGCCTCCCAAAGTGTTGGGATTACAGGCGTGAGCCACCGCACCCGGCCTGCTTACTGTCTTTGGGATGTTACTTAGCACACTACTTCACTTCTCTTGCCTTAGATTTCTCATTTGTAAAATGGAGGGATAGTAGTATCTAAATGCTAAAATTAATATAAAGTATTTGGGCCGGGCGTGGTGCCTCATGCCTATAATCCCCAGCACTTTGAGAGACCAAGGTGGGCAGATCACTTGAGGCCAGGAGTTCGAGACCAACCTGGCAAACGAGGTGAAATTCCTGTCTCTACCAAAAAAAAAAAAAAATTAGCCGGGTGTGGTGGCCCATGCCTATAGTCCCAGCTACACCTTTGGAGACTGAGATGGGAGAATTGCTTTAACGCTGGAGATGGAGGTTGTATTGAGCCAAGATCGCACCACTGCACTCCAGCCTGGGTGTCAGTGAGACCCTGTCTCAAAAAAAAATTATATTTATACACACACACACACACACACACACACACACAGAGCATTTGTTTTAGGGCCGCTAGAAATGAAGTACTTACTAAGTGTTTAACTGATATTGTTGGTGCCATTAATTTCAAATATTAAAAATTCTGATCACAGTCTTAGGGTGTGATGGTTAGAAACTTGACATTGAAGGATATAATTCTACTTCAAACCAAAATATGTAGGTTGGTTGTGTACAGAACACTGCTAGACACCATACACTAGTTCCAGAATAGTGGAATGATGTATATTTTGAGAATAACAAGTGATTCATATGAATCTACCCCCTTCACCCACCTTTTTGGTAGTTATTTTTAGCATCTCAAGAGGGTTTTTAGATTTACTTACTGTCATAATTCAGATAGAAATTTATAGTTTAATCATTAAAGTTCCTGGATTTTCTACAACCACATTTTAGAAATTTGAGTACTAAGCAAATACTAAATGATTAATAATATTTAGATTGCAACTTAAATAAGACTTGAAACATTCATTATAGTTATAAACCTTAGAGTTTTTCAGGACAGATTATAGGTGTTTCTGTCCTTAAAAATTACTTTGTGAGTAAAAGTATTTTACAGTTAGGCACTTTGTTACTTTTCTGAGAAACTCCAAGATAGCTATGCCTTATGCTAATTACAATATATGAATAATTTTGCAGAGTGAGTGTGCTTACTTGATACTGGTATTATTTTGTGTTTACGTTTATGGTTAAAAAATATGAGAAGTGTGACATAGGTAACCTTTTTGGGGGTGGAAAAGAAGTAGTTTTATACATTGGCAAGTATCTAACTGTAACCTGGTTAAAATATGTCAGTTTGAAATTATACTTTTACCATTTCAACTTAAAAGAATAAAAATTTGTGTAATCATTGTCCAGTAAGTTGATTTAGAATATAATATTGTTGAGTCTATTATAAAACATTCGAGAGTCATAGAAAAGCAACTGAAAGAAGTGGTTATGGAGCTAGCTGAATTGAAGGTCAACTAGCTTCAGGGACTTGTATACAATGTCAGGGAGAAATGTTTATTTGGGCATTGAACAGAAGTGTTTAGTAATAGAGGCTAGAAATCTGAAGATAAAGGGACTCTAGGCCATATTTCTTCTGAGCTATTGGGCAAATCACTAAACCTCTTTTCACTTAGTTTTCTTATCTGTGAGATGGTAATACTATAGACTATCCTGTGAGAAAGTGGTTGTATTATTAACTAATTAAGAGAAAAGAAAATTAAGGCTTAGAATCATTAAGTGATTTGCTAAAGGTCACAGATAACCTTGTAATCCTTATTTTCTTATTCATAACTCAGCTGGCTTTCTCTTATTACTTGTAAGGTGATATTCTAAACATTGTAAAACACTTCTATTCCAGATAACTAGTTTAGTTGGGAGACAGCTGGATAGTAGAAATTATTTAAGTGTATAGTATGAAAGTAGTATGGTAAAACTTTGTTACCAGAACAACATAGAGAACCTATTTTAAAGGATAGAAAATTGCAAAGTGGTAAGAATATACATTTCTAAACTGCATTGTCATTTAAAAAGCTTTTCAAACTTTTTCACTTTTAGATCTGTTCTGGTTTTGAAGAATGGATTTTTAAAAGGTGGGCTTGGTGGTGTGCGATGGCTCACGCCTATAATCCCAGCAGTTTAGGAGGCCAAGGCGGGCAGATCACTTGAGGCCAGGAGTTCAAGACCAGCCTGGCCAACATAGCAAAACCCCGTCTCTACCAAGAATACAAAAATTAGCCAGGCATAGTGGTGCGCACCTGTAGTCCCAGCTACTCAGGAGGCTGAGCCACAAGAATCGCTTAACCCGGGAGGCAGAAGTTGCAGTGAGTTGAGATCTCGCCACTGCACTCCAGCCTGGGCAACACAGAGAGTCTCCATCTCAAAAAAAAAAAAAAAAAAAAAAAAAAAGGTAGACTCTATCCCAATAACTGTCTGAAATCAAATTCCATATATGTGGCATCCAAATAAATTAATATTTCATAACATTTTTTAGGCAGTATTGCAACATCTATAGTGGGTATGCTGTGTGTTTAACTTAACATTTTAAATACTTGCTTTATTTCTAGCTGTGAATTCCTTTGGACAATTGATGATATTTATCATTGTGCCCAGTTTCTACAAATAAAAGATGGGTGGATTATTTTCTCGATGGAGGGTAAGGTACTTTTCTTTACAGCTAGTTCTTGAGTCTAATATAAAAGTGTCACATAAAGCTATTTGTGAAAGTCTCCTTTGATTATAGCCTTGAATAGTAGTTTGCTATTTTCCTTAACTTTTTTCTTCTCTTTTGAATTACTTTTCTATTTTTTTATTTTAATACTTCCATTTGTTCTGTAGGTGTCCAATGCCTCTGTTTAACAGAATTATTTCACTTGGATGTATGAATTATTTTTATTTCTGTATTTCTGTATTTGTGTGCAAATGGCTATCTTGTTTTCTTATACTTCCTAAGTTTCAAGCTTATTTGAAAGGTAGTTGAAAGTAAGTATTCTAGGCCGGGTGTGGTGGCTCACATCTATAATCCCAGCACTTTGGGAGGCTGAGGCGGGCAGATCATGAGTTCAGGAGTTCAAGACCAGCCTGGCCAACATGGTGAAACCCCGTCTCTACTAAAAATACAAAAATTAGCTGGGCGTAGTGTTGCGCGCCTGTAATCCCAGCTACTCGGGAGGCTGAGACAGGAGAATGGCTTGAACCCAGGAGGTGGAGGTTGCAGTGAGCCAAGCTTGTGCCCCTGCACTCCAGCCTGGGTGACGGAGCAAGACTCAGTCTCACAAAAAAAAAAAAAAAAAAAAAAATTCTATACAAGACTTGTTTTTTACAGACTGTATCTTTTTACTTGAAGCTTATCATAAATATTGACTAAAGTCACACTGCCTGTGCTTTTAGAAATTATAGGTTAAACAAAATTAGAAATGCAGTTTGATTTTATTGGATAAGCTTTTAGAGGAAGTATCTCAAAGTTACAGCTCGAAAATATGAATTGTATAAATTATATAACCCCGTCTCTACTAAAAATACAAAAATTAGCTGGGCATGGTGGTGGGCGCCTGCAATCCCAGCTACGCGGGAGGCTGAGGCAGGATCGCTTCCATCCAGGAGGTGAAGGTTGCAGTGAGCCGAGATTGTGCCACTGCACTCCAGCCTGGGCGACAGAGCTAGACTCTGTCTCAAGAAAAAGAAAAAAAAATTATATAAATGCTCTTTTCAAAAGTAAGAGGAGATAAGGTAGTCTAGGATAAACTACTTATTTTTTTTTACTCCTTATTACCATAATAATAGAGTCTAACTATACTTGGTACACAATTTAGGTTTTGGGGTATTGCTGGAACAGCCTTGTTTTGGATCAGCATTATATTGACCCTGTTATGACCTTATAATAATCTGCCCAAGGATCAAATTTATCTCTTCTTGTTTTGTCTTTCATAATAGGTTGAACCATATGAAATTGCCAGTATTCAACTGCTTGGACTTAGCAAAATGTCAGTTTCATATGGTTAACCCTAATGTTAACAACTCTTATGGAAACTACAATGAACTGATATTCATTACCCTCTTGGATTGTTGAGTATGTAATTGGTAAATATTTTTTCAAGTGTTTTATGAGTGATTTTGGCTGGTTTTCATTCTAGATGTATAAAAAATATCATTGGCAAACAAGCTTTGCTATAATGAAGTATTCTTAGATGTCCTTTTAAAATCTGATCTGCAAAAAGTACTTTAGGAATTTAGAAAGAAGATAACCTGTTGATTTTGACCTCCAGAGTCTTAAGTGAACTTTTAGCAATAGCAAATCAGACCATTTTTAGTCTGTAATTTTTTTCAATGTGTTAATTCTTTTGAGTAATCATTCCTAAGAATTTTTTTTGGAGGAAAACGTGTGTTTTTTAAATTTTTTAATTTAATTTAATTTTTTTTTTGAGATGGAGTCTTGCTCTGTCACCCAGGCTGGAGTGCAGTGGTGCGATCTCGGCTCACTGCAACCTCTGGCTCCCGGGTTCAATCAATTCTCGTGCCTCAGCCTCCTGAGTAGCTGGGATTGCAAGCGCATGCCACCACGCCCAGCTAATTTTTGGATTTTTAGTAGACCAGTTGGCGAAGCTGGTCTCAAACTCCTGACCCTAAGTGATCCGCCCACCTTGGCCTCCCAAAGTGCAGGCGTGAGCCACCGTGCGTGGCCAAAATTTGTTTCTTTCTAGAACGGTGTGTTCTATTGAGGTTAAGAATGGTAAAAATTGAGCTATCAGAATTAAAAGTCTTTCTAGGATTAAAACAGTTAAGTAGGGAAATGCTTATTTCTTTAATCTTACGTAGTTCTATTTGCAATTATAATTTTTATTTAAATAAATCTTAGTTATAAACAAGAATGCATATTTGACAAGATTTGAGAAAATTTAATTTTGAAATAAATGTTCTTTAATGATTATATCAAAATGTAAAGGTTTGTGATAAGTTTTAATGCTGTCTCTTGTTTCTGTTTGTATAACAGACAAAACCTTCAACTGTAGAAGTTCTAGAAAGTATAGATAAGGTATGTTCTTTGGCTGTGAGGTATTTTAATTCATTTTAGGTATTAAGTAAATATTATTGTAGTATATATTATTTTGGAGACCAAATCTGGTATGGGAATTTAGAAATGATATAGAGTGAGTCTGAGAACTTTAATATTATGTGATCTCAAAAAATCCAAAGTCTATCCGTGACTTAAGAAGTCTGTTTCAAGTAATAGAGCCAGTTAGAATGAAATTAGATCTGTAGTGTGGTGTAAATCAGTGTTACAGGTAGGACAAAATAGATGAGATACTGTACAATAGTTTTTATCAGTCTACAAAATTTTCACAGCTTTTTATATACTATTATCAAAAATGATTATTTTCTGGGAATATTGAGAGTGATAAATAGATGGGTTACTGTTTTAATTTTTATTAATTATTTTTCTTATTGCCAGATTTTTTAAATGCCTTTTATAGGAGGAATTATTACTTATTTGACTCAACAAATATTATTGCCGATACCAATTTCATTCCCTGAATCTTTGCCAATTTGATAGTTTAAAAATAGTAACTAACTTTGCATTGTAAAAATGATGTTAGAATAAGCATTATACATTTTTAACTTCATTTTTAGTTTTCTTTTTCATATTATGTTTTGTTTTAAACTGTTAGAATATTATGCTTTACTGAACTTTAAATAAGAGTTTTTTCTTAAATATCTTTCCTGCTAAAATTTTTTAACATTTTAATTTCTTTATGAAGTTTGAAATTTACTAACATGGAATAATTTTCTCTTAACAGGAAATTCAAGCATTGGAAGAATTTAGGGAAAAAAATCAGAGATTACAAAAATTATGGGTTGGAAGATTAATTCTGTATTCCTCAGTTCTCTATCTGTTTACATGCTTAATTGTATATTTGTGGTATCTTCCTGATGAATTTACAGCAAGACTTGCCATGACACTCCCATTTTTTGCTTTTCCATTGATGTAAGTAAATTATTCTTTTTGTTGATCTTTTCCTTTTCTGACTAGAGAGTCTTAATGTATATCTAATATGTATATTCGGTCTCTTTATTATTAAATGGTAATATCTGATTGAGTTTGAATTTCTTTCACAATTTGAAAAGATTTTTTTAGTAGAACAATTGTTCTAAACCTTCATTTGTAATCCAATATACCTGAGGAATATTACCTAGTAATATGAGTAATAATTGCTCTATATGGCAATGTTTTATGATTTTCTAGTAGATGACCATGCTCCCCGAAGGGCACTGGGCATGGAGTAGTGGGTAATGGCAAGTGGGGCAGGGTTTGTAAAAACGAAAGAATAACTGCTCAAATTATTCTGAATATATTCACCTCAACTCTCTTCCCTTCGTTTTACTGCTATATGGTCACTGCTATAAAGCAATTGACCCTTATTTTAGAAATATTTTATAATATAGCACTGTATAGGAGGCGTATCATGACTGAGAATTTTGAGAGACAATTTAATAAAAAGTTTGTTTATTCAGTCAACAAGCATTTATGGGTACCAGTTGTTTAGACATTGGATTATAATGGTGTATGGTACATAAAAATACAAAATTCTCTGACTGTATATCTTAGACTGCAAACATTAAGTAATGAGTATGATGAATGTTATAAACAGAAGTGTAAAATGCTATGGGAGCATTTAATAGGGGCATTGCCTCAGTCTGAATACTACTATAAAAAAATGTGTTTGTTTAGTCTTTAGTGCAGGGCATATTTTCAATTTGAAACTCCTGAAGCTTGTAAAATTATAAGTTCGTATGTAGCTACAAGAGCTGAAATTGAGTGCTTTCATAATATTGCAAAATAATTATCTCTGCTACTTTCTTTATTTTCATTTTTTGAAATCTTTTGGAATGCTTTTATCCCAGAAGTAGTGGATTTTATAATTGTGAGCCCCTTTTCCTTGTTTCCCTTATCTTTTTTCATAAGAGGAGAGGAAAGAAAATTACAAAATAAGTATGAGATGTTTAGTAAATTTAAGCACTTTTAAATACTCAAAAATGCACTTTACATATATTTCCATATAAAGATTGATTTTTTGATCATAAAAGACTTGTATCTAGTTGTAACAGAATGTCTGATAGGGAACTCTACTGTGTTAATTCTAATGGCTATCCAAAAACTATGATCTAGGTTTGCTATTATGATTCATAACAGTTTTTTGGGGGGCAAATAAATTATATACTAATTGTTCTTTAGAAGCAGGAAAACTTCATTTCTTTAAAAATGTAATTTCTTCAATTCAGTCTTTCTGATATTTTGGGTATGAAGCTTTCTTATCCTTACTGTGTCCTTCTGATTTTTCTGCATCACCTGCATCTAGTATATCTTGGCTTGTTTAGCTTCAGAGCCATTTTTCACTTCATCTCATTGATATTTGTAACCTCGTTCTCAGCTGTTGTAGCTTCTATTTCAGTGAGCTTTTCACTTTTTGAAGCACAGACCGGTTATCCAACAAAGAATAGCATTGTCCTTCTGATCAATGACAATCAAAAAACATGAAATAAAACAATGTGAAAGTGGATGTTGTGGTAAAAAGAAAGAAGACTTAACACAGGACATTTTCTTATGTATGTAATGTGAGTTTTTGCCTTTTGTGTGTAATGTGAGCTTATCCCTGGACTTTTTTCTTTGGGAAACAGTGTCTTAGTCTGTTTAGTGTTGCTATAAAGGAATACCTGAGGCTGGGTAGTTTATAAAGAAATGAGGTTTATTTGGCTCATGGTTCTGCAGACTGTACAAGAAGTATGGCACCAGCATCTGCATCTGGTGAGGGCCTCAGGCTGCTTCATTCTTGGCAGAAGGTGACAGGGAGCCAGCATATGCAGAGATCACTTGGTGAGAGAGAAAGCAAGAGATAGGGGAGGTGCCAGTTTCTTTTTAACAGCCAGCTCTCTCAGGAACTAATAGAGGGCAAACTCTCGCCATGCCCCAGGGAGGACATTCATCTGTTCATGAGATCCGCCCCCATGACCCAAACAACTCCCATTAGGCCCCACCTCCAACACTGGGGGACAAATTTCAACATGAGGTTTAGAGGGTCAAATATCCAAATTATAGCAAACAGTTTTGAGGGCTGGACTCGGATTTACTTAAAGACTTAGAGGCAAAAGGGGCAATAAAGTATGTTGTTTTGCTCAACACTGTGTACATTGATTATATAGTTTAGAAATCTACCTGGTATCTGTAAAAAGTGACTGCTGTCTACACATTCCCAGTTTCCCAAATGCTTTTACTGGAAAGGTCATGGATCAGGACTGAACATATATTGTATAACTATTCCAAAATTATTCTTTATGGTAGAATATCAATACTCTAATATCCTTTGAAATTTTATTATATTTTCACTTCAGAATGTAATATGGAGGAGTTTAATATAATTCCACATACTGTTTTTTGGCCTTTCAGATTCAATAGTATATTTACCTCCCTTGATCTTTTCAACTATTACTGAAACTTAAATCATAATATAAATGCCAAATTTATTTTGTAGGAGTCATTAAGGCTACACACCGTAGTGAGGGAAGGTTTGGGTTACGTAAAGTTACAATTTTGTATTTCTGCATTATGCTAGCAAACATGCATTACCTTGGGAGTTGGTTCATTTTCTAAGTCAGCAACCATTAAGTTTTATTTCTATGTTAACTAATGCTTTAACTAATGCTTAGTTAACTATGTTAACTAAGTAAAAGTCTTGTAGACTTTTACTTTCGGATACCTTATTTTTACGAATTATAACTTTCTAGACATTTCATTCTCTGTAATTTTAGAGACTGATCATCATCATAAGATATTGAGGAGTTAGCCATAATTTTTTTATTTGTTTTTGCCTCTCAAAATGGGGTTGTTGGGGAAGAAATTTAAGCAAGGGAATTGAGGAAAGTGGTCATATTCCTATTTCTCTTCTTGTATCTCCACTTAAATTGAAAACCATTTAAGGATAGGGATTTGTTCTTATACAATTTTCATGCCTCCTCTCTCTCCCCACAAGTAGCACATGTTAGGTATTTCCTCAATCCAGCTAGGTTGACAAACATAATTTGTAACCTTTTGAAGAAAGTTAAATGTTTATTTCATGATACACTAGTAAGAATACAAGTGTCTTTCAGCCAGGCGTGGTGGCTCACGCCTGTAATCCCAGCACTTTGGGAGGCCCAGGCGGGCGGATCACGAGATCAGGAGATCGGGACCATCCTGGCTAACACGGTAAAACCCCATCTCTACTAAAAATACAAAAAAAATTAGCCCAGCACGGTGGTGGGCTCCTGTAGTCCCAGCTACTTGGGAGACTGAGGCAGGAGAATGGCGTGAACCCGGGAGGCAGAGCTTACAGTGAGCCGAGGTCACGCCACTGCACTCCAGCCTGGGCGACAGACTCAAAAATAACCTCAAAAGGAATTTTTAGATATGGCTTTTATATATAATAAAGAAGACATTTGGAAGGAAAAATGGTTTTGAGTTGTATGCCCCAAAAAACAAAAGCAAGAAATACTTGATTCTTATTTTTTACACCAAAATAAATCATTGTTACTATTTTGCCTAAACATGAAGGTAATTATTGCTGAAGTCTTTGGTGGTTAAATAAGCTGACAAAGAAGTCAACATAGTTATAAATATTAAGACCTGTATATAAATTCATCTTTAGCTTTTTTTTTTTTTTTTTTTTTTTGGAGACAGAGTCTTACTCTGTTGCCCAGGCTGGAGTGTAATGGTGCACTCTTGCCTCACTGCATCCTCTGCCTCCCAGGCTCAAGCAATTCTTGTGCCTCAGCTTCCTGAGTAGTGGGGATTATACGCATTCACCACCATCCCTATCTAATTTTTGTTTTTTGTTTTTTTTTTAGTAGAGATGGGGTGTCAGCATGTTGACCAGGCTGGTCTCAAACTCTTGGCCTCAAGTGATCTGCCCATCTCAGCCTCACAAAGTGTTGGTATTACAGGCATGAGCCACCACGCCCAGCTCATCGTTAGATTTATATATTGCTAAATCTCATCTAAAAACATTTTGATAAATTGGATAGGGCTTATGATATGGTTGTTTGAAAAAGAACACTTAAGTTTGGCAGAAAGGGTGAAAGAGGTAACAAAATAATGTTGCATATATGAAGGTTGGTGAAAAACCACCAGGTTTATAGAATGTTAATTCTTTACCCAAAGTAAGGAAGGTTTAGTTATATTGATTGAATTGAGATATTCTGCTATATTTCAACTTTTAGCATTTTTAGTTTGAGTACAGTAAAACACTGAATATTGAGCTTTTAAAATGTTTACGCTGTCCTCTGTGTGATTCTATTATATTGAAGTTCCAAGTATTTCCTGCTAGGACACATATTTTTTTAGTTCCAGTCATTAGATATTACTGAACAAAAATTCATGCTGTAGTAATATTCCAAGTAGCATTAATTTCATTCAGAAAAGAACAACAAATGCTTTGATGAATGTGAGTCAAAGAAATTTTTTATTTCTCAACTGATTGTATATAGGAATGTAGTGATTTTTTTTTTTTTAATTATACTTTAAGTTTTAGGGTACATGTGCACAATGTGCAGGTTTGTTACATATGTTTACACGTGCCATGTTGGTGTGCTGCACCCATTAACTCGTCATTTAACATTAGGTATATCTCCTAATGCTATCCCTCCCTGCTCCCCCCACCCCACAACAGGCCCTGGTGTGTGATGTTTCCCTTCCTGTGTCCATGTGTTCTCATTGTTCAATTCCCACCTATGAGTGAGAACATGCGGTGTTTGGTTTTTTGTCCTTGCGATAGTTTGCTAAGAATGATGGTTTCCAGTTTCATCCATGTCCATACAAAGGACATGAACTCATCATTTTTTATGGCTGCATAGTATTCCGTGGTGTATATGTGCCACATTTTCTTAGTCCAGTCTATCATTGTTGGACAAATGGGTTGGTTCCAAGTCTTTGCTATTGTGAATAGTGCCACAATAAACATACGTGTGCTTGTGTCTTTATAGCAGCATGATTTACAATCCTTTGGGTATATACCCAGTAATGGGATGGCTGGGTCAAATGGTATTTCTAGTGATTTTCTATACTAATTTTATATTCAACTACAATAATAGTCTTATTGTTTGTAATAATTTTTTTGGTTGATTCTTTGAGAGCTTCCAAGTATGCAATCATATAATCTGTAAATAGCAATAATTTTACCACCTCCTTTTGTTTTTTTCGTTTGTTTTTTTTTTTTCTTGTTTGATATTTTTTATTTTTTTTCTCTTGGCTAATTATGTTAGCTAATACCTTCAGGACAATGTTAAGTTGTAGAGAAAATAGTGGACATACTTGATGTGTTTTTTTGGGAATTCTTCTAATGTTTCACCATTGGGCATTATTCTGACTTTTGGATTGAGACAGATATATTTGATCATGTTAAGGAATTTTCTACCTGTTCTTACTGTATTTAGTTTTTTTTAATCAAGAAAGGTTGTTGAATGTTGTTAAATACAGTTCATTATCTATGGAGATACCATATGATTTTTCATCTTCTCTTGATACAAAGGGATTATATTAAATATTGAATCATTCTTGAATTCCAGGAAAAATTTCTGCTTTCAGTTTTGTGATCATTTTATAAAAACATCCAAAAACTTTTCTTTATTTTCATTCTTTATTTGTTGAAACAATAACACTGTACATGTTTTTGAAACTATGACATTTTCTGACCACTGCTTTAGTTTTATGCCATGGGTCTTGATACATAGTGATTTATTTTGGTTATTTTCAAGATATGATGTTTTTTTGGAGGGAGTTATAATCTATCAGTTATTTATGGATGGCAAATATATATTTATATTTTTATTTATTGTCTTAGTTAAAATTTCTAGTTTTATTGTATTGCTCTCAGAGAATGTTAAATATTTCTGATTTAAGTTTATTGAGTTTTTTTGGTGGAATGTTATTTGGCCAATTTTTTAAGTGTTTCATGAACATTTGAAGATGTATTCTCTTTTTTCAGTTATACAGAGTTGAATATTAGCAATGAGAACTACCTTATGCTATATAGATCTTCTACATCCTAATAACAGTGTATTTCTGCTTTTCCCCGTATTTCTTCTAGTTTTGCTTTACAAATGTTGATGCTTTGCTCTTTACATGGGTATTTCTGTTATATCTTCGTTAGAAACACATCCTTTAAGAAGAATTTTTAATTTTGAAAAAATTATAGATTAACAGTAAGTTGCAGAAAAAAATGTACAGGCAGGTTGCAGGTACCCTCACCTAGCTCACCCCAATGGTAACATCTATATGGTAGTTTTTCCTTCATCCATAGTTTTGCCCTCTGCAGTTTCAGTTAACTGTGGTCAATTGCAGTCTGAAAATATTAGTTTTTCGAGAGAGACTACATTCATATAACTTTTATTGCAGTATAGTTATACTTGTTCTATTTTATTATTAGTTATTTTTGTTAATCTCTTACTATGCCTAATTTATAAATTAAATCCCTATACCTACATGGTATGTATTTATAGGAAAAAACTTAGTATATGTTGGATTTGGTACTGTCCATGGTTTCAGGCATCCACTGGGGGTCATGGAACATATATCACTGAGATTAAGGGAGAACTACTGTAGTAAATTTCTAGTTAGCCTGGAAAACGGGAAGATATGCCTTTATACCAACACGACCTATAAATAACTGACCCAAAGTGAATGTACCACAAAGTAAAAGGTTTTAATTAATTATAAAAACCAAAAGCAAAAAAAGTTGTTTCAAAACAGACCAACGTCTTTCATATCAACAAATATTAAGCCAGGAAATTGACATTGCTTCAATCCACGGAGCCTATTCAGAGTTCATCAGTTTTATATGAATTCCTTTGAGTGGGTTTTATATTTCTGTGCAATTTTATCGCCTGTAGCTTTGTGTAACCACCGCACAATTCAGATCCAGAACTGTTCCATCACCACAAGGCTCCTTTTTGCTACTCCTTTATAGCCATACACATCTTCCTCCACTTTCCGCATTCCTAACCCCTGCCATCCATTAATCTGTTTTCTGTCTCCACAAATTTGTTATTTCAAGAATGTTATAAGATGGACTCACATAGTATGTAACATTTTGAAATTGGCGTTTTTCACTCAGTATATTCTTGAGATCCATCCAAGTTGTTCAGTGTGTCAATAATTCCTTTCTTTCTCTGAGCAGTATTCCATGGTATTAATGTATCATAGTTTAACTATTCACCAGCTGAAGAGCATTTGCATTGTTTCCAGTTCTTGCTATTACAAATAAGGCTGCAATGAATATTTTGTACAAGTTTTTGTATGAACATAAGTCATTTCTCTGGGGTGTATGCCCAAGAGTGCAAATGCTGGAGTATATGGTAAGTACATGTTAGTTTTATAAGAAATTGCTAAACTTTTTTTCAGAGTAGCTATACCATTTTACATTTCCACTAGGTAGGTGTGAGTGATCTAGTTTCTCTTCATCCTTGCCAGCATTTGGTGTTAATCACTCTTTTCTATTTTGACTGTTCTGATAGGTATGTAGCAATATCTCATTGTGGTTTTAATTTTTTGTTTCCCTAATGGCTGAGGATGTTTCATGTGGTTATTTGCCATTAATATGTATCTTTATTAGCAAAATGTTTATTCATGACTTTTGTCCAATTTTCTAATTGGATTATTAGTTTTTTTAACTGTTGAATTTTGAGAGTTCTTCATATATTATAGATAAAAGTTCTGGCCGGGTGCAGTGGTTCACGCCTGTAATCCCAGCACTTTGGGAGACTGAGGCGGGCAGATCATGAAGTCAGGAGTTCAAGACCAGCCTGACCAACATGTGAAACCTCGTCTCTGAAAAATACAAAAATTAGCGAGGCATGGTGACGCGTGCCTGTAATCCCAGCTACTAGGGAGGCCGAGGCAGGAGAATCACATGAACCCAGGAGGCGGAGGTTTCAGTGAGTCAAGATCGCGCCCCACTGCACTCTAGCCTGGGCAACAGAGCTAGACTCCGTCTCAAAAAAAAAAAAAGTTCTTTGTTGGATATATATGGTTTACAGCTTTTTTTCCCCCTAATCTTTAGATTGTCTTGTCTTTTCATCTCCCAACAGGGTCTTTTGCAGAGCAAAAGTTTTTAATTTTGATGAGGTTCAAGTTATCAGTTTTTCCCTTTATTAATTGTGTTTTTCATGTCAATTCTGAGACCACTTTACCTTGCTACAGGTTGTGAAGATTTTCTCTTACTTTTTTTTTCTATACCTTAAATTTTTTTTTTTTAACATTTAATTTCATAATCCATTTTGAGTTAATCAAGGTTCAGGTCAAGGTGGTTTAATTTTTGTTTTTTGTTTTTGCCTGTGGATGTGCTCAGTCAACGTTTTTTGGAAAGGAATCACATTTTTTTTTTTAACTTTATAATGTGACTTTCTTTTAGTTTAAAGGTTTTTTAAAAAAAGTTTAACCATTGGGGTTTTATGATCACAACCCTTGTTTTGTTTGCATTTGCCTGCTATACCTTTGTCTATGGTTTTATTTTCAACCTTAAAAGATACTTAGTTTTAGATGCATCCATTTACATTATAGAGTTGGGTTTTGTCTGGTGTTACAGTGTGAAGGTCTTTTTCTTTTACCTTAGTGAGTTTAGCCCACTTAATATTTGTTGATATGAAAGAAGTTGGTCTGTCTTGAAACAATTTTTTTTGCTTTTGGTTTTTATAATTAAAACCTTTTACTTTGTGGTACATTTACTTTGGGTCAGTTATTTATAGGTCGTGTTGGTATAAAGGCATATCTTCCTGTGTTCCAGGCTAACTAGAATTTTCCTTATGATTCAGGATTTTGTGTGTGAATTTGTTTAGCTGTTATTTTTTCCCAGCCAGTGGGGCTAGGCAATTGTATTTCTTTCACAATACAAAACTTCCCCCCAACCCCCTTGCCATAGGAACAGAATACTCTTTGTAAATAGTGCACTTCTGAATAATTTCTTTTTAATTCCTGCCTTCTCTCTTTTTTTATTGGAACCAAACTGAGGAGTGTCTGCCTGTAGCTGTGCATCTTGTTCTCATTGTTACAAACATGGGTTTTAAGTTTTACACTTGGAAAAGTTTACCTTATTACCTCTTTGTGAAATATGCAGTTTTCTTGTTTTGCTTCCACTTTTTGGAGCCCCTGTGTAATAATCTCCATTGCTTTTGAGAGTGCCTCCACATATTCTGATGGTTGAGTTTTAGTTATATCTCTGTTTTACCAGAGAAGTAGTTTGCAGTTTTATTTTTATTCTCCTTGTTGTTTGGATTATTTTTATGAAGAGAAGGGGGAAGTGGATCTTATGCCACTATTCTCTAACTAGAGGTTAGTAATAATATCCTTAATATCGTCAATATCTTCACAAAATATGTTGCTATATTTTAATACATTATTTTTAATTATTGGGAGAGCAAAACCTTTGTTGGGATAACTAAAACAGAGTCCTGAAGTACTTTAGTTCTTTTTCTAAATTTTATTTAAAAATATAAAAGGGCTAGGCATGATGGTTTATGCCTGTAATCCCAGTGCTTTGGGAGGCAGAGGCAGGAGAATCACTTGAGGCCAGGAGTTCAAGACCAGTCTGGGCAACATGGTGAGATCCTGTCTCTACAAAAATAACAAAAAATACCAAAGAATTTCATTTAATTTAGCCCTAAAGAAAAATAAATTCTGTTTTACCTTTTGAAGTCTTGAAGACTTGACATATGGAAATGTCTGTTGTTTGATAGCTTATGTTATCTAGGAGGAATTCTGATAAAAACCAGAGGAATTTATTGTCCACAGAGAGGATTTAGTGAGTTTTATTTTGAAGAGAGTATATTTCAATTTTTGTAGTATTTACACTGACAATTATATATGCTTTTTAAAAAGTATCTACTCATTTAAGAAAATTTATACATTTCCTACAGAATTCTAGCCACTATCTCTGCAATTCCATCTTTTTTTCCCCGTTTTCTTTCTCTGTATGCTTTTTAAAAGTCCTCCTTCCAGCCTGCTACTATTTCAGTGGGTTTGCACTGGAGAAGTGATACGAGACTTTTTTATTATTGCGGAATCCTTGAGGGTTATGGGCATTATGCTTAACCTATATTCTCTTATCTCCCTTCCCTTGGTAAGGACAAAGCCTGGTGTTTTTTGTACTTTTAGGTAATTGTCCAAATGCCAAATAGGAATCTGGTGCTAGTTATTTGGTGTTTTCATGTCACAAAAATAAATCATCACAATATTAAAAAAAAGTGTATTATCTATTCCTGTGTAACAGATTGCCCCAAAACTTAGTAGCTTAAAACAACAGATGTTTATTATGTCTCAGCTTTTGAGGGGCAGGAATGTTAAGAGCTGCTTAGCTGGGTAGTTCTATCTCAGGATCTTTTGTTCTTAGGTAAATTGCAGTTAAGCTGTTGGTAGGGGCCACAGTCATCTCAAGGCTTAACTAAATCCATACAATCACTGTAGATAAAGTCATTGCAGATCTTTACTCCCTCTGCTGTTATCCAATCTCCAGCTCACTGCTCGGTAGGCATTTGCAATTCCCCTGACTTTCTTCATTCTGTTCTTGTGTTCCTTTTGCTTTTTTCTTGAGGTCTTTTTCTTTTCATATAGGCTGTTTTTTGGCAAGCCTATGTTTAGTTTCCTTTTTCTTTGTATAATCCAGGAATTTACATGCCAAAGCTAATTGTCTTGCCACCACCAAAATGCATTCTGAATTCAAATCCCAATAAGATATCTGGTGTGATCCTACTCACTTTGGCTGATTTTTCCCTAATCTACTCCTAAATTCACACAGGTGGCTGTTAGCAGGCATCAGTTCTTTGCTGAGTGTTTACCACAGACCTTTCTTCCTCACTGCATGGACCTTTTCATAGACTTCTTTGACTGTTCTCATATCATGACAGCTGTCTTCTCACAGAGCTTGTAATCCAGGAGAGAGAAAGACAAGTGAAAGAGGAGGCCCAAAATGGAAGCTGCAGTCCTTTATAACTTAATCTTGAAGTGATACACTATCACTTCTGCCATGCTGTTGGTGGCACAGACCAACACTGGTGAGAGAGGACTACACAATGGTGTGAATACCAAGAGACAGGGATCACTGGTGACTACTTGCAGGTTAACTCCCCAAAATAGCAAATGCTGTATTTCAGAGTGAAGAACTAATTTTCATACTTATATTCTGAATTTATTTCCAGTACAATCAAATTTTTTTTTACAAGAGATACAATGTATGTTTTAAGATGATGAATAATGTTTATATACTTCTTTCTTTCTTTTTTTTTTTTTTTTTGGGACAGTCTTTCTCTGCCGCCTAGGCTGGAGTGCAGTGGCATGATCTTGGCTCACTGCAACCTCTGCCTCCTGGGTTCAAGTGATTCTCCTGCCTCAGCCTCCCAAGTAGCTGGGACTACAGGCGTGTGCCATCACGCCTGGCTAGTTTTTGTATGTTCAGTAGAGATGGGGTTTCACCATGTTGGCCAGGCTGGTCTCAAACTCCTGACCTCAGGAGATCCACCTGCCTTGGCCTCCCAAAGTGCTGGGATTACAGGCGTGAGCCACCGTGCCCAGCCTTATGTACTTATTTCTGCCAGGTTCTATGGAGAAGAGGTATTTTGCTATGTTTACATTGAATTTAGGAGATGACCCTGACAAGTTTGTGATGAGGATTATTCATTTAGTTTCTTTTAATTCTTTCAATTCATTTGATGTCTTACTAATGCAAGGCCTAAAGAATTATCCTTATAAAATCTTTGGGAGGAGATATTTAGCTAATTTTACTCATCAAGTATTTATTTGAAGGTAAGGTTTTTGTTTATTTTTCCTTCAGGTAGCTTAATCTCTTAGAGTAGAGACTGTCCCTCTATTGTTAAATAATAGGGAAGGAGTGGCAACTTACATTTGTATAATGCTCTTACATTTGTAAAAGCATTTTTCCTTAATGTGTGGGAATAGACAAATTAAGTTTTTGGAATTGATGCTTACTTAGTAAGGGATTCTAATATTCTCAATCTTTTGCGGGGTGCATAGATTCCTTTCAGGCTGATGAAAGCAATGGTCTTTCCAGAGAAATGCACTTATGCACACAAAGGTAATTTTGTAATTTAAGGGGATCATCAGAAGGTCTGTGGACTTTAGGTTGAGAACTCCTCCTTTGAAAGCACAGGTTCTGATGTTCTCTGGCAGAAATAAACGCTTTTTAGTTTTCTGTATATAAAGGGAAACAATGTACCTAACTCTAATTGGAAATATATGTTTTCATTTTACATGGCTTCTAATTCGCTTTTTCTAATGATGTTTTTTGTTTCTGAATTTTGCTTCCCTTTTAGCATCTGGAGCATAAGAACAGTAATTATTTTCTTCTTTTCCAAGAGAACAGAAAGAAATAGTAAGTTTAATTCCAATTTTTAATAAATATTTTTTAAAATACCTATTTTAGAATGTGCTGGTAAGACAGGTTGTAAAATATGATATTGGAATGATAATGTGTTAAGTATTGAAGAGTTGTTTATTATAAAGCATGAGAAAGGTTATAAATGATCAAGATGGTTCTGTTTTTAATTTGTGTTATTTCCATCTTGTTCATTTAGATTTTTTTTTACACAAAACAAACTTTTTTTTTTTTTTTGAGACAGAGTCAGGGGCATAGGAAGAGCCTGTCGCCCAGGCAGGAGTGCAGTGGCACGATCTCGGCTCACTGCAACCTCCGCCTCCCAGGTCAAGTGATTCTTGTGCCTCAGCCTCCAGAGTAGCTGGGATTATAGGTGCGTGCCACCACTTCCAGCTAATTTTTTGTATTTTTATAGAGACAGGGTTTCACCATGTTTCCCAGGCTGGTCTCGAACTCCTGAGCTCAGGCAATCCGCCTGCCTCTGCCTCCCAAAGTGCTAGGATTACAGGCGTGAGCAATGGTGCCCGACCAAAACAAACATTTTTAAATAAAGAGAATTTATATTTGTTAAATTAATCTTTATGGAAAACTTGGTTTGTTACAGAGTCTTGTTTCATTTTTACCTCAACCCATTTTTTTCACCCCGTATATTATTTTGAAGTATATCCCAAATGTATCTCTCCATTTTCATACCTGGAAAAGAATTCTTAATATCATAAAATATTAAATATAAAAATATTAACTTTTCAGTTATCTCATAAGTATCATTTGCTTTTAAAAAAATTTTATTTGTTTGACTAAGGATCCAAATAAAGTTTGTACAAATATTAATATATGACTATCAAATTGCCCTCCTCACTCACAACCTCTCTTCTCTTCTGCTCACATTAGATCCTATAATCTACCCCAACGACTATTTCCTTGCTGACACTCTTGACCCTTTTGCTCCTCCTTCTCTTCCTACTTATCTGTCAAAGCCTACCCTCTTTAAATACAATTATATGCCTAATCAATGACTGGCAAAACAGTATTCTGATTAAATACATTTACAGGTTTAATCTCATTGAAGCAGCTAAACTTATTAGAGGAAAATCATACAACATGCTCACCTGACCAGACTTATTTTAAATCTATGATTGCAGATATCAAGTATGTACTTAAAACTGCCTTATGGTCCTATTATAGTTCCCCAGTAAATTCACCTTTTTCTCTGTCAGCGTGATGTTTGTTACTGTATTTCTCCTCAAATCACTAATACCTGCCTCCTACCAAAAACCAACAATCAAATCTAACCAAACTAAAACCAACCAACCAACCAAATAAATCAAAAGTCACAAACAAACCTTACAAAATCTACCTGGTCACTCTTAACCTATAGTCTTACTTTATACAGAAAATAGATGTAAACAGATGAGAGCTACCTACACCACCAAGTGAAATTGTCCTTCAGTATCTGTGAGGGATTGGTCCCAATACCCTCCGAGAATAAAAGTGGTATAGAATTTGGATGTAACCTACACATCCTCCTGCATACTTTAAATCATTTGTAGATTACTTGTAATCTCTAATGCAATGTAATACTATATAAATAGTTGCTATATTTTATTAATTTTAAATTTGTATTTTTTATTGTTGTTATTTTTAATTTTTTCTGAATATTTTTGATCCATGGTTGATTTAATTCCATGAGTGCTGAACTAATCCATATGGAGGGCTGAATGTATGTAAAGTTAGCTCTACCTGTACTCAGTAGGGTCTCAACCTTCATTATATTTTGTAAGACTGGCCTTGATCTCATCTATGGCTAACCGCCATTTATGCTCTGGATTCTAAATACTCTGGCCATCTCTAGAGCTTTGCTCTTATAGTTATCTCCTGTAGTTATCATCTCTTTTGCATCATTTTATGTTTTATTATTCCTATTGGCATATAATTCTGCCTCAGTATGACTATGTGGGGAAAAAACCTCTCCTAACCCTACATTTCCTTTAAGCTACCACCAATTTCTCTTTCTTGTTCAAAACAAAAATTTTTTAAAAAATTATTTGTAGTTGTTATCTCTTCTTTTCCTCCACCTATTCCTTCTCAACATAATTTGTTTAGGTTTTGTTTCCACCATTTTTTACTGCAGTGGCTCATTTCAAGGTCACTCATTATCTATGTCTTGTCAAAGCCAGTAATCAGCTCTCTTTTCTCATACAGCTTGATCTCTTAATAGCATTTGAATTAATTCAGTTATTCACTCTTTTTCTGAAAACTTTTTAAGCTTCTTTGACAACACTTCACTGGTGATTTCTTTTTAGTTTTATTTGCTTTACCTCTTCTACTAGAATTCTGCCTTTGGCTTTCTTTTTTTTTTGATAACTTGTTTGGGTCTGTGCTGTCTGATAGAACCTTCTCTGATGAGAATAATCTGTATCTACTGTTCAATATGGTATCTGCTAGCCATTTGTGACTGTTGAGCACTTGAAATGAGGCTAGTGTAAATGAAGAACTGGATTTTAAATAGCTTAAATTTAAATAGCCCCATGTGGCTCCTGGCTATTATTAATACATTAGACAGTACATCTCTAGGTGATTTTATTCACTTCCACAGATTCAGATATTGCCTATTTGTTAATGATTCCCAAATCTAAGTCTTTAGTCCAGTCTCTTCCCTTCAGCTGTAGACTTGTATACCTAACTGTGTAATTGACATTTCCACTTAGGAGTTTAGTAGGCATCTCATAAGTAACATGGCCAAAAGAGAATTAATATTGCTCCTCCCCTTTATTCCCACTCCCTCATGTCTGCTCTTCCCTTTGTCTTCTCCATCTCAGTAAATGTTTACCCTATATGACTAATAGTTAAAACTTGCATTAGTTAGGGTTCTCCAGAGAAACAGAACCAATAGGAAATATTATAAGGAATTGGCTCATGCAATTATGGAGACTGAGAAGTCCCAGGATCTGCAGTTAGCAAGCTGGAGACCCAGGAGGGCTAATGGTTTAGTTCCAATCTAAGTCTGAAGGCCTGAGAACCAAGAGAGCCAGTAAGTGTAAGTTCTAGTCTGAAAGCTAGCAGGTTCAAGACCCAGAAAGAGCTGATGTTTCAGTTTGAGTCTGAAGGCAGGAAAAGATAGATGTCCTAGCTCCAGGGAGTCGGGCATGGTGTGTTCTCACTCACTGGAGGGAGAAGCAAACTTTTTGTTCTATTCAGGCCTTCAGCTGATTGGCTGAGGGCCACTTCATTAGGGAGAGCAATCTGCTTTACTCAGTGTACTGATTGAAATGCTAATCTTACCCCAAAACAACCTCACAGACACCCAGAATAATGTTTGACCAATTATCTGGATACCTTGTGTGACCTAATCAAGTTGACATATACGATTAACCATCACAAGACCAAAAGCCTGGGAGCTATTTTGATTCTTCTTTCATATTCATTCACATTACCAGCAAGTCATATAATCTTTACCTCCAAAATTATCTTGAATCTGACCAGTTCTCACTTTCTTTACTACTACAGTTCTAATTCATTATCATCTCTTGCTTGCACAATTGCTTCTTCACTAGTCTGTTTTTAAGGTATAAATCAGATCTTGTGTGTCTTTTGCTTAAAATTGTCTAATAGCTTCCCATTGCAACCAGAATGAAATCTGAATTCATATCCTGACTTTCTAGCTTGTTCCTATTTCTTCAACCTCATCTTTCACTCTCCTTTGTTCACTTCTGCTCCAGCCACACTGGCCATCTTTTTGTACTACAAACAAGTTCCCTGAACCTTACAGTTTCTTTCTTTCTTTCTTTTTTTTTGAGATGGAGTCTCACTCCGTTGACCAGGCTGCAGTGCAGTGGCACGATCTCAGGTCACTGCAACATCCATCTACTGGATTAAAGCAATTCTCTTGCCTCATTCTCCCAAGTAGCTGGGATTACAGGCACCCGCCACCATGCCCAGCTAATTTTTTTGTATTTTTAATAGAGACAGGGTTTCACCATTTTGTCCAAGCTGGTCTCAAACTCCTGGCCTCAAGTGATCCACCTGCCTCAGCCTCCCAAAGTGCTGGGATTACAGGCATGGGCCACTGCGCCCAGCTGGACCTTACAGTTTCTTAATTTATAAAATGGGAACAGAAAGAATGAGTAAGACCTAGTATTTGATAGCACAATAGGGTGACTATAGTCAATAATAACTGTACATTTTAAAATAAAGAGTATAATTGGATTGTTTACAATTCAATGGATGAATGCTCAAGGGGAAGGATACCGCATTCTTCATGATGTGCTTATTTCACATTGTATGCCTATGTCAAAACATCTCATGCACCCCATAAATATATACGGCCACTATGTACCCACAAAAAAATAAAATGAAAACAGGAATATTTGTTTTGGTAGGACTGTTAAAAGTAGTAAATGTTACTATATATGAAAGCATATAAAAATTGCGAAGTGTTATACAAATGTGAGCTGATGGCACTGATTCTTCTTTTCCAATTCTTATTCTTTTATTTTTCTTGCTTAAATGGGTTAGGACTGAGTACAGTATTCACTTGAAGTGGGAATAGCAGGTATCCTTGTCTAGTTCCTGATTTTAATGGAAAAAACTTTTAATATTTTACCATTAAGTATGATGTTTGCTGTAGTTTTAAAAAATGTTAATGCTTTTTATCAGATTAAGGAAATTTAAGCTTCTGATACTGTTTTTGGTGATATTTAGTAATATAGCAGATGGTGGAAGAATAGGAAGAAGTTGAAAGCAAATATGCTTTCTGACTCCAAGGAATAGCAAGATAGTAAAAAAAAAAAAAAAAATAAGAAACCTTTTTCAAGAGTCCTTTGGAACACTTCTTTAAGGAAATCAAATGTATGAATATTTTTAACTTATGTAATAAATAGGCAGATCTGGACGTGGTTATGAAAGGGATTTTTTTTTTGCTTTAAAATATATTTCAGAGGTTCTTTTTGTTTTTAATTGTACTAATTCATTTTAATAGGTATTACCTGTATGTTTAAAATCGACTTTGTAAAAGATTGTCTTGCAGTCACATAGTATTTTTTTAAGCCTGAAGCTATTGGTCCTGTCCTTGTTTTTTATTCTCGATTATTTTTACTTGTTTTGTTTTACAAGTTGGACCTTGTATAAATTAAAGCAGGAATTGATGGCTGCAGCCTGGAAGCCAAGTCCTGCCCACTGCTTTGTACAGCTCATGATTGGCTTTTATATTTTTAAATTATTGCAATAGTAAAATGAATAATATTTTGACATGTAAAATTTATATGAAATTCAAATTTCAGTTTTTATTGGAACACAGTCATGCTGTCTTTAGCTGCGTTCATCCTACAATAGCAGAATTGAGTAGCTGTGACAGACTGTATGTGGTGCTCTCATCACTTCAGGCACTTGTAGGACTAATCATTTCATCATTTCACACTGTTGTACGACCGATGCAGTTATAACTTTACAGCATTTTTTAAGTGCCATGTGTATTTTTGTACTGTGACAATTTTATTTTATTTTTATTACCCGTGCATACCCATCATGTAAAAACCAGGAAAGAAAAGTGGACTTTGAATGTTGCACTTTTAGTACATAATGGAATGTGGACTATTTTATTATCAAAATGCAAAGCATTGTATTTTTTATGCAATGACGTTATAGCTGTGCTAAAAGAGTACAATATGTATTTGACATTACCATACTAACTACTTATCATCATATTCCCAACTCACAGAAAGCAATGGTCATAAAAATTAGAAAATTTAAAATGGAATATATTATTGCAGAATTGCTCCATAAAACTAAAAGGGAAAATGGGGCTTCAGTCAAAGAAAGTTTCTGAGTGGCTTGTTTGTGAAGAAAGGAAAGCCATTTACCAATTATGAGTTAATTAAATTGTGTTTGATTGCTGCAGCAGAAGAAATGTATTCAGGGAAAATACACTTAAGACTAGTAACGTTTCAGCAAGAACAGTTGCCTGAAGAATTGAGAAAAATTCAGAAAAACAAACATGAGTAGTCAATTAAAGAACAAGGCAAATGATTTCAAGTGATCTTCCTTGGCTGTTGTTGAGTTGACAGATGTTATCAATACTGCTCAATTGTAGTTTGAGTTGTCCACGCTGAGCTTGAAGTGACTGAAGAATTAGTCTCTATAAAAAGTCTTTGCAGAACAACTTTAGGTGAGAATATTTTCAGTGAAGTTTAGAAAACAGCAATTTACTACAACCTGAAGTGGAATCTGCTAAGATGTACTGTAACTACTGCTGGTAAAAATATGTAACAGAAAAAGACTTAGTTGTACAAATTGTACAAAACTTTTGAAACTGTAAGGTGTTTACAGTCTATGGTTATTCATTGTATTATTCAACAACAGGTACTTCACAGAACATACTTGAATTTGTCATTTTGTAGGGCCAAAGGGAACTTCATTGCTCTCATGGACTTAACCATTGTCAGTTATGTGAATTTCAATCATGAATAGAAGCTATCTTGACTTGCCTCACAGCAGTTTGATGGCTTAGCAATGGCAAAGTTTTATTGTCATATTTTGAGCTCAAAACCTAGATTGAAATACTTCAAATGAGAAGGACCATCTTCAGTCACTGTGTTTGAATACTGACTGGCTTTGGAAATTAGCTTTTGCTACAGCCTTGATAATGGTTCTTAATTAATCCAACCTAAGATTGCAAGGCAAAACAATGTATATATGCAAAACCTATAATGTGGTGAAGTCATTTAGAAAACAACATTGTAATGACAAGTAATTTTTTTTAAAAGTGCTATAAAAATGGAAACAAGAAGCAGGATTGCCATTCCCACACAAATTTGTAGCAGATGCATTATCCGAGGTGAAATTATAGTTCCAGTAGAATTTTTCAGACCTCAAGGCAAGTGCAAAGGAAATTTCTGTGTTTCTAAATCCATTTCACTGTATAATTGAAGAGCTTCAGTCTTTGATTGGAGGTGATTAACTTCCAATGTAATAATACTCTAAAAGGCAAATGCCAAGAGAAGAATCTAATAGAATTTTATAAATGCCTTTCAAACTAGTGAATATGCTCAATTAAAATCCTATGCCTGTGGATTGATATCAGTATTTGGCAGTAACTACCTCTGTGAAAAGACATTAAAAAATCAAATATGTAAAATCTCATTACAGATCAGCATTAATGGATTATCATTTGCAATCAGTTTTGATGATAGAGAACACTTAGCTTTGAACCTCAATTAAGTGAAATGTTATCCACCCCTGAAAGTATTACATTCTTTTCCCTGGTAGACTTATATTACAAAAAATTGAACTCAATTATTATATAGGTTGAACATCCCAAATCTGAAAATTCAAAATCTGAAATCCCCCTAAATCCAAAATTTTTTGAATGCCAACATGATACTCAAAGGAAATGGTCCTTGGAGCATTTTGGATTTTGGATTTTTGGATTTGAGATGCTCAGCTGGGGTGTATTCTGCAGATATTCCAAAATTAAAAAAAAAATTGAAATCTGAAACACTTCTAGCACCAAGCATTTCAGATAAGAGATACTCAACCTGTATTTGAATTTAGTCTATAAAGTTTGTGGAAATTTTGTATTTCTTTTGTATTTCTTAGGCTGGGCTCAGTGGCTCATGCCTGTAATCTAGCACTTTGGGAGGCCAAGGCAGGTGGATAACCTGAGGTCAGGAGTTCAAGACCATCCTGGCCAACATGGAGAAACCCTGTCCGTACTAAAAATACAAAAATTAGCTTGGTGTGGTGGTACACGCCTGTAATTCCAGCTTGGGAGACTGAGGTATAAGAATTGCTTGAACTCTGGAGGCAGAGGCTGCAGTGAGCCGAGATCATGCCACTGCACTCCAGCCTGGGTGACAGAGCAATACCCTGTCTCAAAAAACAAAAAAATACAGACTTGATTTTGCTTTTTGGCCCATAAAGCCCAAAATACTTACTTTTTCCTTTACAGAATAAGTTTGCTAACCCTTGGATTAAAGTACAGATGTTTGGCTTGGTCTTATCTAACAAAAAATTACTATTCTCTTTGAAGATGTTAGCAGATTTCCTCTGCTTTTAGTAACAAGTTAGCTATCACATTAAAGACTGCTTAATCTATTTTGAAAAAAGTTTTATAGTAAAATCATCTTTTTATATGTTTGTGTTTCCTTGAATTTTTACATAAATGATGTACTTTGAGTTGGGTATTCAGGTATTTGTTACCTAGAATTTCAGTGAAGAAGTAATAATTTTATTTATAAATTTAATTAAGTATTAAGAACAGTTATTTACATTTCATTTGATAATATTCAAGCCATAAGTTCTGCTTTCCTTAGGGAATAGTGTTTCAATCTGTATTAGTTAAATATTTCTAGAGAAAAACTAGAAACTTAAATAATTTGTAAATCAAACATTGACATTCATAAAAGATATCCTCTGAGGTGATTCTTTCTGTTCCACCATGCCAACCTATATAAGCGGGCAAATCTTAGAAATGTTTAATTTTGGAAAGTTATTAGTATTTTTTTCCATGTCCCTTCTCAGATGCAATAAGGTAGATTTTCTAGGTTTTTTAAAAAGTCGTGCTTAATATCTTCAGGCTTGACTAAGTAAAATATGTATTTATTTCCTTATAAACAAAGAGAACATTTTTATTACCAGTGTATAAAAAGAGATTTGATACTAATTTTGTAAATTAATGTGGGTGAGGTGTTGAAAGGAAAAAGAAATAGTAGAAAGTAATGTTTCTGAACACATTAAAAAGTATTTGTATATATTTCAATTTAGAAAGGTGCTTTATACTATGTAAAGTCAATTTTTCACCTCAATGGCCTATAATATATAATACAGGCAAAAATATGAACTATATGTGGGTGAAGATGGAGATAATTTTTGTCTCTACACATCAGTTAAATTTTGAAAAATCCTAAAATAAGAAAGTTTTCTTGTGTTTGCTACCGTGTGTCATTTGGCGTGATTTTTTCTTATATCTAAATATCTTAATCTTTGATTTAAATCTTGCTTTCTAGATGAAGCATTGGATGATTTAAAATCCCAGAGGAAAAAAATAGTAAGTTAACTTTTATTTAAAATTAATTTATATTAAACTAATAAGAACTGAATAATTAATGTTTATGTGTTGGAAGTTAATAACTCTCCAAGGAAGAAATATGCTTTTAGATAGCATTTTAATGATGAAGTGAAATTGTGAATATTTTTGCTAGTTAATAATGATTGACAGGAAAAAGTAGTTTAGAAGGACTTTTGAGATTCTGAGAATCTGTATCAGTTGGAAGCTGAGAAGTAAGTAAATGAGTCATATTGGAGGCCTAAATGAGGCAGAGAGGGTAAAAATGTGGGTACCAGATTGTTTATTAGAGCTAAATAAAAAAGGACAAAATATCTCCACGTGTCAGTTCTCAGGTTTTCTTGACACCAAGAAAGAGAGGGAATCAAGAAGATCGGTTGTAAGAGAGCAATTCAACATGAAAATACTGAAGAAGAGATGGGAGAGAGAGAGAGATAATTGTTTTCTTCAGAGTTTTCCACTTTCTATCAGTAACTCTGATCACATGGATATCTATTGTGGGGCTAGTTGATGCATCCCTTCAGATGTGTTGGAAAGAGGACCAAGAGTAAGACAGAAGGCGCTCTAGATATTGATACATAGTAGTCTGTAATAAGTGAATTGAAGTTGGTGTTTGACATAGAGCTACTAATTTTTTAATGATTATTTTTGAAGTGTGAAAATGATAACTGCTGATAGTATTATGTTGTATAGAAATGTATTTAATAAAATTTAATCAGGTACAAATGATCAATTCAATATATTTTAGTCTAGTATGTAACAAGTAATAATTAAGAAACCAATATTGTGAAGGTTAAGACTAATGTTAAAAATTATTCTGTGAATTGATGATAATAGATACTGGTTTTAAGGGCTTTAAGTACCTGAAAAGTAAGAGAACTTTAATTTTGAAAGGATTCCTTAGCTTTGTTTGCTCCTTATTGGGTGTCCTGTGAGGTATTTATCAAAACTGCATTGGCAATTTTGGTGGTCCTAAATTGCCAAACACAGAAATATCTTATTATTATGTTTCTGCTATTCTGCACATTATGGAACAGCCAGAAATTCAAAGTGAGGAAATACTGATGGTGTCAGTGATTTAGAAGTTGTGATATGATTGGTTTGACTTGCTGATGAGATAAAAAGAAGAGCTGGTACTGGTGATCAGAGACAAGTCCTGCTTATACCAAAATGGAGAAATATTAGTTAAAGTAGAAAAGATGAAGAGGAAGACAAAGGAAAGCAGAAAAGAAAAAAGTCCTAAGTGATGAGAAGCAGCCCAATGTCACTGGCATCATATGGCCAGAAAACAGGATCTTGAAGAACATATGATTTGGGAAAATCTCTCAATAGAGTAACAGAGCTGACTTGGAAAATTGTGTGAAAGGATAAGTCAAGCTATTTACTACTTTTTAAATAGCCTTTAAAGGAATCGCAACATAAAAGATGTTTCATTTTAAGTCTGACAACAGTTGAAAAAGTTGAGTTCAATAGCTCTGCAAGTTTAAATGGTTCATTAGGCATCAATATTAATAATTCAATATGGCATTTCTCTTGCAGTTTGACTAAAGAAAAATGTTGGCTCTAATTCACTTTATTAATTAAACACAATTTGCATTTACTTGATTATTGTTGGTTATAATACTGTTTGCTACTCGAACTAGTTTGTGATCTTGACTGTTCAAGCCTTTAACAGAGCTGCTTTGTTTGAGTAGTTTTACACTTTGGTTTTTTTTTTTTCTTTTTTTGAGATGGAATTTTGCTCTTGTTGCCCAGGCAGGAGTGCAGTGGTGCAATCTCGGGTCACTGCGACCTCTGCCTCCCAGGTTCAAGTGATTCTCCTGCCTCAGCCTCCCAAGTAGCTGGTATTACAGGCATGCACCACCACACCTGGCTAATTTTGTATTTTTAGTAGAGGCGGGGCTTCACTATGTTGGCCATGCTGGTCACTACTTGATATTTTATTAAAAGTGGTTTCCTTGGGGATGCATCCCTTTAATCTGAATAGATTTGTAATGTAATTTGAAATTTGTAAAATTGTAATTTGTAATGACAGATATGAATTATCAATTGATTAAAAAGTAAATTAGGAAAGAGCATCTTAACAATATTTTAAGAGCTTAATGTAAGTATTATTATTATAAAGTTAGGAAGTAATCTTTAGTTATCTAAAAAATTCCCAAGTCTAGATCTGTGTGCATTTTACCATTCACGTATTTTGTGGCCCTTTAACAAAACTTGAGTTTTTAATAATCACTGAGTAATCTGTGCAAGCAGATAATCCCTCTGCATCCATGAGCATTCCTTCAAAACAGTTCAAAAATCAAGCTCTATCAAAATACATGAGTCAAGATTACCTCTTTAAATGGCTTCATGAAAATTTTGTGCTTTTTCAGAATATTAGTCCTATGTGGTAATTTCCAGCATTCCTTGGGAAATCTGTGTTTTTCTGAATCTTGAGAAAAATCACTTGAGAAATTGGGAACATGAGGAAAAGTGTTATAGTTCCCTGAGAATTAAAGCTTAACAATCAACTACAGATGTTACTAGTTCAAAGGAATTCACTAATGTCAGCTGAAGGCAAGAGCAAGAAATTCTGACATGCTGAGTTACAGGTTAATGTTGACGTTTCTGGGAACAGTACAGAATCATAGAGAAGTGGTACAATCTAATCAGTTTTGTGGGCATTTATGGCACTCTCTTATTAATGGTGAGTCATTCTTGCAAATAAAAATGTTTATATACCTACTATAATTTATATAAATGTATAAAGTATATTTTGTACAAATCCTGTGCGTGATATTCCATGAAATAAGTTTTGGAAGCAAAAGAAGTCTTTAAATTGGCAATTTTAGCTTTTATTCTCTATAGAGTTCTTAACCTTATAGCGGCTTAAAATGTTACATTTTTGTATTACCCAGTAATGTTTTCTGGCTTTTCCCAGTGTTTGAATATTCACCTTAGGCTACACAATAACAGAAGAAATGCAAAGAAGAAAGATGTGACTATTATTGTGGAATACTCTTATATGAAAGAAAATGATATAACATCTGAATTAGTAAAAGCATCATCAATTTCAACAGCAAACCTCAAATCAGGGATACCAGACAGTATTTTCAGCATGATAAAAGGATGAGTTTATATGGTATAACATGCTCCCTAATACTCTGAATTGCAAAGTTAATGCAAAATGAAAGAAATGAAAGAAAGTTTTCTTACATCTGGAATATTTTTCATGAGTAAATATTGGTTAGGGAAATTAATGCTTTGTGCGTTTTAAAATTCTGTTTCAAGAATGATAATTTTAGTATTAAATATTTGTAGAATTGTCTTTCAAAACTTAAAAAGTTTTTTTCACATTTATTTTGTGCTAGTGTGCCCTTTTAATGTTTTCTATGATGTAATGGCTGTATCCAGTAGAAATAATTTTTACATGTTATAGAAATATAACTCATCACAATGTTGACTCTTAATAGAATCATGTATTTATTATTCTATCTTTTAAAATAAAAAAGCCCCTAAAACCTTTAGTACAACCGTATTACAGAAAAATGATTCATTCTTTAACACTAACGATAGCTGATGAGCTCAAAAATAAAAAATTGCAAAAAAATGTTATAATGTTTTAAAGTTTACGAATTTGTTTTGGGCTGCATTCAAAGCTATCTTGGGCCACATGTGGCTGGTGGCTAAGGGTTGGACAAGCTTGAATGAGAGAATTCTCAAGAATTCTAGTTTCTTGTTCCTGAATCTTGAGGTTAATATGTTGAGTTTTTGGAAATAGTTTGTTTCAGGCCCATTCTGAGTAATTGAGATGTCTCTGAAAATTATGTTAATATTTTAGGCACTGTTGTGGACTCTTTCTCCTACATTATATTTTTTTAAATTGCACAGTAGTGCTATGAAGAAAGTATTAAAATATCTATGCAGAGGAGAAACTGAGGCTGACAAAGTGCTAACAATCTTCTAAGAATAGAAATGTGCGTTGAACCCAGATCTTTTCTCACTTTGAAGTTTCAAATTCATGTTCTTTGCACTGAACAGTGTATTTAAAACATATTATTACTTAAATGTTGTATGGATGTGTGTTAATTAAGCTATTATATGAAAATATTTTGTTAGAAGTAAATGCAAAAAATGGGAAATAGATTTGTATCTTTTAGTACTTAAAAACTGATTTTATTTAAGATAAATAAAAACATAGATACACTTGAATACTTGCTGAATAATCTACCAGGAATGCAATCATTCGATAAAGTAGCATTTTGGTTTGGAGTTTTGTGTGTTGTTTTAAAGATCACAGTTTAATCTTTTTAAACCTAGTAGTAGTTTTAGTCTAGAGTTATCTGTCCAAATCAGTATGACTGTTTACATTTACATTATTTAAAATGAAATAAAACTACAGCTGGGCGCAGTGGCTCACACCTGTAATCCCAGCACTTTGGGAGGCTGAGGTATGTGGATCACTTGAGGCCAAGAGTTCGAGACCAGCCTGGCCAACATGGCGAAACCTCGTCTCTACTAAAAATACAAAAACTAGCCGGGTGTGGTGGCGCGCATCTGTAATCCTAGCTACTTGGGAGCCTGAGGCAGAGAATCGCTTGAACCTGGGAGGTGGAGGCTGCAGTGAGCCGAAACCACTCACTCCAGCCTGGGTGACAGAGTGAGACTCCATCTAAAACAAAACAAAATGAAACAAAACAAAAGTACAAATTCAGTTCCCCAGTTGCACAAGCAACATTTTAAGTGCTCATTTATCACATAGGGCTTAGTGGCTACTATTACGCTGACATAGACCATTTTCATCATTACATAAAGTTTTACTGCACAACACTGCTAAAAAATCAAAAGTCTAATGTGTAGAGATCAGGGATTTGCTTCTTTGATATTCCATGTAGATTATGTTGATTTGGGGATGTATTTTATTATGCCCTCTTTCTACCTCTGTTCCTAGTTTTTTTTTTTCTAACTCTAAAGTGATACTATAAACATCTCCTTTACATCAGAAAAGTCAACTTGTTTATTTTGAGAATTTATAATAATTTTGAAATAGGAAAATATTTTAGTTTCATTAAACCAAGGCAAGGCTAATAAATCATTCATCTAAGTACCTACCTCTTAAATGTCGAATTGAGTGTTTAATGAGGAATCTGTTAACTGCTATTGTGGCAGCATATTTTTAACTCAGTAAATGTGCTTTGGGTTGCATTTTAAAATAAATGTCCTTTGGAATGAATATGACATTTAATGAATCTTAGTGGTTATCAGTGGTCACTGAGAAAGAAAAGGTTCTTTTCCAATTTTTGCAAAAGCACTTTATCCTACATATTAGGTAATTTGTCATTACTATGACTGTCTTGTACTAAAGTTCAACTTTTTCTGATGTTGAACTAGCCGTAACTGCTAGTGATACTTTACTAGTGATTATATTTTAAGTTAAACCCATGTATTAAGTTATAAAGTGACTTGAGTGCATGGTAAATAAAACGTTACAATAATGAAGTGATTTAATTATAGTCCCTAGTGTGAACATAGAACTCAGTAAAATTTTTGCTTAAATTCTGTGCTCAGTTTTTTCCTCTAAAGTTGTTTGAGTCTAAGTAAAAAAGAGGTGAGGGTTATCTTTTAAAGTCATTTGAGCAAATTCCATGGCTGTTCTCCCAGTTAGTGAGTTTTCACTGCATTTGCAGCAAGCTAATTGCTTCTGCTAATAAATAATCTAAAATCGATGCTGACAGCAGTTAATTGGCACAGAGATTTTATTTTGTAAAGCTCTTGGCTAACGACCTTCTTTAAATTAATAGCATTAAGTGCTATGAGGAAATAAATCTGAGGAATTGCCTGTCATTTGCTTGTCATGTCTAATAACTTCCAATAATGATGGCTGATAGATTTTTGCACATTCCATTATTGAAGTTGGTGCATGTAATTATTCTCCTCATTATATGTAAACAATTAGCAATATTTGGTATTTCCTTGCAGTAAAACTGTTAAGTACAAGTAACATATTAGAGGTTAGAAGCCATTTTAAAATCTGGATTTTAATTATTCGAATGTAGGAAGTCTTTCATTCTATTTGGATATATTAAGGATATTTAAACCTTTTTGAATAGGACTTATACAAATAAGTAGTGTGTGTTTTGAAGTGTGACAATTTATGGAAATTTTTGTTCGTAGCTTGAAGAAGTCATGGAAAAAGAAACTTACAAGACGGCTAAATTAATTCTTGAAAGGTTTGATCCGGACTCAAAGAAAGCAAAGGTAAGACTGTGATATCACTACTATTTTATTATAAATTACACATTGTAATAGGTCACTGTAATAACATTATTATAATTGACAGGAGTGTGAGCCGCCATCTGCTGGAGCAGCTGTAACTGCAAGACCTGGACAAGGTAAATAACTTAGTAGAAACTGCTGCTGCTGTTGGAAAGATCCATAATTACCCAAGTGAGTTCAAAAGTGTGTTGGAGGTGTGCAAAAACTTATGTAGAATGCTTCTGTGTAAATTTATATTTGGTAATTTGGGATATGACTTAGGGTGGATGGCAATAATTTTATTTCATTTTGATTTTATGGGAATATGTTAAGTTAGGATGTCAAATATGTATTGAGATTAAATATATCATTGGTTTTAATCTTTTAAAATTTAAATAATTTCATCAATATTTTGTAAATATTTCCCACTTTCAAATAATAGTCTCTTGGAATATCTGTTATTATGAAAATCCTTACATTTTTATGTTTTATTTTTGAAAAATGTTATGATTTCTGTGAAATTTTGTTTTTTCTAAAATAACACTTTAGAATAAAATAATTTAGAAATAAGAAAAATGAAAATTGAATTATCGCTGTGTAATGTTAACTATTTTTGAGCTTGTATTACCATATTATTAATGAAGTCATTACTATTACATCATTAAATGTTATATAAAATTTTAACCGTCATTATATTAAGTGGTTACATAAAATATTCCCCAGACTGGCATGGGAAAAGATATTCTGAGTTTGCAATGACTTTTGTCTTTGTTCTTTTCTTTTTTTTTAATTAATTAATTTATTTATTATATTTTAAGTTTTAGGGTACATGTACACAATGTGCAAGTTAGTTACATATGTATATATGTGCCATGTTGGTGCACTGCACCCACTAACTTGTCATCTAGCATTAGGTATATCTCCCAATGCTATCCCTCCCCCGCCACCACCCCACAACAGTCCCCAGAGTGTGATGTTCCTCTTCCTGTATCCATGTGTTCTCATTGTTCAATTCCCATCTATGAGTGAGAATATGCAGTGTTTGGTTTTTTGTTCTTGTGATAGTTTACTGAGAATGATGATTTCCAATTTCATCCATGTCCCTACAAAGGACATGAACTCATCATTTTTTATGGCTGCATAGTATTCCATGGTGTATATGTGCCACATTTTCTTAATCCAGTCAATCATTGTTGGGCATTTGGGTTGGTTCCAAGTCTTTGCTATTGTGAATAATGCCGCAATAAACATACATCTGCATGTGTCTTTATAGCAGCATGATTTATAGTCCTTTGGGTATATACCCAGTAATGGGATGGCTGGGTCAAATGGTATTTCTAGTTCTAGATCCCTGAGGAATCGCCACACTGACTTCCACAAGGGTTGAACTAGTTTACAGTCCCACCAACAGTGTAAAAGTGTTCCTATTTCTCCACATCCTCTCCAGCACCTGTTGTTTCCTGACTTTTTAATGATTGCCATTCTAACTGGTGTGAGATGGTATCTCATTGTGGTTTTGATTTGCATTTCTCTGATGGCCAGTGATGATGAGCATTTTTTCATGTGTTTTTTGGCTGCATAAATGTCTTCTTTTGAGAAGTGTCTGTTCATGTCCTTCGCCCACTTTTTGATGGGGTTGTTTGTTTTTTTCTTGTAAATTTGTTTGAGTTCATTGTAGATTCTGGATATTAGCCCTTTGTCAGATGGGTAGATTGCAAAAATTTTCTCCCATTCTGTAGATTGCGTGTTCAGTCTGATGGTAGTTTCTTCTGCTGTGCAGAAGCTCTTTAGTTTAATTAGATCCCATTTGTCTATTGTGGCTTTTGTTGCCATTGCTTTTAGTGTTTTAGACATGAAGTCCTTGCCCATGCCTGTGTCCTGAATGGTATTGCCTAGGTTTTCTTCTAGGTTTTTTATGGTTTTAGGTCTAACATTTAAGTCTTTAATACATCTTGAATTAATTTTTGTATAAGGTGTAAGGAAGGGATGCAGTTTCAGCTTTCTGCATATGGCTAGCCAGTTTTCCCAGCACCATTTATTAAACAGGGAATCTTTTCCCCATTTCTTGTTTTTGTCAGGTTTGTCAAAGATCAGATGGTTGTAGATGTGTGGTGTTATTTCTGAGGCCTCTGTTCTGTTCCATTGGTCTATATATCTGTTGTGGTACGAGTACCATGCTGTTTTGGTTACTGTAGCCTTGTAGTATAGTTTGAAGTCAGGAAGTGTGATGCCTCCAGCTTTGTTCTTTTTGCTTAGGATTGTCTTGGCAATGCAGGCTCTTTTTTGGTTCCATATGAACTTTAAAATAGTTTTTTCCAATTCTGCGAAGAAAGTCACTGGTAGCTTGATGGGGATGGCATTGAATCTATAAATTACCTTAGGCAGTATGTCCATTTTCACGATATTGATTCTTCCTATCCATGAGCATGGAATGTTCTTCTATTTGTTTGTGTCCTCTTTTATTTCGTTGAGTAGTGGTTTGTAGTTCTCCTTGAAGAGGTCATTCACATCTCTTGTAAGTTGGATTCCTAGGTATTTTATTCTCTTTGAAGCAATTGTGAATGGGAGTTCACTCATGATTTGGTTCTCTGTTTGTCTGTTAATGGTGTATAAGAATGCTTGTGATTTTTGCACATTGATTTTGTATCCTGAGACTTTGCTGAAATTGCTTATCAGCTTAGGGAGATTTTGGGCTGAGATGATGGGGTTTTCTAAATACACAAGCATGTCATCTGCAAAAAGGGACAATTTGACTTCCTCTTTTCCTAATTGAATACCCTTTATTTCTTTTTCCTGCCTGATTGCCTTGGCCAGAACTTCCAACCCTATGTTGAATAGGAGTGGTGAGAGAGGGCATCCCTGCCTTGTGCCAGTTTTCAAAGGGAATGCTTCCAGTTTTTGCCCATTCAATATGATATTTGCTGTAGGTTTGTCATAAATAGCTCTTATTATTTTGAGACACGTCCCATCAATACCTAGTTTATTGAGAGTTTTTAGCATGAAGGGCTGTTGAATTTTGTCGAAGGCCTTTTCTGCATCTATTGAGATAATCATGTGGTTTTTGTCTTTGGTTCTGTTTGTGTGATGGATTACATTTATTGATTTGCATATGTTGAACCAGCCTTGCATCCCAGGGATGAAGCCAACTTGATCATCATGCATAAGCTTTTTGATGTGCTGCTGGATTCAGTTCACCAGTATTTTATTCAGGATTTTCGCATCGATGTTCATCAGGGATATTGGTCTAAACTTCTTTTTGTTGTGTCTCTGCCAGGCTTTGGTATCAGGCTGATGCTGGCCTCATAAAATGAGTTAGGGAGGATTCCCTCCTTTTGTATTGTTTGGAATAGTTTCAGAAGGAATGGTGCCAGCTTCTCTTTGTACCTCTGGTAGAATTCAGCTGTGAATTCATTTGGTCCTGTAATTTTTTTGGTTGGTAGGCTATTATTGCCTCAATTTCAGAGCCTGTTATTAGTCTATTCAGGGATTCAGTTTCTTCCTGGTTTAGTCTTGGGAGGGTGTATGTGTCCAGGAATTTATCCATTTCTTCTAGATTTTCTAGTTTATTTGCATAGAGGTGTCTATAGTATTCTCTTATGGTAGTTTGTATTTCTGTGGGATCAGTGGTGATATCCCCTTTATCATTTTTTATTGTGTCTATTTGATTCTTCTCTCTTTTCTTCTTTACTAGTCTTGCTAGTGGTCTATCTATTTTGCTGGTCTTTTCAAAAACCAGCTCCTGGAGTCATTGATTTTTTGAAGGGTTTTTTTGTGTCTCTATCTCCTTCAGTTCTGCTCTGATCTTAGTTATTTCTAGCCTTCTGCTAGCTTTTGAATGTGTTTGCTCTTGCTTCTCTAGTTCTTTTAATTGTGTTGTTAGCGTGTCGATTTTAGATCTTCCCTGCTTTCTCTTGTGGGCATTTAGTGCTATAAATTTCCCTCTACACGCTGCTTTAAATGTGTCCCAGAGATTCTGATATGTTGTGTCTTTGTTCTTATTGATTTCAAAGAACATCTTTATTTCTGCCTTCATTTTGTTATTTACCTAGTAGTCATTCAGGAGCAGGTTGTTCAGTTTCCATGTAGTTGTGTGGTTTTGAGTGAGATTCTTAATCCTGAGTTCTAATTTGATTGCACCCTGGTCTGAGAGACAGTTTGTTGTGATTTCTGTTCTTTTACATTTGCTGAGGAGTGCTTTATTTCCAACTATGTGATCAATTTTGGAGTAAGTGCGATGTGATGCTGAGAAGAATGTATATTCTGTTGATTTGGGGTGGAGAGTTCTGTAGATCCCTATTAAGGCAGCTTGGTGCAGAGCTGAGTTCAAGTCGTGGATATCCTTGTTAACCTTCTGTCTCGTTGATCTGTCTAATATTGACAGTGGGGTGTTAAAGTCTCCCATTATTGTGTGGGAGTGTAAGTCTCTTTGTAGGTTGCTAAGGACTTACCTTATGAATCTGGGTGCTCCTGTGTTGGGTGCATATATATTTAGGATAGTTAGCTCTTCTTGTTGAATTGACTCCTTTACCATTATGTAATGGCCTTCTTTGTCTCTTTTGATCTTTGTTGGTTTAAAGTCTGTTTTCTCACAGACTAGAATTGTAACCCCTGCTTTTTTTTTTGTTTTCCATTTGCTTGGTAGATCTTCCTCCATCCCTTTATTTTGAGCCTATATGTGTCTCTGCACATGAGATGGGTTTCCTGAATACAGCACACTGATGGGTCTTGACTCTATCCAGTTTGCCAGTCTGTGTCTTTTAATTGGGGCATTTAGCCCATTTACATTTAAGGTTAATATTGTTATATGTGAATTTGATCCTGTCGTTATGATGTTAGCTGGTTATTTTGCTTGTTAGTTGACGCAGTTTCTTCCAAACATCAATAGTCTTTACAATTTGGCATGTTTTTGCAGTGGCTGGTACCGTTAGTTCCTTTCCATGTTTAGTGCTTCCTTCAGGAGCTCTTGTAA
Organism: Homo sapiens; assembly: GCF_000001405.40. Taxonomy (NCBI): domain Eukaryota; kingdom Metazoa; phylum Chordata; class Mammalia; order Primates; family Hominidae; genus Homo; species Homo sapiens. The sequence goes on along the minus strand of NC_000002.12, from coordinate 175,959,539 downwards.
GGCAGGCCTGGTGGTGACAAAGTCTCTCAGCATTTGCTTGTCTGTAAAGGATATTATTTCTCCTTCACTTATGAAGCTTAGTTTGGCTGGATATGAAATTCTGGGTTGAAAATTCTTTTAAGAATGTTGAATATTGACCCCCGCTCTCTTCTGTCTCGTAGTTTCTGCTGAGAGATCTGCTGTTAGTCTGTTGGGCTTCCCTTTGTGGGTAACTCGACTTTTCTCTCTGGCTGCACTTAACATTTTTTCCTGCATTTCAACCTTGGTGAATCTGACAATTACGTGTCTTGGGGTTGCTCTTGTCAAGGAGTATCTTTGTGGTATTCTCTGTATTTCCTGGATTTGAATGTTCACCTACCTTGCTAGGTTGGGAAAGTTCTCCTGGATAATATCCTGAAGAGTGTTTTCCAGCTTGGTTCCATCCTCCCCATCACTTTCAGGTACACCAATGAAACGTAGATTTGGTCTTTTCACATAGTCCCATATTTCTTGGATGCTTTGTTCATTTCTTTTTACTCTTTTCTCTCTAAACTTCTTGCTTCATTTCATTCATTTGATCTTCAATCACTGATACCCTTTCTTCTGTTTGATGAAATCGGCTACTGAAGCTTGTGCATGCATCACGTAGTTCTCGTGCTATGGTTTTCAGCTCCATCAGGTCATTTAAGGTCTTCTCTATGCTGTTTATTCTAGTTAGCCATTTGTCTAATCTTTTTTCAAGGTTTATAGCTTCCTTGCGATGGGTTCGAACATCCTCCTTTAGCTTGGAGAAGTTTGTTATTACTGACCTTCTGAAGCCTTCTTCTCTCAACTTGTCAAAGTTGTTCTCCATCCAGCTTTGTTCCTTTTCTGGCAAGGAGCTGCAATCCTTCGGAAGAGAAGAGGTGCTCTGGTTTTTAGAATTTTCAGCTTTTCTGCTCTGGTTTCTCCCCATCTTTGTGGTTTTATCTACCTTTGGTATTTGATGATGGTGACCTATAGATGGGGTTTTGGTGTAGATGTCCTTTTTGTTGATGTTGATACTATTCCTTTCTGTTTGTTAGTTTTCCTTCTAACAGTCAGGACCCTCAGCTGCAGGTCGGTTGCAGTTTGCTGGAGGTCCACTCCAGACCCTGTTTGCCTGGGTATCACCAGAGGAGGCTGCAGAGCAGCAAATATTGCTGCCTGATCCTTCCTGTGGACGCTTCGTCCCAGAGGGGCACCCGGCTGTATAAGGTGTCGGTCGACCCCTACTGGCAGGTGTCTCCCAGTTAGGCTACACAGTGGTCAGGGACCCACTTGAGGAGGCAGTCTGTCTGTTCTCAGAGCTCAAACTCCATGCTGGGAGAACCAGTGCTCTCTTCAGAGCTGTCAGACAGGGACATTTTAAGTCTGCAGAAGTTTCTGCTGCCTTTTGTTCAGCTATGCCCTGCCCCCAGAGGTGGAGTCTACAGAGGCAGGCAGGCCTGGTTGAGCTGAGGTGGACTCCACCCAGTTCGAGCTTCCTGGCCCCTTTGCTTACCTACTCAAGCCTCAGCAATGGCAGACGCCCCTCCCCCACCCCAGGCTGCTGCCTTGCAGTTGGATCTCGGACTGCTGTGCCAGCAGTGAGCAAGGCTCCGTGGGCATAGGATCTGCCAAACCAGACACGGGATATAATCCCCTGGTGTGTGGTTTGCTCAGACTGTTGGAAAAGCACAGTATTAGGGCGGGAGTGTACCGATTTTCCAGGTAGTGTCTGTGACGGCTTCCCTTGGCTTGGAAAGGGAAATCTCCTGACTCCTTGCACTTCCCAGGTGAGGCAATGCCCCGCCCTGCTTCAGCTCATCGTCTGTGGGCTGCACCCACTGGCCAACCAGTCCCAGTGAGATGAACCAGGTACCTCAGTTGGAAATCCAGAAATCACCTGTCTTCTGTGTTGATCGTGCTGGGAGCTGCAGACTAGAGCTGTTCCTATTCGGGCATCTTGGAATGATCTGCAATAGTATCCATGTGGAATAATTAATGATGGAGGAGAGAGTAGGGAGAATTGATTTGGAACTGTCCATGAGTAGGCAAGAGGGGATGTGATCTAGTATACAAGTGGAGAAGTCGGCTTTTGACAAGTGTGTGATAGCTCATCTTTAGCAATGAGGAAAGTCTGAGAACATGGGAAGACATAGGTAGGTGGCTGGGTTCTTTTTTTGAGATGTTTTCTTTTTTTGAGATGAAGTCTCACTGTATCACCCAGGCTGGAGTGCAGTGGCGTGATCTCGGCTTGCTGCAACCTCTGCCTCCAAGGTTCAAGTGATTCTCCTGCCTCAGCCTCCTGAGTAGCTGGGATTACAGGTGCCCGCCATGACACCCGGCTAATTTTTGTAGTTTTAGTAGATACGGGGTTTCACCATGTCAGCCAGGCTGGTCTCAAACTCTTGACCTCAAGTGATCTGCCCACCTCAGCCTCCCAAAGTTTTGGGATTATAGGTGTGAGCTACTGCGCCCAGCCAATTTTCTGATTGTATCTCTATTTTCTTAGTGAGGATGAGGTTGGGGGAGATAATGTTGGAGGCTTGAAGAAAAGGTATGGAATAATGCCAGGGGACTCTAAAGGCTACTTAAAATGAATAGTCATAAATTTAATGCAGGATTCTGTGTGCTTTTCCAGTTACAGTCACCCGTGTAGGTGCCAGCATGGAGTAGGCAAATGGTTGGTTTTAAGCAGGGTTGGGGTTTTGCCTCATGTGTTAGATAATTTGATAAGGGGGCCAGGAGCTGAAGTTGTTTGTAGGCGAGCCATTATCACAATGGATTATGGAATTTAAGACGATTATGAGGGAAATAAAGACATGAGTGGTAGTGATGGACAGTCAAAAGGTGTTGGTAGTATTAATACAGGAATCCACAAACTGCAACCTGCAAATGTAGGCCAAGACCTGTGTTTTATGGTTCTTCAGCTTAGAATGTTTTCACATTTTCAAAGCATTTTAAAAAATAAAGAGTAAGAATATGCAACAGGAGCTTATGTGGTCTGCAAAGCCTAAAATGTTTATTATGTGGCTCTTTCCAAAAATGTTCACTGACCTATTAATAATTAATGGGTTATAGATCTTGCAGTTGGAGGAGGTAAGCTGAGAGGTTAGTGGTTGGAGAACAGGATGCTTAAACCTGAGAAGTGATCAGTTATTTCTGGTTGCAAAGTTATAGGAATAGGTTATCACCATAGGAGTAAATGATTGAAATAGGGAGAATGATCAGATTTTTGGAGGATGCCCTAAAAATGAAATCTTTTTTTTTTTTTTTTTTGAATACATGGTCTCACTGTCACCCAGGCTGGAGTGCAGTGGTGTCATCATGGCTTACTGCGACCTCAACATCCTGGGCTCCAGCCATCCTCCCACCTCAGCCTCCTGAGTAGCTGGGACTACGAGTATGTACCACCGTGCCCAGCTAATTTTTTAACTTTTTGTAGAGATGGGGTTTCACTATGTTGCCCAGGCTGGTCTTGAACTCCTGGGCTCAAGCGATCCATCAGCCTCGGCCTCCCAAAGTGCTAGAATTACAGGCCTTAATCACCACGCCCAGCCTAAAAAATCCTTAACTGACCCTCCTATTGTTTTCTAGGAGGACACCACCTATACATTTTCTTTTGCCTTTTGTACTCAGCCCTGCACCTTTACTAATGAAATGTAACAAAAGAAAAGTCAATTGTATCTTGCCACAGCTAAATTCAAAATCAGTTATTTTTGCAGAGACATTTAATGGTTTTAGCAAATAGAGTACAACTTCTTATTTCAGTAGGTTTTAGAGTTTACTCACTTGTGTTCCATAGCATGTATTGAAAATTAAAGTAGAAATTATAGATCTTTTTTTGATCTTTATACCAAATGGAGCAATACTTTATATTTTGCTGTTTTTTGGGCATGTGTTTGATTCAGAGAACGTGAAAAATGCCTTATAAAATAATAAATTCACCTTAATAAATTTGCCTTGTAAGAAATTTGGATGTTCTTTACATAAGTATCAAATTCATACTGTTACAATTGTTTAGTATATAACAAACCATCCTGAAATTTAGTGATTTAACACAGCATTCTTTTTTTGCTCATGAAATTTGCTTGGCTAGGGTTTGGTGGAGACAGCTTATCTGTGTCTCACATCAGTTAGAGCTACTTTACTGAGCTAGAGGATCTACTATCAAGGTGGTTTACACAGCTGGCAAGTTGGTGCTGGCTGTTGTTTCCTCTCCACATGGACTTCTCTCGGGTCAGTTGAGCTTACTCTTCCCTGGTGGCAGGTTCCAAGACCAGGGAGCATAGGAGACAAAAAGTCCTGGATTCTGGCACAACTTTGTTCTCTTTGTCAGAGTACAATTTCAAGGGGAGGGTACACAGACACCCTCTGCTCCCGTTTGTTGAAAGGAGAATCAAAGGATTTTGGAGTCTTATTTTAAAACTGCCACATGTACTTTAATATAGATAACAAAGGCATTTCTATCCCAATCCAGTTTTCATTGTTTATCTCAAATGCCATCATCACTGTAAACCCTTTCTTCAGCCCATCTAGATGACTAAGTTGTCAGTCCTCACCTCTTGTGAAGTCCTCACTTCACTCTATAGTACTTTGTTGGCTCCCATTATATGGCATTTAGCTTGTATTAGAATATTTAGTGAGTTTGTTTTTCTTATCTTAAAGTTAGCTTGCTACCTCTATATGCAACTCTGAATCCCCTTCAATGTGCTTATGCTGGTGCTTTACTCTTAGTGGTTGCTTAATAAATGAGTTGAAGAAAATAAAAGTAAACATTTATTTTGGCATTGCTGTATTTTGTTTAAATGTTATAAAATAGTAATTTACCAAATAGGACCTTGGTGAACTGCAGGGTTCATGTTGTTTAATGTTGAGATTGCTAGAAGTTAGGCCAGATCAAAAATAAATTATTAAGGTGATAAAGGAAAGTAAATGTTAAGACAAAGAACTATAAAGCAAAATGTATTTTTAATTTGAAAAGCAGAACAAAAGAACAAACTCAACTAAAGGCTGGCAAGTGATATATATTATTATTAATAGAAAACTTTCTGCTTAAAGATAGCTTTTCTGTATGGACTTCTGAAGTTAAGCTGAGATTCTAAATGCAGCAGGCTGATTAGCAATCTTAATTCTATCTGCAATCTTTATCTGCCTTGCATGTAACATATTTACAGAATGGACAAGAAGATGGGGACGTTTTTGAGAGGCCATTTTCCTGTTTATCACTCTAAATAAGTTGGGTAGCAGGCAGTTGGAAATTTAACATTGAAATGCAAGAGGAAAATAGATTGATTTCATAGGTGTTTATTAAGCTCATACTCTGTACCAGTTACCTTTCCCACATCATGTGTCTACAGAGATGTAGTTCCTGCTTATTAGCTTTTGATTAAAAGGGGTATACACATGTAATAAACGGTATGGTAAGGACCAAAATGAAGATAGGCACAAATTACAATGCATTATAACTTTTAATAATAATTTGCTGTGAGAATAGGATTGAAAAAGTACTCTTCAGGTAAAGGATTTACTCCGTGTGCAAGCACTGGAAGAGAGAAACAACTTGGCACCTCGAGGCACTACAAATATTGCCATATCCCTGAAAAAGGAAAGTAGGGGTCATATGAAGGAGGGATCAAATTATGAAGGGCTTTTTCTGCATCATTATGTAGTATAGTTCTGGAGTTCAGGACTTTATCTTATACACAACATATAAAGTCAATGGAGGCTTTGAATTTTACATCAAGTTAGCATTTTATGAAGAATACTTTTTTTTTTTTTTTTTTAGTAACATGGAGGTTATGTTGGATTGGAGAGAATATGACTGAGCCATAGAGAACAATTAGGAATATCATCTAATATAGTTAAAAGATAAAGGCCTGTACTAGATAAGGTTACAGCAATAGCGTTGGGGAAAAAGAAGAGATTTGAGAGATAATTCAGGAGTAGATTGATACAGGCAATTAGATTTGGAAAGCGGGGCAGGGGTTGGGGGTGGGAGGAAGAATCAAGATGTGACCTACGTTTTTGTTTGGACAACTGCTTAGGTGTTAGTATGTTAAGCCAGATAAAGAACATAATTGGAATACTGGTTTCTGTAGAAGATAATGAATTTACTTTTGGTTCTGTTGAATGGGAGTTATAGCAAGATGCTGAGGTTCATAGGTAGTTGATTATTTCATATGGAGCTCAGGAGAAAGGTTGAGGTTATAGATATACAGATTAGAAATAATTGGGAGGCATAGGTGATTATTATTGGAATATGAGATTGAGTGAAATTGCCCAGAGAGAGAAAATAGAGTAAGAGCACCTAAGACAGAACTACAGGGAACATTGACATTTAAGAGTAGATGAAGAAAGAAGAGCCCAGGAAAAAGAATGAATGATCAGAGTCAAAAGTAGAGCTAGATTGGTAGTAAGTAGAAGACTGAAATGAGGCCTTTGAATTTGACAGGTTGCATAACACAGAGAATATGGGCATTTTTGTCATAAAAACCAGAATTTGAATCCTGGCTCCATCTCTTATTTTACTGTGAGAATTTTAGCAAGTTACTTGGCCACTGAACTTTGGTTTCTTCTTTTGAAAACTGGGGATAGGAGTTACCCCAAAGGATTGATATAAATAGTAGATGAAATTAGTAAATTCATATATAGTGCCTAGCATGGTTCCTAGCAGAAAATAGGGATTTGATAAAGAGTAGCTATGTTAATGCAACATTAGTAGTGGTATTATAATGTTGTTGGTGACCAAAGCAGTGATACTTTCAGTGGTGGGTAATACTGTGGTAGCTAAAAAGGAGCACAAAAACCAGATTGAGTTGGGTTAAGAAGTGAAATGCAGAGAAGTTTTTTTTTTTGTTTTTCAAAAAGCTTTGCCTCTATAGGAAGGAAGAGGTTATAAAGTCATTTTTTAGCAATAAAAAGACATTGACCTATTGAGAGTACAATTTGAATAGCGAAATAGGGTAGAAGGTGAATTTGGAGCAGCTTAGTATGAGTGGATGTGAACAGAAGATACAGTGACCATGGACTTCAGAAAGTTTTGAAAGTAGAAGGAAGAGATGTCTTTATTATTTTGATTATTTAAAGGAATTACATTCAAATAAGTTAAAAAATACAGAACTGAAAACAATAGAAATTTACCTGAAAATATATCCCTGTGCCCTAACTATAGTACTATAGTATAAAATTATACTATAGTATAATTTTTTTCACAATTACAAAAAGCAAAATTCACCCTAAGAGTTTCCACATTTGCATATGTGAATAGGCTTAAAGATTCCCCCACCCCCATTACTAAAATCCAATTTCTGAAATTTTCTCTTATGAGTCTTAGAACTGGACATGGGAGTTCAGAAAGCCTTTGACCAGTGCTAGGGAAAATATGAATATTGCCTTTGTAGTTTTGCCAACACTCATATTAAGGAAATTTGGAACCTAGTGGGGTTTTAGTTCACGTAAGGAGCAAGAAAAAACAATCCCATCAAAAAGTGGGCTAAGAACATGAATAGACAATTCTCAAAAGAAAATATACAAATGGGCAACAAACATGAAAAAATGCTCAACATCACTAATGATCAGGGAAATGCAAATCAAAACCAAAATGCAATACCACCTTACTCCTGCAAGAATGGCCATAATAAAAAAATTAAAAAAATAGAAGATGTTGGTGTGGGTGTGGTGAACAGGGAACACTTCTACACTGCTGGTGGGAATGTAAACTAGTACAACCACTGTGGAAAACAGTATGGAGATTTCCTTAAAAAATAAAAGTAGAACTACCATTTGATCCAGCAATCCCACTATGGGGTTTCTACCCAGAGGAAAATAAGTCATTATACGAAAAAGATACTTGCACATACATGTTTATAGCAGCACAATTCGCAATCACAAAAATGTGGAACCAACCCAAATGTCATTAACCAATGAGTGGATAAAGAAACTGAGATATATATATATATATATATATATATGAATGATGGAATACTACTCAGCCATAAAAAGGAATGAATTAACAGCATTCACAGTGACCTGGATGAGATTGGAGACTATTACTCTAAGTGAAGTAACTCAGGAATGGAAAACCAAACATCGTATGTTCTCACTCATAAGTGGCAGCTAAGCTGTGAGGGTGCAAAGGCATAAGAATGACACAATGGACTTTGGGGACTCAGGGGAAAGGGCGGGAAGGGGATGGGAATAAAAGACTACAAATAGGTGCAGTGTATACTGTTTGGGTGATGGGTGCACCAAGATCTTAAAATCACCACTAAAGAACTTACTCATGTAACCGAACACCACCTGTTCCTCAGTAACCTATGGAAATAATAAAGGAACTGGTACTATTAACTAGATGAAAATCCAGGCCTCCTAATTATTGTATGGTGTTCTTCCTACCACAGCTTGATAATAGAACAAAGACAAAACCTTCTAGCAGCATAAAAAGAGTATTTAAAAAATCTGATAAATTAAGGGACGAGTATTTGTATTATAAAACATTCATCCCAATATTATTTAATGGCAAGCTAGAATTATACATTTAAGTTTTTATATAAGTTGTGAATTTATACATGTAAATGACTTCACAAATAACTAAGGGAACATTTAATGTGTAAATTAGTATCTATATATTTTAAATAATTGCCTTAGAAATTCTAGATTGCTTAGTTTTTGATTTATAATAATCGTTGGAACCTTTAGATATGCACTATTTCTGCTAATAGTTATTGCCTGTTAAGTACTTCGCATGTGCTTTGGCTGAGTTCTTTGTCTTGATTTTGTCATTTAATCTTTACAACAAGCATAAGAGGTAAGTATTCGCATTATGAGAAAGCTGAACTGAGTGATGTCATCAACTTGGAAAAGGTAGCATACACATCTAGTAAACAGGGTGGAGCTAAAATTATGACCATTTGGTCCCAGAGTCTTTGCTTTGCACAGCTATGCTGTTTTATCATTAATTTAAGCTTCTGTTTAATATAGTAGTTTTAAAAATATATCATTTGGATTCTATTTGCTTCATTTTTAATTGATATATAATTGTACATATTTTTGGGGTTACATACTTGCATACAATTTATGATGATTAAATCAAGGTAATTGGGATATCTGTCACCTCAAACATTTATCTTTTATTTATGTTGAGAACATTCCAATTCTTCTCTTCTAGCTATTTTGAATGACACATTATTGTTAATTGTAGTCACCCTACTGTACTGTCAAACACTAGCTCTTATTCCTCCTATGTATGTTTTTGTACCCACTAACCAACCTTTATTCATAACCCTTAATAAGTAACCTCTTTGAAAAGAACTTGGTGATGGGTCTGTTTGCTTCATTTTGAATTTAAACCTAATATAGGCATGTCATCATCCTCAGTGAGTATGATTTTTGTTGGGTCATTGATCATTGATGAGGGTGTTAAAACATACTACGGTTGAGAATTAACCTTATGGCATGCTCCTTATGATTTTTTGCCAGATTCATGTGGAATGCTTGGTGGCTCTTTTGGGGGCTTTGTATCTTACGTTTAAGGCAGGAAATGTTGAACATATCTAATATGACTATTTTGTTGAGTACTGGAAACTTTTTAGAGTAATTAATACAAAACTTTATGAATCACAAGTAGTTAAAAGTAGATAAATCTGAGGTATTTTAAATTGAGACTACCAGAACATTTTATAATAGTTTGACAAATACAGATTTGGTACCTTGTTATTTTGAACTATTGAAGATATTGTAACCCTTGATACTTGCTTTTCCTTTGAAAATGATGAAACTACATTTTCTCCCTTTTGTAACTCTGCTATAACATTTTCCCCCTTTTCCTAAATTTAGATTTAGAATTATTAAGGTACATCTCTTTTATGGAATGCTTGACATGGTGTCCTTTGTTAGCTAGTCTCCTTTCAGTGGTGTACTAGTGATAGTAAAAGCATTTCAGGTAATTTTCACTGGGTAAATGCACATTTAGAGGAAGTAGTCTCAAGTCTTCGTGAAGAGGAAGGATAATAGCTGCTTTTATATAGTCTAATAAATGCTAAACTTTCATTTATCTGGAAGAAAAATGCCACTTTTTGAGTTATGCTTTACCTGAAAGTTGGCTGAAAAATGATTTACAGTATTTGATGCCTTATTTTTAAATGAGTAGTTTAAATTATCAAATCCTAATATGATTTTATTGATTTCAGTACCTTTTGCAGCATTTAATGGCTTTCCTAATATGCAACCACCTATTAAGGTGCTCCTTGTGAGTAAAAAATAAAGTTAGCAGCTAATTTGCAGACGTTAGGATATGATTTGTTCAGGTAACAGCTGAAATTTTCTATATAAATTGCATGGAAAGTAGCAAAATATAAAGATGGTTCCATTTATATAATGATACTGTGCTTATAATTTATTATTGCCATGGCTTGGTTAAAGACTAAATTGTGAACCAATGGAAAATTAGTTGATCCCAGTAATTTTAGCTAAAATCATTTGAAAATACTTAGTTGTGTACAAAAACTGTCATCTGAAATAAGTATTCATTAAATGTGAGCTATCAGTTTGCAGACATTATCATATTTAATTCTCATAACAATTAGTTAATATTATCCTAATTTTACAGATAAAATAACAGGTTTATCAAAGTTAAGTAACCTATCTGAAGTCATGTAGCCAGAGCCAGGATTCCAACCAAATCTTTCTAACTGCAGGGCCCTGGTTCTTAGCTAGTAGACTAGATTGGGATGAACTAAGATCTGATGCTAGAGCTGTACTTTCAATTGCAATGAACTTTCATGTAATTCTTTAACTGTCAAATAAAGTCCAAGTGTTTTGCTTCTGGACATATGTATTTTTACTATTTATGCCAATTAAAAATTACTTACTTAGTTTCAGCTCACTAATTCAGGATTTGTGATAATTTAATGTGATAGGTAGAATTGAAAAAGTATAAAGGCTTCTTTATGTGAAATCTTACCACTGACATTCAAGTAAAATATTGGTGGGAATAGAGAATAATAGAATTCAATTTTATGTTACTGAGTACAAGTCATGAAACTTTTTTTGTAAAGAGCCAGATAGTAAATATAGTTAAATGGCCCTGAGAGCCATATGGTCTCTGTTGCAACTACTCTACTCTTCTAAAGCAGCCATAGACAATCTGTAAACAAAAGAACTGGCCTGTGTTCTAATAAAACTACAAAAGCAGGCGGCAGCCTGAATTTGGCATGCTTGCTGACCCCTGTTACAGAGAATCTTGTAATTTCTGTAACTATAAGCTAAGATGTATTAATGATGAAATGTTGTTTATATGGAGTAGATCTGTTGAATGTTTTGGCCAAAACAAATTTGCCAAAAGGATAGCAATACCATAAAGGAGAATGGAAATGGTACCTAATAGTAAAAATACTTTTTCAGCATTTCTATGACTACTTAGATTAATTACTTTGATAATTCCAGAATATACTTATTCACTTATCGCTTAGTTTTTAGTTTTTTAAATCTTGAAAAACAAATCTGCAATTTGGAGTTTTGACTAATTCTGATAAACTTTCTTTCCTTTATTATGATGAGGAAGATTACTTTAAAAAGACATGGCACATAATTGGGTGATTTCATTTTACTGGATTTGTTTTGAAAAGTGGTATCAGTAGCTACACTTAGATCATGGCTTGTTGTGTAAACATGTACAGTTGAACTGTAAGTTCAGAAATAGAGTACTTTGTTTTCAATGTCACATATTATAGATTTATTATTATAAGTAATTTTGACACTACAATGCCTTTTGGGGCGTAAAATTTTAATAAATATAAATTGTTTGTGATACTGGCTAATATGGTATATTGGAAATTAAGTCTAGTATGTACTTACTCTTCTCAGAGATTCGTCAGCGAACTGCAGCTCAAAGAAACCTTTCTCCAACACCAGCAAGCCCTAACCAGGGCCCTCCTCCACAAGTTCCAGTATCTCCTGGACCACCAAAGGACAGTTCTGCCCCTGGTGGACCCCCAGAAAGGACTGTTACTCCAGCCCTATCATCAAATGTGTTACCAAGACATCTTGGATCCCCTGCTACTTCAGTGCCTGGAATGGGTAAACAGAGCACTTAATGTTATTTACAGTTTATATTGTTTTCTCTGGTTACCAATAAAACGGGCCATTTTCAGGTGGTATGGAAATGGCATTTCATTTGGAAATAGCAGAGCAGTTATCTGATTAAGCAGGAGTTCCATATTCAATTAGCCATAACTCTTTACAGCTGGCACCTTGTGATACTGAAACCTATTTCTTGAGCTCATTTAACTGTTATGGCTTCTTTGTTTAAATAGCAATAAAACTTTGTATTATTCTGTAGCCAACAGTACAGCATATCTTTTTATATTCAACTTTAGAATGCCTCCAGATTTATATAAAACAGGGATAGAAGAAAACACTTTTGGAATGTATTGATGTTTTTTGCTCAACTCCATACATATATTTTTAAACATGACAACATATTTCAGGAATAATACTCCTGTATTGTATACTTTTGTTAATGTGGGCTAGTAGATTTTTTTTTTTTAAGGCATAGAACCTTAGTATTTTCTGATAGATATTTTATAAAGCTCTATTAAATGAACATATTCTCTTTATTTCATAGATTATCTCTTTTCACTGTGGTGGATCTCTAGGGGAAGATCCCATTCTGAAGTGTAATAGACTATAGTACCCTCCAGTTTCTTTTGGAGTGTGACTGGGGCATGGAAGTCCACTGCTTTAGCACAGATCACATTGTTTTATGTAGATTTCCATGTCATATTGTTGCATATGTTAGTAAATTATTTATTTTGTTTTAGATTATTCTAATGTAGATTACTTTGTTATTTCATGACTAATTACTAATATATAATTAATAATGATTTTGAGGCTAGGCAGTAGCTGATATCAGGTAATCAGAGTATTTGTGTAGTAAAATCAATAAAAAATGGAAATGTCACTTAGTACAGTAGATGTTTTTCCTGTTTTCCTTCAAAAATGCAGCATAAGATTTTAGAAGACTAAAAAAACTCTTCATTTATTAACAAATTAAGAATACTGACTATAAATGAAATGTATACAAATCTTAAAACTTTTAAAATAGTTACATAAAACAATACTTTTAAATTTGACATATAATGACAATACTTAAGGCAGCCATATATTTTATGAAATTGAGAAAAGTTAAATTGATTGAAAATTACTAATGTTTCTGTTGTTATCTGGTTGATTTGAGATACCCATGATTTGTAAATTAAAATTCCTGGTTGTTTAATGAAAGAACTTTTTTGGGTGCGAATGTATGGATTATATACATTTGTATATCTAACTTATTTTAAGCAAAAAGTTTAGCAACATATAAAGTAATAAAAATTGTATTGCACATGTAAGAATAGGGCTATAGAAGGAATAATAGCCTAGATTTTATGATCATGTAAATATAACATGTTTTACTGAAGTTTTTAATTAGTTTCTGTGTGAAAGACTGTGTTTAAATTGTACATTGTCAAAAATGTGAATGAGTTAAATAATTTATTATAAAGAAGATTAATACTTAGTTTTTTCTTTATGCCATATTTGTGGAAGAGAATCAATTTAATGTGTATTACCACAGAGCTCCCATATGTTTGAAAATTAATAACCAGCAGGTACTTGATAATTTGCCAAGCTGTGTAAAAATGACCAGTATTCCTACAATGATTGCTTTTGATGTTTGTGTTAATTACCATTGTCTATAACAGCATGCATATAAAGGTGCATGTGCAAGAGGTTTAAGATATTTTTATGAAATCTATTATTTCATGTATCCAGATTCTTTTGTGGATATGTTCACTTTAAATATGTAGAAGTAAAATACTCTTGCAAGTTAAGTTGGCTTAAATGCTTTCCAAATCTAATTTGGCTTGCTTATTCAAGTTGAAAATTTGATAATGAGGGATGACCATGTCTGGATTCAAGTTTATTTTTTGATGATAATAATTGAATGTTGTTAGCACAAGTAAACCAGTAACTTAGCTGATGGAATCTTTTTTTTTTTTTTTTTTTTCTTTTGAGACACAGTCTTGTTCTGTTGCCCAGGCTGGAGTGCAGTGTCATGGATCTTGGCTCACTGCAACCTCTGCCTTACGGGTTCAAGCAATTCTCCTGCCTCAGCCTGCCGAGTAGCTGGGATTACAGGTGGGCACCACCAGGCCTGGCTAATTTTTGTATTTTTAGTAGGAGTTTCGCCGTATTGGCCAGGCCGTTCTCAGACTCCTGACCTCAGGTGATCTGCCCACTTTGGTCTCCCAAAGTGCCGGGATTACAGGTGTGAGCCACTGTGCCCTGCCAGTGATGGAAACTTAAAAGTGTATTTGAGAGCCGGGCACGGTGGCTCACGCCTGTAATCCCGGCACTTTGGGAGGCGGAGATGGGCAGATCACCTGAGGTCAGGAGTTCAAGACCAGCCTGACTAACGCGGTGAAACCTCGTCTCTACTAAAAATACAAAAATTAGCCGGGCCTGGTGGCAGGTGCCTGTATTCCCAGCTACTTGGGAGGCTGAGGCAGGAGAATTGCTGGAACCTGGGAGGTGGAGGTTACAGTGAACTGAGATATCGCCACTGTGTCTCAAAAAAAAAACAAAGTGTACTTGATTTCTAATACTAAGAACTTGGTCTAGAACCTAACTTTTATTTACTAATAGCTATAATTTTGACATCAGTTGCCCTTTTATAGATGGTAATAGCCTTTAAGTTTGTGATTATTTACAAATCAAATTTCCTTTTTATTCCTTTAAATTATAAGAATTTAGTATAATGTAGTATTGCTATCCTAAAGCCATCTTGAATACTTGAAAGATTTTGTCATAGCCATTTTGAAACCCTTGTATCCCTATATTGCAGGGCATCTTCCAACAGGGTTCCATTTTGTTTCAGAGTCTTCTATGAAGTCTCCATGTAAACCTCCATTGCTGCCCACCTTATCATGTTCATTCTGTCTTGTTTTACAAAGGCAAACATCACATTTTATTTTATTCTGTCACT
This sequence comes from Homo sapiens, assembly GCF_000001405.40. Classification (NCBI taxonomy): domain Eukaryota; kingdom Metazoa; phylum Chordata; class Mammalia; order Primates; family Hominidae; genus Homo; species Homo sapiens. The sequence continues at coordinate 175,944,532 of NC_000002.12, read as the reverse complement.
GTCTTCTCAGTGCCTTCTGTGTTGTCTCAATTCAGAGTATCTCCTGCAAATAGTTCTCTTTCAGTTTTCAGAGGTTATAGGGTTACAATTCATAATGTTTGAATGTGTAACTCTTTATTTTTGTTATTATTTTTATATAAAATAAAAATTATTAACTAAATTTTATGTGTTATTCCTCCACTCCCAACTCACCATTAGTATCTTATGATATTGTCTAATTTATTACATGAACACAGTATATTTCTCTTCACTTATTTATGTCATTAATTTCTTTCAGCAATGTTTTGTAGTGTTTGGTGTATAGATTTTGCACATTTTTTGGTTAAATTTACATCTAATTTCATATTTTAATGCTATTGTAAATGGTATTGTTTTATTAACTATTTCCAACTGGTTATTGCTAGTATATAGAAATACAATTGATTTTTGTATATTGCTCTTGTATCCTATAACCTTGATAAACTAATTTATTGGCTCTAGTTAGTATAACTTTTTTGTAGATTACATAGTATTTTCTACATAGCCACATTGTCTGAATAAAGAAAATTCTACTTCTCCCTTTCCAATCTGGTTTTCTTCTATTTATTTTTCTTACCTTATTATATGAGCTATAACCTTCAGTACAATGGTAATAGAAGTGCTAGGAGTGGACATCCTTGCCTTTTTGTTGGTCTTAGGGGAAAAGCAATTATTCTTTCACAGTTTTGCATGATGTTAGCTCTAGGGTTTTTTGTTTTAATAAATACTCCTTATCAGCTTGAAGTGCCCACCTATTCTTAGTTAGCTGAAGGTTTTCTTTTAAATCAGTAATAGATTGTGTATTTTTTCAAATGCTGTTTCTACATCTATTGAGATGTTTATATTGGGCTTTGTTTCTTTGTTTTAATGCCTGTTCATATAGTGAGTTACATTGATTTTTAAATGTTAAACTAACTTGCTTTCTTGGAATAAATCTCACTTGATCATGATGAATTATCTTATATGCATATTGTTGGCTTCGATTTGCTAATATTTTGTTAAAAATGTTTATATCAATACTCATTAGGAATATTGGGTCTGTGGTTTTTTTGTTTATTTTTTCCTTGTCATATCTTTGTCTGGTTTTGTTATCAGAGTTATCAGAGTTATGTCGGTTTCATTTCATAACGTTATGAGTAAGTATTCCCTATTCAATTCTCTGGACAATTTGTGTAGAATTGGTATTATTTCTTCCTTAATTTAAATGTTTCCTTAATTTTAAAGATATGACCAGTTGAAGCATCTGGGCCTGGTTATTTTTTTTTTTTTCTTCTGAGAGAAAAAGGTGTTTTTTTTTTTTAACTAAAAATTCAGTTTCTTTAAGAAAAACTGTGACCAATATCACACATGATCATAGGGGCAAAAATTCCTAACAAAATTTTAACATAATTATTTTTATCTTCTTGAGTGAACTTCGGTAGTTTGGTAGTCTTTCAAGGAATTCGTCCATTTTATCTAACCTATAGAATTTATTGGCATTAAGTTGCTTGTAATAGTCCCTAATTATTCTTTTAATGTTTTTACAATCCGTAGTTATGGCATTTTTCTCCTTTCTGATATTAATAGTTTGTATCTTCTTTTTTTTTTTTCCTGATTAGTCTGGCTAGAGGTTAACAATTATATTGATCTTTTCAAAGAACCAGCTTTTCTTTATTATTTTTGTATTTTCTGTTGTATTAATTTCCTCTCTGATCTTTATTATTTCTTTTATTCTGTACTTTGGGTTTCATTTGCTCTTCTTTTTTAGTTTCTTAATGTGGAAGCTGAAATTATGGATTTTAGTCCTATCTTCTTTTGTAATATAGGTGTTTAATATTATAAATTTTTTCTTTTAAGTATTGCTTTAGCTGCATATTATAAATTTTGATTTTTTTTCCATTTTCATTCAGTTCAAAATACTTTCTAATTTTCATTTTTTCTTTGAATCCTGGGTTATTCAAATGTATGTTATTTAGTCACCAAATATTTGGAGATTTTTCAGATGTTTATCTGCTGCTGATTTCTAATTTAATTATTTTGTTAGAAAACATACATTGTGTTACGTGAATCTTCTTATGTGTATTGATACTTGTTTTATGTCTGAGAATGCCATGTATTGGTAAATGTTTTATATTTACTTGAAAGAACATGTATATGTCATGGGCGATTGGTTCCAGGATCCCCCAGTGGATACTGGAATCCACGGATGCTCAAATCTCTTAAAAGAAATGGCATAGTATTTGCATATAATCTATACATATCCTTCCATATACTTTAAATCATCTCTAGATTACATATAATGCATAATAGAGTGCAGTCAGTTATCTTTTAAGGTGATTTAAATAATAAAAAGTCTTATATATTTACCCACATGATAACTGTTTTAGATTCTTTATTCCTTTGTGTAGATCTTGCTTTCCATCTGCTATCACTTTCCTTCTGCCTGAAGGACTTCTTTTTAACATTTCTTGTATTGTTCTTCTAGTGATGAATTCTTTCAGTTTTGTATATCTGTAAAAGTCTTCATTTAAAAAAGATGTTCATACTGGATATAACATTTTTGACAGTTTTTTCTTTCAGAACTTTAAACATACTGTTTCATCGTTTTCTGGTTTGCGTCTTTTCTGATGAGAAGTCTGCTGTCATTCTTATCTTTTTCTCTGTACATAATGTATTTTTTTTTTGTTTTTTTTTTTTAAGATTTCTCTCTCTCTTCTTTTTCTTTTTCTTTTTTTTTTTTTTTTTGAGATGGAATCTCGCTGTGTTGCCCAGTCTGGAGTGCAGTGGCACAATCTCAGCTCACTGCAACCTCCACCTCCCAGGTTCAAGCAATTCTCCTGCCTCAGCCTCTCAAGTAGCTGGGACTACAGGCGCGTGCCACCACGCCCAGCCAATTTTTGTATTTTTAGTAGAGACAGGGTTTCACCATGTTGGCCAGGATGGTCTCTATCTCTTGACCTTGTGATCTGCCCACCTCGGCCTCCTAAAGTGCTGGGATTACAGGCATGAGCCACTGCACCCGGTCAAGATTTTTCTCTTGATTATTGGTTTTAAGCAATTTGTTCATGCACTGTCTTGGAGCAAAATAATGTTTCTTGTATTTGGGATTTGTTGATATTTTTGAATCTGTGGGTTTATAGATTTAATCAAATTTGGAAAATATGCATTATTTAAATAGTTTTGTCTTTTTCTTCATTTTTCTCCTCTTCTTGATGGACCCCAATTATATATAAATATAAATATAAATATAAATATAAATATAAATATATTAGGCTGCTTGAGACTGTTCTGTGGTCTTGCTCTGTCACCCAGGCTGGAGTGCAGTGGTACGATCATGGCTCACTGCAGCCTCCACCTCGTGGGTTCAAGCAGTCCTTCTACCTCTGCCTCCTGAGTAGCTGGGACTACAGGTGCATGTCACTACACCCAGCTAATTTTTGTATTTTTTTTTGTAGAGATGGGGCTTCCTCATATTGCCCAGGCTGGTCTTGAACACCTGAGCTCAAGTGATCTGTCTACCTCGACCTCTCAAAGTGCTGGGATTACAGGCATGAGCTACTGCGCCTGGTTGTCATTTTGTATGGTTTCTATTGCTATGTCTTAAAGTTCACCAGTTTTTTTGTGTGCAGTGTCTAAACTGTTGTACACATAATCTGTGGATTTTTTTTATACTAGACATTGTAGTTTTTATCTGTAGAAGTTCAATTTGGTTTTAAGTTTTACATTTTTTTATGTCTACTTAGCATACTGAATCTTTAGATTCTCAAACATATGAAATATAGTCATAGTCATAAGAATTGTTTTAATATTGTGTACTAATTCAGTCATTTTCATAATTTCTGGGTCAATTTTGATTGATTTTTCTTATCAGTGATATTTTCCTGCTTATTGGCATGTCTAGTAATTTTTAATCTGTTGCCAGAGATTGTGAATTTTACCTTATTCAATACTGGGTTTTAAAAATTCCTATACAGTACTCTTCTGAATACTTTACCTAATGGCCTGTGTGTTAGGAGGTTCTCCCACTCTGATTGGAAATGGGCAATATTCTTGGCCCTGTATGAATGCTGTTTCTTTTCACCTTTTTGAGTAGTTTTTTTCCTCCATCCTCAGATAGTTTTCTCACATGCATGCACCAGTCAGTACTCTGCTGAATTCTCCAGTAGACCCTCTGCAAATCTTTGTTGTTCTTTCTCTGTGCCTTCTCTCCTGCTTGGTACCCTTTCTTGTGAACTCAATATGCCTTGGCCTTCTCAGAATTCTGGCTTTGTCTCCTCAACTGTGAGAGTCTGCTACATTTCATCTGGGTTTACTTTCTTTTCACTGCCGAGTGGAAACTCTCTATAGGCAATAAGCTGGGGCAGTTGTAGGGCATGTTTTGTTTTTAGTCTTCTCAGGGAACAATAACCTACATTGCTTGATATCCAGTGTCTTTAAAACTGTTACTTCATATGTTTTGCACAGTATTTTAATTGTTTTAGGTGGGACGTTAAATCTGACTCCTGTTGCTCTATTATGGCCTGAAGTGGAAGTCCCCTGATTTACTATCACGTAGGCTTTTAAGAGTTGGAGCATTTTAAAAACATCAGTTTGTACAGAACTAAGCATAATTTTATTTGCTAGTAGTTATGTAGGAATCTACTACAGAATCTACTAGCAAAGGTAGTTCTAATATAGCACATATTTAAATATATTTTGTAGTACAGTATTTTTAATGAAAATTTGAATGTTCTTCAGAGATTTATAAGAATTAGTATTTTGCTATTTTGTTAAAACCTTTTAAAATTTCTAACAAGTATAGGTAGTTCTTGGTAATGGAATTAAATTTTATGTGTATTTCATGTATATAAATTTTGTATGTATTTATTTATTTAATAGGTCTTCATCCTCCAGGTCCACCTTTAGCAAGACCTATTCTCCCCCGAGAACGAGGTGCTTTGGATAGAATTGTTGAATATTTGGTTGGTGATGGTCCACAAAACAGGTAATATTTACTAAGGTGGTAGATAAATGAAAATGAAAACAGGATGTGTGTGTGTGTGTACACACTAGATGTTTTAGTTTTGTGGCACCTATTTTCTGACTTTAGAGCATAGTGGAGTATTTTATAGCCCTGCAAAAGAGTACATATTCAATTATTTGACAGTAGAAGTTTTGACAACATAGTCTGGATTAAATCCATTTTGAAAAAATATTAACTCTGCTATAACTTTTAGAGAAACTGGATTATTTCATTGAAACTTTTAAACTTAAAAAGCAAAAACATAGTTCAACTCTGATAGGTTCTAAGAAGTGGAGCTTTATAGGTATCAGTACTGGACTTGGTGATAGTAGTACTTTTAATGTTAAGAGCAATTTGCATGTATTTATTTCTCAAAATGCTTTTCCAATTATTCTTAAAATAACTCTAGGAAGATCGTATGATATGTACAGAGCAATTGTCAAAGTATAGATTTTTAAAAAATTCATCGGATAATAGATGTTTGACAGCGCTCCTAATTAATATTATTTAAAAAAAGGAATGAGAATTTAGTGTTTATGTAATAAATCGTATGTTATTCAAAATAGAATGACATTTGATATAGCGAAGTATTCATTGAGTATATCCACAGAGAACTGAGAAAGTATATAAATAGATGTTTAGTGTAACTGGGAAAGGTATAAGAATCATGTATAGTAATTAATCTTTGGGTTGTACTAAACAAAATTAAATATGTTTGTTTGCCGCAAGACATCTCAGGTTTTAATAATATTCATTGTGAATCTCTAAGAGGGTTCCAACTTTTCCAGCCTTATCTGACCACAGATTTGGAGGCTTTCATCCCCAGCACTATACTCTGGGAAACACCAAAATTTAAGTGTTCAGTTGTCAAATATGTTTCTGCTAATTTAATAAAGATATATTCATTTAACTGTTAGTTTATTTTAAATTTGATGTATAAATTATATTTTTAAATGCTTGAAATTTGGGCTTTGGTTAATTTTGGCTTTTATTTAATGAATATTGTTTGTTGTTTACTAAGTCTCATATAATTTGTTATGGCATATTTAGCTGTGTTAAAATATAAATTAGCCATGATGGCTAAATTAGTCTCTGTCATGAGCTTTGTTTGCATTTGTAACTGGTCTGTTCATTTTTCCTTACGGTGTAGGTATGCACTTATATGTCAGCAGTGTTTTTCTCATAATGGCATGGCTTTGAAGGAAGAATTTGAATACATTGGTAAGAATTATTGGGCAATGAGATTTAAATATTTTATGCTTAAATATTTTATTCTATGCCATTTTCTATGCAGTGTCATTTTATTTTATATACTCTCTTTGTATACATTGGTTAGGCATATTATCCTTATTTTAGTACATAGAGCAAAGCAGGGAAGACAATTCAGGTTTCTTCCTATATAATGTACAGCCCCTAGGCCAGTTGTTCTCAAACCCCACTGTGCATCACAATCACCCAAAGAGCTTAAAATAATTATGATACCCAGGACCCATTTACAAAGAGTCTCCTTTAATGGACTGAGTATGAGGTCCAGGCATCAGTATATTTTTTAAAGCTCTGCAGATGATTCTCATGTGTAGCCACTATTAAAAACTACTGTGGTAAATTGAAAATGCTTCTGAAATATTATGTACTACATTTTCATGGGTAAATGTGCAAGCTTCTGGATTTTAAAATACCTAATGATTCTGGTTACTAGAAATGTAATCTCACTAATTCATTTAAATCATTAATATTATTCTGCTGTCAACCTGCTGTGTAACTTATTACATAGTTAGCCTGCTATGTAACCTGTTATGCCTTTTCTGCCTTTAATTTTAAAAATTAAAATTCTAATAATTAGGAAGTATGCTTTAGTTCTGTTTAGAGCATCTACCATATTATTATTTAAATAACATACACAGTAACTTTTAAAAGGTTCTTTTGAATATCTGCAAAAGTGATCTTGTGAGTTAACTAATTAGTTCTTGAACTTTGCTTGGTTTGTGGTTTTGCTTATTTTTAAAAAATTCTCTGCAGCTTTTCGATGTGCCTACTGTTTTTTCTTGAACCCTGCAAGAAAAACCAGACCTCAGGCTCCAAGACTTCCTGAGTTTAGTTTTGAGAAGAGGCAGGTGGTGGAAGGTTCAAGTTCAGTTGGTCCCTTGCCATCAGGAAGTGTGCTTTCATCAGACAACCAGTTTAATGAAGGTATGAATATGTTAAACAGTTTTGCCCCTTAATAACATGTGTTATTTAACAGTAATAAAAGCATAATGCTTTTAGATAAAGATGGATTAATTTATCAGATTTTGCTGCATGCATATGTCAACTACGGCTCTGTTACCATAGCCTCCTGTGTGATAGGTGTGATGTGTTTCACTTTTAACATGCAGGTTGTATTGTGATAAGCAACATCTAACATCAGCTAGTTAAATACTGTTTATGGAGTGACCTTTTCTAAAAACTGTTGGGAGATTTGATTAGTAATATTTTCATGGGTTAAGTTTTTCAATTTATCTGAGTGAAACAGATTATTGGAATTATGAAACAACTGTTCAAAGGATAAAATACAAGATTTGTGATTAATATTGATAAAATAGGTTTGTATCTACCACACAAATTGGTAGAAATTACCAGAAAGCAGGAAACTTTGGAATTATAAAGTTATCCTTGCATTTTTTTGGATTACTGTATCAATAGGACTGGTATTTCATTAAAACAAACAATTTTCTAAAGGTTCAGAAGATTAACATTGCCTTTGATGTAAAAATCAACCTTATTTTAGAGAAATAATTTATCAGAATTTATTGGGTTTTAGAATTCATCTTACAATTCTGTTTTAGGAATTCTTGAGGAAGTTTCATGAAAAAATGGAAAAGATGAGGTGGAAGATTAGACTATTGCCAGCTCTTTCTTGCTACAGTATTAATACTTGGTCAGGAGCTCTTTGTTAATTAGCTCTGAATTATGAAGATTGCCACAATTATGAAACAGGCCATAATGTTTTGTTGCTATGTGTGATATGGAAAAAAATGCATATTAGAAGTTTAGTTCACATAATTTATTTACCAGTCAGGATTAATTATTTTAATTTCTAGGAATTATCGTTTACATGTATTTGATATTTTCTTCATAAAAACATTGAGTACTGTAAAAATTGCTTTAATTGAGAATATTATATGAAGCAGTGAATTTTCAGATATCAGAAATTTAGTATGGGATTTGAGTATCGATATTTTTTTTTAACTTTGAAGAGTGAACCTAAAATGTGTGTGTTGAATTGGGCTTGGCTTTTGGCTTACTAACAAATATCAAAGTGAATTTGAATACAGATAGCTATGACAGAGGCCTGTATTCTTCCAACACTGAATCAATGCATTCATCTTCTCCAAGTCTGCAGCATCACCTTCAAACAAAATGTCAATTTTTTTCTTTTGCTTAAGTCGTGCTCTGAGCTGCATGCTGTCACATGCAAACCATCTGCCTTGCCATTGCAGCCTTTTGGAACTGAAAATTAAAGGATTTCATACTGAAGATGCCTAGAGGAAAAATTGAAGTCTTTTCCATGACTAGCCCTGCTTATAGAAGCTAAAGTGAATATCTGTAAGCTAATAGTTGGGACAAAAAAAAAAGACAGGAAGAAACAGTCAACACAGTGAAAATCTTGATAATGAGTCCCATACTTTCTGTCTTCTGCTAAGGTCAAGATAGATAGTTAGCAAACAACACCCAGCTATACCTATCCTTCTCATCTAATCTAGGAGGAGCAATACCCCAGACGTCTCATTTTCTGTCTGAAATTCCTGGAAAGAAGTCTTACTGGCTCAAACCCAACCCCAATAAGGTAATGTTATTACATGAAGACAAAACTGGAGGCAGGGTTTGATAACTCCATAATGCTAAAAACTGAAGCAACAATTCCATTTGGTTAAGATAGTTTCTAGAATAATAACTTTCATACTTCTCTTTGGATTCATCAAAGTGGCTATGAGCATCTTTTTCTTTGGCTTTCCAGAAGATTGAAACTTTTCTCAAGACATCTAACTCAACACTGTGACACACAGTTATCAATTCCAAGCTGGCTTCCTTTAGTAAACAACTAGAAGTATATCTGATGAACAGATGAAGCTGCATTTGTTTTGAACCCCGGTGGCTTATGAGTATATTGAACTATTAATGAAGACCACATCATCTCAATCATCTACTCTTTGCTAACAGACAGTGTTTTAGATTTCTGATTTTTAAATGATGTAGATACTTGAGGTCTGAAAAAAAAACTTTTCTGCTTTAATTCTTATATTATTAAAAGTATTGCAGTGGCTCCTTCTTAGCAGCAGAAAGTGTAGAGATGAAGTTATTGAAGTTACAGATGGAACCAAAAGATAACTTTCTTCCATCCAAACTTTTCTTTAAACAAATATCAGTAACCATTTTTATGAACAATCAAGAATTAATAGAAGAAATATTTTTTTTTCAATCTGTGATGTAAGGATTTTGAAGTTAAGTTTTGCCTGGATTCTGATTTTGGAAGATTTCGCATTTAGGATGGGGCACAAAGCTGTTAAAATTTCTGGACCGCTCTTTAGAAAAACATACAGAATCTTGGAAAGTTTTCATCAAAGGAGGAGACCTAGAAGAAATTTCTCTCATTAATTTCTCACCTGAATACCTGGAATATTTTTTTCTGGAATTTTACATCCAGATGCTTTGGTAATAGATTATTAGAGAAATACAAGAAATTATGGATATAGATTGTCTTTTTGCTTGAGGGCATACTAAATACGGCAAGAAATGAACTGCTTTTAGGTTCCTCAGTTTCTTTTATGGTTAAATAGATAGTACCGTAATACTTGAATCTCTGCTAAGTTACATTAAGGTGGTTTATCAGTTTTACCTTTTTTTAAAAAAGCATTCTTTTTATGGTATGTGATAATCATTAGAGTACTAGGTTTCTACATTGTTGATATTCTAATGCAGTGATTTTTTGGCTAGCATGTTTACAAAATGTTACTGTTAATATTGTGTTTTTATTGCCCAGTTGTGTTTGTCTAGGTCTCATGCAGTTATTTTAGTAGAATATAGTTTTTGTCCAATTGGAAATAACTTCCTAATAATAAAACTCATGGCATCTAATCAATACTATCAAAAATAGCAAGTGAAATTTATATAAGGTAAAATTTAACTTGATAATATGATTTTAGTCCTTCTCTTTCTTTTATGCAAAATACTGTTACCATTAGGTTGCGCTGAACAAGGGAAAATTCTTAGTATTTTTGTTATGCTCCAGGAAATTAAACTATTTGATAATGTAAATTTTGTTGTATTCCATGTATTTACCAGATCCATTAAATAATCTTTTTATACCTTTGTTTATATTTACTTATGTGCAGCCTTCTCAAGATATGTAGTATGTTTTTGCATGTTTGTTTTAGACACAGAGATCTTTTGGCCGTCTCACTCCCTTTTCTAAAACACTTTCACTTAATAGTTTAGTTTTAGATCATTGCTTAATAATTAAACTCTTGGCCAGGCACGGTGGCTCACGCCTGTAATCCCAGCACTTTGGGAGGCCAAGGCGGGCGGATCACAAGGTCAGTTCGAGACCAGCCTGGCCGATATTGTGAGACCTCGTCTCTACTGAAAAATACAAAAATGATCCAGGTGTGGTGGCGTGCACCTGTAGTCCCAGCTACATGGGAGGCTGAGGCAGGAGAATCACCTGAATCCGGGAGGCGGAGGTTGCAGTGAGCTGAGATTGTGCCACTGCACTCCAGCGTGGGTGACAGAGTGAGACTCTGTCTCAAAAAAAAAAAAAAAAAACCCTTAACTTGTCTAATTGATTTGCTCAGAAATGGTAAATAATTAAATGGTATTCTGTATGTTGATGAATACTAGCTATTATGAGTGGTTATAATTTAATTGAATTTTATTTACTGAGTTATTGGGTTGAGTTGGGGTGAAATTTATACCTTTGTTTCTTAAATATGAGTTAGCCATTTTCCTTAAGGCAGGAAAATCTCGTAAAAAGTGCCTTGTTTAAAACTTGTGAGTTAAAGACATATTGTCAATTTTAATTTAACACAGTTCCTTTGGGTAAGTTTGTAGCTTACATAGATAGAGGGTACTGATGTGTTAGCAAGGCAAAAATATATGAAGTTGTTTTGCTAGACTATTATTTAATTTTCTTAAGAAATTATTTTTTCAAGAACTAGAGTAAAAACCTAAACATGATATTCTTTACATGTTTTTGCATGTGTGTAGTTTATAGGTGGGGCAGTGATATTCATTATATAATTACACTGTTTTATGAGTTTCAGTTTTCTAGCTGAGTTGAGACTTTGCCCAAACAACTGGAAGCCAATTGTTACTATTTGGTAAAACAAAATAATAATAATATCTCAAGAATATTGAGGTTGGGGTGGGGTGATGGCAGGAGTGGGGAAAGAAATTGCATGGATCATTTTTTGTTTTATGGCATTGTGGTATATTGTTTTCTTGACATTATAGATGCCAGAGTCGATTTTAAAATTTTTCTTACAGATGGAATTAGGTCATTCAGGTAATTGTTTCATGTCTTAGTCTTAAACTGGGCCATAAAGGGAAGAGTAGGGTTGTTTAATTAGTGTGAACACAAAGCCTGGTTTCTCTTATAGTATTTTATGCCCAAATATTAACATCTTGCGAAATATATTTTATTCCACCAAGCTGTTTTAAACTACAACTTCATGGAAGAAATTTGCTGTTTTTGTTAGAATGGGCAAATGATGTGCTTCCATAAAAATGAAAAAAGTATGTTTGTAACACATTAAATAATCTTATAAAGCTCTGTGATTATTAAATTTATATGTAATTCTCTGTTAATCATTTACACTTAATTATTTAGATCTTGTTTGATGACTTCTTACAAAATGGCATTGGCATCCAAACATCAATACCTATCTTATTTAGACTACCTGATGTCTACATTGTAGATGTCATGTCACATACCAATTTTTTGTAGTGTTACTGCCATTAAAAAATTGCTTTTCTGCAAATTAACCCAGGGGAAGAAACTTAATCATTAATAGGCTCTTTGATTATTTTCAATTTCCACCCATTTCACCAATTTTGTAGTCTTCCACATATTCTCTGAAATACAGTAGTGACTGGAAGACTTCGTGTATCTTGTTTTCTGATTATGATAGCACATGGTATTTCTATGAATTCTTGTATTGCAGACATTTAAAAATTTCAGTATTGTAGTTCTCCTCCTTGTATTAACCATTTCTTTGTGGCCCCAGAATTTGTACATTAAATCGGCTTTGACTAGTAAAGTCTATTTTTGAAAATAGTAACATCACAAAACTTTAATATGACAAGCCTTGAATTTTGATACCTCTCCTGTTTCAGTACAGTATTGAGGCAGTCTGTCAGACAGAATATGACAAACTATGTGGGCCTGTTTTCACTTAAACATGTTTATTGGTGAGTTACATCCTGGATTCTTAGCTTTTTGTTTTTTCATTTCTTGTGGCTTTATTGGTTTGTTTCAGAAGGCTTACTAAACTATAAGAAATTGTGAAGTTCTTGCCAAGTAAATACTGCTCTATGGCCAGAGAGTTGTGGAAAACCATGACGCTTAACATTCTGTCTTGGATACATTCTGTGAGGGTAGAATTACAAATGATTGGTGACTCCTGAAGTTTTCCACGGATAACTTGTTTGCCCTTGTAGCAGAAATGATTTGTACATGCCTGTAGTTTCATTTGCCCTTTCTGCTTTTCCTTTCTGCTCTGGAACATTGAAATAACAAAATTCAAGTGACTTACTGTTTTCTAACTTGGATTTTTATAAAATTCCATGTGTGTAGCAATGCCATTTTAAGTGCCATGTTAAGATACAGATAGGATTTTTAAAAATGAGATTTGGCACAAATTAATTTATGGACATTCCTTACTATTTTTTGTGAGCATAGGAAGTTTTCATATAGTAAAACTATAGAATTTGGGCCTTTATTCTACATATCAAAAGGTGGAAGGTGGTTATAACTAATTATATAAGCCAGAGTCCAAGGTATCTCTTTAAAGAAATAATTCTTTTTAAATATTTTTAAAGTCTTGGCATAGAGTATGTGAGCTATAGATAAACTTGTATGGTAAAACCATGGATTTCTAAGACTTCCATATTAACACATGTGCATATAACACATAATTTCTTTGCAAAACAATTTTATTTATTTAGCAAAACTGACCTTTATTATACAAGGAACTTAATTAGAACTTTTTACTAAGGCTGGCCTTCCCTCCAGAGTTTTTGAATCAGTAACATTTGTAGTATATCGTAAGAAATCATCTATGAGAGTGGAAAAATATGCTTTTTTTCTCAACTGATATGGTTTGGCCATATTTCTACTAGCAAAAATACTAATTGCTGTTTTTTACATAAACAAAGAAATACCTTAAAGCTAGATTTTTATCTTTAATGTAGAAATTGGGTGGCCCAAAGGTTGTCTGCTCCAGTCATTCCCTCCTCCATCCTGTTCTTTAAACCTTAAAGAATTAAAGGCAGTTTATTCAATACAATTGTTATATTATTTTTAAGGGATTTGAATTCAATAATACTTAGAGAGTTTAAAAGGAGTAAATTTTCATGTAGGGACTAGTACCCTTAACTTCTGCTATGGAGATGGGATTAAAAGACCCTTCTCTTTCTCTCCCTAACATGCTAGGTATGTAGTACATTCTGACCCAGAGGTTAAATACAGAGGACTTGTCTTGCAGAGGGATGAGGAGAGACTAGTCATGCCTTTGGAAAAGATAGAAACCTGACTTCCCAGTTTTTGGATAATAGAGATGTATATCAGTGTAGGAACGCACCATCCACCCACACCCACACACACCCACCCACCCACCCACAAAGTACACATTTACATATTACTCACAGGGTTGCCTGGACACAAGGGAAACAGTTTCTTCAGGAAATGTAATCTGGACATTAATACATTTGCATTGTTTGCTGGACTATTGTATTATAGCACATAATTCTGTTGGGACTATGATTTTTGGACTTCAACTTTCAGATGTGTCTTTAGTAACTTATTTTGTATGAAAATATGGGACATTAGAAAAAGTATATTTATGGGTTTTTTTCCTCTGAATTACTTTTTTTTTCTTCTATCATACTAACTGTAAAGAGAGTTATGTACTTATTGTAAAAGATTTTAAGGATAATGTTAGACAATTGTATGGTTTCTTTGTGTGTGTGTGTGTGTGTGTGTGTGTGTGTGTGTGTGTGTGTTTATCTTTTTTGCTTGCCTTATTTAGCAGTTTTAACGTTCAGGTATTCCTAAAGTTTTGAATCTTTATCTTTTCAGAATCTTTAGAACACGATGTTCTTGATGATAATACAGAGCAGACAGATGACAAAATACCAGCTACAGAACAGACAAACCAAGTGATTGAAAAAGCATCTGACTCAGAGGAACCAGAGGAGAAACAAGAGACTGAGAATGAGGAAGCCTCAGTGATTGAAACCAACTCCACAGTTCCTGGAGCTGATTCTATTCCTGATCCTGAACTAAGTGGAGAATCTTTGACGGCAGAGTAGTAAATGCTTCCACGTGCCTTCAACTGGATATTTATAGTCTTACTGATGTCAGTTATTGCTTTTTCGGTGGCACTTACTTTTTTTGCCCCTCTAAGGGTATGCTTGTGTATCATTTGAATTCAGATTGCCTAGCTATTTGAACATCTCAAAGTTATATATACTGGGTATTAAAATTAAAAGCAAGTTATATCAGTGAAGTAAGATCCTTTTGAATGTACAAAGACCCACACTATTGAGACAGCTTTTAGATACTTTTTTGTCCATTCTAAAAGTAAGCAAACATGATTGCCTTCTTGTTTTCTGTATGTATAACCCGTAAATATCCATTTTGACATAGGAAGAACTTTGGTTAAGAGTAAGTTCTCTAATTGTGTTTGTTTTAAGGAATGAAACTTGGTTAAGATTTTGACTACTTCATTATTAAAAATTGATAGAATTTTAGCTCCTGAGATATTTACAACTGGGAGAAATGTCTATTTAGGTGTTTACATTAAGCGGTATGAAAGTTGTTACCACATAGGCACTGGTACGAATTCTCAATAAGAATGCAGTGGAACAGTTAAGTAGAACTGTAACTACGTTGGCACTGGTACGAATTCTCAGTGAGAATGCAATGAAACAGTCAACTGCAGTGTTTCTTTTTGATGTCTTTTATTTTACAACTGGGCCAAAGGCACATTATGTATATAATTAGTTTATATTTACACACTAGCATATAGGAAATATTTCTGCACTTGACCCTATTTGAATTCTGAGCATTATTTATAAGTATAAAATGATGATATATAAGTGAATTTTGTGCTCTTGTTTGTATTTTATTAAGGAAAATGAAAATAATCTGGCATCAGTTTCATTTTGCTAAATATCTAGTCTTCTTCAAACAGTATCTTGGTGGGTGACTTGGCTACCTGAAAAATCTTAGGAGGAATAGCTCACAATACAATAAATCTGTAGATTCTGCTTAGAGCAAATTATGGTACTTTTATTCAGACTTGTTTCCTTTCTAGTTAACAGAAATAGTGACATTTAGAGGTTTTAATCAGAAGTTAGGTTTTTCTGATTCAGGAACATCGTAGGCCAGCCATTTGTAATTTTTAACTTTGAGAAACAAATTTTGTGAGAATAGGTAGTGGGTTGCTGGTAGTTAATTGGATTTAATATTTGTATTAAGGATTAACTGGAAAAAATGTGTCTCAGTGCTAATTCTTGGACCTTTAATACAGTGTGCTTATCTGTTACGGCCTCCTTTTATCTCTCTTCTCCAATATTAAAAAAAATGGAAATCAAATTATTATGCTGAAGGGAAAAATATACCTGTATAAGAATGGTGTGTTTGGCTAATGTTTCTAAGTTGCACACAGTTTATTAACAACTGAACAAAACATTTTTATCATTTAAAAATCTATTTTTATGATTTAATATCTCATATGTGACAGTTTTTTTTTTTTTTTTTTTTTGGAACTCAATCTGTTAACAGTCTGGGACATCCGGTATAGTAACCAGAGTTTTTGAGCCTGCCGTATTGGGCTTAAATTTCAGGTCTGTAGTCTTGGGCAAGTCACCTATAAACTCACTGAGATTATTTTTTCATCTGTAAAATGGGAAGAGTTATGTTTATTTTTGAAGGGTATTAGGATAATTAAAAATAATGTAATGTGCCTAGCACACTACCTGAAAACGATGGCATTTGTTCTTATTAATGTCTTTAAAATATGCAAGGACCATAAGTTTTTCCTCTTGCAGATGAGGAAAGTAAAAAATAATACGAACATGTAATTCAGCTTCTCAGATTCAAGCCAATGTTTTTTGCATCAACTTTTCTATATTGTATGTATGTATATAAATACATAGATTAAGGAAATAGGAAACTGAAACTCTGTGGAATATAAACTTTTTAAAAATAATTTCATCAGGTTTTTTGTATGTTACTGACCCATATGGATTTTAGTAACATCTTGCTTAGTCATGTTGTTATAAAACATTCAAATTCTGATATACATTGCTTGAAAATGAGTGAGTACCTCAGAGAAATTTGATAGACTCAAACAGATAGTATGAGAAATATCTTTGAAAGAAATATGGAGGAAGGTTAAAAGGGGATTAGTAAAATTAATGCGATAGGTAACATGTTTGTAACCATATAGTATCCTTTTAGATACAAAAGCTTATTTTCATTATTATTATAATAAACAGTTAATGGTTGAAACTTAGTAAAATGTCCTATTTCTGATTATTAAGACTAGTATAAATGAGAAAATCCAAGCTATTAAGTACCATTAGCTACAGTGATCTTAGCTTCCTTGCTTACAATTGTTCAGTGGGTCATCTAAATTCTTCTATGTCCTGAGCATGATCTACAAACATGGTCTAGCTTCTGTCTCTCCGTCTTCCCGCCATCATTGTGCTGTAGCCATATGGAACTCCTTTCAGTTCTCTGACCATGCCCTTTCCTGCCTCAGATTTCAGCTTAAATTTTGCCTCCTCAGAGAGATGCCTTCCCAAACTCCCCATCTGAAGCTGGCCTCTGCCTTTTACTCCCTATCATGTCACTCTCTGCTCACCATCCTTATCACAATGTGTATTTGATTTGTTTGCTAGTTTACTGTCTTCACAACATAATGTCCGTTTGTGCAAGGGTCTTATTTTTCTTATTCATGTCTGTATCTCAAGGGTCTAGCACAATGCTTGATGCATATTGTGTGAATAAATACTTTGTTGCCAAATCCAGTGAAAACTCTCAGTTCTTGTTTCACTGCTTGGCAGTATTGACATTGAATATTCTCTGAGATACTTTTTTTCTTTTGGCTTTTCATATATCACACTATTATTCTCTTATTTCTCTGGCCTCTTGCTCTCAACGTCCTGTAAGTGTTGGTGTTCCTTAAGTTCTACCTAGTGTCATCATTTCTTCATTCTGCATATTCTTTCCCTAGGGTTTCTTCCCAACACCAAAGGACTTACCATCTGTCTCTCTGAATCTCAGATCTCCAGCTTTGATCTGTTTCCTTTACTTTAGAGCTATATATTTGCCTGCCTACTGGCCTGTCTCTCACAATCCATATATTCAAGAATGAACACTATACTTTGCTTCAAACCTTCAGAACATTCAAACCGTTTATGTTTCTCATCTAATCAAATAGAGTTACTCTCTAAGCCAGAAGCTGTAAACTCATCTCTTTTCCCTTTATTCAAGCTGTCAATTTTTGTCTCCTAAACATCTTCTAGTTATATTCTCATTTCTCTGTTCACATTGCATTAATAATGATGATAAACATTTGCATTCTTATTCTGTGCCAGGCAACATGCTAACTGCTGTATATATATTATTATATTTGTACTTTGGCAAGAATCCTGTGAAGATTTTTATCTTTGGACTACTAGAAGAGAAAGCTGAGTTGTAGAGAGAGTATGTATTTAAGTCCGTTTGGGCTGCTATAACAGAATACCACAGACTGGGTAACGTGATGAACAAAAATTTATTTGGCTCACAGTTCTGGAACCTGGGAAATCCAAAGGCATGATGCTAGCATCTGGTGAGGGCCTTTGTGCTTTGTCATCCCATGCCAGAAGGCAGAAGGGTAAGAGAGGGCAAGAGTGAGCAAGAGATGGAAGTTGCAACCTCAAGCTCTTTTATAATGAGCATTAATCCATTCATGAGGGCTTCACCCTCATGACCTAAACATCTCCATTAGGCTCCACCTTCCAATGCAACAGTTAGCATAAGTTTTCAACACATGCTTTTTGTAGCATTCAAACCATAGCAGGAAGCAACTTTGCTTAAAATTGTATACCTGGTAAGTGGAAAAAGAGGGATTTGAATATAGGCAAATGACTTCAGAGGATTTACTCTTAATTTCTGTTGTACTGCCTTCTAATCTTGGCCTCCATCATTTCAGATTACCAAAGCTGTCTCTTAACTGGTTTCTTTGTCTCCAACCTTGTGCACTTGCTATCTATTCTGTGTGCTGCAGCCTGAGTTTTTAAAAAACAGAAAATGAGGGGCCAGGTGTGGTGGTGGCTCACGCCTGTAATCCCAGCAAGTTGGGAGGCTGAGGCGGGCAGATCATCTGGGGTCAGGAGTTCGAGACCAGCCTGACCAACGTGGAGAAACACTATCTCTACTAAAAATACAAAATTAGCCAGGCGTGGTGGTGCATGCCTGTAATCCTAGCTACTCAGGAGCCTGAGGCAGGAGAATTGCTTGAACACGGGAGGCAGAGGTTGCAGTGAGCAGAGATTGCGCCATTGTACTCCAGCCTGGGCAACAAGAGTGAAACTCCATCTCAAAAAAAAAAAAGAAAGAAAGAAAATGAATCTGCCACGCCATTGCTTAGACCCTTTAATGACTCTTGAGTGTTCTTGGGATGAGGTCCAAATTTACTAATAAGGCCTGCAAAGCCCTGTGTAATTTTGCTCCTAGTTATGGCTGGCATCTGCACCACAACTACAGCCACTGCCACCTCCCCCTGCCACACACACATTTTAAAAGTAACAATAGTAGTGTTTTCTGTGTTTTGCATATGCAGTCTTTTCTCATCTCCCAGCCTTCTTGAGCTTTTCCTCTGCCTGAGATACGCTCCCACTCACATAGACATTGGGGGCACTAAATAAAAATAGCTGTTTAATTGAATTGGAATCGTTCCACTTGGAACCCAAGTTTGGAAATTTTGCTACTTCTTGTTAAGCTAGGCCTTTTATTCTTGAAGTTGCTATTTCTCATACAAACTCATTTTATGCATTAGACACACAGTCACTATTGTTATGGAGAACATAGTTGTATCAGAAGAGGTATAGCTTTGGGTGTGGATGTGCGTGTGTCAGGGGAAAGATATTCTGATTATATGATGATTTTCATAAAATATAGTATGCTGAGTTTCCGAAAATCCTAAATGACTTAGAAATGGTGCTATATGTGGTTTGTTTGACCCCTGCAAATCTCATGTTGAAATTTGATCCCCATTGCTGGAGGTGTTTTGAGCATGGAGCGGATCCCTCATGAATGTCTTGGCGTTGTCCTTGCAGTAATGAGTTCTTGCTCTATTTTTCCTCCCCTGGAAGCTGATTGTTTAAAAGAGCCTGGTATCCTCCCTCCCTTTCTTCTTTGCTTCCTCTCTCTTGCTGTGTGATCTCTGCACACACCAGCTCCCCTTTGCTTTCTGCCATGAGTGGTCTGAGGCTCTCACCAGAAGCCAAGCAGAGGCTGGCACCATGCTTCTAGTACAGCCTGCAGAACTGTAAGCCAAATAAACTTCTTCTTTGTTTTTTTTTTTTGTTTGTTTTGTTTTTTTTTCAGTAAATTACCCAGCCTCAGGTATTCCTTAACAACACAAATGGGCTAAGACACAGGGTCATAGGGATAGCAGGCACCTGAGCCAAGCCAGAACTTAGATCTCAACTGTTAATGCAGGATGATTTGTATTGAACCATGAATTTTACACTGCCTCTCAATGTTGGTGTCAGCATTTAAGGTTATTTAAAAAATACAACCTGAAGGTTACATAAAGTTTCATTTAAAAAATAAGACCTTATAAGTCTACTTTTATTTCCAGTGGACAGCAACTACTTAATCGTCTTAAAACTTTCTTCTTACAATATTACTTTACAATATTACCTGTTGGATTTATTATCTGTGTACAAATCAGTTAGTTGAAGGGCCAAAGAATAAAGGCATTTTGTGAATTATGAATAGCTATTTTGAAATGGTCATGGAGACTAGCTACTCTAGAAAATTGGGAGAATATACTGTATTAAGTTACTATCTGGTATAACTTCAATTAATTGTGAAAATTGTAGCAGAGATCTAGATATAGTTTATGAACTTCTAAAGAGACATTAAAGGGAATTCAAGTACTTGTGTAAAGATGAACCAAGGTAGAGATGATTGTGAATTGGTGATCTGCTGTATGTTACAGTTATGTAATTTGACTTGTTTCAAAATTATTAAAGTTTTAAGTGTATGCATTCTACTGGTCAATAAGTAAATATATTCAGGCTCTGAATGTAGACAGATAAATATATAAATATAGAAAGTACATTTGTTAGAATACAAACAAGAATAAAAATTGAGTACAGAATGAAAACCTTATTAAATTTTATCACTCCATATATTATTTGTCTCATCCTAATTTCTTTCCTCCTCAGAAACTAATCTACATTTTCTACTTTAATGCTATTTTAAATGACTAAAAATTACTAAATTTATTGGGTAGTAGGTATCTTGCCCCAATTGCCCTTTATCAGTTTGCCTGTGTATGAAACTTGGATTCCACTTAATTTTCCATTCTTGGTCCTCCAGAGCTTCTATCATACCTGGTTTAATTCATACTATTAATGGACTTTAGGAGAAGGAAACACCATCCAGTTATATAGTTCTATATTATTTGATGCTTTTTAAAACCTAGATTTTCTGCTTTATGCATTTTCTCTATTTTTTTTAAGTATTTCTACCTTCCTTTTTGTTTGGCAGCAGAATTAATGGAAGTTGGAAGTACTCTGGAAAGATTAAAAAATGTTCTCAAAAGTCTCCCTCGTAAATTAGACTTTTAAGTTTTCAGTCCAGGATTCTGTGAGAACAGGCCAGATTTTCAGCTGCCAAAGACTTTTACCAGATCCCTGGCACTTGATTTAGGACAACTGGGAAAAATCATTTATTTTCATGAAAATAAATATTTTGAAGGGTGAAGAAAGTGGGAAATTAAATGTACATTGTTTGAATACCTTCTCTCGGTCAGGCACTATGTGCTAAGTACTTTCACACAGTTCTCACAACAACCGTGTGAGGAGATAGAATCCTATCAAACAGATTAAATTCATTCCCCAAGACTAGTTTATGGGCATTGAAAATGGAATCTGAACCTAGGATCTTTAAGTCCATGCTCTTTTTACTACCTATGAATCCTCTCCTTTGGTAGATGTAAAAAATAGATTAATGCTCTTTTTGGTTCCTCATATTTTTCTGATAATTGTTACTTCTTCAGGGCAGTCTTAACCTAAGACTTACCAGACACTCTATTCAACACCCTTCCTTGAAATTCCTTCTAATGTTATCTCCCATATCAAACTATGAACTTCTTGAAGGCAGGACCATATCTGTTGTTGCTCATCATTTTATTCCCAGTGTTCAACACATGGAAGACAATATCTGTTGAATAGGTAGTATGCACAAACAGACCACACAGAATGGGAAATATACTTAGTGCAGATTTTTGTAGTGTGGGGAATTTTGCAAATCTTAAATTGTTTGAACTATTGAGTAGGGAAAGGGCCAGATAACTTGTTCTTCACAATTTAGGCAAACTCCAATTGGTTCCTCTGTCTTTTTTTGATCCATTGTCCACATTGCTCTTGGAGCTTTCTAAAACACACATCTTTAAAAATATTCTGCGACTCACTTGTATATTGCAATTCCGTAGGCAACTTGCAAGGAAGCCCTTCAGAATCAAAAATCACCTTTTCAGCCTATTTCCCAGTACTCTCCTTTATACTCCGGCCATAGATAAGTATTTCATACATCTGAGAGATGCCATGCACTCTCATATGATCTATTCTTTTTAAACTCTCACTTCTTCAAGACCCAGCATTATCTGTAATCTTTTGAGTGACATCATCCTCAACTTTTCTAAGCAGTTACTTGCTTTTTTGTTGATTGCACTTTATATACTTTATGTAACTTGTAGTCTCCTGACCTCTTGTTATTTGTTCTGTCTACCTCCCTCATTTGACCTAACACTGAAGATAGGCCATGTTCCTTAATTTTTACTTTCTCACTTTTGCTGTCCTCAAACAGAATAACAGGAAATAAAAACAAAACCTGTGCCTGTTACAGGTATGTTGAGTGGATTCATATAACTGATAGATCTGACTTTCTCAGCATCAATGGTTGGTGTGCTGCTTCTCTTGAAACTCTTACAAATCCAGGAATTGGAGCTAGAAAGTGAGAAGGACTAGCTCAAGACATAAGAATAGGGAAACTGAGCACATTGAGGGTGGGGGGGATTCATGTGTTTTGTACTCTCAATGCCTGACATAGGAAAAGCTCTCATCATGAATGAATTGAACTGGAGATGACCTCACAACACAGGTGTTCAGGGGGATTACAGTACAGGAGCTCATCCCTCATTCACATGAATCCATGATTTGGATAAGGTTTCTAACTTGTACATAAAATATTTTGTGTTCGTTTAATGAGTTCCCATTGTTGAAGATCCCAATACCCCTCACTCCCTGCTCCCATAAATATCTGTAGAATGAGGTATTTAAAAATATTTTTTGTTTTTATGTTGATTTTTATTCATTATCCGATTTCTGACTCATTTAGTGTTATAACTGGCATTAAGTTAGAAATGGTCTGGATAAAGTTGCTGCTTTTTTGACATCTGTGTCTAGTGGAGCCTGGACACACTCACATGTACATACATACAACATGCAAAATAATGTAAGAGTATTTTCTCTTTCAGTATATAGACCATAGGAATTCAGACCTTAAAGTCAGATACATGCATCTAAAAGTATTAAAAGGGGCTGGGTGCGGTGGCTCACACCCATAATCCTAGTACTTTGGGAAACTGAGGCGGGCACATTACCTGAGGTCAGGAGTTCCAGACTAGGCTGGCCAACATGGTGAAACCCCGTCTCTACTAAAAATACAAAAATTAGGGTGGGGAACCCTATAATCCCAGCTACTCCAGAGGCTGAGAGGAGAACTGCTTGAACCCTGGAGGCAGAGGTTGCAGTGAGCCGAGATTGCAACACTGCACTCCAGCCCAGGCGACAGAGTGAGACTCTGTCTCAAAAAAATAAAATAGGCCGGGCGTGGTGGCTCATGCCTGTAATCCTAGCACTTTGGGAGGCCGAGGCAGGCGGATTGCCTGAGCTCAGGAGTTCGAGACCAGCCTGGACAACATGGTGAAACCCTGACTTTACTAAAATACAAAAAATTAGCCAGGTGTGGCTGTGTACGCCTGTAGTCCCAGCTACTCGGGAGGCTGAGGCAGAAGAATTGCTTGAATTCCAGAGGCAGAGGTTGCACTGAGCCAAGATCGTGCCGCCGCACTCCGGCCTGGGTGACAGAGCGAGACTCCATCTCAAAAATGAATAAATAAATAGCATTAAAAGGAAATGTGTTACTGTACATGGCAAGTGTAATTGAAACTTGCTCTAGTTGTGGTATAATTTATGAATTAAAGCTAACCAAGTTATTCATTGTCTTTTTTTTTCTTTCTGAGATGGAGTTTGGCTCTTGTTGCCCAGGCTGGAATGCAATGGTGTGATCTCGGCTCACTGCAACCTCCGCCTCCTGGGTTCAAGCGATTCTCCTGCCTCAGCCTCCCGAGTAGCTGGGACTACAGGTGCATGCCACCATGCCCAGCTAATTTTTGTGTTTTTAGTAGAGACGGGGCTTTACCATGTTGGTCAGGCTTGTCTTGAACTGCTGACCTCAGGTGATCCTCCCACCTCGGCCTCCCAAAGTGTTGGGATTATAGGTGTGAGCCACCACAACCAGCCTCATTGTCTTTTTTTTTTTTTTTAATTTAAGTTCTAGGGTACGTGTGCACAATGTGCAGGTTTGTTACATGTGTATACATGTGCCATGCTGGTGTGCTGTACCAGTTAACTCGTCATTTGCATTAGGTATATCTCCTAATGCTATCCCTCCCCCTTCCCCCACCCCATGACAGGCCTCAGTGTGTGATGTTCCCCACCCTGCGTCCAAAATGAAACTGGCTACTTGTGTCTTACTGTCTTTAGCAAGAATTCTAAAGGCTTTGCATAGCTGCCATGAGTTGGCTCTTGTTAAATTACAGTGGTTTGCTTTTTAAAAATATCTTTTTTAGCAGCAACAAAAAAGAAAATATATGTGGAACGGACTTGTATTCTCAATTAAGAATATCCACATAGCCAAATAATACATGAATTTTCAGAATGGGATGCTGTGAATTGTGTGAAATAAAGTACAGACTGAAAGAAAATTGATATGCTTGAGACATGTTTTGGGTAGATGTTATAGGTTCTTCCTGGTCCTTTTCAGCACAGTGTTTTCTTTTTTGAAGACCAGATTCTTTTTGTATGTTTGTATGATCTTCTCTTCAATAAGGCAATCTCCTGTAGTTGGGCTTGATGAAATTAAATTATGTTTTATTTATTTCAGAATAACCACAATCACTATAGAAAAAGGAGGGGATTTTTTCCTTTCCACTGTTTCTCCCTGCACCTGAACCATCAAAGGAGAAAACCACAGCTGTTCATGTTTTAGTACATTCTGATAAGACCAATTTATCTACCTAGCAAACAATTGTAAGCAAAAGTTTGAAGCCAGAGTGAATGTCCAACAATTATTTCAGGTCGGGATGGCACAAGACTACTAAATTGTGTGTTGGCAAAGTAGTGCTGTGTATCTGGAGTTGGAAGAAGAGAATGGGAAACAGATGCCTTGCTTTCTAATAAAGAAGCTGAATTTGGGGCAACCGCATTCCAGATGAATAAGAAGAGATATGGCAGCTGCCACCTTCTGTTTTTAACAGTGCCTTCAATGGACATGTAAACAACTCAATTTGTGCATTATAGGTTTTATTGTCTCTAAAGAGTGATTTATATCCTGATTTCTGCATTATTGTCCACCAGGTACTGCCCTCTGTTAGGGGGCCTGCACTAATTTTTTGGACCTTTGTCTTCATTAGTACAGCAATTTTAGCTTGTGATCATTGTACTAGACCTCATTGATAAGCTAAGACAGTCGGAGATTCATAGTGCTGACATCTAACCTTGCCACTGGCGTCTTGACCCTTCTGCTTCCAAAACATGGGTTCACTTTTTTTTCAACCCAAAGTAGAACTCTTATCTATTTTTCACACACATTTTGGGCAGTTTAAAGGATGTTCAGAATCAAATATTGTGCTTTCAAATTTGATAATGTATGAGTACAGAAGGATGACCTTTGATACATAGTCATACATTAACATGCCATGAGCAGTAAATGCACCAATTACCTTTGCTACATCGAAATGGTGCTTTGGTTTTATCTTCAGAGCAATTATTGCAAAAACAAAAACAAAACAAAAATGCACTTATGTTCTAGTTAGGAAATTAGTAAAATTAAGTATTTTTTAAAAGTAGTCCTAACTTATGTATTCATTTTCAACATAAGTTGGTTTTTATAAGATACACTAGTTGGCTAACAAAGGATGTTAATTATTCTGATAATATTAGATTGATAGAAAGCTACTTTGTGTTTTATGAATAGGTTATTTTTCAAGAAGATTAAACACTGTTCTAGTACAAGAATTTTACCATATGTGTTTTAAAATATGTTAATGTCTGTGTCCAGTGGTCATCTAAAGGAATATTTAGTGATGACAAGGACCTTTATGTTGTGGCAACATACAGCTGCATGTAGCTTCTGCTACTATCAGTGGGATTGTTGTCCCAGTGTTTTCATTTATTCATTCATTCCTCTTTTAAGGAATGCCTTCTATATGCTGTCTGTGTGCTGGAGATATAGAGGGAATAAGACATGGACCCCCCGCCCCCAACTCAGGGAGTTCACAGTAGATGCATTTAGTCTAATAGTTCAGTCTTGAGAAGTCCCAAGATGAAACCGTAGTAAGTTCACTTTGTAAGTGCTAAGTGAGGTGTGCATTGGACTTAGAAGATCAGGTTTGTGTTTTGGCTCTGCCACTTTGCAGCAGTATGACCTTGTGAGAAAGCCACATAACCTCTCTGAACCTTAGTTTCCTTGACTATTAAAAAATATGTAGTACACACAGCTGCTGTGAAAAGTGAGAGGAAACGTCTAGGCCAAGTCTGGCCCAGAGTGGGAAACTTCGTTTTCTACTTCCCATCCCTTATTTCTTTCTTCAACTGTCAGTCTGCCAGTTTACAATTTCTCTGTAAATTCCTCTTTTTCTGGTATAGAGGCTGTTAACAGGAATTCAGGGAGTCCAGGGGCCTCTGGAAATTGAAGAATTTTGTAGGTGTGCATGCACATTTCTTCGGGAAGAGAAGGTATAGCCCTCATCTGATTTTCAGAGGGGACCGTGAGTCAGTAGGGGAGAAATGTAGCTCTCTTCTTGGAGAATAGCTAACTATCAAAGATATTATCATTACTGTAATATTTGGATTGATTAGGTTAAAAAAAAATCAATTGGATCTCAACTACCCTTTCTTCAGGCATTAAAGAATTCTTCAAAATATTCCTATGGCCAGAAGCCATACTGTCAGGAGAAAAAGCAGCCATGCCACACTAGCGGCAAAATTAATATACAAATAAATTCAGTGCATGGGTCTTGAATATTTTTAGACTTCTGATAGCTTTATCAAGGATCGCTTTCAAATATAAGAATAGCTTAAAACTTGTCAGGTTAGTAACTTGTCACTTAGTAAAGGTGAATTTTGAAAGTAAGAAGGGAGTATTATAAGGAATCATAAGATATCATACTGGGTTTGATATTGTAAAGACTGTATTTCTACCCCTCCCCACCCCAGCTTGTTCTTTAATTGTCCCTTTGTCTCCCCCTCCCAGAAAGCTCTTGCTTATGCAACGAAGTCATAAAATTAGTTCTTTTTTTAAATGAATGTCTGCCTATTTTTCTCTCTCTTTGTTTCGAATATTGGATATCTAAAGCACAATGATAAAAGTTTTAAAAAGCTATTTCACTGCAATCTATCATTGTAACACATTAATTGTTTCTCTTGGGTTTCCAGTGAGTCTTTAGTCCTTTTAGCTTACACATTTATAAATGGATATGTACACAGCTGTATTCTTAAACCAAAACTGTCTGAGTGAGGTGCTTTGTGTGTGGGATCATACTTGCTCCCTGTAGCTCTGCTCACATGAACTACCATTATTAAAGTTTGGAATCAAGTACAGACCACTTGGTATCATCTGAAGCCATGTGAACCTCTGGCCATGGGAAAGACATTGGAACCCTTTAACTTACTCTTTACAGGCATCAGAGCAGCTGTCAAATGGTAATGTGTTTTTTTCCCTCATACTCAGGCAGGCTGGGGGCTTGGATGCCTAGTCTCACTCCTTTCCCTAGTAACTCCTCTTTATAATTTCTTCCTCAGAATGTATTTTGAGTGTGAGCTTGGATTCTGTAGGCCAAAGCCTGTTGCATGGTAAAATGAGGTTCATGACAGAATTATTAATGACAGTGGAAAAAATAGGTGATCAGAAGGTTCAGAAGTGGGAGAGTGTGTTCAAATAATGCATTTACAATATTTCAAAGTTTTAGGCTGGGCACAGTGGCTCACGCCTGTAATCCCAGCCCTTTGGGAGGCCGAGGAGGACGGATCACGAGGTCAGGAGTTCGAAACCAGCCTGACCAACATGGTGAAACCCCTTCTGTACTAAAAATACAAAAATTAGCCAGGCATGGTGGTGTGCACCTGTAATCCCAGCTACTCAGGAAGCTGAGGCAGGGGAATCGCTTGAACCTGGAAGGCAGAGGTTGCAGTGAGCCAAGATCGTGCCATTGCACTCTAGCCTGGTGACACAGTGAGAGTCCATCTCAAAAAAAAAAAAAAAGTATATATTTTGAAGTTTTAATAATGTGAGAAAATGCCCATGATTTAATATTAAGAGAAAAGTGGATATAAAGTTACACAGTATATATAGTCTGCTCTTACAAGCAAGAACACATACACACAAGTATATATAAAGAACTGGAAAGAAATACAGTCATCTTTTAACTGATTATATTTTGGTTGTAGGATATGGGTTACTTTTTTTCCTTACCCTTTTCTCTGTATTTTCTAAATTTAATATCAAAGATGTATATTACTTTCAACAATTCTAATTTTTAAAGTAAAAAAGTTTAAAATCTAAAATAATGACCTACAACAAATCATTTTATTACAGAAAAATGTTTAAATTCATGTTAATAGTTGTGTCCAAATTCAGAGCATTTTCATATGTGCAAAGTCTCTCAGGAAAGAGTTCACTTACGTTGAGCTTCAAAAGGGAGAGAGAATCAAAGCCTGAGAAGAAGAAAAAGTTTATTTGAGCAGTAAAAATATAGGGACCTCTGTTACTCTGGAAGTAGAAAAGAGGAATGAATGCTTTATGAATGATATGGGTTTAAAAGTTGGGAAGGAAGGAATCTGAGAAGCTCAGATTTCTTTTTCTTGCAGCAGCTTAAAGCACACTCAGCTTGTAGAGTAGTATGAAACCTCCCTGCATGCATTTACGTATTTCCTCCCCTTCCCTTTATAGGCACATATATAGACACACACACAGCTCATTAATTCCTTTAATTAAGAGAAATGGATTTTGTCTTCTATTAAGTACTTGCTTTGTTATACTCAATATGGCACCATAATCTTTGATCTTCCTTTAATATATTTCTTTGGAAATTTCACAACTAAGTTAATATCGAGACTGCTTCTTATGGATATTAAAATAACTTCCTAAACCTAGGTTCTGATATACGTTTTTAAATGATCACAATACAGTTTGCTGTAATGCATGTCAGAGCAGTTTGGTCTAGAATTGTCTTGTGACAGCAATTATAGCAAGATCTAATTCAAGCTCCACAAATCGAGAATTGTGATAATTTGTATTAATAATAGAGGTAAGAATGAATTTCACTATTTAAAAGATTAGAATTTAGGTAAATTTATAGCATATGTAAGATTTTATAGAAATATTTACCTAAGGGGTAGTTATTTTAACTGTCTATGTACAGCAGTATAAGTGAAGGCCACTCTGATGTGCTGGTTTCATATGGGAGAAACTATAATTAACCGAATGCATAATATATAGCCAGCAAGACAGTTTATATACAGTGTCATTTGGTCCTTAGAAGAATTCTTTGAAATAGATGATTTTCATCTCCGTCTTATAAGTATGAAAGCTGAAGTTCTAAGTTCAGTAACTCATCTAAGGTCACTTAGTAAGCTGCAGAGGCAGGATTTGAACACTGCTTGATCTGATTACTCAGTCCATAAACATTTCATGTATCACACAACTTCCATTCTTGTCCATTTATTGAAGTTGCCTTTTTATCTGCAACACTCCTCTTTACCTTGTATACTTTAAAGTGATTAAAATATCCTGTAAAAATGTTCCATAGTGGTTTTTTTATTCAATATTTTGAAGAAATGACGAATATCCTGAAATATGCCTTTGGTAAAATGAGCATTCCTTAGGTTGGCTTGATTTTGCCAAGCACTATTAGAAATTTTACTATTATTAAGAACCAGGATTCCCAGGCAAGATGTCCAAA
The DNA here is from genome assembly GCF_000001405.40 of Homo sapiens. Taxonomy (NCBI): domain Eukaryota; kingdom Metazoa; phylum Chordata; class Mammalia; order Primates; family Hominidae; genus Homo; species Homo sapiens. The sequence continues at coordinate 175,914,742 of NC_000002.12, read as the reverse complement.
TAGGAACAGCTCCGGTCTGCAGCTCCCAGCAAGACCAACGCAGAAGGCAGGTGATTTCTGCATCTTCAACTGAGGTACCCCGTTCATCTCATTGGGACTGGTTAGATAGTGGGTACAGCCTACAGAGGGTGAGCAGAAGCAGGGTGGGGCATTGCCTCACCCAGGAAGCGCAAGGGGTCAGGGAACTCCCTCCCCTAGACAAGGGAAGCTGTGAGGGACCCTTCTGTGAGGGATGGTGCTATCTGGCCCAGATACTATGCTTTTCCCATGGTCTTCACAACCCACAGACCAGGAGATTCCCTCAGGTGCCTACACCACCAGGGCCCTGGGCTTCAAGCACAAAACTGGGTGGCTGTTTGGGCAGACATGGAGCTAGCTGCAGGAGTTTTTTTTTTCATACCCCAGTGGCACCTGGAACACCAGCAAGACAGAACCGTTCACTCCCCTGGAAACGGCCAAAGCCAGAGAGCCAAGTTGTCTTGCTCAGCGGATCACACCCACATGGAGCTCAGCAAGCTCAGATCCACTGGCTTGAAATTTTCGCTGCCAGCACAGCAGTCTGAAGTCCACCTGGGACTCTCCAGCTTGGTGGGGGGAGGGGCGTCCACCATTACTGAGGCTTGAGTAGGTTGTTTTCCCTTCACAGTGTAAACAAAGCCACCAGGAAGTTCGGACTGGGCAAAGCCCACTGCAGTGCCGCAAAGCCACTGTAGCCAGACTGCCTCTCTAGATTCCTCCTCTCTAGACAGGGCATCTCTGAAAGAAAGGCAGCAGCCCCAGTCAGGGGCTTATAGATAAACCTCCCATCTCCCTGGGACAGAGCACCTGGGGGAAGGGGTGGCTCTGGGCGCAGCTTCAGCCAACTTAAATGTTCCTGCCTGTTGACTCTGAAGAGAGCAGTGGATCTCCCAGCACAGCGCTTGAGCTCTGCTAAGGGACAGACTGCCTCCTCAAGTGGGTCCCTGACCCCCATGCCTCCTGATGGGGAGACACCTCCCAGCACGTGTCAACAGACACCTCATACAGGAGAGCTCTGGCTGGCATCTGGTGGGTGGCCCTCTGAGATGAAGCTTCCAGAGTAAGGAGCAGGCAGCAATCTTTGCTGTTCTGCAGCCTCTGCTGGTGACACCCAGGTAAACAGGGTCTAGAGTGGACCTCCAGCAAATGCCAGCAGACCTGCAGAAGAGGCCTGACTGTTAAAAGGAAAACTAACAGACAAAGAGCAATAGCATCAATATCAACAAAAAGGACAACCACACAAAAACTCCATCCAAAGGTCACCAACATCAAAGGCCAAAGGTAGATAAATCCATGAAGGTGAGGAAAAACCAGCACAAAAAGACTGAAAATTCCAAAAATCAGAATGCCTCTTCTCTTCCAAAGGATCACAACTCCTCTCCAGCAAGGGAACAAAACTGGAAGGAGAATGAGTTTGACGAATTGACAGAAGTAGGCTTCAGAACGTGGGTAATAACAAACTCCTCTGAGCTAAAGGAGCATGTTTTAATCCAATGCAAGGAATCTAAGAACCTTGATAAAAGGTTACAGGAATTGCTAACTGGAGTAACCAGTTTAGAGAAGAATATAAATGAACTGATGGAGCTGAAAAACACAGCACGAGAACTTCGTGAAGCATAAAGTATCAATAGCCAAATCGATCAAGTAGAAGAAAGGATGTCAGAGATTGAAGATCAACTTAATGAAATAAAGCATGAAGACAAGATTAGAGAAAAAAAGAATGAAAAGGAACGAACAAAGCTTCCAAGAAATATGGGACTATGTGAAAAGACCAAACCTACGTTTGACTGCTGTACCTGAAAGTGACGGGGAGAATGGAACCAAGTTGGAAAACACTCTTCAGGGTATTATCCAGGAGAACTTCCCCAACCTAGCAAGACAGACCAACATTCAAATTCAGGAAACACAGAGAACACCACAAAGTTACTCCTTAGGAAGAGCACCCCCAAAACACATAATCGTCAGATTCACCAAGGCTGAAATGGAGGAAAAATGTTAAGGGCAGCCAGAGAGAAAGGTTGGGTTACCCACAAAGGGAAGCCCATCAGACTAACAGAGGATCTCTCTGCAGAAACCCTACAAGCCAAAAGAGAGTGAGGACCAATATTCGACATTCTTAAAGAAAAGAATTTCCAACCCAGAATTTCATATCCAGCCAGGCTAAGCTTCATAGTGAAAGAGAAATAAAATATTTTACAGACAAGCAGATGCTGAGGGATTTTGTCACCACCAGACCTGCCTTTCAAGAGCTCCTGAAGGAAGCACTAAATATGGAAAGGAAAAAACTGGTACCAGCCACTGCAAAAACATACCAAAATGTAAAGAGCATTGACACTGTGAAGAAGCTGCATCAACTAATCGGCAAAATAACCAGCTGTCATAAAGACAGGATCAAATTCACACATGACAATATTAACCTTCAGTTTAAATGGGCTAAATGCCCCAATTAAAAGACACAGACTGGCAAATTGGATAAAGAGTCAAGACTCATTGATGTGCTGTATTCAGGAAACCCATCTCACATGCAAAGACACACATAGGCTCAAAATAAAGGGATGGAGGAAGATTTACCAAGCAAATGGAAACCATCTTTCAGGTCTTAGTATAAAGAATAGTTGTGTGGGAAAATTGGCTTGGCTGATACTTACAGATATCATGAATTTCATAGCTTATCAGATTGTCCCTCTTTACACTAGTTGCAGGAAAGCTCAGAGTCAAATCAGAAATATTGTATATTGCCTCTAGTAAATATTTAGACCTCTGTTATAAGCACTTTGAAATGAGCCTAATTCCTGGCTCCATTTTATTTTCCCTACTCTTTCTCACTGACTTAAAAAATTACTTCTAATGTTTGTTATCTTGATATATTTATGAACCAAATAATCTTATCTTACATCCTGTGTGGAACAAGGCAGCAGGATAGACAGACAGCTTGATTGATTGGTTGATTAACCAATACATAAATGGTCTGGATAGAGGCAGCAACATCTTCTTCCTGGAGAGTCTTAAGAACAAGACAATTTTCATGACTTGGGAGTGATTTAGCCAGAAAAACTAGAGCCACACTAATGGCCCAATACTCTCTATGTCATGTGCCAGGTCTTCAGCGCTGCTCCTAGTGGCTCAACAGTTTCTAGTTATTGATTTCCCAAATGATTCAGTTATAGTATCAGTTGTGGGCCCTGTTCTCATATAGACAAAACTGTCAGTGGGAACAGGCAAATCCACCTGGCTAAAAGTAACAAAAAGCTAACTTGTGGGGAAAAAGGATGCAGGGGTTGATACTAAAACTTCTTGATGAAAATTGGAGAAGTCCCTGAAAATTTAGAAAAAGAACAATCATCACGAATATGAACATTATAGATGCATCATTGCTGATACAATCTCAAAAACATGAAGACTATATACTGGGAATATAGGATTGCATTAATATTTTCAGATATTATTTTCTTATTTGATATAATGTAATTATAGTCAGGGCTATGCTTCACCAAATCACTAACTGCTTTAGTCAATTCGTATACATCAATTAGTACACATTTGTTGAGCATTTACATATGCTAGATTGTGTTAAGGATGTGAGATCCATAGATAAGTGAGACATAATCCCTACCCTCAGGGTCCCTACATTCTGGCAGAAGATGGACACATTAACAGTTATAATATAGGGTCTCTAAGGGCAAATCAGAACAAGTTTCACAGAGAAGTTGAGATTTGAATTGGACCTTAGGAATAAGGAGTCACTCAAGGATCAAAGCCAAAGAGGGCAAGATCAGGGAGAGGGTGAGAGTAGAGGCCTAGAGTCATGCAAGACATCGAGGTTCAAGAACAGCCTGGCATTTGCCATGACTGACACTCAGATAGGAATGGGAAAGCATTTTACACGCCCCTGCAATGTTTAGGGCTTTGACCTTTATCCCATATGTGGCAAGGAGCTACTAGTGAATTTTATGCAGGCAGGTGACATAATTAGAATTATATTTGTAAAAAGTAACTAATAGTGATAAAGGAAATGGACAGTTAGAAATACAAAATTATTGAGTTGAGTGTTCTTTATGACCTTCTCGGTATGGGAAATACCAAATTTGGAGTTATCAATATGTGGGTGCACACACTACAATTAAAACTATGGGAATGGGTGAGTTCTCCAATAAAGGAGGCAATAAGAGGACCAAAAGCAATGCCAACAACTTGGTCAGGGGGACAGAGGAAGGCAAGCTATTAAAGAAGACTGAGACAGGATGCCAGAACTAGAAATAATCTGGATTCAAAAAAAGTGAAGTTGTAGATGGACCAGGAGGAGGAGGGGCTGTCAACAGCGCCTAGTAGAGTAGAGCAGTAGGGAAAGACCATTGAGCAGGCATTCAATGGACACTGGGCACTTTTGCAAGAGCAGTTGAAGAAAACAGTGGAAGCAGAAGCCAGACTCTGCAGCTGAAATGGAGAAAGCAGGAGCTGACTTATCTTTTTCAGATGCTTGGCTGGGAAGAGGAGGGAACAAGGTAGGTGTATAAGAGGCACAGTAGAGGAAAGATTCTTTAGAAATTTTGAAAGCTTGAGTCTGTAGGCTGATGGGAAAGTATAGTGAAGAGGGAAGGGTAGAAGGGAGGAGAGGGTTAGGAAGGAATTGATAAGAGAAAAACAGATGGCACAGGTCTTGGGATGGGAGCCAGGAGATGCAAACAGATGAAAGGACAAGTTTTAGAAATTCATCTGGTAGCACTGGGATAAAAGACCAGCTTAGCAAATTATTTGACATTGAAAATACTAAAAAGAAATATGGCATGCCAGCATTTAAAAAATGTGTCAGCCTGTTCTGTTAGACTTTTGAAGACCTAGCCATGTGACCTATTTAGAAGCCAGCCAATAGAAAGAAAGAGTAGTTTAAAATATTTTGTTGTGTTTTGTTTTGTTCTGTTTTAAATAAATCATCCTGGAAAAATTCAGCAGTGCTTGGGAGAGATCTACCCCTCCACCTTTTTTTTCTTATTTAATTGTTTTGATGTAACAAAACACATTGTTTTAAAATTCTTAGATAAAATATCCCATGAATGAACGCTTACTACTTACGGTGTTTGTGAAAGATACTGTGGCTTCCAGGCACAACTCTCAGATCCTATGTCTTTGGATCCTTACCAAGACAGGTAGTATTTCCTCTGTCTTTATAGATAAGGAACTCTGGAGCTAGAACTAGAACCAATTCCAAGTTCCTCTCATCTCTATCAAATATGATGCCTCTTATTAGAAAAAAATGACCACCTTTATCATAAAAAGTACAGAGAAACAAGGACTTTTATACAATTTAAGATCAGGAATACTTCCATCCATAACTCTTCATAATTAAGGACACCTAAGACATTGGCTATCCTCAGTTGTAATTCACATTTCCAAAATTGGCAGCTGGGCTTTTCTCATAGATTGCTCACTGTTTTAATCTGATGCCCAACACCTACTAGGAAATTGCATAAATCAAATATATTTCTTCCTTTTGGCAAATTTTCTTTTGACTTCTTAAGATTATTTGGCTTCTCTGTGCTTAACAATTTGAATTAAATTAAATCTAGCAGAGTCAGGAAACAGAATTTCCAATTTATCTTGTAATAGGACAAATCCTTTAATAGGCTCAATCTTTTTACCAAGAATATAACAAGTTTTAAAATTAAGTATAAGACTTTAAGAAATAAAAGAACTCTTTGCTGGCTGTAAGGCACAGAGCTATGTTTAAAAATACATTAAAGCTGGGTGCTATGGCCTGTGCCTATAGTCCCAGCTACTCAGGAAGCTGAAGCAGGAAGACTGCTTGAGCCCAGGAGTTCAAGTCTAGCTTGGGCAACATAGCGAGACCCTGTCTCTAAAATAATAAAATAAAATAATAAAAATACATTAAGGTGATATTTTAAAAGGCAGGATTAGTTACATATATTCTACCTACAAGCAAACAGAAGCATTAATTTGACTACATAAAATTTCTACAACCATAAGGATGAAACCTCTACATCTCACTTATTTTTAGGTTAATCTACAATACATGACCATGCCACATGACTAGGGAGGAAAATGTGCTATGATTGTAGAGACCAGGCTGGGTGGTCAGGGAAAGCCTAACCAAAAATATAGCATTTGAGCTGGGCTTTGAAGGGTTGTTAGGATGTCAAAAAGATAAGGATTAAAGAAGGAATCTTGGGTAGAATGGCAGAGGAGATACCAACAAGACAAAACTGAAATGTACATGTTTTTAGTCATCCCACCAACAATTCATCTTCTCTTGTCTGTTAAATTTTGAAAATACGGAAATGAACCAGATATGCTCTAAACTCTCATAATTATCATGGTACATGGGGAGAACAGAATCAACAACCCAACAAATAGCACATCAGTGTTTTCTTCCTTTAGGATGCTTTGAGCAACCAGAGGGTAAAGCTGGGACTGCAGCACATTTGGAGCTTTGCATATTGACAAAGCAGGAGAAGGGCCATCCCAGCATAAGGAGCAGCATATACAGACAAATAGATGCTTTTCCTGTAGAGTTTCTTATAATTATGTAACTATGGGAATAATAATAACAATTAACATGTATTGAGCTGTTAACTTTTTGCCAGGTGCAGGTATTGCATCTTCATCAAATCTTCTGTCCCTCTAAGCTAGGTACTATCTCCACTTAACAGATGAGAAAACTGAGGCATAGGGTGTTAAGCACCCTGCCCAAAGTCGCACAGTCAGAAGGGTAGATTTCAGCTCAGGAAGTCTGGATCCAGAGTCCATACTCTTCACTACAATTTCATAACAAATAATTCAGGGGTGAGGTCAAGGAAATGTGGGAGATCTGCTCCTACCAATTTGATAAGCTGTAGAACTGTTATAGACTCAGCATGCTCCCGCTGCACAACTCTGCTATCTGGTTGGAGAACAGTTACATTTTTCAAGTCCTAAAAGTTATCTGGAAAGCAGTCAGTCTCAAACATGCACTGAGCATTCAGAACATTGCACTTAAGACACTACCACCTCTATTCCTGTGGCATTTGTATTTCTGTTTGGAAACTATGGTAAACTGTTATCATGTTTTCTGCCCCAAACCTCCCTCCTATTGAGAACTTCTCTCCCCAACCCCCTTCCTCTTCAACCATGTGATCTCAATGAGAACTGCCATGTTCATGTGTGACTTCTTTGGCCACAGCTGATGGATCTAGATGTGTATCTGTCTGGGCTTTATTGAACTAGAACTGGGAAATGACAGTTTGGTGAATCTAGTGGCAGGAGTTGTAGCATTCTCCACCATGCAAAGCAGGGGTCCCCAACTCCTGGGCCATGGGCCAGTACTAGTTCGTGGCCTGTTAGGAACTGGGCCTGTTAGGAACTGTTAGGAACCTGTTAGGAACTGGGCCACACAGCAGGAGGTGAGCAGCAGGTGAGTGAGTGAAGCTTCATCTGTATTTACAGCTGCTCCCCATCACTTGCATTACCACTGGAGCTCTGCCTCCTGTTAGATCAGCAGCAGCATTAGATTCTTATAGAAGCACAAACCCTATTGTGAATGCATGTGTGAGGGATCTAGGTCACATGCTCTTTATGAGAATCTAATGCCTGATGATCTGTCACTGTTTTCCATCAGCCCCATACGGGACCGTCTAGTTGTAGGAAAACAAGCTCAGGGCTCCCACTGATTCTACATTATGGTGAGTTGTATAATTATTTCATTATATATTACAATGTAATAGTAATAGAAATAAAGTGCACAATAAATGTAATGTGGTTGAATCATCCTGAAATCATTCCCCTCAAAGGTCCATGGAAAAATTGTCTTCCACAAAACTGGTCCTTGGTGCCAAAAAGGTTGGGGACCACTGATGTAGAGGACATTGCTTTACAGCCATTGGGATTGAACCCAACAGACAAAGAGAAACACATTTGAAAGTTGGAGAGAATGCTTAGATCCTGTTTCTGTAAGGTTTAGCCACATGCCTCCCTTGACTGAGTTTAGGTCACGTGAGATAAACCTGTAACCTTCCCAAATGTTTTCCTGTTTCTTAAGCTAGTTGGAGTTCTGCCCCTTGGGGTCAAAAAGGGTTCTGGCCAGGCACAGTGGCTCACGCCTGTAATCCCAGCACTTCAGGAGGCCAAGGCCAGTGGATCACTTGAGGTCAGGAGTTCGAGACCAGCCTGACCAACATGGCGAAACCCCGTCTCTACCAAAAATACAAAAATTAGCTGGGCATGGTGGCACATGCCTATAGTCCCAGATACTCGGGAGGCTGAGGCAGGAGAATTGCTTCAACCCAGGAGGCAGAGGTAGCAGTGAGCCAAGATCATGCCATTACAATCCAGCCTGGGTGACAAAGCGAGACTCTGTTTCAAGAAAAAAAGGGAGAGGTGGGGCTTCTGACTAATACAATCATAAAGGATTTACACACATAAAAAATATTCAAAAAAACTTTTATAAAATAACATGTGAACAAGAACTTCTGTATCTCTATTTAAAATAACATGTAAATATATACAGAGAGTTTGATCAGGGAACCCTTCCCTGAAGGTAGTGATCAGCAACTGTCCAGTGAGTTAACATTGCCAAGTGGTTCAGTTTCGTCCACAGTTCTTAGGACTGTCCCTCTTCTCTGACCCCAGAAATGTTAGGACTAGGTGATCCTATGTGCTTTAAGCCATGGCAGTTCCCCAACAGTTTCCTGAGCTCTTAAAGAATTTGACATTCTAAATCAAAATGATACACAAGCTATAACTCCACAATAAAGCAACAGATTTTTAAATATATATGTTAGAGTCTAAACCCCAAGTGTGCACAAAAAGACAAACATCCCATGTTCTCACTTGTAATTGAGAGCTAAACATGTGTACACATAGACATAGAGTGTGGAATGACAGAAAATGGAGATTCAGAAGCATGAGGGAGTTGGAGGAAGGTGACTGATAAAAAATTACTTAATGGGTATAATTTGAGTGATAAATAAAAGTACTGACTTCACCGCTATGCAATCTGTATAAGTAACAAAATTACACTTGTACCTCATAAATTTACACAAATTTTTAAAATTTTAATAAACCCAAAGTGCATTCTTCTCCCTTCAAAGCCAGAAGTCTAGGACTGTCCACTTACCTCCATGAGGCTGCCATTTCTGAAAGAGACATTGGAACTCCATTTTGGGGATGGCCTTCACAGCTTACCACCTATTTCTCTGAATATTCTCAGCGCTACCAAATCTTTATCATTGGAGACCAGTCTTAACTTCTGAGATGACCCAAATATTTGGAGCCAAGTTTGTTGATTAAGGTGAGCAATCAAACTTAGAAAACGATTTGGTGTCAAAAATAATATTTGAGTATAAATATGAAGATAGATTTTTCTGTCATTATTTACAAACTGCCACTGACAGGTGGTTTTGCTCAGTTGTGTACTGTTATAATTTTATAATACAGTATAGTTTAACTGTAAAGTAAAATATAACATCTTATTTATATGATTTATCTAATCACATTCATAAATGAGGAGAAGGAAAACCTCTTCTCCCTAAATTCAAGATGTTACAATAAGAGCAAAAGGACGGCCAGGTGTGGTGGCTTATGCCTGTAATCCCAGCCCTTCGGGGGTCCAAGGCAGGAGGATTGCTTGAAGCCAGGAGTTCGAAACCAGGCTTGGCAATATAGTGAGACACTATCTCTACAAAAAAATTTAAAAATTAGCTGGGCATGGTGGTGTGCACCTGTAGTCCAGCTACTCGGGAGGCTTAGGTGGGAGGATTGCTTGAGCACAGGTGGTCGAGGCTGCATTGAGCTATGATGGCGCCACTGTACTGCAGCCTGGATGACAGAGTGAGAACCTGTCTCAAACCCCCCCCCAAAATGCAAAGATATGCTGCCAAAATTGATATATTATGCAAACTTGTAAAACAAATCAGGTTTGATTTTTATAGAATCTTCACTTCCAACCTCAACAACACTGAATTATCTGGACCATCATCTAGCCCAAGGGAAACATTTATCACCCAAGGGATGAGAAGTGACAATATACTGAAATTCTTTACTCTAAATGTGCTTATTTTTTCTTTGAAAAACATAGTAATTAAAATATAAACAGGGTTTTTTTTTTTGCCTTTTAGTAAGTTTTCATCCTCGACATTCTTTTGCCCACCTTATGAGACCAATGAGTCTACTGAAGATCCTCCAAGTGCCGAGGAAATAAAGACATTGGAGGATGCCCTTAATATTTTCAGAAATGTTACCACTGTAAAGAGCACTTCCAAAATCTCCTTTTCACATATTCTCTGTGAAGTTATGCAACACAAAGGCTTCAAAGCAATCTCCCAAGTTTCCCAGAAAATAAATACATCTGATTTGAAAAATCTTACATCGGCAAGATTGTGCAAATATTATTCGTACTAGTTAGTTCTTAAATAAATAAATAAGTAAAGTCCCAGAAGATCTTTTTAAATGTCATTTCAAACGCTACAAATAGAACTGTGACATGGCATGGCAAGGCTGACTGTTTTACTTGTACTGTTTTACTGTTTCATATTCTGAGCAAACAGAGAGGCTATTTTCCCCCAAAGAGTTCAGGAGGGCATATGATTTCATTTCTTCAGAAAATTGTTTCTCGGGATTTCAATCTTCTTAGCTGGAGATGACAAAACATAATATCAGAAACATTTATGCTTCTTATTTACTATATTTTCAAAGCATAAATAAAAGCTCAGTATACATTTAAAACAGGTGGATTCCAACTTAGGGATAAATCACATACATATTGCAAAATAGTTTTTATGATGTAAGAACATTTTAATTTTAAAATGTTTAAGAGGAAACCAACATAAAAATAAGCTGTTTAAAATTATTTTGCATTGTCACTCTTATTTTACTCCAGTAGCATTTGATTTTCTAAATCTTATGGTTAATGAGACAACTGATAAAAAAATTAAATTGGATTTTTAGAAAAAGGAATTCAAATGGGCACCATTCAGCTACCGCTTCCTCTTTCTCTTTCTCTGCCCAGTGGTGAGAACTATTTTGGTTTTCAGCCTCATTACAGTTCTATTTATAAAGCACAGTATAAAAACTTTAAACCTCAAATGTTTTAAGAATAAAACAAACCATGCATCTCTGAAAAGATGAGCATAATGGCTTTTTTGTAGCATGCCTAGTGTGCTTCTCAACTGGTCTTGCACAGCATTAGCTGAGCAATTCCCATTGGCATTAATATGCTCTTAAGTTTCTACTGTCCTTTCATTTAAGCAATAATTTGAGGATCAATTCAATTTCATGGGAATTTCACTATTCCAAGCTGGTTTTGTGGCTTTGTGACATACAGAAATTTAGTTATTGAGGTCACTTAAGGATTTGTGGTCTTTTGTGAAGTAATGGAACACATAACACACACATGTCATTAAACTAATGTCATGGATAAGACAAGTTACAAAATAAGGTAGCTTCTGAGGTATGGATGCCCATCACTCTCTGACCCTTCTCTCAGCTCCCAGCTTGTCTGCAGACACCACAGCAAAAAAAAAGGCATTCCAGCAAAATATCAGGGTTGGTCCCTTAAGGGATTTAAGGGACACTTAAAGAATACTTGAATCCTTATTCCATTCTGGTTGCTGTCTTGCATTGAGGCATTGCCTCTAGATCTCTGGTCATACACCAATTTCTGATTTGGGAGTTAGCATCGTATCTCATTAGCAGAGTTCTCCACATGTAGTAGGTGTTCGATATATGCTTATTGAGTTGAAATCGCACCCATAAGATCACATCCATGTAACTGCTTTGCCCAATTAGCCATAAGCAGAAGTGTCTGAGGACAGAACAAGAGTCTTGAGCACTGGTTGGGGGTAGGGGAGAGAGCAGGAAATAAAATCCTATCTGAAAACTCAAAATTCTTATGTAGCTGAACAAGGTTTAGAAAGGGGCTTCAGTGTGTTTCAGCAACTACATTCTTAACATCAAAAATTATTTCTAATGATTTCAAGAAAATTCATAAAATTCACCATTATATGCTTTAGGCAGCATTTTATGGTTTCTCATTTGTTGGAAATGGGAGAGGACTGAGGAATAAGAGCATTGCACTAAAACTGATACGCTGTGAGACTTCTGAACTTTCACACTAATAAACCTACAAAAATGTCAGCAAGTCTCAGGGCTGCTCTGGTAACCCACTATGCACTTTACCAATGATTCTGCTCAAATCTTAGTTTAACTTGCTAGGACAAGCCCTGGAATTGGCCAGTTATAAACAGCTGTATTAACATTCATCAAGAAAATGAAATACAGGCTCTTCTGCTGTAAGCAGTATTTCAGAAAATACATGTACTGTTCAAAATCACAGGACTTCTAGGTAAAACAGGCTTAGGAGAAGACCATTCAGAACTTAAGCAACTTTCTAACAAAAACACCAACAAAAATAATAAACCTAATAAAATATTCTCAGTTTAAAAAATCTATTTAATTTTCTGATTTAAAAGATACTGTGAACACAGGGGAAAAATGAATATTTTACTACAATAAAAGAAACAGAAAGAGAGAGGCTAGCTTGATGGAGGGCATAAAATTAAGGACTGAAGCTACTGACTTGAGGAGATAAAAGCAAAACACCCCTAAATCAGAGAAAGCCACACAATAAGGACTTCCGAGACAAGGTACATGGCGAAACTGTTTATGGCATGATGTTTCCCCTAACTTAGTTAGGCTATGAATTCTATATTCCATGATCTTCCATAGCTGGCTGTATTCAGCTGACAATGCTTTGGAATATAAAGCATTAATAATCTGAGAAAAATCATGTATGACCAACATGACTTCTGAATTACACTAGCCTCATTTCCTATTTGCCAGTTATGTAAGAGCTAACTCATATTACAGAAAGACAGAACAGACTCTACAGGGAAAGTTGTTGCCCAAATGTAGATATGGTATTTTTTGGAAAATAGAAGATGTCTCAGTGTCCTATAGTCTCATTAGTTCTTTAACAACCTAAAGGCAGATGTGTGAACCAAATAAGCCTCCAAGACCCATCTAGTCCTTCCATTTCAGGAATATTCAATTCTGAAGGCTCAAGAGCAATTTGATTTTTTTAATGATAGGTAAATGGCAATAAGTGTAGATGTTATAGATGTGGATGACAACAAATGTAGGTACTAACTGGCAGGAAACTATTGTGTAGTATCTCAAGTAGAAGAGGAATATTCCATAGAGAGGAATAGCCATGATTCTGAAATTCCAGCACAAGGAAGGGGCTCAGTCAAACAGGAGGACAATTAATCAAGTCACCCATCAAGAATACTCGTGCTTTGGAAAACTTGTGCACAAGGTCTATTGGGACTTATAGATCCAGCAAAGGATCTTTTCATTCACAGACCTTTGAAAATGCATTTGTGGTAGTTAACATTTTCCACCTTTTGGGATCGTTCAATTAATGCGTGACCAACAGGCTATGTTCTACTTGTGCTTTTCTACCAAAGAATACATTTTTCCAGGCCTCTTGCTTAGGCTCTTCTTGATTATAAGCAGCCAGCTTTTATAATCTATTTTATCCAGCACAGAATCTGAAACCCAAAATAGAAGCAGTGGTTGACTTCCATAACTGCCTTTTGTTCTACCTTGTTGGCCCCTTTTTGCCCTATTTGAATAGTACCGAATTTCCTTCACACTCGATTCTTTTTTTTTTATTTTTTTTTTTTGAGACGGAGTCTCGCTCTGTCGCCCAGGCTGGAGTGCAGTGGCGGGATCTCGGCTCACTGCAAGCTCCGCCTCCCGGGTTCACGCCATTCTCCTGCCTCAGCCTCCCAAGTAGCTGGGACTACAGGCGCCCGCCACTACGCCCGGCTAATTTTTTGTATTTTTAGTAGAGACGGGGTTTCACCGTTTTAGCCGGGATGGTCTCGATCTCCTGACCTCGTGATCCGCCTGCCTCGGCCTCCCAAAGTGCTGGGATTACAGGCGTGAGCCACCGCGCCCGGCCCACACTCGATTCTTAATGGGATTATTTACCTTGCATACCCAATGAGACAGTACTTTATATAATAAATTCTCTCTTCTGAGATATGTCTGAAAGGGCAGCCTATTCAGCTATTAAAAGGTACAGCCTTTTAACTGAAGGTAGTCTTAAGGCTGGACACAGCTTTCATACTGAGCTTTCAATTACTTTAAGATGTCACCATAGCATACAGAGGTGTTTACATTTACATATACAAATAGATCAGCCATACAAATACCTACTAACTTTGCAAAATGGCTAGTAAAAAAACTCATTTTTACCACATGTATATTGCCCTTGCTTATGTGTGTTAATGAAAAACATGTGTGCTTGTAATGCACATAGGCAGTAAAGAGCAATGATTTTTAATGCATTAGTATTGCTATCAATTATGGGTGCCAATGAAATGCATGGGACTACAATGCATATGAACTCTTCAAATTTCCTTTTAGCGAATAATTTTTCCCTCCACACTTTTTAGCAGAAGTAATCACATTGACTACCTTAATTTCATCTTTTTACATTGTTTCCCAGATGGGAAACTTTTGCACATCTTACTCTCAGATTCTCATGAACATTCCCATCTAGTCTCCTTGATTAAATGTTGTGCTGACCTAAAGAGAATATGTTTTTAGTGGTATCCAAAGGCAACGGAAGAGCAGCTTTCTTAAGCCAAAGTAGATTGATCTCAACTCTCCGGAAAAGAGTAATTGAAAGGAGAATCTACCCCTGGACATAAACCATCTCCTCCAACTCTCTGCAAAAGTCCCAGGAAAATCTAGCCTATATATTAATAGTAACACTTAGAGGCTCATAGGTTATTTCTAGAGAATTCAAATATTTATTGATAATCTATCTTACAGGTACTTGGAGTACAGCAGGGAACAAAACATTCAGAAATTTCTGGCAACACGGATTTTCCTTTCTACTAGGGGAGGGGGTGCAATAGACTAAATAAATAAGTAAAATATAGAGTGTGTTTGTTGGTGATAACATTGCTACTGAATGTTGGTGATAATAGAAAAGCTAGACAGTTTTAATGGAGGGGAAAATGCAGGGGAAGAGAAGATATTTTAAAGATAGTGTGCTCAATTTAGGGACAAGGTATATCTGAGTAAACATCTGGGGATGGGGGTCAAACCAAGTAGAGAGTTTCAAGGCAGGGCCATAAAGAGAAAGGGCTCTGAGCAGGAGTATGCCCAGCATGTTGAGGAATAGCCAGTGCACCAGTGAGGCCAAAGAGAGATGGGATAATAAGAAGAGAAACAGTAAGCAGGGAATGGTGGTGGGTAGTGTAGGACCTTGTGTGCCATCACTATGATGGGCTTCTACTCTAAATAAGATGGGGTACTAGGGGAGGGTTTTTAATGCTGATCCTGTGAACATGATCACTCTAGCTGCTGTTGAGAATGAACTGTGAGAAAAGTAAATGAGAGCCTGCTACAATAACCCAGCTGAGAGGTGAGAGAGGCTTGGATCTGAAAGAAAAGCTGAGCCCATGTCTGGACAGCATGGAGTGAGAATAGAGGCTGCCTACAGAAATAGCCAACATCTAGGTTGTGAATAAATTTATTCACACCTCGAGGTGTGAACCTTTGTTATAAAATACATCTGTACGTGCATCATTTAAGCCTACTGCACATCCACCTTAAAAGCTGAGTCAAATATTTGAAGAATAACAAAAGGACCCTGTGGAATCTTGGGTTTCTATGGCGCTCAGCATGAAAACTAGAGCTACCTAGCCTGCTGGAAAAGATGCCATACTCTGCAAAGACTGATGGAGATGGCCCCAGATTTCTCTTGGGAGGTGTCAGCAAAGGTGGAGGCTGTTGAGGTGGCTGGAAGCAATAGGACAACCCACTTCCTCATTGCTCTCTTCTTGACCTTCCTGGTGGGCCTGAGAATCAAAGACCTAAACCACTTTCTCATCTACCTTATCAAACACCTGGCAATAATACTGGACAGCAAAATGCCTTCATAGAGTTTGTAGAAAAGATGTTCCTTGTGAATAGAACCATCACAAGGCAGGAATTAAATATAATAAATAGGAATCATGAAAAACACATGGAAGAGCCAAAAAAGAATTAACAGAAATGTTGATACTGACCCCAAATTCAACAGAACATGCAAAGTACTGGGGATGAAGGTGCCAGTTGAGCACAGGATGACCACCGAAGGATGTGTGAAGAAGGAAGGGAAAAGGTAGGGGAAGCGGACTTTTATGTAGGGCCAGTGCCTCTAACCAAAGATTAAGTGGAAAAAGGCCGGTGGTCATCAATGCCTGTACCTCTAGGTAAAGTTCAAGAGGATGACAGCTGTGGGTAGCAGCAGCCCATGCCCTTCTCTCCTTGCCTTCTACTGTGCCATAGCAGAAAACCTAGAGGCACAAGAAAATCCAAAGATTTCTTCATTCGAGTACCCCAAATGTCAGACGAGGTGCGGATCTGATAGCAGAACACAGTGTTCCGCTAAGAAACAAGCCAAGCACTGTTCTAAGTGGAGAGTTTAAGGTAACTGTGATATTATTGTATTTATATTTTTATAAATTACATGCTTCCATCAACTGTTCCTAGCTTATAACTCCCCAAAGCCCTTGTTATTTCTCCCCAAGGTGAAGGTGGCTCATAAAAACCCTGCCTTTACTCTAGCCTGGGCCACAGAGCAAGACTCCATCTCAAAAAAAAAAAAAAAAAAAAAAAAAACAAAAAAACCCTGCCTTTCTGTCCTGAAGCTGGTCATAAAGAAATGCTCTGGCCTACTTTGACTGATAAGAGGTCATAAGACCTCCATTTCAGAGGAGGTCTTGCCCCATACCCTGGGGGAAGGAATGCTGCACAGAGAGGCCAAGAAGAATCAGAACAGTTAGGACTTGCTGGGTTTCTGTTTAGTCTGTTAGTATTAGTTCACACCCTGTTTGTCCAGTCACATTTCTACATGGTTGTCCATGCTTCATTCATGCTTATCCAACAAGTCCCCATAAAAGGCCCAAGAGGATAGGGTTTCAGCGAGCTTCCGGATAAACATGTGAAGGGTTCTGAAGGGTGGCGCACCCAGGAAGAACATGGACGTTCCGCGTTCTTTCCCTCATACTTTGCACTATGCATCTCTTCCTCTGTATTCTTTGTAATAACCTTTATAATAAAAAGGTAAATAGAGATGTTTCCCTGAGTTCTGTAAGCCACTCCAGTAAATTAATCAAACCCAAAGAGGGGCTCATTGGAGCCCCAAGTTAAAGCACATTGGTCAGGAGTTCCCGAGACTCGGACTTGCCGCTGGTGTCTGAAGAGAAGGCAGCTTTATGGAACTGAGCCCTGTGGGATCTGACGCTATCTCCAGGTAGATGGTAGCCGAATTGAATCGGAGGACTTCCAGCTGGTGTCTGCTGCGGAACTGATTTCTTGCTTGGTGTGTGCAGAAAAACCCCCACACATTTGGCCACAGAAGTCTTCTGTGTTGATTGTTGTGGTGTGGGAACAGTGTGTTTTTCCACTCACTCAGTACCTAAGAGACGATTAGTCCCTTGTTGAACATCCAGCCAGGAAGAAGTCTGCATCCTTTGTATAAATCAAACCAGCACTTGATGTGTACTCAGAACAAACATTTTGATAAGTGCTTTCCATGAAAAATGTCATTGGAGAGATAATTTTTAAAATGGCACAGAATCGAATAATTTAAATGTTAGATTTAGAAATGCCCTTAGTACCAAGAATAGAAGTGTAATTTATGGACATCTTTTCTGGTGTTGTTACAAATCAACTCCACTCTACATGACATCACAGAGGCATCACAATCAATGGTGAAAGTGGAAAGAATGACAGTGCCCCTTACTACATGGAGGAGGAGCCAGTAAGCAGTGTGATATTCTTTTCTGGTTCTATATATATATATGTGTATATATATATATACACATGTATATATATATATACATATATATGTATATATACGCATATATATGTGTGTATATATACATATATACTTTATATATATACATATATATACTATATATACATGTTTATTTATATATACATATATATACTTTATATATATACACATATATATACTTTATATATATACACATATATACTTTATATATATACACATATATATACTTTATATATATGCACATATACATATACTTTATATATATATACACATATACATATACTTTATACACATATATACTTTATATATATACACATATATATACTTTATATATATATACACATATATATACTTCATATATATATATACTTTAAGTTCTGGGATACATGTGCAGGATGTGCAGCTTCGTTACACAGGTATACACGTGCCATGGTGGTTTGCTGCACCCATCAACTCATCATCTACATTAGGTATTTCTCCTAATGCTATCCCTCTCCTTGCGCCCCATCCAAGGACAGACCCCAGTATGTTTGTTGTTCCCCACCTTGTGCCCATATGTTCTCATTGTTCAACTCCAACCTATGTGTGAGAACATACAGTGTTTGGTTTTCTGTTCCTGTGTTAGTTTGCTGAGAATGATGGTTTCCAGCTTCATCCATGTCCCCGCAAAGGACATGAACTCATTCTTTTTTATGGCTGCATAGTATTCCATAATGTATATGGGCCACAATTTCTTTATCCAGTCTATGATTGATGGGCATTTGGGTTGGTTCCAAGTATTTGCTGTTGTGAATAGTGCTGCAGTAATCATACATGTGCATGTGTCTTTACAGAGGAATGACTTATAATCCTTTGTGTGTATACCCAGTAATGGGATTGCTGGGTCAAATGATATTTCTAGTTCTACCTCATTGAGGAATCTCCACACTGTCTTCCACAATGGTTGAACTAATTTACACTTTCACCAACAGTGTAAAAGTGTTCCTATTTCTCCACAACCTCTCCAGCATCTGTTGTTTCCTAACTTTTTAATGATCGCCATTCTAACTGGCGTGAGATGGTATCTCATTGTTGTTTTGATTTGCATTTCTCTAGAAATGTACAAGTAAATACACAGTACAAGTACAGTGATAATGAGCTTTTTTTCATATGTTTGTTGGCCACATAAATGTCTTCTTTTGAAAAGTGTCTGTTCATATCCTTTGCCCACTTTTTATGGGGTTGTTTGTTTTTTTCTTTAAATATGTTTAAGTTCCCTGTTGATTCCAGATATTAGCTCTTTGTCAGATAGGTAGATTGCAAAAATTTTCTCCCATTCTATAGGTTGCCTGTTCACTCTGATGATAGTTTCTTTTGCTTTACAGAAGCTCTTTAGTTTAATTAGATCCCATTTGTCAATTTTGACTTTTGTTGCAATTGCTTTTGGTGTTTTAGTCATGAGGTATTTGCCCATGCCTATGTCCTGAATGGTATTGCCTAGGTTTTCTTCTAGACTTTTTATGGTTTTAGATCTTACATTTAAATCTTTAATCCATCTTGAGTTAATTTTTGTATAAGGTATAAGGAAGGGGTCCAGTTTCAGTTTTCTGCATATGGCTAGCCAGTTTTCCCAACACCATTTATTAAATAGGGAATCCTTTCCCCACTGCCATTTTTGTCAGGTTTGACAAAGATCAGATGGTTGTAGATGTGTGGTGTTATTTCTGAGGCCTCTGTTCTGCTCCACTGGTCTAAATATCTATTTTGGTACCAGTACCATGCTGTTTTGGTTACTGTAGCCTTGTAGTATATAGTTTGAAGTCAGGTAGCATGATGCCTCCAGCTTTGTTCTTTTTGCTTAGCATTGCCTTGGCTATATGGGCTCTTTTTTGGTTCCACAGACATTTAAAGTAGTTTTTTCTAAGTCTGTGAAGAAATTCAATGGTAGCTTGATGGGAACAGCATTGAATCTATAAATTACTTTGGGCAGTATGGCCATTTTCATGATATTGATTCTTCCTATCCATGAGCATGGAATGTTTTTCCTTTGTTTGTGTCTTCTCTTATTTCCTTGAGCAGTGGTTTGTGGTTCTCCTTGAAGAGGTCCTTCACATCCCTTGTAAGTTGTATCTGTAGGTATTTTATTCTCTTTGTAGCAATTGTAAATGGGAGTTTACTTATGATTTGGCTCTCTGTTTGTCTGTTATTGGTGTATAGGAATGCTTGTGATTTTTGCACATTGATTCTGTATCCTGAGACTTTGCTGAAATTGCTTATCAGCTTAAAGAGTTTTTGGGCTAAGACGATGGAGTTTTCTAAATATACAGTCATGTCATCTGCAAACAGAGATAATTTGACTTCCTCTCTTCCTATTTGAATACGCTTTATTTCTTTCTCTTGCCTGATTGCCATGGCCAGAACTTCCAATACTATGTTGAAAAGGAGTGGTGAGAGAGGGCATCCTTGTCTTGTGCCGGTTTTCAAAGGGAATGCTTCCAGCTTTTTCCCATTCAATATGATATTGGCTGTGGGTTTGTCATAAATAGCTTTCATTATTTTGAGATACATTCCATCAAAGCCTAGTTTATTTAGTGTTTTTAGCACGAAGGGGTGTTGAATTTTATCGAAGGCCTTTTCTGCGTCTATTGAGATAATCATGTGGTTTTTGTCTTTGGTTGTGTTTATGTGATGGATTACGTTTATTGATTTGCGTATGTTGAACCAGCCTTGCATCAGGGATGAAGCCGACTTGATTGTGGTGGATAAACTTTTTAATGTGTTGCTGGATTCAGTTTGCCAGTATTTTATTGAGGATTTTCGCATCAATGTTCATCAGGGACATTGGCCTGAAATTTTCTTTTTTTGTTGTGTCTCTGCCAGGTTTTGGTATCAGGATGTTTCTGGCCTCATAAAATGAGTTAGGGAGGAGTCCCTCTTTTTCTATTGTTTGGAATAGTTTTAGGAGGAATGGTACCAGCTCCTCTTTGTATCTCTCATATAATTCAGCTGTGAATCTGTCTGGTCCTGGGCTTTTTTGTTTGGTTGGTAGGCTATTAATTACTGCCTCAATTTCAGAACTTATTATTGGTCTATTCAGGGATTCGATTTCTTCCTTGTTTAGTCTTGGGAGGGTGTATGTGTCCAGGAATTTATCCATTTCTTCTAGATTTTCTAGTTTATTTGCATAGAGGTGTTTATAGTATTCTCTGATGGTAGTTTGTATTTCTGTGGGATCAGTGGTGATCTCCCCTTTATCATTTTTTATTGTGTTTATTTGATACTTCTCTTTCTTTCTTCTTTATTAGTCTGGCTAGCAGTCTATCTATTTTGTTAATCTTTTCAAAAAACCAGCTCCTGTATTCATTGATTTTTTGAAGGGTTTTTCATGTCTCTGTCTCTTCTAGTTCTGCTCTGATCTCAGTTATTTCTTGTCTTCTGCTAGCTTCTGAATTTGTTTGCTCTTGTTTCTCTAGTTCTTTTAATTGTGATGTCAGGGTGTCAATTTTAGATCTTTCCCGCTTTCTCAGATGGGCATTTATTATATAAATTTCCCTCTAAACACCGCTTTAGCCGTGTCCCAGAGATTCTGGTACCTTGTGTCTTTGTTCTCATTGGTTTCAAAGAACTTATTTATCTCTGCCTTAATTTTGTTATTTACCCAGTAGTCATTCAGGAGCAGGTTGTTCAATTTCCATGTAGTTGTGTGGTTTTGAGTGCGTTTCTTATCCTGAGTTCTAATTTGATTGCACTGTGGTCTGACAGACTGTTTGTTATGATTTTCATTCTTTTGCATTTGCTGAGGAGTGTTTTACTTCCAATTATATGGTTGATTTTAGAATAAGTGCTATGTGGTGCTGAGAATAATGTACATTCTGTTGATTTGGGGTGGAGAGTTCTGCAGATGCCTATTAGATCTGGTTGTTCCAGAGCTGAGTTCAAGTCCTGAATATGCTTGTTAATTTTCTGTCTCATTGATCTAATATTGACAGTGGGGTGTTAAAGTCTCCCACTATTATTTTGTGGGAGTGTAAGTCTCTTTGTAGGTCTCTAAGAACTTGCTTTATGAATCTGGGTGCTCCTGTTTTTGGTGCGTATATATTTAGGATAGTTAGCTCTTCTTGTTGCATTGATCCCTTTACCATTATGTAATATCCTTCTTTGTCTTTTTTATCTTTGTTGGTTTAAAGTCTGTTTTATCAGAGACTAGGATTGCAACCCCTTCTTTATTTTTGCTCATGAAAGGATATCGGGGAATATTCTGACTGATCTCCTCCACTACATTTTTATTGTAGATGAATGTTTGTCTTTTAAAAATGATATTTGCAAGGTGAAGGGTGATACAATTATTCAGCTAGAGCATTCATTTCAGGCATTGGTGCTGTTGTGAACTACTCAGGATTTGGTTTGGATCCACTGTTATTTGGCTTTTCTTCTTGGCACTCTGGTGGGTTTTCCTGAAGTATCCTAAATTTGAGGTTCAGATAGTTTCAGTACATCTTACTAACAGAGTCAGGAACAGAGTTTGCTAACTTCAGAATTTGTTAACAATAGGTAGGATAACTTCATATATATTTAATGATGTACACGTGCAACTAGGCCGGCTGCCTTCTTGTGATGGAATGGCTTGTGCTTCTGCCTTAGAAACAGTCAGTGGCAAAGAACAGGAGTGATTAAGTGCAGGAAGAATGTGGTCTGTGTGCCCTCTCATTATTTCCTTAAACAACAAAATGAAATAATATGTTCCTAATAGTCTGTCCTCAGCAAAGGAGGGGCACTATACCTTCCTTTGGGCCAACATCAAGTGGGTTCTTCTGTTTTCTATGTCACTGCTCATTCTTTTGTTTTTTGGTTATTCATGAGCCAACTGACAAAGACCAGCCCTGGGTGACTGCTTGGCCCCTCTTGTGTTTCTCGCTTTCACCTCCTTTGTCCAACTCCTGGCCTCTGTCGCAAAACTGTCTATGGTCTTCACCACCAGCGAGTGGGACACTTGCTAGCACTGAGCTCCATCTGTCCAGTTCCCCTCCATGTGTGCCTTTCCCGGCTTCCCCAGCTGGCTTACTCAGCTAGGCCCAGTGTTCACTCTGTAACCCCTCCCATCCCCATTCGTTGATACAAGGAGCTGAACCAAATGTTCATATATTAGACAATTGGCAGTTTGGTAGAAAAACAGTACAAAATGAGAATTGTATAGATTTAAAACCACATGTCAAATACATTGATATTTGTTCTTAATCTTTATTTACCAGAGAGGAATAATTGACGATCTAAGCAGCAGAATATTATCTCTTAAAAATTTTGGTTCCAAATTTTGACTGGCTCAGATTTAATCCTTTGAATATAGACTGCACGTCGTATTTTAGATTCTTGTACAGCATCTAATAGGCAGGTTACTTGGGCTGGAAACTTAGAGCCTTGACTTTTCCAAGATACATATTCTTAGATTGAGGCCTTACTTAGTGCTTTAGTTGAAATGTTACTTTCTGTACGTTGCAACAGTTGTCTATAGTCCTCTGAAAATAACTCCTTTTAGCAATTGTGGTTTAGAACTTCTCGGTGTCTGATTTTCTCTGAAATCCTTTACTTCTTTCTCTTTGAGGGAAACTTAATATCTTGTGCATAGGTAACTCATTTTTTTCTTGAATATGATTATTATTATTAATTAATGCTTATTAGAGCCAAGGTAGATATTTCAAACTGGTAGTAGATGTTATTTGCCTGGGACCTGCCAATTTCCTGATCAGGTTCCCATGTGTAACTGAATCTTCTCTACCAGCTATGGAAACCTAATCAGGAGAGCTAGGATCCTTGGAGCGCTGTGCTTCGCTCTCTCTCTAAATAGAATCTCCCTGTCACACGAAATGTTCTGTGAGTCTTTGACAAAACAAGAAACAAAACAGCGTCTGTGACAAGAAGCCCTCAATTTCTGACAGCCAGAGTCTCAGCTTGGCTTTAACAAAGCTGCCAAAACAGCGATTGTCCTTGAGTTCGTTTCCCGGTAATGTTGTTTATAGTCTCTTTAGATAATTGCCACCAGTGACTCCAGCCCCAAGGTCAGCCAGCTTTTCCCACCTAACTCTCCGCTAACCTTCCCAACCTTTATGACACAGAGACTGTCATGGAGAGTCTGCTTTGGCTTTCTGGGGGGCAATTCTGGAGTGCTTACCTAGACCAGGTTTGGGGACTGTGTTGGTGTCATTTCACTAAACTGGATACTGACCTCTCTCCACACTTTCCGTGGCTCCTAAGGGTTGGTAGTCTATGTCCCCTTCTCTCCTGTGGGCATGATCACCACAATGAGAAACCTCCTTATTTGCTCCTTAAGCAAATTATCCTTGTGCTTTTGATAAGTAAACAACAAATAAGCCACTGTGGAACTCCTCTGACTTTCAGGAAAGGTGAGATGTTATGGATTCATTAATATGTAAACTGTAGTATGTAGATCTCAATGAAAGTGACAAACAAGTGCCACACTGGGTATTGCTGAACACAGGAAATGGTTGGTTTGAGCTAATATATACTTTTGGCATCACTTCATCTTAAAATCATACATAGCATCCAGCACCAGCAGGTTGGTTTTATAGCTTCATCTATTACCATCCTGTCACTGTTAATTGTCTTCTTTTACCTCTGCAGTATTCTACAAATTGGGCCTATCCAAAGTGACAGGAGGAAGAACATTAAGCATCTGACAAGATGATATCTAAGTTCAATTTCCTACTCTTTACCTGATTTATACCTGCAGAAGATAATTTTCCTTTCTGTCATAAACAGCCCTATAAATCAGCAGTGCTTATGGAGCAGCCGCATCGAGAGCCCCCAGCTTTGCAGCCTCTGTGTTTCCTATTAGGAAGCCATTACTGCAGAATTTTCCTCCTTCAAACAAAAATGATGAAATTTAATACCACTGAGATTACAAAGATTAAGAGCTGAAGTACTGTTGGGGCTTTTCAATTGAAGCAGCTATCTGAGCAATCTTTGCAAAACTCAATAAAAACAGGGTTTCTGCCTTTGACATCATTATCCATCTGTTTGGATGAAATTGCTGTATCATGGTATAAATCTGTGATACAAGTGACATAACCTCTGAAATAAAAGGGAACATTAACTGCTCTATCTTCTAGAGGCCCTGGGACCGGCTGGCTATAAGCTCACTCAAGTGTGATGGCAGTTATTCTGTGTTTTACTAGACTGGAGACAATTATCCTTTGCTCTCCTCCCCTCTTATGACAAACTGCCAGAGCTTCTGCTGAAATGATCTCAAATAGATTTTCTAAAATGCTTAGTACTAGATTGCCTCCATACATTATTTCTTTTCAATGGGCTGAAAATAAAAACCTAATCCACAAATCAATTGCTACATCTATCAGATGCACATTGGTGCACATTTTATTTTGTTCTATCAAGATTTTATGCTGCTTATATCCTCTTTGCAGCGTTTTACATAGATGGGTGTGCTGCAGGAAGACGGCTTAGCCCAGGGTTCAATAGGAGTCAAGAGACATTTGGTCTTAGGAGTGGGCTCTTGTGAGTGGAGCATTGACGGTAATGTGAAGTGTGAAGGGGGCTCCCCTGATTCCACTCTTCTGGCAGTGGCAACTCCCCAAAGTCCCCTGAAATGCCAGCCAAATTGACGAGTGGATGAAGTGGGAAAAAGATAGATAAAGCCACACATTAGGACACTATCCTGGATGAACTTACTTCCTGCCTTGTTCTTTTTCTTCTAGAGCTGTTCAGCCCAAACGGGGCTCTATCTATCCATGGAACAGGGCGCCATCTTGTCTGCCAAGCTTAATCCCTTGAGTAAAGACTTGAGATGGATATGCCTTAAGAAGCCTGATTTGTAGCTCAAATGTTAACTCATTCAGATGAGTGTGATGGCATCTTTGTGGGTACAAAACGGTTATAGACCTAGACTCATTCTTTTATTAATTGTGCTTGCTGGGCCTTTGTGTGCTACTAATACTGTTAGTCTCTGAGGTGCTGGTTACTCAGCCTAGTAGACAATGCAACAAAAGCAATGAGCCCCTACATTTGCAACACAAGTTATAAATTCCCAATGTGTTCTCATTTGCCAAAAAAAAAAAAAAATTTCAATCTCCAGTAGGCATTTACCTCTCTTGTATTTACAAGTGCAATCCAAAGCACTGATGGGAAACTTCTGTTTTCCTAGTAGAGTAAAACAGGAATATCTTGTGCAAGATCAGGAGAACTGGCTACTCTTCCAAAGGGCAATCAAATACCCTTTGCCCCTTCTCCAAATTTCCCCCCAGACCTCGACACATATACATATTCTCCTGGGACTGTATTATTTGCAAATGAGGACAAGAAATGAAAAAAATTGCAGTGCAAAATGTCTTTCCCGACCCTTCCATTTTTATCAGATGGCCAAGAAAACAAGTCAATTAATAATCAAATTTCCTTAATGTTATAAATTGCTCAGGGAATCCTTGTAATCACTGATATTAGTTGCTTAAAAGGTTGAACCAGAAAAGGGTGAAGCAGCAGTATTTCCCTGGGAATATGCTGACACGGGATCTCATCAAAAGCCGAAAGTGTTTGAAAATATTTGAATCAGTTGAAATATCTGGGGACCTGTACTTGGAAGAGTTTTATAAAATTTATAAAATTTCAGAGACTAAATCTTTCAAACATTTTCTTAATTCTTGAAGACACTATGAACTGGAAAATAATAATTTGGAGAAAACCAATTTTTATGAAATAAAAAAGGAGTTGAGTATGCAAAGACTAGATGATAATCTTTCCAATACATATACTAAATCGGAATTTCAGGGTAGGGGAAAGGGGAGCTAGGGAATATGTACTTTTAAAAGTTCCCCAGGTGATTTTGCTGTGCAGCCATGGTTAGCCAGGGAACCACAGATACAGAGCCTACCAGCTGCTCTTTATCTCCGTGGCAACAGAGGAAGAAGAAGCAGGCATTAACTGTGGCATGAAGTATTTAGGCTAATGTGAGTTTGCTTTTAATTACTAGATTTGCATTTGTCATTATAACCCTTTAGTGGATGTCTTCTCCTTGGCCCAATGCCTAAGATTTGGGTAGCAGCCACCAGGTGATTTTTGCTTATAGATTCTTAGGCTTTTTACCAAATATGCATAAAAGAAAACCATATTATAACCCAAGTCAATTAAACTTTTTCTCCAGAGACTCATACCACTAAAAAGAATGGTATACAAAAATAGCAAACCTAATTGTAAGCATAAACAATGGAATAAAATATAGAACAAGATATAAAGAAATAGGAATGCCCAGGTACACACATATAAGAACATTACTTACCAAGCCTCAACTCTTATAAGGTATATTTAATTTAACTCTGGTTTTTCTTATTGAGGCTAAACCAGAAAACTAATATATCTGATTTTATGTAAAGGACCAGAATTCTCTATACATATACGTGTACTCAAAATCATTTTTTCTGTGAGCTTTAGAAATAAGTATATTTTTTTCTGCAACTTGAGGATCAAAAGGCTTTTTCAATAGTATATCCTTTCATTGAGAAATATTAATGACAATATTATACATGCAGTTTCCTCTGCATATTTTCTGTTTTAATTGCCTTTTCTCCTTCTCTCTTGTAGTGGAGACATCTATTTTTTTCCACAGAATTAAAAAAAATAGATTTAGGGGATACAAGTGCAGTTTTGTTACATGGATATATTGTCTGGTGGTGAAATCTGGGCTTTTAGTGCACTCATCACCCAACAGTGTACATTGTACCAACAGGTGATTTTTCGTCCCTCCCCCTCCCCACCCTCCCACCTATTGGAGTCTCCAGTGTCTACTGTTCCACTCTATATGCTCATATGTACCCATTGTTTAGCTCCCACTTATAAGCAAGAACATGTGGTATTTGACTTTCTTTTTCCACAGAATTTTCTTAGTATTTTCTAGTTTTCTTTTTCCTGCTAAGAGAAGCTTATTGTCTGAGTCAACTTTCGTTCCTGATCTTCACATGCATAAGGTTTTATGAAATCTTTTAATGCTATCTTTTGTTATTTCTTATCATTAATAATAATGGTGATGATAATAATGAATATCTTAAATATTCCTTAAACATTGTTTACTTTTATCTTTTCAAATCAGGAAAGGTTCCCTTGCTAACCAGTTCATGTCCTCCTCCTTGGGTAGTTTGATTCTGGTGTAAAAGGCCTATGATGCAAACTAGACAAAGATTATATTTAAACTAACCCATCATTTCCAAATAATTCACAACTTACTTCAGACCTATAGTTTTCTGTGAGAAAGGAACAAAACATTTTTGTTGTCTAGGCATTTAAAAACAAAAATGAAAAACAATAATTAAAAATTATGTTTACGATGGGAAGAGAGAGATTGCATATACATGGTTCTTGTTTTGGGTAGGGGGACTAGGAACTGCTCATCTACCAGACTTGCACTTTGTTATTGCTTCCCCAGAGGGCTTACTTTCCTGTTTTTGGGGGTGGTGGGGAGTAGAGCCAAATAGACCAAGTGTTAAATGAGTCTGTGTGTGTGTGCATGCACATGTGTGCACATGTGACCAAGTATATCTTGTTGGAAAGGTGAGCTTTGTTGTTTGGTATCCTTAAGTTCACTCAAATGATACAGGTGGAACTAAATAAATGATTTCATGTTTTTGTAAATAACTTCAGTTTCCCTTACCTAAATCCAATTAAATTATTCACAAAGCATTTTCTGGAACAAATGAAAATCCGAAATTCTGCCATCTTTCCCAACTGTGGGCTTGAATAAGCAGGAGGATGCATTAAAAAATGCTTATAATTGATAGTAGCTTGTTCTAGAAATGTAAAAGAGAAGAGCATACATTGTTTTTATAAAAAACCTTTTATTATTTCATGAAACATTGTTAAGAGTGGTTTTGTGCACATTATAGAAAATCTGGAAAATGCAATAAAATAAAAAGAAGGAAATAAATGAACTCAAGTTCCAGTTCCTAAAGATAGCCACAGTTAACATTTTGAAATATTTTCTTTTTCCTTTTTTTTTCCCGGGATTTGGATTATTTTTTTAAAATCAATTTCATAACTCAGAAAGGTCTTATAAGAGATAAAGCTATAGAAAAGTCATTTCTTTGCTGATATATCAATATTCAATAAGATAGTTAAAGGTAAAATTGCTAACTATTATGTTGTCTTTTAATTAACCAAACAATTTAACTTTCACTGGGGAGCCCTAGAAACCTGTCTTCAAAAGATAATCTGAAATGCAGAAAGAGAAACTTAAAGATGTTTATCACAGAATTACTTACTGGGAAATCCCTGGGAAATGATGTCACATTCATATGATTTAATATTACACAGCCACTAAAATTACATTTCTAAGGATTTTAAAAATTACATGAAATGTTTTTGAACCAGTATTAAGCAAAAAAAGCAGATTTCAAAGTTTTATATACAATATGATCTCAATTATATTTTTATAAAGTAGAAAAAATATGGTACAAAAATATACCATTAAACACCAAAGGAGGTGTTATATTGGAATGCTGAGATTATGAGTAAATCTGATTTTTCCTCTGTAATTTTCTGCATATTCAAACATTTCTACAATGAATAAAGACCTCTTTCATAACTGCATTTTTGAAAATAAAAACAATACTCACTGTCACCTTGCCCCATATCTGGGTACCATATTTAGAACACAGAGGAAGAAATTAATAGCACCAAGCATCTTTTCCTTGGAACACTTCCTGTGCTTCCAATCACATGGCAGCTGTTTGCTCGATAATAGTCTGCTCTGAGTTTTATAGAAGCAACATTTTTTTTTAATTGAGTGCTTTGAAGAGACTTAAGAGCCGTGTAGAGAGGAAAGTAGGGGCCCTCTCTCGGGCAGGGCTAGCTTGTAACACAGTTTGAAATGTTTTTCAGGGATGGTTACAGCCCTCCCTGTTTGTATCCACCTTTTTCAGATATCATCAGCCCAGGCCCAAGGCTCTTGCAAACCTGCGGATTAACTACTCACTTATCAAAAGGAAGCCTCAGGGAACCAGCATGGGCCTGAGCTGTGCCCTCTGCACAAAGATCTTTGTCCCAGCTGGGTCTCCTTTCCCCGCTTCAGCGACAGAAATGACTACAGAAGCTGGCCCAGGGTTTTCCTGGCTTTACTCCTGGGGATGTGAGGCCTGAAAACGACACCCATTTTTGAATGTGCAAAGGTATGATTTAGTGAAGTCATATCTCTGGGACTTACTTTCCTTGGAACATCTGGGCCTGTGCGCCCTTGTACTGTTCACTGTGAAATTTTCCTGGAGGGTGCATCGGTGACTGCAAAAGACGTTTCCCTCCATTACAACCCTCCAAAAAGGAAGTATTTCCCTATTTTGTTGGTAGCAGGTGGTCAAAAAGAGGGAGGGGCTTACATTACAAAGCACTAGTGTTATTAGTTTAATAAAAAAGAAAATACTTAAATTTTCTCACTAGGCTGGGTGGGAGGGGGAGGAGAAAAGAGGTATCTGGGAGGAAGGAGCTCAGGGATTTTTTAGGGGCCATTCAGGGGCCTGGGCTGGCCAGGTGGGACATGCAGGCTTTGTGACATCTGTGACCGCATGTAGGTCACTGATCAATGTGGCAAAGTTTCTTCAAACTAGGGAAAGCCACGGAGTCCCTGATTGGAAGAGACATGGGATGCTCTCGAGTGGCTTGGGGGCGGGGATTCAAGCGCTTGTCAGTTATGAAGCTTTCCCTATTACAAACAGGAACGAACAAACCATAAACCAACCAACAAATGAAAAAGGTACTTCTATGTGTTTGCGAGGAATCACACACGACCAAGAAGTCCATCTTTGGGGGTTGATGCATGCTCCAGCCAAGGTAAAGCAACAGCTGCTATTGAGGATCCGTGGATAATTGTTAATGGATGGGGGCTTCCTGTGGCAGAGCTAGAGGCTGGGCTCGGGATCTCTCCACCTCCCCTCACCTGCTTGCCCCAGCTTTGCTTCCTGGAATCCTAACTGCTGTCAACCACTTTCCTCCCTGCCCTCCCCAGCCCAGCCTTCCATTCCAGTCACGTTTTCCAGTCCTAGGAATTCACTTTTCTGTCTTCTGGGCCAGGTCCCTCTGATACCAAGGAACAAATTGTAGTTGCTTTGCTCTGAGCTCACCTGCCTGATCTGCCTCCCTGCCCCCACCGGCCTTGCTATTCCTGTTTTTTTTCAAACCCAGCTCCTGCTCAGTCCCTACACCTGTGCTAGCAAGGGCTTACCTAGGTGAACCAGCATCCTGCTCCCAGCTCCCTTCTCATTAAAAGAAGGTGGGGAAGAAGACAGACTTGATTCAGTAACTATAATTTATATATCTATATTATAAATGATCATAACATGCAGTATTATTATAAATTTCAAAATAAAACCAGATTTGAAGTTTTTCTGTGCATTCATAAACACAATAATATTTTGGTAAGCAGTCTTCTGTATATCTTTATCCCCTGCCCTCTTTGCCCTACTACCTCTCCACCCACAAAGACACTCATGCCTTTCTGTATCTCAAATGGGATTACACTCTCTACCATGTTCTTTAATTTTTTAAATTTAGAAACTTCAATTATCTGTTCCTTAATGTGTGTTTTCTTTTATGTTCAACAACGTGCCTGGTTTTCTTTTCATATTAGTAAATTTGGAATCACATCAGTATTTTATAATTGCATGGGATGACACCTTAATTTATTTAAACACACTCCATTTATAGATATTTTATTTACTTTCAATTAATTTTGTTAGCAGTACTCTATTATTTTACATTTATTACTAGTAATTTAATAAAAATGTGAGGAACAATATTGATTCTATCAAAATATCTCCTTTACGTAATTTTCTAATATGTAGAAAATAGAATCAGTGGGTTCAAAGATAAGCACGTTTACTAGTTTGGCTTACATGGCCAAGCTACTTTCATAGAGATCTCTTATTTTATTTTATTTTTTATAAACTAAACTTCAGTCGTGAGAAAAGTTGGTGTAGCAACGGAAGTTCTCTTGTGATATATTCAGAGTGCCCCAGTTTATTTATTATTTTCCTCTGGAAGATAGACACACAGCTCCTTTTCATGCAATATTCCTGAGGAAGTTAGAAACATGCTCACCTGCAAGTTGTTCTACCTTTTGGGGGTGCTGTGTCTCATCTGTGTCTGTCTTACAGTACATGATCCTTTACATGTCTAAGGGTCTATGGTTTTATGATGGCTGGAGAAAAATACAGCAGCCAAATATACTGTTGCCTGCCTTACTTTTAAATTTTATTTTCTTAGGATACTAATTAGACTTTTACTTCGGTCATATGTAACTTAGGAATGATTAATGTGTATACAATGTTAGTCCTCTTCATCCCATCATTACGTTGTTATTGGATATTATTTCTTTATGAAAATGGCGAAATGAACA
Source organism: Homo sapiens (assembly GCF_000001405.40). NCBI lineage: Eukaryota > Metazoa > Chordata > Mammalia > Primates > Hominidae > Homo > Homo sapiens. The sequence continues at coordinate 175,882,496 of NC_000002.12, read as the reverse complement.
TGAAGTGCATTATATTCTTTCCTTTTGGCTCTATTTACACTTCTACCTTACCTCCTAATGTAGGTTTGTTTGTTTATTTTTTTGAGGTGGAGCCTCGCTCTGTTGCCCAGGCTGGAGTGCAGTGGCACGATCTTGGCTTACTGTGACCTCTGCCTCCCGGGTTCAAACTATTCTCCTTCCTCAGCCTCCTGAGTAGCTGGTATTACAGGTGGGTGCCACCACACCCGGATAATTTTTATATTTTTAGCAGAGACGGGGTTTCACCATGTTGACCAGTCTATTCTCGAACTCCTGACCTCAAGTGATCTGCCCGTCTCGGCCTCCCAAACTGTTGAGATTACAGGCGTGAGCCACTGCGCCCAGCCTAATATAAGGTTTTTACAACAGAAATACCTGCTGAACTTTTAACAGTAGACATATACTTTGATGTATGTGACTGTAAGCATAAATATATGTGACGTGTGTGTGTGTGTGTGTGTCTGCCCACTGCATCTTACCAGCAGCTTGCATAATGAAAATGCAGAGGCATTTTGCTAAACATTGGTTCAGTGGTGTTCTTCCTTTTTCTTCTTCTTTTTTTTTTTTTTTGACTTTTATTTTAGGTTTCAGGGGTACATGTGAAGGTTTGTTACATAGGTGAACTCGTGTCACGAGGGTTTGTTGTACAGATTATTTCATCACCCAAGTATTAATCCCAGTACCCAATAGTTATTTTTCCCTCCTGCCACCCTCCACCCCAAGTAGACCCAGTGTCTGTCATTCCCTTCTTTGTGTTTGTGAGTTCTCATCAGTAAGAATGGCTACTATGAAAACAAAAACAAAAAAACAAAAACAGTGGTGTTCTTTCTACTGATTATTGCAGTTTCACTCAAGCAGCCTCTCGCATGAACTTACATATTCCATCCTACTCAATTTTTCAGCTTCTGTGCATAGCGGGCATCTCACTTTGTCATGTCTAAAACAGAACTCATTTCTCCCACTCTCTCCCACAGCCACTCTTCCTACAGACTCTCCCACTTCAGAAGAAAAATGGCAACTTCATTCACTCAGTAAACCTCTCAGTGGCACCCTTCTTTCTCTCACTGGCCAGTTCTATGGGTTGTGCCTGCAGATATGTCCAGGGTCTGACCACATCTCACTCCCTCCACTGCACATGACCGTCTAAGTTCCCATTGTCTTTCACCTGGATAATTACATCAGCCTTTAAAGGGGTATCTCTTGTTTCACTCCTGTTCCCTTACAGTTTATTTTTCACAAAGCAGCCAGAAGGATTTTTTTAAAACTTCATTGAGGTACAATTTTACATTCCATAAAAATCATATGTGTGACGCGTATAGTTCAATGATTTTTTAGGTTATTTATAGAGTGGTACAACATTACCAAAATCCGGGTTTAGAAAATTTCCACCATTCCAAAAAGATCCCCCCAGGTGATTGGTGCTGTTATTAAAATGATTATGATTAGAGTTGGAAGTTGCATAGAGGTCATTAGGCATAACTTCATTATATCAGAGATGGGAAAACTGACCCCCGGAACTCATAGATATGTTTTCAAGTCTTTGACTATTGAGAACCATCTTATGAACATTCATGTTCAAGCCATGTGGCATATCAGAAGGATTCTTTTAAAACCCAAGTCAGACTACATTACTCCTATGCTTAAAACTCTCCATTGGCCCCCGTTTCACTTGGATTAAACGTCAGAAGTCTTTATGTGGCCGTGAAGGTCCTGCATGATCTAACCAACATCATTATCCAACCAAGGATCTTTTTGTCCTCACTTCCCATCACTCTCCCCTGATTCAGCCACACTGGCCTCTGCTGTTCCTTCATTACACCAACACATTTCGCCCCAGGGCTCTAGACTGGCTCTTCCGTCTGTCTGGAACACTTTTCCCACAAATATCCATGCACATCGTCATCTCTTTTAGATCTTTGCTCAAATGTTGCTGTATTAGAATTTCCCTGATCATTGTATTTAAAATAGCGCCCCTGTCACCCTTTAACCCCTCTTCTGTATTTCATTTTTCTTCATAGCACTTACCAGCATCTTATGTATTACATATTATTTGTTTTCTGACTTTCCCCCATAGAGTGTAAAATCCATGAGGACAAGTGCAATGCCTAGAGCAGTGCCAGGCACACAGTAACCACTCAGATATATGTGCTGAATAAGGAAGGAATGGAGAGGGGCACAGTACATGAAACTGACCTGGCATCCACTGTAATCCTGGTCTTCAGCATATGGGACTCAAAAGTGAGGGCCCTGTGTGGATAACCAGGAATTTCATTTGGGAGTAGGATGCTAGGCTCATCACATCTTGGTGATGAGTCTACTAGGTCCGATGTGGCAAGGCTGGGTGGAAAGTTGGTCATAGGGAAAGGAGAGCAGCCAGATCAGGAGTTTTCAGAAGGATTTTAACACATGGACACCCACATACAACCTGTCTATAATTTCCTTCTTCTCCTCAGTTGCCAAGCAGAATGGATTAAACAGGCTGACTAAAGGGGCTGCAGGATCCAGGGAGGTAACAAATAGACAAGCAGGCCAGTGTATGAGACATTAGGGAGTGGTAGAGATTATAGAGAACCAGAGAACTCAGGCCTGATCCAGAGAGGGGCAGCTGCTACTCCCCGTCTGCCCTTCATAGCTGTGGGGGCGCAGGGGATATATGCTCAGTTTCACCATATCTTCGACTTCAAGACAGGTCTGAAATCTGGATTCTATGTGAGATCTTCTGTTTAAAAAATATTGACAATATATGAAAACATTTTTTAATGCTGTGAAGACAAACAGAAAGGGCATGAGGCTCAATATGGTATCTTCTGGCAGAGTGGGATCTCTCGATTAGAATGAAGTTGTTCAACTGCACTGTATCATGATGCAGCCCACCCTCTAGGCTGTATGTTTTAAGGTGTCTCTTTTCCTCTAAGACGATAGTCAAAATCTTGTTTCTTCTGCATTCAATTCTCCTCATTGCCGATTCCTTAGGCATGGTAGTTGGAGTTGGCAGGCAGTTACTTAGAGTTTCTATTCAAGAACTCTTTTGAAACAACTTTTTAATTAAAAAGTTAGGCTACCAAGATTCATGGAATACCTGGTTAGTCTGACATTCCATTACAAGCCTAGAGAAAAATGTCTGTAACTGTTTGTTGGTTTACTTTCTTATTTAGTTCTAAGGACAGCCAGGAACACAAGTAACCAACACTGGCTGAAACAAAGAGTGATGGGTGGAGGTGTTTCAGGTGAAATAGGTCTGGCTCTCAAGACTGCAGGAACCGGAGGCTGCAAATTGACATGGTGCAGGGACAGCCAGTAACCTAGCTGGCCTGATGTGGACAAAGGAGGGACAGGAAGTTGTCCCTACAGTCACAGGAGCTCAAAAAGATGGGGTGAGGTCCAAAGGGAAGACTCGCACTATCCTTTCTGTGGACCCAATGAGGCAACTAGATTAACACAGAGCAGGAATGATATATATAGTCCAGACAAAAGTCTTCCATTTCTCAGAAGAGATGGAAAATGATGATTAAACTTTGTTTCTAGTAGGCACCTTAAAGGGCCTCCAGGATCTCTTTTAGGACTCTTTTCTGGGGTTGTAGTGGGTGGAGTACTAGCATCCCAAAGAGCTTGTTAAAAATCACATCTGCTTTGTCTCCTATGTTTAATTTTTTTTTTTTTTTACCACAGTAATAGACATATTTTATGGTGACAGCTATTGGCAGAGTGGGTAAGAGCATGGGCTCAGGACTTGGTCAGAATTCCCTCCAGATCTTGGCTCTAGTAAGTGATAGCACTTACTAGCTCTGTGGCCTTGGGCAAGCCTGTTCACATCTTTGAGCCTCAGTTCACTCATCTGCAAAATGAGAATGATAACACTTACTTTATAGAGTTGATGTGAGGATTAAATGCAATAGTCCAAGCTCTGTGCCTAGCATGTAGTAAATGGTTAATAAATGTTGGCTTCTATGATTGGTGCTGTTATTATAATTATTATGATTAGAGTTGGAAGTAGCATAGAGGTCATTAGGCCTAACTTCATTATATCAGAGATGAGAAAACTGACCCCCAGAACTCATGGGTTTCTCACTAAGTCCCCACAGCCAGTTCCTGGCAGAATCAGCTAGTGGAGTCCCTGGAGGTTTTTCCTCAGACTTATCACTGGCTGGTGGCTGAAGTTTGCAATCATTCTTGTCTTTGTGCCAGGTGCAATATTGGAAAGAGTTACTTGCAGAATTTAAAGGAAAAGAAATAATAGTTTATAAGCTCCATGAGGCCAGGAACCATGCTTACATTAGTCTTTTCTGTATCCCTAGTGCTCACTACAATGCCTGGCATTTAGTAGGTGCTCAATAAATATTTAATAAACAAACATATGTGCATTACATGAAGCATGACTCAGCAGGGAGATGAGTACAAATGCATCACAGTGGCTAACTTGTTACCCGTGAGCACTGACTTCTCTCGTGGGAGTTATTGCTGAGCACATTTCCTTATGTCTTTCCTGTGCTCCCAGGGCTAGTTGTACAAGGATAAGGCAATTTACATGAGGGTGATCGCATTCAGCTCTCATATTCCCTCTTTCCTTTTTCCCCCACTCTCTCCTGTCTCCCATTCTTCTCTTCTTTCTTGTTCTCTATCAACTCTCTATTCTCTACTCTTTATCTATTCTTCTGTCAACCAGAAAAGGCTAGGTTATACTGCAGTAATAAAAAACCTCTAAATTTCAGTGGCTCAACATGGCAAAGTTTATTTCTCATTTAAGCAAAATTGCCTGGAGATCTGGGTGTCAGTCCAAGCCAAATAAATGTCTTCCACCTATTAGCTCCTCGTCCCTGGCTTCTCCAATCTTACGACTCCCTGTAGCAACAAGTGCTTCCACTCTCCCCAGGCTGGGGATGGATCCCTGGAGGGACTCATGCTGGTATTAAATCCTCCACCCTGTGTCACCCCCACCCCCCACTCTAGCCTGGACCAGTCACATGGAACCACCCAAGGACTGGGAAGGATAATCGCTTCATGGGACCAGAAGGTCCCAGAAGGCAAAGAGAACAGGATCTGGATGAGCATTAGAAGGCTGTCCTATAATTCTTTTTCAGAATGCAGGCTTCTCCCTCATTCCTCCTCCCTTTTTCTCGCCTATGTTCCCTCCCTACGTCCTGTGCCCTCTGTTCTCACTTCCCTGCAGTTGCTGCCCTATATCCTCCAAAGCAGAGGCTGACCAAGGATGATGTTGCCACAACTATCTGGTCTGCTTGGTGCTGAGCCTCTTACCTGGATGTAGACAAAGGCAATGGAGTTTTCCTCCTCCTTCTGGGCTTGCTGGAGGTTTATGACCAAAGGCTCCTGTCATCCTGAGCACCTTCCTTCCAGAGGCTGAAAGGTCTAGTGAATGGCTGAGCCAGCTGCCTTGTACTTGGGAGTCCCTGGCAGCTCAGAGGCTCTCCCTTCTCCCCTGAAGCTGGCCCTTTCAATGACCCTGCTTATCTCAGCATACAGCTTGGTGGAGTTGGGTGCACATTTGGAAGGATGTGAGTTTGATTGTCTATACAAGATGTAGGCGCTGACCCTTCATCATTCATTGATCATTAAGGAGTGATTAGTTTAACTTTTTGAATTTTTTTGTGTTTTAGTGATAGGGTCTCAGGTTCTGGCTCTGTCACTTAGGCTGGAGTACAGTGATGTGATCACAGCTCACTGCAGTCTCAAACTCCTGGCTCAAGTGATCCTCCTGTCCCAGCCTCCTGAGTAGCTAGGACTACAGGTGTGTGCCACCATGCCTGGCTAATTTGTTTGTATTTTTTGTGGAGATGAGGTCTCACTATGTTGCCCAGGCTGGTATTGAACTTCTGGGCTGAAGCGATCCTCCTGCCTGGGCCTCCCAAAGTGTTAGGATTACAGGTGTGAGCCAACCTACTGGGCCAGTTTAACTTTGTAATAGTAGGGGGAAGGCCTCCAGGTGATATTTCAGATTGCCACAAGGGCCTCAGAGTGCTGCAAGTTAAGATGGAGCCTGAATTTCTCACCATATTTGCGACAGATGAAGAGAGCTTTTGTGCAGAGGAGGGAAGCAAACGACATTGGCAGCCTGGCTCTGCCACAGATTTACTGTGCCTTATGGTGGGTCTCTTTCCCTCTGTGGGCCTCAGTTCCCTCTCCTGCAAAGGGGAGTGGTTGGACAAAGTGAACTCTGCAGCAGCTTGCAGAGCTCTGATTCTCTGAGTTTGGCATATCTTGCTGGCCACAGAGGATAATGCATTTGGCTGTTAGTAGGATGTCTTATTTGAGGACTTAAAATGGCTGGCTGGGCATGGTGGCTTACATCTGTAACCCCAGCACTTTGGGAGGCTGAGGAGGGACAATCGCTTGAGCCCAGGAGTTTGAGACCAGCCTGGGCAAAAAGCAAGATCCCGTCTCTACAAAAAATGAAATAAAAAATTAGCTGGGCTTGGTGGCAAGCACCTGTTATCCCGGCTACTAGGGAGGCTGAGGCAGAAGGATTGCTTGGGCCTGGGAGGTTGAAGCTCAGTGAGCTATAATTTCACTACTGCACACCAGCCGGAGAGAGAGAGGGAGATCCTATGTCTATTTTAAAAAGATGGGGTAGGGGGGGACGCAAGGTCTCACTGTCCAAAGAAAAAAAGGAACAAAAACAGGGTGAGGAGTAGATTAGGGTGCATGGAAAAATGAGGTGTGAACAAAGGGGCAGGACCAGGGTGGGGCTTTGATAACCTTATGCAAAAAGTTAGCTAAAATTGTCTGGTCAGTTTTGTTCTTTGTAGTCATTCCTCTCGCTTTGTTTCCCCTTATAAAAATTTTAGTGTCAGAAAATGCTGAAAATGGAAATATTAGGGAATTTAGATCCAGCTTGTTGCGATATTCAGTATAGACACATCAGCTGTTGGTGATTTCCCCCAAAGTTGAAGGTTATAATTTTTCTACTCTTCCTAAGAAATAATGGTCTCTTGAAATGTGCAAGTAAATTAGTCATACTGTGTCCTGAGAATTGGTCTCTGTAATACATCCTGGTCTCTGAAAAAGAGCTGCAGTTGTATAATGGATTTTAGAAGTCTCCAAAGCTGGTTCAACTAACATATTTGTTAGTCTAATAAATGATATTGCTCTTGTCAAGATTTTTCCATATAGCACAATTTAATAGAGGAATCAATTGTTTCTCAGACATGACAAAAGGGCCTGGGTGTGCTTTGATGGGAGACACAAAGTCTCTTGTTGTTCTAATAAAGCCAAAATGGAAAAAAAAGTTTGTTTTCCTCTTTCAAGTGTATTTTTATGAAGCTAAAATATACACATCACTTTCTCTAGGAAAATATTTGTTTATCAATATTTTCTCCTATAGTGTCTTTTTACTCTGTTATTACACATGAATATGCATTTTGTTTTCATCTTACTTCTTCCCCTTATTTGATGAACTGTCACTAGTATAAGCTGCTTCAGGGAGAAACTCAAGTTTTAAGGTATTTGGATCCATTGATAGCTATGGAATATTTCTTTAGAAATCTTTTAAGAAATGTTTTGGGCAAACATTGGCATCTATCCACATTTCTTCTCATCAAAACTTCTTTAAAGTCCTTGTAGTGGTTTTGTATAGTAAGAGGCCATCTCCTCAAGCTGCTCCTCCCTTAAATGGTGTTTTAAGGGGGTGTAAGGTTGTGTGTCCTGTCCCCTTCCCCTGCCGCCATATTGATACCTTTGCTGACTTAAGTTAATGGGTTAAACAAATCTCTTTTGGAGTTGTTGAAGTTGCTTGGAAGGAAATTGCACTGGTACTGAGAATATTAGAACATCTGTGTCTCTTCCTTAGCCAAAACATTTAGTTTTTGCCATGGAATGTGTTATTTGGAGGATGTCTGACTTTCATGGCTATGGGTTTTACCTATTGGCAGAAACAATTTGCTGACATCGTTCCTTAGCAGTTATCCCCAAATAACACTATCTTCACGTATGAATCCAAGAATGGGATGGAAAATGACTGTGAGGGACAAGTCTTACCAAACTGATGAGCGGCTGCTCTTGGAAAAGGTTACTAAAACAGCTGAGATTATTGGCCACAGCTGTCTCTTAAGACATAAATAGTCTCAGAACATTTCCAGAGAAGTCAAATGATTATATCAGTGAGTTAGGAGAGCTAATGTCAATGGTAGAAGTTAGTTATGCTGAGAGCAGTGGTTCTCTATTTGACTATATGTTAGGGTGGCACATTTAAAAAACACCAGGGTTTTGGTCCTATCCTTCAAGATTCCTGAATCAGCTGGTTTGGGGTGGGGCCTGGTCAATAGTCTCTCTTTCTCCCTCTTTCTTCTTTTTAGGTGATTCTAGTGGGCAGTCAGGGCTGAGAACCACTAGCGTAGAGGGAGCAGTGTCACTCAAAATGTGGTTCCTTGGCCAGCAGGAACAGTACTACCTTGTAATTTGTTAGAAATGCACTTGAGAGTAGGACCCAGAAATCTGTTTGTTTTTTTTTTTTTTTGTCTCCCCAGAAGGTTCTGAAACCCTACCCATGATTCTCAAATGTTAGCACATAGCAGAATCATCTGGAGGGCTTCCAGAAACACAAATTGCTGTCCTCTGGCCCCCGAGCTTTTGATTTAGGCAAGGGATGGCACCTGAGACTTTGCACCTCTAACAAGCTCCCAGGTGATGCTGATGTTGGTCTGTAGTTCACACTTGGAGCAACACTAGTTTAGGCTTGGGGACTTGAACTGTTTTTGAATTTGTTGCAAAGGTAGCTGTTTTGAGACATTAAGATCTTAGCTCTCATAAAGATGGACTTATAGAACTAATTCCTTTGGGTAGAACTGTTTTTTTCTTAAAGGTTTTTCCACCAAGGAAAGTAGGGATTAAAACACCAAAGTCAAGCTTTATCACAGATGAAAGCTATTGCTTTGACCATTTTGACTAAGATAATTTGTCAGTTTTATCAGGGTATCAGTTTTATCAGAGTTTCTTGAAAGATTTTTTTTCTTCTTCTCTGTATTGATTGGTTGATGAATAAATTAGGCAAACTGATGAAAGATTTTGAGTGTCAGACACACTTCTGTAGTAGAATCTGTTATTGCCTTAGTGATAGGAGTGGAAGATTAACGTCTTCAGGAAAAGGTAATGCTGTTTTTGTTTTTTCTTTCGTATTTCACCTGGTGGGCTGGATGACATGTAAGGCAGTGGTTCTCCATGGGCATTTGGGACATAAATGGGGTGGAAAGTTCCCTCTAGGCAACTCTGATAAAACTGTCAGTTCAGAGCCATTGCTTTGAGCCATCACTCCAAGAACTTGGGGGCATGAGGCCAGGTGATGGGGACAGTGGGCCCAGGGTCCTCTGCCTGTCTGCAGGGAACAGCTCTCCTCCCACTCTGGCTGATGCTGGCCATGTGGAAATAGTGCACAGCATGGCCAGAGCTTCTGGTTTTAACAGAGAAGCCAGGGATTCTACTTTTCTTCTGAGAAATTTCCTGATATTTGAATGTTGGCAACACATTAAAAAAATGTAAAGCCTTGTGCTGGCCAAACAAAACATACCTTGGGCAACCAGTTTGTGACCTGAAGGTGCCTTCTGGAAGTCTAAGATTCTATTAAGAGTCACTTAAAATGAATCCTATGAAAACTAACCTAAGAAATATGCCTAACTTCCTGAGTGTGCCTTCTAGCATTGTGATTCCATGAGACATAGGAGAAACAGGGAAAATATTGTTGCACTATTTTTTAAAAGGATAATCTAAATATCTCAGGCTCTAGTTTATGTGCATCCAGGTTTTAACATAATAATCAATCTTGGTGTAATGTGTTTCTCTGGAAATGGAAATTTGGATGAATTTCAGTTTTAAATACATGGAATTATCAAGGTAGGGGTGGGAAAATTTTCAAATTCTGTAGAAGAGTTGTCACAAAAGAACATTCAAACCAATAACTAAAACCTCAGTGGTACGTGGTTCAATTTTTAGATCTTGGGTATTCAGGGCTGGCTACATCTTCCTGCATATTGAATTATTGTAGCATTAAGTTCCTATAACATTTAGAAACTAGATGGCTGAGAAGCGACTGAAAAGAGAAATTTAAGAAACAGGCATCACATTCCTTTTTATTATGTTTATCTGTCCTCTCAAGGACAGAAGAGACACTTTCCATCTGTTTAAATCCTGGACTGGCACATCCAGGCCTGAGGTGCTGGGGGGTTTGTGGGTCTCACTTGCACACCTGACTTCACATTTAACCCCTCAGACCTCCCATTTCATTCAGGGAAATCCACTTTTATGCCTGCTCATTCTCATCGCGTGGTAAGAGTTTGCCCTGCTCTTTGCTGACTTTGTTGACAGCTTTGTAGTTGTCAGTTGTCTGAAGCTGCTGACAGGACGGAGTGGCCTAGAAGGACAGAGCATAATGGTAGCTCTGTGGTAACCGCATCTCATTCCCATTTTATGTTGAATTTCAGTTTTCGTGGCCTCTGAAGATATGATTTGGTATGTGTTGGCAGATTGACAAGAGGGAAAATTTCCAGGGATGGAATCCAAGGTTGTCACTATTACTCCTGGAACATAAATATAGGATAATGGCCAGTGGGATTTCCCTATGGTCCACAGTAGTGTAGGGGAAATAGGATTCATCTAAGATATTCCCATCTGGCTAACAAGAAGGTGATATTTTGTTTCATTCCTACTATTACTCCTTGGGTGTTTGCTGTCTAGGGGCCTCTGTGGAGAGGATGGAATTTGTATATTCTTGCATCTCTAGCCAAATACCATCTAATTTCTCCTTAACCATGAATAAAGCTTTTACAGATACAGATATACTGGAGAAATCTAAAATTGGGAAGGGATGTGATGCAAGCACGTTGCAGTTTGGAGAACAAGCACATAAATTTTTGTCTGATGTAATTTTTGTACTTTGGAAGGTAACTGAGAAAGGGATAGGAACAGGCGGATCTTTAATTAAGTGAACAATTTTAGAAAGGAGAAAAACATTATGGAAATTGAAAAGAAATATTTTGGATTCTGACTCAGGTCCTGGTATGAGTTTGGAATGTTCTAATCTGTTCAGCATGAGCCAGAAATAGTTTCCTAAGGAAAAAGACACAGACTCCTCAAAGCCGATCTTGGCCTCCTGTTTGCTACCTCTGCATTTGGTGCACAGGTAGACCCATTTCTTTTCTTTTCTTTTTTGAGATGGAGTTTCACTCTTGTTGCTCAGACTGGAGTGCAATAGCACGATCTCAGCTCACTGCAACCTGTGCCTCCCAGGTTCAAGTGATTCTCCTGTGTCAGCCTCCCAGGTAGCTGAGATTACAGGCTCTTGACACCACACCCGGCTAATTTTGAATATATATATATATATATGTTTTTAGTAGAGACGGGGTTTCACCGTGTTGGTCAGGTTGGTCTTGAACTCCTGACCTCAAGTGATCCACCCGCCTCGGCCTTTCGAAATGCTGAGCCACTGCGCCAGGCCAGGTAGATCCATTTCTGATGGCTCTTCTACAGGTGTGGCCGGTTGATGTAATGAAATTCTAAGCTTGGTCCATGTGGCATTGCAGAGTGTGCCAGAGTTAATGTCCCATCATTCCTAGCCACAAAATTGCCCACCTTTTCCTAACCATGTGACCTTAGTCAGTTCTCAACTCTCTGGTCCTCAATTTCTTTCTTTTTTCTTTTTCTTTTTTGCTAGGCTTCCTGGGGTTATATCAACTGCTTTATTTATAAAACTGAGGGTGATAATATTTGCCCTGTAGCTTTATGAAGTTTTGACAGAAAGGGGTAATATAGCTAAAAGTGCTTTACAAATTGCTAAATGATACAAAGATGTAAGGAGTTATTAGTTAATCTGTACTAAAAGCATGACAAAGGAACTTGGGAACATTCCAGTCTAAATCAAAAGGCTCAAAGTGGTTATCAGCTGTCCTTAGGCAAGTTAGTAGGAGCAAGGTTACATTGTAGTTGGCCTCAGTGGTCAGTCAGACTGGAGTTTAAATCTTTGCTTTACTAATGTACAACTCAGTACTGTGAGCATCAGTTTCCTCATCTATAAAAATAGCTACAATAGCTACCTCACGTAGTAATTGTGAGGATTCAGTGAGGTATATGATGGAGTAACTTATACAACTATGTTCCTGTTACCTGCTTAGTGAATGTTGATTTTACTCCCCCAGCCATACATGGATGTCAGTATTTATTCCAGAAGCATGTGCAGTACATGAAAGGGCATCCAAGACACTGTGAACCACTTTTTTGGACCAGCCTGGCTCTTCTAACCAATCTGAAAAAGACAGAATTCAAGGCCTGCTGTACAAGCAGGAGGCAGCTCCCTCCCTTCCCCCTGCACCCAAATAAATATTGCATCTCCAACAGGCTTATTCCTCCTGGAAAAAGCATCACTCCTTCAAATGTGCTCCTTTACAACACAAATATCTCTTTAAGAAACACATTATTATTAACCATTAGCTCTTCAGCCTGAGTTAGAGAAGCATCTTAGAGACAGGGTCAGATTCTATTAGTGAGTTGGGAGACTATTCAATGTAGTCAAAATTACCATCAAATTGCCAGGAAATTCGACTACACATGGTTTTGTGTGTATGTAATGTCTAACACAGCTTTTCCTCAGTGTTGGAATAGATTGCTGTTTTTGGGTGAGCACCAGATGAAGCATTTGACTCGCATTCAGGGTTCAGGTTATACAAAAAAAAATTATTTTTATTCTGGAGGGTACAATTTAAGTCGAATTTTTTCAAATTAAATTTATGTTTGATGTCACTCACTGTACTTTACTGGGGTGAGCTAGCTGGTACAGGGCCCTAGTGGGATGGGATACCAAGCAGATATGTTTTAAAAGAGAAACAAGGTGGAGGGATAGGTCTGAATCTTGGATCATTGTTTAAAGAAGATGGGTCTGGTTAGGTGTTTTAGTCTGGTTAGGCTGCTGTAACAAACTGTCATAAACTGGATGGCCTATAAACAACAAACATTTGTTTCTCATAGTTCTGCAGGCTGTGAAGTCCAAGATCAAGGCACCAGCAGATATAGTGTCTTGTGAGGCTCTTTCCTTACTGGTGGGAGGGGCTAGCTACCTCTTCGTGGTCTCTTTCATAAGGGCACTAATCTCAATCAGGAGGGCTCTGCAATATTCAGATTGTAGCATCAGTGATGGGATGCTCTGGGAAGCCAGAGGGCAACAGGAGAACACTGGGGAGAAGGAGGGTGACTGAAAGGCAAGATGTTTCCAAAGACCTGTGCTTCCTAAATAGTAAATGCTCAACAAATAATTAAGTAAATGAATTAATTTTGACTGTTTGCAGAAAGTTTGTTCCGGCATGCACCCCCACCAGTGAATATAAGAATGCCTGTCTTTCAGTACCCTTCCTTGCATTAAATATTTGCTATAGTCTGAGCATTTGTGTCCCCGTCAAAATTCATATGTTGAAATCCTAACACCCAAGCCTCCAGGAGGAGATGAAATCATGATCTCATGATTGGGATTAGTGCCCTTGTAAAGAGACCCAGAGGGCGAACTTTCTCTTTCCACCAAGTGTGGGTGCAGGAAGATGGCGCCATCTATGAACCAAGAAACGGGCCCTCCCCAGACACCGATTCAGTGTCTTGATCTTGGACTTTCTAGCTTTCAGCACTGTGAGAAATAAATTTCTATTGTCCAGTTTATGGTATTTTGTAATTGCAGCCCTAATGGACCAAGATAATATTCTAAAAATAATTTCTGCCAATCTGATAGAATATGTTATTTCAATTTTATTGTTAATGTGCATTTTAAAAGACAAGTGCCAGACTCTTCATTTTGCAGAGTAGAAAAACAAAAAATAAGCTACTTCTATACTTGTCCTGATTTCAGCCACCTCAACCTACACTGCTCTGATGCCCACAACATTCTGTGTCAGTCATTGCCCTAAGTTGAGATTGTTTGACCCTAGCTGCCCCTTCAAAGGACTTGTCATTTTGACCTAGTCTGGGCTAATGTTGACTATACCCTAGGCCTGCTTCCAATTCGAACATGCCCTATCCCAAGGAGGTGGCTAACATCTACCTCACACAGACCCTCTGCTGAAGACACGTGCTGTCCCCCACTCCCCTATCCTCTTCTGACCCTCTCCCACTCTCTTTCCTTCTCTGCATATATTCAACTTCCACCCATCCCACAACTGCCAGCTCAAGCCCCTCTTCCTTTCAGGAGTGATTTCTTTCCCCATTGAATACATCATACTTATTGAGCAAGCTACTCATTTAACAAGACTATCAAGTAAGTGGCACAGATAATAATTATCTTTTGTAATAAAAGATTTATGCATGTAGTAGGCAAATGATAACAACAATGGTCTCTGGAGTTGATGAGAAGTTTATCACAGCAGCCTTGTTTCTCAGATGGGAAGGAAGAATTACAGCCCAGGTCCAATTCAATAAGCAGTACCTTTGTGGTATAACAGCTCTGAATTCCAGTCTTCCCAGTCAGGGACTCATCACCTATGCTAAGGCATACCATTTATTTATTTATTTATTTGAGATGGAGCCTCACTCCATTGCCCAGGCTGGAGTCCAGTGGTGCTATCTCAGCTCACTGCAACTTCTGCCTCCCGGGTTCAAGCAATTCTCCTGCCTCACTTTCCCGAGTAGCTGGGATTACAGGCAGGTACTACCACACCCAGCTGATTTTTGTATTTTTTAGTAGAGATGGGGTTTCACCATGTTGGCCGGGCTGGTCTCGAACTCCTGACCTCAAATGATCCAACTGCCTTGGCCTCCCAAAGTGGTAGGATTACAGGTGTGAGCCACCATCCGGGCAATTTAATCTCCAAGTTTCTGTTGTCTCATATGTGAGGCCAACACTCTGTATGGCACTGCTGAGAACCCTAAGGCCCCACCAAGTGGCTAAATTAAACAGCTAATTTGAAAGAAGTTAAAAAGAAGATTAAAAAGGACATCACCAAAAGAGAGCCCAATACTCAACTCAAGTTGTTCTGTTCTGAAGAATTAGAAACCATGATCTATGATTTGAATGCAGCTCAGGGAACAATTTTGGTCTAACAGCTTCAA
This sequence comes from Homo sapiens, assembly GCF_000001405.40. Lineage (NCBI taxonomy): Eukaryota > Metazoa > Chordata > Mammalia > Primates > Hominidae > Homo > Homo sapiens. The sequence goes on along the minus strand of NC_000002.12, from coordinate 175,867,457 downwards.
ATATATTTATAACAGCCTCTCCTCTAACTCTTATTTTTAGTCTATAAAGTTACTTCTCTATCTCTAAAGAAATTCTGCCTAAATTCCTTGAGGGTCTGACCCTTTCTGAGCCTTAGTTTATGTTCTTTTGTTCTTGTACTTGACATTATCTCAAACAGTCTTGTAAAATCTTGCTTCCGTTCCCTTCAGAATTTTATATCCCTTATTGAGGCATTTTCCCTCCTTCCTTCAGAAAAATAGCTGCATTGCTTTGGTAACTTTTTTCTTTTATTAATGTCAAAATTGAAAGTTCCTTAAATGATACATAACCTTTTTAGGCATTATTGCTGTGTATAAAATAACCTAAAACAAAATTATTTGGGCAAGTTAACATTAGGCAAATCTGTATTAAGTCCAGGAAGAGCTGTTGAGATGCCTTAGCGAGGACTACTGAGAAGGAAGCTGTGCTCTGGTCTTGGGGAAACAAAGAGCCTAAAAAGGCCAGTGCGCTGGCCATTGCTGTTCCTGATGTGCTTCATGCTTGAATGCATTTTGATTTGACAGCACATTTTCATTTGTTTATTCATTCAATACTTGTTCACAATATCAAATGTGAAGATGGGTATTATTTTCAGTAGAAGATGAAGTGCTCATAACTTTTTCAAACGGCAATTATTGATGTAAAACATTTTTTTTTCTTTTTTTTTTTTTTGAAACAGAGTTTCGCTCTTTTGCCCAGGCTGGAGTGAAGTGGCACGATCTCGGCCCACTGCAACCTCTGCCCCCCGGGTTCAAGCGATTCTCCTGCCTCAGCCTCCTGAGTAGCTGGGATTATAGGTGCCCACCATCATGCCCGGCTAATTTTTTTGTATTTTCAGTAGAGACGAGGTTTCGCCATGTTGGCCAGGCTGGTCTCAAACTCCTGACCTCAGGTGATCTACCCGCCTCGGCCTCCCAAAGTGTTAGAATTACAGGCGTGAGCCACCCTGCCTGACCGTAAAAAATATTTTTGAGGGTCTATGCTACACTAGACAGTGTGCTGAGAGCGGGGGATACAAACTACAGAGATGTAGTTCTTGCCCTACAGAAGTTCACTGTCTGGTGGAGGAAATAGACAAACCATAGGCAATGATGATACACTGTGATAAATGCTATGATGGAGGTCAGAACGGAGAGAGGCATCTCACCTCTTTTGGGGGTGGGGCGGAGCAGGAGTCAGAAAAGACAACTTTCTGGAAGAATTAATGCTTCAACCAGGGAAGGTTACACTGTGTGTGTACAGGGAGGTGGAATGTGGAGTAGGAAGAAAGGGGAACATCAATAGATTAGTTTCCTGATGCTACTGTAATAAATTAGCACAAATTTCATGGCTTAAAATAACACACATTTATTATCTTACAGTTCTGGAAGTCGGAGGTCTGAAACGGGTCCCTTTGGGCTAAAATCAAGGTGTTGGCAGGGCTGTGTCCCTTCTGGATGCTCTAGGGGAAAATCTGTTTCCTTGCCTTTTCCATCTTCTAGAGATCTACTGCATTCCTTGGCTTGGCTTCTTCAAAGCCAGAAATTGCATCATGCTGACATCCGCTTCTGTCATCAAACTTCCAACTCTGATGTTCCTGCCTCCTTCTCTCACTTATAAGGACCCTTGGGATTACATTGGACCCACCTGTATAATCCAGGCTAATTTCCCCATCCTAAGATCCTTTAACTTAATTGCACATGCAAAGTCCCTTTTTCACGTAATGAACATCCCAGCTTCTGAGGATTAGGATGTAGGTCTTTGGTGGGGCAGTATTCTGTCTACCACAGTGAAGCAAAAGACACTTTACAAGGAAGGAGATGGGATCTCAATCTAAAGGTATTTGAATACACTTTGTGCATAGTTTGAAAGATAGCAGTAGAACAACTCAGGTCTAAACCATTTACCTTCTAATACATTAATCTGAGGCTTGTGTTACACCTGTGAAACCTCATTAATGGCCCCATTCACGTAAAAGAATGAGCCACCATTTGACAGTTCTTCTTAGTAAAGAAAAATAAAAATTATGACAGTGTTATTTTCTATAATGAAGCTGCATGAAATTGTACTTCAAGAAATAGCATGGATTCAGAGCTAGTTAAATCTTGAATTATCTTCATAGGAAAGCTCGTTGCTATTCTCTTCAAGTTTGCAGTTCAGAGTAATAACCTGAACGTGTGCCTCTTTATCACCTTTCCTGTCACTGGGCTCAAATTGGGGAGCCTTGAATCACCCCTAAATCAGCACTGGCTTCCCCAGGCCATGTCAGCTTAGCCAGACCCAGCTGTAGCAAATGACAGAGTATTCTGAGTCCCACTGAGCTCTCTGCAGTGGCGGCGTCAGCGCAGAAACGGTGGTGGGTGCTTGCTCCGGTGAGGTGGGACATGGATAAAGGATGCCCCAGGTCTGCTATGCTGTCTGCTCTTAGTGGCTGAATAAGGAGAGTTACTGCTGCAGTGGAAGGGTGTAACTTCCTTATTTTTAGAATTACCTTGAGAAAGAGAGTTGATGATGAGGCTTTGACAGAAAAGTGATTGACAAACTGATTCCATAGCTCTTGTGTTTTAAGTGTTTTAACATTTATTACAAGATATTTAAATTCATATCACATTTGCAAACTGATTAAAAAAAAAACTCCAAAGCAAATCAAAAGAAATTTCATATGTGGTGGATTTTTAATACAGTATTTTAAGACAAGTGAAACAAGGTTCCACAAGTCACATGTGTTTACCAGTGCCCCACATTTGTGTTCCCATCAGCCTTTCCCACACTCAATCAATTCACCCTTGAATAGCTGTACTCGATGCTAGGGAGCGTGGCAGCCTGCATGAATGTGGGGCCAGTGCTTCTCTTTGTAAAATGTCTGTTTTGCAGGTGTTCTTCCTTTCTTGTTAGCATTCCACATTTCATCATAAACTGGCTTGCCTTTGGGTCCTGTGTGCTTTCTTTAGGTTCTAATTAGAAGCCTGGAGTTGGTACAATGGGGCAGGCAAGGCATGAGCTCTGAAATTGCCTGTCCTGGGTTTGGTCTATGACTTGCTCACTATGCAAACGTAAGTGGTCACATGACTGCCATTTGCTCAGCGCTGGCTGTGTATGCAACCCCTCAGGCCCCCCGCACATCAGGCAGTCATCAGAACGAGCCCGTCCTGTATAGACAGACAAACAGAAAGTAGAGGCTGGCTGAGTCCTCACCACTTGGGGCAGTGAAGCTGGGAGTCACAGGCAGGTGTGTCTGGCTTTGAATCCAGGAGCTTCCAATTGTATTTCAAGGTTTCTTCAAGGGGAGGTAAGTGAGAGTTGGATGAGTACACAGTGGGGGTTCCTATGGGCCCCCACTTTTGCTTTAGGAAAAGTTCTGCTGTCATCTGTTTCATAACTTAGAATGTATTAGGACAAAGATTTGAAGCTAAAAAGGAGTCCAAAGTCCACTGTATTTTTACTCCATTATACCTTTCTAAGTTATTTAAGCTCCTGGAGACTCTCTGCTGCAACCTAAGGATAATAATACTACAAACCTTATAGAATGACAGGAAAAATGATATGAAGTAAAGGGAGCACACCACCAGGAATATGATAAGAACTCCCACAACAAATGAGTTCTCTTCCCGCTTAGCATACAAAGGCTGTATGTCTAAGGTATGGCTCAAATGTGCCCTGGATACAACGGAGCCATTTATTTTGATTTTTTTTACATTATTTATAAGGGCCAATTAATTAAACAAAGACTTAATTAGAACCAACAGTGTGCCTAGAACCGTGTTGGATCTGTGACCAGGACAGCCTGATGGATAGGCTGGGGGGTGGGTAGCCATCCAATATGGCAGCTGTGACAGGTGTCTCCTCCTGCCCCATCCTCACCTGAAAAGAGCTTGACATCTAAAAGCTTTCATTGGAGGTTCTTATCTGTGGCTCTCTTTTCAAAATTTCTCACTAAATTTCAAAGCCATTAAGAGAGGCAACTTCTTAGTTTCTGTTAATTTGTTCCCTGGGAGGGGTGATTATAGAGAAACCCAGGATAGGTTTAGATGAAGGCCCCTGGGATGAGGGAGAGGGACCAATGTGGAAGCAGGAGCAGTTCTAAAAGTCAAAATTTATTTCCTTCCCAACTCAGCCAGGGTGGGCATGTGCCAGTTGTTGAGGGATGAACTGACACTCACATTATGCTTTCTGTGTCTCGGACCTACAGTCGTGGTCTGGAGATGCCTGTAGGCGTCTGTCCTCTAGTGCAGGTACAGTTTTGTCTAGGAAAGCGGAATTCAGGCCACTGAACTCTGGTGAGACCAGCTGATGAGGTGACCAGACCCAGGATGGGAGAGGGGGATGGAGCAGCTGAAGAAGCAGTGAGTGAGAAAGCCTGGGTGAGAAACTGTGACTCCCACAGATCTTGAGTTTGGGGGTGGGTAGGGTGAAAACACAGGTTTCAAACAACAATCCTCAAATCCAGGAAAAGACTTGTTTAGTTGAAGAAGACCTTGAGTGTTTCCTCAATTTGGAAATATTGAGGTATTATGCTAGCTCTGTGACTGCCAAAAAGAACTATTGCACAAACAAAAAAGGTCGGGTAAGAAGATGAAGGCAAGAGAGAATTCAGGCTGAGAGATGAAGAGAGAGTTTAGCCTAAACCAAGAAGCTGGTCTTGTCACAAACAGATGCCAAGAAACTTTCACAAGGGACTGGCAATAAGATGAATGATGAACATTTTGAATTGTTGATTCTTTACCATAACTACCAGACACTCGTCTAAACTCTTTCATGAGTGAACTCACTCAGCCGTAATAACATCCTTATGAAACAGGCATTACTTACCCCAGTTTACAGATGAAGAGTGACAGACAGGTTAAGGTGCTTGCTTAAAGTCAGTTGTGAGGCCACTGTGAATGGTGAGGTGGGAGTTCAGACTGAGAACCTGACCGCGGAAACCATGCTCTCAAGCACTTGCTTCCTCCCTAAAAAGTGAACCAGGTATTTAAGAAAAGTCCTATAAGAAGCTAAGGCTGTGGCCATAGTTTTTAACTGGGGTCAGACCTCCTGGGTTGGTGAGCAAAAGTTGCTGTGTCTGAGTATATGCTTTTTTTCTGAAGAGTGGGAGAACATAGTATTGACTCCTTTTCCAGAGAAATCAATGACCCAAAGTAGGTAAGAATCCCAGAGATTTAGAGGTAATCCCTGGCCTCACCGCTGGCCTCTCAACTAGGGCTGGGCTTCTGGGTGACCTGTCCTGCCACAGGGTTGAGGCTGATTTGTGTTTCTCAGGGTGACTGCCTTGCTACCTCAACTGGATCTCCCAGGAAGCACGTTTCCAGGGCTGCAGCTCTCTGTCCTCATGGGAACTTTGGCTGGGAGGGCTGAGCCCCTGGTAAGCATTTCATTTGCCAGGCTTGGCTCAGTGTTTATTTACTAGAAGATGAGACCTGTTAAAACAGAAAAATGGCCACCACACTGGAACATTTTTCTCTAAGTGCCATTATCCATGACTCCTACTGAAGGAAAAAAGAGGTAAAATCCTTATATTCTGGGCAAACGATTTTGCAATTTTCTGGTGACATTGATTCGAGCTTATCTGACTTCATAACAGATCTATCTTATCCATAAGATAAAATGTAGCTTGAAAATCAGAAGAGATGCTGGGGGCTGGGGAAGGGGGCATCACTCTTATTGTCAGATAAGATTTTGTTTTATAAGTCACTTTTCTCAGACAACTTAGACTAACTAAGGAGAGGTTCTCTCTGTGAAGATCAATATTGCTACTGGTCCTGAGCAGCAAAGAAATATATATATTTTTTTCTACCATCTACACCTAACAATGAAGAAGAGCAAGGAATCAGGAACAACTGATATATTAGTCACCTGATTGGTATCTGAAAAAACCATACCATTTAAATTTTTTTTTTAATTTTTGTGGGTATATAGTAGGTGTATATGTTATGAGGTATATGAGATGTTTTGACACGGGCATGCAATGCATCATAGTCACATTATAGAGAATGGGATATTCACCCCCTCAAGCATTTATCCTTTGTATTACAGACAACCCAATTTTAGTCTTTTAGTTATTTTAAAATGTACAATTAAATTATTATTGATTATAGTCACCCGGTTGTGCTATCAAATAGTAGCTCTTATTCTATTTTTTGTACTCATTAACCATCCCCAACTCCCCTCAACCCCCACAAATCATACCATTTTGCTGTCATAGACATTATCATACCTTTCAACACTCTCTATAGTAGATTTGAGTGAAAGAAATAGGAAAATATGATCTCCACCAAAAAGATACATTCTACAACCAAAGTCTGATATCAGTGTCGTGTCTCTTCTTGTCCCTTCATTCTTTCAATTCCACCATCTCTTCTAGAGGGAACATGGAAAGTGCTCTGGAGTGGAGTAAGATACCCTGGAATTGAATCCCAACTCGGTCATAAGTTATAACCTCTGTGAGCCTCAGTTTCACATCTTTAGAATCCTTCCTGATTTATTGGTCTCTGTGATTTATCGATTATATGTTTGATTGTACTTCTTTGTGGTTCTGACAATTTTTATATAATATTTTTGAGGGTTTGTTACAAGTGTATTCAAGTTCAGAATTGTTATATCTTTCTGGTGAACAAAACTTAATCATTCCGTAGTGACTGTTTAATCTCTAGTAATTCTATTTGTTTTAAAGCCTATTTTGTCTGCTATTAGTGGAGCTCCCTAAGCTTTTGTTGTTATTGTTGATTGTTTGAGTACTTGCTTTGTATGCCTTTTCCCATCTTTGTACTTTCACCTTTTCATATCCTTATCCTTTAGTACATTTCTCGTAATCAGTTTTTTTAAAAAATGGTTTTAGTAAAGGCTAAAGTTAACCAATATTCTTACTCTTGTCCCAAACAATACAAGAACTTTAGAGCATTTCAACTCCTATCATTCTTCCTGACTTATATTCTATTTTTTTCACATATTTTATTTCTACCTTTTTCATTTTAAGTGTTATAGTGGATGCTGTGTTGATTTTGGAGGCCCTCCCTCAGCAAAGAGCTGATTTTGGAGACCTTCCCTCAGCAAAGAGCACTTTCTCCAGAGAAACCTGGGTGGAGCAGAGCATCTATAATGTAGTAAGATTTACTGTGAGGCACAATTCATGATTGCAAAAATATGGAACCAATGTAAGTGCCCATCAACCAATGAGTAGTTAAAGAAAATGAGGTGTATATACGCTATGGAATACTACTCAGCCATAAAAAGGAATGAAATACTGTATTTTGTAGCAACTTGGATGGAGCTGGTGGTCATTATTCTAAGTGAAACAACTCAGGAATGAAAAACCAAATATCAAATGTTCTCACTTATAAGTGGGAGCTAAGCTATGAGGATGCAAATGCATAAGAATGATATAATGGAATTTTGGAGACTTGGTTGGAAGGAAAGTGTAGAAGGGAGATGAGGGATAAAAGACTACCTACTGGGTACAGTGTACACTGCTCTGGATACAGGGTACAGGTGCACCAAAATCTCAGAAATCACCACTAAAGAACTTATCCATGTAACCAGAAACCACCTGTACCCTCAAAACTATTGAAATAAAAAATTAAATTAAAAAAAGATTCACTGTGAGGCTGAGGCGTCAAAAATTATATTTCAAAAAGGAACATTTTTGATGTTACCCCACAGCCTACGTCCAAGGTCCATTTATTTTAGAGAAAAGAGAATTAGTCTTTTAAGGGCAGAAGGTTAGTCTTAAGTGTTTGGGGAAGTAAAGATGCAGGATAATTTCCCTACAAGAGGAGGAGAAATGTGTATGTCTACATGTTTGTGAAGTTGGTTTAGGTTCTTTAATTCCTTTTCCTGAGGCTTTAGGAGTAGCATTTCTATTTCCTTGATCAGTGCCACAAAGGATATGGAGATTCCTTAAAGAACTAAAAGTAGAACTACCATTTGATCCAGCAATCCCACTAATGGGTATCCACCCAGAGGAAAAGAAGTCATACAAAAAAGAAACTTGCACACGCATGTTTATAGCACCACAATTCGCAATTGCAAAAACGTGGAACCAACACAAATGTCCATCAATCAAGGAGTGGATAAAGAAACTGTGGTATATATATATGATGGAACACTACTCAGCCATAAAAAGGAATGAATTAATGGCATTCGGAGCGACCTGGATGAGATTGGAGACTATTATTCTAAGTGAGGTAGCTCAGGAATGGAAAATCAAACATCATATATTCTTGCTTATAAGTGGGAGCTAAGCTACGAGGATGCAAAGGCATAAGAATGATACAGTGGACTTTGGGGACTCAGGGGAAGGGGTGAGGGTTAAAAGACTACAAATAGGGTGCAGTGTATACTGTTCGGGTGACGGGTGCACCAAAAATCTTAACAAATCACCACTGAAGAACTTACCCATGTAACCAAACATCACCTGTTCCCCAATAACCTATGGAGATAAAAAATGTTTTCAGATCATAAAACTAGAAAAAGAGAAAAATAAACTCCAGGAAATATGTTCAATAACATTAGGCATTAGGGAAGTGCAAATTAAAATCACAATGAGATATCTCCACACGCCTGTGAGAATGGACTACTTCTATATTGCACTACACCACTATCAGAATTACGCTGAGTGAGAAAAGTCAATCTCAAGAGGTCACATGGTATATTGTTTAATTTACATAACATTCTTGAAGTAACACTATAGGAATGGAGAACAGATTACTGGTTGGTTGCCATGGGTTCAGACCTTGGGATGGAGCAGATGAAGACGGAAGCGGGTTTGGTATAAAGGAGCAACACAGAGGATTGCATATCCTTGTGGTGATGGCACTGTTCTTTTTCTTGACTGTGGTCACATGACTCTACACATTTGATAAAACCACTTTGAATTAAATACCCACACATGTACACAAATAAGTGCATGTATAACTGGTAAAATCTGAATAAGGTGGGTGGAGTGTATCAATGTCAGTGTCCTGGTTGTGAACTGGGTGAAGGGTACATAGGATCTTTCCTGTATTGTTTCCTAAAACTGTACGTGAATCTACAATTGTCTCAAAATAAAAAGCTTTTAAAGATTACAAAACAGTGCCTTTCCCATGCAGTCTAGGAGCAAATAACTTCTTGAATCAAGCCTGTCTTACCGAAAACAAGGACTGAGCCTCCACCATTCCTTGTTTCTCTTGACTCTTGAAAAGATGCCTCCTGGTCCAAATATGTTCACAACCATGCTGCAGAATGAGAGAAGTGCATGCTGGGGCTGTGCTCTACTCACAGGAGTCATAACTCGGTCTCTCGTTTGGTAGTTGTGAACTGCCTGCCTCAGAAAGACCAGAGCTGCTGATTAAGATGCAGATTTTTCTAGGCCCCACACCAGACCTATCCAGAATAACTACCTCGTTAATTTCCTGATGTTATTATTGTGCATAAGGTTGGAGTTCTCTGTAGGGGTAGCCTCAGGTGTGATCGTAGGAAGTGGCTATTTGTGGCTCAGGTATCTTTGCTTGACTTTTGATGTAAGAAAACATGATATTCCCTCATGCAGGCTTCAATACTCTCAACTACTGACCCAGTCTTTAATTCTCAAACTGAGGGTCTGGGTGATATGTTCCCTTCTACATACAGCCTTTGGAGCCTACCTGGCCACTTTGCTTGAAATAACTGGATTGAGATGGGCTAGTAGTGTGTCCAGAGTTTGTTCCTTCTGGTGGGTTCGTGGTCTCGCTGACTTCAAGAATGAAGCCGTGGGACCTTTGCAGTGAGTGTTACAGCCCTTAAAGATGACATGGACCCAAAGAGTGAGAAGTAGCAAGGTTTCTCGTGAAGAGCGAAAGAACAGAACTTCCACAGCATGGAAGGGAACCCGAGCGGATTGCCTCTATTGGCTGGGGTGGCCAGCTTTTATTCCCTTATTGGCCCCTCCCATGTTCTGTTTCTGTCCTATCAGAGTGCCCTTTTTTCAATCCTCCCTGAGATTGGCTACTTTTAGGATCCTGCTGATTGGTGCATTTTACAATCCTCTTGCTAGCTACAGAGCACTGATTGGTGCATTTTACAATCCTCTTGTAAGACAGAAAAGTTCTCCAAGTCCCCACTCAACCTAGGAAGTCCAGCTGGCTTCACCTCTCAGTAGCAAACAAGCAAAATTATTAGAAATCTTACATTTCTATGTAACTATTTGTTTTCAAAGTGCTTTCAAAACTAAAGACACAAACACCCTATTCACTGGCTCCTCCCTACAAATCTTCAAGACAAGTAGAAGTATGAATAACTCCCATTTACAAAAGTGTAAACTGAGGCTCAGATAGATGAACTGATTTGTTCAGGCTTCTGAATGCAGAAAGTGGTGGAGCCAGCTTTTGAATCCAAGGTTTCTTACCAGCCCATCCTCCATTTTTCCTCTTCCACTTCCACTGAACTCTTTCTACCCCTTTTTTCTCCCTTCCTTCCTTAAATTTTTACTTGCTCTTTCCATTAATCAGTGTCAACTAAATGGCCTCTTTTGGCTGTTCTGTCCTAGCCTTTGCAGAAATAGGTACATTTGCCACCATGAAACACAAATAATTTACCACTTTACTAACCTAAATGCTGGCAAGCCCTTACCAGCTGGGTGTATTCACTTGTCAGTGTCTTTACAGAGAAATGTGGTGGAAACTCTGAAAAATGTTTTGCTTAATTAGGCTGTTTTATGAACATTTCTTTCACTCTATGAATTTTCCTAACTCTTGATTTTGTAAAGCTAAAAATAACTTCACCGATAATCATGCCATATGGATGTGGGGTGCACTTTTTCTTTTCTTTTTTCCCCTCAAAGGACACATGTAACCACCCACAAAAAGAGGGCTGAGATCTCTGCTGTTTGACAGAATGGTAAGGGAAGATGCTTGTATAATTTGAACCCTAAACATATTTAACTGAAATAATGCGAGACTGGCTGTTCTGTTTATCCAGCAGAAAGAGAGTGCTTTTTCATTTCTTTAGTTAATTTGATTCATGTAAATTGCTTATTCTCCAAAATCCATCCAGCATTAAATGTGAAATAATTGTCTAAACTACAGAATGATCCAGATAACTATTTAACAAGCTCTTTCCTTCTAGAGCTTACACATATGCAGGAGGAAAAAAGTTTTTCCCTTATATTATTCGTATAACTTTAAAAAGTCTTTGCAGTGCTTTATCATCCACCCATATTTGGTCACCCACAGAGCTTTGGGCATAGAGACTTAGCTACACAGAGCACAGAGGTAGTAGATTTGTTCTGCTTTCAAAGAGGTTCACAGCAGTATTATATTTTTGTGTGTGTTCATTCTTCAAACCTACTGTTTTCTCCTTCCCCAGTAGTGGGCAAGAGGGCATTTCTTAGCTTCCCTTCTTTAAGTGTCTGATCAGGAAGTCCTTAAGGTGAACGATGTACTCCCACCAGCCTGCCAGTAAATGTGAACAGTCTTCGTCTGCCAGCTGCCTGCTGAAGTGATTTAGCTGCTGTGTGCCTGGACCCAGAGCTCAGAACAGGAGCTGGGCAACAACTGAGTCTAAAAATAAGCTGGCAGCCACATTCCAAGTGCTAGGCTATGGCTGAGTCACCCCTTGCAGCATTTCAGCAGGAGCACGGCTGGGCATGTGTGGCTGCATTTTGTACCTGCCAACCTCTATGGGGAGTTCTTTTCTCCATGCCATGCTTCTCATACAAGTCATGGTGCACAGGAAAAACAATGTTGGAATACCGGGGTTGATTTGGTGAAGTTCTAACCTGAGATAATGTATTAGTCCTTATGCAGGAGGGGAAGGAAGGTCAGCCTTTTCTTATATTATCTTAATAGACATAGTCCATGAAAGCTTCCAGGGCTAATTGTGGTGAAAATGTGCCAGGTAGACCCCTTTCATGCCAACCATAATTAATAGTGTTATAGTCTTCAAGGCCATAATGCTCATCAGTTATTAATTAGCAATTCATTTTGTTGAATAAATAATACTTATGATTGATGATAGAACTTGTAATTGGGCACTAGAAATGGCTCCCCTGGGACTGGCTTACCAGCAAGTATTAACCGCGACATGGTAACGACAAACACAGAGGATCGTGCAGGAAAATCCAAGTTAAACAATTGTAACACAGCCAAGGTATTCCTTCTCAACAGGAGAAAAATCTGTCCTGATGTGTATTCTGGGCTAGAGTGTGTTAATGGTTTCTGGCCACACAGTGTTTGGGTTTTCCATTTCCTCTTAAGTTTGTAATCAGCCACCCTATTTTTTTTTTTTTCCAAAAAGCAAATTGTTCTTTGCAAGACAATTCTATTGACTTCAAATTACTCTTGCTATAGGTCCTTTCGAAGTATCGTCATGACATGTACACACAGACTTGAGGGAAAAAAGTGCTTTTCTGAAAAAGTAATGATTGAAATTTTTATTTTAAATGATTCCTTAGATTGAATTCACTTTAGATTAACAGATTTTCCTGCCCAATTGATTTTCTGGCATCCATGCAGTGATCCAGCAGAGATAAAATGGGGGTTCATTTAGTCCATGGCTCCAAGGAAAAGTGAGAGCCTGGCAAAGAGAGCCAGCAAAGCTTCTTTCTCGCCTGCTCGGTTGGAGCAGGACAACTGGAGCCGGTCAGCTGCTGACCAGATGCTGCCTTCAATTAATATTCCAACCCTCAAAGACATTTATCGCTTACTCTCGAAAGCAGAGCAGCTGAGTAATAAAGGGAACCACTAAAGCTGTTTTTTTTTCAAGAGCATTTATAATGGCTAAATTGCTTGAAATAAATTAGCACGAAAAATAAACATAGTTTGTACAGTATCTGTAAAACAAATTTCCAATCTTGGGAAAATAGAGCGACAAAGTGGGAGCTTGCATTTAACAAGCACATGCAATATGCTTCATTAAGATGGCTTTTTTTAAAAAAAAAAAAAATTTTAAAAGGGTTAATAAACTCCAAGATATCATTGCCAGTTAAACAGGTCCTGCACCATTTTAAGGGAAGTAAGAGGCTACAAAGGAGACAGTTAAAAAGAAACCAAGAGACTGTGTTGTAATGCTAACAGGCAATTAACAAACTCATGGGTGTTAATTATCTTCATACTGTATCATGTTCAATTAGCTTAGTCTCTGCAACAAAGGCAACGATGAACAATTGCTTTGATAGGCGTACAGTACTTCATTTGTAGTTAATCGGTTTAAGCCCTGCAGTTGCTAGGTTACCTTGGTCTCCAGAGGTAAAAAGCTGTACAGATGCACTATGTTTAAATGACTACAGAGAACTGTTTAAACTCAAACCATGTATAACTCTTTATTGATTTTTCACAGAAGATCTCAGCTCTGATGATAAGGTTTTGATATATTTTCCTGCTACAGCCAGTTCCTTAGAGTATTGCAGAAAAAAATCTGTCAATATGCTTCTATTATGATCTCTTGATCTGTGCCTATAAAAACCTTTAGCCGCAAACCTTATTATAAATAATGGAAGAAGCAATATCTGATTTTTTTTTTTCACACTGTACTACATGAAGATTTTTTTTCTTCATTGCCTTTGGATCCAAATTACAGGGCTTCTTTCTGTACCGGTGCTTTAAAATAATAAAGAAGAATTTCTAGCTCTAATTAATTTGATTGACTCTCAGCAGGACGGGATCAGCTGTAGCATCATGAACTTTAACAATAACTACCAATTGATGGGCAGTTCACATCAATAAGACCATCACTAGCCTCTCTCTCACCTGTCACCAGGCGGGGAGTGAGCAATAACCAGACCCCCACAGATGCTCCCCGCTTAGCGCTTTCTGCCCTATTAGCAATTTATAATGGTGATCAAGAAACAGTCAGCGGCAAATCAAGACAACTGTCTGGCTGCCTGTTTAATTGGCCTTGTTTGCTTTTTGATAAATGGCTCGTGACTACTGTAGGCCCCTGTATTTTGACTTTTAATAGGCCACAGTGATTAGACTACCAACAGATACTAGGTCAAAACTGAGGAAAGGTGCAAAAAATGTTAATTAATATCAATAATAGGCAATTATTAGTTAGACAGAAGGACCTACTAGCTGCGTGCTCTAATGGCTCAGAGCTAACTGGAAGAGAAGTGCTGCCAAATTAGCATAACTGTATGCAGACTGCATGGTGGAGCCTAGCAAACATCTGTTATGTTAGTAATTCAAATAGAATTCCTGCCTTTCGAGTGATATTCGCAGAGTCAGCAATCCCTCTTGGCCATTTCAAGGCACTAACAATACCCTAGTGACTGGTGTCCTTCCAAATGGGCTGTGTTTGAGGCTAAGAATTAAATTGCACCTTTGCTTTTGGGTTGTGCTGTTGAGGAGCTTAAGGGGGTCACTGTTCTCTGGTCAGCAGAGGGTGGAGGAGAAGGGTTTTGCATGAAGCCATACTGACCTTAGAGAGAAATGCAATGTGGGCCCAGCTGACTCAGGGAGGGACACAAGCTTTCTGTGTTTGCTGTTTCATAATTAGCACCTAGAACATGGCTATGCCTAACGTGTCACATAAAATGCTATATATAATTCTCACAGCGGGATTCTTTGTTATTCATTCCTTGAAGTGTGTGTTTGTGTGTGTGTGTACGTGTGTGCATGCACACTCACATACACACTGATAAAGGGCTGACAGTGTGTTTTGAAACATAAAATGAGTTAAGGTGAAGTAGCACTTAAGACAATGAAATGATGGGTATCATAAACACTATTTCCCATTCTTGTTATCAACATTGAGGTCACCTTGGGCAAAAATTTAAATTCTCGTCAAAGGATGTTAGAATAGATCCTTAAGTCCTAATGGAGATACTGAGATCCAGGGAGGTCAAGAGACTTGTTTAGGGCCAACGACCTGGTTCTGGGAATGGCTAGAAGGAGATACAGATTTCCAGACTTCCTACCCAGTGCCCTTCACCTGACCTTGCTGCCTCCCGAAAAGCTATGAGTTTCTGTCCATGATTTAGTGTCTGGTGGATATTTCCAAAAGCCACGTTTGAAATGTAAACGAGGAATATGTGTAGAAAGTGCTCCCACCATAAATGCATGACATTTATGAAATAGCATGTACCCAAACATACTTTCTATTTAGGATTTTAAAAAACTGGGTTATAAAATTGTAAAACCCACAACCATCTCTTGAGATATTTCACATTTTAATGAGAGGCAGAGTTTTTTTGTTTGTTTGTTTTTGTTTTGAGAAGGGTGTATTATAATTATGTTATTCTTTATTTCATTTCAAGCTTGTTTTCTTTTACGTCTGGCTTGGACCAAGCAGGGGAAAGATCTGTGTGTGGTGCCCTTTTCCTTCCCCACCAGAGGACTGACATTTAAGACCCATTTGACTAAACATTTTCAAGATCTCTAAAAAACAAAAGGTGTGTGGGTGTGTATGCGCGTGTGTAGGGGGAAAGAATCTGTTTCTTGAAGGATTGAGTTGAATTTTGGATTATAACAAACTGTAATTTTCTTCCTCCTTCTCCTCCTACCCTCCGACCCCCACCCTCACCCCTCAACACTAAGGAAGTCTCTCCAGCCACATCATTTTGTTAATAGCACTTAACTATTAGGCTTTTCAGTACCACAGTGCCAAAGAAAATGGGATTACTTTTTCATCTCTCTTCCTGCTTAAATACTTTGAAAAATCATCTGCTTTTGAGTCTATAAGGAAACTATTATGTAAGCTTAAAAATAACATTTTTAGATAATTCATTGCTGGGAATAAAGTCTTTTAAAATGATGGAGATATGATACTTTAGTTTTTTGTTTTTTTACTATTTCACTCAAATATTTGTTGAGCACTGAGCCAAATGTAAAATAATCATAAAGATAATAAGAATAGTACAATTATGAATTATTTACCTCCTAATATGTGGATCTCTTTACTAAACATTTTATATGTATCAACCATTCAATTCTTGTGACAACACAATGACATATAGCTGCTTTAAATCTCCATTTTACAAATAAAAAACTGAGGCTTAGCAAGCTCATTGAAGTATAAAGAAGTGCAGTTTCTATTTAACTTAAGTTTAAATGTTTTACTCTTTGTAATATAAATTGTTTTCCTTTTTTGAGGATTTTAAGAGTTTTCCCAATTCCTCTGTATAAAAAATATAAAGTTTGAGAAGCAACAAACAAAATGGTTTACTTCATAATGTCTTTTTCGGGTGTGTTACCTTTTTCAAATAGAGCATGCATTATATATAAAGGTTACGGTAACATTTTAAATATTGATGTTTCTAGAGTGAGAGGAAATTATATTTATTTTCTCTTAATAATTAAAGTTTTGGTTATTTTATTTCTGCAAGCTCACTGCATTGCAGTGTATTTCTACTTAAGCTGTTTTCCACTGAATCTAAGATGTTATTGATTACAAGAAGGACCATTATTTTATTTACCACAATTAAGAAAAAGATGCTGCCAATTAAACTATGACAGAATGTTTTCTAATTTTAAATAATGACTTAGAATTTTTATTTTAAGTTCTTGAAACAGCTTTTCTAGACTGATTTCTAGACTGATTTAGATAATCCACAGGTTTAAAAAGAAAAAAACCAATGTAACTCCTATGTATTCCTAAATCCAACTCTTATGATTCAACTCAGAGCCATCTAGAACCATGTTTTTCTACACAGTATTTTCTTCTGGGCCGTCAAGAGCATTGATAATACAACATTTCTTTAAAAGCGCTCCACTGTTATCTCTGGGATTTTCTTCCTTGTCAATGAGATCCGTTCTGCAAGTTTTGATGCTGGTATGTTTTATGTTCTCACATGAGCAGACCATGACAACTCTGCCAGGAGTTTCTGCTGGCTGATGGTGATAGTAAAGCTCATCTGGATTGCAGAGATGTTAAAATGTGCAAAAAACCAAAAATGTACAACAGAGAATCCATGAAATATGCTGGTACACTCATCAGTTATCTGTCATTATCCAAATATCTGTAGGCTTATATAATTTTCAGAGAAGTAAACCCAGTGATTGATTCCAGCCTATTAAGATGACATGGAGCTGGGCACAGTGGCTCACTCCTGTAATCCCAGCACTTTGGGAGGCTGAGGAATGTGGATCACTTGAGGTCAGGAGTTCAAGACCAGCCTGGCCAACATGGCAAAACACAATCTCTACTAAAAATACAAAAAAAGTAGCCTGGCATTGTGGTGCACACCTGTGATCCCAGCTACTCGGGAGGCTGAGGCAGGAGAATCGCTTGAATGTGGGAGGCAGAAGATACAGTGAGCCAAGATTGTGCCATTGCACTCCAGCCTGGGCAACAGAGCCAGACTCCGTCTCAAAAAAAAAAAAAATGACATGGGGTCGCAAATGTCATTTTCATAAGAGTGTTCACAGACCAGCTGTCAGTGGTGCGTTCACTAAACAGTGAATATAGTGAAAAACCCTGAACATTCTCTCCACTCTACATAGTAGGATAAGAAACTAGTAAATAGAACCTTTAGGGTTTCTTTTGTGTACTTGTTACTAAGATTGACTTATGCAGTTTTTAAGAGCCAAATTCCACATGTGGTGAATTATGCCTTCAGGCATAATGAGAATGATGGCTTCCCTGGTGATATGCCTTTAGGCTGATCAAGAGCACCCCCATTGCCTATGAATGGAAGAAGTTTTATCTCTAGCTTGTTGGAGCCAGGACCACCTGCAAAAATATTCCTAAGAAGTCTGGAAAGCTGAAGCCTTGCATTAAGTGGGTACCAGAGTGTCTGTCTGCAAGGGAGAAGGCCCTAATTCTGATTGGCCCCTATGACTTGCTGCTTTTGTTAATGTGCTGGAACGGGTAGGACCAGAAGAATTCCAGAAGAATTTTCTGCCTTATATTCTGCCTATGGCCAGTCTTAGACCACTATATTGTATGTTTTTTCCTTTGCAAATTTAGTCCTTGGATAGATATTAACATTTATTGAGCCCACTTCTGTTCATGCCAGAAGTATCTGTGACTATGAATAATTAGCTAATAGGTTGGTGCAAAAGTAATTGCGGTTTTTGCCATTACCTTAATTTAACCACAATTACTTTTGCACCAATCTAATAGTAATCTGCCTCATGGGAAGTAACGTATTAGTCAAGAGCCAGAGTTTTGCACTCATGAAGGCCTGGGTTTGAATCCCAGCTCTGCCGCTTTTCACTGGTGTGATCCTGGGCTCCAGTTTTCTCATCAGTAAGATGGGGACCATGATACCTACTCTACACCCATTCATAGGTATTTGAGAAAATGCATGTGATACACTTTGTCAAATGCCTGGTTATAGTAAGTACACAATTGGTGGTACTCATTGTCATTATCATTACTTTTATTAATAGGCCCTGTCACACTGTGGGGACACCTAGCTCATCAGAGATCATTGCTTCTCCAGATTTATTTTCTACAAAAGGGTAACATTGTCAGAAAACATTCCTTTTTTTTTTCTAATTTTACTTTAACTTCTGGGATACATGTGCAGAACATGCAGGTTTGCTACATAGGTATACATACGCCATGGTGGCTTGCTGCACCTATCAACCCGTCATCTAGGTTTTAAGCCTCGAATGCATTAGATATTTGTCTTAATGCTATGCTTCCCCTTATCCCCCACTCCCTGACAGGCCCTGGTGTGTGATGTTCCCCTCCCTGTGCCCGTGTGTTCTCACTGTTCAACTCCCGCTTATGAGTGAGAACATGTGGTGTTTGGTTTTCTGTTCCTGTGTTAGTTTGCTGAGAATGATGGCTTCCAACTTCATCCATGTCCCTGCAAAGGACATGAACTCATGCTTTTTATGGCTGCATAGTATTCCACGGTGTATATGGGCCACATTTTCTTTATCCAGTCTATCATTGATGAACATTTGTGTTGGTTCCAAGTCTTTGCTAATGTGAATGGTGCTGCAATAAACATACATGTGCATGTGTCCTTATAGTAGAATGATTTATAATCTTTTAGGTATATACCCAGTAATGGGATTGCTGAGTCAAATGGTATTTCTGGTTCTAGATCCTTAAGGAATCACCACACTGTCTTCCGCAATGGTTGAACTAATTTACGCTCCCACCAACAGTGTAAAAGCATTCCTATTTCTCCACAGCCTCACAAGCATCTGTTGTTGTCAGGAAACATCTCTAACTGATCAGAGGACATTCATTGCCTTCTCCATTCCCTTCCCTTGTTTGGAGCTCTGCTCTCCAAATAAACACCTCTTTTCTGCCCCAGATCTACATTGCATCCATTCCTGATGTTCTGATTAGTTATGTGTTGACCTATTGCCGATTTATTGTTATAGGTGTGTCTTTTTGAACATAGTGTGGTCAGATGAGCAGCAGATTGGAAGTTGGTCAGCTTAGATCCTAGTCCCAGCCCTATCGCTGACTAGCCATGTGATTTCCCTCATCAATAAAATTCTTGCTCTGTGTGCTACCTTATTAGGATCTTGTGAGTTTTATCATTTATGACAGCCACCATTTAGTGAGCACCTTTAATCCTTGTGATGCTCTTGCAAAGTAGTTACTATTCTCCCCATTTTAGAAGTGGAGACACAAACTAGAGGTTAACGGCCTTAACTGTTCTCACTGCCTGTGTGATTTGGAGCAACTGCATTAACCCTACTAAGTCTCAGCCTCCTCATTTGGAAATTAGAGGAGATAATGGCTCTGCCTCCGAAGTTTGTGAGGATTGAAGCACATGATGTGTGGAGGGCCTTGGACAGTCACACATAGTAGGGCACTCCAGAATGTTTGGTGATATGGCTTGTCAAGAGTCACATAGCTGGAGAGGGCCAGAGCTAGATTTCAGTCCAAGCCTGTCTAGCTCTTTGAGCATATGGGAGCAAGCACTTGCTAACACAAGTGCAAAGTGGCCTATGAAGGCCCCTGTCCTGGCATAATCCTGGGAGAGGGAGAAGCCTCATCTTCCTTCTCACTCTTGGAGTATTCCTCTTTCTCCTCTTTCACCTCTAGACTGTTATCTGCTGTCCTATACCCCACTGGGAGCACAAAGGGAAGACCATAAGAACTGGAGCCAGTTTTTTCTTTCTTAAAGGCTACAGGCATGTCTTTTAAAAAATGTGGTAAAATATACATAACAGAAAACTTACTATTAGTAACATTTTGCAAATTCATAATGTTGTGCAACAATTACTACTATCTAGTTTCAGACCATTTTCATTACTCCCAAGGGAAATCCCTTACCTAATGAGCACTCATCCCCCATCC
This sequence comes from Homo sapiens, assembly GCF_000001405.40. Classification (NCBI taxonomy): domain Eukaryota; kingdom Metazoa; phylum Chordata; class Mammalia; order Primates; family Hominidae; genus Homo; species Homo sapiens. The sequence continues at coordinate 175,847,296 of NC_000002.12, read as the reverse complement.
TTGCCCACCCCCATTCCCTGGCAGCCACTAATCTGCTTTCTGTTTCTATGGACTTGTCTATTCCAAATACTTCATATAAATGGAATCACACAATAAGTGGTCTTTATGTCTGGCTTCTTTCACTCAGCATAACAAAGCTTGTCTGCATCTCTTTCCTTCTCCCCACCAGCTCCAGGCAGATTGTGAGGAAAGATTTCCCACTGTTTATTTTTGGCAAATCCTCTTTTTGCCTGCTGACTCTCACCACCATGGTGGCTGATTAGCTTCATTATGAAAAATCTCGCTATTGCTCTGGAACCTTCCTAAAATGGTCTGTCAGTCCACCAAACATGGCAGAATCTGCTTGTGATAGAAAGACTCTTCAGTCTCAGCAATTCGTGGTCTTTGCTTCTGCAGATTAATTCTCTCTTCCAGCAGCAGCTAACTCTTCCTTTCAGAATATGAGATTCAAGATGGCATGTGTAAGGCAGAGTTTTTAACCCTGCCTCCCTCATGATCTATGTAGGAGTCCTGGCAAGCCCACATACCACTTAATAATCTTATCTGGAAATGAAGAACTTAGATGCATCGACTGTGCGAGGTCCTGGAGAAGGAAGAAAATAATTCACAGGTCTTTCCAAGTCTAAAATGCTACCTAATGAAATGGATATTTTTCCAGTGAGGAACAATGGATACCAAATTGCCACCTATAAAAATGTACACACAATTAAGAGTTCGGGGAGTTTACACAGATGGAGTGGGTCAGTGATTGGAACTAAAAAATCTGGTTCCTTTGATATTTGTATTTCTCTTTACAAATGATCGCAGTGGTATTTTGGTTATGTTACATAAAACCAAACAACAGTAACGATCAAATATACCAAAGGAGCAAGAGGAGTTTAGGTTGTGGGTAGTGGCAGAGGCAGAAGAATCTGAGCCATCTCTAGTCTTAAAAATCTGTGAGTCTGAGTCCTCTTTGAACTTCTTGGGGCTTTGTAGAAGATGAGAGAGGAGACCCCACATGACAGGAGGCAGGGCAGGGCAACTTGTCATCTCCTTACCCATCTTGGCTTATGCATATTTTGCATAGTGATTTCTGTTTGGAAATTGATTTACAGCAATTGCAGGTGGCTGAGAGAGCTTGTTTCAAGGCAGGATTTGAAGGGGAAAAGAAAGGACCTTGTCCAAAGCTTTCTCCAAGGCAGGTCATGCTGAGTGAAGGTTCCTTGTTGGAAAAGAAAGGAATTCCCCATGGGGTCCTGTCGTCTCACTCCAGCTGACGGCTCTATTGCAGGTATGGTGCCTCCATGGCTGTCAGTCATTTGAGGGGAACCTCTGACCCCCAAGACCTCCCTGGGTTATTAAGGGGGATGGTATACATGTGTCAGGCTGGTGATGGTGTATGTGACACAGAAACTGTCACAGAGCAAAGATGGGGGAAGCTGAGCACCTGCTTCCTCAAAGCAGCCACCAAGTCATGCCTGATGTTAGTGCTCCATTAGAGGGCGTACTGCCTGAGGGTCATATGTGGGGTGTGTGTGTGTGTGTGTGTGTGTGAGAGAGAGAGAGAGAGACAGAGAGAGAGAGAGAGTATGTGTGTGTGAGCATAAGGGGCCCAGGGAGAATATCTTAATGGGATTTCTAGTCTTCCTTGTTTATTTCACACACACAATTCTGAATTAACACCTCCATTCATGTACTTGATGTTACCACTGAATAACTATATAGAAGGATTCGATGTCTGGAACTCCAGCCACTTATTTCTGCTGACTGTAAAACCATAGCAGTTGGTGAGCTGTTCATTTAGCTAGCACTAAAGATGCCCAAATAACACCCCCACTGATTGTTGCTCATCTATACTTTGTAAATATGCTTCTACATGTGGGTACACACATGTATTAATCTCATTTATTTCCTAAATATGAAACTGGATTTGGAATAAATCCATCAGGAATATGGGCCTAACAACACATTTAAATAGTCACCAATTGGTACCAATAGCTCTGTAATAATTTGTTCTCATTTCAGTTTCCCAAACTGAAGAGCTCTTCCTCGGTCCTTTCTTATCTAGAACCCATAAGTTCAAGAGATTCAGAGAATTTTCTATTAGTGCTGTGATCTTTGCCAGCCGTAGTTTAGTCTACAATTTGATCTATTCTGGGGTGTAAGTACTTGTTAATGGGTTTTGAAGGCCAGAATAATAAATAATGCTTAGGAATCTTTTATAACAGGCCTGGAATAGATTTTTAAAGCAAACTGAGGTAGATTTTCAACATGTGTATAAGGTACATATATTCTGTTCTGGCAGAAACCAGAACAGTTCTGGTGGAAAATTTTCTTTTTTCATTCAATAAATAATTAGATATGCAAAATATGTGATGTTTAAACATGTTTACCCTAATGGGATAGTCTTTAACCAAAGGGATGGATATTTTATTTTATTTATTTTTTTAACATAGAACACAGGGATAATAAAAGTTTATTTTATTTATCTGCTAGAGGAATCCCAAGAGGCAAAAAAATACAACCAATGTTGGACAAAACAGATAATTGACATTACCAATTTTTAGTAAGGTTCTAAGTGTTTTGTTTTTTGAAATCTGATTGCATTAAGACACATATACTCTCCAATGTAAAAAAACACACCCTATACTGAACTAAATGCACAAAAGACCTCATTATTGGAACATTAGCCATGATTATTTTAATATTCTCCCATCTTGCAATTTTGAAAATATACAGGCATTATGCAAGAAGAAGGAAGAGGAAAAGGAGGAAGAAGAGAGAAAGGAGGAGAAGGAGAGGGTGGTAAACAGAAGCCTAGTTAAGAATTCCTTGCTCCAGTAGTGAACAAGGACTAAACACAAACAACGGGTGAAACACAGATACTAATTCACATAACAAAGAGTGGGCAACCATACCAATGAACTGATGCAGACTCTGTATAGAATTCCTCTGCTATGACTCAGTTCTTATTTTCTCCTCTTTGTATGTAGGTGAAATTTCATCATGATGAATAGTACCTTGGATCTTTTTTTTGAGTTCTGAATGTAAGTGTTTGGCTTTGTTTATAATACAATCTTTTAGTATCCAGAAGATAACCAATGCTCTAATGATAAATATCTTTTGATACAAAGGGTTTTAACTTCTGCCAGGCCCTACTTATTCATTTTTTCAGAAGGTATTTTATATGTTTCTTAAACAACACATACATTATGTAAAATGTAAGAATTAATGTACGTTCTCAAGGCCAGATTCAGTGACAAAATGCCCTACCTGAATCTATAACACATTTACTCTTTGCTGCATATAAGTTACATATAAGAAATATAGGCTATATTGTTTTGTGACTCATGCAGTAAATGTTTACAAAAATCAAACAACTAGACATTCTTCAGCTACTAAAATTAACCGTCCCAGTCAATAAAGACTTAACAAAAATAAAAGCACTGATGGTTACATCAAAACCATGCTGGACTGAGTTAGTCCTGGAAGAGCTAGTTGTCAGGGCCATAAGGAAAGCATTGGCAGCTGCAAATTTTCCTCTTCATATGCCACTGAGACTATTCTCTTCTCAAATGGCATTACCCCATACCACAGGCTTTTGCTAAAGAGGCATTTCAGTCTTCAAATGAAAACAATCAACCTTTCGTCAAAAAGCAGATAAATGCCTTTCTTGAGTTTCTGATCCTGAAAACAGCTTGCTATAGGTCCTTAAGGCAAATGCCAGGAGTCAAAGAAACTGTAGAACAGTCTCAAAATGTAAACAATAAAATCACTGACCAAGGTGTTATATCCCTGGATGAAAACTCTTCATAAGAAGACCTAACTGGATAGGACCAACTTCTTGGCTTTTGAAGGTAATGTGAATTTTATATCCTAGAAGCACTGCAGTTTTTTTCTACTGTAGTGACCTCCAGAGTAGATAAAATTCATGATGTTGCTTAAAAAAAAATACATAGCATGGAGAAGCTACTCAAATACCAAGCAGTTTTCAGGTTTGTTTGTTTTACTTTTACATTTTTCTTCTGTGGTTGGCATATGGAAAACCAAACTGGGAAATCATAATGTTGGACTATTTTAAGGGCATGCTATCATATATATTAACAAGCTTATTTATATAATAAGACCTCTGCAGAGCATGCTCAGCTCGATGTCACATTCCAGAATAGCCACTGTTGGTTTCTTTTTCAAAATCGTCCATGTTTACATGCTTCACAAATATCCCTGAAGTCTTCTCCGTATGCTTGGCAATGATACAATTCATGGCAATATCATCATAGTTTTGAGTATCTTCTATCAAAGCATGGACAACTGTGGGTTGCCTCTGAAAAAGTTTGAGATATATGCTATTGAAGAATGAGCCTCTAATCAGTACCATAGAGTACTGGTCACCATTTCCAGACCCTGGTGCTTGCATTTCAAAACCTCTGGTTGGATGTTTTAAACCTCATGACTGATGTGTGGATTTGGATCACATTAAACTTACTGACATAATGTGTCAAAAGAGGAGATGGGATCCTGCAGGGTTCTGGGAAGTAATAAGATTTCTTTTTAGTGGGTCCTGGATACAGAGAGGATCTTTTCTGGGAAGTTTTAGATTTACACACTTTGAGAAAATAGAGTTCAAGAAATATGGGTTTCGATTAGGCGCAGTGGCTCACGCCTGTAATCCCAGCACTTTGGCCAAGGTGGGTAAGGCAGGTGGATCACTTGAGGTCAGGAGTTCGAGAACAGCCTGGCCAATATGGCAAAACCCGTCTCTACTAAAAATACAAAAATTAGCCGGGTATGGTGGTGCACACCTGCAATCCCAAATACGTGGGAGGCTGAGGCACGAGAATTGCTTCAACCCCTGGGAGGTGGAGGTTGCAGTGAGCTGAGATTGTGCCACTGCACTCCAGCCTGGGCGACAGAGTGAGACTCTGTCTCAAAAAAAAAAAAAAAGAAAGAAAGAAAGAAAGAAATATGGGTTTCATTTTGAGATCTGTTCCAGGCCTGATGATACTCAGGGACTGAGACATAATATTTAGCCTGAAAAGATGCATTAGGAGTATGATTCTTCAAAAACCTTGAGTATTTCTGAGCTAAATTCCTTACTAATATGATGTGCCATTTTAATTTCTAATGCTTATGATAATGTTTATCAGGGAATTTCCTCTTCTTTCTTTCTCTCTCTGTCTTTCATTCCCTCCTTCCCTCCCTCCCTTCCTCCCTCCCTCCCTTTCTTCTTTCAATTCTTTCCTTTATTTTTTGAGATGGAGTCTGGCTCTGTTACCCAGGCTGTATGGAGTGCAGTGGCATGTATCAGAGAATTTCTGATTAACCTTTGTTAAAAGAAAATGTACACTCAGGTTAAATTAGGAATATGTCATCCAGTAATACTAACTAAAATTAAGTTTATTCCTGAAAGTTTCTAACCATCAATGGCTAGCTTGGGGATGGCTCAATACGTTAGATATATTAATCCATTAAGTGGAAGAATTCTTTCTGTTTGTCCCCTGATGCATCTGAGTTTTGTTGTTGTTGTTGTTTTTAAGACAGAGTCTTGCTCTGTCTCCCAGGCTGGAGTGCAGTGGCACCATCTCAGCTCCCTGCAAGCTCCGCCTCCTGGGTTCATGTCATTCTCCTGCCTCAGCCTCCTGGGTAGCTGGGACTACAGGTGCCCGCCACCACGCCTGGCTAATTTTTGTGTTTTTAGTAGAGATGGGGGATGCATCTGATTTTGAGACCCCTGCTACTGAGCATCTGTATCAGTGAGGGTTTGATCAGGGAAGTGGACCCTCTTGACATGGGATAAGGGATTTATTCTAGGGATTAAACTGTAAGAACTGGTGAAGAAAAAAGCAATTTATCCAATGAAGACAAATTCCTAGGTGGCAATATGTAGGCCATTTTATTTTTATGCATTTTTTTCAATATTACTTATTAAGAAAAATATATATGACTTACTGAAGCTTTTTGGTTATTTGAAGAAATGAAGGTTCAGTTTTCCTGTTAATTTGTTAACCTTTTTTTTTGTTTATTTCCTATTTATTTTTACCCATTTGCAAGAAATTTGTAACATTTTGATATATATCTGTTACAGATTAAATACCTGACAGTAATCTCCACAATATATTTATTAATTGCCCTTTGCTTATCATATGGTTTGGCTCTGTGTCCCCACCCAAATCTTAGCTTATATCTCCCATAATTCCCATGTGTTGTGGGAGGGACCCAGTGGGAGATAACTGAATCATGGGGGCAGGTCTTTCCTGTGCTGTTCTCATGATAGTAAATAAGTCTTATAAGACCTGATGGGTTTATAAGAAGGAGTTTCTCCGCACAAGCTCTCTCTTTGACTGCTGCCATCCATGTAAGACGTGATTTGCTCCCCCTTGCCTTCTGCCATGTTTGTGAGGCCTCCCTAGCCATGTGGAACTGTTAAGTCCATTAAACCTCTTTTTCTTCCCAGTCTGGGGTATGTCTTTGTCAGCAGCATGAAAATGGACTAATACAGTTTATATCTCTGTTATTAACGTTAATGATTTCCTTAATTGGGAATTTATTTCTTAATCAGGATGTGCTATATAAAGTAAAGGTCATTTTTATGTTTAAAATGAAAAAACCTGTGAAATCTAGACATAATATTTATACACAAAAACCATTATTTACTCTGTCAAAAGCACAGTCTTTTCTTGAAAAATGAAATAATATTAATAGAACCAAAAGATGTGTTCTGATAGTGCTATTCTTTTCCCTACTATTTTTTATAAAACTGGGTCACCAGGACTGCCTGATGTAATTCACTAAAATATATTAGACATTTACTTTGTGCAAGGCACTGCATTGAGAGCTGGTCATGGTAGTGAAATGTAACAGCTGAGATATATCCGTACATTCTTGGCTATTATTAAAAAGATAAAAAAAAACAGATGTTGGTGAGGATGTGGAGAAAAGGGAACTCTTATTTAGTGTCAGTGTGAATGTAAATTAGTACAGCCACTATGGAAAGCAGCATGAAGATTTTGCAAAAATCTAAATATAGAACTATGATACAATCCAGCAATCCCACTACTGGGTATTTATTCAAAGGAAAAAAAATCAGTACACCAAAGGGATACCTGCATTGCATGTTTATTGCAGCAGTATTCACAACAGCAAAGATATGGAATCAACCTAAGTGTCCATCAACAGACAAATGGGTAAAGAAAATGTGGCATATATTCACAATGAAATACCATTTGTCCATAAAAAAGAATAAAATCATGTCCTTTGTTGCAACATGGATGGAACTGGAGGTCAATATGTTCAGTGAAATAAGCCAGGCACAGAAAGAAAAATAGGCATGTTCTCACTCATGTGTGGGAACTATAAAAGTTGATCTCATGGAGGAAGAGAGTAGAATGATAGATACCAGAGGCTGGGAAGGGGGTGTGGTTGTTGCAGGTGTATGTGCAGCGATGAAGAGAGGTTGATTAATGTGTACAAACATAGTTAGATAGAAGGAATAAGTTCTAATGTTCAATGGAAGAGCAGTGTGACTATAGTTCGGAACAATGTATTGTATATTTCAAAATATCTAGAAGAGAGAAATTGAAACACTCCCAACACATAGGAATGATAAATAGTAGGTGGTGGATACCTTAAATATCCTGACTTGATCATTACACATTGTATGCATGTCACAAAATATCACATGTACCCCATAAATATGTACAAATATTACGTATCAATAAAAACTCAACCAAAAGAAGAGATATCCTTATATTCTCTAAGCTATCTTTGATTTTTCTTCTGTTATTAGCTGAGATTTGTTTAGATAAAGTGCAACAAAGACTTATTCATTGTGCATGCTGTGGTAATTGACCTGCCCAAACTATATCAATAGATGTTGTAGTGGTTTTGTACTGTCATTTAGCTAAGGTGGAACTACACTTCCCAGAATTCCCTTCTCTATATGGTTCTGGGTCAAGGTTGGCCATAACAGAAATTTACTCCAGATCTGGGAGGCAGAAGTGAAGTAGCAGACATTAGCTCTGAAAATCTGCATAGGGCTCCAGGCTCCCTTGTGGCCCTAGGCTCCCTGGCAATATCGCTGACCTATTATATATACTGACTCACCTGGCTTGCAAAAGCCTGAGCTCACAGCTCCTGCAGCTTCTGCTAGACCTCTTCCTTCAGTTTCTATGAGTCTTGGATGAGGCACGTGTGCAGCATCATGGTGAAGGGCAACAGCTTATTTTCCAGTCTCTTGCATCAGGTTAGAGATGATGAGAAACAAATGGAGGCTCTGGTTTGTCCTCACAGGTTCTAATTTGTCTTTTTCTTTGTTGCTTTCTGTCCAGGTTTCTTCCCAACTGCTGCCCTGCTCACCTATAGCAGTTGGTTTCAGGCTCACCACTAGATTTCCATAAACTTCTTCCCCAGCTACCTCCGTTGCATAGTAAGTCTTGGTTCCAGATCACTTATAGTGGTCCTGCTTCCTTGCTCACATGGTCACTGATACTGATGCTCTGTATCAGGGGTGTAAAAACGGAATGTCCCAGGGGCCACGTAAAGTAACATAAATAAATACAGCAGGTCTAATGTAAGAAAAATCATGCAGCTTTCTCAGTCTTTCTTTTTCCCACTTTTGGTAGAGATATAGAATCAAAGAAATGTACCTCTATTGTAAAAAAAATTAATAACAGCATGAGCATATTGATAAATGACAATGGACTCCTGGCTGGGTATCATGGGGACCATAGGAAGAGACAGGGACTGCCAAACTGGAGAGGTGAACTTACATCAACAGGAAGGACACCCCCAACTCAGCTCCAGATTATGTTACCATGTTTCAACAGAAGCCCCAAATGGGGTGTTTGTGTGACTTCTCCTGAATTTTAATGTGCTGATGTACTTATGTGTGCATACACACACACACATACACACACACAGATGCAACCATAAAGGCAATCCATGGGCCAAATACACATGTCCTCTGCTCTGATTGGGGCAGACTGTTAGCCAAGGTCCTTGGATGAGGACAGATGGGTAAAAAACAAAAACAAAAACAAAAACAAAAACCAAGAGGAATACTGGGGAGGAGAATGACCAAGGGAGATAGGAAGGACCCCCAGTGTTCTTGTGGGGTGGACACTAAGGATGGCTAGAAAATTCCATTGAAAAATAAATAATTATTTTGCTGTGTGTGTGAGAGAGAGAGAGAGAGAGAGAAACTAATAAGAACTACAAATTTCACAGTAATTTGCATTGTACACAGGGATTTCATAGATGCTATTTCATTTATTCTCATTTACTATCTTATCTACTATTTTGGATGTGAGTGGGATCAAAGATGAATCATTTCTGGTTCCTGCCCTCAAGGGTTGTAATCCATGGAGGAGATTGATATGTTTAAATCCAACTATAAAACAAGAATGAATGTGATTAAATGTCATGGGGCTGGAAGAAGTTTGACAAATAAAAATGGGGAATGGAAAGGGTACTGGGTGATACAAAAAGTTTGAGCAGAGGCCCCAAGGAGAATGTGAAGTCAGCAGCAAAAGCTACTATAAAGAGCAAATCAGTAGCAAATGTTTTACTAACACAATTAAAATTCATCTGTGAACTCCTGAAACTGGAAGGAGTCTACAACTACACTTAATGTGGTCAAAATGTTTATCTGTCAATGGCTTGCATTCAAACAGCCTCAGTTTGAGGGGAAAGGAAGTCAAGGAACACTGCTGTCTCTTCTAGGCAAAGGAGCACTGCATTGAGTGTGGAATTCAAGATCCAGAAATGACAGCCAGATTTGTCTGGAGGGAGGAAAAAGTGCTCTTAGGTTTGATGATGTCCTACAAAAGGTCAGACCACAGGCAGAAGGCTGAAACCAAGGGCTGTCAATTGCCAGAAAAGACAGCAAATCTATTTAAAGAGTTTGTAATAGATCATTAAATGGGCTGTATTTATGTAACCGAGAAAATTTAAGTCAAATCTGACTGTGTCTCGCTTCTGCTTAAAACTCTGTATGCTGTATTACAGTTCAGGCTCCTCTTTGGCATGACATAGTCAAGGCTGCTTAAGACCCGACCTTGGCTTCCTTCTTTTATGACTCACCCTGGCCTGGTGTGTATCCTCTGCCTGCATCCCCTATTCTCCTCAGCTATGGGAGAATGAATTTTTTGGCCATGAGGCACTACTTGCAGTTGTGCTGATGTTTCACACTCTGTGCCTTTGCATATTCTATTGCTTTTCCTCAGAATGTCCATTCTTCTTTTGATTACTCTTTAAAACTCTGTCAAAAGTGTTTGGTGGCTCCCAACTCCCCAGTAAAATCTTCTCTGCCAACTCTGTATGGTGTGTAGTTGAATTTTTGACTTACTATGTTGTGATGTAATTACTTAGTCTGTTATTCCATGTGCACTATTTAATGTGTGGACATATTCACTTATCAGCCCTTTATTGAGTGCCTATTCTAATCCATGTAAGAGATTTTACAGTGTGCTGTGGATGCAGCAGTACATGGAATATAACAAGTTGTTAGACTCATGGAGCTTCCTTATTAAAAAAGATGTGTTGAACTGAAATGGATTCACAAGATGATTTAAACTTTAGGTTTAAATGTTATGTATTGACAAGACATTCAGTTTACAAAATCATAATTTCAATCTGTTTTAAGTTTACTATTTTGTAATTGTGTGTTCTCAATGTGTTGTTGAATTCCTGATTAATGTAGTCACGGAGCTTATTTCTGCTGTGTTCTCTCTATAGTGGTGGTTGGACTTCTTGAAGTTTTGTGATTTTGTTGATCTTGGCTATATTTAGGCAATCTGTCCACAAAGGCTTGAATCCTCTTTGGAAGAGGAATCTATTTTCAGCCTTGGTTGCAGGGATTCCACTTTCCTAACTCTTAGTTGCCTTTTGAGGATGTGCCATTTAACACTTTATCTCCTGAAGTGCATCTGCTTTCGGTTATTTTTGATCTTTCAGACATCCAGCATAAGTTCCAGGGCCATATCCTCCCCACCAGATCATCTGTAACCTGTTTGATCCAATCCTGGTTCTTCTTTCAGCCACTGGCCACTTACTCTATGGTTCAATCAGGAGAATGGAGACAAGTTTTTTTGCTTTGATTCTGTTTCCCTGCAAAGCCCTGAACAGTGCTTGTTCTGTCGGAATCTGGCAATTTGGAGTAGAATCTTTTCTCATGTAACACTGATGCTGACATTTACACAACGTACTTCTTTTCTTTCTTTTTTTTTTGAGATGGAGTCTTGCTCTGTCGTCCAGGCTGGAGTGCAGTGGCACAATCTCGGCTCACTGCAACCTGTGCCTCCTGGGTTCAAGCGATTCTCCTGCTTCAGCCTCCCGAGTAACTGGGATTACAGGTGCACATCACCACGCCTGGCTAGTTTTTGTATTTTTAGTAGAGATGGCGTTTCGCCATGTTGGACAGGCTGGTCTCGAACTTCTGACCTCAGGTGATCTGACCACCTCGGCCTCACAATGTATTGGGATTACAGGCGTGAGCCAACACACCAGGCCTTGATGTGCTTTTAAGTTATTTTATTTGCCTGTCTACGTTAGTTAGTCTGAGTAACTGAGTAGGTCATCACTTTTTTTTCTATTGTGCGTTCACCTCTAAACTTGACTCTTTTGAACTTTTAAAGACCGTACTTAATAGAGTTATGTTTATTTTGGTAACAAGTTTGAGTTATACTCCTTGTAACATTCTGGCAGTCCCCTCCCATTTTTCTAGAAGTTTCTGTTCCTTTAGACTCTCTCTTAGCCAGGGGTCTTTTTCATTGTTAAATTTTAGGGGAAGATCTAAACAAACATTAGCTATAATAAAATAAAACAAAACAAAAACTTATCCTTTACCCAACTTAATCTCTTCAATTAGTTGGCAATCAAATTATTTTATACCACATCCAAAATTATGCAGCAGACAATGTAATTTAGTTGCCAATGATTTAAATGATATTTATTCAGAAAGGATCCTTATATGCAAACTTTTGCTGCAGACAAACTTGAATTAACTACTTTGATGCTCTTCAGAATAAACAATAACTCTAAAAGGACAAACTATCCCAAAGCAAACACTTTAACAAGGGAAGCTCAGTGTCTTATCATATTTTGATGCTATGGAAAATAAACTTGCCTCTTTAAAGGGAACTAACTAAACACAAGGTTCCCGAAGAACTGAATGTAGAGCAAATTTCTGAATGAATCTCTTAGGATTTGTTTATACTCTGAATATTTAATAGCATGGCATTGCAAAATTTGAATTATGCTACTCAATTTTAATGGTTAATCTGCTTTAAAAAATACACAAGCTTAATTGTGACATATAAAAGTCCTTATTTAGGGTAGATTTCTAATTTGAGTGCTGTTGGCCCTGCTGTGTAAAGAGTCTCCTGGGTGCAGATTTTTAAAAGTGTGTGCGCCTTTACATTTCGCCGTTTAACAATTTCTCTTTGCCCAGTCTGCCCCAGCTTCTATGCAAGCCAGGAGCAGACAATAGATCCATCCTAATGGAGTTGTATACTTGCCATCTGTAGGAGCAGCTGCTAGCCCACATCTGCACAATATGCTGGGACTGAGAGCTCCGCTAATCTGCATAATAAGGAGGAGGCTCATCCCACTCCAGCTAATAATCACGAGCAATCAATGCACTTCATTCCCTTACTGCCAAGGGAAGCCGAGCTGGTTTCCTGCTCTGAGTAGAGAGGGGTCAAGTGAGACGGGATGGCCTGGAGCTGAGAACCACTCGGTTTACAATCTAGGTTGTATCAGTCTGGTGGGACCAGGGTTTGGGCTTTCCCTTGAGTCATGCTGACACATAATAACAAAATCCTGGAAATTGGGATGAAAAGGCGCTAGAACATGATTAAGATTGCTAATCAGAAGTGCTCTTGGAGCAATTAGAGTATTGAACAATTTGCATTTAAAAATGCTGCTTTTGTGGGAAAAAGGGCACAAGTGAGTTTTTGGTTTAATTGTGAGCTACTGTGAGTCATTTGGTTTTCATTGATTTTTTTTGAAATAACTGTGCAGTGCTGAGGTTTGACTTTTAAACCGTCTTAATATACATACACCCCTACTGTGAAAAAGGCACACTATGTGAATTAATCAAATATTTGTTTATTTTCATTTGTGATGTCAGGGTGAAATGGCACTATCTTGGAGGCAGTAGTACTGGTAGTAGAAAGGTAACTATTGAAATGATGTATTTCTATAATGTCCTAAAATCACTTTCTTATTAAAGGAAATGCTAAAATGACTTAATTTCTTTAGAATAACCATGTACTTACAAATATAATTTGGTTTCAGATAATTGATTTAAAGGTTAAAACATTTGAACTTAGGCAACCTAGATTGAGAACAGTATTTTAAATCAAATTGTTAACTTGCCATTCTTTATAATGACTTGTTATAAGAAGTCTCGAGACTACTTTATCTAATTTCTTACAGAAAAAATATTTGCATAATTCACCAGCCGTCAATGAAGCACAGAGAAAAGAGCATTAATTTATGGAGATGAAAGGCGAGGGCTGAAGAAATAATTGTTTCCACTAGTAAACAAAACAGCTCACTTAGCATTCATTTCAACCTTTTAATCAACACTATTTGGTTAAACAAGAGAGCATCTTCCAGGGCGATTTAGGAGAAAATTTTCTTAAAAGTAATTCCCTTTAGATAAAATCAATATTGCTGTATTAGTCAGAGGTTCTGTGAAATCTTGGTAAGGTGTACTGGATAGCAGAAACAGCATACTGGTTCCCGCCCATCTGGCTGACCACTCTCGGTGCTGTGAGTAAATGGACAGCAACACACCAAGTGAGCTGATGGCATTCTTCCTTGGTTTCCTAATTATAAAACCTACACACCCCTGTATATGAAGAAACTGCCTATATATTCTTGTTGAAATAGAAATGTCAGGCTGTTCTAGGATGCTTTCAGAATTTTTGGGAGTCATTGAATGATACCCATAAAGAAGAAAAAATGATAGTCTGAGATGGCTCCGGATACAGGGTCCCTTCACAAAAAAAATTAGTAACTTGCCCAGCAATTAGAAAAAGGCAATAAGAAGAAAAAAAAAGCACTGGTTACAGGCATGAGCTTGAGGATGAGTCAGGGAAGAAAACATGTTGCTAAATTAAATCTCTAGTTAGATTTCATTACCTTATTAGTGTCTACACAGTATGTTTTACTATCTGTAAGTATTTGGTTCATTTATTTATTTGCTAGTTGAATGTCTATTTCCACATATTTGAAGCCCCAAGAGAGGAGAAGCATTTCCTGCTGTGTTTCCAGTATCTAATAACAAAATAAATTCTCAGTAAATACTGTGTTGAATAACTGTGGAAAGTTGTTGCAACTCCCTCCTTCAATCATAAGGGAAAAAAATCTGTATCTATTTCAATTTATTCTTGTCTGGAGGGAACTCAGTGATCCTAGAATTGCTCTTGAATCAAGTACAGGATGGATTAAGTCAATTATCATGAACTTTCTCTGGATCCAGAACTCTACATTTGCTTTGAACCCAGGCCAGATATAAGAGAGATGAGCATAGTTTGGGAACTTGTTTAGAGATTCATTCATTTGTTTCATTTATCCAACCACCCACCCATCCATCCAATATTATTTGAATACTTACTATGTGTTAGGAACTTTTCTGGGTGCTGGATGCAATAATGAATGGGTTCTTCTGCATCTCTCTTCAAATGCTAGAAACTTCCTGCAAGGTAATGAGGGAGTTATGAGCCTCCATATGGTTTTATAAGAATTCAAGGTCCAGACTCAGACTAGGTTTGTAGGAAGACATGAAGATTCATCACTCTAGTCACCATCAATGTTTACTCTTAAAAAAAGTTCCCAAGAAAGATTTTAATTTTTTTCATAGAGGGCTTATGATTTTTTTCTGGGAATTTAAAATTTTTCATTGTTTTTATGAATAGAATCTTCTTTTTATTTGTAATTTACAATTAGTTGCTGATAGCATACATGAAGTTGTTGAAATGTAATTAGTTTCAAATAGTTTCCCTCACTGAGCCCTATTATTCTAATACCTCTTAGTTATTTTGCTTTTCTTGGTTTTGTTTTGTTGTTAGTTACTAAACATAAAATCACATCAACTAGAAATAATGGTAATTTTATCTCCTCTATTCCAATAGCTTAGGCCTCTTATTTTTGTTTTTCTCATGATATTTTGGATAGACTTTTCAGGAAACTGTTAAATAATTGTGGGGCATTCCTGCCTTGAATCTTGTTTTGGAAATGTCAGAGATGGATGATAATGTTAATAATAATTATAATAGCTACCATGTACTGAATACTGACTGTATGCTATAATTGTAGACTTGTCTATTTCTTCTTCCATTTCAATCATTTTGTTTCATGCATTTTGAAGCCCTGTTATTAGATGAATATACATTTAGGTTTGTTATGTGAACTTGGTGTATTAACCCTCTCATCATTATAAAATGCCCCTCTTTATCTCTATGAGTATTCCTTGTTCTGAAGTCTACTTTGTCTGATATTAATGTGGCCACTTCTCTCTTTGGTTAGTATTTGCTTGGTATGTCTTTTCCATTCTTATATGTTTAATCTGTATTTATATTTAAAATTGCTTTCTTTAGATAGCATAGAGTTGGGTCTTGCTTTTTATCCAATTTCTAGTTTTTAATTGGAGTGTTTACATATCATTTACATTTAATGTAGTTATTGAAATGTTGGATTCAAAGCTACTGCCTTGCTATTTGTTTTTTTCTTTTTTTTTTCCTTTTCCTGCCTTCTTTTGGATTACTTTTATTATATTCATTTTATCTTCATGATGGTCTTATCAGCTATATGCTTTTATTTTATTTTTGTATTGGTTTTCTAAGGGTTACATTATACATCTTTAACTTATCACAATCTATCTTCAAATAATACCACATCACATGTAGTATAGGGTTCCTACAACAATGTACTTCCATTTCTCTTTTCCTGCCTTTGGCTCTATTGTCATCCACTTTAATTCTATATACATTTTAAAACACACAATACATTGTTATTTTTGTTTTGAAAGTCAATTACATGTTGAAGAGATCAAAAATTAGAAAAAAAGTCTCTTATATTTATCCACATATTTCCTACTCAAACATTCTTCAACACTTTGTAGATTCAAATTTCCATTTGTTGCCTTTTTTAAATTTATTTTTTATTGTTTTGCTTGATGAACATTTCTTGTTAAAGAAGCTCTTTGGACCTTAGAAACCTGATGTCAATAAATTCTCCCAGATTTGTTTGTCTGAAAAAGTCTATATTTCACCTTAATTTTTGAAAGATATCTTTGCTGGTTACAGAATTCAAAGTTGATACTTTTCCCCTATCCCTTAAAAAATATTGTTTTATTCTCTTCTGGCCTACATAGTTTCTGACAAGAAGTATGCTATAATTCTTATGTTTGTTCCTTTGTATGAACTGTGTCCTTTTTTTGGTCTTTTGGGCTGCTTTTAAAATTTTCTTTTTATCACTCTTTTTCAGTAATTTGATTATGAGATGGTTGGTGTAGCACTGTATCAAATAGATGTTTGGAATTGTTTTTATATACCTTCCCTAAATCAATCTCCTCTCATTTAAAGAAGAGCAAGAGGAAAAAATTGATACTGTGGGAGAAAATAGTACAAAGTGGAGGAATATTCATGACCACGAACTTTAGTATATTGACTCCTTATCATGAGATAGACACTATTTATCACTTTGTATTAGGTTGGTGCAAAAGTAATTACGTTTGCACCAACCTGTATGTATGACAAATCGAAGGCACAGAAAGGGTAGATAACTTTTTCCCAGGTCACACAGCTAGTAAATGATGGAGCCAAAGATACAAGTAAGGCAGCCTCAGCCATTGCCTCACTATTGCATCTGGAGAGTATTGGTCATGTCCACCTCTCACATCTCCTATCATGGATCTGACCTCCAAGACATGCACAGTTTCCAGAGACCAACCTGCTACTCTAGTACAGTTCTCCTAAAATAAGATGGGCTTCTCTCCTCATCTCTTTGTCTGATTCTCTGGCACTGTGAACAGTGTCAAGGAACATCAAAATCCCCAGGTTGAACGTCTACTAGGTCCTTCCTACACCTGCCTCTGTCCTAATGACATATACCAGTCCTACTGGCTACCCCATTGCCAAGTAGTTAATTTTTGAAGGTTGTGGTATCTGACTGGCAACGATGAGATTGGAACAGCACTCTGGCTGTCAAGTAGTTCACTAATGCAGCAAATAAATAGCTTCTCAGTTTTCTTGTTTGCGTAGACATGACCAGGAGATAGTAGAACTGGATGAAAGATCTCCCCACCTATTTTGAGATGTGCTTACACAGAAGGCCCCAAATTTCATTGCTCAACCCGTTTCCCTTGGTCATAGGGAAAGTATTTTCAGATTCTGCCACTGATGCTGGTAGTCCTTGTTCTCAGTGTTGTGGTGAGTTTTACCATTTTTCTCTGTTTTCTCATGTATTTTAAAGCGGGTCTGGGACAGATTATTTCAGGGGCTGCTAGCCACATGCTTTTTAAAACTGGAACTCTTTAATTTCATACAAGAAGTTGTCAGGAGGTAGATCAGGCTGTGAAGTTTGTCTATGTAAAGCCAGATATACCCATCTTTATTATTAAGTTTTTAATTTTAAAATTATCATACAGTAAAATTGACTTTTTTTTGGTGTAGAGTTCTATGAATTAAACACATAAATAGATTTGTGTTACCACTACCCAGAATTACACAACAGTTCATCATACCAAAATCTCTCCTCAGGCTCTGGTCACACCCTCACCTCACCCCATCACTTGGCAATCATTGAGTTTTTCTCCATTACTGTAGTCTACTCTATAGACTATAGAATCACTATTGTCCTTTAATGAATGTCATGTAAATAAACCTGTACAGTAAGTAACCTTTTGAAACTGTACTTTTTCATACAGCATAATGCCTTTGTGATTCATTCAAGTTGTTGCATGTATCCATAGTTTTATTTTATTTTATTTCTGAGGAGTAATTTATCATTGGGATGTACTGCAGTTTGTTTAGTCATTCCTCTGTTAAGGGACATTTGGGTTGTTTCTGATTTTTGGCAATTATAAATACAGCTGCCAGAAACATTTGTTTATAGGTTTTCGTGTCAACATAAGTTTTAATTTCTCTAAGGTAAATAGGAGTAGTACTGCTAGGTTTTATGGTGGGCATATATTTAACTTTGTGAGAAGCTACCTAACTGTTTTCCACACTGGCACTATCATTTTGGATTCCCACCAGCAATGTATGAGTGTTCCAGTTATTCTCTATCCTCACTAGCACTTGGTATTGTCAGTGTTTTAAATTTTAACCATTCTAATAGATGGTGGTATTGTCAGCATTTTTTATTTTAGCCATGACTTTAATTTGCATTTCCTAATGGCTGATGATGTTGAAACATTGTTTCATGTACTTATATCTTGTTTGGTGAAATCTATTCTCAAATCCTTTGCCCAATTTTTAATTGGTTTGTTTTCATATTGTTGAATTTTTTAATCCTTTGCATATTCTGAATACAAGTTATTTGTCAGATATGTGATTTGCAAATATTTTCTACCAGTTAATCACTTGTCTTTTCATTTTAACAATGACTTGCAGTGAGCAAGAGTTTTAAATCATAATGAAGTCTAATTTATCTACTTTATAACTCATGTTTTTCTTAACATTTCTGAGAATTCTTCAACTAACCCCAACCCACAAAGATTTTCTTCATTTTCTCCTAATAGTTTTATATTTCACCTTCAGATCTATGGTACATTTTGAGTTACTGTTTGTATAAGGTGTGAGGCTGAGCTTCAGGTTTGTTTGTTTGCATATGGATGGATGGCCAATTGTTCCAACACCACTTGTTGAAACGTGTCTTTATTGATCAGCTAATAAATACGTTTACATTTTTTAAAGTGATATTATTTAAAAGCAGCAGTTTTGACCTTTCTGACAACATCAGTTAGTCAATAATCAGTTTGACAACCAATCAGTTAGGCACTCCATCATTTAGTTACTCAACAAGCAGATCTGGAGGGCCTGCCTTGTGTCTGGCATTTTGCAAGGTGCCAGGGTTTCAAAAGTGCCTGGAACATGGTTTGTTTTCCTTTAAGATTTTACAGCGTATGCAGGAAAATACAGTAGGATAAACTTCCCATATGGATTTGTGTACAAAAGAAGACTATTTCCTTTTATGTCATGACTTCTAGAGATTATTTAATATCTGATCAGCACTTGTATGAGTGCCCAACTCTTTAATTTTTGGCTTCTTTTCCTTAAGTCACTGAACTAATCTTTAAACACATAAATGCTTAAAGGAGTACACTCTGTGAGGGAAGCTGAAGGTGAATCCTTCTGCAAAGGGAAATAACTATGTGTTCATTTTGTGTGTAAACACTCTCCATTTCCCAGATTTAAAGTGTGGACTTTTGAGCGGTGGATTTTCATAAAAGGGGCACATCAGCACCAAATATACCACTCTTTTCCCATGCAGAGGCTAAAGCAGCAAGACACATCTCCTAAATGCACTGTAGACAAAGACAGTGCTGGGGCCCATAGGTCATGTAATTCTGGTTATGTTTGATAAACTTATGATCAGAATAATATTGAGAACTAGAAAGTTGATGATGTTCTTTGAAGGTTAGAGTCAATAAATAAAGTTGGCTTTTGAGGGAGTAGCTGTAGGAGATCTAGATTCAGGTCATGAGGCATTAATTATCTCTTCTGTCTGAACCAGAAAGCCTCTTTCCTCTTCCCTATCTCCTTTCATTTTACCTGACACTCCAGAGTGGTTAGATTGGTAATGGGATAACGTGGAGGAAGCTGGATTCCAGTTTGGGTGGTATTTATGCCAGTGAGCTTGGGCTGCCATGCCTTGGTGCCTTCCACACACTGTTTATTTTAGTGTATGGAGAAAGCCAGTAGGAAGCTAGAAGAGCATGGCTTCTCACACGTAACAATCAAATAGTAGGAAAAATAAATATCAAACAAATAATAGCAGGGGCTTACATTTACTGAGCATTTGCTATGTGTCAGGCACTCTTCTAATCTCTTTATATGAATAAACACATAACTTTACACATTTTATCAATAATTTGATAAAGTAGGGATCATTATTCCCATTTTACAGATGAGATTAATTAGATTACAGAGATGTGGTAGACAGATTCTAAGATAACCCCCAGTTATCCCCATCTCCTGGTATTTATGTCCTGTGTAATCCCTCCCCTAGAATGTGGGCTGGCCTAGTGACATGCTCAAAATCAACAGAATATGGCAAAGGTGATAGAATATAACTTCTGTGGTTAGGCAACAAAGGATTGTGACTTCTACCTTGCTAGCTGATTCTCTCCCCTTGCCAGCATTGATGAAGCAAATTGCCATGTTGGGGATGTTCATGTGTCAAGGAATACAATTATTTTTTTTCATGCAGAAGAACATTTTAGAGACTTTCTAACCACTGCCATTCACAAAGAGAGTCTCAACAGGATTCCTGCAACAACAAGCCTATAGGTTTTAAGCTGTGAACATGTAGTTAGAAACTGAGACGTTCAATCCAGCAGCCCTTAAAGAAGTGAAATTCTGCCAACAACTACAAAAGTGAGCTTGGAAGTGGATGCTTCCCCAGTTGAGCCTTCAGATGAGACCCTAGCTCTGGCTGATGCTTTGATTGCAGCCTTGAGAGACACCCTGAAATAGAAGACCCAGCTAAGCTGGACTGGATTCCTCACCCACAGAAAGTGAATAAATAAGTGCTATTATTATTATTAGAATAATAATTTTAAGCTTCCAAGTTTGTGATAATTTGTTTCACAACAATAGATAACTAATACAAGAGACATAAAGTAATTTGCCCAGTCACATGTTAGTCTGGCTATAAGCTATGGATTCCCTTCTAGCGATCATCTCATGTAGAAATATCTCCAAAAAGTTTGCCACATGGTATTGGATTTCCCATTTAGAACACTAGAAGGGTTGGTTAACATTTCTTAAACAGTTCTTTGAAAGAGATATGGTATTTTTTAAGCCTCAGGAATCTGAAGGGAAAAGAACCTAGGAAATCTTGTTTGGAGTACGCAGTAAGCTATCAATCTTCACTTTTCCCTACTGTTTTTATTTTATTGTTCAGGGGCCAATGGTTCTTTGGGTTTAGCATCAGTCTGTTTTCACTTCATATTGATTCTAAAGGGAAGTAAGGCTGGACAAAAAGGAGTTAATTCTAGAAGCTCCAGCTGGGGACCATTTTTACCATTCAAATACCTGCCAGTTTAAAAGAAGGATGAATGTGGTGAATGAATTTTTTTTTTTCCAGAGGTGCCTGTAATAAAAAGTGGTTTGAATTTCATTCTAGTAGAAAAATATGTTTTTTTAAAAGAATTTACTTTGGAAAAGAATTTTAAGATTTCATGTATTTTTATATTTCCAGAAAAAAATCAAATTAACATGAAAAGCAGCAATGCCTTAGCATCCCAGGTGACACCTATGCTCTTTCCCTCTCCAGAGCTAGTATTGTAATGGTGCCTTATGTGCTTAGAAGACTGTCAGGACCCTTGAGAGCTGCTCGCTCCCTGCTGTAATCACCACCCAAGTTGTTAATTGTTTACAAAACGTACGTCCAACCATATGCCTTCTCATTAAAAAGGTCTAACCCAAATCCAACCCGCTCAGGAGGCCTTCGTCTATGGAGACCCCCTTGTTATAGTAATAAAAACATTTAGAGTTATTCTTCCACACAAAGGACATGTTAAATACATTGTTTTGTTTGTTTGTTTGTTTGTTTGTTTGTTTGTTTTGAGATGGGATCTCACTCTGTCTCCCAGGCTGGAGTGCAGTGGCGCAATCTCAGCTCACTGCTGCCTCGACCTCCCAGACTACAGGTGCACACCACTATGACTGGCTAATTTTTGTAATTATTTTTTTGTAGAGATGGGGTTTTGCCATGTTGCCCAGGCTGGTCTCCAACCCCTGGGCTCAAGCCATCCACCTACCGCAGTCTCCCAAAGTGCTGGGATTACAGGCATGAGCCACCACACCTGGCCAAAGATGTTTTAACTTCGGCCATCCACAGAGAGCACCTCACCAGAACTTCTGCAACCACGAAGCCCACAGATTTTACATTGCTTTAGACTTCTGGGATTACAATGGCTTTTTCGGGCTACTCAGTTGCTTATGTTAGACTGAAAGTGACTGATGTCCTGAGTGGAAAGCCTCAGGCCACCCGGATGCCCACGAATATGACACATAAAGCAACTAGTGCTGTGCTGTGTTCCTGAGGTGAATGGGGTGTTGGAGGCCGACTGTCACAACAGAGTTTGGTGGATTTTTCTTCACATGCTCTTTATCTTCTAGTTCTGTGCTCCTACAATAGTCACACCCGCCTCCTTTGTCTCTCTCAATACGTGAGGCATGCATTCAATATACTTCAGGTTGGATGATGAAAAGCCTGACCGAAACCTCAGTTGATCATTACTCCTATATGCTGTGAAGAATTTGTGACAGCTACTTAGAGGGGAAAAAGAGATCAAACATAATCTATACATGAAGGTTTTCAGACAAGTCCTCTCTGAGTTTGAACTCTAATAAGGGCTGATTCATTACTTAAATTCTTCAAGCTCTTACACTTACAGCCTGGGAAGTGTCCCTTCTAGAGCTGAGAATGCCCTTTTTGGCCTCTTCAGACATTTTGATTTCTAAGTTAAAAATTTTAAGACAATCTAGTCCCATTTACTCTTGGCATAACTTGAAGAAAGACAAGTTAAAAGGCTCTTGGAAAGTTAAAAAGCCTTTTAGAAGCCATATGCATTCAGACCGAGACTGGGATGACTTAAGTGTAAATGAATCAGAAACACGTGGATAATGTTTCCTTCAGTGAGCAACAGTGCTTTTAATGTGGGACCAGAATGTAGTAAGCCAGAGACCATTTCATTTTGTTTAAGCTCACATGGCTCCATTGCTGAACTTCAGGCTCAACTTCTTACTGCCCCTTTGCTTTCTAGAATGGAGTACCAGAGTGAACCCAGAATGCAAGATTCCTGTAGGCAGGAGCTGTGTACTGTTGACCTTACCCTGTGTATATAAGAACTCACCACATTGGTTGGGGAATAAAATTCTAGGATACTCAAAGCCCAGGTTCCATCTCCTTTAACCAATGCTATGGAGGTTATGTGTGTGTGATCTCTGAAGTTCAAATCCCTTCTTCTTCACTGACTATGTGACCTTGGGTAAGAGTGATGAACTTGAATAAGAGATGATGAGTGGGCCTCTCAACCCTTAGTTTTTCATTCTGTAAAGTGGGGATAATAATAAAATAGAAACCACTTCCTAGTGTTGTTCTGAGAATTAATAGAGGTCAAACATGTAAAAGCACTTAGCTCAACTTCTGGTCTAAAGCAAGTGTTTAATAAATGTTGGATATTATTATTGCTGAGTTAGCATCACAACATTTTATACATGAGTAACAGACATTGTTATAATTCTTGTAATGAATCTAGATGAATTATGTGGTAGTCATCAGAATGTTTTAATACATGATTTGGAAGTAGGTTGAGAGTCCTGGCCAACAGGATTATCATTCAGTGTGGTGCCATTGGCACGCAAGCCCTGGCTGGACGGCCTTTAGACTGAATTTAAAGCTTGGCACCACCACTTCCTCTGCCTGGCTTTAGAACATTGTGGAATAATCTCAGCTCTGGAAATTTGAGTTAGAGTTGATGACACTGGGCTTCAGCTCCACTTGCAGTGAAAGCCCCATGACAAGGCTTCAGTCCACATCAGCGCTCTCCAGCGAGCTTCTTTCTCCTGAATGTGCACAGATGGGTGGTTCTTTTGTTAGTCGGCTATGACTCATGTGCTCTGTTTAAATGTGTATTTTGTTGTGAGGCAGCCATTAGGGCCGTAAACTCATGGAGCGGTCCTCGTGCTGGGTGCTTGATCGATCTGTTACGCTTTGCAATATGGTATTCTCACCGTTGGGGATTTTACAAAGCCAGAACATGCTAGAAAAAGGAAAATTTGGTGATTCAGGAAAGCTTCAAGCCATTCAGGTAGTGCTCATCACCCTTTGCCGTCGTCACCCCCTTCCTGTCCCCCGACTCTGACTTTCTTTCTTCTTCCCTGGGACTAGCTTCCAAATAGCCCCTAGGAACTGACGCCCCAGTGTCCACACCACCCATCCCTCTATCAGTCACCTTGTGTGGCAGATGAAGTAAAATGTCCAGAATGTGCTTTTTGAATCAGAGTTTGTTTTTGTTTTTGTTTTTGTTTTTTTAAATTCCCTGTTTCCATTTACTTGTTTTTAATCTCTCTTTCTCTTTCCTCCCACCCCTCTGTGTGCCTGTGTGTGTGTGTTGATGCCGCACACCTGAAAGCACCAAGGCTGCTCTTCATGATGGCAGCATGAGGGGCTTGGTAGCATCTACAGCTACTCTCTGTGAATGTCTTAAAGAAAAAAAAAAAAAAGATACTGCAGTTCCTGCTCTTTTTTTATGCTAATCAAACATGTTCACTGACTGGTTTTAAGAATCACGAAGCTGCTTCACACACGGGCTGTAAGGAACTACTCACCCATATTCTGCAAATTTTATTTAGCCTGTTCAAAGTATTCCAAGCAGACCTCTTCTTTAGACAAAGAATTGAGTCCAGCTCGTCTCAGATTCCTTCTACTGGGGAATGAGTATAGAGATATATCAGGACAAGCCCTTCTTTTCTACTTTTTTTCTTTCTTCCAGCTTCTCTAGTAGGACCAAATGACAGGTCCTTCTTATTCCCATCCTCTAGCTGTGTGGAGTTTGACAAAGGGAATAAAATTGGTCAATTATAACTCTCCTTCATGTTTCCAGACTCTTCCATATTATTTATTCATAAATAAATCAATTATTTAACCCAGCAAACATTTGTTAATTTTATGGTAAGTGCAGTGCAGGACACAGGGTATCCAAGGGGAAAAAGGCAGTCTTCCTTTTGTGAGTAAAGTGTGTTGTAAATAAGGCAGGAACATAAACAAATCGGTCTAAGCCATTTACTAGAAACTAATAGAGGTAAGCAATGGTCCTGCAGCAAAGCAGAGCTGCTAATCCTGATGAGGCCCTGGGAGCATTTGACAAAGAAAGTGAGGGTTGAGCTGAATTTTGAAGGAGGAGATGGCGCTCTTGAGGGTACGTGCAAATTCAAGAAGGTGTGCCTGTGACCTGTTAGGGAAATGATCAGGACCTTAATAAGAGTGGAGTCAAGGGCTTCCAGAACCAAGTCACAGCCTCAGGAGCCATGCAGGCTAAGATGTTTCTGCAATGGAGCTGGAACTGTTGAAGATTTAGAACAAGGAAATGACATGTTGGACTTTGAAAGACGAATCTTGTGTCAGAGTGGGAGATGGGACTGCGAGGGGGGCTCAGTGAAATGAAATGGGAGACAGGCAAGCCAGCCAAGTGGTGACAGTAATGAGAGCCTGGACTGACGCAGGGTCTGGCAGAATTGAGAAGAAAGACATGCAGAAAAAGAAAACAAAGAGATTACTTTAAAGAAGAAATGACTGCAGCAGCGTCTCTTTCTAGGGTTCTGGGGCACTTCATCAGCTAGAAGGGGTAGGCCCCTTCAGGAAACGGTCTAATTAAATTGTTCGCACAATAAAATCACAAGAACTATTTCTTTTCTTCTGGCACTGAAAGATGACATTTGTGAGGACCCTGAAACATAGGGGAGCAGTGGGAGACTGGGCTGTGGTCAGTATAAAGAAGGGGACGGGGCCCTAAGAATGCTGTGTGTTGGCTGTGATGGAGTCAGAAATTCCCTGGAGCAGGGGTAAGCTCCCAGACAAATGGTGACTTGTATAATTTTGAGTTGTTTGCTGACCTGTGCTGAATGTGTCATCCATCCTTTCATTATTCCAAAGTATTTCATTATACTTTGGAATAATGTATATAACAATCTGTTATATACATTGGCTGGTGTGAGTGGTGCTTTGGGGAACGAAATTATGGGCAATGTGTAGGCTTGGGATGAGAAGATGAGGGGGGTATTCAGGCTTTAGGCATCACTCCTCCTCTGGGCCAGCATGTTTAGGAAATGCACAGGTTCTGGAAATTCAGGAGTGACCAGCAGAATGTGAGCAGAGGCCCCAGGCAGGGGCAGGAGCAAGTTAGGAGCCAGGCAATAGCTGAGAAACAGGCAGCAAGGTTGACTGACTCCAAAGTGATATGAAAAGAAACACCTTCCCTTAAATATACCAAAGGAAAGCGACTTCGAAGGATAGAAGCCAGGACCTGCTGTTACATGGCTAAGTACCTCAGGAGGCAATCGTTTGGGGTTTAAGAGATTCGAAGGAGGTGAAGTCATCAGAACACGGTGTCAGATTGAAAATGGGATGAACAGAGGAGGGAGGGATCAGGATGGCAAAGCAATGCCAGTTACGCTGCTGCCCTAACAAGGGAGCCCAGGGAGGGTGCTGATAACCATAAATGTGGGAGCAGGAAGGAAGTTTGGGATGAAGCTATAGATTCTTAGTACAGAGGAGGCAAATGGAAAAGACCACCCAGACACGATCCAGCGGAGAGGGAAAGGGGCAATGGCAGAGACCCTTCTAGATCAGACATTTCTGGACTGCCTTCTTTAAAACTCTGCTCCATTTGCTTGAACATTGCTTCTTCACTCTCTGACTTCCATTAGTGTTCCCAGGCAAAGGAACTGTAGATAGGATATACGCTGGTACTCAGGGGACTCTGCACTGCCTTTTATAGTGCCTATTGATTGTCTATGACAACAACTTTACATTAAGGGCCTGTTGTGCTCAAGGCACTAAGAACTTAGCAACATGCTTCAGATATTAGTGCTACCTAAAAGTGGTGGTTTATAAAATCTATTTCTTGTACTGCTGCTCCTTGAGGAACCCTAACAGTTCACTTTTGATGCAAGTACTGGAGTCATTTCCTATCCTATATTATCCTATCCTAGCCTCACCAATCCTAGCCCATCCCTCTCCATTCCGTTCCATACACTCCATTCTATTCCATTTCTATACAGGAAGCAGACTGTGTTCCAGAAGTAAATTTAGAAGTCAATTATTTAAACCCTGGATCATTTTTCCCTCACAGAATTAATGTTATAAAAACATGGTTCAACCCCTAGACTTTTAGTACAGGCCGTGGGGCAGGGCCACCAGTATGTGGCTAGAAGAGAGAGTGGTGAATAAGAGAAGACTTTTTCCTATTCAGAGTTCTGCTGCTACCTCTTCTTCTCCACCCCCAAGCTCCCCAATACTACCATCTTCATAAATCAGCCATTTGGATGAACTCGTTAATGAAGTAGTTGACTGGAACTCAGGGAGCAAGTCAATGCAAAGTAAAGCAAGCAAAGTAATCTCTGAGTCAGGCTACAAAATCTGCTCTTGATTTTTTGGCACCCCTCCCCAGAAAAATCCATGACCAGGGAAAGTATTCTAATTTGGGGACATCTGTGAGATAAACCAGTTAACGGGTTTAGTATTGAATAGGACTAAAGGTGATGGAGAGAACAGTTCCAGAAGCATGGGGACACTAAACAACTTGATTGGAGGAGTTGGCAAAACTGTCGCAGGTGAGGTGGCAGGGTGTGTTCTGTCAAAAGGACCAGTATATTTTAAGTTAATGGGCCAGGCATTCGTTAACTAATGTACTAACTGTTGAAAAGTCTTTGCAAGTGGCAGGAAGTTAAGGATGAACAGAATTTGCTCTCTGGAGGGAATATAACACAAGAGGTGGGTACATTCTTGGTTGGAGGAAGACAGGGTACTATAGAACCCTGTGGAAGGGGCCAATCCCACACAGGCAGAAGGTCAGGGTATGTGGGGAAGACATCCTGAAAGAATGTGAATTAGCTAGATGAAGAGGGGTGGAAGAGAGGTCCA
The DNA here is from genome assembly GCF_000001405.40 of Homo sapiens. Taxonomy (NCBI): domain Eukaryota; kingdom Metazoa; phylum Chordata; class Mammalia; order Primates; family Hominidae; genus Homo; species Homo sapiens. Next base: position 175,819,429 of record NC_000002.12, on the reverse strand, counting down.
TGCAGACGAAATAGGACTGTCAAATGGCTATGAGAGAGAACCTGAAAGAACTTCATTTTGCTGAGAGTGTAGAATGCAGAGAAATGTAGAGAGATCAATATCTGGCATTTGGCAGTTTCTGGAATTTAGTTTTCTTAAATGAACGAAAATTTACAACTTTCATGTAGAAAAATTTACCAAATTTCAGCAAGAATGGAAATTGCATAACCAAAAGAGAGTGTAGAGTGTATCATAACTACTATTAAGACTAGTTTAATGAAAAGAAACCTATTTACTTTCTGCTACCAATTGGATTTTTCCCTGTTGTGGAACTTGTACTAAATTTAGGGAGTTTTTTTTGTCATTGTTGAAATTGTGTAATTTTAAATCTTTGATAAGCGTTCTAACAGAATTCCCTTTTTTATCTAAGGATTTTGCAAGCAATCCTAAAACCAGAGGAAAAAATTATGAAACACATAAGAGGGTATTTTTATGCTTTCTTATTCTTTGTTTAAAAGCAGCAGAATAGTATGCTTTTTTTCCACTCTTAAATGATCAGGCAAACATTTTCTCTAGGGAAATCTTGAACCAAACAGGATTGTTTCCATTTCCTTTACCTTCCTCTGAAACATACACCTGCTTTGGCATGATTCATAAAGACTAGAATCCCAGTGGGTATCAGACTCAGAAATGGACTGAGCCTTTAGGGAACAATTGGCTCATAAGTATAACAGGTAGGAAGTTAGCTTTGCCAAATGTGAAGTTAGCTTCACATTTAAATAATAATAAAAATGCAACTCCTGTTAACATTTCAGAAGATTATTACTAATCGCTTACTTTTCTAGGTCAGTGCTATATCTTGATTGGAAATGGACACATTTAGATACAACTTTAAGGTCTATTTTCACTCTACAGGAAGAGGTTGGAATGTTTCAGGAGGAGAGATAGAGGTGCCAAGCAGTAGTTCACTAATCAAATTAATTTCACGGTTTACTCTTCAAGTATTTACTATTCAGGTATTCCCCCAGTTTTTTTCTTTCAAACTTGGTTCAATCCTTGAACCAAACAGGATTGTTTGTTTCCTTTACCTCCATCTGAAACATCCAGTCACCTTTCTTTCCCTGTCACCTGCTTTGTGTGTGGGATCATGAAGCTATTTTTTTTTTTTTTTTTTTTGAGACGGAGTCTCACTCTGTCGCCCAGGCTGGAGTTCAGTGGTACGATCTTGGCTCACTGCAACTTCCACCTCTTGGGTTCAAGCGATTCTCCTCCCTCAGTCGTGAAGCTAATTTAATATTCATTTTAATAATATGTTTAAAACAAAGTTTGAATATTTGAATGACAGACTGTTTAAGGAAAAGCCCAGAGACTTAGGTTCATTAATTAATGTAACCCATAATAAGTCAAATAATATGTTTCTCTTCATTTTCTCTTGTAGCTAAATAGTCATTATGTCACCTATTCTTTGCTAAAGCTTGGATGATCTGTGAAGTACTCTGAGTTCTTTAACAATAATAATTAATAAATAGAATAATAAAAAATAAGGATATAATCATGTACCTAGCACCATGCTAAATGTAATATCTCGCTGAGACCACCTAGTAATCCTATAGGCATATCTATATTATATTCTCATTTTACACAGGAGGAAGCAGAGGCTTAGAGGGTTTAACTATGTAGCCTAATGTCACATCACTGATAAGAAGAGAAGCCCAGAGTTGACCAGGCAGCTATATTTTCAGAGCCCATGCTGTTAACTTCTGCATTTTGCCTTTCTTAATAAAAACTACCATGCAAAATTTCATCCACCATTCTTAAAACATGGTGTTTTGTGATTTAAAGACAGAATTTCCCTGAAAGGAACTCAATCAATCAACTAGGTAAAGAACCCACCTGATTAAATATTGATGAGGCAGTTCAATGACTTCCTCTTGAAGATTTCCTAGAGAAATGAATTCCTGAATGGAATCACTCATGCAGATGTACCAACTTGTCAGTCATGTGGGAGTGCAATGTGACGCCTTTAATCATGACTCCACTTCACTCATATTCTCATAAATGGAACTCTCCCTTTTACAATAACTCTTTAGAGAAGTCTTTATGAAACATTTGGGTCACATTCCTGATAATTATTCAACATTAGATTGCCAAAGAAGCCGTGTTTTAAAGCTGATGAGTGGGAAATGAATCATTAACAACAAAAGGCAAGTTTTCTGTAATAAATGGGGGTTTCCAGACCCAGACTTTATTTATTGTTCAGTTTTAAAAAATTATCTCTGGTCCTAAGGTAATTATAAACTAAAAGGCCTTTTTTAAAGGTAGCCAAAATTCACTCTTTAAAAAACCCCCCAAAACTTTGTTGAGGCATAATTTACATACAATACCAATATAATGTGAAATGAATCTTGAAAATTTTATATAATTGCATAACCACCATGATAATTAAAACATTAACATTTCCATCATCTGCTTCCCAGTAAACACCCAGCCCTGACCCCACCCAGGCAATCAGTGATTTGCTTTCTGCCACTATTGATTGATTTTACCTTTTCTGGAATTTCATGTAAATAGATCATAAAATCAGTATTAATATGTGTTTGACTTCTTTCACTCAGCTTGATGTTTTTGAAAGTCATCTGTGCTATTGCGTGTTTCAGAGGTTTGTTCCTTTATATTTTTCATACCACAATCTATTCACCTGTAGATGAGTATTTGGATTATTTCTAGATTCGTTATTATGAATAGTGTTGGTATGAACATTCATGTACAAGTCTTTATGTTTTCTTTTTCCTTAGTTAAATTCTTAGGAGTGAGATTGCTGGATTGTTTATGTTTAACTTTCTTAAAAATTGCCCAATTGTTTTCCTAAGTGGTTACACCATTGTGTATTCTCATGAGAAATGTGAGTTCCAGGTGCTCCACATCCATGCCAACACTTGACATTGTCAAAATCACTGTATTTTGAAAATATATGTTTTAAAATCTTCAAAGGTTGGTAAAATAAAGTCTCTTTAGAAAGCTAACTTTAAAGGCAAGTATTGGCCACATCAGAAGGCCAACAAATTCATGCTAGTGGAGGAGAGGAAAATGCCTTGCATCTGCTTCTCTGGAACTGAATTAGCTGCATTAGCTGGAGTCCCCTGGCTGAAACCATGAACAGAAGACTCCTGGGAGTGGAGAGGTGATTTCTTCAGTCTCCCCAGAGGCATTATAGAGTCACAGTAATGACTTAAATGATGGCCGTTCCCTCATTTCCAGCACGTTACATGGTATTCAGATGTTTCCTGTGCTTCAGACCTTCACTGTAGATTAGTCCTGTCTTCCAAGCTTAATACTTGCGTGGGAAAGACCAACTGTTTATTCTTCTGGATACAAATGATGCTAGCACAGAGCAGGTGTCCAAAAAGTTCTTCTGCTTGCATGTGCACTTTTCATATGAGTCCCAGATGAATAAGGAATCAAATTCAGCCACCATGGCAGAATTTGGCCTGACACCGATTCTGAGCCACCCAGTCTTGGGGGCACCATTCACCACACTTTGAGTCCAGTCCTATTAAGAATAATAGTGCCAGCTTTTGGAATGGAAAGGCTTAAGTTTAGAGATGGCTTATGTTTGGCCTACTTCATCTGATAGTTAAGCCAACTGTTATTGCTTAAGATGAGCACAGAATGAATCATAGTTTTTAAGAACTAATGTTGGGCTTAAAGAATTTACTTCATATCTGTTGCCTGGGCAGGCAGTAGGGACACAAAGATGAAAGATACACTCTCTCCTCAGAGGAGGAAAATGACTAGTAAGGTGACTACATTGTTGTGTGTGTGCATGTGCTGTAACAGGGCTAAGCACAGGTTTCCTGAGAATACAAAGGAGCGGCACCTATCACAGACTGAACTCCATCCCATGACTAGTGTGCAGCTGCTATGGACTACACGCAGAGCTGGTTGGAGCCATTTGCCTTGACAGAACTTCTAGTATAGTGGGAAGATGGACATAAAGCCAATGAAAACAAGCGAGCAAGTGGGGGCTGTCAGAGAAGGGAGAGACCACAGGGCAAAGGGATTTGTCCTGATTGGGAGGGGCAGAAAGGACTTGAAGAATGAGTGGGAATTAGGGGGAGGGCTCTGACAGAATTGTGGCGAGGTGAGGGAGCAAAGGCAACAGCACAGAGAAAGTACCAGAATCCTGTAGTCATGTGGGGCGTGCCAGGAATGGGAAGACAATCCACAGGACCAGACTCAAAGGTGCTCGTCAGACAACTCATGAGCTGTTCTCTGGCATGGAGGAACAGAGGCAAAACCAGAGAGGGTGAGGCATGGATGGAACAATTGTGGTGCAGGATGTTAACTCGGGCTTTGAAAGAGGAAGAGCTATGGGTATATTTAGGGCTGGAACTGTGTATGAACCAGTTTAAGATAATAAGCCTCCTGATGCTTAAATACACCAGATCTAAATATCCTAATACTCAAACATTTTAGCCAACAAACTTATTTTTTGACATATGCAGAAAGATTTATTTTAATGTCTTAAGTAATCTTATTGATAGTAGATTAGTATTTTTATTCTGAGTCTGTTGTGTGTGTACTATAAGATAAAACAAATGACTAATTGTGGGCAATTCTAATTATTTCATTCCCTGTATTCTTTTTTAAAAATTTTAAATTTAAATTTTAGATTCAGAGGGTACATGTGGGGGTTTGTTACAAGGGTATATTGTGTGATGCTGAGGTTTGGGTTTCCACTGATCCTGTCCCCAGAGAGTGAACATGGTACCCCACAGGAAGTTTTGTATGCCTTACCCCTCCCTCCCTCCCTCCTTTTGGAGTCCCCAGTGTCTGTGTTCCCATCTTTATGTTTGGGTGTGCCTAGGGTTTAGCTCTCACTTATAAGTGAGAACATGGGATATTTTGTTTCTATTTTATGCATTAATTTGCTTAGGATGATGGCCTCCAGCTGCCTCGTGTTGCTGCAAAGGACATGATTTGGTTCTTTTTCATGTTAGCCAGTAAACTTACCATTTTGCTTGAAATCTTTAAGTATAGTCCCCTTTTCTCTATATCACGTAGGTCTCCATTTCTCCTAACACTATTTTCCATGAGCAGAACCGGCCATAGCAACTAGTAATCTTTTTTTTTTTTTTTTTTTTTTTTTTTTTTTTTTTTTTTTTTGAGAGGAAGTTTCGCTCTTGTTTCCCAGGCTGGAGTGCAACGGCACGATCTCGGCTCACAGCAACCTCCACCTCCCAGGTTCAAGCCATTCTCCTGCCTCAGCCTCCGGAGTAGCTGGGATTACATGCATGTGCGACCACGCTGGGCTAATTTTGTATTTTTAGTGGAGACGGGGTTTCTCCATGTTGGTCAGGCTGGTCTCGAACTCCGGACCTCAGGTGATCCGCCCGCCTCAGCCTCCCAAAGTGCTGGGATTACAGGCATGAGCCACCGCGCCCGGCCGCAACTTGTAATCTTTAAACACCAGCCTGGGAGGGTCATTGTGAAACTGTGAAGGTACGCGCCCCTCTTAGAGATAAGACCACAGAGACTGGTGACAGAGCTGTCTTTGAACCCAGAGCTCTGGCCATTCTTCTTCCAGTCTCTCCTGCAGGTACATTTTCTCCAACAAATGGCGTTATACAATTTCCCAGAATCTGGAATTTTTTGACCTGATTATTTTGGATTAAGCTTTCATGTTCTTCACAACTGGACACATTTTCTAAACTCCCTCTATTTCAAAAACTCTAAGTGGTGTTTTCTTTTTCTTTTTTTTTTTTTTTTTTTTTTTGAGAGGAAGTTTCGCTCTTGTTTCCCAGGCTGGAGTGCAACGGCACGATCTCGGCTCACAGCAACCTCCACCTCCCAGGTTCAAGCCATTCTCCTGCCTCAGCCTCCGGAGTAGCTGGGATTACATGCATGTGCGACCACGCTGGGCTAATTTTGTATTTTTAGTGGAGACGGGGTTTCTCCATGTTGGTCAGGCTGGTCTCGAACTCCGGACCTCAGGTGATCCGCCCGCCTCAGCCTCCCAAAGTGCTGGGATTACAGGCATGAGCCACCGCGCCCGGCCGCAACTTGTAATCTTTAAACACCAGCCTGGGAGGGTCATTGTGAAACTGTGAAGGTACGCGCCCCTCTTAGAGATAAGACCACAGAGACTGGTGACAGAGCTGTCTTTGAACCCAGAGCTCTGGCCATTCTTCTTCCAGTCTCTCCTGCAGGTACATTTTCTCCAACAAATGGCGTTATACAATTTCCCAGAATCTGGAATTTTTTGACCTGATTATTTTGGATTAAGCTTTCATGTTCTTCACAACTGGACACATTTTCTAAACTCCCTCTATTTCAAAAACTCTAAGTGGTGTTTTCTTTTTCTTTTTTTTTTTTTTTTTTTTGACTAGGATGTAGAATGGTGCCTGGAACACAGTGTGCATTCACTGGATATGTCTTGTATGAATGAATGGAAACATTGGCAGTGAACAGTGAATACTAAGAGATTTGGTCTGATTTTGCCTTCTTATGCAACATCACCTCTGCTTCCTACAAGCCCTTCCTCCCGGTTTGAACTTCCAATGTTGGCAAAGCAGTCCTCACAAATTTAGTTATTGACTCTGCTAACGTAACCTAAATGTTAGTCCCTGGCACCCTCCATGACCACCCCTCCTTTTTGCATTTTGGAAACAATCAATGGAAGGAAATGCTCCTTGCTTTTCAAACCTACAAATTTGGTTGCTTTAAGGGCAGAATAAAATTTTTTCCTATGTCTTCTCTCCTGATTTAAACCTATATGATGAAAAAGTGGTAGCTTTATTTATAATGTGCTACTAATCTTGTATCACTTTACAACCATCAATTCTTATCACCTCCTGCTGGAGGAGACAGTGTAGATTTATATAATCCACAGGCAGATAGGCAATACTTTCACATTTGTCTGAGCTATGAAATTTGCTCTCTGGAAAAGTGTTTGTTAATGAAAGGAAGGCAAATTACATTTTATATATCAAAAGTGTCATTGTCCTTATTCAAAGATGCTGCTGCAGCCACCAGCTAGAGAATGGAGTTGGGAACAGTTGTCTCCAGAGTAGCTAGAGGGCAAAGAACACATGTTTTGAATGTTTCTTTAGCCCATTTGAAAGTCAAACTGGAGAGAGGACATCTCAATGTTTATATCATTTTCCTTTAAGACTCAGAAGTCTCAAGTAGGCCCTTGAGAAGGTGATGGCAAGCTAGCTTGTTCTTCCAGACTTCTGACTAATATGATTACAAATACGGGGTGATATCAATCATCCAGAGTATGGCAGTGTGGGAAAAAGAACTTTGGACTGTGACCAGGATTGAGGTAGTTTGGATTCCAGGTTTAAACATTTCTGTGGCCTTGGGAAAGCCACTCAACTCCTCTGCATCCAGCTTCATCTTCTTCTTCTGCAAAATGGAAAGGTCAACGTGCATCTTCCTGTCCTGCCTCATGTAACTATTGTGAAGTTTCAAAGGAATGTGTCAAAGTGCTTTGACAAGACAAGACACTATCTAAATGCAAAGAAGCATTTTGCAATGTGTTGAACTTTTGACGGGTGAGGCAAGGAGAATCCAAGGTGACAGTTCTCAGAGCAGAGCTGTCCCAGACCCCAGCACTCCACATGTGTCTGAATTGATCCCAAACTAATGACCAGGGACAAAAAGAAGTGTCTCATGCAGAAATGAGACAGTCTTCACCCTTCCTGGCCCTAACTACCAGGTAAAAAGGACTTTCTTCATTCTGACTGCACTCTCTACCTCTTTTAGGGTGACCACACACCCAGCTTACACCTGTTATACCCCTTTCACTGTTAATGGTGTCCTGATTAGGATGATAAATCTTATGGTCACTGTATTTGCTCGGTACCTGACCACATAGCTTTGTGGTAAATGCTGAGGAAACTTGAATGGCACAGGGTTTTCAAGACGGAGGCTCAGTAGACAGCTACAATCTGGGCCAGGAGCCCCCTGTTAGCACTTGTTCTTTCTCTGCTGTCTGATAACTAGTCATTGTCAAGCAATCATTCTTCATTCTTTTGTTTAGAAGTCTTCCTGCTCATGGAAGTGGGAAGGAAATATCTGTTTCCTGAGAGCCTATGTTCAAAGGCCAACATGTTGGCCGTGTAATTTAATTAGTAAGTTTGAATGAACTTGAGGAAGGCAGAATAATGACTGCCCTCCTCCAAGATGTGCATATCTTAATCCGTGGAACTGTTACCTACATGGCAAAAGAAATTTAGGTTTCAGATGGCATTAAGATTGCTAATTCTCTGACTTTAAAATAGAGAAGGTATGTTGGCTTATCAGGGTAGGTCGAATGAAATCACAAGTTTCCAAATAATTAGAAGAGGATATCTGGGTGCTGAGATGTAAGAGCCTGACCTGCTTTTGCTGGTTTTGAAGAAAGAGAAAGGGACCACAAGTAGAGGAATGCAAGTTGCAGGAATCCAAAGGCTGGAAAATGTAAAGAAACAGATTATCCCTTACAATCTCCAGAAAGGAACACACCTGGTCCAGTCCACACACTGATTTCCAGTGCAGTGAGACCTACGCTGGGCTTCTGATTTATTAACTATAAGGTAATAAGTTCATGTTGTTTTAATCCACTAAATTGTGATTTAATAGCAATACTGGAAAATTAATAACAGAAAACTAATTATAATAATAGCAAAACTAATACAGCCCTTACTAATCAACACATATCTAGTGGATATTTGTCATGTGACCAGTCCTATACTGAATGCCGTGGGGAAATACCAGGGAATAGAATATGCAGAACCTGTCCACAGGGAGCATACTAAGATTAATGCATGCCGAACATTTAGAAAGCAATCAGTGAGAGTGCTAATTGAGTGCTAAGTATACTGGGCAGAAGAATATGAGAAAAGAGATTTTAGGGGGCTGTATTTGAACAAGTGGGTAACGGGTGAGAATGATGAATAGATGGAAAACTTCAGGAGTTTTTAATTGATAATGATCTCAGACTTCCAAGGAACTTTCAACTTATTTATTTTTATCTTTTATTATTTTAGTGATGGGATCTTGCTATGTTGCTCAGGCTGGTCTTAAACTCCTAGCCTCACACAATCCTCTGGCCTCGGCCCTCCAGGTTGCTGGGATTACAAGCATGAGCCACCATGCATGGTTCTAAAGAAACTTTTTAGTCAATGGCCTTTGTTGCTACGCAGTGGAATTCTACATGGCACACTGAATAAACATTAGAATTCCTCCAGGCACAGTCTTAGGCCCTTTTCTTTTTCCACTCTGTTGTCTCCTTGAGTGATCTCATTTATTAGCATGTGCATGCTGTAGTGGGCTGAAACATACGTTTATATCCTAACCCCTAGAACCTATAAATGAGACCTTATTTGGGAAAAAGTTCTTTGCAGATGTAATTTAATGTTAAGGATCTCAAGGTGAGACCATTCTGGATTATACAGATGGGCCCTAAACTCAACGAAGAGTGTCTTGTGAGAGACAAACAGAGAAACACAGACAGAAGAGAAGGCACACAAAAGAGGGGAAGGTGATGTGATGACAGAGGCAGAGATTGGAGTGATGCAGCTACAGGCCAAGGAAGGCCAAGGATTGCTGGCAGCCACCACAAGCTGGAAGAAGCAATAGTGTTCCTGAAGACTTTTAGCCTCAAAAATGATTAGACTATAAATTTCTGTTGTTTTAAGTCACCATATTTGTGGTAATTTGTTATGTCAGCCCTAAGAAACTAATGCATTTAGCCTCAGTGGCCATCCCCACATGGACGTCTCATGATTTATATTTCTAGCTCAGAGAGCCCTGAGAGCTCCACGCCAGTTTATCCAATGCCTACCTAATATTTCTAGATATTCTGGAGCCACTTCAAATCTACCATGTCTCAAACTCTTTACCATCCCCAAACCTGGTCCTTTTCCAGTCTCCTCAAGGATACTAAATAACACCACCAGCCATTCAGTTATGCACAACAGAAGCATAGGAGTCATTCCTGACACTTCTCTTTCCTATCACCTTGGATGTCCACTCACTAAGTCCTATTGATTTTATCTCTAAATATTTCTCAAATCTGTCTACTTCTCCCTTAATTTCCAACATCACCACCTTTGTCCTTGCAATTGCCTCTTAACTCATCTCTCCAGAATGAGTCCTGGCTGCCCTAAATCTCTTTTCTACCCTGTAGCTATTGCAATCTTTTCTAAATGTAGCTATTGCGATCATTTCCAAATGCAGCCTTGGGTATGTTACTCTGCTTAGAATCACATTCTGCTTAGAATGCTTCAGTGATTCCTATTGCACATAAGATAAATGCAAAACCCTTAATATGGACTAAGAAGTAAGGTCCAATCTCAAACTCACCATACTCCTTTCTGAGGTTTCCTCTTCAGTCAGACTGGCCTCCTCTAAGTTCCCTCCTTCCACAGGGCCTTTGCACATGCTATTCTCCCTGTTAGAAATGTTCTTTCCTCCCTTCTTTGCCTAGATAACTCTCATTTATGTTTCTGATTCCAGTATTATTTTCTCAGGTGAGCTTTTTTTTGACTTTTTAAACTAGGTGGAGTCTTCTTTTGCAGTATTCTGTATCTCTTCTTCATAGCTCTTACCCAAATTGTGATTTCACATTTTTTGTTATTATTTTATTAATGGATGCACTCTTTTACTAGACTAGATGCTTTAATGAGAATAGGAAAATTTTGTCCCAGGGCCTAGCATCATGCATAATAGATGCTCAATAAATGTTATTTTGCATAAAATTAATGAATGAAATAAGTATTGTGTAATGTTATACTCCAAGAAGCCTCTCCTATCATATACCTTGCCATGTAGGGGTTATAGTAGGGGCTAAAAATGTGGTCACCAGGAAAGAGGAATGGTACTATACCACCTTTTATGAAAAAAAAAATCAAAAACTCACTAGCATCATCTGTCTTCTAATTTGTCTGAATATTACAAACTGTCTCTCGGACCTGGTTTTGGAGGAATAAATATATAAAGTAAATTTTCAGGAAGCATGTTTTGTGTTTTATTTTTTAATTTTGGAGGGTTTTGCTAGTAGTTTTACTGTTTTCCAAACAAGCACACTACTACAGATAAGCTGTTCCCCACTAGGCATCATTCTGATGAAGGGCATTCAAGCTGGGGACTCCTGAGGATAAGTATACAATACTTGTCATAAAAGCTAAAAATATGTGTTAATGGGGCAAAGGCAAAAACATTAATCTTTGGCTTGTGAGAAGGGAGCACGGTATTAGGAAAAATAGGCTGATTTTCAAAACCTAGACCATGGTAGCTATAAAATTAACATGAAAACAATTTATCATTGCCTGAAAACAAGTGAAGAGCCCCTGAAATGTGCTTTGCTTCTCCTCCAACTCTCTAGGGAACTTTTTCCATGTCAGGTGAAGGTTTTGAAGAGTACTTTAATTAACTTGTATCAAAGAGATGGGGTATATAAGAAAGAACCATGTAAAGATTTCTTTAATTAGTGAATTTCATCAGGGCTCTTCCACTGTCTATCAGTAAAGTAGCTGGTGGGCTGCCGGGGTCCTTGGTGGTACATTCAGTCAATAAGCTATTCATGACTTCAGCAAGTAGCTAGGTTTTTAAACCAATGGGAATTTGGTGGACAATTTCCCTTTGCTACCTTTAGCTACACGGCCAGAATCTATAAACTGTTCTCTTTCTTAGAAAGAAAATGCTGAGGTGAGCAAGTCACCAGCAGGGTCTGCGGTGGACACATTAATTGCTCTGTGGCAGAAGCATGGGCACATATTTACTTTTAAATGTAACTAAAGAGAGGCTGTGGGGGCAGGGAGTGGGACTCCATTACCATTGTGTGTGATGTGTACAGTGTTAATCCAAAATCAGTTTTTTTCATGTAATTTTGCAGAATCACATGCATTTCATTGTCTTTCCAGAGTGGCAATAAAGCCTAGAAAAAGAACTCTCTCCCTCAGTAAATCAAAAGTTAGCAGACAAAAGGTCAAAATAGCCAAAGCCACAAGAACATTAACACTTTGGATATAAAGATTTCCTGAAAAACAAATGCTCACTCTCACTTTGGAGCAGGCAGACGCCTTATCTTTGTGAGTTTACAAAATGGAGCCAAACTGTACCCCTAGCCACTTTAGCTAAACCAAGGCCTGGATCTTTCAGCAGCCCACAGTCATTAAAACTCTTAGAAAGCCTCCCAGGAGGCGATGTGCTTGCTTAAGTATATGCTGTAAAAGGTCCCAGAGATTTACAAGGGACTGCTCCACGCTAAACCAGGCACCATCTGATAAACAAGCAATTTTAGCTGCAGGCTAAATGATGCTCTTTGAGGCTTTGATTTACAATGCTGAAGATGATATATTTGTGGTTTGAGGATAGGTTCTGCTATGGGCTTGCTGTGATTACTCACCCATGAGCAGAATTCAGGGCTCAAGTCTTCAACTTGGAGGTCAGAAAATTGCCAGTGGAATGAAAGAGAGTTGATAAGGTTAATTGAGATGCTAAATAGTTATAAAAAAAACTTATTAAGTCTGTGGTTTCAAACTCTTCTTAAGCTTTCTGGGGACCACAGTTTTTGTTAGTTTGCTTAAATCCCAGAGATATAAAAATAATCTGCAAAATTGATCTGGTGGTCTCATTTTACTTTCATTATATTTAAAAAGCAAAAACAAGCTTAGTTTATTATTTGCTGACATTTAAAAATAAGAAAAAAATGTTCAATGTAGCATTTATGTTATTGCTCGATAGCTAAGGAATCTGAAGGCAACTTTGAAGCAAATCAAATCTCCTGTAAGAACACCGAGGAATAGACTTACAATACTCGAACCTGAATTAAGAACTGTGGGAGTGCTTTTAAAACTCATGGTTCCAAGAGATGATTTGGCAAACTCCTTTGCCAAGAAGTTTTGTATTTAATAAATATTTGAGTGTCCACTAATATTGGCACTGTACTAGAACAAAGATAAATAAAATGTCGTCTCTCTCCTTTGGAAGTTTACAGTCCAGTGGACAAAACCATAGATAATTTCAGTAAAATGTGAGATGTGTTAGAGCTCAGTAGAATGGCGTGGGAGGATAGAGAAGACAAATTAACTGCTTGGACTTAAAGGACAGGAGAGGCCTCCCTTGGTACTCTTCTTCCTGTCCCAGGACTGGCCAGGCAGCCACACACACGAAACAATGGAAAGAAGCATTTCTGGCAGCCCTGGTATTCCAGCCTGCAGCACCTCCAGAGCTGTGACCGAATGTTCCTTTACTGAAAAGACCTCAGACCACTGGAGTTCTGGTTCGGGTGACACTAGGCAGATTCAGAAGTTGCAGACACAACTTACTAGTGAGGGAATCAGTGGCTAACTATATATAGGCCAGCAGGGACAACCCTGAGGTCAGAGCTGGCTCTAGGCTAGGATGTAGGTGCCAACCTTGGCTTTTTGGTCCACCCCTTCTTTGCAGGGTCCAGGGAACACGATCTGTCTCCTCTATTCTCAGGAAAGGACCTGATGAAGTTAAGTGCATTGTGGCACACATGTCAGACACTGGGAATGATGCATTGCTTTTCCCAGGCAACTTATAGTTTTAGAGGGTCTGAAGCTCTAAGCCCATGGGACTTTGGTGACGCAATAGAGTAACATGGAACTGGTTTCCGGGAAGATTAGAAGTAAAGGATGTGGTTCTCTCTGCCAATCAACCTTCTCTGTGCACTATTTCCCTATAGATAACACAGCCCTGGCTGGCTTAAAGGTTAACGAGGATGACTCACATTTATTGAGTGCTTACTATGTGCCAGATACTATTTAGAGGTTTATGTGCATTAAATTGTTTAATCTTCAGAACAACCCCACAAAATAGGTACTTTGTAATCTCTATTTTACATACTAGGAAACTGTTAAATTTGCTCATGTTCTCATAGCTAATGAGGTCACCAATCCAGGCCGTTAAATTCAGCTGCATCCCATGACAGTGAATGCAACAGCTAATTATGCAGACCAGGGCCTCTAGCTTGGAAATGGAGGCCATTCCTGCCCTGGCTCTCCACTAGTTTAATCCTTTAGATTGGCATGTCAGGTAGACACCTGAATCCTCCCTTTTTATTCGTCCCTCACCCTGGTCACCACGGGGCTTCTCTAAGCCTCAGTTTCACAGTCTGGAAAAAAATGCCTCCTCTTTCTCTCTCTCAAATAATTGGAACATCAGCTCTATAATACCAGTAAAGCATTTAAGACTATGCAAATGAAGAATATTACAGAGACACAAGGTGATGGTATTTTATAGCAGCCCATTAAGACATATTACTGTAAACATAGACACTAAGTTGCATCTTTTGCCAGACCTTTCCCTAAATTTTAGCAAAGAATTACATGTGCCTTTCAAATCTACCCAAGCTAATTGTCTTTATGAACATAGACCTCTGCATAAGCTGGACTGGGCTCTAGTAAATTCCCCTGGCCAAAATATTTTTCAAGTATTATAGTGTAATTTACTGTATCATGTCCAGTCGCAGCCTAATAATGCACAACTCCCAGGAGCCAAGTATATTTCATGAAGCTTACAATTACTTTTATAAAAGTTGCAGTAAAGTATAATGATTTTTAATGGCATCAATGATACCATTGTATATATCGGTTTCAGTTTTGAAGTAGAGTTAAGTTCAAAGACCCAAGGGGACCATTCTCCTCTTGATGCACTTGTGCTACTCCCATTAATGCTAATGGGACAGACAAATGCTGCTCCAGAGGAGAATATATCTGCCCTTAGGATGGTAACAGGTTTTAATTAGTAATGCTTTGAATCACACAAAAGCAGCTTGCCCTCTGTAAACAGCAAGTGTTCACTGAGATGAGAGTATGGATCACAGCCTGGCTTACTCATGTGCAATCTTCAAATCTGAGATTTGTAAATGGTGGAGACACAAGGCCCTCCTCACCTGAAAATGAGAAAGAGAGCTCAGTCTGGGAGCTTTGTTGAAACAAAATCACAGTACTCAGAACGAAAGCATTGTTCCTTAAATTTCTGAGTTGCTTGAGTGCCAAGTAGATCTCTGGAGTAGGTTATTACAGTGACTTCAGCCTTGAAAGAGAATCGCAGTGAACCTGATACTGTGGAAGTGAAGCCTGATAGCGTAGGGTCCACCTCTGAGCACACGCTTTAAACATAAAAGGAGAAAGTCTAGAGAGGTTACCCAGCTGGAGGCTCAGTGGTGCTTAGTGATAGAGCTTGGGCAACAAAGCACTTTGTTGAGAAGTGGTTCTTGGCTAAACACTGGATGGAGAAATGGAATAGAAAGGAGCTAGTGTTTCAGCACGCTTGCTGCTCTGTGTCACTATCTAGGGAGGTGGCTTCAACATGAGCTTCAGAGTGAGGGGGCAGAGGCCAGTTTCTACCTTCTCTATGTGCATCTGCAGCTTGCTTTCAGAAAACCTATCTGTGAACATACAGTTTTTAGGTGCAATTATTCACTCCGGATAATACACCACACATTTCAGTTAGAGTATTTAAGATAACATGTTCATCATATAATTTTTGGAAATAAATCTCTCAAAAAGTGAGATAAATTTATATTTATCACCAAGTTTAGGATTTGTAAATCTAAGCCCAAATGATCATAAATTTTATGTTAACATTTAATGTATCAATCTGGCTTGATCTCTGAACAAACAGATTTGATTAGGATATCAATAATACAGAAGTATGTGTATGTTTTTATTGTTGTTGTTTTAAGCTTTTTAGATATACAGAGGTTAGGAAAAACCAGTGTATCTTGTGCTTGACTCTAATGACTGGAAGAAGAAACTTAGTATTGGAAAGACCAACTTAGTTTGGAGGAAACTCTGATTAGAATTACATTCTATTTGGTTATAAGCACATTTTTTTCCATATAAATATTTGGGGAAAACTTTGCTTTAAAAAGACTTTGAAGGAATTCGATTATGGAACAGGATACTTTATGCCATTTCACAAAGAAAAATATAGATATGTAAGGTAAGCAGCTTGTTTCCACTTGCTGAGCTGCTCTGTCTTACTTTCCCTCCTGTGGCTCTGAAAACATCCCATTTATATAAGTATTAAGTTTATAGTAGAAGAAATGTCATAGGCACATTCTCAAGCTCATGAATTCATTATCACATACATTCAGTCTGGAGCTATAAGGTGTAATGTCCTTTTCTCTGAGGTAGCCCCAAAAGATACACTCCACTATCAGGATGATTTCATCTAGACCCAATTTCCCCAGATCTTTGAATGTTGCAGATGACTACCTCTGTTCTCTCCACATTTCCCCTTTTGACTTACTAGGGACTGTGAATGTTATTAACTTTGAAGTGTCTATTTGCATCTCTCTACAAGCTGTCCCCCCTCCTTCCTTCTTCAACAGAGGTTGGGACTTCTAAGTTTTTACCTTGGAAACAGCCTGTTAAAGTATTTTCAAGCTTAAAAACAATCCCACTACACAACACATGAGGAGAGGCTGAATGCAAATATCAGTCTTCTTTCTGCCCAAACAGCAGCAAATCTCTTAATGCAAACTTCTTGGCTGCATTTCAGTATGGTTGTATCATTTACACTACCTCGGAGTTTCCCTCAACCCCCAGTTTTGCTGTCTTGAGGCTCTGTGCTTTTCCACTTCAAATGTTCTTCATCAGCAGAACAACAAGTTCTTAGAGAAAATTAGGAACACATCTATGAAAACACTCTGGGTTACACAATTGTGGGGAGAAGCACCGAGATAGGCTTGATTTTGGTTACTTAAATAAATTCAAAGCCCTCGATAATTTCTTTACCTAAACACCATACTGACTCTTCAAGATTGCGGCATTCAAGTTATTTTGCCATCACCATTGCTTTGCCATCACCATTGCTTTGCCATCACCATTTGCCATCACCGTTTTCACACTTTGCCATCATCATTGCCATCACCATAGTAATGTATGAAATTGAGACAGCTCTCTTGGGTCCAGAAATGCAAGCCAGGTGTAGAGGACAATAGAACTACCCTACCAGCTTCTGGACCATTATTACATTAGAAGTAGTTAAACTTCTAATTTAAGTGACTCCAATTTGTGGGATTCTGATAGAGCACCTTAGCCTGCACACTAACTGATAAAATTCATGAGAAAACAGAGTAGAAAAAAACTATCATATGGATTGTGCAGTGTTTAATTGAAGGCATATGGGTGTCTGTGGCAGGGGAGTGGGGTTCAGGATATCCACTTCAGGATTATATACCGAACTAGTGAGGATCTGTCCTTTAATACATTGCTAAGCTTGTTTCTCATTGTCTCCTGGTTTAGAAAGGGTGAGCTGTTGGGAGGCCTTCAAAATCTGCAGCTGAGCAGTCAAAGATTGACACTGGTGCCAACTTGTACATTGTGTGGTGACATCATACAACTTCATGTCTTGGTCCTATCTTCCCAGCTAAATTGGGGTTCCCCAAGTGGAGGTTCTGCATCTGTCACTTCAGTATCACGTATAGTGTCAAGCATGTGTTTTCCATTTTGCAGTGGCTCAGTAAGTCACGGCTTGTTGAATTACTGAAGTGGATGACACACACATTAGAGCAAGAGTTAAAGAATTATAAATACTCAAGCACAACTAATATCTGTGCTGAAAAGAAACAACTTGCAAGATCTTCTGTTTTGACCTTGATTTTGTAGATGAGGAAACTGAAGTCCAAAGAGGTGACGTGATTCATCCAAGGTCAGGCAGTTAGGGGTAAACCCAGCACTAATACCCAAACCTTCTGTTTTATAAGGATTACTGCTCTAACTGTGGTTCCATTAAGAATCTGTTTGTGGGCTAATTAGTAGATATAGGACTAGCCTGTTCTGCCCTTCACCTTTAAAGCAGGGGTCCCCAACCCCTGGGCCACAGACCGGTACTGGTCCACAGCCTATTAGGAACCGGGTCGCAGAGCAGGAGGGGAGTGGCGGGCAAGAGAGCATTCCCGCCTGAGCTCCACCTCCTGTCACTTCAGTAGCCACATTAGATTCTCATAGGAGCACCAACCCTATTGTAAACTACGCATGCGAGAGATCTAGGTTGCACGCTTCTTATGAGAATTTAATTAATGTCTGATGATCTGAAGTGGAATAGTTTCATCCCAAAATATTCCCCACCCCCGACCCACCCTGATCCATAGAAAAATTGTCTTCCACAAAACCAGTCCCTGGTGCCAGATAGGTTGCAGATTGCTGCTTTAAAGGGTCATAAGAAATAATCTAAAAGGAAAAGATATCTAAAAGGAATTTCATTTTAAAGTTTTAAGCAAAAGAAAGTAATTTTTCCAGAGTAGTTATAAGTTGGTAAAATCAGAAGTATTATTTGGAAAATACCTTTTAAAAAATTTTGAAAGCGGTATTAGCTGATAGGTTCTTGCCTTATACTTAACTGGATGTTTAGGAAGAGAATCTATAACTCTAAGAAATATCCTAAGGCAAAAGGGACTTTCTGTAAATCTTAGTATTTCAATGCTGATGTTAAAGGGTGTGAAGTATGTAGGTAATATTTAGTGATGGGAGAGTGTCAGTGGAACTCAAAATCAAAATATTCAAGATAAAGTTTACTGATGGACTAGTCACGGGATAGAGGGCTGGACTGTATCATTTCAAACACCTTGGGAGTACTAGATAATATCAGTTCCAATCATACTGAAAGTCTCCCACTTAATGTGAAGCTATCATTTAGAACTATGCATTTCACAATCTATCCTGTTGTCTATTTAGTGGATTTTGTCATCTGGAAAGTATCCCACTGCATTAAGAAAATCTAATGATTTCTAATGACTGGCCGGGAGCAGTGGCTCACACCTGTAATCCCAGCAGTTTGGGAGGCCGAGGCGGGTGGATCATGAGGTCAGGAGTTCAAGACCAGCCTGGCCAAGATGGTGAAACCCCGTCTCTACTAAAAATACAAAAATTAGCTGGGTGTGGTGGGGGGCACCTGTAATCCCAGCTACTCAGGAGGCTGAGGCCAGAGAATCGCTTGAACCCAGAAGGCAGAGGTTGTAGTGAGCATGCCACTGCACTCTACCCTGAGTGACAGAGCAAGACTCCATCTCAAAAAACAAAAACAAAAACAAACAAAGAAAAAAACAATGAACTGTTCCTTGGATAAATTACCTTTTCACGGATTCTTGAGAATTGCCTTTGGGCCTTTATTTCTCAGATCTGCTTTACTTACATCAATATTGAAATGAGTCCCAAAGCTTGATAGGCATGCAGTTTACAATGAAAGAAAATATTAAACACGGAATCTTTCCAGCAAAGAGGTCGGTGGAGTGGTGGCACGGGGAGGCAGGGCTGAGGAAAGATTACTAGTGGGCATTGGAAACTTTAAACTTCAACCACTTGGTAAGGAAAAGCATATTCTGTCAGTCAAGTTTCAACAAAATTAGCTACCTTTTGACGATGATTTTAACAGATATAAGCATTTCTAAATAAAATCTAATTATGTGAATGTTAAAGCTTCTTCTCATTTGCTCTCTCATTCCATCAATAAACCTTGGTCTAGTCTTTACTGCATTTGGCCAAAGGCTATTGCAAGACTTACCGAGTATTGAGCAAATCTAGTTTGATCTTCAGAATAAATTCATTTACAATTTTAAAAATTGTAGTTGTATAATATATAGTCATGCATCGCATAATGATGTGTTGGTCAATGTTAGACCACATATATGAGGGTGGTCTTGTAAGACTGTAATACTGTATTTTCACTGCACATTTTCTGTTCATTGTGTTAGAATTGTCTACAGTATTCAGTGTGGTAACATGCTGTGCAGGTTTGTAGCCTAGGAGCAACTGGCTATATCTTATAGTGTAGGTGTGTAGTAGGCTGTACCATCTAGGTTCGTGTAAGTACACTATATGAGGTTCACACAATGACAAAATCACCTAACTACACATTTCTCAGAACATGTCATTGTTAGGTAATGCGAGACTGTATTTCAAGAACACCCACTAATGGGTTAAACAGGGTATGGGTTTTGGTTTTAACTAGCATTTGGTTTTAACGACATTGGCCAAGGGTCTTAGCAAACATGGGTTAACAAAGACTTGAGAACTCCCAATGGCAGAGGGATCATTTACAGCAGGGAAGAAGATTTGCTTTTCTTTCTCTTCCTGTGGACTGATCCCATCCTGGCTGCCAGTGTATGTCAGCAAGTTCACAGCCCTTAATTCACTGTAAGCCTCAAGTTATTGCACACCAGCACACTTCCGAGAGGAGAGATGTCATAGAAATCCAAGTTGCCTAGTGGTATACCAGTATTAATCAAACCTTGTAGCAGTACTGCCCCATAGAAATTGGAATGCTTGATGCTACCAAGATGCTTGGCATTTCTATAGTGACGTTTCCTGGATCATCTGATCCAGGGCACTCTGCAGGACATCCTTTTTCGCAAAGGTTTGTCTTATGGGTAAAATTAGAATAATGGTGTCAGTTTCTGAGTATCACTACAGCTGGATTCTCAGTGTTGTGCTATATATGGTAAGGCAAGCCCCAAAGTGGCTCAGAGGACCCAGGTCTACGGGTGTGAACCAGTGAAGACTTTGGGGTTCTATCACCTAAGTTGAAGGTCATGCAGGAGATATCTCATTTGCCTTTTCAGGATGGATCCCAATTGTTGGCTTCTGGGTGATCAGGAGAACAGTGGATTTTTATGCTTTGTCCTCTAACTCATTTTCCTCTTCCTTCATTCCTAGGGAGAGGCGTAACAAACCTTCTCAGAACCTAGTGATATAGAATAACCATTTTATTATGCTCATGGATTCTGTGAGTCAAGAATTCAGAAAAGGCAAAGGGCTCTTCTCTGTTTCATAACATCTGAGATGTCTCTTATAATTAGGTGTATCTCAAATTGCTGGGGATGGAATAGTTAGGGCTGGGGGATCTACTTCCAAGATGACTTTTTTACTCATATGTTTGGCATCTGATTGGGGTGACTGAAGAATGGGCTTAGCTGGGACTACTGACCTGAGCATCTCCATGTGACCATTTCTATTAGTCTGTTTTCATGCTGCTGATAAAGACATACCCAAGATTGGGGAATTTACAAAAGAAAGAGGTTTAATGGACTCACAGTTCCACATGACTGGGGAGGCCTCACAATCATGGTGGAAGGTGAAAGCCACATCTCACATGGTGGCAGACAAGGCAAGAGAGCTTTTACAGGGAAACTCCCCTTTTTAAAACCATCAGATCTTGTGAGACTTATTCACTATTGTGAGACAGCATGAGAAAGACCTGTCCCCATGATTCAATCACCTCCCACTGGGTCCCTCACACAATATATGGGAATTCAAGATGAGACTTGGGTGCAGACACAGTCAAGCCATATCCTTCGATACCTGGCCCCTCCCAAATCTCATGTCCTCACATTTGAAAACCAATCATGCCTTCTCAACAGTCCCCCAAAATCTTAACTCATTTCAGCATTAACTCAAAAGTCCACTGTCCAAAGTCTCAGCTGAGACAAGGCAATTTCCTTCCACCTACGAGCCTGCAAAATCAAAAGCAAGTTAGTCACTTCCTAGATACAATGGGGATACAGGCATTGGGTAAATACAGCCATTCCAAATGGGAGAAATTGGCCAAAACAAAGGGGCTACAGGCCCCATGCAAGTCCAAAAGCCAGCAGGGCAGTCAAATCTTAAAGCTCCAAAATGATCTCCTTTGACTCCATGTCTCACATCTAGGTCATGCTGATGCAAAAGGTGGCCTCCCGTGGCCTTGGGCACCTCTGCACCTGTGGCTTTGTGGGGTATAGTCCCTTTCCTGGCTGCTTTCATGGGCTGGCATTGAGTGTCTGTGGCTTTACCAGGCACACGGTTCAAGCTGTTGGTGGATCTCCCATTCTGGGGTCTTGAGAGCAGTGGTCCTCTTCTCACAGCTCCACTAGGCAGTACCCCAGCAGGGACTCTGTGTGGGGGCTCCAACCTCACATTTCCCTTCCGCACTGCTGGAGCAGAAGTTTTCATGAGGGCACTGCCCCTGCGTTTCCATACATCCTCTGAAATCTAGGTGGAGGTTCTTGACTTCTGTGCACCCACAGGCTCAACACCACATGGAAGCTGCCAAGGCTTGGGGCTTCAACCCTCTGAAGCAACAGCCTGAGCTGTACCTTGGCCCCTTTTAGTCATGGCTGGGACACAGGGCACCAAGTCCCTAGACTGCACACAGCAGAGGGACGCTGGGCCCGGCCCACAAAACTATTATTTCCTCCTAAACCTCTGGGCCTGCGATGCAAGGGCCTTCCGTAAAGGTTTCTGACATGCCCTGGAGACATTTTCCCCATCGTCTTGGCGATTAACATTCAGCTCCTTGTTACTTACGCAACTTTCTGCAGCCAGCTTGAATTTCTCCTCAGAAAATGGGATTTTTTTTTTCTATCGCATTGTCAGGCTGCAAATTTTTCCAAACTTTTTTTCTCTGTTTCCCTTTTAAAATGGCATGCCTTAACAGTGCGCAAGTCATCTCTTGAATGCTTTGCTGCTTAGAAATTTCTTCTGTCAGATACCCTAAGTCATCTCTCTCAAGTTCAAAGTTTCACAAATCTCCAGGGCAGGAGCAAAATGCCACCAGTGTCTTTGCCAAAACATAACAAGAGTCACTTTTGCTCCAGTTCCCAACAAGTTCCTCATCTCCATCTGAAATCACCTCAGCCTGGATTTCATTGTCCATATCACTATTAGCATTTTGGTCAAAGCCATACAATAAGTCTCTAGGAAGTTCCAAACTTTCCCACATTTTTCTGTCTTCTTCTGAGCCCTCCAAACTGTTCCAATCTCTACCTGTTACCAAGTTCCAAAGTTGCTTTCACCTTTTTGGGTATCTTTTCAGTAGCACCCCACTCCCGGTACCAATTTACTGTATTAGTTCATTTTCATGCTGCTGATAAAGACATATCTGAGACTGGGAAATTTACAAAAGAAAGAGTTTTAACGGACTCACAGTTCCACATGACTGAGGAGGCCTCACAATCATGGCAGAGGGTGAAAGGCACATCTCATATGGTGGCAGACAAGAGAAGAGAGCTTGTGCAGGGAAACTCCCTTTTTTAAAACCATCAGATCTTGTGAGACTTATGCACTATCAGGAGAACAGCATGGGAAAGACCTGTCCCCATGATTCAATTACCTCCTACCGGTCCCTCCCACAATATGTGGGAATTCAAGATGAGACTTGAGTGGGGACACAGCCAAACCATATCACCACTCCAGCATGGTGGGCCCAGGGTAGCCGGACTTCAAACATGGTGGCTTAGGGTTCCATGTGTGAAAGTTCCAGCTAACAGCATAAAAGCAGCATGACCTTTTATGACCCAGCCTGTGAAGTAACTAACACCACTTGTGGCATACTTTATGTGTCAAAACAGACACAAGGCCAGGCACCATGGCTCACGCCTGTAATCCCAGCCCTTTGGGAGGCCGAGATGGGCAGATCACGAGGTCAGGAGTTTGAGACTAACCTAGCCAGCAAGGTGAAACCCTGTCTGTACTAAAAATACAAAAATGAGCCGGGTGTGGTGGCGTGTGCTTGCAGTCTCAGCTACTTGGGAGGCTGAGGCAAGAGAATTGCTTGACCCCGGGATGCAGAGGTTGCAGTGCACTGAGGTCGCACCACTGCACTCCAGCCTGGGTGACAGAGCGAGACTCCATCTAAAAAAAACCCAGACACAAGCCTGCCCTGACTCAAGGAGAAGGAACATAGATCCCATCTCTCAATGGGAGGAATGTCAAATAATTTGCAGCCATGTTTTAAAGTCTCCACAAGAGGTTTCATGGGGTTTTGGGAAAGTTCCAAGCACCTATGATGGCTGTGAATTAGAGCAGCCCATTGATGAACTATTTTCTCTCTGATCCTATGCTAAGATAGGGGACTGCTCCCCTGTACTAGTCAGTACTAGTATTGAGTTGCTGAAACAGAGAAACCCTAGAACACAGTGACTCAGATAACGAAAATTTGTTCTTCTCTCATGTAACAGTCCAGAGGTAGGTAGTGGGATCCAGGGTAGTTAGGCAGCTCTACTCCATAAGAACATTCAGGGATTCAGATACTCTTCATCTTATTGTTTCACCAGTCCCCAGGGCACTGTCCTCATCCATATTGCCAAAGATGGTTTAACATCACCAGGTTTGAATTCTAGCATGTGCAAAGGGACCAGAGGAAATGGAAGGTAAGCAATTTCCTTTTAAGGAAGTGACATAGAGTTGCACACATCACTTCTAGTCACAATCCACTGGCAATAGCTTGGGAACATGAGTAAACCTAGCTGCAAGGGGGGCTGACAAATGTAGTCTGTAGCTGTGTGTTCATGAGCCCTTATAAAACATATTTATGCATGGGGTCCTGTTACTAAAAGGAAGAAAAAGACAATAGATCCTGGGGGACAATTAGTAGTTTCTGCTGCTGGCTTTTGAAACATCCTTGGAATATTTGCCAGGGTTGGGGCTCAGAACATGATACCTCAATGTACAGAACTTTGGCATGCTGAATATTTTAAACTGAAGGACATTGGAAGGTCTCAGAAGCAAGTTCTGACCTTCTCCTGCCCTCCTGTCTCCTGCCCCTTTTTCTCCCCTGGAAGTGATGAGTAAAAACCAGAATTCCTCTTCCCTGAGACAGGTCATAGAAATTAGAACCCTTTTCCCCAAAGCAAGCCATAAAACCTAGAAAGGTCACTCTTACCCTTTTCCCATTCCAGTGGGGTCCTGCCACAGGCCTGGGGGGAAGACTTGCTACACAGAGAGGCCACAAAGAATCTAGAAGACAGACTTTCCTGGGTGTTCTTCCCCAGTTTATTACTATTAGGTTATATCCTTTTGTCCAATTACATTTCTACACCCTGTCAATTTTTTATTGAACCTAAGCAAAAACATGGACAGTTTCCCTGCCTCTTTGGATTTTCATGTCTGAAGCCTCCCATGTCACATAAAACTTTGATTAAATAAACTTGTTACATTTTTCTCTTGTTAACCTGTCTTTTGTGATAGGAATGGAGCCATTTCCACCCCTACACCAGGCATATTCAGGAACATGGGTTGGTACACTTTTCTTGTAAAGGGGTAAAGAATAAATATTTTAGGCTTCAGGGCCACATACTTTCATCTATGTTAGTTTTCTATTGCTGCTTTAACAAATTATCAACACAGTTAGTGACTTAAAACAACAGAAATTTACCTTACAGTTCTTTAGAACAGAGTCAACATGGGTCTCAGTGGGCTTAAATCAAGGCTGCTGTCCTTCCTGGAGGCTCTAGGGAGGATGCATTTTCTTGCTGGAGTAGTTGGCAAAACTCAGTTTCTTGCACGCAGCCTCCTACATCTTGGGACCAGCATTAGGACATCAAATCCTTCTCATTCTGCCATCTGTCTCGTGGGCCAGAGCTGGAGAAAGGTCCTCTGCTTTTAAAGACTCATGTAATTAGTTTGGGTCATGTGAAATTACATATCCACGAGTTCCAGGTATTAGGGAGTGAGCAGTTTTGGGGGATCATTATTCTGCCTACCACACAGCTTCAGTACTCAACTCAGCCATTGCAGCTCAAAAGTAACCATAGATAATATGTACATGATCGGGCGTGGCTGTGTTGCAATAAAGCTTTATTTATGAAAACAAGAAGTGGCTTGGATTTGGCCTGTGCATCACAGTTTGCCAACCCCCTCTCAAGAGTGTGAAAACCAGTTGCTGACTTTTGGCTCCCAGGCAGACAGAAGTCTCTCCTTTCCCCACCCTCCTGGCAGTTAGGCATGGTCTCCTCTATGTTATCAGCACACCAGCCACTTGCTTCTGTTAAAGTCCCCTTTTCATAGAATCATAATTACTTTCTTTAGTATTTGTTTTTTCCCCCAGATTATGGGCACATTGAATGCAGGCACCTGGTCTGATTCGTCTTTGTACCTTCTCTAGTGTTTAACAGCATCCAGTGCTTAGGAGGTGCTCAGTAAATGTTCATTTAGTAAAGGAAACCTTATGTAGCAGTCAAACTGAGGGAGGCATGAGTTGAAAGACACACATTTTTGTGTGTTGGGGGAAGTATGTTTTCTCTAGGCAGACCTTCAATTTTGATAAGATTTGACTGTTTTGATTTCCATCTGCAGGATAAGCCTGACATCTGTGAGTTTCCCTAAGAGTTTGTGAAGGCAGATCTTTAAGAAAGTTTAAAACCAATTCTTTGTTGCCCTACTAAAAATTAAAGGGCAAAGCCAGAATTATACATTAGCTGGTGAGGCCAGTAATATGCATTTGACAGACATTTAATTTCTGCCTGCTTGTGCCAAAATAACAATGTGACCATAAGGAAATTTGCAAATGGAAATAATATTTTCCTGAGTGTTTTCCCAGACATTAGAACTTCAGTGTGGGTTGAAAAGTGCACAGAAAGGTTTTTGACCTGCCAAGGCATGAGTTCAGCTGTTGTAGGATAAACACATAACTCTGATGACATTAACAACATCTGAGGCTCAAGTGGGCCAGGAATCCATCTCTACCTTATTTATGTGAAATGTTCTCACACTTACAGCCTCTAGTCAAAATAATAACTTTATAGGTGCATGGGTATTTGGAGTCTTTAACTGAAAGGTATTTTATGTATAAAGTATTATAAGAACGACCCCTTTTATCCCAGATGTTCAATGAAATTAAGATACACAGAGGGCATTTTATCCAACAACCAAGGACCAGTCTTAGGTTGGGATCCAGAATGGATGCTTATTAAGTTATACAACTATGTAAGACATGGCCATAAGGCTGCGCCACCCAGTTGAAATTGGCTCAAGTCTCTTAGGTAGATGGAAGAAAAAAAAGCTTCAACTCTTTGTAAGTATGTCATGCATTTAAAGAGCACTCTTACGCTTATATTTCCACTTAAAGGCAGTAGGTCTAGAAATCCCCAAAGTCTCTCCCAGTCTAAGAGAACCTTTTGAATACACTACCTTCATACTTTTTGGTTTCCTGGCTTCTATCAAACAAATCTCTTGCTCTTAAAGTATTGTCAGCTGCATAGTCAGCATGTCCATTGAGTCATTGCACTTGCTAATAAAAATGCTAAGATATCAGACCAAGGACTAGTGTTCTGGGAATGCCCTTATGCTGACATCAAGCCACTAAAATTACTCTTTGGAGCCTAGCCCTACAACCAACAATAGGGTCCGGCCTGTGTTGTAAAAGCTGTTAAGCAAAAATTGTCAGCCCCGCTGAAGTCGACGTATATTGTTTCTGTTGCTCTCTCCGCTTTTCTTCCTAATCTGTTAGTATGATTTGTACAGAAAATGAAAGCCAATGCTCTTAAAAAAACAAAAAAAGCCAAAGCCCCATCTGATAGGATTTAACCTTCCCAACACTTTATTAGCTACCAGCCTGCCCCTTTACTCTTTCTGGGAATTTGGCATAGAATTGATACTTTCTCTGGTGTAGCTCAGCTATGTGATTTGCAGGACATGCTATACACATGCCATACCATCCTCTCTCCCTTGTTCTCCCACTGTCTAGAAATTCTCACCTATCACTAGTTAGACCTGGATGTTACGGTCAGCAATATTTTGAAGCCCTGTGTTAGGTATTGGTGGGCCACGTTGATTTTAAAAACACTTGGCTTTTCAAGAATATCTTCCAATCGTTTCTTTACCAATTTTAGTTCAATGTTTCACTTTCCTGTGGCAAGCTTTGCACTTTATTTCTTTTCTTTTCTTTCTTTCTTCCTTTTGAGACAGGGCCTCACTGTGTCACCCAGACTGGACTGCGGTGGCATGATTATAGCTCACTGCATCTTCAAACTCCCTGGCTCAAGCAATCCTCCCACTGCAGCCTCCCAAGTAGCTGGGACTACAGGCACATGCCACCATATCTGGATATTAAAAAAGTTTTTTTTTTGTAGACATTGGCCTCACTGTATTGCCCAGGCTGGTCTCAAACTCCTGAGCTCAAGTGATCCTCCTGCCTTGGCCTCCCAAAATGCTGGGATTACAGGTATGAGCCACCACGCCCAGTCTACATTTTCTTATTTGTGTAATCTTAGGTGATTTTTGTAAAATAAATGCAAGTAAAAAAAGAGATCTATTGGGTTCTGTCTTTGTAAGGTCATTTATTGTTATGGGCTGAATTGCATTCTCCCAAAATTCATATGTTACAGTCCTAACTCCTAGTACCTCAGACCTTGACTGTATTTGTCAATAGGCCTTTAAAGAGGTAATTAAAGTAAAGTAACCCTAAAAGTTATTAGGGTGGGGTGTGTATCTGAGTGATGTCTTTGAAGGAAGCAATTAGGATTAGGACACAGGCAACACAGAAAACCATGTGAGGACACGGCCAGAAGGTGACCATCTGCAAGCCAAGGGGCGAGGCCTCAGAAGAAACCAACCCTGCTGAGGCCTTGATCCTAGACTACTAGCCCCTAGAACTATGAGGAAATAAAATTCTGTTGTTTAAGCCACTCAGTCTGTGGTATTTGTTATGGCAGCCCTAACAAACTAATACATTCACTATCAATTTTGTTCTTTTCTCCTAGTCAACTTTGATTATTCTTTTTTTTTTTTTTTTAATGGAGTGTTGCTCTGTCACCCAGGCTGGAGTGCAGTGGCATGATTATAGCTCACTGCATCTTCAACCTCCCTGGGCTCAAGCAATCCTCCCACTGCAGTCTCCCAAGTAGCTGGGACCACAGGTGCGATCCACCACACCCACTAATTTTTTGTTTTTCTTTCTTAGCAGAGATGGGGTTTCACTGTGTTAGCCAGGATGGTCTTGATCTCCTGACCTCGTGATCCACCCACCTTGGCCTCCCAAAGTGTTGGGGTTACAGGCATGAGTCACCGTGTCCAGCCTGATTGTGCTTTTAATATTCACAGGACACATTTAAAGAGATCTGGGCAGCATGTTTTGATCTGTAGGCCACAAGGAAGTGAGGTGATCCAGTGTCATTCCTGCATAACTTGGTTTTTAACAGTGGCCAGCAGAGTGACCGGACAACCTCTGTCATTACCAGTGGCCTTATACGTACAATGACCTTGAGCAAACTAAAGAAGATTTTATTTGGTGTGGCTTTTCTGGACAATAAGTTTTGCAGAATGGGTTTCGAAAGTGCTATCCTAGGACACAAGTCTAAATCAGGAGGCTCAAGGTCCATATTTTGCAACAGACACTTTTGGGCCACAGAGTTTTAAAAACAAATTCAGCCACTTAAAAATCCAAATTTTCTTCTGCTCTTAAAAATTTGAAATGTCTATCCTGCTTTTCTGTGATCAAAACCGAGTCAGAACTGCCCCTGTTAGTTGGATACTACTCTTTGGTGTGCCCTATCCCCGACCCCTACTGAACCACTTCCTATTGTCATTTATGCCTGTCTATTTCACTTATTACTCAAGCCCCCTGGCCCAGATAATGAAAATAAACAGGTTAGTGGTTCCTAGATTGCCATTGCTAAAAGATGCTCATTAAGAAAAGAGGGTTGAGAGGTGAAAATACTTGGGAAACTCAGTGGCCTGTATATATACTTTCTTGGAGATTTTCCACGTGCATGAATATATGAAAAGATCTGAGAAGTTCTGCAATGGAGAAATCCATTTAACTTTGTTTCCCAGTCTTTCTCCTTCCTATCTGACTAGGAAGTGCCATTTATTTGAGTAACATACATTTGACATCCTGTGGAAACAGTGTTTCAGGGGACACACTTTGGAAAATGCTGAAATGGATTCTCGTAGTCATAGACAGAAGAATGAATCGGAGAGTTAGAATTCTGTAAATACTAAATAATTTTCATATTCATAAAGAATGTTTGTGAAATAAATGTAAATGAAGTAAATGTAAAGTCATTTTATTACAGATTAATATTACTTTTGTGATGTTATTTGATGTACCACAAAAGACAACAAACCACCAGATGCATGACCAATGTTAACTACTATGGGAAAGTCTTTATAAAATTGAAATATTTTACTCATTGTGAAAGAGAAATAGATTTTAGCTTTGAGAGAACTGTATTCCAATTACTTTTATTGTGCTCCAGTGTCTTTGTTATTGCACCACAATAACCGCATCACACTCTTCATATTTCAGGTTAATGAACTGATTGGACTGTAAACATTTTGTTAGACAAACTTACACCCATTATACTTGCAGTCATTTAAAACAGGGAGTATGTACAAATGAAGCCAGATATCCTCTTGTATTAGCTATTTTATTAGAGTAATAATGTGCAAATCCTGACTTCCATGTTCAACTAAATGATTTCAAACAGTTTTTGACACGTAAATTCATGGCTCGTCTACGTGCTTCCACTGAGTTTGGCAAAAGTGAATTGGTCTATTTGAGTTATCCTCCTTTGATTTCTCCAAGAAAATCAATATAATAAAGTAATTCTTTCCTGCCATCCTCTTCTTTGCTAAGCTCTTCTGAGAACAGTCAGAAGGTGCTTTTCCTTCAATTATTTCAGGCTTGTTTGCATTAAATCCTTTCCAACAGGTGCCAGTAAATGTGTTCCCTTAATAAGGATGTCTCCCTTTGAAATAAGCTAAATAAAATTTTACATTTAAGGTGAGTAAGAACCAGTTATGGAGAAAATTGTTCAATATCTATTCCATTCTAATTTCTTTTTCCATACAAAGCAGCTGCAGCTCTATATTGAGGAACAAGTGTGATGATGTGGCATGCATAATTCATGCCTCTGGCCTTCTCCACACCCTGATTTTTTCTATCAGAATTGTACATATTTAGAGAAGGTCAAAGATTATTCTTTATTTCTATCAGTAAAACGTTTTGAAGGAATATGACATGAAATATGTGGTTATTTTATTCTTCATAAGAATGTTTGTGGTAATCTCATAACACAAGAGTTTTCCTTTAGATACTTTTGATTTTGTTTATTTTGTAAATTTTTGTTTGTTTTCTTTTGTTAGATGGTAGAATCTCAGTTATTTAAGTGGATGGCATTCTTATTTGTAAAGGTGCCTAGAATGAAAACTCACCTGTTTATTAGGAATTAAGGCAAAATCATGCCACTTAGTCCCCAAAGAGTTCATCATTCTGGCACTTCTTACATTGTTCTCCTTTCCAAAACAGTATTTTAATTATAAGAAAAGTACATCAAGTCTTCAGCTACAAAAATCAATTTTCTGTTCTTTTTTCCCAGCTTCATTCTCTTATTTTTATTTTGGCTGTTCTTGTACCTTATTAGTACTGTTGGTCTTCCCCATCTTGATAGCCACAGACATTTTAAGCTCAGTATGTTTATAACTAAATCCATCATTTTTCTCCCCAAACCTGTTTCTACCATGTAATGAGTTGCAGAAGCCAGAAACAAACCCAGCTGCCATCTTTGATTCCTCACACTCCTCTGCTTGGCACACCCAGACAATAGCCAAGTCCTGCCAATTCTACTTTCTCAATGTCCTTTTAATCTGTCTTCTTTTGCTTACGTATTCCCCATGGCCTCTTCCTGGTTCCAGATGCCATCATTTTTCCCTGGATTGCTGAAGCTTGTCACCCTGCACTCACACACATGTACACACGCGGCGAGCATTGTTCCTGCTCACAAACACACACTCAAAATCTAAGCTGGAATTGTCAGTGTGGTCAGGACTGTAGCATGCCCCCTCTCTGGCATGTTCCCTTGTGTGGCCTTCTCCATTAATCACATGTATTGTCTGAAACGTGAAAGGGCCACTCTCTTAAGGGCTAGGAAGATTGAGAAGTTGTGATTTCTGCCCACAGGTAATGTGAGTAATCCAGTAGAGTTTGTGGTGGGTGTGTGGGATTGGGAGGCAAGACTACTGGGCATGTCTCAGCCACTGTGGCAGTATTTCTGCATTTACAATGGTGCTGGAAGAAAAACCAAAAGGAATTCATAGCCTTAAAAATGTTCCTAATTTGCCACCTACCACACAGTAACATTCTCAGGCATAAATTTTAATCTATAAAATTAGGATTTCAGCAGTAAGCATCGCATTTGATTTCAAGAAATGGCCAAAGGTCAGCCATAATACTAAAATGGTTCCATCTCTGCTCTGACGTCTGGTGATAATAACTTCCTACCTCATTTTGTTTCCTTCTCAAGGTCATGCAGGCACCCACAGCGTAGTTGCATCAGGAGAGGAGGATTCTGGGGTTACTTTGTGCAATTCGCTCCTCGTTGAGAAATCTTTCCAATAACAATGGATATTCTAAGGATCCTGGACATGTAACACGTGCCACCAGGTTTTACATAATATTTCTTCCAGATAGTTTCCAAGTTGTCGGGGAAAGTTGCATATCTACAGAGTTGTCAGCTTACCATGTCCTCCCCTGCACCCTGCCACCCCCTCCTCTGGCCCTCCCTGTCCATTCTGTGCTCAGGACTCCGGGAGTGAAACAGCAGTATTCCCATTAAATAGGAGAAGATAACTCAGATCAAATCTCCATGGTAAATCGGCTCTCAGCACCTGGTGCAGTTCCTTTAATGAAGCCTTTTTCTCTCCATGATATGAATCCATTAGACACTGAGAAGCTTGAGTATGTAAAATATTTTGTTTATCTGGCCCTTCTCAAAGGTACTGTCTGTCATCATAGATGTCTGCAGTAAATATAGCAACAGAATTAGTGGATGTGTGAGGCGATTAGATTTATGAGGCACTTAAACTGCAAAGCTTCTAATAACCATAATTCCTAACTTCAATCATAATACCAGTATTAGTGTCATGTTTTCTAGAGGATTTTATGTTTCTAAAAATATCTTAATTGTGGTTACCATGTTTACCCTCTAATTCCTTTAATTTGAAAGTGAACAGGCTGCCAGAGACATAGCTAGAGAAAACAGTCCACCCTTCTGTATTGTTTACATGGACAGTGGGGCAAGATGGATTGCCCGTCTTGCATGTTCTGCAATTAAATTAGATAAATTTCCATGGAAAAAGGAGAGTCCATGCTAATAAGGGACAACTGATGACAAACAAAATCAAATGTGGGGATGAGGAATAAAGGGTAGGATCTTTGTCCTCCTCCTCCATCCTCTGCCTCTTGTCCCCAAAGGGACTCTGTCTGAATGCCTCTAACATGATCTCATTCTAATTATTTGGCATCACTTGAAAAACCTTTGAAAAAATGCCAACTATTAGTCGATTCTCCTTTTGACCCAGATCTCAAATGTTAGTTCAGGTGCTTGATATAAGATTCTTGGCCTGTTAAGTCTCTTTTTGACTTTCAGGGATAAAAGGAAGGCAAGTCCTCTTAAGTTTGCTTAGCATACACACACATGCACACACACACACGTTGTTTTCAACAATTGCCAAACTTGAACAGAACAAAATGTATCGGCATTATCCTGTGCAAAATTGATAGCGCAGCTCTTTCAGGTTCACTATAAGAACTGTTTGGGTGCAATGACTATTTTTGCATCTTTTAAGAATTTGGGAGATTTGAAGGGCACCCCAGATTTAGCCATTGAAAGATGATTCCACATAGCCATCACTGAGTTCAAGACCCTGATGGATGACATGGTAGACTCTGGCCAGAGATGGAGAGCCAGGGGTACTTACTCAGTAAATATTTTTCAAAACTTTTTTTCTGAATAGACACAGAATATAAGCTTGTCTTATAACATTCAAATAACAGAGATGTATAAAGTAAATACATAATTTCCTCATCTCAAGATAACCACTGTTAACAGCTTCGTGTATATCATTGCAGGCTCTTTTCCATTCATATTCAAATACATTCTTATTTTACAGAAATGGACCAGTACTACGCATACTGTTTTATGCCTAGCTTTTTCACTTAACAATATATCATGGACACTCTTCAGGAGCAGTAAGTACACATTTATCTCTATCTTTTTAACTCTTTTTTTGGCATTCCGTAGTATGATTGGACCAAAATTTATTTAACTGTTCTCCTACTGAAATGTGTTTAAATAACCTTCAGTTATTTGGTTTTACAAATAATGTTTCTGAGAACATCTTGGTCCATGTATCTTTAGATGCTAATGAGAGTATTTCTGTAAGATAAAATCCTAAAAGTGGGCCGGGCGCGGTGGCTCACGCCTGTAATCCCAGCACTTTGGGAGGCCGAGGCGGGTGGATCATGAGGTCAGGAGATTGAGACCATCCTGGCTAACAAGGTGAAACCCCGTCTCTACTA
The DNA here is from genome assembly GCF_000001405.40 of Homo sapiens. Lineage (NCBI taxonomy): Eukaryota > Metazoa > Chordata > Mammalia > Primates > Hominidae > Homo > Homo sapiens. The sequence continues at coordinate 175,785,367 of NC_000002.12, read as the reverse complement.
AAAATACAAAAAATTAGCCGGGCGTGGTGGCGGGCGCCTGTAGTCCCAGCTACTCGGGAGGCTGAGGCAGGAGAATGGCGTGAACCCGGGAAGCGGAGCTTGCAGTGAGCCGAGACTGCGCCACTGCAGTCCGCAGTCCGGCCTGGGCGACAGAGCGAGACTCCGTCTCAAAAAAAAAAAAAAAAAAAAAAAAAAAAAAAAAAAAAATCCTAAAAGTGGTATTAAAATTTTTACATATATTAGCAAACTGATAAATTGATGTGTGTTAGAAAATTGTTTTAAAATTATTCACCTCTTTCTGGTTTTACCAATAATATGTGAAAGTGCTGTTTACCCACACTGCAGTATGAATATCAGCCATTTCATTTAAGTTTAAGCTGTTCCTTCAATATTTGTCAGAGGCTCAGATAAAACTAACTTTTAATTTGTTATTTCTTGGATTAATAATGATCGGTCATCTTTTCATGTAGTTATATATGTTCTTTTTTAAAAAATTCTTTTTTAATTTCCTTTTCTTATTTTCAACTGGAGTTTTTACACCTTCCTTACTAAGCCATACATACTTTTTATATATTGTTTATGCTAGAAGCTGAAAATAATTTTCTAAAATTTTTTTACTCTATGACATATGGTATCATACAGAAGTTCTATATTTTTTGGTAAAATCTATTAATCTTATCCTTTATGGTTTTTTACCTTTGTGTGCTGATAAGAAAAATATCTTCCACTCCAAGATGATAAACATATTCTCCTATATTTACTTCTAGCAGCTATCAGGTTTTTAAAAATATTGAACTCTTTAATAAATCATCATTTTGTCTTGGGGTCTTATGTGAGATAAGAGTCTAACTTATTCCTCTCCAAACGGTTCCTGATGGCCTCCACATCATTTAATGAGTCAGCCCTCCTTGCCTTACTAATTTTTTTTTTTTTTTTTTTTTTTTTTTTGAGACGGAGTCTCGCTCTGTCGCCCAGGCCGGACTGCGGACTGCAGTGGCGCAATCTCGGCTCACTGCAAGCTCCGCTTCCTGGGTTCACGCCATTCTCCTGCCTCAGCCTCCCGAGTAGCTGGGACTACAGGCGCCCGCCACCGCGCCCGGCTAATTTTTTGTATTTTTAGTAGAGACGGGGTTTCACCTTGTTAGCCAGGATGGTCTCGATCTCCTGACCTCATGATCCACCCGCCTCAGCCTCCCAAAGTGCTGGGATTACAGGCGTGAGCCACCGCGCCCGGCTGCCTTACTAATTTTAAGTCGCTAACTACCCATATATTCATGAGCCTGTTTATGTACCTTCTGTTTCATTAATCTATTTATAACAATACTCTGTTGTTTTAGTTAGAGTTGCTTTAAAATATATTTGAATCTGGTAACACAAATTCCCCTCTCAAATTTATTTTACAAAAATTTCTCAGGTATCCTAAGTATTTCCTCTTCCAAATTAACTTTACTATCAATTTGTATGGGTTGATGAAAATTGGAATTTTTTGAGTTTCATTAATGTATACTTTGAGAATTGTCATTTTCTTCTAAGGGCATTTGTCTGTTTTAGTGAGTTTGTAGAGAGCACTAACTGCTCTCCCTAAACGTATGCATAAAAAGAATAGCAAAAATAATGTAGGCTAAGAATGTGGGTTTCGAGAAAGATGATGTTATGATTGGCTAGAAATTGACAGATAAGTCAATGCAATAGTAACACAGGAAGGTGGAAAGGGTATAGATTGGGGGAGGTATGCAGTGAGTGTAGGATGCACGAGTGAAAGTAGAATGAGAGTGTAAAGGGAGGGAAGTGAGAAATAAGATGAGGGAAAGATTATTTGGAGGGTGAAATAAAACCATTGACCTATGGCCAGCTGGGCCATACTGCATACTGGAAGTACTGGAGGGGCTGGAGTGGATTCCACAATCTCATTCATGTTGAGTGGTACTGCAGAGAGCCTGTTGTTGAGCGATGACCAAGTGGCCTTGGGATACAAACCCAGTGGAGGAGGGTAGGTTTGAGAATATGGAGTCCTTACGGGTATTGTCTGCATGCTTGGCCAGAAGGAAAATTGAATTCAGTCAGCACAGGATAAAACAAGATTAGTGGGGCAGGGTAGAGAAAATGTGATATGGGCAGGCAAGAGGGCCCAGATTGGAACCCAGCATAAGAATTTGAATGGAGCTCTACACAGGGGTGAAGCCTGGTATAGGCCCACCCTGAGCACAAAGGGCAGGGGCTTAGTTAGGTATATTTCTGGCCATGGGGACCTTGTCAAGGCCCGCTTCCAACCTTCACTCCCTGCTGCTTCCCAGTTTTGGGGACCTGCCATGCGGTGTCCATACACTTGGCCTTCTGTTACTACAGGTGCTGTATCTGTAGATTAAACCAATCATGTATCGAAAATATTTGGGGGAGAAAAACAGTAAAATATTACAATACCACAATAAAAAATAATGCAAATAAAAACAATGCAGTGTAACAACTATTTACATAGCATTTACATTGTGTTAAGTATTATAAGTAATCTAGAGGTTATTTAAAATGTGCAGGAGGAGGCCGGGTGCGGTGGTTCATGCCTGTAATCCCAGCACTTTGGGAGGTCGAGGCAGGAGGATCACAAGGTCAAGAGATTGAGACCATTCTGGCCAACATGGTGAAACCCCGTCTCTTCTAAAAATACAAAAATAGCTGGGCCTGGTAGCGCATGCCTGTAGTCCCAGCTACTTGGGAGGCTGAGGCAGGAGAATTGCTTGAACCAGGGAGGCAGAGGTTGCAGTGATTTGAGATCACACCACTGCACTTCAGCCTGGCGACAGAGCGAGACTCCATCTCAAAAAAAAAAAAAGCAGGAGGATGTGTATAGATTATATGCAAATATAATGCCATTTTATATAAGGATCTGGAACATCCAAGGATTTTGGTGTCCTTGGGGGTTCCAGAACCAATCCCCCTCAGGTACCAGGAACAACTGTATATGTACATAACTTTGCCCATCCTAGCTATACCAGATTTGTTCAGTGATAGACACTTGACCAAAGCTGGGCCACTTACTCACTTCTCAGGCAGAGTTAGAGTTGGGACAGATGGAAACAGATGGATCATTTTGAAACAACTGCATTTCAGTACATAAATCTCTGAAGGCCTTGATGACTCTTTCACCATGAGGATTGAGAGGTAGAGTAAAACAATCTACTCAGAAGGAATAAAACATATGCACAGAAATGCAGAGACCAATTCTTCCTTTCAGCTTACTTTTGAGACCCAGCTGCATTCTATACTTTGAGCTCAATGAAATACTCCATTATCCCCCGTTTTGTTAAAAAACAAAACAAAACAAAACAAAAAGCCTGGATCAAGCTGGGTTTTTTGCTACACAGAGTTACAGAGGTCTTAAATCATATAAGAACCAAGGAAGATAAGGAGGTGAAGTCAAGAATTGACGTCTTAATAAAAATCCAAGATCTTAATTAAAGGACTGAAATATAATTGGTAGAATTTCAGAGAACAAAGATTCAACATACTAGGTCTAAAATAGAATCAGAGTTCTGCATTCAACTAGTCCAAACTTGGCAGCAAGGGATAATGGAAGGAGCATTGGATGCAGAAGGAGAAATCCAGGCCTAAGGCCACAGAACTCTGTAGCCTTGAATAAGAATTAACTTCTCCAAAGCTGTCTTCAGAGAGGATAAAATAGGGCAACCATGTCTGCTTTACCATGCTTGCCACAGAGGAATTTTTTAAGGCGTGTGGCCGTGACCAGGTGCACTCAAAGAAATGTAAAATACTATTTCCATGGAAGTTGTTGTTACAGCTGCCTCGTAGAACCTGTACTATGGCACTGACTCTCTGTGGTGAAGTGCTTTTATGTTCAGTAGCTGACTGAGCTGCATAATATGGCAGGGGCCACGGTAAGAGATGTGGCATAAGGCTGGGGTCCTTGCAGGGCCTCTGGATAGCACGGCTCCAGGGGGTGCCATGGCTCCAGGGGGTGCCATTCTTACTCTGGTTTGTAGGAGTGCGTTCTCTGGGATGCAACATAGAATTCCATGTGCATGAGGCCCTCCAGAGTTGTGTGGGGTGGCAGTCCTGATCCCAGGGTCATATCTGAAGAGAATGCCTTCTCATGCTCTAGTGCTGACAGTGGAAGGGAACATTGGTAAAACATAAAAGCAACCTTCAACTTGAGGAATTCCCCTGGCAGCTTTGTCCAGCTGTGTTGTCCAAACCTTTGGGAAAAGGCTGAAAGCATTAGGAAAAGCATGGGTCTGGCTGGTACCTGAAGGCACGCACCCCATAAACTCTGTCAGCACCCCATAAACATGCCACTTTTAATGGCAAGTGCATGTCCCTATTCACCACCATCATTTATTCTACCACAAAATCTCCTGGAACTTTGTTTCCAGAATTCCTTTTATCTTAACCATTAAACCAGCCTTGGAGAGATATTGAGGTCAGTTGTCGTGGACCTGAGTCATATCTACCCCTGACCTCACCTGAGCAGTAATCGAAATAGCCACAAAGACTGTTGAATAATGAGAACAGCCTTGTGGCAGACTTCCTGATCGGCTGGCATATATGGAAACCTGTACCCATCAATCACCCCATAATGGTTTGTAAATGTTCACTCTGGAATAAGGGTACCTTAAAACATCTGCTTTGGTGAGATAATGAACATAGGTAGGTGCCTAGAAGTTAGAGGTCTATTAAAAAGACAGGCACACAAAATGAGAAGAGGGTCGCACAGCCAAAAGTACACTTAAAAATGTGATGATGCTGTGGAAATTGTGACAGGAGGACTAAAGTTGGGAGTGGATCTGGGGTTTGCAAAACCAACACAAAACAAAGAAAAACCCAACTAAATCAAATAATACCTCAGTACAGTCCAAAACAGAAAGAACGATGAAAAAGGACTTTTTCTGGAGTTGGGGGGTGGATGGGGAACAAAAAGAATGGTCCCCTGGCTGAGTGGGAAGACCTGCCCCAGAGCAAACAGAGTCTTGTCCTGTGAGGCTTCCAAGTTCCTGTTAAGGAGAATGGTCTTCAGATAGGCAAGCCCAGCAGGCTGCTGAATGCTGTGAGAGGCAAGTAAGTCAGCTCTCAGATAAACTGCATTGGCTCAGTCAGAGCATCCAGCACTGAGGGGAAATAATTTGCAACTGTGAGATGGAGTTAATAGAAGCAGTCAGCCATTTTTGAGAAATGATGGAGAATGGCAGATGGTCCGAAGATTGTAGGACTATTCTGTCTTGATATCAAAAAAGAGAATTCTGACAAATATAGAAGACTAAGATTGATGATCTTCTGCTTAATTTTGGAGTGGATTCTAACGTGGTATATGAACCCCCAGAAGTAGACAAAGTCTTGTTGATTTGGGAAGCACATGGACTCACAATAAAAATAATTCATTTCAGTGCAACCAACTCTTCACCTTTCACTCTCTCTCTTTCTTTCTTTCTCAAGTTAGACAGATAAGGGAATTCCAGAGATAAAGTAGGCCAACTTCCTTTAAAGGCTTTTAAAGGAAGTATCTCTCATTTTGTGACTGAGATGAAAAATATGAGAAATAAATTTATATGTAATCATTAGATCAATGCATTCATGTAATATATTAATATATGGTTATATTTATAATAAATAATATATTAGAACATATTGATAATAATTTAATACTATATATTTACATAAAACAATGAAAAATATTTGAATAAGATGGAAAAAATATATATATAGTTAAGTGGCTAAAGAGCTGTTTAGTGGATTAACCTCAACCAGAGGAAGTGGAATGGTAGAGTGCAGGATTTAAGGGAACCATCAAATTTGAGCGAATTAGAAGTGCAACCCCACCCTCCCCAGAATTACTTAAGAGAATCCCCAGGGGTGGAGGCTGAGAATCACCATTTTTAACAACTCTCCAAGTGATGCTTAAGCACACTCACAAGTCTGTAAGTTTAGACCTGACTTCTCCCCTGAATTCTAGACTTGTATACACAACACTTTTCAACATCTCTATGGATATCTAATAAGCATCTTCAACTTAACTTGACCCCAGTGGAATTTTTTTATCCCCTCAAAACCTCCTCTTCCTTCAGTAAATGGCACCATCATCCATCCAGATGCTTGGCCTAAACCTAGGAGTTACTCCTCTTTCCCTCAAATCCTATGCTGGCTTTACCTATGAAAGATATGATTCTGCCACTTCTCACCATTGCCACTGCCACTAATCCTAGTCTAAGCCAGCACTATCTCTTCTCTGAGCTACTGCAATGGTGTTCATTGGTCTCCCTACTTCTACTTTTGCCCCTTGTTCCTTCTTCTTAAGGCAGCCAATCTGATTTTTGATACCCTTGAATAGCATCTTTCTACAAGGACAATTGATCCCCAATTTCTTTCCTTGGCCTACAAGAGCTTCATCTGGTTCCCAGCTATCTCAGCTCACAGCTCACTCTCTCACTCCCATGTGCTAGCTACCCAGGCTTTCTTTTGGTTTTTTGAGTGCACCAAACTTATTTCTGTCTCAGGGCCTTTGCACTTGACATCATGGCCTCTGTTTCACCATTCAGGCTTCCCTGGAGGATCGCTTCCTCAGAAAAGCCTTTCTCAATGACCCAACTCACTCTCTACCTCATTACTCTGTTTCATTTTACTACTTAAAATTCGTATTGATCTATTTATTCTCAGGTTCATTATCTGACTCCCTGACAGAATATAAACTCCATGTGAACAGGAAATTTGTGCCTAGGACACTGCTTAGCACATCACAGGTACTCAACAAATATTTATTGAATGAAAGAACCACTGGTATAACAGAAGGAAGCTGGACTTTGCAATCAGACTTGGGTTGAAATCTTTATGCCATCTTGGCTCACATTTCCAGCCTAGCACCCCTGTGCTTTATATAACAACCTGACCCTTTTGAGGTTTCTGCTACCCTTTTTCCATCATGATTTTCATGTAGCTTATTTACTGAAGACTTTATCTGCCTCATAATCTTCTTCCTGTCTCCAAGGATTGGCATGGCCCCAGGGAACTTCATGGTCCACATAGTTGAAACAGCCAGCATCATAGCACAATACTTCTTAACAGTGGCTGCATATTAGACTCATCAAGGAAGTTTTCAAACAATATCAGGTTTGAGGTACCTAGAATGAGGTTCCTACGATAGTCAAATTCATAGAGACAGAAAGTAGAATGTTGGTTTCCAGGGGCCTGGGATGTTGGGGGGCGGGTGGAATGGGAAGTCATTGTTTAATGGGTATGGAGTTTCAGTTGGGGAAGACAAAAAAGTTCTGGAGATAGCTGATGGTGATAGTTGCACAACAATGTGAATGGTCTGAATGCCACAGAACTGTAAATTTAAAAATGGTTAAAATAGAATATTTTATGTTACACATATTTTACAACTAAAAAAAAACAAGAAACAAAATATACCTCATTGCCCAGACCCATGGGCATTGCTGGGGATAGAACATGGGTGTCAGTCAGTATTTTTTTAAAACTCCCCCAATGAGAATGAGGCTTCATATCCACTGCCCTCTCCTCTTGTTCCCTACCTTCATGACTCGAATGGCCTGCATCTGTCCTCCACTCCAGCACTCACATCCATGGCTGCACCAGGAGTCATCTCTCTGTGGCATTTAAATCCAGCTTTGTCCTGTGATATGGTTTGGCTTTGTGTCCCCACTCAAATCTCATCTTATCCCTCCCATAATTCCCATGTGTTGTGGGAGGGACTCAGTGAATTGAATCACGGGGGTGGGTCTTTCCTGTGCTGTTCTCATGATAGTGAATAAGTTTCATGACATCTGAAGTCTTAGAAACAGGAGTTTGACTGCACAGGCTCTCCCTTTGCCTGCTGCCATCCATGTAAGATGTGACTTGCTCTTCCTCACCTTCCACCATGATTGTGAGGCCTCCCCGGCCATGTGGAACTGTGAGTTCTCCATTAAACCTCTTTCCTTTGTAAATTGTCCAGTCTCAGGTATGTCTTTATCAGCAGTGTGAAAACAAATGAATACATTCTGTGACTATACTTTCTCTCCTTTCAGCTCCTCTTGTACCCTCACAGTCTTAGTTCATCCATTCTCCCAGTATTGAATGTTTCTCCACATCCTCACCAACACTTTTGTCTTCTGTTTTATTTTTTATAGTAACCACCCAAGTGGGTGTGAATATACATTATTTTAAAGCCTTAGTTGGTGTGGAAGAAAATGAATTTATGGTAAGCCTCTGTGAAGTTGTACCACTTTCTCAAGATAGGCTCAGGGGTCCAGTCGTAGGGGCAACGAGCTTACCTTAGTCTGTGGGACCATTGGCTCAATCAGTGAATAATGTGGGATCATTAAGAAGCAGTAATTCTGGAAAGGACTAAAATAGATATTTCTCATAGCAACTGCTAAATAAAGGATTCACCCATTTTGTAATGAGGCAGGATAAAAACACACCGTTGTTTCATTTACGCATTATCTGTGTCTGGTGCTACATGAATTTATGGTTAAGTTTACTCCAGGATCTATAAAATAGCACGTTGACTCTATTGATGGGTCAGTCTCCTAAGAGAGCTCAGTTTTTCACAACCTTCTTTTTTGCTGTCTTCAAGAACTTTTGACCAATGATCCCCCTTGACTGTTGTTCAAGAGAAGTGCTGGAGTTGGATGGAACCAATGAGCATGGGTGCCAGACCAGCGCTGGTTTCTTCCAGAGAACCTGGTGGTCTTGCTCCCTATCCTCCAGAGGCTGCTGCTCTTCCCAGCATGTGACGGGGCCTCGGTGTGTGGTAGGACAGATAAACACCACACAAGGACTGTGGGCTACATCTGGTACAGCATCCATATCAGAGAAGAGTCACTGCGACCTCTCTGTGCTTGTCATGTTACACATGGGCTATTGGGGTTTGTGCTGAAAAGACTGTTTCAATGGGAATTTACAAAAGGAAGTGTTCCCAAAAGGGACAAATAGAAGGTTAGAGTCTAGAACATTGAAGGACAAATTATATTTCGTTTAGAGAGGACGAGGCTGGTGGGATGGGGAGGAAGAGAATGAGCTCTAAGAAAGGCCTTCAGCCCTTTAGGGGACCATGAGGTATAGGAAAACATGATCATGACATGATGCTTCAGAAAGCAGTATTGGAACAAATGACTAAAAGTTACAGGAAAACACTTTGACTCTGTAAGGAAGATCTTTCTGGAGCTAAAAGCAAGATGAGCTGCTTCAAGAGATTTCTGCCTCTGGAACTATTGAAGATAAGGCTAACTGACCAGCAGGCAGGAAGGTAATGTAGGGCTGTATTAGTCCATTTTGCATTGCTATAAAGGAATACCTGAGGCTGGATAATTTATAAAGGAAAGAGGTTTCTTTGGCTCAGTTCTGCAGACTGTACCAACATGGTGCCAGCATACTCTTCCTGTGAGGCCTCAGGAAGCCTCCACTGATGATGGAAGGCAAAGGGGTAACAGGTGCATCACATGGCAAAAGAGGGAGCAAGAGAGATGTCAGGTTCTTTTAAACGACAGCTCTTGCATGAACTCACAGACTGAGAACACACTCATTACCATGGGGAGTGCACCAAGCCATTCGTGAGGGATTCACCCCCACAAACCAGTCGCTTCCCACTAGACCTACCTCCAACATTGGAGGTCACATTTCAACATGGCATTTGAAAACCATATAAAGGGCTCAACATTCCTAAGACCAGCAAAATCTGTGACAATGATAATCTAGTTCATGTTGAGGGGGACGAGACTAAATATTAGGATCCTTAACTTCTGCTGCTAAGGAAACCACTGTGTTCAGTGATATTGCACCCAGCTTCCTGGTATATAATGAAGGGAACACATGAAAGTTTCCACATAATGTTTCTACATAATGAAGAGAACCCATTTTCATATTTTATTGCAAACAAGATATGACTTTTCTCACAAAAGGGACCAAGGCATACAGTTTATTGACAGGGCAGACAGAGGATGTTAAAGCTACAGCCAGAAATGGCTGACCCACAGGGAAGAACCAGATGTAGAAAATACAGCCTCAGTCCTAAATTAGAAGCAGGCAAACTGGAGAACTTGGTGGCTCCATCCTAGAACATTCCATGGAAATCATCTGAAATGGCCTTGATACCTAAAGATAGTGCTTCACCAGAGTGCATGGGTTTAGGTAAAGACTTAGTAACAGGGCCCTCCCTGAAGCAAAACATGGACGTCCCTTTGTAGAGGGTGTAGGGTGGGAACCCTGTTGATGCGGAGGAGGACAAGTAAAATATAGAGTCTCCCTGGAATCCTGCAGAGCTCTATTTGAGGATGAACTGCAAAATCTCTTCATATTTGTGGCTGAAACATTAACACCAAAACTTGCATTGAACAAAAGCACAGAGTGTGTTTTAGAATCTTTGAGGAAGGTGGTAGGACTTATGGTAGTTTCTAACACTAGTTTTAATTTTCCTATAAAACAGAATTTGAATTCAGTTTAGTAATCCTCTGTTTTACCTGTTATCACTTCTGAGATTTACTGGACCCAGTTCAAGTAGAGAGTTGTGCTACCTACTTTTTTTCTCCTTTCTAGACAAGGTTTGCTCTGAAACATTTGAGTGCTTTGTTAAGGGATGATATCGCCGAGGGAATGGGGCTGTAACTAATTACCTGTGGTCTGCTTAGATGAGCAGCGACACTTCTATTTTTCTCACCTCTTCGTACGTGCCAAAAATCACTAATGAAGCTGTAAAAAGAGATATGACATGCCAATGCCTCCTTTTTCAATGGTATATGGAAAGAGAAAAACAAAACCCTTTGTTGTTGTGAGCTCTTACTGGATATTTGTCACAGCTGATTGTTAATTTCTGTCAGATAGCACTTTGGATGATTAATTGACCTTTCTTAGCAAAAACAATAAAGGCTATTTAACGAATACAGCAGAAAGCAGAGAGCATGTTTTGTTGTACTCTGTTTCTATCACAGGTGATTCTCCACCTTTCCAGCCGCCCCCGTTTCTGACCACACCTACTTGGGAAATCATACTCCAAATACTTCTTCCACTTCAACATAGGTCCTCACTAGAAGGCTTCAACTCTATTTGCAAATACTATTTTTGGAGTCATTAAAATAGATTATTTTACTCAGAAGGTGTGTTGTTTATTAAGTGAAAAAAATCAAGGAACAAAGCTCCAGCAGGAGGCTTCATTCATGTTTTCATTTCTAAATCCATTCTGGGCAGCAGTTGCTGCTACTTCAGCTTGGACATGGTGGAGCCCAGTTATGTCAGAGACTGAATCTATTTTCCTGGTGCTGCTAGTATCTTATATTATATCTACAGCTGTGGAGCATTTTCTTTATACAAAATGCTGTAAGATGAAAAATGAATGATTTGACCCTTCAGGAACTCGCCATTTACTTATGAAGACAGCTATATACGCAGGGTTTCTTTGGATTGTCCAGGATCCTAGCTCAGGCAGCTCACGCTCTGCCTTGCTTGCCTTGAAGCAGGTAACTCTCAATATAGAGCTCCTGCCCCAGCCTTTCTCCTGAGCTCTTGGCTCATAGATCCAGCCGCTTCCTGACTGTCCTGTAGGCACCTCCAACAAAGCATGCCTAACAGAACTCACTGTGTTCCCATCAAATCCACTCTTTTCTTTTCAGAGATAGGTTCTACCTCTGTTGCCTAGGCTGGAGTGCAGTGGCAGCATGATCATAGCTCACTGAAGCCTCCAACTCCTGGGATCAAGCCATTCTTCCACCTCAGCCTCCCGAGTAGCCATGTAGTCATGACTACAGATGTGTGCCACCATGCCTGGCTAATTTATTTTTTATGTTTATATTGTAGAGATGAGGTCTTGCTATGTTGCCCAGGCTGGTCTTGAACTCCTGGACTCAAGCAATCCTCCTATCTCAGCCCCCCGAAATTCTGGGGTTCCAGGTGTTAGCCACCATGCCTTGCTCAAACCTGCTCTCTTCAACCAAATTTCTTACCTCAGCAAATGGTGCATCATGTCACCTAGAGTCACCGGGCATCTAAGAATGCCCTCTGCTTCAGTACACAATTGGACTTATCCTTGGTCCTGTCAATTCTGCTCCTCAAGAACTATCCTTTTTTCTTCTCCTTCCCCACACTGTGGCCTTATTTCATTCCCCTCTCCATCATTTCTTGCCAAGGCTTTTGCAACAGTCTCCTAACGGATTTCTTAGTCTCTGACTCCTCCAATCTACTCTTCACCTTGCCTACAAGACTAATCTCTCTAAAGAGAAAATCTGATTCAGTTACTCCGTGGCTCTTTAAAATCCTTCAGTGATTGTGGATAAAGCAAAAACTCCTGGCCGGGCGCGGTGGCTCACTCCTGTAATCCCAGCACTTTGGGAGGCCGAGGCGGGTGGATCATGAGGTCAGGAGATCGAGACCATCCTGGCTAACAAGGTGAAACCCCGTCTCTACTAAAAAAAATACAAAAAATTAGCCGGGCGCGGTGGCGGGCGCCTGTAGTCCCAGCTACTGGGGAGGCTGAGGCAGGAGAATGGCGTGAACCCGGGAAGCGGAGCTTGCAGTGAGCCGAGATTGCGCCACTGCAGTCCGCAGTCCGGCCTGGGCGACAGAGCGAGACTCCGTCTCAAAAAAAAAAAAAAAAAAAAAAAAAAACAAAAAACTCCTTTGTGGGGTATACGAATTCCACCAGATCTGGCCTGTGCCTGCCACTAGTGTGTGACTTGTTGCATTTCTGTGTTCTGCCTCTGAGCCTGGTCCTCAGTGCCCCAGCCCCCTTGGTCCCTCCCACCTCCTCCCTTTCTCCCATCTGAACTGTTCTTCTGGGTACCTGCCTCCTTTAAGATTCACTTACCTTTGATCTCCCCAGTGAGTGTTTTCTGAGTTCCTGGGTAGATTTGGCCTCCTCCTTTGCCCCTGCTCCACCCTGGACTCGCTTCCAGCATAACACCCTAACATCACATGAATCTTACCTGCCAAAGGTCTGTCTATTGTCTGTAAAGTCCATTTTGGTCAGCTTTTATTCCAGGTTATCTCCAACTCAGCACTGTACCTACACCTATGAGTTCAATTAATTACTACAGAGAAAATGAATGAATTAATAACATCTCATAACAGCCAGTCTTAGGGCAATTCTTAAATAGTTCATTTTTCTTTTTCTTTTTGCCTTCTCCTTTATTGCTTCCAAGCCTGGATATTTTATATTTTTCTTCTGGTTACATATCGTTTCTCCACTCCCTGCCCCCTCATGCTGTGATAAATCTGACGAATATAAGGAATAAATTCAACTCCATAAAAATAGGTATTGAAGAATTAGAATGTTTTATTTAAAAAGATACTTATGGATATAATTTCTTAGCTCAAAAATATTATGGATTGAATGTTTGTGTTCTCCACTCCCAACTAATATGTCGAGCCCTAACCCCCAATATAATGGTATTTGGAGAAACTTTTGGAAGGTAATTAGGATTAGATGAGCTCCTAAGGGGACCCTCATGATGCAATTAGTGTCCTTATAAAAGAGACACTAGCGAGCTCACTTTCTCTTTCCATGCACACACAAAGAGGAGGTCATATGAGCACACAGCAAGATGATGGCCACCTACAAGTCAAGAGAAGAGGCCTTGGAATGAAATCTACCTTGCCAGCACCTGCATCTTGGACTTCTCAGCCTCCAGAGCTATGAGAAACAAATTTCTTTTGTTTAATTAAGCCATCCAGCCTATGGTATTTTGTTACGGCAACCCAACAGACTGTGATAAAAGGGAATATTTTAATAATAGAATTGTGTGTATTAGGATAGCCTGATGGGGAAACATTTTGCAGTAGTTCGTCTGTGTTCCCTTCCTCATATCACACCACCTAGGGAATTACCTTGGATTACTACAAAAATCTAATGTATCTGATACAATATCTATTAGCATTACTAAATCTGGCTCAGTCCAAGGAAAAAAATAAGTTCATTCTTATAGTTCTGAACACATTTCCAGGGTGGATATTTTTGCCGAAGTATAGTTCGAGACATGCTTTAGGAAATGCTGCTTGGCTCTTCCTACTTCTTATTCAGCTGCAGGGCTGACAGTAACTTTATTTGTCCTCTACATTGACCACCCCACCCTTCCCCTGCCAACAAAACTGCTTGGGAACAGGTGATGGGCAGGGAGTGGGGCTGGGGCAGTGATCTGAGATGTCCTTTTGTGCTTCAGTGTGAGCCAAGATGGTATGCCTGAGCCAGCCAGAGGCCACGGGGATCAACCCGGCTTCCTTGGGGGTGCTGATGAAGAAACATTCAGTGCCAAATAACAATCATATTCTCAAGTTCTAACTTGAAAGAGCAAATATTTATGTTGTTTCAGTGGCAGAGACATTCATTCCTTTTATCATATTTGATCTTCCTTAGACTTGGAAAAGAACTCACTTCTCTGTATATTTGTTGACTGTAGTTTGTTCTATGTTTTTAGTATTGCTAGATAACGAGTACACAAATGCTGGCAATACATTGCACACAAACACATATACTTGTGTTTAAATAGTTTTTTTTTTTTTTTTTTTGAGACGGAGTCTCACTCTGTCACCCAGGCTGGAGTACAGTGGCATGATCTCGGCTCACTGCAAGCCCCGCCTCCCGGGCTCATGCCATTCTCCTGCCCCAGCCTCCCAAGTAGCTGGGACTACAGGTGCCCACCACCACCCCCGGCTAATTTTTTGTATTTTTAGTAGAGACAGGGTTTCACCGTGTTAGCCAGGATGGTCTTGATCTCCCGACCTCGTGATCTACCCGCCTCGGCCTCCCAAAGTGCTGGGATTACAGGTGTGAGCCACCACGCCCGGCCTAAATAGATATTTACAATTTATTTTTAAAGTAAACCTCTAAGCTAAAAATCATAAGGAATTATGTACCATAGCTCTATCAAGTATCACTGCAAGTAATTCATTTTCACCTCGTTCTTTTAAACCAGTGCTAATCAAGCTATCTGTGGTGAAGAACCACAAAGAAATCCCCCCAATACTTTGTAGATCCATACTTTAATAAAATACAATAAAAACGAATTATTAGAAAATGAATAAAAGACAAAATACAAACACCAATTTTGTATTCTTAGACTCAGAAGACATTGTCAAGTTGCTATAACAATTTTTTAATGCTTGCTCTCTATTTCTGTTCTTACCTGTCTTTGACCTGTAACATATGGGTAAATGGCCACACGTTGAGTAGGGTAGACCAATTATGGGGTAAACAAACAGGCCCATAAGCCTTTTCTTTGGGCCTTCCTTCAGGGCCATTATCTAAGGATTGCCTGGAACTTTCCAGTCTATCAAAATGTGGCAGCTTTCCTCTGAGTTCATAATCTCTGGGATCCCTTTTCCCATGGGAGGGCAGTACCTTGAGACATTGCTCTAGATGAATTGACTTTCAATTGTCTTTCATGCCAGATACTGATTTAACCAGAAAGGCAAGTTTGTAATGTCTTATGAGCAGTGCCCTAAGGAAAATGGGACATCGATGGTGAAATGTTGGGTGCCTTTTGCTCCAAAAGATCTCTTTTGTTTATTGGAGGCTTTTCAG
The DNA here is from genome assembly GCF_000001405.40 of Homo sapiens. Classification (NCBI taxonomy): domain Eukaryota; kingdom Metazoa; phylum Chordata; class Mammalia; order Primates; family Hominidae; genus Homo; species Homo sapiens. Next base: position 175,769,859 of record NC_000002.12, on the reverse strand, counting down.
AATTAAGCCAAAACATACAGAAAGGGTAAAAATAGCAAGAGTTAGTAGCTAAAGGTTAGGAGGAGGCCTTGTGGGAATAGGACCCAGGTCACAGCTTGCTGGGAGACAGGGGTACCAGGAGCAGAGAAGTCAGAGAGGAAGGAGTGGGGGAAAGGTCTCTGAGGAACACTTTTGTCTGGGATTGGTTTTATTAATAAAGATTTTAAAGCCACTTCTTAACAGTTCACCTCAGTAGTATGGAAGAGACAGAGCCCAAGAACCAGGCCCTCACTCATTGCCTCAACAGAAGCACAGGGCTTAACATGACAGATATCACTTCCCAATTGTGGAAAACAAAAAGATATATATTAGTGTAATTTCTTTAAAATAAAAACAAAGAGTTATTTATAGGAGTCACAGTATTCTTTGCTGTCCATCATTTAGTTGAGAAACTATACATCAGTACTTTCCATGACTCAGCACATTTTCTTCTTTAGGAATTCCAAACATTTTCACTCATCGTAGTTTATCCTCACATCATTGTTGAGACATGATTACTTATTGGCATATTCAGTCAGCAGTTCTTTATAGAAGATTTCTGTCTGGCAGTTAGTAATCTATAAAGTGAGTAGGAGCCATAACAATGTCTTCTAGATTTGTGAGAATATACTTCAAGAAAGAAAATATACTTGATGTCTTATATGTTTTTGAGACCTAAAAATTATTATGAGCCTTGGCATGTATTTTAAAGTGAAAACAATGAGAGAATCTGTGCTCTTTCCTTATGTTAAAAGATATTTGTTAATTACATCATAAGCAAGATCTCAGAAGTAAATTGATAGGTAAAAGCTGTTTTGTTGTTTTTTTTTTTTTTTGAGACAGAGTCTGGCTCTGTCACCCAGGCTGGAGTGCAGTGGCACAATCTCAGCTCACTGCAACCTCTGCCTCCCAGGTTCAAGCAATTCTCCTGCCTCAGCCTCCTGAGTAGCTGGGATTACATGCACCTGCCACTGTGCCCAGCTAATTTTTGTATTTTTAGTAGAGATGGGATTTTGCCATGTTGGCCAGGCTGGTCTCAAACTCCTGACCTCAGGTGATCTGCCTGCCTCGGCCTCCCAAAGTGCTGGGATTACAGGTGTGAGCCACCACGCCCAGCCAAAAACTTTTGAGTGTCTCTGAAGCAGTTTCCAAAATATGTGTTCATGACTTCCTTGCATTTGTTATTGATGGGGATCCTAGCAGCATAAGATCTGTCAGAATTAAGGAACTGGCTGAAACTTGTTTTCCCATTTAAGAATTAGGATTCTGTGTATGTATAAACTTGCACTGATTCGTTACTTTTCAGCTGAGTTCTGTGAGACCCTCATCTCGATGAAATGCTGCATGTATTGGGTTCTCACCTGAAATTGGGAAGCTGAGAGCATTTATATTTAATGTGGGATCTCCCAATGAAGAGTTTAAATGAAGTTGAAATAAATGAACAAACTTTTCTATTCAATACACACTACTTTGTTTCCCATACACAACAGATGTTCAAGATGTATGTATTTATAAGCATGGAATGAACATTTTTATTCTTTGATTTTCCAAATCTAAATCCCATTCCTGTATTTGAGAAATCTTCCACCTTAGGAATCAAGGTGGGAAGCCAAGCCTACCTCCCACTGAGATGCTGAAAACACTGGCTACTCTTTTTCTCAGCCTCCCTAGGGTTTAGCCAATCAGATACTCTTGCCAGAGATTTTGCATTCGGAGGTAGTGGTGCAAGGAAGCAGGAGTAGTGGAGAAATCCTTATAGGGCAGCTGGTGGTAATTGCTGAGGAAGTAAAGTATTCAATGGTTGTGGGATAGGTGTCTTCACTGGGCTGGCTCTATCTGTCATTTTGGTTCTGAACCTGGCTGTTACTGAACCCGCAGATTTCCTGCCTGTTTTCCATATGTAGTTTTCCAGTCTTCTTGTGAGCTGCCCAATACACATCTTTCTGCTTAATCTCTTGAAGTTGGACTCTGGTACTTGCAGTTAATAAGCCTGACTAGTATAATTTTAAATATTGAAATTATGGAAACACCATCATTGATATAACTTGTATTTTTCTAATTCCAAGTCAACTGAAGGTACATTTGCCTTTAGAGCCTTTTGTGGAGAATTTATAGGAGTTTCTGATACTTAGTTCTGGCCATTTTAAGGTGGAGCTAGGTGGAGCTAGGTGAGTCCTGCCAAATGTTGAACAGAGCAGGCAGTCGGTATTATTCTGGGATGCTAACACAGCCCATGGCTGGGACCAACCTGTAATGCTGCTGTCTAGGGCATCCAATAGCCTATTCAATGGCTTTGAGAATTAGAAACAGACTTCTCTTCCTCCAGATGAGCATAGCCCTGTGCCAAGGCCACTCTTGGTAAAGGGGACCTGGTGCTAGATTTTTATCCCACTTGCCCTCTCAGTGGGGACCTTGTGCAGGGTGTAATCTGCCAAACTACATATGGTAACCACATTGCTCTCCACAGTCAAGTCCCCAGTAACTCCTGAAAAGAGACACAGATGTTGAATACCTCCTAATCTCAGACCTCAGGAAGCTTACAATCTAGTTTGAAAGGCCGGCTGTAAACATGTAGAAAGGCTAAGCTAGATTGAAATACTGTAATAGCAGTTTAAGACAAGAAAAAAGGGCTGTATTAGTCAGAATTCTCCAGCGAACTGGTTCATGCAATTATGAAGACTAGTAAGTCCCAAGATCTATAGAATGAGTCAGCAAGTTGGACCCAGGAGAGTGAATTGTTTAGTTTCAGTCTGAGTCTAAGGGCCTGAGAACCAGGAGAGCTGATAGTGTAGTTCCATTCCAAAGGTTGGCAGGCTCGAAACACAGGAAGAGCCAGTGTTTATTGTTCAAGTCTGACAGCAGGACAAAAAATGATGTTCAGTTCGAAGATCATTAGGCCTTCTTTCTTTGGGGAGGATTAGCATTTTGTTTTAATAAGGCCTTCAACTGATTGGATAAGCCCTACCTACATTGGGGAGGGCTATTGCTTTACTTAGTCTACCTATACACATGTTCATCTCATCTAAAAACACTCTTGCAGAAACACCCAGAATGACCAAATATCTGAGTACCCCATAGCCCAGTCAAGCTGACACATTAAAATGAACTATCATAAGGATATATTAAAAATTACAGGTGATTAATTACCCAATGAATTATACAGATGAGAAATACTCAGATATCCCTGAGGAAAGTGAGATAGCTTCAGTCTGCAGTAGTTTTAGAAGGCAGATAGGTGAAGACCGATAACACTTTTGAGTGGGAAAGTGAAGGATAAGCTATCCATGATACCCTAACAGGGAGTGCAAGCCTTGAATTTGGGACAATCAACATTCCCTTTGCCAAAAGATAAAGCCCAAGCTCCATATCTAGGATATAAAAGTCCTCACAATTGGAGCTAAATCCCATCATTTTGGTCTCATTTCTAAGAGGGCTTTCTTTCTGAGCCATCCTATTATTCCATTCATTTCTTCAGCCAATGTTTAGTAAGTTCTACTGTGTGCTAGGCATTGTATAAGATTTCCTAGCCTTAATACAAACTCTTCCTCTTCAAAACATAAATACAATTAATTTTTGTGCAATTCTTTTTGAAATAGTGGGAGATTAACTATTTTATCTTGATCTGTTATCTAAAGGTTTTGTTCTTCAACTTTTTAATTTTTTATATGTTTTATGTTCTTTTCATTATTTATCCAACTGGATTATAATATATGAGACTATGTTTTCTAGTATCATGGTAACCCTCATGAGTACTTTCAAAATAAGCATGTGATGTTTGCTGCTTACACTTGAAGTCTTAGCTAGTGATAATGTATGAAAAGGACAACTTTTCCCTTGTCACAGTGGCAATTATACAGATTTGGAATTGAGATATCTTTCTAGTTGAGGAGGGACTACTTGAGCAATATCTTATGCTAAGAACATAAATGAATTGCTCAGGTGGTCATAAAGGTGAATTGTAATTTAAATGCAACCTCACAAATATGGAATAAGTGAAAGGGAGGGGCTAGGAGGGCAAATCCCAGCAAATAAAGTCTAATTGAAGTTCACTCTGCAGTCTCTTTTAGAAGCAGCAGTTCTTAATTGTAATGAATATTTAAATTAGTTTCCAAAGGGACTTGAGTGCCTAGGAAAAGCTCAAGTATTGAACAGAATGAAGAAAAGGAAGCATGTTATCCTTCTTTTTCTTTTCTTTTTTTTTTTTAAGTTTTGTTCTTTTTTTTTTTTTATATTTAAGTTTTAGGGTACATGTGCACATTGTGCAGGTTAGTTACATATGTATATACATGTGCCATGCGGCTGCACTGCACCCACTAACTCGTCATCTAGCATTAGGTATATCTCCCAATGCTCTCCCTCCCCCCTCCGCCAACCCCACAACAGTCCCCAGAGTGTGATGTTCCCCTTCCTGTGTCCATGTGTTCTCATTGTTCAATTCCCACCTATGAGTGAGAATATGTGGTGTTTGGTTTTTTGTTCTTGCGATAGTTTACTGAGAATGATGTTTTCCAATTTCATCCATGTCCCTACAAAGGACATGAACTCATCATTTTTTATGGCTGCATAGTATTCCATGGTGTATATGTGCCACATTTTCTTAATCCAGTCTATCACTGTTGGACATTTGGGTTGGTTCCAAGTCTTTGCTATTGTGAATAATGCCGCAATAAACATACACGTGCATGTGTCTTTATAGCAGCATGATTTATAGTCCTTTGGGTATATACCCAGTAATGGGATGGCTGGGTCAAATGGTGTTTCCAGTTCTAGATCCCTGAGGAATCGCCACACTGACTTCCACAATGGTTGAACTAGTTTACAGTCCCACCAACAGTGTAAAAGTGTTCCTATTTCTCCACATCCTCTCCAGCACCTGTTGTTTCCTGACTTTTTAATGATTGTCATTCTAACTGGTGTGAGATGGTATCTCATTGTGGTTTTGATTTGCATTTCTCTGATGGCCAGTGATGATGAGCATTTTTTCATGTGTTTTTTGGCTGCATAAATGTCTTCTTTTGAGAAGTGTCTGTTCATGTCCTTTGCCCACTTTTTGATGGGGTTGTTTGTTTTTTTCTTGTAAATTTGTTTGAGTTCATTGTAGATTCTGGATATTAGCCCTTTGTCAGATGAGTAGATTGCAAAAATTTTCTCCCATTTTGTAGGTTGCCTGTTCACTCTGATGGTAGTTTCTTTTGCTGTGCAGAAGCTCTTTAGTTTAATTAGATCCCATTTGTCAATTTTGGCTTTTATTGCCATTGCTTTTGGTGTTTTAGACATGAAGTCCTTGCCCATGCCTATGTCCTGAATGGTAATGCCTAGGTTTTCTTCTAGGGTTTTTATGGTTTTAGGTCTAAAGTTTAAGTCTTTAATCCATCTTGAATTGATTTTTGTATAAGGTGTAAGGAAGGGATCCACTTTCAGCTTTCTACATATGGCTAGCCAGTTTTCCCAGCACCATTTATTAAATAGGGAATCCTTTCCCCATTGCTTGTTTTTCTCAGGTTTGTCAAAGATCAGATAGTTGTAGATATGCGGCGTTATTTCTGAGGGCTCTGTTCTGTTCCATTGATCTATATCTCTGTTTTGGTACCAGTACCATGCTGTTTTGGTTACTGTAGCCTTGTAGTATAGTTTGAAGTCAGGTAGTGTGATGCCTCCAGCTTTGTTCTTTTGGCTTAGGATTGACTTGGCGATGCGGGCTCTTTTTTGGTTCCATATGAACTTTAAAGTAGTTTTTTCCAATTCTGTGAAGAAAGGCATTGGTAGCTTGATAGGGATGGCATTGAATCTGTAAATTACCTTGGGCAGTATGGCCATTTTCACGATATTGATTCTTCCTACCCATGAGCATGGAATGTTCTTCCATTTGTGTGTATCCTCTTTTATTTCCTTGAGCAGTGGTTTGTAGTTCTCCTTGAAGAGGTCCTTCACATCCCTTGTAAGTTGGATTCCTAGGTATTTTATTCTCTTTGAAGCAACTGTGAATGGGAGTTCACTCATGATTTGGCTCTCTGTTTGTCTGTTGTTTGTGTATAAGAATGCTTGTGATTTTTGTACATTGATTTTGTATCCTGAGACTTTGCTGAAGTTGCTTATCAGCTTAAGGAGTTTTGGGGCTGAGACAACGGGGTTTTCTAGATATACAATCATGTCGTCTGCAAACAGGGACAATTTGACTTCCTCTTTCCCTAATTGAATACCCTTTATTTCCTTCTCCTGCCTAATTGCCCTGGCCAGAACTTCCAACACTATGTTGAATAGGAGTGGTGAGAGAGGGCATCCCTGTCTTGTGCCAGTTTTCAAAGGGAATGCTTCCAGTTTTTGCCCATCCAGTATGATATTGGCTGTGGGTTTGTCAGAGATAGCTCTTATTATTTTGAAATACGTCCCATCAATACCTAATTTATTGAGAGTATTTAGCATGAAGGGTTGTTGAATTTTGTCAAAGGCTTTTTCTGCATCTATTGAGATAATCATGTGGTTTTTGTCTTTGGCTCTGTTTATATGCTGGATTACATTTATTGATTTGCGTATATTGAACCAGCCTTGCATCCCAGGGATGAAGCCCACTTGATCATGGTGGATAAGCTTTTTGATGTGCTGCTGGATTCGGTTTGCCAGTATTTTATTGAGGATTTTTGCATCAATGTTCATCAAGGATATTGGTCTAAAATTCTCTTTTTTGGTTGTGTCTCTGCCCAGCTTTGGTATCAGAATGATGCTGGCCTCATAAAATGAGTTAGGGAGGATTCCCTCTTTTTCTATTGATTGGAATAGTTTCAGAAGGAATGGTACCAGTTCCTCCTTGTACCTCTGGTAGAATTCAGCTGTGAATCCATCTGGTCCTGGACTCTTTTTGGTTGGTAAGCTATTGATTATTGCCACAATTTCAGATCCTGTTATTGGTCTATTCAGAGATTCAACTTCTTCCTGGTTTAGTCTTGGGAGAGTGTATGTGTCGAGGAATTTATCCATTTCTTCTAGATTTTCTAGTTTATTTGGGTAGAGGTGTTTGTAGTATTCTCTGATGGTAGTTTGTATTTCTGTGGGATTGGTGGTGATATCCCCTTTATCATTTTTTATTGCGTCTATTAGATTCTTCTCTCTGTTTTTCTTTATTAGTCTTGCTAGCAGTCTATCAATTTTGTTGATCCTTTCAAAAAACCAGCTCCTGGATTCATTAATTTTTTGAAGGGTTTTTTGTGTCTCTATTTCCTTCAGTTCTGCTCTGATCTTAGTTATTTCTTGCCTTCTGCTAGCTTTTGAATGTGTTTGCTCTTGCTTTTCTAGTTCTTTTAATTGTGATGTTAGGGTGTCAATTTTGGATCTTTCCTGCTTTCTCTTGTGGGCATTTAGTGCTATAAATTTCCCTCTATACACTGCTTTGAATGCGTCCCAGAGATTCTGGTATGTTGTGTCTTTGTTCTCATTGGTTTCAAAGAACATCTTTATTTCTGCCTTCATTTCGTTATGTATCCAGTAGGCATTCAGGAGCAGGTTGTTCAGTTTCCATGCAGTTGAGCATGGTTTTGAGTGAGATTCTTAATCCTGAGTTCTAGTTTGATTGCACTGTGGTCTGAGAGATAGTTTGTTATAATCTCTGTTCTTTTACATTTGCTGAGGAGAGCTTTACTTCCATGTATGTGGTCAATTTTGGAATAGGTGTGGTGCAGTGCTGAAAAAAATGTATATTCTGTTGATTTGGGGTGGAGAGTTCTGTAGATGTCTATTAGGTCCGCTTGGTGCAGAGCTGAGTTCAATTCCTGGGTATCCTTGTTGACTTTCTGTCTCGTTATTCTGTCTAATGTTGACAGTGGGGTGTTAAAGTCTCCCATTATTAATGTGTGGGAGTCTAAGTCTCTTTGTAGGTCACTCAGGACTTGCTTTATGAATCTGGGTGCTCCTGTATTGGGTGCATGTATATTTAGGATAGTTAGCTCTTCTTGTTGAATTGATCCCTTTACCATTATGTAATGGCCTTCTTTGTCTCTTTTGATCTTTGTTGGTTTAAAGTCTGTTTTATCAGAGACTAGGATTGCAACCCCTGCCTTTTTTTGTTTTCCATTTGCTTGGTAGATCTTCCTCCATCCTTTTATTTTGAGCCTATGTGTGTCTCTGCACATGAGATGGGTTTCCTGAATACAGCACACTGATGGGTCTTGACTCTTTGTCCAATTTGCCCGTCTGTGTCTTTTAATTGGAGCATTTAGTCCATTTACATTTAAAGTTAATATTGTTATGTGTGAATTTGATCCTGTCATTATGATGTTAGCTGATTACTTTGCTCGTTAGTTGATGCAGTTTCTTGCTAGTCTTGATGGTCTTTACATTTTGGCATGATTTTGCAGCGGCTGGTACCGGTTGTTCCTTTCCATGTTTAGCGCTTCCTTCAGGAGCTCTTTTAGGGCAGGCCTGGTGGTGACAAAATCTCTCAGCATTTGCTTGTCTGTAAAGGATTTTATTTCTCCTTCACTTATGAAGCTTAGTTTGGCTGGATATGAAATTCTGGGTTGAAAATTCTTTTCTTTAAGAATGTTGAATATTGGCCCCCACTCTCTTCTGGCTTGTAGGGTTTCTGCCCAGAGATCCGCTGTTAGTCTGATGGGCTTCCCTTTGAGGGTAATCCGACCTTTCTCTCTGGCTGCCCTTAACATTTTTTCCTTCATTTCAACTTTGGTGAATCTGACAATTATGTGTCTTGGAGTTGCTCTTCTCGAGGAGTATCTTTGTGGCGTTCTCTGTATTTCCTGAATCTGAACGTTGGCCTGCCTTGCTAGATTGGGGAAGTTCTCCTGGATAATATCCTGCAGAGTGTTTTCCAACTTGGTTCCATTCTCCCCATCACTTTCAGGTACACCAATGAGACGTAGATTTGGTCTTTTCACATAGTCCCATATTTCTTGGAGGCTTTGCTCATTTCTTTTTATTCTTTTTTCTCTAAACTTCCCTTCTCACTTCATTTCATTCATTTCATCTTCCATCGCTGATACCCTTTCTTCCAGTTGATCGCATTGGCTCCTGAGGCTTCTGCATTCTTTACGTAGTTCTCGAGCCTTGGTTTTCAGCTCCATCAGCTCCTTTAAGCACTTCTCTGTATTGGTTATTCTAGTTATACATTCTTCTAAATTTTTTTCAAAGTTTTCAACTTCTTTGCCTTTGGTTTGATTGTCCTCCCATAGCTCAGAGTAATTTGATCGTCTGAAGTCTTCTTCTCTCAGCTCGTCAAAGTCATTTTCCATCCAGCTTTGTTCTGTTGCTGGTGAGGAACTGCGTTCCTTTGGAGGAGGAGAGGCGCTCTGCATTTTAGAGTTTCCAGTTTTTCTGTTCTGTTTTTTCCCCATCTTTGTGGTTTTATCTACTTTTGGTCTTTGATGATGGTGATGTACAGATGGGTTTTTGGTGTGGATGTCCTTTCTGTTTGTTAGTTTTCCTTCTAATAGACAGGACCCTCAGCTGCAGGTCTGTTGGAATACCCTGCCATGTGAGGTGTCAGTCTGCCCCTGCTGGGGGTGCCTCCCAGTTAGGCTGCTCGGGGGTCAGGGGTCAGGGACCCACTTGAGGAGGCAGTCTGCCCGTTCTCAGATCTCCAGCTGCATGCTGGGAGAACCACTGCTCTCTTCAAAGCTGTCAGACAGGGACATTTAAGTCTGCAGAGGTTACTGCTGTCTTTTTGTTTGTCTGTGCCCTGCCCCCAGAGGTGGAGCCTACCGAGGCAGGCAGGCCTCCTTGAGCTGTGGTGGGCTCCACCCAGTTCGAGCTCCCCAGCTGCTTTGTTTACCTAATCAAGCCTGGGCAATGGCGGGCACCCCTCCCCCAGCCTCGCTGCCGCCTTGCAGTTTGATCTCAGACTGCTGTGCTAGCAATCAGCAAGACTCCGTGGGTGTAGGACCCTCCAAGCCAGGTGCGGGATATAATCTAGTGGTGCGCCTTATTTTAAGCCCGTCGGAAAAGCGCAGTATTCGGGTGGGAGTGACCCGATTTTCCAGGTGCCGTCCGTCACCCCTTTCTTTGACTCGGAAAGGGAACTCCCTGACCCCTTGCGCTTCCCAAGTGAGGCAATGCCTCGCCCTGCTTCGGCTCGTGCACGGTGCGTGCACCCACTGACCTGCGCCCACTGTCTGGCACTCCCTAGAGAGATGAACCCAGTACCTGAGATGGAAATGCAGAAATCACAGTCTTCTGCGTTGCTCACGCTGGGAGCTGTAGACCGGATCTGTTCCTATTCGGCCATCGTGGCTCCTCCGCCGTTATCCTTCTTTTTCATGTACAAGCAAACCACCAAGTTATTTGACATCTTTACAATTTCACTTAGAGGTCACCAATGATAACTCATTTCCTAACGCTGGCCACTTAAGTAGAAGCAGATTACTGTGCAAGAGTAGCATCAACAGTATTAGTAATAAAGCAAAGCATCATTTTTTTTATTTCCAGCCTGATCACCAAACTTTCAGCTGAATCTGCATGTGATACATTGCAGGTGTCCTTATATATCAATAAAATTGATTGGAACAAATTGAATCAAACCCACTATTACAGTAAAATTTGGCAGCATTAATATGTGTTAATGATAGTTGGGCCATCTAATTTTGGGAAATAGTAACAATTAGAATGCAAGCCTGGGCAACATACCAAGACCCTGTCTCTAAAACCACAATAACAAAAAAATTAGCTAGGCCTGGGGTCACATATCTGTAATCTCAATACTTGGGGCACTAAAGTGGGAAGATCTCTTGAGCTGAGAGGTAGAGGCTGCAATGAACCATGATTGTACCACTGCAGTCCAGCCTGGGTTTCAGAGTAAGACTCTGTGTATAAAAAAATGAAGTAACTCAGAAATGGAAAACCAAACATTGTATGTTCTTACTCACAAGTGGGAGCTAAGCTATGAGGATGCAAAGGCATAAGAGTGATACAATGGACTTTGGGGACTTGGAGGAAAGGGAGGGAGCAGGGTGAGGGATAAAGCACTACACAGTGGGTACATTGTACACTGCTTTGGTGATGAGTGCACCAAAATCTCAGAAATCACCCCTAAAGCACTTATTCATGTAATCAAACACCACCTGTTCCCCCAAAACCTATGGAAATAAAAAATTAAAAAAAGAAAACCAAAACACCAAAACAACCAAACCAATCAACCAAACAAAATAATTAGAATACAGACTTTAGTGCTTCTGTTGGGCTTATTGGTGAACAACCTCACTTCTGGTTTTGGCTAAGATAGCATATGCTTAGTAAAAGAGGCTTTTTTTTTTTTTTATTATAAACTGAATGTTGTATTATTGCTTGAAACCAAATCTACTCAACAGATTTCTACTAGCCACAACAAGGATGGACTGCCACTCCTAATGTTGTTAGCTGAATTTTCTTTACATAATCACTTCTGCCTACATTTTATTGGCCAAAGCAAGTCATGTGGCTGCTGTGGAGGCCAATGATGATCGAGATACATAATTCTTCCATGAAGAGGAGCTTCACAAGTTGCACGGCCAACCCCAACATTTGTGGGCTGAGGGTGCATAGTCTTTTCACCTAGAGGGGCAGGACATGTTTTGAATAGCGTAAAATCTGCCAGGCGCGGTGGCTCATGCCTGTAATCCCAGCACTTTGGGAGGCCCAGGCGGGTGGATCACGAAGTCAGGAAATCAAGACCATCCTGGCTAACATGATGACACCCCGTCTCTACTAAAAATACAAAAAATTAGCTGGGCGTGGTGGCGGGCGCCTGTAGTCCCAGCTACTAGGGAGGCTGAGGAAGGAGAATGGCGTGAACCCGGGAGGCGGAGCTTGCAGTGAGCCGAGGTTGTGCCACTGCACTCCAGCCTGCGCGACAGAGCGAGACTCTGTCTCATAAAAAAAAAAAAAAAAAAAAAAACATAGCGTAAAATCTACCATAAAACATGATTCCATTTTCCCCATCAATCTCTCATATGCACTTCAAGAAAGATTTTTCTCAAGGCTAAAAATCCTCCATTTCTTTAATTGTTGCTCTAAGACATAGTTTTAAGTTCCTCTTCATTCTCTGAGCACATTTTACTTTACCTGCATTTCCTGGGCTGTTAAGCTTTGTGACAATAGGGACTGTGTCTTTTTTGTTCTCCACCAGATCTCGAAGGCCTAACACAGTACCTAGTAACTTAGAAGGCACTCAATAAATATTTATTGAAGGCATAAAATGCTTCTTTTAGATCATCGCCTGATCAGTGCAGGTCAAAGTAGAAATATTACCACGCTTATTGTAGATTTCCTACATCTTTTAATATAGCTTAGAATTATGTGTCTGTGAGCACATGATCCTATGAATTATTTCTGACCCTATTGTTGCCAGAAAAATGTCTGTAGACGTTGCTCTTAAATTTGGTTTCTCTCATGTATTATTGTACAATTGATTTTTGAACCTATATGCAGACCTTGACACTTACCTCATTGTAATATCCTGTTCCATTCAGTCCATTACTCCAGCTTGTCTGTATTTTCTCCAATCCTGATTTAGTTACCTAGTGTATTTAGTGTCCATCTCATATAAAGCACATGCAATCATATGCAAATCAGGTGGATTTGCCTTCCATGGCTTTGTTCCAGCCACTGATAAAGGTGAGGCAGGAAACATCTTCTAAGAAATGCTTTGTGGCACACCATCTGAGATGTTTTTCCAGCTTGCCATTGATCTGTTATTGGAAACTGAGTGTTCATGGGATTGCCCAGATAAGCAACACTGCATGACCCCATGGTGCCACAGGAGCCTGAGTCCAGGCTCTGTCACGTACTAACATGTTACTTTCCACATCTTTAAGCCCTGCTTTCCTCTCTGTAAAATGTAGGGTTGGAAACGGAGATGAAGTTGAGATTCATTACATGCAGTATGTAAACTGCTTAGCTCCGTGTCTGGTACCTGATAGGTACTAGAAACATGTTTTCTTCCTTTTCTGATACCACAAGTGTCCTGTTTGCTGCTCCTCTTTTTATTGGGTTCAGAATTAGAAAGCAAATTTACTAAGTCCCTTGATTCAGATTCAGTCCCCACACCCAGAATACTCACTCAGGATGTTGAAACGTAAATATAACCCCCACTCTCTGAAGTGGCAGCCAGGAACCTTGGAAAGGTCTCCAAATTCAGAGATACAAAAGCATATGTACTACATATTCCCAGGAATATCTTTGGAAACAGCCTTGGATATTTACCTAGGAAACCAACTTATAGTTTCCCTAGATAAATATGCTAACTAATTCTAATGACACTCTTGGGCCACACTTGTTTTTTGTTTTTGTTTTGTTTTTTAAAACAGATTTCTCTACCTAATTGTATTTTTGCTCAGGCACGTCCAGATCAGTTTGAGCTGGGTAACAGAGAGAAACACAAGAGGAATTTGTCTCTGAAAATTCACAATGTGGAAAATTTACTTGCAGCTAATAAAGAGGAGCTTCAGTGAGAAAAAAAAAAATGCTCTGGGGATTTCAGATATTTCCCTCCTCTTCTTTTGATCTTCAACGTCAAGTTCATGTTAACCTCGACTTTTGGTACACTTTTACTAATGAAATACCTACATATGTGCTGAGGACTGGCCTGGAGTGTTAAATTTATGGTGTAACCATTATTCTTTGTGTTAGCTGGGTATGGAAGAATGCCTGTTTTAGTGCATCAAGGACATTTGCACTTTGCCTCATTTTAAATACAGTCAGCCCTCTGTCTCTGTGGGTTCCACATCCGTGGTTTCAAGTAAGCTCTGTTCAAAAATATTCAGAAAAAAGTCTGTAGTGAACATGTATGATATGAGAGTATATGCTTAGGTTACATGCAAATTCTACACCATTTCATTTCAGGGCCTTGTGCATCCTCAGATTTTGGTATCTGAGGGAACTCCTGGAGCCAATCCCTCATTGACACTGAGAAATTACTGTACTGTTTTATTTGAGCCGGGTTAGTCATAGCTTAGTTAAGGTCCTTTTTCTGACTGGGTTCAAAGCCCACAGCTCTGGCCAAGGACTCAGACCTACCCTGAGTCCCAGTGATAAAGACTCTTTAAACTACTTTGGTGGTGATGATTGCATCACAGTGTGAATGTGCTTAATGCCACTGAAATGAACACTTAAAAATAGTTAAAATGGTAAATTTATGTTATGTGTATTTTACCATAATAAAAATATGCTAAAAAATGCAATATATGATCCTCCATTGAACTGTGAACCAAGAAAAAAAAGTTATAAAGGACATTTTTAGGATAGTTGATAAAACTTGAATACGAACTATAGATTAAATAATAGTAATGAATCAATATTAAAGTTTAGTGATTTTGACAATTGTTAAAAAACAAATAAGCAAAAACACTTTGGCAGAAAGGCAAGACAAAAGCTGAAATATTTCTAGCTGAAAGGAAAGTGCAGGAAGTAAGAGGCTGGGCCTGGGATCACCCAGCATGAAGGCTGAAGTTTGCAGGAGTCATGTGGATGAGAAGGAAAGCAGAAGGGGACTGGTCACCAGGAAACCTGAGATAAAGGGTGTGTGGAGGGAGGTGATTCCACCTGGCCCAATGTGTGTCAATCCCAGCTGCTGTGTATCAGCCATGTGCTATCATGTTCTTTGTACCTAGTTTTAGTGAATTCAGAATTTTTCTTTTCTACATTTTGCAATTACCATCTGCATCAATGCTGGATTACTTTGTGAACATTACCATCTCGCTTACGTGTAGAAAACAGTATGAAGAGCTGTAGATTGCTTCAGAAAAGTCTAAGCCAGGTTACAGTTGTTGAAAAACTCTTGATTTATTGTATGATACCATATGGTAGTTGAATTTCATGAATTTAGACTCCACTAACTCAAAATTTATAAAAATGGAGGCAGAGATCTTCCTGATTTGTCTTGTATTTAAAGAAAGAAAAAGTATCTATGAAGCAGATAAATAATGGAAGTTGGTCTGCAGATCAACCTCATTAGGAAGGCATGCTGTTCCCCGTACTTGAGAAGCAAAAATTTACTCACAAAGTTATTAGTATGCTAATTAAAATACATTATTCTCTATTCATCAAAATAAGTCTGCAAGCATTCCACTCCCAGTCATTTGTAAGCCTCTCTCCTTTACTGAGTGTAATAGTTTTTTATTTTATAGGATATTTCTTTTTAAATATTCCATAATTCATACTAAGCTATCCTTCATTTGTCTAAATCATTAAGTATTTTGTCTTACACTGAAATGTTTAGTGAGTGGTTTATGAACAGACTATTTTCAAAGAGTTCTAGGATGTGGCCTTTCTTTTCTAATGGAATAAATTCATTTGATATAGAGATAAATCCAGATAATGTAGGAGATTATGTTAAGGAAAAGGCAGCAAAACTGAGAAAGGTAAAACAGGATGGGAAGGAAGTAACCCATGTTGAGGTGATGAAATAAACGCTAGAGAGTTAGTGAAAACCATAGATTATAAATATTTTGGTAATTTAAGAACGTACCAGTGAAAAGGAAATAAACTACCAGGCAAGAATGAGAACAGTGTCTCTAATAGCACTGTCAGTCAGAGTGATAATTTTAGGGGAAAGTGTTTGGTCACATACCTGGTGGTTCCCTGAGATATCACATTGCAGACTCCATTTTCATCCTGAGTAATGGAGCGCAGATGAGTGTTTTGGATGGTGGCAAGGGATAGAGAGGATTACATAAAGTGGTGTTATTGCAAAACTCAGTGCAGAGGAGATGTGTTCCAGTCACCCAGCTCCCATTCTGGAGGCCAGAAAAAGCTAAAATACTTCATAACCAAATGCTTAAGTCAATGCAAATGTTGGATAGGCTGACAGATGTCAAAGCCCTCTCTTCCTCACTGAGTGAATAGTGAACCACATGTGATAAAATGAGGACCAGATGGTACTGAAACGAGTGTCTCTTCTCAGGAATATGTGTGTGTGTGTGTGTGTGTGTGTGTGTGTGTGTGTGAATACAGTTGACCTTTGAATAACACAGGGTTTAAGGATGTTGACCCTGATATGGTTTGGCTCTGTGTCCCCACCCAAATCTCATCTCAAATTGTAATTCCCATGTGTCAGGGGACAGACCTGGTGGGAGGTGATTGGATCATGGGGGCAGTTTTCCCAATGCTGTTCTCTTGATAATGAGTGAGTTCTCATGAAAGCTGATGGTTTTCAAATATGACACTTCGCTTGCTGTCTCTCTTGCTGCCTTGTGAAGAAGGTACTTGCTTCTCCTTCTCCTTCCACCATGATTGTAATTTTCCTGAGGCCTCCCCATCCATGCAGAACTGTGAGTCAATTAAACCTTTTTTAAAAAAAATAAATTACCCAGTTTTCAGTAGTTCTTTATAGCAGTGTGAAAACTGACTAATACAAACTCCTGTGCAGTAAAAAATCTTCATATAACTTGAGACCTCTCCAAAACTTAACTACTAATTGCCTACTGTTGACTGAAAGCCTTACCAATAACATAAATAGTCAATTAACACATATTTTGTATGTTATATGTATTATATACTGTATTCTTACAATAAAGTAAGCTGGAGAAAAGAAAATATTTTAGGAAAATCATAAGGAAGAGAAAATATATTACTATCTATTAGATGGAAATGGTTTATCATAAAGGTCTTCATCTTTGTCAACTTCATGTTAAGTAGGCTGAAGAGGAGAAAGAAGAAGAAGGGTTGGTCTTGCTGTCTCAGGGGTGGCAGAGGTGGAAGACGTGGAGGAAGTGGCAGGGGAGGCATGAGAGATAGACCCATGCAGTTCAAATCCATGTTGTTCAAGGAGCAACTGTATATGTATGAATGTATATGAATAGATACGATTATATAAAAATGAATATATAGATATTCATGGCTGTGATGTAGTACATAGGAAAGAATCACCATTTCATCTTTTGTTATGTAAAATTTAAAACATACACAAAGTAAACAGAATAGTAAAATGAATTCCTGTGTACCAATCACTCAGTTTCAATAATTATTATTCTTGCTTTATATTTATCTACACCCATTCCCTACCCCCTACTCAATCATTTTTAAGCTTTTGAGAGAAATTTAATGTACATAAAAAGATCTTAATAATTTGGACAAATGGATCTACCCATGTAACCCACATCACCATTTCATTTTCTCCCCCATGGTTTTCTACAGGTGTCTAAACCATGGCTGAAGTGCGTGGATCCCATTTTACTGTAAAGACAGGCAACCCAATGCCAATAGCTTAGATTCCATGGTTTCTTAGTAGTGGTGATGTTGAAGGGATGGCAATGGGAAGTAGAGGAAAGAATAGAAAGATCTAAGGAGCAGAGAAGAAAATGTACCCTGAAGTAAAGGATATGGATTTGGAATGGCCTATGAAAGAAAATGGGCAAGCTGCAGAGAGAGAAAAGAAGTTTCATAACTTCATGTACTCCATGAGAAAGAAGAGAATTCCTAATTTTTGACTTTTAGATGGCAGTTAGAGGAATCTCAAAACAATGCTTAAGAAGTTATCTTGACTGTCAGTGCATTAAAACCTCTCCCCAGCCTATTGAAAAAGCCTGGAATGAAATTCTGCTCATGCTTCACACAGAGCTTTCAGTGCATGTATCCCCTTCATCCTGCACTCCCAGCCCCTTCATCATGGGCACCCTGCCTATTCTCAGGGTGACTTCCTGGCCTGGTCATGTTGTTGATCATTATTGACATTCTCATTGCCTCTTGAATCTCACAGCATCTTGGGAAAATGAGGCACTAGCAAAAGAATACCCCAGAAGTCCCCATGCCCACTCTAAGTGTGCCCTCTCCTTATGACCCTTCTCAAAGTTTTCTCCTGCACCAGTTCTATTTTTAGGGCAGTTTTCTAACCTGCAAGACCTACCCTCCTACATAGTGCAGCTGAAACAAATCTCCAGAGGGCACGTTATTTCCTAGTGAATAATTCTACCACCCTCAGTTTTTTCTCTGGATCCCACCTACACTTGCCAGGTGGTTTCTTTGTCTGAGGCCAAGACTATTCTGCCAGTTGGTCCTCAGTGCTGTGGCTTGGAAATATCCTCAGAACTTTATTCCAGATGGCCCTTCATCTGCTAATCTCTAGCTCTTCCTGATTCCCATGTGGTCTGGATTGGTGGTATGGACCAAAAACCAGACTCAAAGATAGCTTATTGCTTGATAATGGGCAAGGGCAAGAATATTTGAGCAAATGATTCTGAAATAGAAAAGCAGGCTTGAGGGAAGGAGACAGGGCCATTTTTCTGTTGATGGAATCACTTTAGAGTTTTGTTTTGTTTTTTGAAGGCATCTGGTTTCCATGTCTGTTGGTCTTCCTAATAGAAACATGATAAAGCTTTAATATAATGCCCACTATTTTCTGTTTTATGCACTGAATGTAAATCATGTCAAGTTCAAAGACTGTATATTCAGTTTTCCTCAATGGTAGCTTGCTTTGTAGCTTGAGGAAAAGTAAGCTTTAATATATTTCTTTGTGGGTGAAAGACCAATATTGATCGATGAGGTGCTTTCATTCTTTCATTACTTTTTATAAGCTCACACATTAGGTTAGGAATAAGTTTGTTCCATCAAATCTAATCATAGCATCTAAGCAGCATTTTGGAGGTTAGCCACGACCAATAGTAGTATGCTTAGAACAACTCTGGTTTTCTCCAATAAACTCTCACTTAGCAACTTAAATCTTAAATTCTAAAAATGTATTTAGGGAATATATATTTATACATATATTATTTGTTGTATTAGGCCATTTTTGCCTTGCTATAAATACCCGAGACTGGGTAATTTATAAAGAAAACAGGTTTAATTGGCTCATGATTCTTCAGGCTGTACAGGAAGCATGGTGCTGGCATCTATCTCGTTCTAGGGAGCCCTCAGGAAGCTTACAATCCTGGCAGAAGGTGAAGGGAGAGCAGGCACATCACATGGTGAAAGCAGGAGCAAGTGCCAGAGAGACAGAGAAAGAGAGAGAGAAGGGGGAGGTGCCACATACTTTTAAATGACCAGATCTTGCAAGAACTCACTATCATGAAGATCGCACCAAACTATGAGGGATCCGCCCCCATGATCCAAACACCTCCCACCAGCCCCCACCTCCAGCACTGGAGACTACAACTCTTCTTGAGATTTGGGCAGGGACAAACATCCAAACTATAGCATATGTAGTGCACAGACACAATTGTTCTCAGAAAAATGAGTTCCTTTATTTTCTTTGTCTTTTTCCATAAAGTTCCAAGAGTTGCTAGGATTTGGTAAAACAGTATTCACACTGTCTCTATGTTTTTGGGTTTTAGTCTTTGGTTTTGTTTTTTCTCCTCACTTCTATCCCAGTCTTTGAGTTTCTATATAAGGAAACCTGATATTTTTTTGTTTATAATCACACAGAAACTCCTCTAGGCCCTTGGCCACTTTAACAAAAAATATAAATACCAATTGCATGTTTCTTTACTCCATTGTCCTTTGTTACTCTCGTTGAGCAATCCCGAGGTTTTATTTGCTCTTTCCCTCCTTTCCCGCTCTCAGTACTTCAAAAGTACAATCAGACCTTTGCTCAACTTAAAATACATCTTCTCTCCTACCCGAGTGGTACTTCTTATCTTATATTTTTGCACTGCTTACATGTTTCTGTTTTTTTCTCTAAGGACTTTGAGATTCATATGCTTCTTTAGTCTTCATGATATATCTTTGTCTCCTTAAAAAAATTTAGTGCTCTCTCCCTCTAATTTTTGGTGGCTTGATTTTGATGGTGCTACTTTAAAAAAATATCTATTACTAAAGAACTTTTGAATTATGTATGAAATGCATGTCCAAATTTAAAAATAATAATAAATTTGCCATCAGCATGTCTTTAAGGATCTGCTTTGTTTATTCCCCTCCTGTAGCTGAGGACTATTGCTGGTTTGGTTTGGACTCATGGGTCCAAATGAGCTTTTGAACGTAAAATTGTATGTCATTTGGAACTGAACTGCTTTCACACACTTTAGGTGCAAAAATGTGAAATGACAAAAGCCTCGTATTGGTGTAATTACTGGAGGTAGGATTGCTGGGCTAGATGAAGACTGGGGCTCCAAATATGCCATGGCCAAACTAATCCCCTCATTGATTTCTACCTGTGTTACTTTTGTACTCCTAGTCACTAAAGCTATTTTAACAATATATAATGACATTTGTAACCTGTATATTTATATATTGAATCAGAATCTCTCCAGGTAGTTGGTAACAACAAAGAAGACATATACTGGTGGTTAAAATAAATTTCAGGTGATCAAATCTTTGGCCAACTTCAACAGTAGCAAAACATAATTGCTTTGGGAGGCCAAGGCGGGCAGAACACCAAGGTCAGGAGATAGAGACCATCCTGGCCAACATGGTGAAACCCCGTCTCTATTAAAAATACAAAAATGAGCTGGGCGTGGTGGCACATGCCTGTAATCCCAGCTACTCAGGAGGCTGAGGCAGGAGAATTGTTTGAACCAGGGAGTCAGAAGTTGCAGTGAGCCAAGATCACACCACTGCACTCCAGCCTGGTGAGAGAGCGAGACACTGTCTTAAAAAAAACAACAACAAAAAAAAACAAAACAAAACAAAAAACAATAATTGCTGTGCTTCTAGTTCAGCAATATCTGTGAAAGTGAATGCTAAGTCATAATTAAAGTCTTGAATTTCTACATCTTTTGAGGAATTTCTCTTGAATACATTCTGTAGGCCTGTTTAACAAGATGAATCTCTTAATGCAGCCATATTATATTCAGAAAAAGGTACTTTCCTCCTGCAAGACTCCTCACTTTCTCTGGGAAAAAAATTTGGGGGAAAGTTGAGAGGATCTTGATATTATTGTAGTGGAAATAGGTGTTCATGTCCTCAAAAGAAAAGAGTCTTGTTGTTCAGGCTGTTGTTCAAGGCTGGAATGGCTACAAGGCTACAAGTCTATTTCATGGCATGGATGATGAAGATAGCTGTTCTTAGAGCATGCCATTACTGCAGAATTGGCTGCTGACACATCTCAGAGAAAAGAGAAACATCATGCTCAAAAATCCATCTCTTTAAAGAAAACTAGTCAGGCACAGTAGCTCATGCCTGTAATCCCAGCACTTTGGGAGGCTGAGGCAGGAGGATTGCTTGAAGCCATCAGTTCTAGACCAGCCTTTGTAGCATAGGGAGACCCCTGCCTTTACAAAAAAATTAAAAAATTAGCTGGCCATGGTGATGCACACCTGTAGTCCCATCTACAGGGAGGCTGAGGTGGGAGAATTGCTTGAGCCCAGGAGGCAGAGGTTGCAGTGAGCTATGATGGGGCCACTGCACTCCAACCTGGGTAACACAGTGAGATCCTGTCTCATAAAATAAAATAAGGAAAACAAGGTATGGTTTAGTTAGCACCAAGTCCACTATTTTTATTTGTTCTGAATAAAGAAGCTGGAAAGTATCAGGGAAAGAGTGCCATTCCATTTTGCTTTTCTTTAAATATTATACCACGGAGAAATTGTTAAAGAACAATTTATCTTTAACCTTTCACCCTCAGATGCTGCCAGCTGCAAGGTCAGGTGTAGCTTAGTTTATCTGCTCCCAAAATGCTGTTCGGGCATGTCAAAACCACAAGAAGTAGTTCCAGCTATTGCACTCAAGTTCTTTCTTGACCTCAATGCTTGGCACCCTCCTTTCATTCAGCTCAAGTTCCCATTAGGAGTATGGGGCCCAGTTTGGAACAATAGATGGGGCAGTTGTTTGCTTTCATTCATATTTCATTAACTTTTCTCGGCTGTGTCCAGCATCTTTTACTACATTTTGTATCATTTGTTATTACCCTGCAAGGTATAAACTTAATACAGACTTTGATTATGTTTATGGGACTAAGCCACTTGGAACTACAGTATTCAAAACTGCCTGGCCTTCCTCCAGAAATTTGCTGTATAACCTCCACAATGATAGGAAACAAGCTCCCAGAAAACCAAATCCTTCATATCAAACAACTGTGTCAGGTCTTTGGTTAGTATTAGCTTTTCTATTGCAGCAGATACCAGCGGATGGTGGATTAACTCAGCTGGGGGCGGGTTGGAGGTTGGTGGTGGTCCAAGGAAAACTCCATGTGATTGACAGAGGCCCACGTAGGGTTACTCAGGTCAGACTTGACATACGATCAGGTGAAAATGCAACTCCAAAAACTTGGAGAAGACCCCAGCTCCGGAAACCATTTTTAAAGAAAATTAAACTTTCTAAATGGTTTCAACACATGTTTTTAATACTTGTTAAATGCCTTTTTCTTTCTGGAAAAGACATGTTTCAACAAAATGAAAAAATGGATAAATATTTGGCAAAACAATCTTTTCTCCAAATGCCCCTGGGTAAAAGCAAATGAAAATTGTACTTACAACCAGGCTGTTCCACACCTGTGTTTTGTTTTTTCTTTTTTTCCTCTTTATTGTGTATATAACAGTTTGCTTCATATGACTCTTTAATTAAATACTTAACAGCATATAATGGTGGACGTTGGGTAATGTTAGGCTGTGTTTTACTGCGTAGCTTAGTGTGCTTATTTGTACTTTGTGGAGGCATTTTAAACCACACGGAGGGCTCCCTTCCATGCAGAGAACTGAAGTACATCTCACAGAGAAGCCTTTGAGCTCAGTTACTGCATAGAATGAACCTCCGGTAGTGCCAACATGGCAGTCCCTAATGCATCCCAGCTCAGCTGCCTCTCTCTGGGCAGAGCTCCGATTTGTTTAGTGGGGAAATGATGCTTTGTTGCTTTGTCATTCCTTTTAGAAAGCCTGATTTGTCTGTATGCGGAGCGGAAGAAGGAGATAGAAATGGAGGAGCAATCTAGCAGCAGGTAGAGCAAAAAGAGAGTTGATTAGTGGCAGCAGAGAAATAGTCATTGGCCGAGCATGAATCATGGAGTAGCCAGCTGGGCTTGAGAAGGACTCTACAGCTTGATATGTATGTGTTAAGATAGGTTGAGGTTGTGAGGGTGTCAAAAGCCTTTACTGGCCCAGGAAATTGAGAAGCAGATAGAGAGTTGGTTTGTTCAAAGGTGAGTTGGCGTTTGGACAGGGATTTTCTTTTCTGCAAGGTGAGTGCAGTGGTAGAGCTAGGGGTATGTGAAGAGAGGAGATTGGGTGGCTTGCCTAGGGTGCAGGCGAAAGAGCCAGGAATGAAGTGAGAGGCCTAAGTGGAGCCTTCTGTGGCCTTTTGCCAGTCTAGAGCCGGGGATCCTAAATTTATTTAGGTCATGGGCCCTTTGTGAATGTGAATAATGCTTGCTATGGACTCTCACCCTAGAATAGTTTCTCACCCTTGAGCTATTGACATTTTGGGCTGGTAATTCTTTGTTGTGGGGGCTGTCCTGTGCATTGTAGGATGTTTCGCAGTGCTGCTGGCCTCTGCCGAAGAGATATCAGTGCCAACTCTCCCAACCCCCAGTTGTGAGAACCACAAATGTCTTTAGCCACTGTCAAATGTCCCCTGGGGGTGTTGGGGGGAGGGGGGCAACATTGACCCTCGTTTGAGAACTGCTGCTCTAAAAATATACAAAAGTATTCAAAATTTCCAGGGTTGGAAATTGTACTGACTCTTGAAAACTACTCATAAACCTCTCTAGGGTTAGCATTATTAAAATACATCCAGCACCTCCTGTCTGACTTCTCAGAAAAGCTGGATCCTACTTACTGCACCAACTTTCTGAAAGGTATGGAGAATTTTTCTCCATTAAGAAAGGGGACAACAGAAGTTCATAACATTTAAATTACGGATTTCTGGTCACACTTAAACTGCTTACCTATGATGTCATAGGGTATAAGAATACAGATTCCCTATCTCCTGGGAAAGTTACATATTTGTCCAGTGGTTCAAGGCTACTAGCCTATGAAACTTAGAGGAAGTCAGCATGGTTGATAAATACATCCTTACACTGCACTGACTCTTTCTTCCATCTTTCTCTTCTCTCTTAGAGACCTGAGAAGCATTTGTCTTGCCACTATTTGGAAAGCTCACTTAGTCTTCTGGATGGCAGGTATATCAGCCATTTTAGGGTGGTCTCTGTCATTCTACTTTTGCAGAGAATCTACTCCTGCCATTGCCTCTGCTGAGTGGGCAGTGGACCAGGTGTCCCTGCTCTTAACTCTGTCTGTGATGGTGCACACTGAGGTGAGGGAAAGGGCCTATCCCAGAGTTAATGGATGAGCCATAACTTGAAGCCTGAATGAGGAAGATAAGCCAGGCCAATAACATTTCTCCCTTGGAATTTGAACTTAGCGCCACAGGGGGATGTGGCCTGTTGGTAGCAGAGTGGAGTTGCAGTAGAGTCACGATCATGACAGAACTCTTTTTATGGAGGCCTCCAGCACTTCCCGGAATCCAGGACAAGTCTCCAGATTCAGCCTCGGGAACCATCAGGGTCATTAGAGTTCCTGTACTCAGTGTAACTAGAACTGTCCCTCATGGCTTCCTTTAATAAACACTTACTATACTCCACCTAGCTTGAGCAGAGCCCAGATAGGACCAGTGGGTCCTCAGGGCTGGCTGCCTTTCTGTTAGATACTCCACACATACAGGTGAATGGAATTTTGAGAAATTATAAGGATGGCCCTGTTTGTGGTCTTCCAAGGCAGCATTTCCCACAGGAAAGTAGACATTGTTGCCAATGTATTGTCTGTGGGACATGTAGGTGAGCAGATGGATATCCAGGTCTGTTAATCAGGAGTAGAATGGATGTCAGCTACAGGTTTATGGCATGCTGCCTGCAGCCTTGTCATGGGTGGTCAGACGTGGCCAAGGGGCAGGTGTGTGTACATCTCTCTAGGTGTAGACGCTCTAGGGTCATTCAGTGCCTCTTTGGCTGAGTCTATAACACTTGTTGCCCTGTGAGGAGCACCACCACAGTAAATGCATATTCCTACATTTTGTGCTATGGAGATAGTTCCTCAAAATAGTGTATTCATTCACCTAGGGTATTGCTGGCTTCCCTTCAAGAGCATGGACAGGATATAGCAGCACTTCTCAACAATGGCTGTGCTGCTTCCGGGGCCGGGGCAGGGAAATTTTAGAGATGGGGCCCAATTTTAATTGATACAATAATCAAGGAACACTACTGACATTTGTGAACAGGGGCCAGGGATGCTAGATATTGAAGATTTGTGCCATGAACCACAAAAATTTTGACTGTCTCACAAGATCTATTTACAATTATCTCAACTTTGAATCTAATTCCATTTAACATATATGTACAAATTAGTTTTGCTTGATTTTAATGGTCCCTGAAACTTCCAGGAATGCAACTGCCATTTAATGAAGGAGAGATTGTCCTTTTTGTCTGGAAATGTGTCAAGAATTATTTATTTCAGAAAATCATGTTACTGATGACAATTGCTGATTTGAGTTGCCAGGATGCAATATATTTGTGTTAGTTTGCATGTGGAGTAGTTACATTTATGATAATTTTGTGTGTGTGTGTGTGTCTGAATATAAATATATAAATGTGTGTGTTTGTGTGTCAGTTTGTGACTATAATGGAAGGAACGTCATCTCAACGTACTTCTCTAACTCTCATAACTATCTTGAATCACAAAGCAGCAGTAAGGTTTGCACCACAGAGTAATATCTTGTGGTGAGATGTTATCACCTTTAGCTACGTGTTCCGCTGTGAATTTACATTTCTTTCTAGGGAATGTGAACATTTGCATCATTCTTTCCACGAAGCCTGACCTTCAACTTCAACAACATTTGATAGCACAGCAGGACATTCTGATGCTAAACGAGGGGAACACGGGTTTCTCCAGCTCAGTAGAAGGAAGTTTCTCTCTGGCTTCCCTAACAAATGATTCCCTCTGTCTTTCTCTCTCCTCTTGGCTCTCTCTCCTTTGATCCATGCCGGGTATATTACCTGTCCCCCTCTTTCCCAATACTTCTCCAATTTTTCATCTCCAATTTAAAGCAGATGGCCTGCTCATGTGAATTATCACGATTATGAGAAGCAGTTTCCCACAACTCTCATATTCCTCAGAATGATCCTCCCATTAAATGTGACTTAGGTTACTTTCTCCCACTTAAAGTTACTTAAATTCATGATTATCCTCCTTATTGGTCTCGGAGGAGCAGAAATTCTTTGACTCTAGAGCATGAAGGCCTCTATATTTGCCTTAACCCTTTATTTATATCAAATTTTCTTCCTACTTCTAGTGACTCTTTTACTGGCATCATTAACTTCTCCTGGATTGAGTATTATCTATAATTTATAAGAAGAAATGTTCAAGTAAGATTACTTTTAGCTGACAATTAAAATGACCATTTGTTTCTTGGCATTTCTCTAGCAAGAATAAGAACAGCCCACTTTATTAAGTAGTTACTATATGTCAGGTCCTATTCCAAATTCTTTATAGGCATTGTTTCATTTAATCCTCATAAATAACTGTGTGAGGTAGATACTATTATTATCCCCATTTCATAGATGAGGAAGCTTGGAAAGATAAAATAACTTGCCCAAGATTTCACTATTAATAAGTGTCCTTCTCTGTCCATGAAATGTAAGTCATTTAATACCCTAAATAGGAAAGCATCCCAGAGAAAAATAAATTGAGAAAGTATAAGACTAAATCCATCACCAAGACATTCCATCAGAGTAGCAGTCGTGATGAGCTTAGCTTTTCCCTAAATATTGGCTTGCAATCACATTCTCATTACTCATATCTAAACTATATATAGCAACAATATGTCATCTAGAGAAGAATGACTGTAACAGTTGATGCTAACAGATTTCAGTGTATGTCTCTGTTTCTACTTTGGCTGTGGTCCTATTTAATTGGCAAATTATTCCTCATGAAAGAACTAAAAAGAATAAATTTCAAAAGCAAATTATAGCTTCTCTGAGCCTAGACAGCCATATATCTAACATATGACCCTTGCTTTGCCGGCATTTAGGGGCTGGAGGATGGAGAATAGAAGAGAACATGAGTATAGTTTGATATTAGCAAGGCCAATGCATTGTTTTAGATCCGTTCACATAAGTTGTCTTTTTTCCATGTGTTTACCAGAGATTATGCCCTTAATCTTGGTCCTGAGCCATTGATCTTGAGAGGAACCAGGCGAGCCCATTGCTTCTACTGAAAAGTGTATCTAAGTGTTGACCTCTGGATAGGTGAGCTGCATGTTGTTGGTTGATACTCTGCTCCTTACTGCCTTTTAATTCTCTCCTATTTCTGGGATTAGAAACCTGCTTCCTACATGACTCAGACCCCATTTCTTGCTAAGTTGTGTTGGTTGTACCAATAAGAGGCACTCAGGTGAGATTAGAAGATGGAGGGAAGCAGATGTGGTTGTGCTTTAGGCAGCAACGTCAATGAGAATGTGCATTCTTGTGGGTTTTCACTCAGCAGCCACGGCATTCTGTGGCATGAGTGAGCTCATGGGCTCTGAGTAACACAACTTTCCCCTTTCACTTTTCGAGTCTTAGCATTTTCTTGCAGTTATAAAGTTTTGGCTAAACTTTTCTTATTTGCACTTCCAGTTCCTCTGATATGTTTTGTAATCAATTCTCTATATTAAATCCTTACCTCCCATTTGAAATGAAATGGTTTCTATTTCCTAGCGTAGACACCAACTTATAGACAGGGTGGAATTTATAAAAGCCAATCCCATCATTTTCACAGATAAAAGACAAATTTTATCTATTGAATGATTTTATTAATTGTAAAGTAAAAATAAATTATAGCTTAAAAATTGCTTATGTAAGATAGAGCAAATGGTAACTAGGTGTGCATAAAGCAGCCCTATCTAGCCCTCTCTAGTCCTATCTAGCCCCAGTGGTTTACGTCCTCAGAACACAAAGGACTGCACTAAAACGTAACAAAGCAAAAACAAGGAAAAAAAGCACCTTGAACTGTTTTCAGTAATAATATTGTAGGCAGAAGTGTTAGTATTGTTTTCAGGGACTCTTCTAGAATATTATATGGTCAAGCAAGTGAATAATCATGTTAGTGTCACTGTGTATCATGTTTTTCAGAGAGGGAAATAGAAAATACAGATATAAGATTCATGAGGTTAAGTTTAAAACTCCGTAGAACTGACCTAGAATTGGAATAAACAGTTTAAACTCATGAAATATTTTATCTTTAAAAATATGTTTCCTAGCTCTCTCCACCAAAGAGGCCTGGAAACAATGACCAATCTATTAGCAATGAGCATCTTTAGCATACAGATTGTCATCTCTAAGTGTAATTTCCCAAGACCCAGGGCTTCTTGGGGGAAATGGTTGATTCCAGGCTGGGGGCAGGAGATATACAAGATGATACTGGATCATTTTGCCATATCACAAAGCAAGAAAGCTATCAAAGACCATTCATGTTGTATCAGAAAAACATAGGACCTAACTTGAAGAAGTTTCCACTGGTTAAATATGGGTCAATTTGAACATTAGTAAGAGTAATAACTGTATTGGTTTGAAGCACATAAAATATGTTTGAATACATGAGATAATTCTGCAATTACTTTTGCATCAATCTTTTTATTATTATAAAAACATAGGAAACATTATCAGCCACCTTTGAAGGATGCCCAGGAGCCAACACATTATAATTTTCTTCCTTCTTTCCTCCCTCCCTCCCTCCCTCCTCCCTTCCCTTCCCTTCCCTTCCCTCCCCTCCCCTCCTCCTTCCCTCCTTCCTTCCTTCCTTCCTTCCTTCCTTCCTTCCTTCCTTCCTTCCTTCCTTCCTTCCTTCCTCTCCCTCTCTCTCTTTCTTTCTCTCTCTCTGTTTCTCTTTCTCTCTTTCTCTTTTTCTTTCTTTCTTTCTTGATGGGGTCTCACTCTGTTGCCCAGGCTGGAGTGCAATGGTGCAATTATAGCTCACTGCAGCTTTGAATCCCTGGGCTCAAGCAATCCTCCTGCCTCAGCCTCCAAGTTGCTGGGATTATAAGTGCAAGCCACCATACCTGGCCAAACTAATTATTTTGAAAACTGTTAAATACAGTGGATGAATCATTCTTTTATTCTATCTTTCTTACATGAACTGTATCTCATGGTAACCAAATAATCAATTAGGGAAAATTACTGTTTGTAAAAGGATTCCAGATAATAAAGAAGGGAAAACAGAATTTGAATCTCATCATTCCAGGAGGCTGGGCATTGTGGCGCATGCCTATAATCCCAGTGCTTTGGCAGACTGAGGTGAGAAGATGACTTGAGGCAAGGGATTTGAGATCAGCCTGGGCAATATAGCAAGACCCTGTTTCTACAAAAAATAATCTCATTATTCTGTAATCCCTAATAAATTAGTAGATGTAGGCAGTGTTCATTAATGGTTGCTAACATGACAAAAAGAGAGTGAACCAGAAAGTGTGGTGAAATACACAACACCACTTGTGACATATTCTTGCCGAAAAGAATTGAACCTGAGTCTAATAAATCCACTAGAACTAACTACCAAATTGTACAGAACAGCAAACATGTTAAACATCATGGAATGAAGTCATAAAACTCAGACTGTGGATTTTGACATGTAATATATAATGTGGATTTTGACACATAAGTTATAAGAAGTAGTGGAGGGGAGCCTATAGATTAAAAGACATTTGAGAAACATATTAAATAATTTCAATGGAGGGTCCTTTTTGGATCCCAATGCAAACAAAATTGTGAGACAATTAGGGGAATTTCAACACTGGCTGCATACTTAATTATGTGAGAAATTAATATCAATTTTCTTTTGGTTCAGTAATAGTTTTGTGGTCATGTTTTAAAAAGAACCATTGTCTTTTATCTTTTATAGATAGATATTGAAGTATTTGTGGAGAAATGATATCTGGAATTTGCTTCAAAAAATCCAGGGAAGAGGGAATGATAGGGATACAGAAGATTCATGATTGCCCATGAGTTCATAATTGTTGAAGCTAGATGGTGGGTATACAGTGGATTTTGATGCTACTCTGTCTACTTTTGTATATATTAGAAAATTTCTATAATGGAACGAAAAAAAAAAGCTAGAGAGGGCTAAGTAGAAGATCTTCACATCCAGGTTTCTGGAAATTGAATGCCTTCCATTCTCAGTGATTGGTGCCTTCTGAGCTCCTTAGATATTTCCAGGTGTGCAGACTACATCAGAACTTAAGTTTTGGAATGAAACTTACGCTCTTTAGCTTGGAAGAGATAAAGAGCTAGACACCTCAAAGAGAATGTTTCTGATTGCTGCTGTAACAAATTACCACAAACTATGTGACTTATAACAACATAATGTGTTGTCTTACCATTTCAGAGGGCAGAAATTCAAAACCACTTTCACTGAGCTAAAATCACGGTGTTGGGAGGCTGCACTCCTTCTGGAGGCCCTAGGGGAGAATCTGTACCTTGCTTTTCCTGTCTCCTAGAGGTGCCTGCATTTCTTGGGCCCCTGTCTACACCTCTCTCCTCTCTACATCTGCCTTCACATCTCCTCCAATTCTGTTGCATCTCTTGCTCACTTATTTTATATATATATATATAATATATATATATATTATACATATATATATTATACTTTAAGTTCTAGGGTACATGTGCACAATGTGCAGGTTTGTTACATATGTATACATGTGCCATGTTAGTGTGCTGCACCCATTAACTTGTTATTTACATTAGGTATATCTCCTAATGCTATCCCTCCCCCCTCCCCCCACCCCACAACAGGCCCTAGTGTGTGATGTTCCCCTTCCTGTGTCCAAGTGTTCTCATTGTTCAATTCCCACCTATGAGTGAGAACATGTCTCCCTCACTTATAAGGACGCTTGTGATAACTGTGGTCCCACCTGGATAATTCGGATAATCTTCCTATCTCCAGATCATTAGCTTAATCACATCTGCCAAGCTTTTTTGCGACATAAGGTAACATATTCAAAAATTTTGGGGATTAGGATGTGGACATCCTTGGGGAGAGGCATTATTCTGCCTACCGCAAAGAGAATTGAAGAACCCGCTGGGGTTCTTTGGTTAAATCAGTTGCAAGGAAGTCTGGGAAACAAGGTTGGCAGGAAAAGGATGGGGAACATTTGGTTACAAAGAGATGGTGGGCGACACAAAAGACTTAAAGGACTAAGATTTGGTGGTGAAAGAACCAATGAAAAGGCATTCAAGGGACCTAATGATTGTAGATTTACAGAAGTTATTGTAGAGAGAATGATGACAGGCTGGTTTTCATTTCCATAGAACCAGCATCAGTTAATTTAAATGAAGCAGAGGCTATGGATGGAAGATTTATGAAAATTCTTTTATCTGTAAGGATTGAAATCTGAAAATACTTTAGAAAGCCTAAATGAGGAATTCCCTTCCTTAGAAATTTTGGAGGACCACACACCTATTTATTTGCAGCTGTCAGTGGCTGTCCTATCTGGAGGTAGATGCATGTTCTATGGGGTCTGAGCTGGTTCTCCTTATAATTCTGTTTATGGTTAATGTAGCCTTGAACTCTGGAGAGTAGAAAATGCCACTTCAGCTGCCTGGCTGTCTTGGGTCTCAGAAATAAATAAAGAAAGAAAAACCTATTGTGGCATAAGGGTGGTGAATAGAAAACAAATCAACCAAAAGATCATTTAAGCATAGGGGTTGGTGGCTTGCTTGAGTAAGTGATTTATGACACAATGTTTTTATTTGATCTGGCATTACAGGGATAAATTATTGAGTGCTAATTGTATGTTGATAAGCTGTTCCTGCTTAAATTTATTCCTTCCTCAGTTTGTGTTAATTGGAGTGTATTGGAACAGAAGGGAATTGCCCACTTACTGCCTGGTTTGGTTTATGCTGTTGCTAAAATGTGGAGTTGTAATTGTGTCTTCACTGTTATTCATGCTGAATGAATAAGGGAACTCCTGCCAGTGGACTTCCCCCACCGTTATGCATATTTTTTTCTCATAAATGAATTGTTAAAACATAATATTACTCCTATTTACTAGTTCAAGTTTACTCAAGTTGCAGCAGAAGGTAGGGCCAGAGGTGGACTGATGGAAGGCTGGGGAAATTTAAATGCACATTTTACCATTTGAAATTTAAATCTTCTTTAGATAAAGTCATCATGGGGTGGGGTGGGGGTACTGAATGTTTCCTGTGTAGGTGGCTTTATCTTTGACTAATATTTCGCTCTCTCTCTCTCTCTCCTCTCTCTCTCTCTTTGGCATGAAGGGACATGAGTGGCAATGGCGTGAGTGAGGCCAGCAGTGTGCGTCCAGGTGGAGATGTGGGTGTGGATGTGGGGGGTGGGGGGCCAGTAACTGGCAGATATTGAGGCTCTTGTCTCTCAAGTGTCTCTATAATAAGTACCCTAATTCCAGGGAATTGAGTGAGTCCAGCTTTCAAGAACTCAATACAGACACAAAACAGCAAACGGCCAGCAGGATTACAAGTAGAAATGTTGGGTTGAGATTAAAGGAAATTTGCAAGGGCAGAGGAAATAGTAACATTCCAAATAGGCACGCCAGATTCAGGGGACCCGAGGGCAGGCCACAGGAGTTACTACACATGGCCCGAGGGGAGGCTTGTAAACACCAAGCCCAGACACAGATGCTCGCTCTCTGCCTTGGTTTTATGAATTCCACTGGATGTGGGCAGGTGTGTACCTGGCTGTAAACCAGAGAGGGGTGGGCTCTGCAGGTGTGGGGAGCTCCTGCATAAGGCAGAGACGGTGGGTGCTGCTCCCCAGGCCTCTTCCTGGGTCTCGGATTCCCCTTCAGCTTCTCTCTGCTGCCCTGTAACTCTCTTCCCTCTCTGTTTTGTTCTCAGATGTTAGGTATAATCTCTTCCCATTGATGTCCCTCAAATAAAATAGAAAAGAGTTCTGTTTAACCATTGTTCATGCAGGTTTCCTAGTCAAAGAAGAAAGAACCTCGCTGGCCTCTGTGTAGAAAGCAGAGGTGAGGATTAGGTAAGTGTGGTTTGACCCATATTGAAGATACCTCACTGTAGGTGCTGAAGGAACCATGTAAGTTGGGTCTAGAGGTAGGGATTGTGAGGGCAGAATTAGGTTGAAATTTCCGAAACTAGCCCTAGTTCACTTATGAAGCCATTCTGGCTCTTGGCTAGTTAATTAAAACAGGAGTCATAAATGTGTATAAGAAGATTAGCTAGAATGGCACTGTTACTATGATCTATTTCCTTAAGAAAGGCATGCTAGGGTCCTCGCCCACCTTCTTGGAGATAATGGGAAGTAATGGAAAGAAAGCAGGAGAGGAGATAGAATCCTAGTTCTAGTTGGGTCTCACTATTGACAAGGCTCCTTCTCCCCTTTTTTTTTCTGGAATTTGCAGGCCTCTCCAGTTCTGGCACCCAGGGACCTAGGGCCTCTCAACAGCAGGACCCCCTGGAGTGCTGAGACCTGGAGGGGAAGCCCAGCCAGCATTCAGAGGAAAAACAGGGGCTCGAATCCCAGAGTAAGAAGGCCAAGGGGAGGGTAAAAAAACTGCAAGTTCAAAGCTGATGGGAGACACTGGAAACAGCTCGGTGTGCACATTGTCAGTCTTCGGGGCCCAGCCATGGAGATTAACTTTAGATAGAGCTAGAGGGTACACTGAAGCACATCGAGTATAACTCAGAGAGGTAAAGCAACTTGTCCAAGACCACACAGCTGCAGGTGGCAGACCTAGGACTAGATCCAGTTCTGTAAACACCCAGGAATGCTTTTTCTGTAATAACCTTAGGCCTACCTACCAAGTCAGGTCCATTCTGACCTTGGGTGAAAAGGATGCAGAAAGTCATCCCTGACCAACCACACAGGGAGACAGGAAACTACAATGGGGTTCCAGAGCTACTTGAACTCCACAGTAAACTGTTTTCCTATTTTTAAATTTGGTCAGATAAGAATTATAGGTGATACTGTTAAGAGCCTTGAGGAAAAAAAATGAGTAATGATTAGTAGATCCAGAGAGAAGGTTGTAGGTACTTCCTGCTGCAGAGAGCTTAAGGTTGACATCAATACAAACACCTTTGGTTTTCTTGACAATTCTTAACCTTCTCCATTTGTTTTCTAACTCCTGATCTGTTAGGATTAAGATCTGGCATGTGTAAGTTTGCCCTAGACCTTGATTTTCGGAGAGTGGTTTCCAGAGCAGCAGTAGCAGCTTCACCAGGAAACTACTAAGAAATGCAAATTCATGGGCCCCACTCCAGTCCTCTGGAATCAGAATCTTTGGGTAAGGGTCTAGGAATCTGTCTCAATAAAGACTTCAGGTGAGTCTGATCCATGTTAAAATTTGAGCAGCCCTAAATTAAAAATAAAAAGTCAGTGTAGAATAAAATAATTCAAAGTAATGGTTCAAATTCTGACTACTAGCTATGATGCCTTGGACAAGTGACTGTCTCTCTGTGCCTCAGTTTCCTTGATTCTGAAATGGTTGGGCCTGCCTCATGAGGTCGTTGGGAAGATCAAATGAGATAAGCAAGGAAAAACCTGTGTGTAGCACCTTGCCTGCTGTTCAGTGGGTGCTGAGTATACTTGTTATTCCTATAATTATTACAACTCCAGCTCTCTCTAGCCCTGGTGGTCCACAATGTGAGTTCTAGACCCTTCCTTGTGCATGTTCTCTCTGTCTCTTTCTCTCAGCTTCCACAGCTCCATCCAAATCTTGTAGGTACTTTGGTGTGAGCACTGCAGGACTGGGAGCGGGTAACCGCCTGAGCACTCTTGAAAACCAATCTCCCACCCCTCCCAAGTTCCTGAGCCTCATCGCGATGACATCAAGACAGAACTAAAGCATACTTAGTCCTACTTCATGCTATGAGAAACAGACCATGGGAACCTCATATTCTGAGCCAAAAGTCACGTCACATTCACAAGAAAAATCTTCCTTAGCCAGAGAGGAAGGCCCAGACCTCGGCCATTGGAACTGTCCTCAGAAATCCAAAGTGTCTGGGCATGCTGGCTTAGACCATCTTGCCTTGGCTGTTCCTGTGGCTACTGCTAGCAGCTTCCACGTGGGCCTTTCAAAGCAAGAGCTCAGCCAGCACTTCCCAGCAGCTTGTGGGGCCCCGGCATGGCCTCTGTCTCCACAGAATACAGAGATGAGTGGCAGGCTGGAGCAGCAGCTGCGCCGCCTCCCTCAGGGCCACTATAATGTCTCCCAGGGGGGCAGCCCAAGCTTGAATAAGCCTTGAAATTAGTGAGCAATTCTGACTTGTTTAATTTTTCTCTCCTAAGAACTTGAGAGATCATGTCCTCTTAATCATCTTTTGAGAGGAAAGACATGAGAAAAGAAAGACATTTGAGAAAACAGAGCAATTAATCTGTTCATTCATGTTCAGTAAATGACTCTGTGCTCTGAGTATATTCACTTTCTAGTCTCCAAATATTTGTTGGGTATGCATGGAGCATTGGAAACACCAAGGTGAATTAGGAACATAACTACTTTCAAGAATTCTGCAAGTGCATGGGGAAGGGGGCAAAGGGAACTCCCATTTTGTGAGTATTTATAATTCAATGTGCCAGGCACTGGGCTAGATGCTGAATTCTCATGAGAAACCCATAAGGTTCATGCTTTTACTCCCATTCTACAGATGAGGACATTGAGACTTAGAAAGATGGAGTGACTGGCTTGGAGTCTCCTATTTGGAAAGTGGCTGGGCTCCGTGACACAAAACCCCTTCCTTCCTTTCTTTCTTTCTTTCTTTTTTTTTTTTTTTTGAGACAGAGTCTCGCTCTGTCTCCCAGGCTGGAGTGCAGTGGCGCGATCTCGGCTCACTGCAGGCTCCGCTTCCCGGGTTCACGCCATTCTCCTGCCTCAGCCTCCTTTTAGCCAGGATGGTCTCGATCTCCTGACCTGGTGATCCACCCGGCTCGGCCTCCCAAAGTGCTGGGATTACAGACATGAGCCACCGTGCCCGACCAAGCCCTTCCTTTCTTTACTATTCTCCCTCTGCAGGGGCATGGTTACTCATCTTTAGTGCAATGAACCAGACGGCTAAGTGCCATGAGAAGGTGTAAATTCAGAGGACTCTGGCAGCACAGAAGGCAGAAAGATGGCTTCCGGCTTCCACACGGGTTTGGAAGGATAGCCTAAGGGTGGGTAGAGGCTTCACAAGGTGGGTAGAGGAAATCCCTGAGCAATGCTGTAGGGAGGGATGAGTGATAGGGTAGGATGGGATAGATGGGCCCCCCTGTATGGTTCTGTTTGCCCTGAGCGTGGTCCTGCAGGAGTCTACCGTGGGAAGCAGAGGGATCTGGATATCTTGGGTCTGGCTCTGTTCTCAGCATGATCCTGGCCAGTACTTGGTCATCAAGAAGGACTGGAAGAGCCAGGACAAAACTTGGAATATGCTTTGCACCCCCATGTATTATACTTGGTTTCCTTGGCATCACCATCACCTCACCACCTCCACACACTTACAAGGTGCCCGTGTGCACAAAGCACTTGGCATAGGCTCAGAACATATCTGAGGGTACTCATGCCTCTCCTTATCCAGCCCCTCTCTCTTGTCCATGTCAGTTCATAGCAGCTGACACCTCCTGCCAACATCTCATGGGAAAGTCAGGAAGAAACCGGCACTTGCCAAGAAGTGAGATCCCAGGTGCTCTGACGTGTTATTTCATGTATCCTCACAAGGCAGTGAGATGATTCCCATTTTATGGCTGAGGTTACTGAGGCTCAGGGAGGCGAAGGTGTGCAAGGACCCAGCTGGTGAGAGTAAAGTGGAGTGCTCTCTTTCTAAAGCTGGTGACTTAGGAGTGAAGAGGGCAGTCAACAGTTTTCTGGAAACCAAATAATAATCTGTGATAGATTTAGTTGATTTAAGTTAACCAATTAAAAGGTAAACAACTTGTATTGCCAAAGTTGAGGCAGTATGGTAAAGACAAAAAATGGACTGAACACTGCAGTAGGACAGCCTTAGGTTCAAATCTTGACCCAACTTAGTCTTTCTGGGTCAACTCACTCACCTCCACTGAGCCTTCCTTTCTTCATTTGTAAAGTCAGCACATATTTTATAGGGTCATCAAGGCTAAATGATAAAATTTGTGTATGATATGTAGCTCTGTTTCTGGCAGATAGTATCTCCTCTGATTTGTCTTTTTCTCCAGCACGTTCTTGTTTCCAGATTAACTGGTTTAGATACATGATTATTGACCATTTTGACATGCTTAGCCCAAGACTATTTTTTTTTTAAGTTCGGCTGAGATTGCATAGATACTAAAACACCCTGTTTTATGGCTAGGCACAATAAAGGACAATTAGCATGGTGGCACAGCTCTCAGGAATGTCTAGTGACCTAAGTCTGCATGGCTGGCCTTTTGAAATTGCCTTGGCTTCATGATTTCAGGGTCCATGGAAATCTCATGTGGCAGGGACTGGCTGGTTGTTCAATAATATTTATACCTTTTCCTCTCAGCTAGACTATATTTCCCAGTCTCCCTCATAGTAAGGTCATTATTATATGACTGAGTTCTGTCCGATGAAACATGGTTGGAAATAAAGGGGATGTGGAATGTGGGTGAAATTACCTTCTAAGAAATTCCCACAGATCCTACTCTCTTCCCTCATCTGCTTGCCAAATAGAAGATCCACTAGATGAAAGAACCCTGGGTCCCTGAACGGCTGCATGGAGCAGAGTAACTATCCCACCACACAATCTGCATTGGATTGTCAATGAGACATAAATGCTTACTGTGTTAAGCCACTGGGAGTGGGGGTTACTTATCATAGCAATTGGCTTGCCCTCAAGAATACAGTTAGCTTATGGCTTATAGCAAGGTATTTATAGCTGTCATTAATACTCTCTCTAAATGACTCTTTAAAATCAAATACCCTGTAAGGGGTAATATATTGCTTTACATTGGCATAAATTAATTTATAAGCTTAGCCTGCCAAATCCAAGCAGGGCCCTAAGGGTGTATGTCACTGTTTTTGGTTGCAGGTATGGCTGAGCGTAGGGATTGCTGGTAACCTGGTATATGATACAGTGGTTCTCAAAGCATCAGTATCATTTGCAGTATTTTAGAAGTGTAAATTTGTGGGCCCCATCTCAGACCTATTGGATCAAAAACTCTGGGAGTGGGGCCCAATACTCTGTTTTCACAAGCTCTCCAGTGATTCTGATGTACAAATGAGAAGGGATTGAGGGAGAAAAACAGCTGGACCCTAGAGATCACATCTGGGAAGAGCAGAACAGGATGGAGTTTCAGCAACTGTTCCATGCAGCCTAAGAGGTCTGGGTGAGGGGACAAAGGAAGAAGGACCATTGATGAATACTTAATTTTCTTTATGATGATCTCTTGGAATATGGCACAAAGTTTAAGAATTTGGTTTCCTACTTCATAGAGTATTCTGAATTCTTTCCTATTCCATAGAGTATTTTGAATTCACATCTGAATTCTTGGACTATTTTATTAATTTGCTAGGGCTGCCATAACAACATATTGGGTTGTTATGGGTGGCTTAAACAACACAAATTTATCATCTCACAGTTCTGGAGGCTGGAAGTCCAAGATCAAGGTGACAGTAGGGTTGGTTTTCTCTGAGGCCGTGCTCCTTGGCTTGCAGATGACCACCCTCTTTCTGCCTCTTCACATGCTCTTTCCTCTGTGCCTGCATGTCCTGCATGTCCCTGGTGTCGCTTTTTGTATTCTAATTTCCTTTTCTTATAAGGACATCATTCAGTTTGGATTAGGACCTAATGGCATAGTTTTAACTTAATTACCTCTTTAAGGCTATATCTTCAAAGACAGTCACATTCTGAGTTACTGGGGGTTGGGGCTTCAACAGATGAGTTGGGGAGAGAAACAATTCAGTCCAAAACCAGTATAGAACTTGGAATATTACTACTTTATTATATTCTTGTCTCACTTGGAACTCCCTTGTATAATCCTGAAGCTAAAGATAATTAAATGCTAAGTTTAACCTTTAGTTTGGAGTAGAATACTTGCTCCATTTTATTCTAACAGTGAAGTTAGAATGTAGTTAATACTTTTGACAGTAGGTTGGCTGATTGAAACTAGAATCACATAAAAGTAATGCAAAAGTAAAAGATGCCTGTTTTAAATAGAGCTTCTGATGTACCTTGGGCAGACCGAAGTTAATTTGTGAAAAATTGTCAAGTCTTTGGTAAATTGGGTCTCTAAAATGACCCCATAATCTGAGAGAAACTTGAATTTTGTCATGCATTGATGACCAGTTAATTCCATGATATATGGGAAACTACTTCTTTTGATATATTGGTTTTGGTGTAAACTGGAAGACACTTTTGTTGATAGAAAAGTGAGTTCCTCTTCTGAGATGCTTTTGAGTGCAGTTTGGCTTGTTAGCAAGCTGTGGTAATAATCTTAAATGATGACTGAATAACGCAGCATAAATTATATATACAAAAAAATGAATGGGGAAAAAGTAGACAGGCAACTCTTCTTAAAGCTCATGTTTCACAAGCTGGTATGTTTTTCCCGAGAGAATCCTCAGCAAGTCAGAGGACCACTTGCTATTTCATTTCACATTCTCTCTTCATGTGGGTCTCCTTTTCCCTCGGCCCCCTCCCCACTTCATATTAACTAGCAGGGGTCATGGATTTGGTGCCCCAGCTGCCAGGGTGAGCTTTGCTGTAACAGCTTCAGGTAGTCTAAACTTGGGGCAATTTAGCTGCCTGTAAAATCCCACTGAATGAACTTTCTTATCATTTGTTAACTGCCAGGGCAAAGTTCACTGAAAAACATTCTTACTTCTAGTCTGTGAAACGGGAGCTGTTGAAGTCCTATGCATACAAACACGTTAGCCTATGCTCGAAATATGCTTATGGAGCAAATTCTGATATGATTAATGTTGGCATCAGTGAGCATACATTAGGGGGATTTGCATATATATAAATTTGAATAATGTTCAAGGACATCAAATGATTTCAGATTTAATAATTATAATAATGGCTAACATTTCTTGAAGTATCATGTGCCCAACACCACTTTAACCATTTTACATAATTTAATCCCCCCAACAGCTCTGTCATTATACCCATTTTTCAAATGAGGAAATACAGTGGTGATTGTTAAGCGCACCAGGCAGGAAAATGACTGACTTTCCTGGGTGGGTTGGGAGGTGCACAGGAAACTAAAAACACATTAAAGCCTTCACTCTCAGATGGGGCTTCAGGAGACTGATACTCATTCCAAAGTGTCAGTTTGGGGAATTTGAGAACAAAGTGTGAATCTGTAAGACTGGGATCCTTGGTCCTTCCTTGGTCACTTTGGAGAAACTGATGCACATTCAAGAAGTGTTTATTGAGGGCTGCTTGCTGGGCCCCTGAGAGCTACAGTCATGGAAGAGACATGGTCCCCACTCTTCAGGAACACAGTGGTGCTGGGAGAGCCCAGACAGGAAGACATCATGACGACATGATCTGGCAGCACTGAGAGTAGAGGTCAGAGTCAGGAAGCTTGGAGAGGAGACTCAGGAAGGATTGGCAGAGCAGGTGCTCACTGAGCCAAGTATAAAGATGAATGAATATAATTTTACCACTGAGTAAGGTGGGGAATTGTGTGCCAGGCCACGGACAGTGGGTGAGCCAGGCCACAGAGGAAAAGGCGCCAGATGCTCCTTCCTAGGAGCACAAGTGGGCGCCATGATGGGAGCTAAGGGTTGGGGCTTAGGTTTTGTCCTAGTGGGATGCAGAGTCAACTACAGGTGTTAAGCAAGATAGTGCCACAGTGACATTTTTTGTTTTATTTTTTAGCAAGATAAGGATTGATTTGTCCAAGTGTAATGTGGTGATTCATGAAAGAGTGTTTCTCATTCTAGGAATGGCTTTATGCTAATGCAGAAGAAGTGGCTGTCTTGGTGCCACAGCCACCACTCATACCTCTCCTGCTTGCTCATGTTTAGAGTTCCACAGTTCTCAACTGTGGCACTGAAACATTTATTATTGTGTATGTTGTTATTTATATATTGTAACATTATTTATATTTATATGTTATAACATAGTATTAAATGTTATTATATTTGTAACTGTGAAACTCTAAACATTTTTTATTATTGTTATTGTTTATTCCTTTGTTTAAATGCCATCTCCCACCACTTATAGGATATTAAGTCTCATAAGCTGCCTAAACTTGGCCAGACCAGGTAGAATACATGGGCAGTTTTTCCCAAGAGTACATTTTGGTAAGACATGAAGCGGGGAGAATTGCAAGTTTGGACACATGGACGAAATGTAGCACTCATCTGAAGCTGACTCAAAAGTCAGTTACATTGAAAGGTAATGTGATATCAAGGTGAAATTGGAAATGGTGCAGACAAAGGCCCACTAGTAGGAGTAGCTTTAGCACATGCTTCTGATGCTGCCCAAAATTTACACAGGACAATAGGGAACTTCTTGAAGCCCTGCAGTAACAATGCTACTAAATATTTGAAACGCAGGTCCTTTAAGTTCTTCCTCATCTGCTAGTCAAAAACCCGTGCAGTTATGTTAAAATAAGGAAAACAAATTGCTTGGTTTTAAAACAAGGTTTATGCTTAGCTTTGGACTTAAGAATTTTTCCCTTTTGTCTTTGTCTTTTTTAAAATGCCATTTCTGCCATATTCTCCAAACCTAGTTA
The DNA here is from genome assembly GCF_000001405.40 of Homo sapiens. NCBI lineage: Eukaryota > Metazoa > Chordata > Mammalia > Primates > Hominidae > Homo > Homo sapiens. The sequence goes on along the minus strand of NC_000002.12, from coordinate 175,728,385 downwards.
GAAATAACAGAAGCAAAAAATATATGATGTAGCAAATAGTTTTAAGGATATGTTGGCTTATATGTCTAAAAATGAAGCTGTAGTTATGGCAATACATTTTGACTTGATTGGCTCAGTCAGAAGGGTCATGTGACCATGATGACAGGCGTTCATTCATAATTTGATGATTTCTCCACCTAAAACCTGGCAGCCTGACAGCCTAGCACCTGCTCAGCCCAAGCAGCGAGCAAGGAGTCCCTCAGCAGTAAGCGAAGGCATGTGGGTATAAAGAGATGTTTTATCATTCAATATTCTTGTTGTCTCATTGCTCAGGTGTGTAAAATTCAGGCTAAAACCATCAGATTGACCGTAAAAAAAACCTGAATGAGGACCTCATCATTCTCCACAAGGCTCAAAGACTTGCCGGGAAAAACAATTTATTTTCTGCAATTTTGCAGAGGTATAAAAATGAATAGGTGTAAAGAACATTAATAATTTAGTGTGACAGTGTCTCTAAAATTTTTAATGTGTATGCCCACTTTGGGGGACTCTATCCTACAAAAATGAGAGCGTCAGTACATAAGGATATATTCACAAAGATGTGTTTATTTCAGCATTGTTTGTTGTAGAGGGAAAAAAAAATCCTGAATGTTCACTGGTAGAGGAATGGTGGAATGAATTCTGGTACATTCGGAATGTTTGTTTAAAGGAGGATTTATCTCTGTACGTACTAACCTGAAAGGATGTCTGTATGTGTGGCTATATTTTAAAAGTTGTTGACAAAGAATGTGTATAGTATAAACTAATTAGTATATACATATATTTGTTTGTACATTTATATTTGCTGTGTGAGCATTGAGAAGTATGTGGAAGAATATAAACCACATTACTACTTTTGCTGAGGATTATGATTGGAAGGATAATTTGACGTGTTGCAACAAGCATATATTAGTTTTGTAATTAAAATGCAATACAGAGAAAGAAATCCTACTTAACCATTTAGGATTTGGTGAGGATTAACTGAGACAATATTTATAAAATGCTTATTATAATCCCTGGTATATAGTAGGCATCCAATAAATGGCAGACAGTATTATTTGATTTTTCCTCCAGGGCTGCTGCAGCATACAGCAGCCTGGTCCTTGCCTATGCCCACATTGTCATTTTGTGCATTCTGCATTCCAGATGGCTTATAGTCTCTGGGTACACCGTGCTCTCTCTATGTGACCCTTAGGCCTTTGCACATGCCATTCCCTGTTTTAGAATTCCTATCCCCCCCTCTTTCACCTGCTTAGCTGCTTTGCATTCTTCCAGTGTCAGTTGAAGTGCCTTTGTTGACCGAGGCAAGATGTCTGTCCTCTCTGGGCTGTCCATCCTACAGCATAACACTCACCACCCTATTTGAACAGTCTGTCTATAGGGCTGTATCCATCCATCTTTGCACCCTAAGCACCTAATCCAGGACCATGGAATGGGTACTTGACAAAGGCAAACAAACAGTATAGCTGAGTGAGGACTGACAGTGGATGCATGACTGTATGGGACGAGAAAGAGGAAGACCCGTTTTCTCATTAGAGCTTGGGAAGCCTGACAGGTATTGACTGTGTCGTTGTTTGTTTTCCAGGGTCCTGCTTGAGTTATCTAAGTGCAGCATTCTTCTTTCTCAGGTTTTTGCAAATTGGAAATGGACAAAGGTGCTGATGTTTTAAAATGATTAATTTGCTCAGGTTATTATATATTGCTCCTTCAATTTAGAAGTTATTAACTTGCTAGAACAGTTCATAACTACACTTTATTAACTTTCTGCATATGTACAAGAACTTCAGTTGAACCAGTGTCAGATAAAAGCAATTGAGAAAATACATTACAGGATGGAAACTGAGAACGGCTTTGCTGATGGTGATTGCAGCTGCAATATAAACAAATTGTACAGTCCTCAATGGCAGATGACTCAATTCTTAGTCATGTTAAAAGACAATCTTAAAAAACGGTAAAATCATGACTCTCACACTCTTTTGAGTGCCTCATGACTCTTAAAAGATAATCTAAAGAATACACATGTTGTAGATAACATTGAAATGAATGTGAAAGTGAAGGCAAAACTGGTTTTTTCACAAGGAGTTGGTGATAGGAAATTGAACTTTTTGAACAGGACAGAATTTGCAAATCTATAGACAAGAATTATTGTACATTGTTATCAGTTATTCACAATTTACAGAGTTGTAAATAGACCAAAGACGAGGACAGGCTAGAATCAAACTGGAAAAGTATCCTCTAGGATCTAGACCATGGGTGTCCAATCTTTTGGCTTCCCTGGGCTACACTGGAAGAAGACGAATTGTCTTGGGCTACACATAAAATATATTAACACTAATAATAGATGATGAGCTAAAAATTCACAAAAAAATCATAATGTTTTAAGAAAGTTTACAAATTTATGTTGGACTGCATTCAAAGCCGTCCTGGTCTGCATGTGGCCCGCGGGCCATGGGTTAGACAAGCTTGATAGGCAATGCCTAGTTTTCTACTGAAGCAGAAATTTTCCTACGGTTCCCTCTATTCTCAGAACTTTGAGTCTCTATAAGTGTTACGGATGCCTCATATCAACCTAATATACTTTACATATGCATTACTTATGATATCTCATTTAACGTATTTAATCATCACAACATGAATACGAGGTAGGTATTTTTATGGAAGAGGCAGCATGGAAAGCATAAGTCATTCAACAGTCATTTAGTTAACAAGTTAAGATGCAAACACAAGTCTCTGAACTCAAAAGTCATGTTTTTTCCACTCCATTCTGCTGCCTCTTTGTTGACCCTTCCTAGAGTTTACTTTCCTCTTCCCTCCACTTTACTTCCACTGCAGTTTTCTGCCATCTCCTGTTGGAGGAAGTCCATGCTGCCCATTCTCCATTCCCTGAACCACTGTGGGCTGCTTTGCCCAATGTTCCCATCTTCACCCTTATGCTCCCAATATCTGCTCTGGGGAGGGGAACACTGTCTCTGTGTGTGTGCTTACCACCCTTTCCCCTGTGGTTTTCCTGATTTTTAATAGAGGGAGGGAAGGGACTCTGTCTACCAACAGAGAGATTTTATATTGGAATGGTAAAGATTGGCTTCTGGTTGGTAGCACCTGGAAGACAGCATGGCCCTCCCCCCAAAAAACAAATCTCTCTCTCTCTCTAGTCCTTCCTGTTTCTTCTTTTTGTTTGTAGACAGTTCCCTCAGCCTTTTCCTGTTTAAATTTTGCTTCACTGTTGCTAAGTGTGGATATAAGCTAACCATATAGTTGCTGTTGTCTCAATACTTCAAAAAATCTTTATCATTCAAGAGTCTTAATGTGGTAAATCCAGGTAGAAGTCTAATTTATACATTTGATTGAACTGTTGGATATTTTGATCTCAGGCTTCTCTTCATCCTGAAGAGTGAAAAATTACCCAGCTCCTGGCTGCCCTAACAAGAGGCAAGATCTTCAATAAGGAAGAATAGGAATATTTATACTGAATCTGACCTTCTGTTTTAAGATTTTAAAATGTGGGTCATCTAAAACAATACCTACCTTGATGAGGTTAAGCTACTCATATTCCTGGGAGAAGCCCTACTTTGTCATGATGTTTTGTCCTTTTTATATTGTTATTTGATTCAATTTGCTAAAATTTATCTGGAATTTTTGCATCTGTGTTCATGGGGTATATTGGTCTGTAGTTTTCTTAAAATGTGACTATCAAGTTTTGGTATCAGGGTAATGCTAGCCTCATAGAATGAGTTGGAAATTGTTCTGTCCTCTTTAATTTTCTGGAAGAGTTTGGAAAGAATTGGCCTTATTTCTAGCTTAAACGTTTGGTAGAATTCAGTAGTGAAGCCATCAGGGCCTGCAGATTTTTTTGTGGCAAGAATTTAACCACAAATTCAATTTCTATAATAGTTATAAGGTTAATCAGGTAATCTATTTCTCTTTGAGTGAGTTTGGTACCTGTATGTTTCAAAGAATTCATTCATTTCATCTAAATTATTATATTTATTGTCAAAAAGCTATTAATAATATCCTTTATTATTCATTTAATATCTATCTGTAAATTCTGTAGTGATGCTCCCTCTCTCATTCCTGATATTGGAACTTTGTGTCTTCTATCTTTTTTGTTCTCCTTATCAACATGATTAGAAGTTTATTCATTTTATTGATCTCTTTGAAGAACCAGCTTTTGGTTTCTTTGATTTTCTCCATTTTCCTTTTTCTGTTTCATTGATCTCTTATCTGATCTTTATTATTTCCTTTCCTCTGCTTAATCTGGGTTGCACTTGCTTCTCTTTTTCTGGTTTCTGAAAATAGAATCTGAGGTAATTGATCTGAGAAATTTCTTCATAAATTGATAAATTTCTGTTACAAATTTTGATGTGCTGTGTTTTTAATTTCACAAGTCTTTCTTAAATAATCAAATTTACAATTTTATTTCTTCCTTGACCAGGGGGTTATTTAAAATTGTATTATCTAAGTTCTAAATTTTGAGGGATTTCTCAAAGATCTTTCTGTTATTGATTTCTAATTTAATTTCATTGTGGTCATAGAACACATTTTGTATGACTTGAATCCTTTTAAAAGTATTGAGACTTATTTTATGAGCAAAATTTGATTTATCTTGATAAATGATCTGTATACACATGAAAATAATGTGTATTCTGTTACTAGGTGGAGTGGTGGAGTGTTCTATAAATGTCAATTAGGTCAGTTTGCTTAATAGGTCAATAGTGTTGTTCAAGTCCATTGTATCCTTCCTGACTTTCGGTCTACTTAAAAATAATTACTGGAAGAGGGAGTGGTGAAATTTTTCAGCTCTGCATCATAAAATTGCCTTTTTAATCTCTGGTAATATTCTTTGTTCTTAAACACTTTGATATAAAGCTAAATAATAAGAAAAAATCTCATATATTTACACATATAGTTACCATTTTTGATGCTTTTCATTCCTTTGATTCATATCTCTATCTTAAGTCATTTTCTTTGTTCCCAAAGGAATTCCTTTAACATATCTTTTAGTGTGGGTCTGCTATTGATGAATTCTTTCAGGTTTTATATGTCTAAAAATGTCCTTATTTTACACCTTAAGTTTGAAATGATATTGTTGCTGGGTATAGAATCATATGTTGTTAAGGTTTTTTTTTTTTTAATACCTTCAACATATTACTTCACTGGCTTCTTTGCACTTACATTTTTTTCTGACAAGAAATATGTTGTCATTCTTAGCTTAATTTATCTGTACATAATGTTTCATTTTTCCCTTGTTTGGTTACTTTTACTATTTTCTCTTTATCACAATTCTCAGCAATTTGATTATGATGTGCCTTGGTGTAGTTTTCTTCATGGTTTTTGTGGTTGTAGTTCATTGAACTTCTTGGATCTGTGGGTTTATAGTTTTCATCAAATTTGGAGATTTTTCAGCCATTACTTCTTAAAATATTTTTTTAATCTCCTACCTTCTCCGCTTATAGGATTCTCTTGTCATTTTAAAATTTATATTTTTTCTCTCTGTGTTTCATTTGTGGATTATTGCTATTGGCTATGGTGTTTTGTTTTGTTTTGTTTTGTTTTGCTATTGGCTATGTTTTTAAGTCACTAATAGTTTCTTTTGCAATATGTAATCTGCCACTAATCTTATTCAGCATTTTATTTTTATTTCTTTTTTTTAATTACACTTTAAGCTTTAGGGTACATGTGCACAACGTGCAGGTTTGTTACATATGTATACATGTGCCATGTTGGTGTGCTGCACCCATTAACTCGTCATTTACATTAGGTATATCTCCTAATGCTATCCCTGTCCCCCTCCCCCCACCCCACAACAGGCTCTGGTGTGTGATTTTCCCCTTCCTGTGTCCAAGTGTTCTCATTGTTCAATTCCCACCTATGAGTGAGAACATGTGGTGTTTGGTTTTTTTTGTCCTTGCGATAGTTTGCTGAGAATGATGATTTCCAGCTTCATCCATGTCCCTACAAAGGACATGAACTCATCATTTTTTATGGCTGCATAGTATTCCTTGGTGTATATGTGCCACATTTTCTTAATCAAGTCTATCATTGTTGGACATTTGGGTTGGTTCCAAGTCTTTGCTATTGTGAATAGAGCTGCAATAAACATACGTGTGCATGTGCCTTTATAGCAGCATGATTTATAATCCTTTGGGTATATACCCAGTAATGGGATGGCTGGGTCAAATGGTATTTCTAGTTCTAGATCCCTGAGGAGTCGCCACACTGACTTCCACAATGGTTGAACTAGTTTACAGTCCCACCAACAGTGTAAAAGTGTTCCTATTTCTCCACATCCTCTCCAGCGCCTGTTGTTTCCTAACTTTTTAATGATCGCCATTCTAACTGGTGTGAGATGGTATCTCATTGTGGTTTTGATTTGCATGTCTCTGATGGCCAGTGATGATGAGCATTTTTTCATGTGTCTTTTGGCTGCATAAATGTCTTCTTTTGAGAAGTGTCTGTTCATATCCTTTGCCCACTTTTTGATGGGGTTGTTTGTTTTTTCTTGTAAATTTGTTTGAGTTCTTTGTAGATTCTGGATATTAGCCCTTTGTCAGATGAGCAGATTGCAAAAATTTTCTCCCATTCTGTAGGTTGCCTGTTCACTCTGATGGTAGTTTCTTTTGCTGTGCAGAAGCTCTTTAGTTTAATTAGATCCCATTTGTCAATTTTGGCTTTTGTTGCCATTGCTTTTGGTGTTTTGGACATGAAGTCCTTGCCCATGCCTATGTCTTGAATGGTATTGCCTAGGTTTTCTTCTAGGGTTTTTATGGTTTTAGGTCTAACGTTTAAGTCTTTAATCTATCTTGAATTAATTTTTATATAAGGTGTAAGGAAGGGATCCAGTTTCAGCTTTCTACATATGGCTAGCCAGTTTTCCCAGAATCATTTATTAAATAGGGAATCCTTTCCCCATTTCTTGTTTTTGTCAGGTTTGTCAAAGATCAGATAGTTGTAGATGTGTGGCATTATTTCTGAGGGCTCTGTTCTGTTCCATTGGTCTATATCTCTGTTTTGGTATGAGTACCATGCTGTTTTTGTTACTGTAGGCTTGTAGTATAGTTTGAAGTCAGGTAGCATGATGCCTCCAGCTTTGTTCTTTTGGCTTAGGATTGACTTGACAATGTGGGTTCCTTTTTGGTTCCATGTGAACTTTAAAGTAGTTTTTTCCAATTCTGTGAAGAAAGTCATTGGTAGCTTGATGGGGATGGCATTGAATCTATAAATTACCTTGGGCAGTATGACCATTTTCATGATATTGGTTCTTCCTACCCATGAGCATGGAAGGTTCTTCCATTTGTTTGTATCGTCTTTTATTTCGTTGAGCAGTGGTTTGTAGTTCTCCTTGAAGAGGTCATTCACATCCCTTGCAGGTTGGATTCCTAGGTATTTTATTCTCTTTGAAGCAGTTGTGAATGGGAGTTCACTCATGATTTGGCTGTTTGTCTGTTATTGGTGTATAACAACGCTTGTGATTTTCACACATTGATTTTGTGTCCTAAGACTTTGCTGAAGTTACTTATCAGCTTAAGGAGATTTTGGACTGAGATGATGGGGTTTTCTAGATATACAATCATGTCATCTGCGAACAGTGACAATTTGACTTCCTCTTCTCCTAATTGAATACCCTTTATTTCCTTCTCCTACCTGATTGTCCTGGCCAGAACTTCCAACACTATGTTGAATAGGAGTGGTGAGAGAGGGCATCCCTGTCTTGTGTCAGTTTTCAAAGGGAATGCTTCCAGTTTTTGCCCATTCAGTATGATATTGGCTGTGGGTTTTTCATAAATAGCTCTTATTATTTTGAGATACATCCCATCAATACCTAACTTATTGAGAGTTTTTAGCATGAAGCGCTGTTGAATTTTGTCAAAGGCCTTTTCTGCATCTATTGAGATAATCATGTGGTTTTTGTCGTTGGTTCTGTTTACCTGCTGGATTATGTTTATTTATTTGTGTATGTTGAACCAGCCTTGCATCCCAGGGATGAAGCCCACTTGATCATGGTGGATAAGCTTTTTGATGTGCTGCTGGATTTGATTTGCCAGTATTTTATTGAGGATTTTCGCATCGATGTTCATCAGGGATATTGTTCTAAAATTCTCTTTTTTTGTTGTGTCTCTGCCAGGCTTTGGTATCAGGATGATGCTGGCCTTGTAAAATGAGTTAGGGAGGATTCCCTCTTTTTCTATTGATTGGAATAGTTTCAGAAGGAATGGTACAAGCTCCTCCTTGTACCTCTGGTAGAATTCGGCTGTGAATCCATCTGGTCCTGGACTTTTTTTGGTTGGTAAGCTAATAATTATTGCCTCAATTTCAGAGCCTCTTATTGGTCTATTCAGAGATTCAACTTCTTCCTGGTTTAGTCTTGGGCGGGTGTGTGTGTCAAGAAATTTATCCATTTCTTCTAGATTTTCTAGTTTATTTGCATAGCAGTGTTTATAGTATTCTCTGATGGTAGTTTGTATTTCTGTGGGATCGGTGGTGATATCCCCTTTATCATTTTTTATTGCATCTATTTGATTCTTCTCTCTTTTCTTCTTTATTAATCTTACTAGTGGTCTATCAATTTTGTCGATCTTTTCAAAAAACCAGCTTCTGGATTCATTGGTTTTTTGAAGGGTTTTTTGTGTCTCTATCTCCTTCTGTTCTGCTCTGATCTTAGTTATTTCTTGTCTTCTTCTAGCTTTTGGATGGGTTTGCTCTTGCTTCTCTAGTTCTTTTCATTGTGATGTTAGGGTGTCGATTTTAGATCTTTCCTGCTTTCTCTTGTGGGCATTTAGTGCTATAAATTTCCCTCTACACACTGCTTTAAATGTGTCCCAGAGATTCTGGTATGTTGTGTCTTTCCTCTTGTTGGTTTCAAAGAACATCTTTATTTCGCCCTTCATTTCGTTATGTACCCAGTAGTCATTCAGGAGCAGGTTGTTCAGTTTCCATGTAGTTGAGCGGTTTTGAGTGAGTTTCTTAATCCTGAATTCTAGTTTGATTGCACTGTGGTCTGAGAGAGAGTTTGTTGTAATTTGTGTTCTTTTACATTTGCTGAGGATTGCTTTACTTCCAAATATGTGGTCAGTTTTGGAATAAGTGTGGTGTGGTGCTGAGAAGAATGTATATTCTGTTGATTTGGGGTGGAGAGTTCTATAGATATCTATTAGGTCCGCTTGGTGCAGAGCTGAGTTCAATTCCTGGACATCCTTGTTAATTTTCTGTCTCGTTGATCTGTCTAATGTTGACAGTGGGGTGTTAAAGTCTCCCATTATTATTTTATGGGAGTGTAAGTCTCTTTGTAGGTCTCTAAGGACTTGCTTTATGAATCTGGGTGCTCTTGTATTGGGTGCATATATATTTAGGATAGTTAGCTCTTCTTGTTGAATTGATCCCTTTACCATTATGTAATGGCCTTCTTTGTCTCTTTTGATCTTTGTTGGTTTAAAGTCTGTTTTATCAGAGACTAGGATTGCAACCTCTGCCTTTTTTTGTTTTCCATTTGCTTGGTAGACCTTCCTCCATCCCTTTATTTTGAGCCTATGTGTGTCTCTGCACGTGAGATGGGTTTCCTGAATACAGCACACTGATGGGTCTGGACTCTTTATCCAATTTGCCAGTCTGTGTCTTTTAATTGGAGCATTTAGCCCATTTACATTTAAGATTAATATTATGATGCGTGAATTTGATCCTGTCATTATGATGCTAGCTGGTGATTTTGCTCGTTAGTTGATGCAGTTTCTTCCCAGCCTCGATGGTCTTTACAATTTGGCATGTTTTTGCAGTGGCTGGTACCGGTTCTTCCTTTCCATGTTTAGTGCTTCCTTCAGGAGCTCTTGTAGGGCAGTCCTGGTGGTGACAAACTCTCTCAGCATTTGCTTGTCTGCAAAGTATTTTATTTCTCCTTCACTTATGAGGCTTAGTTTGTCTGGATATGAAATTCTGGGTTGAAAATTCTTTTCTTTAAGAATGTTGAATATTGACCCCCACTCTTCTGGCTTGCAGAGTTTCTGCCAAGAGATCAGCTGTTAGTCTGATGGGCTTCCCTTTGTGGGTTACCCGACCTTTCTCTCTGGCTGCCCTTAACATTTTTCCTTCATTTCAACTTTGGTGAATCTGACAATTATGTGTCTTGGAGTTGCTCTTCTCGAGGAGTATCTTTGTGGTGTTCTCTGTATTTCCTGAATTTGAATGTTGGGCTGCCTTGCTAGATTGGGGAAGTTCTCCTGGATAATATCCTGCAGAGTGTTTTCCAACTTGGTTCCATTCTCCCCGTCACTTTCAGGTACACCAATCAGACGTAGATTTGGTCTTTTCACATAGTCCCATATTTCTTGGAGGCTTTGTTCATTTCTTTTTATTCTTTTTTCTCTAAACTTCTCTTCTCACCTCATTTCATTCATTTGATCTTCCATCACTGATACCCTTTCTTCCAGTTGATCGAATGGCTACTGAAGCTTGTGCATTCGTCACGTAGTTCTCGTGCCATGGTTTTCAGCTCCATCAGGTCCTTTAAGGACTTCTCTGCATTGGTTATTCTAGTTAGCCGTTCGTCTAATCTTTTTTCAAGGTTTCTAACTTCTTTGCCATGGGTTCGAACTTCGTCCTTTAGCTCGGAGAAGTTTGATCGTCTGAAGCCTTCTTCTCTCAACTTCTCAATGTTATTCTCCATACAGCTTTGTTCCATTGCTGGTGAGGAGCTGCATTCCTTTGGAGGAGGAGAGGTGCTCTGATTTTTAGAATTTTCCGTTTTTCTGCTCTGTTTTTTCCCCATCTTTGTGGTTTTATCTACCTTTGGTCTTTGATGATGGTGACATACAGATGGGTTTTTGGTGTGGATGTCCTTTCTGTTTGTTAGTTTTTCTTCTAACAGTCAGAACCTTCAGCTGCAGGTCTGTTGGAGTTTGCTGGAGGTCCACTCAAGACCCTGTTTGCCTGGGTATCAGCAGCGGAGGCTGCAGAACAGCAAATATTGGTGAATAGCAAATGTTGCTGCCTGATCATTCCTCTAGAAGTTTTGTCTCAGAGGGGTACCCAGCTGTGTGAGGTGTCAGGCTGCCCCTACTGGGGGGTGCCTCCCAGTTAGGCTACTTTGGGGTCAGGGATCCACTTGAGGAAGCAGTCTGTCCATTCTCAGATCTCAAGCTGTGTGCTGGGAGAACCACTACTGTCTTCCAAGCTCCATTGGAAATGCAGAAATTATCCATCTTCTGCGTCGCTCATGCTTGGAGCTGTAGACTGGAGCTGTTCCTATTCTGCTGTTTTGGAACCACCCCCTTATTTTTATTTCAGACATTGTATTTTTCTTCTGTGGAAGCTCCATTTGGGTATTTAAAAAATATATCTTCCTGCTGGGCATGGTGGCTTACACCTGTAATCCCAGCACTTTGGGAGGCCGAGGCGGGTGGATCATGAGGTCAGGAGATCGAGATCATCCTGGCTAACATGGTGAAACCCCCTCTCTTCTAAAAATAAAAAAAATCAGCCAGGTGTGGTGGTGGGCGCCTGTAGTCCCAGCTACTTGGGAGGCTAAGGCAGGAGAATGGTGTGAACCGGGGAGGCAGAGCTTGCAGTAAGCCAAGATTGCATCACTGCACTCCAGCCTTAGGCAACAGAGCGAAAATCCATCTCAAAAAATATATATACGTATATATATACACATATATATATGTGGGTATATATATACGTATATATACACACATATATATATGTGTATATATATACACATATATATATGTATATATATACGTATATATATGTGTGTGTATATATACGTATATATGTATATATACGTATATATACACATATATATCTTCCATATCTCTACTTAACTTTTTGAACATAAGGACTCTAATTATAATTTATATTCCTAAAGGTAATTCATAAACATAATCTTTTATTTTCCGATTTTTCCGTTAAATTTTATAAATTTGAGACTACTGCTTCTCTCCAAGATGAAGTAATGGCTACCAGACTTACCCTGCCACTTGAAACAATAACAACAAAGAAAACAGTAAAATATATGATATACATTGGTTTCAATATCTGGACATCAGGTAATAAAGGACAATCTTTCCTGAAAATAGATGAAATGGTGAGGAATTCTAGACATCGGTAACAGTGAATAAAGTAACCAGTGGGGTAGGAGAGCAGTAGACAAGAGTCATTTCATATCAAGCATATTTAAATGGCCCGAGCCACACTTTGGCTGGTAGAACAAATGGTATTGAGTTGGTGAGCAGAGTGCGGACGGAAGGATTGTAAGATGAGCAGAGAGAAGGCAGAGCACAGACAAGTTACAGGAATTACAGTAAACAATCTCCCTTTGGGGAAATATTTGTAGTTCTTGCCATTTGTTGGGTAGGCAAGTTATTGATCTAGTGGATTTAGAGATAAGCTGTTATAATGGTGTTCAAACTGGGATAAAGTGTACCATGATGTCTGATACCATTCAATTAAGGTTAAATGAGCAAGTAAGTTGCATAGGTTGGTTTGGACCTCATAGATACTACATTGGAGACCAAATAAAATTCACATTTTTATATTTGAGTATTCAGTTTCTTTAAAGCCTCTATTACAACATAAATATTTAATTAAATGCTTATCACCTACCTTTATATTTCATATTTAGAAAGATTGACATGTGGAGCATGATGTAAAGAAATGTGACATGTGGGCACCATTTGATGCCTTCTCTTCAAGCTTCAACCTAAAACTTGCATCTGTAGGTTTTGTCTTTGTTTATCGGAATCTAAAAGAGAAAAGATCATCCTTCTCTTCTCTCTTCTTGATGATCTAACCTCAGTGCTTCCCTTTTTCCACTGGCTTTAGCTGCCTAAATGAGTTTAGTACTCACTGGGAGCAGCCAACGGCTCTGATGTGTTGTGAGTCATTGTCTTACCTCTCATTTCTTTTCTGATTAATAGCTTTACCCTAAAAATTTGTCAGCCCAGCCCTGGCACTCTCAGCATTCTGCATGCATTAAGAGGCTCAATCTTTCCCTTTCCCTGGTGAGTATAGTAAAAAAAGCAACTTAAACACTTAAAGTGTTTTTGTTTGTTTGTATGTTTGTTTGGCTTTAGGTTTTTAATTAAATGATTTTAACAATGCCATTTTTTAAAATCATACTTTAAGTTCTAGGATACATGTGCAGAACATACAGGTTTGTTACATAGATATATATGTGCCATGGTGTTTTGCTGCACCCATCAACCCATCATCTACATTAGGTATTTCTCCTAATGCTATCCCTCCCCTTCTCCCCAAACCCCATGACAGGTCCCAGGGTGTGATGTTCCCCTCCCTGTGCCCATATGTCTTCATTGTTCAACTCCCTCTTATGAGTGAGAACATGCAGTGTGTGGTTTTCTGTTCCTGTGTTAGTTTGCTGAGAATGATGATTTCCGGCTTCATCCATGTCCCTGCAAAGGACATGAATTCATTCTTTTTAATGGCTGCATAGTATTCCATGGTGTATATGTGCCATATTTTCTTTATCCAGTCTAACACTGATGGGCATTTGGGTTGGTTCCAAGTCTTTGGTATTGTGAATAGTGCTGCAATAAACATATGTGTGCATGTGTCTTTATGGTAGAATGATTTATAATCCTTTGGGTATGTACCCAGTAATGGGATTGGTGGGTCAAATGGTATTTCTCGTTCTGGATCCTTGATCCTGAATCACCACACTGTCTTCCACAATGGTTGAGCTCATTTACACTCCCACCAACAGTGTAAAAGCGTTCCTATTTATCCACATCCGCTCCAGCATCTGTTGTTTCCTGACTTATTAATGATCACCATTCTAACTGGCATGAGATGGTATCTCATTGTGGTTTTGATTTGCATTTCTCTAATGACCAGTGATGATGAGCTTTTTTTCATATGTTTGTTGGCCGCATAAATGTCTTCTGTTGAGAAGTGTCTGTTCATATCCTTTGCCCACTTTTTGATGAGACTGTTTTTTTTTCTTGTAAATTTGTTTAAGTTCTTTGTAGATTCTGGATATTTGCCCTTTGTCAGATGGATAGATTGCAAAAATTTTCTCCCATTCTGTAGGTTGCCTGTTCACTCTGATGATAGTTTCTTTTGCTGTGCAGAAGCTCTTTAGTTTAATGAGATCCCATTTGTCAATTTTGGCTTTTATTGCCATTGCTTTTTGTGTTTTAGTCATGAAGTCTTTGCCCATGCCTATGTCCTGAATGGTATTGCCTAGGTTTTCTTCTAGGGTTTTTATGGTTTTAGGTCTTACATTTAAATCTTCAATTCATATTGAGTTAATTTTTGTGTAAGTGTAAGGAAGGCATCCAATTTCAGTTTTCTGCATATGGCTAGCCAGTTTTCCCAACACCATTTATTAAATAGGGAATCCTTTCTGCATTGCTTGTTTTTCTCAGATTTGTCAAAGATCAGATGGTTGTAGATATGTGGTGTTATTTCTGAGGACTCTGTTCTGTTCCATTGGTCTATACATCTGTTTTGGTACCAGTACCATGCTGTTTTGGTTACTGTAGCCTTGTAGTATAGTTTGAAGTCAGGTAGCATGAACCCTCCAGCTTTGTTCTTTTTGCTTAGGATTGTCTTGGCTATATGGGCTCTTTTTTTGTTCCATATGAAATTTAAAATAGTTTTTTCTAATTCTGTGAAGAAAGTCAATGGTAGTTTGATGGGGATAGCATTGAATCTATAAATTACTTTGGGCAGTATGGCCATTTTCACAATACTGATTCTTCCTATTAATGAGCATAGAATGTTTTTCCATTTGTTTGTGTCCTCTCTTATTTCCTTCAGCAGTGGTTTGCTGTTCTCCTTGAAGAGGTCCTTCACATCCCTTGTAAGTTGCATTCCCATGTATTTTATTATCTTGGTGGCAATTGTGAATGGGAGTTCACTCATGATTTGCATCTCTGTTTGTCTATTATTGGTATATAGGAATGCTTGTGATTTTTGCACACTGATTTTGTATCCTGAGACTTTGCTGAAGTTGCTTATCAGCTTAAGGAATTTTTGGGTTAAGATGATGAGATTTTCTAAATATACAATCATGTCATCTGCAAACAGAGATAATTTGACTTCCTCTCTTCCTATTTGAATACCCTTATTTCTTTTCTTGCCAGATTGCCCTGGCCAGCACTTCCATACTATGTTGAATAGGAGTGGTGAGAAAGGGCATCCTTGTCTTGTGCTGGTTTTCAAAGGGAATGCTTCCAGCTTTTTCCCATTCAGTATTACATTGGCTGTGGGTTTGTCATAAATAGCTCTTATTATTTTGAGATATGTTCCATCCATATCTAGTTTATTGATTGTTGTTAGCATGGCGGAGTGTTGAATTTTATCAAAGGCCCTTTTGGCATCTATTCAGATAATCATGTGGTTTTTGTCATTGGTTCAGTTTATGTGATAGATTACATTTATTGATTTGCATATGTTGAACCAGCCTTGCATCCCAGGGATGAAGCTGACTTGATCGTGGTGGATAAGCTTTTGGATGTGATGCTGTATTCGGTTTGCCAGTATTTTATTGAGGGTTTTCGCATTGATGTTCATCAGGGATATTGGCCTGAAATTTTCTTTTTTTGTTGTGTCTTCCAGGTTTTGGTATCAGGATGATGCTAGCCTCTTAAAATGAGGTAGGGAGGAGTCTGCCTTTTTCTATTGTTTGGAATAGTTTCAGAAGGAATGGTACCAGCTCCTCTTTGTACCTTTGGTAGAATTCGGCTGTGAATCTGCCTGGTGCTATGCTTCTTTTGGTTGGTAGGCTATTAATTGCTGCCTGAATTTCAGAACTTGTTATTGGTCTATTCAGGTATTTGACTTCTTCCTGATTTAATCTTGGGAAGGTGTATGTGTCCAGAAATATACCCATTTCTTCTAGATTTTCTAGTTTATTTCCAGAGAGGTGTTTATAGTATTCTCTGATGGTAGTTTGTATTTCTGTGGAATCAGTGGTGATATCCCCTTTATCATTTTTTATTGTGTCTATTTGATTCTTCTCTCTTTTCTTCTTTATTAATCTGGCTAGCAGTCTATCTATTTTGTTAATCTTTTCTAAAAACCAGCTCCTGGATTCATTGATTTTTTGAAGGGTTTTTCGTGACTCTATCTCCTTCAGTTCTGCTCTGTTCTTAGTTATTTCTTGCCTTCTACTAGCTTTTGAATTCGTTTGCTCTTGCTTCTCTAGTTCTTTTAATTGTGATGTTAGGCTGTTGAGTTTAGATCTTTCCCACTTTCTCCTGTGGTCATTTAGTTCTATAAATTTCCCTCTAAACACTGCTTTAGCTGTGTCCCAGGGATTCTGGTACATTGTAACTTTGTTCTCATTGGTTTCAAAGAACTTATTTATTTCTGCCTTAATTTTGTATTTAACTGTAGTCATTCAGGAGCAGGTTGTTTAGTTTCCATGTAGTTGTGCAGTTTTGAGTGAGTTTCTTAATTCTGAGTTCTAATTTGATTGCATTGTGGTCTGACAGACTGTTTGTTATGATTTCCATTCTTCTGCATTTGCTGAGGAGTGTTTTACCTTCAATTATGTGGACAATTTTAGTATAAGTGGGATGTGGTGCTGAGAAGAATGTATATTATGTTGATTAGGGGTGGAGAGTTCTGTAGATGTCTATTAGGTCTGCCTGGTCCAGAGGTGAGTTCAAGTTCTGAATATCCTTGTTAATTTTCTGTCTCATTGATCTGCCTAGTATTGACAGTTAGGTTTAAAGTCTCCCACTATTATTGTGTGGGAGTCTAAGTCTCTTTGTAGGTCTCTAAGGACTTGCTTTATGAATCTGGGTGCTGCTGTATTGGGTGCATATATATTTAGGATAGCTAGCTCTTCTTGTTGCATTGATCCCTTTACCATTATGTAAGGCCCTTCATTGTCTTTTTTGTTCTTTGTTGGTTTAAAGTCTGTTTCATCAGAGACTAGGATTGCAACCCCTGTTGTTTTCGTTTTGCTTTCCATTTGCTTGGTAAATCTTCCTCCATCCCTTTATTTTGAGCCTATGTGTGTCTTTGCACATGAGATGGGTCTCCTTAATATGGCACACTGATGGGTCTTGACTCTTTATCCAATTTGCCAGTCTGTACCTTTTAATTGGGACATTTAGCCTGTTTGCATTTAAGGTTAATATTGTTATGTGTGAATCTGATCCTCTCATTATGAGGCTAGCTATTTATTTTGTTAGTTGACACAGTTTCTTCACAGTGTCAATGGTCTTTACATTTTGGTTTGTTTTTGCAGTGGCTGGTACCAGTTTTTCCTTCCTATATTTAGTGCTTCCTTCAGGAGCTCTTGTATGGCAGGCCTGGTGGTGACAAAAATCCCTCAGCATTTGCTTGTCTGTAAAGGATTTTATTTCTCCTTTGCTTATGAAGCTTAGTTTGGCTGGATATGAAATTCTGGGTTGAAAATTCTTTCTTTTTTTGAGAATGTTGAATATTGGCCCCCACTCTCTTCTGGCTTGTAGGGTTTCTGCAGAGAAATCCACTGTTACTTTGATGGGTTTCCCTTTGTGGGTAACCTGACCTTTCTCTCTCACTGCCCTTAACTTTTTTCCTTCATTTCAATCTTGGTGAATCTGACGATTGTGTGTCTTTGGGTTGCTATTCTTGAGAAATGTCTTTGTGGTGTTCTCCGTATTTCCTGAAATTGAATTTTGGCCTGTCTCGCTGTGTAGGGGAAGTTCTCTTGGATAATATCCTGAAGTGTGTTTTCCAACTTGGTTCCTTTCTCCCCATCACTTTCAGGTACATCAATCAATTGTAGGTTTGGTCTTTTCACATAGTCCCATATTTCCTGGAGGCTTTGTTTGTTCCTTTTTTATTCTTTTTTCTCTAATCTTGTCTTCACGCTTTATTTCATTAAGTTGATCTTAAATCTCTGATATCCTTTCTTCCGCCTGATAGATTCGACTATTGATACTTGTGTATGCTTCAAGAAATTCTTGTGCTGTGTTTTTCAGCTCCATCAGGTCATTTATGTTCTTCTCTAAACTAGTTATTCAGTTAGAAATACCTCTAACCTTTTTTCAAGGTTCTTAGCTTCCTTAGGTTGGGTTAGAACATGCTCCTTTAGCTTGGAGGAGTTTGTTATTACTCACCTTCTGAAGCCTACTTCTGTCAATTTGTCAAACTCATTCTTTGTCCAGTTTTGTTCCCTTGCTGGCAAGGAGTTGTGATCCTTTGGAGGGGAAGAGACATTCTGGTTTTTGGAATTTTCAGCCTTTTTGTGCTGGTTTTTCCTTATCTTCATGGATTTATCTACCTTTGCTCTTTGCTGTTGGTGACTTTTGGATGGAGTTTTTGCTTGGTCTTCCTTTTTGTTGATATTGGTACTATTGCTTTCTGTTTGTTAGTTTTCCTTCTAATAGCCAGGCCCCTCTGCTGCAGGTCTGCTGGAGTTCACTGGGGGTCCACTCCAGACCCTGTTTGACTGAGTATTACCAGCGGAGGCTGCAGAACAGCAAAGATTGCTGCCTGCTTCTTCCTCTGGAAGCTTTGTCCCAGAGGGGCACCCGCTAGATGCCAGCTGGAGCTCTCCTGTATGAGGTGTCTGTCGACCCCTGCTGGGAGGTGTTTCCCCGTCAGGAGGCATGGGGGTCAGGGAACCACTTGAGCAGGCAGTCTGTCCGTTGGCAGAGCTTGAGCTCTGTGCTGGGTTATCTGCTGCTCTCTTCAGAGCCAGTAGGCAGGAACGTTTAAGTTTGCTGAAGCTGTGCCCACAGCCACCCCTTCCCCCAGGTTCTCTGTCCCAAGGAGATGGGGGTTTTATCTGACTGGGGCTGCTGCCTTTCTTTTAGAGATGCCCTGCCCAGAGAGGAGGAATCTAGAGAGGCAGTCGGGCTACAGCCGCTTTGTGGCACTCTGATGGGCTCCGCCCACTCTGAACTTCCTGGTGGCTTTGTTTACACTGTGGGGGGAAAACCACCTATTCAAGCCCCAGAAATGGCAGACGTCCCTCCACCCACCAAGCTGTAGCATCCCAGGTTGATTTCAGACTGCAGTGCTGGCAGCGAGAATTTCAAGTCAGTGGATCTTAGCTTGCTGGGCTCCGTGGGGGTTGGATCCACTGAGCAAGAGTACTTGGCTCCCTGGCTTCAGCCCCATTTCCAGGGGAGTGAATGGTTCTGTCTCACTGGTGTTTCAGGTGCCTCTGGGGTACGAAAAAAACTCCTGCAGCTAGCTTGGTGTCTGCCCAAATGGCTGCCCAGTTTTGTGCTCAAAACTGAGGGCCCTGGTGGTGTATGCACTGGAGGGAATCTGCTGGTCTGTGGATTGGGAAGACCGTGGGAAAAGTGTAGTATCTGGGCTGGAGTGCACCATCCCTCATGGCAGGGTCCCGCATGCATGGCTTCCATTGGCTAAGGGAGGGAGTTCCCAGACTCCTTGCTCTTTCCGGGTGAGGCAACACCCCACCCGGCTTCAGTTCACCCTCCATGGGTGGCACCCACTGTCTAACCAGCCTCAACGAGATTAACTGGGTACCTCAATTGGAGGTGTAGAAATCACCCGCCTTCTGCATTGGTCTTACTGGGAGCTGCAGCCCAGAGCTGTTTTTATTTGGCTATCTTGCCTGGGAATAATCACAGTGGTTTTTGTGGTTGTTGTTGTTGTTATTATTGTTGTTGTTTTTTCTAGGCTTCTAGGAAAAATATCCAAAGCCAGGGAAGGCTTGACTACATTACAGTTTTGGTTAGGGCTAAGTAAATATAGCAGTGACTCCTGTGGGTTTCTAGTATGAGTAGTTGGTATAAGGGCTATTAAATAATCATGAACTTGAAATGATGCTGTTCTGGAATTTCAGCCTCATCAAGGTAGGTGTTGTTATTGCCACATTGCAGATATATTCAGTCTTATAAAGGTTAATTGACTTGCCTAAGGTCACAGAGCAAGAGAGTGGTAAAATTAAGAATTGAATTCCAGGTCTCTGTGGCTCCAAGGTCTATGTTCTCTATATCGGTCAATAGATTCGGTAGGAATGATGACTGATAAACAGAGTCAGTCGAAGGCTGAGAGCTGAGAGTAAATTTGTTATAGCTAATCTTCCTTGATCCTTTAGTGACCTACGTACAATGTAATCAGGGCAGATCTTGTAGCTATTTCAGGTTTAGATTTAGTGTGTATGAAAGAAACAGAAGCAACAAGGGGGTCAGAGAGGAGAACAATGAGGAATCCAGAGAGGAGTTTCAGATGCAGGACGTAGCAAAGGAACTAACTAACTAGGTGAATGCTGTAAAGAACAGAAAAAAATGTGCCCATGCATAATTCCTATTGATTTAGCAAGAATCCACCTTAGAGTTATTTGCTAAAATCTGTGAGCCACCCTGTGGGTGGGATACTCATGGACGCAAAGAAGGAAACAACAGACACTGGGGCCTACCTGAGATTGGAGGGTGGGAGGAGGGAGAGGATCAGAAAAGGTAACTATTCGGTACTACTAGGCTTTGTCACCTTAGGGTGACAAAACAATCTGTGCAGCAAGCCCTGTGACATGAGTTTACCTGTATAACAAACCCGCACATGTACCCTGAACCTAAAGTAAAAGCTTTTTTAAAAAGAAAAAAAGTAAAAAACTTAAAAACCTGAATTTGTAGCATTTTAGATTTTTACTTACAAAGAACCAAAGTATATAATTCAACGGTATTCAAACCAAAAAAACTGGAATTCTTGTCTTTACACAAACGTAAGCAGAATTCCTATATATAAAGCGGGTAATTGCGGAGCCACTTGGAGGCTTTCCACCTGGATGCTCCATTGCCTCGTACTGGTGACCTCTGAGGCACCTCCTCAGGCTTCTGGGCTCTCAGAAACGGGTTGCAAAAGCTGGCTGGGAGAACTAGAAGGTGATTAGGCTTCAAAAGTCCTGCGTCTCTTATCTGCTCTACACACCTTGGCTGTATGGCCTTGGGCAAGTCTGCGTCTAAGCCCCTTGCTCTGGAAATGGAGATGAAGGTAACTCATGACCTGCCCACCTCAGAGCACTATTGAGATCGAGGACACTGGAGGTCCCATGTAAATATCTAATGGTATTATTTTGTGATAGCACTCTCCATCTTGGAATGTTTTATTCCTTTTGAAAAACTTTATGCCTAATAAATTCTTTCTGATACCCAATAATTTTATACCTTGTGCCCAGCTTTCCAAGATGGTTTAGTTCCATTTCTCTTAGTTCGCTATGAGCTATTACTACTCCAAATCCTATTCGATAAGAATGTAAGGGGTTGTCAAGACTGCCTCTAGGTTTGGTGATTCACTAGGAGAAGTCACAGGACTCAACATATGATTTATTACATTGAAAAAATACAAAACAAAATCAGCACAGGGAAAATGTACATGGGGCAAAGTCCAAAAGAAACCAAGTTCAAGCTTCCAAGAGTCCTGTCCCTGTAATTCCTCCAGCATCAACTTGTGATGCCATGTGTGAAATGTCTATCAGGAAAACCTAGTAAAGACTCAATGCCCAAGGATTTGACTGGGGGCTGGTCAGTAGGCACCCTCTGCATAGCATATATTAAGATTCCACACTCCCGGATGGAAAGCAGATATTAGCATAAACCACATTACTTTATAAGTAGTTTAGGCGCAGTGAGACAATCATTAGTTAGGACTCGTAGGAAGCCCCCTGAAATTCTATTTGCCAGGTAAGAGCTAAGGACCCAACTTGCAAACAGGTCTTCTAAGAATAACAGTCTCAGGCTTACTACGTAAACTCTTTTTTTTTTTTTTTCTCAGTAAGCTGCATTTTTTTTTTCTAGATACCTGTTAAATCAATTTGGATATAAAAATAACTTAGGAAAATGCAGGAATTTTTTCCATGTTCATGACAGCATTTCTGTGATAAGAGTTCTCATTCAAATTCTCAGAACTCAGATAATTTACTCTGCTTTTATAAAAGCTCACAGTCTTATGATTAAATGAAATGAACATAATAAAAATACAACAAAAATCTAAGATAAAGAATCTAGTTAACTTTTAGAGTTATTATAGAAACATATCATTTTATATGTTCTTTTTCAATGAAAGTAAATTTTGTGAAAATATTTAATTCAAGTCTCTCCCCGAAGCCCAACATGTTTGTGTGCATGAAAATAATGAAAATAATTCTGAAAACTTGTAGGTTAATTAGGTAAATTTCTTTTGGAAAAGTTTATGTTGAGTTTTCCAAAATGCTAAGCTGCTATAGCAAGAGACCTAATACTAAGATAGCTTAAAAAACAAAAATGTTTATTTCTCTCATACATAATAGTTCCAAGGTGAGAGATTCAGGTGGATGGGGCAGATCTGTCCACTTCATCAGGGACTTGACTGACGGTAGCCCTGCCATCTGCATCAGGTAGTTCTGCACAGAGTTTCCCAATTCTGGTCACTGGAAGGAAGTTAGGAGATTTGAAGAAGGGTGAGGAGCAGAAGTCCAGAGCCAAGAATGCCCTCTTAAGCGTGTGTTTTGAAAATTGCTCTCATCAGCTCTGCTCATTGGTGTCAGTCTGGTCACATGGCCACATCTAGTTGCAAGAGAAGCTGAGAAATGTAACCTAGCTCCATGCTCAGGAAGAAAAGAAGGGAAACTGTTGGTGGACTGCTAGCCATTTCCCCCACAGCCCCAAAAAGCTTCCCATTGCAGGTGTAAACTAGGGTATTTAGCCCTTTGTTCTAAATATTCATAACTTTCCAAGTAATTGCAGAGGAAATACAAAATATTTCTAGAATAATATTCAAGCTATCTTTAAAAATCGGTGTAATCTGCAGCATGAGAAGATTTCAAGATGAAAAACTCCCATTTTAATTGAGGTTTTGTCAATTTAATTAATTCTTTCAATATGTTTTGTTATTCTTGATATTTGTACCCCAACTCTAGTTAATATATTATTTCTCTTTAGTTTGCCCTTTTGAGATATATGTAAGGCTTTTCCACCCAAGCCAATTCTTAGCTAAAGAATTGAATACTTTTTAACTTCTATATTACAGTTATGATTTCAAGGTTTGTACTTCCTTAATGTAAATCTAGGGAAATTGAAAAATAAAGCACCCCACTTCCAGTTTCTACATTTATACCACATCTGTTATCTTACTTATAGATATAATATCCAACTCCTTGAGGTTATTATGTTTATAATGAACTGGTTTATGTTTTCATTCCAGATGTGTAAATAGTAGCATTTGATTAGTTAAGTTTAAAATTGAATTTTAAAATTGTTTAGAAGACTTGTGTTGTTTTATTGTATAATCGCCTATGATTTCTATAGCTTTATTTTAAAGTTGGTGAGTAAAAAAGGTAGATGCTAGATATTGATGACCAGTAATAAAGGTTCATATATTTCATTGTCTGGGAATGCATTATAAACTGAGTAATGGGCCTTGGTATCTATTTCTTTTTATTTCTACATCTTGAGATTTTTGTATAACACACACACACACGTGTATGTATATGTATATATTTTTCATTTTAATATATTTCATCTAAATGTAAAATCTCCCCACTTGCAGAAAAGTTTTCCATTATTAAAAGAGCAGTCCTGGGGAGAGGAGCCAAGATGGCCGAATAGGAACAGCTCCGGTCTACAGCTCCCAGCGTGAGCGACGCAGAAGACGGGTGATTTCTGCATTTCCATCTGAGGTACCGGGTTCATCTCACTAGGGAGTGCAAGACAGTGGGCGCAGGTCAGTGGGTGCGCACGGGCGAGCCGAAGCAGGGCGAGGCATTGCCTCACTTGGGAAGCGCAAGGGGTCAGGGAGTTCCCTTTCCGAGTCAAAGAAAGGGGTGACGGACGGCACCTGGAAAATCGGGTCACTCCCACCCGAATATTGCGCTTTTCGGACCGGCTTAGAAAATGGCGCACCACGAGATTATATCCCGCACCTGGCTCGGAGGGTCCTACACCCACGGAGTCTCGCTGATTGCTAGCACAGCAGTCTGAGATCAAACTGCAAGGCGGCAGCGAGGCTGGGGGAGGGGCGCCCGCCATTGCCCAGGCTTGCTTAGGTAAACAAAGCAGCCCGGAAGCTCGAACTGGGTGGAGCCCACCACAGCTCAAGGAGGCCTGCCTGCCTCTGTAGGCTCCACCTCTGGGGGAAGGGCACAGACAAACAAAAAGACAGCAGTAACCTCTGCAGACTTAAATGTCCCTGTCTGACAGCTTTGAAGAGAGCAGTGGTTCTCCCAGCACGCAGCTGGAGATCTGAGAACGGGCAGACTGCCTCCTCAAGTGGGTCCCTGACCCCTGACCCCCGAGCAGCCTAACTGGGAGGCACCCCCCAGGAGGGGCACACTGACACCTCACACGGCAGGGTATTCCAACAGACCTGCAGCTGAGGGTCCTGTCTGTTAGAAGGAAAACTAACAAACAGAAAGGACATCCACACCAAAAACCCATCTGTACATCACCATCATCAAAGACCAAAAGTAGATAAAACCACAAAGATGGGGAAAAAACAGAACAGAAAAACTGGAAACTCTAAAACGCAGAGCGCCTCTCCTCCTCCAAAGGAATGCAGTTCCTCGCAGCAACGGAACAAAGCTGGATGGAGAATGACTTTGACGAGCTGAGAGAAGAAGGCTTCAGATGATCAAATTACTCTGAGCTATGGGAGGATATTCAAACCAAAGGCAAAGAAGTTGAAAAGTTTGAAAAAAATTTAGAAGAATGTATAACTAGAATAACCAATACAGAGAAGTGCTTAAAGGAGCTGATGGAGCTGAAAACCAAGGCTCGAGAACTACGTGAAGAATGCAGAAGCCTCAGGAGCCGATGCGATCAACTGGAAGAATGGGTATCAGCGATGGAAGATGAAATGAATGAAATGAAGCGAGAAGGGAAGTTTAGAGAAAAAAGAATAAAAAGAAATGAGCAAAGCCTCCAAGAAATATGGGACTATGTGAAAAGACCAAATCTACGTCTGATTGGTGTACCTGAAAGTGATGGGGAGAATGGAAGCAAGTTGGAAAACACTCTGCAGGATATTATCCAGGAGAACTTCCCCAATCTAGCAAGGCAGGCCAACGTTCAGATTCAGGAAATACGGAGAACGCCACAGAGATACTCCTCGAGAAGAGCAACTCCAAGACATATAATTGTCAGATTCACCAAAGTTGAAATGAAGGAAAAAATGTTAAGGGCAGCCAGAGAGAAAGGTCGGATTACCCTCAAAGGGAAGCCCATCAGACTAACAGCGGATCTCTCGGCAGAAACCCTATAAGCCAGAAGAGAGTGGGGGCCAATATTCAACATTCTTAAAAGAATAGCAGAAGCTAAAATAGCTTAAAATAGCTTAAAATAAATAGCTACATAAACTAAAATAAAATAAATAGCTCAAAAGCTAGCAGAAGGCAAGAAATAACTAAAATCAGAGCAGAACTGAAGGAAATAGAGACACAAAAAACCCTTCAAAAAAATTAATGAATCCAGGAGCTGGTTTTTTGAAAGGATCAACAAAATTGATAGACCGCTAGCAAGACTAATAAAGAAAAAAAGAGAGAAGAATCAAATAGACACAATAAAAAATGATAAAGGGGATATCACCACCGATCCCACAGAAATACAAACTACCATCAGAGAATACTACAAACACCTCTACACAAATAAACTAGAAAACCTAGAAGAAATGGATAAATTCCTCGACACATACACTCTCCCAAGACTAAACCAGGAAGAAGTTGAATCTCTGAATAGACCAATAACAGGATCTGAAATTGTGGCAATAATCAATAGCTTACCAACCAAAAAGAGTCCAGGACCAGATGGATTCACAGCCGAATTCTACCAGAGGTACAAGGAGGAACTGGTACCATTCCTTCTGAAACTATTCCAATCAATAGAAAAAGAGGGAACCCTCCCTAACTCATTTTATGAGGCCAGCATCATTCTGATACCAATGCCAGGCAGAGACACAACCAAAAAAGAGAATTTTAGACCAATATCCTTGATGAACATTGATGCAAAAATCCTCAATAAAATACTGGCAAACCAAATCCAGCAGCACATCAAAAAGCTTATCCACCATGATCAAGTGGGCTTCATCCCTGGGATGCAAGGCTGGTTCAATATACGCAAATCAATAAATGTAATCCAGCATATAAACAGAGCCAAAGACAAAAACCACATGATTGTCTCAGTAGATGCAGAAAAAGCCTTTGACAAAATTCAACAACCCTTCATGCTAAAAACTCTCAATAAATTAGGTATTGATGGGACGTATTTCAAAATAATAAGAGCTATCTCTGACAAACCCACAGCCAATATCATACTGAATGGGCAAAAACTGGAAGCATTCCCTTTGAAAACTGGCACAAGACAGGGATGCCCTCTCTTACCACTCCTATTCAACATAGTGTCGGAAGTTCTGGCCAGGGCAATTAGGCAGGAGAAGGAAATAAAGGGTATTCAATTAGGAAAAGAGGAAGTCAAATTACCATACTGCCCAAGGTAATTTACAGATTCAATGCCATCCCCATCAAGCTACCAATGACTTTCTTCACAGAATTGGAAAAAACTACTTTAAAGTTCATATGGAACCAAAAAAGAGCCCGCATCGCCAAGTCAATCCTAAGCCAAAAGAACAAAGCTGGAGGCATCACACTACCTGACTTCAAACTTAACTACAAGGCTACGGTAACCAAAACAGCATGGTACTGGTACCAAAACAGAGATATAGATCAATGGAACAGAACAGAGCCCTCAGAAATAACGCCGCATATCTACAACTATCCGATCTTTGACAAACCTGAGAAAAACAAGCAATGGGGTAAGGATTCCCTATTTAATAAATGGTGCTGGGAAAACGGGCTAGCCATATGTAGAAAGCTGAAACTGGATCCCTTCCTTACACCTTATACAAAAATGAATTCAAGATGGATTAAAGACTTAAACATTAGACCTAAAACCATAAAAACCCTAGAAGAAAACCTAGGCATTACCATTCAGGACACAGGCATGGGCAAGGACTTCATGTACAAAACACCAAAAGCAATGGCAACAAAAGAGAAAATTGACAAATGGGATCTAATTAAACTAAAGAGCTTCTGCACAGCAAAAGAAACTACCATCAGAGTGAACAGGCAACCTACAAAATGGGAGAAAATTTTTGCAACCTACTCATCTGACAAAGGGCTAATATCCAGAATCTACAATGAACTCAAACAAATTTACAAGAAAAAAACAAACAACCCCATCAAAAAGTGGGCGAAGGACTTGAACAGACACTTCTCAAAAGAAGACATTTATGCAGCCAAAAAACACATGAAAAAATGCTCATCATCACTGGCCATCAGAGAAATGCAAATCAAAACCACAGTGAGATACCATCTCACACCAGTTAGAATGGCAATCATTAAAAAGTCAGGAAACAACAGGTACTGGAGAGGATGTGGAGAAATAGGAACACTTTTACACTGTTGGTGGGACTGTAAACTGGTTCAACCATTGTGGAAGTCAGTGTGGCGATTCCTCAGGGATCTAGAACTAGAAATACCATTTGACCCAGCCATCCCATTACTGGGTATATACCCAAAGGACTATAAATCATGCTGCTATAAAGACACATGCACACGTATGTTTATTGCGGCATTATTCACAATAGCAAAGACTTGGAACCAACCCAAATGTCCAACAACGATAGACTGGATTAAGAAAATGTGGCACATATACACCATGGAATACTATGCAGCCATAAAAAATGATGAGTTCATGTCCTTTGTAGGGACATGGATGAAATTGGAAATCATCATTCTCAGTAAACTATCACAAGAACAAAAAACCAAACACAGCATATTCTCACTCATAGGTGGGAATTGAACAATGAGATCACATGGACACAGGAAGGGGACTATCACACTCTGGGGCCTGTGGTGGGGTGGGGGGAGGGGGGAGGGATAGCATTGGGAGATATACTTAATGCTAGATGACCAGTTAGTGGGTGCAGCGCACCAGCAATGTCACATGTATACATATGTAATTAACCTGCACAATGTGCACATGTACCCTAAAACTTAAAGTATAAAAAATAAAAATAAAAAAATAAAAAAATAAAAAAAGAATGTAAAATATAGACATTTGACATTGTTAAGTTTCTAGTCATAATTTTAGAATGTACAATTTTTCAACTATGTGTCTTCTTATATTATGGAATTCTGTCTATTGCTGTTGAAATCTTAGCCTCTTATTTAATATTGTTATTATTTTTTGTAGTGAACTACATTTTTCTTCTTAAAACCTAGGGCTGCCAGATATGGTAATAAGTCATTCAATAATAAAAATGGTATTTTGTAAAAAAAGAGTTCTCATTCAAATTCTCAGAACTCAGATAATTTACTCTGCTTTTATAAAAGCTCACAGTCTTATGATTAAATGAAATGAACATAATAAAAATACAACAAAAACCTAAGATAAAGAATCTAGTTAACTTTTAGAGTTATTATAGAAACATATCATTTTATATGTTCCTTTTCAATGAAAGTAAATTTCGTAGAAATATTTAATTCAAGTCTCTCCCCAAAGCCCAACATTTTTGTGTGCATGAAAATAATGAAAATAATTCTGAAAACTTGTAGATTAATTAGGTAAATTTCTTTTGGAAAAGTTTATGTTGAGTTTTCCAAAATGCTAAGCTGCTATAGCAAGAGACCTAATACTAAGATAGCTTAAAAAACAAAAAATGTTTATTTCTCTCATACATAATAGTTCCAAGGTGAGAGATTCAGGTGGATGGGGCAGATCTGTCCACTTCATCAGGGACTTGACTGACAGTAGCCCTGCCATCTGCATCAGGTAGTTCTGCACAGAGTTTCCCAATTCTGGTCACTGGAAGGAAGTTAGGAGCTTTGAAGAAGGGTGAGGAGCAGAAGTCCAGAGCCAAGAATGCCCTCTTAAGCATGTGATTTGAAAATTGCTCTCATCAGCTCTGCTCATTGGTGTCAGTCTGGTCACATGGCCACATCTATTTGCAAGAGAAGCTGAGAAATGTAACCTAGCTCCATGCTCAGGAAGAAAAGAAGGGAAACTGTTGGTGGACTGCTAGCCATTTCCCCCACAGCCCCAAAAGGCTTCCCATTGCAGTTGTAAACTAGGGTATTTAGCCCTTTGTTCTAAATATTCATAACTTTCCAAGTAATTGCAGAGGAAATACAAAATATTTCTAGAATAATATTTAAGCTATCTTTAAAAATCGGTGTAATCTGCAGCATAAGAAGATTTCAAGATGAAAAACTCCCATTTTAATTGAGGTTTTGTCAATTTAATTAATTCTTTCAATATGTTTTGTTATTCTTGATATTTGTACCCCAACTCTAGTTAATATATTATTTCTCTTTAGTTTGCCCTTTTGAGATATATGTAAGGCTTTTCCACCCAAGCCAATTCTTAGCTAAAGAATTGAATACTTTTTAACTTCTATATTACAGTTGTGATTTCAAGGTTTGTACTTCCTTAATGTAAATCTAGGGAAATTGAAAAATAAAGCACCCCACTTCCAGTTTCTACATTTATACCACATCTGTTATCTTACTTATAGATATAATATCCAACTCCTTGAGGTTATTATGTTTATAATGAACTGGTTTATGTTTTCATTCCAGATGTGTAAATAGTAGCATTTGATTAGTTAAGTTTAAAATTGAATTTTAAAATTGTTTAGAAGACTTGTGTTGTTTTATTGTATAATCGCCTATGATTTCTATAGCTTTATTTTAAAGTTGGTGAGTAAAAAAGGTAGATGCTAGATATTGATGACCAGTAATAAAGGTTCATATATTTCATTGTCTGGGAATACATTAAAAACTGAGTAATGGGCCTTGGTATCTATTTTTTTAAATTTCTACATCGAGATTTTTGTATAACACACACACACGTGTATGCATATGTATATATTTTTCATTTTAATGTATTTCATCTAAATGTAAAATCTCCCCACTTGCAGAAAAGTTTTCCATTATTAAAAGAGCAGTCCTTTATGTATTGAGATGATGCCACTATGCACGGTGATTAAAAATTTCATTTTGACCTGTTTCTTGTTGGTGGAGACAGCTTTGTACTGAGTTCTTCTCACTCTTTCCCACAGTCCCTGGCACAGAACAGCCATTCACCAGATGCCAAGTTTGACTTGGGCACAGAGCATGTGGTCAGAGGACAGGATGTAATTAACCCATTCATATGGAACAAACCCATGACCTAGGAGTCACACAGGGCATGGAGCCAAACTGCTGCACACAAAAAATCCTTCAGTAGTGTGAATTTACACAGTGCTTCAAATGTCTATTTCTCTTCCTCAAAACTCTTACTAATCTATTATATCACTGTGGTCTCACAAAAGTCTTGAGAAGTATGAAGAGAGAAGCATGACCAGATCTATTTTTCTTACATTCTCCTTCCTTCCTTCCTTCCCTCCTTCCTTCCTTCCCTCCTTCCCCCCTTCCTTCTTCCATCTTCCTTCTATCCATCTTTTCAAATTCCTCCCCTTTTTCTTATTCACAGGTAGAGAAATTAAGGGGGCAGAGGTGTTTGAGTAAAATGTTAGTAAGAATTCAGATCTATTAGCTGCAAACCCAGTGCAATTGTTACCATGTAAGGATACAGATGGAGACAGAGGAAAGTTTGTATGTGTGTGTGTTTGTTGAGTGGAGGGAGTGAAGTAGTTCACAAAGACAGTCTTTCTACTTCAAGCTTTTCCTTGATCATCCAAACCTTTGCATCTCGGAAGGCTCCCTAGGAGCTCTCTGGTTGCCCCCAGTGCTGCTTGGCACTGCTCCTTGATCTGGCTTCCTCTTGACAATTTCCACAGATGAGATGCTCACTATCTCACATGGCAGCACATGCTAGTTGGGATCATTTATGTGGTGAGAACATATATTGGGTTAAATTTTGCCTCCCTGTGACTTCCATTCCCTATGGGAATACATAAAGAAGTGGAACGTTTTCCTTGACAAGTTCTAGTCTAGATATCTGATAACACCTCTTGTGACTTCCCCAAGCTTTTCCCCTCCAGGCAAGCATCTCTGTTTCCTACAGCTTTGCCTCTTGATGTTTATGGTGTCTTCTTTCCCTGTCCATCTTAAAAAGTACAGGGAACAGAGAGCCAGATTCCAGCTCAGAGAACAGTGGGCAGGAACTCTCCCGGAGCTGAAAGGCCTGTATAAGCAGAAATTCCAAGAGTGGGCTCTGGGGACAGGCACTGCCGTCGTCATCCTGACTCTGCCTCGGGAGAAGTTACCTACGCTTTCTCTACTTCAGTTTATTAATCTATAAAACAATGATAACAGGAATAAATAAAATCATGCTCATGAGTAATTTAGAAAAGTGCCTGACACACAAGTCCATGTGTTAGTTGCCATTGCATTTATATTTTTGGCAGCCATGCTACACTGGTAGTTCATTCAGAACTTTTAGTCATATATGACCAGGGCCAGAACTACTAAAAACCAACGTCCCTTCTCTCTTATATACGTATGTGCAGTGTGTATGTTTTATGTATTAGAACCTAAATGATGGGACTCTATCCCTGTTTAAATTCATCTGATTTATTTTAGCATATCCTCCATCCTATTAAGTTCCTTGAATCTTGATGATGTCGTCCAACATAGCAAGTATCCCTTACAGTCTTTTTTTGTTCTTTAAAGGTTTGATAGGTACATCTTTTATGACTTCAACCTAACCACAGAGAAAATAAAAAGCCAAACAAGACTGGAACAATTACAGAGCACTTTTGGTTTACATTATCATCCTGCCTGAATTTATTTATCTAGTCCATAATAGTACAAGCTATTGAATTTTGTGTTTGAAATTAAGATATCCACTTTGCAAAGATTCTGTATTGACAACACTGATTATCCACATATTAACACAAAGAAAGGAGACTGGTTTGGCATGACTTATTTATAAAGCAAATTTTTGGTTTGCTCCTTCTTTCCTCCATTCTCTTAGTTATTAATGAATCAGAGGAATATGTGTGGCATTGGCTATAATATGCACAGTTACCACCATGATTTTGCTTGCAAACCTGACCAGAACTTACTTATAATTTCACTATCTGAGGACCAAGTGAAAATGTGTTTCTAGCTTAGCAGAAACTAATCCACCGATGGGTTTTACTTTATATGTATAAACCATAAAAATACCCTTTTTGGTCCAAAAAGTCAAAAGAAAATTACTTATCACAGCAATGTCACAGAAAATTACTTATTTCACATTACAAATAAGCAACCCCTCAACAAATAAGCAAAAAATAAAAGAAATCCAACTAGAAGAGTAAGTCCAGAGACTCTTAGTTATTTGCTTGGGGTAATCCAGGAAGTGGATAACAGAACCAGTAAAAATCAGACTTACTCTCTGCCCAGTATTTTTCCCTATCCAATGCTGTGTTGCTTTCCGCCCTTATGCCTCTCATGGGAGCACCGTATCAGGTGAGATTTTGACCACAGGCTTCACGGAGGTTCATGTGAGGCTTCATATCTTTGACGTAATCAACCTCTGAATCTTTTGAGGTTCATCCATCATTAATTTGAAGTAATTGTTTTGACATTGTTGATCTCTCAAAACATAAAAAGTACTCCCTAACAAGAAAGAGGCTGTGATTTCATTAAGGATTTGTTACATTTCAAGGGGGAATACAATTATTTTATGAAAAACAAAAGGAAACTTGTCATAGTCTATTAAAGCAATCTCCTAACCCCCACTGAAATTGTCTGAGGACTTACACAGCCCCTAATTACACACAGTCTACCTTGGATTTTCATGTAATTTAAATGAATGAGTCTTGTACTGAATGTCTCATTTTTAAATTACTCAATGTCTCCTATTTAAATTGCTCACACTCAATATTTTGACCTCCTTCCTCAAAGAGTCACCTAAAAGAATACAAGATTCTAGAAAAAAGAGAGCCTATGTCTCAGAACGTTATCAAATTACTGATTTTTTTTTTTTTAGACACTGACTAGTTCACATTTCTTTACTAAAAATACTGTGGAGTGTTTGCCATAGGAAGAAAAGAATGAATAAGTTGAAGAAAAGGGTTTTATTTCCTTAAATTCTCAGTGAGATTAGAAAATGCTTCTTACTGTTAACCTTAAAATCCGATGTGCAAGGCTTGCCCACTGCTAGCTACATACGAAGGAAGTAAACTGCCAGATTGTAAACACAGCTTGAGTCGCCTCCTTTCTGATGGTTTGAACTAAACTTAGGCCCCCTTGGGATCTGAATTTATTTTTGACAAAATGCAGCTATCTGTTTCAAGGAAGGATAACAAGAAATCACCTTATAATGCGTCCTTCTAGAACTAATTGTCCTGAAAGTGGTCATTTTAATGACCTACAGTATAGATTTTTTAAAAATCAAAATTGATGAGAATTTTTGAGTCCTGGTTTGAGGTGAGTTCTCAATGTTTGGAAACCATTTTCAGAGATCAGTTGGCCTGAGATGTGAGGAAGCATGGGGATGGGAGAGCATCCTCACCTCTCAGGTCAACTGGAGGGAGGTGTAGGAATGTTAATTATTTCCTGACTATCCCTGAAACTGGGTGAAAAAAAAGGAGAGAGAGAAAAGAAAATCAAGCTTTTGGTCAATTTAAAGCATATTATTTTCCATATTATACTTCATTTTTGAGAGTCTCCTGGATATTCTATTATGCAAGTCTTTCTTTGCATGACCAAGTCCAGTTACTGTCACAAGGATTCTCATGACATACACAAATAGGGGTGAATAAAAATTGTTTTGTAAAGTGTTATGTGTTTTGTAAAGTGTTATGCATGGGTCAGTAGTAAATAATAAAAATACTGGAGCAGTGGTTCTCCCAGCACGCAGCTGGAGATCTGAGAACGGGCAGACTGCCTCCTCAAATGGGTCCCTGACCCCTGACCCCCGAGCAGCCTAACTGGGAGGCACCCCCCAGCAGGCGCACACTGACACCTCACACGGCAGGGTATTCCAACAGACCTGCAGCTGAGGGTCCTGTCTGTTAGAAGGAAAACTAACAAACAGAAAGGACATCCACACCAAAAACCCATCTGTACATCACCATCATCAAAGACCAAAAGTAGATAAAACCACAAAGATGGGGAAAAAACAGAACAGAAAAACTGGAAACTCTAAAACACAGAGCGCCTCTCCTCCTCCAAAGGAACGCAGTTCCTCACCAGCAACGGAACAAAGCTGGATGGAGAATGACTTTGACGAGCTGAGAGAAGAAGGCTTCAGATGATCAAATTACTCTGAGCTACGGGAGGACATTCAAACCAAAGGCAAAGAAGTTGAAAAGTTTGAAAAAAATTTAGAAGAATGTATAACTAGAATAACCAATACAGAGAAGTGCTTAAAGGAGCTGATGGAGCTGAAAACCAAGGCTCGAGAACTACGTGAAGAATGCAGAAGCCTCAGGAGCCGATGCAATCAACTGGAAGAAAGGGTATCAGTGATGGAAGATGAAATGAATGAAATGAAGCGAGAAGGGAAGTTTAGAGAAAAAAGAATAAAAAGAAATGAGCAAAGCCTCCAAGAAATATGGGACTATGTGAAAAGACCAAATCTACGTCTGATTGGTGTACCTGAAAGTGATGGGGAGAATGGAACCAAGTTGGAAAACACTCTGCAGGATATTATCCAGGAGAACTTCCCCAATCTAGCAAGGCAGGCCAACGTTCAGATTCAGGAAATACAGAGAATGCCACAGAGATACTCCTCGAGAAGAGCAACTCCAAGACACATAATTATCAGATTCACCAAAGTTGAAATGAAGGAAAAAATGTTAAGGGCAGCCAGAGAGAAAGGTCGGATTACCCTCAAAGGGAAGCCCATCAGACTAACAGTGGATCTCTCGGCAGAAACCCTACAAGCCAGAAGAGAGTGGGGGCCAATATTCAACATTCTTAAAGAAAAGAATTTTCAACCCAGAATTTCATATCCAGACAAACTAAGCTTCATAAGTGAAGGAGAAATAAAATCCTTTACAGACAAGCAAATGCTGAGAGATTTTGTCACCACCAGGCCTGCCCTAAAAGAGCTCCTGAAGGAAGCGCTAAACATGGAAAGGAACAACCGGTACCAGCCGCTGCAAAATCAAGCCAAAATGTAAAGACCATCGAGACTAGGAAGAAACTGCATCAACTAACGAGCAAAATCACCAGCTAACATCATAATGACAGGATCAAATTCACACATAACAATATTAACTTTAAATGTAAATGGACTAAACGCTCCAATTAAAAGACACAGACTGGCAAATTGGATAAAGAGTCAAGACCCATCAGTGTGCTGTATTCAGGAAACCCATCTCACGTGCAGAGACACACATAGGCTCAAAATAAAAGGA
Source organism: Homo sapiens (assembly GCF_000001405.40). NCBI lineage: Eukaryota > Metazoa > Chordata > Mammalia > Primates > Hominidae > Homo > Homo sapiens. Next base: position 175,693,108 of record NC_000002.12, on the reverse strand, counting down.
TGGAGGAAGATCTACCAAGCAAATGGAAAACAAAAAAAGGCAGGGGTTGCCATCCTAGTCTCTGATAAAACAGACTTTAAACCAACAAAGATCAAAAGAGACAAAGAAGGCCATTACATAATGGTAAAGGGATCAATTCAACAAGAAGAGCTAACTATCCTAAATATATATGCACCCAATACAGGAGCACCCAGATTCATAAAGCAAGTCCTGAGTGACCTACAAAGAGACTTAGACTCCCACACATTAATAATGGGAGACTTTAACACCCCACTGTCAACATTAGACAGATCAACGAGACAGAAAGTCAACAAGGATACCCAGGAATTGAACTCAGCTCTGCACCAAGCAGACCTAATAGACATCTACAGAACTCTCCACCCCAGATCAACAGAATATACATTTTTTTCAGCACCGCACCACACCTATTCCAAAATTGACCACATACTTGGAAGTAAAGCTCTCCTCAGCAAATGTAAAAGAACAGAGATTATAACAAACTATCTCTCAGACCACAGTGCAATCAAACTAGAACTCAGGATTAAGAATCTCACTCAAAACCGCTCAACTACATGGAAACTGAACATCCTGCTCCTGAATGACTACTGGGTACATAACGAAATGAAGGCAGAAATAAAGATGTTCTTTGAAACCAATGAGAACAAAGACACAACATACCAGAATCTCTGGGACGCATTCAAAGCAGTGTGTAGAGGGAAATTTATAGCACTAAATGCCCACAAGAGAAAGCAGGAAAGATCCAAAATTGACACCCTAACATCACAATTAAAAGAACTAGAAAAGCAAGAGCAAACACATTCAAAAGCTAGCAGAAGGCAAGAAATAACTAAAATCAGAGCAGAACTGAAGGAAACAGAGACACAAAAAACCCTTCAAAAAATTAATGAATCCAGGAGCTGGTTTTTTGAAAGGATCAACAAAATTGATAGACCACTAGCAAGACTAATAAAGAAAAAAAGAGAGAAGAATCAAATAGACACAATAAAAAATGATAAAGGGGATATCACCACCGATCCCACAGAAATACAAACTACCATCAGAGAATACTACAAACACCTCTACGCAAATAAACTAGAAAACCTAGAAGAAATGGATAAATTCCTCGACACATACACTCTCCCAAGACTAAACCAGGAAGAAGTTGAATCTCTGAATAGACCAATAACAGGATCTGAAATTGTGGCAATAATCAATAGCTTACCAACCAAAAAGAGTCCAGGACCAGATGGATTCACAGCCGAATTCTACCAGAGGTACAAGGAGGAACTGGTACCATTCCTTCTGAAACTATTCCAATTAATAGAAAAAGAGGGAATCCTCCCTAACTCATTTTATGAAGCCAGCATCATCCTGATACCAAAGCCGGGCAGAGACACAACCAAAAAAGAGAATTTTCGACCAATATCCTTGATGAACATTGATGCAAAAATCCTCAATAAAATACTGGCAAAACGAATCCAGCAGCACATCAAAAAGCTTATCCACCATGATCAAGTGGGCTTCATCCCTGGGATGCAAGGCTGGTTCAATATACGCAAATCAATAAATGTAATCCAGCATATAAACAGAGCCAAAGACAAAAACCACATGATTATCTCAATAGATGCAGAAAAAGCCTTTGAAAATAATAATAATAATAATAATAACAATATTGAAACACATATAACTCTATAAAGTAGGCTCTGTTTTTTTCTGATTTCAGATGAGGAAACTACAGCATGGGCAGGTAAATATGTTGATCAAGTTGACTTAGCTTTTAGGCCAATACTACTTAAATAGTTTGCTCTTTCTGTAGCATGAACTTAGATTTTTAGAAACAATTGTGGCCAGTAACACAATGGAAAGGCATCATCTACATTCCAAATCGACCAGACTAGAATTGTGTCCTGCTGTGTTGTGTTAGTGGTGCCATGTCAGTTCCCAATGATAGTGATTAACAGTAACATTTGGAGAAAGGACAGCAGTGGAGAGTGAGAATGTAGCTTTATCATTGTGAAGAGCTGAGACAGTAGCAAAAAGTTTCAGGATAGACTATCTGAGAAATGAGTGGGACTTGGATTTTGGCCACTCATTGATTCGTCCAGAAAATATTTAATGAACATTTACTGTGTGCCTGGCATGCTGTTCTCAACCGTGAGGACCATGGTGAGCACAACAGATGAAGCCCTTCCTGTAATGTAGATAACATGGCCTCCAAAGGTACTTCACACTAATAATTTTTACTTCCATTGTCTGAAAATTTAGTTGTTCACAATCCTCTGCTTTTGAGGATGTTCTTTCTGTGTTTCAGTTACTTCTCTAGGATTTTCTTCCTATAAACTAGTTTATCTTCTGATGCACAGAAAGGGACTATATTCGTGTGGTCTGTAAGATCAGGGGAGGAAATAGCTCTTGCAGGTTATTTAAAACGTGCATGAAGATATGCAGGCACGGCTTACACAGCCCTGGGCTTCAGCCCAAGAATGTGCTGATCATGTCCACAACTACAACTGCATAAAGACCCACATTAAAACAGTAATAACAGAGAAATGAAGGGGAAAAAAGTCACAGAGACAAAGCAGAAATGGTTCTTGAATTAAATCACTTTTATCTGAGCTCATTCGCTTAAGGATGCAATCAGCTCACTATTTCAGCAGCTTGGGACCTTAGAAATGTATTTCAAGATTAATTATAAAATGAATTCTTTAAAATGGAAAAATACACTACTTTCCTATTACTCTTAACAAGAGTCTAAGGTTAATGAAGCTTTGAGGCAGTTTAGTGGTTTGACTGCCACCTACTGTTCATTTTTTGCCATAACTCACATGTAGCTTGGGCAAGAGGTAAGAAAAATGCCTTGGGCAAACCATTTTGTAAAAAAGTATTTTAACATATGTGCTGTAATGTAACTATTTAAACATTTTAAGGGATTGAGAGAATGTGATTGATTCCATTTCAAATTACTGTATTTGTCATAGTAGTTTATGAGAGCCCAGTGGTTAAAAATGCAAATTATAAGGCATTCTAATATATATATACACACACATATATATATACACACATATATACATGTGTATATATATGCATGTATATATATGTATGCACAGGGCATTTCATTTAGTCCTGACAAAGCATTATACTTGAAATTTATAAAAATATGCCACAAACACAAATGCATCAACCTGAAAATATCATCTCATGAAGCTGGCATCTGATCTTTAAAACGGAAAAGAGATCTCCATCATCACACTTTTATGCTTACATGGCTTGTGAAGACTTCAAGAATATAAGCACTTATTCTGTCAAAATAAGGAGATCAAGTACTAGCCATCTCCAGCTAATTCAGAATGCCCCAGACTTTTGATAGAAATCTGTTCAGTTAACACTGCAGCAGTCATGATATTCTGTTAAATGCTTAAAGTTCAGAAGGCAGAATGGTTGTGCATTTTTTTCTCTCTATTATCTAAATTTCTTAATTCAGAGTAATAACTCATTTTCCGGATGTGACAATGCTATTTACTGTTTAAATATAGAATCTTGGTGGAAACTTTATAAACATGTCATTCCTAAGGCACATTTTAAAAAATGTCTACATGAGTCTATGTGAGTTATTTTATTTTTAAAATTGTACCTTTTCAAGCCTTTGTACTAAATTATGCATATAAAAAATTGCAAACTGTTTATGTGTTATTACTGATGTATTGTATATCTTTATATGCTTTTGTATTTACAAATATATTTGTAGATTGTTTCATTCATACTAAAATCTGCTTATATTTATTATATTTTTTAAAGCACAAAGAAAAAGTCACCTAGAATATTTTGGCATTGTTAAAATGTGCCTCCTGCTAAAACTATGTTGCAGTTTTCAGTATGAAATGGTGTCAATAAATTTCAACATTCTAGAATATCTTCAATTAACATTTCTTTTCTCTGCTAGGGACAGTTATAGAATAGTGGTAGCTTCATTTGTTAAGACAATCTTGATGAAAGAAAACATCAATATCCTCGTTCATTTTTTGCCATAATAGTATTTTTTTTCTGATGTATAAAATAGCCATCTTGGATTTCAGAATCACTGTTATTAGGCCTTTCTCTCTCTATATATAGTTTTCAGATAAATGCACATTGTTTAAAAATGTGTCCTTAGTGATGCCAATAATATAGATACAAAATGAAAGCTTTTCATGTGGATTTATTTACAGTGATGCTGATAAAATTTATAAAAATGATATAAGATGATATTAAGCAACATGAGCAAATTTGATCAAATATTCATTCTATAGCTTCCCCCTAAGTGATTCCATCCAATAACAATGACACTAATCCAAAGCCAAAGAAAAATAGTTTTACCTAAAATGTTGGCAAAGGAGCTGGAACAAATAGAATTAAGCTGACCTTTTAATAAATGTCTGTTTATTGATTTAAATTCACTTTTTTCTTTTTCTGAGCAATGCTGACGAGGCCTGTTAGAATACAAGCATGTATAATAACTTGGACACAACCATTTTTACTTCTTTTGTGTGTCATTACTGAAAGATTGAAGCAAGCTTCACCTAAGTGTAGTGATGCAAAAATAATAGTATCCCAGTCTGGCTGCGCAAGAGTGGAGGCAAACAAGAGCTTCATATTAAAGTGCCTTCTAGGTAGCTGACATGACGCATCTAGTCAGACGTAAATAATGACAGACGGAAACTATCATGAGGTCTGTGAAGCATCAACATACTGCTATCATTTTCTCTCTAACCTTGCCTTGCTAGCAGCTCTCAGCCTTACAGGCTGAGAGATCATTTAAAAAGCAAATCCTAATGACTCTGCCCACTGTAACAACAGTCAGCAAGATTGGCATCAATTTAGCTCAGTTTAGAAACTCAGAATAACAGCCATTGTTGACTTGCAACACCCTAAACTCCAGTTTTTCTCCACAAATCAACCCCGTCCCCAGTGCTACCCCTTCCCCATGGCTATTTCCATGCCTTGGAAAAAGATTCTCCTCGCTGGTAGGAAAATGGTTCATCTCAGTTACTCACTTGGCACTCCATATGTAATTTCTTAGGCTGCACTTATTTTTCTGGATGAGCCCATTTGGTACAAAATGCTTTAAACTTTCCCTCCCTCTTTTCATGCGACACACATTATTTTGTGTATATTATGTATGCACAGGGTAACAGTGGGTAAATAATATCCCAGTGTCCCTGTAGCTTAAGCCTAACATGGTTATGGTTCAGATAAACACGTCTGTACATAGCTGCCATAATCAATGTGGAATGGCAGAACAATTTTGCAGATGCAGTCCCAGGAAGAAAAAAAAAGAAAGCTGTCTTGTCCAGATTCAATAGAATCTATTCACCAAGAAAACCCGCGATAAAGCAGTTGCACGTTTTATTTGTTAAAACAGTGATGACTTTGCAAGCCGGAGGGAACTGAAGCTGATGTACAATAGGATAATAGCATTATCACTTTGCAAATCAGCATGTGGCTTTGCTTGGGTGCCAGCAGAAGGGCACGGGGGTTCTAAGAGCTCTAGCTGGCGAGTTGGAAAGGCAAGATCAAACTGCCTGGTTGTGAGTGAAAATGTATGAGGATAAATTGCCATGAGTCTCCTTCTGCTTGGTTAAAAACAGATTGCATATGTGTGTTTTCACTGAGGTGAATGGTTGGGCTTGGGTTTGTGTGTGAGTATGTGTGTGTCAGGGGCGGGGTGGTTAGGAAGCAGAATAATGGGGAGGCTCACAATAGCCCATCTTAATGGAGAGCTATTGATCTCGTTTCATAACACTTTAATCTCCACCTAAACATCTTACTTACCTTGTGTAAAAGAGATGCCAAGTTGAAATAAATATAAACACACAATATTTTAAGTACTTTTGAATTTTGCATGGTAATAAATATTAACGCAGTTTGTGACTCCCAAAGAAAATAGAAGGCACTTAATTCTGTTGTTGAAATCAGGTACTGTGCAGGTTGATTTCCCGAGGTGAAAATGAAAAATGCACTATTTGGACTAAAATTTAGATTTAATAAATAACTAATTTAGGATCTTGTTCTACATGCAAGGATATAATCACAAGGCATTTGTTTTTAAAAGGTTTCATTTATTCTTGTGAGCTTAATTATTGCAAGGAAACTGTGAGCAATTTGTTTTTTACCAGTGTCTGATTTCTGAGAATGGTTATTAAATATTAAATGGATGCATAATTCAGGCAATTAAGAAAGTAATCACACAAAGTAATGTAATGGAAGTTAATTATTACTGCATAAGCAAATAGTTCATTAATGCTAGTAGTTGCTATGGCTGCATTCTTAATACATGCAGAACTGAAGCATGAATCCTCTGTGTATTCAAGGAGCTGGTAGGAAGTGTGATGCTACACAGAGAGAGTGCCACTAATGAAAAACAGAAGCAAATAAGGCCATATTGACCCCTGACTTGTCTAAATAAGGTGGGATCATCATTACTTCAGAGAGTTTTATCGAAACCACGATTGCACTAGCTGCTTATAATTTTTTTGGTTGGTAACACAAACCACGACTTAAGCCAGGAGAAGCCAGGAGGAATTCAGCTTGTTAAAACAAAAATCATCAATTGTACCTCCTCTGTTTTGTTTTGTTGTTTAAAACCAACCTTTTTGTTAAATAGCTTAAGTCATCATTTGTAACTTAAAAGGACTCCATAGATCTTTTTATATATATAAAAGCATTCGAGCTGGTAACATATCTTATTTTGTCCTGCTGTTCAACCCCAAGTGAACATTTTGACATGTCTTTGCTAACACTACCTCTCTAAAGCACTATGCTTTATAAAGTTTATTTTATATTAATTCAACACATACGGGTTCCGGTGCTTTCCAGACCTGGTGCTGCTGTGAGGCGTCAAGGTGGCCAGAGCAGGCCAGGCAAGGCAGAAAGGGAGGAGATGGAGCAGTGGTGAGGATTCAGCCCAGAGCCTCCAGGGCTGCGCCAGGCCCTCCTCCAGAGGAGATCAACCCGTTTACAGGTTTAATTTTTAACGACCCAAAACTACCCAGGGCTCATGCTTTCCTGCAGCATTGCCATTGCCTGACCCGTCTGATAATAGAATTTCAAAAGAAAGATAACACCATTAGGCCAGGCGCTTTTCTACCATCCTAATGCAGGCATTAGTTCACCACACTCCTGAGTTATTTGCTTGCCTACTTGCAATGCCATTATGAAGCTCTGCCAGCCACCTCCCAGGCTTGGTGCTGTGCTAGGTGGGACATGGTGGAAGTCAAGAGACATTGGTCTCATCAAGGGGATGCTTCAATCATTTAAAGAGAGTCCAGCACTTGGCTAGCTACTGAGGGAAGTAGAAAAGATGTCCAGGACATACTCCATCTCTGCTCTAAGAAAGGAGCTTATGGGACAGTGGTTCTTTAACCTGTTTTGAGCCATGGAGATTTGGACACTCTAGTGCACCTGAGCATTAAAAACAATTGCATTTAGTTTTAAAAGAGTTCATGGTCTCTCTCATCCTATCCATGGAGTTCAGAATTAAGACTGTTTTAGAGGAGCAAGACCAGTGTTCTTCAAGTAGATAGTGAACATTTAGGAGAGCACCTGTCTGGATGCTTGACATATAGACTATAAATACAGCAGAGGGATTGGTGGGGTCTGAAGTAGTTTGAGGAAAGCCTTATGGAACAAATAAGCCTTGAGCTCGACTTTAAAGGATGGCTGGTATTTTGAGGCCAATGACAAACCATTTAATGTAGAACAGCATGAGCAAAGGAAGAAAGGTAAGACTTCATTCATTTATTCGTTAATACATCCATCCACTTAACAAATATTGAACACCTACTGAATTAGATAATTATAGGAAATAAAGGTAAGGCACAGTTCCCTGAACTAAAAGAATTTACAGTCTGGAAGATGGAATACAGCAAGCATAGAAATAACTGTGTTACAAGGGAAAAATCTAACTGTTCTGAGCAAAATCTAAAGAACCATTGGAGAAGGATGAATGCCACTAGGGGGTTTCAAAATGCTTAATGTAGGAGACACATTTCAGCAGGACATTGTTGGAAGGAAATAATATGGGCAGGTATAAGGCACCCTCAAGACCACACTTTTGGTTTGGTTGTCACACCTCAAAAAGAGGAGGGAAGCAGTATAGGCAAAGTCAGGGAGGTCGGGACATATGCTGTATGTTTGGAAAACATGTTTACCTTGAATAAAGCATTCATTGAATTGGGAAAACTTTGAAAGGTGAATGAGGGCCACTATAGATGCCCTTAACTGGCATAAAAGGAGAATCATGGATTTTCCTTAATGTGGTATTTCAGAATAGGAAAGCATTCGAGGTGGCATCTCTAGCAACGAGGAGACTTTACAGGCTGCTGCAATAATGCGGGAGAGAGCTATTGAAAGACTCTTGTTGGTATGTAGCTCAAGGAATTCACACGGTGAGCAAGAGAGGGTGGGTAGTGAAGGAGGAGCCATGGGAATTTCTAACTCATGTCCACCTGATGGAGCCAGAGGTGGGACATGACTCATGGATCACTTTCTAAAGGAGACACCATTTTTATTCACCAGGAAGGAAGTGGATATATCATTATGATGATGGATTTCTATGTTGCCTCTGCCACTCTTCCTCTAAAGAAACATTCTGAACCTGCACCTTACTTCAGAAGGACAGGCCATGTATACTAGCTGTACCATTTATTTCCCCATAACACATTTTAGTATCTCCTCACTCAGACTAGTGTTTGCCATACAACACCTGGTGTATAAAGTCAGATCATTTCTATAACTCTTTGGCCTTTAAAACACACTCTTACTCTGCCAAGGGTCAAGGCCATTTCCGTGAGTAGGGCTTAAAGCTATCACTATATGGGCTCCTCTCCTCTCTCTGACTTAGGAAAGGGCTGTTCTTTCACTTTTTAAAGTGGAATCTCCTACATTGCCTTATGCAATCTCCGTATCTGAGAAGTAAATTGAGAGGATATTATTTCTGTTTTCCAGATGAGACTCAGAGGAGATAAACACCTGGATAAAGATAGCTAGTAAAAGATGACTCCAATATTAAAACCAGTTTTTCCACCTCAAGGGGGTGTCAATGTTCAAGAGAGCCCTGAGTGAAAGGTAGCAGGAGCGTTTACTTTCCAAGGAATTTCTACCAGGATCCTCAGTTCAGTTTTATCATTTAGAGGCCACACTCAAGTCAGGTTCAGGTAGAACATTGAAACTTTGAATTTTGCCTTCATTTTGAGAAATATAGTATTTCAATTTCCCATTCAACATTAAATCCGTTCTTTACTCTTACAGAGATTTCTAATGGGGCCAGATTATATTCCATCTCACATTCTTTGCTGGGATACTTTTCTCTCTAGGCAAGTCATATATCATTTCTGCATAATTCCTCTACTTAGGAGCAGTTGTCTCATTACATTCTAAGTCACGGAAGACCTTAAATGTCAGAACTCATCCCAGCAATAAAAACTAGGCACTTGGCTTGCTCATCGGTATACCCAAGTTCTATTTAAGGCCTCAAGGCCATTGATCTACTACGCTAACTCTAGAAGTTTCCAAAGAATCCCAATGGACTTCCAAAATTCAGCAGCTACTTCTTCAATGATGAGGTGAAATTGTTATCAGATTATAGAATTTTGCTGTTGTTTAACATTGTTATGCCTGGTGCCACAAAACTCTCCTTTAACACATGCCAAATTACCTACTGATCAGTTTCTTTCATTCACATTTTGAAGTCTTTAAACTGTGGAAAAGCAAACAGACCCAAACTAGGCAGAAGATATGTGTGCTGAACACCTAGCTGTTTGAATGGGCCTTTACATCATGTTAGGACTGTGCCCGGATTCTCCTTTGGCAACCTTCCCTGTGATGGGGGTGGCAGGTGACGGCAGGGTTGAAAAGACAATCCCCATCTCATGTGAACTCAGAGCTAGTCTGCATTGCTCTCATTAGGCAGCGTCTAAGCTGCCAGAGAAAGACTCAGCTCACACTGGAGCTCTCGTGTTAAATCCTCCACAGTGGGAAAAAAACACGCCTGATGGGGACTAATGACTAATTCTCTACATCATGTCTAATGTATCCCAGGGTGCTAACTTCAGCACACCTGCCTTCACCGCTGGTAAGGTAATGAGACTGCTTGTGAGTTACTGGTCACTGACAACATTTATAATATTCTTCAACCTAATGTTACTGCATAGGTCAGTGTGCAGTGTTCACTAAGAGTGGGTGAATTCTGTCACCTTGGGAGCCTCGGTTTTATGGGTAGTTGGTTGTGGAAGTGGTTCAAAACCCTTTATAAATGAGGTGGATGCATTTGGAAAGGTTCTAGGTGTCCCATGATACTCCATTAAATTTTGTTGCTAATTACATCATCAGGAGGTAATTACAGCACTCTGAGGCCAGAGATTTTAAAATTATAACCATCCAGGAAATTTAGCCCATAAAAAAGGTATGCATTGGCCTGGGTAACTATGATGGTTGAGAGAAAGCGTGGGGGTGGCATGGGGCAAGAGCTGGAAAATCCAGATTGCTTGAGTTTAGTTAGCACCTAAGTCCATTGGTGTGTGTCACCTTCCAGTCTGTGCTATGGGCTTTGAGTGTAGCTGCATAGGGGCACACTTCTCAATTTTAGAGAATCGAAAATTACTTAATTCACTCAGGAATATACATCGAATAAGTATTTTATTTTACTTTCTCAAATCATGCCATTTTTGGTGGGTTTTCAGAAATCTGAGCTGACATTGTATTTAAAGAATGAAAAGAAATGTTAACTTCCTGTGAGCAGCATTTCAAGATAATGTAGAAGTTTTTTGACACAAAATGGCCAAAGATAAATACAACGCAGTGAGACACTCTCCTCAAAAGAACACTTTAGACTTGGTCTCAGCTCTATCTCTCTTTGCATTTCTGCCATGAATGAACTGGAGTGAAGCACTTACTGCCTCCTTTGCTGAGAAGCAGCTGAGCAGAGTGGTTACAAATGTGGACTCTGGAGCTAGAATCCCTTGATTTGCTTTCTGGCTCCTCCAGGATAGGCTTATGTACTAGTTAGGGTAATAATGCTGGTTGCTGTAACAAATACACCCCAAGTTATGTGTACTTTGACACAATAGAATTTTATCTCTCACTCATATAACAATCCAGTGCTGGTGTTCCTGATGAGCAGTCTTCTATGTGGTGATTCAGAGATGGGAATTCTTCTTCTTGTGGCTCTTCTGCCTTCTACAACCTCAGTATCTTCTGCATTCAATCAGCGTTAAGTAGGGAGTGTGGAGAAGGCACAGTCAGTAATTACTGACTTGGGAGACACAGACATCCCTCCCACTGCTTTCTATTGGCAAGGACTAATCACATGCCTTCACCAAGAAGAACGGGAAGCTGAAAAATGTATCCCCTTGTTGGGCAGCTGCTTCTCATAGACAGCTTGATTTTACGGATGATGGTGCAAAAATTTTGGTGAAAAGTTAGCTGTCCTTGCCTCATTTAGGTAAGATACTTCAACTCTCTGCACCTCAGTTCAATTCCCTTGTCTATAATATAGAGATAATAACAATACCTACTTCTAGAGTTGTAAGAATTAAATTAGATAATGTATGGAAAATGTTTGGCATACAGAAAGCACTCAAAAAAAGTTAACTATTATTTCAACTATTTGTGTTGTTATTAATTTTTCCTTGAGTTACTTTTTCTCTACCCAACAGAGATAGTCATAATTAATGTCTCACATTACTCTAATTAAAATAACTGGCCAAACAATATGTGAAAAGGCCCATGTTTATTTTCTGAACAAAGAAAATCTATTTGATGGGATGTAAAACTACGCAGTGTGACGGTCAGGCGGTCCCTGAAGGATGTGAAGCCTGCCGGCAAAATCATGGCCCTGCTCCACTCCTGCTGCATGTTCTATGCACAGAAGGAGGGAAAAGTTTGAATTTTTCAGAGGAGATAACAGAACAGTTCATCATTTCATTATCTGCATGTTATTTTTCAGCATCTATTTCCATACCATATCCATTAGGAATTACAAGGATTTGTCTTTGAATCTATCTATATATGTGTGTACTTAAAGGACTTGAAAAGGGCATTTTCAACCCTTGATGTGATTCGGTTCTATTTCAATAAAACTGCTTCATGAATACCAACCAATTTAGTAAGGTCAATTTTCCTTGCTGCTAAATTCCTCTTTCAGAGTGCAGAAAAATTCTACGGTCACCAATAAGAATCCTGGCAAAGTAAAAAGAAATTAATGAAGATAGTCAAGTTCCCTCCGTTTTATACATGAGGCCATGCTGCTGGTTAGAGAGCTACACTCTCTAAAGGGCTATTTACTTTTATAATAATTTCATAAACTGAGCCCAAGCTAAGTCAAATCACACCACACGTGACCTAACCCAGGTTGGTTGGAAAGCTTGATGTCAGGGCTGTATAGCAGAGTTCTTAAGCAAATGGGCTCTGTTCACAGAATGCCTGAGTTAGAATCTTGGCTCTACTCCTAACTATACCTGCGCAGCCTAGGGCAGGTTACTGAACCTTTCTAAGGCCTTGGTTTTCTCATTTCTAAACTTGGATTTTTTAAAATCCCTCTGTTATAGATTAAATTGAGATAATTTATGTGACATGCTTAGCACAGTGCTTGATGCATAATAACAAGAAGCACTTAATGTGTGCTCTGTTTTAAGAGCTTTTCTTGCATTTACTAATTTAATCCTCATAACAACCATATGAAAAAAAGATACTATAATTATTCCCATTTTACAGGTAAGGAAACTGAGGCCCAGAGGGGTTGAGTAGTCTCCCTAAGATCACATAGCTAGTTACGTGGCAAAGTTAAAATTCAAGCTCATGTACGCTGGCTCCAGAGTCCATGCTCTTAACATCTGTATTATGCTGCTTCTCCCTAAGAACTTACAAATGTCATCCATTATTTACATTTTTATTAAAAGATAGAGGTTCAGAATTCAATGCAGAAATGTTTGATAATATAGTTCTTAAATTGGGAATATTATGGAATAAGGGCCTTGGGAAACTTTGCTCATCAATACTTGAGTTAGTGAATGAATGAATGAGTAAATGAGTGAATAAATGAGAGCAAGTCTTGCATGATTAAAGCCAGAAATGTGTCTTAGAACCATATTCAGGAAATCAGCATTGGTTAGAAGACATGGACATTATACTATTATAATGTCACACTAAGCATAAAATGACAATTCTGATGTATGTACTAGTAGTGTTTTTGAGACATAGGCATCTCCCTGCTGAGTCTCAGACTTCAGGTGGAGGAAGCTTGCCACCCCTTGGGAAGCACCCAACGTGATGATCCTATGTCAGCAACGTGTGTGTAAAGGTGGTTTGCCAAAATCCAGCACTGGCCCATGTAAAACACATTTTTATCTGACTTTTTAAAGCCACATTTGGAGATCCATTAGCACTGTATAGGAGGCCCGAGTGTCCTCTGCATTACGCTAATTGTTTAAGCATGACAGGTTATTACTTCAGTCAGAGGGGTAATGTAGGTTGGGGAAAAAAGTAGGGCACAAACACAATTTTCTAGTTTTTGAGAAGCAATTATAAATAGATGAGAAGCCATAAAAATATTACACGTGGGATGGCTCATCAGTAGGATTGAAAAGGCGACTGGAGCCCATGCAGCCAAGAGGAGTGGTTCAAAGCTGACAAGTCTACAGCAGTGATTCAAAAATAGCAATGATAATTCTGCAGCAAAACAGAACAATGAAACCGAGAGTCACAGCACTCAAAAAAGACATTGGCCCAACACAATGCTCTCTCATTGGATAAGCTATTTTCATAGCAAACCCAAATTTCAAAATGTCAGCCTGATAAATAGGGGAGATTTGAAAGGATACAGTCAAGGTGTTTCGTTTTAATACTTAAAGAAGAAAAAGAAGCCTACTCTTGTTTCTAACAATCTTTTAGAGCTTTAAGGAAAGAGGATGTTGTATTTTGAAAAGAGACCTGGTTGTATCTTGTCTAGAAGCTATTTTAATATATACAACCATTAAGTAGGTTCAGATCATATTATGAGGCTCATTTTTTTCTCTATAATAGGGTGAATATTAGTTAGAACTCAGTAACCACAAAGAGCTATAAAAGTTTAAAACATAATGTCTTACTTTTATTTCCATTTTCTTCTGAGTATAGGTGCCGTCTTGGTATGGTAAAATAAGATAGCATCTACTAGATTCTGGTATAATATATAGCCTGGTAGGGTGGCTATGCACATAGACTTTAGAGTTGCCTTATAGCTCTGAAAACTATCTTTACTGGTTTTCAAAACCATTGGCTGTTAGATTTTGGACAATATTTAGTATCTCCAAGGTTTCCCTTTCTCATTTCTAAAATTAGGATAAATAGCACCAGCTACATAGGGTTATTCTGAGACCTAAATTAATGAATGCAAAGCACTTAGTACGAACTAAATTAATAATGGCTGTCATTGTGATTCCTTTTACTGCCGTTGCCTGCAATCTTGGGCAGGAAGTATGATATTTGGCAAGTCATTTGGCCTTTTTGGCTCTTGACTTTTTCCAAGGAAGGTGTTGGGCTAGGTAGCTCTATCTCTGAGGTCTCTTGAAGTCTTGGGATCTGAAGTGTGTGTGTGTGTGTGTGTGTGGTCATACTTCATAGAAATCTCTGTGTATATCAGAAATCCATGCAAAGTTTTCCAAGAGCAGTGTATTTCATAGGAATCAGAGATTTTCATCTCAATTGTTCCTTCTGTTAGGCAAAGATCCTCCTAAAACTAAACTTCATATTTGAGATTAAAAATGAGATAATAACAGATTTCTAGGATTAGGCAAATTGGCACAGCTGGCAAAAGCAGTTGGACTTTATATACCCCCTTTGTCTTAGAGGTACATTCTTACTTACTAATCATTTAAAAATAAAGGAAAGATATTTCACGCACTGTCTTGTTCTGCTATAAATCCCCAGCTGAAAACATGCCTAGAATTAAATAGTACACAGAGAGGAGCAGAGTGCAGTCCTATCTCAACCTCCTCAGCATTGTTATTTGCTCTGTGATGGGAAAGAGAAAAGCCATCTATAAAGTTCCAAGTGAATTAGCAAGTGGCGCAGCTGCAGGAGTCCAGGGCTGATTTCAGACTATATTTTGACCTTATTATCCCTGCCTTTGCTATTGAGTGTCATTCTAGTCAGTGGGATTACAATGGGGAGTTTAAGGGAGAACAGAAAGAAAATGATACACAGATGCACAAGTAAAGTAGTAAAAGGAAATACTCATGAAAGGCTCAATTAGTCTGGGCACTTAGATGGAAGGGCCAGAGTAGGACTTCTGCCAAGGACAGTAACAGGAGTGCCAGGCCATTCTGCTGGCCAGGTCTTGCAGTTATCACAGAAAACCCAGGATCAATTTTCTATTTGCTATCTTATCATTCTCCACTTATGTTGAGGTAATATTAATTATATTTGGAAATTGTTTTGTTTTAAAGATCTTGAAAAAAATGACACTTATGAAGATGTGGAAGACAGAGAATTAAGCACTCAATAATAAAAACATATTCGTTTTATATGCTACTTAACATTTTACAGTGCATTTCTATCTATTTTATCTCCTCAGGCCCTTACAATTATGCTTTGAAGGTATTCTTAACTCCACCCTATCAGTTGGATGTATTAGGCTGCAAGTAACAGAAAACTCAACTCAAAGTGTCTTTAATAACAAGTACATTTGTCTCTCTTTATCTGCTGTTTTGCTTTCTGAAACAGTGGTTCCAAAATAGGTGAGTACAGTACAATAAGGTATTTGGAGAGAGACAGAGACCACATTCACAGAACTTTTATTACAGTATGTTGTTATAATTGCTCTACTTTATTATCCATTGTTGTTCATCTCTTTTTGTGCCTTATTTATAAATTACATTTTATCATAGGTGTGTATGTATAAGGGACAACATAGGATATTTAGAGTTTGGTACTATCGGTGGTTTCAGGCATCCACTGGAGGGTCTTGGAACATGTTCCTTGCCATTAAGAAGGGACTACTGTGAATGCATTCTTTTAATTCAGAGCTGTGGGAAGATTTCAGTGTTGATCGATTTAGTGGCTCACCATTATCATCAAGACCCCTAGTGTTCTGTCACAAGTGTTGCATGCATCCTCAGGCTGATAGGAAGATGGCTATAGCGGTTCCAGCCATCACAACAAAGCCCAAATACTTCTAGAAGAAAATGAAAGATTATTTCCCCCTCTAGAGCTCTCTATTAGGAGTGAGAATTTTTTTTTTCCAAATGCCCCCCTCAAGTTTCCCTTCATGTCTCATTGGCCAGAATTGCATCTCATTCATGAACTGATCATTGACAAGAGGAATGGGATTACTTTTAGACCAGTCAGGCCCATTTCTGGGGCTGGGAGCAGGGTCAGGTTTCCCTGAGGCATGTGACTGCACGGGACAGAGGTGAAGGGTATTAGAACAGAATGAGGTTCATGTTTAAAAGGAAGACATGGCAATGGACAGGGGCTGGGCAATTCACAGTGTCACTCACTCAATGCACACTAGAGTAAACAGACTCAGAATGGCAAAGAGATTGCCTAAAGTGTGGCAGAGCCATGGTTGCTAAAAGCTGCATTTTAAAATAAAGAGAGTGTAGAATATTTACAGAATATAGAACATTCCAGCTGGAAGGGACTTTAAAGGTCATCAAGCCCAACCCCTTCATCTAACCCAGTACTTCGAGAGCATGGTTCTTGGTATCTCTAGCTCTCCAGTCAAAAGAGCTTACTAATGTATGCCTCTGTTTGAGCTTACCCTCTGAATCTGTTAGTCTTCCCTTTGAAGGGTAATCCATGCATACCACATAAAAATTTTACATGTAGGAGAGTAATGTATACATTCAATGGATAGACTGGTTCCCGACTGCGGGAGTTCAGGGGGGCTTTCAATCTCTGAGGTCTTTCCTACTCCCAAGGGAGGTGAGTAGAGCAGGGAGAGGCAGGAGCATGTCTCCAGTTAAGTAGCAGCCAAGAAAACGGGGGATGTGAATGGGCAGTTCTTCCGTACACGGAGCAGTCTCCCCATCCACCCACAGAGCAGTCTCTCCATCCACGCATGTCTGCACGTCTGACTTGGTAGACCCTGTGACCCCCTTATTTCTTCTCTCTATTTCCTACAGTCCCCTCTGTCTTTTACGGCAGCCCTCCCTTCCCCAGGTTTTGCTTCTCTGTTATTGCTAGGCCCAGGCAGTCAGTTCCATCTAGTTTTCCTTGGTAAACCTAGAGTAGGAGTTGGGAATCAGTTCTACAGGAAGGAGATAAAAAACAGTGACACTGCCTATTTTGCCTGAGGGTGAAGTATCTTCAAGATAAGCAAACTTTTCTCCTGCAAAAATGGACTAACCACATACAGTATAATTCTGGTGTGTTAGTATGCTAGCTGAATCTCTGTCTCTTTGCTGAACCGTATCAAATATTCCTAAGATTGTCCACCTTTTAGCATAATTGGAGAACATCTTAATATTGAAAAAAAAGCCCACTTTTCCCCACCTTATCAAAGACATTTTTATCCAGCTTGGCAGGGGCAAGGGTGGGTGTGCTCCTTATCACCAAGACTGCTGCACACTGTCAGGGCTATTGGTCACAGCATTGTGGCTGGGCCACCACCACTGCCGCAGCCATCTCATCTATCCTTTTGTCCATGGGTCTGTCTCCCCCAATTCAAAGTCTGGGTGGGAGTGTCTGTTTGGCTGCACTGGGTCAAATGTTCTTGCCCTGGTATGTTTGCACACATGTGAAGGGGTTGGGGGTGGGGAAGGTGAAAAAGGAGGACATTCCTGCTTCAGTTTTTGGAGTGGGAAAAGGTGTCCTATCTCTCACCAAGACTAATCCAGTGTAGAATTTGGATGTTGGGGATTCAAATGTTGGACAGCCAACAAATGACAAGTGCCCATGGCATAAATTATCTGAATTTCTAGCGCAGAGTAAAGGCTCATGTGAGACAAAAAGAGAAAAAATAATGTAAAGAGATGCCACCAATTAGCAAAGTAAATGGATTTAGCAAACAAATGTTTCTCAGAACCATTATGGCAGTGGTTCTCAAACATTGAGTGCATCAGAATTAATGAACACTTACTTAAAACAAGTTTGTAAACCTCACCTCAGACTTATTGAATGGGACTCCACTGGAAATAGGGACCAGGAATTCACATTATTTGTAGACTTTGTGGATAATTCCGACATGGTTGGTCTGTAGACCTCCTCTGAGAAACACTGCTATGTGGGTATTGGAAGAGATTATCAGTGTAACAATAAAAATGGCTGAATTTAAATAGGGCATTCAATCTTAAGGATTTTTTAAAATTATACTTTAAGTTCTGGGGCCCATGTGCAGAAGGTGCGAGTTTGTTACATAGGTATACACGTACCATGGTGGTTTGCTGCACCCATTAACATGTCATCTACATTAGGTATTTCTCCTAATGCTATCCCTCCCCTTGCCCCCATCCCCCGACAGGCCCCTGTGTGTGATGTTCCCCTTCCTGTGTCCATGTGTTCTCATTGTTTAACTCCCACTTATGAGTGAGAACATGTGGTGTTTGGCTTTCTGTTCCTGTGTTAGTTTGCTGAGAATGGTGGTTTCCAGCTTCATCCATGTCCCTGCAAAGGACACATACTCCTCCTTTTTATGGCTGCATAGTATTCCACAGTGTATATGTGCCACATTTTCTTTATCCAGTCTATCACCAATGGGCATTTGGGATGGTTCCAACTCTTTGATATTGTGAGTAGTGCTGCAATAAACATACGTTTGTATGTGTCTTTATAGTAGAACAATTTATAATCCTTTGTGTATGTACCCAGTAATGGGATAGCTGGGTCAAATGGTGTTTCTAGTTCTAGATCCTTGAGGAATCTCCACACTGTCTTCCACAATGGTTGAACTAATTTACACTCCCACCAACAGTGTAAAAGCATTCCTATTTCTCCACATCCTCTCCAGCATCTGTTGTTTCCTGACTTTTTAATGATCGTCATTCTAACCGGCATGAGATGGTATCTCATTGTGGTTTTGATTTGCATTTCTGTAATGACCAGTGATGATGAGCTTTTTTTCATATGTTTATTGGCCACATAAATGTCTTCTTTTGAGAAGTGTCTGTTTATACCCTTTGCCCACTTTTTGATGGAGTTGTTTGTTTTTTTCCTGTAAATTTGTTAAAGTTCCTTGTAGATGCTGGATATTTGCCCTTTGTCAGATGGATAGATTGCAAAAATTTTCTCCCATTCTGTAGGTTGCCTGTTCACTCTGATGATAGTTTCTTTTGCTGTGCAGAAGCTCTTTAGTTTAATTAGATCCCATTTGTAAATTTTGGCTTTTGTTTCCATTGCTTTTGGTGTTTTACTCATAAAGTCTTTGCCCATGCCTATGTCCTGAATAATATTGCCTAGGTTTTCTTCTAGGGTTTTTATGGTTTTAGGTTTTATGTATAAGTCTTTAATCCATCTTGAGTTAATTTCTGTATAAGGTGTAAGGAAGGGGTCCAGTTTCAGTTTTCTGTATATGGCTAGCCAGTTTTCCCAACACCATTTATTAAATAGGGAATCCTTTCTGCATTGCTTGTTTTTATCAGGTTTGTGAAAGATCAGATGGTTGTAGATGTGTGGCGTTATTTATGAGGCCTCTGTTCTGTTCCATTGGTCTATATATGTGTTTTGGTACCAGTACCATGCTGTTTTGGTTACTGTAGCCTTGTAGTATAGTTTGAAGTCAGGTAGCGTGATCCCTCCAGCTTTGTTCTTTTCGATTAGGATTATCTTGGCTATACAGTCTCTTTTTTGGTTCCATGAGAAATTTAAAGTAGTTTTTTCTAATTCTGTGAAGAAAGTCAATGGTAGCTTGATGGGGATAGCATTGAATCTATAAATCACTTTTGGCAGTATGGCCATTTTCACAATATTGATTCTCCTATCCATGAGCATAGAATGTTTTTCCATTTGTTGGTGTCCTCTCTTATTTCCTTGAGCAGTGATTTGTAGTTCTCCTTAAAGAGGTCATTTACATCCCTTCTAAGTGGTATTCCTTGGTTTTTTATTGTCTTTGTAGCAATTGTGAATGGGAGTTTGCTCATGATTTGGCTCTCTGTTTGTCTATTACTGGTATATAGGAATGCTTGTGATTTTTGCACATTGATTTTGTATCCTGAGACTTTGCTGAAGTTGCTTATCAGCTTAAGGAGTTTTTGAGCTGAGATGATGCGGTTTTCTAAATACACAATCATGTCTTCTGCAAACAGAGACAATTTGAATTCCTCTCTTCATATTTGAATACTCTTTATTTCTTTCTCTTGCCTGATTGCCCTGGCCAGAACTTCCAGTGCTATGTTCAATAGGAGTGGTGAGAGAGGGCATCCCTGTCTTGTGTTGGTTTTCAAAGGGAATGCTTCTAGCTTTTGCCCATTCAGTATGATATTGGCTGTGGGTTTTTCATAAATAGCCTTATTATTTTGAGATGTGTTCCATCAATATCTAGTTTATTGAGAGTTTTTAGCCTGAAGGGTGTTGAATTTTATCGAAGGCCTTTTCTACATCTGTTGAGATAATTTTGTGGTTTTTGTGCTTGGTTCTGTTTATGTGATGGATTATGTTTATTGATTTGGGTGTGTTGAACCAGCCTTGCATCCCAGGGATGAAGCCGAGTTGATCGTGGTGGATAAGCTTTTTAACGTGCTGCTGGATTCAGTTTGCTAGTATTTTATTGAGGATTTTCACATTGATATTCATCAGGGATATTGGCCTAAAATTTTCTTTTTTCTGTTGGGTCTCTGACAGGTTTTGGTATCAGCATGATGCTGGCCTCATAAAATGAATTAGGGAGGAGTCCCTGGTTTTCTGCTGTTTGGAATAGTTTCAGAAGGAATGGTACCAAATCCTCTTTGTATCTCTGGTAGAATTTGGCTGTGAATCAGTCTGGTCCTGGGATTTTTTTTGTCGGTAGGCTATTAATTACTGCCTCAGCTTCAGAACTTGTTATTGGTCTATTCAGGGATTTGACTTCTTCCTGGTTTAGTCTTAGGAGGGTGTATGTGTCCAGGAATTTATACATTTCTTTTAGATTTTCTAGTTTATTTGTGTAGAGGTGTTTATAGTATTCTCTGATGGTAGTTCATATTTCTGTGGGATCAGTGGTGATATCACCTTTATCATTTTCTATTGTGTCTATTTGATTCTTCTCTTTTTTTCTTCTTTATTAATCTGGCTAGTGGTCTATTTTGTTAATCTTTTCAAAAAATCCAGCTCTTGGATTCATTGAGTTTTTGAAGGGTTTTTCATATCTGTCTCCTTCAGTTCTGCTCTGATCTTAGTTATTTCTTGTCTTCTGTTAGCTTTTGAATGGGTTTGCTCTTGCTTCTCTAGTTCTTTCAATTGTGATGTAAGGGGGTCGATTGTAAATCGTTCCCACTTTCTCCTGTGGGCATTTAGTTCTATAAATTTCCCTCTAAACACTCCTTTAGCTGTGTCGCAGAGACTCTGGTACATTGTGTCTTTGTTCTGACTGGTTTCAAAGAACTTATTTATTTCTGCCTTAATTTTCTTATTTACCCAGTAGTCATTCAGGAGCGAGTTGTTCAGTTTCCATGTAGTTGTGCGGTTTTGAGTGAGGTTTTTTTTTTTGTTTTGTTTTGTTTTGTTTTGTTTTTTGAGACGGAGTCTAGCTCTGTCACCCAGGCTAGAGTGCAGTGGCACAATCTTGGCTCACTGCAAGCTCCTCTTCCCAGGTTGACGCCATTCTCCTGCCTCAGCCTCCCGAGTAGCTGGGACTACAGGCGTCCGCCACCACACCTGGCTAATTTTTTTGTATTTTTAGTAGAGATGGGGTTTCACCGTGTGTTAGCCAGGATGGTCTCAATCTCCTGACCTCGTGATCCACCCGCCTCAGGCTCCCAGTGCTGGGATTATAGGTTTGGGCCACCGCACCAGGCCTTGAGTGAGTTTCTTAATCCTGAGTTCTAATTTGATTGCACTCTGGTCTGAGAGACTGTTTGTTATGATTTCCATTGTTTTGCATTTTCTGAGGAGTATTTTACTTCCAATTATGTGGTCCATTTTAGAATAAGTGTGATGTGGTGCTGAGAAGAATGTACATTCTGTTGATTTGGGGTGGAGAGTTCTGTAGATGTCTATTATGTCTGCTTGGTTGACGGCTGAGTTCAAGTCCTGAATATCCTTGTTAATTTTCTGTCTCGTTGATCTGTCTAATATTAACAGTTGGGTGTTACAGTCTCCCACTATTATTGTATGGGAGTCTAAGTCTCTTTGTAGGTCTCTAAGAATTTGCTTTATGAATGTGGGTGCTTCTGTATTGGGTGCATATATATTTAGGATAGTTATCTCTTCTTGTTGCATTGATCCCTTTACCATTATATAATGCCCTTCTTTGTCTTTTTTTATTTTGTTGGTTTAAAGTCTGTTTTATCAGAGACTAGGATTGAAACCCGTGCTTTTTTTTTTTCTTTACATTTGCTTGGTAAATCTTCCTCCATCCCTTTATTTTGAGCCTATGTGTGTCTTTGCATGTGAGATGGGTCCTGAATACAGCACATCGATGGGTCTTGACTCTATCCAATTTACCAGTCTGTGTCTTCTAATTCGGGCATTTAGCCCATTTACATTTAAGGTTAATGTTGCTATCTGTGAATTTAATCCTGTCATTATGATGCTAGCTGGTTATTTTGCCTGTTAGTTGATGCAGCTTCTTCATAGGGTGAATGGTTTTTACAATTTGGTATGTTTTTGCAGTGCCTGGTACTGGTTTTTCCTTTCCATATTTAGTGCTTCCTTCAAGAGTTCTTATAAGGCAGGCTTGGTGGAGACAAAATCTCTCAGCATTTGCTTGTCTGTAAAGGATTATATTTATCCTTTGCTTATGGAGCTTAGTTTGGCTGGATATGAAATTCTGGGCTGAAAATTGTTTTTTTAAGAATGTTGAATATTGGCTCCCACTCTCTTCTGGCTTGTAGGTTTTCTGCAGAGAGATCCGTTGTTAGTTTGATGGGCTTCCCTTTGTGGGTAACCCGACCTTTCTCTCTGACTGTCCTTAACATTTTTTCCTTCATTTTAACCTTGGTGAATCTGATGATTATGTGTCTTGGGGTTGCTATTCTCGAGGAGTACCTTTGCAGTATTCTCTGTATTTCCTGAATTAGAATGTTGGCCTGTCTTGCTAGGTTGGGGAAGTTCTCCTGGATAATATCCTGAAGTGTGTTTTCCATCTTGGTTCCATTCTCCCTGTCATTGTCAGGTACACCAATCAAACATAGGTTTGGTCTTTTCACATAGTCTCATATTTCTTGGAGGCTTTGTTTGTTCCTTTTCATTCCTTTTTCTCTAATCTTGTCTTCACACTTTATTTCATTAAGTTGATCTTCAATCTCTGATATCCTTTCTTCCACTTGATTGATTTGGCTATTGATACTTGTGTATGCTTCATGAAGTTCTCATGCTGTATTTTTCAGCTCCATCAGGTCATTTATATTCTTCTCTAAGTTGGTTATTCTAGTTAGCAATTCCTCTAACCCTTTTCAAGGTTCTTAGCTCCTTGCATTGGGTAAGAACATGCTCCTTTAGCTTGGAGGAGTTTGTTATGCCCACCCTCTGAAGCCTACTTCTGTCATTTCATCAAACTTATTCTCCGTCCAGTTTTGTTCCCTTGCTGGCAACGAGTTGTGATCCTTTGGAGGAGAAGAGACATTCTGTTTTTTGGAATTTTCAGCCTTTTTGCACTGATTTTTCCTCATCTTCATGGATTTGTCTACCTTTGGTCTTTGATGTTGGTAACATTCATATGGAGTTTTTGTGTGGACATCATTTTTGTTGATGTTGATGCTATTCCTTTCTGTTTGTTAGTTTTCTTTCTAACAGTCAGGCCCCTCTGCTGCAGGTCTGCTGGAGTTTGCTGGAGGTCCACTGCAGACCTTCTTTGCCTGGATATCACCAGTGGAGGCTGCAGAACAGAAAAGATTGCTGCCTGTTCCTTCCTCTGGATGCTTCGTCCCAGAGGGGCACTGGCCAGATGCCAGCTGGAGCTCTCCTGTATGAGGTGTCTGTCGACCCCTGCTGGGAGGTGTCTCCCTGTCAGGACGCACGGGGGTCAGGGAGCCACATGAGGAGGCAGTCTGTCCCTTAGCAGAGCTTGAGCACTGTGCTGGATTATCTGCTGCTCTCTTCAGAGCCGGCAGGCAGGAACGTTTACGTCTGCTGAAGCTGCACCCTCAGCTGCCCCTTCCCCCAGGTGCTCTGTCCCTGGGAGATGGGAGTTTTATCTATAATCCCCTGTCTGCCTTTCTTTCAGAGATGACTTGCCCAGAGAGGAGGAATCTAGAGAGGCAGTCTGGCTACAGCGGCTTTGTGGAGCTGCAGTGGGCTCACCCAGTTTGAATTTCCCAGAGGCTTCGTTTATACTGTGATGGGGAAAACCACCTACTCAAGCCTCAGTAATGGTGGACACCCCTCCCTCCACCAAGCTTGAGAATCCCAGGTTGACTTCAGACTGCTGTGCTGGCAGCGAGAATTTCAAGCCAGTGGATCTTAGCTTGCTGGACTCATGGGCATGGGATCTGCTGAGCTAGACCACTTGGTTCCCTCGCTTCAGCTCCCATTCCAGGGGAGTGAACGGTTCTGTCTCGCTGGTGCTCCAGGTGCCACTGGGGTATGCAAATAAACTCCTGCACGTAGCTGGGTGTCTGACCAAATGGCCGCCCAGTTTTGTGCTTGAAACCCAGGGCCCTGGTGGTGTAGGCACCAGAAGGAATCTCCTGGTCTGCAGGTTGCGAAGACTTCAGGAAAAGTGTAGTATCTGGGCTGGGATGCACCATCCCTCATGGCACAGTCCCTCATGGCTTCTCTTGTCTAGGGGAGGGAGTTCCCGGACCCCTTTCACTTTCTGGGTGAGGTGATTCCCCATTCTCCTTCAGCTCGCTTTCCATGGGCTGTGTCCACTGTCTAATCAGTCCCAATAAGATGAGCCAGGTATGTCAATTGGAAATGCAGAAATCACCCGCCTTCTGCATTGATCTTGCTGGGAGCTGCAGACCAGAGCTGTTCCTATTCGGCCATTTTGCCAGCTACCTATTCAGTATTTTACCCAGATTATCTCATTTCAACTTCACAATAACCCTAGCAGGTAGTTCTCTTGTGTCCATTTTACAAGTAGGCTAAATGCTGCACAGAAGTGTTAAGTAATTTGCCTGAGGTCACAGAGTGAGTAAGAAGTAGGCACAGGATTTGCATTTCACACTGATCCCAAGCCCACATGTTTATGCCTGAGCAGAGGGCTTCCTGGTAAGGACTAAGAATTCAAATACTGATGTTTGCAGACCTGGGTCTCACTGAACTTTGTAGATCCTAGGGATCGGTCCCATGGAGAACACAGAGACAGAAAAATGATAATCATATCCAAAGAGGATGGGAAACTTGAAGATGAAAACACTAATGTGATCTCAAGGGCTACTATATTGTGGCTTAATGTCTATAAACATTCTAAAATTTGGTTCAATAATCTTGAAATCAGAAAAGAGGGGATAAATTTTGTATGGCATTAGCAAATTATATTGTCTTGGTTTCCTTATTTTCATGGGAGTAAAATTAGCTAAGATCTAGAATTTATCCCAGATTCAACTAATAGCAACCTTCAGACAACCAGATTTATTCTCTCTGCTCTTTTCTGGGGTGGGGGTGTGTATGTTAGGGGGCAAGGGGTGATGACAGATGATAAAATAATAGCCAAAGTGTACGAATATTTTTTAAACTACCTTCTAGGGCATGTTCTCAGATTAGTGCTCACTGAGCCCAATATCCGATATGTTCTTTATTTGTGTGGAAATACCACCCAGTGGGACCTGACATTTTGGAAAGATGATCCTGTGGCCCTGCAAATCACAAGTCACATGAAAAGTGTGTATGCACTGCACTGAACTTGTTAAGGAATGAAGACAGCTTGAAACACAAAGATCTGATTTTAGTTGAACAGAAAATTCAATTAACCAGGGAATCCTTTTTGTTGAAAATTCACCTTTTCCCCTAAATATAGTGGTTTATGTATCAGTGTAGGAGGAGGTTGGGGGGAGTTTTAGGGAACAGGGATGGGAGGAGGTCAGTCTCTAATGCATACACTATTGAAAGGAAAGGTGTAATCAAGTGTTCTATGTGTAACAAAAGCTATAAGTCACCTGAATGAGTTTGGATTCAACATAATGAAAAACAGGAGAGTTTCAGAAAAAGAAGAGTAGCATCTGCCCATCTGAGTGGTGGGTCCCATCAGGAGGCAGAGAGATATACAAAAGTCTGCTTGTATCCATGATCCTTTGATCCTTTATTTTTATAGGGGATAAGACAGTAACTTTTCTACTGACCCACAGAAAGATTTCTAAGAGAAGCCCAGAAACAGCCCTGGATTATGGTGAATTTATAAAGTAGGCAGAAAGCATATATAAAGATGATTCCTTTCATTTTGCTTTATTTATCACTTTCTATAAAAAACTTTATGAAAGCAAATATTATCTTTTCTTTTTCATCCTACATCCTTACAGAAGAGATACTGTAAATATTGTATAATAGGCGTAGAGTTAGGGGAATCTACTTGGCGCTCTCAGCTAGGACCATATAGAGGGATCAGAGGCACAATTGAAAGGTCCTTTGCTGCCCTCCCATCTGTATCTTCTTTATTAAATAACTCTACCTTTCATTAATCATCCGTCATTAGCAATGTGGCCTGAAACTCTTTTCTGCTTTTCCCACCCCATCCCATCCCCATCGTCATTGTAAATAACATCTTAGTCAAGAAAAATGATTTTGAAAATTTCATCCCTTTTAAGTGAAATTGTAGAAACAAGTAATTTCACTGTAGAAGTAAAGTTTCTGTTTGAAGGGAGGAAAAAAAAGAAAGAAAAACATGACAGACATTTTTCATGTGGCATGTGCTGTGTGCTTGTCCTCCATTTGCAAGGCGTGTTGTGTGTGTCTCAGAGCCTCCATTGGATTTTCCCATCTGTCTCATTGGGAGTTTTTGAGACTTGGGAGAGAAAGAGACTTGCTGACCTTTAAAAAGCCGCTGATCCATTTGTAGCATCTACCGTCGACTTTGCGGTGACTTCAGTATTTCAGTGGAGGTTTTTAATAGAAAAGAGGTTCATGAGCCACACATTTTATTTCTCCTTGGCCATTGGGAATTACCATATTTGACCAGAGGTGTTATAAATGTTCTTCAGTGTCACTTTACTACATGGCAGTCAAATAACAGCACTTTTTCTGAGTAGGGCAGAAAATGGTAGCAGTGTAGGAACTAGCTGATACGGAACAAAAGAGGTAGTAAAAAACTAGTTTTTCTGTGGAGTTAAAATAGACAAGTGAGTCTATGAATTCATGGCCTTTTACAATCTACAAATGGCTGGCTTTCACCTGAGAAGGGACAGTGAAGGGCAATACTGGAATAAAGGGTGTTCATGTCTTCTTGGCTAGGATAAAAGCTGCTCCATTCCTGTATTAGAAAATTTGGAACATTTCCCTTAAGGTTTTCTTTTAGTGTCCTGGTTTCAATTAAATAACATGGAGGATTTTCATGGTGTTCCAAGAAGTGCAAACAGGATAGTAAAATGCAACTGTTCCCTGTTGGGGCCTTCATGCCCCTTCCAACTAGCTGAAGTAGGGTCCCTTGATGATTATAGATGGGATATCCAGAGCTTCTGAATAATTGCAAAGATAATGTCAGAAAAAGCCTTTAACTAGAACTAGGATGGTGGAATGTTGTAATTATCCAAGGGAGATAAGATCAGAGCCTAGCCCAAGGAATAAAGACAAAGGGAAATATCAGAAAGATAGCATGGAGGTACCATTGGCAGTATTCTCAATGCTGAGAGGAGGAGGTGAAAGAGGTAGCAATAATTCTGATATTTTAATTTTTTTACTGAGAGTCTACAATTCGGCAGCATTGCCAAGTACAGTGGGTAAAACAAGATGAATTTGCTGTTTGTTAGCAATTATGATTTACTTTGAGCCAGTCTTGAAAACAAAATGGTGCATACACATAAACCAATGAGGACAAAAAGAGACCAAGCAGATCCATGTGTCAGCAGTGTCTGTTTCTAGAGCTACTTGTGGCTTCTACAGAGTGGGTAATTTATGAAGTGCCTGGAATGGGATTGAAAAACATACCTAGCCACAGATATAGTTAAGTAGCACAGTATATTTTGAAAAACGCTTCCCAAATGATTTGGCAAATCCACAAAAAAAAAGTAGTGAAAAAGGACTAAGCAACATACATTGATTGGCCAAAACATGATTGAATGTATTCAGCCAGTGCATAATTATGTTATAAGCAAGGTAAGAAAGACCTCAGTGCATAAATGTCTTCTGAAAATTGTATCATTTTGAATTCAGGTTATTTTTTTAAAATCCCAACAACTTTTACTACATTGCCAGGGGAAAAAGTATTCTTCAACTTTGTTCACCCACTTGTAAAAGATACCAACCACTATGTAAAGGATACTAACTTTACATAATAAAAAATTAGCTACGTGAAAGTTCCAGTGTATTTCTTAGCGTAGTTAGTACTTTATAAATGTGAATGTGTTGAATCCAGAATTAAGTGATATTTCCACACAGTTTGAGTTTTATTGCTAAGCTACTTTATCCTTTCAGTTGAATTTGTATATATTCCCCTGTAATGACCTTCATCCCTCTTCTACACTTCTTAAAAGAATTGTGTAACTTTGTCATATCTGTTTTCTCACTTTCTTCAAATTACCTGGCTTTGCCCCCGCAAACCCTCCACTCAAACTAACCTAGAAAAGGTTTCTAATTGTCAAATTCAATAGCCTTTTCAATTCTCATTTTACCATATCTCACTGAAATATTTGACACCACTTTTTCTTTCTTGCATCTCTATCCACCTTTGACTTCCTGGACCTATCCCTTTCTCAATTTCCCTCCAATCTTTTAGAATGACTCTTTCTCAGTTTCCTCTGAAGACTGGACTTCCTTTCTCTAGCCCTATAAATGCTGTAGTTTCTTATGACTCTATCCTCCCACCCTCTGTCCTGTTCTATTTCCACTCATTGCACTCTATTTTAGTACAGAAACACATGGATGGCTTCTACTACCACCTAGTCAGTGATTCCAGATCTGTATGTACAAATAAGTCATCTCTCTGGAGCTAGCGGAGTGATGCTAACTCCCTGTGAACACTCCACTGGGGTGCCCTGGGCAGCACAACATTATCACATCCAGAACTGAGCTCATTTTGATCTATTCCCATGACTTAACGCTAATACATAAGTCTTACGAAGGCCTTTAAAATGTAAGCCTTTCTTACCTCTCTGGAGTTATTTTAGTCCCCATGTAAGTACTAGAGTCCCCCAAATTTTCTCACACACACACATGCGCACACATGCACACACACATTCCTGCTGCTCCCTCTGCTTGGAACTCTCTCTCCCTTTACCTTTACCACTTTCTTAGTCTAGTTCTACTGATTTGGCCCAGACATCATTTCCTCAAGAAGGCTCCTCCATTACTCTTCCCAGCCTGTTTTAGGTGTCCCTCTTAAGTGCTTCTTGTTTGCTCTGTGCTTAAGGTCTTTATTTGTTCCACACGTAAAATATTTCTTGTTTCTTTATCTGGGTTCTCCACTAGACTGTGAGCTCCTCCAGGGCAGGGGCATGATAGGGGCCATTTAAATGAATAGTTTGCCTTCTAATTCCTCCCTACCCTGCTGCCAATTTCATGTCTAGTCAATAGAAGCAAAAGTTTGAACTAACAGGATTTAATGGTTTGACTGAGGTTGATCTTAGAATTAATTTGCCTATTTTCCCTTTTTCTTTCTCCTCCTATGTGCACGTGTGTGTGGAGGGTTGAGTGACTTCATTTGAAATGGGAGAAACCTGCTTAAGGGTAACCCTCCCCTCCAAGAGGAGAAGGAAGAGAATACGGCAGTGTTCTAGGTACTCTTATAAGTCTTCTGTACAAAGCGCTAAAAATCTAGCAACATGCTCCACACATTGTTAGTGTCCTTTGGAAAAGCTTTCCTGTACCCAAAGCCTCAACTGAGCCATTTAATGTTCAGATCTTCACACCATCACTTAAAAGACTTCCATGAGGCTGGAGATGCCCAGCTTCTTTAATGGGCCACAGAGAACTCTCTTCTACTTCTTTGGCTTCGTCTCTTATGACCATTTTGCCTTTTCCTTGGCATGCTAAAGAGCTTGTTCTACTTCTCAATAACTCAAATTATGTCTCACCTCCAAACCTCTGCTCCAGCTATTTTCTCTGCCCCGATTGTCCTCCCTTTCTTCCTGAAAATGCGAACTCCACCCATTGCTTCAGGCCTTTGAAACTTGACCGGAGTCTTCCTTCTCCCAGAACTCTTCTTTCAGAACCCCACTGGTGGGGCTGGCTGTGGCTCCTCCATATTTCCCTAATACCCTTGGCTCTCTTGTCACACTTCCCTCAGCATTAAATAACTCATCTGCCACTGGGTCAGCTCCTCCAAAAGCAGGGACTGATCTTGTTCATCTTTGAATGCTCATAATGCCTGGCATATGGAAGGTGCTGAAAAATATTTTGCTGAATTAACGAATAATGAAATATTGAATGGTAATGCACTCAGAAGTGTGCAGATTACTTTACTGCACAAATTTTGCTTGACTCACTGCCAGAAAGTCTGCCACATCCTGAATGAGGCAGATGTTATTGACTCAGGTAAGAGTTTGAAGTTGCATCTCAGGAACTAGCCCAATGTTGGAGGAGGAGGTAAGACAGATAATCTCTTTATTTAAGCAGAAAGTTGTGTTTAATAACTGTGAATATCTCCCAGTTTTTAGCGCAGCCAGAGCTTCCTGTCATGCCATATCACTTCACAGAGAGACCTGGGGTGCTCACTTAGGCTCCAGAAAGTTATCATGTGCCTGGAGAATAACCTGACATCCCAGGAACTCCCCTACTGGAGAAACTCAACCAGCTCATTTATCAACCTAAAGCCTCTTGGGTGGAGGTGCTACTATCTATGTGTGTCTGAGACCCTTGGCTGTCATCCTTCCAGACTGGGCCACCTGCTTTTTAGGTGGAAAAGTTGTTGGCGTTTCATGCATGTATGTGGGGTACCAGTTGGTGCTGGAAAAAAAAGGCACTTAGAACCTGTGTGGTCTCGGATAAATTACCTAACCTTTCTGTGCGTTAGACTCTTCATAAAAGGTGTGACAATGCATATGTTGTAGGATTATTGGAATGATTAAATTAGATAAATTATGTAAAGAGTTTAGCCGAGGGCAAGGTCCACAGTAAGTGTTTAATAAATGTCAGCTGAGGTTATTATTATGGTTAAGTGCCTTCTGACCTATGGTGTCTCTAGAGAACCAGCCTTGAGAAGAGAACTTGGAGAGAAAACATCCTGGAGGGAAACTGAAATGAAAATGTAAACCAGAGTCTCCATGTTGAAACTCAGAGTCCTTTCATTAAGAAAGAGTATGTCTCATGTCATTTAGTGATCTGAAATGAACAAAAAATCCCATAGTTTGCATGAAAATTTTGAATCTGTTTTCATGTTGTATGATTATTACTACTTTTTTTCTATTTCTCCCCTCTTGTGCTATCACTAAATTCCCTGTGCAAAAGTCACCTCTTGGGTCCCTCACATCGATTTGGTTCAATCATCTTTCAGAGCTGCTCTGACCTACCTATTTATGGGAAGTGACAGTAGCTTTCTCCCTCCTCCAGGGATTTCACTCCTCTTTTCACAGAGGAGGTTCTGACAGAAAGGAGTCCTATTTCTTTTAAACCCTGAGCTCTCTTGCCTACCTTAGAATTTGTGGCTGGCATCATCCTTCTGATCAAGGGGCTGTGTTTTCTACCAAGGAAGCTTGAGACAAAGGAAAGGAAAGGTAAAAGGCACAGTTGGGGAACACTCTAGGTCTAAAGGAACCTCAACAGGAGGGAACACTGGGGTCCAGGGTGCAGATAAGTAACTATTGCACCAACTTTGCTTTACATGTTTGTGGCATGCTCATTTGCTTCCTACCTCTCTGCCTGCTGCTTTTCCATCTTCTTTGCTGGCTTCTCTGCCTCTACTGCTCCTCCAGTGCTGATGTTTCTCAGGGTTCTGTTCAAGGGACTGGGTTCTAACTTCTTTCTTTCTGTTTTTTGTTTTGTTTTGTTTTGTTTTGTTTTTTTGAGGCAGGGTCTCACTCCCATCGCCAAGAGCCAAGGTTGGAGCACAGTGGTGTGATCATTTCTCACTGCAGCCTCAACCTCCCAGGCTCAGATGATCCTCCCACCTCAGCCTCCTGAGTAGCTGAGACTATAGTTGCACCACACTCAGCTAATTTTTGTATTTTTTGTAGAGATGACACCTTGCCATGTTGTCCAGGCTGGTCTTGACCTCCTGGGCTCAAGTGATCTGCCCACCTCGGCCTCCCAAAGTGTGGGATTACAGGTGTAAGCCACCATGCCTGGCCTAACTCCTTGCTTTTCCCAGACAACCTCAACCTTCCCAGGGCAATAGGAACCAGATCTGTCTCCCAAGCTCCAGACAAGTCCATCCTACTGCCTTCTGGATGGTTGCTACATGGATATCCCACAGGTTACTAATACTCAATGTGACTAAAATAGTACCTATAATCTTTCTGTCTCTATCAGAGTTGCTTCTTTTCCAGTATTCCTTATCTTGGAAAATAGTACTACTCCCTAAGCCATTGCCCAAGGTGAAACTTGAAAGTTGATCTAGACTTTTAATTTTCCCTTTCCCTGCCCATTCAATCAATTACTTATTCCTATCAACTCCACCTGCACTTGGCAGTAATGATGCACCCCTCCCCTCCCCAGTGAGGTGGTGTCAGAGGAACTCTAGTGGGGGAGTTGGGATTTCACTATCACCCAGTAGTAACAAGGCCAATTTGACACCCAATTCAGTGTCAGTAGAGTCCATGTTGGGAGGCAGAACTGCCATTCTTACCCAGTACTAAAAAGGAGCTTTCCCAACTCCTCAGATGGCAATGGAGGCTGAATGGGGAACCTAGACTTCTACCTTCACCTAATAAGTGGACAGTAATGAGGCAGCCCCCTGCCAGAGTGAAGTTTGAAAAAGCCAGCTTAAACATAAAGCTCAAATGAACCCCAGAGCCTCATCACTTATAAAAAATGTTCAGGTTCCAATTGAAAATCATGAAGAACCAAGAACCAAGAAGATCTCAAACTGAATGAAAAAAAGACAATAGTTGCTGTACTAGCTTCCTATGGCTACTGTGACAAACTACTATAAATTTGATTTACAACAACAGAAGTGTAATCTCTCACAGCTCTGGAGGCCAGAAATCCAAAATCAAGGTGTCAGCAGGACCGCACTTCCTTCAAAGTCTCCACAGGAGATTTTGTTATTTGCCTCTTCCAGCTTCTGGTGGCTCCAGGTGTTCCATGGCTTGTAGCTGCTTCATTCTAATCTCTGCCTCCATAGATGCATGCTACCTCCTCTGTATTTCTCTTATAAGAATACCTATCACTAGATCTAGACCTACCCAGATAATCCAGGATGATTTCATCATCTCATAATCCTTAATTTCCAGAATATGGAAATATAAATCTTAGTGATGGGCTCAACAGCAGAATGGAGGGTACAGACCAAACAACTAAACAGAGACTCAGGGACCTGTGGGATTATAACAAAAGATCTAGCATTCATGTCATTGCAGTTCCAGAAAAAGAGGAGAAAGGCAATGAATGAAGACTAGAAGAAATAATAACCAAAAACTTCTCAGATTTGACAAGAGACGAAAACCTACAGACTCAAGAGGCTCAGAAACTCTCAAACAAGAAAAGCCAAAGAAGTGCATGCCAACACACAACATAATGTCTGAGAACTAAAGAAAAGAAAATATATTGAATGCAGTCAGAGAAAAATAACATCTTAATTAGTATGAAAAAAGCAATTAGAATGACACTGTATTTCTCATCATAAGTCATTGAGAAGGAAGTGACACAATATTTTTCAAATATTGAAAGACGACTTTCAATTCAGAATCTTGTAGTCAGTGTGAAATACCCTTCAGGAATAAAGGGGAAATCAAGACATTGTCAGATGAAGGAAAACTAAGAGAATTTGTCTTCAGCAGACCTATATTAAAATAATAGCTAATGGAAGTTCTCTAAGCAGAAAGGAAATAATACCAGAAGGAACCTTGGAGCATCAGAAAGGAAGAAAGAACACAGACAGCAAAAATATGGGCAAATACAACAGGTTTTCCTTCTCCTCTTGAGTTTTCTAAATCATGTTTGACAGTTGAGGCAAAATTTGTACTAATCTCTAATGTTATTCCAAATGTATGTAGAGGAACAAATACTATTATATTATAAATTGAATATGTTGAAGGGATGTAAAGACAGGTAAGGTTTCTGCACTTTACTCACACTGGT
Source organism: Homo sapiens (assembly GCF_000001405.40). NCBI lineage: Eukaryota > Metazoa > Chordata > Mammalia > Primates > Hominidae > Homo > Homo sapiens. The sequence continues at coordinate 175,658,695 of NC_000002.12, read as the reverse complement.
GAAATTATGACACCAGAGGACTGTAATAAGTTATGTGTATTTTAAGTAATATTGAGAACAACCACTGAAAAAACTATGCAAAGAGATACACTCAAAAATACTACAAAAAAATCAAAATGGAATTCTAAAAATACATCCAAGAAACCCACAGGAGGGCATAAAAATTAAAATCAAGCAATAAAGAAACAAATAAAACCAGTGAGAATAAACTGAAAAAATTAAAATGCAGACTTAAGTCCTAACATATTAATAATTACATTGAATGTAAATGGTCTAAATACACCAATTAAAAGACTGGCAGAGTGAATTAAAAAAAATGATCTGACTATATGCTGCCATCAAGAAACACATTTCCAACGTAATATAGACAGCTTTAAAGTAAAAGAATGAAAAATATATCACTAATCAAAGGCATTCAGAAGTACGTGTATTAATAACTGATAAAGCAGACTTCAGAGCAAAGAAAATTAAGACAGAAAGAGACATTACATAATTATAGAAGGGTTAATTCTCTAAGAACATATAGCAACCCTAAATGTTTATTCACCAAACCATACAGCTGCAAAATATGTGAAGCAAAAACTTCTCAATTCAGATAGATCTGAAAGGAGAAATAGAAAAATCCACAACTATAATTGAAGAGGCCAACAGTCTACTCTCAACAATTGATTAGAGCTAGACAGAAAGTCAGCAAAAATATGGAAGAACTGAACAACATCATCAACCAAGAGGATCTAATCAACATTTATGGAACATTCTACTCAACAGTAGAATACATATTCTTTCCAAGTACCCTCAGAACATATGCCAAGATAAGTCATACCCTGAGCTATATCAAGTTTAAAAGAAATGAAATCATACAGAGTGCTTTCCTTGACTACAATGGAATCAAAGTAAAAATAAATAGTAAAAAGATCACAGGAAAACTTCTAGCTCTAAATGTACAAGAAAAGTAGAAAATCCTAAAATCAACAATCTAAGCTCCCACCTCAAGAACCTAGGAAAATAAGAGCAAAATAACCCCAAAGCAAGCAGAAGGAAGGAAATAATAAAGAGCAGAAATCAATGAAAATGAAAGCAGAAAAACAACAGAAAAATAAATGCCACAAAGGGCTAGTTCTTTGAAAAGATCAGTAAGATTGACAAATCTTTGCAAGACTGACAAACAAAAAGGAAAGGCACATATTACCAATATCAGCAATGAAACAGGGGCTATCACTATAGTTCCTACAAACATCAAGGATGTTAAGGTAATGCCATAAACAATTCTATATGCATACAATTGACACCTTAGATGAAATCAACCACTTTAAAAAAAAACTTCCACAACTCACCCAGTATGAAATAGTCTGACTATCTTTATTATTAAAAGATTGAATTTGTAATTTAACAACTCCCCCAAATGAAATCTCTAGGCCCCATAGTTTCATTGAAGAATTCTGCAAAACATTTAAGGAAGAATTAACACCAGTTCTAAACAATCTTTCCTAGAAAATAGAAGAGAAGGGAATACTTCCTAATTCACTTTATGAAGCTGTTAGTACTCTGATATCAAAGTTAGACAAAGACAGTATGACAAAGAGAAAAGACAAAGAAAACCACAGATCAATATCCCTAATGAATATAGGTGCAAAAATCTTTAATAAAACATTAATATATAATTCAGCAATATATGAGAAGAACTGCATAACAATATTAAGCGGGGTTTGTTTCAGAGATGCAAGTCTGGTTCAATATTAGAAAATCAGTGTAATCTACCACATTAACAGACAAAGGGTGTAGGAAGGAGGTGGGTTTGGCTATACAAGGGCAACATAAAAAATCCTTGTGGTGATGAAAATCCTCTGTATCTTGACTGTCAATGTCAGCATCCTGCTTATTGTATTTTACTATAGTTTTGTAAGATATTTCCCTCTGAGATAAACTAGGCAAAAAGCACATGGGAATCTCTCTGTATAATTTCTTTTTTTGTTGTTTTAACTTTTCTAAGGTTCAGGGGTACATGTGCAGGTTTGTTATATAGGTAAACTTGTGTCACGTGGGTTTCTTGTACAGATTATTTTGTGACTCAGGTACTAAGCCTAGTACCCAATAGTTATTTTTTCTGCTCTTCTCCCTCCTCCCACTCTCCACCCTCAGGTAGACACAAGTGTATGTTGTACCTCTTTTTGTGTCCATCTGTTCTCATCATTTAGCTCCCACATGTAAATGAGAACATGTTGTGTTTTGTTTTCTGTTCCTGTGTTAGTTTGTTAGGAATAATGGCCTCTAGTTCCATCCATGTTCCTGCAAAGGACATGATTTTATCCTTTTTATGGCTGCATAGTATATGTACCATATTTTATTTATTTATTTATTTATTTATTTATTTATTTATTTATTTATCCAGTCTACCATTGATAGGCATTTAGGTTGATTCCATGTCTTGGCTATTGGGAATAGTGCTGCACTGAACTTACTCGTGTGTGGTCTTTATGATAGAATAATTTCTATTCCTTTGAGTATATACCCAGTAATGGGATTGCTGGGTTGAATGGTAGTTCTGTTTTCAGCTCTTTGAGGAATTACCACACTGCTTCCCACAATGGTTAAACCAATTTACACTCCCATCAACAATGTATAAGCATTCCCTTTTCTATAAAACATTGTGAGCATCTGTTATTTTTTGACTTTTTAGTAATAGCCATTTTGACTGGTATGAGATGGTATCTCATTGCAGTTTCAATTTGCATTTATCTAATGATCAGTGATATTGAGCTTTTTTTCATTTACTTGTTGGAAACAAGCAGGTCTTCTTTTGAAAAGTATTCATTCATGTCCTTTGCCCACTTTTTAATGGGGTTGTTTGTTTTTTTCTTGTAAATTTAAGTTCCTTATAGATGCTGGGTATTAGACCTTTGTCAGATACAGTTTGCAAAAATTATCTCCCATTCTGTAGGTTGTCTATTCACTCTGTTGATAGTTTATTTTGCTGTGTGTAAGTTCCTTAGTTTCATTAGGCCCCATTTGTCAATTTTTGCTTTTTTTGCAATTGATTTTGGCATCTTTGTCATGAAATCTTTGCCAATTCCTACGTCCAAAATGGTATTGCCTAGGTTGCCTTCCAGAGTTTTTATGGTTTTGGGTTTTACATTTAAGTCTGTAATCAATCTTGAGTTAATTTTTGTAGATTGTGTAAAGAAGGGGTACAGTTTCAATCTTCTGCATCTCAATGATATTGCTTTTTCCTATCCATGAACATGGAATGTCTTTCCGCTTGTTTGTGTCATATCTAATTTCTTTGAGCAGTGCTTTGTAATTCTTATTGCAAAGATCTTTCACCTCCCTTGTTAGCTGTATTCCCAGGTATTTTATTGTATTTGTGGCAACCGTGAATGGGTTTGCATTCCTGATTTGGCTCTTGGTTTGGCTGTTTTTGGTGTATAGGAATGCTTGTGACTTTTGTACATTGATTTTGTATCCTGAAACTTTGCTGAAGTTGTTTAACATATCAAGGAACTTTTGGAGAGAGACTATGGGGTTTTCTAGATATAGAATCATGTCATCTACAAACAGGGATAGTTTGACTTCCTCTCTTCCTATTTGGATTCCTTTTATTTCATTCTCTTGCCCGACTGCTTTGGCCAGGACTTCCAATACTCCGTTGAATAGGAATAGTGAGAAAGGGCATCCTTGCCTTGTGCTAGTTTTCAAGGGGGGTGCTTCCAGCTTTTTCCCATTCAGCCAACCCACATGTTGGCTGTGGGTTTGTCATAGATGGGTCTTATTATTTTGAGGTATGTTCCTTCAATACCTAGCTTGTTGAGAGTTTTTAACATGAAGCGTTGTTGAATCTTATCCAAAGCCTTTTCTGCATCTATTGAGATAATCATGTGATTTTTGTCTTTAGTTCTATTTATGTGATGGTTCACGTTTATTGACTTGAGTATGTTGAACTAAACTTGCATTTCAGGGATAAAACCCACTTGATCATGGTAAATTAGCTTTTTGATGTGCTGCTGGATTCAGTTCGGTAGTATTTTGTTGAGGATTTTTGCATCAGTGTTCATCGAGGATATTGCCTAAAGTGTTCTTTTTTTGTTGTGTCTTTGCCAGCTTTTGGTATCAGGATGACTCTGGCCTCATTTAATGAGTTAGGGAGAAGTCCCTCTTCCTCAATTTCTTGGAATAGTTTCAGTAAAATGGTACTAGCTCTTCTTTGTACATCTGGTAGAATTTGGCTGTGAATCCATCTGGTCCTGGGCTTTTTTTTTTTTTTTTTTTTTTTTTTGGTTGATAGACTATTACTGATTCAGTTTCAGAACTCATTATATTGATCTGTTCTTGGTTTAGTCTTGTGAGGGTGTATGTGTCCAGAAATTTATCCATATTTTTTCTAGATTTTCTAGTTTGTGTATGTAAAGGTGTTCGTAGTATTCTCTGATAGCTATTTGTATTTCTGTGGGGTCAGTGGCAATATCCCCTTTGTTGTTTCTTTGGATCCTCTCTCTTTTCTTCATTAGTCTAGTTAGTGGTCTATCTGTCTTATTAATTTTTTTAAAAAAAAAACAGCTCCTGGATTCATTAATTTTTTTTAAGTTTTAATATTTTTATTTCAATAGTGTTTGGTTACATGAATACATTCTTTAATGATGATTTCTGAGTATTTAGTGTACTCATCACCTGAGAAGTGTACCCTGTACACAATGTGTAGTCTTTTATCCCTCACCCCCCTCCCACCCTTTCCACTGAGTCCCCAGAGTCCAGTTGTATCATCCTTATGCCTTTGCATCATCACGGATGTTTGGTTTTCCATTCCTGAGTTATTTCACTTCAAATAATGGTCTCCAATTCCATCCAGGTTGCTGAAAATGCCATTATTTAGTTCCTTTTTATAGCTGAGTAGTATTCCATGGTATATATATATATACACACACATACACACACACACACACACACACACCATATATATATATATATATATATATATATATGCACCACAATTTCTTTATCCACTTGTTAATTGATGGCTGGTCCCATATTTTTGCAATTGTGAATTGTGCTGCTATAAACATGCATGAGCAAGTGTCTTTTTCATATAATGACTTCTTTTCCTCTGGGTAGATACCAGTAGTGGGATTGCTGGATCAAATGGTAGTTCTGCTTTTAGTTTTTAAAGGAAACCCCACACTGTTTTCCATAGTGGTTGTACTAGTTTACATTCCTACCAGTAGTGTAAAAGTGTTCCCTTTTCACCACATCCATGCCAGCATCTGTTATTTTTTGATGTTTTGATTTGATTGTGGTTTTGATTTGCATTTTTTAGTGATGATTAGTGATTAGTGATTAGATGATTAGTGATTTTAGTGATCATTAGTGATGTTCAGCATTTTTTCATATGTTTGTTAGCCATTTGTATATCTTCTTGTGAAAATTGTCTATTCATGTCCTTAACCCATTTTTGATAGAATTGTTTTTTTCTTGCTGATTTGTCTGAATTCCTTGTAGATTCTTGACATTAGTCCTTTGTCAGATGTATAGATTGTGAAGATTCTCTCCCACTCTGTGGGTTTTCTGTTTACTCTGCTGATTGTTTCTTTTGCTGTGCAGAGACTCTTTAGTTTAATTAAGTCCCATCTATTTATCTTTGTTTTTGTTGCATTTGGTTTTGGCTTCTTGGTCACGAAGTCTTTGCCTGAGCCAATGTCTAGAAGGGTTTTCTTAAGCCATTGTCTAGAAGGGTTTTCCTGACATCTAACTTCTAGAATTTTTATGGTTTCCAGTCTTAGATTTAAGTCTTTGATCCATCTTGAGTTGATTTTTGTATAAGGTGAGACATGAGGATCCAGTTTCACTGTTCTACATGTGGCTTGCCAATCATTCCAGCACCATTTGTTGAATAGGATGCCCTTTCCTCACTTTATGCTTTTGTTCGCTTTGTTGAAGATCAGTTGGCTTTAAGTATTTGGCTTTATTTCTGGGTTCTCTATTCTTTTCTATTGGTCTATGTGCCTATGTTTATACCAGTACCATGCTGTTATGGTGACTATGGCCTTAGAGTCCAGCTTGAAGTCAGGTAATGTGATGCCTCCAGATTTGTTCTTTTTGCTCAGTTTTGCTTTGGCTATGTGGGCTCTTTTTTGGTTCCATATGAATTTTAGGATTGTTTTTTCTAGTTCTGTGAAGAATGATGGGGGTATTTTGATGAGAATTGCATTGCATTTGTAGATTGCTTTTGGCAGCATAGTCATTTTCACAATATTGATTCTACCCATCCATGAGCATGGGATATGTTTCATTTGTTTGTGATTTCTTTCAGCAATGTTTTGTAGTTTTCCTTGTAGAGGTCTTTCATCTCCTTGGTTAGGTATATTCCTAAGTATTTTATTTTTATTTTTGCAGGTATTGTAAAAGGGGTTGAGTTCTTGATTTGATTCTCAGCTTGGTTGTTGTTGGTGTATAGCAGAGCTACTAATTTGTGTACATTAACTTTGTATCCTAAAACTTTCTGATAGGATTGCCTGTTTATTTCTTGCTGATTTGTTCGAGTTCCTTGTAGGTTCTGGATATTAGTCCTTTCTAGGAGCTTTTTGGATGAGTCTTTAGAGTTTTCCAGGTATAAGGTCATATCATCAGTAAACAACAACAGTTTTACCTCCTCTTAACGATTTGGATGCCCTTTATTTCTTTCTCTTGTCTGATTGCTCTGGCTAGAACTTCCAGTACTATGTTGAATAGAAGTGGTGAAAGTGGGCATCCTTGTCTTGTTCCAGTTCTCAGGGGGAATGCTTTCTACTTTTCCCCATTCAGTATCATGTTGGCTGTGGGTTTGTCATAGATGGTTTTTATTACATTAAGGTATGTCCCTCTATGCCGATTTTGCTGAGGGTTTTAATCAAAAAGCGATGCTGAATTTTGCCAAATGCTTTTTCTGCATCTATTGAGATGATTATGTTATTATTATTATTATTATTATTATTTTTGAGTCAGAGTCTCACTCTGTCACCCAGGCTGGAGTGCAGTGGCGCAATCTCAGCTCACTGCAAGCTCTGCCTCCTGGGTTCATGCCATTCTCCTACTTCAGCCTCCCAAGTAGCTGGGACTACAGGCGCCCACCACCACGCCTGGCTAATTTTTTGTATTTTCAGTAGAGACGGGGTTTCACCATGTTAGCCAGGATGGTCTCGATCTCCTGACCTCATGATCTGCCTGCCTCAGCCTCCCAAAGTGCTGGGATTACAGGCGTGAGCCACCACACCTGGCCATGATTTTTGTTTTTAATTCTGTTTATGTGGCATATCACGTTTATTGAATTGTGTATGTTAAACCATCCCTGAATCCCTGGTATAAAACACACTTGATTATGGTGGATTATCTTTTTGATATGGTGTTGGATTCAGTTAGCTAGTATTTTGTTAAGGATTTTTGCATCTATATTCATCAGGGATTGTTGGTTGATGGTTTTCTTTTTTTGTTATATCCTTTCCTAGTTTTTGTATTAGGTTGATACTGGCTTCACAAAATGATTTAGGGAGGATTCCCTCTTTATCTTGTAGAATAATGTCAGGAGGATTGGTACCAATTCTTCTTTGAATGTCTGATAGAATTCAGTGTGAATCTTCTGGTCATGGACTTTTTTTGTTGGCAAATTTAAAGTTACCATTTTCAATCTTGCTGCTTGTTAATTGGTCTATTCATGGTTTGTATTTCTTCCTGGTTTAATCTAGGAGGGTTGTATGTTTCCCAGAATTTATCTATCTCCTCTATGTTTTCTAGTTTATGCACATGAAGATGTTCATAGTAGCCTTGAATGATCTTTTGCATTTCTGTGGTATCAGTTGTAATATCTCCTGTTTCATTTCTAATTGAGCTTATTTGGGTCTTCTCTCTTCTTTTCTTGGTTAATCTCACTAATGGTATATCAATTTTATTTATTTTTTCAAAGAACCAGCTTTTTGTTTCATTTATTGTTTTTATCTTTTGTTTCAATTTCATTTAGTTCTGCACTGATCTTTGTTATTTCTTTTCTTCTGCTGAGGTTGAGTTTGGTTTGTTCTTGTTTCTCTAGTTCCTTGAGGTGTGACCTTAGATTGTCTATTTGTGCTCTTTCTGAGTTTTTGATGTAGGCATTTAAGGTTATAAACTTTCCTTTTAGCATCGCCTTTGCTGTATCCCAGAGGTTTTAATAAGTTGTGTCAGTATTATCATTCCGTTCAAATAACTTTTAAATTTTCCTCTTGATTTCATTGTTAACCCAATGATCATTCAAGAGTAGATTATTTAATTTCCATGCATTTACATGGTTTTGAGGGTTCCTTTTGGAGTTGATTTCCAATTTTATTCCACTGTGGTTTGAGAAAGTACTTGATATAATTTCAATTCTCTTAAACTTATTGAGACTTCTTTTGTGGCCTATCATATGGTCTGTCTTGGAGAATGTTCCATGTGCTCATGAATAGAATGTATATTCTGTAATTGTTGGATAGAATGTTCTGTAAATATCTCTTAAGTCCATTTGTTCTAGGGTGTAGTTTAAAACCATTGTTTCTTTGTTGGCTTTCTGTCTTGATGATCTGTCTAGTGCTGTCAGTGGAATTTTGAGCTTTCCCACTATTATTGCATTGCTGTCTATCTCATTTTTAGGTAGGTCTAGTGGTAATTGTTGTATAAATTTGAGAACTCCAGTGTTAGGTGCATATACATTTAGGATGGTGATATTTTCCTGTTGAACAAGTTCTTTTATCATTATGTAATGTTCCTTTATGTCTTTTTAAACTCCTGTTGCTTTAAAGTTTGTTTTGTCTGTTATAAGAATAGCTATTCCTGCTTGCTTATGGTGTCCATTTTCATGGGATATCTTTTTCCACCCCTTTACCTTAAGTTTATAATTTTTTGCATGATTTCTTGTGTCTTAATCTCCTACAGTTCAGCTTTCATTTTTGGTTATTTCTTGTCTTCTGTTAGCCTTGGAGTTGGTTTGTTCTTGCTTCCTTATTTCTTTTAGATGTGATGTTAGGCTGTTAACTTTGGTCTTTTAAACTTTTTGATGTGGGTATTTTGCACTATAAATTTCCCTCTTAGCATTGCCTTAGCTGTGTCCCCAAAATTCTGATATGTTGTATTTTTGTTCTCATTAGTTTCAAAGAACTTCTTGATTTCTGCTTTAATTTCATTATTTACCCAGAGATCATTCAGGAGCAGGTTGTGTAATTTCCATGTAATAGTATGGTTTTGAATGATTTTCTTAATCTTGAATACTAGTTTTATTATGCTGTGGTCCAAGAGAGTGGTTGGTATGATTTTAGTTAATTTGCATTTGCTGAGGATTGTTTTTGTCTGATTGTGTGGTCAATTTTAGAGTATGTGCCATGTGGCAATGAGAAGAATGTATATTCTGTTGTTTTTTTGGTGGAGAGTTCTGTAGATGTCTATCAGGTCAATTTGGTCCAGTGTTGAGATTAGGTCCTGAATATCTTTGTTAATTTTCTGCCTCAGTGATCTGTTAGTGGGGTGTTGAGGTCTCTCACTATTATTGTGTGTGAGTCTAAGTATCTTTGAAGGTCTCTAAGAACTTTCTTTATCAATCTGGGTGCTCCTGTGTTAAGCGCATATATACTTAGGATAGTTAGGTCTTCTTGTTGAATTGAACCCATTACCATTATGTAATGTCCTTCTTTGTCTTTTTTGAACTTTGTTGTTTTAAAGTCTATTTTATCTGAAATTAGAATTGCAACCCCTGATTTTCTCTGTTTTCCATTTGCTTGGTAGGTTTTTCCCCATCCCTTTATTTTGAGCCTTGGGGTGTTATTGCATGTGAGATGAGTCTCTTGAAGACAACATACCATCGGGTCTTGGTTCTTTATCCAGCTTTCCATTCTGTGTCTTTTAATTGGGGCATTTAGCCCATTTACATTCAAGGTTAGTATTGTTATATGTGGATTTGATCCTGTCATCATGTTGTTATCTGGCTCTTATTCAGGCCTATTTGTATTGTCACTTTATAGTGTCACTGGTCTGTGTACTTGTGTTTTTGTAGTGGCTGGTAAGTCTTTCCTTTCCATGTTTAGTGCTTCTTTCAGGAGCCCTGGTAAGGCAGGTCTGGTGGTAATGAATTTCCTCAGCATTTGCTTCTTTGAATATAGGCCCTCAATCTCTTCTGGCTTGTAGGATTTCTGCTGAAAAGTCTGCTGTTTGTCTGATGGGCTTCCCTTTGTAGGTGACCTCTCCTTTCTATCTAGCTGCCTTTAACATTTTTTATTTTCATTTCAGCCTTGGAGAATCAGATGATTATGTGTCTTGGGGGATGATCTTCTTGCGAAGTGTTGTGTGTGGGTTCTCTGCATTTCCTGAACTTGAATGTTGGCCTCTTTAGCTAGGTTGGGGAAGTTCTTATGGAGTATATCCTGAAATATATTTTCCAACTTGTTTCCATGCTCCCCATCTCTTTCAGGGACACCAACGAGTTGTAGATTTGGTCTCTTTACATAATCTCATATTGCTCAGGTTTTTCTTGTTCCTTTTTACTATTTTTTCTTTATTCTTTTCTGACTGTCTTATTTGAGAAAGCCAGAAAGAATCTCAAGCTCTGAGATTCTTTCCTCAGCTTGGTCTATTCTGCTGTTAATGCTTGCAATTGCATTATGAAATTCTCATAGTGTGTTTTTCAGCTCTATCAGATCAGTTACATTCTTTTTGATACTGGCTATTTTGTCTGTCAGCTTCTGTATCTTTTTATCGTGACTGTTAGCTTCCTCAGATTGGGTTTCAGTCTGGGTCTCATCTCCTGGATCTTGATGATCTTCATTCCTATCCATATTCTGAATTCTATTTCTGTCATTTTAGCCATCTCAGCCCAATTAAGAACTCTTGCTGGAGAACTAGTGCTGTCCTTTGGAGGAAAGAAGACACTCTGGCTTTTTGAGTTGTCAGAGTTCTTACTCTGGTTCTTTCTCATCTTTGTGGGCTGACATTTCTTCAATCTTTGAAGTCGCTGTCCTTTGGATGCTTTTTTTCACCTTTTATTGTATTTAATCACCTTTGCAATTTGATTATGGTTTAAGTGGAGTTCTGTTGACTGGTTTTATTTCTGGCTCAGGTCAGGACCCCTGGACTGTGTGCTCTAACTCTGGGAAACTGGCATTGGTTCCCCACTTTGTTCTCTGGCTCCTCAAGTTTAGTAAACTCCTGTGCTATAAGGGCTAATGTGCTTCCAGACCACTGATCATAACACTCTGTTGGATGGTACTAGCCGAAACACTTCATAAGGCGGTGGCAGAAGAATCTGACCTCATACGCACATTTCAGTAGCAGCTACAGTTGTAGTGCAGAAAGGGGCATGCTTATTGGCTGTGGCAGGGTGCTGTTGGCTGCCAGGGTGCCAAGCCTCCATGCAGACATTTGCAGCAACAGCCAGCATTAACAGCACAGCCTCCATGTGGGCATTTGCAGCAGCTGCTGGCCTCTGTGTGAGTGTTCACAGCTGCAGCTGGCATTGACAGCATGGCTCAGGGGGACAGGGATCTCCACCAATGGCTGTGCATGCATTCACACTAGTGGTGGTGTTTGCACCCTCTCTGTGTGTTTCTGTAGGCAGCAGTTGCTGCTTAGGATGGGGGCAAGTCTGCTTTCCTCTGTGTCTACTTTCACATGTGTAGTAGTTTTGGTGCAGGAGTGGGTTGCTGGAGGGTGTGGGGCTGACAGACTCTGTGCCTGCCAAAGGTCCAACAACAATGGTGGTGCAGCAGGGGAAGGCAAGGAAGGTGCACTTATGCCAGCAGCAGTGGCACAGTAGGGTGCACATGCACACTCATGCTGGTAGGGGAGGGAAGACAAGGTCCACCCATGTACACATGTACTAGCAAAGTTATATGGGAGTAGCTGTGGGCAAATGTGTGAGGGCAAAGCAGTATCAGGGAGGCTGCAGATGGGAGAGGGTACAGACAGGCTTGTGCATGTCCACTGGGGCCACTCTGCTTGAGTACTGTACTGGTCAGGTGCAGTTCACCAGTACAGAAGGTACCTGGAGGGCAGCACTACAAGCAAACTTGGCCAGGCTGGGGCCCCAGGAGAGGCCAGCAAACCAAGTGGTGCTCAGGCCAGACCAGCCCTGTCTCATGGGCAAGATCACCCTCCAGAGTTCAGGTCCTACAGTTTCTCTAGGGCTAAAGTCTCCTATGGGAGCAAGTTGAGCCTAGGGATATGGGCAACCCTGGCCATGCTCCACTTGAGATGTTCCCACACAAAAATGTCTAGGCTCTACTCTGGTTGGAGTTCTTCCCCTACCACTTCTCTGAGCAGCTCTCCCTGCCAATTCAAGTGTCTGTGGTGGTCAAGGGGTCTCTACCTGCTGGGATTCCAGAGGCCTGTGGTGAGAGTAGATTCCTTGCATTTGCAACTCACCCCTTCCCCAGGAGTCACTGGGTGCCAGGTATGAGTCCTGGTGTATGGTAGCCCTGTGCAGGGTTCCCAGAATTCTCCCACTTCAACCCAGCATCTGTGTTTTCCTTCTGTCCACCCTCGATGCTTTCCCTCTGAAGATCTGCTAGAAGTGCACCAGTCTTCCCAGTGCCCCATCCCTCGGTGGGAGATGTTCCTCCTGGCTGCATCTAGTCATCTGTCTTGCCCCAGTCTCTCAGTATTATTTCTTGCAACTCTGTATTGTAACTCTGTGTAAGTCTACAATTATCTAAAAAAAAATAATTTAAAAATAACCACATAGATGGAGGAAAAGCTTTTAACAAAATCCAATACCCATTCATAACAAAAACTCTCAGTTAATTAGGAATAGAAGAGAACTTTCTTAACTTGATAAAAAAAAATACATATGAAGGTCCTACAGCTAACATCATATTAATGGTGAGAAACTAGCAGCTTTAACAATGAGATCAAGAATAAGGCAGGGATGTGCTTTCTAACTACTACTTTTCAACGTAGTACTGGAAGTTCTAGCTAATGCAATAAGACAACAAATGGAAATAAAAGGTACACAAACTGAGAAGGAGTAAAGAACACTTTTTGTTCACAGATGACATGATTATCAATGTATAAATCTGAAAGAATTAAAAGAAAACCAAAACCCCCAAAACCTGCCAGAACTAATAATTGAATATGGCAAGGTCACAGGATGAACTACTAATATTTGAAAGTTAATCACTTTCCTATGTACCAGCAATGAACAAGTAGAATTTGAAATAAAAAATACAGTACCGTTTACATTAGTACCCTCCCCCCACCAAAATGAAATGCTTAGGTTTAAATTTAACAAAATATGTTCAGGATCTATAGGAAGAAAACTAAAAACTCCGATGAATGAAATCAGAGAACTTAGTCAATGGAGTGATATTCCGTGTTCATGGATAGGAAGACACAATATTGTCAAAACGTCATTTCTTCCCAACTTGCTCTATAGATTCAGTGCAATCCCAATCAAAATCCCAGCAGGTTATTTTGTAAACATCAACAAACTAATTCTGAAGTTTAAATGGAGAGGCAAAAAATCCCCAAATAGTCAACACAATATTGAAGGAGAAAAACAAAGTTGGAGGACTTACTATAAAATTGCAGTAATCAAGACAGTGTGTGGCTGGGCGCGGTGGCTCATGTCTGTAATCCCAGCACTTTGGGAGGCCGAGGCGGGTGGATCACCTGAGGTAGGGAGTTCGAGAGCAGCCTGACCAACATGGAGAAACCCCATCTCTACTAAAAATACAAAAAAATTAGCTGAGCGTGGTGGCGCATGCCTGCAATCCCAGCTACTCAGGAGGCTGAGGCAGGAGAATCATTGAACCCAGGAGGCGGAGGTTGCAGTGAGCCAAGATTGCACCATTGCACTCCAGCCTGGGCGACAAGAGCGAAGCTCTGTCTCAAAAAAAAAAAAAAAAAAAAAAGACAGTGAGGTATGGGCAAAAGAATAGACAAATAGATCAATAGAAGAGAATAGGGAGCCCAGAAATAAACCTACATAAATACAGTCAACTTATCTTTGGCAAGAAAGCAAAGGCAATACAATGAAACAAAGATAGTCTTTTCAACAAATGGTGCTGGAACAACTGGACATCCACAAGTGAAAAAAGAATCTAGGCATAGACCTTAAACCCTTCACAAAAATTAATTAAAAATAGACCTAAATGTAAAATGTAGAAGTATAAAACTCCTGGAAAATAACAAGAGAAAACCTAGATAACCTTGGGTATGGAAATGACTTTGGCTACAACACTAAAAGCACAATCTATGAAGAAACAGTTGATAAGCTGGACATTATTAAAATTAGACACTGATTCTCTGTAAAAGACAATGTCAAGAGAATGAGAATATAAACCACAGACTGGGGGAAAGTATTTGCAAAAGACACACCTAATAAAGAACTCTTATCCAAAATATACAAAGATCCCTTAAAACTTAATGAGAAAACAAATGACATAATTAAAAAATGTGTCAAAGACTTTAACGACACTTCATCAAAGATATATAGATGGCAAATAAGCATATAAAAAATGCTTTAGGCCAGGCATAGTGGCTCATGCTTGCAATCCCAGCACTTTGGGAGGCTGAGGCAGGAGGATCACTTGAGGCCAGGAGTTTGAAACCAACCTGGGCAACATATCAAGGCCCTGTCTCTACAAAAAATAAATAAAAATAACTGGGTCCAGTGGCACAGGCCTATAGTCACAGGTGCTTGGGAGGCTGAGGCAGAAGGATCACTTGAGACTAGTAGTTTGAGGCTGAATTGAGCTATGATCGCATCACTGCGCTGCAGCCTAAGCAACAGAGAGAGACACTGATACGGTTTGGCTATGCCCCCACTCGAACCTCAACTTGAATTGTATCTCCCAGAATTCCCCACGTGTTGTGGGAGGGACCCAGGGAGAGGTTACTGAATCATGGGCCTGGTCTTTCCCATGCTAATCTTGTGATAATGAATAAGTCTTACGAGATCTGATGGGCTTATCGGGTTTCTGCTTTTGCTTCTCTCTCATTTTTCTCCTGCTGCCACTATGTAACACGTGCCTTTCACCTCCTGCAATGATTCTGAGGCCTCCCCAGACATGTGGAACTATAAGTCAAATTAAACCTCTTTTTCTTCCCAATCTTGAATATGTCTTTATCGGCAGCGTGAAAACAGACTAATACAGACGCTGTCTCAAAAAAAATGCTCTGCATTATGGAAATGAAAATGCAAATTAAAACAGTGAGATATCACCACACATCTATTAGAATGGCCAAAATCTGGAATGCTGACAACACCAAATGCTGGTGAGGATATGGAGCAAAAGGAACTCTCATTCATTGCTGGTTGGAATGCAAAATGGTACGGCAGCTTTTGAAGACAGTTTAGTAGTTCTTTTTTTCTTTTTTTTTTTAAGATGGAGTCTCACTCTGTTGCCCACACTGGAGTGCAGTAGCACGATCTCGGCTCGCTGCAACCTCTGCCTCCCGGGCTCACGCAATTCTGTATTTTGGCCTCCCAAGTAGCTGGACTTACAGGCACCTGCCACTATGCCTAGCTAATTTTTGTATTTTGAGTAGAGATGTGGGTTTCACCATGTTGGCCAGGCTGGTCTCAAACTCCTGACCTTAGGCGATCCGCCCGCCTTGGCCTCCCAAAGTGCTGGGATTACAGGCATGAGCCACTGCGCCCGGCCGTAGTTTCTTTAAAAAGTAAACCTACTCTTACAACACAATCCAGTCATTGTGATCTTTGGTGTTTTTTTCAGAGGAGTTGAAAAGTTATGTCCACACAAAAATCTGCACATAGCAGTCTTATTCATAATTGCTAAAACCTGGAAGCAACCAAGATATTCTTCAGTATGTGAATGGATAAATAAAGTGCGGTATATACAGATGCTGGAATATCCTTTAGTGCTAAAAAGAAATTAGCTTTGTAAATAGCTTCATACAGCCAAGAAAAGACATGGAGGAACCTTAAATGCATATTGC
Organism: Homo sapiens; assembly: GCF_000001405.40. NCBI lineage: Eukaryota > Metazoa > Chordata > Mammalia > Primates > Hominidae > Homo > Homo sapiens. The sequence continues at coordinate 175,642,780 of NC_000002.12, read as the reverse complement.
TAAGTGTAAGAAGCCAATCTGAAAAGGCTACATATTGGATGATTCCAACTCTATGGCATAGTTCTGGAAAAGGCAAAACTATAGAGTCAGTTAAAAAAAAAAAAGATCATTGGTTGCCAGGATTAGGGGCAGGTGAGGTGAGGAAATGAACAGGCAGAGCACAAAAGATTTTTAGGGCTGTGAAAATAATCCTGTGATACTAGAATGATGGATACACATTATTACACATTTATCCAGACCCATAGAATGTACTGAGAGTGAATCCTCACATAAATTACAGACTTTGGGTGATTATGATGTGTCTGTATAGGTTCATCAATAGTAACAAATGTATCCTTCTAGTGGGGATGTTGACAACTGGGGAGGCTATGCATGTGTGGGGTTATATGGGTAATCTCTGCATTATTCTCTCAATTTTGCTGTGAACCAAAACCAGCTCTAAAAAATAAGTTTAAAAACCCACTAAAACCACAATTTAAAATAATTTTATTTAACACTTTCAAGATAATAATAAATATGGTTTGGATCTGTGTCCCCAACCAAATCTCGTATCAACTATAATCCCTGATATTGGAAGTGGGGCCTGATGGGAGGCGATTGGATCATAGGGGCAGTTTCTCATGAACGGTTTAGCAACATCCCCTCGGTGCTGTTTTCATGATAGTGAGTGGGTGAGTGAGTTATTGTAAGATCTGGTTGTTTAAAAGTGTGTACCGCCCCACCCCCTGCTTCCTCCTGCTTCAGTCACATGAAGTGCCCGCTCCCTCTTTGCCTTCTGCCATGATTCTAAGTTTCCTGAGGCCTCCCCAGAAGCCACGCAGATGCTGCCATGCTTCCTATACAGCCCACAGAATTGTGAGCCAATTAAACCTCTTTTCTTTATAAATTACCCAGTTTCAGGTGTTTCTTTATAGCAATGTGAGATTGGACTAATACAGTAATACATAGAAAAATTAGTATAGGGCCAGGCGCAGTGGCTCACACCTGTAATCCCAGTACTTTGGGAAGGCAAGGTGGGTGGAGCACTTGAAGCCAGGAGTTCAAGACCAGCCTGGCCAACACAGCAAAACCCCATGTCTACTAAAAATACAAAAATTAGCCAGGCATGTTGGTGGGTACTCGTAATACCAGCTACTCAGGAAGCTGAGGCATGAGAATTGCTTGAACCCAGAAGGCGGAGGTTGCAGTGAGCCGAGATCATGCCACTGCACCCTAGCTTGGGCAACAGAGTGAGACTTTGTCTCAAAAATAACAATAATAATAATTTGGGTTATGTTAATATTAACAGAGTTAAAACAGCGTAAGTTTTGATGGCACAAAATTCATTTGATCCATTTAACTTACTATTTTTATGAGGTAAATTTCTGCCTATTTCTGCCTATGTTGGTTTTTTTATTCTTTGCTTAGTTTTGTTTGTTTATTTTAAGAATCCATGTCTTTAAAAATCTAGAGTAAGATTTTTTAGCTATAATGCAACATTTGAAGAAGAATCATGCTTCTTTAATAATCTGAATTATAACTGGTCTCCATCTGCCCCAAATAATACCTGTGTTAAGGAATTCAGAAAGAATATTCATAGCTTGGAAAAGTCTATGTTCCAATAATGGTACTTTTGGCCACAATGAACTGTAACTTTTTTTACAAAATAATTTGTTCTTGAATATTGGAGACAAAGCACAGAAAACCCCACTATAATACACTTGCTGTGTCATGAATGGGGTTTCACTGTGAGTAAATCACATCCCCTGTGTAGATATTAGGGAGAAGGGTACTTTGTGCTTTAAGGCTCCGCAGCTTTGTTTGTGACAATGGTAGTTTTTCAGTAATCAACAAGAACAAGACTATATCCCAACTCTGTTCCATGTGAGCTCCTGCTAGGCCCGCATAGTGAGCTGAAAGCTCATGGACTTTGGAGCCATAGAGTCTGCCCTCAACTCTACCTCTTTCATTTACAAGCTGCAGGACACTGTAAAAGTCATTTACACTGCCTGAGCTTAGAGTTTTTTATTTGTAACAAAATTATACCTTCTGCCCAGGATTATGAGAAATAGAGATACAATATAATATATAAATAGACCTGCAGATATTATAAGCTCAAAAGTGACCACTCTTACTATCTTACCACTCTTAGGATTGCTAAAAGTGAACACTATTACTATTGTTATTTGGCCTTGAGATATGTTATGTTGTATTCCTGTTTACCTTTAATTTATCCCTCCAACTGGATAGTGATTGCCTGGAGGGCAAACATGCCAATGCCTTCACCTTTGTAATCCTTACAGCCCTCCGGATAATGTCTTGCACTCGATAGGAGCCGAGTAAAAATCTTTGTTCAATGAAGATGACTCTATATGTGGAATGATTGAAAGGTGATAAACCATGCTGAAGTTCCTTTAACACAGTCATGCATAAGTTTTAGTGCATTAGAGTGACCTGGGGAGCTTGGTAAAACACAGATTTCTGTACACCACCTCCCACCCCAAGAGATTCTGATTCAGTTGGCCTAGGGATATCCATTGTAACAAATTCCCTGGGTAATTATGATGCAGTTGGTTCATGTATTGATAACATTTAGAGAAACCGTGCTTTAGTGGATACATCCATATCATGCTGTGTCCTGTTGTAAAGAGATGCCCACATAATATGTAAAGTAGGAATTGATAATTGTTTAAGTGAAAATTTGGTTTGCAGGGTCATTCAAAAATTCACTTTATCGTTGAAGTGCCAAGCAGATATTATAAAACTAATCAAAACTTATTTTTCAGAAGTTAATTAACATGTTTTATGTCCTAGTTATCTTAGCCAAAATTATATATGAACATGCTGTCTTTTTGGCTCCAATTTGCCACGTGAAGAGAAAATAGAAATGGAATAAAATGCCCAACGGGCATTAGACTGCAAGTACGTTTATCCTGCAGCAAAACATTAATTTATAAAGATAACTATACTGCATTATGCATACAATTCATCCTCAGTTGGCCCCCAAATTAATCTCTTAATGAGACATTTCCTTTCTCTAGCTGCCGCTATTTAGGGCAAAGGCTTAGAACCAGTAACAAAATAATTGTACTTTCCAGGAGTGCTGCCCTAAAGTACTTCTTTTTAATATTAGGAAGAATTGAGCAAAATTAAGAAAACTGATGCAAGAGTTATGTCATCCTTCCAACATTGGGACATAGGGACAATTTAGAGACGGTAAAATAAGACTTTTTACTTAATGAGAACAAGTCATATAGGGAAGAACTGCAATTTACTTTTAATTTTCACCCAACGACCTCACAATATTAAGAATAATGCCTATTTTCAGGTGAATAATATTTTAAAGAGAGAAAAGAGGGAAGCATTTTCTAGTTTAGGCTATAAAATTGGAACTAATGATTTTGATGTCTCCTCTGCCTTTATATTATTTACAAAACTGGATCTTTAAATTATCAAAAATAAGATATAAAATTAGTTTACCAACAAATCAAAGTTCTGTAAAAGTTATTAGTGTATCATATATGTATTCTGGAACTCAATGAAAATCCAACAGGCCCGGACACTATCATGGGTTCTGCACTGAAATTAACATAACTGGCCCTTGTTGTCACATCTATTGTAGCCCATCTCAAACATTTCCCATCCTGAGAATATGAAAAAAATTAGGCTTTGGGAAAAAAATGTATCCTTAGATCTTGATTCTATTCCAACTCTGAAATAATTACAGTGATTACAAAGATAAAGGGTAAAACCCACAAAGTGCTGGCTGGGACATTCCAGAGCAGGAGAAAGCTTGGCGCCATTTTTATAGTTATGCCTGTTAAGATTTAATAGACGGAAAGTTTCATTAGTGAGCTGTGCTGCAATTAACTTCAAGGAGGTTCCAGACTACTGTACGTTGCTGTTACTGACAGAAAACTGTTTAGATTTCCTTATTGAAAGAGTATATTAGATTTTTAACACTTCAATTATGAACACTAGTAAGAGGCACAATTTTTAAAAATTTAATGTACAGGCTAGTTTTTTCTTATCACATAACACATGGTAATCATGGGCTTTCATTCTTCAATGGACATGCCAATTGTTGACTATCTAGGAATAAGTTGCTTTTGTGTATATTATTATTAACTTAGACATAATTCTCCATCTCTCTTGCTAGCTCATAAAATCATGTCCTAATGGAATTATGACAATGTTGGAAACTATTTCTATAAATCAATTTTTTTGAATCACATACTCTACATTTAATATAAAACACTTGCTATCAACTCTGACAATTTTGGCAAATACTATAGAATAAAAGCAATGGAATCTAGTGACTTGCTTTTCTCCTATCACCAGAATTCTTGCTGGCCAGATTCTTGCTGGCTAGAATTCTTGCTGCACCAGAATTCTTGCTGGCTAGCTTGGAATCTAGACCTTAGAGATATGGGTAGGCATTTATAGATTCCTCCTCAGTGGAAATGAAACTGTTGCTCCCCTTTATCTGTGCAAACCGTCCAAAGTCATCTGAGGCTGCTCGTCACAAAATTACTACCATGATCTAGGTTTTGTGTCATTCAGTAGACTTTCTGAATTCAGTGTGTTAGTTAATTTCTGTACCCTAGTATATGACTAAACTGCTATGATCCTCACTGTTATATTTTATTGTATTAAACAGTAGGTTCACTACAATAAAATAGGCTCAGGTTTTTTAATGACCCGAAGAACAAAACCTGCATTTTATGACTTTTAAAATCTGTCTTGATGCTCTTTCTTCTGGTTACAACCCAGCCACTCCCTTTTATTCTACACATGTTTCTATTAATAGGCTGCAGACTCTTTTAAGTGTGGTAAGCATGTAACCATGATAAGTACTTTCAGAGACATGATAGCCTTTTCAGACCAGAAGAATACAGTTTGGTGTCTAGGAACAGTAATTTAGTTTGACAAACAGCTATGGAGTGCCAGAAAGACTAGGGTTTTCATCTACATGGAATTATCCCATGGACCAATATGTGGGCTGCTGTCTGAACAGCACAGATGAATCCATTTTCCACTACTTAAGAGTGAAGTGTGAAGGTGGGTTACATATGCTTTTGCCTTGTATCACGTGGTAACATGCTGTTGCAGAATTGTGGGTGGTTGGGAGGCTGTGGTCTGACTACTGGACTAAACTTTCCCTGACATTGTTTCCGAAGTACCACTCTCTTCCCCATACATGATTTTCTACAAAGTTCTAATGCTCTTTAGTTTTCTTGTCCTTCTTTAGTTCATTAGACTTGGCCACACTGTCTCAAAACATGACAGGTGTGGGAAGAAAAGAAATATTGTGTCATGGCAGGAAGACACGCTTTGAGATTCTGCAATGCCCTCAGGAGATGACATGACTGGATACAGATCATGGTGCGGGGACCATATCATGACTAGACCCCACAACCTTTTCTACACACCACAGTTTTCTGTGCTTTGATGTTTTAGTAAGTTAGGTTCTGTTCCTTGGAAAATTACTTTTGGTTTAGTTTTGAGAAAATCATTACTACTTGGATTAAGTTTGGGTCAGAGTTTAAGAGATCACTATGTTTATTTGGGTTTTATATATTTATGGTTAGTTCTAGTTTCTGCTCTTAAACACCAGCAACAAATTCTCTGGGTTTGAGAAGCATTGCCTCACATTTCTTTATGTCTCCTTGTGACATGGTGTTTGGAACATGGAGCTAGAAATCAGGCTTTAGAATCACAGTCTCTTTGTCACAACTGAATGAGTTCTGACTTCAGGTTCAGCACCTTGGCATGATGTTATATATTTTTTAACTTCTCTATTAATCAATCTCTTTGTTTATCAGTTCTCTCACAGGAAGGTAGTTAGAATTAATTAATCTTTAAAATGAAGATAGGCAGTTTAACATTATCAGAACTGGTTTGTGGTGTGTCAAATGGATTGCTACATTTTGCATATTTAGCTATCTTTTATTGGTCTGCATTTTCATTTGAAGAAACATTTAAATTTTTATCAGCAAGGACAGTATAATATACAATACTACTAAGCCTAATATTCAAGAATGTTTTCATACATGTCTTAGTATTAATTAGGGAGCAGTTCTTGTTTGACATGTTTACTTTTAATTCTTAATAGGTTTCCAAGTGGGGTAATGCAGTAAGTACCCAGAAAAACTAACAATTATCTAGTCTAAAGAGCTTTGTATTTCACTGTAAAATTAAACTTGTGGGGAAATTGTGTTTTCATTCTACTCATATTAACCTTTTCTTATCCATATTAGCTAAAGGTTAACTTGTTCTTGCTATTTTTACGAAGTGAGAAGCAGGAACTTTGTCTTTTTATGAAAGGAAGCACAGGAGTGCCAAGCATTCATTAGAGATTGAAATTAGAAGCGACTGTGAGATTAAGTTAGAATGTAGCTCATTGTACAAGCCCAGTTTGGACTTTTGGAGGTGCCGGCATTAGGAGGAGTGAACATAATTGCATATATGAAAGGTACCTTCATTCCTGCCCCCCACCCCCGCCCTCCGCCCACTCCTGAGCATGATGCTAGTGCGTTTGGAAACAGATCTCCGTGACTTCCTGGGACGTGACTTTCTGGGGGGAAAATGCATCTCCACAGGTGGGTGTCACTGCCTCCAGGCACCTGAGTCCAGGGATCTGTTTTAAGTATAGCCCAAGGACCAAAAAGGAGCCTTCCTGTTTTCTTTCCTTTCTTTGTTTCTTTTTAAAAAATGTTTCTGGCCCCACTACTATGTTACCAAGTAGCTAACTCAATTTCTTTCTCTGCCTCACACAATTGCACAATACAACCAAGGGAAATATTATTAGTATCTTCACAAAATGGCACAGTGGAAAATGATGGTTGGGTTTCCAGATCTCATTTCACAAATATGCAGGGAGCGGGAGAGCCTGAAGAGGAGGAGAGGGGTCAGTGGCTAGCTTTCAATAATGGTAACTTCTCCTAGGAATCTGAGAAAATAAAATGGGAAATAATTCATGTTTATTTGATTCTTTAAAAAATTGATTGGAAACACTTTTAACCTCCCTGAAAGAGAAAAAGAGAACCCCCAATGTTTTAAAACACTAGTCTCCAGCCAGTGGGGTGGAGATTTTGCTAGAATTCAGCTCATAATTTCTAAATGAATGAACAGAAATAAGAAAGGTATTATACTATTTTATGCTGAATTAACCTCACTATATACTGCTAAAGATCTATCTCTGGAGACACATCATAAAAACTAAACACTTTTACCACCATGGCAGTATTAAAAAGTATTTCATATTTTACTATTTGGGTGTAAAATTACTAATCAAGGGTATGAAATGACCAGAAGAAAACAAGAGAAAAAGAGACTCATTGAAACATGCCAAAATATTCCCAAGCTTTCACTGAATGCCTTCACTTGTGTTTTTTCCCTTCATCTTTAGGGCCAGCATCTTTCAAATGGAAGACAATCTGTTTAGAATAATAGAAGAAGCATAGTAAATAACTGCTGCAAATGAACAAATTCTGTTTTGCCCAATAGGATCATCGAGGCAGAAGAGCTTCTCCAAATGCATCATTTATTTCATTGAAGGTCAAACTCTTTTTTAGGTTGTGGACTGTTTCTATATTGGAAAATTGCTTCCCCTCATGGCAACACAAAAATTTATTGCCCCAGAATTAAGTGAATGGATTATATTCTCAAAGGAGTGGATGTCTGAGTTCTAGTTAATACAAATAAATATGGTTTTGGAATAAAGGTACAAACATGGCCATATAATTTGTAAGTCATAATATTCTGGAGAACATTTCACAGACCCTTGGGATCTTCCAGTGTTTCCCTGGACTGTGCATTGAGAACCAGCCCCTCTCAGGGAGAGAAGTGAAAGACAGACACTTGCATTGCAGTTTGAGTTTCATCTCGTTGTGTCTTAGGCAGGCTTCTGGGACCCTCTAATCTTTCATTTTCCCCTCTTGTGCTATGGTTCCTTTCCTTTACATGGCAAAAAGGCATTAGAAGATTTAGGTGATGAAGGTGAATTCCTTCTTTACTCATGAAAGGTAGTGCAGGCTCAGGTTCTGGAGTCAGTTCACATTCAAATCCCTCTTCTGCTACTTACAATGCCTCAGTTTTCTCATCAGCAACGTGGGGATGATAATAATTTTCTTGTCATGTAGGGTTTTTGTAGGGATAAAATATTAATATATATATAAAGGATTTAGTACTGTGTCTGGTACAGAGTAATTGCTAAAGAAATGCTATAATATTGTTGTAGGTATTTTTATCCTTCAAATATCAGCACAAAGGCTGCCTCCTCTCTGAGCTTTCTTGGTTCTCCCAGGCAGTTTTGTACTTTGTGCATAATTCTGGTAGAGCCATTTGTTTTGTTTTATTTTTGTACCAATTTTTAAAATTATTATCAGTTTGTTCCTATGTATGTTTCCTCAAAGACTGTAAACCCCTTGAGGTAGGAGATAGAGGATGGTGCTTTATTTGTATATCCCTAACACCAGAACAGTGCCTGGCATCCAGTGTTTATGGATAAATGAATAATTACATGGATGAATGAATGAATGCATGTTTCACTTGTTGTTTCCCAACGTCCGGTCTCTCCTTCTTTCTTTAGTATTTCAAAGTTTAGCAGAGCATGTGGCTGTCCAGCTAATAATCACATTTTCCAGCCTCCCTTTAAGCTAGTTGTGTCCATCTGTGGAAGTTCTGGCCAATGGGAAATGTGTAGTGTTCCACTTATGGATTATTCCCTTAAGAGAAAGAGGCATATCCTCCATTTTCCATTTTCCTGCCATCTCTGGATGGAATTGGTTGAGATGGTGAGATCTGGAGCAGCCAACTCAGACTGTGAGACAGATGGCACTGGTTAAGGGTGGCACGTGTTGAGGATGGCAGAGCAAGATTTAACAATCCCTGGGTTCCTAACGATGTAGAGCTGTGGAACCAGCCCTGGGCTGCTTGCATTCAGACTTTTATGTAAAAGAGAAATTTCTCTCTTGTTTGGAGCACTGTGTTGCTTTGGTTGTTTGTATTGGGCAGGGTGGCTGGTGAGTCTTTGTTTCAGTAGCTGAGCCATCTCCTAATACACCGTCCACAGAGCTACATTTACTTAAGCCCTGACCTTTGATAGATAATTTTCTACTGTAGATACTATTGATAAAAATAAATGTGAATTAGATTACACCGCTGGTTAGAATTGAGCAAGTTTGTGGATGAAATACAGAAACAAAGGCTTTAGTTTAGCTATTTAAAAAATCATTTTTAAATGATTTTAATAAAGTCACTCTGTTATTATCACTCTATTCCCAGGTGCCTGATGGTTACTCCAACTGGTGATGAGGGAAGAGGAATAAAAGGTTAGACACACCCTGTTACAGGACTGAGGGCGGGGAGCAGTGCCTATCCTAGGAAGTGTTTCTATTCAAATCTCGTTTAGGTGGGCAGGAAGGACAAGGTTTTGCCAGGCAACTGCCCTCATCTCAGCAAAACAAGCTTCCTCCCTACCCCATTCTCCTGTTGGCTAGCACAGTGCTTGTCCTGAAAAACAGGGTCCACAGAAAAAGAGTAGCAGCCCCTTTTGATCTCTGCTTTTTATTTGTAACAAACTGCTTTTTGACCTTCTAAGCAAGAGCTACCACACAGAGAGCTGTTTGAGTCTCTGGATCAGGAATTCAGGCTTGATGTGTGGGTTATAAGTTTTCTGATGTCAACAAAAATTTACCTAGAGATTTACCAAGATGCTGTTCCAGAGATTTTCATTGTAAAGGAAAATTATTGTGGAGAAAATTAAAAGGTATAGCAACAGCCTGATGTTCACTTCTTGGAAAGTATAGAAAATAGTGATGAAACATGAGTATATAGGTATATAGATACAGTTTTGAAACTTTGTTAAAGTATAGCATACACACAGGAAAGTGTCTAGACCATAAGTATACACTCTGATGAATTTTCACAAGCCAAAAACATCCATGTTACAACTTAAGAATGAAGAATTATGAAAATTCAAGCATCTTGTGTTATTCCTCTTAAATATTTTCGTTTAAAATTGAGCTGAAATATTTAAGAATCTAAAAAACATGACAACCTCCTATTTCCAACTTACAAATGTAAAATTGTAGAAGCACTGAAGAAATGCTTGTTATTAATAAGAAATGTTATTATTTCAGCATTTTTACCATGTAGCTCCAGATGTTAAAACTGTATGTTGCACATTCTTGATGTTTATACAACTGTCACATAGATCATGATAATTTAGAGCAATTTGTCTCAGCCTCCTCTGTGCAGTCTCCTGGTCGGTTCCACATATGCTCTATTTCTCCTTAGTGCTTCTCTGGCACTTCAGGCAGAAGTAACTTAACCTCTCAAGGCCTCGGTTGTCACAGCTGTAGATGGGGCACAATAACTGTACACACAGGATTGTGCATATGAAATTATAAAATGTATATAAAGAGGTGTACGTGACATTTGCATGTAGGAATACGTTAATGAATGTTGTTTGTTATTAGTACATTATGAATGCCAATATCAGTTAATGCCATTGCTTCTGGGTTTGGGGAAGCAACAGAAATAGCCACATAATTGTACTGACTATGTAATGTTCTTTTTCAGGACAGCCTAGGCCTGAAGTGAGGTTGCCAAAGTTATGTTCTTTATAGATGGAATATGTTTCCTCTAGTGAGAGGCAGTTTACATGTAGGCTTGTGGTTATTAATGTTTTTAACTGATGAATTATGTTGGAATTGGTGTATCTCTGCAAAGAATATTTCCAAATGGTCTTAAAGGAATGTCATGTAGCATTTATTACAGTCATTGCAATAGGGACACCTCCCACCTGCTTTAATTTAGTGACATTACTTCTGGTTAAAAGCCTTAGGTAAGGCCACACACAGTGGCCAGTGATTTGGATAATTAGAAGGAATGGCAGAGGCCTGTCTCTTTACAAGGAAGTTAGCAGTGACATGCAATTAAAGCAAACCTTTGGGGGAAGCCAGGTACCTCTAAGGATTATAGTAGATTGGGTCAAATCAAACAATATTTATAGAATTCTCTCCTTTCACAAAGAATTTCTGCTTGCTTATTTTTAATAAATTATTTCAGAGATAATGATGTTATTTTACATAAGTAGAGCAAGAAGAAAAGTATAACTTAAGCTTTATTTTCTCATAATTTTTTGTACTACACAGGCCAGCTGCAAACAGTTCACCTGATGAAGCATCTGAACCTTACATTATCATGTATGTATTGGTGTGGTGTTTTCTGCTTTAAAAGGTGCTTTCACATCCATTACCTAGTACAATCCCCACAACTGTAAGAGGCAAGGGAAGGAGTTATTATGATGTCCTCTTCAAACAAATAAATGGAAGCTGAGCTCTGATAAGGCATTTGTCATAGTCCTTTTATGGTTGAGGCAAGACTAAAAGTTGAGTTTTATGACTCATGGTGTAATGCTCTTTCCAACATATGGAACTGTTTTCTCAAACATAAATGTATGTTCTTACTTTCTGTGCTTTCCAAGAGTACAGTTTTCTTTCTCTCCCTGAGATGCTGGGGTGGTCATGAGTGCCTTGGAGAATAAGCTGAAAGCCCTAGACTTTGTCTTCAGAGAAAAAATGGACATACTCACACAGGTAAAAATTGACATTCACCTTCAGGCCGTCTCCTAAAATCTGCCTGGGTAATAGAATAGGGTGTCTGGTAAAATACTAGCCTGGGCTTGACTCCAGCCGGGTGGGGGCACCTGGCGTTCTCAGTAAAGAAGACAAAAGCAGGAGCCAGCATACCATTAATGTTTACTTAGCCCTTACTCAACACTAGGTGCTGCACTGCACACGTCATGTTGGTTCAAACCCCACAACAACTCTTGAAGCTGAGTGTTATTATTGGATTCATTTTATGGATGAGGACACTAAGAACATCTCACCTGAATTCGAAGCCAGATGTCCACTTTCCCCCACTCTGCTACACAGCCTCCCAAAGTGATAACTACGTGTCAGTGCTGAGTTGTTTCTCTGGTCGCTGGCCCATGCCTGTGTGCGGTGGTGTGGCTGGGAAGGTGGAAAGGGTTTTTTTTTTTTTTTTTTTTTTGAAGCTTTTAGCAGTAAGGTTCCTTGGGGAAATTGTGTTCTTGGGGGTGCCAGGTTAGAACTGTTAACGACCGTAGAAATGTGAAGTGTGAAAAGTGTTCAGATACAGGGACAGAAAAGAACAGGGCAGCATCCAATGGGTGGTCCATTTCTCCTGGGACATGTGTTGGATGTTCAGCTGTCATATTAATGTTTATGTATACCATGCTACATGTTCTCGCTGACTTGGCAAATGATTCACAAAGTTACTGAAATGAATGAAGTAAACTTCTCATGGGTAGACCTGGGGCTGGGGAAAAGGAAAAGGGAAGTGCCTACATTTGGGGTTTCCTGAACCGTAAATAATGATCGTGTTGCCATTCCCAGCAATATGCTTCTGTCATTAATTAAGTTTTATGGAAAGCTATGGCGTTCATGACTTTGGCCTCTTCCCGCTCTTGATCTATGTGGTGTTATGTGGTGTAGACAGCAGTGCTCATAGGTGGGATTTGTCTGACAGGGGGATTTGAATTAGTCTGATGTAAAGTGCCTGCTAATATATGGCATGCCACTGCACTGGGTGAGTAGGAAGGGAGAAAGCAATGATGATGTTCCCCCCTGTTGCCGCTGATTATTTTTCCAGCACCTATACAAGGAATCAGAATCCTGTTTTTTGTTAGGCTTAATTTTAAGGTCAGATTTTTTTCTGGTGTCGTTGAGAGAGTTGGGCTGCCACTCAGATTCAGCAGCGTGGTGCTGTGTACTTGAGAGAAGGGTCCATAAGGTTGGGAGTAGCGGGAGATACTGGCCCCTCCGCACTCATCAGGCTCAAACATGTTCAAGACCCCAGCAAAAGAAGTCTGAGTGGAGCTTTTTGAGGTGGCCTACACCAGTGTTAACAATGCTGCCAAAAAATTATCTCTCACCATTGACCTAAAGCCCTCCTGCTAGGTTTTCAGAGCAGTGGTTTTTAAAATATTAGCGTACATCAGATCACCCGAAAGGCTTGTTATAGCACAAATTGCTGGTCCCCCTGCTCAGAGTTTCTGATTTCATAGGTCTACGGTGGTACCTGAGAATCTGCATTTGTAACAAGGTCCCAGGTGATGCTGATGGTGCTGTTTCAGGAGCCAAACTTTGAAAACTACTGCCTTAAACTGACTATAAGGGCAGCAGTTAATAATATGGGTTTGGGAGTTAGACAGCTCTGAATTCAAATCCTGTTCTGCCACTGTGAAATTCTAGAAAAGCTGCCAAGCCCAGGCTTCCTCACCTGTAGAAAGGGAATTACAAACGTTTTGTTTGTTCTGTTTTGGTTTGGTTTCGTGAGGACTGAATGAGATAATCTATGTGAAGTGCTTAGCACAGTGCCAGGCACATGGAGGTGACATTACAGATGTGAGCTCATGCTATTGATATATTCTGCCTCTTAGAGCAAGGCCTCAAGTAATGTGGCCCGCATGTTAGGGCAAAGACACCAAGCTTAAGGAATCTCTTTAAAGTTAAGAAGTCAGAGAAAATGTAGGAGAGAAGAATCAGTAAAACGAAGACCATGGGACTTCTATTCCTTAAGGCTTTCTGATGTCTTGGGAAATAGAAAAGAAAACAAGCAAAGGTATCTATTTTGTAATAAGCAGTGAGAAAGTCACTCTCCACCAAGAGATGCCTTAGGAAGATGGGATTGAAATGGGAATCCTGAACTGACCATTGGGGCTATTAGCATTTCACATGTAAATTCCAATAAAGTGTCAGATATGCAGAGGTTAGTGGACTTTTTTTCTAAATGGGCTTTATAAGTAAAAGGATAAAGGTTACACAAACCAGGGAGAGCAGCATACAACAGAGGGATGCAGCATTTTGTACAAGTGTGTTAGTCGGGATTCTCCAGAGAAACAGAGCCAAAGAAGATAGATATTTATCTATGTAAATACATAGATAATATATTTTTGGCCCATGTCTTATGCAATTATGGAGGCTGAGAAGTCCCACGATCTGTAAGCTGGAGACCCAGGAAGTCTGAAGGTGTCTTTTGAAGTCCTGAGAGCTGGAGAGCTGGAGACTGGTGTAGATTCCAGTCTCAGTCTCAGAGCCTGAGGACCAGGAGTGCTGAAGGCAGAAGATTGACATTCAGCTCAAGGAGTCAGAAAGCAAATTTAACTTTCCTCTGCCTTTTTGTTCTATTCACTCACTCAACAGATTGGATGAGTCATGACTACAATGGGGAGGGCAATTTGCTTTCCTCAGTCTACCAATTCAATCTGATCTCTTCCAGAAACACCCTTCCAGGCATACCCAGAAATAAGTTTAACCAGCTATCTGGGCATCCTTTGGCCCAGTCAAGTTAACACATAAAATTAACCATCACAACATGAGACATATATTTACAAAGATACTGTGTGCTGGGGCCAGTTATGAAGCAAGTAATGTTTATCATCCTGGAGCCAACCCACAACTGTCTTCATCTTATTTCTGGATTTTGATGGGCTCTTTGCTCAGTGGAGTGAATTGTAACTTTCTATCTCCTCAAGCTCTACCCCACTGGCAAAATAATTACCGAGAAAATATTTACAAAAATTAATTGCTAGCTAGTGTAAATTATATCTTAAACTATGACTACTCCCTAGGATAGTATTTTCCAAACTGTGTTTCCAGGGACTATGAATAGGTAATGGGTAGAACAGGCATTCTTGATGAAACACACAAATGTTCTTGTCAAGAACACCCAAGGATCTCAGAAGTCCTGAAGTTTTTTTAAAAACTCTGCTTAATTTTGATTAACTCAGTGGTGATTGTCCCTTTTTAAAAATTGTATCTGTATTTTAAAATTTTTTCTATAATGAGTTAGTATTACTTTTAAAAGAAAATATGGATCAGATTTTACTAGAATGAAAAAGAATATAATTTAGGCCACCAAATGTAGCTTCTAGCTTTCTTTAGTCTCCACCCTATTCTTCCTTTACTTCTGTGGGGGAACCAAGGACAGCATGATGTCAGATTCTAAAATAACAAATGCTTCATAAAATTTCCTTTTTGAAAAGATAACTGAATTAGGATAGTTTGTATAACCATTGAATGATTCAGATGCTTGCCCTTTTGGGAATCCCCTTCATCCAAGTTAAAGGAATGAAGCAACAAGCCATCTGTGCAATTAACTGCTCAACCTAATTACTCTAAAGAAGTGAGTCAGTCAAATCCTGGGACATTCAAAACTTCCAGTGGACAGGGGTGCCACAGAATCTGGGAACCACATTCAACTTTTCTAAGCTTGAGCTTAGACAGCTGGTCAGAGATGTTATGGCTACATTTGTAGGCAACAACTCAAGGAACTGGCTTTTCCTGAGAAAGGAGATTTTCTCCCCAGATTGCTTTCAGAACAAACCGTAAAGGGATAACCCCACATTCTTTGAAAATCTTTATTCCTGAGAAGTGTTTAAAAATTTTCAAGTGGGGCATGGTGTGATCTATAGGCTATTCTTCGCGAGGAGGGACCGTTTGGTGTGTCTGAAATCTTGAGGATAATCAAGGACCCAACACTCTTAGGTGAAATGCCTTTGGAGAGAAACTGAAGTCTGCTACAATTAGATTAGAAAGAAACACGTTTGACATTCTAGAAAGCAAATTTAGGCTGTTGAATCCAACAGTGTGGGACAATGTTTCCAATTGGCAATGAATAGGCTAAATGATTCTTGTCTCTCTTTGGTGGAAGTGAAATAGAATACTAATTGAGCAAGTATCACTCAGATAAGCAAAGTAAATTGGACTTCAGTCTCTAGTGGGTTTTGAGGTTATGACCACACTTTGAGCTCCTGGAGGGGTGCCACTCCAGGTAACAATAGGCCATTTGGGCTTTCCTGAACGGGGACCTTCAGGCAGAATAAATTCAAACTTAAGAAAAGTCGGGCAGAGGAGATACTGTGCTGACCTGCCCAGAACACTGACGATTTAATGACAAGAACTGGCAAGTGTAATTTTGGTTAAAATGTAATTTCTTACTGGAAAAAAATGGTTTTTGTCTTAAACAATTTGGAAATTTAATGAAAAATTCAATATTCTTCATTCTTAAGTAGTCTGCCCTTCAGTATAAAACGGCCAAATATCCCCTACCAAAAAGAAGAACAAGGAGATAGAGGAAAATGAGAGCTGGGCAAGGACCACACTGTCACGAATGGTACACTGAGCACCACTGCAGTGCCCATCCCATGCACCTGGCCAACAGCAATGGTGGAACCTAGTACCCAGCAAAGTGCATGCTGAGCTTTCTTCTGCCTCATGGTACCAGAAGCAAGTTTCAGTGACGCGTGTTCCCTCTCATTCCTTGGGACAAATTGTCCTAGTGAGAGAAAGCTCTAATACTCATGCACAAGACATTCCATGACAGTAACGATAACACTTACTCACATTTACATTTATATGTCTGGTCTTTTCTCTATCTGTTTCTCAGAAAGAAAACTCAAATACCGGACTGTCTGGTTTAAAACCAGACACATGGCAACCCTATTTACTAAAACTTTACTGCTGGGCACTGTGCTATTTGCTTTCACATATATTGTGTCTTATTCAATCCTTGTAATGGTTCTGTGAGTAAAGTAGGATTCCTATTTTACAGATGAGGAAGCTAAAGCTCAGAGAGGTTAAGTAGTGTGCTTACAGTCACCCAGATAGTTATTGGATATGGTACTGTGACCCTAGAATGTTTGACCTTACATTTCTTTATTTTTCTTTGATATTTGATGCATTGAAATGATTCAAGAGTTCTTGAAATCTGTCATCAAGTTTTTCCTTGGTTGAAGTTTGGATATGGAACACTTCAAAACATAATAGCACCCTTGGGATCTCAGAAAGTATGTTGTCTATGAAGTATTAGGAAAAGATTCGAAGAGTGGCATCAATAATCAACTGTTAATAAATTTGAAAGAGCCACATTTTGCAAAAAAACAAAAAGAAATTCCACCAACAAGACCATGAAAGGCTGAAAGAATTACAGGCTTTGACAATGAATGGTATCCCCATGCCTTGGTCAGGAGCCATCTCAGAGTCTCATCTTAGTAAGTTGCAAAATCTGCCCAATTGCTGTCACCTATTGGCTACTGGATACCTAGTTTGATTAGATTTTCAGGCTCTTTATTGTTTCCTTTTAAAACTTTCAAATGATTTTGTGCAATGAATGGAACCAGATGGAAATACACTGATACCTCTTTCATCTTCCTAAGCAAATGCCCAGGGAAATCATGTGACAGTTTTCCAATTGCAGATTTTTCCAATGGTGTGAATCTTTTAGGCCAGGATTCCTGGAGGTGTGAACCGATTTTTTCCCAAGAGACTTTTCACTGTCCCTTGCACTGACAAATTGGAGCTTCCTGTGAAGGTAGCATTTCACAACAAAACTTCAAGAACTATCAGCTGTATTACTGATACAAACTTGACTAATTCGTCTCTGTTTCAATCTTGGGCAATAAAAAGTACTTCTGAAATAATGTTGTCTTAAAAAGTGTCTTTATTCATTTTAGAGTTGACTTATGGTTGCATATATAGCCATTTCTACTTTCAATTTAGCCAGAGGCATTTTTTCTTGAACTTCTGAAGATGATACAACTCCTAGATTTTACTGTCGTAGTGCCAGGTTGTGGGAACTCTTCCTTGACTTCACTTTAATAGGTGTGAAGAGTGCATGACTGTTCTGCTTTTGAATTTGCATTTGGACTGCTGAATTTGTACGCAGAGCACCGATGAAATTCTTGGCAGCATGAGCAAAAGTTGGTTTATCCACGATGACATGCAGGCTTTCTGGGGATGAGTATTTCCTTTTAGTAAGAGCAGACAGCCCGTCTATTAGAAGCTGCCCCCTAGTTTCTGAGGCACATGGAGCTAGACTAGGGTATTTTATTGGGTCATTAGAAATGTGACATTTGGATTGACCAACAGGCTCAGAAATTCCCCAAATTGTAGGGTTGAGAAAAGGGTGCAGTTCTTGGTAGTGTAATACCCTCATCAGTCTGTGGATTCTTTTTATGAAATTTAAGTTCCTTAACAATAATTGATAGAACAGATAATAAGCCCTTTTGCAAACAATCTGATGTGTTATCAAATACCCTCATCTTAAATGAAACAAGAATAGTGAGAGGCTTTAGAAGAACATATGTTGTGCCTCACAGATGTTCAGGGACACAGCTGGAATGTGTTTAGGGTAACTTAATCTTATATGCTTCAGAATACTAGAAGCCTCTCAGCATGTGTAAATGGTGAGGACTCTTTTATTCACAAGAATAGAAATCCACCTCAAATAAACAAGAGCAACAAAGGAAACTTGCTGGGGTGTAGATCAGGGGAAGCCTAAGGCTGGAACTGTCTTTGTAGGCTACAACAATCCAAATGATGTTGTTGGCTTTTTCTGTCTTTTACTTGCTCTTGCTTTTCTCCTTCAGCCCAAGGGCTTCCTTCTTTCATGTAGACAGCTTTAGAATTACATCATCCAGTTTAACAGTCCCATGAAGAACTAAAAAAAGCTTCATTCTCTCAGAGTCTTACATAAAATCTAAAAGGACTTCAATTTGTCCAGGAGTGTTATATGCTAAACACAAGCTCACCATTTCAATAAATGTTTAAGACACTGGTTCAGGCCGTATGAAGAAACTGAAAAATATCCTTGATCTCCAACAAGAATGTAGAAGGTGTAGGACATGAACAAATATGTAATTTGAGGCAGCAGGTGATATATAGAGAAGAGACAACTAAAACAATGATGGAAATCAGACAAGTCAGCTGAATGTGACGCAAGCACTTTTTTTTTCTTTTTTTTTTTTTTTTTTTGACGGAGTCTTGCTCTGTCACCAGGCTGGAGTACAGTGCTGTGATGTCAGCTCACTGCAACCTCTGCCTCCTGGGTTCAAGCAATTCTCCCGCCTCAGCCTCCCGAGTAGCTGGGACTACAGGCACGCGCCACCACGCCCAGATAATTTTTTGTATTTTAGTAGAGATGGGGTTTCACCATGTTGGTCAGGCTGGTCTCGAACTCCCGACCTCAGGTGATCCACCCGCCTCGGCCTCCCAAAGTGCTGGGTTTACAGGCGTGAGCCACTGCGCCCAGTCCCGCAAGCGTTTTCATGAAGAAAAATATTTCATGTTTTTTGAAGAGTAGCTTCTATTTAAGTGATGGAGAAGGAGGGGCAAGGGGAGAGTCATTCCAGGAAGAAGCCATGGTATAAAGATTGGCAAAGAAGCAGGAAAAAGGGAAGAGTTAGGAGCTTGTTTTGAATAAAATATAGATTTTATTTTAAAAAGAATTCTGAGCTAAAGTTAGTCAGAAATGTTGATATTAGATCATAGAAGACTGTAAGTTTTCAGCTTTAACCTAAATTATTTCCACTTTTCCCAGAAAGCTTTGTAGAGTCAGTGAAGATTTTAGAGCAAGCAGAGGCAGGATCAAGTAATTCGTCAGAGTTTTGATGGCAGTGATAAGGAGGAAGGACTGGATAGAGAATCTACTTAACACAATTTCAAGAAATGAAACCTAACCATAGATAAATGGGGGACAGCAGGGCATCCTGAATGTGTGACTAGAAGGAATGAGATTGCTTTTTTTTTTTTTTAGTCATTCTCACTCTGTCCCCAGGCTGGAGTTCAGTGGCACAATCTTGGCTCACTACAGCCTCCACCCCCAGGTTCAAGCGATTCTCCTGCCTCAGCCTCCCTAGTAGCTGGGACTACAGGCATGCACCACAACATCCAGCTAATTTTTTGTATTTTTAATGGAGATGGGGTTCGCCATCTTTGCCAGGCTGGTTTCAAACTCCTGACCTCAAGTAATCCGCCCCTTTCAGCCTCCCAAAGTGCTGGGATTACAGGTGCAAGCCACCACGCCAGGCCAAGATTGCTTTTTTTAAAGTAAAGCTCTAAGTCTCTTACACAGGGTTTTGGATGATGGCTACAGATTGGAAGCCAATATCAAACTTTATGTGTATCACATGGCTCTGTCTTGTTTTCTATGCTCAGGTCTATGTATTTTAACCAATGGCTGGACATTTCCTTGTATGTCCCATCACCACCTCACACTCAGTACCTCCTCTCGGCTCCTCTTTTTGTGAAGGCATCACTAGCAATTTAGGCATGGTCATTCCTAGGAATAGATACCAACTTGGGTGAATCACAATAACTTCCTCTAACTCTAGCATTTTTATGTGGGTAGAAATCAAGTTAAAATGAGCATGCAGGACAAACTGGGAGGGGAGACAAGGCACACAAACGTCATCTGCAGCCTTAGGTCCTGGATTCAGAGGCATAGGGCAGCCCACCCTCTGTGTAGGCCATGTGAGCCAGGTGGAATGAGCTAAAAGTCCCAATGCAGACAATCAGCAGACAGGAGCCCCAAATCTTTTGAGCAGTGGCTGGGTGGAGACTCTTCTTTCACCTCTAGTAGCTGAGACATGTCCAAACACAAGCCCCCATCTTGTATCTTAGAAGCCTCCACTAGGCTTCATCTGTGTCCATGTGTATTAATTTAAATACAGGTCAGCTGCTATAACCGAGACCCCAAAACAATAGTGACTCAAATCAGATAGAGTTTTATTTTTCTCAGGTAGTAATAGAAACATAAGCAGCCCAGGGCTGGTGTGGTGCCTCACAGTATCAGTCATTTAAGCTCCTTTACACACTATATCTCATGGTCTCAGTGTGTCCATGGTCCCACCAGCAGGAAGAAGAGGCGCCCTCTAAGGGTGCAATCTGAAAGTTGTACACACTGCTTCCTCTCACATCCCATTGGTTAATACTTGGACAAATGCTACACAGAGCTAGAAATGCTACAGCTGTGTGTTCAGCTCATAACATAGCTGACATGTACATAGCGCTCCCTGGAAACCAAGCACTATTCTAAGAGCTTTATACAAACTGACTTACAACAATTCTATAAGGTAAGCACAATTGTTATTCCCACTTTTCAGGTAGGGTAACTGAGGCACAGAGAGGTAGAATACCTCAGCAAGGTCATCAGATAGTAATTGATGGTGGTGAAATTCAGACCCTCACAGGCTGAATCCGAAATTTGTGATCTTGACCATTCTGCAATGCTGCCTCTAAAATCCAGGGTTTGGTTACTAAAGGAAGAGAGGGAGAATGAAAACTGGAGGACAACAGTTATCACTACTATTGCACTCCAGCATCCACATTTGTCACCCACAGCGATGGCTCCAAGCTTTGGAATTCTCTCCCTTGTCCCTCTATTCCTTCTAGTTTTCCAGCACACTCCTATTCACAACAGCCTACAGCCCCTGCCTCACATCCCTGCAGAAATGGCTACCATGGTAACTTCTGGTCTAACCTCCTGGCTTCCAACTTTTCCACACCCCAGCCTCCCAGATACCTCTTGACCAAAAGAATCTGCCCCAAATACCACTTTTGTTCTGCCATGCCCCTCTTTAGAAATCCCCAGAGGAGAAGCACCTCTTAATTGGATCAATTTCCTTCTAAGCCTGGCTTTCAGGCCTCTTCATCATTTGGTTCCAAACATATATTTCAAACTTACAGATCTCTCCTCAGGGCCACACGAAACTCTCTACACCTTTCAGATTGATCTAATTATGCCATGTGTACTCCTGAAACTCAGCTGTCTGGATAGAAAAGGAAGAGTCATCTATATATTGACACAGGCATTTTGCTTAAGTCATTGACCACTGAGAAGGGCCAAGCCTTGCTCCTGTTTGCTTGTCTGAAGTCTACCCATTCCAGCTTGGTCCTGTCTGCCTAGGGGGTAACTCAGAGTTCTGCACCGCTCGCACTGAATGAATATGCACTCAGTGGCTCGCCTTCCAACATAGCGGTGCTCACTCCTCCCCCTGTCCTCACTGCTATTCCCCCTGCCTGGTCAATGGTGTTGGCCGTCTTTCTGTGTATGTCACCTTGCATCTCATGGAGACAGAGGCCAAGTTTTATCCTATTGTGACCCCCCCCCCCCACTGCACTGAGACACTCAATATACTTTGTTGATTGATTGATAATTTGTACTAAGTGGCTTCTTTAGTCACCCTTGAGAATCCCTATAAGTAACATAACTTGAAAAACAATTGTCCAGCTAGTGGACAATTATGCTACATTAGCAGGCAGGATTGCCTAATGTTAAAAGTAACAAACTAAGAATCTTTACCCTTTTTCTCTGCTGTGGATGTGCACTGTCCATTTTAGATCAGTCAGAGAATGTAGTTACAGTTTTAGAAGAATATTTGATCCTCAGAAGGACACCTTCCTGTATTTTGTATAAACAAAAGTATTCAATATCTCCTCAATTACTTGCAGATGCCTTTGAGCTCAAATTGAACACTAGCTATCTCTTCTCAAGCATCAGCTTTAACATACAGGGAAGGAAGCCAATGGGCATGAATGGAAGAGCTTGATTTCAGAAAGGATGGGATTATGTGCTTCTGGAATGAAGGAGGAGGAATGTGCTTTTTAAAGGGAAACCTTTCAGAACCCTTGTTTGTGTGCTTGGCTCCAGAGTAAGAGGGAAGAGGTGGTGACAAGAATATATTTTAAAGCCAGGGCGTTGTTAGCTTGTCTTAGACTTCTGAGCTTTTAGAGTGTTTGTTCAGGAGGTGGTTTCCAAGGTTTTACAACTTTGCTAAAAACATTTGGTCTCCTCTTTAGATCTATTCGGCTGATATCATTTTTAGTGACTTCCGAGGCAGTATTGTTGCTAAGAATTGATACAGCAATGAATCTTTACTAGTGCCCATCAAAACTGGACTTTTGTATCTCACATTTTACTCTGGGCTTTTTTTTTTTTTTTTTTTGCCTTTTTTAGAAATTCCCTGGAAACCAGCTTTGTCTTGTCAATTGAATAACAAGCACGGAATTTATATAATCACTGCCTTGTCACAGTACAACTGATTAGCATCTTCTGGTTAAATGCAAATTGTCCATCCTTCAGTTCAATGACATTTGCCTCTCTTTAAAGGAACAGCACTAAAGCAACTTGTAGACATGACTGTTTGTTTAGCTTGGTTTCTCTCTTTGATCTCATGTTAACATACCTTAATGGCAGGTAATGATTGATAATAGAGTATTGTAAAGTTCAGGTAATAAATACTGCTTAACTCATAATAATGCTGAATAATGTACTTTTTATGACTTGGTTTGATGGAAAATTTCCTTGTCAGCTTGGTCTAATTGTCCAAACAAAACCACCCATTACTTGAAGAAATACATGTCCACCCTAGACACATTAATTAGGGTCATGGCTGGGCTGCAAGAAGGAATATAGTAACACTTTAGTTACTTAAATATAATCTTTGGACAATCTTACTAATGCCAAACTCAGATTTAATGAGGAACTCTTGTTTACACTTGCCCTTTGAGGCTCATGGGCCTAGGTTGAAACCTCTGGTGATGGCTGTAGCCACATGTACACACACTGCGGTCTTTTCTTTGAGGTTACCAGAAATCATCAATTCTAGTGGTTTGAACATTGAAAGTCACAACAGGAAGTATCTTTATCTTGGCACAGGGGGTGAGGAGATTTCTATGAAGAGAAAAAGGAATATCTTTTTAATTGTTTATGACTGGATATCTGAAAACAGTAAGCATCAGCTAGTACTGAGTTTAGAGTAAAAAGGGGATTTGGTATCTTGGCAGTGACAAGCTCAGGTGCTGTACATTAAAGTATTTAGCCAAGTCCTACTTGCCCAAGTATGGAATTTCCACAATGTTTCATTATCTTGGAAGTCCCAGGAATATTCCAGAGAATACAGTACAATAGAAACCCAGGAATCCCATTTACAATAGCAATAAAATAAAATAAAATAAAATACTTAAGAACAAATTTAACCAAGAAGGTGAAAGATCTATACACTGAAAACTATAATACACTGATACAAGAAACTGAGGAAGACACAAATAAATAGATTTTCCATGTTTATTGATTGGAAGAATTAATATTGTTAAAATGTCCATACTACCCAAAGCAATCCATAAAGTCAGTGCAATCCCTATTAAAATTCAAATGACCATTTTTTTGTAGAAATAGAGAAAATGATACTAAAAGTCTTATGGAACCACAAAAGATCTCAAATAGCCAAAGGAATCTTTCAGCAAAAAGAACAAAGCTGGAGACATCTCAAAATTTGCTACAAAACTATAATAATCAAAACAGGATGATACTGGCAAAAAACAGACATAGAGACCAGTGGAACAGAATAGAGAATCTAGAAATAAATCTACACAACAACAGTCAACTACAAGCAACTTTGACAAAGGTGACAAGAACAAATTATGAGGAAAGGATAACACCTTCAATAAATGGTGCTGGAAAAATTGGATACCACATGCAAAAGAATAAAATAGGACCCTTATCTCACCCCATAAGAAACACAAACTTAAAATGGATTAAAGACTTAAAGTTAAGACCTGAAACTGTAAAACTACTAGAAGAAAACATAGGGAAAGTCTCCATGACATTGGTCTGGGCAATAATTTGTCGGTTGTGACCACAAAAGCATAGGCACCAAAAGCAAAAATAGACAAATAGGATTGCATCAAACTAAAAAGCTTCTGCACTGCCAAAGAAACAATCAACAGAGTGAGGAGACATCCTATGGAATGGGAGAAAATATTTGCAAACCATACATCTGATAAGGGACTAATATCAAAAATATATATGGAACTTGAACAACTCAATAACAAGAAAACAAATAGCCCAATTTTAAAAATGGACAAAGGATCTGAATAGACTTTTCTCAAAAGAAGACATAACAATGATCAATAGGTAAATTAAAAATGTTCAACATTACTAATCATCAGGGAAATGCAAATTACAGCAATGAGATATCACCTCACACCTGTTAGAATGGCTTCTATCAAAAAGATGAAATGTAAGTGCTGGCAAGGATGTGGAGAAGAGGGAACCCTCATATATTGTTTCTGGGAATGTACATTAGTATAGCCATTATGGAAAACAGTATGGAGTGATATGGTTTGGCTATGTCCCCATCCAAATCTCATCTTGAATTATAGCTCCCATAATCCCCACATGTCATGAGAGGGATCTGTTGGGAGGTAATTGAATCATGGGGGCAGGTTTTTCCCATGTGGTTCTCATGACAGTGAATAAGTCTCACGAGATCTGTTGGTTTTATCAAGGGCAGTTCTCCTGCACACACTCTCTTGCCAGCCACCAAGTAAGATGTGCCTTTACTCCTCCTTTGCCTTCCACCATGATTGTGAGGCCTCCCTAGCCATGTGAAACTGTGAGTGCATTAAACTTCTTTTTCTTTATGAATTACCTAGTCTTGGGTATTTCTTCACAGCACTATGAAAATGGACTAATATAGGAGGTTCCCCCCCCAAATTAAAAATAACTACCATATGATCCAAAAATTTCGTTTCTGAATATATATCCAAAGGAAATGAAATCAGTATGTTGAAGATACATCTGCATTCATTTCATTTGAAATGTTCATTTTAGCATTGTTTATAGTAGTCCAGATATGGAAGCAACCTAACTGTTCAAAAGTGAATGACTGGATAAGGAAACTGTGGTATATATGCATGATGGAATACTTTTCAGCCTTTATAAAGAAGGAAATCTTGCTGGGTGAGGTGTTCCCACCTGTGACCCCAGCTATTTGGGAGGCTGAGGTGAAAGGATTGCTTGAGACCAGGCATTGGAGTCTGCAGTGAGCTACGATGGCACCACTGCACACCAGCCTGGATGACAGAGCAAGATCCCATCCCTAAAAATAATTTTGTAGAGAATAAAGAATTCCTTTTTTTTGCAAGAACATGTATGAACCTGGAAGGCATTATGCTAAGTGAAATCAGCCAGGCACAGAAAGAAAAATACTGCATGATCACATTTACATGTGGAATCCAAAAATGTCAACCACTTAGTAGTAGAGAGTAGAATGGTGTCTACTGGGGTCTGGAGTGAGTATGGTTGGACAGATGCTGGTCAAAGGGTACAAAGTTTCAGTTGGACAAAAGAAATAAGTTTTGGAGATCTGTTGTGTAGCATGGTGACTATAGTTAATAATAATGCCTTGTATACTTAAAAGTTGCTAAAAGTAGATTTTAAATATCCACAACACAAAAAAATGGTAAGAAGGTGAGGTGATAAGTATGTTAATTAGCTTGATTTAATCATTCTAAAATGTCTACGCATATCAAAAATCACATTGTGTACCCCATAAATATATAAAATTTGAAAAGAAAAATAAAATAAAAGAGATATTTGCTGGCCAGTTTGGGGGAAAAAAGACAAAGAACTTCAGGAGATGGCCATGTGGGCTTTTAACAAAATGACCAATGTAAAATCCAAGGTTTAATCAGGTCTTTGAGAAAAGGTGCTTGATTTTAAAGTTTGGAAATGATTCCATTCATGATTCCAAAGAATAGCAGTTACCAGACTCAATTCAGGAGCTAGTTTCCTACATATTATAAAAAAAGAGCATGTGTTTAATCTTTCAGATTTGAGCCAAATTGTCATCTTGTTGAAGATAGGCTCGTATCTCATTTAATACCCACATTTTTAAGGAAACTCACAAGAAACTCACAATGGGAAAAATTCATTTCCATATTTTTGTAATCACATCATTTTCTTTCCTGACAAATCTCAATAAAGGACTTGTTCTTTAGCTGTTATACACTGATAGTTTTCACTGTCATTAGGTACCCAGAATGGCTCAATTTGATGAGTAATATTGTCCACCTCACACATATTACTTGCTGCCTACCATGAGTCTTAATTTTTTTAAGAGTAGGCTATTTCTTATTGGCTTTAAAACAAAATCTGTTTCTCCTTAACAATTTTGCCCTTTTATCCTGATGATTCACTTCATGTTTTACTTTAGTCTGTTTGGACTGAAATTTTTGGAAGACTACAAAATAAAAAATGCCATTTTTAGAACTTTGGTCTACAGATTTATGCAAAGATTGGGGTCTTGATGGGTGTATTTGTCTGTTCTCACATTGCTATAAAGAAATACCTGAGACTGGGTAATTTATAAAGAAAAGAGGTTTAATTGGCTCATGATACTGCAGGGTGTATAGGAAGCATGATGCTGGCATCTGCTCAGCTCCTGGGGAGACCTCAGGAAATTTACAACCATGGCAGAAGGCAAAGGGGGTGCCAGAGGTGAAGGGGGAGCAGACTCCTCACATGGCCAGAGTAAGAGCAAGAGAGACCTCAAAGGTGGAGGTGCCACACACTTTTAAACAACCAGATCTCACAAGAATTCACTCACTATCACAAGAACAGCACCAAGAGGATAGTGCTAAGCCATTCATGAGAAAGCCACCCCCATGATCCAGTCACCTCCCATCAGACCCCACATCCAACACTGGGGATTACAATTCTGTATGAGATTTGGGTGGGGACACAGATCCAAACTATATCAATGGGATTAATTTGCTTGCTTCTTTTCATTAAAAACATAAGTACTTTTTTTCATTGTTCAACATGTAAATGCATGCCTAAAAAGCTCACAGAAGTTAACATGCCTTGGACTTCAGAAAATAATCCAAGAACTGCATGCACCAAATAATAGGCACATTGCAAACGTCACTGCCAATCAACTGCTTTCTCTTTCCTGATGGAGGCATGCTGATGTTTGGTGGGGCTCCCCAATTGACACTTGTCTCATAAGTTTTTAAGTCAAACTAATGCAAGAGGAATGGCCACTTGACCACTATATACCTGGATTATATTTATCTTTTCTAACTTTTGATTAACTTAAATAAAAATTAAGTCTTTGGAATCCTTATTTATATAATCTATTTCAAAAGGCATTCATTTCAGCTGTATATTAATATCCTTAAATAGACATATTTAAACAACATACAGACTGTTAGCACAGGTGTTCTCAACCTCAACCCTGGCTGTATGGTAGAATCACCAGTGATGATATTTTTTAAATATTGAGATCCCAGGCCCACCTGAAAAAAGTAAATTAGAATCTCAGATGTGGGGCTCTGATTTTATACAGGTATGTTTTCAAACCTCCCCAGGTGGTTCTAACATGTAGATCAGGGGCTTAAAACCCTGGATTGGGTGCAATGTTTTTCAAATCACCATCCGAGAGAACCCCCACGCAGAGTGACCTCGAGTACTTGTTAAATTACTATTGAATGCCTAGATTGGAAATAGTGAGATCTGTAAGTTACAACACTTGCCCTTAGGGATCTCACAGAATAATAAGGTAAACTACCAAAAAGTCATTACTACAATGCACTATAGGAAATGGTGTAATAGTAATAAAAGCAAGGATTGATGAGGATGAATGGATGCTAAAGCCCAAGCTCTACCTAGTTCCCAAAGCCTCTGGGCAGAGAGAGATGCAGGGCTAAAAGTCTTAAGTTAATGTCATCTTAAGGTGAATTGTATCCTTCCAAACTTATCCTGGTTTTGTTTTTTTCATACATTGGTCTAAATCACCCCTCCTTGTCATGGTCTCGTCCATATCTAGATTCTTTATTCCCTTATTATCAATCTCTAATCATGTTAATTCTCTATATCAGTTTATTTAGCTTACTTCTAAAGTAAATACTCTTGCAGTACTGCCCTGGGATTCTGGCAGCTGGCACAAATCAAAAATTGTGAGTTTTGTACCACTGGAATGTCTAAACTATATTTTAATTCTTATGTGGTCCCACTGAAATGTCAATAGGTTATGAATATTCACAAAATTTTGGTTTGCTGTAACTTCTCTTACAAAAACTAATGTGGTAATGCTAAGTCAAATAAGCCAATGCAGAAAGACATGATTACATGATCTTACATGTGGAATCTAGAAAAGCCAAAATCATAGAAACAGAGTAAAATGGTGGCTGCCAGGGGCTGCAGGGTGGGGGAAATGGGGAGACACTGATCAAAGTGTACAAACTTTCAGTTATAACATGACCAAGTTCTATGGAGCTAATGGACAGCATGAGTAGTGGTGGAGGTGTTAACCAATTTGATTGTGGCAATTATTACACATATATCAAATCATCACATTGTACTCTTTGAACATATACGATTTTTACTTGTCAATTAAATATTTAAAATTTAAAAATAGTTAAAAATAATAATGTGGCACGTAGTATGTAATAGTTTTTATTCTTTTAAGACTGTTTCCCAAGCTGTGTTCCAAGGAGAAGTTCCAGAAGATGTTAGTAGATATTGTACTAAAAAATAATTCTATGCTTCAGTAAGTTTGTATATAAAGGAATAAATAGGCTACTTTACTCGAAAAATTCTCAGAGACTTTAGTATGCCAACAAACATTGTGAATTTTTTGGAGCACATTGGATGCAGTGGCTCTCAAACCTATTTGACTATGAAAATGAGTTTTGTTGTTGTTGTTGTATATATATATATATATATATATATATACTTTAAGTTCTGGGATACTGTTAGTTTATTTTTAAGAAATACAGCCATTGTCATCCAGGGACATTCTGTTTCTTTAGATGACTGATGATGTCTAGTACAATAGATTATGAATATGAAAGATCCCCCAACAAATGGCTCTCCATCAGAAAAGAAACACTCTTGAAAGTAAACATAGATATTTGTAGTTTACAAACTGCATTTGTGTGGCTGAAGTGATAACTTATTCCAGTGCATTGATGGGACACAGTGAATTACCCTGTTAAGCTGTGTATTGTGACCTAGAGAGGCCTTGAACATGCATGGCCCTGATCTACCTAAGAAGAGCCTGCTGGGCCGGGCACGGTGGCTCACGCCTGTAATCCCAGCACTTTGGGAGGCCGAGGTGGGTGGATCACGAGGACAGGAGATCGAGACCATCCTGGCTAACATGGTGGAACCCCGTCTCTACTAAAAATACAAAAAATTAGCTGGGCATGGTGGCAGGCGCCTGTAGTCCCAACTACGGGAGGCTGAGGCAGGAGAATGGCGTAAACCCGGGAGGCAGAGCTTACAGTGAGCCGAGATAGCGCCACTGCACTCCAGCCTGGGCAACAGAGCGAGACTCCGTCTCAAAAACAAAACAAGAGTCTGCAGCCCTGGGGCTGGTCTTCTCCCACTTGAGTCCACTCCCCCTTTTCAGCCTTTTGAGTTTTGTTAACACTCTTCCCTTTCCTCTTCTCCAGCTGCTCCCTCTATCTGTGGAGAGATACAGACATACAGACATTTAACTGTGAAAAAGGTAAAAGCAGGCACAGTGCGAAAAGACTGGCAAAGAGAAACAGAGATGGAGGTGAGGAGTTAATAGTAAAGACAGAGGAGAGAGACACGCTGACCACAGGCCTCTAACAGCCATCTTTCAACATGCATGCCGTGGTTGTTTATCCTGTGGTCAGACGACATGTCATGTGGCATGCAAGTCACTTTAAGCCCTGACATCAGAAAGACTTCCACATTGCAAGGGAGGGTTAGCAATAAAGAATAGCATTGTCCGCTTTCTTGCGATGAGATGAAGACAGTTTTGGAAGCTCCTTAGGAAAGTTCTAAACAGACAAGCTTTTCCTTTTCTTTGTCATATTTCCCACTGTCAGACTCCATGCATCTACAATCTTAGTTTATATTCCTAGCAAGAACAAAGCTGTATTTAACTTCCTTCTGTAGACATTATCACTGCATTGTTAATAAAGAAGGGAAGAAATAAGCTCAGAAGCTCAGAAAACACTCGATGGATGAGTGGAACACAAGACACTGCAGACAGAAGTGAGCAAATTTCAAAAGAAAACCTTTCTGCAGGTGCATTACTTAGAATTACCTTCAGATGTGAGTGACAAAGAACCCAAGATAACAGTGGTTTAGACGAGATTGAATTTTATTTCTCTCTCATGTAGAAATGCAGGTAGGTGGTCTGGGGCTGATATGGTGATATGGTGTTCCACACACCTTGTTTCTTTTCTGTGAGGCTGAGACATGTAGTTTTGACCACCTCATGCTTCAAAATGCTAGCATCTGCATGCTAAGGAATAGGATGAAAAAAGCAATTAAAGAGAGGAAGAGGGGAAGAGAAAAAGGGCACATGTGTGCTGTCCTCTCAGGAAGGTTTCTGGAACAACTATACAACCTTCTATTTACAACCCATTGGCCAGAACTCACACAGCCATACCTAGCTGCAGGAGAGTCTGAAAAAAAACAATCTTTGTTCTGGGAAGCCATTTGTTCAGTCAAAACCTGAGCTCATTTACAATGGTAGAATGGGACAAATGATATGAGGGAGGATGCCGTAGACTGTACAATTCTCACAAAAATGTTTGGCCCCTCATTTGCCACTAACGTCATATTCGGCCCTGTGATTTGCTTTAGACAATGAGATATAAGGCAAAGCTTTAAGAGCTGAGTGATGGTTTACCATGTCCTCTTTCTCCCATGCCCTGAGATTGGCAACATGTCAGAGGCTGTTCGGCCACTCGGGTCCTGGATATGATGACGTGAAGCACAGCTGCCACTAACCTATCACAGATATGAGACACCAGTGGAAAATAGAGCTCTGTGATCGGAAGCCACTGAGATTTGGGGACATTTGTTACTGCAGCATAACCGAACTCAGTGATTCTCAAAGTGCAATTCCGAAACCATTAGCATCAGCATCACTAGGGAATTGGTTAGAATGCAAATGCTCAGCCTCAACCTGAACTTACTGAATTAGAAACATGAGCAGCACCCAGCAATCAGTGGTTTAACAAGTCCTTCCTTCTTAAACCAAGAGAGATTCTAAATTGGGCTAAGTGTGACAGCCAGTGCTCTGGCCTATTTAGACAGATACAGGGGGGACTGACTATCTCTATCACACATGAAGGCAAAAACAGGGAGAAGGGGTTGCCATCTGTTCCTCCAGAGAGGAGAGAGAGAAGCAGCAGATTCAGTGACTACAACAGGGGAAGCGGCATCTTCCTGTCATTTGGTGTGACCTTAGCCCTAAAGGAAGAGACCACAGCTACAGAAGTTGTGAATCACAACTCTTCATTCCAGTGAGAAATCCAGTTATTGCAAGAAGAGAAACGGTTACTCCCATAGGCTTGAAGCTGCAGGAGTGGAGCCATACCTTAGAAATCTATGTCTTACTTCTTTGACCTTATGGCACCCTATTGTTATAGCTGGAGTGCACACAAAGCACTAAAACAACGTATCTTGAACATGAAAGTAACTTGCCCTATTAAATGGCCTATATCTGACTTTTTCCAGACAATACCACCTCAAAACAGTTGAGACACCCTAGGTTGTTCCAAAACATGGCTGACATGTGGGTCAATATACAGTGTCTGCATCCTGCTGAGAGCAGGATCTGAGGCTGGCCCCAGAAATTGCCAGGCTGTGGCTCTGCAGGGCTGGAAATGAGCAATGGATACATCCTCACAGAAAGCCTTCAGTGCCCATTTTCCACTCCCTGTCAGAACGTCCACATTGTCTGGATTACTCTGATCTATCAAGCAGAACTCCATGCTCTAGATGTTTTCTAACTATCCACCTTCCTCCCAGTTCTCACTCTCTCAAGACTCCAGGTGAGGAGTCATGAGAGAAATAGGCTGAAACCAAGATGTATGCTGCGTGTGGCTCTTCTAGATGTAGGGTTTTCTCAACCCTGCCAACCTATAAATGAGAGTGCCCTCTGCACAGGTGTTAGGAGATGTTCACAGGATTAAGCCTCCCATAGACCACGATGGGAAATCCAGTCAAAGCAGGGTGTGGTGCTTGAGCCCAGAAACCTCGGCAAGTAGAGGAGAGGTGGCACTGATATCCCTCCTCACTCCAGGCAAGTGAATGTATTTCCTCCTCTGGGTTTGTGAGAAATTCAGGTTTGAAAAAAAAATACCAAATAACCCTAATGAGGTGGCAATTTACCTTGAATTGGCAATATTCTACATACATTTGCCTCACAGTGTGAACCAAGCAAACCTCTCCATTGCATGAAGGAGCAAGCACCTCATTTGCTGCCCTAGGCTGAATAGTTGCCATACTTAAAAGAACAAACACAATTTCCCCAGGATACAACTTTTCATGTGCTACGGTCAGTTTTCACGCTAAGCTTTTCTATTAGTTATGTGGCATTTTCCTTAGAGCCCACGTGGAACCCACACTGTCTCCGTCCTACTGAATGCTCCTTGCAAAGAAGCCAAATGTCCTGAACGCCATGGGGGAAAAACACAGAGGAAACAGCTCCGGGCCTGACCCCTGAGCCTCTGTCCAGAGACATCTCCAGGGCAGTTGCAGGGCCCAGAACAAATCATCCCCACCATCCCCTGATATTTTTCTATAAAGGAAAATCAGATTTGAGGGAATCTCAAGGGCAGTAATGAAGGGGGCAGAAAACCAGAAGATGTCACACAAGCACATCATGAGGTTGACAGTAGGAACAAAGGAAGCTGGGCCGAAGGCAGGGAAGGAACCCAAACCCAGCGTCTCTTCTGCTTGTGGGTCTGAGAACTCCTGGGGTCTTCTGTTTAACACTGGTTACTCGGCCTTGACAGTGAATTTTAAACCTTTATTTTAGATTCTTTCTTTCCTTGGGAACAAACGGTATTGCTCTAAACTATTTAGTAGCTGTGGGAAGACTAAGACAAATAAGACAAAGGCAAGCAGCTTCCTGAAACTTCTGCCTGCCTGAAGGTATTGTATGTTGAGACCGAGGTGGGGGCCGGGGGCACGTGTTGGCCTACTTGGCTTTATTGGGATCAGTTCATAGAAATTTCTGGGCTCTGGGGCTGATGAGCCAACAGAGGAGAGGTTCCTCCTGGAATTCTGAGGTGAAAGAGATCCTCCAAGCTACTCTGTTTTGGGGTGGCTTGCTGCAGTGACCTACCCAATTAAACATGGCCATGCTATGGAAAGGGTTGCCCACAGCTGGCTGATGGCCCCCACATGTCTGACCTCTTGCCAGCATGCTCCCCATCTGTCCCTGCCCTTTTCTTCCCCCAGGTTTCTATGTCCCTATCTCTTCTTGGACTGATGTCTACTCACTCTTACAGGCAATTTTTTTGGGCCTTTCTCAATTGATAACCTAGGCTGAACAACTGCAGTGACCTCTGTCACTGCCATGATTTTCTGCAGCTCACATGAATGATTTAAAAACTACATACCTGGGCGGGGCACAGTGACTCATGCGTGTAATCCCAGCACTTTGGGAGGCTGAGACGGGTGGATCACGAGGTCAGGAGATCGGGACCATCCTGGCTAACACGGTGAAACCCGTCACTACTAAAAATACAAAAAAATTAGCCGGGTGTGGTGGCGGGTGCCTGTAGTCCCAGCTACTCGGGAGGCTGAGGCAGGAGAATGGTGTGAACCCAGGAGGCGGACCTTGCAGTGAGCCGAGATCACGCCACTGCACTCCAGCCTGGGTGACAGAGTGAGACTCCATCTCAAACAAACAAACAAACAAAAAACAAACAAAAAACTACATACCTCACCAAGTGCAGAGGCTCACACCTGTAATCCCAGCATTTTGGGAGCCTGAGACAGGAAAATTACTTGAGACCTGTCTCTACAAAATTACAGGAGTTTGAGACCTTGTCTCTACAAAAATAAACTTAAAAAATGTTTTAAATTATACACATATTCTAATAAAGGCAAATTATTTTCTATTTCTTAATGTTTATATTTACAGTCAAAACTTTTATAGCACCACAAAGGTAGAATTCAGCTAAAGATACTCACCTCCCATCTCCATCCCCACTAACCTCCCCCAGCCCAACTCTTCTTATCCTAATAGGGTCGGATCAGTTCCCATGCCTGGGAGGGGTGTGGGTGGCTTCCCTCCACAGCATTGTGCTCAGTCCTATGGTGAAACCCTCAATCTAGCCTCTACCTTGCCTTTTGGCTGAATTATATTTTCTACTAGAAGAAATTGCATGCTACCATTAGAAGCTGTGCTGCCCAAGCCACTTCTGCTTGCAGGAAGAGTGAACATTTTTGCATGGTCCCTACCATGTGGGTAAGATCTCTGCCCCGTCTTCTTCCCAGCCTTGGAGCATTACCCCTGGTTGCCCCAGATGTTCTGGCTCAGAACTGCACTGAGGTGCGCTTTGTCCTCCCTTTGGTATTTTCTTCTCTCCTATTCTATCTCACTTTTCCCACCTTTTTTGTCTCTCTGCCTCATTTTCCTGTCCCTTGGTAAGCTATTTCTCACTTCCTGTCTTCCTCTTCTTCCAGGTCATTCCCCACCTTATTAAAAATGTTATCATTAAGTAAAGAACATAAAGAAAATGTTATCATTAAGCAAAGAACAGTGAATAAGAGAAAGTTTCCAAACAGTGAATTTTATTTTTAAGAAGTCCATATTATTAGCTGTGAGTCTAATTGATTTTATTTCTGATTTTTTATTTTGAAAAATTTCAAACCTACTAGAAAATTGCCACAATGGCACAAGGAACACACATACAGCCCTTGCCTATGTTGATCAGTTGTAAACATTTTGCCACATTTGTCTTCTCTTTGTGTATGTATTTTCATTATTTTTATCTTGCTGAACTATTTGAGAACATTGCAGATATCATAACCCCTTATTCCTAGATACTTTCAACATGTATTTCTTAAGAACAAAAACATTCTCTTGCATAACCACAATATGATTATCAAATGAAGAAAATCTAATAGTGGTACAATGCTATTATCTAGTGATCTAGCCCTGTGCATCTATTTAAATATTTGAAGGAAGAATTTGCATTTGGCTTTGGTTTACGTAATCTGAAATAGGATTTTATTGCAATTTTACCAAAATCCACCTCAATAGAAATGGGTGGTGGCCTCAAGGAAGTGCTTTTTACCCCTTATTTCTTAATTTATTTCACTACAAGGTACAGATAACACCAATAGTATCTATCAACCAAAGGCATTTAGTTGATGAAATGTATTTTCAGCACGTTAAAATAATTCAAAAAGTATCCAGGCACATATTCTATACTCACAAAAACCAGTGCCTAATTTGGAGATAACTTCCACAGACTTTACATGATATTTTGATACAAATTAATTTTATGAGGACTCATATTAAGGACCATAACCAATCTAGCTTTTTCCACAGATTTATTCACATTAGGTAACCCATTCAGAACGAGAACTAAGATGATGTTGAATTGGAACTGATAGCTCTTTGTTGTGTTTTAAAGGGAGAGATGTGTGCTTATACTGTACA
Organism: Homo sapiens; assembly: GCF_000001405.40. Taxonomy (NCBI): domain Eukaryota; kingdom Metazoa; phylum Chordata; class Mammalia; order Primates; family Hominidae; genus Homo; species Homo sapiens. Next base: position 175,606,689 of record NC_000002.12, on the reverse strand, counting down.
TATGTCAACAAGCAAGCGTACAACGTGCAACATTGTTGGTTTAAGAGCATCTGTATTCCTGAATCCCAGACAAACAGCTCTGCCTGACAACAGCTGAAGTCCAAAGTTCGACCCGAGATTGATTGTACCAACATGATTGGAATAAACCAAAAAAGAGATGCCTTCCTGGTGACTCACCAAACCCAAACTGATGCTTCTGGAATTTGTACCTTTCCCAGTTTGGTTGTTTTCCTGCAACATTAAGAGGCTATCCAGTCTCTTGCCAAAAGGGATTTGTCCTTTTTATCTAGTCAGGAGAGTGCTTCAGCTATTTGCATTTCTGAATTGCTTAGCTGCCCAAGCATGCTCGGTGTGTGCTGTTTGAAATGTGTCATTGAGGCACGTGACTGCTGTTCTCAAGCTGATGTTGGACTTTCTCCAACAAATATGGATTATGTTAAAGTCGGTTCTGAATTGACGAGGATATGTTAATAACTCCCAGATGGGCATCTCTGTGCTCTCCAGCAGGGAAATGCAAGCAGTCCATGGCAGGAGCAAGTGTTTGGCAGGTCCATCATTCCGTCATTAAAGGCCACATTATTACTTACAACTGTGCTTGCATGACAATGGCTGCGATGAGCCCAGCCTCGCAGTAATGAGCACTAGGAATCTGCTTTCAGGTAGATTGTTTTCCAGGTGGTGAAAAATATTTTGTTTGAAATTTCCCTCTTCCTATTGCCAAATAAGAAATTACGAATGAATCAAGGGGGCAAGGTGGGAGGTGGAGGGGGGTCTATGCTGTTCCTTAGAGACCAGGACAAGGCAAAGGTGTATGCTCAGGGATATATGCTCAGTAACCCTCATGCCAAACAGCCTGAGCTGTGTCCCTCAGTGCCTAATTCCTGCCCTAGCAAGTTCCAGTTGGAACAATTATTTACATTAGGGTTGTTTACAATGCGATTGCAGTTTCCATTAGAGGGCAAAGCTTCTTTGCCTTTGGTCCTTAAGCTACAACGTACGATTGTTTCGCAGTTGTCTTTTTTTAAAAAGAAATGAAAAATGTGAATCTCCTATAATTGTATTGCCAGTCCAGGGGGAAACTGAGTATATTTGATGTTAAATTCCAATGTGACAAGTGTTACATAGGGGTATTCAGTCCATGCATGATGTGGTTAACACAATTAATTGTGACAAAATTAGACATTAAGATGAAAGAGAAAAATTTGACCCAAAAAATCATTTACGTAACTGTGTGTAAATTTGCCATATTTTAGTAGAGTGGCGAGAGGCAGCAGGGTCTCCATTTGCAAAGTAAATGTTGCATGTGCATTGCTTTCATTTAGAATGTAAAATAATCTTTCATCCCAAAATATATGTTGTGATGAGAATGCCCGACAACGATAAAAAGTAATTGAAAACATTCAATTGCAAATGATGCACTTTCTCCTTTGCTTTGGTTCTCTTTTTCATTAACAAGCAATTCAGCCACAGAGAGTCCCCTTACTTTACAGTCAGGTAACTGGATTTTATGATGTCATTTCATCTGCATAGGCATATCTATATGTTCTTTTTTTTTTTTTCAGCAGCTCCAAGGAATTTAAAAGTATAAAACCACATCTGCCAATAACATTATGACGAACCATTTAGGATTTGGTTTTTTACAAGGCAGCAGCACTAAATGTCATCGATTCCCAGCATGCACTGGTATATTTTTAATGCTAACAGTCAGGATTTTAAAACATTTCATTTTAAGTCATTTAAAAATATCTAAAGATTAGCAAAAGATTTCACAGAGCTTCTGCATTGAGGCCTTCCTGAAGAGGGTTTATATGGGTGTGGGACCATGAGTTAACAGTTTGGATATTCCAGAAGGGTGGAAAAAAGATAATCCAGCTTACACGGTTTACTGTAAGAGATTGCAGCAAGGGCTCCCCATAGACCGACGCCCTCTTTGGACTATTTGCCCAGGGGAAGAAGAATATTGCCAAAACCTGGATGCAAACTACCCCAGTCCTCTATGTGTTACAACATTATGCTTCTTTATGTGTGAATATCATAAAGTATCTATAGTCTGATAGTTCACCCAACCTTGAGAGGTTGTATGTTTATTAAAAATACTTTCAGCTCACCCTCACATTGAGCAATGCAAAAGGGAGCCCAGTGGATTTGGATCCACTAACTCCAGTTCACAATTGTTAGGCTCCCTTGACTGAGCTTGCCCAAGCAATAAAAAGGGAGGGATTTTCGCTTAAAGACACTTAAAAGACAATTTTGCTTAAATTGACCCTGGGTATTTCTTTTCTTTTCTTTTTTTTTTAATACTTTAAGTTCTGGGATACATGTGCAGAACTTGCAGGTTTGTTACATAGGTATACATGTGCCATTGTGGTTTGCTGTACTCATCAACCCGTCATCTACATTAGGTATTTCTCCTAATGCTATCCCTCCCCTTGCTCCCCACCCCTGACAGGCCCTGGTGTGTGATGTTCCCCTCCCTGTGCCCATATGTTCTCATTGTTCAACTCCCACTTATGAGTGAGAACATGCAGTGTTTGGCTTTCTGTTCTTGTGTTAGTTTGCTGAGAATGATGGTTTCCTGCTTCATCCATGTCCCTGCAAAGGACATGAACTCATTCCTTTTTATGGCTGCATAGTATTCCATGGTGTATAAGGGCCACATTTTCTTTATCCAGTCTATCATTGATGGACATTTGGGTTGGTTTCAAGTCTTTGCTATTGTGAATAGTGCTGCAATAAACATACATGTGCATGTGACTTTATAGTAGAATGATTTATAATCCTTTGGGTATATACCCAGTAATGGGATTGCTGGGTCAAATGGTGTTTCTAGTTCTAGATCCTTGAGGAATCTCCACACTGTTTTCCACAATGGTTGAACTAATTTACACTCCCACTAACAGTGTAAAAGCATTTCTATTTCTTCACATCTCCAGCATCTGTTGTTTCCTGACTTTTTAATGATTGCCATTCTAACTGGCATGAGATGGTATCTCATTGTGGTTTTGATTTGCAGTTCTCTAATGACCAGTGATGATGATCTTTTTTTTCATATGTTTGTTGGCCACATAAATGTCTTCTTTTGAGGAGTATCTGTTCATATCCTTCACCCACTTTTTGATGGGGTGGTTTTTTTCTTGTAAATTTGTTTAAGTTCCTTGTAGATGCTGGATATTAGCCCTTTGTCAGATGGATAGATTCCAAAAATTTTCTCCCATTCTGTAGGTTGCCTGTTCACTCTGATGATAGTTTCTTTTGCTGTGCAGAAGCTCTTTAGCTTAATTAGATCCCATTTGTCAATTTTGGCTTTTGTTTCCATTGCTTTGGTTGTTTTAGTCATCAAGTCTTTGCCCATGCCTATGTCCTGAATGATATTGCCTAGGTTTTCTTCTATGCTTTTTATGGCTTTAGGTCTTACGTATAAATCTTTAATCCATCTTAAGTTAATTTTTTTATAAGGTGTAAGGAAGGGGTCCAGTTTCAGTTTTCTGCATATGGCTAGCCAGTTTTCCCAACACCATTTATTAAATAGGGAATTCTTTCCCCATTGCTTATTTTTGTCAGGTTTGTCAAAGATCAGGTGGTTGTAGATATGTGGTGTTATTTCTGAGGCCTCTGTTCTGTTCCATTGGTCTATGTATCTGTTTTAGAACCAGTACCATGCGGTTTTGGTTACTGTAGACTTGTAGTATAGTTTGAAGTCAGGTAGTGTGATGCCTCCAGCTTTGGATACAACTTACAAGGGATGTGAAGGACCTCTTCAAGGAGAACTACTAACCACTGCTCAAGGAAACAAGAGAGGACACAAACAAATGGAAAAACATTCCATGCTCATGGATAGGAAGAATGATTATTGTGAAAATGGCCATACTGCCCAAATTAATTTATAGATTCAATGCCATTCCCATCAAGCTACCATTGACTTTCTTCACAGAATTAGAAAGAACTACTTTAAATTTCATATGGAACCAAAAAAGAGCCCATATAGCCAAGACAATCCTAAGCAAAAAGACCCTGGGTATTTCATAAGTCTTCAAAATGTACTTTTGTACTATTAATATTTCATTAAAGAATTTCAGTTAATGAATTTCTGTTTGCAGAAAGTTTGGGGAGTTGGCAGGTGTAATAGAAAATACAAGATACTATATTTTAATGGCCATTAAGTTGAAACTTTCAAGGTACTATAAGACCCCAGTTAGTTAGCTGAATATCACAAGTGGTTCATCATTGTCATTAGGTATTAATTAGGCAGCTACAGAGTGCTAGACACTCTGCAAAACTCACAAAAACGACTGTCTCTGTTTGGGGGAAACTTACACTTCTGGGGGTGGTGATCTTTGTTGTTGCTATATTACCATTTGTAATGAGCATTCTTGGAATGAAGGACTTGGTATTTTGAAAGAGCTTTACGGTTTCTAATTATAGTCTCAAGAGCTCATAGCACACAATACTACATTTACAGGAAAGGAAACCTACCCCCAAAGATGTTATGTGGCTGATCTGCCATTACAGTAAAGGCTTTTTGACACCCTTTTAAATGTTATGTCACCTTTGACAGAACATAATCTAACAACACAAAAAGGTATGAAATAGGAGAGTTTGAAGAAGAGAGCCTTTTGTGTAAAAGCACCAATGCTATTAAGATCAGAGATAAACACAGGTAAAGGAGTAATGTTTTTATTTCACCTTCTTTGTCCTTTACTACATAAGACAATATTCTTCTCATAATGGCATTCAACTTTCTGGATGGTTAAAAAGAGGCTTATAAGAGCAATTGAAAGTAATATGGGCATTTTAATATTGTGACACTTAATGCTACATAAAACCTTTGTTTCCTATAGGTTTATTGAACTGGTGTATTAGATTTCCTGCTGTATGAGCAGGAAGATTATGGTGGCTTAGGTCTAAGTATACTATGGGGAGGCATTTTGTATTTTCTCTATAAATAGTCTTTCTAAAACAACACAATTGTGTAACTATTAATGTTTATATTGCATTATACATCTCCCAAAGTTTACTATGCATGGTATAGAGTGTGGTAACCAAAGGAAATGTTTTTATCTATGAAATACACTGGGAATTGTCATTATTAAAGTAAATCTATTTTATTTATTATCTCATCAGTAGGATTTTCATGCTTTGGTCTTACATTATGGTATTATGTCTATAAGCTTCTAGAAGCTAAGCATTTAAACGTACATATGCACATACTGCATGCATGCATGTATATATCATGTTTTGAAATAAAAGCTATAGCAGAACTAGAAGACTAAATTTTCAATGGAAATAATTACATTTGGGTAAATCCAAAACGGGCAGAAAATTTGAAAAATGTTGGTTTCAAGTGTGTGGTTTTCGTAGATGAAAAATTTGATTAGACTATTGTTCAGAGTGTGTGTCAAAGCTTGTTTTTCATACTGAAATAATTTCTCAGGCTTAATGAAAATAACCAAATCATGAATTCCCTTATTAAATGTGCATTTTTCAATAGCTAATGCAGAATCAACCTCATAAGTGCAGGACAAAATGTAGCCCTGCAAAAGTACAGCACAGATTCCAACTTGGGTTACAATTTTGTCCCAGTTCCTGGGGTAACATAACCTATGGTGAAATTGTATTTCTTTGTGTGAGTAATTTAATGAGCAATTTCTTCAGAATTTATAAGAAAAAGGCCCCAGACCTAGCACTGCAGGTCCCCCCAGAGCCACTTTTCCTTCCATACATGAATAGCCAGTTTCATTATGTTCAAAAGCAAAGCAAGAGAGAAACAAATGGGGAGGGCTGTTACATCCAAAGAAATGAAAGATTATCTTCTCCAAGCAGCAGAAATGAGATGTATTGGGCCTACCTTTGAATCACTCTTAGCTTCAGATGGAACATGACGTATGGGTAATCTGCAATTTGCTAGGGGCATTGTTAGCATGCATCGCCTCCAGGGTAGGATTTTAACCAGGCCTCCAGCAGCTGTGTGTTTGGCGTCTCAGCCACATTAGGTATACAGAACCCCACTGCTATTACCCTGGTGAAACCCATGCCAAGGCCTCTGGTGACACAATGGAGGTATTAGGTCAGATGAGTTACATTAAGTGGCAAGTGATAAATTCAAGATGACAATTCAAAACAGCAGTGTTTCTTCTAAGTAATTAATTCCAGTGGTGCCTGAGGCAGTGCTTGGTCGCTGCCACTGGTGTGGCAATGCTGCGTAGCTAATGAGAAAACATTACAGTGAGGATTAGGGGCCTGTGCATTCTGGCAGGCTGAGGTCACTATGATTAGGAAATATTAACACAGACTTACTGTGATAAACCATACAAGCCCAGGAAACTTAATTTTTATTTTATTAATGTAAAAACTGTTGAACACTATACAATGTGGCGATTCACTACGTGGGCTAGGGAGAGCAGTGACACATTCCACCCAGGGTCTGGGACAGCCTCTCAGGGCCTGTTGGGATGGTGACCAAGGCTTGCCAGGGCCACTCACATTCTTTTCATTCTTTTCTGCTGTCTGTGGAAACAGTGTCTTTGGCACAGAGGGAGGCTATAAAATTATGGGCCTGTTTTATTTTCCCAAATATGATTTAATGAAAACCTTTTGTTTTATGACTCACCCTCCTTGCTTAAGAGATTACTCTGAAATAGTTATATGGTGATCTTGTCAAGCAATGGACAAGGAGTTTACTTTCTCTTGCTAAGTCTGTCCTTGAAGAAGGAGTGATAAGAGCACATCAGATTTCATAGTGCTATCTAATTTTTAGAGGACTTGATCACATTTATTCGGACTGCCAAACAATCCTATGAGCTATGTGAAGGATGTGTTGCCATTCCAATTCGAAACGTGAGAAACTCGAGGCCAGAGAGGTGAAGAGAATGGGACAAGATCACACAGGTTACACGTTTGGGCCAGAACTCAGCACCAAAAACAGCTAGTATGTTGCTCCCGTGAACATCACATAGTGTGTGCAAAGCTAGCCACCAAAACAATTTCCTGTAAAATTCCCAAAGAAGATTCTGCTGAGAACTCTTTTGTGCACATACACATGCGCACACACACACACACACACACACACACACACAATGTGAATTCATCTCTAGTGAAGGACTTTTAGTTTGAGCAACTACAGATGTCTTATGGTGTATTGGATATATGACCTATAAAATACCTACTAAACACTTTGCCTTTGCACTGAAAAATGAACTGCTCCTAGAGGTAAGGCTGCTTCCTTATCACCTGCTGTAAATTGGCTCTGGTGTTTGGTACTCAGATTCGATATGTGCTCTGTCCACAGGTATGCATGTGAGTGAACGGAGATGAGTAGAAAGGCCATTAGCAACACGTGTTCCCTGAAATGTTGAAGTGTCACCAAACACTCAGATCTTAATGGTCCAAGCTTCTTAGTTTATTAAGAAGCTGATTACATTTTAGAGAAAATAAGAAGAATTATAAGTACAGTACATATTTTTTAACTCTATAGAATACATGATATTGATCTTGCATTGGTAACAATGAAGTTTAGCTAGTTCCATTTTCCAGAATGATAGAAAATAAATAATGAAGCAAGCTCTTTCTTCATGATAGTAGATGAGGAGGGCTCGATTTCAACAAAGTAACAATTAAAAACGGTTTGTAATGATGCATATGCAATTCTTGGCATCTTTGTATATGAAAGCAAAACTTAGGAAAAGTCAATATTTAGGAAATAAACCTATCTTTTATTTATATATTTTGAGCTGAAGATGTGAAAAAGTGCTGAAGAGTTTGTACACAACCTTTTATCAATTCTATGATAAAAATGTACAAGAGGCATGACAATGAGAGATGGCTGAATTAGTAAAGAAGTAGTGTAGTACTGAAGTCTGACCATCCATTTGTTCACAGTAGGAAATAGTAATTAACATGTGATTAAAGGCAATGAATTTGAATGAACTGAAATGATTTTTATCTTTATTTTTATATTTTAATCTTCAAATAGTCTTACCTTTTTCTTAAGTTTCTATGGTTGAACAAAAGAACATTACAAGAATCATATTATGAAAGCTAAAATCTACTGAGAACAAAATAAAACTTTAGAAATGTGTAGGAAGTCATGGTTAAAAATTATGACCCTAAGCCAACTTCTATCTTAGGGAAAGAGAGAAGACTGCATTTTCTTTTTTAAGTGCTTAAAAAAAAAACCTTCTGTTTAATTTATATTTAATTTATATCCTACTGTTTAGATGTTTAATTTATATCCTACTGTTTAGATGTCTAATTTTATCTGTATGTTCATATTTAAGAACGTAAAAATTCCTTTAGTCAAGAACTACAAAACACTGCTAAAAGAAATCATAGATGACACAAACAAATGCAAAAATATTCCATGCTCGTGGATTGGAAGAAACATATAGTTAAAATGGCCCTACCACCCACAACACCTACAGATTCAACGCTGTTTCTAAGTACCAATGTCATTTTTCACAGAATTGGAAAAAGCTATTCAAAAATTCATAAGGAACCAAAAAAGAGCTCAAATACCCAAAGCAATCCTAAGCAAAAAGAAGAAAGCTGGGAGGCATCACCTGACTTCAAACTATACTATAAGAATATAGTAGGCCAGGCACAGTGGCTCACGCCTATAATCCCAGCACTTTCAGAGGCTGAGGCGGGTGGATCATGAGGTCAGGAGTTCAAGACAAGTCTGGCCAAGATGATGAAACCCCATCTCTACTAAAAATACAAAAAAATTAGCCGGGCATGGTGGCGGGCGTCTGTAATCCCAGCTACTCGGAAGGCTGAGGCAGAGAATTGCTTGAACCCAGGAGGTGGAGGTTGCAGTGAGCCGAGATTGTGCCACTGCACTCCAGCCTGGGTGACAGAGTGAGACTCTGTCTCAAAAAAAAAAAAAAAAAAAAATACAGTAACCAAAATAGCATGGTACTGGTACAAAAACAGACACATAGATCAATGGAACAGAATAAAGAACCCAGAAATAAAGGTGCACACCTACAGCCATCTAATCTGTGACAAAGTCAACAAAAATAAACAATGGAGAAAGAACTCCCTATTTAATAAATGTTGCTGTGATAGCTGGCTAGCCATATGCATAAGAATGAAACTGAACTCCTACCTTTCAGTATATACAAAATTTAACTCAAGATGGATTACAGATTTAAATGTAAGACCTCAAACTACAAGAATGCTAGAAGAAAACCTAGGAAACACCACTCTGGATGTTGGCCTTGGAAAAGAATTTATGACTAAGCCCTCAAAAGCAATTGCAACAAAAACAAAAATTCAGTAAGTAGGATCTAATTAAACTAAAGACCTTCACAGCAAAAGAAACTATCAACAGAGTAAACAGACAACCTAAACAATTGGAGAAAATATTTGCAAACTATGCATCTGAAAAAGGCCTAATATTCAGAATCTATACAGAACTTAAACAATTCAACAAGCAAAAAACAAATAGCTTCATTAAAAAGTGAGCAAGACGTGAACAGACACTTCTCAAAAGAAGATATACAAGTGACTAACAGACATATATAAAAATGCTCCACGTCACTAATTATTGGAGAAATGCAAATCAAAACCACAAGATACCATCTCACACGAGTAAAAATGCTTATTATTAAAAAGCCAAAAACCAACAGATGTTGGCGAGGCTGCAGAAAAAAGGGAAGGCTTATACACTGTTGGTGTGAATGTAAATTAGTTCAGCCACTGTGGAAAGCCATTTGGGGATTTCTCAAATAACTTAAAACAGAACTACCTTACTGGGTACATATCCAAAAGAAAATAAATCATTGACCAAAGAGTCATATGCACTCACATGTTCTTCAAAGCACTATTCACAATAAAAAAGACACAGAATGAACCCTAGGTGACCATCAGTGGTGGACTGGGTAAAGAAAATGTGATACATATACACCAAAGAATACTACACAGCCATAAAAAGAACAAAATCCTATTTTTTGCAGCAACATGGATGCAGCCATAGGCCATTATCCTAAAAAAATTAACGCAGGAACAGAAAACCAAATACTGTATGTTCTCACTTATAAGTGAGAGCTAAATCTAGATACTCATGGGCATAACAATGGCAACAATAGACACTAGGGACTACTAGGTGGGAAGAGAGAGAGTGAGGCAAGGATTGAACTAACTGTTGTGTATTATGCTCCGTTTCATACCCCAAAGCTCAGCATCATGCAATATACCCATGTAACAAACCTGCACATGTACCCTCTGAATCTAAATTAAGAGTTGAAAATAAAATAAATAAAATAAAATAATAAAGTATTCCTTTAGTGAAGAGTGAAGTAAGTCCTCATTTCAGGTTTTGGCTGGAATGTTAATATTTTTGCAGCGACAAATAAGTCTGAAAACAAAAGATTTCTAATTTGAAGCTTGTCACATATCTAAATTACTAGACAGCTTTTAGTTACTTAAAACAATACCAAGTCTTACATAGAAAAGGTTCTAGAACAAAACTGTTAGTTCATCTAGATTCAAACCTGCTTTTTACCTCTTTTGAATAAGCCACTTGGATATCACAGGCAAGCCTGAAACCTATCACAAACCTGGCTATTTCTACTTTGTTTCTGCCAACCACAGGATTTCTCAAGGCCTCATATTTTAAAATATTTTCTGTTATGATATGAGAGGAAGAGCACTGGACTGGGAGTTCAAGGATTTGGCTTCCAGTTCTAATCCCACTTCTGACTCACTGAATGAACAGTGAGTTCATATTTTAGGCCTCAGTTTTCTAATCTGTAAAATGAGAGCGAAGGTTCCCAAACCTAATATCAATCACATGATGTGCATTTGCAAGGCCTTTTTAAATTGTGTAAAGTTGTTTATACATTCTTTAAATTATAAGGGTAATTTGTACTTATTTTTAAAAACAAAACAAAACAATCAGAAAACATAAAGAAAAAAATTAGTTCCTTTTTCACCATACTTGCTTCCAGTCTCACTCTCCTGAGACAACCAATGTTAAATTTGGCATTTGTATCAGTTAGGATTAGGCTTAGTTGCATATAATTGAAATATACCAGACAACAATGACTTAAACACAACACAGGCTTATTTCTTCCACACCTAAAAGATGTCCAGATGTTCCCGTGTAATAACAAGACAGGTATGATGGCTCCACGGTGTCATAAGGGACTCAGGATTCTGTCTTTACGTTCCACTATCCTAGTTCATGGCTGCCATCCTCAAAGTCACCTCATGATCCAAAATTGGCTGTTGGAACTTAAGCCAACAGAAACACATTGCAGGCCAGAAGAAGGAGGAAAGGCAGAGGAAATAAAAAGAATGTCTCCCTTTAAGCACACAACTTTGTCTATACCTTATTGGCTGACACTGAATCACGTGGCCATACCCATGGCAAGGGAGGCTGGGAAACATAGTCTTTTATTATGGGTGGCACTGTGTAGAGATTAAAAAGTAATTACAATTCTTTTTTTTTTTTTTGAGACAGTCTTGCTTTGTCGCCCAGGCTGGAGTGCAGTTGTGCTATCTCGGCTCACTGCAACCTCTGCTGCCTGGGTTCAAACAATTCTCCTGCCTCAGCCTCCTGAGTAGCTGGGATTACAGGCGCCTGCCACCACACCTGGCTAATATTTTTGTATTTTTAGTAGAGATGGGCTTTCACCATCTTGGACAGGCTGGTCTTGAACTCCTGACCTCGTGATCCTTCCACCTCAGCCTCCCAAAGTGCTGGGATTACAGGCGTGAGCCACCGCACCCATCCCAGTAATTACAATTCTAAACAAGAAAGAGAGAATGGTTGAAGGAGAAGTCAATTGGCAACCACTTCTTCAGTGTATATCGCTCCATAATTTTTTTCATGCTCATACAAACATATTTGAATATATAGATATTCATTTGGTCATTCTGTTGTGGTTGTTTATTAAAATGGAATAATATTAAACATTTTTCTGTAACTTGCTCTTTCTCTCTTAATATATTATTGACATTCCTTCAGATCAATCTACAGAGATTATACGTATTCCTTTTAAGAGCTACATGTTATTTTATCATATGGGTTTATCATAATGTGTTTAACCAGTCCCCCATTGATATAATTTCAGATTTTTCACGTTTTGCTACCAAAAAAAGTCGAATTAAATACCTTATATCTTGGGAGCCAAGATGGCCGAATAGGAACAGCTCCGGTATACAGCTCCCAGCGTGAGCGACGCAGAAGACAGTGATTTCTGCATTTCCATCTGAGGTACCGGGTTCATCTCACTAGGGAGTGCCAGACAGTGGGCGCAGGTCAGTGGGAGCGCGCACCGTGCGCGAGACGAAGCAGGGCGAGGCATTGCCTCACTTGGGAAGCATAAGGGGTCAGGGAGTTCCCTTTCCGAGTCAAAAAAAGGGGTGATGGACGGCACCTGGAAAATCGGGTCACTCCCACCCGAATACTGCGCTTTTCCGACGGGCTTAAAAAACGGCGCACCACGAGATTACATCCCGCACCTGGCTCGGAGGGTCCCACACCCACAGAGTCTTCCTGATTGCTAGCACAGCAGTCTGAGATCAAACTGCAAGGCGGCAGCGAGGCTGGGGGAGGGGCGCCGGCCATTGCCCAGGCTTGATTAGGTAAACAAAGCAGCTGGGAAGCTCGAACTGGGTGGAGCCCACCACAGCTCAAGGAGGCCTGCCTGCCTCTGTAGGCTCCACCTCTGGGGGCAGGGCACAGACAAACAAAAAGACAGCAGTAACCTTTGCAGACTTAAATGTCCCTGTCTGACAGCTTTGAAGAGAGCAGTGGTTCTCCCAGCACACAGCTGGAGATCTGAGAACGGGCAGACTGTCTGCTCAAGTGGGTCCCTGACCCCTGACCCCTGACCCCCGAGCAGCCTAACTGGGAGGCACCCCCCAGCAGGGGCACACTGACACCTCACACGGCAGGGTATTCCAACAGACCTGCAGCTGAGGGTCCTTTCTGTTAGAAGGAAAACTAACAAACAGAAAGGACATCCACACCAAAAACCCATCTGTACATCACCATCATCAAAGACCAAAAGTAGATAAAACCACAAAGATGGGGAAAAAACAGAACAGAAAAACTAGAGCGCCTCTCCTCCTCCAAAGGAACACAGTTCCTCACCAGCAACGGAACAAAGCTGGATGGAGAATGACTGACGAGCTGAGAGAAGAAGGCTTCAGACGATCAAATTACTCTGAGCTACGGGAGGACATTCAAACCAAAGGCAAAGAAGTTGAAAACTTTGAAAAAAATTTAGAAGAATGTATAACTAGAATAACCAATACAGAGAAGTGCTTAAAGGAGCTGATGGAGCTGAAAACCAAGGCTCGAGAACTACGTGAAGAATGCAGAAGCGTCAGGAGCCCATGTGATCAACTGGAAGAAAGGGTATCAGCGATGGAAGATGAAATGAATGAAATGAAGCGAGAAGGGAAGTTTAGAGAAAAAAGAATAAAAAGAAATGAGCAAAGCCTCCAAGAAATATGGGACTATGTGAAAAGACCAAATCTACGTCTCATTGGTGTACCTGAAAGTGATGGGGAGAATGGAACCAAGCTGGAAAACACTCTGCAGGATATTATCCAGGAGAACTTCCCCAATCTAGCAAGGCAGGCCAACATTCAGATTCAGGAAATACAGAGAACGCCACAAAGATACTCCTCGAGAAGAGCAACTCCAAGACACATAATTGTCAGATTCACCAAAGTTGAAATGAAGGAAAAAATGTTAAGGGCAGCCAGAGAGAAAGGTCGGGTTACCCACAAAGGGAAGCCCATCAGACTAACAGCGGATCTCTCGGCAGAAACCCTACAAGCCAGAAGAGAGTGGGGGCCAATATTCAACATTCTTAAAGAAAAGAATTTTCAACCCAGAATTTCATATCCAGCCAAACTAAGCTTCATAAGTGAAGGAGAAATAAAATCCTTTACAGACAAGCAAATGCTGAGAGATTTTGTCACCACCAGGCCTGCCCTAAAAGAGCTCCTGAAGGAAGCGCTAAACATGGAAAGGAACAACCGGTACCAGCCGCTGCAAAATCATGCCAAAATGTAAAGACCATCAAGACTAGGACGAAACTGCATCAACTAACGAGCAAAATAACCAGCTAGCATCATAATGACAGGATCAAATTCATACATAACAATATTAACTTTAAATGTAAATGGACTAAATGCTCCAATTAAAAGACACAGACTGGCAAATTGGATAAAGAGTCAAGACCCATCAGTGTGCTGTATTCAGGAAACCCATCTCACGTGCAGAGACACACATATGCTCAAAATAAAAGGATGGAGGAAGATCTACCAAGCAAATGGAAAACAAAAAAAGGCAGGGGTTGCAATCCTAGTCTCTGATGAAACAGACGTTAAACCAACAAAGATAAAAAGAGACAAAGAAGCCCATTATATAATGGTAAAGGGATCAATTCAACAAGAAGAGCTAACTATCCTAAATATATATGCACCCAATACAGGAGCACCAAGATTCATAAAGCAAGTCCTGAGTGACCTACAAAGAGACTTAGACTCCCACACATTAATAATGGGAGACTTTAACACCCCACTGTCAACATTAGACAGATCAACAAGACAGAAAGTCAACAAGGATACCCAGGAATTGAACTCAGCTCTGCACCAAGCAGACCTAATAGACATCTACAGAACTCTCCACCCCAAATCAACAGAATATACATTGTTTTCAGCACTGCACCACACCTATTCCAAAACTGACCACATACATGGAAGTAAAGCTCTCCTCAGCAAATGTAAAAGAACAGAAATTATAACAAACTATCTCTCAGACCACAGTGCAATCAAACTAGAACTCAGGATTAAGAATCTCACTCAAAACCGCTCAACTACATGGAAACTGAACAACCTGCTCCTGAATGACTACTGGGTACATAACAAAATGAAGGCAGAAATAAAGATGTTCTTTGAAACCAACGAGAACAAAGACACAACATACCAGAATCTCTGGGATGCATTCAAAGCAGTGTGTAGAGGGAAATTTATAGCACTAAATGCCCACAAGAGAAAGCAGGAAAGATCCAAAGTTGACACCCTAACATCACAATTAGAAGAACTAGAAAAGCAAGAGCAAACACATTCAAAAGCTAGCAGAAGGCAAGAAATAACTAAAATCAGAGCAGAAGTGAAGGAAATAGAGACACAAAAAACCCTTCAAAAAATTAATGAATCCAGGAGCTGGTTTTTTGAAAGGATCAACAAAATTGATAGACTGCTAGCAAGACTAATAAAGAAAAAAAGAGAGAAGAATCAAATAGAAGCAATAAAAAATGATAAAGGGGATATCACCACCAATCCCACAGAAATACAAACTACCATCAGAGAATACTAGAAACACCTCTACGCAAATAAACTAGAAAATCTAGAAGAAATGGATAAATTCCTCAACACAGACACTCTCCCAAGACTAAACCAGGAAGAAGTTGAATCTCTGAATAGACCAATAACAGGATCTGAAATTGTGGCAATAATCAATAGCTTACCAACCAAAAAGAGTCCAGGACCAGATGGATTCACAGCCGAATTCTACCAGAGGTACAAGGAGGAACTGGTACCATTCCTTCTGAAACTATTCCAATCAATAGAAAAAGAGGGAATCCTCCCTAACTCTTTTTATGAGGCCAGCATCATTCTGATACCAAAGCCAGGCAGAGACACAACAAAAAAAGAGAATTTTAGACCAATATCCTTGATGAACATTGATGCAAAAATCCTCAATAAAATACTGGCAAAACGAATCCAGCAGCACATCAAAAAGCTTATTCACCATGATCAAGTGGGCTTCATCCCTGGGATGCAAGGCTGGTTCAATATACGCAAATCAATAAATGTAATCCAGCATATAAACAGAGCCAAAGACAAAAACCACATGATTATCTCAATAGATGCAGAAAAAGCCTTTGACAAAATTCAACAACCCTTCATGCTAAAAACTCTCAATAAATTAGGTATTGATGGGACGTATTTCAAAATAATAAGAGCTATCTCTGACAAACCCACAGCCAATATCATACTGAATGGGCAAAAACTGGAAGCATTCCCTTTGAAAACTGGCACAAGACAGGGATGCCCTCTCTCACCACTCCTATTCAACATAGTGTTGGAAGTTCTGGCCAGGGCAATTAGGCAGGAGAAGGAAATAAAGGGTATTCAATTAGGAAAAGAGGAAGTCAAATTGTCCCTGTTTGCAGATGACATGATTGTATATCTAGAAAACCCCATTGTCTCAGCCCAAAATCTCCTTAAGCTGATAAGCAACTTCAGCAAAGTCTCAGGATACAAAATCAATGTACAAAAATCACAAGCGTTCTTATACACCAACAACAGACAAACAGAGAGCCAAATCATGAGTCAACTCCCATTCACAATTGCTTCAAAGGAATAAAATACCTAGGAATCCAACTTACAAGGGATGTGAAGGGCCTCTTCAAGGAGAACTACAAACCACTGCTCAAGGAAATAAAAGAGGATACAAACAAATGGAAGAACATTCCATGCTCATGGGTAGGAAGAATCAATATCGTGAAAATGGCCATACTGCCCAAGGTAATTTACAGATTCAGTGCCATCCCCATCAAGCTACCAATGACTTTCTTCACAGAATTGGAAAAAACTACTTTAAAGTTCATATGGAACCAAAAAAGAGCCCGCATCGCCAAGGCAATCCTAAGCCAAAAGAACAAAGCTGGAGGCATCACACTACCTGACTTCAAACTATACTACAAGGCTACAGTAACCAAAACAGCATGGTACTGGTACCAAAACAGAGATATAGATCAATGGAACAGAACAGAGCCCTCAGAAATAACGCCGCATATCTACAACTATCTGATCTTTGACAAACCTGAGAAAAACAAGCAATGGGGAAAGGATTCCCTATTTAATAAATGGTGCTGGGAAAACTGGCTAGCCATATGTAGAAAGCTGAAAGTGGATCCCTTCCTTACACCTTATACAAAAATCAATTCAAGATGGATTAAAGACTTAAACTTTAGACCTAAAACCATAAAAACCCTAGAAGAAAACCTAGGCATTACCATTCAGGACATAGGCATGGGCAAGGCCTTCATGTCTAAAACACCAAAAGCAATGGCAACAAAAGCCAAAATTGACAAATGGGATCTAATTAAACTAAAGAGCTTCTGCATAGCAAAAGAAACTACCATCAGAGTGAACAGGCAACCTACAAAATGGGAGAAAATTTTCGCAACCTACTCTTCTGACAAAGGGCTAATATCCAGAATCTACAATGAACTCAAACAAATTTACAAGAAAAAAACAAACAACCCCATCAAAAAGTGGGCGAAGGACATGAACAGACACTTCTCAAAAGAAGACTTTTATGCAGCCAAAAAACACATGTAAAAATGTTCATCATCACTGGCCATCAGAGAAATGCAAATCAAAACCACAATGAGATACCATCTCACACCAGTTAGAATGGCAATCATTAAAAAGTCAGGAAACAACAGGTGCTGGAGAGGATGTGGAGAAATAGGAACACTTTTACACTGTTGGTGGGACTGTAAACTAGTTCAACCATTGTGGAAGTCAGTGTGGCGATTCCTCAGGGATCTAGAACTGGAAATACCATTTGACCCAGCCATCCCATTACTGGGTATATACCCAAAGGACTATAAATCATGCTGCTATAAAGACATATGCACACGTATGTTTATTGCGGCATTATTCACAATAGCAAAGACTTGGAACCAACCCAAATGTCCAACAATGATAGACTGGATTAAGAAAATGTGGCACATATACACCATGGAATACTATGCAGCCATAAAAAATGATGAGTTCATCTCCTTTGTAGGGACATGGATGAAACTGGAAATCATCATTCTCAGTAAACTATCGCAAGAACAAAAAACCAAACACCGCATATTCTCACTCATAGGTGGGAATTGAACAATGAGATCACATGGACACAGGAAGGGGAATATCACACTCTGGGGACTGTTGTGGGGTGGGGGGAGGGGGGAGGGATAGCATTGGGAGATATACCTAATGCTAGATGACGAGTTAGTGGGTGCAGCGCACCAGCATGGCACATGTATACATATGTAACTAACCTGCACAATGTGCACATGTACCCTAGAACTTAAAGTATAATAAAAAATTTAAAAAAAGAAAGCAAAGAAAAAAAAAAAAAGATTGCCACCTTTGCAGCACTATTCACAATAGCAAAGACTTGGAACCAACCCAAGTGTCCAACAATCATAGACTGAATTAAGAAAATGTGGCACATATACACCATGGAATACTATGCAGCCATAAAAAAGGATGAGTTCATGTCCTTTGTAGGGACATGGATGAAGCTTGAAACCATCATTCTCAGCAAACTGTCATAAGGACAAAAAACCAAACACCACATGTTCTCACTCACAGGTGGGAATTGAACAATGAGAACACATGGACACAGGAAGGGGAACATCACACACCGGAGACTGTTGTGGGATGGGGGGAGGGGGGAGGGATAGCATTGGGAGTTATACCTAATGCTAAATGACCAGTTGATGGGTGCAGCACACCAACATGGCACATGTATACATATGTAACAAACCTGCACAATGTGCACATGTACCCTAAAACTTAAAGTATAATAATAATAAAAATAAATAAATAAATGAATAAAAATTATTTAGAAAAAAAAATACCTCATATCTTGAACCATTTTTTTACATTTAAAAAATTATGAATGCCATAATACATACAAGCTATATAATGCATATGACCAGTTTATAAAATGACAAATGCATGCATATTCACCACTCACCTAAAAAAAAATAGAACATTATCTTTAAAGTCCCCATACACTATTCACACATAGGACACCCTTCCTCCAAAGGTAACCATTGTCCTGAATTTTACTATTCCTTTGCTTTCTGTTACAATTTGACTACATATAAATATATTCTTAAAAATACTGTTTGATGTTGCTTGTTTTTGAACAAATATATCAATGAAGTCATATTGTATATATGCTTCTGCGACTTGTTCTTTTTGTTATATATTATTTTGTGATATTTATCCATGCTGAATGCAACTATAGTTTACTAATTTTCACTCATGTACAGTAGTAGCCCATTGTGTGACTATACCACAATTTATTTATCTTTTCCCCGTTGATGGACATTTGTTTACATTTTATTGCTAACATAAAAAATGCTATTTTATGCATTCTTGTTTGTTCTTATTTTCATGTGCATACAGGCAAGAATTTCTGTCGGTTTTATATGCAGAAATATAGTTGCTAAATGATAGGGTATGTGCCAATTTTTTCCCAAGTACTTATCCCAAATTACACTACCACTAGCAGTGTGTAAGAGCTCCTGTTATACATCTTTGTCCAAAGTGCATAAGAGTTCCTGTTGTTACACATCTTCATCAAAAGTTAGTAGTGTCAGACTTTAACTTTTTGTTAGGCTAGATATAAGATTGGAGGGCTTTTAAAAAGTGTTTTAGCCCTGGAGATGTTGATTGAGTAGGTCTGATTTGGTCATCTTATGGAGGATTCTAGGAATCTGTGTTTTAATAAATCCCAGGTTGATTCTGATGCTCAGCCAGGTCTGAAACCACAAGACTAGACTGACTTGCGAGACCCTTTATAGTGTGACTATTTTCAGACTCTCTCATTGCCCACACTGATGCCATCATCTTGGTCTGGGGATTTTTTTTCTGCAGAGTTCTTTGCATTTCCATTCCTCCTTCTTTTCCACTTCTCCAGCTAATATGCAAGCCCTGAATCAGGTCCTTATTACGTTATGCAAAGATTAGAAATAATATAGAAGGTGATTACTTACACAGACTCTGGAGTAAGCCTGGATTCAAAAACTTGCTCTGCCACTTGCTTACAGTGTAACCTTCAGCAAGTTACCTTCCCTGAGTCTCTTTTTTTTAGCTGTAAAATGAGAATGATAACCAGAGTACCTATCATACAGGAAATTTGAAGATTAAAAGAGTTAATATATATAAAGATCTTAAAAAATTTCCTGGACAAGGCAAGCACTCAATAAATATCATCTATTACTATTATTGTTGTTATTGCTGCTGCTGCTGCTGCTGCTCTTATTACTTCAACTGCCTCCTGGAGCGGTATATTAGTCTGTTCTTATGCTGCTAATAAAGACATACCCGAGACTGGGTAATTTATAAAGGAAAGAGGTTTAATTGACTCGCATTTCCACATGGCTGGGGAGGCCTCACAATCATGGCAGAAGGCAAATGAGGAGCAAAGTCACGTCTTACATGGCAGCAGGCAAGAGAGCTTGTGTAGGGGAACTCCCCTTTATAAAACCATCAGATCTTGTGAGATTTATTTACTATCACGAGAACAGCATGGGAAAGACCCACTTCCGTGATTCAATTGACCTCCCACTAGGTGCCTCCCATGACACATGGGAATTATGGGAGCTACAATGCAAGATGAAATTTGGGTGGGGACACAGCCAAACCATATCAAGGGGTGTGGGAAATTTGAAAGAAAAAGGGCCTCATTGACAAGCTCTCTTCCACTTCAATTTTCCTTACACTGGGACTACTAAAATAATCTTCTACCAGCCCCATTGTATCATATTTTTGACTCTCAAGAATGAGCAATGGTCCCTCTCACATACCTTGGAGAAATAACCTATCAAATGGTTACGGAAACATCAGTGGTATGACGCGTTTGCTTCATTTGAAGAAAGTTTTTCCTTTTTCTTCCCATTCAACTGTAGCTTGTCTTTGACAATAGTTAAGAAATGTGTTATGATAATTGTATTAGTCAAGATTCTGTCTGGTTCAGCTGCTTTAACAGAGACCAAATAACACCATTTTAAACATTGTAGAAGTTTATTTTTGTCTCACTTCAAACTGAGCCTCTAGGCAGCCTGGGAGGTGGAGTGGTTGCCTTTCAGAAGTCAGAGCCCTGGTGCCATCCATCCTGTGGCCGCACCACAATATGACTCTACAGTAAGAGTCAGCAATTTTTTTCCCTGTAGTGCCAGATAGTAAATATCTTAGGCTCTTGTGGGCCATATGGTCTCTGTTGCAACCACTCATCTCTGCTGTTGGAGTACAAAGGCAGCTATGGGCAATATGTAAATGAATGAGTATGGCTGTGTTCCAATAAAACTTTATTTATGGACACTGCAATTAGAATGTTGTATAATTTTCATGGGTCACAAACTATTCATCTTTTTATTTTTAAACCATTTACCTATACAGAAACCAGTCTTGGCTTGTAGGCCATGTAAAAACAGACAGTGGGCTCGATTTGGCCCAAAGATCATAGTTTATTGATCTCTTTTTCAGGCAATTGCTCTGATTAGCAAGGTCAAAGATAGTTCATCACTACTCTACCCACTTGTCAGGCCCAGTGAAATGAGGAATGAGGAAGCAAATGTCAATCATCTTCCTTTAAATAGAAAGACTCAGACTTTCTCTGCATTACTTCAGCTAACATTGCTTTGATCAATACACAGTCATGTGGCCATACCTAGTTGCAAGGGAATATAGGAAATATAGTGTCTAGCTATATATATATATAGAGAAATATAGCCTATAGCTATGGGCTGCCCTGTGCTGAGCTGAAACTTGATGTGTTCTATTACTAGAAAGGGAGAAAGGAGAGTACAGATATTGAGGGGCAATACGCAATCCCTGTCATAGCACAGGGCAACAGAATTGGTATAATGACAGAAAGATTATCTCCTAGAGTTGGGGCCTCTTGAGGTTTGTCTTCCTGTCATTGCCAAAAATGGGATCTATGATGTTCAGTGACTATAAAATAAATCTCCATGAGACAGATATGATAGTTGTAGGACCGGAGGGGAAAAGGTTGCCAGTCATTCAACTGGCAACTGCCACTACAAAATATAGTCAGTGTTGTCAAGGCACTCAGTGGAGAATGGCCATTTACCACCAAAAGCAAGTGTCAAAAATAACTTCAGAAGCAAGGGTCTTTTTGCCCTTGGTTTTTATTCTCCACTTAGATCTTTTACATAAGACAATTTTTGATATTTGGTAAACCTTAATATAATGTCACATTACCTATCTAGATCATAATATTGAGGCTGGTTACTTCACTTCCAGCCCCACATTTTCAGCTCATGATGGAAGAAGAGTCAAGGGTGAAGTGCGGGAAGTGGATGTCCAATAAGCTTGTTCTAATCAGGAAAGTAAGAGCTTTCCAGATAGACCCAGCCTCTAAACTTTATATCTGACAAGAAGTAAAGTAGTGGGCTTTTTTGTTTTTAGGTAGGCAGATTGCTGCCTTTAAAAAAACCTACTTAAGGGGAAAAATAAATTAAATACTGGATGAAAAACTAGCTGTATCGTCCATGTCCAATTCAATTGTTGAGTTTGGAACAGATTTCCAGAGCACCTACTATGTGCAGGGCCCTGCCCTGAGCCCTAGGAAGGCACAAATTAATAATATAAAATATTTTCTCTTGAGGAGTTCATAGTCTAGAAGGGAAGACAGATTAGCATACATATAACTACCATTAGTACAATAATAAAGTGTGTATAAAGGACAGAAAGGGTTCAGAGCTGAGAGTGATCAACCCTTTCTTCCAGTGGGTGAGAAAGGAGGTCAGAGAAACTTTAGCAGAAACACTGAAAGGGGAATAGCATCACCTTTTTCCTGAAAAAATAGAATCTGTTTGTGTACACAGCAGCATCTCATCCTGCATGCATTGGAATATGAGAATGTGAGAACGGTCATATACAATGGGTGGGAGTGTATGTGCACACACATGCATACGTATGTGTGTGCACACTTTAGCACCCAGGAACCATACCACTCCCCTCTACGAGTCTGAATATTACTGCCTGCAGTGGATGTTATGTGCAATTACCTTGCTGCAAACACTTCTCCCAATCATAAGGACCATTTTCACAAGAATTACCTTGTCAAAAAATACAATTTGTATATAAAAATATGCTTGAAAGATATATGCCCATTCTCTTATTTGGTGCTCACCTGATAAGAAGTAAAATTAAATGCATTTTTTAGAAGGTAGGGGAATATATACCAAAAAGTTCTCTTCTGATTTCTCAAATGAAAATGGGATGGATATTGCTATATGGCAATATTTATTTTTTTGTTTAATCTGAACACTACCTGGGTTTGCATATTGGGCTTAGTAGACCCCAAAAAGCATTAAAAGCCAGAAGTAGAAGACTTGGAGAACATGTAAACACTGAGAGATGACAGGTTTTTGAGGCAGTTAGAAGCTGGGGAATAGATAATTACATCATTGTCTCTCATTCTGTTCCCATATGGACTTGCTTAAATGTCATTTCAGACTGTAAGTTCTCACTCTTTCCTTCCTGGGAAACCTTATTCAACCTGTGCTCAGACACCGTGATAGCTGCACCTTGGCCCAGAGTGCAGCCCCATGGGGAATTCATATTCAGGCATCACCGATTGTTGACCTGCCTATTGTTTGTGATACTTACTGGTAAAGTTTTTCAATCAATACAACATCAGCACAAGGAGCTCCTGGGAATGGAAGCCTGCAGCAGTGTACTTAATCTTGAAGCCAGCTTGTGCTCTCTGCTCTGCTGCTAAACTGGGTAGTTGGCCTATTTGATGTGGCATTATTGCTGCTGAGGTCAGATGTGAGCGGTTCGGCAAGTGCTGATGAATGGCTGCTGGTGATGAAGTGCCTCTTCCGCCCAACAAGAGACATTTAATAATGATGGGCCATAACTGTACTCGCACAAAAATCCGTGTCGCTTGTGAGTCTTCTGGGTTGGAGGTATAGAAGGATTGGCATTATTCTAGAAAGAAGTTTGAAAGTGGTGGTTTTTGGTTTAAACATGGAAAAGGCAGGAGAGAAGCAGTAAATAAAGTTTACTTTATTTACAAAGCAGTATCTCTTTTTCCTTCTCAGACAAGGCCACTGTTCTTTGCAAACCATGTCTTCACATTGTCCTTCATCTTTCTTCCCACGCTTTGCTTTAATGTGACTTCAAGGCAGCATGGGAAAAATGAATGGGAAATTATGATTAACTTTATTAAAATGGATCATTAATAATGTCTTCATCATTGAGGGAGTAACTACTCAGAATGTTAAGTATGGATTTAGCAGGATAACACCCACTCATATGAAGGAGAAATTAATATCTAAATAATTATTGAACATGGCACTAAGAACTCATTCACCATTGTCTGAAATATAACACTTCAAAGCCTGAATAATTCCAAAAATGGTTGTCCTGCAAGAAGTTTCAGTGCATTATTTATGTAGCTATTTCCTGTTCAGTACAATCCTTTTTTTAGTAATCAGACGAAGAAAAAATAAAAATGCTTGGCATGACCTAAATATTCTGTCTGTTATAAATGAAGGCAGTTTCTCTGTAAATAAATAGACCATAGAATATTGTCAAGAAAATAGTCAAAAGTGTAAATGTTGGGTTCAGACAGACTCTACACAGAATCAAAGGGCCTTATTAAATATTTGATTACATAACAATTATCTAACAAATAAGAAAGTATGATTGGATTTTCAGAGGTATTGTTAGTTTACCAAGACTTTGGCCTGTGTATTTAGGGCTGTGAATAGTTGCATTCTTTGAGCAGAGCCCCTAGTTCATTCCTCTCTCTATCCCAGGACCTAACACATTGCCTGATGCTAAGAAGGACCTCTGTAAATACGTATATAATGAATGGAATGAAGTAGAAAATGAAGTAAAGTGGAGGATGGTTTGGGGACATACCTTCTGGCAGTAAGACAAAAGATGCCTTTCCAATTCTGCAAGGTTCTAGTGTTCGATCTTCCCAGTGTGGAGGATTAGGCTATGCAGTACTGTACTAATGATCTTAAACTACTGATGTCCAGTCTGAATGCTGCAAGATAATTTTTTCTAACATTTAAGATGTAAAGTTCAACTCATTTTTTGGTTGTATATGTTTGCATGGCAACCAACCCTCACAAGTGTGCAAAGAAAATTCCGCTTTTCCATTTTCCATGACTGATGGAAACTTCTTTGTGCACTCCAAACCTGCTGTGTAGCCAGGGCAAGGTGAATGTGGGGGACACCTAATTAAGTGCAAATTGTTAAATTTAGTCTCAACCGACAATGTCAATAGATGATTTAGGTATGGCCGACTTTGATTTTCTACTCTCCTGTGCCTTTCCAGTACAGCTCTGGGGATGTCTGGAGGGGAAGATTGACACAAACTTTTGGGGCTGGGCAAAAGGGTCCTGGGATGACAGGTGCCTGCCTTTGTACTGTCCTCTAGTTTCTGAGAAATGGGTATCTCGTGTCCTCCAAGCCCCTAGGGGCATCTGATATTGACTTGTATGGCTGGTCATGGCTTGTGGCCTGTGCTCCTGGCTCCATCTGTGTCTGGTGAGTTGGCTCTGCCTTGGTTCTTGCAGATCTGTCCATGCCCCCTGAAGTCTGGCTCTGGGTCCCATTTATTCCCAGCCCAGGCAGCCTGCCTTCGAGACTGTGCCTTCAGGGCTCCTCTGCCTCCACTTTGGGGATCCATTAGGTTGGATCCCTGCTATTGGCACATGAACTCTTGTGGAGTGGAAGAGATCTTGTTGGGCTCCCCACGGCCCCGCAGCTTAGGAGTGTTAGCTTGGGCATTTTCTTTGCTTGGCCTCGTGGCAGCTCTGGTTGTTCGAAGGTTCCAACCTGTGAGGCTATTGCCTTCCCAATTCTCACTTAAGTTGCTGAGAAAACCCTCTCTGCTCTTGGCTTCCCCAGACCTTCCTAGCATGCTTCTTCCCTCCAGGACTTCAGCACAGAGCAGGGGAAGATACACAGCTTATGCTCTCACCTCTAGCCTCTTTCTCAACAAGCCCCCAAAGCCTGAAAGATGAGGGCCATTTATTCCCACTTCCTGGCGTGGGACTTCTCCTTTGTTATAGTTAATCATCCTTCTCAGTGTGTCATCTCCTTTCCTTTCATCCCTGGGTCTGTGAAACAGTGGTTGAGAGCACAACTTAAGGGAAGAGGAATAGTAAACTTAACAGTTTTTCAAATATTATCCCCTTTATGCTCACCTCTTCTCTCCAGCTGCAATATTTTTTTCTCTATACTTCAGTAATACACAGCCAAGTCAATGCTGGAACCTGGCTTTCAGGTTCCGTATAAAGTTTGGCATCATAGTAGGTGCAGTGGTTGGGATGGTGGACCGCCCCCCACCGCGCCCCCGCCACCAAAGGTATGTTCACATCCTGGAAACAGTAAATGTGACCTTACTTAGGAAAAGGACTTTTGCAGATATAATTAAATTAAAGATCTCAAGATGGGAGAGCATCCTGGATTATCCAGGTGGAGTGAGGAGAGAAGACATGGAGGAGAAGAGCAGGCCACATGAAGATGAAGGCAAAAATGGAAGAGAGTGGCCACAAGTCAAGGAATGCTAACAACCACCAGAAGCTAGAAAAGGCAGGGAACAAATTTCCTCTACAGCCTCTGGAGGGGGTGCGACATGCTCATGTCTTGATTTCCAACTCTGAATTCAAAAGTGTGAGGGAATAAATTTCCATTGTTTTAAGCCACCCATTTCTTGGTAATTTGTTACAGCAGCCCTAGGAAGACTAATACATGAGATGATATCAAACTGGTTTCCCCAGTCACAATCCTCTGATTACAAACTTCATGAGTGTTCAATAAATACTTTGGTTTCTATATGATATTTGTCAATTACCTTTCTATGCTACTTACTTTTTCTCAGAAATATTTCATTTAATTTTATAAACATTTATTGAAAACTTGCTAGATGTGCTAGGAAGCAAATATAAATAAGACAGAGTCCTTTCCCTTAAAGAAATTATGCACCCATGCCTACATAAATGTAACTTCCCTTTCTGAGGAGGGAAGAGTTGAGAGAAAGGGAAGTTCTGAGAAAGGGAAGTTCATTTATGTAAATAGATAGTGGTATGTTTTTTGGTTTACATTCGAATTGGGATTCCATATGGATCTCTTTTTGTGCCTCTTTCCTGATCCAGCAGAATAATTTCTATACAAATTTGAATCAAGAAATTTCAATGGTTTTTATGCCAGCCCAGTTTTCAATCTTTCTTCCCAAGATTGTCAAATTATTCCCTGTTTCTTGACACTGACTCCCCAGAATAACAATAATAAGGGCCAATACCTCTGGATAATAAGATAACCTGGGAATTAAAGCATGTCCTAGAACTCATTTTGTAGTGATTATGCTGTGTTGGCTGGACTAGCTCAGATAACAAGTACTAATCAATGTACACAAATGCAGATTAGAGCAATTCTGGGATTATCCATGGGAACCTTCAGAGGTCACTGAGATCATTAAGTTCAAACACAGATTTGGTTTCCTTAGCTACTTATTTAATTTATCAAGTGCACTGTGAGGGCTAGTTTTAAGTGGTAAGCTGCATCTTGTTGGATCTTCAAGATACACTTACAATCATGGGACAGGAATTATGGGTGTGGTTGTTTGGTGCTCTATATTAACAACAACAAGAGGAAAGGCAAAAAGTCAAAGATCTAGAAGTGTGCCTGTGATTCTGTATTTTTTAAATCTAGACCTGCATCTTTGATTCAGGTTGTCTACATCTGTTCTGAGGGGGGAAGTGATGCAAAGAAGAGAGGACTTTGGAACACAGCCGAGTGGGTTTTAAATCAGGGCTCTGACATTTTACTATCACACAATTGGGGTTAAGTGAGCTTCGTGCTTCATTTTTCTAACCTGACAAATTGAGACACTACTAATGACCTTTCCGGCTTAGTAAAAGTTTTGAACTAGCATTTGTAATATGCCTAGCACAGTGCCTGGCACTTAGTGGTCAGTTAGTGAATGAAAACTGTCATGATCATTTTTTTTTTCTTATTCGCATCTGTTGTTTTAACTGAAGTAGCAGGGCATGAGAGGTGTCAGAGGGACAGTTTTGCTAGCACCAGAGAGTAGGGGCCAGTGGCAGGGTAGACTCTATAAAGAAAAAGGGGCACAGGCACGGTGGCTCACGCCTGTAATCTGAACACTTTGGGAGGTTGAGTCAGGGGGATCACTTGAGGTTAGGAGTTCAAGAGCAGCCTGGCCAACAGGCTGAAACCCCGTCTCTACTAAAAAAAAAAATACAAAAATTAGCCAGCTGTGGTGGTGCATGCCTGTAATCCCAGCTACTTGGGAGGCTGAATTAGGAGAATTGCTTGAATCTGGGAGGTGGAGGCTGCAGTGAGGTGAGATTGTGCCTCTGCACTCCAGCCTGGGTGACAGAGTGAGACCCTGAAAAATACAAAAGAAAGAAAGGAAAGGAAGGAAGGAAGGAAGGAAGGAAAGAAAGAAGAAAGAAAGAAAGAAAGGAAGAAAGAAAGAAAGAAAGAAAGAAAGAAAGAAAGAAAGAAAGAAAGAAAGAAAGAAAGACAAAGAGAGAAAGAGAAAAAGGGGAAGAAAAAAGAGAGAGAAGGGCCCAGCCTCTGAGAGGTTCAGAGTACATGGACATTGGCCCAGCCTAGTTTGGCAGTCAAGAGAGCTGGGTTTTAGTCCAGATTCTGCTGCTGACCTCTGGGTGACCTAGGGAAAATTATTTGTCTCAGTTTCTCAACCAGTAAAATGTAGGAGTTGAACTAAATTTATGTTCTCAATCACCTTTCTGGGAACTAATGCTAGTCTCTGACCAAGTTTTCACTGGTGTACATCAAACTAAGTAAACTATGAACAGTATAGGCAGTTTTTTTACAACACTAAACTAATTACATTCAAAGGATAGTCTTTAATCTGAGATTATGTCCATCCTGATTTTTGGTGTTATAATGCCCTTTCTTAAAAAAAGAGATGATGGCAATAGTTGATGGCAACTGCATCTTGCCAAGATACAGAAAGCAAGCAACCTTATAATTACCCCAAAGTTGTTTGTTTTTTTAACTTACTGGACCATAAAATCCCCAGACTTGGGACTCACAGAGCTAGATGATATCAAGTGCCTCTTAGCCATAAAATCTGTGGCCCCTTGGAGATCATTGATAATATTTTTTGCTCTTAGGTTGCTTGTTGAAATGAGAACTTTATCCAAGACAACCTACAAAAGGAGTTGTAATTCAGGGAGGTGTAGTCTGAGAAAGGGAAGTTCAGGAGCTTGTGTGTCAGTAAAAGGGCACTGACCTTGATAAGCAGAGAGAGATCTGGAGATCTTGAAACAAGACCTGTCCGTCACGCTTGAACTCCCATTTGGAGGTGGAGATAGCTTCAGATCATCTAGTCCAATGGTTCTCAAGTCTGGGGATTTTTTGGTCCAATACATGAAAAATAAACAAAACAAAACAAAACAAAAAAACCTTGAGCAGTCATAGGATTCCTCACTTAAATTTTTTTTTTCTTTTGTCAAGACGCAGTTGTCCTCTACTATGGCTATGATTTCTTAAAAGAAAGGACATTATAACACCAAAAAGTGAGGAATAACATAATCTCAGAATAAAAGACAATTCTTTGAATGCACTCAGGTTAGTGATAGGAAAACCCACAGCTAATAGAAGGAACTCCATCGGGTGTAGACACAGTATGGTGTCCAGATAATAGGTGGCGGGTGACCCTGGAGGGCCCAGGCAAGCAGCCTGCATTACAGCAGTCCAGCCAGAGAGAGAAAACTCTGCTGCTGAATCAGTGGGGGTGGAGGCGAGGGGAACAGCAGGCACCCAGGGAAAGCAGCTGTGGCTAAGCCCGCAGGCAGGCCTAGGGCCTGCCAAGAAAGATTTGGCAGCTGGACATTATCTCAATAAGGACGGGGGTTCAAGAACACCCTGTTGGTCCTGGAGAGGGGGAGACTGATGGCTGGTAAGAATAATAAGAAAGGGCCCATTCCAAAAGAACTGGGAACAAAATCCTGGTTAGCAGGCTGATAAATCAGGCACAGAGGTATGAGACTAAGAAGCAGTTACTCAAACTGGGAAACAAGATGAGGTTCCAGAGCAGAACTGGAATGCAAGATCAGAGTGAAGCTGAGCTTCTGAACTCGGCCTGCTCCTGGAGATTAAAACTTTGGTCCACATATTTGAGTCATCACTGTCCATGTTCAGCCACTGGATTCTCCTATAATTGTCATGGAGTTGGTCCTAGGCTTCAGTGGTTTTTTTAAAGCTCTACCAGATCACTTTGGGAGGTGGATCACTTGAGCCCAGGAGTTCAAGACAAGCCTGGGCAACAGGTGAAACCCTGTCTCTACAAAAAATACAAAAATTAACTGCCCCTGGTGGTGTGTACCTGTAGTCCCAGCTACCCCAGAGCCTGGGGTGGGAGGCCTGCTTGAGCCTGGGAGGTAGAAGCTGCAGTGAGCCAAGATCGAGCCACTGCACTACAGCCTGGGTGACAGAGCAAGCAAGACCCTGTTTCAAAAAAAATAGAGGCTCCATCAGGTGATGCTAATGCACAGCCAGGGTTGGGAGCCCCTGGGCTACTCAAAGCCTCTGTTGGGCGTGGGGTAGGGGATAAAATCTGTAGCAGAGCCAAGGTCTGGTTGGGTCTACAGGTGAAAACCGGAAGCTCCAACTGTGGGGAAAGTAAACATGAAAGAGAAGAGAGCAGGGAGGAGGGTGCCAAGCAGATATGCAGGAGTTGCCCCGTGGCTGTCTGAACAGGAGCTCAGGGAAAAGCTAACTTGCTGAAAAATTCAGAGAGGTCTTTGCTATTCACCGGTATAAGCTAACACCCCCGTTGGGGAGCACTGGCTTAGCAAATATAGCTTTGTGTGTGTTAATTGCTTCAGTAGATGTAAGAAGCATGACAGGTATTCACTCAAGCAGAAAGAGCAGAATTTCTCAGATATCTTCCACTCATTTTATTCAAAATTGAAAGAATAGTCTGCCGTCAGCTGGGGCACTTTGCTCTGCACAGGAAACCAAAACCTTCATCACCCGCCTGATGGTCTCAAGCTGGAAACCTCAAGAAAGAAGCATGACACGGGCTGCTCTGCATATGGTCATTTCCACTATTAGAAACCCCAGTGTTAAATTTCGCTTTGAAACCATAGCAATAAAAAGGCCTGATTGACTTCTTTTTTTTTTTTTTTGCTTTGATAGTTTTCTAAGCAAAGAAAAAACACCCAAAGACCATTAGAAGAGCTTGAGACACTTTTGGTGGGAGACATATGATAGTGAATAAAAAAAAAACAACAACAGTGACTAGATTTGCCAGTGCTTACTGCCTTAGTCTGCTCAGGCTGCGATAACTAAATACCACGGACGGGGTGGCTTAAACAACAGAAACTTAGTTCTCACAATTCTGGAGATCAAAGTGCCAGCTGATTTGGTTTCTGGTGAGGGCTCTTTTCTTGGCTTATAGATGACAGCCTTCTCCCTGTGTCTTCACATGGAGAGGGAGGGAGGGAAGGAGAGAGAGAGAGACGTGTATGTGAGAGAGAGAGATGGAAGGAGGGAGAGAGAAAAAAGAGAGGGAGGGAGGTGAGGAGAGAGAGAAAAAAAATGGTCTCTTCTAAGGATACTAATCCCATGAGATCTAGGTGGCACCCTTATAACCTCACTTAACCTTTCTTATTTCCTAATAGGCCATATCTCCAAATTCAGTCAACATTGGGAGTTAGGGCATCAACATCAGAATTTTGGTGAGACATAATTCAGTCCGTAGCTCTTACTATGTGCCTGCATTGTTTTAAGAACTTTGTAGATGTTAGATAGTTTAATCCTCACAATCCTATGAGGAAGGTACTCTAATTATCCCCATTTTACAAAAGGGGAAACAGGCTTAAGAGGTTAACAACCTGCCCAATGTCACATAGCTGCAATTAATCTCTTTGAAGTATCAAACATACCAAGAAATGACCAGACTGGAAACGCTGCTGATACTTCCTCTGATCCTTACAGAATAAGTCCTCTTGGCTATGTCAAGTTACCTGAGGACTTGGAACAGCTAATAAGCTCTGACACCCATGATTAGGAGAGCTATATTAGAAATATTCAGTATTTATACCCTGTCTCTTCACAATGAACTGAAAGCTCAATTCAAATGCACAGTCTCATATTTGTTTATAATACTATATGACTACTATTAGAAAGTTGGATCCAGGAGCTTGGAAAGTGTCAGAGACTCTTAGAGAAGAGGTGGTGTTGAAATCTCGAGTCTTGAAGGATAAATGCCAGTTGACAAGAAAGCCCTGCAGGAAGGCCTTCCAGGCATGTGCAGGGAGGACATAGTGACATTAGAAGCCATCGTCCACAAGGAGTATTGCAAGGGGTTCCAAGTAGCTGGGCTAAAGGGGGCAGGTTGGGGAACCGCAGCAAGACAGAACCTAAAGTCTTATTTGGGAAAGGGGCCAAAGCCCAAGTCATGCAGAGCTTTCTTTGCCTCTCTGAGAAATGCTGCCTGCAGGACTTTAAGCTCAGGAACAACATGACAAGATTTGTGTCTCTGAAGGATAGTAGGAAGGCCAGAGATTTGAACCAGCAGGTTGAAGACTGGGGACTACTGTTGTAGATCTGAACAGAAATGCTGGGAACCTGAACTCAAGCACCAAGTACGGAGATGGGGAAGTCAGAGTGGAGTCTTGATATTTATAACCAAAATTTAAGAGGTAAATCCAGTGGTACAGTGGAAATTTGCTGTGCATTATCCGGTTATATGTAAATACAACCTCTTGAAAAACATTAAGCAGTTCTTTTCCCTACTAGCTTATGATAGATACTCTTTAGATATTTTTCATTATCAAAAATTATACAATTAGGGCCGGTCACGGTGGCTCACTCCTGTAATCCCAGCATTTTGGGAGGCCAAGGCGGGCGGATCACCTGAGGTCAGGAGTTCCAGACCAGTCTGGCAAACATGGTGAAACCCCGTCTCTACTAAAAATACAAAACATTAGCCTGGCAGAGTGGTGGGCGCCTGTAATCCCAGCTACTCTGGAGGCTGAGGCAGGAGAATCGCTTGAATCTGGAAGGTGGAGGTTGCAGTGAGCCAAGATCGTGTCATTGCACCCCTGCCTGGGCAACAGAGTGAGACTCTGTCTCAAAATAAATAAATAAATAAATGAATGAGTACAATTAGATTGTTGTTCCCATGTAGAGCTCTCCAGTTGCCAACGTGAACTGACCATAGTTACTGGATTGTTGAGTAGTTTACCTCCTATTATATTTGAGTTTCATGTATGCATTTCTTCAGACTTTTCTTAGTTCCATTGCTGTTGTAAGAAACAGGCCAGGAGAGATCAACAGTCAAAGCTGCCTCTAATTCTGTAGCAGCCTGAATCTATCTTCACCAGCTCCCCATTCCTCCCTCCTATCTTTCTCTAGCTGCTTCTTGGGACATTCTCTACTTTTCTTTTCTGGATTTGGGATTAATAGTTCTCTTACCTCCTTAGTTTGGTTGAGATGTTTGGAAAGTTTAAAAGAAACTTTACAGAGGACAGATTTCTTGTCATATATCAATGAGAAGTAGCCCCATAGATTTCCTTATGTAAGGCATAGCTTCCAGAATTTAATGTCAAAATATTTTGGCTTCCTGGAAGAATGTGCTATCACCTTTCTTAACACGTGACTGGCTACACTTTTTACTTTGGCTATCGAGAAGCTCATAGACAAATTTTGCACTCAGTGTAACAAATGTTAGAGCTTACTCTGGTTTTCTATACTCCAATTTCCCCTTTCCTTCAGTCCCTTTCTAAAAATTTGTTTTTTAAAGCTTATGATGTGTCATCTTAAATCCTTTCAGAGAAGTGGGCTATGGGTAAATTCTCCATAATAAATTCTTATCAGCTGAACTCACTGTGCACATTGACTTGCCTGCCTGGAACAAGTTATCGGGCACCATTCCTTGCCTTCCTGTCTGATTCAGTCTGTCTATGGCACATTCACTAGAAAAGTTTGAAGGTGTGTCCACTGTGGAGCAGAAACTTGGCCATAACCAGGGCATGTGGGTCCTTGGAGGTGGCAGCCTCTCCCTCTTGACCTTGCCTTAGTGCCCCTCTCAGGCAGTTGAAGGTGCCTCTGCTCCCTGCTCTAAGCCCATCTCTGGCTACATCTCCTAGTTCCCATTTTCATCCTAAAAGATCTCTCTAGTTCTTTTCTTGTCTTTTAGAACTGGGCTTCCTCTGAGCCCAGTGAATCCTCAAAACTTTCCAGACTAGGTTACTTAGATCTTGCCTTTCCTCAGTGTTACATTAAAACCAGCACATACTATGAACTTATCACATGCCTGGAATTGTGCTAAGTGCTTCTGATACATTATGTTATTTAATTCATACTGCAGGCATGGGAACTTAGAAATATTATAATTCGCATTTTCAAAGAAAAACCTGAAACTCAGAGAGGTTAAGTAGCCTATTTAAGAACACATTGCTAAGTAAGTTCGAATTCAAGCCAGAAGTTGAACTGAGGTTTAAACCAAGGCAGTCTGGTTCTTGTGTGCCTACTTCTAAGCCTCACAGCGTTCTTTACCCTCAGGTACATGCCATGACAAAGAGTGAGCATAGCGAATTCCGATCCTCACCGTTTGGTAATGTCAGTATACCATCAGCTTCCTGAAACAGTAACAGGGAAGAGATGGGTTGCTTTCTCACATGCCTATGTCTAAATTACTTTTAATTATTTTGTCATTATTGACTTGAGTACAGATGGAATATTTTTGTGATGAAATTATCTTAGGCACACTTTTTCTGATAATTTTCACACTTATCATGAAGCCCCATTTTGTGTGTTTTATATTTTCAGGTTATCCAAAATAATTCCTTACAAAAGAGAATTCATGCCTGCAAAAAGTAGTGAATGAAACTTGATTTTTGCCTGGAAGAGCTAACAGCCATTTCTCTCCATGCACTACAGACTTTCCCATTAGGAGCAACATATATAAAATGTTCAGAAATAAGGAAGAACAATATTTATTATGCAGGAAAAAATATACCTCAATGGCAATGATGATCACATTTAGAACATTTCAATTTTTGCTATTGTCTATTCTACCAGGATTGAGTCTCCATATACTCTGAAAGAAACGTTTAATGTTAATAGAAAGAACATCACACTTTGGAAGAAGGGAAGGGATTTCTAGTGCTGAATCTGTATTAAGTTATGCTGTTCTGAGTACATACTCGGTGATTTTAACCAAATGAAAATAACATGCAGCCTTACCTATCTTATATCCTATCATTCTTCTCTCTCTCTCTTTCTCTCTCTCTCTCATACACACACGCACACACACACACACACACACAGAGAAATCCTTAGCTCACAACAGACAGACATCTCTGAATGGGCTAAAAATAAACACAAGGCCTCGAAAGAAAGGCAGAAACAGTAATGACAGTTTTGAAATTTCCAGTACCTGTTGTGACAGGAATAACAAATTAATTGGGACTATAACGGATTCTTTGTAAAGGTGAAGTAAACACACTTGACTGTATATTTTTCACCATCAGTTAAGTCTCAATTGGTTCGAAAAATAAACAGAAGACATTGAACAGTTTTAATGGATTCTGACACCTAGGTATTATGCTGTCACTCCAGTATAAATGAATCATAACTTTGGACTGCACATAGGAATTACTACACATTTGGAGAAAATTTATGGTGCACCAAGCTTTGAATCATGATGTGATATCAGAACTAAAGTCAAAAGAGGAAAAAAGCTGGGCACAAATTACTATCCTCAAGCCCTTATGAATCTACCCATGCAACAGGCAAAGGTTAGAGGATTTAGAAATACTGCCAATAATTATCGTGAAGGCTGGAACAAATTTATCCTTCTGAAAGTGGTTTGTAGTAAAAAGAAAAAGAAAGAAATCCAGCAGAAGACCACTTCTGTACACATGACAGAGATGTTGAATTTCTTCCTTGTGTGCACATCCTTCTGTCCAACTAGACTGAAATCCTCCTGAGGGCATAAGCATTGCTGTGATCTGAGAGGCCATGCATTTTGATTTTCAGTAAAGGAACCAGTCATTGGTCCAGTTAACTTACTGAATTGACTATGTTAATAACCACAACCAGCCAGACTCATTGTTTCCAGTCACACGGGCAAAAATTTGAACTTTTTACTTTTTGAATGAAGGTTGACGTGGTCTAGACATTGCTTTGAAGTCTGTGACTATCAGAAGGAAGACTATGGGAGGATATGCCCTGTGAAAAAAGAAATCTGTGAATAAACAACAGTGTTTTGAGACTTTGTATGTTTCATGGGAATGTGTTAAATGTTTATGTATTTATTTGATTGAAATATCAGGTTTTAAACAGAATCATGCCTAAAGAGATTAGATGCAGACATCAGGATAACACTTTTTTAAAGTGCTTCTATTGTAAAATAGAAATAATAATACTGCATGTTTATACAACTTTGACATTTTTCAAAGCATTTTCATAAATAGTACGTTATGCTATCTTCTGTAAAGTAAAAAGCCTGGCTTATTACTCCATTTTACAGATGAAGAAATGGAGACAGATGAACTCAATCAGTGAAGAAGCAGATATTAGAGTGATGGTCTTTTGCTTGTTTGACCAGTCTTCTTTCCAGATGTTTGCTTATTTTTCTGTTGGCTAAATAGGCAAAATCTAACATTTGTGTAGTGCTGCCTATTACAGTTGGACAGCAGGGCGGGTAGGCTTATGCTCATTTTATAGAGGAGAAGACTAATGACCTGAGAGGTAAAGTGAATTGTCTGTGGTTGCACGGCTAGTAAATGGTGGGATTCAAGGACAGAACCTCTTGCTCTTCCCAAGAGCCTTGGCCACGAAAACCTGGCATATTAAACAATCCTGCTCCCCTTCCTCCTATTCAGCTCCCTGCATTATCATGGCTCCAAACAACCCTGTCAGTTAACTCATTGGGTTTGTTGATTTTCTCTGAAAGACTTAACTTGCAACAACTGAGGCCCTACAACCTGTGAAATAGGGTTGAAGGCTAATCAGAGATAACCGTGTGCAGCTGGTTTATAAGCCGATTCTTTCCCATGTTTGAAGAAAAAAAATGCAATGGTGTTCTCATCTTTTCACGAGAAATCCATTAATTATCAAACACATACCAGACGATGGAAGACTCAGAGTAGCTGTCTTTAAGTAAAAACCCAGGCATCTTTAAGGCAAGTGGCCAGTTTGGGTCCTAGGTAGGAG
Organism: Homo sapiens; assembly: GCF_000001405.40. Classification (NCBI taxonomy): domain Eukaryota; kingdom Metazoa; phylum Chordata; class Mammalia; order Primates; family Hominidae; genus Homo; species Homo sapiens. The sequence goes on along the minus strand of NC_000002.12, from coordinate 175,569,645 downwards.
TCCGGGGACAAGGCAAACACCATATAGGGAGGTAGGGGGTACCCATAGGGTAGCCTGTGAAGAAATGGGGGTGGGATAGAGAAACTGAGGGTAGAACAGGCTAGAAAGAGGCAGAATGGAGGCCCTCACAGGTCACCAGGCCAGGCCCTAAGAACTTCTCCTCATCACCTTGGCCATGGACACAGGTTGATCCTATGACAGTCTTGATGGTCGTTGGCTTGTCTATTCCAGCCTGCCATTTTGATACAAGCATCCTAAAATGGCCATTACACATTTTCAATGTTCACTTTAGCTTCTTCTAGGTTTAATCCATCCCTTGTGGCTACTTGCACAGCTTCAGTTTCTATGCAAGGCTTTCTACATTGACCTTGCACAGTTATCAATGTTTTAACATCCATAAAAAAATAAAAATGTGCGCTCCCATAAAGAGCAGCAAACAGAAAAACAGTAAGTAGTAGGAAGATGTGAGGCCGTGCACCACTAGTCTCCATAAGGCCAGCATTACTGCGAGCTTCCATTGCATCCCTGAATTTAATGGCTGTGAATACGGTTATCGCAGGCTTTTTAGAGGGCATTATATTAGTGTGACCGTCGGTAAGTACCAACTTCACGTTTTTATTTCCACTGCAAAGGAGATCGTTTCCTATGTTCCTTTGGAAAGGGAAACAGGGCTTTGCAGCTTTTTTAACCTCCTGGAAAATAAACTGCAGCTGCCAGTATTCACATTCACCCGCTTCCTAGGCTTTTGAAGCTTTACTCCTGTTAGGAAAATGGGCTGTTTATGCTGAAACTGAAGTTTCCTGGTGTTTTGTTTTTAAGATTAAAAAACACTGGAGAGTGAAAACAAAGCTTTTAAAGCTTCATCAAAGGTGGGGAGGTCACTCCTTTCTGTTTCTCAGGTTTACAAACAGGGGTCCAGAAAAAGCTCCATCTCAGCGCTGGGAGACCAACCAGACATTTAAAGGGGTAGCACCTTAACTTGTCAATTTTGAGAATACCAAACGATCCTGGAGGTTTTTTTACTCCTTTAATCAGCTGTAATTTTCAGCTCTGATGCTGTCTGACAGGCTTCATCTCAACCCCCGTGCTACACTGCTCCTCTGGCTTCATCACTGCGAGATAGAAATAAGGGGGAGGGGATCTGGAACATGAACTGACAGCATAAATTGGATGGGATCTCACCTACCTATTGGGATTGGTGCCCCAGTTTGGAGGGTCTGAAGGGGAAGAGTTGAAAGAATGCCCACGTCGTGGAGGAGGGTCAGGTGCTAAGACTTTTTATAATTTTTTCTTTTTCTTTCTTATACCTTTTTTCCTTCCCTTCTTCTTCCATTCTCTTTCCCTCTCTCTTTTCTCTCTGTCTCTTCCTCCTCCTCCTCCTCTCTCTCTTCCCACTCTCCGGTTTTAAACCCAGTTATCTCCTTCTTATCCTCCTTTGGATAATAGGCATGCACACTTTGGATCCAGGAGAAAATAGGTGCACACGCACACACACACGCATGCATATGTACACACACAGAGATGCACACACATACACTCACAGAGGCATTTATATCTCGTGCATTGAACAACAATAATATAGTAGTAGCTGTTACTTCTTGAGGGCTATGTGCCAGCCACTATGGTCTGTGCCTTATCTCAATTAATCCTCAAATCATCTCTGTGAGGCTCATTGTAGAGATCAGGAAGCTGATCTAAGTCACAGCTAGGAATAAAAAAGAGCACAACCTCAGAGGCCCATGGCCTCCAGGCCAAAATGTCCCTACTTTCAGTTTCTCTTTATATCAGTCTTATCTACAATCCGTAATCCTCTCTCAACGCTGACTGTCAGCAGTGGAAGTTTAGGAGGAGTCACATAGGGACCGGTAGCCCCTGCTGGGGTTGTGTTTCAGGTGTGAGGACCAGCATTGCTCACACTCAGGTCCAAAATGCTCTTCTTCATTCCTGCATCTTCTTCCAGGTGGGTGTTGGTGAAGGGGATAAAAACTGTGGCCTTGGGCTAAGAGCGTGGGAACAGAAGGACTGCCTTTCTATCAGGGATGCCAATGCATGGGAGGAGGGGTGGTTCTGGGCATTTTTTCCTGATCTTGCAGCCTGGGAGGCATCACCCCATGTTTTCTGGGCTGCCTGTCAAATAACAGAAAGAGCTGCTTACATCAGTTTGAGACCCTGGTGCCATTGTGCCCCCATTTTCCATACACACAATGCAAGACAACCTTTTCCCCAGCTTCTTCCCCTGAATAAGGATTGAGGCCTTTTCTGGGGAATATATACTAGCCTTAAACATATAATACATGCCCTTAATTGCTTCAAGGTCATTTTCAGGAATTCTGATATGTTTGAATAATTAGCCTTAGAAGTGTATATTGCATTTCTAACTTAGTGGGTAGAATAGAAAAATAAATTGCTTCCTGTTTTCCTGTTTGGAAAGATGATGGAAGATACTAAGATAAAATTAATTTTAATAATGAAATTATTTTATGTACATATGGACAGCATATTCCTATTTGATGTAATTTTGTTATTCTATAGTTATAAGCCACATTCTATTTCATAGGTAGGTGCATAAGTACGCTAGGCAGAATGAAATGATGATGTGAAAATCATACTTTTTTTAATCATATATGTCTAAACATGGGATATGTCCAGTGATCTTTCTCCCCAGTCTTCTTTCCCATTCTCCTCCACCTCAACACCACAAAATGAACAAAACCAGGCAATTGATTAGCATTTCTGTAAGATGTTTTCTTGGTTAAGTTTGAACTTGAACAACTTGAGCATAAAGGTCACTTGATTCCAAAATGCATGTATTCACACATGTCACATATTGTGTTTTTTCTACTTTTTAAAAATATATGTATACATTCAAAAAAATCTCACAGTGTGGCACAATTTGCTACTCTTCATTCAGGGGTAATTTCTTACTGGGGAGATCTCCCCCCTCAAAATTACAGTTCATGGTCATTACTGACTTGTTCAATCAAATCTAATATAATAGTATGGAAGACTCAATCCTTTTGCTCTTTGCTTAAAGTTTTTAGTTTTAAATAATGCTTTCTCTTTTAGCTACCAAGCAGTGTCACAGATGAAAAATATTACCTTGAAGAAGTAAAATACTTAAGTGGATTTTTAGGGTCTTAAACTCATAAAACCCCTGTGAAATCATGTGTAGGTGAAACCATCACACACGATGAAGAGAATTATGCTCTGGCATGATGGTAATTAACCACCACCCTAAATAGCTGGTTGTACTTGTAACCCTCATGTCAGGATTAGAATCCTTAAATAATGGCCGTGTTTATGGTTCTAATTTGGTTTGCAATTGATTCTCCTAAAAACCGTAAGCCAGGAAAGTGCTTATTGTACGGACCACAATATAGCCTTCGTGAAGACTATTTTAAAATTACTCTGGTGTCCTACAAACTTCAAGATCTTTTGTTTTCATAAATTATGAAAGGGAAATGTCACAAGCACTCATCGCTGTGGTGCCCTGGCTCTGCTGACAGCTGTATGATGCACACTCAGTGCGGCAGGTTGGGAGCTGAGGGTTTCATCAATAAATATGACTCTGATCGCTTCATGTCGACGGTCAAGGTAATGGCGTTTTAGTATCTTGGAAACATGCACCACTCCCAGTCACATGCAGACTGGAGAGTTGAAATCCATAGTGCGGAGCTCATCTCATTCTTTCTTCTTGACAGAAATTCCACTTTTTATCTTTCTCACAATTCCTGACGATAATCTGTTTTTGATACAGTCATATTTCTTACTTGTATTTTACCACCACATAAGGCTGCATGTATACTGTACATAGCATGTGGAAATCAAGGTTGAAACTAATAGTGTATGTTACATTAGAAGGAATATCACCTCTCGACCTGTTCCAGCGTGGACATGACCACTGCTTCTCTGGATCCCTAAAGATGATTAGACCAATGTTTTAAAATATAAGAAAAGCAAACAACAGAAGGCCAGGGACACTAATCCTCCATATAGGAAGAATCATGTAGAATAAATCCAAGGGCATTTTTAAAAAGAAATCAATACTAAAACATTATGTGTGTGAATTAATTTAAAAATAAACTGTAGCTTTCCTTAGTATCCAAGCTGCCCTACTTTACCCATTTTTCATTTGCCTTTACCCTCCATCTGCAGATCTCACCTCTACCATGAAAGATATTTTCCATAGATGTTAGATGCAAATATTATACATAACTGGCCTTTAAATTCATAGTTTTATTTATTTTAAAAATATACTTGTTTATGTTTGCTTCTTTTACAATTTGGTACGATAGCACAGTATATAAAATTGATACTTAAAAAAGGAATGTTTGCAACATTTATGAAAACAGATTAAACATACTGTAATTATTATTGAGATCTACATATCCATGGTAACTTTGGATGTTTTTATTTTTAGCCTGTTCTTCTTGGTATGAAGCAGTTCTTTATAGTCACTTGTTTTTCCATAAATCCTCTGCTTGGAAAAATTTTAAAGTTAACATGAAATACCTAGGTTTAAAATGTCACCCAAAAAATTAAGTTTATATCTCTACACCACTAAATTTTTGCCATTTTCCAATGTTGACTTATTTAAAAAAATATCCACAGTCACCTTGACAGAATTTTCAAACTTTGGAATATAATTTGACTGTGAATGTTTCCTCAAACCACAAAACACAGAAAGGCAAGAAATCTAAAAAATCCTTGCGTCTGGGAAAACTCAGGGTGGTAAGTAGGTTAACGTGTTACTCAAACTATAGGGAGATACAGTTTTTGACATATGAATGTTATGAACAAGGTCTTGCAGACATTTAAGCTGTATTTTTTACCCTTTTGAATCTACTTTTACACTGACCATAATTGAAATAATGTTAAAGTGTAACCAAAAGAATTTTCAGCAAAAATGCTGAAAGGAACCAATTTATGTGTAAAAAGATCAAGAAAGACAGGCTAATTTTTAAAAAGCCCTATGCTCCCGGCATTAATATCTGATCTCTGCAAAATTCATTTTATACTTATAATGACTTTCTCTTTTCATAAAGAAAATACTTTTTCCCCCTCGTTTATTGACCAAACTGTGATGAGAAAATAAGAAATTTAATGCCAGTGGATTATTCTTACGTTTTTTTTTTTTCTGAAAACGTGGGAAAGAATTGGCTCCAATTAATGCCGAGAACACTTTATTTGTGTAAAAATATAACATGGTTAATAAAATGTTAGCTATGAATAAAAATGTAAGTACAGTGAAATGCAAATGTAGGCATGGCTAATGTGCAATACTGTATACCCATGTTGATTTCTTTAGTGGAGAAAAATATCTATGATGCAGTCAGTAAGTTAAATTATATCAGAATGTGTTCTTTAGGAGGTTTCAGAAGCTCGAGATTTCATACTTTAACGCCTGCACACAAACTGACTTTAAAAAGCAAAGATTTGAAACAGATAAAGCAACATTTTGCCTAAAGTTCATTCATCAAAGGGCTGCATATTTTGAAAAGGGTAAAAGTACTACTAAACCCATCAGGGATAAGTAAAGGCTATATACTATAGATTATTTTAATCCCCCAGCTAGATATAAAAGGGATAATTACATATTTGTGGTTGAAGCCATGTGGTGGAAAAATCAATACAACTTTTTTGTATGACACTTCATTAGTGTGAAAAATTTTAAAAGCTGAGAAGAACTGCCTAGCAATTAAATGCCTCTGCTACTTCAGCTCCAGTAATGGGTTTGTATTATTATCTAGTTTATTTGAAATAGTGGTTGCACTATAGAAGTAATTGGAAAACATTGATTATGCACTTGTATCTGGAAAGCCTGGCAAATCATTACAGGGCCCGGCAACAGTTAGTTAGCCTTACTAATGAAGCACTAATTGCTCTAAGTAGGTTAACATGTTAGTGAAACTATAGGGAGATAATAGTTTAGAAAATCCTGAGGTATTTTGCCAAACATGCATTTTCATTTAATATTCTGGAGATTGACACCATATGAGTATTTTTTTCCTTTTGTTTTGTTTTGTTTATGATGCTCTTTTGGAAAACAAAAAGAGTAGCTTAAATGAAGTTCCCACAATCATGTGGCATAAAATGACTCTGTTTCCTTTTATGCCCCCTTCTTATTAATGCAACCTCTTTTAGCAAATGGAACTAAGCCACTTTCAGCATGGTTTCCTTGAGCAGTTTTTTGGGTCCTTCAGTTCAGAAACTTCTGACATTTTTATCTTGGTTCACTCTCCCAGTTCAAGGGCTTCATGAGCCAATCCATGCTATATCTTCCAGCTGTTGAGTCATGATACCATTGTCCTATGTACATCAGAGCTATGCTTTCAAAACTATCATTTTCACTTTAAATTAAAATAATTTGTGGAACTTAATAGGGCTTTATTAATAGAAAAAGGGTACCAGTATATCCCCCACTGCCATTAGTGAAATTTTTAGGAGGAAAAAAATGAGTATTAGAGAAATTCTTGCTTATACACACCAGGAGACAAAATTAAGAATGTTCACAGCACTGTTGTGTGTAATAATAGCAAATGAACAAGCCAACACACCAGAACCCACTCAATGCCCATTGACAAAGTAATGGACAAATAATTATCTTCTATTCACAAAATGGAGTATTATACAATAGAGAAAATGAATGACACATAAAAACATAGGCACATATGTTCGGAATGAATCTCAGAGAAATAATATGAAATGAGAAAAGCAAGTTTTAAAAGACCACATAGGATATGGTACTACTTTATAAAGTCTCAAAACAAACAAAACTGAACAATCATAGTAATATACACATATATAGCAAATTTATTTTTTAAAGTCTATAAAATAGTATACATAGAAAATTCAGGATAAAATTACCTCAAGAGCTGGAAATGGGGGCAGAGTGGAGGTGTCAAAGGCTTTGGTGGTGTCATAGTTTTGAATTGGGTGGAAGGTCACACTGTTCATTTTAATATTATGCTTTGTAATTCAAATTTATGTTGCAAATAGTCTTTTGTACATAACAATAAAAAAAGTTTTAAAGAATCAGTATCTTCCATTCCTTAAAGAAAAGTACATCATCTTGTCCAGTCAAATGATCAAGTCTTACCCCTTTGATGTTCTAAGGAAATCAGAGAAAAAATATTGCCATTTTAAAATTGCTATATATTTTTTGCCAATTATTGAAAATATCAAGGTAAGAAAATAGGAAAAAATGCTTTATTTAATTAAAAAAGAAATCTATTTAGATTTTAAAAAATATAATAATTCACTCTTGTATATTTACAATGTATTCATAAGGATAGGGATATTTTTCTTTGTAAGACTTAGGTAAACCTTATACCAATGACTGAGGCGTTCACATGGTTTACATCTGAGTAAAATATTTATCTTTTGGGGCCATTAAGGAAACAACAGTAGTATTAGGATGGGAAAGGACAAATTTCCTATTCCTTTTTCAAAAAACATATTTATTTTTTATCTAGCAACATCTACCAATATAGAAGGCAATCAAATGCCACAACCCCTGTAAGATGTCCAGCAAAGTTTGGGGATCAGTGAGAGGGGAGATTAATTTTCTGTGTCTTGCTTCCCTTGCCTGGCTGCTTGGCTTCCTGTACCTAATGCAGAACTTGGCACACAGTAAGTGCCCAATATATACTTTTGAGTCAAGATTTTTGTGAAAACAATTTCTAAGAAGATAGATATATTAAAATGTTATTGATTTGAATGCCAAAAGTGAAAATTTACAAGTAATATGACAATGGCTAACAGAAGAAAAATTCAGTTACCCAAATCTCCGAAATAAGTGAGAAAACGCGCCTCCAAAGCAAACCGGAGACCAGTGATGCTCTTGAGATTTTCTTTATATTTCTAATATATGATACGATTATATTATTTTGAGAAATGCAGCTCATGGAAAAAAAAAGTCCACAAAACTCTCAAAGGGTTGGAGGTTCAAAATATTTCCTTGATCTGTTAAAACAAAAAGCAAAGGAATTCTTTTCTTTTAGACATAGGCCCTGAAATGTTTATAGATGTGATAAATTAAATGATGCCTAGGGTTTGCTTCAAAACTAAACAAGTCGGGGAGTGGACGGGGCATTAGTGAAACCAGAATGACCATGAGCATGAGATGATATTCATTAAAGCTGAATGATGAGTATACACGGAGTTATTAGGTTATTCTGTCTCTTTTCTATATGTATTTTTTTCCATAATAAAAAGATTAAAATGTATGGGGCCAGATTTATTGAAATCCCATATGAAACTATTTTGTAAATGGTTAATGCCTAGCCAACTACTCATACTTTCTCTTCGGGTTGGAAAAAATGTAAGATTCTCATTCTTGACACTAATTCTTCTGAAAAGATCCATTTGTTTATTTTCAAGTGGCATTGGTTGGTAGCAAACAGTTGCCCTTAGGTGATACCAATTGAAACGGAACTCTTAGCCTTCAATGGGAGTTTGTATTTCCCTCAACGTTGATTTTACTTTTTTCTCTTGGAGTTATTGGAAGGATCTGGCTGGGGTGGGTGGTTGCAAAGAGAGGGGATTATTGTTTAAATGAGACCCTGTTTCTAGCCTTAAGTCAGACAAGAGCCATTCTGGTTGCATTCAACATTTCAAAGAAAAGTAACAATGCTCTCAGAGAGCCGCTCTCTACAAAGCAGCTCATTATTGTAAATGTGGGGCATGTTTAGACTGCTAAGGAGAATCATAAAAGTACGGCCTCTACTGCAAGCTCCTTTTGCAGTAAACATTGTCCTCAGGCCAGACAGGCTTCTGGGCAGCCCCAGCACCAACAGCCTGCGTGGAAAGCTCACCTGACGATACCAAAACGAGGGAAGTGGAGTTATGGAAGTATAAATGTGCATGGTGAACATTATCTGCAAGGTCTTTTATGTTAAGGAAATCATGACACCTGCCAATCTTTCAAATTCCAAAGGGTAAAGCATGAGGCCTAGTAGGCTGTCATTGAACATGACAAGCTTAATGCCAAGTTTATAACAGAAAAAGGGCAATCTTATTGTGGTTTATTCAGTTTTATGTTGCTGGTTCAATAGGAAGGCATACTCTCTCTCTGTCTCTCTGTCTCTTTATAAATCTAATTTATAACATTTGAAATACCAAACAGATTCTTTACATATCTCCTGAGCCCCTGCTCCCCTTCACTACCCGCAGTCTCTCCTTTAGGGAACAACCCCTAAATCCTTCCAATTTAGCATGTTCGTGAGGCTAGACAATTGTTTTAGTTGAGCATTTCTTCCTGTTGTTATAGAGCTGTTTCTAACTCCAAACATTTCCGTTTAATTACTGCTCAGACTGTTGCTCTATTTTCATTTAACCTGCCCCTCGCTTGAGCCCATTGGGCTGAAGAAAGAATTACTCCCCACGCTGTTCCTTAGCCCTTCTTGTTCAGATCTGTAATTGGCCCTGTGTTTTTGACTTTTTGCTAATAAGCAGCTTACTTTCTCTCCCCCTAGACTCAACCCACCACTTTTGTTTCATGAATTTTACAAAGGATTTTAATAGATGCTTTAGGCTATGCAAAATGTTATATGAAGGGAAGCATTAATGCAACAGCCTTGACACAAAGGACGTGTGAATGGCTGCTTATCATTACAGTCAGGTCTCAAAATTTTCATTAGGAGTTCTGGAGGACAAAAGAAGAAAAAATGCAGCTATATGAAGGAATATTAACCTATACTGTGTAACCAACTATAATTGCTTAGCATTTTACATTAACTCTCTTCAGACACGGCCTCTCATTATTTTTACACATACATAATAACTGCTTATTACAGCGGTATAGTTCATGCTGATCCACGGTGGATAAGGCTGTGTCAGCACTTCCAATATAAGACCCACTTTCATGGGTTTAAAACAGCTGTAAAATTTACCTCCAGACCAAAGATTGGTAATCAACTTTCCACCTGGAGAGAGAATTTTGTTTAAAGTTAAAGAAATTAAAAAAAAAAAACACTTTTATTAAGAAAAAAAGTTTGCTTGTTTTAAATTACCAACAAGAAATGAATGAACATGTTTAATACATTTTTGAATTTCTAAATATGGATGTTTATTGAAATCCACTCTGAAGTGTGCTTTTGATGATAAATATAAATAAATGAATTTTAAACAGCGCCAAAATTAAATACTACATTCATAACAGACTTTACTGAAAATATTTATACTCCTAATAGATTTCATTTCACCCAATGGTGCTAGGAGCACTGCACATATTTTCAAGATGTATAATCCATAGTTTTCACTGGAAAATGAATAAAAATATTTATCAATTCCGAGTGTAAGAGCCCATGAAAAGTCATCCACTTATATAACAATATACCGGCTTTTAGAATTATTTTGAAATCCTGTTTCCTGAAAGTCTCTAAGCAAACTGATTTTGACTAAGAAAGAGAGTAGGAACTCAGCAAAATACTGGTCTATGACCAAAAAATTGGGGACTGTGTAAGAGTAGACGGTAGATTTGCTACATGAAAAAATGGGTCCATTTGTGAAAATTTGGGCTTCTGGCAGAAGTAATTCAGAGGATGATACTGCTAATTTTCATTAACTTTGCAAAGTACTCCGAAGTTTCTCAATTCCCAAGGTGTAAAAGTATTTGAGATCATGCTCCCATAATAATAAGAGACATATCAGCATTAACTGCTCCCCTAAATGTGCCGAATTCATTTGTCATGAAATGTCTGCATTTGTTTCTAAAGGAAATGAAAGCTACAAAATGGCCTATCACTTCTTGAAGGTATCAGAGAAGCTCTTCTAACAGGTGAATAAAAATTTACATGGAAATTTTCCCTTACATTGAAAAAAACTTAGAATACCTTTAAAATTATTTCAACCATGCTGGTTCTATAGCAAAAGTTGAAAATATATCCTTCAACACATTATGTTTGTGAACAACAAATCTATCAAATATCAATGGAATAAGACAGAGCTTGTCTCTTTAATTCCCACTAAACTTCTAGTCTTTTCCTCTGCTTCTGTCACCCTTTTAACTCAAATGAGAAGGCCCATCTTAGCTATGTTTCTCAGACTTAGCTGATTCCCTGATACAACCCAAGGACTGCTAACAAAGAAAAAAGAAATACTCATTTAAAAGTGTAAATCCTCTTAGAGTAATATCAGATTCTATAAAGCAACTTATTTTACTATCTCTTTAAGTGACAGCTTATGAAAGGTGGAAACATAGATTAAAAGTGGCTCTCAGCACAAAGATATTCATGTTTCATGGTTTTTGTGTAGTAAGGAAGTAGCACCTCTGTCCCTAAACTGTTGGAGTAAAGGGCTCCTGGCTGGCATGTGTGCGATGACTCTTCTGCGTTGGAAAAAGCTGCAACTTGTTAGTACAGTTCCAGTAAACAGAGTGCTAGCCTCACATAGCTAATTAGCTGTGGCCCCTGCTCACCTGTGCTATATAGTGACACTCTAATCAGAGATGATTGTCATCAGATATCACAGATGTCTCTCTTGCTGCTCAGCCCAGGCAGGCACTGGTGCAGTTTAGGGAAGGAAGCATAGAAGCTGTTTAGAGACACCGGGTCTTTGGGTGCCTCAGCTGCTGGTTCCAGGCAGCTCGTCACTCCTGCCTGCTGAGAGGAAGAACGCAGGGTTAGGCAAGGAGGGGGGTATCATACCTGTCGGGTTTTCCAGGAGGCAGTGATGCAATCAGTTTGAAAAGAGAGGTTTCAGAAAAAAAACATGTAACTGAAGCTACTCAGGACTTTTCTGAGCCACCTGGGATTCTTGGAGATGACAAATGCTAATTCTTCTAATTCATCACATATTTTTGAACTGGGTGTCTGAGAGGGCTAAAGGAACAGGGTTAAAAATTTAGAAGCCACAATCAAAGATGTGGTAAGGAAAACAAAGCAGCATGCAAAGAGGTGTGACTTGAGCCCTAAAGTGGGAATCTGATAACCCAATAATCCTCAACCTCTCCCTCTCAGCTAGGCCTCTTGTTCCACCCCATGAACTTAGAAATCCTCTATTCTCTGACCCTTCTACCTAGCATCCTGTTATCCTTCAGGAGTAACTGAACTTCTCTCGCTGGGGTTGCTGGTAATCCTCCTCTCTGAAGGAATTTCAGCTCATTTGACTTCTCTCATAAATAAAAATTGCCCTCCCCCCTACCCTACCGCCATTTCCAAACACCCACACCATGGCTTCTTCAGCATACTCTCGGCTCCCCCAGCTGCTCTTTCTTGGGCTCTGCCCAGGCTCTTCTTCCATGTGCTGTCCCTAACATTCGATGCTCGAGAGTTCCATTCCCAGTCCTTGTTTAGGGTCCTTCTCAGCTACCGTCTCCTGCATAACCTCATCCACACCTATCTCTTCTAAACCAAGACCACTCTTGAAACATATAAATCTTCTTCCAGAGCTCTCCTAAGCTCCAAATGTTTATTGAACATTTTCTCCAACTATCCCAGGGACATCTTCTATTTAACTTGCCCCAAATTATAAACTCACCTGCGTCCCAGCCCTTCTCACTCTTAGGAACTCCCTCTAACCCAAGTCTTCCTTAGTATTCGCCAACTCTGTGAGGACTCCACTCTCCACTTGCGTTACCTAAGTAAAAAACCTGAAACCACCCAGGACCCCTGCTTTCCTTGGCTCCCAAACCCTGGCTCTCAGGAAGCTTGGTTGTGTTCTTCATATCTCTGGATTCAGTCCCTCCACTCCATTTCAGCAGTCTCTGCCTTATTAAAAGCTTTTGTTATCTCCTTGCTTGGCTCATTCTTGCTACAAAAAACATCCATTATCCTACAAGTGATCTTTCTAGAACACAAAGCTTATCTTACTGTTCCCTTGCTCAGAACCTGAAGAGATCGCTAAACTTTAAGGAAAGCCTGGCAGGTAAGGCTCTTTCTTTTGGACCCATGCCCTGCTTTCCAGACTCTGCTCACAAGTCTTATTTTTCTAGCAAGTCTTTCCTAGCAGAAGAAAGTGCTGCTTCCTAAATGCTTTGAGTCACATTTTCACATTTTGGTTATAACTCTAATTACATTACATTTTTTTTAAGATAGGGTCTCACTGTGTCACTCAGGCTGGAGTGTAGTGGCATGATCATAGCTCACTGTAACCTCAGACTCCTGGCCTCAAGAGATCCTCCAGCCTCGGCCTCCCAAGGAGTTGGAATTACAGGTGTGAGCCACTGCACCTGGCCTCTAACTACATTTCTGTGAATGTTAACATATCTGTCTATTTCCCTTGACTGGGAATCTCTGGAGGGCAAGTAATGTTCATCTTTGCAAATCTTTACCTGGCCTAGTGCCTGGCACACAGAAGACCTTTAAACATTTATTAGATGAATGAATAAATAAGTGCAAGAATAAATGAATGAATGAGTGAATGAATGAATAAATAGGAATGTACCATTGCATAGGGTCAGGTAGGAAGAAAACTAACATCTTGAAGGTTTCTTTAGCTTTTCACAAAGTCTTAGAAAACTGAGAGACTAAATCAGGATGAGACTGAAAATAGTAGTAGTAATAATAATAATAGTAATAATAATAACCACGATTCATTAGGCACTTGTGCCAGGCACCATGCCAAATTTACATAAATTAACCCACTTAATCAATAGGAATCTGATAAGTATAATTTAATCTGTTTTATAGATGAAGAAATTGACAGTCAAGATTCCACAGCTAGTAAGTCATAGAGTCAGGATGTGAACCCAGGAATGCCTGCTTTATTTCAAAGTCTGTGGTAGAAAACACCAGGCTCACACTGCCTACATTGTCTACAGTCTTGGGAATTTTGCACTTTGGGAATTTAGGCCACAGTAGTGCATGAAAAGAAGGTATGAAGAACACTTTACTACTTTATGGTTAAAAATCAGATGGAAGGCCAGGCGCGGTGGCTCACGCCTGTAATCCCAGCACTTTGGGAGGCCGAGGTGGGCAGATCACAAGGTCAGGAGATGGGGTTTCACCATGTTGTACTAAAAATACAAAAATTAGCCAGGTGTGGTGGCATGTGCCTGTAGTCCCAGCTACTCGAGAGGCTGAGACAGAAGAATCGCTTGAACCCAGGAGGCAGAGGTTGCAGTGAGCCGAGATTGTGCCACTGCACTCCATCCTGGGAGACAGAGAGAGACTCTGTCTCAAAGAAAAAAAAAAAAAAAGATGGAGGTTTTTCCTAAAAGCTGACCAATCTATTACTTCAGCTAATTATGGTGCCCAGCTATGCTGGAGGTTCTATTTCTCCATCTTTCTCAGCCCTAGGGCCACAGATGCATCCCTCACCTATGACAGTTCCCTTGCAAAATGCAAGCCTTCATTCATCAGTCAGACTCAGGAAGGAATCGGGTTTGAAACAGCACGTAAATCACTAATGCAGAGTGGAACCCTTGCCCAGGAAGTTCAGCAAAAATGTGGCGAGAACACTTGGTTTGCAAATAAACATTTTCACAACCCACTTATTATTTGTTCGATATGATGCTTTTCACTAAATTAGTTGAATAATTTTGCCTATGGTTATTGTGGTACTGAGTAGACAAGTTCAACAGCAAACAGTATAAAGAATGTGTGTTAGAGGAAAGCGAGAATGTGGGAGAGTTGGTTGAATTTAAAACTTCTGAATGCTTGTAAATAATATTGAAAGGCTATTTCCCAGCATTTAACTGGGTGAAATATAAGGGTCTTTTTATTTAAAAACAATTTTTGGGAATAGGGAGGAAGTGCTGGAAAAAATATGTCTTTGGCCTTGGCACTGAAAACATAAAGTTCTTGTACCTCCTCTCCCACCCACCCCTCCACCTTTTCTAATATGTTTACTACATTTTTCAGTCTCTGGTTTGAACTTTTTTCTGTCAAGTTTCCGGAATTATAAGGAATACAAAATTACTGAGCAATTGAGGTAGATACTAGCTCATTTAAAGTTGAACCGTTTGCTAGACTCATTGAAAAACAATGGTCTTAAAAAGCCACAACATTTTAAAACACATTGTAGGGACCAGAGAAGACCTCTAAAGGCTCCTGATTTGAGCATGAGTTCATAAGTTTAAGCAATGTGTAACATTACTTTTACTGGGGAGCGTATTTTTCAGCTCTGTGGTTGCATGGTAGGAAAATAAGAGCAAAGTACGTGTGGCCGAGGAAATAAGAATAGTAAAACAGCCTAAATAATCTAGCATTGATTTCAATCCTATATATAACCATACAGAGTAATGCTTATTATTATCACAATTTGCATTTGTGATACCTTGCATTTTAGAAAGTGTTTTTCTTATATATATATGGTCAGTCTCACTTGGACCATAGACCAAAACTATAAGTTTGGCAGATAAGAATCATTATCCTCAATTTAGAGAAAAGGTAACTGAGTTTCAGCAAGATATAGTGACTTTCCCATAGTACAAGTAGGTTATCTGAAGCCTAGTACTTTCTCTCCCCTATAGCCAAACAACACTAAACGTGCATGTACCTGTGTGTGCTGAAAGCTGTGCTCAGAATGCAGACTCAAGTTTAATTCTGTGGCAGGTTAGAACAGTAAGCAAATTTAAGATTGTGCAATGGTTGCATTTCTGGTCCCAAAGCCTGGTTTAATAAAAGCAAATCAGCCTTGATTATTGGCTAAGTAAATGAAAGTGTTAATTAAGCTCAGCTCCCTGGTCAGAAATAAAAGGCTGTGAAATTCAAACATACCTGAGGAATGTGAGCAGGCAGCTGTGAACTTTTGTACACGGGTATAGTCACATTCATTTTTGTTTGCCTGCTGTCCAGCCTGGGGACTACAAGATAGTAAACCCATATCAAATGTGAAAACGAGTAAAAGCGGGGAAATGGAAAGGAGGAAGAAGGAAAAGGCATGAATGAAAAGTGGGAAGAAGGAGAATAGGTAGGAAAGAGGGGTAAACTTCATTCACTAATTGGCTGTATGGAAGGTGAATGTTAACTAAGGCACAGTTTGGAGAGGTGCCAATTTGTTTTTCCTGCCTTGGCTGTTAGCTGACTGCCTTTCATTAGGTATGAATATCTATATATCCACAAACATTCATAGATAAGTCAACAGTTCTATATATACCCACACCCGACAATGCACACGTAGACACACACATACATGCACACACACACACACACACTCAAACTGAGCTTCACATCTAACACAAAGGGCCAGAGCAAAGATATCACTGAAGAGGAGGATGAAAATACTATGGATGTAAAAGAGATAAGAGGAAACATTTTGGGCATGGGCTATATATTCTTGAATTAGGATGATGAAACAAATACACACACACACAGAGTTTCCATTAACATGGAAAGTGTAGGGAAGTGGTACTCTTTGCTGAAATGAGGTTAAAAATATTCACTGAAATATAAAAGCTGCTCAAAGTAAGGGTCTTTCTGAAAACCAGAGCAGGCAAGAAAAGAGCCCAACTTCTGAAGATGCTAACCAAATTATGATCTGTTTCCAACAGAGAGATCCACCTTAAGAAAGGTCCAGAGAGCTTGATAGAAACCAAATACAGTAAGAGGAAGTTGGGAGTGTGGGTGTCAGGCTGTCAGTAATTTGACAGCTATGGTAACTACCCTCTAATCCAGCCAGCTCCAGCCACGCTCTCAGCTGACACCACCAGGACTGACTGACAGCTGAGGAGCAGGCACTTTTTACAGGCTCAAGTGACATCCAGTCTATTAAGGCTGACAAGCACAAAGCAGAGATTTGCCCTGAATGGTTTGGTACTGAAGCCTAGTAAAGGGGTTATTTGAAAGGTCTTAGAGAAAGTGTCAGACTCCAGCTCAGATGATAACAATATTGTAATGATGGTACTGGACAATGAAGTGCGATGATTGCCCATACGGGCTGGGAAGACTGGAGGCGAATGGAGAAAGCCGAGCAGGAGCACACAGAGGCTGATTCTCCAAGGCCAGTGTGCAACCATTCAAGGAATTTCCTTTGGTGGTGTGTTCACTTGGGTGTTGGGGGGCAGGGGGGTTTCTCAAAGTTGCATATTAATTGTATTTGCATGGCAGGTGGGGTAGACAGTAAGCAGCTCTGGAGAACTGGGTACAAACTACCTGAAAGGAACCTTTGCCTGCCTTTGGTTCACTCTTCATCAAGAGGCATTGAAAATATTTTGCAGAAGAAAATGAATGCTAATTTTCAGACTACCACTTTGCTTATTAACTCTGACTGAAAAGTAAATTAGGCCTGTGATGATATGACTATGATTAGTATCACTGCTGTTCTTGACTGAACTGGCTCCCACAAGGTGCCACACATTTTGTCAACAACAACACCCAGAATTGATTCAGCAGGCGTTTTTCTCCTAACAGCAGCAAAATGAATTGTTTCTCTAAGTGTCTTTTCATAGTTCTCTTTATGAAATAGAGAAAGGGCAAGTATCATAATCTTGTTTTATTGATAGAAAAACATCTCCTAGCGTCACTGTGCACTTCCATTTGGGTTAGGCACACCCTTATGCGTATATCTATTTGTTGTCCATTCCCTTATTCCACACATATTTTGTGCTTATTATAAGACAGGTACTTAGACAGGTGGTTAGAATCCAGGGCTGGGACTGATGTTCAGCTACCAGCATATTATCTATTAATGTATTGACGTACTCCTACAGGCAAAGAGTTGCTGTTTTGAGTCCCAAGTGGATCCTAACCTCCCTCCCCCATCTGCTTTGCTAGCTTCCCCCTCATGACTCCTTCAATTTCCCCATGATCTAGCATGAATGAATGAATGCCTGGAATAACAGGTCTCCCTCCCAGCATTTTGTCCAGCATCCATTCTGATTTTTAAGTCTACCAGTTGTGAAAGGGTTTAAACATCACCACTGGTGGAGCTCATAATTTTAAAAATTATGAAAAATGTCCATACTTTCTAGATGAGTAAACTTTCCCAAGTTTACTCTTCTAAAATTCTTCTCCAAAGGATAACTTCTCAAAGTTTTCCCACATAGAACTTCCTTGGGAGTTCTATACATAAGGAGAGTTGAAGTTTGAGTGTGCATAGGTAATAAGAATGTTTAAAATTTGAAAACAAACAAAACCCCAGCACCACCACTAAGAAAATAGAATTTGCTCCTAGAAATATGGATTTGTCTATATGACTTCCAATTTAAATGGCTTCAGGTCTGATTTGGTTTCTCAATTTTTTTCTCTATGATTATCCATGAAGATACAAAAAAGACTAAAATCTATTATGCTTCCCAAATATTAAGAAGGAGAGTGATTATTATTTCTAGCACATGTGGTAATAGCCTCAAAACTGTGGCTCCCCCAATGGCAATACAATGAAAAGCAAAACTAAAGACATGGCAGGTCTATGCAGCAGAAAACCAATGACACCTGCCATCGAAAAAAGTAAATAGGGACATGATATACTCCCCTCATTAGGCCATCCCATGGTTGAGAAACACGAAAACTATACCAATTGAAACACTCAGTAGCCATCCTGGGGATACTGAAGGTGGTGCTTTGCATTTTTGAAGACATAATACAAAAATAAAGTGTATAGATCCAAGAAGGGAAATACTGGGAGGAGTGTGTAAAAGGTTTTTCTTTAAAAATAGGACTGGGTGTCTGTTGGGTGCAGTGGCTCACTCCTGTAATCCCAACACTTTGGGAGACCCAGGCGGGCAGATCACGAGGTCAAGAGATCGAGACCATCCTGGCCAACATGATGAAACCCTGTCTCTACTAAAAATACAAAAATTAGCCAGGAGTGGTGGCACACATCTGTAGTCCCACCTACTTGGGAGGCTGAGGCAGGAGAATTGCTTGAATCGGGGAGGCAGAAGTTGCAGTGAGCCAAGATTGTGCCACTGCACTCCTGCCTGGTGACAGAGTGAGACTGTCTCAAAAAATATCTATCTCTCTCTCTATATATATATATATACATATAATATATATTTGTAGATATATATATATTTGTAGATATATAGAGAGATTAGATAGATAAATAGATAGATAGATAGATAGATAGATAGATAGATAGATAGATTGATTGATATAGGGTGGGGCACGATGGCTCACGCCTGTAATCTTAGCACTTTGGGAGGCCAAGGCAGGCTGATCACCTCAGGTTAGGAGCTGGAAACCAGCCTGGTCAGCATGGGGAAACCCCGTCTCTACTAAAAATACAAAAATTAGCCAGGCATGGTGGCAGGTGCCTGTAATCCCAGCTACTCAGGGAGCTGAGGCATGAGAATCGTTTGAACCCGGGAGGCAGAGGTTGCAGTGAGCCAAGATCACGCCACTGCACTCCAGCCTGGGTGATAAAGCAAGACTCAGCCTCAAATAAACAAATAATAAAATGAAAATAAAAATAGTTTTCAATTTGCTAAATAGCTTAAGAGTACAAGATAATTAGGAAATGGAGATAGAAGACCCTCTATCCACATTGCCAGATGAGATGAAAACCTGCTTATCATTAATAATTGGTCTAGGAGTTGTACATATTCAGCTTTAAGAAAACTAACAACGGAGCCAAGAGCAATCCAAGTAATCAAACTGTTAACATAACCAAATCTGGAATATTTCTTCTTGTTTGAGGTTGAATGAACAGAAAAACAAAGTAACACAAGGCCATTGAAAATATTATTATAAATCAGGAAAAAAGAATATTGTCTGGATGATCAAGGTGAACAGCACATCTATAAAAACATCTTACTCTGAGAGTCAGAAGTAAATTCACTTTACCTTCAATTTTTTTAAAAATGTAGAAGAATGATGATGAGGAGGAAGAAAAACCAAAAGTAAACAGGAAGAGGAAGGGGAGAGGAAGAAGAGGAAAGGAAAATATCTTCTATGAAACAGGAACAGAGAACATGTTAAGATCAAAGAGGAGATGATAAAATAATAATGGATTTCATGAAAATTAAAACAGGAATGCCAAAATTAAAATCTCATTTGAAGATAGTAAAGGAAAATGACCTGTAGAACATTAAATCGCAGCTATAGGAGACAAACTTGAAAAAATCTGTCAGAGAATTTCCAGTCAATATGACATCACAAGATCATCTTTTGTCCCTTGTCTTTCCCTGCCAATACCCCAAACATAGTAATAACAGATAAAATATTAAAAATGACAGGTGTACAAAATATGCTATACTTAAAAGCAAGATAAGTATCCGCAGAACTAAACTAAACAGAAACACAATGCAGTCAGCAAGGCTGAAGGCACAAGTTTACTGGGGATAAAGTCTAGGAGAAGGCAGAGGCAACTGGCTTATATCCTAGAAAGAACAGAGCCTGTCTCATTGTGGAAAGGTGGAAACTGAGAAGATAATGCCAAGCCATAAAAGAAAGATGAGAAAAAAATGTAGGGGGAAAGAGAGAGACAAATGGGACCTGGGTTAACCAACCCTACTGGATGTATCTGTTATAACTTCAATATCCCTATGGGAGAGAAAAACCCAGCCTGCAATATAAGATCTGGTTCTGGACTTCAACACCTGGAGAACTTGATGGAGGTGACAGAGAGGAATACATATGCATGAGCATGAACACCAGAGAGAGGAGAAGGTGGAGGCAGAAGGAGAGGAAGAGATGCAAACTCAACTTGGCCCTCCAAGATAAAATTACAAAACACATTAACGTCAGTAAGCCAGTTAAGAAAGAGAACATCTAAATCAACAATCAGAAGGGGAATTTATTTCAGATAAATCAGAAGAGGAATTTATGTCAGATCAATATAGTAATCTGAAGATAAACTTCAAAAACAGTATGTTTAAGATTCTGAAATGAACTAAGGAAATAATGATGTAATGAAAGGGAAAAAACCCAAGAAATTATTAAAAACAAAATAGACAGATTTGAACAGGTAGAATTCAAAGAAACCCAATAGAAATTCCAGAAGTAAAAAAAAAAAAATGTTAAAATTAAAAAAAAAAACTGTAATGTCAGCCAAAATGGCAGAGAAAAAAAAGCACTGAAAATTCTCTTCTCCATGAAAGCAAATTGAAAACTGGCAAATGGTCAAACTCAACTTTTTTTTTTTTTTTTTTTTTTTTGAGACGGAGTCTCGCTCTGTCGCCCAGGCCGGACTGCGGACTGCAGTGGCGCAATCTCGGCTCACTGCAAGCTCCGCTTCCCGGGTTCACGCCATTCTCCTGCCTCAGCCTCCCGAGTAGCTGGGACTACAGGCGCCCGCCACCGCGCCCGGCTAATTTTTTGTATTTTTAGTAGAGATGGGGTTTCACCTTGTTAGCCAGGATGGTCTCGATCTCCTGACCTCATGATCCACCCGCCTCGGCCTCCCAAAGTGCTGGGATTACAGGCGTGAGAGCCACCGCGCCCGGCCCACACTCAACTTTTTAAAAACTCTGAAAATTAAGCAAAAGCTTGCAGCAAGAAAAACAGCTGAATCTTGGTAATAACCATGAGCTTTGAGGTGCTCTTAACTTTCTCTAGTCCCAGTTCCAATTTTCAGCTCAGTGGTAGCCTTGAAATAAAAAACCTGCAGTCATTGCAGTGGGCAGAACTTAGAGTTTCTTCAAAGCCACATTGCCAGAGTAGAGTCATTATTTAACCTTTCTTGTGGTTCCCTGGAAGACCACTTTTGCAAGGGTGTCATTATTTGACCTGAATCAGAGCTACCTCTATGCAAAAAGCCTTTTCCATGGAGATGAGTGTTGAAAATAGTTGCAGGCAATTGTCTGACTTCATAACTGCCTGAAGAAGTGGGTTACAGTCACTATAAACAATACACTAACCAAAAAGATTAGAATAAAGAGTTGAAGAATGAAATGTTAATGAGGGTTTGAAAATTTCCAACATATTCCTGGAAATCTAAAAGTCCATGTATATACACAGGACTGTTCACATATTCAGGAAGACCTGACAAGACCCTAACCTCTTATCTCTGGCTGCCTGTGAGGGTCTGCATAAGCAGGAAGGAAAGGCTAAGGAATAAATGTCAGCTGCCTGGTTCAGTGTTGAAGATGTGTTCACACACACATTCAGCACCCCTTGTCAAAGACTGGGAGGTTTATTGTTCTAAAATTTAAGAAAATATGTCAACTCATTAGCTGACCACTAAACTAACAAAGCAGAGATTTCAGGGGCCACCCATGACAAATAATGCAAACTTTACAGACTTAGTTTAGATGTTACTAAACAGATAACTACAACTATAACAAGCAGCAACATCAGTAGGCCCTAGAAAGAGAGAAAAACCTGATTTGTAGGGTTATACAAATCAGTTGCACACATTGTTGTATTCTAAATGTCCCATTTTCAACTAGAAATTATAAGACATGCAAAGAAACAAAATTATGACCATACACAGAAAAAAAAACCAATCAATAGAAATAATCTCTGAGTAAATCCAAGTTTTTAGACAAAAACTTTAAATAGAGTATTTTAACTATATTCAAAGAACTAGATGAAATTATGTCTAAAGAACTGACGGAAAATATGAGAACAATGTCCCACCAAAAACAGAAACATTGATAAAGAGACAGAAATTATAAAAATTAAAAAAGTAGAAAATCTGGGTTTCAAAATGCATCAGCTGAAATGAAAAATTCACCAGGAGGGCTCAAGATTAGATTTGAGCTAACAGAAGAAAGAATTCGCAAACCTGAAGATAAGCCGATAGAGACTATTCAGCCTGAAGAACAAAAAGAAAAATAAATTAAGAAAAATAAACGCAACCTAGAGACCCATGGAGCACCATCAAGCACAGAAATATACATATACACATAATGGGAGTTCCAGAAGAGGATGAAGATAGAGAAAGGGGTAGAAAGATCATATGAAGAAAAATGGCAAAAAACTTCCCACATTTGAGGAAAAACATTAATCTACACATCTAAGCTAAAAAAACTCCACATAAAATAAATTCAAAGAGAGTAACATATGGAAACATTAAAATCAAATTGTTAAAAACAAAGACACAATCTTGAAAGCAGTAAGAGAGAAGTGAGTCATCATGTACAAGAGATCATCAGTATGATTAACAACTTATTTCTCATCAAAAAACAGAATCCACAAGACAGCAGGATGACATATGCAATGCTGAAGGCAAAAAGCTGTCAGTCAATAATTTCATAACCAGTAGAACTGTTCTTTAAAAATGAAGGCAAAAATAAGATTTAATAAAGATAAAATAGACAAACCAAAACAGTTTTCATAAAACCAAATAACTGAGAGTGTTCATTGCTGTAAACAAAAATGCAGAGTTTGTTGCTAACAGACCTGCCTCATAAGAAATACTAAAGGCAAGTCTTGAGGCAGAATTAAATGGACACTAGACTCAACACTCCACTCAACATGAAGAAATAAAGAGCACTGGTAAAGGTAATTGTATAGATAAATATAAAGAAAGAATGGTAAAAGTCTGTTTTGCATTTCTAACTCCCATTTTCTCCTATATAATTTAAAAGACAACATCATAAAGCAATTATTATAAATCTATGTTGATGGTCACAATATATATAAAGATGTAATTTGTGACAAAACCAAGATAAAGGAGAGCGGTAATGGAACTATATAGAAGAAAAGTCTTTACATACGATTTAAATTAAGTTGATATTAATCTAGATTGTTATAAATTAAGATGTTAATGGTAATTCTCAAAGCAACCACCAAAAAATGCTTAAATATATAGTAACAAAGGAAAGGTAGTTAAAATGGTATAGTAGAAAATATCTATTTAACACAAAAAAGGGCAGTAATGGATGAATAGAGGGAAAAAAGGCATACACACATAGAAAACAAATAAAATGGCAAACATAAATCCTATCATCAATAATTACATTAAATATAAATAGATAACTACAAGTAAATGACAGATATTGGCCTTTTGGATGAAATTTATAAATAGATTGAAAACAACATGGTCCAGCTACATATTGTCTAAGAAAGACTTAATTTTTTTAAAATTTTTGTGGGTAAATAGTAAGTGTATATATTTATGGGATACATGAGATGCTTTGATACAGGCACACAATGTGAAATAAGCATGGAGAATGCGGTATCCATCCCCTTAAGCATTTATCCTTTGAGTTACCAACAATTCAATTACACTCCTTAAGTTATTTTAAAATATACAATTAAGTTATTATTGACTATAGTCACCCTGTTGTGCTATCAAATAGTAGGTCTTATTCATTCTTTCTATTTTTTTTTGGTACCCATTAACCACCCTCACCTCTTCCCAACCCTCCCACTACCCTTCCCAGCCTCTGGTAACCATGTTTCTACTCTCTATGTCCATGAGTTCAATTCTTTTGATTTTTAGATCCCACAAATAAGTGAGAACACACAATGTTTGTCTTTCTGTGCTGAATTCATTTCATTTAACATAATGATCTCCAATTCCATCCATGCTGTTCCAAATGACTGGATCTCATTCTTTAGTATGGCTGAATAGTATTCCATTGTATATATGTACCACATTTTCTTTATTCATTCATCTGTTGATGGACATTTAGATTGCTTCCACATCTTAGCTATCATAAACAGTGCTGCAGACAAACATAGGAGTGCAGATCAAAGAGACTCACTTAAGTTTCAAAGACACTAATAGGTTAAAAATGAAAGAGTAGAAAAAAATATGCCATGCAAATAATAACCTAAAGAGAGCTGATGTGACTGTACTAATATCATTTGAAATAGATTTCAAGACGGAAAATCATTCCTGGAGATACATGATGACATTTTATAATGTAAAAAGATTAACCCATCAAAGAGATATAATAATTATAAATATATAGGCACTTAACAACAGGGCACCAAAATATATGAAGCATTGCCTTTCACAATGGTTGAACTAACTTACACTTCCACCAACAGTATAAAAGTGTTTCTTTTTCTCTGCAACCTTGCCAGCACTTGTTGTTTCTGGACTTTTTAATAATTGCTATTCTGACTGGTATGAGATGGTATCACATTGTGGTTTTGATTTGCATTTCTCTAATGATCAGTAATGTTGAGCTTTCTTTCCTATGTTTGTTGGCTGCATGTATGTCTTCTTTAATGGGGTTGGTTTTTTCTTATAATTTGTTTAAGTTCTTTGTAGACTCTGGATATTCGACCTTTGAAAACTCACAGAATTGAAGGGAGAAATAGGCAATTCAACAATACAGTTGAAGGTTTCAGTACCCCACTTTGAATAATGAGAACAAGCAGTCAGAAACTCAGCAAGGAAACAGAAGATTTGCACAACGCTATAAACCAACTAGATCAGACACTGATAGAATACTCTACCCAACAACGGTAGACTACACATTCTTCATTCTTCTCAAGCACACATAAACACACCCCTGGATAAATAATGCATTATGTCATAAAACAAGTCTCAGTATATTTAAAAATATTTAAATCATACAAAAATTGTGTGTTCTATGACCACAATAGAATAAAACTAAAACTCAATAGAAGGAAATCTAAGTAATTCAAAAATATGTAAAAATTAACTAACACACTTTTAAACAATCAATGGCTCAAACAAGACATCATAGGGAAGTTAGAAAGTACTTTGAGATGAATAAAAACACAACATACCCAAATTTATGATATACATAAAAAGCAGTACTTAGAGGAAAATTTAAAACTGTAAACACTTATTTTAAAAAAGAATAAATACATTAACCCAATAGCCTAAACTTCTACTTTAAGAAGCTGGAAAAAGGAGAGCAAAATAAAATCCAAAGCAAATGAAATAAAGGAAATAATAAAATTAAGATAGAAATGAATGAATTAAGAATAGAAAATAATAGAGTCAATGAAACCAAAACTTGGTTCTTTGAAAACATCAATAAAATTGACAAAACATTAGATAGATAGACCAAAAAAAGAGGGAAAGGACTTAAATTAACAAAATCAGAGGTGAAAGAAGTAACATTACAATCAATCTTATAGAAATAAAAGGATTATAAGGGAATACTATGAAAAATTGTATGCCAACAAACTAGGTAACCTAGATGAAGTCAACAATTTTCCAGAAAGACAAAAACTAATAAAACGGATTCAAGAAGAAATGGAAAATCTGATCAGAATGATAACAAGTAAGACAAATTAATTGATAATCCAAAAGCTTCTCATATAAAAGCCCAGAACTAGATGACTTCACTGGAAAGTTATATCAAACATTAAAGAATTAACACAAATTTTTCACAAACTCCTCCAAAAAATAGAACGAGAGGGAACACTTCCCAACTCATTCTATGATGCCAGACAAACACATTACAAAAAACAGAAACTACAGAATATAGGCGTAAGAATTCTCAAGCAAATAGTTGGAAACTGGTTCAGTAACGTATAAAGAGGATAGTACACCACAACCAAGTGGGATTTTCCCAGGAATGCAAGGTTGGTTTAAAATATGAAAGTTAATCAATGTAACATGCTGTATTAATAGAATAAAGGTTTAAAAACCACGTGATCATCTCAATAGACAAAGAAAAAGCATTTGACAAAAATCTAGCACTCTTTGATGATTAAAAAAACACTCAACAAAATAGGAATAGAAGTAAAATTTCTCAGCTTGAAAAAAACACATTTACAAAAAACCCACAGCTATCATTATACTTACGGCAGAAACACTGAATACTTTCCCCCATGATATGGTTTGGCTGTGTCCCCACCCAAATCTCATCTTGAATTGTAGCTCCCATATTTCCCATATGTTGTGGGAGGGAGCTGGTGGGAGACAATTGGATCATGGGGGCAATTTTCCCCATACTGTTCTCATGGTAGTGAATAAATCTCACAAGATCTGATGGTTTTATAAGGTGTTTCCCCTTCTACTTGTCTCTCATTTCTTTTACCTGCCCCCATGTAATACATGCCTTTCACCTTCTGCCATGATTGTGAGGCCTCCCCAGCCACGTGGAACTGTGAGTCCATTAAACTCTTTTTCTTTATAAATTACCCAGTCTCAGGTATGTCTTTATCAGCAGTATGAAAATGGACTAATAGACCATAAGGCCAGGAACAAGAAAAGTATGTCCACTCTTGCCACTTCCATTCAACATTGCACTAGATGTTCTAGTTAAGGCAATTAGGCAAGAAAAGGAATTAAAAAGCAGCCAGATTGTAAAGGAAGAAGTACCATCTCTATTTGCAGTTGATATGATTTGTATGTAGAAAATTCTAAGGAATCAACAAAACTATTATGGTAAAACAAATTCATCAAGGTTGCATAATACAAGATCATTATGAAAAAATTAGTTGTATTTTTATGCATCAGTAACAAACAATCCAAAAATGAAATTAAGGAAACAATTTCTTTAATAACAGTATCAAACAGAATAAAATATATTTAACAAAATAAATAAAGGCCTGTACACCTAAAAATACAACAGTATTAAAAGAAATTAAAGAAGATCTATATAGATATATGCTTTCCTCCCATGTTCATGGATCAGAAAAGTTAATAATGTTAATAAGGCAATACTTATTTTAACTACAAATTCGATGCAATCTCTATCAAAATTCTAGCTGCCTTTTTTTGCTGAAATTGAAAGCTGATTCTAAAGTTCATATGGATGTGCAAAAGATCAAATGTAGCTAAAACAACCTTGAAAAAGATGAACCAAATTGAGCTATCGCAATTCCTGATTTCTAAACTTACTGGTAAAGTACAATAATCAAGACCATGTGGTACTAGCATAAAGATAGTCATATGGATAAATGGCCTAGAATTGAGGGTCCAGAAATAAGCCAATATATGGATAATTAATTTTTGATAAGGGATCCAAGAGTTTCATATATGTGAACACATATGTTCACATAAAAATGTGTACACAAATGTTCATAGCAGCATTATTCATAAGAGTAAAAAAAATAGAAACAACCCAAATGTTTCAACTAATGAATGGATAAGCAAAATGTGGTATGCCCATACAATGGAATATTATTTGGACATAAAAGGAATGAACTATTGATACATGCTACAGTATGGATGAACCTTGAAAGCATTATACTAAGTGAAAAAAAAACAGCCACAAAATGCCATATTTCTGTATTTCTATTTATATAAAATGAATTCATTGTGACAGCAAAACACATGGGTTAAACCCAGAGTACTATTCTATGCAACCATTTAATGCTCAGTATGTTATAACTGAGTAAAATTAATTTTGTAGAAGTAATATTCACTCTCTTCAGAGAGTTCCAAATTCTCATTTACATGTAATAAAAATCAAGATCAGGCCAGGTGCGGTAGCTTATGCCTGTAATCCCAGCACTTTGGGAGGCCATGGCAGGTGGATCACCTGAGGTCAGGAGCTTGAGACCAGCCTGGCCAACATGGTGAAACCCCGTCTCTACTAACAATACAAAAATTATTAGTGCTGGGCTTGGTGGCACATACCTGTAATCACAGCTCCTCAGGAGGTGGAGGCAGGAGAATCACTTGAACCTGGGAGGTGGAGGTTGCAATAAGCCAAGATTGTGCTATTGCACTGTAGCCTGGGTGACAAGGTTAAAACTCCATCTCCAAAAAAAAAAAAAAAAAAAAAAAGTCAAGATTGAAGCATGGCTAGCTTCCCGTCATGAGGACATAGCAGCAACCATCAGCATGTCTCCCACAGCTACTGTGACCTCCAGCCCAAGAAGGGACCTAGCCAAAATCAAAATCATATAAGCTTGAACTGCTGCTTTGCCTGTACTATATATCAATCATCCAATTCAACACATTTAAGTATCTTCTAGTAAGGCCATTGTCAGATCTTAAGGAAATTCAAAATTAGTCAAGGAAGCTGCAACAGCAGTAGAGATGGATAAAAATTTCCTACCATATGATAAAGGCCAATCATTAACATTTCAGCAGATATTTTCTTTGAGACACTAAAATAGGAATGTCAGGAAAACCATGTGTACCTGGAAATTATTCTTTCTAATTGAATCTTAAAAGTATGGATTATGGATGATTCTTTAGTCCCTATTGAGAAGTGTCTGAAGGGAGGCAGACTTGGGAAAGTGAAGGTGGAGGATGGTACTAGGCATAACATAAGGAGGCACATTTTCAAGGACAATGAGAATTTAACTCTTACTAATTCAGTATAGGCTGTGTAATTTGGGGCAATCCATGCGTCCTTTTGTGCCTCAGTTTATTAATCTATGAAATGGGGACATAGGAATACCTACTTCATGTGAGTACTGTGGAGATTAAAAGAAGGAACATGAAGTGTTTAGCAGAGTGCTTGCAGCAACTTTTTAACTGTTCAAAACCTATTACGTCCCTCCTTACAAACTTAATTCTGGATGCATTCCGAAAACTGGCATGATATGTTTTTAATAAAGACCCCTACTTGGACTTAAAAATGTAAGGCCTTTTGTAGAATTTTAAGATAGTTAGACATTAATGTTTTGTTCCTTGAAAATCTGGACGATTTTTAAAACTGAAGTTTTAAATACCGCACTGTTAGTAGAATCCTAAACACTTAGTATTATCCATATTACCAATTAAGCCAAACACCAATTAAGCCACCTAATCTACGCCTGCTGGATTTATCTTTTACTATCTTCTATATGTAATTTATACATAATGTTGACTCTCCAATATTGTGATTCAGAATGGCCCAAGGTTTAAAGATCCTGATAAAATAATGCAAAAGTCATTAGCATTAAAGCTGAAGCTTCCCTCCCACGTGATGCAAGGAGGTTAATGCTATCTTCGCTTCTAGCCAGCATGAATATTTATTGGCACATAAAGTCAGGTTGAATAACATGGAACTGAAAATAATGTAACACAGACTTTCCCAGTGACCCACCCCCTCTCCAGTGTAACTCTTGATTCCAGAGACTGTCTACCATTGGGGGAAAATTCAACATAAAAGGAGCCTTTGAAATATGAGTTAGTTGACTCAGTAGGCTCTAAATCCAAATAGATTATTACATTTCAGGAACAATGCCTGTTAACCCATATTTTGATAAATTCAGTTATAATATTTTCCCTTGGTTTTTGTCTATTAGCCCTTTTACTTATGTAGTTGTTACTACCTGTTTCACCAGCTCAGGAGAGAAATTTGACCACATCTCATATTCTTCAAATTAAAATGGCTGGATCCTCCATTTGTCAGAATAACAGGAATCTAGGGTATTTTAAAGGACAAACTTCTACATTACCTAAGAACCCCTGTACTTCCTTATTCTAGAGAGGCCCAGTCTTACTTCCAAATGCCTGTCAGAGAGTGAACTGCAGAATTGGACCAGGCTGCCAGATACTCCAGTTTGCAAACAACTTACTGTTGTTGGTTCCGTGCACACTGATGCATTTTTTATTGTGAAGTGGTGATCTCGCTGGTTCAACTCTGTGGACAGAGCTTATCATGCTTGGAACAATAAAAGCTGGTTCACACTGACATGCTCAGCTCTTAGTCGTAAAGCAGGTTCAGCCCTTCTCTGCATCACTCTAGGTGTTGCAGTTGAATCAGGGGGCCCACTTTATACTGCTTTGCCTCACGGGGAAATTCCCTCATGGATGGTCTTTACTTTCTTTTCCTGCCTGTAGACCACAATTGAGACTGAGTCTCACTGAGGCATCTGAAGATGCTGAATCTCAAATGGAAGGTGAGGGTGTAGTGGGATTGGTAATGAATGCCATCATTTCCTCCAGGAAGACTCCATGGCTATGAGAATGTCCTCATTTTCTACCACAATAATCACATCTATACACCAAGTTGTTATTTGGAGAAGCTGGTTTTGTTAAGCCACAAAAAGGGTCTATTACTGTTTCCTTGGGGCAACCATGGCTCAATTGCCTGATAGTTACATAATTGAGAAGGGTCTTTCCACCGGTTCTTTCAGAGTAAGTTATGTCGTAAGGTAACTACCCATATCCACCAAGACAGATGTGCTACAGCAGATTTTAGGAGGTATCTTTTCCTGAACAAAAAAAGAAAAAACATTAATGTAACAACTAGACACCATACTATGCAAGAGATTCACAGAAGAAAATTCAATGGAATACAAGTTTTAGAGTTAGCCTCAAATCTATCAGATTTAATTCTGGTTCTGCCATTTATTAATGGCTTAATCAAGTTACTTAATCATTCTGAGCTCATGTAATAACTCAGTTAAATAATATCTGTGTCTTTAAGTAATGAGGAACTGAAAAATAATAGTTTAAATAAATTGAGGGGTTTTTTTTCTTTGGTAAGAAGTCCGGAAGTTGACAATTGTAGACATTGGTTCAGCAGCTCAAAATGACAGAGCCAAGGACTCTACAATTCTCCTGGCATTTCGCTCATAGTCACAAGATGGCAATGACAGATTTCACTGGTGTATCATATTTCAGGCCACTGAAAGAAGGAAAGAATGTGAAAAGAAAGTGTCACTGCTTATATCGGGAAAACAAGAGCATCCCAGAAATCCCCAGCCAACTTTGATTTACATTTCATGGGCCAGACTGTGCCACATGGCCACTCCTAACTTCAAGAGAGTCTGAGAATGTGAATTTTAGCTTTCTAGATTTTAAAGGTTAGGGAGACCTGAGAAAAAGGTATAGAAATGGGTGTTGGATAAATTAACCTACAGTATTTGGCACACAAGTAACAACCAGAACTAAGGCAATAGCAGTAAGGATGGAGAAAAGGGGAGAAGACTTAAGCCGGACTCAGTAATGGCTTTTGGGTAACTGAGCGTAGGTATCATGGGGAGAACATAGGTCAGGAACCGCATCTTATCTTTTCAGTAGCTTCCTAAAGGGTCTAATAAAGTTATCAAGACAAAATAGACTGTCAAGAGAGATTGGTCCCCAAATGATGTTCAGAGTTGTGATTCTGTGGAAGCATGGGATGGCTCCAGACACCTCTTCAAGGAGCCAGTACTGGTAGAATAATAGGTACTATTTATTAGACCTTGTTTGGTTTTTTAGCCAAAGTTTTTGCCAAACTATTTTGTTAGAGACTTTTTCCTGTTTTAGTTTCACGGTTTTTTGTTAGTGACTAAGTCAAACAAAAATTCAATCACTTTGTATTAAAAGCCACTTTCAGGGCATAAACGGGATAGACACAGAGCATACTAACTTCTGAAATCCTGTCAGAGCCATTGGTGAGTGAGCTTGATTTCCATAAGAGCTATTCGGTCAGTCCTTCAGAGCCCCTTTTACATGGGTATCTTATTTTTTAACAGGCACTTTAAATTGAGACCAGCATCCTGATTTTCAAGCAGCACGGCTTTTATTGGAAGTCTCTGCCACGTTTAAACATCTTTAATACATTTTAAAAATAGAATTGTAAAAGGCAGAAACCAGACTTCAAAGCATAGACATGTTGGCCAGAATTGCGAAGCTGGCGACAATTTTCACTGGTTGTAAAGCTCATGGAACTTCTTTCAATCCCCAGAACAACTGAGGGAGAAGGGGTTCAGCATGCATTCCTCCTGAGTGTCTCCTGGATGGGCCCAGGCAGACCAGGTGTGGATGACCAAGTTGGCAGAAAGAGAACCAACGCACCGCAGGGTGGATGTAGAAAGCACCAACCACAGCAATCAGGCCAAACATAGAGCCAAAAGCAACCAGGCCAAACCAAAAGAAATGAGGACCTGAGGAGGGATTGGCCACCTTGTCTGAGCATTGACCCCTTGTGTCTCTCATCTCCTGCATAAGTCCATAAGTCTTCCTTTTACCTTGGAGACCTTAGACATCCTTTGTCCTCAGGTAAACCTGATTACGCTCCCTTTTTGCCTTCACTGAACTCTACAGACACTTATTGCATTCTAGTGAAATTATTTATTTACATATTAGATTCTATCTTCCCCACTCCTAGCTCTAGCCTGTGAGCATCTTGAAAGAAAGAGCTGTATCTTATTCATCTCATGTACACAGCAAATTAAATGTGTGTTTAAATGAAGTTGAATCTCTTGGGAGAATCTGAGCAGCAGGATCTGGTTTGGGGGAATTATTAAGGAAGGCTTGAGTTTCCTTAGCCTAAGGCAGTGGTTCACAAAGTGTGGTCTCTGAACCAGCATCATCAGCATCAGTTGGAGACTTGTCAGAAATGCACATTCTCAGGCATGGCCCCAGAACTGCCGGGTGGGTTGACAAGCTGGAGAACCAGGAGAGCTGATGGGGCAGTTCTAGTACAAAGGCTGGCAGGCTGGGGAACCAGGAAAAGCTAATGTTTCAGTTCAAGTCAGAATACAAGAAACAGCTGATGTCCCAGTTCAAGGGTAGTCAGGCAGAAAGGAATTCCAGAAATCTGTGTTTTAACAACCTTTCTAGGTGACTTTGATGCATACTAAAGTTCAGAGGTCAATGACTTAACCTTTCCAAACCTCAGTTTCCTCATCTGCAAATTATAGCTAACAGTAGAGAACTCAAAGCACTGTTTCAAATATGAAATTAGATAATATATGGGTAGTGGTGAGTCCAGAGTCTCAAAGGTATTAATCACTCAGTAAAAATATTGGAGGGTAAAAATTATATTTTGATTTACTTCATCTTGCTGGATCAGCAACTTTTGGAAAGTATTGCTGATACTGGCATCATCTTATGGTGCATTGGATTCATCTAAGTTTCTAAGTTCTCCCAGCTAAGCCCTATCCTTTCAAAGTCCTTGTAACTCAACAAAAGCCAAGCCTGAATGCTGGAATCCTGCTTACCCCATTAGGCCCTGTCCTTGTCCTTACACGGGGCACAGCACCAGTTTCAGGCATCAATCACTCTTTGTGCTGTAGAGGGAGCAATCATCTGGCCCTAGATGGGAAAGGAAAGGGCCTCAAAGAATTGCTGCTAAGAAAGTTGAAGTGAAGAAGGCCCATCAGCATCCTCTGACAGGACGTGGAGGAAATCAAATAGTTGTGGAGCTGCAGTGTTCTAACGGCCAATTAAGTCATTTTAAGTTTTCCAATTGATTTCCTCTTAACTGAGTCACAACAGTTTAAAATTGGGCAACAAACCACATCCCTCCTTAGGGGAAACAGGCAGCCCCCCACTGCTTTACTTAATTCTGCCAGCTGCTAGCATCACCCCTGCCTCCACTCCATGAAAATCCAATTTAACGACTCTGTGTTTGCTGCGCCAGATGAGCCTCTCCTCCAAGACAGAAAAATGCCTGGGAACCCATGTTCAAGTGACATCCCCACATAGACTCTTCATGAAACCACAAGCACCCCCAAAGAGATACACACACTCAACAACCTAGAGCACATCTCCCCCTTTGATTATAAGCAATGGAGAGGGCAGAAATCTAACTTTCCAGGGTCACAGTTGCTCAATACATCACATACTAGACAAAATATAATGAGGATCTAATGCACTTTTTCCTCTCCCAGAAGCTGCTATGAAATAACACCCCATGTGGGTTCTGCTGAATCACCACACAGGTAGTTGAACGCAACCAAGCTCTGGCATTTCAGGCTGATGAAATCCCTGTCCCTTTCACTCTCAGATAAATAATGTTTTGAGAATTATTGTTACTACTGTTCTTTTAATAAGTTCGCATTGCCTCAACGCTCCCCTGCTTCTACCAGTTTCCATTCATTTTCCTGTCAGACCAGGCCTTTGAAACTAGCGTCTCCCCGAGTGGAGGGAAGATGTAGCACCCTTCTCTGCTTGGCTGACTCTTCCTGGAGCGGCCCACTGGGGATGAGTACCACCTGGTGGGGCTTTTCTCAATAGCCCTGCTGGCAGCGTCTATTCCAGCCTGAACGCATTTAGGCTTGAAGGAGAGAACCCCAAATATTTTGATAGAACTGTCAGAGGTGGTCAGAATATGCCATTACCACCTGAATCTGTTCTTTCTGAAACTGGCGGGGGTGGGAAAGGGGGACCATGTCCTTCAGATGACTGGGTAGAAGAAAAGAACCAGGAAGAACACAGTAACCAAAGACTTGCTCTCACTACGACTTCATGTCCCTTAGCTGAATAGCCGCCTAACACAAATTTTGAAAGCATGTTTGAAAATGACACCAGCAGAATAAATAATATGAGGGCAATAAGTGCCAGAATATTATTCTTGCAGTAAAATATGTTTACATTGACTTGCTACTATGAGATATACAAAGATTACTAAGACATAATCCCTGCCCTCGAGGAGCTTATAATTCAATAGGAAATAGCACATGTACACAAATAACATAAACTAAAGCAGAAGCACACAAAAGCAATGAGAGAGATTTAAACAAAAATACCATGACAACACAAAGAGAGAAAACTTTGGGATTTATCTGGTATAGATTGAGCAGGGCTTCCTGGAGAAGGCATTTGCGTGGAATTTGGTTAAAAACCAAATACTGTATTTCAAAACAAAATGTGAGAGACCCCATTGTTTGCCTCCCCATATTGTTTGCCTTCTCAACTCACTTCTTTCCTGGAAGAGCCAGCCTCCCAGTATAGAAGCTGCCAATGCCAGATATTCACTTTTCCAGCCTTCTTTGAGGCAAGAACATGGTCTTTTGATTGAATGCTGGCTAATGGCATTGAAGGGAGGTCGACAAGATTTCCTTCTTGATTATAAATAAATAAATAGCAACTGTGTTTTCTTCCTGGCTTGAACATGGTTATCCAAGGCTGTGATGCTTGCAGTTGTGGCTACCATCTTGGTATCTAGAGGAAAAGCAAGATAATCACAGAGAAACCAGCTTTCATCCTTGAACTCACTTTCAAGCATTTTAAATATGCAAAGGAGTTTATCTGTCAAGCCAGTTTTAGTTGAATATCTATAACCTGCAGCTGAATGCATCCTAAGCGATATACAAAGATTATGAAATCCATTCAGACAAGAACAACATAATGACCAAAGAAATGAGACCAAGTAGGGCATGCTTACTTTTGCAGATGCCTATAGTTTACAAAGAAGCAATACCACAAAAGAAGGCTGGAAAGTTGGGGCCAGTTCTAAAAGAATTCATGGCTAGGCTGAGGAACATGAATTTATCCTGAAAGCAGTGGTGGAGAGACATTGAAGGCACTGAAGCAAATTAATGTCCCTGTCCGAGCAGTATAACAGGAAAGTTGTTAATCATAGGGCAGAAATGTAGACGAAAGATTGGGCTGGTGACAGACAGGAGGTAGGGAAAACCATGGGCCTTTTTTTTTTTTCCCAAATAATCGAACCCAGGTGTTGTCAAGCATGTCCTCACATTATACTTCCCTGGGGAGATTTTTTTTTTTAATTCCTCAATCTAGCTTTTTACCTCAGAGTCACAGACTCAGTTGGTCAGAAATGGGAAGCTGAAATGCTTGTGTTTTTTAAATTCTTTTTTAAAGCTGCATATGATCTAATGTATAGCCACTGTTGAGAATCCCCATGTGGCTGAACTGGGGCTGTAGCCAAGAAAAGGAAGAGATAGACATGGGAGAGGTTGCGGAAGCAGAGTGGCTGAGTGGATGCAGGGGGCAAAGGAGAGAAAGGAGACAACGATCTGAAAGACCTCTTGTAAGGTGATGATGTGTGATGGGAGAACAGCAGTGCCATTTGCAGAATTGGAGAGGTCAGGAAGAAAAGCAAGCTTAAGAAAGAAAAGTTCAATGTGGAAAACATGGAATTTAAATGCTGGGGGCAAGCTCTAAACTCTATCTAAGCATTTAATATTACAGATTTCTGAATTACCTGCATCAGGGGATCACTGATGCTTTGGGAGATGTTGATTCACCAAGGTAGGAATGTAGGAAGGAAAAAGAGTACCAACCATAAAACCTTTAAAATTTTAATTTTGACTTTTATTTTAGAGTCAGGGGGTACATGTACAGGTTTGTTACATGAATCTATTGCATAACGCTGATGTTTTGGGGTATGAATGATCCCGTCACCCAAGAGCATAGTACCCAGTAGTTTTTCAACCCTTGCCCCCTCCTTCCCCGGTAGTCCCCAGTGTCTATTGTTACCATCTTTATGTCCACAAGTACCCAATGTTTTGGCCCCTATTTATTAAGTGAGAATATGGGGTATTTGGTTTTCTGTTCCTGCATGAATTCACTTAGGATAATGGCCTACAGCTTCTTCTATGTTGCTGCAAAGGATATGATTTTTTTCTTTTTATAGCTGCATAGTATTCCTTGGTGTATATGTACCACATTTTCTTTATCCAGTCCATCATTGTTGGGCACCTACTTGGTACCATGTCTTCACTATTATAAATAGTGCTTCGATGAACATGTGAGTGCATGTGTCTCTTTGGTAGAATGTTGTATTTTCTTTTGGATATATACCCAGTAATGAGATTGCTTGGTCATATGACAGTTCTGTTCTAAGTTCTTTAAGAAATCTTCAAACTGCTTTCCACAGTGGTTGAATTATTTTACACTCCCACCAACAGTGTGTATTACTTTTTTTCCCTCAGCCTTACCAACACCTGTTGTTTTTCTGACTTTTTAATCATAGCCATCCTGACTGGTGTGAGATGGTATCTCATTGTGGTTTTGATTTGCATTTCTCTGATGACTAGTGATGTGGAGTATTTTTTCATATGTTTCTTGGCCACTTGTATGTCTTCTTGTATGTCCGTTTTTGCTCATTGAATTTTATAAGTACCTTATAGATTCTGCGTATTAGCCCCTTTTCAGATGTGTAATTTACAAATATTTTCTCCCCTTCTGCAAGTTGTTGTCTGTTTACTCTATTGGTACTTTCTTTTGCTGTACAGAAGCTCTTTAGTTTAATTAGTTCCCACTTGTCAATTGTTGTTTTTGTTGCAGTTGCTTTTGAGGACTGAGTCATAAATTCTTTCCCAAGGCTGATGTCTAGAGTGGTGTTTTTTAGGTTTTCTTCTAGCATTCTTATAGTCTGAGACCTTAGATTTAAATCTTTACTCCGTCTTGAGTTAGTTTTCGTATATGGTGAAAGATAGGAGTCCAGTTTCATTCTTCTGCATATGGCTAGCTAGCTATTTCAGCACCATTTATTAAATAGGGAGTCCTTTCCATATTGCTTATTTTTGTCTATTTTGTCAAAAATCAGATAGCTGTAGGTGTGCAACTTTATTTCAGAGTTCCCTATTCTGTTTCATTGGTCTCTCCAAGAAAAACTACAAAACACTGCTGAAAGAGATCACAGATGACACAAACAATGGGAAAACATTCCATGCTCATGGACTGGAAGAAACAATGTGTGGTTCAGCTGGTTCAAATATGGTTCAAAAGCAATCTACAGATTCAATACTATTTCTATCAAATTACCAACATCATTTGTCACAGAATTAGAAAAACACAATTCTAAAATTCATGTAGAACCAAAAAAGAGCCTGAATAGCCAAAGCAATCCTAAGCAAAAAGAACAAACCTGAAGGAATCACACTACCTGACTTCAAACTATACTATAAAGCTACAGTAATCAAAACAGGATAGTACTGGTCCAACCATAGAACTTTGAAGAACACTAAGGAGAAAGGAAGAACACCCCCAAAAAGGAGTCAGTTTGAGGAGTTAAAATCTAATTCCCTCCATCCACTTAGACTGACGTATTGATAAACACTTAGTCAGTGGAAATTAGACATCAGGTATTAGATTGGCATTGTTGTATTTAATTTAGGAAAGCTACTCACCCCTCCCATCCAATGACAAGGCTGAGCTGTAACATGTTGTCATCTGTTCTGCCTTATTTTCACAGTAGAAAAAATATAAACACTACCTCTAAAAGTGAATTTGACATTAAACGATTGAAAAGCAACAAGCAAAGTTTTCAAATAATGTTTTTGAATAAACTTCATGCTTTTGAAGAAAAAAATTAAAATTCTTCATATGTCCCACCAGTGAGGTCACATGGTCTGACTGGGATTGGGAAACTGACACTTCTTCCTCTCAGAACCTTAAATAAGTGTGTCTAAAACTCTATCTTCATCTTTGTCCTAGCTTTCTTCACGACGAATTGGACAAATACAAATTCCAGACCTCTCCAGTTGGATATGATAGGAAATGTGGTAATAGTTAGAATTGTTGAGAAATAATATTGTGTGGATCATTGTTATTTAATGGCATTTATATCTGTCCATTCTTAGTAATGTTACTAAAATAATTAAGATACTTGAGATAGATTCAATTAATATTATTCAGTTGGCACAAAAGTAATTGCAGTTTTTGGCAGTACTTTCAATGGCAAACCCACAATTACTTTTGCACCAACTTAATATTATTAATAATAATGTTGTATCCTTGTCATGTAGGTCAACTGAAGATTTTCTTTTATAAAAACCTCCTTGGCTTCAGAGCTCTTTACACCAGACCGATTTCAAGGAGGCAGAATGAACCCATTTCTGAAGATTGTATGGAAATTATTTCTTTCATTTCCTTTCCCTCAGCAAACCATATAATGGGTATAAAAGGTAATGGCAAAGTTTGTGGGCTAATAGAGAACCATTAGCATATTTATGAAAATAGAGTTTCAGGCAGTTTGTTTGGTTAAAGAAACAGCTAAAGTTATTGAGTACTTATAAAGTAAATTTTTGTATGAAATCGAATGTCTCTAACTTTGAAGGAAAAGTCTAATTAGAAATAACCCATGGCACCTCTTTTCAGTGTAAAATGTTCACAAATATGAACTTCCTATGGCAAAATTTTGAATTACGTTTTTATCTAGAATAAATTACTAAAAATCAGCCACCCATCATTCACAATACAAAAAGTTATGGCTATAGCTGGGGTTAATTACCTTTAGTTCTCAAATGAAGTTGGTTTCTATAATGGTTATAGTACTGAGAAAAAGATAACAAAATTCACGAGTTTCTCTGGAGCTTTCTCATGTTCATGCATGACCTTGGAGGCCCTTTCCAACTCTGAGTCTAGGATTCCACAGTGAATTGTACCTGGAGTACTTTCACTGCTGCCTTACGGAAACAGAAGTTTGGCTGAAATCCAGCTTATTTTTACTTTCAAATATACTCAAGTAGTTTCATACAGTGGATGATTTTCAGCTATTAAAAATCATGTTTTTTGAAGAAAAAGACAAAAAACTATACTCAAATATACACACATTATATGTACTGTATTATTGCAATTTTATCTAAAAATCTATTAAATAAATTCTACCAAAAATTTTGAATAATTTATAATGGTTAGCTCTGGGAGTTGACATTCTAGAGGATTTAAAATTTTTCTATTTTCTATTTACCAGTAATTGTATGTAGAACATATAATAATCAGAAAGTTTGTTGAAATACTGATGTAGTTAACCCAACCCTTATTTGTAACCAATTACCATCGGTACTATGGGGAGTTATCGCTACATGAAATACATATCTAAATATGCACACAAAGGTTAGTATGGGGGAAAAAATCTCTAAAGAAACAGCAGTGTTTTGAAAGGGGGCATATAGAGATGCTGAAGTCAAGTTTCCTTAGACTTGAAGTTCACATAGCATAGCAATGATAGCACTTCACTGGGGCTATAAGATTACATATAATCAGTGCACCATATTCATGGGTTCTGTATCTGTAGATCCCATCAATCTTGGATCAAAAATATTTTTAAAAGAGAATAAAAATGTCAATACAATAAAAATTACATTAAAAACAGTATAATAAATATTTACATAGCGTTTACATTGTATTAGGTATTATAAGTAGTCAGTATTATTTAAAGTATACAGGAGGATGTGCATTGGTTATATGAAAATACTATGCCATTTTATATATGGGACGTGAGCATCTGCAGATTTTGGTGTTCACAACGTGGATCCTGTCACTAATCCTCCACGAATACTGAGGGACGATTTTATATACTGCAACTTTGTTTGGGTTATGTTTGGGTCACTTGAAAGACACAGATTGGCAAAGGTCAAGTTCTTGGTTGGAAGGAACATTGTTCAACTTAATTCAAATGAGTGTGTTCAGTCTATTTTCATGAGTTGATTTTAAACAGTCCTAGATAATTATTTGTCACCCGAACAGGGTTCTCTGTTAATCAACTCATGGATAGTCCCATCTGTGAAGGACAGGTTTTCCCACATGGGTTGTACCAGCCATGGAGGGACTCCATGACAGCTACAGCTCTTAGGGTGATCTACACATCTTCTTGGTGCTGAGCAGAAACCTGGGAGGCAATAAGGAGAGAGATCCTTCCTTAGTGCTAAATCAGTCTTGAAGTTCTTATCTGCAGAGAAAAAAAGACCAAAAGAAAAAAGCCTCCAAGTCTTTATTTTTGACAAAAGGATGGGACTACCCTCCCCACTTCTTTCTTTCAGTCTTCCTTTTATGATTTTTTGCTGTTTAAGTCTCCCCTGGATGGCCATGTGAACCAGACGTGCCAGCACATTACTGGGAAAGCCTTGCCCAAAACATGTCATTCATTGACTAAGTAAAAATCGTCAGGTTTTTCAGTACTTAGTTAAACAAGAACAAGAACAACAACAACAACAGCAACAACAACAAAACTGACTTCCTGGAGTCAGCATCCCATGATTTGGAAGATTCATTTCATGAAATTGACCTGTGTAGGTTGGTATAGATGGAGCTTCAGAGCGTAAAGGAGTAGTGAGTTATGCAGGAGGGGAATATACAGATTGAACATTCACTACCTTTGCTCTACAGTATTGATCATGGCTGAGTTTCATTCATTAATCAACTGTGTGATCAGTGTTGAGCTTCCTGCTGAACTGTGAGCTTCTTGAGGAGGGGGACTAGGTGCAACTTTAGGTCTAGCATAGTGTGCTGGACACGTTGCAGACACTTCAAAAACTCCACTGAATAGATAATTCTGGCCTTTGACCTGGTTAGAATGGGACTAGTAAGCAATTTCATGTGTGAATGACTATCTAGTTATCTGTGTTACTAGAAATATCATGCAAAAATATCTGTACTTAGAAAGTGCACTGTTGATGAATAAAGCAGTAACAAAAATCTTATATGTTTTCTCTGGAATTCAACATGTAAATCTGATTTATATGCTAACCACTAATGATTGTTATTAGTGATAATGTTGATAATTTATTATTATATTTTTGATGATAATTTGGGGACAATTTTGTGATCCAGGCACTGTGATCAGTGCTTCACCTACGTCATCTCATTAAAGTCTCATAATGAACATGTGATATATCATCAATTTACAAATAAGGCCATTGTGACCCATAGAAGTTAAGTAATTTTCCTAGTCTCCTGCAGTTCTGTGACCTACCCAGGTCTGCCCGACCCCAAAAGCCCATGTGCTTATCTATGATGCTATATACCCTCTCAATTGGATTTGTATTACATATCATGCACTATTAAATATTTTACACATATTCATTTATTCATAAGACTTGTACCGAGTGGCTACTGTGTGTCAAGAATTGGTGACTGAAAAAAATGAGATAGGCTGGGTGTGGTGGCTCACACCTGTAATCCCAGCACTTTGGGAGGCCACCCATCCAAGGTGGGTGGATCACCTGGGTCAGGAGTTCGAGACCAACCTGGAAACATGGGAAAACCCCATCTCTACTAAAAATACAATAATTAGCTGGACATGGTGGCACATGCCTGTAGTCCCAGCTTCTTGGGAGGCTGAGGCAGGAGAATCACTTGAACCTGGGAGGCAGAGGTTGCAGTGAGCCAAGATCACACCACTGCACTCCAGCCTGGGCAACAGTGAGACTCCGTCTCAAAAAAAAAAAAAAATGAGATAAGGGGTCTCCAGGAGCTCACAAGTAATGATAGGAGAAAGCCTACAATTCTGAAGTAATAATGGCGATACTATGGCAGATCTGTTATGCCAGATATAGAAACCACAGAAAGGGTGCCGTCTATTTTAACTGGAAGTGATAAGAGGTTTCTCAGAGGATGTGACACTTAAGCCTGGAAGAACGAGAAGGATTTTAGCATGCAGATAAAGATGGGGAAGGGT
Source organism: Homo sapiens (assembly GCF_000001405.40). NCBI lineage: Eukaryota > Metazoa > Chordata > Mammalia > Primates > Hominidae > Homo > Homo sapiens. Next base: position 175,526,966 of record NC_000002.12, on the reverse strand, counting down.
AAGGCCAAAGAAGCACGGAGCATGGGGTTGCTTATGAACTGCAAATATTTTTCATGGCTGTACTAGGTGGTACAAGGAGGGGAGGAGAGAAGGGCAAACCAGAAATAGTAGCCTCTAAGCCAGTGACTTCCAAAGTGTAGTCCCTGGACCAACAGCATCAACATCACCTAGGAACATCATAGAACTGCAAATACTTAATCCCTACCCAGACCTTCTGATTTAGAAACTTTGGGATGGAGCCCAGTAATCAGTGTATTAACAAGCCCTCCAGATGAGTCTAATTGAGGACTGCTGGCCTAGGTCACGAATAGTCCATTTGGAAGGTTCTATAGTTTTTCTTCCTGTGCTGTTGCCTAGTTAGAGCATGTTATCTTAGATTGTCGGAGAGGTGAAGTTTTCTTAAAGACAATCTCAGAAGTCTTTTAACTAGATTGTTAGTCTTCAGAATTTGCTTTTGAAAGTAGCAATTCAATAACCATGTATAAGGCATAACAGAATAAATGGTTTCCAAACTTCTGTTTGTGACCTGCATGGGACCTAAAAATACTCTCTCATTGTAGGATATTATGGGAAGAAAATGAATTTGCATGATGCATAAATGGTCGAATGGTTATACTGCTCTTTATATGACAAGTTTGTGGAAAATGGCAAATAATACTTTAAGTTTATATACAGCTATAACAACAACTTATTATTTCTAAAGATTAAATTACATTCTAGCAAAATGAAATGAACTACATGGTTACTTTTTCATGAAATCATCTTCTAGCAGCAGTTTTTAAATGTGCAAACTCAGCTAATTGAAAGCAGAAAAACAGTTCTCTTTCTGAGATCTTTGAAGTAGCATCTGATGGTTTACAATACTGGCTGGACAGAACTATCAGTCTGAGAGTGTCTTCATTTGGGGTGCTGACCTCTAAAGAATGATCTAATGTATAAGGAACCTAGAGCAATAAACTCTGTCTTGGCAGACTCACCAGATAAAGATAAGCAAACGGCAGGTGAAAACAAAGCAAACAAAATGCCAACTAAGCCCTAAACTCTCAAAGAGAGGGCTGATTTCTAAAACTGATTATGGCCAACATCCATCACCAAAATTACAAGTCAAAAATGAAATCCACTATAATGGTTGTTTATTGTCATGTAAACCAAACACTGAGCTGAGAAGATTTTTTTTCTGTTCAACTCATTGACACTCACATGCACATGCATGTGACCCTTACCAGACCCTATTTATCTACATGTACCACATTTTCACCACCTCTTGGCATATCTAAATCTATCCACATTAAGACTCACCTCAAGGAACCCTCCTTTGCAAAACCACTCTTACTAGTTAGTGTCATCCAGTAGTTCCATCTCTAGGAATTTCTATTGCATGCCTTGCTTATACCAATAAACACAATGCATGTTTTTCCCATTTCAGCCAATTTTGTATTACCTGTGCCACCTTTACAACTTTGTTTTGATATACTATCTGTTCTATTATTCACTTGAATACTTGGAAATTTTCTTTAACTTCCCTTTTTGCTAAAATAAAGGTATTTAAAGTTAACTTGATTTTGATACTATAAATGGAATACTAGCACTTCCTAAAAAATAGAAGGCACACATTTAATACACATTAAAATAATTATATAACTATTTAAGTAAAAAATACTTCCTCCATGTAACACTTTAAATCATCTTGCTTACCACCAGTTGCCTTGCAATTTGTTCAGGATGAATTCAATAACATAATGTGGCATGAGTTCTCAAAGCATGAGCCCTGGAGCAGGAGCATTGGCATCATGTGGAAACTTCTTAAAAGTGCAAATCCTCAGGCTCACCCCAGGGATACTGAATCAGAAACTCTAGGAAAGGGACCCAGCCATCCATGTTTTAACAAGTCCTCCAAATGAGTCTGATACATAGGAAAGTTTGAGAACTGCTGGGTTAAGGAATAGATTTTGTTGGGGGAAATTCATAGTCCAAAGGTGAGCAATAGGAAGGCTGAATTTCCTGTAACTCCCCTCATGTCACAGAGAAATGTCCTGGCCCAGATACTGCTGGACACAAAGTGAGTCTGTGGCTGGGGAGATATTGCCCCTTTTCTGCTCTTCCCTAAAAGGCAAGCATGGGCCGTCACGGTGGCTCACACCCATAATCCCAATATTGTGGGAGGCTGAAGCAGGTGGATCACCTGAGGTCAGGAGTTCGAGACCAGCCTGACCAACATAGTGAAACCCCGTCTCTACTAAAAATACAAAAATTAGCTGGGCATGGTGGCACACGCCTGTAATCCCAGCTACTTGGGAAGCTGAGGCAGGAGAATCGCTTAAACCTGAGAGGTGGAGGTGGCAGTAAGCCAGCATCATGCCATTGCACTCCAGCCTGGGCGACAAGAGCAAAACACCATCTAAAAAAAAAAGGTAAGCATGAGCACAAACCTGTCAGTGGGGAGACAAGGCAGTTGGGTTTGAGTGCCAGCTATTTCCAGGAGTTGTCTAGGAAAACCAGATGTCCAGCACGTGTGGGAAGTTGCATCCATTCTTTCCAGTGAGAAGCAGCCATTATTCCCATGGGAAGCCAGATGCAGCATCTTCCATGGGGAGAAGCGGGGTGTTCCGTATTTGCAGCTGGCTCCTCATCTAGACCATTCCGAGACAGCTCCCAGAGCCACTTTTAGGAATTCCTGCCCAGTGCACTATTTCAAAAGTACACACTGCACATTTTGGGAAATACTGGCCTCTGTAAATTTGCATAGATTTCTCTGTGGCATTATACTCAGACTGTCAAATAGCTTCCTGCTAGTATTTAATTTTTACTAGTTCCTTGCATTTTGTTCCCAAGCACATGTGTGTTTTCCTTTGTCTTATCCATGGCACTGAGGTGCATGTTTTGGAGGTGCCCAGTAAGTATTAATATTTAGAACCATAAAATCTTAGAACTGGCAGGATATTAAGAGATCATTTAATCCAGCCACTTATTTTCAAATGAGAAAGCTAAAACGCAGAAAGTTAAATGACTTGTTCATGTTCATACATTGGCTGGGCATGGTGGCTCACACCTGTAATTCCAGCACTTTGGGAGGCCCAGGCTGGAGGAACACTTGAGCCCAGGAGTTCGAGATCAGCCTGGACAACATGGTGAAACCCCATCTCTAAAAAAAAAAAAAAAAAAAAAATTAGCCAGGCTTTGCAGCACATGCCTGTGGTCCCAGCTACTTGGAAGGCTGAAGTGGGAGGATTGCTTGAGCCCAGGAGGTCAAGGCTACAGTGAACCGTGATTGTACCACTACACTCCAGCCTGGGTGACAGAGTGAAACCCTGTCTCAAAACAAACAAACAAACAAACAAAACAGTTCATACATTAAATTAGCGGCAAGCAGGATAAAAAACCATGTCTCTTGATTCTCAGTGAGGCATTGTTCTAGAATTAAACAATAATCAATTAATACGGTTACTTTATCAAACATGCATGGCACACCCTCTGCACATTACGCCCTTATCAACATACAGAAGCCTACTATATGGGAGGTTTCTTTAAACTAAATTTATTACAATGCTCTATCTTCTAGAAGTATATACTAAGTGTTTATATTGCTCATGGAGGAAAGTTATTTGTAAGTAATTTATAAAGAGGACTTACTTGACCAGCCAGGATGATTTTTCTTCTGAATTACATCCTAATATGTATAGCTTTCTTGCTCTCAGCTTATTCCACTTGGAGCTATGCCCAGCACAATTTACGTCTATGAACTGCTGAACATTTAAGCAAATTAAGTGTCCAAAAAATCAAACACAAATTGTATCTTGGTGATTTATGCCTTCATAAAGCAAAACACATACAGTGTGCCAAGCAAAGGCCAGATTTATAGTTCTGCTGGTTAGGAAAAATGAATAGATATATCCTAGAGAACATGTTGAGAACTGTGCTTGTGTGTTTAGTTCTTGACCATGCGGGTTTCTCCCTGTGATATTTATTTTACAAATCATCTTCAATGCTAATATGTAATGTAATCTGAGAATGGGAAAGACATACAAGAATTCTAGACAGAGATGTAGATGCCAGTTAACTTTCACCAGAGCCCAAAAAATACAGGCAACTGAGCAGCCCTGGATCTTTTATCTCTAACCTAACACCTTCAGGTTAAGCTAAGCAATTTCACTTAAACATCAGAAGATTTGGGGTAGAAAGTGAGAAGTAAACTGAGACTGCCAAAGTAAACCGGAGACTAAGAGTTGATTCGAATCTCTATTAAGATGTTTCCAGTAGCTCACAGGCTTTACAGATACACTATCCTACTGAAAGTATAGTGCAGTGATCAAGCATATATGCATTGGAATCAGAGGAACAGGTTTGAATACCAATGTCCCACTAACTGGCTGTGAGCATCTCTGTTTTCTTATCTATAAATGAGGGTTAATGATATCTACTTCAAAGCTGGGTTTTTTTTGCTTAATGAGATAATGGTTGTGTGGTAGGCCACCTCTAAGATGGTTCCCAATAATCCCAACCTCCTGGTATCCATTCCCTCATCTTGGGGATGGGCCAAACCTAGTGACTCACTTCTAGTGCACAGAATATATCAAAAATTATGGGTGTCACTTCCAAGATTTGTTTACAAAAAGACTCTGACTTCTATATTCCTTACCCTTTCTTGCCTTATTGCTTGCTTGCTTTGAGAAAAGCGAGCTACCCCATGTGAGCTGCCTTGAGAAGAGACCCAGGTAGCGAGGAACTGAAGGAGGCCTCCAGCTAACACCAGCGGGGAACTGAGGCCCTTGGTCCAACAGTCCAGGAGGAACTAAATCTCATCAACCCCACATGAGTGAGCTTGAATGAGGATCTTCCCAGTTGAGCCATAAGGTAAGTGAATGAATACCATGATTTTAGCCTTATGAGAGATACTGAGTCAGAGGACTTAGCTAAGCCACATCAAGATTTCTGACAAGCAGAAACGGTGAGATAATAAATGTTTGTTATTTTAAGCTACTAAATTTGGGGCATTTTGTCACATAGCAATAGATACATACATATAGGTGGTAAAATGCTCAGCATGGAACCTGGCACTTACTACATTATCTGTAAATGATGGCTATTATTCTAGTTATTAATGGCTTTGTGCAAATGAAGATTACACAGTGATAATTTAATCACTCTACTTGTATTTAGGCTTGCAAATAAGGATTTTAAACCACATAGAGCCTTTAGCCATTTTGCTAATATATAGATAATGAGCTAGCTAAAATCATGAACATTATGTCTTCTATAAGAGCAGAGTGTGTGAAAGTGGAATAATATGGAATGTCACCTCTTAAGAGTCACCATCTTGCAATATGTCCCAATCATGAGTTATTCTGGGGTAAATTTGTCCTATCTGAGCTAGGGCGCTGACATTTCTATTGCAATTCACTGACTGAGGCTAAAATTTCAGGTAGCTACAAAAGAGTCAATCTTGTGGAACCTGCTTAATTAAAAACCTGACATTCAAAGCCCACAATATGTTTTCTTTTGGAGAAAAGCCACAGTATAATTGAGTACGGAATGAAGATATTTCAATTTAAGGTCAGGTTGTGTATTGCTGTCATCAAAGTCAAATGAAATTTATCCTGAAAGAATAACTAAAATTTGGAAACAGATTTATGTACAAGGTTGTTCATTGCAGCATTATTTACAAACATAAAAAATATGGGAGACAACCTAAATGTCCAACAACAGGGGACTCATTGAATTATTTGTGGCGTGTTCATACATTGGAATAGTATAAGGCTATTAAACATGTTTTATATAAATATTTACCAACCTGGAGAAATGCTTACAAAGTATTGTTAATTTAAAAAGACGGGTATAAAACTATTTGAATGGTATGATCTAATTTGAAGGAAAAGTGTGTGCACACACGCATGTGTGTGTGAGAATGACAGATGGTTTGTTTTCCTAGCCTTTCCTTTTTCCAACGTTTCTTTCCCCCTCACACACAGTGGCATTTCCATTTCCTGCCAGAATAGGTCTTGTTGTAATTGCTTGTTGTCAGAAAAGTAATACAAGAAAGAACAAAGGAAGAGGGAGGGAATTAGCTAAGAGAGTAATTTAATTTACATATTTGGGAAGAGAGAAGGGAAAGGAGAAAGGATAGTGGAGAGGACTGAAGATAGACATGGAGCTGTTGAAAATATGCTGCTTTTTAAAATTCTTTATTTGTTTTCTGATTTTCCAGTTATATCTGCAAGAAACTGTGCTTCTTAATTGCAAAACCCAATAGACTGAACCATTGGGTTATAATTTCCTAAGTATGATATGAACAGAAGATTGACAAAAACTGTTAATAAACTAGGTATTGAAGGAGCATACCTCAAAATAAAAAGAGCCATATGTGACAAACTCACAGCCAATATCATACTGAATGGGCAAAAGCTGAAAGCATTCCCTTTGAAAACCGGCACAAGACAAGGATGCCCTCTCTCACCACTCCTATTCAACATAGTATTGGAAGTTCCGGCCAGAGCAATCAGAAAAACAAATGAAATAAAGGGTATTCAAATAGGAAGAGAGGAAGTAAAATTATCTTTGTTTGCAGATGACATGATCCTATATCTAGAAAACCCCATCATCTCAGCCCTAAAGTTTCTTAAGCTGATAAACAACTTCAGCAAAGTCTCAGGATACAAAATCAATGTGCAAAATTGCTAGTATTATTATACCCCAGCAACAGGCAAGCACAGAGCCAAATTATGTATGAACTCCCATTCACAATTGCTACAAAAAGAATAAAATACCTAGGAATACAGCTAGCAAAGGAACTGAAGGACCTCTTCAAGGAGAACTTCAAACCACTGCTCAAAGAAGAGGACCCAAACAAATGAAGAAACATTCCATGCTCATAGATAGGAAGAATCAATATCATGAAAATGGCCATACTGCCCAAAGTAATTTATTAATTCAATACTATTTCCATTAAATTACCATTGACATTCTTCACAGAATTAGAAAAAAACTATTTTAAACTTCATATGGTATCAAAAAAACAGCCTGAGTAACCAAGATAATCCTAAGCAAAAAGAAGAAAGCTGGAGGCATCACACTACCCAACTTCAAACTATTCTACAAGACTACAGTAACCAAAACAGCATGGTACTGGCAAAAGAACACAGACATAGACCAATAGAACAGAATAGAGAACTCAGAAATAAGACTGTACACCTATAACCATCTGATCTTTGACAAATCTGACAAAACCAAGCAATGAGGAAATGACTCCCTACTTCATAAATGGTGCTGAGAGAACTGGCTAGCCATATGCAGAAAGTTGAAACTGGATCCCTTCCTTATACCATACACAAAGATTAACTCAAGATGGATTAAAGACTTAAATGTAAAACCTAAAACTATGAAAACCCTAGAAGAAAATCTAGGCAATGTCCTTCGGAATATAGGCATGGGCAAAGATTTCATGATGAAAACACCGAAAGCAATTGCAACAGAAGCAAAAATTGAGAAATGGTATCTAATTAAACTTAAGAGCTTCCTTTTTAAAAAAAATTTTATTTCCATAGGTTTTTGGGGAACAGGTGGTATTCGGTTACATAAGTAAGTTCTTTAGTGGTGATTTATAAGATTTTGGTAGACCCATCACCTGAGCAGTATGTGCTGAACCCAATTTGTAGTCTTTTATCCCTCACCCCCTTCCCACCCTTTCCCCCTGAGTCCCCAAAGTCCACTGTATCATTCTTATGCCTTTGCATCTTCATAGCTTAGTTCCCACTTATGAGTGAGAACATACAGTGTGTGGTTTTCTATTCCTGGGTTACTTCACTTAGAATAATAGTCTCCAATCCCACACAGGTTGCTGTGAATACCATTAATTCATTCCTTTTTATGGCTGAGTAGTATTCCATCACATATATATGTGTGTATATATATACACATCGTGTGTGCATATATATATATATATATATATACACACACACACACACACCACAGTTTCTTATCCATTCATTGATGGGCATTTGGGCTGGCTCCACATTCTTGCAATTGTGAACTGTGCTGTTATAAACATGCATATGCAAGTATCTTTTTCATATAATGACTTATTTTCCTCTGGGTAGATACTCAGTAGAGGGATTGCTGGATCAAATGGTAGTTAGTTCTACTTTTAGTTCTTTAAGGAATCTCCACACTATTTTCCATAGTGGTTATACTAGCCTACATTTTCACCAGCAGTGTAGAAGTGTTCCCTTTTCACCACATCCACACCATCTATTATTTTTTGATTTTTTGATCACGGCCATTCTTGCAGGAATAAGGTGGTATTGCATTGTGGTTTTAATTTGCATTTCCCTCATCATTAGTGATGCTGAACATTTTTTCATATGTTTGTTGACCATTTGTATATCTTCTTTTGAGGACTGTCTATTCATGTCCTTGGCCCACTTTTTGATGGGACTGTTTGTTGTTGGTTGTTGTTTTTTCTTGCTAACTTGTTTGAGTCTGTTGTAGAATCTTGACGTTAGTCCCTTGCTGGATGTATAGATTGTGAAGATTTTCTCCTACTCTGTGGGTGGTATGTTTACTCTGCTGACTGTTTCCTTTGCCATGCAAAAGCCTAAGCTAAAGAGCTTCTACACGACAAAAGAAACTATCATCAGAGTGAACAGACAACCTACAGAATGGGAGAAAGTTTTTGCAATCTATCCATCTGACGAAGTCTAATATCCAGAGTCTACAAGGAACTTAAACAAATTTACAAAAACACACACACACACACACACACACACATTAAAAAGTAGGCAAAAAACATGAATAGACACTTTTCAAAAGAAGACATCCATTCAGCCAACAAGCATGAAAAAAAGCTCAACATCACTGATGATTAGAGAAATGCCAAACAAAACCACAATGAGATACCATCTCATGCCAGTCAGAATGGTGCTTATTAAAAAGTTCAGAAACAACAGATGCTGGCAAGGTTGCAGAGAAAAAGGAACACTTTTACACTGTTGGTGGGAATATAAATTAGTTCAACATTGTGTAAGACAGTGTGGCGATTCCTCAGAGATCTAGAAGCAGAAATAGCATTTGACCCAGCAATCCCATTACTGGGTATATACCCAAAGGAATATAAATCATTCTATTATAAAGATAGTTGCACACGTATGTTCATTGCAGCACTATTCACAATAGCAAAGACATGGAATCAACCCAAATGTTCATCAATGATAGACTGGATAAAGAAAATGTGGTACGTATACACCATGGAATACTACTATGCAGCCATAAAAAGGAAAAAGACCATGTCTTTTGCAGGGACACGGATGGAGTTGGAAGTCAGTATCCTCAACAAACTAACGCAGGTACAGAAAACCAAATACAACATGTTCTCCCTTATAACTGGGAGCTGAATAATGAGAACACATGAACACATTGGGTGGGAGGATTAACAACACACACTGGAGCCTGTGAGGTCAGGGGAGTGAGAGTATCAGGAAGAATAGGTAATGAATGCTGAGCTTAATACCTAGGTAATGGGATTATCTGTGCAGCAAACTACCATGGCACACATTTACCTATGTAACAAACCTACAGGGCACATGTAACCCTGAACTTAAAATAAAAATTGAAGGGGGAAAAATGATTATATATACCGCATTGTTCACCTGGTGCCCAAGACTCCCACTATACCCCAGGACCATCTCTCCTCTCAAATGAGTCTAAATCAAAAGTAGGAGGACACACATTACACCATGATACCCATAAGTTGTTCTTCAACGTAAGGAAGAAACAGTTTAAAACAGTTACTGCAGACCATGACTAAATCTTGAATTTATGTCTCCATTTTCTAACGTGCAGTTGGTGCACTAAGACTAGAGATGCCTCCTCCATGGGAAGCACCTTGTACAGGGAAGGCCCAGGCCAGAGTCACCAGGAGCAGTTCAGCTCTAGGCCTTGAAAAGAATTTATCTTCTTCTCTTTGTTTTGTTCTTCCTTTTGCTCTTCTTTGCTTATTATTTGCCTTTATTCATCAGCCAATTGATAAACTCTAGCAATGCATCTCAACTGAGCAGCAGTACCAATGAATTACCATCAGGTTGCTCCTGGGGATCTTGATAAAACACAACACTTGATGAAACAGATTCTGATTTAGTGTATCTGGGGTGGGGCCTGAGATTCTGCAATTATGATGAGCTTCCAAGGGATGCCAATACAGCTGGTCTGTGAATAACGCCTAGAGGAGTCTCAAAGACTGAGAACTGAGATGAGGGTGTGTGCACAGAAGAAATGGACTGAGGAGGCTGCTCCATTTGCATTTAGTGTATTGGACTAAAGGCACAAAAAGAGTCTTTGCAATTTCCACGTGATTCTTTATGGGTCATCAGGTCTAAGGGTTCAAAATCAGGGTGTAGCTTTTAAGCATTCTAATACTGAAGAGTGTTTTTGCCTAGAGTGGCTGCTCTACCCAGCTCCTCCAGTAATGGAGGGCTACAGTAAAAGTCTGGTGATTCAAGAATTCAGTGGTTACACCTCTCTTGCAGAATCATAAATGATTTAATTTTCTCCTTTGTATATATATTTCATATTTTCTATAATGAACATGTATTACTTCTTAATCGGAAAAAATGGTAAAAAATTTTAACTAGTTTCTTATTGCAGAATCTTTTTGGTTTTTATGGGTAAAATGCAGATTATTTTGTTTCTTAGAAAATGCTATGCTCTTTGTGTTTTTTTCTGATCTTTGATTTCTGGGAGCAGCTAATGATTGGCTAGGAAATAAGGATGACAAACAAAATGGCACTGGTTCCGCTTGAAAGAGAAAACACTCAAGAGGAGTTTTCAGTATTATCAGATTTAAGTCCATAAAGGATAGTGCCTGATTATTTATTTATTTTTCCCATTGAGAAAAGAAGGAAAGATCTGTTTCAACAAGGATTGAAATTAGCATTGGAAAATTATTTCCCAATTGTAAACGTTCTTAAATGGAGAAGCAAGTTATCAAGGGAGATGTGTAATCTCTGTCCTTGAAGACCTTTTAAAAATCTATGTATGTGAGTTATCAAGCTTGTAGATGATGTGTGGGATATATAAAATCCCAAAATGATATATCTTTCTCACTTAGCATATTTGGGCCACTTCCATTTACCAAAAATTAGCGTGAAGTCAGGGGTGTAAACTAATGCTAGTAATCACAAAAGAAAAATGTAGTTAGAAATCTACCTGCTATAAATAGCTTAAATAATGCAATCCAAAAGCAAATATAAATGATTTTTGGTTAGCCACAGTTTGGGATTACTCATACCACTGCTCTATTAGTACAGGTAATTGAAAATCGACCCTGTAATCAATCCCCATTTCTTTGATTTAATTCAGGCTCATTCCTCACCAGGGGCAGTGCCATGCACTATGTGGCTTCAGGAAGCCCCTTGTGGCCTGAAGGACCTTTGGTTATGATTTTAAAAGGTGACAGATTATTGACATAGTAAAATTATTCAAGGCAACGCAGTTAAATGTTCCCCTTTGACACCAATAGACATCCATTAAAATTTAAATAAACTTTTAATTGTATTGAATCACTATGAAATCTGTATACATGCTGTTTTGGTCTTTCTGAGATCTTATGAGACTGGAAAAAATACACAGTCTTTCTCTTTTCCTAAGGACCAGTGTCACCATGATTACGACATGCTGATGTCAGCCAAAGTACAGGCAGTTGTATATCCTAGTAAATACTGACTCCTCATCTTCTTTATCTTATCACAGGCCTGATCTTCCTGTGGGGGAGCCCACCTCAGTGACAAGCACCACCATCTCCCCACTGCCAAGGATAACACTTGAGAGCCATCCTTCTCAGTTTGTTCTTATTCATATGCTGCATGTCATTAATTACCAGCCCCATCCAAGACTTTCTCTTAAATATCTCTTTAACATACCCTCTTCTCTCCATCCTCATAACCATCACTCTGGTCTAGGCTACCATATTCTCACATCTGACTCTTTCTACAACTCCCTAATGGGTCTCTCTACTTCTATGTTGACCAACCCCTCTCCCATCCAATCCAGGCTATGTATGTCAGACAGATTGATCTTTCTGTAAACGAAATCTAATGGTGTCACTCCCCAGTCTTTAATGTAAACCCACATATTTCATGATTCCATTTATAGAGACAGGACATAGATTAGTGGCCGCCTAGGGATAGAAGAGTTGGGGGAAATGGGAGTGACTACTAATGGGTATGCGGTTTCTTTTGGAAGTGATAAAAATGTTCTAAAATTGATTGTGATTATGATTGCAGAACTCTGTGAACAGACTAAAAACCACTGAATTATGCACTTGTAAATAGGTGAATTATACGATATGTGAATTATATCTTCATAAAGCAGTTATTTTTAAAAAATACCTCTTCGATGTCTCCTCAATGGTCTTCATATAAAGATTTTTGACATTGCCTGTAATGATCTTAATGATCTACCCTCAGCCCCAGCCTTATTCATGGCATGCCCCACTTCTACCATGTGAATTTCTTTGGGCCCCTTAATCTTGGCATCCACTGTTTTACCTCTGAGTTTTGCACTTCCTACTCCTTCTGCCATCCTCTCCACTCCAATCCCCTCAATTTTCACCTGGATAATCCGACTTATCTTCAATGTACCATTGAGTTATCACTTACGCTAGGAAGCTTTCTGAATCTTACTTTTTGAATGTCCCTTCAATGAGCATCCCAGTCACCATACTTATACAGATGTGCATTTGTTTACTTTGTGTTCTAAATGCCCTCTAAATTCAGTGAGACATCAGGCACAGTGTCTATTGTGATCTCTCAGTCTAACACAGTGCCTGGCATGTATAGGGTACCAAATAAATAAGTTGAATGAATGAATGAATGACTGAACTACATATTCAAAGTTTGTTCAAAGGATAACATTTTTTATTTCCTACTAGGATTATGCTTCCCAGTGTAGAACTGGTTCATTTTTTTTAAATAGTATATACATGTTGCTTTTATTTCTTCACCAGCTATATACTCAAAGCCCTTTGTAATTTTCATAACTCTAGTAAACTCCATCTCAAAAGTTACCAAAAAGCAATTACTAAAGCCAATGGGTGACTCTTTGTTAGTCCTCATTCTCCCTGACTTTTTTGCAGCCATAGATGTTGTCTCCTTCTTCTACCTAAGTCAGTGGTTTTCAAAGTCTGATCCCAGGACCAATAGCAGCAGCAACAATAGCACATAGAAACTTGTTGGAAATGTAGATTCTTGGGCCTCACCCCACACGTACTGAGTCAGAAACTCTGGTGGGTGGGACTCAAAAATCTGTGTTTTGACAAGCACTCCAGGTGGTTCTGATGCACACTAAAATTTAAGAACCAGTGCCCAAAGCTAATTCGTTTTGGTAAACTTGACTTTTCTTGTCATAGCAAGGGGTAGAAGGAGTGATGAAGACAGCAAGCCCCCATAGCTGCTCCCAAGCCAAGCTAATTCACAGACTCTCTATCACTTCCAGCTTAGGGTTCCACATTCATGAAGCACTGGCTCCCAGGTGGTACAAGTTAGGCAATGTAGATTCTTGAATGTACATTGTACAAAGTTTATTTCCCCTGACCTTACCCACAATGGTGGAAAAACAATAGATGTACCTTTCCTAAGGAATTCTCAAATTCACAAGCTGAGTTTTATTTACAACTCAAGTCCTTTTTTTTTTTTCTTTTTTTAATCTTATTCTGTATTGTCTGCACAACTCCTCTCACAGTCTTCTCCGGACCTTCACAGAAGGTAGAGATGGCCATATCAAAGGCTCCATCCCTAATTACGGTTTATTCGTATTTGGGTTTTTCTCATGAGAGCACCATTAACAAGAGGCAGCTCTGAAAGTGGCACCTCCAGACAGAAGAACCTATACCGTTGACTTCAGCTGGACGCTCCTTCATTTGACTGAATTCTAACTTCCTGACTATGACAGCAAAAATGCTAACACTCTATAGGCTCCTTTCTCTTCTTTCTTACTTTTTTTTTTTTTTTTTTTTTTTGAGATGGAGTCTCGATCTCCGCTCACTGCAAGCTCCGCCTCCCGAATTCACACCGTTCTCCTGCCTCAGCCTCCTGAGTAGCTGGGACTACAGGTGCCCGCCACCATGCCCAGCTAATTTTTTGTATTTTTAGTAGAGACGGGGTTTCACCATGTTAGCCAGGATGGTCGGCTCCTTCTCTTCTTTCTATGGTTATTTTTGGACTTAAAATTGTAATACTGCTAACTAAATACAATAAGTTTTTCTTATTGTATTTATGATACGATAGATTACCCATCTCTGATCATTTGGCACTATTGCCCACTTCTACCTTCCTAAAAATTTCTCTTCCCTTGACATCTATGACGGTGGTTTTCTTCCTACATTGACCATTTTTATGCTAGTTCTTCTTTCTCCTCTCACACTTAACTGGGGTCCTTCTGCAATAATTAATTAGGCTTTTATCTTTTATTCATATACACTGTGTTTTGGAGAAGCCATCCGTTTAGCTATTATTTCTATTTAAGAAACTCACAAAATATTCCTAGCCTTAGTTTCTTCCAAATTTCAAATCCATATAGTCAACTATCTGTTGGATATTTCCAATTGAATGTTGTTTGAGTTCTCCAAATTCAACAATTTCTAAAGCCAAACTTTTTATTCTCCTACCCTACTCTATCAGGCTATTTAACCAAACTTGAAAAACCTACTGTTACCCTTGAACATTCTCTCAATTTCCATTTCACTACTCTTGTCCAATGTCACATTAGTTGATACCCTAAAAGCCTTCTTTGTCATCATGTTTTTTTCTTAACTCCTAAGTCCAATCTGGTCTATTCAGTGTTGCTATGTTACTTGTTACTACCTTGCTCGAAAAACCTCAATGGTTGTCCACTGCCTAAGGATAGAATCCAAAGTCTTTGTCCTGACATTCAAAAGACTTCTTAAATATGCTCAAAACTTCATTTCCAATGTCAGTGCCCATTATTATCAAAACAATCTCTCTGCTCTGGCCCAAATAAGCTACTGTTATTGCTAGTACTATACTCACTACCACCACCACCACTCACCACCACCACGACTGCTACTACCACCATCACCACTACCACTACTGTCACACCAGGCAAGACCAGCTAACGTTTATTGAGAGTTTACTATGTGTGAGGCACTATGTTAAATTCATCATTTCATTTAATTCTCATAACAACCTTGTAGGGTTATCCTCATTATGTACATAGGAAAATCAAGAAATACAAAAAGTCAAGTGACTTGCCCATGTTCAAATACTAGTAATTGATAGATACAAGTTGAATTTAGGTCTGTCTATGTCAAAAGACTGTAAATTCTATGGCAGTAAGGGCTGTTGTTCTCTCCAGTGCTTAGCTCAGTGCCAGACCCATGAGATCAATAAACGTTTTGTAAATGAATATTGAATAAATTTTAAATTCCATTCTCTTACTTGTTATAATCCCATAGCCTTACAGTCCTCTAAATATCTTTTTGTTCATTCCCACTTTTAGGCATTTTTTCACCCTGTTAGCCTTATTTTGAATATTCTTACTGTTATCTCTTTTTTTTTTTTACTTTTTCCAGACCTGAAGCAAGACAGAATTTATTTTTCTTCTATTTGAGACAAGGTCTCAGTCTGCTGCCCTGCCACTGTAGTGCAGTGACATGGTCATAGCTCAATGTAGCCCTGAACTCCTGGCCTCATACAGTCCTCCTGCCTGACGCCTCCCAAGTAGCTAGGACTATAGGTATGAACCACCATGCCCTGCTAATTTGGGTTTTTTGTTTTTGTTTTGTAGAGACAGGGTCTCGCTATGTTGCACAGGCTGGCCTCGAACTCCAGGCCTCAAACGATCCTCCTACTTCAGCTTCCCAATGTGCTGGGATTACAGGCATGAGCCACCATACCCAGCTGTCATCTCTGTCTTTCCAATCCTACCTTGTTTTCAAAGTATTCATAAAGTCCTTTCATCCTTCTCAAATATTTTCCCAGCAAAAAGTTCTTCTCACTAAATTTTAGTAGGAATTATTTTCTTTTCCATTCATTTGATTTTCATCATATCGTGCTTTGCATTATTCTTTAACTTTGTATATGCTTTTTCACCCAAGTGAGATTATGAGTTCCTCTATAATAGAGACTTTGAGCTAACTTTTAATAATTGGTACAGAATTAAGTAAATGGAACTTTGAATGTCAAAGGTTAATCAAAAGTTTCTAAAAGGAGAAAGCAATTTGCTCACAACCGTCAGTGATTCTCTGACATTTGAATCATTCTCTATGACTATTAGTCTATAGTTAGGGTAATGTTACGGTATAACAGATGAACCCCAGAATTTCAACAGCTTAACACAATGGAAATTTATTTTTTGCTCAATTAGCAGTCCAATGCAGGTGGATGACTTTCCTTTGCTTACTAATTCTATCCTATGACTTTGTATCCTGACAACTGGGGTTGGGGTGGGAGATGGTGGGCAGGAGCTGGGGAGAAGAGGGAAAAGAAGGCCCACCTTCTTCCTATCTGCCTTGCTTTGAAGTGACATATTACTTTGGCTCACATTTCACTGATAAGAATCACATGGTCCCTCCTAGCAGCAAGAAGCCGAGATATACAGTCCCTGGCTGGGCAGCTCCATAGGAAGTGTTATAAAAGGAGAAGGATGGATGTTTGTAGAGTTGGCCATCTATTCTACAACTAGTTAGTGAATATTTCTTATTTCCAGCAATAATAATAGATATTTGAATCAACCTTTTACAAATTCAACACAGATTTAATTTATGAGTTCCAGTCTATGGCACTCTAAAAATTCCTAATTTAATCCACAAACAGTGCTGTGGAAAGCACTACACAAATAGATGGCACTCATGAATTTATCTTAATGATGTTAATTTTAAGCCAATATAATTTGCTGCCCACTGCCTCTAAGTCATACCCAAATGGCAGCTGTAGAGGAGTTGATGATGTAATAGAACATGCATTTCCATTTTTTTTTCATTTCACATTTATGTATTTGGGTTAAGTAAGGCTTGGTCTACTTCTTAAATCCCATAAATTTCATTGCAAGGTCAATTTTTTTTTTTTTTTTTTTTTTTTTTGAGACAGAGTCTCACTCTGTCACCCAGGCTGGAGTGCAATGGCATGATCTCAGTTCACTGCTACCTCCGCCTCCTGGATTCAAGCGATTCTTCTGCTTCAGCCTCCCGAGTAGCTGGGACTACAGGCGAGCGCCACCACATCTGACTAATTTTTTATATTTTTAGTAGAGACGGGGTTTCACCATATTGGCCAGGCTGGTCTCCAACTCCTGACCTCGTGATCCGCCCACCTCAGCCTCCCAAAGTGCTGGGATTACAGGTGTGAGCCACTGCATCAGGCTATCCCAAGGTAAATTTTTTTTTTTTAATACTTTAAGTTCTAGGGTACGTGTGCACAACATGCAGGTTTGTTATATATGTATACATGTGCCATGTTGGTTTTTTGCACCCATCAACTCATCATTTACATTAGGTATTTCTCCTAATGCTATCCCTCCCCAAGCCCCCCAACCCCAACAGGCCCCGGTTTGTGATGTTCCACTCCATGTCTCCATGTGTTCCAATTGTTTAATTCTCACCTATGAGTGAGAACATGTAGTGTTTGGTTTTCTGTCCTTGTCATAGTTTGCTGAGAATGATGGTTTCCAGCTTCATCCATGTCCCTACAAAGGACATGAACTCATCCTTTTTATGGCTGCATAGGATTCCATGGTGCATATGTGCCACATTTTCTTTATACAGTCTATCATGGATGGACATTTGGGTTGGTTCCAAGTCTTTGCTATTGTGAATAGTGCTGCAATAAACATATGTGTGCATGTGTCTTTACAGTAGCATGATTTATAATCCTCTGGGTATACATCCAGTAATGGGATGGCTGGGTCAAATGGTATTTCTAGTTCTAGATCCTTGAGGAATCACCACACTGTCTTCCACAATAGTTGAACTAACTTACATGCCCACCAACAGTGTGAAAGCGCTCCTATTTCTCTACATCCTCTCCAGCAACTGTTGTTTCCTGACTTTTTAATGATCACCATTCTAACTGGCATGAGATGGTATCTCATTGTGGTTTTGATTTGCATTTCTCTGATGACCAGTGATGATGTGCATTTTTTCATGTGTCTGTTGGCTATGTAAATGTCTTCTTTTGAGAAGTGCCTGTTCATATCCTTTGCCCACTTTTTATGGGGTTGTTTTTTTCTTGTAAATTTGTTTGAGTTCTTTGTAGATTCTGGATATTAGCCCTTTGTCAGATGGGTAGATTGCAAAAATTTTCCCCAATTCTGTAAGCTGCCGGTTCACTCTGATGGTAGCTTCTTTTGCCATGCAGAGGCTCTTTAGTTTAATTAGATCCCATTTGTCTGTTTTGACTTTTGTTGCCATTGCTTTTGGTGTTTTAGTCATGAAGTCCTTGCCCAAGCCTATGTCCTGAATGGTAATGCCTAGGTTTTCTTCTTGAGTGCTTATGGTTTTAGGTCTAATATTTAAATCTTTAATCCATCTTGAATTATTTTTTGTATAAGGTGTAAAGAAGGAATCCAGTTTCAGCTTTCTACATATGGCTAGCCAGTTTTCCCAGCACCATTTATTAAATAGGGAATCCTTTCCCCATTTCTTGTTTTTGTCAGGTTTGTCAAAGATCACATGGCTGTAGATGTGTGGTGTTATTTCTGAGGCCTCTGTTCTTTTCCATTGGTCTATATCTCTATTTTGGTACCAGTACCATGCTGTTTTGATTACTGTAGCCTTGAAGTATAGTTTGAAGTCAGGTAGCATGAAGCCTCCAGCTTTGATCTTTTGGCTTAGGATTGTCTTGGCAATGCGGGCTTCTTTTTTGGTTCCATATGAACTTTAAAGTAGTTTTTCTCCAATTCTGTGAAGAAAGTCATTGGTAGTTTGATGAGGGTGGCATTGAATCTATAAATTACCTATATTCCTATCCATGAGCATGGAATGTTCTTCCATTTGTTTGTGTCCTCTTTTATTTCATTGAGCAGTGGTTTGTAGTTCTCCTTGAAGAGGTCCTTCACATCCCTTGTAAGTTGGATTCCTAGGTACTTCATTCTCTTTGCAGCAATTGTGAATGGGAGTTCACTTATGATTTGGCTCTCTGTTTGTCTGTTATTGGTGAATAGGAATGCTTGTGATTTTAGCACATTGATTCTGTATCCTGAGATTTTGCTGAAGTTGCTTATCAGCTTAAGGAGATTTTGGGCTGAGACTATGGAATTTTCTAAATATACAATTCATGTCATCTGCAAACAGGGACAATTTGACTTCTTCTTTTCCTAATTGAATACTCTTTATTTCCTTGTCTTGCCTGATTGCCCTGGCCGCAACTCCCAACACTATGTTGAATGGGAGTGGTGAGAGAGGGCATCCTTGTCTTGTGCCGGTTTTCAAAGGGAATGCTTCCAGTTTTTGCCCATTCAGTATGATATTGGCTGTGGGTTTGTCATAAATAGCTTATTATTTTGAGATATGTTCCATGAATACCTAGTTTATTGAGAGTTTTTAGCATGAAGGGCTGTTGAATTTTCTCAAAGGCCTTTTCTGCATCCATTGAGATAATCATGTGGTTTTTGTCTTTGGTTTGGCTTATGTTATGGATTAAGTTTATTGATTTGCATATGCTGAACGAGCCTTGCATTCCAGGGATGAAGCCAACTTGATCGTGGTGGATAAGATTTTTGATGTGCTGCTGGATTCGGTTTGCCAGTATTTTATTAAGGATTTTCACATCGATGTTCATCAGGGATATTGGTCTGAAATTCTCTTTTTTTGTTGTGTCTCTGCCAGGCTTTGACATCAGGATGATACTGGCCTCATTAAATGAGTTAGGCAGGATTCCCTCTTTTTCTTTTGATTAGAATAGTTTCAGAAGGAATGGTACCAGCTCCTCTTTGTACCTCTGGTAGAATTCAGCTGTGAATCCGTCTGGTCCTGGACTTTTTTTGGTTGGTAGGCTATTAATTATTGCCTCAATTTCAGAGCCTGTTATTGGTCTATTCAGAGATTCAACTTGTTCCTGGTTTAGTCTTGGGAAGATGTATGTGTCCAGGAATTTATCCATTTCTTCTAGATTTTCTAGCTTATTTGCATAGAGGTGTTTATAGTAGTCTCTGATGGTAGTTTGTATTTATGTGAGATTGGTGGTGATATACACTTTATCATTTTTTATTACATCTATTTAATTCTTCTCTCTTTTCTTCTTTATTAGTCTGGCTAGCAGTCTATCTATTTTGTTGATCTTTTCAAAAAACCAGCTGCTGGATTCATGGATTTTTTGAAGGGTTTTTTGTGTCTCTATCTCCCTCAGTTCTGCTCTGATCTTAGTTATTTCTTGCCTTCAGCTAGCTTTTGAATGTGTTTGCTCTTGCTGCTCTAGTTCTTTTCATTGTGATGTTAGGGTGTCAATTTTAGATCTTTCCTGCTTTCTCTTGTAGGCATTTAGTGTTATAAATTTCCCTCTACATACTGCTTTAAATGTGTCCCAGAGATTCTGGTATGTTGTGTCTTTGTTCTCATTGGTTTCAAAGAACATCTTTATTTCTGCCTTCATTTCGTTGTTTACCCAGTAGTCATTCAAGAGCAGGTTGTTCAGTTTCCATGTAGTGCTGCAGTTTTGAATGAGTTTCTTAATCCTGAGTCCTAATTTGATTGCACTGTGGTCTGAGAGACAGTTTGTTGTGATTTCTGTTCTTTTATATTTGCTGAGGAGTGCTTTACTTCCAGTTATGTGGTCAATTTTAGAATAAGTGTGATGTGGTGCTGAGGAGAATGTATATTCTGTTGAATTGGGGTGGAGAGCTCTGTAGATGTCTATTAGGTCCACTTGGTCCAGAGCTGAGTTCAAGTCCTGGATATCCTTGTTAACCTTCTGTCTTGTTGATCTGTCTAATATTGACAGTGGGGTAATAAAGTCTCTCATTATTTTTGTATGGGAGTCTAAGTCTCTTTGTAGGTCTCTAAGGACTTGCTTTATGAATTTGGGTGCTCCTGTATTGGGTGCATATATATGTAGCTCTTCTTGTTACATTGATCCCTTTACCATTACGTAATGGCCTTCTTTGTCTCTTTTGATCTTTCTTGGTTTCAAGTCTGTTATATCAGAGACTAGGATTGCAACCCTTGCTTTTTTTTGCTTTCCATTTGCTTGGTAGATCTTCCTCCATCCCTTTATTTTGAGCCTATGTGTGTCTCTGCACGTGAGATGGGTCTTCTGAATATGGCACACCGATGGGTCTTGACTCTTTATCCAATTTACCAGTCTGTGTCTTTATTATTATTATTATTATACTTTAAGTTATAGGGTACATGTGCACAACATGCAGGTTTGTTACATATGTATACATGTGCCATGTTGGTGTGCTGCACCCATCAACTCGTCATTTACATTAAGTATATCTCCTAATGCTGTCCCTCCCCGCTCCCACCACCCTACAACAGGCCCCAGTGTGTGATAT
Organism: Homo sapiens; assembly: GCF_000001405.40. Taxonomy (NCBI): domain Eukaryota; kingdom Metazoa; phylum Chordata; class Mammalia; order Primates; family Hominidae; genus Homo; species Homo sapiens. The sequence goes on along the minus strand of NC_000002.12, from coordinate 175,505,474 downwards.
TCCCCTTCCTGTGTCCAAGTGTTCTCATTGTTCAATTCCCACCTATGAGTGAGAACATGCAGTGTTTGTTTTTTTGTCCTTGCGATACTTTGCTGAGAATAATGGTTTCCAGCTTCATCCATGTCCCTACAAAGGACATGAACTCATCCTTTTTATGGCTGCATAGGATTCCATGGTGTATATATGCCACATTTTCTTAATCCAGTCTATCACTGATGGACATTTGGGTTGGTTCCAAGTCTTTGCTATTGTGAATAGTGCCGCAATGAACATACGTGTGCATGTGTCTTCATAGCAGCGTGATTTGTAATCCTTTGGGCATATAGCCAGTAGTAGGATGGCTGGGTCAAATGGTATTTCTAGTTCTAGATCCTTGAGGAATCACCACACTGTCTTCCACAATAGTTGAACTAGTTTACAGTCCCACCAACAGTGTAAAAGTGTTCCTACTTCTCCACATCCTCTCCAGCATCTGTTGTTTACTGACTTTTTAATGATCACCATTCTAACTGGCATGAGATGGTATCTCATTGTGGTTTTGATTTGCATTTCTCTGATGGCCAGTGATGATGAGCATTTTTTTATGTGTCTGTTGGCTGCATAAATGTCTTCTTTTGAGAAGTGTCTCTTCATATCCCTCACCCACTTTTTGATGGTGTCGTTTGTTTTTTTCTTGTAAATTTGTTTGAGTTCTTTGTAGATTCTGGATATTCGCCCTTTGTCAGATGAGTAGATTGCAAAAATTTTCTCCCATTCTGTAGGTTGCCTGTTCACTCCGATGGTAGTTTCTTTTGCTGTGCAGAAGCTGTTTAGTTTAATTAGATCCCATTTGTCAATTTTGGCTTTTATTGCCATTGCTTTTGTTGTTTTAGACATGAAGTCCTCGCCCATGCCTTATAAATGGCTTATATTATTGGCTTATATTTATTGAGTGCTAACTATAGGTAGGAAATGCTCAAAGTGCTTTATATTATTGTTTAATTCTGTCAGGAACCAAATGAGATCAGTATTATTCCCATTTTAGAAACAAAGAAATGAAGATTCAGAGAGGTGAAGTTGATTTGGTAGAAAAGGTAGGAATTACTAGCAAAAGGCACAGTTGGGATTTGAACCCAAGTCTATCACTAGAATTTTTGCTCTTCATCATTATACTATAATACTCCCTTTCTAATTAGGTAATGACTATTCTTTTCTGAGCTTCATTTAGCATAATCTGATAAATTTCAATCAAACTCAAAGAAATTGGAAGGAAACAACCCATGATTCCATCAGCAGATGAGGAGATAAATAAAATGTGATGCATACATAAGACAGAATATTATTTAGCTTAAAAAAGGAATGAATTTCTGACACATGCTACAATGTGGATGAACCTTGAAAACATTTTGCTAAGTGAAAGAAGCTAGATGCAGAAGTACAAATATTATATGATTCCATTTATATGAAATATCTAAAATAGGCAAACTTATAGAGACAGAAAAAGGATAGAAAGTTATCAGGATCTGGGAGGAGAGGAGAATGAGAAGCTATGATTTAATTAGTACAGTTTCTGTTTAGAGTGATGAAAAAGTTTTAGAAATAGACAGTGGTGATGATCTATAAAATTGTGCATGTCACTAATGCCACTGAATTGTATACTTAAAATTGGTTTAAATGGAAAATGTTATGTTATATATATTTACCACAATAAAAAAGCAAAGACATTTATTTTTGGTTTATCTAGAAAACTTTATTTAGTGGACCTATGATTTTTTAGTTTATCTGTTTATGTAAGGCTTTTGAAATAAAATATGGGTGACACTTTAGTGTTATATTAATTGAGAGGGCAGAGCAAAATAGTCAAATAAAAGCCCTACAGATTGTCCCTCCAGCTGGAACACCAAATTCTAACAACTAACTTCACACAAAATAGCACCATCATAAGAACCAAAAATCAGGTGAGTAACTCACAGTACCTGGTTTTATCTTCATATAGCTGAAAGGCACTGAAGAGGGTAGGAAGGACAGTCTTGAGATGTGGACTCCACCCCTCCCCCATCTCCCAGCAGCAGCTACATGGCATGGAGAGAGAGAAACTGTGCACTTTGGGGAGGGACAGCATAGCAATTGGTGGAATCTGCATTGAACTCAGTACTGCCCTGTCACAGCAAAGAGCAAAGCTATGCTTGCCTCAGCTGGTGCCTGACCATGGAGGGAGCATTTGGGCCAGACCTAGCCAGAGGGAAATCACCCATCCTAGCTGTCAGAACTTGAGTTTCCTGGCAAGCTTTGCCACAATGGGCTAAAGTGCTCTGGGGTCCTAGGTAAACTTGAAAGGCAGTTTAGGACACAAGGACTACAATTCCTCGGCAAGTCCTATTGCTATGGGCTTAGAGCCAGTGGAGTAGGGCAGCACATAACCTATGGAGACACCAGACAGGGCAGCTAAGGCTTGTGTCACCCCCTTCCAACCCTAGGCAGTGCAGCTTGCAGCAAAAAAGTGACTCCATCCTTCTGGTTGAGGAAAGGAGAGCAAAGAATAAAGAGGACTTTGTCTTGCACCTTGGGTACCAGCTCAGACACATTAGGACAAGGCACCAGGCAGAGATGTAAGGCCCCCACTCAAGGCCCTAGCTTCCAGACAACATTTCTAGACACACCCTGGGTGAGAAGGGAACATGATTCTTTGAAGGAAAGGACACAGTACTGACAGGATTTACCATTTGCTGAGTAAAGAACCCTTGGGCCCTCAATAACCAGCAGTGGTACCCAGGTAGTATGCTGTGGGCCTTGGGTGAGGCTCTGAGATGTGCTAGCTTCAGGTGATACTCAGCACATTCAAACTATGGTGACTACAGTGAAAGACTCCATCTGCTTGAGAAAAGCAGAGGGAAAAATAAAGAGTTCTTTGTCTTCCACCCTAAGTACCCACTTGGCTACAGTGAGATAGAGTAACAAGCAGGCTCTTGGGATTCCCAAGTTCTGGCCTAGGCACTTGGACAGCATTTCTGGACCTGCCCTGGGCCAGAGCGGAGCCCACTGCCCTGAAGGGTGAGTCGCAGGCATCCGGCAGAACTCCTTATGGGCTGCTGGTGGTGGTGGCCATGGGGAAAAGCTCTTCTGCCTGTGGAAAGGGGAGGAAAGAGTGGGAAGGACTTCATTTTGTGGTTTGAGTGCCAACTTAACCACAGTAGAATAGAACACCAGGTAGATTTCTAAGGCTTTTGATTCCAATCATTGGCTCCCAAACAGAGTCTCTGGACCTGCCTGGGGCCTGGGGAACTCACCAACCTGAAGGGAAGAACACAAACCTGGCTGGCTTCACCACCTGCTAATTGTTGAGCCCTAGGGCCTTGAGTGAACATAGGCAGTAGACAGGCAGTAGCTACAGTAGGCCATAGGCAAGACCCAGTGCTGTATTGGCTTCAGGTCTGACTCAGCACAGTCCTAGCGATCGTGGCCTCAGGGGTTTTTGTGACACCCCACCCTGAGCTCCAGGCAGCTCAGCAAAGAGAGAGAAAGACCTCACTTCTTTGGGAGAAAGTAGGGGAAAAGAACAAGAATCTCTGCCTGGTAATCCAGAGAATTCTTTCAGATCTTATCCAAGACCACCAAGGCAGTAATTCTATGAATCTGCAAGAACCACAGCATTCTTGGGCTTGGGGCCTAAGTCCACTTGAATACCTGGAAAGCCTTCCCAAGAAGAATGAGCACAAACAAGCCTAGACTGTGAAGGTCACAATAAATACGTAACTCTTCCATGTCCAGACATCAAAGAACATCCACAAGTATCAAGACCATCCAGGAAAACATGACCTTAACAAACGAACTAAATAAGGTACCAGGGACCAATCCTGGAGAAACAGAGATATGTGACCTTTTAGATTGAGAATGCAAAATAGTTGTTTTAAGGAAATTCAAAGAAATTCAAGATAACAAGGAGAAGTAATTCAGAATTCTATGATATAAATTTAACAAATTTATTGCATTCTGAATTTGTTAAATTCTTAACACATTTATTGTATTTAGTGTATTCTGCAGCTGCTGCATGAAATGGTCTATAAACATCTATTAGGTCCATTTGGTCTACAGTGCAGACTAAGTCCAATGAAAATACATTTCAAGATAAAAACTGTAAGAAGTTCATTCAATCAATAACTATCTTAAGATTGAAATAATTTAAAAGAATCAAGCAGAAATACTGGAGTTGAAAATGCAACTGACATATTGAAGAATGCATCAGAATCTCTTAATAGCAGAATTGATCAAACAGAAGTCAAAATTAGTGAGCTTGAAGACAGGCTATTTGAAAATATACAGTCAGAATAGACAAAATAAAAAAGAATAAGACATACCTACAGGATCTAGAAAATAAGCTTAAAAAGGGCAAGTCTAAGAGTTATTGACCTTAAAGAGGAAGTAGAGAAAGATATAGGGATAAAAAGTTTATTCAAAGGGATAATATCAGAGAACTTCCCAAACCTAGAGAAAGATATTAACATTCAAGAAGATATAACAAGAAGGTTATAGAATACCAAGCAGATTTAACCCAAAGAAGACTATCTCCAAGCATTTAATAATCAAACTCTCAAAGGTCAAGGATAAAGACATAATCCTAAAAGGAGCAAGAGAAAATAAACAAATGAAATGCAATAGAGGTCCAATATGTCTGGCAGCAGAGTTTTTAGTGGAAACCTTACAGACCAGAAAAGAGTAGCATGACAGGTTTAAAGTGCTGAGGGAAATAACTTTTGCCCTAGAATAGTGTATCTGGTGAAAATATCCTTCAAGCATGAAGGCGAAATAAACACCTTCCCAGATGAACAAAAGCTGAGGGAGTTTTAACAGCACCAGACCTGTCCTACAACAAATGCTAAAGGGAGTTCTTCAATCTGAAAGAAAAGGATGTTAATGAGCAATAAGAAATTATCTGATAGTACAAAACTCACTGGTACTAGTAGGCACAAAGAAAAACACAGAATATTATAACATTGTAATTGTTGTGTTTAAACTACTCTTAGCTTAAGTAGAAACACTAAATGATGACTCAATCAAAAATAATAACTACAACTTTTCAAGACATAGACAATAAAATAAGACAGAAAGATAAACAACAAAAAGTTAAAAAGTGGGGTGATGAAGTTAGAGTTTTTATTAGTTTTCTTTTTGATTGTTTATATAGTCTTGTTTTCATTAGTTTAAAATAATGGGTTATAAGATAGTATATGCAAGCCTTGTGGTGACCTCAGATCAATAAACATACAATGGATACACAAAAAATAGAAAGCAAGAAATTCAATCATACCACCAGAGAAAATCACCTTCACTAAAAGGAAGAAAGGAAGGAAAGAAGGAAGAGAACACTACAAAATAACCAGCAAACAAATAACAAAATGACAGGAGTTAGTCCTTACTTAACAATAATGGCATTGAATATAAATGGACTAAACTCTCTAGTTCAAAGACATAGATTGGCTGAATGATTTTTTTTTTTAAAAAGATGACCCAGTGATCTGTTGCCTACAAGAAACACACTTCACCTCTGAAGATGCACATAGACTGAAAATAAAGGGATGGAAAAAGATGCTTCATGTTATTGGAAACCAAAAAAGAGCAGAAGTAGCTATACTTATATCAGATAAAATAGATTTCAAGATAAAAACTGTAAGAAGTTCATTATATAATGATAAAGGGGCCAGTTTAGCAAGAGGATATAACAATTGTAAATATATATGCACCCAACACTGGAGCACTCAGGTATATAAAGCCAATATTATTAGAGCAGCTAAAAAGAAAGATAGGCCTCAATGCAATAATAGTTCAGACTTTAATGCCACACTTTCAGCATTGGACAGATCTTCCAGGTAGAAAATCAATAAAAAAGCACTGGACTTATTCTGCACTATAGACCAAATGGACCTAATAGATGTTTATAGACCATTTCATGCAGCAGCTGCAGAATACACAATCTTTTACTCAGCACATGGATCATTCTCAAGGATAGATCATATGTTAGGTCACAAAACAAGTCTGAAAACAGTCAATAAAAGTGAAATAATATCAAGCATCTTCTCTGACCACAATAGAATAAAACCAGAAATCAATAACAAGAGGAATTTTGGAAACTATACGAATAGAAGGAAATTAAACAATATGCTTCTGAATGACCCGTGGGTCAATGAAGAAATTAAGAAGGAAATTTAAAAAATTTTTTGAAACAAATGACAATGGAAACATGACATACCAAAACCTATGAGATACAGCAAAAGCAGTACTAAGGGGAAAATTTATTGCTGTAAGTGCCTATATCAAAAAAGAAGAAAAACTTGAAATAAGAAACCTAATTATGCATCTTTAAAAACTAGAAACACAAGAGTATCTTAAAAAACTAGAAAATCAAACTCATCTTATGAGGCTAGTACTACCCTGATACCAAAACCAGACAAAGACACATCAAGAAAGAAAACTACAGGCTAATATCTCTCATGAATATTGATGCAAAAGTCCAAACCCAAAATTAGTAGAAGAAAAGAAATAATAAAGATCAGAATAGAGATAAATAAAATCGAAACAAAAAATACAAAAGATCAATGAAACAAAAGATTGGTTTTCTTTCAAGGATAAACAAAATTGACAAACCTCGAGTCAGACTAATTAAGAAAAAAAGAGAGAACATTCAAATAAATAAAATCAGAGATGAAAAAGAAAACATTGTAATTGATACTGTAAAAATACAAAGGATTACTAGCGGCTACTATGAGCAACTATATGCCAATAAATTGGAAAATCTAGAGGAAATGGATAAATTCCTAGACAAATGCAACCTACCAAGATTGAAGCATGAAGAAATTCAAAACCTGAACAGGTCAATAATAACAAGTAACAAGGTCAAAGCCATAATAAAAAGTCTCCCAGTAAAGAAAATCCCAGGACCTGATGGCTTCATTGCTAAATTCTACCAAACATTTGCAGAAGAACTAATCCTACTCTAACTACTCTGAAAAATAGAGGAGGAGAGAATACTTCCAAACTTATCCTTTGAGGTTAGTACTACCCTGATAACAAAACTAGACAAAGACACATCAAAAAAAGGAAACTACAGGCCAATATCTCTCATGAATATTTATGCAAAAACCCTAGCAAAATACTAGCAAACCTAATTCAACAGTACATTAAAAAGATCATTCATCATGACCAAGTGGGATTTATCCCAGGGATGCAAGCATGGTTCAACATATACAAATTAATCAATGTGGTACATTATATCAACAGAATGAAGAAAAAAATGATAATTTCAATTGCTGCTGGAAAAGCATTTGATAAAATTCAACATCTCTTCATGATAAAAATCCTCAAAAAACTGGGTATAGAAGGAATACACCTCAACATAATAAAAGCCGTATATGACAGACCCACAGCTAGTATCATACTAAATGAAGAAAAACTGAAAAACTTTCTCCTAAGATCCAGAACAAAACAAGGATGCCCATTTTCACTACTGTTATTCAGCATAGTACTGGAAGCCCTAACTAGGGCAATCAGACAACAGAAATAAATAAAGGGCATCCAAATTGGAAAGGAACAAGTTAAAGTATACTTGTCTGCAGATTTTATGTTCTTATCTTCAGAAAAAGCTAAAGGCTCCACCAGAGAACTACTACAACTGGTAAACGAATACAGTAAAGTCGCAGGATACAAAATCAACATACAAAAATCAGTAGCACTTCTATATGCCAACAGTGAACAATCTGAAAAAGAAATAAAAAAGTAATCTCATTTACAATAGCCACAAATAAAACTAGATACCTAGGAATTAACCAAAGAAATGAAATACCTCTACAATGAAAACTATAAAATACTAATGAAAGAAACTGAAAAGGCCACAAAAAATGGCAATATATTCCATGTTCATGAATTGGAAGAATCAATATTGGTAAAATGTCCATACTACCCAAAGCAAACTACAGATTCAATGCAATGCCTATCAAAACATCAATGACATTCTTCACAGAAATAAAACAAAATGCTAAAATGTATACAGAACCACAAAAGACCCAGAATAGCCAAAGCTATCCTGAGAAAAAAGAAAATTGGAGGGATCACATTACCTGACTTCAAATTATACTACAGAACTATAGTAAACAAAACACAATGGTACTGGCATAAAAACAGGCACATAAACCAATGAAACAGAATCGAGAATTGAGAAACAAATTCATGGACTTACAGTGAAATTACTTTTGACAAAGGTGCCAAGAACCTACATTGGGGAAAAAAACCATCTCTTCAATAAATGATGTTCGGGAAACTGGATATCGATATGCAGAAGAATGAAACTTGACCCTTCTCTCTCACCATATGCAAAAATCAAATCAAAATGGATTAAAGACTTAAGTCTAAGACCTCAAACTGAAACTACTGCAAGAAAACACTGGGGAAACTCTCCGCAATACTGGTCTGAGCAAAAATTTCTTGAGTAATACCCAACAAGCACAGGCAACCAAAGCAAAAATGGACACATGGAATCACATCAAGTTAAAAGCCTTCTACACAGCAAAGGAAACAACCAACAAAGTGAAGAGACAACACATAGGATGGGAGAAAATATTTGCTAATGGCCCATCTGACAAGTGATTCATAACCAGAATATATAAGGAGTTCAAACAACTCTACAGGAAAAAAGTCTAATAATGCAATTTAAAAGTGGGCAAAAGTTCTGAATAGACATTTCTCAAAAGGAGACATACAAATGGCAAACAGGCATGTGAAAGGTGCTCAAAATCATTGATCATCAGGAAAATGCAAATCAAAACTACAATGAGATATCATCTCATCCCACTTAAAATGGCTTATATCCAAATGACAGGTGATAACAAATGCTGGTGAGGATGTGAAGAAAAGGAAATCCTCATATACTCTTGGTAGGAATGTAAGTTATTGCAACTACTGTGGAAAACAGTATGGAGGGCTCTCAAAAAACTGAAAATAGAACTATCATACAATCTAGCAATACCACTGCTGGGTATATACCCCAAAGAAAGGAAATCAATATATTAAAGAGATATCTGCACTGCCATGTTTGCTGCAGCACTGTTTACAATAGCCAAGATTTGGAAGCAACCTAAGTGTCCATCAACAGACAAGTGAATAAAGAAAATGTGGTACATATATACAATGGAGTACTATTCAACCATAAAAACAATGAGATCCTGTCATTTGCACCAACATGACTGGAGCTAAAGGTCACTGTGTTGTGAAACAAGCCAGATACAGAAAGACAAACTACATGTTCTCTCTTATTTTGTTGTAGCTAAAAATTAAAACAATTAAACTCATAGAAATAGAGAAAATAGAAGGATAGTTACCAGAGAATGGGAAGGGCACATGGAGTTGTGGGATAGTTAATGGGTACAAAAAATAGTTAGAAGGAGTAAATAAGATCTAGTATTTTATAGCACAACAGGGTGATTTTAGTCAATAGTAATTTAATTGTACATTTAAAAATAAGTAGAGTCATAATAGGATTGTTTGTAACACAACAAATAAATGCTTCAGGGGATGGATACCCCATTTACCATGATGTGATTATTATGCATTGCATGCCTGTATCAATGTAATGCTTTGATACAGGCATGCAATGCCTGTACCCCATAAATATACACACCTACTATGTACCCACAAAAATTAAAAATAACAAAAATTAAAAATATTACAGTAATTGTTCTCCAAGCATCCAGAAAGTCCAGTGTGAGACCCAATGGTCAACCTCTAACAATCATACATTTAGATGATGACAGAAAAAAACTAGTTGACTCCCAGTATGTGCCATCATACATATAGGAATAACAAACTAAGAGTGCATTCTACTAAACATTTTCATAACCCTGGCAATCTTTTCAGAATCTTGGAATCATGGAGATAAATGGCTCTCTAGCCCTTTCCCCTGGCTGGGAGAACAGAGTCAAAGACAAAACCAATACTGTTGGCACCCATCTCACCACATCCTCTCCCTCTCAGAAAAGGAGAGAAGACACATCATAGAGGAAAATACAGAGTGGAGATAAAGAAAAGCCATAATATCTTCAAGGAGAACTACAAACCACTGCTCAAGGAAATAAGAGAAGATACAAACAAATAGAAAAACATTCCATCCTCATGGAAAGGAAGAATCACTATCACGAAAATGGCCATACTGCCCAAAGTAGTTTATAAATTCAATGCTATTCCCATCAAACCACCATTGACATGCTTCAGATAATTAGAAAAAACTATTTTAAATTTCATATGCAACAAAAAAGGGCCTGTACAGCCAAGACAACCCTAAGCAAAAAGAACAAAGCTGGAGGCATCAAGCTACCTGACTTCAAACTATACTACAATGCTACAGTAACCAAAACAGGATGGTACTTACACCAAAACAGACATATAGACCAATGTAACATAACAGAGACCTCAGAAGTAACACCACACGCCTACAACCATCTAATCTTCAACAAACCTGACAAAAACAAGCAACAAGGAAAGGATTCCCTATTTAATAAGTGGTGCTGGGAAAACTGGCTAGCCATATGCAGAAAACTGAGAGTGGATACCTTCCTTACACCTTATATAAAAATTAACTCAAGATGGAGTAAAGATTTAAATGTAAAGCCCCAAACCATAAAATTCCTAGAAGAAAACCTAGGCAATACCATTCAGGACATAGGCATAGGCAAAAATGTCATGATGAAAATGGCAAAAGCAATGACAACAAAAGCTAAACTTGACAAATGGGATCTAATTAAACTAAACAGCTAAAAGAAACTATCATCAGAATGAACAGGCAACCTACACAATGGGAGAAGATTTTTGCAATCTACCCATTTGACAAAGGGCTAATGTCCAGAATCTACAAGGAACTTAAACAAATTTACAAGAAAAAAACAAACAACCCCATCAAAAAGTGGGCGAAGGATATGAACAGACACCTCTCTAAAGAAGACATTTATGCAGGTAACAAACATATGAAAAAAAGCTCAACATCGCTGATCAATAAAAAAATACAAATCAAAACCACAATCAGATACCATCTTATGCCAGTCAGAATGGTGATTATTAAAAAGTCAAGAAAAAATAGATGCTGGTGAAGCTGTGGAGAAATAGGAATGCTTTTACACTGCTGGTGGGAATGTAAATTAGTTCAACCATTGTGGAAGACAGTGTGGCAATTCCTCAAAGATCTAGAACCAGAAATACCATTTGACCCAGCAACCCCATTACTGGGTATATACCAAAAGGAATGTAAATCATTCTACTATAAAGACACATGCACACATATCTTTATTGCAGCACTATTTATAATAGCGAAGGCATGGACCCAATCCAGATGCTCATCAATGATAGACTGGATAAAGAAAATGTGGCACATATATACCATGGAATACTATGCAGTCATAAAAAGGAACAAGATCATGTCCTTTGCAGGGACATGGATAAGGCCGAAAGCCATTATCCTCAGCAAACTAACATAGGAACAGAAAACCAAACACTGAATGTTCTCACTCATAAGTAGGAGTTGAACAATGAGAACATATGGACAGAGGGAGGGGAACATCACACACCAAGGCCTGTTGTGGGGTGGTGAGTGAGGGGATGAGAGCATCAGGAGAAACAGCTAATTCATGCAGGGCTTAAAACGTAGGTGACTGGTATATGGGTGCAGCAAACCACCATGGCACACATATACCTGTGTAACAAACCTGCACGTTCTGCACATGTATCCCAGAACTTAAAGCAAAATAAAATAAAATAAATACAAACAACAACAACAACAAAGAATACATAAAAACATGAGGGAAAAGTTCACAATACAGTAAGAGAAAAAACTATAAAGCAATAGTAAAATACCATGCCATTGCTGTTTCAAAATACACACAATGAGAAGCAGTAAAAAAAAGAAAAGAAAAGAAAAAAGGCCATAACAAAGACAAATGAAGACATCATAGGTATCAGAAAAGAATAGGGAGAGATGAAAGTGTACATACCGTGAGACAGAGAAGGGAGTAGGTGGTTTGCTATGTTGGGCCTTCCTCCTTTCCTGGTGAACAGAACACACGATTGGACAATGAGTCATTGGGGGAAAAGCCATTGATTACTGTACAAAGTCAGGGACTTTTGGGCATTAAATTTACAGACTTTGGGGTATGGAAGGCTTGGGACTCCAAGAGTATCTTTCCCTCCCTCTCTTCTTGCCTCTCTGTGTTCTTTCTTCTCCTTCTCCTCCTTCTCTCTTTGCTCCTCATCCTTTTCCCCTTGCTCCTCCTCCTTTCCTTCTCCTTCTTCCTCCTCTTCCTTTTTCTTTTCCTTCTCTCTCTCCCTCTCTCTTTCTTTCTCTTTTCATTCCAAGATAGAGTATTTTTATACTTTGGAGGCATTTTTCCCTTACTGGTGCTAACAGAACACAGTATGAACAGGAGGGAAAGAAGTAGATGTCTTAGCGGGTTATGTGGGTCTTTGTTTATAATAGAAGAATACGGTACAAGAATACATAGGTACTGCACCCAGTCCTTTGTATTTGTATATTGCCTTCAACTTTTTTTCTTATTTTATATGACCAAGTTTTGGCAATTCTCAGCATTTTTTTTTTATAATTGCTGATTTCTGCCCTCCTGCTACAATATCCCATATTCTGAAAGGACTTTAAGCTCCTTAAGGGCTGGGGTAATGTCTTAATCATCTTTATATCCCTGGTGTCTAGAACACTGCTGATCCTCAACCTATGTTTGTCAACTGAATGGGTGAATAAATAAGTGTAAGTTCTCTCTACAAAGTATCAAGCCATGTGGCTGTGGTTATTCAAGTCTGATTAAAGGCATGCCATAGCTTAGATGTTTGTTCCTTCCAAATCTCATGTTGAAATTTGATCTCCAGTATTGGAGGTGGGGCCTAATGGGAGGTGTCTGGGGAATGGCAGCAAATCCTTTATGAATCGATTAATTCCCTCCCCCTAGGGGAAATGGGTGAGTGAGTTCTCACTCTATTACTTCTCAGGACAGCTGATTGTCCAAAGAGGCAGGCACCTCCCCTCACCTCCCTCTCTTTCACCAGGTGAGCTCTACACAGGCCAGCTCCCCTTTGCCTTTTACCACAAGTGGAAGTAGCCTGAGGCCCTCACCAGAAGCCAATTTTCCAGGCAGCAGAACTGTGAGCCAAATAAACCTTTTTTCTCTATAAATTACTTAACCTCAAGTATTCCTTCATAGCAACACAAAACATACAAGACAGTGCATGAAAGGAAGGAATATTTTCAATGAGGAATATTCTGGAAATCAGGAATATCAGATCCCAAAGAAACAATGGACTTTAGAGTTTCTGTTAAGTTTACGCGATTTAGTTTCACAGCATACATAGGAGACAAGGATTTGATGCAGTCCTGTGGAATGATAAAGACTGACTTGTATTTGTGCTGAAACCTTTATGCATCTAGAAGTGGATAATGAGTGGTCACAAGAAAAGGAAGACATTAATGATCAACACAGAATACTTTTTTTAAATGTAGAAAAAAATAAAATTTATAAAGCTGCTGCTCAGGCAGTAGGGAACTTTGATTGTCTTTAAATCAGCTTTGAAGCAAGGGGCTGCTCTCTTCTAACATCAATTAATCAGAAAACCTGAGTGGGGAGAGTATTTGGGAAGATTCTTTGGTGAACCTTACCTCCAGTTCACCCTTCAGAGCAGGCTCATTCTTCAGAGGAGCCCATCGTCCTTCAGAGGAGGCCCCGGTTCTAGCTTCATCCCATTGAAAGCAACAAGGAGCAAAAGGATGTTGGTTTTGGCTCAACTGTAGATCAGCTGGCCCCACAGGTGTGAGAGCCAACCTATGAATAGGAGAGCCCTGCACCTGCCACCACCATCTTTTTGTTTGGTTTCCATGGGTGTCTGAGTAGCAGCTGGAAGAAATCATCAGAACTGGGCCCTGGCGAACCACAGGGGAAGACAATGGGAAAATGAAGTTCTAAACCTAAATTATGCCGGCATGTGATTTTTAGAATCTTTTTTTAAAAAAAGAACAAGACAATAAAAGGAGACACATGGGGAAGGGAGATTTTTTTTCTAATGTTCACCAGTAGTGTCTATAAAATATAAAGCACCTAAAATCAATTAATGACCCTCAGTTACATGATGTTTTAACTCCACTTAAGAACCAAGATTTCAACAGCACTGAATGGGATAGAATATTATATTCTCCCCTCCTTATTCCCTTCTAATCTTTAGTATTTTAATTCTGTTTATGCCAATATGACTATTTGCTGAGTTTTGGCCTTTTTTTTTCTAATGCTTATAAGTAAAAGCAGGGATTCCAACCTTTTATTATTGCTCTGGTGATAATATCAAATGCTGCAAACATGGATAATCTCCAATTTTTATAATCTGCAGACATAATGGGGGAGGAAAAAGCATATTAGGCTACAAAAGAAGAATAAAGAATGAGAGAGGGTTAAAATAACAAACCGTAAAGAGTCTTCTGAGAATTGCGAAGAGCTGCTCTTTGGATCCATATTGTATTTTTTTTCCGACACATTTAAATGTAAACAGGCAAGCCCTATGTCTCCAGGAAGCTTTTTCCTTTTAAAGCACTCTTTACTATTTAAACAGATACAGGATAGATATTTCAACGCAGAGCCCACATAAAATCCCATATTAGGGATGATACCAAACTTAAAGAATGTTGTAAAATGAGAATGGAAAAAAAAAGTACAAAATGAATTCCTGCCCATTTACATGCTTTCAGTCAGGCTACTAGATAACCAAGCCTCTGTCTTTGTGTTAACACTGTAGATTAGGTCAAGTTTTTACCCCTCTGAGCTCTTTTCCTGTAAATGACGGGTTTTGATGTGAAACAAGCAACATGTCAAAGCGAGTTGAAAGATGTAGGCATTTTATGCCATGTCACAATGACAGGCCGGTGAATATTTGGGCCATTAGGGGCTTATTAGTGAATAAATGACCAGATGGTTCAGTGATGCACGGAGATGGACAGAGCTGGATGCTCCTAATCAGCACTGTCTGTACTTGATGTCAAATCACATGACACAGTAACCCATGGATACCAAGTAACAGTTACCATTAGCAAGTCAATTTCATATCTGGGTGGTGTAAACAGACTTATAACCGCACTTCAGAGCTGCCTCTGTTTTGAGGAAGGAAAATACAGTAGAGTATTAAAAGGCACAGACACAATAAATTCTAATTGTTATTTGATAATTAAACAAAGAATTTCTATCTTAGTTCCTCCCCTTTATTCTTGAAAAAGGAATGATGCCTCAATGCATAAGAAAAGAGATTGTCAAAAATAAAGAGATCAAATTGAAAATACACTTAAAACCTAAGTGAAAGACATAATGTTTGGTAGAGAGGGCCAAAGGTGAAAGGATTCAAGTCCATCTTCTTAGAGCACTCTGCAGTAGGTGGTGAAGCCAAAGTTTAGGCACAGACCACAAACTATCAACACATGTTACATTTTTCCTCTTTGGCTTTAAAAATGTTGATAGCATTAACACCACCTTGGGTTTTTCCTGTAGGAATGTACAAAAGTGTTTTTGAAGACAAGTGTCCATTTCTTTTCTTTCCTCATCATTTTCAGTATTTTCAGACTGACAAGTATTCCTTGGATTGTGAACACCCAACTACTACTAAGGAAAACAATCACTCTTAAAACCTAAAGAAGAAACACCCTGGAAATAAACTCTTACTTTGGTGCTCTGTCAGAAACTAGTGGGTCTGAGGGCAGAGATTCAATGCATTTTGCATCTACAATGGAAAGTGTTGACAGGCATTTCCTCACAAGAACATCAATTAAAGCAATTCAGTCTTGAGGGAGTGAGAACTAAATCATATTACAGTAAGCGTTCTCTTTTAATAATAATACCTATGGTTTGTATAGCGTTTTTCATTTACAAAGTATTCTTCATGAATGTTGTATCTTTTTATCTTCTTTTTAGCCAACTACTATTAATTTCCTTGATAAATCTTTCCTGGGAATCTACTATGTGTGTCTACTTTTGGACATGAGGCTGGGGAAACAGGAGCAAGGAGCGCAATTCCTCAGAAATGTACAGTAGTGTTAAGTAGGGCATTGTAATGAGTACTATGTAACATTCAATGCTTACAAAAAGATTATATGTAACATACACTTCCTAAAATTTTACATCTGTGACCCAACATAAGATGTGATAAATAATATTAAATAATATTAAAGCTCCCCCCTCACCGATCTACACCCTGCCCCATGCAGAAGTAACCACATTCTGAATTTTGACTTTATCATTTCCTTAATATTCGAAAGTAATTTAACTTTAGATGGCTCTGTTTCTAACAAGACATTTGTGAATTTGCTTGTTTTATCCCTTTGTAAAAATGGTGGCGTCACACTGCATGTATTCTCGTGAGACTTGCTTTTTTTCCACTCAATGCATTTAAACTTTAACCACATTGCTGTGCATGGCTGAAATTCATTCACTTTTACTATTTTATTATATTCCATGGTGTGAATATTCCACAATTGATGTATCCATTCTCTTGTCTGTAGACATTTGGCTTGTTTCCAGTTTGGGGCTATTACAAATAATGCTGCAAAGAATATTCTTGTACATTTATACCGTTGTTCATATGCACAAGTTTTCCCTAGGTGTGAAATTTCTGGTCCTGGGGTAAATATTTATTCAGCTTAACAAGATAATGCTAAACTATTTTCCAAGGTTGTACCAATTTACACTCCCACCAATAGTGTATGAAGAGCATTTTCATTATTTGACATCCTTATCAACACGTTATTTTCAGACTTATAATTTTGCCAGTCTAGTGGGTGTAAATTCAACCTTAACAACCACCCTCAGAAGTAACTATTATCTATGTTTTACAGGTAAGGCTCAAAATCATGTAACTCATAAAGTCAAAACTTGAGCCCAGTTCTCTAGCCTGCAAACCCAAAGTTCTTTTCACTGTACCACACTGTCTACCACAGTTCAGGCCCCATTGACTGATGCTTTACATTTTTAAGCACAATTAGCATTCAGGAGAAGTATAGTGTTCAATTTAGGGCTTGGCCACTGATTAGTTAAGCAACTTGGGCAATTATACTGTGCCTCAATTATTTTATCTAGAAAATGGCTACTATAATGATGATGATAATAATAATAATAATATCACTTATTTTATGTGACTGTTATCATGGTTAAACAAGTTATTTCTCCCCTTCTCTCAACTAGATATTTAAATACACATGTACTCTAAATACCAACCATGACAGGTAGAATTCAGTGTATTTTCTTTAACCTAAATGCCCTCTTTCAAGCAAATGACTTTTTCATTAATGGCTTCATAATTTCATGTTTTGAGCTGCCAAATATGTTTCTTGTTTCACACGCATTTACACTGAAGCATTGAAAGAATCCTTTAGCTCTACAACCATGGTGACTTGATACCAGCACAATCAGTTTGGAAGTTTTTTAAACATTTATTTTGGGAGGAGCCAAGATGGCCGAATAGGAACAGCTCCGGTCTACAGCTCCCAGCGTGAGCGACGCAGAAGACGGTGATTTCTGCATTTCCATCTGAGGTACCGGGTTCATCTCACTAGGGAGTGCCAGACAGTGGGCGCAGGCCAGTGTGTGTGCGCACCGTGCGCGAGCCGAAGCAGGGCGAGGCATTGCCTCACCTGGGAAGCGCAAGGGGTCAAGGAGTTCCCTTTCCGAGTCAAAGAAAGGGGTGACGGACGCACCTGGAAAATCGGGTCACTCCCACCCGAATATTGCGCTTTTCAGACCGGCTTAAGAAACGGCGCACCACGAGACTATATCCCACACCTGGCTCGGAGGGTCCTACGCCCACGGAATCTCGCTGATTGCTAGCACAGCAGTCTGAGATCAAACTGCAAGGCGGCAACGAGGCTGGGGGAGGGGCGCCCGCCATTGCCCAGGCTTGCTTAGGTAAACAAAGCAGCCGGGAAGCTCGAACTGGGTGCAGCCCACCACAGCTCAAGGAGGCCTGCCTGCCTCTGTAGGCTCCACCTCTGGGGGCAGGGCACAGACAAACAAAAAGACAGCAGTAACCTCTGCAGACTTAAGTGTCCCTGTCTGACAGCTTTGAAGAGAGCAGTGGTTCTCCCAGCACGCAGCTGGAGATCTGAGAACGGGCAGACTGCCTCCTCAAGTGGGTCCCTGACTCCTGACCCCCGAGCAGCCTAACTGGGAGGCACCCCCCAGCAGGGGCACACTGACACCTCACATGGCAGGGTATTCCAACAGACCTGCAGCTGAGGGTCCTGTCTGTTAGAAGGAAAACTAACAACCAGAAAGGACATCTACACCGAAAACCCATCTGTACATCACCATCATCAAAGACCAAAAGTAGATAAAACCACAAAGATGGGGAAAAAACAGAACAGAAAAACTGGAAACTCTAAAATGCAGAGCGCCTCTCCTCCTCCAAAGGAACGCAGTTCCTCACCAGCAACAGAACAAAGCTGGATGGAGAATGATTTTGACGAGCTGAGAGAAGAAGGCTTCAGACGATCAAATTACTCTGAGCTACGGGAGGACATTCAAACCAAAGGCAAAGAAGTTGAAAACTTTGAAAAAAATTTAGAAGAATGTATAACTAGAATAACCAATACAGAGAAGTGCTTAAAGGAGCTGATGGAGCCGAAAACCAAGGCTCGAGAACTACGTGAAGAATGCAGAAGCCTCAGGAGCCGATGCGATCAACTGGAAGAAAGGGTATCAGCAATGGAAGATGAAATGAATGAAATGAAGCGAGAAGGGAAGTTTAGAGAAAAAAGAATAAAAAGAAATGAGCAAAGCCTCCAAGAAATATGGGACTATGTGAAAAGACCAAATCTACGTCTGATTGGTGTACCTGAAAGTGATGTGGAGAATGGAACCAAGTTGGAAAACACTCTGCAGGATATTATCCAGGAGAACTTCCCCAATCTAGCAAGGCAGGCCAACGTTCAGATTCAGGAAATACAGAGAACGCCACAAAGATACTCCTCGAGAAGAGCAACTCCAAGACACATAATTGTCAGATTCACCAAAGTTGAAATGAAGGAAAAAATGTTAAGGGCAGCCAGAGAGAAAGGTCGGGTTACCCTCAAAGGAAAGCCCATCAGACTAACAGCGGATCTCTCGGCAGAAACCCTACAAGCCAGAAGAGAGTGGGGGCCAATATTCAACATTCTTAAAGAAAAGAATTTTCAACCCAGAATTTCATATCCAGACAAACTAAGCTTCATAAGTGAAGGAGAAATAAAATACTTTATAGACAAGCAAATGTTGAGAGATTTTGTCACCACCAGGCCTGCCCTAAAAGAGCTCCTGAAGGAAGCGCTAAACATGGAAAGGAACAACCGGTACCAGCCGCTGCAAAATCATGCCAAAATGTAAAGACCATCGAGACTAGGAAGAAACTGCATCAACTAATGAGCAAAATCACCAGGTAACATCATAATGACAGGATCAAATTCACACATAACAATATTAACTTTAAATATAAATGGACTAAATTCTGCAATTAAAAGACACAGACTGGCAAGTTGGATAAAGAGTCAAGACCCATCAGTGTGCTGTATTCAGGAAACCCATCTCACGTGCAGAGACACACATAGGCTCAAAATAAAAGGATGGAGGAAGATCTACCAAGCCAATGGAAAACAAAAAAAGGCAGGGGTTGCAATCCTAGTCTCTGATAAAACAGACTTTAAACCAACAAAGATCAAAAGAGACAAAGAAGGCCATTACATAATGGTAAAGGGATCAATTCAACAAGAGGAGCTAACTATCCTAAATATTTATGCACCCAATACAGGAGCACCCAGATTCATAAAGCAAGTCCTCAGTGACCTACAAAGAGACTTAGACTCCCACACATTAATAATGGGAGACTTTAACACCCCACTGTCAACATTAGACAGATCAACGAGACAGAAAGTCAACAAGAATACCCAGGAATTGAACTCAGCTCTGCACCAAGCAGACCTAATAGACATCTACAGAACTCTCCACCCCAAATCAACAGAATATACATTTTTTTCAGCACCACACCACATCTATTCCAAAATTGACCACATAGTTGGAAGTAAAGCTCTCCTCAGCAAATGTAAAAGAACAGAAATTATAACAAACTATCTCTCAGACCACAGTGCAATCAAACTAGAACTCAGGATTAAGAATCTCACTCAAAGCCGCTCAACTACATGGAAACTGAACAACCTGCTCCTGAATGACTACTGGGTACATAACGAAATGAAGGCAGAAATAAAGATGTTCTTTGAAACCAACGAGAACAAAGACACCACATACCAGAATCTCTGGGATGCATTCAAAGCAGTGTGTAGAGGGAAATTTATAGCACTAAATGCCTACAAGAGAAAGCAGGAAAGATCCAAAATTGACACCCTAACATCACAATTAAAAGAACTAGAAAAGCAAGAGCAAACACATTCAAAAGCTAGCAGAAGGCAAGAAATAACTAAAATCAGAGCAGAACTGAAGGAAATAGAGACACAAAAAACCCTTCAAAAAATCAATGAATCCAGGAGCTGGTTTTTTGAAAGGATCAACAAAATTGATAGACCGCTAGCAAGACTAATAAAGAAAAAAAGAGAGAAGAATCAAATAGACACAATAAAAAATGATAAAGGGGATATCACCACCGATCCCACAGAAATACAAACTACCATCAGAGAATACTACAAACACCTCTACGCAAATAAACTAGAAAATCTAGAAGAAATGGATACATTCCTCGACACATACACTCTCCCAAGACTAAACCAGGAAGAAGTTGAATCTCTGAATCGACCAATAACAGGCTCTGAAATTGTGGCAATAATCAATAGTTTACCAACCAAAAAGAGTCCAGGACCAGATGGATTCACAGCCGAATTCTACCAGAGGTACAAGGAGGAACTGGTACCATTCCTTCTGAAACTATTCCAATCAATAGAAAAAGAGGGAATCCTCCCTAACTCATTTTATGAGGCCAGCATCATTCTGATACCAAAGCCGGGCAGAGACACAACCAAAAAAGAGAATTTTAGACCAATATCCTTGATGAACATTGATGCAAAAATCCTCAATAAAATACTGGCAAACCGAATCCAGCAGCACATCAAAAAGCTTATCCACCATGATCAAGTGGGCTTCATCCCTGGGATGCAAGGGTGGTTCAATATACGCAAATCAATAAATGTAATCCAGCATATAAACAGAGCCAAAGACAAAAACCACATGATTATCTCAATAGATGCAGAAAAAGCCTTTGACAAAATTCAACAACCCTTCATGCTAAAAACTCTCAATAAATTAGGTATTGATGGGATGTATTTCAAAATAATAAGAGCTATCTATGACAAACCCACAGCCAATATCATACTGAATGGGCAAAAACTGGAAGCATTCCCTTTGAAAACCGGCACAAGACAGGGATGCCCTCTCTCACCGCTCCTATTCAACATAGTGTTGGAAGTTCTGGCCAGGGCAATCAGGCAGGAGAAGGAAATAAAGGGTATTCAAATAGGAAAAGAGGAAGTCAAATTGTCCCTGTTTGCAGACGACATGATTGTTTATCTAGAAAACCCCATTGTCTCAGCCCAAAATCTCCTTAAGCTGATAAGCAACTTCAGCAAAGTCTCAGGATACAAAATCAATGTACAAAAATCACAAGCATTCTTATACACCAACAACAGACAAACAGAGAGCCAAATCATGGGTGAACTCCCATTCACAATTGCTTCAAAGAGAATAAAATACCTAGGAATCCAACTTACAAGGGATGTGAAGGACCTCTTCAAGGAGAACTACAAACCACTGCTCAAGGAAATAAAAGAGGAGACAAATAAATGGAAGAACATTCCATGCTCATGGGTAGGAAGAATCAATATTGTGAAAATGGCCATACTGCCCAAGGTAATTTACAGATTCAATGCCATCCCCATCAAGCTACCAATGACTTTCTTCACAGAATTGGAAAAAACTACTTTAAAGTTCATATGGAACCAAAAAAGAGCCCGCATCGCCAAGTCAATCCTAAGCCAAAAGAACAAAGCTGGAGGCATCACACTACCTGACTTCAAACTATACTACAAGGCTACAGTAACCAAAACAGCATGGTACTGGTACAAAAACAGAGATATAGATCAATGGAACAGAACAAAGCCCTCAGAAATAATGCCGCATATCTACAACTATCTGATCTTTGACAAACCTGAGAAAAACAAGCAATGGGGAAAGGATTCCCTATTTAATAAATGGTGCTGGGAAAACTGGCTAGCCATATGTAGAAAGCTGAAACTGGATCCCTTCCTTACACCTTATACAAAAATCAATTCAAGATGGATTAAAGATTTAAACGTTAAACCTAAAACCATAAAAACCCTAGAAGAAAACCTAGGCATTACCATTCAGGACATAGGCGTGGGCAAGGACTTCATGTCCAAAACACCAAAAGCAATGGCAACAAAAGACAAAATTGACAAATGGGATCTAATTAAACTAAAGAGCTTCTGCACAGCAAAAGAAACTACCATCAGAGTGAACAGGCAACCTACAACATGGGAGAAAATTTTTGCAACCTACTCATCTGACAAAGGGCTAATATCCAGAATCTACAATGAACTCAAACAAATTTACAAGAAAAAAACAAACAACCCCATCAAAAAGTGGGCGAAGGACATGAACAGACACTTCTCAAAAGAAGACATTTATGCAGCCAAAAAACACATGAAGAAATGCTCATCATCACTGGCCATCAGAGAAATGCAAATCAAAACCACTATGAGATATCATCTCACACCAGTTAGAATGGCAATCATTAAAAAGTCAGGAAACAACAGGTGCTGGAGAGGATGCGGAGAAATAGGAACACTTTTACACTGTTGGTGGGACTGTAAACTAGTTCAACCATTGTGGAAGTCAGTGTGGCGATTCCTCAGGGATCTAGAACTAGAAATACCATTTGACCCAGCCATCCCATTACTGGGTATATACCCAAATGAGTATAAATCATGCTGCTATAAAGACACATGCACACGTATGTTTATTGTGGCACTATTCACAATAGCAAAGACTTGGAACCAACCCAAATGTCCAACAATGATAGACTGGATTAAGAAAATGTGGCACATATACACCATGGAATACTATGCAGCCATAAAAAATGATGAGTTCATATCCTTTGTAGGGACATGGATGAAATTGGAAACCATCATTCTCAGTAAACTATTGCAAGAACAAAAAACCAAACACCGCATATTCTCACTCACAGGTGGGAATTGAACAATGAGATCACATGGACACAGGAAGGGGAATATCACACTCTGGGGACTGTGGTGGGGTCGGGGGAGGGGGGAGGGATAGCATTGGGAGATATACCTAATGCTAGATGACACATTAGTGGGTGCAGCGCACCAGCATGGCACATGTATACATATGTAACTAACCTGCACAATGTGCACATGTACCCTAAAACTTAGAGTATAATAAAAAAAAAAAAAAAAAAAAAAAAAAACATTTATTTTGCACTCTGAGTGATATCAAAATACCTTTAGAGCAGTTAACTTAGTTTGTATATATTCATTTGAGTGACAATAATGTTTTGTCATGCCCATTAGACTGTTTCTAGTTTCAATCACAATTATATCACCAGCCTTAATACTCAATAAATACTTGTTAATTAAATGGATCAATGAATAAATTTTAAAAAGCAGACTGATATGTTTTGCTAAAGTTACTTGTCAGTCAAATGCTCTTTTTTAAAAAATTATATCTGAATCATACCTGAATCCTGAAAGTCTGATTTCAGAGTTTAGAATTTTTCAGAATTTATAATTTTTTTCATTTTTGAAAAGTTAATACTCTATACATATTTTATATCATATGACATCTACATCAGGGCCTGGGCACAACCCAGTAATCAAACACATTAACATTTCGGCACTAAAATGCACGAACAGTGACACGGAAAGGAGTTTTCAGGACCACAAATAACATCATAGAGGTTCAGGTCAAATTGGCTTCCGAAGGAGTTATGGAAATGCTTACTATTTTCAGGGATTTGGGATTATAGAATTATGGATTAAAATGTTAGAGCTGTAATTTCTAAAAGTGTGGAAATTTGAATCCATGACTCCTTGGTCCCTAATATATTTTATTCACAGTATGGTGCACATTACTCACACTTCTTTCCTTGATCTCCAGGAAAAACTCCACTAGTTTATGAAACTTATTTATATAGACCAGTGATTCTCCAATTACCATGACGCCATGGAAATATACAAGCTATTCCTAGGAGAGGCATAGCTAAATCTTAACCAATAATAAAAACTTCAAAAATTAAAAACTGGCATTCATCATACAAGAGTCTTACAAAGTATTTATTTGCAATTCATTTGGGGTAAAATTGCAGATACTTCCAAAATATAAATTTTGTTAATATTAATGTGCTGATCATCTATTTCTTAAAAGGGCTGTTCTTTACAGAGGAGGAGGGAAATGTTAAAGTTGATTTTGGAGATTTATAAAAGGTTCACAGCATCTCGTGAATACTTAAATACAAAAAAAAAAAAAGAATCAGTTATTTTCAAGACCATGAGAAGGTCTAGGCTCTCAGAGCTTCTCTAACATGGCCCTCAGGCTCAAGCAAGACTAATGTTAGAGAAATCATACTAACAAGGTATTCAAAACCCGATCCTTTAGGAATGTTTAAAATGCAAATGTCCAAATACATACCACACACATGAGACTCCTCTCCCTCCAACAATGTCAACACAAGGTACCACTATGGCCAAGGCCATGTCTTCTTTTTTCATCCTTAGGTGTAACAGATGATTTAAATGATATCCTTTACTGACTCTTGCAGATTGCACATGATTAAGTGTGCTGACTCAGAGGTCACATTGTCCAGTGAAAACCATAGCTTAGACATTTGTGTGCTGGATGCTATAAGAAAGTTATTTAACTTCTCTATGTCTCAGTTTACCCATCTGTAGAATGTGAGAAATAATAGAGTCTAATTCATGTGGTCATTGTGGGAATTAAATAATACTTAGCATGGGTCTGACTTATGGTAAAGGATCTATTCTTCTAAACTATTGTTATTCCAAAGTTAAGCTAATTCTGAGGATCAGGCACTTCCTCAGACATTAACAATTACCTGAACAGTCAGCAATGGTTTATGCTAGGACACAATAACACCACAAATGAGGCTCATAATAAACCTTCTGACACTTTTCAGTACCTTGTTTCTATTGCTTATACTTTTTATTGCTTAAGACCAAAACAATGGATTAATTCATTTTGTGATTTCTTTTTCTGAATAATATTTACTAAATTATAATAATATTTACCAGCTATCTCCAACTTACAGACAGGTTGAGTTCCAAAAATTTTATTTGCATGTGAGTCACAATTTGAAATACATTTTTTCATAGAAGTAATGTTTTTAAAGAGGTTAAGTGCCCAGGCTGACACAATAAAAGGCAGTGAAGTGGGAATCCATGCCTAGGCTAGAGGGTCTCAGACAAATCAAATAGCTCAACAAATCCACCTGTTAATCTGCCCAGATGCCTCAGTGGGCAGAAGTGAGCAGTTTTTGGTGGCTGAACCTTTACATGTTCTTCATCTAAGAGAGAAAGAAATCGAAAGTCAGAGAAAGGCTTAAGGGGTGCCACAGCTTCCAGTCACCAGCTCAGAGGGGAGGGACATGAGATACAAAATAGAGACAGTCACTGTTGAGATGGTTAGGAATTTCTGGAACCTTCCTAACTTCCCTGTGTTTGCATTGCTCTATATCAGTTTTCTCACAGTGATTATAATGTAGGATGCTCCTTAAAACCAAATACTCTTGAGAAAGGGGCTAGAAAGGGGAGTCTATTACACCCCAAAGTTAATAGAGGGCTAGGGATAAGTGGGGAGGGGAGGAGAGAACCCGAAAGCATAAAGGGAGAGGTGTCCATTATAAAGAGAAAATGAAAGCGGGCTGGGTGAATCCGTGTCACCGCCCTGCCACACATGGTGTTGTGGGAAAAGACACTGACTTTCATGGAGGATGAAACTTATTTCCCTCTGTTGGTAATTTAAGAGATAAAAATAAAGGCATGGGGTCACTTGAGACTCATCATCAGTAACATTAAGTATCCACATTGGCGTAAGAGAAGATTCTTACTTTGGTTTTCAACCTTGGCTGCACATTAGAATCATCTGGGAAGATTAAAAAATTCCAATGCCCAAGGTACACCTCAGACTGATTCCTCCAGAATCCGGAGACCAAGGCATCAGAAGTTTTTAAAGCCTCAGGGGGATTCCAAAGAACAGCCAGGTTTGAAACCATTTTAAATACCAACCACTCTCAGATGTCCTAAACTGAAGAATAAGGCGCTGTGGCCCCCACAGAGCTCTGGGACACCCTAAACTTAAAGCCTCTCACCCAAATCCATGTTTATAATTAACTTCCTTTTTCCCAAAAAAATCTGGGAGAGAATTTGAGAATAGATTTAATGAAGCTGATTATTCACATTATGATTTCATTTGCTAAGAAAGAAAAAATAACTTCAATAACAGTATTCATTGAAACCGATGGCAAAATACTTCCAACATTTTATGTGCAAACTCAAAGACCGTCCTAGAGATGAATTTGACTCACCATGTGCCAGGCAATGTGCTGGATGCTGAGGATAAAATAATCACAAATGTAGACAGAACCCTGCCAAAATGCGGCTTAGAGTCAATGATGACAACAAGAGTTGACAGGGGAACCTGTGAGATGCAGGCTGAGCACCCGCCCAGCCGAGGCTGCCAATAAGGAAAGAGCTATACATGTGATGTCTGAGTCACCTGTTTGAAATCCTTAGGCTTTTTGAGTCACAGATATCAATCCCACGAGTCCAATATCACTCAGTGGGTGTGTCAGCATGCCAACAGCTGAATGATACATACTAATCAATGTACCTTGTTTGCCGCAGCTCACCCTTTGATGGGTCTTTTATGCCTAGGAATGTGGGCATGAGAGGCAACTTAGTATGTGCCTGACTGCACACGGCTACTTGCTTGCCCCACCCCTAGGATAATTCTCACTATCACCTGCTGTTTCATTAAATTACTTGGAATTATCCCTCTGCCAATCTACATTTTTAGGAGAGAGGATTGGTAAATGCTGCCTTCGGAGAAATCCGGCTGTGTAATTAGTGTCTCTGCATCAAGTCTCTTCCTAGTTGCTTTAGGGGCTTAGGAACTGAGTGTCTCACCATGCTGTAAGTATGTCATCTGTTTCTTTTTTGACAAGGTTACTGTCTCTGGTGTCTACTGGCACAATCCCCAAGCTTCCTGGATCTTCTGTCATTAACCATCAGTGGGGTCTGACTGCAGAAAATGCAGACCACATTAAGCGGCAAAAATAGCCCTGGTCTTGAAAAAGTCTCTGCATAGAAAACAAGTTGCTCTAAATGATTCTGTTAATATGTCTGACATCCCATGCCTCTCTTCTCCTGCTGGTGGCTGCAGAGGATTCTGGCCACATGAAACACACGCTCCCCCTTCTCCCGGTCCTCTCCCAGTCCTCTCCCAACAAAGGGCTCCACAGACACCTTATGATCATCAGTCCTGAGGTTGCAGGGAGACACAGATTTCTTCAAAGACATGTTCCTGTCTCAAAAAACTATGATGAGAGGAGAAAATATGCAAAAGACAGGTAGCAAGTGAACCAAGCAATTGTCAGGTAAGTCATATCTTTACAGTCTCAAAGCTGCTTACAAGCATTTGCTCATTTAGAGAACAATCTTATAGGCTAAGCATATCCAAACAAAGCGATGAAAGAAACAAAGCTCATTGGTACAAAGTGGGTTTTTTTGTTTGTTTGTTTTTCTGGTTTCTACAAGCAAACACCCAAATCCTGGCTTTAAACCAGTTCTAAGCAATTCAGGAATTTCTGTTCCATAGTTCTTAAAGGAACTGAACTGGTGACTTCACCAGGCCCACAAAACCACTGGTCAAGAACCACTGTGTTCCAACTTGTGAAATGAACTCTATAAAGTTAGTAGTGTTGGTTTTCGGATCTTTGCTCCCGGAGCCATGCCTTGCCTTTCCTGTGCTCTGCTCCTTTTCACAGAGAACTAAGGGCACTGCATTTCCGGGGTGCCTGGGCCCTCCAGTTCTGGCAGAGAATCAACCAGGGGTAGGCTCTGGCAGAGGAAGAGGTCAAAGTGTTGGTCCTCCTCTCTGTTTCAGGTAGCATCTCGTCAGCGCCCGTTTTCTACTTGGCTTCATGTCTTGCCAAACAGCCCTGTCCTTTGCGGCCCCAGCTCCCATGGGACAGGTCCAC
The DNA here is from genome assembly GCF_000001405.40 of Homo sapiens. Taxonomy (NCBI): domain Eukaryota; kingdom Metazoa; phylum Chordata; class Mammalia; order Primates; family Hominidae; genus Homo; species Homo sapiens. Next base: position 175,477,145 of record NC_000002.12, on the reverse strand, counting down.
AGCAGTTCAGATCCGCTGGGTGGCCTCTAATCACGTGCTGCTCCAGTGACACCATCTCCTTCCTCTTTTCATCCTACCAGCCCCAGAGGAAAAAATGTATTTCCGTACTTGTTTGTCTTTAGATTATTTCTGCTGGGTTTCTCAACTCTTTCTTTACCCATGAAACTATTTTCTTGTGACAGATTTCTTGTTTTGAGGTATCTAGGGTAGTTCATTTCATTGGCCGATATAGAGTATAATATTATAACTTAATCATGTTATCTATAATAAATATACATCTACCTAAAATAACTTAAAAGAATTCCTGTTATGGATTGAATTGGGTCTCCCCGAAATTCGTATGTTGAAATCCTAAACCCAGTACCTCCGAATGTGACTGTATTTGGAGAGAGGATCTTTAAAATGATAATAAAGCTAAAATGAAGTTATTAGGGTGGGCCTTAGTTCTTAAAGTATCCTTATAAGAAGAGGCGATTAGGACACAGACACACACAGAGGGAATATTATGTGAGGACACAGGGAGATGACAGCCAGTAAGGAGAGAGGCCTCAGAAAAAAACAACCCAACTGACCCTGGACCTTGACCTTGGACTTCTAAACTCTAGAACTGTGAGGAAATAAACTTCTCTTGTTTAAGCCAGTCAGCCTGTGGCTCATTAATAATACCAGCAAACAAATACAATTGCTTATCTCTGAAATTTAGGATAAACTACTTACCTCTAAGCCTCAATGTCCTCCTATGTAAAATAAGGGTAATTTTAATGCCCAGGTTGTTGTGAGAATTAATGGAGAGAAGCTTAATATAGTACTTGCCACAGTGCCATAAACATGCGGTATCTTTTTTTTTAAGACAGAGTTTTGCTCTTGTCCCCCATGCTGAAGTGCAATGGCATGATCTCGGCTCACTGCAACCTCCACCTCCTGGGTTCAAGCGATTCTCCTGCCTCAGCCTCCTGAGTAGCTGCGATTACAGTGGGTACCACCACGCCCACCTAATTTTTGTATTTTTAGTAGAGACAGGGTTTCACCATGTTGGCCAGGCTGGTCTCGAACTCCTGACCTCAAGTGATCCACCCACCTTGGCCTCCCAAAGTGCTAGGATTACAGGCATGAGCCACCATACCCCGCCTCATTTTGAATATTCATGTAGATGTATAACTAAAATATGCTTGTAAAATGTTAACTCTGGAGCCCGCCTCTCTAGGTATTAGGGAGGTCTTTAGATTGGACTGGCTGGATAATGTACTCACCTAGGTTTTTTGAGTTCTCCTCAGTCATGTCTTGATTTCAGCTGCAAAGAGTTGGTTTTTTTTGGTTGCTGTTGGTGGTGGTGGGTTTTTTTTGTTGTTGTTGTTGTTTTTATTGAGACGGAGTCTTGTTCTGTCACCCAGGCTGGAGTGCAGTGGTGCGATCTCAGCTCACTGCAGCCTCTGCCTCCTGGGTTCCCGCAATTCTCCTGCTTCAGCATGCTGGGTAGCTGGGATTACAGGCACACACCACGACGCCTGGCTAATTCTTGTATTTTTAGTAGAGATGGGGTTTCACCATGTTGGCCAGGCTGGTCTCAAACTCCTGACCTTAGGCGATCCGCCCGCCTTGGCCTCCCAAAGTGCTGGGATTACAGGCATGAGCTATAGCGCCCGGCCGCAAAGAGTTTTTTAGGTTGTTTTCTTAAAGCTTAAACATTACGCCTCAGCTACAAATTCAGTAACTTTTTTTTGCTCTTGCTACTGCTACTTTAATAGTGTTTCTTGTTGCTTCTGTGTGAGTCCATTCAAGGAAGTAATTGCACTGTGACTTTCTGCAATACCCATGACTACGCACTGGGTCAGTTTGGGGGCCAGCCAAAGAAAGCTTTCCCACTGCTTGCTGCCTGGAAGACCCCCCAGGACTCAAATCCAGCTCTTCCAAGAATTGTTGCCTACAAATAGTCACACCATGGAGATAAGAAGAATCACCTTCCCTGGAACCATCTGCACCTGCAGCCAAGCTTAGCCAAACCACCTGGGCCGCAGCTTATCTGTGTTAGCTACAGCCTCCCTCTTCTGACACTTTTTTACTCAGATCTTCCTTCTGTGGTGGTGAATCTAATAAACTGAGGCACTCAGATTCCTTTCCTACATCAGATTTTTGAAGCCCCAGTATGGTACAAAAAGACTAATTGCTACCCTTCTTATGGGGATATTTGTATTTTAAGAAGCATTCAGCCTTCAGCTAAATGAATAAAACTCTAATAGTCTAACTTGGAGCACTAAGTGATAGGAGATTTTGGGCACCTTTAAGTAGAATTATTACTTTTTAATAACAATAAAGAAAATATTAAAGTTCAAAGTAAATAAATGCTTGGTTTTCCTTGGCTAAAGTTTTGGGAGAATGAATAAAAAGTCGATGATCCCTTATAAAGAAGTATTTCCATGAAGGCCTTCTTCCACTAGTGACCGAAGCTCATGTCTTACATATGCATATAATATTTATCATCATCAGTTATTATGATTAAATGTTTTCTAGGTGACTGATACTGTATTGTGAACTTTCCAGGAAAAGGAAAGGAAAAAACAAGGTGGAATAAAATAAAAACAAAAAGAAGCCTAAAACATTTTGATCTACTTTACATTTTAAAAGCAGAAATTTATCATCTTGTGATTTTTAACCTCCCAGTGGTTTGTTGCCATATGGTACTAATTCTGCCCATGGAATGTGAAAAATAAAATAAATGTCAACTCTTGAATCACAATCACTAACCTTATAGCTACACAGAATGTAATGGTTTTCTCTGTACATCAGTTTTTTTTTAAGGTCCAGGTGGTTTCTGCTAAATCTCTAGCCTTTTATTACATAATTTGCCTATTACTTGGAAAGGAAGATATCAGAATTTTCTTTCTATTTTGTTTTCCCCACTTCCCCACTGGAATTAGACAGGTTTCATTCTGTTCCTGGACATCTTGTTATGACTCTTCACAGGGTACCTTATGCAGAATTCCAGGCTGGTTAAAATACTTTGACATTGGATTTCAGACTGCATTCCCTAGCCAGATTATTTTCTTAAAGTAATACTCAAGAATAATAGAGTTTCTATTGCATAGGTTTTCTAAACAAACTTACTTGGTAAAATAATGAAGAAAATAGACATCTACTTATACAGCTCTGGGGAAAATCACATTCCCAAAGATAATTTCATTTAAAATGTACATTTCAAATATTCATATTGCTAATAAGATTGCAACTATCAACAGTTTAGCGTTTAGTGTAACTTTCTGACTGGCATAAGGCCTTCCATAGTCAAAGGGCAAGTCTTATCTATGTCACATAAGCCAAAGCAAAGTATCATTCTTCAGCTATTTCCTGTCCCTCTTCCTCCCCAAATCCTTCTTTTCCTCCTTTCTCCATTCTACCAAAAATATGGTTTGATGTATTAGCAACAACTGGGCAATTTTAAAAACAGAATGTATGAAATCTGAAGAGAAAACTAAATTTCAGAAAGTACATGTTTGCTTAGTTAAGAGGACAAAAGACTTTTTTTAAATGTCCAATATGGTGGTTTCCAGTATTCATGAAAGCTAACAAGTGGTTCACAATTCCAATAACTTCTATAAGAACACTGATTGCCCTTTTGCTGATAGGCATGGTCATCATTGCATGGACATATGAACATGTGGGCCTTTGATCATAGTTAAGAATCATTCAGTAATGAATATTAATTATCATATGTTACAAAATAAATCAGATACCAATAAAAATACAACACCATAGACTTACGAGGGGCCAGGAGATAGTCTTGGTCTCCTAACATGCCAAACACTGATTTAGCTTCTTGATTTCTAATATTCAATTTAAATTCCATAACAGTCCTTGAGATATGTGCTATTGTCCTTATTTCAAAGATGAGAAAATCGAAACTCAGAAAATCCAAATAAATTAATGCCTGAGTCTGGCCTTTTTGCCTCCTGTCTGGTGGACCACCTCCAATCTGTTCCCAGGCTTGGATACTCTTAGTGGATTCTCTTGACCTTTAGAACAAAGTCTAAATTCATTACCAAGTTTCTCAAGGTCCTTCATGATCTGGCCCCAATATTATCCTCTCAAACAGCAAACTTTATCAGTTCTCACCTCAAGCTCCACTCTCAATCACATTCAACTTCTTTCAGTTGCCTGAATATGCCATGCTTTCTTTTGCCCCTGGGATTGTGCTGATGCTGGTCTGTACCTAGAGCACCCTCAAACACACTTTTCTCCCCCTCTTTAATGATCTGGCTAATTCTTCCTGGATCTCCAAATCTGAACTTATGTATCTCTTCCTCCAGGAAGCTGCCTCTGAGCTCTGAGCACCTATTGGGTGATCCCCTACAAGATCGTCATAGTGTATAGGTGATCCCCTATAGCTCATCATACTGTCTCACATTCTGCCTTGTAATTAATTACCTGTTCACTTTTCTGTATCCCTCCCTTGAAAAAACATCTGTGAAGGCAGAAACTGAGATGGTCAGGTTCTCATGGTATCCCAGCACCTAGCTGTATGCAGTAGAGAATTGATATGTATCAAACGTCTGGATGATTATGAGAATGACATTGTACTTAGAGAATTTTATTTTAATGACAATATGGCAAAAATTCTATGGCAATTCCTTCTGAAAGCGCACTATTTAGGATGGCATCATGGCAGTTTGTTAGGGGATATGCAGAACCATAGGTGCAGTATGGCTTTCTAAACCATCCATGTTACTTGGTAAGTGATAAGGTTTGGCTCTGTGTCCCCACCCATATCTCATTTTGGATTGTAATCCCCATAATCCCTATGTGTGGAAGGAGGAACCAGGTGGGAGGTGATTGGATCATGGAGGTGGTTTCCCCCATGCTGTTTTGTGATAGTGAATGAGTTCTCATGAGATCTGATGGTTTTATAAGGCAGTTTTCCCTGCTCTTGCTTGATCTCTCTCGCCTGCTGCCATGTAAGATGTGCCTCTTCCCCTTCCACTATGATCATAAGTTTCCTGAGGCCTCCCCAGCCATGTGGAAGTGAACTGTGAGTCAATTAAGCTTCTTTCCTTTATAAATTGCCTAGTCTCAGGTATGTCTTTATAGCAGTTTGAGAACAGACTAATACACTAGGTAATTTTAAATATTAATTTTAAATTAAAAATACAGATACATAGACTAATGTGGTAAAATATAAGACTTCCAAGAAATTTTCCATTTTGAATTAGATCCACAGATATAGAGTGACAATCACTGTTCATGATGGTCAAACCTTAGTTACAAGGTCACAATCATTTGGGAGCAGGCTTTAAGATGAGCAATGTCAAATTTATAAGCCTCAAAAGGAAACTGTGTGCTTTAAGGAATATTTGAAGGTCAATTCTGCTTAATTTAGAGAAGACTGAAGAGAAATGTACAATCTGCGTTTACCTGTTCGGAGGCTGTTACCTAGAAGAGGGAGCACAGATGCATTATTAGAAATCCATCTTTAGAACAGAGAACCAGGACCATTGAGAAGAGGAGCCCAGATTCGGTTCAACATGAGAAAGGACCTATGAGTTGTCTCTGCATGGTAGGAATAGGGTAAATTTTTGTTTTCTTCTTGGTCCTCTTCTACATGACCTCAGTGTTCCATCAGATGAAATATTCAAAATGAATCCTTATAACAATTCATCAAGAGTACTACAAAAAGAATTCCTGGCTGGAATTATTTTTGGTGCAACGGCTCACACCTATAATCCCAACACTTTGGGAGGCCAAGGCAGGAGGATTGCTTGAGCCCAGGAGTTCAAGACCAACCTGGGCAACATAGTGAGGCCGAACTTCTAAAAAAAAAAAAAAAAGCCAGATACGGTAGTACTCACCTGTGGTCCCAGCTGGTCCAGAGGCTGAGGTAGGAGGATCAGTTGATCCCAAAAGGAGCGAGTCATGATCATGCCACTGCACTCCAGCCTGGACAACAGAGTAAGACCATCTCAAAAGAAAAACTCCTAATTTGTACAGAACACTACAATTTGTCTTTTCTTCTAGTGTTAAGATTATACAAATTTCCCATGAAAAAACTGAATCTAGAGAGTTTGTTTGTATTTGTTTAGGTTTACCACAGGTACAATCTGTGCAAAGCTTTTTTCTTTTTTTTCAAAATGGGATTACGTAAGTTGTTTTAGATTTGCAATAATCCATAGTTGGTGCAAAATAATTAATGCATTCCCATGGAAAGTGAAATTTTCCCAGACCCTATTCCATACAAAGATTTTAAAAGCACTGTACAAATATATTAATGGGATCACCCTATAATATCATTCTGTAACTTTTTCCCTTGACACTACATTATGGACATCTTTACTTGACAATACAATAGATGGTATTTATCCTTTTAAACAGTTGTATGATATTCACTGTCTGGATGCGGCACAACAAAAAATGTCATCTGTTCCCTATTGATGAACACTTGCTTTGCAGTATTGTTTGCAATTGCAAATATTTAATGATAAGCTTGTTTTATGAAAAGATTTTCCATGAAACAGACTAGGCCTCCATTCTGAGAACTGGTACCTCAGAGCACGCCTTAACAGTGTGCTGGGGAATGCTCAAAGCTATAGGCACAGTGTATCATCCTGGACCATCCATTTTACTCAATGATAAATAATTTAAAATATTAACGGTTTTAAAAAATAAAATACAATTCAGATCTATTATATGGAAAAACACAAAGTGTATACAGAACTTTCTATTTCTTTATGGCAAAATAAAGGACTTCAATAGCATTTTCCATTTTGAGTTAGGGACCCAGGCCCCCAAAGGTAAGTTGACTTTCTTCTGCCATTAGGGATATTCCAGTGGAAAATTCTGAAAAGGACTTATTTAGGATCTTGGAACAGTTTGAATGCCCGAGAGGATTCCAGACAAACTAGGGACTAATTATAATGGCTGAACTAGGTTCTTAAAATAGAAGTCAGCCAAGAGCTCTCAAGATGGGTTCCTCAAAGTTAATATGAGTACACAAAAAAGAGAGGAGGAGGAGGGCAGAGTGTGTCTCTATCAGCCGTGTACCTGGATCAAGTCCAGGTGCGAAAATTGGTTTGTGTGACGACTCGGAATAATTTTCTATGCTCACAATCTGGGAAATATAAGGTTATCTTTACTTTGGGCTTTTGTGGTTCTTTGTAAAGGAAGTCTCATTTTTGTGAGGCGAATAGACTCTTCAAATAGCGAATTCTTAACTAGAAAGTCAAAGTTCAATCACAGCCTACTTGTTTATCTTGTTTTACTTGAAAAAAAATTAAGTGCCATAATGAAAGAACACTTGAAAAGACAGTCAAGCTATTGTTGATAATTCTAGCCAGTGAGAGGATTTCTCCAAGCCTTATTTCTCTCACCTGATTTCATCTGGTGCTTTTAGACCAACGGCATAATGTTGTAGGGCTTCCCATCTTCTTAAGCACCTTAAATTCTGTGCATACCAAAAACAGTTGTTACTCTGAATAGATGTTTTTGTTCTCCACAAGAGGCCTGCAGAGCAGAGGTGAATTATGTTTAAAAAGGAATCATTTTGCCTGTCAGAACACTTTACATAAAACAACCCTTGAATTCTGAAGGATTTTTAAACTGAGCTCCAAAATCCTACAATGTGCATCTAAAATATCCTGCTAGCTAAAAGCAAAAGAACTGGTCTACCGACCTTCAGCTCTTGCCGCTTGGAAATATTCTTTAGTGCTTAACAGTATTTGACTTACCTGCATTTATTTTCTACTGTGTTCATTTTTAAGTCATCACTTTAGTCCAGGTAAATGGATTCAATAGAGATGAACACACCATCATATTTTGTGAATCTGCATAGCTGAACGCAATAATAGTATAATTATGCTGTCTAATATTTGCTCGAAACGTGTGTCATTCATTATCATATGCTAATTGTGCATAATTAATGTTAACTATTCATGGGCACAAGATCAATTATGTGTTGTAAAGTAAAACTTAAATGCAAAAAAAGAAAAAAGCTCCTCGTATAAACAAAACATAATAACAGACCCTTTATTCTCTAAGGCATGTTAAAAAGATTATAAATGAATTGACCATTTTGATATTAGAACGTATACAGTAAATAACATGTGTAAAAATGCAGTCATTTTAGGTCTCCTGGGGAAAACAGCAGTAACTCTTCCTCATGTGAGAAGCATGGAAGGAATGCCATCGAAAGAGACACAATCAATATATTATCTTCAGAACAAACAAGGGAGCTACAGATGAGGGCTGTGGATGGATATTATAGATGAGGGATTCTGTTGTCATAACCACTTGGAAAACTTGGCAGGATGCACATCCAATTCATAAAACAAATGGTCAACTTATTATTCAGGTTTAGCTCAAATTTTGGTGAGCTTGGCAGAATTTGTCACTGTGGAAATGTACTATGGACTCAAAGCAAAAGGCTCGTTTTGTTTAAGAGGCAGCTGTCTCTAGAATTGAATAGCAAACAGGGAGTTAAGTGCCTCTTCCCCCAACTTTCATTAACCCTCAGACTAACAGGAAGGCGGTATACATTACCATCTTTGTATCTCTTTTCCCCTTGGAGGTACTGAAGCGAAGCCAGAATAAGTATCTTGCTTAATGTGAAGGCACAGTTCAGTGCAAGGACTGCTAAGAGATCCCTAAACTCCAAGCTCTCTGTGAGTCCGATGTGTCTCCCAGCTTTCTTTCCCCAAGCACCCAATTTCAGGTAATCTATGCGCTCCTTCACACCTTATTTGTATTCTCAACCGTATGTTTCCAGTTTTCTGTTTTTAGAAGAACTTTGTATGACTCCCTGTTCCCTGCTGAAGTTGTCATTCGTTCTCTTGACCTGATCATTCTGGCTTTTGAACTTCCAGAATAGGATTGTTCTAGGATTGTTCTTTCCTACCTCCTCTGAAACGAGGTGTGGTCATGTGAATTGCTTTGGTCTGTACAACATGAGTGGAAGCGACAAAGGGCAAGATGTTTAAGAAGCACTGTGTGATGTGCCACACTGGTGCGGTGTTCACTGGAAACACACATCAAGATGAAGCCTCCCTCATCCCAGATGCCTGGGTGATGACAAGAAGCAGAGGCCTTCTTTTGGTTTCAATGGACATGTGATGTGAGCAGGAAATAAACTTTGTGTTATGTCAGTGAAATTTGGAGTTTGCTTGTAACATAATTCAGCATATCCTGAATGATACATGTACAAAATAAAATCTAAGCTTCAGTCACTTGGCATTGAAGGCCTTCCACCATCTGGCCTCAACCTATATTTTATACACTCACTTAACTTATTGAGAGGTATTATATGCCAGCAACTTTGATAATTTTGTACCTAGGTGTACAAAAGACCCATGCCCTCAAGGGGGAAATATGCATTGGAATTATGACAATACGGCATGATCAGTTAAAGTCTAGCTAACATAGAGGTCTAGTAACAACAGGAAAAAAGACCATTTTATTCTTTTGGGGCTGATATTGGCAGTAGTATAGAACATTTTGTGCAAGGAGTGGTCAGCATATGATAAGGCACAAAAGAGGTAGAAAGCCAAGCATGTTCACAAAACTGAGCATAGCTGAGTATAGTTTATGTGTCTTCCCCTAGGACATACTTACATTGCCTCTGTCTATGCCACATCCCTTGCCTGGATTCCTCCAAACATCGTAGACTTAATGGGGAAGTAGGGGTGCTGGGACAGGTGTCAAGGGACTTGGAAGTTTTCCTTTCATACTGGTCTCACTTTAATGTGGGCCTTTAAACTTAGACATTTATCTCATCTTCAAATTAGTCAATACATACAGTCATAGAGATAACTGATGGGATTCAAAGATGGGGTCCATTATATCACTTTAAACCAGATCACTCTATAGGATACTTGACATAAACATTTTTTTTTCTGCAATCCAACAACTTGGGATATTATAGCCGTGGGGTAATCCAATTATCCCACGACTACAATTTTATTGCATTGCATTTTCTATGCAAAAAGCATTCAAAGTAAACATTAAAATATATCTCCGTTTTTGTAGCCCTGCTTTGAAATGTCTGTTTTCTTTCTCTTTTTTAATATAAGTATCCTTAAAAACATAATAAAGGTCAGGGTTTCTCCCTTCTTCTCATGTGAAAATTTCAAGATCCTTCAAGGCATGGATGCTTAAGCTCAAATGTTACCTCCTCTGTGAAGCCTCCCTTGACGTGTATTATTCTTCCTCTTTGATCCCTCAGCATTTTGTTTGTAACTCTGCCCTTTATAACATTTAACCTTTCCTAAAAGATGAATGTTATTTACATGTCTACAACTGCCACCAGGTTGCTCTTAAGTGGTTCACAGTATCTTACTCATGTCTGCATCCCTCCTGGCACCAAGCATGGTGCCTGGACAGAAGAGGCAAGCAATACATGCTGAACTGAACTGAAGATGTGGGTAAAACACCCAATAGTTATAAAGATGGAGGAAAATTGATAAGAAAATTGGTAAGGAAATAATATCTCCAGAAAATAAACCCCATCCTCAGAGCAACCAGGTACAAATTTTGTGTAAATACCATGCATAAATGGGCTCTCTCAGTAAGAACAAATAGTGAGATAGAACCCTACAGAAAAATGTAATAGTGTCCACTACAGTATGATTTTACAGGTCCAAAATCCATCTGAAACCTCTGGCCAGATGTGTTTCAGAATCTAGAATTATTTAGAGGCTAAAAAGATAATGTGGTACATGAACTTCTGTAACACCCCGACAGGGTGTGGGGCAGCACTCCAGAATCAACACTTAATGTTTCTGCAGGAAAATACATGACTCTTCACCCAAAGTAGAAGAAATAAAGCTATAATAGGCTCATGTTGGTTTAGCTTAGATTTTGCTGCCAAATACATTCCAAAAAGTTTAAGGCTTTGGAGTTTTAGAATTGTAGACGGACCTTGATATGGTTTGGCTGTGACCCCACCCAAATCTCATCTTGAATTGTAGCTCCCATTATCCTCACATGTCCTGGGAGGGACCCAGTGAGAGGTAATTTAATCATGGGGACAGTTACTCTCATGCAGTTTCATGATTGTGAGTTCTCATGAGATCTGACGGTTTTATAAGGGGTTTTATCCCTTTTGCTCAGCACTTCTCCTTGCTGCTGCCAAGTGAAGAAGGACGTGTTTCCTTCCCCTTCCACCATGATTGCAAGTTTCCTAAGGCCTCCCCAGCCATGCTGAACTGTGAGTCAATTAAACCTCTCTCCTTTATAAATTACCTGGTCTTGGGTATGTCTTTATTAGCAGTATGAGAATAGACTAATACAGACCTATATTACTAATAGCTACTTATCCAATACACAAAGAACACTTGATTATTGTGGAAGATCATCTTTCTCCAGCCTATCTTTATCAAATTCAAATTTCAAATCTTTATTGCCAAAACACTTTACAAACTTCTAATTTTTTTAAATTAGAAGTTTACCTTAAAAACTCCTTTTTTGAAAAAAGCTCACCATCAAAATATTGATATACAGACTAGATTCAAATAAGGATTTAGTATGTGGAACGTGAAACTTTTTTTCCAGGCAATGAGTTAAGTATCTAAAATATATTGGTTTAAAGATTTAATTCCTGTGAAAGCAGATTTTTGAATATAAATGGTTTTGTCAGGGTGTCAGACACATTCTCACATACTGTGCAGGTTTCCCTGGGTCATTGAAGGGGGCCTCTGTAATAATGCATCTGACTAAGATCACATACACACATACACACAAACACACACTCAAATTTGCATGTGTTTTGCCATAAACATACATTTGGCAAGAAAATAATCCAAGTTATACAAATGAAGTGCACTCCACAAATCTGTTTCAAAGACACACACCACCCTGACCATATTCTCTTCAGTTTATCCCATACATGAAAATCAATGTTGGCACTGAGTGTTTCTGTACACAAAGGGCATGGATAGTCTTAAAAAGAATGCTGTAAAGAATGTGAGTTTTTAAAAAAACATCTCATGTAGTTTTTGATTCCTCCTAGGCCTGATTTTTTAGGACCCAGTTTTGGAGAGCCAGGCTAATTAGTAAGGCTTCTTTATAAAAGTCTTAATCTGTGAAATGTAGCTTTTCAGAGTTCTCAAGGGAATGAATATGGGTGGCCAGGGTTTTGAAGTGAATGCGGCAATCGCAGGCTGTTCTCTTTAGGAAACACTGCAAATGGCTAAATGAGCTCTGGGTGAAATCGTAGGAGGCCTTTGGCAAGCAACACTTCTGAATGTGTAATTTCTAAAAAAAATACATACATCTGTGCTTTATAACCAAAAGGTAAGGTAATGGATAGTAAATTGTCTTTCTACTGGTTCTAAGCTCCTTGAAGACGAAGAAACCAGATCTTGGCAGAAGCTCAATAAATATTTGCTAACTGGACTTAACTTCAAATGACATTTAAACGAGAAAATTCAGTGAAATCTTTTTGTGTTGAGGGTCAGTTTAATTTAAGTTTTAAAAGTAAAGAACAGGGGTGATTTGGATGGGAACAGAGGTTCTAGGAAGCAAGGCCTTCAATGGAAACCCGCCTTATCGCTATTTTGGAACTGTCAGGAGCTCCATTTGGCTGATGATCCAGCAGGCGTGAGCACAGGTGGAGACTCACATGAACCAGGCAGCATATCCCCATTTGGTGACATTGCGAAGGAAGGCCCACAGGACCCTACACCACAGACCAGAGCCCAAGGCTGAGTGGGGAAATTGCCGGCTGCCATGGCCACTGCGGCAGCATGAGGCTCTTTGCCTTCACACGGGGAGAGCATGGGTCTGGCCTTTCCAGCAGAATTTTTAGAGTCCTTTTTTGAATTAAGAACTAGCAGGGAATACCAAGCCTTTTTCTTTCCTAACTTCCAGTATAAGGATCTCAGTGTCCAAGTTTGAGCAAGGTAAAACGAAAGAAAACCAAAGCACATTCAGGGCTCTGGCGAGGCTGCTGGTGCAGGCTCCAGCCCCACGATCTCAGTCGCTGCGGCCTTGAGCCTTTCGTGTTTGCTCTTGAGCTTGTCCTTCAGGTGTGATGCAAGGCTTGGCCAGCTGAGGAGATGGAGAGCCTCTCCCAGCCAGTCCTCCTCCCTCAGGGGATTCCACAGTGAGCAGGGCACAGCCGTGCTATCCCCAGAACTCCCCAAACTCTGGGTGGTAATGGTCTGCCAGCAGTTACAGTTGTTGATCTTATAATTGAAATATAAAAGGGGCTCGCAGCTGTCAGGAACACATTTAACAGGGTGTCTCTGTTCCAATATTGTGGGCTGCTGCGACTTTGTAATTGTGCGGTGTGTTTACAGGCATCACAAGAAGGGTTAGGGAAGGAAGCAAATAAAGAAATACCTTGGAACCGTTTGTAGGGCTTGGGCCCCAGGGCAGGAGGATATGTTGGCCAAGTGTCTAAAATACTATTGCTAAACCAGCAGGGTCTGTGGTTTCCAAGGCTGGGCTAGTCTACAGAATAGTTTGTTTTGCAACTACTGTGCATAAGGGCCCCCCTGTCATCTTCACTGGAGACTCTAACCTTCACTTAAAAATTGTCCTCTGCTTAATGCTTTGTTTTTCCTTTGATTTCCACAATATACGATATTAATGATAACATGTCCTTGGCCTTCTTTTATTTGTATTTTTAAGGTAACCTCTTGCTCTACCTTTTACTTCTAACCTTTCTCTGTCACTTTGTCTGGATTTACAGTTAAATGGGGAAAATAGAGCTTGGCCTCTCCCTGCAGTCATGACTAGGAAGCTTGAGCTGACTGATCTCATCTTGTTTCATGCTTTCTGAGTTTTATTCATTCCTGCTGTTTTAATGGTCCTCTTTCTCTTGCTAACTTCACACAGCATTTTCCTTTTTTTTTCTCTTAACACTGGCATTTTAAATGCTATAATTTTAACCTTGATAGAGACTAAACGCAACAACAACAAAAGTTAAAGTACGGATTTTGAATTTCTTCCTCACTGTGACCATTATTTCAGAGATAAGTGACTATATTTTAGCTCCAGTCATCATCTTTATTTACTCCTACTCCTTTATGGCCAAGTTTGGCCATTCTTTAATTTTGAAGCTATAATGTTTAGCAAGGATGATTAGAGGGACACTTCCATTCAGAAAGGAGGGTTCAAAGGCTGGGTACTCCTTACTATGCCTTTGGAATAGTCACTCGACATCTTCATTCTCATTTCCTCATCTGTGACATGAAGAAAATAATAGTGCATCTCCTTGGACTCCTGTGAGGATTGAATGAAATGACATAGGAACAAACCCAGCACAGAACCTAGTGCCCAATCAATGTTGATTGTTGTTTATGTTGTTGTAATATTAATCTAGAAAGCTGACTCCTGCTACGTAGCCTTTGTCTTTCCAAATGCGTTTCAGTTTTTTTATTTGTTAAGCTAAGGGTACTTAGCTGTTACAAGGATACTCGGTTAACTGTTAAGCCATGAAGCTCCAGAAAGTCTTCCCTCTGAATTGAAGAATGGCATCTTTGGCCAGATGCTTTTCTATGACTGGAGGAGGAAAAGAAAAGTTTGTCAGCTATTCTAGTTAATAAATCCAGTCCCCCCTGAAATCTCCGCTTACTGTGAAAGCTGACCCCCTTCCCCAACATTTGGGCCAGGAGCAACCCAGGGTTCCTTTGAATTCTTTGACAAAGGTCTTATGGCCTTGGGCTGCTCTTTAAGGAAGCACTAGTTGGTTCCTCAAACCTGGAGGCTTTTGAGGAGGAAACCTCAGGGAGCCAACTCTGCCTCTAAATATCCATGTGACCTTATGGTAATGACTTTCTTCGGACCTCGCTTTCCTCTTGACCAAGGAGCCACATTATTTTAGGCCCTTTAATAAATCATTGTGATTGTTTTTCAATCAGTATCATCAGAAAGCCCTTGACTAGACCTGAGCACTTTGCTGAATACCATACAACAGATCTAAATTCAGTTCAACCTGAAACTTGTTTGCTGTGTACTTACCATGTGTCAGGAACTGGGAGAGCTACAGAGATGTGGACGTAAGAAACGTGCATGTTCAAACTGTAACAGGAAGTGTAACGAAAGCGCAGAAGCAATGCAAGGGCAAAGATAAAGAAATGTAGACATTGACACTTCCCTCAAATTACTTGCCCTCTGGACACACACGCAGTACTAGGGCTATTCATTCAGCATGTGTAAATATGCCTATGTAATATGACCCCAGCAGCAACAGTGGGATGAGTGTTTAGATGGTGCTTCACATAGGCTAGGCCCTGCTTTCAAGGCTTCAACATATCAACTCTATCCTCTCAGCAACCTTATAAAGAAGATTGTTATAGTCCATTTTTATGCTGTTGATAAAGACATAGCCGAGACTGGGAAGAAAACGAGATTTAATTGGCCTTACAGTTCCACGTGGCTGAGGAGGCCTCAGAATCATGGCGGGAGGCAAAAGGCACTTCTTACATGGCAGCGAGAGAAAATGAGGAAGAAGCAAAAGCAGAAACCCCTAATAAACCCATCAGGTATCATGAGAGTTATTCACTGTCACGAGAATAGCACTGGAAAGACTGGCCCCCATGATTCAATTACTTCCCCCTAGGTCCCTCCCACAACATGTGGGAATTCTGAGAGATAAAATTCAAGTTGAGATTTGGGTGGGGACACAGCCAAACCATATCATTTCACCCTGGCCCCTCCTAAATCTCATGTCCTCACATTTCAAAATCAGTCATGTCTTCCCAACAGTGTTCCAAGGTCTTAACTCATTTCAGCATTCACTCAAAAGTCCACAGCCTAAAGTCTCATCCCAGACAAAGCAAGTTTCTTCCACCTATGACTCTGTAAAATCAAAAGCAAGTTAGTTACTTCCTAGATACAATGGGGGTACAGGCAATGGGTAAATACAGCCATTCCAAATGAGAGAAATTGACAAAAACAAAGGGACTACAAGCCCCATGCAAGTCCAAAATCCTGTAGGGCAGTCAAATCTTAAAGCTCCAAAAGGATCTCCCTTGACTCCATATCTCACATTCAGGTCATGCTGATGCAAGAGGTTGGTTCCCATGGTCTTAGGCAGCTCTACCCCTGTGGCTTTGCAGGGTACAGCCTCCCTCCCAGCTGCTTTCACAAGCTGGCATTGATTGTCTGCAGCTTTTCCAGGCACACGGTGCTATCTGTAGGTGGATGTACCATTCTGGCGTCTGGAGGACAGTGGCCCTCTTCTCACAGCTCCACTAGGCGGTGCCCCAGTAGGGACTGTGTGTGGGGGCTTCTACCCCATATCTCCCTTCCACACTGCCCTAGCAGATGTTCTCCATGAGGGCCCTGTGCCTACAGCAAACTTTTTTCTGGGCATCCAGGCATTTCCATACATCTTCTGAAATCTAGGTGGAGGTTCCCAAACCTCAATTCTTCACTTCTGTGTGCTTTGAGGCTCAACACCACATGGAATATGCCAAGGCTTGGGGCTTCCAATCTCCAAAGCCACAGCCTGAGCTGTATGTTGGCACCTTTCAGCCGTGGCTGGAGTGGCTGGGACACAGGGCACCAAGTCCCTAGGCTGCACACAGCACAGGGACCCTGGGTCTGGCCCACAAAACCACTTTTTCCTCCTGGGCCTCCAGGCCTGTGATGGGAGGGGCTGCCATGAAGGTCTCTGACATGGCCTAGAGACATTTTCCCCATGGTCTTGGGGATTAACATTAGGCTCCTTGCTACTTACGCAAATTTCTGCAGCTAGTTTGAATTTCAGGAAATGGGTTTTTCTTTTCTATTGCATAGTCAGGCTACAAATTTTCCAAACTTTTATGCTCTGCTTCCCTTATAAAACTGAATGCCTTTAACAGCACCCAAATTACCTCTTGAATGCTTTGCTGCCTAGAAATTTCTTCTGCCAAATACCCTAAATCATCTTTCTCAAATTCAAAGTTTCACAAATCTCTAGAGCAGAGGCAAAATGCCACCAGTGTCTTTGCTAAAACATAACAAGAGTCACCTTTACTCCGGTTCTCAACAAGTTCCTCATCTCCATCTGAGATCACCTCAGCCTGCACCTTATTGTCCATATCACTATCAGCATTTTGGGCAAAGCCATTCAACAAGTCTCTACAGACTTCTAAAGTTTCCCACATTTTCCTGTCTTCTTCTGAGCCCTCCAAACTGTTCCAATGTCTGCCTGTTACCCAGTTCCAAAGTTGCTTCCACATTTTTGGGTACCTTTTTAGCAACTCCCCACTCTATTGGTACCAATTAACTATATTAGTCTGTTTTTATACTGCTGATAAAGACATACCCAAGACTGGGAAGAAAAAGAGGTTTAATTGGACTTGCAGTTTCACATGGCTGGGGAGGCCTCAGAGTCATGGCAGGAAGCAAAAGGCACTTCTTACATGATGGCAGCAAGAGAAAATGAGGAAGAAGCAAAAGCAGAAAGCCCTAATAAACCCATCAGATCTCGTGAGACTTACTCACTATCATGAGAATAGCACAGAAAAAACCAGCCCCCATGATTTAATTACCTCCTCCTGGGTCCCTCCCAAAACGTGGGAATTCTGGAAGATACAATTCAAGTTGAGATTTAGGTGGGGACACACTCAAACCATATCAAAGATTATATATTAGATTGATGCATTGGTTTTGCCGTTAAAAGTCATGGCAACCTGCACATTGTGCACATGTATCCTAAAACTTAAAGTATAATTAAAAAAAAAAAAAAAGAAGTCATGGCAAAAACCGCAATTACTTTTACACCAGCCTAATAATGTTTCCATTTAAAAGATGAGGAAATTGAGGCATGTGCCCAAGCTCACACAACTAGCAAGTGACAGAGCCAGATTTATGAACACAGAAAGTCTGGCTCTAGAGTCTACATTTTTTTTTTTTTTTGAGACGACGTCTCACTGTTGTCGCCCGGACTGGAGTGCAATGGCATGATCTTGGCTCACTGCAACCTTTGCCTCCTGGTTCCAGCAATTCTCCTGCTTCAGCCTGCTGAGTAGCTGAGATTATAGGAGCCTGCCACCACTCCTGGCTAATTTTTGTTTTTTTTTTGTTGTTTGTTTTTTTTAGTAGAGATGGGTTTTTACCATGTTGACTAGACTGGTCTTGAACTCCTGACCTCAGGTGATCCACCCACCTCAGCCTCCCAAAGTGCTGGGATTACAGGCGTGAGCCATCACACCTGGCCTACATTTTATTTTTGTAAACCAAATGATATCTGGCCTCAATCTCACAAGGGTGGACAGAACATTCAATTTCAGTCATTGTAGGGTGGTAATTCCCTATCTTAGAGTCTTAAAAGAGTCAGGGATTGAGAAAGCCCTTACATGGTCCTGAAAAATGTGGGGAAAGGCTGGATTCTCAGTCCACTGTGATTGCATTGGGGAACAGATTTCTTTGCCAGGCTGGCTCCAGCACACCACTACCTTAGAATTCATTCCTCCATCCAAGGCCATGCTACCTCCTCTAAGTGAGAGAGAACACTGCCTTCAACCATCAGCCGTATGTGCATCTTCTTTCCAGTTTTAGGAAATCATTCTCATCCCTTCTGCCTGTTCTCTCTTCAGTGAAGCCTTCCTCCTTACAGAATATCTACAGAACTCTACTTTGGAAACAAAAGCCTCTTAGAAGGAACAAAAGGGTAACAGTGTTCTTTCTTGACATTCCTGCCAGGTAAATAAGCAGAGTTAATTTCTCACTCAGGTTAAATTGCTTTCAAATATTCTTGGATGTGAAGAGAATTGCACCTTTGCTCTTGCAACGCTCCTGTGAAGCAAGTCTCCTTAACTACAGAAACCATATTTGGGCTAAGTTTCAAATTAAGGATATCCTGCAATTCTATAATACTTGAAATGATGCAAGCAATTTATTGAGCTGGTGCAGAAAGGAGGAAGGAAAAAAAAAGACTGCCAGAAAGCCCTCAGCCATGGAGGTGAGCGTCTGACCCTGTGATGTTGCCTTGTCTATATAATTTGCTGCATGTTGCATCATACAGAATATGCCAACCTTTTTCTGCCTGCTCAAAAAAGGTGATGCTAATTAGATCAGGCAAATAGCTGCTGTTGTTGATTCATTTGAAAATGATTATTCCAAGGCAGTGTGTTATTACCCAGCAAGTCACGGCTTTCCCTATTAAGGCTCTGAGGTGGCTGCCAGACTTCAAAGTCGGAGGTGGAATTTGAGGCTAGCAGTGCCGGCTGGGGCAATGTTAGAGCTGGGGTCACTCCTAGAGCCTTCATCTGAGGACAAGAAAAAAATCTATTTACATTTAGGAACTTAATCCCTTCGGGTCGGTATGGACTCCACTATCAACTCAGTGCCAATAAATATCAAATGGGACACTTGCCATGTGCAAAACATAAAACAGTGGATTGCACAAAATCAAATAGGAAAGTGGTGCCTCACTATAAAGGTTCTTACACGTCAGTAAAAGAGCTAAGATGCTAACCCAAGTAGTAACGCAGAATATTGCAAGTGCGGCAATTAAGTGAAATAGTAAGAGTGTATTTGATAAAGGGGCAAGTTTTCCACATGTTATTTATTTGGTATATTTTAATTATAAATAATATACTATGGGAACACCAATGATGTACACATTCATTTTGTAGAGGGTAGACACAGAAATACAGATAGGGAAGGGCTTTATGAAGAAAGAAGCATTTGAGCTGCTTTTTGAAGTATGAGTAAAGTTTTAAAAATTAGTGAAGCCAAAAACAAAAATAGAAAGAATGAATAAGATCTAGTATTTGATAGCACAACAGGAGGGCTATAGTCAATAATAATTTTCTAATTTGTATTTTATTTTTATTTTTTGAGACGGGGTCTCACTCCAGTTGCCCAGGCTGAAGTGCAACCCGATCTAGTGGTGTGATCTCACTGCAGCCTCGACCTCCTGGGCTCAGATGATTCTCCCACATCAGCCTCCTGAGTAGCTGGGACTACAGGCATGTGCCACCATGTCCACCTGGCTAATTTTTTGTATTTTTAGTAGAGATGGGATTTCGTCATGTTGCCCAGGCTGATCTTGAACTCATGGGCTCAAGCAATCCACCCACCTCAGCCTCCCAAAGTGTTGAGCCACTGCGCCTGGCTCCTCTAGTCAATAATAATTTAATTGTACATGTAAAAATAACTAAAAGAGCATAATTGAACTGTTCATAACATGAAGGATTAATTCTTGAGGGGATGGAGACCCAATTTCCCATGATGTGATTATTATGCATTGCATGCCTATACCAAAATATCTCACATATGCCACAAATACGTACACGTACTATGTACTCTAAAAAATTAACAATTAAAAAAAAGTGGAAAAAACAAATAAGCCCCCCAACCCCACAAAAAAAGCAACAAATCGGTGTTAGCTGGTACAATTTGAAAATCAGAGGCAAAAATAGAAGTAATACAGTACACATACTTAGAAATATAATTAGATCATGGAGCGTCTTAAATTTGGACATAAAAAATTTGGATCTTCTTTTTTTTTTCAACTTTTATTTTAAGTTCAGGGGTACATGTGCAGGATGTGCAGGTTTGATACCTAGGTAAAGGTGTACAGTGGTGGTCTGCTGCACAGATCAACCCATCACCTAGGTATTAAGCTCAGCATGCATTAGCTATTCTTCCTAATGCTCTCACTCCCCCAGTCCCCGCCACCAACAGGCTTCAGTGTGTGTTGTTCCCCTACCATGTGTCCATGTGTCCTTATCATTCAGCTCCCAATTATAAGTGAGAACATGCAGTGTTTGGTTTTCTGTTCCTGCATTAGTTTGCTGAGGATAATGGCTTCCAACTCCATTCATGTCCCTGCAAAGGACATGATCTCGTTAATTTTTATGGCTGCATAGTATTCCATGGTGTATATGTACCACATTTTCTTTATCCAGTCTGTCATTCATGGGCATTTAGGCTGATTCCACGTCTTTGCTGTTGTGAATAGTGCTGCAATGAACATACACATGCATGTATCTTTATCATAGAAAAATGTATATTTTGGGGGGTATATATCCAGTAATGGGATTGCTGGGTCAACTGGTATTTCTACCTCTAAGTTTCTTTCCATTAAGACAAATAAATATCTTCTTTCTATTAAGACAATGCAGGGCCAGGCACAGTGGCTCACACCTGTAATCCCAGCACTTTGGGAGGCTGAGGCGGGCGGATCACAAGGTCAGGAGATCAAGACCATCCTGGCTAACATGTGAAACCCCGTTTCTCCTGAAAATACAAAAAAAATTAGCTGGGCGTGGTGGCAGGCACCTGCAGTCCCAGCTACTCGGGAGGCTGAGGCAGGAGAATGGCATGAACCTGGGAGGTGGAGCTTGCAGTGAGCCGAGATCGCACCACTGCACTCCAGCCTGGGCAACAGAGCAAGACTCTGTCAAAAAAAAAAAAAAAGACAATGCAGAACATAAGTGCTTCTTAGAAAAGGCTATATGTAAAAAAAAAACCCAAGGCATATAAAAATAGCCACAAGTAGGTAAACTTTCTATACCATTGTTGAGGAAAATCTAAAAAATATGTGAAAATTTTTTTTTGAGGTTTGTGTTTCCAGGGACACAGATTCTAGATAAAAATTGGCCCATTATAATCCAATATCATTGAAACCGATTTCATTGCTCCCAAATAAAGAACATGTTTTCCCTTTTTGCCTTCTGTTTAAATTCCTCTTTCTCCTTGTGAAGCAGTTAATGTGCTGAAGCAAAGTGCTGAGCCCACCTCCAAACCTTTAAAATGTAGCTAATTACAAGATAGTCCAATTTAAACTTTACGACATTCTTGATACCAGAATGTATGGTGGTTCGTTTCTGTTAATCAGCAGAAGGGAGGCGGTGTGGTGCCAGGCGGCGGTTCTGGGAAGAGCACCAGGCTGCTCCAGGCAGGAAAGGGCTCTGAATCCCAGGTCTGCCTCCCACTGGCTCCAGAAGAGATCATTCCACCCCTTCTCAATCCACAGAATGAGGCAATTGCATTGGATTGTGTTCCATTTACCTTCACAAACATTCTCTGAACTAAACAAGAAACATCGTGAAACATGGGCAGTTAAACAGCATGTATTGAAAAAGGAACAAAATAATGTCTTTTGCAGCAACTTGGATGGAGCTGGAGGCCACTACTCTAAGTGAAGTAACTCAGCTGGAGGCCACTATTCTAAGTGAAGTAACTCAGCTGGAGGCCACTATTCTAAGTGAAGTAACTCAGGAATGGAAAACCAAATAAATGTCACTCACAAGTGGGATCTAAGCTATGAGAATGCAAAGGCATAAGAATGATATAATGGACTTTGGGGACTTAGAGGGTAGAGTAGGAAGAGGGTATGGGATAAAAGACTACATACTGGGTACAGTGTACACTGCTCAGGTGACCGGTCCACCAAAATCTCAGAAATCGCCACTAAAGAATTTATTCATGTAGCCCAATACCACTTGTTCCCCAAAAACTACTGAAATAAAAATACATAAACAAAAATGGAAGCATGTATTGAGAATGCATAAATGATACTCTATAGTGTCATTTACTTACAAGTTCACTTCTGTGATAACACATACAGGAGCAATGAATCCACTCAGTCAGACAAGGAGGCCAGAGATACAGATTACCTGAAGTAAGAAATGATTTTATTTTCAAACTAAAAGAATTATATTATATATTCTTCTTCTCAATCCTCAGCCTACAAATGGCATTTCAGGAAGTCAACAATAGAATGCATCCTATGTACCTGATTTTTGCATCTCCCAATTGTGTCCTATCAAATAATTTGATTTTAGCCCTGTAGTTAGATTATTAACTTTAGAGTGGCACAATCTGAAGCCAAAAACACTAGGAGAATTTAAAGAAGATATTTGGACTGACAGCAAAAAGTTTTAAATATTTTTTACATCTTTTAAAGTTTTTTTGTGTTTTATATTTGTTTTTGTTTGTTTGTTTTGAGATGGAGTCTCACTCTTTCACCCAGGCTGGAATGCAGTGGTGCAATCTCGGCTCACTGCAACCTCCACCTCCCGGGTTCAACTGATTCTCATGCCTCAGCCTCTCCAGTAGCTGGGGTTACAGGCATGCATCACCATGCCTGGCTAATTTTTGTATTTTTATTAGAGACAGTAGAGATAGAGTTTCACCATGTTGGCCAGGGTGGTCTTGAACTCCTGAACTCAGGTGATCTGCCCACCTCAGCTTCCCAAAGTGGTGGGATTGCTGGTGTGAGCCACCATGCCAGGCCTATATCTTTTAAGGTTGATTGATGTCTTTATAAACTTGAAGTTCGTAGGTCCTATCTAAAGATTCTTATCTGTATGGTAGAAACTTGCATGCTGCTACTTTAATTTCCTTCACCTTTATGTGTCTTTGAGAAATTTCATAATTCCATTAAAAAAAACTTAATATCTTATGCCCAGAAATTAATTTGTCTCCTGAAGATTTGAGGAGACAAAGCCAACTTCTCTCATAATAGAAGTTCATATTACAAGAAGTAGAGAAGGAGGGCACACAGCTCAAAGTAGAAGTATCTATGTCAGGATTGCCTCCGAACAAGCATATAATGAAGAAATCTTGTAAAAAATTATTAATGTGATTTTTCTCTGTTGCATCTCTGAGCTCATGATCTTCTCCCCCATCAGCTGGCAATATCCTTGTATCTAAGGTGAGAACAGGGTAGGTACAAAGGAATGCAAGGAAAAAAAAATTACATATCTGACATTCAACATACGATTTTGTAGCAAGACAACAGTCATGCAACCCAGATTATTACCTTGACATAGGGTTTCCTACATTTCTTTATTTCTTCCATTTTAACATAACCAGAAGCAAGGATGGAGAATGAAGATCACTGAGTTCTCCTGTCATACAAAGAAAATATTCTTTCTGCTATGGCAGCCAGGCATGAGGCTTGCTGTACAATGGTAGAAAAAGGATATAACACAGGGGAGATAAAAAAAGAAACTGCTTTCGGCCTGGAGGATTTGAGCAAGAAGCAGGAGGAAGAAGCAAAAGATGAAGAAGAGGAAAGGTAAATAGTGAGGGAGGTGACACCAAGGGCAGAGAGGGCTCCTGCCCCTTGCCCACTGGGGCTCAAGGACTTCCCAGCACCAATGTGGGGTGGCCTCATCAGAGAAGCAGTGGCAGCCTAGCCCAGTTTTTTAGCCAGAAAGGCCCTGAGTTGAACTCTCCCAGCAAATCCCTGACTGCTTAGGGCATAAAACGTGCCGAGAAATTAGCCTATGCCTTGTGGAGGGACCAAGCAGTTTCCTGAAGGTACAGCTGCTGAGTCTGCCAAAAGGGTTCCCTCATCAGGGGCCACAGTCTTTGTTGCCAAGGGCACTAGGTCTGGGATGAGGTTCGCTGGATAAAATACAGGACATCTAGTTACATTTGAATTTCAAATAAATAACAAATCATATCACATGTAATATTTGGAACATATACTAAAATTATTCATTGTTTAACTGAAATTCAGATAGACAACTGAGATTTAAGTAGGTGTCCTGTAGTTTTGTTTGCAAAATCTGGCAACCTTACATGGGCCTCACCAAGAGCTGCCACCAGACTTTAGTCAGGGCACTACCATGCTCACATCAAGCCAGGAGCATGTCAAGACCATAAGTTACATGAGCCAAGGACCTCAACTGCCAATGTCAACAAGATGCCCACCGACCAGGGACTTGTGTGGACACTGCTGTCCCGAACCAGTGGACAGGGTAAGGACTCTACTTAGACCTAACTGTCCTGAGGTCACATGCTCCCCGTACATCTAGAAGCACCTCAGGGAGAAAAGCAGAGGTAGGGAGGTATCTGTGAGTGTGTTGGTCTGTTCGTGCTGCTATAACAAAGTATGTGAGACTGGGTGATTTGTAAAGAACAGTAATTTATTTTGTCATGGTTCTAAAAGCTGGAAATCCAAGATCAAGGTGGCAACAGATTTGGTGTCTGATGAGGACCTAATTTCTGCTTCCAAGATAGTGCCTTGTTGCTGCATCCTCCAAAGGGGGCGAATGCTGTCCTCATATGTTGGAAGCAGTGGAAGAGCAAAAAAGGGCCTGGCTAGCCTATCCCTTTTACAAGGTCACTAACCCCATTCATAGACAGTTCCACCCTCATGACTTATGACCTCTAAAGACCCCACCTCTTAATACTATCACACTGGGGTTTAAGTTCCAATATATGAATTTTAGAGGGACACATACATTCCAACCATAGCAGAGTTAGGGAAATTTATTTGCAAATCATTGTATCAGACCAAGCTATAAACTGGAGTAAGATGAAACATATTTTGCCAGGCATGGTGGCTCATGCCTGTTATCCTAGCACTTTGGGAGGCCGAGACAGGCTGATTGCTTGAGACCAGGAGTTTGAGACAAGCCTACACAACATGGTGAAACCCCTCCACAAAAATAAAAAACAAAAATTAGCCAGGTGTAGTGGCACACGCCTGCAGTCCCAGCTACTCGGGAGGCTAAGGTGGCCTGTGCTTGAGCCACTGCACTCCAGCCTGGGTGACAGAATGAGACCCTGTCTAAAAAAAAAAAAAAAAATATATATATATATATATATATATATATTTTTTTCCCCTGATACTCAGAGCAGGGTTTCATAGAGAAAATAGATCAGGAAATAAATCAGTGACTCAGGGTCTCACTCTGTCACCCAGGCTGGAATGCAGTGGTGTGATCATAGCTCACTGCAGCCTCAAACTCCCAGCCTCAAGCAATCCTCCCACCTAGGCCTCTGGAGTTACTGGGATTACAGGTGTGAGCCAAATTTTAAAAGTGAATTTTCTCTGCATATCTGACTTGCAGTGTGAGCAAAGCTGTGATTCCCCACTCCATGTCTATCTGCAATTGTTACAGAAACACGAGGGGTTTGGTCTAGGTCCTGCTGCTTGCTGCACAGAAAGCCAATCACTGAGACAATGATTATTGCTAAGGAAGAAAGCTTTAATCAGGTGCTGCAGCCAAGGAGATGGGAGTTCAGTCTCAAATCCATCTCCCTGACAGACTAAGACTAGGGGTTTATATAGCAGGGAAGAAATGTAGCAATGTGGAAGAAAATAGGAAATAGGGAGGGGCAAGGAAGCAATCATGATGAATGAGGGGTCTAGCATCTCATTGTCTGGATGTGGTGATCTGTTGAGTTTCAGTTCTTTGATACTTTTTTTTGAGAGGCCTGAAGGTGGTTTCCTGAGGAAAGAACTCAGATAAAACAAATGTGAGGTTCAAGCTTTAAGATCAGAAGGTCTTATGCTTGTTTATCCAAAAAACTATCTACAGGACTATTAGCTCAGTTTCACGATGAGTTTTTAAGAAAAGAGAAAAAAGGAATGATAGATTGTCAGGAGAAGCCCCAGCTATGTCCCCACCAATGAAATTACACCTTCACCCCTCATTCCCATAGCTCCTCAGTCCCAAGACTTCCTGAGACCCATAGCTCTGCCCCTGTAGATGTTAGTGGTGTGGTTCTTCCCCAGCCATCCCAATCTAAATCTTTGCAAACAGGTGTGACATGGCTTCACAAACCCCCACTGTCATGGGATCCAGGTACAGACCAGAAGGGTCCCTTGCAACTCCCCAGTCCTATGGGAACTTGGAAGGTCCCCCAGCATGACAGATGCTGCTTCCCACAAGTGCCACAGGGTGAGCTGCATGCCAACCCCACCTCTTGGAGAGGGTCCAAGTCTCCTTTCCTTCCTCCCAAATAATGAGAATACAATTAGTATAAGCTGGAACAGATTAACAGAGAGCTGTGGGATGGGCCAAATATACACTCTTCAGAAACAATCACAGACACTTGGAATATTTTAAACTTCTCTGAAAGTTTTAAGCCCTCCCCCAGGTATAGGGCTCAACATTTGAAGGGCTTGGAAGCCTGTCTGTCCAGCTTCTACCTGACATATGAAACCCCAGCACAACTTCAGGTCAACTGGTCACTCTGGCTCTGCTTAGACCCTCCAGCAATGGGAATCTCATTACCCCGCAAGGGGCAGTTTTCATTCCTGTCCCTGAAGTGGCCCCAGGAGAATACAAAGCAGGAAATGATTTTCCAATAAGTCTGAGAAATTTTTATTATTACAGTTCCTACTTTCCCAGAGTCCTATTCGATCCAATTATTTTTCAAAGTCCAAGTAAATGTGGATTTTCATAATCAGAGAATACTTATTAAAGACAAGACATATGAAGCTCTACACAGAGACTCAATGGGTAAGATGTCAGTGACAGATGGATGCTGTTCACTACAGAGTCTGTGGAAGCCAGGTGAGGTTACTCTGCATTTAAAATGTAAATGAAATTCTCTCTAGCTTTCTATCCCACATCCTGTGGAAGTTCCCTTCCCACAATTCCTGAAAATTCCCAGGAGCTTATATTCTCATGGTCACTGTTGGCTTCTGTTGACTCACTCACTTCTTGCCTTTTGGGCTGTTCCCTTCTCTCTGCTCACCCTTCTGTCCTCCCAGCTCCAGGGAACTCCATCCTGTTTCCTTACTTTCCTACTGAACTCTTCAAACAATAATTTCTGAAACAATGGGGAATGCACTATGCAACTTAAAATTGAGTATTAGACATTCTTTAAAATCTCCTGGTTGCCCTGCCACAGAAAACTTCTCAATGACCATCTTTCTGAGTAGGCTTCACCCTCCTACAATGGGTCTGTTGTCTGGTTCTCTTGCCACTTCCTCTCTCCTCTCCTCTCTATCTCTCCCCACACCACTCTTCATTTCTGAAATAGGAAAGTATAGCCATCTGTGTTTGCTGTATTCTTCCAACCCCTGCCCTCAAATCATATTTAAAGATTGTTTCCTAAAGACTTTCCTTCCTAAGAGGAACTCTAGTGCCAATGGTAAATACACACACACGCACACACACACACACACAGATTTATACATATATAGGATAGATGGTATGCAGGTAGGTAGATGATAGATAGATAGATAGATAGATAGATAGATAGATAGATAGATAATAAATAGTTTTGGGGTTGTGTGTGTTTTTAACTCACTATATCTCCATGGAGGGTGTTGGCTCCAAATCCTAAAAGGTCCTAATTTCCAACTTTTCATCTCTTGCTTATGATACCGTGTATGTTGTGTGTAGAGGACATGGAAACTAACCTTGAATTATGGTAACAGAAAAACAGGACTAAAGCCTTCCTGGGTAGAACAACAAGAACTTCCTGGTTGGCGTCTCCAGGAGGCCCTCTTTGTGGGTGGGCTCCGTGCCCCCTCCCCACTGCCACAGGTTCATCCTACTTGTGCATATAAACTGGGAATGGAGAGGATGGCAATCTTCACTGAGAAGGCTCTTTCTGGTGGCAGGAGGTAAGCAAGGACTAATGTTAAAATTCTAAAAGGTCACACATATGAACCCCACACGGTAGATGAAGCAGCCGTAACCAGAGCTCTTTGAAGTGGACAGGAGGACCTGAACGGCACTGCTCAGGGCTTTCATCACTGTGTTCACCCCGTCTCACATGGACCACAGAAAGAGGGAGGCAGGACACCACCGGGCTGGCAAAGCAACTGGAAAGTGCAGAGAATAAAAAAAAAAAATGCCTGGCTGAAATCTGCACTCTCTTATTTGTGCCTTCAGTTTGTGCTTGTACTCAGGTGTTTGTGTTCTTCCAGAGAAACAATAGGCTCATTAGAGCACAAGTGAAGAAGTTACTTAATTCTTACAAGACAACAGCCATGCAGGGCTGCAGATGAGTGAGAATCACTGATGAAGCTTTAAATTGATACACTCACTGAAGCGTGAGCTATCAATACTGACCTTGTTTGCTGCTTCCCAAGCAGGCAAGTGGAGATCTTTGGAACCTTTGAGTAACAATCCATGCATTTAAACTGATTCCAAAGAACTGCATTTAATTTAACCAAATAGCTCCATTCAATTGTTTCAGTATTTCTAAGGATTAAACTCTTATTAGAATAGACATTTTAAACTTTTATTTTAGTCATCTAGTTTTTCAAAAATCCAGTTTGCTCAGAAGAGTCTAAGCCTGAGCCTTCTACATGTTAACCTTCTAGAATGAAAACATAGTTGAAGTCTTCAGGAGATTGCAGCTGGAGCAAACCCAATGCACTCTAGTAATAATAGCCAACATTAATCTACTGCTTGCTGGTTACCAGGCCCTCTGATATGCACTTTAATAGGCATCATTTTATTTCATTCTCACTATGACCTTGGGAGATACAGCTAAGGAAATTAAGGCTTAAAGAACTGAAGTGATTACCCAAGATCTCAGAGCTAATTAAGAATTGAGATTCAAATCCAAGGCCTGAGTTCTTAGCCACCACCCTGTATTGGCACCAGTGTGATTCCACAAGTATATAAATCCATGAATTTTTCTTAATTAAGAATATATTAGAAGAAGTAAAAGTTGACCATACATATTTTTTCTTATTGCCCATCACATAAATGGTATTCATTTGCTCAAATGCTCAGCTTTCTCCTAATACCCAAATCCAAAGTCCAACCTCTTAACAACCTCTCTAACCCATAACCCCTGTGGCACTGCTGTATGTTGGCTCTCATTCTGCCTCTCTAACCCAGTTTTCACACTGCGGTCAGAGTTCTTGTTCTAAAACACAAAGGACTCCACTACTTAACACCACCCATTGGCTTCTGCTGTCCACGTCAAATCCATACTCCTCACTTCACACAGCACCCAAAGCCTAGCATGACCCAGCCCCCACCTCTTTTATAGAGTCATTTCTGGCCTCTCATCCTATGTGGACACCCCAAGCAATCACTTTACTCTTTACTTCCCAAACTCAGGTTCAGAAAGCTTCTACCCACCAGCATTATGTGGAAGCCTTGCTCACAGGTGAGCAGAATTTTGTGAGTTTGCTGGGAGAAGGTAAAATCATAGTCTGGAGAGTAGAAGAGGCCTTAGTGATTATCCATTGAATGTTTTCCTGGTTTTTTCAATTCAATGCAAAAGTCCAAAGTCAGTAAGTGCCCTGCATATAATCACATCACCGGTTGGCGGGTATCTTAACCAATTCATACAAAGCCTCTCCTCAGACCAAGAATTTCTGCTCTGTGATCTCTAAATTTAGGAAGTGGAAGTATCTATCTACCTTTTATTTTAAACCTCAAACCTCCCCACCCCCATCTAATTGCATTGCAAGCTAGCACCTTCTAGAGTTAAAGTATTACCATATTTAGAAAACTTGCACACATTTTTTAAAAAGTTCTTGGCCGGGCATGGTGGCTCATGCCTGTAATCCCAACAGGAAGATCCCTTGAGGCCAGGAGTTTGAGACCAGCCTGGGCAATATAGCAAGACCCTTCTCTAAAAAAATTTAAAAACTAGCCAGGTGTGGTGGTGCATGCCTCTAGTCTTAGCTACACAGGAGGCTGAGACATGAGGATCACTTGAGCCCAGAAGTAAAAGGCTGCAGTGAGCCGTGATCACAACACTGCACTCCAGCCTAGTGACAGAGTGAAACCCTGTCTCTAAAAAGAAAAAAAAAGGAAAAGTTCTTAGAGAGTTCTCAACTCTCTAAGGAAACCTGGCCTATTATTTATTCTGTAATTCACCAAATATTTACCAATACTATGATACTACCATATACCAAATAGTCTACGTAACAGGGACTATGAGGATAAAAGTGAGAAAACCTTTTTCTTCCATGAGCTTACCATGTAATATAGGCAAAAATTTGTATAATTCTTTAAGAATCAGTATAAAAAATACCTTCAGTACAAGGGCTTGAAAGGAGGGCTGTACGATGTTCTATAGAAGCACAAAGAACTAAACAGAGTCCAGGAAAGTTTGACAGGAAAAACATAGACCTCCGGGCTACCCTAAAGGCTGAGTCAGCATTTTGATCAGGACAGCCAGGGGAAGGAGGGACTTCGGCATATACTGCCCACGGTTCTGAGGAGGGTATCTTTCTCTTTTGCCAAAGACTCATAAGACTTCAAAAATAATAATGGCTAACACTAGCATAGTACTGACAATGTGCAAGGCAGTCTTCAACATGCTTTTTATGTAAAAGACTACATAATTCTCAAAATAACCCCATTTTATAGATGAGAAAACCAAGACACAAAGAAAAACTAAGTAACTTGCCTAAGGTCACACAACTAGCAAGTGGAAGAACTGGAATTAGATCCAGACAGGCTAGTTCCTATGAACTCCAACCCTGTACCTCCAATGTATTTCAGAGCATAATGTTAAGACAGTACTCAAATGGCAGAAAACAACTATATGATCTTAGCCACTCTAGGCTCAGTGTGTGTACCTTCAGTGAGATCACTGAACCTCTTAAGCCCTCTCAGTGATAAGCCAGAATCAGTCTTCTTGGGTCTAGTCTAGAGGTCTGTAAACATTTACTGTAAAAGGTTAGATAGTAAATATTTTGGTTATCGGATCTTGGTCACAACTACTCATCTCTGCTGTTGTGGCATAAAAGCACCTATAATCAATATGTAAACAAATAGTTGTGACTGTGTTCCAATGATACTTCATTTACAGAGACAAAAATTTTGATTTCGTATAATTTTCACATGTCACAAAAATATTCTTCTGAATCTTGAATTTTTTCAAATATTTTAAAATGTTAAACCCATGCTTAGCTCACAGGCCATAGAAAAACAAGCAGCAGTCTGCTTTGACTGGTGGCCATAGTTTGCCAACCCTTGGTTTAGAGTCTAGAGCACAACTTCTCTTTTTTAAGCAAACTCTACTGGAACCAGCCTGATGCTGCACACCCAGTGAGTACTCAATAAATGTTGAGCAACACTCCAGGATGCTTCACAGGGACATGGTGGAGGAAACACCGTGACCTCGAAAGAGCATGTGACTAGGGATTAGAAGACCAACCTGGAGTCTCAGATCATTATTTACTAACAGTAACCTTGAGACAGTCATTAATCTCCAACTGGGCTTTGGTTTCCTGCTCATTTGTCATTGCCAATAATAGGCCGTGGTATCCTTATGATAGCTACATTTACTTATATTGTATTTACAAGGCAGGAATTTTGCCTATGTTAACTTAATCTTTAGGACAGTCCTATGAGATAGATACTAATAGTATCCTCATTCTACAGATGAGAAACAGAGAGACTAAGTAACAAGCCCAAGGTCACACAGCTGGTAAGTGGCAGGGCCAGAACTTAAAGCCATTCTGTCTTTGGAATCCGAATCTTAACCTCTAGGTTATAATGCCTTCTCTTAAACAAATGGGAAAAATAAAACAAATGAGAAAAATATAAAATATGTAAACTATCCTATTACTTCTGCTTGGCATTTATTGAGCACTTTCTATCAGGCCAAGTATTTGACTCTGTCGTATTCCATTTAATCCCTCTAACAACAATTTTTTTTTTTTTTTTTTGAGACGGAATCTTGCTCTGTCACCCAGGCTGGAGTGCAGTGGCGTGATCTCAGCTCACTGCAAGCTCCGCCTCCCGGGTTCACGCCATTCTCCTACCTCAGCCTCCTGATTAGCTGGGACAACAGGCACCCGCCACCACGCCCAGCTAATTTTTTGTATTTTTTAGAAGAGACGGGGTTTCACCATGTTAGCCAGGATGGTCTTGATCTCCTGACCTCGTGATCCGCCCGCCTTGGCCTCCCAAAGTGCTGGGATTACAGGTGTGAGCCACCAAACCCGGCCCCTCTAACAACAATTTTATGAGGTAACTATTATCAATCTCTTTCACAGATGATAAAATGGAGGGTCAGAGAGATTAAATTGCCTTTACAGAATACTAAAATGGTAAGCAGCAGAGATGAGATTTAAACACAAGCTGCCTGATCTCAGTGCTCAAGCATTCCCTTCAGTGCAGTGGAACTCTCTCAGCCACACCTGTGTGGGTGCCATTAGTAGCCTGTGCAGCTATGATGTAGGTTAAATATGGCTTAAACACCTGGCCTGAGAACCTAACCACCATTTAAAACTCAGCTTCCATAGGATTATGCAATGTGAGTTTGAAACAACTGATTCACAAGTAGATTTTGGAAGATAGCCAGTTGATAGATTATAGCGGCATACATATCTCTGCACATTGGAATGAGATTTGCACTTTTAGGTTTGTTTGCTAACATGCATATCTGTCTTTCCTGTATGTTAATGTTAGGCATGTTTGTCTTTGGAAACAAACTTGTCTCATTTTTCTTACCTCTCTAAAGTAACTACTGCACTGCTTTGCCCACAGTGGAGTCGGTGATCTGACAAGTAACTCCTGATTGCTAGAGGAGGGGCTATATACAATAACAGCTCTCATCAGCCATCCCAAATTTTGCCTCTAAACACACTGGAGGAAGCAGAATAATCTATGATCATGTCTACAGGCACACACTGCACTGTTATTGAGTTAAACTGAATTGAAAGGCTATAGATCAAGGTCAATGTGAAGGCTGAAGAGAAGCATAAAGAGGCCAAGGAGTAACTCTTGTAATCTCAGAAACGGGCTCCTTGACAAGGACCTCTGTGTGAACTGTACAGACACTGGGTGGATTGCCCGATAGTGACAACAGTCCTTATTAAGCTTGTCTTGTTCATTTGCTTTTAAGGCATGTGCTATTATTTATTAGCAATGCTTATGAAGGAGTCTCCTTAACATTGGATTAACAACACCTTTCCCTGGAGTATTTTCTGTGTCTAGAGCTGTAGAGAGGGGTGAAAATTAGTTCAACGCAGCGATCTGGGACTGGCTTGCAGTGTGACCTTGCACAAGTCACTTTATCACCATGATTCTATTTCCACCCTGTAAAAATAATAGTGCTAATACTTGCCCTCTTTCTAACTCTCAAAGATAAATCAATGTCTGAAAAGTGCATTGAGTTTTTGGATATAAAGGCAAGCATTCCTTACCATCATTAATTAACATTTATTAATAGAAAGAATAGTGCAGAAAACCCAAAGGTGATCCAAAATAGTGATGAACAAACCTGTCATATTATATTAGCAACTGTCGCAGAGTAGGCAGTAGAAATGAACAGCTTCTCTTCCTAGTACTGCAGTTTTTCTTCATACAAACTGATTCATGTGAAATTCAATTAGAAAAAAAAAACAAAACTTGTGTGCCAAGTTTTATTTGCTTGAAAATTTCTTAGCAAGTGATGTGGTTTTCTGAAAAGGGCTGTGGGAGGGAAATCTCACCTCTCTCTTCCTAATTGAACCACTGCTGAGTGTACATGAACCTATAATAGGTAGGAGAACACCCATTGACCGCCATTACAGCTAGGTTTCCATATGAGAACTTATTAATTTTTTTAATGCATTACCTCTTTTCTCCTTCATCTGGCTATTTGGGCTGAAATCATTTGACAGCAGCCTTTGGTGTTTTCTGAGAGGTCTTGCTGGCTCTCTCTGTGCACCTGTCTGTCCGAGCAGTAAAGCTGACTGTAGGACTCTCATCACAAATGAACTGTCAGATCATTACTATGGTTGATGCAGTATAATCTGTCTTGAAATTAGAATCAGTCTGGCCAGGCTAGGCGCTCACTTGCCACAGAGGCTAATTCACTCCTTGAATATGCATTCATGGAGATGTGCCTCAATTTGGAATCCAGGGGGAGTACACGTTAAGAGCAGATTTTCTGAATTAGCATGGCGAGAGGAAAGGGTCCTTCATTTAGACGGCTGCAGATGCCGCTCCCTCTTGTTCATTACAATTGCATTTCATCAGCTTTATGATGTCCACATGTCAATTGAGTGTGAGGATTTTGCACACAAAAGAGCCTCAGGGAAAACGACTCCACTAGCTAATCAGCTGATTATCATACCTCAAATGGGCTGCAGTACTTGCTGCTCCCAACCTGTATGGGCGAGAGCAGAATCGAAGATTAAGACTGCAAAGAAAGAGGACTCTTCAGCCAGTTTAGGGAAATTAAAGAAGAATTTGTCAGCAAGAAGAAGAAAGAGCTGTAAAGGCCGAAGTGAAAGCCTTTGAAATAAATAGGCATTTGAAATAAAATGACGTTTTTCTTTAAAAGAGGGTTGGTGGGGAGCGGGTGAAAGGTTAATTAACTATATTATCCTCCCGTTTATGCCCAGCTGTGTAAAGCTCTGTCTGCCGTGGACCTGGATTTTAAAACCGAGACTCAAGAACCCATCCCAGGGTCATGAAGAGCATCTCAGAGTAACTGAATTGGTTTCCTACATGTAGAGGATTCACAACTGCCCTGGGCACCTTTTTACAGATTTCTTTGGATTGTTTAGGAATTAATTGATTAATAACAAGGAAATAATGATGATAGAAGAAAAATACATCCACATGACTCCATAAAGAGTCCTAGCTTGGGGAACTATTTATGAAAGTCATTAATTCAGATTTTACATCAGAGATGCATTTTTATATCTTGCAGAGAGAAAATTAATGGGTGGTCTTTTTTCCCTTTTTGTCTGAAATTTACCAAAGTTTTCTCCCAGCTCCCTAGGGTCTTCCTCAAGTCTATCTAAAATGCAGTTAGAGCAGAGGCTGTCTTTTGCTTCACAGCGCGTCTGCCTTATGCTTTCATCAGAGAAGTCTAACTCACACAGATGCACTATTTAACAATGCCATCCCCTGCTTTCATCAGAAGGGGGAAGGTTGCAGAGCTGAGCCCTGCAGAATAAGGGGGGCAGGTCCCCTGTGATGGGCGAAAGCTGAACATCGGTGCCAGTTTCCATCTGTCATGATAGCCTATCTCCGAACCTTCAATCTGTCAAAAGCTCGCTGCCTGGCTGAAGGCTCCAGGAGATTTGGTGCACTAAACACATTTGACAACAGCATTATCACTGCAAGGAGCCAGCAAAATGCCATCAATGTGTTAATTGTAACTGGGTATGTAAAGTGTCACTTCCCATATCATTTAACACCAGCTTCGCCTCTTTTGCAGTTCCTAATTTTCTACACTTTATAAACATATGGATTGCTCTTGTAACAACAATGTGATCTTCTTAGCAGAGGTTTAATTTTGCTTGGAAACACAGCACTCAAGCTTCTACTGGGGAAACAGCCACAAGGAGGGTGCTTGGGAGGAGGAGGGGGAAGAGAAAATAAAGGGAAGCTTGGAGTTGAGGAGCTGGGGGGAGATGGGAGAGGACAGCAGGAATCAAAGCGCTTCTCACAGGGGCCGCTGTGATATATTTTTTTAGATGCATGAAATGGTGGTGTTTTTTTCAGGGTGTGTTGTCGCTAATGGGTAAATAGTTCTGTTTCTCTTGCAGAGGATGAAAAACACATATCCAGAATTTTTGCAGGCAGTGAGTTTTCTTCCATCATAATATGAACAGTTTTGTAATGGTAAACATGAGAGCAGCACATAAATAAATGAAAAATCCCCCTTGAAAATCTGAATGGGTTTTTAGCACCCAAGTACCTAATATTCAATTTCTGGTACAACCAGAGCCAGGTGTTAAATTTCTCTAGTTACTGTCACTAATGCAAATTAGATTCTTTTTCTGCTCGTAAAAAATCAAATCCACATTAGAAATTAGCTATAAAATGTAATGACTTAAATGCTATAGTGTTTTACAAATCTCTCTGCATTTCTATGGTAGATAATGCTGTAAAACAGAGAGAAGATAATAAAATATGGTAGGAAGTTATTTAAAGGTCTTTTGTGACTGCTTACTTAAAAATCTGATGTATTCTTTTGCTCTTCTTCCTGTCTGTCCCCCCTCCACTGTGGGAAATGAGCATATTTATGATTCTATTTTTTTACAGCTTAGAAGTAATCAAATCCATTTTTAAGTGATGTTATAAGAGCTAGAAAGATCATTTGCGTTATTGAAAAAAAGAATATCGCCCAGAGAAGTTTACACCTTTGCAACTTTTAATCATTGGTATTGTAAAACATCCTGAGGAAAGTTTGGACTGGTTAAACAAGGAGCTTAATTAGCATTTTAAACTCTTTATTAACAGTATCACCAAATTTACCTAGAAGATTGTTTGATAATCCTCACCCACCACCCTACCCCCTTTCTCCTGCACAAGAATATCCAAACGCAAAAGAGAAACCCCTCTTTAATATGGAGTATTAAAAAAAAAATCCTACAATACACAGCAGAGCACAATTGAACTGGGAAGAACATGAAAGCTATGTATTTATTCACATTTAAATCCTAGCAGCATCCCATTTGCTCAGCTATGGAATGCATATTTTGCTCCACCTCTGCTAATCTAAATCCTTAAATCAAAACCATAATGAAACTTTAGACCCCAGATGAATCAGGAGTTTCTTACAAATCAAATAAAGTTAGG
The DNA here is from genome assembly GCF_000001405.40 of Homo sapiens. Lineage (NCBI taxonomy): Eukaryota > Metazoa > Chordata > Mammalia > Primates > Hominidae > Homo > Homo sapiens. The sequence goes on along the minus strand of NC_000002.12, from coordinate 175,440,018 downwards.
ATTAACATTTCTGAACTCAGCTAAAGAAATTTAGATCACAGCACAGGCTTATCTGAAGAATAAAATTGGTGATCAAGGAAAGCAAGAAAGAACAACAAATTTTGAGCACAGACTATGTACCTAGAATGGTGGTATTACGTGACTATTTTCATTTAATTTTTTTCAGTGGAAATTTAGGCCGTGTAAGTAATTCATCCAAGGCCATGCAGCTATTCCAACTGCTGGTCCATGTTCTTTCTGTCACTCCCTGATGTCTCCTAGAGGTGGTCTGGAGAGGTCTGCAGAGACCACCAACCATGAGAGGGTGCCCCTCCCAGACTCTACCTCAAGGCTAGTAATGCCCTCTTTTCTCTCCCACTGCACCCTGCCCCATGGCAGTGGCCACATGGTATGGTTACCACGTGTGGTTCCTCACTCCAGTAGGGGGAGTTCCAAACAGGATTATGCCACAACCCACTTAGACTTCCCAGGCATAGCACCATATCTGATTTGCCAGGGATGCAGACTCTTCCATGAGTGCCTGGTGTTTGAGCAGAAAGAAATAGGAAAATACTAACTCATATGTAGACAGCATCTTTCTCTTAGGGAACCCTGTACATTTTTGAAGGGTCACTTTATCCCTGCTTGGGTCTCTGACTCTACTCATTCCAAGTGGCTTTCTTGCTTTATTTTGTAAAATCTTCAGAGGTCTTCCCTCTGCTCCATTTGTTGGCCAGTGATAGGTCTTGGTGCCTATAATCAGATGCCTCCACAAATGTCCAACAGAAAGGCCTCTTCTTGCAGCTGTCTTTTGTTCTAAGTTTATTGTCTCTTTGATCTTCGCATGGATCCACCCAGACTTTGTGCATCTGGCAACTTTCCCCCTTTTTCTTGGCCAGTGGCACTTCCCTACAACTCCCTACTTCCTTGCTTTAGCTTTTTTGCTTTTTTTCCACATTTCTCATCCAAATTGGCTCTCATAGAAAGAAAATGTATTCACAATAAGATATTACAGTTGACAGGGTATACTATGTTTTGCCATCATAAGTGTTTGAACTTAAAAATCAAGCCTATGCCAAATGGAGTTTGGGGCTTTGTTTTGTTAGGGGTGGGGAGGCCCTTCCCAGCTTTAACCAAGCATGCTCTACCCGGCCTTCTCTTCTGTTTGGCCCCATTAGGAATAACATGTTTTAAATGATTAAAGAATTGATACTGCGTTGAACAGTTTCCCCAAAAAAATTCAAGTCCAGGTGGGTCTTGTGAATATGATCTTATTTGCAGATGTAATCAAGTTAAGATGAGGCCATATTGGATTAGAGTTGGACCCTAAATCCAATATGACTGGTGTCCTCAGAAGAAGAAGGAAATGTGGACACAGATATGCACAGAGGGAAGACATCCTTGTGAAGATGGAGGCAGAGACTGAAGTGATGCGGCCATAGCCAGGGTTTGCCAAGGATTGCCAACAACCACCAGAAGCTAGGAAGAGGCAAGGAAATATCTTCCCTTAACACTTTCAGAGCAAGTATGGCGTTGCTGACAGCTTGATTTTGGACTTCCAGCCTTTAGAACTGTAAGACAATAAATTTCTGCTGTTTTAAGCCACACAGTTTGTGGTATTTTGTTACCATAGCCCTAGGAAGCTAATACAGTATCTTTCTACCAAAAAACCACAAAGGGCTATATAGTATTATGTCTATCCTTGTAGTACTACTTGTAGAGTAGAACCAAATTATTAATATCTGATGACTCATTCAGGCAGCACATATTAATTAATTGAGCTCTTACTATGTCCCAGGCATTGTGCTCTATGAAAGTGGTTCAGGCTGGGCACGGTGGTGGCTCATGCCTGTAATCCCAGCACTTTGGGAGGCCAAGGCAGGCAGATCACGAGGTCAGGAGATCGAAACCAACCAGGCTAACACGGTGAAACCCTGTCTCTACTAAAAATAAAAAAAATTAGCCGGGCATGGTGGCGGGCGCCTGTAGTCCCAGGTACTCAGGAGGCTGAGGCAGGAGAATGGTGTGAACCCAGGAGGCGGAGCTTGCAGTGAGCCGAGATCGCACCACTGCACTCCAGCCTGGGCAACAGAGCGAGACTCTGTCTCCAAAAAAGAAAGAAAGAAAGAAAGTAAGAAAGTGTTCAGTCTCTGGGAACAAGACAGACAGACAGGGCTAACCTCATGGAGCATATACTTCAGTGGGTTTTGCTTTCTTTAAGAATGTCTAAATAGTGGCTGATCACCCTCCTTTGTGGAAACCTAGCACACTAGCAGCCATTATAATTAAAATTTCAAAATACAACAAAATTATTTTAGAAGAAACATAAAAATGAGCACATGTGGTTTAATAGAAGTCGGGCTTTGACAGATCTAAATTCGATGTTTTATTCCTTACTTATGCAATTTCGGGCAAATCACTTACCCTCCTTATGCCTCAGTTTCATTACCTTAAAAATACAGATAATAAATATACCTACCTTACAGGGGATTTTTTTCAATACCAAATTATTTATTATGTGTAAAGTGCTTAGAACATTGTTAGCATATATGCTCTCAATAATTGTCAGCTATTATTATTTTAAATAAAAAGTTATATGTTACATAAGGGCTCAGTACAAATTATTATTATTACTACTAATGTTAGAAGTACTGTACTTTTGCTGAGTTTGCAAGTCTATTGAGTAGAATCAGATTTGAAGTCTATGTTTGTAATTTGCAACCTTACTAGCTACCATGTCCCCTTGGCCAAGTTACTTAACCTCTCAGAACCTCAGTTTCTTCATTTGTTTAATAAAGATAAAAGAGCTACTTCATAGGATGGTTGCAAAGATTAAATGAAGTAAGGTCCTGGCAAATAGCAAGCACTCAATAAACACCCACCCTATTCTACCCCGGCTCTGCAACAACACTCTACATTTTGTGTGGTTCTTGCTGTTTAAAATTACTACATCAAGATTCAGCACAAAAACATATGAAAAGTTTCAGAGCAGCATTTTAGAAAGTAACAAATGTTTACTCTCAGTGCATTTTCCTAAAAATGCTAAGAAAGGCTTAAGGGCCTTAAACAAAGGCAAGCTTACACTTCTAATGTGTGTGTTTTCTCTACATTAAAATGATACACTGCAAAGTCTCATATTTGCTTGGCTTCATCCTTCAGCCTTCAGAGGCTAGAAACTGACACTGGATTTTTTTTCTGATAATAAGGATACTGTGATGTAATGCCAGGACACTGGGTGCTTTCATTGGCTCTGCATGAGCTTTTCCAGTATCTTGGCTCTCACCATCATCTTCCCTTTTCTTCCTCCTCTTTCCTCCCTCTCAGATCTGCTGCCTATATTCTGGTGTTAATAAGATTTGGAGAAGGGCTCTTGGGAGAATAGAGTGGAACTCTGTCCTCTCCAGTCAGATTCCCTGGAAAGACTCTGATAGGCTGCTTTCCAATATCAATAGGCTTCTGCTTTAATAAAGCTAAGAGTGATGGTGCATGGGTGGGTCCAAGGAAGAAGAGAATTGATATTCAGTTTTCCTGGTCTGGTCTTGTTGAAAAATTACCACGGCCCTGAAAATGTGTGTATAAGTTAGTTTTTGCTACAGAACAAGCCATCCCAAAGCTTACCTCACAATTCTGTTAGAATGGAAATAGAGGCTGGGCTCAACTGGGCAGATCTTCTGCTAGGTTGAGTTGGGCTTACTCATACAACTGCAGCCAGATACCAGATCACCTGGAGACTGGTCTGGAATGACCTCACTCACATGTTTGTCTGAAGGTGCTGGCTGTTGCCTGCAGTAATGAAGATGACTGAGCCGCATGTCCACAGCAGGCTAGCCCAGGCTTATTTATATGATGGTGATCACAGGGTTTCCAAAAGCAGCAAGATAAAACATGTCCTAATACATAAACCTCTGCTTGCATCATATTTGTTAGTGTAAATTGGCCCAAACAAGTCACAAAGCCAAGCCGTGTGCAAGGGAACCAACCAAGGGCATGGATAAAGAAAGGTAGATACTTTGTGGCCATCTTTACAATCTCCACATTTCTTCTATTGTCTGGAAGAAGCACAGCATTTGTCTTAAGAGGGCATTTTGAGGAGACCTCCATTATTTCCATATATCAGAAAAAGACAATTAGAAACCCCCCAAAAATTAAAACTTGAGGTGTCTCCAGTTTAGCAGAGGAAATTCAAAAGAGCTCTCAGAAATAAGTAACAAGTCTACTTGGCAGTGAATAAAGGAAGTAGCTCATTTAGACTCTAATTATATTATACATATATATGTAATGTTCAGAGATTAGTCTTATTATTCAAAATAAGACTCTGAACATGTATATATTACATATATATAGTGTATACACACACCCACACGTTTCTATGTGATTCATTCAAATGTTTCTGTTTCTGCAAACATTTATTTTAAAAATGTGTATCAGACTGAAGTAGGTACTGAGAGTACAAATGTAGTTCTCTGCCCTCATGAAGCTTGGAGTCTAGCCGGCAAGACAGAGAATAAGAATTACATATTCACAATTTTCACAATGCTGCAAAGGGAAGATCCAGGGAGGATGGCACAAGGTCCCAGCCCAGTTACAGGGATGGTGGGAGTCTTCTCTGAGCCCTGAAAGATAAGCTGAGTCCTCCAAGTGAAGAAGAGGAGGAAAGGAAGGCTAGGCAGAGACCAGCATGAGAGGGAGAAACCCTTAAATGGGCTGTGTGGAAAGGTCTTCATTTTCTAATGACATGAATTAGATGATATGAGACATAAGAAAGTGCACTATTAACTGAACTAAGCTATATACACGTAAGTGCAATGTTGTAATCAACCATGTATTGCTCAATGTCAAACAGCATTTTCTAATTTATGGTTCTTACTGTTTATTCAATAACCAGAATGCATTAGATCAGGGTGCATGACAACCATCCCAACCCCCTCAACCCAGCTGTCTTACCTATGCTCAGTAAACCCACACAGGTAAGGGTCTTGTGAGGCCCTCACAGGGACTCATAATCTCTAAACATTTAGATTTTCAGGTTTTCCTGAAAAAACAAGAGATCTGGCAAAACTCAGATCTCATTTCCACATGGCAACAATTGGTAGAAGCTGCTCTGTTTAGTGCGGACACACTCTAGTTTGACAAATCTCTCCAGCCCCATTATTTCCTGCCTGGCCTGTGTGAGTATCTGTGTTTGCAGCTCCTAGATATTTCTCTGCCATAGGTATTTATTTTAAATGTAACTAACAATAATCGTACCCAGAAAACACTTTCAGATCTTGAATGATAATGGTTTTTGTTTGTTTTGTAGAAACAGGTTCTTGCTATGTTGCTCAAGCTGGTCTCGAACTCCTAGCTTCAAGCAATCTTCCTTCCTCAGCTTCCCAAAATGCTAGGATTACAAGCATGAGCCACCACGCCCAACCTTGAATGGCATTGTTAAGTCAGCATACATGGCTGCCATTTTTCTTATTTTCTTTCTTTTGTGATATTTTTGCTTTCTTTATAGAATTTTGATCTGTCATTGTCACAGTTAGAGTTAGTGAATAAAACGTGTGCCTATCACATCCAAAACAATTAGTTTTAAGCAGACCATTATAAGTATTTTCATAATTTTATTCATAGGACAATATGCTTACTTTATAACAATAAATCAGTCTGTGTTCCTTACTTTTTTCTTGTTTCATTTTGAAGTTTCTAATCTTTCAGGGTAATTACTATAATGACTGAAGGCATTTTTAAAGATTATTTCTTTAAGTTATGCTTCACATTTGTAAGGTGAATCAGAAATATAAACAATTATATGACTACATGACATATTTGTAATATGCCTATTTAATTGATTTTTAAAACCCACTTATAAGATTATTGCTATAGATGTTCTGCTTACGATAAATGTAAGCTTTTTCAAGATTTCACCACCTGCTTTATTTCCAGGCCCTCCTTTCATCTCTTATCTAAATCCTATTCATGTAGTCTGGTGGCGGACATTTCAGGGGTCTGACATCATTATTACGTTTTGAGAAATAACTTTAAGACAAACTTTACATTATACCCAGAATTAGCCATTCTATCAGCTTTTGTCATACTTTGTCTTAGGACAAATGGCATTTCTGTAGAAAGATGCCTGGCGGGATGTGGCTTTGAACTCCTTCATTCCCTAGACTCCTTTAAACATGTAGAGGAGGAATAAGGGTAATTTACTTCCTTACTGAGCTTGACAAACTAGTATTTTATGTAACTACTCCAATATGTAGTTTTAAAAATACTTTAAGGGCAATGTCCATCTCCTCCAAATAAAAATTATTATTACTGTAGATGAAATGCAATTAGGAAATTTTGTCTTCGTTTAACAACTTTAATGGTATGGATATAAAGGACGGATCATTGCTATGCAGCTAGGATAAACACGGAACTAAAGATTTATGTTTCGGCCCGGCGCGGTGGCTCACGCCTGTAATCCCAGCACTTTGGGAGGCCGAGGCGGGTGGATCATGAGGTCAGGAGATCGAGACCATCCTGGCTAACAAGGTGAAACCCCGTCTCTACTAAAAATACAAAAAAAATTAGCCGGGCGCGGTGGCGGGCGCCTGTAGTCCCAGCTACTCGGGAGGCTGAGGCAGGAGAATGGCGTGAACCCGGGAAGCGGAGCTTGCAGTGAGCCGAGATTGCGCCACTGCAGTCCGCAGTCCCGCCTGGGCGACAGAGCGAGACTCCGTCTCAAAAAAAAAAAAAAAAAAAAAAAAAGATTTATGTTTCATTTTTCCTCTTCTTTTGCTATACTGTATCACTGTTTCAGACCCAAATCTGATAAAAAGGAAGCATAATTGTGTCACCTGAATGTTTTTGAAATGCACCAAGCTTCTTTTTTAAATACAAAAATACTCCAACTAACCAGAGGCCTGGATTAATGGACTTGTTTTACTACAAACTGTTTTCAAGAAGAAGGATGTGATTGGTACAACAGAAACAGACTTACTAATCTGTATCTGAAAATGTCACCCTTCAGGCTATGCATAAGCACAGGGCTCAGGGCACATTCAGCCCAAACTCCTGCACCTTCCTCACCAAAACCACTGTGGTCTTCAATGGCCCTCACCACTGTGGTCATCGGTGAGAATTAGTGGGCAGAACAACGTCTCTGAAACAATGAAGAATCATCTAAGAAAGACCACAAAGAGTGGAATGACATATTTTAGAAATGCTTTCAACAATAGATCAAAATGAGAAGGGCTTTTTTTTTACCTTTAGTCAAAGGAACAATTTAACAATGAGTCAGAATTTCTTTTTCTTTTTAATTTGTATGAATTTAAGGGGTACAAGTGCAGTTTTGGTACGTGGATATATTGCAGAGTGGTGAAGTCTGGGCTTTTAGTGTATCCATCACCCGAATAATGTACATTGTACCCACTAAGCAATTTCTCAACCCTCACCATCCCCCAACCCTCCCACCCTGAGTCAGAATGTCGGTAACCTGTGTTTTGCCTTCAGATTGGCTGTATCTTATGTTTTATAGGTTACTTGACATGAGGCTGATGCACAGCCACAGGGGTGGAGAAGTGGGACAATCTTCACTCTCTCTCACCAAAAGGGCATACACTGTGGTCTCAGATCTCAACAAAAGCTAAAGCACTCCATCTGCCAAGCTCCATGCTCCAAAATTCAGGTGGTTCACTGTTCACAGCTGACAGCAATGGAGCCCGCAGGTCTCCATAACTACACCTACTGCCTTCCTCTACCTTTGTTGGCCTCCCGACTCTGAGCCCATGAAGCTGCCTGCCTCACCCACTCACTTGGTAATGATCCGTGAGCAATTCTTCCAGCTTGCTCTCTTGCATTGCAGGAACTGTGGCGGAGAATCCAGAGTAACAGAATCGCTTTGTTAGTCTGGTAATTAAGACAGGAGTGACATTCAAACACAGCCTGGACAGGATGTGGCAAATTACTGTATTCTTTGTGTGAAAAGCTGTTCCCAGTCTGCTTTGTCTGCCCTCCTGGGATCTCATCATCTCCACTAAAAGTCAAAATGGGATTTTTTACCCTCTATTCCCTTTTCTTTTTTTCTCCCTAATATATATCTGCTTTGTGGGAGCTATGTTTGTCAAAATGTGCTAATTTATAGCGTTATGGGGAAAAATGAAACCTCAGCTTTCAATTCTTGTTCTTTCAGGCAGCTTTACTAAGGGTCTCCTCCTTCCTCCCTCCCTCCTTTCTATTTCTGGGGAGGTTATTTGCTAAACAAAACACGGTCTTTCTTTCCCCCTTGCAACATATGAGGCAGGCAAATGGCCACTCTTCATCTGTTTTTCAAGTATATTATACATACAATTCTCTCACAGCTAATAGCTCCTTCTATTGTCCATAATTTATCACTGTCAAGGTTCTTTACATTTTATTTCCTCCTTATGTGTTTCATGAGAAATCTATGCTTCTACTATTGTGGCCCTGGATTTCATTAGCATAAACTGCATGATGTCAAATAAATATATATTCCATATCACAGTAGAGTCTGTGTTTTCTGCAAAGAACAGGATGTTACTTTTATTGGTATGGTTTTTTCTCATTTCCTTATGGTCTTTTTCTTTTCCACTAAACCATTATGAAGTGAGTACCAAAGGTATCCTGGGTAATTAGCCATTACGGTACTGTCACAGAGGGTTCCACAGTCAATACAAAGATAATTTGGGCAATGGTGAATGACAGTGCTGTCCAGACTTTTGGGATAATCAAGGACACATCCAGCTGTACCAGACATCTGTCAGACCCATGAATCATTTCAACTGACTCGACAATAGCCAGGCAGCCCCAGTGAAGGTAAGCACTACAGCAGGCAGCAACACTTGCTCTTGCATATAACTGCATGCTGCAGGAACAGAGCCCTGTGCAGAATATGAACATTAGTGATATTTTCATGTTGGTTAAAACAATGATAAGAAAGAAAATGTAAATCAATTGGTCAGGGGAAACAGTAGGCATATTATGAGAATACTTGGATTTTTCCTAGCTAAAAATAAAATGTATGCTCAAGAAATATTGGTCATGATTGGTTTTATGTAATTAATTCTATTTCCAAATCAGTCCAGACTTTTTTATGTACCTGATATCTACGCTGTTAAGGGCCTTTTATAAGTTAATGTTGCTTTTATGGTTTTCACTTTCAAAGTTCCTTAGCAAGGGTGGCTGGCTGTTTGTGGAGTAGTCTTGGCTAGAAGTTCTTGGAATGGTATAGAAAACTCTCTAAAACGAGAAAGTGACACAACAGTCCAAACTGAATTAGAAAGCATTGTAATTACTTACAATATATTTTTGTAAATGACTGCCCCTCTAAGAATCTTTGAAATTCACACATGGCAGATAGAACTCTGATTCCAAACTACAATTGACTCCCTGATCATGAATTTACTACAGTGAGATGTAAATATGATCTTATTCTGGTTAGCTTTGATGTAACATTTTCTAGCTTTCATATGCTATCCCCAAACTCCCAAGACCTTCCCAACTGAGACCAGAAGCAAGAAACTTGTCAATTTGCTGCCCCCTTCCTCCCTGTCTCACAAGAAACTATTCTTATACAAATTCACTTTTATGAGTCACTTAACAGGCTCTTCATTCACAGTTTCTCATAAATCCTTCAAATGTCAGACTAGTGAGTGCAGAGTGAGCTGAAATGGAGCTGCTCTGTGCACCTGCGGTGGGGCAAGGAACTGGGGCTTCCTGTGATGCTGGGAAGTTGGGATCTCAGGCAACCTGGGTATCTGTCATGGAAATCAGGGTCAAAGGAGCATTTGTTTTTACTCTTTCATCAACTCTACTAACTTTTTGGGCTTTTAAAAACAGTTTTATTGAGGTACAAATGATATACAGCAAAATGCACTACTTAGGATACACAATTTGATAAGTTTGACATATGTGTACATTTGTGAAACCATTATAACAATCAAGATAGTGAATATATCCATCACCCCCAAATTTTTCTTATGCCTATTTGTAATCCTTTTCTCCTACTCCTTCATGTTCACCCTCCCCAGGCAAAGAGTCAAATGCTGTCACTACAGATTGTTTGCATTTTCTAGAATTTTATACAAATGGACTCATTTAGAACAAACTCATTTTTATGCATGTATCTTCCTTTATTTGGCATAATTTTGAGATTTATCCATGTTCTTCCATGTATCAGTAATTCATCCCTTTTCTTTATCAAGTAACATTCCATTGTATGTACATACCACTGTTTATTTATCCAATACACCTGTTAATGGACATTTGACTTATTTTCAGTTTGGGGCTATCACAAATAAAACTAATGTGAACATTCATATACAAGTCTGGGAATGGACATATGTTTTATTTCTGTTGGATAAATACCTTGGAGTACAATGGCTGAATTACTTTGACAAACTGTTTTCCAAAGTGGTTGGACCTTTATACATTACCACCAGCAGCAGTGTGTGAGAGTTCCTGTTCCTCCACATCCTGCTCAACATTTGATATGGTCAATTGCTTGATTTTAGTCATTTTAATAGATGTGTAGCAGTATCTCACTGTGATTTTAATTTTCACTTTCCTAATAACTAATGGCATTAAGTATTTTTTTCATGTGCTTATTTGCCATCTATACAGTTTCTTTGGTGAACTGTCCAAATATATTTTCCATTTGTCAAAAACAAATTTTCTGTATGTCACCAGCTCTATTTCTGTAGTCTCTTCTGTTCCATTGATTTGTTTATCTTTATACCAATACAACACTGTTTTTATTGCCATAGCTTTGCAAGAGGTCAATGAAAGGTGGCACAAATTCTCCAGCCATATTTTTCTTTCTCAAAATTATTTTGGATTTTCTAAGTCATTTATACTTCCGTATGTATATTAGACTCAGCTTGTCCCACAAAAACAAGCTGGTATTTTGATTGAGATTGTATTAGATCTATATGTCAATTTGGATAGAAGTAAATTTTAACAATATTGAGCCTTCTAATCCATGGACAAGGTATCTCTCTTTGTTTATTTAAGTCTTCTTTAATTATTTAAGTCTTCTGTAATTCTCTATTTAAGTCTTCTTTAATTATTTAAGTCTTCTTTGATTCTCTATTTAAGTCTTCTTTAATTAAGTCTTCTTTTATTCATCTCAGCAATATTTTGTAGGTTTCAGTGTACAGAATTTGTCAGATTTGTCCCATTTTTTCTTTTTTTCTCTTTGAGACGAAGTCTTGTTCTTGTTCCCCAGGCTGGACTGCAATGGCGCAATCTCGGCTCACTGCAACCTCTGCCTCCCAGGGTCAAGCGATTCTCATGCCTCAGCCTCCCGAGTAGCTGGGATTAGAGGCACCTATCACCACGCCTGGCTAATTTTTGTATTTTTAGTAGAGATGGGGTTTCACCACGTTGGCCAGGCTGGTCTCGAACTCCTGACCTCAGGTTATCCACCCGCCTCGGCCACCCAAAGTGCTGGGATTACAGACATGAACTACCGCGCCTGGCCCCTATTTTTAATTTTTTTTTTCTTTATTGAAGGTGTCATTGATTTTCAATTTCAATGAATTAAATAAATTCTTATTCCTTTTTGTTTCAATTTCTGAGTATTTGTTGTTAGTATATAAAAATACAATTGATTTTTATATATTGACCTTGAATCCAGCCATCTTATAAATTCAGTATTAGTTTTAATAGCTTTATGGTAGATTCCATTAGCTTCTCTACTTAAACAATTAAACTGTGACTAAAGATAGTTTTATTTCTTCTATTTAATCTGTATTCCTTTTCTTTCTTTTTTTTTTTTTTTTTTTTGCCTGATTGTACTGGCTAAAATCTTCACTACATTATTGAATAGAAGTAGCAACAGCAGACATCCTGCTCTTGTTCTTGATCTTAGACACAGATTCAGTCTTTTGCCATTAAGTATGATATGATCTATAGGGTTTCTGGAGGAATCTTTTGTCAGGTTAAGTAAGTTCTTGTCCTTTTCTAGTTTGCTTAGAGCTCTTTTGAGGCATGGATGTTGGATTTTGCCAAATAATTTTTTTATTCTATCTAGATGATCATGTGGTTTTTCTCTTTTAGTTTCTTAATATAGTGATTGGTTTTCCAATGGTAAACCAACCCTACATTCCTGGGATAAACCCTATGATCATGGTATATTATGCCTTTTATATATTATTAAATCTGATGTGCTAAAGCTTTGTTCAGAAATTTTACATTTATGTTTATGATGGATAATAAGCTCATGTAATTTCAATTTCTTATCAATTTATCTTTATTTTATTTTATTATGCATTTATTTAATTAATTAAATTTTTTAATTTGTTATATTTAATTATTATCAATTCCTTATTGCTTATTTTGCTATCAGAAAAGCATTCTGTTATCTTCAGTTTTTTAGAAGAGTTCGTACTGTGTTGGTCTTATTTCTTTTTTAAATCTTTTTATAGCAGTTTTATTGAGATATGATTCACATACCAAATGATTCACCCATTTAAAGTATACAACCCAATGGCTTTTAATGTATTCACTAAAAGACTACATTTTCATTTCTTCCCTCCTAATCTTTGCACTATAGATGCTAGATATTGTATATATATATATATAATAAGCCCTGCTATGTATTGTATTACTTTTTACTTAAATGATCAATTTTTAAAGATATTGAAATAACTAAAATTATTTAGATTATTAGCATCTTTTTTTTTGTTTTTTTAAACAGAGCCTTACTCTGTTGCCCAGGCTGGAGTGCAGTGGTGTAATCTTGGCTCACTGCAACCTCCATCTCCCGTGTTCAAGTCATTATCCCGCCTCAGCCTCCCGAGTAGCTGAGATTACAGGCACCCACCATCACACCTGGCTAATTTTTGTATTTTTAGTAGAGATGAGGTTTTATCATGTTGCCCAGGCTGGCCTTAAACTCCTGACCTCAAGTGATCCGCCCACCTCAGCCTCCCAAAGTGCTGGGATTACAGGCATGACCCACCGTGCTTGGCCATAAGCATCTCATATACTTATCCATGTAGTTGCCATTTCTGTCTGGTACTCTTTGTATAGATCCATATTTCCATCTGGAATCATTTTTCTTCTGCATGAAAGACTTTCTTTAACATTTCTTAGTTGGTCTGCTGGTGATGAACTGTTTCAGCTTTTATGTACCTGAAAATGTCCTTAATTCACTCTCATATTTGAAAGATTTTTTTACTAAGTAGAGTTCTAGCTGATAATATTTTTTTTTCAGTATTTTAAAGATGCTGCACCACTGTTTTCTCATTTGGATTGTTTCTGAGAAGAAATCTGTTGTCATTTTTGTATTCGTTACTGTCTAAAAAGTGGTTTTTCCTTCTGGCTGCTTTTAAGAGTTTCTCTTTATCAGTGCTTTTAAGCAATTTGATTATGGTGTGCCTTAGTGTTGTTTTGTTCATGTTTCTTGTGCCTGTTGCTTGTTGAGCTCCTTAGACCTGTGAGTCTGTCATTTTAAGCAAATTTGGAAAATTGTCAGCCATTTTTTTTCTCAAATATATTTTTTTTCTCTCCTTCCTTCTTCTTTCTTTTGGAGATTTTTTTTTTTTTTTTTTTTTTGAGACAGAGTTTCACTCGTGTTGCCTAGGGTGGAGTGCAATGGCGCGATCTCGGCTCACTGCAACCTCTGCGTCCCAGGTTCAAGTCATTCTGCCTCAGCCTCTTGAGTTGCTGGGATCACAGGCACCTGCCACCACGCCTGGCTAATTTTTGTATTTTTAGTAGAGACAGGATTTCATCACGTTGGTTAGGCTTATCTTGAATTCCTGGCCTCAGATGATCCACCCGCCTCAGCTTCCCGAAGTGCTGGGATTACAGGCAGGAGCCACAACACCCGGCCTCCTTTGGAGACTCAAATGTTATATTTATTATGCTGCTTGAAGTAGTCCCACAGCTCACTGATGCTCTTTTAATTTTTCTTTTTTTCTTTTTTTTTTGAGACAGAGTCTCACTCTGTCGCCCAGACTGGAGTGCAGTGGTGCGATCTCGGTTCACTGAAACCTCTGATTCCTGGGTTCAAGAGATTCTCCTGCCTCACCCGCCCGAGTAGCTGGAACTGCAAGCACACGCCACCACACCTGGCTAATTTTTGTATTTTTAGTAGGAACGGGGTTTCACCGTGTTGGCCAGGATGTTCTCAATCTCCTGACCTTGTGATCCACCCGCCTTGGCCTCCCGAAGTGCTGGGATTACAGGTGTGAGCCACCACACCTGGCCTGCTCTTTTAATTTTTTTGGATTCTCTTTGCTCTTCATATTTCATTTGGGAGTCTCCATTGCTATGCATTCAAGTTTACCTGTCGTTTCTTCAAAAATGTCTATATACTGATCATTGCTTTCAATGTGTTTTTCATTCCAGACATTGTAGTTTTCATCTCTGGAAGTTCAGTTTGGGTCTTTTTTATATCTTCTATGTCTCTATCTACTTTTTGAATATAGGAAATAGTTATAATGACTGTTTTGATGTCATATTATGCTAATTGTAACATCTATATCAGTTGTGGGTTACTTTCAATGGGTTGAAAATTCTAATTAAGGTTCATGTCATTCTACCTCTTTACATTTTTGATAATCATTGACTAGGCACCAAACATTACAAATTTTGCCCTGAGCTTTATTTTGGGATACAGTTAGGTTATTTGGAAACAGCTTGATCCTTTCAGGTCTTGTTTTTATAATTTGCTACGTGGTTCTGGAGCAGTGGTCAGTCTAGAGCTAATTAGTCCCCACTGCTGAGGCAAGCTCTTCCTCAGTATTCTATCTAATTCCCTGTTAATTGTGAGTTTTACCGTTTTGTCTGATGGTAACAAACTATTCCTGGCCCTGTCAGTGCACATACTGTTTCCTTTAATCTTTTTAGATGTATTTTCCCCTAACCTCAGACAGTTTCCTCATCCACATGCACTGATGATTACTCGGTCGAATGCTTGAGGGGGCCCTCTGCAGCTCCCCAGGACTCTCCCTTCTCATTGGTACTCTATCAGGTGAACTTGGCTCACCTTGGTCTTCCTGAACTCTGTGCTGTCTCCTCAACTCAGGGTGTTCTCTGGGCCTTGCTTGGGTTTTCTCTGCCCACATCACAGCCTGGAATCTCTCCAAGGCACAAGAGTAAGTGGGAGAAAGTACAGGGCTCACCTCGATTGTTTCCCTTCTCTCAGGGATTACTGTTTTTCATTGCATGATGTCTCATGCCTTGACAACTTGTTTTATATATTTCATCTTTTTGTTCTTGTTTCAAGCAGGAAGATAACTCTGGTTCTGTTACTCCATCTTTGGTGCTAAATTTTTTTTGTTACTTTTATTCATCCATGTGTCTGTTCAACAAGTAAATGTGTCCCATGGCTGTGCTATAAAGGGCTGAGAAGATTCATATGAAAAGTTCTGCTCCAGGAGGATGGAGACCTGTCTGTTCTGCTCACCACTGTAGCCCCAGGAAATGAACAAAATGCCCATTCATCCCAGCGCTCAAGAGTAGTGGGGGAGATAGACAATTCTACTTCAGTATAGAGGTTCATATGCACACAAGGACTGGAGACGTAGAGGAAAGAATGCTTTAGTCCATATGGGAGAATCGTAAAGGCCTCACAGAAAAGGTAACACTTGGGTACATTTATAATGGAGGAATAGGAGACTGCCAGAGAGACAAGATGGGGAAAGTATTCCAGGCAGGTGATTAATGTGAATAAAGGCATAGAAGCACAAAGATGCATGATATGTTCAGGGAACTAAAACTTACTTGGAATATTATGCATGTGAAAGGCAAGGACAGGACCCAGAGAGGAGGTGAGTAGCAAAAGATGAGGCTGAACAGGTGATTAGGAGCCAGATCATCTAAGATCTTGCATACCAGGTTAAGATTGTAAACATATTTTAAAAAGGGAATACCATTAACTGGGAAGAAGATTTCCATCTTTGGAGAAAGGCAGACCAGGGAAAAGATTAAATCACAATACAAGAAAAGTACAGAGAACTAGAACCCCACGATATGAGTGAATGGAAAGCCAATTGCTTGGGAAGCCAGAAAGCAGACCTGGGATTAGGGTGAGGCAAATGAGGCACCTAGAGGCAAAATTAAAGGAGGTGCTTGCCCTCAGGGTCATGAATGTGCCCACCCTGCCTCTGCACATCCATGACAGTAAGCAGCTCTTTAAATATTGCACTCTAGATGCTGCTCTTGCCCTGTAGTCCTGGTCCTTGCAGGAAGATTTCTCATCTTCTGTAGGCAATCAAACAAATCATAAATCTAAGCCCCAAACAGAACTGGGATGGAGACTGCAAATTAATAGACAACATAAAGACATAAACACTATACAGAAAAAATATTTATTCGTACAAAAAGATTTTCAGCTAAACCTCTCTCCATCATCTGAAGATTTAACCTTTGGCAAAAGTCGGTCACATGTAACAAGTCTCTACCAAGAAGACAGAAAGCTTGAATTAAATCTCTTTGGAAGTAGGTCTTCCACTCATGCTCATGAACGGACAGTCATCTCACCTGGGCTACCCAACACAAGTACTTGGCAAAGTTTGGAGGAAGAGCAACCAGATGGGCACCAGGCACCATAAATCCTAACTTTGCCTCCCCAGGAGACAACTCCTTGATCAGACGAGGCTTGTTCAGGAAAGGTGTGTACTGCTCCAGGTGTGGTCACTGCCCAGCAGCATAGCAGTACCTGAGTGCTGTCAGAAATGCAGAATCTCAGACCTCAAAACAGACTTCCATTCTCCTAAGATCCTTAGTGTTGACACATACATCAAAGTTTGAGAAGCACTGCTGGAGATGACTTTCTCAGGATGGTTCTGGAGGACCTGCTTCACAGAAAACTTTAAAAATGGAATTTGGAACCTATGGTGGGTTGAACAGTAGTCCCAAAAAATATATGTCCACACCCTAATCCCCAGAACCTATGAATGTGACCTAATCTGGGAAACAGGTCTTTGTAAATTTAATCATATTGAAGGTCTTAATATGAGAGCATCCTGGAAAATCCAGGTAGATCCTAAGTCCAATGACAAGTGCCCTTATAGAGTGAGGCAGAGAAAGATGACACAGCCAAGAGCAAAAGGCAAGGTGACACTGAGGTGGAGAAGCCCAGGAATTCTGGGGCCAGTAGAACCTTGAAGACGCCAGGAGCAGAATCTCCCCTGGAACCCCTAGAAGGAATGTGACTTTAGATGTCTGGTCTCCAGAACTGTGAGAGCGAACATTTCTGTTGTTTTAAGCCATGATGTTTGTGGCAATGTGTTATGGCAGCCCTGAGGAACTAATACGGAACTACCTAATTTATTTTTCCATTCATAAGTGAGTCAGCCAATTGGCAAGCAACATTTGTTAGTCATCTTCTATGTGCCATTTCACAGATGTAGAAACTGAGACTTATAGAGCTGAGGTGTGCTCCTTGTTATACTTTGTAAGTAAATCACAGAACTGGCATTCAAGGCCAGATCATTTTTATTTCAAATCCAGTTTATCTTTCTACTACACAATCCTTTAGCAGCAAAAATTAAGGGCCAGGTTATTTAGTGAGTCACAAATATAATTCTTGCCAAATCAAGGCCTTCACAGTAGCACATCCATAAAATACCTCTGTGCACAATTCCTGTTTTTAGTACATTAGTGAAGACGAATATTGTCAGCCTCATTGTGTATAAATCCCTATCATGTCTTCCTCAAGTCCAGAACCCCTGTGCCTTCTTCTGTTTAATACTATCTCCTCAAGTCACAATAGGAAAAAAAGCTGACTTTTCATTTATCTGAAGTCAATTCACTTCTAATTTATTTATTTATTTATTTTTTTGAGACGGAGTCTTGCTATGTCGCCAGGCTAGAGTGCAGTGGCACGATGTCAGCTCACTGCAAGCTCTATCTCCCGGGTTCAAGCAATTCTCCTGCCTCAGCCTCCCAAGTAGCTGGGATTACTGGTGCCCACGACAACATCCAGCTAATTTTTGTATTTTTAGTAGAGACGAGGTTTCACCATGTTGGCCAGGATGGGATTACAGGCGCGAGTCACTTCTAATGTTTTACCTCAACCTGACCATTTGCCTTTCTACCATTCACAGCTAATTACAGGATGGAAACTTTATCTCCCTCCTTGGAAGAGCAATGCATTGGATAAACCAAGGGGGCTCTGACAGTGCAACTAAAACATGGCCATTTTAGGGGCCTGGGATGAGGAAGTCAGGAGGAATTATATCCTATCTTCCTCATTTCTTTGCCATTCATTCCCTCGACCTGCATATATTAATTAAGCCCTTTCTATGTGCTAGGCACTGTTCTGAGCTTTGGGGTGGAGTTCTGAAGATGAGAACCTTAGTCCCTGTCCTCATGGTGCTAAAGGAATACCCTTGGTGGGAGAGGCCCAGGAGAGAAGTGGGCCAGGGTAAAGATGATCTGGTGTACACATGGTGCAGTGGGGGCAGTTATTGCTCATGATTGACACCAAGAGACACCAGGGCACAGTGAGGACTATGACAAACTGTAGGAATCCTCTTCTTAGCGCCAAACAACTCACTTTTACGTAAAGCACCTGATTTAAACTGGTGAACTGGCGGTCTCCAACCTAAATGCATGCTGTGACAGGCGGAGGCACAGGAAGCTATGGAAGCTCTTAAAGGGGCATCTAAATCAGACACTCGTTGTGCTGTCCTACAGATGAGCCACAAGGCCCTGCTAGCATTTTTCATTCCCTGGCAGTCATCATTCCCAGCTCCATCTATTTTTTGTAGCTGGGGCCCAAAGTGAGACCATAGTGTCATAGACTAAGCTCACATGTCTCAGGACTTTTTACACCCATTTTTTATGCTCAGCCTTCCTAACACACACAGCACAGCCCACTATTCACAGATTGCAGACTCCAGAGCAAAGATCTCCCCTAGAGGAGTCTCCCAGAGAGAAAAAGGAAGGAGCAGAGGCTGGGCCTGGGCTGGAAGGAGCAAGGTTTCTACAGGCTGGGAAGTGCAAGTCTGAGGCCACCTGACAAAGGCAAAGGGAATGGGTGGAGGAGCGCTCTAGATCCAAAGGTGACACAATAAGCCACCGGGGCCTTTTAAAGGGATGAACTTGGGTTGAACTCTCCAGCATTGGTTTTATTCTGATATTCCTGTGTCCTCGGGAACCTGGGAAGAAAGCTCTGGTTATTTGTGGATCAGTTCTATAGTTTCATTTCACCTTCTTTCAATGCCAGCAGCAAATAAAGCTAAAAGCAACTTCATCTCAGAAATGAACTGGGGTCATGAAGAACATACCACTCTGACAGCCATGGCCACAGCAGCTCCAAGATAAGGGTAAAGATAGTCTGGTGTACGCACGGTGCTGTGGGGCAGTTAGTGCTCATCACTGACACCAAGAGACAACAGGGCACGGTGAGGACTATGACCAACTGTAGGAATCCTCTTCTTAGCGCCAAACAACTCACTTTTACATAAAGCACCTGATTTAAACTGAAGGTTAGAGAAGGCCTCCCTCTCTAACCTCAGGGGATGGTGTCTCAGGGATGAGGTACAAGATACCATTTTGGCCTTCTCAAATTCCTCTTCAACAGGTTATCCCAGGACCCCCTTTTTTGAGAAGCCCATGAGTAGCCTCCAAAAGGGATCAAGTCTAGATAAGTGACTTGAAGCATCTCAGTAATTATGAGGTCATAGTAGGTACTGCCAAGATAACATCTCATTTTGTGCAATTAACAGCTACAAATAGTAGAGGCTGATGTTGGATTTTTTTTCTTTTTTTTTTGAGACAGAGTCTCACTCTGTCGCCCAGGCTGGAGTGCAGTGGCGCGATCTCGGCTCACTGCAAGCTCCACCTCCCGGCTTCACGCCATTCTCCTGCCTCAGCCTCCCAAGTAGCTGGGACTACAGGCGCCCGCCACCATGCCCGGCTAATTTTTTGTATTTTTAGTAGAGACGGGGTTTCACCTGGATTATTTTGATGCATACTCAGAAGTGCATTAAAGGAGTCATTGGGAGTCGGCAGCAATAGTTGGGGAGCTAATCAAATAAAGAAAACAAACCATCTGGAAAGGACAGGTTACTAGGAATGGAAATTAGAAGCCCCAAATGAGTCAGACTGGGTTAGCACAGTAGCTAAGAAGTGACACTGCAAGAAAGAAAAAACCTGAGTTCAAATCCCAGGTAGGCTACATGCCTAGCTTTTTAATCGTGGGTCTATCACTTCTCTAACCTTCAGTTTCCTTACCTGATTAATGGGTATGATAGTAGTTCCTCCCTATAGGATTCCTGAGGAGACTTGAGATGCAGTGATTTGCATTGTACCTTGTTCATAATAAGCACTCGGTAACTATACCTAAAAACAGCAGCAGATGAGGATGGGCACAGGTACTGGATGGAAGAGCACAGAAGATGCAACTGACAGCAGGTCAGGTGGGACATGGGCAAGAAGGGGCACAGTATCTAGACATAGGTAAAGCTGGGGACAATCACATTCCCAGTAAAGCACCAGAGTTCAGGTTCCTCAACTCTGGCTGCACACTGGAATCTTTTAAAGTCATTTTTGCGGGTTTTTATTTGTTTCATTTTTAATTACCCATGTTTGCACCTCACCCCTCAGATTTAATTGATCTGGTGTGGGTCAGAGCATCAGTATTTTTAATTTTTTTAAATTTAATTTCTGAAGTGTTTCTAATCTGCAGCCAGGGTTGAGAACCACTGGTTTAGATGATGCTGATCTAGATGATCTTGAATTCTGTCGCAAAGCCTAAAGGACCTTGGGAGAAAAAAAAGTAATCTAGAATGACTCTTGGGTTCTTGGCCTAAGTAACTGGAGGGATGACATTGCCATTTTCCAAAATGGGAATGATTACAGGAGGATGGCACAGCTGCTTTGAACCCAGTGATGAGTGCATGCAGTGTTGGGGATGCAGAGCTGAATACAAGGTGACCTCTGGCCTTCTGGAGCTCACCGGTGGGTGGGCACAGTAGGTGTGTACATAAATAATGATGGTGCAGTATCATAAGGGTGCTGAGATCAACAAGCACTGGGAGCCACAGATTCACAGGGGCAGAAGAGACTACCTCTGCCTGGGGGAACTTTGCAGACGGACCATGAGATCAGCAGTATGTGGGATAAAATAAGGAGGACATAAAACTCGAAGTAAGGGGTAAAATTGGGCCATAGTGCAGCAAAATGATGGAGGCTCGAAGTAGGGCAGAGGCAGCAGAGGTAGGGATGATGAGTCGAGGAAGGCGGGGGTGGAGGCAGGTGAATGGGAAAGAGAAAAGACCAAGTTGCCTTGGGCGAGCCCTGTGTGTGTCAACATTGTGGAGTGAAGGCTTTCCCTTCTCAGTCTCCCCTCCACCACCTTGGCTTGACTCCTGGGCCCAGAGCTATTTGGAGACAATCTGCGTCTCCCAGATGTGCACAATCATTTTGCCCCTCTTGCCTCTGGCCTTGGGAGTTCCTGTTTCTGACAAGCAGAATGACTAAATGAAATTTGGTGAACCTTTCACCTTTTTAACTGCCTTAGTCTTCTCTAATCTCTTGGCTTCTCTTGATAAGCAGTTCCTGCCACTTAGCATTCCAAACTCCATCAACCCAGGTACTGATTTAGCAGGCCCTTTGTTTTCTTCTACCTTGGCTACCTTGGATGGATCTGGAGGTTACGTAATATCAGGAAATTGAATGTGTATAATCTTTGGGAGAGGGCCCTGGCGATGTGCCAAGGTATTTTAGGATAGCGTGCATCTTTATTATACTGCTCAGACCCTCTCGTAGGACATCATGCCAGATAAGTAATTCACCTCCGTTTCGCTTTGTTTTTCAGTTTCCCTGAGACTTTCTGTGAGGCCTGCAATTTGTTTTGAGTTCCAGCTCCAACATTCTCCAAGGGCCTAGCAATCACCATCACATATGGGTGGACAGGAAAGGGCATACCCGAAAAACGGTAAGAGTTCATCTTGTTACAGAGATGTACCCTGAAAAACAGTACAGAGATCATCTTGTTATGGAGATTTCTGGCACATATATACAGTTGGCTCTCCATATCCGTGGGTTCTGCATTGGTGGATTCAACCAACTGCAGATCAAAAATATTTGAAAAAAATACATTGCATCTGTACTAAACATGTACAGACTTTTTTTTTGTAATTATTCCCTAAACAATACAGTATAACCATTTACATAGCATTTACATTGTATTATAAGTAACCTAGAGATGATTTAAAGTATGAGGGAGGATGTATGCAGGTTATATGCAAATATTACACCATTTTATATCAGGGACTTGAACATCCACGGATTTTGGTATCTGCAGGAAATCTGGAAACTAATTCTCCATAGATACCTAGGGACAACTGTATGTGTCTGTGTGGGGGTGTGTGTGTGTGTATCAATCCTCATATGCATCATATCATATATGTGACATATAGCATACATATTATATCACATACATATATTATGTGTGTGTGTGTATATATATATATATCTCAATTCTCATATGCCAGAAATATGCACATACACATGTATCTATATGTATGTGCATATATACAGCTTTTGTTTATGAGAAAGTATTACCTATGCTTCTAAGCCTTACCCTGTCTGCAGCCCTGAATTATCCTTTCTGGAAAGCTTTGAATCCTCTCCATGAAGTAAATTTCCACATGCAAGCATTTAGCCCAGTTTAAATCAAGTCCAAAGATTTAAGTATTCAGTATTGCCTTTTCATAATCTGCTTTAATTGTTATTGATTTGTATGTTTGGAAACTGCCTGGAGATGATAAAGGCCTCCCGTCTGTTTCACTGCTGACCATTTGCTGGTTGGTGTCTGCCTCATCCTTGGCTCTTCAATTGGTCTCTCTTTAGCACTTCTACAGATGGTTCTACCTCCTGCCCTGCAGAAGTCCCTACTCCTGTAACAAATTGAATTATCAATAAAAAACAAACTGGAAAATAATCAGCAGTTAAATAAAATCAATTATTCAAAAGAAGGTTTGATATGGAAAGGCAATTGGAGCTTTATTCAGCAGTGAATTGAAATTAATAATATATATTTTATTCTCTCTATATAGTAGAATCAAATCAGGACATTCAAGGAGAAATTCCTGCCCAGGGTTTGACCAACGTGCTGGCAATGGCCCTCCTATGCTGATCTCTTATAAGTCCTGTTTCCTCCAAGTTAGCTGGGTTTAGGCTCTTAAATTTCTAGTAGGGGTTTGAGAATTCTTAGTTATCTTTTGGTCTTTGAGTGACTGTCAACAGCAGAAAAAAAGAGACAATTGTAGTCATGCTGTGGGGAGAGGGCTGATATTTTGGTGATGAAAGAGGTTTAAGTTTCACAGAACTTTAAAAAACTTCCAATTATTTTAATAATTATCATCAATAAACTTTCCTCATGGTACCATCACTTGTATTTGTCCATGTGAAGAAGATAAACTTGAAAACTCATTTAAACCACTCCTTAAGGCTGAATAAAGGGAATCTAGCACAGGCTTTCTCCTCCAAAACAGAAAAAGAATATCTCAGCTGCTATGCAAGATTGAGAAAACTCAGAACCTGAGCTCTGTAGATCACTCTGAAGCTATAAGAATAAGGTGTATATACACAATGGAATATTATTCCACCACAAAAAGCATGAAATCCTATCATTTGCAACAGCATGGCTGGAACTGGAGGACATTCTATTAAGTGAAGTAAACCAGGCACAGAAAGACAAATACCACATCTTCTTACTCACATGTGGGAGTTACAAAACTTGATCTCATGGAGGTAATGAATAGGATGGTGGCTACCAGAAGCTGGGAAGGGCAGTGGGAAGGGAGGGATAAAGAAGGGTTGGTTCATGGGCACAAAAATACAGTTGGATAGAAGGAAAAACAGCCAGTGTTTGATATCACAATAGAGTGACTACAGTTAACAATAATTTACTGCATATTTTGAAGTAATAGAAGTAGATTTGGAATGTTCCCAACACAAAGAAATGATCAATGTTTGAGGTTATGGATACCCCAGTTACCCTGATTTGATCATTACCCATTGTTTGCTTTTATCAAAAGATCATATGTGCCTCAGAAATATGTACAACTATCATGTATCCACAAAAATTAAAAATAATTTTAAAAAACAATAGCAGAATTTAGGAATATGTGACAATAAAATCTCCCCTTTTCAGTAGGTCGTATAGAAACTATTGTGCGTCTGTTTTCCAAAGTTCTAATTTGTTTAAACATCACTTGAAATGTAGGTTCAACTGAGAGGGAAAGAAGAAGTACTTTCTCCTTTTAGAAATAAAGCTGGGGCTGGGCATAGTAGCTCACACCTGTAATCCCAGTGCTTTGGAAGGCCAATGCAGGAGGTTTACATGAGCCTGAAAGTTCGAGACCAGTATAGGCAACAGGGTGAGATCCTGTCTCTACAAAAAAAAAAAAAACTAGCTGGATGTGGTGATGTGTGCTTGTATTCCCAGCTACTTGAGGCTGAGGTGGGATGATTGTTTGAATCCAGGAGTTTGAAGCTACAGGAAACTACGATCATACCACTGCATTCCAGCCCATCTCTAAAAAACTAAAAATGAAAATAAAAATATATCAAAAAGAAATAAAGTTTGGGATATGTTAGCATGGTGAACATGAAAATACTAAGAAAGTTAAAGAAAATTAACTTTCTACAGCTTTAGTTTTAAGGCAATAGGAGATCAGTAGTAGAGTGAATACACAGGGCTACAGGCCAAGGAAACCTGTTTTAGGAAGGCAAGTCTTAGGCCTAGCGAATGTGCAGATATATTAGAAATGAGACTGTCTGAATAAATGCCATTTGTCAAAATGCTTGTAGCAAAGAGCTTACTTCAAGGCAAAGGTGATTCATTAAAGGAAGGAGGCTGGAAGGTGAGGGGTTCAAGATGTGAGTCATTTAGGATTAAATCCAAAGTGCTCCCAAACAACAAACAAATAAACACAACAAGCAATAATAAAAAGCAAACACATGTAGTCTTGCTTCTCAATGATGAGGGGAGAGTGAACCCCCTGCCGGACAGAGTTATTGGTGCAAGTCTGCTCTGAATCCCTGAAGCACTCAAACCACCTCTGGCTGTGCCCCAGAAATGCCTGGATTCTAAAGGAAGTGAAAGAGAAACTTGGATTCTAAAGGCAGTGAGAGCAAAAACGTGCACTTTTAAAACATTTTCTCTGAATTACAAGTTTATTTTAGGTTTCTTATATATTAATTCCTTTTAGTTTCTCAACACTTTAAACAAACGAATATTTGAATGTCTACTTTCTCCTTGATATTGAGTAGTATACATAAGGTTGTTTTTGCATATATTTACAGAAACCAACAATGTAAAATATGCAATTCGAAGTTGTTAAAAATTGCTACATTATGGTGACTCACTACAATGTGAAGGCACAAAACTAGAAGAAAAAGAACAATGTTTTTTAAAGCAGCTGAAGTAATTTTGTCCACCACTTGTTGCTTTTTGTTCTAGGTTTTGTCTGCTTTACCCTGTTGGTTCCTAAAATTAGGTGGAAAAACTTTAGTCCCAATGCAAGGGCCCAAATTGACCTTTGCTTATATTATTTTTCCTTTTATGTCTAGTCTATTTAATGAATATGTAACCATCCTTGGAAAACATTTGACAAGAATGCTACTGCTCCTATTCCTATGCCTAGGCAGACATCAGTAATTGATCATGGCACTGTCTCCCTGGTGAGTTGGGACAGAGCCACGCAGTTCTCCATGTATTGTTCCAAGCAGCCACTACGATTGGCTGGAATTAGCATATTAAATAAATCCTATTTTATGCCTTGGGACCAGAATCTCAGCTGTTGAAAATTCTGTATGCATAAGATAGGACGAGAATCTTGCCAGAGTGGTACTTTTTAATAACTTACATATACCATAATGTAGAAAGAAACATTAAAGAAGTAGCAACATTCATAATCTACTATCTATTTTGTTGCTCTTCACTAAATGGATTTGTTCTTATGTTTGTTGCTATTTAAGTGCAACATAATTACATATTATGGAACATGTATATACTACTTTAGTAAGGTTATTATTTATGTTTTGCCATAACTATATTTATTTGTTTCATTAGAGTGCATAAGTACTTTGGGGAGAGAGGCTTTTTCAAGATGAAAAGATGGTTTTTAATTATTATGGTTTTCTTTGCTTGAAGCTGATTTTCATAATTAACACATATTAGAGTCAAATGCAACCATGTATTTTATGCTCACTGGAGTATACAAAATTTAACTTTTCTCAATGGGCTGTTTGTGCAGTAGCAGTTTCACAATGGCCTCTGCACACTCTGGGTAATGGTAATATTACGTTAATGTGCTGATCTATACTATCTATACCATTGAAAGTATTAGATCAACTTTTTGCAGAGTTTACACAATGTCACATTTGCTTGATGAAAATGTCCATAGTAAAATTTCATTTCAGTAATTGAAGAGTCAAATCAGGCCTGACTAATCAGCAAGTGCAACCTGAAGGGCTTCAATCAGAAGAGGCAAAAAACTGTGTTATTGACTTTGTAAAAACAATACAACCTTTCTCATTTTTCTAGAGTCGAAAAAGAAAAAAGCAAATACAAAGTGCAAGTCCGAAGCTCTGCTTATTGGTTTTTTGTTCTGTTTTGTTTTCTCTAAACTTTTTTCCTTAATTTTGTTAGTGTTGCTTATAGCAGAGAAGCAGAGACTAGCTAACTCTTCGCTAAACCCACTTTCTCCTCTTCCTGGGCACACAGGTAGACTACATTCTCAATCTTATTTGCACTTAAGTATGGTCCTGTGGCTCAGCTCCAGCCCATAGGATGTGAGTAGAAGTAGTGCAAGCCACTTCTAAGCCTAGCTCATAAAAACCTCTCAGATGCATCCTCCATGTTCTTTTCCCTTCTACCAGCTTGGTGCAGACAAGCACTGTGAACTTGGAAGTCAAGTTCGTGAAGCCACAATACAGAAGGAGCCTGGGTTCTGGAATCACTCCCAATTAGAAACACTCATTTGGGCTGTACAGGGACAAAAAGTAGGCATATATCATATTTAAACTATTATACATTATCAGATGTGTTGATTACATCAGCTAGCATTATAACTAATACACTGTTTTTCCAAGGAATTTTTTAGATTAGTAGTTTTGTATCCAGGTATAGGGTGGTGGGAAGAAGGTGGACACAGCTGGGAGTATCATAAACTCCTAGATAACTTTTTGATACCACACACTCTAATCTTTTCTTACCTGGATTCTTATTCAAACCCCTATCCTGACCTGCTGGGTCAGGGGAGAGAAAAATATGTCAAGGAGACAGAGGCAAGGAAAGATTAAGTAACTTGCTTAAGGCCACCCAACAAGAAATTGGCAAAGCCAGGATTCAGACATGAGCGGTCTAACTCCAGAGCCCACGTTTATAACTACAGTGTTAGCCTATCTCCCAAGTCCTGCAGGACATGATCAGAGGACATGGTCTTTGTTAAATTTCTTAAATGTGGTACACTCTGGATTGTCTATAAATGCACTTCCTACTTGGAAGTCTATCTACAACATCTTAATACTAATTTGCTATGTCCCTTCCAGCCAACAACTTTATAAGTTATTTCCCCTCAATAAAAGTGAATATTATTGTCAGGGACAGATTTAAGAGGTGGTATATACTAAGAAAAAGATTATACATGCCAAATCAGTATCCATGATTTGTAAGCTACCTTGCTGCTGCTTCTTCAATTTACCTGGCTAGTTGAGAGTTGACTATACATGAAGAAAAAATGGTTCAATTCAGCAATAGAAGCATGTTGTCACAGGAAAGCCTAGAAATAGCCAATTGGAATGTCTTGGGGAGCCACTGGACCACTGATAATACCCACACACCTTTTAATAAGTTTCAGTGGAACATAGTGGATGAAAATGTAGGCTTAGAGCCATACTACCAGGCTCCAATTTGAGTTCCACCACTAACTAACTTTCTCTGTGGGCAAGCTGTTTAACTTGCTCCAAGCCTCAGGGCCCTCATTTATAAAAAGGGAGATAAAATGAACTCAAACAAATTTACAAGAAAAAAACAAACAACCCCATCAAAAAGTGGGCAAAGGATATGAACAGACACTTCTCAAAAGAAGACATTTATGCAGCCAAAAAACACATGAAAAAATGCTCATCATCACTGGCCATCAGAGAAATGCAAATCAAAACCACAATGAGATACCATCTCACACCAGTTAGAATGGCGATCATTAAAAAGTCAGGAAACAACAGGTGCTGGAGAGGATGTGGAGAAATAGGAACACTTTTACACTGTTGGTGGGACTGTAAACTAGTTCAACCATTGTGGAAGTCAGTGTGGTGATTCCTCAAGGATCTAGAACTAGAAATACCATTTGACCCAGCCATCCCATTACTGGGTATATACCCAAAGGATTATAAATCATGCTGCTATAAAGACACATGCACATGTATGTTTATTACAGCACTATTCACAATAGCAAAGACTTGGAACCAACCCAAATGTCCAAAAATGATAGACTGGATTAAGAAAATGTGGCATATATACACCATGGAATACTATGCAGTCATAAAAAAATGAAGAGGTCATGTCCTTTGTAGGGACATGGATGAAACTGGAAACCATCATTCTTAGCAAACTATCGCAAGAACAAAAAACCAAACACTGCGTGTTCTCACTCATAGGTGGGAATTGAACAATGAGAACACTTGGACACAGGAAGGGGAACATCACACTCTGGGGACTGTTGTGGGGTGGGGGGAGGGGGGAGGGATAGCATTAGGAGATATACCTAATGCTAAATGACGAGTTAATGGGTGCAGCACACCAACATGGCACATGTATACATATGTAACAAAACTGCACATTGTGCACATGTACCCTAAAACTTAAAGTATAATAATAATAAAATAAAATAAATAAAAAAGGGAGATAAAGATGATGATGATGATAATGATGATGATGATGATAATGATGATGATGATAGTCATTTCATAGTGTTGTTGGAGGTTTCATAAGATAATACATATAAACACATGGAAAACTTTCTAGAAATCTTAGCTTTTGTTATCATTCCAAAGACTGTAGAGCTAAACAAAAGAATGAAGGTCCAAGGACCAATTCCAATCCAAAGGGCCCTTAGAAATGTATATAAAGAAAGTAATCCTTAATTTAATGTTGAAGGCTAATTGGGCAAGGCAGCATAATAAGGGACCTTCGAATTGGCTAATCTGAATTCAAATTTCATCTCTCAGGTTAGCTCTCTCATTTTCATTATATGATATAATCTCCATGAAACTCAATGTCTTCACCTATAAAATGAATAAATTCAGAGGTTTGCCTTACATACCAACTGCTTATGTGTATTTTCTTCTTTATGTTGCTCATGTCAATGGAACACATTTTTCTATGCTATTGTTAATCTAAGTTTAGCTTTTGGTAAGTTCAGCAACTTCACTGTCGGGGAAGAATAAAAGTGAGTTCACATAGAAATTATTGATTTTTTTTGTCTTTTTTGACTGTTTCAAACAATAGAGAAGCAGTAAGATATTCAGACGTTCAATTTTCACCCTCTATCCACATCTAGCCTCCCCACAATGGGGTTTACTGACTAACTGGCTCCATCGTGGGGGCATGTATTTATGGCTGTTGCTATAATTCCCCACAATTATTCCAAATAGCAAAACGTTTTTAGGTAAGAAAAATTACATGAAGAGTTACATTCATTCTTTACTATTTATTTTATTTATTTAAATTTTTATATATGCTCAGATATTAGTTACTAAGTATGATTTTACACTAGAAGTAGTTGGAGTTCCTTAGAGAAATGACTGGGATTAAAAAAAATACAAGATAAACCCATAATATTTCAGGGGACAGAAACTAAGGAAGTGCTCAAAATATAATGCAGACATGTCAGAAAAATTACAGGAGCTAGCTCTAAGGGGTTCTAAATGGTCAAATCTGGAACAATTTGAGCATCAAAATAATGAATAATAAATAATAGAATATTTGAGATTCTAGATGTCACATTGATTTGAATAAATAAATTAAAAGTAAAAGAGGGAGAAGGAAAATCTCATATTTACAGAAGAATACAAACTTTTAAACATAGAATAATTGAGTTAAAAATCACCATTTACAACTATCATAAGTAATAATAGGTTTTAGCAAGATTATAAATGCTAAAATTTGTGATTGAAAGTATGACAGACAGCATGTTACTTAAATAGTCTGAAAGTATCTCCCCACAAACTGTGTACAAATTACAAAGAGAAAAATAGCAACTGTACAGTGGGGAAACCCAGCAGGCAAATAATCAAATTATTGCAGTTTACAGCATTAATATGGGGAAAAGTTGGCATCTTGTGACTCTTGATATGATTCACTAAGAAAGAGACAATATTTTCTCTGTGGTATCCTTATGCATAATTTGAGTCTAATCGTGAGGGCACATCAGATAAACCCAATGAGGGACATTCTGCAAAATAGCTGGCCTATACACTTCAAAAATTCAAGGCTATGAAAGACAAAGGCTGAGGCACTGTTGCAGATTAAAATAAACTAAGGTTAGAAATGACAACTAAATGCAATTTATGATCCTGGATTAGAATTTGGAAACGGGATGTAATTGGCAAAATTTCCTTATAGCCTGTAGATTAGATAATAGTATTATGTTAATGTTAAATATTCAGATCTTGATAATTGTACTATGGTATTTAAAGGACTGTCATCGTTCTTCAGAAATAAATACTGAAGTAGTTAGGGGTAGAGGCATGATGTCTCCAACTTGCCATCAGATGACTCCAAAAACAATCAGTGTAAAGGGGGAGGGAGAGGAGAGAAGAACGTTGGGAGGAGGAGAGAACAGAGGAGAGAAGTGGTAAAGCAAATGGATAGAAACATTAATAAAACGTTAACATCTGTATACCCTCTGCTTGACTATGAATGTTCTTTGTACTATTCTTCCAACTTTTCTGTAATATTGAAATGATATCAAAGTAATACAAAAATAAATAAACAATTGTGCTATTTACATTTTTAAGTGCATGTTACATAATGTATCTGCAAACATTTTGAATTGGTCAGGGAATATATCTAGACATTTTACAATCAGCTAAAACAGAATCACTTCTTCTTTATAAGTTTTCACTTTACAATTTGCATTTTTCTGGGATATAACCTCAGCATAAAATATGAGCACACCTGTAATCCCAGCACTTTGGGAGGCAAAGGTGGGTGGATCACGAGGTCAGGAGTTCGAGACCAGCCTGGCCAAGATGGCGAAACCCCATCTCTACTAAAAATACAAAAAAATTAGCCAGGTGCGGTGGCACGCACCTGTAATTCCAGCTACTCGGGAGGCTGAGGCAGAAGAATTGCCTGAATCTGGGAGATGGAGGTTGCAATGAGTCAAGATCTCACCACTGCACTCTAGCCTGGGTGACAGAGCAAGACTCTGCCTCAAAAAAAAAGTACATACTATATATATATGCGTGTATATATATATGTGTGTGTGTGTGTGTGTATATATATATATGTGTATATATATGCACCTCTGTCAGAATTAAACACATCTTTTCCTGGGTTTGGAAAAAAATCCTGAAATTGTTAGTCAGTGGGCACTTACAATGCAACTCCACTCCATCTCTACAAAGTGCCTGGTAAATAATAGAGCACAAAATAAGGTCATTACCTCATTTAATTCAATCTTCATGGCATTCCTATGAACTAGTTATCAGGTCTTCATTTCAGAGATGTGAAAACTGAGGTTCAGAAGCATGAACTATTTTGCCTCAGTCATGGCAGACCATGCCCTTAGTAGTAGTAGGGCAGCTCCCCATACCTGGACCACACTCTTTCCACTACACCATATCCCTCTTCTATGGAACCAGGTTGCTCTGCCTGAAACTTGACCCAGGGATGTTGAAACCTTGATGGGATGAGAAGCTGGGAAAAGTGGAGTGGGGGTGGTGTACTGTCATCTCAAAAGACACAAATCATTTCTCTTTTGAAAGAGAAAAAAGTTGAAAAACATCTTTTTGGAATATTTTATTTTTTTAATTTAAAAATAATCCCACCAAAATGGATACTATGCTTAGAGAAGAGATATCATAACTGGAAATTAAGTTCTCTGAGAAGCAGAGACCATAGTAGCTTATATTTTAAGTTTCACTTGATGGATTCCAGGCAGTATGGTATCAGAGGTATAATCTGTAGGATACCATATACATTGTTTATAATGGAGACAAAGTTGCATCCCTGCAGACTATGTACACAGGATTTAGAGCGAAGTATATGCCAAATGAAGATTTAGTAGATAAAAGAATATGGATTTAGGTTGTCCTGGGCCTCAATTAGTGGGTTCTTGTGGGCATATATCATTCTTGGTTGATCAGTTGTTCATAGGACACTAAGAGCTAACACCAAGGAGACTTTTAAGGATTTGCAGACCTGATCTCTGACTCTCACTGGTGAAAAGACTGTAAAATGGGAACTTATTGTGTGAACTCAGTGGATTAACCTGGTCTGGTTTAACATGTTATTAATTTAAAAGGGATAATCCAAATATTGAGAATGCAAAACTAAAAGGAGCCATATTTTCTTTCTGTAATTTGGAAGAGTGAGAAGTAAGAAAGTTGTTGCCTATGCAGCTTTTCTACAAGCATTAGGGAATAATCATTTCCATTATCAATCATGTTGGAAAAAGGAAAATCCTTGAACACAAAATAGGACGGCCAGTCTAAACTAAGACAAGAAAAGATGTTTCTTCCTAAAGTATGAAGGAAGAGATGGTTTAGCCACTACAGGAGCCTAAACACCAAAAGCACTCTTAAATGTTGGCAATAATATGGCTTTTGCCTCAGGAACCATCCAGAAATGGGCTGGGCTTGGAAATTGTGCCTTTGTTGGCCAGAGAAGTGCCTCTCTAACTGCGAAGGGAAGAAGCCCTGTAGTTGAGCTTAGAAGCAGCTTTTACAGGAATTCTATGAGATTAAGCAAGAGTCTGTGGGCTTTGGAGCGGACATATCTAGGAACAAGTTATAAAGGGTTGTGATTTCCTTCCATTATTCCAGAGCCTTCAGAAAAGTCTTGTTTCATGATTCAGCCCAATTTTGTGTGTGTGTGTGTGTGTGTGTGTGTGTGTGTGTGTGTGTGTGTGTTAAGGGGAAGGGGGTCAAGGAAGGAGGTTCCTGTCTATGCTTAGGCCTGAGTGAAAGAAGAGAGAGGTGTTGCCTTGCTGAGGTGGCAGGAACACAGCCCAAGGACAGGCTAAGAACTGGGAACTCTGAAGAAAACTCTTAACCAGAGTGGGGGCAATGGTCTGCAAGCAGGCCAGAGTACAGCGGTGCCCTGGAGGGCAAGTTGGGCAAGCATGTGTGACAAGGTGAATTGGGAGACGAGATGCCAGAACATTAGCATCTCATGAGAAACCAGGTAAGACTTGCAAAGAAAGGACTAGTGTTCAGCAAATTGAAATGAGAAGACATGAAAATTAATGCCATTCTAGCTAAAGTCCAGCATGTAGGATATTGGAGCATCCTAATTTGGGGGAAGTTATGTAAATTTACCTACATTGATACTCATATAAAAGGAAATACTAATTACTCTAATTTTGTGCAACGAAAAGTAATTCTTTTTTTAATTGAGACAAGAGATTTCATATATTTATGGGGTACATGTGAATATTTGTTACATCCATAGAATGTTTAATGATCAAGTCAGGTTTTTTGGGATACCCATCACCTTAAGTATTTATCATTTCTATGTGTTGGTAACATTTCAGTACAACAAGAGTAATTCTGATTTAATACATTGTTTCAATTGTGCTGAAGTACAAATGCCTCATTATTCAACAATGTTTAGAATAAACTAGAGACATATTAATATTTACATCCTATTGAAGCCTGTCATTCAAATAGGCACATGGCACTTGTTATTAACAAATAAACTTGCTATGCTTGAGATGAGGCCTTGCTTGCTTTGGTTATCTTTGACTGGGCAGCACTGTTGGCGAGTTCTGAAGCTAATTAGGATAACGCACATGGTAGCGACAGATCTGGGTCTTGGATTCTGGGAAATACTAGCTTTTTTGGAACTGTGTAATGATGAGAAAGGCACGGCAAAAGGAAGGCAAGGAGGTTCCTAATATTAAAATAGGCCCTCAAATCTGCCATTCATTCTGAGTTATAACTTGTGTAAATATGCGTCTACCGTATCCACCAACAACACAGTTGCTACCTGCCACCTACAGATAATGTTTATCTTCCCACTTTTCTACACACACCCTGCTCCCATTACAATCTCCTGTTTTTGTCACCCCCAGCCACAACTCCAGGCCTGCCCGATGGACTCCAGAGTGTTCTCAAATTTTTAAGTCTCTTGTCTGTAAGTTCTTTTCCCAATACCTGAAAATCTGAGAAGGGAATGCTTGTCCTCTCACTCCTGGAGGTGGTACCCTTCAATGTGTTATTGAACCCTGAACCTCCACAGACCCTACCACTGAGCTCTATCTCCCACAAATAACCCCTAGACCTTGGTCAGCCATCATCTGAATTTAGTTGAATACTGCTGATTTTAATATTCATTTCAAACAGACTTCACCTCCATTTAGAAAAATGCTTGGGGTTGAGGGAGCCGTTCACACAATAGAGTGGTCCAAGAGTCCTGAGTAGAGAATTCCCTGTGGCTCTGAGTTCATGGAAACTTGTTCTTCAGCGGGCTGGTGGCTTAGCAATGTCCAGTGGCTACCACATGTATTACCAGTGGTTAGTGAGGAAGGAAAGAGTGGAATGCCACCTCAATCCTACAAAATGGGCTGAGATTCTACTGTCAAATGAAAGTATATTATACATTCCCTTCTGACACCATATCAAGAACTTGCCTCAAGGTTAAATAAATTCTAGAAATACTTTTTCCAGAAAAGAACACAACCACTTCCTGTTTTATATTTCCTTTTAGTAAATGGAAACTTTAAAGGCATTAAAGAGAAA
This sequence comes from Homo sapiens, assembly GCF_000001405.40. Taxonomy (NCBI): domain Eukaryota; kingdom Metazoa; phylum Chordata; class Mammalia; order Primates; family Hominidae; genus Homo; species Homo sapiens. The sequence goes on along the minus strand of NC_000002.12, from coordinate 175,405,110 downwards.
CATAGCAACTTTAATTTGTAATGTCTTTAGCTTCTGTCAGTTTAAATTAAGCCCATGATATCTGAGCACAATTTCCTATATTTAATAATACATAAAGCAAGATAATTAAAAGGTATGCATGCATGCTGGGAGAAAAACGCCTTTTGAGTAAAACACTGACTTTAATCTCTGCCTCTGTTGATGAAATATAGTGAAACCAAGCAACTAAAAGGAAAAAGAGAAGAAAAAAGACAATGGCAGAGACTATTCCTCACACTGGCTCTTTCTTCTGAGCCTCAGACTTCCAAATCCAGTGATTTACTGGACATTTCCACTTAAAAGTCCTTAAAGTAGACTTCACAGACAGCATTCAAAACCAAACTCAGCACCAAAGCCCCCAAAACCTGCTGTGTCCCTCACTTTAGGAATGGGAAAACCACCAGTCCAGTAACTTGAGAGTCATCCTTGACTTCTTCTTCTCCCTCAGAACAACCACCCACACACACATGCACTCATACACACATGCACATACACACACGCAAACACATATATATCTAATCGAGCTCCATGTCCAGTTATCTCTACTTCCTACTCAACGGTATCCAAACCCACTGCTACCACCTCACCCAAGCAATCTAGACCACTTCAATAGCATCCTAACTGCTTTCTCTGCCCCCAGTTTTGCCCCTTTCCAATTCATTCTCTAGTCAAATTCAGAGTGATCTATTTAAAACACAAAAGTGATCATGCCATTTTCTGTTTTAAAACATCAGTAGCTTTCCTTAGGAAATAATCGAGATAAATCAATTTTCCCTTTTATTGGTAAGCCCTACTTCTCCAGTATCAGTCTTCATTAATCCTACCCCCTTGCCTTCTACAGACTACTCAGACTGACCTTTGGTTCCTCCAACATACCATGATGGAACTTGCCTAAAATTCTATTGCTCACTGTTATACTTCTTTTAAATCCCAGTTAACCTGCCCCTTCAAGTCCATGAGTCCTTCTCATGTGCTCTCATTGCATGCTAGATACATCCCAACCAGAAGACACATATCCTGAAGGTGCCTGTCTCCTTAATATATCCCCCACTAGATTACAAATTCCGTGCAGGATTATACATGACATGTTCCTTTTTAAATACCCAGAAACTGGCACACAGTAAACACTGAGTAAGTATGGAAGGAAGGAAGGAAGGAAGGAAGGAAGGAAGGAAGGAAGGAAGGAAGGAAGGAAGCAAGGGAGGGAGGGAGGGAGGGAGGGAGGGAGGGAGGGAGGGAGAGGAGAAAGAAGAGCTATGGATGTGTCTTTAATTTGTCCTTAGGAGACAGTGTCCTATCTGTATACTTAGGGACAGGGATTCCTTTAGTACTGATGTTCCCTCACTGAGAGATAGTAGGGCAAGTCCCCTTAGGTGTTCCACAGTTACAGGATCAGGGAGAGCTTCACCCAGATCTATTTAAAATCTCTCACTCAGTTCTTCTGGGACCAGAGGCTTACATTGATAAGATGATTGCCCCATACTAAACTGTAAGTTTTTTGAAGGCAAAATTCATATCTAATTCATCTTTGCATTTCCACAGCACACAGTATAATGTCCTCCACAAGGAAGGTGTTTAACACATATTTGTTGAATGAATTAATGAATTACTGAGAAGCTAGAATTAGACCTACAAACGGATCTTCAAAGACTCATGGCTTGGGCCTCCTTAGCGTAGTAGCACTGCTAATGAATCAGTTTGCCCAAAAAGCTGACACATGTGCTGGCCACCTGAGTTCTCACCATTCTGGCACTGAGCTGATCCCAATTACTGGAAGCTACAGGATGGGCAGCAGACTTTCTGGGCAATAAAGGAAGTTAGGTCAGTAGGCACCAGAAGCCTTGACCTCTAAATTCTCAAATGATTCCTTCCTTATACAGAACAAGCAAAATGCACAAATACTCTTTCACTGTTTGTCAGAGTTCCTGGGGCAACTGAGGCTGTGAGGCGAAAAAAGATTTGGGGCACATTGTAGAAGGCAGCTAGAGTCTATATGTTTAACTTAGCATTGCAGAACATTTTATTTTAAGCCAGTGTATAATTAGAGAGCCTGCCATGAAAATGAGCGGTTTCGTTTATTTATTATGTAAGTATGCCTTTTATTAAAATGACTTTGTGAAAATCTAATTGCCACTACAGTAATATAGCATAGCAGTCCCTTACATAAATACATGATTATTATGTACAGTCACTTATCTGTGAACGAGTTCTGCTACTACTTTCCTTAATTAAGGATACAAAAGGGCTCTTTCATCTTTGCATATTCCCTTGCCAGGACACTGATACTCATTATTTCCTAAGTCCAAACACTGAAACTGTGTCAAGAATGCATCCATCACTGGATGGGTACTTATAGTCAGCAGAATTTTCAACCCCGTCAGCAATTTCAGCAATTTGCAATTTCTGTATGTCTGACATGTGTTTTTATTGGTGAAGATCACTTTCAAATACCAAGATCATGAGAATGATTCTTTGGGTAGTCTCTGCAGCAGCCTAATGTAATGACAGTAATTAACAGCCTGTGATTAGCAGCCACTCCAGAAAGTGTTTGAATGTTAATTTGCTTCAACTAATATGCAGCACTTCTGTGTAATGAGATCTAAACTATAGGTTCATAGGGAAAGCAAATTATTTTCCAGCATTTAATCATACAAATGATTCTTAGTTAATCACTTGAACAGTAAACCTCAGTGTTCTAATAAGTGACATTTGTTTTTCCGTCATTCAGTTTATTATGATATAGGCCAGGACAAAGATACTATTTTTCATACTGGTCAAATTTTCACTTGCCGGCCACATCACTCCAAAATGAGGAACTGCTCACAAAATAGAGGAATGGAACCAGGTTTGCTGGTGGGTACATAATTGAGATAGAACCCACATTGTTCCAAATTTTACTTTTTTCACTTTAAAGGTGTAACTTGATGCCACAAAACCTCAGTTTACGTATCTGTAGAATGGGATGAATGACCCTTTGCTCTTTAACACAAATATCCTGATGCTTAATATCAACCAAGAAATTGAGAACAAGGGTTGCTCATTAACCAGCTATTAATTATTTGAATCTCTAAGGTTATAACATTGGATAGGCAGACAAGGAAAAGTCATGGAAACATGAAAAAATTCACTAATGAACTGGCTTCTCAGAAAATAAATGCCCTCTCCACACTAGCCCAGCACTGTTCAAATCATGAGGCAGAACCATTGACACATGAGGATTTGGTCAAGTTAGACCAGCTAAGAACTGACGATATAATAGCCACTTCAAAAGACGATGATTTAAGTATCAAAGAATAAAAAGAGGCCTTTGGGAAAATGAATGAAACCCTAGAATATTTTTTGTAAACTTGCCGACTTCACATTTATACTGAAAAGGTCAAACATGCCATCAAGAATGCTGAGTAATGTTGTCACCATGTCATCAGAAAAATTATACCAAAAACATTCAACCCTTCATCGATCCTTTGTTTTTAGACATGGCACACAGTTACAATTATGATCTAAATGTGGCCAAACTTAGGAGAAAATCCATTTTTTATAATTTTTGTTTCATTTTTAAGCTAGTTTTCCATATCTACTATGAAATTTGATTCCCCATTTTATATAGATTTACTTCAAGTGGCCTTTTTCTATTAATGGTTATCCCTAGATAATAACAGCTTTCTGTGCTGGCTTGAAAGCTCAATTTTAGGAGTCATCATCGGCAGGAGTATATAATTGCTAAGCGCCAAAGCTATTCCTAAGAACCAGAATTAAATGAGAACCCTTTACTATATGGGTGGTGATGTGGTTTGGCTCTGTGTCCCCACCCAAATCTCACCTTGAATTATAATCCTCATAATCCCCAAGTGTCAAGGGCAGGATCAGGTGGAGGTAATTGAATCATGGAGGCAGTTTCCCCCATGCTGTTCTCGTGATAATGGTCAGTCTCACGAGATCTGATGGTTTTACAAGCATCTGGCATTTCCCCTGCTTGCACTCACTCCGTTTTCCCGCCCTGGGAAGAAGGTGCCTGCTTCAACTTCGCCTTCCACCATTATTGTAAGTTTCCTGAGGCCCCCTCAGTCATGTGGAACTGTGGATCAATTAAACCTCTTTTGTTTATAAATTACTCAGTCTCAGGCAGTTCTTCATAGTAGCATAAGAACAGACTAATACAAGTGGTATGAATACAACAACATCATAGTAGATAGTCATTAAGGACAGATACCAAACAGATCCATGTCCTATATGAAGGGTGGCCTCCTAGCTAGGAGATGTGCAGAGCTGCCTCTGTCCACGCTGAATGTCTGTCTGTGAGGTGTGATGTTGGGGCATTCAGAAGGTTCTTTTTGTCAACGTCCGCAATGGATGTTTCAATCCCATACCTGGATATTCATCCTTTTGACTTACCAAAACAGAAGATTAGTCCCTGAAGTTATTGTAAATAATGCCATAGTTATCATTTACATCTAATCATAAGTGGATTTATTGAATCCTTTCCTATAATAGGTTTTATAAATTTATAACTTAGAAAAACACTGAGTTCTTTGGAAAAAAGGATAAAGTGAGTTTTTGAAGAGAGAAAAAAGAGCAGAAAAAAGGAGATTGGAAGAAATGGGAGAAAAAAAAATCTTTACCTCCCCCACCCCCACTCTATTGTTTCTGCCTAGAATTATCCCTGGGCTAGGTGGCATTTACAGGGGGACACCAGTAAATCCTGACGTTTTCCAAACGTCTCCCCCATCACCTGTTATTGTGCTTGAAGGCTGCCATTCAAGATTTATCCCACCCTTTGATCCCATAATTCCACTTTTATGAAATTATTTTAAGAAAATAATTAGAGATGTGACAAAAATTTAGCTAACAGGCTGCTCATCACAGCATAGTTTATAATAACAAAATGCTAAAAAAAAAAAAAAGCCACTTCAATGCCCAAGAATTACAGTTTGTTTGGTCTATACAATGGGATACTCTGTATAGCCATTAAAATAGCACTGGAGAACATTTAATATATGAAAATATGCCTTTGATATTTTGTTAATTGAAAAAAATCCAGTTACATTACAGTGACAACCTGTGGTCCTGTTCTGTGGAAAAGCAGAAATAGAGATACTGGAAAAGAAGAAAAATAAATATTGCTGAATGATTAGCTAGATGAAAGTAACTTAACTCACAAAAGGCACATGTGAGCTGTTGGTAAACCAAGAAACAGTGTGAGGAAGGAGTGCTGGGTCCCCGCTTTAGAGCCACAGGGATGGGTAAAGTGGCTCTCCTGCTATGATAAATCAATTCTGAGGCCAAATATTTGCTTTACAAAACAATAGTGCACGTACACACACACACACCCAGGTGTGTATGGTCTCTGTGTAAGAGGATTCTTTGAGCAATGCTGTAACAGGTAACTAAGTGCTCAGAAGTGACTTTCCTAGAACCTCATGTCATTTCATTTACCCATTGATTAGCCCATTCAAGTGGTTATTAAGCGCTACTATATGTGGCATGCTATACCAGGCCCTCCCATATTCACCCACCTCACCCCACCTCTGTGGTGCCACCTTAAGCCAAGGGCCGCATTCTTTGGCACAGATGTTGCAATAACCTCCCGCCTCTTCCCACCTCCTGACCTTTCTTACCCTCTCTTCCTTCAGATCTCAGCTCCACTCTCCCCATTAAACATCCTCAGAACCTCGTGGACCTTTAGTAATGCCTTTAGAAGCATTAGCTTAGTTGTGTCTATCAGTGGTAGGTACAGAATGTATTTATTTGTGATTTTCTGATAAATGTTTGTTTCACCCACAAATAATTTTCTGTCTGTTCACTGAGTGCCAGGCACTGTGGCCAGTGCTTTACATGCATTTGACTCATGTAATCTATACAACATTCCTACAAAGTTGATGCAATTATTATCCTCATTTCACAAATCGGAAAACTCAGGCACAGACAGTTAAATAATTTACCCAAACTCAGGCAACTAGTAATTGAAGGAGGCAGGGTTCCAACTCACACTCAGGCTCTGACCCACGATGCTATGACGATCACCGATCACCAGAGCAAGACACTCCCCGTTCCTTCTCTCCACGATAACCTCTGTCCTAGATTACTGCTGCTCCAGCTTCAGTGGGCAGGGGAGTCATGAGGATATTGGGAAATGCAGATTTTAATTCAGGAAGTCTGGGTTGGGGCCTGAGAGTCTAGATTTCTGACAAACTCCAGGTGCTGCTGATGTTGCTGGATGGGAGACCACACTTTTGAGTAGCAAAGGGTGCAGAACAGCCCATGAGATATGGACGTCACTACTCAGTGACTTATTCAAGTAGTTGTTGAGTGAATAAGTGAAAGGACAAAAATGAGAAAGTCCTCCTTTTCAGACCTGAGACCTAGTTGAAGGGTTCAAATGTTGCCTGTGAAAGACTTAAGCAACAGCTGGAGGCAATATAAAGTTATAAAAAGTCACGGAGCTCTGAGGAGGATGAACTTCGAGTGGACAGGAGTGATCAAGGACTTTCTGGAAGTCACATGGCAGTTGGCCTATGACAGATAAAAAGGACAGGACCAGGCAGGGAGGTGAGACCACGGCAAGTCCAAGGAGAGGAAGGGCATTCACCAGCAGGTAATGAGGAGACTGAGGGGCTGCAGCTGAGCACTCATGAGGAAAAAGAAAGCTCTCAAAAAACCGACTTTGTTCAACATGGAGTCTAAGAGAGAAGACTATGATTTACAAAGGTGGGGAGTAAGAGCCTGGGTGAGATGACATGGAAGCCTGAGGCCAGAGACGCAGCACTAGAAGATATGCAGGACAGTGAAATCTGGTGGTTTATGGTCACCGTTCTCCAAGAGTCTTTTCTCACATGGCGTTAGAGATTAAAGACCAAGGGGTGAGATGTACATTTAATTTGCATATTGTTGTTACCGTTGCCTTAAATATGATTCTGCTGTTCCCTTGTCATCTTCTCTTGTACCTGCATGTCCTTTTGTGGCACATCATGAGGCAGTCAAACAACCTGAACAGATACAAATTATGCTGAGATATTCCTTCTGGAAGCCCTCTCTCTCCACAGCATTCTGTTCCTCTACTCTTGACCTGTTTACTCACTTAACTGACATTTATTGAGTATCTATTCTATGTGCCATTTATCCTAGATACCAGCTGTGGAGCCAGCCATGCTACACGTTTGCACCTTCTGGTCTACTCTAAGTATTGCATTTCCCACGTTCACTCCTGAAGGTAGTGAGACAGGTAAGGTGAATACTCATGTTTCATTTAGAAAATGGAAGGCTGCCACTTCATCTCTCTCTCTCAAATCATTTACACAGAAGAGTTCATGACAGCAAGGTGGCAGTGTTGAAAGTCAGTGTTTCTGTGGCCAGGGAAATGAACACTATGAATTCCAATACAATTATGAATGTATTAGAGTTTCTTTTTTCTTTTAAAATTACCTGCCAGTAAATGAAAAAAATAATAATTTCATCACCTTATATAAAGAAGACTTTACAGTTACTTATGACAAAACCAAGGAAGTTTTCAAGATCTAGTGCTAGTAGTATACCTACATATTCCAGAGCATATAGAGAAGAGGACATAGATCTAGACTTTAAAAAACTGAACAAGAAATATTTGGAAGGATTTTTAAGCCAAGAGGTTGTAACTGTCCCTTCCTAAAAGGCACTTTGTTGTCCAGTAGTATCTCATTGCTGACCATCCCAATTTTGGTCTGATGTGAAGTTAACCGAATTTTCTAGCCAAATGGATAGCACTTCCTATCAACATCGCTTTTAGTCATTCTTTTTAATTACCCACTGTATGTGTTGATCTTGCTGGTTAATTTTCTGTCCTAATCAACATTTAGCTCCCTCATCAATTTTCTAAATTGTTCCTTATTTTAAAAAGAAATAATCTACTTTTTTTAAACACTGATGGAGGACCAAATTATTTTCAAAGTTAAATAACAAAATAAGTTACCAGATGTATATTAGATCTAATTATCCAATCCAGCAAAACTGCTGCCTCTAAGCAAATCTTGGTGGAGCCCTCTTTAAAAGTTGTTTTTTAACTTCTAGACTTCTGGTTCCTTCATTCTCCTTCTTGCAATGTTTTATAGACCTGCAGTTCCCTCCATTTGTAGCAGCTCTGACACTATCATGAGAATCACCAGTGATATTCTGTAAATGCCAGCCAAAATCTATCTGCAAGAACATCTGCTCAACAGTGCAAAACTGATGTAATTACCAACCATCATCTTTTCTCCTCCTGCTGGGGTAACTGCTCCAAAGCATGACTTTTTGCCCTGAGCTAACAAGATCCAGAAACTCCCTGTTATGTACAAAACCTGCTGCTGAAAACCCATGTAGCTTCAACACAAATTATAACCCAGTCTCTCAACTACAAGAGAAACTAACACCCTTGTGCCATAGGGTCTCGGAGAATCTTGCTCAAAACCTTGTGAGTCCCAGACTTCATCCTCCTCCCGCTACCTGTTTTTGTCTAATATAAACGGTCTTCAAAAGAATATGATACAGAAAGGGAAGATACATCTATCATTCCAATAACACTGTTTTCAAAGTACAATTACTGAAAAGAATAATTAAATGTCAAATGTCTGAATGGGAACTGAGGCGGAAAGAGAAATGGAAAAAAAAAATCTTTATTGAGCATCTGCTATTTGCCAAGAGCTGTCCTGGACGCTTTGCGTATGTTATCTCATTTAATTGTGGTTTTACACATTCTGAAAATCAAGAAATTCCCATTTTGAATCCATTAAGTTGAGGACAGGCACTGAGGCTTCCCCATCTGCCTCCTAAGGATGTGGAGAAGTGTAACCAATGACAATGCGAAAAAAAGAATTCTAAGTACTTATTTTAAATTATGTTAAGGGAATACGGGTGAAAGACCATGTGATTCAGAGCATGACACTAACAAACTATGGAGCATCTGACAAGTTTCTTTTTTTTTTTTTCTTTTTTTTTTTTTTGAGACAGAGTCTTGCTCCATCACCAGGCCGGAGTGTAGTGGTGCGATCTCGGCTCACTGCAGCCTCTACTTCCTGGGTTCAAGCAATTCTCCTGCCTCAGCCTCCCAAGTAGCTGGGACTACAGGCACGTACCACCACACCCAGCTAATTTTTGTATTTTTAGTAGAGACAGGGTTTCACCATGTTGGTCAGGCTGGTCTCGATCTCACGACCTTGTGATCTGCCCACCTCGGCCTCCCAAAGTGCTGTGATTACAGGCGTGAGCCACTGCGCCCAGCCACGTCTGAGAAGTTTCTTAATGTGAGTCTCAGTTTCCACAACTACAACATGAGGGAGTTGAAATAGATAATTACTAACATCTCTACCTGGTCTGAAATGTCATAATTCATTGATTCTACAAATCAAATTTTATTTCAAAACATTTTTTGAATTACATACTAATTTCTCTCATTTTTGGTTCCTCTTAAATTTATGATGAGGCTGAGAACAAACTAGAAGTGGGAATTAGTCATGAGACACTAACAAATAGTTTTGTTGGCTTGTGTGATGTTTTTAGTTTGGATTTTTTGTTTTGTTTTGTTTTTGTTTTGAGATGGAGTCTCGCTCTGTCGCCCAGGCTGGAGTGCAGTGGCACGATCTCAGCTCACTGCAACCTCCACCTCCCAGGTTCCAGCGATTCTCCTGCCTCAGCCTCCTGAGTAGCTGGGACTACAGGCACGTGCCACAACACCCGGCTAATTTTTTGTATTTTTAGTAGAGATGGGGTTTCACCGTGTTAGCCAGGATAGTCTCAATCTCCTGACCTCGTGATCTGCCCACCTCGGCCTCCCAAAGTGCTGGGATTACAGGCGTGAGCCACCATGCCCTGCCTGTTTGCGTTTTTAGGGGAAAAAATTGGCACCAAACACAGATATTCAATCAGGCTGAACCAAGATAATAAAGAGTATTCTTAATTCCAAGTAGAATCATGGCCATTGTGCACATAAAATTTTTTGTAGTTAGGGAATAAAACTACCAGAAATACAGCCGCTGTCTGATCTTCTTTGGGGAAATTTTGTTTCTACTTTGTCATATGACAATAATGTTGGAGCTTGTGTGTGTGTGTTTGTTATACAGAGGTATTTGGTATTAATGGATGGAACATTGCCTTTTAATCACAACTCATCATGAAAGAAATCTCTGTCACTCTGCTTGGATGTATAAAGCCACTTTCTAGCTCATAACACATAAAATCTCTAGAAATCAATGAACAAATTCATGAAAGATTTGCCAAGTTTACCTTTTGTGTCCCAGCACTTTCTCAGGCACTTAAATGATCAGCGAGAAATCTAAAAGTAATGCAAATAGCTTGACCCATTAAGGCACAAATAAAGCAGACTATGGAGCTTTTCTAAAATAATAAGAAGTGTGTGTTTTAAATTATTTGTTAAATTCCAACATTCCCAACAACAGAAAATCTCTATATTTTGAGAACATCTCAAAAACCAAAATCACCCTCTCTACTAATGGTTCCAAATTATTATCAACTTAAAAAGAAGAATAAATGCCCACAAAGGCACTTTCCTAGGGTTCAAAGGAAATGATAGGTGAAAAATCTAGAACTTAAGACTATGGGTTTTTCCCAAAGCCTTGCACCTTAATTAAGTCCCAGTTCTGGCGTTATGTAATATATACAATTATATATAAGTCAAAAGCCTGAGGTGAACATGTCCTCAAAAACAAAGGTATCCCTCTAACCTGGAAATGATCCTACCACATAGAGAATGAATGATCAATGAGCCCTCCCTCTTCTCTGTCATCCTGGGGATGGCCAGAATCATATAGACAGATGGACACCAGAAGGACTTCACTGTGTTTTATCAAGATACTTATTTGGTGGTGGGCCAGAGACTAGGAGGTCTTGAGAATCTTTCCTAACTAATGTGGAAAGAAAGAGAAGAAATACTAAATACCTACTCTGTCCCAGGCACCATGCCACACACCTTCTGTGTACAAGGTTAGAGCTGAAGATTCCTCTATGTCTCCTCAAGCCCTTCTCACAGGAGCCAAGATTGAGAGGCACTGATCTAGAATGAAGTAGGCAAACTGGTTTGATCACATGCCAAAGCCTATCAATGAGTAGCAGCTTCTGGGAACAGGTGTTGAGATGGATTCTGAGATCACACCTGGATTCAGTGGGAAAAAGTGTTAGAATCAAGTTCAAGGTGTCTGTCGTGGATCCAGTAGGAGAGATCAGCAGTGTACCTGTCTCACATGTACCATGCCTGATCTACACTAAGTTCATATACATTCACATGCAAAGCTATGTCCTTAGAAATGAGTGAGTTGTAGACAGACAAATACCAAACAATTTAAGCTACATTTAAGGATTTATATCAATCAAACAATATTTCTCAAAATGAAGACAGTGAACCACCTACCTCAGAATCCCTGGGCATTGGGCCAAAAGGTCTACATTCTTAACAAACCCCCCAGGTCAATTTTATGAACATAAATGCGTAGAATCATCATAAAGATCCTTAAGGAGTTGTCCCAGAAATATTGCTAGGCTTAGAGGTATGTGGTCTTCCTGGGCCAGGAGTTTGTCTTGAGATCAGTATTTCCAGTTTTGGTTTCATAAGTGCTATTTTCTTACTTCATCTGAAGTTGATCATCTGCAAGTGCTCAATTCATACTAACTGTAACCCTAACCCTTTGAGTGCATCTGCTCCCTGAGAAGGGATGGCCCATGCACAAAATAGGTGCTTTCCCCAGGTCAACAACTTTGTAGTGCCAACTAAAAATCAGCAAATTGGTTCCCGGTTCACAATGAGCCTCTTATTATTTTATTTAGCATAAAATCATATAGCATAGCCAGAATGAGAGCAAAGGGAACTGAATGTCCTCAAGAAATATTTTAACCCCTTTACCAAAATACATTACCCTGTCCCAGGCTCTAGATGAAGATCTATCAGCCTATACCAGCCATGTAGAATCAGAGAATCGCATCTGGGACACAATTTGTTATCAATCTTTTCTACTTAACTACTCTTTTCCATGTTACCGATGTCACCATGCTGCCTCATGTTTCTCTATACACTAAAAGATTGTATCTTTATTTTTATTTCATTTGTAATGGGAATATTTTTAGGAGATGCTCCAGTCTTTTTGGTAGTGTATTTGCAGTTCTCCCTATAGGGTGAGTTGCTTAGGATGACTTCCAAAGACTGCAATGGTTAGAATACCTACTAATTAAATTTGAAGATGGTGAAATATTTAATTAGCAGAGACACTTAGAAGTGTATGTATTTTGTCAAAGATCAAAAAAGTAGCTATTTTAGAAAATTGGTGTAATAAAATGATTTTGAAGTTGAGATTCAGGTAAAAAATAGAGGTACAGGAACCAGAAGCAGTTACCATTGCCCAACTCAGTTACCCTTGTAGTAATTTCTAAAGTTGGGATAATCAGGACAGAGGAAAGTGAACAGGAATGGCCAAATAAAAGAAATGAAGTTTCAGTAAAATTTGAGACAGGCTGATTGAAATTAAAAGCTAAATAAAACAAAGTTGAAAATGATTCCAAGCTTGTCGCTTTTAAAGAATAGCTGCTCTGTTGACATCAGTAAAGAATTTGGGAAACAAAGGCCTCCTGTACACCTTGGAAGGCACTTTTGCATCAAGGCTTTCATGAACTTCCTTTGAATTTTCCACATCTTGTTTTTATTAAGAAGTTAAAATTGAATTTAATATTTCTAAAGGCCTGGCTAGCACCAAAGAAATAAAGAAAAATTAATTAATTATAAATTAGTAAGAATTTTTTTCTCCCCTCTCAGTTCTCCTATTAATATTAGGTTACATACAATCAAATAGGAGTCAATCATTGCCTGACTATATACATTCATGCTATAATTCATGTCATTCTGCGGGACAGCAGCCCCTCGTGTTTGTGCTTCTGAAGAAAGGTTGTCCAAGAACCAACAAAGCTGGGCTCTGTTGGGGAGATAATGCAATAAAATGTTTCTGGAAGGGAAATTTCAAAGCCCAAAGCTTCATATACATAATAGCAATAGGGCCTGCTTAGCATTTGGGCTAATTTAACTTGCTCTCTGATTCCTGGAGTCTACTCCTCCTCTGCTGCTGTGCTGTGCCAGCATTCATTAGATATAATATGCTGGCTAACGTCCTTGCAGTGCCTAGAAGACCTACTTAAGGGCTTCAGGGTGAACACACATGAAGGAAGACTTTCCAAGAGGAAAACTTTCTTCCTGGAACTCGAGTGTTTTGGCCTAAAAGCTTTGGAAAGTCTAGCATCTTTCCCTTGCATTCTTTCTCCTCCCATCTTATTGTTCTTGTTTCAAGAGCCATTTTTACAAATCAGCTTCCCCCAGTTAATAGGATGAGCAGTATGGAGGAGGCTAGATGTTTATCACTGTGTTTAGATTCTAAACTGCAGAGGCAGGGGTACAGGAGGATAAAAAGTGTTCAAAAAATGCATAAGTAAAACACACCAAAAATCACTTTGGAAGATACTTTTTCTACCTAAGCTCCTGACCTTTCACCAATGATTACAGATTCTCCTCAAGTGATCTTTTCGCATCTCAGTTTGTGCCTTCAAATTTTTTGGTAACTTGAACGTAAATGTCTTCCTGACTGAAGGCGTGATCACTTGGGACACACAATTCAGAGTTTTTCATTGATAACAATGAAGTCGATGTCAATTCTAGACCATAACTGTCTAGTCCATTTTCCAGTTGCCATATGATCTACCTGTGCAGAACAATTCCAGGAATTGGGGAGTGCTAACAATCACTCCAAAAGACATAATAGTTCCTTGTGTGTTCTCCAGGGCATTCAATGTTTTTCCTCTAGAACACTGTATCTGATTCTCATACAAATTTCCAAATCCAGTTTATGTCCCACCATCTGATTATAAATTAGAGGGGTTTGGTTAATAGTGGAAGCAAAGAAAATGGAATATGTCAAAGACAAAAATTAGATGACACTATCCATGGCAGGGACACTTTAGGTTTTCAGAACTCTTGAGGAAGTCCATTTTTATTCTTAGCTTATGCATCAAGTTACATTAATGTCACATCATTAAACATTTGTTTAGTTGAATTTCCTTTATTTTGATTCAACTCTCATCAACTCATCTTCTGATTACAATTTGATTGCCTAGAGGGAAAAAATTGAGTGTATCTTCTAGACTTGGAATAGATTCATCTTAGAGACAGATATATTTCACTATCAATAAAACGAGTAAATTGGCAGTTATGGTTTTACACATCAGTCACATGAACTTGGTTACCATGAGCTCAGTCCTGAGAGGCGAATCTACTCATGATGTACCAATAAAAATCAAGTTGTTAAGCTTGCAAAACTGAAGATCAGTCTCTGGGCCATGTATATCCACTAAAGCAAAGAATACCATATTGTGAGACCTAATGGAAGCCAACCAGCCACCATTCCACAGCAAACACACACTCCTTCTGAATCATTTTGCAGAGCTATGAGGTCCTTGCCCCTTATAGTTGTTTTTCTGAAACTCAGCTACCCAGGAACTTGGCAACATTTCATTATTTATGTCTTTGCTGAATAAAATCTTCTTTCCCAAATGTATAGATCAATTGCTAGTTAAGCTTTCCTCAGTTACTATCAGTGCAGCTGGGCTGTGTTAAACATGTTTCACAACCTCAGACTAATGACAGCATCTTTCCACTCCCCATTTGTTCTGTGGCTCCCATAAATGAATGACTTCTGTCATATCTCTTTGTCCCCTACTAAGCCACTATGAAACTCCTGATGCCACTCCTTCAGTTCATTGACTGGGGTAGGGGTGTCCATTTTTCAAAATAAATGATGTTGTGTATTCCTCAATACTGTGTATTTTTTGACATGATGGAGAAAAAAGCCCACAAAATTGCACCTAAGTACTGCTACTGACACATGATCAACCATTTGACCAGTGACCCAACATATCACATCTTGTGTGAAAACAGTACCTCTGGCTGTCTTGAGGTCATGCATGAAGCTGAAAGAATCCCCTCTACAAGAAAAGGTATTAGTCAAGATACTCTAAGCCAGTCATAGTCCATTTTGTCTCCTTCAGATAAGGACTTTCCTTCAAGGAACTCAAGAAAACCATAAACATTTAATTTCCTTGATTTTTTCATTTCTGTATTCCCAAGTCTGAGCAATGCTTGGCATTTAACTGACATTTAATTCAATAAATATATGTTGATTGAATTAATTGAATGATAAATGATTTTCAATTTTAGTTTTATGTTCCCAATTTTGTTTTTCTCCTGTATATTCCTACTTCCTTTTCCCTTTCCATCTTTAAAATGTTTCTCATATCACCTTCATGTCATAACTTTATGCTTCTCTTACTCTTTCTCAGGGATATGTGATAGAAGTAGTAGTAATTAGAAATGTATAAGCCATCAAAACAATAAGAATTGAAAGTTCCCTTAAAGCACTGAAGGATCACTCTATGACAGATCCTAAATGGCTTCTGAATAGAACACACCATGTATGTGATACATTAGTTATAAAGTATTTTCTCTTTCTTATCCTAAAATATAATAATCATATAAATCATCACATACTTGTATAGTGCTTTATGGTTTATGGGCACTTTCATAAACATTCTCTACTCAGATGCTTTTAAGAACTGTATGCTTTTTAATATGTATATCTCTACATATTGAATATTTCTGAAGAGAGTCTGATGTCCTACAGTCTCTTGTTTTATTCTTTAACCTATTTGTTTTTCATCTTATTGTCTTCTCTTCAAATAGCAAATCATAATTTCATCATTGCTCTTTCAGGTGTTACCACCAAAGCCTCTATATTTACGATTGTGTCATTGGTTTATATTTTTAGAATAAAGAACAAATGGCTTAGCAAAGGGTAAAATTAGAACTCATCATGGTTTTACGTTATGAATAAATTTCAGAAGATATGTATGTACATGCTTCATTACACTTATATATCTGCTTAAATATCACACACATTTCCCAGCTCAACACTACACCAAAATACAGCTCTGCTGTTTCCTGAGGTATAAAACTCAGGAAAAACCCAAGTATGCTACAAATTTGTGTGTCCTTGTTACTACTCTGGGTGAACTTGTAAACTCATATATACAAAAAGCTTAATTCCAAAGTCATTGTCCTTGGAAGGGAACTAAAAAGTTTCCTGACATGGAATCCAGGGTTCCAGGGTAAGTGATCAAATCCACTGTCATCTTTGCAAAACAACTGCATTAATGTTCTTCTCTTTCTCATTTCAAATTTTAATATTTTTATTTTTTTACCAAAACTTCATTCACAGTTGAGCTTTGCCCAGATTACAAAATTGGTGATTCCTCATACTAAATTCATATCCATACAGCAGGCACCAAATTCTCTCTATCTAACTTTCTTTTTCTTGGAAGGTGAGATATCTGGGAACCTGCCCCCGATAGTCACGTTGGTTGTTTTCTACTTTCCCTAAGCATCGGCTGGGTTGAGAAATAAAGGGACAGAGTACAAAAGAGAGAAATTTTAAAGCTGGGCGTCTGAGGGAGACATCACATGTTAGTAGGTTCCGTGATGACCCCTGAGCCATAAAACCAGCAAGTTTTTATTAGTGATTTTCAAAAGGGGAGGGAGTGTATGAATAGGGTGTGGGTCACGGAGATCACGTGCTTCACAAGGTAATAGCATATCACAAGGCAAATGGAGGCAGGGCAAGATCACAGGACCACAGGACCAGAGCGAAATTAAAATTGCTAATGAAGTTTCGGGCACCACTGTCATTGATAACATCTTATCAGGAGACAGGGTTTGAGAGCAACCGGTCTGACCAAAATTTATTAGGTGGGAATTTCCTCGTCCTAATAAGCCTGGGAGCACTATGGGAGACTGGGGCTTATTTCATCCCTACAGTCTCGACCACAGGAGATGGCCACACCCAAGGGGGCCATTTTAGAGGCCCACCCTCAGGGGCGCATTCTCTTTCTCAGGGATGTTCCTTGCTAAGAAAAAGAATTCAGCGATATTTCTCCCATTTGCTTTTGAAAGAAGAGAAATATGGCTCTGTTCCACCCGGCTCACCAGCGGTCAGAGTTTAAAGTTATCTCTCTTGTTCCCTGAACATTGCTGTTATCCTGTTCTTTTTTCAAGATGCCCAGATTTCATATTGTTCAAACACACATGCTTTACAATTTGTGCAGTTAACGCAATCAACACAGGGTCCTTAGGTGACATACATCTTCCTCCGCTTATGAGATGACAGTATTAAGAGATTAAAGTAAAGACAGACATAGGAAATCACAAGGGTATTGATTGGGGAAGTGATAAGTGTCCATGAAATCTTCACAATTTGTGTTTAGAGATTGCAGTTAAAGACAGGCATAAGAAATCATAAAAGTATTAATTTGGGGAACTAATAAATGTCCATGAAATCTTCACAATCCACATTCTTCTGCCACAACTTCCGCTGGTCCCTCCGTTTGGGGTCCCTGACTTCCCGCAACAGTGAGACATTTCTACCATTGAAATGGGGTTAAGATAGCAAGGCAAGTCCAATAAAGGCCTTTCCTTCTTGCCAGGCACTCTGATTACACTCTGCACACTGTACCAGGTAATTGGATTATAGTAGCACAGGTAGCACTTTTATGCTTACATCATATTGAGGACTTCGGATACATCTGTGCTCTATGGGATCCTAACTTGGTGTATTAGTCTGTTCTCATGCTGCTATGAAGAAATATCTGAGACTGGGTTGTTTTTTTTTTTTTTTTTTGAAATGGAGTTTCACTCTTGTTGCCCAGGCTGGAGTGCAGTGGCACGATCTTGGCTCACTGTAAACTCCGCCTCAAATTTCAGTGATTCTCCTGCCTCAGCCTCCCGAGTAGCTGGGATTACAGGCACCTGCCACCATGCCCGGCTAATTTTTTATGTTTTTCGTAGAGATGGGATTTCACCATGTTGGCCAGGTTGGTCTTGAACTCCTGACCTCAGGTGATCCACCCACCTCGCCTCCCAAAGTGCTAGGATTACAGGCATGAGCCACTGCACCTGTCCTAGTAATTTATAAAGAAAAGAAGTTTAATTGACTCACAGATCTGCATTGCTGGGGAGGCCTCAGGAAATTTACAATCATGGCAGAAAGTACCTCTTCACATGGCAGCCGGAGACAAAATGAGTGCCAGCAGGGGAAATGCCAGACACTTATAAAACCATCAGATCTCGTGAGACTCACTCATTATCATGACAATAGCATGGGGGAAACTGCCCCCATGATTCAATTACCTCCACCTGGTGCTGCCCTTGAACCGCGGGGATAATGAGGATTACAATTCAAGGTGAGATTTGAGTGGGGACACAGAGCCAAAACATATCATTCCACCCCAGGACCCTACCAAATCTCATGTCCTCATATTTTAAAACACAGTCATGCCCTTCCAACAGTCCCCCAAAGTCTTATTCCAGCATAAACCCAAAAGTCCAAGTCCAAAGTCTCATCTGAGACTGGAAAGTCCCTTCCACCTACAAACCTGTAAAATCAAAAGCAAGTTTGTTACTTCCCAGATACAACAGAGTTACAAGCATTGGGGAAATACATCCATTCCAAATGAGAGAAACCAGCCAAAACAAACTACAGGCCCCATGCAAGTTTGAAATCCAGTAGGGCCATTATTAAACCTTAAAGTTCCAAAATGATCTCCCTTGACTCCATGTCTCACATCTAAGTCACACTGATGCAAGAGGTGGGCTCCCATGGCCTTGGGCAGCTCCACCCCTGTGGCTTTGCAGGGTACAGTCCTCCTCCCTGCTGTTTTCACAACTGGCATTGAGTGTCTGTGGCTTTTCCAGGTTCATGTTGCAAGCTGTCAGCGGATCTGCCATTCTGGAGTCTAGAGGATGGTGGCCCTCTTCTCACAGCTCCACTAGGCAGTGCCCCAGAAGGGACTCGGTGTGGGGGTCCAACCCCATATTTCCCTTCTGCACTGCCCTAGCAGAGGTTCTCCATGAGGGCTCCATCCCTGCAGCAGACTTCTGCCTGGACATCCAGGTATTTCCATACATCCTCTGAAATCTAGGCAGAGGTTCCCAAAGCTCAGTTCTTGACTTCTGTGCACCCACAGGGTCAACACCATGGGGAAACCCCTAGGCTTGGACTTGCACCCTCTGAACCTGTACCTTGGCCCTTTTTAGCCAAGGCTAGAGCTGAATCAGCTGGCATGTTGGGCACCATGTACCAAGGCTGCAAGTTGGATCAGGGATGGGGGTGGCCCGGGGCCAGGCCCATGAAACCATTTTTCCCTCCTAGGCCTCTGGGTCTCTGATGGGAGGGGCTGCCACAAAGGTCTCTGACATGCCCTGGAAACATTTTCCCCATTGTCTTGGTGATTAACATTCAGCTCCTCATTACTTATGCAAATTTCTGCAGCAGGCTTGAATTTCTCCCTAGAAAATGGGTTTTTCTCTTCTATCACATCATCAGGCTGCAAATATTCCAAACTTTTATGCTCTGCTTCCTCTTGAACACTATGCCACTTAGAAATTTCTTCTGCCAGACACCCAAATCATCTCTCTCAAGTTCAAAGTTCCACAGATCTCTAGGGCAGGGGACAAATGCCACCAGTCTCTTCGTTAAAGCATAGCAAGAACGACCTTTGCTCCAGTTCCCAACAAGTTTCTCATCTCCATCTGAGACCACCTCAGCCTGGTCTTCATTGTACATATCACTATCAGCATTTTGGTCAAAGTCTTTCAACAACTGTCTAGAAAGTCCCAAACTTTCCCACATCTTCCTGTCTTCTTGTGAGCCCTCCAAACTGTTCCAACCTCTGCCTGTTACTCAGTTCCAAAGTCACTTCACATTTTCAGTTATCTTTACAGCAGCGCCCCACTACCTCAGTACCCATTTACTGTACTAGTCCATTCTCACACTACTATGAAGAAATACCTGAGACAATAATTTATAAAGGAAAGAGGTTTAATTGACTCACAGTTCTGCATTGCTGGTGAGGCCTCAGGAAAGTTGCAATCATGGTGGAAGGCGCCTCTTCACAGGGAGGGCAGGAGACAGAATGAGTGCCAGCAGGGGAAATGCCAGATGCTTATGAAACCATCAGATCTCGTGAGACTTATTCATTATCACAAGAACAGCATGGGGAAAACCACCTCCATGATTCAATTACCTCCACTTGGTCCCACCCTTGACACATGGGGATTATGAGGATTACAATTCATGGTGAGATTTGGTGGAGACACAGAACCAAACATATCACTCGGGTATTTTTACAGTGCATACTATTTATTAAGATAACTACACTGTGTTTCTTATTTTTGCATCCTACCTCACAGTTAGAATACAGGCTAAAAGAAAGTTTTAACTCCTAAATGCCTTATCACTACCTTAAATGCTACAACTTCACATCTGTAAATATATTTGTTTACATACCCCACCTAAGGTCTACATACCAATTTCCTAATTCCAAGTTGCCTGTCCTACTTTCTAAAGCTTCCCTGCCAAACTTAAATGAATGGAAGAAGATAGGGACTGTCTCTCTGCAGACCTGTCACAATTGTGCTGGTGGTTCCTTGGCTATGTGGAAAAGCCATCTGAGTCTCTCTGACCCCAGAATCCCCATTTGTGACCATGACCTTGCCAAGAAACATACTGCTCACTTGCAAGGAATAATATACCAGGACAAAATTAAATTATTTATCCTTGAAAACACGTACTCTAGAAAAAGCAAGATACTATCATTGCAATTTTAGATTTTGGTTTGCTTTGCTTCACACCAAGAAGTTAAAATATTTTCTTTCTAGAGATATTACTGGATGACTCAACATAGCTAATTAGTAGAATATCCCATTCGGATGGTCACCAACTCATGAACTCCCCCTTCTAAATGTCTCATTTAATTGAGGCTTGCATTTTCTCTCACCTGTACCTTCAACATATCCACGTAGCTCCCCTTCTCCATTTCTGTCTTCCACCCAATATCACAAAAATGCCTTTGCTAAGCTCAGACTGTGTCACTTCTTTGCTTATAAGCCTTTCATGGCATCTCAAACAATTAAATCCAAATTAATGCAAATGGCAACTAGTCAGCTAACAGATGGGTTCAAGCTTCCAATCCATTGTGATTTCTTCCCAACACTCTCTGCTCCCCTGCACTGAACAGGCTCCACATCCCCATCTCTGTGCTGCTGCATAAGCCACCTCTTCTGCCTCAGAGGCCCTCTCTCTCCTTCTCTACCTGATCATTTCCTTCATTTTAAGAGGCACATTTTCATGTTTTGGAGGTGGAGAAAGTCTTACAGTTGATGTCAGAAGAAAACTGTTGCCTTCTAAGTAAGTGGTTTATCGCATGAGTATATGTGACATCAGGCTTACTTAGGAGTATCTGTTTATCCGATTATCATCTCAAGTAAGTTATTTGCATTGATAGCACAAATAGATGAAATTTATTTAAATGTGTATCCTTAACTGTCTTGAAAATATCTTCAAAAAGATTACATTATGATGTAGCATTTACATAAAAAGTTATTGGGAACATAGAAGAATGCTTGTTTTGTGCTTGGCAATGTGACTAGAGGCAGCAGAACTTGCCAAATCCAGCAAATTTTTAGAAGACAGGCTGATGTGACTGATTCATGCATCATGAGGGATCGTCTCTCAAGCAGCAAATATCTGTCTGTCAGGAATTTCCACTTGAATTTCAAGAAAAGCTACTTAATTTCCTTTAGCTAAGGAGAAAAATGCCACATGTTTAACCGAACAGGAAATACAGATAAAACCTAGTTCTCTTCCATAACCCTCAAAAATTATATTTTCAGTCCTAACAAGATCAAGATCAAAACTGTCAGCTATGGAAAGCCACATGGCACAGCCTTGCTAAATATACATAACTATTGATTACCAAAAGTGATTCAGAAGACTTAATCTCAATATGGAGAAAGCTAAGTTGCAAACTTAGAGTGTGATAAGAAAGTACAAAAATATATACTATTAGCAGGTTTTATTCAATGGTTGTATTTAATCTAATGCTTCTTTTTTTCCAAAGTTGTTATTTGGCCAAAGATATATTGCCCAATTGATGACATCTTTGACTCAAGGAAATCTGATGTTTCTTTATGTCCTAGGCATTCTCATGCAGAACTCTTTTAATTCTTACAGCATGTAACACAAAGGATAATTGCTTGACAAGATGGATACTAATTTTATATGATGTGATTATTATACATTGCATGCCTGTATCAAAACACCTCATGTACCCCATAAATGTATGCATCTACTATGTACCCACAAAAGTAAAGTTAAAATTAAAAAAAAAATTCTTACAGCAATGCTATGGAATACATACCCCACTTTACAGACAGAAAAACTGTGGCTCAGGATGTTTAAGGCACCTACCCAAGGTATATAGTAAGGAAAGTACTGAAGTACTTGAGCTTGGGTCTAGTGTAACTCCAGTGCCATTATGCGATATGCCTTGCCACTCTTTCCTAGTACGAAGGCCACAGTTGACTCTGTTGAGAATGTGTTAGCTGTGTCTTTTGAATACCTATTTGAATTAGTTGGCTCAATCATCAATAGAAGGAGATTCAGTGACCCTAAGAACACATAGACATCATTAGCTGAGTTAATTCCTATGGCAATGTCAGTTTCAAAACAAGGCTATCATCTTTTGGTCTCATTTTTCCCCATGTTGTAATGTTCCCAGGTAGATTAAGATTCCGGCCAGGCGCGGTGGCTCACACCTCTAATCCCAGCACTTTGGGAGGCCAAGATGGGCAGATCACCTGAGGTCAGGAGTTCGAGACCAGCCTGACCAACATGGAGAAACCTCGTCTCTACTAAAAACATAAAATTAGCCAGGCATGGTGGTACACGTCTGTAATCCCAGCTACTCAGGAGGCTGAGGCAGGACAATCGCTTGAACCTGGAAGGCGGAGGTTGTGGTGAGCCGAGATCTCGCCATTGCACTCCAGCCTGGGCAACAAGAGTGAAACTCTATCTCAAAAACAAAAGATTCCTTATATGCAGGAAACCATGGCTCATACTTCTTTTTCTCACTTGAACATAGCTGGACACATCATCATCAATAAGTATGTATTTATTTATAAGTTCATCTTCAATTTCTAAGGAAACAAAAATATAGTTTGTTGTTAAAATACACACACAGAGAAATATGAGTTTATTCCCATACTATACTATTGTTCAATGTATTTTGGGTTTGGATCCAACAATTAAGGATCTATCTATGGGTCTGCATAAAACTATTTCTTCCCATTACCCCATTCCAACAATAAAAGTCATCATGATTTAAATTCAATAAATTACAGTATCCCTATTTTACCCCTGGAATATTCATGGCACCCACTGATCTTCTAGGGCATGGCAGCTGGGATAAGGAGCTCCAAGAAGAGCAATCATACTTCCTGTCTCCCTATTCATTGTCCGTCTTCCTAGCATGTAAGTACTCCCTCCTCAGTCATCTCCCAAAGAAATCTGATGGACAGCTGTCTCTGGAGGTACTCAGAACCCATTCATGAAAGGCAGGAAGTGGCATAAACAAACAAAAGCTATTTTAATGGACTGAACTGACTTCCAAACTTCAACAAAATACATTTTACTTTGGTTTGTTTTCACATTCTAAAGAGCAATTGTGACAGTTTTGGTCTTTATCTCCATGCAACTCTGCCTTCATGGATGGAGACTGACAAAAATTATCTGAAATTTCATAGCTACTGGGTGTTAAAAAGTATGCACACAGTAAACAAACTCATTCTTGTGGGCAGAGAGTTCTGACTTTTATTGGTTTCTGAAGTTAAAAACTACTTAATAACCCCGTCTTTGTTTTTCTATGGGTAGTATTTATACCCCAAAGTAGAAGTTAGGATAAAGCATTCCTTTAGAGATTACCTTAGTAAGCCTGCCCTGCAAATCCTAAGGACCTAGAACATGTTCTAAAATTATGTTTCAAAATTGGATTTGTCTAAGTTTTAAACATCTAGCTCTAACCTTATATCCCCTCATTTTGAGCTTTAACCACTATTCAGTATTTATGGAAAACAGCTCTAAGTTAATGAAAGAGAATATATACCATTAAAAATCTATATGCCGATTAGATTTATAGGGCATAATTCAATAATTTTTTATAAAGCAATAAAAACACTTGCCAACTCTCATGAAAAACAACCATATGTTTTGGTTTTAATAATGAAAATGTTTTATAAATAAGCTCCAATTATGGTCTGTATTATTTGAAAAGCATTGAATCTTTTCCTCTTCCAAGTATATTTTTTCTCTATTTTTTGAGGCAGTCTTAATAATTTACATGTAAATTTATAGTATTTCCAGGGTCTTTTTTAACCACAAAAAAGACATTCACTTTTTTTTCTTTTAGTTTCCAGTGTTCCCTAAAAGGACACTTTTAAGTTAGATGACTAATATATCAATTATTATTTATCTTTCTAAGAATTACTTTTATCTGTGGATTTCAAAGCAAATTAAATCATAACCACAGATTATTCTATCAAATTTAAGGACAGATTCATTCCATGAATTAATATGCCCATTTAAATTATATGAAAATAAAACTTTTGATGTATTTTATATATCCCCATATCAGTTATGTGTAAGTATAAAATACTGCCATATTCTTTCTGGAAAACAACTTGGTAATATGTATTAAGAGCCTCAAAAAGGTTCTTGCCCTTTGACCCAATGTCTATCATAAGGACATAATCACCAAGGCTTACCAAAATTTCAATATGACTGTTTATTACAGTGTTATTTACAATAGTAATAAACTAGAAATATCGGCAATGTCCAACAATATAGGCCTGGTTAAGTGGCTTATGGTCAATCCATTTGATGGAAACTGTACAAACATTAAAATTAAAGTTTTAAAAGAACATTTAAAGCATGAAGAAATGCTTATGAAAAACGTCAAGTTAAAAAAAGACAAAACTGTATATGCTAGTGTTTGACAGTTTTACAAAATTGGAATTATGGTCTATATACCATAAATGGACAAGAATGGGCACACAAGAATGGAAACACACCAAAATATTGATCTCGGTTTTCTTTGAGTAGCAGGATTATGAGTCATTTAGAAGTTTCTCTTTGTATTTTTCATATTTTCTACAATGAATATCTATGATTTTTATAATCAGAAATGTTATTAAAAATAATATTGCAAAAAGTCTAGCAAAAAAGTTATAGCTGAATAAATAATATTGAAGAAAATGACTTACTGAGATAGAAAGTTGTTTATATATAAGCGAAAAAAGTATGTCAAAAACATTTTGCATAATACGCTCCAATTTTTAAGTATATATATGAATTTGCATAGAAAAAAGTTGGAAGGATATTTTTATATAAAATATAAACAACAATTATCTTGAGGTTGCATAGAAAAAAGTTGGAAAGATATATTTATATAAAATATAAATGGGAATTATCTTGAGATTGCGGGAATATAGATGAGTGACGTTGCCTAAAGATTTAGACTGTCTTCAGAGAACTTTGTATTGCACATTCTCATCAGGGAGACTTTCATATACCTACATATAGACTTTTTATTAATAATATGTGTCCTACTATGCTAATAACCTATATACATTATAAATTATACACACAAAAATGGAAATATTAAGAGGAGATTTAAAATACAAATAGAAATTCTTATATTTCTTGTTTCCAACAGATGGTCTTAGAATGTGGACAATTTTGGAGAGCAAAGATCTAAAAGAGCTAATATTTATGATCCTTTTTCTCTTTTAATAATATTTCAAACATACTAAAAAGCACAGAAAATACTATGACAGTAATACTATGCAGATTTAACAAAAGTTAGCATTTTGCCTTATTTGCTTCAGATCTTTTATTAAAAAAATAAAAGAAATCTATGTAGATTTAACTATTCCTGCTGCTTGTTCCTCGGAGGAAACAACTATCGGAAAGATGTAATATATTCTTCATCACTTTATCATTATACTTTTCAGCATATACACGTATCCACAACAAAATAGAAATGTCTAGTGATTTTTAAAAATTATTAATTATTTTAAAGTGCATATAGTGTATATATGCTTTTGCAAATTTTCTTTTTTAATCAACTACATGTTTCTGAAATGTATCCATGGAAATACATGTAGATCTAATTCATTCATTTTAACCACTGTATAGTATTGTTTCATTTTATGATTTTACAATTTATATTTCTGTTTCATACTTGACAGACATTTATGTTGTTTCCAATTTTTTACCATTTCAATACTGCAGTGAATAGCCTTAAACAGGACTCCTTGTACACATGAACAAATGTCTCTTTATTATATACACCTAGACTAGGAATTGCTGTGTTATAGGTATGCTCAACTTCAACCATATTAGATATTGCCAGATTTTTTCCAAAGGGTTTGGATGATTTATACTACCAGCACTAATAAATAAGTGTGTGTGTGTACACACACATACATACAC
The DNA here is from genome assembly GCF_000001405.40 of Homo sapiens. Taxonomy (NCBI): domain Eukaryota; kingdom Metazoa; phylum Chordata; class Mammalia; order Primates; family Hominidae; genus Homo; species Homo sapiens. Next base: position 175,378,663 of record NC_000002.12, on the reverse strand, counting down.
ACAGTTTAATATTTTTGATCATTTATATATATTGCAAATATAATATCTTCTCCCTGTCTGCAGCTTGTTTCCCAGTTTGCATTTAATTTAGTTTAATTCATCAATATTTTCCAATATGGTTTGTATCTTTTATTTAACATATCCTTTTCCTTCCCATTTTTATATAGACATTTTCTACATACATTAAAATGTATATAAAAAATTCTGAAAGTTAAAAAATTTAATTCTAAAAGTTTAAAAATTTTTCTTTTTTACACAACTGAAATGTACTTCTGCATATGGTATGAGACAAGTAATCTCCACGTTTACATAGATACCCACTTGGCCCAACAATATTTTTTAAATTATGAATCCACTGAAATCTCATGCTATCTCTGCAGAGTGTCCAGTGCTCTGCAGAGTGTCTGTTTTGGGGCTCTCTGTTCTTTCACTGGTCTATTGTTCTGCCTTTTAACCAATACTCAAATGTCTTAATTACTGTACCTTTATAAAAAAGCTTTAAGATATTCCAAAATAACTTTCGCCTTTTAATCATCTTCAAATCTGCCTCGACTATTTTTTATTATCTTTCATGCAAACTTTAGGATCAGCTCTCCAACTTCTGTCCATGCTTTTAGTGGGTGAACTGTTCATACCCGCAGTTTACTCCCAAAAAATGAGGAGCGCAGAGTGCCATTGCTCCAGCAGCTTTCATGGCCTTTGTTGCATGGTACATTGTTGCAAGTTCAATCCACTAAATCCTAGGGAGTTGACTCATCGTGCATCACTCCTTTTACTCAAGGCTTTCTTCCGTAAAATAGTTTCTTTTCAATACGGTAAATATAGTTGCATAAATAATTTTGATGTTGTTCTTTGGTTTTCTCTCTTTCTCCCCACTATATGGACATTCAACACACCCACACCCCACTGAAGAAGTGATTGTCTACTTTCTGAAGAGCTTGTTGAATTGTGAGCCAAATGATTATGTATTTCCAAACCCCAAAGCAGAGTGCATGATTTAACCTATGGTCTTAGAATTAAGAGAATATTTGTAATGAAAATGGACCTTGAGAAATCCAAGATGAGTTTTTTTCCAAATTACATTCATTTAAATCTCAGTAAGACTAATCATTGGGTCATGTTAAAGGTAGCTCTCTCACAGAAGAAGGAAACAAAAAACAAAAAGGAGGGGAAAAAGGCAACCTCATTTTTTGCTGATCAAATTCAAGATTTTTCTCTGAAAGGTTTTTCTCCTGTGAAATGTTCAATTTATAAATGCATATAAACAGTACATTATTTTTAGTTATTTATTTAGCATGTAATTTATTTTAAAAATTATATTGGAACTCATGTTAGCTAAGTACAAACATATTAATCACTTCACTGTGTACTTCAGCAAGACAAAAAAGATGGGAAGAAACTATGTTTGCTATTGCTGTTATTATTATTATTATAAGGAGTTCATTTCTAGCACAGATCTCTGTTGTCTTTTTATACTACTTACCCTGAAAATTGCTAAGCAGTAATTTCTGGACCAAAAACATTGTGCTGAGAGATGGCAAGTTCCAGGAAAAAGGTAACCTGGTTGCCACAATTTCAAGAAAATATTCCCTAACAGGTTTCTGTGGGACCAACCCTATGCCTGTGGAGTTTTCAGCCAAAAGGTGCTAGCATTGCAGTCCAGGATGTTTGTGGGAACTTCTAGTCTTTCTGACATTTTGTTATCCTGGTTTTTTACTTTGGGGATGTGACCCTCTTGGACAATCATTGGGAAGTTTAAAAAGGTTGTTCAGTGTGTGTCCCTAACCTCTTACAACCCACAGCCAAAGCAAACCAAGCAACAAAAAGATGAAGGGGAAATAAGAGGGAAATCAAGATCAGAGTGGAGCAAGGGAAGGGCAATTTCATAAGCTGTGGGCCTGTCTGACATGGGGTCCGTTTGTAAACTGAATCTGGTATTTTTGTCTTTTCTTTTCTTTTCGTTTCCTTCCTTCCTTCCATCCTTCCTTCCTTCCTTCCCCCCTTCCCCTTCCCCTTCTCTTCTCTTCTTTTCTTTTCTTCTTTCTTATAAGGTCCTGAGGAGAGAGCTTTCCCAGCTTATTTCTAGGCCAGCACTGAAGCTCAGTGATCTTTTGACTGGGCTCTGCAGCTGCAAGAGACATTGGCCCTATCAGGTCTGCACCCGGCAAGTGTGAGAGCCTATAATCATTCCAGGCAAGTGAGGGCCTAGACCAGGCAAGTCAGGCTAGAGGCAGGACAAAGAGGGCAAACCAAACAGGAAAGCTGTGTGTGTGTGTGTGTGTGTGTGTGTGTGTGTGTGTGTGTGTGTGTGTGTGTGTGTGTGTAAAGCTACATGTCCTGTCTTTCACTCACTTCAGTTCCCTGGTGGGATGTTTCTCTGTCAACATTAGTATCAAGCACTTGAGCACAAATGAAAGTTGGTTTTATGGAAGCCGTTTAAATGGATGCTAAAATGAATCTCTAGAAATCCGAGTGTCCAGGCCCAGGTGGAAACTCATTGTCTGCAAAGTGGGGCACTCATGCCAGGGATTCCTAGATTATCAAAAAAATATCCAAACAACTCTCTTTCACATTCAAATAAGTAAGAGGACCAATAAAGCTTTCTCTCCCTTAAAAGTACTAGCATTTTACAACTGTAAAAGGCTCCACCATAGTCTATATGAAACCCTGATTGCACATGAAATGCCCAGTTAAGCTTGGGGGTTTGGCCACACTGTAGTCTTGCTACAGTACAGGCCACATATTATGGAATTCAGCTTTCAGGATTTCAGACTAATTAGAGAGGCACCCAGTAGCACTATGCGGGTTCTGTCAGCATTTCCACTATAAAACCCCCTTTTCTGGGATTTATAACTTAGCCAATAAAAGATAGCCCCAGGCTGGAATGTGCCACGCAAAAAAATTCAACCTAGGAACAAGATTTTTTGTTTTAAACTAAATTTCATTAAAAATAAGTTCTTGTAAGAACAGAGTAATAAAAATATGCTGGTTTCATTATTTCTGACGTTTTCAACTCCTTGCTTTGTTTAAAAATAAAAAAGGAAAAAATAAATGCATTTTCCAGGCATCAGGTCTAGGTCTCTTTTGGTTGGTGTGTATTTTAATGAAAAATATTTGAGTTATTGGGGCTTAGAAGAAACTATTGCTTGCCACACACTAGTTTTGTTTCACATTTAACATTTTGTTTCAGATTTAACCCAGCTCAAATCGGTTTGGAAATAGAGTGTGCGATGCGTTGAATCATAGGGATTTTAATGGTTTCTCATGATTAGCACGTTAACCACCATCACATTGTAGAGTAAAATTCTAAATACTAGTAAGGCTTACTGAAAGCAAAGCTTTAGGATGACACTAGTGTTTTACATTGTCCATTACTGCTTATAAATGACAACTCCATTTTATACATCTTGGCAAGAGGAAATGGGGAAAGTACAATTTCCATATACTTACTATTATATACCCTTATGTACAAATAAAATTAAACATTATCTCCTTAGCTTTAGTTTATTTTATCCTTGCTAATTATAATTGTGTCTTCTTTGCAGACATTTTATCTTAAAATATTAAAACAGAAGGAGTATTCAAATTTAGCCAAAAACCAAAAAGAAGGTAAAGGAAGGGAAAACCAATATATCTTGAGCAATTAGTCTTATGCCTGCCAGTGTTTTAAGTGCTTAATATGTGTATTCTCAATAAAAATTCAGAGCAATCTCATGAAAATAAGGTCCTGGGAAGTTAAATAACTTTACCTGTGGTCACAAAGTTAATTGACAAAGCAGATATTCAAAGTCAGTGTGTCAGATTCTAAAGACTGTGCTCTTTCTGTTATCATTTACTGTAGAGTCGACTTTCTCTTCCTTAAGTTCATTTATTATAAGACTATTGCCTGGTACATTTCCTCAGTTTCTACCCACAATAACTTTTATATTACCCTTGCTTCTAGTTGGCAGAACTTTCTATTCTTAAAGAAAATGGTGAGAGTGGAGCTAAATTTCTGAGCATTAGATTTCCAGTATGCCCTACTTTCATGGCAACCCCAATAAGATGAAGAACCAGAAAGGCTCTTCCAGAGAAATGCAAAGTGCCCCTTCTAAGGAAACTGTCAAGATTCTCAGGTTCACTCAACAGAGAATTAAATGCAACTTTGAATACTCCAGAAAAGGGCCCTCTAAAAGTCCCTGTCAGCCTGGCCAACATGGTAAAACCCTGTCTCTACTAAAAATACAAAAATTAGCCAGGGTGGTGGCACGCGCCTGTAATCCCAGCTACTGAAGTCTGAGGCAGGAGAATCGCTTGAACCCAGAAGGCGGAGATTGCAGTAAGCCGAAATCACACCACTACACTCCAACGTGGGTGACAGAGCGAGACTCCATCTCGAAAATAAATAAGTAAATAAATAAATAAATGTCCATGAGAGCCCTTTTACAGACAAGCTGAAACTGGGTCTCTCTTTACTAAGGTACACTGACTTCCAGTATGTTTGACTTCAAGGCGTCTGACTTAAGAAAGAGTTATTTTATGCTTTTTTTTTTTTTTTTTTTTTTTTTTTGCAACTTACCACTGAGCTATACCTCTCTACAGAACAAGCTGCATTTGCACTTTTGGAGGCCAATGTCACCTGCGACCTCCTTTTGTCCATTCATATGATATACACTGGGAAGAATGGCTGGGAGTGTCCTGGGGAGTCCCTACTCTGCCAGATGACTTGCTCTTGGCCCCATTGATCTCTGCCCCCATGTGGGAAGGAGCTGCAGGTAAGGGCCAAGAGGCTGGAGAGACATCTCCCTAGCTATCAACCTGTCTTTCCATTTCAAAATATGCCATTCTTCTATCCAGCTACAGCCCTTGCCACAGGGATGATATTTGTGCCATCTACACATAAATGAAAGAAGTAAGGGGTACCTCCAGTAAAAATGTCCTGAATTTTGTCTATTTAAGTAAGAGCCTTAAAGGAAAACCACACGCTTTTAATGGCCTTTAACTGGTTAAAGAGAACAGTAAGTTCCCTCCCAGAAGCTTGAGAACAGAGCTCGTTTCCTTCCGGATTTTTTTCTTGGTTAACCAGACTAGGGAACAAACGAGTTGTAAAATATTTGTTAGGCTGTGAAGCTTAACAAAGAAATGTTAAACAACACTGATGATAATATTGATTTCCTTCTCTCCATTCCTGCTTACTCAGAATGACTGTCCTTGGCTTGTGGCTGTTTGGAGTTATGCAAAGTCTAGGAAGAAGTGGCCCTCGCTGACCACTGGCTGCAGTCAGTTCTGCTTAAAAATTCCCTGGCAAGGTCAACCCACAATTCCTGCCTCTGATTACACAGATTGACTAAGGTACGTTATACATGCATATGCACACATTTGTCCATTTAGGCCTGCTCAGGAAACACCCAATTTACCAAATCAGATTTAGAGGAAAGAACATTTACAGTAATTTATCCATGTTAAAAAGGTTCTCCTCTGCTTAGTAAAAGAAATCACGGCAGGGTTCCTTGAAATCACGCATTTCAAATGATTCCACTTACAGTCAACAGCTCAGCAAAACATCTATAATGCAAAATGAGGAAATGAAGCCTAAGTATACATATCATATGTCTCAAACTGATTACAGTTTTTCTGAGATATATATTCCATCTTGCATTCTTGAGGAAAAAAAATACAAGTATAAGGTTCAAGGGCTTAATGTCTTTAATTTTCTTGACAATTGCCAACAGTATGTGACATGGTGCTTTTTATAGAACCAGAGCTCAGAAAGACTCTGTTACTGAATGACTTAAGGCCTGCAGCACATGGCTCAGTGCCCATTAGGATCATAAATTACTTGAGTAATGCTAATTATTTTTTGCCTTCAGTGCTCATGATCAATATATTTGTGTGTGTGGTTTTTTTTACTTTAAATGTATTTCTTTGCATATATTAAATTTCTCAAGAGTGAGCACAGGACCAAGGGCAGAGACCAAGCATGTCACATTTTTCATTGTTTCCTCTGCACCTGCCCTGGTGAGGAGCACACAGTAGGCACTCAATATCAATTTGTTAAATAAGCAATTGGATCATTGAAAACATCTGCCTTTACTAAGGCAGGTTTAATATACTTGCAAGTATATTCCATAGCATTGCTTTGAAAACTTTTTTCTCTGAAAAACCAATGAGTTGCAGAGAAATTACTGGGGGTTCTTCTAACATAAATGAGTTCATAGGGACATGGTTAATTCCTGCCTGCTCCATAGCTATCAGATTTGCATTCCAGGAAGAAGACCCATGTAAAAGAGCTCTCCAGCTTCAGAACGCTTCAAAAGCCTAATTGCATTAAGTCAATAATACTCTGTTGAGTAATAATTTGCTACCTGACATTAAATGATGAAATGTTATAATAAAATACTAGTATGCTAAATTAAGTGCCAACTAAACAACAGTTCACAAAACCCAGATTCACCACAAGTTAAATTCTAAACCTTCTTCTTTTGATGAGCATTTTCTTCATTTTTCAGCACTGCCATTGCAGACCAGTGACTCCTGGACAACTCACTCCCAGTCTTTGCACCCACTCACTTTCCTTTGCACCCCCTTTCCCCACAGCTTAAATCTTCTCATCAGGGACACAAGCTAACTCTCATGCATGCCCTATGGAAAGCAAGCTCCTATGGGAAGGAAAAAAACAAATGTCACCAGACTCCCGAAGCATGTGACCCTGGATCCAACAGAAGACATTTCAATTTTCAGACCACTCTCTTCCATTCACCCACAGGTCTGTGGGCCACAGTCTGAACTAGCCACTTTCCTGTCTGGCTGTCAGTCTTTACTTCTCTTCCTTAAGTGAAAGAGCAAGAAAATAAAGAAAAAAGAAAAGTATCTGAAATTTTAAGGACACAGATAACAAGGAAGGGGAGTATTAAATAGTTTTGAAGTGTTTTATATCTCAGTTTTTTCTTCTTCCTTTTTTTTCTCCACCACCCTACCCCCAGCCCCACCAGGAGTGATTCTGAAGTTCTACTTTGCTTGCCAGCTCTGCACTGAGCTCTCACTTCCCAGCACTCATCAGGGATGATTACAAGCCACATTCCCTCAATAAAAGCAAATAAGGAAACAGCTTTCCTTTACCATACTGACCACATATGTGTGTAGTGAAAGTGGGAAGGAGAGACCATAATATATGTCCTAGCAACACAAAAGCACACCCTCCACTTTGCATACATATTTACCCAATTTCATCTAGAGGTCCCATGTGCTTCAATTGCTCATTTATTCTTCAACCTTAGATAAGGAGATGAGGGAGGGGGAGGGACAGACAGACCTATAGATGACAGATCTGTAGCCAATGTTGTTAGCATGCCAGATCTTATTACAGGACCATGGGAGGTCATGCACGCCACATCCAGACTCCATGGGGACCACCACATTTAAAACAAGATGAAAAAAATGTGATGTAGGGGAAAAAACCCTCATGGGCAGCCTTCAAAGGCAGAGACAGGTTGTGACTGGATTAACATTTATTGACTGTTTAAGCCTGCTTTTTTGCTTCAGGACAGAGATACATGAGTTTAATTGCAGAGGCTGTTCTGCCAACTGATCACCAGAGTGGCAACCAAAGCTTAACTAATCGGTCCTTCATTAGTGAAAAGTCTCTATTACAAAACAAATTAAGCATGCTCTGATCCTAACCTACAGGTCCAATGGCATTACGGCAAAGTTTAAGCTGTTAGAGCTGTGAAAAACTTATTAAGGGTTAGCGCTGAGATAGCACTTGGCTATTGATTTTACAATACACAGGTATTATGATTTATGGAGTGCTGGTGTCACTCTAACAAGCTGAAGGACACACAATATCATCTCCAGCATCATTAAAATTCAGAAGCCTCCAGAACTAACTCATCAACCATTGTGCATTGTCACAGACTACGGAGCCAGGCCCCAGCTTCAAAACGTCCGAAGCTTTGAGACAGTCACCTCCCTGCTTGCTTGGCAATCAGAAGTATAGACCGGCCCCTCAAAATGCTTTCAGTGCCTTCAATTAATAATCAGAGGCTATTTTCACCCTGAGTTGTCAAATATTTTGTTATTTAATTTTGCCTTTTAACATCCAGAAGTATTTTGTGCATATCTACTACACATCTGTTTAAAAAAGAAAGACTATACACCAAGGCAGTATATAATTCAGGCAAGGATCTAACTAAACCATGCCAAAAAAAAAAAAAAAAAGATTTTTTTTTTACACATAAAAAGCTGGCAGAAGTAGCTGTGGTAATCCATCAATAGATATTCAATGAGCACCAATTAGGTTCAAGTCATAGTAATAAGAGTTAATCATTATTAAGCATTTACTATATTCCAGAATTGTTCTGTCCTTTTATTTTATTAATACAGTTAATCCTCACAAAAACCTTTGAAATGAAAAGTAGTTTTTTATCTCCTTCTTACTGATAAAAATACAGAGACACAGAGAAGTTAAGTGTATAGCTGCCAGGCAGAATAGCCAATATTTCAAAGTGAGGCAGTTTGACTTCCAGGTGTTGTCTTGGGCCAATTCCTAAATGTAACAATCATTTCTATTAACAAAAGCTGCATCTTTTCAACTAACTTCAATATCGGTCAGTCTGCAATTTGAGGATGTTTCCAGTTAAATCGAATTTTAAAAATTGACCATTAGTTTTGTTGAAAAACTTTCCCATACAGTGTTATTGAAACACCCTTCAGTTATTTTCTGAGTTACGTAATCACAATGAGTATATTCTTTCAGAGCACCCATTTTCTGTGCCTTTAATCATTTTTGATACTTTCATTTATTTGTATCTTTCTACTTTGCATAAAATGATAGATAAATCAAAGACATAGTACTTTTTTCTTTTTTTCTTTTAACATCATTTCCCACTCCCAAACTCAAACTAAGCCCTATACTGAATTTTTTACAAGCATCTGTGGTATTTACAATCAATGTTGTCATAAACAAATTAAATTACAAACTTCTAACTTAGCTTTATGTATGTATTTTTCCATGACAATGTTTACCAAAGAGTGGAAATAGGCAAGTGATGTGTCTATATTGTATCTGAAGCTAAAGAATTTGGGGACTGGTGTAGCTGAAGAGTCTTCTTTCAAACCTCTCTCACCCGTAGGTTCTGGGGCCACAGAATATGGCCCTTGGAACAGTGTTATAATTTTATTATTGATTCGTGTTCAACTTTATAACGTCAGATAATTTCCTGTTTCATGTGCATAGTGAATCATTTTCTAAATTTCATTTGAGATTTCTTTTCCCATGCACTTCACACACATTATATCCCTATTAAAGATTGTTCCAATTCTTACTAGCCATTTTTACAACTTGAAAGGTTATTAGATTTCAAATTCTGCTTGTCATTTCCTCCCACTGTCCTGGTGTCTTTCATCATCTAAGTGCCCAAGAATATCATAGATGTTACAGATGGATAGCTGGCATCTATTTGCCTAGCCAATACTGAGTTAGGAAAATCTTCTCCTTTGTTATCTATCCACCCAAGCAGCTTTCCTCTGCTTCTCAATGTAACTTGCCAGTACCAAGGGGTCTCCATGGTTCTGATTATCTTTGGATCATGCTGGCCCTTTAACTCAAAGTGCACTTCCCTCCACTCTCCACCTATAAAATCACAATTCATTATTAGTGGTAGGAATCAACTGTTATCCCTTCCTGGAAACCTTCTGTGATTCCTTAAGTCAGAATTAATCACTCTACCCTCATTTGTTTCCCTGTGTTAGCAACTTAATTTTGACTGAATCAAAAGCCTCGCTGATAGGAAGTTGTATATGAAATCAGAGTTTTGCTCACGTGCAGTTTCGTTGTATTTACTCAACTATTCCCTGGGAGTTTAGAATCTTCCACAGTATTCATCTCTGATACTTTAGTCTTGTTTTCATGTCTTGCAAGTATTGTTTTCTGACCTTCAGCCCTTTTGGTATTCATTTAGTCAAATTTGTTGCTCGGTAGCTTTTATCTGTCTCACATAAACCATGAAATAGAATTTCTTGTGTCCATCGTGGTATTTCCTTTTAAAATATGCACCTCTTCTGAACTCCTTTGTCCCATGGGATATGCCTAAATGTGACTTCAGCCTCACTTTGATCCACAAGATCCTTAAGAGCTGGTGGAGACCTCAGCTATAAGCTTAATACAATCTCTCATCTTATGGATAAGAAACTAATCTGGGGAAGACAGAAGGGACTAACTCCAAGTCATCCTGCTAGTTAGGGTGACATAGATGGATTACCATCAGTGTCCTGTTTCTAAACCTGAGAAGAGCAAATTAACTACACCTAAATGCGGAAAAATAAAATCAACCATAATGGTGCTGGTCATGTGGAGTTTACTGAATAAGCCTTTACACAGCCATGGGCTCTCTCCCAGTGGGGTCATCTTGACAATCCTCCTAAGCTTCCTGACTTTGATTTCTAAAAATTAATACATATTCTATATTTGCCTGGGTTTCTTTCTATCCTCTCACAACCCTGACCTCTAAATTTATCTCACCTTCACCAACGCAGTCTCCATCCTCTGTAGCTTCCCCTATCCTCCTTTCTCAGGCAGAACAAGCCAACACATCTTACAAAGCTTCCACAGTTTCTGTACATAACTTCTCATTCCATGAACAGCCTCCAACTCTTCACACATGGAATGCTCTTCTCTCCAGCATAGCTCATCACAATCCTAAACTTCACAACGCATCTCAAAAGCCAACTCATTTTTCTGACCACATTCAACCTCCTCTCTTAGAATTAGTTGTTTAATTGGCTTCCTTTCACAGTACCTTGTTTTTGCCTCAGTGCTAACTCTTAGCCCAATCTGTTTTCTATTAGAATTTCTTTTTTATTTATCATTTACTAGACTGCACTCTCTGAAGAGAGCTATTTTCCTTTAGGCACTGAGTGACTTCACGAAGCATGGCCTAAATAAATGTTTGTTGAATAAATAAATGAATGATGAGAAAGGCATTTTGAATATCTGTTGCCTATTCTACACAAATAGATCTACCTAAAACTCCAGAAATGTCCTGTTAGTCAAGGCTTTTAAAATGTAATTTTTTTCTAGAATGGATGGCATAAAGGAATTCCATGATGCATAAAAACAAAGAATGTTATGACATGCTTTATATATTGTGAATCAGTATTGGTATTTCTAAATGTGACCTAAACTTTATATTCAATTATGATCAATTGTAATTTCTCTTTTTGGAGGGTAATTGCTCTTACCTTCTTTATCTGAGATGGCAGGGGGAGACAGTTTCAATACCTACAGTCTCACAAAAAATAAATAACTTCATAAAAACTACCATGAAGCAGCTTCATGGTTGATATTTAGAGTTTCAGCCCATTCCCAAAAGATTCCAATGAGGACAGAAAAAAATCATTCATTCCTCTAGCTGTTTCATCCAAACAAAGACACATATTTAAATATCAGGAAATACCACTGTAGCTGCCTGGATATTCTTTTTTCTCTTTGGGGCACAGTCAGATCAGGCAGATCATGTCCACACCATTAGGTCAAGGGTGTTCTCACACCAAACCTAGATGTGTCTTTGCTTCTCCTCATCACTTGTAACTTGTGACGTCACCCTTTCACTCCTTGAATAAATCCAGTATCAGCCCCAGCCCATATAAATCTGTTCTGCCCCTTTGCTTCTGTCTTCATGTACAGCATACTGTAAATAATCATAATGGAGTGGTGTAAATAGTTCTGTGGTACACTGGAGACCCCTATTGGTGAGACTCAGACAGTGAATTCGAAGCCCGACATCCTAGCGAACAGAACTGGATCCGCGTCTGCTGGGCTCCTTGGGGTTCCAGTAGAGCAGAAAGCGATGCCTTTAGCAATTTTTGCACATTGATTAATCAGTTTATGAAAGCAAATGTGTGTGTGTATTTACTGTACTTTGTGTTTGTATATGACATCACCAAATAAGAAGGCAGCACAAATGACAAAAAAAAAAAGTATGTGACCTCCTGTAATTTTAGGGCCATTCATTTTCAGTAGACAACACACAATAGGGATACATGCAGCATTGCTGTTATATAAATACATATTGATCAAAATATGGCAAAGCATTCACACAGTTCAAAACTCTGAGCGTTAGATAGTAAAACATATACTCCACATGTCCACTTTTAAAAACAATATCCTATGCTTTTCAAGATTTCTAAGATAGAGTTTAACACATAACTAGGTTTTTCAGGGCTCTTAAAAGGTACCTTGCTTAAACTAAGAGTTACTGGTTTAGAACCTCTGAATGTTTAAAATTCTGATTTCAAATTATAAAGGAAAAATTAATTTATAATAAAGAATTGACTACCTCTTAAACACCTCAGCACATTTTTCAATGTGCATATTGAAATTAGTCTGACAGCTTAAAAGATGAAAGAGCTACAGTTTATATTGTAAGTATAATGTAAAAGGTAGTAGAGAATGCCAAATGTACCATAAATCATTCATTTCAGGTGGTAGGATTGTCTGAGAATGTTATTTTGAATGTTGCCCAGTGTTTTTCCTCTTTATTTTCCACAGCTACCTTAAAAATAAATTTTGAAAAGACTAATGGCCGCGTGAATGAGCTATTTCAAATAGTTGCTTTAAAAACACTAAGAATTTCTACCCTGGCCACACGTTCTAAAGAAGCAAAACTCATCACTTACCAGATGAAAAATGCCTTTGTGCCTAGTCTTGAAATGTCCATATCCCTTAATTGGCATATTCATATAATATAAAAATAATTTAATAACATTAGACAAAAATAATGCTAATGGAAAAAAACCTAGAAAATAATTACAGACACAGTCAGTTCTTGATCACCTTTGTTACTGGTTTTGGTAATATTTTTATACTTGTTTTCTTCTCCATTTCTTTCAAACTAAATTGCTATTTCTTCTGCCTTCCTCCTACTTTCTCCCCGATACACACACAAACACACACACACACACACACACACACACAATCTCCTCCTCAAAATGCAATCTTTGCCTTGACTTTAGCTGAAGCTCCAAGCATAGGAGAGGTCCTGAGTGTAGAGCATAAAAATCTGATACCAGTGAGCTCAACATAAAATACAAAGTCCTGTTCACACACTATGATTATTTGATGATCATTTATTTCTTTGCTGCCCATACCAGCCTATCCTACATGCATGTGTAATTTATTTGTGTTGACTTCCTAATCTTATTTGAAATGGAGAAAATATTTTTATTCTGCTACATGCAACTGCTTCTAACTGCAAAGCTCAGACTTAATCCCTCAGGCTGAAGACTGAGAGGGGAGATGATTGGGAAAAGAATGTGGACTGTGGTCCTGTGAGATCTGAGCTCTCCCTTTAGGAAACACATTCATCTCCTTCTCTCTAAAGGTCCCAAGTGAATGTGGCCTAATAGAACCAGCACAGAAGCAGTGCATTTTTGGTGTAGAGTTCTGAGTGTGTGACTGGGGTGGGGGTGAGAGGATGGAATTTTAAAAAGGTCAGAAAGCTACAGGGCCTAGTGATGTAGACATCAGAGAAGGGAAACCCCTAAATTCTAATCCCAGCATCGTTGCCTCTGTCACCACCTTCCCTGGAGGGTTTTTTTTAAAGGTAGTTTTCTTGGAACATATGCACTGTCTTTACTGCTAGAGTTAATAACTGAATGATGATTTTTAAATACAGAGTGCTCGAGGCTACATTCTGTGATAACTTCCTGGGCCATCCAGCAATGCCCAACAAAGTACACTTCTGGAATGCACACTTGGAGCGAGATAATGATCCTACAAATAACAGACTTAATAACATTTCTACCACACTCTCTTGGCTCTTGACAACTGTTTTATCCAGCTCAGAGAGGTGCAGGATGAGTGCCCTGTACAGGCAGTATTTCTGCAAACTTTAATGATAAAAGGAAATAGTATTATAAGGAATAAAACCACTTTGTTCAGAGGAAAGAACAAAGGGCAAAAGTCAGAAAGTTCAAAGAACAAAATGATCCAAGCTCTGCCATAAGTGGATTTTATAACCTCTTTCTTTATTTTGTTTCTCCTCATCTATCGAGTGGGCATTATAATTCCTCCCCTGACTGTGTTATACATGAAAATCAAGGGAGATGATATATATAAAAGTGCTTTGAAAGGCTACAAGCCTCATCTCCATGTGTGGGATTATGATTATCCTTACTACTGTCAAAAAATGCCAATGCCGCTCAGTGCTATTAGCAAAATCCAATTCCTTTTGTTTGAATTTTGCCTATAGAAAGCAATAAAGTGGAATAAATATCCATTAGTCAGTAGTCAACATATATTGGAACAGCTGAAACACCAAATCTTTTTAGTCTGAAAGTAGAATGCTAAACTAATGTTATCTCAGGAGTTGTCGGGGGAACGAGGGGGAGGCATTGCTGAGTAGAGGTGGGGGGTAGATTGGGGAGACGCAGCTGCAATAGGGCAAAAAAAGCCTCTTTCTCCTCCCAAGAAAACGTCTCCACTAAATTCCATTCAATCTAATTACGCATAAGAGAAAAGTCAGGAAGAAGGGTCAGCTTGAACGGAGGCCTGTTATTGGTCAGCATTAAGATAATATTGATAGAAAACATAATGCAATACATTTTCCTCTGCCACACGTTTCTGAATAATAGCAATTTGCCCACTAGCTAACCACCTCAGCATAAACACTAGAATGCTCCTGCTGAGTCTCCGAAAGCCTACTTGTCTGCAAGTGCACAATATACAAGGAACATCACCATAAAGCTCTGTGCCACCGTTCAATGCAAACAGTCCTCAGGTCCTGCTGTGAGTTGGCACACCCCACTGGACAGCTGGAGACTGGAGAGGAGAAGCTGCTGCCAATAACACGTGACAAGGGATTTTCGAGCAATTTTCTGGAAACCAACAGTCCTGTGCTTTATTATTTCACAGGCAGATATTGCTATGAGCTACATAGAGATACATTATGGTGCAGTGTACTGTCTATTTATACCTGATATGATATACAATAAAACACTCCAACGCTTTCCCAATCCCATTTGTGAGCTCAAGCAAGGAAAAATAGGGAGACAATTTGCCACAGCCTTATGTTATGCCTAATATAATTTTGGAAATCAGCTATTGCCCCAAACAACATTTTATTACATGCATCAAAAAGATTTAACTTGCCAAGGGTCACATAAGTGTACTCAGAATGTGCTTCAAAGCTGAGAGATACTAGAGATAGACGGTTTATTGTACATCTCATTCCTTCCCCTGCCCCCAAGATCGCTTGCAATGAAAAGCAACCAGAGATCATTAAAAAAAGATTGCTCATTTTATGTAGCTTGAATATATAAAATGGTAGTTATCTAAATTCCAGTGGCAAGAATGTTTGGAAGACAATGCCAAGAGATAAATGGAAGTGAGTTAAATCGGGAAGACAGGCTCTGTAGCAATTAGTCTAATGTAATATCATTTTTAATGTAAAGAAGCTACATTTTCTAATTTTCACTAAAAGCTCTAGGTGCTGAATGGGTTACAATATATGCATGCGATAAAAAACAGGTACACTCATCTTATAAAGTAGCCTATTAACCAGACTGCTAGTGCTGCAAAATCCAGTACACAGTAAACAATACTTTTCCTGTTAGAATAATGATGCATAGTTTACTCTTTTATACCATGCAGCACTTGGGGACCACATCCATTTACCAAAATAATACCAAATTAGTACTGTAAATATTGAAATCAGACCTTTCAGGCTAACCAGTGGCCTAATTTTCTCTTCAATCTGCTCTTCATCTCAATTCATCAATAACACTACCTTATTATCAGACTTTGACAGCAAGCTAAGGCTTTTGATAAATTATACATCTCAAGCCAGATTTAAAATTTGAAGCTCAAGTGCTAATTATCTGTACAGGCCTAGTTAATAACGAGATTTCTTGTTAAGTATCTGATCACAGCATGGGCATCATTTGTCAAGATCCTCAAGTCTACCTTAGAGACTGGCTCTTCGAATCCTCCCTTGCCTACCATATGTAAAATTGGGATCTTTGTTTCTTTAATAACCTTTTATTAGGAAGCTGACATAATGATTAAGTTCACCGTAGACACACACAATGAATTAGACAATTACCCTTGCTGCTTTAAACCACTCAGACTCCTAGCAAGACAAAATAATTAATATTGAATTTTAATTTGATGTGTTCCACATTTAAACCCCAATTTGCAAAGTACACCTGGAAAGCTGCTGCTGCTACCTTGCAGTTTGTGCTGATGAAATAAAGGCTCCTGCAGTTTGAATGTGAAAGCACAGAAGGCACGATGCACCACGATCACTTCTCAGTGGAGCACAGAATTTTCTAGCATTAATGGGAAAGGTAATTACCTAGGTCTAACTTTATAGCCTTTTCTCTAATGAAACTATAATCTCCCAGGCCTACACACTTTAAGCATTTGCATGATTTTAATGATTTCAGTGCCATAACTGTTGGTATACCCCGTCATTTTGAAAGGAAATGTCTTAAACACAAAGTCGTTAATTATCTTTCCAGGCTATTCTTATTGGCACAAAGTAAAGCTGAGTCAAAGAGAAGCGCCATTACAAAAACAACCAAGGACAGCATTTTTCACACGGCCCCCCAAAACCAGGCCACAAGTACATAAATCCATTTCTTCATGTTCATCATTCCCCAAACTTAACCTACACCACACAGCCATAAGACACACAGGCGAAGTCCTTTTGACTTTGCTCCCACACAGAATGGGTATAACATGATAAGACCATGAAATATTGCCACTCTCTAACCAAATTTCCTTTCAGAAAATCATTAACCCTCCTGGCTGGGGGCAGTTCAGTCTCATGGGAGGGGCTGGGAACTACTGCAATTTTTCTTTCATGAAAAGGTTGGAGTTTGGGAGAGGAAAGGTGACTTCCTTCTGTACTGTGTCACATAGTGCCAGGATTGAGATGCCAGACTAAACTGAATTATCTGTTTTAAGACCAATTAAGGCAACTCATGTTATTACAGGAAAGGAATAAAGATTCACAATCCATTTATTATGAACTCTAAAAGCTCTTATTCATCCAGATCGAGCAGCTTACATGCTCCTGAGCAGGGTAGCTAAGTCCAGAAACAACGGATTCTCCTCTCTCCTTGGGCTTTCCTCTTATCTCCCTTCTTTCCCAAAGGTTTGATGCCTTCAGGGCTCCTCCCCTACTTGAATGGCAGCCAGAGGAGGATCTAATACTGCAGAGGTGTGTTGCTGGATAGAGGGGTACCAAGGAGACATTTTAAAATTACAGCAACCAGGGGCAGGAAACGGTTCCTACTCCCTCTCAGCCAATGACATAATGTATCCAAAGACCTTCATGCTTTGTTCTGCCATCCATGCCAAATAGCAGGCACTTTTTCCTGAGCACATTTCTCCCATGAGATCTGTGCAATACCCAGACAACTATAAGATCATGAGGAAATGATTCCTGAGCTTGAATTTTGTTCTTTGCTAAGTTAGAGATGAAGAGCAGATTTATTGATAGCTTACAATATAAACTTAACAATCTCTTACATCAAAGTCTCCAAAAGTCCAGAGCCATTTCCCCAAACTGTAGATGAGGTCAATGGAAGGAGAATGAAATGATAATTACTTTATGAGAGAAATATTCTGGAAAAAGAGGCAAATTCTCAGAGCTCCCAAATCTATTAAATGGGGAACACTCTATGTCCTCTTAAATTTTATTTTGATTATTGTCATTAAGCTATTAAATCAAAGTATTTAATAATGCTTTCTTCCTAGATCTCTTATTTTACAACTGTGTGTAAATCTAGGCTCCGCAAGTTACAAACTGTGCAACATCGACAAGTTAGGTAACCTCTCTGAGCCTCAGTTTCATCAAAAGTAAAATGAGAATGACAAGTGTCTACTTCTTAGAATGGTTATGAGGATTAAATAAGATAATGTACATCACATTCTTGGGACAGTTGTTGGCACTAGTAAGTGCTTAGAAAACATTGGCTGCTACTAATAGCATTGTTAGTTGTCATTAGTGTTATTTTGAAGAATGTTGCAGACATTTTTCAGTAGCCCTTAAATGGATCATTTGCTTTTGGGAGTCTGGCCACAACACAATCTAAAGATCACAAAAGTCTCGTTTCTAAGAATGACAAATCGACAGTCAAAAGCACTTCCCTCCCTCAGGCAGTATTTGCAACTAGAGCCACAAGTCTAAGTAAATATAATTGTTGGTTATTTTAAAAAAGACATTGTGTTAACAAAAACACTAAAAGGAAATACATTACATTTTTTACTGTAGTAAAAAAATAGATAACACAAGATTTCCCATCTAAGCCTTTTTTTGTTTTTTTGAGACAGGGTCTTGCTGGGTCTCCCAGGCTGGAGTGCTGTGGTGTGATCTCCGCTTGCTGCCTTTGCCTCCTGGGTTCAAGCAATTCTCGTGCCTCAGCCTCTTGAGTAGCTGGGATTACAGGTGTGCACCACCATACCCAGCTAAATTTTGTATTTTTAGTAGAGACAGGGTTTTATCATGTTGGGCAGGCTGGTCTTGAACTCCTGACCTCAAGTGATCCACCTGCCTCAGCCTCCCAGAGTGTTGGGACTATAGGCATGAGCCACCACGCCTGACCACCATCTTAGCCATTTAAATGTATAGTACAGCAATGTTAATTATATGCGCATTGTTGTACAATATATCTCTAGAATTTTTTTCTTCTTATAAAACTGAAACTCTATACTCTTTGAACAACTCCCTTTTTCCCCCAGTCACGTGGCAACCACCACTCCACTTTCTGTTTCTAAGAGATTTACTGTTTCAGACATCTCATATGAGTGGAATTATGCAGTATCTATCTTTCTGCCACTGGCTTGTTTCATGTTACATAATATCCTCAAGTTTCACCCATGTCATAGTCTGTGACAGGACTTCCTTCTTTTTAAAGGCTGAATACTATTTCACTATATGTATATACCACATTTTATCCATTCACCTGTCAGTGGACAGATACTTCCACCTCTTGGCTTTTATGAAGAATGGCTCGATGAGCATGGGCATGCAAATATCTCATCAAGATCCTCTTTTCAATTCTTTTGGATATATAGCCAGAAGTGAGACTGCTGAATTAGATGGTAATTCTAATTTTAATTGTTTAAAAACCTCCAGACTGTTTTCCACAGTGGCTGCACCATTTTACATTTCTACTAACAGTGCACAAGGGTTCCAATTTCTTCACATCCTCATCAACGCTGTTATTTTCTGTTTTTGTGATAGTGGCCACCCTAAGGGGTGTGAGGTGATAGCTCATTGTGATTTGCCTGATGATTGGTGATGTTGAGCTTCTTTTCATGTACATTTTGGTCATTTGTATGTCCTCTTTGGAGAAATGTCTCTTCAAATCCTTGGCCCGCTTTTAAATTTGATTATTTGGGGTTTTTTGTTATTGAAGTGTAGGAGTCCTTTATATATTTGAGTATTAACCTCTTATCAGATAGATGGTTTGCAAATGTTTTCTCCCATTTCATTGGTTGCCTTTTCACTCTGTTGATTGTTTCCTTTGCTGTGCATAAGTTTTTAAACTTGGTGTAATCCTATTTGTCTTTTTTGCTTTTCTCGCCTGTGTTTTTGGTGTCATATTTGAGAAATCATTGCCAAATCCGATGTCATAAAACTTCTCCTTTATGTTTTCTTCTAAGAGTTTTCTAGTTAAAGGTCTTATGTTTAAGTCTTTAATCTACTTTTAATTAATTTCTGTATGTGGTATAACGTAGGAGTCCAACATCATTGTTTTGCATGTGGATATCCAGTTTTCCAACAATATTTGTTGAAGGTCATTTGACCATATGCATGAGGGTTTATTTTGGACTTTCTATTCTGTTCCATTGGTCTATATGTCTATCATTATGCCAGTAACACACTATTTTGATCACTATAACTTTGTAATATACTTTAAAATCAAAAAATGTGAGGTCTTCAGCTTTACTTTTCTTTATCAAGATTGTTTTGGAGAAATATGTCACATTTTAATGCTATTGTTAGTGTTGTTATATTTGGCTAGTGGGACTACTGGGATCTATCTGACTTTTGCAGCTTGTATTTAATGAACAAACATTACAAATGGGCATAAATTGATATAACTGGAGAGAAGGACAAACATTTTATATTGTGTAATCTTGATTCAAGCCTTCACTTCTGCTAATGGTATAAAACTTAATCCTACTAATTTCAACTATAGAGCTGGTACAATAAAATGATTTTTCAGCTAAAAATGACCCATTTTCAGCACAGTGCTGAACACCATCTCTAGTTAGTCTCGCCTTCTTCCTATCTGTCCTCTGGTTAACAGCTGATGGCAGCAAACGGGGTGATGGGAGGTGGAGAGAAAAGGAAGAGCTCTCATCTAATACAGTCACTGAACAGCCACTGAGGCTCACCCCTGGGCTGGTTCCTGGAGGTTAATGCCTGATGCTTGCTCTGACTCATGACAATAGGATGGTCTGATAGAATCTTCTGGCTTTCAGCTCAGCTTTTGCAGTGGTGATATCCCTGAAACATAGCCAATTTTCCTTCCTAATGCCAGTAAAACATTATATGTTTATTTTCAATGCCATCTCTCAGCTTTACCAGGCAGTCTCAGGGGCAGTCACATCAGCATAGACCCCTAAGTACTGGCCTCAACACACCTGGGACTCACAATACCAAATAAGGCAAGGACCTCACAAAAATAGGAGAAGGGAGGCAGACTTTGATGTCCTGTTGTCTGTGTACTGCTCTTTCCAGTGATCCAGTTGGCAACACATATGTCTGTAAGGGCTGATGCTCAAAAAAAAAAAAAAAGTCCCTTTGGGGAAAGAAAATACCACATTTACTCCACCATCACCACCACCACTTCCTGCTGCTTATTGCAGATGTTCCAATTACACATTTAGTACCAGGAAAATGACCACCAGAGGGGTCTTCAGGCCCAATTTACCCACCAAGGCAAGGACTCACTGTACTTTTGTAACATGTTTTAAAATCAATTCATTCATTTATCACCTGACTCTGCTATGCCTGCAGTCTAACGGGAGGGCAATGATGATGCTTAGGTTCCAAGTAGTAGTGTCAATTAGCATCCTATGTCCAATAATTCTTGAAATGTTTGGGTGCTCAGTTACCTGGTGCTCACTTAGCCAAGTACATAGCAGTAGACCCCTTTAAGAAAGGACTAGGAGGATTGTTATTGGGTATACCTGCTGTGGTATTGCAGGCTTCTTCTACCAGGGAACTGAGATTTTTCTTCAGCCAATATGCACCAGACCTCAAAACTGGCTCAGGTCTACAAAATTGGAAAGGAATTGTGACTTTTTATTAGGAAAACTTCCCTCAGCCTTCTGGTCATTTTTACTGGATTGAATAGTGTTTCCCCAAAATCTGTGCCTATTTGGGCCTTCAGAAAGTGGCTTCATTTTTGGAAACAGGGTCTTTGTAAATTTAATCAAGTTACGATGAGTTCATATTGTACTACAGTGGGCCCTTGTCCAATGACTGGTGTCCTCATAAGAGAGAAATTGGAACGAACACACAGAGGAGGTGCAATGTGAAGATGGAGACACACTGGGAGAATGCCATGTGACAGCAGAAGTGGAGACTGGAGTGATGCACCAACAAGCCAGAGGATGCCAAGGACTCCTGGCAACCACCAGAAACCAAGAGAGAGGCACAAGACACTTTCTCCGTCTGAGCTTCCGGAAAGAACCAGCCTTGCTGACACTTTGATTTTGGACTTCTAGCCTCCAGAACTGTGATAGAATAACTTTCTGTTGCTTTAAGCCACCCAGTTTGAGGTACTTTGTTAACAGCAGCCCTGGGTAATGAATATACTCTCCATCCTTGATTTCTTTCAATAGTCCTGATTGGTAGCATTCTTGTCACTGCCCATGTATTTTATTCCTAGGAATGCTGTGTTCTATTAAACACCCACAGCTCTGTGGGTTAGCAACCCCACTCCCCTCCACACTTGCTACTCATTATGGTCATTGTGTCTGCCTGGCTTCTGCAGGTTAGTCACTGCCACCAGGCCTCTATGCTGTAGGATTTTGCTGTCTAGATCTACCATCCACCCTTGCCCACAGAGGACAGCCAGCATTAGACTTCTTGGCGATGCTGATGTCTTTTTCACACAATTAATTCCATACAGTGTTGGTAAATAGTGTATCCTTTGAACCTGCCCATGGGACACAATCATACTGTGAGATTTCTAGCCTTTTGCAGTGCTCTGACTCCAGCACACTGACATTGCTGAGCTTTTATGTCTCTTCTTCCACCCTCTGCCAGGTGCATTCTGACACTGCAGCCTAACTTAGTGTAGGCCATCACTATTGTCATGCCTTTAGGAGCCATTGTAGAAGTGAGTTTGCACCATATCCCGGAGTCCATGCCAAGGTGTTAAATCCTGTATATTCTTGGATCAAGCAGGCTTATAATCCAATCCCATGCCTCCTCTCCCAGCACGTGCAGGTACAGGATGGCAGATGTTACAACTCATTTAGGATGTAGTCCTTTTCTTCTCTTATTAGGTCCAGCACAGCTCCAGCTGGGCTTATACTGTGACTTAACTTATAGGCCCAGTGCCTGGGACAGAGATGGTGGCAGATCACAGAAGAAGCAAATGTGCCTCCTGGGGGAGCAGTGTCTGCATCACCTCCAATCAATGGGGGAGTACAGCTCCTAATAGGGAGGGGTGGACCAACCCTTTACAGGCTCAGGGCATTCCAGAAAGTCTGGGGGTTTGTGATTTTCAGGATTATTAACCCAGATGTCCTCATCTCATGTGTCAAGGTCCCAGCCCTGACCTTGGCATAAGAGACTGGCTTTAATTGGAAATTTAACTTTCATGAGAGCTTGGCTACTCTGATGATTAAGTCCTAGGCCTGGTCCTCTCACACTGCAGGAGATAAAGCTGCTTTGTGTACCATCAAGGAGGCTCTCTGGCTTTCATACTTAGCTGTTAATTGGGAATTAATCCCTCTCAGCTTCTTATTATCTGTTTTTTCCAGAAGCCAATTGAACTTAGCAACAGTTACCCAATTCCACTGTACTTATATAGTTACTATTTCTATTATATTTTTCAAATGCATGACACACCACACTAGCTAATGCATTACTTGCTATACCATCCTGATTCTCCATCAGTGAAAGTTTTAACAAATGAACTGCCACTTTGTGCCAAGGGCCCTCTGTGCTCCACCTGCCACTGGTTATGGCACCCTCATTGCCAGCCAGAAAGTGACTGATCCGGCTCCAAAATCTCATCTCAGCACCTGCGCTCTTAGACTGCTCCTAGTACCAACTGTGGTAGCATGTTCCCAAGCTGCAGGATTGCAACTGGATTGGCTTTGAAATCTCCTCCTAAGGAGGAGAAGGCAACAGGAATGGACAGAAGAAGCAGTCCTGCTGCGATGCAGATATAATGATGGCCTCAGCCAACCCCACATAAGCTCTGAGACCTCGACTGTTCCTTCAGGACTTTTCCAACTTGAGTTGAGATGGCCAGGCCTTTATACCCTGCATCCATCAGTGGGATGCCCCAGGAAGGGGTGTGACCTTAAGTGAGGTAGTTCTGGGCCACCGAAGCAACCCCTGAAGGCTGTCTGCCAACATCGTCCCAGTAGCTGGGAAAACAAGTCATTTATTGAAGGAGAATCTGGATGTTTTCACAGTGTCTGTGACAGCTTCCCCTCCTCTAAAACAGATTTGCAGGTAGGAAGTGAGCCTAGCTCTCCTGGTTGGCATATACCCTGCACTTCCCTCTGAATCCTATCAAAATCCCTGTGTCTTTACTGTAAAAGTTGAAAACTTGTCCTCTACTGGTCCTGGCAGCCCAAGATGTGCATGGGAGGATGGGAAAGCAGTCTAGGGAAATTATAGAATAGCCTCTGATGTTCGGTGCCTCAAGTTATTAGTTTGTAGAGTGTTGGGCTTGCAGTTTGGATCAACTGCCTGAAAGACTGTGCATAGGGTTAATTTGAGGGGGTCAAAACTAAAGACAGATAGATGAGTTTGAAGCTAGTAAAGAAATCCAGAAGAAATGCAGCAAGACCCTGAACTGGGATAGTGTTCATAGGAATGAAGTGGAGGCAAATAGATCTGAGAAATATTTTGCTGGTGAAATGCCAGGACTTGGGGATTGATCAGAAGTGGAGTATAAGGGAGAAAGAGGAGTGAAGTGCTACTTTCAAGATGCTGACTGGGGCTATTAAATTTTGGGTGGTGACACAAACTGAGACGGGTAGTTTTGAATATGTGATATTTGAAATGTTTTGAAGTGTTATATGTCTAGCAGGTAGATGCATATTTAAGTCAGAAGTTCAGGAATGAGAGAGAAGTCTATTCTCAGCATAAATATTTGAGAATCTTGGCATTTAGGCTGGGCTAAAACTGTGGCTCCAGATGAGGGCCCAAGGAGAATGTGAGAGGGAAACCAAGCGTGGACAGAGGACCAAGCTCCATAATTCACCTGAAGGCTAAGGGTAGAAAGAAAATCCTATGAAGGAGGGTAAGAACAGGAAGGCCAGAAAGCTATGAGAACAATGCAAAGATTGTGGTGTCAGAGGAGTCAAGGGAGCAGAGTGTTTTGAGGAGGCCTCGATTAACAGAGTAAAGTGCAGTAGCGAGCTACAATATGATAATCACTAAAATGTCCACTGCATCTGGCTGCTCAAAGGGTACTGCTGACCTTAGTGACAGAAGTTCATGAATGTGGTGGGGGCAAATGGCAAGTCACAGCTGGTCAAGTAGTGGATCACGAGGTCAGGAAGTTGAGAACAGCCTGACCAACATGGTGAAACCCCGCCTCTACTAAAAATACAAAAATTAGCCCAGTGTGGTGGTGTGTGCCTGTAATTCCAGCTATTCAGGAGGCTGAGGCAGGAGAATCGCTGGAACCCGGGAGGCGGAGGTTGCAGTGAGCTGAGATTGCACCACTGCACTCCAGCCTGGGCAACAGAGTGAGACTCTGTCTCAAAAATAAAGAAAAAAAAAAAAAGAAAGTGAGAATGTGACATCAGAAAGTGCCCATAACTCTTTTGCGCTGGATAAGACACATAAGATCCATCCCACTCCGTTCTGAGTGCCTTCCTGTACCAAAGAAGAGAAAGCAGAAAAGCTACATTTCCCAGATTTATTTGCAGCTGGGATCTGAATGCACATTAGATGCACTCCAGCGAAACTGGAAGGAGGAAGTGAGGCAGGAGCCCTCTTCCTACAGACAAGCAGGGCCTTGGAAGCACAATGTTTAGAGAAGTTGCTGCCCCTGGATTCTGCATTCCAGAATCTGGTCACCAGCCTCCTGGGTGTCAAAGGACAGCGTTCGTTGTACCTGGCCTCTGTGTGACAACCACAGCACTGGTACACTTTTATCCCGCTGAGTCTCTCTCTCCAACCTTTCTAACAATCCCCTGTATTTAAGCCCTATTCAGCAGAAGCCAAAGTGTTTTCTGTTGCATGCTGCGACAGATTTTTAACAATGTTTATATTTAAAAAAGGAAGAGAAAGGAGGGACAGTAGCTAGAGAAGGGCAATGTCAAGGAGTGGAAAGTAAAGGCAGCATTCACAATACTGGCAGCAGGGCCCCACCAGTCAAAACAGAACAGGGAGGGCCGGGAGTCTCAGAGGGGTGGGAGCTTCAGGGAGCTTGGGAGTGGTGTTTCACAACTTTCACAACTGGTACTAAAGCGTGTCGTATTTTAACTGCTGGTGTGAGTGCATTAGTGAGTCCCAGAAAGGAAAACAGTTGAGAATGAATACAGAATTGAGGGGAAATCACCTGGGGGTACTTGTCGAAAATGAACATTTCCAGACTCATCCCCAGAGATTCAGATCCAAGAGGTCTGGAGTAGGGCCTAGGAATTTCTTTTGTGAGTGTTCCAGGAGATTCTAATGAGGAGGCCCACAGAACATGTCTTGAGACATCCTATTGTAGCAGAGGCAGAGAAGCAGAGGAAGAGAAGGGGTACCGACAGAGCAGGAAGCAGGGGGTGCTGAGGCCAGAGACCAGAATCAGCGAGGCTGTGTCTCCTCATTCCACCAGGACCCAGCAGACAAAGTGCAGGAGCCAAGCATGTCAGTAGTCACATGAATCCAGATTCCAGGGTTTTCCAGAATGGTGCCCTGAAAGGATGCAATTAATCAGGGGTTATGGTGAGAAAAAAGCTCAAGGTATCCAAGCAGCAAGTGTCTAGGCTGAGCAGAAAGAAAGAGGAGCCAGAAATGGGTTGGAAGATTGGAGGAAAATAGAGGAATCAAGCAACTAAAAGTCTCCATGAGGTCACAGCTCAGGGCTGGGGAAAGTGGGAGTGTGAGAGAGAAAGGAGGAGACTTTCTAATGTGAAACAGTTCTGGGTCGGGAGATCCCTCAGTGCTGGTTGTTCAGGAAGTGGGTGGCTGAACTGGAACAGAGGTGGAGGTGGCATTCAGGAATGGCAATGCTGGTATAGCAGGCTGAAAAGAAGACCCCCCCAAAAATAACCACATCCTTATCCCTGGAACCTGTGACTATAACCCTATATAGGAAAAAAAAAAAAAAAAAGTCTTTGCATGTGTGATTAAGTTAAAGATCTTGAGATGGGGGCATTATCCTAGATTATGTGGGTGGGACCTCAATACTATCACATGTATCTCTATAAGAGAAAGGCAGAGGGAGATTTTATATAAGCAGGAGAGCAGAAGGCCATGTGGCCACAGAGGCAGAGATAGGGATGATGCAGCCACAAGTCAAGGGATGTCGGCAGCCACCAAAAGCTGGAAGATGAAGGGAATAGATTCCCCCCTAGAGCCTCCAAAAGAGAACATTCCTGCCAGCACCTTGATTTCGGCCCAATGATGCTGACTTCAGACTTCCAAACTTCAGGACTGTGAAAGAATACATTTCTGTTGTTTTAGGTCACTAAGTTTGTGGTAATTTATTACAGCAGCCTTGGGAAATGAATAAAACTAGGATGTTGGGTGTGTTCTATGGACACTGAAATATTCTATTAATAGCTTTACAGTGAGTTGGGTAGAGTCGATGGTTAAGGGGGAGAATGGCTCAGTAAGAACATTCATGGAGAGGAAATGCCAGGCAGTGGAAAGACCAAAAGAGGAGGAACTTTTATAAGAAGGTAGAAGGGTAATTGTCTAGAAATGGCCATGGGAGAGCAAGTTGAATGCCAATGCCAAGCCTCCCTGGCCTCAGGAATGTGAAGAAAGAGTACTCACCCCCGAAGGCAGCTTGAGGGAAGGCTAGATCTAGAAACTTAACAGCTGGACCCTGGAGTTTTTTGTTTTGTTTTGTTTTGTTTTGTTTTGAGGTAGTAGAGATGTGGCAGTGTGGGGATAACTTTTCTATTGTTCTCCCATTGCAATTCTTTAGAGTGCCAAATGCATTTTTAAAAACATTTCAACCAAAGATTTAAGATTTAGAATACTGTAAACCACATGTAACTCTGACGATTATTTATCTTCTTACATTGCAAACAAGGGAAAATCTGGTTTTGTGATACCTGAAGGTTATACAATTTGAGGAGGTTTCTTTAAGAAAGAAAAAACAAAATTACATACACAACATTGAATGAAGTTATAGATTTTTATTTGGAGTGGAAAAAATTAACCACAAAAGGTGAAAATGTTTTAAAAGCTGGCAAATACAATAAACTTCATAAAATCCAGAAAAATGCATATGTATTTACAATTAACTTCCTGATACAACTGTTTTTTCTATTTTTTGGCTGCATACTCTGAAAAATTATATAATATATAATCTTAAATTGAGGCATGTACAAGGACAATTAAAATATATTTTTAAACTGCCACTACATTGTATTGAGGTATAATAATTGTGTAAATCAAATTACTCACACAACATCCATTGACTCGATAAGTATATGTCAATTTGTGTCTTGACTTTTCTGTTTGCTGAATCAGTGACAATTTTGTATGCCTTCTTCTCTGGAACCACCAGTCTTTAGCAGAGCAATATACATCAGTATCTTAAAGACACAGTGCAATATTTGGGGTGCATACAACATGCAACCCCACCTACAGATGTGTGTGCTGTTGGCAGTAATGCTACAACATTTGCCCTGCCACAAAGGAACTCTTGATGCCCCACAGAAAAGAAAATGTGTGGTGCACTTAAAATTGCACACCGCATTATCAAAAATAGTTCTGGCAGAGGAAAAGTTTCATTTTGATGAGACTTTGATGAAAACCAAACCTTACATTCAAAAATTTTACATCTGAATTTTTTGAAAAAATGTTTAATCATGTTTCTCCTCCAACACCCACCTACTCTTTGTGTCGCGCACTATAAGGCACGTTCATACTGTGATCCTACTTCCGGCCCTGCCCATTCATTTCACAAACTTGGGTGTATCAGCCTATTAGGCACCAGAAGTATTCCTGGAAGTCATTCTTTCACCAGAACGGCTAAAAATAACTTAACTATACACAGAAGTGACTGCAAACCACATGAATATATCCCTCTAAACCCAAAATAAATGTATCCCCTTCTCAATTTCCTTGCCAGAACACAAAATTCCTGCAGCCATTTCAACACCACCCAATTCAAGGAGAGGCACAAAGGGGAGGATATGGGAGTGGAAAGGAACAATGTCAAGTTTTGGGAGCAAACTTTTCAAAACCGCAACTATGTGACCACATTGCTAAGTTTTATTTGACTTCACGGTAAAAATGCCTCTGGTTTCAGGGGTCAAACCATGCTCAAAGAGGCTACCTTCTTGCCAATGGTCACTTGCAGAAGTCTCAATCATTCAGATCTGAGGTCTGACCTACGATAACAGCCTCTGAAATATTTCTGATTAGTCAAGTCCCACCGTAACAAATTCCAATGACATATCCGCCTTCTTTTACTGTCCTGAAATTTGATGGTGTTGGAGCTACCTATGTGAGTGAGTGCTTGAAATGGAGTCAACAAATGTTTGTGATTGTCAAGACCTTGTCATTGTGATGGCATCAGTAATGCAATCTGATGTGCATTGTCCTCCCAAGTTCATTTTGCTTTTTCCTTTGAAGTCCATATACCATAAAAATGGAAAATGAATATTGAGCAGAGAGAGCATCGGCTTTTACTTTCCATAGGGTTCTTAAGATAGTCACTGTCGGGCAACAGAAATGAACTATGTTGTATGAGAATGCAACATGTGTAAGCCAAATGTAGTACAAATAATTGGTAGAAACAGATCAGAAAGCCTTCACAAATCGTCCAACTTTTGTCAGTTTTGTGAGAAAGTCAACACCAACTTATGAAATGGCTCTCCAGTGCTGGGAGAGTACAGGAACCCAAAACTGCTGCTTGCCAGACCTACAGGTGCATTTTGGGGTAAACTAAAATAGCATTCACATCATGCAGGATTAAAAGACATATTTCCAGTTGTTTATAAGTCCATGTCTTCTGCTCCTAAGTAAGCCAAAATACTCTGGGTTCTAAATGAGAAAAATGGCAGAAAAGCTTCGTGTGATAACATACCACCTTCCCCACAGCAAGTTCCCCAGCCCCAAGGGCCTGGCTCTGATGCTCACTACCATTATCCTGGAGGCTAGGAAGTGGCAACCATCATTATTCCCCTTTTCTAATTATGGTTTGCCCAGACCCATGGACCAACCAGAGGCAGAAAGGGGAAACTTCCAGGGTGTGAGCATCCCCTGCGGTCTCATGCCTGGACAGAGGTGCTTTCAGATGCTTTCAGATATCCTCGTAAAAGAGCAGATTTGGATTCTGTTCTTCGTATAGCATTTGGTACAGTAATTAATCTCCAAGAGGCTAAAAGACATGGCATTAAATCTGTGTTCAGGTTATAAAGCTACAACCATGTGGAAAAGTTCGGTGTCCTTACCTTAACACTTACTCTAAGAGCTGTCCTGACACATCAAAAGATTTAATTAATTTGATCTTTCATTAGCTAAGGGGGAAAAATGCAGACAAAAAAGGATATGGTAAAAAAAAGAAAAGAAAAAATTTAATTCACTAAATTACCCAAATTATACATATCCTATGAGAACATTGGAAAGATTACCTCTATCAGGGTGAGCACCATTTAAAGTATTGTTATAAATTGTTCAAATCCTAGATTGTAGATCTATTTTGGAACTTTCAGGAGAGATGCATTAATATATATTTTTGTTCTTCAGAGGTATCCTTATATGTAAAAAGAATGGTGGCACTTCTGACATGTGATTTCAGGAAAAAAAATCTACATTCATTACACCATATATATATTATCCCACTCCTCATTAAACTTCCTAAGGAATTTTATATTCTTACCATTTTATACATAAGAAAACTGAAGCCCAGAAAATTTTAGCGCATTGCCCAAGATCACAGAATTCTAAACCAGGTCCATCTATCTGCCTGCAATGCCCTGTTGATACTATGTTGCCTTCCTCGAGCTCCCAGCAGCTGTCCTCGGTCCAATTCAACATAAAGAACAAACCCCTATCTGCTGGGTCTAGTCCTTGGACTTCCTTCTCATGAATAAAGCCCTTTGCCCCATAAGCAGAGATAAGATTTAAAATTTTAAAGTCCCAGAAGACTATTTCCATGTGTTAATTTACATGAAGGCACAAATGTCTAATTTTACAAACTTTTTGTGAAGGGAAGTTTTGGTAGGAGTAAGGATCCTGTAGAAATGATTATTCATATCTACCCAGCACCCCTATAGAAGCCTCTCCCACCCCCAAGTAGTAATATAGTTTAGGCTGCATCACTTACTATTTTATTCCCTTGCCATAGCAATTGGTCCATGGGCTGGAACAATATCATATAGATTTTGAAGCCACATGCTACACACGGCAGCCTGGGTCCCTTAATAACTGCATGGAGCAGAGCCAGCTGCCCTCCCCTGTCTCAAGCCACCCCATCATCCTGTAATACCCACTCTACACTGTTGTGTAAGAAAAAGACTTTTTTTTTGTTAAAGCCATTGTATTTGGGGGTATATCTGTTATAAAAATTTAGCCTACAATAAATAATGACAGGTATCAGTAAATGTTAATTTTATTACCACCTCCGTTCCTAGATTTTCCCCTTTAGAATGCTTCAAGGTTCCTGGTAATTTTATTAGGGTTCCTTTAAAATCATTATGAATCTACAACTATAGCAGATGTTATGGTTTGAATGTTCCTGCCAAAACTCATGTTGAAATTTAATTGCCATTATAACAATGTTGAGAGGCCCTACAAGAGGTGATTAGGGTCATGAGGGCTCTGTCTTCATGAATGAATTAATTTCATTATCTTGGGTTTGGGTTGATTATCAGGAGAATGGGTTTGTTATAAAAGTAAATTTGGCCTGATTTCCTCTCTCGGCCTCTCCTGCTCACTTCTACCTCTACCCTTCTGCTGTGGGATGACTGTCACCAGATGCTGGAGCCATGCTATTGGACTTTCCAGCCTCCAGAACCATGAACCAAGTAAACTTCTTTTCTTTATAAATAACTTAGTCTGTGGTATTCTGTTACAGAGGCAGAAAATTGACTAAGACAATAGATATGTAAAAGTGGCCACTTTTATAAATAATAAAAACAATTTAAATACCAAAATATATACATATTTTAAAAAATAAAAAATGAAAATATTCAATCATCTTCCTTTTACCAAATTTCTTTCCAGGCACCTAGGGTAAGGTTAGACTTACTAAAGAGCAACCTAATATGGAAAAAAATCAGTACTTTTTTTCTTTGATAGCAACCCAATACCTGAACTTAAGGAGAAAAAAATACTCCCCTTCTACTACATAAACATGTAAATAGTATCTCTTCTTCCATTTTTACTTCTCCACTGGAGAAGTCCATCAGACTATCCAGTTTATTAGTTGAAAAGCTAAACCAGAGTTTGGACTCCTGATTTATAAGTAATGAGTTTGGGAACTCTAATGTGACTTGTCTTCAGTGATTTGGGCCATATCTGACACTAGCTGCATACTTCCCTATCATAAATGACCCAGCATAAGTAAACCCAGTTACAGCACCTAACATCTCTTAGCAGATAAATTTGAAAAGACACATTGTGCATATCAGTAGCTTTAAACTTGGAATGCTTTGGATCCCAGAATTGAACTCAAAAGCCAATTTAACCCATAGTACAATGATTTTCCAAACGTGGTTCATGGACCAGCAGCATCAGCATCACCTGAGGCTTGAACCCCAGACCTATGGAATCAGAATTCTGGATTGTGGCCAAAGCTGCAATGCAAATGTATTGTCATAATTTACCAAAACACCAGACCTATGTGATCAAAAGTGAATTATACCAAGCACATATACCACCCAGATCTTCGTTTCTAATACTATTCTACGATAAAAGGAACCAGCTCTCCTTGGAAAAATGGCTGTTTCTAGCACTGCACAGGAAATATACAATATGAGCCTGGAACATCTTGTAACATCAGAAAGTAAGGAAGTGCTTTAAAAAATATAGAGATATGTAAAAAAAAAAAAATAGAGTAGCTAACTGAAAGAGCCAAGGCAGGAACAATTTGAGCAATAAAATCAAGAAATATTGAATTATATTGAAATGGGGTCTGTATTAAGGTAAATCATGTAAAATCAGGTAAAAATAATAGTTCCTATTGCTAAAGGAACTTTGCATTCTATTGCTACAGTCTGTTGATTGGACTCTTGTTTCCAAGTATCCATAGTATCATAGTCTTTCCCATACTTATTTATTTTATTCTCTTTCTCTTGTTTTCATGCTTTCTGCATGTCTTGTGCCACAGGTCATGCTGAGTGGATTGAGCTCTCATGCAAAGATTGAAAGTTCAGCCCAGCAATAATCCTCTGAGGGAGCCTGGATGCCAGACTCAAATTCTGAATGTGATCTCCCATTCAGAGTGTCCCTTTCTGGATTAAAAGCTTTAGCACGGCTGGGCATGGTGGCTCACGCCTGTAATCCCAGCCCTGTGGGAGGCCGAGGCGGACAGATCACCTGAGGTCAGGAGTTAGAGACCAGCCTGGCCAACATGCTGAAACCCCGTCTCTACTAAAAATACAAAAATTTGCTGGCCATAGTGGCACGTGCCTGTAGTCCCAGCTACTCTGGAGGCTGAGGCAGAAGAATCGCTTGAACTCAGGAGGTGGAGGTTGCAGTGAGCTGAGATCACGCCACTGCACTCCAGCCTGGCGACAGAGTGAGACTGTCAAAAAAAAAAAAAGGCTTCAGCACAATAATGAGACTTGAGACAATACAGTCCTCCATCTGGCCAACTTTGATCTGATCCATGTGATAGGGTCATGAATGATTTTGACCCAAGTCCAGGGCCCCAAACTCACAGCCCTTGAGTTGCATTCCACAAGAATCCAGGGTGGGGTATAGGAAGTCAAGACTAAGAAATTGTTGTCCCCAAAGCGGGTCATTATGGATGAAGAAAAGAAGTCACCCTCATCCTTCCATGTTCTAGCCCACCCAAAGGCCAACATGGAAGATAACTGGATGGGGGTCATAGATGGCGGAATGGGACACCACAGTGAACCAATCAGTTATCTCATCTTGTTAGCCCAAGATGTGACAGCCATAAATGACTAGGAAGAAAGAAGAAGTCCCTGGGAAGAAAATAAAGAAGAGATGTGTCTACTGTCTACTGAGGTCACTTACATATAAGGGAACTACAAAGTACAAACATTACACTCAAAAGATAAATTGCAGCATTAACTACTCATTTAACAAAACAACTAACCACTTAATTTCCTTAAATAAAAAAGTCACCCAGGATATTTTTCAAATGTTAAGATTTGCCAAAAGCTATCTGCACACTACTTTTCAGAAGCACATCAACTTCCCAGTGACCCTAGTGTAGACTATGTATGGTAAAAAAAACACAGGGCTGGAAATGCTGAGTATATAGAAGTAAGGACTGCTTGACATTAAGATATTACTTTTGTTATTATTTCTAGAACAACAAAGGACATGCCTTTTGAAAATTAAAAAAAAAGTCAGTTCATATCTTTCAGATCAGCACAAGAAGCAACTTTCAGATTTCAGTCTTTGCAAAGAGACTGCCATAGTTTAAAAATCAGCCTGAAAACATTAACTCTAATGAAAGATCAAAGTTTCTGTGTTCCTTATGAGGATGTCGGTATGTGTCCCTGCCTAGAAGTTGGGATATATTTGGCTCACTAGTAATTTCTGTTTTTTCAAATCTCATTTTATCCTCTATTTCTTTTCATTTTAATCCTTCAGGCACTACATTTTCTTCAATTAAAATTTTAATGACATCAGGCATCTGGTACTTGCCTCCGTCACAAAGAAAAAAATGGTGAGTAGATAATCACACTTCAAATAGATCATCTAAGAAAGAACACTGGAATTCAATGGAGAAGTGACAACAAACACCTAAAGCAAGGAAGGAGAGGAAAACAGGGCAGCCCGCTTGGCCAGGATCTACTGGGAGCCCAATGTGGGGAAAGGGTAAGTGAGCAAACTTCAGTGGTCCACATTTCCACTGCGGAATCCTGCAATCCTAGCCATGGGAGAGCCTTCAAACCACATAAACCCTGAGACTAACATGGGGAGCTGCCTGAAGGACACAGGATGGCATTGCTCCAGAGAGGGGACCCATGCTGGCTCCCACACGCCCTGAGCCCTAAGTAGCTACAGCAAAGTGCCATATGGTGATCCAGCCACCAAAAGACTGAATCCTGCCTGCAAGCCCAACAGCTCTGCATCTCCACCTCCCTAGATCCTCATTGACATTCCCCACCTGTCGCCACTGCCTTGACTGACGCTTCTGCCAGGGCTGAATTGAGAGCCATTGGCAATGACCCTGCTGCCCCCAGCAGAGAAACCACCATGCATTTTTACACACCTCAAGGACAAACTCCCCAACTGCAGCCACCATCACTGCAGGCTGCCACTGCCTATGGCCAAAGGGCAAGTGAAGCGCATGCTCCCCAGGCACCTACAGATAGCTGCTGCCACTGAGAAGAACCCTGCCCTCCCCAGTAGCAGGGTCACATACATAGCCAGCACCTGTGCACATCACCAAGAGGCCTGAGAACAGGTCTGCTAGGCCAGTTTCTGCCTCCCCAGTGCCTGAGCATGCCATCAGGGGCCTGGGGACTGCCCAGCCCAGTCCTCCATCATTGGCACCGAAGCACTCCTTCTGGGGACCTGAGGTCAGGCCTTCCCAACCTGCCACTACCACCACAGTTGACATCGCCTGCACATACCTCCTGCAGGCCTGAGGACTGGCCTGCCCATCCTTTCACAG
The DNA here is from genome assembly GCF_000001405.40 of Homo sapiens. Classification (NCBI taxonomy): domain Eukaryota; kingdom Metazoa; phylum Chordata; class Mammalia; order Primates; family Hominidae; genus Homo; species Homo sapiens. The sequence goes on along the minus strand of NC_000002.12, from coordinate 175,343,467 downwards.
CAACTGCCAACACCAACATGGACCACTTAGGAGCCATATAATTGTTCTGCCACTGCTACTGCTAATACATGCACTATGCCTGCTGCCCACAGGCTTGAGAATCTGCGTACCCACCTGGCCCACCACTGCCACTAACGGCACCCAAGCAAGCTGTCTGAAAGCTCAAGAATTGGCAACCTGGACCCACTAACACCAGTACCAGCATATGCCACCCTGGAGCCCAAGGACAGGCATGCTCAGCCAACAACTGCCACCATTGGAACCTGAGGACAAATTCACCTGGCATCCCTGTCCCCAGCAAACCTTCATCAGAGCCTCCACTAACCATTGCACCCTGAGGCACTGAGGAACTCATGTACACTATTGACAGTGGTTATAGCCAACAAACTCATACAAAGACTACACTACTGCATGCATCAAAACCAAAGTGCTCTACCAAACCCATGTCATAGACATATATTCAGGAAAAAGTTCTCCCCTACCAAAGCAAATACAAAAGAATTTTTGAAGACATGATTGTCACATCAGATGTGCAGATAGCAATGTAAAAATACAGGAATTATGAAAAAGCAAAGAAATATGACACCTCCAAAGAAACACAGTAATTCTCTAGCAACAGATTATAATCAAAAAGAAATGTATGAAATCCTGGAAAAATCATTCAAAATAATAACATTGAGCCAGGTGCAGTGGCTCATGCCTATAATCCCAGCACATTGGGAGGCCTAGGCAAGAGAACCATTTAAGCCCAGGAGTTTGAGACCAGCCTAGGCAACATAGGGAGATCCTGTCTCTACAAAAAAATTAGCCAGGCATGGTGGTGCATGCCTATGGTCCCAGCTACTTGAGAGGCTGAGGTGGAAGGGTTGCTTGAGCCTGGGAGGTCGAGGTTAATATAAGCCATGACTGCCACTGCACTCAGCCTAGGCAACAGAGATCCTGACTCAAAAAAAAAAAATCAAAATAATAATAATATTAAAGAAACTCAGTATAAGAGAATACAAAAAAAACTAAGAAATAAGAAAAATAATTCAGAATGAGAAATTTTGTGAAGAGCTAGATATCATAAAAAGGAACCAAACAGAAAATCTGGAAATGAAGAATTTATTAAATGAAATTAAAAATACATTTGAAACCTTCAACAATAAACTAGATCAAGCAGAAGGAATAACTTGACATAAAGACAGGTCTTTTTGAAATAACCAAGTCAGACAAAAATAAAAAAAAAGGATTTAAAAAAATGAACAAAGCCTAAATGACATATGAGAGACCATAGAGCAACCAAATATTCAAATTTTCAGTGTCACAGAAGGTGAAGAGAAAATAAAATAGTTAGAAAACCCACATAACTAAATAATAAAAAGTTCCAAGTCTACTAACAACAAATTTAGACATCCAGATACAAGATGCTAAGAGACCCCCAAACAGATACAATTCAAAAAGATCTTCCGCATGACACATTATGCTCAAACTGTCAAAAGTCAAAGACAAAGAAAGAATTCTAAAAAGAGCAAAAGAAAAGCATGTAGCCACTTATAAGGGAACTCCCACCTGACCAACAGCGGATTTCTCCACAGAAACCTTACAGGTCAGGAGAAAATGGGATTACATATTAAAGTGTTGAAAGAAAAAACTTTCAGCCAAGGATACTACACCCATCAAGGTTAGCCCTTATAACTAAAAGAAAAATTAAGTCTTTTCCAGACAAACAAAAACAGATAATTTACCACCACTAGACTGGGCCTACAAGAAATGCTAAGGGAATCCTACATCTGGAAGCAAAAAGACGATATATAACGTTATGAAAACACACAAAAGTATAAAATCCACTGATAGAGAAAACACACAAATAAGGAAAAGAAGGGACTCAAATGTTACTACTATAGAAAACCACTAAACTGCAATAATAAACAAAAGAGAAAGAAACAAAGAATATACAAAGCAACCAGGAAGCAATTAATAAAATGACAGGAAATAACCCTCACATGCCAATAATATCTTTGAATGTAAATGGATTGAACTTTTCACTTAAATAATACAGACTATCTGAATGGATTTTTTTCAGTGACCCAACTATATGCTGCCTAAAAGAAACCATCTCACCTGGAAAAAAATAAAATAAAACATAAACTGAAAGAAAGGGGGTGGAAAAAAATTCCATATAAATGGAAACCAAAAGACAACAGGAGTAGTTACACTTGTATCAGATAAAACAGACTTTATGTCAAAAAAAAAAGTAAGAAGAAGATGCACTTAACACCAGAATACGCAGATACATAAAGCAAATATTAGTAGATCTAAAAAGAGACACAGACTTTAATACAATAATAGTTGAGGGCTTTAACAGCCCACTCTTAGCATAAGATAGATCATCTAGACAGAAATTCAAAAGAAATATTGGATTTAAACTGCACATTAGACCAAATGGACCTAATAGATATTTACAGAACATTTTATCTAACAACTATAGAATATATAATTTTTCTCATCAGTACATGAAACATTCTCCAAGACAGACCATATGTTAGGACACAGAACAAGTCTTCACAAATTTTTAAAACTTAAAGGAAATAATTGAAATCAGGCCAGGCATGGTGGCTCAAGCCTGTAATCCCAGCACTTTGGGAGCCCAAGGCGGGCAGATCACAAAGTTAGGAGATTGAGACCATCCTGGCTAGCATGATGAAACCCCGTCTCCACTAAAAATACCAAAAAATTAGCCAGGTGTGGTGGTGGGCACCTGTAGTCCCAGCTACTTGGGAGGCTGAGGCAGGAGAATGGCGTGAACCCGGGAGGCGGAGCTTGCAGTGAGCCGAGATCGTGCCACTGCACTCCAGCCTGGGCAACAGAGTGACACTCCATCTCAAAAAAAAAAAAAAAGAAAATTGTATCAAGTATTTTCTCAGACCACAATGGGATAAACCCAGAAATCAACAAAAAGAGGAACTCGGGAAACTGTAAAAATATATAGAAATTAAACAACATGCTCTCGAATGACCATTAGGTCAAGGAAGAAATTAAGGAGGAAGTAAAAAACATTTACTGAAACACAAAATACCAAAACCTATGGAATACAGCAAAAGCAGTGCTAAGAGGAAAGTTTATAGCAATAAATGCTTGTATTTAAAAAGCATAAAGATAATAAATAATCTAATGATGCACCTTAAGAAGCTAGAAAAACAACAAATCAAACCCAAAATAAGTAGAATGAGAGAAATAATGAAAATGAGAGCTGGGGGATAGGGCCAAGATGGCCAACTAGAAGCAGCCACTACAGGAAGCTTCCATCAAAAAGAACCATAGCATGTAAATCCTGCCCAGCAACTAACATATCCAGATTCTGTCATTAGAACTGACTAGGTAGCTGGTATGACCCACAAAGAGGAAGGAAGAGCAACTTGATGTGGCAGCCCACTTGAGACCCACAGCCCCCCACCCCCTAGCCAAGGGAGGCAGTGAGTGAGCATGCTGCCCAGCCAGGGAAACTGTGCTTTTTCCACGGAACTGTGCAACCCATGGATTGGAAGATTCCACTCGTGAACCCATGCCACCGGGTCCTAGGGTCCCACCCCTGGAGCTGCACAGATTCTCAACAGCCTCTCAGCTAGAATCTGCTTAAGCCTGCTGAGTTCCCAGTGGGGAGGGGTGACCAGCACCACAGCTGCATCTGCCTGCTGTCTAAGCCATTTGAGCTCCTTGGGGAAGGGGCAGCAGCCAGCACTGGGACTGAAAGCTGCCTAAGACACTACGTTCCCTGGGAAGGGGAAGGGTGGCAGCCATTTCTAAGCTTCAGGCCGTATTTTTCCCCTGCTGGAGCCAGGGAGGCTGGACAGCTTGTTCCCAAGAGGTGTCCCCCACAGCCCAACACACCAGCTGTGGCAAACTGCAACCACAGTGCCTCTTCAGGCTTGCCCTGACCCATCCCTCTTCACTAGGCAGACTACCATGGACATTCTTCAAAGAATTAGAAAAAACTACTTTAAATTTCATATGGAACCAAAGAAGAGCCTATATAGCCAAGGCAATCCTAAGCAAAAAGAACAAAGCTGGAGGCATCACGCTACCTGACTTCAAACTATACTACAAGGCTACTGTAACCAAAACAGCATGGTACTGGTACCAAAACAGACATATAGACCAATAGAACAGAACAGAGACCTCAGAAATAATACCACACAAACCTGTCAAAAACAAGCAATGGGGAAGGCACTATTCGGTAAATGGTACTGGGAAAACTGGCTAGCCATATGTAGAAAATTGAAACTGGACCCCTTCCTTACACCTTATATGAAAATTAACTCAAGATGGATTAAAGACTTAAATGTAAAACCCAAAACCATGAAAACCCTAGAAGAAAACCTAGGCAATACCATTCAGAACATAGGCATGGGCAAAGACTTCATGAGGAAAATGCCAAGAGCAAATGCAACAAAAGCCAAGATTGACAAACGGGATCTAATTAAACTAAAGAGCTTCTGCACAGCAAAAGAAACTATCATTAGAGTGAACAGGCAACCTACAGAATGGGAGATGTTAGCGATCTACCCATCTGACAAAGGTCTAATATTCAGAATCCACAAGGGACTTAAACAAATTTACATGAAAAACATCAAACAACCCCATCAAAAAGTGGGCAAAGAATATGAACAGACACTTCTCAAAAGGAGACATTTATGCGGCCAACAAACATATGAAAAAAAGCTCAACATCACTGATCATTTAAGAAATGCAAATCGAAACCACAATGAGATGCCGTCTCACACCAGTCAGAATAGCAATTATTAAACTGTCGAGGAACAACAGATGCTGGTGAGGCTGTGGAGAAATAGGTATGCTTTCACACTGTTGGTGGGAATGTAAATTAGTTCAACCATTGTGGAAGACAGTGTGGCAAATCCTCAAGGACCTAGAACCAGAAATACCATTTGACCCAGCAATCCCATTACTGGGTATATACCCAAAGGAATATAAATTATTCTAAAATAAAGACACACATGCACACGTATGTTTATTGCAGCACTATTTACAATAGCAAAGACATGGAACCAACCTAAATGCCCATCAATGATAGATGGATAAAGAAAATGTGGTACATACACACTATGGAATATTATGCAGCCATAAAAAGAATGAGATCATGTCCTCTGCAGGGACATGGATGAAGCTGGAAGCCATCATCCTCAGCAAACTAACACAGGAACAGAAAACCGAACACCACATGTTCTCACTCATAAGTGGGAGTTGAACAATGAAAACACATTAACACAGGGAGGGAAACAATACAAGACCTGCTGGGGGAGTGGGAGGCAAGGGGAGAAAACTTAGAGGACAGATCAATAGGTGCAGCACACAATCATGGCACATGTATACCAATGTAAACATAGGTATACCTATGCAAACCTGCACATACTGCACATGTATCCCAGAACTTAAAGTAAATTTTTTTTAAAATGAGAGCACACCTAAATGAAATAAAAACTGAAAAAGTAGTATAAAAGATGAATAAAATGAAAAGTTGTTTTTTTCTGAAAAGATGAAAAAAATAATAAACTGCTAGCTAGTCTAAGAAAAAAAGACTTAAATACACAAAATTGAAAATAAAAAAAAGACATTATAACTGATACAACAGAAATAAAAAAGATTATCAGAGATCACTAAAAAACTGGAAAACCTAGAGGAAATTGATAAATTCCTGGACACATACAACCTGCCAACATCAAATCAGGAAAAAATAAAACACTTGAATAGACCAATCATGAGTAATGAGATTAAATCACTAATAAAGTCTCCAAAGAGAAAAAATGTCCAGGACCAAATGGATTCACTGTTGAATTCTACCAAACTTTCAAAGAAGGATTAACACTACTTCTCCTCAAACTATTCCAAAAAATTGAAGAGAAGGGAATTCTCCCTAACTCATTCTATGAGGCCAGCATTTTTCTGATACCAAAACCACACAGATGTAACAACAACAACAAAGAAAACTATAGGCCAATATCCATGATGAGCATAGACACAAAAATCTTTAACAAAATACTAGCAAACTGAATCCAATAGCACATCAAAAAGATAATATACTATGAACAACTGGAATTTATACCAGGGATGCAAGGATATTATAATATATGCAAATCAATAAATATAATACATCATATCAGCAGAATGAGGAACAAAAACCATCTGATCACCTCAATAGATGAAGAAAAAGCACTTGATAAAATTCAATATCCCTTCATAATTTAAACTCTCAACAAGTGAGGCATAGAAAGAACATATCTCAACATAATAAAGGCCATTTCTGACAAACCCACAGCTAACATCACACTGAATGGAGAAAAGTTGGAAGCCTTTTCTCTAAGAACTGAAACAAGACAAGGATACCCATTTTCACTCCTATTCAACATAGTACTGGATGTCCTAGCCAGAGTAATCAAGCAAGATAAATGAATAAAAGTCATCCAAGTTGTAAAAGAGGAAGCCAAATTGTCCCTCTTTGCAAATGACATGATCTTATATTTAGAAAAACCAAAATATGTCACCAAAAACCTCTTAGAACTGATAAATGACTTCAGTTATGTTGCAGGATACAAAATCAACATAACAAAAATCAGTAGTGTGTTTATACACCATTAATGAAATAACCAAAAAAGAAATCAAGAAGGCCACCCCATTTACGATAGCTACAAAAAAAAATACCTACAAACAAATTTAACCAAGGGGGTTAAAGATCTCTATAAGAAAAATTACAATACACTGATTAAGAAATTGAAGAGAACAAGCAAATGGGAAGACATCTCATGCTCATGGATCAGAATTAATACTGTTAAAACAACCATACTGCCCAAAGCAATCTACAGATTCAATGTGATCCCTATCAAAATACCAGTGTCATTTTTCACAAATATAGAAAAAACAATCCTAAAATTTGTATGGAACCAAAAAAGAGCCAGAATCTCTGAAGAAATCCTGAGCAAAAAGAACAAAATATGTGGAAGTATCACACACACTACCTGATTTCAAAATATATTACAAGGCTATAGTAAACAAATAATCATGGTATTGCTATAAAGGTAGACACACAGACCAATAAAACAGAATAGAGAACCTAGAAATAAATCCACATATTTTACAGCTAATTGATCTTCAACAAAGCCATCAAGAATATACAAGGAAAGAATGCCCTCTTCAATAAATCGTGCTGGGAAAACTGGGTAATCATATGCAGAAGAATGAAACTGGACCCCTATCTCTTACTATATGCAAAAATCAACTCAAGATGCATTAAAGCCTGAAACATAAAACCCAAAACTACTAAAAGGAAACAGGGAAAATTCTTCAGGTCATTAGTCTAGGCAAAGATTTTATGGCTAAGACCCCAAAAGCTCAGGCAACAGAAACAAAAATAGACAAATGAGACTTAATTAAACTAAAAAGTTTCTGCACAGCAAAAGAAACAATCAACAAAGTTAAGAGACAACCTCTTGAATGGCAGAAAATATTTGCAAACTATTCACCTGATAGGGACTAACATCCGGAATATACAAGGAACACAAATAATTCAACAATAGAAGAAACAAATAATCCCATTTGAAAATGGGCAAAGGACACAAATAGACATTTTTCAAAAGAAGACATACAAATGACCAACAACAATATGAAAAAATTCTCAACATCACTAATCATCATCTCACACCAGTTAGAATGGCTATCATTAAAAAGACGAAACATAACAGATGCTGTTAAGGATGTGGAGGAAAGGGAATTCTTATACACTTGTTAGTGGGCTGTCACTAACAACCACTATGGGAAGGAGAATGAATAGTTCTCAATAAACGAAAAATAGAACTACCGTACAATCCAGCAATCCCACTATAGGGTATTTATCTGAAGAAAAAAAAAATCAATATATCAAATGAGTACATACATCCCATGTTTATGGCAGCACTATTCACAATAGCAAAGATATGGAATCAACGGATAGGAGTCCATCAACAGACGAATGGATAAAGAAAATGTAGTACATATATACACAATGGAATGCTTGACCATAAAAAATGAAATCATGTCACTTGCAGCAACATGGATGGAACCAGAGATCATTATGTTCAGGAAAATAATGCAGGTACAGAAAGACAAGTATTGCATGTTCTCACTCATACGTGGGAACTAAAAATGTTGATCTCATGGAGGTAGAGAATAGAATGATAGTATCCAGAGGCTGGGAAGCGTGTATGGGTGGGGGGAGTAAAGGGAGATTGATTAATGGCTACAAACATACAGTTAGATAGAAGGAATAAGTTCTAATGTTTAATAGCAAAGGAGGGTGTCTATAGTTTACAACAATATGTTGTATATTTTTAAATAGCTAGAAGAAAGGACTTGAAATGTTTCCAATACATAGAAATGATAAATACTCAAGATGATGGATACCTCAAATACCCTGGCTTGATTATTACACAATCTATGCATGTGATAGAATATCACATGTGCCCTATAAATATATAAAATATTATGTATCAATAGAAAATTAATGATAAAAATAAAAGAAATATGTTGTAATAACATGTTCTCAGCAACAACAAAAAAGAACAGGGAAAGAATTCTGCAATTGCCATTTATACTATCCTCTGATAATCCTGCTGGTTTTATTTATCTAGCTATTTTGATGTTAATTCTTAATGAGCATTAAAATTGTGTCTACTTTGATGTGGAATTTCATGTTTGTCAGAGTACATTTGGCCTAACGGTTTGAAAGAGAGAGAAAGTCTGAAAACCAAAGGATAAGGAAGAATAAAGTGATTTTAAAGCAATTTTGAATTGGTGTTAAGAAGCAGTAAAGGCAAAAGAAAAGCCATTCATAAAAGCTTGGTTAAATTAAAAAGTCGTCAAATGAGCCTACTTTGCCTGGGATGGAGAGAGTTCCTGGGATGTGGGACATACAGTGCTGAAGCCAGGATAGTCTGGGGCAAGCAGGGATGACTAGGCGTCCCGGAGAGAGCCTGAGGTGTTATGGAATACATGCTATGTGCACCTTATAGACTGCCTAAATCCGGAGTGTTCTGGATTCTGAAACCCATGTGTCCCTAAGAGGTCTGAGTACACATATGCTGTCTCTGGAAGGGACAAAAGCACTGGCCACAGCATCTGGGAAAGAAATGGGTGGCTAGAAAGCAGGGACAGGAGAGAGAGTTTTTCACTGCAAATTATTTGCATATTTATAAATACTGAAATTATTGGGGGAAATGTGGTCAGCATTAATTTGGGGTCTCTATGCATCTGAAACAATTAAGTTTCCTGGCTATTTATAAAATCAGTGATTTCCAGTATCACTTCAAATTACTCCCTTACTCTTTTTTGGCCATGTATACTATTACTATGGACTGAATTCTTCCCCCAACAAATTTATATACTGAAGCCCTAAGCTCCAATTTGATGGTATTTAGAGGTAGAGCCTTTGGGAGATAATTAGGTTATATGAGGTAATGAGGGTGGGTCCCTCATGATGGGATTAATGTCCCTATAAGAAGAGACACTAGAGATCTTACTGTCGTCTTCTCTCCCCTCTCTTCTCCCCTCTTCTCCTCTCCTCTCTTCTCCTCTCTTGTCTTCTTTTCTCTTCTCTTTCTTCTCTTCTCTTGTCTTCTTTTCTCTTCTCTTTCTCTTCTCTTCTCTCTGTTATTCTGCCATATGTGGACATACCAAGAAGGCAGCCATCTACAGGCCAGAAAGAGAGAGCCTTCACCAGAAACTGAATCACCCAGCACATTGATCTTGGACTTCCCAGCCTCCAGAACTGTGAGAAAATAAACTGTCGTTGAAACCAAAAAAATTATATTTTAACTAATTGATTTTTAACTTTGCTTAATGATTTTTGACACATGACATATTGATCAGGATATATCATTATGTGTATAGGACACTATATGTGTAAGGACACCAAGTAAGACTAAGGCCTTACTTTGGTCCCTGGCCTCAAGAAGCTCACATCAATGATGAAGAAAGCGAATGTGTGGAGGGTGGGGTGGAGAATAAAAGATATTAAAGGAAAGGCTTTCATTATAGCATCACTTTTAATAGTCAAGATTGAAAACAACCTCAATTTGGAAAATAATGTAATAAATAATTATGTAATAAATGAGTATAATTACTAGTAAGTCATAGCACTACACATGGTAAATCATCGTGTAGCCATTTATATTTGGTTTATGAGGAATTTTATATGCTATACAAATTTGTATGTTGTAATATTAAGTAAAAAACTGGAAAACGAAATTATATGTGCAATATGGTCACTGCTATCTTTAAAAAAATAGGAAAAACAGTGTGGTTGTCTTTGGGTGGCAAAGTTATGGATGACTTCTTTCTACTTTTCTATATTTTTTGATGATTGCTATTTTTACAATAGCAACACCTAATGAGACACTATTTTAAGCACTGTATACATTTAACTTACTTAATTTCTCAAAAACCCTATGAGTTAGGTATGTTGTTATCCCTGCTTTGTAGACAAGTGAAGAACAGACTTAGAGTAAATTTCCCATCACACAGCTATTAGGTTGTGTAGCCAGGATTTGAATTCAATCTGGCTGCAAGTCTATATTGTCCTATAATAAACGTGTATTAATTCTTATTACTGGAAGGCTTCTAATATTTTTTAAAAGCAGATACACACAATTTGCCATAGGAATTCAAAGGAAGAAAATAAGCCCTGCATCCTGGGAATTAGGGAAGTCTTAGGAGAGAGGTTGAATGGGATTTAAACATGCATTAATTGAAGGAGGGGCATGTCAGATAATAGAAGAGCAGGAGCTAAAACAGTTAAATTTAACATTGATGGCCTGCAAACAATGAAGATACATTGTTTTTGTGCCTGTTGTTTGCATTATTTGGTGTCTTTAATCATTCTGCATCTCCTGGGAGTGCTTATTTTGCTCCTGCACAGCGCTTGCTTTTTTCCCAAAATCCAATACCCTTTCAGAAAATGTCAGAACCAAAAGGTATTATCTTGGACAACCCCCCATCCAGATCAAGGACCCCTTTATACAATTCTTAACAAAAAGCTCTTCTATGTCCCTAAAGAGCCCATTTCATTTTTAGAAAACTGTAAATCATTAGAATATTCTTCTTTATATATGGGCTTAAATCTAATGCTCCAAAACTTTTATCATTGGTCTGGTTTGTCCCCAGAGGTATTCAAAGTAACACTAAGCACTCCTTACTTCCTGGGCCTTCAGTTATCAGACTCATCTTGATCTTTTCTTCCCCGTGATACAAATCTTAGTTTCCGTCTGCAATTTTCCATGGGACTTGATGCTCAAATCCTTCCCATCATCATTCATTCTTTTCAGGAAACCCTGCAGTTTTAGAATGATCTTTTTAAAATGTTTACTCAAAACTGACCAAGACCCTCCTATGGAGAGAACCGTGAAATAACTACCTATCGTGATCTGGGCCCTATCTATTAATGCAGCTCGATTTAGAAGCCTCTTTATACTATTGCCTCATGTTCGATGTCATCAACCAAAACTGTTTTTTTGTTGTTGTTGTTGTTGTTGTTGTTGTTTTTTTTTTTGACAGAGTCTCGCACTGTCGCCTGGGCTGGAGTGCAATGGCGCAATCTCAGCTCACTGCAACCTCCGCCTCCTGGGTTCAAGCAATTCTCCTGACTCAGCCTCCTGGGTAGCTGGGATTACAGGTGCACACCACCATGCCCAGCTAATTTTTTTTTTTTTTTTTGGTATTTTTAGTAGAGATGGGGTTTCACTAAGTTGGCCAGGCTGGTCTTGAACTCCTGACCTCATGATCCACCCTCCTCTGCCTCCCAAAGTGTTGGGATTACAGGCATGAGCCACCACACCTGGCCGGATCTTTTTAACATATATCTGTGTGACACGAGGTATTCCTAAATATAGATTTCATTATTTATTCTGCTCAAGAAGGAAGAATATGATCCTGGTATTTGGATGAAAAAGAAATCCAATAATGGAATTTGACAGTTTTCACTTCTCAGAATAGGCCATACACTAAATCACTGGGTTTTGGACATTGAGGAGAAAACAGGGAGGTTGTGTCATGACTTTGCAGATCAAGAGGTTAAAGGGTTTTTATTTTCTGGGGATATACGGGAGAGATAAAAAAAAAATCTGCCTTTCCCTCGCAGGATAGAAGAAAGACACTAGTTTCCACCAAGGGCCTACTGAGAGCACTGTAATACCCCATATTTTGTGAGTGGCAGCATTTGCTCCAAGTGTTGTGTGTGGGCCCTGGACAGGTGTTTATCCCTGACAACATTGCCACTGATTCAGGCAAAATTAGAGGAAAGATAAGAACAATGACTTTTATGAAAAAGTCCTCTACCTTGTTTGGTTGGCAAAGCCTTGTACTAGTCATTTCTTGCTTTCTTTTCTGTGCCTTCCTATGCCACTGGAGTTAAAGCAGAATTTCCTTCAGATGTAACAAACATCCAGTCTCATATTACTCAATTAGCTTGGGCTAAACTTAAATGTAAAGCACTGATCTGCCTTGTCCAGGATCATTCTGTTTTATTTCACCTGCCATTAAGAGGACTGCCATCGCAGGCTTTGAGGGGGATTCTCACTTGATATTGCAAAGACCAGCTGAACATAGTGCTCACAACATATTCTGCTTCTCTTTCTTTATTGGCACACAAATACACTGTATTTCCTAGTTCTCCTTCTATTAGGGATGGGCGGGTAGTTGAGATCTCCTAGGCTGTGACTAGAAGGCTAAGGCCTTTAAGAAGTAAAGTATGTCCCCTGCATGCTCTCAATCTCCTCCACTGGCTGGAGGCAGTGAGGCCCTAGCGGATCCCTGAGCCACAAAATGGAAGGAGGTTTGGTCTTTGAACCACCTTCTGGAAGACAGCCACCTACCAACCTGAAACATGTCTCTTGGTTTGTTGCCTGGATGAGAAATCAACTTCTATTATGTTTGGGCCATTGTTATATTTTGGGTTCTAATTATTACAGCAGCTGGTGACATATTTAGGTTGGTGCAAAAGCAATTGCAGTTTTTGCTATTACTTTTAATGGCAAAAACCGCAATTACTTTTGCACCAACCTAATACGCATAATCTTGACCTTCTCATTGTGTTAAACTGGCTCAGTTTAAGCTATCTTCTCTCTGCACTATATTTCCTTGGAAAAGCAGCCTCTTTATGGCCTGGGCCTCCAGCCTTTCTCTCATCTTTCTCAATTTTGAATTGACACTGTCTCCTCACAGTCATCTGAATTCAGTATACACACGTTGGATAAGAACTTGTCCACAGAAAGTCCCCAACTAGTTTTTCCTCTCTCTGTCCTGGATGGCAAAGCTGAACCATGGTGCTGAGCCAGCATACTTCCTGTGCCTGCCTCTTATGTGTGTTGTTTTTCAGAAGCAAAGTTACAGACAAGACAGGGCTAGAAAATGTAAAAGCACTAGAGCAGCAGTTTACAGACGCCAGTTCACAGACCTGAACTGAGCTGTCTTCGTCAGAATTGCCTGGGAAGAATTTTTGAAAATAGAGATTCATGGGCCTCACACTCAGAGATTTCGATTTGATGTTTCTGAGGTAGGTGACTAGGAATCTGATTTTTGAAGTATCTTTATGACCCTGATGCATAACCACTGTTCTAGACAATGTCATGTCAGGGTCAGCATTAATGCTAGCAAATATTAACAGTGAAGCATCCCATGATGGCCAGCAAAGCATAGTGGGTAACAGCTTGGGATTTGAAGTCATACTTGAGTCTGAGTCCAGGTACCATCACTAATAAGTTGTGACTTTGGTAAACTTACTTAATGTCTCTGAATCTCAGTTTTCTCACCTGTTACCTGGGCTTAATAATGCACAATAAGAAACTTAAATGAAATAGTGACTGTAAAGTCCCTGGCTTGGAGAAAAGAAGAGCTAAATAAATAATTGTGTGTGTGTGTGTGTGTGTGTGTGTGTGTGTGTGTGTGTGTGTGTGTGTATGTGTGTGTGTGTGTGTGTGTGACAGAAAGAGAGAGAGAGAGAGAGAAGTTCATTTACAGAGATGACAGCTGTAACGACTTCCATACTGGGTAAAAACAGCATTGGAACAACACTGCATGTTTAGATCTTCCTCCCACAGATTACATTATCCTTCATAAACTATTCTTGGGGGCTGGTTTTGCTGCTCCCACCACTACTAGAAGTAACCACCAGAGGGAGTGATTTTGCCCCGTCGTGATCTTTTCAATCTAACCACAGTTGGGTTTCCCCTCCCTCCTTCCTTAAGGAAAAACAAAGTGTAGCCAGGCCCAATAGTCTGATGCATGAGTCTAGCCCTGGTACACACTGAGCACAGGGCAATCTCAGCACCCCCTGAGTACAAAGCAGGTCCCATTCAGGGCAGCAGGCCTCCTGCTCTCTGCTGACCCCAACACTGGGCACCCTGGCTTCCTAGCTGCTGGAAAAAGCTCTTTTCACATCACCCAGGACCTCCAACATGTCTCCTCCCTCTGGCCCCTCTCCTACAGCTCTGGGACGCAGCCCCTTTGACTGCAGGTGTAAGAGGTGGCTTGACCCCACTCCGTCACTTGCTCCTGTACAATCCTGGGCTTGTCACTTAATCTCTCGGAGCTTGTCTCCTGATCTTTAGACTCATCAGTTTCACAGGGTTTTCATGAGGATTAAGTAAGCTAATACACATGAACATGGCTTGTAAATGGAAAGCGCCATGTGAGTGTAATGCATTAATGCTGGCATCAGTTAGCATTTAGCAGCTAACTAACCCCATAGCAGCTAACACAAACCCCAGCGCAGCATCACACCCAGTACACTCTGCTTTTCCTATGAACTATTATCCTACTTCCTGTTTCTCCAAGGCAACTTGACAAAAACCAAAGGATTATTCTGCCTTAGCTTAGTTCACTTTCCCAAGTTCGAGTAAGGAATGTTTATAAACCCGCAGAAAGCCCCATTGTGTCTCATCTGTCCCAACTGTCCATTGATTCTTCACAAATTCACAGCAAACTGAGGAAGCTGGATTTTACTACCGGAAGGTCCACGCTCAGGGTAAGGGAATCTTTGGGTTAGAAAAGTGATCCTAGAAGACCCTACTAGGAATTCCCAAAGGACTTTGAAGAATTAAGGAAAAAAATTAATTTAGGTTCTGGGCCAATGAAGAGACTGAAATAAAAATTGGAAGCTTTTACTTCCAGAACTGCCAAAGCTTGTGGGGAAAAGACTTCACTAAGCCTCAGTTTCCTTGCCTGAAAAATGGAGGTAACAATCTGCCCTCCCACTACTCCATGGGATTTTTAGGGGCGTAATATAAAAGAATTACGATACAAAAATAATGTTGAGTACCTACTGTGTGCCAGACACTGTTTTCAGTATTTTATGCTTAAATCTTCAGAACAAACTCATGTGGTCAGCACTATTACCCCATCTTATAGATGAGGAAATCACGCATAAAGGAACAATAGCTTTCAAAGTGCTTATTGATGATTATCATGATTAAATATAAATGTTCAAGGGGACGGGCATAGGACTCATACCTGTAATCCCAGCAGTTTGGGAGGTTGAGGTGGGAGGATCACTTGAGCCCAGGAGTTCGAGACCAGCCTGAACAACATGGCGAAACCCCGTCTCTACCAAAAATACAAAAATCAGCTGGGTGTGGTGGCACACGCTTGTAGTCCCAGCCACTTTGGAGGCTGAAGTGGGAGGATTGTTTGAGCCCAGGAGGTATAGGTTACAGTGAGCTGAGATGGCACCACTGCGCTCCAGCCTGGGCAACACAGCAAGACTGTCTCATAAATAAATAAATAAATAAATAAGTTTCAGGCACTTATATTTCTGCCTTGTGGCACCCAGTGAAGACATGGGCTTTTACTAATCAGATGATAGAGACTGTCAAGTGAGATGAAGTTTTCTGGGTTCCCCTTAGAGCGGGACCCTTCACAGTAGAACATTTTAAACATGACTGCTCCAAAAGGCAGACATCCATGGGTTAAGATAAAGGACTCTGGGTGCCGTCAAACTAGAATGGGGCGCAATGGATGGATACTCATCCATTTCATGGAGGAGACTAGGAACCAGAACACAAGGTGGCCTCCTCTATTCTTTTGCTGATTTCCCCTTCTCCATCCTGTCCAGGCCATGAATACCCTCCTCCCTAATTCTCTTTCTCCCAGGAATACTGCTTCTCTTCTTCCAGCTGCTAAAGAAAGTGGGGTAGATAAAACTCTGCATCACATCATGGAGATGGCTGTTTAATTTGAGATGAGTGTTACATTACTCATTGCTCTGAGCCCCCTTTGATCCACCAACATTTGCTTCTTTTATCCCCATGTAGTGAGTACATTAGTGCCTGAATGCTGCGTGATCTCATTGTCTTTTAGATGCTGTCAGAGATTATTTACTCAGGAAAACAGATGAATATCTTGTTTAATGTCAAAATAATTACTATTTGGCTGGCCTGACAGTTTATTTATGCTTTCAATATTTTTATGTTTATATCAAAAGAGCATTGCTAAAATTGTATTTTGCCATTAAACAGGATATGACAACTTTTTTAAACTTAATTTTTCTGTTTGATGAGTTTGTTTATTAAAATGGTTAGAAGATAACGGAACCAAGTGGAAATGGTCACTCGAGTTGAAATGTGCAGCTTTATGTTTCTTATTTGTATAAAAGCTTGAAAGAGGCAGTAAATAATGCTTTAAGCAAGGGGCACTAAAATGCAGTGGTTAAGAACACAGACTGTAGCCCCAATTTCAAATCCTCACTCTGCAGTCTTAGTCCAGTTTTTCAACCTATCTGTGACTTGGTTTCCCCATCAGCAAAATAGATATTATTGTAAGAGTTGAAGGAGTTCATATACATAAATTTCCTGGCATATGCAAATGCTGCTTAAGTATTAGCTATTATTTAAATAAACATTTGTTTTTTGCTTTTTGTTTTTTTGCAGTTGCAGGATTTAATAGAGTGAAAACAGAGCTCCCATACAAAGGGAGGGGACCCAAAGAGGGTAGCCGTTGCTGGCTCGAATGCCTGGGTTTATATCCTGATCACTGTCCTTCCTGCTGTGCTCTCAGGCAATAGATGATTGGCTATTTCTTTACTTCCTGTTTTTGCCTAGTTAGCATTTTAGTGAGGTCTCTTTATTACCTGATTGGTTGGGTGTGAGCTAAGTTGCAAGCCCCATGTTTAAAGGTGGATGTGGTCACCTTCCCAGCTAGGCTTAGGGATTCTTAGTCAGTCTAGGAAATCCAGCTAGTCCTGTCTCTCAGTAACCCCTCTCAACAGGAAAACCCAAGTGCTGTTGGGGAGGTTGGTCGACGACCGCTCTAACTGCTTCCTGCTGAATTGGGGCATAATAGGGGTTGTGCAGTTGAGATTTCCTTGGGAGGGGTGCCTTCAATGTCATTAACACGGAGCATGGGCTAGCAGGCCAGTCCAAGGGTCCTTGGTAGATTTTAGTCATGGACTGCATCTGGGGCTCCAATTTAAGAACGATTTGCAGCTTTACAGCTTCAATTCTGGAAGAGACAAACTTAACAAGGAAATAAAAGATACAGGGTCCAAAGAGGAGTAACAATATTATAGCTGCTAGAGGTCCTAAGAAGGGGAGAATTCAGGGCATCCATTGGCTGAGGAGGCCCCAGGGTCCAGTGTTTTGAAGCTCCTCTGCTCTACATTGCATTCGATCTTGAATTTCTTTAAATTTCTCGGTAACAATTCCAGATTGATTAACATAACAACAGAATTCTTCCCCTAAAAATAAACAGGTTCCCCCTCTTTCCGTGGTTAGCAAGTCTAAAGCTCTTCGATTTTGAAGGACTACTGCTGCTAGGGAGTTAAGTTAATCTTGCAAGGTGACCAGGGAGTCGGCGACCCATTCCATGTCACCATTTAGTTCTTGAGACAGTTTGTAGTAGAACTGAGTAGAGGTTGTGATACCACCACACAGCACACCTAGCACTCCTGCTCTGATAACAAAAGGAAGAATGGGTACTCTTTTGTTGCGGGGCTTAGGTACATGATTGTATAAATCTAGTTCTTGAGACAGTTTGTAGTAGAACTGAGTAGAGGTTGTGATACCGCCACACAGCACACCTAGCACTCCTGCTCTGATAACAAAAGGAAGAATGGGTACTCTTTTGTTGCGGGGCTTAGGTACATGATTGTATAAATCTTGTTCAGTGTAGATGGTCATAGGAGGCACTAAGAATGAGAGGAAGCACATAGATTCTGAAGAGCCATTCAAACAATGATAGGCTGAGGTACCACAGACAAAAAATATTCCTGAGGGTAGGCAGACCACTCATGTGGGAGGAGTTACCCACCTGAAATAAACACAAGTTTTACAGTCATTCTGTGAGTTTGAAATGGGGAAAGGGAGTCCCTATAATTTTATAAGGGACTTGACCTAGAGTGAATCTCCGTGAGCCACCACCTTCCAATGTCTCTGGCCCAATGGCCACCTTGCCTCCATTTTGTAAAGCAAGAAGCCTTCTAAATTCGAAAGCCCTGTCCTGACACTGGACAAATCTTCCTGTTTCTTGGCTGAGCTTACCTGGAAAGGTGTTAAAAAGCCAGGTTTACTTGGCAATAATGTGCCCACTGTTTTCTCTTTTTGGGGGACTCTCTATAAGATTAATTCATCTACACAGACAGGTTTCTCTAGCCATAAACCTTTATTTATTTTCATTCAGCAGCTTTTATTTCAACTCTTTTGTTTACCAAAGAAGCTTAAGGGAGGAAAAGCCCTCCCGGCAGGTTACAACCACTGTGGCACTTGGAAAGAGACACACGGGATGAGGATTCTACAACATAACCCTGCTGGGAGCTCTTCTGGTTATTTTGGCTTTGTTTTTGTGTGGTATGTTACTTCTTTATTCTTCATATGACTGCAACTTTCTATTAAAATAAGCACATATAACTAGATATTAATTCACTAATTCAGCCAAACCAGGTTGTTTCTATTTGCTTCTCAGCTGGGTGATAAATGTATTGGTTTAGCCTCAGGTATGCTTTCTCAAATTCAAGTTCTTTTCTCAAGTTTACAATGGCTTGTGGAGACTCATCTTTCTGCAAGATGTCATTTCTTTTTTTTTTTTTTTTTTTTGAGATAGTCTTGCTTTGTTGCCAGGCTGGAGTGCAGTGGCGCGATCTCAGCTGACTGCAACCTCTGCCTCCTAGGTTCAAGCGATTCCCCTGCCTCAGCCTCCCAAGTAGCTGGGATTACAGGCATGTGCCACCATGCCCAGCTAATTTTTTGTATTTTAGTAGAGATGGGGTTTCACCATGTTGGCCAAGATGGTCTCGATCTCCTGACCTCGTGATTCGCCCGCCTCGGCCTCCCAAAGTGCTGGTATTACAGGCGTGAGCCACCGCGCCCAGCCAAGATGTCATTTCTTAAGAGCACTTCTCTCTACCCTGAGAAGAATGAATCCAGAAATGGTTCTGTTTGTGTGTTAGGTTACCAGGTTTGGGGCTTGTTTCAAGTCTATGTGACCTTTGAATTTCCCTCTTTGCCATGGAGAGGCAGGTAGGATGACTGGAATCAGGACTGGCAGAGAAGACTACAGAGCCCATTATACTCCCAGAAAGTAAGCCAGGGTGGGGCTGGCTTCCTTAATTTTCCCAAAGCCCCTTAGCAGAAGACTAGTGGCCCCACAAAAGACACATTCTGTCTTGCAGAGATTAGATGCCATACACTATTTTTTACCCAAATGGCAAGAATTACACATGGCATTTCTGCCATGTTGTAAATTCTTTCTATGTATCTGGCATTAAAGATCTGAGAATAATAAAATTTTGTTTTATTCCTTCACCAGAAATTTCAGAAATATCAACATTCAAAAGCCTGAGATGGGCGCAGTACCAGGCTACAATTAAAGTCAAGCACTAATGAAATAGCAATTTAATTAGGGTAGAATAGACGTGTCATAGTGAAATACAATTCTGTGTGTTGGGAATCGATTCTTAGACCTGAAAAGGACCTTAAAAAGCCATTTAGGACTCTTCTGATATTAAAAACCTTAGAGAACCACATTAACTGACAAAAAATTTTAAAGTGCAGGATGTGGCAAAATAGAAATACATTGTGCAGGATGTGGCAAAACAGAAATACACTCCTGGTAGGGATACAAAGTAGTTCACACATTGTGGATAGCGACTTGGCAATATCTAGAAAACTCAAATACGTACATGCCCCTGCTTCACATATTCCACTTCTAACATATATACCTTAGGAAAGAATCTCATATAAATGCCCAAGCAGACAAGCAGAAGATGTTCACTACATATTTGTTTTAACAGCTTAATATTGGATAAATATTGAATATCAATATGAATTGATGAATATTGAAATGTTCATCAAACAGAAGATGGATAAATAAGTTATATATTTTTACAATATAATATAATACAACAGCTAAAATAAATAAGCTGAGCTTTGTGCATCAACACGCATAAAAGTTGGGCCCGGCGCAGTTGCTCACGCTTGTAATCCCAGCACTTTTGGAGGCTGAGGCAGGAAGATAGCTTGAGGCCAGGAGTTCAAGACCCGTCTGGACTACATAATGAAAACCCATTTCTAAAAAATACTAAAATCTCAGCCAAGCTACTAAAATCTCCCCCAGTTACTTGGGGGAGGCTGAGGCAGGAGGATTGCTTGAGCCCAGGAGTTCAAGACTGCAGTGAGTTATGATCACACCACTGTACTCCAGCCTGGGTGACAGAACAAGACTCTGTCTCTAAAAAATAAAAAATAAGATGGCCGGGCGCGGTGGCTCAAGCCTGTAATCCCAGCACTTTGGGAGGCCGAGGCGGGCGGATCACAAGGTCAGGAGATCGAGACCATCCTGGCCAACATGCTGAAACCCCGTCTCTACTAAAAATACAAAAAAATTAGCCGGGCGTGATGGCGGGTGCCTGTAGTCCCAGCTACTCGGGACGCTGAGGCAGGAGAATGGCATGAACCCGGGAGGCAGAGCTTGCAGTGAGCCGAGATTGCGCCACTGCACTCCAGCCTGGGCGACAGAGCAAGACTCCGTCTCAAAAAAATAAAAAAATAAATAAAAAATAAAAAATAAAAATTTAAAAACAGATAAAAGTTGGAAACAACGCTAAGTGAGAAAAACAAGTTGCTGAAGGATGTGTTCCCAGGATGATGTCATTTATGTGGAGTTGAGACTATATGCAAATACATACATACCCAGTAAAAGTAAAAATATAGAAGGGAACCATATACACCAATTTCACAAGAATGCTATCTCTGAAGAGGGGAGGCCAATCAGGGAGGAATAAATAGGGCTTTCAACTGCATCTGTAAGAATTTATGACATTAAAAAATAGACATGAAAAAATATGGCAAAAACTGCTCTGTAAGAATTTATGACATTGAAAAATAGACATGAAAAAATATGGCTAATATTACTGTGGTAGACACATGATTTCTTTTAATTCCCTGAGCTTTTGTATGCTTCAAATATTTTTTAAATTCCCTGAACTTTCTGTACATATGCTTTCTTTCATCATCCTTACAATGTAGATGGCAGGGCAGCTAGACTTTTCCTCACATAACATTTCTGTTTAGACTCATGTTTAGACTCTTTTATGATCGTTAATATCTTTAATTCTTCAATTGCAAAGGAGCTTGAGGTTCAGGAAGAGCATTTTATTTTCTAATAAGTTCTTTCTGTCCTCAAGTGCTCTTGTTCAGACAACTGAAAGTCATTTCCAAATTAAATCAACTCATCAATGTCTGGACAGAATTGCTTCTCTGCCAATAGAGCTTATTCTTCTTAGGTATTTCTCTGTTCCCAAGGGTGTCATGACACCTTCCCATCTAATTCCATCAGCCAATTTGTGAAGGTACTGTTTGTTCTCTAATCCAGATCACTAATGACTCTATCATGTGTTTCTATCTGATTCTCTTGGTTAGGAGAGAATTGTCTTCTGCCTAAGCTGAAGGAGAGATCTTACTCTCAGTAGAGACATTAAAGTTGCCAAAATAGCTCCATAGGATTGTCCATTCTCTTACTGCCTGTGTGCTTTCTCAAGGGTAAATTAAAAACCTGAAAAATATGTTGCTTAATGAAAACCCAATGTATTGTTCTGGATTACCCCAACTATGCACTTGCATCCTCTTTTTTTTTTTTTTTTTTTTTTTTTTGAGATGGAGTCTCCCTCTGTCGACCAGGCTAGAGTCCAGTGGCGCCCTCTCGGCTCACTGCAAGCTCCACCTCCCAGGTTCACGCCATTCTCCTGCCTCAGCCTCCCAAGTAGCTGGGACTACAGGCACCTGCCACCACACCTGGCTAATTTTTCGTATTTTTTTTAGTAGAGACAGGGTTTTACCGTGTTAGCCAGGATGATCTCGATCTCCTGACCTCGTGATCCGCCCACCTTGGCCTCCCAAAGTGCTGGGATTACAGGCATGACTACCACGCCAGGCTACATCTTCTTTATAGTTGGCTCAAACTCCAAGAAATTTACCTCTAATTTGAAACATCAGGTCAAGGTTAGCTATACAGAAAAACAAATATTTAAATTTTCTTTGAAAAATCTTCGAGAGCACTAAATGGAAAATAAAAGAAATAGACACATTTCTACAGGGCTGCTGAATAGATAGAAATGGGAAAATTTAGTGCTTAGGGTGTTTACAAGTCTCTGTCCTCTTCTGTTTCCCAGTTCCTCTCAACGGGAACATTGAAAAATGCAGAAGGTTATTATATAATGAATAACCTTAAAGACAAAAGCATAGGATGAGTTCAAAGAGGACAAGGTCAAAATTTTTTAATTAAGGAAGAAAACCCAATTTCTGTTATATGCCTCCATCATTTTATAAGCATGCTCATTCATGATAAATTATTATTATTGTGGAACAGATGGATGAATCTCAATCATTATACTATAATGGAAGATTAAACATTTTCTTAACTTCTATTCATCAAATTAAGTCTTTATACCCACAACAAAGGACAATGCATCAATGTTATCATTAGGGCTTTTTTAAAATATAACTTTAGTGTGAAGCGTAATAAGACATGATTAATATACTGACAAAAGTAAATACTAAACAACACACATTAGTCTAGATTAGAATCACTTTTTCAGTACTTCCATTTTGTAGCTTCTCAGGTTGCTATGAATTGTGTCAAAGAGAAATGACCATCAAAATAATCTGGTCTTTTCAGCTACATCTTTACCTGTAAAATATTGCTTATTCTCTAAAGCTGTGGGTTGAAAGGGTGATAGTATCTATTCAACCCCCAGTGAGGAGATAGGGTTCTCATTTGGTTGAGTTTTGTGTCACATTTAACAGATTGTCGGGGCTGGAGAGAAATCTCAGGATCTACAGCCCCACTTGTCCACCCCTTCCCAACACGAAAGAGCATCCAGAACTACAGCAGATCCACAAAGCAGAGCCAATCTTTACAGAGGCTGGGAAGGCAGTTTCACAATCTCCCTCTAAATTGCATTTCAACACTTTTCATCATTACCAAACACTCATCTGTAGAGGCAAATTTAAAGAACTGACAGTCGCAAAAAACTACATAGTAGGACAAAGAGCACTAAACTGGGAGTCGTGGGATATAAGACCAAGCCCCTGATCACCTTATGAACCAGAGGATCTTGCACATGCTGTTTAGTTTTTTATCTTATTTTTTACTTATAACATTTATTACCATCTCTGACCAGATGCACATTAAGCATTTTGTATATAATGTCTCAGTTTATTCATTAGGAAACCCCTTCCCCCACTACATAGGTCCTATTATCCCCTCTTATGCCCATTGTTATTATTCTTGCTAATTTATAAAGAACTGAAATACAACAAACTTATGAAGGCTTCAAGAAAAAATTGTCCTGTGTGTAGTTCAGGTGCTGAAAAAATTTAAAAGAAAAAATTGCAAGAGTAGTTAACAGGCCTCATGCATTCATTGTTCAATGAAATATCAATAGTTAAATATTTGAAAACATAATAAAGAGGATCAAATGTCAACTACTGTGCAGCAGCACATCATCTATCAAGCGTGGGGATCCCCAGCTGACATATGTGCTAAGATTTTTAACATAAAAAAAAATTTCATGACAAATTTTCCCATCAGTCCAACCAAATTTTGGAGGTCATATTTTTCAATCAATAAAGCCTAACAAAGTAGGGTACTATGTGGAAAGAAGAAAAACAATAGTCCACTATAGTTTACAATAATGTATTATATATTTCAAAATAGCTGAAAAAATAATTCTAATGTTCCTAACCTAAAGAAAAGACGAATATTTAAGGTGATGGATATCCCAATTACACTGATTTGATCTTTACAAATTATATGAATGTGCTAAATTATCACATGAGCCCCAAAGTATAACGATTATGTAGCAATGCAAAAATAAAATTAATTTTTAAATGCTCAAAGATGCTCTATGAAGTAAAATACCAGCAAAACCAAGTAATGACTCTATGTTTGCTTCACCTTACAGAGAGGAGCTTGATCCACACAACAAGAAACATTTCAGCTTTTCAGGAGGTAATGCAGGAAGGTAGTGGGACGTAGTTTAAGTATCTGCAGTACTAGAATAATTACTCTACCTCTTAACCATAAAATAACCCTGATATAAATCAATCCTTTTTTGGTAATGATCCAGAAGTCATGTCAGATCTTGAGGCCCTGCAGCATCATTTCCTACATTATCACTGAACAGAACTGAAACTTCAGAGCTATAAAAAGATAGGCTGAATCTTGCTATCAGACCACTTGTCTGTCATTCATTTATTTCTTGTTAACATTCAGTACAGACACATGCATGCCTACACAGGCTCGGTTTGGACTCTAGATACAGAATTTATGATACCTAATCTAAATCTAATCCTTGTTTAAATCCCATTGTCTTTTATTTTTAGACTAAAAAGACAAGATGAAAGATTTTCTTCATGAGTGAGATGCTATTGTAAAAAGAACATAGCCAGACTCTGATATTATGAGGAAGAAAACAAGCTTGGAGGAAGGGCCCGGCAGGGGTAAGGGTCACACATACATAGTTTGGTGTGGGAGCCAGCAAGCAAATGTACTGTCAAGGAATCATGGAGATGACTGGCGGAAAGAAGGCAGTTACACAACAGTGTGTACAGTTTGATCTCATTCTACAAAAATACATACATATATACACATAGATGTATTCTTGGAACTATATGGACTAAGGTATAAACAGGAGCAATCCCTGGGTAGTGGGAACATGATGTTTTCCTTTGCTTATTTTTATCTGTATTTTCTAACTTTCTTCAATGTAAAAACACTGATTTTGTAATAATTAAGGGTTTTGCTAGTTATTTACTTAAAGTAGATAACTTTCTCTACACGTCTCATAGTCTTGCTTTATTGCTCCATCTTCTGTCTATTCATCATGGTCTCAACTGCAAGGTAAGGCTAGCATTTTCCCTTTTGTTCTGAATGTTGGAAAAGGACCAGTATTGAAGAATATGCTAAAAGGCTGTGATTGCTGTCTCTTCCCTGCCCTCCTCAGCACACACATGCACATGCGCACATGCACACACACACAGTTATGCTTCTAACTCAGAAACCTGTGTCTGACTCTAAGTTCCTCTATTTGTTAGCTCTTGGCCCAGACAAATGAATTAACTTCTCTCCACCTCAGATTGTTCAATTATTAAGTGTGGTTGGTAATACATACCTTAAAGTGTACTGAGTGAATTAAGTGAGAAAAATACTTGTAAAAACATGGTAGACATTCATAAATGGTAGAGCCCCAGAAAGCACATATGTGGCAATTATGTGGGGAAACCATTGCTCTTGGATGCTGACAAGTTGAACCCTGTGTCTCTCGGACTATTGGAACTGAAGCCTAAATATGATTTCTCATCTACAAAAATTACTGAAGCAGGGAAAGAAAAGGTATTCACCTTTTGCTACCCACTTTCTTATTGCCAAGAAATAGAACATTGTTTCCTGATAATCTGACAGGAATGGATATAGAAAAGAAGATGAAAATAAAATGCTATCTCATTTCACAACTGCAAAGAAAAGTATACAAAGGTCTTGGCATTACCATGTAAATACCATAATATAGAAAAAGTGTTACAAAAGATGATTGCAGAGTTTTTCCTAATCTGAATTCAAGAATCTACTACTGTCATAAACTGCCCCAACCCTCCTCTGTCCATCCCCAAATGTATTCACCAATATCTGTTACAGACTTGTCAAGAATATGGCTTGCATTGAGTAAGTGAGCGAGAAGCCAAATTTATGGCTGGAGGTCAGACGAAGATTTGGGAGATAAGTCTCAAGGGATGTGTGTGTGTGTGTGTGTATGTGTGTAATACAGATGCTTCTCAACCTACGATAGGATTATGTCCCAATAAACCCATCGTAATTTGAAAATGTCCTAAGTTGAAAATATATTTAATACATCTAACCTACCAAACACCCTAGCTTAGTGTAGCTCACCTTAAACGCACTAAGAACACTTTTATTAGACTACAGTTGGGCAAAATCATCAGGCAACACAGTCCTCTATAGAGTATCAGTTCTTTACTCTCAGGATCATGTAGCTGACTGGGAGCTGTGGCTCGCTGCCACTGCCCAGCATCTTGACAGAGTACTGTACCTCATATCGCCAACCTGGGAAAAGATCAAAATTCAAAGTACACTTTCAATTGAATGTGTACCATTATAAGGTGAAGCATCATAAGTCTAGGAACATATGTACTCATTTGTGCAATGTAAATCCTGTCTTCACTCTTTCCTATGAAACCCTCAGTAAAATCTGCATTGTTCACAAATGCTTTCGTGCAAATAAGATTCCTTATGATGAATTTAAAGGAGTGACAAGAGGAGGTAATCATGGAGGTTGCCCTTGGGGCCAGCTAACATGTGGGTCACTTTACTCTGAATGAGTTCAAGGTCCTGCTTAGTGCCAGTCAAACCAGCGTTGGCAAATCCCCACTGTTGCAATGTGATGCAAACACTTTCATAACCAACTTTCACCATTGATGTAGCCAGCCAAGGTAACGTGTTCAGTGATGCTACGCAAGAACTATCAAACTTACCCAACTCTCACTATGGCCCACCAGTCTGGGGTGCCCTCAGACTACTTTCCTCGAACCTGGGGCCTCCTGGGTTCCATTCTTGCCCTCCTGTACTCAAGAATAACTGACGCATTATTATCTCCAGAACATAGTCTTTCTGAGCGGCCCTGCAGGCATTTTATTAAATGATACTGCTTAATCATTTGAAACTAATTCTCTCATCACCTTTTTTAGAAAATTTCAAGACCAAGTATCACTAACTACCCTATACAATGCTTCTGGGGTTTCAACACATTTCTATCTCTTTTCAGGTAAATTCTAAGAGTTCATGTCCCTGCTGTTATAAGTGGACTGGCCTAGTGTAAAGGTCAGAATTTAATACAACAAACAGAAACTGCTCTCAGTTTTTCAACCTGTAAGAGATTTAACATAGGGAATTGGGTTCTTTTAAACAATGGAAAGTCTCAAGGGGTGAAAGTCAGGAGGCCCCAATAGCCTGTGTTACAAAGTTCTAACATCATCACCTTGCAGTACTCAAAATAATTTACAAATTAACTGACAGCTTAAAATGTTTTTCCACGATAGGATTTCTCAATTTTAAGGGAAGATATACTGTATATAAGATAAACATTTCAGGCAAAATTGCAGAACACATTTGGAGTAGATAGGCTTGTAGAGCCTAGGACCTATAAAGAGGAATGTCTACATGTCTGGAGGTCTAGTCCTAAATAAGTGATGAAATTCTATTCAATGTTAGAAAAAGAGAGAGCAAGCTCCTTGAGGACAGAGGTTTTGCCTTTTTTTTGGTTCTATCTCTAGCCCTTGGTAGAGCACCTGACGTAATAGGAATTCTACAAATAGGAATTCTATAAATTTTTAAGTGAAGAAATGAGTGAGTAAACATGGCAGGAAGCTGCTTGGTTCTTTGTCTCTCTGCCATCTCATCACATCCACACATGATTTTGAAGGACATAATGTTTTCTTCATCAATCAACACAAACCCCACATTTGGTCCTTAGACTTGTCTCTGTGATTTTGAGTGGTAAAGGACATGAACAGACACTTTTCAAAAGAAGACATACATGTGGCCAACAAACACATGAAAAAACTCAGTATCACTGATCATGAGAGTAATGCAAATCAAAACCACAATGAGATATCATCTCACACCAGTCAGAATGGCTATTAAAAAGTCAAAAAATAGCAGACACTGGTGAGGTTGTGGAAAAAAAGGAACACTTATACACTGTTGGTAAGAGTGTGAATTAGTTCAACCATTGTGGAAGACAGCGTGGCTATTCCTCAAAGACCTAAAGACAGAAATACCATTCAACCCAGAAATCTCATTACTGGGTATATATCCAAAGGTATATAAATCATTCTGTTATAAAGACAGATGCAGTTTATGTTCATTACAGCACTATTCACAATAGCAAAGGCATGGAATCAACTTAAATGCCCATCAATGATAGACTGAATAAAGCAAATATGGTACATATATACCATGAAACACTATGCAGCCAAAGAATGAGATCCTTTGCAGGGACATGGATGGAGCTGCAGGCCATTATCCTTAACAAACTAAAACAGGAACAAAAAACCAAATACTGCATGTTCTCACTTAAGTGACAGTTAACTGATGAAAACACAGGGATACATACAGGAGAACAGCACACACTGGGGCCTATCTGAGGGTAGAGGATGGGAAGAGGGAGAGTATCAGGAAAAATAACTAACGGGTACTAGGCTTAATACCTGGGTGGTGAAATAATCTGTACAATAAACCCCCACAACACAAGTTTACCTATGTAACAAACCTGCACGTGTACCCCTGAACTTAAAAGGTTTTAAAAATTGATTTTTTCAGTTTTTATTTGGAGGATGTTCTTACTTTGTTTGGTTTTGTCTAGTTGATTGCTTTAGTAAACTCTATGTTTCTTTGAGGCACAAATAGCCTCAAAGCATTTTGAGATAGCATATGTTTCTAAGATATTTCTCACTTGTGTTAACATTAACCATGTTATAGGACTTGCCTGAGGCACCCTGCCCACGTACAAGCTATCTTTCAGAAAATTTTACCAAAATGGGCATAAGAGCAGACAGGGAAAGACAGCCTGAATTAAAAGCAATTTTTAAAAAGTGGGGTATAAAGTGCCTCACAAACAAAGTACTGTAACAGGTATTATGGACCAGAAGTAGCAATTATAAAAAAGTAAGAGGCAAAGTATATTCTGCGCCCATAAACATACTGCTGATACAGATGAAAAATCTAAAACCTGAGCTTTTCAGAGTAAATTGCAGTCTTTGAAAAGACAGATCAAATTTGGGAAACTATTAAAATCTAGATTGAAATATCTCTCTTCTATCATCAATTTTGTCACAAGTAATAAAAATCCTCAAGCATCTTTAACTAGAAGTAAATAATCCATTCTTGAGTAGCGGAAATACTGACATGCAAACCAATGCTATTCAAGATTGGACTAAAGAAAGTCCTAGCTCAAAATATACAGGCATAGTAAAACCAAAAGAATAAAGGCTGTATCTTCATAATTACTTTCTTTCTGAGCCAGAAATAATTTGTGACTACAGGCTAATCTAATGTATTGCATTTGGATAGTTGTGATATCATCTAAACTTTCAAATAGTGCCCATTAAGTTGCACAACAAACATAAATATAACAGCTAAGCAGAGTTCCTACCTTCCTAATTTAAGATTTATCTCAGAAATTATTGCTGTATAGTGGCAAAATTAAGTTGAGAATAAGAATGTTAAGTCAAAGAAGACAATCTCATTATTTTAGTAGGAGGTGTAAGAATTCCTTTCAGGGAGGGAGCCACTTTTGTTGTGAAAATTCCTACTTGGGTATGAAGCAGAATCAGTAACGCTCACCAAATATTCTATGGCTTCCCTGTATTTCTAAGCCCTTTAAAGTTAGTGGAGTTATGTGGGGCATCTTCTGGCCAATGAGCTATAAGAAGTGAAACCATGTGTCACTTTGACATAGAAGCATAGAGGAGCATTTGATGTGTTGAAATGGTGGAGCCCCTGTCAGCCTGGTTCCCTGAGTGGCTCTTTGGAGCAGAGACCCTTAATGACCCATACTGAACATCTATCAAGAGTAGGAAACAAATTTTTTTTTTATGATAGCCTCTAGGATTTTAGAGTTAATTTGTTATGGAACATTCATCACACCTATTCTGACTAACACAGATTAGAAGACAGATCCTGAAAAGCCTGGATACTCACAGAATTGATCTATGTGAAGAATGTGGTCTTAGTTTAAAAAGGAAAAGAAATGTAAAGAGAAGAATAGGCACAAAACGAAGGGAGGCTGTGAGTTATACAATGGTATCCTCATCCTATAACTTCCAGATCTTAAGTAAATGCTACAAAAACTCACAAAATGCTTGGTGTCAGTGGATTATCAGTAAAGCGGTAAATCTTTGCATGAGGGTGATACAGGAAGAGATTGCAAACAGCATATTTGCTCTTAGAAGCAACACCAAAACAGCATTGGGAAGTAGCAGAAATCGTAGGCAAGCTTATGAGATCTTCAGCCCATAAAACGGGGTTTGAGGCCCTCATGTGTCAAATTCAGAGTTAAGGAAGCCTAAGCTTTCTTGTTTTGTCTCAGCTATTGGACCACTTCTTTTAACTACAGGAAAAAGTTTTTTATTAAAAAAAATTTTTTTTTACTTGAATCAATAAAATCCAGTAATTTATGATCATAGAATCTCTGGATCTCAGGGTTAGAAAGACCATTAAAAGTCACCTATTCTACCTCTTCCTACCCTCATTTTCTAGGATAATCTCACCAGGTAGCTTTTGATCTCTGCTTGGACATGTCCAGTGCAGGATATTCACTCTCTCTCAAAGGAGCACTTTCGATCTCTGCAGAGCTTTGATAGTCTGTAAATTCTCCCTTACATTAAACTGAAATCTTTCTCCCTAGAACTTTTAGTGGCCCAAGTTCTACCTCTTGAGGCATATAAAACAAGTCTAATCCCTCTTCCACGAAATAGGCCTTCAAATACTTGAAGGCAGCAACAATCATGTTCTCCTTTCTCTGTAAGTTATTTTTGGAAAAGCATTACTCATATTCTTATCACCAAGCCTGGGTGCAGTCTGTCCCCTTTTCTTCTACTAATTACTCTGCTCTTCGGAAATGAGTTAGATGCCAGGGAGGGGGAATAAGAGGGAATACAGATCATGTTAATATCATGTTAATATCAACCAAAGACCTAATTAAGCAAGATTTCTTGTCTGCTCATTACCACTTCATGAATCTCACCTCAAGGGACCCATTAAGTGGGTGAGAACCAGAGTTGCCTTTTGAGTGGCTCAAGTAAGGGCTGCCCTCATGGTATCAGTTGAGACTATACCAGACAGGGCCCTCTGCCTTAAAATGCCAAACCCGACACAAAACATCTGGCTATCTTTGGATAATTGGGGTTTTCCTGATGCACCTCCACAATAACAATTATGGTTTTTTTGTTGTTGTTTTGGGTTGTTTGTTTGAGACAGAGTCTCTCTCTTGTCTCCCAGGCTGGAGTGCAATGGCACAATCTCGGCTCACTGCAACCTCAGACTTCTGGGTTTAAGCGATTCTCCTGCCTCAACCTCCCGAGTAGCTGGAATTACAGGCGCGTGTCACCACGTCCGGCTAATTTTTGTATTTTTATTAGAGACAGGGTTTCACCATGTTGGCCAGGCTGGTCTCGAACTCCTGAGCTCAGGTGATCCACCTGCCTCGGCCTCCCAAAGTGCTGGGATTACAGGCATGAGCCACCGCACCCAGCCACAATAAAAATTATGAGACAACAGTTCTCTGATTGCAGCCCATTCACCAAGATAAGACCATCCATTCTCATCTGCTAACAACACGCAGAGTCAAAGTCAAAACTGGTATCACTGACCAGCTATATTTGAACAGCAGTGAAATTAGGAAACATTTCTCCTCCATACTGTTCTAGCCTCATTTATAACACAAGCCCCCAATATATTATGTTCCCCATGTCTTACCAAGATTTCAAACAACTTTCAGATTATTTTCAGTCCCTGATTTCTACCACTCAGACTGGGCTGGAGGAACTCTAAGAAACAGACTTCCTGCTGACCCTCCTGCTCTGACTTCTAGGCATGTCTCTGGTCCAAATTTGGGCTCCTCTTCCTCCCTCATGCAAATGAACTCTTAAAGATTAGTCCATCAAGTCTTCTAGAGATGTCTACACAAGTCTGAATTCTAGGGTAAAAGTGGCTGAGGTTTAAGTTGAGAATCAGGATGGCAGATTCCTGGCTCTTAAAGGTTTTTAGTTTGAAGAAGATGAAATGCATGAATCATACTAGGGCAGAAAGAGTTCACAATAGGTGTTTTGGTGACAAAACACTTGTCCTACATAGCTCAAGGGTAAATGCCAATACATATTTAGAATGGAGCAGTGAAACTGAAAATAAATTTGAACCCCCCTAATGTAAAGCTTCTGTTTCATATCCTGGCTCTTACCAACCGAGTGACATTGAGCAAGTTATTTAACCTTTCTGAGCCTCATTTTCTCACCCTAAAATGGAGATAATATCAATATTGTCCCTATCACTCCCAACCCCCTTACTGTTTAGTAAGAATTACATGACATAAAATATGTAACTAATGCAGTGCCCGGTACAAAATAAGGAGTCAGTTAATATTAGCTCTTCTTCCCCAACCAGCTCAGCTCCTTTCCTCTTCCTTATCCAGGAAATACAGAAATATATGGATTCACCATAGAAGCTGGAACCAGCTCCTCAGATGCAGCAGATGGATTGGCCCACTCTGTAACGGCCCAGGATGGGGCAGGTGTTCTCCCACAGGGTGACTGAGAATGTGAGCCTCAGAACGAAATGTAAGAACATCAGGCTCCATGAGGAATGGCTGCAGCCACAAACTACAGGTCAGTGTTCACAGGTGCTCGTAGGAAGAGAGAGGGGTTTGCATTTTTTTTTCACCCAGATGGAAATATGCATTCATAAAATGATTTTTCCCAAAAAAAAAAAAAAAAGGAGTTTGTGCCTGTGCATGTAGTGCATCTCTTTGTCTTTTTATCCAAGAAAGCCAGTACCTTTTACAAAATGATGACAAAATAATAAAAATATCCAACAGTGGAGGGAGATGCAGCATCAGCTCGGCATGGTGTAACACAAAACAACATGCCCTTAGATAAGAAGCACTTGATCTAAATGTATGTAGAAGCCAATAAATAATTATCCAATATGGAAAAGAGATGGGGTAAAAATTTTAATGCCATATCTTCCTTACTTGCCATTTTCCCCAGTGTACCTCAGAAAAGGGAAGGTTTTTTTGTGTGTGTTTGTTTTTTTAAATAAATAAAGCCAGAGTTCTTCCGCCTAGCCCCTCCACCCCCAAGCATCTTGCTAGGGAACAGCAAGGCATTAACTCAGAGGGGAGGCTGCCACCTACTGGGCCACCAATAACATCCTTCAACATTTTTTGTTGGCCTTTCCAGGTCTCCCCTTAACAATCTCAATTTGACCTGAACCTGCTTTGTTAGTGACAGTGACAACAGCGTAGCCCAAGGTACTACTATATAGAAACTTAAAAGCTGCGGCATAAATTAATCATATGACAATGTCTTACAAACTTTGCAGCAAAACATTTTTTTCTTTCAGCCTCAGAGACCCAAATTCAAATGGAAAAAGAAACCTTTCTCTGAATTTCTCTGTTGTTTTCTGAGGACAAAGTGCTTTAATAGTCGGTAAGTGCTGCTAATTGCTCCCCAGACAGCCCTAATCTAGCCATTTCCTCCCTACCTTTTACTCCATAAATCCTTCAGAAAACTAATATATTGGTTAGCATTCCCCAAAAGTACCCACTGGATTTGATTGGTTTATATGTTATAGTTTCTCTACATCCATCCATTTGAAAGAGCCTATTTCTTTTTTTGATAAATCTTCTATTATTGATGCTCAAAATAACTTCAGGCTTATCATTATATTGCCAAGATCAACCACCAAATCATCTTTCTTTTCTTTGTCTTTTTCGTTTTTGTTTTTAGAACCAACGGCCTGTACTCAATGGCAACCAGAAAATATGAAATCTCTACCTCCAACCAGTTGTATGGCTTTGGACAGGTTGTATGCCTTGGATTTTTTATATATGAAACAGGAATAAGAAACCTGCCTTTTAGCAGACTTGTAATAGTGGCTATACTTAATAAGTGTGCACGTCACTGCTCTATCATGATAAAGCACTTTCTGTTATTCTGAATCCTCCAACAACCCTGTCTATGAGGCAGGCATCAATCACC
Organism: Homo sapiens; assembly: GCF_000001405.40. Classification (NCBI taxonomy): domain Eukaryota; kingdom Metazoa; phylum Chordata; class Mammalia; order Primates; family Hominidae; genus Homo; species Homo sapiens. The sequence goes on along the minus strand of NC_000002.12, from coordinate 175,309,133 downwards.
CTAAAGAAGAAATTGGAGATTAACCTAAGGTCAACCAAGGAGTTGAATTCACACTGGGAAACTCCAATCTGTGCCAGGGCTATTTCCACTGCTTCCTGCTGTTGCTCTTGAGCAATAGATGGAGTTTTATATATGTGAATGCATTCAATAAAGATATAACTACATGCAAATTCACATTTCATAAAGAATAAATACTACCCTTTGAAATGATAACTTGGAATAACTGGCCTCCAATGAATACTCAGTACTCTGAGATTTAGAAATATTTGCCTGTACAAGCAGGCAAGCAAGACTGACAGGTAGGTCGGTAGATGGATAAATAGATAGATGATAGATAGATAGATGATAGATAGATAGATAGATAGATAGATAGATAGATAGATAGATGAAAGAGCTCTTCTTTTCTGGTTCTTTTTCACTTCAGGCTTTTTCCCCCTGCATGTTTGCAGATTGCTTAATTACTTCATTGGGCTTTGGAACTTATACATTACAGACACATGATCATCCAAGTCATTACCTGCATATTTTCCCATTAAGAATAATTATAGCTCTTACCATCACTGCCCACGTACTTATGTCCTGCAGGCCTGGGCACACTGAAGTAATCATCTTTCAAAAATGATCTTGATGGGCAAGTGTTGTGTGTACAATCAGCAATAAGCAAGATGAGGTGGGAAGATTTCCATCTCCTCCATTATTGAGCGGCTCAAAAATCACATTCCCGTTATTTCATCACAGTGCCATGCAGGACACTAAGGTGGTTTATGTTCTCCTGAAAAGCGAATTAGTGCTAAGTGCAGAGATGAGACCCATGGGATGCTGGATTGTACTGTCTCTCCATGGATTATCTTTCCAAGCACGTACACATCACCCATTTCCCAGCTCAATTTCATTGTCTACAAAACGGGATTTATAAGATACTTTAAAAATGTCTGGTCATCAAATATGAGGTGGAACAGTCTTACAGATGGCAGCATAGCTTTTTTTTTTGAGATGGAGTCTCACCTTGTTGTCCAGGCTGGAGTGCAGTGGCGCAATCTAGGCTTACTGCAACCTCTGCCTCCTGGGTTCAAGTGATTCTCCTGCCTCAGCCTCCCAAGCAGTGGGGATTACAGGCATCTGCCACCACACCCAGCTAATTTTTTGTAGTTTTAGTAGAAATGGGGTTTCACCATGTTGACCAGGCTGGTCTTCAACTCCTGACCTCAGGTAATCCACCCGCCTTGGTCTCCCAAAGTGCTGGGATTACAAACGTGACCCACCGCGCCTGGCCAGCATAGCTTCTTATACTGATGAAGAGTCCACACTCTGGGATTCTGGCTTCTCCACTTCACCAACTCTATAACCTTGGGCATGTTACTTAACCTCTTGAAGCCTCAGTTTCCACATCTGTAAAGAAGAGGTAGTTAATAGTCCATTCCCATTAGAGATTCAGTGAGATCTTCCTTGTAAGGCACTTTGTCTAGTGCCTGGTACAGGTGATTGTCCAGCCAACATTAGCTAATATTATCATCAAGATGAAACTCAAAGAGTCTAGGGCTGTTCAACAGAGCTCAGGCAACATATCTAAATTAAAAACATTAACTGTCTGCCCAATAATCATTGAAAGCCATTGTGAAGGGGTCACATGTTCTTTTAATCAGTGAATCATGAATGAGTTCAATTCCAAAGGTAAGAGAAAAGCTAGCAGATGTTTGAAAAAATATTAGAGTATACCCAAGAAAAAAGTATTTCAATAACTAGTGAATAATCTCCAACTGGTTGTAATTAATTATTCTTAAGTTTAAAAAAGTTTTTTGTTTTATTTCCATACAGACAAAAAGCATTCACTGTTAAATTTTCTAGATTTTAAATTAGCAGTTAAGAGTTTCCAAAAGCCATTAAAATTGCCCATTTTAACTAGAAACAAGGCTTAATATTTGTTGCAAGTCATTCTGCTAGCTTTCATCCAGGTTCTTTCTTATTACACTTTCCATATATAATAAATAATGATTTTGTATACACATTCATTTCTTATACTGCTGTTTTCACTAAGCCATATCTAGTAAATACCTTTCTATATCAGTTGATATTCCTTGTCATCTTCTTAACGGCTACATATAGCCATTAATATATAATGTAATTCATTTAACCAAGTTTTTATTGTTGATTATTTAGGTTTGTTCCCAAATGGTTGTCATGAATATCCATGTAGCTGACTCTTCGGATAAATTTCTAAAAATGAGTTTCCTAGATCAATGAGTGCACTTTTTCCCCCACAGTTGATTTTTAAACCCCATATTTTTTAACTGATTTCTACATGTAGACAAGTTCTCATCTTAACTAGAATTTGGTGTTCCCACTGGAATAATGTGTGTGTTTCTTCTGACAGACTATCTTTGAAGCAGGTTCTACTGGTGCTACTTGGCTAGGCTGCAAGTAGCAAATGACCAACAGCTCTGAAGACAGCGTCTACCTGGGCCTCAGTAGACTAAGCGTGTCACATTTATAACCTTCTTGGCTGTGCTCCCCATAGCTGGGGGCAGCATAAGCTTAAGGTGTGCTAGCCACTATACCCAACTGAATATAATTATTTAAGGGTCTGAGTAGCTTGGCTTTCCAAGACTCATTTAGTGTCACTGATTTGATAGACTGTGTTCAAAATGGTTTAGAAAATTCAACCTTTTTTTTTTTTTCTTTTTTTTTTGAGATGGAGTTTCGCTCTTGTTGCCCAGGCTGGAGTGCAACGCGGCAATCTTAGCTCACACAACCTCCGCCTCCCGGGTTCAAGAGATTCTCCTGCCTCAGCCTCCCGAGTAGCTGGGATTACAGACATGTGCCACCATGCCCAGCTAATTTTGTATTTTTAGTAGAGACAGGGTCTCTCCATGTTGGTCAGGCTGGTCTCAAACTCCCAACCTCAGGTAATCTGCCTGCCTCGGCATCCCAAAATGCTGGGATTACAGGCGTGAGTCACAGCGCCCAGCCTCAACCATTCTTTTAAAAAGTTATTTGAAATATAAGCTTGTTTATACTCTGTAGAATATCTCCAGAAGGATATGCAAGCAACTGGGGACAGGATTTGCCTCTGACTAGGGGAAGAGAGAATAACAGAAGTGGGTGAGAGACTTACTTTTCACTGTATTCTTTTGCACTGTTTTAATTTCTTATATATACAGGTTTAATTTCTTACCTTATTCAAAAGGGAAATTATTAAGCAATAAAGATTAAACCCAAAAGAAACAATGAATGCATGTAGATGTTTTCTCATTGTCAACTACTGGATTAGTAAAACATAAGCAACAGTAAAGCAACTGAACAACTTTACCAAAAGGGTATGGTCTGGTAGTGAAGAATGCAAGCTCTGGAGTCAGACAGTCTGCCAGGGTCCATAATGCAGCTCTGTTATTTACCAGTTATGTGATCTTGGACAATTACTAAACAACTCTGTATATCAGTTTCCTCATGCATAAAATGGGACTAATAATGGTACCTACTTCATAGTTAATTGTATTAAATGAGTGAAGAGTGGTGATTCCAAATTTGCAAATTGTTGCAAGTCTTTGTGAGAGTATGTGACTCAAACTACTTCACATCAATATGGCCTATGAATAGATTTTTAAAGTCATTATATTTTGGGGGGCTAGTTTTATGTTTTGTGTGTGTGTGTGTGTGTGTGTGTGTGTGTGAGATTTTGTTTCTTTTTTGAGCATACAGGTACAGTGGTTAAACAATGGCAAAAGAAAAGCTGCAGTACCCATTCAATTTGATCATGTCTTAAAGAACTGTTATTTTTGAGAAAGGTGTTTTGAAATCAGTATTTGCCTAAGGAAACCATTCACAAGATAAGAGGGCATTAAATATTCTGGAAAACATTCTAATCCCATTCACTCTGAATAATGTGCTCAGTCATTGGAAATGTATTGCTGGCAAAGCAGGTGATATGGTGACAGGGACAAGTAGACTCTGCTGTCACACAAGCCTAGATACATTCTTTTGCCCAACACTTTACTGAACATGATAAACAGAGTGCTGTTATTCCTGTTTTATGGGTGACCCCTGCTTCCCTATTTCAATGTGGCTCTTCCCAAGCTGCCAAATCATCAGAATGGGATCTTCACTCCACGGTTTTAGGTTCAAGCCATCCCAAACTCGGGTAAACAAATTTAATGGATGAAAATACAGAAGACTTTTAACATTCATGAGGACTCTATTCTGGAGTCTTCGTAGATTCAGTATTGTGTCTCTCCCACAATAGGTGTCCAATAAGCGTTTATTGAGTGAGTCCTCAAATTCATCATGTGGCTATTACATAGTTATTTCCCCATAAATGCAGGCCAATCTCAAATGCCCTGGATATGCAACACCTTCAGGCATCAAAAGGCTGTTTTGTATGGTCCAGAGTCCTTCCCCTACTGCTTATTTGATTGCCATAGATGATTCAGACAGAGCAAAGGGTAAGACTTATGTCCAAACAATAAAGTCTACTGAGAAAACATTTTCATTTTATAAACACAGTTTATGTTAGCTTAGAATTCTGACTCTCAGGACATCCTATGATAACAGCTTTAAAAACAAAATGAATATTTGTTTGCTTCATTTTACTAAATTATTCAAAATCCAAAAAGTTTGAAAAAGTGGGCTCCATGATAAATGATCTGATAGACCATCTAAAACCAGAGACAAATGTCTGTCCTGCCTTCCTTGGATGACATGAGCAGTGTCCAGTTTGCCTTACCAGTACAGAAGGAAGCGACGATCAACATTGTTCTGTGCACCACAGTGTTCAGTATTCCCCTGTGGAATACACATTCTTTGAACAGTGATATAATTGCATGACATAACTTTGAAGAAAGAATATTTAGACTGTGTGTCTGTTTGTGTGTGTGCGTGTGTGTGTGTGTGTTTTTTTTTTTTTTTAGAAGGAGTCTCACTCTGTCACCAGGCTGGAGTGCAGTGGGGCAATCTCGGCTCACTGCAACCTCCGCCTCCTGGGTTCAAGTGATTCTCCTGCCTCATCCTCCCAAGTAGCCGGGATTACAGGCACGCGCCACCATGCCCAGCTAAATTTTGTATTTTTTAGTAGAGACAGGGTTTCACCATGTTGGCCAGGATGGTATCAATCTCTTGACCTCGTGATCCGCCTGCCTCAGCCTCCCAAAGTGCTGGGATTACAGGTGTAAGCCACCACGCCCGGCCTAGAACGTTTTATAAAACTTTTGGGCAAAGATTGAAATAACTATATTTAAGCCACGTAAATTAGAATTTACCAAGACATCAGATCCAGATATTTTAAAAGCAATATTGTAGTGAAACACTTAAGACACTGAGGGATGGGATAATGTTATTTTCTTGTCAGTGGTCACAAGCTATATGGCATTACATTGTTAAATCTCCCCCAGAGACAGGGAACAAATAAGTTCCTGGAATACAATCTGTCTTGTTAATATTAAAACTGATGGTCATGGCTCTTTGGGGCTTGTAGATATTTTAATTATAGTATATTTGCTTTATAATTTTAACTGAGGTTATTTTATAAACACTTTTAACATATCACTATTAATAGGCTGAAGAAAGAAATCTATTTAAGACAGCAGATGGGAAATAAATCTTCACTATCTCCTTGGTCTGCTAGTTTACATTTAGAACATCACACGTTTTCTGAAAAGCTCTTGGAGGCACATACTCTCATTATTGTCCTGCAGTGAGTTATCACTTACCCCAAAACACACAATATATCTGTCTTACACACTAACTGGTGTCCTATTCCAATTCCCACAAATTAACTCAAAATGTGTTACTTTTACACAAACAAAGCATTATTTTAACATTCTTATGCTTTAAATCTCCAACTAATATTTTTCTTTTGCCAATATTTATTGAAAACCTATTATATACCCAATGCTGTATTACTCAATGATATTTTTTAGTTTCCCAAATATATCTGAAATTTCTAATATAAAAATTTATTCTCAAAACTGAAAATCTGTAAGAAGAGCCGCAGGGTCAGAGAGTAAAAATATGAGACTGTAGACTTTCATCCCAGCTATGCCAACAATTCATAGTGTGGGACAGAAGCCATTGCATATCTCTGTGCCTCTGTTTCTCCACCTGCAAGAGAGTAGTAAGTAATTTTCTTTGACCTGATTTCAACTGTTAGGAGAAACAGCTAATAAAAATTTTGCAAAGCATCATGAATATTGAAAAGTGCATGATCATCATGATTAATAATAATGCGTAGAGCTCAAATATTGAAATGACTCTCTGGCTTCATTCCAAATCAAGAAATATAAGCTCTGGTCTTGCATAGTAATGAAGAGAAGCAGTGTGAGATATTCTTATTGTATTAGTTCGAATGAACATAGTGATGAATATCTTTAATTATGGACTGTATTCTGTAACATTGCGTGTATGTGTGTATGTTTTAAACTAAATGTATTGCAATCTTCTCCATAATATTTCAGGGGTTCAAATGGAACCATTCCCAAACCAGGCAGACATTTATATGTCTGTACCTAACCTTGGAATGAATGTTCATTTTGATAGAGAATGTGAACAGGTAGGAGCCCTCAGTTAAAGAAAGCAAGCTCTGATTTCATTGATCTCCAAACCTGTCATCTTCATGTTAGCCAACTGTCTGGTACCTAATGAGAAAAACAAATTGCTTTTACTTTCTATGTAAGACATTTGCATTTATAATTTTTGGGGGCTCGTAAAAGCTTTATAAAGCATCCACTCAAACCATTCTACCTGCATTTTTCACCTAAAACGGTCTTTATGAAACCTTACGGTAAATTTAGTAACCTTCTTCAATAAACATAAGCTTTTATGAGTGTGACATATCTAAATAGACTCAATGGTCTGGGAATAAAATCTGCATCAGTAATATTTTCAGTGCCGTAATATCCCACATATTTTTAAAAAGCCACTTACAGAGCAGACCACTGCATAAGGAAAAAAAATCAGTCTCCAAGTTTAAGAAAGCAACTGCTCAGTGAACACCTGGGTAACTCATTAAGTTAAATGTGAAATGTCCTGATGTGTACAACATCGAGCTTCATAATATTCAAACATTAGCATCTGTCTTTTTCTTCCACTTTCAGCAAATGCACATTAGAGAAATAACTTTAGGAATGGCCTTCAGTAATCATTCACACTGAGTTTTTTCAGGAAAGGGACCTTCACATGAGACAGTTCCCCACTTCAATCACCTCCACAGGGAACTTCTGCTTGGGTGAACCTGCTGACGTGAGTCCTGCTGCCCTGGGTATCTCATAGCTTCTTTCACCAGTTAAGCTACCAAATTAGCCTTGAGACTGGGACCCCCATTTCTCCCATTGCTGGTATGTATCAGTGAGGAAGACAGGAGAATGCTAGTGACTTTTTTATAGCTGCTATATAACAAGAGAATGAAATGTCAAAAGCCTGGAAACTCCATCTTTCTTAGTCCCATGAAAGCTCATCTAGCTCCTGCTGGTCGTGGGACTTGCACTCACCTTCAACTTTGCCTTGCTAGAAAGTGGCAATTTAAAATTCAACAACTCAAAGCAATCCAATGAATGAAAACATCCTGATTATGGACTCAGTACTTATCAAACATCTACTTGTGCTAAAGGCTTGAGCAAGCATTAAGAGTGGCCAACCCTTACTGAGGTAGCTCATTTCCCACAATTAGACATACCCTTGAGAAGTTGCATGTAAGTTGCTTCCTTGATACCTAGGTTCATACTTATAACACACCAAGGGACTGTGTTTTAGAACATGATGAATTTTTTTATACATTTTTAAAATTCTTAAAATTATTTCCTTTTAAATCAAGCTTTGCTTGCTTAAGGTAGACAAGATAGGGGGACAGAGATAAATTAAACACAAACAAAACCACAAATTCTCATTTAAGATTTTATTTCTATCTTCTCTCACCCCCTCACATTTTTTTAGCAGAATTTCTAGCCAGAAACAAATGGAGGAAAGTTGTCCAACAGTGAAAAGAACTGTTTCCTCTTTTAGTTCAAACTTTATTTTTCAAATCATTACATTATAAAGACTGAGAAGCAGCAAGATTGTAAGAAAAACAGCTGGGGATAAACATGAGACCTCAGAAGGAGATGGTCCATCTATGCCTTGGGCCTTCTATTACCCTTATCTAGATCCTCTCATTGTCTTCAATTCTCTGCAGCTTGGGACACAAGACCATATAGAAGCTGAAGAGGAGCCTCTGCTTCCATACTCATTTATTCTCTAGACAAACTCAGTCTAGAAGCAGCAGAATTGCCCAGCCAATCTCTCCTTCCAGCTTAGGCTCCCCATTCTCATACCCAACCTCTTCCTCTGCTTTTTTTTTTTTTTTTTTTTTTGCCATCTGGGTGGACCTAAGGGGCTCTAAGGCAAGAAGGCCTTCTGCATTTTGGAGAACCCTGCGGTCAGATGCTCAGACAAAGCAGAGTTAGGTGCTTCTAGAATGCCCAGCGTCGCCTTAAAATCTTCCTTCCTGCCTGCCCTTGGGACTGTTGCCACAGAGCAGCAATTGGTCCAAAGGCTGACAAACAGAATAGAAGGAAAAGCACTCTTCTTAATCAGCAAAATAGATCATTGTCCCTAAATAGACAAGAATTGGCAAGTCACTACTTAAACTTGGTTTTAAAACTTGTTTGTAGGGCCTTTAGACATGCCTGCTACCTACAGAGAAGTGGGAGGGTATTTGTCAGTATCCTTGCCAACATGACCAGGGGCCCATCTTCATGCCAAAGAGCCCCATATGACCATAAAATGTTTTCCCAAGGCCTACAGAGCTGTGCCTACTGAATGTTCTATTCCCAAGAATCAATGAAGCCTACTGCTCCAAATTAGTGCATTTTAAAATGACCAAATAAAATGAATGAGGTGATGATACAGAGAAAAGAAAACATTTAAAGATAATGAGCACAGAGCACAGAGCTTCATTCTATACAGGAGGGGAAAAGGTCAGTAAATTTAGCACACACATAATGGTCCTCGCAAATCATCTCCTAATTAAACCTCATCCAGCCAAAATGTACTGGTTTAACCTTTTCATTCTGTGCTTCTCACCATATTTATGAACCACTGCCTCTCAGCAGAAATGGAAAATGTGCCCATTCTGGAACCCTTTGGGCTAGGTGTGCTTCTAGATGTGTTCCTGCAGGACAGGAGACGGTGCCTGGAGCTGTCCCTCCATGTACTGGCAACAATTTGGAGTCTGACTGTATAATCAGAAACCATAATCCAAACATTTCAGGCTGATGTCTACATTTTCAGTGCCAGAGTTACACGTACTTAGAGGCAAAAGGTTTTGGGGGGTTGGTTTGGTTTGGTTTTGAAATAACAGTAATATAATTGATCCCTTCTAAAACAGTAGAGCTGACCTCAATGAGAAACAGGTCTCACTTGGATCCTGTCCAAGAGAGTATGATTGGTGATTTATGAAAAAAACCTTGTCCAAAGGCAATTTAATTATAAGTTAATCCCTAGGCATTAGAGAATACTGAGAATAAAGAACACTTGCGAAGATGCTAGGGCAGAAATTCCAAAAGACTATTCCAAATACATAGTTTCTCAGGAACAGTATATTGATAACCAACTTAGGGTTTTGATTTGGAAAAACCACAGGGAAGTGCATTACGTGCATCACCTACTGAATGCTGTCATTTTGAACCCCTATTACACTGTACTAGCCCTACTCTGAACAAAGAGCGCAGAAAAGGAATCAGTAGCCTCAGATTTCATATAACCTCCTCCATAATTTCAGGTCTACTCCAGCCAGTGTGCAGCCTTCTACCCAAAAGGGTCAGTCACTTTGATCACCATCACATGAAGAGTCAGAGAACTTTGGCAGAGCTAGGATGAGGTGTGAGGGGAGTGAGAAGGATGGGTAAGACAGCAACCATATTTAATTACTCTAGTGTCTGCCTGAGTAAATATAATAGATAACATCTACTAAATGCTTTCTGTGTCCCAGACACACTTTTATGTACTTTATAGTTATTAAGCCATTTAGCCTTCATGATACTCCTATGAGGTAGGTATTATTGCTATACTTCTCTGTGCTGACAGAGAGATTAAGTAATTTCCCTAAGGTCACATAGCTAGGAAGAGGGGGAGCCACCAGAGTGTGAATATCTCAAGGACACAGTGATATTTTATTCAACTCTGTATTCTTTCTTTAATTTTATTTTAAGTTCCAGGATACATGTGCAGGATGTGCAGGTTTGTTACGTGGGTAAACATGTGCCATGGTGGTTTGCTGCACCTATCAACCCATCACCTAGGTATTAAGCCCTGCATGCATTAGCTATTTATCCTAATGCTCTCCCTCCCCTCACTCCACTGACAAGATCCAGTGTGTGTTGTTCTCCCACCATGTGTCCTTGTGTTCTCATCATTCAGCTCCCACTTATAAGTAAGAACATGCAGTGTTTGGTTTTCTGTTCTGCGTTAGTTTGCTGAGGATAATGGCTCGAGCTCCATCCATATCCCTGCAAAGGACATGATCTAATTCCTTTTAATGGCTGCATAGTATGCCATGGTGTACATGTACCACATTTTCTTTATCCAGTCTATCATTGATGGGCATTTGGGTTGATTCCATGCCTTTGCTATTGTGAATAGTGCTGCAATAAACATATCATGCATGTATCTTTATAACAGAATGATTTATATTCCTTTGAGTATATACCCAGTAATGGGATTGCTGGGTCAAATAGTATTCCTGGTTCTAGGTCTTTGAGAAATCACCACACTGTCTTCCAAAATGGTTGAACTAATTTACACTCCAACAGTGTAAAAGTGTTCCTATTTCTTCACAGCCTCACCAGCATCTGTTGTTTCTTGACTTTTTAATAATTACCATTCTGATTGGTGTGAGATGATATCTGATTGTCATTTTGCTTTGCATTTCTCTAATGATCAGTGATGTTGAGCTTTTTTTCATATGTTTGTTGGCCACATTAATGTCTTCTTTTGAGAAGTGTCTGTTCATGTCCTTCGCCCACTTTTAAATTTTTTTTTTTTGTAAATTTGTTCAAATTCCTTGTAGATTCTGGATATTAGAACTTTGTCAGATGGATAGATTGCAAACATTTTCTCCCATTCTGTAGGTTGTCTGTTGGTTCTGATGATAGTTTATTTTGCTGTGCAGAAGTTCTTTAGTTTAATTAGATCCCATTTGTCAATTTTTGCTTTTATTGCAATTGCTTTTGACATTTTCATCATGAAATCTTTGCCCATGCCCATGTCCTGAATGGTATTGCCTAGATTTTCTTCTAGGGTTTTTATAGTTTTAATCTATCTTGAACTAATTTTTGTATAAGGTGTAAGGAAAGGGTCCGGTTTCAATTTTATGCATATGGCTAGCCAGTTTTTCCAACACCATTTATTAAATAGGGAATCCTTTCCCCATTGCTTGTTTTTGTCAAGTTTGTTGATCAGATGGCTGTAGATGTGCAGTCTTATTTCTGAGTTCTCTATCCTGTTCCATTGGTCTATGTGTCTGTTTTGGTACCAGTACCATGCTGTTTTGGTTACTGTAGCCTTGTACTGTAGTTGGGTAGCATTATGCCTCCAGCTTCATTTTCATTGCTTAGGATTGTCTTGGCAATATGGGCTCTTTTTTGGTTCCATATGAATTTTAAAGTAGTTTTTTCCAATTCTGTGAAGAATGTCAATGGTAGTTTAATGGGAAAAGCATTGAATCTTTAAATTACTTTGGGCAATATGGCCATTTTCACGCTATTGATTCTTCCTATCCATGAGCATGGAGTGTTTTTCCATTTGTCTGTGTCTTCTCTGATTGTCTTGAGCATGGTTTGCAGTTCTCCTTGAAAAGGTCCTTCACTTCCCTTGTTAGCTGTATTTCTAGGTATTTTATTCTCTTTGTAGCAATTGTAAATGGGAGTTAATTCACGATTTGGCTCTCTGCTTGTCTATTGTTGGTGTATAGGAATGCTTGTGATTTTTGCACAATGATTTTGTATCCTGAGACTTTGCTGAAATTGCTTATCAGCTTAAGAAGCTTTTGGGCTGAGACAATGGGGTCTTCTAGATATAGGATCATGTCATCTGCAAACAGAGACAGTTTGGCTTCCTCTCTTCCTTTTTGAATATGCTTTATTTCTTTCTCTTGCCTGATTGCCCTGGTCAGAACTTCCAACACTATGTTGAATAGGAGTGGTGAGAGAGGGCATCCTTGTCTTGTGCCAGTTTTCAAGGGGAATGCTTTCAGCTTTTGCCCATTCAGTATGATATTGGCTGTGGGTTTGCCACAAATGGCTCTTATTATTTTGAGGTATGTTCCATAATACCTAGTTTATTGAGAGTTTTTAACATGAAGGGATATTGAATTTTATTGAAGACTTTTTCTGCATCTATTCAGACAATCATGTGGTTATTGTCTTTAGTTCTGTTTATGTGATGAATTACGTTTATTGATTTGCTTATGTTGAACCAGCCTTGCATCGCAGGAGTAAAGCCAACTTGATCGTGGCAGATAAGCTTTTGGATGTGCTGCTGGATTCGGTTTGCCAGTATTTTATAGAGAACTTTTCCATTGATGTTCATCAGGGATATTGGCCTGAAGTTTTCTAGTTTTCTTTTTTTTCTTTTTCTTTCTTTCTTTTTTTTTTTTTTTTTTGAGACAGAGTCTTGCCCTGTCGCCCAGGCTGGAGTGCAGTGGCGCAATCTCGGCTCACTCCAACCTCTGCCCCATGGGTGCAAGTTATTCTCCCGTCTTAGCCTCCCAAGTAGCTGGGACTACAGACATGCACCACCATGTCCAGCTAATTTTTGTATTTAGTAGAGACAGTTGTTGAACAGGCTGGTCTCAAACTCCTGACCTCAAGTGATCCACCCACCTTGACCCAAAGTGCTGGGATTATAGGCGTGAGCCACCAAACCCCGCCTAAGTTTTCATTTTTTGTTTATCTCTGACAGGTTTTGGTATCGGGATGATGCTGGCCTCATAAAATGTTCAACTCTATATTCTTACACCTAATCCAGTCATTCTCACCTGGGTAGCTTTTCAACTGGCTAGTTGAAAAGAATTAGGATGAATTGCAGAGTTTAAGGAATGTAGAGAAGATTGCCTGAGGCTGCAGAGGGAAAGGGGGACACTTGCACAGTGCTTTGTGAGCAAGAATCATGGTTTCCTAATCCTGGTCAATATCTAAGGTTTGTACATTCATTGGGCAGCCCTCTTTTGAGATGTATAGCACACTGGGAGTGCACATAAGCCTCCATCTCCCCTTGATATTGCCTTTTCTCGAACGGTGCCTGCTGATTACAAATAGTAAGCGTGTTTCCTACTGCTATGGATTTACTTGAATTTAATTTCACACCTTAGGGCAAGGTGCTATTGTTTCTCGCTAGCCAGAGTTTGAAATACAAAGGAGGCATAATGAGAGCTCCCACATCCCAGATGCTGATACTTGCCCAAGTGGAACCCTGAACTTATTCAAACTGCACCCTCTACAGCACTCTCCTGAAAAGGAAGGAAAGGTTACATGTGACAAACCTTGACAGTGGAGTAGTCATGCAGATTAACAAAAAGTTGGGGGAAAAAAAACAACAGGGTAGGAATTAAGAAATGATCACAACCACCAATGTACCTGTTACTAGGGCTGAAGACTTGCTGTGTGAACTCAGCTTTCTATAATGTGAGAGGTGTTGGGACTTACATGTTAACCTTCTGATCATACCAATGGAAAAGAGAAGGAAAGTCTATTATATTGGCACAAGGCTGTGGTCGCAATTTGGAGAATTAGACCCAGTTATAGCAAATTGCTGCAGGAGCAATATTGGGAACCATTACTGGGGAAACACAGACTGCTGAATTCAAGAGGCCACTGAATTCTCACTTATTGGGAAGCTAATTTGGAAGGAGGAAGAGCAGCCAGGTTATCAGCTGTCCTCGGGGAACAAATCAGAGCATCAAAACTGAAATTGAAGACCTAGGTTCTGGTTTGCAAAAGTTTCAGCCTCCTGGTGGGTAAACTGTCAAAAAGCACGGTCCCAGGAGAAAGAAGCAACTACATTATACATATCTGGTTAAGACTACACCATAGAACACAACAGGGGCTGACTGTGGAGACAATACCCAATGATGTGCCTTCAGTATAGGGTCATCCCACACCTAGATGAGATGCTGTGGGACCTAGCAGGGGCCAGGCATACAGTAGAAGCAGAAGCACACAGGACTTCCCAGGACTATGTGATGTGAAAACCTTAATTTGTGTTGATGGCAAAGCATGTATGGTAGAAGTTCTAGTCCCCAATACCACTGTACAGCAAGCAGTGATACTGTCCCAGCCCTCTGTGGACCACCAAGGACTTCTGCTGTTGAAGGAAACCCACTGCCTGCATGTAGAGATGGAGGAGGCACGGTACATGGCACTAAGTCAGTGAAAAGAAGGTGACACCCTTTCCAAATACCTAGGTGATGAGCAGAGCCAGGAAGGAACACCCCCAAAAAGGCCTCGGACTTTAAAAAGTCCTGCCCAGTCCCTTAGAATAAAAAAAAAAATGTGTGAGACACAGATGCCACAAATAAATCTTGAGTTCTGTGGTACAATGGGAAACAGATATTTGGTCTTTGTCTCTAGTTACTGGCTCACAGCTCCTAAAATGCTTGGACTCGCCAAAGTGATGAGTGTCTTTTGTATGCTCCTAAAATTCTTGGACTCTCTTAAGTGATAAGTGTCTTTTGTATGCTCTCCAAAGTGATGACTGGTGGCTCAGGCCCCTAGGAGACTTCAGGATGAGGGCTGATCACTAGAAAGACCTAGGCATGATTAGAAGATTGGAACTTTCAGCCCACCACCTGACGTCTGGGGAGGGAAGAGGGGCTGAAGATTGAGTTTATCATCAACCGTCAGTGATTTAATCAATAGTGACAATATAATGATACCTTTACTTAAAAATATATATATATGGGGTTCAGAGAGTTTTCAGGTTGGCAAGCACATCAAGGTACTGGGAGAGCTGTGTGCCTGGAGGGGGCATGGAAGGTCCGACTTCCCACCCTCCTCCCCCTGACCTTGCCCTATGCATCTCTTCCATTTCACTCTTCCTGAGTTGTATCCATTATAATAACTGGTAATAGGAAGTAAAGTGTTTTCCTGAGTTCTCTGAGTCATTCTATGAAAGTGTTGAACCTGAGGAGCGAGTCATGGGAACTCCCAGTTTATAACCAGCTGGCGAGAAGTATAGGAATCCCTGGACTTGAGATTGGCATCTGAAGTGAGGGGCAGTCTTGTGGGACTGAGTCCTTAAACTTGCAGAGGCTGCTCTAATTCCAGGTAGTTCGTTCAGAATTGAATTAAATTATGACACCTCATTGATGTAATCAGAGAATTAGAGAATAGCTGGGTGTGGAAAGCCCCCAGACATTTGGTGTCAGAGGTGTTGTGGGTAAAAACAGCTCAGGTTCTGTCTTCTTCCATGTGCCTTAGATAGTTTGCGCAGTAAATTAGCAAGAATGGAAATATTTTTTTCTCATGGCAGAATGTAAAAGA
The DNA here is from genome assembly GCF_000001405.40 of Homo sapiens. Classification (NCBI taxonomy): domain Eukaryota; kingdom Metazoa; phylum Chordata; class Mammalia; order Primates; family Hominidae; genus Homo; species Homo sapiens. The sequence continues at coordinate 175,293,633 of NC_000002.12, read as the reverse complement.
TGGTGAAAATGTTCTCTTAGCAATCACCCTGAGAAATCCTCTTCTGGGAGAGAGGCGCCTATGTCACAAACTCCCTGATAAGGTTTCTTGAGGCAGAAGCTGCTGAGCTTCCCTTCCCCTGCCCTCCAGGCCTGTTCTGGAAACAGAGGAAGGATGGGTTGCTCAAGAGAGAAGGATGAGCGAGGAAGAAGGAAGAGTAGAGGCAATAGCAAGGTGGACAGCAGGAGGTAAACCTGCTGACATCACAAAATGCTTTGTGCATGTGGATTAATTGTCAACACACTGGGCTTCATGTTTACGTTGATGTGACAGTGGGACCAGAGCCCCAGATGCATGCAAATGCAAGAGCCAGAGACAGAAGGATAGAGCCAGGAAGGGATGCCAGGGAAGTGCAATTTCTGAAACTCACAGAAATCCAGGGAGGATTTGTGAAGGGAAGATGGTGAAGCTGAGGATACATGAAGCCTCCCTCAACCAGGTAGGCTTCATGTGTCCTGGGTGACCCAGGCCTTTGCTCCCCTCCTTCCTCCCTCGGATGATCCATAGGCCTCCTCTGCCTTCCCCCAGCCCTGGTGCTTGCCTTTCTTCACACTCCATCCTCCCATTGTCCATCTCTTTCCTTTGCCCTATTAATGCTAGTTCACAGACCTCATTTCCAAAGATTCCCTCTTTTCATATGAAGCCCTTCCTAGGCTCGTTCAATTTCCTGCTCTCGCTAGAGAGTTTCTTCGTAGGCATTCAAACCGTGCATGAATAAAGTCACTTTTTCCTATTTCAGCCAGCTAACAAGATCACACACCACACAAATAAACTGATCTGTAATTCACAAACCTACACACATGGGATGTTTCTGTTTTACAGTTAATACACATACTAAACAGAGTAATTTAAAATAAAGAATTGGATGGCTATGTATTATAATTTGTCATTGTTAAAGAATGAAGGTGATTGGATAAGTAGACAGGACAAATGCATGTGAGATAATATCGATAGCATGTTGGCTAATCAAACACCCAATCATCTTACCTGCCACAAGTGAGAATTTGGTTAAACATTTTGATGACGTTCAGAATAGCTTGTGGAGGGATTTGTTCCCAGGTAATTGGCAGAAACTGCAGCTCATTAAATTAGCTCTCATCTGACATGCCAAATGATACTCACAGTTGATCCGTTAGATCATCAGCAAGCAATTGTTTATCTCTTCCATAAGCCAGGATGACAAATAAGCAATTTTTGCCAAAAGGGTTAAGGCCAGTGCCAATCATTATTCATACTGCAATTTAACTGATTCTCTGGCAATCAATACCATGCATTCAAAATGCAATACAGCAGTTTCTTCCACATTGTGGGGCCCTTTATATGAATATTCTGCCAGAATATAAACAAACAAAATACTAAATAAAGACAGGTCTCAAATGTAGTATTTATCATCTTATTTTTAGGGAGTGGGGAAATCAGTAAACCTAGAGGCATTCACATCAGGTTGTTGCTTAACAGAGCAGGTATATTAAGGGAGCTCCTATCCAGATTATTGGGCTAAACCAGTAAGAAATCAAGGAAAGTGGTAGAAGAGAAATGATAGGGACTGGTTTAATGCCTACACCAAGCTTATAAGCCTCATCATGAAGTCTGAGATAATGATGGATAAAGCAGCTCTAAATGGCTACATTTTGCACTTTCATTCCCATGCACTTGAAATCAATGTCTTCACATGAGATTAACCAAGGGAAGGATTTGGCACCATGGCAATGTCTTATTCAATTTTCCCATTGAAACGGCTGGCCCTTGTCCAATAATAGATGCTATTTCCTTTTCTGACTGACCTTTTCTCATCTTGCCTAAGGCTCCTGACGTTATGACAAGGGTCTAAGTTGTTGGGACAGCATTTCTCTTCATTGTACAAATGACCAAAATATAAATAGTCACAGGGAAAACCACTACAGATGAGTATTTTAAATCTTAGAACTATAGCCCAGAAACTCAGTCATCACTATGCCACTTAGTGGGATAAGTATAAGTGAAACAAAAGCACAAAGACTGATGCGCCTCAAGCCTTGATTTCTCTTTCACTGGAACATGCAGAGTCTTATCTAGTTTTTAAATTATTTGGGTTTCTTGCTTCTTCCTCTTACCTTGACTATGGGAATTATGGTCTCTTGTCTACTTCACTGCTCATTTGCTTTGAGGAATACAAGAGGCAGAAATTCAAGCCAATAACAGCTTCCTCACATGATGCCTCTGCTGATAAAACATTCAGAGGGAAAGAGGATTGAAGTTATTGCCTAATATGAGACTTTGGGGTCATTTCATTATTCTCATTTCTTGTGCTTTTTTTTTTTGGCCTTCTAACCAAGATCATTAAAATTTGGTCATAAATCTCCTTGATTAAGGGTCCTTCTTCTGAGATGTTCCAGTAATCACAGTAGTAATCAAAAGCCTTGTGGAAAAACAGGTACCTTAGGTCTTTAAAGCAATATATGTAATTAACGTGGTCATAATATTTCCAATTTTTATTCATGAATAAAATAATAAATACTATGCACAAAGCTTTCTCTCTGGAAGCTTGTTAGACACTCAGTGATGAACACTAGATACTGAACTATGTGAGTGTAATGGGGCATGCTGTATAAAAAGCCATGGTGACTGGCCAGATTCTGATAGGAGGAGGAGTCAAACAGGGTGAGAGAGGGAAAGTCTAGAATCATTCCATGTTTCTAACCTAGAAAACTAAGTATATGCAGCATTAAGGTGGTTTGAGATGGGTGAGTGAGATATGCTTAGCACATATTGAGGTTAAGATGCCAGTGGGACTTTTAGATGAAGTAATCAGTTAGATATTTGAGCCTAGAGTTCAGGAGAAAGGTAGGAGCTGGAGATGCAGACTTGGAAGCTGATAGCACATAGTTAGTGCTGGAGCCATTAGAAGTGAGTGAGAGGTTTCTGGGGTGTGTGTAAAGAAAGAGTAAGACATGAGTTTCTGGGGTATGTATAAATGAGTTTCCAGGGTGTGTTTAAAGAAAGAGCAATGCAGAAGAGCAGAACTCTGGGGGCACGTTTAAGGAGGTAGCCCAGGAAAAGCAGTCATCCAAGGAGGCTGAAAAAGGACAGGAGACACTAGTGTTGGGGAACCACCAGGGACATCCAGAGTGGGTTCATAACCTTCTGGAAATGTTCAGGCCTCCCACCATTGATAAATGTGTATTGCTATGCAACATAATTAGGGTCCTGGGCATAGGCTGGGCATGAATACTCCCGAGCTCAGACACCGGAGTGACACATCTTTTGTCCAAGGACTGTGTTCATGGAAATGGTTTGGGGAGGTGATGAGAGGAGATCTTAGGAACACAGCAAATGAAAATCCAGGGAGAATATCTAATGAATAGTCATCTATAGATGTTAGACAGAGAGAGAGAATCAGGTATGAAGTAAAGGAGGCAGCATACAGGGAGTCTAGGCAGGAAAAGAGGATGAGACTAAAACCTCAAATACAGCCCCAAGCCAATGAGAAGATAGGTTCTGGACTTCTCCTTTCAGTAAGTTACTTGGAATTTGGGTCATGGGAAGGAAGAGCCACGTAAAGCAAGGATGTAGCCTCGATCCCAGATGCTTTACTTACATATATTATCTCTAGGCTTTACAACAACCCTGAAAGGTAAACACTCTCACCTATTCCCATTGTGGAGATGATAAAGTTGAGGCTCAGATACGCTAAGTATTTGTACAGTAAGTAGCAGAGCCAAGATTCATATTCATATCATCTGTCTACCTTCAATACTGATGTGCTTACCAAGCCGCCTATGGCTTCCTTAGAGTACATTAATTCCCCTAAGCAGGAAGAACTCTAGGTATACTGACAAAATCAAGTCTGCAAACCTGAAAAGCTGAGAATCACACCCTGGATGGCAATGGCTCCAGCCAAACACTCTCTACGGGGCACAGTTACACAGCTATTCAGGACATCCCTTTGACATCAAGCAAACCCCAGCGGCCTTCTAGGTAAATCACCATGTTTTTCCTGATTACCACAAAGTGCATAAGTCTGAGATGGAGCAACATATAAGTGATGTCAAATTCAGGAGTCTAATCTCATTTAAACCAGTAACTTTAATTTGATCCATAACATACACTATGTCCCTAAGTCTTACCTCTATATGTGGCCAAGAAAGTATAAATCAATCACTATTATCCATTATAAACACTAGAAAATAAATCAAAAGAAATGCCAAATTAGCAGTGGGTAGATAATAATTATATTTCTGTATAGTTCTAATAAATTAAGGTAGAAAAAATAATCAGAGCTCATTGTAAATTATACCAGTGAAAAATAAAAAGAAAACTTTTGTCTTTCTTTGATATTTAGTAACAACTATTTTGGGTGAAGTTCGTGGTCTTAAATTGAAAAAAAAAATAGGTCTGTTAGTTATTATAATTTTAAAAATTATGAAGTTTAGAAATAATTCTGTAATCTTAAACCAACAGTCAATGTTATACATAATTACAATACACTAGAGCATTTTTCTTGATAGCCAGTGGGGAAACATTTAAGGTTTTTAAGAGGTGTAATGTAGAGATCAAAACTGATGCCTTAAGAATTTGAATCTTACAGTAGCATAATGTATAAATGAAAATGGAGAAGAACTAGAGGTAGGAATACCAATTATGAATTTAAGTGTAGGGATTTCTGGTCAAGAGAGTGGAGTAGCTCACACCAAACACCCCTCGGCTCTACCTCACCACCACTATCACTATGACCTCGAAACAAGAAAGAAAGAGATAAAAATAAGAAGAGAAAATTTTTAAAAGGCAGAGTTATACTCAAAATCAAGACAAATATCTTGACAATGAGAATAGAAGGGGAATTAAATTCATGAGGGGGAAGGAAGACTGAACATTTCCCACAAGGGGAAGGGAATCAGAGATTGGATGGGGTTGCCCATCCCAGGAACAGAAGTTGAGGTTCTGGGATGAATGAGCAACATCCCCCCAGGGTAACAGCTCTAAGTTGCTCACATAACTTAAGACCTGGTTATGGGCTGGAGTCTGCAGGAGACAGCTACAAAATCACTAAAAGAAAGGCTGAGCTCAGGAAGAGAACAAATACAAACAAAATCAAATTTCCACTTAAAATGAGTTTGCAAATGAGAGTTACAAAGCACATAAAGAAAAATTCACCCAATGAAAGACAGTCAACAAACTCAAGGGACAGAAGAATTTACTTTTATTTTGGAAATTGAAACAATAGAGTAATTTTAAAAGAACATTTGTGAGATCCTCAGATATATTTTCTTTTAAAACAACAGTAGGTTATAAAATAAAGCAGGCAGCTCTGAATCAAGTGCAGGGATATTTAAAAGAAGATTCAGAAATCCTGGAAATGAATATAATCATTGCAATTTTATAAAACCCTTAAACAGATGGATAAATTTTAACTAGTCATAGTCAAAAAGAAAACTGGCACATCTGAACAGGAAAACGATTGCAAAAATTGAGGTAGAGGTAACAAACGTCGAAGTAAGGTAATGGCAGGAGAAATGTACAAGCTAAAAAACATTATAGAAGCATAGAAATAAGTAGGCTCTGCCACTGTTAGGCAGTATTCATTGAGACTTAATTCCATCTAAACCTTGCCAAAGGCTGACCGTGGCTATGGCCATTTGAAATTCTTCTATTTGTGGAGCCTCATTAATGCCAAAAGAGGACTGAAAAGATGAGAAGTAGACCTTCAGTCTGTCCATCAGCAGCCAACAAAAATAAAATGAACTTACAATGAAAATTCCTCGTTATTTGTGTCTGTAGCAATAAGAAATCTTTATTTAAGGATCAAGGAAGTTCATTAGAACTCTCCATTATCTGGCTGTTTTCTGCTTAAGTCCACAAATAAATAGTTTTAACATGAAATACTTACTACATATTTCTACATTTAGTATACATTATATATTTATTACATATTTACATGTTACTGTATTATTCCCTCTTACGTTTTAGGCCAGGCATGGTGACTCACGCCTGTAATCCCAGCACTTTGGGAGGCAGAGGCGGGCAGAACACGAGGTCAGGAAATCAACACCGTCCTGGCCAACATGGTAATACCCCATCTCTATTAAAAATATAAAAATTAGCTGGGTGTGGTGGTGCATGCCTGTAATCCCAGCTACTCGGGAGGCTGAGGCAGGAGAATTGCTTGAACCCAGGAGGCAGAGATTGCAGTGAGCTGAGATCGTGCCACTGCACTCCAGCCTGGTGACAGAGTGAGACTCCATCACAAAAAATAAATAAATAAATAAAAAGTTTTAGAATATCCTCCTTCGTATCAATAAAGTGATTACAAAATGATGAGTATTGGAGTATTGAGACTGTAAGAATTTTTTTTTAAAAGACAGAATTACAGTTTAGTTGAAAAGTTAACATGTAAAGTAAGAATGTGATAGAGAAAATGAAATTATTTATATTAAAACAAAGTTTAGAAATAAGTTAGAATTCCTTTAAAAAGAAACATTTTTCCAGCTCTACCACTAAAGATGTCCCGAGAGAAGCCGCAGCATCTTTGCTCAACTCTCAAGTTTTGAGGCAGGGAAAAATCAGAACAGACTTGGAGCATCCCAGAGTACTCAGACTTTAGTCTCCGATACTGTTCTTTATTAGAAAGAATCAGAACTACTTGGAGGATAGATGGTTCCATGTTTTGAGGCAGGGAAAAATCAGAACAGGCTTGGAACATCCCGATGCTGCCAGTCAGTAATTCTGGATGTTCTCAAGGACATCTGATGTCCTGCTGAAAGGATAAAGGAAGACCATCCACTGAGAGGACAGTCTGGGACAAGGGCTGAGGGACAAAGCAAGAGGCCAAGCCTAAGGGGGCTCTCAGACTCTTACAGAGGACTCTTCAGGTGAAGGCACCTTTCAGCCCTCAGAAGAACTCATCAAAGCACCCCCTAACAGCCACACAAGAGACCAGCATTTGGACGGTTGATCCATCACAGAGAAGGAGCAACAGTGATAAGAAAGGGGTCAAATGTGGGATGTGCTTCGATGGAAACAGCAAGTACAACTGACAAGACACCTTGAGCGCCAGAGTTACAAGGACATGATTTTGTTCTTTTGTTCCTCCTTGCCCCTACACCAGAGGAATAAGAGCAAGAAAGAGACAAAGTGGTATGTGACAGAGCTAACCGTGCAACACACACACACACACACAGAGTCACTCCAAGCTGTTTGAGTCCCAAGGCCAGTCTGTATGGATGGAAGAGGAATGTTTTACATCAAATGAGATGTTAAAATTTTTAAGTAAAAAGGACTAAGTTTTAATAACAAAAATGAGACCACTTTACTAATTATAATAAAGGTGACTGAAAAGGTTGAGAATCAGAGGGAGCCATTATCAAGGCAGCTCCTATGCAGGAAATAGCAAGAGCCCATGACAGCAGTGGTTGCAGTACAGAGCTCTGTGATGGCAGTTTATAGCTGAATGAGTTGAAATTCCTCAATCACACCACATAAATAAGATGTGTGATTCAAACACTAAGAAAGATAGTAGAGAGACTACCCTCTACACACACACATACAAGAAAAAAAACCTTTGAGCCACACATAGAATACAACCTTTTAAAATATAGCCACTTTTAGGCAGGTTTTCTCTAATATGGCTATTCGCGTCCTGTACTATTAGAGGTTGGCTGTTTATTGTGGCAACTGCAACTTACTTTTAAAATATATCATAGTATCTTCATCTTTACTTAAGATTGTAAGCAGAAATTGAAGTGTAGACATATATTTAGCTTGTAGAATCTATTCTTAAAACTTCCAGCCATTTTCCTATATATGTGTGTCAATATATTTCAACCTCCTACTCCCAACTCTGAAATTGTTAGGGCTAATAAATTACCTTAGGATGTTGTCTTAGACATGTTCGTTTCTACCCAGTGTTATGCTGGGCCACTTTTCTTTTATGAAAACATGATCTACAGTTCAATAACACACTTAGTCCAAGCTATTCGAGTCCCAAGGCTAGTCTGTATGGAGGGAAGCGGAACGTTTTAGATGAAATGGGATATTAAAGTTTTTAAATAAAAAGGACTAAGCTTTTTTTATTTAAAAAACTCCTTCACATGTGCTCCTTAACAATAGAAGAATATGGATCATAGCATTCTAGCTCTGTTTTTAAAACAACATAATACATAACCATGTAATATTACAAATAACACAATTTTTCATGTGTCACTTCCTTCCAAGACAGTTTGAGCTTTGATAAATTTTAATTGATATAAGTTAATCTCATATAATTAATGTAGATTTGCTGTAAGAATTAAATGCATAATTAGAATTTCTCTACTAAATGCAGATTCATTTGCAAACTCTTTTGAAATATATTTGGAAATGCATACTGGCAGCAGGATAGATTTTTGAACCTTAGAAATATAAATGCATTCTTTAATTACAATAAATTACCATGATTTTATATAGTCAATATGTAATTAATAAATACACTTAAGTTACTTTATTTAGGAAAAGTTTAATGCCTTGAGAGAAAAGGAGATAAGTCATTGGGCTGTGAGTTAGCAAGAAAACCTGAAAAAGAATGAAACCTCCTGAACCATGTGGCTCCCTCTTCTTTTAACAGAATTTCTAGCAATGAAGTGCTTGGAGACTCTAGTTTGAGTTCTAAGTCCCGCATTTCCAACATGTGAACCTGAGCGAGCCACGTATCTACCCCAAGCCTCAGTTTCCTCATTAGTCAAGTAGCCTATTTCATGATAATCCTGTCAAGATCAATAGAGATCTGTAGGGCAGAATTATAAGCAAGTATTATCATCACAATTATTGTATGTAATACACTTCTACTCATTTTGTAGCTACCAGTTGCTGTATCAAGGTATAGTTAAATTTGGATAGTGATAGCCACCATTTATTAAACACTATGCATCAGATATTGTGCTAAATGTTCACATATGCCATCTCATTCATTTTTTACAACAACACTAGTATTATCCCCATTCTATAATTGAGGAATCCAAAATTCCATAAAGGAGTAACTTGTCCATGGTCACACAGCTGGTAATTGATGGAGCTGGGATTGAATTGGTATCTAGCTCCAGAGCTGATGCGCTAAACCACCTGGGTAGACTTTCTCCCTACTAACATTGATAAAATTATACAAGCCCTACTCATCACATGCAAACTCCCTATTCATTATTAAGAACAAAATAGCCAGTGAATTCTAAACCTAGGAAGAAAACAATCTATTCAGGTATGATCAATCCCTTTGCTATGCTACCCTCCCTAGCAATGAGTGTAGCGTGTTGGAAGCAGTTACTATCCTACTAGCTAGACTCTAAGCTTCAAGAGGGCAGGTTCTCACTGCCTACTTCATCACAGAGTGCAAGAATACACTGCTTATTTGGTAAATAGTTCATGTTATCACCAAATTCCTTAAAAACATGCACTATTGAAGGAAAATTCTTGTCAGGCTAGTCTTTTGCATTACTGATAGAAGAAGTAAAATTTGGAAGAGGACAGAGACAGAATAGCATCTACTGGGTCACTTGCTGGCCTAGGAGCTTTAGAATAGAGGCATCCCTGCAGCTCCTTAGTCCCAGAGGCCTGCATCTTACATGTGAAGACATCCGGGGTTAGAAATCAATGAAGGGCCTGTACCTCTGGGAGGCAGGGATATGAGCAAGAGAAGGAGGAAGTGGAGAAACCATTTTTCTCCTTCATCCTAAGTGACCGGCACAGCAATAGACCCTGTGTCATTGGGCACACTGGGGAAAAATGTTCATTGTAGAACCCAGATGCCAAAGTGAAGAAGAAACAGAGTGTTTTCAGCAGCTGCATCTGGCTTTTTGGCAAGCTCTCCACACTTTGGTACTGATTATCCCTGCATCTGCTCCTTAATCGTTTCACTAGTTACCTGTGAACTGTTTTACTCACTTTGATCACACATTGCTTGGAACATGGAAAAAGGTGCCACTGTTATGTCTATTTTCAAGCTGCTGTGAACCTTTCCAAAGAAATCAATATCAAAAAACTTTCAGCTGTAGGGATAAAAAGAAAGAAAGAAAGAAAAAGAAATTCTCTATTCTGGACTCCCAGCAGCTAAGCACCCTGATCACGTACACATATAATGATTTCAAAAATTGAGAAAAAACTGTGCCTTATCCTGAAGTTAAGTGCTCCCTTTCTGTAAATGAGAATAGGGTTCAAAGGGTTAATCCAGTGGCCACGCACAGTTAGGTAGGCCCTTCGGAAATTTAATCTACAAGGAGGATTTGTTAAAACTCTCATCTTTAGCAGGGCTTTTCTGCACATCAGAAAAGTGAGATACATTTCATGGCTTTCCCTCTACACATTTTTATGCTACACCTTTCAGCAAAAGCTTTTACAATGATATTAAACATTAACTCTGTATGGGTTAATCCCAAGACACAGCAGCAGCCTTAAGGTTAACAGTCCTTTTAATTAAAAGATAAGTCAGTTATTGAACACAGAAGCTAATCACAAAAGGATTACCACTGAAAATGAACATAGTCTGTGCAATTAGTCTGATAATTAAGACTTAAGTACTGGACAGAGATCAAAGTGCTTGTAATATGCAATAAAGTTCCCAGAGTTGTAAGGATATTCAAAATGTTAGCTTGTGCTTTTATTGCACCTTCCATTTATCGTGTACCCATGATAGCAGCAAACACATTTCCCCGATGGATGTCAGCATGGATAACTGCAACAGCTGTTACTACATAAGCCTGGTGTTTCTCACAATATGATTACTCTGTCAACGATGGCCGTAAAAGGTGGCATCTGCATTCATCAAACAGAGTTATCAATAAATGTAAAACCATACAACAATTAGAAATCTCAAAGGAAGAACAAATCTAACTGGAAAAAAAAATGTCAACCACACTCTTTAATTACTAAAATTGTTAATCAATAAAATGCCTTCATAACTTTTAATTAAAATTTGATTTGAACTGGATGTTTGGATAATCTGATTCTTTGTTTTCATTATCTTTAACAGTTGCATTACAAAATTCTTAGTGGCATCTGTGAGCAGCCATCCCCTGGGGAACACTTTATATCTGTAATTGCATATTGTTACCTACAGAGGGTGTTAAGAATCCTTGTTAAAAATAAAGGAAATAGGAGACATCTCACAGTAGCCATTATTGTGGAACAAATTACTAGGTAGAGCAATCCAGAAGCTGTCAAGAAAGGTTAGCAAAAAGGAGTGTCAGGAAATCAACCATTCAGCAATTCATCATGGGCCAAAACTAGCTCTAAAATAAAACCAAGGAAAAAAGGTATCGGTTTTATGAAGTCAAGACATTGTCTTTGTTTATAGCAGTGAATAAAGATTATAAGAGGTTACTGATGAAGGATAAAAAGATGAAATGATAAAGGAAAAATCAATTGCTTTAATCACACTGATGCTCAGACAAGATATAATGAGAACAACTACTTAGAATTCCAAAAGCTCAATGCTGTATACATTATCTTTAATTTGTGTTCATAAGGGTCTGTGTAATTTATGCATCACCAGCCCCAGGAGTTGACTGGTAAGTTTTCATACCTTCATATCAGTCTCTTCAAGCTGAATACATGTATCACTGTTACTTTTTTTTTTTTAAAGACAGACTCTCACTCTGTTGCCCGGGCTGGAGTGCAATGGTGTCATCTCGGCTCACTGCAATCTCCACCTCCCAGGTTTAAGCGATTCTCCTGCCTCAGCCTCCCGAGTAGCTGGGATTACAGACGCACGCCACCACGCCTGGCTAATTTTTCTTTTTTAGTAGAGAAGGGGTTTTGCCATGTTGGCCAGGCTGGTCTCGAACTCCTGATCTCAGGTGATCCGCCCGCCTCAGTCTCCCAAAGTGCAGGGATTACAGGCGTGAGCCACCATGCCTGACCACTGTTACATTTTTTAATGTCTTTTTGATTTGTAGAAAAACAAAGTTGATCTTGAATTTCTTTCCTGAGTTTTCACTGGGATTTCATTTGACTGTCAACTCCAACCTACATGAATAAACCAGGTTGACTGTTGCTTATTTCACTGCTGAAATAATTAGCAAGCTCTCCTTTCACATTTTTGAATGCTGATACATGTAGAATTTAATACTCAAAGATTCACTCTTAAGGGCTTTTCTTTCCTTAATCTCAGCTTGGTTTCCTGGATTCCCATATGCATAAGAACAATTGAGAACTATAGCCAACCAACCTATCCAGTGTCCTAGCAAAGGCCACTGATGGGGTGCAGAACACACAATCTCAAAATATGGCACCTTGGCATTTGAGAAAACAGTAGAAGCAGGATGGTCACTCTCATCTTCTTCCCTAAAGTAGGCCCTCAACAAATTATCTCATCTTCCAAAGTAGGTCATAAGACAGTCATTTCAGAGACACCCTCCCTATACCTTAGGGAGGAAAAGAATGTCTCTATGAAGGACTTTGAAGACACAGGGAAACAGAAAAGAATCTGAGCAATCAGGCCTTACTAAGTTCCCCGGTTTATTACCATTAGATCATACACCCTTTATCTAATCATACTTCTGCACGACTATCCACTTCTTCATCAAATTTAGCATAAAAATACACAGGTTTCCCTGTTTCTTTGGGTCTTCATTTCTGAAGGCCTTCATGTCACATGAAACTTATATTAATTATGTTTATGTGCTTCTCTCTTGTTAATCTGTCTTTTGTTATAGAGGCCTCAGCCATGAGCCTTATGATAAGTGAGGGAAAGATAGCCCTTTTTCTCCCCTACACTATAATTCATAGCTCATAACAGACAGAATGTGCCCTCTATGCTTTTTTTTTTTTTAGACGGAGTCTTTTTCTGTCACCCAGGCTGGTGTGCAGTGGTGCGATCTTGGCTCACTACAAGCTTCGCCTCCCGGGTTCACGCCATTCTCCTGCCTCAGCCTCCCGAGTAGCTGGGACTACAGGCGCCTGCCACAACGCCCGGCTAATTTTTTGTATTTTTAGTAGAGACGGGGCTTCACTGTGTTAGCCTGGATGGTCTCGATCTCCTGACCTCGTGATCCACCCGCCTCCCAAAGTGCTGAGATTATAGGCGTGAGCCACTGCACCCGGCCACTTTCTTTCTTTCAAGAAAAGTTAACATGCTCTCATCAGAGCATTGCTTGGAAATCAGCTAAAGAAGGCTCTATTTCACCAACAAGTTCGCAGCTCAACTTTGCTTCAAGTCATTGGGAAACAATGGTTACACTTAACCTTGTTCATGAGATCAGGGTCATATCTTGAAGAAAGAAGAGGAAAATAATGGTACGTCGTACCAAAATAATGCTTTCCAGATGCCAGGCCCTATTCTAACTGTTTTACAGATATTAACTAATTTAATCCTCACAAAAACCCCAGGAAATAAATTGTTACCAAACCAAGAAGTTGGATAGCTTGCCCACATCACACAACTGGTGGATGCCACTAACCTCTTCTATACTGCTTTTGAGAAGACAGCATTTACTGAACATGCTATTTTGTGTCAGGCTTGTGCTAAATGTTTTATTTCTATTTGCATAACTCTGAAAGGTAGGTTCGACAGAGGGGGAAATTGAGACGCAATGAAGGGATATGAACCTCCCCAAAGTCACACAGTAATGTAGTACCCAGAGTCAAATCTATGTGTATCAGACCCTACAATCCCCTATTACTTTACGTATCATCAGTGTAAGACATTATTGTTGGATTTTTTTTCTATCTCCTTTTTTTTTTTTTTTTTTTGGTAGAGACAGGGTTTAGCCATGTTGCCCAAGCTGGTGGTGAACTCCTGGGCTCAAATGATCCACTTGCCTCAGCCTCCCAAAGTGCTGGGATTACAGGTGTCAGCCACCATGCCTGGCCAGAAATTATCACTGGATTTTGATTCCACTAGCATTCAATGATGAATGAAAAAGGAAAAACAAAAGATGAAAAAGGCAAGAGAGGAAGAGACCATGTCTATGTGCTACATAATTTCTCTCCTGGCAGGTTGAAGAGTAAATTGGGTCCAAGACAAAGGAAAGATTAGGCAAAGTTTGAAAAATTTCCCAAACGGTAAGGGTGGTTATTAAACGGAGTTTAAATATTATAGGGTGGGTTTTCTAAGAGAAGGAGAAGATACTCTAAGAATGAGAGCTTTTGTTTCAAAGAGGATCTAAGATCTAAGAGGGCAGAAGGCAGGAAAATAACAAAAAATTTTACGTGGAGATGTTCCCAAGAACTCTGAGAGATGGTTGTGTTCTTATTCTCCTTCTCAGGCATGAATATTAAGAGTTGTGACATTCTTGGTGAAACATTCTCCACCTGCCAGGTTAGGAAAACAAAATATACTCCAAGGAAGACACAGGTGTGCAAATAAATGATTAAGCAGTCCAGGATGGGAAATAATTCAGCAGGGTAAGTAGAGGGGGGCTGCTACAGTGGGGAAAATTGAGGTCTAATTTATCTTTGTAAAACCACAATACCATGCAAAATAGTTCACAGGCTCTAGTCGACATGTCTGGACTAAATGGTGGACCTCTTTCCCCTTTATTTAGCTACTATCCTAGGAGACGGTAACCTCCAACCTCTCAAAAAACAAGACTCAGTAGCCACTGTCAACCTACCAATGATTGCACTTGCCAATCTTTGGCATTTAACATTTGTTTTTTTCCTGTTTTTCACCCCTTTTATTCTTAGAAGTTGTTAGCTTTTTCCCTTCATATAATCAACAGTGTAGAATGGTCAACAACTCTATTTAATTCATCAAAATGTAAATTTTTAATATCACAGTAGGACCTATGATTTCTTCCCCATTACTTAATATGGCCTACCTAGTGTGTCACAGACAGCAGTCAAAAACATCAATGGAAATGGTGCATATTTATGAAAAATCCTTAGTGTTTTGTTCATACCTATAAACAAAGCAGGGGCATGCCCAGTACAAGTAATTTTAACCACTTAATCTCATCCATTGAATATAAATGGCAGTCATATTTGAACATCAAAGAGATGTTTTAAACCTTAAATGATATGTAAAAAGCACTGTAGAACCCCGGGTGTTATTCAATTTCTACATTTTGAGATGATTGAAAATGAACATGATTGAAATATGAAAGTCATATTTTTTAAAACTATCATTTTGCAAAGGTTAATTGACAAGTAGTCTGAGCAGAGGGAATGAGCTGAAAGTAAGTTTCCAATTACCAGAACTGGGCCATAGACTTGGGAGAACATATGAAATATATAAATCTTGAAATGCTAACAAAACTTCCATTTACTAGGCTGAGAAGCGAGCAGTACAGACTTGAAGACATCACTCTCTTTATAAAGCTATCTATATGAAGATAAAACATAATAAGTATCTTGAATTTAATTTCAGAAAAAAATTCTTTAAAAATTTTCTATAGGAACCATTAATGACTAACAAAATGAGACTGCATTTTCTATTAACAAAGTAGAAAAATTGCACAAGTACAGCTGCATGGTTGTATGACTCTCTATATATTCGTATATAGACACACATATGTAAATTCACTCCCAAATAGATAAGCAAAATGCAAGTAGTACGGCAATCTGGAGGAGAGTCTATCTTGTTGCAATTTTAAAATTTCTCAATCCATCAGTTAAATGTGGATTCAGGGCACAGACTCATATTTCCTTGTCAAATAAATTATGTCTTACATCAAAGACCACACAGATTTCCACTTAACAAAACAGGAGAATGTCTGAATAGACCATAAATGTGAAATATGCAAGAGAGCAAAATGAGACAGCCAATAAAATAAAAGATTTGTTAGTCAGCTAAAAACTATCTACAAAATGGTACTACTGACAATCAGAACTGTTGATTAAAGAAATATTCTTTTAAACTGATGCTAATTTTTTTTCCATGAGAAATGAGCTCTGGTGATAATGCAAAATGGTAAGCAATTGCTATGCATAAAAAGTTTTAATTAGACAACAAAGACTAAGATAGTGCATACATCTTTTTTGCTTGATTATTGAAACGCCATGTACACGTAATATAGCAGGAGAAAACAAGAAACGTGCTAGGTCTTTAAGAAATAAACCAGGTACCAAATTATTATATAGCTGTAAATCCATGGGTCAATAATATTCTTTATATGAACTTGACATTTTTCCCTTCCCAGGTAATTTGTAGCAATTAATTCTTATTTATAGATATGTTTGCTACCCTGTTTTTTTTCCCCCAAATATGGCATTAAAATATACAGCTGCCCCTGTCTAGCAGCCACTGTTAAAGATGTTATTTGGTTTAATGATTCTGGCAAATTAAATTGTTATCAGTCCTTAGATTAGTATTATCTTAAAATGTAACACAATGTAACAGATTATAAGATAAAGAAAAATACCTTCAATTCTTCTTTAAAACAGCTTCACTACAATAGTGAGTTTCTTAGATAAGTCTGATTTCCAAAGGGTTTTGGAGGATTCAGCTTAATGGTTAAACGAGATAACACAGGGAAAGTGTTTAACACTGTGTCTAGCACTCAGAGTAGGAGCTCTATATAATTGGGATGAGTTCTACAAATATGCGGAGAAATGAGAGTCCCTTGTTGTCTAGGGCTTCATTATACACATACTAGTTTATTGGGGCTGCCATAACAAAATATCACAGGCTGGATAGCTTAAACAACAGAAATTTATTTTCTCACAATTCTGGAGGCTGGAAGTCTAAGATTAAGTAAGGTGCTGGCAGGGCTTGTTTCTCCTGGGCCTCTCTCCTTTGCTTGCAGGTGGCTACTATTATGCTGTGTCCTCACGTGGTCATTCCTCTGTGTGCACTGATGTCTAGTGTCTCTCTCCTCCATAAAAGGACACCAGTCATACTGGATTAGGACCCACCCTAATGGTCTCATTTTAACTTAATCACCTCTTTAAAGACTATCTCCAAATACAGTCACATTCTGAGGTGGTGAGGGTTAGAGCTTCAACACTGGAATTTGTAGAAAACAAACAATTTAGCCCCTAACATAAGATCATATGTGGACACCTCCCAACATTTAAGGAGGATGTTGGGAACCCAAGTGTGCAGAAGTGGGAGTTACAGCCAGTCTGGAGTAGAAAACCTGATGTGGGTGGAGTCCCAGCACCCTCTCTCATGCTTTCTTCCTGTCCTGGTCCTGCTGGCCTTCTCTTCTGCACCAGCATCTTCACATCTTTGCAATTTTTTTTTGTACCAGCATCAAAGCATCTTCGCCCTGAGTCAGGTGTTGATTTGTTTGAATTAATTATTAGATGAAAGTGAGTAAAAAGCTTAGCACGCCAAAGAGGTGTTCCACATCCCCCCAGAGAACCTAGTTATCCAAAAAGAACCTGTGCTTAATGAAATGGGCAGGGAGAGGTGTAGCAGGTAGGTAGAGACATTTCTCAGTCATAGCTTAAACTGCCCACTCAGGACCCCTCACTGAGTAACTGCTTTTATCTTCCACACCCTCTTCCTTTTGTTAGTGGCTCTGTGCTCTTGCAGAGTGAAGCGAAACCAAGTCATGGAGTGAGGTGGGGGTGACTATTCCAAATAAGAATGGGGGAAATGGAGGAGGGGTGAGGAAGAGAAAGGGTCAAGGGGAGGGCAGACAATGCTCTATATTTAAAGAGACCTAAAGAGACTTGGAAAACTTGTCTCAGCATAAACAAAAGTGTTATTTTATCCATGTTTCATCCTGTGTTATAATTGTCATTTATGAAACTGTATTATGTTCTCTTCGGCAAAGAGTCATCTTTCCTTAACAGGATATTAGTGTTGACAAAGACTGTCATTATGGAAAATCATCTCATTGGAATATGTAATTCACTATAGTACAAACCCTAAGGAAAGGGAGGAAGCAAACATCTCTTCCCTGTTTCCCTTCTCTCCAGGTTACAGGAAGAAAGGGGGTGTGAGTCTGAGAGTGTCTGTGTAATTTAAGCCCTGGCATAATGCCTAGTACAGTGCTCTGTGCTGTGTTCAATAAATAGATGTTGTCAACTGACAACACCATTGTAGAGTAACGTTTGTTTCTTCAGCAGCCAAATTCACCTTATCTGCATAGTTCCATTATTCTTTGGGGCTCTCTCCTCCTTAAAATGATGGGTTGCCAAGTAATAAAACACTTTCACCTTTATCTCCACCTATCTCACCCCCTTTAGCTCTTCTTTTATTGCCAGGCCCTGTGTCAGGTGACCCATCCACCCATCTCTCCCTGGCTTCCTGGTACCCAGCAGCTCACGGCCATTCTGGATTTAAAATATCAGAAGGTCTTTCATTATAATCATTGAGGTTTGTCAATTAAAGGAGGTGTGGATTGTGTTTTAATTGTTCAGAAACAACAGCATCCTGATTGGCATTAACCAAGAAAGTCTCCCCTGAGCCAAGAGGACCCAGTTGGGGAAAATTAAGAGGCCAATTCCACAATGAAATCAGGAAGCTAAGCAGTTGCACAGCCCAGCTGAGGGGTGATCATCTTCTTTGCCTAACCCTGAGATAAGTCTCCAAAAGCAGAGACCTCAGATTGAAAAGGGTTATTCATTCTTTTAAAACACCTAGAAAATTAATGGTTTTCTCAAATAACATTTTTATCAAAAAAGGAGATGATGGGCTTCTCTAATCTCTACATGTACCATCTCTTACTGTGGAGCTTTCTGTGGCCCACATTCCCCTTCATCTACAAATCAGAACCAAAAACACATGCAGCCACCTGGAAGAAAAGGCACTCAAATAATAATAAGTTAATGTTTGTCATCTCTGCATAATCACAAAGTAGTGTGAATATTCTTCAGGATAGAACCAGAAAGATATTATGCATAAAGTTCATTGAAGGACTTTGCAGCTCAGGGTGAAATCTAATCAATGAGATGCGACCTGTGCAAATTCAGTTTTCAAAGGGCAGCTGTGAAGTTTAGGACTACTAAATTAGAAATCCAAGTTCATAATTTTGTATTTTTCTCCTGCATTTTATAAATTTATTTATTTATTTATTTTGAGATGGAGTTTCGCGCTTGTCACCCAGGCTGCAGTACAATGACACAATCTCTGCTCACTGCAACCTCCATTTTCCGGGTTCAAGCTATTCTCCTGCCTCAGCCTCCTGAGTAGCTGGGATTACAGGTGCCTGCCACCACACCCAGCTATTTTTTGTATTTTTAGTAGAGACGGGGTTTCACCATGTTGGGCAGGCTGGTCTCAAACTCCTGGCCTCAGGAGATCCACCCACCTCGGCCTCCCAAAGTGCTGGGATTTCAGGTGTGAGCCACTGTGCCTGATCGTGTCATTTACTTTTAAAATCACTTAACGTCGACTTTGTTCTTTAGGCTTTCTGGCTAAATATACCTGGTGCTTGAGTTCCTAGCAAACATTTTGAGTAAATAATAAAACCATTACCTTCACTATTCCTTTTTGAACTAAAGATCTAAGTAGAGTTCATTTGGGCCTGTTCCCCAGCCCACCCCAAAAAAATCACTAGCCCTTATAAGGTGGTATAATAGAAAGAGCACTAGAGCAAGACCTAAGAGATCAGGGTTCTGGTACCTTTGGATGCTATTTCATTAGTGGATGAGAGAGGAGACATCTTGGATTGGGGACTTTGGGTACCCTGTGAACAAAGTCATCCACAAGGCAACATGAATTAAGCATATTGCCCTCATTTTTCTCTTCTCCTTCCCCACATAGACATCCCTCCTTAAATTCACATTGAAGGCAAACATTGTCAATTACTCAGTCTTTATGATAACTATATTATTACTTCATTGTATCTTAAACAAATGAATGATAATTTGGTCATCTTATTTATCAAAGTATTCTCAAGCTTACACTTGGAAAGTCTTAGGATATAAAATGTCTCAAAGTCAATAGGTTATGAATGTTTAGCAATATTTAGTAACTCAATGTGCAAATCATTTCCAACACCAATGAGAAGAGTTTACAATTTAATTTCACTAAAAAGCAAAGTTATGTATGATCTCTTTATAGAAGGAAGTAGCATGTAAGTAAAATAATTGAATATGAATATTCTCCTTAGAAAATGCATTTTAATTTACTATAACAAAATAAGATTTGAATTTTTTCCCTTTACAGATACTTTACTAAGAAATATGAAATTTAAGCTTTCTATTTCACATAATTTATCTAAATACTTTTCAACACTGCTTACAAAGAAAAAACACAAATATCCATCTTTTGTATGTGGTGAGTCCAACCGTTATATGGTACTTTGCCTTTATTTTTCAATGGAATAAAAAGAAATGATAAATTTCTAAATTCTGTAAAGCCCAAATCATTTCTTAATTTATAACACACTAACTCAAAAACATAATCGAAGCTTTTATTCTACCTTTAAAAAGAAGCTAAATGGCTAACATTATGTTGTCATCACAATTTTCTCTTATGAAGTGTTTAAGTGAGCTAAGCTACTATTCATGTGGCTTTATGTTAAAGCCCTCAGTAAACACATATTTT
Source organism: Homo sapiens (assembly GCF_000001405.40). NCBI lineage: Eukaryota > Metazoa > Chordata > Mammalia > Primates > Hominidae > Homo > Homo sapiens. The sequence continues at coordinate 175,273,208 of NC_000002.12, read as the reverse complement.
TCACCTTCAAATGAATTACATTCCAAAGGATGGAGAAGAGATATATCTGTGTAAAGGCCGGTCATTTTTAGAGTCATGCGTTTCAGAGCTGGAGGTGCTGGGAGGAGGCATCTCTCCTTCCTCAGAGCTTCATCAGCACCAGGCTCACACCTCTGTCAAAGCACACAGCACCCTGAAGCCCAGTGGTCTTTATTCTACTACAAGGGGAGCTCCTTAAGGAGAGGGATTATAACTTATTTTTTTTGTTATCCCAGGGTCTAACTTGTCTTTTCGAATGTGTTCGATAGATTGTAGGTGAATAAATAGCTCACGGCCCAATCCAAGAGGGATGTTTCAGTCAAGAAAAGAAAGTCAGTAGAAGCCCAATGACTTGTGTTAGATCATACAGTTAGTTAGAAGCAGGATAAAAACCCAGATCTTTTGATTTTCATGCTGTGGAAATCTCAGTCAGCAAGTTAAACCTAGGTATTGAAAATGGGTTGAATATAGTGTGTGGCTCATGATGACTGGTTTATACACCTTTTTATGAAGGTGTTGTTCTAAATATGATAAATGTAATAAATTAACCATCCTAGTTCACGGAGATATCTAGCATGAATGCCCAGTGATTCAGAGCGCAGTGGATTCAAATTCCAGTTCAGACACCAGCTGCATGGCCTTGATAAGAACCTTAGACTCATGGTTCTCCACATCTGAATGACTGAAAGAACCATGAAGTTGGCATTTGACAAAAATAAGGGGCAAAATTTCAAACCCAAGCTCAAAGTCAATGTGAAAGTTTTAAGCAGAAAGACCCAAATGTATGCATACAGTAGCAGTCAGAAAATTTTCGCTTCTATGAACTTGTACAGAATTTTACAACCAGGAAACCTTAATAATAAGACAAAACAAAACATAAGCCCTCATGATTTTCATTTTAACATCTGTATAAACTTTGAGTTTTATAACAAAGAGATATTTTAATTTCAAACTACACACCAGGTATGGGGGGCATCATAATCTTTTCAGGGACTGGACCAGGTAGCAGACAAGCCCTGACATCCCGACCCCTGGAAGAGACAACATTTGCATGCATCCTTTCTGCAGGATCCCTGGGGAGCAGTCACCTGCCCACGTCTGCTGCTGGCCACAGCAACCTCCTCAGGGGTATCCTGCTGCTTTTCCACTCCTTCCACCCACCTGGTCAATCACATACGGGCCAGAGCTTTGAAACAGAAATATAAAAGTATATTCTGTGGTTATTACTTAATGTCGTAGAATCCTAGAACCATAAAAATCAAGATTCATATTCTGTTAGAGCTAAATATGACCTTAGAGATGAGCTAGTTAAATCCCCTTGAGGGAACTGGGAACAAAATCTGACCTTCCCTCCAAAGATAGAAGAAGGGCTAGGTTTTTAACTGAGGTTGGTGTTTTAGGGTCTGCGGCTGGAAAGTGAGGCTGAGAGTGGGTATGCCCTCCTGCTGTAGAATGTGCACTTGTGAAGAGAGCACAGGGCGGAGGGACTTGAGAACCACAGATACAAGAGCAAACAGGATTGCAGACAGGAAGTGGGATCTGAAGAAGTGACAGAAGGTGACTGGACAATCAGCGGAGGTGTGTCATCGTGGGGACGGTTCTTACAGACCGTTGGGGTTAGGAGTTCTCTCCACAGCAACATGGCCCTGCTGTGAATTAGGGCTATCCACTTCCCCGGAAGAGAGGTTTCTCCAACATTCATGGCATTACGGTTGATTGTTATCACTGGTGGAAATAAGAGTTTTTAAATAAAGGGAAAAATACAATAAGATCACAAGTATTAGCTAAGCAAGATGGAACTATGTTTTATTATAAAGAAGAGTAACATTAATTTGCCAAAAGAAAATTAAACCCGTCAACTTGTATTGGGTATGTATAAGGACTTCTAGTTATTTTTCAATATTTTTTTTCTATTTTCTCACTGGCCTCTCTACCTACCTACATTGAAAAAAAAAATCATGCATTCATTTGTTTACGATTTACTCAGTAAATATGTATTGTGTGCCTAATATGTGTTGGACACTAGGTATACAATAGCTCACAAAATTGTATTGAGCTTTCAAAGAATAATTTTAATTTCCTATAACAGATATTCAGCTAATTTCATCTTTTATTCTTTCTTTTCCTAAAAACAATTATGTTTTCATAGAACTCAGTTCTGTTAAGCTGAGACTATCTCTTTTTGGGAGAAGGAGAGTAAATAAAAAGTCTCTCCATTGCAGTAAAACTGGCATTTTGTGTACATTTATCCTCAAAGTAGGCAGGAATTTATAATCTGTTCCTTAGGAATATTCAGAAATAATTGGAAAATCACCCTCACTTATCTTTGCTTTTGACAAGAGTTTGTTAGTAATATCCTCATTTGCCCTGTTCAGTTGGCCTCGGATTTCAAAATTCAGTACCTACACTCTTAAGAGTAACTCTTCCCACTCTCTATTCATGCCAATTTCTTTCAACACTTAACGAACCTGTGGATAGTGAGGTTGCATTAAATTATTCTCAATTTTATCTTTAATATAGTCAGCAGGCAGTATTTTCTGCAAAAGGCATTTACTCCTAACTAAAAGGAGAAGAAAGCTAACTCTAACTTCCTGTGGGCCCTGTCCCTTGTGAATTCCAAGAGGGAGAAAAAGGTTAATTGCTAACAGTTCTGTGCATGTGTCACTTACAGCTTACCACTGGATTCCTTCAGTCTAACACCCTTTCAGCAGTAGCATTTAGAACACTGAGACCAGACTGAGTTTTTTATTGCTTACTTCAATAAGATACAGGGTGAGTTTAAAAAAGGCGATCCTTAAGATTTATGTGTGTACTCTACAATAAGAGTTCAATAATTCCTTTAATCCATGTTGTCATCTCCCTTGGCCTTTTGCTTTACTTTACTCTTTTAACATTACACCTTATTTTAATAGCAGTTATCAGAATCCATATACTAATTCAAACTAACAAGAACTCTAGTATGAGCCCAGTATGAGTAAGGTACTGAACCAGGTACTCATATTATACTTAGTAATTATACCATATTTCACAGGCAAGTAAACTGTTTTCATAACCATACTTTATCTACAATTTATCTTTAAAAGATCTGACAACAAATCAAAAGGGTTAATTGGATAAATTTTTCTTAAGAGGAAAGTATAGTCTTATAACCTCCCTTAACACTAGTTGAAGCAGTGGACATAAAAACTTGCAAATGTACCGCAGAAATAATTTAAATTTAGTGAACAGGATCAAAAGAAGTAAAAGCCAGGCTTTAAATAGAATTCGTGGATCCAAAGTTTCTTCTGGAAACTTTAAAACTATATTTATATTTATTGATTGATCAATCAATCAATTGACCTGTCTGCCTATCTCATATCTATCTGTAAATGTCTGTAGATATATTCTTAAACACAGTTAGTTCTTAATGTATTTAATTTTCCACTTCAAGAATCACTACATACAGACTCCATTTCTAGGATGTTTTGGGTTAGAGCAACAGCATCTCCTTGAAATTTCACAAAATCTTCCATACCTATGATATCTCTAGATAACCACCAAAAGAGAGCTGAGCACTTCAACACTTGAAAACAGTAAAAATCATTCCCATCCTAAAAGTAAATCAACAGAATCATTTGTTCTTATTTCACAAACATATCCAAAAACGGAACCTCTATGTATCACGTGGTTCATCCTGTATCTAAAGTAATTGCCATCTTTAGCATCATACACTTGGTATAATTTTGCAACACAGGGGTTTCTTAGAAATCCACTCATCCATTATTTCTGCAACTGCCTTCCAAAAAATATTCATGTACTTAAACATGTTAATAGGTGTTTAAGGGAACAATGTCTGTGTTCAGATAAAATTTGAAAATTTTTTCTGGGAGCTTGTGGTGCACATTTTAGCAGTAATAAGGCTGAGAAGATCTGCTGTTGAAAAAAAAAACAAGGGGGGAGTTTACATTTTACTCTCTAAATATATTTGTACTTTTTATTATTTTATATAAAAATATTGTTTTGTACAAAAATATTGCATGCTACTTGTATAATAAATGATGAAATAGATCTCAGAGAAAGTGAAGAAAGAGAAGAGACTTGGGGAAAGATGTGATCAGTCCCAATGAGGAATGTAAATTTAAAAATTAAGAGATATGTCTTACGAGCATTTCTACCAAGTTTTATAATGTAAGGTGCTATATATCTCTTCTTTGATGTCCTTAAGAATCACATTTCTTGTCAGGGCAAGAGAAAGAAGAAAGGAAAGAAGAAGGAAAGGAGGGATGAAGGGAGAAAGGAACTAAGTTTGTCTAACCCTGTGCTTCCAAAATTTATTTGACAGTAGAACGCTTTTTTTTCAAAGAATATTTGTAAACACTAGAGATATGCTGGCAAATGCTTAACAACCAGCTCTTGGGAAAGGGAGAGGGCCTGGTTTGTAGCACGTGTCCATTTCCATGGTGTAAATAATCCCAACCATGGCCAGTAACAAACTGCCAATATGACATCACTGGCTCCCAAGCTTCTGGCTCTAGCCCACCACTGCCAGTGTTCCTTGGAAGAGAGTTTTAGAAATGTTGAGCTTGTGTATCTTACCCTTTTTCTCAGTCCTCACTCCTGTATACATATGTGCTTCAAAGAGGAAAAAAACTAAGACCCAAAGAGGTTATGTGACTGTTCAAACTACACAGCTACTCATCTTTACTGGTATCTAAACTAATTTCTAAATTAAAAGATGATCCCATACTATCTAAAGTAAAAATTCAGCTATATGAAAAAGAAGTATAGTACTGTAGAGTCAGTGATAAGGAAGGCCCTTACCTCATAAATATAAAATGCATATTGATGTCTTTTAGCTGATCAGCTCCTCTGCCTGGAGTTAGCATAACTTGGATAATATGTATGTATTACCAATATCTTCTAAAAGTAGTAAGAAATTTGAGCCCATTTGTTCATAAATATTTTCAAATCCTTAATCAAAAAAGGTTGCAGAAGAATTTAAAATATTATTATAAAGTCATTCAAGTCTTAAGATCTCTTGGATCTTTGTCTCACCCAGAGGTAACTCTCTAAGATTAGAGAACACACCTTACTTAGAAAAAAAGGAAAGTTTACTCTTACTTATTTTACTATTTTTTTGTTCAGACTTTTCCTTCTAGCCCATAATTTATCTTGTATTTTTTACTTGCCTTATCATATTTTCAAAAGATAAGGATTTGTTGAGATACATGCTTTTAAATCGTATTTTCAAAAGATAAGGATTTGTTGAGATACATGCTTTTAAAACAGAATTGTTTTTATGTGAATCAATACATATATATCAATAAATTTATTTTTGTTTGTTCAATGTGATGCTACTTCCTTAGGTTCAAAGATGATAATATGAATGTGTTTATTGTTATCCTTTGTGGCAGAAAACTGTCTATGAGCACTTCTCTAAAAGGATTTGTCATATAAATCCCAGGCACTTCCCTGCTGGATTTTACTAATCTCAGACAAGTCCTTTAATCTCTTATAACCTTGATTTTCTTATTCATAAAAAAGAATAGAATAATAGTAATCTATATTTCATGGGGAAGTTGGTCTCAAATACATAGATTTTGAGAATTGATCATTAAGTTTGTGAATTTCACCCTAGCTTCTGGCCATTTTACAACATGTTGACTGTTTCACCAAGAGCTTGGTGGGAAAAAGAGTGAAGATTAAAATTTGTTTTCTTTAAATTATCTCTAGATTGAAATCATTCAGATGCTCCTGGCTTCTTGTTAAGAATGGAAGCCAAGAGCCGGGCGCGGTGGCTCACGCCTGTAATCCCAGCACTTTGGGAGGCCGAGGCGGGCGGATCACGAGGTCAGGAGATCGAGACCATCCTGGCTAACACGGTGAAACCCCGTCTCTACTAAAAATACAAAAAATTAGCCGGGCGTGGTGGCAGGCGCCTGTAGTCCCAGCTACTAGGGAGGCTGAGGCAGGAGAATGGCGTGAACCCGGGAGGCGGAGCTTGCAGTGAGCCGAGATCGCGCCACTGCACTCCAGCCTGGGCGACAGAGCGAGACTCCGTCTCAAAAAAAAAAAAAAAGAATGGAAGCCAAGAGTAAGCAACAGTGGATAGTCAGTATATTGTAAGTATAATAACAGACTTGTCTTGCCACTATAATTATTTAATGAGCAGCATCAACAAAAGGACAGTTTTAAAAATAAGGACCTTACAAACTCAATAGGCCACAGATACAAGATGAAAAGAAAGAAAGAAGCTTAAGAAAAGTAGAAAGAATTAAGATAAATGGAGCTCCCTGCTTGGCTGGGGCACTTTCCTGGGCTGAACCACACTTTCCATCTCAGGTATACAATAACTAACATTCATTCTGTAATGATGCCTATCTGATTTTTTCAGACATTCTAATGAAATTCTGCAAACTTTCGGTTTTTTAACTTGAAATCTACCTCTACCTCCAAGTTTCTCTGTGGTTACAAAGTGATTGGTTCCTTTGACAATGCATATGCATCATTCAAGAAGACAATTTCCTCATAGGTATCCTAAGCTCTGCTGGAAAATTCTAAACAAACAGGTAACTACAGGTCAAATTAGTGCTCCTAGGATTGGAACCAGTGATCCTTATTCATTGCTCCATCCAAGTCTACTAAAGTCAGTTCATCAAGCAGCTTGTGAGTGCAACTACTTTATAAGAGAGATTTTGCTAAAAATCCTGAAAATGGTGTTATATGAAAAAGAAGAAAATTGTAACTAATATTTAAATAGGACTTTACTGTTTAGCCAATGTTTTCCCCATGTTATCTCACTTGATCCTCACAATAATGCCCATAGGGTGTACTATCCCAATTTTATGGATTAAAAAGCTGAAGTTTTAAGAAGTTGACTTATTTAAATCAATAGAAGACTGTCAGGGAAAACTTTGAGATTCAAATATCAAATTCTGTGCACCTTCCATACTGCATTAACTCTTAGAAATGAACTTGACTTTTGCTCCTAATACTCAACTAATTACTGATGCCAGCTAGTCCCCCAATCCTGAGGAACCAGCAAAGGTCAGGGAAATAGTTGCCTCTACATATTTGCAATAGGCCTGTGACATACAAATGCAATGGTAATAAGGCCGTATACCAAAGAGCCATTCCTCTGTAACTGGACAATGCAAGGTGCAAATCCTGGCTGCAATGCTTACTTGGACAAGTCACCTAACATCTTAGAATCTCGGATTTCTCATCTGTACAACAGGAATAATGATAGCACTTGCCTTATAGCATTGTTGTGAGGATTAAATGGGGCTAAACACAACAAGCACTTAGCACATAGCAAGCATTCAATAAATATTAGTTTTAAAAATACATAGATTTATGTGGCTATATGGTCTCCTTTAGACTATATAGCCTATACTTGACTAGGAGAATCAATCAGACTTAAAACTCTGTCCATCCAGCTTAGGTAACCAATTAGATACATATGAAAATTCCATAGTCACTACCACCTCTGATACCAAAAACACTATTGGTAAACAGTATTAAACTATTTAAAAGTATACAGTATAGATTATATAAAAATTAAAATTAAAATATATATCAAATTCAGTGCAAGAGATTGAATTTAAACATGATCTCTAAGACTCCAGTCCAAAAATGTGATGACTCCATGATAACTTGGTACTGGTTATTGGTATAATGAGTTTACCAAAGGCAATTACTCAGTTTCATTATATTGCCTTTTAATCTCTTAACAAAAATCTAGTCCAAAATTAAAATTAAAGGTATTCAACTCAAGACACACACACAATGTTTACATAAGGCCCATCACTTGGGCCTTAACTGTTCACTCCTGTCTGCAGAAATCTAAAAGCCACCCAGGCCACCAACTTAATTATATCCAGGATGCGCACCAGAGGTGAAAAGCCTCCTAGAACTGTTTTTCAATCATCATCTCTCCAACTGAGCTGGACTAGTGACACTAAAACCAGCAATTAAAAGCCTCAAGTTTAGAAATACATTCAGTTTCCCAAGTCTCCAAATGGCAAAGGTTAAGTGAATTATGTGGAGATAATTCACCAAAGTCCCAAGGGAGGGTCCTGCTAACTTCACATTGCTGGTTGTTTCACTCTTATTTTTTTCTTCTCAACTGATATGCTTCTTGTCATGGTGCTGCCAATGCAAACGGCAGGAAAATAAGAAAAGTTGCAGATAGGGAAAATAAAATCCCTTCAATGTGTTTTGCAAGGGGAAGTCATGCGATTAACACATTCAGTGTTTCTGTAACACAGAAAGCTGTCTCCTCTAGCTATTTTCAAGAATAATTGTGAGTAAATTTACACTCACCTCATATTAAAACTACGTTAAATCTTTACTGTGTTGCTTTGCTACTTAAATTGGATGGCGTCGCTGGGCATCTTACTGTGTGAGACTATAATGGGACCGGCAACTCTCCTCCAGGCTGAATTAGAACCACCCATTACACCTCGAGTTGTGTGGTAACACCTCCACAGTGTTTCCAATTAACTTTGTAAGTTTTTAATCAGTGACAAATGCATCTTTGTAAATTCAATTTACCTTTTATTGCAGCGCTATAAACCGTCTTGCAGCATTCCGATATGTTGTGAACATTTTACTTGCTACTGACATAAGACAGCTGTTGGACCTACAACAAAGGCTAAGCTTTATGAGTTACCTGAATTAGGACGTAGGTGAAGTAATTAAACCCCAAAGAGAAAGAGGGGGAAAATAGATAGCCCTCCATGATCCACATACACCGATAGGTAGGCAAGGACTCCTGAAGCAACTCTGAAGCAACTCTGAAGCTGAAACATTCAAGATTAAAATCCCAGAAACTCCCTTCTGGTTTAAACTCACAATATGTTGAAAGAGGTAGATAAGTGAAAAGGTCAGGCACATTTTATTAATAAATCCATACAGCTCCTTGTTTTTCTTTTTAATCAAATTCAAATGCATCCTGTTAAAGAGCCATGGGTGATTAGATCATAAATCTGCATGACCTTGAAGATGATGAAGGAAATGCTTCTCTGTAAAGTGATCATCATGCTGCCAGTTCCATCATTTACACATTTTTACAGGTGCAAGGAAAAGGTTTAATTTCAAATTGCTTGCAAAAATCACTCAAAATAAAATATTACTTTATAAGATCTCCAGATAATAATGTAAATGAGCTAAATGTACTACTTGAAAATGTATTTTTATTTTTGTTTCTATCTTGGCTCCTAACATCTACAAAAAGAAAAAACTAAGAGGAAAGAGTAGTATAGGTGTTTGCCTCACTGTACTTACTCTAGGAGTCTAGCTTAGGTTTTGTTTGCATGTTATTAATGACACATTATTAACTCATTGTTGCTTGTAGCATATTATTTACAATTATTAACTAATTGTAAGTAATATGGTCATAAGACATATCTTTTGTTACATATTTAATCAAAAGTCTGCATTTTATATAGGCAGCAAATTTATGGATGGCATTTACAGTTTTTTCCTAAAATACTGAAGAATTCTTTTTGTCTTGCTTTCAGATTTATCACCCAACCATAAGACATTTGACATTCAAGTTGTAGATATGAGTCTTGCTATTTTCACATTGAAAATATTGTAAATGTTATAATTTGTCAAGAGTTTTTAGACCCTAACATTAGCTAATTCATTAATTCATTCATTTATTCATCAAGCATATTAAGTGTCTAATATCTGCCAGGGATAAATAGTGAATAAAAATGTAGTCCCTCTCCTGAAGATCAAAGATTATAAACACAAGAAAAATTTCAGACCTATATTTATATATTGCTTACTTCACACCTCTATTTAGACTTTATATAGTTTTAAAAATCAGCCATAAACTAAAACTTTTTATTAAATCTGTACATTGTTACCATTTCTAAACCATAGGCTTGGCTTTCTTTGACCTTTTCTGAAGGGCATACTCTTTGAATGCTGTTTTGATTCTTCTGTATGTATCACACAGCCTTATGATAGCTTATGAATTCTTTATAATACATACACAAACTAGTCAAAATACAGCTTTTATTTGCATAACCCTATTTTTCTCCATTCTTTATTACATGTATTAAAGAAATAAGAAAACGCTTGACAGGTTACTATATAGCTACTTTAGGATGTAGGAATTAGAAATGAAAAGCACCCTTTTAAATTCCTATAAACTGGTCATCAGTTTCCCACCATTTCCTCTGGGTGCTCAGAAAAATATGACCGGCTGAAGGAGTAGAGTTTCAGCAGACGATACTGAGTTTATGTTCTTTATCCCACATTGTGCTGTTCAACCAGTGGAAGGAATACTCTGATGGCAGTCTTGTGACTTCCAGGACAAAAGGAATCAGTGCCCTGCCACAGCACAGAAATTAGAGAGGCCTTTGAGGGGCTACTAGGCCTTCCCCATCTCTGTTCTCTGTGTAACTCTCACAAAAACAACCAGAGCACCTTGCCAAATGGGTAGAGAGAGGTGGCCTCCCAACACTCAGGCTTTCATAATTATTTCCCAAGATCTCATCTGACATCTCACCTCAATGTGACAGCAGAACATGCCTTAAAGATGGGGCAAATCAGAAGTGAGAATCAAAAGCTTTAGAGAAGTGCCTGCGTATAAGTGGCTGAGCTGTATGAAGATATCACTTATTAAGAGCTTGAAATCTGCAGGCACTGAGTTCGTCACAAAAACCCCATGTGATGGATGAGAAAGCTGAATATCAGGGGTTTTCCCAGAGTTACAAAACTTTGGAACTGGAATTCAAACCCATGTTGGCCAGCTCCAAAGCCTACCTTCTTTTTTTTTTTTTTGAGACAGAGTTTCGCTCTGTCGCCCAGGCTAGAGTGCAGTGGTGTGATCTCGACTCACTGCAAGCTCCTCCTCCCGGGTCCACGCCATTCTCCTGCCTCAGCCTCCCGAGTAGCTGGGACTACAGGCGCCCGCCACCGCATCCAGCTATTTTTTTTGTATTTTTAGCGGAGACGGGGTTTCACAAAGCCTACCCTCTTAACCACTGCACCACTTTGCCTCTCAGATGCCAACAGGTCATGCTATCTCTGAAGCCTAAATCCTTATTCTTTAAAACATGAAGCTTAAAATCTATGGCGTGCCTGTTTAGTAACAAAGTTTACACCCTCAGAAACCCATCCTTAAGTGAAAACTAAATAACTACTGTTATATTTCAATTCTATTTCTTTTACTTTATGCTGCCCAGCTATGTTTGGTAGAGACTATTCCCACCATTGTAACTATACGTTGGAATTGAAGATCCTCTCTAAAATAGCAAAATCTGCCCTATCTTGATTGCAAAATATGTCTCTATTTTAGAAAAGTAGATGAATCCCTTCCCTCCCCTGATTGTGTCAATTTTAACCATCTTAGAGCCAAAGCCACTTTACCATAATTTATGTTAAGCTTTTTTAATAAATGTCTTCTAATAATGGCTCTTGCATAAGAAGGATTTTATAGTATTGTATGTGATATGTAAATTGTTTCCACTAAAACAAATCTAAAAGGTTTGTACATATTCTGTATTATTTAGTGATACAGGACTCTAGCTCTTGAAGTAATTAATTAGGGATCATTGGGAATTATCATTTTGGACCCTGATCAGGGAACATTTTAAAAATCAATGAATATTGGAGACTTCACTTTCTTCACACCCAAAAGGAAAAAAAAAAGATTAAAAACAAATTCCTTGGGTATTGTCAGGCATTCTCAGCACACTCACATCTGGTACCATCTGTAACAGCTCAATCAATAGAGAAGAGTAATGTAATAATTGCTACAACATATTTTGTAATTCCTCGTTGTGGTGGCAACAGCATTTCAATAATATTCAGAGAGACTATTTATGATGCTTAAGGTAAGAGGTTTCTACCATGTGCAGAATAACAAAATTCAGCAGATATTTAACCCTTAGTGTGAAAAACCTTTAGTGAAAGTAAAGAAGCAGTTAAGCTTAAACTGAAGTCATCAAATATTCTCTGTGCCAGACAATAGTCACAGCAGGTTAAGCCACAGGGCATTTGAATAGGCAAAATAGTTTTTGATGACTATTAATTAATACAGAACCAACTGAATAAAATATGCTATATCCACACAGTTGAAGATTATGCAATTGTTAAAATGAACAAAAATTGAAGAAGCTCTCTGTGATATAAAAAATTCCAAGGTATTTTGTTGAGTAAACAAAGCAAAACACAGAATACTGTGTCTAGGAGGCTACCTTTTCTGTAATAAGAGAGGAAAATTACAAATCTACATTTGTATTTACTTCTATATGCATAAGGAAACTTTGGAGACTATATCTAAAATGAGGGGATGAATATCCCATTCTCCATGACATGCTAATTTCACACTGTATGCCTGTATAAAAACATTTCATGTACCCTACAAATATATATACTTACTATGTATCCAAAAAAATTAAAATTTAAAATAATAATAATAAATATATATAACTATAAAGTTTTTACCTGAGTGTATGTGTGGTGGTGAGGGCACTGGAGTGGTTGATGACATGAATGAGCACAAGATGTTTGTATATATGTGTGTATATATACACATATATACACACATATATATGTGTATATATATACACATATATACATACACATATATATGTGTGTATATATATGTGTATATATACACATATATACATACACATATATATGTGTATATATGTATATATATAAATATATATACATATATAAAACATATATAATTGTTGAAACATATTAGTGTATTACTTATTTAATGAATTAAATTAAAAGTTGTTTAAGTAATGTACCTATTATCAACAGGAACTAGTGAAATAAATACGGTAAATTAATAGAGCGGAATACTACGTGGCCATTAAACAATAACAATAAGGAAGCTCTTTATGTATGGATACAGAAAGATCTCTCAGATGTGTTATTGTGTTTAAAAGAAAATCAGAATAGCGTCCTTAATGTGCTACCATCTTAGTGGAAGGAAGAGGACCATCACTGTGTGTTTGCTTACATACAACTATCTCCAAAGGGTGGTTGGTTGTGTAGAGGGGAGCCGCTTTGTGGTCTGGCTTGGGAGCGGAAGGGAGACTTTTCACTGCCTTTTCTGCTTTATTCTTACCCACTTCAACGTATTATCTTTTCATTAAAAATAAAACTCAAGCACTTTTAGATCATTTTTAAAACAGTATTTAATTATAATTACTGGGTTTTTTTTCTAGGGAAAGAAAAGAATTAATCAATAAATCAAACTCAGAATTAGAGAAAGGAGGAAAACCAAGCCCTCCTGAAGTTTAAGCTATGTAAGTCAACCCTTGAATGAGATCTAATTTATCAAACTATCTAATTCATCAAACTACTACTCCAACTGCAGCTGCTAATATGTTTTATTTTTACTCCGCTCATTTGACTGCAATGTATTGCCATTAATTCAAACTTAGCTTAATAACATTAACAGGATTTATTTCTTCCCAGATATATAAACAACTGTCATGTTGTCTTTCACCAGCTCCACCTCCACTCCAAGAAAGGAAAACTAAATGGATTGAGTAATTTAAGTTTTACCTGGTTCATTATCAGTTTCAAATAATTTATGCATTTTAAGCAGCTGCTTTTCTTCTCCTTATGTGTCACTCACGCAAATTAGCAAGACCTCAAAGAAACTAGCCTATAACAAACCAATTTTTAAACTAAGTATTTCACAGGGTTATCTTTCCCTGTGCAGATTTTAACAGTGTAAAGCACCCACATTTCTACATTGTAGTGGAAAGATTATGAGCTTAAACACATCTAGGGCTTAATCTTGACTCTGCCACTTAGAAGGCACATGTCCTTGGACAAATAATTTAACCTCTTTGAGCCTCAGTTTTCCTTACCTGTAAAATGGGAATGGGAATACTTCTTCACAGGGCTGTCATGTGAATCATATAAAATATATTAAAGTCCTTAGTAGCATCCCCGATACCAGGGTGACCAAAAGTCCTGGTTTGTCTGAGACTCTTAAGTTTCATTTAGCAACATAAGTCCTAGGAAAACTCTCAGTTCCAGACAAACCAAAACAGCTAGTCAATGTATCTGTACACATGAAATATTCAATGGAATATCCAATGAAGTGATTTTCAAAGGGAAATTCTGAGTGCACAGACCAGGGAGGGCAGTAGTGTCCACAGTAAATTGCTTTTATTGCTATTAGGGTGAAAGATACAAAAGGACACAAAAAAATCTGCAACTTTTAGGCAACGGAAGCACAAGATAAGCAGGGAAAAGTAACTTGTCTTTGGAGCCAGATGGCCTAAATTTTAGTTCTGGTTCTCTTGAACCAGAATAACCAACTCTCTCACTGGCCTCTGTGCCACTGGCCCTTGGTTTCATCACGGATAAATGAGAAGTTTAGACCTGCTCTTTCCGACTCTAAAATTCGATTTCAAGAATAAGATTCTCAAATGACGTGAGAAATTCTTCAACACCCCCAGAAGCAGATGAAAAAGGTCAACATCCCTTTGTCTTGTCAGCCCCTCCAATACTGTGGGCACTGGAACATTAGCTAGTCTTTGAAAAACATTCCACTAAGTAGGAACAAGGTGAAGAAGACCCATCCATGCCCTTCACTCACGTATCACAGAGTCAGAGCATTTTTGCCAGCCAGAATCTGAAAAAGCTCTAGCAACAAGTGGTTACCAGTTGGGCCTGAAAGTTGGGTAAAAAGTTAGTAGGCAACTGAGTAACTGAGGGCAGAGGCAACTGCCTGAAGGAGGGAGAACGCTAGTCATCTAGAATCCTACTGCACTGGGTTTGGTGAAAGCAGATAAGAAGAAATATTCTGGAACGCCATTTTACGAGGGTCCGTAGCAATATCATCGGGATTTCCAAGGGGGTAAGAACATGGAGGTCTTGGAAAATGAGGAGAAGAAAAGAGATGAGAACCTGAAGTGGCAACAGAGTAGCAGGGGCAAGGAAAGTTTTCCATAGTAAAGAGGAGAGATTTGAACATGTTTGTAAATATATCAAAAATCAGCAGCAGAAAGAGAGCAGAGTTAGAAAGGTGCACATACGGGAGTAAGGAACTTTCTTCTTTCTAGACTTTAGGTACAGGAAGAAAAGAAAATTTCAGAGAAGCTGAAAATGCTGGAATTTGGACTTGGTCTCAACAGAGTAAAATAACATGCAATGCCTTCTTTCAGGTAATTTCATTATCACCTCAGTTTGTTGAATTGTCTTCATGTTCTTGTACTAAGGACAGTGGTGCTAAATTAATGGATGGAATACTAACAATGTTTTGGTTAAGTCAAGCTTTGTTGAAGATTTCAAACAAATTCTAGCCTTGTTCCAACTCTGATTTTGAATTTTATAAAAAATATATTAGTCTACTCTCCCTTCTTGGCAATATAACTGTAAACATTGACTTTTAAAAAAATAGCCTATATATGGATTTTTAAACAAAATGTATTTTATGAAAAAAAGCTTAATTATAGAAGACATGGAAAATAAAGACATGTAAAGATGAAAATTTCTCACATAGCACACAACACAAACACTATTATTTTGGGGTCAGTATTTCCTTCTAGTTTTTTTTCTAGACTTTTTTTACAGTTATGGTAGTATGCAAATAATAAATATCACAGCTTTTTTGTTTCACTTACCCATAGAAAACAGAAATTTTCTCAAATTACTGAGAGGTGACAGCATGCTTGCAGCCCTCACTCGCTCTCGGTGTCTCCTCAGCCTCGACGCCCACTCTGGCAGCGCTTGAGGAGACCTTCAGCCCGCCGCTGCACTATGGGAGGCCCTCTCTGGGCTGGCCGAGACCGGAGCCGGCTCCCTCTGTTTGAGGTGAGGTGTGGAGGGAGAGGCGCCGGCAGGAACCCAAGCTGCGCGCCGCGCTCGCGCGCCAGCGCGAGTTCCGGGTGGGTGCGGGCTGGGCAGGATCCGCACTCGAAGCGGCGGGCTGGCGCCGCCAGCCCCGGGCTGTGAGAGTCTTAGCACTCGGGCTAGCAGCTGCGGAGGGTGGGCTGGGATACCCAGCACTACCGGCCCGCCCGCGCTGCGCTCGAATTCTCGCGGGGCCTCAGCCGCCTCCCCGCGGGGCAGGGCTGGGGACCTGCAGCCCGCCATGCCCAAGCCCCGCCCCCCATGGGCTCCCGCGCCGCCCGAGCCCGATCCTCCCCTACGGGCGCCGCCCCCTGCTCTGCAGCACCCGGTCCCATCGACCGCCCAAGGGCTGAGGAGTGCGGGTGCGCGGAGCGGGACTGGCGGGCAGCTCGCCTGCCGCCCCAGCGCGGGATCCACTAGGCGAAGCCAGCTGAGCTCCTGAGTCGGGTGGGGACTTGGAGAACTTTTGTGTCTAGCTGGAGGGTTGTGTATGAGCCAATCAGCACTCTGTGTCTAGCTCCGGGTTTGTGGATTCGCCAATCAGCACTCTGTATCTAGCTAATCTGGTGGGGACTTGGAGAACTTTTCTGTCTAGCCAGAGGATTGTATATGCACCAGTCAGCACTCTGTCTAGCTCAAGATTTGTAAATGCACCAATCAGTGCTCTGTGTCTAGCTCATCTAGTGGGGACTTGGAGAACTTTTGTGTCTAGCTAAAGGTTTGTAAATGCGCCAATCAGCACCCTGTCAAAACGGACCAATCAGCTCTCTGTAAAATGGACCAATCAGCAGGATGTGGGTGGGGTCAGATAAGGCAATAAAAGCAGGCTGTCAGAGCTCCAGCAACGACCTGGTGGGGTCCCTTTCCACACTGTGGAAGCTTGGTTCTTTTGCTCTTTGCAATAAATCTTGCTGCTGCTCACTCTTTGTATCTGCACTGGCTTTATGAGCTGTAATACCACGAAGGTCTGCACCTTCACTCCTGAAGCCACCAAGACCACGAACCCACCAGAAGGAAGAAACTCCGGACACACTATCTTTAAGAACTGTAACACTCACCGCAAGGGTCCGTAGCTTCATTCTTTAAGTCAGTGAGACCAAGAACCCACCAATTCCATACACATTACTACAACTTTTTATAAGACTTTGCCTACATGAAGCATTTTAATATCTGCATTCCATGATGAGGCTATACCATACATTATTTAGCCACACACCTATTTGGTCGTTTGGGTTGTTTTTAATTTTTCACTATTATACATAAGGCAGCATTGTGCAACACTGTGCACGAAAGGAGTTTTCTGGTTTATTTTGGATCATTTTCTCAACTTTGATTTCCCATAAATATAATTATTTTTGAAGAGATTTGTTGAGTATTATTCACTCACCACATAATTCACCCATTTTTACAGTATAATTATATGTGTTTTTTGTGTATTCACAGATACATGAAACCATCACCAAAGTCAATTTTGAAACATTTTTATTATCTCCAAAAGAAACCCAGTACTCTTTAGCTATCACTTCCCTACCCTTTTCTCCCCTTCCCACCACCCCTACCAATAGTCTGCATTCTGTCTCCATAGATTTCCCTGTTGTGGATGTTTTATATTAATAGAATCATGTAATATGTGGTCTTATGTAACTAACTTCTTTCACTTAGTATAATGTTTCCAAGGCTCATCCACATTGTAGCCTTCAATACTTCATTCCCTTTTATAGGCAAATAATATTTCACTGTAGGGATATATACTACATTTTGTTTATCCATTTGTCTGTTGATGGACATTTGGGTTGTTTCCACACATTACTATTATGAATAATGCTAGTAGAAACATTTTTGCAGAAGTTTCTATGTGGACATACATTTTCATTTTTCTTGGGTATATACCTAGAAATGGAATTTGTAGGACATAGGACTAGAAATGGCATTTTTACTTCTAAAAGTTTAGACACTGCAGTCTCTTAATATGTATCTCCAAATGCTCTTCGAAAGTGTTTTGAATTGAGTTTTAATTCTGATTGAAGACCTTGTTGCTGTTCGTGGTCAGTTGGTTCTCGAGAAGCAATGATGTCACAAAGTAAAACCCTAGGATATTGCTGTACAAGGGAAACAAAATATGAGTCATACATGTAATTTGAAATTTTCTAATAGCCTCGTTTTTAAAAGTAACAAGAAACAGGTAAATTAATTTTAATAATATGTCTTATTGAACCCAACGTATCCAAAATGTTATCTTTACAACCTGCAATTAATATAATACTTTGTTTGTTTGTTTTGAGACAGATATTCGCTTTTGTTGCCCAGGCTAGAGTGCAGTGGCGCGATCTTGGCTCACTGCAACCTCTGCCTCCCGGTTCAAGCGATTCTCCTGCCTCAGCCTCCCAAGTGGCTGGGATTACAGGCGTGTGCTACCACGTCCAGCTAATTTTTGTATTTTTAGTAGATATGGGGTTTCACCATGTTGGCCAGGCTGGTCTTGAATTCCTGACCTCAGGTAATCCACCGGCCTTGGCCTCCCAAAGTGCTGGGATTAGAGGAGTGAGCCACCATGCCCAGCCAATATAATACTTTTTAATGAACTATTTTATATTCTATTTTATTCACATTCCATTTCTGAAATCTACTATGTATTTTACACATAAGCATATCTCAATTTGAACTAATCACATTTCAGATGCTTTATAGCCACATGTGGCTGATGGCTACTATACTGGAGAATGCAGATTTAGGAGTTTGACTATATTTTCTTTGGAAGATAGTGGAAAGTTACTTTTTAAAACATAGCCTCACAATTATTTACCCTTATGTTTCTCTATTTAATGAAAAAAAAAGCATGAACAAAATTTAGCTAACTGAAGATTCCTCCTAGATAAAGAATGGTTAAGTGCTTATTGCTTTCGTGCACTACTTTATATTTTTACCTGATGAACAACAATGTATAACGTGTCAAAAAAAAAAGTCAATTTTAAAATATCCACTCTTTTATTTGAGTTAACTTGGACAGACCCTGGAGCTATTTTTGTTTCTTGAATCTACATAATTGTGCTGATGCTAAACACTAATGATAACATTCCCCAAATTGGTGAATAATTTTCTTTACTGGGTCTTTAATGGTGAAATAAACAGGAAAGAAGAAAAGGCAAGAAATAAATTTTACTGTGCTATGCTTGGGAAAACCATGTTTTCCAATTTATTCTTCACACAACAAAACCTATTTGATCTGAGATCCCATATAATCCCAGGACACAACAATCCTTCTCTGTTGTATGGCAACTTCCTGCCATGCATAATTATTTTGCAAAAGCGTATCAGGTCAGAGATGAAGCAAAGAATGGGGGAAAGAGTCCATGGTGACCTCAGGCAGATTTTTTTACTACTACAAATCAGTTGGATAGTTATTACCACCTGGCGCTGCTAATGAGTCTAGTCGGGAAAACAAAGCTGCTAAGCATTCCACAGCAGACTGCACTGCAGTCCAGGACTGGGGGAGTCTTTTGGGGTCTGCTGAGCATCTGAAAATACATTTTAAGGTGTTCTGGTTATTAAAGAAATCAAACTTCTTAGTTTCTTATTTTTAAAAGAAATACGTTGCTAAAAAGCATTATCTGTTGTTGATTCTTTTGTACTTCTGTAAACTATTTTTCTGTATTCATAAAATAATTCTAAAACCTTAAGTGTATCTTATGCATTAAAATTTTTTATTCATAGTATTTTCAGATGAAGTAGACCATCTCTTCCAGGAAAATGTTTCCATTACTAATTCAAATTGCCCCTAAGCAACCTAAATAAAGAGACCATATAGTGCAGTCATTCAGAACAGGAAGTCGGATGTCAAAGAGTTCTGGATTCAAATTTGAGCTCTACTACTTACCAGCCCTGTGACCTGAAGCAAGCTACTTTTCTGTGCAAGATCTCTGTACTGAAAATAGAAATAACGAGAGTTATTTTAAGAATCAAATTAGATAATGAATGTATGGTGCCTAGCAGAATGCCTGTCACTACTATTTTGTTGTGTACTTTTTGTTGTTTTATTACATCCATCTCATGAATTTCAAGCCTTAACAGCATAGAGAATAGCTGTTCTATCCAGGGAATAGAAAATCATCAAGCATCAATTATTACGTTGCTCAGCTGCTATGTTGTAGAAAAGGAAAGCACGGCTATCCCACAAGTTGTGAGAACTAGGGAAAAGAGAACTGGAGTGATGGGAAGAGGAAGCAGTAGGAAACATGAAAGTCACTTAATTACCAAGAAGATGTTTTACTAATGTATCTCACATGTTGTTAATTAATTCAGTATATACTTATTGCACACTAACTATATGCAAAACACTGTGCTAGGTGTCAGAGTGTTCTGGAGTTACAAAGATCAGACATGTTACCTGCCTTCAATAATCGTAAAGCCCAGCAGAGTGGTTGCCTTCATTATATCTGTACTACCTTGCCTCGTAGTCACTGACTTACCAGCCTTAGTCTATTGATTATGAGAAGGTATGCTGTCATTCACATTTGTTCCTCTGCACTTAGCACAATACCTTGCTCCTAATAAGTACGCAATAAATGTTTGTGGAAGTAAATTCTTATCATGAAGGAGAGAATCAATCATTGTTGGATTTCTAACTATACTATGTAAGCTCTTAGAAGGCAAAGACATGTACTTGTAAATTTCTTGATGCCAAGAGAAAGGTGTTTTTGATATTAGATTAGCAGTTATGCCAATATTAAAATACTGCATCATTTGTTCTCACTCATAGGTGGGAATTGAACAATGAGATCACTTGGACACAGGGCAGGGAACATCATACACCAGGGCCTGTCAGGGGGTGGGGGGCTGGGGGAGGGATAGCATTAGGAGAAATACCTAATGTAAATGATGAGTTGATGGGTGCAGCAAACCAACATGGCACGTGTATATCTATGTATGAAACCTTCACGTTGTGTGCAGGTACCCTAGAACTTGAAGTATATATATATATAAAAACTGCATCGTTGTTAAAATGAGAGTTGCTATGCAATATCAAAGTGCACTTATTGCAGTCTCCATTTTCAATAGGCCTTTTTAGTCACAGGTGCATAAAATATGCATTGTATTGCACTGTGGTATCTACTTAAAGGAAATAAAGCAATGAAAATATGCTCTCTGTAAACAGGCTCTTTCCTTGAGGTTTGGAAAACCCATTTTTTGATAAGATACTATAAAGAAGCTTTACGTTGAGTCATAAATGCTGGAACTTCATGATTTATTTTTAATTCATATTATTTTAGTTTATTTGTCTATTAAAATACATTATAAAATATGGACAATTATGTTTAAATTAGGAAAAACTGATTACACAATGTGTATGTTTTCCAATTCTCATGTGGCTTAATAGACAATTCATAATACTGTTATAGTTTATTTGATAAAATTATGGTTTGAGGAGTGTATTCTTTCTGATGTTCTATGAGGTAGATTGTGCGTTGTTATATTACTGAACTTCGTTGGCTGTGGAAGTTTGCAGCTGAGGCTTTAATGGCAGAGTGGAGGCAGGCTACTCCTCCTCTATTGAAGCTGATTATAATCGGTAGGCTGGAATGAAATTATCTACAGCCTAATCCAAGCATGATGACTTTCCATTAATCTGTGATGGGGTTTTATTTCTTTATTATGAGCTAAATGTGTAAACGCATAAGAATTAGCAAAGCCATTTTGGCACGATTTAATTCTCAGGGCTCCCTCTGCTGGTAGTGAAAGATGACAAATTTACAGAGAGCTTAAGAATGAGGGCAATACAATTATTACCACAATTTTGCCATTTATATTAGATCTAAATTTATTGTTGGACACTTATGCAATAAAACCAATGTTTTGGTTTACAGCTAGCCAGTTTTCCCCTTAAAGATTAAGTGATATTTTGTGGTTGAATTAATTAGTCTTTTCATCATGGAAAATTGAGCTATTTTGTATTTAAAATAAATATTTGCCAGAGTTATACACAGTAATTTATAACATCACTTATACAAATTATTACCAACAGCTTACATAAATAAAAATGGAACACTTAATAGAGACATAGTGAAGATTTAGTAGCTACCCAAACTACTTCATTCTCCCCTATAATTCCTATACAACAAATACCCCACATACCATCTGATAAAAATTACTTTCTGAGACATAATTCCCATCTCAATGTAATATATATATTACATGAAAAATTGGGGCTGGGCGAGGTGGCTCACGACTGTAATCCTAGCAGGATTTGGGAGGCCAAGGTGGGTGGATCACTTGAGGTCAGGAGTTCGAGGCCAGCCTGACCAATGTAGCAAAACCCCGTCTCTACTAAAAACACAAAAATTAGCTGGGCGTGGTGGTGGGCACCTGTAATCCCAGCTACTCAGGAGGCTGAGGCAGGAGAATCGCTTGAAACTGGGAGGTGGAGGCTGCAGTGCCACTGCATTCCAGCCTGGGCAACAAAGCAAGACTCCACCTCAAAAAAAAAAAAAAAAGAAAGAAAGAAAAGAAAAAAATTGGAAAAAATATTCAAAGTGGAATCTCTGAGACAGAGTACTCATATATATGAGTGCTCTTTTAACTTTGAAGCATACTTTCGTATTTATTATCATATTGTATCCTAACAACCCTAGAAATAGAGCAGAGACTATCAACCTAATTCGACAAATACAGAAACAGAGGTCAGAGATTTTAAGTGACTGTCCCCAAGTTATACACTAGTTAGTGGAAAAGAGTGTTTCTTCCAGCAAGGCTCAAAAGCCTCTGTCTCTTGAGAACTATTTAATAAAAAGGCATCAAGAAAATTATTTAAATAATCTAGTTTTTTATTAATGATGTTGTCTTGGATGGCTTCTTCATATTTATACTTCACAATACCCTATTCTGACCAGCTCCCAATGAATCAAAATCTTCTGAGAGCTGTAGACAAATTTCAACAAAGGGTTCTGTCAATGAATGAGAGAAGGCATGAGGGAACTGGCCAGGTAGAGTTCTAGTCAGGATCTTGAGAGACCTCCATCTAGTATTCAGCTAAAATTGTGCAAATGTAGGCATTGTCCTCTTCAGAGACTTTTTTGATCCAAAAGGGACCACTCTATCATTATCCAGTAGGTTGGTGCTTAAAAGATGGGCTATTTTCTCAAAACTCCAAGTTTCAAGATCATTCAGGAAGTGATGAGAGTTCTGTTATTGTATAGAACTATAACCTGGGTTCTAATTAGGTCAGCCTCAAGATAAAAACAAATGAATAATACAGTTCCCAAGAGTCACCCAGACCATAAGCAGATAATCTTTTGAAACCAAATCACAAACTTAGCTTTTTTCCATGCATAAGTGCACAACCTTTTAGCAAAATTTAATGACAGAGTTGAGACCAAAGATTCTGGTCTAACTAACAATCCTCAGTGAAATCAGTTTGATGGTTTCAGTTCAGTGCATATCATGAAAGCACTCTGGCACAATTGATAGGATGTTCATGAGGAGGTAATATACAGATCCGCAGATTAAATTACTTTTCACCCCAAGAGATATTTATAGGGGCGATCTATCAAGGTTACAGGGAAGAGCAGTGACATGACAGTAAGAATGTTCAACCTAAGCTTATATGCTAGAACATAAAGACACCTGCAATTTTGTCTTTGTTAACTATTACAATTGACAACTTTTCATTAAAAAATGTTTTGGTACAGAAATTAGTTCTAAAGATTTATATTTGTTTTTAACATTGAATAAAAATGTAGAAATGCATCAATTTATTTTATTATGGAAAAGATACTACCTATATTTTAATATATATATGAAATTACTGTTTCCATAGTTAAAAAGTCAATTTATTTTATTATAGAATATGTGCTACCTACATCTTAAAGAATAAAGATCAGAAATATGAAATTATTATGTTTTTACAACTATAAAACCCATTCAATGACAAAAAATTATTTTTCTGAATAGAAGCTTTGGCAAACATTTTGCCTCTATAAAACCTTCCATGAGATCTACTCAATTTCAACTGCATTTCAATGTTGGGTAATACAGGTGGATGAAATTGTCATGTTCAACTCCACAAATTCTATTCCAATAACTCTTAATTGGAATGGAATCTGGGCCACCTGACCTTTAGACTTCACATTAATAAACTGTGTTATTTTCTTGATTTTGTCAACAATTGAGAAAATAGACTTAACTATGTTTTCAAAAGCACAGTAATATTTTATTTAACTATGTCTCACATATCTGATTACTTCATTCTACAGACTGCAACAACCAAGGAACCAGAAGAAAACTAAAAAGGCATCTAAAAAATAAGAATAAATCGGGTCAAAGCTCAACCACTGTATTTGTGAGAAAGTTCCTTGGTACCTCATTTATAGTCTATTTACTCTTATTTTTATATACATTCCAACAAGCTTGGTTAACTGGAAGAAAGGTATTCTTAGAAGTGAGCATACTGGCATTAAGAACAGCATTTTATGTATACCAGATGCAAATCAAATTACCACTCAGGTCCAGAGAAAGGGAGAATTGTAAAATTGTAAAACACACATAAAAATCTACTCTTGTCTAGTCACAATATCAGAAAGCAAGATTAAAATGTATGCCTTATAATCTTTAATGCTGAATAAACTGAAGAGTCCATATTGCCTACTAACTCCACTAAGGAATATTTACTCAACCACTTGGCTCAGACCAGGCTGTCACAGATCCAGAGAGAGACCACCGAGGTTTACACTAGGAAGGGGAGAACACGTCTCTTCCTCCTTGCCTGAATGCAAATCTAGCTTCAGAGGCCCAGATGGGGCTCAGCAGAGAAAGAGAGAAGCCAGAGTTGGCAGCCAATGTAACCTGTATTCACTTATCCACAGAGGGCCACCTCTACAGGATCTCCATGGCAGGTTCTTCTGCTCTACTTGTACAGAGGCACAAGAAAGCCGTGTTCCCCACTCTTCTTGAGCAGCATTCAGCAAGGGTGGGAGTAAAGGAAGCATTCTCCTTTCGGTGTTAAAGTAGAGTCAAACAAGAGCAAGAAATGGATACTCAGGGGATACGCACTTTATATCCTCCCAAAGATATAAATCATGGTTTAAACAGAAAGCCAAATAAAACACATCCTGCTGATTGACCTTTCAATACTGAATTAAAGTCCCATTTTTCTCTCCATAAATATCTTCGTTTGATAAAGTCAGAGTGCCTTTCATACTTCCTGTGTTTCTTTGATTCTCTTCCAAAATGTTGAACCCAGCAAAAATGGAAATATTTTACAAAGACAGTATCATGAGAGAAACTTCTAATTTTGAGTGGATGTCTTTGAGAACATTTAAGAAAACACTTGAAAATCTCTAGAAATTATTTAAAGAATCTCAGAGTGATCATTTGTAACAGGGTTCTCAACCTTCTTAATCACAAGGGGACTTTTAAAAAGTTTGTAGAAAATGGAATTAAGATATAAAATTTAAAAATATAAACTTTGTTTCTCAAAAAAACTCCATCAAGGTCAAGACACTTTTGTAAGTGATGATATCAGCCATTTTAGTCCATACCTAAAGAACTGACATTTCTGAGAATTTAACCACATCAATGAAGTCTTTCTTTACACTATTAAGTGAAGGAAAATAAGTGTCCTTTAGAGACTTTTTAAGATTAGAAAACAAAAAGTAATCAGAAATAGCCAAATCATGACTGGAACATGAATATCTAATGATTTCCCCCTGAAAACTCTTGTTTGATGAGAGGAATTAGCAGGAGCATTGTCATGCTGGAGAAGGACTCTTTGGTGAAGATTTTTCTGGGCATTTTTCTGCTAAAGCTCTAGCTCCTTTTCTCAAAACACTCTTTAATAAACAGATCTTATTGTTCTTTGGCCCTCTAGAGAGTCAACAAGCAAAATGCCCCAAAAAACTGTTGCCATGACCTTTGCTCTTGACCAATTTGCTTTTGCTTTGATTGAACCACTTCCACCTCTTGGCAGCCATTCCTTTGATTGTGCTTTGTCTTCAGAATTGTACTGGTAAAGCCATGTTCCATCTCTGCTCTTGCTCTTATCTGCAGCTCTTATCTGGGTGCAATGGTTTTGGCACCCATCAAGTGGAAAGTTTGCTCAACTCAATTTTTCATTCAGAATTGTGTAAGCTGAACCAATTAAGATGTCTATGATGTTGGCTATTGTTCCTGCTGTTAATCATCAGTACTCTTAAATTAGGGCATGAACAAGTTTATTTTTTTCCTCAAAAATTGATGTGGATGGTCTGCCACTGTGGGACTCACCTTCAACATCATCATGTTCCCTTCTTAGAGCTAGTTTTTCATTTGTAAATTGCTGATTTATTTGGGGAATTGTCCTCATACACTTTTCATAAAGGCGCCATGATTTCACCATTCTTCCACTAAAGGTTCACAATAAATTTGATGTTAGTTCTTGCTTCAATTTTAGCAGAAGTCATGTTGCTCTAATAGGGGCTCTTTTCAAACTGGTATCTTATCCTTCTTAATGCCTCAAACCAAATCCTGTTCAGGCATGTTATAACAAGTCACTACGAGTTTATTTTGGCACAAAAATTTTTTGAAATTCATGTATTTTTTTTCATAATATGCATTTTCTATGAACTTTTTGAAGTCACCTTGTATGAGGACTCCTTGCTGGAAGTCTTTAAACTTTTAGTGTCTGCTGATTAGGGAGCAATATAATGATGAAAAGCTACTACCAAGTTAATGATTAATTTAATTTTAGATTAACTTTCAATTAATTAATCACAACATCTACATTTATTTGGAAAGTAGCAATATATGTATGTGGGAGACAGTATTTAAAATCTATTTTAAATCTACTCACAGATTAACCATAGTAACTTCAAAGACTCCTAGAAACTAAGATCCACAGGTTGGAAACTACTTTAGAATAACTAAACTCATAAAAATAATAAGTAATTAAATCATCTAACCATTTTGAATGTGTGCCAAATTAATGGCAGGAATCTGAAAACAGATGAAATTAAGTGTTCCCCTACTTTTTTAAGATCAAGTATATTTTGAATACAAATAGTATAAAGAAACTGAAAACTAAATACTTGACTGGCATTGAGACAAAAGAGACTTCACATTTAACACAGGAAAGGATGTCATTAAAAATTAATCCTTGCCTGAAAAAAATGGGTTTTTTTTCCTCCCCTTTTCTCTTTTATTCTGGAAGAAAAGGAAAAGATAGGAACATATAGATGATAAGGTAGCAGAATCATGTGGTGGCTAAGAGCCCAGTTTTCAGAGCCGGACAAAGTTGGGTTGGGTTTAAAACCAGGCCTCAACTAAACCAATATATAGGAAGGATCTTGACAAGTTTCTTCACACTTCTGAGTCTTTTTCAAAAGTAAAATAAAAATATCTATATACAAAAATACCTATTGTATTATTTTGTTCTCATGCTGCTGATAAACACCTACCAGAGACTGGGTAATTTATAAAGAAACTAGGTTTAATTGACTCACAGTTCCACACGGCTGGGGAGGCCTCACAAACATGGTAGAAGAGCAAGGGACATCTTACATGGCAGCAAGCAAGAAGAACTTGTTCAGGGGAACTCCTCTCTATAAAACCATCAGATATCATGAGACTTATTCACTTTCATGAGAACAGCACAGGAAAGACTCACCCCCATGATTCAATTACCTTCCACTGGGTCCCTCCCACAACACATGGGAATTGTGGGAGCTACAATTCAATATGAGATTTGGGTGCGGACACAGCCAAACCATATCACCTATTTTATATATTTACTAATAGGAATATTTATATTCCCATATATACACTTGAAATAGTGAAATAATTTACAATTACTTCACTCAGAGACTACTTCAGAGAATGGTGATATAACCATCTACTTCAGAGAATAGTGATAAGCACTGAGTAAAGTAATTGTAAATTGTAAATTGATGTATAATAAGAGCTCAAAAAGTGATCATCATTATTGTTAGGGAATTTTGTATGTAAATGGATACTCTAATGAGGTTTATGTTTAGAAAGCTAATATTTTTTAGTACACATAGAGAAAGAACAAATTGCAAACAAACCTAAATGCTAGATCTTCAAAGTGCAAAGTGTAGATAGGTAGATATCCTCATCCTGTTTAAGTCAACTCCAGAAGATGAAAAGACAGAATTTTTGTCATTATTTATTTTATGCTCAGACTCTTTGCTGAGGCCATAAGTACCAAATGGTCTCTGTACTCCCGGTAATATACAAGACACTTACAGAAGCTAATGTAAGTCAAAAAATGCCTATAAACTTAACAGAGTGTCTGAGACAAGCATGGATTATGACAAAGACATAGTCTGGGGACCTTCCTATTGTTTTAGTGAAACGTATAGTCTTCATTTGTGAAAGAAAACCCTATTTCTGCTTTTAAATAGGCACTATGTATTCCACTACTAGGTTTAGAGATTGTGTATTGTCAAAAAGGATCATATATGAACTCATATGCTGACATTGCACTTTTTCTTTAGTAGAACATTAATTCCCTTCTACCTCCCCT
This sequence comes from Homo sapiens, assembly GCF_000001405.40. Classification (NCBI taxonomy): domain Eukaryota; kingdom Metazoa; phylum Chordata; class Mammalia; order Primates; family Hominidae; genus Homo; species Homo sapiens. The sequence continues at coordinate 175,244,848 of NC_000002.12, read as the reverse complement.
TAAAAAGAACAGTTGAATAAAAACACAAATCAAAAATATATTGTGCTTTTAAGTTGGAAAACCAAATTTCCACTTCTCACTCTTGTATAATGCTGAATATTATGCATTTCTTTTACCTTGAAGATAAACAGGTGTAAAGATCTATTTCTCCATTTTTGTATGGGGTGGGGAAGAAGGAATTGCAACTCAGAATTTCCTTTTTCTTGAAACGTATTAATACTCAGGAGCCAAACATTTAGCTTCACTTGAAATAAGGATTGTAACACCAAGAAAGTGTCTTTGGCCCTTCAGGGATTTTTTTGAAGTCTGCAGAAAATCATGCTGATAGCACCTGAAGGATCAGGAAGGATAGTTCAATTACAGTCGGGAAGTGCTGCAAAGAAGATCTGCACATAATTCTCACAGTGCTCATTACCTCTGGCTTTCTGCCTTAGCAAGTGCCGTGTACTATATCAAGCGTGTAAATGTTCTATGCAGAATGCTTTTTTGTCACAGCCTTTGGGCCCCTGGGGCACAGACAGGGCTAAAAGAAAGTTAGCATAAGACATTCAGGATCCAGTTTCCTAACTTTTCAAAGTGTTGAGGTTTTAATCATGAAACTTATGATGAATAAAAATATCAAGAAGTATAACACAACAAGTATTTAATAGTTGGTTAAACCAGATAACAATCCTATGAGGGATGCAAATACTGTGGCCATCTTTATCGGGTTTGTTTGGTTAGTTTGTTTTCAATATAAGGTGTAAGAACTCATCCCGAGTCATCCATCAAGTTTGGCCCAAATATCCTAATCTCTCTCTTTTGTTATACTGTCCTGAAGTCATATAAGGTCTGGGCTTTCTTCTTTCAAATTCTCAGTTTCTTGTTCAGTCTCCGATCATTCATAAGCCCATTCATCCATTCCACATGTGTTTTTGAGCTCCTACTGTGTGCAAGGCACTAAATATACATAAGTATGTACTCCCTCCCCATGTGTAGGTTACAATCTGTGGGTGATACCAATGATAAACAAATAAATATGCAACTACAAGTGATTATACATGCTCTGAAGGGAATGAGTAGCGAACACTGATGGTCAAATAGAGAAGGCCTCTCTGGGGTGACATTTAAGCCACAGTCTGCAAAATGAGAAACATACAGAGCTTTCCAAGAAGGGGGAACAGAAAGAAAGTGCTCTGGAATTCCTGGGTATTCCCAGGACCCAGGGAACCCAGTGTGACTGAGGCAGAGCAGGTGAGGGGCAGTGTGACTACAACGGCATTAGAGATGGGCTGGGGCCAGATCACACAGGCCCTTGTAAGATCTCATTAACTTGAGTTTTCTAAAGTGCAATGAGGAGCCTTTGAAAGGTTTTAAGCAGGAAAGTGGCATGGCTTTAAAAGACCTTTCTCTAACTGCTGTGTACTAAATGGACTGAGGTTGGTAATACTGAAACAGGGAAGGTGAATAAGGAGGCATTTGCACTTGGCTGTGCTATGGAAGTAGTTCTCTTCAACTGACTTCAAGAAAAGCTGTAAATGCAGTGGGAAGGTAAATTCCAAGGCAAGGAAGTGCTATGCTGCTAACCAAAATTTTTGTGGTGTTTATAAGCTATATCCTACTACTTCATTTCTTTGAGCATCAGTTTCTCTGGATAAACTTGCCAATCTTAAAAAATTATATTGAGGATTATATGACAAAATTAATTAACATGAAACATCTAACACCATGGCTGGCACATAATAGGTGCTCAATAAATAATATTGTTATTATTTTCCATAAAGGTACTACTTTATGGAAAAGGTACTTCTCATGGCCTTAGAAATCTCCATTTTTTAGTGGTCAATCTCTATTTAGAAACTTGTTAAAACAGAAATTACCTCATTTAAATGAGTTCCTATCTTCTTGCTTGCTTTTTCTTTTATATCTTGAAGTAGAGGCTGATTTTTCAAAATAATGAATAGACTACCAAATGTATGAAAATCAATCAAAACCTTAAAAATTCAAAGTATGTTCAGTATCATTCTATAGTAGTTTGCTTTATTTCTGGTTAACGTGTAGGACACATTTTACGTACCCATTTCTGTTTATATACAAATAGAGAAAAATATTTCAAATATGAATTATTATCATATTTAAATTGTTTCCAGTTTTAATCCATAGTTCACTAAATCTGAATTACATTTTATGAGTCAGTATTTATCATTTAATAATAGTACATTTTATATTTTATATCATGAAATCATAAACCAAATATTAGGGATCAAGTTCAATTAATATTTTTACTTGCTAATGTTTATAACTAAGATATTGGTGTGCCAGTATCAGTAAATGAGTATTTTTTCAGTGAAGAAATATAAACAATATTCTGACTAATATTGTCCACTTATTTTTCGTAATCTCATATTTAGTTTTTAGCTACATAAACAAAAAGGAGTTTGGCCTGACTTCGGGGTTGGGGGGAAAGTAAAATTCTGGATTTGGGAATACTGGATTAGTAATAGTTTGCAGGGCATCTGGAAAGTGCTCCCAAAAGTACCTATGGCCCAATCATAAAAGAGTTTGAGGAGACCGCGGCCACACAGGACCCAAATCTGACAGCATCCAACCTTTAGAGTTTTCTCTGCATCTCTTCCCCTCCACTGACCCACATGAAAAGACAAAGGCCAATTCATGATTGGGCAGATATATTTGAATCTAGGGCCAATTATAGAACACTCTCTAAAGCTATATGTTACTAGATTGATAGAATGCAACTCAGATCAAATAAAGGTCCCACAAATATAGCTATATCCAGAAAAATCTGGATAAAATATTGTTAGTGACCAGCATACCTTTTTAGTAAAAAGCTGTGTTTCTAATGTTGTCTTGTGAATTAGTGTGTATCAGATCAGCCACAGATTTTCCATTAAAAATGAACCAAACAAAGTATGGAATCTACAAACACTGCAGAAAATAAACATAGCTTGGCTCAATCTTTCTTGGAAAATGAGTTCAGAAAATTGGGCAAAAGTACTAGTGATGTAAGTCTTCTGGCTGCCACCCTGGAAGAACACAGAGACTCTATCTTTTCCCTTCTCCGTTGTCATATAGAGGGAGTTGGGGTTTCCAAGCTCTAAAATACAAGTCATAGGTACCACCTTCATGAGCAGCGATGGGACTCTGTGAACTACAAGGAACAGAGGTCTAAGAAGTAAGGGTGGAGTCTGGGAGCAGTAGCTCACTCCTGTAATCCCAGCACTTTGGGAGGCCGAGGCAGGAGGAACACTTGAGCCCAGGGGTTCAAGACCAGCCTGGGCAACATGGCAAGACCCAATCTCTACAAAAAATTTAAAAATCAGCCATGTGTGGCTACACACATCTGTAGTCCCAGCTACTTGGGAGGCTGGGGTAGGAGGATAGCTTGAATCTTGGAGGTCAAGGCTGCAGTGAGCCATGATCATGACACTGCACTCCAGCCTGGGCAACAGTGTGAGACCCTGTCTAAAAACAAACAAACAAAAAAAGAAGTAGAAGTGGGGGAAGGGAGCTGAGAAGCAGGGGAGGAGTTCTGGAAAGGGGGGAATGTAGAGAGGTCCCCACATGAACTCTTGGATATTCAGTACAGCCCTGGAGAAGCTGGAGAATGATGATGAATGTCCCAGTTGTGTCCCAGGCAGAGGCAAGAACAGAATGAGGGCAGGAGTGGAATTGATCACAAATCAGAGAAAGGGGAGGGGGAAAGAGAAAAGAGTAAATACTTAAAGCCAACAACCCAGTGAGATGTGTCTGCAGGTCATGGGAGAGGGTGAAGAGCTGAGAACATATATAATACAATAATCAACACAACACAAACAGAAAAACTGGTGGCTTATCGCATTATTCATATTGACTTTTAAAGAGATGTTCAATGACCAGTTTTTATATCTCTCAGAGGTTGGAAGTGACATGAATTGGTTATCACTGTTAAATGTGATTGTCTAGATTAAAGTATGCTCATGAAGAAAATGAGGAAAAGTTTACATTTCTGCCAGAGTTATATAAATTATTTTATATGTGTTTAAGTTCTTTTTCTTTTTACACATTTAGGATGCAAAGTATATGACAGAGTATCCAATACTGAAGGTTGGGAATTATCCTATGCCACTTTCCTATCTTGACCTGCACTATGTGTCTTAGCCTCTGGTAAAGATCTGTTGTGTGGGAAGCTCTCAATAAACAGCCATTGAGAAGACAGTGATAGTTCTTAAAATTAATACCTCTAGAAGAGTTCACAAGTGTAATAATCATGCTATAATTGTCACCAACACATTCAAAGAACTAGAAACTTTGAATGATTAAGCTAGCCATGCCCATGACCATGGGGCCACTGATCCAAACCATGAAAGCAAGTATATCATGAAAGAAAACCATTTTGCAAGGGGAAAACCTTCTTTTTTAAAGTTTTTAATGTACCTTTTATTTAGAACAGCTTTAGGTTCTGATATGGTTTGGCTGTGTCCCCACCCAAATCTCATCTGGAATTCCCACGGGTTGTGGGAGGGACCTGGTGGGAGGTAATTGAATCATGGGGGCAGGTCTTTCCCATGCTGTTCTTGTGACAGTGAGTAAGTCTCCCAAGATCTGATGGTTCTCTCTTTGCTTGCTGCCATCCATGTAGGACATGACTTGCTCCTCCTTGCCTTCCGCCATGTGAGGCTTCCTCAGCCATGTGGAACTGTGAGTCCAGTTAAACCTCTTTCTTTTGCAAATTGCCCAGTCTTGGGTATATCTTTATCAGCAGTATGAAAATGGGCTAGTACAGTAAATTGGTACCAATAGAGTGGGGTGCTGCTGAAAAGGTACCCAAAAATGTGGAAGCAACTTTGGAACTGGGTAACAGGCAGAGGTTGGAACAGTTTGGAAGGCTCAGAAGAAGATAGGAAAATGTAGGAAAGTTTGGAACTCCCTAGAGACTTGTTGAATGTCTTTGTCCAAAATGCTGATAATGATATGGACAATGAAATGCAGTCTGAGGTCATCTCAGATGGAGATAAGGAACTTATTGGGAACTGGAGCAAAGGTGACCCTTGTTATGTTTTAGCAAAGACACTGGTGGCATTTTGGCCCTGCCCTAGGGATTTTTGGAACTTTGAACTTGAGAGAGATGATTTAGGGTATCTGGCAGAAGAAATTCCTAAGCAGCAAAGAATTCAATAAGTGAATTGGGTGCTGTTAAAGGCATTCAGTTTTATAAGGGAATCAGAGCTAAAAGTTTGGAAAATTTACAGCCTGACAATATGATAGAAAAGAAAATCCCATTTTCTGAGGAGAAATTCAAGCTGGCTGCATAAATTTGCATAAGTAATGAGGAGCTGAATGTTAATCCCCAAGACAATGGAAGGGCACGTCAGAGGTCTTCATGGCAGTCCCTCCCATCACAGGCCCAGAGGCCTAGGAGGAAAAAGTGGTTTCATGGGCCAGGCCCAGTTTCCCCATGCTGTGTGCAGCCTAGGGACTTGATGCCCTGCATCCCAGCCACTCCAGCCATGGCTGAAAGGAGCCAATGTAGAGCTCAAGCCATGGCTTCAGAGGGTGCAATCCTCAAGGCTTTGCAGCTTCCACATGGTGTGGAGCCTGCGGGTACACAGAAGTCAAGAATTGAGATTTGGAAACCTCTGCCTACATTTCAGAATGTGGATGGAAACGCCTAAATGCCCAGGCAGAAGTTTGCTATAGGAGCGGGGCCCTCACAGAGAGCCTCTGCTAGGGCAGTGCAGAAGGGAAATGTGGGGTTGGAGCCCCCACACAGAGTCCCTACTGAGGCACCGCCTAGTGGAGCTGTGAGAAGAGGGCCATCATCCTCCAGACCCCGCAGTGGTAGATCCACCTACAGCTTGCACTGTTTGCCTGGAAAAGACAAAGACACTCAACTTCAGCACATGAAAGCAGGCTGGAGGGGGGCTATACCCTGCAAAGCCATGGGGGCAGAGCTGCCCAAGACCTTGGGAACCTACCTCTTGCATCAGCATAACCTGAATGTGAGACATGGAGTCAAAAGAGATCATTTTGGAGTTTTAAGATTTGACTGCCCTGCTAGATTTTGGACTTGCATGGGGCCTGTAGCCCCTTTGTTTTGGCCAATGGCTCCCATTTGGAATGGCTATACTTATCCAACTCCCATACCCCCATTGTATCTAGGAAGTAACTATCTTGCTTTAGATTTTACAGGCTTATAGCTGGAAAGGACTTGCCTTGTCTTGGATGAGACTTTTGACTGTGGACTTTTGAGTTAATGCTGAAATGAGTTAAGACTTTGGGGGACTGCTGGGCAGGCATGATTGGTTTTGAAATGTGAGGACTTGTGATTTGGAGGGGCCAGGGGTGGAATGATATAGTTTGGCTGTGTCCCCACTAGAATCTCATCTTGAATTCCCACATGTTGTGGGAGGGACCGAGTGGGAGGTAATTGAGTCATAGGGTCAGATCTTTCCCATGCTGTTCTTGTGATAGTGAGTAAGTCTCACAAGATCTGATAGTTACTGTAAGGGGGAGTTTTCCTGCACAAGCTCTCTCTTTGTTTGCTACCATCCATGTAAGATGTGACTTGCTCCTCCTTGCCTTCCACCATGATTGTGAGCCTTCCCCAGCCACATGGAACTGTAAGTCCAATTAAACCTCTTTCTTTTGTAAATTGCCTAGTCTTTATCAGCAGTGTGAAAATGGACTAATACAGGTGCATAGCAAAATTGAGCAGAACTCTCAGTCATTGCTGGTGGGAAGGCAAAATGGTACAGCCACTTTGGAAGACAGCTTGGCAGTTTATTACAAAACTAAACATACTCTTGCCATACAATCCTTGGTATTTACCCAAATGAAGTGAAAACTTGTATCCACATGAAAACCTGTACATGGATGTTTACCCAAATGAAGTGAAAACTTGTATCCACATGAAAACCTGTACATGGATGTTTACAGCAGATTTATTCATAATTGCCAAAACGTGGAAGCAACCAAGACATCCTTCTGTAGGTGTATAGATAATAAACTGTGATATGCCCAGACAATGGAATATTAGTCAATGCTAAAAAGAAATGAACTATCAAGCCATGAAAAAACAGGCAGTAATATTAAATGCATATTACTAAGTGAAAAAAACCAATCTGAAAGGCTACATACCATGTGATTCCAACCATGTGACATTCTGGAAAATGCAAAACCATGGAGACAGTAAAAAGATCAGTGGTTGCCAGGGGTAAGAGGGATAGGAGGGATGAAAAGGCAGAGCACAGAGGATTTTTAGGACAGTGAAACTATTCTGTATGATGCTGTAAAAGTGGATACATGTCATTATACATTTGTCCAAACCTATAGAGTATATCCCACCAACAGTGTGAACCTTCATGTAAACTATGGACTTTGAGTGATAATGATGTGTCAGTGTAGGTCCGTTGATTGTATCAAATGCACCACTCTGGGCAGAGGGGGGATTTTAATAAAGAGGAAAACTGCATGTGTTGGGGTGGGGATATATGGAAAATATCTGCATCTTCCTCTCAATTTTGCTGAGAAAACTTTTCATAAGCAGTTTGCTCCGAGTGACGGTTTAATAATAGCTAACTTTGCTGCCTTCTTACTATATGTCAAGTAGTTATACACCTTGTCACATTTAATCCTGAACACAATCCTATAAAGTAGGTACTATCATTACCAGCATCTCTGTTTCACAGAGGAGGAAATGAGGTTTGAAGAGATTGAGTAACTTACCAAAGGTCACTGTCATAATGGACAGATCCCAGGATGTCATCGTTATGCCATGCTCTCTCAGGCCACCAACCCAACTGAAGTCAGTGCTTTGTCACAGGGACGTTGTAACTTATGGGCATGACTAGTAACTATGATGGGATAGGAAAGACTTGGACTGAAATTTTGTATGAAGCTGTTTGTAAATAAGTTGTAAGATCACATAGACTGCCACCAAATGAGACATCTAGGGAATACCTTTGCCCGATTGACTCACTTAGCATCCACTGTCAGAGCATCCGGGAATCATTTTTTGTGTTGAGGTAATGTTTATCATGCTTTTCCTGTCAAAGAAAAAAAAACAGTTAAAAGTCATTTGGTGGCAAAAATTTAAATAGATTCTAATGGTTTATGCTCTGACTTCTTTTTTTTTTAAAGTGTTCTTCATTATGCCTAAAATGAAGTAAAATATGACTTCTTCACTTTCTAGTGATTTATAGGTTGTACCCCACACTGTGGCCTCACAGGGCACGTACAAAGGGAAGGCTGAAATCATTAATAATGTAAAGGACGCCCGCATCTGGTTGATCCTCCCAGGTGAATCAAGCCAAAGCCTGATTTAACAGATGGACACTGCACTGTTTCCTGATGGTAAAATTACCAGATGTTCAGAGATTCCAGAAGTACAAAGGCAGAAGGAAATGCGTTAATGATGAGGTTTCTGGCATACCTTTGAATTATCTTCCTTTTAAACACTGCATTTTCTTGCACATTGGGTATATGTGCATGAATTGTGCCATTCCTTGAATTTTAATTAAAATAGAATTTTGCCCTAGAATGTTTTATTCTAAAAATAAGAAATAAGGGAAATATTTTTATCTGCCATCATCAAACTATACTAAATATTATTCAAAGCTTGAAAACATTTGTTGTTTTATTTTCCATTGATTTTCATCTGCAAAAGCCCTTGAAGTAGTCTGGGTAAGGTATTCTTGCCTTTGTAGGGATGACTTGCCAGGTCCTGTGTGGCTCTGTCTCCCTGGTTGTGCAGGGGAGCCTTTGCCTTCTGCTGCAGAGGGATCACAGCAAGTTTGCTCCAGCACTTTCCTAGGTGGTATATATTATTTTGTTTTATTATTATACTTTAAGTTCTGGGATTCATGTGCAGAACATGCAGGTTTGTTACATAGGTATACACGTGCCATAGTGATCACCTGCACCCATCAACCCATCATCTAGGTTTTAAGCCCCGCATGCATTATGTGTTTGTCTTAATGCTATCCCTCTCCTTGCCCCCAACCCGCTGACAGGCCCGGGTATGTGATGTTCCCCTCCCCGTGTCCATGTGTTTTCACTGTTCAACTCCCACTTATGAGTGAGAACATGTGGTGTTTGGTTTTCTGTTCCTGTGTTAGTTTGCTGAGAATGATGGTTTGCAGCTTCATCCATGTCCCTGTAAAGGACATGAACTCATTCTTTTCATGGCTGCATAGTATTCCAGATATATATTATCTTTAACCCTCTTACCCTAAAGGGAAATTAGGCCCAGTCTCCTTCAAAAAGGGAAAAGTGTGGAGGCCATGATGCTGGGGAAACTGCATTAGGACTGTGGTCCCTGTACAGCCACAGGAGGGAAGTTTTTCAATGGTGAGTGAGAGTTATAACTAAGACCTAGATTTGAATCTTGACACCAGCATTAGTAAACCATGTGCCGTTACCCTTAGACAAGTTACCTAACCTCTCTATATCTTAGTTCTTAGTTTTCTTCTCTGTACAGTGGGGATTATAATACATACCTCATAAGATAGTGTTGATGATTAAATGAGATAATACATAGAAAGATACTTTGCGTCTGGTTGAGAATAAATCCTTAAATAAGAAGAAACCACAGTGATAGAGAAACCACACATTGTTAATCCCATGTGAATGAATTCAGGTAACATATACTTCCTTCCTTCCTGACATTTCCATTTTGATACCTGGAATGGACTAGCTTCAGTTTGATTGTTCCAAACTTGTCTTGATCACGTTAGTAATTAAAGTTTAAAGCCCTGGACTTTTTCAGGGTGGGAATCCTTATTTCAGAACCCAGAGCAGGCTAAATGGCCCACCCAACACAGCTATCCTGTCATGGTTCCTCTTTAGAAGTTCTGAAGGTTGGCCTCTGAGTCCACCTGAATACAGAAATAAGCTACATTTTTTAAAAAAATAGCTTTCTCCAAGAATCTTTCATGTGTGCTTTTAGCAGGATGAAGCTGCCCTAGGGTTAAGCATTGTGCTATCAACTGATGGAAGACAGAGACGCACCCCTGCAAGAGTAAGGCCGCACTTCCCTTTTTCATATCCTCTCTCAAACTACCTGCTGGGTGACTGTTTAATTAGTGGGCAAGCAGTGATTCCTAGAAATTATGGAGTCTTTAGTGTTCACAAGGATATAGTTCCTAATGTTTTTCTCAGCAGTATATACAACCACTTCCTACTTTTAAATAGTAGGCTAATCTGAATATTAACTACCTGCCAATTTCAACACACCTCTCCTATAAACATTTCCTTCCTGGGTAGGGAGGAAGCCCAAACGATGTGGTCCTGTGTAGTTCTTTAACTTTCTTTTTTATGATTGGTGCAGAGCATCTGATTATTTCCAGGTGTTTCAGATTTTCTCATGGCCTCCTTGTTATTTTCCCCCTTTAAGCTCCTTTGGCAATGAATGTGACCATGAGGTCCAAAGCTATAAAGGATGTGTTCACCACTTCCCTCTTATGTCTGTCTCTTTATTTAACCACAAGTTCACTGTCTTTATCCATGTTAATTCCCTGAGGTATTCACACAGCATTTGTGTTGACTGCCTTAATTTTGATCTTCTCTAATCATTCCCTGCCAGATGGTAGTTAAAGTTTAATGGCCCCTGTAAAAATAGTTCCCTTTCTTCTTTCATCAGTCATGTGTCTTTACTTAGCTAACTGCTGGATGTTCAGAATGAACACAAAGTGACCACCAGCAAAATGAATTCAACAAACACATTGGCTTAATACTTTTCATGGTAGCTAAAGATGTCTCCTGCCATTATCCACTCAGCCATTATCCTTACCTTTTATCATCTTTCTTTTTCTGCTTTGTTAGTTTTCTTTTGTTTTTATCTCCCTTCTCAGGTTGTCTGATGGAAAGCCACAAGACTGAGGCCTGGTAGTCATCAGTACGCAACAATTAAAGTGTGCGGACATGTCCAATTTCCAACGGCATTTAAGTGCTAGATGACATTTGGCAAATCCCTAGAGATTTCCATGCCACACCCATAAGATGCAGGTAAGCATCATTCTTTATCATTCAGATAAAGGAGCAGAAATAACTCACAGAAGGCCACACAAGAGGCTGGCATAGAAACTTGGCATTCTCAAGGTACAAAATAAAGAAGCAGATACATATAACAAACTCATCACTAAATAAATAGTATGCCTGGCATGTCTTTAGTGCATCCTACTATCATCCCCAAGTTCACTAGTTTGGAAATAGCAATTAAATAAGGATTATGTCGTATGCCATTTTACAGATGAGGTAACTGAGATGAGTCATATTATATGAACTCTTGCCAGACCACATACATATCTCTAGAACTACCCTGTCACTTATATTTACATTCACTTTAGTTAAATATGTAAGGGCTATTTAAAAGAAAAATAAAACTAACCAAACAAAAGATTATCTGCATTTTTAAAGTAAGCATTTTTAAAGCAAGCATCACTTTATATATACAAACATTACTTAAAATCTATAAAATACAGGACCCTTAGCCAGGGTCAGAGAACCACAGCCTGAAGGCCAAATTCAGCCCACTGCCTTGTTTTGTAAATAAAGTTCTATTGGAACATATTCATGCTCATTCTTTTGCGTATAATTTATGGCTGCCTTCACTTTATAATGGCATCGTTGAGTAATTTCAACAAAGACTGTATGATCTACAAAACCTAAAATATTTACTATCTGTAAATGTTTTACAGAAAGCGTTTGCCAACCTCTGCTCTAGGCCTTTGAAATATGGCATCACATGTTATTTCTACTTAAATAATTACTTTTTCTTTTTTTTTTTTTTCTTGAGATGAAGTCTTGCTCTTGTCGCCCAGGCTGGAGTGCAATGACACAATCTCTGCTCACTGCAACCTCCGCCTCCCGGCTTCAAGCAATTCTCCTGCCTGAGCCTCCCAAATAGCTGGTACTACAGGCACCCGCCACCATGCCTGGCTAATTTTTGTATTTTTAGTAGGGATGGAGTTTCAACATGTTGGCCAGGCTGGTCTCAAACTCCTGAACTCAGGTTATCTGCCCGCCTCAGCATCCCAAAGTGCTGGGATTACTGGTGTGAGCCACTGTACCTGGCCAATTTATTTTATAATTCAGGAATGCTAATTAGATGGTGTTGGATATTGCTTTAAATGACATTGATTTGGCCAGGCGTGGTGGCTCACACCTGTAATCCCAGCACTTTGGGAGGCCAAGGTGGGCAGATCACAAGGTCAGGGGATCGACACCATCCTGGCTAACATGGTGAAACCCCGTCTCTACTAAAAATACAAAAAATTAGCTGGGCGTGGTGGCGGGCACCTGTAGTCTCAGCTACTCAGGAGGCTGAGGCAGGAGAATGGTGTGAATCCAGGAGGCGGAGCTTGCAGTGAGCCAAGATAGTGCCACTGCACTCCAGCCTGGGCGAAAGAGCGAGACTCCATCTCAAAAAAAAAAAAAAAAAAAAAAAAAAAAAAAAAAAAAAAAAAATGACATTGATTTGAAATAGCATTTCAAGTACAAAAGGATAATAAACTCATCTACAAAAATGCCATCCCAATTGTAATGACCATCTTGAAGAGTGAAGAAACTATAAATGTTCAACAACTTCTTGATAACTTTGGAAACAGCTGATGGCCACTTTACATTCTATAACTCATAATAATACAGAATGTGGGCAAGAGATATCCTAACTAACTATTAATCAAGGAATAAATATTAATACTTAGCCAATTTCGTAGTTTGGGACAAGAACTATGATCTATCAGGGCTTTAGTTTCTTCATCTATAAATCAATACTATGCATTAAATAATCTCTCCCAGCGCTTCTAGTACTAATGTTCAATGGTCCATATTCTTCTACCCGGTCAAAATGCAACCCGCTGGCCTCCTCCTCTACCAAAAAAAAAAGTTTCTAGACTCTTATGGGCGTATAGTTAGTCCCAATTTTTAAACAACCCCTGCAGAAAGTTTTTAATTCTGGACAACTTTGACCTGAATCTCAGGTGGGTGAGGGAGAGATAATACTCTGGAATGAAGATCATCAAGCAGTCTCATGCCAAATATCTCAGTTTAATGACTATAAAAATTGGAAACTTGTGCCTTTGAGAACATGAGGAAGTGTATTTGGACCCAGGACAAATGAGGTATCAAGTTTCCACAAAGATTTTGAAGGAGTAATTAAGAAATTTAACTGATGATTTAAATTATCTTTTTATATTAAAGCAATTACAGCCATATTGTGGAGGAGCACACAGAAATCAGCATGAATTTTTAAAGTAAAATACAATCCTTCAAATCAATTTTGTTCATGAGCAAGGAAGTTTAGAGTTTACACCTGGAATCCCTCTCTCACCTTGGCCTCTATGCAAAGGGCTGGTCACTAGCAAACTTCAAGGGAAAAGTTGGAGAGTTATTGCCTTAGAATTTGAGTGAATTCTCAAATTCTACTACAAAAAATATCACTTCAGCTTCAAGTCAGTACACTAGAATTTATAGTCAGACTTATTACTGTGTCCCAAAACTTCTTACTAGTTCTGAGTTTATCCCTCTAACATGTGTGTAAGTGAACATTCAGAATGACTCAAATTTATGAATTATCAGGAATGTGTGTATCTTCTCCTTATGTTTCAATAAATTACTGTGGTTAGAATGTAAGCATCATATATCAACCAAATTATCTCTAAGTTCCTTTCCAAGCAAGGGAGGCAGTATAAGGAGCTGAGAGATGGGACAGGAAATAAACCAGGAGGTTCTGCCACTAACTCACAGTGTGAACTTAGTCAAGTACAACAACTTTGGGCCATGGTTTATTTATCTATGGATGAGAGGTTTGAACTAGAGGCAGGCCCACATGTGTCATGTGTGAAATTCTTATAAATTATAACTACTATGAAAATGTTACCAGTATTGTCTTCTACTCACTATCCTATGATTATCCTCACTATCCTATTTACTACTATGAAAATGTTACTAGTACTATCTTTTCTACTCACTCTCCCTCCACTGTATGTCTGGCAGTTGTAAAAACGTATCATACCTTACGTTCTATAACGGGGTGAAAAATACTATTATTTTATACCTATTTCTTATCTCTTAGTAGAATAATAAACACTGTGAACAAGGAAAGTATCAGAAACTAATTTTGAACACAGTAAGTGAAAACAAAAAAAGAGAGATGATTACATATCCAAAGAAGCGGCCATAAGACTGAACAATAATAAGGCTTAAGAAACATGGGAGTTGATTTCTCTCTCAGATAGCAGTCACAGGTAGGGAGGCAGCCTCTGTTCCACGTAGCCATTCGGGGACTGAGGCTGGTGACAGCCCTCCTGCTTCCACGTGTGATTGCCAAAATTACTTTGGTTGTTGCCATTCCAGCCTCAAGACAGCAGAAGCCTGGAAGTCCAGGGCCAGGAACTTGTGAGAGGCAAGTTGCTCACATCACCTCCACCTACCTTCCATTGACAAAAGTTTAGCCACACACACACATCTAGCTGCAATGAGGGCTGGGAAATGGGATGTTATTATGAAAGAAGATAGATTTGGGTGGACAGATGATCCTTATAATCAATAAAATGAAAGGAGGCTGAAGAGGCAGCCTAGTCTGTTTCTCAGTGTACAAGAGGATATATACATATGTATACATTTTTTAATATTTCATATAAATTTTCATATATTATATATACATAAATTTCAATAATAATAAAAGAAATTAGTGTGTACTCACCCCAGCTGTAACAAATCTTAGACTTTATACAGTTGGAGACCTCCAATTCTCTCCCCTCCCTTAACAGAGGGAAATTTTCCTTTAGTGTGAGTCTTTCAATTCTATGTCATTTAAAATGTTACTACATTTTAAAATCAATAAACAACATAATGAATAACAATGTGTTTACTTCGACTTTATGTAAAGTGATGTCACATCATATCATAACATAGCTTGCTTTGTCCCCCGACCCAAAATTTTCCCTCCATAAAAGCAGCTTCTTTTTCCCTCCAAATTGTATTCTTTAGATTTACCTATGTCAATAATACAAACTCAATTTATTCATTTTGACTGCTTTCTCATATTTGTGTGTGAATATGGCTTTTTCTGATTTGGTTTTTTTTTTTTTTTTTTTTGAGATGGGAGTCTCGCTCTGTTGCGGCTGGACTGCAGTGGCACGATTTCTGCTCACTGCAAGCTCCGCCTCCCAGGTTCACGCCATTCTCCTGCCTCAGCCTCCCGAGTAGCTGGGACTACAGGGGCCCGCCACCACGCCCGGCTAATTTTTGTTTTAGTAGAGATGGGGTTTCACCGTGTTAGCCAGGATGGTCTCGATCTTCTGGCCTCGTGATTCGCCTGCCTCGGCCTCCCAAAGTGCTGGGATCGCAGGCGTAAGCCACTGCGCCCGGCCTGATTTTTTTATGACTACAGATATTGCTACAATGAGCATCTTAGTGAATGTGGGCAAGCATTTTGCGAGGGTTGTGTTGTTCAGTAAAGTAGCCACTAACCACATGAGGCTACTTAAATTTAAATTAATTAAAATCAACTAAATACAACTAATTGAAATTAATTAACTTAATAAAATTAAAATTTCAATTCCTCAATTACACCAGCTGCATTTCTTTTCTTTCTTTCTTTTTCTTTCTTTTTTGAGACAATGTTTCACTCTTGTTGCCAGGCGATGTGGTGCATGCCTGTAGTCCCAGTTACTCAGAAGACTGAGGTATGAGGATCGCTTTAGCCCAGAAGTTAGAGTCCAGCCTGGGCAACATGATAGCCCTTCTCTCTCTCTCTCTCTCTCTCTTTTTTTTTTTTTTTTTGAGACAGAGTTTCACTCTTGTCGCCCAGGCTGGAGGGCAATGGCACAATCTCGGCTCACTGCAAACTCTGCCTCCCAGGTTCAAGTGATTCTCCTGCCTCAGCCTCCCAAGTAGCTGGGGTTACAGGCACCCGCCACCATGCCCAGCTAATTTTTTGTGTTTTTGTAGAGACAGGGTTTCACCATGTTGGTCAGGCTGGTCTCAACCTCCTGATCTCAGGTGATCCACCCGCCTCAGCCTCCCAAAGTGCTGGTATTATAGGTGTGAGCCACCGTGGTCAGCCCACTAGCCACATTTCAAGTGTTCAGTAGCCACATGTGGCTAGTGGCTAGCACAATGGATGGCACAGCCATTATTATAGAAACTTCTATTGGACAATGCTGCCATAAAGTGTACATGTAACTGTGGAAATGCTGAGTTGCAGGGTATGCATATCCTCAAGTTTAATGGATATCGCCAAATTGCTTTTCACATCATCAAAATTCTTAATTATAAGCAAGAGAACACCATTATGGATCATTCAAACAAGAAAAATTCTTTTTTAAAGGATGTTGGATAGCTTACAGAATCTCAGGAAGTGCTTGAGAACCACCCAAATATGAATGGAATTGACTAATGTGGATGCTGCACTGCTTATGGGTACAGTTCCTGCAACTTATATTTCTGAAATGACATATGCTGGGTGGTGGTATTGTTTCCTGCACTGTCATCATTGCTGCCTCCAGAAACTGTACCTAGGTGCCATCACTGCTGCCACATTCACTACAGGGGTTCTGCTGGGTTCCTACTTTTTAATACTATCTTCACACTTCATACAATTTGGAGCTGCTGTATCTGTTTGGCAGACTGAGTAAAACACCTGCATCCCATCTTTACAGAAGGCTTAGGAAGACATATGTCTTGCAATTTTTCATTGCTGGGAAATATGCAAATTTTCAGACTTACTACCTATTACCCAGTTGGTCTCTAAAGTAGATATAAACATTTTAATTTCTACCACAACAAGGGACAGTTCCCACTTTTCTACAGTTTCCAACATGTAGTGCCATCTAGCATTTTAATGCTTGCCAAACTAATAGTTGTGTAAAGATGCCTCAATGTGGTTTTAATTTGCATTCTCCTGATTAACCTAAGGCTTATCATCTTTTAATATTTTTATAATTGTTAGAGCTTCTTATTCTGTGAACTACCTATTCATATTCTTTGCCCAATTTTTAAATTGGGGTTTTGGCCTTTTTCTTATTGATATAAAAAACTTTTAAAATATATACTTGATATTAATTTTTTTAATTCTAGGCATTAAATGTATCTCTTCCCAGGTGGTAGATTGTCTCTTCACTTTTAAAAAATCTTATTATGCAAATCTTCAATCATATACAAAATAGAATAATATAATGAATCCCAACATACCATCACCCAGCTCATAGTCAATCTTGCTTCATCTATATCACCACCCACATCCCCCCACACTAGGTTATTTAGAGGAAAATTCTCTGACATCATGTCACTTCCTATGAATCTCTGAGGTTAAGAACTCTGTAAAACTGAAACCATAATACCATCATCAACCTAGTAATATGTAAAAAGACAGCGCCTTAGTGTAATCAAATTATTCCATGTTCAAATTTTCACAATTGCTTTATAAATGTTTTTACAATTTGAGTCCATATCCAAACAACTAATTACCATCAATGTTCAACAATCAATATCCAATAACCACTATAAATGGTTGATATGTCTTTTAAGTACATTTTCATCTATAGGTTACCTCTTTATATCTCTCTCTCCTCTTTATTTTTATTGTTATTTTTATTTCTTTGAGACGCAGTCTCGCTCTATTGCCCAGGCTGGAGTGCAGTGGCATGATCTCAGCTCACTGCAACCTCTGCCTCCCAGGTTCAAGTGGTTCTCCTGCCTCAGCCTCCTGAGTAACTGGGATTACAGGTGCACACCACCATGCACGGCTAATTTTTGTATCTTTAGTAGAGACGGGGTTTCACCATGTTGGTCAGGCTGGTCTCAAATTACTGACCTCGTGATCCGCCTGCCTCAGCCTCCCAAAGTGCTGGGATTACAGGTATGAGCCACCGCGCCCAGTCTTTATTTTTTATTTTTTGAAATGTTTTGTTATTGTTGATAAAGCCAGGTTTTTGTCCTGCACAGTTTCTAAGATTGGAATTTTGTTGTTTGAGTCTATGTGGTTGTAGTGTAGCATGTTCCTCTGTCCCCTGTATTTTCTATAAATTGGTAGTTAAATTGAGATCCCTAAATAGATTGAACTTCAACTCTTTTGGCAAAATTACTTCATTGATGGTTTTGAGCTGGGCATGGTGGGCTTACACCTGTAAGCTCAGCATTTCAAGAGGCCGAGGCATGAGGGTCATTGGCCCCAGGAGTTCAAGACCAGCTTAGGCAACACAGTGAGACTCCCATCTCTATAAAAAATAAATAAAATAAAGTATTTCATTGATTATATAGTGTAAGTCTATCAAGAGATACATAACTTCTACCTGGCTCTCCTTGTGAGATGTTAGCAGCTCTTGATGATCATTGCCCAGTTCCATTCATTCATTAAGGCTTGCAAAATGGTGATATTCTAATGCTATCAATCCATCTTCATTTGTTAGCTGGAACACTTCTATTAAAAAACAGAAAAACTTCTTCTAATGAGCTATTGGTACCCTGATGTGCAAGTACCTCATATATTGGTACAAGTACAAGCACAAGCACCAATATATGAATAAGAAAGACAAAACAAATGCTATTTTTCTTTTAACCATTTTCAACATCATAAATTGATTTCCTATAGTCCTACAAGGAAGAACAGGTTGTGAGCTCTAAATATTGTTTACTACTGAACAAACTAAGGATACTTAAATAAATGGCTATCTCCTAATCTGGAACAATAAATATATGGAATAAGTCTACAACATCATAACTGAAAGTGACAAAGCTATAAAAACTGCTAGTGTTGCATCAACAGTGCTCAGGAGTCAACCTGAGTTTTCCACTGACCAAAGAAGGTAGTTTGAACATTCAGAAGAATAATAATTAAAGGATTAAAATATAATTTATGTGTTTAAATTCACAAGTTCATAATGACACCAAACAAAAAATGTTTTATATTTCAAATGGTGTGTTCTTCTGTGTCCAGATATTTTTTTAACCTTAATATAGTGAGATTCACTAATATTTTCCTTTAAGTCTGTGCTTTATGTCTTGTTCAAGAAATTCTCCCTTACCCTGAAGTCATAAAAATATTTTCCTAAAAAAGTTTTTAAATTGCCTTTCATATTTAAGACTTAATTCAAACTATTTTTGTATCTTATGTAAGGTAGTTCTAAGTGTTTAATTGTAGTCCCAGAAAGAAAGATTAGAGAGAATCAAATAATAAATTTTTAGAAAGAGTGGCTGGAATTTTTCTGGAATTAAAGTGTAAATAAAAAGAAATTCATGCTTGGACACATCATGTAAAAATGCAAAACAGCAAAGACAATGATCTTTAAACCAGTCAGAGAAAAAAGAGAGATTAAAAAGGAGTGGCAATTAAACTGATGGTAGATTTCCTAATATCAATAATAAAAGCCAGGAGCTAGTATTTATCTCAAATACTGAGAGAAGGAAAAAAACTCTTAATCTAGAATTGTGTACCTTTCAAAATTATCTTTCAAGAATGAAAGTGGAATAATAAAAGAAGGTACTTTGGGAACAATAAAAATGACTCTATAAAATGCTATTCTGAGAGAGGAGAAGGAATAGTGAGAAAATAAAATGGTAATGATGTATCCAATTACTATCTGTTTAAATAATAACGACAACAGCAATAATGTCTAATTTATGAATTTAGAAAAAGAAAAGGACAAAATTAAGATATGGGATAACAAACAACTCAGGAAAGGGGGCAGTATGATCCAAATTAAATCATTAGAAAGACTTGTATTATTCAACACGAGATTAAGTTATTATGTAACTTTAGATTTTGTTCAGTTAAATATATATAATTAAACTTCTATAATAACCAATATAATAAATGGTATCATTCCAAAACAGCACAGGGGAAAACAGTGAATAAAAAAAGAAATATACGTAAGGATAGACATACGAATTAAAGAGAATAGAATCGAGAGTCCAGAGATACACTATTACATTCAAGTTCAGTCAATTTTTGACAAAGGTGCCTAGACAATTCAATGGGGAAGAACAGTCTTTTCAAAAAATAGTTCTGGGACAACTGGATAGCCACAGGCAAAAGAATCTTCCTTCTCTTATACCATATACAAAAATTAACTCCAAATGGATCATAGAGCTAAATGTAAGAGGTAAAACTATAAGACTCCTAGAAGAAAATATAGGATTCAGTCTTTGTGACCTGGGGCTATACAAAGGCACAAATAACAAAGGACAAAAATAGATAAACTTTCTCAAAATTTACCACTGTAATGCTCCAAGGGAGAATATCAAGAAAGTGAAAAGACAACCTACAAAATGCAAAAAAGTATTTACAAATCATATATCTGATGTGTGACTTGTATTTAAATTCTATTTTAAAAAACTCTTACAACCAGTAATAAAAAAATGAAAAGCCCACTCAATTTTTCTGTATATCTAAAACTGTTCAAAAAATAAAGTCTATTCATTTTTAAAAGACAAATAACTAAATTTTAAAATAGACAAATGATCTGCGTAGAAACCTTTCCAAAGAAAATATACAAATCGCCAATAAGCAGCTGAAAGGATGTTCAACATCATTAGCCATTAGAGAACTGCAAATCAAAACTCTAGTAAGATAGCCCTGTACACCCACTAGGATGACTATAATAAAAAAGATAGACAATAATAAGTGTTTGCAGAGTTGTGTAGAAACTGGAAGACTCATACATTGCTGATAGAAATGCAAACTGGTGCAGCCACTTTGGAAACAGCTTGGCAGTTCCTTAAAAACTAAACTGGCTTGCTGTATGAGCCTGCAATTCCACTGCTAGGTATATATCCACAATAAATGAAAACATATGTCTATGTAAAAACTTGTACACAAATGTTCACAGCAGCATATTCAGAATAGCCAGAAAGTGATACAAATCCAATTGTCTTTCATACAGTGAAATATTCAGCCATAAAAAGGAATGTGGTACAGCTACAGGATTCAAGAGAGATGAATTCTGAAAACAGCATGCTAAGTGAAAGATGCCAGTCATGGTAGACCACATGGTAGACCACTATATTTATATGCCATGTCAAAGATAAGAAAATCACTGGAGCACAGTGGCTCACTCCTGTAATCCCAGCACTTTGGGATGCTGAGGCAGGTGCATCACTTCAGCCCAGGGGTTTGAGATCAGCCTGGGCAATGTGGTGGAGCCCCATCTCTACAAAAAACTACAAAAATTAGCTGGGCATGGTGGTACCCATATAGTCTGAGCTACTTGGGAGGCTGAGGTGGGAGGATCACTTGATCTTGGGAGGTCGAGGCTGCAGTCAGCCATCATTGTACCACTGCACTGCAGCCTGGGCAACAGAGTGAGACAAGAAAGAGAGAGAGAGAGAGACAGAGAGAGAGAGAGAGAGAGAGAGAGAAAGAAAGAGAAAGAGTGAGGAAAGAAAGAAAGAAAGAGAGAAAGAGAATGAGACAAGAAAGAGAGACAAGAAAGAAGGAAAGAAAGAAAGAAAGAGGAAGAGAGAGAGTGAGACAAGAAAAAAAGAAAGAAAGAGAAAGAGAGAAAGAGAGTGAGACAAGAAAGAGAGTGAGACAAGAAAGAAAGAAAGAAAAGAAAGAAAGAAAGAAAGAAAGAAAGAAAGAGAAAGAAAGAGGGAGGGAGGGAAGGAAGGAAGGGAAGGAAGGGAAAGAGAGAAAGAAAGAAAGGAAGGAAGGAAAGAAAGGAAAGAGAGAAAGAGGAAGGATGGAAGGAAGGAAGGGAGGAAGGAAGAAAGGGAGGGAAGAAAGGGGAAAAAAGAAAAAAAGCATAAATAAAAGTAAATTAGTGGCTTCCTAGGGCTGAGGTGGTTGGGGAGAAATGAGGAGTGACTACTAATGGGTACAGCAGTTTTTTGGCAGGGTTGGGGGGTGAAAATATTCTAAGGTCGACTGTGGTTAATGACTTTGTTAATGTAGTAAAAATCATTGAACTGTACACTTTGAATCAGTGAATTGTATGGTATGCAAATGATATCCCAATAAAGCTGTTAAAAAATAAACAAAATAAAAAAGTAATACTATCAAAGAATGGTCGGAGCCAATGCTATCAGACCTCTCTCTCAGCCTCTTTTCTCTATTTTTCTCACACATTGGATGCAGATCTTTCCCAACATATAAGTGATATACAGCTAGTCATGGCTTCCAGATTCCTATTCATCTAACTCCACAGCTAGAGAGCAAGGTGGCTTCTCTTTCCAGAATCAGTTTGAAATATCCCAGCAAAAAGCTCTGATTGGTCCTGCCAAAGTATTGTTCCTACCTTCAAGCCAATCACAGTGGCCAAAGACACGAATAATTAGGTTTGGTCAAGTTTTGACAGTCAGAGTAAGACAGAGAAAGGCTGTTACCAGAAGAGAAAATGGAGAAGAAAAAGAGGAGGAAGGGGCTGAGAGGGAAGTTTTCCACTTTAGGTATACAGTTTACCTATAGACCCATCCTTAAATAATAATTTGTTTCTAAATCACAGCCAAGAAACTTATTCACTAGCCTGGCCAACATGTCGAAACCCTATCTCTACTAAAAATACAAAAAATAGTTGGGCATGGTGTTGTGTGCCTGTAATCCCAGCTACTAGGGAGGCTGAGGCAGGAGAATCTCTTGAACCCGGGACGCGGAGGTTGCAGTGAGTGGAGATCGTGCCACTGCACTCCACCCTGGGTGATGGAGCAAGACTCCATCTCAAAAAAAAAAAAAAAGAATCTTATTCAAAGTTTCCTATGCAAAAATTCTTGAACCCGAGTGATGGCGGCTTTCAGTTCATCAGTCAATCTGCTGATGCCCAGCTTTAAATGAGTCTGGCCAGCTATCTCTTGCACAAACCTATTATAACCGTTGTATCCAAAGGGGGACTATTCCTATGGGGTACTATAAGATACAAAAAGGTTACACAATTGCATGATTTTATCTAATTTTATGATGACATTTATGTGATTGCTTCTTGGCAGTGATCAAGGCCAGAGTTCCTCTGATAAATTAATTTCCTTTTATATCATCCCTAATCACACTCTTCAGAGGCTCATGTACTTAGGAATTTACCTGCCTTAATTCACTTCAATTAAAAAATTGTTTTTTCTTCTTTAGCTTCACATTTATTGTGCTTCTTAAAGTCAATTTTATCAACTGAACTTCTAAAATTGCCAAAGCACAAGGATGAATGTCAGAATGTCAAGGGTTTTTAAATGAACTCTGACAAGACAGAAAAGGTCAAAGCAGATTTCCTCAACGTGTTCAAATGTGGTCCTGATTATAAAGATTTTTACAAGGAGTATTTAGGTTATTCCTTAAAACGACTGCAGTATTCTGCTATACTTGATGGATTAAATTTTGCCTGGACCACCTTTCTCTCTAGGGCCCCCACCTTCTGTCTGGGTCAGCATTCCTCATGCTTCTGTTCTTGGTTTAGATGTCATCTCTTTCAAGAAGTCTTTCCAGGTCCCTCAAGGCATAACCGGTTGCCCCTTCTGAGGTCCTCCCCATACTCAGTGTTTACCGTTATTATAGCATTTACTATACTGCATTGTAATTATCTGTTAATTTGTGCATCTCAGCTCCTCTCCACAATAAGATCAACTTCCTGGGGGCAAAGACTGAACCTAAACTAAAGCACTTCAGAGCCTAGCATAATGCCTACAAAAGTGTCCCACAGGCCTTTGTTAAATTGTGGGACATTTTTCAAATAATTGCCCAGTACTCCATAGATGTGTCAGGGTTATGAATGACTGAAAAACTGCCTCAGATTGGAGGATTGGAGGAGATCAAGAAGGCATGACTCTGATCTTGTATAGGATCCTGGACCAGAAAAAGAACATTAATGGAACAATTGGCAAGATTTGAATTAGGTCAGTAAGTTAGTTAATAGTAATTCATAAATGTTAATTTCCTAGTGTTGCTCATTGTACTGTAGTTTTATAAGATGTTAACATTTGGGGAGTTGGTGAAGGGCATATGAGAATTATTTGATTTTTGTGATATTTTTATGAGCCTAAAATTACTTCAAAATGGAAAGTCAGAAAAATTTTAAATAGGAACAAATATGCATATGTTGGCTTATAAATAAAAAGAAAGAGAGAGAGGAGGAGGGGAAGCAAGGTAGGAGGGAAGAAGGAATGAAATCAAAAAGCTAGCTGGTTTTGGAAGTATAGCTAGGGTGATAGAAGGGTAGATCTGAGAGCTTTTATAACTGCAAGTGCCTTGAATGCCATATTATTACCACATTCTTAGCAGTCTAATTAGGAAATGCTGTTCATGAACAGAACCTTGGGTAACCCTTTCTTTGCTGTTTACTCTTGAGCTTTGTTCCAATGCTTTCAAATTATTCTGTTTAATTTTAACAAGTACTTATTGAGTGCCTGATATGTGTCAGGCAGAATGATGAGCACCCAGGATAGATGCAAATGTGGTAAGACACGTTACTTGTCCGCAGGGAGGAACACCATCCACAGAAAAGAGCCGAGCAAAAAGAAAACAAAGACTGTCCATAGAGTAAAAAATGTGCAACTGTTTTTACACAGGTACCAAATAAAGAGGCAATGCAGAAAAGTGCTGCTCTCCTGGGAGCACAAAAGCTTCACAGGAGGGTTAATGTGGAAGCTGAGTGTTGAATAAGTGAGAATTTGCCAGGTAGACAAAATTGGGAGGAGCATTCCCAGCACACCATGTGTAAAGATCTGAGTTGGGAAACAGCAGAGTGAGATCAACACAGCTAAAATAATAAGTACCCACAGAAAAAAATGGACTCTTATTTGTAGTAGCTTTACTGGGATATAATTTACCTATCATAAAATTCACGCATTTGGAATGTACACGTCAGTGGGTTTTAGTATATTCACAGAGTTATACCACCATCATCCCTATCTAATTTTATAACAGTTTCATCACCCCTCTCCCAGTGAAATCCCATACTCATTAGCAGTCACTCTCCATCCCCCAACCCCAGCCTTAGGCAACCACAAATCTACTTTCTGCCTTCACAGATTTGCCTATTCTGGACGTTTCATATTGAAGGAATCATACAGTCTATGATATTTTGTGACTCCATTCTTTCACTTAGTATAATATTTTCAAGGCTCATCCATGTAGTCGCGTGAGTTAGTACTTCATTTCTTTTTATTGCTAAATTATATTCCATTGTATGGCTAAACCACATTTTGTTTGTCTACAACGCATAGACTGATGAACATTTGGGTTGTTCTCACATTTTGCCTATTAACACTGTTATAAACAGACAGCTACAATTTTTTATGTAGACATACATTTTCCTCTCTCTTGGATATATACTTAGAATTACTGGGTCATAAGGTAATTCTATGTTTTGTTTTGTTTTGTTTTTAAGAGATGGGGTATCAGGCTGGGCGCAGTGGCTCATGCCTGTAGTCCTAGCACTTTGGGAGACTAAGAAAAGCGGATCACCTGAGGCCAGGAGTTAGAGACCAGCCTGGCCAACATGGAGAGACCCCATCTCTAATAAAAATACAAAAATTAGCTGGTTGTGGTGGTGGGTGCCTGTAATTCCAGCTACTCAGGAGGCTGAGGCAGGAGAATAGCTTGAACCAGGAGGTGAAGGTTGCAGTGAGCCGAGATGGCACAACCGCACTCCTGCCTGGGTAATAGAATGAAACTCTGTCTCAAAAAAAAAAAAAAAAAAAAAGAGAGAGAGAGAGAGAGAGAGATGGGATATCATGTTGTCCAGGCTGGACTCTAACTTCTGGGCTAAAGCGATCCTCCCTCCTCAGCCTTCTGAGTAACTGGGACTACAGGCATACACCACATCGCCTGGCTATATTTACTTTTTGAGGAACTGTCAAACTGTTTCCCAAAGTGGCTGTACCATTTAACATCACCACAAACGCTTGTTATTGTCTAGCTTTTTAATACTATAGCCACCATAGTGGGTATGAAGTGGTGCATTCGTTTGCTAGGGCTGCTGTAACAAATTACCACAAACTAGGTGGCTTAAAGCAACAGAAATCTATTCTCTCACAGTTCTGGGGCTAGAAGCCTAAAATCAAGGCACCATCAGGGTTATGCTTTCTCTGGAGGCTCTAGGGGAAAAAGCTGTTCCATGACTTTCCCTTATTTCTTGTGTTCCTAGTAATCCTAACCATATCTTGGGTTACTGATGCATGTCACTCCAATCTCTGACTCATCACATGGCATTCTCCCCTGTGTCTCTTCTCCAGTCATATTGAATTAGGGCCCACCCCAATCCAGTATTACCTCATCCTGCCTTGATTACCTCTGCAAAGACCCTATTTCTAAATAAGGTCATATTCACAAGTACCAGGGGTGAGAAGGTCAACATACCTATTTGGGGGACACAATTCAACTCACAGTAAGAGCTGGTGTCTCTTTGTAGTTTTGATTTATATTTCCCTAATGGTTAATGATGTTGAGCATCTTTTCATGTGCTCATTTGTATGTCTCCTTTGGAGAAATGTTTATTCAAATTTTTGTTCGTTTTGTGATTAAGCTATTGTCTTTTTATTCTTCAGCTGTGAGTTCTTTACATATTCTGGGCTCTTATCAGATATATGACTTGCAAATATGTTCTTCCATTCTGTGGGCTGTCTTCACTTTTTTATAGTGCCCTTTGAAACACAACAGTTTTTCATCTCGATGAAGTTCAATTTATCTATTTTTTCTTTTGTTACTTATGCTTTTGTTGATAAGTCTAAGAAACTGTTGACTAATTCAAGGCCATGAAGATTTATGCCTATGTTTTCCTCTAAGAATTGCATAGTTTTATCTCTTATATTTGGGTCTTTGATCCTTTTTTAGTTAAGTTTTGGGTATAATGTGAGGTATGGATCCAAATTCATTATTTTGCAAGTGAATATTCAGTTGTCCTAGCACCATTTGTTGAAATTAATACCCATCTCCCGTTGAATTGTCTTGTCACTCTTGCAAAAACAAAAATTACCAGAAATGTAAGGATTTGTTTCTAGACTCTCAATTCTATTTCATTGATCTCTATGTCTATCCTGATGTTGGTACTACAATGTCTTGATTACCGTAGCTTGGAAATCAGGAAATGTGAAAAATCCAACTTTATTCCTTTTTCTTAAAATTACTATGGCTATTCTATGTCCCTTCAATTTTCATATGAATTTTAGGATCAGATTGTCAATTTCTGCAAAAAGCCAGCTGGGATTTTTATAGGAATTGTGTTGCATCTGTAGATGAATTTGGGGAGTACTGCCATCTCAACAATAGAAAGTGTTCCAATCTATGTGCATGGATGATGTCTTTCTATTTATTTAAACTTCTTTAATTACTTTCAACAATGTTTCATGGTTTCAATTCATAAGTCTGATATTTCTTTTATTAAATTTAAGTATGTTATAGTATTATAGAGGAAATTGTATCTTTAATTTCATTTCAGATTGTTCATTGCTAGTGTATAAAAATAAAGAAATTTTTATATATGATCTTGTATCCTGCAACTTTCTAAATTCATTTATTAGTTCTAATAGCTTTTTAGTGAATCCCCTAGTATTTTCTATACACAAAATCATGTTACCTGCCAATTGAAATACATCTACTTTTTTCCTTTCCAATCAGGATGGCCTTCATTTCTTTGTCTTGCCAATTGCCTTAGCTAGAGCCTCTGGTACAATGTTAAATAGAAATGATGAGAGTAGACATTTTTGCCTTGTTCTTGATTGTGAGGAGAAAGCTTTCAGTCTTTCACTAAGTATGGCATGAGTTTTAGGTTTTTCATAGATGCCTTTTTGGTTAGAAAAACTTTCCATCTATTCCTAGTTTGTTGAGTGTTTTTGTCATGACAGGCTGTTGGATTTTATCAAATGTTTTTTCCTGTCTATTGAGATGATTATGTGGTTTTTGTCCTTTAATCTATTAATATAGTATATTATTTATTGATTTTCATATGTTCAGCCTTGCCTTCCTGGAATGATTCTCATGTGGTCATGGAGTACAATTGTTTGTATATGTTAATGGATTCAGTTTACTAGTATTTTGTTGAAGATTTTCATATCCATATCCATAAAGTATCTTGGTCAGTAGTTTTCTTGTGATGTCTTTGTCTGGTTTTGGTATGTGAATAATGCTGGCCTCATAGAATGAGTTGGGAAATGTTTCCTCCTCTTCTGTTTTTTTGAAGGTTTGTGAATGTTTGGCGACTCTCCTTTAAATGTTTGATAGAATTCACCAGTGAAGCCATCTGGTCCTGAGCTATTCTTTGCTGGAAGTTTCTTTGATTACTAATTTAGCCTCATTACTCGTTATAGGCTTGTTCAGATTTCTACTTCTTTTTGGGTACATTTTGATAGTTTGTATTTTTCTAGGAATTTGTCAATTTCATCTGTTATAATTTGTTGGCTTATAATCATTCATAGCATTTATTTATAATCCTTTCAGTTTTTTAAAATCAATAGTGATGCTCCCTCTTTCATTTCTGATTTTAATAATCTGAGTCTTATCTCTCTCTTTTTTCTTGGCTAATTTAGCTAAAGAATTGTCGATTTTGTTCATTTCAAATAACAAATTTTTCGTTCACTGATTTTTTCAATTGTTTTTCAATTTTCTATTTTATTTATTTCTACTCTAATCTTTTTTTCTACTTGCTTTGGGTTTAGTTTCCTCTTCAGTGCCATAAAGATCTTTTTTGTTTTTTATTATAGACATTTACAACTGTAAATTTCCCACCAAACACTCTGCACCTCATGCATTTTGGTATTCATGCTTTCATTTTCATTCATCTCAAAGTATTTTCTAATTTCTCTTATAATTTTTTTAACCTGTTGGTTATTTAGAAGGAGTATGTAATCTTATTTCCATATATTTGTGAATTTTCCAAGTTTCCTTTTGTTGGTTTTGCTTGTGTTTGTGTTTGCGTTGTTTGTTTGAGACAGGGTTTCACTCTGTTGCCTAGCTTGGAGTATAATGGCACAATCACAGTTCACTGCAGCCTCAACCTCCTAGGCTCAAGGGATCCTCTTGCCTCATCATTCCAAGTAGCTGGGACTATAGGCACATGCCACCATGCCTGGCTAATTTGTGGAAATGGGGGTTTCCCTATGTTGCCTAGGCTGGGAATTGAACAATGAGAACACTTGGACCCAGGAAGGGGAACATTACACACTGGGGCTTGTTGTGGGTTTGGGGGAGAGGCGGAGGGATAGCATTAGGAGATATACCTAATGTAAATGATGAGTTAATGGATGCAGCACACCAACATGGCACATGTATACATAGGTAACAAACCTGCACGTTGTGCATATGTACCCTAGAACTTAAAGTATAATAAAAAAAAAAATATATATATATATATATATAAAAAAGAAAACATCAGTTCTGGGGAAACTGTCAAGCAAGGTGACCCACCCTCATCTGCCAATGAGAAAGGGGCATCAGCATCTTGCCTCCTGGAATTTGAATCTTGAGCAGTGAAATTCAATGCAGTGGGAACTGATCTGAGGTTCTGCTATCCTGAAGAGAATATACATTGTTTGCCACTACTTAGAATCCAGAGTTGACCCTTATTTTTTAATTTTATTTTTTATTATACTTTAAGTTTTATTGCAAGGACAAAAAACCAAACACCGCATGTTCTCACTCATAGGTGGGAATTGAACAATGAGAACACTTGGACACAGGAAGGGGAACATCACACACCGGGGCCTGTTGTGGGGTAGAAGGAGGGGGGAGGGATAGCATTAGGAGATACACCTAATGTTAAATGAAGAGTTAATGGGTGCAGCACACCAACATGGCACATGTATACATATGTAACTAACCTGCAAGCAGAGCTAGCGCCAGGATTAGGGTGAGGGGATGAGACAGGTGAGGCATTCACCTGGAATGGAAAATTTAAAAGGGCTCCAAAAAACTCAATAATCAAGTTAATAATATTTGAAGGCAATATTTTAAAAAATAAAAATTAATGCAAAAATCTATGATGAACAAAATGTCATTACTTTAAAGACAGGATCAGTGTTCCTGATTTTTTCTTTTGCCTCAGGTTCAAATATGGTTTAAAATTGGACTACAGAGCCCTGGTTATTCACATTTTCTCTTGTTCCCACAAGTCAATTCCCATCCTCCCAGTAAATTCCTCCTTTCCATAAGTTCCAGAAAATGTTTTCTTTGTTTACAACCCAAAACCCAACTGATATGGAGTCTGACATTATAAGTAAAGGCAAGTTTCTGGTAGTTCCTTGGCTGCTACAGATTCCAACTCACAATTCTAATCGATTGGACTTCTAGTGAGAGAGATTTTATGTTGTCCTCAAAAAAAACTAAAAATTCCCTTTACCTGGAGACTATCTGAAATCAGAGATAAAAAGCTACCAATTAGGGATGAACTCAAAATAATTATGCCAAGTGAGAGAATTCAGACAAAAATGGATACACGCTGTGTGACTTCATTTATATAAAGCTTCAGAAAATACAAACTAATCTATAGTGACAGAAAGCAAGTCAGTAGTTGCTTGGGGGCAGTGGGAGTAGAGGGGATTGCCAAGGGTAATAAGAAAACTTTTGGTGCTGATGGCTATGTTTACTCTCGATGGTGGTGATGAATTCAAGTGTATACATATGTCAAAACCTATCAGATTATACCCTTACATATGTGTAATTTATTGTTTTTCAATTGTACCTCAGTAAAACCATTTTTGAAAAGTCACTAATTGGCTTTTAGACTTTGCATTTTTACTATCAAGTAATTTCCACCTTTTGAAAAGATTTATTTGAATGCTACATAAAATGTTTTTAATTTATGTTTTGGATATTTGTTGTATTTGGCTTTTTCCATTTCCTCCTGTCCCTATATGGAGGTGGATTTATTCATATAATTAGAAATTGTTTTAAGGGACTATTTCCCTAAATTGCAATGGAATAGTAATTTAATCTATCAACTGCATAATATCCCAACTGAGAAGTGTATGAAAAGTGTACCTATTCACACTGAGAAACAAAGATAAGGAAAAAAATTTTTTAAAAAAAGGAGAAGTGTACCTAAAGTGTTCTTCTTTTCATCTAGTTTTCTACTCATGAAACTCTTCTTTCTTATGATTAAATTGTTCGTCTTATTGATATGAGAAAAGTACTGAGTAAAAAATGTTACATAAAACTAACAAAGATACTCATGTAGAGAACAAATTACAGCATGAGTCTTAAAGTTCTTCTGCAATAGTTCATTCCAGAAAATTAAATTTTGGCAATATACTTTAAATATGATACTTTTAAAATAATAACCTCTCCCATAAAATGATAATGGCAATAAAAAGATATCCCTTTTGTTTCCTTCATTAGTGAATCAAAATTGTATAAAAGAAACATGAATGAGCATTAGTGAGCAGCACTAAAATCTTTTTTACTCAACTTCATAATAAAACAATATTTCTCAAGTAGAATCATACAAATACTGGGTTCGATCATGTACACATACACACATAAATAAAATAACATAATATGTAAGGTACATGTTTTGCTACTTGTTAAATCCTAATTCTTAAAAAATTTAGACTTGCATTTCTAAATTGCAAAGGAAAATAAATACCTGATTAGCCTTCAGTTATGTTAGTATTATTATTCATAACTATTCATTTTAATCAGAGGAGTTTCAGTGGGATTGTTCTCAACTTTTGGAAAGATTGTCTTCTCAAGCTCTTTGCCTATTTCTAAACTGTGTGCTCTGCTCCTGGATAATATTTTCTCAAAGGAATGATGTTGTACATGCCAGATAATCCCATAGACTAATTCCCCAAATTTTGTTTTGGCATAGTTACAAATCCAACCTTGAAATTAAAAAGGAATGAAAAATCTTTCTTGAAAAATAATTATTACTAATTGTGATAGTTCATAATATCTCAGGCTGGGTAATTTACAAAGAAAGGTTTATTTGGCTCACAGTTCTGCAGGCTGTACAAGCATGGCATTAGCATCTGCCTGGCTTCTGATGAGGCCTCAGGAAGCTTTTATTCATGTTGAAAGGCATGGGGAAACAAGCATGTCACATGATGAGAGAGGCAATAAGAGAGAGGGGAGGTCCCAGACTCTTTTTAACAATCAGATTTCATGGAAACTCTTTACCATAGGGAGGGCACAAAGCTGTTCATAAGGGATCTGTCCCCATGGCCCAAATGCCTCCCACCAGGCCCCACCTCCAATGTTGGGGATCACATTTCAACATGAGATATGGAGGGAAAAAAAACATCCAAACTATATCACTAAATTTAGAATTTATTTTAAAAAATAAATTCTAAAAAGTGAGTTTTTAAAATTTAACTTCAAAACTTGCCTTCAATAAAGTACTTATGTACAGAAGTTGGAGAGATGGTCAATGGAGATACCTATGGAAATTCTGAAGGAGACTTCTAGACTTTCAAGGGCTTTATAGGATAATAAAGAATCCCAATGATTCTCTATCATTTCTAAATCCACTTTAAGTATTCCTTTTCTCATCCAGCCAAGTGAGGAAAATTAATAAAAATGATTTCTTTTCTATAGTCACAATTTATGTTCAGTTTTGCTTTAGGTTTTAACAGCCAGGGCTCATTTCCTGGAATTTGGGGTACATAATGCTTCAGACCTCCATTGCCCCTTTGAATGCCACTTATACCAATATAAAATAAAGCCATAGTTAAGGAAGAAGGCTGGCTCTTCTTCCAGTTTCTCCTTGCTCATCTATTGTTCCAGCCCTAGCTTACCATGCACAATCCCAGAGTAATCAGTATGCTTTCTTAAAAGAAAGTAATTTTTTGCAACTCTTATAAATCAATGAACTTTTTATTATAAATCAATGGATTTCTTGTTTTGTATGTTTTATATTTATTTATTTATTTTAAGGAGCTCAAATAATTTTGAATCTAAATATTAATATTTTAATCTTTAAAAATTCAAAGATTTTCTCATATTCCAAATTTTATTATAAGACAAAATAATATACACATTGATTTATAATGTAATCGGAATTCTGTAGCAGAACCCCTCTTACCCCCAGTCTAAATTTATAACAGGACTCTTCTGGATTTTAAAAGTCAGATCAGACTCCTGGTTTTCAGTCCAGCATGTAAAAAGCTTGAAAGTTGCCACTGTGTCCTAAGAACAAGTAAAAATCTGAACAAACTGAAAAATCAACAACTGTTCTAGATCTGTAAGAGAAGTAAGGCCACAGGACAAACCACTGCCTCCAAAATTGGAGAGAGCAACAGGCAAATACAGAGAATCATAACTTACCAGAGGCAGAAACTTCTGAGTAGCAACCTCTGTAGGGACTAGTACTAGGCTACTGTCACTCAGCACATCAAGTGCAGCTAACAACAAAAACTTATAACGTATACTAAAAGGAAAAAACACAGTTCGAAGAAACAAAGCAAGCATCACAACCAGACTCCAATATGACAGGAATGTTGAAATTATTCGACCAGAAATTTAAAACAATTATGATTAATATGCTAAAGGTTCTTATGGAAGAGGTAGGCAGTGTGCAAGAATAGTTGGGCAATGTAAGTAGAGAGGTGGAAATTCTAAGAAAGAACCAAAAAGAAATGCTAGAAATAAAAACATTGTAACAGAAATTAAAAATACCTTAAATGGGTTTATTAGTAGACTGGACACCACTGAGGAAAGAATCTCTGAGCCTGAGGCTATCTTAATAGGAACATCTAAAACTGAGAAGCAAGCAAAAAGAGACTGGAAATTTAAAAAACAGAACAGGATATCTCTAAGAACTGTGGACAACTAGAAAAGGCATAACATATATATGATGAAAATACCAGAGTATAAATAAAGACAGTAAGAAACAAAATATTTAAAATAATAATGACTGAGAATTTTCCTAAATTAATGTTAGACAACAAACTACAGATTAAAGAAGCTCAGAAAATGCCAACCAGAATAAATGCTGAAAAAACCACACCTGGGCTGTCATTTAAAAGCTACAGAAAATCAAAGTTGAAGTCCTGAAAAAAAACAGAGGGAAGAAAACACCTTATCTTTAGAGGAGCAAAGATAAGAATTACACCTGACTTCTCCTCAGAAACCATACAAGCAAGAAAAGAGTGGAGTGAAATATTTAAACTGTTGAGAAAAAAACTTACCAACCCAGAATACCATGTGAAATTATCCTTCAAAAGTGAAGGAGAAATGAAAATTTTCTCAGACAAACAAAAATTGAGAGAATTTGTTGTCAGTAGACCTGCGTTGCAAGAAATGTTAAAAGAAGTTCTTTAGAGAGAAAGAAAATGATATAAGTCAGAAATGTGAATCTACATAAAGAAAGGAAGAGTATCAGAGAAGGAATAGGTGAAGATTAAATAGAAACTGTTATTTTTCTTCTTCTTAGTTGGTTTTCAGATAACAGTTTGTTTCAAATAACAAACATATGTAGTTTGTTGTCTAACATTAATTTAGGAAAATTCTCAGTCATTATTATTTTAAATATTTTGTTTCTTACTCTATTTATACTCTGGTATTTTCATCATACATATGTTATGCCTTTCATTGGTTCCAAATAACACCAACGATATTTTCAATTATGTATGCGTATACATATGGTTAAATATGCTTATGTACACATATGCTTATATATACTTATATATAAGTAAAATAAATGGACAGCAATGATACAGGGGAGATGAATTAGGATTATTTTGTTATTGTAAGGTACCTATGCTACCTGTGAAATGGTAGAATGTGACTTGAAAGTGGACTTGGATTACTTGTAAACGTATATCGCTAACTCTATGGCAACCACTTTAAAAATTAAAAAGAAAAGTACAACTGATATGCTAAGAAATTGAATTATATGTAGTGCTTACTTAAAACTACAAAAGGCACATAAAGAGTAGAAAGCAAAAATAGGAACAAAGAACAAGAGCAACAAATAAAAAATAGTTTTAAAAGTCATCTATATGTATATGATTTATACATATAGATGACTTTTAAAATTATTTTGTATATATAGTAAAAGTATATATAACATATGCAAAAGTATATATTATATATAATATATATATATATATAAATCCAGAACACTGAAAATATCAAATCGTGGTGACAATGTGGAGCAACAGGAACTCTTATCCACTGCTGGCAGGAATGCAAAATAGTACTGCCACATTGAAAGACAGTTTGAGAGTTCTTACAAAACTAAACATACTCTTACCACAAGATCCAGCAATTTCATTCCTTGATGTTTACCCAACAGAGTTGAAAACTTAGGGCCACACAAAAATGTGCATATGGATATTTATAGCAGCTTTATTAATAATTGCTAAAAGTTGGAAGCAACCAAGAAGTCCTTCAGTAGGTGAATGGACAATAAAATGTGATACATCTAGACATGGGATATTATTCAATTCTAAAAAAAAAAATGAGCTATCAAAGCATAAAAAGACATGCAGAAACATTAAATGTACATTACTAAATGCAAACCATCTGAAAAGGCTACCTACTATATGATTCCAACTGTATGATATTCTGGAAAAGGCAAAACCATGTAGGCAGTAGAAAAATCAGTGGTTGCCAGGAGTTAAGGAGGAAAGAGGGATGAGAAGGCAAAACACAGAGAATTTTTAGGACAGTGAAACTATTCTGTATGATACTATAATGGTGGATACATGCCATTACACAATTGTCCAAACCTAACCAAGAGTGAACCCTCATGTAAACTATGGACTTTGGGTGATAATGGTGGGTCAATGCAAGTCCATCAGTTGTAACAAACGTAGTACTATAAGGGGCAGGGAGTATAAAAATACAGGAAGTTATACATGTGGGAAGGGCAGGGGGTACATGGGAAATCTCTGTACCTTTCACTCAATTTTTCTATGAACCTAAAACTACCCTAAAAAATTAAATCTACTTTAAAATATGTATATATATATAAGTTTTTTAAAAATCAAATTAGGCTGAGCACAGTGGCTCAAGCCTACAAGCCCAGCACTTTAGGAGGCTGAGGCAGGAGGATCACTTGAGTCTAGGAGTTCAAGACCAGCCTGGGCAACCCAGGAAGACTCTGTTTCTACCAAAAACAAAAAAAAATTTTTTTAATTAGCTAGGCATGGTGACTGATTTGGTCCTAGCTATTCGGGTGGCTGAAGTGGGAGGATTGCTTGGGCCTGGGAGGTCAAGGCTGCAGTGAGCCACGATTAGGCCACTGCAATCCAGCCTGGGCAACAGAGAGCAACCCTGTCTCAAAATAATGATAATAATAAATTAGTGAAGACCTCAGAATACTGATGATAAATGGGGAATAAATCTAGCTCATGAACAGAGTAAAAGCCTAAATAAAAATACAGCAAAAAATGATAATGATATTTTCAAAGGAACAAATGTAGCTGATCCAAACCTTGCAGTTTTAAAGCATTACATTTGTACTCTATGGTCCTTTAGAATGGCTTCCAGCTTACTGAAGAGAGACTGCCTCTCTACAGGCCAAATTACAACACTAAGGCAGATTGAGGGAGAAATATAATCAACCATTTGTTGATTATTTATTTTTTAATCATGTCCTCAAGCATGTACAGATGTAAGAAAGCATGTGGCCTCAGACTGGAGCTGTTTGCAAACAGCAGGATTGCCTGGCCCAAGAAATGGCGCTTGGTGTGTGATGAAAGCCACCCTTCTAAAACCGTGTTTGGTTAGCACCTATGCCCTGCTGAAATTGGCATAGCACATTCTCTGTGGGCATGCTGCCAGCCTAACAGATGGGCCTGAATGTAACCCTGCCAGAGAATCAGTGTGTGCAATGAGTTCACAACTGTGGTTAGACTCCTTTCCAAAGATGTTGCATCTACTTAGGCTGCCCAGCAAAAATTTCTGACTTTCATGTCTTCAAATGGCATTAATGAATAAGTAAATAGTTCTCGAAATCAGTGGTTCTCAAACTGTGGTTCCCTGGACCAGCAGCACCAGCACCATGTAGGAAATCACTAGAAACACAAATTCTCAGGCCCTACCTTTAACCTACTGAATCAGAAACTCTTGGGGTGGGGCCCAGCAACACGTGGTTTAACAAGCCCAGCTGCTGATTCTAATGCAGCTAAAGTTTGAGAACCACTGCACTAAACGACTGGTTCCCAAACATTTGCATTATTTGAGAATTTTTTTAAAATACTGATGCTTATGCGTCAAGTCCAGAGATTTCAATTTAATTGGTATATGGTGCAGCCTAGACATCAAGAATTGTTACATGTCCACAGTTGACTCTAATGTGCAGCAGTGTTTGAGAAGCACCATTCTAGCTCATCAGAATACCTAGCACAAGCTTTGAGGAGAAATGCTTCAGACCTTCCTAAATGCAGATAAGTCTATATTGAAAGAGAATATGTATAGATCTTTGCTTAAATAATTCTTTGATTGATGGATCATTTTATTTTGAGCCCTGAGATATAATAAAGTTTATGTAAAATCTGGCTTTCAGCAAAGCTCCTCTGTGGGTCACTTACCTTCAAGCTTACCTTTTCTCACAGTACTATATTTAACTTTGCTTCTGATTTCAGTGTGCTTTTTTTATCTCATTGAACTGGACACCTTCTGATGTAATATCCTAAACCCCTATTCTACTGGTATCCTGCTCCTTGTATCTTCTTCCCAGTGAGGGAGAGACCTGATATCAAAATATTTAAACTTCGAACAATCTCAGTTGAGAAAAAAAAAAAAAAGGCTCTTTAAGCCGCAAGGTTACCCTGCATATTTGGTATTCATAAGTATTTTAATAAGAAGACAAGAGGAGGAAAACTTGATATATCAACTAATTTGCTAGGTTTTCCCAACTGATTTCACATCAAAACACATATAGAAATGATAATATTCGCACAATCCACTGGAGTGAATGGGACAGGTGGCTGACCACCTGTCTGCTTTGAGGGCAAGAGATCAAAAACTCACACACCAAATTCACTGTTGGGAAGGTCTGAAACGATGAAAATGCAGATACACAAATGAAATGTTAACATAGTTTTATGAAAAATGAAATGGAACAAATAAATACCTGTTTCCTTTCAGGTTTTCATCAACAAATCTATTTTAACATGACAATGATGGTCCTTTATTGTACTTTTGACACTGCTAAGGTTCAGCTTGATGCTGATAAGAAACAATGAGGTGAGAAGTTAAGTGACTGGAATTAGCTTCCTACAGTAGAAGTCACTCAGTTATGTCACTTACCAGCTATGTGACCTTGAGCAAGTAATTTAATCATGTTGTACTTTAATTTACCTAACTACAAAATGCAGAAATAATAGTACCTGTCTCATAAGATTAAGAAATGTTTTGTTGGCCAGGTATAGTGGCTCATGCTTGTAATCCCAGCACTTTGGGAGGCTGAGGTGGGTGAATTGCTTGAGCTCAGGAGTTCAAGACCAGCCTGGGCAACATGGCAAAACCCTGTCTCTACAAAAAATACAAAAAAAAAGTAATATTTTTTAAAAAGGAAAATTTTTGTAATTTATCTTTTATTGATATGTAATAGTTATACATATGGGGTACATGTGATATTTTGATACATATATACAGCATGTAATGATCAAATCAGAGCAATTGTGATATCCATCACCCCATCATTTATCATTTATTTGTGTTGGGAACATTTCAAATCTTCTCTTCCAGCTGTTTTGAAATATACAATAAATTCTTAACTATAGTTGCCCTACTGTGCTAGCGAACACTAAAACTTATTCCTTCCAGTTCCATCTGTGTTGTTGCAAATGACAGGACTTTATTCTTTTTATGGCTTCATAATATTCCATCATATATACCATATTTTCTTCATTAATCCATTGATGGACACTTGGGTTGACTCCATATCTTGGCTACTATGAATAGTGCTGCAATAAACATAGGAGTGCAGATATCTTTTAGATATACTGATTTCCTTTCTTTTGTATATATACCCAGCAGTGAGATTGATGGATCATATGGTAGTTCTATTTTCAGTTGTTTGAGGATGTTATGAAAATTAAATAAGTTAATATAAAAAAGCACGTGGTAAGTCATGATTAAATGGTCGCTGTTCTTATTAACACTGACTACATTTAATTATTGCATTGGTGGACCTACTGCTAGCCCATAACTTCATTTCCCTTATCTCCATCTCCCCTGACTCTGTGATGATGGATCTACTGAAGGAATGGACATTCAACCACTCTTTTTTTTTTTCATTATTGTTGTAAGATGAGTCATTCAGCCATTCTAACAGATGAACAGAACAGGGTACCGGCGAAGTCCAAGGAAGTTGTGAGGCATGCTTCTGCAGTTGCCTGACTACACATGATAAATAGCCTACACTTTCCAGGCTATTTGTGATAACTCCAGCTCCCCAAAAACTCTGGACAGTGGCTTTGTCACTTACAGGCTTGCTGCATAAATAAATCTTAGCTATTCAATATCTATATTATTCATTCAAAAAGGACTCTGAGCAATTTCATAAAGATCAAAAGTAGAATAATGGTAAGCAGGTACTGTAAGGAGTGAAGACTTACTGTCTAATGGATACAGAATTTCAGTTTGGGATGATGAAAAAGTTATGGAGATGGATGGTGGTGATGGTGGCACAACAATGTGATTATACTTAATGCCACTGAACTGTATACTTAAAAATGGTAAAAATGGAAAATTTTATGTCATACATATTTTACCACAATTGTTTAAAAGGACTTCGAAAACAGGAAACAGGAATATTATTCTCTCATATTCTCCTACTCTAGTTAGTTACTTTTGTTGGTAAGGGACAGATATTCACTCAAGTTTCCACAAGTAATGGCTGTTTATTGCAAGACTTAAGATGGAAGCCAGGATCTCATGGTGATCAATGAGCAGGGACCAGAAATGGAACAGAAACTGGGACTGTACCAAGAACCCTCAGGAGCAAGAACTGTGAGCCTTCCCTCAAGAGCTCCACCAGAAACACTGCTCAGCCTCCTCTTGTCCCTGCTTCTCTTCACATATCTTCTAGCTAAACCGTATGTAACTAACCTGCACAATGTGCACATGTACCCTAAAACTTAAAGTATAATAAAAAGAAAAAGAAAAAAAAAAGACTGAATTCCTCTTCATCTTTTCTTTTTCTAGTAGCTTAAGCTTAGTTATTGTCTCACCTTCTGCAAGGCTTAGTTTCCTCATAATCTGGCTGTGCTCTTGGCCTCTATTCTACATTATACCCCCACTATACATTATTTCATATCAGTTTCTACTATGAGTCCCCTCATATTCTGTATCCCGAATCAGATTCTCATAGGTAAGCATATAATTGGTCCAACTTGTTCCTCTTTGAACAGTTTTTTAAGCTAAATCACCCCATGAGCTGCTCTCCCATCATACTTTGGCTCCCTCTGGTCTAAGCAGCCATATTAAAGGTGGATTTATATGGTTTAAAATATGGCCACCTTCAACTGCCTCTTTAGCAGCAGTGGTGGATATGAAAGACTGTGATAGCCCCATCCAGTACAATCTTGTTTGCTGTATCTTCTCTCCTTATGCTCTGGAATAATAACCCCTCTCTAGGCAAAGCCACAGCAACTACATCTGGGTTCAGTGGCATCTTAGACATTTGTATATATCAGGAGGATCTCTACTATCAAATAGAGCTAAAGACCAAATGGCTGGCCTGGAGATTACATCAGCAGCAGCACTGGAGATCGCCAACACATGTCCCTACCAAAGAGCATGTTTCAGGTGAGACCACAATGCAAAACTATTTTAAAACACTTAGCTTGATTTTACAGCACATTTTTTACCCCTATTGGTTAATCATTATGTTCCTAATTTTGGCATAGCGTAAATCCAAAAAAAATCCTCTGGACAAACGTATCATTTTAAGTCAGCAAATTATTTTTAGTTCTTGGTCATTAAATCCTAACATATATCTAGCACGTTTGGCCTGTAGCAATTGTATTAATTATTGATGTTTTAAACTGCAGAAAATAGTTTATCATGTGGGCAACAAACTAAGTAAAATATCCCCTAAACTTGGAGATATAGGGCACTATTTCTTGAGATATCAGATCGGGCTGTCCGAGTCCTGTAGAGCAGCTGGCTCAATCCACCTCTGCAGGGCTCGAAGCTTCTAGGCAGAACAGGCAGAAAAGCTGCATTGTGGGTGCCCCCAAGTGGGTACAATTTGATGTGCACGCTGAGGATTTTCTCGCCAGCTCCTCTAGCATTCGGTCATGTCTGTGAAGTGATTTTAAAGATGGAGAAAAGCTAAAACGCGTGTATGTTTTACAATATACATCTCTCATAATATCAACTGAAGCAATATTTAATGTTTCAGTCTACCACAGATCATTTATTTTCTAGCAAATGTCTTTCAGAAATGTTTTCAAGTTATGCTGCCATTAAAATATGGAGTAGAAAAAGAATGGAGTTTAGTGTCAGACAAAACTTGACTTTGAACACTGGCTCAGCACCTTACTAGCTGTGTGGCCTTGGGAAATTCATTTTACTTTCCTAATCTATAGTTGTCTCATTTCTAAAATAAATTCAGGAGTATTGGAAAGGAAATTTACCTCGTAGGGTTATTTACTGGATAAGGCAATAACGTAATATGATCAGTGTGCAGCACATTGTAAGTGCTCAATAAATATAATTTATTATTGTTTGTAAAAAATATTTATTGAGATATACTGATATATTAAAATTCTAGGAGGTCCTCAATACCTTTTCAATAAATCCCTTTCCTACTTAAATCAGCCACAGGCAATTTCTATTATTTACAACTAATAACTGGGAAATATATATGATCATAGCCAGGAAAAAGTATGCAGTTGACCTGTATTCTTCAAAAATGTCAATGTGGCTGGGCCCACATTAGAGGGGAAAAATTCTATAAAGAACCTTACTGGAACAATTGATGAAATTGGACTATGAACTGCAGACTAGGTAAAAGTTTTATATCAATGTTAAATTTCCTGAATTTGATAACTATACTGTGGCTATGTAAGAGAACCTTCTTGTTTTGAGAAAATATGCACAGAAATATTAAGGGGCATAATGCAGGCAACCTACTTTCCAATGGCTTAGAAAAGTAATTAAAATATCTATAAAATGTCTTTGTGCAAATGTGTATAGATGATAGACACATAGATGTTTATGTATACAGTTAATAC
The DNA here is from genome assembly GCF_000001405.40 of Homo sapiens. Lineage (NCBI taxonomy): Eukaryota > Metazoa > Chordata > Mammalia > Primates > Hominidae > Homo > Homo sapiens. The sequence continues at coordinate 175,202,818 of NC_000002.12, read as the reverse complement.
CATACGTGTGTGTGTGCATGCATGCACACAGTCAGAGAGAGTATTAAAAATTATGGAAAATGGCAAAATTTATTGAATCTGCATAAAAAATAAATAGGAATTCTCAGCATACTTGCAACTTTTCATGGTTTAAAATTTTAAGTTTAAAAACCTACGTTTAAAATGTACATAAAGAAATGTAAAAGGTAGTGAAGTAGCCCCTGAAAAAAATTAGCTAACTATCCAGAACTTTGAGAAAACACACAAAATTTTTGCAAATTCTTTAGCAAATAATATCTGTTAAATGTTAAATGAATGTCTGCTCTCTAAATAACATTGAAATATATCAACTAATTCTTTTTGAAAATTGAGAATTAAAACATAAATGGTTTTCATGAGCAAGAAAAATTATGAACTTCAAGAGCTCAAAGGAACCATAGAGATTACCTAGTCCAGGTTTCTTTCAAAGACAGAAAATCATCCAAATTCCCTTAGGGACACGTCATCCACTCTTACTCTATGAGATAATCACCCTACACTAATTACTTGATGGTTTAAAATTATATATGGCTCATTATTCTGAAAACTAGTAAATAAAAGGAAAAACTCAACAATTTAATTCTGGCTTTTTGGTTCTAATTGTATTATCGGGTAACAAAAATCGTTGATAAAGGAAAGCTCTTCTTTGCAAGATAATTCCAGCTAATAGACGAAGAAGAAATGATAGGAAAAGAATATTGTCGTTTTTCAATTCTGATGAAATAATGGATCTAGGTAGTAATCATTAATGGCCACTAAAATCACTAAGTGAAAAGCTGACAGGGAATTATAATAAATCAGGCTGACCTCACTGATTAATTACAACATCACAAAAAAGACAATCAGATGTTATGTGTCTCCTAAATGGTGCACATAGGAAGTACACAACATCACCTGTGAATGCTATTTGAAGAAAGCAAAAATCCAAATCAGACCAAGCCTGTAGCTCTAACTCCCAGTTTAGAGGGTATATAGGGTTCAGATGAACATGTTTAGTAATACCATGAGGATAAAATTAGCAAAATCCAAAATGTGGGAAACTGCATGACAAAAAATCTAGTTTGTTCAACTAATCAATTTGAAAGAAGAGGAAGGGAGAATCTATAGATTAAAAGAGACTTAAACGACATATGACTCATTATAATTTATAGACTTGTTCAGATCTTTAATTTCAACAAACCAACTATTAAAAAATATTATATATTTTTTATATATTGCCTGATCCTTTTGAATCAGGCAATCAGATCAACACTAGCTGGATCTTTGATAATATTAACAAAGTGTTAAATATTTTAGATGTGATAGTGGTTTGTGGTTATGTTTTTCAGAAAAGAGTCCTATGGAAATCATACTTAAACATTTATAATTTAAATATTATGATGTCTGGAATGGGTTTCAAAAAAAATGAGGTAGTGAGGAAACGACGTGGATGAGAAGAATAGAAGACACAAGATTGACCACGTGTTGATAAGTGCTAAACCTGGAAGACAGGTGGGAATTTATTATACTATTTCCTTTCTTAATATGTTTTAAATTTCCATTATAAAATTGTAAACATTATTTTTAAAAGATTGAGGTAACTTTGTTTACTGAAATTGAAATACTAATACGTATGAGTTGAAAAGTCAAGGTCGATTAAGGTAGCTCTGTGCTGTGTTTACTGAAATTAAAATACTTATACATATTAGTTTTAAAATAATTTTTATTATGGTAAAATATACATAACATAAAAGTTACCATTTCAACCATTTTTAAGTGTACAGTTCAGTTGCATTAAATGCATTCACATGTTGTGCAAACATCACCACTATCCATTTCATGAAAGATGAACTTTTCATCTTCCCAAGCAGAAGCTCTGTGCCCATTAAGCAATAACTCCCAATTTCCCCTGGCCCCGGCCCTGGGAACCTCTATTTTACTTTCTGTCCTTATGAATTTGCTAAACCTAAGCATGCCACATGAGTAGAATCATATACTATTTATCCTTTTGAATCTGGCTTACTTCACTTAGCATGTTTCCAAAGTTCATCCATGTTGTAACACACATCAGAACTTTACTCCTTTTTAAGGCTGAATAATATTCTATTGCATGCGCATACCATATTTTGTTTATTCATTTATTTGTTGATGGACATGTGGGTTCTTTCCACCTTTTGGTTACTGTAAATAATGTTACATGAACATTGACGTACAAGTATCTGTTTGGGTCACTGCTTTCAATTCTTTTGAGTATATGCCTAGAAGTGGAATTGCTGAATCATATGGTAATTCTGCGTTTAACTTTCTGAGGGACTACTATACTGTTTTCAACAATGACTGCCATTTTATATTCCCAACAGCAACAAACAAGGGTACCAGTTTCTCCACGTCCCCACCAACCCTTGTTATTTTTCTTTTTTTTTAATACCAGCCATCCTAATGTGTGTGAAGTGGTATTTCATTGTGACTTTGATTTGCATTTTCCTAATGACTAGTGATGTGGGTTTTTTCATGTGCTTAATGCCCATTTGTATATCTTGTTTGGAGAGGCATCTATTCAAGACCTTTGTCCATTTTTATTTATTTATTTATTTATTTTTTTGAGATGGAGTGTCACTCTGTCACCCAGGCTGAAGTGCAGTGGTGCTATCTCAGCTCACTGCAACCTCCACCTTCTGGGTTCAAGCAATTCTCCTACCTTAGCCTCTCAAGTAGCTGGGACTACAGGCACACACTGTCAGGCCTCTGAGCCCAAGCTAAGCCATCATAACACCTGTGACCTGCACGTGTACATCCAGATGGCCTGAAGCAACTGAAGAACCACAAAAGAAGTGAAATAGCCAATTCCTGCCTTAACTGATGACATTCCACCATTGTGATTTTTTCCTGCCCCACCCTAACTGATCAATTGACCTTGTGACATTTCTTCTCCTGGACAATGAGCTCCCCACTGAGCACCTTGTGTCCCCCACCGCTGCCCGCAAGAGAAAACCCCCTTTAACTGTAATTTTCCACTACTACCCAAATCCTATAAAACTGCCCTGCCCCCCCCCCCACCGCCCAGCTCCCTTTGCTGACCCCTTTTTTGGACTCAGTCTGCCTGCACCCAGATGAATAAAAAGTTTTATTGCTCACACAAAGCCTATCTGGTGGTCTCTTCACATGAATGCACATAACACATGCTACCATGCCCAGCTAATTTTTGTATTTGTAGTAGAGATAGGGTTCACCATATTGGTCAGGCTGGTCTCAAACTCCTGACCTCAAGCGATCCACCCACCTCAGCCTCCCAAAGTGCTGGGATTACAGGCATGAGCCACCGAGCCTGGCCTGTCCATTTTTAAATTGGGTTGTTTTGGTTCTTGTTGTTGAGTTGTCAGAATGCTTTACATATTCTGGGTGTTTTAACTTTATCAGATATATAAATATTTTTCACCATTCTGTGTGTTGTCTTTTCACTCTCTTAAGAGTAACCTTTGATGTATAGAAATTTTAATACTGCTAAAGTCCAATCTATCTATTTGTTGTTGTTGTCTGTGATTTTGGTGTCATATCCAAGAAATTATCACCGAATTTAATGTCATGAAAATTTTCTCCTATGTGTTCTTCTGAGAGTTTTGTAGTTTTAGACCTTACATTTAGATCTTTGATGCATTTTGAGTTATTTTTGCATGTGGTATAAGGTAAGGGTCCAACTTCATAATTTTGCATGTAGATATTCAGTTTTCCTAGCATCATTTATTGAAAAGAAGGTATCAGTTTTTATTTAAGAAAATTAAAACCATATTCATATATTTCCACATAAAAACATAGTAAAATATCTGGAAAGATACACATTAAACTGTTAATAATGATTACTTCTGGGAAGGAAAACAACACTGGGGAGTAGGCTGTGCAAGAGCTATGGTTTTTGCTCTACGTAATTCATATTGTTTAGATTACTTACGAGCTCATATTCCTGCATTTCTTATATAATTATAAAAGGATTGTTTTGCTCTTGGTTTTAAGAGAAAGTTGGTCAGATGTGAAAGCACAGGACAAGTAGGCCAAGAGTCAATATTTCGGCAGGATAGAGATCCAAATTAAATAAAAACTCTGAGGCAGAAGAGTTGAGCGTGAGAAGGAATTAGCAGATCTCAAGGGTAATGCTGTTTGTCCAGATAATTTGGCAGCAGCAATAGCAAATAGGGACAGTAAAGAAGACTTGGTCTTAATTCTCAACCTTCCCCTACCATTCCCCACAATTTATTATATTTTTAATCTTCAGCTGTGTTTGGGTAGGTTATATTTTGCTAATATATGAAAGAGATAACTGAAGACTCAGAGGTCTCTGAACTTTACTACAGCAAAGCAGTCAGAGTTACAAAGAAGTTCTTATGCAATGGGTGTCTAGAGGATGGGAACTGGGCCATTTTGGCCAAATCAGAGGGTTTCAATAATGGGCAAGGTGGGGGAAGGACAGGAAAACAAAGAAGGCTTTTAAGCTTACATTAATTAGTATACATTTTATTCTAGGTTTTTCATCAAACGAATATCTTTTTTTTTTTTTTTTTTTTTTTTTTGAGACGGAGTCTTGCTCTGTCGCCCAGGCTGGAGTGCAGTGGCGCAATCTCGGCTCACTGCAAGCTCCGCCTCCTGGGTTCACGCCATTCTCCTGCCTCAGCCTCCTCAGTAGCTGGGATTACGGGCGTCCGCCACTATGTCCGGCTAATTTTTTTGTATTTTTTAGTAGAGACGGGGTTTCACTGTGTTAGCCAGGATGGTCTCGATCTCCTGACCTTGTGATCCGCCCGCCTCGGCCTCCCAAAGTGCTGGGATTACAGGCGTGAGCCACCATGCCCGGCCCAAATAAATATCTTAAGAAAGCAGTCTAACAATTGCATGTAATAAATAAATAAAATGCTTGTTGAATGAATGAATGAGACACAAGAATCTAAAGAGAGGAGATGAAGACAAGTGGATTAAATAAGAGTAGATTAACACCAGTAAGATATTAGTGTAAATAGAATGGTTTCAGTGGGGGAAGAAAATAAAGGAATGTGTCTAGACTTGTTCCCCAGTAACACTGGACAGGACCCCTATAAGATCAAAATTGTGAATCCTGGCCGGGCGCGGTGGCTCTCGCCTGTAATCCCAGCACTTTGGGAAGCCAAGGTGGGCAGATCACCTGAGGTCAGGAGTTTAAGACCAGCCTGGACAACATGGTGAAACCCCATCTCTACTCAAAATATAAAAATTAGCCAGGCATGATGGCAGGTGCCTATAATCCCAGCTACTCGGGAGGCTGAGATGGGAGAATCGCTTGAACCCAGGAGGTGGAGGTTGCAGTGAGCTGAGATCACGCCATTGCACTCCAGCCTGGGTGACAGAGCGAGACTCCATCTCAAAAAACACAAACAACAACAACGACAAAAAAGTGTGAATCCAGAAACCCATGACTTTTACCCTCCAGTAAGCTATCAGTGAAACTGACCCATCATTGAACTGACACTGTCTCACATTTCTTGGCCTTCTTTCTATTACCTTTCTGGCCAAAACTCTGTCATTGATGATTCTTCTCTAGCTGCCCTGTTCCTGCAGGGTTTTCTAACCTAACAGCAACTTGAAACCACCGGAGCCCAACCTGGAAATGTATTTCCAGCTCTTCATTTTTTTTTTTTTTGACACGGAGTCTCGCTCTATCACCAGGCTGGAGTGTAGTGGCATGTTCTTGGCTCACTGCAACCTCTACCTCCCGGGTTCAAGTGATTCTCCTGTCTCAGCCTCCCGAGTAGCTGGGACTACAAGCATGCACCACCACACCCACCAGCTGTCTTTTAACAGCCAATGTAGTTCATAAAGTGTTGTGTAGCTTTATGCTCAAGAGCATTTCAGCAGCACTATTACGTACCAGCTTCCTGTTTCTACCTGCCTAGAGGTATCAGCCTTCTCTTCTTGTACACTTCTGTCCGTTTCTTGGGTATGTGTTTTTTTTTTCCTATTTTCCCAAATTTTGGGTGCCCAGAATAAGCTTGGTCCTATGACCCAACCCACTGGCTAGTATACCTACTATGCTTTTGTAGATCCTATCAACATTTTGTCAGGGCACAGCCCTGCTGCTCATATCCCTGACCTTGCACTAAAATGACCTATCCCTTATAACAAAGTCCACCTCAGCTGCCTGAATTCCAAAATCAAGGCTGCATCCACTCTCCTTCGTTTGTCCTCCCAGATTAATGACCCATGTCTAGAATCAGACAAAAGTTTGACTACTGTATTAGTTTCCTTCTACTGCTGTAACAAATTACTACAGACTTGTTGGCTTAAAACAACATAAATTTATTACCTTACAGTTCTGGAGGTCAGAAGTCTAAAATGGGTCCCAGCAGGCTAAAATCAAGGTGTTGCCAGCACTGCATTCCTTCTAGAGGCTCCACAGAACTCACTGCCCTTCCTTTCCAGATTCTGGAGGCTGCCCGCATTCCTTGGTGGGTGGCCTCCTTCCATATCTTCAAAGCCAGTGACAGCTAGTGGAGTCTTCCTCATGCGGCACCACTCTAATTCTGCCATCATCACAGCTCCTTCTCTGATTCTGGACCTCCAGCCTCCCTCTTTAACTTTATAAGGGCCCTTGTGATTACATCATGCCCATCCAGATAATCCAGGCAAATCGCCTTGCCTCAAAATCCTTAGTTTAATCACATCTGCACAGTCTCTTTGGCCATGTGAGGTAACACATTCCAAGGTTCTGGGGATTAGGACATGGATATTTTTTGTGGTAGTGGGGAACCATTCTGCCTACCAAAAGCGCGCTCCAAAGTATTTATCTAAAGAAGTCACAGTCTTTCTATGGGGGAAGCAGTTATCACTTTAGTCCCTGAATTTACCCTGAACTCCTTATACCTCGTTTCTTTTCCCAGTTCATTCCCCAGAGCTCTCAGCATGCTGTGTGATCGGATGTTAGCTGATACTGACCAAAAATAAGAGTGTGGTACAAAAAAGCATGAATTGGATGTTCTGAGCCAAGAGGTTAAAAAAATAGTGAGGAAATAGGGTGGGGAAAAATTTGACTAAGGTTAACTCTTGAGAAGTTAAAATTGCTAGGATCTTAAGATAAGAATTTGTACACAGTTTGCTATAGTCTAGTAAAGTTTCCAGAAAGATGGACAATTTACCTGCTGTCTGTATTGTTGTAGATTATGTACCCTCTATTAGCCAGAGACCATGGGATGAGCAGATAGAAAGAGGAAAGTCTGACAACAAATCCCTCCACCTAAATCTGAGATTCTTGCACTCTTGAGGTATGCAATGGTGGGATAGGATGTGAGCAAAACCATAAGAAAGCAGGACCTATCTCCTAGCACATCAGTTTTACTGGAGAATAAGGCAGAGAATTCAGTAATTTAATTGGTAATTTAAAGTATTTTAAATTATCTCAATCAGATACACAATAGAATGTAATATAAACATTGCATAATTTTTTTAAAGATTTGAAGTTTTTTCTAAGCTAAAATAGAACAGAAGCCTTAAAAAAGTTTTACTGGTTCTTTAAGGCTATACTCTCATAGGGGATCTGTTTATCTCCACTGATGGTAGAACAAGTTCAGAGGATTCCCTTAAATGGTCAAGAAGGGCAGATGGAGGCCAGGTGCAGTGGCTCATGCCTGTAATCCCTGCACTTTGGAAGGCCAAGGCAGGCAGATCACTTGAGCTTAGGAGTTCCAGACCAGACTGGGCAACATGGGGGATAGGACCCTCTAAATTAAAAATTAAAGCTTTTAACTACTGTGTTCTCTGCTTTGTTTTTCTGTAGTTATTGATCATGGGTGTTTGTCAGACCATGTTTTCTACTTCAAGTTCAAATACAAGTTTTTAATTTAAAACGTGCATCTTTTGTTTAGCTATCCTCTAGTTCAAATCAATGAAAGCAATTTTAACAAGCACTGTAATTCAATCCATGAACAAATCCTGATGCTACCACTTACAGACCCCATTTTGTAGAATGTGTCTCCTTGATGTTTTGCCTCTGAACATCATACTCCGCTTAAAATTATTATATAGCGATCACTACTTTAAGCCAAGTTCCCTGGCTTGGGGACCTGGCATAGGAAACTAACCTAATTTTCAAAGTCCAGAGATCAGAAATTTTTAGAAGGGCAAGATGGGTAAGGAAAAGTCTGAAACTAATCATCTAATGGAATAAATGATTGGAATCAGTAATGGGAAAAGGTGGCTGAGAAAAGTATGACTAGTTCTGTGTAACCCTGTTATTCCTCCATAGGACCATGATAATCCAAAAATGGAGAGAAAATGAAGTATACTCAGCATGATGCACTTGTACCACATGCAAACCCTAGAATTCTGTAATTGATACAAGGAATTGACTAGGAATACAACCCTTACAGACCTCACTGGGAATACAGTAGCAGAAAATTTTGATACGTAGAAGTGCTTTGAAACATTTTGTTATTGTTGTGAAATTTCCTATCTCTTAACCAAAATTTGAATATCTGGGTTCATTAAATATAGATGAATTTGACTTCTTGAAGGAGAATGAGGACTTATACTTGCAATTGATTTTATTTAAAAATAGCCAAAATTCACATAACATCTTCCTATCACATATAAGAAACTATAGCCAATATATAGATAGAAAGGTACACACACACTCACACACTACACACACACAATGCTTTAAAACAAGGATAGCCTAGCCATAGATAGATTAGAGCTAGAATATAATTTGAAGAGTATTGGGTAGGGCTATAGACTAAAAGTACACCCAAGTCTATCACCAAGAACTGAAATTCAACATTTAGCCACGCTTCCCTTTGGTTTAATTAATGCAAACACACAGAAGGAATAATATATTTTATTAATTATTGTGAATTATTAAAACATTCCTAACACATTTTTTTAATTTTTAAAGTAATTCATGTTTATTGTAACATATCAAATAATACAGAGATGTACAAAGAAAAAGTTAACAGTTTATCCTTTCCTTCTCCAACCCCATTTCTCAAAAATTCATTGAGTGCCTCTTAATCAGCTAAGCATGTTCTAGACTATGTGAATACAGCAATGAAAAAAACAAAGTTGGCTGGATGCGGTGGCTCACACCTGTAATCCCAGCACTTTGGGGGGCCGAGGTGAGTGGATCACCTGAGACAGCCTAGCCAACATGGTGAAACCCCATCTCTACTAAAAAAAAAAAAAAAAAGTAGCTGGACGTGGTGGCACACATCTGTAATCCCAGCTACTCAGGAGGCTGAGACACGAGAATCACTTGAATCCAGGAGGCAGAGGTTGCAGTGAGCTGAGATCATGCCACAGCACTCCAGCCTGGGTGACAGAGCAAGATTCCATCTCAAAAAAAAAGAAGAAAAAGAAAAAAACAAAGTCCCTGTCCTCATAGATTTATAGTCTAATACAAGAGCCAAACAAACTAATGATCAATACATGACACTAGGTAGCAAGAAGAGCTCTGAAGAAATATAAAGATAGGTAAAGGATTTGGGAAGCCCTCTCTTAAGAGGTGACATTTGAGCAAAGACCTGAAGAAAGTGAAAGTGAGAGACAGGTGAATATCCAGGGGAAACGTATTACGAGCTGAAAGAACAAAACATACAGCATTGTGAGGTGGAGTGTAGTTCACATGATTCAGGAACAGCAAGGAGGCCAGTATGTGTGAAGCAGAATGAGCAAGGACTTGCCTTTTTATCCCTTAATAGAAACTCTTTCTATTTACTCTGTGTAATCATGCTACCAGCTATGCAGAGTTAAATTCATTTGTTCCGTTAATTTTTAATTTTTAGAAATTTTTAAAAATTTTACTTCTCATATGGTTTGCATGGTTCCAAATTCAAATCCACAAAGCAAAGTACACTCAAAGAAGTCCAGCTTCTATTCCTTTTTTTTTACATAATTTATTTTATATTTAGGATCATGAAGGAACTATTTTTTTTAATTATACTTTAAGTTCTAGGGTACATGTGATCAGTGTGCAGGTTTGTTACATATGTATACATGTGTCATGTTGGTGTGCTGCACCCATTAACTCATCATTTACATTAGATATATCTCCTAATGCTATCCCTCCTCCCTCCCGCCAGCCCACGACAGGCCCCGGTGTGTGATGTTCCCCACCCTGTGTCCAAGTGTTCTCATTGTTCAATTCCCACCTATAAGTGAGAACATGCAGTGTTTGGTTTTCTGTCCTTGTGATTGGTTGCTGAGAATGATGGTTTCCAGCTTCATCCATGTCCCTACAAAGGACATGAACTCATCCTTTTTTATGCATGCATAGTATTCCATGGTGTATATGTGCCATATTTTCTTAATCTAGTCTATCATTGATAGACATTCGGGTTGGTTCCAAGTCTTTGCTATTGTGAATAGTGCCGCAATAAACATATGTGTGCATGCGTCTTTATAGCAGCATGATTTATAATCCTTTGAGGATACACCCAGTAATGAGATGGCTGGGTCAAATGGTATTTCTAGTTCTAGATCCTTGAGGAATCGCCACACTGACTTCCACAATGGTTGAACTAGTTTACAGTCCCACCAACAGTGTAAAACTGTTTCTATTTCTCCACATCCTCTCCAGCACCTGTTGTTTCCTGACTTTTTAATGATCACCATTCTAACTGGTGTGAGATGGTATCTCATTGTGGTTTTGATTTGCATTTCTCTGATGGCCAGTGATGATGAGCATTTTTTCATGTGTCTGTTGGCTGCATAAATGTCTTCTTTTGAGAAGTGTCTGTTCACATCCTTTGCCCACTTTTTGATGGGGTTGTTTGATTTTTTTATTGTAAATTTAAGTTCTTTTTAGATTCTGGATATTAGCCCTTTGTCAGATGGGTAGATTGTAAAAATTTTCTCCCATTCTGTAGGTTGCCTGTTCACTCTGATGGTGGTTTCTTTTGCTGTGCAGAAACTCTTTAGTTTAATTAGATCCCATTTGTCCTTTTTGGCTTTTGTTGCCATTGATTTTGGTGTTTTAGACATGAAGTCCTTGCCCATCCCTATGTCCTGAATGGTACTGCCTAGGTTTTCTTCTAGGGTTTTTATGGTTTTAGGACTAACATTTAAGTCTTTAATCCATCTTGAATTAAGTTTTGTATAAGGCATAAGGAAGGGATCCAGTTTCAGCTTTCTACATATGGCTAGCCAGTTTTCCCAGCACCATTTATTAAATAGGGAATCCTTTCCCCATTTCTTATTTTGTCAGGTTTGTCAAAGATCAGATGGTTGTAGATGTATGGTATTATTTCTGAGGGCTCCCTTCTGTTTCATTGGTCTATATCTCTGTTGTGGTAACAGTGCCATGCTGTTTTGGTTACTGTAGCCTTGTAGTATAGTTTGACATCAGGTATTGTGATGCCTCCAGCTTTGTTCTTTTGGCTTAGGATTGTCTTGGCAATATGGGCTCTTTTTTGGTTCCATATGAAATTTAAAGTAGTTTTTTCCAGTTCTGTGAAGAAACTCATTGGTAGCTTGATAGGGATGGCATTGAATCTATAACTTACCTTGGGCAGTATGGCCATTTTCATGATATTGATTCTTCCTATCCATGAGCATGGAATGTTCTTCCATTTGTTTGTGTCCTCTTTTATTTCATTGAGCAGTGGTTTGTAGTTCTCCTTGAAGAGGTCCTTCACATCCCTTGTAAGTTGGATTCCTAGGTATTTTATTCTCTTTGAAGCAATTGTGAATGGGAGCTCATTCATGATTTGGCTCTCTGTTTGTCTGTTATTGGTGTATAGGAAGACTTATGATTTTTGCACACTGATTTTGTATCCTGAGACTTTGCTGAAGTTGCTTATCAGCTTAAGGAGATTTTGGGCTGAGATGATGGGGTTTTCTAAATACACAATCATATCATCTGCAAACAGGGACAATTTGACTTCCTCTTTTCCTAATTGAATACTCTTTATTTCTTTCTCCTGCCTGATTGCCCTGGCCAGAACTTCCAACACTATGTTGAATAGGAGTGGTCAGAGAGGGCATCCCTGTCTTGTGCCAGTTTTCAGAGGGAATGCTTCTAGTTTTTGCTCATTCAGTATGATATTGGCTGTGGGTTTGTCATAAATAGCTCTTATTATTTTGAAATGCATCCCATCAATACCTAGTTTATTCAGACTTTTTAGCATGAAGGGCTGTTGAATTTTCTCAAAGGCCTTTTCTGCATCTATTGAGATAATCATGTGTTTTTTGTCTTTGGTTCTATTTATATGATGGATTACGTTTATTGATTTGCGTATGTTGAACCAGCTTTGCATCCCAGGTATGAAGCCAACTTGATCATGGTGGATAAGCTTTTTGATGTGCTGCTGGATTCGGTTTGCCAGTATTTTATTGAGGGCTTTTGCATTGATGTTCATCAGGGATATTGGTCTAAAATTCTCCTTTTTTGTTGTGTCTCTGCCAGGCTTTGGTATCAGGATGATGCTGGCCTCATAAAATGAGTTAGGGAGGATTCCCTCTTTTTCTATTGATTGAAATAGTTTCAGAAGGAATGGTACCAGCTCCTCTTTGTACCTCTGGTGGAATTTGGCTGTGAATCCATCTGGCCTTGGACTTTTTTTGGTTAGTAGGCTATTAATTATTGCCTCAATTTCAGCTCCTGTTATTGGTCTATTCAGAGATTCAACTTCTTCCTGGTTTAGTCTGGGGAGGGTGTATGTGTCGAGGAATTTATCCATTTCTTCTAGATTTTCTAGTTTATTTGCCTAGAGGTGTTTATAGTATTCTCTGGTAGTTTGTATTTCTGTGGGATTGGTGGTGATATCCCCTTTATCATTTTTTATTGCGTCTATTTGATTCTTCTCTTTTCTTCTTTATTAGTCTTGTTAGTGGTCTATTAATTTTGTTGATCTTTTCAAAAAACCAGCTCCTGGATTCACTGATTTTTTTGAAGGGTTTTTTTGTGTCTCTGTCTCTTTCAGTTCTGCTCTGATCTTAGTTATTTCTTGCCTTCTGCTAGCTTTTGAATGTGTTTGCTCTTGCTTCTCTAGTTATTTTAATGTGATGTTAGGGTGTCAATTTTAGATGTTTCCTGCTTTCTCTTGTGGGCATTTAGTGCTATAAATTTCCCTCTACACACTGCTTTAAATTTTTGCAATATTCAGAAGAAATACTAGAGGTCATCCTAATTTTTCTCAAGAGACACATACCTTAGCTAAAAGAGAAGAATAATTATGGTGCTGGGAAACCTGGATATCCATATGAAGAAGACTGAAATTGAGCCCTATCTCTTGCCTTACATAAAAATCAAATCAAAATGGATTAAAGACTTAAATCTAAGATGTCAAACTATGAAACTACTACAAGAAAATACTGGGAAAACTCTCCAGGGCATTAGTCCAGGCAAAAATTTCTTGAGTAATACCCCACAAGCACAGGCAACCAAAGCAAAAGTGGACAAACAGAATCACATCAAGTTAAAAAGCTTCTGCACAGCAAAGGAAACAATCAAAATGGAGAGACAACCCACAGAATGGGAGAAAATATTTGCAAACTACCCATCTGACAAGAGATTAATAACCAGAATATATAAGGAAGTCAGACAACTTTATAGGAAAAAATATATAATAATCTGATTTTAAAATGGGCCAAAGATTTGAATAGACATTTCTCAAAAGAAGATATACAAATGACAAACAGGTATATAAAAAAGTGCTAAACATCACTGGTCATCAGAGACATGCAAATCAAAACTGCAATGAGATATCATCTCACCCCAGTTAAAATGGCTTTTATCCAAAAAAAGAGCAATAAAAAATGCTGGCAAGGATGTGAAGAAAAGGGAACCCTTGTACACTGCTGGTGGGAATGTAAATTAGTACAACCATTATGGAGAACTGTTTAAAGGTTCCTCAAAAAACTAAAAATAGAGCCACCATACGATCCAGCAAACTGCTGGATATATACCCACAAGAAAGGAACTCAGCATGTCAAAGATATATATACACTCCCATGTTTACTGCAGCACTGTTCACACAACAGCCAAAATTTGGAAGTGGCCTCTAAGTGACCATCAATAGATGAATAGATGAAGAAAATGTGGTACTTACACACAATGAAGTACTATTCAGCCATAACAAAAAATGAGATTCTGATATTTGCAACAACATGGATGGAACTGGAGGACATTATGTCAAATGAAATAAGCCAGGAACAAAAGGATAAACATCACTTGTTCTCACTTACCTGTGGAATAAAAAAATCAAAACAATTGAACTCATGGAGATAGAGAATGGAAGGATGGTTACCAGAGGACAGGAAGGGTAGTGTCGGGTGGGGGTAGGAGAGAAGGGGGGATGGTTAATGGGTACAAAAAATAAAAACTAAAAAGAATGAATAAGACCTAGTATTTAATAGTACAACATGGTGACTACAGTCAATAATAATTTAATTGTACATTTTTAAATAGGTAAACGGGCCGGGCGTGGTGGCTCATGCCTGTAATCCCAGCACTTTGGGAGGCTGAAGCAGGCTGATCCCCTGAGGTCAGGAGATCAAGACCATCTTGGTTAACACAGTGAAACCCCATCTGTACTAAAAATATAAAAAATTAGCCAGGCGTGGTGGCACGCGCCTGTAGTCCCACCTACTCAGGAGGCTGAGGCAGGAGAATCGCTTGCACCTGGGAGGCAGAGGGTGCAGTGAGCCGAAATTGTGCCACTGCACTCCAGCCTGGTGACAGAGCGAGACTCCATCTCAAAAATAAATAAATAAATAAAATAAAAATAAAATAAAATCAGTAAATGGGTATAATAGGATTCTTTGTAAAACAAAAGATAAATGCTTGAGGGGATGGGTAGCCAATACCCCATGATGTGATTATTACACATTGCATGCCTGTTCCAAAATATCTCATGTACCCCGTAAATATATACACCTACTGTGTACCCACATAAATTAAAAATAAAAAATAATAAAATTATTGCCAATTATTTCATACATACTATTTATTATTGAGCAAACATTTATTGAGTGACTACTATGTTTAACACTCTGTTAGGTGCTGTGAAGGACACAGCATGCCTTAGACATAATCCCTGCCCTTGAGAATCTTACTATCTGTGCTAGTTATTAACTTATGACTTCTCAGCTAGAAATCCACCCTTTTTTCCCTTGCTTTGTTATTCTGGAGCTGGACCCTGTAAGCATTTCTGCTTTGGCAATGGTAAAATTATAGGTTCTGCCAATAGAGGGTGATGGGGAGACACTAGGAGGCCAAAGCAGGAGGAAAGAACTTGACATTCTTCTTCTGGTAGACTTTTTTGTGTGGAGCCAGTGGATTGGTTTGCAGGCGGGGCCTGGTAGTATTCACCTCTACAGTCCTCACAGTTCAGTTACAGCCTATGCCTCCAGCAAGTTTCTTCAGCATAGGTGGACTGCACATTCCTGTGGCAGCCACACACTCCCCTCTAAATTTCTCAGCTTCTTTCTTGTTGTACATTCTTTTTCAGCCAAGGTTAGTAGCTGTGCCTACAGGACTACTACTAGACCCCTTAGAGTCCACTCTACTCCTTTTAGGCATCTTTCACTGGTTAATGTTTTTTTTATGTTAAATTTT
Organism: Homo sapiens; assembly: GCF_000001405.40. Taxonomy (NCBI): domain Eukaryota; kingdom Metazoa; phylum Chordata; class Mammalia; order Primates; family Hominidae; genus Homo; species Homo sapiens. The sequence goes on along the minus strand of NC_000002.12, from coordinate 175,187,253 downwards.
CCCTATTCAAATTACAGGTATGTTTTTTGTCTCCTGATTGGTCCCTAGCAGACATACCATCAAATAAGGAAGAAAAGACAGATGTAAGTTAATGTAAATTTGGGGGGAGAATGGTCACTTCAGCTGTAAACACAGCCCAAAGGCCAAAGATCTTCAGAGACGTAAGTCTATAAAATTATCTGCTAGTTAGGGTTGTGTTTAGCTGAATATAACAGAAACTGACCTCAGTGACTTAACCAAACAGAGATTTATTTTTTTCATGTGACATGAACTCCATAAATAGGCAATTAAGGGCTGATACTCCAAAAAAAAAAGTGAAAAATTCAGGTTCCTACTTTCCAGATTCTCTATCCTTAACGTGTGACTTTTGTTCTTGTAGTTGCAATATTGCTGCCTCCCATCTAGACATTAGATCTGTATTCCAGGAAGGAAAAAAAAAAGGTAATGGAAAAGAAAGAATGATCCATTTGAATCAATCCCTTTTCTGCACATTCTTAGGGGCTTCATGGAGTAACTTCAACTCACATGTCATTGACCATTCCTAATCATAAGAGAATCTGAGAAGCTCAGCATTTTTTTAACTGGGGACAGATCTCTGTAAGTAAGAAAAAAAGGAGAGAATGGATATTGGATAGGCAAGTAGCTGTGTCTGCCACAAATTGAAAAATTAGGAAATTACTTACATTTGAGATGGGCAAGAATTAGCAGAGGGATTTGATTTCATTTCCACATACTTGTTCATTTTCTTTTCATGTAAGTAGTCTTTTATATTAATTATACACTATGACATACAATTGTTTTATCCTCAATAACTAGCATATCTTACCAGAAAAGAAGGACAGAATAACATTTATTTTATTATGACATTGTTTTCATGTAACTCTTTTATAAAGTTTAGCCTAGACCTAAAGAGGACATGGAGACATACATTTACTTTTTGTTTCTTACTAAATTATTTGTGGCCCATTTAGTAAATATTCTAGTCCAGTATACTAGATGTCATTAAAGTGGTTAAATAATTTGTAGAACAGTCAAAAATGAAATTTAAGCACAAAATTTTCTACACTAGAAATTGATTAGCAGTGTAGGCAGTTGATAGATCTGGGAGTGTTAGGATCTATTTAAGAGATACCTAGAAATTTTTTCTATCCAAATCATGCCATCTTTCAAGTCCTAGCTCAAGTTTCTCTTCAGTAAGCTACTTTCTGACCAGGACAATCTCTTTTCTAATGCGATTTCCCTTAGTGCATCACACAACTTTGTCCTGAAATGTGTACTAATTTGTATTTTTCTCTAATTTTTTATATAAGTCAGTCCAATTTCTCATATGCCCCAATTATATTGCAAACTCTTACCTTTTCCCTGTGTCCTCACAATGTTCAAAGAAAGGGCATAGTATTTATTTGAGCTAACCTCAATTGAATGTCCTGTAAAACTAGTGCAGGTTCAGAGGTTTTTTTTTCAAAGAGAAATTGATAACAAATTAAAGCCAATAATAAGACACAAAAGCTTTTATAAGAAAAACTAAATATAATAACAGACCCCAGAATATTTTAAACTTATATTTCTGATTTTCATTTCAACAATTTTTTTTTCTCACACCAGCATGAGAAGGCTGGTGAAACTTTTGCAGGCTATTAACATTTAAAAAAAAAATTTTTAAGACAGGGTTTCATTTACATCACCCAGTCTGGAGTACAGTGGTATAATCTTGTCTCACTGCAACCTCCACCTCCCAGGCTCAAGGGATCCTCCTGCCCCAGCCTGCCAAGTAGCTGGGACTACAGGTGTACACCATCATGCCCAGCTAATTTTTGTATTTTTTGTAGAGATGGGGTTTTGCTATGTTGCCAGGCTGGTCTCAAACTCCTAAACTCAAGTGATCCACCCACCTTGACCTCCCAAAGTGCGGGTATTACAGGCCTGAGTGAGCATGCCTGGCCTAAAATGTTCAAAAGTAGATAATTTAAATATCTTTCCATGTGGTCAGTTAGAATTACCTTACTAAAGTTAATGATGACAATCCTACTCCACCTCAATACTTCAAGGAAAGGGAGTTAGTAACCAAGACCTGGGCTTCTTTCTATCTGGTTTGCTATGAGCTACACTTGGAATTTTAAACTGAAATTCCCCATTTTAAGATGCTGCTACCAGATGGATGTGGTGGCTCGTTCCTGTAATCCCAGCTCTTTGGGAGGCTGAGATGGATCGTTTAAGCCTAGGAGTTGGAGACCAGCCTGGGCAACACAGGGAGACTGTGGCTCTATAAAAAATTTAAAAATTAGCAGGTGTGGTGGTGCATGCCTGTAGTCCCAGCTACTCAGAAGGCTGAGATGGGAGGATTGCTTAAGCCCAGGAGGTCAAAGCTGCAGTGAGCTATAGTCGCAACACTGCACTCCAGTCTGGATGACAGAGCAAGACCTTGTCTCAAAAAAAAGAGATGCTGCTACCTCCACGTAGATCTCAAAGAAGTAGTGAATATTTAGCAGACAATGTTTCCTGTTTTAGTTATGTATTACTAAATAGATATTAGCACTTCATAATAAACAACCCTAAAACTTAATAGCTTCAAATGACAAAGTTTCTTTTTTTTCTTTTAGCACCAGAGTCCATGAGGCATTTTATTTGTAAATATGTATTACATCTCTAAAAAAAGAATCCCAGGATTTTACCTCCTGTGTGTTTTCTTCTTGCTTCTTCATGGTCCATGATACCAGCTGAGGTTGTTAGTACAATAAAACCAAACCGGCCGGATAGAAGCAGATTATTCTGCCATTTTTCCAGATGTTTGAGTTGCACATCAAATCTGGGGCTGATTACTCAACGCTTGTTTAGCCTACCTGTGAGGTTCACAACAATTTTTCCCAGCTCTGTAATCATCAGTGATTCAAATTTGCCAATGTAACCATACTTCACCATTACAGTGAGAAACCAGATGATGATTTTGGAGCACAGCCTAATAAGAACCTGGGGTTTGCCTCTTCTTTCGGCATTGTTGATGCTCTTGAGAGCATCAGGCAGGACATTCATGTGCACCATTGTGGCGGCACGAAAAGATGGCGGAAAGAGCCAAACGACAACCCTTTCATTGCTCTTGACACCGTGGGTCAGGAATTTGGGTAAAGCTCATTTGGATGGCTCATTTTTGTTCCTCGTGGTGTTGGGAAGGCTTGACGAGAGCTAGAGATCCAAGAAGGCCTCACTCATGTGTTGGACACCTCAGTTCTCTTTGGACTTTTTTCTATCCAAGTGGTTTCTGGAGAGGGCTATATTTGGGAGTGATCTGTCATACTTCTCTTTGCTATCGGATTTCTATCTTCATCATGCCATCATCACTCAGGCTATCATCATCACCCGGTCTTATCAGATATTGCCAAATTATGATGTCATAACTTACTATGACTGTCCCCACTGTCCATGAAAAAACACAGAAAAGATTAGATACTTCTCAGGGAGGTCCCTGTTCATCTTTATGGCCTCACTTTAGTCCTCTCAGAAGGTACTCTTTTTCTTCAATCTTCCTCAGTGCAAATATCCACCCTCAATCAACATCAACATGGGTTGGTGTTACTCCAATTCACTCCTCTTTTTCTTTTCTTTTTTTTTTTGTTTTTGTTTTTTTGAGATGGAGTCTCGCTCTGTCACCCAGGCTGGAGTGCAGTGGCGTGATCTTGGCTCACGGCAACCTCTGACTCCCAGGTTCACGCCATTCTCCTGACTTAGCCTCCTGAGTAGCTGGGACTACAGGCACCTGCCACAACGCTTGGCTAATTTTTTGTATTTTTAGTAAAAAGACGGGGTTTCACCGTGTTAGCCAGGATGGTCTCCATCTCCTGGCCTTGTGATCCGCCCGCCTTGGCCTCCCAAGTGCCGGGATTACAGGCGTGAACCACCGTGCCTGGCCTTCATTCTCCTCTTTCTATAACGCAATCTTAGGATGCAAAACCAAGCAAAGTCTGAATTAATCTATCTAGAATAGCACCGTGGAGTCACAGCCATGGTCAGGCCCCTCCAAAGAACAGACTGGATTTCGGAACCCATGTCTCTCCCTGCCACAAGCAACTAGTCCATATGCAACTTGGAAGCAGCCACTGTGGATCTTGGCTTCTTTCTTGCTTCCTCCTCAATAGTTACTGCCACTGATTTAGTGCTAAAGAGATAGGAACATCACTTAAAACCATCTCTACACATAAATCCACTTAGAATAATTTTTTCCCCTGGAGGATCTATTATTGAAGTACAAGGCTTTACTGTTTATTCTACTGTAGACACCACAGGACACCATGTTCTTGGTTAGAATTGAGTACTTGAGAAACTATATGAATAATTGCTTGTTGAACAGTACACGTGAATTATCTCTATTTTCCAGCTAAAGATTGAGCCTAAAATGATTAGTATTTTTGTAATTTTGAATCATTTGATCCATTTGAAGTTGGATTAGTGACAAAGTCTTATTCATTTTTCAAGTGTTAGTTCTGAGGGCTTCTCCCAGAACTAGCAGCAACCAGCGTTGCTGCTAGATAATATTGCACCTTTAAGCTAACAAGTAAAAAGCTGATCCTCTGGGTTGATGTTGTCTCATGCTAGGGCTCTAGGCAGAGTGGGCTGGAGTTCAGTCCCCAGCCATCTTCTTAGCAGGGCATTCTAGATGTTTAATCTTTTATGTTGACGTGTTGATATCACTTCCATTAGCCATTTGTTAGAATTACTAAATTAAATTTACATAATTCAAGGATCTAAAAAGACCAGAAGTTCAGTCAGAGCCATTTTTCTGAGATATTTCTGCATCCCTCTGAAGAAGATAATTTGTCCAAACTTAACAAAAACAGGTGTTAAAATTGAGTACGTTCTGAGAATACTCAGACTTTTTTTAAGACTTTTTTTAGTCTCAAACCCTACATGAAATACAATCCCTTAAATCTTCCAATCTTAGAGCTAGAAGAAAAGTCGAGCACCCTCACTTTACCCAGAGGCAATTTTGTGCCCCAGATGACAAAGCTCTTAGATCTACTCATTTGCTTATGGCTCCACCAGTACTTCTAGGTCAGGCCCTCTTTCACCTGAAGGATTAGCCATACTTCTGGAACCATTTTCCAGGTTCCTTGAAATAAATATCTTCGCTTTGCTGGGGACCCTAGTTTCCTGTTAAGTAGTGAATGACCCTTCTTTCCTCCCGCCAGCCACAGTCCTATTTCACAGAGGAAGAGAATGACCAGCAAGTCAACTTCTACTACAGAGAAGCAGCAACTGATAAAAGGCCAAATCTTACAAGGTGCCAACGTGAAGAAAAAGGCCCACTATCCTGCAGCCAACTCATATCAAAAGTTAATCTGTTTAGTCCTCTCTGCCGGGGTGAATCTACAGTTTTTCTTTTTGTCTCCCTCTTGCCCCATCACCAGGTGGTTGTCGTTGTCCTTCCCGGCTAGTTGCCAATAAAGTTGTTACAAAGTGACCTTGAGTGTCTTCCTTGGTGCACCCGAAACCCCGCCTTCTTCATCCGGGTGCTGCGGCGCGAATAAGAGCCGGACCGCGCTTGCGCATTGAGTCCCACTCCTTCGACCTCTGCCGCAGCCCGTGCCGCCGCCGCCTCCTGGGAAGGTAAGTGGAGGGCACAGGGAGCCCGGCCTGGCCAGGGCGGAGCGGCGCCCAGTAGGGACCCATTCATTGTGCCGGCGCCTCACTGGGCACGGGGCCCAAGCTGACGGCGTGCACGGGAGCCTGCGGGGCCTGGGTGGGAAGAACAGGCCCCTGGAGGGCACTTGACCTTAAGCCTCTTTTCCTCCGCAGAGAGGAAGCGGGAGAGGAGCCCACGTCGCCTGTCACCCAATATCTCCAGCCGCGCAGTCCCGAAGAGTGTAAGATGTTCGCCTGCGCCAAGCTCGCCTGCACCCCCTCTCTGGTGCGTAGCCCAGGCAGGGTCGGGGGGATTGAGGGGTGGGCGTTTTGGCCTAGAGCGTCCACGTTGTTGAATGGGGCAACCTTCGGGCGGGGCACACCGCCCTCTCGGGAACGGCTTTCTCCTTACCTATTAACCCATTGCCGTTTTCTTCCTAATCTTAGGGCATCTCAGCCCTCTCCTTGCCACTAGGGCGAGGCAGAGCAGCCGAGGCCTAGCTGTCAGGCCTCACTCGGTGTAGGTCAAACTCTCTGGTCCCTAGACCAGGAGTGGCCCTTTCCCCCACCTTCTCTCAGCCTCTCTGTTGGATTGGGGTCGACGCGAAGGTTGGAGTACTGCAGAGGATGTAGGGGGCCGTTGAGGCCTAGTTCACCTCAGCAGCGCTTTCCAGTGCCTGTCTGTAGGTCAAACTCGTTGCTGCAGAGGGAGGGACTTTGCCTTTCCGTGTGGGGGCGGAGGAAGGTGGTGGGGGAACGAGCCCAAAGTCTTTCTTCCTGCCTCTGGAGTATTATTTTCATAACAATTTTGCAGGCTTAAAGTGAGGTCTAGATCTGGAGGATTTGTCTTAGAGAATCAGGTTTTGGTTCGGAAGGGTTTTTCTGTGACCTTAATTTAGTGGACACTCAAGGGCAGAGAAGTTGGACTGGAATATGTCCTTATGGTCAGATATTTCACAGATTATTCTTAAACTGATGTAGAATTGCTTAAGTTCCTTTTTTAGAAATTTTTTTTTATGATTAATGGTCATATAGAAATAGCTTTGAAATGGTCAGGGCTATTAACTGCTGGGCTATTTTGAATGATAAATGTTTATTGTGACGCTCCTAATATACTTGTTGGTCCACTTAAAATTGCCAAAGAACGTGTGGTATTTATTGCTTTTTTCTGACTTGACTTACGGCACTACAATAATGGAAATGTCAAAAGCAGTTCTTACTCTCTTTGTAACTGTTATTAGAAATTTTATTCAAGGTAGCAAGCGTTACAATTTCATTAGCATGAAACTTTATTAAAATTGCTTATGTATTAAAAATGACCAAACAGCAAAGAGTCAATTCAGAAGTTTCTGATTCATTTTTACTGCTTGCTTTTTTAGAATTCATGGTACCAGAAAAGTCATTGAAGTCTTACCTGTATTCTTTCTTAATATTGAAATCTTTATTTTTTTTTCATTAATAGATCCGAGCTGGATCCAGAGTTGCATACAGACCAATTTCTGCATCAGTGTTATCTCGACCAGAGGCTAGTAGGACTGGAGAGGTAATAGTAGCAATAATTGAAATTAGGTAACACTACCAAATAAGGGTAGGGTTTTGATTAGAGTGAAGGAAAAAAACTTTATTAATAAGAGTTTGAGGGCAAGTCTTTCCCACCCTTTTATCCAAAAAACTAGATGAGCCAAATAGCCAAAAATAGCCAAAAAACTAGATGAGACGAATAGAGAAATTTCTCTATCCAAAACTTGGCCAAGTATTTATATTCAAGTCTATTGATTTAAGTTGCCTATATTTAAAATTATAATAGCTACAGTTATTGAAAAATGTACTCTATTGGACTGGATGCGGTGGCTCACACCTGTGTTCCTAGCACTGTGGGAGGCCAAGGAGGGAGGATTGCTTGACCCCAGGAGTTCAAGATCAGCCTGGGCCACATAGTAAGATCCTGTTTCTACAAAACATTTAAAAATTAGCCCAGCCTGGTGGTCACCTGTAGTGTTAGCTACTCAGGAGGCTGAGGTGGGGAGCTGGCTTGAGCCCAGGAGTTCAAGGCTATAGTGAGCTATGATCACACCACACTGTACTGCACTCCAGCCTGGGTGACAGACCAGGTGAGACCTTGTCTCTTTTAAGAAAAAACAAAACAAAAAACCCTACTTTATTTAAAAGCATATTTATATATGTTGTTTCTTAATTTTCAACACCCTTTTAAGATGTAGATATTGTTATCCCTGTTACACAAGAGTGAGATTATTCTAAGCTCTTGATTTGTCTCTTTACACTCAGCTACAAAATAAAAAAGTAGTTATCATTTTGACAATATGGTATTTAATTAAAATAGCTACCTGTGGTTACTGATACGACCTTTACCTTTATTTTCTGTTTTCCAGGGCTCTACGGTATTTAATGGGGCCCAGAATGGTGTGTCTCAGCTAATCCAAAGGGAGTTTCAGACCAGTGCAATCAGCAGAGACATTGATACTGCTGCCAAATTTATTGGTGCAGGTGCTGCAACAGTAGGAGTGGCTGGTTCTGGTGCTGGTATTGGAACAGTCTTTGGCAGCCTTATCATTGGTTATGCCAGGTAATCATTTCTATCCCTAAATAAGTTAAGAGCATGCTTGCAGTAGTTGGAAACTTAGCTACTGAAATAATAGCTACTTTGCATTAAGTGCTTACTCTGTGTCTTGCATTATATTTAAAGGGCTTTGTATGCATTATCTCACTTAATTCTCATAACACCATTTGGGGTGTTATGAGAATAACATCTATGAAGGACTAGAGACACAGAGGCCACATTACTTGCCCAGGTCATAGCTAGTAAATGTCAGAAAATGAATTTTAACTAAGTCTGACTTCAGAGTCTGCATTCCTAATTGTTAAGCTATTTTGGGAATAAAATTATTAGAGCACATTCCTTAAAAGGATCAATTTATTTTATTTAAGACCTAAACTGTCAGATCTTAAAAGGTATAGATCATATTTTCAGATGGATAAGAATGTCAGAACCCATCAAAATGAATGAAAACTAACCATTTATATTGACAGACAGCTCCCTACCTTTACACCATATTATCAGGATTGAAGGAGAATAGTGTAAGAGAGATCTAGGCAAATACTCTTCCAGCAGACTTTTCAGTTTACAAAAATCCCCACACTAGTAATCTGATTCTTTAACATTTACCAAACATGTTGAAATTAATATTTCAAAGTAACAGTCATATGTGGTCTCTTTTAGAAACCCTTCGCTGAAGCAGCAGCTGTTCTCATATGCTATCCTGGGATTTGCCTTGTCTGAAGCTATGGGTCTCTTTTGTTTGATGGTTGCTTTCTTGATTTTGTTTGCCATGTAACAAATTACTGCTTGACATGTTGGCATTCATATTAATTACGGATGTAATTCTGTGTATCTTACTGTGACTCCGAAAACTGTAGTATTGGTGTCATGGGAATGTACGTTATTTCCAAAGTCATTTCATTAAAGATGAAAACTTTAATTTCTTCTGTGATTTGTACTTACACTAAGTTTAGATTATCACAAAGAAGAACGTGCATTCAGGCAGATGCTGTCCCATTCAGAGGAAGCTACAGCAGTTGCTCCACTGATGAAAAATATTCCAATGTAATTTTTATGGGAATTCTTTTATATAGTGTTCTGCATATTGTAATTCATAGGGCTTTTGTTTATTCATATAAAGGATAAATATTTGGGTGTTTTGAGCTTCTATAAAATATGATTAATTAAAGGTAGTTAATACTCAAGATGGTCTTGAGTTTTTAAGGTCTAACATCAGTTAGAATACTTCAAATCAGAATCACCTTCCAAGACTGACTTGACAGGTGGTTCTAAAAATAAATCACGTCAGCTTTTTAGGAAATGAAGCCTTAAGCTAGGGGGTAATGTGACTTTTGTTTTTCAGTAAGTCTCACATTAAGCAATTGTGTGCCTCTAATGAATCTTCCATGTCTTTTCAGAACAGGCTCAGTCCAACTAGCAGCTAGTTTCTTACTTGAACAAGACTATTAAAAACCAAATATCAAAAAACTGAATTGGCTAGATTTTTACAGCCAAAAATTGCTGTAAGGCAGTGTGTATCACTGTTGCTAACATGTTTATAGTGGGAGTCTTGGGGATGATAGCTGGTTCAACAGTATTTTGCTGCTAATACTTTATGTTGCTTCTTGGTCAAACTTTTCCCATTCAAAGGAAGAAGATGGTGCTACTATAGACAGTTTTTCCCCTAGCAAATATATTGTACCATAATATCTATCATCCAAGTTTCAGGGTTTTTTGAAAGTTGATAATTAGGAAAGTGACATTTTACTTTTCTTAGTGCCCTTTGCCTGTTTGATTTCCATTGAGAAAGAGCAGTCACCAAAGTTCCTCAAGTGTCGGAAGACCACCTCCATCAGAATCAGTGCTTGTTTAAAAAATAAAAATCCCTAGGTTCCAGACCTACTGAATTGGACTCTTTGGACATGAGACTCAGCAATCTACATCTTTAAAAAGGCTTCCCAGGTGGTTTTTGTGCATACTGTTTGAGAGTCACTAAGTTATATATATATCCTACCTTCTGTAAAGTGAAATGAGGCCCCAAAAAGCTAAAGAGGTAGAGCTGCTACCTCGTTTTTAGTTGATTCATCATCTAGTCTATATCACCCAAAAGAATTGGAAATAGGTATTCAAACAAAAACCTGTATACAAGTATTCATAGAAGCACTACTTACAATAGCCGAAAGGTAGAAACAACCAAATGTCTATCAGCTGATGAATGGATAAGTAAAATACATCCATATAATGGAATATTCAGCCATGAAAAGGAATGAGGCACTGATACATAATGAATAGATGTGAGTGAACCCTAAGAAAGCATGCTAAGTGGAAGAAGCCAGCCACATGATTCCATTTATATGAAATATCCAAAATAGGCAAATCCACGGTGACAAAGCCAATTAGTAGTTATCAGGAACTAGGGAGGGGGTGAAAAGGGAGTGACTGCGTAATGCGTATGGGGATTCCTTTTAGGATGATGAAAATTGGATGAATTACAGCTGGTCTGATGGTAGTGGGTTATCAGAACTTATTAACATTAGTGTCATTAAAGTTGGTATATAGCCCCTCACTGCTAAATCTGGCTCAAAAATTAAAAGATTATTAAAATTTGATGAATTAGTGGTGATGGTTGCACAACATTGTAAATATAATAAATGTCACTGAATTGTACACTTTAAGGTGGTTAAAATGGCAAATTTTACATGTCTTACTGAAACTACTATTTAATACAAAGTACATAGTATAAAATTTTAAAAGTGATAGGAAAATGCTTAGATTAATATTCACCTATTCCAAGTATATTTTAAATAAAAACAGTCTTGGTAAAGACCTGTTCTTGGTGCTGGTTTTGGTGGTTGAAAAGGCTTGAAACGTTGATTTGGGAACAGGTTTCTTGTAAGAGATGTCCCAGCTGAGGGAATCTCCCAGAATGAAAATGGACTAACTGAACTGTGGCTGCATAGTCTTCAGGCTACTGAGAAAACAATACAACAAAAAACCACACACAATGACTCAAACTTTATAGAGGGGAAAGGTAATAGTGCATCACAAGTTTAACATCCTTGAGTATACATCCTTTTACTTAACTTTTGTTTCTAGTAACAAAGTTATGACATTGCAAGTACATCACTGGAATGCATCTACTAGCAGAAATGTTTATTGTACACCATTTTTATAGGAAGTACTGCCTCAGCTTACGAGCTTTGCAAACAAATATTAGTGCTAAATGCTTTTTACTGACATCTTCGTTTCTGAACAGAAGCTGATAAAGGTACTATTTTTCTGTCAAACATGAAATGGATTTTCCATGTTGATAAGATGGTGTTGGTAAAATGGTGAATTAAATGAGTGGCAGTAAGTGTTCAGGTGTTCAGAGGGAGTAGAAATAATTTTATAGTTGAAGAATTACATGAAAAAGTACTATTTGTAACTTAAGACAAACCTTAAAGAACCGTGTCACAAGGACAGACCAGAAGAGGGCATTTTGGCTAGTGAACGGCATGAGGAAAAGTAAATGAGCACAGCATTGGTACATGAGAAACAAGGAGTTCCCTGAGTATGAAACAGAAATGGTGTGAGATAAGGCTGTAAAGGAAGACTGGGGCCATTTTATGTAAACAGGCAGGTATAAGATTGTGACTTTTATTCATGTGATACTGTCAGTCATTCAAAGTTTAGAGCTGTATTTTAGAAAGGTTGATAGGAGACCAGTATGTGAGATGGACTGGAGCCAGCAATGAACAGCAGTTCATACTATAGTAGCTTTGCTGAAATGTAATGAAGGTCTAGTCTAGGATGGTGGCAGTGAAGACAGTTGACCCCCTGAACAACATGGGTTTGAACTGTGCAGGTCCACTTATACACAGATTTTTTTCAATATGTTGGAAAGTTTTTTGAGGTTTGTAACAAATTGAAAAAACTCTCAGACAAACCATGTAGCCTAAAAATAATTGAGAAAATTAAGAAAATGGTATGAATGCATAAAATATGTAGATACTGGTCTACTTTACTGCCATAAAATATACATAAATCTATTACAAAAACAAATTTATCAAAACATGCACATAGACTACATGGTACCATTTACAGTTGAGAAATATAAACGTAGAGATGGAGTAAATCATAGCTGCATAAAATTAACTGAAGAACATACTGTACTACTGTAATAATTTAGTGGCCACCTCCTGTTGCTATTGTAGTGAGCTTAAGTGTTATGAGTATCCACTTAAAATGCTGTGATGCTCATCATCTTCATGGGGCAGTTCATCTCCAGTAAATTGTGTATCACAAAAAAAGTGATCTTTCGCAGTTCTTGCCTTTTTTTTTTTTTTTTTTTTTTTTTTTGAGATGAAGTCTCTCTCGTCTCCCAGGCTGGAATGCAATGGCGGCTCACTGCCAACTTCCACCTCCCGGGTTCAAGCGATTCTCCTGCCTCAGCCTCCTGAGTAGTTGGGATTACAGGCACCTGCCACCACACCCAGCTAATTTTTGTATTTTTAGTAGAGATGGGGTTTCACCATGTTGGCCAGGCTGATCTCGAACTCCTTACCTCAGGTGACCCTGCCGCAGCCTCCCAAAGTGCTAGGACTACAGGCGTGAGCCACCGTGCCCGGCCATTTCTTGCATATTTTTCACTGAGTTAGTGCAATATTATAAACCTTGAATAACACCATGGAACCTATACAAAGTACTAGTAGTGATGCTAGAAGCGGTCCCACGATGCGAAGTCATGACATTGCAAGAAGTTGAATGGCTTGATATGCACCATAGGTAGAAGACGTCCGCAGCTGCAGTTGTCACCATTTCAGACAGACAGTTCATCTTGTAAACAGATGGTGTAAACTTGTAAACTTAATGATATTGATATAGTACTAGAAATGTATTTTCTCTTAGGATTTTCTTAACATTTTCTTTTCTCCACCTTTATTGTAAGAATACAGTATGTAATGTATATAGAGTACAAAATTTGTTTATCAACTATGTAATCAGTAAGGCTTCTGGTCAACAGTAGGCTGTTAGTAGTTAAGTTTGGAGGAAGTCAAAAGCTATATGCAAATTTTTTTATTGCATGGGAGGCTGGTGGGGGGAATCAATGCCCTGAACCCCTAACCTTATTCAAGGATCCACTATATTTTAAAAAGAGTGCAAAGGTAGTATCAGTAGGATTTAATGCCTAGATCTCAGGAACCAGTTAGGAGAAGAGAGGGTGTGTGCATCTAGTAAGTGCTAGCTATACTGTTATTTAACCCTCATAACAACTCTGTAAACTTGGGAATAATTTCCAAGATGCAAAGGAAAATAGGCTCAGAGGTTAAACAGTTCCCAAAATTACATAGCTATTAAGTGGCAAAGTCAGGATCCAAATTCAGATCTTCCTTAAAGCCCATGCTCTGATTTTTTTTTTTTAATATGACTGTTAGCAATGACAAGGAAAAACCTGATTTGGGGAAATGATGAACTTTGTTTTTTATATAATTTTAAATACAAGAGGTATAATTTTACAGATCTGGGCTTGAAAAGAGAAGAAAGGTATGTACAGCACAGACTAGATGTGCATAAGAGAAGTGCAGAGCAGCAGTAGGGACCCAGCTCCACACAGGTAACAAATTGGTAGTGAACATCATTCACCTAGTTTTGTGACTCTCCAGCAATGTTGGGAAGCTTGCTAATACAAACTGATGTAAAGAGCAGTGAGGGTTATCAGGGTTGTGCACTGGGAAGAAGAGATGATGGAAGGTCAAAGTGGCTCTAGGCAGACAGCAAACAAGCGCACTGTTCAACAAAATGACCTATGCATTTCAAACTGGGTAAGGAACAAGGGAAGACACAATAAAGGTGATAAATTGAAATAACAGAGGGGTCAAGAGCTCAGAGGTTTCACTAATGTTGAAAAGCCATTTCAATAAGAACCAAAAAATACACAAGAAATTTAAAGAATTTCAGAGTTCAAGATCTTGGAAATAAGGTAGGCTCGAGGAATGATCAAAATTTGAGGTCAAGTTGCTGAGTGATTGAAGTTGGGTAGAAATAAATGTAAATGCTGTTAATTTTAAGGCAGGATTGTAGATAAATGGGAAATAACATTTGAGAACCAAATAAACTACTTGTGCTTCTGCTGTAAATTTTAAGTTCTGTTAGACAAATTTAGTGAATATGGTTTGGTTTGGGTGTTGGGTACTTGGAAGAGGAAAAAATTGTATTGTTATGGTCCTACGTGCAAAGCCTTTTAAAATATTTTGTGATTTCTACATAGGAAATTATAAATGAGTTGTTGATTCCTCTACATGCTGAGCATATCAACGTAGTTATTTCATATTATAATTCTACTGACAGTGTTATGGACTTAACACCCAAATACATGGTCCATCAGTTACTTGCCCAATTCTTTACATTATTAAGGGCAAAAAAATATTATTTCCCTAAAAACTGGTTCAGGTTCCTGGCAAGAATTTGCACTTCTTTCTCCTGAATTGACAAAAGTAATGTGTCTCCTCTGAGACATTTAGTGACTTCGATCTTCTTTCTCAAGGGAGCTTAAATATTGGAGAGAGGAAGTAAAGAGAGTACCTAAGACCAATAGAGACTCATAAATCCAAGAGCTTTTGGTTGTTCCTCCCATTAGCATGAGCTAGCATCCTACAACTTATTATGGCAGAGACTCCTGAGGACCCATGATTGTTGTCAGTGGCGCTTCAACAACAGCTTTTAGTCAGCACTTCCCAGCCATGGAGACTCCAGGATCTCCTCTTATAATTGCATCCCAGGCTTTGCTTCCTCAAATAGCTACACAGGTTGGCTGAGTCTCTCAGCTGCCAGACATCGCAGTATTTTTCCCTCAAGAGTTGTATCTTAAGGACAACTCACAGAATTCTCCGACCACTCTAGTGCTATCTAAAGTGTCTGTTACTTTCAAGTTCTCTAAAGTTGTATTTAAAAAGCAAGTTCTAATATTGTATGTTATTACACCCCGGCTTTATTTTCTCCATAGTACTTACCACAATTTAAATTATCTTGTTTATATATGTAGCATGTCTCCCCCTGCCCCTGCACCCAACCACAAGAGTCTCCTGAAAAAACTTTGTCTTATTTATAGTTGTCACCTCAGAGCCAGAAACAGTGCCTGGAATGTTCATGCTCAATTAATATAGATGCTTTATGAGTAAGGAGAGCATTAGGTTGATGCTTGACCTCATTGGCCATAGTTGACCTATGAGGCTGTATCCAAGGTAAGAAGGTAACTGAAACGAGCAGGATGGTAGTCTAAGGACCCAGGAGGATCCATATGCTGACAGACCTCCCTTGATTTCTAGGATACAGATCACATGGCTTTGGTGTTACGTGGGCCTCAGGTTGACAAATAGACTAGTTATGGGAAGCTATGAAAGGTAGGAGTGATCCTATTTTTATTAATAATATTGTATAAAAAGAATATAATGATGGCAATCCCTCTTTCTGGTGAGTCAGATGAGAGAGAGAGGTGGCATTAGCATCAAGAATGAAAACAAGGCCCTTAAATTCCATTCTCCCTCTCTCTGGGCTGGTTTTGTTGAAGGTAGTATAAGCTAACTGGTATGATGTGAAGATAAACATAGCCCTTTTTCCCCATAATGCCACACCCCATTAATTATAAATTCTTTTGGGAAACCCAAGATTTGGGTTGGAGGGTAGACATCCCTGCACTTAAAATGTCCATGATGAGGACAAGTGCTGAGAGGTAACTTTAACATAGGCCATTTCAGCAATGTGCAGGAAGACCCTGAGCTGGCAGAGAGAGGAAAAGATCTGCCATGAGATAGAAGCTACCAAAATGTCTGTACAACGTCTAGGGCCACATTATCCTATTTCATTTCTCAGATATCAGTGGGGTAATCATGTCCTGCGTCTCCCACCCCTTTCACATCTCACACACACACACACACACCACACACACCCCTACCTTGATCCCACTGATAAAATCCCAGCTAATCCACTGTACTGGGCTGCATCCTGAGAATATCATGAAAATGTAGAGGCTCTTTCCCTAAGCCTAGGATTAGTTGTACCAAGTAGACATAAGGGGTGCCCTGTAGTCTTCTATGTTTTGGTTAGCTGCAGACAAACAGAAACTATGTTCTGAAAATCAATTATTAGTGAGAGAGAGAAGGAGAGGAAGTTGAAAGGGAAGATGGAGAGAGATATGGTTTGGCTGTGTCCCCACCCCAAATCTCATCTTGAAGTGTAGTTCCCATAATCCCCACATGTCATGGGAGGGACCAGGTGGAGATAATTGAATCATTGGGGTGGTTTCCCCATCCTGTTCTCATGATAGTGAGTTAGTTCTCAGAGATCTGATGGTTTTATAATGGGCTTCTCCTTTTGCTGGGCACTCATTCATGTGAAGAAGGACATGTTTGCTTCCCCTTCCGCCATGATTGTGAGTTTCCTGAAGCCTCCCCAGCCATGCTGAACTGTGAATCAATTAAACCTCTTTCCTTTATAAATTACCCAGTCTCGGGTATATCTTTATTAGCAGCGTGAGAACAGATATATATATACACACACACACACACACACACACATATATACACATATATATACATACATACATACACACACACACACACACACGTTTTAGAATTTTTGTGAGCAGTTTTAACAGATTATGGATTAGCAGCCCTATCATACTAAGGTGGAAATACCACATTGTGTGGCATTTGTAAGATTTTGAGGGCACTTAGAGACCATCATTGTTTCTTGTGATATTTATTAACATTTTCATGACAGAAATGCATTTTCTTCAAATAGCCTCATTTTGTATCTAAGGAATATTAGTTTTATTTAGCAGTTATGCTGGGTTCTTAAAGGAGATTCACTAGACCCTCACTAATTCTCTTAGAACTAAGTTGGGTAGATGCATCATGGAACAAGACAGGCAAAGAAGAGGTCTACAAGAAGTTTCCTGCGTTTGTAAAGAGAAGACTGTAAAGAATTTTAGGACTCTTGGGGATATTGAGGAATGCAAAAGTGAGAACAAAGATGGAAAAGGGTGGCATTTTATGAGGATATGAATAAGTAGTGAGACAAGTTCATGGAATCAGACCTGAATATGGTAACTACATTCATTTTGACAATGCTGAATGTTTTCCCCACTTGTAGAAAAACTATAGTAAACAAACTGCTGTGGAACTAGAAATATGTGGATAAAGTGAGACCCTTTGTTAAATGCCGGGCTGCCAAAATGCATATATAACAGATCGGCATAGTTTCCACCTGTTTCCTGCGCCTATCTTATTTTTTTTTCTCACTTTAGGTATACCCTCTCTTTAGAAAATTAGCTAAAACTGAATTATCAAAACAGATCAGAGTACTGTTCATATCACTAAACAGTTCTTCTCTTGTCTAAAAAGAACTGAAAGACTTTCTTTAAAATAATGTGTTTCTCGAATGCATCATGTAGATAACTAACTGCTTGACAACAGACTGGAGAAGTAGCAATGAGAAATTTAAAACCAAAGCTACTGCCCAATTGAATCAACACTGGAAAAAATTTCAAATGGAAAAACAATTTTTTTAAAAAAATCTATTCTAATTGACCCAAACTTCTTTTGAAATGTCGTAACATTTGCAGTTCTTTTTCTCACATTAGTTGTTTTGGGAGATGGAGAGAGAAGCATCTATTTAATCAATGCGTTCTAGACCTAACAATTGTGATGTCAATCAAACATTTTGTCCACCATTTCCATCATGAGTAATCTGAACTGTGAGGTTTTGCTGACATAATTAGTGTTACACTACAATGGCACTACTACATTACTGTTACTATATGGGGACGGTACTTTCATTTTAAGTAGGAAAGTGTTAATAATTTGGCTTAATGTTTCTTAACTAAAATTAGTTTTAAAAGAGGACTGAGTTGGCTTATACACATGTATGCGGTCCAGAGACCTACCTGTTAAAATGTCAATGCCATTACAATTTCACTTTTATGCCAGATATCATTCTTGAACTTCAGGCTCATTAACTCTCATACTATCCCCCAAAACCTTTCAACAATTTTGAGAGTGTATTTTATGTTAATATATAAACTAGTTCATAATTTTGTTCCAGACTAGAAATCAGTATTTAATAAATGGAAAAAATAAGACACTGAAAATCTTTTATTGAATAATGTAAATTCTCACAGAGGCCTCTGATCATACTTTTCAACTTGTGCCTATTTATTGAATAACCAACATCCTTACAGTTAATATTAAAATCTTTAAGTTGTGTGGGGTTTTTTGGAGGGGAGGGATGGGCAATTACCAGCAAACTCCGCCTCCCCCAAACCTCACCTAACCCGAAGCTCCCCGCCTCAGGCTCCCGGGGAGCCAAGGGGTGGGCTGAGGAACGCAGCCTACTTTTACCCACCTCCCTACCTAGTGCTGGGAAGTGACGGAAACGGAGACACCCGGCTCCTGGGGCTGGGCTCGGAGGACCCATCCTGCTTTCCCTCTAGCAGCCTTTCCGGAGCTCACCACCTTTCCTCCCCTCACACCGCCAAAGCCCTGCCTAGCCCTTCACCGCCGCCTGCACCCGCGCCCTCCTCCAGCCGACAGCCAATCACAGTCTTCCACAGCTCCGGGTTTACAGAAGTAACGCTCCTTGGGCCCTCTGGTCCCGCCCCCTCCAGAACTGCTTCCCGCCCTTCGGGCTCCTTGTCCAATCATGAGCGCCCGAGTGCTCTTTGATGCCCGTCCCCTCTACCCGCCCTGCCGAAGACCCGCCTTCTTCTCCTTAAGCCTGACGGAATCACCTGACTCGGAGGCGCTCCCTCAGAAGGAAGGCAAGAAGGGGCGTGTGGGTGAAGGGGAGGGGCGCCAGAAGGAAGGTGGGGATGCCGGGAGCGGGGCGAGCGGGCGGGGGTTGTCAGTCCGATCTCGCGAGAGAGGACGGAAGCCTGTGGGAGCCCGTGGCCTTTAAAGTGCCGTTCAGCCTTTTCCTCCAGGGGTGCTTTGTAAACACGGCTGTGCTCAGGGCTCGCGGGTGACCGAAAGGATCATGAACTAGTGACCTGGAAAGGTGAGTAACGATGGGCAGAGGTCAGCAGGGCTGGAGACTGTAGGGATACGGAGAAAGAAGGCGCTAACATGGCGACGTCGCTCAGCACAGTCCCCACCCCCCGTTTCCCATCACCTCGGGTGCTCCTGACGTGCTCCTTAGCCCTTGGGGCGATTGTGGCTGTGCTGCCACCTCGGCGGCCCGCGCGGTGTGGGCTTTGGGAACCTGACTGGCTGGGCCGGACCGTTAGGTAACCAGCGTTCGTTGTTCCGGCCCCTCCCTCTCGCGCGCTTTCCTAAGGCAGAGGAAAAAGGAATAACGGCTCCCTCTTAGACCCCTCCCTCCGAATTATCTTCACCCTACTTGGGTCAGTTCAGAGGTCCTCGGGGCGCGCGTCGAGTCAGCCGTGTGCGCAGGGAGACCTCTCCCACCCACAGTCCTTGGGTTGGGCGGGGAGAGGGCCCACTCTGGTCTCCCCACCCAGTATTCAAGCGATTGAGGACCGTGTATTGGTGATGGTGGCGGGGAGGAGGATCGGGAGGCGCGGCTGAAAATAGAATCAGGGTCCCTGGCTGCGGTGCAGCTTGAAGGAAAGAATGGTGTGGAGAACCTAGGAGCTGGAAGTCTCGGCCTTTTCCGTCCTTTCCGCCACCCTCACAATCCCGCTACCCCCAGCTTTTTCCCGGTGGGGCGGGGCTTAGGTGTGGGTGCAGACTGATTCTGGTATTTTCCCTTATTTTTTTTTTTTTAAATCTCTGGGTGGACAGCAGAGCGTATGTAAAGAAATAATTTGCTTTTCATCAATGCCCTAGGGACCAGGGCCGAAAGGGAGTGTGTGTACGTGTTTTCTATGTTCGCTCGTTTAACCGAACCTAGGAGGAAAAAGAGAGGAGGAGCTGGGAACTATTTTTGTGCCCCTAGGTAGTATAAAATTGGCTTTCTTTAATGGAGAGTCTTAAAACTGGTGAGGCCAAGAGCAAAACTACTGTGAATATCATGGAGTAAAAGAGATTACTCCTGATGGACCTTAGGCATCAGAAATTTTAGTGAAAGAAATGTTTCTCTTAAAATTCAACACCTATTTTAAATAGTGATGTAAAGCATTTCTTTACATGTACCTTCAGGTTTTCTAATGCTTTCCTGGCTATTATTTAACTGGTACTAAGGGATTGACTAATCCCTAAATTATAATGTGAAAGTTTAAATTTCTTAGAGGTTTTAAATTATGGAGACGGTCACAATGCATGCATTTAAGATATACATTTAAAATCAGAACAAAAACTGACTTTCTTTGAGCACACTTTTTGTCCTATTTGAAGAAACATGACCACTGGCGTTATCATTGTGAGTAACAGCCGTTCTGATCTTTAAATAGCCATATAGCTTTGGTCTCTTGAATCAAAATTATGAAGGTAAAGCTTTATTTATAAAAGCTTGTTAAAAAGTCAAACCTACAGGTTTAAGTGTCTTAAAGTACAAACACAGAAGCAGTTTTATCATGTATTAATTTTTTTTTCCTTACTTGAGGAATCCACCGTAAAAACTTTGTTTCAAAAATGTTAGGAACATCCTTGTAAAATACGTTTTAAATATACAGATTCCCCTCTGCAGATTAAGAAAGTTCATGGATCTTTAAGGCCATCAGTAGTTGCGTAATAGTTAAGAATCCTCGTCTTTGTAAAATAATTTCTAGGAATCTTCCAAATTTACCGTGATGTGTAAAAGAGTTTCTGAGAATCTTCCAAATTTACCATGATGTGTATGTTGCCTTCCTAAGACGTTTAATCTTGCTTTGAGAGAATGCTACTGCCATTAAGTTTTAAGAACTGATTTAAAATGTAATATCGTGGAAATTTAGAACTTAGTTGTTATGTATTTTAATTGTCAGGAAGGAGCTTTCAGGGACTTTTTTTTGTATGTGTAGTGTACATAATACCTTCTATAGCTCCGGGTGCATTTCCTGAAAATCCTTTTTAAAATATCTTATCCGAATGTTTATTTCGTATTTGGGGCACTGTATTTTTATTAGTTAAATATGTAACCCAGGAATTCCTGCACTTTTTTCTTTGGCGTTTTTTGTTTTTAAGCTAAGATAATAGTAGAGGCTGGGCGTGCGCGGTGGCTCATGCCTGTAATGCCAGCACTTCGTGAGGCCGAGTGGGGCGGATCATGAGGTGAGGAGATCGAGACCATCCTAGCTAACACGGTGAAACCCCGTCTCTACTAAAAATACCAAAAATTAGCTGGGTGTGTTGGCTCCTGTAGTCCCACCTACTCGAGAGGCTGAGGCGGAGAATCTGTTGAACCTGGGAGGCGGAGGTTGCAGTGAGCCGAGATGGCGCCACTGCACTCCAACCTGGGCGACACAGCGAGACTCCGTCTCAAATAAATAAATAGTAGAAATGGTTGTCAGCATTTTAACAAATAGTGGGGTTGGGGTGGTCTTTATTGGTATTCAGGATCTGAAAGCTCTATGACTATGGTAGAAAAATATGCCATACATCAAACATCTATCTGTAAGTAGCATTAACTCTTCAAAAAATAATGTACATTTTTTCTACCCAAATTTTTGTATTTTGGAAAACTTCGGTTTTAATGATACATACGTTCTTGTCTGGTAAATTGTTAGATCGTGTTAGATCAGGTAAACAATCTCACCAATGTGTGCTTTTTCTACTAATTTTGTCTAAAGGCTCTTCCTTCCAATATGAAATATACCTATAAGTAGGCATTTCTTTCTCTTTTTTATTCTTACTAAAATGTCATTGGAGAATATAAAGTAGTTGAAGTCTCCCTTATGAAAACCAGATTTTCATCAGAACCTCTCGTTAAAAATTCAGTGAATAGCAATAATTAATATTCAACTGATTTTTATAAAAGTCAATGCATATAGCACCTGTTGGGTTATTTTGTATAATTAAAATGTACCCTAAAAAAAATCCCACCTTAGCCAGGTGTGGTAGCTCACGCCTGTAATCCCAGCACTTTGGGAGGCTGAGGCAGGCGGATCAGCTGAGGTCAGGAGTTCAAGACCAGCCTGGCCAACATGGTGAAACCACGTTGGTAGGCGCCTGCAATCCCAGCTACTGGGGAGGCTGAGGCAGGAGAATCGCTAGCACCTAGGAGCAGGAGGCTGCAGTGAGAGCCGATCGTGCCACTGCACTCTAGCCTGGGCAACAGAATGAGACTGCATCTCAAAACAAAACAAAAACCAAAAAATTCACTTAGTATTGTTATAATCTGGAGTTTAATTTAGTATTTCTGTGTTTATCTCATACTCACACCTGTTCCTCAAGGCTAAGAACTTGTCTAAAATGCTGCATGTTCTCTTTATGTAAGTTTTAATGTTGAAGTAGTAGGATAGTATTCACCTATTTCTATTTGAAGGAAAACCCCAGAGAACATTTTATTTCCTTTGTTATGTTTCTCAAGGTTAAAAGGTTATATAGTAAGGTATAAGATAGTTTCATAGAAAATCAAGGAAATTTGTGGATCTTTAAGGCCATCAGTAATTGTATTTTATCTTATTTTATTTTTGAGACAGAGTCTCCCTCTGGCTTCCACGCTGGAGTGCAGTGGTGCAGTCTTGGCTCACTGCAATCTCCACCTCCCGGATTCAAGCGGTTCTCCTGTCTGAGCCTCCCGAATAACTAGGATTACAGGGGTGCACCACCATTCCCTGCTGATTTTTGTATTTTTAGTAGAGATGGGGTTTCACCATGTTGGCCAGGCTGATCTCGACTTCCTGGCCTCGAGTGATCCACTCGCCTTGGCCTCTCAAAGTGTTGGGATTACAGGCGTGAGCCACTACACTAGGCCTATTTTTACACATTATTTTATAATATAAATATATTTAATGTTACATATTATATAAATATAAATAAATATGTATTCATTATATGTGTCTTTTCAATTTGTTGAGACTTTTTGACAACCTTGAAACTGGTGTATTCATTTTCACTTTTAAGGCATTACAGGCATGAGCCACTGCACCCGGGCCTATTTTTACACATTGTGTTACAGGTGTATTTAATGTTACATATTATATAATTATAAATAAATATGTATTCATTATATATATCTTTTCAATTTATTCTTGTTGGCAACCTTGAAACTAGTGTATTCATTTTCACTTTTCTTTTTTTTTTTTTTGAGACGGAGTTGCTATGTCACCCAGGCTGGAGTGCAGTGCCGCTCTCAGCTCATTGTAACCTCTGCCTCCCAGGTTCAAGTGATTCTCCTGCCTCAGCCTCCTGAGTAGCTGGGATTACAGGTGCCCGCCACCACACCTGGCTAATTTTTGTATTTTTAATAGAAACGGGGTTTCACCATGTTGGCCAGGCTGGTCTCGAACCTGCCTCGGCCTCCCAAAGTGTTGGAATTACAGGCATGAGCCACCACCCAGCATCATTTTTCATTTTTTAAGTATGTTTATTGATTTTTTTTCCTTGGCATTTTGACATTGACAGTAAAGAAGAGATGTAAACAATGTTTTGGGGGCTTTGCCTATTCACCCATATTTGCATTCTGTATCTTAACAAA
This sequence comes from Homo sapiens, assembly GCF_000001405.40. Classification (NCBI taxonomy): domain Eukaryota; kingdom Metazoa; phylum Chordata; class Mammalia; order Primates; family Hominidae; genus Homo; species Homo sapiens. The sequence continues at coordinate 175,163,528 of NC_000002.12, read as the reverse complement.
GATAGTGGTTCTCAGCCACTTTTTTGCCTTTCTACCCAAGGAATACAAAATACTTCCAACAGTAGTAGTGGCTTATTACCACAGAGATTCTCAACAAGACTGGTAGGGAAAGACAGGGAGAAATAATTGTAATTGGCAAAATACCATATGGACTTTGGTTATTTTTGTAATATATAGTATTTTTATCTATAATATTGACCATAAGTTTATAAATATATTCCCTAAATATTCTTTAGTTTGCTAGCAGAACCGAAACCTTTGTCATTCTAATTTTTTTAGCTTTGCTCCAATGTTATAGCTTTGGTTTTTCTAATTTTACTGTTCGGGCTAGTATGTTTGCTTGCATTTATTTATTTATTTATTTATTTATTTATTTATTTATTTATTTATTTTTTGAGACAGAGTCTCGCTCTGTTGCCCAGGCTGGAGTGCAGTGGCACGATCTTGGCTCACTGCAAGCTCCGCCTCCCAGGTTCATGCCATTCTCCTGCCTCAGCCTCCCAAGTAGCTGGGACTACAGGCACCCACCACCACGCCCGGCAAATTTTTTAATATTTTTAGTAGAGACGGGGTTTCACCGTGTTAGCTAGGATGGTCTCGATCTTCTGACCTTGTGATCCGCCCACCTCGGCCTCCCAAAGTGCTGGGATTACAGGCATGAGCCACTGCACCCAGCCTGCTTTTATTTATTAAACGTGTCGGAACAATTTTTTTATATATCAACTTGTTTTGCCATACTAACAAATAATTGTGTTCATTATTTTTGTTTTCTTCTAGTTTGTGCATATATATTGCAGTTTTTACAGAATTATATCAAATAAGTTTTATTTTACTTTTATAGCATTGTATTTTTCCATGTTGTATAACCTTTATGATATTTGATTGTTACTTGATAGTTGAAAAATAAGTATTAAATTTGTTCTAAATGCCTGACAGGAAAATAATAGTTTTCAGTTTATGCCTATTTTGACATTGAATTGAACATCTCTGTGCATTTTTTCTTTTATGAATTGTTTCTATAGGATACTAATCTCAAATGAATTACTAGTCAAAGGATATAAATGTTTCTACAGTTGCCAGATTTTTGCCTCCCCAAAGACTTGAGCGAGTTTACACTGTCAGCAGAGCATGAATGCGTTAGCTTTGCCATACTTTTGTGAACTTGGGAGTTATGATTAATGAAGCGTGATTACCTAATTGGGAATTATTTCTGGGAATAAGTTGTATTATTTAGCAGTTTTAAAATTATTTAGTTGGCCATATCATACTATAGTTATTTATCTACCAGTGATCTATGTGATGTGACAAATATTGTGTATTTCATATTTTCTGACATTTTACTGTCTTTGTTTCTTTTAAAGTTTACCAAAACTTTTGACAGACTGGTAACAATAATTCTTAGATTTCATGCAGTTTTATGTGGTTTGTACACTGAGTATTTTAATGCTAGTTTAAGAGTTAATTTCTGGGCTGGGCATGGTGGCTCATGCCTGTAATCCCACCATTTTGGGAGGCCTAGGCAGGTGGATCACCTGAGGTCAGGAGTTCGAGACCAGCCTGGCCAATGTGAGAAAACACCATCTCTACTAAAAATACAAAAATTAGCTGGGCATGATGGCGGGTGCCTGTAATCTCAGCTACTCGGGAGACTGAGGCAGGAGAATTGCTCGAACCTGGGAGGCAGAGGTTGCAGTGAGCCAAGATCACGCCAGTGCACTCTATCCTGGGCAACAGAGCGAGACGGTGTCTCAAAAAAAAAAAAAAAGAGTTACTTTCTGAACTATACATTTCATAGTTCTGTCTTATGAATGTGTCATTATGATTTATTAAGATTTATAATGACAAATTCATTTCCATGTAGGAAACACTTGGAATAAAGAAAGTGTATATGAGTATATGATAGCCAAATTGACTGAGTTTTGTCCCTGGCACATAGTTAAGTGTGTAATCAATATTTTAGGATAGTTATTAGAAGCCAGATTATCAGGGGTCTACCACTTACTGTGTTATCTTGAGTAAATTATATAACCTCTCTGCCTCAGTTTCCTTCTCTTTAAGGAGAATAATTTAACTCATAGTCTTGCTGTGAGCATTCATGTGATATATATACAATACTTAATACAGTGTCAAGAACTTAATGAGTACTCAGTTTGTGTTGTGGGAATTATTATTGAAGTTCATTCAGAAATAATCTAGCCTAGCCCTCCAGGCATGCTTGTGCTGTAGCTTGAAAGCAGTACAGCAACCATCTACTTGGTAGCTTTGGCAACAAAGTTATTTTTCCCTAAGAATTTATAATTTGTGGAGGAACATGCCACCTTAGAATTTTCGTAAATTCATTTGAGAGAATGTCTCATATTTTTTTGTTCCATATGTACCCCTTCTCAGACATTTTCTGTATCAAATTCCTTCAGTATAGCATATCCTTATTTTAAGATGATAAAATTATGATACTGTGATTTTCATAAAATCCAATTATCTTTGTATTTTTGAGACAAAGTCTTACTCTGTCATGCAGGTTGGAGTGCAGTGATGCGACTAAGTCTCACTGCGGCTTCCACCTCTGGGGCTCGAGAGATCTTCCCACCTAAGCCTCCCAAATAGCTGGGACCACACTCACATGCCACCACACTCAGCTAGTTTTTAAATTTTTGTAGAGATGGGGTCTTGCCGTTGCCCAGGCTGGTCTCAAACTCCCAGGCTCAAGCGATCCTCCCACCTCAGTATCACAAAGTGCTGGGATTACAGGCTGCTCCCCACCCCAACTATTCTTTTCTTCTACTCCACCAATCCTATTATAAACATTCTAGGGAAACCTTTCATTTCTCCTTCCCCATAGTGGGATTGAGATTATGATTAAAATACCACAGTTCTAAAGTTGTTTTGAAGTCTCTGCTAATTATACAATTATAACTACACTATCAATTTTTGGCCACAAAGTTGAGAATCAGTGAAATATTTTATCATTTGTAAGGTAGGTTTTAATGATTGTTGATATATGGATGTTGGGTCGAGGGATATTTTTTGTAGTAATACACTTTACTTACTTGAATTTTGACATACTTTGAAAACGGAAGAAAGAGGTGAGCTTATCATTGTTTTAATGGGCATAGTACATAATCCATAGTCTTACTTTATTTCATTTTTAGAGACAGGGTCTCTATCACCCAGGCTGGAGTGTGGTGGTGCAGTCGTAGTTCACTGCTGCCTCAAACACCTGGGCTTCAGCAATCCTCCCACCTCAGCCTCCCGAGTAGCTGGGACTACAGGCATGTGCTACTATACCCAGCTAATTTTTTAATTTTTTGTAGAGATGGAGTCTCACTATGTTACCCAGGTTGGTCTTGAATTCTTGGCCTCAAGTAATCCTCCCATCTCAGCTTCACAAAGCGCTGGGGTTACAGGCGTGAGCCACCACACCAAGCCGGTAGTGTATTTTATTTGTGCCCTCTTCATAATGAGAAATTTTTATTGATGTATTTTTCATAATGGTGATGACTATGAATTACTGTAATTCTTGGAGAACTGAATTTCTATTTCTATTTTCTTTTTGCTTTTACAAAAAATAAGTTTCTCAGGAGAAAAAAAGCAATGAAAGGTATTTTATCACCTACCTTGGGCAAAAATAATGCTATGGACCTTAGACCACATAATTCTGTTACCAAATCTAAGGTGATGTTATTAGCACAACTTGTGCTACTGTTGTTTATATTCATAATTATTACTCTGTAAATTTTTTGTATTTATGTATTTGTTATTCTATTATAATTTTAAACTATAAAACTACTTGCTTTCTTTACATTGCCTAGGAATAATCAAGACTCACTTAAAAAATATTTAATTTAAAAATTGGACTACTGATATTTTAATTGAATATTTTTGAGATATTGAACTGATTTCACTCTTCACATACTCATAATACAGTCTGGAGAAGTTTGTGATACTTTTTACGTGTACCATCAACTTTGAGAAATTTCATCAAAATTTTAGTATACTCTTGGGAATTGTGTGAAGGACCTCTCTCATGTCTGCTGTGAGTGGGGGAAAAAATACTGCTGCTTTCCTTGTTAACATTGGGCTTAATATTTTTCTCTCAGCTGATGAATTTGAGTTACCTAAATTGATGAACTAAACATTATATATCAAATAAACTTACAGATAGCATCAGAATCATGGGTTAAAGATTAATATAAAACTTTTTTTTTTTTTTGAGACGGAGTCTTGCTCTGTCGCGCAGGCTGGAGTACAGTGGTAGGTTCTCAGCTCACTGAACCCTCCACCTCCCAGGCTCAAGCAGTTCTCATGCCTCAGCCTTTTGAGCAGCTGGAACTATAGTCTCCGCCACCACGCCCCGCTGATTTTTTTGTATTTTTAGTAGAGACGGGGTTTCTCCATGATGACCAGGCTGGTCTTGAACTCCTGACCTCAAGCAGTCTGCCTACCTTGGCCTCCCAAAGTGCTGGGATTACAGGGTTGAGCTATCATGCCTGGCCAAAACTCTTATCTAAAAGTCAAACTGAGTATGTAGTTCAGTTTCTGGCCTTAAAAATAAAGAAGATAGTAAGATTAGGTATTTATTAGGCATTAGAAAAATGTACATTTAAAGTCAAAGTAAAATGCAGTAAAATTTATGAACTTAATAAATACTATTTTAGTGTCATGCACTATTCTGTGTATTTTACATATGTTACTTTTATATATTTTGATAGCCCTGAAATGTATTTTTTTTTTTACTGTAGAGGATCATAGTGTAATCATACAATTTAAAATTTTCCTGGCCAGGGGCAGTGGCTCACACCTACAATCCCAGCACTTTGGGAGGCTAATACAGGAGGATCATTGCCTTGATTAATGGAGGCTTTAAGTCACTCTTATTTTAAATTATCCATTTAAAATATCCACTTGGGTTCCTGTAGAGATGACCTCAGTTTCCAGTGTTCCCCCCAGACGTTTGCTTCTTGCCGTAGGATCAGGAAGCTTTAAGGCACTCTTATTTTAAATTATCCATTTAAAATATCCATTTTAAGTTATCCATTTTAAAATTATCCCTGGATAATTTAAAATAAGAGTTTGAGCTCAAGGAATTCAAGACCAGCCTGGGCAACATCGTGAGACCGGTCACTCCAAAAAAAATTTAGCTGGGTGTGGTGGCATGTGTACCTGTGGTTCCGCCTACTGAGGAGGTTGAGGTGGGAGGATCACTTGAGCCCAGGAGATCCAGGTTGCAGTGAGCCATGGTTGGGCCACTGTACTTACAGAGCAAGACCCTGTCTCAAAAAAAAAAAAAAAAAAAATCCTGAATTCAAAATACTTTAGTCTTGAGAGGCAAGTGAAGTCCTACTAGGTCGTGGCTGCAGGTTTTCAAACTCCTTGATTTAGGTTTGTTATTATGACCACTTTGCTATTCCCAAGGTGATCTCTAGGATCATTTCAGGAATGTATGAAGATAGTCATGAATGTACTGAGTGTTCGTATCCTGCTTCAGTTCACCTTGGCTGTGCCTACATGATGACAGATATTGGTGTTTTTTTTTTTTTGAGACAGAGTCTCACTCTGTCACCCAGCCTGGAGTGCAGTAGCGCGATCTCGGCTCACTGCAACCTCTGCCTCCCGGGTTCAAGCAGTTCTCTGCGTTAGCCTTCTGAGTAGCTGGGATTACAGGCACCTGCCACTACGCTCAGCTAATTTTTGTATTTTTAGTAGAGAAAGGGTTTCACCATCTTGGCCAGGCTGGTCTTAAACTCCTGATCTCGTGATCCACCCACCTTGGCCTCCCAAAGTGCTGGGATTACAGGCATGAGCCACTGTGCCCAGCCCATGATAACAGATGTTTGAAAGGGAATAAAGTCGTGTCTAGTGTCATTGTGCTAGCGTGCCCCTCCCCCTTCAGTGTTGGCCCCAGATCTTCCCTTTATTTTTTTATGTTTGTGGGAAAGGGGCCACATCAGCAGCAATCATCAACCAATCAATAGGATCTACTTAGTGGTGAACATATTGGCTGTTTAATTGGTAAGAGTCGCTGGCCTGACCACACCACAGCATGGCCACTTGGGTTCCTGTAGAGATGGCCTCAGTTTCCAATGTTCCTCCCAGACGTTTGCTTCTTGCCCAATCGAGAGGGGATCTCAAGACTCCTGATTGGTCATTGTGAGCTCTCACCCTGCGTGGCTGTGTAGATAGACTGCATAGATACATGAAGTGGGGATGGGGGCCAAGGTCCTATTACTGCTGTTTGGAAATAACTTGCCTCTTACAGATCCAGCCTTATTGTTTTTCTGACATCCTAGTAATGGCAGATCCTGCACAAAGTGGATTTCAGAGTTAATACTGTGAGGAGACAAAATAATGAGAATAGTTTTACCAAAGACAATGAAATATTGCATAATGTCTGCATTTTGCCATTGATTTGAGTGCATCTTTAGAAAACTGAATTTCACGAAAACCCAGGACATTGCTGGAAATTGTATGCCCTTTAGAAACTTTATGTGAATTTTTATACAAATGCTGTTTTATGAGTTATGTAAAATGTTACAAAAATAGAAAAAAAATACCCTGTGTCTATAAGGTGGTGCTGCTGTTGAAGTCGTGGGGCACAAGTCCATCTTCCTGGTACCTTACAACTCTTCTTACCGTATTAATTTTCTGTTTCTGACTCATACATTACCACCTACTTAACATCTTAAAACAATAAAGATTTATTGTCTCACAGTTTTAGTAGGCCAGAAGTCCAGGCGGGCCCAGCCGAGTCCTCAGCTTAGGGACTTACAAAGCCAAGATGAGTGCGTTGGCAGAGCTGCATTCCTTTTTGGAGTCTCTAGGGAAGAATCCACTTCTAAGTTAATTCAGGTGGTTGGCTGAATTCAGTAGGTCTTTCCTTTCTTTGTGTCCCTCTTTCCTTACTGGCTATGAGCCAAGGGCTGGTCTTTTCTCCCAGGAGCTGAAGTGCTTTCCATGTGGCCCCCTCCAGTAATGGCAGGTCAAATCCCTCTCGTGCTTCTAACCTGTCTGACTTCTTTTTCTGGCTGAATCTCTGACTCCAGATGGAGAAAGTTCTCAGCTCTTGAGGTCTCTTGATTAGATTCCTGGATAACCCAGGAATCTATCTTATTTTTGGATCTGTAGTCCTTTTTTTTTTTTTTTTTTTTTTTTTTGTTTTTTGAGACAGAGTCTTGCTCTGTCACCCAGGCTGGAGTGTAATGGTGCAATCTCGGCTCACTGCAACCTCCGCCTCCCAGGTTAAAGCAATTTTCCTGCCTCAGCCTCCCGAGTAGCTGGGATTACAGGCACCCGCCACCACGCCTGGCTAATTTTTGTATTTTTAGTAGAGATGGGGTTTCACCATGTTGGCCAGGCTGGTCTCGAACTCCTGACCTCAGGTGATCCGCCTGCCTTGGCCTCCCAAAGTGCTGGGATTACAGGTGTGAGCCACCATGGCTAGCAAAGATCTGTGTAGTCTTTTTACATCTGCACTGTTCCTTTTGTGGTGGAAGGTAACCTATTAACAGGTTCCAGGGATTAGGGTATGGACATCTTTGGAAGGCCATTCTGCCTAATACACTCATATACTCCTGAAAAGAAACTTGATAAATTCTCTACCCTTGTACATTTTAAAGTTGATTCCTACAATTTTCATCATAGATTGAAATTGTTGAAAAAAATATAATTTCTGTTTTTTCCAGATACACCACTTTTATAAGTACCTAAATATCATAGTGATTTGATGCTGTCATTGGTTTTAAAAAACAAGCTTGAATTAATTCATTTCACAGTTGGAAGTTTTCAGCGTCCCTTTTTCTTATTAAACTTTATTTTCTTTCGACTTCTCCAACATAATTTTATTTGAATCCAATGTATTTTAATGTTTTAAAATTCTTTATTAATGACTCTGTCATACTTGTTTGTAGCAAATATACATTTAATTTTTCAAAATTTTTTACTGATTTCTTCATTCTTGCGGAACTCCCTCTCTGGACAATGCATTTTTGTATGGTATTTCCACAATGGAAGAGGTAATCATTAAATGAAAATTGTTATTCTTTCTGTCATCACACTATACAATAAAGTATATCTGAATTCCTAAACACAAAGCAGAACACCAATTCTTAAAGCTATGCTTTGCCTTTAATAGAAATATTTGTAAGACAGGGAAAGCCAGAAGCTTGAGGGTTAATGGTGTCTTGATTAATGGAGGTTTTAAGGCACTCTTATTTTAAATTATCCATTTGTTTTGTTCCATGGAAGCTTCTACAACCTAGGGCAACTCATTCTAATAAGATTTGGGATGGGGATAGGTATGGATTTCTTGTGAAAAGTGGGAGAATGAGGGCTCTGGGAAAGTAGGCAGATCATCTTTGGGAAAGCAAACAAAGGGAAGATGAAGATACAGAAGCTGATTTTCTTAAAACTTGTCTTGCTCAAGTATCCCTTGGAAAGCCTTAGTGTGTACCTTTAGTAATACATACCCCACTTTGTCTGTATCCCATACTGCCTCCTTGAAAGACTGTCCACCTCCTGCCTACCTCCTGTCCTCCCACAGGGACAGAAGCTAACTTCTCTCCACCACCCAGGATTGCCCTTGCATCTGTTACACACTTTTGAGGCCATGCCCAAGAGAGGATTAATTCCTTTCTCATACTGATGCCTACTTTTTGGGCCCTGTTTCTTGTCACAGTATTTGGCTCTTACCAGGAAATTTGCCATTAGCAGTGTTTGCACATTTCAGCAGAGATTCTACCCACAGGTTAGTGATATCCAAATATAGCCATTTGCTGCATAACAACATTTTGAGTCAGCAGACCACATATAAGATGTGGTAGCCATCATGATATAGTATAACACATTACTCACATTTGTAGTGATGTTGGTGTAAACAAACCTACTGTGCTACCAGTTGTATAAAAGTATAGCATTTGTCTTTCATTAAGACAAGGAAAAAATAGCACAATTACGTACAGTATGTAATATTTGATAAACAATGATGTTACTGGTTTATGTATTTAAATATACTTTTTAATCATTATTTTGGAGTGTACTTTTACTTTTTTTTAAAAAAAAGTTTATTTTAAAACAACCTCAGGCAGGTCCTTCAGGAGGTATTCTTCAAGAAGGCGTTGTTATCATAGGTGATCACGGCTCCATGTTATTGCCCCTGAAGACCTAGTGGGACAAGATGTGGAGGTGGAAGACAGTGACACTGATGATCGTCACCCTGTGTAGGCCTAGGCTAATGTGTGTATCTGTGTGTTAGTTCTTAACAAAATAATTTTAAAGTAAAAAATATATATATATATATATTTTTTTTTTCTTTTCTTTTTGAGATGGAGTTTCGCTCTTCTTGCCTAGGCTGGAGTGCAGTGGTGCAATCTTGGCTCACTGCAACCGCCGCCTCCCAGGTTCAAGCGATTCTCCTGCCTCAGCCTCCTGAGTAGCTGGGATTACAGGTGTGTGCCACCACACCGGCTAATTTTGTATTTTTAGTAGAGATGAGGTCCATGTTGGTCACGCTGGTCTTGAACTCCTGACCTCAGGTGATCCGCCCACCTCGGTTTCCCAAAGTGCTGGGATTACAGGCGTGAGCCACCATGCCCAGCCTAAAAATTTTTAAGATAGAAAAAAGCTTATTAGAATAAGGATGAAAATATTTTTGTATAGCTGAACAGTGTGTTTGTGGTGGTGGCTTTTTTTTTTTTTTTTCTTTGAGGCAGAGTCTCGCTCTGTCGCCCAGGCTGGAGTGCAATGGTGTGATCTCGACTCACTGCAACCTCTGCCTCCTGGGTTCAAGCGATTCTCCTCTGCCTCAGCCTCCCAAGTAGCTGGGACTACAGGCATCCGCCACCATGCCCGGCTAATTTTTTGTATTTTTAGTAGAGACGGGGGTTTCACCATATTGGCCAGGCTGGTCTCGAACTCCTGACCTTGTGATCCACCCTCCTAGGCCTCCTAAAGTGCTGTGATTACGGGCGTGAGGGTGTGAGCCACAGCACCCAGCCTAAAATCTTTTGTACTGTGTTTTTACTGTACTCTTTCTGTGTTTAGATACACAAATACCATTTTCTTACAAATGGTAACAGTATTCAGTACAGTAACATCCTGTACAGGTTTGTAGCCTAGGAGCAATAGGCTATATCATCAAGGTTTGTGTGAGTATAGTCTGAAGTTTGCACAATGATGTTTTGGCCTAACTTCACATTTCTCAAAGAATGTATCCCTGTTGTTAAGTGATGCATGATTATGTAAGAAAGACGTCTACAATAAGTCAGGTAGTGGGGGCAAAGCAGAGGCTCCTTACATCTGTGCCTTTCAAGTTACAAAAAAAGGATGTTATTTTTAATGTTGTTCAAAGTCTGGGTGATTATCTTAACATTGCATGTGTTAAGACATAAGCTATACAGGCCAGTTACAACTGGCTATCTTATTTCTTTTTGCTTGAAATGACAATACCAGTTTGTCTTCCAGTTTTTTAGGGTATTGTATTTAATGGAAAAAACCGCAATTACTTTTGTACCTGGTCTTTTGTGAGTAACTGCTGAAATAAGAACCCAAATATCTCTATACAAATAGGAAAACCCGAAGCCATACTTTAAAAATAAACATTTCTCTGAAAGAAACAATTTGCAGAAATTTATCTCTATCAAGAAGATGTGGTCCTTTACATTATCCCACAGAGCCATTTGTCCTTTGAATTGCTGCTCCATTTTTGTAGTCCCTATTTTACATTTGTATGGCTGAATATACTATTTGGGTCCTTTTTCCCTTAAGGAACAGCCTGTATATAAAGCATAATTTTGTTGCCAGCTTTGAAATGAGTTTTTAGTTTCTGATACAACAGTGTTTTAAACATATTAAATATTTAAACATGTTTCAAGCAATCTTGAAAGTGTCAGGAAATCAAAGTTAAGTGCAACCCTTCTTTCCAACATTCTGCACAATAGGGAAATCTCCCAATACCTATATGACCTGGTAATGGAAGCTCAGCACTGAGAAAACGTAGAGAAAAGTGTCTTTCTCTTTGAATATTGTGCCTTTTCTTAATGCGGTTGGTAACTGAGCTTTCTGCCAGGTTCTTACTCATTCTCACCTTGACCACACCATTTATTTACATAATGATTCTGAGCAGTCATTTCTGAGTTTTGTAGACTGAGTATGTGAGTTTACCTTTCCAAACTACAACAATTTAGGTTGTTTCTTTGCTCTTATGTTGTCATTCTGGTCTTCATATTTTTCCTTTCTTTTGTCACCTATAGATTAGCCTTACATATTAAAGAAGTCCTTATGAATGTTAGTCTTGGCTCCTGACAGGACCTTCTGCTTTCGAAAACTCTCTTTAGTAGTTTGCCAAGCCATCTCCATGAGGTATCTGGACATCTTACATTTTAGAATGAAATAAGTATGAGGACAGAAACAACTAATTGTCTGCCAATATTCCTCCTATTATTTTTTCTTATTGGTAGATGCTCCAGTTCTTAAGCATATGGTGAAATAAAGGACATATTTCCTATCCCCCCGATAGCTATGGTCATATGATTAAGTTCTAAGCCATGAAATGTAAATAAAAGTTTCCTGTGAAATTTCTGAAAAATTTCCTTAAAGGGAGGCTATTGCTTATCTCCTTTTTCTCATCTTGCTGTCTGATCAGCAGATGTGATGGCTAGAACTTACTTGAACAGTTATTTTTAAAACCATGAAGGAGAAGCCACATGTTGAGGATGGCAGACCAACAAAATATAAGGACCCTTGGTTCCAGGCGATCATGGTTCTGGATTGCCTATGTTTTTTTGTGAAAGAAATAAACTTCTGAATCATTTAAGCCAGTTATTTTGAGTGTTCTGTCATTCCGTTGTTATTTTGAGTTTTCTATCATTAACAGCTGAACCTAATCCTAACTGATACACATATATTTAAAAGTCAAGCTTTTTCCAAATAAGCACATAGACTGGGTCCCATGGGTTTTATTGTGCAGCAATGACATAAGAAAAACTGTTAATCTCCACTCTAAAAATTTTGATGCTCAAATTCAGCACTGACATTTCACCTGTTATCTATGACTCCTCCTCTTTCATTTTTCTACTTTCACCAAGGTTTCATTGCCTTACTTCCATCCTTGAAATTGTTAATACCTCTAATAGGTGGTAATATGCCAGGAGTTACGGGAGGCTACAGGATAAACATCTTCCTGGAGCATTGACAATTTGGAGGGAGAACCTTAAGTTTTATATTGAAAAACATGGAATGGGAGGCAAAATTTACATACATTTTTGAAATATTAAGAAAACATTTTTAAAAATTCTATGGAATTGAAATACAAGAGGCTATTAATTTAGATCCCACATGGTAATAAGTTCACTCTTTTCTGCCTCTCTTTTTCCCTAAGGGTACTAGATGGAAACTTGAGAAAGGACTGCTTATTGATAACAGCTAAGGTATTCCTGGAAGCAGAGTAAATAAAGCTCATGGCCCACCAGCTAGAAAGGTAAGAGATTTTAAGCTTTTAACATAAAAGTATTCTTTTCATTTTGTGATTATCTTTCAAATACTACCGAATTTAGTAGATGTTTCCAGACAGTTGTCTTCAGAATGCTGAAGTCCTACCGTATTGATAGTGTTTAGTAAAAAAAGATGCTGAGATTCAGCAAATTTGGAAATGTCTTTTGGAGATAGAATGAATGTGAGCATATAAAAGCACAATGAGGACTTAGGTTAAATATTTAATTTTGTTTAACATAGAGTTTCCTAAATTTATCTGACTAGGGACCCCTCTTTAGCAAAGGGTTCCGATATAAAGGTCTCAGTTCTTCTAAGAATAATAATATAAACTAATCTGAGGTATTTTCTGTCTTTCAAAAATATTTTGGGCAAAAAGTTTACCCACTCTAGGGCCGTACAAGCTAATGAAAATGTCAAATTTATTTGCTTTCTAATTGAATGATATCAACTAAGTTTATTACCACAGTTGTCTCATGCTGATCAGAAACGTTAATTGGAAGTTATACAGTCCCTTATACATACCTTTATTGAATACTGTGTGCCAGCCACAGAATGGTGATATTAGAGTATAAAGTAAAAAAAAATTTTTTTTTCTAATCTCAAGCCATTTACAGTTTGGGGATGTAGCTTCTAAATATGGAAGGAAAATACCAATTTAATAAATGTAGTCTGGCGTACAAAATCTTTCAAAACATAGTGATAGACTTTGTTAGATATATCAAAATATACAAGCAGATTGGGTTTTTTGTCACACCTGGATCTGGAGGTTCACATCAAAAGAGGAACTATGCATAAAAGTATAGTTATTCTAATTTTGACAAAAATTCGGAAAATAATTTAAATCTGTCAATACATTTATATATTTAAAAAGCAAAAAATTTTAAAGCAAGTATAAAGCAGAATGGGTGATAACACTTGATAATTTTTTCTTACTCTGTGATACCTGCATTAAATAATTTTAAGCTGCTTGACTAACTTAAATGATCAAGTTTACTAGAAGCAGTCATCATAAAATATAAGCTCCATTAGGTCAGGAACTGTGTCTGTGTCATCATACCCTGAAGTCTAGCACATTCCTACCCTATTGCATGTGCTCAATAATGTTTATTGACTGAATGATGGGGTAAATGAGAGATCCAAATTTGAGGGTAGGGGAGTAGTAGATGGAAGAAGCTCGGAAGTTAGTGGTGTTGACTAAGAAAGGAATGGATGAATGGGAAATGGATGATATAAGGGAGGAAACTGATTAAAAGCCTGCATAGCTAGAGCCAGAGATTAAGGGGAAGCCTAAGACTGGTTAGGAGGTAGTGGTCAGTCCATGCAAGGGTCTAGAAACAATGTTAAGCATTTGAGACTATCCTGTGAGCTGCTTGTTTTTTTCATAACTGATCCTTGACTCTCATTTTGATAGTACTGCTTTAGTTCAGACCATTATTCTCCCTTCAACTTAGCAGTAGCTTGTGCCAGTTTTCTTTGTTTTGTTGTTGTTGTTGTTTAGATTTACCTCTTATTTTTGTCATTTTTTGCCAGTTTTCTTATGCATAGTGTGCTGCCCATCTTCTATACTTTTATTAGTGATCTTGCAAAAATCCTCCTCTTGATTTAGTTCACGTACTTAAAATGTTTCAATTTCTTACTACAGAGTTAGACAAACTTTTTCTTTAATGGGGGAGTGGGAGACTGGGAGACTGATCATACATATTTTAGACCTTGTGGGAACCACATGTGATCTCTGTTGCATAGTCTTCTTTGTGTCCCCGCCCCCACCTTTAACAATTTTAAAGTGTGAAGAACTCAGCACTTTGACCCAGGGCCATAGCTTATATAACCTTGGGGCAGTGGGAAGGGAAGGAAGGATGGTGGAAGGGCAGGTAATGGTGGAATCCAAACATTTTACCATGTTATTAAAGGCCTTTCAAGATTTGGATATCTCTCTGGTCTTACTGTCTTAATCTTCTATCCTGTTGATGAGAAGAGTGAAACTCTATAAAATATTTGAAGAGATTTATTTGGAGCCAAATATGAGTAGCCAGTGGCTAATGACACAACCTAGGAGACCCTGAGAACATGTGCCCAAGGTGGTTGGGCTACAGCTTGGTTTTATACATTTTAGGGAGACATAAGACATCAATCAATACATTTAAAATGTGCATTGATTGGGTCCAGAAAGGTAGGACAACTGGAAGTTTGGGGGGTGGGGTGCTGTGTTCCAGTTCATAGGATTCAAAGATTTTCTGATTGGCAGTTGGTTGAAAGAGTTACTATCTAAAGACCTGGAATCAATAGAAAGGAATGTCTGGGTTAAGATAAGAGGTTGTAGAGAATAAGGTTTTATCATGCAAGAGAATAGACTGTAAATGTTTCTTACCAGACTTAAAGAGTCTGTTCTATCAATCTTACGGTCTCTGTGTTGATATTAATGTTGGTCAGCTGTGCCTGAATTTCAACGGGAGGAGGGTATAAATGAGGCCTGTGGGACCTCCACTTCCCATCATGGCCTTAACTAGTTTTTCGGGTTAACTTTGGAATGCCCTGGGCCAAGGGAAGGGTCTGTTGGTTGGGGGGCTTAGAATTTTATTTTTGGTTTACAGTCCCACACTTCAGCTATCAGAGGTTCTCAGAGTCTCAGTGGACTGTGCTTTATTGTGCCTCAACATGCTGTCTCCTCTTTATGAAATATCCCAGAATGGCTGATGCCTCTTGCTTTGAGAAAACTCAACTCAGGCATTACTTCCTTTAGTAGCATTTCAGGGCCCTCTCCAGGATTGGCTAGGTATTTAGGGAATGGAAACTCAATCAGATAAATTCAAGTAAAAAGAGGGGGTGGGACTCATACTAATGGTACTGGAGACTCTCGGATCCAATCACAAGACATAGTTGGGCATCACAGAAACTATTTTCCTTCATGATTTCTCACCTCTGTTTTTCTGTGCCTACTCCATTCTGGCTTTTATTAGTTTTTTTTTTTATCAGTAAGAACATGACAGAAAATGTCTACCGGTCCTAAAATATGATTTTGAATCTCTGATGCTCACTTCTGTGTGACTGATTTTTTCTTTCTACAGATTTCCTGAAGAGGTAGTCTGATTGGCTTAACTCGGTCAGTATCTCCCCTAGTTTACCTGAGGCAGGTATGTCAGGATCATGGATATGTAGGATTGCCCTTTTCTCCAATGTTGGCAGATCAAGCTCTTTAAGAGGGGAATATGAATGCTTTTGATTTATGTTCCCATAGCCTGTCTTTATTATTATATGTATCACTGAATTACTATTTTCACTTTTTCTCTTCCTTACTAGTCTGATTTTAAGGGCAGGGACTATGTCTTATTCTTTTTAAAAAAATGTTTATGTATTTTCATAAAAACCATGGTAACATCAAGCAACTTTTATTCTTAATATGGTATTAGATACAAAATAGGTAGTGAAATGTTTTCCAAATAACTTTTATAAAGTAAATGATTTGTATTGGAAATGCTCAGAGTGCTATGTATTATCTATAACATTTAGTATTACCTATATTTTAGAAACTTGTTTGGAAACTTGAGTACGTGCTTAAAAGGTTAAGAGTTTGCAATGTTTATAGTTCTATAACCAACTAAATAGAAGATCAAATTCATATTTTAGAATCCGGATATTTCTAACGTTAGTCACCAGAAATGTGTTTGCTCCCTCCCATTTTTGTAGACTGATTTAACAGCACTATTTTCTATGAAGTGAATTGCTTTCCTCATTTGTTTTTGATAGGGATGTAGGAAAATAAAATATTTTATCGTGTGAATCACTTCAGTGATAGAATTAAAAATGACATGGGAATATTGATACTACAGCCTAAAGCATCTTCCTTTTCCTCAACAGACTTAACCTACATGTCATATTTTAAAAAGGGAACAAGGAGCTAATAGAATAAATGATTATATGATATCACCCTTTGAGTCTTCTGATTTGTAAATTATTCTACTGTAGTATAATTTTATTTGCTCTTAACCTTGCAGTGCAGAATGTAGTTTTTCTATTCTTTGATATATATCATAGCATGAAAATTATAAACAAAAAACAAGCAGAGTTCTTAGAGAATAAATATATCTTGTAGTGTTTTTTTCATGACTACTGCTACAAACTACATCGATGCTAATTATATAATGGTTATACAGTACTCCCCCGTTATCTGTGGAGGATAAGTTTCAGGAGCCCCAGTGGATGCCTGAGACTGTAGATAGTACTGAGCCCTATACATGCTATTTTTTTTCCTATGTAGTAATGAGCAGGTAGCATATATAGCCTGGATGTGCTTGACGAAGCGACAATTCACATCTCAGGTGGGATGGAGCAAGAAGATGCGATTTCATCACTCTATTTAAAACAGTACACAGTTTAAAGCCTATGAATTGTTTGTTTCTGGAGTTGTCCATTTAATATTTTTAGACAGCTGTTGACTGTGGGTAACTGAAACCATGGAAAGTGAAGCTGCAGATAAGTGGAGGACTGCTGTGTAATGAATTATTACAGTGCATATTATTTACATACAACTTAAACTCCTTCTATAAGTTTTTATTTTTTACTTCAAAACTCTTTAAGGGTTCTACAATAAGACATTCTGTTACAAAATCACAATATGTCCATGAAAGTCAGGAAGTTAACATTGATATATTGCTACTATCTAATCTGCAGGTCACATTTAAGTTTTTCCAGTTGTTCTGATAATGTACTTCATAGAAAAAGGATTCCGTCTAGAATCTCAGGTTGCAATTATTTGTTATGTCGCATTGGTCTTTTAAAATCGGAAACAGTTCCTTAATGTTTCCTTGACTATAATGATTTTGGTGCTTTTGGAGATTATTATGCCAGTGAATTTATAGAGTTTACCTCAATTTGGGGTTATATAATACTCTTCATTATTAGATACAGGTTCTATATCTTTGGCATGACTATTATAGAAGTGATGCTGTTACATTCTTATTACATTCTATCAGTGGCACATGATTTTATCTTTCTTATTTCTCGTGGGGTTAAGTCACATCACTTGATTAAGGTGATGTTTGCCAGGCTTTTGTGCTGTAAATTACTTTTGCCCTTAGTAATTAAGCTGTATAGGGAGATATAATACTTTGAGATGATATAAATATCCTATTTCTTATCAAATGTTCAGTTTATTCCTTTATATCAGTATGGGTTCATAGAACCCTCTTTATTTACGATGTGATCCATTACTATCATTATTTATTTTGATCATCATATTATCCCAGATTTAAGTCCTTTCTTACTTTCTGGCCAAATCTGGCAGCAGTACAGGATGCGTCTTGAATATCTTGTGCCAGAAAGTAAGGAAGGACTTCTTTATTTCCACTACAAGACCCATCCTGTACTGCTGAATTAGAATCAGCCAATTCTTCAAGGAGCTGAGGTCCCTTTTGGTGGAGAATGGTATTTACGCACCGTATTAGGCCATTCTTGCATTGCTATAAAGAAATACCTGAGACTGGGTAATTTATAAAGAAAAGAGGTTTAATTGGCTCCTGGTTCCACAGGCTATACAAGCATGGCACTGGCATCTGCTCAGCTTCTCAGGAAGCCTCAAGGAGCATTTACTCATGGCAGAAGGCAAAGCAGGAGCAGGCACATAACATGGTGAGAGCAGGAGCAGGAAGAGAGTTGCAGGGGGCACACAATTTTAAAAAATCAGATCTCCTGAGTATTCATTCACTGTTGAGAGGACAGCACTGAGCCATGAGGGATCTGCCCCAACACCTCTCACCAGGCCCTACCTCCAACATTGAAGATTACAATTCACCATGAGATTTGGCAGGGACATATATTCAACCTATATCACACTCCAGAGTCTGGATGCTAAGTGTGCTTATTGGGGTTTCAGTGTTCCCAGGCCCTCTCAGTGGACACAGCTAGGGACCTACATGACCACATATGCGTGCATATACACATTAACATCTATATTTCTGTATCTTTATGTTGAGAGCCATAAGTTACCATTAGTATCTTCAAATGTCATCTAATACCAAGGTTCATTCTATATTTATAATTCCCTTCAACTGTAGTATGAATTCACTCTTACCTAGCACATCCTTGATATGTTTACTTATTTGATCAATATCCACGTATTTACATAATGAATTGCCTGGTGCCATTAGGCACTCACCTTTCCTCTCCATCAAGTAGATGTCTTCCTGTTTGGGTCCTGACACCCTGTGCTGGACTAGTGCCACTCCTATCCTTTACTTCATGTGGATGCCGCCTTAGCCCACTTGGGCATTGACAGCTCACATCAGGCTGCCTTCCCTTCTTTTCTTATCCTTCTGAGACTCCAACATTAAATGCAGGGCTGACCACCCCTTTCCCAGCCCAACCCTCAACTCATCTATCTCCCAGTGGACATCTTTCTCACTCTGCTTAGACTCAGACACTGCAGTGGGCTGCCCTCAGGTAGCCTGTCTGAGCTACCTCCCGTGCAGACACTCTATATTTGTTTTCTCTGGTGGCTTAACTTTTATGTGAATTTTAAGTTGGAAGATGTGTTTTGCCGGTTAATTTCTTCCATTTTCTTCTATTCATCTTTTCTTAAAATGTTTTTCTTTATTATTCTCTTTTCTTATTGGCATTTTATAATACATGATTCCATTTGGTAATGAGCCTGTCTAATAACTCTAGAAATTCTAAAAGTCTCTCTGTACTATTAAAAGTGGTTTACATAAAATTTCTGTATAGTTGTTAGTCGTAAAATAGCAGGAGAAATATTTTTGTCCCATTTTTGACCTCGAATAAGTCATTTTACCCTTTCAGACCTCAGTCTCCTCATTTGCAAAATGAATAGTTAGGACTATATTAGGAACCTAACGACGAGGTGCCCGATCAGAAATCCATGTCATAAGAAAAAGCCTATATTCTATATTCAAGTGAGAGAATTTTAACTAACATTTTTTTTTAAAAAAAATGGGCAAAGAATCAGGTGCAGTGCCTCATGCCTGTAATCCTAGCACTTTGAGAGGCTGAGGCAGGAGGATGGCTTGAGCCTAGGAGTTCAAGATCAGCCTGGGAAACATAGGGAGATCCTGTCTCTACAAAAAATGTAAAAATTAGCTGGAGATGGTGGTATACACCTGTGGTTCCAGCTATTTGCGAGGCTGAAGTGGGAGGATTGCTCAAGTCTGAGAAGGTGGAGCCTGTAGTGAACCATGATCATGCCACTGCACTCCAGCCTGGGTGACAGAGCAAGACCTCATCTTGAAAAAAAGGCGGGGGCTGGGCAGAGGAGGCATTTTACATAGAACTACAAATAACCATTATATATATGAAAAAGTTCAGCCTCATTAGTGTGTCAAGATATGCAACTTAAAAATTAGTTTTTTTTACTAATATGACAAAAATGTTAAAAAATGATATCCACTGTTTGTGTTGGTATTAAGAAATGAGGTCTTTCTCTGCTGGTAAAGTAGAAATCAATACTGTATATTTGGAGGGCAGTTTAGCAATATAAATTGAAAGCCTTAAAATATGCCTTTACTTTGATATAGCAGTTTCACTTCTAGAAGTTCATCTTGTGGAATTTATTACAGATATTGCACAAAGATTTGTCCCAAAGATATTCATTGATGATAAAAGCCCATTAATAATTATATGATGGAGTACTATATAGCCGTTAAAAATGACATCTATTTAATGACATTACTATTTAATTATATGGCAGAATTTAGATAATTGCATTTTAGAGGAAGTTGTAATACTATTTATATATTTTTCTTCTTTTTTTCATTGTCATAGAGTCATGTTTTTATAATTTATAAAGTTATGTATCACCATACATTGACAAGACTAGACTATGTACTCTGAAATGTTAACAGTAGTTATCTCTGAATGGTAGTATTCAAGGTAACTTTTATTTTCTTTTTGCCCTTCTGTATTATTCTTGGAGCAGATTTAAAGTTCCTTATAATGCCTTAGTTCATTAGGTGTAGTTTAGTTTACATTATTAGGATATAACAAGTGATCTCCTTCTGAACGCCAATGAAAACTTCAGCTTTTAGTCAGGCATGGTAGCATTGCCTGTAATCCCAGCTACTTACTTAGGAAGCTGAGGCGGGAAGATCACTTGAGCTCAGGATTTCAAGGCTGCAGTGAGCTATGATCATGCCACTGCACTCCAGCCTGTGTGACAGAGCAAAACTCTGTCTCTTAAAACACACACAGACACACACACACACTCTCTCTCTTGCTCGCTCGCTGTTGCTCTCTCTTTCTGTTTCTCTCTGCAGCTTTAGGGTTTTTTAGAATTATGTAAGATTGATCACACACACACACACACACACACACACACACTCTCTCTCTCTCTCTCTCTCTCTCTCTCTCTCTCTTTCGGCAGCGTTAGGGTTTTTTAGAATTATGTAAGATTGATCATTTATACAGGATACCTAATAGCAGAAATTGCTATATGTTGTCACAAACAAAATTGAAAGTAGAATTTAAACAAGTATGGAGTTCTAAAATAACATGCTTTATAGCAATAAAATAGAGGAAATACGAGGAACATATACATGTTTGTATGTGGAACTATCTTAGAAAACTGGAAAGAGGGCCAGGCACAATGGCTCAGGCCTGTAATCCCAGCACTTTGGGAGGCCAAGGCGTGGATCACCTGAGTTCAGTAGTTCAAGACCAGCCTGGCCAACATGGTGAAACCCCATCTCTACTAAAAATACAAAAATTAGCCGGGAGTGGTGGTGCGTGCCTGTAATCCCGGCTACTCTGGAGGCTTGAACCTGGCAGGCGGAGGTTGCAGTGAGCCGAGACGCAACATTGCACTCCAGCCTGGGCGACAAGAGCGAGAGTCTGTCTCAAAAAAAAAAAAAAAAAGAAAAGAAAACTGGAAAGAGGAAGCCTTCACTTTTGTACTGATCTAAGTTCTGCAGCAGAACATCAAGCAAGTGTTCTCAGTTCATAGGATCCTCTTATGTCTATATTAAAATAACTGCCTATTACCTCAATATATTTTGTAGGTTTTTTTCTTTTCTTTTTTAGAATTTTCAGGGATTTGCTCTTCCCTATTTTTCTGTTCCATCTCTTCCTCTAATCTTGGGAGCAATTGTTAGTGCTCTTTTACCCCAGAGCTGTTTTTGGTCATATTTCTCATTTGAAGTTTGACAACAGTTTGTATGGAGGAATATTTATTTTTTTCTGAAGTAACACATGTAGATAGCATACATGTTAAGATTTTTGTAGATTCACATTTGAAAAATATATTTATAGGGACCAGGCACGGTGGCTCACACCTGTAATCCCAGCACTTCGGGAGGCCAAGGCGGGCGGATCACGAGGTCAGGAGATGGAGACCTTCCTAGCTGACATGGTGAAACCCCGTCTCTACTAAAAATACAAAAAAATTAGCCGGGCATGGTGGCGGGCTCCTGTAGTCCCAGCTACTTAGGAGGCTGAGGCAGGAGAATGGCGTGAACCCGGGAGATGGAGCTTACAGTGAACCGAGATTGCGCCACTGCACTCCAGCCTGGACGACAGAGCGAGACTCCGTCCCGAAAAGAAAAAAAAGAAAAGAAAAATATGTTTATAGTTTTATGTTGATTCTACCAGAACCACATACCTAGGTGAAATTTTTAAGTGTTGAAGATAAAGCTTCATGTTGTATTTAATTTGGATAAAGTGCCGGGGGCACTTTATTAAGCCCCTGCCAGTAGGAGACAGAGAGAAAGTTGCCATTTCAAACCTGGAAATTATGCTGAGTTTTTGTAGGATGTGAAATGAAGAATCCAGCCCATGGTGGGATAGGAGGAGGGAAAAAAACTAGGGTGAGTTTCACTGACTTAAGTAATTGACAGATACCATTTATGAATGGTCAAATGGTCATTAGCCCTGGTCTTTGACTTCATGCAGCTATGGCAGGAAGGTTATTTCACAAACCTTGAAGTTGATATTTTAAGGATATTTGTGTGTGTGTGTGTGTATACATATATATACACACACATATATATATACATATATATATATATATATATATTTTTTTTTTTTTTTTTTTTTTTTTTTTTTTTCCTGAGATAGGGTCTTGCTCTATCCCCCAGGCTGGAGTGTATTGGCAAGAGCATAGTTCACTGCAGTCTCAAAATCCTAGGCTCAAGGGATTCTCCTGCCTCAGCCTCCTGAGCAGCTAGGACTACACGCACATACCACCATGCCTGGCTAATTTTTAAGTTGCTTTTTTTTTTTTTTGTATAGAGACAGAACCTTATGTTCCCCAGGGTGGTCTTGAACTCCTGGCCTCTGATCCTTCTGCCTCGGCACCCCAAAGTGCTATCATTACAGGTGTGAGCCATTGCACCTTGGGCAGGATTTATTATTTTTCAAACAGTTCAAGGTATCCTTTTAAAAACAGCTTTTTAAGGTATAATTGACTTATAATAAATTATACATATTCAAAGTATACAGCTTGATACGTTTTGACTTATATGTATACACCCATAAAACCATCACCACAATCAAGATGATAAATTTGTCACCCTCAAAAGTTTTCTCATGCCCCTTTGTAATCCTTCCCTCCCACTCCTTCTACTCCTGTCCCTCAGCAACCAGTGATCTGCTTTCTGTCGCTGTGGTTTTCATTTTCTAGAATTTTATATAAATGGAATCATACAATATAATTTCTTTGACTGTCTGCTTTCACTTGGCATAATTATTTTGAGATTCATCCATTGTTGTAGTGTCAGTAGTTTTCAAGAAAATCTCTTTATTCGCTTAAGAATGCCATTGTCACTTTGAACCAAGTTATTAGTAAAAGAAGAGCAAATCCAAGATGCAGTCTGATTTGGGACTTTTAATCTTTGGCATTTTCGCCTAGCTGATTTTTTTTTTAAACCCACAAGGCATTGTAAACATTCCAGAATGAGGACACTTTTTCTTATGTGTATCTGTGCAGTGACTGCTTCATAGTTACCTCTATGAAATTAAAGATTATTTGTTACTTAAATTTATTCCTGATTTCCTGATGTATTTTGTTATTTTTTTCTCAAAGAAGGAGTTATATTATTCTGCTTTTTACACACATTGGTATGGCACTTTAATTTTAGCTTAACTTTTTGGGCATTTTGCTTTAACCTTCATTTTACTTTATGTTCATGAGTGAGTATATTTCAGCAATTTACTTAAGATGCCTTCACCAGTATTGAAGAATTGGAATGGAAGTATTTACAATTTGCTGAGAAGTGGGAAAGTCATGTTTTAGATTTTTCATAATATTTGAACTTTAGGTTACCCAAATTTACTGGTCTGTCTCTTTAATAAAAATCATCTGTTTACACTTTTCCTGATTAAAGGAGTGGTGGTATTTAATGTAATCTATTTCTTTCTTTCTTTTCTTTTTTTTTTTTTTTTGAGATGGAGTCTCACTCTGTTGCAGCACAGTGGCACGATCTCAGCTCACTGCAACCTCGGCCTCCCGGGTTTAAGCAATTCTCCTGCCTCAGCCTCCCGAGTAGCTGGGATTTACAGGCATGAACCACCACACCCGACTAATTTTTGTATTGTTAGTAGAGACGGGGTTTCACCATGTTGGCCAGGCTGGTCTTGAACTCCTGACCTCAGGTGATTTGCCCGCCTCGGCCTCCCAAAGTGCTGGCATTACAGGCGTGAGCCACTGCGCCTGGCTATCTATTTCTTTAAAACCTTGGAGCGTAGAGGTTGGTAGCTTCTCCAAGATGCAGAGTTATTATTTCCATGTGAAGTAAATATGGACTTACCCATTTTACAAATTACAGTTTTTTTAATTTTTTAAAATGTATCCAACTGATATAATTTCTTTTAACAATTTAACAATTACTCTGTGCCTGCTGTTAGCAAGTAAGATACTGTGCAGATACAACGATGAATAGAGACAGCCTTATAATTTTAATAACAGTAGAAATAATAGAACTGCAGCTGCCATTTTATCCAGTACTCATGTGCCGAGCATTGTGCTATATACTTTACATATACTATTTTAAAATGCTTACAACAACTGTGAGGTAGGTGATACTACCCTTGTATTATAGTTGGTGAAACTGAAGTGCAAAGTTGCTTAGAACCTTGCACAATATTGTATAACTTACGAGTGACAAAACCAGGTTTTGGAGCCAGTTCTGACTCAAAAGCTCATATTCCTTTGGCTGTGTTATGTTTCTTCAAGAAGTAGTAGGCAGTAGAATGGGGTGGGAGAAGCACACAGATTATATAATAGATGACATTACAGAACACAATGTGGTTGCTGTAAGCAAAGCATAAACAACATAGCTTGTGGAAGAAATTTTCAATCTGGATTATGGGGAAGGTATCACAAAGGAAGTGTTATTTGAAGTGGGCCTTGACAGTGTAATATCAAAGGAGGCAAACATTCATTTGGGAGGGTATATTTTAGGGAGAGCTAAAATAATATGCAAACTGAGGGTGATTTTCAGAGGATGGCAGGCAGTCTGATACTGTTAAATGGGCCATGGTGTATTGGAAGTAGCATTTAGAAGGTCAGATTAGATATAAATGATAGCTAAATTTGTATCTCTCAAAGTATACCTAAAAGGTTGAGTCTGTAGGATTTACTAAGTGGATAATCAGATTTGTATTTATGGTATTCAGTGATAGTTTTGATTCTTAATTTGAGGTTGTAAGAAAAGGAGCTCTGAGTTGGATGCTTGATTAGTTAATGTAAGCCCCATCACTATCTTGGAAACTCCATGAAGGCAGGTATCTATCTTGATTTGCCAGTACATCCCCAGCATCTAGCAAGAAGTACTCATGCCAAGTACAAAATGGAAACTCAAGAGCAAGGAAGATAAAGAAATGTTAGAAGAAGAGTTAAGAGAAATCAAAGAAGCCGACTTCTAAAAAATTTTACCTAGAACTCTCCTGGTGCTTTTCATGACAGTTGATTTTCCTACCAGTATAGATTGTAGTTACTTGCCAGAGAGTAATGTGATATATTAACAATTGTCTATGTGCAGTCATTGACTTCTCCAACAATCTATAGCTCAGCAAAACCTCCCTTCCAGGCTTCTGTTATGAGCATATTTGCAACACTGCAATAAAAAGGAGATAAGCCTGGATTTATAGGCTTTAGATTCAGTTAGATTAACAAAGAGATAGCATTTAAGCCTCCCAGAATTGTTATCGTTTCTGTCTCAGGGTGCTTGAACTGTTAATATTTATAACTCTCTTAGCTAGGTATTAGAAAATGGTAATAAGGGAATGGAGTTTTTATTTGTTGGCTAAGAAATGGGCTGCTGTGTAGGTAAGAAACTTGTTTTGTAGAGGAGGGGGATAGTATAGTGGAGAGTAGAAAAGATTAAGGAGAAGGGTACCAAGGGCTAACTCCCTCTGAAAGTTTTTCTAGAGCTATCAGATTGATCCCTCCACTACCTCTCTACTCTCATAATATTTTAACTCTTATTCCTACCAAATTAATTGAAAATTGTACTTCCATATTCCTCTTTCCTCTAGACTGAAAGTTTCTCAAATGCAAGGAGAGTTTTCTTCATCTTTGTGTCTGTGTATAGTTGATGTTTAAATATTCCTTGTACTAAACTGAGCTAGGCGCTGTTGTAGGTGTTAACCCAAAGATAAGTTCCTTGCCCTCATGGAGCTCATATTCTACTTGTAATGACAGAAGCATGGCTATTACAGATTTCCTTGGATTTTTCTAGTGTTCTTTTTCCTCTCCTCGCAGACAGCATGGTAAAGTTGAATGTGAGTGAAGAAATGGAACCCTCTCAGATAAAAATTTTGCATGGGACAAGGGAAGAAACTTTCTCTCTTCTTATTTCCTATACCAGATCCACCTTTACTCCAGGACTCTGAACTTTGGCTAGTTACACATTTCCCCACAAGAATTACCAAATTTTTCTGAGCATGACATTCTTGAAACTTCATTTATGAACAAAATTATGAAAAATGCAATTTTCCTCTATGCACCATTAGCTTATTTGGATAACCACATAGTTACTCTTATTTACCACTGGATGAGGTTTCAGTGACCATAAGGTGAAGCCATTGGTGGAGTTTTAAAAATGGGTCATCAATCTGAGTAGTTTCAGTATACTGTACTTGTCCTTAAGCTGATACAATTGGAGCTGTTTATATAGATCAACTACATTGTGGGACAAATAAATTTTGATGAATTAGGCTGAGAAGCTGAATATCAGTAAGTACATTTTTTAAAATTAAAAGCTTTCTGAAGAGAAATATGGAATTACTAGGTTGCATCATTCTCATCAGTGTTCAAAGTAAGGATTTTTTTACTCTTTTAATGGCTGCCCTTCAATCACAGCCCTAAGGGCTGAATTAAATGTTTCTTCCACTTTTAATCCCTTTGGTGGAGTTAGATATGTTAATACCTATGTTTAGGATATTTGTGTAGGTGTGTTGATATTTCAAGAGCAGTACTCTATTATAAAAATTGTTAATAGTGACTAGTTTTGGGGTGACAGTAGTGTTACAGAGAGTAATTTGAGCACTTTATTTTCTACTGTTTCAAGAAGTGTTTCAGAACTATTTTTAACAGTGTGAAACCACTTTGTTTTTCAGTATTCTTGCCATGAGAAAAAGAATGTGATAAGTTATTCAACTTATGAAATTCAAGTTACATGTGAATTCTGCCAGGTATGTGTGCAATATTTGGTATTTTTAGCCATTTTTTACATTTTGGGTTGTAAAAATCTTTATAGCTTGTTTCTATTAGGTAAGTATTTGTGGTGTTTTTTTCCATACAAAACAAGTCACTTACTTAGTATGTAGTTTAGCTGATACTCCTATTTTGTTTTTAAATAATCAAATTAAAAGCATCTAAGTACACTTAGCTATGACAGACATAAACATGTTTTAAGGTTTTGATTTCCTCTAAAATGAGTTCTATCAGTCCCATGGGATGTTCTGTGAAAAAGTATTCAAATAGCAAATAGCTTTGGCAAAAATGCCATACTCTGGGTGCTCCCCTAGTCATTTTACATTAGCATATTAAAGACTGTGAAGAGTCCTGCCAAAAAAAAAAAAAAAAAACAAAGAAAGAAAGAAAAGTATATTTTAGCATTTCCCGGATTTGTTTGGCCACACCTTTTTTTCTTTAGTGTCTACTGACATCCCCGTTGAAATGTTTTGGGGAGCATTGCTATTGAAGGGTTAACAAGCTACTATTTGAAAAAGAAACAGTGTTACAGAATTATTAGTTGAGTCAAATATATTTGCTATATAGAATTTCTAGAAAGAAAACAAGTTGATGGATGGGATAATTAATTGAGAACTTTTAAATCGAAATTTAAAAGTAGGAAAGTAATCCTGACTCAGAGATGTCTTTTTGCATTTGTTTTGTTCAAATCAGGATCCAAAAAGGTCCTTAATTTGGTTGTATGTTTATTAAATTTCTTCTAATGGAAAACAGCAACCCTCTTCCTTTGCTCTTCTTTTCATCTCCATGACATTTACTTGTTGAGGAGACCAGGTCATTTGTTCTAACTTACAGTGATTCATCTTAGTGTTTTTTGACTTTACGATGGTGGGAAAGTAATACAGTCAGTATACTGCTCAATTCATGGTGGGGTTATGTCCCAATAAACCCATCGTAAATTGAAAATATCTGTATTGGATTTGGATGATTGCCTCCTGGTGGTGTTGTTTAACTTCTTTTTCTGTCTCCTGAATTTCCTTGTAGTTGGAGCTAGGGAGGCTTGATTAGATTCACTTTCGACTTTTGACATTCCCTGTCCCCACCCTTAACAACCTTTGGTGTTAATTTAAGACTAATCTGTGAATTCAGATGCTGTCAGCCTGGTCCAACCATTATGAAGTTCCTATCAACTTTTCTCCTAATGGTTTTAAAAATCAGACATTGATGATAGTTGCCCAGATCCATTATTTCATTAGGGATTAAAGTGGTGGTATTCTTCCTCTTCCACTTGTTCCTCCTCCTCCCCCTTCTCCATGCCTGGTTAATTTTTTGTATTTTTAGTAGAGGTGGGGTTTCGAAAGTGTTAGCCAGGATGGTCTTTTTTTTTTTTTTTTTTTTTTTTTTAAAGAGATGGGGTCTTATTTTGTCACCCAGGCTGGATTGCAGTGGCACAATCACAGGTTACTGCAGCCTGGACCTCCTGGGCTCAAGAGATCCTCCTGCCTCAGCCTCCAGAGTAGCTGGGACTACAGGTGTACACCACCATGACGCTACCACGACACTACCACAAGTGGCTGTTTTAAATTATTTGTAGAGATGGGGTCACGCCGTCTTTCCCAGGCTAGTCTTGAACTCCTGGGCTCAAGCCATCCTCCCACCTCAGCCTCCCAAAGTGCTGGGATTATAGTCATGAGCCACTGCACCCAGCTAAAGTGGCAATTTTCTAATTATTTTATTCTTCTGCACTTGTTGAAATTCTATAAAAGACTTTTCCTTCATCAACTCTTTGGTTACTGGAAATACATTTTATGCACAAAAGGCAGATTAAACACACTGATCTTTTTTCTTTCTTTCTTTTTTTTTTTTTTTTAAACCAGTTTTCAGATGAGTGCATTTTCTTAGTTGTTGGGTTGTATGACTTGTCTGTCAAGCCCTTACTGGTTTGCTGTATGCCAGGCTTTTCTTTCAATCTCTTACTCCACTTCTACTTAGAGTCCTGTGAAAATCAGTCGTTTTTTTTAGATATACAGTTGTTCCTCAATATCTGTGGGTGATTGGATCCAGGATCTCCTGAAGATACCAAAATTTGAGGATGCTCCAGTTACTTATATAAAATCGTGTAATATTTGTGTATCACCTATGCACATCCTCCCGTATACTTTAAATCATCTCTAGATTACTTTTAATACCTACTACAATGCATATGCTGTGTGAATAGTTGTTACACTATATTGTTTAGGTAATAATGACAAGAAAAAAAGTCTGTACATGTTTAGTACAGATGCAGTTTTTTCTCACATATTTTTGATCCAAGATTGATTGAATCCATGGATGCAAAACTCATAGATACAGAGGGCTGACTGTACATATTCTTTTATTTTTAATTATTTTTTATAGTTTGTGTCCTTCTCAAAGCTTCTGTAAGGTTTCCTGGAACACACTGTCTCTGGATGTAGTTACCTGTATAATTTTTGTCTTTTTCCTAGTATTAGGTTAAATAACTGTTTGCTCCTTTTTTGCTTTTTATTGAGGTATAATTTAAACAGAATAAAATGCACTATGTAGAGTAAAATCTGTTTTATCAATCTTTTCTTTTATGGACCTTTTGTGTCCTGTTTAACCTTTGCCTACTCCAAAATCATGAAGATTCTTTCCTATTTTTCTTCTAGAAACTTATGCTTTGCCTTTCACTTTTAGGTCTATGATCTACTGTGACTTAATTTTTAGTATAATGTGAGATAGAATTCATGGGGCATTTTTTAAAGTTATGAATCCTTAATTGACATAACATTAAGGTCACGAAAAGTCCTGTGAAATGAAGCCTACACATTCAACATTTCCCAAATTTATTTGGCTAAAAATCTTTTTTCCATGATAGCTACCATGCTTTGGGAAACATTGATCTAAAGCACTGATAAACTACTGTTGTCAAGGGAATATTACATAATTATTATTAGTTGAGTCAAGTACTCTTGCTATATAAAATTTCTAGAACCAATTATTGAAAAGACCATCCTTTTCCCACTTAACTGCAGTTGAGCATTTGTACAAATCAGGTAGCCTTATGTGTGGTTCCATTTCTGTACTCCTTCTTTTCCATTTCTTTGTATGTTTATCATTGGACTGATACCACAGTGTCTTAATTATTGTAATTTTATAATGGGTCATGATATCTGGTAATAAAAGTCCTCTAGCTTAATTACAATTCTTCATGACTGCCTTGTTTATTCATTGTCTTTTGCATTTTGTTACAGATTTTTCAGTTTCTACACATACATAAAAGCACTGGGATTTATTTTATTTATTTATTTTTTTTTTTTTTGAGACAGAGTCTCACTCTGTTGCCCAGGCTGGAGTGCAGTGGTACAGTCTCAGCTCACTGCAACCTCTACCTCCCCAGGTTCAAGTGATTCTCATGCCTCAGCCTCTCTCAAGTAGCTGGGACTACAGGTGTGTGCCACCATGCCCAGCTTATTTTTTAATTTTTAGTAGAGACAGGGTTTCACCATGTTGGCCAGGCTTGTCTCGAACTTCTGACCTTAAGTGATCCACCTGCCTCAGCCTCCCAGAGTGCTGGGATTGCAGGCATGAGCCACCACACCTGGCTGAAGAACAAAACTGATATAATAATTTTGGTTTGTATCTATTTAAAGATACTGAATTCATTACTTAAAACCACCCAGAAGAGAAACCTCCAGGCTCAGATAGCTTCACTGGTGAATTCTTCCAACATTTAAGGAAGAATTAGTACCTATCTTATGCAGATTTTTCTAGAGAATGGAAAAGAATTAACATGACCCAATTCTTATAAAGCCACTGAACTTAGATACCTGGCAAGGTTATTTCTTATGACATAGATTGTAAACATCTTAAAATACGAGCAAAAGGGAGGATTTATTTAAGAAATTCTGGTTTGTTTGTTCAACATTCAGTGTGATATACCACATTAAAACAATAAGAGAAAAAAATAGTATCTGAATAGATGCAGAAAAAGCATTTGATAAAGCTCAATGTCTACTCATCATTAAAACTCGCAGGAAACTAGAAATTGGAGGAAGCTTTCTTAATCTGATAAAGAGTATCCGAAAAAAATCTGCAGCATCTGCTTTCTCCCTGAGATTTACGTGTATTTTTAAGACTAGCATCTGCACAGTGCAATAAAGCTAAGCACAATAAAATGAGATATGCCTGTACCAGGAATTCTCATAATGTGAGAGCGGTCTGTGAAGTCAAAAACATTTTTATAATAATACTAAAATATTTACCTTTTTAAAATTCTCATTATCTCACAAGGATTTGATGCCATTTTCTAGAGGATACATGATGATATCACAACAGGTTGAATACCAGAAGCACATAGGAGAATTCAGCTGTGTTATACTCTGTTAAGCCAGATGTTAAGGATTTGCAAAAAGTGGGAAATAATGCCTTTCTCACTAAATTTTTTGTTTTGAAAATATATTGTTTTAAAAAATATGTGTTAACATGCAGTGAGTTCATTGTTATTTTTAAATCATAAATTAATATTTTTAGAATTTCTCAGTTTTAATTTCTGATGTGGTCAGTATTGATAGTACATAAACAAAAACGTTCTTTGGGAGCCTAAATTTTTAAGAGTGTAGAGGATCCTGTTTGAGAACTGCGGTGCCATACTGTTCTCACTCATTATTTAGTAAGTTTTACTAGTGGTCAGTTACAGCCAATCTTGTTAGAATACTTTGCTCTTACTTAAAAATTTATATATCAGTATTCCTTAGTTTGTAAACATTTAAGAAGCACTAGAAGGATAATATGTTATTTAGATAAATCGCAGATATCATGAGGAGGTGTTCCAAATTTAGTTATAAAATAGCTTATAATGCTCACAGATTGTGTAGGTCAAAAATTTGTACAGGGTACAAGAAAATGGCTTGTCTCTGCTTTTTGTCTCTGCCTAGTACTGGCACCAGCAGCAGGCATTTGCTATTAATAAACTGTGATTCTCAGTGTCTGCCTCAGTCTTAACTTTTCAGGGCACTGCCCTTTGACCTCATTTCTCTGATGGATGTAAGAAGAGTTGATGATTTTCCGTTTGTTTAACTTATTTCTCTTTATGAGGACAGGAATGATGACTTTCAAGTTCTTTATGTGTTGGACTAGAAACCAGAAGTCTAGACCAGTGTTTCCCCAAGTGTCATCCTTGCACCTACCAGTGCAATATCAAGTTGTCCATAGGCTATTTGACAATTATAGCAATAAATATTTTGGATAAAGCAATAAAACTTTTGTTAACACATTTCACAAATTTTGTATATGAGATTAATAATGGTGACTTCCTGGAAACCATTTGTATTCTCAGTGATCATTGCGTACATGCTTTAAACATGAAGCAGTGACTACTGTGAACCAGCATGGGTTTCCTAAAAATGAGATATATCAAATCTTTGGCAAAAGTTTTGATACATTACAAGGAAACAGCATAAAATATTGACAAGACTTTTAAACTTGGACTCAGAAGATTAACTTATGATCCTCAGTATACCACTAACAAAAAGTTGGAAATTAAGGATTTAGAAAGAGATCAGAGTTAGAGATACAGATTTTGTTATGTTAATACTACCTTATCTCCTTTACTGGGAGGAGAGATTCCCTGAGGCTGGGATCCATTTCTCTTTTATTTTTGAATTTCTCTGAGTCTTCTATAGTGCTTCCAATATAGGAAAAGGTGTAAATTTAAGAAGGGATTTAAGAGTTTGTTTTTAGACATGTTGATGTTTTGGTAGCATATTTAGGTAGAAATGTTTAAGCCAATAGATACAAATATTCCACTAGAATATAGGACTGGAGATGGAGATTTTGCCACATTATTTTCATAACAGTACAGTAGGATCCTTGGAAGACTGCATAGTATTTGCTCATTTAATTTTCTTGAATAAATGAAATGTGTTCATTTCACCATAAGTACTTTTACACTGTTGAGCAGGAAAAAG
Organism: Homo sapiens; assembly: GCF_000001405.40. Lineage (NCBI taxonomy): Eukaryota > Metazoa > Chordata > Mammalia > Primates > Hominidae > Homo > Homo sapiens. Next base: position 175,130,441 of record NC_000002.12, on the reverse strand, counting down.
TTTGCCTGACAGAGCAGTGTTCCTAACCTTTTTCCTATAGTGCAAAATCTGCATGTTACATGTATTTTATCTACTCTCATAATAAGAAAGATAGAATTAAAATGTCAGAAAAGTGTTTTATTTTGTATTAAAATAGAAAAGTTAATAAGCTTAATGAAAAATCTTGAGATTTATATTTTAAATTATTCTTTATTTTAAAATATGTACTCTAAAGTGTCTTCTGTTTGATTATAGGCAATACAAGGACCTGTGGAATATGAGTGATGACAAACCCTTTCTATGTACTGCGCCTGGATGTGGCCAGGTAATATATAAATTACTTTAAATTATTTTGTATATTTCCACTTATTAAAACATTGATGATATAATATGTTATCACTAAAAGTATTTTCTTACAGTATTCTGTAAAATTTTAGAGTTAGGATGAAAAAAAACCCAGGAAACTTTTGGCAAGAAATTCTGCTTTTTCTTCAATAGTGCAACTGAGCTTTAGAAAGTATAATCCAATACGGAGGGGGGGAGCATTATATCTTGTAATGGAAAGGTGGAAATCCTACACAAAAGTCCAAGATATAAAAGTATAATTTGACTGTTATTGGTTGAAAATTATTGATAAACTGCCTAATTAGAAATCAGATCGATATTATATGAGAATTATTTTGCTTACTGAACTTTTATGAAATTAACTGGTATTTACTTCTTAGAGTATCACTAATGTATTAATGTTGTTAAGCCTAACGTCTTTAATATTGGGCATGTGGCAGCAGTTTCAGAAAGTAATATTTTAGTTTTTTTTTAACAACCCACTAAATTATTAATCTATTCCTATTATACTTATCTTAAAATAACTATAGACAGGAAGAATTAAAGAATAAATGTAATGTATAGCAAAGTTACAAAGTACTTAAATATACGGACCATAAATGTAAGTAAGCATTATTCTTTCTCATTTATTTTCTTTAGTTGATATTTTAAATTGAAATATAATTGACTTACAATAAACTGTATATACTTAAAATGTACCATTTGATAAGTTTTAACACACGTATACTCAAAACCATCAGCACAATCAGGATAGTAAACATACAATCACCCAAAAGTTTCCTCATGCCTATTTATAATTCCTCTTATCCCACCTACCTTCATCAATTACTGGTCTGCCTTCTGTTACTGTAGATTTGTTTGCATTTTCCAGAATTTTGTATAAATGGAATCATATAGTATGTATGTTTTTTCACTCCACATAATTCAATATTTCTCCATGTTATGTTACCAATAGTTAATTCCTTTTCATTGAGATATAATATTTCATTATCTCACAATTTATCTGTTCATCTGATGGATATTGGTTTACTTCTATTTTTTAGTTGTTAATAAAGCTGATGTGAATACTTGTGTACAAGTCTTTTTATGGACACATGCTTTCATTTCTCTTGGAGGAATACATGGGAGTATAATGATGGGATTATCTGATAGATATATGTTTGACTTTTTAGGAAATTACCAGGCTGCTTTTTTCATGTGTTTGTTGGCCATTTGTATCCCTTACATTTTGTGAAGTATCTTTTTAAATCTTTTGCTCATTTTAAAAAATTGGGTTGTCTTTTTATTATTGAGTTGTAGGAGTTCTTTATATATCCTGGATACCAGTCCTTGTCAGAGGCTTCTTTTTCTGTGGTTTGCATCTTAATTTTCGTAATAATATCTTTTGATGAGCAGATGTTTCTAATTTTAATGAATCCTAATGTATTAATTTTTTTCCTCTTATGGTTGTTGCTTTCTGTGACTTGTCAGAAATTTTTGCTTGCCTTTAGATTATGAAGGTATTCTCCTTTGTTTTCCTCTAAAACTTACTGTTTCATTTAGATTTCTCTTTAATCTTGAATTAATTTTTGTGTATGGTGTGAGATAGGGGTTGAAGCTAACTTTTTTTTTTTTTTTGAGACGGAATTTCGCTCTTGTTGCCTAGGCAGGAGTGCAATGGCACAATCTCGGCTCACCACAATCTCCGCCTCCCAGGTTAAAGTGATTCTCCTGCCTTAGCCTCCCAAGTAGCTTGGATTACAGGCATGCGCCACCACACCTGGCTAATTTTGTATTTTTAGTAGAGATGGGGTTTCTTCATGTTGGTCAGGCTGGTCTTGAACTCCTGATCTCAGGTGATCCGCCTGCCTCGGCCTCCCAAAGTGCTGAGATGATAGGCGTGAGCCACCGCGCCCAGCCAGTTGAAGCTAAGTTTTTAAAAAATACGGGTTTAGATATCCCAGCATAATTTCCTGAAAAGATTTTTCTTTCCTCATTAAACTGCTTTGGCTCCTTTAATGAAAATCAAATGATTGTGTAAGTGTGGGTCTGTTTCTGGGCATTATATTCTGTTCCATTCATCACTCTGTCAACTTTTATGCTAGTACCACACCATTTTGATTACTCTAGCTTTACAGTTAGTGTTCCAGTCAGTTAGGGTAAATTCTCCAATTTAGTCCTCATTTTTCAAGATATTTTTGGTTAGTCTCTTAAGTTTTAGTCATTCTGGTGAGGGTTTAATGGTATCTCATTGTAATTTTGATTTATGTGATATTTAATGATGTAGAGCGAGGTAAACATAGGAGTTATCAGGGTTAATGCAATTTTAGATAGGTTAACCAGGGAATGTGCCTCTGCTAAGGTGACATTTGAACAAAGACCTGAAGAAAATGCAGGAGCAAACCTTGTATGTTTCTAGACTAAAGGAGCAGCAAATGTAAAAGCTCTAGGGAGGGAATGTGTATGGTGTGTTTAAGAACAGAAACGCAACTACTGTGGCTGGAGCATATAATGACCAACAGAGAGAAGGTTAAGAGAGGAGGTCAGAGGAGACAGAAAAAAAGACATATCCTATGATAAGGTGTTTGGGTTTTATTCACTGAGCAGTGAAAAGCCACTGCTGAGTGGTCACAGGGAGACAAGAGGCTGACAGCAGTCCAGGTGAGAGATGATGGTGGTTTGAATTAGGTGTTAACAGTGGACACAGAGAGAGAAATAGGCTAATTTGACATATGTTTTGGAGATATATTTGACATATATATTTTTCTGTAAAGTTAAGAGAGCTAAAAACTACAGTTCTCTTTGCACCTAGAATTCTGCATATGATTTTAGGTTTCACCAACCAAATTTACTCTTTCTGGTAAATCAGATTTACTTTAACTTTTTTTTTTTTTTTTCTCGAGACAGGGTCTCACTCTGTCACCCGGGCTGGAGTGCAGTAGCATGATCATGACACACTGAAGCCTCAACCTCCTGGGCTCAGGTGATCCTCCCACCTCAGCCTCCAGAGTAGCTGGGACCACAGGTGCTCACCACCACACCTGACTAATTTTTTGCTTGGTTTTTTTTTTTGGATACAGGATCTCTCAATGTTGTCCAGGCTGTTCTCAAACTCCTGGGCTCAAGCCATCTGCCTACCTTGGCCTCCCAGTGTGCTGAGATTGTAGACATGAGCCACTTCGCCTGACCCACTTTACTTTTTGGATTTGGTACTGAGTTAAATGGAATGAGAGATAGTATTACTCAAATCATCCATTTTGCTGGCTTGGAGTGAACAAACAACTTGATTCTGTAATCCCTGAAGTACAGCTAATGCAATATGTGTTTCTAGGGCCAGCCTTTGGACAAAGACTAGTTTTGACATGTTCTAGATATCATTCTTGGAGACTCAAAAAAGCCCTTTCCTGATTCTCTTCTGCTTAAAATAGTTAGAATGGGTTTTGTGATTGAATTCTTACTAATACACATGCCATTTTAAATAAAAGCATTACAATTAAACAGAAGAAAAACTGATTGCTGAACATTAGAATTTGTGTGTGTATGTGTATCATAAGGAATTGTTAAAAGACCTCTGTAACATTAACTATATATGTGAAAAACATTAAGAAGTTAGGGAATTATTTTTTTAGGTTTCCTACTATTAAAGGAGTTAACATGCATACTTTCTACCTCCACTTCCCTATCCCCTAATGTCTGATAATTACTCTTATTTTTTCCATTGTCGAGGTTTGTAATACTTACATTTTGTCTTATCCATAATTCCCATATTTGCTTAGTTTTACTTCTGTATCACAATAGTATAGATGGAAGGGTGAAAGCTAAGCTTTAGGGCACCTCTGGTGTTTAAAAGTCAGAAAGAGGAGGAGAATGTAGCACAGAAGATTAAGAAGTAGCAACCAGTGAGGAAAATTGAATCTTGAAAGTTAGAAAAAATATTTCAAAGTAAGAGAAACAATATAGTCATATCCTAAATAGGATAAGATGATAATTCAGTATTTACTATTGAATTTAGAGACTATGATAAGAGTAGCTTTCAATGAAGGGGCAGTAACAACAGTGTAATTGGAGTAGGTTGAAGAGAGAATGGGAAGAACCAGAAATGGAGACATTATAGGACAGTTCTTTCTTGGAGGTGTAGCTAAAGGGAAAGTGAGATACATAGCTTCAATGTAGGATTGAAGATGGTGGAACTTTTTTGTTTTGCATTTTAAGGTGGGAATATCACAGCATATTTGGCAATGCAGAAAATGGGACCATTGCAGGAGTGGGGTCCTTAAATAGCTAGGAGAGGATGGGATTTAGTTTTATTTTTAAAACAAAATTGGGACCATACTGCACAGTTTTGTATTCTGTTAGTATTTGGATGACATTACACATATCAGCATTTTGTGTATTAATCGAAAGCATGGCTTTAAGTCACTATTGCTTGAGCATGTCTGATTCCACTATTATAAACTTTTAATTTTGGTATTATAAGCAACATTGTGATGAATATCTTTCTACATAACCCTTTGTATATGTCTACTTAGTTTCTTAAAATACATTTTGGAACTAGAATAACTGGATTTAAATGTTTACACGTTTCTAAGTTTCTTCGTGTATTTTGCCAAATTGTTTTTTAAAAGCTAAATCAATTTTTTATACTCACTCATAATTGAATTCTCACTAATAGTGATGCTTTTAAACATTAAACATTTGATCCTGAGTATTATTTTAGGGGGGCCTGTGTTCGTACCCTAAGATACTTAAAATAATCTCTTTGCAAGTATTACTGATCAAAATATAACCTGGCTACTCATCCATTTGTTAAATCTTGCTGAGAACAGAAATGGTATGGTCTGTTTTTAGATTTATATAATATTTCCTAGGAACTACTTAGTAAGAATTGGTTTTAGAAGCATCATTTTGATGGTGACTGCTTTTTCACAAGATTGCTTTTTCACACAGTCTTTTTAAGTTTCTTGTTATTTTTTGTCACCAGTAAGCAATGACATTATTCTGAATTTGAGTTTCAGCTTTAACACAATGGTCTTAGTTAAATTTAAGGTTTCAAATAGATTTTTACAATTTAAAATCTATTTTGGTGACAATACAACTTCAGAGAGAGTCCTATAGAAATGATTACAAAGAGTTTTTAATACTAGACTTGTGCTATTAAATCTTTTCTTGTATGCCTCAGTTACTCTTAGGTTTTCCACATGCCTGTTAATTTCACTTGTTTTAAAGTGATGCTCCTTGGAATTTAGTAAAAGAGACACTGAGATAATTTGGTGAAAGATTCATTTATCTTTGTTAGTCTTCCATATACTTGGTAGTATCTTTGCTTTTGGTGCCCCGTCATTGAAAAATGTTTCTTTGGTAGAATGTTTACACATTATAAGCTGTTTTATAAAGGAGATAAAGATTCATTTTATATTTAGTCTAAAGTGACAATGGAGATGTATGTGTGGGAGTGTGTGCGTGTGTGTGCATGAGAGAGACAGTGAATATATCAGTGTAACTTCCTGCTGTTGTTCAATAGTCCTTAAACTAGTGAAAAAAGTAGTGAAATGAGCTATTGGCCCAATGGCTTGAAAACTTATTTGTGTCTATCTAATATGTTTAAAAGGAATAATAATATATCATGGATATGAGTGTATGTATTAACTATAGAATGACTGATTTTTTAGGAAGTTAATTCTGGTGAGAGTGGTCAAGCCTTAGTAACACAGATTTCCCAGATATCAGAACTTAAATTATTATAGAAGCAACTGATCTACCTTCTTCCCATCTGACAGGTTACCCTTTCTTTTTAACCTTTTAAGAGAGATTGCTACCTGCTAGGCACCTATCAAAAAAAAAAATCTTTTTTTTTTTCACTTTTTCCATTGTTTATTGAGCTATATACTCAAGGTCTTAGTCTTGTTTAACAAAATACTTGTGTTTCTTTGTATATCTACAGTATTTTCTTTGGGGTTGTGCTTTGAAATGCCTGGAAGAATACAGTTTATGAATTCAGTATGTTGGTGTTGCTAGTAATATAGATATTTTTACAAAACTTATTCTTGGAATATAATTTGACTGGGAAGACATTTCATATAGATTCTGTAAAAAAATTTAGCTTGCAGCTATTTTATAAATAAATAAAGAATGCATTTCTTTCATATTAAACTTCTGGTGACTGCCTTTTCACAAGATTGCCTTTTCACACGGTCTTAAGTTTCTTGTTAAAAATAATAAATTTTCTCAGATAACCAAGGTCAAATTCACCTGTATCAAGTGCCAGTGTATTTTGTCTTTTGCAGTGTTTTTGTATTTTGAGTGTATTTTGTCCTTTGCAGTGTTGCTGTCCCTGTATATAATTAATACTGTTACAGGATCAGTAATCCCTTTGTAAATTGCATTTAGGGAAATTTGATCTGTGGATCTTATATGAGAGTTTATAAATACATATTCCTTGCATTCTCCCTTTTAATATTCATATGATCCTAAATATTTGTTAGGTTGCTTCTGGCCACTTCTTTACACTTAGGATTGAACTTGGTGCCATTTCGTATGTTTTGTACGAACACAATGTTATTTATTCTACATGCAGTTCTTTGATTTGAATATTTGGGGTCAAACTAATCCAAGCAAAGAAAATTGATAGAATAAAATTCCTAGGCGACAACATTCCAACTTCTTATCTATTAATTTGTTGAGTTTGCAGTTTTAAAATCTGGGACCTGCACCAAAATGCATTCATTCACAAATGTTTAATGATTGCCTTCAGTGGAAAAGCCACATTATGAGGTTCTTTGAAACATAAACTAAATATTACTTTCAGATGCTTTTAGTGTAGGATGTAAGACACATATATTTAAAACAGCAATACAAAGAAAAAGCATAAAATATTAATGTCAGTATGCTCTGCAGATATGTTCGTTTTCTGAGAACTTTGTTATTCAGCAATCTGTCAAAAGTACCACTGTTTCTTATTTCTCCAAAATTGGGGGAGATTCTTATAATGATAAAGTAATAGGAAGACAGTACCTGGGTGGGGAAAAGTTTGATTGTGGTCCTACTGCCTATAGTTGCTGCCCAGTAAATGTCTGAAGAGTGAATGAATATGTCAAGTAGTGGAAGTGTTGTTGCATCTGAACACTCTCCTTCAGTGGTAATACAGGCAGGTTCTGAAGAGAGGTTATAAAATAATAGTTTTCTGTTGGCATGTGAAGTAATCCAAAGACTAAGTGATAAAATGTAGCAAGATTAAATTGAAGTTGAATTCATCTTAATGAACAATGGTTTAGGGTCTTTTTTAGCCCCCTCAGATTGATCTTTAAGATTCATCTATTTTATTGTAATGAATTCATTCTTTCAGTTAGCATTTATTGAGTACTTAACTATATGCTAAGTTTGGGGGACCACGGTAGGAGCTCAGCCTACTTAAAAGGACAGACATATGAAAATATGATAGGTGCTATAACCAAGGCATTGTGCCGCACACATGAGATGATTTTCACCTCTACAGGCAGACGGATAGTGGACTGGGCCAAAGATGTTAAAATGTTAAAAATGTTTCATTCTTTTACATTGTGTTTAAGGTAACCCTAAAGCTACTATTATTAGTTGCATGAAAGGATGTAGTGAATTGGGTAGGGGAAGGAGACCACAAGAAATGGAATTCATTTTGATGGTTTGGGCAAACCAAGTTCAAGTATATATATTTTAACATCCTCACTTGTAAGGTTATAAAGAGTGAATTGAGATCTGTTAACTTAGCATTTTAAAATTATTGCTCTGAAATAACAGCTCCCTGTTTTCAGTTATAAATGTTGCTTAATGAGCATCTTCAAAAATGTTGATGTTCAGACATTGGAGATAATGCATTTATTATGTTGTAATCATAAATGTTACCTTTGGCATGCAAAACTTATCCAAGTTAGAGGTAGGAAAAAATATGATGGATAACTTTAAAAATAAAATGTTCTAAAAACAACTTTGCTCCATTTTTATGTAAGAACTCTCATGAAAAAATTATTTTGGCTACTTTAAATTTTTTTATTTTAAAATGAGCTGTTTTGTTATTGTATCGGTTGCTATTTCTTTGCTGGATTAAAACAAAGGCATTCTTTTTTATGTGGTAACATAAAAATCAGATTTATTTCTAAATTTTGTCCAGGCGTAATACTTTTATAAGAAAATTCTCTTTTAAAAAGTGGTAAGTAACCTTAAGTCTAGGTAAATATTAATACTACAGTACTTTCTTGAAAAGTCATTGAACCATGGAGTATAGTTTCTACTATGATAAGACAAATTAATGGTGGTCTATTTTTAGTATCCATAAGAAATTTATATAAAGTTTCTTTGCCTCCAATTTTATTTTTAAATGCTCTCAAATGAGTTATGTGACCTAGCAATATATCAGTATTGCTTATTCTTGAGTAATAGGTTTCTCTGTGATTGTTTGCAATCTAGTGTGCTATCTACTAACAATAACGGATTCTTTTATAGTTTAAAAACTGCTATTTCACTGTTAATGGTGGTTTTACATGTTGTGGAAATTAATTTCCTAATCATTTTACTTATTTGATCAAATTGAAAATCTTAACTATATTTTAAAACTTTTTGCCACAGCGTTTTACCAACGAGGATCATTTGGCTGTCCATAAACATAAACATGAGATGACACTGAAATTTGGTCCAGCACGTAATGACAGTGTCATTGTGGCTGGTTAGTATATGCTTTTATTAATAGCTTGTATACATATTTCACCTGGAATGTGCACAATTTTTGTGTATTCTCTGTAAATAATATAGTCTGGTGATATTCCAATGACTTCATTATAGTAAATGTTGGCAACATGTATTTTACCCATTACATTTTCATGTTTCCTTCTGACTATTCATTTCATTTTTTTGTGTGGTTTTCAAATTTATATTCCAATGTCGATTTTGTGGAAGTTCATTAGAACTCTGGGAACATTCATACCATCTACAAATTTTACATTTAACTAATAATTGAACTAACATGGTATTTAGTCAGCATTTCTTTTAGCTGTCTTGTACAACTGACTTACAAGGCTGTGTGAAGATAGAAAATGATCAAGCTTCTCCCATTGGAGAAAGAACAGTGAGCAGACTTGTTCATTAGAGTTGTTTATATTTCTTTTCAGACTAAACATTTGTATTAGTAAAATATTCTCAGTAAGGAGGCTCTAAATTCAGTCAATGCAGTTTTTGTGTGTTGACACTATGAACGTACAGTATCACCTAAGCAGATGATTATTTTTCACTGTATGTGAAAAGAAAAACCCAGTTCATACATTGGTTGATTGTCATTCCATGCTGTATTAGCTGCCTTTTTTTGGTATTTAAATATATACACACACACATCTATGTATATATACATATATGTCATGTATAATTTTGCTACTTTTTTGTATATTTTATAAGTATTATGATAAAACAAAACTATATAAATTTCAGATCCTTTGTGTCATCACAGATTTACATATCATAAATATTCAGATTAACTCCAGATTTTTCTTTTCTCTTGTAAAGCTTGTTATATGTCATATAAGTCTGGAATTACACCCAAATACTGTAATACTTTTAAATTATTAATCAGTATAGAGACCAAATTGTTCTATGCAGTGTTTTGGATAGATAATAAAGCAAATATTCGGTGGTTTTCCCTCTACTTACAGTATTGAAATTTTTGTAATGAAGAAATTGAAGGTAACAAAGTTAATTTATCGAAAACAATATACGTAGGAAAAATGTAGGGGAACTTCCAACATATCCTAACTAAGTTCCATAAGTAACTTAGAGATATGTTACTTATACAGAAGAGTGAGATAATGCTTTTTTTTTTTTGGAGTATTTTACATTAGACATTAAGAGCTAGAACCAAAGGAACCAAACAAGCAAAATAGTAACAACCTCGAAAGTTCACTCTCCTAGGCATGAAGCTCTTTGTTTCTCTGAAACTTTCTGCCTTAGCACAATCTCTGTCTGTGTGTAACTCTTTAACTCAAATATGTTTTGAAATTGGTTTCTAGAAATTACTTTCCTGTCTGATCACATTTAATGCAGTAGAAAAATAGAGCACATTCAAACACAGTACTTGACCTTTTTTTTCACTAACATGTTGAGATGAATAGGTTAACATTACTATGCAAATAAAATGCATGATGTGTGTGGTATATTTTTGGTGATCAGTAGCCATATGCAATGTGCATGTTAAATGATTGTGCCTATGTTGACTTTTCTGAAGTCTGATGGTTCCAGTAATCATTGATAAAAGTGACTTATGCTTATGTATTTTATTTTTTTAAGATTTTCCCCTCCCTTTAATGTAAGTTAAGAGCCTTCTGATGAACTTAGATAGACAAACCCTTTGGGTGTGAACAGAAGAGTCACATTTAGATTTGACCTACTAATTTAGTCATGATGGACTTAAGCTAATACATGTACTTTACTTACTGTAATGTGATTTTTGAGATCTTTTGGGAGGTGGGAATTAAGGGATAGGCTAGAAACTAGTAAAATTATGATATAATAGAGTCCTTTTAGTAATTCTGATATTACTAACAGTGCCTGAAACAGGCCTGCATTATGTCTAGTTTTGTATTACAAGTGGGTCATTTTAGTGTGAAATATATTTGTACATAGTAAAAATACTAGTCCTCTAGGTATACATGTGGGGGGCAAAGGTAAAATAGGAAGTAATGCCCTCTGTGGGGACATAATGGTTAACAAATATGTAAATTTTAATCTTACAAAAGGAATTAGGAGTATTTTCTCTTAAACCAAGAGTCTTCCTTAGTAGAGTACTTTTACTTCACTTAGGCTAGATCCCTGCTATAGCCTGTAAAATTGGTGCTCTAAAATATATTAAATGTGAATAGAATTTGAATGTGCTACCAACTCTAATCAATATGAATAGACACCCTTGAAAATAGTAACACTAAATAGGCAGAATTTATAAGTTTCTTGCTTTTCATTCAGTGTAAATCTTACCTGGCATTTTTTGTAGCCTATACATGGACACTGAGTACCTATGTTAATGTACATAGTAGGAGTACATATTCGAGTAAAGTTGAAATGTTTCATGTTGTAAGAAAATAGAGTAGACTCTTTCTTTACTCCTTAGGAATTAAGCTAGAACATTCTGGAGGCATGTGACTCACACATATTCCTTGTACCTAGCTTGTAAAATGCATTAAATTAGAAAATTAGTTTCAGTAGATAGTGGTAAAAAGAGGGTTTGTTGTTTTAGGGCTGTTTTAACTTTTTTTTTCTTTCTTACAATATTTTTATCTACCTATTAAAGATTGTTTTATCTTAGTTTGCTTTCATAATAGAGTATGAACAGCTAGTGGAAGAACCAAGTTAAAGCAGATATACATGCTCTTATCCTAGTTTTCCCCAAATTTCATTTATTTAAATAATTGTAGTTTTTAATAATGTAAATTTAAAAAATTCTTTATACTGTGTTAGATAATAATAGTTTATCTCTTGAGTAGAGGATGTTTATGCCATTCTACTCAGAAAGAAGCAGTGGACTAAGGAGCAAAAAGGACTTCTTTCCTACTTTCATATTTCATAGTTCTTAAAGTTGGAGGAAATACGAAGTACAACAAAAATTTAACCAAATTTTGTTTGTTTTAAAGGAAGAGGTCTTTCCAAAGAGAGAATTAACAACTGACTGAACCAGTCCTGCTAATTTGTTAACTTAGTAGCTATATTTTAGAGTCTTAACATATTTAAATATGCATGATTACTTCTTGACATTTATTTCAGATCAGACCCCAACACCAACAAGATTCTTGAAAAACTGTGAAGAAGTGGGTTTGTTTAATGAGTTGGCGAGTCCATTTGAGAATGAATTCAAGAAAGCTTCAGAAGATGACATTAAAAAAGTATGTTGTAACCATGAAATTTAAAAAGAGTACTTCTGACAGAAAAGTAATCATAGTTTATACTTCCTGCTTTTTAAATTTAGACACACTGTTTTTGAACTTATAACCTTTTCCTTATTATTTGAATTATAGATGCCTCTAGATTTATCCCCTCTTGCAACACCTATCATAAGAAGCAAAATTGAGGAGCCTTCTGTTGTAGAAACAACTCACCAGGATAGTCCTTTACCTCACCCAGAGTCTACTACCAGTGATGAGAAGGTTAGAAATTTTTAGAAATACAAAGTAAGGGGGAGGAACAGTACCCAAATAAAGTTTACTATTTAATCTCCATAAAATGTTAATGTATTAAATTCAGTGTCAGCTTGCAATAGTTTTATATGTGAAAGCCTGTCAATACTCAGATATTTCAGGGTAAGAAGACTGCAGCTTTTATTGTACATAGAAAAATTATAGGGGAGAACAGTCATGTTACATAAAACTTATTTTTAAAAGATATATAAATTTATAAATTTAACTTAATTTTTCTGTGTTTTGCTATTTTATATTTAGCTACTTTTATACAGTAACAGCTTAATTAAGAATCTATTCAAAAAATTATTTGAACAGTGGTTTTTTAGACTTTTACAGGATTAAGGGACTAGTTACTCATTCTCAGCAGTGGATCTTTGTTAGCGGCAATTAGGACGATGATGATACTAGCTTGAATACCCAGATAATCTGGGACCACCTGGGCTACAGTTGTGTGTTGAGTAACATTATTATGGGAACTTCTTGATCACTCTTTTGTTCACAAGCACATAGAATAAGCACATATTTATTTGGGAGTACCATGCAGGACACAGCGAAGGGCAATGGGACACATAAAGAGGCAGTGGCAATATTCTTTTTTAGATTGTTATTCTAAAACCATACTTATTAATGGACTTCTGTCATGGCAGAGGAGCTAGAAATAAGGAAATACAGAAAAAATAACTTTTTGGCTAAGAATAAATGCTTTGTTTTCTGTTTTTTTTTCTTCATTTTCTTTTTCTCATTTTAAAAGTACATTCTCATTCTTCTTCTCTAAGAATACAGAAACATGAAAAGAAAACCAAAATCACCTATTAGCACATAATTGAATAAGAATTACTATCTTGAAACATTTTTTTCTAGATATATACATTTATAGGTACAAATACATAAGTGAATAGTTAAATAGAAGGATAGATGGATATAAAGATCCTAGCTTTATTTTATATTGTGCTTTAGACCCTCAGTATTGATGAATATTTTCCCATGTCATTAGAGAGTTCCCCAAATCATACTTTTTAATGATTGTACTTTATTTTATTATATGATATGTATATGTATTATGTTATCCTGTTCTTTTTGGACATAAAGGTTGTTTCCACATTATTACAGTTATTGGAAATGCTTTTTAAATCTCTGATACAAATCTTTTTTCCTAGAGAGCATTTCATTCTTTTCACACTTAACAGTTTTTCATTGTTCGTGGCTGCTTCAGCATCTTTTAGGAGTATTCCTTCTTTCTGCATTCCCCAATCATTAGGCCCTCCTTGAGCAAGGTATACCATATGAAATTGATTTAAAAAAAAAAAAATCTGGACCTCTTCTTCTTTCTTGATTTTCTTCCTAGGTGATCTCATCCAGGCCCATAACTTTAATAAACATCTACATACTGATGACTCCCAAATTTCTATGGGCATAGGTATCTCACCAGATTGCCAGATTTATATCCAACTCCATCTTGACATTACCTTTTCTATGTCTAATAGACATCTTAAACTTAATAGGTCAAAATCAGAGTCCTTGATTCTTCCCCCAGTTTTCCCCATCTCAGTAAATTTTCTCCATCCATTTAGTTGTTCTAGCTGAGAATTTAGGGGTCATCCTTAATTTCTTCTTTCTTTTACACTGAAACTAACAGCATATTTTATCAGACCTGAATCTCATCCTCTATGTCTGTGTTCAGTGACACCACGTAAGCCCAAACCATCATCATCTTTTGTTTGGATTATTAACAGTTACCTTCTAACTTGTCTTCCTGCTTCTACCTCCAATCCATTTTCTGTAAGATGACTTTTAATACATTAAATATGTCACCTGCTTAAAATCTTTCAATGGTCTACCATTGTATTTAAAATAATTCACACTCCTTGGCATAAGCCCTCTTTGATCTGGGCCTGTCTACGCATCTATCCTTACCTCATGCCTCTCTATTGTGTTCATCAAATATTCAAAGCTTTTTCCTACCTCAGGACATGACATATATGGTATTGCTTCCTTCTCCCTACAATGAAATGCTCTCCTCCTCATCCTTTTATCATCAGTTCGAATGCTGTTTTTGCAAAGAAGCTCACCTATTCTTACTATGCTGTCTAAATTAACTGACTCTTCCTTACCTTCAGCTAATCTTTCATCCTTTGTTACATTGCACGTATTATTCTGTAACACTTAACATTTACTACAATCTGAAATTTTCTTACTTGTTTTACTTGTTTATTGTCTCTTCCTTGAGAGCTAGTCCTTGGGAGCATAAGTTCTCAACTTACTGAATAAATGAAGTTACAATACTACTACTTTATCCTTCTTCCTATGTAGCTTAATAAGATTTTGATGATAAGTGGCAGCATACAGGCCAATTCATAAAACACCATAGACCCAATTTTTACACTGACTATTTAAGGAGTTCTGGGTAAAATCTTTTAAAACTTTTTGTTCTATAATTTGTAAAACCAGAGGAAATACCATCTTTAAGGTCTTGGCTGACAAATTCTGTTTTCCTGACTTGAAAGAGTTCACTCCGGTAATTATTTATTTTACATTCAAGATATCAGTATTACGTGGCCTTTTGATATGAAGAAATTATTGATATAGAAGAGGTAGCTAACTGGAATTAACAATTATTTGTATTGCTCTAAAAGTTCTTATTTCTGTTACTTAATTGTATCAGCCATAACACAGTCTCACTGGACCTGTTTCCTCTTCATACAGTATAATGAGGGAGGGGGACTAAACAGTCCCTTCTGGATTTTAAGTTCTGTGATTCTCTGAGAATGGATTATATTTTTATTTTTTATTAAAATTCTCTTGGTATCATAGCCAAGTTGCCCAGTCTAACTTATTTCTGGATTGATAGGAGAACAAGTTGTACTGGAAAAAAAAAAAACGAGTCTTTTTAAAATTAAAATATTAATTGAACATTGCATTTGAATCTTTACAGCTCTTCTAAAATGTTCTTTTAATTAATTTGAGATATTAATTTGCTTTTAGCAGTTATTATTCTGTAGATGCTTTTAGAAGTGTGTTACATTCTGTTCACTAAGGTACATGATTTGTATTTTTAAATGCCACCCTTTTTTATCTCATTGTTAAATAGGAAGTACCATTGGCACAAACTGCACAGCCCACATCAGCTATTGTTCGTCCAGCATCATTACAGGTTCCCAATGTGCTGCTTACAAGTTCTGACTCAAGTGTAATTATTCAGCAGGCAGTACCTTCACCAACCTCAAGTACTGTAATCACCCAGGCACCATCCTCTAACAGGCCAATTGTGTAAGTGATTCAGGCCAATCATTGAACATATACATGAATTAAGTTTGTTTTGTAATGATTTTTCCTAAGACATTTGATTATTCAAACTAAGATCTTAGTTTTGTATGTGTGTGCATGCTTCGAATTTTGGAAAAAGTACTTGCGTAGTCTTCTTTAATATAAATATTAACTAACAGAGTGGGAGATAAATACAACTAAAAACAAATATAGAATGTGAATTTAAGATAGTCTTATTTTCATGCTATTTCACACAAAATATAAAATTACTGCATCACCAGATTCCATTTCTTTCAGTTCTTACTGGTAGCTCCCAAGAGCTCTCTGATGACAGTTTTTCTCATTTTACAAATTGGAGATTGTCCTAAGTAAATCCATAACTTTTCTCTTCTTTTCAATACTGCTACACAGGTTATGCATTTAAGATGCAATTAAAAATAATTAAATTTTGCTATTTGCTTTGCTGTGGTTAGAAAATGTATTTTTAAATGATATGATTATAGGAGTAAAAATACTATTGTATTTTTAAGAGACAGTTGGTATGAATCTCTTTTTTAAAATTTCTCTTCTTTTGTTTTTCTTAGCCCTGTACCAGGCCCATTTCCTCTTCTGTTACATCTTCCTAATGGACAAACCATGCCTGTTGCTATTCCTGCATCAATTACAAGTTCTAATGTGCATGTTCCAGCTGCAGTCCCAGTAAGAAAGTTAGACTATTTAAATCTCTATCGCAAAACTGATCTTTGTAGTCAGAAAATAAAGTTGGCTGCTTGACTGGCTTATGAAATTGAATTTAACATAATATTGATTAGCAGTTGATAGTATTTATTTGTTATCATTGTAATAGCATATACCATTCAAGGTATAGCTATTTTTTCTCTTCTCCCCAAAACCTTAATTTTTTTTTTATACTGAGATCTTCTTATTCAACCCATATCAATTTGACTGGACTTGTAGCATTCAAATATTAACACAGATTTCAAATTTTAGAAAGATATTTGTACTAGAATACTTGTCAGGTAACTCTGTGGTATTTCTATTAGTATGGAAATTGTTTATAAAGACACACTCTGAATTTTTGTGGTCAAGTAGGGTTTGTAGAATCTTTGATAGCCCAGCATGTTAAAATGTAAATGTTCTAGAAAAATAATCTTTCACTTTCCCTGTGAAAAGACCCCGCAAAAAAGTTTTTTGAGGGGTGTGTTAAATATATAAATTTTGAAAGACGTAGACAAAATAGTTAACTATCTACTTATGATATTTAATAGTTTGGCCAGGCATGGCAACTCATGCCTGTTGTAATCCCAGCGTATTGGGCGGCTGAGGTAGGAGGATTGTGTGAGCCCAGGCGTTTGAGACTGCAGTGAGCTATGGATCCTGCCTGGATGACAGGGCAAGACCCCAAGTCAAAAAAAAAAAAAAAGTAATAGTTTAATGAACATTTAAAAACACATTGTTTGGAATAATGTGTGTTAGAAAATTGCTTTTTTCTTACTTACATTACATAAAACAGTTTTATTCAAACAAACTCTTCAGTTATGTCTTTGACATTCAAATTTTCATCCTGAGAACCACTTTTTGAGACATCTAGCACAGTTTCCAGAACACAGTATTTTCTTTTTCATCTAAATCATTTACGATATTACTTTATGAATCTCTCTATTATTCTCTCCCTGGAAATCTTACACCAAGCATTAGGTACTTATTTATGTAATAAAAAGATAGTTTTTTCTTTTACCTTCTAAGATGCTTGTTACTGATCAGTACAGTGTAATCATTTACAGTGTAGCTTTTAAAAATTATTTTTAGGCCAAGTGCAGTGGCTCATGCCTGTAATCCCAGCACTTTGGGAGACCAGGGTGGGTGGCTTGCCTAAGTCCAGGAGTTCAAGACCAGGCTGGGCAACATGGCAAAACCCCATCTCTACAAAAAATAAACACAAATTAGCCAGTTGTGATGGAAGCACCTGTAGTCTCAGCTACTCAGAAGGCTGAGGTGGGAGGATCACTTGAGCCTGGAGGTTGAGACTGTAGTTAGCCGAGATTGCACCACTGCATTCCAGGCTGGGCAACAAAGTAAGACCTTGTCTCAAAAATAATAAAAAATAAAACTTATTTTTAAAAGCTTACTTATAGTAACATTCCAACACTTTCGGTGAGATTACCCCCAAGAATATTACTAGGATTAATGTTTGATATTTATATCTTTTTTTAATTAACTAATTCTTCCACGTGATCTTTCAAACTATCCAAAATTAGCATTGATTGACGTAATTTCAAGATAATGTGCCTTCTTTAAAAAGAACTTTGTTCAAAATGCATTATTTGAGAGACTTTGTAAGGACTCAGATATAAGGTATCTGCTTCCTCTTTACTGAGAATATTTTTTTGAGGAGGGAAACATTCTTGCCTTGTTTTTGAGATTCTGATTATCCTGTTACATGTACCTAGTGATGAAAGCAACCGGAAATGAAAGAAAAGATATGCTTTATTTATACAGTAACTGTGTTCACTCAGTGTTAGGTTTAAGAAAAAAAAGGAAAAAACCAAAATGGTAAAACCTGTTACAGATTATTTCAGAAATTATTACAGTGTGTTATTTGTTATTATGTGGTATGTATAAGAAAATTCATTGTATATATTTTTAGAAAAGCAAAATTCATTGTTGAAATTATTTTTTATGCCTAAGTGTCACAAGTTTTGACATTCTTCCTTTCATATTCAAAATGGAAGTTTGACAGATCTTTGAGAATTTTTGCATTAATCACTTTGAATATTATGAATTTCTAACAGGGACCATTAAGAAAGAAATTGTAGAAACTGAAAATTAGGAAAGCACACGTCTCAGAAATTGACAACTTTTGAAGGATAAGTCAGGATATAAGACCAAATAAGGATTTGGTATAGAGATAAAATCAGCTGGTGATAAATTTACAATGTTCTGATTCTTAAAGTCTCAAATTATTACAACAGCAGTAAAGTACAAATCTCATTTTGAATATATTCTCTAGCAATTATTTTTCCTTATGTCATGCATAGCTCGTTCGACCAGTCACCATGGTGCCTAGTGTTCCAGGAATCCCAGGTCCTTCCTCTCCCCAACCAGTACAGTCAGAAGCAAAAATGGTAAGCCAGATTTTATTTGTTCTGTACATTGCTTGAGGCTGTTTTGAATTAATGTTTTCACTAAAGCCTGCTTCAAATGCACAATTTAGATCACATTTTTATAAAGTTACGGACTGTTTTATACTATAGATAAACCACAAAATTTGAAAAAAGAAATCTTCCTTTAGCATAGTGAGTAGTTAGTGATACTTTAAAATTAGTGGCAGATTAGAAGTTCTGTTTCTTGTCACTTGTTGTTTGTCTGGCTTTTTCTTGTGGCTTTTTCTCCTCCTAGTGGAAAATAGGAGTATTACATCTGAAACTAGATGTGATCATCTGAAGGCAGTGCTGCTAATAATGATGAGTGGTTTTAACAGTATTAAAAAGAATTCTGAAATAGTGTACAAGTTAGCAAACATGATAAAACCATTTTTTTCTGTTGTGCTGTTTGGATGCTATTAAATTAATGTTTAGATGTGTATTTTAATTTTAATTTTAATCCTAACTCCACTATTCACTACCTTTAATTAAGCAACTGTAACTTTCCTGAGATTGCATTTCCTCATCTGTAAAATAAAAAGATTAAGCTTTGGTTTCTGGGGTACTTCTTAACCCTAAATCCTATAAACGTTCTAATTTTCTTAGTAGAAGATCTGACGATTCTATTTTTAAAGAAAATCAGGGCCGGGCGCAGTGGCTCACACCTGTAATCCCAAGCACTTTGGGAGGCTGAGGTGAGCAGATCACCTAAGGTCAGGAGTTCGAGAGCAACCTGGCCAACATGGTGAAACCCCATCTCTACTAAAAATACAAAAATTAGCCGAGCGTGGTGGTGCATGCCTGTAATCCTAGCTACTCGGGTGGCTGAGGCACAAGAATTTGCTTGAACCCGGGAGGCCGAGGTTGCAGTGAGCCAGCATCGCACTATTGCACTCCAGCCTGGGTGACAGAGTGAAACTCCATCTCAAAAATAAAATAAAATAAAATAAAAATCAGTGTAATTCTCCTTGCTGTGTTATAATACAATAATGTCAGTTAATTAATAACATCGATTAATTGGGTAGATGTTAACGTTCTATATCATAATAGGGCTAACAACAGCAATTAATTAATGTATCCTTAGGAAATCAATAGATTAGTAGTTATTAGACACCTTCTATTTGCTTCAGTTATTTGCTAGGCACTATACTAAATACAAATTTTTACATGCTAAAACATATTGCAGAGCTGAATTTATTTATTTATTTATTTTTTGAGATGGAGTCTCGCTCTCTCACCCAGGCTGGAGTACAGTGGCACAATCTCAGCTCACTGCAACCTCCGCCTCCTGGGTTCAAGCAATTCTCCTGCCTCAGCCTCCTGAGTAGCTGGGATTACAGGTGTGCACCACCATGCCTGGCTAATTTTTGTATTTTTAGTAGAGACGGGTTTTCACCATGTTGGTCAGACTGGTCTCGAACTCCTGACCTCGTGATCCCCCCTCCCCAGCCTCCCAAAGTGTTGGGATTACAGGCGTGAGCCACCACACCCGGCCTGAAAAATTTTTACTGCTATTCTCCATTAGTGCAGACAATCAGTCAGAAATTTGCACAGGACACCCTGTTTTAGCAATAAAACTTACATATTATCTGAATGAACAGCAGTTGGTTGAAGAGTATAAAAATTAGGTGGTTATTGATTGTTAGAGAAGACCCTAAAAACCCAAGGAGGAAATTTTTCACATCATAGTATGTTCAGGTCAGAGCTTTGGAAATACTAAGATGAATCTTCTTCACTTGATAGCAGAAGAGCTTCACCAGGGGCATTTTTTGCACTTCCTATTTTAGTATACTGATTGATGAAAAATTCAATTTAATTTACCATGCAGTGGGAACTGAATAGAGCAGATATAGATATTAAAAGGAGATCCTGTTATTGTGTACTGCATCTAAAAGTATTTTTACATATTCATTGGACTTTTTTCTATAAATTAATTCAAAAGGAACAAATCCAGTTTTAAGAAATACCTTTATTTACAAGAGTAGGCCATATTTTTAGAAACTGTTAAACTTTACACTTAACCTGAATAACTGTTTCTTTTAGGTCATCAGGAAATTAAATTAAAAAGAATAAAAGTTTCTCTCTTTCCGATCAGTCCACTCCATCTATTCTGATGTTTGTAACCATAGATTAGTTATAGAATTTCATATAAATAGCCACTTTATACTCTTATGTCCAGCTCAGCATGTCTCAGATTTATCCATGTTGTTGAGTGATCACAGTTTGCTTCTTTTTATTGCTGAGTGGTATTCCATTGTGTGAATATACCACAATTTCTTTGTCCATTCTCCTGCTCATGGACACTTTAATGGTTTCTAGTGTTTAGCTATTGTGAATAAAGCTACCATACACAGTCTTTTTTTTTTTTTTTTTTTTTTTTTATTGATCATTCTTGGGTGTTTCTCACAGAGGGGAATTTGGCAGGGTCATAGGACAATAGTGGAGGGAAGGTCAGCACATAAACAAGTGAACAAAGGTCTCTGGTTTTCCTATGCAGAGGACCCTGCGGCCTTCCGCAGTGTTTGTGTCCCTGGGTACTTGAGATTAGGGAGTGGTGATGACTCTTAACGAGCATGCTGCCTTCATGCATCTGTTTAACAAAGCACATCTTGCACCGCCCTTAATCCATTTAACCCTGAGTGGACACAGCACAAGTTTCAGAGAGCACATGATTGGGGGTAAGGTCATAGATCAACAGCATCCCAAGGCAGAGGAATTTTTCTTAGTACAGAACTAAGTGAAGTCTCCCATGTCTACTTTCTACACAGATACAGCAACAATCTGATTTCTCTATCTTTTCCCCACCTTTCCCCCTTTTCTATTCCGCAAAACCGCCATCGTCATCATGGCCCGTTCTCAATGAGCTGTTGGGTACACCTCCCAGATGGGGTGGTGGCCAGGCAAAGGGGCTCCTCACTTCCCAGAAGGGGCGGCCGGGCAGAGGCGCCCCCCACCTCCCGGACGGGTCGGCTGGCCGGGCGGAGGCGCCCCCCACCTCCCTCCCGGATGGGGCGGCTGGCCGGGCGGGGGCTGACCCCCCACCTCCCTCCCGGAAGGGGCGGCTGGCCGGGCGGGGGCTGACCCCCCACCTCCCTCCCGGACGGGGCTGCTGGCCGGGCGGGGGCTGACCCCCCACCTCCCTCCCGGACGGGGCGGCTGGCCGGGTGGACGCTGACCCCCCACCTCCCTCCCGGACGAGGCGGCTGGCCGGGCGGGGGTTGACCCCCCACCTCCCTCCCGGACGGGGTGGCTGCCGGACGGAGACGCTCCTGGCTTCCCAGACGGGGCGGCTGCTGGGCGGAGGGGCTCCTCACTTCTCAGATGGGGCGGCTGCCGGGCGGCGGGGCTCCTCACATCCCAGACGGGGTCGCGGCCGGGCAGAGGCGCTCCCCACATCTGAGACGATGGGCGGCTGGGCAGAGACGCTCCTCACTTCCTAGATGGGATGGCGGCCGGGAAGAGGCGCTCCTCACTTCCCAGACTGGGCAGCCGGGCAGAGGGGCTCCTCACATCCCAGACGATGGGCGGCCAGGCAGAGACGCTCCTCACTTCCCAGACGGGGTGGCGGCTGGGCAGAGGGTGCAATCTCGGCACTTTGGGAGGCCAAGGCAGGCGGCTGGGAGGTGGAGGTTGTAGCGAGCCGAGATCACGCCACTGCACTCCAGCCTGAGCACCTTTGAGCACTGAGTGAACGAGACTCCGTCTGCAATCCTGGCACCTCGGGGGGCCGAGGCTGGCAGATCACTCGCGGTTAGGAGCTGGAGACCAGCCCGGCCAACACAGCGAAACCCCGTCTCCACCAAAAAAAATACGAAAACCAGTCAGGCGTGGCGGCGCGCGCCTGCAATCGCAGGCACTCGGCCTGCTGTGGCAGGAGAATCAGGCAGGGAGGTTGCAGTGAGCAGAGATGGCGGCAGCACAGTCCAGCTTTGGCTCGGCATCAGAGGGAGACCGTGGAAAGAGAGGGAGAGGGAGACCATGGGGAGAGGGAGAGGGAGACCGTGGGGAGAGGGAGAGGGAGAGGGAGCCACAAAACGTACTTCTATGAGGATATCTGCTCAGCAATTGTCTGTCTCATACACATTCTTATGTAACTTTCATGGCCATATATTTTCATTTTATTGACTAAACAGCTAAAAGTAGAATCGCCGAGTCAGAGGGTAGGTATACATTTAACTTTATAAGAAATTGCTAAACCTTTACCCAAAGGTTTACATTCCTACCAGCAGCGTGTGGGAATTCCAGTTGTTCCCACATTCTTGTCAACATTTGGTTCTCCCTGTCTTTTTAATCATAGACATTCTAGAGCTGTTTAGCAGTGTCTCATAATTTTAATTTCCATTTCCTTTTTGGCCAGGCATTAGTTGTGAGGTCTTTTGCCCATTTAAAAAATTGTGTTGTTTTTCTTTTATTGATTGATTGATTGAGACGGGGTTTGGCTCTGTTACTCAGGCTGGAGTGTTGTGGCATGATCTTGGCTCACTGCAGCCTGGATCTCCCAGCCTCAAGTGATCCTCCTGCCTTAGCCCCTCAAGTAGCTGGGACTACTTGTATTTTTTTGTAAAGATTGCTCTGCCAGGCTTGTCTTGAACTCCTGAGCTCAGGCAATCCACCCTCCTCGGCCTCCCAAAGTACTGGGATTACGGGCATGAGAGTCACCGCACCGGGCCAATTGTTTTTATTATTGCATAATTATTTTTATTTATTTATTTTTGAGACAGAGTCTTGCTCTGTCGCCCAGGCTGGAGTGCAGTGGCACAGTCTCAGTTCACTGCAACCTCTGCCTCCAGGGTTCACGCAGTTTTCCTGCCTCAGCCTCCCGAGTAGCTGGGATTACAGGCTTCCGCCACCACATGCAGCTAATTTTTGTATTTTTAGTAGAGATGGGGTTTCACCATGTTGGCCAGGCTGGTCTCGAACTCCTGACCTTAAGTGATCTGCCTACCCCAGCTTCCCAAAGTGTTGGGATTACAGGCGTGAGTCACTGCACCTGACTGTAATTCTTTTTTTTTTGTTGTTGTTTTTGGACAGTCTTTCTCTTTGTCACTCAGGCTGGAGTGCAGTGGTGAGATCTTGGCTCACTGCAGCCTCCCCTTCCCAGGTTCAAGCGATTTTCCCGCCTCAGCCTCCTAGTAGCTGGGATTACAGTCACCTGCCACCACACCCAGCTAATTTTTGTATTTTTAGAGATGGGTATCACCATGTTGGCCAGGCTGGTCTCAAACTCCTGACCTAAGGTGATCCACCTGCCTCGGCTTCCCAAAGTGCTGTGATTACAGGCGTGAGCTACTGCACTCAGCCTGGAATTCTTTATTTACACTGGATATAAGGTTTTTGTTAGAGAGAGAGGTACGTATATTTCTACTGTCTATTTTCTTTTAGTGTGTAGCTTGCCTTTATTTTTCTTAATGGTATGTTTATACTCCCATTGACTTACTTTTGTCTTTAATATTTGTTTTCTCCTACTTAATTAAGCTTAATTTGCTTATCTTTTTTGGGTTTCTTAAAGTAGAAGCTTAGATTATCTATTTAAATCTTTTTTCTAATATAGACATTTAAAGCTATAAAATTTCCTCTGTGCACAAATTTTGATATGCTATACTTTTATTGTCATTACTTTTTTAATTTCTCCTGTGATTTCTTCTTTGACCTGTGAGTTATTTAGAAGTGCACTGTATAATTTCCAAATATTTCAAGGCTTTTCTATTTATCTTTTTCATATTGATTTATATTTTAATTACATTGTGGTTTGGGAACTTACCATCTTTGGTATATTTGATTTTCCTTTATTTCCATTTTCTAATAGATCATAGCTATTTATTTCAGCTCATTTGTGAAACAGTAGATATTGCTATGCTGGTACAGTAACCTGAACTGGTAACTTAAAATGTCAGTGTACTGGATAAGGGAATTCTGGTTACTTGAATTTTTTTGTTGCATAGAAATTATTTCACACTTCAATATTCTTTTTATATTAACAACATCATTTAACAGCTATTTCTATCAATTGTTACATGGCAAACATTTCTTGGGTTCTAAGAAATTCAATAGACATGATCTTAAATTTTGAGATTTTTCTTGCAAATGTGTTCAGTAGCCATCAGGAGAGTCAAAAAAGAATGTTCTTCTAAGAAGACCATTATGGTTTTCTTTTCCAGCATGTGTAGCAATTAGGATTGTATTTTATCAATGAGCTATTTTGTTTTGGGTTTTGATTTCATATTTTTTTGGGGGGGGGGCAGATTTTAATGCCCTTGATGGTGACTTGTACACATAATGATTATTCAGGGACTACTTTTAAAAAATAATATAAGATTTATTAAGATTACAAGTTTAAAAACCTAGTGCTTTCCTAAGTTCTCAAGGCAATTTACATGTACAGTTATGTAATGATTGCTTTTAAAGAGCTTAAAATATAATCTTAAACACGCTAAGCTATATACATGTAAAGCTATGTACTCAATAATTCTCTCAATTGTCTTTCTTAAGTACTTAAATAATTCTTAAATTTAACTAAACTTAGTGATACATAGTTTTCTTAAATATTCATTAATTATTTAGAAGCTTACTTAAGATTATCTCAGCACTTACAACTAAAATCACAGGCCCATTATCTCAGCACTTAACAACTAAAATCACAGGCCCAAGTCAATCTCTTAATTAAACATTTTCACTTAAAGTCCAAGGGTAACGTGTTATTCCGCTTGGCAAGTTAGATTAGATTATACTTGTAGAACGTAAAATACCAAATAGGTATAGTTTATTTGAAATTTAAGTTTGAAATTAAAATGTCAGTGGTATTGGTTTACTTTTTTAAGCTTCAGTGGGCTTAAGAAGACTCACCATATAAACAATTCTGTCATCCCAACTGAAGAACATTGAAGATGGGTTCGTATCCCAGTGCACAGAGCTTTCTTAATGACCAGATAAATGGTCACAGAACTTGATTCTTTCATGCCTTAAAGATAGAACTCCAAGTCCACATTCTCCAAATAAGTGGTTCCCAGCTCACATTCCCTAGATTCATGTTACACATTAAGTGATTTTTCTGACTCTTCACCTGTTTGCGCACCGCCCCCCCCACCCTGCCACCACCTTAAAACTTGTAATTTCTTCTTTTACTGCTTTTGTTGGATTTTACTTTGTTGTTTTCAGATCTTTGAAAGTATTTTAAACATCATCCTTTTGGGGTTCTGCATCTCTCTCAAGAATTTATTAGACCTTTATGATCACAATCTGTTAATAACATGCTGTATATTGTAGCAGTAGTGATTCTGCTAAAATGACCTGTGGTTAAAAATAATGGGATTGGAACATGGAAGAATGAGTAGCACACTACAGCTAAAGAGAAGTTTACTTTGTATGCTAACATAGGATGTTTTTGTAATTCTCTGATTTTCAGATGTTCAGTGCCTTTCCAGGAAGATATTATGTATGCATTGTGTTTGTGTGTGCTGTGAATACTGAAATAAGATCTTTCTTTTCTGCTAAAAAAAAAAAAAAGTCTTCAGAGTAAGCTTGTATTTTTTAATTTTTAAGAACTTTAAGCCTTTGGAAAAGTAAGCATGTGTTAAATGTCGATAGGGACCGAAAAATGAAAGACTATATAGTACTTTTTAATACAACAGAAAAATTCCCAGGATATAATTTTCTACAGAATTAGACTAGTTGTCACTAAATTTTGGTTTCAGGGTTTTGTTTGTCGTTAAGCCCGTAAATCATATTACTCTTCTAATAAAACAATTTTCTTTTGTAATATTTGTAATCAAAAAGCAGCTCTTCTGAATAAGAAAATGTTAATCATCTGGGAATTTTAAGATTTAGTAAAGTATTTAAATAGTATCCTCCAGAATCTTTTTTTTTTTTTTTTTTAAGATGTGTGACAAACTGAGAAATATCTTTGCACACAGTGGGTAGCCAGTAGGTTTTCTGCAGGGGGTTTCTACTGAAAGCTGACAGAGGGCATCTTGGCAAATGTTCAGAAACCTACATTAACTTGGTTGGGCCCTGCATGGAACCTCATGTTCAGCAGAATTCTTCTGACCTGCCTCTGCATGCCGAGCTAATCAGCAAATACCTAATGAGCCCACTCCAAAGAAACAGACCCTCTCTCAACCTACTTGATTTTCATATGTTCTCTGGGGGTGGGGTGACAAGATTTCATGAGGACTGATGATGCTGCAAAGACCACAATAATGATAATTAACTTGCTGAATTTAGAAGATTATGCTGTTAATTAGTTGCAAAATAAAGATAAGTAATAGAGCAGCAGATGGTAGGATAACACCCAGGAGAAGGAGGGTTATTACTCTGATGAGCTTTTGTGGCACATATGAAATATGGATCTGACTTTTTCATAAATTGTTTCTAGAGAACATTATCTTTTTTCTTTGAACTGTGATGGAGTACTTTGTTCCTACTACTAAGTTCTGACAGATGTGATAAAATTTATTTTCAAGGGTGCAACATAGAACTTGAATGACAATTATTTCTAGGAGATCACCTCTTAAAGCGAATGTGTCAGATTGGTCAGCACAACAAATTATTCATCCTTTAATTAATTGAAACAATCTATATCTCTCTAAGAAAAAGAGTTTTCAGTATAGTAGTTGAACTTTACATCACTGAAAATTAAACATTAAAATACTGGTCTGTTTCATAGAAACATAATGAAGACATTTTTGTTTATCAAACAAAGTCTACCTTTACTTTAAATTAAAATTATGCCTAAGTTTTCTTGTACATGTTGGATAATATAGACCTTATAAAGTCCTCCTTTTTTTTTTTTCCTCTTTTTTTTGAGTCAGGGTCTTGCTCTGTTACCCAGGCCAGAGCTCACTGCAGCCTCAAACTTCTGGGCTCAAGCAAACCTCCTGCCTCAGCCTCCTGAGTAGTTGGGACTACAGGCATGCACCACCACACCTGGCTAATTTTTAAGTTTTTTGTAGAAATGGAGTTTTACCATATTGCCCAGGCTGGTGTGGAACTCCTGGGCTCAAGGAGTCCTGCCTTGGCCTCCCAAAGTGCTGAGATTACAGGCATAAGCCATCACACCCCACCTTAAATCTTTAATTTTTATGAGTGCTCAATCTTTACTTCTTAGAGTACTTAATCCTTATTTACATATATTAAATTTGTCTATTGAGAGAGATTTTTGATCTTAGTAATGGACTGACCAATATCAGATGCTTAACTTAATTGATTACTAATAGATTTAGAAAATTTAACATTAGACTAGAGCTCCAGTTTGGCAAAGCTTTTGTTTAGAATATGTTTGGTGAACTGGGAGTCAA
Organism: Homo sapiens; assembly: GCF_000001405.40. NCBI lineage: Eukaryota > Metazoa > Chordata > Mammalia > Primates > Hominidae > Homo > Homo sapiens. The sequence goes on along the minus strand of NC_000002.12, from coordinate 175,102,256 downwards.
CAAATAGAGTTTCTGGTTTTATCTCTGCTAACTTTGATTCTGGGAAGTAACTTCAGTTTTTTGGAGTTTCTGTATCTGTAAGATGGTGATTGGACTAATTGACTTTCATTATCTCTGCTAGCTCCAAAATTCTATTGTAAAATAAATGTTCATTACATTTGTTTTCATTGATTTTTTTTTTAAACCAAAGTATTTGGCCTTCTTCAAATGCTCCTAACAAATATGTATGGCTGGATTGTAGATATCCTTACATTAATTGTAAAATTTATATGAATGATATTTAGTGACTGCTTTTTTGACCTAAGTCTAATTTTTTTAGCGTGTGTGCATTTTTGTTGTAGTTTTAGAAAAATTAATGGACAGTTTAGAACAGTGTTAATTAACCCTTAAAATCTTTTTCTTCTGTTGTATACCCACTGGCATACTTTTCAAGTCAGACCCATTGTAATCAATGTAACAGCATGGAGCAAACATTAGAGCTTCCTCACTGGATGAGTACTGTATACCCTAGGGCAGTCAAGGAAGGATAATGAATGAATACTGATGCTGCTTTTAAGTGCTTTATAAGGTAGTAACTTGCCCTACTAAAGATTATTCAAGAGAGTGATGTTTATGTACTTCAGGCTCCCCTATGTGCAGTTACTGTATTTCATTAATTCTGAGAGTTAAGCTCTTCACTGTAAAACTTTAAATGCTCTTCAATTCTATGATAATTTCTACCTAAGGACTTAAAAATCTTTTCCAAACACATAATTTACTAAGCCTCACATTTCTACTTCTAGTTATATTTGTGCACATTTTAAAACTAGAAATGAAAGCCCCAATTTATCACTATAGACTGGGTACTAGTCATTGTATTTTGATGTCTAACATTCTATTTATAAAATATATAAATATGCAGACTGGCGACCTCCCAAGACTCTCTCCCTTTGTTCTGACCCACACTTTTCCAACTCAGGTCTTTCTACTTTAAATACTTCTTGATCGTTTTTCTAAGTATTCCTATCTGGTTCTAGCCAGCTACTACTTTAGTCCCGCATTTAATTTCAGTTTTAATCCATCCACTTCCACATTATCCCATCAATTAGGGTCCTAATTTCCTATGTTTTAGCTACTAATATAGTTGTTTCTGATTGTTTAGAAAAGGAACTAGGAATCTTATCTTGATTCTAAAAAATTCAGTTTTTCTTATGGTCTTGAGCATGTCTCTGTTAGGAATGCTTACTTGTTCCCCGGTGCTGTAAAGAAATAGCACTTGAACATAAATTTAATTTCCTCAGCAAGGCCAATTTTTTTACTTTCTGCAGAAAGGGTACACTCGCCAGCAGTTTTCCCATGAGAGTACACTGAACAAAGGAGACAGGGTCATTTATAACCTGACGCATCCACCCTACTGCTGTGTCCAGTTTCCATTGGCTGGAATGGGACCTCACATTCTGTATTTGTCCTGATTGGCTAGCAACTTAGAAGTTTTAAAAGAGGCAAAGGCAGAGGAGAACAAAGGAAGGAGGAAGTAACTTGTGGAATGCTAAGAAAGGTAAAAACACCTTCAAATAAGGAAGAGGAACAGGCTATGACCTAATGCTTACTTGGACCAGTATACGCATGCCAGGGCAAATATGTAGGTAAATTGTGGGAGCTAAGAACATAAAGTACATTGATTTCTTTATTACGGCTAGCAGATATTTGAATGTTAGCACAGGTCTTTGAATAAATTTTGCTTCTAAGAGAAGTTACTATTTATTCCTAATTAGATGGGGAGGAGAGTCTTTGAAGAGGAACCTCTACTTTACTTTTTACATCTCATATATAAAATATGTCTGGGATCAAACCAATGCTTAAGATGACCCTTAGGGATATTTTGAAAATTCAGAAACATAGGAACTATCCTGATTCTTTGGACCTCCGTGCTAAGAAAATAGAGGCCTCAGTAGTATTCTTAAAAGAAATAAGGAAACTGACATCTGAAAAATTCTTTTACGAGTCAGATAGTTTTACATGTTATATTTATTTTTCAATTCAACTCTGCAAGGAAGTTATTATTCCCAGTTTTATAGGTAAAGAAATTGAGACTCAAAGATCAATGATTTGTTCAAAGTCACAGATAGTTTGAGGTAGAGTTAGGTTCTGAACCTAAAGTGTATTCTCAGCTTTATAAGACCATAGTACATTGCATGTTCTAATCAGTGAAAGCACTAGGATATTACATAAGTGGTACTTTTTATAATTCATAAAGAAGTAGTCTGTCAGAAAAGAGGGAGAAAACATGCCAGATCCTGGCTTAGCAGTTGCAGTAACAGGTTTGGCACTCTAAATCCTTATGATTGTTTTTTGAATCATTAAGCCACAAAGTTTCAGACTCTCTGTCTTGAGTTTTCCCTGTGTTTTCTGGTAGCACCAAGGATAAAGTATGCAGCATGGTGCTGTGGAAATATTTTGCACTTGAAATTAAAGAGATCTGGGTTTATATCCAGGATTTGAACTAGCTTAACAGCTCTGCATCCTTGAGCAAATGATATCTGGTTTCCTAAAGTGTAAAATGGGGATACTATACAATTAAAAACTCATTAAAAAACTACAGATAATACAACAACACAGGTGAATCTCAACTGCATTGTGCTAAGAGAAAGAAGCCAGATTCAAAAGGCTATACAATGTATGTTTCCAAGTATGTGATCTTCTGGAAGAGACAAAACTCTTGGGATCAGAAAACAGATCAGTCGTTTCCAGGGCCAGGGAGTAGAAGGAGAGTATGACAGGAAAGGGCATGAGGATTTTATTGTGGTAAAACTGCTGTGTATCCTGATTGTAGGGTAGGTTGCATGAGTGTATTTGTTTGTTAAAATTCAATAGAGGCCAGGCACGATGGCTCACACCTGTAATCCCAGAACTTTAGGAGCCGAGGAGGGTGGATCACTTGAGGTCAGGAGTTCAAGACCAGCCTGGCCAACATGGCAAAACCCTGTCTCTATTAAAAATACAAAAATGAGCCGGTCGTGGTGGCATGCACCTGTAATCCCAGCTCCTCAGGAGGCTAAGGCAGGAGAATTGCTTGAACCGTGAAGGTGAAGGTTGCAGTGAGCTAAGATCATGCCACTGCCCTCCAGCCTGGGCGACAGGCGAGACTCCCTCTTGAAAAAAAAAAAAAAAAAAAGAAATTTAATAGGATTGTACACTAAACAGAGTTAACTTGCTATGTGTAACTTATATCTCAAGAAAAAACTTTTCTTTTTACAAATTGACTTTATTTTAAAAATCACACCCAGAATATACGGTGATTCACAAGAGAGAGAAAATGTCCACTAACATTTGTTCACGCATAATTACTGCCTCAGTTGAAATTCCGGTGATCTTTTCATATATGCTTCAGTTTTTATGGGATCTGGATCACATATGATAGACAGTAAGAAGATAGGCCTAGATGAAAAGGAAGAAATTACAAGTTTTGAAATAGTTATAAAAATTTCTGAATTGTTCTTAGTTGAAGTGAATGGAAATACTTGTACTGGTATTATTTGGGGGTCTTTTTTAAAAGCTCTTCTCTCACTCACCCCTTTCTGCTGTACTCAGGGAAGGAAGAAAGGAAAAGATTGCCAAGAATATGTGTTCTTAACACTTAACACCCCAGACAGTTATGTATTTCTAAGAAGTTTGGGAAGCACTGGGTAGGCTGCAACATGGTTCTCACATCTCTATCTCTCTTTTGTCTCTCAGTTGCACTCGCTCTCACTCTCTTATTAGCCTCCATCCCCTCAAAGATGCACCTCTATAAGAATCTTAGGAAAGTGTAATATACATAACTCTGACTCCAATTCCTGTAATAATATGTATTTGGGGCCCAAGAACTACATCTCAGTTATTAAGAACAGTATCAGCAATAATAGTCTCAGGTCTGTTGGATCCCTGAAGTCCCTTTCATTGCTGAGATACTGTGGTCTGATTATCTGTGCAAATTATTTCATATTTACAGATCATAACAAAACCACCTTAAAGATCACATATGACCATTTTCACTAAAGAAACCAATTTCTATCAGTTAACAGATATGTTTGTTTTGTACCTATGTAGCAAATCATTATATCAGTTGCTAAAAGGAATACCCAAAAGTATAAGATAATCTCTGCTCTTAGAGAGCTTACTAACTGGTTGGGAGATAAAATAGTTGCATATGACAAATTTTTATTGATAGCATAATAAGCTTCATTCAAATTGTTGCTTGATAAAGTGGTAGACATAAATATCTAGGGCCTCATTCTAATACTAGGTCTGTCATGCTCTGAATGTGAGTCCAGTACAATCCAATAATTAACTGGCAAACCTGCAACAGCAAAAGAGAACTAGATCTGCTTACTGGGGACAGGGAAAACCTAAGAGAGACAAACCCAGCTGTAGGTTCTTGGAGGAGGCTCAGTTTGGGCCCATTTGATCTCTGTTTGCAGGTTTGGTGCCAGTGCTTACTTGGACAATGACATGATGTTACATTTTTAAGGCCTTTATTATTATTTTCTCAAAATTCACTAGGAACAGCAAAATACAGAATCCTCTAGTAGTACTAGGCAAAAGGACTCAGGGAAACTACCCAAGGTGCTATTGTTTGTCTTGTTGATATTCATGATGATCTTTAAGGACTTAAAAAAAATTTTTAATGGTGTTTGCATTGCAGAGATTAAAAGCTGCTTTGACCCAGCAACATCCTCCAGTTACCAATGGTGATACTGTCAAAGGTCATGGTAGCGGATTGGTTAGGACTCAGTCAGAGGAATCTCGACCGCAGTCATTACAACAGCCAGCCACATCCACTACAGAAACTCCGGTATGTGTGTTGTTTTTATTATTCAGCACTCTGTCATCTTTAAACAGAAAAGTACAGTGTAACTTACGGCTTATTTAAAAAATATTACTCTGGTCATGTTGTTATTCCAAAGATGTATCAAAAGCCTCAGGAAAAGGTAGCTCAGTATACAAGTATTGATACAAAAATAAACATAATAGAGCAGTGTTTCTGTTCAGGACACCTGCAAATATTTCTGTGGGTGTCCATATATGTTGGTCACAATTCTTTTTAAAGAAAACATCTTTTTCTGTTGATTTTAGGACAGTGAAACTGAATACTGCTTTGAGAAATTTCCTTTACTCTCTATTTCCTGATTGAAGAAGTTTATAGAGTTATGACTTTGGAAAATAGTTATATAACCAGAAAAATAATATTAGAACCTTATAGTGAGAAGAATGAAATTGTATCTTGTTTTCTTATTGTCCAAAACTACAAATTTGACATAAACTGTAACTATTAACACTAGATATTTTTTCTTGCTGTGGCATAAACAGGTTTGATTTGAACTGTTCTCCTATGTAACCAAAGTATTGATGTTATAGGAAAATTTAATAGGTTAAGTTCTGTAAATTTTATAGACAATAACAACTTCTTTGTTAAGAGATGCTGTGTTCTTCAGAAATGTATGTAACTAAATCTTACGTTCTTTTTCAAGTAGCAAAACTAAGATTTCTAAAGAATCTTTTTGGATCTCTTCTTAAAAAATTATTGATTTTCCTTTTTCCTAAAATGCCATATGTTTATGATTACAATGCATATCATATTTCAGTATTGTGTTGCCATCTACAACCATTAAAGTGTGTATGTCCCAAAGAGGCAGATGTTTTTTCTGTTTCCGTTACTAGCAGAACAAATAATTCTTGTTTCTGCTTTTAATATTTGCTCACTCATTGTAAAACATTACTCTTTGTTATTTATTTGTATAAGTAACCTTATCTCACTTGTAGGTAATCAGAAGTCTTTTAGAGAAATAGGTAGATAAATATTCACACATATACACACATATGTAGGTATTACATTACTAACATAAATCAAATGATTCCTGAATTAAAACTTGTGAAACATCACCAAAGGAGCAAATATGCTTTATGGCAGCTATTTATACTAGAGACCCCTTTCACTTATCTCTAGTTTGTGACTGCCTATGAGATGATTGATATTGTTATATGCCTGCAGTGCTTTTCTAATTCTTTCTAGTAAAGGATTATTGTACTCCTGTTAAATGTTTCAGAATTCTATTTAGACCTTTTATCTTTACTTGAAGAATATTAGCATTGGCATTAAAAAGCAAAAGTTTTCAATCAAAGAAACACATATAAATAAGTTTTAGATTGCCACCTAAGCATAGGTATTTACATAACTGTATCTTGTCTTTTAAAAACTTAATATATAATGAAATGTAGTTGTGGTTGTCATCCACTAACCAACTTTACTTAGGGACCAAAAGGGAAAATGAGGGGCTGAGTGATTGTGTATATGTGTTAATGTTATACCTCAGGGTTTAACAATGATTCACAGGCCATATGCAACCCATGGGTGTTTTTGTGTGGTCTGCAAGTTAAGTATGATTTTTTACATTTTTAAAGGGTTATTTCTAAAAAATGAATATAATTTATTGTCCTTACTTTCTTGCACTAACTATAGTTTCCCTGGATCTAATTTTTATTTATATCCTTATATGTTATTGTATTGGATGGAAGCCCCATGAGGGTAGGACTTTATCTGTTTGTTCACTGCTATACTTAGTTTCTAGAATAGTTCCTATAAGGATTTTCTGAATGAAATAGAATGAATTAATAGACATGGGGAGAGAAGGAGCAGTATACACTTCTAAGAAGCCTCCAATCCTTGATAGGCATAAAAATATACAAATGTAACTCTGAGTAGCAGAAATTAAGCTTCTGTTATTCTGCTAGTACTTATGATTAGTCTTTGCTATAATGAGTTAAATCAATTAAAAACAAAAATAAACTGTTCTCTCTTATTCAGCCAGATGAGTAAAAGAAAAAACCTGCCATTCTCAATAAGAAAAATAGGAGGTTGTGGCTCACGCCTATAATCCCAGCACTTTGGGAGCCTGAGGCGGGTGGATCACCTGAGGTCAGGAGTTCGAGACCACAACCTGGTGAAACCCCGTCTCTACTAAAAATACAAAAATTAAGCTGGGTGTGGTGGTGGGCACCTGTAATCCGAGCTACTCGGGAGGCTGAGTAGGAGAATCACTTGGAACCCAGGAGGCGGAAGTTGTAGTGAGCCAAGATCACGTCATTGCACTCCAGCCTGGGCCACAGAGCGAGACTCCATCTCAAAAAAAAAAAGAAAAAGAAAAATAGGAGGATGAAGAAAAAAATTTCAAGATTGCAAATCTTGAAGCCAGCCATAGAAATATTTTTCTAAAACATTAAGTTGCAATTATGTAAGTAAAATAAACGCTCTAATTTAAATGCTTAATCTTTATTACAATTAAAATATTTCTTTTTTGAGACGGGATCTTCCTCTGTTGCCCATGCGGAGTACAGTGGTGCGATCATGGCTCACTGCAGCCTCGACTTCCCAGGCTCAAGCAATCCTCTCCCACCTCAGCCTCTTGAGTAACTAGGACCACAAGCACATGCCACCGCACTTGGCTAATTTTTTAAATTATTTGTAGAGATGAGGTTTTGCTATGTTGCCCAGGCGTGAAATACTTTATACATGAAATAACTCTCTTTGTAATGCTAGTTATTTGGACAAAGAAATGATAACTTTATTTTTTGGAATTTGTTAGAGTGAAAAATAGTTTGGTAATTTACCTGCAGAATTTATCTTGAGCTTTATATAAGACTTGTATTACATAGATTAGGAGAAAACAAATTTTATTTGTGCATACCATTTTTAAATATAATAAATTATAGGTAAAAGATTGTTTTCAGGCTTCTCCTTTGGATTGTGTGCCTGTAGCCATAAAGTGTTCTTTTCTCTGCACCATTTCCAAGAGCTCATTTTCTTCTTTCTTTTTTTTTTTTTTTTTTTTTTTTTTCGTATTTTTTGAGACTGAGTCTCGCTGTATTGCCCAGGCTGGCGTGCAGTGGTGTTATCTTGACTCACTGCAACCTCTGCCTCCCGGGTTCAAGTGATTCTCGTGCCTCAGCCTCCCAATTATCTAGGATTATAGGCATGCACCACCACGCTCAGCTAATTTTTTTGTATTTTAATAGAGACTGGTTTTCACCATGTTGGCCAGGCTGGTCTCGAACTCCTGACCTCAAGTGATCCACCCGCCTTGGCCTCCCAGAGTGCTGGGATTACAGGCATGAGCCACCACGCCCGGCCAAGAGTTCATTTTTTGACACCCATATTCATTTGTTCTGTGGCACAGTTTTGGGGTTTGTGAAAGACTTGAAGATACCTATTGTTTTATAGTCTTATACACTAGACAATATTACTAGTGACTGAAGATTTCTTTCTCTTACTAATCTGAGATAACCAAGCTGATTCATTGGGGAGCAGAGGGAACAATTAAAATGAAAATTAAGGCTCCTGTGGGATTCTCCCTACCAGAAAAATGAGTATTAATAAATATAAGAACTTGACCCTTAGAAAAAGACTGACCCTAAATTTCACAAACTGAAGAAAAGCTGAATATACCAAAGAATATATATATTTTCACTCCATAACTTTAGAGAAACAAATTTTAAGAAAATTGGCATTTAATGTGAGATATTTAATTTAAAAATAGCATAGAAATCATGGTTTTCTATCATGAATTTAAATAGGAAGTTATTAAACGTTTTGAGAAATTTATAATTAGTTTTCCAGGGATTTAATAATATAATAAAATCTGTTAAAATATACTTGGAAAAATATTTCTATATATCATTTGTATTGTATTTTAAATTTTTTCATATTTGTATGTAAATGAAAATATTATACATAAAGAATACATTTGCTGTGACATTGCATTAGTGAGAATTGTGTTATAGCATAGCTCATAACATAAGTATATTCAAGAAGGAAGTTAAACCACAGGGTGATTTTCATATTGCCCCAACATACTGATGTATTCAACAAGACTTAGAAAATACAGTTGCTCTCCCCCTTTGACACCCTTTACTGCCTATGTTAATTCACTCACTAGATACAAATATAACAGGCTTTCATCTCTGTTTATAATAGGCTTCTCCAGCTCACACAACTCCACAGACCCAAAGTACAAGTGGTCGTCGGAGAAGAGCAGCTAACGAAGATCCTGATGAAAAAAGGAGAAAGTTTTTAGAGCGAAATAGAGCAGCAGCTTCAAGATGCCGACAAAAAAGGAAAGTCTGGGTTCAGTCTTTAGAGAAGAAAGCTGAAGACTTGAGTTCATTAAATGGTCAGCTGCAGGTATGGTGCATATATGTGAATTTTGTTTTATTTCTTTTTTAATAATTGTGAACATAGATTTTTTTTTTCCTAGTTGGGCCTCCAAACATTTTAGGACATGATATTGGGTGTGTATGGAATCTATAGTAAATCATAGTTTTGTAAACCTGTTTGTTTGGATGCTGAGATGAAATAATATAAAACTTTCAACACTGATACAGTGAAGAAATTTAAAATGTGTTTACCTGTGTACAAAAGTAGCTAAACTATCCGGTTTGAACTTTATAAAGTTGTGATATAAAGTGCAGAGAATTTTAAAATTTAAAAATATCACTGTTATTTCACTTTTCTTGTCTATTTTTTTGGTTTATAGCACAACTATAAGTTTCTTCAGTAGCAGTTTTTATTTTTAAATTATTTCATTCTTTGAATTATAAATTTTGTTCTGTTTTGTTTTATTTAAAGTGAATATATTGCTCGTGAAAGGTGCCAGATTGACAGCTTTGGAAACTGAAGGACTCTAATTATCCACAGACCAGGTACAATATGGCCAGTGGCAGTACAGATCATTTCATACTGCCCTGCCAATGTGCCTCAGATACATTTCTTAAAACCTCATGGAGTATAAAGTTTTAAGGCAGCACCGAATCTGTTTCCTTTGTTTTTCTTCCTTCCTTTTGTTTTTGTTGTGTTTTTTAACGTAAATATTCTCCTATATAATCTTAAACTGCCAACTGATAAGTATCAACCAGAAAATTGATGTTAATGAATTGCAGTTATTAGTCTAGCTCAATCTTCTGAATTATCCATACCCAGTTAAAAGTGAATCTTTCTGTATAATCATAATTGATGGTAAGAGACCTGCTGTCTTCTTAAATCTGTCTTTAAGATATCACCAATATAGTTGTCTGTTTAAATGGTTAGGAAACAGTTTTTAGCATCAGACATAGCATTTAACCAAATGTAAGTTTTATAATTTAAATTTTTTTAATGTGAAGCAGACATCTTTAAGTCTTTATTTTGCTTTGAATATTGACATGATAGAACAAATAGATTGTCTTGCAGAACTTATTTTTAACGATTTTATTTTAATGATTTAGAAGAAAATTTTAATACAACTTACCACATCACATAGACTTAAAATATGTGCTTATCTTCTAGGGTTTATTAAGAAATATATTTTATCATTTATCATCTGATAAATTGTTTTTTTGTTTTTGAGACGGAGTCTCACTCTATCACCTGGGCTGAAGTACAGTGGTGCAATCTCGGCTCACTGCAACCTCCAGCTCCCGGGTGCCAGTGATTCTCCTGCCTCAGCCTCCCAGGTAGCTGGGATTACAGGTGTGCACCACCACACCCGGCTAATTTTTGTATTTTTAGTAGAGATGGGGTTTCACCATGTTGGCCAGGCTGGTCTCGAACTCCTGACCTCAGGTGATCCACCCGCCTCAGCCTCCCAAATTGCTAGATTACAGGCGTGAGCCACTGTGCCCAGCCCATCATCTGATAAATTTTTAATCCAGAATGTTTCAGAAATTTTTAGAAAACATTTCTAAATTTTCTTTTTTTTTAATAGTACAGACTGTAGGTACTAATTTATGCTGCAAAAATGGCTATTTTATATCAAGTCTGTTAGAATATTTATTATTATTTAAATTTTCAAATATTACATGAACAAAGTGATTTAGGTATGTGTATTTTTTTTCTGTTCTTAACTAACAAAATCTTCTGAATGACCTGCTATTTTATAGTTGTATGACATAAAACACAATCACTGTTGTCTTCAGTTGTCTTACCTGTAGAATAGATGTGGTAATACCACTTCTCTGTATTGTTACATAAATCAGTCAATTCAAGGGTTTCTTCGTACAGAAAATTTTAACTAGTAAGACAAATTTACCATTATTTTCCTTTGTAATTTGGCTTATTATGCCTTATTTAAGAAGTAAAAGTACCTGAAAACTATGAAGTAGTACATACATATATGTTATTATTTACAGGGATTTTAAGCTGGGCAAGTTTTCTGCTTTGACCCATTTTAGAGCAATCTTAATACCTTTTAATGAGATATTGCTGTTTCCATAGTTACACTGCAGCACTGGTTACCACTATTAGCCCTTTATTATTGCAGAAAACCATGGAAAATTAAGTATTCAAAATAAATATAATCTTGACTCCATTTATTTCATGTTTTTTCTGTCACACAGTCTATGATTAAAATGTCATTATTGTAGCAGTGCTTTGTATATACTTCCTAATTTGGGTAGAAGTTTTTTGATTGGAGAAATAAAGATAAGATTTATCATTAGGTAGAAGTTTGCTGACATCATTTTTTGAAGCATGAGACTATTAAATGAAAGCTAAATTTAGGAAATCACTAAATTAAGCTCTACATTTGAACTTGAGTTTAGTTAATACCTCAAATTATGTACAGAAGAAGTAAAACCAGTATTTTTGACCATTAAAAGCTGGGTGATGATGGCATCATCTTAGATTTAGAAATGCATTTTAAAATAGGATCCAAAATGATATATTATCAAGGATTTTACTTACAATACTTCTCCAAAAAAGAAAAAGCATTATATCCATCTATTTATATTAACCTGGGAAAATATCTATAATATATATATTTGTATGGGCAAAAAGAAAGTTGTTGGAAACAGCCCAAATGTCCATCCAAGATGAATGGATAGACAAGTTGTGGTTTATATGTACAATGGAATATTATTCCACCATAAAAAGGAATGAAGTATATGCTACAGTGTAGATGAACCTCAAAACATTATGTTAAGTGAAAGAATATAGAACAAACATCAGATGTTGTATCATTCCATTTATGTGAAATACCCAGAATAAATAAATCCATAGAGAGAGATGGCATATTAATGGGGGAGGGAGAATAAGGAGAAACTGCTTAGTGGGTAAGGGTTTTACTTTGGAGCGATGGAAATATTTTGTTACTAGACAGAGGGTGGTAGTTGCACAACATTGTGAATGCACTAAATGCCAGTTTAAACTGATTACCTTTATGTTATATGAATCTCACCTTGGTAAATTACGAAAAAAGGTCAGTTACATCTAAATTAAGCATTATTATTATGCTTAATAAAGCATAATGCTTTCTTATTAATAAAAAGGTTTACAGTTAGATGGGTAAATGTATAGGTATAGGAACTGGTATAGAAATGACTCCGTAAGTATAGGTAGCATTTTAGAAATGACATGTACCAAGGTGCAAACGATGGTGAGGAGGGAATTGAGAGCATGGATGGTTTGGGAAGAAAGGGTACTTCAATGATGACTTTCTGTTATTGCTTCAAGTCAATATATTATTTTGACTTTTTGTTGTTTTCTACTTATTTGTCAAGTAAAATAAGTTTTTTAAAAGTGACAGATTGTAGCTTTCAGAATGTGAAGAGTTAACATGCCTATAATAGATTCAGGGAGAAAAATTTCTTTCAGTCTGCCAACAGCAAAACCGTTAACTGTGAAGAACAGAATGACTTGTAAAGAAAATTGAATGTCAGAGAAATAATTAAACCCTACTTTATGTGAAAACATTAATCAATTCTGTATTTCCTTGATGATCCTTCATGTGACATGTAGGCTTAGCTGATCAGTGTAGTGGGCTGTAATGACCCATAGTTTACTTATATATTTTATATGTAATACAAGGTTTAACAAGTGTTGAGGTATGATTGTTCATATTTTTACCAAATACATATTAGGCCTTAAAATATATTCAACCTTATTGCCGCATTCACTAAATTTAATCATGTTTTAGTTTTCCCAAATCATTGCTAAAAGAGCAATTTCATCAAATTATATTAGAGACATTTATGGTAATCTAGACCAAAAATTGAATACTGTTGGTTATAAATTATTGTTTTTTTTTTTGGAGACAGAGTTTTGCTCTTATTCCCCAGGCTAGAGTGCAATGGCGCAATCTCAGCTCACTGCAACCTCCACCTCCCGGGTTCAAGCAATTCTCCTGCCTCAGCCTCCTGAGTAGCTGGGATTACAGGCATGCGCCACCACACCTGGCTAATTTTGTATTTTTAGTAGAGATGGGTTTCTCCACGTTGGTCAGGCTGGTCTCGAACTCCCGACCTCAAGTGATCTGCCCGCCTCAGCTTCCCAAAGTGCTGGGATTACAGGCATGAGCAACTGCACCCAGCCAATTACTGTATTTTTAAAGTAATATCTATTTTGTTAATTTTGTTATCTTTTACTTGAAATGGTTTTTACCTGTTTATAGCTTTGTCTTGCAGTTATGCTCATTATGGGGGTTAATTTTCAGTTTATAAATGTAGCATGTTTCCTTATGAACAAAAAGCAGATTCCTTTTCTTTACTAACAGTAGCTGCTTAACAGTTACTCTGTGGGTACAACTTGATAATTATTTTTGTGTGGATTTGGCTGTTATATTAGGTTGGTGCAAACAGAATCGCAGCTTTTGCCATTAAAGGTAACGGCAAAACATACTTTTAATGGCAAAAACTGTGATTCCGTTTGCACCAACCTAATAACTTAGATACTGCAAAATGTGTGTGGAGTGGAAGCACAATAAATTAATGAAAGCACACTTTTATAGCTAGAGAATTATTTACTCATAAGTTAATGATGTGGAAAAGGTTTTATTGGTCCGTTGACTTATAGAAAATGAGATTAAATCTTTTATTTCTGGTACCAGACAATATTTTATTTCAGTATTTATCACTTGAAATAGGAAAAAATAGCAATAATTGGAAGATACATTATAATACCTTTTTGATTTAATTTCTGAATTCTATGATCTATCTTCCACGTTTTTCCACTGAGTTTTTAACTATATTCTAGATGAAAGAAAGGGGTATTAGTGTAGCTGCCATCATCTCATGCATTTTATTCTGAGTTTGAGATCTAATACTTACATTTGAAGCTTTTACTAAGAATCTTCCTAAGCCTTTGTTTTTCCGTCAAACTGATAGAATAAGTACTATTATGAAAAGCAACTGAAATAAGGTATAGAACAGTGTTGTAACTACACTGTGCAAATGCTAGTTATTTTTCATTCTGTCATTATGCATCTATTATGTGCAAGGCATATTATTAGATGTGGATAACAGCGAAAAAGACATTGTCTTTGCACTTACAGAATTTGTGGCAGAGGAGACAGACATGAAACAAGTAATTAAAGTGTGAGAATAGGAAAGGAGTCATTCCCATTCATTTTGCAAAGTGTTTCCAAAATATTTTGTAGCTCTAGTGAGAACTCTTGTCTTTTTTTCTGTTAAAAATATAAATTTTTTAAAAACTAGTTTGTTTTCATATGTAAGGTTTTACATTCCACGATAACCCTTGGAACTGTGTGGAGGGAAACTTGATACTTAACTGCCTTTTGTGAGGCTTAAACATTTTAAAAATTCATAGCAATGAGAAATTCCGCAAAATAAGAAACTATTCATACTGTTTCTTTATTTTTGGGGGTAATGGCTGAAGTAGAAAGTCAAAGATCATAAATTTAGGGAATACCTGATATTCATGGCCAAATATCAATAAAAGTTTCGATTGATTAGTCAGTTGGCTATCGTGTGATGATTTCAGCAGGCTGATTTACATTACATAGACAATGTAAGAAAAATTTGTCTGCTGCTATGTAATTAACCTTTGAGTAGCCACATTATTAGAGTGGAGCGGTGGTAGAGATAATGACAAAATAATTTACATTAGATTTTAGACCAGAATAATAATTTCTTTTAGCATCTGTTCCATCTTGCCAAATATGTTTTACTTTGACAAAGTGATGATTTCTCACATTTGAATGGGACTTTCACATTTTCAAAATGCTTTTATATCCCTTATTTTACTTCATCTTCAGAATGACCCAGGAAGATAACTAACATATCCTGCAAGTATACTAACTCACAAATAGTAGATAGTACAACCAGAAGGACTTTGGAGGCTGAATCCAACTAAAATCTAGTCTAAAATAATCCACAAAATAGTAAGAGGTATACATTTTTTTTTCATTTAATATTAAGTCTTTTTGTGGCTGAACATCCCCTTGATATTTATTTTGGCTTAAGCAGACTGGTTTTGTGTGTGTGTGTAACCTCTGTTTTTATATTCTGAGGTCTCTGTGTATAGAAACTTAAGGAGTCTTCCCATTATATTTGTGTAGCAGCCCCTTCTCTCTGTCTACCTGTCTTCTGATCTTTCTTAATAGAAAGATTTCAGAATTAAAATCAGGACTTATGCAGCCATCTTATCTGAATAGTAATAAATCATGCCTATCTTTATTTTTAGAAATACAGTATTTTCTTTATGAGATTAAAATTCTTGAATGCTTGGAGTAGTTTGTTGAATTTACTATATTTATCATAAATGAGGCCAGGAGCAGTGGCTCACTCCTGTAATTCCAGCACTTTGGGAGGCTGAGGCAGGTAGATCACTTGAGGCTGGGAGTTCAAGACCAGCGTGGCCAACATGGTGAAACCCCATCTCTACTAAAATAAATAAATGTGTATATATATATGACTTAGGAACCACTCAGCTTTTGTCTCTTCTAACTAATTCAGTTATAAAACCTTTACCAGCATGAGCATCCTATTTCCAACCCACGCTTGACCTGGTCTTGACCACTAGCATATGCTTATACTTACTAGGGCTGTACAGCTCAACTAATCCACTTCTTAAAGGTTTGGCCCACCCTCATGCCTAAACTGCACTCCAGCTATGTTTGCTTTGCAGTATTTCTCTCAGTCCCAATTCCTAGCCAGTAATTGTGTCTCATTTGCTGCTTTTAATCTAGTGGTGATACCATCTTTTAATGAAATCGACTATTAGAGTACAGTAATAATACAAGTTATATTTAATTTGTAACCTGTCATCCAAAAGTCACTTTTGAGCTTCAGAATCATCATTAGGAAAATGTTACTGTAAAACATTTTAGATCAGGACAATGTAAAAAATTGGACTGAATTTGTATTGTGCAGACCTTGAATTTGTTGGTTTATTTCTTAACCATTTCTGCCATTTAAAAGGTGTAGTGGAAAAAATTGGTTATTTGAATTTTGGATAAATATAATTTACAGCATGCTTGTATATTATACCTTTTAGATACATGCAAATTTATATATAAGAATGTGCAGAGTTTTTAAAACAAAGAGTAACAAATTAAAAAATAAAAGAATGTGCAAAAGTTTTTATTTTTAATTTCTTCTTCTTGGCCTTTTCCATTGTTTCCCCAAGTTAATGCCAATTAAAATTCAGTTAGCACAAATATACGTTGTAGCAAGAATCAAGTACTGTACCTCTTCAGTCCTTGATGTTCATTAACCTTTCCTAGCTACTGGCATCTTCATGTTACAACTATATGTTAGTAAACCAGGTAGTCTAATTAGATCAACAGTCTGAATACCACCAACCGTTAAGTTTGAAATGTAGAAATTGATGTCCTGTTCATCAGTTTCAGACCTGTCTATTTAAAGAGAGAATTTGTGTGTGTGTGTGTGTGTGTGTGTGTGTGTGTGTGTGTGTGTGTATGTTATGTATTTATTTATTTATTTTATTTTTTTGAGACTTGAGTCTCACTCTGTAGCCCAGGCTGGAATGCAGTGGTGCAACCTCCACCTCTTGAATTCAAGCAGTTCTCCTGCCTCAGCCTTCCAAGTCGCTGGGATTACAGGCATGCGCCACCAGACCCAGCTAATTCTTATATTTTTAGTAGAGACAGGGTTTCACCACGTTGGCCAGGCTGGTCTTAAACTCCTGACCTCAAGTTATCTGCCCGCCTCAGTCTCCCAAAGTTCTGGGATTACAGGCATGAGCCACCACACCCAGTCTATATTTAAATCACTTATTTTATATCACTTAGCTAGCCAACACATAACACTTTCAGTACTTTTGTCACATATAGCATTTTGTTACATAATACGGTTTATTATGAATGTATAGAGTGTTTCAGAGAGAAGACATTTGTGATTTTTAGAGTTCCGTAATTGAGGTGATACTACATAATATGCCAATTTACATAACTGAGAAAATTAACAGTGTAGCTGTATTGGTGAGATTATTGCTATAAATGATGAAGTTAGGACCTCTGACCAGATTCATATTATTTAAGCTTTTTCATTTCACCTTCTTTGATATTTTTTACCTCCTAGACATAGAATTACGTGGTCCTCTCTAAAATATGTCTGTCTACTCAGTCCATATCAGGCAATGTGCTGTGCTCTGGGGATACCAAGGAAAAGATATGTTCTGCCTTCAAGAAATTCCCAGTCTGGTAGAGGTAGCAAGCAAGTACACCAAAAGTTACAATCCAGTGTGATAAGTACTATGGAAGAGATCTATATGTATACACACAAAAGTATGTGGCTGTGGGAACCCAGAAATAGGCACCTAACTTATTTTCCTATGCATTCTTTTTTTTTTTAACTTTTTTTTTTTTTTTATACTTTAAGTTTTAGCGTACATGTGCACAATGTGCCGGTTAGTTACATATGTATACATGTGCCATGCTGGTGTGCTGTACCCATTAACTCGTCATTTAGCATTAGGTATATCTCCTAATGCTATCCCTCCCCCCTCCCCCCACCCCACAACAGTCCCCAGAGTGTGATGTTCCCCTTCCTGTGTCCATGTGTTCTCATTGTTCGGTTCCCATCTATGAGTGAGAACATGTGGTGTTTGGTTTTTTTGTCCTTGCGATAGTTTACGGAGAATGATGATTTGCATTTTCATCCTTGTCCCTACAAAGGACATGAACACATCATTTTTTATGGCTGCATAGTATTCCATGGTGTATATGTGCCACATTTTCTTAATCCAGTCTATCATCGTTGGACATTTTGGTTGGTTCCAAGTCTTTGCTATTGTGAATAGTGCTGCAATAAACATACATGTGCATGTGTCTTTATAGCAGCATGATTTATAGTCCTTTGGGTATATACCCAGTAATGGGATGGCTGGGTCAATTGGTATTTCTAGTTCTAGATCCCTGAGGAATCGCCACACTGACTTCCACAATGGTTGAACTAGTTTACAGTCCCACCAACAGTGTAAAAGTGTTCCTATTTCTCCATATCCTCTCCAGCACCTGTTGTTTCCTGCCTTTTTAATGATTGCCATTCTAATTGGTGTGAGATGGTATCTCATTGTGGTTTTGATTTGCATTTCTCCGATGGCCAGTGATGAGCATTTTTTTCATGTGTCTTTTGGCTGCATAAATGTCTTCTTTTGAGAAGTGTCTGTTCATATCCTTTGCCCAGTTTTGGATGGGGTTCTTTGTTTTTTTCTTGTAAATTTGTTTGAGTTCATTGTAGATTCTCGATATTAGCCCTTTGTCAGATAAGTAGGTTGCGAAAATTTTCTTCCATTTTGTAGGTTGCCTGTTCACTCTGATGGTAGTTTCTTTTGCTGTGCAGAAGCTCTTTAGTTTAATTAGATCCCATTTGTCAATTTTGGCTTTTGTTGCCATTGCTTTTGGTGTTTTAGACATGAAGTCTTTGCCCATGCCTATGTCCTGAATGGTAATGCCTAGGTTTTCTTCTAGGGTTTTTATGGTTTTAGGTCTAACCTTAAAGTCTTTAATCCATCTTGAGTTAATTTTTGTATAAGTAAGGAAGGGATCCAGTTTCAGCTTTCTACATATGGCTAGCCAGTTTTCCCAGCACCATTTATTAAATAGGGAATCCTTTCCCCATTGCTTGTTTTTCTCAGGTTTGTCAACGATCAGATAGTTGTACATATGCGGCGTTATTTCTGAGGGCTCTATTCTGTTCCATTGATCTATATCTCTGTTTTGGTACCAGTACCATGCTGTTTTGGTTACTGTAGCCTTGTAGTATAGTTTGAAGTCAGGTAGCGTGATGCCTCCAGCTTTGTTCTTTTGGCTTAGGATTGACTTGGCGATGCAGGCTCTTTTTTGGTTCCATATGAACTTTAAAGTAGTTTTTTCCAATTCTGTGAAGAAAGTCATTGGTAGCTTGATGGGGATGGCATTGAATCTATAAATTACCTTGGGCAGTATGGCCATTTTCACAATATTGATTCTTCCTACCCATGAGCATGGAATGTTCTTCCATTTGTTTGTATCCTCTTTTATTTCATTGAGCAGTGGTTTGTAGTTCTCCTTGAAGAGGTCCTTCACGTCCCTTGTAAGTTGGATTCTTATGTATTTTATTCTCTTTGAAGCAATTGTGAAATGCTTTCCTATGCATTCTAAACTGTTCTGAGTTGACACTTAAATAAAATATTTAGCAAGACAAAGAAGAGGGGATAAAGACAACGGTATGTATTTAGCTAGCAATTTCAAACTTACTTTTGTAAGTCAAGACAAATACTGGTTATTTCATATGGTTCAAACTAATGTGAAGGTAGCAAGGGTATGAGAGGCTTGAAGCATCACTAGTGTTTGGTGTTAAAGGATAGAGTATGTTGGAAGAGCAGTGAGAGTTGAAAATCATTATGTTCACCATCACCAGATTGTAAAAGATTGTATATTCTTGAGTAAAAATAAATATCCAGCCCATTTCCTGTTACAGGATTTAATGAGAGAAACTTGTAGACATCAGTCTCAAAATCAAGCTGACAGGATGGGTAATATACATTGGGTAATATACATTGGATTATTCATAACATGGTTTCATCAATAGTGTCATTTATACTGAACTATAATTAGCAGTATTGACACCAGTTGGAGAAGGTGTTTCCTAAATGACAGCTTATCTTTTCAAGCCAAACTGTTTTAAATTTTACCTTTTGTACTTTGATTACTATCTACCCATTCTTGCCTCAAATACAATATTCTAAATCATTTAATCTTTTAATTAACGGTTTAGAGTTATTATGAGCATCAATTTTTGTTCTGTACTTAAATACAGTGATGTAGTTCATTGTTATTGGGGTGTGAGGAACTGTTTGACCCAATAGACTTGCCTTTAGATTGCTTAACTTTTATTATTTAATTTTTATGTTTCTGTCACTTATCACTTAAGGAGGCCCAAGTCTGCTAAATTATTTCATTTATTTTTTTTGAGACGGAGTCTCACTCTGTCACCAAGGCTGGAGTACAGTGGCACAATCTCACCTCACTGCAGCCTCTGCTTCCTGGGTTCAAGCAGTTCTCCTGCCTCAGCCTCCAGAGTAGTGAGTAGCTGGGATTAGAAGTACCCTCCACCACGCCCAACTAATTTTTGTATTTTTTGTAGAGACAGGGTTTCACCATGTTGGCCAGGCTGGTCTTGAACTCCTGACCTCAAGTGATACAACTGCCTCGGCCTCCCAAAGTGCTGGGATCACAGGCGTGAGCCACCGTGTCAGCCTGCTAAATTATTTTACATTCAGCTTTCTGCTTAAGAAACAAGGTAGAAAATGTCATGCCTCAGCTTTTATGTACACCTGTTTGCTATATTTTCTAATTTACTTTTTGGTTCATGGATGAAATCTGAATGGTTATAGTTACTGTGTGAGTCCAAGTAAGTAGAAGTATTTGTAAGCTAAGAATTTTTTATATTACCAGTTTATTAAATTCATATTATTTCTAACTCTTGAGTATTGGTAATGATCACTGACTTACGTGTTTTTAATATTCGGGGTGACTCAAAGGAATTAGTCGGACTTGCTCAATTTGGAACTTTTTACCAGATTAATGTATCCCAAACAATGGCTGAAGTACTCATTCTGAAGATTAGGACAAATCTCCATTGACTTAGCAGATTTAAATTTAGATGTGTACAAATTGCCTGGGTCAAAGGCAGCTAAGCCATTTAAATGTTATATCTAGTTTCATTGGTTTCAGTGTCCAGCAAGAGTGCCTTGCAGTGAATTTTAGGTATCCATGATTCTTTGGTTATTTTGGTTTCCCCTGTGGAGCTTTTCTTGGTTTCTAGGAAACTGGAAACTTGCTTATTTGAATTTCTAGGATGATTTTTTTCATTTTTAGGTGAATGGAATCAGTGAAAATTCATCCTGACTCCCTTGATGTTTCTTTTTAAATAATCAGAAGAGCATGCAACATATATAAAATAAAAATACTTTCAACAGGTCACCAATAATATATAAGAAGTCCCAGGGAAATGGAAACAATTTTGAAATATGCTATCCAGCTGTGGCATTATCTTAAATTTTTATTCAAGTTACAGCTTTTTAATAAATGCTAAAATATAAAAGCTGCCCTGTGCTGATTAGACATATTTAATCAGCATATTTTCTTTGTTTTTAATGTTCTGCCAGTGATGTCCAATTTTATACTTTAATCCTTGCTTGTTTTAAATAGTAAAAAATATGTTTAGTCTGTGGTAAGGTACATAAGTTGTTTCTTCTCCAGAGTGAAGTCACCCTGCTGAGAAATGAAGTGGCACAGCTGAAACAGCTTCTTCTGGCTCATAAAGATTGCCCTGTAACCGCCATGCAGAAGAAATCTGGCTATCATAGTGAGTAATGTTCCATTACCTATAGCCTTAGGCTACGTCAGTGAAATACCGTCAGAGTGAACTGAGCTGCTACTTTAAAAATGGAGACTGTGCTTCTAATATTCAAGATTAAATATCAGAATTTCTGTAAGGTTATTATAGAATGCAGTAGAGAGGTATAATTTTTTAGAATCTAGAGAGTTTGAGTTTTCCTGTTTCTAGCTTTTTTCCTAAGCGTTACTATAGATCAACAAAATGGATTAGCTAATAATTTAAAATATACTGTAAGTACTTGATGATATTTTGTTCATCTTCTCAGGATAACACTTTGTCTTAGATTGACAGGGTGAAACACTACTTTTTTCCCAGCCTCCGTTCATTAATGATGATATTTTTCTTTTTAAAATCAGCTGACTGCCTTTAACAATATATGATATCCCTTTAAGGTATCAGATCCTATTGTTCTTTCTTAGATAATGTCAGCATTGTGTAACGTTTTTATTGTTGTAAACCTTTATATTGAGATATCTAGTTAGTTTATAAAAATGTTAAAACGGGAACAGTAGTTAAATTATCTGCTTGTAAATTTCCTGCTAAATGTTTTCCCAAAGAATGAGATTCTTTTGTTTTCAGCATTTTAAAGGTTAATTGTGCCTTTTCCTTTTTGTAATGTCCTTCTTTTTTGATAAGATGCACAGTGTTGGAACCAGCTGTTACTCTTGAATAAATGGCCAATTTTGTCCATAGTATACAAATTTGTAACAAACAACAGAGTTGGGAATGCATTAGGCAACATTTATAATATATAACCCACAGTTTTAGTCTTTATGATTTAGTGATATTTCAGGATATTAGTAAATGTGAAGATTGTTTCAACCATATGTATCCACTTCATTTTAATTTGCCAGTGTCAGTAATTCAAAAGAAAGAAACATTTTGTATTGGATGCAAACAGTTCCTCAGGTGCTCACGATAAAACTTAATGGCCACCATCTTTACTTGTAGTCATTATAAGCAGTTTCATCAGAATGGGCAATATTTTTTAATTTAAAAGATTCCGTAGATTTAGCTACTCTCAATTGCCATATATATTTAGAACGCTGATTTTTGTCAGTTTTGAGCATATAAATCTTGCTTATTTGATATCTAGTAATTTTGACAGGATGGTGAAACACATTGGAGTAAATTGGAACCATATAGAAATATGTTTGGGATTTATATTAACAATGATTGCTTCAGGGATGAGGCCATTATGGTTCCCATCTGACTTAACAACATAATTTCCTATAGAAGCTACTAGTTCAGCATTTATGCATACGTGATTTTCTTAACAAGAAATCTCTCTTGGATTTTCATAGTTTAAAAGGAAATAAATTGTTTTATAAAATTAAAAGGAAATTAACTGTTCTCTTAAATTGTATCCAATTCAGAATTACCTGTAATTTTTAAATCTTTGATAATTTATTAGATAATCCCAACAGTTTTGACTCTATTATCCAGGCAATGTATGCTCAGCAGATGCAAACCAGTTATTCATTTGACAATTGATTTACAAGATATCTTAAGTGTATAGATGCGTAGGTTTATATACTGTATACTTAAATGACTGAAAATCTAGATTAATACATTTTTAGTACATAGAGTACTAAGTTATGAGAATATAAGAAATGAATAGGATATGTTTGTTGTTTGGAAATAATCCTATCTTTATTCCTGTCTAGTCATGTAGATAATCAAATTAACTGAAATATAGTTCTACCATAAAATTAATTCTCTTCAGATCTTGGGAGATAATTGGATTTTGTAGAAATTTTCAGGTAATTTATATTTTCAAGTTTGAAATCTTTGAAATAAGTCTGACTTCTCTGTTGTGTAGTAGTAAAAATAGATACAGAAATTGACTAAGTGAATACCTTTGAAAAATTTACACTCTTCATTATGTTGTAGCACACAGCTCTTGCTAACAGTGGTGAGTTGTAATACTAGCTAAATCTTTAAAAACATTTGGGAATCAAAACTAAGATTTAGTAGAAATTAAGGAATGTTACAAAATCTTTCAAGTAAAGGTGGAAGTACTAAGTCACAGCCATAGGGTCTGTCCCGCCCAGTTTTAGCACTGAAAGTCCTACTTCCTAAGAAGACCCCTCAGTCGTGGGAAAACCATGACAGTTAGTCACCCCAACAGTTAAGTAATATAAAACCTGAATGAAAATACTAAGAGTACATTTTAAATATTTGGGTTCCATGAAAAATAAAGCACAAAAGTGATCTTATTGCCATGAATTCACATTCTTTAGATCTGGGCATAATTAAAGTTGTATTATAATTGTCTCTATAATTATAAATGGGAAGAAAAGCTTCTTGGGGACTAATCAACCACAAATACTTTTATTACTGAAAATATGTATAGGCCAGGCACTGTGGCTCATCCCTTGTAAGCCCAACACTTTGGGAGGCCAAGGCGGGAAGATTGTTTGAACCCATGAGTTCAAGACCAGTCTGGGTGAAATAGCGGGACCCCATCTCTACAAAAAATAAAGTTTAAAAAAGCCAGGCATTTTGGCACACACCTATAGTCCCAGCTACTTGGGAGGCTGAGGCAAGAGGATCACTTGAGCCCAAGAGTTCAAGGCTGCAGTGAGCTGTGATCGTGCCATAGCACTCCAGCCTGGGCGACAGGGAGACCCTATCTCAAATAAGGAAAAGAAACTTGTGGACATAGGTAGAGAACTTTCAAGATTACTGAATTGCCAAACAGCTGGTTTCTTTTAGCTTAGGTAGAGCTGGAAGTGGCTCTTTGAGTACAGCATGGTTTTCTGTATCTCTCTAGTGCTTGTGATTACACCAGTCATTTTCTCCCCTC
This sequence comes from Homo sapiens, assembly GCF_000001405.40. Classification (NCBI taxonomy): domain Eukaryota; kingdom Metazoa; phylum Chordata; class Mammalia; order Primates; family Hominidae; genus Homo; species Homo sapiens. The sequence goes on along the minus strand of NC_000002.12, from coordinate 175,077,817 downwards.
ACCTAGAACTGGACATAGGTGCAAATATATCACATTGTAAAGGTATTTGATGTGTATGTAAGGTTTATAATTACATAATTGTGAGTACCTGATTCTTTGTACTGCTTAAAGATTTGCTTTACCTAATTCTGAAAGTCTGTAGGTAAGCATTCATCCCTTATAATTTACTGTTTCATTTTAAGTTGTTGACTCCAGTATGTATTTACGTTTCCTTATACCACTCATCACAGATCAGCCTCTTTATTTTTAAAAGCTGGTGTGTCCCTTGAACTCAACATTCAGGGAAACGTCAGCCTGTTGTTCTTTTAAAGAATAGTGGTGAAGTTAGAATGGTGATCATTAAAAAGTCAGGAAACAACAGGTGCTGAAGAGGATGTGGAGAAATAGGAACACTTTTACACTGTTGGTGGGACTGTAAACTAGTTCAACCATTGTGGAAGTCAGTGTGGCGATTCCTCAGAGATCTTGAACTAGAAATACGATTTGACCCAGCCATCCCATTACTGGGTATATACCCAAAGGATTATAAATCATGCTGCTATAAAGGCACATGCAAATGTATGTTTATTGCAGCACTATTCACAATAGCAAACACTTGGAACCAACCCAAATGTCCAACAATGATAGACTGGATTAAGAAAATGTGGCACATATACATCATGGAATACTATGCAGCCATAAAAAATGATGAGTTCATGTCCTTTGTAGGGACATGGATGAAGCTGGAAACCATCATTCTCAGCAAACTATTGCAAGGACAAAAAACCAAACACTGCATGTTCTCACTCATAGGTAGGAATTGAACAATAAGAACACATGGACATAGGAAGGGGAACATCACACACCGGGGCCTGTTGTGGGGTGGGGGGAGGGGGGAGGGATAGCATTGGGAGATATACCTAATGTTGGATGACGAGTTAATGGGTGCAGCACACCAACATGGCATATGTATACGTATGTAACTAACCTGCACGTTGTGCACATGTACCCTAAAACTTAAAGTATAATTTTTAAAAAGTGATAAAAATAAAAAAATTTTAAAAATCACATATAAATACTTAAAAAAAAAAAAGAATAGTGGTGAAACAAAACAAATAGAGCTTTTTAGTATTCCCTCCAGTTAAACTGTCATTGCCAGTATTTTGTTTTCTATATACATGTAATGATTATGTAATGATTATATTGGCTATTTTAATAACTGAATTATAAATATTTTATAACATTCATTACTGCTTGATCAGAAAAGTAGGGGGGTGAAGGAGAGGGGCACTAGTTGAGAAACGACCTGTTGGGTGCTATGTTCACTATTTTGGTGATAGGTTCAATAGAAGCCCAAACCCCAGGATTGCACAATATACCCATGTAACATACCTGCATATGTACCATCTGAATCTATAATTTTTTTTAAGTATTCATTCTGTTTTATATAATTTTTAAAGGATTACTACTTCTGGTGGTTGGTGGTGGTGGTGGTGTTGTTTTATTGTACCTTGAGGTCAAGTATCTAGGGGTATGGTTTTGATTTATAGCATGTTATAGAGAAGATGGGGTTCCATCTCATTAATGTATTTTAAAACCTGCTTTTCAAAAATGCATGGATTTGAGGCAGATGTTGAAAAATTCTGTAAAAACTATATTTCAGAAAATGCACAAAATTAATAATTTTATTTTAGCTAAAGTTGACACTACCAGGTATCCCCCTCTCCATCTTCTACATTGCAAATCATAGGCTAAGTCCTGCTTCATAAGATGTCCACAATTTTTTTCACTAATTGACTTTCAGAATGGGCATCTGGCCATTAGTAAGCAGGCCAATACACATTCTTAGATTTGATTTTAGAAGCCTATTTACTGTCACTCCTAAACACTGAATAAAAAAAGTTTTAATGCCAAGTGAAAAAAGCAAGGTGCAAAAGAATACATCCAGTGTGATACTGTTTTTAAAATGTTTCAAAATAAACAAAGCTGAACTATATTGTTTAGGGATACATGCCTATGTGGTAAAACTGCAGAGAAAAAACGAGAATGGTTAAAGAAATGTCAGAGTGGTGATTACCTTTGGTGAGGACAGGAACCTCCAGGAAGCAGAAGTGTTAATGGCAATGTTCTCTCTTAAGTTGGCGGCTCGGTTCCCAGGTGTTCATGTTATCATTGTTCCTCATAACTTACATATACTATAAATATTTGTGTGTTATCTATATCAAATTTTTACTAAATGAAATTACTGGATTCTGTTCTATTAAAATAAGGATGTAAGAGACTTGTTCAGGTCTAAATATTTGCAGATTTATTTTCGTAAATATTTAGAATGCCCTTTCCTTAATATCTTTTCAGATGCAATGTTTAGAGTTTTATATGGATTTTTACTTGAATCCCAATTTATTCATGCAACTATAACAGCTGGTGGCATTTAGATTCTAAATACTGCTTGTTCTCCTATGTATGCATCATTAGAATCAGGTGTTATAATCATCCATGGCTGCAATAGATGGAAAATCAGTCAGAATAAATACAGTTCTGGAGAATGCAGAGGGAATAATTTGAAGATATAATTTGTATGTAAGAATTCATTTTGTTTATGCATGTGGTTATACATTTTTATCTTGTAATAAGAATGACATGTAGGCCAACCAGACTGAGTTTGTTAAATGTGATACTTAATGTTTGATTGTATCTGTAAGAGACTATCTTCCAAACTCTCCCTCATTTTCTTTCTTTAACACTATTTAGCAAATATTTCTTCAGCTCTATTCCATAAGGCAGTGGGCACCCAGATGTTTCCATATGCATGGTTGTGCCTTCTTTTGACCTATTGCAGGTAAAATTGCCTACTTCATGACCTATATCAATTGCTGTAATACCAACTTGTCTAATCAGTTTTGTAAGATACTTTCTAACTTTTTACTCTGTGTATTGCCTCAGCATACTGGTGCATTCTTACCGATTTTAGGAAAATGAATAATTTTTCTTTTTTCCACCCAGCTGCTGATAAAGATGATAGTTCAGAAGACATTTCAGTGCCGAGTAGTCCACATACAGAAGCTATACAGCATAGTTCGGTCAGCACATCCAATGGAGTCAGTTCAACCTCCAAGGCAGAAGCTGTAGCCACTTCAGTCCTCACCCAGATGGCGGACCAGAGTACAGAGCCTGCTCTTTCACAGATCGTTATGGCTCCTTCCTCCCAGTCACAGCCCTCAGGAAGTTGATTAAAAACCTGCAGTACAACAGTTTTAGATACTCATTAGTGACTTCAAAGGGAAATCAAGGAAAGACCAGTTTCCATTTATGCGAAATCTGTGGTTGTAAATTTTTTTTTTTTACTTGAAATTAAATTTGGCTCTAAAGTTGGTGTAGCAGCAGTTGATCAGACTGAAAAACGGTTTTTAGTCTCTGGAAAAAGACTGATTTTGCTTTTTTTATAAATATTATTAGATTTATTAATTTTTCTGTGCTCAATGTGTAAATTGTATTATAATTCATTGTGATTTATTTCACTTTTAATTTGCTGGTGTTTTAATAAATGGGGGTGTTACTGAATCTTTCTTCCCACTTCCATTTCTTTTGACCACCCCTTAACCCTCAACTGTGACGGTAGTAGTATTATCATTTATACCAAAGTTTTGCATAGTCCCTGTTGACTTTGTAATGTTAACGGAGTCATAAAAGCACTAGGCAAGAGAAAGATAGAAATTTGCTTTTAATCTTTTTGCCTTTTATTTTGCACATTATGCAAAAGGAAAAACATTAAAGAACACTTTTTTTTAAGTGAGTGAAAACATGGTAAAGACATACAGTGCTTTTATGCACATTGTTAAGCTAAATCAAGGTCATTTATAATCATTTTCCTTTTTTATTTAAGATTTTAAGTAAACAAATTTTAGAATTTTCAGCATTTCAAAAATGATTTTATTTTTCAAGTCTTAAATTCAATATTTTACACCTATGTTTTGAGGCTAAAAATATGAAATTATATAATGTATGATACAGGGTTATCAAATATCTAATAATTTTTGAAATTAGCTCTTGTTTTTGGTTTTTTTGTTGTTGTTTTTACAGATTTCAGGTTACAAACTGCAAAGTTTATGCATAATTAAGTATGGTATGGTTGCCAGAAAAGCCTAAAATTACTACTTAGAAAATTTAAGACTGTTTACCCCCATTGTCTTGTACTTGCGAGCTAACTTGTACTATTCTTGTGAAAGCACTGTCATCTTTTAGTAGCAAATTTTGATAATGTTTCTCGTGGAAAAAAAAATCAGTATCTATCTTTAGAACAATGTAATTATAATGTGGGAAGTGTGCATGAATGAGAGAGAGTGTGTGTGTATCTGTGTGTGTGTGCGCGTGTGTGTGTGTCTTTTAATAGTTTATGCCAGCAATCTTTGCTTGAATGTTTAACGATGCCTTCAGTGTGATGCTGGCCAATAGATGATTGCAGTTTAAAATGTCATTATTGTGCAGGCTTGGATAACTAACATTCCATGATGTAGCTTGTTTCTGATGAGATGATTGTAGGTACATTTTTCTCATTATCCAATCATCTGTGGGATACTTAGTTTTCTAATGTGCCATTATCTATTTTTATTCTGCAGTTATGTTCAAAATACAGTACATATTTTAAAATAGAATAAATTGTTAAACATAAAATTTTAAAAGTAGTAGATGTGCGTAAGAAAACTTTGTAAAATAGTTATGAGTCCTACCCAGTAGCAACTTCTGGCATTCAAGCAGGATTCCACTATGTAAATATCTGTAATGCATTTATAATAAGTTGTGTAGTTTGTCCTGCATCCATACTACACTATTTGCTAAAGTCTCAGTGCCATCTCCTAATGAGACTGACATTTTAAAAGTCTGTATGGAATATCCTTGATAATTCAAGGAAATATCCCTCCTGCCTAAGTTCCAAACTGGGAAACATTCAAATTATATAAATGACATTTCAGGACTTTAAGTATGAAGATAATGGGAATTTTATTGTTTTGCTTTTTAAAATGAGAGCATTTTTATTTGATAATTTTTTTTAAATTTTTAATTTTTAACTAATTTCATTATTTTAAAGTAATCAGTTTTTCAAATCATGATTTTGATATCATTATTCTAAGGAGTTATCTCAAAGGCACAAAATATGAATTCTGCAAGAAGGCTATTTTTTATTGTAGTTTGAATGGGTTAGGAAAAGCCTCAATTTTTCACTCTTAAGTCCTTCAGTACATTTTTCTTTCATCTTATTACTTATGCAAGTTAAGGTTCTTTGGTAACAGAATTCTTGCAACTGTAAAATAAAACTACATAGATGTAAGAAGTCATGTAAACGGTTAACAAGCTTACCAAGGTTAGCAAAACTTTCATTGTAAATCAGTCTGTACTGAGCAAATAAAAATCATTATTAGTTGTATAAACACAAATTCCATTTTGACTTTCAGGATGTCATACTACTTCTGTACCTAGCATTTTCAGTCCTTATATTTGCAATGTTACACAAACTGTACTATTTTCTTTTATGTGCAGTTTGCATGAGTAAACCATCAGAGAATAAATTCTATCTTTAAATTATGTTCATAATTTGCTTGTTCTCTTACCTTTCCTTCATAAAGTAACATCACCAGATAATGATTTTTTTTTTCCTTCAGGACATTTATTAACTGAGAAGAACCTGAGATTCTTTCTAGTTCTGTGATAAAATTCATTCATTCCTTTTAACTGCAGGGTACTTGGGCCTTATTCCTCTCTGCACTCACTTTGCATCCCATTTATATATAATGAATTATATAATTATATAATTCATATGTAATTCCCCACACCCCTGAACTTTAGTCACAGATCCACCTGCCTTTGGCATCCCTTGGTGATGGCCTGACAAAACATCTGAAACATAACATGTCCAACACTGAACTGCTAAACAGCTCACCCTACCCTCAAACATTTCTCCCACAAACTTTCACAAGTCAATTGATGACAATACAATTCTTCAAGTTGCTTAAGCTAGAACAACCTTGTTGTCACCCTTGATTTTCTTTCTCTCAGCCCACATCCAGTCCGTCAAGAAATACTATTTGCTTTCCCCTCAAAACAATCCAGAATTCAACCACATATCACCATTTATACCACTTTCATCCTAATCTGTGCCTTTATGATTCCTCATCCAGTTACTGTACTTGCTTCATAAATGTCTTTTCACTTTCACCCCTGCCCACCACAGCCCATCCTCAATACAGCAGCCAGAGCGATGCTTTTAAAACTTTTGTCAGGTTACAGCACTGCTCTGCCTAGAATCCTGGAGTGGCTCCCCTGTTTCACTCAGAACTTGAAGACGGCCCACAAAGCCCAGAGATGATTTATTCCATATCCCATCCCATTGTGTCTCTGACCTCATCTGCCACATTGTTTTGTCAGTGAACATTTGAGTGCTACTAGGTGCCAGAGGTTGCTCTAAGCACTTGAAGTAACACAATGGCCAAAAGCAAAAATCTCTGCCTTTGTGGAGGCCACGTTCTAAAGATGGTGGGAGGATGTTGGGAAATGCAATCAACAAGTCAGTTATGTGTTATATTAGAAGTGGTGCAAGCTAAGTGAAGAAGCAGACTTACACCAGTTTTGCTGGAGAGTGTGTAGAGTGACCGTTTTAGTCATATCTGTTAGATATGACCAATCTGAGGAGATGCATGGCTATTTTTTAACAAACATTCTACCAATGTGCTTAAGGTAGATTATGTGATATAGATAAAAAGTTTCATGAAGGCAAGCTGATGTATTTCTATAACAGGTTAACAAATGATCAAACAGGTTAACAAAAGGTCAAACTCATGTTAGTCTTGACTTCAGAGGACAGGAAAGATAATCTCGTCTATGGTGTGTGCTTACTATTAAATGTAGTTTTGCTAATTCTACATCTATGAGACTATAGGATATGATGGATGACCATATTTGAGATTATCATGAGAGAATCCTATTTATTCCAAGGCCCTCATCTTAGATAGACATGAACAAACACAGACACCCAAAATACCTAGAGAACACAGTTATCAAAGCAAATGAACTTTTCCTGTAATTGTCTCACATGGCTTAAAACAACAGCAAGTCTTTCCAGATTATCAGTAACTATATATTGAAATGTGGGTGTTCATAGAGTTAATAGTTTGGTATTAAGATCCTAGACAGCTAGCATCCTTCTGTGTGGAAAAAAAATCTCAAAGTTTAGAATATTTCTAAAGTCCTTTCTGAAGAAATAAATGGTTCTACCATTTAAATATAAATGATGAGTTGCAAGTTACATACATTGCCGTAGAATAGGTGCCATCAGTGAAAATGTTTCCAAAATTAAAAGACTTAATCTGAAATAGCAAAGGCCATGTGGCATTGGAACCTACAATGGAAGAAAAAGCATGCATAGTTTTCTATTGTAGTCCAAATCAAAGGTTAATTGTAAAAATATCAAATATGTCACAGCAATCAAACCAGAAGGGCTCTGTTAATGGGCAAGTGGCTTGCATCATTTTTCTTCAAATGTACATGCAAGTTCTTCTAGTGGCTTTCCAAGAAGAGAAGACACCTCATTTTCATTAGTGTTGCTAGTACACCCTTGTCATGGTCACAGTGCCTTCCCTTGTCTCTGTGTTGCATTAGATTTTACATGTGAGACATCATTTCTTGAGACATAAATTTTTGAACAAAACAATTGTATTGGTGTTATCAGGCTTTATCTCAGTTATTTGGGAAAATATTTCTTACTCTGAATCTCAAATTTTAACTATGGCAGTTATGTCAAGAATTGGCTTTAGTCATTTTGCAGTATATTTTGCTTTCTAGGAAAGTATTAATAGAAAAAAACAGAATATTCCCCCAAAACAGCTTCTTTTAAAGTTATTTTTCCTTAATAATTTTTAAAAGCATGTAAATTAAGAAGAGATGCTATTTTTCATAGGCTGACCCAAAAATTAGGCAAATTTTTATAAATTTTCCATTTTTTATGCATTTATAGTAGGCATATATATTTATGGGGCACATGAGATGTTTGATACAGGCATGCAATGCATAATCACATCATGTAAAAATGGGATGTTCGTCCCCTCAAGTATTTATCTTTTGTGTGTCAAATCAATTATTTCAGTTATTTTTAAATGTACAATTAAAGTATTGACTATCGTCCCCCTGTTGTATTATCAAATACTGGGTCTTCATTCGTTATATTTTTTTGTACCCGTTAACCATCCCCACTTCCTACTCACCCTCCCACTGCCCTTCCCAGCCTCTGGTAACCATTCTTCTGTTCTCTGCCCCATAAGTTAAATTGTTTTTATTTTTAGAACCCACAAAGTGAGGGGATGTGATATATATCTTTCTGTGCCTGGCTTATTTCACTTAGCATAATGACCCCCAGTTCCATCCATGTTGTTGGAAATAGCAAGATCTCATTCTTTTTTATGACTCCATTATGTAGTTACCACATTTTCTTTTTCCATTGATCTGTTGATGGACACATTGGTTGCTTCTAAATTTTGGCTATTGCAAACAGAACTGCAACAAACATGGGAATGCGGATAGCTCTTCAATATACTGACTTCCTTTCTTTTAGGTATACACCTAGCAGTGAGATTACTGGATCATATGGTAGCTTTATTTTTAGGTTTTTGAGGAACCTCCAAACTGTTCTCCACAGTGGCTATACTTTTACACTCCCACCAACATTGTATGAGGATTCCCTTTTCTCTATGTCCTTGCCAGCATTTGTTACTGCAGTCTTTTGGATAAAAGCCATTTTGCCTGGGGTGAGAGGATATCTGATTGTTTTGATTTGCATTTCTCTGTTGATAGTGATGTTGAACACCTTTTCATATATGCCTGTTTGCCATTTGTATGTCTTCTTTTGAGAAATGTCTATTCGAATCTTTGGCCCATTTTAAAATCAGATTTTTAGATTTTTTTCCTGTAGATCTAGTTGAGGTTTTTATATATTCTGGTTATAAATCTCTTTCAGACAGGTAGTTTGCAAATATTTTCTCCCATTCTGTGGGTTGTCTCTTCACTTTGTTGATTGTTTTTTTGTTTGCTTTTTGTTTTTTGGGTTTTTTGTTTTTGTTTTTTGCTGTGCAAGCTTTTTAAGTCAATGTGATTCCATTTGTCCATTTTTTCATTGGTTGCCTGTGCTTGTGGGATGTTACTCAATAAATTTTTGCCCAGACCAATGTCCTAGAGAATTTCCCCAATTTTTTTTGTAGTAGTTTCATAGTTAAGAGGTCTTAGATTTCAGTCTTTAATTCATTTTTATTTGATTTTTTTATATGATGAGAGAGGGGTGTAGTTTCATACTTCTGCATATGGATATCCATGTCTCCCAGCACCGTTTGTTGAAGAGACTGTCTTTTCTCCAGTGTGTTTTTGTCACCTTTGTTGCAAATGAGTTCACTATAGATGTCTGGATTTATTTCTGGGTTCACTATTATATTCCATTGGTCTATGTGCCTTTTTATGCCAGTACCATGCTATTTGGACTACTATAGCTCTATGGTATAATTTGAAGTCAGGTAATATGATTCCTCAAGTTTTGTTCTTTTTGCTTAGGAAAGCTTTGGCTATTTTGGGTCTTTTGTGCTTCCATGTACGTTTAAGGATTGTTTTTCTATTTCTGTGAAGAATGTGATTGGTATTTTGATAGGGATTGCGTTGAATCTGTAGATCACTTTGGGTAGTATGAACATTTTAACAATATTGGTTCTTCCAGTCTATGAATATAGAATATCTTTCCATTTGTTGGTGTCCTTTTCAATTTCTTGCATCAGCATGTGATAGTTTTCAATATCGCAATCTTTCACATCTTAAATTAATTCCTAGGTATTTATTTGTGGTTATTGTAAGTGGTATTACATTTTTTATTTCCTTTTCAGATTGTTCATCACTGCTGGCATATAGAAATGCTACTGATTCTTATATGTTGATGTTGTGTCCTGCAATTTTACTAAATTTATCAGTCCTAATAATTTTCTGGTGTAGTCTTTAGGTTTTATTAAATATAAGATCATAGCATCTGCAGACAAAGATAATTTGACTTCTGCCTTTCAAATTTGGATGCTCTTTATTTCTTGTCTGATTACTCTAGCTAGGACTTCCAGTCCTATGTTAAATAACAGTGTTGACAGTGGGCATCCTTGTCATGTTCCAGATCTCAGAGAAAAGGCTTTCAGCTTTCCCCCATTCTGTATGATACTGGCTGTGGGTCTTTCATATATGGCTTTTATTATGTTGAAGTATGTTCCTTCTATACCCAGTTGTTTGAGGGTTATTATCATGAAGGGATGTTGAATTTTATCAAATGCTTTTTCATCATCAATTGAAATGATCATATGGTTTTTATCCTTCATTCTGTCCATGTGATGCATCACATTGATTGATTTGCATATGTTAAACCATGCTTGCACCCCAGGAATAAATCCCACTTGGTCATGTTGAATGATCTTTTAATACATTACTGAATTTGGTTTGCTATTATTTTGTTGAGGATTTTTGCATCAATATTCATCAGACATATTGGCTGGTAGTTTTCTTTTTATGTTGTATGTGTGTCTAGTTTTGGTATCAGGGTAATACTGGCCTCATAGAATGAGTTTAGAAGTATTTCCTTCTCTATTTTTTGGAATAGTTTGAGTAGGATTGGTATTAGTTCTTCTTTGAACATTTGGTAGAATTCAACAGTGAAGCCATCAGGCCCTGGGCATTTCTTTACTGGGAGACTTTATTACAGCTTCAATCTTTTTACTTGTATATTGATATTTTTATTCAGGTTTAGGAAATTCTCTGTTATCCTGCTGAATAAACTTTCTACCCCTATCTCTGTCTCTACCTCCTCTATAAGGACAATAACTCTTAGATTTGCCCTATTGAGGCTGTTTTCTAGATCCTGTAGGCATTCCTCATTGGTTTTTTATCTTTCTTCTTTTTTCTCCTCTCTGTATTTTCAAATTAAGCTCACTAATTCTTTCTTCTGCTTGATCATTTCTGCTATTAAAAGACTCGTGTTCTTCAGTATGCCAATTGCATTTTTCAGCTCCAGCATTTCTGCTTGTTTCTGTTTAATCATTTTAATCTCTTTGTTAAATGTATCTGATAGAATTCTGAATTCCTTTTCTGTGTTATCTTGAATTTCTTTGCATTTCCTCAAGCATGGCTATTTTGAATTCTCTGAAAGGTCAGAGAATATCTTTGTTTCTCCAGGATTGCTCCCTATTGCCTTTTTTAGTTCATTTGGTGAGGTCATGTTTTCCTGGATGGCGTTGATGCATGTAGATGTTCTTCAGCGTCTGGGCATTTTAGAGTTAGGTATTTATTGTAGACACTCAGTCTGGGCTTGTTTGTCCTTTTTGGGAACACTTTCAAGATATTTGAAAGGACTCGAGTGTTGTGATCTAAGCTGTACCTGTTTTAGGGGGCACCCCAAGCCCAGTAATGCTGTGGTTCTTGCAGACTTGTAGAGGTACTGCCTTAATGCTCTTGGATGAGATCCAGAAGACCTCTCTGGATTACCAGGTGGAGACTGTTGTTTTCTTAATTTTTCCTACGTGAACGGAGTCATTCTCTCTGTTCTGAGCCATATGGAACTGGGGGTGGTGTGACACAAGCACTCCTGTGGCCACAAACACTAGGACTGCACTGGGTCAGATCTGAATCTAGCACAGCACCAGGTCTCACCCAACCTTTCTATAACCTCTCATTGGCTATGACCTATGTTTGCTCAAGGCCCTGGAGCTCTAAAATCAGCAGGTGGCAAAGCTATTCAGGCCTCTGTCCTTCTCTTCAGGGTAGCAAGTTAGTTCACCCAGGCCCTGGGCTTGTCCAGAGGTGCCATCCAGGAGCCAGGGACTGGAGTCAAAACTGTTAGAAGTCTACCTGCCAAGACTGGTGTTCTATTGTATTGTGGCTCAACTGGCACTCAAACCATAAGACACAGTCCTTCACACTCTTCCCTACCCATTCCAAAGGCAAAAGAGCCTCACCAAGTGGCCATTGCCACCACAGGCCCACAGGGAGTACCTCAAGACTGCCACCAATGTTCCCTTAAGGGCCAAGGGCTCTTAGGTGAGATTGTGATGAATGCTGCCTTCCCTGGGACTCACCCTTCAGGGCAGTGGGCTCCCCTCTGGCTGAGGCAGGTCCAGAAATGCCATCCAAGAGCCACGTCCTGGAATTGGGGACCCCAAGACCCTACTTGGTGCTCTACCCCACTATGGCTGAGCTGGTATCTAAGGTGGAAGACAAACCCCCCCTTTGCTTTTCCATCCACTTTCTCAAGTGGAAGGAATCTCACCCCATAACCCCATAGCCACCACAGCTGGGAATGTGCTGTACTTGCCTGAAGCCAGCAAGTTTCAAGAGGCTCACTGAAGGCCCTCAACATAGTACCTGAGTATCGCTGCTGGTTATTCAGGGCCCAAAGGCTCTTCAGTTAGTAGGATTCTGCCAGGACTGGGTCCTTCCTTTCATGGAAGCATGTTCCCTTCTGGTCCAGAGTATGTCTAGAAATGTATCTGGGGGCTAGGGCCTGGAAACGGGGCCTCATGATTCTGACCAATACCCTATCTAGCTGTAGCTGAGCTGGGATCCAAGACGCAAGGCAAAGTCTTACCCACTCTTCCCTCTCCTCTCCTTAAGTGGAGGAAATGGGGTTGTTTTGGAGCTTTGAGCAACCTGGGGTTAGGGAAGGGATGATGCCAGCACTCACACAGTCACCCTGGCTGTGTCTCAGTAGGTTGTGTTCCCTGCTGTTCATTGTCTCTGGGCCCAGTTCAGCACTAAGATTGGCCTAGGAGTTGCATTCCTTGTGGCCTAGACTGCCTTTCAAGTGTTATCTGGAGCCCCAGAGCACTTCACTCTGCGGTGGTGAGGCTTTTGGGAACTTAAGTTCAGGCCACTGGGATCGGCGATTCCTCTGGCTAGGGCTGCTTTCAATGCTCCCTTCGTGGGCGGGCATCAGCTGAGTTTGGGTCAGTTTTGTTTTCTAATTTTTGGTTTTTATGAAGGTGTTTTATTTTGTGTGTGTGTAGACAGTTGTTAAATTGGTGCCCTTGCTGTGGGGATAATCAGTGGAGATTTCTAGTCTGCCATCTTGCCCTGCCCCTACTCCCCAAATTTTTAATGTTATTTATTTAGCAGAATTTAAGATGGTAGCATTGTCTATTAGGAGTTTCTCATGAAGCAAATACATTATATGATGTTTATGAGGAAATGAGAAAATTTGTGAATGCCATTATCTTTTTTCTTTTGTGACAGAGTCTCACTCCTTTACCCAGGCTGGACATGATCTCAGCTCACTGCAACCTCCACCTCCCGGGTTCAAGCAATACTCCTGCCTTAGCCTCCTGAGTAGCTGGGATTACAGGCGTGCACCACCATACCTGGCTAATTTTTGTATTTTTAGTAGAGATGGGGTTTCACTATGTTGGCCAGGCTGGTCTCGAACTCCTGACCTCAAGTGATAAAATGCTGGGATTACAGGCTTGAACCACCACTCCCGGCCAATGCCATTATCTTAAACCAACTTTGCATTATCGTTAATACTGTATTACCTATTTTACTGAATGATTTTTTTCTACTAGTTTTTTATCTCTATGTAATTTAAACATGTGGCTAGTTCCTAGGTCCATTTTTAGGAGGTATGCTTATTAAAATTCATTTTCATAGTGTCTAATTAAATAACATCAATTTGAATAAAGTGAGTTAGATAATATAACTATTCTATTGTAATTAATTAGGACATTTAAAAAATAATTCAACAGATAAACATTGACTTCCTCCCATGGCTAAATTATTAGGGAAATACCTTCTACATTACATCTTAAATTATTCAGCTCAGGTGGTGGTTTCTGAGAGCACTTTCAACACCATGAGGTAATATGCTGAATCATAAACAACCACGTCAGCCGCCTACATTAACATACTGCAAACAAGACTCTTCAGATCTTTTTTATGGCATTTAAGTCCAATTCAAATAAAACTTCAATTCTTTATGGACTGGAGTATATCTGTGACAAAGAAACATCAGATAACATTTTAAAAAGAATGTATGCTACCATTGTTATTTTTATTACTATCTGTAGAAGCTTTTATACGTGCCCCAAAAGTAGCTATTTTTGAAAATGAGTTTGATCAATAATTTAAACACTTGCACAAAATATATTGGTATGCCTGTTATAAGTGCATAGGCATGTATAATTTAAAATCACTTACAATTTAAAAGTTTTAGCCTCTTTTTTAAGATTTTCCTCTTGCCAGGTGTGATGACTCACATATGTAATCCCAGCACTATGGTAGGCTAAGGTGGAAGGATGACTTGAGCCTAGGAGTTCAAGACTAGCCTGGGCAACATAGAACCTCTCTCTATAAAAAATAAAAAAAATAGCTGGGCATAGTGGCACATGCCTATTGTGCCAGCAACTCAGGAGGCTGAGATAGGAGGATTGCTTGACCCTGGGAGTTCAAGGCTACGGCAAGCTATGATCATACCACTGCACTCCAGTCTGGGTGACAGAGTGAGACCCTATGTAAGGTAATGGATGTGCTTAGGTCAAGGATAGGCTGAGGTAAACATCCTGTATGACTTAGCAGGATTGGAACGCAGGCGCACAATTCCATGTATAATGTAAACACAGCTATGTACATAACACGGGAAGGTCATCACTGGGCTTTACGCTACTATTGTCTGTAAAAGGTATAATTGCCCTGCTGACACTGTTCAGGCGCTCGTGCCCAGAGAAAGAGAGAGAAAGCCAGAGATGTCTGTCTTGCAGACTGGCAAGAGGGAGCCAGGACACAGCTCGGCTTGCTTACACCCAGAGGGAAAGAGTTAAGCTGGTGACCCTGAAGGCAGAGCGAGCAGGAGAGTGCAGCTGTGTGTGGGAGCGACAAGAACTGCAGAGTTAGAGCAAGCAACAGAGACAGACAGTGTAAGAGAGCTGCTGAATAAAGCTGTATTTCACCTACCTGTGGCTCCCCCCACTTCCTGCTGCTGAGTGTTCTCTCAGCTATCTCCCATTCATCCACCCACTCCCTTTGGACCTCAGCATGGGCTGGAACCTGGACTTGAACCTAACACCCTTTCTCTACAAAAAATTAAAATATAAAATTATAACCAAAACAGGTTAAAAAAAAGTTAGGTATAAAAAGGGGATTAATTCAGCACAGACTTAAAAGACAACTCTATAGGAATAATTTAATATTTGATAAAAAGATAATTTCTTAGAAAATGTCATTTATCCAAGATGACTCTGTAAAAGTTAGAAAACCAAATAGATCTGTAAACAATCAAGAAATGTAATTGGTGATTAAATATCAAAAAACAAAATGAGAGAGACAAGCATCTACTTCTAGAGGCTTTATAGGGAAGTTATTACAAAATCACTTAAAAATAATATATAACTTTACAGAGGATGGGCAGAAAAAAATCTCACCAACTCATTTTATGAGCTTAACACCTAAATCAGACTGAAACATTAACACCCAAACCAGACTATGACAGTTTGGTTATTTTTATTGTTCAGTGGTATTCCACTGTATGGTTATATCACAATATGTATATCCATTCACCCTTGATGAGTATTTAGATGGTAACTAGGTTTTTGATGGCAATGAATAAAGCTGCTATGAGCATTTGAGTAAAAGTTATTGCATGACCATGTTTTTCTGTCTTTTGGGTAAATACCTAGGATTGGGAATCTTAGATCCTATGGCAAGTGTATATTCATAAGAAACTGCCAAACTGTTTTCCAAAGTGTGTGTACCATTTTACATGCCCACCAGCAGTGTGTGAAAATTCTAGTTGTTAAAATTTGACTAAGGATTTTTGCATACATCAGCTCATGAGGGTTATTGCTATGTAGTTTTCTTATAAGGTAGGGGTATCAGGGTAATTCTGGCTTCATAAAATCAGTCAGGAAGTGTTTCCTCCTCTTTGGTTTTTGAGAAAGTTTATGAAGATTTTGCATTATTTCTTCCTTAAATGAGATTCAGGAAGTATTTCTTCCTTAAATGAGATCTCAGAAAATTGTTCTGTGTACTTCTTTCTCCAGCCTTGGGTAGAGTGCTATAGTGTCTCTAATTTACTTTCTAATTGACTTACATTCACAAATCAGTACTCAGCCAAAGAGTCAAGGAGTCTCTCCTGCAGATCTCTGGAGATCCCTCATCTCTAGTGCTAATATACATCACTTTCTGTTTTAGTTTTCTATTTCTGCTGTAGCAAATCACCACAATTTAGTGGATTAAAACAACACAAATTTATTATCTTACAGCCCTGGGGGTCAGATCCAAAATGGGCCTCACTGGACTAAAAGCAAGGTGGCAGCAAGTCTGTGTTCCTTCTGGAGGCTCTGGGGAAGAATCCATTTCCTTGGTTTCTCCAGTTTCTAGAGGCTGCCCACTCCCTTTGCTCATGGTCCCATTTCTCCTTCTTCAAAGCCAGCAGTGTAGCATCTTCAAATCTCCCTGCCCCTCTGCCTCTCTCTTCCATGTATAAAGACAGTGGTGGCTACATTGGCTCACATGGATAATCCAGGATACTCTTCCCTGTCCAGTAGCAAATTTAGGACAGCTGATAAGCAGACTTCATTCTACTTTCAACCTTATTTTTCACGTTGCCAGATAATATCATATTTACAGATTTGGGGGATTCGTATATGAACATCTTTGAGGGCCATTATTCTATCTACTTTACTTCCCCATGCTCTGCTGTGTTTCCCTAGCTCAGGAAACATGGCTCTGTGTTTCCCGGCCCAGTTGCTGCACCCTGGAAACACTGACCTTGAGGCTCGCTTTATGTTTCCCTTCTGTCAGGAGCCACAGCCCAGCAGTGCCTGTTGTCCAACATCTAAAAGACATTATTTTATATGTTTTGTCCAATTTGCTAGTTGTTTAAGGTGGGAGTATCAATCATGTTCCTCTTACTCCATATTTTCCCAAAGTGGAAGTCAACATACCATGTATTGGGTTGTATAAGAGAATCTCCTTATTCTTAGGATATTCATGATGAAATGTTTGGGTTAAAGTATTATTATGTCCCTAAATTACTTTCTAATATTTCAGAAAAAAGAAAGTAAATATTAGAAAGTATTAATAATTATTGAATGTTGAAGGAATGTATATATGTCCATGGTGCTATTTTCTCAGCTTTTCTGTATGTTTGAAATTTTTCAAGATAAAAAGTTTTAAAAAAAAGACTAGGGATAAATAAAATGTTATAGCTAAATATGGAGAGTTGAATTATGAGTATATAATTTATTGTTTTTCCTGTTTTAAATTCTAAAAATGAATTCTAATTTAAAATATAATATTTATAATAGAATCTAAAACTATAAGGGATCTAAAAATAAAATTAACAGAATTTGTATGAGAAAATTATAAAATACCTTAAAATAAAGAGATATAACATGTCTATGGATTAGAAGAGTTAAGTATTGTTCAGATACCAGTTTTTCCCAAATTAATGTATAAATTCTTTATATTAATAATTTCTACCAAAATATTAGTAGAATTTTATGTGGAACTTGGCATGTTCATCCTAAAATTGACATGGAAAAGAAATGACTAAAACTAGCCGGGCGCAGTGGCTCACACCTGTAATCCCAGCGCTTTGGGAGGCCAAGGCATGCAGATCATGTAAGGTCAGGAGTTTGAGACCAGCCTGGCCAACATGGCAAAACCCCGTCTCTACTAAAAATACAAAAATTAGCCAGGCCTGGTGGTGTGCATGTGTAGTCCCAGCTTCTTGGGAGGCTGAGGCAGGAGAAGAGCTTGAACCCAGGAGGCGGAGCTTGCAGTGAGCCGAGATTGTGCCACTGCACTCCAGCCTGGGCGACAGAGCGAGACTCCGTCTCAAAAGAAAAAAAAAAAAAAGAAATTATGAAAAACATCCAAGACAATTTTGAAGAACAGCAAGGTCAAACCAACTTACCCCACCATATATCCAGATAGTTAAAGTTAGAGCATTGGAAGGGCAAACAAAACAGAGAATAGAGATCCCAGAAATAGACACACACACACACGATAACTGGATGCTGGATGTAAGAGAAGACTGGCATTAAAAATCACTGAGGAAAAGATGTATTAGTGTTCTATCTGTGTTTATCAGTTATCTATATATATATTAGTTTTCTATTTGTATAGCAAGTCACCACAAACTTACTAGCTTAAAACAACACTCATTCATTATGTTACAGTTTTTTTTAGGTCAGAAGGCTGGGCATGGCATAGCTGGCTTCTTCGTTCAGTGTCTCACAAGGCCAAAATTAAGGTGTTGGCTGGGCCTGCAGTCTCACTTCAGGCTCCAGATTCTCTTCCAAGTTCACTGGGTGTTGGCAGAATTCTGTTCCTTACAGTTGTAGAACAAAGATCACTGCTTTCTTGCTGGCTGTCAACTGGAGATTGTTTTCAGCACCCATCAGTATCCAGCATGTGTTCCTCTTCATAACATGGTGGTTTGCTCCCACAAAGCCAGTAAGAGAATCTCATTGACTTTGAATCTAACATCATTTAAGGGCTCATCTGATTAGGTCAAGCTTACCCAGGTTAATCTAGATTTTTGAGAAACTACAGGTAAACTAATTAGGAACCATACTTATGTATGCAAAAATCCCCTCTGCCAATTAGGTAACATAATCACAAAGTAATATCCCATCATATTCTCAAGTCTCACACTCAAGAAGAGGAGATTCCAGCGTCTGGACACCAGGGGACAGAACTCTTGGGGGCCATCTTAGCGTTTTGTTCATCACAGAACGTGATTGCCTAGCTATATTGAAAAAGGTAAAATTAACTCCCATCTTTGCATCAATCACAAAAATTAATTCTTTTAGAATTTACTTTTAGAAAAATATTTAAGAGAGAGTAACTATAAATTGGGGTGGGAACCCATTTAAAAAATAAGATGCAAAAAGTAAAAACAGTAAAGGACAAGTTTTATTAATTTTACTGTATTAAAAATTTAAACTTCTGACCAATTAAAGATACCATAAACAAAGAGAAAAGGGAAAATCACAGACTAAGAGACACTTTCAACCCATTAATTAAAAATGCACTAATACCCAGAATACAGGGCCTTCAGGCAGGGTGGCGAAAGCTAGAAAGTGTTACCTTCACCCTAAGAAGAAAAAGCCAGATAATCTGCAAAGTCAAAAATCTCCCTGAACCATCAGAGAGCTGCAATTGCAAAGCAAATAAGTAGCATGAAATCTAAGGAAGACAGGTAAACCAGCAGCACTGGCCTACCAAGAGGAGGGTATGGGAGCTGTGGGGTGTGGGGAGACGGGGTAGCCACACAAATGGGTAGAAAGAACTCGGCTAACACTTTAAGCAAATTGCTAAGGCCAAGGATGGGATCCTGCAACCCCTGGAAGCCACTGACTTTATAAAGAGATTTACACCCACTTGCAGGCTGTTCTGCACAAGCCTCCATCAGCCCCTCACAACGAAGTCTGGGGGCAAGTGGGAGACTTGAGGAAACCACCGTCAGTGGTGCAGGCCCTGAGGGAAAACTGTTAGGGGAAGCTCCAAGCTCCACCCAGACCTTCTCCCCTATAGGAAAGAAACAAAACATCTTAAGCTCCTCTGGAAAAGGGCAACAAGCCATGTTATCCCAGGGCACAGGGGAAGTGGAAGAAAACAGGAAAAATCCTCTATGCCTAGAGGAGTAGCAAGAAATGATCCTGAGTCCAGATCATCCACACTTTCCTGCTACTGGAAAAGGGGCAGGATATTTGAGAAAGCCCCACCCCAACGCAGTGCCTGCCCAAAACTGAGGCTAGACTAGGACAAGAATCAAACCCACCCAACCTCCACTGCCAGGCTAGCAATCACCCAGTTACGAAAACTGATCTACGTGTGGGTGAAGGCATGAGCCTAGAAAGAGACCCTTTCAGAGACACAAAAGCACAGCAGCTTGAAGTTGAAGGTAGATTAGGAACATAAACAAAAACCCCAGTCCACTTAGCCCACAGCAGATTATGCCAGGGGAATTTGAACCTGGTAGTACACTGAAGGTTAACCACAGCAGCAGCAAAACCAGCTCAACTCCTGGCTGGGTTAACTCAAACCCCCACACTGATGGTCTAGCAGAATAAGAGCTATGCCCATTTCTAGGCATAAACATTTACCTGTCTGTACTATTGTTTTGTATTCTTTTATAATATGGCCCGTCAAGTGTAGCCACAAGAGGAGACACACAGAAAGGATGGGGGTGGGTGGGACAAGACCAAAGTGAATTATATTCACAGGACCTAGAGACAGGAGGCACATCATTCCATGCAGGGTCACAGTAAAGACACCAGGTGGTCAGGAGGCAAAAGACAGGAGCAAGAGGAACACACTAGGCCAGAGCCTTTATTGGGGTTTCCATGGGAAAGGCAAGGCAGGGCAGGGTGAACAGCTTAGAACTGGCTTGTTTGAATAATTTCAGAGAGACTTAAACTATAGGAGCGGCGCCTAGTTGCCTGGTACCTGGCCCTGGGATGACTAAGGCAGAGGAATATTGTCTCCTGTGGTGTACAGGCCTGCTAGAGGCGGCATGGAGTCTCTGGATTGGTCAGTTTGCAGATCAAAGGCATACTCCTGGCTGAGCCCTTGCTATGCATAAGACTTGGCTAACCCCAGGAGGGGCAGTCATTCCCCAGCTAGAAAGGTTCTTTTTCATTTAGTTTTGTTTTTAAGATGTCAAAACATCATAATATACCGAACATTAAAAAGAACACTCACAGCTAGCTGGGTGTGGTGGCTCACATCTATAATTCCAGCACTTTGGGAAGCCAGGGCAGGCTGATGCCTTGAGCCCAGGAGTTCAACTCCATCTCTGCAAAAATTAGCCAGCCATGGTGGTGTGTGCCTATAGTCCCAGCTACTTGGAAGGCTGAGGTGGGAGGATTGCTTGAGCCTGGGAGGTGGAGGTTGTGGTGGCCAAGATCACGCCATTGCACTCCATCCTGGGCAACAGACTGAGACCCTGTCTCAAAAAAAAAAAAAAAAAAGTAGGCCGGCCATGGTGGCTCACACCTATAATCCCAGCACTTTGGGAGGCCGAGGCAGGTGGATCACTAGGTCAAGAGTTCGAGACCAGCCTGGCCAACATGGTGAAACCCCATCTCTACTAAAAATACAAAATTAGCCAGACATGGTGGCGCGCACCTGTAATCCCAGCTACTCAGGAGGCTGAGGCGGGAGAATCACTTGAACCTGGGAGGCAGAGGTTGCAGTGAGCCGAGGTCATGCCACTGCACTCCAGCCTGGGCGACAGAGCAAGACTCCTTCTCAAGGAAAAAAAAAGTATTCACAATACAGTTGTCCTACACAAGTCTGGCATAGCTGGGTTATCTGTTCATGGAATCACAATTTCAATAAAAAGTATGAAATATATACCCAAAAAAATCCACCGTCAAAATACAAAGCTAACAACAATCAGACTCAAAGATGACCCAAACAGACAGAGAATTTAAAATAACTACAATTAACATGTTAAAGGCTCTAGTGGAAAAATTGGGCAATATATAGGAACTGATGGGGGAATTTTAGCAGAAAAGTGAAAGGATAAGAACAAGTCCATGGGAAATGCTAGAAATAACACAGTAACATAAATCAAGAATGCCTTCAACATGCTTATCAGTAGACTCAATACAGCCAAGGAAAAAATCAATAAACTTGAAGATAAGTACATGGAAATTACCCAAAGTGAAATACAAAGTGAAAAAAGAAAGAAAAAAAATGGAACACAGCATCCAAGATCTATGGAACAATATCATATTGAGAACTTGGCAAACATGTTATTTGAAGAGATAATGGCTAAGAATTTTTTTAAAATATGAACAACATTGAACGACAAAATCTAAGAAGCTTAGGGAAATCCAAGAAGATAAATTTTTAAAAGCCATGCCTAGACACATCATACATAAACTGTTGAAAATTAAATATAAATTTTGAAAACAACCAGAAAAAAATTACGTACAAAGGAAAATGATGATATAACAGCAGATTTCTTGTCCAAAACTGAAGCAAGCCAGAAGGCAATGGAGGCCAGGCAGGGTGGCTCACGCCTGTAATCCTAGCACTTTGGGAGGCTAAGGCAGGTGGAATACTTGAGGTCAGGAGTTTGAGACCAGTCTAGCCAACATGGCGAAACCCCATCTCTACTAAAAATACAAAACTTAGCCAGGCGTGGTGGCAGTCGCCTGTAATCCTAGCTACTCGGGAGGCTGAAGCAGGAGAATCACTTGAACCTGGGAGGCAGATGTTGCAGTGAGCCAAGATCATGCCACTGCACTCCAGCATAAGTGACGGAGCAAGACCCTGTCTCAAAAAAAAAAAAAAAAAAAAAAAAGAAGAAGAAGAAGAAGACAAAAGTACTGCTGGGGCCGGGAGCGGTGGCTCACACCTGTAATCCCAGCACTTTGGGAGGCTGAGGTGGGCGGATCGCGAGGTCAAGAGATAGAGTCCATTCTTGCCAACGTGGCGAAACCCCGTCTCTACTAAAAATACAAAAATTATCTGGGCGTGGTGGTGCGCACCTATAGTCCCAGCTACTTAGGAGGCTGAGGCAGGAGAATGGCTTGAACCCAGGAGGCGGAGGTTGCAGTGAGCCAAGATCGCGCCACTGCACTCCAGCCTGGCGACAGAGTGAGACTCTGTCTTTCTTAAATAAATAAATAAATAAATAAATAAATAAAGTACTGCAGGGAAATGATCAACCCAGATTTCTATATCAAAAAAAAAACCTTTCAAAATGAAAGGAAAATAAATACTCTATTAGGCAAGGAAATACTGAAAGAATTTGTTACCAGCAGAGTTGCACTACAAGAATGTCAAGGAAGTTCTTCAGGAAGAAGAAATATGATAGCAGAAATGAACTTGGATTGACAAAAAGAAATAAAAATTTCCAGGAATGGTTAAAAATGAAGGTCAATATAAAAGACATTTTTAAAATTTAAAGAGATATAAATAATATTCTCTTTAAAGAGCTCCTATAAATTAACATGAAATGGCAAATACTCCAATAAAACAAAATAGATAAAGGACCAAAAAGACAAATGGAAAAGGAAACCCAAACAGCTGATAAATAGAGTATGTTTTCAAATGTTCAACCTCACTAATAACTGGAGAAATGTACATTAAAGCAAAATGAGTTAAAAATGACTTACCACATTAGAAAAATAAATAAATCAGATGTGACCAAGTAGGATGTGAGGAGGATGTGAGAAAACTGGAACTCCCATGCATTGCTGGGGGCAGCATAAACTTGTGCAGTGACTTTGAAGAGTGACTTTGCAACACCTTGTAAAGCTGATTGCATACACATCCTCCCACTCAGTACTTTCGCTTCACCTAATTTTCTCTATATATGTTTCATAATTTAAAATCAAGTTTTCCATCTTGGCTAACACGGTGAAACCCTGCCTCTACTAAAAATACAAAAAAAAAAATAGCCGGGCATGGTGGCATGCGCCTGTAGTCCCAGCTCCTCAGGAGGCTGAGGCCGGAAAATCACTTGAACCTGAGAGGCAGAGGTTGCAGTGAGCCGAGATCGCGCCACTGCACTCCAGCCTGGGCGACAGAGTGAGACTCTGTCTCAAAAAAAAAGAAAATAAAATAAAATTTTAAAAAAATATTCAGCAATGCTAGATTTAAAAAACAAATAATTTTTACTAAAACTATACTGAATGTAGCCTATTGCCAGTTTTTCTCATAGCAGCCTGCTTTAAAAAATACCATGACCAAATTTCTGTGTGTTACTTCTCTTGAGGCTGTTCAAAAACTTAAAGATCAGCAAATCTTTATACCAAGAGTAGATTTCATTGACTAATGTCTGAAACAAGTGGCTAGTGCTTTTGTATCCTAAAATGCTATTGCTGGCCAGTTTTTCTCATACTCAATAAGCTTCTGAGATTCTGTGTTCTTCATTTGAGTGAAATAGAAACACTCCTTTGAACAAAGAAAAGATTATCAATCTGGTACCACATCATACTCCTGCAGATCAAACCAAAATAACCAAAATGGACCCAATTTAAGCATCTCACCTTCAAAATATAGCAGAACTTCTTTCTAAAAGTGGAAGAATAAAAGTTGTATCTTCTAAATGGAAAACCTATTAGAGAAATTATATTTAGAAGAAAAGAAATAAGATTAAGAAACATTTTTTAAGAACTTAAGGTCAGAGCTATATAATGATAAATTAGTAGATTATATTTATGTTCTAGTTGATGAATAATAAGCATTATATTATCCTAGCCACTAAGAAATTCACTACAAAAATATTGCATGGGAACTCAATGAATATTATGCAAGCATTAAAATTATGATTTATGTTCTAATTACAACTATGGCAAAAGGTACATAGGATAAGATGAAATAAATATAATTTAAAAGAAAAATAAATAAAACTAATGTCTCTTCTTTCCCAATAATTTAATTCAACATCTATTTTTTGGAACTTTGGAATTCTCATTTTGCAAGTTTGCTATTGTTTAGAGCTTCGGGATGGCAGACAGAGCAAATGTGGAATACAACTCTATCTCCTCCAATATGTAAAAATGGCATAGAGAATATTTAAAATATTTCATATGCATCTGTGTTACAGAGCAAGAAGGGTGTTATAAATAAAGAGGATGCCACAGCAGAATGTTGGATTTGCAGTTAGATGTCTTCTGGAGCTCACCTGTCCTTATATACCAGACTTTTAATATACCTTACAGTCAGGTGAGGAGAGGAGTCAGGGTTGCAAGTGAGAGGCTGATACTGGGCTTCCATTATAAAGCCAGAGCCCGGAAAGAATGATCCCGGTAAGACTCTACTCACTGGCATGGGGACTGCAGGGCTCCCCAGCAGTATCTCCACACTGTGGAGGGAGAGCAGTCTTGAGTGAACATGGTTTCTTCCCTGGGATTCCTCAGCACTCCCTGCTATATCACTACATATCAAGGTCAAGATAACTACAACAGAAACTTTCCTTCGTAAAAAGGACGGGTGGAGGACACACAGCAATCATTGGTCAGTAGCAATTATGAAATCTGATAGGACAGGCATTGTGAGGCAGCTGGAGAATTTCCTTGATTAGACCTGTTTCCACTCGTTAGTGGAATTCCTTTTCGTTTGTGTCCCCTGGGTCACCCCTCTGGTGGTTCTTCCATGTTCATTATCCTCCTCGGTCACATCTGTGGTGGGCATTGGAGATTATGCCTTACTTGGGAGCCTCAAGATTTCACAGCCTACTTCCTGCCTCTGCAAATTTGGGAGGCAGGGATTGTTTCAATCTCTTAAAGGCTTTTTAGCACAGGCTCATGGTTTCTTCTGCAATATAACTTTCTCAAAAGCTCAATTGGCTTAAAATTTATTTGCTTCAGGTCAGTTTCATGAGCCAGTAGGCACACGCACCATTTGTTCCTAGATATATCTTTCCAAACACATCAAGTAAGGTTCACGACATTAGCCTCTTTCTCACTCCCAGGCCTCTTTCTCTTTCTCTTTTTCCAGTTAGTGGCAGCTTGAAGCCATTATCTTGTGAGAAGACTCGATTTTTTGCTTCAGGGTTCAGTCTTGATGGGCCTTTGGCATTCAACTTTTTTCTCAATGTCTCTTATTCTTTAGCGTTTAGGAGCAGGTGGCTTCTCCAACCCTGCCACTCTAGTCCTCTCAGACCCGGACAAGAGAGGTGGCTCCCTGAATCCCACACTTTAGAGGGTTCTTCTGTCACTCAAGATCTGGTACTCAGCACTAGCACAGCACAACCCATAACCTCAAACATCTGCTCACATAACTCACACCATTCAGACCTCAGAGAAACACCGCTCTACATCTTTCATATGCCACCAAAAAAGTGACTGCATCAAAGAGTTGTGAAGTTTTTTGTGGGATGTGTCATTGCCAGTGTCAGAGATGAACACTAGTTTATAGTTCAGGGAAGATCTGAGTGGTGGAAGTACTTAGGTAAGAAAAAAGAAAAATTAAGTTGTCAAATATTTTCTCTCAATGTGAATGCAATGTATTCCTGCACAAAGAAGTTTCATTTCCCAGTTATCTCAAATGCTTATTTTCTTCTTTTCCTGGTCCAGTTTGTATATTGTCAAAAGATGCACACGCTGCCTGAGAAACATTTTGCAGTACTAACAATTCATATTACTCTTAAATGTGTAGTATATCGGCTCTAAATGCATGTGTGAAGTGACCGATTCCCTTTGTATTGGCAACTATATGGACATTAAACACTGGAATTGCAATAAGAATTACAAAATGTTAATAAGATTTAACTAACCACCCAGCCATAGACTAATGTATCATTCAGGTAGTGTCCATACAAGAAAACAGAAAACAAACATATTGAAGACTAAAAAATAAGAGAACACTGAAGTAAAACAGAAGTAATAACTGCAAGAAGCAGCCACAACCTCTGCGGCTGGGAGACAAAGAGAAAAGATTGAAATTACAGAACTCAGAAATTCAGAGGGAGGGTCTCACAGAGCAGGGACTCAGACCGCTGAGGAGAGGACAATAAGGCTGGTTCTGGGACTGCCAAAAGAAGTTGGAGGGCCAGGCAGAGTGGCTCATGCTTGTAATTCCAGCACTTTGGGAGGCCAAGGTGGGTGGATCGCTTGAGTCCAGGAGTTTGAAACCAGCCTGGGCAACAAAAATACATAAAATTAGCCAGGCATGGGTGGCACATGCCTGTGGTCCCAGCTACTTGGGAGGCTGAAGTGGGAGGATCACTTGAGCCCAGGATGTCAAGACAGCAGTGAGCCATGATTGCGCCACTGTATTCCAGCCTGGGTGACAAAGCAAGACCCTGTTTCAAAAAGAAAAAAAGTCGGAGACTGGAAACGAACCAACTGATACTACTGGGGTGCAGAACCATTGTTGGGCAACATGAAATGTATAGCCAGCAAATATGGAAGAAGCAATTCCCTTCTCCACTTCTCTTACCTTCCAGTTTCCCTCTCGTACCCTGTGTTGGTGGAACTTACCATGAAGTCAGCTGATAAAAGAGAAGGTATAGCTGATCCTTGAACATGAGTTTGAACTGCACAAGTCCATTTATAAACAGATTTTCTTCTGCCTCTGCTACCCCTGACATAGCAAGACCCACCCTCCTCTTCCTCCTCCTCAGCCTACTGAACATGAAGACAATGAGGATAAAGAACCTTATTATGGGCCGGGCGTGGTGGCTCATGCCTGTAATCCCAGCACTTTGGGAGGCCGAGGCAGGTGGATCACCTGAGATCAGGAGTTCGAGACCAGCCTGACCAACATGGTGAAAACCCGTCTCTGCCAAAAATACAAAATTAGCTGGGGTGGTGGCGCATGCCTGTAATCCCAGCTACTTGAGAGTCTGAGGCAGGAGAATTGCTTGAACTCGGGAGGCGGAGGTTGCGGTGAGCCAAGATCACGCCATTGCACTCCAGCCTGGGCGACAGAGCAAAACTCTGTCTCAAAAAAAAAAAAAAGAACTTTATTATGGTCCACTTCCACTTAATGAATGTAAATATATTCTCTTCCTATGGCTTACTTAATAACATTTTCTTTTCTCTAGCTTACTTTATTATAAAAATATAGTATATAATACATAGAACATTCAAACTTTGGAACAATCAACTGTTTATGTTATCAATAGGGCTTCTCATCAACAGGAGGCTATTAGTAAAGTTTTGGCGGAGTTAAAAGTCATACTGAGATTTTTTACTGAGGCACTCCCAATGCCTACATTGTTCAAGGGTCAACCGTAGTTTGCAGAGCCCCAATCTCAGCATCAAAAACCAGAGTGTAGAAAGCTGGAAATGGATCTGGAAGACAATAGCTTAATAACTGGCCCAACTACATTTCCTAGCATTTCTGAGCCTCCCCATCACTGGTACAGGCAGGTGACTAAACTCTGGCTCATTGAATGTGTATAAATCACATATGTAATTCTTAGGTCATGCTCTTAAGGAAAGAGTGTTCCCTCTCCTATCCCTTCTCCCCTTCATCTTGCTGGAATGTTAATGTGGTGGTGAGCCATGGTGATCACACAAATAAGGTTAACACCATATGGATGGTGGGATAAAAGATTAAAGCAGGCTGGGTCTCTGAAACCACAAAGCTGTCATACATTGATGGAGAAACTTAGATTTAAATAGGCTTATTGGGAGTGACATCAGCAAGATGGCTGACTAGAGTTACCTGGCACTTATCCTCTCCTCAAAAAGGGACCTAAACAATGAAGAAACAACTATATTTTGACTAGAGTAACTGAGGAAGTACACTGGAGAGCATCCGGGGAATAGCAAAATCCCTGTGGAGCATGGAAGCTCCAGACAGCCCTGTAGTGAGGGGAGTGAGACATTCTGCCTCTGCCATGCTGTGTGCCTTGCCAAGATCAGCTCAGAATCAGGGGGATTTCTTCTTATGGGAAAAGGTAAGCTGGAGATCTCCAGCAATCCTTGCTACAGGAGAGTCCCTCAGTCCTCACAGGATCTGAGTCCAGTTTAGAGAGTAGCTGAGAGTTCAACCAGCTGGAATGCCTCAGAGTAGAAGCTCATCTTAAGCATCCCCCAACCCCATGACCTAAGCTGCCACAATTCAGCACCATTTTTGTTTTGTTTTGTTTTGAGACAGAGTCTTGCTCTGTCACCCAGGCTGGAGCGCAGTGGTGAAATCTTGGCTCACTGCAACCTCCGCCTCCCGGGTTCAAGCGATTCTCCTGCCTCACTGCACTATCACTGCACTATCAGCAGATTTCTCAGCAGAAATGTTGCAGGCTAGGAGAGAATGAAATGATATATTTAAAGTGCTGAAAAAAAAACTATGACCCAAGAATGTTATATTTAGTAAAGCTATTCTTAAGAAAAGACGGACAAACAAAGACCTCAGACAAACAAAACTGAGGGAACTTATCACCACTAGACTGGCCTTACAAGAAATGCTTATGGGAGAGTTATAATTGGAAACTAAAGGATGATAATTACTATCATGAGAGTACATGGAGGTAGAAAACTCACCAGTAGAGGTAAATTTATAAATCAAACTCAGAATACCACAGTGATACAATGGTGCTATGTAAATCTCTCAATCCTTTCATATGAAGATTTAAAGTCAAAATGATCAAAACTAATAACAGCTACAATTAGCGGCTAGGGAACACATAATAGATAAAGAAGTAAATTAAGACAACAAATATATAAATTTTGGGAGGAAGGGAAAAAATCTGCAGTGTCTTTATGTGACCAAAGTTAAGTTGTTGCTGCTACATCTGCATAGAAAAAAAAACAAAGTTAAGTTTCTGTCAGCTAAAAATAGTCTGCTATAATTACAACACTCTATAATGTTAGCTCCATGGTAACCACAAAAAGAGAAATTTCAGCAGATACAAAAATGAGAAAGAAAAAGGAAACAAAGCTTAGCACCACAGAGAAACATTAAACCATGCGGGTAGACAATGCGAGGAAGAAAGAAA
Organism: Homo sapiens; assembly: GCF_000001405.40. Classification (NCBI taxonomy): domain Eukaryota; kingdom Metazoa; phylum Chordata; class Mammalia; order Primates; family Hominidae; genus Homo; species Homo sapiens. The sequence goes on along the minus strand of NC_000002.12, from coordinate 175,048,377 downwards.
CAAGAGTTTTATTTTTTTTTTAAACAGAAAACAATGAACAAAATAGCAGGGGTTAGTCCTTATCTGTCAATAATAACCTTGAGTGAAAATTGATTAAGTCCTCCAACTAAATAAAAGATAGAGAATACCTGAATAAATTAAAAAACAAGACCCAACTATGTACTGCCTACAAGAAATTAACCTCACTGTTAAAGACAAACATAAACTAAAAGTGAAGGGATGGAAAAAGATATTCCATGCAAATGGAAACCAAAAGCAAGTAGGAGTAGCCACATGTATATCCAATAAAATAGACTTTAAGTCAAAAACTATTTAAGACACAAATAAGTTATTATATAACTATAAAGGGATCAAGTCAAAAAGAGGATATAACAATTATGAATATATATATCCAACACTGGAGCACCTTTATATATAAAACAAATATTGTTAGACCTGAAGGGAGAGATAGATTGCAATACAATAGTAGAGAACTTCAATATCCCACTTTCCCTAGACAAAAAAAATCAACAAAAATTATCAGACTTAAACTACACCATGGACTCAACAGACGTAGCATACATTTACAGAACCTTCATCCAGCTGCTGCAAGACACACATTCTTCTCAACTGCATATGGGGAATTCTCCAATATAGATCACATGTTAGGTCACAGAACAAGTCTTAACAACTTTAGGAAGATAGAGACCACATAAGGTATCTTTTCTGACCACAATGGTATAAAACCAGAAATCAATAAGAAAAATTTTGGAAACTCTACAAATAAATGGAAATTAAACAACATGCTCCTAAATAACATGCTCACTCAGTGGGTCAGTGAGGAAATTTAAAGAGAAGTTTAAAATTTCCTTGAAACAAATGAGAATGAAAACACATCATACCAAATTCTATGGGACACAGCAACAGCACTTTTTTTTTTTTAAAAACAGAGTCTTACTCTGTTGCCCAGGCTGGAGGGCAGTGGTGCAATCTCAGCTCACTGCAACCTCTGCCCCCGGGGTTCACAATTCTCCTGCCTCAGTCTCCTGAGTAGCTGGGATTACAGGTGCCTGCCACCATGCTGGGCTAATTTTTGTATTTTTAGTAGAGACAGGGTTTCACCATGTTGGCCAGGCTGGTCTCGAACTCCTGGGCTCAACTGATCCACCCATCTCGGTCTCCCAAAGTGCTGGGATTACAGACGTAATCCCACTGCACCCGGCCAGCAATAGCACTTCTAAGAAGGAAGTTTATAGCAATAAACACCTACATCAAAAAAGGAGAAAGATGTCTAATAAATAACCTCATTATGCAGCTCAAATAATTAGAAAAGGAAGAATAAACTGAATTCAAAATTGGTAGAAAGAAGCAAATAATAAGGCTGAGAGCAGAAATAAGTGAAATAGAGCCTAAGAAAACAAAAAACATCAACAAAACTAGGAGTTGGTATTTTGAAAAGACAAATAAAACCAACAAATCTTTAACTAGACTAAGAAAAAAGAGATGACTCAAACAAATAAAATCTTAGAAATAAAAGGATCATAAGACACTATTATAAACAACTATATACCAACACATTTGATAATACAGAAGAAATGGATAAATTCCTGGACACATAAAACCAACCAATATTAAATTACGGAGAAATAGACAATCTAAATACACCAATAATGAGTAAGGAGATTGAATCAGTAATAAAAAGCCTCCCATCAAAGAAAAGCCCAGGACCTAGTGGCTTCACTGCTGAATTCTACCAAACATTTAAAGAAGAACTAATACCATTTCTTCAAACTATTCCAGAAAATGGGAGAGGAGGAGAACTCATTTTACAAGGCCAACATTACTCTAATTACCCTGTTTCCAAAACTAGACCAGGACATAACAAAATAAAAAACTATGGACCAATATCCCTGATGAACACTGACATAAAAATTTTCAACAAGTTATTAGCAAACCAAATCCACAGCACATTAAAAAGATTATTCACAGCCAGGCGCAGTGGCTCATGCCTGTAATCCCAGCACTTTGGGAGGCCGAGGCAGGCATATCACTTGAGGCCAGTAGTTTGAGACAAGCCTGGCCAACATGGCAAAACCCCATCTCTAGTAAAAATACCAACATTAGCCGAGCATGGTGACATGCACCTGTAGTCCCAGCTATTCGGGAGGCCGAGGCGGGAGAATCACTTGAACCCACGAAGGGAAGGTTGTGGTGAGCCGAGATTGCACCACTGCACTCCAGCCTGGGTGAAAGAGTGAGACTCCATCTCAAAAAAAAACAAAAAACAAAAAACAAAAAAAAGACAAATGGGATTACATCAAACTATAAAGATTTTGCACAGCAAAGGGAGATATTAACACAGTGAAGGGACAGGCCAAGTGTGGTGGCTCATGCCTGTAATCCCAGCACTTTGGGAGGCCACAGTGGGCAGATTGCTTGAGCTCAATTGTTCAAGACCAGCTTGGGCACAAGGCAAAACCCCATCTCTACTAAAAATACAAAAACTAGCTGGGTGTGGTGGCATGCACCTGTAGTTTCAGCTACTCAGGAGGCTGAAGTGGGAGGATCACCTGAGCCCATGAGGTTGAGTGAACTGTGTTCGCACAACTGCACTAATAATCAGGGAAATGTATTAATAAATAAAATCCACAATTAGATACCACCTCACCCCAGTTAGAATGGCTATTATCAAAAAGACAAAACAAGTATTGGCAAAGATATGGAAAAAAGGGAACACATACACATTATTTATGGGATTGTAAACTAGTATAGCCATTATAAAAAACAGTATGGGGGTTCCTCAAAAATTTAGAAATAGAATGACCATGTGATTCAGCAATCCCACTACTGGGTATATATCCAAAGGAAATGAAACCAGTATGTCGAAGAGATAGCTCCACTGCCATGCTTGTTGCAGCACTATTCACAATAGTCAAGACATAGAATCAACCTAACTGTCCATTGATGAATGGATAAAGAAAATGTGATATGACAATACTAGTCAGTCATAAAAAAGAGTGAAATACTGTTATTTATGACAACATGAATGAACCAGGACACAATGTTAAATGAAATAAACCAGACATAGAAAGATAAATACTGTGTGATCTCACTCACGTGGAATCTAAAACAAAAAAATTGATATTATAGAAACAGAGAGTAGAACAGTGGTTACCAGAGATGGGAGGAGAGAAAGGAGGAGGGGAGGGGAGGAAGAAGAAGAGGGAAATTTGTAGCACTAAATGCCTACATCAGAAACCTAGAAAAATCTCAAAATACCACCCTAATGTCACAATTAAAAGAGCTAGAGAGGCAAGAACGAACTAATCCAAAAGCTAGCAGAAGACAAGAAATAACTAAGATCCGAGAAGAACTGAAGGAGATAGAGACATGAAATACTTTCCAAAAGGTTAATGAATCCAGGAGCTGGTTTTTTGAAAAAATCAACAAAATTGATGAACCACTAGCTAGACTAATAAAAAAAGAAGAATCAAATAGACACAATGAAAAATGATAAAGGAGATATAACCACTGACCCCACAGAAATATAAACTACCATCAGAGAATACTATAAACACCTCTGTGCAAATAAATTAGAAAATCTAGAAGATATGGATAAATTTCTGGACACATACACACTCCCAAGACTAAACCAGGAAGAAGTTGAATGCTGAATAGACCAATAACAAGTTCTGAAATTGAGGCAGTAATTAATAACCTACCAACCAAAAAAAAGTCCAGGACCAGACTGATTCATGGTTGAATTCTACCATAAATACAAAGAGGAGCTGGTACCATTCCTTCTGAAACCATTCCAAACAACTGAAAAGGAGGGACTCCTCTGTAACTCATTTTATAAAGCCAGCATCATCCTGATACAAAACCTGGCAGAGGCACAACAAAAAAAAGGAAAACTTCAGGCCAAAATAGCTGATGAACAGCGATTCAGAAATCCTTAATAACATACTGGCAAACTGAATCCAGTAGCATATCAAAAAATGTATCCGCCACAGTCAGGTTGGCTTCATCCCTGGGATGCAAGGCTGGTTCAACATATGCAAATCAATAAATGTAATTATCACATAAACAGAACCAAAGATACAAACCACTTGATTATCTCAATAGATGCAGAAAAGGTCTTTGATAAAATTCAACATCGCTTCATGTTAAAAACGCTCAATAAACTAGATGGAACATATCTCAAAATAATAAGATATTTATGACAAACCCACAGCCAATATCATATTGAATGGGTAAAAGCTGGAAGCATTCCCTTTGAAAACTGGTACAAGACAAGGATGCCCTCTCTTACCACTCCTATTCAACGTAGTATTGGAAGCGCTGGCCTGGGCAATCAGGCAAGAGAACAACATAAAGAGTATTCAAATAGGAAAAGAGGAAGTTAAGTTGTCTCTGTTTGCAGATGACATGATTTTATATTTAGAAAACCCCATCATCTCAGCCCCAAAACTCCTTGAACTGACAAGCAACTTCAGCAAAGTCTCAGGATACAAAATCAATGTGCAAAAATCACAAGCATTCCTTTACACCAACAATAGGCAAGCAGAGAGCCAAATCATGAATGAACTTCCATTCACAATCGCTACAAAGAGAATAAAATACCTAGGAATACAGCTAACAAGGGATGTGAAGGACCTCTTCAAGGAGAACTACAAACCACTGATCAAGGAAATAAGAGAGAACACAAACAAATGGAAAAAGATTCCATCCTCATGGATAGGAAGAATCAATATCATGAAAACGACCATATTGCCCAAGGTAATTTATGGATTCAATGCCATTTCCATCAAACCATTGACATTCTTCGCAGAATTAAAAAAAAACTATTTTAAATTTTATATGGAATCAAAGAAGACCCCATATAGCCAAGACAATCCTAAGCAAAAAGAACAAAGCTGGGGGCATCACACTATCTGACTTCAAACTATACTACAGGACAACAGTAACCAAACCAGGATGGTACTGGTACCAAAACAGATATGTAGACCAACAGAGCAGAACAGAGACTTCAGAAGTAACACCACACATCTACAACCATCTGATCTTCAACAAACCTTACAAAAACAAGCAATGGGGAAAGGATCTCCTATTCAGTATATGATACTGGGAAAACTGGCTAACCATATGCAGAAAACTGAAACTGGACCCCTTCCTTACACCTTATGCAAAAATTAACTCAAGATGGATTAAAGGTTTAAATGTAAAACCCAAAACCGTAAAAATCCTAGAAAAAAATCCTAGGCAATACCATTCAGGACATAGGCATGGGCAAAGCCTTCATGACAAAAACGCCAAAAGCAACTGCAACAAAAGCCAAAATTGACAAATGGGATCCAATTAAACTAAAGAGCTTCTGCACAGCAAAAAAAGCTATCATCAGAGTGAACAGGCAACCTACAGAATGGGAGAAAATTTTTGCAATCTACCAATCTGACAAAGGTCTAATATCCAGAATTTACAAGGAACTTAAACATATTCACAAGAAAAAAACAACCCCATCAGAAAGTGGGCAAAGGATATGAATAGAGACTTCTTAAAAGAAGACATTTACACAGCCAACAAACATATCAAACAGTGAGATATCATCTTATGGCAGTCAGAATGGTGATTATTAAAAAGTCAGGAAACAACAGATGCTGGAGAGGATGTAGAGAAATAGGAACACTTTTGCACTGTTGGTGGGAATGTAAGTTAGTTCAACCATTGTGGAAGACAGTATGATAATTCCTCAAGGATCTAGAACCAGAATTACCATTTGAACCAGCAATCCCATTACTGGGTATATACCCAAAGGAATATAAATCATTCTACTATAAAAACACATGCACACATATGTTTATTGCAACACCATTTACAATAGCAAAGATATGGAACCAACCCAAATGCCCGTCAATGATAGACTGGATAAAAAAAATGTGGTACATATACACCATGAAATACTATACAGCCATAAAAAGGAATGAGATCACATCCTTTGCAGGGACATGGATGAAGCCAGAAGCCATCATCCTCAGCAAACTAACACAGGAACAGTAAACCAAACACTGCATGTTCTCACTCATAAGTCGGTGTTGAACATTGAGAATACATGGACACAGAGAGGGAAACAATACACACCAGTGTGGGTGTGGAGTGAGGGGAGGGAACTTGGAGGACGGGTCAATAGGTGCAGCAAACCACCATGGCACACGTATACCTGTCTAACACACCTGCACATTCTGCACAGGTATCTCTTTTTTTTTTCTTAGAAGAAATATATATATATATATATGTATATATATTTTTTTTTTTTTTACGGACACGGTTTTCTTTTGCTGCCCAGGCTGGTCTCAAACTTCTGGCCTGAAGCAATCCTCCCACCTCAGCCTTCCAAAGTGTTGGGATTACTGTCATAAGCCACTGCATCTGGCTTGGATTCTTTACTGATCTCAAGATGTTGGACTTTCTCAAAGTTGATACCTAGACTTCTCTATCCATACTCACTTCCCCAAGTTATATAATTATGTCACTTCATGTGCCACTTTAAGCTTAAATGCAAGCTTATTTCTCTAGCTTTGACCTCTCTTTTAAAAACCTTTTATGAACTTAACTGCATTCGGGTGTCTAATAGACATCTTAATAAACATCTTAAACTTAAAAAAAAGAAACTGTACCCAATAAATATGTACAATTACAATGAGTGAAATAAATACATTATTGTTTGAAAAAATACTCTCTCTGCAAAAGAAAGAATAGGTTTGTTGAAACTTTAAGGCACTTTAAAAGGAAAAAAGAAAAAAAAACTGTATAGAAGAAATCATAAAATAGAATAAAATAGGGAAACAACAATAGAGCACAATAAACATATAGTTGGGTGACAAAAGCAACTTCAAACTATGTTCTCTGTACAAGAGATATGTATAAAACAAAAAGAGGTTGAAAATAGAGAAACAAACGAAGATATCTTAGGAAAATGCAAATTAATAAAATTGGGGTGCTCAAGCAACATTAATATCAGGCAAAGTAGCATTCAAAACCTAAAGTATTATACGTGAAAAACAATTTTTTAAATTTATATTACAATGGTAAAAATCTATCAAACATATAAGTAAGCTTTCTTATTCAGAATATCATGAAAATATCTTATAACAAAGTGAAACATGGATAAACTGGAGCCCAAGATTTTTGAGTTCTTGAAGAGAAACTGATAAAGAGTTAAACTTAACTTGTCACACAATACAATTTCAATTCAGCTTTTGATGTTTCAAACATACTTTTTTGTTTTCTTCTGTTTTGAGATGGCGTCTCACTCTGTCGCCCAGGCTAAAGTGCAATGGTGCGATCTTGGCTCACTGAAACTCTGCCTCCCAGGTTCAAGCGATTCTCCTTCCTCAGTCTCCCGAGTAGATGGGATTATAAGCACCAGCCACCACGCCCGGCTAATTTTTGTATTTTTAGTAGAGAATGGGTTTCTCCATGTTGCCCGGGATGGTCTTGAACTCTTGACCTCAAATGATCCACCCACCTCGGCCTCCCAAAGTTTTGAGATTACAGGCATAAGCCACTGTGGCCCTGGCCTTTCAAACATACTCTTATATTAGACAGAAGAACCTAAATTTTGAGAAATGTATTAATAATTACTGGATGATGGTAACACAAGTTGGGATCTAAAAACACTAAAAGAAAAAACAATTATTGGGTGAGTGTATTAGTCCGCTGTCACACGGCTGTAAAAAACTACCCAAAGCTGGATAATTTATGAAGAAAAAAGGTTTAATTGAGTCACAGTTCCACAGGCTATACAGGAGGCATGGCTGGGAAGCCTCGGGAAACTTAGGAAACATGGCGGAAAGCAAAGGGGAATCAAGCACATCTTACCATGGCAGAGCAGGAGAAAGAGAGAGAGTGAAAAAGGAAGTGCCACACACTTTTAAATCATCAGATCTTGTGAGAACTCACTCACTATCATGAGAACAACAAGGGGGAAATCTGCTCCATGATCCAGTCACTTCCCACCAGGTTCCTCCCCCAACACTGGGAATTACAATTCAACATGAGATTTGGGTGGGGACACAGAGCCAAACCCTATCAGCGATTATCCATTTGAGTCTATCAAGCCTTTGTGAGGAGAATGGATTTTTTTTTTTCTTGAAAGTGATGAATATTCCCACTCCCAGTCATCCTGGGAATAGCTCAGGGCACATGAAAAGCTTTTGACTGGAGTGAATGTGACAAGTGTCCCAGGACACTGATTGGCTGGGATTTGGGGCATGTGGACAGTGAGCTACTTCTAACTCAGGAGGGCTGAGAGTGAGGAAGGGACCACCAGGTTAGGCGCCCTGGGAAGGTCTGAGCTGGTGTGGAAGTAATACGTTTCTGGGTTTGTTTGTTTTGTTTTATTTTTTTTGCCTTTTTTTTTTTCCCCTGTAAGATACTTTCCCCCCCATCATCCCAGGACTTACAGGAATGTTTCATTAAGTATTCTTAAATGTGCCCACCTAGTCTCAGCTCTTGCTGTGGGTAACTGAGGCCAAGTTGGTGTGGGGAGAACAGTCACAGCTGGCGAACATAGTCTGGCATCAGCAGGCTGAGGTGGCTGTGACAAGCAGAGAGCCCTCCTGGCTTCTTAGCTCCCACACCTCCTCAGGCACTCTTCGGACTCAGTAACCAGATGTGGTTGCCACTGAGAGTTGGCTGGGCCTTGTGCTCTGGGTCTGCAGTCACCTGTGGTCACCCTGGCCAAAGAGGCTCTGGGCCCAGACCTTGCCACCTGTGTACCTTCTGCTCAAGAGGAAGAGGCCCAAGGCAAAGCCCCCATAGCCCCTGGGCTGGGACTCCTTTTATAAGCAGATTCTGTTCCTTGCTCATTTTCCTAGGGGTGCTGTTGACGTTGGTATTTAATCATTGGTCCAGAGGAGTTATTGAAACTGTGCTAAGTGGCAGTGTGGTCACAGAAGGAAAAGCCCCAAGTCCACGAAGTTTGCAGTCTCATCAAGGAAGCCCTGGGGGTAAACAGTTGGTGCTCAGAGTCCTTTGGAATGTTTCTTGCCAACTGCTTCCAACAGTCCACTCCTGCGGATTCTGCTGGTGGGATCTTAGGGGTATAATTATCAGTGGAATTAGCTGAGGAGTTAGCATGAATGTGGAGGGCCTTATGTAAATTACGACTTTGCGGAGCCTGTTTGTTTTCCCCAAAGGTCACAAGATAAGACCGTTTTATTTCATGGAATTCCAGAAGAAGGGTCTGGGGAAGGTAGACTAAGCAGTCACCAGTGCTCTATTCAGAGAAACAGTGGCAGCTGGATGACATGAGATGATAGATACCAGAGGCTCATTTGGGAGGAGAACAGGCTTTTGGAGACAGTGAAGATGGCTGTAGCTGGGTGGGATGCTATGAGGTCTCTGCCCTGTGCCCCGCTCACTCTTCAGCAAAGTCACAGAGCATCATACAGTATGAAACGTGTTTGGAATTCTTGGGACAAAGGAGAAGGGAAGGAACTTCACTTCTGGGCCTGATCCACAACTGAATCTAGAAGATCTAGGCTTGGGCCGGGCGTGGTGTCTCATGGCTGTAATCCCAGCACTTTAGGAGGCCAAGGCCGGTGGATCACTTGAGGTCAGGCATTCAAGACCAGCCTGGCCAACATGGTGAAAACCCATCTCTACTAAAAATACAAAAATTAGCTGGGCACGGTGGCACGTGCCTGTAGTCCCAGCTACTCGGGAGGCTGAGGCAGGAGAATCCCTTGAACCCGGGAGGCAGAGGTTGCAGTGAGCTGAAATCATGCCACTGTGCTTGAGCCTGGGCAACAGAGGGAGACTCCATCTCAAAAAAAAAAAAAAAAAAAAAAAAGGAAAGAAAAAAAAGATGTAGGCTCAGGAGCTGAGGAGCTGAAGAAAGAGAGAGAACGTAGTAGTGGAAGTAATGGGGTGGGGAGGCTTTTGAACTCATCCAGAACCCGGAATTGGTGTTCAGGCCAGGTTTCACTAAGATTTCTGGAGAAGCACAGAGGCCCCAAGCAATGAATAGCCTAAGGATCTTTCTAGTGGTGGCCCTCAAATTAGCTTACTGCCTGGATCATTGGGACCAGCAGGTAAAAGATGGCACACTTAGGTAATGTGACAGGAGTTTAATAAAGGAACTATATACAGAGGGGTGGGCAAGGCATAGGGATTCTATAAGTTTAGTAATTGGACCCAGTGGTGGTGAGGGCAGAGGAAGAGAGAAAACTGTGTAGAGAGCTGCATGGCAGATCTGGAGAAGTTCAGTTGATAGTTGCAGCCAGCAAACAATGACCCCCCGCCCACCCCCGGGAAGGGAGCTGGACAAACAAATATCCCAAGCTCTTTTTTCTCCTTCCCTCCCATCTCCTGTCCCCTGGCCAAACTCAGTCAAAAGCCAGAGGGCAAAGAAACCTGTTTGTGCATTCTATACAAGTCAACCCCTCAGAACACAAAACAAGATAGAAACAGGTGGACACTGGACCTGGGGTGGAGGAAGGAGAGCAAAGAGAAGATAAGCTGCACAACTCCCGTACGTTATTTAATGTTTTCAAGCAGAAATATCAGTGAATTTAAGATGCCCTTGTACTTCACACCTACTATCTATCAAGTGTTCCATATCAACACTTTATTTTTTATTTTTTTGAGACAGAAACTCGCTCTGACCCTCAGGCTGGAGTGCAGTGGCGTGATCTCAGCTCACTGCAACCTCCTCCTGGGTTCAAGCGATTCTCCTGCCTCAGCCTCCTGAGTAGCTAGGATTACAGGTACCCACCACCACGCCTGGCTAATTTTTGTATTTTTGGTAGAGATGGGGTTTCCCCATGTTGGCCAGGCTGGTCTCAAACTGCTGACCTCCAGTGATCCACCTGCCTCAGTCTCCCAGTGTGCAGGGATTATAAGCATGAGCCACCACACCCGGCCCCATGTCAACACTTTAAAACATGCTCATTTACAGATGAAAAAGCCAAGGTTCAGAGAGGTAGAGACTTGCCCAAGGCCAGAGAGCAGGTGAGCAGCAGAGTTAGGCTGCAAACCTCGGTGCAACATAGAGAAAAAGGAAGGCTTTGGGTTAATACATAAAGTCCTCTTTTGCATCAGTGTGAGAGAAAACATATTTATTTTATTTAAATAGTTTTTTCATTAATTGAGACTACTTTCTTACATGATCCATAATTAGGCAACTTTGGTTTTTAACAAGGGGTTTTTAGTAATAAACTTACAGAAGATTTAGTGTATCCAGCACAGGAGTTGCAGAAACTATTAATTAAGAAGACTAAAAGGTTAGTATGTATCTTTAATGTAAAAAAAAAGTTGATTTTTTAAAAACATGAAATGTTTATTGAAAAGAAGAGTACAAGAATTATAAATACACAATGGTTTCTCAAGCAGGCATAGATTCATACTTCTTATAGAAGGCCGCCTTCCGCATCATTCCATTCCCCTGGTCTTTTTAAAGGGAAGAAAAAATGCACATTCCATTTTCATTGTATTTAAAGACAAATAAAACAGGGTGTAACACTTGAGAAAAGCAAAGTTTTCATTTATACCATAGCTGGTCTAGAAAATTAGAATTAGAAAGTAAAGATTAAAACCAAAGTGCAGCAGGTAGCATGTGTACTTTTCAGTGCGTGTACTGAAACAGGAGTCAAAGGTTAAGTTTCACTCTTGATTTAATTGAACAAAACACCACCTAGTGGTAGTGAAAAATAAATACTTTGGAAGTGAAGAGAACATTCATTTTTTGTAAAAATGTGGGGTTTGGGGCTCTAACTAAATAGCCGGGCAGGTACGATCCTCTTGCACTAAACATCATTCAATAATCTTCTTTATGCATGTGTTCCAGTACAGTGTAGATAGCCAAGGGGATAGAGTCTCTACTTTGAAGACCAGAAAAATATCTTTCCCAAATTTCAGATTTTTTATTTTCAGAACCAGAACATGATGATAATTTGCTTTATTAGGCCTATCAATGAGTCCTATTGTGTTCCCTTCTCTGCGAAGCCCTAGTAGTCACCTCCACTCTTCTCTGGGCTTTATCCATGTCCCCGTCTCTCTGAAAGAGATGGCTTTGCTTTTGCTTCACAGAGAAAAGGGGAATCTTCAGATGGGACCTTGCTCAACTTCCTGCCTTGGATCTGTACGCTGACATCTAGACCCATCTTCTCTCCTTCCCTCCTCTTAGGAGAGAATAGTTTTCCTCTTCCTGTCTGATCTCAAGCCTAATGCTTCCACCAGGACCTGGGTATCTCTCCTAAGCCCCCGATGATCTTTGGCCATCTACCCATCTCTGCTGTCCTGTGCCTTCCTTCTTTTCTCCCCACTGACTCATTCCCTGCTTTGTTAAAATGAGAGATAGCTCCCGTTCTAAAAATAGACTAACCTCAAATTTATTCAGTGACCCTCTAGCTTTAGCTCTATTGTCCTTTACAGCCAGGCTTCTTTAAAAAGACTGTCTACACTTGCCGTCCCCAATTCTTCATCTGTTATTCATGCCTTAACCAAATGGTATCTGGACTCTCAAGGCATCTCTGCAACATTTGCTTCAAGTAGTCTTTTATTCCTTACTGAAGTGATTTTGTCCCTTGACTTTTATGACATCACATGCTCCTGGTTTCCCCTACCACTTGCGGCTTCTTCGAAGTTTCCTCTTCCACCTGCACTTTAAATGTTGGTGTCTGTTGGAGATGGCTTTGACTCTCCTACATTCTCCCTGGATATTTAATCCACTCACGTGGCTTGATTTCCTAGAGGAGCCTACAACCTCTTAGTGCTTGCCACGTTACAACCACCTCAATACTGTTCAAAATGTTTAGTACATTCTTTTGAGTGTTCATTTAGGCTCAACTCCACCTTGTTGCAAGATGGAATTGGGGTGTAACTGTGTGCCTTCAAAATCAAGAACTATGTGGTACATATGGTGCTGAAAACTTTACATTAATTATCTCACTTAATCCTCAAAGCACACTCAAGAAGCAGGTTCTGTTTATTTCTTCTACTTTGTAAATGATAACACTGTAGAACTGGGCAAATAAATAATTTTCCCAAGGTCACACAGCGCTAGGATTCTGTGATGGTTAATGTCCTAAATTAAATTATACAATTTGTATTCCTTTACTCTACCCCTCCCACTCCAGCCATCAAGCAGTAATAGTTTTCTAGATGCACGACCAACAGAGGAATGCTGGAAACAGTCTAGAACAAAGAAGTTATTGCCCAATTTTGACTTTCAACATGGGCATTTTAAAGCCCATGGTAGAAAAAATAGTATCAAGGAAGGCTTTCTGTTATAAGAACTAAGCCCTTGAATGCGATAAGAGATTTTGCTGTACTTTCAAACACTTGAGAACTAAGCTTGGAAAATTAATCACAGATGGTACCATGAAACACTGAGAAGGGAAATTGCAGAATGTGACAACCAAGTCGCGCTTCCTGGTTGGGAGAAGAGCTTGGAGAAATTTGGGGAAATGAGTATATGTGTGGGCCTGCTCACACATATACTTCTGTAATATTAGGAGTAACATCCCCCTAGGATATTTCAAATAGTATCACAGGGTGTACAATCCCAGTGACATTAGGAGTAACATCCCCCTAGCATATTACCAAAAATATCACAGGATGTACATCCACTGTGACATTAGAAGTAACATCCCCCTTGGATATTACAAATAACATCACAGTGTGTACACTCACTTTAATATTAGGAGTAATATCTTCCTAGAATATTACAAATAATATCACAGTGGGCGTACACACATGGTGTTAGAAGTAGTATCTCCCTAAAATATCATGAAAAATGTCACAGGGTGTACACCCACTGTGATATTAGAAGTAATTACTACTTAAGATATTAGGAATAATATCACAGTGGGTGTACATAGAGATAGGGGTAGAAAGCTTATTCAGTGGAATAATAACAGAGAACTTCCCAAACTTATAGAAGTAACATCCCACTAGGATATTACAAATAAAATCGCAGGGGGTATACACACATGATGTACACCCCCTGTGACATTACGAGTAGCATCCCCTTAGGATTACGAATATCCTAAGGAATATCCTAAGAAAGATATCAATATCGAAGTACAAAAAGGTTATAGAACACCAAGCAGATTTAACCCAAAGAAGACTACCTCAAGGCATTTAATAGTCAAACTCCTGCTTCATTTTGGCTGGAGCTGCCATGTTCCAGTAATTCACCAAAATGACAAAAACAAAGGGAAAGAAGAGAGGCACCCAATATATGTTGGTCTTTTAGAAAACATGGAGTTGTTCTTTTGGCCATGTATATGCAAATCTGTAAGGAACATGATATTGTAGACGTCAAGGAAATGAGTACTGTTCAAAAAGGAATGCCCCACAAGTGTTATTATGGCAAAACTGGAAGAGTCTATGATGTTACCCAACATGCTGTTGGCATTGTTGTAAACAAACAATTTAGGGCAAGATTCTTGCCAAGAGAATGTGTGTGTGGAGCACATTAAGCACTCTAAGAGAGGAGATCGCTTCCTGAAACGTATGAAGGAAAATGATCAGATAAAGAAGGAAGCCAAAGAGAAAGGTACTTGGTTCAATTGAAGTGCCAACCTGCTTCACCCAGAGAAGCACACTTCTAATGAGAAGTGTTTGACACACAAAGAATAAATGCTTGAGGTGATGGACACCCCATTTATCTTGATGTGATTATTTCATATTGCATGCCTGTATTGAAATACCTTATATAACCCATAAGTATTAATATCTACTATGTACCCACAAAAATTAAAAATGATAATTTTGTTTTAGAAAAAGATGGATTAAAGAGTTAAATGTTAAGACCTCAAACTATAAAAATCCTAGAAGAAAACCTAGGAAATACCCTCCTAGACAAACAATTTATAACTAAGTCCTCAAAAGCAATTGCAACAAAAGCAAAAATTGACAAGTGGGACCTAATTAAATTTAAGAGCTTCCGCCCAGCAAAAGAAACTACTAATAGAGTAAACAGACAACCTACAGAATGGGAGATAAAATATTTGCAAACTATGCATCCAACAAAGGGCTAATATCCAGATTCTATAAGGAATTTAATGCAACAAGAGTAAAACAAGTAACTGCATTAAAAAGTGAGCAAGGGACATGAACAAACACTTCTGAAAAGAAGATATACAAGGGGCCAAGAAACACATGAAAAAATGCTCAACATCGCTAGTCATTGGAGAAATGCAAATCAAAATCATAATGAGATACCCTCTCACACTGGTCAGAATGGCTATTATTAAAAAGTTAAAAAAAAACAACCAGATGGCAAGGATAAAGAGAAAAGGGGATGCTTATACACTGTTGGTGGGAATGTAAATTAGCTCAGCCACTACTGCAAGCAGTTTGGAGATTTTGCAAAGAACTGAAAATGTAACTACAATTCAACCCAGCAATCCCATGATTGGGTATATACACAAAGGACAGTAAATCATTCTACCAAAAGGACATCACAGCCCTATTCACCATAGCAAAGACATGGAATCAACTCAGGTGCCTATGAATGGTGGATTGCATAAAGAAAATGTGGTACATATACATTATGGAATACTATGCAGCCATAAAAGGAATAAAATTATATCTTTTGCAGTCACTTGGATGCAGCTGGAGGCTATTAACCTAAGCAAATTAATGCAGAAACAGCCAAATATTGCGTGTTCTTACTGATAAGTGGGAGCTAAACCTTGGGTAGACATGGACACACAGATGGGAATAATAAACACTGGGGACTCCAGGAAGAGGCATGGATGGATGGGGACAAGGTCTGAAAAAACTTCCTATTGGATACTTATGTTCACAATCTGGGTGATGGGATCAGTAGAAGCCAAAACCTCAGCATTATGCAATATACCCTTGTAACAAATCTGCACATGTACCCCTGAATCTAAAATTAAAGTATAAATTTTAAAAATAATTAATGGCTTAACACTAAAACACAAACTAATCTGAACTATTCTAATGATTGACAGTAAAAGCATTACTGAAAACAAAAGGAAACTTATTGCCATCTAATTCAAGTGCTTCTGATCCAGCTGCTATGCCTGCTTTTGTGTATCTCAGACAGAGACCAAAAACAGAGAAACATGGGCTTAGAGTCTGATTTAGCCTACAGTTGAGAAGAAAAGCTAGAATTTGGGACAAAGAACTAAGAAGACATGCCATGCAGGAATTTTTAGGACGTTCCAAGAGCTGTAATCCAAAGAGTTTGCAGCTAGGAAGCTGCTACTAGTTCACCTGCCGGTGGACACTGGCCCTACCCACTACCCACTAGACTCTGCACTGTTAGCCCTGTGAATAATTTCTTTTCTTTTCTTTTCTTTTTTTACTTTGAGATGGAGTCTTGCTCTGTCACCCATGCTGGAGTACAGTGGTGCGGTCTCGGCTCACTGCAAACTCTGCCTCCTGGGTTCAAGCAATTCTCTGCCTCAGCCTCCCAAATAGCTGGGATTACAGGCAACCGCCACCACGCCTGGCTAATTTTTGCATTTTTAGTAGAGATGGGGTTTCACCATCTTGGCCAGGCTGGTTTTGAACTCCTGACCTTGTGATCCACCCACCTCAGGCTCCCAAAGTGCTGGGATTACAGGCGTGACCCACCGCGCTGGGCCAGTGAATAATTTCTTAATGATGTCTTGATCTTTGCATTATTGCTCAGGAGTTAAAGCTGCAAGTGGCAGCATCTGATTGGCTGAGCTCAGCCCCCAAGCTCCTCATGCTGACTCCTCAGGGATGGAGAAATGGGTACCCTCCCCTTGAAATTCTGTAGTGAGAGCGAGGCCTTTTCTCACAAAGATTTATGCAATGGAAGACTCACCCAACAGAGAAATAAAGTTTGGATGCTCAGTAGCCAAGGGAACTAACAAACATCCACCATAGTGAAATATGAAATTGAAACATCAGAAGCTAAAACCAAAAATGCCTAGAACTGCTTTTCAGGTTGAAATGGTCTAGGAAATTTAGGGATACTTCACTGATTTAGATAGGAACAATTTCAAATTTATTTACATTTCAACTGAGCAGGGCAGGACTGGGAAATACTTCATGGGGGGTACTTCCATGAAAAAAAGTCACATTTCACATAAGGAGCCTAGGAAAAGCAGAAGCAACTCTGAGGACTCAGGAGCTGGCTGGGAGAGCATCCAGGCAGCTGTGCACATGGGCACAGTATAGTCAGGACTCTGGGTCCACCTGGTGGTGCAGTTTTTCTTCAACTTTTCTTTCACTGCAGTTCACTGTGGATGGCCCCCATTTCCCAGCAGTGTGGCAATGAGCAAAAATGGGCCCAGATACAAAGCCTAATGTGAGTTCCCTGCATGACAGTGGAAGAGGGGGTGATTAATCAAGAAGACAGTTCTTCATGGGTCGGGATGGGAACCTGGCAGCTCCGGGAGTGCTTTTCCTTTAGGGACACACAAAACACTTCAGCACTGAGGAACAGAATTTCTGTGATTCTGAGACTGGATGCACAATTGACACCAGGGCTCTTAGGGGTCTCCACCTCATCCTTAGGGCCAAGACAGCAGACAGACAGCTGCTAAAGCTGTGGCCCTGTGAAGCTCTTCTTGGCCTGTGGGTCACTCTTCCTCCCTCTTTCCCACAACCGTCTTCTATGGACTATGTCAGCAGAGAGGCTGCCTGGGCAGCTCTGCTGTCCTTGCTGTGTCTCTTACGGCCTTTGACCACAGCTTCTCTCTTGCCCAACACTTGTACGTACCACCTGATTGGCTGCATTTAATCACTGCTTCCTAGGTTTCTCATGCTTTCCTTCTCTAGTTTAAAAGTCCAGCACTTTTTTCTACCTGCCCCTTTTGGTTTCATGTTAGGGTTTCCTGTGGCTGTGCCCCACAACTCAGAGATGTACCCAGGATGATGTCAAACAAGTTGAGGTTATTGCTTGGAGATTGACTTACTGCTAAACAATGTCAATATATGTCTTTGGGGTTGCTACACACAGATGTCCTTGGCTGTCAGTATCATGGAATCTCTCATCATGGCAGTGATGCTATGGGCAAGGCCCTTGGATCTCACCACCTTTATTCAAGAGACAAGCTGAACCCGACCAACTTTCTTAGAAATATAATTTAGCAGTGTTGTTTTTTTCATTAGGTTTAATTAAATTCAGTAAAATGTATGTATCTTAAGTGTAAAGCTCAGAGAATTTTTATGGACATGTGTCCCCATATAATCATCCCCCAGATCCAGGTATACACACGTAAATGAAGTCTGACAGCATGAGTCAATTGGAGCTAATTTCTGCATTCAGGGGGAAAACAGCTAAGACAGTGATTCTCAAACTTTCATGTGCTTCCGGATCACCTAGAGGGCTTATTGAAACACAGATTGCTATTCCCAGGTAATATTAATGCTTCTTGTTCAGGGACCACATTTAGGGAATCCCAGGGCTCAGGACTGCTAGGAAGCGCTAAACTGTCTCCAATTCATAGACATGCAAAGAAGGAAACCCCATTAGCAAAATAATTTTATTTATTAATTTTTCTTTTTAAAATATGCAATGTGTCATGAATTTGTGTGTCATCCTTCCATAGGGGCCATGCTAATCTTCTTTGTATTGTTCCAATTTTTTAGTATATGTGCTGCCCAAGAGAACACAATTTTAGTAAAAATGAATTGGCCATATACTTAACTGAGGATCTTTAAATGCTAGCCTTCTATTTTCTGACCCAGAATTTTCTGAGTGGGTCTTGGTTGCCAGCAAAGGAGTCCACAAAGTTATAAGCATAGACTGCATCAGAACAATGCCCTTTTGAGACTACTTTCCAATGAATTAATCAGTGCTGAGTACTTGAAGAGCTTGAAAGGATCAATATGCTTTTAAAGTCCGGAAGACTCATCATACCCTTTTTACAGTCAGAGCAGGGGTATTGGTAAATTGCTCTGAGATCCTCAGAGGGAGATTAACCAGCCAGCACTTATTGTTAGGGCATTTAAAGCATTTTATTTTAAGTAATACATTTAATAAATGTAAAACTAGCCACCTAAAACATGTACTTTTTTGTTTTATATTCATTCTGTGAACATAGAAAGCTTCATAATTTTCCAGATTTTCCTACCATGATCATATATTGCTCTTATAATCAGAAAAAACAAACCCCAAAACAAACAAACAAAAATAATCCAGGGCAACTCCCCCCTCTTGCTGCCTCTATTTAGTTAAACAAGGTGTATTTAATTAAGATTTTCTATATTACAAGATATTTACTCTTTTTTTTTTGAGATGGAGTCTCGCTCTGCCACCCAGGCTGGAGTGCAATGGCATGATCTCAGCTCACTGCAACCTCCTTCTCCCAGGTTCAAGCGATTCTCCTGCCTCAGCCTCCCGAGTAGCTGAGATTATAGGTGCCTGCCACCACACCCGGCTAATTTTTGTGTTTTTAGAGACGGGGTTTCACCATGTTGGCCAGGCTGGTCTTGAACTCCTGACCTCAGGTGATCTCTGCACCTCGGCCTCTCAAAATGTTGGGATTATGGGCATAAGCCACTGAGCACAGCCTGATATTTACTTTTTTTTCCCTACAAACACACATGTATATCAAAGATTTCATGGGCTGTTTTTCACCACTATTTAAATCTACAACGTACAAGAAATAGATTTTTTGAACAATAGCCTTTTAATGTATCTTCTTATATGTATATTTTTTCTTTTTAAAAAAGTAGCATTAGAGGTGGGGCAGCTTTTGAGAACAAAGTTCTTTTTTTAAAGAAAAAGTAAGCCATTTTCACTGTGGAGTAAATAAACAGAGGAATTCGGATCCACCTGATTTAATTCCTTTGTGTTTACTTAGTGTGGGCTCATCTAGCCAGTGGTTGTTCTGTGAGCAAATAGTCTGGCAACACTTTCTTTAGAAAGAAAATGCGCTTGCAGGCGGATTTGCACCATCTACTCTGTTTCCTGTGCCTCCAAGGCTGACAGCAAGTGACCAAAATGAAAAACGATGACCCAGTGGTTTCACAAGTCTTCATCTTACACAGGGGCAGGACCACGGCTTCTTCCACGTCCTTCCATGGCTATGGCCACAGGCATCAGCAATACGGAAAGTAGACTCAACTTTGACCACGTGGGCACAATCCTGAAAGTGAGACCAGTTGGGAACAATCTGTCCTGGGAAACAGTCATGCCTCTTTCCACTCCCACGGGACTTTAGGGCAAAAGCCAACAGGCAGCTGCTTCTACTTTTTAAAAACTGCAATTCATCGGTCTAGTGTTTGGTTATCCTCCTTTAAACCTAAACAAAAATCTCAAAAGAGTCATGTGTTTTTAGAATAGGAAATGAAACAGAGCATTCCTGAATGATCCACCTATCTCCCATTTAGAATTCCTTGTTCATGTGTCCCTGAAATGACATTTACCTGGCTCCTCTTGGGGCCAGTGGACTGTGGCCCTCCAGGCAGCTGCCGCTGGGAAAGAGCATGTCTCCCACTGGGCTGGAGTCTGCACCAGGCCTTTCCTCCCAGGGCTTCAGGAGCAAGTCAGGTGAAGTCCCATCCCTCTTCTACAGGACGGTACTTCTGGTATCCGAAGACTGTTATTTCATCTGCTTTGCATCTTGTGTTATTTCAGAACAAGCCTTTTAAAGGCTCTCAACTGTTCTTCAGATTACATGGTTGTCTCTCTTCTCATCCTCCTCCAGGGCTTTCCAGCCCATCAAAGTGCTGAGTACATACTCTATTTTGATGGGTGCTGAGGAGAGAACTCAAAAATTATAATCTTCCATAATTAAGACACACTACTTCTAGCAATGGAGTCTCATCTTTGAAAGTTTTATGATAGCCTTGCCATTTTACCAGCTCAAAATGAACTTGACATCAGCTAATCTCATGTCAACTTCCTAACTCAGAGTCTTTTAAAATTTTTTTTATTTTTTCATATTTTCTTTTTTCAAAGCAAGATATGGAGTGGGAAGACTTGGAGTCCTTAATCCATGAACTTCTGTTAAACTGTCTAATGTCCAGGTATTTGAGCCTGAATGTAGACTTTATATTTGCCTGGTTAAATGGTGAAGAAAAAAACTGCTTCTCAGGGAAGTTAGGCATTTCATGTAGTAACTGAGTAACTGAGGTTTTAGCATATCATTCATTGATAGCATATCAACACATTTTCCATCTCAACTCTATCATTCAAAAATTATTAGCATGGGCCAGGCACGGTGGCTCATGTCTGTAATCCCAGCACTTTGGGAGGCCGAGACAGGCAGATCACCTAAGGTCTGGAGTTCAAGACCAGCCTGACCAACATGGAGAAACCCCGTCTCCACTAAAAGTACAAAATTAGCCTGGCGTGGTGGCACATGCCTATAATCCCAGCTACTCTGGAGGCTGAGGCAGGAGAATCGCTTGAACCCGGGAGGCAGAGGTTGTGGTGAGCCGAGATTGTGCCATTGCACTCCAGCCTGGGCAGCAAGAGTGAAACTCTGTCTCAAAAAAAAAAAAAAAAAAATTATTAGCATGAACATAAAACAAAAATCAAAAAATACTTGCATGTGTCAGGCATTAAGTGCTTTTTGTAAATTAACTCATGTAATCCTCTTAACAACTTTATGAGACAGGTCTTATTATCATCAATATTTTAAGATTGAAGAAGCTGAGACACACAGAAGTTAATTACATGCCCAGAGTCACACAGGTAATATAATAAATGATGAGCTAGGATTCAAACCCAGCAGTCTGACTCCAGAAGAGGTGTGCTTAAGCACTATGCCTCTCAAAGCAACCCTTCCAGTTTTTTGTCATCTATAGATTCGGTTAAAGTGTCTTTTATTTTATTTATTTATTTATTTATTTATTTATTTATTTATTTATTTATTTATTTGAGACAGGGCCTCACTCTGTAGCCCAGGCTGCAGTGCAGTGGCATGATCTCTACTCACTGCACTCTCAACCTTCTGGGCTCAAGCAATCCTCCCACCTCAGCTTCCTGAGTAGCTGGGACCAGAGATGCACGCCACCATGCCCCCAGCAAATGTTTAAAGTTTTTGTAGAGATGGGGCTTCACTGTGTTGCCCAGGCTGGTTTCAAACTCCTGGGCTTAAGCGATCTGCCTGCCTCAGCATCCCAAAGTGCTGGGATTAAAGGTGTGAGCCATTATGCCCAGCCTAAAATGTCTTTTATTTTTAAGAGGATACTAGTTTATTTATTCAGTACTTGCTGATTCCCAGGCCTTATGCTTGGCACTGGGTACATGACACACAGAACAGATGTGGGGAAGACTGGGCACAGGGTGATTTCAGTTGTGACTGAGAGAAACATGACTCAAACTAGAGTAAGCCAAAAAGTGGAGTTATTGGCTCATATGTCCAAATTTTAAGAGGAATAGATTTTGGTTTAGAGGCAATGGAATCTAGAGATAAAGATGCTGCAGTAAGGGGGATGGGTGAAATTTGTTACCAGTACAAGATGAGGAAAAGCCTGTTTTTCATAAAATCAGCTAAACAGCCAGGCTCACCACGAGCAAGAACCAGGGCAGCTTTAGGGATCCAAGGAGCATGAGATTCACTCAAGGCATCTTTGCTAGACTGAAACAACAGTAATAATTTTTTTTCTCTCCTTGTGTTCTTTCACTCAAGATTAATGAGGTACCTCTGCACACTAGTAGAATGGCTAAAATTAAAATGACTGACCATACCAAGTGTTGATGAGCATGTGGAGGAACAGGAACTCTCATACACCATTGGTAGAAATGTAAAATAGCACAACCTTTTTGCAAAACAGTTTAGTTGTTTCTTAAGAAGTTAGACATGCATTTATTGTCTGACCCAACCATTCTACTACTAGGTATTTATGTAAGAGAAATGGAAACATATGTGCATAGTAAGACTTGAATATGAATGTTCATAGTACTTTGTTCATGATAGCCCCAAACTGGAAACAATCCAAATACCCATCAGAAAGTGAATGGATAAACTAGTATATCTATGCAATAAATTACTACTCAGCAATAAAAAGGCGTGAAGTACTGACGTACACAATGACGTGGATGAATGTCAAAATAATTATGCTGAATGAAAGAAGCCAGACCAAAAAGATTGCATACTGTATGATTTCATGTATATCAAATTCTAAAAAATGCAAACTAATCTGTAGTGACAGAAAGGAGATCAGTGGTTTTCTGGGGTTGGGGAGTGCTGGAGGAAAAAATTACAAATGAACACAAAGAGTACTTTCTGGGGCCGGGCGCGGTGGCTCACGCCTGTAATCCCAGCAGTTTGGGAGGCCAAGGTGGGTGGATCACTTAAGGTCAGGAGTTCAAGACCAGCCTGGCCAACATGGTGAAACCCCGTCTCTACTAAAAGTACAAAAATTAGCCAAGCATGCTGGCATGTGCCTGTAGTCCCAGCTACTTGGGAGGCTGAGGCATGAGAATCACTGGAACCCAGGAGGCAGAGGTTGCAGTGAGCTGAGATCGTGCCATTGCACTCCAGCCTGGGCAACAGAGCGAGACTCCATCTCAAAAAAAAAAAAAAAGAAGAAACCTTTTTGGGGTGATGAATATGTTTATTACCTTGATTGTGGTGATGGTTTCACAGGTATACACATATGTCTAAATATATCAAATTCTACACTTAAAATATGCATAGTCAACCAGGTGTCAATTATATCTCAAAAAAGCTGCTAAAAAGGTTTTTAATACGCTGTTTAAAATGTTTTCTACAGTCTCCATTACAGAATTGGAAAAGAGATGACTATCCCTCTCCTCTTTCAGTCACTGCCCAGTCTTAAGATAATACTTTCTTGGAAATCATATTATCGTGTGCTCATGTGCAGTGTCCACTTCATGGTTTACATTATACAGAAATAGTTTGCTTTTCTATTGAAATAATTATTAAATGTGTGCTAATTTCTTAGTGAGCCTTTGGTAAATTAGTCTTTGAAGGTGTTGACTTTGGTGGATTTTAAATGCCTTTGGGGAATACAATATCTGATTAATGGTTTCATATAGCCCAATGCATTTTTACATGGGAAACTGGTAAATCAGTAAATTCACTAGAACTTTTACGTTTGTAAAGGATTTTTACATTTGTAGGAACATTAAAAATCATTAGGAAACATTAGAAATCATCTACTTCAACTGTGACATTTAGGCTACAGTTATTTGACTAGGTTTTTTTTTTAAATTTATGATATAATGAACTTTAAAACGATATTGTTGGGCAATGACACACCCCCTAGAAATAAATAATGATAACAATCTTGTCAGATCGTAAAATTTGTTTGGATGGTTTCTGCTTCTACAATCTCTGATTTATTCAGTGCACAGACCCTCCTTTTTCACAGGTAAAAAAGGATGGGAAAGATATGGTTGTCACTTGCCTGATGGTGCCTTTCTGAAGTCAGCTGGGTTTTCCTTTTCTTTTCTTTCTTTCTCTCTTTAACTTATTTTCTTTTCAACATGGGAAACTTTACGTTTAAAACTTTCTGAGTGATTTTAAAAAATATTTAATTGACAAAGATTGTATATATTCAAGGTGTACAATGTGATGACTTGTTATACATATGCATTGTGTAAGGATTGCCAAAATCAAATTAATTAACATATCCACGACCACCCATGCTGTACCTTAGATAACCAAAACTTTTTCATCTTATAACTGAACATTTGTACCCTTTGACCAACAGCTATTTCTTCACCAAGTTCTGGACAAGGATTTTGTAAACATGGTGGCCTCGGGGAGGCTCCCATATCCTTTTTGTATTGATGAGCCATTATGTAGAGTAATCATGTTGGTATGATCCTAGCCTTTGGTCTGTTTTCTAATTGGTAAGGAACAACAACAAACATATAACCATGATAAATTTCCAACAATCAGATAAACCTTATTTAAATAGCCGTACTTGTCAAAAGCATTTTAAACAATCTAAAAATTAAGACATCTGGTTCATTTCAATAGCAATTTGGGCACATGTTCAATTTATTTTTTCTATCACTTTTTGGGACAACTGGCTAACCTTTTGCAATAAAATACAATATAAAATAATGTGAGAGTTCTAAAGCATACCTAACACAAAAATTTATTTTAGATATATGGAAAGTTTAAAAACCGTAAAAGTACTAGAATAAAATATATGAATGTGGATTATATTCTTTTATGGCAAAGACTCAACACATATCCCATATTCCCTGTGAGAAAAGCTCTTTCTGTACATGCCCCCCTCAAGATAAGCCCCTTGTATCTTGTGACTTCCATACTCCCTGGCCACAGCTCATTTGTTGGGAGATGGGCGGAGACAGGAACTTGACCTCTGGACGAGCCAATCTACTAGATGAACTGTGTGAATCAGCTTCTGTTTTCCACAAATTGAAATTGGGGCACAGAGATACTAGTCCACTTGTCAGTGGTTTTGGAACTGAGGTGGCTACATCAGAGCGATGTGTATGGATAAACAACTTATCAAAGAGGAGGAAAGGAGAATGAAGCAGTTGCTTAGAGAGAAGCAGAGAGGAGAGAGAAGGCAAGCTTAGAGAAATGGATAAAGATGTTTTGATTCTGGACAAGGTTTCAGTTCCTGGTTCCCAATATCTCATGAAGCCTGGCTAAATTTTCTGCGTCTGGGTTCCAGTTCAAATCCCCTGTATTATAATTAATTTCCCTTTAATTAACCCTGCTTCTATTTCTTGCAAACAAAAAAGCCTAGACTGCAGCAGTAATCTTGGCAAAATACCAAGTATGATATTACATATAGAACCCCTAAAAAAATGTTTTTTAAAAATCTGTTCTCATAAAAATGAAACATGTCTTTATCTAAAAAGAATCATAAACAGCATTAAACTGAAATAACAACTGGGGACAGAGAACTATACATATATGAAAAAGAGCTACATTTTTAATATCATTGAAAATTCATACAAAAAGGTAAATATTCTAATAGAAAAATCACCCAATGTCTTAAATAGGCCATTCCCAATAGAAGAAATACAAACAACCAATTTATATGTAAAATGTTTGGATGCAAAATAAACAATAAAGAAATATTAGTTTTGGTCAAGCAGATAGGCAAAGTCTTCTACCTGCTCTCCTACTTCTAATATTTTTAAAAATGTATTTTTAAAATATCAAATGCTTCAGGAATTTGCATGTCATTCTTGCACAGGATCGTGCTAATTTTCTCTATATAGCTCCAATTTTAGTGTATGCACTGGCAGAGCCAGCACATCCTACTTCCAATTTTACTTTCACTATACAGCCATGTGCTGCAAAACAATGTTTCAATCAATGACAGGCCACATACAATACAGTGGTCCCGTAAGATTATAATACTGTATTTTTACTGTACCTTTTCTGTGTTTAAATACACAAACACCATTGTCTTACAATTGCCTACAGTATTCAGTCCAATAACATGCTGTACAGGTTTGTAGCCTAGGAGCAATAGGCCATATCATATAGTCTAGGTGTGTAGTAGGTCACACCATCTAAGTTTGTCTAAGTTCACTCTATGGTGGTCACACAATGATGAAATCACCTAATGATGCATTTCTCAGAATAGTACCCGATCATTAAGTGATGCAAGGCTGTAGTCTTTTCTTTTCTTTTTCTTTCTTTGTTTTTGAGACAGAGTATCCCTCTGTTGCCCAGGCTAGAGTGCAGTGCCGCCATCTCGGTCATTGCAACCTCTGCCTCTCAGGTTCAAGCGATTCTCATGCTTCAGCCTCCAGAGTATCTGGGACTACAGGCACGCACCACCATGCCCAGCTAATTTTTGTATTTTTAGTAGAGACAGGTTTTCGCCATGTTGGCCAGGCTGGTGTCGAACTCCTGACCTCAAGTGATCCACCCACCTCGGCCTCCCAAAGTGCTAGGATTACAGGTGTGAACCATTGCGCCTGCCTGTAATCTTCTCTTAATGCCAGGATGCGCCCTTCAAATCATAAATGGGAACAATTTACTCTTCTGCTGAAATCTCTCCAGTGGCTCTCCATCTCACCAAGAGAAAGCCACCATCCTCAGGACGATGTGGCAGCCCTCATTACCTCACTAACCTCATCCCCCACTCTCCCACTTGCTCCCTTTGCCCCTGCCTCTTGCATACTGCCTTGTTGCTATTGCTTGAACATAACAGGCGTACTCCAGTCTCCAAAACTTGGTCCTGGCTGTTTTCTCTGCCCCAGATGCTCTTCCCCTCGAACCCCCCTCCACCCCTACCAGTATGTCTACGCCTTTTTCCTTTACCTTCTTCCAATCTTAGCTGAAAGCCATCTTCTCAGAGAGGGCATCCCTGACCCCAGCACTTAACATGGATGCCCCTCACCTCCTGCACTGCCGTTGCCTCCTGTGTCATGTGTCTCCATGACATTTGCCACCTTCTAGTGTACAATACCACTTACTTATCTTGTTTATTGTCTATCTCTTCACACCTAGAATGGAAGCTCCATTGTGGTAAGGATTTATCCCCAGCTCCTAGTACATAGCCAGGCACATAGTGGACACTCAATAAACATTTATTGAATGAAAAAGTGAAAAAAGGATAATATCAGAGTTGGACAGAGTCTAAGAAATGGTTACTTTGGCATACTATTAATGAGAATGTAAGTTGGTGCAATATTTCTGAAGAATAATGTGGCAATGGGGATTAAAATCTTAAAAATGTATCGTCCTTGTGTAACATCAGTTACTTTGAGAAATTTATCATAACCAAATAATATGTTAGTTAGAGCCCTTTTGGTTGCAAATAACAGGAAGCCACTTGTGCTAACTTAAGTACTAATGATGGAGTGTTATTTATGTATTTATTTATTTTTTGGGATGGAGTTTAGCTCTTGTTGCCCAGGCTGGAGTGCAATGGAGTGATCTCGACTCACTGTAACCTCCACCTCCCGGGTTCAAGCTATTCTTTTGCCTCAGCCTCCTGAGTTTCTGGGATTACAGGCATGCACCACCACACCTGGATAATTTTGTATTTTTAGCAGAGATGGGGTTTCTCCATGTTGGTCAGGCTGGTCTCAAACTCCCGACCTCAGGTGATCTGCCTGCCTCAGCCTCCCAAAGTGCTGGGATCACAGGTGTGAGCCACCACACCCAACCAGAGTGATTTATTATGATACATTATATGCCATATTACAGAGGAAGAAAGAAAGAATGCATTATGTGGGACATTTAGACAGCTCTGCCAAACCCACTGGCTTAAGTTAGTCTTCCCAGGAAACAGATGGAGACAGAAAGTTTTCTGGGCAGTGCTCTTTGAATCAATACCTGTAACAGAGTGAAGGAAGCAGGACTGAGCAAAGGGCAAAGTTTAACTGAGATGCCAGTGCAACCCATGCTACAGTTAATTCCATGGTGAGCTCTGGCATTGTTCCCTTTTGAGGCAAGGGACTCAGACCTTTATATCGACATATTAACCAATAATTACTTGTAGGATAATCCTGGAAAGGTGTGCAGCCTTGGTCCAAACAACTGCCTTAGTACAAGGGCAAATCCTGGGAACTGACTCAGCTTTGAGCCATCAGTAACCGACTCTCCTGGCATCTGGGGCAGTGGATACCTTGGTCCTGATGGGGAGGATCTGTGAAGCAGCATACTGTAGCATCTGCTCTACCAGGGAAACTAAAGGAAGTTTAGTTTTCTCCAGGCCTTAGGATAATTGGAACCAGACACTTGGATGCTGCCAGGGCTCTCTCTTGTCTCTTTCTTTCTATGCATCTCTCTCACTCTGGACTGTTTTCCCAGTTTCTTATTTCACAAGGTCAAAAATTATTTCCAGCAGCTTCATCCTCAGAGAGAGGGTAACTCTGAATGGTCCAGTTTGGGTCACTGTCAATCCATGGACCTAACCAAACAACTATAGTAGAGGGTAATGTTGTTACTTAGTACTAATATGGTGGCACCTGCTGTAACCATTTGTATTCAAAGAAGTAGAGAAAGGGGGCAAACCCATACTTGCATGTGCCACATCTATAGAGTCAGGAAAAAAAATCTCAAAGAATATAAATTAAAGTGTTAACAGTAGTTACTTTTTGGTAGTAGAATTGACAATGGTTTCTTTTTCCTCTTTTTCATTTTGTATACCTTTTTTGTCATTGTTATATGTCTAATAATATTTTAGTAATTGCATATAGTTTTAAAAAAGAAAAAGTAGATACCTGTTTCTGTCTTCTGCATAAAAGATCCACTAGTTATAGGCTGTAGGAAGAATATTCATATCAAGTATGATGTTCTGGAAACTGGTGTAAAAAAAAAATCTGGCTTAACTTTGCAAAGCTTATTTCATCAAATTGCAAACAAACTAAACAGGGATGATTTGTAAAGAAAATATTTAATTGGCTCATGGTTCTGCAGGCTGTACAAGCATGCCTCCAGCATCTGCTCCTGGTGAGGGCCTCAGGAAGCTCGCAATCATGGCAGAAGGTGAAAAGGGAGCAAGCACGTCACATGGTGAGAACGAGAGCAAGAGAGAGAGGAGGGGGAGGTCCCAGACTCTTCTAAACAACCAGATCTTACATGAACTGAGCAAGAACTTGGTTATCACCAATGGATGGTACTAAACCATTAATGAGGGACCCACCTCCATGATCTAGTCATCTCCCACCAGCTCCCACCATCTCCAACATTGGGAATCACATTTCAGCATGAGATTTGGAGGAGACAAACATCCAAACCATATTATTCTGCCCCTAACTCCCCAAATCTCATGTACTTCTCACATTTTAATACAACCATGCCTTCCCAGTAGTCCCCCAAAGTCTTAACTTGTCCATTATTGACTCAAAAGCCTCAGGTCCAAAGTCCAAAGTCTTATCTGGAGATGAGTTTCTTCCACGTATAAGCCTGTAAGATAAACAAGTTACTTACTCCCAAGATACAATGGTAGTACAGGCGATGGGTAAATATTCCCATTCTAAAAGGGAGAAATTGACCAAAAGAAAGGAGCAATAGGCCCCACACGTCTGAAACCCAGCAGGGCAAACATTAAATCTTAAAGCTCCAAAACAATCTCTTTTAACTCCATGTCCCACATCTTACTGTGAGGGGTGGACTCTCAAGGCCTTGGGCAGCTCCACCCCTGTGGCATTGCAGGGTACAGCTCCTGTGTATGCTCTCATGGGTCGGAGCTTGGTGCCTATGGCCTTTCCACACTGAGGCTGCAAACTGCTGGTGCCTCTACCATTCTTGGGTCTGGAAGGCAGCTGTCCCTTTCCCACAGCTCCACTAGGCAGTGCCTTGGTGAGGACTCTGTGTGGCAGTTCTAACCCTACATTTC
This sequence comes from Homo sapiens, assembly GCF_000001405.40. Taxonomy (NCBI): domain Eukaryota; kingdom Metazoa; phylum Chordata; class Mammalia; order Primates; family Hominidae; genus Homo; species Homo sapiens. Next base: position 175,018,167 of record NC_000002.12, on the reverse strand, counting down.
TTTCAGCAGTGCCGTAATAGAGTTTATCTATGGGTAATCTGTCCTGCAGCAGGCTTCTGCCTGGGCACCTAGGGTTTTCCCGTACCACCTCTGAAATCTAGGCAGAAGTTGCCAAGCCTTCTTGCTTGCATTCTATGTGCCTGCAGGCTTAACACATGGAAGCCACCAAGGGCTTATGACTTATGCTCTCCAGAGTGGCAGCCCAAGCAGTATCTTGTGCCCTTTCAGCCTTGGGTGTAGCTGGAGCAGCCTGGATGCAGGAAGCAGTGTCATGAGGCTGCACAGGGCAGCAGCACCCAGGCCTGGTCCCAAAACCATTCTTTCCCTGTAGGTCTCTGGGCCTGTGATGGGAGAGGCTGCATCAAAGTTTTCTGAAATGACTTCGCATCTAGTCATGCTCCCTTTTAGTCATGCTAATCTCTCTAGCAAGTGGTTGCTATCCAGACCACTTGGATTCTTTCTCTACCTCAGTACCAGGCTGCAAATTTTCCAAACTTTTATGCTCTGCTTCCCTTTTAAATATGAATTCCAACTTTAAGTCGTTCCTTTGCTCCTGCATCTGATTTAGGGTGTTAGAAGCAGGCATGTCACTTTTTGAATGCTTTGCTGCCTAGAAATTTCTTCTGCCAGATACTGTAGGTAATCACTCTTGAGTTTGAACTTCCACAAAGCCCTAGGACATGGACACAATGAAGTCAAGTTCTTTACTAGGGAGTAACAAGGGTGATCTTTCCTCCAGTTCCCAATAAGTTTCTCATTGCCATCTGAGACCTTATCAAGCTGGCCTTCATCATCCATATTTCCATCTGCATTTTGATCACAACCATTTAGCTAGTCTGCAAGAAGTTCCAGACTTCCCCTCATCTTCCTATCTTTTTCTGAGCCCTCCGAACTCTTCCAGACTCTGTTACCCAGTTCCAAAGCTGCTTCCACATCATCAGATATCTTTTCAGCAAAGCCCCACTACTTATCAATTTTATTAGCCCATTGTTGCATTGCTATAAAGAAATACCTGGAGCTGGGTAGTTTGTAAAGAAAACAGGTTTAACTGGTTTACAGTTCTGCAAGCTATACAAGCATGGCTTCAGCATCTGCTCCTGGTGAGGGCCTCAGGAAGTTTCCAATCATGGTAGAAGGCAAAGGGGGAGCAAGCATGGTGAGAGCAGGAGCAAGAGAGAAAAGGGTGAGGTCCCAGACTCTTTTAGACAACCAGATCTCAGGTAAACTAACTGAGTGAGAACTCACTTATCACTAAGGGGATGGTGCCAAACCATTCATAAAGGATCTGCCCTCATGATCCATTCACCTTTCACCAGGCCCACTTCCAACACTGGAGATCACATTTCAACCTGAGATTTGGAGGGGACAAAACATCCAAACTGTATCACCTTCTTACATCCTGTTGCTCCTTAATCCTCTATAGTGTGACCATGCAATAAATACAAACTTGAAACAAAACCATCCATTGCATTTGCCAAAATGTAGGCTGAAACCAGGCAGTGTAAACCATTGACAAGGATGTCTTCAATATCCTAGCACGCTACCCGCTGGGAGGTCCAGCAAAGCAGTGGCCTATTTGAAATCGCTCTGTTAGCTTTTATATTTATATTAACATATTCATCCATTCATTTAACTGATGTTGGTGAGTACCTATATGCTGGGAAATGTAAAGAAAAACAACAGAACCCTACTCTGAATGAGCTAAGGATCCAGTAGATAGAATGGTAGAATATGTGTGTGAGTGCGTGTGTACAAAATATATATTTGCATTTGCATATATACTCAAATAGTTATAATAAAATGTATGAAATATTAAATGCATTAAGATCCATACTTGAATAGTTCTCTGAGTGTTAAAAAAGGGATGAGTTACTTCTGGGTGGGTTGGCTTCATGGAGAACTTCAGTTTAAATGATTGTTTTGAGATTTCAGCTGAACAATATCATTATCTATCTATCTATCTATCTATCTATCTATCTATCTATCTATCATCTATCTATGTATATATATAGTTGTTGTTGTTGTTATTCATTTTGTTTTAACCAAGCATCTGGATTAACATATCCCCCTTACCAGTGGGATGCACAGGCTTTAAAAAAAGGGGGGACCCTAAAGAACTAGTATTAAATGTTTTTGATTAAATAAAACTCTCACAAGTTTCAGGGAGGGAAAAGAAGGGTGGAGTTTTAAGGCCCTGAGGGTCTGGGAGAGTGGGAAGGACTGTGGAACGTGGAGGCTGTCAAGGCTGATTCCCTTATGCTAAGAAATGCCTGGGTCTGAGACTGATTACCCTAAGACAAGCAAACACCAGCTCTTCCCTAAGGAGACTGTCCTGTATTAAAAAAATATAAGCTGGAGAAATGAATTAGCTGCTCCATTAAGTAATGGGATATAAATGTATGTTGGATGGTAGAAAGCCTAATGTTTCCCATTATAGTTGGAAAGGAGGCCGAGCTTCAATGTGGAGGGAAAAACTTAACCTAATGCACTGAGCACAGAAAAGGGGTGGAGAACACAGAAGTGTGGCCACGCTGATTGAAGACCAGACATGAGAAGCTTTTTCTCATTCTGGATGTTTTCTTCTTTGGGTTGAAACCAGTAATTTACTTCACCCGTCTCTAGAGGTTATCTTTCTCCAATTTGCATTGTTCCTCAGAAGAAACACAGGAAACACAGGAAGACATTCCCTAAGACAGCTGGCTTCCCCTCACAGCTAAGAGGTACCAGGCACTTAAAACACTTTTAAAGCCAAAGAACCAGACTTCTTTCTGACCCAAGCTCAGAAAGAAAGGGGTATTAATGAAATCACTTATGGGTACAATAGAAACTCTACAGGAAACTCTTGGTTCTACTTTAGAGTGGAATTTTAAAATTTTACTTTTCAGTAAAATAAATTTCATCCTGTCACTCAACTGCTGAAGAACCTATTATCTTGTAATTCCTGGGCCAGCAATATCTGGGCATTCCAGTGACACTGATGGTCCAATGACAGGCAGGTTCTCAGGACCCCCTTCCCTTCTTCCTTTCCCTCTCTACTCTCAGCCAGCCGTCTCACCAACTACCATTATCCAGAGAGATTTAAGGGCAAGAGTTGCAGGTTAACTCTCTCCCAGCAGTTTTTCAATTTAGATCTACTCCAATTATATAATGTTTTTTTCAGTTGGTCTATTCAAATTCTATGTAAAAATTTTCTGTCAAAGCTCTTTGCAGAATACTAAGTTCATAAGTGATATTTTATAAATACCTGTTATTTGCTTTATTACTTGAAGTTTATCTTTTTTATATCTAAACTTCTGGTAGTGACATGGTTTGACTGTGTCCCCACCCAAATCTCACCTTGAATAGTAATAATCCCCACATGTCAAGGGCAGGACCAAGTGGAGATAATTGTATCATGGGGGCGGTTTCCCCCATGCTGTTCTCATGATAGTGAGTGAGTTCTCATGAGAGCTGATCATTTTGTAAGGGGCATCCGCCTTCACTTGGCACTCATTTCTCTTTCCTGCCGCCATGTGAAGAAGGACATGTTTGCTTCCCTTTCCACCATGATTGTAAGTTTCCTGAGGTCTCCCCAGCCCTGCGGAACTGAGTTAATTAAACCTCTTTTCTTTATAAATTACCCAGTTTTGGGTATTTCTTCATAACAGCATGAGAACAGACTAATACAGGTACATTATTATCATCAATGAATGTTTTGTCAAATGAAAATAAAGGCGGAATTTCTAAACTGGATTCTAATTGGAGCATCAACTCTAAACTCAATTTTTTATAACAAAATTTTTTTTATGGTATTAGGCTAACTTTTACAATAAAGGATACTGAATGAGCAAACTATATGAATGTATATGAATATGACAATGATAAAAATCTGTGGCTAGATCCTTTCCTATAGAAAGGTGACGTGCAATGGAGTTCTGAGTTGAAAGTCCTGGATTCCAGGATCTACCTTATAAGGTTGCTGAGAGATTCAAATAAAAAAAATGTATGGAAAGCATTCCACACATTCCTAACATTCACTTTAAGCTGGGGACAAAATTTATTGGAATTGTATCTGGGCCACATTTCGTACTATTTCACCCTCCCACATCAAATTTCTAAGCTTTTTTAGTAGTGTTGAATCCATATGGTGGCCAGAGAGAGACTAGAACTGGAGGCAGGAAGACCAGGAGGAAGATTCTTGGTTGCTGTGCCAGTTCCTGAATCCCCTTTACATAGGAGAATTTCGGTAATACTTGAAGGTTAAGGAAAGTAAACAGAAACCAGGGGTACCAATCTACATAATAAGAAATAGGGGCTGGAGAGAGGGGCAGGAAAGTCATATAGGCTGAGGTATAGGAGAGAATTTGTGGGGGTTGAGAGTGCTCTGCTCCAGAACACTCTGGAGTGTTCTGTGGGGTGTGGCAGAAAAGGAGGATGGAAATTTTAAGAAGAATAGTATACACTATAATATTCCTTGTGAAATGCAAGTAAAGGCTACAATTCCCTTTAAATTCCTTTTGCCAGATGGATTCTTGCTTAGAATGCAAGAGACTAGGCCATTTGGGATCCTGGAATCTATTATCTTGTTATAAACTCTATAGCTGGTAGCCAATTATGAACATAATTAATACTTACCCATCCCTGTATAACAATTTATGTAAGTATGCTCCTATAAAGCTTACTGGTTCATCACATACAGGTAGATGTGGAATCCCATTTGAGGCTCAACTGGAAATCCTAAAACATATACAAAATAATGTTCCTGATGTTGAATAAATTATATTTTAAGAGGTTTAACTTATTTTGAAATTGAAAAATATGACAAAACAAATGGTTGATTTAATGAAAAAAAATCCAACTGTTTGGATGGTATTGCATAGTAGAAAACACACTTCGTAAAATAATTGATTACAATTTTTATTTCCAAAAGGTTGTGTTGGTGATGCTGCCATGACTGTATATAGTCTGGGAAGCAAATACTTATGAGGTTAAAGGAGAAAGGCACTGCTTTGGCATTTCAAAAGAGATTGTTTCATAAGAAGAGGACCTGAAGCTGAGTGTGGTGTCCAGCTACTCAGGAGACTGAAGCGGGAAGATCACTTGAGCCTAGGAGTTTGAGGCTGCAGTGAGCTATGATTGTGCCACTGCACTCCAGCCTGGGTGACAGAGTGAGACTCTGTCTCTGAAAAAATAAGTAAACAAAAGATAAATGAAAATATTTAAGGCTTTATAAGAAACTAGATTTTACTGAATACTGAGGAAGATAATCCACATGGAGCGAGGAAGAAAAATATTTGTTGACTGTCCACTCTGTGCTTTTACTCTCAGACTGACCGTAGAAGCAGACATGTGCTAGTTGCCTGCCTAGTTACTTTTCCCTTCCTCTAGTTGTTGACTGGTATTTCTACAGGAAATTCACCTCAGCCATGAGGTTTGAGAAGATTATTCCCCTCAGGTTCAGGGTAACTCTTGATTGGCTTGCACTTGCCTCTTCCCCCTGGCCACAGTGATGAGTCATGGATGGGCACACAACCCAATTCAGGCCAATGAGAGAGAGAGAGAGGAAAAAGAGAGAGAGAGATTCCAAGATGTATGCACAACTCTCTTCCCTTGGATGGAGAGGTGGGACTATGTGATGTCTAGAAGCTCTGAAGCCATCCTGCTACCAAAAGGGGAGAGTCTGGAGATGCCATGAGTTGGGGTGCCCTGTGGTATATGATACAGTGACTAGAGAAATGAAGAAACTAAGTCCTTGGGGACATTCTTTGCACAGCTGGATCAGCCTTCCCTGAAACTCACCTTGACTCTGGTCTTTCCCATTACAGAGCAAATAAATTCTCTTTGTTCATTTAACTCAAAGCCAATTTGAGTTAAATTTTCCATCAGTTGCAACCAAAATGTTGCAAACTGATACAGAAGGTACCTTCATTTTACAGAAGAAGAAACTGAAATCCAGAAAGGTTTAAACATTCTCCAAATCACATAGGTAGTGAGAGGTGAAGCCAAGATTCAGATCCAAGTGTTTCTGACCAGTGTTTTTTCAAGATGACTGTGGCATTCTAGAAGTTCCAGGGAGGTAGCAGATGAAATGATGAGCTTAATCTCAAGGGTATACTGTGCCTTATTAGCTTACAACAATGGCAAGTGTGTGTGTGTGTGTGTGTGTGTGTGTATTCGACAGTTTTACTGTAACTCAAAAATGTGTTACTGGAAAATAGGGCACTACAAATAATCCGAGGCCAGAGTTTTACATAATGAATCCAAATTCCTAGTTGCCTTAAGTACTTGTAGAAAGCAGGCTTCAGACAACATAATAAGCATCATCTCAACAGGTTGGCCTTCTACATCTGTCCTCAAACTTGCCTGTGTAGCCTCTTCCCCCACTTCTTCCTCTCATGAGTCCTTTGCAACAAATTGTCCTGCCAGCAAATCTTCTCTCACGATTTTCCTCATGTTCTGGCTTTCACTAGAAAGTCTCAGACTTTCCTCATGCTCTCCCCTCTTTCCTAAACTCCATTTCCCTTTTTCTCTTTTCTGTTTGCCTAATTCCTGTTCAGACCTCAAAGCACAGCTTCACCTATCATGAACTTTTTACCTATTTCATCAGCTAGAAATAATCTTTCTCTTTTCTGAACTCCCACAAAATTTAATCTGTACTCCTGTTATGGCCTCTGTCATTGTCCCATTTTCCCAAGAGACTACTTTTTTTTTTTTTTTTTTAGATCTGGATACATGTTTGATTCATCTTTTGCTTCTTTGCCAGAAGCTAGCATGATGCCTGGAATATCGTAGGTACTCAGCAAATACTTGTTGAATGGATAAAGGATGGATGGATGATTTTAAATATGTGCATTGTCTCAAATATCTGACACAGGTCCTATTTTACAACAGAATACAAAAGAGCTTTATGAAAACTCCATCACAGCAGTAGACGAGTTTCCAGTCCAGATTGTGATTTTAATCATGGAATTTCACTTGTCTGTTTTTCAGTTCTGTTTTCTAATTGGAGATTGTGTAAGTCTAATCCAGAGTTCATAGCTATTTTCCTGATTTACCACTCACAATGTAATCAACTTGAATAAGTCATTCTTATTGTGGACACCCACGTTAACCAGAAAAACCATGGCCATGTTAGGGAGATTTGATTTGTAGCCAAATCCACTTATACCCTCTTGAAAACTAAATCTGGCAGAAATCCAACTGCTCCAGTCAAATAGACATTTAGCCACACTGTGCATTAGATATGCCTGGTGACCTGAGAAAAATACACTTGAATAGAAATGCTGGCTTAAAGTACTATAATATGATAGTAGTTCAGAACAAAAACTTTTACTTAAGAGCAGCCATCATCATTCTTCTTTTATCTAATGTGTATTTGAAAATGTATTTGACTTTAAGCCTATAAAAAAATTCCAAAAGATCTGCTGTACTATTAACCAGGAAATAAGTATTCTTCTAAAACATCTATTCAAAACACATTAAAAACAGACCTTTTCTTTACACACTCCCTTCCTTTTATGTGCCACTCCAAACCAGTAGCCATTTTGACAGTATATCAAAAGAAATTGTATCACAAAATTTAAAAAACTAGAACCTGTGTCTTTTAGAATATTCTAACCTAGGGTTTACAGTAATATCTGTGGTTTTATTGCCTATTGAACTAAGAGTTCCTCTTGGTGCTGAGCAATGAACAAGAACTCCATTCTCCTGGTTCTGATTTTCAATTCCAATTTCCCCTCCCTTCACACCCACACACACACACACACACACACACACACACAGCTTCTACAAACACATTTTCTTTTTACTTCGGAAGTGATATAATAAGAGCTGAGCAGTGTTTCCTCAGTAATAATCCAATTCCTAATCTGCGCCTAGCCAGATGATAGCCACCTCTCATTTTAGCATATTTTTGGTGACTATCTTCTGCTACTATAGCAAGCACTGTGTAGGGGAACTGAGAAAGTTTTAAATTCTTAAGGTTTCTTATGTATTTCTCAAATTGAGTTTTACTTCATTTCTAAGGCCCAATATTACTATTATAATTTAGGCACCCTCTGGTGGTGAACAGAACACAAATAATTCTCCTAAACATTGAGTTATTTAAGCTTAACGGGCAATTTTACAGTTTATGACATAAATATTATTTTTGTCATAAATAGTGTTATGGTCTAAATCCTTATGTTTGAGGCAAGTGCTGCCTTAGTTACTTGTGTGCATATGTCTTTGTCCTGTGAAAGTGCTATTTGTAAATCATGGAATGCCACACAAATATCAGGTAAGTTATTAATTCAGAAAGTCTGAGATAAAAAACAAGAAGGGGGGTAAAAAATAATCGGAATTAAGTGTTTAAGGAAAACGTTGTTAAAAACAAACCAAATAGTCTAGGCGCGGTGGCTCATGCCTGTAATCCCAGCACTTTGGGAGGCCAAGGCAGGTGGATCACTTGAGGTCAGGAGTTCAAGACCAGCCTGGTCAACATGGTGAAACCAATTTCTACTAAAAAATACAAAAAGTTAACCAGGTGTGGTGGCTCATGCCTGTAATCCCAGCTACTCAGGAGGCTGAGGCAGGAGAATCACTTGAACCTGGGAGGCAGAGATTGCAGTCAGCTCTGAGATTACTGCACTCCAGCCTGGGTGACACAGTGAAACTCCGTCTAAAAAAAAAAAAACAAAAAACCAAACAGACCAAATAGCTGGATACAGTGGCTCATGCCTGCAATCACAGCACTTTGGGGAGGCTGAGAGGAGTGGATTGCTTGAGCTCAGGAGTTCCAGACCAGCCTGGGCAACATGGCAAACCCTGTCTCTACTAAAAATACAAAAATTAGCCGAGTGTGGTGGCATGCACCTGTGGTTCCAGCTACTCCAGAGGCTGGGGTAGGAGGATTGCTAGAGCCCACGAACTCAAGGCTGCAGGGAGCTGAGATTGTGCCACTGCATTCCAGCCTGGGTGACAGAGTGAGACCCTGTCTCAAAACAAAAACAAATCCACTTTAAACAAATTCACACAGTGGAAACAAACACTGTAACTAGTAACATAAATATGGGATAGAGAGAATGTCACATATTGTGAATATTTAAATAATTTTAACTTTCTTAATTTTAACTTTAGCAGAAGTATACTGTGTAACATTTTTCTCTTCACTAGCAAACTTCTGCACTATTTTGGGAACTGTGCTAATAGCACTGGTATTCCTAGTGTTTAAAGCTGTGTTGACATGACAAAGTACTATAATTTTAACTTGTTATTGTGAGGCAGAAACCGCCTCATTAATTTCTGCTTCATTGAAAACTGAGGAACAAATCAATGTTTACCAATGGGAATGAAGCTAAATGGGTAACAAAAAGAAATTCAAAACACTTGTGATAAGTCATTAGTTTAAAATGTAGGAAAACCATTTTAAAGGGTTGTCTAGGTTCTGTTTAGTCAACAAAACTTAAATAAAAATGAGAAATTGTTTTAGTAAATTTGAAATGGGTTGTTCAGTGCACACTTTTAATTTTAATCCTGTTAAACCAGAAAAAGGTTGCTTTCTACATGATTAATATAACATTATTAGTACAACACATTGCAGAAGAAATAGCAGTACCACTGGTTTGACAAAATATGACTTCTTTATTACATTAGGTATTTATGAACTTTAGATATAACAGCACTTTAAATATATTGAAGATTCAAATAAAAATGTCCTCTGTTTTATCCATAAACCAGTTAATTTAAAGATTTTAAAATATCACACAATGACAGATAAACCTAAAAGGGACATTAGAGATACCTTAGTACCATCCTTTCATTTTACAAAGGAGGAAGATAAGAACTAGAAACAGTAAAACATTTGTCTAAAAATCTGACAGCTAGTTAGTAACGAATAAACAAATCTGGCTCTTCTAAGCACTTGCATGTTAAGCACAAAATGAAATCATTGAATGAAAACATAAATATTTTGAGAAGTCAATTCATTCTTTGCCCTTCTTTTATAAACAATCTAAGTCACCACCCGTAATAATCACCTCCAAGCAGTTAACGCCCTTCCTTGCATTGACTCTGTAGCTGAAAGGCTGTGGCTTTATTTTCAGCTAAGTGAGAAAAGAAGCACATGCAATAGAATAGGAATAGCTCATTGAAAAAAATACGCTATTTTAAAAGCCAATACTATTTCCAAGACAGGCACTTTGATCAAGTATAGAGAGCATTTTGTTAGAGCATCAAACCATTTGGAAGTCAGTTGAAAGGAATGGCTCGTGGAAAGCAGGATGCTTTAAAGGGAAACATAGCAACATTCACACTGTTTTGTTCCAAATTGTACCTTAAAAACAGCTGTGTGTGTGTGTGTGTACGTGGGTGTGCGAGTAGAAAGGGGAGAGGAAAAGGATCTTCACTTGAGTTTAAGCAGGGTATTTCACTAGGATTCAGTTGTATTTGGCCAAACTAGTGAGTGGAAAGCTGGTCTAGTAACCAAAGGCCGGCTGTATGATGGGAGGGTAAATCTGAGTGCAGGGCAGCTCCTTTCTCTCTGTCTCACTCCCAGGACAACCCCTCAAGGGATGGAGAGAGCTACTAGCAAGCTGAGCTGCAGCACCAAAACCTTGATGCTCTAACAGAGCTTAACAAAGAGGAGAGAAAGGCATTGTTTCTCTTTTAGCATGATGGGACACATAGTTCTGAGTAGAAGGGCATGTTAATAAAAACTCTTTGAGACAAAATGCAACTTCCCAAACTCTATGCAGAATGGCTAAGGACAAAATACTCTCGTTATTTTGCTTCTAATACTAAACAGATTTTTCTTTTGAAATTCAAACCATGCAACCTCTAAATTGATGCGGGATGTGGGTAGGGAAGGTGGTCGGTGAGAACACCAGAAATCTAAGATTTTCCCATTGGTTCTGCTACTAAATAGGTGAACACATTTGGGAAAATCTTTTTACGGGGAACTCAATTTTTTTACCTATAAATCATGGGAGTTTTGGTCTTTTCCTATTCAAAATTCAATGGTTCTATTCTGAAGGAAAATATTTTCCTTTAAATTATAAAGGCAAAAACTTTCTGAGATTACAAAAAACACTTCCAGGGGCTCACCTAAGGTCCCTGAATAGCCCATAATCCCCTTGAAATTATGTGAAAAATTTCCGGTGAATGTGTGTATGTATGCAAGCACTTTTCTAAGAGGAGGGACAGTATTTTCATTAGAGCCTCAAAAGGAAATTTGGTCCAAAAATGTTGAAGACCACTAGTTGAAACAGTAAATGGAGTCTTCGGTTTCTGATTTATTTGGCTGCAGAGCAGATTAGCAGCAATCTTTATATGGTTATAAAATCTATCCCACAAAGCTTTCTTGAGTTTCTCATTTATTTTCATGAGCTGTGTGTTTGTAATTTTTTATGAGCAGAAAGGTTGTTCAAAATCAAGAGTCCATTTTCATGAAAGATTTTAAATTCTGGGGATTTTAAAGATGTATTTTGATTAGTGGCTAAAGAGAGCCATTTTACATCACAAAATTCCAAACATATAGCATCTTAAACACTTGCCCATTCATGTTGAATCATTTTAATATTTCTTTCTTCCTGAGTTAACTGACTTGAAACAAAAGGCTTGGCTCCTCCTTCCAACCTGCTTTTCTTCTGATGCTTAAGTCTGCTTTGAAATAATGATGGTGAATTAACTGTGGTTCCATTGGAAGTACTGTAGTAATCTCCCACTTTATCAGGATTCGATCTCTAAGATACATTAAATACAAGATATTTCTATAATATTCTTAAAGAATTATTTGAAAATGGGAGAGAAGACACTAGGGAACCTGAGGAACTAAGAGGAAAGACGCCTGTAGAAAGAAAGGAGAACCAAAGAGAAGATCTACATGATCAGATACCAAAATAGTATCAAATCCCTAAGCAGAGAAACAAGAAAAAAGAAGGAATTTCTTAAACAGGGAACACATATAGCAACTAGAGAAGAATGACTTTTTGAATACATTAAACGACAACGACGAAAAACATATAACCCAGCTTTTCAAGAACATCTTTTGGCTGACAATCTCAAGGCGTTGTATGGCTCCTCATGGCAGAGACAGAGGTGAGGAGACAACATCACAGAAAGGAGGACGTTGCCAGTGATTATCAGATAAATACAAGAAGCTCAGGGGAACAATCTTTTGTGGCAAATAAGTGCCAGTCAGTGACACATGCTGATTTTTTTTTCCTTGAGACAATATCAAAGAGGTATAATGTAAAGGGAAGAAAATCAGGTGTAAGCATTGGTCTTTTAACAAATTATCTTAGGTAATCTCAGATGCTTTTTAAGCGACTCCTTTTCCTAATGTGTGTCAATTTCATCAGAACTACTAGCAGCTCCTAAGTCCAAACGGAGAGGAATGCAGCTTTCAGTGCCTCTGTTCCTACCAGAGCCCTGCAGCTTCAGGTCACCGGCTCCAGCCACAGTGAGCCTGGAGGGCGCCAGGAGAAGAAATATGTTCTCACACGCACCAGGTCCCCAGATGACCCTGCCTGGGCGCTGCGTTCACTCAGCATCCTCCTGTGACTCTTCCTCTTTCGAGTAACAGCGTTTTTCTCCTCTCTGCGCCTCCTCAAATTCCATTCAAGAAAAAACCTGGGCTTTCAGCTAAAACGCACACCGGCCCCGCTCCATCCCGCTCCGGGCGGCCGCCTCCAGGGGGGCGCTGGTGGCTCCTCGCAGCCGCGGGAATGAGGGCGCACCCTCTTACCCCCGCGCGCGCCCGTTGCCATGGGAACGCACTCGACCGGGAAGCCCGAGGGAGAGGCGGGAGGCAGCGGCGCGGCCGAGCTCGTGGGAGACGCTATCGCAAGATGGCGTCTGCGAGGCCGCGGGATGCGGAGTGAGCGCGCCCCGCCGGGGGCTGTGCGAGGCTGCTGCTGCTCTCCCCGTCGCCGCCGCCGCCGCCGCCAGTGCGGCGCCGCCTCTCCGCCAGCCACTGCGCCGCGGCCAAGCCTCCTGCCTCGCAGGTACCTCCTCCCGCGCGCACGCTCCGCGCCTGATGGCAGCGACAAGTGCCGGCTCGCGGAGAGCTAGCGGGGCTCCCTGGGCCCGGTGCGCCCGACAATAACGCGTGAATAACTTTTTCTTGCAGCGGTCCCCCGCGTCCCGGCCTGCAGCCTCCCCGGGCGCCGGCGCCCCCAGCACGCCCCATCGGGCACCCCACTCTCTCCGAGGTGTGGGTGCGGCGGGCTGATGAGGTGATCCCTAGCCCGCCTGGGAGGAGCGCCTGGACTCGCGGGCGGCGGCGAGCGCCTTTACAATGGCCCTGACCCTGTTTGGTAAGTGCAGCCGTCTCCCCGCGCCGCCGCAGGTGGGCCGCGTCCCGGGGCTCGGGGGCGGGGGCCTGGGGGGCCTGGGCGCCCGGGGAGGGGGCGCGGCGCGTGGGGTCGGGGCGGGCCGGGGCCGCAGAGTTGGGGCGCCCGGGGCGCCGGCTTGCTCCCTCGCGCCTCTCCCATTGTTTCCTCTCCCGGCAGGGCCGATGGGCGTGTGCTCCCCTGGCCAATTCTCGGCTGGGAGGCTCAGAGGTCCTGGGTGTTTTGCAAACGCACAAAGATTCTCTAAGATGCCAACTTGGGAGTGAAGTTAACTGGTTGTTTTCAAACCTGCCTTTCCCGTCGGTAAATAAATCCTTGGAAAGTTTATTTATTTTGAACGAGGTATCTGTGAGTCCCCAGCCTCCTTGGAATTGCCAAATGCATGTGTTGCTTCCTGTTGGACTATTGGGGAATTTTTTTTTTGGACTCAGTATATTCCGTTGGAAATAAGTATGATTTGTGAACTGAATATGGGTTAAAATTGAAAATGTTTGCACTAACGAATGAGAGCAGACAGAATAAAGTTGGTTACCAGAAGATAACTGTAATCTCAGGAGACTGAGTATTCATTAAGAATGAAATGTTATTTTTGTGGTGTAATTACTGCAGCACTGTTGCTTTTGGTGGTTAAGACTTCAAGCTGTTTTTTTCTCAGTCTGCAATGACAATGGGTTGGGAAAAAGGACTGAAAAGATACATTCTTTCCTTTTACAAAACGACTATGGTACATACGTACCTGACTTTAAGAAAACTCAATATGTGAACATTAGACGTTCAAAGTATTCAGCTTTTTTGAAGAAGCAAAGTACAATGATATGTAATTGATAGCTACGAGAACAGCCTAAGTAAGTTATTCACAATATCAAGTTTCCAGTTCAGTTTTAATTATGTCATTTGATCAAACACGTTAGAGGTGTTACATACCTCAAATGCTTTTTGAGGTAAATACTTCCCAGTGAATTAAGCTGCTAGAATCAAAGTGTTACTTTTATTTAACTATCTTATTTTATAAATTAAACTTAGACCCAGAGAGGTTGTTTCCCAAAGTCACATGGCTCTTTTGTGGCAAAACTGAGCCTAGAATTCACTTCACCAGGCTTCAGTCTGGGACTGTGTTTACTGTGCCCAAGTGCATTACTAGAAGTGCCATTTCTTACTTGGTGATGATCCTCCATAGGTACTTTAAAAAAGTGTCTTCTTTTTCTGAAAAATAATAAAATTCTCGCTGTTTCTCAGTACCTTGTATCTAAGCATTATTTAATAGCAGCATTTTCCTTAAATGTGGACCTTTTTGGTACAAACATTTTCTTTCCTAAAGAGATATTTGGCATTTTCAAGGTGTGGTTTCAGAAGTAAGGTTTACAAGTCAACTTTTCAAATACTCGCATTCCTGACGAATAAAAAAGATAAATTGGGGTGAAAAATGCTCTTTTAAAAGGATTTCTAAATTCTAAATCTTTAACCACTGTGGTGAAGATGAGGAAGGGAAAAGCATGGAATGTGGCCTATAGAAGAAAGTATAAGAAATCACTCCCAGCCTTCAAAATGAATAATGTATCTTTAAAATTTTAAAGTCTACTTATGGGAAAATAGAATTCACTTCCCAAAATCCAGTTTGTTACAGTGTGAACGTTTCTGTGTTATAAAACAAAGCACTCTTGAGTGCAGAGGCTATTTGTTAAGTAGTGATAGAGCAGCAGCTGTTTTTAAAAGTGGTTGTACACCACTCATCAGTCATCTGGGATGTCTATTAAAAATGTAGATTCTTTTGCCCAAAGACATGGGGGAAGGGGATTTTAAAGTGACTCCCTTTGTGATTCTTATGCTCACTCAAGTTTGAGAACTGTTGTATTCAAGATAAATGCTAGGAGATTGGGTCAAACTCGCCCAATACAAAATAGCTTTTTGTGTATGTTGAGAGATGTACCTAAGGGTTAGAAGAAATGGATTTTATTTTAGATTTTACTACCTTTAACTAGTTGGTCTTAGTCAGAAGTGCCTCATGTCCCTTCATATTTACTCTTAATGACCAACTTAGAACAGAAGAGCAATGGAGCAATAAAGTTCTGTGAGATGGTAGTGAAAAGAGTTAGAGGCAGGGACCTAACCAGATCAACAGGATTTGTCAGAGCTCAGCAGAGTTTATACCTGAGGCTCCCCAGAGTAACGACTGCCAGGGCCCTATCTTTTGTATCTTGGTTGATTAGTTAGTGCAGTCCAGCAGTAGAGTCTAGACTAGTTATTTGCTTTGTGTTTTACATTTTCTTTCCATTCAGGCTTTTTATAAATTTAAGAAATGTTCTTTTTATAGGGAGTTGGTGACTTAGTTTTAAAAAGTGGAGCCTCTAACATTACCTGATTTTGTATTTGCATACATTTAATTTTTTTCACCTGTTAAGTATATTATAGGAACTCGAATACTTGTTAAATTAAGCTGAATAGTTAAGACTGTTTTATCTCTCATCCTCACTGTTAATCACCTTTGCTGCTTAACATATTTTTAATGCATATTAGTTTTATTTTGGGATAGAAGAACCAGACCCCAATCTTGAAAGATTTTACAGTCTCATTTGGGAATTGAAAATGTGCATTTTTGAAAGCTTAAGAATTTGCACCCGTTTTTCTTCTCCTTTCAAATGAACTCACATCTCATTATCAGCTTCGATATAGTTTTTAAATCCCCCAATTTCAAAAATTATCCAAATGTATTACAGACTCTGCTCGCTCACCTTGCTCATTTTTTCAGCAAACATCTGTCACAGCGTACAAGAGACATGGTCCTCTAGTGGCACTTCAGAGTCTTTTCTAGAACTATAGCGAATGCACCTAATTCACTAATTACCTAATTCCGTATAGTGAGTGGCACTTAACTATTAACTAATTCCGTATAGGCTTTGTGAGAACTTCCTTAGTAGAGAGCACATGTTTTCTAGTAATTACTGGGATAAAAGGAAAGTCTCAGATCCTTGAATATGGGAATTTGTGGCTGGTGTACCTGACAAAATGTCCTGATTGGCCACACCAATAGAGCCTTAGTTGGCAGAGCTGGGTGAATAAGCATTCTGCCAGCTCTTGCCTTGGCAGGAATCTCTGTCATTTATAGCTTAATGGGGCTGTGGTTTATAGCCCAGACCAACTGATGCGATTGGGAACTCAGTTACCGTCGGCTGGGCTGGCTGAACCTTGAATAATGGTCCTCTATCTGGGTAGAGTCACCTCTGGCGTTGCTGCTCACCCTCCTTGCCCCTTATTCTTGTTACCATTTAGTCACCATCTTACTACCATAGATCACTTCTAATAATGCTTATGATTTTGCTATAATTTTGTACCATCTTTCCTCAGACCCTTCTGCCATGGAAACCTTTTCATTATCTCACTTTATTCAGCATCTGTCACTAACCTGACACACCTACCTATGGACATCTTTTGGAGCAATTAAATAGCAATGGCATATTCTTTGTGATGTAGTTAGGAAATTTTCTGATTTCCCATAGGAATGTCCTGAAATTAAAATGTATTTTTTAAAAGACAAGTCAATTGAAGATTTTCATATTTGACTGAAAGCTAATTTTATAGGAAGTTCCCACTTGACTATACTCTCTGCTGACATTTTTATTTTTCAGTTGTCCAAAGAATACAAGAGGCTGGCCCAGTGGTGTGAGCTCATCTGCCTTTTTCAGAATATATTCTTTTCAGCTGTCATTTAAATCATCATCCTTATTTAAATTTTTGTCCATGTTCCTTCTTGTACTGGTGTCAAAACTTAATATTTTAGTCAGACATGGTGGCAATGTGCCTGTAGTCCCTGCTACTCAGGAGGTTGAGGCAAGAGAACTGCTTGAGTTCAGAAGTTCAAGACTGTAGTTGCACTATGATTGTGCCTGTGAATAGCCACTGCACTCCAGTCTGGACAACACAGCAAGACCCTGTCTCTAAAAGAGTAAAAATAAGAAAACCCAGCTGGGCATGGTGGCTCACATCTGTAATGGGTGGCCCATGCCTCCTGGCACTTTGGGGGGCCTAGGCTGGAGGATCACTTGAGCTCAGGAGTTTGAGACCAGCCTGAACAACACAGGGAGATACCATCTCTACAGAAAATAATAATAATAATAAAGCCTGGGTGCAGTGGTTCATGCCTGTAATACCAGCATTTTGGGAGGCCGAGGTGGGTGGATCATTTGAGGTCAGGAGTTCGAGACCAGCCTGGCCAACATGGTGAATCCCCACCTTTACTAAAAATACAAATATTAGCCAAGTGTGGTGGCAGGTGTCTGTAGTCCCAGCTACTTGGGAGGGTGACACAGGAGAATCCCATGAACCCAGGAGGTAGAGGTTACAGTGAGCTGAGATTGTGTCACTGCACTCCAGCCTGGGAGACAGAGCGAGATTTTGTCTCAAAACAAACAAACAAAAAAAATCAGGCCAGGTGTGGTGGATCATGCCTGTAATCTCAGTACTTTGAGAGGCTAAGGTGGATGATCACTTGAGGTCGGGAGTTCAAGACCATGGTTAACATAGCAAAACCATGTCTCTACTAAAAATACAAAAATTAGCCTGGCATGGTGGCACATGCTTGTAGTCCCAGCTACTCTGGAGGCTGAAGCAGGAGAATCGCTTGAACCCCAGGAGGTAGAGGTTGCAGTGAGCTGAGATCACACCACTGCACTCTAGCCTGGGCAACAGAGTGAGACTCCATCTCAAAAAAAAAAAAAAAAAAAAATTAGCCAGGTGTGGTGATGCATGCCTGTGGTTCTAATATTTTAGCTTTAAAGTTTGTCTTTTAATGTGTGGAGAGCTGGTACTATGTAAGAACAATAAAATAATTATAGTTGTTATAACTCTGATAGTCACCATCTGTGTACACTGTAGAGGAATGTTGGCACTGCAGTCTTTTGAGTCACATCTGTCTCTGCAGGTAACCATCCTATAAGCAGCCTAATTTTTGAACATAGAAGACAGTGATATGTATAATTATACAAATTTGACATATTTGTCAATAAAGATTTTAGTTTCTTTTAGATTACTTTTTCTCAACCTTTTAAAAAATCCTCCCTCTCCCGGCCTTTTAGGCCTGTTTTCTAATTGTTCTCCCCATGAAAATTTAATACCAGAGATATACTATGTATCTGTTTATGTACTGTAGATATATCTGCTTTCTGCATAACGTAAATACAGTACTTTTTTTTACCCCAACTCTCCATCTCCTCAACTCATTGAGAATACATGTTTTATACTAATTTAAAGCAATCATAAAATAGTGAGGCAGAAAAATACTGTTTGGTCATGCTTTATATGTTATAATAATAGTTTTAAAGGAATGACATTAGTATAATAAGTTATAGGTTTTTCATAAGATTGTTTTAACCTAGGAATTTACTATCTTGAGAGCAGCCATGACAAAGAGTACCTTGCTGGGGCTGGTGAGGGTGTAGCGTTTCTCCAAGTCCCTCTGATAAAGATGAGGTCCTTTGCTATGGGCAATTGATGTTTTCTCAGTCTTATAGAAAGCATCAATTACAGCATCTTTAGAAGACTTTATTTATCTGAAATATGTAAACTAAATGAAATCACAGAACTTTCTGTGCAAACTCAATTCAAGGCAAGTCCTTGAGCCTGGCCTTGTAACCAAATTACCAGCCATTAGTTATTCTTACATAGAAAATAATTTCTATGAACTTTGATTTTTTTTAATTAATATAATCCTACTATCCTTAAAAATAGGATAGGACAAAACTAAGGAAACAGGGTACAGTATGACCATATTTACATTGAAAAGTCATATTGAATAGAAAAAAAAGCCTGACAAAATAAAGTTATAAATATACATTCCTAATTTGGCTGCTTATTTTTAAAAGAATAGATACTTTGTGAATACACTAAAAACCACTACATTGTACACTTTGAAAGGGTGAGTTTTATGGTATGGGAATTTATGTCAGTAAAGCTGAGATATATTAATTTAAAAAACCACCTGAGCTTTAAAAACAAAGATTAGATAGAAGAAAAGAATGGTTTTATATCCAAGAACCTTTAAGAGCTTTTTACATTTTTAGATTTTTTTTTACTTTTCTTCCTCAAAGAACAAAAAATAAAATTAAAAATTGATAGGTAAAAATGTTCCTACCTGTTTTAAATTTAGAAAAGTAAGCACTTCTTGGAAAGAGCCAATACCCACAGTTGAGAGAATGTGGGAGAAGGGAAGATGAGTCAGGCCAGCATGTCACCAGCTGCTCAGTGGCCTGGCATAGAGCCACCTCATTGTTTTTTATCCAGCAGCGCTGAAAGTGTTTCCTTTCTCTTTCCACTCTGACTCTGACCTTTCGATTCCTTTGGATTGCATATGTTCCGTGGAGTAAGGCAAGCACAAGGATATGTCAGACATATCTCTCCTTGAATAGATTTTTGTGACCACAGACTTGACATTTCAAAACTGAATGAGTCTGAGGCTTTTTAAACTGCAAATTCTTCCTGATTTTTCCCATTTCTGTCATAATCTTCAGCTCTTAAAGTATGTTTTTTTTTTTAATCTCGTATCTTTTTTTTTTTTTTTTTTTTGAGACAGAGTCTCACTCTGTCACCCAGGCTGCAGTGCAGTGGCGCAATCTCAGATCACTGCAACCTCCACCTCCCAGGTTCAAGCAATTCTCCTGCCTCAGCCTTCTGAGTAGCTGGGACCATAGGCATGTGCCACAATGCCTGGCTAATTTTTGCGTATTTAGTAGAGACGGGGTTTTGCCATGTTGGCCAGGCTGGTCTTGAACTCCTGACCTCATGTGATCCACCCATCTCGGCCCCCCAAAGTGCTGGGATTATAGACATGGACCACTGTGCCCGGCCCTATCTTGTATCTTTTTTTTTTTTTTGCGCCCCCGAGACAGAGTCTTACTGTGTCACCCAGGCTGGAGTGCAATGGCATCGTCTCAGCTCACTGCAACCTCTGCCTCCCGGATTTGAGCGATTCTCCTGCATCAGCCTCCCAAGTAGCTGGGACTACCACACCCAGCTAATTTTTGTTGGCCAGGCTGGTCTCGAACTCCTGACCTCGTGATCCTCCCGCCTCGGTCTCCCAAAGTGCTGGGATTACAGACGTGAGCCACCACACCCGGCCTTTTGTATCTTTTATATAGAACTTTGCCATTGTTTTCTGTTCTTTAATGGCTGTGAAGTTACTCTGGTAAAGATGATTTTAGGTTTTGAAGTAGTTGGTGCTAGGTTTGACAGGCAGCAGGTGAGTGGTGTGGATGTCCATTTGAGGAAAATGGAAACATCTGTTTGACTGAAATATTTTTTCCTGCAGACCTCCCATGTAAGTGAAATTTACACTATTAAACATGATTTTTAGCATGTTACCTATGAGGAATTACATGCTGAGCATAGATAAGTACATTCTTTTAGCATGAAAAGATTATTTCAGCTTATGGATGAACAGTCTTAAAGTAGTAAAAACATAGGGCAGGCATTTTGATTGAGGCAATTATACTGTAAGAGAAAAGAAAGTAGAAGTTTTAGAGGGTGGGGCTTTACTAAGAAGGCTTGTAAGAGGTGATGTCATAAGCAAAAGTGTGTGAAAAAGCAGAGGACGTTCGAGGTCTGGGGAAGGAATGGATGATACCGTTAAGTGAGAGAAGGGTGTAGAAACTAGATGAGTACTGTTCTATAATTTTGCCAAGGAGTAGCTTTGAGGCTTTTCCTATTTTGTGATTTGTTTACCCATCTATCTGATGAATATTTAGTGAGTGCCTAATATGTGCGAAGTATGTATTTGTTCCTGCCATCAAGGAATTTATATTTGCAGTGGAGGGAGACAGACAATAAAACATGTATAATGTGCCAGGTGGCAAATGCTTTGAAGAAAAATAGAGGAGAGTGAGGGGTAAGGGGTTACCTGTCTCACAATGTCGGGGGAGAGGGGGTAGGCCTCACAGACAGGTGAATTTTGAGCAGACTTGAAGGAAGTGAGAAACCCATCATATGAAATGGGGAAATTGCCTCATGGAGCAGGCTTTGAAGCAAGGATGTGCTGGGCAGTTTTGAGGAACAGAAGGGCCAGCATGGCTGGAGTGGAGTCAGCAAGGGGAAAGCTGGAGGAGTTGAGGAGAGAGAGGAGAGAGGGCAGCTGGGGGATAGAGAGTACTGGGGTGTATCTCCCATGGCCTGGTAAGGACTTGAGATTTTACTGAGTGAGATGGGATGTCATGGAGGATGGTACTTTCGTAGCATGTAGTGTAGTGGAAAGAGCTTGGATTTGGTGGTAAGGGAGCTATGTTTACTCCTTTCTCTGCCAAGGATCAGCTATATGTTCTAGTGTCAATTTCTTTACAGGTAATCAGGGGCTGTTCCCTTATCCCATCTGTGCAGGAATAAATGAGATTATTTTATAAGGTTCTTAGTATAGTGGTTGAAGATACATAGTAGCTAATATTGTCACCTATATCGTTATTGTAAATATTAACAAAGATTGAAGATACCAGAACAATTTCTCCATTTAACAAGTCTGTTGACCCACTTGAAAAAGTGGTTTTGTAATATTTCTACTTTGTGTGTGTGGCTGAATAAGTGCCATGTGCCATTGCAGACCTGGTTCAGGGGGCTTACAGTGAAGATCAAGTAGGTTTCTGTGATAGTGCTGGCCACTATGACACTTTCTGTTACTCTCTGAAAATGTAAACAATACCCTGTTCAACAGGCAATGTTTGCTTCTCCTTTGGGAGGTAACCCAGACTATACAGTAGTCTCCCCTTATCCTCAGCGGATACATTCCAAGAGCCTCAGTGGATGCCTGAAACTGGATAGTACAGAACCCTATTATCTACTATGTTTTTTCCTATACAAACATAGCGATGGCAAAATTTTAATTTATAAATTAGGTACAGTAAGAGATTAACAGTAACTAATAATAAAATAGAACAATTATAATAGTATGCCAGCATTGCTACTCTTGTACTTTGGGGCCACTGTTAAGTAAAATAAGGGTTATTTGAACATAAGCACTGTGATACTGCTAAAATGGCTACTAAGTGACTTACAAGCACTTTAAGTGGCTACTAAGTGACTTACTAGGTAGTGTCTACAGCATGGATATGCTGGACAAAGGAATTACATTCTTGGCAGCAGGTGTCCCCAACCCCCAAGCCATGGACTTGTGCTGGTTGGTGGCCTTTTAGGAACTGGGCCACACAGCAGGTGAGCAGCAGACAAGAGAGCATTAACACCTGCGCTCCACCCCCTGTCAGATCAGCAATGGCATTAGATTCTCATAGGAGCGTGAACCGTATTGTGAACTGCTCATGTGAGGGATCTGGGTTGCACACTCCTTATGACAATCTAATGCCTGTTGATCTGAGGTGGAGCAGTTGCATCCCAAAACATTCCCTTTGCATGCCCCCATCCCCCCACCGTCCATGGAAAAATTGTCTTCCATGAAACCAGAACCGGTCACTGGTGCCAAAAAGGTTGGGGACCACTGCTTGGTGGGATGGAGCTGTGTAGTGTAAGATTTCATCATGCTGCTCAGAATAGCATGCAACTTAAAAACTTGTGAATTGCTTATTTTCTGGAGTTGTTCATTTAATTTTTTCAGATTGCAGTTGACTGTGCGTAATTGAAACCATGAAAAGTGAAACCTTGGATAAGGATTTCTGTAATCAGTTACATCCCTGCCCTCATAACGCTTAAAATTTATCAAGGACTGTAAACTCAATGTTTGGCACATAATAGGTACTCAATCTAAGCAAATAAATGAAGAAAGAAAGAATAAACATATAACAATACTGTCACTGTATACATGTACCTTGTGAATAACCTTCAATCAATCTAAACATTTACTTTTATGTTTTTTCTTCCTTTATTATTTCACATTTTCCTTGCTTATTATATGAGAGTCTGTAATCGGAAACTTAAACCTGCCTCTTAGAAATTGGTTAGTTTACAATTTACTTCCCTCCTTAAAATCGTCCAGTGGTTCCTTGTCACCATTAAGTCCAAATTCCCTAGCTTGTATATAAGACTATCAAGATAGGACCCTTGACCTGTCTGACTTCATCTCTCACTGTCTCCCACTTAGAGACTGTGCTTCAGCCATGCTGGGCTACTTTCCAGAAAAAATTTTACTTAATGAGCCTTTGGCACCATCATGTCCCTATCCCTTCTTTGCCCTCACCTCTACACATCTTGCAAAACTCAGCTTGAATAATCGTCTCTTCTACCTGGCCTTCCTTTGTGCGTTACCCCTTTTCTGCATCCAGAGTGCCCTATACTACCCATCTCTGCCCTAGCACTTATTGTGTGGTGACGTAATAGTTTATAGTCTCGTGTCCCCCCATTGGATGAAGTTCCCTAATGGGAAAGCTATAGGTTTTTTTCTTTGTATATTTAACAACCGCCACAGTGTCTGCTGCATACCAGCTACTCAATAAATGTTGGATGTTATGGAGTCTACTGTATTTATTAAATTTGGGAGTTGACTGTAAGGCCCAGATCCATATGACATGGACTCCCTGTTTTCCTTTCGTCATTTTCTGTGCATTTTTAAAAATTTAGTAAATGTGTCATTCTGTCATCCCTTGGTTCTATATTCTAATATGGATTCCCCAACTGTAAGCTCACAAAAGCTCGAATAAAATAGAAATCTCTCTGGATCAAATTCTGTGAGGTTTAACTCTAATATTACTAACCACCAGCAGATGTTTCTAAATTATTTGGCATAATTAGATAACAAATTCCACTTCATTAAACTATTGTTCATTTTCATTTCAGTGGTACAAAGGGATTGTACATAAATTAGCTTGGTTTGTTCATGTTTTACCCTCACAGTAGGGAACATAATCAAACTGAATAGGAATTCAGTATGAAAATGGCTAATTTAACCTTTTCGAGGTCTGAAAATAAAAACAACATAATCTTTCATTAATTTGTCTGCTACAGGAACCTTCCTATTAGTTTTTAGATGGTTGTGAGAAGAGCAGATATAAACAGCAGTTTAAACATTAACATTTTTAAATGGATTAAAAAACCTTTTATTTCTGTTATTTATTAATGCCTCTTGTTTTTCTAGGAAGAATTTGAGGCAATTTACAAAAAGATTCAGTGCAAGAAGATTGAAACAATAATCATGGGAATTTGTTTTTCTCTGTCTTGTGTCATTAGGTTCTTCCTCTCCTTTGGGTTGTTTCCCTCTGATTGTAGCTGTGATTTGCCATTCCATATGGTAAAGCCTTTTTCTTTCTTTTTTTTTTTTTTAGTTTTGGTACCCTCTCAAGCACTGTCATGTGTTTTTTTGGTGCTCCTCCCATTACCAAGGACTTATTGAAAGAGAAGTCTCTGTATGCTCCCCTTCCACTTTCTACATGTCTGTTTTCATCTCTTCCCAGCCACGGTGCCACAGATAATAATTAGTTTTTAGGTGTTTGTGAATGTCATTCATCTCTAGTGAAAAAGGAGAGATTGACAACTGTTAAAGAAAAACTTATTCTAACGCTTGTTAAAGCAGCAAAGAAGATTGTATTTAAGATAATCATGATAGGTTGTCCAGACTATTGTGATAGGGGAGAGAGATTGGACTCAATTCCGAATATAACATGAACAAGCAGGAATTTATAACCATGAAGCAGGTTGTGGGGGTGGTGGATGGACAGTTACTAAGAGGAGACATCAAGGGTGGGGGAATTATTGCTAAACTGACATAACAGGATTCTTACTGAGGGCATGTCAGTGTGATCATATAACAAGGGTAGGGGGTTGAGGAATTCCATTAGCTAGCAAGTGATTGGAGCCAGGTGTGGTGGCTCATGCCTGTAATCGCAGCAGTTTGGGAGGCTGAAGCTGAAGGATTGCTTGAGGCCAGGAATTCAAGAGCAGCCTGAGCAATGTAGTGAGACTCTCATCTTTACAAAAAATAAAAAAATAGCTGGCATGGTGGCACACACTTGTAGTTCCAGCTATTTGGGGAGGCTGAGCCTGGAGGATTGCTTGAGCCCAGGTGTTAGAGCCCAGGCTTCGGTGAGCACTCCAGCCTGGGTGACAGAGTCAGACTCTGTCTCTTAAAAAAAAAAAAAGTGATTAGATATCAAAAGTAGAGGGATTCTCTCTCAACTGACTTAGCAGGCTTCTTGGTAAAACTGGGCTATGCAGGCCTGGTGGGGCGTGGGCCAAGGTGGAGGCCTGGTTGAGAAGAGGGCCTAGGAGAAGCCTGACTAAAGTTTGGTCAAGGAGAGCATCTTGTCACAAGTGTCATCTTATATTTGCTTCTGATCAACTGGAAGTGCTTTATCCATTAGGAGCCAGTATCCAGTGGCTTGTTTGAATATTTGTTCTTTCTGCACTATTTGATGTTTTTGATTACATCTTTCTTCTTAAAACTTTTTTCTCTCGTCTTTTGAGACATTGTTTTCTGCCGCTATTCCTTTTCCTCCCTTTCCTATGCTTCAGTTTGTTCTGTTTGATCCCCTCTATGTCAGTGCTTTTCAAGAACTGACCTTCTTTTCTCTTTTGGAAGCATGTAGGTTTCAACAGTGAACACCGTGTGAATGATTCCCAAGTCTTTTATCTATCTCCAGCCTGCCCTTCCATACACTCCACAGCTCTATCTGGATTTCCTATAGACACTTCAGACGCCACATGTTCCAGCCCCACATTCTTTGTGTTTATTCTTCCATCCTCTCTTTCTTTGCCTCTGATACCCAACCAGCTGCTAACTTGCAGACTGGTCTTTGCATGGCTTTCATACTTCTTTCTTTCTGTGGCTCTGCCTTTCCTTTGAGTTCTGCAACCTCTTCCTCTGCCCTCTGTCACCCATCAGAAGGAGTCCCTTCATGTTCTGAATTCTGTATCATTTTTTCTGTGAATCTCTCATGACATTTGTGAATGCATTTCTTTCGTAATAGTTATGTATCTTATTTTTGTCATCTTTTCTAGACTGACAGTTTCTCTAAAGTAAGATTCATTTCTTTTTCATTTCTGTATTCCTCGCAGTGCTTAAACTTAGCACAGTGCTTCACACATAGCAGGTACTTGAAAATATTTGTTAAATGAATAAAATAGCTCCCCTAAACCATGGTATTCCTGTAGCTTAACAATTTCCAGGGTAGAAATATAAAGCATTTTTAAAGTTATTCTATTGCTTTATAATACTTTAATCAAGTTATCAACAGTTAACATTTCCAGATCTCTTATATATTGTTTTTGTTAACTAATTATCTCATTTTCAGGCTTTAACAGAAAAAATACATGTATTCCTGCAGTATTGTTTCATGTCAAGGGCAGGTATATCACTTACTCTGGAATTGGTTCCTTTTGCTAGCTTATCTTTTCCCAAAAGTTTCCTGTGAAATTACAGTTACATTTATACTGTTATATTTTATAAAAACCTCTTTATCCTTCTTTTAACTTTCAAACCAGAGGAGAAGGGACACTAAACAGTATCTATAAACACAGGGCTTGTTATAATCCAGGTTGATTTTCTGGCCCCTTTAATGTTGTCATGTGTCCAGTAGTCAACTGGAAACAGAAACCTTCTGGGGGGACCATGCTAAAGGTAGGAAAAATGATGGGTTCTTCTGCTCTGAGAGCTGTTCTCTCTTCTTTTAGACTTTTCTAGGCTGTTAGCAAGGAATTGGTGAAGGGAAGCCTTTCTTTGTTCAGGTCTCCCTTTCAGACCCTGGTGGGTTAGCCAAGTTCATAGGACGTTTACATATTAGTCCTCCACTTAAAAACTAGCTTGTGTTTTGAAGGTTGCTGAATAGATGTCACTAAGTAGTAGACCAAAAAGCTCACCCTAATGATTGTTTTACAGAATGGAATATATTAAACCATGACCCTTTTAAAAGATGCAGTCAGTGGTTTATATGACATTTCACTTATTGCTTATTATAATATTTAATTCTGAAAAAAATGTTTTGATGAAATTGACTTTACTACTCCTGTAAGTTGTTCCTATAAGATGATTTTGCCTCTTAAGTCTTTGGATGGTATTTATTACTATTCTGAGATTTGTATCTCAAATTTGGATGTTATAAAGATGTCATTATATATGTGTACAGCATATGTAATTAAAGATGAGAGCCATGAAAATGCAATTCATGTTTCTTTTATCATAATGTTTAAAAGTTGACTAGATATTTTAAAGTTATTGTATATTCCTGGGAAGAGAAATGCTTCTCTGGGCGTGTCGGTTCATTTTTTTTAGTTGAAGTTAAAAGGATAGATTATTTCAAAAGAACAAGAAAAGGAACAAGATGGATTAATAATACAGTGGTAAAAAGAAAGGGGGCAACAGACATCGCTATACAGTAGGGACACTTGCAGAATACTTAAAGGCTTGTCATCCTGAATTTTCCAGACACATGGCTCTGCAGTTCTCTGGAGAGCCACAAGCCCCTTTCTTGCAGGGGCGGGACAGGTTGGTGGGGATTGGAGTGGGTAGGGGAAGATCTGCTGTTCCTAGGTCTCTCCAGACAGAGGAGCTCTTGCTTTCTCTTTTAGTGTTTATTTCTTCCTCTCTTCTCCCTCCCTCTCCATCTTGCCCGCCCCCCCGCACCCCCCCACGACCTCGCACTCTTGCTCTTGCGCTCGCGCTCTCTCTCTCTCTCTCTCTCTCTCACACACACACACACACACACACACACACAGACACACCACACACACACACCCCGCACACACCAAGTCTGCCAATGTCAGGAGCAATGGGAAGGAAAGAGCAGTGATTGAACACACAGATCCCAGAACTTACTCATTTGGATGAGACCTTATTCAGCTCAAGATGCCTTCTCATGTCACTCTTCTAATCAAAACTTCTTCTTTTACCTTTATTCAAGTATAATAATTGATCTTCAGAGGCATATGACAATTTTTAAACTTTTTTTTGAAATAATTTTTAGTTAAAGGTTGATCAAAATCTTAATAGAAAAAGTCCAGTGTTTTCAGGTCTTATCTGTTTGTACCAGGGGAAGAAGGAAAATTGATGTATGTTATTTACATTAATATTAGATAATTTGTAAAAGATCTGTCCCAAAATAGTTTTTTTCATTGGTAAGAGTACATTTAAGATAAACATGCAACTTTTTTTTTTTTTTGAGACAGGGTTTCACTGTGTTTCCCAGGCTGCAGTGTGGTGGTGTGATCACTGCTCACTGCAGCCTTGACCTCCTGGGCTCAGGCGATCCTCCCACCTCAGCCTCCCAAGTAGCTGAGACCACAGGTGCGAGCCACCATGCCCAGCTAATTTTTAAATAATCTGTAGAGACAGGGTCTCCCTGTGTTGCCCAGGCTGGTCTCGAAGTTCTGGGCTCAAGCACTCCTCCCACCTTAGGAGGAACCTTCAAAGTGTAATTCTTCAAAGCTCCAGGATTACAGGTGTGATCCACCATGCCAGGCCTAATATGCAACTTTAATATGTTGCTTACTGTGTGTTTTCAGCTGTCATAATTATTAGGTGGCAAGGCACAGTTTTTAAAAGTTGACGTATTTATCTTTTTTTTCTTTTTTTTGAGTTGGAGTTTCCTCTTGTTGCCCAGGCTGGAATGTGGTGGTGCCATCTCAGCTCACTGCAACCTCCGCCTTCTGGTTTCAAGCCATTCTCCTGTCTTAGCCTCCCGAGTAGCTGGGATTACAGGCGCCCGCCACCACACCTGGCTAATTTTTGTATTTTTAGTGGAGACGGGGTTTCACCATGTTGGCCAGGCTGGTCTCGAACTCCTGACCTTGTGATCTGCCCACCTCAGCCTCCCTAAATGCTGGGATTACAGGTGTGAGCCACCATGCCTGGCCTTGTTTATCTTTTATTTTAAAATTTAAACAGGTTTATGGTAATACAGTTAAACTACATAGTTCATAGGACTTTTAGCAGATTGAGAGATGAAGACTTTATAATAGATTAATTTCACTACTATTTTTGAAAAAATGCAGCAGCTTTTAATAATAAATACCATTGAACAGTACTTTTTCTGACTTACGATTTGAATGCAGACAGAAATGGTAATGTGAACTGAAATAAAGTCTAATACTTTAAACCCTTGTGTTCTTTCAAATCTGTTTCCCTAAATTACAGCAATATACACCTTCTTTCAAATTATAAAAATAATTTATTGTTAATGCTGAGATATTAAGCTGAGATGAACTGGTATATTTCATACTGTATTTATTAACACTTTACATGCTGTCTGTTTTCTAAAGAGCTCAAACCAGTGATGAGTTTTATAGGCTCATTTTATTTTCCACTGCCATATTATAAGAAGATTCATAGCTGCTGAGAAAGCTGCCATAGAATATTATCTGTCATATTGTCTCAAGGCAACTAAATATATTGTTATAAGTAATCACTAATAAAGCACTAAGAAAAAAATATTAGCAATATTTGCAAAACGGTACACTCTGTGCTAATTTTATTGAAACAGAGTTGGGAAGTTGTAGACAATTAAAAATGCCATCAAATCTTACGCCAACTTAGACTTGGCCAAAATGTTCACCTATTTTTCCCCAAGTATTTGGTCTTTTTTTTTTTTTTTTTGAGACGGAGTTTCACTCTGTTGCCCAGGCTGGAGTGCAGTGGCGCGATCTCGACTCACTGCAAGCTCCGCCTCCCGGGTTCACGCCATTCTCCTGCCTCAGCCTCCCGTGTAGCTGGGACTACAGGCGCGCACCACCATGCCCGGCTAATTTTTGTATTTTTAGTAGAGACGGGGTTTCACCGTGTTAGCCAGGATGGTCTCGATCTCCTGACCTCGTGATCCGCCCGCCTTGGCTCCCAAAGTGCTGGGATTACAGGCGTGAGCCACCGCGCCTGGCTGTTGTCACTTTTTATGGCCCAATTTTACTCATACTTGGAAAGTCTCATTATGTACTAGCATGTTAGTGTTCTTTAGCATGTGAAAATTTTGGAGGGTTTTTTTTGGTCTTTCTCAGTTTAGACCATCCTCACCATAGTTAAAACTCACATCTCCCTCTCCCTCATCCTGGATAAGGTAAAACTGACTGTCAATAACCAGGTCTAAGAAGACAACACATCTATATAAAATTGCCATCATCTAAATATGTAGTCTCAACAGTTATTAAAATCTGTCTCCCTTCAACCTAAAAAGTGAAATAAAAGCAGTTTCTCCTTACTTACCTCTGTAAAAGAATATTATAACCTGCCAAGCACGGTGGCTCATGCTTATAATCCCAGCACTTTAGGAAGCCGAGGCAGGTGGATCATGAGATCAGGAGTTCGAGATCATCCTGGCCAATACAGTGAAACCCCATCTGTACTACAAATACAAAAATTAGCTGGTGGCGGGCTAATACAAAAATACAAAAATTAGTGGTGGTAGGCGCTTGTTATCCCAGCTACTCGGGAGGCTGAGGCAGGAGAATCACTTGAACCTGGGAGGTGGAGGTTGCAGTGAGCCGAGATTGCGCCACTGTACTCCAGCCTGGGTGACAGAGCTATACTCTGTCTCAAATAAAAAAAAAAAAAAAGAAAAAAGAGTATTATGACCAAGAGGCCGTAATATAATTTGAGTTTCTATGTATATGGCAGTGCCATGTAAATCTAGAATGTTAATATTTCCTCTTTCTTGCTATGTGAAATAATAAAACCATACTAGAGTTGACCCTTGAACATGATGCTTAGGAGGGCAGATATCCCCTGCCCCCTGCCCCGCCTAGTCTGTCAAAAATCCACGTATTTGACTTCCCCAAAACTTTACTAATAACCCACTGGTTACTGGAAACCTTACCAATAACATAAACAATTGATTAACGCATATTTTGTGTTATATGTATTGTATACTGTATTCTTACAATAAAGTAAGCTGGAGAAAAAATGTTATTAACAAAATAATAAAATCGGCTGGGCGTGGTGGCTCATGCCTGTAATCCCAGCACTTTGGGAGGCCAAGGCAGGCAGACCATGAGGTCAGGAGATGGAGGCCATCCTGGCTAACACAGTGAAACCCTGTCTCTACTAAAAATACAAAAAATTAGCTGGGCGTGGTGGTGGGCGCCTGTAGTCCCAGCTACTCGGGAGGCTGAGGCAGGAGGATCGCTTGAACCCAGGAGGCAGAGGTTGCACTGAGCCCAGATCGCGCCATTGCACTCCAGCCTGGGCAACAGAGTGAGACTCCGTCTCAAAACAAGCAAACAAACAAAAAATCATAAGGAAAAGATATTTATTGAAAATATGTGGATCGTTGTAAATGTCTTCATCTTTGTTGTCTTCATGTTGAGTAGACTGAAGAAGAGGAGGGGTTGGTTGGTCTTACTGTCTTAAGGGTAACAGAAGCACAAGAAAATCTGTTTATAAGTAGAACCACGTGGTTCAAACCCATGTTGTTTAAGGGTCGGCTGTATTTCTAAAGTCTAAAGAGAATCATGGACATTGTGACTCTGGGGTGTTTTCTTTCGTATTAGTCTTGTGTTTGTTTTCGTCTTTACATACTATGTATCTTAACTCTTAATCTGTAAACTTTTGGTTATTAGGCATACACATATGGTGGATCTATGGATGTGTCTATTCATTAGTTCCACTATATTTTAGAATTCTTGGTAACTTTTTTGGTTTATATTTTATGAAAAACAAAGGGCCCCCTTTTCTTTTGCAAGGTGTATTCTATAGCTGTGTTCGCTATATTATAAAATTAGGAGAGTAATTCTAACTTCTCTGCTGAGTAGGTGCTTTTTAAATTTCTTTGGTATATCAGATTCTCAAGCTTCATTACATAATATATCTCTGTGGCATAACTCCTGAAGATAATATAGGGATCCAGTGTGACGGTTTGGCTATAAATATTTCACATGATTTAGAATAATCTAATCTCAAATCCACAATTGCAGTTTATTATAGTTATGGATGTTTGGACCCTGGAAAATTAACCTTTTAATTTAAATTAAAGTAACAGTTTGATTATTGGGAATATTGTATTGAACATTTATAATGATTTGCTTTTGGAATTATACTGATGAATAGAGTGAAAACATTTTCCAGAGAGTCCACAAGATGGCACTTGCCAACTTGTTTCCTCTGTTTTTCCTTAACTTATGGAAATGCAGCAAAATTTAAGAAGGAACATCTAAATATTTATGCCCTTAAAATGCTAAAGTTTAGATTTCTAGAAGCTTTAGTCAAGACTCCTTGAAATTGATGAGCTTCAATTTAACATTTTAAACAGTGTTCATTTCCGGTATAGGAGCCAAAATCCTTTGTTGAAGATCCGTAAAACACACTGGGATCTGTAGAATACAAAGGGCTGCCTGCATTCACTATGTTTGCCTTTACTTTTAAAGTAATAATATGATTTATGAGGCTTGTAGTCTATATGTCTCATTTCTAGACATCTTAAAATATGGACATTTATTAGAACAATGGGTATTAGTAATTGCTCTAAAGTAACTGTTATTTTTTATTTAAAAACAAGATGATGTAGTTGGAATATATTATGTAATTTTTAATTATGAATGAAATTTAATAAGTGGAATGGTAATGAAGGACGACAGGAATCTACCCAATCACAGTGTTAATTAAATTAGGCTTCTTTTTTACTCTTGTATATTTGACAATTAATACTGCTTTAGATGTTTACTGTTTACATTAACATTGTCATTAGGGAAGGGAATGATGTTGAAATTATGTTGAGGTTGGTAGGGAAGTTTTATATTGTTTATTGCTTTCTGAAATCTTGTCAATAATTTCAATGGAAAGAGCTACATGTTCATAGAAGACTAAAACATTAAAGTGTATCAACTAAAATCTAGAGCAAATTAGGTTTAGGTCTATAGCATTCTGATTTTTCTCAGCCTCATCATAAAAATCATCAAGCAAATAGTATCAAAGACATATCATAGAATAAGAAAAGCCCAAGGAACTTTCTCTTGAAACCTAAGACTTGCAAAAATCTAAATATAAGCTTATAACCATGTATTTTAGAGAGTTGTGAAAGCACTCATTTTTTTTCTTCATTCTTGTGAAGGTTTGTTGAAGAAAGAATCTATTACATATGAAGAAAGAATCAATACAGGTTTCTTTTTAAAAACGATTTTGTATGTACTGGCTGCTAAGCTTGCATAATGAATATGTTCTGTGAGGAGGCTGCACGTTGAAAACTATTCCTTTGTTAGCTTGCCCTTTCTTCTGTCAAGGGTTTAGTGTTCAGTTTCAGGTTACCATCATTTATGTGATACTATTTTGCACAAGATCTCTTTTTAGAAGCTAATAAAACACAGCCAGGCACAGTGGCTCACGCCTGTAATCCCAGGACTTTGGGAGGCCAAGGCAGGCAGATCACAAGGTCAAGGGATCGAGACCATCCTGGCCAATATGGTGAAACCCCATCTCTACTAAAAATACAAAAATTAGCTGGGTGTGGTGGTACACACCTGTAGTCCCAGCTACTTGGGAGGCTGAGGCAGGAGAATCGCTTCAACCGGAGAGGCAGAGGTTGCAATGAGCCAGGATCGCGCCACTGCACTCTAGCCTGGTGACAGAGCGAGACTCCATCTAAAAAAAAAAAAAAAAAAAAAAGCTTATAAAACACATTCTGTAATTTTCATTGAATTTATAGAAACGTTAATTTAAGGTAAATTAATTTTAGAACTAAGGAACTTCTTGAGAAACATGGATCAGAGAGTATTATATGTAGGAGCAGATGTAAGGGATATACACATAGCACACAGAGCAGATTCATCCACTGACATCTTTGAAAGATCTTATTTTAAAAGTGTTTATTTTCCCCATGGATAAAATGAAGATTGAGCTTTCAAACGTGCCTATTTCTAGTTATTTTTTTCCAGAATTAAATTCTAAGAAATTTCTGAAAATGAAAAAAAAAAAAACTTGCGTGGAGCAGTAGATGCTCCCTTTTTTTCTCTGTTTAGATTTATAGTCCACATTTGAGACCAAGTGAAAATTAAATAGCTCAAACTGACTTTTGTTCTTTCTGAGTCTTTCCCATCATCTCTTGTGAAAATGTAGACATGTATGCAGTTGTCAATGAAAGGATTTGTCTTTTCAGTTGGCTGACTGATTGGCTAGCTTATTTATTTATTTATTTATTTATTTTTAAGACGGAGTCTTGCTCTGTTGCCCAGGCTGGAGTGCAGTGGCACCACCTCAGCTCACTGCAACCTCAGCCTCCTGGGTTCAACTAATTCTCCTGCTTCAGCCTCCCGAGCAGCTGGGACTACAGGCGCATGCCACCAAGCCCAGCTAATTTTTGTATTTTTCATAGAGACGGGGTTTCACCATATTGGCCAGGCTGGTCTCAAACTCCTGACCTTATGATCCACCCGCCTCGGCCTCCCAAAGTGCTGGGATTACAAGCATGAGCCACCGTGCCCGGCCGTCTAGCTTATTTTTTTTTAATGAATGTATGAGTTCTGAAGTTTGATTCTATGCTCAGATACATTTTGCTCATTTCTTTTCTGATCCCTGTTTTCATGTATGTGGGACCTCCCTGGGTTTTTTTGGCCCATGGCAAGCACTTTTTAAGATAATTATCACATCCCCCTCACACTTAGTCTAGTAAAACTACTGATGTTAACCTAAGAACAGTGGAACTGTAAGGAGTCATGCTCATTTATTCCTAAAAGATTACAACTTTTTTTAAAACAAAAGTGTAACACATATAAAATATACAATGCATAAGTGTATTTAAGTAAAACATAAAAAGAACTAAAAAAGTAAAATACAGCAATCATAAGCTCCATGATTAATTTCAAACTGATCACATCTATGTAAGTACTACTCAAGTCAAAAGATATAACATTACTAGCATAGTCCCCCTCAAAACCTCTCTTAGTCACTGCCCTCTTCTGCCTCCCCAGAGTTTATCACTATCCTGACATCTAACACTATAAGTTAGTTTTGCCCTTGTGTTTTTTTAATGTCTTCTTTTTTCTCTTTGGTAGTGGTTATAAAATGTTTTTGTAATACTAGAGTCTTCATTAGAATCCAGTTTAGCCAAGTAAAATGCTTCTGAATCTCATTGGTGGGGGAAAGGGAGGAGGCTGTACATGTGAGGGAAAACTGTATTTTAAAATATGTTTTAAATTTTAAATTAAAAAAAGAACACAATATTTCTTGATATATAACTGTTTATTTTAAACTGCTGAAATATATCAATAGCAGCTAAAGGTATGTGTGTGCTCTTGCTTACAGAAAAAGTGACCCACAGCATCCTAACCTTACACTTGTTTTGATACTCGCCAGCAAAGGAGGAAGAGAGTGAATGGGTGGGGTTAAGGATTACTGGGGGACATTTCTGGGTCACAAAGTGATATAGCCAGAACTCTGGAATTTCTCTAAATTAAATGTTTTATGTTAAAAATTAGTGTGAATTTGCTGGCCATCAGAGAAATGCAAATCAAAACCACTATGAGATACCATCTCACACCAGTTAGAATGGCGATCATTAAAAAGTCAGGAAACAACAGGCGCTGGAGAGGATGTGGAGAAATAGGAACACTTTTACACTGTTGGTGGGACTGTAAACTAGTTCAACCACTGTGGAAGTCAGTGTGGCAATTCCTCAGGGATCTAGAACTAGAAATACCATTTGACCCAGCCATCCTGTTACTGGGTATATACCCAAAGGATTATAAATCATGCTGCTATAAAGACACATGCACATGTATGTTTATTGTGGCACTATTCACAATAGCAAAGACCTGGAACCAACCCAAATGCCCAACAATGATAGACTGGATTAAGAAAATGTGGCACATATACACCATGGAATACTATGCAGTCATAAAAAATGATGAGTTCATGTCCTTTGTAGGGACATGGGTGAAGCTAGAAACCATCATTCTCAGCAAACTATCGCAAGGACAAAAAAACCAAACACCGCGTGTTCTCACTCATAGGTGGGAATTGAACAATGAGAACACATGGACACAGGAAGGGGAACATCACACACCGGGGCCTGTCGTGGGGTGGGGGGAGCAGGGAGGGATAGCATTAGGAGATATACCTAATGTTTAATGACGAGTTAATGGGTGCAGCACACCAACATGGCACATGTATACATATGTAACAAACCTGCACGTTGTGCACATGTACCC
The DNA here is from genome assembly GCF_000001405.40 of Homo sapiens. Classification (NCBI taxonomy): domain Eukaryota; kingdom Metazoa; phylum Chordata; class Mammalia; order Primates; family Hominidae; genus Homo; species Homo sapiens. Next base: position 174,981,826 of record NC_000002.12, on the reverse strand, counting down.
TAAAACTTAAAGTATAATAATAAAAAAAAAATTCGTGTGTATTTGATACTGTACTTCACAGTTTGTCTACTTTTAATAGAGTATTTCATATCATCAGGAAAAAAATATTTACAATTGCTTCCTAAGTTAATGGGCAAAATGCTGATGAACTGTTACTTATGGAAAACTTCATTGAATTAAGTATTCAGACATGTATAAGTCTGTTAACAGAAATTAGAAGAATTTATTTTATTGCTTTGTGATACATGTTCAGGCATTCGTCATGAGGGATGCTGAATAGCTCAGACGGTGTTTTCATCTTTAGTAGGAATGCAATAGATGTTTCATCTGCTGAGAAGTTAAATTGCTTTGTCATATGAAAAATAGAGTTGCTTACTCAAAAGTTAGCATCTTTTACTGTCTCAAAAATTTGTTAAAGGAATGTTTTCAGTAACAAAAGATAATGGTTCTGTGATGATACAGTAGCTTCTGGGGTGCTCAGTGGCCTTAATGCTGACAACTTGACAATAATTTTACCTGCTTATAGCCCACACCCATGAATTTTTTTTTAGCTGATCTCACATCTCTTTGTTTATTGGCAAGCATTTTGCAAAATGACATGTCTACATCAATATTATTTTTATAAATATACAAAGACCCAATTTTTAGGATTCGTTTATCCAACTCGAAGTGAAAGATCCAGGTTAGCTTTCTCAATAAATAGATCTTTGAGCACATTGAAAAATATCATTTGATCATGGCACCTTTCTTTAATTTGGTTTCCTTCTTTTTGCTAAATGTGGATTATACTATATCCACAGTGCAAAATTTGGTGAAATTTTACATCTAAGGTTAATTCTCAACCTGATCTCTTTATGGAAGCTTTAAGCAGTTTTTAAATTTGCAAATTAGCTTGAGTGTCTTACTTTATTGTTTCTAGCTAAGTCATATTTTCTGTTTAGTTGCAAACTATCTTTGGAGTTTTTCCTTCAAAATTACATGATTACAAGTCACTGGAAGAGTGATAATTTCAATGTAGTTTTTCCTCAGGTATTTCTAACATACAGAATATCATAGTTTAGATTCATTTGCAAGTTTGCAACAATCTACACATTTAAAAAAATGTATCTCATGCTTTTTAGATGTCTACTGCTAATTATTACTGATTGGTTGGTTGTAGTCAAGGAAAAACAGAGCATCTTCATCACTCTTAGGAAACCAGGCATATCTCACCTGAATTTTAAATCATTTGTGCTTCCAATTTTACTTTAAGCTTAATTCTTCAATTAGGAATTGAAGAATTGTTTTTAACCAATAATGCATGTTCCTATTTGAAAACAATTTTAAAATCATAATTTTAAAAACGGGAAAAAAGACTAAAAATTTTCACATGTATAAACAGGACTCTGGGTATTTTTATGTTCTGAGGAGCTCACAGCGGCAAAGAAGTGGAACTAAATACAGTGTTTATATACCAAATACTTGATCAAATGCAATTATAGCAGGAAATTAAACTGCTATGTGGGGGTTTGTGGAGTTTTTTTGTATTTTGTTTTCAAGTAAACAAGCAAGGAAACCAAACATTGGTTTCTAGAGTGAAAACTTTTTTTTACGTAAGTCTTGCTGTTGAGTAATTCCCTGGGTGAATTAGAGATAGCAGAGGGTGTGTTGGTCAGTATTAATAGCCTCTCTTATTCTCAAAGCATTAGCTTTTATTGTTCACTTAGACTTGAGAAAAAGAATACCCTAATAACATAAAAATGCCAACAGTTGTAGTTATTTATTTTACAGAAGCATTTCTACTCTTAGGACTTTAACAACTTCTCCTTCCCCTATAGAGAAGTGAGAGTCAGATGGTACATATAAAAATTCTTAAATTTTAAATCTTGGAATGAAATTGTTCTAAAAAGGTATGCCATGTTAATACTGTGTACATCTTTTTGTTTTGTTTTGTTTTGTTTTGTTTTTGAGATGGAGTTTTGTTCTTTCGCCAGGCTGGAGTGCAGTGGTGTGATCTCACCTCACTGCAACCTCTACCTCCCGGGTTCAAGCAATTCTCCTGCCTCAGCTTCCCGAGTAGCTGGGACTACAGGCGCCCACCACCATGCCTGGCTAATTTTTGTGTTTTTAGTAGAGATGGGGTTTCACTGTGTTGGCCAGGATGGTCTCGATCTCTTGACCTCATGATCCACCCGCCAGTAGAGATGGGGTTTCACCGTGTTGGCCAGGATGGTCTCAATCTCTTGACCTCGTGATCTGCCCACCTCGGCCTCCCAAAGTGTTGGGATTACAGGCATGAGCCACCGCGCCCAGCCCTATGTACATCTTAAATATTGCCTTGTACCCCTTGGGTTGCACATAACCAGAGCCTGCCAATAAGCAGGTTTCCTGAGTTGACTGTAGAGAAAGAAAATAGAGGACTGAGATTCTGGCTTAAGTCATATATTAGTAAATTGATCTTTCTTTTTTTAAAAATAGATAAGTGTGCAATCCAGAAAACCTTCCATTGCTGAGTATTTTATCAAGTGGAATAATTATTCTATGTAAAAATTCCAATAACAAGTTATTATGGTTGATAAGGCTAACACCTCTCATTTTCCTATATTACTTAATAATTTTATTTTCAAAGTGCTTTCTTTCATTGTAATTCCACTGTAAAATATCTTGACTGTTCATAAAATTTAGTAAATGATGATGCCTCGACTTGAAATTGGCTATCCTTCTGGTATCCATTAACAACCCTAGTCTAGCTTTTCTCATGCTGCATTGTGATTATTTAATGTCTTTCTTCAACCCTAAACTATGGAATTCTCAAATACAGAGACTGTACTTTACTCATGTTTTTCTCTGTGCAATTTAGCCCTAGTTGGTACTTAATACATGTTTGATGAATGGATGAATGAAGGAGTGAATGGATGAGATTTTATCTGATTGATGGTGATCTAGATTTGTTTTCTCTTCAGTCACTAAAGGTCTGGCTATCATTCTAATTTCCAGAGTATTTTGAAAACATTTTATTACTGGTTTGGTCAGTCTGGAAGGACAAAGGATAACATGATGGGAACAGTTTAAAATGATTGTGTATCGTTAGCTACATTTCACACTATCAAAAGTTATTAAAGATATATTTAAAATCCAGAATCTTTATTGCATTTTGACAAATGTAAGTGAAAAAAGAACCAGAAATAACAATAAACTAGAATTGATTAGAGATGCATTTGGAGCCTGGAATTAGTATTTACAAAATGGATTAGTCTCTCAATGTGGTGCAGGGCAAAGTATGAGCCATTACCTGTGTAGTAAGTAGGTTTGTAGAAATGTTTAACCTGAATCAGGGCTGGCTTCATTGGCATGTGACCTACGCAGTCACTCAGGGCCCACACGCAGAGAGACCTCATTCTTTGTTTAATGCCCTGTGCTGCCATTTTGAAATTTTTAATAATTTTTGAACAAGGGGCTTGCAAATTATCTAGCAGATCCTGATCTGAATCATGGGGAAATAATCACAGAAATACGGATTGTGGACATTCTACAAGACAGCTGGTCTAGATTTTTAAAAAGATGTCATTGTCATGAAAGATGTTTTTAAAACCTAGAGGAGTGGGAAATGTTCTAGGTTGAAGAACGCTAACTAAGGAGACATGGTAACCAAAAGCAATGCATGAACCTTGATTGGATCCTGGATCAAAGAACAAAATAAAATAACATTTTTCACGTAATTGGAAATACTTGATGATATGTTTAAACTGTAATATACCATCAGGGTCCTTTTTGCCCAATATTAATTTTTGAGTTTCTTTTTTGAACAGTTCTAAATCTTTATATACTTTGACATTTCATTACTTTTATTTTTTCTTAGAGGTCTTCCACAGAACAAAGAAAACAATTTACCTGTTTTTAATAGAATGAAAGTCATTATATCTTTTAAACATTTTATTTATTTTTTCATTTTAAAGCCAGTCAGATTTAGCAATGGGGGGTTATATATCAACTTTAGTGAACTAATGTTAATAAATTTTGATAACCCACTACCATTGGAGCAGCCAAAAGTCATTATATCTTGCAATTACCACACAGGTCCCTTTAGAAATGTAAGCCTCATGAAGGGATTTTAGTGATCTTATCCTGAAACATTTTGCCACTCCATCATCCTAGGAATTATTTGCTCATTGCTTATGAATTACTCCCAATTATACTACAAGTAAAAAGACTAACATAAAAATCAAACAAAAGAATTCTGTATTTGTGAAATACATGATCCGATTGTGTCATCCTTCAGTTTTCTTATTGCGTTGCCCAAGGTGTTGCATCATCTTCAACAAGGTATAAAGGCAGCCTGAAGACACTGTCTTTGTTGTCTGTTAAATTTTCATTGAACACACTTTGTTAAACACAGTTGAAAACTTTTAATTGTTTATTTTCAGCCCATATTGGCAAACAGCAATTCTTTGACAGAGGAAGATTTTTCTAATTATTAGACAAATCAGGTGAACAGGTAATGGCACTCTGGACTCTAATGATAATGGTTAAATTGATTATATAGAAGAAATGTCAATATAGATTATCAGATGATGATATCCTAGGTCTAAGGTTGACAAGCTGGTCAGAGTTTTATTAGGAAAGCCATGTCCACTAATTTACATATTGTCTATGGCTGCTTTTCTGCTACAAAAGCAGAGTTCAGTCGTTGAGACAGGCGGGTTTGTTTTGCAGCCTAAAATATCTACTTTCTGAAACTTCACAGAAGTTTGCCAACCTAGTTGTCTAAGGTGAATTTCATCAAACTCAAGAATTGACAGTGAACAATGTGTCTAAGGACAGAAGGAGAAATAGTATTCAAACTCACATAGTCATTCAACAGGAAGGATTTTATTGCAGCAAGATGCTGGACCATCCCGTTTGCTAATAGGACCATTGACAGTATTTTTTCATCTTTTATGATGTTTGTGCACCAGAATTTACTTGATGCGGTTATTTAGTGGACAGATGCCAAAGACAGGTGTGTGTATAACAATGACTGGAAGGAAATGAGTGATATAGAAATGAACGATTTTATTGGATTGATCAGTTTAATTGGTTTTTATAAATCTAAAAATAAAAATATTTTGCAATTATGGAGCAAAGAAGATGGCTCTCTTTTCTTCAACAAAATTATGAGCCATCTGAGTTCTTTAAGGTATTCTGTTTTGAAGATGCAAGTGCAAGAGGAAAAACCAGAAGTAATGATAAACTAGAATTTAATGAAGATACTTTTGAAGTCTGGAATCTTGATTGCATTTTGACAGGGCAAGTGCAAGCAAAACCAGAAGCAGCTGGGTGCGGTGGCTCATGCCTGTAATCCAGCACTTTGGGAGGCAGAGGTGGGCAGATTACCTGAGGTCAGGAGTTCAAGATCAGGCTGGCCAACATGGTGAAACCCCGTCTGTACTAAAAATAGAAAAAATTAGCCCGGCATGGTGGTGGGCGTCTGTGATCCCAGCTACTCGGGAGGCTGAGGCAGGAGAATTGCTTGAACCCGGGAGGCGGAGGTTGCAGTGAGCCGAGATCGTGCCACTGCACTCCAGCCTGGGTGAAATTTATATAAATTTGAAGTCATTTTATGAATAATTTACAGATGTAATAAAAGGATAGTGAAACATAACATGGCAGAAATTTTAATAAAAATTTAAACAGGAAAGCCAAAATCTTAGTCCTTTTTTTTTTTTTTTTTTTTTTTTTTTTGAGACGGAGTCTTGCCCTGTTGGCCCAGGCTACAGAGCAGTGGCGCGATCTCTGCTCACTGCAAGCTCCGCCTCCCGGGTTCACACCATTCACCTGCCTCAGCCTCCCAAGTAGCTGGGACTACAGACACCCGCCACCATGCCCGGCTAATTTTTTTTTTTTGTATTTTAGCAGAGACGGGGTTTCACCATGTTAGCCAGGATGATCTCGATCTCTTGACCTCGTGATCCGCCCACCTCGGCCTCCCAAAGTGCTGGGATTACAGGTGTGAGCCACTTTTGTTTGTTTTAAAGATATATATCCCAAAAGGGCAGCATTCTTTGAAGTCTCATCAACTAACTGCTCATTAATTCTGTCATGTATGAACCTGGGATATATCCATTTATGTAAATACTGATTCCAGGCTTCAAATACATCTAGTTTATATCAAATAGATTCTAGCTTATCATTGCTTCTGTTTTTTTTTTTTTTGTTTGTTTTGTTTTTTTTGCCTGGCTAAAATTTATATAAATTAAAAGAGCTTATGGACCTGGGTGGTAAATGGTAATGACTGCTCTTCCAGGTACAGAGGGTTAATTTCTTGGGTGTGATAATGTTTTCGTGGTTGTATTGAAGAAGGTTCTTGTTTTTTTAGTAGGTAAGTGCTGAATGATTTAAAGGTGAAGTGTTGCATGCCTGCAACTTACTTTGAAGTGCTTGGGGAGGGCATAATATAGAGAAGGGAGAACAAATAGGACAAAGTACTAACAATTAGTGAATTTAGATGAAAGAATACTGATTTCTTGTACTATTCTTTCAATGTTTTAGTAGGCTTGGATATTTTAAAAATTAAAAAAATCTAAGAAATGAAAATTTGGCTCTCAAACACACATGCAAAGAACCATTTCCCCCCAGTAGATGTCCCTTTTAGAGGAAGTACTTGCATTTATACTATAAATACATATTTTTAAATTGTTAGTTTAGCTTAATTATGATTGTGTCAGCTTTTTGCTACTGAGCAGTAGAGGAATAAAATAGTGAAGTTAATAATATGCAGTTGTTTGCCACCAGGGGTTTTCTTAGAAATTCTTATGCTTTCAGAAAATGTTACATTTAGCAGTAAAATACATACATTATTTTCCTTGTCTGTTAGGCAAGATTGCTACAACAGTTAACTCCAGTGGTCAGTGTAGCTTGTGTCGATTTGTTCTGTGTGTGTGTGTGTGTGTGTGTGTGTGTGTGTGTGTGTATTAATTATTTCTTATGGCCTGTTTGCAGAAAATCAGAACTTAAAGTTACAGGCATATATACTGAGAACTCAAGTTTTCTGAAATTATTTCATATATGTTATATGTGCATGAAGGAAACCAATCTCATGGTTGTGTGTTTATTAATGATATGAACAAAAGTATATGACTCTTACCTTTATTTTATTTACCTTTATTATTACCCTTATTTTTGAACATTTTATTGGTGCTGGGAAAACATTTACTACTAGCATATTTGCCTTGACTTTGAAGAGTAGGCCAATATTTAAAAATTTATGAGAAAACAATTTGATCTAATTGTCACTTGTGAACAGTAAAAATTCATTTTTTTGTTATATTATGGGAATTTGAAAAGTCTTATTAGAGATAAATAATTCTCTCTTGCAGACTGGTAAAAGCACATGAAAATGTTTTTTCATTGCTGTCATTTGTCTGTGCTTGATGTGGGTTTGAATCAGATAACTTTTTCATTTTCCAGTGACAATGACCTTTTGCTTTTCAATTCCTAGTATTCAGCATCCTTGCGGGCATTCCAACAGTGTTAGTGCAGTAAAGCATGCAGACGATATTTTCAACAAAATGCTTGTTCACAGCTGCGTGACATAAATCACTCAGTCTGCTTTTTGAATAACAAATAATATTGCTTATTAGAAATCCACATCAAGTCTGGAGTTAAAAGAAGACTCTATTTGAATATTTTAAAACAAACCGATTATCCACCTTTCCATTTTAGTAAACCTATTGGACTGTAACATTTCATATGTGAAGTATGTTTGGCATTGTCACGGTATTTTGAGTCCTGAAGTGGAAATGGGAAAAAAAGAAGTAATATTTTCTAAATAAGGGCATTTTGGAAAATTCTTTAAAGTATGATATCTTGAGACCTCTAGGTATTCTGTTTACATATGTTCATATAAGAGATACCTTGTAGTACTTTAATTCACATATTTCTTCATATAGCTTTCTAGTTACATCTATATTTCTTTCCCTGGAAATTTCCTTAATGTCAGATACTTCAGGAATAAAGGTAAAAGGTTTTTTGATGGTAATAATAATAACAATAACAATAGCTAATATTCATTTGTCCAATTGACGTGCCCTGGGTCAGACTCACAATTAGTAAGTGCTGGTAGAGACAGGTTTCCAGACTTCCAGGGCCCACACTTCTCACCGCTGTCCTGCACTGCCAAAGCTGGCAGCACAAAGTGGGGTGGGTCCACATCGTCAGTCCTGAAACTCACATCAACCTGGCTGAAAATGTGTAACTTCTCTTCCTCCTGAGCACCCAGAAGTGAAGTGCCCAGGCATCCTTCATCTTTTGCTTGCTTTTGCTGCTGCTTCTTCATCACTTTGTCTTCTCTTGTTTTGCTTGTGCATAGAAAATATCCCAGAACTTACTTTCAGTCATTAGCTTCCCTGGCCTTGAAGTATATTTTGTCACCTCCTGCCTAGGTTTCTGCCCTTCCTGAAAAAACCGTGTTTTGTGAATGGGCTTCCAGCAGCCTGAGTTGGTCTACTGATATCATCAGGAAGATTTACAGTGCTCTGTGGCATCTAAAACACTGAATAACTGTGCTTATTATGTATGTTTTCTGTTTCATGATCTGGCAAAATGTTGTCATGATAGTTCTGCATATCATATGTTGAAGCATGGGTTATAGTAGGAAGGAGGCATGCAGATTGCACAGTAGCCCATTCAACTGTGGAAGATACCAGAGAGCATAATCATTGTTATCCAGCATTCTCTTTCTAACTCTTAGACTTTTACTGTGATGACCCAGTGTGGAAGAATTTGTGGTTGAACAACTGAAGAGTTCAAGGCAAAAATAGTGTTAGGGTGATCCTGGGTCACTAGTAAAGCTATGAAAGCTTTAATTTTCTTTTTATATTTGATATAAAATGAGGATAGAACACTAGAAAAAGAGAATATCAGTGATTATATTAGGAACTTTTCAGGATCTCCCTCATTTAAAATTTGGAGAATATGTTTATTAGTTCACTTTTTCTGTGGATGCAGATATTATGCATACTAAGGGGTTATATTTTCTATTTCTGATCTTCCTTATGCATAGCTGAGTCAGAATTTGTTAAACATTCTCTCTGATAAGGTTATGTAGTATAATTCCTTACGTGATAACGCTTAGCCTTGGCACTGAATCAACCTGACTTTATGGCCACCCTCCCTCCCTCCTAATAGAGTGAGTGAGGAGGACAGTTCCAAGATCTCACTTTACTTTCTTTGCTCCAACTTCCATTGTCTGAATGCTGCATAGCTCAAACTACGACTACTGCTCTGCCACCCACTTCACCTTCTTTTTTTCTTCCCAATCCTAGATCACTCATTTATTAATCATCCCCAACAAAGTGATTCATAGACTAAATATTACAGGAAGTGTAAATTCCAAGATTTTAGAAAGTCTGTCTGCATATTCTAGCAGGAATGTTTAGCTTAGGGGAATTTGAAATTGGGTTAGGGATTACTGTTCTTGACCTTACAGGACTCCTTCTTGAGATGCAGACAGTAAGTGCCTGTCTTGTCACTAAGCTTATTGGAGTGATGAAGCATCAGGATATCACCCTGCCGTGGGTCAGAGAGAAGATATTTCTTGGACTTGATGGTTTGAGTGAGATGACAACTCTTTTTGGACACGGGAACCAGAGAACATCCTAAACATTTCATTGAAGGTTATACTCAAGCTTGAGCTACAAGGAAACCAGTAGCAGCAAGGAGAAGACTTTAATAGCATCGTGAATGAACCTGACCATAAGGGATACCAGCTTGTTGTCCTGGAAGCTGGGCTTGAAGCCAGATACCTCAGGGTTATTATTGTTCATTGTTTAGCCTAGTGATAGTTGTCGGGCCCTTGTGGACTGCACTTGAAGTATTTCCTCAGGCATCTGCATCTGCCTCTGAGAAGGTGACCTGGTCTTTCTCCTGCTCATATGAGCTTGCTTAGGTTATCTCCCTTCAATCCCCAATTCATTTGGCTTTGTATTTTGGCTTCTTCTTATTGCCTTGATAATTTTAGATGTAGTCACCTAGGATGACACTGTTTGCCTTGTTTCTAACTTAGCATTCCTTTATTATACTATCAATTTTGGTCAGGAGTATGAGATCTGGAGGCACATGATCTTGGTTCAAGGACTGGCTCTGCTCCTTGTGACTTTAAATAGGTGCCTTGATCCCTCTCAATTACTTGTTTTCTCATGCATAAAATGGTACTAGTAATAATACCTTATAACATTGTTTTGAGACATAAATAAGTATAAAAACATTTAACAAAAGACTGGCACATTGTAAGTGTTCAGTGCAACATAATTTACTATTGTGTTCTAGTTATTGTTTTAGGCCAGTGGTTTTCAAACTTTTAAATCTCAGGATCCATTTATATTCTACAACATTGAGAATCCTAAGGTGCATTTGTTATGTGGGTTATATGTGTTGCTATTTACTGAATTTGAAATTAAAATTGAGAAGTTTTTAAAAATTATCAATTAAAAAATAAACTCCTTACATGTTAACATAAATAACACATTTTATGAAAAATGACTTTTTTTTTAAGAGACGGAGTCACGCTCTGTCACCCAGGCTGGAGTGCAGTGGCACGATCTCGGCTCACTGCAAGCTCCGCCTCCCGGGTTCATGCCATTCTCCTGCCTCAGCCTCCCGAGTAGCTGGGACTACAGGCACCCACCACCATGCTCGGCTTATTTTTTGTATTTTTAGTAGAGACGGGGTTTCACCGTGTTAGCCAGGATGGTCTCAATCTCCTGACCTTGTGATCCACCCACCTCAGCCTCCCAAAGTGCTGGGATTACAGGCTTGAGCCACCACGCCCAGTCGAAAAATGACTATATTTTTAAATGTAGTAAGAAGAGTCATTCTTTTACATTTTTATAAACTCTTTAATGTCTGGCTTAGGAGAGAGCTAGATTCTCTATTTGCAGTCAGCTTTTGAAATATATTGTTTTGTTTGGGATATATGAAGAAAATCTGGCCTTATACAGATATATAGTTGGAAAAAAGGGCAGTGTTTTAATAATCTTTTCAAATAGTTATAGATATCTTTCTTTGATACTACACTAACACTTGACAAGTGGTAGTTTTTTAAAGGTCAATTGCAATGTAGACTTTGAAACCATATCAATGACATTTTTACTCTCGTACATTATGATCTCCTGTTCTATCTTGTATTTGACTGGATCTTTTGCCCACACATGATACTGTATTATCCTACGTTTGTCATTTCAAAAATATTCATTGATTTATGTAAATCTTGTGAATGTTAACACATTTCATTATGCAATATATCTTAGAATCATGTTCTTTAATATCACCATCGATCTCATGGGAAAAATCTTTAAATATTAACAAACTGTCAAGCTCATGGTGGTGGATACAAGTTTCCTTGAATTCTTATTTCCACTTGAAAGCTTGAATTTTTGTGACTGGCAGTAAATACAGTTAGTTATTTTTGTTGGAGTCGCAAGCTTACTTTGCTTATTCTGGAGTAAATACCTGTTAAATACCCAAGTCTGATTAGTCATAGTTTGTGAGTCCTTCTTTCAAGTGAAATGACTATTATGAAAATGGAGCTAGTTCAGCTCACAACCCCAATGACCTCAGATGTGCTTTTCTTCAAGACAACCATCATACTTGGTATACAACAACAGATGGTGCTTTATGCACACTTCTCACTTTTTTTTAACAGAATGACCAAAAGAAGTGTACTCAAGGATCAAAATTTAACAAAACCAATACTTTAAAACTGCTTCATCAAGGGCTTTCTTAGGTTAAACGATTTTTCTTTTTACTGTGAGTGTGTACTGGTGAAGTACAGTGACAGCCTAATTGCCACTGCTTTGTTTTACCCAGCATAGCTTTTGTACCACCAGTACAAATGTCAGTGTAGTGAAAAAGGCAAAATCCTTCTTAAGATTACTATTAAAATAGTTTGGGTTTTGTGGACCTCTCCTGAAAGGGTCTTAGTGACCCACAAGTGTTTACAGACCACACTGACAATTACTGTTCTAGGCAGTAAGAACACAGCAGTGTGACAACAGATGACAAAAAAATCCTGCCCTCATCGAGCTTACCTTCTGGTGTAGAGAGACAAACAACAATATAAAATTGATAAAATATGTAGTATTTTAGATAGCAAGAAGTACTAAGTAGAAAAAAAAAAGAGTATGAAGTGTCAGGGGGTTTTGAACTTTTTAAATGACAAGGAAGGCTTCACTAAGTCAAGAACTGAAGTAGGTGACGGAGCAAACTATAGAGACACCTGGGCAGGAAGATTCTAGACCGAAGAAACAGCTAGGTGGAAGTGTGTCTTATATGTCTGATGAATGGCAGAGGAACAAAGAGGCTGGAGAAGAGTGAGTGAGAGGAAGTGAAGTAGATGAACTCGGGGGCTTAGTGGGGACAGGTCACCCAAGGTCTTGTAGGTCAGTGTTTCTGAAAAATTGGTGTGCGTGCACATGACTTGGTCTTGTGAAAATGCAGATTCTGATTTGTAGTTGGGAGTTGGGTTCTGCACTTCTGCATTTCCAAGTTACCAGATGATGCCACTGTTGTGGTCTTCTTTAAATAGCAGTCTTTGTAGGCAGTTGTAAAGAGTTTGGCTTTTATTCTGAGAGACACAGGAAGTCATTGGAGAGAACGCAGCAGAAGAGTGGCATATTCTGATTTATGTTTTAACACGATCAGCTGTAAATATTAATAACAGTAGCAGGTCTGTAATCCCTTATCCAAAACCCTTGGGACAGATTTGTGCTGGAATGCAGGATTTTTCAGACTTTAGAAAGGTAGTACATTTCACATATATATAGTATATTTTATAACATTCAAAACAGTGTCTGAGGCATTACTCTATAATCACACATTAGTATTTCTGCAATGAAATAAATGGTCACATTCAATGGGATAAAGACTAAATATTCTTACATTGATCAGGTGAGGTTTTTGGTACCAAATGAGTTATAAAGAGTTATTAAATTACTTTGACGTTCAGGTCAGACCAGGCTTTGCTGCCAAATGCGTTATAAAAATACTTCCACTTTTGAAGGCATTTGGATTTTATAATTGAGAAAATACGGACCTTTGTTGGTATTATACTTGTTAGTTTTTCATATCCCTACACTGCTGGAACTTCTTCAAGACAACCAGTCCATTACATGTTCATTTTAGGCCTTGTTGCATGCAAGTGTCAGCAAGAAACGTTACAGCCCCAGATCTTTCATATTCTGGTTCTGCTCTCAGGAAGAAAAACAAGTACCTATCAATTTGAAACACAGTTTCTCATTTATAAAGAGTTTTTGCCCCTTGGCAACTTATTCTGTTGTGTATGCCATAAAAGCATAGTTAATTAAAAGATGCCAAGCATTTTACTATACTTTAGGATAGTTAACGTGCTTTAGAATTATCCAACTCCGCTCATTTGTGGTTGCCACAGTATTACTTCCATGTCTGACTTTGCTTTCTTCCTTACAGCTGTGAGCTGCCTTATTCCACATTTGGCTCTACAGTTTATAATCTAAGGCAAACCTCTCTGTGTTCCTTAGAATCCACTTTTTTTTTCCTTAGTGACTGAGTGGTTTTCCCAGAGATATCCAGTTTAAAAGAAATGCATTTGGAAATGATCAAAATAAGATGAAAAATGTTGTGGTCTTTTCCCATCTCAGTTACCTGTGATGTGAGTATTAGTAATAGGAGCCTTATCTCTCTTTTCCCAATAGTTTCATGTAAGCGTTAGTTTATCTTACTTTCTGAGCAACTGTCCTTTTGATAAAGCTTGAAAACATGGATGTAAGGAAGACTTTGAAGGGTTGCTATTTTAATGCCTGCTGGCAAAATGATATATTGACTCTCATTGGAAAATCCTGTGAATCCGCATTGCAGAATAATGCACATTCTAATAAACACACTACTTTAAATACTCCCAGGCCAGGGAATATGATCGATTCCTGTTCCAAGGGCAAGAATCCAAGTAGGTCAGTGCTACAAAACTATGTTGGAGTATGGGGAAAGCATGGGTTAGGAATAATTTCTGCCAAAGAATGAATAATAGCAAGAAGAAAAACATCATTTGCAATTTTTCTTTTAAGAAAAGGTTAAGGAGGTTATATAGTGGGTCTGCTGAAGGAGGTGAGGGTTATCTGAGACCACTGAATTACAGTTGGAAAGATAACTGACAAGGAAAATCTCCACTAAAAGTATAGTTGATTATTTTCCAGAACTTGTACTTATAAAAAGTAAAAATTCTCCAAAGAGTGTTCGTATGGTTACATTTTTTTAATATCTGGAATTTCAAGTGCTATGAATGGTTAAAAGTCTAAGTTGTTGAATTGGAAAAAATGGAAACATTGGAACATGAACATTGGAACACGAACATTGGAAAAAATGTTCATCAAGCATATTATTTTGTTGTAGTAAAACATATATAACGTAGTATATTCTTTTAAGGATGAATTATAAAGACTTCATAAACATATTGCATTTTAATTTAATTTAATTTAATTTTTGAGACAGGATCTCACTCTGTTGCCCAGGCTAGAGTGCAATGATGTCGTCTGGGCTCCCTGCAGTCTCGACCTTCCTGGCTCGAGCAATCCTCCCTGCATGCCACTCCTGCCTCCTACCCCAGTAGCTGGGACTACAGATGCATGCCACTACACCTGATTAATTTTTGTATTTTTTGTAGAGACGGGGTTTCTCCACATTGCCCAGGCTGGTCTTGAACTCCTGAGCTCAAGTGATCCGCTGCCTCAGCCTCCCAAAGTGCTGGGATTACAGGTGTGAGTCCCCGCACCCAGCCGCATTTTAGACGTGAGATGCAGAGAAGTAGAAGGATCTACTTTATTGTCGTTATCGAGTTTTGCGCATTCTATTTTCTGGGGCAGATGGTTTCAGGGAATGTATTATATTATTAATGATGAGTTTTTGAAATGTACCCAACAAAATCCAAATGGGAACCAGTTGGGAATGCTGAGATATCATTGAGAGGACTGACAGGAATTAAACATCATCTTGAAGTTCCCTTTTGGAAATCCTGTAGGTAAACAGGCCTGTCTGAGGACTTTCTGTAAATATGCCGACATGTCAGGAGAAACATTATCAGAAGTTCTCTTCTTCTCACCTCAGATTTGACTTGTCTAGAAGAATTAGTAGGTTGGAGAATGACACTCTTTTACCTTTGGATTGAGTTAAATGACCCATTTCCTGTGTATAGCTTTTTGTTTTCAGGAGTATAGTGAAAGATTTGAGTAAGCAGAAGGACTTTGTGTAATCTGTTTGCTAGGTCTGCCAAGCTGGTTACAGGAAACTGCTTAGGTCTTTTATTAAAGACCAAGCTTTAGTTTTAAATAGGAGAGGTTTCCAAATTTGCTTCACGTTTCATTTAAGAGGCTTTGTTTGCCCAGGCTGTGGGTCCGTGGTCAGGAATTGAGCACTGCATTTACAAAATATTTTTTTCTGTGATCTTTGATGAAGTTAATGTGAGCACTGTAGTTGCACAGTTTCAGAAGTGTTTGTTTTTTTTTTTCTTCCTGAGTATTAACGGTTCTGGGTCACTATTCTCTGAAGAATTAAAAATAATTGTCTTTTGTTTTAAAAATAGTTTATTTCCATCAGAGTTGAATCATGACACATCAGTTTTCAACTTGGAACAATTTTAAATGACTTCGTTGCTTCTAAGGGTGAATTTAACTGACCTGATTTGGCCATGACTTTGCAGAGTGAATTTTAATTATCTTAGTTGTAATGCCTTCTTTCCACATTTTGAAGCATCTTCTAGGAAAGAAGTTTAGTCAGGATGTGAGATACCTAGAAACCTAGCAAGGCTCATTTTTGTTTCTCATTAGTTTAGAATCGTGTATGTTATTAGGAGCCATTTTCACTGTGAATTTTTGTTTTCCAAGAAACTTCATTAAAGAGCTTGGATGTTTTCTTTGTGACTCTTTCACATATTAACTATAGTAGTTGTTTGTTTGGTGTTTACTGTTTATGCCCTTGTTTCAAAAATCACTTTATAGTCAAATAAGAGTTTAAGCATGTCATTATTTTGGTGTGTCTAAATATTGAACCGAAACAGAACAGCAACAGGTGGGGATTAATTATTATTGCCGTACATTTTTGGATTAAAGCAGTACAGGAAATCTCACCAGTTGGTTGAAAGGCGACTCTTCATTTGAAGGGAAGAAATGGTCTTTTTTCTTGCTAATAAATGTCATTCTGTTTATACAATTCAAAATTGTTAATTTTCAAACCAAAGGCAATCTGAAACTAATATGCTTTAAAACCTAAATCACAATTTTTGAGTGTTCATAGGTCATTTGTCTAAACATTTAAAATGCAATATAGTCCTTTTTGAGAATTCATTATATTGTTTAAAAGTTGTAACAGCCTTTGGTTTGGCCCTAAAAAAATAAACAGCTTAAATTTAACATTCTAGTCTGTTCTAGAATGAACTGTTTAACTTGTAAAACGTTAAGCAGGTTTAAACTTCACCAGAGGAATATTATTCTAAACCAAAGAATGCATAAGATATAGATTATATAATGATACAAAAAGAATATATAATAAAAAGAAAGAAATAATTTTTGTTTTCAGAGGTCATTTTTAACAACTTCTATAGATATAGCGGATGTAAATAGGATCTAATTGGAGAGAACATGAAGATGTATTTAGTCATAAAATGTTATAAATTAATCCAAAAAATCAGGACATTAAGGTATTTGTAAGTAAATTTAATCCTATCAGTCAGTAAATGAATACTTTTGAGTATCTCCTAAGTAACTATAATGTTATAAATTATATCAAAGATGGATTTAACTAGGGATTTTAAAAATCATTGCCTAAAGGCTCAGATATCTTGAAATTTTTGTTATTTAAAGAAAAGTGAATGTCCTGACAATACTAATATTTAGAGAAAAAGCAGCACAAAAGATTATGGCAACAATGAGTTTAACACTAAATCTTGTTTAAAATCTATACCTTTGAGTTTAAAAAAGCAAGAAAAATTGGAATCGCTTTTCATAAACATGATAGAATATATAAAAATATGTTTAGATAAGGTTTTCTTGACTTGCAATTCTAGCAGTTAACCAAGAATGAAAGAAAATTTAATTAAGAAACTGTTTTTCATTTCCTATAACAAATGCTTGACATTCAGCAAATTCAATTAGAACCGGCAGAAGAGGTAAATGAAGACCTCCACAGGGATTCTGAGGGGGAATTCAAAGACTTTAGAAGAATGTGGTGCTTTATTATGCGTAAGTTTGCCACAAAGCTATAGCTGATTTTTAAGCCTCTTGGACTGGGATTTCTCTGGTAGTACATGCAGTTCAAGAGCCCACCTAAAACAATTAGAGCCTCCTGTGGAGTTTGTTAAAGAGGACTTTTCTCTGTCTGATTCAGTTTCCATGTTTTCTTCATCTTACAGATAGTTTACTTACACTTTTTTGTTTTTAATAGTTCTCTGTTAGCACAAATGTAATGTATTCGTTGTATAATAGAGAGGCCTTTCTCCTCCTGGTTCTAGGAGAGAATAATACTCCAAGACCATAGGACATCCATTACATGTAATAAGGTAACTTCTCTCCTGTGCTTCCAGAAAGAGTTTGTTATCTCCCATACTTGGGAGAACTAAGAAAACAGTCACTTGAAACATTATCCAGGCTTGCTTTAGAGGAGGAGAAAGGCTGATCTGGAGATCACTACTGTTAACCCTTCTAGTGTGTGTCTTTCTAGTTCTTTCATCCTCTCTCTCCCTGCTGTGTACACATGCACATACATATACACAGGAATATCTTTTCTTTCATTTATAAAAAAATGAAAAAATTCTCTGACAAGGTTGTACTGTACATACGAATTAACTTAGGCTTATTTTGATCTCATCTTTTTCTTTCATTTTCATGGATTTGTTTATGTTTTTACATCAAGTCTCGAGGAGAATGTCTCACACAGAACCTAGCTTAGACATGAAGCTTCTCTCCCCTTTCCCAGGCCTTGCTGCCACCTGCAATTTTCAGTTCCTTACTTTGTGCTCTTGTGAGTCGGCTCCATGAGTTGTGCTTGTTGTCTTCTGTCTTTGGCTTTCCTGTTGCCTGGTTTGCTTTCTCCGACTCTTGAGAAGTGAGCTGGACCTGACTACAGCATTCTTCTGTCCTCAAATAGCTGAGTATTTAATTGAAAGAACATACAAACCAGAGAAGAACTCATAGTGCGTTATTTGTGGATGGCTCCTGACAACTCAGCCCAGGTTCCCTCCAGGGCCTGAGTCACAAACTTTCCTCAGTATATCTTTATTTCAGCCACTCTGCATTGTTTGCAGTTCCTCAAACATGTACTGAACTTTCTTGTTTCTGCCCTCTTTTTCACTGTGTTCTCTCCTCTGTTTAGTGTCCTTCTGCCTGTTATTCGCAGCCCCTTTATTTTAAAAACCATCTATCCTTTAAGAGTCTTGTCGGATAATACCTCTTCTGGTATGTGTTTCTTGACTCTCTGGCCAAAAGTGATTCCTTCTTTCCTTCCATTCGTTCATCAGTTCAGCAAATACTTACTATAGACCTATTCTTGCCAGGCATTTAGACAAGACAATGTTTGTAAAACTTCTATTACTCTTACTTTATTGCCTTGTTTGTGAATAATATCCATCATATTTTTGTTACTGCCATTGAAGGCACAAACTATATCTGGACCCGCCTCGTAACTGACACCCTCACCCATAGAAGGTGTTTCATGTGTAATTACTGAATGAATGAAACTTTCTGATTATTTTAACATTTCTGTGTGCCAGCATAACTGATATTTTTATAAAATTATCTTTTATATTAGGTATGAAAAGTATTACTGACACTTCATGGCAATGGAGAAAACCTTTTAATAGATTTTATGGGTATATACTTAATTTAAATAGTCGTACATATCATGATAAGGATATATGTATATAATAATAATAATTATTTTTTGAGACAGGGTCTCGCTCTGTTGCCCAGGCTGGAGTGCAGTGGCACGATCTTGGCTCGCTGCAACCTCTGCCTCCCTGGTTCAAGCAATTCTCCTGCCTCAGCCTCCTGAGTAGCAGGGATTACAGATGCATGCCATCATGCCCGGCTAATTTTTGTATTTTTAGTAGAGGCCGGGTTTCACCCTGTTGGCTAGGCTGGTGTCGAACTCCTGACCTCAGGTGATCTGCCCCCCCCCCCCCCCCCCCCGGGCCTTCCAAAGTGCTGGGATTGCAGGCGTGAGCCACCGTGCCCAGCCATACCATGATAAAGATATTTTAAGCAGCTATTCTTAAGTCATAGGTTATCTGCTTCTCATTCTCAGTCATATTCTGCTGATGGAGTTTGACAGGTTCATAAGCTGGGTCTGGGCGGATTTTCTGACAGAATCAAAAAGAGGTGTTGTGAGCGCTTGAGACCTTCAGCTGAAGGCAATCACAAACATTTTCGGAGTATTAGCCCTGGATAACTTTGAACAAGCTGCTGTTCTCTGCCAAAAGAACACACAATTTTCTCTCTTTTCTCTTCCTAATTTTTGTATTTCTTCTATTAGATGAAATATTTCTTCTTTGTTTGTTTGTTTGTTTTTGAGACAGAGTCTTGGTCTGTTGCCCAGGCTGGAATGCAGTGGCGTGATCTCGGCTCACTGCAACCTCCGCCTCCCAGGTTCAAGCGATTCTCCTGCCTCAGCCTCCTGAGTAGCTGGGATTATAGGCGCGCGCCACCCCGCCCGGCTAATTTTCGTATTTTTAGTAGAGACGGGGTTTCACCATGTTGGTCAGGCTGGTCTTGAACTCCTGACCTCGTGATCTGTCTGCCTCGGCCTAACAAAGTGCTGTGATTACAGGCGTGAGCCACCGCGCCTGGCCCTCGATGAAATGTTTATTAACCCCACTCTATCCCATATCCTAGATATGCCAAGGAAATTACGGTTTAAAATACTCATTCTCAAAGCATGGTCCAGGGACTCCTGAGGGAGATTTTACAAAGTTAAGACTATTTTTGTAATAATACTGAGACATTATTTTCATCACTCTCATTCTCTTGCTAGTATCTAATTGAATCTTCTAGAAGCTACATGGCATGTGGTATAACAACAGATGTAGATATGAGAATCCAGCTGTCTTGTATTAGGCTAGACATTAAAGAGATTTGCAGAATGTAAAACAATTTTTTTGTTCTGAAAAATATGGTTATTTTTCATAAAAATGTTAAGATATAATAGGCTTATTATTTTTATTTTTTTAATTTTATTTTTATTTTTATTTATTTATTTATTTTTGAGACGGAGTTTCACTCTTTTTGCCCAGGCTGGAGTGCAATGGCGCAATCTCACCTCACTGCAACCTCCGCCTCCCGGGTTCAAGCGATTCTCCTGCCTCAGCCTCCCGAGTAGCTGGGATTACAGGCACCTGCAACCATGCCCGGCTAATTTTGTATTTTTAGTAGAGACGGGGTTTCTCCATGTTGGTCAGGCTGGTTTTGAACTCCCGACCTCAGGTGATCCACCCTCAGGTGATCGGCCTCCCAAAGTGCTGGGATTACAGGTGTGAGCCACCACACCCAGCTGGCTAATTATTTTTAAATGAATTAACAAAAAAATATGATTCAAGTTTCTGCCTGCCTGCCTGCCTTCCTCCCTCCCTCCCTCCCTCCCTTCTTCCCTCCCTCCCTTCCCTCCCTTCCCTCTGTTCCTTCCATTCCTTCCCTCCCTGCCTCCCTCCCTCCCTTCCCTTCCTCCCTTCCTTCCTTCCCTCCGTCAGTGTCACCCAGACTAGTGTGCAGTGGCACAAACACAGCTTACTGCAGCCTCCACTTCCTGGGCTCAAGTGATCCTTCCACCCCAGTTTCCTGTGTAGCTGGGACTACAGTCACGCGCCACCTGATTTTTTTTTTCTTTTTGTCTTTTTTCTAGAGACAAGGTCTCACTTGTTGCCCAGGCTGGTCTTGAACTCCTGTACTCAAGTGATCCTCCTGCCTCAGCCTCCCAAAGTGCTGACATTACAGGCATGAGCCACTGTGCCCAGCTGTGTTTTTATTTTCATTTTTTTTGAGACGGAGTCACGCTCTGTCGCCCAGGTCAGAGTACAGTGGCATGATCTCGGCTCACTGCAACCTCTGCCTCCTGGGTTCAAACGATTCTCCTACCTCAGCCTCCCGAGTAGCTGGGACTACAGGTGTGCACCACCACGCCTGGCTGATTTTTGTATTTTTAGTAGAGACCAGGTTGGTCTCGAACCCCTGACCTTGTGATCCACCCGCCTTGGCCTCCCAGAGTGCTGGGATTACAGGCATGAGCCACCGTGCCCGGCCCCAGCTGTGTTTTAATTTCCAGTGTGGCTAATATCAATAAATATTAAAAGCTCTTTAGAATCCAGATTTCTGAGACCCAAAAGATTGACAGCCACTGGTTTATAAGATTTAAAATATTTAAGATAACAGAGAACACACTTTCTAAGAGATTAAAAGGTAAAGTCCTTTTCATGTAGTCCAGGTATCTTCAAACTGGAATACTTAATCATACTTAATCATAATGGATTAAGCTGGTTTTCAGTTGTTGGACATTTAGGTTGAGTACAGTATTTTAGTCTTTAAAAGTAATATTGTGATATTCTTCTGTATTAATATTTTTCTAACATCCTTAATTAATTGTTTACAATGAATTTCTAAAAATAGAACTGCTGGGTCTAAAGGTATGCAGAAGGAACTGGCATGACCTGTTACACTCTCATGTTTTTTTCTATTAATCAGCAGGAAATTTATTATGTTCCTTTTTAGACAGTCTCCGCCTCCAAGTTTGAGCCCCAGGAGGCTTTCCCAGTCCCAGAGTCATCCCATCTGCCTCCAAATGCCAGAAAAAGAACCAACTACACTATTGCTCTTCCTTCCCATCATCATTTTTTCTCAGCATTTAAGACCAGCCCTGCACTGTTTGGCAATAGTTGCTTGAACTGCCACTAGGATCCTGTTTCTGGTCAGACCATGGCCCAGGTCACAGCAGTCACCGCAGTTGAAGGTCAAGATTGCAGTTTTTTAAAAGTTCATTTTCTTTTACTGAAGGATTTAGTGTACCAGGGAGGCTGAGGTCAGAGACACTTCCAGCATCCACCTTAGGCTGTGCCAGAATCTGTCCTACCTGATAAACGCAGAAGCTTTTTGTGTGACCTTAGATCACCAGTTTCAGTTATTCCTTCTTCAAGGCCATTTTATTTCAGGAATGTCTCTGCCTCTTCTTGCCAGTGGGACTTGGCTTGAGCTATGAGTGTCTTCTGTGACAGAACTCTTTAATTTTGAATCTCAGGAATTAAAGATTGGGGTAATGTTTCTTCCTTTTCAGGAAGATTTAGCGTCCTGGAAAATTGGTCCTCCTGCCTTCAGCAACTAATTCTGCATATCAAGAGATTGAGGCACTTTTTCCTAAGCCATTCAACTTTCCCCTCCCAGTGTCCCCTCCTCCCCTGAGTCCTAAGGACAGTGGCACCTACCCACTGGTCAACTAAAGGAACATTCAAGCCGCTTTTCTCTCAGCAAAAGGATCCACACCAGTGATCTAAGGTCTCTACCCATAAACATAAGAAAGGCCAAAATAATTTTTAAGTGTTCTCCTTCAAAGAACATCTCATCTAATCTCTGCCTTAATAGATACCTGTTACACAGTTAAGCTTATGGTATATATAGCTAATTGCTCTCCAGAGAGGTTATGCCAGTTTAGACTTCTACCAGCAAAAAATAGATTGCTAGGAAAATATATTTAAAACCTAAACAGTGCTCTTAAATGTCATTAATTAGAATTGTTTTAATATTAAAAGAAATATTAAAAGAATATTAAAAGAAATTCAAACTTTTCCCCTAATATTTCTTATTTTTTTGCCAAATACTAAATTTATTTGGCCATGATTGTGATCTGTAGCATCTTGAATAATGTCTTTTATAACAGAGCAGGTGTACATGGAAGACCAAGATAGTAAGAAGGGAATACATGGCTGAAATCATTAACAGCGGCTTGAGGCTAATATGGTAATATTGTGTTTTCAGAATAACTTTTGGTGAAGGCAGGAGAGGGTTCTTATTTACTGAAGGTCTCCTAAGTACAAGGTGCTTTATAGATGATACCTAATTTAATTCTCAACAACAAACCTATGTTGTTACTATTCCCATTTTAGATGATATTGTTATTCCATTTTATAAATAAATAGATTAAGATGCAGAGAGGTAGTAAATTTTCTAAAGTCACAGAGCAAGTAAAGGTTGATGTTCCCTAAGAAAGCGCCACCTAGCACTAAGTACACAGTTCTTAGAGTAAGGACTTTGAGAATTAGCCTTTCTTTCTCACCTTCTCCAAAGTCAGAATGATCTCCGGGAGGCCCTCACGGCTCATAGGTGCAGCTTTGCACAGGGTCTGTGAGGCGTTAGGGCCAACTACAAAATCTCCAAGACTTCCCTCACTTTTGACACCAACTGCAAATTGAGTGGGGGAGTTCCCCAACCACCTTCATGGACTAAAATTCACTAGAAGGACTCAACAGAACTCACTAAACATTACTTACATTCATGGTTATTGCCGGGAAAGGATACATATTAAAATCAGCCAGGGGAAGACAGGCACAGGACAGCGTCCAGGAGAAATGCAAAACACAGAGTTTCCATTGTCCTCTCTCCTTGGAGTCAGGACACATGCCCACCCTCCCTCCCTCCCTTCCTTCTCTCCTCCTGTCCTTCCTTCCTTACTTCCTCCCTTCCCTCCCTTTCCTTCCTTCCTTGGTGCCCAGGCTGATCTTGAACTCCTGGGCTCAAGCAGTCCTCCTGCCTCAGCCTCCAGAGTAGCTGGGATTACAGTTATGTCGCTGGCTTCTTCTTGCATTTATGTGTGATGATCCACGTGGGATATTTCCAACCAGAGAAGCTCTCCCGGCCTCGGTGTTCAGAGCTTTCATTGGGGCTTTATTGCATAAGCATGGTTGATTGACTGTCCATGTGGTTCCTTAACTGATACCAGTGACCCAAAGCCCCAAGTTACTCTCTGGCTGGCCCCAGGCAAACAAAAATTATCTTTGAAGGCAAGGTCTAGACCTCTTCTGAGACAAGATTAAATTATTTACTAGATAGGGTCCCAGTCTCATTGAGTGCTCCCTCCCTTCCTAGCCCCTCACAGTGGATCAGGAGGTACCTGGTCACCACCTCTTATGGTTTGGAGCCCCACAAGGAAGTGGAGACACACATAGAATATGGGTGTCCTGTTATAAACTGGAAACTCGCTCCACGTCATACTCCTTAGGATTGAATTATAATAACAGCAGAATATCAAGGAAATAATAACATGACTTGAATGCTTACAGGCAAATTTTTTCTAGTATTAAAAATACAATTGAGTTAATTATGGTTTACTTATTAAGACAAACTTCAATATAATTAACTGCCCCCCCCCCCAACACACACACCCTAGCAGAGGCATTGTGGTCACTTGCAAATAATCACAGAGAAGTAAAAAATTTGAGTCATATGACCTGCCTGTTCCCGGCTGTGGCCAAGCAAGGCAGTTCTCCGCCTTGTTTCAGCTCTCACGCTGTAAACAAGTCCTCTTTTCATGGTCTTTTCAGGGCCACACTTTTTTACATTTTTGTGGGATTTTATTGTTGTTGTTCTTAGTGATTTTGCCATTTAAAATGGTCCCCAAGCCTCGTGCTAAAGTGCTGTCTAGACAGTGTTCCTAAGAGCAAGAAGGCTGTGATACATCTTTTGGAGAGTATGCATGTGTTAGATAAGCTTCATACAGGCATGAGTTCCAGTGTTGTTGCTGTGAGTTCAGTGTTAATGAATCAACGGTATATACGAAATAAGGTGTCTTTAAAGAGATACACATATAACACAAGGTTATGTATTTAATGGTTGATGAAAATGTTGTGACCAGAGGCACACAGGAACCTAACCCTGTGTTGCCCCCAGGAGCAGTGGTTCAGTATTTGCTGCTAAATTCAGTGTTCGAGGTAACTTCATAGCATATAATTACTGTGAATAATAAGAAATGACTCTATTTGCTGCATTATTTCATTCATTATTCATTTATTCATGTAATCTGTTATTCATTCTTTTTTTTTTTTTTTTGAGATGGAGTCTTGCTCTGTCACCCAGGCTGGAGAGCAGTGGTGTGATCTCAGCTCACTGCAGCCTCTGCCCACTGGGTTCAAGCAGTTCTCCCTGCCTCAGCCTCCTGAGTAGCTGGGGTACAGGTACCTGCCACCACGCCCAGCTAATGATTGTATTTTTAGTAGAGATGGGGTTTCATCATGTTGGCCAAGGCTGGTCTCGAGTTCCTCACCTCAGGTGACCCGCCCCTCTTGGCCTCCCAAAGTTCTGGGATTACAGGTGTGAGCCACCACGCCCGGCCTGTTATTCATTCTTTGAGCAGACATATTTGTGTGTGTGTTTTGTTTTTTCATTTTACCATCATATATTCCTTCTCTGATGCTCTTTCTTTATGTAGATTTGAGTTTCTGACTTACATCCTTTTCCCTCTGTTTTTGAAGAATTTCTTCTAACATTTATTTTTGGCCAGGTTTGTTGTGTTGAGTTCTCTCATTTGTTGTTTTTCTGAGAAAGTCTTTATCTTTCCTTCTGATTTGAAGGATAATTCTAGTGGATATAAAATTTGGGGTTGTTATTTTTTCTTTCTTCAACATTTTGGATATTTTACTCCTCTCTCAATGCTTTTATGGTTTCTAGTGAGAAGTCTACTTGTAATTCTTATCATTATTCTCCAATGGAAAAGTTATTTTTCTTCTTCTTCCAAGATTTCCTCTATGTCTTTAAGTTTTCCACAATTGTTTTTTAATTTTCAACTTTTATTTTAGATATGGGGATACATGTGCAGATTTGTTACATGAGAATATTGCATGATGCTGAGGTTTGGAGTACAGGTCCTGTCACCCTGGCAGTGAGCATAGTGCTTAATAGGTAGTTTAACTCACCCCTCTCCTCACCTTCTAGTAGTCCACAATAGACATTGTGTCATATTTATATCCTTGTGTGCTCAATACTTAGCTCCACTTATAAGTGAGAAGATAACGGTATTTGGTTTTCTGTTCCTGTGTTAGTTTGTTGAGGATAATGGCCTCCAGCTGCCTCCATATTTTTGCAAAGGACATAATTTCATTCTTTTTTATGGCTGTTTAGTATTACATGGTGTGTACATACCACATTTTATTTTATTTTATTTTTCATTTGTTTGTTTTTCAATTTATTTATTTATTTCTATAGATTTTTAGGTGGTGTTTGGTTACATGAATAAGTTCTTTAGTGGTGATTTCTGAGAATTTGGTGCACCTATCACCCGAGCATTGTACACTGTACCCAGTGGGTAGTCTTTTATTCCTCTCCCCGTCCATCCTTTCCCCTCACTCCCCAAAGTCCATTGTATCATTCTTATGCCTTTGTGTCCTCATAGCTTAACTCCCTCCTGTAAGTGAGAACATATGACGTTTGGTTTTCCATTCCTGAGTTACTTCACTTAAAATAATGGTCTCCAATTCCATCTGGGTAAGTTCACCTGAACTGCTGCAAATGCCATTATTTCATTCTGTTTTATGGCTGAGTTGTATTCCATGGTGTGTATATATATATGTCTATCTATTTATCTCTATATATCTATATCTATATAGATATATATATATATCAATTATATATATATATATAGATATAGATATATAGAGATATATAGACATAGATATATAGAGATATATAGATCTATATTAGATCTATAGATCTATAGATCTATATATATAGATATATAGATGTATATACCGCATTTTCTTTATCCACTTGTTGATTGATGGGCATTTGGGCTGGTTCCATATCTTTGCATTTGTGAATTGTGCTGCTATAAACATGCGTGTGCAAGTGTCTTTTTCATATAATGACTTCTTTTCTTCTGGGTAGATACCCAGGAGTGGAATTACTGGATCAAATGGTAGATCTACTTTTAGTTCTTTAAGGAATCTCCACACGGTTTTCCATAGTGATTGTACTAGTTTACATTCCCACCAACAGTGTAAAAGTATTCCCTTTCACCACATCCACACCATTTATTATTTTTTGATTTTTTAATTATGGCCACTCTTGTAGGAGTGAGGTGTTAACATATTGGGGTTTTGATTTGCATTTCCCTGATAATTAGTGATGTTGAACATTTTTTCATGTTTGTTGACTATTTGTATATCATCTTTTAAAAATTGTTTATTCATGTCCTTAGCCCACTTTTTGATGGGATTGCTTGTTTTGTTCTTGCTGATTTGTTTGAGTTCCTTGTAGATTCTGGATATTAGTCCTTTGTCGGATGTATAGATTGTGAAGATTTCTCCTATTCTGTGGGTTGTCTGTTTGCTTTGCTGATTATTTCTTTTGCTATGAAGAAACTTTTTCATTTAATTAAGTTCCATCTATTTATCTTTGCTTTTGTTCCGTTTGCTTTTGGGTTCTTGGTCATGAAGTCTTTGCCTAAGCCAGTATCTAGAAGGGGTTTTCCAATGTTATCTTCTAGAATTTTTATGATTTCAGGTCTTAAATTTAAGTCTTTGATCCATCTTGAGTTGATTTTTGTATAGGGTGAGAAACGAGGATCCACTTTTGTTCTTCTACATGTGGCTTGCCAATTTTCCCAGCACCATTTGTTGAATTAGGGTATCCTTTCCCCACTTAATGTTTTTGTTTGCTTTGTTGAAGGTCAGTTGGCTGTAAGTATTTGGCTTTATTTCTGGATTCTCTATTCTGTTTCACTGGTCCATATCCTTATTTTGATACCAGTACTATGCTGTTTTGGTAACTATGGCCTTATAGTATAGTTTGAAACTGGGTAATGTAATGCCTTCAGATTTGTTCTTTTTGCATAGTCTTGCTATGGCTGTGCAGGCTCTCTTTTGGTTCCATATGAATTTTAGGATTGTGTTTTCTAGTTCTGTGAAGAATAATGGTGGTATTTTGATGGGAGTTGCATTGAATTTGCAGATTACTTTTGGTAGTATGGTCATTTTCACAATATTGATGCTATGCATCCGTGAGCATGGGATGTGTTTCCATTTGTTTGTTTCATCTATGATTTCTTTCAGTAGTGTTTTGCAGTTTTCCTTGCAGAGGTCTTTCACCTCCTTGGTTATGTGTATTCCTAAGTTTTTTTGGTTTTTGTTTTTGTTTTTTGTTTGTTTTTTGCAGCTTTTGTATAAGAGATTGAGTTCTTGACTTGATTCTCAGCTTGGTCACAGTTGGTGTATAGCAGAGCTACTGATTTGTGTACATTAACTTTGGAAACTTTGCTGAATTCATTTACCAGTTCTAGGAGCTTTTTGGATGAGTATTTAGGGTTTTCTAGGTGTGCGATCATGTCATCAGCAAACAACAACAGTTTGACTTACCAATTTGGATGCCCATTATTTCTTTCTCTTGAAGCAGACATATTTGAACACTCTATGGGGTGCCAAGCAATTTCCACATGATTTAAAATTTCCATGTTATGTTCTTATGCCCACTATTAGCAGTCTTGCTGTAACCCTTTTTCTCAAAGTATTTGTGTGGTTTATGATAACACATTATAAATGAAGTGTGATATTGCAGTTTAAAGGTTGCAGATTGGAGGCTGAATGTCTTATGTCTATGACCATTTTACCTGAGCTACTTGTTTAGTCTTCTCAATAAACTTTCCAGGGATTTTTTTTTTTTTTTTGCTTCCTTGGAGATCAAAATTTTTGGATCAGATTGCCTAATGGGTTCATGTTGGTTTCCAGCAGAGCCAGGTGATGTGGCTGGCCATACCTTTCTATACCAAAAAATGTTTCTGCAGTCGTGGCTATATAGTCTTGCAGGCAGAGCTTTTGACTGGCAAAAATTAGTCCCCAGCTATGCTTTACTGATGAGAAGCCACACAGCGTAGCCAGAAGCTACACTGGCCCCTTCTTCTTTCTCTGATAACTCCACGTCCGTCATGTGTTTGTATTTCCATCTCTTTCCACTTCCTATTTATACTGTCTCCTACATCTGCACTCAGGCAACATGAGGGGAAATGGACTTGAAGAGCAGATGTTCACCTCATGTTCGTTGTGGTTCCCTAGATACACTCTCTTCCATTGAAGTGTTTCTCATTTCCTGGTTTTGATTGTCCAGGATGTGTGAGGACTGAGATCTGAACCTTGCTGTTCCTTCTTTCTTCATGTTAGTAAAACCATGTACATTGGAATCCCCCAAATGTAACGGGGGAAAATAATAGAAATACTTAACTTTTGCGGTGATTAAAATGATTAATCTGGTGAATTTGACTGAAAAAGAAAAATTCAATAATTTTAGGGATCTTTCAGTGAAATAATCATTAAGCCCAAAGAAACAAAGCCTTTATTGACTATTACTTCAGTGATAGTAAGAAATGAGTACCAGCAGTAAAAGTTAACCTTGATGTTTTTATGTAATTAGCAATTGAATAAATACAGTAACTTTATTTAAACATCTTTGTAAAATTACTCCAACTAAGTAAGGACCAAGACTAAAAAAAAACCCTTGAATGCCCCTTAGTGCCTAGCACAATACCTAGAACAAATAGATCTCAACAGATATATATTAAATGAGTTAATGATTAAAATGTCTCATTTAAAATTTAAATATTCAGTAATGTTAATTTGATGTTTTTTCTTTCAGATACAGATGAATATAGACCTCCTGTTTGGAAATCTTACTGTAAGTCTACAAATAATTGTGTGGGTTATAGTGCTTTATAAGTAATATAAAAATATGGGATTATTAGATAGAAATACTCATTCCATTTTGTACCCATTGTTGAAAAATTAATTTAAACAAGGTTTGGGAGTAGCATAGAAATAATTGTGGTTAAGTAAGTGTTTACACAAAGTCTGTACAGTATATGGTTTTCCGTCTGGAATGCATTTCATCCCTCTGAGCTTATATGAATTCCATGTAGTGAAACTTGAGACCACTTGTTCAGAGTGGCTAATGAAGCTAATACAAGGAGACACTGAGAATTCAAACAGTCTAATTATTTTCAGGTCCTGATTCTTTATGTGAAGAAAGGAATATTTAAATGACAATAATTCAGGAGGCTATGTTGATAGAAAGAATAAGTGAAAAGAGGCAAAAAAAGGTGATCTAACTTTTAAATAATTACTTTCCCAAAACATAAGGGAGATACTTGATTCCATGCTGCTCTTTAAACTGCGTTAGGATATTTCTTTTTAAACATCTAGGGTTTTAGTTCTTTATTTTCCTTTCCTTGTTTTCTAGAGAATATTATTTCACCAAGTAAAGGATATTTCAGATTTTAAAAGTTCAAATAGGGCTAATATAATCAAAATGGTTTTTTAAAATTTATGAATGCATTATTATGGAAAAGCACTATAAGTTCTTGTTCGTTGTTTCTGTAGTTGAATAAGCAGCCTAAGAAACCTGTTCTTTAATTATAGATTAACATCTTTGTAAATGCTGAGGTTTATTATAAATCTGATGATTGTAGGTTGCTGAAATTTGCTGACTGAAGGAACAGCAATTCAGATTCTCATTGGTCTTATGTTCTCAGAACAGATAATTTTTTTTTTAATAGGTTGCCACTTTGGGCTAATTATAAGTAAAATATGAACAGTCTCTAAAAATATTGCCATAGATGCTTCCCCTCAACGCTGCTAGTGCCTTTTTCTTTTTCCCTTGGGAGTATAGTTATACGAATGTGTAAAAATGACTAATATTCTTTACCTCCTAAAGATTTTGTCTCATAATCTCATTGGCTGGAAGCCTATTTAAAATTCTTCTCTGGCCGGGCACTGTGGCTCATGCCTGTAATCCCAGCACTTTGGGAGGCAGAGGCAGGCGGATTGCCTGAGGTCAGGAGTTTGAGACTAGCCTGGCCAACATGGTGAAACCCATCTCTACTGAAAATACAAAAATTAGCTAGGCGTGATGGCACACACCTGTAGTCCCACCTACTTGGGAGGCTGAGGCAGGAGAATCGCTTGAACCAGGGAGGCAGAGGTTGCAGTGAGCCAAGATCGCACCACTGCACTCCAGCCTGGGCAACAGAGCGAGACTCCATCTCAAAAAAAAAAAAAAAAAAAACTTCTCTGCATTTTCTGGTTTTCAGTTTATCTTTATTCCCTGACTCTGACTTGCACCCTGCACATTTTTAATGTAAGAACATTTATGAAGCCTCAGACTATTATTGAGTTTGTAGTGATCTTTTCCTCCATGAAAAATATCAATTAGTAAATGTAGTATATGCAACTGGTATTTTTTGTAGCTTCACATATCTCGCATGTCTTGCAGTAGCTATCATTTGTTTTAAAATATGGCATTTATGTAATCCCAACACTTTGGGAGGCTGAGGTGGGTGGATCACCTGAGGTCAGGAATTTGTGACCAGCCTAACATGGTGAAACCCGTCTCTACTAAATACCAAAAAATTAGCTGGGTGTAGTGGTGCATGCCTGTAATCCCAGCTACTTGGGAGGCTGAGACAGGAGAATCACTTGTACCTGAGAGGCAGAGACTACAGTGAGCTGAGATCGCACCTTTGCACTCCAGCCTGGACAACAACAGTGAAGAGCAAAACTATGTCAAAAAAAAAAGACATTAAAAAAAAAAAGAGAGAGATAGGCTATTGCTTTGTCGCCCAGGCTGGTGTGCAGTGGCGCAATCTTGGCACGCTACAGCCTTGACCCCCTGGGCTCAAGTGATCCTCCCACTTCAACCTCCTGAGTAGCTGTGACCACAGGTTGATTTTTAAAAATTTTATTTTGTAGACTACGAGGTCTCACTGTGTTGCCCAGGAAGGTCTCCAACTCCCGACCTCAAGTGATCCTGCCTCCTTGGCCTCCCAAGTGTTGGGATTATAGGTGTGAGCCACTGTGCCCAGCTGAATCTTTCTTTAATAAGACTACAGTTCTGTTACGGAGTTTTATCATTTCTCTTAATGACTTCAATGTCTGAACTCCCCGTAATCATTTTAACAGTAGAAATGTGTAGGAAATTATTAAAATAGATATTTTATCTTTTGACTTTTTCATTTGTCACATGAAAAAAACTTCTGAGTCAAGGAAATTTTATAATTAAACTATGTTAAAAGCAAGTGGAAAAATCCTTTTTAGAAATTTTCTTATAAGATTATGATATTAATCTTCCAAGATTTGAGTATGTGCAAATTTTAACAAATGAGGAAACATAAAAATTGCAGCCAGGCTTGGTGACTCAGGCCTGTAATCCTAGTAGTCTGGGGAGACTGAGGTGGGAGGATCACTTGAGCCCAGGAGTTTGAGGCCAGCCTGGCCAATTTAGGCGGATCCCATCTCTACCAAAAAATAAGAAATAAAAACATTAGCTGGGCATGGTGTTGTACTCCTGTGGTCCCAGCTACTTGGGAGGTGGAGGTGGGAGGAACTGCTTCCCAGCTACTTGGGAGGTGGAGGTGGGAGGATTACTTGGGCCCAAGGGGTATGGAGGCTGCAGTGAGTTGTGATCAGTACTCTGAACTCCAGACCCTGTCTCATTCATTTATTCATTCATGTTAAATAAATAAATGCATTCTAACGATGACTTTTTATGATCATATAGATGGTTAATGTGTTTGTCAAATTCTGATCTTAGAAAAAAATGTGATTAAGTTGAACTTTTTGTTTATATTATCTTTTACCACTCAAGACAGTTTTACAGTTTTTACAACCAGCTCTAAATAATCTTCAGTAAGATGTTTATTAATTGTACCTTAAGGACTTCATCTCTTAGGAATCTTTATATTTTAGTAGGAAAAATTTTAAAGACTGACCGACCTGTTATACCCTGACTTCATCAATAGAGACTGGAATTTTAAATAACTGAGGTAGTAGGCATTGTTCAGTATCCTTAATATGTGAGCCATGACAATCTTAGGCCAGATATATATATAGTTTAGAATTGATAATTGACAATATTTTCTACTAATAGTCTTTGGGACCGACAAACTGTAATGCTTCAGCATCTCTGTGATGTGACTTAAATTTAGTTATTAAAAATTCTTAAAATGGTAATAAAATAGAAATGGGCTGAAATTTTAAAAATAATTAGGTATGTCAATTCATGTAAGGTGGCACACCCATTGAAAGCTATTCAAGGAGTTCTAATTGTTCACTTCTGTAATAGATCTATAAAAGTAAACAAGATGATTTAATTTAATGTCAAAAGTTGCTACATGTTAGTGTGTTTTGTTTTTCTATCTTTGGCATGGTGGAATCTGAACAGCATTTCACAATTTGATTCTAGAAGAAACTTATTTTACCCATGCCTATCTTGTACTTCCTACTGTTAGTTCCATTGATCTTGTAAAAATGTAACTCTGAAGTCTTACAAATATAAACCAATAGGGAAGTAAAATTAGCAAGAAGTCTAAGTTGTGGACTCTTTTTAAACAAATACGGTTTTGTCGCTTTTCAGTACTTATTGTGTGAATTAAACCAGGAACCTTACATGTAATAAATGAGGCAAGCAAGCCAGATTAGGACTATGAGTAAGTTGACCGTGGAGACCTTGTCTGTAGAGAGTAGCTCAAAATTAGCTCCTTTTATTGTCATGTTAGACTCTGGGTTCATTATTGCCAGATCTGAGTTTTCAAAAGAGGCTGGAATTCTCTTTTGCTTTTGTTGTCCTTAAGTTTCTTAATTTTTTAATGTTAAAAACCTACTCAAATGTAAAAGACAGCAAACAAAACACATGTGGACCAATTTTGACTTCAAGATACCAATTTGTGATCTTTGGACTTGATGAACAATTTATTGTCTGTAGGGATTGAGAATTTCATTAATAAGTATATACTCATTGACACTTCTAAGGTGACTGAAAATATTAAGTACTTTAATCATATATTCCCTCATCTTGAATTTAGCTATTAATTTTTGGTGAATCATTTAATGATTGTGCTTATTTAAATTCAGCTGAGTTCCAATTCAAATTATCAGAAATTCCAAACTGAGAGAGAAGGACCTGAATTAGACCTCATTACTTTGTATAACTTTTTAATGATCTTTTTGATAGGTGTTTTTTGAATCCAAATTTGTTATATTTGTTATAAAATATCCAAGACTTGACTAGGCACAGTGGCTCACACCTGTAATCCCAGCATTTTAAGAAGCCAAGGTGGGAGTATCACTTGAGCTCAGGAGTTTGAGACCAGCCTGGGCAAGATGGTGAAACCCGGTCTCTATAAAAAATACAAAAATTAGCTTGACGTGGTGGTGTGTGCCTGTAGTCCCAGCTACTTGGGTTCTGCGGCATAAGGCTTGCTTGAACTCGGGAGGTTGAGGCTGCAGTGAGTCATGTGTGTGCCACTGCACTCCAGCCTGGGTGACCAAGTGAGACACTGTCTCAAAAAAAAAAAAAAATTAAAAAAAAAAAGAGTCTTAAAGATAGATTAACTGTTAGTAACCACTGGTAGCCAATCAGGAGGCATTTGTCTAAAAGTTCCTCGTTATGAAACAGAGCTTTATCCTTTGAGACGATTAGAAGGATTTGAAAGAAATTGAAAAGTAAATAACCTTATGTGACTTAATGTTAAGAAAATACTATATACCCTTTGAAACTCTGATGAAAGCAAATTTGAAACCCACATCAATTCTCATATGACAATATTGTCTCCCTTTTTTTCATAGTGGCTCATCTTAATGTATGCTTACTGAACAGGCAAATGCTTACTGCTGATAACCAGATACTACAGTATTTGTGCTTTGAGTCAAAATCGACATTTTACTTTCTGTATTAACTTTTAATGTTCTTCTTGACTATCATTCAGTTCTCAGAATTGGGTTTTCATAGATGGCAGCACTTTCCAGAGCATTTTCTTGACAAAGGAAAATACCAATATTTTGAGAATTACTGATCAAAGTAGAAACGTGAACTAAATTTTTACCTTATAGGTACCAATATGGAGGAATGGACTTGAAGAATTTTTTTTTTTTTTTTTTTTTTTTTTACATTTTTTAGAGACAGGGTCTCGCTATGTTGCCAGGCTGGTCTCTTGAGCTCAAATGATCCTCCCACCTTGGCCTCCCAAAGTGCTGGGATTACAAGTGTGAGCCACTGTGCCTGGCCCTTGAAGAATCCTTCTTTCTTACAAATCATGGTTTGGCCATTTTTAAGGAGGATGGAGATTTACACATATCATGGGGTGATACACATGTACTTTTCATTATCAGGGCCAGACAAATTTGACTTTAGTGCTTTTTCTTCCCTTTTCTACCTCAGAATTAACTCCCTTTTTGTCATCTCTGTAACAATATATAAAACTATATTCACAGGAATATTTCTTATTAACTCTCACAATGAAATATGGGTATCTAAAACTGTTTCAATGTATTACCTCTCTTAGGGATTTTTGCCATCAGGAGAAAAAGGTAAAGGAATACATTTCTACCAGTAGAATTTAAACATTCCTGATGAAGTGGCTTTGTGTTTGATTTTTAAACAATAAAGCTGTATTTTCTCAGTTCCTTTTAAATTATAGCATTGCCCTGATACTATGTTTTAGTGATGAACTCAAGATGCATCCTAGTAATCAAGTATTATTATAAAGAATTTTATGTATTAATATCAATCACCTATGTATAATAATAAGTAGTCTTCATTGAGCATTTACTGTGTGCTAGGGACTATTTTACATCTTTCACATAAATTATTTATATCCTTAAGTAATCTGTGAAGTACAAACTATTATTAATCCCATTTTGCAAATAAGGAAAATGAAGGCATAGAATGCAGTGCTAGTGACAGAGCCCCAGTGTTCAGACTCCAGATGGTTTGGTTCAAGAGTTCAAATTCTTAACCCCAGTGCTGTATCCCCTTTGCATAGAAGTACTCACAGTTACGTGTATGTGTGTGTGTTCACTGTGTGTGTGTGTAGAGAGAGATAGTATATATATACACACACATTTATATATATATACACACACACACACACACACACAGGCTAATTATGTATGTGTGTATAGTCTAATTGTATTTATTCTATATATGTCCCTATGATGTATATGAATGAATGTGGTCAGAAGTAGAGTCCGTGTAATCATATCCATTTGAAATCTGAGTCATCCGTTATCTGACAGTCCCAGATTACTGGGTAGTTTGATGTTATGTTGACAAAATATCTTAAGTATTTAGAGTATTAAATTATATGTGATTATATATGTAGAAATAGAAAAAAAAATCTCTAAGAGATAAACTTAGACATATATAGCCACACATCCTATTCATTCTTTTTTCATTTTAAATAAAAAAGCCTGAAGTGAGGCTAGAAGGAAGTCATGGTATCAGTATAATTTTCACTGATGCATTTTCAGATGCCCTAAAAATGATTCCCTCTTTTGGCAAGTTATTTGAATATCTGAATTCTTTCTTTTGCTATATTTGCCCTAGTTGAATAAGCAGTGGTAACTTTGGCTCAGACCTTTTGTTTTTAGGGGAAGAGGAAAATTATCTTTGAAGATAGATGTTTGCAATATAAATAGTGTGTTCGTTACATTTAGCCTATAAATCTTGATTTTAGTTTCAAGGTTGACACTTAATAACATGCTTTAAATATATGTATATATAACCATTATTGGTTTATATCATAGACATCCTTTAATATCCCCACAAAGAACTGGGGAAAATAAATGACCAGATTATGGAGAACAGAGCCAAATATCCAGCACTGACTTGTTATAAGGTAAAAAGACACTTGTTTGGATTATGATTTTTCTGTTTGAATTGCTCCTGGGCTTTCACTATATGTAGTTTTGTTTACTTTTTTTGTTTTGTTCATAACACAATTTAGTAAATAAGGTTATACCAGTTTTCTTGTGAACATAAAAAGCAGCCAGGTTTTTATTTCTAATATATTGATAAGTTCTATGTAAGGGACATTGACACTTTTTGTTTCTACCTTCTCACAGTATATCAGCTACAACAGGAAGCCCCTCATCCTCGAAGAATTACCTGTACTTGCGAGGTGGGTGTAATGAAACTGCTACCAAAAAATGTCTCTCAACCATCTGTTTCCCAAACTTTCACCTTCTTCAGTGGCTTGGTTGTTTGTGAGATTAACCACTTAACACTAATCGATATGATAAAATTATAACTTGAATACATTTTTCTTAATATCCTTCTCATTTGATTTAACTTCCACTTTTTAGTGGACTGTTTGGAACACAGTATAGAATATGACCATATAGTTTTAAGGGTTGTTCGTATTCTTTTCAGTTAATTCATACATTGTGTTTTCATTGTTTAATATTCTTTTTTTAGAACAAAGTTTGGAGCCATCATTGTAGGATTATTGAATTCTTTTTTACATTGAAATAAGTATTTAGCTTATGATTTTAAAAATGAACAAAAGATGTGGATAGTTCACCAAAAAAAGATATGATGTATGACAATATATGTAAAGATGTTCAAATTTCATTGATAATAAGAGAAATGCCAATTAAAATACAGAGAGATCATTTTTACTTTGCAGATTGGCAAAAGTTAAAAGCTCAGAATATACTTACTTGGCAAGCCTGTGAGGAAACAGGCACTTACATTGCAGATTGGAATGTGACATACTATAACTTTATGAGAATTTTGTAGTATCTACCAAATTATACCTTCACCTGCCTTTGACTTACCAGTCCAAATTCTAGGAATTTATCCTGATGAACCACCTGCACAAATATAGAATAACATATGCTCAAAGTTTTTTATTGTAGGATTGTTAGTAATAGCAGAAAAAAACCTAAATGTCTGTCCAGAGGAGACTGATTGAATAGAATAGAATACTAAAATAAGGAAGATTTCTATGTACTGATACGGAAAGATTTCCAGATATAAAATGTATATAGATATAGTAAGTATGGTCCCTCTTTCATATGAAAGAATAGAAAATAAAAAATATATAGTCTGGTCAGGCAAAGCAGCTCATGCCAGTAATCTCAACACTTAGCTAGGCACAGGTGAGAAGACAGCTTGATCCAGGAGTTCAAGACCAGCCTGGGCAACATAGTGAGACCTTGTTCTCCACAAAAAGGAAAAGTATATTTGTAGATATAGTTTATTTTTGCAAAAGAGAAACACAGAAAGGATTAAACCAGAGACTGGTAAAATAATTATGATAATAATTATGATAAGGAGTGGATGAAGAGCACCTTATTTACATAATTATTATCATAATAATATGATAAGGAGTGGATGAAGAGCACTGTGGAGGAAATAGAGATGGGAGTGAGATTTTTCTGAGTCTGATTTTTAGTCTGAGTTGTGACTTTTGAACCATGTAAATGGTCACGTATTGAAACAAAAAAGGTAAAGAAAAATGATTTTTAAAAAGCAAACCCAGCTGGGCATGATGGCTCATGCCTGTAATCCAAGCACTTTGGGAGGCTGAGGCAGGCAGATCACGAGGTCAAGAGTTTGAGACCAGCCTGGCCAACATGGTGAAACCCAGTCTCTACTAAAAATACAAAAATTAGCTGGTTGTGGTGGCAGGTGCCTGTAATCCCAGCTACTCAGGAGGCTGAGGCAGGAGAATCGCTTGAACCCGGGAGGCAGAGGTTGCAGTGAGCTGAGATGGGACCACTGCACTCCAGCCTGGGCAACAGAACAAGACTCCATCTCAAAACAAAAACAAAAACAAAAACATGTACACACATACACACACACACACACACACACACACAAGCAAACCCTAAAATTGAATACAAATAAGAACAAATGAACCTTACAAATTCACAGCATAATCACCAAAAAAGATAACTTAAATAGCTTTTATTTATTTATTTACTTATTTACTTAACTTTTTATTTTTTTTTTTAGATAGAGTCTTGCTTTATCTCCCAGGCTAGAGTCCAGTGGTGTGATCTGGCTCACTGCAGCCTCAACCTCCTGAGCTCAAGTGATACTCCTACCTCTGCCTCCCAAGTAGCTGGGACTACAGGCATGTGCCACCATGTCTGGCTAATTTTTGTACTTTTTTGTAGAGATGGGGTTTCGCCATGTTGCCCAAGCTGGTCTCAAACGCCTAAGCTCAAGGGATCCACCCACCGTGGCCTCCTAAAGTGTTGGGATTACAGTTGTGAGCCAGGGCACCTGGCCTTTTAAGTTGCTTTTTAAAAAATATTTTAAATTGACACATAATAATTGTGCATATTTGTGTAGTACAGAGTGATATTTTGATACATGTATACACTGTAATGATTGAGGGTAATTAGCATATCCATTACCTCAAATCTTTGTGTTGAGACATTCACAATTCTCTCTTCTAGCTAATTGAAAATATAAATTATTTGTAACTCTTATCTAGGATAATTTTATATCTATTAACCAACCTCTCCCTATCCTTTTTTTCCTCTACCCCTCCCAGCCTCTAGATACCACTGTCTTGCTCATCTTCTGTGAGATCAATTTATTTAGCTCCCACATATGAATGAGAATGTGCAGTATTCATCTTTTGTGCCTTTCTTATTTCATTTAACATAATGTCTTCCAGGTTCATCCATGTTGCTGCAAAATGACAGGATTTCATTCTTTTTAATGGCTGAATGGTATTCCATTGTGTAAATAAACCACATTTTCTTTATCCATTTGTCTGTTGATGGACACTTAGGTTGATTCCATATTTTGGCTATTGTGAAAAATGCTGTAATTAACATGAGAACACAGACACCTCTTTGACATACTGATTTCCTTTTCTTTGGATATAACCCCAGTAATGAGATTGGTGGATTATACAGTAGTTCTATTTTTAGTTTTTTAGTGGAACCTCCATACCATTTTCCATAATGGCTGTATTAATTTGCATTCCCACCATCAGTGTATGAATTCCCTTTTCTCTGCATCTTTGCCAGCATTTGTTTTGTCTTTTTGATAGTAGCTGTACTAACTGGGGTGACATACTAACAGTGGTTTTGATTTGCATTTCCCTGATCTTTAGTGATACTGAGCGTTTTTTCATATACTTCTTGGCTTAAGTAACTTTTAAACATATTATTCTGACTGTACAAACTCAGAAATATTCTAAGGACAAAAATTGCAAAAGGCAGAGGTGAAAAGACAGCTTGAGCCCAGAGGTTCAAGACCTGCCTGGCAACATGGTGAGATCCTGTTCTCCATAAAAAAGAAAAAAAAATAGTTTATTTTTGCAAAAGAGAAGCACAGAAGGATTAAACCAGAGACCAGTAAAACAATTATCATAAGGAGTAGATGATCAAACGTTCAACATGTGAACATTTACAAAGTTCAAAAGTCACAACTATATAAAAACAGACTTAGAGAAGTCTTAACTACATGTGTAGTAATCTTGAAATTATTTTGTTTGTAATATAGGATAGAGCAAAGAAATAATTTTACTGGATTAGGGGGAACCAGGGTTCTTAGGAGATATTAATGAATTAGGAGAATGGGACACAATTAGAAAGTATACTGTGGTATTAGTTTTGAATTGGTGGCATTAATATTAACTTATAGATTAAAAAAATTTTTTTTCTATCTCAGTCCAAGGAAAGGGCCTAGAAGCCCCAGTAAGAATGAATATTTCCAGGGACTAGATTTTGGGTTCCAAATATGGTTTCCCACCAAAAGGAGGCAATGTTTTTTAGAGAAGTTCCTGATTTCTTAATGTGGGGCAAAGAAGTCCTGGAACATATTGTGTTGGAAAGCAAGAACGTGCTCAAAAACTGATGGAAACATGTCAAAAAGGCACAGGAGCCTATTTGAAAGTTTCCTACCATCAAAACTTGAAACAATTTGAACATCTAAAAGAATAATGGTAGGTATGGATTATAACACATTATGTGAGAGAGAATTTGTAAGTCCGTAATTATACTTTAAAATTAAAAAAAACTCACTTTGTTACAAAGAGAAAAAATGGGGAAATATACAGTTGTTCTTTACAGAAGAAATGACACTTAAAATGTAGAAAAAATATAAAATTACAAAATCACTAATTTGCACTAATGATTGACTCCAGGCAAGGATCATCAGTCATTGGATGTTAAAACCATTGGAAGAAAGGCTGTAGGTGAACAGGATATTTACATGGTCTCAAGGTATGACACCACCAATTATTTGTTAATTGCATAGAGAAAAATATGCCTTTAAAGTGGAGAGATCTGGTGGTCAAACTTAGCATTACCTGTAATGGGACAAACTGTCATGTGTCTCCTGAAGTGATACAGTGAAACACACGGTATCACCTGTATAATATTTTTGCCAAAACTGTTTAACTTAAATCTAGTTATAAAGTACGAATCAGACAAATTCAGAATGTGTACCTTCCATAAGACATCTGCCCTGGGTTTATAAATAATGTCATTATCATAAAAAAAAAACAGTGGTGGGATGATATAAAATTAAAGGAGACTAAAGAGACATGGCCATCAGATTCAAGGACCTTGATCGGGTCCTCAACTTATATATATATTGTAAAGCTATAAATTTTGAGTACAATTGGATAAATTTGAGTATGGACTGTATTAGGTAATGTGGAATCATAATAACTTTCCTAGATGATACATTATTGAAAAATAATTACTCTCGGCTGGGCGTGGCGGCTCACGCCTATAATCTCGGCACTTTGGGAGGCTAAGGCGGGTGGATCACGAGATCAGGAGATCAAGACTAGCCTGGCCAACGTGGTGAAACACCATCTCTACTAAAAACAAAAAATTAGCCAGCCATGGTGGCATGCGCCTTTAGTCCCAGCTACTCAGGAGGCTGAGGCAGGAAAATTGCTTAAACCCAGGAGGCGGAGGTTGCAGTGAGCCAAGATCACACCACTGCACTCCAGCTTGGGCAACAGAGGAAGACTCTGTCTAAAAATAAATAAATAAATAAAATAAAATAAAAGTAATAATTATTTCTCTATTGATAAAAATGTTAAAATAGATTTTGTTATTGTGACTTCTGGTTTAAAACACAATATAGCTTTGAAAGTATATAATTAGTTAACAAAGAGAACCAATTTACAGAATTAGGCAGGAGTTTCATGGGATTGTCTTTTGAATGTCCAGTTGCAGTTTAGATATATGTAGATTTCCAGTCTGTGTATATGTAAGCATAGAATTAAGTATGAGGTACTTGATTATTGCCTTTCATTGCTGCTCGCTGTGATCAAGGATGATTAAATAATTTGCATGTAATGGGAATTTTAAAAATGCTATTTAATAAAATGTTTCATTTTGTTTCATGTTCTGTTCACACATACTTTTTAATTTTTTAAGTATGTGAGAAACTGAAAGTGAGAAATTGGCAGTACTTTGGAAAGTCCTGAAGTATTTATTAGTAAGACTATTATCTTTGTTGAAAAATAGCTATATTATTCCTTTCTTAAAATAATTTGAGACCTCACAAATGAAGACATAATAAAAAGAATAAAGAAAAGTTGAAGGAATAAAAACAGCAAAATGCCAGTAGATTGCAGTGCTGATTGAGGCTCAATGTAGTTGTGTGAAAAGTGTTTCACAGTTATAAAGTATATGAAACTCTGAAGGCCAGTATGATCCAGTTTTTTCCTGAATTAAATTGTTTTAAAAAAATTCATTTGGTGTGACATTAAGGTACGATAAATCAATGGAACTCACTTTTGAAGAGCTAAGCTGATGTGGTCACAGTAGATAGCTTTCTGATGATTCACCTTGATGCAAAGACACAAGATAGAATAATATACTGGATGAATAGATGGATGTTAGAGTCTCTGAAAATAATTTCCTTTTATTTACCTTTGCTCTGTGATTGAATGCTGCCATCCCCTGAGGAACTAGACCAATTATTTGTATTCTCTCCTTTGGTTAAAAGCAGGCATGAAAGCATTGAAAAACCAGAAAAGCAAATTGTACAATTGACATTTTCCTACTTAAATTGAGCAATGTATTCATCATTTCCACTTTGCAATATAAAAAATATTTATTGTATTAACTTTTCACAATATTTTGTGAAATATTTATGTTTCACAAAAATATAGATTTTTTGTAAATATTTTATGTTTGTTTATATTTAAAAATATTTATATTTTTTTCTCCAAAAAAATAGTCATGTTCTAATGACTAAATTGGTGGGCAAGGAATGCTGTTCAGAATGAAAGGATTTACTGTGACTGGCTCTCCTTGTACATTGAAACTATCCTTACATATTATTCACAACTTATAGTCTGTTACTTATTAACAGCTTATAGTCAGTTCCTTAAGTTTGACTGTTTAATAAGGATTAAATATGTGTGCATACAATAAATGTCTTTACTTTGGAAATTAGTGGTGATAATTTGTTTCTATATTTGACCGTTCTCTAGGTTGTTCAATGTTTTTCTGTTTTTCCCAGGTGATAACTAAATGACAGTTACTAAACAGGCATAAGTGGTCTTCCTTTAAAGAAATGAAATTCATACATAATATTATTATAATGATTAGATTTACAAATAGAGACATGGGAAGTATTTATAAGCCACTAATGCTAATGGTTTGCTTATTCTATTAAGTTAAATATCTGTATAACAACTAAGTAACTTGAATGTCCATTAGAAATGAAAGTAAAGGATTAAATAGTGGGATAGAGTTGATCTAAAAATACTTTTCGAAGGAAGAAAGTTTCAGAGTTAGGCTTGATGAAATGATTAGTGATTGGTTTGGAAGAACTAAAGATTATTGAGAATCATGAGCTGTAAGGATAAAGATGTACTCAAGTACCATTTGATGTTCACCCTTAAGTATTTAACTGTGAGCCAGGTGTGGTAGTGTGGTGGTGTGCACCTGTAATTCCAGCTACTTGGGAGGTTGAGGCGGGAGGATCACTTGAGCCTAGGAGTTCTTGAGCCTGTCTCTTAAAAAAATTTTTTTTTAACTGAGGAATTAGATTTGGGCTACTGTGTTAGTTCATTTTGTGCTGTTATAAAGGAATACCTGAGGCTGGGCAATGTATTTTAAAAAGAGGTTTATTTTTGGCCCATTGTTCTGCAGAATGTACAAGAAGAAACACAGTGCCAGCATTTGCTTCTACTGAGGCTTCACGAAGCTCACAGTCATGGTGGAAGGCAGAGGGGGAGCTGGCATATCACATGGTAACTGAGGGAGCAAGAAATATTAATAGGATGAGGTGCCAGGCTTTTTAGCAATCAGATTTCATGGTAACTAAGAGAGTAAGAACTCACTCATTACTGTGGGAAGGGCACCGA
Organism: Homo sapiens; assembly: GCF_000001405.40. NCBI lineage: Eukaryota > Metazoa > Chordata > Mammalia > Primates > Hominidae > Homo > Homo sapiens. Next base: position 174,937,699 of record NC_000002.12, on the reverse strand, counting down.
GATATTCATGAAGGATCCGCTCCTGTGACTGAAACACCTCCCACCAGGCTCTGTCCCCAACATTGGGGATCATATTTCAACATGAGATTTGGAGGGAACAAACACCCAAACCACATCAGACACTGTATGTTGTTTCTCCACTGAAATGTTGAGAGAAAAAGAGAAAAGTTAATACAATTGATAAGGTGATAGTTTTTAAAAAGTAATAATTATTATTTATGGGTGCTAATTGTAATTTTTAAAATGGATCCAGTGACTTTGTCTTTCGGAATTATGCTTACTTACAATGATAGGAAAGGGAGCACTGGCCCTATTTGTTTGCATGTGCACATTTCCATTCCATTTTCTTCTAATGATAGTATTGTATCACAGCTTACAAATTCAGTAACTATGCCAGGCTCAAAGGGAACATACATTTAGTGACTAGCCATGTGTGTGTGACCTTTCTTTTGTGGTCTACCCCTTGTTTTGGTGATGAATTCTGTGTTCTGCTCTTAGGTGAATTTCTGTTAGCATTTTGAAACCAAATGTGTATCACCTTATTTCAAAACCTGAATTATCAACTATTAAAACAATCATAAACTATTAGTGGCAGAACTCTAAAATGCAAAATATCTAGCAATAATAAATAATTTGACAGAAAATCAAATTATAACTAATGCTTTTTTCCTAATTCCAGAAAATCTTGCCAGTTGCTATTGTGGACACTAAAATATAAATGATTTTTTTATTAAAGGTTATTGTTGAGATCAATTTTGAAATTCAGATATAAATAATCCTTCTTAAAGGAAGAAGATGACCAGGCCACAACTAATTATTTTAGGCAGGCTTTAAAAACCAAGCACATACTTAAAAGCTTGAAAATTATTCTTAATAATGTTGCTACATGATACAGTTGTATCTTATGGGAGAGTTAATTCTGAAGTTAGCAAGTAAAGTGAAAGTCTTATATAGTCAGAATTACCCCTGGAAATTCCTTATCACCCATAAAGTAATGGTACATATTTTTGTGTATACAACTCTGTCATTTATAGGTATATATAAATATATGATTTATTCAGTGAAATGCAGTATATAAAAAATGTAAAATATATACTATTATTTTCTATTGTGTAAAAATGGTTTTGTTTGTTATTTCATGTTAAGCACTTGGTTGAATTCAAGTAAATGTGTATCTATATATGTGTGTGTGTGCATGTATGTATATAGAGTGACTGAGTAGACACAAGTATAAATTACATAGGTATAAGCTATATCTATTTATTACATAGGTATAAAATCTATCTAATTCAGATAGAGATATGAGAGAAGCTCCATATCTTTTGTTCACTGATATTAATACAGTGTATTTGGCACTGGACCATTATTAAACATGGACCCTCAAAGTGGACGCACTTTTCCCCCTGCTATCCACACAGTGGGAAATGTAGTGATGATTTTTTTTAAACATATAAAGCCAAATTTCTATTCCCTGTGACACATTTTTCAAGTTAGTGTTGCAGGGAGTTGGATAGCATTTTTGAGTACAGGTGCACATTATAGTAACAATGAGGTTGTCTTTCTCTAGGCTAAATGGGTAAAGTAGACTGAGGCTGGACAAAATGTACTGAAACACAAGTCAGTGCTATTAGTGTAATGAGAAATGTAGATAAAATTACACAATTTACACTGTTTTCAAATTCTAACTACAATACCAATTAGAGTAATACTGAGTATGTATTTTGGTAGCACATGTTTTATTTTTATTTACTTTTAATATATTTTTTAGAGACAGAATCTTGCTGTGTTGCCTGGGCTGGAGTGCAGTGGCCCAATTTTAGCTCACTGTGGCTTTGCATTGCCAGGCTCAAGTGATCCTTCTACCTCAGCCTCCTGAGTAGCTGGGACTGCATGTGTGCACCGCCGTGCCTGGCTTTTTTGTTTTGTTTTGTTTTCTTGTAGAGATAAGGTCTTACTATGTTCCCCAGGCTTGTCTTGAACTCCTGGGCTCAAGCGATCCTCCTGCCTCAGCCTCCCAAAGTGCTGGGATTACAGGCGTGAGCCACCGTGCCAGGCCAACACATGTTTTAAAAATGTTTTTCTAAAGACCTACTTATAGAAGTAGGAAATTGACTGTAATCATTTTACTCACCTGTCTCCCCCAAGCAGATTATGTTCAGCACCTAGGTATGCTGACTGGTGTGTAGTATAGGTTGTTAAATGCTTATAGGGTGGAATGAATGAATGAGATATCTTTGTGTAATTTATTTTTCAATACAATGTTCTTATAATATGGCTTACAAAATGTGTGCATTAATACCTATATCTGTTAGAGATGCTCTGGTTCTTTCTGTCACATGTATGTATTTGTTCATTCAGTCAGCATTCTTGGAGGGGCTACCATCTGCCAGGCCCTCAGGTTTCAAGTCAAATAAAGCAAAATCCCTCTCCTGAAGGAGCTTCCAGTCTAGGTGGGGAATGGAGCGGTAGCTCAACCTTTACTTAGTGCAGAAGCGCAGAGTTGGTAGTACTTACCTTGATACATATGTATGCAGCTCCTCTGGCCAAGGGCAGAGTACTTGTGGGAGAGTGGTAAAAGATAAGCCCGGAAAGCTAACCAGGCATTAGTAATAAAGGGTTCTATGTCCTAAGCTTAGAGTTTAGACTATAGAAGTGAAAGTATTTTAAGCAGGAGAAAAACGTGATTGATTAGGCTTAGGAAGAACAACTGGCTGCAGGGAAGAGGATGGATATTTTAGAGACAAAAAGACTGGTTTAGGAGGCTATTACAGTAGTCCTTGTGATAAGTGAAAAGAACCTACAAGACACTGGTTCTGAGAATAGTCAAGAGGGATTAGGAAAGGGGAATATTTAAAGCAGTAGAATTCTCAGGACTTGCTGACAAGATGGTCATGGGTTGCATGAGAGGGAGTCTAGTAGATTTTCAGGAACCAGTCAACTCTCCTAATCTTCTTTCATGTCATACTTGCTTGGCAAAACTGCAACCCTATTGCTATCTCTGCCTATTCTGCACATTCTGCCAAGTAACAGTATGGCTGGAGGAAAATGAAATATTTCGGAATTTCTGAACTTCAAGTTGGTACTTAATGCTCCCTGTACTGCCTTTATTCATGTCATGCCCTTTCTCTCTTCTCAAACCTCTAATACAGGGGTCCCCGGCCCCTGTGCCACAGACTGGTACCGTCTTGTGGCCTGTTAGGAACTGGGCCGCACAGCAGGAGGTGAGCAGCAGGCAGGTGAGCAAGTGAAGCTTCATCTGTGTTTATAGCTACTCCCCATTGCTCACATTACTGCCTGAGCTCTGCCTCCTGTCAGATCAGTAGTGGCATTAGATTCTCATAGGAGTGTGACCCCTATTGTGAACTGCCCATGCAAGGGATCTAGGTTGTGCACTTCTTATGAAAATCTAATGCCTGATGATCTGTCACTGTCTCCCATTACCCCCAGATGAGACTGTCTAGTTGCAAGAAAACAAGCTCAGGGCTCCCACTGATTCTACATTATGGTGAGTTGTATAATTATTTCATTATATATTACAATGTAATAATAATAGAAATAAAGTACACACTAAATGTAATGTGCGTGAATCATTCCAAAACCATCCCCTCACCTCTGACCCCTGTCTGTAGAAAAATTGTAAAATTGTCTCCCACGAAACTGGTCCCTGGTGCCAAAAAGGTTGGGGACCACTGTTCTGATACCTTACTCCCTCTCCTAATTTTCAGCTCATAATTTTGTATCCTACTTTACTCCTGCTTAAAGCCATCAGAAGAGAACTTCCACAAACTTCCACTGTCACATCCACCCAACCATCAGTATTTGTGTCTGTATGTTCTGCATTCTTGCTTAACCTCATAGGTGATAGCTAGCTCTTCACTACACTAAACCTCACTTCCTCTCTATCTGCTTAAGGACATAATCCTAGCAATTTTCTCCTTTCCTCCACCATCAACAGCTTTTCCCTTTCTGCAAGATCATTTTCGTCAGCCCACAAATATCCTATTATTTCTCCTATCTTAAAAAGTTCTCTTGACCCTGCTTTCTCCATTTGCCTCGCTCAATTTCTTTGCTTTCTTTTGTAGAAAATATTTCAAAGTGTTGTCTGTACTTGCTGTCTGCACTCAGAACTTTACCCACTGCCACTCCAAGCAGAACTGCTTTGGTAAGGTCAGTACTGACTTCCCTATACATACAAATCTAGTAGTTTTTTTTTTCCTCTCATCATCCCATTAGGAGCATCTGATACAAGTGATGACTTTCTCCTCCTTGATACATTTTTCTCACTTTGTTTCCAGGATACTACATTCTTTTATTTTTTCTTTTGCCCCCACAGTCTATTTCTCTGGTGCTGCTTCAACCTGATCTCTTGATTTTGGGGTGCCCCCAAATCCTCTCCTCTTCTCTTCTCTACCTATATTTACTTTATTATGATCTTACCAGTTTCAGGTTTTAATGTAACTTACATTTCTTTATATGTCCAGTCCTTTCTCCCAAACTCCTATATACCTATATATATACACACATATATATCCAGTTTCCTACTCTACATCCCCTCTCATATGTCTAATAGACATCTCCAACAGAAATAGCCTGTTCAAAACAGAACTGAGCTTCACCTTCCTCCCCAACCTTCTATTACCACAGCCTTCCAGATCTCAATTGATGGCAGTTACTTAATTCCAGTTTCCCAGACCAAAATCAGGAAGTCATATTGGGTCTATCTTTGGAATATGTCCAGAATCCTAACTGTATTAGTCTGTTCTCACATTGCTATAAAGAAATGCCTGAGACTGGGTAATACATAGAGAAAAGAGGTGTTTAATTGGCTCATAGTTCCACAGGCTGTACAGGAAGTATGGCTCGGGAGGCCTCAGGAAACTTTTATTCATGGTGGAAGGCAAAGCCAGAGCAGGCATCTTCACATGGCCATAGCAGGAGGAAGACAGAGGGCAGGTGCCACACACTTAAACAACCAAATCTCGTGAGAACTCTATTACAAAAACAGCACCAAAGAGGGAAATCCACCCCCATAATCCAGTCACCTCCCACCAGTCCCCACCTCCAACATTGGGGATTTCAATTCAACATGACATTTGGGTGGAGACACAGATCTAAACCATATCACTAACTTTTAGTGGTAACCTGTTTCATGGCTACCAAGCAAGGATGAACTGTGGAAACTGTGAGATACTCGGCAAAATCCAGTCTTCCTTTCTTTGAAAACCTGGGTAGCCTAAATTTTCGCAGCCTCTTGTAGATACTTACGTCAATTTGACAGTTTTCTCTAGGGGAACAGACGTTAACTTCAATGCTAGACCCATTAAAACTTTTTGCCAACTTAAATCCTGCTTGCATTCAGATAAAAACATCTCCACAAGGAGATGGTATATCTACAAAATGGAGGGGATATGGATGTAGGACAGTTGTCTTGCCAACTTGAGTACATATACAGGAATGTTATATAAACGAGAAATAAACTTCTGTTGTGTCTAGTTATTATATATTAAGGTTGATTTGTCATAGTGACTTATCCTACCTTAACACACAGTAATCCCTCAGGAGGGTAACTGAGCTAGTTCTTAACTGATCTTTCCCCTTATGGTCTATTCCCAGCACAGAGTAATCTTTTTGAAACCACAGTCAGCTCATGTCACTGTTCTGCTCAGAACTCTCCATTGGCTTTCCCTGTCACTCAGAGTAAAAGCCAAACCTTCACAGTGCCTTATAAGGTCCTCTCTAACTCATCTCTTACTGCTTCCTTGCCTCCTCTTCCCTGCCCCCATTCTGCTTCAGCCTGACCAGTCTTCATGCTTCTCAGATACAGCAGGTGTGATCCTTTCTCAGCCCTCCCGCTGACTTCTCTTTCTGGAATGTTCTCTCTGATACACTCTTGGCTCATTCGTTCATATGCTTCAAATCTTCCCAGCGAGGCCCATTGTGACCACTATATTAGGAATTATACTTTATCATCCCCCCAGCATTCCCAGTCTTTTCCTGTTCTACTTTGTCTTGTCTTCACAACACTTTTCATTTTGTTACATACTATATAGTTCACTTATTTATTATTGTTTACTGCTGTTTTCCCTTACTAGAATAGAAGCTCTATGCAGGTAGCAATTTTGGTCTGTTTTGTTTATCAGTATTTCCCAGGTTCCTGGAACAGTGCTTGACACTTAGTAGGTGCTTAATAAAGACTTGTTAATTGAATGGATGGGAGGTACAATGTTCTTGTTTTATTCTTAGTCCTTTTTAGAGGACATATTCTATTAGGTGGGAGCATTGAGTTTGGCACAGGAGTGGGAGGAAAACACTCTAATTGAAATTAGAGTTTGGCCACTGCTTGCACTATGTGCTCACACAGCCTATAGTGCAACTTTTGGTTCCAAAAAAATAAAGATTCACATGCTCATATATCTTGGTGTTGTGATAATCTGTTATTTAACACTTATAATATGCTTTGCAGATAGAAGCATTTTATATGAATGCTGAGTGATAGCTGCGAATTATTGAAACCAACCATTTATTTAAAAATCATCCTATCACTCAAAGGCTATTTTTTTTTTTTTGCCATATATTTCTTTTGAAGTGGTCTTTTAGTGCTATCTTTTGCTCCTGTTTAAAATTCAGCTATAGGCCTGGCGCAGTGGCTCATGCCTATAATCCCAGCACTTTGGGAGGCCGAGGCGGGCAGATCACGAGGTCAGGAGTACGAGACCATCCTGGCTAACGTAGTGAAACCCTGTCTCTACTGAAAATACAGAAAAAATTAGCCTGGCGTAGGTGGTGCATGCCTGTAGTCCCAGCTACTTGGGAGGCTGAGGCAGGAGAATGGCATAAAACCCAAGAGGCAGAGCTTGCGGTGAGCTGAGATCGCGCCACTGCACTCCAGCCTGGGAGGCAGAGCGAGACTCCGTCTCAAAAAAAAAAAAAATCAGCTATAGTAAATTCCTATAATTGTTTGTTACCTAGGCATCCGTCTTGAATATTAAGTTGGACTTTTTCATACCAGAAACAGGGCTTAGTCACCCTTGACACAGTTTCTAATTCCTACCTCCTGCCAGTTTCTTAATGTTGCCAATCCAGATATTTGCCTTATGCAGACTCCTTTGTTGACCTCCCTTTGGGCCAGCTAGGTACAACCTACTTGACTTGCCCCCCAACCCCCATACCCTGCATGGGCTGCCCAGATATGTCTCATTGACCACCTCTGAGTGACAGCATGACTCCACGGAGCTCATGCCTGCTTTTTGTAAGCCCACCGGTAACACCCTGAGCCGTAATAAAGTGCTTTGATCTCTTCCTTTCTCTCTTGTGATCCCACCTGCTGGTTGCATGTGCAAGTGGCCTCACTTTTCTGGCATTTTGAGGTGTGCTGTCCTCTTCTCTGCAATAATCACCAAGTAATACACTGCTTCTGTTATGTCATGCACTTTGCTTTTTTGTTTCCTTCTCTGTGTCTCACCTGACATATCCATACCTGACTCTCCTCCTGGTCAGGGCTCTCCTAGAAAGTGGCTATCTTGGGAGAAATAAATTGGACACAGGTCAGACAAGAGCCACAAGTATATCTGCTGGTATAAAAAAGTTTCCTGTGACACCTCGTCATGGGTCAGACACTTAGGCATTAGGCCATCGACTGGATAAAAAAGTATCCTGTTAAAGATAAACTATACGCATCCATGACCACTTCCCCTGGAACCCTGTTAGGGCAGGGCTTGAATTTATAGCCACTCTCCAGAGAGAGACTCCAACACTAAGAGGAAAACACACCATCAGAGTTCACAAACAAGTAGTAAGATATGCACTGGAGTAAAAATCTGTAATATCCTAATGTAGATGCACATTTGTAAAACTGAAGATCACGATGACAATTCCAAAAGGAACTTCTTTACCAGTTAATTATTAAATAAACAGATTGGTAGTTTCCACACCTTAACCACTACTGGTTACTTGAATCTAAGGTAGGAAAATAGTGAATACAAAGAAGTTTGAATTATGAAACTTATGTATTATCCTTTTCCAATGCAGTCTGATTTTTTGAAAACTGAAAACCAAAAAACTAATCTTAAGAAGCTGAGTTTTTCGCAAAGGGTTTTCTCAAATATTTTTCCTTTTTTTTTTTGAAATAGAGTCTCACTCTGTCACCCAGGCTGGAGTGCAGTGGCATGATCTCAGCTCACTGCAACCTCCAACTCCCGAGTTCAAGTGATTCTTATGCCTCAGCCTCCCGAGTAGCTGAGACTACAGGCACTTGCCACCATGCATGGCTAATTTTTGTATTTTTAGTAGAGGCAGGGTTTCACCATGTTGGCTAGGCTGGTCTTGAACTTCTGACTTCAGGTGATCCGCCCACCTTGGCCTCCCAAAGGGCTGGGACTACAGGCATCAGCCACCATGTCTGGCCTTCGCAAGTTATTAAGTAGTATTTATAGGGTATTAAAAAACAACTTTGTAAATATTCTTTATTGAATTAGTAAAATTTGATCGTAGATAGTGAGCTAACTTATTTGGCATGCTGAAGGTTAATGGTTTTCTTTGGGAAAATGTAAAACAATGGAAAACAAGCTGCATTTCTAGTACTGGTAACTAGAATGCTGTAGCACTGGGTAGGAAGGCAGGTATCTGAAAGTTTATCTTACTACAAATGGAGTAATAGAAGTAAAACAATCTGTGTAAGTTTCATAACATATCTGATTCTCATTTTCCTGATTTTTTTCCCTGTAAGTCACTTCCAACTCTATGTAGGTCTTTTATAAGTATTCCTCCACTTTGCTGGTACTCAGTTTTTTTCTTGAAGATTTTGTAAGTTTAAACTTTATTGATTTGTTGAAGCTTAGCTATTACCATATTGATATTTTCTATGGCTTAAAGTGCAGTGAGAAAAATAATTTAGAAAACATAGTGAAAATATGTGTTTCAATGGAAAACTGCCTTGTCTACATGCAGCACATTTTCTCAGGTTATCTGATTCTAGCCTTTCCTTGGCTTTGGCCTATTTTAAACTCTGTAACTTGTAGATAACTGGTAGTAATGCATTTATAGACATGTATATTTTGCCTTGTCCAGCGAAGGTTCAGTCATATACCTCTCCCATGCATACCATTGTGGAAAAACTCATTTTGCCCTTATTTGCACATACATTTCAAAATTTCTAATCTATAAATGTGTCTGTTCTTCAGATTATCTTTTGAAGTGGTTATATCATCTGCCTGATCCCCTCATTGATTAATGCTTACAATTAAACTTTTAACGTGTTTATTTTTATATCTGTATGAGTCATGATTTTCATTTGTGAATTATCTTTAAACAACGGTTAGATCCCTTACTTTGATTTTTTCACTTAAATGTAACTGTATCTTAATATGATGAATAATTTATAAGAAACTTGTAAAGTTTGTTATTCAATTCTAATTTTGACTTAAAATATGATAGCAGTGTATATATAGAATTACTATGATTATTTTCCTAAGCCACGAGGCAGTGGCAGTGGCTTCTGTTTCTCTTCCTCCCTGCCCTTCCTCCTTCCTTACTTTATAGTATAAGAAATTAGAATAGATCCAAAGCTAGAGTTGAATGCTGACCGACTTACTAGCCTTTAATTCGGAATATACCTCTGTAGATAGCAAATATCAAATGCATATTGTTCTCCTTTTCCCCTTCTACTTCTCCAGACAACTGAGCCATTTTGAAGTACAATGCAGAACCAAATCTTCAGTTGAGAATACTTATTTTTTAACGTATAATCTTTATATACATATTCTCTAGACTGTTACCTGAAAAAAAAGTACTATTTTGCCAGTGTAGTCATATTATTTTCATGTATGTAATGTGCTAGCTTTTAAGAAGCATCATATAGACTTCCAGACTAGGTTTAAAATGCTAAATTGCCTGCCTATGTGTATCATTTTTCACAGGGTGAACAAAGGAGATAATGATTCCTTTGACTTCTGACCCAATGACTACCACTGTAGGCAAGAACAACGTTAAACATTTTTGAAATTTTATAAATGTTTTAGTGGCATTACCTGCAGAATTTTATTGTTGTGGTTTTTTTTGGACTACTGTCTTGAACTGTAGCCATGGAAAAGTTTCCTTACTAAAAGAAATAATCAGGAATAAAAAAAAGAAATAACATTGTTGGGGAGAAGAGAAGGGAATTAACATTTATAATACTTTTCTTGCTTATTTCTAGTGTTTTCAAATTTCCTGTGGAGAGCAAAATACTTCTACATTAAAAAAGCTTTTATTGTCTTTGTTGAAAATAAGATACAAGAAGTAGACTTTAATTTGAAAAAATATAATGTAGTGAATTAGATTAAAATGTTTATGTATGAGGAAAATAGGCCCAGCATGGTGGCTCATGCCTGTAATCATAACGCTTTGGGAGGCCAAGGCAAGAGGATTGCCTGAGCCCAGGAGTTCAAGACCAGTCTAGGCAATGTGGCAAAATCCTGTGTAAACCAAAAGTATCTGAGACAGGTCTTAATTAATTTAGAAAGTTTATTTTGACAGAGTTAAGGATGCGTGCTCGGGAGGCAGGAGTCTGTGCCTTTCTCTAAAGATGATTGTGAGGGCATCATTATTTAAAGGGTAAAGGGCAGATATTGGGGAAGGAGGAAGGAATTTGAAAAAGGTGTGGGTAGGCCGGGCGCAGTGGCTCACGCCTGTAATCTCAGGACTTTGGAAGGCTGAGGCGGGCAGATCACGAGGTCAGGAGATCGAGACTATCCTGGCTAACACGGTGAAACCCCGTCTCTACTAAAAATACAAAAAAATTAGCTGGGCGTGGTGGCGGGCGCCTTTAGTCCCAGCTACTCGGGAGGCTGAGGCAGGAGAATGGCGTGAACCTGGGAGGCGGAGCTTGCAGTGAGCCGAGATCATGCCACTGCACTCCACCCTGGGCAACAGAGCAAGACTCCGTCTAAAAAAAAAAAAAATGGTGTGGGTAGATAAGAGACAAATGGTTGCATTCTTGAGTCTTTGATCAGACTTTCACCAAATACACAATTTACCTTGTGAGGGGAGATAGGGAAATAGTCACTTAGGCCTTTGTCTAGCTCAGTGAATCTGCATTTTTCCATCAGAGGAAGCAGTCAGATATGCATTTGTCTCAGGTTGGCACAGGGTTGACTTGGAGTTCTGTCCTTTGTCCAGTACTTGTGAAAGTGAGCTATCAATTTACAATGCCAGGGTGAAAGTCAACAGAATAAAATGGGAGGCAGGTTTGCTTGATGCAGTTCTCAGCTTGACTTTTCCCTTTGGCTTAGTGATTTGGGGGTCCTGATAATTTATTTTTCTTTCACACCCATCTCTACAAAATTTAAAAAATCATCAGCTTGATGTGGTGGCATGTGCCTGTAGTCCCAGCTACTCAGGGGCCTGAGGTAGGAGGATTGCTTGAGCCCCAGAATTTAAGGTTGCAATGAGCTGTGATCACCACTGCACTCCAGCCTGGGTGACAGAGCAAGACCTTGTCTCAAAAGAAAAAAAAAAAAAATGAAAGTAGTTCATTGTTTATAAAACTGCACAGTAAATGTTAATTTAATGAATTTCATTGATATTTTAAACATTGCAAAATGATTGATCTGCTGTTCAGTTATTTATTGAATTCCTATATTGTACTATGTATTTTATGCCACATTCAATAATGGTAGATTAACTTAAAGTTTTTTTCTCCAGTGAAATAGCATATAACATTTATGCAAACCATGCTATTGTTAACAGAAAAACCAAACACTGTAAAATATTTAAAAATTCATTCTGAGCCAATATGAGTAACAAGGCCCAGAGAACATTCTCAAGAGCTTGTGAGAAAATGTGCCTGAGGCAGTTGGGTTAGTTCAGTTTTATACATTTTAAGGAGACAGAAATTATGGGTAAAATCATAAATCCATACATGGAAGAACATTGGTTCAGCCTAAAGAGGTGTTATATCTTGAAGTGTTACAGTCATAGGTGGATTCAGATATTTTTTGATTGGCAATTGGTTGAAAGACTTAAACTTTGCTTAAAGACTTGAAGTCGGTAGAAAGAAATGCTTGAGTTAAGGTAGAGGGAGTTGTGGAGACCAAGGTTCTTGTTCTTGTTATGTAGATGAAGCCTCTGGGTAGCAGCCTTTGGAGAGAAAAGATGGTAAATGTCTCTTTTAGACCTTAAAGGTGTCACATTCTTGTTTAATCACTCCTAGGTCCAGGAAAGACCTAGAAAGGGAAGGCCTGGCTATATGAATGGAAATTCTCCACAGTTGCAAATTCCCCCACAAGGGATGGCTTTGCGGGGCCTTTTCAAAATATGTCAAAGAAATATATTTTGGGATAAAATATTTGTATCTCCTTTAGAATCTGCTATCTGTCATATGATACTATACCAGAGTTGGATTGGAATTTGGTATCTTATTGCCACAGTCTGTGTTGTCAGCCTTATAATCTCTATTTCAATGTTAATGCTGGTCAGTTGTGCCTAAACACCAAAAGGCGGGGGTATGAGGAGGCTTGTCCAACCTCTCTTCCCATCATGGCTAGGAATTCAGTTTTTCAGGTTTCTTTGGGGCCCTGTTGGCCAAGAGGGAGTCCATTTAGTTGGTGGGAGACCTTAGGATTTTTGTTTGTTTGTTTATGTGGTAAAACATTTTATAGGCACCTTTTATTTTCAGTTAGAAATCATTTTTCTTCTCTTCACTTCTCATTTTTCCTACCCATTTTATGGTATCAATGAAAAAATGTTAACTACTAAATACAGAAAATTGGAGAAAGCAAAGCATGTAATTCAATACAAGTACTCATTTTAAAACATATCTTAGTCACATTGAGTTCAACCAGTTTTAATCTGTAAACAGTTTCCTATTATTATTAATTTATAAAACTTAGAAAGAAGCATATAAATGTTTGTGTAAGCATAAAGATGTTTTTCCTATAGCATGTAACACTTGAAGTTCCTCATTTGATGTATTTGCAAGTAAACTAATTTGGGGTTATTAATAATCATTTTTATATTACAAATTCCTTAATTATCCAAGTACTGTTATATTGTCTCTGAGTTTGAAAAGATGATTCCAAATCACCACTGAAGTAATCATACCTTAGATCTCAGCAAAACATCTAAATGCTATTGTAGAGGAAGAAAAACTTCTCTACCCTATTAGATTCAGTAGCTGGGATTTTTGGACTATACTGACAAAAGGCAGATTAACAGGAGAAAGGGTTTATTTCACATGCACATGGAGAGGGGGATCTCACAGAAAAGAAGTGAAAACACCAAGGAGGCAGTTAGACTTGGGGGTTATATACCATTTTAACAAAGGGTGATAGAGATAAGAGACTACACAAAGAAAAAGGGATTTGGGCTTGGCAGGGTGGTAAGTTGTGGGAAGGAAATATGTGATAAATAAGAATTTTTAGTAAGATTTGTTATGCAGACTCAGGTCATCTCAGGAGATAAGAATTGTCTCTGCAGTTGGTTTCCTCTTCCTAGTATGGTAGAAGAGTACATCTTTACATATGGAAATTTTCTTTACAAATGTAAATTTCTTTTACAAAAGGGAATTTATGCTATGTTTTTAGACAGAAAGGAGGAGTACAGAAAGTGTCTATGTTTGATGTTTCTAAATTGCCTTCAGTTTAAAATAATTCTTATGCCAATGTAGCATGTTTTAGGGTAGTATATTGTGATCCCCTTTACTATCTAGACATGAGAGAAAAAAAATCTCAAGTTTTGATTGACATTTCAATTATAAAAATACAGGAAAGATGAAATTGGTGTGTGAATTTTATTTTCGATATAGTGCTCATTATATATAAAAATACTCTTAATTATCAGTGCTTACCTAATTTCCTTTAATTCAAAATTATTTTGGGTAAAGCAAATAATTATTTAGTAATGTAAGACCATAATCAATTGTTTTCTGAAGATGATTACTTAGGCAGTTAATGGAAGCAGATTATGGACTTACTGTAAGACTATTGAATAAATAATCAGTATTTGTCTTGGATTGGGAAATGTAATGGATTGCCACACCATTTGCAGCCACCAATCTCACTACTGTCACACTTCTTTATACTTGTCCAGGATTTTCCTTGATAAGTAGAGTATTTTAAAAAACTCTCCTTTAACCTCAGTGCCATATACCTTCAACTACCTGCAAAGATCTCATGATTTGAAGGAAAGGTCGTGATCTCTTCTCAAAATGTTGGGGGACCCCATTCTAATGTGTCTCAAGCTTTGATATTAGGTTACACAAAAGCTAATCTTAATTTATATTGTTGGCTGGGTGCAGTGGCTCACGCCTGTAATCCCAGCACTTTGGGAGGCCGAGGTGGGTGGATCACAAGGCCAGGAGATGGAGACCATCCTGGCTAACACGGTGAAACCCCGTCTCTACTAAAAATACAAAAAATTAGCCAGGCATGGTGGCGGGCGCCTGTAGTCCCAGCTACTCAGGAGGCTGAGGCAGGAGAATGGCGTGAACCCAGGAGGCGGAGCTTGCAGTGAGCCGAGATCAAGCCACTGCACTCTAGCTTGGGTGACAGAGCGAGACTCCGTCTCAAAAAGAAAAAAAAAAAAAATTATATTGTTAAAGGCGATATTAGGTATATAATTAATGTACGAATACATTTTTCTTTAAGAGTTATGATATTATGGTCAAGATTGAAGTTCCTTTTATGCCTTTTCCTTGGCCCCCTCAGGTCTGTTCTCCACCCACTTTCCTTGAGGTAACAATTTGAATTTGGTATGCATACTTCCAGATCTCTATTTATGCCATAAATACATATTACGTGTGTATGTGCTTTTTCCTAAACGGTGTCATTCTGTATTGTTATTTCATAATTTATATTTGTATTCAATCGTTTGTCTTAATGATTTTGCCATGTTAGTCTCAATAGATCTACATTATTCCTTCAAACTGTGTATATTATTTACATTATAAATCAGGTTAGTTATTGCCCTATTGGTGTATATTTAAAATATTTCTTTTTTTTTATGTATGTATGAGTGAATGAATGAATAAATGAATGACAGGGTCTTACTCTGTCACTCAGGCTGAGAGTGCAGTGATGTGATCATGGCTCACTGCAGCCTCAACCTCCTGGGCTCAGGCAGTCCTCTCATCTCAGCCTCCTGAGTAGCTAGGACTACAGGCATGTGCCACCACCAAAAAAATATTTAAAAATATTTTGTAGAGATAGGGGTCTTGCTGTGTTGCCAGGCTAGACTTGAGCTTATGGCCTCAAGCAGTTCTCCTACCTTGGTCTCTCAAAGTGCTGGGATTACAGGTATGAGCCACCATGCCTGACTAACCCATTTTAAAAATGACTATGAACAGTGCATATGAGAACATTCTTATTCATGTTTTCATGTGTACATGTGCATGTATATCTTCATTTAGAGTAAATACTGAGCATTTCACATTTTTAGTTGGAAAGGACACTACTAAATGGTTCTTTTGAGTAACATTTTATCATATAATGCTATAGAAAATTAATTATCTAAGACTTAAACATTGAAATTTCATCTTCGTAAGCAAAGGTTTATTCTCAAGCAGTTGCCTGACCCCACTCTAAGCTCTGTACTAAAACTAGAATAGCCATCATCTGTAGCTGTAGGAGCCAGCTGACATATTCTTAGTACACTGAGTTTTATAAGCAGAGAAATTATTATGGAACAAGGCCAAATCAGGTGGAACTTACCTCGGGAAGATAATAAATAACCTGACTACAACCTCACAGATAACAGAAGATTCATGAGGGATAAAGTATTATTTAAGTATATGATATGGTTTGGCTGTGTCCTCACCCAAATCTTATCTTGAATTGTGGTTCCCATAATTCCCATTTGTTGGGCGAGGGACCCAGTGGGAGGTAATTGAATCATGGGAGCAGTTACCTTCATGGAGTTCTCGTGATAGTGAGTGAGTTCTCACGAGATCTGATGGTTTTATAAGGGGCTTTTCCCTCTTTTGCTTGGCACTTCTCCTTGCTACTGCCATGTGAAGAAGGACCTGTTTGCTTCCCCTTCTGCCATAATTGTAAGTTTCCTGAAACCTCCCCAGCCATGCGGAACTGTGAGTTAATTAAACCTCTTTCCTTTATAAATTACCCAGTTTCATCACGTATGCCTTTATTAACAGTGTGAGGATGGACTAATACCATATAATTTTAATGAAAAGTTAAAATCATGACTCTCCTATAGACATGAAAATGAACACATATTAAAAATTTATTTTACTCATAAAATATGAGAGAACTAGGCAGATGTTATAATCGGTTGAAAGGAAAACTCCAAAAACTCTTACATGGAGTCAAGGAATATTGAGATGAATTGCACATGGAGACAAAACTAGTTTTTCCACTCGGAGAGAGGGTAGGGAAAAAGTCAGTTCAACCGCCAATATGCAGGAAAAAATGTATCTATTAGTTACCTACAACTTAGGCAGTACCAAAATAGCTCAGACAAAAGGCACTGGCCTAGAATCTGATAAGCCAGTAGGGTATGCTATAGATTAGGTGTCCCCAATCCCCAGGCCATGGACCAGTACCACTCTGTGGCCTGTTAGGAACCAGGCTGCACAGCAGGAGGTGAATGGTAGGTGAGCCAGCGAAGCTTCAACTACAGCCGCTCCCCATTGCCCACATTATTGCCTGAGCTCTGCCTCCTCTCAGATCAGCGGCCATATTAGACTCATGGGAACGCGAACCCTATTGTGAACTGCACATGCGAGGGACCTAGGTTGCATGCCCCTTATGAGAATCCAATGCTTGATGATCTGTCACTGTCTCCCATCACCCCCAGATGGGGCCGTCTAGTTGCAGGAAAACAAGCTCAGGGCTCCTACTGATTCTACATTATGGTGAGTATATAATAATAATAGAAATAAAGTACACAGTAAGTGCAATGTGCTTGAATCATCCTGAAACCATACCCCCGCTCCTGCCCTGGTCCATGGAAAAATTGTCTTCCACAAAACCAGTCCCTGGTGCCAAAAATGTTGGGGATCACCGCTATAGATGATGCATAATTTTTTATTGAAGCACAAAAGTTTTTCTATGCTGTGAGTAACTATATCAAGTTTGCTGAAAACAGTATCAGACTTGATATTGGCACTCAAGCTGTATGCAGAACTAAGGGAGAAGATCACTGAAAAGATAGGCTTTGAGTTGCTTTGGGAACTGCCATATTTAACCAAATTCAAATGAGTCAGTGTCAAATAGACAGAGGGCTTTTTCCCTTTTTGCCATTTTTGAGTAAGAATCCTAATTGTGCCTTGAGCCCCACCACTTGAACAAGTAACCTTGAATAAGTTACGTAATCTCTCCGACGCTCAGTTTCTCCACTACCATGATTCTGCAATCTCACTAGTTGGTGTATACCCAAAGGAAATGAAATTAATATGTTGATGAAATATCTGCACTCCCATGTTCCTTGCAGCATTATTCATAGTATTCAAGATATGGAACCAACCTAAGTGTTCATCAGTGAATGAATGGATAAAAAAAATGTGGTGTATATATACATAATGGAATACTGTATATTCCATTTCAGTATACAATGGAATACTGTTTATTTCAAATTGAATACCAAAGGAAGTCCTGTCATTTGCAACAACACGGATGAACTTAGAGGACCTTATGTTAAGTGAAACAAAGCAGGCCCAGAAAGACAAATACTGCATGATCTCACTTGTGGAATCTAAACATGTTGAATTCGTAGTAGCAAGAAGTAGAATAGTGGTTATCGGGGCAGAGGGAAGGAGAAGGAAAGAACGTGGTTGGGGTGGGAATTCAGGAGATATTGGTTAAAGGATACAAAATTTCATTAGGTTGGAGGAATATGTTCAAAAGAGCTGTTGTACAACTTAGTGACTATAGTTAATAACAATGTATTATATACTTGAAAATTGCTGAGGGTAAATTTTATGTGTTCTAACCACAAAAAAAAAAAAGTATGTGAAGTAATGTGTGTGTTAATTAGCTTATTTTAGCCATTCCACAATATATACAAATATCAAAACATCATGCCATATACCATAATACATTCACACACCCCTTTTATTTGTTAGTTATAAGTACATTTGAAAGAAAAGGTGAATTTTGCCCAGAAAAATAAAGTGAGGATGATAATACTGTTTCATAAAGACAAAGTAGAATAATTCCTATTTTATTTTGAGGATTCAGTGATCTTTAAATGTAACTAAAACACATAGTAAATAGCAAGAGCTCAATAACATAGTACATGGTGTCATCAAAGTACCTACTAGGGAAAAGCTTTTTTGCTGTTCCTATGAACAGTCGGAGTTGGCATCTTGTCATTCAGGACTCACTTTAAATGTCATCTCAGAGAGAGCTTTGCTAACCACCCAGCTTAATAAGTACCTCAGCTTAATAAGTACCTCACTAGTCTTCCCTTTTGTTACCCACTCCTATTTTCATTATAGTACTTACTCTTACTTTCTATTTTCTTTTTAAAGCTTCTTTATTGTCTGTCTGTCACTATTAGAATGTAAGTTCCAAAAGAATTTTGGTCTTATACAGTAATGTGTCCCTGCAGGTAGAACAATGCCTGTCACATATTTGCTGTTCAGTGAGTGTATTTTGAATGCTGTCTATCTTCCTGTGAAAATTCCTGGGCATTTATCTTGCTGGGACTTTTCTTAGCTATAGCCAACACACATGCCCTGATAAGCTGTGGTGAGGGAAGAGATGATGGGACAACAGAAGGGTAAGAGTATATGGAAATGCTAACTGAATGGAGAGTCTGGAGCAAGAAGGAGAGGAATAGCAGGGGAGGATGGGGGAGAAAGCTGCAATTGAGTGTGTCACAATTGTGGCTATATGTTTTGGGGTGTTGTATTTTACTCTTGAATAAAGTGAAATTTTTTTCAGCTCGTTAAATTCTAGAAACTAAAGATAGTTTAGTCCAACTACATACATAGCATTTTATAAATAAGAAATAGGTCTGGAGAGATGAAGTGACCAGTCCAAATGGCACAGGTAACCTGCTGGTAGAACTGGGACTCCATACTCTGTTATTTGAATTCTTTTTTTAATATATGCTTTACTTTGTCACATGCACAAAATGTTGAGTTATGTTCTGCACATTTGCATTTTTACAAATATGCCTGTTTTTTTGCTTTCCCAATAGGTGGAAAACAGACCAAAGTATTATGGAAGAGAGTAAGTATGGATTATTAGAAAACGTTTTATAGATTGGCATATGTAAGACAGACAGGGTAAATGGATGCTTTTAAATGAAAGCAAGATGAAGTATTCAAGTTTGGTGGAGTTGCATTTATTTCTTAAAAATTTCAAATGTGATCTAATTGGTGAACAATATAGACAATAAAGACAAGTATAAATAAGAAAATAGCATGGGAAAATGTACATGCAATAATGTTAAGGATGCAAACCGTACAAGTAAGTAATCTTAGATGTATATGAGGAAAATGTACATATTTGTGTTTTTGTGTACATATATATTAGGTATATAGATACGTATATACACACACATGTATGTACAGTGGGATGTGGGTGATTTATTCTATATATTTTTATTTTTCAGATTTTCTTAAATAGTATGTATTATCTTTATTATGAGAAAAATATAATAATTCATGCTACTCAGAAACAACTAATGTTAACAATTTGAAGTATTAATATCTGAAGAAATGTTTTCCTAATGGATTTGAACCAAATTGAGATATTATACATATCATTTTATAGCCTGATTGTTCCATTTAAAATTGACAATGAGCATTTTTCTGTTTTGTGAAAAATGCAATGATTTTTAAAGTCCTTAATTTTTCAGGTTATTGAAAAACAGAAATGTAGCACTTTGGGGAAAAGAATAAAAATCACTCATAATCTCATCATTCCTCAAAATTGTTTGTTTTTTCTGACTGGAGATCATATCAGATAAAAGTATACATTATAAATATTTTTAAATTATTTAAAATTCTTTATGTTTTCAAGACTTAGAAATGGATTACAGATGCACACCTATGAGTTGAGGAAAGGGTGATTTCAAAGTTAAGGTTGTATTGTAATTTATATAGTCATTCTGCTTTTGGTATAATAGATTGCTTTTAAACCATACTATTGGAAGTAACACCATATCATATGAAACATCTCAGTACGTGCGGTCTTGGGGGTTAGAAATTTTTGATCAACTTGTGCAAATAATTTTAAAATTCTTTAAATATATTGTCAAGTTTTGTTTCAGAATTTGTTTTCTTTAGTTTGATTTTCTTTTAAGTTAATTGAATTTTTTTTTTTTAAGATGGAGTTTCGCTTTTGTCGCCCAGGCTGGAGTGCAATGGTGCGATCTCGGTTCACTATAACCTCCACCTCCCGGGTTCAAGCGATTCTCCTGCCTCAGCCTCCCAGGTAACTGGGATTACAGGTGCCCGCCACTATGCCTCGTTAATTTTTTGTATTTTTAGGACAGACGGGGTTTCACCATGTTGGTCAGGCTGGTCTTGAACTCTTGACCTCAGGTGATCCACCCGTCTCAGCTTCCCAAAGTGTTGGGATTATAGGCGTGAGCCACCGCACCTGGACTGCAATGAGGTTTTAAAAATTACAAAACCTCCTGGGTTCAGGCAGTTCTCCCACCTCAGCCTCCCGAGTAGCTGGGACTACAGGCAACTGCCACCACATCCAGCTAATTCTTTGTGTTTTTAGTGGAGATGGGGTTTCACCATGTTGGCCAGGCTAGTCTCTAACTCCTGACCTCAGTTGATCCACCCACCTCGGCTTTCCAAAGTGCTGGCATTACAGGCGTGAGCTACTGCGCCCAGCCAGTTAATTGAATTTTTAAACAGATAGATAACTATATTTTACCAACTGTATTATTTGATATTATGTAAAGTTAAAATATATACCAACGTGCTAAATAGCAAGGGATAGGTTACCATCTCCTTGCCTGCAGCAGATTCAAAGCATTAGCCTTTGGACCTAGTTCTCAAAGACTGGGAAATTTATGGAGATAAGAAATTCAGGAGCCCATTGTAAACCTAGCTGTCATGATTTGAACATGCCTACTGTGAACTGTTTGAAGAGTTAAATTGAGAGACTGAACCATCCCTATCAGGAAAAACTCCAGAAAATTTCCTCTTGCCCCTAGTAATGTTCCTGAATTATTAAGGTGCCATTTCAACGCCTTTTAAATGTATCATTCCAAATTCAAGTGACTATTGTTTCTTTAGTACCAGTAAAAGCTGCAAAATTTCTTTTGAGCAATGAGTCATTGCAGTTATTGTAGGGGAGGAAAGACTTTCCCTCTACCCTCCTATGTTTGAGAGCTGGGTCTATGAAATAAACAATAGGCAGATTAACAGGAGAGAAGGTATACAAATTTGTTAATTTTTAATACTACTTGCACAGGGGCATCACAGAAAAAAATAAAGTGAATCCCACTCCAAAAAGTGAGATTTGAGAGTTTGTATACCATCATAACAGGGGAATGGGAGGGAAGTTTCTGGCCATTTACGGGAAGGTAAATGATAGTTTGTGAAAGAGTTTGTATGAATGTGTTGTCGACTTTTAGTCTTCTCTCCTCCGTAAGAGTCAGTCTTCCCCGGTTGCTGAAACTCATGGGAGGACATTGGTAACAGTTGAGTTCCTTTTGGATGATCTATCTTTAGGTAGATAGGGAGAGTCAGAGAAAGCCTGTGTCTGCATTTGATGTTTTTGAAGTGCCTTTAGCTCAAAATACTCGATACAGCAAAGTGGCATATTTTGGGGTGACATGTCCTGAATTCCTTCATTATCTTTGAGTTATAGAAGGACATATAGGTTCTTTGTAAATTGTAAATCGCTATAAAAATGTGTAAGGTGGCTTTTTATTTTTAATATGTGTCACAACTGACATTTTTTTCAGTGTTTTATGCCAGATTGTTATAGGTTCATCTGTGTTTGTGTAAAGAGCATGTTATTTGTGTTTATTTTTTCTCTATTTTTCTATGTTAATCAAAGATAAGGTTTTAGCAGGGAATGAAAACAAGTATTATAGTTGTTTGCTTTGGACTTGAGTGTTCAGTAATGCAGATTATGCACATTATTGGGCAATCATGCCAATTAAGGACAACCCAGGGTCCTGGAAAATTGCCAACATAGACTCAGCCAAAATTTTGGAGCAGTGCTACTAATGGGAAGAAAGGAAAATAGGATACATTTTCTGCGTTTTTTTTTTTTTCTTTTCTTTAGCAAGCCATATGGTTAAATGGATACGTAAGAAAGGAATTGTCCTCTTGAGAGAGGTGGTTGATCTTCCCTTAGATGGATGTGAATTTTGATTCCATGGTTGTTAACTGGATTGGGTAGTACTTTGGTGCTGTTCTTATCACCACAGAGAAGCTGGCTGGGGGCCAGGTCCAGAGAAACACAAGCATAGTTAAACCCAAGTGCTTCCCTTCCATTATGTGGCAGTACTTTGTCTTGAAAACAACAAGAGAAGGTGGTGGTGGTGGGACGTTGTTTTATCTTGTTTTATTGAAAAATGTAGAAAGCACAGTTTCTGAATAGACTTTGTTTCTTAGGTTTCATGGCATGATCTCCAGAGAAGCAGCCGACCAGCTCTTGATTGTGGCTGAGGGGAGCTACCTCATCCGGGAGAGCCAGCGGCAGCCAGGGACCTACACTTTGGCTTTAAGGTTGGTCATGGGCCTGCAATTACTACTGTGCTTTATTTAAAACTCTCTTAATATAGGGCTTTAAATTTTAAAAGCATTCAGCATGTAATTGAATTGGTTCTTGTTTTCTTGGGATCTAATTACCATTTTAATAGCTTTGAGACCCTTTAAAAATTCCTCGTGAATGGTAACACTCAGTAATTAAGAATAGAAAAACTTTTTTTTTTTTTTTTTTTGAATGGAATCTCACTGTGTTGCCAGGCTGGAGTGCAGTGGCACGATCTCGGCTCACTGCAACCCCCTCTGCTTCCGGGTTCAAGCTATTCTCCTGCCTCAGCCTCCCGAGTAGCTGGGATTATAGACGTGTGCCACTACGCCCAGCTAATTTTTGCATTTTTAGTAGAGACGGGGTTTCACCATGTTGGCCAGGATGGTCTCGATCTCTTGACTTCGTGTCACCCACTTTGGCCTCCCAAAGTGCTGGGATTATAGGCGTGAACCACCACACCCGGCCTGAAAAGCTTTTAAAGCATTTTGCGGTAGCTGCTTCCTTCCATTCCATCTTACCCCTTCTTTCCTGTTTGTCTAGCTTGTCGGCTTCCGTCAATTTCTTGAATAAGGAAAGAGATCAAGAGAAAAGATATTCATAACTCATAAAGCTAAAGTCAGTGCCATTTCTCTTAGGTTGGCTTTTGGTTGGAACAGTTTTTCTTGGGAGCTCTTGGCTCTTCCCTATCAGCTGAGCTTCACTTAGTGTTTTGGCTTACAGTACAGTGCCCAGAAACAAATACTCCTGCTAACCCTGCAATAATAACCCAACTTGTAAGAACAATAATACAAGAGCATACTTATCCACTGGACTTACCTTATGCCAGGCCTCTAACCTCATTTAATCCTCGCAACAACTCTATGTATTGTTATTACCCCCATTTTACAGATGAGGAAACAGAAGACCTGGATGGAGATTGAGTAACTTGATGAAGGTCACACATTTAATAACTTGTGCTGCTGCTATTTGAACCCAGATTGTCTGACTTCGGAGTCTTTGCTCTTAATCATTCTACATTGCTGCCTCACCAAAGGCTTGGAATATTTATCCGTTGTCTTTGTTCATCCCTTTATTTGTTCATTCATATATACATTCATCTATTTGGAAAAGACTTAAAAGCAGAGACTTCTGAAGACAGAGGTCAAATATATGAAATTTCTTTTGGTAGTCACAAATAGAGGATAGAAAGTTGATGTTAATGTTTAGGACTAACATGTCTAATTCCTTCTCCAATCACTTATACCTGTGTGAGCGAGCAGGGCCTGCTCTGATTCCTGTCCACAAGATTTGATATTAATCTTTCTATTAAATAGAATGAATACAATTCAGTATTATTTCATACTGAATGCTGAAATAATTGAATACTTGGAGAATAGAGCTTGTCACAGGAGTTCATGGAAATTTGCTTTTTATGGTAAATTATAAAGTGTAAATTCCACTTCAATTACTTAATTATACTGTTTTTTTCAGGTTTAAATTGTGGTATACAGGAAAAAAATTCTGGTATGGCAATTCAAATACCTATTCAATTTACCATTAATTGAATTAGAAGACTGATTTGGGGCAAATCACAGAATTTCTTGAAGTTGGTTTCTTCATCTTTCTACTCCTAACATATTATAATTCTAGAATTCTTCACCACCTTATTTCCAAATAGTCTGGTCATCTGATTATCTATGGTAAACAGCCTTGATGTAAATGGTCCAGAATAAGGAAGGAAGAAGGTGAGGTAAAATGAGAAACAGAAGCCTCTCTTTCTTTCCTTTTGGTTGCCATTTCCCCTGCATTTCTCCAGGATCACTTGGAAGTTATAAAACTTTAATTTGAACTCAGTTTTTCCTAACTACAAAATTCAAGTACTTTCACCACATTACCACATTGCCTGTCATCTTATATCTGTCACACAGTTTTCACCAGCTGATACCAGCAAATACTTGAAGGCTAAGGATTTAGTTTGGAGAAAAGTAGCACCCAGACCTTCATATCTCTTTCTCATTCCTGCCTTCTTGCACTCTCCCATTCTACTCATGGCTTTACATTTATAATCACTTCCCATCCACTTTGGCCCAGTAAATCTTGATGGAAATGTTTCAAATTAATATCTCTGGGGTAACTTACAGTCTTTCTTTTGTTACTGAAAATTGCCATAAAATCATTACTTGGAAAAGAAAAAATAGTGAGTAAAAAGGGGCTGTAATGGTCATAGATAGAGGAATTTTACTCACAATATACATTGAGTAATTTATGTGCCCAAATATGATTGACATTTTCCTTGTTTTAAACTTGATGTATGGCTAGGAAGTGTTAAGCAAAGTCTGAAATAGAAGTTGCACCGATATATGTATTATTCTTATCTGATACTCCCATTTCAACTGGTGATTCTCCCAGTTCACATCAATTTGTTTTTAACATACACGTAATCCATTAAGGGGTAGCCAGTTTGTCTATTTTATACCCATCAGTGTTATTTATGCATTTACTGTGTCAACTAGGGGCTCTAAAATTAGGAATAAGTCCTTGAACTTGATTCCTCATAGGCACCTCAATCTCAGTATATCTCAAACTGAACTCAACACTTTTCTCCCAAATGTGCTGTGATATCTATATTTCCTTTATTAGCTGGTCACATTATTATTCAGTCAATTCCATAAGACAGAAACTAAGAAATTATTTTCAGTTTTTCTTTTAGGTGTATTTTATTGTATTTGTAAGGCCTGGCACTATTCATCCAGAGGCCCCTACCTTACATTATACTACACACTATACTTCGTATCAAATACATATTTTCTGCTGTGAAAATTGTGTAAGGATTTTATGTAAATTGCTTTTGAAATTAACTTTAGTTTTATAATTTTCTTTTTTTGTGTTTTGGAGCCATACCTTTCTTTTCATATTTCGTATTTTTTATATTTCCGTATTTTTCACTTTTCTTGGACCCTGGCAAGCCCTGGGTGCTGTACCTGTATGATAATGATTAAGAGGACTTTTTCTTTGTTGCTCATCTCACACAGCCGAAACCAACGATCTTATTTCTTAAGTATTTCTCAAAATTACCTCTCCTTTTCAACTCTAAGCCACTTTCTGGACTAGTTAAGTAACTGCCTAAGAAATGTCTGTGGGTCCAGCCTTATCCTTCCCAGTACTATAAATGATCTGCCTGAAAATCTGATGGTGTGATCAGCAAGGTTGTAAGGTTTAAGTAGGGCACAGAGTTTCAAAGAACACGCCTCCCTCATGCATTGGCATCTCTCCTGCACTTAAAGGAGACTAGCCCTCCACTGAGGATCCTAATGAATGCTATGAGGTGCTGTTTAGGGGAGTGTGTATTGTATGTGTGCTGTCACACTACCAACTTTCTGCAGTCAGAAAAGAAGTTTTCACCATGTGGCATGACAGGTTTTCTATGGGTGAGATATTTTTTGCTCTTCATTTGCATCTTCTTCCATGCCCCATCTCAGCCTAAATTTTAGGCTGAGCCTTGTCTGGCTTTTCTACCTATGCTCCATCTCTTGACTTAGGAAAAATGATTTTTACTCAGTGAAAGTTTGTCACACAAGGGAAGCATATAGACAGACATTTGCGTGTTCAGAGTGTGTAGTTGAAAAGAAGATGCTAGCCAGGCACTTGGTTATGACTCATGAAGTGTTTCAAAGTGATTCTCGGATTTTCTGTATGCTGATTTTGACAACATTTGTATTCGTTGTAGTTTAATGAGATATGGCGAATATCAGTTACAAGTAACCTAAAATAATTTAAGAGGTTTGATTGAAAACACATGGCTTTCATCATTTTAGAACTAATTATTTAAAAGATATGTTTTATAAGACACTCTAGTTTTTCTCACTAAAAGAAAAAAATACTAGGTTGAGTTTGGACATTTTCTATGGGCCATTTTTCTGGTTTACTATTCCTGACTTCTGCTGTTTGTGATCTGCTGTTAGACCCATTCGTTGAGTTTTTAATGTCAAATACTATGTTATTTAGTTCCAAAATTTTCATTTGATTTTTGGAAATAGTGAAATTTAAGAAGGTGAAAAACCTTGTGGAGAGCTAATATGAGTGAATATATGAAATGATCTTTTAAATATTTGATATCTACTTTCTCTTTTTTTTTTTTTTTTTTTTTTTTTGAGACGGAGTCTCGTTCTGTCGCCCAGGCGGGAGTGCTGTGGCGCGATCTCCGCTCACTGCAAGCTCCGCCTCCTGGGTTCACACCATTCTCCTGCCTCAGCCTCCCGAGTAGCTGGGACTACAGGCGCCCGCCACTGCGCCCGGCTAATTTTGATATCTACTTTCTCATTGTCACCACTGTCCTGGATAAAAACCCAAACAATTTATGGGTATAAATGCAATCATAACCCATTCAGAACTAATTTTTTTCTTGCTATTTTTATCTAAACATTTTATTTTTGGGGGGATTGCCATAAATGCCAAAAGGCCTTTACTAACTCAACAAATTTGTATCATTTTTATCCTAATGGCTGTTTACTTTTCCTGCCTTAACAAAAATAATGCAAATAGGTGAACTATAGCCTAAAATTAGGATCTTACTATTATTTCTCCTAAGTCATCCATGTATTGCAGAGTACATTTGTTTAGACTCTGTCCAAGAGTTTTCTTGGAAATTAAAAAAAAAAAATTCTTTATCAACGTTGGACATTTAATATGGCATAAGACTAAAGTTATGCATTAACTTTGACTTATTAGTGGGCTGTCTGTCAATGTTGGTTCCCTTTGACATAAAATACTTCTTTTTCACAATGACTTAACCTGCTAAATTTGTTCACTTTTACTAAGAAAAATAAACATTGTATGTATTTCACTAAAACTATAGAAGAAAACTGGAAAAAGAAACATTTAAAATGTTAACAACTTAAACAGGAACACTTTCTATGTAATGTATAGATTGAAAGAATAGAGGAAAATCAGAGAGAATAAGGAATTAAGATTTAAAAAGAAAACTCTCAGAAAATAATTGCAGTTACCCATTCTCACTGTTAGAACTTTGGAAATGAAGTTGTAGTATAGACTTTAGAATTAGACAAACCTGAGTTCTAGTTTCCTGCCTTATTTTGTATATTTAACCTTTTCAAGCTTTAGTTTCCTATTTATAAAACAGGGATAATAATCCCAGTATATCGCAAAAGGGACCCTTTAAAATTCTGTTATTAGCAGCATCCCACTTTCAAGAATCATATTCTTTATCCATTGAGATGCTTTCAGCCACAAGTATTACCTGACATTCAAAATAAGCAAACTCTACTCACTTAGACATAAGTTATTTAAGGTAATATCTCACATACTAAGTTCAGAAATGTAATAATAGCATGGATGGTCAGTATTCTAGTGATGTTATGAAGGACTTGTGATCTTTCTATTTGTATTCATGGCTAGTCACAGCATCAGCTTCAGTCTAAGGTTGGTTTTCCTTGTGTCAAAAGATGGCTGCCAGTGCAATCAGAATTGTAAGATTTCTTGTTTATGCCCAGCAGGAGAGTGTAAGGGAACCTCTCTTCTCTCTTGCAGTATGCATCCTTTCCTTCAGGTTGATAGGGCTAACATGAGTCTGCCTTTCCCATTCTTGGACCAGTAACATCTCGGGGAAATGCATGTACTGATTGCTTGTCTAACCTAGCATCTGCTCCTAGAACAGGGAAATGGGTCAGCTTGTTCTGGAAGGTAAGGCTTTGGAAGGAAGAATGAATGACCAAACAAAATCTGGTTTTCTTTTCTTGTTTTAAGTGAAGGAAGAAGGTTGGAGGAAGGGAGGGAACGTGTATACCAGTTAGATAGTTAACTATAGCTAAGTACAGGCTGTACTTAGAAAGCAGTTTCTTTATTAGGCAGATCAACCCATGGTGTAATTTTTCAAATATTTTAGCTCTGGTCAATCTCTTACTAAAGTTGTATGTCTAATTTTAGCTTTAGTAAATACTGTAGTAAGAAAACCAGGTGTGAGTTCCAAAGACAGTTTTGTGTGAGGGCAGGTGTCAAAGAGTTTTGTAAAATATGTTTTGATAATGTTCTTTTGCCTATAATATTGTAGAAATTTGATTTGAAATGTTTTCCAAACTGACTTTAGGTCAGCATTTTAAAGGTGATATGGAAAACCTAATTATATTAATAATTTTAGCATAATGAAACCCATAGATTTTTTATTAATATCCAAAAATATTTATCCCTGGTATGTCACTAATATGTGTCAAGGCATTTTCATGGAAATTGGAGGGGCTTGCTCTTCACTGTTAAATTGGACAATTGAAATAATTCTCCAGATTCTGAATTATTAAAAAGAGCAGCATTTATTGAGCTTCTATATCGTGCCAGATACTATTCAAGTGGGTCAAGAAAGAAGACATTGAAGCTAGCTCTTAAAGGTAGACTGGCTTACCAAGTAAAAGGGTAGAATATGATGAAAAACAAGTATTTTGCGAAGAAGAAATGGTGCCGGAATGTAGAACAGCATGGAGCATTTCGTGTATGGCAGTCTGCTGAGGGACTGGGAGTATGGGAAATTTTAGCACTTAGTGTGCCAGGAGAGCCTAGAATTTCATGCTTAAGAATTTGGGCTTTATCTGTAGGAAATGGGAGTCATTGAAGGCTTTTAGTAGAAGACAATAGGGTTACATTTATGATTTAGAAAGATCATTGCTGGAGGAATTAGAATGCTGAGTGGAAAGGGTGGTAGGAACTATGTTTTACCAGAATTATTTGGATAATTAATTTAGTAAGCAGTTTTTCTTTGACTATGGAGAACTGATATTTAAAAGGGCTTCTGTATCCTTACAGATTTTAAAGGGTTCACTTTGAAGAGAACTTGTTAACTCCAAATTTGGCAACTCCAGAGACATTTCTGTTAATCTGACTCATTTTAGCTTCTCTAAATTGGGAGAAGAACAAAGTGACATGTGCAAGAGTCTTGATAATCCCCAAACCCTGTATCTGGATATTTCAGGGCATATTTGGACATATTCCAGAGAATGCCTTATACCTACAATACTTGGCACTTTCCTGTTGATTTTATGCTGACAATAACGTAAGAACTATTTGGAAAAATTTTAGTAATTGAGAACAAATGATAAACACTGAAAAAACATGATGTTTGGGAAAATTATATTTTCTTTTAAAAATATGTCACATTTCATAAATTCAGAAACATAAAACTTTTATCAATCTGAAAAATAAAATTTATTATACAGAATAGTATGTATAGTATCATACTACTTATATAAAATTTCGTACCTATGGGTACTTAAATAGAAAGGTGTCTAAAAGAATGATCACCAAAATGTTTGGTGTTTATCTCTTAGTGACTAACTTAAACATGATTGTTACTTCTTTGTATTTTTTGAGTTACCTGATTTTTTTTTTACAGTGCACATGTATCATTTTACAAACAGAAAAAAAAAAAAAAAACCAAAAGAGCTATTTTTATTTTGAGAAGAAATGAAGACATTAGTTGCAATGTTGGGTCAAAACAAAAGATAATACCTCCTAAATCTCCAAAGATTTGACACTAAACAGAATGTAACAATTTATTTAAATAATTCCTTGGAAGAAGGATTGGTCAGCCCTGGGGCAATAGAAAGAAAAGTCATAGAGGCCTCTGTTCCATCCAAGGTCTATACGGGAGGGGAGTCTTGACCAGCATTGGCAGTGCTGTCTCTGGCATGGAGAGGAGAAAGGAGCCACATGGGTCTGTCTGCCATTAAACATAATCAATTGAATTTTTTTTCCAGCAGTAGTTCCCAGAGCCTATGAGTATTGTTAATAACAAACTCATTTGATCATGAGACCCCCTTTTCATGGACTTTCTCAGTGGAACACACTTTGAGAAATGTTCCATTCAACAATTGATCCCTCATTTCCTCTTGCTCTGGACCTCATGCTCACCAAGCAGCCTTCTGATTAATGTCTTCCCGTGTTGTCTGTCTACAGAGTGAGAAAACTTAAAATATATAGGCTGAGTGTTCAGAGCCTTTGAGTTATTATTTCTCATTTTCAATTAACAAATTAAGATTAAATGCTGGGACTACCAGGAGGAAAAGACGGAAGAAAATCTACAAGGTTTCTTCTGTTTGGTAAATTCAGATAAACATGCACTCCCCAGTCCTCATTTTTTCCCCCCTTTTAAAAAGACACCCGTTTTTGATCAATGAACCTAAAATGACTGCTTGCTAAAGTGTTAACTTGATAGAGAAAAAAATGTTAAGGGTTAATTGCCTCACCGATTCTTTTTCTTCCTGTTTTCTCATTTTTTTCCTGGACCAAAAAAGACTGCCTTCTATTCAAACAGTGTTATGAAACATCTACTGAAGGCAACCAAGCACTGTTTCTATGTATTATAAAATTGCATCTTTTTTTTCTTACTCTGTTTGCAAGCATGGCTTTTGCATGTTCTCATATCTTACTTTTTTAAAACTGTTTCTTCAGTTATATAGCATAGCAATTCACCTGTTTCAAGTGTACAGTTCAGTGGTTTTTGGTACATTCACAAAATTATGACATAATCAATTTTAGAACATTTAATGCCCCTGAAAAGAACCTCTACATCTATTTGCCCTCACTTTCTGTTTCTCAGCTCTCCCAGCCCTAGGCAACCACTAATCTACTTTTGTCTCTATTGATGTAAACAACCTAGACATTTCATATAAATGACATTATATATGTTCGTGACTGACATTTTTCCCTTAGCATAATGTTTTCAAGGTTTATCCATGTTGTGGCATGTATAAGTACTTTGTTCCTTTTTACTAATGAATAATATTAGAAAAATATTCCAGTAGTTGATGGACATTTGAGTTGTTTCTACTTTTTGGCTATTATGAATAATACTGCTGTAAATAATGTTATTATGAATAAAATTGTGTGCAAGTTTTTGTATAAACATATGTTTTTATTTCTTTTGGGTATATACCTAGGAGTGAAGTTGCTGGGTCGTATTGTAACTCAAAAGTAACCTTTTGAGGAATCATGGAATGGTTTTCCAAAGTGGTTATATCATTATAGTCCCACCAGCAGTGTATGAAGTTTCCAGTTTCTTCACATCCTTTTCAACACTTGTTATATCTCTTTGAATATAGACATCCTAGTATATGTGAAGTGCTATCTCATTAAAGATTGATTTGCACCTTACTCTTGAATGGTATTTCATTTAAAAACATTTTTATCTGGCTGGGCGCGGTGGCTCACACCTGTAATCCCAGCACTTTGGGAGGCCGAAGCGGGTAGATCACGAGGTCAGGAGATCGAGACCATCCTGGCTAACACGGTGAAACCCTGTCTCTACTAAAAAAATACAAAAATTAGCCGGGCATGGTAGCTGTAGTCCCAGCTTCTCAGGAGGCTGAGGCAGGAGAATGGCATGAACCCGGGAGGTGGAGTTTGCAGTGAGCCTAGATTTCGCCACTGCACTCCAGCCTGGGCAACAGAGCGAGACTCCGTCTCAGAGAAAAAAAAAAAAATTTTTTTTTATCCTCAGCATGGTTTTTATTCACTAGTATTCTGTCTATTCAAACTTCAATTCTCTCTCAAAAGTATGCATACATAACAGTGGATTTAAAGTAGAAGGTAGAGAAAGCCAAAAAGCTGATTTCAAGATATTTTTGGCTTTTGTATTTTTAAGGCATTGTATAAAGCAAATTTTATTATTTCATTTAAGGGTAGAGTTGAGTTTCAAGTACATTTTGGGGCTAATAGAAACTTGTACATAAAGAGGATGACTGTCTCTCTAGTTATCTACTTTGCAAAGAAGAACTAGAATCTCAGGTGTGTATCTGCTTTAAGGTACAGTGGAAGACATGCTAGATTCTCTTTAAGATCTGTTTTTTAGTAACTAGATACAGTCCTAGCCTATGTTGATAATGTGATTCCTTTTCTGTGAATGATTTGGAGTCACCAAATTTTTTTTAATGGACTTAACAGTTTTATAAATATAATATTAGCTAACATTTCCAAATCTTTACTCTTCCAGGCATTATGGTAAATATGTGAATTATCTTTTAGATAACCCAAACTTTTTCTGGCACCCATACAAGGTGATAATGTGTGGTACGTTAAGGTAAATGCATGAGATTGATCATGGCCCAGTGTGACTGGCTCAAGGACTTCAATGTATCAGACACTCTTTGGCCTCTGAAAGGGCTGGGCAGGTTTGCTGTCTTGTAACCCGTAACCTCTGTTCTTGGCAACAGGTTGGAAAATTAAGTTTTATCTATAAAATAAGACCATGTGGTAGATACTATTTTTCCCCCATTTTACAGAAGAGAAAACCAAGGCTTAACTTGCTCAAGAACAAACAGCAATAAAACTGAGAAATATAACTTGTTTAAAAACAATATCTGGCTGGGCACGGTGGCTCATGCCTGTAATCGCAGCACTTTAGGAGGCCAAGGTGGGCAGATCACCTGAGGTTGGGAGTTTGAGACCAGCCCGACTGACATGGAGAAACCCCGTCTCTACTAAAAGTACAAAATTAGCCAGGTGTGGTGGTGCATGCCTGTAATCCCAGCTACTTGGGAGGCTGAGGCAGGAGAATCACTTGAACCTGGGAGGTGGAGGTTGTGGTGAGCCGAGATCGCACCATTGCACTCAAGCCTGGGCAATGAGTGAAACTCCATCTCAAACAAACAAACAAACAAACAAAAAATTCAAAAACAGTCATAAAACATGCAGCACTTTATCTAAGTTGACAAGAGGTATGACACAGGAGTAAACTCTTAGTTTTTATTTTTTTAATTTATTTTTTATTATTTATTTATTTATTTTTTGAGACGGAGTTTTGCTCTTGTTGCTCAGGCTGGAGTGCA
Organism: Homo sapiens; assembly: GCF_000001405.40. NCBI lineage: Eukaryota > Metazoa > Chordata > Mammalia > Primates > Hominidae > Homo > Homo sapiens. Next base: position 174,904,221 of record NC_000002.12, on the reverse strand, counting down.
ATGGCACAATCTCGTGCCACAACCTCCACCTCCCGGGTTCAAGCGATTCTCCTGCCTCAGCCTCCCGAGTAGCTGGGACTACAGGCATGCACCACCATGCCCAGCTAATTTTGTATTTTTTAGTAGAGACGGGGTTTCTCCATGTTGGTCAGGCTGGTCTCGAACTCCCAACCACAGGTGATCCACCTGCCTCAGCCTCCAAAAGTGCCGGGATTACAGGCATGAGCCACCGTGCCCAGCCTACTCTTAGTTTTTAAATCAATGCCATTTTAGTAATTAAGATTTTAAAGTTATCAACACATTACTATTTTTATAAACAGATATACCTTTGTTTAAAGCCTTTAAAGATAAGGTTTATTCCAACTTATTCTCAAGGGTTAACTTTCCACCCCCGTAGTCTCAAAAGAAAAAAGCCAAATTAAGTGCATTTGAAGTTTAATAATTTAAACAAAAATCCCATTATACGATCACTTGGTAATTATTTGTACTTATAAAAATAATTTTATAGTAACCTTGTATAACTTATCAAAGTAAAACAGCAATAATTCTTTATAAAAATAAGCGTATTTGCATCTGTGTAATTTATTATATTTCTGTTATAAAAGCAGCACATAGATATGGTTAAAAAATTTTGAAATAAAAGTGTTTAGAATGATAAATTATAGTACTTTCCCACCGTGACATACTTCTAGTTCCACTCCCTAGAGATAACACCATTCACAATTACTTTCTATCCTTCCAGAAACTGGTCATGCATAAAATATACTTCTGTTTTTATGGCATATGTGCATATTGTGTTTTATTTTAAATGAAAATCATTAAGGAGTGGCTAACTGTAACAGCAAAGATGATCTCTAGTCTTTGCAGAGGTTTGCCCTATTGTCTGCCTGACTATATAGTTGTGCAATAAACAGCTAATGCCTGACAAAAGCCATCATTACCTTGTGTATTTAGTTTTAGCTAATTGGTAGTTTAAGATCATGTTGAGCCAGATTCTGTGAGTTTAGCTTCAGTGCCTATGAGGAGGTTGATGATCAGTGATAGAATGGACAACGAGATAGTCAAAAAGGACTCATCTGTGTTCTGTAAATGTAGTTGTTATTTAATTTATTGTGGCTTTGAGTTTAGAATACTGATAAAATTCTATTAAGCAAGGGATTTCTGTGAGAGGGTAATACAATCTTTACAGTTCTGAAGATTTTGTGTGAAGAAACTATTGCTGCTATCTTAGAAAATGATAAAATGCACTGAAGTAAAAAATGTAATTTTGCTAATGATTGAAAACACCCAACAATTCCTAATTGAATCTCAAAACATTAGGTTGACTTATAAAGTGAGCTTGGCCAAAGAGTTCCTGAGTAAAGCCAGAGAATCATAGTAGATACTGATAAAGGGGCTTTTGCAGTTTTAAAATATGAAAATTGGTTGAAAGCATTTTTCATGTTAAAGAAGAAGGATCAAAAGGAACTGGGGAAGGATTATGCTGCTAGTAGGCGTTGACGTGTAATGTACTGTGTGTTCTTTTGATCTGATAGCTCATGATAGGTTCAGTTGGTTACCATGGTTTCATTCCATTTCCTGCAAACCTTCTTGTTGTGCTATTTGGAATAAGTGAAAAATAATGTTCTGTAGAACATTTTTCAAAACTGTTTTTCTCCTCTTAGTTTAGATTATGAATCATTTTATGGGAAAATTTTAAGATATAAGAGTAAGTGATAACACATGATGACAGTAACATTTAGTTCTGCAGTATTAGAAAATTAATATTGATGAAGGGGATAGCACAATTTATTTAAAATATAATATATTATCAGTGCTAAAAAGCTTTTTAAAAACATTGATATAATAATTCCAGTTTATGTGAGGTACCCTTGCTCAGGTGTTCTTTAATAAAACAAACCATAGAAAGTAATTGATGTGACACAGTAGGAAATGGCTAGTTTAACATAAGGCATCCCTTACTTGAAAAAATTGATGTGTTCCTGAAAATGTGTTGCAAATTGAACTGTATTGTAAAAGCACAAGAGGAGATAGCTGTTCAAAAAGATTAGCATTTTTTCCCTGACAAATATACAATACAAAAAATATTTTAAAATGTAGGAAAACACAAAGGCAAAAAGCACCCCAATTCTACTATCCAGAAATAATCACTGTTAAAACTGTGTTGTATGAAATTCTAGCATTTTCCCGAGTTATACAGAAATGACTTTATACAAGGTACACTATATTATGGTATGCTTTTTTTCAGTTAGCTGTGTATTATGAATATTTTCCATGTTGATAAATATATGAGAAGTTTGCTATTTGAATTAATTCTTCGTAAGGTTAAGTTTCACCTCCCCTTTTTAAAAATTCTGATTTTCACTTACATTTACTTATTTAAATGTAGGTCTATCAGTAACTTTGTTTTTATTACCACGTGTACTATATATAAAATGCAGAAAAGTAGGAAAAGGAAAATATTACCTATAATCTCATGGCCCTCAAAGACAAACATTATTTTTTGGCATTTATTAAATGTATTTTTGTTGTTCTCCCTGTTGCTTTGTTTTTAGAAAATTGCAATATCCTTCTAGGTGCTGGAGATACAAGGAAAAACAAAACAGTCAAGATCCCTGGCCTTATGGAGCTTAACAGTTTATTAGGTAGAGAGAGGATTAGACTTTAATGAATTGTCCCACAAATGCCAAGCTAAAAACTGAGGCAAATGCTGTGGAAGGAAAGCAAGGGAGATACGAGTGCATAAAGGAGGATCTGATCTAAACCCAGAGTCTCACTCTAAATCTAAATTGCAATCAGGGAAGGCTTTTCTGAGAAAGGAAAGTCTGATTTGAGAACTGAAGCGTTGTGAGAGTGATCTAAGGAAAGAGAGTGAGTGAGAGGGCAAAGAGAAAGAACCTAGAAGCCCGACCAGCATGTCCATGCAAGGGCTGCAGTGCACATCTCTGAACTGAAAGAAGAGGGTGGCCGGGAGCACAGTGAGTTGGAGAGGGAAGAAGTGAGGCTGCACATCTGCTTCTTGTAGGCCCGGTTAAGAATTTTGCTCTTTATTCTAAGAGCTGGGCTGTGACATAACCCAAGCTTGAATTTCCTTTTGGTTTCTGAAGAATAAACAGCTGAAGTAGATCAATAGTGGATGCACACAAGAAAGTTACTTGTTACCTTTTCTCTTAGTAACCTCTTCATGTCCATTGCCCTATATATTTTGTGTATAGTATTTATGCAACCATTTATTATATTTACCATGCAAGCTTTCTCTATTTTTGTTGGTCTTTGACATAATTTAATTTTTCCTGGTTACACTTCAGTGAATCTTTTTCTAAGTGAAAATTTTATTTTATAAAATTTATTCCATTTTTCTTTGCCCTAGATAGCACACCTCCACAAGATATTTGATAGTTACTTTTTTTTTTTTTGAGATGGAGTTTCGCTCTTTTTGCCCAGGCTGGGGTGCAATGGCGCAATCTCAGCTCACTGCAACCTCTGCTTCCTGGGTTCAAGCGATTCTCCTGCCTCACCCTCCCGTGTAGCTGGGCATACAGGCACCTGTCACCACGCCCGGCTAATTTTGTATTTTTAGTAGAGACGCAGTTTCACCATGTTGGCCAGGTTGGTCTCGAACTCCTGACCTCAGGTGATCCACCCGCCTTGGCCTCCCAAAGTACTGGGATTACAGGCGTGAGCCACTGCGCCTGGCCTTGATGGTTACGTTTTAAAAATTTTTATGAGACAGGGTCTTGCTCTGTTGTCTAGCCTGGAGTATGATCATAGCTCACTGTAGCCTGGAACTCCTCAGCTGAAGTGATCCTCCTGCCTCAGCCTCCCAAGTAGCTAGGCCTACAGGCACATATCACCGCACCTGGCTAATTTTTTCATTTTTATGTAGAGACAGGGTGCCACCAGGCTGGTCTTGAACTCCTAGCCTTCTCCTGAACTCCTGGCCCGAGAAGCAATCCTCCCTTCTCCGGGTCCCAGAGTGCTGTGATTGTAGTTGTGAGTCACTGCCCCTGGCCTTGGTAGTTACATTTACTTTCTTCTAGATTTCATGGTGTGTTAACATGTAACTTGTTTATCCACCAATAATTTATTTTGATATTCGATAAATATTTTCCCAACTGTATTGTATTTAATACTTTCTTCAAAATATTAATAGGTACACAGAAGTAAAGTAGAATATATTTGGGGATTGTTGCATACTGTATCCCTGTCCTGGTGATATTTCTAAAGACTCTGAGAAGTTCTGCAGTGAAACAAAATGAACATACATATACACATAAAAACTGACAGTTTGTTATTTCCCTAACTTTTTTGAAAACAGATAACACTAATGCCTCACAGAATACCATATGGTATAATTCTTAAGATTTGTTTGCTAATGGCTAAGCAGTGGTTCCAATTCAATCTGGGTGACCTTTCCACCCCTCTTCCCAATTTTGGGGAATTATTCTTAACATCTTATTGATGTCAACTCTACTTTGGAATTTGACAAGCTCCTCAAAATTGAGGTTACATTTATTTTTCCTGTCCTTAATTTTAGTCAAAAAGACATGGCTAAGCACATAGATCAGGTGTTGGCAAACTTTTTCTGTAAAGGATCCTATAGTAAATATTTTAGGCATTGCAGGCCAATTGAGAATATTATGTTATATAGATGCTTGTGTAGCCATTTAAAAGGTAACCACTGAAAAATTTAAAACCAATGTTTAGCTTGTTGGTGATACAATAATAGGCAGTGGCCTAGATTTGGCTCTAGAGCTAAAGTTTGGCAACCCCTGTCTGTTACTGCTACCATCTTTGGCAAATCTTTGACCTCTTTACACAATCTAGAGTTGACATATATACTGAGTCACAGACACAGGGACAAGAAGATATTCACAGGATGTAAGTGTTTTTATTTTCACTTTGCTTTTGTTGTTCACATGTAATTGCTACTATTTTTATTGCTGATTTTTAAACTTACCTATACTGTGACTCTTTCTAATTCATATGTATCGTGTCTGTCTTCTCCTGAGTGCCCTCCTTTTCAGTTACCAAAGTTTTTCTTAGACTAGGCTTCTTACAGCACTTTTTCATTCAAAAAGAATCTACTGGTATAAATGTATATAAAAAAGGAACTGAGAAGGTAACAAGGCTGTGTGGGGGTCTAGGAACCAAAGGAGCCCGTCCTACTGACAGCCAAGGAGTTTTAAAGCTCTGTGACTCCCTCAGGATTTTCTTGGAATTTTCTAAGCAAGCCCAATCTCCATAAAAATAACTAAAATTGTACTCTTTATTTTTCCTATATCATTGTAACAGACAAACAAAAGCATATTTTGGGGTGGCAATACTAGGTAATCGGGAATATTTTAGGGACTTCCTGTTTATACATTTTTTTAGTTTATTAATTTTGTTATTATGGTAGAATTCTTAGACAAGAATTTTCTGCCACTGTTGGGGAGAAAGTTAACATAGGATCACCTTTTAAAAAATTTATAGTATTGTGCCCAGATAGACATGATCTTGTAGAAAAAAAATCTTAAAATAATGAAATTATTCTATCTTTGCAGTAGGGAATGAGAACTGGAATTAGGTTTGACTACAAGTAACCGGATAAGAAGCGACAATTTCTTTGTTTTTTTGAGACGGAGTCTCGCTCTGTCGCCCAGGCTGGAGTGCAGTGGCGCGATCTTGGGTCACTGGAACCTCTGCTTCCCGGGTTCAAGTGATTCTCCTGCCTCAGCCTCCTAAGTAGCTGGGACTACAGGTGTGCGCCACCAAGCCCAGCTATTTTTTTTTTTTTTTTTCAGTAGAGACGGGATTTCACCATGTTGGCCAGGATGGTCTCAATCTCCTGACCTCGTGATCCGCCCGCCTTGGCTTCCCAAAGTTCTGGGATTACAGGCGTGAGCCACTGCGCCTGGCCAGAAGTGACAATTTCTTACCCAAAATAGTTGTTTGTTTTTCTCCCATGTTCAAAGTATTGGGAGTGACTTCAAGGCTGGTGTGGCTCTCCACAAGGTGAGAGGCCCTGACTAGTTCCATTTTGTTGCTTTTCCTGTGTGTGGCACCCAAATTTATCTCGTGGTAGCTGCAAGGCACCAGACTTTATATGCACATTCCAGCTAATGAGACGGCAGAGGGGTGAAGATACCATTTGGATTTATTCTCATTTGTCACTCCTACCAGTAAGGTAAAAGAAGCTGAGAAATGTAGTAGTTAGTCTAGGGAGCCATGTTCATACCTGAAAATCAGGATGCTATCACTGAGGAAAAAGAGAGAAATGGATATTGGGAGGCTGTCAGCAGTCTCTGCGGCAGAAATAAAAGATTTCTGTCAGATTTAGGAGCAAGTCACTCAGTTGGAGAAATACTTTAAGTGGGTTCTTTCCTTCTCCCTGCCTCTTTTTTTCACCACAGGCCTTTTTTTATTAATAGTCCCAGAAGAGAATAGATTGTAAATCAGTTCTAAGGAACCTATTCTTTCTGTGTTGTCTGAACTGTCTTGCTTAGCCAGCTTTCATTTTCATTGTGTTTATTTTTGTGTTTTCTATCAAGTTATGAGTTTGCTTGTTTTCAAAATAAAAGTACATACATATATGGGTAGCTTAACTAGCTACTAGACGGGCTGATGAAACTCTACACTGTTTTTTTGATCTACTACAGGAGGCGGGGGGAATACTTTATTACATGGAGCTAAACTTTGGGGTATTTTGATTTTTTTTTTTTTTAACTATCCTGCCAATAGAACAAACACGTCTAAGACCTATCTGAAAATATATATGTTTATATATACGTATATACACACACACACACACACACAAGCACACAGAGATTTATTTTATCTGTTGATAATTCTGTTGTGATCTTAAGGCAAATGTTGATCTTTTGTCGTTTATGCTGACAGCCGTTCAAGGACAGGCTTCTGCTCTGCCAAAATACAAAAGAATAAATGCATTTCTCTTACATTATAATGTGCCAAACAATAAAAATTCAGTAAGTGTACACAATAAGATATTGCTTAATTCAGGAATAATCATCTTTTCAGTCTTTAAAATCAGTACATTTCAGAAACTGGAACATCCATTTTGAATAAGAAAGAGCATAAGGTTGCAAATGGTTATCCAGCATTTTATACCCAAATTTTGCCAGAACACACAGAGAATACACCAATTTTAGAATTTGCCAGAATCTATCAATAGAAGGTGGGAGGGGAAATCCCTTTCTTCCTTTGCTTCCCTCCTCTCTGTGCTCTTTCACATTTAATTATAAGCTATTTCACTAAATTTATATATATGATTTGAGTGTTGATATATTTACAGTATAGGTAAAAAGGTAATTTATATCATTAGATAATAGATGTATATTATATACATATGGTGGTGATATTCATTAACCAACAAATACAAATTTTGAGGATTTGTTGATAAACAGAATTAAGTACAGTGGTGTTGGAAACAGGAAAACTAGAAGCACCAACACCCATAACCATTGAAGGTTAAATGTTAAATGTAGTCATTAACTGAATTTACTCATTTACTTTGCAGATTAAGAGGATGAATATGATATATACAAAATGTGGGCTTCTGTGTAGTGCTGTCTGTGTGTCTTTCTAAAAATTGTGTAAAAGCATGATGTGACAAACTGAGTTGGACTGACATCATGATTTTCAGCACAAATACATGTATTGGTTACTAAAATACTTTCATTGAAAGATATATATTAAGTTCATATAGTTATCTACCCAATTAAACTGTCCTCTCTATCCCAGCCAAATGTCACCATATGCTTTTTAGAAAACCGTGATTTAATTGTGTTTAGATTTTAAGAAATTAGCAAAGCTCAGGAAGCAGTGACAGGCTGGTAACATGCCTTGAAAACAGTATGAGATAAAATAGGAACTTGATTAAGAAGAGGGAGGAGAATACAGATAAAGATGTGAAGCAAAGAGGTTTGTGTTTTCTCTTTTATAAGTGTAATCTTTAGCATATCTAATACATAGAGAAGTTAATGCGTTATGTAGCAGTATTCAGTTCTACCTCAGGAATACAAACCAGGCTCTTTATACTATACTGGGGCTTATAATGAACATATGTAGATCTTATATATAAAGGAGTTTTTTTTTTAATTTTAGATTTGGCCTTTGTGACTTCTCATTTTCCAACTCCTATAATTTAAAAAAATTGAAGCCCAAAATTATTAAGAACTTTATAAATGTCATATAAGCAAACATAGATGTGGATTTAGAGTCAGTATAGGTGTTTTGGGTGTTCTTAATTAATTGGTCCAAAGTCACTTTCCTCTTTTATCAGAAATGTTTCAATGTCTTGATTTTAATCACATTCATTTCTCTCCTCTGCTCACTGAAACTGCTGATGAACCTTCAACTCTCTGTGAACAGTTTTTTGTGAGTTGAGCTGAGGAGAAAATGGAAACTTTCCATGTATAATTAATACTTATAGTAGAATCTGAAGGGATTGAGATTTCAGAAACCTACTTTGCTATGAATAGCATAATTTTTCGGATGGCCCATTCAGTTTTTAGATTAAGGGTAATAATTACTTCTGTTGTCTTGCATGAAGAGATATGTTTGGATTTACAGAGGGAAGGGCAGTTATTAACTTGTCTCAATGGATTATCTTTTTGGTTCTGTACCCCTGTTTTTCTGAACTTGCTTATTTATCTTTTTTAACTTAATAATTTTTAAGTGCAATTACAGTATTGTTAACTCTATGCACATTGTTGTACAACAGCTCTCCAGAACTTTTTCCTCTTGTGTGACTGAAAATCTGTACCCATTGAACAACTCCCCATTTCCCTTCCTCCTACCCCATAGCAGCCACCATTCTACTTTTTGTTTGCATGATTTTGACTGCTCTAGATATCCGTATAAGTGGATCCTTTTTATGATTGGCTTATTTTGCTTAACATAATGTCCTCACGGTTCATCCGTGTTGTAGCATATGAAAGGATTTCCTTCATTTTAAAAGCTGAATAATACTCCATTGTGTGTGTGTGTGTGTGTGTGTGTGTATATATATATATATACACACACACACATATATATACTCCTATATATAACCACATATGTATACACAGTAGTCCTCTCTTATCTGCAGTGTATACATTCAAGACCCCAGTGGATACCTGAAACTGTGGATAGTACTAAACCCTTTGTGTGTGTGTGTGTGTGTGTGCGCGCGTGTGTGTGTGTATATACTATGTTTTTCCAGCTGATAATGAGCTACTAAGTGACTAACAGGTGGGTAGCTTATACAAAATGGATATGCTGGATAAAGGGACAGTTCATGTCCTGGGAGAGACAGAGAGTGAAGGGGCAAGATTTCATCACGCTATTCAGAATGGCACGCAATGTAAGACGTGTATTATTTATTTCTAAATTTTCCATTTAATATTTTCAGACCGTGGTTGACCATAGGTAACTGAAACCACAGAAAACGAAACCATGTATGAGGTGGACTACTGTACCACATTTTCTTTATCCACTCATCCATCAATAGACGTCTTGGTTGCTTTCACATCTTGGCTATTGTGAACAATGCTGCAGCGAATATGGGTGTGCAAGTATCTTCAAGATCCTGTTTTCTATCCTTTTGAATAGATATGCGGAAGTCGGATTGCTGGGTCATAATAATAGTTCTATTTTTAATTTTGTGAGGAACCTCCATACTGTTTTTCATAGTGTTTTTCACCGTTTTCCAGTCTCACCAACTGTACACAAGCATTCCATTTGTTCCACATCCTCACCATTTGTTATTTTCTGGTTTTTTTGGTAGTGGTCATTTTAATGGGCATGGAGTGATATCTCATTATGGTTTTGATTTGCATTTCCCTGATGATTAGTGATGTTGGACATCTTTTCATATGCTTGTTTGTCATTTGTATATCTTCTTTGGAGAAATGTCTGTTCCTTTGGCCAGTTTTTAATTGGGTTATTACTACTTTTTGGTTATTGAGTTATAGGGGTTCTTTATATATTTTATATATTCTGGATATTAGCCCCATATCTGATAATATGGCTTATAAATATTTCCTCCCATTCCCTAGGTTACCTTTTCACTCTGTTGATTGTTGCCTTCATTGTGCAGAAGTTTTTTGTGCTGTCGTGCCATTTGTCTGTTTTTGCTCTTGTTACTTGTGCTTTTGGTGTCATATCCAAGAAATTACTGCCCATTCCAATGTCATGATGTTTTTCCCCTATGTTTTCTTCTAGGAGTTGTGTTGTTTCAGGTCTTCTATTTAGGTCTTTAATCCATTTTGAGTTGATGTTTGTACATGGTGTATACAGATGATTCCTTTGCATATAGATATCTAGATTTCCCAACACTGTTTGTTGAAGAGACTATCCTTTTCCTGTTGTGTAGTCTTGGTACTCTTGTTAAAGATCATTTGACCATACACATGACAGTTTATATCTGAGCTCTCTGTTCTCTTTCATTGGTCTATGTCCAAAACCATACAACTTTGATTACTGTAGCTTTGTAGCTTTGTTATATGCTTTGAAATGAGGATATTTGAGGCATCCAGCCTTGTTTGTCTTTCCCAAGATCGTTTTGGCCATTTGTGGTCTTTTGAGATTTCATATGAATTTCAGAATCTTTTTTCTACTTCTGCAAAAATTCTATGGAGGTTTTAGTAGGGATTGCTTTAGTGTCTAGATTGCTTTAGTGTCTAGATTGCTTTGGATAGTATGGACATTTTTAACAGTATTAAGTTTTCTAACCTGTAAACATGAGTATCTTCGCATTTATTTGTGTCTTCTTCAATTTCTTTCAGTAATGTTTTGTAGTTTTTAGTATACAAGTCTTTTGCCTTTTAAGTTTATTTCTAAGTATTTTATTCTTTTTGATACTCTTGTAAATGGAGTTGTCTTCTTAGTTACCCTTTCGGATTGTTCATTGTTACTACATAGAAATATAGCTGATTTTTCCATGTTGATGTTTGTATCCTGCAGTTTTACTAAATTCATTTATTGGTTCTGATAGTTTTCTTGTGGAGTCTTTAAGGTTTTCTACATAAGAGATGATGTCATCTGTGAACAGAGGTAATTTTACTTGTTCCTTTGCAATTTGGATGCTTTTAATTTCTTTTTCTTGCCTAATTGCTCTGCCAAGAACTTCCAGTACTAGGTTGAACAGAAGTGGTGAGAGTGGCCATCCTTGCCTTGTTCCTGATCTTAGAGGAAGAGCTTTCAGTTTTTCAGCATTAAATTTGATATAAGGTGAGGGCTTTTTATCTATAACCCTTTTATACTGAGGTAATTTCCTTCTATTCCCAGTTTGTTGAGTGGTGTTTTTTGTTTTTTAAATGCAAGGGTGCTGAATTTAGTTAGATACTTTTCCTGCATCAATTGAGGTGATCATGTGGTTTTTGCCCTTCATTTTGTCAATGTAGTGTATTACATTTATATTTTGTATAGTGACTCATTCTTGCATCCCCGGGGTAAATTTCACGTGGTCATGTTATGTATGTAATTCTTTTAATGTGCTGTTTAATTTGGTTCACTAGGTTGGTGAGGATTTCTGTTTCAATATTCATCAAGGATATTGGTCTATAGTTTTCTTGTAGTAATCTTTGTCTGGCTTTGGTATCACAGTAATGCTAGCATCATAAAATGAGTTTGGAAATATTCCTTCCTGTCTTAGTCTGTTTGTGCTGCTGTAACAAAATACAGCAGACTGGGTAATATATAGACAATTGATGTTTATTTCTCATACTACTGGCATCTGGTAAATCCAAGACCACGGTGTTAGCACATTTAGTGTCTGGTGAGGGCCCAGACTGTGCTTCCAAGATGGCAGTCTGAACACTGTGTTCTCACATTGTGAAAGGAACAGAAGGGAAAAAGGGCCAAACCCTGGGTGAAGCCTCTTTTATAAAGGCTTTAATTCCATTTACAAAGTGATTGTTTCATAAAGGCCCCACCTCTTAATACCACTGCATTGGAGATTAAGTTTCAACATTAATTTTGCAGGGGACACAAACATTCAAATAATAACACTTCCTCTTCAAATTTTTAGAAGAGTTTGAGAAGGAATGGCAATTATTCTTTTTTAAATGTTTGGTAGAGTTTTTCACTGAAGCCATCTGGTCCTGTCCTTTTCTTTATTGGGAAGCTGTTGACTGCTGATTCGATGTCCTTGCTAGTTACAGGTCTGTTCAGATTTTCTGTTTCTTTATAATTCAGTCTTGGTAGGTTATATGTTTATGTGAATTAATTCATTTTTAGGTTATCCAGTTTGTTGACATATAATTATTCATAGTAATTTCTTTTACTTTTTATTTTTGTGGCATCAGTTGTAATATTTCTTGTTTCACTTCTGATTTTAGTCTTTGCTATATTTTTCTTAATGGCTTGTCAATTTTGTTGATCTTTTTAAAAAACTAACTCATAGTTGGTTTTTTTTCCTCTGTTGTTTTTCTAGTGTCTATTTTGTTTATTTCAGCTCTAATCACTGCTATTACCTTCCTTTTGCTAACTTTGAGTTTTATTGGTCCTTTTTTTCCCCTAGTTCCTTGAGGTGCAAAATTATTTGATTGAGATCTTTCTTTTTTCATGTAGGTATTTACCACTATAAACTGCCTCTTAGTTCTGCTCTTGCTGCATCCCAAAAGTACGTTGTGTTTTTCTTTTCTTTTTTTTCTTTTTTTTTTTTTGAGATGGAGTCTCGCTCTGTCACCCAGGCTGGAATGCAATGGCATGATCTCGGCTCACTGCAACTTCCACCTCCCGGGTTTGAGCAATTCTGTACCTCAGCCTCCTGAGTAGCTGGGATTACAAGTGCCCACCACCAAGCCCAGCTAATTTTTGTATTTTTAGTAGAGACAGGGTTTCACCATCTTGGCCAGGCTGGTCTTGAACTCCGGACCTCATGATCCACCCATCTCAGCCTCCCAAAGTGCTGGGATTACAGGCATGAGCCACCGCTCCCGGCCTATTTTCATTTGTCTCAAGATATTTTCTAGTTTTCCTTGTGATTTCTTCTTTGACCCATAGTTTTTCCAAGAGTATATTATTTGATTTCCACATATTTGTGAATTTTTTAGTTTTTCTTTTTTCTTTTTTTTTTTTTTTTTTTTTTTTTGAGATGGAGTCTTGCTCTGTCGCCCAAGCTGGAGTGCAGTGGCACTATCTCGGCTCACTGCAAGCTCTGCCTCCCAGGTTCGCACCATTCTCCTGCCTCAGCCTCCCAAGTAGCTGGGACCACAGGCGCCCACTACCACACCCGGCTAATTTTTTTTTTTGTATTTTTAGTAGAGACAGGGTTTCACCGTGTTAGCCCTACCGTGTTAGTTTTTCTACTGCTATTGATATCTGGTTTCACTTCATTGTGATCAGAAAAGATACTTGGTATGATTTAAGCCTTCTTAAATTTTTTAAGACTTGTTTTGAGGCCTAACACATGATCTAACCTGGAGAATATTCCATGTATATGTGAGAAGAATGTGCATTCTTCTGCTGTTTGGTGGAGTGTTCTGTATGTGCCTATTAGGTTCAGTTGGGGTATAATGCTGTTTAAGTCCTCCTATTCCTTGTTGATTGTCTATCTGGTTTTTCTACTCATTATTAAAGTAGGGTATTGAAATTTCCTGCTATTATGTTACTATGAATTTCTCCTTTCAATTCTGTCAGTGTTAGCTTTGTATATTTGGGTGCTCTAATAGGTGCGTATATATTTTTTCTTCTTCTTCTTCTTTTTAAAGATGGTCTTGCTGTATTGCCCATGCTGGTCCCGAACTTCTGGGCTTAAATGATGCTTCTGCCTCAGCCTCTTGAGTAGCTGGGACTAGGGCAGGTACATGCTACTGTAGCTGGCTAAGTGCCTATAGCCTTATATTTATACTTACTATATCTTCCTGGTGAATTGACCCTTTTATTATCATGTAATGTCCTTCTTTGCCTCTTGTAACAGCTTTTTACTTAGTAAAAGTCTATTTTCCATGATACAAGTATGGTCACCTGCCTTCCTTTGGTTACCATTTGCATGGTGTATCTTTGTCCACCCTTTCACTCTTGGCTTGTGTGTTTTTACATCTAAGGTGAGTCTTTTGTAGACAGTGTATAGTTGCATTTTGCTTGTATATTTATTCAGCCACTCTCTATCTTTCAACTGGAGAGTTTAATCCATTTACATTTAAACTAATTATGGATAATGGAGGACTTACTATTGCCATTTTGTTAATTGTTTTTTGCTTATCTTATAGCTATTGTCTCTCTTCTCTGGTTGCTTTCATTTTTGTTTCATTGTTTTTTTATTGATATGGTTTGATTCCCTTCTCATTTTCTTTTGTGTATTTCATATATATACATACACACACGCGTGCACACACACACACACACACATATTTATTTATTCTGGTTAGAATTCTTCAAGCTTCTTAAATTTGGATTTCTATTTCATTTCCTCAAACTTGGGATATTTCTTCAAATTAGCTCTGCTGCTTTTTCTCTTTCTGGAATTCCCATAATGCATATATTGATACACTTTGTAGTATCCCATAAGTCCCTTAGGATTTCTTCACTTTTTTTGGTTCATTTTTCTCTTTATTCTTTGAGGTCAATAATTTCAAATGACCTGTCTTTAAGTTTGCTGATTCTTTCTTCTGCTTTATAAAGTCTGCTGTTGAATCCCTTTTTAATCCATTTATTGTATTCTTCAGCTATAGAATTTATTGGTTTCTTTTTTATAGTTTCTGTGTCTTTGTTGATTTTATTTTGTCATGCATTTTTTTCCTTGATATTGTTCAGTTGCTTATCTGTGCTGTCTTGTAGATCATTGAATTTCTTTTAGACACTTATTTTGAATTCTTTTTCAGATATTTCATAGATATCCATTTATTTGGGTTTAGTTTCAGGAGATTAATTTTGTTCCATTGATTGTGCTATTTCCTTGTTTCTTCATATGCTTATAAGTTCATTCTTGTTTTTAGCTGAGTGTGTTTGAAAAAAAAACCACCTTTTCCAGCCTTTATGGACTGGTTTCATACAGGAGAAAACCTTTATGAATTAACCTGTGTAGAGATTCTAGGGGCCTCTAAAACCTTTTAGGGGAGATGTGTTTTCTCTGGGCTTGTGTGTGTAATTTCCCAGTTAGAGAGATTTGCTGGTTTCTTTTTCAGGAGCTTTTAATCTCTTGCTCCCTCTGGTATCTGTGAGTAGTTTTGCAGGTTCTTGGTCTACAGCAGCAAGCTGTCCCACTCTCCCCTGAATCAAGTGAGACGTTAGTCCCTTGAATAGCTTCCTGAAAAGTTGGAACACCATATTCATACTCCACTCTTCTCCCTCCCACCTTTTGTGGATTCACACCGGGCTGCACTGGCTTCTCTGTGGCACCATAAGACCTCTTTTGCTGCTGCAAACCATCCTTACATTACCAGTTCCATTAGTGCTTTGAGTGAGTGCCCTGAGGCAAGAGGAAAAACAATCCTTCAAGAAACCCTCTAAAAAGCCAACATTGCATGCATGTTCCACTCTTCTCCCCACTGCTCTCCCCCATCACCCAGAAGCTGCAAGAAGAGCTTAGCTGTGCAGCTTGGGGAAGAGGTTATTGTGGATAAAGTGAAATGGCTCTTCTTACCTTTCAATGCACCTCCTTCTGGGCTTTGCATTTACCTGGAGTACTGCAACTTCTTAACTGGTTTCTGAAGTTCTCTTAAAGGTATTTTGATTTGTTGATATATTACCCTTATCTTATTAAATGCACTGAATGTTTGTTTTGATTTGTCTCCCCTCAAAACCCCATATTGCCCTTTCTTCCTTGAGTATAGTAGAACAGATCTATGAATGCTTCATGTTATCCCCAGGCTACAATCGCCGCCTTATGGTTCTTGTCATCCTTCCGAGTGAGTGTTTCTCCCTCCTCTTGTTCCCCATCTGCTCTTATTTCAGACAATTGTGTAGGTTTTGGCTCAGCTTCTGCTCTCAATTGTGGTCATTCTCCAAGATGCAGATTGACCTTTCCTGCTAGGACTTTCAAAATTTTGCCAAGGGTTCCAATAACTGTTTGCTGCCAGGTTTTTAGGTTCACTAGAAAAAGAAAAAATGTATTTATGACTCAAGTGTTTTGATTTTTAGAGATGGTACCTAATGTACAAGGTTATATATTTGAGTCTCTATTGAACATGTTTTTTTCCTGGTGCTTTTGATCATATAGTTATTAATTTATTTTCTGAAAATATCTTCACATATTCTATAAATATACCTAAGTGCAGGCACTACCTATAGTAAATATTTATAAGTCTATCTGTCTTTAAAAATGAACTAAGGTCCTCCAGGGCAGAAATGAAGTCTTGTACATCTTGGTTTCCTTAAACCTTTTGCAGTGGTTGGCATATACTGGGCTTATTTAGTAGAATTGCATTGAATAATAAATTGTCAGACTTAGAACGCTTTTCTGTGATACAGTTCTTTGCATAAATAGGAAACTGCAGAAATCTATTTTTCATTCCGTTTACGACTCTTGTCTTAGGATCTCTTAAGTAGACAGATATTCATGATTTCTTTGTTATGTTGCTCTAAAAGATACATAGCCTAATTATGGGGCTTTTGATAATCTTTTTGGCCCTGTGATTTTAAATAAATATAGGTGGTTGATTATTCAGAAAATGCCTTGCAGTCAGACAGTCCTGGATGCAAATTCTTTTTTACATTTTCTATATGACTTTAGGCAAGTTACTTTATCTCCCTAAGTTTCAGTTTCCTTATCTATAAGATGAGGATGTAATAATAGTAATACCTCCTAGAGACACTGGAGGGATTATTTGAGTTAATACATACATAGTGCCTAGGATATAACACTCAAAAAGTATTAGATAGTATTATTAAAATAAACACAGAAATACATTCTGTATTACATTTTAAGCCTTTTGCTTATTAGCCATTACAAATCAACAAGTGGTAACTATTGTTATGTTGATAATTCTTTTTTTCATCTAATAGGTTGATTATATCTGATGCCTAATATCTTCATTAGAGAGAAAAAGCTAATTAACCCCAGAAACTAAGTAGCAAATACAAATATGGTTTATTGCTTTTCCATAGTCAGAAATCCTAGTCTAGTTGTATTTAAAGTCTGATAAGAAGAATCGCCATCAGCTTAATGTAATTTTTTATCTTAAAAACTTAGCTATCCAAGCACAAAAGAATACATGTTATGTAATTCCATTTATATAAAATAGAAAATTATAGTAACAGAAGTAACAGAAAACAGATTAAGTGGTTAAATAGGACAACGCCAAACTGCAAAAGGGCATGAGGAAGCCATTGGAGGTATTGGAAATGTTCTGCATCTTGACCATGATAATAATATATGCCAAAACTCATTGAATTGTGCACTTGCAATGGAAGCAGTTTATTCTATGTAAATTATACATTAATAAACTGATTTTTTTAGTAAGACATTTTTTTCTGAGAAAAATGTGATACTTTGCTGATTGTTAATGAACACTAAGTCCTAAACCTAAGGCATGTACTTGACCAAATTTAGGCCTGTGTCTGCTCATTTATAGTAGCATCCTGCCCATATGGAAACCAGACTGTTGGCAGCATCAGACCTCCAAAACATGGTCCTGAAGCTGGAAATAAATGGGAAATGCCTAAATACCCATCACAAAACCCATGCCTTTATTGCAAAAGAGTGCTCAATAATCCCAATCAGAGTCTATTTAAGACAGTTTTATATAAAACTTAATAAATCCTTTTGTCTTGTTTCCAAGCTTACAGTGGATAAAAAGCGAATTGGAAGGAGAACACAGTTAATAACCTGCAAGGAGGATTTAGAAATATAAAACTAGATCTAAGAACTAGAAGTTTAATAATTGGGGTCAATTTAGGTAAGAGAAAGGCAACTCAATACACTACAATAGTCTTTGGGATATTTCTGTATTCAAACACTAATATGTTAATAAACTTGAGTCACCAAGAAAAATGTTAAATTGTATTCCACATATGATACTTAGGATGGTGTAATTTATATGGAAATGATTAAATAAAAGCATTGTATTGTTTAACAGAATTAAATAGGGATCTGAAAAACCTGCATATGAATTTGTGGGTTTGTGTTTATACACACACTCACACTTATACATGTATAGAACTCTATAAGCACTCACACTCATGTTTTACTCTGTGCTTTTGTAGACTTCTGTCATGGTGTGACTTTTTATCCTGACATAGTAGTAACCTCATTTATAATAAGATTTCAATTAGCTTTTAATGGGACTGATCACCAACTCTTGAATATGCCAAGTCTATTATTCAAACATGTTGATTATTTCTAGGCCTACTCTAGTTTTTAAATGATTGGAATGCATGTAAAATACTTTTCTGTAAGTACAAATATAAATTTATGTAGTAGTGGGACACAGTATTTAGTATTGGTCCTGTGGTTTAGTAGTAAAATGAAACATAGTAGGTAGCACAAGTTACTATAATTGGCTCACTAAATTAGAAAAGTTGTTTGTAGGCCAGGCTCACGAATGTAATCCCAGCACTTTTGGAGGCTGAGGCAGGCAGGTCACACGAAGCCAGGAGTTCAAGACCAGCCTGGCCAACATGGCAAAACCCCAACTCTACTAAATATTAGCTGGGCTTGGTGGTGCACGTCTGTAATCCCAGCTACTCGGGATTACTTGAATCAGGGAGGTGGAGGTTGCAGTGAGCCAAGATTATGCCACTGCACTCCAGCCTGAGGTCAGGGAGACTCTGTCTCAGAAAAAAAAGAAAAATTGTATATCACTTATTTACTCCCAAATGTCAATAGAAAAAGCAGCTTCATATTATATAGGTCATCACACTAAGACCATTATGGCTCTGTAAATGGCAAACACTCTATCATGGTAATTATCACTTTTTAAATTATGTCCAGCAAAACTACGGTAACCTGATTATATTTTGGCAGTTATATGTAATTTCTCTCTCTCTATATATATATATTTTTTTTTCTTTTTTTTGAGACCGAGTCTCGCTCTGTCGCCCAAGCTGGAGTGCAGTGGCGTGATCTTGACTCACTGCAACCTCTGCCTCCCGGGTTCAAGCGATTCTCCTGTCTCGTCCTCCTGAGTAGCTGGGACTACGGGCGCCTGGCTGATTTTTTTTTTTTTTAGTAGAGATGGGGTTTCACCATGTTAGCCAGGATGGTCTTGATCTCCTGACCTCGTGATCCGCCCACCTTGGCCTCCCAAAGTGCTGGGATTACAGGCATGAGCCACCGCGCCCGGCTAATTTCTGTGTATTTTCAAAAATTCTTTTTATTGTTACATATAGCTAGCTAACTTAGGGGAAACTATTTATGAAGTCTTTACTAATTCTATTCCACTTACTTAGGAGGCATGATATATGCCAAGTACTATGCCAGTCTCTGGTGCTTTAAAGTAAGTAAAACTAATAACCGATTCTTAAGGACTCATAGGCAATAGTGAACCATTAACAATTTTCAAGAGGGAAAAATCATGTGATAGGATCCCTCAAATGCATAATATTAATTATCACAGTATGTGTCCCGTAATTTTTTCTGTTTTACTGGATACTTAATGTGGGTTTGGCCATTTATGGATGTTGCTGCCAGATGTATATATATGCTGGTACATATAATCACACACATTGTCTAGGATATTACCTAGGAGTAGGATTTATATGTTGTAGGGTATGTATATATTCAACTTTAGTAAATAATACAAAACCCCTTTGTTAAACAATATTGCAGGTACTGGTTATATTAACTGCTCTGTATCCTTGCTGGTACTTAGTATTGTTAGGCTTGTTAAATTTTGCCAGTCTGAGGATTTATTTGCAATTACTGGACTATTTTGTGAGCACCAGTTCTTGGTGTAGGTCTGTTTTCATCCATTGTGTAAATGTGTGTTCTTCCATTATAATAAAATTTTTTGAGTTATCGCTTTGATTCCTTTCCCTTCCATTTTGTCTCTTCTCTCTTTCTATAAATGTTAGACTTTCAGGCCGGGCTCGGTGGCTCACGCCTGTAATCCCAGCACTTTGGGAGACCGAGGTGGGTGGATCACGAGGTCAGGAGATCGAGACCATCCTGGTTAACATGGTGAAACCCCGTCTCTACTAAAAAAATACAAAAAAATTAGGCAGGCATGGTGGCGGGTGCCTGTAGCTCCCAGCTACTCGGGAGGCTGAGGCAGGAGAATGGCGTGAACCTGGGAGGCGGAGCTTGCAGTGAGCTGAGATTGCACCACTGCACCCCAGCCTGGGCGACAG
This sequence comes from Homo sapiens, assembly GCF_000001405.40. Taxonomy (NCBI): domain Eukaryota; kingdom Metazoa; phylum Chordata; class Mammalia; order Primates; family Hominidae; genus Homo; species Homo sapiens. The sequence goes on along the minus strand of NC_000002.12, from coordinate 174,884,001 downwards.
AGCGAGACTACGTCTAAAAAAAAAAAAAAAAAAAAAGAAGTTAGACTTTCTGGATTGATTCTCTATCTTAATTATTTTCTCTCCTTTTTTTTATCTTTTTGTCTTTTTGTTCTTTAAAATTTTCTCAACTTTTTTAAAAAAACTTTCATTTATGCTATATTCCTTTTTCTACTTATTTTTCTATATATTCTATATTCCTTTTTTTTACAGGATTCTAATGTTTTTTGGTTAAATTCTATTCAAGAATAGGAACAGGAAACATCTTATTTTGGGTTTTTTGAGCATATTTTCATTCCCATGCATGATTTTGTTTCCTCTAACTTGCTTTGATTCTGTTTGTTTATCATAGTCTTTGTCTTTCATGAGGGGAGTTTTCCTCAGATGTCAGGTGGCCCTTGGCTGACTGCTCATATTGAAGCATATGGGACCCTAAAAGGCTGGCTAGTAGTTCTGAGAGCTTGGAGGAAGCCTGACAATTATAGGATGATGGTCTCTACTCTTAAGTCTTTTTTTGTTGAGTTGATCAGATTTCCAAGAGTAGAATCTTTCAGTCTCCTATCAGGAAAGGTACAAGCCTTCCGATAGCCTCATGGTGAAGAGAAATGGAGGTATCAGTTTCTTTAGTATTTAAATTTTGGGTATTTAAAACTTTCACTTAGTTTTCAAGATGATACCTCTGCTTGTATTCCCTCAGTTCACTATCTCCCTGTTTTATCCTGCCTAGAAAACAGAACTTAAGTCTTCTGCCATGGTGGTGAAGGGATAACAATAGGGACAGGATTAGGGAGGGCAGGAGGAATATCTAACTGCTTTTTAAACGGACTTCGAGTTAATCCTTCTATATCAGTTCTACCTTCCAGAGCTATGTGAGTTCCACTGTTCAGAAGATGGCTTCTTTGGAAGTTTAGTTAGGCAAATTGGATTTCTTCTTCACTGAAAATGATTTATTTGGCCAAGGAAATATCATTATGTGTTGACATAATTTAATACTTTTCTCCATAATCCAAAATTGTATAGCAAGATAGACAAAAGTCATAGCCTGACAAAGTTTTGGATGGGATATCATTTTAATGTTGTATATAACTATGCTCTCTCTTCCATAGCCTTCCTTAGTTCATAGAATTCATCTAAATTTATTTTGTAGTACTTAATCGAATGCATCATCATATTTTATTTCTGTTTTAAATTTTCTTCCAAGAGTATCTTATGATTGAATGAATGTATATTTATATTTCACCATTAGATTAGCTTTTTTGACTCTGGTAAACAACAGACAAATATATATTTATGATAAATAAAACTGTTTTTGTATGTTGGTTGCTGGAAATACTTCTAACATTTTATTGTAAGCTTAGACGAGTGTGTTGTATATGTTTTGTTTTCTGTTTGTTAACACAAAACATCTGTTAGCTTGGAGCTTTCCTTTGAAGAGATCCTTTCAAATCACTTTGGCCTCAAATTAGAATTAATTCTTGGTTTTGCATAAAGTAAAGTAAAATTCCGAAAGCTATTCTGTATATATTTTGTCATCATTTTTTCTTCTAGACTGAATTTTTTGTCGATATGATTTATTTGCTGAAAAATAGAAAAGATGGTATATTAAGGATTTTGTTTATTTTTAAAAAGATGTTAGAATTGTATATCTTGAAATGCATCTGAATGCATCTGGGCACAGCATTAAACAGCTTTTTAAAATAGGAAACCCGAAACCTGGAATCACTGGAGAAAGATATTCTTTCTAGAAAGTGGCATTATGTACAACAGTAGCAGTTAAAAGCCTTTCTTTTCTATTTGTTTACTATAGTAACACTCTGGAGAAAATGAATTTTCATCTTGCTGAACTCTACCTAGGTGAGAGTTGGGCCTATGCAGCTTCAAGTATGTTCACCAAGGAATAAACAGCTATTAAGCAAGGGCAGAGTCAGATAATAAAAGGAAAAGATGAAAAGAAAATTATCTTATAAAAGTCAAAGGGAAATGATTTAGCCTCAACAGTTTTTACAAATCAATGCTCTGTAGTCTAGGGTTCAGTAGCTGTCACTAGGTCCACTTAATATGTCCCGCTTTCAATATATGTAAATCTCTCAGCTTTCTCCTTTGAATTCAGAGGCCTCATTCCCAGGACACAGTGGAAAGACCTTCTTTGCTTGCTCCTCCTACCCGATTTGCACTCTGTTGTCTTCCCACTCTATTTAACCAAGTGGCAAATACAAACTTATTCAGAGACATCCAGGAGAAAATTTCACAAAGAGCTCCTCCTTGCCTTTTGTTAACTGTAAAGTAAATCAGTGCAGAGATGTTCCTGTACAGCCAGTGTTGCCAGTTATTTATTTAGCCATCTTCCATGCATATCTATTGAATATTTTTGCTGTTTTACTTTAGTGTTGGTAACTCATTCTGTCATTCTCTGCAGGGGCCTAAGCTAACAGAGAAGGAGAAAGGGAACTACCACTCGAGCCTACTATATATATTTAGCTTTGACTTAAATATCTTCATGTAATCCTCACAGCCATCTGGGGTAGGGTGATGTTATTCCTATTTTTTAGATGCAGAATCTGACGAATGATTTCCCCAAAGTCACCCAGCTAGGAAGTGGCAGATCCAGGATTTAAACTTACAACTGTCTGATGCCAAAGCCTAAGGTTTTCTCTTAAACATATAGGACCCACATTTGCCTTCCCTTGGCCAAACCATATTTCAAGACTACAGGAGAAGACTGCAAGGATGCTTTTGTACTTGGACATAAGCAGTAGCTCTGAGATCTTATGTAAGCCTAATTGTTGTGCTCTGTTTTACTAGGCAGTGAGTTTCTTGGTTTTATGGTATGAGGGAGATACTGGATTCACTTGGTTTTGTGAATCACTTTACAGAATCTTTCTACATAAGAGCAAGATTCTATATGTATATAGTTATTAAAATAGATCAATCTGAAGACGGACTTTTTTTTTTTTTTTTGAGATGGAGTTTCACTCTTGTTGCCCAGGCTGGAGTGCAATGGTGCAATCTTGGCTCACCACAACCTCCACCTCCCAGATTCAAGCAATTCTCCTGCCTCAGCCTCCGGAGTAGCTAGGATTACAGGCATGCGCTACCACGCCCAGCTAATTTTGTATTTTTAGTAGAGACAGGTTTCTCCATGTTGGTTAGGCTGGTCTCAAACTCCCGACCTCAGGTGATCCGCCCGCCTCAGCCTCCCAAAGTGCTGTTATTACAGGCGTGAGCCACCGCACCCGGCAAGATAGACTTTTTTAAATTTAGCACTTTGTGTATTTGTATTGACCTGTTTTATCTTTTTACCACTGGGGTTACCAAGCGATAGGAACTCTATTGTGAACCACCTAATACTTGACAGTAAAGTACCTGGATGTTTTGTTAACTATTTGTTGAATAAATGACAGTCTGCAAGCAGTGAACTTCAAGGAAAGAGTCTTTCTTTGACCTTAGATTTGGAATCTCCCCCTTTATGGCTCTTCTTATGTAGAATGGGCACATCCATTCCCACCTTTCTCAAAGATTTTCTGTCTTCTTTCTCTTCTTCTAATCCCACAAAGCACAATATGCCTTTCAGATAAAGAAAGTGGAGAAATCTTTGACAGTCTGTGCTGTGGTGCTGTTCCTAGGTAACTTCCCAAGTAAAAGAGAGTAGTTCAGAGTAGGCCAGGAAAGCTTGGCAGTTCTCTTAGTAAAATATAATGCAGTTTTTCTTTAAAAAGATCAATCATAATTCCAAAATGGAAATTTTTTATTTTTACCCTTTGAAGCAAAGTTTTAATCAAACCATGTTATAAGTTTTTTGGTTATGTGATCATCTCCCTTTAGACTGAAAGTTTTATTGGATTGGAAGCCTGGAGCTGAAGTACAGGCGGAGCAGGAATTGGAAATTGTGGGCAGGGTCTCCTGAAATCACTGAGTTGAGAAAGAGAAAAGGATAAATAGGGTTTTTTGCACAGCTCCTTACAGGTAGCCAGGCCTCTTCTTGGATGAATTAGGCATCGTCCATTGGAAAGAACTAGGAAGTTAACTCTAGACTTCCTAGTTCCTAGTCAATCAAACCATTCCCAGTGCAGCCATCTTCCCTTCATGCCCTGTGCCCCCCATACTTCTCAGATTTCAAAAGGCAATTGAGTACTAAATGACTGACACCATTGCTTGGATTGTTTTTAAGTTCTGTATCCACTGTAGAAATGCCCACTGTAAAATCGTAAGTCCCAGCAGGAGTAAAATGGTCTGAGCCCTCATTGAAATGTGTCTGATACAACCGAAATATAAAGGGACTCAATGCTATGTGTGTTTATTATTGTAGGAGTCTTATAAAAGCTATGGAGTTGCTTTCCATGTTGCAGATAATGTATATTAGAAAAAAAGGAAATGATGAAAGCAGTATATTAAACTGAAAAACTTTTATATTTAACTTTGGTGTAGAAATTTCACCTGTCTAATTTTTTAGGCTTTATAATGAAAATATACTTGGGAGAAATGTGTCTTTAACATTAGAGGAAAATGGAGAACAAGAAAGTGTAATTATATGGATAGTTCACTTAAGTGTAAATCAAAATTTGATTGTTACTAAAGGATGGATAAATTATGCTTTAGAAGGGCCAACATGGATAGTACGTTGGATTCTAGATTAAATTGTTATTAAAGTCTAATTTGAACTACAGAAACAGACATCGTCTGGCTATTATTTTAAAAAATATTTTATTTCCTTTCCATACTTTATTTCCACATTAAGATGTTCCTAACTCCTATTCATTTGGAATATAACCTATACCAGAACAATTTTGTTATATAACAAGTTTATAGTCCCATTTAACGCTTTACTTAAACAGCGTTTATTTTAGTATTTTAGTTCATCCCTGTTCTGTTGTACTTTTAACAATGAAATTAAATATATCCTTTGTGACTTGTTTAGTTTTTAATTAGTCTCACTCGGGGTTACCTTCAGGAGACCATTACACTGGCAGCTCTTGTTGCCTTGTTGCCTTTTGACATCTGCTTTCATTAAAGTCAGTGCATTTTCTTGCCTGTGTCTTCCTGCAAGGACACTGATGTTAATCATGCCAAATTGGATCCATTTCTGAGGTCTGCTGCAGGAAGCAAAATACTGAAATTATCATAAAAGTAAACCATTATTCTTCAGTTGTTAGAGCACATCATCAGAACATAAAATTGAAAACAGAATTTCTATAGTCCAATAGCTTATGACTTTTGTGCCGTATGTATTTCAAACATTTCTTGCACAGACCTAACCAGCAGACAGAATAATGACTCTTTAAAAACGAAAGAATAAGTCCTTGGCCTGTGGCCAGAAGTAGCGAAAGTGTGTTTCTGTGCCATCCTGCCCTGCATGGCTCAGGTTTCTGGAGTCAGCTCTACTTTAAGTGATTGCTGGCATCATATTCTGGTTAGCCCTAAATGGAGCTTTCCTATTAAAATACATGACTGCTGAGGTCTAAAGTACATTGAATATTCTTATTGATCAACTTGAAGAAAAAATGTTAGTATAGAAATGTCATCTATTATGGAGTTGGCCAATTGAATATTGACTATGTTTTAATGTGGTGTGAGGTTTATTTTCTCCCATTTTTTCCACAGGTATAATAAAGTGGTTTAAAAAGATAAATAAAAAAAATTATTTCTATGGTAGGCATGCTTTTGACTAGTTGTCCCTAATTATTGCAAGCTCATTCTTTGTGTTCAAAGGTTTAATTTTATATATTCCAGACGATTCAGAGAGATTAGCCACAGCTTATTTAAACAAAGAAGACACACACAAAACAAAGCGATAGTTTTTTTTTGTTTTTGTTTTTTTTTCAGAAAGAATTCAGTTGCTTACTTTTCTTAAAAACATCTTTCCCATTTCATTGAGGCAGATTTGGAAGTCAAACCAGAAACTTCAGGCTCTACTACGATGGCAAGCACTTTGTTGGGGAGAAACGCTTTGAGTCCATCCACGATCTGGTGACTGATGGCTTGATTACTCTCTATATTGAAACCAAGGCAGCAGAATACATTGCCAAGATGACGATAAACCCAATTTATGAGCACGTAGGATACACAACCTTAAACAGAGAGCCAGCATACAAAAAACATATGCCAGTCCTGAAAGAGACACATGATGAGAGAGATTCTACAGGCCAGGATGGGGTGTCAGAGAAAAGGGTAAGCTACTATGAAACCACACTTTATCTTTTTCTGTTTGGGGTTCTTTTAAGAAAGCCATTATTGCCAGAAGAGATTGATTTATCCACAGTGCTTTGGAAAGTATATTCATTTTTCTTAATGTCTAGTTTCTGTGATGCTGAGCTTTGCATATAACTAATTCTTGTTCTATTAAAATATGTTAGGTAAATTTTTATATTCCTGGTTGTTTTCTGTTTTATCAGTTTCACAATTTTAAAACTATGTTGGAAAAATGGCCCCTAATAAAAAATAGTTCAGGGGATTGGTCAGAAGCATAACTCCTGGTCAAGAAAAGATAGCTACTATTACGTAAGTAATTGAGGGGGTTGCATTATCTCTCAAAATTACTTTTTTGTTTTCCTTAAAGATAATTTACTTTATAAATAGTTGTGTTCTTAGCAAGATTTTATGTGTGTGTGTATATTATGTGTGTGTGTATGTATACACACACATTTTGGGAGTCAGTCATTCTTGAATAGGAGGAGGATTTATCTCTTTATAATCTGTTAAGAAGTAATTGAATGAGTAAGATTCACTTTTACTTTTCCTTAATTATAAAAGACAATTAATTCTAAAAGACAATTTAAGTTTTTTAGCTGTCATATTTTAGTTGTGATATATTTCAGGTTAACATAAAAGTTTTAATTTCTTGGCATTAAGATTATTTTACTTTTGAAAATTGCCACCAGCCTCCTCCTCACCCCCAAGAAAAAAGTAAGAGATTTTCCTGATGTTTTATAGTGTGTGACATTTAGTTGGGGGCATTTTAGGTATTGTAATTGGAACTGTGTCAATTCATTTTTATGTTTTTAAGAATCTTCAATTGCTAAACCAAAGAAATGCAATAGGTCTTGAGCTCGGATTCTATGCAAGATTTGTGTGCAAGTTGTAATACCTAATTTGTCTGTGCTTTTGATTGTCTTATTTGTAAAATTGTAATAATGGTCAAATTGCTGTGAGGAGTGAGTGAGATAGCAAGCGTAAAATGCTCCATCAGCACTTGGCACATGTAGACACTCAATGTAGTTTGGTGGTAATGTTATTATATAGCAGCCATCTGACCTCAAGGCAGCATCCTCAAATAACTTCCCATTACCTTAGAGTATTTGGGTACAGAATGGAAATAAGAAAGTTTGTGTCCAGCTCAAATTTTAGTTTTTGGCAGATCTTACATTGGCATTTTGTTGCTACGGAGAAAACAACATTTAAAAGGATAAGCTGTAGAAAATGTATAAAAATTGTTTTTTTATATATTCATATTGTTAGGAACCACAAATCTTGTTTGGAAGTAGCCAGAACTTAAAATCCTTAATACCTGCTGTATTTAATATTCTTTTCATGGTCTAGTTCCCATTTTCTGACTATTGGTTGATTTTCCATTTATGGCATTTTTTAGTAATGCTTGTATTTGAATAATACTGACATTATATTCTTTGCAGATTTGCTAGAACATTCTAAGTCAGCATTTGTGAAATGTTTAAAAATGTGTACATGTGAGTCTTTCAAAATTGATCAGCCTAGTGAAAACCTTTGTTAATGCATTCTGAACGTGCTTTCCAACACCAAGGGACTTTAGCTAAAGACACTTAGCTGTTTAACATTAGGCAAGTCATTTGACTTCACCAGGCCTTGGTTGTCCCCCAGTCAAAGTGGAACTGATATTCACAGAGATAGTAAGCTGAGGTAGATACCTAGAACACCCTTGTAGCTCCAGGAGTCATGATTCCCTGTGTATTCTAGCAACTTTCTGTACTGAATTCCCTGGTCTTGTTTTGTGCTGGTGGACAGCGATAGCTACTGAGAGTGAAATTGCTGGCACTGGGAAGTATCTCTCTGCGGCAGTACATAATTAAGAATCATTTTTAAAATTACTCTTTGCTTTAAACCGCATGCATCTTAAATCTAGCTGGCTTAAAATCTACTCACTCAAAAATAGATTTATTTTATTTACAGGTGTCATCCAACAGGACAGGGTTGATGACCTGTTCAACAGCTTGAAACGTTGATTCCCTGTCACAATGGATGACATTTGTAAGTAAAGACAATCATGTTTAATTGATTTAAGGTATCTATTGACACTAGTATGGTTTAATAAATATTTAATGGGCCCTTAATAGCTAAAACCCCTCTTGTCTGTGAATTCTTTACCTCAGAGGCCAAAAGTGTTGGCTTTGCAGGAATTAGCATGCTGTTGTGGAAAGATACTAGTGTTGGAATTAAGAGCTATGTTCTAGTTCTACAAGAATGAATTTTATATGTCACTTTGGGCAAACTGCTTTACTTTTCTGAAACTGTATTTCCCTAGCTTTCTGGGAAGGCTTTGGACTAGGTGGTCTCCAAGATGTGGTTCTTCTAGTCTGTGATCCTTTAAGGAGTGTAGGTATTGTAGAAGAAGGACAACAATAGTACCAAAAGGAATACCTGATATGGTCCTGAGAAGTGAGGTCTGCTTTTAGTTTATTCACCAACTAATTGTATGACCTTGGGACAGTCATCTCACCTGTCTGGACTTCAGTTTCTTCATATGAGATAAGGCATTTTCTACAAAACAATAATTATACAGGATTTTAATAAATACTGCAGAAAGGGTTCTATGCTCAAATAGGTTTGATGAAAATTTAAGTTTTTTTAAAAGTTTGATCCTGGCCGGGCATGGTGGCTCACGCCTGTAATCCCAGCACATTGGGAGGCCAAGGTGGGGCGGATCACCTGAGGTCAGGCATTCAAGACCTGCCTGGCCAACATGGTGAAACCTCGTCTCTACTAAAAATACAAAAATTAGCCGGGCGTGGTGGCACTTGCTTGAAATCCCAGCTACTAGGAAGGCTGAGGCAGGAGAATCACCTGAACCCAGGAGGCGGAGGTTGCAATGAGCAGAAGTCGTGCCACTGCACACCAGCCTGGGCAACAAGAGTGAAACTTCGTCTCAAAAAAAAAAAAAAAAAAGAATAAATAAAAAATAAATAAAAGTCTGATCCTTTCTATAGGCCTTCTCTGCGTTATTCATGACTTAATATGATTATGACTCTATAAGAGTGCTCTCATACTTATTTGATCACCCTGCCATTATTAAGAACATTTTTGAAAAATAATGTTTCATGAAACCCACTTCGGGAAATTTTGAACCAGATAATTTCCTAAGGTCTTTCTTTGTTTTAAAATAGAAAGATGAGAATTCCAAGTGTTTTTATTTTTTTGTTGCAGTCCTAAAGGTGTAAGTTGTGCATCTGAGCTTTCGGGAAAGGCTTGGCAGGATGGTTTCATGGCCATGAAGGTTTTTACCATGAGGAGTGAATCCTGAAGATTCTTACTTGTCCCTAGGATCTGGTGTGAAAAATATTTTTTTTCCAAGTGATAGCTATGTCATTTTTCTCATTAACTATTTCAGTTGCTTCCTCAGCCTGAAATATCAATTGGAAAACACTGAAATAGATAAAAATATTTAATCATGAAATTGCAGCATCTTGAGAAGCCAGACTTTCTTCCCTTCTAAAATGGCTTAAGTTAGCAGTCCAGACTGGCCAAGAGCCCAACTTTTATTAGTTACTTCTTTCTATTTATCTTGGAACTGTATTTGAATAGTTTGGTATTCCAAGTAGTGAATACAATATGTTTATGTCAACAGATACTGGACCAATGGCTGAATGCAATAGTTTTAATGATAATTTTACACTTAATAATATAATTTCAATTTCCCCAAACCATACTTTCGAAATGTCTCACATAATTGTTAATAATATAAGCTATCAAACAAATGATATAATTTGCATTTCTGAAGCCATACTGTGAGCCAGATCTCTGAATCTAGGCAGGATGTCTTTACTTTGGGATTTTGTTATCTAAGATCTAAATCTGTCCCACATGTAAGGATGCCTGAGACATCAAGGGTGTACAAAATGAATTTTTTTATTTTATGGAACTTTGACACACTAAATAACCTATGTGTGTCTGTGTGTGTATTTTTTTTCTTCCCCTCTAAGCTTGGAATGAATGCAGTGCTTGGCACATTGTCATATTAATTTATTTTTAAGGAATTTCTTTAACATTTAAGTTCCATTTTTGAAGAATTCTTTTGGGATCTCCAGACTGTGTGTTGTATTGAAAAGCCTTGTGAAATTTTAAGTTGAAATGTAATTGGGTCCTTGCCCAAAACTGCCATAACTACTTGAATTCTTTGGATACCTCCACAGAATGATAGGAGTCTTTGTTCCCTGGAATAGCAAAAGGGGCATGGTCAGTCTGCTTTGTTAATTGGCTTAGTCTCTCACAAGGCAAGTCTTCTAAATGTTTTTACTTTGCTTCAAATATAGGCCATTACCTGTATCCATGTAATCTCAGTGTAGAAATCAGCAGTAAGGTGATACTTAATCACGAATAAAGGTAACAGTACCAGAGGAGTGCATGGCACAAAGAAGTTTGCAGAAAACTGTTGATTTCTTAATTTTGTGCCTTCCCAGTCTTTTGGGCCTTTTTTGTCATTCCTTGTTCATGCTCAAGCTATGCTTCTGTTTTTGTTCTTCTCCCTCTTAACCCTGCCTTTTAAAATCCACTTCTCGCTCTCCCCCAAGTTTACATGCCTAAGTCTCCAATGTGGCTTGTTCAAGGTTAAGATCAGTTGTTCTGGGATGAACAGGCTCTTAGAGATTGCCAGTTATGCCCAGGGTTACTGATTTGCATTAAAAAGCCAGTTTAGTAATTTATGAGGAAGACTACAATTTCTGCACAGAACTTCTCATAGTGTGTTTATCCTGTATAAACAGCCTCCTTAAGAAATCAAGTAAAGTCAAAAAAAAAAAAAGTATATATTAGTCTGTGTGGTCTTGAACAAGTCCTTAACCTCCTTAAGTCTCAAGTTGCCCCAGTCTCTAAAATGGGGATTATGGATACCATTACTCTGGTGAACAGGAGTATTGCAAAGATTTTGTAATGTGGCCTTCCTAGTAAATGTGAAGCATTGCATGAAGAATTATTGCTTTCTGGGATCAGAGTAGTCCCCAACCAGGTGCCCATTCCTGGGTCTTAGTACTGTCCCCCTAGCTTTTGCTAGGAATAGCATGTTCAGATTTCTCTTTAAGATCCATCTTTTGAGTGCTTGAACTGCTCTTTAAGTTCACAAGATTGTTATCTTGTGTTAGGAGCAAAGGGCTCCTAATTGCTTTATGAAGAAAGCAGTTTCTCTTTTAATAATATGGTGATAGCTCTATCTCTAATCAGGAAACGTATGCCTTTGTCCAATAATTCTCTAATGACTTTTAAGGCCAAAATATATTATTTTCCTGTGGTATTTGCATTTTAGTATCGAACAGTATTTTAACTCTCCTTTGCCTGAATGTAAGACAAGTCAAGCTTTCTGCTTCTATGCCTCTCAGTGAACTTTTATTAAACCTGCACTCCATCTTGAGCCCATTAAGATCTTTCAGATTTTCTGTAAGTCTGTTTAATATCTTTACATTTCATTTTCTAAATAGTCTTTCATGAGCCATCTACACAATTTCTTCTTGATATTCAGAAGTTATGTTGGATCCTTTTTTGTTTGAGGTGGGGTCTCACTTCATCACCCAGACAGGAGTGCATTGATGCAAACATGGCTCACTGCAGCCTTGACCTCCTGGGCTCAAGCGATCCTCCTGCCTTAGCCTCCCAAATAGCTGGGACTACAAGCTGTGCATTACCATACCTGGCTAATTTTTGTATTTTTTTGTAGAGATGAGGTTTCTCCATGTTGCCCAAGCTGGTCTCAAACTCTTGAGCTCAAGTGATCTACCCACCTCCGCCTCCTGAAGTGCTGGGATTACAGACGTGAGCCACAGTGCCTGGCCTTATGTTGGAATTTAAACAAGTTAAGAGCAAGGCAGGAATATTATCTCCATTTCTTCTTCAGTCTCCTGAACTAACTTATCTCCTATCAAAATTAATTGCACTTAATTCAGCATTTATTGTATGCCTCCCATTTGCAAGGAAACAGGCTAGGGTCTGGAGGAAATAAAAGATGTTGAAGATTTAAGCCCTGTCTCAAAGAACTTACATTTTAATGTTTCATTATTTCTCCCTATTTAATAACACTTAGGCATCTTGAAAGCAGGAGACAAGCTTCCTTTATCATCTGTATATTATCACAGGCATTAAATAAATACTAAGTTGGACTCACTTTGATTTGAGTTTGCCTTTATCATAGCCCAGCAGACCACAGAAAACACCTTTGTAGATGAGAAAACTGATTTTTCAGAATCACGAATAAGAAATTAATATGAGATTCTGGCATTCCACCGCAGTTTCAAGGCTTTTTTCCCCCAGTATTGTTTCATTTGTGACTCGACACCTTGAGTTTTATATGAACAGTTGTTGACTGACTACATAAATGACTTTTTAAAAATGAGTTCAGCCAAATCCAAGGTCCTAATGGAAATCACTCCTGAGACTGAGAAAGAAAAACAGTCATTCAGTTTGATTTGCTACTACGTATTTTTCCCTTAAAGAATTCAGAATCCTTAGAATATCCTTGGGAGGTGGAGAGGGTCATTCTTCATTCTATGGTTAAAGCATCAGAGGTAGAAAACAATTGTCTTTTGTGACATGAAATAGTTCGTGAGGGTGGTGGCTAGATGCTCCTCTTTAGGGCTATGTTCAAAGCAGCCAAGATGGTAAGTGACCAAGCTCATGGCCATCAATTTTGTGTTGGGACCATCTACACCTTACCAGAGAATCCCATGCTGTAATGATTAAAGAAAACTCAAATGGGGCCCAGGAAATTATTTGTGTGAATCTCATCCATCCTTCCATCTTATCACCCACAGAAAAGATCAGTAATTGAAGGCCATTAGGGAAAACCAGATGGAAAGAGGAAGATGGAAGATAAACATCAGTTCCCCAGTTCCAAAGAACCAGGCCAACAGAAGACCAAATTGTAATTTTCCAAGCCAGCTGCAGTTTTGGAAGGTTTCTGTATCTGGGCCAACTAAACAAATAAAATCACTTAAATTACTGATTTAAGGGTTAGAAAAGAAAGCTATTAGAAATTCTTTCACGATTGCTACTTCAAAGTCTTTATTTTGGTGAGGAAATAATCATTGATGTCAAAATCTTTATTCATCAAACTTTTCAAAAGGAATCAACTCTGGTAGCTTATAGAAGAGTAACACCATTTGGGGTACAAAGCAAGATGAGACTATCAAGCAGTTAATCTGGTCTTGGCCATGTTGCTCACACCCTAACTTTGCGGGCAGTTCTAAAAGAATCTGCTTTCCAGTTGTAAATCCTCACTTTAGACCACATACTCTGGATCTGTAATTTTCATCTTATGCGTTTTGCTCCATCGTATTTTCCTTTTTTATTTGGAATCATTTCTCCTTTCTCCTAGTATTTGCACCTCTCAGAGATTGGAAAACAATAGCCATGCCTCTGAGCCTTTACTTAAGTTATGAAAACACATGTTTTTAATATGGCCTCATAAATTAGTCCCTAACTCTTTGGGGGCCTCTTTCAAATTACTACAACTGGTCAAAAATGCTTAAACGTAGACATTATATTGCAGTAACGGGATTCTTTCAACAGGAAATTATAGGCAGCTATAATGGCTACTAATCTTATCCTTGTCTTTATGTCCCTTTTAAAGTATGCTGCATTATTTTCACTGTGGTTTGTCAGTAACTTGAAGGAATCAGCCTTATTATCCTTCATTTCGTTAGCTTCTAACACCATTCAGTGAACATTCACTAAATGCTGTAGGTTTGCTGATGGCTTCGTTTACATTCTTAAATTTTACATCTTATCCAGTGTAAACATTTTAGTTAATAATATCTACATTACTTCATCTTATACTTATTTACTAACAGTGTTTAGTGAAAGGTCATCTTTACTGTAAAATTTCCCTCCAAAAACAGGGGCTTTTATGCAAGCTGCAGATTGTTTAGCACCTTCTTAAGAGATTTTACACCCCTGTTCCTTTCACCCACTAAACAGGAAGGGATCTCTGTTCTGGGTATAGTTTGCTTATTAACTTTAGAATGGCTTTGGGCTGCTGCCTAAGTTCATAGTGAGAAAAAAGCTGTAGTCCTCATCCCTTGAGAAAGTTCTGTTTTTATTTATAATGTGGAAACTCTACAAATGAGCCCATGTCTCCATGTTTCCAAGAATTTTTAAAAAGATAACTTTTTAAGGTATAATTTACATACAGTAAAATGTGCACAGTTCCATGTACAGTTTGATGAGTTTTGACAACTGTATGCACCTGTATAACCAACCCTACAATCAATATATAGAAACTCCAGAAAATTCTCTCATGCCCTCTTGTAGAAAATCTTACCCCCACCCAGACCCCAGGATTTCTATTAGGACAAGAAAAATTTTAAATTGTTGACCTAACAGGTGACATCTTATTTTTAGTTTCTTATATTTGAAGTACTCCTTTCTTTGTTTTTCCTCTTTTTATTTATTATAAGCATATCATCTAATTATCTTTAATATCTACCTTCCTTAACTCCAATTTTGGAATGTAAACTTTCTCAGGTCATTTTTCTTAGGGAAATATGAGCAGCAAAGGAATTAGAGGTGTATAGTAGTGATTACAAGGCAGTGTAACTTGTTGAAGTTCAGTCGTATCATTAGGGAGTCTTCACCTTTTAATCAGTAATAAATGCTTCAGTAAATTTGAGTACACAACAAGGGAGGATTCCTGGGTGCAGGGAGAAGAGCCTCTGCTCTGTTGGGATCTTGGACCTGAGCCAGATTCACTCAGCCAGCCCTCCTTTAATCATTGACTATACCTTTGCTCTTCCTCTCTGGCCTGAACAGGTCCCCCAGCAGGTGATACTCATGATCACAGTTGATGGGAAAGTAGAGCATCCCCTGCTCTCTGAGTGTGAACTCTACCTCATGGTACCAGGTACCACAGTGAGAAAAACTATCATTTCTGCATTTCCCTCTCACAGTCTAACTCAAATGGGAAAATTATGGCAGTTGTATGATTTCAGAGTTTCCTATGGAACACCACTACAACATTTAGATTTCTCTCCTTATGCTCCTTGAAACTATGTAGGTGCAGCCCACTCAACTGTCCTGTAGAATGGAGTTCTCCTTTACCCATTCCCAGGTGAAGAATGACATTCTCTTGTGTAGCAGCCTCCCATGGGTGGATTGCGGGTTGTGTAAAATTCCTGGAGAAATGATTATAACTTTTCTCCTGTTGCCTTTAGGAAAACCTATTGGAATGTAATTGTTTGAGGAATGTTACTATAGGCAGAACCTTGACTTCATTCTAATTTCTTTTAAAAAGATTAAATTATTTGCATATTAGTTTAGTAACTGATTTCAATGCACGTTGACTGGAGTGGGCCCTCCAGTGATCTGGACTTGCTCTCTAAGGAAGCAGCCATTAGGGGCTCAGCAGTCTCTTCTTGTGACCTATCTTTAGAACTCTGCATGGTTTATTGGCCATATTCTAGAGGTGTAGTGTTTCTTAAGGCTGGGAGCACCGGGAATCTATTGCAGAGAGGAGGGTACCAGAGTACCAAAGTAGTAGAAAATTGTAGAAATATTTCATTTGCACTGACTAACTCATCATGTTATGCCAACATGTGTAGGTGATATTTGTGAGCAAGTCCAATTATATTATCTAAAACTGTTCTTAACTTTCAAAACAAATCATGTTGATATATCTAATTAATAAATTTAAGATATTTTTCCAAGTATTAAAGAAATACAAGCTCTTCATAAAAAATTAGAAAGATATGAAAAACAAAGAAAGAAGGAAGGGGCTTACTTATAGCTCCACCATTCAAAGCCAACTTTATGTTAACATTTTGATGAGTTTCCTTTTAGTCTGTCTTCCTACGCATAGATTAATGTACACTTTTATATTTTTATTTTAAGTAACCCATGTTCATTGCTTACACAAATAATAAAACTATGAGAAACAATAAGAATATAAAAATTAACCCAGGTCACACTATTGACAGATAATATAACTAATAATATTCTGCTGTTTGTCCTTCCAGAGTTGGGGGCAAGGAATGTTTCTTCTATATAAACTACTTTGTAATTTGCTTTATCGACCATTAGGCTATGAACAATCTTTCCATGTGAATGTATATATATATCTGCTTTATGTTTTAAATGTCTATATTATATTACTTTATAAGCAGGGAATTTAGCTAGTCCTTTAATTTTTTTATTCATTCATTCTTTCAATATTCATTATGTAATGAACAAGACCATCATGGCTCTGTTCATAAAGTTAATTTTTGTCATTCACACCCAGAATACAAAAAAAGAAACTTAAATATTATTTGCATCATTTTTAAAGATGAGGAAATTGGAGTAGAAAGAGAGAAACTCTTCTTGCCAGGACATTTTGTTATTTAGTGATTGGTAACCAGTACTCTTTTTCCCTATACTGTCTATGTTTAACAATAAATCTTCCTGAAGTAATCTTTTTTTTTTTTTGAGACAGAGTCTCGCTCTGTCACCTGTGCGGGAGTGCAGTTTGACACAATCTCGGCTCACTGCAACCTCCATCTCCCGAGTTCAGGTGATTCTCATGCCTCAAGCCTCCCGAATAGCTGGGACTATAGGCGTGCACCACCACGCTCAGCTAATTTTTTTGTATTTTTAGTAAAGATAGAGTTTCACCACGTTGCCCAGGCTGGTCTCCAACTCCTGAGTTCAACTGATCCGCCTGCCTTGGCCTCCCAAAGTGCTAGGATTACAGGCATGAGCCACTGCTCCTGGCCCTTAAGTAATCTTTAAAAAAAAAAAAAAAAATTAAGTAAAAAAAAGTTGTCATTTTAACAGTCTTTGTAAGTTTAGAATTTTGTTTAGTCTTGCAAAATGGCTTTTTCATTTGTTTCCAGAATATTTAATGCGCTAAAAAGCAGCATTTATTTATAAATAAGGATAACTAATAAAAATTTAAATTTATAAATTAATTTCTTTCGGAGATAATTAAAAACGTGCAAATTGTTTTTCTTGGAATAGTCTGTATCTTTAAAATTATAAAACTATATGAGAGAAACATTTTTCTGAATTTGCTGAATATAGAAAGTTTGTACTTTAGCTTCATATGTAATCATAGTCAAGCTTGTCTACACTTTAGAGTTGCCCAGTTCTAAATTCACAAAGTATTTTGAGAGGAAAGGATTTCCATAATTTCCATCTGCAGTGTGCATAGAAGGGCTTAGCTGAAATTGTTATTTAAACCAGAACTATTTTGCTATCTTGTGGCTATAGCATTCTAATTACCAAGTATTTCAATGTGAATAGTGAATTCCCTTTGTCACCTTACAGAAAAAACCCCCACAAAATGCCTTTCCCTAACTAATGAATATGAAAATGCTTTTTTTTGGAAGCAGTGTTACTGCAAGGGGATGGGTTTTTTCTGTGTTTTATTTTTAAAAATCATACAGACATTGATTATAAATGTTTTTAATATTACATCACTTTTGATTTTATACAAAAATATTTTAAACTTTTAAGCTCATTTATTTTTCTTTAGAAAAAGGTACTTAAACAGTAATGGATCTTTAATGTTTTATCTGGTGTTAAGATTCCTAAAAGAATTTCTATAGTCCTATATGCTAAGTGTTTGGTCATAGCTTGGAGTGATCCACAGTATCTGGTTCTTTTTCTGCTATTCTTTTCCTCCCTTAATTTCTTAACTTTTTGAGATTTGTTTTACATAAAGATCCACATTTACTCTTTAAATAGAAACACTTCAAAAGCAGCTTTATCACATGTTATGTCCTGTTTATCCAGCAATTCCCTCACACACAGAAAAATAACCAACTTTTTAATGGGGCATCTACTTTGAAGAAGAGATCTGGATCCTAGTCTGTCACTTTAGCTAATGATTTTTGCTTTGAGCATGTCTTAATAACCTCTCTGGGCCTCAATAGTAAAATGAAGGACTCAGCTTCATAGATGACCACAAGGTCCCTTCTAGCTGCCATAATTTTCTACCCATATGTTCTTTTTGTTAACCTTTAAGAGGTTTTTCCGATTAAAGATTCTGTACTTCTGACAACTTATTCCAAGAGGTAGAATAGGCTGAACACATACAGGTTTAAGTATAGACGTGAATACTTAAATCTGCTACTGACTAGGATTATAAATCTTTGAGCCAATCAAACCATTCCCTTTGGCCTTAGAACATTGAAAGTCTGTTCTAGCTCCCTACTATACATTTCTAAGGATTGTAAAGCTTAGAATTATAACAGAAATAACTAACATTTATTGAGCATGGTGTTTCAGAAGCTGTGCGAAGTACTTCACCAGGTTATCTCCTTTAATCTTTAATGCAGTCTTTTAGGGATAGGTATTAACATGGAGATCTTTGGGGGTGATAGGTTTATGGTGAATTATCAAGATATTCTAGGGGGCTGTCTTAATAGTGCATCCTCTATTTTTGGGAGTGACATCATAGAGGACAGCCAGACCCTTCCACACAATGCCCCTTAGTATCATTGTAGAGACTTAATGTTGGACTGAATAAAGACTAAGTAGATCACTATCTTTTAAGTAGTTAGTTTACCAAAAGGGAGTAGTACCTCTAGAGCTGCCCAAAGGAAGTTGAAGCATGGTTCAGATGGGCCATTAAAGAATGTCACTCTAGAATTGCAACTCTTATGTTCCGTTTTTTAAATAAACTCTTACCAAATGCTGAAGGAACGAAGATTCCAATTCATTGAATAAGAAAACCTATGATATCGAATTTTTAATGTAGAAAAATAAAATATCCTTTCTTAAAGTGTAGCTTAGTTCTCTCTTAGTTGCTTATGTCAAATGCTGTCCTCTCTTCATGAAGTATCACACAGATGTACAAATTCAAATAATCTTGTTCCTTTCATAGGAACAACAACAATAAATAAATAAAGGATTTAGACTTAGTGGTTGTGTAAATTACACATAAGATTGCACTAATTCAACAAGTGCATTTTATTTTATTTTTATTTATTTATTTAGAGACAGGGTCTCCATCTGTCAACCCAGGCTGGACTACAGTAGTGCGACCTTGGCTCACTGTAGCCTCAATAACTCCTGGACTAAAGCAATCCTCCTACCTGAGCCTCTGAAGTACTGGTACTACAGGCATGCACCACCATGCCTAGCTAATTTTTTTGTAGCGATGGGGTTTTGCCATAGTGCCCAGGCTGGTCTCGAACTTCTGGGCTCAAGCAGTCTGCCCGCCTCAGCCTCCCAAAGTGCTGGGATTACAAGCATGAGCCACTGTGCCCAGCCAGAACATGTGAATTTTAAATAGCAGTATACTTAGTAGAATGAGATACAGGTAAATTTTTAAATAATTGAGCCATATTAAATGATTAACCTAATTTATTTGCATATTAATGAAATCTGATAACTAAGATTTATAATATAAGGCATATTGCATTTATTATATTTTAGATAAATCAGCATACATTTACGTCTTCAACAGTTGACTTAAACTCAGTTTGACAGTTTTAGGTTTTCATCATTTCAGTCTTCAAAGTGCTTATTAGCATTTCATTGTCAAAGTTGAAGCATCCCTAGCTCTTTGAAACTGACAAAAGACCTCTGAGTTGACAGTCACCTCCCAAATAAACAAGATTTTTAAGATAGTTGAAGTGCTTTCCAAATCAATACTCTAGAGTCTATATGTAACACTTACTGTAGAGAGTTTATTATTATTTAGAAGTTAAAAAAAAGAAAAAGAAAACAGAAGCAAACAAACAGAAACCCTCTCAGGTCTTTAACACAGTTTGTCAGTTTATCATTTTCTATGTTATCTCTCAGAAGAAGAGAAATCAGTAACACTGAAAGATTAGCATTTCATAACTATAAGAAAAAAATTAAAGATGGTCTTACTAATGCTAGTACTTATGAGAAATAAAATAAGTAGAATAAAACTTTAAATTTGGGGGAAGTTCTGAAACATGCAGTGATAAATAATTTTTTATTAAAGTGCTGACGATCAGTGTTCTCACCAATGAAGCTTTCTATAAAATTGAGATATCTGCAGAAATTTTGATTCAGTATAATCAACATGGAGCCTAAACATCTGTATTAATGTATTTATCTTTCTATCTACACATCTATATCACATGTGTGATTCTGTTGCTCAGTAAAAGTTACAACTGATAGATTAGATATGCGGTTCTGAAGCTTTTTGGAGTCAGGACCCCTTTACACTTTAAAAATTACTGCAGACTTTGAAGAGCTTTTGTTTATGTGGGTTATATCTGTTGATATTTACTATATTGGAAATTAAAATATATTTTATAAAATATCTTTAAGAAACAATAAAAATTACATGTTAACAATATTATTAAATAACCAATTTTTGAAACAAAAAAATTTAGAAGAGTAGCAGTGTTTTACATTTCTGTGAATCTCTTAAATGTATGGCTTAATTTTAAGGAAATGAAACTGGGTTCTCATAAATGCTTCTGTGTTCAGTCTGTGGTGATACCAAACTGGACAAGTAGTAATTTCTTAAAGGTTACTTGCAATGTGGAGTCTGAAACCTTATTAATAGCCATTTTTTACTCTGTTACACTGAAACCCATTGGTCTATTGAACTTCAAATGGATCTTTCAACTGTGCATGATTTTGAAACATCATGCATTGATCACTTGTAAAATATTGGTTCACTGAGTTACGTAGGTCTTCCAAATGTTGACATATTTTATACAATATCAAAAAGTCACATTTGTTAGTATCATCATTGATCTTACCAGATAACTCATTGAAGTAGTAGGAAGCTGTCAAGTTTAGGGTGGCAGATACAAATTTTCCAAAATTCTAATTTTACCTGAAAGTTTTAATTTTATCATTGACTGTCAGTTGTTTCCTTGAGGTAGCCAGAGCACTTCATTCATTTTATAGAAAATGCCAAACACCCAAGGCTGAACAACCAAAATTTGTTTTACTCATTCTTTCATGTAAAAAAATGGTACTTCTGTGGGGAAGAGTGCTAGCTCAGCTTACTACTAAAACAAAGAATACTTTTCCTCAAGACAACCATCTCTAAAGGGAACCCAGAAATACCTTTCATATCTTGTGATGTGAACCTAACTTTCTCTTTTGGAGAGGTTTTCAAATGTGGAAGTGTAAAACTCTAAATTTAATGTAAGCTACAGGAGAAGAGACAATGAAAACAAACAAAAAGCCTACAGTAACTAATTTAATATGCTATTGTTCATTAAAAACAGTATCATGGCCAGGCGCAGTGGCTCACGCCAGTAATCCCAGCACTTTGGGAGGCCGAGGCAGGTGGATCACGAGGTTAGGAGATTGAGACCATCCTGACCAACATGGTAAAACCCCATCTCTACTAAAAATACAAAAATTAGCTGGGTGTGGTGGCGTGTGCCTGCAGTCCCAGCTACTCGGGAAGCTGAGGCAGGAGAATTGCTTGAACCCGGGAGGCGGAGGTTGCAGTGAGCCAAGATTGCGCCACTGTACTCCAGCCTGGCGACAGAGCAAGACTCCGTCTCAAAAAAAAAAAAAAAGTATCGTTGGTATAACGTAATGTATTAAATTCTATACCTAGTATCTCAAAAACCCTGAAAAATGAAACCAACAAAGAAACATTATTCAACTGAGGACATGGTTTGATATTTTGGCAGTGAAAACAACAAAGGCATACCCTTTAAGAACCTTTCTACAGCTGATCCTGCAGGAGGAGATATTTTAGGCAAGTTTTTTTTAAAACAATATACTTCTTATTTTCATGTCTCTATTAGTAAGACATGCATTTTAAAATAATGAAAATAATTTTGTAATTTTATAGCAAGTTATGGGTTTGAGTTCATAGGAGGAAAAGTGATCAGACTTTAGGCTTACTAATGATAGATACTGCCTAAATTCCCTTTTCCTTCTAATATTTTCTTGGAATTTATTGCAGAGGGTTTTTATTTATCCAAAAATGTTCATGGCACTTTACATTATTCCTCCAGTAATAGTTGTTTTGGTCCTGCAGATTAGTTTAAACCACAGTGATTCAACAACCTGTGGAATAGAAAACTACAGTTCATGAATCCTAAACATCCTTCTTATTTCAGGTGGCACATGTTCTCTCAGCACAACAATTGTTTTCAATTCAATGTCTCCTTTAGTCAGCTATGTTGCTAAGATACCTATGTTATCAAAATTTTCTCTCTAACATGTTTTTAGTTCATATTCTGCATACATTTTGACTGCCAAATGAAGAAACAATATTTAAAATGCTATTCTTGTTAGCACCTCTGACCTGCCATTACTTTTTGAATAACCTAGATAAAAGACAAAACATTTATACATTTCTTTGTATTAAATCTATTCTGACAGTATAAGGGCAGGAGACTGAAATCATTCAGACAGGCACTCGTCTATGAGTCTGAAGAATTCAGAGAGGCTTACGAATGTGCCATGAATTTTGCTCATTCTTTTAACATTTATTTAGCATCTACTTTGTCCCAAGCCTTGTGTTAAGCTATAAGACTGATGCTAATGATGATAACAGTATCAATATCAGCATCACCACATAGTCTTTGAGAGTTTTGAGAGCTCTCTGCATGCTGGGTACTAAAAATATATGCCTTATGTATATTCCATACATTCTACCTATATTATCTCATCCTTCCAGTCCCCATGAAGTATAGGTACTATCTTCATTCCAGTTTTACAAATAAACTGAGACTTATCTAAGATCCCATAACTAGTAAATGGAGCTAAGATTCTTTTACAGCTAGTTTTTACTCAAGAGCCAAGCTTTTAACCACTTAACACTGAATTTTAAAAATTTTAAATTTTTAAATTTAAAACAATTTAATTTTTTAAATGCTTTATGGAAGGAGGGATTAGGCAGATTGAGGAGGAGAGTTTATAAACTGCAGCTCCCTGTCTGTATTATTTCTGATAAAAGGACCGTATGAGATGGTCACAAACTACCCTGTGGTTTGGACTTCAGAGGGCTTTAAAAGCACATCCATATTGGAAAGAGCGAGAAATCTGGGATGGAGAGAGGTGTAGAAGTCATCTGTGAGAGTGTCAGAAAGCCCATGAGGGGAGGGAGCAGTTTGGAAGGAGGGCATGGTCATAGATTTCACGGACAAATTCAACTTTTGTTAGAAAATGTGATTATGGGACAAAAATACGGTGCAAAAATACATTATTCATGCAGCACTTATCTCAATTACAATTTATTTATTAAATATGTATTTAATATTTGGTCCTTGTAAAATAGTATACCACCCTAGTCTCTGGTATGAAGCTACAGTTTCATTAGTGCCTAGCATATAATAGATACTCAATAAAATGTATGCTGAGTGAAAACTATTTATGAGCACTTAGTATTGTACATATATACTTTGAGCATTTCAGTAGTTTCATTAAATGAATTTGTGGGTTTTATGAAGTTTTTACACTTTGGCCATATGTCTAGCACCCAAAAATTTATTTTTTTACATTATATTCTTTTAAAGATAAAATACATCCTAATTATATAATTACTCACTGAATTACCAATCTGCAGTCTCTGTTATAAATTTAAGACTTGTTTAATTGTTTTACCCATGAGATTGAAATGGCTTTCCACCTTGTAAATTATGTATGTCTATTTGGTGGATTTTAATGGAAAGCTTAATTAGCTATTTCTAAAAACAGTTTAATTAGTTGCTCAAGAGACTACGCTCTCATTTCATTGGTTTGGAGGTAGTTTTATTGATTTGTTTTTATTTAAAGATCAGGAAAAGCCAGTGCAAAATTAACAAAAACAAAAAGGCATGCTACTCAGTAACTCTGTTTGAAGCCCTGATATATTATCTGACAAAAAACTGCATGTATCTAAATGAGATCAACATATCACTTTACCTCCTATCCCCCACCATCAAAATAATGGAAAAGTTTTTTTTTAATGCCGAGGTTAATCACCAAGGCTGACCTTACTTCTCTGTATGTTGTAAACCAATTGTCAGGCTTAGAACTGAATTAAGAGTGGTCATTTTCAGTTGTGAGTGTTTCTGTTTGCTGATGATTCTGGGTCTTTGTGACAGCTGAGCCTTACTTAGGGTTAAGAGTCAGCCTGTTATATCCCTAGGTCTCAGGCAAGCACAGTAGAGTAGAGAGAGGATAGGGAAGTCAGAAGGCCTGGTTTCCATCTTGGCTGCTTTGCTTACTATCTGCCCTGAACAAACACCTTAACATCAGTGAATTTGCCTTTTGAAAAACAAGAATAGGAAGTTACAATGAAATAGTATATATGACATATCACTTTGTGGAATGTAAAGCTCTAAGTGCTACTGATTTGGGGACAGTGTAAAAGTGTGCCTGGATTTCTTTTTAGCCGGGTTGGCAGAAGACTACAGTAATTAAAATTATTGTGAAGTAGAATTAGTACCGGATTATTAAACCAGTTACCTCACAGATTACTTCTTGATATGCCACCTGGTTATAGAATCAGGCCTAGGCCTGGAAGAGGTTTCTGAGTCCTCCCTTGGGCACCCAAGCCTGTTCTCCTGAAACTATGTTTTCCCTGCTAGTTGTCAAGGATATGCTAAACCTAAAGGTGAATATGACATATCTTCCTAGAGCGTTAGTTTTACTCAGTAGTAATGGACTGAAAATATTTTTGTATTAAATAAGCTTAGGTACATTCTGAGGAGCTTGGAGAGCCACTCCTGGATCTATGCACATCCCTAGTCACTGTTGGTTGCTATTAGGGGCATTTTAGTGGACAAGGTAGTAATGTACCAGTCTCAGCTGGCCAGATAGCCTCAAATAACATTTGAGCTTATCAACCTAAAATCTTCAATTGCTATCTTACTTTAACCTTTGTTTTTGTTTGTTTGGTTTTGTGTGTGTGTGTGTGTGTGTGTGTGTGTGTGTGTAGAGGAGGAAATCAGCATGGTAGATTTTTCTCAGTCCATTAAAATGTCACTGAAAGATATTAATCATCCTTTAATCTTTTCTTCTTCCTCACAAGTGCCACTTGTTGCAGTCTGACTTTCTGTGTCTTCCTTTCTAACATACTGACCACATGTGGACCTTGTACAGATGCCTCAAATCACTCTTAAGATACTGAGTTCCATATGGGACACAGTCTGTATAAAAATAAGAACCTAATGACTATCTCTTATATGAAGAGCATATAAGTTAGGGGTTGTTAAGTTTTCTATTAGTTTTATTAGGATCCTTTGAACTAACAGGAATTTCATAAATGAAATGCTATGGACATGATATAAAAAGTTTGTTTTAGAAAATGCCCAAAAGCAAGCTACTTTTACTTTTCAAACATCATTATCTTATAAAACGTGCAATAAGTATAGCAGAGTCATTACAAAGAAAATTAAATGTATGGCAGGACAGTGGACAATTAACACATCTGTGATTTATGCCCATGCTTGTACTTCTTCCCAGGGTAATTGTTTATAAACGTTAAATCTTTTGTCTTCAGGCCACTGTTGCCATTTTCAAAATAAAAGCAAATTTTCAAAAGTATGTTTGAAGATCACAAATCTGCTTTATACCATGAATCAATATATATCTCTATTGAGGCTTAAAATGAATATTTTAAATAAATTACAATTGATATATTCTAATCAAACTGTGGTTTATTTTTGCCATAGAAAGGAAATTAGCTTTTCTAACTGAAGTTTAAAGAAGTCTGTAACAGGCCCTTTTTAAAATAACCAAATCACTTAGGCTTCATCCCAGCCTAATCAACAGAAGTCACTAAAGGAATGAGAAAACTAAAAATACAACCTTTAGCTTTTGTTTTGATATACTAGATTGCCTCCATTAAATTAGTGAGTATAGAGTGTTTGCTGAGATGCAATAACTTGAAATAACCTCATATAGCAGTTTAAAATCTGAAAACACTCCTAATAATATCAATCTGAGTCTGCCTTTTAGTTGTATTTTTTATATGTATATTATATCCAAAAGCTTTTTGAAAAAGTGAAAATGTTTATGATTCAAGAATTTTGCACTAGATTTAAAGTTCCTTATTGTTGACAAAGTGTTAGACCTTCTCTGATTTCACCTTCTCTATTGCCACAGAACAATAATAGTGTTTCTTTAAGTCTTGCAGGTAATAGGTGTCAAAAATTGGGTAAAAATTGACAAAAATAAAAATGTAATGGCACATTTCCCCAAGTATCCCCTCAGATTCATGGGGGTTGGGGGGAAGATCAAGAGGACCTTCTCATGAAGCCCAGTTTCAGCTTTTGATTAGGAAGAGCCTAGGAAGAATGTTGTTATACAACCATCATTCCTGGTAACCAAACATTAGATAGTGTTAGATTAGAACATTTTATTCTTATATAATTTCGTTTATATTTATATATTGTTGCATAATTCAGAATAAGGACATGTTCCGTTTATAGTATAGGTTGTTACCAATACATCAGGACCACAATCTGCCACCCTCCAAGAATTTATAAGTGAAAAAATAAGACTGTATCTTATGAATTAACTTTAAGATCACCTAAGATATCTGAGCAATGATATGTAAAATCATAAAGAAATAACTTAAAGAGGGGACTGAAATAGGTAGAAGTTGATTATGCCAATTCAAGCACAGACCTAAAGTGAGGGGAGACCCACGAAATGGACGCTGAGTATTCTAGTCCATCAGCAAGGCCATCCTAATTGTAAAGGTTGTTCTAACTCTACACATTAAGTATTCAATTTATCTCACTCTACTTGCTCCAATTCCATTCCCACCAACTTCCTAATTATTTTTTGTTTGCAGTGTAGGTGTGCTACCAAAAAGAGCATGTTGGTCACTACTTTATGATATTAATAACTGTATCTCATTATATTTTGTTATAAACTAGACAAGTGCCATTCTGATTTACCTATGAGTTTCATGAGCTTGGTATTTTTTGTCTCCGCTTAAGGAATAGTGCTGACAAACTCCATTTCTGAGCCTACTTGATTGGGTACCAGCCAAAAGCCCATTGTAAATTTGCCAGAGCTACCTTCTGAAGACCCACTTGATACAGCCAGCAGGCCTTTCCCTCATAAACATCCCCAAATCTTTCAGCACATACTTGTGTGCTAAATGAGTATGAACCTTTTCTTTCCTTTTGCATTTCTATTAAAAATATAGAGAAGACCATAGAGCTCATTTAGTCCCCAGGCCTGAGACTTAGAAAAGCTAAGTGGCTTGTCGAATAGCAGTAAGAACAAGGCTTGGAAGCCAGGCTGTGTGCCATTCCACCCCCTCCTCCTTGGGCATAGTGTTCTTCACGTAGTGTGAAAAAGCTCCCTTCACAGCTGGTGCTTGGAGAATTTCTCATATTTCTATTGTTTCTTGAAAGAGGAATGCAAGGGCTATCCTTTTTTGTTTGCATTGTTTTCAGATGTCTTATGTTTAAATATTATTGCATGTGAATCGATCAGGGAGCAGGTGAATTGGTCAGAGTATACAACATTTGGTAGTGGCAGTGTTAGTATAGTGTGATTTAAATTTATTATATACGGAGATGGATGCACTGATGTGCCTTATTGTTATCTGTTTAGATGGATATTATGTTAATGCTAGAGGAGCTATGTAATGAAGACTGAGTTAGGAATTATGATGTGATTGCTGCCAGTAGCATAAAAATTGAGTCCTAGCATAATGTTGAGTTTTCTGTGTAATATAAAAATTTATTTATCCCAACATAATTTAAGGAATTTATAGAGTTCTGATACAGAAGTCTCTAATGTTAGACTTAAAATACATTTGAAAATTTTGCTTGATTGTTGAATCTGGTAGTCACCAGATTCAAATACAGCAGTATTCAAATTCAAATACAGCAGTAGTAAAAGGCCTAGTGATCTGAGCGGCACTGGAATATAAATGCTCCAGAAATTTATTCAAATGGCAACCTTTCAAAATGGCATGTTAATAACAGATAATATGAGAGGCAGGATAGTCTAGAGGAGAGACAATTTGAAGTCAAATAGACATGGATTCAAGTCTTACTTTCATCATGTACTAGTTAGGTGACCTTCAGCAAGATACTTAATTTATCAGAGCTTTTGTTTCTTCATCTATAATAGTGTTTCTTTAAGTCTTTAAAGTATACAATTCTTAAAAGTCTTTAAGTCTAAGTATACAATTCTCATCTATAAAATGAGAATTGTAATAACTACCTTACTGGTTGTTTGACAACTAAACTTTATCATACATGTAAAGCATTTACTAGTACCGTGTTATGCAATTGTCAGTTAATTAATGGAAGCTGACATATTATTGTTAAGTACCTTGGAATATATTCCACTCTTGGCTCTAATGGAGAAAAAATAGGTTACATATTATAATTCAGGGTATGCAAGTAAGAATAATCTGTGTATCTAAGTTGAGTTGAATTTGCTTGAATCCATAAATGTTTATGTTATAACTTGATTTTGGAGGTTTCAGGAAAGCTGTGTTGTTTGTGCCTCAATTTTAACATTTTATAGAAATTGCAGGATTTCACTAAACCTGAATGAGAAACTCATATTACCCAAGAGTTAATCCAGTTACTCAGCACCTTCCCAATCGTAAGGGTCCTGCCAGCTAGAACATTCCTCTGTGGTGCTTTTTGGATGGATTGTTGACTTAGCTTTGATAACTGGAGCATTGTGCTAATGATTCTATGGTATCACCTTGATGTTACAAAGGAGGTGGCTTTTTATGTTACATGAGGTCCTTCCAGTGTCCTAGAGAACATTCTGACTATAAATAAGTCCTGACATTTATTAGTTAGAGAATTATTTCTTTGGCTTAAGTCTCAATCCCACATTAAAAACTAGGTATTTGTGGAAAAGAGTATAATTGGTCATTTGTACTTTAGTGTGAATTGATAAGACCCTTTCCTATAAGCAGGATTTGATGGGATTACTGAGTATGAGCATGGATGTTCTTTTAATTATAAAATTGCCAGAAATAAGGTAAAGTAAAAATTGCATAACAGTGATGCTTATAATGTGTCCCTAAATTATTGGTTATAATTTGACCTGAGCTCACATTGCATAGAACAATGGCCGTAGGTCTTTAATCCATATCATAGTCACAAATTATGCTAACTCTGATCTTGGAAATGTAGGTCCTTTGACACAAGGAAAGAGAGGCAAACTTCCATTTATTGATTTCCTTTCTGTGCCAGAAGTAATGCAAAAATGCTTCCCACATAGTATCTCATTTGATTCCTAATAATTCTATACCATAAGTATTTTCAATTCATTTTACATATAAAGAAACAAAGACAGAAATAAATCAGTTACTTGACCAAGGAGGTGCCATAGCCAATAAATGACAGAGTTAAGGTTAGCACTTTTGTCTGGCCCCAGAGCCCTTGAGTTTCCTATTTTACCACACTTGGTGAAAATGAGACGCTAGCTCAATGCAAATCCAGTATTTGTGGATTTTTGCTTATTGGAAAAATGACAGGGTAGTAAGATCAGTGGGAATTTATTTGAAAAACAGTGAATGTGTTCCTATTCAAGGTCACCTATTTCACCTTCTATTTCTTATTCCTCACACTGCTCCTCTACCCCACCCCTTACCTTTTTTTTTTCTTTTCAGTGACATAGGCAATGTACATTGTGGCTTAAAATCCATGTCTCTTCACAAACAGGTGAAAAGTGGTTCTCAGTTTGGCACTGAGTAAAATTGATCATAGTAATTATAATAACAAAACAGTATTAAAATGAGAAAAATAGAATATAGTATTTTAAACACTTTATTGTAAAATGCAAAGATCTGCTATGAAAATTTGATCATATTTTTTGAAGTATTAACATAGTACTTTACATTTTTATTTATTTTTTCACTCAACTTTAATTGTGGATACAGGGCGTACATGTGCAGGTTTGTGACATGGGTATATTGCACTCAGGTAGCGAACATAGTACCCAATAGGTAGTTTTTAGATGCATCCCACCCTCTCCCTTCTAGTAGCTCACAGTATCTATTGTTCCCAAGTTTATGTTCGTGCATGCTCAGCATTTAACTTCTGCATGTAAGTGAGAACATGCATTATTTGGGTTTCTGTTCCTGCATTCATCTGTTTAGGATTATGGCCTCCAGCTCTGTCCATGTTGCTGCAAAGGACATGATGTTTTTTAATGGCTGCATAGTATACCATAGTGTGTATGTACCACATTTTCTTTATCCAGTCCACCATTGATGGGCACCTGGGTTGATTCCGTCTCTTTTCTATTGTGAATAGTGTTGTGATGAACATGGAAGTGCATGTGTCTTTTTGGTATAATGATCTGTTTTCCTTTGGGTATATACCTAGTAGTGGGATTGCTGGGTCGAATGGTAGTTCTGTTTTAAATTATTTGGGAAATCCCCAAACTGCTTTCCACAGTGGCTGAGCTAATTTATATTCCCACCAACATTGTATAAGTGTTCTCTTTTCTCCACAGCCTCATCAGCATCTGTTGTTTTCTGACTTTTTAAATAATAGCATTTCTGACTGGTGTGAGATGGTATCTCATTTTGGTTCTGATTTGCATTTCTCTGATGATTAGTGATGATAAGCATTTTTTCATATGTTTGTCAGCCATTTATATGTCTTCCTTTGAGAAGTGTTTGTTCATGTCCTTTGCCCATTTTTTATTGGGGTTGTTTTTTGCTTGTTGATTTAAGTTTGTTATAGATTGTTATAGACTTCAGTTATTCGACCTTTGCCGGGTGCATAGTTTGCAAATATTTTTCCCATTCTGTAAATTGTCTGCTTACTCTATTGATAGTTTCTTTTGCTGTGCACAAGCTCTTCGGTTGAATTAGGCCCACTTGTCCATTTTTGTTTTTGTTGCAGTTGCTTTTAGGGATTACACAAAAATTCTTTCCCAAAGTTGATACGAAAAAGGGTATTTCCTAGGTTCTCCTCTAGGATTTTTATAGTTTGAGATCTTTAAATCTTTAATCCATGTTAAGTTTTGTATATGGTGAAAGGTAAGGATCCAATTTTCATTCTTCTGCATATGACTAGCCAGTTATCCCAGCACTATTTATTGAATCCTTTTCCCATTACTTGTTTCTTAGGGAGTCCTTTCTCCATTACTTATTTTTGTCAGCCTTGTCGAAGATCAGATTGTTTTAAGTGTGAGGCTTTATTTCTTGGTATTCTGCTCTCTTCCATTGGTCTGTGTGTCTGTTTTTGTACCAGTACCTTGCTGTCTTGGTTACTATAACGTTATAACTTAGTTTGAAGTCAGGTAGTGTGATACCTCCAGCTTTGTTCTTTTTGCTTAGGATTGCTTTGTCTAGCCAGGCTCTTTTTTTGGTTTCATATGAATTTTAGAATAGGTTTTTCTAATTCTGTAAAGAATGATGTTGGTAATCTGACAGGAATAGTGTTGAATCTATAAATTGCTTTGGGCATTATGGCCATTTTTATGAATTGATTCTTCCAATCTATGAGCATGTGATATTTTTCCATTTATTTGTGTCATCTTTGATTTCTTTCAGCAATGTTTTGTAGTTCTCCTTGTAGAGATCTTTCACCTCCTTGGTTAGCCATATCCCCAGGTATTTTATTTTCTTTGTGGCTACTTTAAATGGGATTATGTTTTCGTTACCGGTTTTGTTTGTTTTTTTGAGACAGAATCTCTGTCACCCAAGCTGGAGTCCTGTGGTGCAATCTCGGCTCACTGCAACCACTGCCTCCCAGGTTCACGTGATTCTCCTGCCTCAGCCTCCTAAGTAGCTGAGGTTACAGGTGCCTGCCACCACACCCGGCTAATTTTTGTATTTTTTTTTTTAATAGAGGAAAAAAAGGGGTTTCATCATGTTGGCCAGGCTGGTCTCAAACTCCTGACCTCAAGTGATCCTCCCACCTCAGCCTTCCAAAGTGCTGGGATTACAGGTGTGAGCCACTGTGCCCAGATGGGATTATGTTCTTGATTTGACTCTCAGCATGGACATTATTGGTGTATAGAAATGCTACTGATTTTTGTACATTGATTTTGTAAACTGAAACCTTCGTAAAATCATTTATCAGTTCTGGTAGCCTTTTGCCAGAGTCTAATTTAAGGTTTCCTAAGTATAGAATCATATTGTCAATGAAGAGAAATAGTTTGACTTCTTCTTTTCCTATTTGGATTCCTTTTATTTCTCTTGTCTGATTGTTCTGGCTAGGACTTCCTCCTTACCGTTTTTATAGTCCTCCTCTCTATATTGCAGATAGTATGGACAAAGGTAGAAACAGAGGATTGTGGAATCTGCCCGTTCCCCATCCCATTTTCCAGGCCTCATTCAGATGAACCTACAGAATTGATATCTGTGTCAAGATGGGCAGGATCACTGGGTGCGATGGCTCACGCCTATAATCCCAGCACTTTGGGAGGCTGAGGCCAGTGAATCACTTGAGCCCAGGAGTTCCAGACCAGCCTGGGCAACATGGAGAAACTCCATCTCTAGAAAAAAAATACAAGAATTATCTGGGTGTAGTGGCATGTGCCTCTAGTCCCTGCTACTCAGGAGGCTGAGGTGGGAGGATCAATGGAGCCCAGGAGGTTGAGGCTGCAGTGAGCTCTGGTCACACCACTGCACTCCAGTCTGGGCAATAGAGTGAGACCTTGTCTCAAAAAAAAGGATGGGCAGGATCAGGTCCCACAACAGGTCAAGGATTCCCAGTCAAAATAACAAGGTAGATACTGTTAATGTTTCTATCAAGAATGACCTTGTAAGATATGTGCCCAACCAGTTTAGGCTCCCACCCAGTTAAACTATTTCTTCTGTTTTATAGAGCCAGAATATGAGAGGTGCTATATGCTTAACACCTTATGTTTATATACTACTCTCATAAGGTAGCAGAAAGAGCTGTCAGGCTTTGAAGACAAAAGATGGGGATTCTGAGCTCAGACCTCCACATCCTGACTGTGTGACCTTGAGCAACTCACTCTGTGAGCCCCAGTTTCCTCATCTATAAAGTGACCATTATGCAACATGCTTCCCAGGATGGCTGTGGGTACAATAGATAAGACAGCCTTGGGAAGCATCAAGCAGTGTTCCTGGATCCTTAACAATACTGAGTATCTCCTTTTCTTGCCACTTTCCACTTCTCTCCTAATCTGCTTCCTCAGCTGGCATACATGTCATTATATGCCATTATATGCCTTTTAAAAATTAGGATTAGATCCAGAGTATGGGTAATTGGGTAGAGACAAAACACAATGGGAAGGGCAGTGTTTCCAGGCATGCTTATGTGGTATAGACCTAAAGCAGATTACAGACTCCTTGAGGGCAGGGACCTGTGTCTTATACTTACACTATATACCTACAGCTAATATTGGGCTCAGCACCCCTGTAATCCTGTCATTTATTGGTTACTCCCTGCAGATAATCTTTTTTGTATGTCATTTCTTTAAACTTCCCAGTAACCTGTGAGACAGGTATTATTATTCATATTATGTAGATGAGGTAACCAAGAAACAAAGCAGAACTCCCAAGGTCAGTATTCAAACTTCAGTTTCTCTGATTTTAAATCATATTTTCTTCATTATACCACACTGCCCCCCAATAAAAATAGCTGCCTTCATTTGGTTTTATTTTTTAACCAAATATATATTGAACCTTTTTTTGTGTAAGCTGCTATGCTAGATTCAAGGTGTGTAGAAATACACATAAAGCCTAATTCTATTTAAACAGCTACACAGATAACTGATATGAGGTAGCATGTGGCAGTCCCATAACTAATGAACCAGTGAAAGACTGTGAGGTTCACAAGTGGATGATATCACTTCTAATTGGTGCAGATTATCAAAGCCATCACGTAGGAGGGGGTGTTTGAATTGAGCCTTGAAGTCTGCATTTCCTACTACATGCTAAACTTGAGATCATAAGATCTTGGTTACTACATTTTTCTTACCATCCATTGATAATTACTGCTAGTCTGTCTTACCATCTATTCCTACTCCTCAAAATTGAAAGAAGGTAACTAGAGAAACCACCTTGAATAGAATCAGAGAGAAGACTCCATGGTTTCCTCTCATTTTCTCACCTGGGTGGATATAGTGTAGTGTTTATGAGCCCAGCCCCCCCACCTACTAGCTGTGCAACTTTGGGAAGTAAACTGTAGGCCTCAGCCCTCTCAACTATAAAATTAAGATAATTTATGCCTCATAGGGTTTATCTGTGGATTCAGTGGGATTCTATGTATAAAGTGCTTAGTTGGGTGTCTGGAATATATGTACTCAATAACTAATAAGTGATAACCGTAATTAATAGATTCTATATATGAGTAGATGGCTATCTACTAGATATTGTAAGCATGAGTGATACACATTTGTCTAGAATGTCAGACTATTGATTATATTGGTTCTGAATTTTAGAGTTATCAATTTTTGTTATTTACAAGTTCTTCACCAAAATTAATGCAGAAGTGCAGTTACTGCCATGTTGAAGGCATAATAGTGACCAAACCCTTAGCCATTTGAGAGTAGCCAACGCTGTTTTCATCCTAAGCTGTTGTTTTCTATCTCCTTACTGCCCTAGGTAGCTGCTCAGATTGCAGTTAATCCAGAATTTCTTGACTAAATAGAACATTACTCAGGAAATACAGTACAATCTGCAGAGTCTACAGTAGACCTTACCTCTGAATGACAAAATGTTTACTTTTACCTAGCTATAAATTTTCTGGGTAACTATCATGAATATTTTTATGCTTGAATTTTAGTAACTATAGCTGTAGAACCAGGAATGATCTATAAAATAGGATGTTGATCAAAAATACTCAAGAAAAAGATGCTACTTTGGTTACATGTGTGATTGTTTTAACTTAGTAACTTGATATCAAATATTGTTGAAGAAAAAATTTTACTGTTCAACTTGTGTTTGGAGCTGTTTTTTTCTGGTTCCTACTGAGAATTGGTTAAACTTCACTTTAGGCTGTACATGTCTAAAGAGTCGGTTGGCCGTTATATTTTTAGTCATCATGTGACAAAATAGGTCCAATCTGAAAAGCAATTTAGGCTAGGCAAGGAGACTTTTTCCATTGCATTTCTTCTTGCAGTGGGAGCATTTTATGTCTCATATTAATTATCTAAGTATATAAACTCATGAAATTGAAACTCCTATGTAAATAAATTTTGCCTTTTATTTACTTAGACATAATTTTAGAAAAATAAAAGGGACTAAAGACTGAAGTAAACAAAAATAATTTAGGGATGTTTAGAAAATCAGTCATTTGTTATTTTTAATGTCTAGCATAGCTTAAGAACCACTTCATGCCCTAATTAAAGTAGAATATGCACTGGGCACATACCTCCTGTAGATTATGAAATCTGAGATTAAAGTATTTACACTACAAATATACTGAATCCATTTAAATACATAGAATTTTAGATGCTTTAAATACAGTGTAACATTGGCATAATTGGTTTAACTTAATTATTATAGCATGAGAAACAGATGATAGGACGTACTTAGGGAACCAAAATGGGAAATGTAAGCATCCTGTAGCACCTTAGTGAAAAAATGTAGGTATTGCTCCTAAGTCAAGTTGTGCTAAGTCTCTCACCTAGCCACCCCGTTTCTACACCAGCAAACAAAAAGTATATGGGTCCTATAAGTAGTTACACTATAATTGAGATCTGTGCAAATAAGGAATTATTCCCAACTGGCTTCCACTATGACCTGGCCTCAAGCTCTCTGAATAAAAAAAATGTTGAGACTAGAGAATTAAAATAATGGTTTCTTCTATGTAAGTGTAGCCCACAACAAAACTACTCATAATACAAAGACAAAACTGACCACTGCAAGCTGTTAGCAATGTGATGTGCATGCTCCTTGTTCTGCATGAAAATAGTATGATACCTAGTTAAACTTCTTTTATCTTTCATCAAAATACTCACCAGTTTTTCCTTGTCTTTAATAAAATTGGGTTTTGGTTAGCTAACCTCAGTCCATAATGAGCAAAGGATACAGATTAGCCTTTCATAATTTACCTGGCAGTGGTGCTGCATTATTTTTAAAACCTAGTGCTGTATGTATGTTAATTTTCCTCTGCTTTTAATAGGTTAAAAAAATTCCATTTTGCAATAATGCATGACTCATTCATTTCTCATTACCTTCCCACTGATTTTTTTTTTTTTTTTTTTTTTTTTTTTGCCTTGAGCCAGCAAGAAACTTACTTACATGAGAGGAGGGAGAAACAGAGACAGAGTGAGTTTAGGAATACAGTACTTAAATACTGTTGCTTGATTTTCATTGGTTATCTCCTTTCTTACGGTGGCCAATCTAATGCAGCCTTCCTTGTGAAATCCCTCCCTTCCCCCCACCTTCCCTGCTAGGGGCTTCATAGGGTGTCTGTTGCTAGAAACTGATTGCAGGCAGTATGTAGGCATCTTTCATTCAGAATGGACATTAATATCTTGAATAGAGAAGAAAGCTTTTAGAAATGTATCATTTGTCAAAATTGCATGCCTTTTAAAAAATGATAAAGAGAGATGCTGAGTGTTTTGTATGTTAGCATCGACTCTTTCTTTTTATTTCTGTTCAGACTCAAGTTTTTAGAAGCTAGAATATAGATCCCTTTAAGAAAAAAAAAGGAAGAAAGAAGAATTTGCTGGTTAGTCGACCTCTGTTTAAGAAGTGCTTCATCCTCCTCCTCCACCTCTCCGTGGTGTTTCTCTGCAGCTCTCTGTAGGTTAGGGTTCTGTGCTGCCTGGCAGAATGCTCATGTGTTAGCTGAATAGATATCATCGACAGACATAGACCACTATAGGTTTTCTTTCCTTGTGAATTCCAAAATGCCATCCAAAGAGTCTTGGTCAGGGAGGAAAACTAATAGGGCTGCAGTTCACAAATCAAAACAAGAGGGCCGTCAGCAAGATTTATTGATAGCAGCCTTGGGAATGAAACTGGGTTCTCCAAAGTCGTCTGTGACAATCTGGCAACCTCTGAAACTCTTTGCTTATTCGCAGTTGACATCACTTGTTAGAAGAGCAACTCTGAAAGAAAACGAGCAAATTCCAAAATATGAAAAGATTCACAATTTCAAGGTAAGAATATTTGCTTTTAGTCTTTTAAGAAATGCATATTACTTGAAATATATAATATTAAAGGAATATCTTATGTCTTTTTAAAACTAGGATGACTTGACTAAAATGTTCTTGCTATTTAAGGAGTGAGATGTTTTCAGCCTGATTTTACTTGAGGAATAGCTGAATAAGGCTAATAGAAATCCAACCCTGTTTTTCTCTAATGCTGTTCTAATATTGTTTTATCAATGTGTACTCACTGGTAAAAGTCTTGACTGATATTTAAAAGGTCTCAGTTAATGATGATTTTGGCATTGTTTTTATTTGTGATACAAATGTGTCTGAATACCTCTGTTGGAGATTTTATGAGAGGATTAGATCTGTGTTTCTGGTAAAAAGCTTTGGATATAAGAGGCATGTGCTGTTGCATCTGGATTGAGCAGATGGTTTGCATTTCTCATAGTTTCTGTCTTTTCTCCCCTGTTAATGAATTGACCATGATGAAAGGAGGATGGCTACCATGGGACTGTTGATGCTGCTGACACTAGCAGCTTCTCCTCACTTTTTGAGTATTTGCTTTCACCATGTATGCGTATGTGTAGTTTTTAATTATTGTGTTAATGTGGTTTATCAACTGTACTTGAATTTTCTTTCAAGGTGATATGTGTGTTGATTCAAGCTGTATGTAGATCTAGTCTGTATTTATAGCATGATATAAGGCCTTGAATTTCTGTCCTTTGCAATCTAATTCAGAGATTAAACAACGTGAGGTGGTGCATAAGTAGACCCAGTTACATTTAATAGGTAGATGCACTGGCATTTCTATAGTAACTTCCCAATAGTTAGACAACTTTGTGATGCGGTTCTTGAGACATGAATGTTCTTAGTTTAGACAAAGTATCATTAGGTTTTATTTTAGAAAGGGAATAATTTGGTTTCAAAATGTGATAAAGCTGGAAATCATGATCTTTCATTTATTTATTTATTCAACATTTATTCAGCACCTATAATGCACCAGGCTCTGAAATAGATAATTTCATTCCACATTTGCAATTTATTCTGATTTTTAACACCAGTATTTATTTTACTCAAACACTAAATACCAACACCCCCCCCCCCACCCATATGCTCTGCATTTTCCATAGTGAGGAATAGGTTTTTGTGATCTTCAGATCATTTTGGGATGAAGGAGAAATTACCTAATAAAATTATGTTTCTTAAATATGTGGGCTATGTAAAAATTGCTAATATTTTAAAATAAACTAAATAACGTTTTCTTCTTCCTCTTTAAACATATTAAGGACCTTACCTTTCAACCAATATCTTGATTTAAAATGAAATAGAGGCAACTTAGTAGATTAAATACCGGATAGAAAAGAGGTATCATATGTGTATCTAGCATTCACTACATCTTTCATTTAGGAACCTAAGCAATACATTCAGGCTTCTAGGCCTCAGTTTCTTTTTGCATGATATACAACCTGATCTAACAGGATTTTTATCAGGAAAATGACCCCAAATAAATCCTTTTGCCAATATGAAGTTATGTCAAAAAAGAAGTCTTTGGGTTACTAATAAAGAGGAAATTGTATGTACACTGTTTAGAAATAGCTGAGATCTTAAATATATCTCCAAAGATGTACTCTGATTTGTTCAGCAAAAACAGCAAAAACCTACTAAGAATGCCATTTGAGTGCTAGGTCAAGTTCATTATACATGCTTTTTATCAATATTGATTAAGAGCAACTAGGAGGTCTATTCAAGAATTTGCATAAACAAACTCTTTTTGTGTTTGTATCTTCCAGTTGTTTCTCAATTTTAACACATGGCTTTAATGAATAAATTCTACACAGCTGGAAAGTTCTGACTCTGCCATCAACTGTAACTCTTACCTTGGTATCTAAACTGCTTTAAAGATACTTGGGTGTTTTTTTTAAGCCTTAAAAAATGGAAAGCTTCTTCCTTCTCTGGAGCTGAAAAATAATGAAAACCAGCTTGGACTTGTTCTTAGAGTATTTATGCTCAAGAAAGAGTTCATTTTAGACAATGAGTTGCATTACATATTATTTAGAGTTGCTAATAAGGTCAGAAATCTCGGAATTGACTCTTTCCATTGAAGTTACTCTCTGTTATTTAAAAATGTTTCTGTGGGGTGGCACTATAAAAAATAAGAAAGGAGGAAAGTCATACTTGACTTCCAAGAACATCCCAGACTCTGTGGCAGGTGCAGTTCTCTCCCACACAGACGCTCGCTTAGAAGGTCACTGATTGTGATATACACATCTATGTATGTACAGTTCAGAAATTTGTGTGGGGAAAAACCGTAGCATTTCCATGACGATAATCATTCATGTATCCTTGTCATTATGGTGGTAAAAGTGTATTCTGTATAACCACGGGCCCACTCACCAAAGCCTCATTTCAAGGTGGTTTTCTTTTTTGCTTCTTGAACTGCCTTGTTATGTAATACTGCTCTGTGGAATCGAACAGCTGTCAAACCTTATTTCAGGGAGTGAAGCCAAGAATGCCTTCTACCTTTGGTGAAAGCACTCACTGAGGTGAAAGCCAAATAAACCAACTGGACCTAACTTCAGCCTACAGACAGGCGTTTGTTTTTGGGGTTTGGGGTTTTTTTAGTAGAATAAAACAGGAAGGCTTCCCTTTTGCTATGTTATGTAACATGGTCTCTTTTTTTTTTTTTCTATTGTTACTTATAAGGATTTGAGAAAGCATCTATCACAAGAAGGATAGTTATATCCCTTAGGGAGGTTATTTTACAGATAAATGCACCAAATCCTCTAAAAACTATTACACTATAAGTTATCTAAATCAATTAGAAAATAATTGTAATTGTCCCCTGGATCAACCTCTTATTTTAAGAGCTACCTCATCCTAATACAACATACAACACACACACACACACACAGAGAAAGAGAGAGAACAAAACAAACTCTAACATTAAAAATAAAACTCAGGCACCCTTCCAGCAATGATTGTGCCATGCATTCTGAGGCTTTCTGGGTAAAATGATAAATAAGATCCAGCCTTTGCCCTCAGGAGCTTGCTTATTATATGCACCACCTTGGGTCAATTGCTTAATCTCTCTCTACATCGGAAAAATTGAGTTCCCAGTACATGTAGATACATGGTAGCCACTATTTTTGTTACTACAAATACCCCTAAGTGGGTTTTTTTTTTTTTCTGAATCTATACTGACATTTATTTATACTTAAGGGTTCATCTGAATCCTCTTATTCCTGTCCAGTTGCAGAGATTATGATGTGATTGAAAACCTTAGCATGATCGTGGGGACTGTGCCTAGTTGTCAGGCAGAGTTAGATGTTGCATAAGAATAGCTACATTTGGCCAGGCACAGTGGCTCATGCCTGTAATCCCAGCACTTTGGGAGGCCGAGGTGGGCAGATCGAAAGGTCAGGAGATTGAGAACATCTTAGCCAATATGGGGAAACCCTGTCTCTACTAAAAATACAAAATTAGCCGGGTGTGGTGGCACGTGACTGTAGTCCCAGCTCCTCTGGAGGCTGAGGCAGGACAATCGCTTGAACCCAGGAGGCAGAGGTTGCAGTGAGCCGAGATCACATCACTGAACTCCAGCCTGGGCAACAACAGCAAAACTCCGTCTCAAAAATAAATAAATAAATAAATAAATAATAAAAGCTACATTTTTCATGCACTACAGAATGCAGTGAAATCCTCTATATTTATTTTACTCTTTTCAAATTAAACTGTTAAATGTTTCATCTGGTTTGTTGCTTAAT
Organism: Homo sapiens; assembly: GCF_000001405.40. NCBI lineage: Eukaryota > Metazoa > Chordata > Mammalia > Primates > Hominidae > Homo > Homo sapiens. Next base: position 174,843,121 of record NC_000002.12, on the reverse strand, counting down.
TCAGATAGCTCTATAAAATAAAATCAAGAGCAGATACAATATTATAATAACGACAGAAGCTAGGCTACTTAGGCAAATTAAGTAATTAAAAGAAAACAACATTAAGAATTATAGGGAGTAGATACTAAAAATATGAGTTTAATTTTTTAAGGTAGTCTTGAATTAGTTGTTGATTTTCATTTCAGGTACTTGCAGTCTGCATGTAAATGAAAGATATAAGATATTGTATTAATAGATTTAGTGTTGCCAAGATAACAGGCAAACAGTGAATCCTGAAATGTGAATTGATATTGCAATTAAAATAACACTGTAACATGAACCTTATAATAGTTAATAAAATTACTGATTCAAGACCTACTAGGAAAAAGAGATCATACTGAACCCAGCAATCCTAGCCAACAGACTGGACACTGTGCTGTCTGGTGAACTGAAGGGCGGCAGTGGCCGACACTCTTGCTGAGGGTAGTCTTTCCTTTCCTCCCGAGGACGTGGGCAAATCCAAGCCCCCTTTGGTCTTCATTTGGTTCACATTTATAATAAAATTAATACAAAATGAATGAACAAATAATAATTTTAATATAAACTGTGAAGTTTTAAACCACATGGTCTAAGGGTTCTCTTACAGCTCTAAAATTCTCGGACTTAATTATAGTGTATTGTGAACCATTAGATTTATTACAAGTATTCCATTTTTCATTAAAATTTTATTGAAGTTCCTATGGAGACAAATTTTCAATACGTTGATTTGAAAAGGAACTAAAATTAACTATATATGAAAGAATATTTAAAACTTTATATTAACAGCAGTGAAATGTCGTATTCAGAAACAGTGTCTATCACCTCTTTCATATTATCCCCACCAACCCTCACACCACCACCTTGCCTCCCTCCATTCTTCCTTGCCCTTTCCCGATGTCTAGTAAAATGCCTGTAACTAGCAGATGCTCAAGAAGCATTTGATAAATGACTAAATGAGTACACAGTGTGACATGCGGGGGACCTTTGGTTGTTGTTACTTGAAAACCTCTTCTCATGACAGCAGGAAATTAACACAAAAATAGAGTCTTCTATTGGTCTTAAGATCTGTATTGTTACAATGTTTTCTTTTAATTAGATTTATGTGAGTTTTCAAAATGAAATAAAACCCAAGATACCATCATGTTATCTGATATTGACTAGAGAATCTGTGTACATATTTTAAATGCTCAGGAATTTGAATAGTGTTTTGAATTAATGGTATTGTAAATGAAGGTAAATGCAATATTACAAAAGGGAAATGACAATCTAGAATGCTTCATTATGCTTCTGCAATAATGTCTCTCATCATTGCCTCTTCTGTGGATATGAACAAGGAGTGTCCAACATAAACATTTTAAAGGAATAATGTGAATTATTCCTTTAAATAATTTTACTTGGAAATTTAAATAATTTTAAATAATTTCTTACTTGGAATTTCTCCAAGAAAGAAATTAAGTGGAATTATATGTATTTCTGTTGTACACATGCACACACACACACTCTTTCCCCAGTTCTCAATGTGGGCCACTTGCAAGAGAAGACAAAAATAGCGCAGATCAGTATGTAGCATAGGTTCTGTCTGCCTAAGGCAATCGGACATGTAGAGGACTGATGAAGAGAAACTAGGAAATTGGTCAGAATCATCTTTAAAGTCCCTGTAAACATTGTATTTCTGTTGCTGCCTATTATAGTACATATCTGATGCTGCAGAAGCCAAAAATGACAGCCACTGCTCTGCTTTCCACTTCTGCCAATGCTGCTGGTGAGGAGGACCACAGAACCTGTGCACTGCCCCTCAGCACGGTGGCCCTCTCAACCTCACCCTGCCTGGCCTTATGGTTTGTCATGCTGGCTGGGGAACTGGTATGACACCCCGAGTACAAGTCATTCAGATCCTTAAGGTTATCAGAAAGGTTACTACCTGCCACTAATAATCCGAAAAGAAACATTTCACAAAGTTCTTGTTGGTTTGCACATAGTTGCATATACTTCTTTGTAGCTATCTTATGGGACTAGAGAATTTAAATTGCTATACTTCAGAGAAACCCATATTATTCTCACAGACCATGGCCCTTTATTCTGGAGATGTTTTATAATCTGTCTTTATTCCCCAAGTTCCAAATTTGGCATCTCTGTATTATACTGCCTCGCTGACACAAATTACTTATCAGTATGTTTTTTGTCTCTTCCATTCAAGCTTTCTACTATATCTTTTTTAAATGTTTTAAATGAGGAAGACATGTTTTGTCTTCCTCATTCCTTTCTAGCCTCTTGTTCCATGTCCATGTGGGCCCCTGAAAAGATTGGCTCTTTCAATATATGTATGAAAAATTGCTGTTGAACATACTAACTCAATCTTTTCAAAGAAAAATCCCTTAACAGTGTCGAAACATCTTGCCCACAGTATTCTCTAACCTAAAATAAAACTCTCCAGGCTTTCCTAGCTCCGTTTCCTCCTTGCTCATCCCTCAAGTATTTATCAAGCAGCTGTTGTGTGCAGACCACTCTGTTAGACATGGGAGGAGACACAGTAATATGTAATGTACGGTCCTTGACTGCTGGATATATGCAAACTGACTGAAAAGAAAGCAAATGTCAATATAATGAGAATGATGAGAAGGTCATAGGAAGGGTTTGGGGCCAGGCACAGTGGCTCATGCCTGTAATCCCTACACTTTGGGAGGCCAAGTCAGGAGGATTGCTTGAGCCCAGGAGTTTAAGACCAGCCTGGGCAACATAGAGAGACCTTGTCTTTACAAAAAATTTAAAACATTAGCTGGGTATGATATTGTGCACCTGTGGTTTCAGCTACTTAGGAGGCTGAGGTGAGATCACTTGAGCCAGGAGATAGAGGTTGCAGTGAGCTGTGAACACACCACTGCACTCCAGCCTGGGAGACAGAGCAGGACCCCATCTCAAAAAAAAAAAAAAAAAAAAAAAAAGAATGGTTTTATGCATAAACACTGGCAAAATACCTTTAATTTTATGTGCCACATATGTATAATAATGCCATATTCCTCATGGTTCAATATTTCATATACAAATACAAATGACATCTCTGCCTGAAACAGAATGACAGTCAGAAGTGAGTATGCAGAGTAAAATTCGACAGAGGGTAGTTTAAACTTTGGAGAGAGATTTTTTTTTGTGTGTGATAAGAACATGTCACATGAGATCTACCCTCTTAAATATTTAAGTAAGGCCAGGTGCAGTGGCTTATGCCTATAATCCCAGCACTTTGAGAGGCTGAGATAGGCAGATCACTTGAGCCTAGGAGTTTGAGACCAGCTTAGGCAACATGGCAAAACTCTGTTTCTATCAAAAATACAAAACTTAGCTGGGCGTGGTGGCACATGCCTGTAGTCCTAGCTACTCAAAAGGCTGAGGTGAGAGGATCACTGGGGCCCAGGAAATCGAGGCTGCTGTGAGCTGTGATTGTGCCACTGCAATATGGCCTGGACGATAGAGCAAGACCCTATGTCAAAAAAAAAAAAAAAAATCTTTAAGTGCACAACACAGTATTGTTAAGTAAAGGCATCGTGTTGCTCACAAGTTTCTAGAAGATACTCAATCTATTATAACTGAAACTTTATATGCATTGAACAGCAGCCACTCTTCTATTCTGAGTTTGATTATTATAGATACCTCATATAAGTGGAATCATGCAATATTTGTCCTTCTGTGACTGACTTATTTCACTTAACATCATGTCCTCCAGGTTCATCTCATGGTGTCATATACGGCAGGATTTCCTTTATTAAGGCTGAATAAATATTCTATTGTATATATATACCATACTTTCTTTAAGGATATAAACGCATAGGAAAAACACGCAATTTTTAAAAGTCACCTCTTACAGTTAATAACAATGTATAAGAATACATTGAGAATAAAATCTCTCTGAGAGTAGATTTTAAGTGTTCTCACTACAAAAAATATGTGAGGTAATGCTTACATTAATTAGCTCAATTTAGCCATTTCACAATGTATTTGCATTTCAAAACATGTTGTACACAGTAAATATAATTTTTATTTATCAATTAAAAATGAAATAATTGTCACTTCTTCTAAATTTTTTTTTTTTTTTAAGACAGAGTCTCACTCTGTCGCCGAGGCTGGAGTGCAGTGGCACAATCTCAGCTCACTGCAACTTCCGCCTCCTGGGTTCAAGCTATTCTCCTGTCTCAGCCTCCCTAGTAGCTGGGATTACAGGTGCCCACCACCAAACACACACCACATTTTTGTGTTTTTAATAGAGATGGGGTTTCGCCATGTTGGTCAGGCTGGTCTTGAACTCCTGACCTCAGGTGATCTGCCCACCTCAGCCTCCCAAAGTGCTGGGATTACAGGCATGAACCACTGCACCTGGCCTGTAAAATTCTTAATATTTCAGTTTACATGTTCATACAACAGTCCAACCTTCAGGAGTTGGTTTTTCCCCCGTTTGAGACATGTTGGTACTCTAAAGCCCCTTCTCGTAATCTCTTCTATCTTATATTCACTCACCCCTTCCAGATTTAACTGAGGATTGGGTCTTAATTCTCTTTTGCTTATTTTGTAAGTTAATAGGAGAAATACCATATGTAATATTTCATGTCTCTGTGTTTCAAGCCTTGTTTAACTGACAAAATGTGCTATCATACTTCATCTTTTTTGTGACCCACTGTGTCAACATTCCCTATAGGACAAAGTCTTATTAAGAGTGAGGTTTGGCTGGGCGCAGTGGCTCATTCCTGTAATCCCAGCACTTTGGGAGGCCGAGGTGGGTGGATCACCTGAGGTCAGGAGTTCAAGACCAGCCTGACCAACATGGAGAAACCTTGTCTCTACTAAAAATACAAAATTAGCCGGGCGTGATGGTGCATGCCTGTAATCCCAGCTACTTGGGAGGCTGAGGCAGAAGAATTGCTTAAACCTGGGAGGCGGAGGTTGCAATGAGCCAAGATCGTGCCATTGCACTCCAGCCTGGGCAACAAGAGCAAACTCCATCTCAAAAAAGAAAAAAAAAAGAGTGAGGTTTACCATGACTGTTAGTAGGACGGTTAAAGCATGTACCTAAAGAATACGTACATGTCTTATCATCTTGCTTCAATTATTGTCTATGTTGTCAAGTACTCCATATCTCAGTAAACTTAGTATCATTAGTTGGTGTTCATCATTTGTTATGTAATAGTGCATGACACAAAAATATTGTTGCCTCCATCAAATAGCCCAAAGGATAGAAAGTAGAAAAAGAGATGTGTATATACACCAAAGGAAGTGGAATATAGGTTAAAAAATAAATGAAAACGTGACAAGCAATGGTTTTTCTTTTTAAATATTTTTACTACACAAAAACTTCTGGTAGCTGAAAACCACTGTAAATTATTTTTTTGACAAGCAACATACTAATAGATTTTTTTTTCCAGTTTTCTAATCCCTCTTCTTAAATTATCTTGAGATTCTTCTGGTTACAAAATAGGAAAACTATAAAGGAAAAGGCCAGTAGCCCAACAGTTGAAGAACCACCATATCATCAGCTGCTTATTTTCTATATTTTTATGTTCTTTGGGGAGCAAAAATAGAACTGGCGTGTTTTGTAAGGTATTATCCAGACTTAAAAATTAAAAGAACACATCTATTTTTAGGTCATGGTAGTCAGAGGCTTGTTGTCACATTAGGTGATATCCTCCAGTCTTTTGTATTAGAGGTGACGTTTTGGCTATCCATGTGAATGGATTTGCCCAAATCAGGCCTAAAATATCATATTCTCTGTTTCTCTTTTTAGAACTACCTTTGTTTGGAGCTTCACCTCTTGCATGTGACACAACCCTGATCTCTGCTTGTGCTCTGCCTGGTACACATGCCCTTGTTCTTAAAGAGAAGTCCATCTCTAGGGGGTGTGCTAATTTGCTTTGATGGTTGCTGTTACAGCTCATTACTCCGCAATTGTATTACTTCAGTGTGTTTTTCTTAATCTGTTACCATGAATATATTTACTATTTGATGGAACAGTTGAGAGACTTTTACTGCAAGTGTCAGAAAACCCAGCCCACACTGGACTAAGAAAAAAGGGAATTTGTTGTGTCACATAGTAGAAAAAGTCCAGCATTAATTGAAGGTATCCTTTGACTTAGGGGCTTAAAATGCCACCAGAACCCTGTTTCCCAACTCTTTCTTCATTTTTAGGCTCCCTCTGGTGACAAGATGACTGTCAAAGTCTTCAGCTCTGTATCCTCCCAGATTCTAGTCAGCCTCAAAGACAGACTGTTTGAAAAAAGGTTCTGGGCATGGCAGTCATTGACCAATTATATCATATGCTCATCTCTGCACCAGTAGCTCCAGTCAGGAGAAGGGAATGTACTGGCTTAGATCCAGGTCTTCCCCTGGAGCTGGGGAAGAGGTCAGCTCTATACGATTCACATGGATTGGGAGCTTTTATGAAAAATAAGAACTTGTTCTGTGTACTGAAAAATAAGCAGTGCCCTCTACAAGATTAAATGTCAAATGAAATCACCTATTGCAAGATCTTAGTGAACAGCCTACTGAATATGACAGTGTTAATGTAACACTTTGCTGGGTGAGATGTGCTCATGAAACATGGATGACAAAAGAATCCTGAAGCAGTTCAGTCTGTATAAAGGGGGTTGAAAATTACTGATTAAGTTAATCTTATTTTACATGTGTAGAAACTGAAGCCTATTAAAGTCACTGGTTGGCGTTCACATGAACGAATCAGTAGAACCAATAATATAAACTAAATTTCTACTTTTGGTCATGATGGAAGAACTACATTTACCTTCCCATCTTAAACAACTAGCAAACCAGAAAAAGTATATAAAAACCACAGCCAGACATTGATCAATAGGTAGTATAGAACTGTGACAACTGAAAGAAGGAACACAAACAAAATGATTCTTAAGATCACTCTTACTGCTTGGAGGCAGTTTCCAGGCCACAGCACATGGAGGGGGAGTCCAAGCAGAGTCTTGTGGTCTACCCCAGTGAAGGACAAAGAGATTAGGGTGGGGTCGTGGGGGAGGTGCAAAGCAGCTCAAATGTATGGGGCAGAGACTGCCTGAGGAGACAGAGCTGCACACAAAAGGCATTCTGGAGATCTGCCGAGGAGCCTTCTTGAGTCTTTTACTGATGACTTATCTGCATATATGTGGGAAGAAACTATTGGGAAACCACCAGAAAGCAATAGGCTAAACAATGGCTGAAACTCACTGAAGACTCATTCTGCCCACTAGTAGAAACAGAAAGAAGTCACAACACATGGAGCATTGGTTAAGACTCTTCAAGAGGGTATCATCTTAGTACTGTGACCAAAATTAACAGTAGACTAAAGGTTGTAGTGAGGAAAGAAATGGAAGCTGTCTTTAAAAATCCAAATTGAATCTCTAGAGGTGAAAAGTATATCTGAAATGAAAAATACACTGGATTATATTAACAGCATATTAGATACCACAGAAGAAAAGATTGGTAAACCAGAAAATACAATACAAAATATCCAAGATGAAGAACAGAGAATTAAAAAAAAAAAAAAAATGAACACAACATCAGTGACCAGTGGGACAATAGCAAGCAGTCTTAACATAAGTGTAATTTGGGTCACAGAAGGAACAGTGATGGGAAACCAGGAGACAGAGCAATTATTTAAAGCTATAGTGACCAAAAATTGTATAAATTTGATGAAAAGTCACAGATCCAAAAATGCAGTGAACACTAAACACTAAACAGAAAAAAATATGGTGAAAGCAACATCAAGGCATATCATAAATTGCTGAAAACCAGTGTTAAGGAGAAAATTGTAAAAGCAGCCAGAGAGAGTGAGAAAATTTGGGGAAAGAACAGTTTTCACTGTAAAGTGATACCGAAGGCCCCTGGCTTACAATGGCTCAGCTTATGATTTTTGACCTTATGATGGTCTGAAAGCAATATTCATTCAGTACAGTCCTGGATTTAGGATTGGATTACATCTGGATAAATTCATCATAAATTGAAAATATCAAAAGTAGAAACCCCACTCTCAACTTATGATATTTTCAACTTATGGTGGGTTTATTGACATGTAACCCCATCATAAGTCAAGGAGAATCCATACTTTGCCTCAGCCTAAGAATTGAGGTTGTTCATCCCACACGTAATGTACAGAGGATGTCTCTCAGATCTAGAAATTATACATACGTTTGGTTTCTCTTAAGTTTTATTTTCACATTTCAGCTTCATAATGTGTTTATAGTTTTGTGGTTTTATAGAATCTTAAATGTGCATACTCACACTCAAGAATACAATGCACATTTGTTTAAAAGAATATAAATTATTTTTATACTACTATCTTCTCTGTTAATATCTTCGAGGATTATTTTAGTTAGGACAGATATGTCAACTTTGAGGAAACAAATTATTTTCCTTTTTCACTGGTACTCACACATCTTACAAAGTTTTTTTTAAAAGCAGTTGGGGGGATGCACATTACATAAAAATGAATAAAGAATGGCAGCAAAATTCTCATCAAAAACTATGCAAGACAATGGAGTGACATCTTCAAAGGACTGAAGGAAAAGAAATCTATTAACCTTGAATCCTATATTTAGCAAATATATCTTTCAGAGATGAAGAGAAAATATTTATTTTTTTAAACAAACAAAAGCTGAGTGAATTCATCCCTAGGAGACTGGTACTACAAGAATATTACAGTAACTTTTTAAGAAAGAAAATGATACCAGGTGGAAATTTAGAACTACACAAAGGAATAAAGAACACTAGAAGTAATAGTAAGCATGGGTAACTTTAAAAGATATTTTTCCTGACTTAGTATCTTTAAAAGATAGTTGACTCTTTAAGGCAAAAATGGTAATATATTATGTAGTTTATACAAGCAAAATGTATGACAACAGTAATGTAGAGTAGAGGATGGGGGAAGTGGAAGTATATTCATGTATAGGATTCTTGGGCATTACATAAAGTGGTATACTATTTGGAGGTAGACTGTAAGTTAAAGGTGTATATTGTAGACTGGGCATGGTGGCTCACGCCTGTAATTCCAGCACTCTGGAAGGCTGAGGCAGGAGGACAGTTTGAGCCCTGGGGTTTGAGACTAGCCTGAGGCACGTGGCAAGACTCCATCTCTATTTAGAAAAGAAAAGAGAAAGAGACAAAATTAGCTGGGTGTGGTGGCACATGCCTGTGGTTCCCACTGCGTAAGAGGCTGAGGTGAGAGGATCACTTGAGTCCAGGAGTGTGAGGCTGCAGTGAGCTATGATTGTGCCACTGCACTCCAACCTGGGTGACAGAGTGAGACCCTGTCAAAAAAAAAAAAAAAAGATGTGTATGTTCTAGACCTTAGAATAAAACTAAAATTGACATAGTTAAACTAACAGTGGAGATAAATGGAGTCATAAGAAATATGCAGTTAATTCAGAGTATAAAACATAAAAAAAGGAATAAAGGACAAATGGAATGCATAGAAAACAGGTTGATAGTTACATTAAATGAAAATGACTCAAACACACCATTAAAAGGCAGAGATTGTCAGGTTGGACAAAAAAGCAAGATCCAGTGATATGCTGTGTACAGGAAACCCACATTAAATATAAAGGGCACAGAGAGAAGTGAAAGAAAAAGCAAAATTCTCATCAGAAATTATGCAAGACAGTGGAGCGACATCTTCAAAGAACTGAAGGAAAAGAAACATTAACCTAGAATTCTATATCTAGCAAATAATATGTATATGTAGACAATAATTCAAAGAAAATTGGAGTGACTGTACTTTTTTAAACACAATTTTTGAACAAGGAATATTATTGGGAATGAAGAATGTAAAATTAATCAAGAAGATATAACAGTTTAAAATTTATATGTACCTAATAACAGGTGCAAAATACATAAAGCAGCAACTGAGGTGAGGGTGAAATAGACAGAATATACAGAAAATTAGTAAGAGTATAGAAGACTTGAAGAACAGTATCAACCAATTTGACCTAACTGATATTTATAGAGTACTCCACTCAACAACAGCAGGATACACATACTTTTCAAGTGAACTGGAAGATTCACCAAGATACATAATATTCTGGACCATAAGACAAATATAACCATGTGTCATATAACTGTTTCAGTCAACAACTGACCACAGTTATGACAGTGGTCCCATAAGAGTATAATACCTTATTTTTACCCTGTCTTTTCTATGTTTAGATACATTTAGATACACAAATACCATGGTGTTAATGTTACATATTCAGTACAGTAACATGCTGTACAGGTTTGTAGCCTAGGATCTATAGGCTAGACCATTAGGTCTAGTACATAATAGGTTTTACCATGTAGATTTTGTGTAAGTACACTCTATAATGTTCACCTAATGAAGCATTTCTCAGAGAGTGTCCCTATCATTAAGTGACACATGACTGTATCAATAAATGTAGAAGGGTTAAAGTCATACAAAGCATATCCTCCAACCACAACAGAATTAAATTTGAAATCACTAACAGATATCTGAAAAATTTCCCACATACTTATAAATTAAATAACATACTGCTAAATAACTCATGGGTTGAAGAAGAAATCACAAGATACATTAGAAAATATTTTGAACTGATTGAAAAGAAAAATAAAACATATCAAAATTCATAGAATGTGGCTAAAGTAGTACTTATCAGGAAATTTATATCATTAAATGCTTATATTTAGAAAGGGAGAAAAAAGGTCTTAAGTCAAAGAGCTAAGCTTCCATCTTAAGAAACTAGAAAAAGAAGAATCAATTAAACCAAGTACTTAAGGAAAGGCAGTATTAAAGGTAAGAGCAGCAATCAGTGAAAAAGAAGAAAAACAGAATTTTTTAAATCCCAGAATTTACTGGGATTTTAAAAAGGGTTTTAACTACATACTTTTAATAACTTCCTGTGCATTTTAGTCAGATCTTTTTCTTAGTATAGGAATACTTGCATTCATATTGTAATATATGTTAACAGTACTTCTTCAGATGACACTTTTATAACCAAGTCAAAAAGAAATTGAAACCTGGTTGTGTGGAAATAATATATTAATGCAGACTTAGCTTCAAAGAATTGTGGATCACAAGACATTGTAGACTGGTCTGAGGGTTTTCCGTATGTCAGTGTTCAGTTACCTATCTATAATGTAGGTATAGAGATTTTCTGTCACTCAGCTATGGAATGTAAGTGGTTTTTATTGCACAACCATTTACTTATTTATTTTCCTATTGTACCTACATAATATAACCTTAGGGGACTGGTATTTCAAAGTGTTGATTTTTACTAATATTTGAATACGAACTCATTCATCTCAGTAATGAAGCTTACTTTCTAAGTAGAAGTGTTTTAGGTGATGGCATTTAACATTTTTGAACCTTGAGCATGATTCAGTTTGGAGGCAAAACTATCAGGGGAAAAGAAATCAAAAAGAAATTGTCTTCTGAAACTTAAAAGAAGCCTAAACATTAAAATTATATATTTTATAATACTCTAAATACTCATATTTTGAAATGGAAAATGTCTTTGAATTAATGGTTATATTTATTGTTTCATCATTATTATACAATCTGTACCTTGTAGCATATAATAATCAAAGGATTGCTTTGAGAACTTTGATATTTCCACATCCAGATTCTTGGGTTTCAGATTGATGGTTCTGTGTAAGGGGCCACTATTTCAGCTCAGCACAGAACATCAACACCAGAAATTGTGTTTGTGTTCTAGCATTAATATGGTTGTTTATGATTCTAAGCAAGTTCTGTGCAACCTTTGCATTCATTTTGTAATTTTAGATATACTTCTCCCTCAAAAACATAGCGGTGATTGGGAATGTATGGATCATAAAGGAAACCATAAAAGAATTTAAGCTCTGTTAATAAGGCCAATATTGAATTGTGGTAAATGTATTTTTATGAGAATAATTTATTTTTTCTGCACATATTTAAAATATTGTTTTGTATACCAATTAACATAAACCATTTTTATAATATTCATATGGGAGCAGAACTAAATTACTGTATTGCCCTGGTGACTGTCCTAATAGTCATATTGTTATAGTATGATCATATTTTACCAGCTTTTCCCTGTAGTTATTGCTCACAGTTAAAGTTACATCATTTATTTGTGGTATGGTCAATGTATGTCTAGTAGGCTTTTATGGTATTTCTCTCAATTTTGAACAGTTTTCTTACTCTTAAAATTAGGTCACCAATTTTCTGTCATTTGTCATTCTCTTTGAAGCGGTGCTTCCGTGTTAACTACTTGTGTGGTTAAGTATGTGGCGCAGAAAGACCCTGCAAATTCTCCCGTGTGGCCACCTCTATAGCAGCTGGTTATACAGGCCATTAGCACCTGCGCCCCTTCCCCAGCCGCCTAGTGCCTCCCTCACTCCTGTCTGCTGCTGGCCAGTGGGCATGCCTTTCTATTCCAGGTACTTAGCCTTGGCCAGTGCTTAAAGCTATGTTTCAGCAAGTGCCTGGTGCATTTCTTCTGCCTTTCCTGCCATGGTCATCAATTACACATCCATTTGATCAGGACAAGAAGACTAGGAATGGCCAGCATAGTGTCAGTGCTTAACTGACATTATCGTGGTGCTTAACTGAACCAAAACCTCGCTCTTTGTTAATACATTATTACTCCAGAGTTATAGGGTGGTTAGTAGTTTTGACTAGACGTAACTTAACAACAAGGCAAGAAGGTATTGCCTTGATACTAAAGATACTCCTATAGTAAGTATTCCTCCTAATTTAAGTACTCTTGTATGTATTTCTTGCTAATGATCATAGCCAGTGTTATGTATTCTCTTTTCACGGCATAATAATATAAATCAAAGTACTTTAAACTGAAGTGGTAAAATTAGGGTATGATTTTTTTATTTTTTATTTTTTTTTGAGACAGAGTCTTGCTCTGTAGCCCAGGCTGGAGTGCAGTGGCACGATCTCGGCTCACTGCAAGCTCCGCCTCCTGGGTTCATGCCATTCTCCTGCCTCAGCCTCCCGAGTAGCTGGGACTACAGGTGCCCGCCACCACACCTGGCTATTCTTTTGTATTTTTAGTAGAGATGGGGTTTCACCGTTGTTAGCCAAGATAGTCTCGATCTCTTGACCTCGTGAGCCACCGCGCCCGGCCAAATTAGGGTTTGATTTCTAAATTCCATATCATATGGACCAAAAAGTTTAAGACCATCTTGGTGAGACAAACATTGGTCACCTAAAAGAGTGCATTCTAGTTACCCTAAACATAAAAATGAGGGAAGAAAAAACTTTCCTGACCAGCTGCCTGCCTACCTACATTCCTTTCGTTTTGATTTTGTTCATCTGTTCTCTCCCCTCATCACCCAACACTGTGCTGGAGAACTGACTCATCACAGTCCCAAATGAGAAGCTGCAGCTGAAATGTCATTGCCACCTTCCCAAGCAAAATTTTATTTCCCGTAATGTTCATATCATCTCCAACGTGGCTTACATTTGCAGCAAGCTTTGCAGGCATGCTCCTTGGCTATTTGCATTCATGCTTATTTCTAAAGGGAATGTTTTGACTTGAAAGGAACAATGAAGATTAATGGTGAATTTTTCTTTATCTTCCTATATCATGGATTTCTTTTTCAGTTTCTGTTACTGGCTTTCAAACTGGAGATATGAATGCTGTAAACATGATGAGAAGCAGGGTGTTTGTTTCCTTTTATAAGCCAGGATTTTAGTCTGAATAATGGCAGGCCCAACTGAGAATGACTTCAGTTTTTATCTAAGTCATTGCCCAGGAGACACATGACACTTGGCCTGTGCCATATGGGCCCCTCAATAGCCCACCCTTTCCCACCCTGTCCTTTGCAGCCTGCTTCTGACCAATGCCTTCACTGATAAGACTGTACTGGGGATCCGTTAATTAATCCAGTCTTTCATCTCTGTTTTAACAGAGAAGTTAATGTGAAAGGAGTTGTTCACAGGTTAAAAGCAATCACAAATGTCATGGTAATAAAATGGTCTTTTTTTTCCAGTTGCACAAGAGGGCTTTGAAACTAGTTCGTTTTGCCCTTTATTCATTAAAGTGTAATTCATGCCTTATACTCTGTCACTTTCATTTGTCGAGATGGACCAAAAGCTTTGGAGGTGGCCTAGAAAAAATATCTGTGGCCCACTTACAAGGTTGCTTTTCTTGGGACCATTTTTGACTTCGCTAATAATGTAATAGGGTGAAGCTGATTGTTCTTTTGAATTATGTCTTATCAGGAACCATACCCAGAGGAATGGGTTGCAGATTTCTAGGGGGTGTGGCAATTCTAGGCAAAAGTCACTCTCTGTTGTGATCTAGAGCTTCAGGCCCAAGCCCTTGCACCCCTTGTGAACCCTTCCAGGCCTCCTTTCCCGCATATCCCACCTAGTTCTTCCTTAGCATCCTGCAACACACAAATAGTCTTCAAGATGCAACTTATGGCTTTTTAATTATATTTTGAATGTTCATTGTATTCAGATTTCATCATTTTTAAAACAGGTAATTAAAATACAACAACGTCTAGTAAACAAAATTGTCTGCAGATGTCAGTGCCTGTAGAATTATCTATAGGAAACAGCACCTATTAGTATTGTGCTAGATGGAGCAGCACAACTGAAAAGCTATTCTAAGTTGTACAATTTGTGCAATTGATTTTTTAAAGATACCTTTTTCTGAGTTGGCAAAGTATGTGACGTAAACATCACCGATAATGTAAAACTGCATATAAAGTGAAACATTTAGATAAAGCATAACGACGCACGTAAAAAGAAAATATTCATCACTTTTTGTTTAATGTGCTTGACACTGGCTGGTATAGTACGATTTTATAATGTGTCACCCAAAAAGGAAACTTGCTTTCAAGTCCAGTGGCCCTTCTCTGAATTCCTGGCCAGTTTTAGCTCCAGTTCCTATTCCCCACTTTGCCAAAACTCCTCATTTGCTCCATAACTGAACTTCCTTCCTGATGCTCAGAGACTATAGACTGCCAGGCATGAATTCCTGTAACTTTCTGACCCTAGGTCCCACCACCAGTCCTGCACAGCCAGCCTCTCTCCTCTTACCCTCTTCCCTCCCAACTCAGGGAAGGGGAAAGTGATTTTCCTTGTATTCAGAGCTAATTGCTCTGCCCTGGATTCTGTCTCCAACATTTGACTTCTCCAGAGCCTTGCTCCATCAGTGACCCTCTCTTTCTTATGAGTCAGCCTTCCCCTTCCCTTCCACAGTCCTCCCCACCTCACTTCTAAACCAGTTTCTCTACTTTTGTACCTCTGTTAATGTCATTCTTCCCCAGTCACCAGACCTTAAACCCTTAACAGACCAGTTTCTTTCCCTCTCCGTTGCCTCTGTTTCAATTAGTTACCAAGCGCTGTTGATTCTGCCTCCTAAATAACTCCAGTTTGTCCCTTTTTCTCAGTCACCACTGCCCGAGTTCAGCTCCATATCGTCTGTTGTCTGGGTGACTGCCATAGCACCACCCTACCTAGTCTGTCTTCCTTCAGCCTTGCCCCCTTGACCGTGTCACTCCCCTTAACAATCCTCAGTGGCTCTGCATTGTTCACTGGACAGAATACAAATTTGTAGGCATTGAAAAGGCCCTGTCTGCCTCTCCTATCTCCTGCCAGGCCAGTCGTTTCCACTCCACCCAGACTGAACTTCCTTGCAGTTCTCTAAACACCACATTGTTTCTCTCATGCCTCGTGTCTTTGATTTTCAACTCAGGACTTAGCTCATGGGTTGCGTCTCTTCCCAGCTTCTCTCACACTTTGCAAATATTTTGATTAGAATATTTTCACACTGTGTTTAGTAGGAGAAACCCCTTTTTATTTTTGTATAGATCATCATTTAATAAATGTTTATGAATGAATAAAAATGACTAATTAATGAAAATCAGTATTTGTTTTGATGACCTTTAGAGGAATAAAAGACTCAAAGGCTACAGTAATCAACCTTTTACAAATATAATAAAGTGTCATAGAGTCATAGAGGTTACAGAACAAAGGAAACTTGAGATATATGGATTTTAGATATAAAAATTCAAGTGAGTTTTAGATATAAAAATTCAAAAGGGAATCCAGTTAAACCCTGTTAGACAAATAGTTTTGTAAGCTGCTGGTTCTGCAAGGCCTATTTCTAGAACATTTTCATGGAGAGCTACATAAGCTACCTTCTAAACGATTTAAAAAACAAAAAAAAACAACCCAGCCTCAAATGGCTCAGGATGCCTTCATTAAAAAAGCTGCCCAAGAATGAACTGTAAATAAATAACAATATCCTAAAGATTGCTTTCTGAGATACATGTGTAACCCTTTAATTGGAGAACATGGGGTCTGCTCGGACAGTTAAAATCCTCTCTTCAGCATATCTAATATAAAGAAATATCCCAGGCTTTTTGAAATGCCACATTCACTGCTACTTTCAGGAAGGTGGGGAAAGGATTGGTTCTATTAAAACAGCTCAGTAGCCAGTGCTGTTTCCCAAATGCCTATTTGTTTAACAGCAAACAAAACACCTTCTACTCTTTTTGCTCTCCCTGTTTAACTTTCAGATGCTTTACCATGAGATAACTGATCGGCACAAAATAATTCCTGAGACTTCCTTCATACTTTCATTGCATCTTTAGTCACCTTACCAAGTAAATGATACTGATTATCCTGAGGTTTGGCAACCTATAAGTGAGTTTGCATCCCAAAGACTTTCTCTAAAAGTAGCTTCACAATTCTGTTGCTGTTTCATGATTATATAACTCTCTTTCTGAATCAGCACTGCCTACTTCACTCATTCCCATAAGAATAAAGCACGATTGCATGCTTTATCCAGTTTTATTCACTCTGAAGAACACAGGGACATTACAGAGTATCTGGATGTTGATCTTGGGCTCTACTTCAGCAACTCCAGGAAATACTTTGAGTTTACAGGCTCTGAACATCATTAACAATCCAGAGGCTACCGTGCCTGCATTCCTGACCCTCCTCCATAAAACACATAGAAGGGATTATGGCCTCCTTTTCAAAATCAACATAAAATTTTGTACTCAGACTCAGTTGGCAACAGCAAAGAGTTACAAGCACATACCTGCTTTGAATGAACCCAGGGTTATCCCTTGCAGCTTTATATGGATATTTGGGCCAATGTAGTATTTTGAATTCTGATATTCTGTTTCATTGATTCTTATATGCATATTTTATTTTCCATTTTAATGTCTCTGAATTTGGGATTTGTCAGACAACCAATGGCTTGTCATGATTTAATTGGCATGGTTTTTCTAAATTGAACACATAATGGTATGTCTTACATTTATGGTATTTTCATTTGAAGAAATAAGTTTCATATCTTAAAAATCACTTACTTGGTTTCTAAGACTTAGTCAATACGTTAGTACAGCAATTGTAAAAATGACAATCTTAGCTGTGAATTTTATTATGTATGGTAGTGGTTTTGGCAGATATGTTGGAATCAATTGTAATGTACTGATAATATTGAAATTTTTATTATTTTTTAATGTTCAGAGTTTGGATTCATTGCTTCTGCAAAATATTCTACCAATATTTTTTTGTCTGAGTTAACCTAGAATGCCTTCTCTTTCCTGTTTGTAAAAGGGATAGGTATCTTAACATTTGAATCCTTTCTTCTTTGGGGATTCCTTTCTTTTTAAGGAAAAGAAATCAAATACAGTAGAAAGAACCTTTATGAGCTGGAATGGTTAGTGAATAATTACTGTACTCAAACGAGGTTCCTGATAAACTGTAGTTTCTGCAGTTTCTAAAATACATTTATTCTCCTTGCTAACATAATAAATATCAAATGTTTTAAACAGAAATTGGGCCTTTTTGATGATTCTGATGTGACCCATCAATAAGTATCTCCTTTAATGTCTGTGATCCTACTCATAGTCACAGAAGGTAAATTATCTGCAAAATTCCTAACAGGACCCAAGACATACTCTATATGGGCACTCATGCCTTTTCATGTCATAGTACTGTAGAAATAGCATAGTACATAGAAATGCCAGTATTTGTATAGATTAGGGTGCCTGCACCTGAGGGGACATTGGAAAACTCCATTATATAGTTTTCGAAAGTAAGTTACAGAATATTGGTCTGATTTATCATTCCTAAAACAAAGAAGAAATCAAGCTCTGAAAAAAATGTTAACTGCTTGTCAGTTTCACTCAACCAAGGTTCTTTTAAATGCAGCCATGTTGGCGCTTCATTACTAACCATGGGCTGGGTGCAGTGGCTCACACCTGTAATCCCAGCACTTTGGGAGGCCAAGGCAGGCAGATGCTTGAGCTCAGAAGTTCAAGACTAGCCTGAGCAACATGGTAAAACCCTGTCTCTACAAAAAATACAAAAATTATCTGGGTGTGGTCGTGTGTGCCTGTAGTCCCAGCTACTCAGGAGGCTGAGGTGGGAGGATCACTTGAGGGAGGCCTCAGTGAGCTGTGATACACCACTGCACTCCAGCCTGGGCAACAGTGAGACCCCATTTCTCTTTCTCTCATATATATATATATATAGAATATGTGGCTTGTATATTAGTGCTTTGATATGAAGCAGTCTTCTCATCCGTGTGTTTCCCCTTTCCTGACTTTGCCCCTCTTTTTTTTTTTCAGGTGCATACATTCAGAGGGCCACACTGGTGTGAATACTGTGCCAACTTTATGTGGGGTCTCATTGCTCAGGGAGTGAAATGTGCAGGTAAGAGCTCTTGTCTTGTCTCTGGATTGAGTCAGTTGTGAAGTTATAAGAGGTGAGGTAGAAGGAGACTTGTTGTTATGCATATCCAGTAGGCTGGATCCTGGTTTGGTCTTATGCACATGCAGTAGGCCAGATTCTCAGGCAGCCACTTTGGAAATTTGATATTTTATCTGCTCTTAACCTTCTGGCACTTGATGGACAGCACACTAGGGATCTGGCATTAGTCCACTGAAAAGAGAGAAGTCAGCTTGTTCAAAAAGTCTGATAAAAGGAGATAAAAGTAAGGCAGTTATATTTAATACTTGCCTTTGATGTTGCAGTAACTAAATTTATAAAAATGATTTTTTTAAAGCAATGTACAGGGACCTATGATTGTTGCCTTGGAAACTGAATTTTAAAGATAACTTGTTAAGCTGGATTGTCCTTACTAAATTTTTGTGAAATCAAATTGAAGCTTTAAAAATCTGTGAATTCATCTTCAAAGATGGTTACCAAATTCTGAAAAACCACTTAGTCACTAATATTTTCTGTGTGATGTTTTGAAATCAAATACATCAAATACTTTTTGTAAAATATGACCATGAATATTTAGATACAAATTTAGAAACCAAAAGATTTACACATACAGAAATAGCCAACACAAGGATGTATTTGAGATACTTTGTGAAATAAAGTACTTATGTATATCACGTGAAATCCATTTGTATAGAGCAACTATACTGAATACTGGCCATTTATCCAAACTACTTTAAATTCTTTTTTTTTTTTTCTGAGACAGAGTCTCACTCTGTCTCCCAGGCTGGAGTGCAGTAGCGCGATCTCGGCTCACTGCAAGCTCCGCCTCCCAGGTTCAGGCCATTCTCCTGCCTCAGCCTCCCGAGTAGCTGGGACTACAGGTGCCCGCCACCACACCCAGCTAATTTTTTGTATTTTTAGTAGAGACGGGGTTTCACCATGTTAGCCAGGATGGTCTCGATCTCCTGACCTCGTGATCCACCCGCCTCAGCCTCCCAAAGTGCTGGGATTACAGGCGTGAGCCACCGCACCCAGCCCAAACTACTCTAAATTCTGACATAGGCTTAAAAATAATCATGTAAATTTTAAATGTCTATTATTTGGTCATAAAAGTTTCCTTCTGCCATTTAATTTGTAAAACTAAAAAATATCTTCTTACATGTCTTTTAGCATGAAGCTTTACACTAAAAAATATACTAAGTAAAGTATTTCAAAATGGTAACTATAGTAACTGTCAGATTTATCGCTATAAACATCATTTCTTTTGTGGCATGATTTTTAAATGGAATATTTTTGTTGTCCATTATGTGCAGAAATTTCTGGGGTCTGATTCTTATTTCTAAATTGCATTTCCTTTGAATAGCAAGATATAGTATGTATTGCATGGAAATGTTCCAAGTCGCTCTTCTTTCAGTTATTATTCCCTTAGTATCACTAAAATGTAATAAGGTTCCAGGCATATATCACCATTCAAGGACCTTCCTGCCACAGGAAGTGGGATAAGAATCCTACACGTGTGGACTTGGAGCTGTGCAAAGGTGTTCGTCAGGGAGCGCCTCAGCTCAGAGTCGAAGCTCAGAGTGAATGAGGAAAGCCTTGCTGTGGCTGGTGGTTATCCAGAGTTGGGATGAAGAAGGCCATGGTTGTGCCTTTGCACTGGAGGGAAACAGTAGAATGGAAAGTGTTGATAAAGTGGAGGTATTGAGGCAGTGTGCATTGCAGTTTCACAAAGGCAGATGGAATACTCTTTCCAAAGCACAAATTGCCTGCTCGAGAACAATGGTCTCAATGAGCCCAGTTTGCCTTTATGAGACAGTCTTGTCCAGCTGATACTCTGCAATAGTTTTTTAAATGTTTTATGACTGTCACAAACTTAAAAGCTTTTCTTTCATGAGTAAGGGTGTATATTGTTTCCATTTTGAAAAAGTGAAGCCCATCTACATAAGAATTCTTAACTATTAATAGAGAATAGGTACAGCACCTATGAATAATCTTTGGGAATACGCTACAACCCCAATCATGTTGGAAAGAAATGTTTTGGAACATTTATCATGTCAATAATATGGGGGAAAGGAGAAAGAATTCATCCCCATCTCCACAGCCACCCACATTAATAGCCTCTACCTCTTATTGTGAGTAAAGGTCAGGAATTGAAAGAAAAGCCTTGAGGAGATTTTTCATTTTATGTTATATCTTGTCCTTAAAAGCATTATATTCAGTGTGATTTGAACCATATTAATGTGTAATACAAGCACAAGTCAACTCATTTTGAAAACACGGAGGGTTGGAATTTGAATTCATTCTGTTTTCTATGACAACTAATTATATTTGGATTGACAGTGAGATTCTTAGGTCTGAAGTGGCTTTGAGGCTCATCTGGCCTTTGACTATCTAAATCCAAACGCAAAGAATTGAGAATTTAAAGAGAGAGTGCACACTAGCTGTGATAAGCTGAAAAATAGCTCCCCAGAGATGTCCGCTTCTAATTCCCAGAACAACATTCCTTGTTCCTTTCATGGCACGAAGAATGTTGCAGATGTCATTTAAATTAAGGATATTGAGATGGGGAGTTTTGGGTTGCTATGACAAAATACCACAGACTGGGTAATTTGTAAATAACAGAAATTTATTTCTCACAGTTCTGGAGGCCAGGAAGTCCAAGATCAAGCTGGCAGCAGGTTCAGTGTCTGGTAAGGGTCCAACTCTGCTTCCAAGATGGCGCCTGGAAAGCTATGTCCTCCAGAGGGGAGGTGCCTACAATGCAGTGTCCTCATGATTTGGCAGAAGAGTATAAAAGGGGCCAACTCCCTCTGTCAAGCCCCTTTATAAGAGCGCCTAATCCCATTCACAGGGGAGGCGCCCTCATAAGCTAATCATCTCTGAAAGGTCCCTTCTCTTAATACTCTCACATTAGCAACACCTGAATTTTTGAGGGGACACTTTCAAACCACAGCAGGGAAAGTACCCTAGATTGTCAAGGGAGGCCTAGTATAATCACAATCATAATGGCCCTTATAAAAGGGAGGCGAGAGGTTGATAGAGAAAGATGATATAAGGACAGAAGCAGAGGTCAGAGGGAAGAGAAGATGCTATGCTGCTGGCTTTGAAGACAGAGGAAGGAGCCAGAAGCCAAGGAATGCAGGTGGTCTTTGGAAACTGGAAAAGGCAAGGAAAGAAGTGGATTCTCCCCTAAGCCTCCAGAAGAAATGCAGACCCGCTAACACCTGATTTTAGCCCAGTGAAAGTGATTTTGAACTTCTGACCTCCAGAATTTAAGATAATATATGCTTGATGTTTCAAGCCAGGAGTTTGTGGTATTAATAATTTGTTATAGCAGCAATTGTAAACTAATGCACTAACCACTAAACACTAAAGGTATTCTTTCCAAAGAAAAATGGTGGGCTGTCAGAAAAGAAATGTATTTATCTGCCTTTGATTCCTGAGACAGCTTGCTTTGTTCTGCCTTCTTTTTTCAAAATCCACCGAGGCAAAAGAGAGCTTGTCAGGAATGTTTAAATGTTTAAAGCTGCTTTAAATGCCAAAAGCAGCAATTTTGTGTCCCTCGCCACAGCCCTTTTTTAAACATCATGTAAAGGTATTGGGTGATGTTCCAACCACCAGGCTGGCAAAGTTGCTGTAGGAGTCGGACTAAATCCAGCTAATACCAGGCAAGCCGTCCCTTCAGGACTGAAAGTGCTGGCTTGCTGCTAAGCACACCGCAGCGATGAGGACAACTGAGGGAGCAGCAGGGACCATCCTGAGAATGCTAATCATTACATTACACGGGCTATTCAAAACCACGCAGTGCAAGGTGACATTGCAGGCATTGCAAAGTCTCACCCACCAAAGTCACCCTTCCTCTAGCCTCCTTTGAAGTGAAGAAAGTGATGTTGCAAGGGCATAGCTAACTGCAGATTGGGAATGGTGCTCCTCCGGCTAGAATATTTATGACCCAAGTAGGTAACCTTTAAAAATCACATGAAAAAATGCTCATCATCACTGGCCATCAGAGAAATGCAAATCAAAACCACAATGAGATACCATCTCATACCAGTTAGAATGGCAATCAGTAAAAAGTCAGGAAACAACAGGTGCTGGAGAGGATGTGGAGAAATAGGAACACTTTTACACTGTTGGTGGGACTGTAAACTAGTTCAACCATTGTAGAAGTCAGTGTGGTGATTCCTTAGGGATCTAGAACTAGAAATACCATTTGACCCAGCCATCCCATTACTGGGTATATACCCAAAGGATTATAAATCATGCTGCTATAAAGACACATGCACACGTATGTTTATTGTGGCACTATTCACAATAGCAAAGAGTTGGAACCAACCCAAATGTCCAACAATGATTGATAGACTGGATTAAGAAAATGTGGCACATATACACCATGGAATACTATGCAGCCATAAAAAATAATGAGTTCATGTCCTTTGTAGGGACATGGATGAAATTGGAAATCATCATTCTCAGTAAACTATCGCAAGGACAAAAAACCAAACACTGCATGTTCTCACTCATAGATGGGAATTGAACAATGAGAACACATGGACACAGGAAGGGGAACATCACACTCTGGGGACTGTTGTGGGGTGGGGGGAGGGGGGAGGGATAGCATTAGGAGATATACCTAATGCTAAATGACGAGTTAATAGGTGCAGCACACCAGCATGGCACATGTATACATATGTAACTAACCTGCACATTGTGCACATGTACCCTAAAACTTAAAGTATAATAATAATAATAAAAAAATCAAGTTCAAAGGATGGTCGTTGTTCATTTAGAATAGTTCCCTTGAATAGTATTTTTCTTTATGAAAAGTAAGCTTATAGGTTAAAGTAATCTATTATTATGTAATCATGGAGACTGTCAAACATTCGTCTTTAAAAAAAGACCATTATTCCAGCAGCATTCCTGAATTGTTTTCATCTTAGCCTTACCAGAATAATCTAAGAAATTAAGAAGGATAATTATTTCAAATCAGACATATCAGTTTAATGTTGGTTATTTATGAAAGTGACTTCATGTTTTCAGTGTATCATTATCATTGCTGCCTCCAAAAGGAAATGGCAGCAGTTCTCCTAATAATAAACTGTAAGTATTTATTACTTCAGGTATACAAGCCCTTTTAGGTTGCAGAAAATAAGTGGAAGTAATGTTTTTTATTTTAACTACTGTTTTGATTGATCGTACCTAAAGAGTTGCGTTTGTCCTTGTAAGCCAGTGAGAAATTGGTAAGACTTGCTTAAAAGTTTCATGGAGCCCCTTTTAGTTGGAAACAATATTTTCATCAATATTCCAAAGAACAAAGCATTCTTCTTAATTTTGCTTATAAAAATAATTACTTCTGATGCATATTAAAATTCAAGCTATTCCACTTTCCTGGGGGAAAAAAAACGAGATATGTTTCAAAACAAGTTTTTATTTGCCATTATTTAAAATATGAACATTCAGAGAGAATAATGATTATAATTTCAAATCTTATTAACATAAAGTTATCCTTTAATCCTGTCAATAGAATGTCAGTATCAGCTATTCCTTTCAAAAAATTGATTTCTGTGCTTTCTAGATATAAAACCTGTGTTTTAGCAAAATCAAGCCCCAGAAAGTCTGAAAGTAATTTAAAGTTGGTAGTCTAAGTAATAGAAATATTTTATTAAGAAAGTATAGAATAAAATGTGACTTGAATTTTTTATTCCTCCTTTCATATGTTTATTCTATGCTTATTAACTTGAGAAATTGGAAGGGAGAAATGTGGTTTAATAGTAACATAAAAAAAAATGTGGTTTAATAGTAACATAAAAATAACCTACCAAACCAAGAGATTCAACAAATGAAATCATTTATGGACCTTTTATTATTATTATTATTTGTAGTATAGCGCTTCCCTGAGAGAAATGGAACTATATAAGAGTTATATGACTTTAATAAATAAGTATGAAAACCAAATAAAGCCTTAATAGCAAACTGAAATATTGATATACCGTTAGTCCCTGAGGCAGCAGTTTTCAGAGCAAGCTCAGGGCTAGTGAATTGCACTGTGAATGTAAGTGTATAAAAATCAGCTTTATTTTAATGACTTTGCCCTGTCTTTGGCAAAGACTTCATATCCAGTCCTGCCAAGAATTTAGCCTTATCAGATACATTTTTAAAATTGAGTATAACATATTAATGTTTTCCCATAGTTTTATCTTATTTAAATAAAAGAGAGAACATCAGTTTAGAAAACATTTCCCTCTTCCTTAAATACCTAAATCTGAGCTCACTCATCACTTTATCCAGTCTTCACTGAGTCCCAAATAAGCTTAGGAACCTGCTGATGTTTAAAATGGGAGATGAATACTGGATGTGGTAACTCACGCCTATAATCCCAGCACTTTGGGAGGCCAAGACAGGTGGACCATCTGAGGTCAGGAGTTCAATACCAGCCTGGCCAATATGGTGAAACCCCATCTCTACTAAAAATACAAAAAATTGGCCGGGCGCGATGGCTCATGCCTGTAATCCCAGCACTTTGGGAGGCCAAGGCGGGAGGATCACGAGGTCAGGAGATCGAGACCATCCTGGCTAACACGGTGAAACTCCGTCTCTACTAAAAATATAAAAAATTAGCCAGGCGTGGTGGCGGGCGCCTGTAGTCCCAGCAACTCGGGAGACTGAGGCAGAAGAATGGCATGAACCTGGGAGGCGGAGCTTGCAGTGAGCCGAGATCGCGCCACTGCACTCCAGCCTGGGCGACAGAGCGAGACTCCGTCTCAAAAAAAAAAAAAAAAAGAAAAAAAAATCAGCTGGGCGTAGCGACGCGTGTCTGTAGTCCCAGCTACTTGGAGGCTGAGGCATGAGAATTACTTGAACTGGGAGGCAGAGGTTGCAGTGAGCCAAGATTGCGCCATTGACTCCAGCCTGGGTGACAGAGCGAGACCCTGTTTTAAAAAAAAAAAAAAAAAATTGGGGGATGACTCCAAACATTCAAAGGAAAAAAGTCAATACCAAACCATTACTGCCATTCAGATGTTTTATGTGCATGCATCACAATTTTACTTTTTTGCTTTCTACTGGATTTTTATACATAGGGAAAGAATATGACAAAACAAGTTTTATCACTGCATTTTAAAAACCCTGCCAGATCAATTATATATATAGATATCTATAAGGGGACTCATTTGGGTAAAATATAGCAATGTTTTTTAAACTCAAGTCTATACAATGAATAATGGGTACAATATACATTTTTGAATAAGAGGTTGAAAATAGCAAATACATCTTCAATAATGGAAAATATAACTTTGAGTACATGATGTAGTGTATGGTATACATGGGGAAAAGTGGTATGTGTGACCCAGTGGGAAGAGGACAGGCTGGGAATCAGCAATCTAAGATTTCAAAGTCAGTTCTAGCACTTTCTGGCTGAGTAACCTGAACAAGTCATTTAGCCTCTCTCAACCTCATTGTCTTCAGCTTGAAATGAAGATATTGGGATAGCTTTTTACCAAGAGCCCTTTCTGACTCAATCTGTGACCTGTGTGTATTACACTTAAAGTATGAGGTATATCAACACTATTATTAGATTATGAAGGTTGTTGAATTTCATGCTTCTAAAACGTTGTTATAAGAGTTCTTCCAGTTCTGGACAAGATGGATAAATATGCTTTTATTACTCCCAATAATTATAACAAAAGGCCCTGGACAAAACATATACATCAACTATCAGAAGACTCTGAAAAGTTGGAAGGCAGACTAAGCACCTCAGGATTCCAGAAACAACCTAGCAGCGAGTTCCCTGGTGGCTAATTTTGTCTGTTTTAACCTCCAATATTATCCCAGCCTGGGCACCAGAGAAGCCCACGAACCATAAATGCCACCTGGCAGAGATTAAAAATAATCCCCAAAAAAGGCTGCTCTTTCTAGCTAACGCAGTGGGAAAAGGGCAGCCCAGCAGCACAGAAACCTTTCAGTCATACCTTCCATTCTCTAGGTAAACAGAGACCCTTCTGCTACACCTTCTCAGTGGATGCTGCAGCAGCAGAGTCTAGGTACAAGCCAGTTTTCCACCACCACCTTGCAATAGCAGTGGTGCACTCTGCTGCAAACCTGTGAGTGGAACTCTAGCTTCCTTCCATTCCTGCCTTGCAGAAACTGGTATCCCTCCTTTGCTGAGCTTGTGAGTGGGATCCTGACTTTCTTCTCCACCCTATAGTAGAAGCAGCAACCTCTCAGCCCAAGTCTATGGGGAGAGCTGTATCTTCATCCCTGACCTGCAGTAATGAGGCAGCTGAGACTGGTGAGAACTCTATCATCTATGCCCATCCTACAGCTACATGTAAAATAGTACTATTCCCCAACCCAGTTTGTGGGCACAGCTTTGACTTCCACCCTACCTGCAATACCTCTCCCTCCCACCCAGTGCCACAGAGAATGTGGAGCAGAGTCCTGCCATTTGGGTAATATACAAGTGGGGCAGGCACAATAGCACTGCAGTAGCATTTAAAAAAAACTTTGTAAACTAGGTTGACATTTGGATCACAGTCTACAAAAGAGCATTCTAAATCTAAACAAATTGACTACAGGTTACAATTTTAAAGATTTAGTAGGAACCAGAGTCAAATAATACTCAAATATCAAAGATACCATTCAGAATTACTCATCAAAAGTTACTCTGGAAATAACCAGGAAAAAAATAAAAAAGGACAATTGGCAGACACCAACAGCAACGTCAAGATGACACAGATGTTGTAATTATCAGACAAGAAAAGCAGCTATCATAAAAATGCCCCCAACAAGCAATTATGAACACTCTTGAAACAAATGAAAAAAAAAAAAAAAGGAAATATCCGAAAAGAAATAGATATTAGGAAGAACCAAATGGAAATTTTAGAACTGAAAAATATAATAACTAAAAGGAACTCACCGGATTATGGGCTTAATAGCAGAATAGACATGACAGAGTGAAGATGAACTTGAAGTGAAGATAAGTAGAAATTATCCAAGTTAAACAACAAAGAGAAAATATGTATTTTTTAATTTATTTTTTTTTAGAGACAGGGTCTCGCTGTGTCATTCAGGCTGGGGTGCAGTGGTGTGATCATAGCTCACTGCAGCCTTGACCACCTGGGCTCAGGCAATCCTCCCACCACAAGCCCGCTGAGTAGCTGGAACTACAGGCGCACACCACCACAACCACCAATTTTTAAAAATTTTTGTAGAGGCAGGGTCTCACTATGTTGCCTAGGCTTGTCTCAAACTCCTGGCCTTAAGCAATTCTCCCACTTTAGCCTTTCAAAGTGCTGGGATTATAGGTGTGAGCCACTATGCTTGGCTTAGAAAATAGATTTTAAAAAGTGAACTGAGCCTCAGAGACCAGTGGGACCATAACAAAGGTTTTAGCATTTGTGTTGTTGGAATCCCAAAAGAAGATAAAGAATGAGAGGCTGAAAAAATATTTGAAAAAAAAAATAGCTGAAAACTCCCCAAATATGGTGAAAGCAGTCAAGAGAGAAATGATGCATTACTTACTTCGGGTCCTTTTATTTAAATGAAATACATTAAGAACAGTGTAGATATGGAAGCATCTGTATCCCCAGTTATCCAATTCCTTTTCGGGACCTGGCCTCCACATCTGACAAATATGAAATTTTTAGCCTTGAGTTCAACTTA
Organism: Homo sapiens; assembly: GCF_000001405.40. Taxonomy (NCBI): domain Eukaryota; kingdom Metazoa; phylum Chordata; class Mammalia; order Primates; family Hominidae; genus Homo; species Homo sapiens. Next base: position 174,814,758 of record NC_000002.12, on the reverse strand, counting down.
GCTTCTGACCTTAAGCTGATTGACAACCTTGAGGTACGACATAGAAAAGGCCTTTCAAAGTGTTATTTCATTTTTCTAAATAACAACAACATAGTCATGGTGAACACAGTTTACTACATGTATGCATTTTACCTATATTAACATTGAAGCCTCACATGAACACTAATAAACACTATTATTGTTCCCATTTTACACAACTGAGGTACAGGAAATTTGAGCAACTCACTCAAAATCACACAGCTAATAAATTCTAGACTGAACTCTAAGATATAAAAGTTACCCAAAACATTAAAATATTCAGGAGACAGGAGATCTTTTAAGTGGACAGTTGGTTGCCTTATGATTGAGTCAGATCTCTTATGTATTCTCTAATACAGAGATAAAGAAGAATTTGGGATTTGGTTCTGAAGTCATTTGGACATTAATGATACAGAATAGTGTTGGGTCATTTGTTCAGATAGTGTAGATTGAGCTCTTTGTCCTGGAAGCCATTCTGTATTCACAAGCTGACATTCCTTAGGGGTGATAACTTTTGGCACTATTAGCACTGGTGATCCCATCTTCCACATGTATGCAGAGACCCAGCTTCCCTTGACACCTAGCCTGTCTTTGTACATGGAGGTGCTCAGTTCATATGAATTCTTTCCCGAGAGTTGCCACAGGCCTTAAGTTCTTATTTCAAGTTGGCAGTGTCTACACATTTAATGAAACAATGATGTTGTTTGTAAGTTTTGGCTAATTTTCCTTGTCTCTGTTAACTGTTACCACTATATATAACTAGATCACAGCTAATAACTTTTACCAAAAGTCATGATAATGATCACCAGCATTTGTCTAGCATTTTACAACATTCAAAGCACCTGAATGCATTGGCTCATTAATTCTCAAAACAATTTTGTGAGGTGAATATTAGGATCGTCTTTCTGCCAGAAACAGCAAGCAAAACTGAATGGCGTTGTATGATTTTCAAATTGGCTTCACTAAGACCTGGCTATAAATCATATATGCACCACTTGGACTAGATTTACAAGAGGTCAACATAAAGTTTTTATGAACTTAAAAACAAATGGGTTATTTTTTTTAAAAAGATGACATTTATTTTAGTTGAATTATTTAGGTATGGTTTACTCTGCAGTCTAATTTAACAAAATATTTGTATTCCTCTCTACCCCATCTAAAATTTCTTTGTACTTTTCTTGTTGAAAATAAAGTGTCTCACAATATTAACCAGAAAATGTTTCATTTCTGGCATCTTAGAAGTTATAACCAAGTAAAATTACAAAGCAAATGAGTAACTTCAGTAGAGGCAGTATGTGTCTAGGTGTTAAAATTGGGGACTGACTCTAGGGGCTTCCAGATAACTGAACATGTGGCGGTTCCTAGAGGGTGATACACCCAGGGAGGGCTGGAACCTCCACACCCCTTTCCCCATACCTCATCCTATACGTCTCTTCAGCTATATCCTTTGTAATTAAACAGTAAACATTTTTAAAATGTGGACTCTAGAATCATCCATAGGCTTGAGTTCTGTTCCACTGTGTACTAAATGCATGGCCTTGGGTAAATTACTTATTACTTCTGTGTTTGGTTTTCTCAGATATAATATGAGGGAAAAAAGTACCCGTTTCATAGAGCTTTGTGAGTTTAAGTGAAATAATAAATGTAAAGCACTTAGAATAGTGCCTGGCACTAGTAAGCCCTCAATAAATGTTAGCCGGTAATAGTATAGCAATAAATAATAGTTACAGCTATTTCCAGCTACTAGAGGAATTATATATTAGTTATCATATATATAGAAAGGATTACAGATAGATATAAACATGAGCAGCACCATTTTAAGAGGGCCCTGGATATTCCTACTTTTGGAGGTCCAATTCCGCTTTATATCAAATATACTTAAAATGCAATTATACCCCACATTAAATAAACATTTTATGTAACTTTAAAGAAATGGGTTTTTTTTTTGGCTATTTGACATATTTTGTGGACATTGAATTAAAAACATTAATTTTGATTTTTTTGTTGTATTCTCCTGAGATCATACAGCAATTAAACGATGAAGCGTGAGCTAGAATTCTGGTCTCCTGGCTTATAATCAAATTGTTCCAAGAGAAAAGATGAAAATTATTGTTTTTCCACCAAGAAAGAACTGCTGGAGTCTAGTCCACTTTAAAACCTAATTCAAGCTGGAGTGCCTTTTGCTAAAATTAACACTCCAGAATGCTCAAAACTCTGAAAATAATATTGAATGTTTCCTTTCTTTATTCTTTTCTTAGATTGTGGTTTGAATGTTCATAAGCAGTGTTCCAAGATGGTCCCAAATGACTGTAAGCCAGACTTGAAGCATGTCAAAAAGGTGTACAGCTGTGACCTTACGACGCTCGTGAAAGCACATACCACTAAGCGGCCAATGGTGGTAGACATGTGCATCAGGGAGATTGAGTCTAGAGGTGAGCCATTTGCAGTGCGGGTTGCAGTGGTCTCCGTTCACTACCAGTACCAATCCTGATGCCTTTTGGGTACCTCATTGCACAATACGGTTGTCTTCTGTAATTTGGAGGGGAATGGTTTCATATGTCAAATGATCTCAAAGACTGAAATGAATTAATTTAACAATTAAATAGCTTGATTTCAAGGTACATTTAACTAAGTGTAGCCAATGTGCTTGTATAAAAATATATTTATAGATGATGCTTCCAGTCTGCAAAAGTTGACAGGTAAAGACAAATTCATTTTTCAGTTTTTAAATTTTTCTTTGGTTCAAAAAGCAAAAGTATAAATGCTCTACTAAAACTATCTATAAAGCCAAAAACAGAGCTGCATCCTAATTATTCTTTCCCACTTGAGAAAAACAGGCCTATATTTTATCTTAGTCTTCTGTTATGTAAAAGAATTTATGATGTAATTGGGGTGATGAATTATTTCCCTTAAGACTTAACATATTTCACTTAATTAGACCAAATGATGAGCCAGATGATATTCAGGTGACAATAGGTAAGAGTTAAAGAACTGTGTGTGAAATCGTTTTATTCTAGGAGAAGAGTGTGAAAAGATTTCTAAACATGTATATTTTATTTCTTCTGACACATTACCTCCCAGCTTAAAGTGTGAGGAGTTAAAATCTGAAGAAAAGGCATAATTCAAAGAAACTAACTAGTTTTATTTTTCAGGTCTTAATTCTGAAGGACTATACCGAGTATCAGGATTTAGTGACCTAATTGAAGATGTCAAGATGGCTTTCGACAGAGGTATGTTTTTCACAATGTTCCATAACTTAGGACAATAATACTCTTTTCTAAAAAGGCACAATTTCTTGTGAGGTATTTTTTGCATTATTTTTCTAAATCATTGATGATTATTATACCAAATTAAAAAACTTAGCTTATAATTTCTTCTTTTTTCTGAGTTGTAAGTATTAAACAGTCAAATTTCAGAATATGAAAGAAGTATAAAATTAAACTATGTTACCAATATTTGAGTATCCAAGGCTGGTCCATGTTCACCAAAATACATACAGAGCAATTACATTCACCAAAAATGATAGAGAAAAGAGTAGGATCTATACCATTACAGATTTCAGGCTTCTCAGGCTTGAGTTAACCCACCTTACCCTGCCTGTCATCCATGCCCCGCTGGCATCCTCATCACCATCTTCGATTAGCTGAGTGAGACCCAAGCCCGGACTCAAGTTTTGGGGCCAGAAAGCTGAAAGAAGCTTTAGGGGCCTTCTGTGGGGGACCCATCAGCCACTGTAGGAGAAGGGGCCCAGTCAAAGAAAAGCTCAGTGGAGCTTAATTTTCTTAGCTAACATTTAAATTAAGATTTGCTTCCATGGCTCTCCAATTTGTCTTTGCTTCAAGGACTAGAACAAGGTGGTTCCAAAGAAGACCTGTAGCCTTGAATACAGGAAGTAAAGGAGTAAGAGTTAGTGATCTTTTAAAGAACCACTTTCCTTTGCAAGTACGTATTCTAGTTCTATCACACAAACCTCTCCCATTCACAGACCTCTTGTAGGCAACAGAGGCAGAAAGCAAAAGTAATTAAATATTCATTACCAACCTGAGGGAAACTAGGCCAGCCCATGTATGTGATAAGAGCAAAGAAAGGGAGGTGAATTAATGGTGTATTCACTCCAAATAAGCATCAGGAAGAGCAGTCCTGAATCCCTGCCAGATTGAATGGGAAGAAGCATCTCTTTACTCTGGAAGCTCTGCAACTGAGCATGTCCATTCCCAGCCTCTGGCTATGAGTCTCAAAAATAAATTCACACTGACAAAGAAACTGAATGTTCCTATGGACCCCAGAGAGCAAAGAAATGACACAGTTTCCTGTATAGAAAATATGAGACAACCATTTTGTGACCTGAAAACACCAGTAACAGATTTTAAAATTCATGAAGAGCTCACCTTGGCTCCCTGTAGCCACACTGCTGGGGGCCAGTCTTTGGCCTCCCAAGGATGTGTACCAGCACTCATCTGCAAGATCTATAGTAATGATGCAAAGGATTTTAACATGGATTACAGGAAACCAGTGACTCGGATCATTAAAATCAGTTCTATATATAAATGCTGCCCAATTCCATGCATGTTCAAAGGAATAATCCTATACCTTTGAATAAACAGAGCAAAATAATTTGGAGTAATTAAGGATGATCACTTCTGAGAGGCATAAACCTCAAGTAATGAGATCCAAGAAAGAAGACAATATCCATAGGATGCTGGAATGAACTCATTTAAGAGCCAAGGTGAAAAGGCAAGTTTGGGGAAATCTTCCCCAGCTTAGGAAATAGTGACTGAATGGAAAGCTGACTATTCTGAGGTCAGCAGTTGCCATTATACCTCTGCTACATTTTGTCCTTTGGTGGAATCACAGATATTTATGTGACAGGTACAGTGAGAGATCCATGGTCAAAACAAATAAAATCTCATCAGCTTTACCCCAGAAGAATCCTAGTCTGCTGGAGGCAAGAGCAGAAAGTAAAGAAACAATCAGGAAACAGAGATGTTATAGACGTCTTGCTGATATGGTATAGCCCTACTTAGAATGTAGTATGTGGATATCAGATTCCAGGATTTGTTTACATTATTTTAAAACAGAAAATAAGTAAATAGATAATACAGATGGAAGAATATATTTGTGTATTTGTGTATACTTACTAAAAAGCAGGTTTTAAAAGAACCAGTTTAATAACAACGTACATAGTAAGCCCCGGCATGTTACTCTTTTAGGCCCCTAGCTTGTTTAAATCTATTTTCCATTGATTGGTTAACTCAAAAATATTAAGCAGCTACTATATGCCAGGCACCATGTTCTTTAGAACATTTATAGAGCATAGACGAGGTGCCATGAATCCTGCCGAGCACTTTAGATATGATGGTTAACCATGTACGCTTGGTCCTTGCACTCATGGAGGGCTCACATTAAATAATAATCACACAGTGGCTATTGATTTTATTTTAATAAGGGCTATAAAGGAAAATATTAATAACTGGGGAGTTTAACCTGTCTAGTAGGGCAGGTAAGGCATGCTGGAGATCAGAAGAGGCTCTTTCACAGAAAATTAATCATTAATATGTAACGTAGCACACTAAATTTTACGTTAAAAACTGAAGAATTGCTAATCTTTAAAATCTGATTTGTATACAGATATGTCATTCATTAAAACAGTGCTGTGAATCCAGATATTTACTTTTATTTCTTTCAACATCCTTAAAAGATGGTGAGAAGGCAGATATTTCTGTGAACATGTATGAAGATATCAACATTATCACTGGTGCACTTAAACTGTACTTCAGGGATTTGCCAATTCCACTCATTACATATGATGCCTACCCTAAGTTTATAGAATCTGCCAGTAAGTATGAATGCATGTATTTCAAATAACCTGACAACGTCCTCTTGGTAATCACCTTCCTGGTTTTCTGGCTAACTTGAATGCATTTTATGAAATGTTTCCCCTTTGCCTCTCTCTATGGTTAATGTACTTACAAGAATTTTGCATTGTTCTCTAACGTAGATTATTTTATGACTTAATACCATCAGAAGCTTCTTTGTAATGTGCTAAACCTCATTTTCCAAAATAAGGCTTATACCAGTGCTCTTTAGATGTAAGCCAATGCTTTTGTAAAATAAAATAAAAATGAATAACTGGAAAAGTAAATTAAAAAAACAAAACCAGGCTGGCAGTGGCTCACGCCTGTAATCCCAGCACTTTGGGAGGCTGAGGTGGGCAGATCACCTGAAGTCAGGAGTGCAAGACCAGCCTGGCCAACATGGTGAAACCCCATCTCTACTAAAAATACAAAAAATTAGCTGGGCGTGGTGGCACGCGCCTGTAGTCCCAGCTACTCAGGAGGCTGAGGCAGGAGAATTGCTTGAACCCGGGAGGCAGAGGTTGCAGTGAGCTGAGATTGTGCCATTGCATTCCAGCCTGGGCAACAAGAGCAAAACTACGTCTCAAGAAATAAAACAAAAACAAACAAAAAACCAACTATCTTTTATTAAATTCAGCAAACATAAAATTTCTATCAGATTACTATATGTTTCTAAATTCTTATTCTCAGTTTCTGTGCTTGTATAAGTTCACTCAGACTATTAACAGCAAACTGGCACTGGCCCACACATTGTACTTTAAAAAGCACTATTTTATATCAAGAAGTTTTTGTAAATTCTAGTTGAAATGAAAATGAGAAAAAGCAAAGGTTTATTTGTCAAAGTTCATTTATGCTGTAAAAATCATACTTGTAATTCACACTTCATTTTTTAAAGAAGGGAATTCTTATTGGTTTTAAGTATTAGCATTACTGGTTTTTTTGGAAAAGATAGGCTATTTCTGTCATTTTGCTTTTCTCTCTTTAAAACCATATGTTGTCTTCATCTTTAGATGATAACATCACTTCCTTAGTAACACTAATTTGCTTTTTGACTTGGGAATTTCATGAAGTACAATCTTTCTTTGTTCTAAATTTTAGTTTCCCTCTCAGGGCTTTTGTAGAGGATTTTTGTGGTTAGTTCCATGGAGGTCTGATTTCTTGTGGGTCAGCTCAAGCTCCCATGTAGAGAACAGCTGTGAGAATTACACTGATTTCTTTCAAAGCATTAGGTTAGAAAGCATGAAAAATTCTAGGTCTCTTATGGACGCAGTGCTGATCATGAAAATTTGTATGAGGGATCTCACATGTCCTTGTCTCATGGGGCAGACATTTCCTCTCCAGTTAAGTCTGATTGCCACTCATCTAGAAAGCAACACACACACACACACACACACACACACACACACACACACACACACACACACACACACACACACACAGATAGCCCGTGAAAAGCTGCCTAGTCCACAGTATGCTCTGATCCCGAGGACTCCGATCCCACTGAAAGTGGGTAAGCTTCCACTCTGGAAGTAAAACTGAAGCTTGGCTCTATGCCTAACTCTGGGGCACACAATCAGCAGAGGACAAAGCAGTGATGCAAACCCAGGTTCTGAACTCCACACACCGCCATATCTAGGAAGAAGTAAAAGCCAAGCCTCCTCTTGGACTTCGAGGCCTTTGTCCCCACAATTCCAAATGACCTCTCCTTCCTTCCCCACACCCACCTTAGCTGCTGAAGAAAATCTCTCCTTTTTATTATCCTTCCAAATCATTTGTCATCGTTATGGAGTTTCTGAAACAGCCTTCCTGTCCAAAATTAGCAAGCCCCCTTATCTCACCCCTCAGAGAACTCTGGAAACCACATCATAAGAAAGAAACTTTCGGAAATCAAGGTAGAAATTTCTCCTTATAATTTCAGTTATTTGGATGTCTGATTTATGAATGACACCAAAAACCCTGGCATAATACCAATATATAATATAAACGTTTGTTGTACATGTTTAATAGCGATATCTTGTTTGTGGAATATTGTGTCCTTGTACACTCTCTTCTGGCAGTAGAGTCTGTTTCATTCTTTAGATGTGCAGATACGGCCATTCTCTTAAAAGGCAGACAAGGAAGATGAGAGAAATTAACATTTATAGAGCATAGACGAGGTGCCATGAATCCTGCCGAGCACTTTACATCCATGATGTAATTTTAGAAAGGAGATGTGATGGAGTATCAGTAAATTGTGTAAGATCACATTGCTCACTAGGGGCGGCGGCAATGGCATTCACACACACCTCTAAGGTCAGAGCCCTTGCTTTACCCACTCTGTCACACTGCCTGGCTCACTTGATAGAACAGGGAATGAGACTTACACAAGGGAAGAAGGAAGAACCCCTTTCAAACGAGGGACAGGGTTAAATGATCCTTCCTAATGCGGATATATTCTCCAAAATTTTTTTTCTCTCTCAGCTCCTAAAAATGTCTCTGGCATTTATTAGCATCCTTTGCCAACAAAATATCAGAATTTACATTAAACCTTTCTTCTACAAAAGCTGTTTGAGCTCTGCTTTTGCAGCTTTCTTGGAGGAACCTGTAGCTTAAAAGCTGGAAGGGGGTGACTGCAAGAAATGAAAAAGGAAAGCAAGGGTGGAGAAGGCCAGGTCATCCCATGCTACAGCTGGAAGTTCTTCCAAAGCCCCTGGAAACTCCCTGATGAACCCACCTGAAGTCTGTGTTCACTCACCCCCACCTTCCTTACTCCCTCCCCCTGCAGTTAAGACATTGCTGCCCTAGAATAAAAGGACAGGTGCTTGTCACAGAGCCTCCAGTAACCCAACATTATGGATGCTTCCTGGTCACGATGGAAACAGCACTGCCAAAGTTGAGCTCCCTGTGGTAATGAGGGGAGAAATCTTCCTCTGGCCAAGGATTCTGAGAACTCTGTTCCCAGAGCAGCTTCAAAAAGCTACATGTCTCAGTGTGTAACCTTGAGATCAACTCAAAGCCCAGGGTTCTTGGTCCCAAGCAACTTGAAATCTCTGGAAGAGAAGCCTGGGAAGGAGAACTTGTTAGTATTTCCTCAGCTCTGCCACTGAGCTGCCCCTTTTGCTAAGTTTTAATCTTCTTGTATTCAAGTTTCTCTGTGTAAAATTAACTAGACATACTGTAGAAGAGCTTTTAATTAGATCTTTATGGGCTTAGAGTCTTTATTTCCTTCTCGGACAATGTTCACATTTTCCAGATCCTTCCAGGCCCTCCTCTAATGCCATCTGCTCTTCCCTGGACCTCTCAGCTGCAGACCATCTTTCTCCTCTGATTCCCATCACCTCTACTTGGACATCTTTACTGCCTCCTTCCTTCATGCTGGAAGGTTGTAATTACGTTTTGTCTTCCTACTTCACCGGAATCCCTTTTAAAGGGAGGAGTTCTTGCTCATGTTCCTTTTCCCACAGTACCTGTGATAGTCCCTTACTTACGTAATAGGTATAATAAATATTTGTTGAATAAGTCAACTTATAATTTTATATTGAGAACGGTAGGATGTTAGAGTTTGCACATATTCTAAGGGGTCATGCAGCTAGACTGTCTTCTATAAAACATTCTTTTTGAAATATTTAGTTGCTGCAAGGCTCACTCACTGCTTCCAGAGGCAGCCAGTCCACTGGTGGACAGATGTAACAGTTATGAAGCCCTTCTGTGTACAATAGAAATCTGCCTGTTTTTATTTCATAACTCTCTCCCATTGGCAGTGTTCTTGACATCACCCTTATTCCATGTGTATTTTGTATATTTGACAACTGATGATGGTCATTCATCTCTGAATACATTCCATTTTGTCTATTTCTCTCTTAAATTATGCTTCTTATAGCTAAAGAGTTGTGTTCTATAAAAAATGGTAATGGGTAATACTTTTGTAAGTGGAAGAAAAGGAGAAATGAGTTCTGGAGAAGAATGTCTGCCAATTTGATCTCAGTATATTCAGTGCATTTTGTCATTTGTTTCCAAATGTATATCTCCAGCCTGGAGATGTAAATGTCCTCTACCTGAACACCAGATTAATCCACAGTCAGCATGTTCATTTGAATGCCTGACAGGCATCTCAAATGGAACTTTTCTCCACCAAACCTCCTCCACCCACAGTCTTTCCAATCTCAGTTAATAGAGGCCTCGTCCTCGCTGCTGCTGAAGCCAAAAACCTGGATCATTCATGATTCTTCTGTTTCTCATGCATCCTTCATCAGGAATCCAATGAACTCAACCTTCAAAATATACCCAGAATCCAACAAATTCTTATTACCTTCATTGCTACCCCCTGGTCCAAGCTACTGTCATTCTTCACCTGGATGTTTTTAATAATTACTGGAATGGTCTCTCTGCTTTTATTCTTTGCCTTCCACAGTCTGTTTTCCACTAGGCAGCCAGAGTACAGATAACTGAAAAATACATGTCACATCATGACCTTTCCTTGTTGATAACCTTCCCATTTCTCTTAGTAAACACTAAATCCTTAAAATAGCCTACATCCCTTGACATGATTGAGTGCCCTGTTGCCCTTCTGACCACACCTGCTAATATCCCCCTCTTCACTCACTCTACTGCAGCCACAATTGGCTCCCCACTTTTCCTCAAACATTATAGGCGTACTCTCCCCTCAGGATCTCTGCATGGCTCCTCCTCCACCAGCACTGTCTTTCTCCAGATCTCCACATGGCTCATTCCCATTGAGGTCTATCCTGACCACCCCACTTAAAATTGCAACGCCCCCAACACTTCCAATGCTTATGCTGCTGTTTTTCCCATTGCACTTGCCTCATTCTAATAGAGTGTAACTATAATATATCATATTCATGGTTTATTGTCAGTCACCCTCAGTAGCAAGTAAGCTCCCCATGTGCAGGAGATGTTTTTTGCTCACCCGACAACACTATCTCACAGTTCTCCCTACAGAGATTAACTGTGGAAATTAAAAGGAAACTGGGTTCTTTTTTTAATTTCCAGATTTGTGTAGCTTCAAATTAATTTATCCTGTAGTAAAAACTAGAGCTGCGTGCAGTGGTTTACACCTGTAATCCCAGCACTTTGAGAAGCTGAGGCAGGAGGATCGCTTGAGCCCAGGAGTTTGAGACCAGCCTGGGCAACATAGTGAGACCTTGTCTCCATAAAAAATTAACATTTAGCTGGACATGGTGGTACACACCCACAGTCCCAGCTACTTGGAAGGCTGAGGCAGGAGGATCACCTGAGCCCAGGAAGTCGAGGCTGCAGTGAGCCATCATCATGCCCCTGCACTTCAGCCTGGGTGACAGAGCTGTCTCAAAGAACAAAAACCCTAACTAGTGGTTTTTATAGTAAGTGGAGTATTCGTCTTTTATTCTAGAAATTCAATGATTAAATTTCAGTATCTGAGCTGGCACTACTGTTATAAATTGGCACTTTTTAAAGGCCCCAAAGTTCAGAGACCATACATTTTTTATCATGGCAAAAAGCAAATACATTCTTCATTCAAAGAAATGAGCCAGGAACTGTGAAGAAATTTGGGGTAGAGATTGTAAAATGGTCAAAATTTGTTTGAATTAAAAAGCTTCAGTCATTGTTCAGTTTCTGAAATTTATCAAATCTGCTTTACCAGTGCTAGGAAATTTTTACATTCATCTCACGCCAATTTTTACCTGACTTCAATTCATTACTATTGAGTTGGTTTGTTTTATAAGTTAGAAACACTAGGATTTTTTATCTTGTGCATTCTGGTCAGATGTAGTCTTCCTAGCATTTCAAGGCCACCACCCTGATTAGGACTCAGCAGCATGGAGTCTCATTGAAATTACCTTGAAACCCACCTTTTTTTAATTCCCCCCCAAGATGGATTCTTGCTCTGTCACCCAGGCTTAGAGCACAGTGATGCAATCCTGGCTCACTGCAACCTCCACCTCCTGGGTTCAAGTAATTCTCCTGCCTCAGCTTCCCAAGTAGCTGGGATTACAGGCACCCGCCACCACACCTGGCTAATTTTTGTATTTTTAGTAGAGACGGGGTTTCACCATGTTGGCCAGGCTGGTCTCAAACTCCTGACCTCATGACCCACCCCCCTCGGCCTCCCAAAGTGCTGGGATTACGGGTGTGAGCCACTGCATCTGGCCTAACCCAACTTTTAAAAGCACCCCATCTTTTGACCTTTGAGTAGAAGCAGGAATGTACTGTGGTGCTCTTTTTTGAGATCGCAGAATTCCAAATATGTTAATTGTTTTCAGTTATACAAATGACTAATGAATTGAATGCAGTCTGATCTCAAAGGAATGTGCTGGGTTTTTGTTCATTTGGAACTAAAACATTCAAATTAAGATGGTTCCCTTCAAAATTTACACCCTTGGAAGAGTCACATTTATTTCAGGGCTCTCGCCATCAGGCAAAACATTTGGAAGTGCCTTCAAAGTCTGCCGTGCATTCTTCTGAATGTCTGAGTCATAGAAAATGTGTGCATTTTGAAGGTAGATTTGATTTTTTTATATAAAACAAAGTAATTTAAAACAGTGTAATGAATCAAGCAAGTAAATGTTGGATGGTACATGTTTTGGTTTAAAAAGAAAAAAGTATGAATATCAATTAATAAGACTTTCTTGGGGTCATAGTGGGTAATGGAGTGACATGGTTAGTATACCATTGCTGAAAAGGGATTTTCAAAATATTTTAAGCAATGTACCATTCTATAAGTATTATTCTAAGGTCACTTCATTTGAATGTATAAGTTTTTATCTGTGTCGACACGTCTGAATTTTTTGTAGTTACATCCTGTATTCCATGTCCAATTTCGAAAGTTGTCAGACTCCAAGATACTCAAGTGACAAAACTGGATGTTCCCTCCATCCCCAAAAGTCCAAGTAAATAGTGTTGCCACATTGAAACTAAGAGCCTTTGGAAATCTGGACTTGAACCTTAAAAATAATTTCCAAAGCTGTGGACAAGGAATTACGAGAAAGCATTTCTTACCAGTTTCAGAGCATTATCACAAGAATAGAATTCAGTGAACCATTTGTATCAGTTTTGTGTTATTTCTTTTCTTCTTGGTATTCGACTTGCTATTTTAGAAATTATGGATCCGGATGAGCAATTGGAAACCCTTCATGAAGCACTGAAACTACTGCCACCTGCTCACTGCGAAACCCTCCGGTACCTCATGGCACATCTAAAGAGGCAAGCTATAGACTTTGAGTCTTACACTTGTATTGCATCCAAATTTTAAGGACAAAATGAAATGAAGGGTGAAAGAAAGGACAAATAATCTATTGAATGAATAAATAAATGCATAGCTATATTGTCTTTTGTGAAATTGCACTAGTTGAGAAGGAATGCTAAAAATATTTTACACTATAATACTGAGTGCAGACTTGATTGTGTTATAAATGGATTTGCAGTTCCAGTATATGTTTTCAGATATGCTAGAAATACCAATATTCTGCCAAGGACATGCACTAATTTTTGTGGAAAGATAGAGTTGTGGCTGTAAAGACACTTGCATAATAAAGCAAGAAGAAAGCAACTTGCAACTTGCAACTTGCAAGGCAGCTCACTTTTCCTATCTTCTTGCTCCAAAAAAAGCACTTCAAACTTGGTGACAGGATTTTCGATTATTGAATTATTGTTGCCAACACTGCAAACTGATGTAAAAAGTGGTGGAGTAAAGAAGTAAGGGATAAAGGGAGGAATGGAAAACGAAGTATTTCAGTTAATTGTGGTTTGATGTTTTCAGGCGATAGTCATGCAGCTTTACTCCCTACTTGGTCACCCTCGATCTCTATCAGTTGAAGCAAAGATTTCCAAATTACACGACCAAGTTTTAGTGGTTTTAGGTTTTCAAAGTATAAAACCAATCAGAAACAAAAATACGTATGTGGCCAAAGGCATGAGTTATATAAAAATGATATTTTAGTCACTCATGAATGTTTACATTTTTCCTCTTTAAGAGCACCATGAGTTAAAACCTTTGTTTAATGTGCTTACAACTTCGCTTATAAACTCAGGATTGCTTCCTGTTGGGATGTATTTAAGTGTTCCACACTAAAACAGAGGACTAACTCTCAAATCATATTTTCTGTGTTACTGTGCAGTGGTAAAAAGCATATAAACACATACCCTCCCTGACGATGGTGCCTACCCATTGCTTATTACTGTCGCTGCTGTTCTCTTCCTAGACACTTACTCAACTGTCTACTTGCAAAACTACTCCATAGCAAAGACAGCCAGAGTGAAGGGAGGGTGGGTGGATTAAATCAAGGTGACCCAGTTCCTTCTCAGCTATTTGCAAATGTAGGTTTAGAACTATAGGCTGTAGGTGGGCTGTGGCAGGAGGATCCATAGATAGAACTGAATCCATACAGTGCAGCACATTAACTCAGGCTTGAGCCTCAGTGATTACCACAAGTTTAAATTATCTCTTGACATAATTTACTTTAAGGAAAGTCAGTACTTTGAAATTACAGAGAAATAACCTAGTGGAAGAGTTGATAAGCGGACGCAAACTTTTATTGTGAATCTTGTTGTTTTAGTGTTCAAGCACAATGAAGAACATATGGCTTACACAAAGTCATTTATTCCTGTACTTGCATTTTTCAGAGTGACCCTCCACGAAAAGGAGAATCTTATGAATGCAGAGAACCTTGGAATCGTCTTTGGACCCACCCTTATGAGATCTCCAGAACTAGACGCCATGGCTGCATTGAATGATATACGGTATCAGAGACTGGTGGTGGAGCTGCTTATCAAAAACGAAGACATTTTATTTTAAATTTTTAATTTGAGGGGAAAAGAAATGTTTTACAGATGAAGGAATGTTTTATAGTAATTTAATTTGCTCCTGTAGCTGCATTATTTCTTGATTAGAGGTTTGGGCATATAACCAGATTAAAGTGAAGGAACTTTCTGTTGTTTTTGTAGCACCGCTCAGCTGTCTTGTAAAACAGTGAACACACGCTTTCTGGTTCTAGTAATCCTGGGTGTTTATCACGTTCAGAGAAACTCAAGCTATTGCATGATTAGCCCCCTATCTGGCAAGGAAACCCCATACAGAAGAAACAACAAACCTGCGCCTGCACCGCCTCTGCGTCCTGGGTAGTCTGTGCTTGTAATCCAGCATGTTTCACAGAGTAAGCCTGTTGTGACTTTGCTTTTGGGGTCTATGTCATTGGTTTCTGATGCTTGTACAAACACGCACACACAAATGGATAAAACAGCACCTCTGGCTGTTACATTACCATAAACCATATCACATGCCTACATTTTACAAATGATTTCTGGTTTCTCTTAGTTCTTCTCTAACATAGTACTTTCTTTCCAGCAAAAGCAAAATGTGTTTTCAGATTTGTTACTTTAATAAAGGTTATCCATACCAATAAAAAGTGTACAACACAGCATTTTCTGTTAAATTATTATTGGTTTTCAGTTGTAATTTGGTATTTTTTCTGGCATGCGTTTATTAATTTATTAAATTGGCTTTTAGAAATAAAAAATATTGATAGCTTACTTTTTTCTCATAAGAATATTCGGGAAAATGTGTTTGGCCATTTATTAAATACTGAGTACTTCTTCTGACCTCTTTTGTTTACTGTTAAAAGTGATAAGCTTCTAAAATAATCATTTAAAACTGCTTACAGTTAGAACAACCATTAATTCCATTTATTTTTCTTCTTATATTACTCTGGCAGAAATCTAGAAAATATTTTCTTGACATACTTTTTAATGAGAGGTTGGGCAGGAGTTCCTACCAGAGCTCTCAGAAGAAGAAAGAGGCTAACTAAAAAGAGTAACTTCTTCTAAACATTTGATTTGTCAAAAATATATGACATCAACATGCATTGAGCTGACAATGCTGCCTGAGAGATGAGCCCCAGAGGCCAACCTGGTGGCTGGAGAAGGGGTCTGCAGCTAGGGGCCAGGAGCCCAGATTCTGGGCCTGGTACTACCACTGGCCACCTGTGTGGCTTGGAGCCAACAACCCTCCAGAGTCTGTTTCTGTGCCTATCAGATGAACACCTTTCTAGAACGAAAGTTCCATCCTGTTTTCAAATTTTTAACAATAAAAGACACATGTTCAAACTTTGAAGATTATTCCAAAAATAATGGGAACCAATGAAAATATGGAGTGTTTTCATATTTTTGCCCCTAGGCTATAGTAGGAAATTCATAGTATGCTTTCATCAGTCTTGATATTGAGAAAAGTATGGTTTATTCAGTAGATATTCCATCTCAGCTCTCCTGTCAACCAGTCTCCTGTGAAGAACACCACTGCACTGAGCAACATCAGGTACATAGATTGATAATGCACAGAGATTTATATAGCATAGAATGTTTTTTTTTTTAATGGAGGCCACCAAAAGGCACTAAACACCAAGGCAGTGCTTTGGACACATCAAACACAGTTCGTATTTCTGAGAAATCTGATCAAAGAAATCTGTCCCTGGGTTAAGTAAACCAATTGGACTACTATGTGCTCATTGCTGAAGTCAGTTTTCTACAGAGTTTTACTTTTTTAAAAGAGAAATTCAGTTATAAAGGAGTATGCTTTATTAGAATGGATTCACTATTTTTTCCTGAGAAGAGAGATATTCAACTTTAGAGCAGGCACTTACTAGAATTAGAGGTATATTTGGAGCAGAAGGTCATAGTAAATAGGAAGCAGATGTTCAGAGAAAGTTCTGAGCAAGTCTTCAGACAAAGTTATTGCTTACTGGCTCTGAAGAATGTGCTTGGCATGTTTTTACACAGAAGGATGTGTGGTTCATACCCTCAGGATGTATAGATAGAAATAACAGCCACTTCATCTGTGAACATGCTTGGACTGTTGGGTGACACTTCCTTGAAGAAACAATTCCCAGTTGCCCAAGGAGGGTTTTGCTCAATAATTAACCAGAATCTTCTACACATATCTTTCTATGACCAGTGGGAGATTTCTTAAATCATGACTTTTTATGATGAGGCAGATGTTTCTATTTCTAACACAATCAGGAGTGAGAGAGGGAACCAATAAACCTCTCCACCATCACCCACGGATTTGGCAGCACTACAGATACTCTGCCCTGAATGCTAAGTGTCTACATCTTCTCAGTTTTCTATATGTCATTTAATTATTGCAAAACCAAAGACTTCCCTTTTACATTATTTTGTCTTTAAATGCCAGTTATACCAGCTGACCAGAAGAAGTAGTCCTTCGCTGAATTGAGATTTAAAACGTTTCTGTAATTGGAAGAATGGATATTTATCAAGATGTTTCTGGTTACTTGATGAGCTCAAATAGAGGCCTGCTGAATAAATTAGGTTCAGGGTTCCGATCATTCTTTTTTTTTTTAATTTCTTTTTGTTAGTTTTTTGTCTTTTATATCTTTTGTTTTGAGTTCTGATCATTTTAAATAAAATAACTCACAGGCACTGCCCCAAAGCTGATTATAGATTATGGTCAAGTCCACTAAAAGATCACAAAGTGTTTTTATAGCTTGATTTGCCCATAACAACTGCAAGACACTCACATTTGTCCATTAGAGCTGAGCCGAACTGGTAGTGCCCTTCGTGTATCTCATCACCATGCATCACATGCCCACTGAACATCCAGGTTGGTTCTGCCCCTTAGCTAGCATGCATTGTGGTAGAGGGGAATGCAAAGAAGTCTGGCATCAGCAAGGATCTGTCAGCCTAATTTTTAGAGATCTAGTTCTCACTTGCATTATATCTTAAAAAAAAAAAAAAAAATCTGCATCCCTTGTAGCATCTCTGCTACTCATTCCGTACACAGATCCTGTGTGCCAAGCACTGTGCTAGAACTTGGAACAAGATTGGTTCTGATTCTTGAGGAACTCATGGGATCCATTTGGACTAGTCACAGTTTAAAGTACTGTATGCCTCAGTGCTAGATGTCAATAGAAAGCTACCAGACAGCGTGGATGGTTTTGCGTTTCTTTGGGAAAAATATGAGTTCACAAGTCATACCCTTACAATTCCATTTGATACTTTGAAGTTGACCTTAAACATTCATTTAACCGATAAGGAAAACACAAATAAAATGACATCACACAGAGCCGGTGTAAGTCTGTTTGGAAAAATCAAAAGCCTAATGTTTAGCTGCCTGTGCCTTTGGGCGAGTGTCATCTGGAATGGGACACCACCACATGAAAGAGCTACAGTATCCTCTGCCATGGACTCACTAGTTCCTAACTTCCTGGCATCAGATGAGGATAGATGATGATGCTATCAGTTCCATTGCATTCTGGCATACTTACCTCATTTTAACCAATCCCATGCAGTTGATGCTCATTCTGAAACAAGGGATGGTCTCAACCTGACAGCTCAAAATCTCCCTGTGGCATATATATATTTGGTCTCTGTCCTGGCTCCTGGCCTAGAGCTCCTAAAACCCCTGGAATTTCCAGGGTGATAGGAGAGTCTTTTGTTATTTATAATGATCCTTTGTAAGTACACCAGACTATATGCTAATGAGGTGGCTTAGGCTGGGGCCCTTTGATAGCCTCACAAAGGTTATCTCTGGGCTGGCCATAGGAAAGACCAAGTGATTAGGGGCTTGGAACTTTCTCTCCATTGACCACCAGAAAGGGGAGGGAGAGGCCCAGAGATTAAGCTCTGTAACAAACAACTAGATTTGGTGAGCTTTCTGGTGGGTGAACACATGGAAGTGTCAGGAGGGGGCACACCCAGAGGGCATAGAAGCCCCCAACCCCTCTTTCCATACCTTGTCCTGTGCGTCTCTTCTATTGGGCTGTTCTGTAGTATCTTTCATAATCAACTGGTAAACATAAGCAAAGTATTTTCCTGAGTTCTGTGAACTGTTCTAGCCAATTAACAAACCAGGGGAGGAGGTTATAGGAACCCCTCATTCATAGCTCAGCACAAGTATGGGTGGTTCCCTGGGACTTGCAACTGGCATCTGAATTGGGGCAGTTTTGTGGAACTGAGTTTTTTAACTTGTAGGATCTGACACTAACTTGAGGTAGAGAGTGTCAGAACTGAATTGAATTGTAGGACACCTAGCTGGCGTCTGGAGAGTTAGAGAATTTGGTGTGGAAAAAACCCACACATCTGGTTTCAGAAGTTCTGAGTAAAAATATCCCACTCACCATTTATCTAAAACAGGCTGTGATCATCTTCACATTTCCCAAATAGTAATGAAGGAAAAAAACTTAAGTTGCTGTTTTCTCTTGGTTTTATATAATCAGGGAATTAATCCTTTAGCAATTTTAATGAAGGTTGTATTAATACTTTCATTACAAATTCAAACATTTGTTGGTTTCATCACTGTTCTGCCTTATTAAAGTCATTAGGTCTCTCAGCAAATGCTTAAATAATTTTTAAAGTATATTTCACTAGTTTTGTATCTCATACAAGGATACGACTCAATTGATATTTATACATATTGAAACCAAATCAAGAGAGAGCTAAGCTAAAAAATTATAATTCATCACTACATATTGCAAGGAAAATCCTGGTTTATGAGTTTCATTGTTCTCTACTGAAGAGATTATATTTTCATACAGTCATAGCATATTTCACAATGTAAATGTTTTCCTCTATTGCTTATTCAACTCAATAGCACAAAACACCACCAAGAGTTAAGTATAAGCGCCACGTGGCTGACCTAGTTTTTGGAGCTCTAGTGAACCCTTGGAAGTTTTGGGGGTTTTACAGTTTTTCAGATCCACTCAATTACATTGTAGCAGGAAACATGAGCATGTGAAGCTAGAAATCTTAGGATTGTTTTTTCTAATTCTGAAGCATAACCACCTAGCTGCCCATGCCACTGTGGTAAGACACAAAAAGCAGAGGAGGTCATGTTTTAGTGATTAAAATGACTCAGGAAAGGAAATGAGCAAAAAGGGCCTTCTAGAGGTAAAATACCATAAATTTGGAATGTTCTTAAAACACACCAGTCTTTGCTTGCCATTACCTCAAGCTTCGACCAGTTGGTTTCCTCTGATGTGTGTATAGGTGTAACTGGAGCACAGTCCTAGGCTTGTCCATGCAAAAAATATCCAGCCTGATGTTGGAAGCCTCTCTATATGAGTGAACATTTTCCTAAGACAGTTTTTTTTTCTTACCAATGAATATACATAGTAGGCAGGAATATTTTGTTCAAGTTCTTTAAAAACGGTATCCAAACTGTGAGAAGGTGATGACGTGGGCATATAAAAAAGATTAAGTTCAGGTCAGGTGTGGTGGCTCATGCCTCCCAACACTCTGGGAGGCCAAGGCAGGCAAATCTCTTGAGCTCAGGAGCTCAAGACCAGCCTGGGCAATATGGCGAGACCCCATCTCTACAAAAAATACAAAAATTAGCCAAGTATGGTGATGCACACCTGTAATCCCAGCTACTCAGGAGACTGAGGTGGGAGGATCGCTTGAGCCTGGGGGGCAGAGCTGCAGTAAGCCAAGATCACACTACTACACTCCAGCCTGGGCCACAGAGATCCTGTCTCAAAAATAACAATAATAATGTTAAGTTTAGCTACATCAGCAGCATTTCTGTCCTAAGACTCTAGAACCGGAAGAAGCCATTGATCAGCACTAGGAGAGAGCAGAAACTGTAGCCATGAAGCTCCAGGCCCTCAATCCATTAGTGGCCTGCTTCTGCTTCTCTGACTCTACTCTGCTTTAGGTCAGTGCCATGGTTTTCAAACTTTAGATCTTTCAGAATCACCTGAAGAACTTGATAAAGCGGCTTGCCAGGCCCTGCCTCCAGAATTTCTGAATTGGGAGGTCTGGGCTGGGGCCAAACATTTGCATTTCTAACGAGCTCCCAGGTGATGCTGACACTGCTAGTCCCAGGATCACACTTTGGGGACCACTGGCTACGTGTTTCTTGCCCCTGGCTGTCCATTAGGACCACCTGAGTCCCTACTGCAGGCCAATTAAATCAAATGCTCTTTGGGCAAGGCCCGGGCAGACGGCACTCCAGGTGATTCTGATGGGTCGCCATTGTACCGACTAAATTATGCTTCATTTCCTGTTAGTGTGTTAAAATGTTCCTGGGATTTGTTTTATTCAGGGATAGTAAGAGAGCAGACACAGAAATGACTGTCATGAAGGAAGAAGTTCATAGAGACCCCAGAAACAGGAGGCACGGTAGACTATGCAGGATTACATGGCAAGAACCACAGTCACTCAGGAGGCAGAAGAAGGAGGCAGAACATGGCCCAGAACCTTTATTGGGATCTCCAGGGAAGGATGCATGAGGCAGGGTAGGTAGCTGAGTGAGCTAGGATTGGCTAGTTTGAATAATTTCAGCAGGCTCTGGGCTATAGGAGTGGTCTCCATTTGTTGGGTACCTGGTCCTGGGGTGATTTAGAGCAGGGAGAATGTTGTCTGGTATGTGAGTTTGACAAAGGAGATGATTGGGGATGTGAGCTCTGGATGGGTTGGTTTATATGTCAAAGGTGTCCTCAAAGGGGAATTCTTTGCTCTGTAGGACTTAGCTAGCCCTGGGAGGAGCAGGCTCTCTACCATCAATGCATCAAATGCCAGAGCATCAAGAAAACAAAAATCGGAAACTATATTCCATACAGTTGATTGCTCCTACTTCCCTTCAAAGTCACCTCCCAGTTTCTGACTCAAATCTGACTGTCCTCAATACTTTCTTTTCTTATTCAAATTTTATTCTAAATTGCATAACTTAACCTAAATTAGATGTTCTTAGAGAAAGGAAATGGGACTTTATCAAATTTTATAAAAATCACAAATCACAAGGAGAATGAATCAGATGAACACTTATTAACTAAAATCCTTAATTAGGAAGACCAGGGAGGTTCCCGAGAAACACAGGAAGTCATTTTTATGCAATAGGCACTAAACTCAAGGACTTTCTGTTGGAAATGTTAACTTCAAAGATTCTGTATTTCTCAGAGTGCATTTGAAAAGACTAGCATCCCATGTACTAGTCTCTTGTACATGTGAGAAATATGAATTGTTATGAGAACTATGACAACCTCCATCAACCGAACACAGCTATAGGTCCTAAGAACTGAGACCACCTGTGTCAACATGACTTAGTTGTTTTGTCCAGGAAATCTTTGCCCAAGGCAGATAAGACTATGAAGCAATAATTTCACTTTTGCTTCAGAAACTCCCTATAGAGCAATCTACTTGAGACAGCACACTGCTCACCTGAGCAAACAGCTTGCTTACCAAACAATAGCTTATCTATCAAAAGTCCCTGCCAGACCCTGCTGGGTTGGCTAGTCTTAACTACTATATGCCCTGCCTTAAAAAACCACCTTAACCAACTTGAGCCGAGTCCCCCCAGAACCCTACAAAATCCTCCTGTCTTCCTCATCCCGAGACACGACTTATATGCTGTGGCTCTCTCCCTTTCCGCCTTGAGTTCTGCTAGCTTAGTTTTGCTTTATCAGCAGGTTTGGTGATGCATTAGATAGTTCAACAGGTATCCCAAGAGCAAAGAGAACGACAGTTAAACGAGCTTGGGAAATACTGTATACCAATTCCACCTGTGTGGAAATTAGAATCATGTTAGCATAATAAAGCTTCTGAGAAGTTCTGCATTTTAAAAAGTTGAGGAGATTATACAAACTGGCAACTTGTGTATGGGAAGCCTTGTTGTTCCTGCAAACTTACTAACTTATCTAAAAACATTTTTTTTTCTTAACATCAGTTTTAAAAACATTACTTTAGGTCGATGGATGAATGATTTATCAGAAATGAAGGATCCTGGCATCCTGCAGCTAATGGGAAGTGACAAGACGCCCAGGCTCCCCACGCTGAGAATGTCCCCAGTCCACCAGCATAGCCTCTGCTGGGCCTGCCCTATGCCGGGAGTTCCCATGTGCTTAATGAGTTTGAGTAGACTGGAATCCCCGGATCTGTCAACATACAGCCTTTCGCTGAGGCACCCCCAGCAAGGCACCCATCCACTTTTTCAGAGTAGGAGGAGCCAGGATGCCTTCTTGCCCCAGAGTCCCAAAGCCACTTGAGCAGCCTGCCCACTAACACAGGCCCAGCCCAGAACCAGCATTCAGTGAACACCCACCCGATACCCATTCCCACTCCAGATGGTGATGCCAGGAGATCAGAGGAAATCCACACTGAGAACCTTCACAGTCTCTCAGTCAGGACAGCTAACTTCCCTGTTGTTTCCACTCTGGAAACCCCCTGGTTTTGTCCCAGGTCTGGGAGAAGAAATTAATAAATGATCAGATAATTCTAGGATCTGATGCATTGTCTGTGGAACCGGTGGCCAAGCAAAGAGGATGCGTGGCTCACAAAATCAAGGTTATTCCAATTGCCAGTGAGCATTTTGCAAGTGTGTTTCTTAGTATGTCCCCATTAACAATCACTAATATTAATTATAGTGATTAAAAGGAAACATCTGTGAAGACAGGCTTGAATTCTTATAGCTCTGGCTGGGTATAGCCAAATAAGACAGAGCTGCCAGAGGGAAGCATCATCATCATGTCTCTAGGAAGGGAGGCAGCAAGAAGGAGGGAGGGAGAAAGGCGAAAAAAAGGAAGGAGAAAGAAAAGATATTAATAGATAGGCATTAACTTAAACCGTTCAGGCTAGGCCCTAGGACACTGATTTTGTCTGCCCTCTCCCTTTTTCCTCCCTCTCCCCCTTCCTTGCTCTTATTACTCTGGCTTGCTGCTAGTTTTCAGATTGCAGAGCAATGCGTCTACAGAGGAAGCCAGAGTTTTTCACTTTGCGAAATTCATGCTGTTCCAAGTCTACTGAACTGAACATGGATTATAGCAAAGTTGTTAACATTTTACCTGCCCACATACCACGAACCGCTTTTCTTTTTTCTTCTTCCAACTTTATGACGGGAAGAAGCAAAGGGTTTGGTGGAAGGTCATTCTGACGGGAGCTGAAAATTTCTCACAAGGAAGAAATGCCCAGTGCCCCTGTACTCCTCTGTAGTGGGGAGTCAAGTCTCAGAGATGGCCAGGAGAGGACTGGCCCCACTCAGCCTTAGCCTAAGGTGCAGAAAAGCTCAGTCTGCTAGGAGAGGCCTCCCCACCCCCCACCCTCACTCTATACCTGGCCAAACACAAAGAAAAGTGGTAAAGAAAAAAAAAAATCTCTGCGATCAGTCAGCAACCCTGGGAGCAACTTTCTTCCTGATGTGTTTTCCTTCATTGAAAGCCTGGCCCAATCAAAGACAATGCCAAGAGCAAGCTACTTAGTTCTCAGAATGCCCAAGGTCTTCTATAATGTTGTGGAAAAAGACTCCAGGCTTGGAACGTAAAAACAAGGCTTGCCAATTATAAAAACTGCATTGTGGGAGAAATGAGAAAGCTGGCCAGTCTGGGGCTGGGGCCCCCGAAATATCAAAATCGAGGGCTTGCTTTGATATCTACAAGCCCTGCAAAGCTTTCCTTGGGGTCAGCAGGGGAGGGTGACTACAAGGATGATGGCCTTCCGGCCACTCCCACAGGAAAGACCTCAGATGGGATCCCCGTGTTCAGCATGGTATGGTGGTAGACAAAAGGACAAAAAATAACAAATGCTGGCAAGGATAGAGAGGGGAACACTCGCACACTGTTGGTGAAAATGTAAAGTAGTATTACCATTATGGAAACCAGTACGGAGATTCCTCAAGAACCTAAACTAGAACTACAGTATGATCCAGCAATCCCACCGCTGGATATACATCCAAAGGAAATGAAATTAGTATGCCAAAGACACTTGCATGTTTATCACAGCACTACTCACAATAGCTAAGACAGCGAATCAACCTAAGTGTCCATCAACAGATGAATGGATAAATAAAATGTGGTGTATCCAAAATAGAATATTATTCAGCCATAAGAATGAAATCCGGGCCAGGCGTGGTGGCTCACGCCTGTAATCCCAGCACTTTGGGAGGCGGAGGCGGGCGGATCAAGATGTCAGGAGATCGAGGGCATCCTGGCTAACACAGTGAAACCCGGTCTCTACTAAAAATACAAAAAATTAGCCGGGCGTGGTGGTGGGCGCCTGTAGTCCCAGCCACTCGGGAGGCTGAGGCAGGAGAATGGCGTGAACCCGGGAGGCGGAGCTTGCAGTGAGCCGAGATCGCGTCACTGCACTCCAGCCTGGGCGACAGAGCGAGACTCTGTCTCAAAAAAAAAAAAATAAAAATAAAAATAAAAAACTCCTGTCATTTGCAGCAACATGGATGAAACTGGAGGACATTATGTTAAGTAAAATAACATGTTACTCATGTGTGGGAGCTAAAAAAAACCGTGAATCTCATAGAAATAGAGAGAGAATGGTGGTTACCAGAGGCTGGGAAGGGATGGAGGATGACGAGACGTTGGTTAATGGGGACAAAAATACTGTTAGATAGAAGGAGTAAGTTGTAGTATTCGATAGTATAGCAGGGAAGTTATAGTTAATCATTTATTGTCTATGTCAAAATAGCTAGAAGAATTGTGACTCTCCCAACTCAAAAATGTTTGAAGTGATAGATTTCCCAATCAGCTGACTTGATAATTACAAATTGTATACAGGTATCAAGATATTATACGTACCCCCATATACATGTACAACTATTATACATCAATTTCGTAAAAGAAAGACCTTAGTGAAATGGGAAAAGTTCACTTGTCGCCCTTGCAGGGCGTGCGACACGGGGACCGGCTTGCTTCTTCAGTGCCCCATTACTCAGGCCTCTAGGGAGCATACAGACGCGAAGGCTACCGGGCTCCAACCCCACGGCAGTGTCGAGGGGTGGATGTTTACAGCTCCTGAAGCCCCAGTGGGCGTGTGCTACCCTGCGCTCTTTTAGTTTTGTCGTCTATAGGCAGCTTGTATTAACCAGCTCAATTAGACCCTCTGCCTTGTTGCAACAACAGGGGGCTTTCTGTATCCTGGGTGCTTGCTTTGCTGTAACTGAAGAATCGGATCACACCTGGGCTTGGAGAATGAGTGCAAGATTTTGAGTAAAGGCAGCTCTCAGCAGATGGGGGAAGTCAGAAGGTGATGGAGTGGGAAGGCTTCCCCCCTGGAGTCGACAGCTCAGCGGCCTGGGCTCTCATCCGACTGCCACAGCATCATTCTGCTTCTGCCGGTCAGTGGCCTAGTTCCTCCGCCATTGTGCTCCTCTCCACGTCCTGCCATCTGTGTGTCTGCCTGCTAGGGCCTCAGGATTTTTATAGGCACAGGATGGGGGCGTGGCAGGCCAGGGTGGTCTTGGGAAATGCAGCATTTGAGCAGGAAAACAAAAATGCCTGTCCTCATCTAGGCTCGTAGGGGTGGAGCCCTAGCCAGGGGCCACGCCCTTCCCTCCCCCCCCCCCCCCGCCCCCGCTTCCGTATCACTTAAAGGGACCACGCTCTTCCCTTCGGTATCATTAGGAAGCTCAACAGGAAGGGAGGTGGGGTTATCATAGGCTAGCCATTCCAAAATACTATTTGAAAATGGGACTGAGACCGTAGTTTGGAAAGAAGTACTTGTTCTGAATGATCAAAGGGGAAGATGATCAAAGGGGAAGATGACACAAACTCTATAAAAGGGTCAGATGTCTGTTCAAGGAAATGAAGCATTAAGGATCTGATTATTCTTTAGGTTTTTAACTGATCAGGACTTGCAGTTCTTGTGTTACCAAGGGCCTGGTTTTCTGGTCAGCAGCACACAATTGTTTTAAATCCCAACCACTCATCCTAGTAATCCAAGCCCCTGAGTAGCCACAGGGGTCTTGCATTTCCCCGGGGCAATGGCTTGAGGGAGAGTCTCCTGCCCCTCTATGATTTTCAGGAAGAACTGATTCCCTGTCCCAGGTTAGATGGGTCTCCAGGAATATCCCTTAGTGACTAGAACAGAGCCCTCAGCCAGCCATCCTGGAGCTTCAAGCACCCTACTGCAGTGGGTGGTACATCTGGGCCCCATATGTTCGCAGGGAGGGGCTGAAGAGCCCAGGCCTACATTGCCAGGTCACCCACCCATTTGATGTGTGGTCACAGTGGAATCTGGTTGCCATGGGGATGCGAGGTTTTCTACTCAGGCTGTTTGAGAAGCAAATTTTTCCATTGTGTATATGTAAGCATACTTCAACATCTTTAAATTCCTTTTCTTTTTCAAATAGCATTCAGGGTGGATTCATACATTTAAAGAAAAATTCTAAAAGGCAATTTCCCAGAAAACAGGCTTTTGGAGGGTAACCAGGGTTCAGCCTTTGTTGAGGGATGAGGATAGGAAGAAGGGGCAGGGGCCACTTTTCTGAAAGCACCCAGGTCTACCCGCGCTGTTTAACATCTATCTCTGTGCTGCTGCCAGAGGCTGGCCCAACAGTAGCAGAAGCTCCAGGGATAGGCCAAAGAAAGCATTTTTTTCTTCTTCAACCTTCAACAAGGAAAGTTTACCTTGTTTTCTTTCTTGGTATTCAGTAAATGATTCCACAGCCCAGGCCTCTCTCCTCTATCTCAACACACAGGAACAATTTTTTGAGCTTCTGTGGACTTCTTTTTGGAATATGGTAAAATATACATAAAATTACCATTGTAGCCATTTTTAAATGTACAATTCAGTGGTATTAATTATATTTACAGTGTTGTGCCATCCATCTACAGAACTTTATCATCATGACAAATAGAAACTGTACCTGTGAAACAATAACTCTCAGCTGGGCGTGGTGGCTCATGCCCCTAATCCCAGCAGTTTGGGAGGATGAGGCGGGTGGATTACTTGAAGTCAGGAGTTCAAGACCAGCCATGGCCAACATGGTAAAACCCGTCTCTACTAAAAATACAAAAATTAGCTGGGGGTGGCCACACACGCCTGTAATCCCAGCTACTCAGGCTGAGGCAGGAGAATTGCTTGAACCCGGGGGGCGGAGGTCGCAGTGAGCTGAGATCGTGCCACTGCCCTCCAGGATAAGTGACAGAGCAAGACTCTGTCTCAAAAAAAAAAAAAAAAACTCTCAAGGGGCATGATAGCTACCTGCAGACCCAGCACTTTGGGAGGCTGAGCCAGGCAGATCACCGCTTGAGCTCAGGAGTTCAAGACCAGCCTGGGAAGCTTGGCAAAACCCAGTCTTTACAAAAATTACAAAGATTAGCCAGGTATGGTGGTGCATGCCTGTAGTCCCAGCTATTCGGGAGGCTGAAGTGGGAGAATCACCCTAGCCCAGGAGGTCAAGACCGCAGTGAGCAGAGATTGTGCCACTGCACTGCAGTCTGGGTAATAGAGTGAGATTCTGTCTCAAAGAAGCAAACCAACGACACACACACAATAACTATGCCCTTCTTTTCCTAGCCCCCGCTAACTACTGTTCTATTTTCAGTCTCTGTGAATTTGCTTATTCTAGGTACCTGATAGAAATGGAATAATTCTATAATATTGTCCCTTGGCGACTGGCTTATTTCCCTTGGCACGGGTTCAAGGTGCATCCATGTTGTAGCAGTCTCAATGCTTCATTCTTTTTAAGGCTGAATCATATTCCATTATATAGATGTGCTGCATTTTGTTTATCCATTCATCTGTGGATGGGCACTTGGGTTTTTCCACCTCTGGCTATGGTGAATAAGGCTATGGTGCACAAGGGTCTGTTTGAGTCCCTGCTTTCAATTCTCTTGGATATATAACCGAAGTAGAATCGCTGGATTGTAAGGTAATTCTATGATTCACTTTGTAAGGAACTACCAAACTATTTTCCACAGCAAGCCCGGGAGACTTCTGATTAATGCGTTTCCTGGAGCAGCTGAGGATTGTTTTCCAATAGAGTTTGGCAATGAGAACAATGGCATCTATTTTTTAATTCTCTTATTCACTTTCTATTTTTCTCTGAAGGTTTCTGTATGTCTTCTTTGTTCAAGATTCTCCTATTGACTGTTAGATATAACATATCTGGGGGCATCACTGAATTGATAATTGATTGATTGGTGGACAAAAACTGGCAACAAGGTGGGGTGAAGCAAACATTCTCCTGCTTTTCCAAACCCTCCTGTGGATCCAGCAATACTTGGCTTCCACCGGTCATTCACAGGGACCTTCATCACAACATCCTCTCTCACCCTCCCCACTCCCAGCTTCTGTCTCCCCCAGTCCATCCTCAGGACCAATGGAGTGTTCCTTCCCTGGACTCATTCTCCAAACTTCCACCACACTGGAAGTCTCTACAGCGTTGTCTCGTGTTTTCACTGTTATTCCTAATGTTTTGTCTTCTTGGGGCAGCATATTCCCACCCCTCCCACTTCCACACATACAACAGTCCCAGATATAAGGCTAAGCTCATCATAGAACTTGGAAAGTAAGAGCACACTGACTCACGACCCTGGTCATAGACTTGGACAAATGCTGCTTGGAGGTCCCAGAAGTAAGGAAGCCTGGGGTAAAGGAAGCAGCCATTTCTAGACATGGAGACTGGATTTTGCTTTTCTCTTTTGCATATTCTCATAGTGAATATAAAATATTCAAAGAAAGACATGTAACTGAAGAGTTTAATGAATAATTTATAAAGCAAACATCTTTGTCACCACCACCCAGGTTAAGAAGAAAAACATTGCCAGGCACCCCAGAAGTCCCTGTCCACCCTGGGAAAGAAAGTCTGGCTGATTCTGATTCCTTTCCTTCCCCTGGGTATCCGTATCTTGTGTTTTATAAATTTTTTTCCATATTTTTGCTACTTTTGTATGCATCCCTAAAAAAAATATGGCTTTGTTTCTGAACTTCACATGAACAATATAATGCTGTATATATTCTTTTTCGATTTTCTTTGTTCACTCGACTTTATGTTTGTGGGTTATGACCATGTTGTTGCCCTAGCTGTAATCAGTTCATCTTTACAGATGGATAGCATTCCACTGTACAAATATAGCTCAATTTATGCAGGCCATCTATAACTGTTGATGGGCATTGGGTTGCTTCCAGCATGGGGCTATTAGAAAAAACACTCTCATGATCATCCGTATACATCTCCAGATGCAAAGCATGTGCCTAGGAGCAGGGTTGCTAGGTCATGGTGCCAATGTATCTTCGCCTCTCCTAAATAACGAATGCTAGCCTGTTTTCCTAAACTGTTGTGTCATTCTCACTCCCACCCTAGGTGAGAAAGTGCCTACTACTCCTTTGCTCTCCAACACTCAGAAAATGCTCTGCAAATCCATGAACACAGAAGGCTGCTTATCTATTTCACTGGAGCTAAAAATGTTCAACAGCCACATCCTTGACCTTGGAGATCTCTAAGCTCAGAGGCCCTTGGAGATCTTTCCACAGGATCTCCTGCCCCAGTTTCAGAATAGTGGGAGTCAGGGGAGACTGGAACAGAGATGACAATTGCAGCTGGGCAGGAAGGCCCTGAGGGCACTTAGCAGTCACCCTGGAGTTGTAAATGGCAGAGCCTCGCCAGCTACAGACCCGCCAGCCAGTTGCACAGCATACATCAAAGGCTCGAGATGCCCGGCTGTGGGTTTAAATGGAGCCCAGGTGTAGCCTGCAAACTCCCTCTCTTCTCCCCCACTGAGCTACACCTCCACTTTACACGCTGAGCTTGGCAACCTCAGCACGACCAAGGCTGTGGGGTCAGAGTTGCTCTCAGTCTTGCCAGCTAGGAACGCTCAGTTAGGCTTGGTGATTAGAACCCACCCTATGAATAGAGCAGAGATGCTGTGTTAGACCAACTACTGTTCCAGAATCAAGTGATTCGGATCATGTGTGTAAGCAAATAAAAAGTTCAATGTTGTGAATTGAGAAAAAATTTACGTACCTCCTTATTACAAATTTCAAGCAGAAGAGATAAGTACGAAGAATACAAAATCACTTAAAACTCCACCATACGGAAACAACCATCACAAACATTTTGTTCATTTTCATTCCATATATCTCTCAATGCAAATACACAGATGGAAAAAAGAATGGAAGGAAGAACTGAAGAATGGATGGATGGGTGGAAGGATGGACAGATGGACAGATAGATGGGTAGGCAGGTGAGTCCGTAGATGGGCACACAAGTTATAGATGTAATTCTAGAAATAATCCTACAGTACATGTTATTTTGAACTGAAAATGTGTTCCTTCTCTTTAGAAACTATTACCTGTTGCTTTCTTCCTGTAAGTACAGGAGTAAGATATTCTTAATGCAGAAACCTGGAGATCATAGAACACAAACTAAAAAATGCACTCATATTCCACCACCAGAAGATTACTGTTAACATATATGCATACGTATGTATATAGGTATGTTATGGACTGAATGATATCACCCCATAATTCACGTGTCAAAGCCCTAATCTTCAATGTGACTGTATTTGGAGACAAGGCCTTTAAAGAAGTAATTAAGGTTAAATGAGGTCATAAGGCCCCTAATCCAGTAGGGCTGATATCCTTATAAGAGGAGGAAGAGACACCAGAGATCTCTCTCTCTCTCTCTCCATGTGTGTACAGAGAAAAGGTCATGTGAGGACACAGTGAGAAGGTGGCCGTCTGCAAGTAAGGAAGAGAGCCCTCACCAGAAACCAACCCTGTTGGCACTCTGATCTTAGACTTCCAGCCTCCAAAACTGTGAGAAAATAAGTATCTGTTGTGTGATCCATCCAGCCTGTATTACTTTATGGCAGCCCAAACAGACTCAAACAAAATACAATGTAATATTTAGCAATGCACCTCTGTCACCTACCTCCATGGTCCCTTTTTCAGTCTTTATTCTGTTCAGTGGCCAAGGGCCAAGGACTCCCTGTGATGCCAGCCTCTGGGCACCAGAATGGAACTACTCAAAAGGGCAACAGCAGCCCCGCAGGCCTCCCCATCCTCCCACCCAGTGTAGGCTCAGTAATAACTGAGTCTTCATAGCTACAATGCCTTGAACCAGATTTTAAAACAAACAAACCATGCATGAAATTGATACAAAAAATAAAATGCTGCTTAAGTCTGTCCCTAGATCCAGCTCCTAGGGGAGTCCCTTCTCCCCTACAGAATGCATTGGCCTCTGTCATCACACCACCTTCTCCGCCATCAACACAGGGATCGGGAGGAGACCAGACATGTTGTCCAGACCCAGGCTCTTGTGAAAGGTCTTTGGGTTTTGGACAGCAGTATCCAAAGCTTTCCAACTTCTTCCCTATGCTAGGGAGAGGCGAGGCTCTGTAAGTGTAAGCCTAAGGGGGTGAAGAGGCCTCGTGCTCACAATCCCTGTCTCCAACCTCATTCCTTATTCCTACTAATCTTCCTGGTGCCCCTTCTTATCCAAGCCCCTCATGTGATCCCTACACCCAGGGCACCCACCACTGCATGTCCTCACTTGCATCAAAATATCTCCAGCTCCCATCCTTAGAACTGTCGCGTGAGCCATCCCTTAGTAATATGATGGTCAACTCCGTGAGGGGATTGAGCTTGTCATATATTGCTGTTCCCAAGCTACCGGTTTGCATTTTAAATGGGTCTTTCTGAAAGCAACGGTGTACTCTTAAAAACATGGCTCCCCCCAGAAGCTGCGTGCCATGAGCCTGATTGTTGGGGCTCTGCAGGGGCCTGCAGGTGTGTGGACGCTTGGATCATACTGAGCAAGGGGCTACCTACCCCCTCTATGCCTGAGACCAACCTGACTTCTAAGGAGATGGTGGAAGGGGAGCAAAGAGAGAGGATACCTCCGCATTTCTGCTCTGGGCCCCGCTCTGTGGGGGCGCAGAGCAAGCTCGCTGTGTTCAGCCCAGCCGCAGTGCCAGCTGGCGAGCTTGCCAGATCTTTCTCTATCCCCCATGCCACCTCCTCCTCTCACCTAAAATGGGAGGAGAGGGGGAGGAAATGCTGCATTTTCCTCCTGTGCTGAATTTATCCCGACTCAGACCGGCTGCGGAAGCCAGGGAGAAGATAAACAAAGAAGTCTTGTTATAATTTTTCAAAAAACTCCCAGTGCTCTGCAGCCCACTCCGTTTTCTTCCTACCTTGCTTAGGGTGGAACTCCGCCTGGCTTCTGCTGCTCTGTCCTGCATCTGAAGGGTGACCTCCTTGCTGGAGACCCTCCTCCTCCGTGTGAGCCCCAGACCCTGGCTGCAGCTTTATTTCACAGGTGGGGACTGAGCTCCGAGGCAGGTGCTTGGCATTTTCTAACCAGTTAACACCCTTGCTGTGGCCATCAGTTGGCCACTAGCTGCACCTGCCTCGCTGTAAACTGGAGAGCAATGGCACAGGACTTTACCTCATGCCCCCTTCCCTCCCTATGGAGGCCCTAAGGAGAGATACAGAAGGAACAACAGCCTGAGGAAGAAAGAGAAGTGAAGTGAAGGGCCTGGATATCCACCAAGCGGAATTTGGTGCTTGGACCAAAGGAGCTGGGCGGTAGGGGCAGGAAAGGACAGCCTCATGAGGGCCAGGCTGTTGTCTCGTTTAGTCTTCATTGTAGTCCGCTGGTGATAAAGAGAGCAATCAGTAGCTTTCCTCCTGGAGAGTGTGGGCTCTGCATCGGAATTCAGGCATCGTGGATATTTACACCTTGCCGTGGGGCACAGGCACATGGTTGAGCTGGGCCAATTAGAGACACACAGACTTAAGTGAGATGCCAGAGCTGAGAGTGGCAGGAACAACGAGGGACCACCATGGCAGGGGGCTGCAGGGGGTGGAACCCTGTGTCCTCAGTGGCCTTGGAGGTAGCTGTTCCCCTACGGTGGCCAGGCCCAGCACCAGCGGTACCCATAGGGGACTGTGATGTCCAGGAACCCACAGCAGGCGTCCCAGAGCCCTCCCGGCCCTAGGCTTCTGGTGTGGTTCTGCCCATGAGCCTGGCTGCGCCAGAGCCCTCCTGCTGTTTTCCAAGCTCACGCTGCAGCCCTCGCTGACTCTGAGCCACCCCATAGCCATTCAATACACTCCTTTTCCACTGAAAAGGCAGATAGTGAGAAACGTTGATCCAATAATAACATGAAGTCCATGAAAGCCTGTGGCTATGAAGAATGCTGAGCCATTGAATCCACCAGAGATAGTAAAGGGGGCCTTGAAATATTCTGAGGCTTGTAGAAGGGTAAAGTAAATACCTAAGGTAATTGTGATGGATACTGCCTGCTGAAAACAGCCCTTGTTCGTTTCTGCTGCTTACATCTGAGAGCTCCAGCTGATTTCCCAGACCCCTGGGCTTTGATTCCAGAGACTTCCACCCTGCTTATCTCCATATGCTTTCCGCCTGTCTGAGGCCAGAGTAGACCCACTACACTTAGATGAACCAAGCATATCACACATCACATAAGAAGGATAAAAGCCTCCAAATCTTGCACCAGCCTCTGCCCTCCTACCCTGACAGCCGCCACTTCTACCAGTGGGGGTTTTCCCACCAATCAGGCGAGTAGGTTGAGGAGAAACCTGTTCTGTGGGCAAGTGAGGACTTCTGAAACAACAAGGCCACCAATCAGGATGAAACTTGATGTCCTGAGAAGCCCCCACACAAGCCTCCTGCGTGGCTTCTGATCGGTTTGATTCTAGCCCTGCTGTTCTAGCTACCTGGTTACTTCTAAATGGGGCTTTTATTACTAAAAGCAAGGTTCCCAGAGCCTGGAGTGTCTTCCAACATTACAATCCACATTGCAATGGTGAATAGTCACCATCATGATCACTCAAAGGCCAGGCAGGTATTTCCTTTTGCACTTGCCCTTTTGCATTGGCATTTTTCTCTCTGCCTAGTCTTTTAGCACCTGCCTGGCAACATTAATTATTTAAAGGGAGGTCAGGGAGGGCCAGAGCATCCCTCTGTGCCTTGAAATTACTAGTTTGCTTCTACTCTCAGGAGAGTCAGAATACAGGATTCCCAAGTCTCTGGGAGAAGGGTCACATAACAAGAAACAAAGGGTTTCTTAAATCCATCCAGATTTGTAGGGAGGGATTTGTGGAGGGACCAAGGGGCTCTACTGGAAATAAGACCTTAGTGACTTCTTTTGAATATCTCTTGGCCTCAGAATAAAGCGATGATGTTCCTAGACCCAGAGGCCTTGAGCAGACAGAAGCTGGCCTCCGACTGTTAATCCTCGAAGTCCTTGTAATTCACCCACAGAAGGGGGCTCTGAAATCAGTGGAACATGTGGGCTCTGAGAGCATCCAGTCTCCTATTGTCCTCAGAATCCCACCTTCCTGATGACATCCAGATGTGTCATCATTCCACGGGTCTGATTAGCTGTAGAATGTGGTATTTCCGTGTTTCCAGGATTCATCTGAGTTAACTCTGCTGCTAATTGGATTTGTATCTGGCAGTGGTAACATCAAAAAAAAAAAAAAAGGTTTTGTAGTCAATTAGGTTTCCCTGGAACACACAGGAAGGGGTTGTCCTGTCAGCGCTGAGGTGTCTCTACCTTAATGAGCTGCCCCAGACAAAGGCACAAAAGGACATTATCAACCCTGAGTACCTGTCTTTAGTGGCTTCTGTTGAACAGGAAACTGAGCTGGATCTGGGCACATGCGAGCTGGCTTTACTGCACTCTCAAATCGCCTACTTCCCTGGGAACACATCTGAGTGTGATCAGGTGCATTAGAGCCACTTTAAAAAATCATCCCCAAGGAAATGAAATGCACAAATGGTATTCCTGCAGCCTAATGACCCAGGGCTTGGTTTAACTGCACCAAAGGCAGGAAATGGCCACATACGAAGCCAGTTACAGCCCCCACTGCCCCCATAACCAAGCCACATGGCACACACCTGGAGGAAGGGAAGTGGAATTCTTCCTGCAAGGTTTTTTTCGGGTCTAGAACAAATTATTCTTCAAATGTCTTAACATCCTGAGTGTGGGTGGAAGTGATGCTTAGTTATATCTTATGGGAAAGATGGCGTGTTTTAGAGAAGAATCATCTAGCTGGCTGGGGACTGCAGGAAGGGCCGATGGTCACTGAGGGAAAACAGCAAGGCCTTGGCTTTTTTTTCCCTTTGGGTCTTGATGGGTCAAGTTCTGCCACTTTTTTAGAATACTGGGGGTTTCCAATCTCTGCCCCAAAGATCTGGAGGCACTTCCTGCTCGAAGAGAACTGGAAAGGCAGGGAGAGTTCCATATTCGTCACTCAGCAGCAGTCACACTGCCAGGACTGGGAGTGGTCTGGGAGGAAGTGGGCTCTCTCTGGGACAGTGGGGAGCCCCAAGAGGAGTGACCTTGTGAGGAGGTGGCTTCAGTCACAGACAGTGGTGGGAGTGAGCCAGGCTGTGGTCAGTCCGTGGTGAGGAGGGATTCCATCTAGGGGCGGGCAGCGCCCAGCATGTGCTGTGCCAGGCCAGCCCCTGGGCCTGAGGTCAGCCTATGCTGTGTTTGCCTTCAGGATCCCATGACCCTTCTGTAAATGTGACGCAACGTGGTCCAACCACTGCTGCTATGGGAACTGGAACTGCACATTTCCTGCCTTTCATCTTCAGCGTGTTAGGAACGAATATGTCAAAATAAGCAAACCACAGCACCATCACTGGGGCGAGGGGCAGGGCTGTGGCTCTGGGGGAGCAGAGAGGGCTCCAAGCAAGCTGTGCCAAGAGAAAAGCCTGGGGCATGTTTTCTGCCCACACCAGGCCAAGCGAGTCTTCTGCTGGCCGAGGACAGGGGTGTTGCTCAGTCAAGGTGCACAGCCTGTGTGGGGACATGTGCTATGGTTGTCAGAACCCAGCTAATTCTGGGTTCTTTCTGGATGATGCTGGGAAAGCTTCGCTGTGGAATTTTATCATTTGCTGGAGAGCATGAGGCCCTCCCTTGATCTCCTGCCATAGTGGGATTCTGGAGAAAAGCCGGGCTTTGACAAGGCAAATTCAGAGAGCATAAATGCAGACCATGAACACAGCAAGCATAACTTTTGGGTGATGACACTGATCTTTAAAAAATCAAGTATGTTAGAATTTATGTCCCAAAGTGGGGTATCCTTGTGGCATCTCCTTGGGGATGGCAGGGAAGAAGGAAAGGGTGTGCACTTACCCTATTCCAATCCAGGTGGAAGAACTGCCTTATTAAACTGTGAGAACATTCAGACACCAAATACAGAGATGGTCCCAGATCTTTGCAGAGCCCAGCATTGCCTGGCTTGCTGAATGTTCTCCTTAATCCCAGTTTGCTTTCTCTCTCTAGCCCCCACCCTACCCCACATCTTCACTGCATCCGCACAGCAGGCAGCCAGGCTTTTCCTTCAGCCTCTCATCCCTGAAGGCACGGACGGCTCTTTCTCCCAGACACCAGGCCCAGTGTAAAGATTCAGGCCACATCAACACCCAGGAAGCTCCCTCATATGTCTCCCTTGGGTCTCTGACAACAACCTCCTATTTCTAAAACCTGCTTCCCAGTTCTGTCTTTGAATTGTTCTCTCCCGATTCCCTTGCTCTCACTTTCTAAGCTTGCTTCCTCTGGCTCTTTCTTTGCCCTTCCTAAGCCATATGGGAGGGGGGCAGATGATCTGTCTCTGTCTCAGGGAGGAATTTCCATCTGCAAAGTATCAGTCTTTATACATATGGTACAAGAATGAGCTCTGGTTTAGGACAAAAAGGGATACACAAATGCTGTGTCACTGGCAGGCTGGGGATGCTTGTCACAGAGCCAGGCACTAGGAACAAGTCCTTACTTAAGGTGACCATTCTAATCAACGACAGGGTCCTCCTTAACCAACACCATGCCAATTCACCTTCAGAATTGAAATGAGCACAGAAGTACATGCCTGCAAATTTTTCAAGTATTTTTCTCTAGGAAATATGAGCCAAAGATCAGGCTCTGGGACTGATATTTATATTTTGAAGAGGTAGAACTTGAGGGGCCCTCTGAGAGGGGTCAGCAGCTTCGACCTTAATGCAGGATTAATTGCATCAGGTCTGGAACTGGCCTGGCTAAAGCAAAGACTATCACAGCCCCACCTCAAATTAGGGATGCCTTCTGGTGCATCTCTTCCCACCCAAAACGTATCCTGAAAGCCCCCATCCTAGGAGCAAGGAGGAAAACACTGGGACAGCAGCCGTTTGTCCAGGACAAGGGGGGGCCTAGTCATCCTCTGACCCTTCAGTTCAGTGAGACTCTCATGCTCAGAAAGGTTTCTCATGACTGCCTGGGCTCCTCATGTTTCTAAGAAAGGGGGTGCGGGGTGGGAAGAGGATAGAGCCAAGGCTGTGTGTGCTGTTTTACAAGTCATCACAAGGAAGCTGAAAGGGCCCTGGAATCCTATCTCCTGCTATCTTGGCTCAGGTTCTCAGCATGAGCCAAAGCTGCCTTTATTGTTTTTGAAACGAAAAACAAGCATCATAAAGTTAACTTTCACCACAACAACTTTAAGTACTTCTGAAAACAATTTTACAGAAAAACAGAAAAGAACCAGACTGCACAAAATTGGTGCAACCACTAAGAAAGAAAACAGGTTTTATTCCTTTGATATTTTGCACAGATCGGGAGGAGGGGATAAAGGCATTGCATAGAGTTCAGTTAGGAGGCTGAATATCTGCAGCCTTATGGAATTTCCCAATTCCAGCAGGACACGAGCCCTCTGAAGGGCACTGTCTCTGATTTTGCTGGAGGACATCTCACTTTGGCTGAATTCTTCCCCTTATACCGTCATCCCTTGGAGCTGCACTCCTCAAAAGTGACTGCTGGTGGCGCTGTAACAGCAGCGGATGAATGCATCCTCCAGGGGCACAGGGATTGCTCAAAGGGGCCACAGATAGACAGCACTCATCTTTGAGGTCTGATATTTTAAGCATTCATGTGAATTTTGCATTCATATTTATTTTCACAGAAAGATCAAACTTTATATTGTTCATTGGTTGAACTCGTCTATAGTCCTGGCAGTGGACCACATAAAGACAGGAACTGGAAATGTGGACCAAAGTCAAGGGCAGAAACTCTCTCACAGGACTAGGACTGGACCTGAGCAAGACTGTGTCACCACACTGGGCAGGTGA
The DNA here is from genome assembly GCF_000001405.40 of Homo sapiens. Taxonomy (NCBI): domain Eukaryota; kingdom Metazoa; phylum Chordata; class Mammalia; order Primates; family Hominidae; genus Homo; species Homo sapiens. The sequence goes on along the minus strand of NC_000002.12, from coordinate 174,776,100 downwards.
GGGGCAATGGGTGCAGTGGGGGGTGATAAATGGTGATCCTAGTCAAAGGCAGGGACTCAGGCACCAGGAGCTGAGAGGTGCCACGACCAGGTCTGGAGAGTAACCTGGACAGCTCTGGGAGGATGCTCTCAGGACTCAGGGACCTCCTGGCCAGTGCGGCTTAGCTGAGGAAAGAGGAACTTCCTCAATGGCCCCGCCCATGCTGAGCTCACCCATGCTTCTCAGGATCTCACCTGACAACAGGATGAGTCCCCTTCCCTTGGGTTGGAGGCTTCCTGTTCCTTCTTGAACAGTCCCTGGAGTTCCTATGCAATGACAGGGGACTTTGACATGAGATGGGAGTAGGCTTTGGACTGCCTCACCCAGAAGCCAGGTGAGGCTCCGTCCCAACACTTCTCAGGATGAGTGTCATCACATTTTTTTCTCAGCCGGTTTCTGGCTGGAAATCTGACAGCTAAGCAGTCATACTTCTGGGTTTACACGCTGTTATTCTATCACTGAAAGTATTCAACAACATTTGGGTTTTAGTCATAACATAGCTAATGCATAATTTTGTTTGCTTTGCAGCCAATTAAATAAAGAATTGGAGCACATTAAATAAATGGTTAAATCGATTAATTTATATTTTTCCAAATCCTCAAGTAAAATTGAAGCTCCAGGCAGATGCACTATGTTTACTCAGGAGCTCCAGGCCTCCCACCCGGGGACTGCCAATGTGCCCAGAACTGTGACAAAACTAAGCTAGTACCACTAATGCATTGATTGAGCCAGAGCACACAGAAGGGACTTGTAGAAGTTGGCAATTTAAACAGTACTGATCATGGCCATATAATAGGCTAACAAGGCTAATGTACTTAAAATAGTATGACAGATGAAGTAGTGCTTGAATAAAATTCAGCCTTAACTAGCCAATCTTTAAAAGTCTAGCTAGATAATTAGGGAGCTGACACACATGTTTTAATTTGTTGTAAGGCCTCTGTAACAAAGAGAGAAGGTAAAACGTCATAAATATTCAACACATCTACACTCTTTCCACTGAACTACAGAACACTAAATCATTCTGTCACATACAAGGCCCATCCTCCTCACCCGTAATTAGCGAAGCATTCCCAAGACCAAATTACATAGTACTTAAGAAAATTATGAAAATGAGAATGTAAACAGTATCACATTTGACCACAGCACTTGTCAAACATACCCTGCATATCACGGGCTTTCTCTAAAGAAACCTGTTCGTGCATTTATTAGTGTCAAAAGACAAAGTTACAACAGATTTAATTTAAAGATCTTAATTGGCTTTTATTTGCAAATCTAGAATATCGGGCAACACCTCATTCTACAAAATAGAATGAATGTTCCCATGAGCCGAGCAAAGGATGTTGGTTTTATGGTCAGAAAATGGTTGAGGAAAGCAGAAACGGAGAACAAAAAGCAGATTGGTTGTTTCCAAGTTACTTTCTTTGGAAAGTTTGAAGCAGAGGGGCCTTCCTATCATGCCAGCAAAAACTGGCCTGTTTGGGGATTGGGCTGTTATCTCCCTGTCTTTCTTGATTTCTTGGAAGATCGGATAAACAACTCAGTTTTGGCTTGGTGGTGTGAACTTCAGCATGAGTGACTCCATTTTGGTTTGGTCTGTTAGGCCTGGTGCAGGAGCTCAGTCCAAGTCAATGGCCTCCTGTAAATTTCATGTGACATTACTCTACACGTTTTGGGACTAAAAGAGAGCATGCTTAGATTATTGTCATGTGTAGTGTCCTCACAGGCACATTCCACTTATGTATCAGAAACCCTTTATGAATTCTGTTTAATCTTCGCCATTTACCCAAAATGATTCAAAAGGGCTTACATGCTTTGGAAAAGACTAAAGGCTGTCTCCCAAACTTCTAGCTCTCTGATATTTGGCCACTTTTTAGCCAAAAGGATATGCAAGTCTTTGTTAGAAAATCGTGTATTAACGATTAGTGGACAACTAACTACTATTGTCTTAAACAGGAAAAGAAGAGAAGGAAGATTCCGTTAAAAATTCCAACAATATTTTAACATTTCTTGTATTGTCAGCTTTAGGATATTTTGAGAGCCTTGAAAAACTTATCTTTGGCAGTTTTTTAGCAGAAAAGCTTACTGCTTATCATTTTTCAGTATGTAATGAATATAGTAACTATCCCAGCTAGACGTGAGGTTTCAAAGGCTAAATTCAGTCATCGATTTGATTGCATTTTTTGCACCAATGCAATTAATTCCACTGGAAGATGATAGAAAAATTTCATTACACAAAATGCGTGAGAGGTGAAAAATAATGTTTAACTAAACTCTTTACCAAGGCTATTATAGCTTTGAGGAAAATCACTTAAAAACAAAATTAAAAATTCTAAATTATCTGTGACTCTGCTGAGATAGACATTATAAAATACTGTAATATTAGTGCAAATTTTTTTTGACGCGAATTCTTTATTAATTTCATTTTTGATCATTCTTGACATAGTTTCAACAGTAGAACATTCTTGGTTCAAATTAAAACTAATTAAAAGTGATTTAGGGAACACAAGTGAATAACAATGTTCACAGTTAGCACCTCTCAGAATAGAAACTCAAGCAGCTGACAAAATGGAAGTTGAGAAACATTCATGACTTTGACTATTCCAAATCACAGCAACGTTTGCTTATGTAACTGAAATAAACCCAGGATCCTACATGGTCCAGTCTTGGCACTGGTTCAGTCCAGCAGAAAAATAGAATTGAAAACAAATCTTTCTTGCCTTTTGAGAAAATGCCAAAGGTAGGAGTGCATTTTAAATATCCAACAAAGCGCCTCAAAAATAATGTTTGCACTCCTCTCCCACTCTCAAGTTATCTGGCCAATTATATCTCCTCCCTCTCTATTCCCCCAACCTCTCCAGACACCCAGACACTTTCTCAATTCTCTTTTTTCTCTGCCTTAGTTCTTCATTTGTCATTGAACTTAGCCTCCCAAGCTTCTTTAGTTTTCCTTCAGTCTGTTATTACCCAGACTGTGTGTAACAAAGAAAAGTTCAAGACATACTTTTTGCTACCAGCACGGGGTAAGGAAGGACACATCAGATTCTGCGCCACACTCATTTTTCTTGGTTTGTGTCTGTCCCAGAGAATATGAGAAGCTGGCCATGGAAGAATTCTGCCATCAAAGCATTTCCTGCATTGATCAAGTGGTTGGACCCCAGAGCTGCCGTGGCCAAGGCCTGGCTTCGGTTCGTGTTGACTCTGCGTGGTCCTGCAGCCACAGTCCACGCTTACTTCTGCCAGGGGTCCACTGGGTCAGAAAGTACCCCAGAGACAAAGTATCCCTTGAGAGAAAGAGGCGCAGATTTTTCTCCTCCTTCTGAAAGGAAAGTTAAGAGAAAGATTACATTTATAATTTAATGTACGCACACGTATATTTTAAAAATCAAAGCACAGCTGTTCTAGATGAAGGAAGGGTGGGAAGCAGGGAGCACCACCCTTTTGGCCACTCCTCCCTGTCCACGATCTCTCCTCCTTTCCTTCTCTCATGGCCACCTCAGGAGAGCTTCCTGGAGCACAGTTTGAACCATGAGTGTAGTGGACAGAGCACCGTGTTTGGGGTCAGAAATATCAGATTCCCCTCCTGGTACTTGGATCTAAGTGAGCTCAGACACATGACGTATGTCACGTGCACAGCTGAGCTGCTGCAAGAATGAGGTGGTAGCTAACAGGATTGCAGTACAGGGTGATTTCCCCTCTACCGTTAGACCCAGAGAAAAAGGGAGATTGTGAAGCAGGACGGGGGCAAATCCATCCCTGCCCCTGGAAGAAACAACACCAAGGTCGGGGGAACCCATGATGAGTGGTCAGCAACCTCTTTGTATGTAGTTAGAAGCCTTTGTGTAATCCAGTGGTAACAAACCCAATCATTACTACAGACTGTCAGCGTGATTGCATAGCACTGAGCCTGGCTGAAAAAAAAAACAGAAGAAACTGACCATTGCAGACAGAGTGAGACATGACAGAGGCAGGTCATCTGGTGTAAACCGGATGAAATCTCACGCCTGAAGAAGCCTAGATTTGCACATGAATTGCCTTTGGCTCTACAGCCCTCCAGTACAATTACTCAGAACTGTAAGCTTGTGAAATAGAAATGCAAAGTCGGGCTCTTTCAGGGGCTTAGAGTTGACCCCTCTTTCTTGACTCTTCTGAGGAGCACCTGTAGTTCCTGGGGTGCCTTCCTCACCCGAAAGGGCCTGCTGGGCTGGCTTGCTGGAGTTTCCAAAACACAGGCCCTGGGGGCACAGCAGGAGAGACACCTCATCCGGAGAGAGCCTCTAGCGCTCGGCCACCGCTTTAATAACCATTTGTTGCCACCTGCTGGCCACTGGACCAAGGCACTCCATGCTGGAAACAGGAGTTTGGCTAAGAGTTAGCCAGGCCCCAGGGAGCTGCACCCAAATGCAGACAGCCTGTGTTTTCTCCAAAGAAGTGACCTTGGGAGGATCCACAATTATTCCATTCATTAAGCCACACAAGAAGGTGGATTTTATAAAAGAGATATACTTCATTCATGCATTAATTAGTCAACTGCAAACACTTTTGGAGCTACATGCAGGTACCCTGCATGGCACTGGGGGTGACTGATAGTCACATTTTATTTTATCCCCAAATGACATTATCTAGTATGATCTTCTACCCTATTCATTGAATTAAGCTTTACATCCATTCATTCCCTCATCAGCAGTTATTTACTGACTGCCTACTGGATGACAAGCTGTCAGCCAAAAGCTAAGGATACAGCGGTGAGCAGAAACAGGTGCCATCTCTGCACTCACTGGGTTGCAGTCTAGTGGGAGAAACAGACGTTAATCAGATAATCACACAAATAAATGTAACATATGCACCCTGACAGGTATAATAGAAAAATATAACCGTGAGAAGAGCAGGTCTAAGTGACTTTGGTTGATTCTAAAATGGAGATTTAGCTATTTGATATGCGTTAAAATTATTTAACATGTTTTCATTTTCTGACCCAGCACTTCTACTCTTAGAAACTCATCCTAAGGCAATAGTTAGAAAATTGGGCTGATTTATATGTATAAGGATGTCCACTGCATGATTATTTATAAAAGCAAAAATTAAAAATAAAAAATGAAAACATCCAATGGTAAGAAATTGGTTAAATGAATTATGATACATTCAAAAAAGAGAACATTCTCAGGCATTGAAAATGAAAATGGACCGGGCGCGGTGGCTCGCGCCTGTAATCTCGGCACTTTGGGAGGCCAAGGTGGGCGGATCACCTGAGGTTAGGAGTTCGAGACCAGTCTGGCCAACATGGTGAAACCTCGTCTCTACTGAAAATACAAAAATTTAGCCAGGCATAACGGCATACACTTGTAATCCCAGCTACTCAGGAGGGTGAGGCAGGAGAATCGCTTGAGCCTGGGAGGCAGAGGTGCAGTGAGCTGAGATCATGCCACTGCACTCCAGCCTGGGCGACAGAGCAAGACCCTGCCTCAATTAAGAAAAAAAGAAAAAGAAAAGAAAAGCATATATAGTAAATCCCATTTGAAATTGTTTTTCTGAGACCGAGTCTCACTCTGTTGCTCAGGCTGGAATGCACTGGTTAAGCTATCACAGTTCACTGTAACTTCCAACTCCTGGCCTTAAGCGATCCTTCTCCCTTGGCCTCCCAAAGCACTGGGATTATAGGCATGAGCCACTGGGCCCAGCCCCCTCTGGAACATTTGTAATGTTGTTGATTGGATCAAAACATTATATCTCTATTATTGTTGAATATTATCATGCAAATATGCTGTATGCTGTTATTTTTTTCTATTCAGAAAAAGGCACAAAACAACAACAACAAAATTCTTTTCACTCTGCTCCCACCAGCTCCCACCTAATTTCTTTGTTACCTTTTTCAGTAAAACCTCCAATTCTGCCCCCTTAAACCTATTTCAGTCAGGTTTCACACATGTGAGGTTGCCAGTGGCCTGCCTCCATAGTGCTAAGCCCCGTAGCCATTTCTGTCCTCATCTCATGGGCTCACCCCCACCCCACCTCCTGCACTGGCCTTTACCAGGCTTCCAGAACTCTACCCTCTTGTGGATCTCCTCCTGCCTCACTGTGTCCTCCTTCTCAGTCTTCTTCGCTGCACCCTCCTCTTCTTCTCAACTTTTTTTTTTTTTAATGACACAGAGTCTCACTCTGTTGCTCAGCCTGGAGTGCAGTGGCATGATCATGGCTCACCGTAGCCTAAACCTCTTGAGCTCAAGGGATCCTCCCACCTCAGCCTCTCAAGTAGCTGGGACCATGGCACACACCACAATTCTTGGCTAATTTTTTTTTTTATTTTTCATAGAGATGGAGTCTCACTATGTTGCCCAGGTTGGGCTCAAACTCCTGGCCTCAAGTGATCCTCCTGCCTCAGCCTCCCAAGTTATTTCCCAACTGTTTTTTTTTTTTTTCTTTTTGTTTTTGAGATGGTGTCTCACTCTGTTGCCCAGGCTGGAGTGAAATGGTGTGATCTTGGCTCACTGCAACCTCCACCTCCCGGGTTCAAGTGATTCTCCCGCCTCAGCCTCCCAAGTAGCTGGGATTATATGTACCCGCCATCATGCCTGGCTAACTTCTGTATTTTTGTAGAGATGGGGTTTTACCATGCTGGCCAGGCTGGTCTTGAACTCCTGACATCAGGTGATCCACCCACCTTGGCCTCCCAAAGTGCTGGGATTACAGGCGTGAGCCACCACGCCCAGCCTCCAACTTAATGTTAGTTCTCTTCTCTTTTCTGCCCATACTGATTCCTTTGACCTTATCCTGTTGTGGCTTTAAACAACATCTACTCTAGATTTCCCAAACTACTGACTCAAAAATCCAACTGCCTGCTCACATTTCTAATGGACACCTCCAGTTGATCACACCCCAGGCAGAACCCTTGAATTTTCCCCCCTTTAAACCTGCTCATCCACGGTCTTCCTTAATCCACTTGTTGGCATTTAAATCCTTCCTTATGCTCAAGCCAAAACCCTGCAAATCATCTTAAATGCCTCCCTTTTTCTTGCATTCTAGATCAAATCCTTCAGGAAATCCCATTAACCCTCACGTCAAAATACATTTCCCAAATCTAACGACTTCTTACCACCTTCACTGCAACCACTCTGGTCCAATTCATCACCATCTACCTCAGGGATTACTGCAGTAGTAGCTCCTAATTTACACCCCCACAGCCTGGTGTCCCCAAAGCAGCCAGAGTCGACCTTTGACAGCATATGTCAGATGGTGTCACCCTTCGGCTCAAAATGCTGCAGAGGCTCCTCATCTCACAGAGAATGAAAGTCGAGGATGCGTGTTGCGTCCCCCTTCCCTGGGCTGCTCCCTGACCTCATCTCCTAGCAGTTTCCCCATCTCTCGCCCTGCTCCAGCCTGCCAGCTTCCTGGCTATGCCCGAGATCACCAGTCCCATTCCCCTCAGGGACTGCGTTGCTGCTCACTCTGCCTGCAATGCTCCTGCACAGATATCTGTCTGCATCTCCTTCAAACGCCACCTCCTCAGTGAAACCCACCCTACCTGCTGTGTTTAAAATTGCAATCCCCTTCCAGCTGTCCTGGTCCCCTTTTATCCTGCTCTGCTTTTTCTTTTTCCTATAGCAATTTTTACCTGATGACACATTAAACAATTTACTTATTAGTTATAACAATTTACTTATATAAATTATATATATCTTATTTATATAACATATAAGAAAAAATATATAAAAATATATATTTTATATAAATAAAAAATATACATCTTTTTACAATTTATATATTATATATGTTTACATGTATAATTTATTGTATATGTTTACATATATAATTTATTGTATATGTTTACATATATAATTTATTGTATATGTTTGTATATTATATATAATATATAATGTTTATATATTATGTATGTTTATATATAATATATGTATTTCATATATAAATATATAAATATATTTATATATACATTTATATATATTTTATTTATAATATATGTATATGTATATATAATATATGTTTATATATAATATATGTAAACATATAATACATGTAAACATATATGTAAACATATACAGTCAAACATATATGTATATATATAATATATAACCATATATTATATAACATATGATATAAAAATAAATTGTTAAAAGGATATATATCTTATTTATGTAATATATAACATATGTAATATATATAAAAATAAATTGTAAAAAATATATATTTTTTTAATCATCCATCTCCTCCAATTAGAATGCATTTTTCCTGAGAACCAGGAATCTTTGTCTGCTGTGTTTATTGATGTATTCCAAATGCCTAGAACACTGCTTGGCACATAGCAAAACCCAGTGAAAAAATTTTTAGTGAATGAATGAATGGAATGCATGGAAACAGGGTCTGAACAGACACAAACTAAAACATCAAAATAAATATTCTGGGTAGAAGGATAGCAGGTCTTTTCATTCATCTGTTCTCTAATTTCTCTAAAATAAATTCAAATTACTTGAATAATAAACTTTTAAATGAAAAAAACAGTTTACTCCTGAGGATAATATTAATAGTAGTTTTAGTAATTTTTTTTAGTCTATGGTTTCAACTGTTCACCTTTAGAAGAGATTTTTTTGTTTAAATTGTGGGAGATCACAGTTTGTTTAAACTGTGGCAATAAAGGGGGAAAGCCTCCAATGATATCACTGTGAAGACCCCATGCCAGGCAGTGGGAGAAATTCTGTCTTGAGTTGAGGTCCCCCTGACCCTGTATTGAGTTGACTTGAGAGGTGGCAGATTGGGGAGAAGAGACAGAGAAGGAGAGGAAGCCAATAAAGGGAGGGTTATTGAGCCATTTCCATCATGGGCAACAGGAACTCACTCCCACAGACATAGAGTGTAGGGCACGCTTGGGGGTTACCCAGTCCAAGGGGAGATGGGGCGGGGATATTTATCCTCCAACATTGGTTGAGGCCTGTTTCTGGAGGCAGTAACACTTTAGCATCTCAGGCTTGTTTCATGTGTTCCCATGGCCAAAAAAAAAGAAAAAAAAATCCCTCGGTTACAGGGTTGCAGGCATTGGCAGTAAGCAGAAAGCCAGGGTAGGCACAGAGAAGGTCTCAACAGATTCCTCGATTCGACCCGATTCTGCTCTGTGGGTGGAACTCCCTTGTCCGTTGCTGTTTGAGGTTCCTGGCTATGCCCCGGGGAGGTTCTTCCTTGCCCACTTTCCCTCACGGCCACAATTGAAGGAGGGGATGGAGAAAGCACCCTTTTTGGAAGACTGTGCAGATCTTGGAGCCTGCTTTCTGGCCGTGTGTGTTTGGGAACTCAAGGACTGCTTTAAGCCTTGAACAACCAAAACTTTTGTAGCCTGGGTTAATGAACTCTTTGGCAATATAATTCCTTCAAATACTGAGTAAGCTTCTGCAATATTTGTTTCCATCATTCCCATGTGCCTATATACACACATGGTCACAATTCTTTAATCTGATTAATTTCTTTGCATCCTAACCACTATACCTCTCTCCTTCAACTTAATAGCAGCCATCTTGAAGCCATCTGAAAAAAAAAATAGATTTGGCTGTGAAGAAAGCACCCTTAAAGTGATCTTTGCTGTGGTGATGAAACTGCCTGTTTAAAGAGAAGTCTTAACGGGCTTTGGTTGCTCAAAGCCTTTATTCCATGTTTTCACTTACTCTTTTGAAGTTCAAAACAGAAGACTCCACATTTCTGGACTCATTCTATTTCTTTTCATTTCTGCTCTTGAACCAGCACATTTTTGCCTGAGCTCAGCTCTTCCTTGTACTGACTTGCTAAACAAAGCCAGAAAGAGCCATGGTGCACTAACTTTGGGTTTACCAGCCTCTATTCTGGGAGCTACAGGCTCAGTAGACACATTGTTCACCAAGTAATTGAGGACAACAGTTTATGAAATGATTTGATACCATATAACATGGGTCTTCATATTTTCAGCCTCCAGTATCAATTTTCTTGCCTTCTGCTGCAGTGCTACATATTTTAGAATTTATTTTTAACCTCAGGATACTAGTGCAAAGGATTACATATTTTATTAATTACGGAACACTAGCTGCTGTACAAATAAACCCAAGGATTTTGATGGCTCAGCACGATGCATGTTTTGTTTTCATTGAAATAGTGCTGGGTGGTGAGCAGGTGGATAGGGGGTCCCCCTCCATGCAGTCATTCAAGGATTCAGAATGTCAAAAGCAACACCACCTTCAGAACATGGTTTCTAAGGTTAACTTTGGGACCATGTCCATTCTAGCCGGTCAGAAGACTAGAAGGGCGGGGCTGAGCTCTGGTAGGTTTGTGAGTCTGAGAACATTTTTCCACTCATGCCACTGGCCAGAGGTCAGTCCCATGGCTCCATTTAGATGGAAGGGGCTGGTCAGAGGGTGGGGGTTGTATTTCTGCCACGGGGCTATTCCATGGAAGGGAGAGAACCAAATTTTTTTTTAGCAAACAGTTAACTGATCTCCCACAGTTTAAACAAAAAATATAAATAGTATGAGCTTGCAGCTCTCTCCTCTACCCTCCAAGCCCCTTCTCTAATGATTTGTTTGGATCCACTGGAATGAGAGGATCTGTCAGGATGTTGTTGTGGGCTTGAGGTGAGAGGACCTTTCTCACCTAGTTCCATGTGGGAAGGAGGCCTGGAAGGAACAGGCAGGGTACCTTTAAGTAACTGTCTCCTTCTGGGAACTCACCTCACACCCTGCAAAGAAGCACAGCTAGGGTAACAATACTTCTCAGACTGAGAAATTACTAACTGCTGGTTTTTAGGATGTTTTTCAAGCAAGATAATTGAAAAGCTGAACCACTCTGCTCTTTGCTTCCCTGAGTGAGAGTAGGCAGAGGGACGGATGGAAGGAGGCAGGAACCCGGAACGACTGCTGATGCGGTGGGACACTTTTTCCCAATAATTACTCTTCGCTTGAATCACAGTGCATAGGACGTGGGCAATTTGCTCCAGCTAATGGTTCGTGTGGGATAGGTATTGCCTGATACAGAGGCAGGGGTTGGAACAGCCACTCTGGGGGCCAGTAAAGCCAGTTTTATGGAAGAAGCTGTCTTTGTTAAAAACCAAACCCAATCAACGTGGGGGCTTCCCAGCAGCAGACTCAACACCAGCTACACTTTTCTGAAATCCAGGCAGTCAGAAAAGCCCCCGGCACCCTCAGCCTAACACTGAAGCAGAGGAAATGAAACTGAAGCCATGTTTGCAGAATGTGGATTTTTGTGGTTTAGGACAAACAGCTGACTATCTACTCAGACCAAATGACCCTAATCAAGTCAACCCACAGAGATGAGGTTCTGGTTTACACAAAAGAGAGGCAGTTTGCTCACCATTTAAAATAATTCCTTCCTTCCTATACATTTTTTTTTCATTAAGATCTGACTACTGGTGCATTTAAAATATAATGCAGTTCATACTCAGCTTGTCAAGGGTAAGCAATTGTGTAAAGTGAGGCATATCTGTAATGGTGTACAGTCCCAGTAACTCCCTGGGCTCCAGGGCTGAGGGCAGCCCAGCTGTCGCTCCCACAAACAGGTGGTGTAAAACAATAGCTCTAGTGAGCCGACTCGCTTTCCAAACCCTCCAGCAGACAAGCACCCAGCCAGAGTGCCAGTGAGAAGCACAGGCCACCACTCTGCCCTGGTCCACACAAGCTCCGGTAGCCCATGGAGCCCTGGCCTCTCCTCCTGCTCTTTAGCCTTTGCTCAGGTAAGTGCTGGGGTCAGGGGTGGGGAGAGGGCTCTCCTTTGAGGCTAAAGTGCTGGAGGCCCCCAAATCAAAGTCTTGCTTCTTTGATGAGACCACAGAATGGCAGAGCCTCCCCAACCAGGGGCTGCTCTGTCAGTTTCTTCCTGATGTTAGCTTGATTGAGTTTTTGGATAAAGATTTTTAGTTTGCCTTATCTAATTAAAATAGAAACTGCCTGGTCAAAGACTTCAAGATAGACACGCATGTCTCTCCCTCCATCATGCCTGGCAGCCGACTCATCCCTCTGAACACTCGGCACCATTTGTAGGACCTGGACCACTTGTGGATCATGGTAGTGTCCGGGGGTTCATATTTAAACAACTATGGATACTTAGAACAGTGCCTTATAATCACATACAATGGAGTTAACAAGTCCCTTTACTGCTCCAGGAGAATTCTAATAATAAAGAGGACTGATTGACAGCTACATGTGCTGGAGATAGAAACCAGTTAATAATCATAACTAAACTCTCTCCACAGAGACAAATATTTTTTAATTTTTTCAAAATTTCTGAAGTTAAAAAAAATTCCATATGAATACATTCCTACCTACTTTTTTTTTTTAAGATGTTACTATATATAGGTTTGGGTTTGAATTGAAACTATAAAACCTTGCACAGCATTTGACCTGCATTCTACTCTGGAATGTGTCCTAACACAGCAGCTGAAACACCATCCTGAATCCCAGACTTCCGCTAGAGGGAAACAGGAGATGTTTGCTGATTGCTTCACATAAAAGTTTACTGGTGATATCATCCCAACTGAGAAACAAGGTGGCTGACATCCTGTGATTTTTCATTTCCAATATTGCTCTGAAAAACACAGGCCTTCTGGTCAAGAGGCAAAAAGCTTTATTATTAATTTTTTTCAATATCAGAGTTGAGTGAAAGAGCCTAAACTCAGATAAATTATATCATGTGGGATTTGGACTCTGTCCAGCCAAAGCTGGCCTGATGTGTGTGTGTGTGTGTGTGTGTGTGTGCGCGCGCGTGCACACACATGCGTGCACGCAAAACCACAGTCACAGGAAAATTCTTAAATGATATGCTTTAATGTAAACATCCTTAAGAGATCTCTTAGGATTTTGGTTATTGCTAACCAAAAATGCATGATTAGCTATTAAAGAAGTATGTGATATGTATTTAGGTCAAATCTCGAGTTTGCTGGCATTGATTTCCATGGGTGTTTTATAGAAATTTAGAGCTAGATCAGGCAGTCCAACATCCTCAATTTTTTATTACAAGGAAACTAAAGCTGACCTGCCCAAGGTCACTTAATTTATACATTTTGGAATGTGGTCAGTTGGAGACTTGGTTTATTACATGCACAGTCAGAAAACACAGCCTGAACTAGCCAAAGGTAGCAAGAGATACAGAATCAGGTTAAGATAATAATGATCCATGGGACTAGTAACAGTTCAAAATTTCTTTTGCCCAGCCCAGGGAGCTATTTCCTACATACAAATACAAATGGAACCAGTGTGGTACAAAAGGAACACTTTGAAACTGTGGTTGAGTTTCCCTTCTTAGAATCAGTCCTTTGTAGACAAAATTGTCATTTATATCAGGGACTCTTTTCCTGTGTTAGCTTAACACAGCGTGATCTCTGTTCTATTTATACAGCACTTTTCATTTCAACTTTTTCTTTTCTTTGCCTCTGGAATCTCAAGCACTTCATTGCCGTCTTTCTTACGGCATATCACTTTCCAACTTGTTCACAGTTATTTACGTAAATGACAAATGTCAATCTCCATGAGGGTAGGAAGAAGGATTCAGTTTTGAATATCTCGAAGCTCCCAAAACAATGCTTTGCTTACAGTAAATGCTCAACAAATATTTCATGAATAAATTAATGTTACCATCATCTGAATAAAGATTACAAATATAATCTTGCTAAAAAGGGGAATTTGACATTATTTAATTTTTTATTTGCATATTTGTTTATTTACACCCTACCTTTTTACAAAAGTATTTACTGTGATTCGTTGAATCCATGAAGAACTAATCCAACTCTCCAGGCCATATGGGAGTTGGGAAGAGAATCATAGAGTTCTGACTTTGAGCCCTGTGAGTTTTCTATCACTCTACCCTGTGCTGGGGAGGAAAAAAGAAAAGAATACCAGTGAACCAATCTAAGAAATGAAGCCCTCCTTCCTTAGAAATTCCTTATGGAAGGAACAGGCACCTTGTTATTGGCTAGGGTGGGAAAGGAGGAGGTGACTGTCTCTGAAATGCTGATTATGTCTGCTTCTGTCATCCTCCCCTTCCTCTTAGTGGGCCATAGGGTTGGTCTGCATAGTTCTCCTGCTACATAATGCTGACCATCTGCTCTGCCCTCTGCTTTCTAATATGTTCTTCCTGTCAAACTGGAGTGAACAGTCATTTAAAAATAAGCAGCCCAAGGCAAGGCCAAAGCAACAGCTTCAAATTCAATGGCCAAGGTGCTCAGTAATCCATTCCAGTCTGCAACTCCACCATGGGATGGATGAGGCCCAGGATAGAAAATGCATAGAGGACAGAAGGATTATCAAGTCCCAGGGGCTCAATGGGGTGGTTGCAAAAACGGAATATTCAAACAACATATTCCCTTCAAGAGTCCTCAAATGCAGGTGGCTTTAGGGAAATGTCATGTGAAATCTCTGCGTGGTTGGGCACTGAGTGCCCTTGGAACATTTTGGGTTCAGAAAACGTGTGAAACTAGCCGGGTGAGGTGGCTCTTGCCTGTAATCCCAGCACTTTGGGAGGATGAGGTGGGTGGATGGCTTGAGCTCAGGAGTTTGAGACCAGCCTGAACAATGTGGCAAAACCCCATCTGTACAAAAAATACAAAAATTAGCTGGGTGTGGTGGTGCGCACCCAGGTAATTTTTGTATTTTTTATAGAGATGTGGTCCCAGCTGCTTGGTTGGGGGAGGCTAAGGTGGGAGGATTGCTTGAGCCTGGGAGGTCAAGGCTGCAGTGAGCTGTAATTGAGCTACTGCACTGCAGCCTCAGCAATAACCTGCGGAAAGGGGAGATCTGGTTACGTGAATGAAGGCAAATGTATCATGTGTCTACTTCCTCTCCCAGCTCTGAACACACAGTCCCCAACCCACGGAAGGCTTGAATTACAAAGATCCTTCATAAGACACTTGGGATTTGGAACACATTTTCTCATAGGAATAGTGGCACTTGCAGTTCTGAGTTTCCAGGACAGCTCACAACACACTGTTAGTACCAAGAATTAGCCCAGAAGCTCAGCACAAAATGACAGGATTCCAATCTGAGCTTTGCCCTTACTGGTCACATGACCTTGGACAAGTGGTCCAACCTCCCTGAATCTCAGGTAAGAATGTCTGCCCTCCTGCTTCATCTGTGGCTGATGAAGATTGAAAAGGGGTGTAGATAGAAAAGGGGGCCGTGGGTTCTGAGAGTATTAGATGATATTGCTCTCTATACTGAAGGAAAATGTAGTAAAGATTCCTTGGAATCGCTTATGTTCCAACTAGGAGCCCCAAACCCAGGTCAACAAAGCACAGTTTTCACTCTATTTTAACAACTTAACTGGGACATGGACCTGCCAGCAGTGATATTTTAAAAAATCGTGGTAAAATACCCATTTCATAAAATTTACCATTTTAACCACTTTAAAGTATACAATTCAGTGGCATTAAGTACATTCACATGTTATAAGACCATCACCACTATCTATTTCCAGAACGTTTTCATCATCCCAAAGGGAAACATCAAGCACATTAAGGAGTCCCACCCGATCCCTCTCTCCCCCCCAGTCCCTGGTAACTCCTGCTCTGCTTTCTGTCTGTATAGATTTACCTATTCTGGATGCTTCATGTAGATGAAATCATACAATATTTGCCCCATTGTGTCTGGCTTCTTTCACTTAGTAAAATGTTTCCAAGCTCCATCCATGTTGTACCATGTGTCAGTACATCATTCCTTTATTCCTTTTTCATGTCTGAATAATAGTTCATCGTAGGGGTATACCATAATTTGTCCATCCATTTACCTGTTGATGGACACTTGAGTTGTTTCCACCCTTTGGCTATGGTAAATAATGCTGCTCTTCTTTTGGGTGTGGACCTAGGAGTGGAATTGCTGGATCGTATGGTACCTGTGTTTAACTTGTTGAGGAACTGCCATTTTACATTCCCACCAGCAACATATGAGGTTCCAGTTTCTCTGCAACCTCCCCAACCCTTGTTATTTTCCACTTGTTAGTTATGGCCACTCTAGTGGGTTTGAACCAGCATCAATTTTGGCTGTTCATGGCATCTTGAGATCTGATGCAGCCAGTCCAAGATTTCATTACACTGCTCTGAAACACTGAGATTGGCTTTTTTGTGGGCTTTTTTTTCGTGTGTGTGTGTGTGTGTGTGTGTGTGTGTACCTGGCAAACTTGATTCAGCCAGGCTGTATGAAGGAATGTCACCTGTCCAAAGTACAAGCGTTGTGATTACCTGGCACACCCCACTGTCACCGGGTAAGGGACCACACCAGCAACTGTAATTGGAAAAACACAAGGCAATAACTGCTGCATTTGGGAGCCTTTCAACAAGGAGGCCTGTGTGCCTTCTGTTAGAAGGAACTGAGGCTTATGCCTCAGTTCCTCAGTTCCTCATGTTCATGTGTTTGGAGGGTGGGGAGAAGAATCTGACAGTGTTGGTGTCATCTGCTGTCTCAGCTGGCCTCGTCCTGGGCTCCGAACATGAGACCCGTCTGGTGGCAAAGCTATTTAAAGACTACAGCAGCGTGGTGCGGCCAGTGGAAGACCACCGCCAGGTCGTGGAGGTCACCGTGGGCCTGCAGCTGATACAGCTCATCAATGTGGTGAGACAAGAGCACTGGGGGCCTGCCCACACACCCACACCTCTCACCCCTGGGTTTCCTCCCCTGGGTCCCCTCTCTCCCCCATAAAAATGATCCTTATTTTTTTTTCCAGGATGAAGTAAATCAGATCGTGACAACCAATGTGCGTCTGAAACAGGTAACTTAGCCAGATAATTGCATGTGTGTCGTTTTCATTCACACTGAAATTAAACCTGGGCCCAGAGGAAATCAATATGGGTAACAGGGATATATACCAAAATGTTGAAAGTAGATATTTTGAGATGGTGAAAGCATGGATCCTGTTTGGTTTTGGTTTTGCTTTTTTTTAAACTTTAGGGCTTTTTCTGTGTGTGTTAGTTTGCTAGGGCTGCCATAACTGTGTGGCTTAAACAACAGAAATTTATCATCTCATAGCTCTGGAAGATAGAAGTCCAAAGTCTAGGTATTGGTAGGGTTGGTTCCTTCTGAGGGCTGTGAGGAAGAATCTGTCCTAGGACTCTCTCTTCAGCTTGTAGATGACTGTCTTTATGTTCAGATGGCGTTCTTCTTGTGTATGTGATACATATACATATGATATATATGAATATATATGTATATTTAAATACATATATATCTTTAAATTCCCCCTTTTTATGAAGACACCAGTCATATTGAATGACAGTCTATTTTAATGACTTCATTTTAACATAATTACCTCTGTAAAGAACCTATCTCCAAATTAGGTCACGTTCTGAAATACTGGGAGTTAGCGCTTCAGCATGAATTTTAGGGGGACACAATTGAACCCATAGCATTGTGCTTTCCAGCTTTACTGCAATGGGCACATACAGGTGGAGTACTCCTTTCCCAAAATGCTTGGGACCAGAAGTGTTTCAGATTTTGGTTTTTATTTTGAAATATTTGCATATACTTACCAGTTAAACTTCCCAAATCTGAAAATCTGAAATTCAAAATTCTCCAGTGAACATTTCCTGAGTGTCATGTTGGTGCTCAAAAAGTTTTGGATTTTGGAGCATTTTGGATTTCGGAGCATTTTGGATTTCAGATTTGGGATCCTCAACCTGTATTACTTTTCTTTTGAGACAGAGTCTCACTCTGTCGCCCAGGCTGGAGTGCAATGGCGCGATCTCGGCTCACTGCAACCTCTGCCTCCCAGGTTCAAGCGATTCTCCTGCCTCAGCCTCCCAAGTAGCTGGGACTACAGGCGCCTACCACCACGCCCGGCTAATTTTTGTGTTTTTAATAGAGACGAGGTTTCACTATGTTAGCCAGGCTGGTCTCGAACTCCTGACCTCAGGTGATCCACCCACCTCAGCCTCCCAAAGTGCTGGGATTACAGGCATGAGCCACCATGCCCAGACTTTACTTTTATAATGTAGAAAAATATATGGTACTTTTTAAAAATGATGTTGCCTGCTTGAGAAAAACGTTCACACTAGGTCTTTCTCCTTTTCTGTGGGTGGACAGGGTGACATGGTAGATCTGCCACGCCCCAGCTGCGTGACTTTGGGAGTTCCTTTGTTTTCTCATCTGCAGAATGAGGTCAGTAATCACCCTCCCCTCACGGGATTGTTGTGAGGACTAAATGAGTTAATATAGGTAAGTTGTTTGAAACAGTGTGAGCACGTCGTCAGTGCTATATATTTGCTGTTCTTATTTACTGAAGTGAAAGCTAAATTCTGAATCCAACTTTTCTTATGGAAGCACAATTTCTGTCAATACTGAATTCCCATGCACATCAGGGCTCTTGATAACCTTAGATTTTAGAAAGTGTTTTTGGCTTTTTAATTAGCTGTATGTCTTTGTTTCTAGCAATGGGTGGATTACAACCTAAAATGGAATCCAGATGACTATGGCGGTGTGAAAAAAATTCACATTCCTTCAGAAAAGATCTGGCGCCCAGACCTTGTTCTCTATAACAAGTGAGCAAACTGCATGGGTGGCGGAGGGTGCTCCTGGGGCAGGTGGAATAAAGTGCCCTAATAGAAGGGCTGCGCGCTCGGAATGCTTCTCACCACTGCTAATGTTAAATCACCCAGGATGGTGGCTCACACCTGTAAACTCAGCACTTTGGGAGGCCAAGGTGGGAGGATTGCTTGAGGCCAGGAGTTTGAGATCAGCCTGGGCAACATAGCAAGACAACATCTCTACAAAATTAAAAAAAAAAATCACTCTAAACCAAGAGCCAAGTTGACGGGCTAGGGGTGCCATATGGTGTCTCATGACTTAAAGAGAAGGGATTACTGCGGCCAAATTGAATCCAGGCTGAGGGTGGGGGACATTTGATCCCTGAGAGCCCCTGAAGCATGTGTGGCAACTTTCCAAGGCACCCAAACGTCCTATCGCTGAATTCCTTGCAATCTAGTGTCTTCCCTACCAAATATTTCTGAGCCTCCTAGGGTTGTCACTCATCACATCCTGAACACCTTCTCGACATCCACTGCTGCTGTTGGCCTGGGATGCCTTCACTGCCCATCCACTGGGCCCCACGACAGACTGCATGTTGTGAAATTATAATATTATTCAAGACGTTCTGGTCTAATGACACGTTCATTAGCATACGCCCTTCATTTGTCAGGAAATGCTCGTTTCAAAAAGCATCCTTCCCAGGCAGGAGCATGCAACACCGGCCGGGAGGATTTATGGTCTGACATTATACAACATGTGTCGGGGGTCCACAAGCTGTGTGTCCTAGCAGACTTAGGGAAGGTGACAGGGCTAGTGGATGAAAACGATACCTTTTAAGGCGGGCCTTTTCAAGCTTTGATTTTCTGCCACACGTCATCCAATTATACCTGGGGTTCAAGCTTGAGCCAAATTATCCGATCATTTGTGTAATCTTTTTGGACAAATGGGCTGATGAAGTATCTTTCAGTTTCTCTTCCAGTAGGAATCTGAGAAGAGCAATTAAAATCCTTTGGTTCTTTTGCCAAACTCACTCAGGATCACCCTGGTGAGGAGAGAACACTGTTTTGTTGCTTATTGGGAGAGACTAAGACAACCCTATGACTCTCTGCCCTTTGGGGCTGCTTTGGGTGGGTCCAATGCCACATAGTTTTCCAGGTAAAGAGCCCACTTCAGGCCCAAGGAAAAATCAATGGGAAGAAAACCTCTTGATTTATGACATGAGGGACCAACATATGCCATGATGTCCCTGAAATCCCACTGAGACAGACCTCATCCTGCCCATTCAACACTTATTCTAACACCCTGCCCTCTGCTAAATCCCTTGAACAGACTGCTGTTTACGGGAAGAGTAAGTAGTCCACTGAATAAGGCCGGCAGAAATGGCTTATTTTGTTTTTTTAGAACCTCCCATGGTTTCTGTCTTTTTAAAAATAATAAATCATTGCCAACATTTGAAAACCAAGAAACATCACATTAAAATCTATTTTTTAGCCTCTCTAGAAAAATCCAACATTTAAACTTCCAGATTTTTTTTTTTTTTTTTGAGACAAGGTCTCTGCTCCATTGCTCAGGCTGGAGTGTTGTGGTGTGATCATAGCTCATTGCAACCTTGAACTCTGGGGCTTGAGCAATCCTCTGCCTCAACCTCCCAGGTAGCTGGTACTACTGGTGTGTACCACCATGCCTCGCTAATTTTTAAAGAAAATTTAGTAGAGATGAGGTCTCGCTGTTGGCCAGGCTGGTCTCAAACTCATGGACTCAAGCGATCTTCCTGCCTTAGTCTTCCAAAGTGCTGGGATTACAGGCATGAGCCACTGTACCTGGCAAAGTCTGGCAATTTTTGATTTAAAAAAATCTACGTTTCACTGGGCGCAATGCTCACGCCTGTAATCCCAGCACTTTGGGAGGCTGAGGCGGGCAGATCACAAGGTCAGGAGATCAAGACCATCCTGGCTAACATGGTGAAACCCCGTCTCTACTAAAAATACAAAAAATTAGCTGGGCGTGGTGGTGGGCGCCTGTAGTCCCAGCTACTCGGGAGCTGAGGCAGGAGAATGGTGGGAACCCAGGAGACAGAGCTTGCAGTGAGCCGATATCACGCCACTGCACTCCAGCCTGGGCAACAGAGGGAGACTCCATCTCAAAAAAAAAAAAGAAAAAAAATCTAAGTTTCCAGCTTCCGAGGAAGAATCCAAATCTGGCAAGATTGGGCCTTCATTCCCACATGGGCGCCTCAGGGGACACTGCAAGGTGGCACCTTCCTGACAGGAGAGAGGGGCGCTCTGTTCAGCAGTGTCAGCCTGCACTCATTCCTCACCTGCCTGGCCCTGGAGATATCTGAGTTTGTGAGTCCACCCCAATGAGTTCTAAATCGTTCTTTAAAAAGTAGTAGGCCAGTCAGGCACGGTGGCTCACTCCTGTAATCCTAGCACTTTGAGAGGCCAAGGCAGGCGGATCACTTGAGGTCAGGAATTCAGGGCCAGCCTGGTCAACATGGTGAAACCTAGTTTCTATTAAAAATACAAAAATTAGCTGGGTGTTTGGTGGGTGCCTGTAATCTCAGCTACCTGGGAGGCTGAGGCAGGAGAATTGCTTGAGCCCGGGAGGTGGAGGTTGCTGTGAGCCAAGATTGCACCATTGCACTCCAGCCTGGGTGACAAAGCGAGATTCCATCTCAAAAAAAAAAAAAAAAAAAAAGAGTAGTAGGCCCCTTCCCTAACCTGCTTGTCGCAGTAATGAGTCGCTGGAGGTGTTTTATGTAAAATTCCTGTGTTTTTTTTCCCCAACATAGTACATCAGGGAGGTGATAGATGAAGATTAACATTACAAATACTTGTGAGGGCTGGAAAAATAATCTGGGATGCAGTGGACCCATGTTACCTGTTATTTCTTTAAAACTGTGGGTTCCCACATTCTTTCCCAGATACTCAGATTCAGGGTTTACTTAGAGGGTGTGCAGAACTCTGTATTTTTAACAAGCACCCCAGTGATTCTTATTATCAAATATGGGGAACATTGCAATAGATAAAAAGTGACGCTGCCCGAAACAGAGCTTCTATAATTAGCACCTGAATAATTAACAGCTGTCTCCTGTTAACGTCCCCAAGCAGAATGGAAGGCTCATCTGTCACTTGGAGCCATTTTCCTCTTTTATCCCAATTGTAGTGCAGATGGTGACTTTGCTATTGTCAAGTTCACCAAAGTGCTCCTGCAGTACACTGGCCACATCACGTGGACACCTCCAGCCATCTTTAAAAGCTACTGTGAGATCATCGTCACCCACTTTCCCTTTGATGAACAGAACTGCAGCATGAAGCTGGGCACCTGGACCTACGACGGCTCTGTCGTGGCCATCAACCCGGTAGGTGGTGGCCACATATGATAAGGGTGGTTTCAGGAAAATTGTGATTCGGGTCTCCAACTTTTCCTTGGACAATCATAGGCTCTCAGTACCAGTTAGAACTTAGGAATCATCTAGTTTGATGGTTCAAGTTGATTGGGAAGGGAGAACTAAATGGGAGCTTAAATTAATTTGCTACACCCAGGCTCAGTCTCAAGAATTCTGATGTAATGGGCCTGGGGTGGCGGTAGGGCATCAATATGTTTTAAAGCTCCCAGGTGACTTGAATGTGTAGCCAAAATGGAGAATGCTACTAGTCCAAACCCCCTTATGTCATAGGAAAGGCATCTAAGACCCCAAAGCAGTAGTGTCCCACAGTCCCTCCTGGGTGTGTGACCCACAGAGCTGGAATCTGTGGCCTTGTCACTGCTGATTACAAAACGCTGCCCCTCATCAGGGTGACCTGCCTGGGATTTCCAAACCTCACTTCCTTTCTCAGGAAAGCGACCAGCCAGACCTGAGCAACTTCATGGAGAGCGGGGAGTGGGTGATCAAGGAGTCCCGGGGCTGGAAGCACTCCGTGACCTATTCCTGCTGCCCCGACACCCCCTACCTGGACATCACCTACCACTTCGTCATGCAGCGCCTGCCCCTCTACTTCATCGTCAACGTCATCATCCCCTGCCTGCTCTTCTCCTTCTTAACTGGCCTGGTATTCTACCTGCCCACAGACTCAGGTGGGTGTGGTTGCCATGACTGCTGCTGCTGACGCTGATGGGTCTCGTGCTGCTATTTTGGGGAAGCCAGAAATAATCATGTGCTAACAAACAGGCAGATCGACCCGAACCATCATCATTAGGAGGGTGCATTTGCTGAGTGGGCGTGCGCAGTGGTGAGAGTCACTGTGAGTGGAGCTCACAGCTGGGGCAGACACCCCGAGCGGCAGGGAGTTGAACATGACCCTAGAGATGCACAGTGTAGCTTAGGCTGGTTAAAGTACATTAACCACCAATACCTATTTGCTGAATACCAACTGTGTGCCCAGAAGTGTACTGGGTAAGGCATGTGATCCCAGACACTTCTCATGCCACTTCCACGATGAAGTCACTTTCTATGTACTGACTAATCCTGGTCTTGCCCCTTTACCCACTGCTCACCACTTGAAAATAGATTTTGCATATCTTTTTTTCCAGATGGTGGCATCTTCACACACAAGACCCTACTTCCCAAGTGGCTGTTCTTTCTCACATATCAGCCTAGACAACTTACTTACCTCCTACTGAGTAATCCTATCTGTGACATAATTTTATCAAACAATAACAATCCACCAGAAAGGAGGAAAGGGTACCCATCTGCCTGCCAGCAAGTCACTATTCATAAACAACTTATGGCAGACAAGTTTGAAAAAAAGAAAGATGCTACAGACAGACCTCAAGCTTATGACAGGTAGCAATTTTTATCAAAATGACTTTAAAAAAAAAAAAACCACAAAATCTTAAATCCAACTTGCCAACTAGGAAAAAAGATTATTCATTTACTCATTCAGTGAATATTTGTTGAACAAATATGATGTGGTAGATAGACCGCAGAGAATAAGACAGAAAGTGCCTCACCCCTCAGAGTGCATGTTCCAGTGACTGCATTTGGGGTTTCATTTTTGTTTTTGTTTTGAGACCGGGTCTCACTCTGTTGCCCAGGCTGCAGTACAGTGGCATGATCACGGCTCACTGCAGCCTCAACCTCCTGAGCTCAAGTGACCCTTTCACCTCAGCCTCCTGAGTAGCTGGGACTACAGGCATGTGCCACCACACTCGGCTAATTTTTGTATTTTTTGTAGAAACGGGGTTGCACCATGTTGCCGAGGCCAGTCTCGAACTCCTGGGCTCAAAGATCTGCCTACCTCGGCCTCCCAAAGTGCTGGGATTACAGGTGTGAGCCACTGTGCCTGCCCTGCACTTGTTTTTAAACAAATAATCACAAACACAATTCTTTCAACTTTCTAATCAAATGAAACTTTTTTACATTAAAAAAATAAATAAATAGAGATGGAGTCTTGCTATGTTGCCCAGGCTAGTCTCAGACTCCTGGCCTCAAGTGATCCCCCTGCCTTGGCCTCCCGGGGTGTTAGGATTACAGGCATGATCCACCGCACCAGGCCCTCAAATGAAACTTTTTAAAATAAAAACACTGTCGGGGCATTATGGGAACTAACAAGAGTCTCTATAAACGTTAAATGATTTGTGCTTGAAAAGTGCTTAGGGGCCAGATGCAGTGGCTCACACCTGTAATCCCAGCACTTTCGGAGGCCAAGGCGGATGGATCACTTGAGGTCAGGAGTTTGAGACCAGCCTGGCCAACATGGTGAAACCCCATCTCTATTAAAAATACAAAAAATTAGCCAGGTGTGGTGGCACGTGCCTGTAATCCCAATTACTTGGGAGGCTGAGGCAGGAGAATCGCTTGAACCCTGGAGGCGGAGGTTGCAGTGAGCTGAGATGGCACCACTGAACTCCAGCCTGGGCAACAGAGTGAGACTCCCTCACAAAAAAAAAAAGAAGAAAAAAAGAAAGAAAAGAAAGAAAGAAAAAAGAAAAGCACTTAGCACAAAAATTATGCTTGATAAATGTTGGCTATTATTATTATCATTATTATTAATCAACAAATTTTATATAAGTGGACAAATATTTTGTATTTGTAATTGTATTCTTTTTCACTTTGAAAGGTTTTCCTACCCACCAGGTAGAATTGACAATTTCTTGTTTGTTTCCACTCTTTATCGTATACATACATACATATTCTATATATATTCTAGCATCCGGAAGCAGCCAGTAGGGGACAGCTTCATCATTGAAAGCAGGGTAACACAAGGGTTTCCAGCAGCACCAACAGCAAGGCCAGCCCAGGGAAAGTCCCTCCCAGAGCTTCTCTGCTGCACCTAAGGTGGTCAAGCCTCACAAAACTACCTCAGTGCCATTCGGCCCCTGACCTTCCTGCTGCCAAGTTTGCCCAGCCAAAACTCTCCTGAGATCAAAGGGCCTGCAGAAAAGAGGTGGGGGCTGGGGAAATCCCTGCTCCCTTAGTATGCAAAAAAAACAAAACAAGAAATAAGTGAGAAGACAAACTTCCTCTTATATGAAAATGAGACAGCGAGTGGTGTGAAACCACTGTATCAGAAGATCACTCAGGACGTCAAGGAGAACTCCTTAGCCTTCCGGATTTTGTCCTTTTCTTGGGTTTTGGTCTTACAGCTTGCTCCCTCAATAACAGAAAGATATGTGTACTTCTGGGCTGCCCATTCATCTGCTGGGTAAGAAATAGGCCAGGGGTGGTTCCGTTTTATGAGGTTTAATGCATCCTGCTGCAGAAGGGAAATGCCACACCGAGTCCAGCTTGTCCACCCAGAACTCCTTTCAGTTCCCTGGGTTCCACCAAGAATCAGAAATCTGGAGCATGAGATGAAATATTGTTCCGTTTTCTGCTTGGCAGCCTCTAATGGAAATGCTTGCCACTGGCTGCTGTCAGAAAAGTTAAGGTATGGTGGTTACATAGGAAATTCTGCAGAAAAAAATGCTTTGAGATTTCCCAGAATAATGCTTTGAGAACATGTCAGTCACATTCCTCTTACCCTTGGGTTTCAGTGGTGAATTAGTTTGCTTGGGCTGCCACACAAAACACCATAGGCTGTGAGGCTTAGATAACAGAAATGTAATTTCTCACAGTTCTGGAGACTGGAATTCCAAGATCAAGGTGCCAGTAGAGTTGGTTTCTTGTGAGGCCTCTCTCGGTTTGTAATGGCCATCTTCTTCCTGTGTCCCATGGCCTTCCGTCTATGCATCTGTGTCCTAATTCCTCTCCTTATAAGGACACTAGTCATACTTGATTACTCACTACCCCATATCACCTCGTTTTCATTTAATTACCTCCTTAAAGTCCCTGTCTTCAAATACAGTCACATTCTTAGGTCCCAGGACTCAGGACTTCCACATATAAATGGTGGGGTGGGAGGAACACTGCAGCCCAACCCAGATGGGTAGTTGTGGGATTTTTTTTTTTTTTTTTGGTCTTTTCAGGGGAGAAGATGACTCTGAGCATCTCTGTCTTACTGTCTTTGACTGTGTTCCTTCTGGTCATCGTGGAGCTGATCCCCTCCACGTCCAGTGCTGTGCCCTTGATTGGAAAATACATGCTGTTCACCATGGTGTTCGTCATTGCCTCCATCATCATCACTGTCATCGTCATCAACACACACCACCGCTCACCCAGCACCCATGTCATGCCCAACTGGGTGCGGAAGGTGAGTGGGGAGGCCCCTGCAGACTTCACACGGAGGCACATCTACAGGCCTCCCCTTCGAGGAGCCAGTGGGTTTCTAGCTAATACTTGGGGCTATTTAGGAACTAAGTTCTCTTTGGGCTTTAGGGAATTTTTGGAAGGAACTTTCTTTGGCCTCTTTTTAGGAATAAATAACTCCTGTAGCCTTCCCAGAGAGAAAAGAAAAACAGAATTAACAAAGCTCATTCCAAATTCAAGTTTAAAGAATCTCTTTGATCAGAGAAGATGAACAAACGGCTGCTTTTTATTGAAATGCCGTGAAATTCTCGCGATTTCTTTTGTATGTTTTCCAATCTGTGAACAGACTGGCTTATTTTTTGCTGGTGAAATCATCTGTTGAGAATAGAATGAATAGAATGAGGGCTAGAGATGGGAGGGTTCCTGATGAGAGAGGGTCAAAAAGTGAGTTTTAGTGAAGGACTAGGTCTGAAATAGTTACGTTATTGAATTTAAAAATTTAACATTTCAAATATGTCTTTCTTTGACAAAACTTTACAGAGACACTGAAGTCCAGGATCTTTTGTCCAGAATGTAAAATATTTGTCAGGAATTGACAAAAGAAGCTACTGCTCACAATGTACTCTTTTAAGAGGAGAGTAAGAGTCCCTGTTTCTGTAAAGGCTGATAGATGACTGCTGGCAATACCTGTACTGCAGTTTCTTCAGGAACAGGAAACAGAAGAAAACAATCTAGCTGTTTTGTGGGATATATTTGAAGTGGAGGGGCCCCTTCTTTAACCATTTGATCCTGGTGACACATTGCTAAGGCATTTTCCATACCTGTAGGGGATCCTGACGCTTTTAAGCTCATTGGTGGCCCCAGGTCGATGACTGCACATGGGCTCCCTCCAGTGGCGAACTTCTCACATTACAGAATCATCACTGTTAACCATAGTCATTTCACAGGACCCGGGATACAGAGGGATCTTTGAAAAAATCTAGTATAGTTCTTTTGTTTTAAGGACAAGGAGGCTGAAGCCCAGAAAAACTGAATGACTTACCCCAAATCACATTGATAATTCAAAGACAGAGTTTTATGCTTGCCTCCTGGACAATAATTCTCATGCATGGATTTCTTTTTTATGTTAGGTTTTTATCGACACTATCCCAAATATCATGTTTTTCTCCACAATGAAAAGACCATCCAGAGAAAAGCAAGACAAAAAGATTTTTACAGAAGACATTGATATCTCTGACATTTCTGGAAAGCCAGGGCCTCCACCCATGGGCTTCCACTCTCCCCTGATCAAACACCCCGAGGTGAAAAGTGCCATCGAGGGCATCAAGTACATCGCAGAGACCATGAAGTCAGACCAGGAGTCTAACAATGTAAGCTTCGTGGCTTGAAATTCATGCCTCTGGGTTTAAATGGTCAAATGTATGAGCACAGGTGGTGAGTCTGACTTAACAAGTAGGTGGCATACAACAGGCAGCTACTGACCTAAGATGAACCCTGGTGACCGCCTCTAGACCACCTTAGTAAGTTATCACTTTGTAAATAATCTATTCAAAAAATAAAGACGATGCCAGCCAAGGGATGGGAGGACTTTGAGATCTACAAATTGAAGGGCCCATAGTTGATGCAAAGCACAAACGTTGTGAGTCCAGAAACCACCTTAGGGAGACTCTGTCTAACATTTTCCTCTCTCCCAGGCGGCGGCAGAGTGGAAGTACGTTGCAATGGTGATGGACCACATACTCCTCGGAGTCTTCATGCTTGTTTGCATCATCGGAACCCTAGCCGTGTTTGCAGGTCGACTCATTGAATTAAATCAGCAAGGATGAGCAGAAAATGAGCTGAGCTTAGCTCTGCCCTGGAACCTACCAGAGCAGAGAAGGGCAGGAGAGGAAGATTTGTCTACTTGCTCCACTCGCACTTATCAAACGTGTTATATTCCATACTTATTATTGATGATAAGATTTACCTTTATGTAAGTTTATGGCCTTGAAGTGTTTTCATATTGCTTCTCCCTTTAGTTCTGCTGTCTCCCTGAAGAGTGAACCCTCTTTAGTAAATGAAACTAATCACTAAAAAAAGTGTTCATTTCCAGTGTCTGGAAGAGTTTTTGCCAGGATAACCGAGGTTTTCTGTTGCATTGTCATTGCTGTTATATTTATATATTTACTTATTTTGTCTAACCACGAGACCACTAGGGAGTTGCTGATGTTCTAAATGAAGTGTATTCTTTGCTTAAGAGTCAGTTTTGTACCTACTAAGAAAACCCCATCTACCAGTCCTAAAGAGATAAGGCATTTGATTTGGAGAGAGAGGAAGCAGTAGAAATGAAATAAACTAAAATGCAAACTGCATCAAAAATCCATGGGTTTTTTTGTTTGTTTGATTGTTTTTTGAGACAGGGTCTTACTCTTATCACCCAGGCTAGAGTGCAGTGGCCCGATCTCGTCTCACTGCAGCCTCCACTTGCCAGACTCAGGTGATTCTTCTACCTCAGCCTCCCGGGGTAGCTGAGACTACAGGTGCATGTCACCACACCCAACTAACTTTTGTATTTTTTGCAGAGACAGGGTTTTGCCACGTTGCCCAGGCTGGTCTTGAACTCCTGGGCTCAAGTGATCCACCCATCTTGGCCTCCCGAAGTGCTGGGATTACAGCTGTGAGCCACTGCCCTTGACAAAAAAAATCCATGTTTTAAAGCAGCTTTCTAGACCTGAGAAGTCAGAGAAGGTTTACCAGTCTCATATGGCACCTGGGCTTGATAAGGGTCTGAAAGGAAACAAGTCCAAACAATAGGGCCTAGGCACTACGGAAATTGTCTTGCCTGTATGGGTTTACTTCATCATCATCCCCTTCATAAAATCCTAGAATGTCCCTATTTTACAAATGAGAAAATTAAATTTCAGGGAAATCCTGTAATGTCCCTATTTTCCAAATGAGAAAATTGAATTTCAGGGAGGTTAAGTTCTTTGCTCAAACTAGAAGAACTGGGATTTGAATCCAGACTTTGAGATTCCAAAGCAACTCCAGGCTGGGTCAGTTCATCTGTTCACTGGCTCTCCCAGCCACCCCTGGCTCCATCTAGGCCATCCTGTAACTCTGCTCAGTGTTGTCAAGAATTTCAGTCTTAGCAAAAAACCATCTTTCTGTCTTCCCAATTAAAATTTGTGCCTTCCACCCACCACCAGCCCTTATTCCAATCATGTTTGAGGTTCAAGTCCTATAAATGAAACCAGAAATGTATTACGCATCATCACCATTTCTAAAATTCTGAAGAAGTAAGTAGAAGAGAAATTGATTTCTTTTCACATTGTAAACTTTAATCCACAGTATAGTTTGCCCAAGAACTAGAAACTGTGCAGCTACGGGCCAGGCTTAGTTGATGGCCTCCAAATCACCATAACCCAACTGTATTTGTCAGGGTTCTCCAGAAACACACAACCAATAAGATATGTGTGTGTATCACAGTTTCTAGTTGTTGGGTAAACTATATTATGGATTACAATTTACAAGATGAAAAGAAATAATATATATGAGAAATCATAAATATATCTATGAGGCTGAGAAGTCCCACAACAGGTTGTCTGCAAGCTGGGATTCCAGTAGCATGGCTCAGTCCAAATCTGAAGGCTTCAGAACCAAAAAAGCCCATGGTATAATTCTCAGTCCAAGGCTGAAGGCCCAAGAACCCAGAGGGAACATCAGTCTAAGTCCTGGAGTCCAAAAGCCAGAGAGCCTGGAGTTCTGATGTCCAAGGGCAAGAGGAGGAGGGTGTCCCATCTCCAAGAAGAGAGATATGAGTTTGCCTTTCCCCTGCCTTTTTGTGTTCTATCTGGGCCCCCAGCCAAATGGATGGTGCCCACCCACACTGAGGACAGATCTCCCCCACTCAGTCTGACTGACACATCAGACTCCTGTGGAAACAAATACACCCAGAGATGATGTTTTACCAGTTCTCTAGCTATGCCTTAATCCTGTCAAGTCAACACCTAAAATTAACCATCACAAACCCACCCCTTGTCAACTTGGCACCCATACCCATCTCCTTAAACCATACTTGGTCTCCAATTAAAGACAATAACAAGGTAATAGTTCACCCAGCGTGATGCAGCTATCCTGCATTCAACCAAAAATGCATTAACCCCTGCCCCAGAAAGGAGGTCAAGTCCTTGACTGATGTTTACTCTTCCCATGAGATCCCGTAATTTAAATACTATGATGTAAAATTAACAATACGTCAATACGGATATAAAGTCAGTATCTTATGTTACATAAGAGAGAGGAATGAAAACAAAGATATTTGCTTAATATATGTATATATACATACAAATGTATTTTTAACAAATGGGAGGAAACACTCATGACAATTACGGTCCTCATTTCTGTAACTGGTTATGTGGTCATAGCTGGTATTTGTAACTACCTCCTTCCACTACCTATTCTGTATTTCCTTTGCCTCCAGCAAGCACCTCAGCTGGTCATGGCACCTTGTGGGGTAACCCACGCTTTCATTCCTGAAGGGTCTGGGCCATTTGCAGTCAGTCCTGCCTGAATTGGGTTGCAATTTCCCATTGACCTTAATCACAGGGTATGCTAATGCTGAAAGATGCCCCAAGGGATCTCCTGTATTCCAGACATACTTTTCCTTACCTGCATTGTGGAGTAGTAGCCCGATTTCCTTTTGGAAGTCTGGTTAATCATCCCAGCCTATACCATAACTGCCTTCTTAGCCTGTCAACTCAGGGCATGAGGAGCTCGAAGTGGCCAGGTGGCAGTCTTAACTCCCAGTTCAATGGAATCGTTGTTGCGTCTCCTGGTGGAAGCATTCCTCCCTCTGAAACTGAGAACTTTAGGCCAGCAGAGCATAAAGTTGTGCAAACGGGAAGCAAAAATTTTACTAGTGGATCAGCAGGGATAATGATGAGTGGTGTCACTCCCATTTTCACCCCTTGATTCCTGAGCCCATGAATCCTGGTTATGGGAGAAACAGGACCATATACTAGACACTGATTCAGAGCATATACAGCCTTCTGGAGAATCTTGCCTCAGCCCTGCAAAATGCTGTCACTTAGCTGGTGCTGTAACTGCAATGTCAAAAGGCCATTCCATTGTTCTATAAAGCCAGCTGATTCAGGATAATGGAGAAGATGGTAAGACCAGTGATTTCAATGAGCATGAGCCCATGGCCACATGTCTTTGGCTACGAAGTGAGTTCCCTGGTCAGAGTCAATGCTGTATGGAATATCATGATGATGGATAAGGCATCTATAAGTCCACAGATGGTAGTTTTGGCAGAAGCATTGCATGCAGGAAAGGCAAATCCATATACTTATGTCTATTCCAGTAAGTGTCAGTATTGTAGTACTCAGTAAGTGTCTATTCCAGTAAAGACAAAATGCTACCCTTTCTATGATGGAAGAGGCCCAATGTAGTCAAGTTGTCCCCAGGTAGCTGGCTGATCACCCAGAAAATAGTGCCATACTGGGGCTCATTGTTGGTCTCTGATGCTGGTAGATTGGGTGTTCAGTGGGTGACTGTAATCAGGTTGACCTCGGTGAGTGGAAGTCCATGTTGCTGAGCCCATGCATAACCTCCATCCCTGCCACCATGGCCACATTGCTCATGAGTGCATTGGACCATGTCAGGGGTGTCTGGGGAAAGAGGCTGACTAATACCCACAGAACAAGTCATCCTATCCACCTGATTATTGAAGCCTTCCTCTGCTGAGATCATTTTGGTGAGCATTTACATGGGACAAAAATATCTTCACATCCTTTGTCCACACGAGAGGTCTATCCACATACCTCTTCCAGGATTTCTTGGTCACCAATTTTCCAATCATGTGCCTTCCAAATCTCTGACTGTCTAGCCAAACCATGGGATACAGCCCATGGATCAGTATATAATCACACGTCTGACCATTCTCCTTCTATGCAAAGTGCATGGCCAGGTGCACTGCCTGAAGTTCTGCCCACTGAGAAGATTTCCCTTCACCAGTGTCCTTCAGGGATATCCCAGAAAGGGGCCAAAGTGCTGCAGCTGCCCACTTTCAGATGTTGCCTGCATATTGTGCAGAACCATCTGTGAATCAGGACCTGGTCTCCTCTTCCTCTTCAGTTGATCATAGGGTACTTCCCATGAGGCCATGGGTGCAGGTGGGGAGAGAGAAACCATGGACATTTGGGCCACTTCATGTAACTTACTTGTGTCTGCAGGGCCTGCTTGGGCCTGATCATGTGTATACTACTTCTATTTAATGATGGAACACTGCTGTGCACACCCAACTTTATGGGTTGGTAGATCAGATAATACCCAGTTCATGATAGCCAGATCAGGTTGCGTGGTAACTTGGTGGCCCATGGTCAAGCATTCAGTTTCTACTAAGGCTAAGAGCTATCTGTCAAAAGGAGAGTACTTATCTGCAGATGATGGCAGGGCCTTGCTCCAAAATCCTAAGGGCCTCTGCTGTGATTCTTCTGTACCCTCCCTATCTGCCACTGACTCCTCAAGCACCATTGGATCTGCTGGATCGTATGGCCCCAAGTGTCAGAGCAGCTTTCACAGCAGCCTGGACCTGTTGCAGAGCCTTCTCCTGTTCTAGGTTCTATTCAAAACTAGCAGCTTTTTTAGTCACTTGGTGGATGAGCCTGAGTAACACACCCAAATGAGGAATATGTTGACTCCAAAATCCAAGTAGGCCCACTAGGCGGTGTGCCTTTTTCTTGGCTGTGGAAGGGGCCAGGTGCAACAACTTAACCTTCACCTTACAAGGGATACATCAACAGGCTCCATATCACTGGATTCCTAGAAATTTCAGAGGTAGAAGGCCCTTAAATTTTGATTGGATTTATTTTCCACCCTCTGACATGCAAATTACTTACCAACAAGTCCATAGTAGTTGCTACTTCACGCTCATTAGGTCCAAGCAGCATAATGCCATAAACATAATGGATCTACTCCTAAGGTGGAGTAGATCAAACCAAACTCAGACACCAATCTCCTCTGGAAACCCCCTCATAGCCACACCCAGAAGTGGTGCTTCACCAGGCCTCTAGGTATTCCTTATCCAGTCAAGTTGACACCTAAAATTAACCATCACAGCAGGGTGTAGGCAGGTAGCTGGACTTTAAAGTTTTAATGGCCTAGAATCAAATGCTACATTTTCTATTTGCTACCTGTTTGACCTTGAAGAAAGTTAATTAACCTTTCTGAGCCTCAGTCTCTGCATTTGTTAAAGGACTTTCATTGACTTCTTGTAATGATTACATGAGGACATGGAGATTTTCAGCACCCATAATCACAAACAACACCATTGCTGTTTTCTTCCTGCCTTTTCATTCATTCATCAACTATTCTGATTCTGTGGGTCCAGAAACACGGGTTTGTTTTGTTTCTTTTTTTTTTTTTTTTTTTTTTTTGGAGAGACTGGGTCTCACTATGTTGCCCAGGCTGGTCTTGAACTCCTGGGCT
This sequence comes from Homo sapiens, assembly GCF_000001405.40. Classification (NCBI taxonomy): domain Eukaryota; kingdom Metazoa; phylum Chordata; class Mammalia; order Primates; family Hominidae; genus Homo; species Homo sapiens. The sequence continues at coordinate 174,742,482 of NC_000002.12, read as the reverse complement.
CAAGCAACCCTCCCATCTTGGCCTCCCAAAGTGCTGAGATTACAGGTGTGAGCCAATGTGCCTGGCAGGAAGCACTGTTTTTAGAAGGCACCTTAAATAGTTCTCTTGCTGGGGTCCTCAGACCACCCTTGAGAAGTATTATTCTTGAAGGATGACCAGGAGTTTGGGCACCAAGGGGAGTGTGGGCTGTCACAGAGTTCTTGAGGTCATGCACATGCAAGGGGTACCACAACATCATACTACATCATACTACATGCCCATGGTCCACCCAGAGGTGGGGTGCATGACCTGCAAGACCATAGGCAGTGGCCCTGGGGAAGGAGGCAGAGGGAGGATGTTTCAGGCAGAGAGTGCCGTGGGGAGGGGTGGGGCATGTCTGTGTGATGTGTGTCTGCATAGTGTGATGCAGGGTATGTTGGGGACACTGAAGATTTTTGGGGAGCACATAGGGTAGGAGACAAGGGAGCAGGTCGGGAGGTCCTTGGGTGTCATGTCCCGGAAGCCCTGCTTTACCTGGAAGCAGTGAGAATCCACAGAAGGATATTAGCAAAGATGGGACCAGATGCATGGATGGCCACATGAGAGGTGAGCTGAGAGGGTAGGTCTGCAGGCAGGGACAGTCATTGAGGGTTCTAAACAAGCCAGGTGAGAGCCAGTGAGAGAGCTGAACTGAGCCCAAAGCAGAGTATGTGTTGAGCAGAGCACAGACTTGAGAGATGTCCAGGAGGAGGGTGTGGATTGGTTGCTGGATGGGGAAGAGGAGGCAGGTGCTGAGATGACCAGGAGGGTCCAGTCAGGGGACCCAGCATGTGATTCTTTGCGAAGGCAGGTCGGGAAGAGCAGGTGTTTGTGGAATGGGAAATCAGTGATTAGTTAAGGGCTGATCATATTTAATGTAAAATTCTCATGTGACATCCAGGTTCTGGTCCCCAGGCATCTAGAACTCAGAGGACAGGCCTGGGAAGGAGGTAAATATTTTGATCTACAGTCTTGGCTTGAGGTGACTGCTAAGGTAGTGTGAGGAGTGGGAAGAGGAGGATGTGCTAATGTGATTCCTGATCACATCAATCCCAGGAGCCAGGAGATGGAGCAGGCCGAGGGAGGAGGAGTGGGAGGGGGAAAGAGGGGATGTGGAAACCATGGAGGACCCTGTCAACTGTATCATCTGAGAGCGCTGTCACTAAGCACTGAAAGGGGGGCTCAGGGTCTGTTGCACAGGAGTCACTGGCCAAAGTCATCAGCTTCAGCTAAAGGGGTTTGGTAACATGCAGGGCAGAAGCCAGGTGGCTCTGTGTTAAAGAGGAAATGGGGAGTGAGAAAATGAAGACCAGGAGCTCTTTATTTTTTCTTGAGACAGGGTCTTGTTGCCTAGGTTGGAGTGCCATAGTGGATCACAGCTAACTGCAACCTCAACCTCCTGGGCTCAAGCAATCCTCCCGCCTCGGCCTCCCAAAATGAGGGAATTACAGGAATGAGCAACTGTGCCCAGTCAGGAGTTCTTGAGTGAGACAGGCAGTGAGAGTTCAGGCAAGAGTGAGCATGGAGTATAAGGTTACAGGAAGGGCCTTTTAATTGAATGGGAGCTCTTCAAGCTGTTCATTTCTCAGGTGTGTTCTAGCTGAGGCAAGAAGCCAGAAAAGTATAGTGAAAAGAACTGGAGAAAGGGAGTGATTCCGAGGGGACTGGATGGAAGGGCTAGAGGCCAATGCAGAATGGGATGTAGGCCCACCTGTTAGAATGGCTGTTCTCAAACAGTCAACTTCTAGCAAGGGTTGGCGAGGATGTGGAGAAGCGGAATCCCTGTACACTGTAGATGGGAAGGTCCTCCATGGTTTCCACATCCTCTCTCCACCTCCCACCTCGCCTCCCTTGGCCTGCTCCATCTCCTGGCTCCTGGGATTGATGTGATCTGGAATCACATTAGCACATCCTCCTCTTCCCACTCCTCACACTGCCTCACACTGTGCGGGTGCACACACACACACACACACACACACACACACAGGAATATTATTTAGCCTTAAGAAGGAATCCTGGCCGGGCACAATGGCTCATGCCTGTAATCCCAGCACTTTGGGAGGCTGAGACGGGTGGATCACCTGAGGTCAGCTGTCCGAGATCAGCCTAGCCAACATACTGAAATCCCATCTCTACTAAAAATACAAAAAATTATCTGGCTGTGGTGGTGCAAGCCTGTAACTAGCTGGGCATGGTGGCGCAAGCCTGTAATCCTGTCATTTGTGACAACATGGATGAACCTGAAGGACATTATGCTCAGTAAAATAAGCACCAAAGTAAATGAATCAGCATTTCAAAGAGCTGTCTGCACTCATATTCATTGCAGCATTATTCCCAATAACCAAGATATGGAGTCAACCTAGTGCCTATTGTGGGTAAATGGGTAAAGAAAATGTGATGCGTATGCGCGCGCACACACACACACACACACACACACACACACGAATATTATTTAGCCTTAAGAAGGAATCCTGGCTGGATGCGGTGGCTCACACCTGTAATCCCAGCACTTCAGGTGGCTGAGGTGGGCGGATCACCTGAAGTCCAAGCCTGGCCAAACCTCATCTCCACTAAAAATACAAAAATTAGCCAGGTGTGGTGGTGCATGCCTGTAATCTCAGCTACTTGGGAGGCTGAGGCAGGAGAATCACTTGAACTCGGGAGATGGAAGTTGCAGTGAGCCAAGATGGAGCCCCTGCACTCCAGCCTGAGTGACAGAGCAAGACTCAGTCTCAAAAAAAAAAAAAAGGAATCCTGTCATTTGTGACAACATGGATGAACCTGGAGGATATTACTCTTAGTAAAATAAGCCAGACAGAGAAAGAAAAATCTGCATGATCTCACTTATCTGTGGCATCTAAAAATGTAGACCTCACAGAAACAGAGAATAGAATAGTAGTTACCAGGGATTGGGAAGCACAGGGGAAATCAAAGATATTGGTCAAAGGGTACAAACCTTCAGTTACTAGATGAATACATGCTGGGATCTAATGTACAGCATGATGACTATAGTTAATCATACTGAATCAGATACTTGAAATTTGGGAAGAGTGTAGATCTTAAGTGTCCTCACATGCACACAAAGAGTGACTGCATGAGGAGATGGATATATTAATTACTGTGATTGCAGTGTACCAAATCATCACGTTGCACATCTTAAATATGTAAAATTGTTTGTCAATCACACTTCAAGAAAGATGGAGGGGGGCGGGGAACAAAACAAAAAGGGCATTAGGATTGCATACACGGGAGACCTGGTAGAGGGAGGCTGTCTGGCTGGCCAGGGAGAGGATGGTGCCATGGGCCTATGAGGGGTCCTGGGGCATGTCAGGTGTGTGCAAGAGGAGCTCAGGTTCACACTCAATAACGCTATTTGTCTGTGCAGTTTGAAGTCAGGACATGATGCGGGGCAGAGCCTACTTCCTATTTTTCCTACTTCCTATTTCTCTCTACTATTGAGGAGGGAGAAAGCTCTCAAATCTGCAACATTTGGGGAAATTATCATAATACAATGATCTTTTTGAAGATTTTCATAATCCTTTTGTACAAAATTAGTATCAGTTTATAATCCAGTTTTGCTGTCCGTGTTCTAGTAATGGTCACATGGTGCCTCTTAGAATAAAAAGGTATGATGATCTAAGGAAAGCTGAATTATCAAAATTTAAACTATACTTATAAAATATTTGCATTTTTAGAAAATTATTTACTTATTTACCTTAATGGCTAGAATTGATTGTCACATTCATGCATTCATAGACTTAAAAAAAGTATTGAAATAATCATTAGGTTAGAATGATGGGATAATGACATTTTTTCAGAATTTTCTATAAGACTATTGTCAACAAATATCTATAAAAGTGAAATGTGAAGAATCTGGGTCTTTGCAACTTTTTAAACCTTGAGAACAGAAGATAAATGTTCTTATATCTAATTCAGCTCTAGGACTAATGTTGTTTTAGCCTTATTTTAAATTCAATAAAGTAAGATTACAGAAGCATCAACTGACTTGTATAAATTTTGAGCACACAATAACTAGGTGTTTTCTTTAACACTGGAGTGTTATTGTCAATTTTATATATCTAATGAAAATAGCAACACATCCTTCTATCCCTGAAGCTGGGATAAATAAAAACTCTTTCTTTTTTTACAGGCACAAACTAGGTGTGGGTCTGGTGTGGTGATTGCTGAGGGTAGGGTCCTCTTTTGGCCTGTGTGACTTGTTATTCAAGTACAGAAAGCATGTGTCTGTGTGCATTTGTTTTGGCCCGCTGCTCTTTATCCCACTCTACATGCCTGAGAGTCCTGGAGGATGGTTCCAAGGCCACATTAGGCATTCACCTGTGTCACTTGACTGCAGACTGAGCTCATGGTTGGGCCACTGTCTTACTTTTGCAAGTCTCTGATCCCATTTGTAGTTCATTTTTCCAACACAAAATAATTTTAATGGTGATAGCATATCCAATAAAAGCATCATGATTAAAATCTAATAAAGGTTCTAAATGCTTGGCTATAGCATACCTGTCAAGAGTGTGGCTACGTTGGGTAGGCTTCTCTACTCACAGTGCTAATGCGAACCTCTCAGCTGCAGTCAGCACATCCCTTTCATTGCTTTTGCTTCTGTTTCTGAGATGCCTCTCCCTACTCCCACCTTTAACCTCCAAGACTTGTTTCAGCTCATCCAAATTCATAAACTCATGCTGAATCCCTCACCTTCACAGGTCTAAGTTTCTCTCTTGGGCCAGCAAAGCACTGGTCTTATTTTGTCTTGTATTTTAGTGACTTATTTGTCTAATACACAAAAACTCCCTGTCCTCACAGTTGCATTAACCCATAAGCTGTTTTCTATGGCATGGATTTTCTCCTAATTTCTGCAGAGCACCCATCACTCAGTGGACGCAAAGTCAATGTTCATTAAATTGAAGAGACAACAGTCTCTGCCCAAGCACAAGGGAATTGGTCAACCAGTAATTGAGCCCCTGTTGTTCACCAGCCCATTCTATGGGTAGATGTTCCAGATATAAAGAAAATAGAAGAGTGCTAGGCTCTGTTCTCTGCTGCGATCTAATTGGGGTGGCGTAAACATAGACAAGGGACATGCTACACTGAGAGGCAATCCTCCTTAGATAGGAATGCTTTTGCTTGATTTAACATTGTCATTAACTTCTGGAAGCCCCCTTCATCTCCTTTATTTATGCTAGTCCGCCTTTTTTCTGAGCCTACTTCCTATTTTTCAAATCTGCCTTCTCCTCGTCATTCCCATGGCTACCTGTACTGGCCTACATTGTCACTGCTTCATATCTGAACCCCTGCAGTAGTGTCAGTGTCAATCTCTCCTATCCTGAACATTGACATTCACCAAAATCCCCCAACATCTGGGGAAACAGCAAAGCCCATTCCAGTTTGAAGCTCTTAGGTAATCGTGTGACTCCACATCATTCCTTGTGGGAGAGAATCACTGCCTGATACCAGTTCTTCCTGGTTGCATTCAAGGTCTTCTCTGCTCTGATCCCACATTTTCTGGCCAACTTCAGCTCCTTATGTTCAAATCATTTGTGTCATTTTATTAAATAAATCAGCTGACAATTGTTTGCCTGCATGACTATTAACTGGGGAAGGACAGTAATTCCTTCCCCAGGATAATAAGGCACCATTATCTGCCTTTTCATTACAAAACAAATCTAAAACCAGGTGCCCTTTTCTTTTCCAGTGTCAAGTGACTTATTTGTCCCAGAAGTTTTTAGGGTGTTGCCAAGCTGATGGAGCAAAGAAACCATACAGCTCCCCTGGCACAAAATGGAGGGATGACAAGGAAAGCAAACCAAATGTAATCATAAAATTGGTTGGGCTTCTGTTCTCCCTTTAGTGGGAAACACTTAAGGTTTCTTGGTCTAGGCCGGGGACAGTGGCTCATGCCTGTAATCCTAGCACTTTGGGAGGCTGAGGCAGACGGGTCACGAGGTCAACAGATCAAGACCATCCTGGCCAACATGATGAAACCCCGCTCTACTAAAAATACAAAAATTAGCTGGGCATGACGGTGCGCACCTGTAGTCCCAGCTACTTGGGAGGCTGGGGCAGGAGAATCACTTGAACCTGGGAGGTGAAGGTTGCAGTGAGCCAAGATCACGCCACTGCACTCCAGCCTGGTGACAGAGTGAGAATCCGTCTCAAAAAAAAAGCTTTCTTGGTCTTGGTCTAAATCTTTTTTTCCCTGAAGACATGGCACCCTTTGTCATTTGTAGCTGGGCATGTGTTTGACATGGAAGGCTGCCTTGGGTCTAGAGAGGTGATTCAATTCACAGCAGATGGTGCTTCTCTTATATTGGCTTAGTGGCTTTCTAAGAAAATGAACATAATGCCTTACTTTATTCTTGATATTCTTAAACTTTATTTCTTTTTCTTTTCTTTCTTTTTTTTTGAGACGGAGTTTCGCTCTTGTTGCTCAGGCTAGAGTGCAACAGCATGATCTCAGCTCACTGCAACCTCCACCTCCTGGGTTCAAACGATTCTCCTGCCTCAGCCTCCCAAGTAGCAGGGGTTACAGGCATGTGCCACCACACCCGGCTAACTTTGTATTTTTAGTAGAGACGGGGTTTCCCCATGCTGGTCAGGCTGGTATTGAACTCCCGACCTCAGGTGATCTACCCGCCTCAGCCTCCCAAAGTGCCGGGATTACAGGCATAAGCCACTGTGCCTGGTCACTCTTAAACGTTATTTCTTTCTCAAACTTTAAAGTGCCCCAACCCTAATCTGGATACTTCAAAGGATTCTAGCTCAGATATGGGTTTGATTGTTAAATGCCCAAATGAAACTTCAGAAAATAACCAATTCATACCAAGATAAATTATAGTGTAATTTTTATTTTAGTTCAGAAAATCTAAGTGAAAGGTAGGGATATTCATCTTCCTACTTGAAAGAGTTAACTCAGTTCTAAAGTTGTATGATTACCTAGCCTAGTGAAAAGATTAAAATTTGGTGATAAAGCTGTACCTAGTGGAACTGAGGACTTATTTGGGTGGGGCGATTAGGCCATTTTCTAGACTGAACACATTTACCTGATATGGGGCTCTCTGTGAGCTCAGCCAGTTGATGGACCCTTGGCTGGGGTAGCCGAAGGAGGCTTACCTGAGGCAGTGATGCTTGAACTGAACTCTGAAAAATGAGTTGAGGTTAACAGGGCAAAGATGAGGAAGAGAATTGTCTTTGTTCAAGTGACTTGAGAGTATAAGGGTCCTGATATAGTAAAATGTACAGAACTTGCCTCCAAAGACCAAAGAAAGTCAGATAACTGGAATCAGAGTGAGGGGAAGGGTGGCATAGCCAACATGTGTCTGCAGAGATGCACAGGGCCTGGATTACCCAGAACCTTTGGATTAAAAAATTTAATCTCCAAAGAATGTACAAACAGCCAATAAGCACATGAAAAGATGCTCAATATCATTTCAGGGAAATACAAATCAAAACCACAGTGAGACACCACCGTCGCCCACTAAGATGGCTACAGTAAAAAAGAAGGATCGTAACAAGTGTCAACAAGAATGTGGAGAAATGAGAACCCTCATATGTTCCTGCAGGGAATGTGAAAGGGCAGTGCCACACTGGAAAAGAGTTTGGCAGTCCACAAACAGTTCAACAGAGTTACCATTTGACCTGGCCATTCCACTCCTATGTACATACCCAGGAGAAATGAAAACAAACACCTGTGTGTGGATGCTCAGAGCAGCATTACTCGTAATAGCCAAAAAAATGGAAATGAGCCAAAAGTCTAAGTGACAGACAGAGAAACAAAATGTGGTGTACCCATATGTACTAGTTTGCTAGGGCTGCTGTAACAAAGTGTACAACAACCTAAACAACAGAAATGTGTTGTCTCACAGCCCTGGAGGCTGGAAGTCTGAGGTGAGGTCAAGGCGTCACGGTGGTTGGTTCCTCTGTTCCAGCCCTCTTTCTTTGGCTTATAAATCTCTGTCTTTGTGTTCGAACAGCTGTCTCCCTGTATGCACCACTGTGTTGAAATTTTCCCTCTCTATAAGGACACCAGTTACTGGATTAGGACCTGCCCTACTTACCTCATTTTAGCATGATTATCTTGAAAGATCCGGTCATCACATAAGGCCACATTTTGAGGTGCTGGAGTTTAGGACATCAACATATGAATTTCTTGGGGACAAAATTCAACTCATAACACTGTACAGTGAAATATTATTCAGCCATGAAAACGAATGAAGTGTTGATCCATGCTACAACATGGCTGAACTCTGAAAATATTATCCTAAGTGAAAAAAGGCAGACACGAAAGGCCACATATTGTGTAATTCCCTTTATGTAGGATGTCCAGAATAGGCAAATATATCAAAGTGGCAAGGAGACTATTGGTTATCTAGGCTTGGGAATGTTGTTGGTGATAGCTAAAGGATACAGAAATGTGAAGGGTGGGGGTGAAAATGTTCTGAAGTTGATTTTGTGATGGATGCTAAAAACCATTGAGTTGTATATTTTAAAATGTATGGTACGTGAATTATATCTCAATAAAACTGTTAAAGGGGGAAAAGTTATATCAGAAAAAACTTCCAGAGCTTATTGATCAGAAAAAAAAAAACCTACATGTTTTCTTTAAAAATTAGAGCTGAGATATGTCCAGGCCCCAGGGCCCTCCTGTCTCAGATTGGCTGGCGCTGCAGGCTTTCACACACTTGATTTCTTCCATGGTGAGGTTTGTACAGAGTGCAACATATATTTGGACAGACGAGTAGCAAATTTGTTTCTCTAATTTGTCTTCCTTACATAGTTTCTGAGAGAAGGGTTCATTGGTAATCTTGTTGCCAGTTGGAAAAATTTTTATCCTTATCTGTCTGGAAAATTAAGTCTATTTTATCTTTTTCCTCAAGGTAATTTTGTCCAGGTTTGATAGCAGGTCACCTTTCTGGGGATTCCATGCTCCTAGTGACAGAAGGGGACCCAACAACTCTCCCTGCCCCGAGGATGTGTAAAGTGACACCAGACTTACTCTTCCGCTTTAATGTTAAATAAAAAAGAAGCTGAGCTATGATTTTGTAAGATACAACCAAAATGGAGACTAGAAGGAGATTGTGCAAGGATGGTTCTGCCCTAAACTGTCTGAGAAAGGGAGAGAAATGCTTCCACCAGCAGGCACAGCACTTGTGGGAATAAACGGGAAGGTTCGTGCTTGTGCTGAGTGCGGTCTGGGGAGTAATAGACATTTTCACGAGAGGCTGCAGGATGGGGAGAGACACTTCAGGCCAGAGTTGGGCAGAGCTTATCCTGGCTTAACTGGGGGCAGGAGGTGTCCAGAAGCATAGGGAGGTTTTTGTCAACTAAGGAACAGTGCTGATGCGGCAAGAACGGGAACAGGGCAGGGCATGGAACCCAGAGGGAAGACGGGGGTGATCCCCGACTTCAGGTGGAGTGACAGTGGGCAGGCAGTCGCAGTCCTGTCAAGGCCAAGGGTATTTGGAGGGGCCTGTGGTTCTGTAGTCTCCCACTGTCTACCTAGGAGGTGGCTGTAACCTAGCCCTGGGGGTAGAGAAAGGAACTTTAGGGGGGCTTCTCCATAGAGGTCAGGAGAGGAAGGGGCTTCAGGAGAAGATAAGCAGCAGCCTTGGCCCTTGGGGTTGGCCTGCCCTCATCTTCCCTCTGTTCACTTTCACATCTTCATGTTTGTAATGCAAAGTTCATTTGGAAACTTGTAGCCTCTTTTAGTTGGACTAAAGGCATCAAAGGAAGGGGGTATAGCTTTTGTTCACATTTAGGCTGCCATTCTACAGGACAGCTGGGCGTGAACGGAGTACTACCTGCAATAAGAAAGCGGGAGAGGAGAAATTCGGTAGGGGGTGGTTTGCACAGCAGCTCCCCCCAGACAAAGATTCTGCTGCCAGACGCAACCTTCCTATCATCAAGGACGGAAAACTGAGGCTGGAGAAATTCTTTACAAACAAACCTTGTTATACCATCTTCCCGAACACATGTCTACCCAATTAGCTCCCTCGCCCAAGTCCCTTTGTCTTTCCTCATTTTCACAACTTACTATGCTTTGTCCAATTCAGTACATAAGTAACAGATTCTAACGGCTTCTTTGGGATTTCATTTCCGTATGAGGGCTCCTGTGCCACATAAAACTTGTATTAAGTGAATTTGTATGTTTTTCTTCTGTTGATCTATCTTATATCAATTTAATTCTTGAGTCCAGCCAGGACCCCAAGGGGATGGAGGTGCAGTTCTGCCTCCCCTACAGTTTCTGGTGACAAGGGAGGGACCCTAAAAGGCAGGGATGCCCACTAGCTCTGCAGCTTGGAGATGGGACTGGGAAGACTGACAAAAGATGGTAGAAAGTAGGAAATCTCACCCAGTCAGCTCTTAGATCTCTGTCTGTAGTGGCCATTCGAGAAAGGGAGGTAAACATTGTTCGTCGTCTTTTCCTTTCCAATTCAGATTGGTAGGAGAAAACATTTATAAGAATTAATTTTTCAAATTGTGACTCTTGTGAATTTGGTTCTGAGTACCCATTGGTTATAGATCACAGCCTCCCAGGAATGGTCCTTGTTTTCCTTGTCTCTGTCTTTTGTGTAGTTTGTCATAAGGAGGAAAATCATAAGATTTGGCCTTCATCTTGTTTTATGTCTTGAGAGCTTAGCTCGGGAACCAGTGAGGATATTCTCTGTGGTCTTTGCCAGCAGAAGTCGCACGTTGTCAGGCTTGCTTCAGGCGGCTAGCCAACTGGCTAGGAGTCCAGAACCAAAGTATCTCTTTGTCCCACTGTGCCAGCTCTTAGGGGAGTTTGTCTTAATTGTCTCAACTTCATTGCCTTGTTTTTAAAAAGGTCTGGCCGTTCTTAGGATATTCGGAGCAATTTGGATGCCAAGGCGGACAGTGTGCTTTTGCACCCTCTCTTGGAGGCACTTCTTGAGCCCATGGTTAAGTGATAAAAGGCTTCTTGGTTTTAAGCCATGAAAAGGCTTGTTGGTTTTGAGTCACAATTGAAATAGGTATACTTCTAAAAATTTGGACTTTTGTATCTAAAAGGGTTTTATTGTTGTTGTTGTTTTTTTTTTTTTTTTTTTTTTTTTTGAGAGACGGAATCTCGCTCTGTTGCCCAGGCTGGAGTAGAGTGGCACTATCTTGGCTTACTGCAACCTCCACCTCCCGGGTTCAAGCGATTCTCCTGCCTCAGTGTCCCAAGTAGCTGGGACTACAGGCATGCGCCACCAAGCCCAGCTAATTTTTGTATTTTTTAGTAGAGACGGGGTTTCACTATATGTTGTTCCAGGCTGGTCTGGAACTCCTGATCTCGGGCGATCCACCCGCCTTGGCCTCCCAAAGTGCTGGGACTACAGGCGTGAGCCACCGCGCCCAGCCAGTTGTTTGTTTTTAAAGAGTGCTCTCATCCTAAGCTGTCCTATTGGGTACCTATGGGAAAATCAAATTAAACGACACAAAATAATTTAATGGCTACCCTTAGCGATTCCCTTAGCAAGATTAAAGAACACAATCAGACTTAAAACAAAAATTCAATCCACACCGCTATAAATTTTCCCTGGGTGGTGAGACTGCAAAAGGCACTTAAGTCACCAAAGCCCGGGACTTGGCAGGAGGCCCCAGCGTGGAGGCTGCAGCTCATGCTGACCAGGAAGGCCCGGAGCATCTCACGGTCATGAAAGGGCCTCCGCCCTCACGCAGGAGGTCCCCGGAGGCAGGTCTGGAACTCCGTCCAGTCCTCAGAGTGGCAGTGCACTAGCGACCCTGACTACGAGCTCCAGGAACAGGCGAAACCTGCCGCACTCAGCTCCTAGGGGCCCCAATTCTGACAAAGGGAGCCTGCAGCACTCTGTGTAGGATCCTTAAAGTCTTTGATGGGCTTAGAGCTAGAACCAACCAACCAGAGAGGAGAAAGAAAACGGATTCAAAGACAGGAAATACAATCGGCTAAAAGCAGCGTTTAATAGCCGCGTCCTGGCTAGGGAAGGGAAGGCACCAATGCGAGGCCTGCGTGGCTGAGTGGCGTCACCTTGCCCTTCCCGTGTAATGGGACCAAGGAAGAAGCACAGACCTACTGCCCGGGGCTCCCGCCCTCCACAGCCCCTCCCCTCCGGGTTTCCCAGCGCGGGAGCTATGGGGCAAGTGCACTGCCTCGCCGCTCCACACTCGCTTGAACGCGTAAGAAATCCTCGTCAGACTCAGCTCCGGGCTGGGAGGGCTTGCGGAGGCAGCGGCGCAGCAAGCTGGCCCCAGCCCGGGTGGCAGTTCGCACCCACGCACGTCCAGCCGGGGTCACCACCTGGAAGCGCTGCATCCCATCACCTGCGTCGGGTCCTTCCAGTGCCCACCGATTCCACTGCCCAGTTACGGGGAGGATTGTACGGGGGGTGGGGAGGGACACACAGCACCTCACGCACGCCGAGGGCACCAGGACCCTCTAGCAGCGACGCGCCTCAAGTCGCTGCAGAAGCTGCAGAAGGTACATCTAGCCCTGTCTGCATGGGCTCCTTCGGCGGAAGGGAACATCTCACACTCCAACCCGAGCAAATCTAGCGCTCCTGCCAACACCGCCCGCCGCAACAGCAACGAATTCATCCATCCCAGATTCGCCACCAGGGTCCGACGGTTCTGTCCCCGCGGGCCTTACCACTTGGCTTGCGGTGTTGACGCTGGACTGTCCGAAGGCTTTTGGCAAAGTTGCTTCCCAAGCATGTTTACTGTGGAAGGGTGAACAGCCACCAAAGACACCACCTGCAACACAAGTACATAGGAGGTTAAGAGCCACGTGTCTTTTCTGAATTAAGGGTAAAAGTGAGAGTTTCAGGAAGATGATGCTTATAATTAGAAACTCTTAACTTTCCCCCACTTTTACCTTTTTAGATCCATGGTTCAATTGCAAATACCTTCATTAAGCTTAATTGTCATTTTTTTTTAAAGGGAGGACAGGGGTTGCATTGGCAGGACTCACTTGTTCCTTCCCATAGGTCTGGTTCATTCCTCCCTGGGCACTTCCTGGCTGGGACTCGGGTGTCCCCGGCATATCACCGACTGCTCTGAGCCCCTCTGAGGCTGTCTACTAGGGAGAGTGCTGGTGGAACTGTGTGATCCAGAAATAACGCTCTTAAAAGTCTATGTTTTTATGATAATTACAGAATAGAATTTTAACATTGGAATTAACTTTTACTCCAACATTTCTCTATATAGTTGCAAAACTAGTTCAGAAATCTTAATGATCCACTTTTCCTTAAGAAGAATTGCATTTCTGTTTCCAGAAAGAATGCCTTGTGAAGAAGCTGCCCCCTCTTTAAATACACAGATCACAAAGCAAGTGGGAAAACAGATCTACATAGATACACAAATATTTATTCCTTCCACAAATGGAAGGATGCTGAGTGTTCTCCGTACCCGGCGCCATTCTTGGTCCTTGGGATATAACGATAAATCAAAATCAGGAAATATTTTATTTTACATAATAGATAATAAACTGAAGTAGAAATGATAAAATTTTTTAAATGGCATTAGAGGGCAGAGAGGAAATAAACAAGGAAATCTGTAAAATAGGTTGTGGCACCTTGGATAATGAGGCAGGAGGCAGGGTGGTTGGGAAAAGCCCTGGGAGGAGAACTGTGAGTGGAACCCGGATGGAGTCTAGCAGCAGGCACAGACCGGGAGGCCAGTGAAGCTGGGAAATGCCCGACACCCTTGGGTGGAGAACAAGGTAGACTGAAGAACAAGACAGATTTTCAGGTCATTACAACACCAGGAAAGGAGAAATCCCTGTTCCTGTCAAGCTTCCGAACCACTCTGATCTCTCTACACAAGACCAGCCCTGGCCGGGCGCGGTGCCTCACACCTGTAATCCTAGCACTTTGGGAGGCCAAGGCAGGTGGATAACCTGAGGTCAGGAGTTCGAGACCGGCCTGGCTAACATGGTGAAACCCTGTCTCTACTAAAAATACAAAAATTAGCCGGGTGTGGTGGCAGGCGCCTGTAATTCCAGCTACTTTCGGAGGCTGAGGCAGGAGAATCGCTTGAACCCAAGAGGTGGAGGTTGCAGTGAGCCGAGATGGCGCCATTGCATTCCAGCCTGGGTAACAAGAGCGAAACTCCATCTCAAAACACACACACGCACGCACACACACACCACCACCACCACCAACAAACCAGCCTTTTCCAGGAACACCCACCTGTTGCTGCGGGGGAGGATGGTTCTCAAGGCTTCCTCCCACAAAGGTTAACACCAGGACAACATTTTCCTTCATTTCCACCAATTCCATCATAATAACTTCCAAATAATAAGACATTCAAATACATTATCTTCAATTTAGCTCAATCTGAACTTTCATATTGGGGCCCTTTGCAACCCATGCATTTTAAAGAAGTCTATTGCTTTTTATGCATTTTTTAAGCAATAGGCTTCTTTAAAATGCATTAAATAATGAATTTAGCTGCTACACAGGAACACTGAATAATTTTTCTTAATAACCTCAGTTGTATGAACCTGACATATTTTCAGAAAAAAAATAATAATAACCTCAGTTGACCAAGAAAGATAAGAAGTTACTAGAAAGATATTCACTTTTTAATTCAACTAAGTAAATATCAATATTTTTACCATCGAATACCAAAATATATTTAAATTATTTTCTATAACTAAAATAAGATTATTTTCTATAACTAAAATAAGATTATCTGCTTTGGGATTTTTATTTTCTTCCAAAAAAATAAAGATCTGTATCTTAAGAAAAATAAGTATTTACTTTTTAATTGTTTCATATATGTGAAGACTTTTTGATTTTAGAACATTTAATTGACAACGATTGTATATATTTAAGGTATACAACATGATGATATACATTTAAACACATATATTGTGTAATTGTTACAGCACAGAGGTCCGGATCCAGACCTCAAGAGAGAGTTCTTGGATCTCGAGCAACAAAGAATTCAGAGCAAGTCCGCAGTGCAAAGTAAAAGCAAGTTTATTAAGAAAGTAAAATGGTGAAAGGACAGCTACTCCTTAGACAGAGTAGGGCCTTCCCGAAAGTAAGAGGAGGAACGCATGCACCCTATGTACAGTGCTGCTATATATATAGGATAAAAATAGATCTTGGGGAGATGTGCTCTGCTACGAGGGTTTGTGATAAAGGATTAATTTTCGTAATTACTACCTTTTGTAAGAATCAATATTATTATCTTTAAGGCAAAATTAAGAATGCCTTTGTTCTCCAGATATCGGGATATCTGGACACTCCCAAGTCTGGGTCTGTTTTAGTAAACATTATTAATCTGTTCCCTTTACTGTAAACATCCAGAGGCCAGGAATGCCTGATTTTCTGGGAATGCAGCCCAGCCAATCTCAGCCTCATTTTCCTAGCCCTCACTCAAAATGGAGTCGCTCTGGTTCGAAAGCCCCTGACATAATGATTACTAGTGAAAGCCATTTTTAAAAACAAACGTAAAGTTACTTTGCAGTGAGCAATTTAAAATACAGTTAGTCAAATAGACTTCACATTCAGATTCATGTACAGATGAGTAAATAGTAAGTTTCCAACAATACTAAATTGATTAATAAAAAAGAAATATAACCTTTTTTTTCAATTTGCAAATGACTTCTTCATTTCAATGAATTTGAAGAAGGAAACAGAACCCTCTGAGTTCACAGAAGCTTGTGGAGGGAATCATCACTGTCAACATCAGCAGCTCAGGCAGTTCTCACCATGACACTGTCATATTTCAAAGCTTATTTTTGTTGTTGTTGTTGTTGTTGTTGTTGTTTTGAGACAGAGTCTGGCTCTGTCACACAGGCTGGAGTGCAGTGGCATGATCTCATCTCATTGCAGCTTCAACTTCCCAGGCTCAAGCGATCCTCCCACTACAGCCTCCCGAGTAGCTGGGACTACAGATATGTGCCACCACGCCTAGCTAATTTTTGTATTTTTTTGGTTCAGAGATGAGGTTTCTCCATGTTGCCCAGGCTTTAAAGCTTATTTTCTATGTCAAGTACTTGGAAGTCAGAACATCTTGTTCCACAGGAACCAGGCAACATCCTGTATGGCTAGACCTGTAGGGCAGCCACAACAGCCACCCACCACACAGGACAACAGCAGCAGCACCCCAGAGCCACGGGTACAAAACAATGCACCTGGAATCCCAATCTGGGGTTCTCATTTTCTGCCCCAGCAGCAGGAGTGAGGAGAACTGGAGGTGTCAGGTGACCAGCAGATCTGTGAGGCAGAAGTGGAGTTGAGACCCCCAGAGAGGGCTGGCTGAATCTCTGCCCCTGTCTTCCCATCTGCTCTGCCCACAGGCTGGCCAGTTGGCCTCTAAGTCACCTGTCACTCCATCCAGGGTCTCCCTCTTAGCCTCTGAGCCCAACACAATAAGGCTCAAGAATGTATTTCCAAGGGTTTTCCCAGCTAGAAAAGAGAGAGAAAAAAAGCAGAAGGAAAAGGTCTATCCATGGTACTCAGGGCAGAATGAGTCAATCCCCACAGAAACTCCAAGGTTCCCTAAGCTTCCCCACCTGTCTCCACCAGCCACCTAGACAAGCCCCAAATTAGCTGTAGGTAAGGAGTTTTTCAACCACTGAGGACTTGCCAAGCACAGAGTGGCCCTCTAAGTCTAGATGAGAACTAAGACCTCTGAGCACATGCCAAAATCCAATCCAGCACAATCCAGAAATGTCACTGTGTGACCATACAAACTCTGCACAAGACACAGGGTGGGGCATTTGCACAGGACAGAGGGTACATGCATTAGTGACAAAGAGGAAAAAGAAACTAGTCTCTTTCAGGGTGCAAACCCCTCACCAGCATTTCAGATGGGAAGCTCCCAGGGCACACCAGCCCACCCACCAGGTTATAACAATGCCCCTTTCTCCTTTGGACACAGGACACCTCAGGCCACACCCCAGGAGTGCAGGCTAGGTTGGGCTGCTGACTTCTAGATACTGGGTGCTTGGTGAGCCTTTTGTTTCTACTGAGTAAGAAGAAATACAAAGAATAATATTACAAAGAGTCTTATTCCAGTACACCTAAAATTAATTATTATCATTATATCATATTTGCTTCAATTTTACTAAAGAAAAAAAAAACAACAAGGACTAGAGCTAAAAGTACAGTCCCAAACATCCTCAGGCCCAGCCCCACCCCTGTCTTCCACTCTGCATCCCTTGCAATGATCAGGGCCTTGATGGACATGCTTAGTCCATTTTAAATATTTTTCTAGGCATGAAAATGAACCCAAGAACAATATAAGGATTGTTTTTGTGCCTTTAAAATTTAGAAAAAATATATACATTTTATATGTTCTACAATTTTTTTATTTTTATTTTTTTTTGAGACAAGGTCTTACTCTGTTGCCCAGAGAGCAACACAGTAAGAGAGAGAGAGTGGCACAATCACGGTTCACTGCAGCCTCCACCTCCTGGGCTCAAGTGATCCTTCTGCCTCAGTCTCCCGAGTAGCTGGGACTACAGGCTTGTGCCTTGGCAGCTTCCATGTGGTGTTGAGCCTGCAGGTGCACAGAAGTCAAGAATTGAGGTTTGGGAACCTCCGTCTAAATTTCAGAGGATATATGGAAACACCTGGATGCCCAGGTAGAAGTTTGCTGCAGGAGCAGGGCTCTCATGGAGAACCTCTGCTAGGGCAGTGCAGAAGGGAAATGTGGAGTGGGAGCCCCCACACAGAGTCCCTACTGGGACACTGCCTAGTAGAGCTGTTAGAAGAGGGGGCCACTGTCCTCCAGACCCCAGAATGGTAGATCCATTAACAGCTTGCACCGTGCACCTGGAAAAGCCACAGACACTCAACGCCAGCCCATGAAAGCAGCCAGAAGGGGCTGTACCCTGCAAAGCCACAGGGGTGGAGCTGCCCAAGACTATGGGAACCCACCTCTTGCATCAGTGTGACCTGGATGTGAGACATGGAGTCAAAGGACATCATTTTGGAGTTTTAAGATTTGACTGCCCCACTGGATTTTGGACTTGCATGGGGCCTGTAGGCCCTTTGTTTTGACCAATTTCTCCCATTTGGAATGGCTGTATTTACCCAATGCCTATACCCCCACTGTATCTAGAAAGTAACTAACTTGCTTTTGATTTTACATGCTCATAGGCGGAAGGGACTTGCCTTGTCTCCGATGAGTCTTTGGACTGTGAACTTTTGAGTTAATGCCAAAATGAGTTGAGACTTTGGGGGACTGTTGGGAGGGCATTATTGGTTTTGAAATGTGAAGACATGAGATTTGGGAGGGCCCAGGGGCAGAATGATATGGTTTGGCTGTGTCCCCACCCAAATCTCATCTTGAATTGTAACTCCCACAATTCCCACATGTCATGGGAGGAACCTAGTGGGAGGTAATTGAATCATGGGGGTGGGTCTTTCCTGTGCTGTTCTTGTGATAGTGAATAAGTCTCATGAGATCTGATGCTTTTAAAAATGGGAGTTTCTCTGCACAAGCTCTCTCTTTGCCTGCTTCCATCCATGTAAGATGTGACTTCCGCCTCTTTGCCTTCCACCATGATTGTGAGGCCTCCCCAGCCACATGGAACTGTAAGTCCCATAAACTTCTTTCTTTTGTAAATTACCCAGTCTCGTGTATGTCTTTATCAGCGTGAAAACAGACTAATGCATTGACTCACAGTTCCACATGGCTGGGGAGGCCTCACAATTACAGTGGAAAGCAAAGGAGAAGCAAAGGCATATCTTACATGACAGCAGGCAAGCGAGCATGTACAGGGGAGCTCTCCTTTATAAAACCATTAGATCTCAGGAGACTTATTCACTATCATGAGAAAAACACAGGAAAAACCCACCCTCATGATTCAATTACCTGTCACTGGGTCCCTCCCATGACACATGGGAGCTACAATTCAAGATGAGATTTGAGTGGGGACAAATATCAGCCATATCAATGGGGTTTTGCCATGTTGCCCAGGCTGGTCTCAAACTCTTGGCCTCAAGTGATCCTCTCACCTCAGCCTCCCAAAGTGCTGGGATCACAGGCATGAGCCACTGTGCCTGGCCCTAGTTCTTTAGGTTTCACAATAGCAATGCTGTCTACAGGAGTAATTGAGGAAGTTATAAATCTTGTGACTGCTTACTTGACTCAGGGCAGTAAGCAAATTATGGAAAAGCAAGTGAAGCCATGGCAGGTTGTTTAACTATGCCTATATTTTAGCAAATTTCAAGCCCCTCCCATAATGCTAACCTTGTGACCTTCTGTTAGTCTTTACAAACATGGTTTCAATTTTTGAACAAGGAAGGGATCCATTCAAGGAAAGTACTAGTATAGCCTCTGTGCATGAATGAGCAAAAGCAATTTAGCATGCTAGGAGCAAGATGGAGTCAGTTATGTCAGATTTCCCTTGCTACTATAGTTTTTGCAAAGGTGATTTCAGCTGCTTAGACTTAGGAAAAATGGGCTTCACAGACAATTCTCAATTGAATTCAAGCTGAGGCAACCATGATCCAATAGCTGTCCTCTGGCAGCGTCAGAACTCATCAACTGCATAAACCATATCTCCACTGTGCCCAGGTACGGCTGGGCCCCACTGGTAGGATATCCTCCTGAGAACCTGCATATGCTTATCCAAGTTCACAGCACATCTCGGACCACTTCCACAAACCTCTCCAGGTGAACTCTGCAGAGCTCTGTTTGCAGCCCTTTACCTCCTTGGAACAGCATTTCATCAAAGAGTCATCATGTCATGCCTAGGAACAAGGTTTACAGCTACATAAATGTCATTACTGAGCTAAAAACTACACTGAATTTTTAAATGATTTTAGGTTAAAAATAAAAGGATAGGAAGAGAGAAAAAGTTGATGGCCACTCCTGAAAGTTCCCTAGGTGGTTAGCCATTTGAAGGGGTCAACTGAAAGTTATGCCCCTTCCTCCTGCAACAGGGGTGCCTCTGCCTAACTGTTGCAGAAAGACCAGACTGAATTCACCCACAATCCATGTGACGTGTATGTGTTTTGTTTTTTTTCATTTTTTTATGACAGGGTCTTGCTCTGTCACCCAGGCTGGAGTGCAGTGGTGCAATCACAGCTCACTGCAGGCTCAAACTCGTGGCTAAAGCAATCCTCAGCCTCCTGAGTAGCTGGGAATGTCAGATTTCCCTTGCTATGATAGTTTTTGCAAAGGTGATTTCAGCTGCTCAGGAAAAAGATGTCCAATAACAAAAGGTAGCAAATAGCATCATACAGCCATTAGGAAACTTAGGAGAAATGGACTTCACAGGTAATTCTCAATCAAATTCAGGTGCATGCCACCATGCCTGGCTAATATTTTGAAAAATTTTGTGTAGTGATGGTGTCTCACTATGTTGCCCAGGCTGTGTGTGTATATGTGTGTTTGGGAGGGTGCAGTTCACAAGCAGCAGTTACCACATGTCAAGAATTATGTAAACAACACTAAGTTTTCTATGACACATCATTGCTAAATTTTCCTCTCTTTTTCTTAGAATCCTATTCTAAAGGTGAAAGACACAATACTGAAGCAGAAGGAAAATAAAAACATAACAAAGGAGGATGCTCTTTCATAAGTTAGATGAGGACAACATAGGAAACAATGATTCTGGGTTAAATCAATAGTGCATGGAGAAAAGAAAATCAAGTGACCACATGTGCAGGACACTCCTAGAATTAGCGGGGAACCACAGGACGGACCCAAGCTCTTCCCTCTTGCAGACTGGGCAACCCACACTACACAACTCACAACCCCTGGCCTTGGTGCCTTAGAGCTTTCCAGGAAAAAGACGGATTTATATTAATAATCAACCAAGAGAAATTAGAGATCTACAGACACATGTCAAATAACAAAAGGTAGCAAATAACATCATATAGCCATTAAAAACTAGGACAGGAAGGACCTCAACGACTGGAAAACTGAAGTCACCATACAGTATAGAAATGGTTATTGCATGTCACAAAAACATTACACGTACATGCACTTGTGTTAGAAAAAGATTCACCAAAATACTGAATTCACATTACAGTATGTGTCCATACTTCTATTTGTATTCTTAGATACAGTTCAGGTTGTTTTTCAGTGAGCATGTATTATTTTTAAGTATCATTAAGTGCTGGCAGAGAGATAGCACTGAGATCAGAGAAAGATGAGCATACTTCCAGCTGTAGTCTCCAAGATTGGTGTCCTTGGGGACATGGGGCCAAGGGATAGGAAGGATTAGACCTATCAGGAAAGATGGTAGAGCACTCTGAGCAGGTCGGAGAAAGCAGCATGGGACAAGGAACTCACCCTGGAGTGGGGGTGTGGGAGAGGGCCAGGCAGGAACTTCAAGGACAGGCAAAGCAATCTGCACAGAATCCTATCAATACTGCAGGGCCACAGAAGTGATACGAGTAAGAGAAAGGGACCAATTGAGGAACAGAAAGAAAGAAAATCTAAAAAACTGACGATACCAAGCATTGGTGAAAATGTGGAGCAACTGGAACTCTCATTCATATGTTGCTGGATAAG
Source organism: Homo sapiens (assembly GCF_000001405.40). NCBI lineage: Eukaryota > Metazoa > Chordata > Mammalia > Primates > Hominidae > Homo > Homo sapiens. The sequence goes on along the minus strand of NC_000002.12, from coordinate 174,720,984 downwards.
AATGTGAAATTGTACAGCCACTGATGTTGGCTGTATGACCCGGCAATTCCAAACCTAAGTATCTGCCCCAAAGCAACAAACACACATGCCCACACACAAATGTGTATGCATATATTTATACCAACATTTTCTTTTTTTTTTTTTTATAGTTTAATGTATTTTAATAGCAAACTTACAGGAACAGCACAGAAGACAGACAACATTAAAAACATGTACTTGCATGTAGGACAACTCAGTTAGAAAAGTATAGTGAATGGATGGAATCTACTGTATGATAAAAATGCTACAAACACCATTTAGTTGCCATCAATAAGAAATTTACTTGTTTTAAAAAAATCCAAATGCTGGCATTGTCCAGAAAAATTTAACAGGTTTATTTATAATTATTATAAAGTTGAACCGCTGAAACTTGTTCACTGAAACATTTTAACTTGCATTAATGCTTTACGTCTCCGCATTTATATTAAAAATTCACACACAAATGAAAATGGAAAAACTGCCAATACCTGATTTCTGTCCCCTATTTTTCCACTCGCAATCATATACTTAGGTACCTTTTGACCCCATGGAAAAAAAATATCTAACGTTCAGAACTACCAATAACAGGAAGAAGAGAAATTTTTTTTTTTTTTTTGAGAATGAAATGTTTCCCATCATAGTGGATTCTTAAGCACGTTCTCCACGTATGCGGCGTGCTAGCTGGATGTCTTTTGGCATAATTGTTACACGTTTGGCATGGATAGCACACAGGTTGGTGTCTTCAAAAAGGCCAACCAGATAGGCCTCACTTGCCTCCTGCAAAGCACCGATAGCTGCGCTCTGGAAGCGCAGATCTGTTTTAAAGTCCTGAGCAATTTCTCGCACCAGACGCTGGAAGGGAAGTTTGCGAATCAGAAGTTCAGTGGACTTCTGATAACGTCTAATTTCACGGAGCGCCACAGTACCAGGCCTGTAACGATGAGGTTTCTTCACCCCTCCAGTAGAGGGCGCACTCTTGCGAGCGGCTTTTGTAGCCAGTTGCTTCCTGGGTGCTTTACCACCGGTCGATTTGCGGGCAGTCTGCTTTGTACGAGCCATGGTACAGAGACCTCCTTACTTACCCCCCTTCTCCTTCGGCTGGAGCTCGGCGAGCGAGAGGCGGCGCTGGCGTTGGAGAGCGACGGCGGCGCGGCGGCGGCTGCGAACCTATACCAACATTTTCTACTAGTAAAAAAAAAAATCAGAAGCAACCCAAATGGCTACCACAAGTAAAATGACCCATGTGGAAATGTATTGTCTGAAACTCTACATCACGGGCTCTTGTCCCTGTGGCGTCTGTGGATGCAAAATATTAAGTTTGGTGCATTTTTCTGGGGAACAAGGAGCTTTTTGAGTCTCAAAGAGTATGGTGGTCAGTTTTATGTGTCAATTTGATGAGGCTCTATTGCCTAATTATTCAACTAAACATTAGTCTCAGAGTGGCTATGGAGCTCTTTTGTAGATGAGGTTAATACCTATAGTTAGTTGACTTTAAGTAAGTAAAGGAGATTACTCTTGATGGTGTGAGTGAGACTCATCTAACCAGCTGAAGGCTCTAAGAGCAAAAACTGACGTTTCCTGATAGAGGAATTCTGCTTCAAGACCTCAGCATCAATTCCTACCTGTTTCCAGCCTGCCTTACAGATTTCAGACTTGCCAGCTTTCACAATCATGTAGGCCAATTCCTAGAGATGAATCTCTTTGACATGCATTACATATCGCCCACTGGCTCTGCTTCTCTGGAGAACTCTGATAGATATGGGGGAAATCTGGAAATCCACAGTAGCAGGAGGAGGAGGAGGAGGTGAAACAAGTGGCCCAGAGCCACCTGCAGTGCTAGGAGGCGTGAGGTGGAATAGAATTAGGAGAATCAGGACCAGGACCCTGATGGGGCAACAGCAGCCCAGGCTCATGGCAGGAGCACAGGAAGACCGAGTTTCACAGGAACACTAGAGGAGGGATGAGGCGGGAACCCAATCCTGGGCCTGGCTTAGTCTCAGGAGCAATGCAGAGCATTGTCTCCGACAGAGGCAGCAACATGCCGGTCATGCTGGTTACTCATGCACTGAACCCCCCAGAGAGGCCACGACGGGGGAAAGGTGGTGATACAGCTTGCAGGGGGGATATGGCCAGGAGGGTTATGGTGGTGGTTAGGGGGTAACATACCAAAAGTTAAGTCCAGGAGGTTAATTCCAGATGAGTAAAACCAGGTGAATGTGGCCAGGTGGAGAAAAACATGAAGTTAAGACTAAGGTCAGGAGATTAAGGCCAGCTGAATAAAGCTAGGTAGTCAACATCAGGTGAGTAAGGTCAAAAGGTTAAGGCTAGGTGTGTAAGACCAGCTGGATAAGCCAATTGGGTAAGGACAAATGAGTAAGGCCAGGAGGTTACACAGTGTGTTAAGGCCTGGTGAATAAAGCCACGTAGATAACATTGGGTGGGTGAACCCAAGAGGTTCAGGCCAAGAGTTTAATGAGTCCAGGTAAGTAAAACCAAGGAATTAAGGCCAGGTGGGTAAGCCAGGTTGGTAATGCCAGGATATTAAAAACAGAAGTTTAATGCCAGATGAGTGAGGCCAGGTGGGTAAGGCCTACTTGATATTTGCACCTGTGTCATCCTCTCCTCACTGAACTGACATCTGTAGCCCTTAGGAAACTGGAAGTGATGGAGTGTGGCTTTTGAAGCTAGGATAGTTCCTGTTCTCTTGGATCACTCATTCCATGGAAAGCTGGCAGCCATGATGTGAGGACACTCAAACAGCCCTGTGGAGAGGCCCTGATGGTGAGAAATGGAGGCCTCCTGCCTGCGGCCACGTGGGTGACTCATCTTGGAAGCAGACCCTCCAGCCCCTATCAAGCTTTCTGATGACTGCAGATCTGGGCAACATCCTGACTGCAACCACATGAGCCATCCTGGGACAGATGTACCCAAACCAAGCCACTTCCAAATTCCTGACCCATGGAAACTGTGTGGGATAATACATATTTATCGTCATTGTAAGCCACTAAGTTTTGAGGTTGTTTAATTCATAGCAATAGATAGCTAATACAGTAGTTAGAATTTTTTCTAGAACATTAAAAAAATTGCCTCTTTTCATGAACCAGGTTAGTCATGAATATGTTTTTGAAGGGATCATGAATCCTACATAAATTAATTTAGTTCCATATGGAAAGATCATTGGCATTGTCACCTATAATCCTACCCTCCACCCCTAAAGCAGTGCCCCTCCAGCCTCCTCGTAATTGTGCTCGCTTTCCTAAACTTCTCCCCACCTCCTGGAAGCTAATCCCAAAGGACAATGAAATACTTTAATATAAAGACCTCACTGGCTTACAATGGTGAAGTACAGCAAGAACCAACTAAGTTAGCAGGAAGTTATTTTAGTCTTCCTTGAAAAAGAAAATCACTATGTTGCTGATTTAATTTCAATTTGTGGTCAACCACAACACTCCACTGAAGTTCTGTACAACCACAGTGCAGTTTAGTCAGCCTTGCCCCAATCTAAAACGTAGCACTTGCTTGTCATTCCATGCTCGCTGCTGTCCACCTTTGAAAAGAACCATTAACTGCTCCACCTCCTTCCCAAGGTGGAGCCCAAGCAGGGCAGTAACGTGGGGACCCTAGGCTTCCATTTCCGCCTGAAGAATGGGATAGCACACTAGCCCCCGCCCCGTGAAAATTAAGGTGCAATGTTTAAACATTTAAAACCCTGTACATGGGGTGACCAACCATCTGGGTCGGGACTTCTGGGGACAAAGAAGGGCTCCTAGGTTGCTGAAATTCCAGGGCTCAAATCAGGCAAGTCCCAGGCTACCTGTAAAGTGCAGGTTGGTCAATGGAAGCTGTTAATAGTAACACCATCCAGGATCTGTCTGCTAATGCAAGCGTCAGTGTCAACACTGTGTACAAGGGGTGCATATCGGCCCACTGGGAACTGCCTCCTCCCTGTGTGTTCAAGCTTCCTGCAGCAAAGCCTCAGGATCCAAGTCCCTGCTCTCCCAGGCAAAAGGCCAACATGCCAGTCTTCACTCGAGGGACCTTGCTAGTTCTCATCTCAAGAACCACCCCTGTCTGTAACTTCCCCCACATCCTGCCCTGTGTAAGTTTGGGTCTCCTCTAACACTTAAGATGTTAAGGCAGTCCAAGTTCATGCAACAAATTACATCATCAAACACAATTATCTGTACAATAATATACAAACACAGATTCAGTTATAACCCCTAAAAATCTTGTGTTTTTAAATATAAAGACATTCTTAAAGGTTAATATTTAGTGAATGCTATAAAACCTCAGCCAGGCACAGTGGCTCACACCTGTAACCCCAGCACCTTGAGAGGCTGAGGCTGGGAGAATTGCTTGAGGCCAAGAGTTCAAGACCAGCCTTGGCAACCTAGTGAGACCTTGTCTATACTAAAAGAATTAAAAAAAAAAATTAGCCGGGCATGGTGGCACACGCTTGGTCCCAGCTACTTGGAAGGCTGAGGTAAGCAGATCTCTTGGGCCTGGGAGGTCAAGGCTGCAATGAGCCATGGTCATGCCACTGCACTCCAGCCTGGGTAACAGAGCAAGACCCTGTCTCAAAAACAAACAAACAAAAAACCTCAATCATACCAACACAAATATTGACTTGAAAACATTATTACAGTTATACCATCTGAAACACGCCATTCACGAGTCTTTCTTTTTTATATTTCATAGCATGTAGAGTATAACCTAGAGGAACCTGATGACAGGCATTAAAATGCAAACTTTTATTTTTTCAAATGTATTAATTACTGAAGTTACTATTAATTTTAAAATGAGTGCACTGGACTTATTTACCTGTGAAGTCTTTATACTCAAGATACAAACTTATCTCCCAGTAAGGAAATGTCAAATTGCTAAGTACATTGACATATAAACCAATAGCAAACATACTCCTTGCTACAGCTAAACTTAATTTTTCTTAGAAAAACTATATCCAACCATTTGGCTCTGTAGTTAATGGAAATAAAAATTGATTATTCTTTTCCGTCTTATATTAGATAAAACTGTACTATTAGTAGCAGCAATAACAGTAAAACAAGTTTCCAAAACACATCGTGCTGCTAGACAAAGCTGAACTAATTAAAAATGAGGACTATAAAATTGAATAGAATGATATTACTACATTTAGCAATCCTTACTAGTGCTCACCATGTACCAGGTTTTACAAACGCAACTGATATAAGTTCCTTAGCAGCTCTAAGAGGGGTCCTATTACTGCCATCTTTTTTTCCTTTCTTTCTTTTTTTTTTTTTTAGACAAGCTCTTGCTGTGTCAGCCAGGCTGGAGTGCAGTGGCAGGATCATAGCTCACTGCAGCCTCAATCTCCTGGACTCAAGTGATCCTCCCAAGCAGCTAGGACTACAGGTGCATGCCACCACGCTTGGCTATTTTTTTTTTTTTTTTTTAGAGATGGGGTCTCACTATGTTGCTCAGGCTGATCTTGGACTCCTGGGCTCAAGTGATCCTCCCAGCTTAGCCTCCCAAAGTGCTGGGATTACAGGCGTGAGTCACCACACCCACCCCATCATTTTTTAAAATGCACAAGTGACCACGATTCTCAGGATTCTGCAGTTGTCTGCATCACCCACAGATCAAGTGCAAACTCCTAGACTAGACAGAGATGGCTCAGGAAGGAGACATCACCCCCTGGCCCACCTCACACCACTTTCCTTCCAGCTTCCCGTCCCAGCCCCTCAACACCCCCAGCCACACAGCCCTGTCCCACCTCCAGTTGCACCTCCTAAGACTCAGTCCAGGTTGACTCTTCCCCTGGAGCCCCCAGGGTCATGGAGACCAAGTCAGGCACCAGTTCTAGCTAGGGAGACAAAGGAAGGAGGGGTGCAGAGAGTCCAGTCCCCGTGAGGAAGGGATAGGGGCCAGCACACAGGAGGAGGAGCTGCCAGGCTGGGCACAAACCCAGAGGAAACTCAGTGAGGCCTGTGCACCCTCCTGCCTCCTCTCAGCCCTCCTTGCTGGACTCTTCTCTCCCCACTTCTCATTTACTGTACAATTTACTAACTTGTTTTCCACTGCCTTTCTCTCCCCATTAGAGTGCACACCCTGTAAGGGCAGGAATTTTGCCTGGTAAGAAAACTGCTGAAGCAAGGGTCCTGCCGTTGAGATTGAAGAGGCTCATAGGCCAGGCCCAGAAGAGGTGAGGCGGGGGGCAGTCAAAGAGAAGAATGCAGGGGTCCACCCCATACATAATTCAGGGTTGAGGGTCACCCAGTCTGTCACAGCTACTCAACTCTGCCACTGTAGCAAGAAAGCAGCCACAGATGATCTGTAACCAAATGATCAGGCCTATGTCCCAGCACAACTTTATTACAAAAGCAGGCAGTGGATGGGATTTGGCCCACAGGCAATTGTTTGCCCACTGAAATGCAGGTGACATTCAAGTAGAAAAGTTAGAAAACACCAGGAGAGGGGGCCGAATAAAAGGACGGAGGAGTACAGACTTTTTAAAGTATGCACAGAAACCTGAGAATGATGCCACAGAATAAGAAAACTACAATCCATCTCCCGTGTGGATATTTACCAGGCACGCGGGAACAGTTACAATGGCCAAGTGGAGACAAGGCCACAGTGTAAACCTTAGAAATCTGCATGTACGACTGACCTCAGTGCCTCAGGACCACACTTAATAAAGTCAACATCCACTCCAACTGAACAAGAGACACACACACATACATCTCAGCTCTATAACCAGCATCGTGACTATGAGTTAAAGGCTGGATGCGCTCTGTGGACCAGACAGGGGTGCTGAAGAGTGTTAATGTTACCGGATGGGACCTGCATTAGACAAGGAAACAAAAAGACATAAATTCATCCTTATTTGCCTTCATGAAAATTATTAGAAAAACTATTATGATATCAAATAGCTTCCCTTTATATCAATAACTGGGCAGAAAAGATAAAAATTAAGTCCCTTTCACAGGAGCCATAAAAACATAAAATACCCAGGAACAATCCTAACCTAAAAAGTATGTACAGCCAAGAAGAAAGTGACCTAACTTCACTGAGGGATACATATGATGACTGGAATAAATGCATGCCATGTTATGGGGCAGAAACAATTAACATTGCAAATTAAACTGCATCATAAATGCAATTTTAATCAGTCACAAGTTTTGGTCATGATATTTAGGAGCTGAAAAATAAGAGCATTTTGAAGAGGCCTGGGTAAGAAAGAGGCCAGTCCTAAACAACAGCCCGACCGACAGGAACCTGGTGGAGATGGCTAGGTTGTTTCTGCCTGTCTGGAACCCATGGCCCTCCTGGCAATGAGATTCTCCTTCTGAGAACTCTCCTTACTTGTTCCATCCTCTCGGCTTCTGGATAGCCCTCCCTCAGACTCCAGGATGAATGAGGACCACAGGCTACTGGCACCTTCCTTCCACCTGACCACAGGATGAGCACTGAACTCAAGCAGGCCCAGTGAGAGGCACCTTGGGACAGAGTTGCTGTGGGTGCTGGGCTGTGGTGCCCCAGCCTGGAGTTGCCAGTAGCCCTCTTGGCACCTCAGGAGAGCATGCTTGAAAACAAGGCCAGCCCCGAGAGGTAAGGTGGGCCGACCTCCAAGATGGCCCCAAGCATCCTGCCTTCATGAGCTCATGGCCTTGCCTGACCCCTCCTTGTGTCTTACTGACTTGCGACTAACCCCCAGAGTCTGCTAAAGGTGAGATTAGGTCGTGAGAGACTGTGAAAATAGAAATTTTCTCTCTCTCTCTGTCTCTCGCCCCTACCCCCAACCCCTGGTTCTCACAAGCTGCCCTATGTCTCACAAGCTGCCCTATGGAAAGGCCCTTGCAGCGAGGACCTGGGGCAGCTCCAGCCAACAGCCCATGAGAGACCAAATACCCCCAGGAACCAGGCCAGTGAGAAAAAGGGGCCCTGCCTGGTGGTATCTGAGGTGAACACATCCCAGCTGACACCCTCCCTGCAGCCTGTGACAGGCTCCTGGCTGGGGACCCAGCCTCCTAACTGACAGAATCTGAGGTGATAAATGTTGTTTCAAATTACTAAATTGTAGGGTAGAGAGACGCTGGGTGACCTGCCAGCCCAGCCCTTCTCAGTGACAAGCTCCAACACAGCCCCCACTTTAAGGAAGAGTCCACAGTGCTATTATGAAGCAATAAGATATGGCTGGACTGTGCAAAAAAGGTCATGTCTGGAGAGGATTTGAAGTAGAGCAAAGATTCATCACATAAACATATTCCAAGTGGATAAAAGAATAAAGTGGAAAAAATATGGCTAGCAATGCCGTGTCTGGCAATGGTAGGCCAGTGAGCTTTAGATAAAGGCTGCTGCTGAAAACAATTACAAAATAAATTAATAAATACATATATAGTAAATCTGCACTTAACATTGTCAATAGGTTCTTGGAAACTGCAACTGTCCACTGTATAACAAAACCAATTTTGCTACAGGCTAATTGATGTAAACAACAGTTAAGTTCCTATGGCCTATTTCTGGTCACAAAAACATCACCAAACTTCTAAATAAAGACCAAAACACTTCTAATATTAAACACTGAGATAAATGGGAGCTGCACATCCATTTAAGAAAGATTAATAAAAACAAACAAGAGGACTATTGACCACTTGTTTCAGTTAAGGGCCTCAGGCAGCAGAGCCCAGCAGGTATGGTTGGCTATGGTTTGTCCCCACCAAATCTCATGTTAGAATTTGATCCCCAGTGCTGGAGGTGGGGCCTGGTGGGAGGTGTCTGGTCATGGTGGTAGATCCCTCATGAATGGCTTGGTGCTGTCCGCATGGTAATGAGTGAATTCTCACTCTATTAGTTCCCACGATAATTCCACCCCCCACCACCAAAGGCTGGTTTTTAAAAAGAGCCTGATGCCTCCCCAACTTGCTTTCTCTCCACATGATCTGCACACACCAGCTCCCCTTCCGCCATAAGTGAAAGCCACCTGAGGCCCTCACCAGAAGCAGAAGCTGGCACCACCACACTTCTTGTACAGTCTGCAGAACCATGAGCCAATTAACCCTTTCTTTATAAATTACCCAGCCTCAGGCATTTCTTTATAGCAACACAGACTAAGACACCATCCCAGCAGCTCAGGTCGCAAGATGAGAACCAGCCCTGGACCAGATGCCAACCCATCACAGGGCACACTCGCACACACCCACACACACACTCAGGCGGTGACCATGTGGACATGTCCATCTTTGGGATGTGGGAGGAAGCTGATGTATACAGAGAAAACCCACATAGACAAGGGGAACATGCAAACTCCACACAGACAGTGGCCCCCATCAGAAATCAATTAGTTTTTTCTCATCAACGTTATAGCAAGATGACATTATTCAAGTACCTGCTGTACATTTAAATCTGTGTAAGGGGATCAGGGCACTCCTAAGGTAGGGAGAAGTAAATAGCCAAGACCCACTTCTAGTAGGGAACGGAGGCTTATGAGCCTGGCTGCTCTTCCACCCCCAGAGCTCGCCAACTCCAAACCAGCAGCTGAGGGGCTGATAAACAGAGATTACTCACAGGGCTGGGAAAACCAGACCTCTAATGGCTGAAAAATGCCTGAGAACCAGTTCTCACAGAGGCCCAGGCCTGTGATGAGCGCCCTCTTTTTTATTTTTTGGCACAGTCTTGCTCTGTCACCCAGGCTGATCTCACCTCACTGCCACCTCTGCCTCCCGAGTTCAAGCAATTCTCCTGACTCAGCCTCCTGAGTAGTCGGGATTACAGGCACGAGCCACCACGCCTGGCTAATTTTTGTATTTTTAGTAAAGATGGGGTTTGGCCATGTTGGCCAGGCTGGTCTCCAACTCCTAGCCTCAAGTGATCCACCCGCCTTGGCTTCCCAAAACGCTAGGATTACAGGTGTGAGCCACCTCACCTGGCCCCAATTTCTTCAAAGTCTTATATTTCACTCTTCTGAATCCAACAAAGTTTAGCCAGGGATAAGGCCAAGCATCTAAGGCAATACCTCCTTTAACCTTTACTGCCCCATGCAGAAGGTAGTCTTGTTATCTTCACTTTATGGATGAGTAACTGAGTCGCAGAAGTCTTTGCCTAAGGTCATAGCCCTAGGACATGGCAGAACTGAGACTTAAACCCGGGCCCTGAAATACTACTTGGAATCCCATGCCCCATGCAACCTCCTCCTCCACAAACAAGGCCTGTTTCTACTAATACGAAAAGCGTTCTTCCAGGAAAATGGCACACGCTGCCCCAGTGGCATGAAGGAGGAGCCCAAGCCTGGGGGCATGGAAGAAAAACTGTCCCCACAAGGAGGGGGGAAGATAACATTATTTTTAATATTGCAGAAGGTGTACATCCCCCTTATGATATTGTTCCTAATATCCGGGGGGGAGAGGATGATATCACCCCCAATATCGCAGCGGGTGTACACCTCTTCTGTGATATTGTTTCAAATATCTAAGCAGGGGGAAGTGACATTACTCCCAATATCACAGGGGGTGTATAACATTCCTGGGATATTATTCCTAATATCCAGGGGGTGAGAGGATGATCTTACTCCTAATATCGCAGTGGGGGTTCACCCACCCTATGATATTGTTCCTAATATCCAGGAATGATGGGATGATATTACTCCCAATATCGTAGAGGCTGTATACCCCTCCTGTGAAATTGTTCCTAATATCCAAGGGGAGAGAGGATGATATTACTCCCAATAGTGCAGGGGATGTACACCCCCGCTGTGATATTGTTCCTAATATCAAGGGAGGGAGAGGATGATAGTACTCTCAATATCGCTGAAGGTGTACACCTCCCCCGTGACATTGTTCCTAATATCCAGAGGGGAAGAGGATGATATTGAGAGATGACAGCGTGCTGGCAGCCCTCGCTTGCTCTCGGTGCCTCCTCGGCCTTGGGGCCCATTCTGGCCGAGCTTGAGGAGCCCTTCAGCCTGCCGCTGCACCCTGGGAGCCCTTCTCTGGGCTGGCTGAGGCCAGAGCCGGCTCCCTCGGCTTGCAGGGAGGTGTGGAGGGAGAGGCACGAGTGGGAACCGGGGCTGCACCCCGCGCTTGCGGGCCAGCTGGAGTTCTGGGCGGGCGTGGGCTTGACGGGACCCGCAGTTGGAGCAGCCAGCCAGCCCCGGGCAGTGAGGGGCTTAGCACCTGGGCCAGCCCCTGCGGAGGGTGCCCTGGGTCCCCCAGCAGCCCTGGCCCACCAGCGCTGCGCTCGATTTCGATTTCTCGCAGGGCCTTAGCTGCCTCCCTGCAGGGCAGGGCTCGGGACCTGCAGCCCGCCATGCTTGAGTGTCCCCCCTCCCCGCCCACCATGGGCTCCTATGTGGCCTGAGCCTCCCCGACAAGCGCCGCCCCCTGCTCTGCCCGGTCCCATCAACTGCCCAAGGGCTGAGGAGTGCGGGCGCAGGGCGCGGGACTGGCAGGCAGCTCCACCTGCGGCCCCGGTGCGAGATTCACTGGGTGAAGCCAGCTGGGCTCCTCAGTCTAGTGGGAACTTGGAGAACTTTTATGTCTAGCTAAGGGATTGTAAATACACCAATCAGCACTCTGTATCTAGCTCAAGGTTTGTAAACACACCAATCAGTACTCTGTATCTAGCTCAGGGTTTGTGGATGCACCAATGGGCACTCTGTGTCTAGCTGATCTGGTGGGGACTTGGAGAACCTTTATGTCTAGCTAAGGGATTATGCATATACCAATTGGCACTCTGTATCTAGCTCAAGGTTTGTAAATGCACCAAACAGCACTCTGTATCTAGCTCAAGGTTTGTAAATACACCAATCGACACTCTGTATCTAACTAATCTAGTGGGGACATGGAGAACTTTTGTGTCTAGCTCAGGGATTGTAAACGGACCAATCAGCTCTCTGTAAAATGGACCAATCAGCTCTCTGTAAAACAGACCGATCGGCTCTCTGTAAAATAGACCAATCAGCAGGATGTGGGTGGGTCCAGATAAGGGAATAAAAGCAGGCTGCCCCAGCTAGCAGTGGCAAACTGCTCAGGTTCCTTTGCACACTGCTGTTTTGGTGTTTGCAGTAAATCTTGCTGCTGGTCACTCTTTGGGTCCACACTGTCTGTATGAGCTGTAACACTAACTGAAAAGTCTGCAGTTTCACTCTTGAAGTCAGCGAGACCACGAACCCGCCGGGAGGAAGGAACAACTCCAGACGAGCCCCATTAAGAGCTGTAACACTCACTGGGAAGGTCTGCAGCTTCACTCCTGAGCCACCGAGACCACGAACCCACCAGAAGGAAGAAACTCCGAACACATCCGAACATCAGAAGCAACAAACTCTGAACACACTGCTTTTACGAACTGTGACGCTCACCGCGAGGGTCCACGGCTTCATTCTTGAAATCAGTGAGACCAAGAACCCGCCAATTCTGGAGACAACATTACTCCCAATATGTAGGAGTTGTACAACCCCCTGTGATATTGTTTCAAAATCCAGGGGATGAGAAGATGATGTTACTCCCAATATCACAGGGGGTGTACACCGTCACTGTGATATTGTTCCTAATATCTGGGGGGGAGGATATGATATTCCCAATATCGCAGGGGGTGTAACTCCTACTGTGATACAATTTCTAATAAACAGGTAAATAGGATATTACTCCCAATATCATGGGGTGTTTACACCCCCACTGTGATGATGTTCTTAATTTCTTCTTTTTTTTATTGTTCCTAATTTCAAGGTGGGGAAAGGATGATATTACTCCCAATACCGCTGCAGGTGTACACCCCCCCATATAATATTGCTTCTAAATCCAGGGAGTGAGAAGATATTACTCCCAATATCGTGCAGGGTGTACACCCCTCCCTCTGATATCGTTCCTAGTATTTAGGGAGGGAAATGATGATATTACTCCCAATATCGCACAAGGCATGCACATCCACTGAGGTATTGTCCCTAATATCCAGGGGGAAGAGGATCATCTTGCTCCCAATATTGCAGGGGGTGTACAACCCCCCCCGTGATATTGTTTCTAATATCCAGAAGGTGAAAGGACTATATTACTTTCAATATTGGATGGGATGTCCGCCCCCCCGCCCCCGCCCATGTTATTCTTCCTAATATCCAGGGGCAAAAAGCATGATATTACTTGCACTATTGCAGGGGCTGTACACTACCGCTGTGATATTTTTCCTTATAACCAAAAAGGGAGAGGCTTATATTACTCCCAATATGGCAGGGGGTGTACACCCCCATGTGATATTGTTCCTAATATCCAAAAAAGGGAGAGGCTGATGCTACTCCCAATATTGAAGGGTGTGTACACACCCCATGTGATATTGTTCATAATATCCAGAGGGAAAGAGGATAATATTGCTACCAATATCGCAGTTGGTGTACATTCTCCCTGTGATATTTTTCGTAATATCAAGAAGGAGCAAAGACTATATTACTTCCAATATCGCTGGCAGTGTATACTTCCTCTGTAATATTGTTCCTAGTATTCAGGGGGGAGAAAAGGATATTACTCCCAATATTGCAAGGGGCGTGTACTCACCCTATGATATTGTTGCTATATCCAGGGGGCAAAAGGTTGATATTACTCCCAATATTGCAGCAGGTGTACATCCCCTTTAATTTTTTTTAATATCCAAGGAGGGAGAGGATGATGTTACTCCCAGTATCGCTAAGTATGTACACCCCCTCTGTTATATTGTTCCTAATATCCAGAACGCAAGAGGATATTACTCCCAATATCGCAGGGGGTGTACACCTTCCTGAAATATTGTTCCTAATATGCAGAGGGGGAAAAGATTTTGTTACATCCAATATAGGAGGGGGTGGACACCCCCCCCATGATATCGTTCCTAATATCCAGTGGGGTACAGGATGACATTACTCCTAATGTCACAGGGACTGTACACCCCACCTTGATATATTGGTCTTAATATCCAGGAAGGGAGACAATGATATTACTTCCAATATCTCAGGGGGTGTGCACCCCTCCTGTGATATTGTTCCAAATATCCATGAGGGAGAGGATGATATTACTCCCAATATCGCAGGCAGTGTACACCTTTTCTGTGATATTATTTCTAACGTCGGGGGGATGGGGAGAGGATGATAACACTTCCAAAATTGCAGGCGTTTACACGCCCCTGTGATATTGTTCCTAATATCCAGATGGGTCAGGGTGATATTACTCCCAATATTGGAGAAGGTGCACACCAATCCTGTGATATTGTTCCTAATATCCAGCAGGGGAGAGGATGATATTACTCCCAATATTGCAGGGAGTGTACACCCCTCCTGTGATATTGTTTCTAATATTCAGGTGGGGAGAGGATGATATTACTTCAAATATCTTAGAGGTGTACACGCCCTTCATAATATTATTTCTAATATCCAGAAGTGGAGAGGATGATATTACTCCCAATATCGAAGTGGGTGTACTACCACACGGTAATATTGTTTTTAATATCCAGGGGTGGAAAGGATGATATTACTCCCAATATCGCAGGGGGTCTACACCCCCTTTGTGATATTGGTCCTAATATCCAACTGAGAAGAGTATAGTATTGATCCCAATATCTCAAGGAGTGTACACCTTTCCTGTGATATTGTTCCTAATATCTGGCGGTGGGGGGGGGTCTATATTAGTCCCAATGTCGCAGGGATGTATACCCTGCCCCATAATATTGCTCCTAATATCCAGGTGGGGTAAAGGATAACATTACTCCCAAATTCGCAGGGGTGTACACACCACTCCGTAATATTGTTTTTAATATCCTGGTAGGTAGAGGATTATATTACTATAAATATCTCAGGGGGTGCACACCACCCCCTGTGATATTGCTCCTAATATACAGGGGGAAAGAGGATGATATTACTCCCAATATTGCAGGTGGTGTAAACCCAGCCTGTGATATTGTTTCTTACATCCAGGCGGGAAGAGAATGATATTACTGATATTGTTCCTAATATCCTGGGGGGGAGAGGATGATATTACTTGCAATATCCCAGGGGGTGTACATCCCCCTGTGATATTGTTCCTAATATTCAGTGGGGAAGAGGATGATATTACTCTCAATATCACAGGAAGTGTACACCCCTTCTGTGATATTGTTCCTAATATTTAGGGGAGGAGAGTATAATATAATTCCCATTATCGCAGGGGGTGTTCACCTCCCATGTGATACTGTTCCTAATAACCGGTGGTTGGGGGGAGAATAATATTACTCCCAATATCGCAAGGCACCACCAACCCTTCTGAGGTAGAGACAGTCTCTATTCATCTACCCTATTTATTAGCTAACTTAAAAAAGAACAATATAGTAATCTAATGTCTCTTTTGAAAAAGTTATTACAGGATAGGATGCTTTTTTCCTTTTTAGAAATAATTTGACTTTCCACTTTAAGAAAAACCAAGTGATCCAAGGACGGGCACTTTGACAGAATGACCAAGCAGTGCTCCTCCAAAACCCTCCTCTAGGGGCCTCCTGAAGCTAGGTGGTCTGGGGTCAGTGCAGAACAGCAATCCTGGCCAGGTGTGGATGGTGTCCAGCGAGCCATGGGACCCCGGGTGGGCAGCAGAGATTCAGTGTGCTGTTGGCAGTGGACTCTGTAGTGGGACCCTATGACAATCTACGATGATGTGCCATGTGGAAGCTTAGGAAAGGACAATGTGAAGGAATGAACAATATCCTCCCCATTCACCTTTTAGACTGAACAGTGCACAAAAACAGGGGCCCAAAGGAAGGAATGCTCAAATGGTACAGACAAAGTAGAGTTTCTAGCATCATGGCCCACATCTGATCAATGTCACTCAAATGATCTGTAAGTCTGGGAAAGCAGAGCTGCCACCACCATATATGAGCCAATGATGCTGAACACAGAGGCTGAAGATACAGACTGGTATCATTCTGTGGGTCAAAGACACCAAACTCTACACCATTGATTCCTTATCTCTTTCTTTCCACTCCCCAAAATAAAATTTGGTCTTGCAGCTTCAATGGGAGCCACTTTTTCATTTGTTAACAAAAGAAAAGTTCACATCCATGTGAAGAAGTTATCCCAGGTGGACTCCACTGCCAGCCTGGAAGAGCTCTGCTACCACTTTAAGTCTACAGATCAGGATTTCAAAGCTCTCTGGAGTTGCAAAACTCTGTGAGATTGTTTAATTTTGCAATTTCCCTTCTACCCAAGCTGTGTGCATGTTGGGGGAAGGCAGAACATCCAAGATATCACAAAACGAGGTTGAAACTATCCCTAATCCATAGCCATCTCAATTCTTAGGCTACTTACTTGGACAATGTTAAGGCAAACATTTGCCTTTTATGTTACACAGTGTTTCAAACAAGCAGTCTAAATTTTTTTAATGACAGAGTTTCAAAAGACGCTGTAAAGTAATAACCTCCAAGAATAAATAACTGGGTTAATAAATACATGGAATAACCTAAAAGTACACTAGACAAAGACACATATCTCTTTATAACTGATCCCCAAATTCAGCCATGAAGACAAATTTAGAGGTTGAACTCTCAACATAAATATCTCCCTCTTCATCCTTCTTTCCTGCAAAATATGATTTAGGGTCTATTAATAGATGTGGCATAAGATATTTAAATTCAACGCTGATTTTTCTGAAAGGCAAAAGAAACAGCAGAGTCTGAAAATAAGACCCATACAAAGTGCTCCACGTCATTAATACTTTTAAACAGAGGAAGTAAACTATTATGCAATCGCTGAAAAGATCTGATGGGTTATATACCTTATGCTATGCTGTAATCATTTACCCAAGAAGTTCCAAGAATATACAAACTACTATTGTGAACTTGGGCCTCATACTAATTTACCAAATGAAGATAAAAAACATTTAAACTATCTAAAAAGTATCTGTATTTAATGTTAAAATTCAAGGTATGTTTTCTTTAGGCTTATATTTAAATAAGCTTGTATTTCCAACTCTTGCTGAATGACAGAAGTAAACATAATGTTACCATTTTGCTGTAAATGATGGAGAGAGGTTTGATAACCTTAACTTACAAAGAGTGGATGCAAATCAACAAGACACAGACAAACATCTGAACTGAAAAATGAGCACAGTATATGTTCATCAATTCACGAAGAAATATAATGTTTTAAATGGAAAATATTCATATCTAATTTGAAAATGCAAACCAAAACAAGATGCAATTTAAATTTTCACCTATCACACTGAACAAGTTTTGTGGGTTTTTAAATCATATTATAGAACTCAATGTTGAAAAGGGAGCATTAAAATGGCACTTTCCTACAATCTGATGGCAGTAAGTATAAACTGGCACAATCTTTTGGGAACGTAATCTGACAATATGTCTCAAAGACATGACATGTGTGTGCATGCACAATTATGCACATACAAGCATAAAACTTTATTACGCCTCCAGGGATACATCCCAAGATCATCATGGATTTGTACAAAATTGAGAAGACTTAACTGGAAGCCACCAGAATCCCCAACCACAAGGGATTAGGTAACGAATTATTTCACATCCATTAAGTGTAAAGGGCAGATGCTCTCCCAGCCCCACTAAATGAATTAACTGACATTCTCCACTGTCCCATAAAACACTAGTAACTGACACAACTCTTTTGGAAAATCTGCATATTTGTTCTCTGAAAAGTTCAGCAGCATATCTGAGCTTTGTCTGCCCAAGACTTAGATACATTCATTCCAAGCATTTGTTTATGCCAGTTGTATTTGTTAGCAAGAGCCTGGAAAACTTTGCCAACAATCTAGGAGGTTGCATTGAGTGCCTTTAAATATTTTGTACATTCTCCAACCATTCTACTGAGATCAAAACTGGATATTATGGATATGGTTTATATAAGAAACTTGAATCTGTGAACCCACCCACTAAGAAAGGGTTTTCGGTCTAGAGCCAAAGGACTGGGGAATGGATGTACATTTGTTTGAGTTTAAAATGAAGCGTGTAGGTATGTGTCATTTTTATTATTTCCCATATTAACTCACTTTTTCAATAACTGATCATTTACAATCCCCCTTGCCATGTAAACATACAGTTGCTAAAAACATGGTAGAAAAAAATGACTGATATGAGGAAATACTGACAGTACAGCAAAGTGAAAAGGAAGATTTGAAATGGAATGTACACCTGTAATCCCAGCACTTTGGGAGGCAAAGGTGGGAGGATTGCTCAAGCCCAGGAGTTTGAGACAAGCCCTGGCAACGTAGTGAGACCCTGTCTCTACAAAACAAACAAATAAACAAAAAAGGAGCCTGGTGTGGTGGTGCCGGTCTGTAGACCTAGCTTCTTGGGAGGCTGAGGTGGGAGGATCACTTGAACCTGGGAGGTCGTGGCTTCAGTGAGCCATGGTATAACCATCACCACTGTGTAATTCCAGAAAATTTTCATCATCCCATCTCCATTATATTTTTTAAAGATTTATTTGGCTTTTTTTTTCCTCTTTGAGACAATGTCTCGCTCTGTCGCCCAGGCTGGAGTGCAGTGGCACGATCTCGGCTCACTGCAACCTCCCCAACCCGGATTCAAACGATTTTCTCCTGCCTCAGTCTCCTGAGTAGCTGGGATTACAGGCACCCACCACCATGCCCAGTTAATTTTTGTATTTTTAGTAAAGACTGGGTTTCACCATGTTGACCAGGCTGGTCTTGAGCTCCTGACCTCAGGTGATCCACCTGCCTGGGTCTCCCAAAGTGCTGGGATTATAGGCATGAGCCACCGCGCCCGGCCTGTTTGGCTTTTAATGAATCAAAGTACACTTGACTACATCCCATTAAATATAATTATTCTGTTTTATAAATACTAATAGTATTAACTTTGTGTCAGACACTGTTTTGAGTACTTTATAAATTACAAACCCCATGTGGAAAGTCTTAGCAGCAGCAGCAGCAGCTTCATGCTATTGATGAAGAAACTGAGACATGGCAAAGACAAGACTCTTGCCCAAGACTACACAGATAGATGTGGCAGAGCTGGGATTTGAACTCAAGACGTCTGAGTCCATACTCCTCAACACTCTCTGCTACCTCTTGAGCAGAGAATTAAAATTTGCCAACCAACCAACAGAAACAAACAAAAACACACAACCTTTAAGTACGAGTATGAAACGTCCCATTTTCTTCATCCTTTATTTATCAGTCACTCTCCCCTCGGCTGTGTTTTTTTTTTTTTTTTTTTTTCCAGACAGTGTCTCGCTCTGTCACCCAGGCTGGAGTGCAGTGGCACGATCTTGGCTCACTGCAACCTCCGCCTCCCGGGTTCAAGCGATTCTTCTGCCTCAGCCTCCTGAGTAGCTGGGATTACAGGCGCCCGCCACCACGCCCAGCTGATTTTTGTGTTTTTAGTAGAGACAGGGGCTCACCATGTTGGTCAGACTGGTCTCAAACTCCTGAACTCAGGTGATCCACCGCCTCGGCCTCCCAAAGTGCTGAGATTACAAGCATGAGCCACCACGCCTGGCCTGGCTGTGATTTTTTCTAAACACGAATGAACTGCTCACCACCAGCCTGCACTAGGCTCTGTTGGTCACATAGAAGTCAAGAAGGCATGGTCCTCGCCCCCAGGAAGTGAAGAGTATGAGACATCAATAGAAGGGAGAGAAGGTGATACATAAACATGGACATCCAGACATGGGAGGGTCTGTCTGGCCAATGGGGATCACAGACAGCTGTGACTTGTTCCAAAAAGAATCATTAATAATGATACCATTCTAGGGAGACCAAAGGAATTGTTTTCATTCTTCAAGATGAAAAATAGATTCCTTAACAAAGACTGAATTTGACTGTGATTTGGGAAAATGTTCTCTCACTTTAAGCTCTTTCTTTTCTTGATTTCATTCTCAGATCACTAAAGACACACTGATCTCTGTTTACCTTAGTAATGCGACCTCCCACATTTGAATGAACTATACACTGGCATTTATAGTGGGCTGTTTTTAGATGATAACAGCACCCTTTATTTGCTAGAAATGGTGACTCTGAACAATAGTATGCAGATTCGATTTTGGTAATTGAAGTTTTTTTAATGTACAATACTAGGGAGTTTGCTATGGAAAAATTTCTGAAGAGAATCCTTTAGTAAAGCAAGAAATTTTCAAAAATCATATTTTTGAAAATATGATTTTCAAAATCACCAGACCATGCGAGCAATTTGGGGCCTGCAGATGTGTCATCACCCTAATGTCCCTAGCCAATGAATGCTCAACAAATGTTGGAAAAATTAATTAAATTATTAATTTGCTTATTTTTTCCCCTAAGTTCTGATAGGTATGTCAGATGATCTTGATTCAAGGCACACCTGAATTTTGGCTACTTCATAGTCTATTCTTTGCAGCTCTTTGCAAAATAAATTGCACATTCTATGTCTGAGGCCTGGACTCAGCCAATATCTCAGGGAGACTTTGACCCTCATGAAAACCTGGGCACTCGGAAATGACCCTTGAATTGGCCTTGCTGCCCTCATGAGGTCCCAAGGCATTTTTATAAGCACAGCTTTCATCACTGGAAAATCCTGGGTTTATTTAAGGATCTGAAGAACACTCCAGACTGGCCTCGAGTATCTGTTCCTAAGACATTTAAAATATTATCTTTTTTCCCCTACTAATCATATAATTTAGGAGAAATTCATTTTGGAAAATAAGGTACTGCTGATAATACTTTTGTTGAGTTGTGATGGGAATTTTTGGTTGGTGGGCTATATTTGGGGAGGGTGGTTAGATAGCACAGTATACTATACCGTAGTTTGAGAAGAAATGGAGCAAACATACAGAAATATTTTAGTTGAATAAACTGGGCAGCAGCTCCCTCTTGTGTTGAACAGTAAGTACTACAGACACTTAATTAAAGTATGGGGAAGCATCCCTTCATGCACATTAACACTCCAAAACTGAGAGCTTTTCCCAGTAATTTTAAGTCCAAGAAAAGCATAGTGCTCAGTAACTTTTTTTATTTTACGCTATTTTATTTTAATTTATTTTAATCTTTTTGAGACAAAGTCTCGTTCTGTCGCCCAGGCTCGTGTGCCTTGGCATGATCATGGCTCACTCCAGCCTCAACCTTCTGGGCTCAAGCAGATCCTCCCACCTGAGCCTCCTGAGTAGCTGGGGCTACAAGTACGTGCCACCATGCCTGGTTAATTTTTGTATTTTTTGTAGAGACGGGGTCTCCCTATGTTGCCCAGGCTGGTCTTGAATTCCTCAGCTCAAGGGGTCCGCCTTCCTCAGCCCTGCAATGTGCTGGAATTCCAGGTGTGAGCCACCACGCTTGGCCAACTCTTGATTCTAATAGCACATCCACTGCCATTCATTTTTATTTAATTAATTTTTCCAACATTTGTTGAGCATTCACTGGCTGCCAGGAACTAGGGACATTAGGGTGATGACACAGCTGCAGGCCCCAAATTGCTCACACGCTCTGGTCCATCTAATGCCACTTCTTCTCATAATGCTGGTCCCCTGTCAACGGTGACCTGTGCCTCCTCAAACTGCCCCCTTCCTCTTCTCATCTCCCACCCCTACCCTACGACTAAGTCCAGCTCAGGCCTGTTCCCCCTGCCTCCCCTTGGTTGCAGCCAGTTGTTTTCTTGTCTTGTAACCCTTCCTGGATAATAACTCCTTTGAGGGCAGCAGCCCAGGGTCATCCAGTCTCAGTTTCCCTGCAGTCCCTCGTTCAGCATTAGTCCAGTTCATATTCAAATGCGTATTTGTTCCATTTAATTTAATTCAAACAAATAAAAAAGCAACAGATCCCCACAGCTATTAATAGCTTAAAAAGGGTTCCAATGAAGAACTGTATTTGACCTCTTTGTATGCATAACCATCAAAAGTGGAGTATGTAGCTATTGTTTTGTTGCTGCTGTGAATCCAAAATATCTGAGACAGGCCTCAACCAATTTAGAAATTTACTTTGCCAAAGTTAAGGATGCGCCCGTGACACAGCCTCGGTGGTCCTGACACCATATGCCCAAGGTGGTTGGGTACAGCTTGCTTTTATATATTTTAGGGAGACATGAGACATCAATCAATATGCGTAAGATGTATATTGGTTCAGTCCAGTAAAGCGGGACAACTAGAAGGAGGGGCGGGCTGGGGTGGGAGGGGTGTCTTCCAGGCCATAGGTAGATAAGAGACAAAAGGTTGCATTCTTTTGAGTCCTTGATCAGCCTTCCACTGAGTCTGGCTCAGTGAATCTGCATTTTTACATAGACAGCAGGGCAGAGGAAGCAATCAGATATGCATTTGTCTCCAGTAAGCAAAGGGATGACTTTCTGTCTAGCACCTGTGAAGATCAGCTATTATATTAGTCTACATTGCCAGGGTGAAATTCAACAGAACTGTTATAAGGTAAAAATCTTGAGGCCCACATGGAATTTCCTTGTGGGCAAATTGTGAGGGAGGTAGGTATCTCTTTAATCTCTGTAGCTATCTTATTTAGAAATTAAAATGGGAGGCAGGTTTGCTTGACATAGTTCCCAACTTGACTTTTCCCTTAGCTTAGTGATTTTGGGTTCCGGAGATTTATTTTCCTTTCACATGGTCAAAATGAATGTTGAATTTTTCTCATGCATTTCAGTGATAACATAACGACCCCAATGGAAGGTAAGATTTATTTTATCCTAGAAACCACGGTGTTGGAGAAATCCTGGCTGTCATAAAAGGATGCTGGATTCCAAAGTTGGACGCCATGCCAGGCATCGGAATGCCAATGTGTGCTCTGGCTGAGTCACTGTCCCACCCATTCCACATCTGGGATGGTCAAGCATCTCATCAGTGATTCCCAGTCATGGAGATTTTATGTAAAATATTTAAAATAATTTTTTGAGGTACAAACATGAGGTTTCCAATGTCTTACTTTGCTAAGTATAAACAGTTTCTTAAATCATCATTTATTATGATCATCGTTTTAAGGAAAAAATGAAATTTTAATACTGAAAAGTAGAAAGATCATAATCTCTAATAAAAAACAGTTCTTTCAACTGAATGCATGTTAACTAATTTTAGATCACTTATAGAATCTCAGAGATTTTTCCAAATCAGACCCCTCATTTTGCAGAAGAGAGAGTGGGGCTGAAATGTGTAAACCAAGGCAAGCTAATTATCTCTGCAGGTAGATAAGTGGCTTGTCCTGAATCATTCTAACAACCAGCCAGGGCACAGCCAAGAACCCCAGCAAGCACCTGTAGGCTCTCGCCTACCACTGCCCACAGTCAAGCCACACGCAGGGCCTCCTTTGGGCCATGGTAATGTACCTCCTCCCCTTAGAAGAAAACAGTAGCTGGCCTTACTGGACTTACCTGTCTATCTGAGGACAAGCTTTACTTTTACAGGATTCTGTGTAGGTCCTGGCTCAGCAAAGATGATATATATTCAGCATTGTGAATATATGTTACAGAATTCTGAATAACCAAGCACAAAATTCTGTGCTTGGTTAGGGGAATGAGCAAAACACTAGAAAATAAACTGCTTAGAGATTAACTGGGAGATGTTGGAGCCTTTTGGAGCCATCATTGAGCTTCAAAGTCTGCTGTGACCAACCCCTAGACCAGAGGTCCTCCACTAGGAGCGATTTGGTTGTCACAACCTACTGGGGACGGGGAGTGTTGCTGACATCTAGTGGGCAGAGGCCAGGGATGCAGCTAAACATCCTGCAACGCACAGGACAGAGCCACAACCAAGCATTGTCCTGCCCAAAATATTAAAATGCCCTTGAACAAGTAACTTTTTTTTTTTTTTTTTGCCTTGTAGTATGTGAGAGTGATCAAGAAATCAGGTCCCCGGGGTCAGGGGCCAGAGTGGAAACTGGCTGATGCCCAAACCTGTGGGAGGGAATTATGGGGTGAAAAGAAACTCTCGCATCCAGCAGAGGGAAAGGGGGGACAGAAGAGAGGAGTCCGGTGCGTGCCTCATGGCCACCACCCTTTACTCTCTTTCTCCCACTTCTGGACCCAGCCACATGGCTTGGTTGTTTGGGCAGTAGGGGAGTTTGTGGCATTGGCCTTGTGGTGTTCGAGGGAGGAAGGGGGAAGAGGGATCAGGCAACTGACCCTCCTTGCTGGGAGCAGCACTTCTCTTCTCTTCTGGCCACAAGGTGGACAGCACAGAACAACAGCTTGCAGTTGTCTCATGCTTAACTTTTTCCAAAGGCTTTCCAACTGCCTCTTCCACATAGTCATCTCCACACATCCAAGCCCTCTGATTTCCAGAAGACACCAAGGTTGGAATTTGCTTCCTCTTACTCCAGGACTAATATTAGAAAGGACATGAGTCCTCCTTTGGCTATAATGGTCTGGGCCCTGTCCTCCGTGGTCCCCAAGTTCTAGACGCAGGGAGTTCTTGCAGCTATCAGTCAGGCAGCAAGAGGCATTGAGTCTCTGTGGAACAGGGACTCACTTGGCTCACAGCGTGGACTCTGCTCAACACAGCCCATTGATGAGGCTAAAATGTGCTTTGAGCACGGCCTTGGCCTGACCCTTTGCTGCACGTTTCACTCCGTGCTTCAGCATCCCCAGGAGCTAGGCACAGCCATTGTTCCAATTTTAACAGATGAGAAATTAAGGCTTGGAACAGTTAGGTATCTGTGCAGGTCTCACGGCCACACCTTGCTCCAGGTGAGGGAGCCAGGGTGTGAATTCGGCAGTCTGGCTCCTGCTGAACTATGGCCCCAAGGTGTAAGGCTGTGAGGGGCCCACAGTGGCCCAAGCCTGGGCTGGAGAGCACAGATAGCAAGCGCTGAATAGCACTTACCACCCAAGGCACTTAAGCATGCCCTGACCCTACAAGGTAAGGGTTTATAGATGACAAACTAAGCATAAGGAGTGACAAAGTGCCCAAAGTGACACAGTTAGTAATGCCAGAGATGTCAGTGCTTTTTCATCAGCGTTTCTTGACCTTTAATGTGCATGCGCGTGATCACCTAGGGATCTTGTTAAATTGCAGATCCAGGCTCAGCCAGTCTGGGGTATCACCCAAAACCCTGCATTTCCAGCAAGCTTCACCGTGATGCCAATGCTGCTTGTCTGTGGGCCATGAGTTGAGCAGCCAGGCTTTACGCTATCCTTGCCTCTTGGTAGTTCAGCTGCCTTTTTATCCTCAGTTAGGCTTTCCCAAATAGCTCCATGTGTTAACAGTAATAATTTTAGCTAATATCTATTGCATGCTTACCGAATATCAGGCCCTGTATTAAGAGCTTTATATGGATTATCTCTTTGATTAAATGAGGTAGGATACAGTTATTGTCCCCATTTTATTTTTTCCCATTTTTCCTTTACTAAAAATGTTGGTTATAGAAGAGCAGCATCACAGTTAGTCATGATATCAAGTAGTCAGCTTATTTAATATAGCAGTATGATATTATACTAAAGATTAGCTATTATTCAGTGAATACTGGTATTGTCTCCATTTTACACATGAAGAAACTGAGGCTCAGAGAATTTAAAGAAATTGCTCAAGGTCACAAAGCCAGCAAGTGGCAGAGCTGGTCCCATTTGTCTTTGCAGGGAACTGGGCATTGCTAGCTCATTTTGTATATGGATAATAACTAGGTGGAGAGATTATTCGATGTTTTAAGGC
Source organism: Homo sapiens (assembly GCF_000001405.40). Taxonomy (NCBI): domain Eukaryota; kingdom Metazoa; phylum Chordata; class Mammalia; order Primates; family Hominidae; genus Homo; species Homo sapiens. The sequence goes on along the minus strand of NC_000002.12, from coordinate 174,695,417 downwards.
AAGCCCTGGAATCCATCTGGTTCTCATAACACAAAACCTTTTCTATCTCTCCCTCCCTAACCATTAGCAAATGATTCCAGTAAGAGAAGTCTTCCCAAGCTAGTAGTCTCAGACAGATCTGACAGAGTCCTTAGCCAACCCATCATCATCCCCAGAGACTTGAACTAACTTTCTCAGCAAAGCTGTCTCCCTTTTCAAAGTCCATTATGCTGGCTAGAATCCCTGGAGGCCTGCAGCATCTCAGGGACGTAATCAGAAGTCTGCCCTACTCCTAGAAAGACACCTCTATTGCAGACAGGGAGCGCATCTCTCCAGAGATACTTATCAGTAACTTAATCAGTGGCAGGAGTGCCAGGTATGTCAAGCCCAAGACCTGATGTGAACTCTCAGTAATTCTATGCAAAAATCCACAAGGCATGACTTGTTTTCCTGTCCCCAGCCCCTTATTCCTCTCTTCCCCCAACTCCTCTCAGGTACTGTGCTGCTCCCTCTTTACTGCAGGCTCCTCTCTTAATTTCTCAAACTTGCTTTCCAGAAAGGCTCTCTTGTATACTAAGCCCATGCAAGAGCATCAATTAAAAAGAGCTTCAGTTAACAAGAGCATCAGTTAAGCCAGGTACTGTGAATGGGAATGGATGACTCAGACTAAGAAATTTCTGGCCTTGGGGAGTTTATAGTTTAGTGGGGGTAATAGATGTGGAAAGAATCTCAGTAGAAGGAGGTAGCTTCTCAAGTGTAGGCACATCAGTAGCACTACGGGAGCCCAGAGGGCTTCTCAGAAGAGATGACGTCACGGGTGAATTCTGAAGACTGGGTCAGAGGCAGCCAGTAGGAAAGGCATTCCAAGCAGAAGGAACAGCATGAGCAAAAGCACAGAAGGATGAAAACAGCTTTGGATGTGCAGAAGCAGTTCTGTACTTGGAGGCGTATGTATAGTTCTATAATTGGCTGAGGACAAGCTGAGAGAACAAAATAGGGTCAAGGAAGGCAGTGAATGCCACATCAAGGAACATGGGCTTGCTTCTCCATGCAGCTGTTCTCAAACCATGCCTCAGGGTCCATTGTGGAAGGCCAGGCATTTGAGCTTCTATCTCCAGCCCTCCCTGCCCTTCCAGGAGCAGCTCTGCCTTCATCTGCTTTAGGTATTGGGTGCTCTACATCATATTGTGTTAAGAAAGTTTCCTGTGGCCAAAAGACACGTGGAACCACTGTTGTACCTGATGAGACACCATGTCAAAGGAACTCAGGATTTCAGGGATCAGGGAGAGTTTGCAGTGGCGGTTTTCTCCCTTTAGGTGGGTGCCATGGGGAGCATTCTCTCTCTACAGGCCCAGAAGTGGCCGTTTCATTTCCCAGTTCCATTCTGTGATGAGTGAGAAGGCAGGAGCTGCTTCCTTCCTCCCAGGAAGTCAGTCCCTCTGGCCCAGCTGGTCCCTCCAGCCTCTCTGGGTCCATTCTCTCCAGTTTAGCCCTCAGGTCTTATCACTCCGGTGATCCTTAACAAGAAACTGGGCTTATAGGTATTGACAGCCCACACTGTGCTGTAGAACCAAACTTGCTGCTGACATCCATTGTTTCGAAGCTTGCTGGGATTCCCCATTTGCCCACCACTCCTTACCTCATTTACTAATTGCCTGTTTAAGCCATTCTTTTCTTCCTCTCCTGCAAGAGGACCTTTCTACCAGTGTTCCACACCTGCCTCTCTAGCCTGCCTGTCATTTGATCAGGTCATGAAATGTCCAGTTCACATAAGCCCTCCACAGAAACTGAGTCCCTCAGCCCCCATCCATCAGGGCTGCTGCTCTGCCCAACCCCTTTCTCTCACGCTGCCTGGCTGGTGCTGCCTGGATTCAGGAAGGCAGCCTCAGTAACTGATCCTCCAGCACCACCTTCCGAGGGCGCTCATCACTACAATGCCTGGGAATCACCAAGCCATAGGAAGTCTCCTTTTTTTTTTTCCTCCATAGGAAAGCACTAGTCCAGAGAGCTCCAAACATTTTCAATGTGCATAGTATCACCCTGACGGGTTGTGCTTGGCCACACTACTGGCCCAGATCCCACGCCTGCCAGGGGCAAGCCAGGTGCGGAGCAGTGAGGGTATGTGAATGAGCAAGTGCAGGATCCAGCCACTGCAGTGGGGCAGGCAGCTCCAGGTGCTAGCATGGGCACTGGCTCCCTGCAAGGCTGTGGCTGGACCAGGTGTACAGCAAGTGGCTTCCATTGTGGGCACCCGGGAACGCAGTGGTGCCTGGAAGCTTGGAGATGCCAGGACCTGCTGAGCCCCAAAGAGGGCATCACAGCCCTGGCTTGGGTAGCTCCTAGGTCTGGGCTCCCTGAAGGGCTGCAGCTCTTCTCTCCTTCTATCTTCTCTCCTTCTCATTGCCTGCAACGTGGTGACTGGGGGGGGGGGGGTCATGTTTTAGCCCTGTTTGTGTTACAGCTCTTTCAGTCCCACCATTTGGTAGGTCCCAAGTTCTTGTCCCACATCCAGGAAGAATGAGGTAAGCGGACAACTGAGGGTGAGCAAGATGAAGAGTTGCTTAATTGAGTCAAGTTCCACAAGGATGGAACCCATTTTGCCTGCCACCACGCAGATGAGCACTCCCCAGCAAGCTAATGACAGAGCTGGGTTCCACCCATTCTGGCACTCTCCTCACACTGATTTGCAATGGCTCTGCTATGGAGGAGGACGCTTTGTGTGAGGAGAGTGCCAGAATGGGTGGAACCCAGCTCTGTGATTAGCTTGTTGAGGAGTGCTCATCTGCATGGTGGCAGGCAAAATGGGTTCCATTCTTGTGGTAACAGCATCTCTGATTTCCTTTGGAACTCCTTCTTTCCCCATCTCAGTGCATATGTTTTGAGTGGGGCAGACACTCCCCATAGTTCTAGGGGGCACATGACTGGGCTGGCCAGTCAGTATATTGCATTCTTCCTGGCTCGAGGATGGGTTCTGGAATGGACACAAGGTCCAGTGTGACTCAGTCCAGGACTGGGGCCAGGAAAGAGAAGCTCTCTCCACTGAGATAATAGGATAATGTAAGCCTGAGTTGCCGAGGCCACCATAAGGAGAGGGCCTGTCTGACAGTGGGGCCCATTCAGAGACAAGCATAATGGAGAATGGGGACCAGTGAGCTGGAGTGACCAAATCCTGATGAGGTCACATAATCGAGGGGTCCAGCCCCATCTGACCTTTGCCTCTGGACTCTTCATGTACATGAGCCAATACATGCCACCTTTTGCTTAAGCTGGTTTGAAATTGGTGGCCCACTCCCTCAGGGCCTCAGTTTCTTCATCTGGCAAGTGAGAGGAGGAAAGCAGATGGCACTCACAAGTTTTTTCTAGCCCCTTCCTGTTTGAGGCTCAAGTGTATACTTTATTCCTTCTTACTTGCTCTTTGAAGACCATCTTCTGTCCATACTTATTTCCTTCTCTGTATTGTTTATATTTTTAATTTTCTGTACATTATGATGCTTTGACATCTTAAAAACCTTTCTGGCTGAGGGACAGACTGCTCCTCCTCCTGTGGATAGCCAAATCTTAGAGATAGCAAAAGCGCTCAACTGGGAACAACCCTGTGATATGCAAACTAACTAATCCAGAACAATGCCTCTTCTATCTGGCCATATACCCAAAAGGCAATATTCCTCTGCCTTTGCCATCCCAGGGACAGGTACCAGGCAATAAGGAACCATCCCTATAGCTCGGAGCCCTTGAAAATTATTCAAACTAGCCAGGCTTAAACTGCTTCCCCTGCACTGCCCTGCCTTTCCCACTGAAACTCCAAAAAAGGTCATGGCCTAGGCTCTCCCACCCATCCTGTCCCTTCTGCCCCTGACCCATGCTGGTGCTTTCCCATGTGGCCCTGCTGTGCCTCCTGTTTCTAGGATGTGAGATCATGGTAAACTTTTCTCCTGAACCTCTCCTGATCGCCTCTTGTGGCCACACCTGACTGACCATTACCTAAAAGAATACAAAACAATCTCCTTCTTGGCCTTTCCCTGGGCTGGTGCAGTTGGCAATTTGCCCTAAAAATGAGAAAAGGAAGTTACCAGAAGGAAGAAGCAGGACAAGGGGCTTTCTGTCCTTGGACTATTGAGTGTTAACCACAACAAAAATAAACCAATGCTGTTCGCTTCTTAAGAGGTGCTAGTCCTGTGTGTGCATTTGCATTGCAACAAGTAATTTTTTAAAGAGGATTTGTCCCACGTTTCTTTACTGATGGATTTTAATTTTTTATCTTCTAAATGTCCACCATAAGGGATCTATTAATATTTATGTTGAGAACCTTCCTGAGGATGAGTTCATCTAAGTCAATGTTAATTGATAGTATTCTTTGTGTGTGTGTATATCTTTTATCCTATTCCATTCCCCATCCCTCAATTTCCTATTATCTTTGGCTCTTCAAAATACTCTTGGAATGTTTTAATTAGTGCCCCCATTACCTTTTAACGAGTTGTCTCACCAGCTGGGCATGGTGGCTCATGCCTGTAATCCCAAAACTTTGGGAGGCCGAGGTGGGCGGATCACCTGAGGTCAGCAGTTCAAGACCAGCCTGGCCAACATGGTGAAACCCCATCTCTACTAAAAATACAAAAATTAGCTGGAGGCAGTAGCACGTGCCAGTAGTCCCAGATACTCAGGAGGCTGAGGCTAGAGAATCTCTTGAATCTGGGAGGTAGAGGTTGCAGTGAGCCGAGATCATGCCACTGCACTCCAGCCTGGGTGACAGAGAGAGATTCCATTTCAAAAAAAAAAAAAAGAGTTGTCCCCAGATCACTCATATTTTAACTGCATCTTCACACAGCATAAAAAAGCTAATTGATAAATATCAATTAGCACAGTAAAGTAAATGCAACCTTTCCTGACCTCTCCCATGTCTTCCCCTCCAGCAGGGTTAAAGCATGAAAGCAACTGTTCAAAAACACTCCAATTTGCACAGGGAGTCCCTGTGAATGTAGCCATCAGGAGGGAAAGGCCCGCCTTGAGCCAACTGGGTTCACCCATTTCTTGGCTATTGTATTGTCTCCACTTCTCCTCGGGCCCTCCAGCTGCACTGCGTTCTCTCCTGAAGTAAGGCTCCTGGATCCTTGTTATGGGTGGAGAACAACCTCTGGAAAACCTTGTGCCTTTGGCAGCCCCTCAGGTCTTCAGCGGACACCTTCATTCATACCTGACCAGTGAGCAATGACAGGCATCAGAAGACAGGAGCAAAGCAGACACCTTTCATGTCATTAAGTCCATTCTCCAGATAAAATAAAACCTGCAGCCCACATGGGCTTCCTGACACATCTACCCTGGATCTGCCAGTTATGAGTTTAAACCCCTGTACCTTTCTCACTGGTCCAAAGGTAAGGAGGACCCAGAATCAATGATTGGATCAAACAGCTCTGGAGGTATGCTTCCTGTCACCACCCCTCCCTGCCCACAATCCTGGAAACTCAGGATTAACTGCCTTTCAGTCCCTCTTTTATATGAAGGAACCATGGTATCCTGTTCCCAGGAAAGTCCCATTAGGGAGGAGCTGTGCCTGCCCAAGCCAGATGTTTTCCATTCACCCCTCCAGGCCACTGTCACCATTCTCCACCTGTTCCAGGCCAGGGAGGCTGATCTGCATGGACAGCGTTGTGGGTTTCCTGTCCTCTGGCTCCTGAGTGAGCTCACATGATGGGCGAGCTGGCAGGAGAGGAATAAAGTCAGGGTATTTACCCCTTTTTCCCTCATTCCACTGGGTCACCATGGCTTGTCATCATTCTTGCCTTATCTAGGGCTGCAATTCCTAGAGCTGAAGCCACCCTCCCCAAGTTCTGGTTCACATCCCCTCCTCTTCAGGCCCAGGGTGGTAATGGCCCCCTGCCGTTCTAGCTCTGCAGCGTGGCACCATCCCTTGTTCCTTTCCCTACACTCCTTTGTAAACAATTTCTTTACTAAGCCTTCCTATAGCACCTCATTTGAGAAGCTTTCTGTTTCCTGATGGAGACTGCCTGCCAAACAATCCAAACAGTAGCTTTAGTTAGCCACTTTTTGGTTCCTAATGTGATGCTAACAGGAACATGGGTGAGAGTACTGGACAATGATGATGATAGTCATGGTAGCAACAAAAACAATGAACTTTTCTTGAGTGTTTATTAAAGTCAGACACTATTTGTATTAGTTGACATGCATTAACTTACTTTCGGCCCACGACCCCTTAGTGAAGAGCAAGGAAGGAAGCCTCTAAGATGACCTCAATCACCAGGGCGAGCTGATATTCATATTTATGTGCCACACTCTTACCTTAAGTGTGGGTTGTATTTAGAGACTTGCTTCTAATGAGTAGAATACAGCACAGTGATGTGATGTCACTTTCAAGTTAGGTTACAAAAAGACTGTGGCTTCCATCTCACGTGTCCCCTCTTGCTCAGTCACTCTGAGGGAAAACAGTTGCCATGTTGTGAGCTGCCCCAGGGAGACATCCACATGGCAAGGAACTGCTCTCTCCAGCCAACAGCCAGTGAAGACCTGAATGTTGAAACAGCCATGCAAGTGAACTGGAAAGTAGCTCATCCTCCAGTCAAGCCTTGAGACTTGGCTGGCACCTTGACTGCAGCCTTGTGAGAGATCCTGAACCAAAAACACCCAGCTTAGTTACCAGATTCCTAACCCACAGACACTAGGAGACAATAAGTGTGTAAGTCACAAGTTTTAGAGTAGTTTGTTACACAGCAACACAAAATGAATACAAAGGGGGGTGCCATTATTATTGTCCTCATTACAGATACAGAAACTAAGGCTTAGATACCTGCCCTAGGTCACACTGGAAATCAAAAAGGCAAGATTGGTAGCCAGACAACCTCACTGAGCACTGATGCTCTTAACCATTGCGCATGAAACAGTCTATGAGGGAATTTCTTTATAAGAATTAGCTACTTCCGTTTTTGTATATTGTCATTGGAAGTACAGGCTGCTACCAACATTTTGGAGAGCAATTTAGTAGTATCTATCAAAAAGTGCAAACACTTCCATCTTGCAATTCTGACTACCTAATGGAAGTTACTTCTGTGAGTCAGGATACTAAGAAGAATGTAGATGCATGAGCATTTAAGAGCACGAGTGTTTATTATGAATTTTTAAAAGACATATAACTGGAAGTAACATAAATGTCCACTAAGAGGCGCTTTGGTTGAATTATGACACATTATACAGTAAAAGACTATGCAGTTCTTAAAAAAGAATGAGGTTGATTTATATTTAGAGAAATGGAAAGACAACCCTTGTTACCTGTGGTAGGCAGAATTCTAAGATTTTCATCCCCTGGTGTATGCACACTTTCTCTCACTTGTTCAGTCAAACACTGATCTAGATGCTGCCGTGAAGGGATTTTGTAGATGTGATTGGAGCTGCATTTAAGATAGGGAGATTATCTTCAATGGGCCTAGCATAATCAGCTGAGACCTTAAAAGGAACTAGGCTCTTCCAGGCAAAAGAGACTAGAAGTATGAGAGGGATTCCACATGAGGGAGATTCTCTGTTGCTGGCTATGAAGACGAAAGCCATGTTGCAAGGAATGCAGGTGGCTTCTAGGAGCTGAGAGCAGTCCCACAGGTGACAGCCAACAAGGTAACAGGGTCCTCAGTCCCACTACCATAAGGAATTGAATTCACAGGGGCCAGTGACCTGAATGAGCTTGGAAGTGGATTATTTTCTCCAGCACCTCCACATAAGAACTCAGCCCACCTGTGATACCTGTGAACTGAATCACACCATGTCCTGACTTCTACAGAGCCATGAAATAATAAATGGATGTTGTCTTGAGCTGCTAAATTTATGGTAATTTGTTACACAGCAACAGGAAATGAATGCAATAGATTATTTAGCGGAAAAAGAAAAATAAATTAGAAGAAGATGATGTACAATATAATCACATTCACCTGGCTTTCATTAAATATTTGTTGATGAAGAAAAATAAAAATACATAGAAAAAAAGACACAGGGAAGAATATATACCCTACCATTAGTGGTTATCTCTGGTGAATGGGATTGCAGGAGACTCACTTTCTATATTTTATGCTTATGGAATATTTGAATTGTTTAGAATGAGAACTATTTTTAGTAAGGGAAGAAAATGATAAAGTGAAAATATTTACTAAATTTGCTATCTCAGACTAAAGTTTAAATTTTATCTTGTTCAACTCTTACTGTCTTAAGTCTTTTTTTGGAATACGGTGTAGTGTAAATAAGTAAAATATCTAGCTCTCAAGAGCTCAGTCCTTTCAGTTTTGGATATATCTATTAAATATATGCTGAGCATTTTTTAGGTGCAAAGCAGCTTCCTTCCTTCCTTCCTTCCCAACACATCCTGATTCTTCACAGTATCCCTGGCCTAGCATGGTGCTGTCGTCCCACATAGCATTCCATTTCCTCCCTGCATTGATGCAGAAGAGAAAACCCAGGCTGTTAAACAGCCTTTAGCCAGATCTACCTGAACCTCAACAATTCCTTCCAACAATAGAAACAATATTTTTTTATTTTGCTATTTGGCACCAAGGAATCTGGATGCCAGTCAATTCAGGTCATTCACACCAGCAGAAGCTCAAAAGAGGGAACAATAATAGGAAGTAAAGCCAAGAGACAGTATTAAATAGTGGTTAAAACAAGGGTGTTAGCATCAAAATAATCTGGATTTAGAAGGTCACAAGCTGAGTGGTCTTGGGCAGGTTACCTAAGCTCTCTGAGTCACAGTTTTCTCATTTGTAAAATGAAGACAAATATCTAAATCACAAAGTTACTGTAAGAATTCAATGAGGTACTCTGTAAAAGCATCTCACTTATTCATCAAGTGGTAATGAATAGTGAGAATGTGCTGGAGCTGAGAAGACTGCGGTGAGCCAGGCAGGCAGGTCCCTTTGCCTACTCTCTCCCTCTAGACTGGGGCTACTATCTACTGGGGAACAAGTAATTACAATAAAAAAAAGCTTGTTATAAGAGGGGAAGTTCTAAGGCACCACTAAGCTAATTTAGAGGTCAAAGTAAGTCCCAAAATGGTAGTTATGAAATGGTAAGCAAATATATGTATTTAATGATATTGTGCCCTGCTTAGTTTGTCCTAGTTTGGCATCTCAACATCCTTCTATCTACCTCGCTTCTCCCTTTTCCCCAAGATCACTGTAACATTTCTAGCCTAGCTTAGTCTTCAAGCAGCATTCATTAAGTCATTTTTTCTTATTAACTCATTCATATCAAAGTATACATGACTACAAAGGTTTAGCATAATACTTTTGCATGCTACTAACTTCAATGTCTTCATTTTAAGCTGAAATTTGACATCACCTAAGGGAACAAGGTATCTGTTGAAGAATTTCAGGGTTTGATATTTTTTACCTTTAATTTTTTAACTTTTTAAAATAATTTCAGACTTATAAGTAAGTTGCAAAAACAGTAAAAATGTTGCCATATGCACTTCACCTAGCTTCCTCAAATGTTCACATCTTTCATAACCATAGGCAACTTATTGAAACCATCAGAGGCATGTGAACCAGAGCAACTCCACCTTAAATAGGAGCTGGGTAAAATGAGGCTGAGACCTACTGGGCTGTATTCCCAGACAGTTAAGGCATTCTAACTCACACAATGAGATAGGAGGTCAGCACAAGATACAGGTCATAAAGACCTTGTTGATAAAACAGGTTGCAGTAAAGAAGCCAGCTAAAACCCACCAAAACCAAGATGGCCACAAGAGTGACTTCTGGTGGTCCTCACTGCTACACTCCCACCATCACCATGACAGTTTACAAATGCCATGGCAACATCAAGAGGTTACCCTATATGGCCTAAAAAGGGGAGGCGTGAATAATCCACCCCTTGTTTAGCATAGCATCAAGAAATAACCATAAAAATGGACAACCAGCAGCCCTCAGGGCTGCTCTGTCTATGAAGTAGCCATTCTTTTATTTCTTTACCCTCTTAATAAACTTGCTTTCACTTTACCCTATGAACTCACCCTGAATTCTTTCTTGAGAGAGATCCAAGAGCCCTCTCTTGGGGTCTGGATTGGATCTCCTTTCCCGTAACAAAACCAGAAAACTATCACTGATAAAATACTATTTAGGTTTTGACCTAATTGAGAGAACTGTTAAAAATTGGAAGGGAGAGAAGCAGGGCCATTTTTGACAACTGATTACTGGCCTTATGAGTGATTTAAAACAGTAGACAATTCAGAACACAATTTATTTTTGGCTTTCAATGATGAAATGAAGGGGGAGTATTTTACCTTCCCAATTTTCTTTTGTGTATATCAACATTGAAATTCTCACAGATTCCTGAGAGACACAAACTCAAGAGAGTCCTTATCTCAACAAACATTTAATCAATTCCGTACAAGGTACTAGGAGCTCTGCTGAACACTAGGGAACCAAAGATAAGATTTCCTGTTCACTTGTGTGCCACTACTCTGCTCATCTTTAGGGAGATTATCCCATTTAATCCTTACAACAACCCCAGGAGATAGGAAATATTGTTATCCCTATTTTACTGGAGCAAAAAATTGAGGCTTGGAGAACTAGTAAGGGGACCAGGCAGCTCCTGGGTTTAATTTCCTTGCTAACCACAGTTAGTGCTACTGATATGTTTTCAAGTCTGGAGTAATATATTTATATATTAAACTGCTTGTCTTCATTTTATATAAAACATAATATATGTGTATTACCATAGAAATGGTTTTAAAAGAAAGGCAAATAGTTAATGGACCTTAAAAAGATGGGTACATTTAGACAAAAATTTGCCAATGGGAAGAGTTTCCCATGTTACTAAATGTCTTTCCCAGAGAGGTCATTGTATCTGTTAAAAGCATATCAAGATACACGTGTGCACACTGGAGTGGTACAGAAGCAGAGAAAGCCGGGAGTTAAGGTCCCTCAGCATGGTGTAACAATTCCGAAGTGCATCTATTTGTAACCGCCCAATGGGTTCACCTTGCCCGCTGCCTAGACAGAGCCGATTTACCAAGACTGGGGAATTGCAATGGAGAAAGACGGATTCACGCAGAGCCAGCTGTGCGGGAGACCAGAGTTTTATTATTACTAAAATCAGTCTCCCTGAGCATTCAGGGATGACTTTTTAAAGATAATTTGGCAGGCAGGGGCTTGAGAAGTGGGGAGTGCTGATTGACCAGGTTGGAGATGGAATCACAGGGGGTCGAAGTGAGTTTTTCTTGCTCTTTTCTGTTCCTGGGTGGGATGGGAGAACTGGTTAAGCCAGATTATCATTCTGGGTGGTGTCAGCTGATCCACTGAGTTCAGGGTCTGCAAAGTATCTCAAGCACAGATCTTAGGTTTTACAATAGTGATGTTATCCCCGGGAGCAATTTGGGGAGGTTCGGACTCTTGGAGACAGAGGCTGCATGACCCCTAAACTGTAATTTCTAGTCTTACAGCTAATTTGTTAGTCCTGCAAAGGCAGACTGGTCCCCAGGAAAGAAGGGGATCTTTTCAGGAAAGTGCTATTATCAATTTTGTTTCAGAGTAGGTCTGATTTCTTTCACTGTCACAATTTCCTCAGTTATAATTCTGCAAAGGTGGTTTTATATTCTCACCTTTCTGCTTTAATTCAAAGGGATACACAGCCTTGATATTTTAACAATATGATCCGATGGTTATTACACTGAGCAAGAACTTTTTGTTGTTATTCCTTTCAAATGCACACTCAGTAGCTATAGCGTCTTAGCGAGTGAATGTTAACTTTTCTTTGGGGCCTGGAGGTGGCAGCTCTCAGAGCTGGTCAGAACCCCCTGATGAGCAGGAGTTAGCTAGGGCAATGGAGTAGAGCTTCGGTTTTCTCCACATGTTTGCTGTGGATCCTACCGTATTTAAGGAAGTGGGTGGCTGATGATAAATCCATCCCCACTGGCAGCAAAACGACTCAATTCCAACCGACTTGTGAGGAGAGGCAGCATCTTTCCGAGGGAAGAGCAGCACGTTGTCCCCACATAGTGGGCAGGAGTCAGATGCGTGTGGACCTTGGCCCTCTGTGGGGTTCACCCCGATTTTAAATCCATTTTTAAAAATTAATTTGAATTTCAGATATCTGAAAGTTGGACACTCTTTTTTTGAGAGCAGACGGGAAAGCGTGGGAAAAGGCGTTCCTTCCGGCTCGAACAGAGGGAACACCCCCACCCGATCCCCCCGCCAGCAGCCGCAAGAAGGTGGAGAAGATTCAAGAGTTGGGGGGAAAGGCCCTGGGCTAGACTCCCCTTCCAGTTCCCGCCCCTCTGCAAACTCCTGTCCTCTTGCCTCGGTCCCCTCGCCGCGCAGGGGAGCGGGACTGAGGAAACTGCGGACTCCAGCCCCGACCATCCCGCCCCGCCGCGATCCTCTGCGGGCCGAAGCTGCAGGCGCAGAGCCCCATTGCTGGCGGGGCAGGCGGGCGCGCGGAGGGCAGGGCGCGGGCCGGCGGGGCCTCGCGGCGCGTCCACATGTGGCGGGGCGGCGGGGGGGCGGCGGCGCCGGAGGGGAGGGCCCACATCTCGGCGAAGTTCCCGGATGGTCGCAGCCTCCCGGCGCTGAGCGCTTTTCCTGCCCGCCCGGCTCAGCCCTGCGGACCCCGGGAGAAGTTTCCCAGAAAAAATGCCCAGCGCGGCGCGGGGCTGCGGAGTCGTCCGGAGCCGCTGCGCGGTAAGGGACGCGTCGCCTCTGGCGCGACCCGGGTTCCGGGCTCCCGGGGGCCGGGGGAGACGCCGGGAGGGGCTGGGCTCGACGGCGGGGCACGGAAGTGCCGCCTGGCACCGGTGACGCGGGTGGGGCGGCTGGGGACGTCGAGGCCGCGTCCCCTGCGAGCGGTGGGCGCGGGCGCGCGGCCTCGGGAGGGGCGCAATTCCAGGCCAGCGGCCCGCGCGTTCTGCTGCCCGCTGATGGCCCGGGGAGGAAGGGGCCGTGGACAGCCTGGGTCCCGCGCCTCGGGCTGAGCTCACCGCTGGACTCCGCGGACCCGGGGCCGCCCCGTGGGGCTCGGGACCCACTATCTCCGTAGGTCTCGAGCAGGGGCTTCGCGGCGATGCCCTGGGGCTGCACCTACACCCCAGCTAGGACAGAGGGGGACGTTCGGGCATCCCCTGGGGCCGGCTCAAGTTCTGGCACCGCCCGCCTGCCTGTCTATGGGAACCGTGCCCCTCCCGCGCTCCAGCCCGCCTCCCTCCCGGCCCTCCCGGGCGGCCCGCTCGCCCCAGGTCGGCGTAGACGCGCGCGTTAGGGGTCTGCGTCGACCTTAGAGACATCTCCAGTCCCGGTCAGTGCTTTTCGCCCGGAGTGGGGACGGGGGTTGAGGGGGGGTGATCCCCCGAACTCTCCAGAGACAGCTTCACTTCAGTCTCGCGTCCCCTACCTTTTTCTACTATACATACTTTTCTTTTTAAAGAAAGAACTGTTAGCGTTGTGAGTGTAAGGGAAAGCAGCTGACCCAGTCGCTGTGAGCCTTTGTTAATCGCAAAGAGCTCTAAATCAGACCACTGGTGGTTGGTTAGACTTTGAGCTCTTTGGGATTAACAAAGGGTGTGGCTGTGTGAGGAACTGAGCCTGGTGAGGTCTTCTGGTCCTGCTTAAATCCCGATGGAGTATTCCTTCTTCAGCCACGGGCTCCTGGCCTTATTGAGTTCTCTGGGAAGCCTCTCAAGTTGGCTCAGTGACCAAGTGGACTTGGTCCCTTTTACTGAAAAGCGTGTGTCCGTCCTGCCCCCTGGATCGTCTCTGGACCCCACCCCACTCCCATTCCCCCATCCCTGGCTGCGTGTAGCCCCAGACTCCCGTCGGATGCAGCCGCAGAGCCCGTGAACAGATTCCACGCTGGGTGGGTTTTCTTTTGCCAGCTTCCCAAAGCAATTTCAAAACAATACTGTAGCTTCATTTTGAGTCGTTGGTAGATTTTTCCATCTTCAAAAATGCTTATTTTTGTAATGGATAAAATAACTCCAAGAAATGTTCTACTTCAGTTTGTAAATCACCTTTTAGGTTCTTGAGGTGAGAAAACCCTTGATAGGCTATCAGCACTCTGCCTATTAATCCCTTTGCAGTGCACACAACACTGCCTTCTACTGTGACTGTGTGTGTCTACCTGCCTATCAGCCGCACAAGGCTGAGTTTCTCGGGGACCTGGAGGTGCTATAGTCTGCAAATCCCAGCCACCTGTGAGAGCCCATTACCTGTTGAATGGAAATGTTCAGACTAAACTCTGCAGATGTTATGAAACCAGTTCCGTAATATTGTCTTCCTCCCTGGGACTTACCCAACCCCTGCCATAACTTTGGCTCCATGAAAACACATCAACTCTTTGAGGTTGTGTGACGTAGTGCAAAGAGATTTGTAAGCAAGGTAAGATCAAATTCTGGGATATTTCAAGAGAATGAGACTTTCCTCCTGGGGGGATTCATGCCTCCTTCTATTTGTTCATTTTAAAAATTGTCTGTAATGTGTTCAACCACTTTCTGGTGCCCTTAGGCATATCATTACAATTTGAGCCTCACTTATCTCATCCAAGAAATGGGCTTGATAATCTTTGCTCTACATCCACTGCAGGGTATGAGGATCTAGTAGGATAATGGGGTGTGAAGGAAGCAGCAAAAGGAGTATGATACAGGGGCCATCCAGATACCATGCAGTGTGTAGCACCAAGACACGAAAGCTATAATGAGCAGAAAGGTGGGTGGTGAAGAGAGGGTAGTATGCCCTGACCTTGTACATTTACTGTCTCAGGTGCTATGGTCAGGCATGAGACCCTTTTAGCAGACAGTATTCATTACTGGGTCTGTGTCATTGTCTTTGCTATTTCAAGGTGTTCCTAACTATGGTTGTAATTTTAGGAACATAGTTGGTTTCCACAACACATACTGAGAGAATAAATGAAACAAAAGTGCCTTTTATTTGTTGCCATAACCCCTTCACTTTTAAGCATCTGATATTTGTCATTTTACCTCCCAGGGCTGTGGTCTTCCTGAAGCCTTCCCTCCAGTGTGGTCTACTGAATTCTTAATGGTTTCCACACAAAGCTCTCTCTGCTGCTGTTTCCCAGCAAGCCACAATTATACCATGGTTCTTGAAGGCTTGGTAGGCTTATTTATCCCTTGTGGCTAGCAGGGACCCACGTCGAATCAGGTCACAGTTGGAATCAAGCCAGATACTCATTGAGTATTGTGGGTCCCTGCTAGAGGTTATAGCTATCCTCTGTGCTAGGTAAGGGTAGAAAGGAAGATGTAGCTCAGAAAGAGATGAAGTCTGCGCCTGAATGCTTACTTTCTGGTAGAGATGAGACATGGTTTCAAACAGCAGGTATGCAGGCAGAATTTGGTAAATAAGGTAAAAAAGGTACAGACCAAATACAGGGAACAGGGAATTCAGAGGAGTCCAGCTGGATGGAGGCACTCCTTCATTCGTTTGTCCACTTAACAAATATTTATTAAGTGTTTACTGTGTGCCAGGCATCGAAAGATTAATCAGCACATTCACACCGTGTCCCACCATCTCTTCTCCAATTGAGGAACAGTTTAGGCTTCACCTCCCTTTGACAGATGAATACTTCCTCACTCAGCTCTAACTTTTGTTCACTAGGGCGGACATTTGTCAGTTGTTCCTCACTCTGTAGGTATTATGGTCAGGTCAAAATAACTTAAGTCTGTCCCTTGTATAGTTTTGAGTAATGAAAACTCTAGGTGTACCAAAGCCCCCAGAATATCTTCAGTTAGTTGAGTGATGCTATTCTGCTTAATACACTTTAACTAGTATGCTAATCCTTAGCCATGGGTGTGACGAGAAGCTTATAAAGGTGTGATTCTATAAGTCTGTGGTAAGGCCCAGGAATCCATTTTTTGAAAACTTCCCCAGGTGATGCTGATGTGCTACCAGAGGGCAGAGTTTCCTAATGGGTAAAGCATGGGCCAGTCCCAATGCTGTCTTTTACAAATTCTTTGTATCTTCACCTTTTTTTTTTTTTTTGAGACAAATTTTTACTCTGTTGCTCAGGCTGGAGTGCAATGGCATGATCTCAGCTCACTGCAACCTCTGCCTCCCAGGCTCAAGTGATTCTTCTGCCTCAGCCTCCCAAGTAGCTGGGATTACAGGAGTGTGCACCACGCCCGGCTAATTTTTGTATTTTTAGTAGAGATGGTGTTTCACCACGTTGGTCAGGCTGGTCTCAAACTCCTGACCTCGTGATCGGCCTATCTCGGCCTCCCAAAGTGCTGGGATTACAGCCGTGAGCCACCGCACCCAGCCCTGTATCTTCAATTTTGAAATGAGAGTAACACCCCTTCTGTAAAAGGATTGTTCTAAGGGTCAGATGAGGTGATGTATGTGAATTACTTAGCAGATTGGCTGGGACAGTGTCACTGCTCAGTATTTGTGGACTATTATTATTATTAGCATTAGCATTACATTTATCAGTGTTAGCCTGAACAAAATACTGTTGGCATTCCTTTCTCCATAGGTAAATACCAAAAAAGCCTAAACGCAGGAACTGCTTTCGATGTAAATTAACATAGAACAATAACCCCTTAGCTGTCTGTAGTTTACCAAGTGTTTCATGTCGGTCATCTCATATTTTAACAGCCCCCAAGGAGAGATCTCACTGAAAAGAATCTTAGTATTGAGGGGCTGCCAGCCCGCAGTATCTGCTTACCCAGGAAAACCTACTCTGTTGAGGTTGTCTGGACAGATAAAGGATGAGGAAGCAAAAACCAGACTTGTCACTTTTCCTGGCCCTTTGACACTGGGAAATACCAGGTTAATGTGTTGTGGCAGTCACACAGTGGCCATCATCAGTGTAGAGATGACAGTAGATTAGATTGCATGAGATATCTGATGTAAAACACCCAATAACACTTGGCCCCAGGCCAGGCTGCTTTGGTCACAACTACAGCACCCACGCCATGGGGTGAGGGTACCACTGCTTCTTCTCGTGGCCAGGGATCAGAAACTTTTGAGTCCTAGGAAGCATGCTCAGCATTACAGAGATTGCAGGTCACAAATATTTGTTGAGAAGTCAAAAATAATAGACTATGCTAATAGTCAATAAAATAAAAATGTAGCTAAACAGGAGATACAATTAGCTACAATGTTTGTTAGCCTTGATAAGCAGGGTTCACATTGAAGGAATATGTTGCTATGTAACATTTTAGCATTGCTTACTATGGGTATATATATTTTTCTTCTTCTAATAAGCCATCTTTCCAGCATAACTAAATTTCTTCTTTTAATTTCCTTTTCTCTCTCAATTACATTAATTTAAGTGAATGAAATCTTCAAAACTTTCTATGATCTGGCCCAAACATTTAAAAATATCTTTCTTTCCTTTCTTTCTTCCTTTTATTCTCTCTCCCTCTTTCCCTTTCTGTAACATTATCACTTACTGTATGTTATTTGAGTCATTTGATATTCACTTACCCTGAGAGGTAAGTTCTGTTTATTTATGTGGAACCTGAGGCTTAGAGAACTTAGGTAACTTGCCCAAGGTCCCACAGTTAGTGACAGAGCTAGTATTCAAATGTGGAGCAGTCTGATTCCAAGCATCGCACCTTTAACCTTTAATTTCAACATCAGCCTTATTATGCACTACTTTTCATATACTGGGTTCCAGCTAAACTGCACTTTCCTTTCGTATGCTGTTGCATTGCCATTCCTCCTCTCCACACTGCCCCTTCTCTTCATTTGTTTGTTGAACGCTATAAGAATCTTCAGATTGATCATCATTGCTTGCTGAAAAGTCGAAATAATAGACTTTGCTGATACTCAGTAAAAGAAGAATGTGCTAAAATTAACAGGAGACACAATTACCTACAAATTTCACTAGTTTAGGAGCTTTGATAAGCATGGTTCACGTTGTAAGAACATGCTTCTTAACAAGAGCCAAAATGTTCTCTTCTCCATTTGCTGATTCTGCCTTCTCTTAGTTTCCATCGCTATTGTTCTGGGCTTCACATGTGGCTTGAAATTCACCCTATCCTGTATTGCAGTCACTTGCAGGCATCTCTTCTTCCTTGTTAGATTGTAAGCTCTTTCAAGACAATCACTTTTTAAAAAATCCTTTTGTATTTTCTCAAAACAGTAGATTCTTGTATAGTAGGTTGTCAATGTTTGTTAAAGGATGGTTTATTTATTCCACTCTGTAAGATTTGAGTGAATTTTTCATGAAAGCCAAACAGATCTTTGTTTTGCAGAAGAGTATCTTGTTTCTGAAGATGCCAAGAAACAAATTTGATCCTAAGAGTGGTCCTTTACGATAAGTGATGTATATAAGATGACTTTTTTTTTTTTGAGACAGTTTCTCACTCTGTCACCTAGGCTGGAGTGCAGTGGTGCCATCAGTTCGCTGCAGCCTCGACTTCCCAGGCCCAAATGATCCTCCTACCTTAGCCTCCCAAGTAAGCTCGGATAACAGGTGTGCACCACCGTGCCTTGTTTTGTTTTGTTTTGTTTTTTGTGGAAATGGGGTCTCCCTTTGGTCTTGAATTCCTGGGCTCAAGCGATCTTCCCGCCTTGCCTCCCAAAGGGCTGGGATTACAGGTGTGAGCCATTATACCTGGCCACAATGTGACATTTTAAAATTCTTATACATAATTAGCTTTTTATGTGTTCCAAATTAAAAAATAACCATGATTCTAATAATTAAGAAGTGGGAAGTTTTGTTCTTGTGGGGAAAGTAGAAGTTATTATTGTAGAACCTAAGAAGTGATATTTCCTGGTCTAATACCTGTATCTGATTCACTTCCACATAAATGAAGTTCAACTCTTTTGCCCAGGAGTTTTGCATCCCTTGCTTTGGCTGAGAAGAGGATAAAACCTAGAAAGAAGTCTAAGCAAGACCGGGTGTGGTGGCTCACTCCTGTAACCCCAGCACTTTGGGAGGCCAAGGTGAGAGGATGGCTTGAGTCCAGGAGTTCAAGAACAGCCTGAGCAGCATGGCAAAACCCCATCTCTACACAAAATACAAAAATTAGCTGGACGTCGTGGTGCACACCTGTAGTCCCAGCTACTCAGGAGACTGAGGTGGATCACTCAAGCCTAGGGAAGTGGAACTGTGATTACACCACTGCACTCCATCCTGGGCAACAGAGTGAGACCCTGTCAAAAAAAAAAAAAAAAAAAAAAAAGAAGGGAGGGAGGAAGGAAGGAAGGGAGGGAGGGAGGGAGGGATATCACACTGTATCCTATAAATATGTACAATTATTATATGTTTCTTAAAAATAATAAAAGCAGCCAGGTGCTATGGCTGAGCCCAGGAGTTTGAGAGCAGCCTGGGCAACATAGTGGGACCCAGTCTCTACAAAAAATACCAAAAAGAAAAAAAAAAAAGCCAGGCATGGTGGCTGTATGTGCCTGTAGCCCAGTTACTCAGGAGGCTGAGGTGGGAGGATCGCTTGTGCCTGGGAGATGGAGGCTGCAAGTGAGCCATGATCATGCCACTGCACTCCAGCCTGGGTGATAGAGTGAGACTCTGTCTCAAAAATAAATAAATAAATAAAATGAAAGCAAAAAAAAAAAAAAGAAATCGGGTAACATCTCTTCCCCACGCCTTCATGCCCATCCTCCCAACTCTTACGGCCCACCCTCCCACTCCTCCCCTCACACCCCCGCCTCCACCCCACACACAGAGGAAACAAGCAAAAACAACGTATTGTCTCTTAGAACTTGGAAAAGGTTTTTGTTAACCACAAGTCCAGGTGCTCAGTATTTGTAATTTATAGTCTTTGCTTCTATGTTTTTGCTGAAAATATGACTCTTTATCACTCTTTAAAAATTATATTGTACTGTTGACCAAGCATGGTGGCTCACACCTGTAATCCCAGCACTTTGAGAAGCTGAGGCAGGAGGATCACTTGAACCCAGGAGATCGAGACCAGCTTGGGCAACATAGCAGACTCTGTCTCTACAAAAAATAAAAATTAGCCAGGCATGGTGGCATATGCCTGTAGTCCTTGCTACTTGGGAAGCTGAGGCGGGAGGATCACTTGAGCCCAGGAGTTTAAGGTTATAGTAAGCTATGATCATGCCACTGCACTCCAGCATGGATGACAGAGCGAGACCTGTCTCTAAAAAAAAATAAGTAGATAAAAATAAAAATTACATTGTAGTTGTAAATTTATTCAGATTACAAAAGCATATGTACTTGCTATAAAGAAGACAAGAAAATGGAAATATATAAAGTTAATAAATTTCTCCTATCTCCCTTAAATACTAACCCTTTGAAGTAATCAATATTATCAATTCCTGAACTTTCTCCTTGCTTATATAACTATGTATAAGTATATATGCACATATATAGTTTTTTCTCCTAAAAATAGAATTATATTACTTATTAATACATTATGCCACAATTGCGTTTAATATAATAAAGCATCATAGACATTCTCTCCAGAATAAAAAACTCACTTATGGCATGGCTGCTTAATATTCCACAATTTAACTGTTCATATTGTGTCAAGTTTTCTTCTACTACAACCATTCTTCCTGGAACATCTGTGTGTGTGTGTGTGTGTGTGTGTGTGTGTGTGTGTGTGTGTGTATTTGAACCTGCCAACTTACAGAAGCTTTTTTATTTCTGTCTGTCAGAGTCTCTAAAGGAGTATTACTTTCCAAAAGCTGTAGTAATTCACAGTCTCACTGACACTATTTGAAAATATCTGTTTCCCCATATCTTTGCCAGCATAATTCATTTTAGAAGTATAAACTTTATGATCTCTTTTTTCCTGTTTTGTTTCAAGTTTTCTTTAGGGAGCACTTGTCACTGTCTCTACATTAAAAAAATTCACTTATTTGATTTATTCTTACCTGTCTTTTGCTTAATTTTGTAATTTCTTAATCATAATACATATGATTTGTCTTCTAGAACTGAAAAAGAAAAGTTCATGGCTGGACTTACAGAGCTTAATTGTTCTGTATTGAAATAAAACAAAACACTTGATTTCTGTTTATAGTAAAGTAAATGTAGACCTTTCAATTCCAATTTTCCTCTTCTAAAAGTGCATTATTTAAGAAATTGTCTCAGGAAATATAAATGTTTTAATGGGAAAAACAGAAACTTACAAAATACAAAGATGGGAAATTTTAAAGGAGCTTTAAGACTGCAAAGCTGAGTTTCTCTCTTGAATCCAAAAATCTGAAGACAAAGGTTCTTTGAGAGCATTAGTTATAAATTGTGCTGAATTACATAAAGAGGAAAAAGTGAATCATAGCAGATAGGAATTTAAACCTGGACTGTTGTTGAAAGTCCTTGCGCTCATTGCTCCTGCTTATTTTTCTGGGAGGTGAGTTTAGATTCTGCTTCTCATGTCCTTGCCGTTGCTGAGTTCATTATAAAATTATTTATATAAAGCTCCAGCAGTACATTGGTTAATCAGAAACAGCTGCACAACTGGATTCATTTATAGGAACGGAATAACTAAATCAATCAGCAAAATTTCTTGTATTTGGGTAGGTTGGGCCAACATTGTGCAGCCCAGAATAATAATGCTTTGTAACTAACCTGACACAGATGTCAAAAAGATTGCATTTGGGCAACAGAAGTTGGAACTGAAAATTAAGAAACCCTGTGAATGCTTGATGTCTGCCATAATAAAAGTGTTACTCTTTTTTTTTTTTTTTAATATTAGTGTTTTCAAAGTTAGGAAGATTCACAAAAGGAAGTCCTGTTTTAAAAAGAATGTATCAGAGTTTTACCCTCTATGGGCTGGGTCCCTTGAATGAGGGTGAATTGTCCAGATCAGTGTCCCCTGAAAGATAAGTGCGTACATTCTGCCAAACGTCCAGGATAGAAACAAGCCAAGGGCCCCATGCTGGGAAGAACGCCACAGACCAGGCAGGCAAATGGATGTCCCTGACTAGCGGGAGCTGCGCTGAATCAGGGAGAAGACAGAAGTTCCCAAGCAAGACTGAGGCTGAAGTTCCGACACAGCATGGTCAAAGGAGTTCCTCGAGATGATGTGTCCTTATGCAGAACCCAGAGGTCCATGGGGGCTGAATGAGTTTATGGAATGAAGCCCTGTTGTATAGCTCTAAGCAGGCAGTGTTGCGGAGACTTCAGTACAATGCGACAGGAGGTCTGATGAGAAAAGGAAAATCTCTAGACCCTGAGTCCCCATATGGGACCCAATCCTAAGGGACCCTGAACTCTCCACCACTTGAAAATAACAGGTGGGTTACTTTCAAGGCCAGAAATCTGCCTGCCTCAACTAGCAGGTCCAAGTGCCTGGCTTGCTGTGAAGTGGATCTAACCTTGGTAGGGAGCTGCATTACATTTTAGCCAGTGAGGGGCATAGTGAGGAATCAGGACCAGTTGGCACCTTTTCTCTTGCGGCATACTGTGGTTTTGGCACTGGAATTTGTAAAAACTTGCATCTTTTTGAGGCCCCCATATGCTGATGCCTGAAGGCTGATGTCCTCTTGCCCACCTTCACACTGTCCCTGGTTTGGGATGTCCATCAATCCTGACAGATAGTGAAACCATCTTAAAAAATTAAGTTACTTTCAGGTTAAGACCTGATATTGACCAGCTCATTTACTGGATTCCTTGTGCATTGCGTCCTCTGTTAAAGGCAGAAAGGTAACATGAAAAGGGCAGTAAATGAGGAGTTCACCAGTTGTAGTCTAATCCCAGCTTTGTTGCCTAGTAGTCAAGCTGGGCTTGACAACACTGTGCAGAAGTAGAGTAGAGAATCTGCAGGAACAGGGAGAAGATGGTGGCCAGCATGTCTGTGATGCCTCCGATGGGACACACCATTAACATCTCCACGTAAGGTCCATCCTAACAATGCAATCAACGTTGTAACTTGTCATTCAGAGGCCTGAGGAGCCGAAGCCTGATATTTTACCATGCCTGTTTTTGACTAAGTATTTAATAAGGGAAAGATGTATATATCCATCACATTTCTCATTTAGCTAAAATAGTGTATGTATAATATATAAAGATCAATTTATATTTTAGCGAACTCATGGAGTTCTTCGTTTATACTTGAATCTCATTGTATACTTGCTAAAGAAGGAATATTAGCTGAAACACTGAAGTCTTTCTATTGCACCGAGGTTGTTTTTTGTAATAGTATTTGTGGAAATGGAATTTGAGCCAGATGCTGTCCAGGTACACTGGGCAGATTTTATTTACATCCAATAAAAATCACACTACCTCACTATATGTAAGCACACATCATTTATATTCACTTTTATTCTGTATTAGTGCATAACCTTGAAACCATCTGTCCTCACCATCTATTATTGGGGGAACCCGCCCCTGATAATTAAACATTATTTCACATAGGTTCTTTTTTGTTTTCCTAAGTGGTGGCTGGTCTGAGAAATAAAGGGAAAGAGTACAAAAGAGAGAAATTTTAAAGCTGGGTATCTGGGGGAGACATCATATATTGGCAGGTTCCATGATGCCCCTGAAGCTGCAAAACCAGCAAGTTTTTATTGGTGATTTTCAAAGGGGAGGGAGTGTACAAATAGGGTGTGGGTCACAGAGATCACATGCTTCACAAGGTAATAAAATATTACAGGGCAAATGGAGGCAGGGCGAGATCACAGGACGGGGTGAAATTAAAATTGCTAATGAAGTTTCGGGCACGCATTGTCATTGATAACATCAGGAGACAGGGTTTGAGAGCAGACAACCTGTCTGACTAAAATTTACTAGGCTAAAATTTACTAGGCGGGAATTTCCTCGTCCTAATAGGCCTGGGAGCGCTACGGGAGACCGGGGCTTATTTTATCCCTTATCTTCAACCATAAAAGACAGACATTCCCAGAGTGGCCATTTTAGAGACCTACCCCTGGGAATGCATTCTCTTTCTCAGGGCTGTTCCTTGCTGAGAAAAAGAATTCAGCGATATATCTCCTGTTTGCTTTTGAAAGAAGAGAAATATGGCTCTGTTCTGCCCCACTCCCAGGCAGCCAGACCTAATGGTTATCTCCCTTGTTCCCTGAACATTGCTGTTATCGTGTTCTTTTTTCAAGGTGCCCAGATTTCATATTGTTTAAACACACATGCTTTACAAACAATTGGTGCAGTTAATGCAATCATCACAGGGTCCTGAGGCAACATACATCCTCAGCTTACGAAAATGACGGGATTAAGAGATTAAAGTAAAGACAGGCATAGGAAATCACAAGAGTATTGATTGGGGAAGTGATAAATGTCCATGAAATCTTCATAACTTATGTTCAGAGATTTCAGTAAAGACAGGCGTAAGAAATTATAAAAGTGTTAATTTGGGGAACTAATAAATGTCCATGAAATCTTCACAACTTATGTTCTTCTGCCATGGCTTCAGCCGGTCCCTCCATTCGGGGTCCCTGACTTCATGCAACAATCTATCACACACAGTTGCATCTGCACACATGTACACATGTGTCATTGACTTACCCCTTTTAAGGAGCACTTCAGATATAACCAGGAAGCACCAATTCCGGACTTCCTTGGAAAAGTCAATATATTGCTGTCCATTTTATGTGTCAGTATGTGTCAGCCTTTGTAGCTTCATAGAAGGCAGAGGTCGTCGCTAACTAATGAATACTTTGTACAGTCTCAGACAAAACACCCTATGCCTAACCAGGTGACTGTAAGTGCTTTGGAGGGCATTCACTATGATGGCAGCGATTGCTGAGAGTGGATACAAATACTTAATGCGGGGCATTGCCATTGAGAATTCTGACCTGACTGTTAGTTGGTGACTGTGGCCATGGCTAGTTGAGCCTCCTATTTGTAATTCTTAGTCCTGGTCTAAGGAACAACGCATTGCTGTTTTGGCTCAGCAGCAGACCATGCTAGATGGCAGCCAGCCAGCAGGAACTGTACTGCTCTTGCTCCTCAAAATTGGTGCTAACATTACAGGCCTCCATTTATGCATGGCAAGATTCTGGACCAACACACTGGTCAATGGTTCCCCTGTGGACTTTCTTCCTTGCAGAGAGGTTAGACCAACTTGTCTACCTGGGAAGCTGAACTTTAGGACAAGTGCCCTCGACAACTCAGTTACCCTTTGTAGATAGGGTTGTGACAAGGGCTTTCTGAATTCTAACTTAGATGCCCAAGAGAGCATAGCAGAATCCTAATAGAAGCTTTCCCTGTGCTCCCTGTCAGCTCTGGTCCTAGCAACACAGACAGGGAGAGGAAAAGGGAGGAGGTTCCTTGTGATGGGGGAGGGTGCAGAGGCCAGCAGTGAAATAAGACAAAGAGTCTGGTGGTTCTGAGCTGCAGGGAGAGACCCCCATCAGTGGGATGGGGGGGCAGGGAGTGAAAAGCAAGGAATCCTAATCTTCATCTGTGTGGCTGCTGGGTTGGACTCCTGGCGGTGCCAGGAACTCAGTGAGCTGGACTAAGCTGGGATCTGCCTTTAGGAAAACTCATTAGGAAACAGAGATTAGAGGAGGCCCATCTCATGCTTACTCTTGCAAGAGTGCCCTCCCCTCCTCCCCTTGAAAACTCCTTGTCATGTCCTACATCTTAATTCATGTCACCTTTTTTGAAACACTTCCGCACTCCTCTCCAGCATAACAGTTCATTTCTTTTTAAAATTATTTTTAAATTTTATTTGTTTTTAAAGTAGTGTTTCATGCTGTCACCCAGGCTGGAGTGCAGTGGCACAATCATAACTCATTGCAGCCTCAAACTCTTGGGCTCAAATGATTCTCCTGCCTCAGCTTCCTGAGTAGCTGGGACTGCAGGCACATACCTCCATGCTCGACTAACATTTTTTCATTTTTGTAGAGATGGAGTATTGCTATGTTGGCCAGACTGGTCATGAACACCTGGCCTCAAGCAGTTCTCAGCCTCCCAAGTAGCTGGGACTACAGGCGTGAGCCACGGCGCCCAGCTCTGACAGTTAATTTCGTTAATGTATGTTGAGTATCTGTCTCCCCATTAGATTGTGAACTACTTGATAGCAGATAATTGCAGCAATTTACCCTCTTTATTGCCAGTGACAAGTGTAATGCTTGGCATATACCTGGTGCCTAATAAATACCAGCTGAATGAAATCATGTGTCCTTCTAGTGCAGTTATCTCAGTTTTGTTTTAATGGTTTATTAACTAAGAATTCTGGGAAACTATTGACCACAATTAAACAGGTCTAGAGATAGAGCACTTCTTCACTTATATTGGAGGCCAATGGAATTATGAAATTAATTTACCAAAATTTTACTTATTTCTCAGGAATGCATGGGAACATAAGGGGTCTTCATCTGGATTCACTGTCTGGGTACTGTTTCCTAATTTCTTGCCAGCCTGGGTACCACTCAGCAGTACTTTGCCATGGCCACAGAAGTCAGGGATGAATTATTCCTATTTAGATTACCAGTAATCATTTTTGAAGAAGGAATGATAAAATAACATTGTTTACTGTTTACCAGGTAAAATTCTAAATGCTCTGAATGAACTTATTGAACCCATGTAACCACCCTCTAAGGCAGGCACCATTATTGTTTCCATTTACAGGTGAGGAATTTGAGGGTAATCAGCTGGCCCAGTTTCACACAGCTAATCTGGCAAGGTCAACATTCAGTCCAGGCAGCGTGGCTTCAGCCCAGTCTGAACTATGAGGCCCTCCTGCCTCTTTGGTCAAGGATATTCAGTTTAAAGGACCTAGATGGCCCCAGCTTTGTTCAGGCAGCTGACTGACCACTGACCCAGTGTTGTTCATGTCCCTCTGTTTGTTGCATGCATGCTTCTGGGTTAGGGCCACTGATCCACTGTGGAAAGGGCAGCGGGAAGCAGTGAAGGCTGACTGCTGGTCCACCCATTAGCTCTTTGTGTGGTGTTTTGGGTCCAGCATTAACTTTGCTCTGAATCATCCACACTGCCCTGATACCCATCATAGACATACATTCTAAATGTCCCCTAAGACTTCAGTGGTCTTTAATGAGGAAGAAAATCTTCCTAGAGTGTCACAAATGCTGCCTAAAACTGGTGGCACTGACTAGTGTCACATTATCAAGAATAATAGTAAGTTACGTTCAGCTGGTAGAGAAGGAATATAATACTCAACTGAAAAATGCACACCCTTTTTTCTTTTAACTAAAAAAAAATGTAACATCCCAGAGCATTAGAGCAGGGAAGCAAAGTGAAGATCATTTTGCCCAACCTTGCGTTTCGCAGGTAAAGAGACAGAGCCCCGGAGAAGTCAGGTAGCTTGCCTAAGGCTAATGGCCAGTTGGTAGCAGAGATGAGATAAGAACGCAGGCCTGCTGGGTTCCAGTTCGTTTCTCTTCCCCCTGCCTGAGATTGCATAAAATGTTCCATAGATGATTTTCTTATTATAGGCAAAACATAGAACAATCTGTTTTTTACTGGGCAGGACCAAGGTTAACAGTGCCTTAAAGAGGTGAGAGACGCAGCTGGAAACCTCCTTCAGGTACAAAACGTAACAAGACGTAGGGCTGGGGAGGGTGCTTAGCAAGGTGGTGTTCAAAGGGTAGCTGTCCTGTAGAGTTTGCACTGCACAGCCCCTGCCTTCTGGACAGTCCCAGGCAAAAAAGCAGATACCTTTCTCCAGTAACTTCTGGCTCAAGTCATTTTGGGGGTGAGAGAATCAAACTAGCGGAGTTTATAGCAGAGTTCAGCAGGAGGAGGGCAGGAAGAGGAGGGAAATGGCTACTTCCTTTCCATAAAGAAAAATGTATCTCAAAACCTGCTGCGGAGAGTAATTCTTAGGCAGCCTAGCCTCAGCCTGGAGGCCGGCAAGCTGCAGGGCTCTTGCTAGGCTGCTGGGAGGAAGAGCTTTAAGCCCCTCCCGGAAAGGCTGAGGTGGCCTGCAGAGGCTTCCCCTCCTGGTGCTCTGCATCACCAGCAACCTAGGCAGGATTTGCCGCTCCTGGGATCAGAGCTGAAAGTTGACCACAGGTTACCTTTGTACCTGCAAAACAATGACCAGGGATCCTCACAGGCAAGACTGGAGAGGAGATCAGCTCTTTATCAGATAGAGACAGAAACCTAGGGCTGGAAGAGGTCCAGAACTGTGTTCCCACCTCTGAGCTAGACACTTCAAAACAGCCCAGGGACGGGGGTGGAGGTGGAAAGGGTTGTAAAGTGTCATTGGCCTAGGACTGATTTCAGCCCTGATCTTGCATGATCCCACCCACAGGAAGAGCATTTTGGGAGAATTGAAACTATAAGGCCAAAGAAACTTGAGGGGAATTCTTTACAATTCCTGCAGAGACCTCGACCAGTCCCAGGAAGAGGGTGCCGTACTTGGTAGACTGTTCGAGGGTGGGAAATGCTTTATTCCTTCCCTCCCTTCGGGCCTCGCTCACTGTCAGCCCCAGTGGTGAGCTCTGTGCTGGCAGTTTATCTGGTCTTCTTTTCAAGTCCAGAGAAGGACAAAATAAAAAGCTTAGAGGAGCAGAAGCTAAAACAAAACCAACTGCATTCTTAAACCCGATCTGATACAGCAAGGTTTTCAGGGAGTGCAGCTGCTCCAAGCCCATGGGGCCCTTCCAGCCTCAAATCCATGGGACATTGTTCTTAGTCAGAGGGCAAAGGGATCTCTTTGTGTTTTTCTGATGTGAGCCTGGACCCTTCTAGAATTAAACAAGAAACTAGAGGCAGAGCTAGGATTCAAATTGAGAAGTTTCTGATTCCCATGTCTGTGGTCTCCCTGCCTTGTCCTTGATTAAAATGGCAGTTTTAGAGGCACATCCCACCACCGAGCATTCTGTGTCAGCATCAGCCAGCTTCCTGCAAAGCCAGGCCCCTGGGCATGTGCAGGCTATTGCCTTAAACCTGGATGATGCAGAAAGTGGCTTCCAGCTCTCCTTCTTAGTGGTCAAGGAATGTGGAGGGGCCTGTGGCAGGTAGGCCAGGCACTGAGCTGGGTGCAGAATGGGCTTTACCTTCTAAACTTACTGTCCCAGCTCCAATGTAAACTAATGAACTCTCATGAAACCAGTAATGGCTTGCTTGCTTGAGGAACTAGAGGGCAGGGTGTGCCATAACTGACCCTGGTTGCATAAGACAGTCCAGTGAGTTCCTCCTTTTTTACCCCCTGAGGTACATCAAAAGGACCCAAGACAGAAAAACTGTAGGAATAAACTCAGTCCTAATTTGGAGGCCATAGGCAAGGAACCTTACATTGTATAGATTCCTGGGGCTGGCAAAATAGACAGTGGTGGATACCTTCAACTCTTGCCAGAGTTAAATTTTTGTTTGTTTGTTTTGAGATGAGATCTCACTGTGTCACCCAGGCTGGAGTGCAGTGGCACAATCATGGCTCACTTGCAGCCAAGGAATCCTCCTGCCTCAGCTTCCCAAGTAGCTGGTACTACAGGCACATGCCACCATGCCTGGCTAAGTTTTTCAGTTTTGTAGAGATGAGGTCTCACTGTGTTGCCCAGGCTGGTCTCATACTCCTGGGCTCAAGTGATCCTCTTGCCTCAGCCTCCCAAAGTGCTAGGATTACAGGCATGAGCCACTGCACCTGGCCCAAAATATTTTTAAGAGAGAAAATTTAAGAGGCTACAAGTGGTATGGGTTAGAGTTTAAACAACAGCAAAAGAAGCATGCTCAGAGTAGAGCCCCATTCCTCCACTTGAATGACAGACATGAAGTGGGACGGTGTCTGCATGCAGTATCTACAAATGAGCCTCTCTGAGCAGAGTCCATTGTAGAAAGACACATTGTCTAAACCAGGGTTCTGAAACCTTTTTTGGTTATGACCTACAGTAAGAAATACATTTTTCATTGAGACCCAGTGTATACAGGATAGATAAACAGAAACAAAAACAAAAGTTTTATAAAACAATTTCCATGTTTACCAAATGCAACACATTTCCTTTTCTATTAAGAAGAAAAAGCCGGTTGCAACCCACTAAAGTGATTTGATGGCCAAAGAATAGGTAGCAATTTGCATTTTGAAAAATACTTATTTAAATAGAAATTTGTCAGACATGTAGAAACCAGTCACATTGTAGCTCTGGCAGATTTCTGCAGGAGATCCAGTGACACATTTCATGGTCCTAGAAATGGTTTTCCTTACTCTTTGAATCTTTCACGGTTGATGAGGTGGTGTTGGTGATGAAGGCCAAGGAAGAGAGTGGAGAAGATGGTGATGGAGGAGTTAGGAGGCCAAGTCTTAATTCTGCTCAGGCAGAAAACAGTTGAGTGTCTGTGATGCATTGTCCAGACACGAATGAGACACAGACCCTGGTCTATGGCGGCTTATAGTCGAGGTGTTTGCTTCGTAGTAAAACAGGAGCAAAAAACCAGAATGATGCAGGTAACCTGAGGCCCCTTCATTCTGAGTTCTCTGAAAGGAGAAACCATATTATAGGGATGTATGCAGCGTTATACCCTCGGTCTGCCTCTCCTCTGTCTCCTCTGTAATAAGTATTCAATAAATCTGTATTGAAAGACAGTGTTACCTGAGAATACTTGTACTTGCAACTAGACTGGTAATCAATTTCTATAGTGGTATTGTTAATATAATATTATTAATGTTAATAAAACATTAACATAATATGGGATATGATGGTTTAGATAAGAAAGATCCAGGCCTGGCGCGGTGGCTCATACCTGTAATTCCAGCACTTTTGGAGGCCGAGGCGAAAGGATCACTTGAGCCCAGGAGTTTGAGACCAGCCTGGGCAACATAGCAAGACCTTGTCTCTATTTAAAAATTAAAAATGAGAAAAAGGAAGACCCAGAAGAGTTCAGGTTATGTAGCAGAACTGCAGACCCCATCTGGGTTTCAGGTCCTCCTAGAGCAAGCTTTTAAAGGTTGAGGTTTGTCTGGTTTGACTTGTAAGTGGGCCCTGGGACAGCTTGCCCTGGCTCTTGGCCTAGAGACAAGAAGTCAAAGTGGTGTGGGCCGAGCCCGACACTGGCCACCACGGAACACAAGAGAGGGCATTCTTGGTTTTCCCCTACTGCTCATTTGAAACTGCACTGAGTTTTCCCACTTGGGTCAGCAGTTCAAGATGGTGTGATTCAGGCTTAAATCACCCCAAGTTTCTGTGTGGTAGGTTTCTGTAGAGATGAGGGTGCTTGCAGACCACTCTCTGTTGGATCCTAAATGGAGTCTTTGTTTCAAGTCCTGGACTAACCCAGCACTAAGGGGGCATTGAGGCTGAGGAGTGGTCTTGGGGCCCTGGAGACCCTGGCACAGGTCCCAGTGCAGAGAGTGAACGAGCTCCTCCGCACTCCCTGCGCTGGCTTTCTCAAAAGCAAGCTCTGTTCTGGTTGTCCTGCCCCAAGGCCTGGCGCTTCAGACCCAGACCAGTCATACTGCTACACTAAATTAGATT
Source organism: Homo sapiens (assembly GCF_000001405.40). NCBI lineage: Eukaryota > Metazoa > Chordata > Mammalia > Primates > Hominidae > Homo > Homo sapiens. The sequence continues at coordinate 174,664,179 of NC_000002.12, read as the reverse complement.
GAAGCCCTTCATTCAAGCACTTGGGGTGTGTGTGTGTGTGTGAGAGAGAGGGACAGAGGGACAGAGAGGAGAGAAGGGTGTGCTGGCTGGTGAGGGAGGCAGGGATTTGCAGGGAGGAGAGGGAAAGACAGTACCTGACTTAGGGATAGAGCCAGAGAGCCCCAGGTTCTACTGCCAGCTCTGTCGCTGTATGTGTGACCTTGGGCCTCAGTTTCCTTATCCATAAATTGGGAAGGTTAGTGCTGCTTCCTCTGATCTCCTTTGGCTCCAACGCTCTATGGCTCTCAGGCCTGAGCAATGTTTTCTGGCAGGAAAGAGAGGCTGCCCAGAGCTTCCTTCTCAGGCAGCCAGTGCGCACATTCTTTCCTGTGCCCGCATATGGAAGCAATTTCTAGATTATCCAAGGCACTAGTGCTGCTGAGCTCACCCGAAACAGAAGAGCTTGGTGGTGGTAAATGGAAAAAGATAAAAAACCTGCATGCGTGTTCCTCTGTTTTCCTCCCACAGTGACTTTCATATCTGGAATCCCTCGTGCAATTTGCTTTCCCATGCTATGGCAGGGGCGTGCCAGTGGGTTTGGGGAACTTCACAGAAAAATCCTGATAAACACAAAGTGAACTGCTTCTCTCCTGAGGCCAAAGGCCACTTTGCCTTTTTCCCCAGGAAACTTCAGGCCTGAGGAAACTTGCAGGGGGCGGCGGGGTGGGGGGAAGGGGAATGCGTGGAGGGGACCATAATGTTCCCACATTTATTGTAATCTTTCTCTCTGGTCTGTTAAAATGAAGACTATTAATGGCTGGCTGAAACATCAGCCAAGAGCTTTGAAGGGGAAAATGTTTTATTGGTTCCTTCTCTGCCAAGTGAAACCTTTACCTGTGTTTCTCCTCTGCACCCCTTGGAGGTTTGGGTCGCAGTTATCTGGTAACTTGTAAACTGGAGGCACAGGGCATTTACTCCTAAATTCAGGTCAGGAAAGTGACTTTTTCTAGAGCACCACCTTGCTCACAAAGCCTCAGCTGTGGCCCTGATCCCCATAGATGGTCCTCCGGACCTTATTTTCTCCCACCCTCTCTTCACTCCTGACCGTAATTCTTGGGAAAGGATATTATTGAAAAGGGCATGTTTATAGAGAAGTGGTTTTTGTTCCCCTTTCAGTCTCTCTCTAACTTCTCTACTGCCTAGTCTCCCACTGATGTTAACATTTAAACGTTAATTTTGTAAAGTGGAGGTATTTTTCCTAGAAATGAAATCTGAGTAATTAGGAATCTGTAAATATTTTACCAACACTTGTTAAAGGTGTTGCATTCATGTCCTCATATAGACCCAGGATATTCCTTCTGAATACTTTCTGGAAAAATCTCTCAAGACAGTAGGCTGATGGATGCCAAAAGACTCTTAGCAGGGACCACATTCTTTATTTGTTTTGCTTCTGGGTTCTCCTGTGTAGAAGCTTCTGGTCCAAGCAGCCCTCTTATTCCCTTTGGAGAGAGCATGTTTATGACTCTGGTTTGAGTCATCTGGGTTGCTGCCGTGACGGGCTGGAAATCAAACATGACATGAAGATAGAAACACTTACTAGAAACTCACGTGTCTGGCCACCCTATTTCAGGGGGCTCAGATTAGCTCTACTTGGTTGGACATAGTTGTAATTCTGTACATAGTAAACTAAACTGTGTATATGACTAGGACTGGGACTCTGCTAGATTCTCTTCAGCACTAACCAAAGGTCCAGCTGACCTGTATCCTGTCCTCTAGAGGCTAACAGTCTAGACCACCAATCCAGGGAAAGAGTTACGAATTCAGGCCTCACCGATGTATGGGGAACAGTTGACCCTCTACATCCGCAGTCCAGCCAAGCGAGGATAGAAAATGTCGTTATGCCTATGATGGTTGCCTGTACTGAACATGTATGGACATTCTATAGTCATTATTCCCTAAACAGTACAGTATAACAACCGTTTTCATAGCATTTACATTAGGTATTATAAGTAATCTAGCGATGCTTTAAAATATACTGAAGGATATGCATAGGTTTTATGCAAATACTGTACCATTTCATATAAGGGACTTGAACACCCAAGGATTTTGATATCTGCAGGGGTCCTGGAACCAACCCCACATATGTATGGAGGGATGACTCTGTCAACTTGGGGCAAGGGTAGGTGCTCTGCAACCATGGAGATACAGTCTTCTGCTCTCCCAAGAGGGTGAAGGAAGAGTCATTTCATCTGTTCTTTTCTTCCAGGGATTTTCCTGTTCTTCAGGGTAAGCACTCCTGCCTCTGGTCTTTAAGGCAGCCACACCCCCCCAGACACCACACACCCAGTGACCCATGGAGTTGAACCCAGCTCTCCAAGGTGGTCACCCTTGCTCCTCTTCACTCCTCTGCAACCTGTTTTTGCTTGATCTATTCATTCAACAAACATTTATTAAGTGCTCACTGTTGAGGTGTGCTTAAGGCAAGGTCCCTATCATAAAGTGGAGTTTATGTTCTACAGGGGAAAAACACACAGGAAACAAACAGATGCTTATGCAGGTAAATTAAGACAGTGATGAGGGCTGTGAAAAAAGCAGAGAGGCTGATGGGATGAAGAATGATAGGGATACGCTCGAGACATGGCAGTCAAGGGAGGGCAGTGCTTCTAGAGCTGAGATGTGAATGACAAGGAGACAGATGGATGATACCTGGGGAAGTGTGCGTCAGGCTGAGGGCATGCCTGGTGCAAAGGCCCTGAGGAGAGTACACTGGACAAGTCCGGAAAAGAGAGAGAGGGAGTGTGGCTGTGGGGAGAGGGGTGGGGGCCATGCCAGAGGTGTAGGCAAGGGCAGGTGCTCCTGAGGTCTCTGAGGACCTTAATGTAATAGGCTTTTTGCCAGTGGGGTGATAGAATGAGATTTATGTTTTTAATAAAATCACCCTTGCGTCAATCCCATCTCCACCCAGCTCTGACCTCATGGCCTCACACCTGCCTGCCCGGTCAGGCTGCCCCTCAGGCAGGTCTACCTGCTGCACGCTGGCCTCCCTGTTGCAGCTGTCCTAGTGCAGGTCACTTCTGCAGCCCCAGCACCAACTGATCAGCTATGCCTTGGGATTCAAAGGATGGGTGAATCAGTCTGCTGTGAGCCGGACTGCAGTGCAATGCAGGGAAGATATTGAGATGCCTTCTAGGCTGTGAGGCCTTGGACATGCCCCTCGCCCCTCTTGACTTCAGTTCCAGCCTCCGTCAGGTGCTTTCCAGCACCAGCCCTAGGCATCAGTGGTTGTTGCGTGATCGTAATAACAGTATTTATCATGCACTTTTTCTGTCCCAGGCTTTATTTGTATTGCACTCAGTCCTCTTGACAATGCTGTGAGAGTGGCACTGCTGGTAACCTTCTTTTAGAGTGGAGGAAACTGAGGCACAGAGTGAGTAAGCAACTCCAGTCCATAGCTAGAACATGGTTGAGCCAAGATTAAAGGCAGACGGTCTGATCCAGTCCACCCTCATACACTTACATCAACCACTGTACTGCCATCAGTGCAGTACCTCCCTGCTGACACACTGTGCCTCAAGCAGTGAGCAGATAGGGTGGAACTGTTTCCCCCGAGACCCAACACATTCTCCATTAGGTTGGTGTCTCCAGCATCAGCTGAGCCAGTGCTCCCTGTTCCCCCCTCCCTAGGGTGAACCCAGCTGTCCTGTCCTGGTGCAGATGTGAAAATCTCTGCCCTGGGAATGTTGACTACCTGCCAAGTAACAGTCAGTAGTAATAGTAGCAGCAAATGTTTATAGAGCACCTACTATGTATCTTGCTGCCTTTTAAAATTATTATTATTTTACAGATGGAGAAACTGAAGCACAAAAAATTTAGGCAACCTGCTTAGGGTCACGGAGCTAGTAAATGGCAGGACCGGGGTTTGGACCCAGGCAGTCTGGCCCTGGAGTCTGTTTAGAATACACTTCTTTATAGCGAAGAAGAATTCCACCCACTGTGGTTTCCACATGGTAGTCTGTGTTCTAATCCTGATAGCCACAGAATGGCCTAATTTTACTAACATAGGACAGACCTGTAAATATTTGAAGACAGTTATCACATCTCTCCTGGTTCCAAACCACCTTGCCAAGCTCTTGGGGAGCAGTTCTACCCTGGATCTCTCTGTTTCTCCCAGAAAAGCACAAAGAGTACTGTATAAATTACCATCCACATCCAGGTACTGGTGAGAGGCAAGGGCGCACTATTAATAATTACGCTGGAGTGACAAGCATAAATGAGGACTGTCCTGGGCAAACGAGGATGTGCTTGACCCTACTCCCAGGCCACGGTGGAAAGGCACTGCTTGGAATGCCTTCTGAAGATGTGTTCAAGTGGAATATAGGAAAGTTAAACTTACTATACGCAGATAAATTATGGATGGGAAATCGTTAGGTTTTAGAAGTCTGTCTGCTTTTAGTCAACCTTAGTGCAGTGGAAAGGTGCTCAATGAACGACTGAGTTCTGTAATCACTAATGTGATCCTGGATGAGTCATCTCCTACCCCAAGTTCTCAGTTTCCTCATTAGCAAAATAATGTTGATAATCCGGAGTCCCTTCCAGTCCTGAAACTATGATCCTCTGTCAACCTTCCCTACATAAGCAGTGGTCTGCATCCTCACCTAGAAGCCACCAACATGGAACTTGGAGTTTTTGATCTGTTTCCTGTGAGTTGAGCACTCGTATACCATTACTCGCTAAACCCTAGAGGTAGATTTTTAGAGTCCCAGCAGGATCACCCCTATCTAGCTTGCTTTTGGAGTGTTGATGAAATTGTCCCATGCACTATATTCTTTAAATAATGCTTCTCCTTGAGACACCCATGGATTTTGTTAATACACAAACAGGAAACAGGAAACAGAAAACTGAGCCTCCATTGAAAGTAGCTGTTGAGAGCTGAGTGTGGTGGCTCATGTCTGTAGTCCTTGCTACTCACACTCAGGAGGCTGAGGTAGGAGGATTGCTTGAGACCAGGAATTCAAGACCAGCCTGGGCAACATAGCAAGACCTCATCTATGAAAAAGAGAAACTACCTGTTGACTTTCTGAGGAATGGCTTTATTAAAAGATTTACATTTTATATTTCCTAAAACCTGAATCTGCAAATAATTTCAGTGTTTTACATAATTTATCTTACTAGATCCTCAAAAATGTCTGTGTACAGTAGATATTATCTCCATTTTCCAGATATTGAAACAGAGGCTTAAGGGCTGAAATGACTTGTCCGAGGACATCTGGTAGGTGGTGGTGGGACTGCAATTCACATTCATGTCTGCGGGATCCTTTTCAGTCATCTTTCTACTATTCCCATAGTTTTCATTTTGTGTATGTTTTTTGTAAGTGTAGAACTCATTTTTTTCAAGCAGAAACAAGGCTTTGCTGGATGCTGTGGGGTGTACCTGCCTTCTGTGGGGGGCTCCACCAGACCATCCCGCTATAGAACATGGTCTGAACAACCCTGCACTTTCTCTAAGCTGCCTCACACTGTTTTACCCATTTCAAGGAAATGGGATGCTCATGAGATTCTGCACAATTTCATTCTATGTGAGCTTGTTGCATTTAATTAACTTCACTATGATTCCAAGTCACTTGGGCAAATCATTACAGGGCTTGGAGCAGTGGCATGAACTCAGTCTTTGCTAGGAGCCTTGTTTCCCTTCTCCCTAAGGCTCAGCCATGACCCTCTCCATCCTGTTTCTCACCTTGCCCTGCTGAATTCCAGGCCCACCTGTATCAGTAATGGACTTGGGTCTTCTCTAGATGTTACTTGCTCACTTTTATCATTCATCTACTCACCCAATTAAATATCTACTAAATAAAATTATGTGAAAGGGTTCAGCCTAGTGGCTGGCGTATGAGCAGAACAAGTGTTCATCTGTACTACAGACAAAGCATAGGTCTCTTTTTTTGTGTGGGTGTGAGGTTATTGGGTTGACCATGATAATCTCTCAGGTTCCTTTTGTTGCAGAAACCCGCTGCTCCTAGGCCAGCTTCTTCTCTCTCCTAGAAGGCGAGAATTGGGTTCCTGGCTCATTTTCCCTGCCTGTGCATCCTGTCCTCTCCCCACAGCCTAATGCCTCCACCAGAAGTTACTCCACAGAAGAAGAAAAGTTAAAGAATAAGTTTTTCATTCTCTAGGGTTTCTAGGTCCCAGGGAACATCCGAGGGGGCATCTAGTCAAAGAGCACTTTTATCTAGGGAGAAAAAAAAGAATAGGAAATATTTCTCTCTCTCTTTTTTTTTTTTTTTTTTTTTTTTGAGACAGAGTTTCGCTCTTGTTGTCCAGGCCGAAGTGCAATGGCACAATCTTGGCTCACCGCAACCTCTACCTCCCAGGTTCAAGCAATTCTCCTGCCCCAGCCTCCCGAGTAGCTGGAATTACAGGCATGCACCACCACGCCCAGCTAATTTTTTATTTTTTTATTTTTTATTTTTTTTAGTAGAGATGGGGTTTCACCATGTTGGTCAGGCTGGTCTCAAACTCCTGACCTCAGGTTATCCACCTGCTTTGGCCTCCCAAAGTGCCAGGATTACAGGCGTGAGCCACTGTACCCAGCCTTCTGATTTTTTTAAGTCTAGCTTTTATTCTCAGCCATGTTTGAAAGGAGTTCATGTTCAGTTTCACTAGTGGACAGGACATCGACATTAATGCTGCAGGCCCCTTTTCTGTCACTTAGTTCTGGAGCTTTGAAAACCCTGGGAGCTGATTTTTCCCTTCCCAAGCATGCAGCATTCAAGCCGCTGGCTTGTTCCTGAATTCACTTCTTTACTTTAAATATCTATCACATAAAATTTATTAATTGGAGGTAGGTTTAAGAGGCATGCTATTCTAGACATACATTGATAATTTTACCTACTAAACATCATTCAGAAATTTCAAAGCATTAGTCCAGTATAATACGTTAGAAAATATTCTTGGCATTTTGTTTTATGGTTTTTTACAAAAGACAGATACTTCGCTTAGGCCATAGTTCTTACATAATGATTTTTTTCTTTCAGGAAGAAAAGCAATTATTAGAAGTAGCAATCCAAGATTCCATCAAGCCAGTATAAATGTAGCAGTCTGTCTTCTCATTCTGAGATGTGCATGCTAATGTTGCTAGCTAATATTTAGGATTCAAAATATAGTCTAGCCAGAAAATATTCTGGATTATGTAACAGTGTGTATCAGCTGTCTCTAGGGGGTGTATGTGCATATGTGTATAGTGTAACTGATTGGATGCCTGGGTTAAAGGCACTGAGTAGCTGTCTATTTTGTTTTTACTAGTTCACTGACAAGTCATTAACTGTCTGTATAAAAATTAACCATTCTGATCTTTGGATGGTATTTTTCACACTGAACTGAACATTTGGTGCCCAGTTAAGCCAGGAGTCTCCATAGTATTCCAGTTTCCCCTGAGCACAGCAGCCTCTATGCCCTCATCCACAGCTGTAGATCTGCTCTGCTGGCAAGTAAGAGGAAATAGAACAGCAGGGATAGGTTGGCCATGGGATTCTAAGCAGTTTCCATTTGTGTGTTAGTGTTCACATCCCCTCCTTGGTTGGACTTCTTAACTTTAATGTCAAACCTAGAATCTCTTTTTCACAAAAGAGTAGGAATATCTTTTCATTGGAGAATATCTTAAAACCAAAGAAACTGACAGAGGAAAAATGTGATGTAATGTAAATGGAAGCTGGTGGTATGAGTTCCTCTATTTCCTGTTAGTTCTGTTGCTATTTTCTTGACTCTGCTCTTCCTTAGAAGTGTTTCTTAGAGACATTGAGATGTCTTTGCATGAAACTTATTCTGTGAAGTAATTCTTCATTCCCTTTTATTCATTTATTTAGTTTATCACAGTTACATATTGCTATGTAAGAACCACCCTAGAATTTTAGTGGCTTACAACATTAGTCATTTTACTTGCTTGAAATTCTGCACTCTTGGATGGGCTCAGCTGGGCAGCTCTTCTGCTGTTCTTGCCTGTGGTCAGTCTTGTAGTGAGTTATCTGGTCAGGACTCAGCTGGGAAACAGGGATGGCTGGGCTTCTCTCTCCATGTAGAGTCAGGACCCCTTGCCCTTCAAGTGGCCTCTCTATGTGGTCTCTTCAGGGTCTCAGCAAGGTCACAGGGCTTCTTACTGGTGGCTAGGATCACAAAAGCACAAGTGGCAGGGTGTCGCTTCTGCAGCATTCTGTTGGTTAAAGCCCAAATTTAATGGAGGGGACCACACAAGATGTAAATACCAGAAGACATGGTTCACTGGAGGCCACCAATGGAATAGATTACCACATAGTCATTCTTCAGTCAACTAATATTTACCAGGTACTGAGCATATAGTAGTGAACAAGCAAACTGTGGCCCCTGCCCTCATAGAGCTTATAGTCTGTGGGGAGCACAACTGAGTGATCAGGAAATTACCACACAGTGTGGTGAGTCTGGGCTGGAAAAACTGTTGGGTGTCTGGGGTGCACTTTGGGAAGGGTACATAACCCAGGCCTGGACTTTTCATGGAAGTATCCAATAGAGGAGTCATCCTGTGGAGATGGTTGAAGAAGGTTGCTGGCAGAAGAACAACATGCTCCTAGGCCAAGAGACCAGAAAAACATGGCCCTTTCATGGAACTGAAAGAAGTTTTGTGGTGGTAGAGAGTAGATGTAGAAAGTAGAGCTGTTGGGAGAGGAGCTGTCATACCTAGGGTTTGCAAAATAAAAGGCATGAGAATTAATGAGAATTAAGCAGGGGCCTCATCACATGTTATAAGCTAAGTAAGCCATGTTAAGAACACTGGACTTGATCCCAGTCATGGTGGGAAGAGGATTTTAAGCAGATCCGCCTCTCAGAGTGGTCATAATATTAGTTATAGCATACTAAGAACGGAGGGAGGTGGGCCTGGGACCTGAAGGAAAATGCTACAGAAGGCCGGGCAAGGGAGGGAGGTGGATGGCCAATGGTATGGATCTCAGGGGATGGATTCCAGAGATACTAAGGAGTAGATCTGCAAGTGTTGGGGATTATGGGGGTGAATACGAGGGAAGGGGCAAGGGTGATCCTCAGATTTCTGGCTTGGGCAGCCAGTCATGGTCTCATCTTGCAATAGGGAACACTGGAAGTGGAACATGGTTGGACCTCATGGAAATGGGCTGGAATACTGAGGAGAGCCAGCGTGGACATACCAAGTTAGATGCCTTTGAATTCAGTGGTCTGCCACAAACCTTTTTCAGGACTAATATGTTGTGAGCCTCTTAGGTGCTTCTTAGCTCTGCTTAGCTTCCTTGCCTCTCACATACTTTGCTCCTTTTTGCTTCTCCCCTGTCCTCTGGTAGAGAAGAGTAGAATGACCAGGTTTGTGGCAGTGGGTCAGAGACGCTGGTGATGCACAGTTCAGGACTGGGGTTGGTGGGTTGCAGAGAGCAGTTCAGGACATAGGGTTGAGAAGCGCAAAGGTGAGAGGAATTGGGGAGCAATCGGAAGATATAGAAGGGAAAAAAACCAAACTAGTCAGAAGAGAGTTAAGAACTGACTGCAGACATAATAAGGGCAAGGAAAGTATGAATCATCTGAGGAGGAAAAAAAAAAAGGAATAAAGTAGAAAAGGCAAAGAGAAAGGGGGTTGGTTCCACAAGCTATGGCCTGTAGCACAGAAGACTCTAGAATCTTGTTCTTTTGTGCCTCCTTTTTACATTTGCGTTCAAAAATTAGAAAAGTAAAATAAGCCTTTTTTTCTGAAAGCTTTAATGAATAGAAAGGGGGCCTTCAGACAAGCTTTCTCTTTATATAAAAAAGAAACTGAGCAGTTAATACACAAAGATAAACTCTAGTTTTTAGTGGAAGAAAAGGACTCCTAAGAAAAGAAAGGGACATACAAACAGTTAAAGTGAATGAAAAAGAAATTTAGTAGAACACTTTGTTGTCTATTCCCAAGTGATTTGACAAAGAAATATCTGTAGCCTCAGAGAATGGAGAGAGAGCATGTCTCCATGATCAATTTTTAATAAACATAAATGGTACAATAAATTATGCATGGAAGAATGATATAAAGCATTAAACAATAAAGGATAAATAATTTAAATGATTAAAAACTGCCTCTGTCATATGTTTGATGTATGAGAACTCTATTTGAATTTTCTCTTCAAGGAAGTAGAGGAGGATTTTTAAAGGGGGCTTTTTAAAAATAGATTTACTAAGGGGAGAATCTGTGGTGGTCTACCAGGAGAGGTTGTTGAGTACGGAAATGCCTGCCTCACACAGTCCATGACTTGTGCTTTCTCTGATAAATATGTGAGTAGCACCTTGCTGATGGATGGTTTTATGTCAGGTGATCAGTGGCAAAGCACTGCCCATCTTCTAGAAGACTGAGACCCGAACTTTCTTTTCAGGTATCCAGAGAAACTTTGTCAGGGGTCAGAAGTACTGTGAACTCTGTTTCTTTTTTTTTTTTTTTTTTTTTGAGACAGAGGCTTGCTCTGTTGCCCAGGCTGGAGTGCAGTGGCGTGATCTCGGCTCACTGCAAGCTCCGCCTCCCAGGTTCACGCCATTCTCCCGCCTCAGCCTCCCAAATAGCTGGGACTACAGGCACCCGCCACCACACCCGGCTAATTTTTTTTTTTAGTATTTTTAGTAGAGATGGGTGTTTCACCGTGTTAGCCAGGATGGTCTCGATCTCCTGACCTCATGATCTGCCCGCCTCGGCCTGCCAAAGTGCTGGGATTACAGGTGTGAGCCACCGCACCCGGCCTGAACTCTGTTTCTTACGCAGTCTTAGACTTCCAGGACAGGATTCCTAGGTAAGAGGTACTATCCCCATATATTCACTGACACAGGTAAGCTCCATTTCTATCCCAAAATTAGAGTAGCTGGGTGGGTTACACCCAAAGAAGTGTCAGCAAAGATAGGCCCCTGCTTGTTGGCCACTCACCTTAGGGGAGCCACGTTCATCCAGAGCACCATATTCTAACATGGAGTGGTTAACACCATAGGTGTTGGGGGCAGACATACCTCAGTATGAACCTAATCTCTGCCACTTACTAGCTTTAGGACCTTTTTCAGGTTAATTTAAATTTCCTGAAGCCCAGTTTCCTTATTTGTAAAATGGGCCCAGTAATACCCACCCCAAAGGACTACTGATCATTAAATAAAATACTTAGCACCTGGACATAGTACATTCTCATTATATGTTTGTTATTAGCTACAGAATTATATATTCAATGTTTATTTTCTCATAGAGGAGTGGAAAACAGACCAATCTCATAGAGGAGTGGAAAACAGACCAACAGAACTAGGGCAAAAAACCATAAATCTAGGAAATACCCGCCACCTAATCTAAATTAAGGATTATAAGCTATGGTTCAAAGGCCAGTTTTGGAAAATGAAGTTTTTTTTTGTTTTTTTTTTTTTTTTAAATGGAATTTACATACCTTAAGGCAAATGTTTCCAGTGAACTTCAGTCCCCAGTACTTCCACTGACTTACCCCAGCCACACTTACTCCTCTGCCAGCCTGGCTGTGGTAGGAGTTTGAGTTTGCCACCTCAAGCCTAATGGTTAGCTCTATAAATTTAAATTATTTCCCCCTAAGGTTCCTAGCTCCTTAAATGCTTTAATTTAACCTCGGGCATCTGATTGCTATATAGCCTTAATGGAGATGGGAAAAATCACCAAAGGAAAATACTAAAGGGCCAAAGATAGACAACAGATTTTCCACCAGTTGTATCCTTTTGTTGTTATTCCAAATTAATATTTACATAACGTCCATGTAGGCATTATATTGCCCTGGGACTGTGGCCTCCCACAATTCAGAAGCTGATTTTCTAGAAATATAATCGCAGACACTTAGTGGCTCATATTCTGTAAGCACACAGGCTTATCATTAAAAATTTCAAGTTCAAAATGTTAGTGCACCAGACAAGAGGCTGAAGATTTACTGTAGGTATTTTAAAACATGATTGTAAATACGTTGACTCTCCTCACAATGAGAGGTGGGCCTGTGGTCCTTCCCCTTAAATGTGATGGGGGAGAGGTTGTGACTACTTTGACCAAGGGAGTACGGCAGAAATGACCCTGTGTAACTTCCAAGGCTAAGACATAAAAAGCTATACTTCTGCCTCGTTCATTGGAAACACTTGCATTTCGAGACTTGAGCCACTATGTAAAAAGTCCAGCTACATGCCATAAAGGCTTCATGTAAGTGCTCTGGATGACAGTCTTGGTTGAGTCTATACCTTATCCTTCCTAGCCTTGTACCAGGCATCTACATGAAGAAGCCTTCTTGGAAGTAGATTGTCCAGCTCCAGTGTTCTAGCCCCCAGTTCATCAAGTGACCCCAGCTAAGACCACAGATATTATGGAACAGAGAATAGCTGTCTCCACTGTGCCATTTCGGAATTCCTGAGCCAAGAATCTGTGAGGATAATGAAATGGTAGTGGTTTTATCTAGCTGAGTTTTGGGGTCCTTTGGTTATGCAGCAGTAGATAACTGGAGCACTCATCCAATAAAGTTGTCTGGCTTCATAGCTTGGGTAGTTACCATATAACACATCGTTGTGTTTGTAAGATCTTGATTGTGAGAACCACCTGGTTGCATCAAAGTGTGCTGTATTACTGCTAGTTTTTTTCCATACAAGATAAACATTGGGGAGTTCGCTAACCAGTTAACAGATATTTATTGAGCTGGGACCCAGAGTGAGAGGCAACAAAACCAAGCTCTGCTGCAATTTTATAGTGTATTTGAAAAGGTATGTTACTATTGTTTTTCATTTAGCAGTAACTCAGTGTTATCATTCTGAAGTAGAAACAACAACTTTGCTCGGTGATGATGAATTAGTGCATAAAAAAGTACTTTGTTGTTTTTTTTTAAAAAAGATAGTAGTGTTGATTCATGTAAATACTTAATGTAATAATTATTTTAGGTTAATGGATAATGCTACTAGTTTGTGCTACAAAGAGCATTTGCAGAGTAATCTGAGCATATACAGGAAGATGAGGCTGTTAGGGCCTGAGGTAGCTGGTGCTTAAGAAGCAGCTGACCTGAAATGACAGTCTTAGTACTTCCACTTGGAATCAGTTGAGCGGTCTCCACAGATGACTTAGAAGTTTGAACGTCAGGACATTGCAGATCACAGGGCAGATCTCTTCCGAGAAGTTGTGTGGAGAAAACTTTTTATTCTTTCCATTCACTGGTTTAAAAGCCCAACAAGCAATGCGAAAGCCAATTCCCTGTGAATCAAAAGTTGTGTTCCTAGATTAGGGATGGCAAATCCACAGCACGTGTGATGCCAGTCTGTAGGGCTGTCTCTGTAGACATAAGTTTGCCATGGTATTGTTCTCATCCAAGCTGTGTGGTGATCACATGCAGGTTCTCATGGCAGGCACCTGCCTGGGCATTCCTCACTGCCCAGCCTTCTGAAAGAGCTCATGCGCACATTGAATCAGAGCAAGGGTCCCTAGCATAGGGATGAAGAAATAATAGATTGGATGCTTTCTATTTGTCAAAGACTTTCTATCTTATTTAGATACCTGTTTCTCTGTTTAAAATATTGTCAGGAGATGTACTGTTTAATACTAAAAAGGAAACTGAAAAGCTAAAGAGAGTCAATCATCATGGAGAAGAACAGTCAGGATGGTCTTAAGATTCAGTGAAAGTAGAAGGTCCAGGAAACAACTCCCATATACAGGAGCTTATAGGAGGAGTAACAAAGGTGGTTTCGTATCCCGGTGTTTGCCGTATAACTGTAAATTACCCAACAGGTTAATTGAGACTGAATCAGCATTTAAAAATTTTGAAGCTCTTACATGTTGTGTGTACACAGAGTGAACTGATCATTTATAAAACTGTCAAACTAAACTGCAGATTTTGAGAATGAGGGATTCCTCTGTTCTCAGTTGCTGGGAGGCAGTCATCTTTCGTTCATTCAGGAAACACCTGCAAGGTGCCAGACCATTTTCCCCACCCAGAAGGAGACAGACATGTAGAGGAGGATTTCTAGTGGACTATACTGGTGCAGTGGTAGAGTAAGGGGGCACAGCTGTACCTGGGAGGGTCTAGAAGGAAGAGGTCCCCTGAACCAAGGCCAAGAGACAAAACACCTCTTTCTGAGGTGCTCACTGCCTTAAGTGTTGACAAAACCCCAAATACTCATCTTTACTTCATCAGCTTGGGATAAGGAGAACTGACACACTGGAGGGGCTACTCAGAAAGAAGGGTGATTTAGAATTTATTTAGCCTTAAGATCACTGCAGCAGCACAGGTTCTAGTCTGTTATTGTCAGGACTGGAGGAACCATGTGGAGATAAAGTCTTACCTGGTCTAGTTCAGTGAAGTTAAGGTTTACAGTCATGCATAAAGTAGAAATTACGTCTATTCAGAATTATTCTTGATTACTATTTCCTTGGTTGACTTTCAGATTGTTTTGTATTCTTTTATGTGATGGTCAGTCAGGAGTAGCCTTGGGAGAAGACACAGGAGAGGCTCAGGAAAACAACATTTATTGTACTTACGAGTCCTACATATAAAGGCACAGCACACCACATAGGGCCACATGGGAAAGACACCAGGGTGGTCAGGAGGCAGAAAACAGGAACAAGGGGAACATTTAGGCCAGAGCTTTTATTGGGGTTTCCTTGGGAAAGGCAAGGCAGGGCAGGATGAAAACAGTTTAGGGTTGGCTAGTTTGAATAACTTCAGCAGGCTCTAAACTATAGGGGTGACACGTAGCCCTGGGATGACCAAGGCAGAGGAATATTGTCTCCTGGGGTATATGGGCCAGATAGGGGAGAGCTGACTCTGGATTGATTAGTTTGCATATCAAAAGCATTTTCCTGACTGAACCCTTGTTATCTCTGAAAGTTGGCTAGCCCCAGAAGGAGCAATCTCTCCCCAGCCAGAAAGCTTTTAAAGTTGTCTCAAACATAATAAAACACAGGAAATATATACGTGTGTGTACCCAATACACAGATGAAGTAGCTAGTTGCCATTTATGGGCTCAGCATCTGAAATACGTGTATTTTTAAAGGCTGGAATCACCCCTAGTATGGCCTGATGATGAAAACACTGAGAGTCTTGAAGAAGAACCTGCAGATTCATGTCTGTCATCTCAGGATACTGTGGGGGCACGTTCACTATGAGGAGTGGTGGGGGAAATGGCCATCACTGTTTAAATTACTTTCTTTCTCCTTCTCCCTCAAGCATTAAAAGTTGGATTTATGTAAGTTAAATGTGCCTGTTATGCAAACTGCACAAATGTGAAATGTAATCTCTACATTGGTTGGGAATTCCTAACCGAATTCTTTTTTAATAATTTGCATAGCCCAAGGCAGTCTGTCATTAATGACAAGGGGGAGGGGTTGCTTTGCTTTGTTTGTTTTTGTTTTTATAACCCTAAATCCTTGTTTTTAATCAGGCTAGATGTGTTTTTTAAAAGCCGAATTCTTGCATCTAATTGTACATTCCATAGCACACTGGACTTGGTCACAACCTATTTTCCCCCTGTATATTCTTTGTTGCTTTGGGAGAGATTCATGCCTATAAAACCTAGTTACTAGAAATCTCAGCATGCTTTCATGAATATTACAGTTCATGTTGCTAATTTTCCAATAATAAAAGAAGTAGAGTTTATTAAAAACCATTATCAACTTACTGCAATATTCCATTAACTCCTATTCTCCCTCCACTTGCATCAGTGTTACTAATGCTCCACAGTGCACCAAAGGTTAAAAGGCAGTTTACACAAAATGTTCAGGAGACATATTTCAGTAAACACACTTATGTTATTAGACACAGAGATGGCTGATCATTTCTGTATGCAGATGTGTCATTGGAAGCTAATTGGTGGATATTATGTTGCTTTTAGTACCTTGCTTATATCATTGAGAAGTATGCGATAGTAATTTAGTAAATAGCACCCTTGTTCTACTTTAGGCACCACCCAGAGCACCAACCTTATTTCTGGAAGTTGATTGAAGGCAAACAAAATAATAGATGTCACTATACAACGTACAATGTTCCCCATTCATTATGACTGCCACTAATTAATAAAATCTCGAGAGATGTTTCTGTTTTGTAAGTCTGCTTCCTTCACAGAATCATGTAAGTCAGCCTGTCTGCGGCCATTTCAAAATCTGAATCATAACCCAGAAAAAATGTGACTAACACACGGTTGGATTTGATGTTGCTCAAATGGATGTAACCCACTCTCTAATTGTAACCTGAATAAATCTTGAGACCCCACATGGTCCGGATTCTGCCTGGAGTCTCTTTCAAACAAAACATATCCCAATCCCAGAAGCATTGAAGAATAACCTATCTCTTTAATCTAGGTTCTTCTAAAAGGCATGGCTTAAAGGTTTTATGCTTTATGCTACATAAACAGTTTCTCCAAAATTCTTTGTAGCCACCTTTTCCTCTACCTACCTTCATGGCTTCTGCTGAAACCTCTCTTTATCTTTCTTATCTAACATATTTTCTCATTAGCCATGAGGCTTTCCTCATTTTTTTTTATCATGGAGATGTAATTCATATGCCGTTTTCCTGCCTTTTTTTTTTTTTTAAGACAGGGTCCACTTTGGGAGGCCAAGGGGGCACGGATCACGAGGTCAGGAGTTCAAGACTAGCCTGACCAACATGGTGAAACCTCATCTCTACTAAAAATACAAAAATTAGCCAGGCATAGTGGCACGCGCCTGTAATCCCAGCTACTCAGGAGGCTGAGGCAGGAGAATGGCTTGAACCCGGGAGGCAGAGGTTGCCGTGAGCTGAGATCGCGCCATTGCATTCCAGCCTAGGTGACAGAGCAAGACTCAGTCTCGGAAAGAAAAAAAAAAAACAGCATCTCACTGTGTCGCCCAGGCTGGAGTACAGTGGTGCAATCATAGTTCACAGCAGCCTCGGACTCCTGGCCTGAAGGGATACTCCAGCCTCAGCCTGCCAGATAGCTAGGACTACAAGTGTGTGACACTGTGCATGGCTAATTAAAAAAAAAAAAAATGTTTTGGAGACAGGATGTCGCTCTGCTGCCCAGGCCAGTCTTGAACTCCTGGTTTAAAGCAATTCTCCTGCCTCAGCTTTCCTCCTTACTTTTGATCAGACACAAATATTCTCACTCTTCCAAATTTAGGAAAGTATGTGCTTCACCACCTCCAGGCTCAAAGTACCCTTAATGGATTTCCTTTCCTGCTTTCTAGCTAGACTGTACCTCTCTGGGATAATCTGCAGCTCTGTTCCGTTTGATTTCTGAATATCCTTTATTTCCTGCATGCAAAACACCCTCAGAAATAAAGTTCATGGCTCTGCGTGGTGGCTCACGCCTGTAGTTTCAGCACTTTGGGAGGCGGAGGTGGGCAGATTGCTTGAGCCCAGGAGTTCGAGACCCACCTAGGCAACATGGCAAAACCCTGTCTCTACTAAAAATACAAAAAATTAGCTGGGTGTGGTGGTGAGTGCCTGTGGTCCCAGCTACTCAGGAGGCTGAGGTGGGATTGCTTGAGCCTGGGAGGTGGAGGTTGCAATGAGCCGAGATTGCACTCCAGCCTGGGCGACAGAATGAGACTCCATCTCAGAAAAAGAAAGAAAGAAAGTTCTTTGCTTGACTCTGGTTGCCTTTCTTGTGAGAAATTCTAATATAGATTTCCCGAGAATAAAATTTTCCACCTACAATAGTAACAGTAACCACCGTTTATGCGCTGCAGTGGCTAAACTCTTTGCAGCATCACATTTAATACTCACATTGAATAATACTAAAGTTATCTCCATGTTATAGATGAGAAAACTGTGACCCAAAAGAATAAAGCAATTAATTGCAACTAGTAAGTAATGGATTTGGTATTTGAACCCAGGCAGTTTGATTTCAGAATTCTTTCTTTCGGGAGTGATATGAACTTGTTTACCAATTTTGCCCCGTTTGATGTGCTCCTAAATATGGAGGAGAGGGATGCTCCTGAGTAGGAAGAATATACAAATAGATTATTAATTAGGTGTTCTCTTGGTCCCGTGTTACATATATGTGAGGAAAACACAAATTCTGAATCAAAGCCACCAATCTCCATAACGAGAGACACCTTACTGTTCAGGATCACTCCTGACACTTTTCGCATGCTGTTGAATTGTTTACATTGCCTATGTTAATCTCTTCACTGTTCTGCCCAAAAGAAAGGAGCACCAAATGTAAGATGGTGTCTTGCTTCTCAGTACTGTCGTTCTGCTACGTCTGTTGTTCTGTATTTATGAGCCTTCTTAAAACTCACCCTGGATGAATGGCAAGGCTTTCCTATGTGTCCCTAGCCAGTCATTTTATGAACAAGGAAATTTGCCATTTTCTTTCAATGTTTTGGTCAACAACAAAGATGAATATAGGGCCTAATTATTTGGAATTCAGTTGCACAACGTTGGAAAGCGCCAGTTTGGTTGTTGGCATCAGGCCCTGTGTTATGCCGAAGAAGAATAACCCCACTAGGTAGGGCTCTAGCTTTGAAGACAGCTGGTCAAAGGGCTTGAGAATTTTGGCTTAGATCACATCACAATGGTATCAACAAGGTACCAGTGTATAGTCTACCAGCAAGAGAACTTTCTTGACCTTTCAACTTCCTTTAGCTGTTCCAAGGGTCAGAAACAGCATTTGCTGGCTTTTGCAGGATTGTTAATGAGGAGAGGCTTTGCATGACATAATACTCCAAAAATCCCTCAGGGTCATTTTAGAAACAATTGCCCTGGGGTCTGGCTGGACCATTTGACGTACATTGTAAAGCACAGACCATATCTTGCCACAGTTACCTGCTGCACAACTCATGTGGTGTGCATGGGTTTAAATTTCTCTCAGAGACAGAACAACAAGAAGGCAGTTATGGTGTGTACTGGAAATGACACTTGACTTATAGTCAGAAACGGGTTCAAATTCCAATTTTATCACTTATTTACTTATTTGAACAAATCTCTTCAATTCTTGGAACCTTAATCTCCTCATTGGTAATATAAGAATAATTACATATAATATTTAACTCAAAGGGTTGTTTAAGCTAAATTGATTTTTTTAAACATGTAATATTAAAACAGAAACACTCTTTTAAGGTATTTTACCACACTTTCTCGTGGTCCAAACCAAGGTTTCATTTCAGTAAATCGAGTGACTGACAGGTTTACTTGCTATACCTTTATCCCTATTCCTTCCCCTCTACTCTAGGCTTCTCTATGAAAAATCAAATAAGGAATTTTAGTGTTAACTTTCATTCAAACACATAAAAAACCACACAACAATATTTGTATTTTATGGCCAGAATTTCCGCCATATCCCTCCAGTGATATCAAAGCTTTAAAAATTGAAAAGTACTTCATTTTTTAAAAGAGAAGAAAAAAAGATTGTGAATTCTTGTTTACTACTGTGCCTCCTGAATTAGACATTAGGAAACTCAGAATTCTAGCCATTCAGCAGGTCTAGCAACATTATTTTCTCAATTGAGCTCCTCAACTCTTTAGCAATTATGTTTACATTTTTCGTGACATCACCTAATCTAGAACAGATTCCTCAGTTATGATGGCTTTTAGTGACTGGAAATGAGGTAGTAGGAAACCCACCCTGAGAGCCTCCCTTCTACAGATACCTCTGTAGATCTCCAGATTGCCTGCATGTCTCAAGAGTCCAAAATTTGTAGAAGCAGTCCCCAGGATGTTTTTGGTTATGTCATAGCCAGTGGGTTCCTTGCTGCCTCTACCCCACACTTACCCACATTATTTGTGAAAGCTGTAGCTTGTCCTCCATATAGGGAGGGGGGTGGGGGAGTGAATATGGATACCTGGCAGCATACCCTTTTAGAAAGATTTCTGATGCCTGTGTAATATTACAACCTCTTATACAATTATTCTTATTAACATGAACCTACCACTACATTTCTCAAAACAACAGAATGACTTTACCAATTAATAGAGTCCTACTATGTAGTTCTCTGATGTTTATGAAGAAAGGTCACATGTATTTGATCTCTTGAAAAAAGTATTAAGTAGGATTTCTAAACCATTACATATTAAAACACATACACAGCTGGGGTGGAGGGTACTATACTAATTAAGAGCATGATCAGTCAGAAAAAGTCTAGAAAAGAGGGGAAAGACAGGAAGAAAATAATATAACTGAACACATGATAAAATTGCAGGAATAAGTTAAACAAAAATAAATGTGACTAGGTTAAATTCTTCTAATAAAATCAGTGACTCTCATTGTTTAAAAAGATAATCTAGCTATATACCATCTTTAGGAGTCATATGTATAGCAAAATAACACAGAAAGGATGAAAAGGGGATAGGTTAGTGAATGCTAACTAACAAAAATCAGGACAGTAATATTAATATTTAAAAATGTAGGATTGAATGTAAAAAAAATACTAAATGAGACATAGAATAAGAAATACAAATCCAACAAGAGGATTTAACAATAATGAACCTTTATGCACTGAGTATCCTAGCACTGAAAAATCTGTTAAAAATACAAATAAAATAATACAGGCCAGGCATGGTGGCTCACGCCTGTAATCCCAGAACTTTGGGAGGCCAAGGTGGGCAGACCACTTGAGGTCAGAAGTTGGAGACCAGCATAGCCAACATGCAAAACCCGGCTCTACTAAAAATACAAAAATTAGCCAGCTTGGTGTTGCGTGCCTGTAATTCCAGCTACTTGGGAGGCTGAGGCTCGAGAATCTCCTGGACCCAGGAGGCGGAGGTTGCAGTGAGCTGAGATTGCACCACTGCACTCCACCTTAGGTAATGGAGTGAGACTCTGTCTCACACACACACACACACAAAATACATATAAATAAAATTTAAAAATTTAAAATACAAATGAAGTTTTTCATCGTGATAGTGGGAGGCTAACAAAATGCTTTCAATATTTCATCAAGTAGACAAAAATAAATAGGAACAGAATATTTGAATAGCATTTTTCCATTATCATTATTGACTTAACCCAACAAATAGGACATACACACAATTTTTTTAAAAGATCATGGAGCATTTACAAAAATTGATTAAATACTCAACCACAAAGAAGATGTCCAATTAACAAAAACTAGACATGTATTGGCCACATATAATAGTATAGTAGCATTGAAAATTAACACAAGATGGTTCCTTCCCCCACCTCCATCTAAGCACTTAGAAATTAAGGTATGATCCTTCTAAATAATCCTTGGGTCAAGAAAACCAGTACTAAAACTATGGACTATTTAAAAGTTAACAATGAGAATATAATGCATCAAAATGTGTGGAATAGGACTAAAAATACACTTAAATAAGTTAAGGCTTTTATTTAAAAGGACTGGAAAAAATAAGATTGTGACTTAAGAAGCTAATAAAATAAAGCAAAACAAAGTGGGGAAAAGGAAATAAGAAACGTGGAGGAGGTGCCAGGTGCAGTGGCTCACACCTATAATCCCACTGCTTTGGGAGGCTGAGGTAGGAGGATCATTTGAGGGCAGGAGTTCAAGGTTTCCGCAAGCTATGATCATGTCTCTGCACTCCAGCCTGGGCGACAGAGGGAGACCCAGTCTCAACAACAACAACAACAAAAAAGGCCGGGCGCGGCGGCTCATGCCTGTAATCCCAGCACTTTGGGAGGCCGAGGCAGGTGGATCACGAGCTCAAGAGATGGAGACTATCCTGGCTAACACAGTGAAACCCCTTCTCTACTAAAAATACAAAAAAATTAGCCGGGCGTGGTGGTGGGTGCCTGTAGTTCCAGCTACTCGGGAGGCTGAGGCAGGAGAATGGCATGAACCTGGGAGGCGGAGCTTGCAGTGAGCCGTGATTGCGCCACTGCACTCCAGCCTGGGCGACAGAGTGAGACTCTGTCTCAAAAAAAAAAAAAAAAAAAAAGGTGGAGGAAGGAAGTAATGAAGATAAAGCAGAAGAAAATTAGAATTTAAAATAACATAAAAATAAAAGAAAATTAGAATTGACAGGAAAGCAAGAATGCAGGGTCCCTAGGAGAGCTGCTGCAGTGAGAATGGAAAGCTGAGATAAGGGAATGTTAAACATTGTCCTTGCCCTCCTTGCAGCTTAGGTTTGGTTGAAGTGAAAGGCATGTGCAGAAAATAAAGAATAGGACTATTCAATAAAGTGGTCATTTATGAATATAGAGTTGGTATTCTATCTTGGTATGGTATGGTAAATCTGGTATGGTTGGTATGGTAAATCTCTCTATAGCAAAGAGTAGCAGTTAGGCTCTGAGTCTCTGCACCGATAGAACTGAACCTGTATATTGGCTTCAGACTTATCAAGAGACTCTGGAGAGGTTAGTTAACCACGTAAATCTTAATTACTCTGTCTGTAAAGTGGAGATCACAGTACCTACCTCACAGGATTATAATGAGAATTAAATGAAAATATGTATATAAAGCACTCAGCTCAATGTCAAAGCATGTGGCACAGGCTTGGTAAATGGTTGCTGAAAAAAGTCAGTGCAGCATCTCTTCCAGTCCCTCCTGGGTACTGGTGAGATGAGTAAGGCACTATCAGTATTTTGGTACACTTTATACAGGAGTGGGACAGTAAATAGTATTTAGAGTAGCCAAGTTCTGCCTACCTGGATGAAAAGGTTGGGCATTTTGTCTGTGACCATTTGTAAGATATGCCAGTGGGAAATGGTTGAATTAGTCTCTGTCCATTAAAAGAAAAAAGATCTATAAAACATCATGCTCCCAAAATAACAGCGGTTCATTAGCTGGAGAGAAAATCCTGGCCACAGAGAGGGGACTCCTGGTCAGTCCTGCCACTGTGCACTTATTTATCTGTCTCAGTAGGAAAGCAGAAGCAAGGAGACCTTTGGATCTGCCTGCTGACCAGTCAGCACATTTGCTCCTCATCAGCCAGACTGAAACTCCATTCTTGCAACCCCTCAGCATCAATATTAGGTTGCCCAGGCATGATAATGGACTCATGAGGTCTTGGAAAAGTAATGGAGTAAACACAAAAGGAGTCAGTAAACCCAGAAAAGAATTTAACACCTTCCCTCATCCTTCTGCACATGGATATCCAATGTTCCCAGCACCATTTATTGAAGAGAATGTCTCTTACCCAGTATGTGTTCTTGGCACTTTTGTTGAATGGGAGTTGAGTGTAAGTGCATAAATTTATTTCTGGGCTCTATTCTGTTCTATTGGTCTATGTGTCTGTTTTTATTCTAGTACATGCAGTTTTGGTCACTATAGTTTTGCAGTATATTTTGAAGTCAGATATGCCTTCAGCTTTGTTCTTTTTGCTCAGGATTGCTTTTGCTCTTTTGGATCTTTTATGGTTTCATATGAATTTCAGGATTTGTTTCTGTTTCTGTGAAGAATGTCATTGGTATTTTGATAGGGATTGCATTAAATCTGTAGATTGCTTTGGGTAGGTTGGCCATTTTAACAATATTAATTCTTTAAATTTAAATTCTTTAAATTAAAGAATTAAAATTAAAGCGGGGAGGGATAGCATTAGGAGATATACCTTATGTAAATGACGAGTTAATGGGTGCAGCACACCAACACGGCACGTGTATACATATGTAACAAACCTGCACATTGTGCACATGTACTCTAGAACTTAAAGTATAATAATAATAAATAAATACATACATACATACATAAAAAATATAAAATCCATGTACATGGGATATCTTTTCATATATTTGTGTCCTCTTCAATTTCTTTCATCAAAGTTTTTTTTTTAATTTTATTTTTATTGTACTTTAAGTTTTAGGGTACATGTGCACAATGTGCAGGTTAGTTACATATGTATACGTGTGCCATGCTGGTGTGCTGCACCCATTAACTCATCATTTAGCATTAGGTATATCTCCTAATGCTATCCCTCCCCCCTCCCCCCACCCCACAACAGTCCCCAGAGTGTGATGTTCCCCTTCCTGTGTCCATGTGTTCTCATTGTTCAATTCCCACCTATGAGTGAGAACATCTTTCATCAAAGTTTTATAGTTTTTAGTGTAGACTTCTTTCACCTTGGTTAAGTTCATTGTTAGGTATCTCTTTTTGTAGCTATTGTAAATAGAATTGTCTTCTTGATTTCTTTTATAGATAGTTCACTATTAGCATATAGAAATGCTACTGATTTTTATGCGTTGATTTTGTATCCTGCAACTTTATTGAATTTGTTTATTTGTACTTACAGTTTTTTGGTGGTGTCTTTAGGGTTTTCTATATCTAAGATCATGTCATCTGCAAACAGGGACAATATGATTTTCTCTTTTCCAATTTGGATGCTTCTATTTATTTCTCTTGCCTAATTGCTTTAGATAGGACATGCAGAAGAATGAAACTAGATCCCTACCTTTCATCATATACAAAAATCAACTCAACATAGATTAAAAACATAAGTGTGAAACCTGAAACTGTAAAACTACTAGACAAAACATAGGGAAAATTCTTCTTGACGTTGGTCTGGACAAAATTTAAAAATAAGACCTCAAACGCATAGGCAACAAAGCCAAAATAGACAAATGGGAATACATCAAGCTAAAAAGCTTTTGCACAGCAAAGAAAACTATTCAGAGTGAAGAGATCACCTACCGAATGGGAGAAAATATTTGCAAACCATACATCTGACAAGGGGTTAATATCCAGGCTATATAAGGAACTAATAGCAAAAAAAACCAAAAACAAAAAAACCAAAAACAAATAACTTGATTTAAAACAGGCAAAACTGTAATCCCAGCACTTTGGGAGGATGAGATGGGAGGAGCCCAGGAGTTCGAGACCACCCTAGGTGACAAAGTGAGACTCCGTCTCTACAAAAAATTTAAAAATTAGCCAAGCGTGATGATGCATGCCTCTAATCTCAGCTACTCAAGAGGCCAAGGCAGGAGGATCACTTAAGCCTGAGTTTGAGGCTGCAGTGAGCTATGATCATGCCACAAGACTCCATCCTGGGTGACAGAGCAAGACCCTGTCTCAAAAATAAAAGTGAGCAAAAGACCTTAGTAGACATTTCTCAAAAGAAGACATACAAATGTCCAGCATCACTATTCATCAGGGAAATGCAAATCAAAACCACAGTGAGATATACTTCACTCTATTCAGAATGACTATTGTCAAAAGAACAAAAGGAAACAAGTGTTGGGTTAGGATGTGGAGAAAAGGAAATACTCATCACTGTTGGTGGAACTGTAAACTAGTACAGCCATTATGGAAAATAGTATGGGTCAGGATCTGGAAGAATTTACAAAAAAGAAAAAAGAAACAAATGAACAAAAAACAAAGGAGTATGGAGATTTCTAAAAAATATTAAAAATAGCATGACCATATGATCCAGCAGTCCCACTACTGGATACATATATCCAAAGGATATGAAATCATTATGTTGAAGAGTTATCCGCCCTCCGTGTTTATTGTAGCACTGTTTACAATAGCCAAGATGTGGGAATCTGCGTAAATGTCCAACAAATAAAACGTGGTATATATACACAATAGAATACTATGCAGGCATAAAAATGAATAAACTCCTGTCATTTGTGACAACATGGATGAACCTGGAGGACATCGTATTAAGTGAAATAAGGCAGACACAGAAAGACAGATAACCACATGCTCTCACCCATATGCGGAATCTTAAAAAAAAAAAGGTTGATATCATAGAAGCAGAGAATAGAACAGATGGTTACTAGAGATTGGGGAGGGAGGGGAAGATGGGGTCAACAGGTACAAAGTTACAATTAGACAGGAGGAGTGAATTCTGGTGCACTCTTGCACAGTAGGGAGGCTATGGTTAATGGTAAAATATTGTATTTTATAAAATAGCCAGGAGAGAGGTGTTTGAATGTTCTCATCATAAATAAATAATAAATGCATGAGTTAATGGATATGCTAACTACCCTGATTGGATCATTATACAATATAGATATGTATCAAAATATCACATTGTACCCCATAAATGTGTACAGTTACAATGTCAATTTAAAAAATAAAATTAAATAGACTCCCCTTTTTACTTTATATCAATATCTGTATTTATCTATATTTAGGACTTGATGAGAATTTGTAGCTTGAGTTAAAGTTAGAATATGTTTGGAGTACAATGTATCTTGGGATTTTTTTAATGTCCGCACATGCTACACATCAAACCACTTTAGTCAAAATATTTGTTCAGTGGGAAAAAAAATCAGTGAAAATAAATTACATCTCTTAGTCCAAACAAAAAGTAATTGACTGATCTATTTCCTCCATTCTCAGAAAACTATCAACTATAAGGTATAACATCAAATTAATAACAGGTAAGGAGGAAAAAAAGACATGACATTAAGTGTGCACTTCGATTCCAGGAATGTTAAAAATATGTAGGGGAAAAAACAGTACCAGCACAACCATGCATCTTGGGATTAAGCCAGTGCAGAATTTCACTCACTTGGTATTATGGTGGGTTTTTTTTGTTTTTTGTTTTTTTGAGACGGAGTCTCGCTCCATCGCCCAGGCTGGAGTGCAGTGGCGCAATCTCGACTCACTGCAAGCTCCGCCTCCCGGGTTCACACCGTTCTCCTGCCTCAGCCTCCCAAGTAGCTGGGACTACAGGCACCCGCCACCATGCCCGGCTCATTTTTTGTATTTTTAGTAGAGACGGGGTTTCACCGTGTTAGCCAGCATGGTCTCGATCTCCTGACCTCGTAATCCACCCGCCTAGGCCTCCCAAAGTGCTGGGATTACAGGCGTGAGCCACTGGAATTATGGTGTTTTGCAGCTGGTAGAGGCCAGGTAGGTAGGACTAATTTTATGAATGTAATTAAACAAAATTTTTTATTAATACATATGAGCAGAACTAATTAAAATTGAAGACACATTTCTTAGGCCCATCAGTTTATTTTTGTATTCTTTTGTCAAAACAAAACAAAAAAAGAAACCAAAATCATAAACAGTTGGGGAGGTACTATACATGGTGAGCCTGGAGCATCTTGTAGTGCTGGAAAGTGAGGAAGTACTTAAAAACAAAAAAGAAAAAAAAAATTGATAGGAGTATGTCAAAGGAGCACAGAAACCAATGGTAAGAGCTCCCAGTGGCCGAAGCTGGAACAATTTGAGCAACAGAATAAAGTACTGTTGAATTAAAATGCAAGGCATAAAATAAATATCCATTCAGCCATACTGGTATAAATAAATGATTGAATACATTAATAAATATGTAGAAGAGACATCTTCCATGCAGAAGGATTCCAAATAATTTATATAGACACTCTACCCTGAAGGACTTTCTTCGAAAGAGTATGATATGGAAAGGTGGGGAGAAGCAGGGAGCAACTTTACAGTGGAGAAAACTGACATGCACTGCCTCAGCCAGGTGATCAAGGGCAACACCAGCAGTATTAAATCATGTAGATAGTACATATATCTGATACGATGTGACTAAAATGGCACTTTATCTGTGTGATCCTCCTCCAAATAACCCATAACCCCAGTCTTACCAAGAGAAAAACACCCATTTGTGTGCCCAATTGTGGTACATTCTACAAAATACCAGACCAGTATTTCTCAAAACTGTTATGGTTGTCAAAAACAAGGAAAGCCTGAGAAACCATCACAGCCAAGTGGAGCGTAAGAAACACGACGACTAAATGTAATGTGGAGTCCTGGATGGGCTCCTGGAACAGATAAAGGACAGCAGGTAAGAACTAAGGACATCTGAATAAACTGTGGACTTTAGTTAATAATTATGTATCACTATTGGTTTATTAATTGGTACTTATGTATCATACTAAATTTAAGAAGTTAATAATAGGGGAGACTGGGCGTAGGATTTATGGGAACTCTGTACTGTCTTCTCAGTTTTTCTGTAAATCTGTAACTGTTCTGAAATATAAAGTATATTAAAATTTTTAAATGCCTAACCAGAAAAAAAAAATCATGGACAGAAAGCCAGGTTAGGGATTTTCATGGAAAATTATAAAGCATTTTATTAAGGCCTTTAAAAATTCCACACAGAACACGGCTTAAGCAGAACATATGCAGCTGCTTAGTTGAAAAATGGAACTGGCAGCTTAACCCAGAATGTGAGACTTCTAAATACATTCAAATTGAGTCATCATCATTTTTCATCTATGTAGTATTTTGTTTTTCCAAAGTTCTTACAATTTCTGACTCCAAGATGGCAAAATTGTACCATTATTCCTATGTTAAAGTTAATGCCATGTCTACTATAGCTTGGACAGCCATTTTGACTCAACTGTCTAATCTAAATGTCATTTCAATCAGAAAACCAGCCATCAACTGTCAAAATGGTAAAAACAGTTATGTGTGTTTTCAAAGCCAGAAGTGCAATCATGTGGTGAGACTTCAGGGTTTTACTGTTGTCCACAGTTCTGAGTCCCAGGACTGGTTTCCTTACTCGGTATTCTCCCATGGAAAACTTCATCGGGGAATTATAGGGTAATATTTTCAAGACTTGGAATATGTCTACAGTTACCTTTCTAAAAAACAAACAAAAAAATCCATTTAAAAGCATTTTTTTAAAAATAATCATGCCAGGGTAGCCAAATAGAAGCAACTTTGGGGTTTTTGCAGAGTCAAGTCTTATAAATTGTGGAATATTCCCCTTGGTCCAGGAGATCATTTGACTCCCACACACCACCACTTCCTATATCCACAAATTCCAGTATGTTTGGACCCTCCTGATGGCTGAGAGAATCACAAAAAAAAAAAAAAAAAAAAAAAAACAAACAGAAGGCACCAGTGAGTAGAACAAGAAAGCTAGATATGGTGCCCTTGGGCTTGTTGCTTAGTCCCTGCTCCAGCTCTCCTCCAGCCTCTCTAGCTGTACAGGGCAGAGAGGGTCACAGCCGGCACTCTTCTGGTGCTCTTGTCAGGCCACCATCAGAGCCCCCATGGCCAGGACTCACACGCTGCCAGGAACCCAGCACCATCCTGGAGGAAGATGATGCCCAGCCCTTTCAAGGGAAACCAAAATGCTGGCATATTTTGGAGGTCAGCAGGAGGGAAATGTCTCCCAGTTATTTAGCCCTGGAAGGCTGAGAATACAGTGGTTTTGTTTTCCGAACCAACAATTGGGGCACACTGTCTGACAGCATGACCACATGTGAACTTGAGAGAGTCCCAGGAAATTCAGGGTGTGTAGCCATGGTTGCTGCAGGATCCAGAAATATGAACCAAGGCCTGAGTGTGTTCCCTTGATGTTGGTGCCCTCCAGAGAGGAGTGTGGGGACATCCTGGGTGCAGCACTGTCGAGGGCCCTTCCTCAGCTGCCCTGAGGGTGGCAGTCCCAGGGGCTGTCCTAATGACAGCAGAGCACCCAAGCCCCAGGCTCCTCTGTGAGCGCTCTGCCCCTTCTCAGCTGCTGAACTCCAGTCTCAAGATAGGTGACCCTGGGGCTCAAGACTGTCTCTCCCTTCCCCCTTCAGGTTCCTTTGGAGTCAGGAGTGCCTGGAGTCCAGGCATGACTTCCCCCTGGCTTATCTCCTCTTTACCTGTGTCCTGGGAACACCTGAAAGAAGCTGGGGGAGACAATCATTTCTGCAGACACAGGGTTACCCCCATGTGAAGCAAGCAGCAAATTGATCTTATCACATGCCTCTGACCGGTTAGGGAGGCGAGTCAAAGAAGGTGCAGTGAGGAAGTATAATGTCACATGCAACATTTACAGGAAACTGGCTAGAAGACAGCAGGGGAACTCGAGAAGTTGGTTGTTTTCAGCAGATTAAAACAATACAGGTTAGTGCTTTTTGCCCCCTGGAAAACTTTTCGTAGCCACTCTAAAATACCTAATTCTCTTTCCTTGAACTGTCTTTAACGATTTCTTTAATGTGAAGAACTTGCTTTTTGGCTTTGAATGTAAGAGCCAGCGCACAGCTGTTAACTGCACGTTGTTAGAGGAACAAACGCTGAGCCATTATGGTGAAAATGAAATTCTCAGAATCTCTTGCTTCCCTGTTTAGAACTTCTCTGCTTCTGAAAGAACAAAACTTCGGATGTTCTTTAAATAACTTATTTCGTGGAATTCAGCTAGGCCTCTTGTCATTTTTACCTGTTAATGTAAATGTGAAACGGGACAGATCAGCCTGTGTTTGCAGACATCTGTGGGGCATTCAAAGGGTGTTAGAAAATACAGAAATACTGTGCATAAAAACGTGCTTGCGAGGTTATATGCAAAAGTTTGTTGTTTTGTGGGGTTTTCATCTCATAAAACTCATCTTTTGGCTTGTATTTCATGTTAAAATAGTATGTCATTATAAATTCTTAAGTTTCCTTTTTTTATTTTTTCTACTGTCCTCCTTCCCCCTTTTCTTTCCTTCCTTCTTTTACTAACACAAAACAGGAGTAGAGAAGCAGCAGTAGGGACAGCTTGAATATGAGACGAGGAAATCCTTTTCCCGGCACCAGAGTTTAAGGAGCAGGCACAGCCCAGAGCAAAGCCCAGCAGGCCGTGAAGAGGCCGTGAGGTGTGACGGTTGCCAGAGCTTTATGTCTTCAGCCTTGTGCTTCCTAGAGAAGAGTCTGCAAAAGAGCCAGAAAGACGGCTAGAGGGTTGGGAAGCAGCCGTCCAGAAACATAGAAAGGGCCCAAGATTATTCTTCCTGAGGCCAATGAGGGACAGTTTAATTACGCAGTGGCCTGCTGCTTTCAGACCTGTATGTGGAAAAAGAAAACGTCTCAAATCCAAGTTAAGAGAAGGAAGTTCCTACATTATTGGACTGCTGTGCAGCTCTAGGACAGGTTAGCCAGAGAGGCTGCTGAACTCTTTCTGGGTGTTTTTGGGAAACATACTAGACGGCATCTTTGACTGTGTTATTGTGTTAACTGAGACAGGGAGGATAAGGAGGAGAGGAGAGCAAGATCAGGAACTTCCTGTTTCATGTCTTCATTCTAGCCCAAAGTGTTGTAAAATGTGTCTGTATGATAAACAACGAAGGGGTGAGGGGCTCGTGGACTCAACTTGTTTATATCCTAGTAATGCCAAATAACTAGAACAGTGATGAAAGAGAAAAATCATGGTTGATTCTGTCCTCCAATTGCCACATTTTTTTCATATTTTACCACCAAGTTGTACAAGAAAATGGAGACAAAGCTGACAGAGAATAAGAGAAGATTCTAAGCTGGACATATCAGCCCTAGTGGTTTCAGAAACCCCGTGCTAGCTCTGACAGAGCCAGCCCACATTGTTATCAGGTTTGGAGGGATGGAGGGAAGATTGGATTTATCACTGGTTGGAGCCCTTTGCACAAATGCCTGTAGGAGACACGCACTTGGGAACTGCAGTAGGAAGGCCTCTTGTACCTGGTACTGCCCTTGAGCCCCAGGAAGAGGCTTACAACTTAGCAGTGGCTGGACATCCCTCGAAGGAGCTCTTCTTTCAGTTTTGTTTTGCTTTGTTAGTTGGCTATACAGCCTTGCTGTTTCAGAAGTTTTATATTCTGCAAATCTGCTGCTCACAGTAGAAAGGGACTTTTTATCTTTTTATTTTGTTAGAATACTTTCCAGATGGGCCTGATGTCTTTTTTTTTTTTTTTTTTTTTTTTTTTGAGATGGAGTTTTGCTCTTGTCGCCTAGGTTGAAGTGCAGTGGCACCGTCTCGGCTCACTGCAACCCCTGCCTTCTGAGTTCAAGCAATTCTCCTGCCTCAGCCTCCCAAGCAGCTGGGATTACAGGCATGCATCACCACACGTGGCTAATATTGTATTTTTAGTAGATACGGGGTTTCACCGTGTTGGTCAGGCTGGTCTTGAACTCCTGACCTCAGGTGATCCGCCCGCCTCAGCCTCCCAAAGTGCTGGGATTACAGGTGTGAGCCACTGCACCCAGCTGCCTGATGTCATTTTTGTAAATGCATCCTTCCAAAAGCTGTTTGTATTTCTTCTGGGGGTCCTTATTCTCTCCTATTTCTCAGCCCCTTCCCCATCTTTCCACTTTCACTGCGCTGTGTTCCATTGTGTTTGAGATGCAAAAAATGGCTTATAAAGTGTCATCATTATACAAAACCTCTGATCCCCAGGTTCTGAAAGAACGAGTGGAGACACAGAATGGCAGAAGGTAACAGATCCTGTTGGGTGGTAGAGAGCACCTGGAGTATTAATCTTGTGTGTAATTTTTAGATAGGAATGACTGCCAAGTTGAATACTGAGTTAAGTTTAAAGGTCAAAGTGGAAAGAGATGAAGTCACCTTTAATCTGGAGAAAAAATGGTAAATTTTGTGGGGAGGAACAGTATGGACACATTCCTGAACTCTCTAAATAGAAGAGGAATGAGGCTAACTTCACAAATCTCTCTTCTTCCTCAACATAGGCAGGCCTCTCCTCCCTGAATCCCAGATAATACCAGAGTGGCACTGCGGGTCGACATCCACAGATGTCTG
Source organism: Homo sapiens (assembly GCF_000001405.40). NCBI lineage: Eukaryota > Metazoa > Chordata > Mammalia > Primates > Hominidae > Homo > Homo sapiens. The sequence continues at coordinate 174,631,879 of NC_000002.12, read as the reverse complement.
AGTGACCCTGGTTTCAGAGGGATAAAATGGTGATATATACCAAACATTCATGCTAGTGGGGAAAAGAAAGTTAAACTCTGATAAGTGCAACTTTTACAACTGAACTCATCCTTGGTATCGTTTTGAGTTGGCATGAACAAATCTGGAGGCCCAGGTCTCTGGATTTCTCAGAAAGAAGTTCCCGGACATTTGTAAGGTATTATTGTTATCACCATCATATTGGGAAATACTAAGAACTATAGGTTTTGGGGGAGTTTTAATTGTGATAAAGGACACATAACAAAATTTACCATCTTAACCATTAAGATACAGTTCAGTAGCGTTAAGTATATTCATATTGTGCAACCAATCTCCAGAACTCTTTATTTTGCAAAACTGAAACTTAAACCCATTAAACAACAACTCCCCATTCCCTTTCCCCCAGCTCTTGGCAGCCACCATTCTACTTTCTGTCTTTATGAATTTGACTTTTCTAGGTACCTCATATAAGTAGAATTATATAATATTTGTCGTTCTGTTTCTGCTTTATTTCACTTAGCGTAATGTCCTTAAGGTCCGTCCATGTTGTTAGCACGTGTCAAACATTCCTTCCTTTTTAAGGCCAAACATATTTGTATGTATATATCACATTTTCTTTATCCCTTCATTCATCAGTGGACATTTGGGCTGCTTCTACTTTTTCGCTGTTGTGACTAATGCTGCTATGAACGTGGGTTTGCACATATCTTTGAGATCCTGGATTCAGTTCCTTTGGTATGTCCCCAGAAGTGGAATTGCTGAATCATAGGTAATTCTATGTTTGGCTTCTGAGAATTATCCAGCAATTGTGTCTTCTTATACCACTCTTCCTCCCAAAACACAAACTTGAAGATACCTCATATTATAAGATCATTATCATTTTTCTTCAGGAATGCCTCAAACAAAATGTTCATGTCTTGCTTCTGAGCAGTAAGGATGCAGAGGGGACTTGGGCTGTTGTCCCAGGAAAAGGAGCAAGACCAATGGGGCTATTCTGGAGGGGTGACCATGGTAGGTGTTTGGATTACAGATTCTGTGCAAGGAAGTGGTAGGAAAGATGTGATAGACGGCCTGACACAGTGCTGTGTGGTGATTCTTTTGCTGGAGATGTTGTCTCCTAACTAAAATATCATGAATACTAATGTATACTCTGTAACTCTACCAGGGAAGGGATTGCCTATGTGCCTGATTGATTTTTTACTCTGCCATTTCAATTTCCCTCTATTTCGTCATCAGTCAGAAGGTTGGTGCTGTTTAAAGGGGAAAAAAAAGCTCTAAGTGTCCCCTTCTCCCAAAAAAAGGAACCAGAAAATGACAAGAAGAGTTGCATTTGTCTATGAAAGTGCATAGAAAGCTTTTCCTGGAAAAGAATAAACTGGGAAAAGATGAGTCCTTGAAGTAGAACCCTGTCATAGTGCAACAAACTGAATTTAAGAGGCATCTGTTCCCAGCTTATACAACATCCAGTACCAGTTCCACAGTAGGTATTCACATTACCACTCAGATTGTTATTTCTCAATGCTAATGAGAAGCTACTGCTTTGAGACTGTCTAACTAGCTAGACACTTACCAGACTTTGTTTTGATATTTTCTGGTATGAATTAGGCTTCCTTTCTAGTTGCGTTCATGCCCAGATTTTAATATGACATATTTTAAGTTAACTCATTGTATTGTTTTGTAACCTAGAGTGGCTTAAAAACAGAGTCATTTGTTATAGTAGGATATGTGTTCGCACACACAAATATACGTGTGTGTATGTGTGTGTGTATAATGGGAGGAATTCTCTAGAGCATATGTTTCCTAAATTAGAAGTCACTAAGTGATATCTTGGAGCCTACAATTATTTGGAATACTGCTATCTTCAGACTAGGAAGTTATGCATGTATTATACATAGAGATTCATTTGGGGGGTTTGCTAGTAAACTGTAATTCTTTCAGTAAGTCACTGCTTTACTGAATGGTGAAGATTTGGAATGTCTTCTTTGATTTCCAGGCCAACAATGGATAGATTTGGTCGTCCTTGAAGCATTTAGAGACCTGTAGAATGAACTTAACTTCTGAAAACTGGGTGCGGGGCCAATAGAGGGGCTGCTCAATACCTCACCAGCCTGCTACGCGGAAGGCTAGATGGAGGGCTGCTAAAGGAAGAGAACTGCTGTTCCACCTCCGCCTCCTCCCTGCAGTGTGGCTTCTTAGGCAAGTCCCAGTTTAGAAGTCATCTAACTAAGTGAACATTCTTGAACTGCCACCAGACCTCTCCTAAAACTTTTTTCTAAGCAAACAATATATGCTTTCAGACTTTCTCTTCTTCCCTCTTCTTTTCCCCTTCTCTCCACTCCCTACTTTCGCCTCTGCCATTTCATGCCCATCACCTTGTGAAAGCTCAGGGCAGAATTTACCTACATGGACAGCATGCTTCCTTCCCTGGCCCTGTCTCTGAGCTTTTTATTCCTCTTCCCCAGAGCATTTAATAGCCTTCCCTGCAAAACAGAGGAAAGTCAAGGCTGATGAGCATAGTTATCAGAATAAAACTGTTTAAGAGGTTTTATGTAAGAAAAATAATTTGGAAAATAACAATGTTTTTTATAAGATCCTGATGAATCAGGAAGGATAAATAGTTTACTTTTTTTTGATAGAGAGAGACTCACTATGTTGCCGAACTCCATCTGGAGTGCAGTTGCTATTCACAGGTACAGTCATGGCACACTGCAGTCTCGAACCCCTAGGCTCAAGCAATTCTCCTGCCTCAGCCTCTCTATGTTTTAAAGACTTCCTTTAAGGGTCCATAAGGAGGTAGCTGTAAGGGAAGGGGAACTAAAAAGGCCAGAGGATAATTTTCTCTAAAAGGCAAAAATGTTAGGTTATTCAAAAACTATTTTTTTCCTCTACTTCAGTGCCAGGAACATCTGGCCTCAGGAAAAGTTTAGGAAAGATGCTGTTGTCATCATTTAAATCTTAAAGAGGTAGGAAAAAAATAATCTTGGATTTTTTACAACTAGAAGGGACCTTAGAGAGTTATATCCTTTTATTTTTAGATTTGGAAACTAAGGCCCAGAGAGATTAGGTGATTTGTCTATGGTCAAAGTAGCTCATTAATGATGGTAGAGGGTGCAGAACAAGGCCCCTGGCTACACACTGGTGACATAAGGGGGAAATGTTGAAGGGCCCCAAGGACTTGGGAATCTGAAAGTAGGTGCACCTCTGGGATCTACAGAGGCCAGATCTGTGCCTAATGGGAGTAGAGTAACAGATTGAAGATTTGAGGAACTTCCAGAACTCCAGCAAAGTGAGCTCTACGTAATTCCTGGAAGACAGCACAGCCATATGGTTGGAATTTTGTGGGTAGAAAGCTAATCCATCCTACCTGGAGAAAGGTTGTGGGCAATGAACTGGTCCTCATGGAGCAGAGAGGAAAAATTTCCAATGGTTGCCCAGTATTGGCCTGGAAAATAGGTCCTGAATCTTGTGGACATGAGTGTGGATTGGTAAGTATGGATGAAGATCTTTTGTGAAGTGTCTGTTGTGATGCATTATCAGGGCTCACCACGGCATGGATTAAGCAGTCCTCAGAAGGGTTAGCCATCCTTAGCACTGATTCCAACACCCCTGAACCACATTCTGAATGCTAAGTCAACTTCCTGGGTACCATTAGCTCAGAAAGGTATATTCTGGACAATGGACATGGTCACTGGAAAGAAATGGCATTTTTTTGTAGATTCCGGGGTGCCCAGCAGCCTCTTGTGAATTTTTACTCAGACATTCTGAGTCTGATCCCTCTGGCTCCCAGATAAAAGGGAGATGTGGGGACCTCTATGATAACGCTCTGTGCTTGATGTAGTGTTCTACCCCTCCCCAAGAATGCCACTCTTAGGGGTCTTTTCAGGGTAAACAGCAGCCTCTCCTAAGTGTCAGGCTTACTTTGTTGTTGCTCCTCTTCAAAATGCCACAAACATTATTAAAATTAAAAAATGAGATGTAATACATGGGTCCTGCTATTAGAAATCACAAGGCCTGGCCAGGTGTGATGTCTCATGCATGTAATCCCAGGACTCTAGGAGGCCGAGATGGCCTTGAGGATTGCTTGAGCCAGGAGTTCGAGACCAGCCTGGGCAACGTAGGAAGACCCCATCTCTACAAAAAATTAAAAATTAGCCAGGTTTGGTGGCATTCACCTGTGGTTCCAGCTAATCAGGAGGCTGAGGCAGGGGGATCACTTGAGCCCAGCAGGTCAAGGTCAAGGCTGCAGTGAGCCATGATCACACCACTGCACTCCAGCCTGGGTAACAGAGGAAGACTGTCTCAAAAAAAAAAAAGAAAGAGAAAGAAAGAGAGAAGGAGGGAGGGAAGGAAGGAAGGAAGGGAGGAAGGAAGGGAGGGAAAAAGAGAGAAAGAAAGAGAAAGGAAGAAAGAAAGGAAAGAAAGAGAAAGGAAAGAAAGAAGGAAAGAAGAAAAGAAAAAGAAAAGAAAATCATAAGACCTTTTTTTGGACACTGGATGTTTTCAAAGTTTTTTCTCTTTGTTTTTCTTGTTTGGCATTTTCCCTTAATTCAGATTTATTTATTAAGTATCTTCCATGTGGATCTTATATTCAAGTTAAAAGATGTGGACAAAAAACAATAAATCTAAAAAATACTAGGTGATGTATATTAGGAATTTAGAAGGGATACATGCTGTGGAGAAAGAAGTCTAGCGGGGCTAGGAGGAGCAGAGCACAGTGGTGGAGGATGGGTGTAGGTGAGCTGGTAAGGGCAGCTGTCATGGAGAAAATGGTGAGATAATTCACCATGTAGCCACATGGGGAAAGCCTGAGGACGCAGAAGCGGAACATGCCTGGAGTATTCAAGGAGTAACATGGAGCCAGTAATTTGGAGGTGAGATCCTGGAGGGCCATGTTGGTCATGGTAGGACTCTGGCTTTCCCCCCAGAGTCTGGGAGTGAGGGGAGGATTTTGATCCAAAAAGAGACAATGATCTGACTTTAAATTTAACAGCTCCCTTTGGCCACTGTATTGAGAATAGACTGTGGGAGCACAAGAGTGGAAGAGAAGGACCAGTTAGGAGGCTATTGAAATACTCCAGTGAGACATGCTGGTGCCATGGACAAGGGTTAGCAGTAAAGATGTTGAGGAGTAATTAGAGTCTGGTTATTTTGAAGGTAGAACCAGCAAGATTGGCAGTTGGATTGAAAAATAATAAGCAAAAGAGAGGAGTTAAGGAAAATAGGAAGTGGCCTAAGTGTAGTAAGAATAGAAATGCCATCAGACTGAGATGGGGCGGGCTGTGAGTACAGCAATTTGGGGTGGAGGGGAGATACTAAGACTTTTGTTTGGGATATAGTGAGTTTGAAATGTCTATGAGACAGACAGCCAAGTGGAGATGTCAAGTGGGCAGTTGGATATGTGTGTCTGAATATAGGAGTTAGAATCCTAGAAAAAAGTCATCTTTCTTAATGGTCTTGGTTTAATATCACTCCTAAATTCATCTGTAGCTTCTAAAACTTCCATTAAAAACATGGAATGTGACTCTGCATAGTGATGTGTTCACTGGTTTGATTTCTGGGACTGAAATCAGAGAGAGAATGTTCTTTTGGGTAAACAGAAGTGAAGAATCAGGATTCTTGTTTCGAACTTTGCTTCTTATTGCTTAAAACTTAATGATTCCATAATTCTTATTTTAAGAAAAAGAAGTTTTTTTAAACAAAATGAGCAAAAGCAATACCTTAACAAATCAAGCTTTCCTCTGCTTTTATGTCAAGGTAGTTGAGAGTATTGTGAGACGGTTATAATTTTTATGTTTATGTAAATGTCATCTTAAATATAATTGAAATTGCTTTTTGTCATTGAAACAGATATTATGTAGTTTTACAAATTTTAATGAATTAAACTATGCCGTCTTCCTGTAGAAAAGGAGATACCGCTGGCCCTCCATATTCACAAGCTCTGCATCTGTGGGTTCAGCCAACTATGGATCGAAATATGCAACTTCAAATTATCTTCATTCAGGAAGGAGAACCCTGAGTTCTTCTGGGTTGGATCTAAGCATGTAAGACTATTGAGTTACATTTGACTTCTGAAGTCACTTTTTGTCTTTACTTTTTAGTCAGCTTGTGAAAGCAAAAAGCATCTTATTTTTAAAATACCTATGTTAGTACCCTGGAATAACACTGGCATTTCCTAGCCCAAACTGAGACTAAAAGTTTTGAATTAATCTTTCCCTCAACTTACAAGAAAACAGTTATCAAATTTGTCTTTAAATTATCTCATTGGACCCTCCACCAGCCTATGAGGCAGGCACTCCCATGAGCCCCATTGACAGAGGTGGAAATTGCCTCAGAGAGGTGAAGTGAAGTGGTGATGCATTCCACAGAGCTGGAATTCAGACCCAGGTCTATGTGCATCCAGAGCCCCCCAGCCTGCTTTCCAGAAGCATGGAGTAAAGTAAAACAAACCCGGGCATTTCAGTGAAATAATGCAGACCAAGAGGTCATGCAGAATGATCTCCTTTGTGATAAGCCTAAAACCTGAGACCTCATTCAGAAAGCTGAGGAAGTTGCTAAACCAATCCTCGAAGTGAGGGGATTCATGAGCCAAGTCTTTTCTTAGGCCTGTATCCTGTACAGTGGTGAGGCTACTCGGGTGGTATGACACCTGTGGACTGAGAACATGCCCTCCATCAAACCCACAAGGAAACTTCCACTCAACCCTCAGTTGCACAGAAGCCCATTGATGCCAGCCGGCAGCAGCTGTCCCTGGCTGCTCCCAGAAAGTGCCTGGTAACTGGGAGACTGCCAGCCAGCCGCCCCAAGGAGACCTGAGTGAGGGGTTCTGCAAGCCTTGGAAGTGGTCCAGGACCTTAAGGCTCTGGCCTGAGCTCAGGGCTCAGAAAAATGGACAGGGCTCTGTCCCCATAGTGCCAGTTGTCAGAACGCTGTAGGGCGATGGGGTCAGCTTCCACACCAGTAGCCTTCCATGGGGGCCCTTGGGAGCAGCAGCCCCAACCCCCCTCCACAGTGAATATTCAATCTTGTGTGCACTGGTGCAGACATCCTGGGTATTAAAATAATGAGATGCCTAAAAACCAGTTGGCGAATTGTCATCACCCTCAGCCCCCTGAGCACACCCCCAGAACCCCTAAGACTTCTCCCATAATTCAACAACTAAAGGATGAATGCCAGCACAGCACAGGGTGCCCCTGGACCCTGCTCCAGCATCTTATGTTGTCCTAATTGGTTAGTGCCTGTGCCTCATTGGTTGTTAAATATTTTGAATATCACCCAATTTCCACCCAAGTGAGATGAAACATGGAAGGCATTTCTCTGAACAGGTGATGACAAATTTGGATTGGCGTCTAGGAGGGGAAAATTGAAACCTATAATTGTGTCCCTAGTTCACTGGTTCTCTGATAGGGGCCTGTCGATAGCATCCCAGGCTGTTTTTCACTAGCGAGAAGAAAAATACCTGCAGTGGTTATGACTGGAAAGGTAATAAGCAGAGGTCAGCCCAGCCCCTAGAAACACAACTTTGATTAATGTTTTCAGAGGGCCCCAAGTTTAAGAAGATTTGAATTTTGCGGGAAGACTTCTCCTCCACTCACTTTCTGCTCTAGTCCTACCTGTCATTAGAAATGTGGTTATTACATCTAACCATGGCTTGTTTGCTCCCATAGTTCAGTTGGTGACCACCTGCCCAGAGGAGATGAAAGGTTCATTATTAGTTGAGCTCCACTAATTCTGATTTATTAGTGCCAAACACTTGCCTTTTGCAGCTGTGAGGGAAGTTTTCAAAGTTGATCTATTTCTGAGCTGCACTAGCAGTACCACATGTTTTTTTTTTCTTTTTTTAAGAATCTTTCACAAACACAGTAAATGCCCACAGATGGTGGATTCCAGGGGTATGTGAGGAATCCCTGTGCCCATCCACAAAGCACCAGACTGATTTTTCAGATGGTGCAAGATAGACTGCATCCTTTAACACAGGGGTTTTTTCTGTGTTAATATTTAACACATTTCATTCACCAAAAGTGAATTATTAAATCCAGTGCATATTCAGGAGGAGGGACTTATGCCAAGGCATGAATTTCAGCAGGTGGAGATCACTGGGGACCATCTTATAAGCTGCCTGCCACAAAATGAAATAAAATATCTATGAGCTCTATTGGTGATGGTGTCACAGTGCTGTTAATGCTACTGCAGTTTGTTGGCTACATTCATAATCAAAGAAATGCAAAATTTCAGCTAGAGGTTAGTGAAAAAGAGGTACTATTTTTCCCATCTAGTTCATAGACTGAGATTTGGGTATAAAAAGACGGTGGCTTCTTTCTTAGGAGCTTTCTCTCACTCTCTTGCTCACTCTCAGGGAAGCCAGCTACCGTGTTAAGAGCTGCCTTATAGAGAGATGCATGTGCAGAGAACTGAGGGAGACCTGTAACCAACAGCCAGTCAGGAAATGAATCCTGCCAACAACATGTGAGTGAACTTGGAAGCAGTTTCTCCCCCAAACTTTCAGATGGGAACACAGCCCCAGCTGACACCTTGAGTGCAGTCTTGTGATAGACTTTGAGCCAGAGGTACCCAGCCAAGCTGTGCCCAAATCTCTGACCCACAGAAACTGTGATAAAGTAAATGTTTATTGGTTTCAGCTACTTAGTTCTGGGCTAATTTATTACACAACAATAGACTAACTAATACACACTACAATTTCAGATATCTTTTAATATTGTTTATATGTATTACCATTTGAAATTATAGTAATTATTAGACTAGCCACTAGATCTTGTTATTTAATACACTAAGAAGCACTTATGTTAATATATAACACATTTGTTTTAAACCATTTTGGTACTACGCATCCCCATCATTGAAATTTACCAACTCTTATTTCTTAAAGTCTTTGGGCTTTAAGATAATTCATAATTGAAAATCATTTTGTTAACAACAACAAATAGAACACCTCTTAGGAGGGCATTATGGTAGGTGTTGTAGTTGCCTCTGCCTTGTGATGTTTATAGGTAAAAGCTCAAATCCCAGACTTGGCAGCTCTGTAACCTCTGGAAAATCAAAACAAAGACTGTGTACCCACAAAAATTAAAAACAAAAATAAAAATTGTTAAGAATTTCCTTATAGTTAATACAGGTTGCCATATAAAATTTCTGACCGCGGGGCAGACACAAGTGCTAATCAGCCAGAATAAATGCAAGCCTGAAAGACAACCAGTGGGTAGCAGTGACCATCAGCCTGCTCATAGGAGAGTGGGGATTCGGTGAGTTAGGATAGGCGCACCCCACGGAGCACTGGCGGCATAGAGAGGGGATCCTATAGTGTTACGTTCCTTTCCCTTCCCCAAGAACAGTGTTTTCAAAGTTTGATAATCATACCACAGGTGGTTTGTGAGGTGATTTTAGGAGACATGGATAAACGTTCTTTATTTAAATATGTATTTGTTTTAATGTGTAGTAGAAAAAATGTACAACAACATATGAAATTCATGATTTCATGGATATAGTTACTTAGGATGACACTAAATATGTCTTTAGATTTTTTTAGGTTAGTTGAGTTAAATAAAAATATTAAACAAATCATATAGTTTTGGTGGTATGCAGGCATGACAAAATTATGAAGTTAGTTTGCAAATATTTGAAGTTTAGGAACAACAGCCTTAGGAAATTTATCAGGAGACCAGATATATATCCACATTAAGAGATAACAAATTCATGGCTCTAAATTCAGTCAGGTTGCTGTCAGGGTATTTAATAACCTAAAAGGCAACATTTAGAGGAAATGATTTTCTATGCTTCATGTCTCCTAAACTTCCAACAGCATGTAACACTGCCCCTTTGCACTCCCTCTGAGAAGGGAGGGTGGGGTGGGCAGTGATTTGGAGGGCCCAGCGGGCTTCCTCATTGTTCTCTCATCAGTAAAATTAAATTCCATTTAATTTAATTCCACAAATTTCAAGGGTTAAAAAAGTTCATGTTGGTGCCTAATCACCCTGGTAGGCTACTGTGTAGTCCTGCACAGTCCAAAGCAGGGGCCATTTGAAATGTGGCTAGTCCAAATTGAGATGGCCTGGGTCATGAGTGGAAAATTCACATTGGATTTTAAATACTTAGTATGAAAGGACAATATAAAATATCTCGTTAGTAATTTTTATATTAATGTTGAAATGATATTGTAAATACATTAGGTTAAATAAAATATATTCTTAAAATTAATGTCACCTGTTTTCCACATCACTTTTTTAATGTGGCTATTAGAAAATTGCAAAATATGCATGGGGCTTGCATTGTATTTTTAGTGGACAGTGCTGTTCTACCTATATACAGACAAGAGGAAGTATCCAAGTGTGTGGGCGATGGGGGTGGAGGGGAGGGGGAGATTGGTAGGAGAGTTGTAGCTGTATACTAATTATTCAGATCTATGACTCTGCTTATACCTCTCCTGATCTCCAGAGTTGTATTTTCATTCGCTTTCTGGATATTTCATTCACTTTCTGATACCTCACTCGATCTCAAGCTCAATGTGTACAAATCCCTTTCATCCAAAACCTGGCCTTCCTCCTTCATTGCCTGTCTCATTAATGACACCCACACATCTAATTAGTCTCTATGTCTTATTATTTCTTTCTAATATATATTACTCAAACTCATCTCCTCTTTCATATTTATTCTGCCTCTCTCTAATTTAAGCCTGCAACCTGGTTGTCTGTACCAACACAGATAAAGCTCCTGCCTTCAGAGTCTCCAGTCCTTCCCCGTACTGCCATTAGAATGAGCTTGGTAATGCGCCACTTTGACCATGGCATCGCTGCTTAAACAGCTTACATGAGTCCTAACACCTCCAGGCGAAGTCCAAACTCCTGAACACTGCCTGATCCCAGACCACCTTTCCAGCCTCATCTCCCACCAGCACTAATTTTCCCAGGCTGCTGTGTTTAGCCACATGTGACAGCAGCCTTCTCCAGTGGGCCCTGCCCCTCCACTCCTTATTCTTCTTATTTTATCTTAATCCACTTCTTCCCCTGCTTTCAAGCACAGGCACAGCTCACGTGCCTCTGTGAAGCCTTCCATGTTCATTGCTCCGGCACCCCCACGGCATCATGTGCACCCCGTTACTGCCCAGTCACACTCACTGTGATGATTTGCTCACATGTCCCTAAAATGAATCCCTCTTTTCTTACCTTGGTACTCTGCCCCCTTTTACTACAGCACCTAGCACAGGGTCTGGCCATAGTATAGACCTAGTAAATGTTGGCTGGATGAGAGGATAATGGGTATGTGCTGAATATTTTAATGGTCCTAGGAAAAAAATTATTTGTAGATTTTAGCAGAGATCTTGAAAATAAAGTAGTAACTAGGTGTGAATTTTTACTTTTGTCTATAAAATAACTTTTTCTAACTTGGTACTATGAAGATAAAATAGAGTTTAGAACAACTGTAGTTTCTTTTTCAAATATATTCTTGTGCAGTTTTTTTCCTTATACTTTCACCCCGGTAACAATGGCTTGTTGCTTCCATTAGGTTAATGAAGGAATCTGTTCTAAAGAAATGAATCACAGGGCAAGACACCTAGATTCTAGTTGCAAGTCAAGTATATTACCCAGGTCATTTAACTTCTCTGAGTTTTGGTTACCTTAGATATTCACTGAAGCTGTTTACTCAGTGATCTCTGATTTCCATTTCTGAAATTCTAAAGCATTTTAAGGCGTCAGTGGTCTCAACATTGGAGACTGTAGGTTATAGGCTTTTGCTCTTAATAAACACGCAAATGGCCCTTTGACATTTTATTAAGGAGCATAGAGTTTAAATGTATGCATTATTCTGACCCATTCAAGAAATCAAATTAAGATAAAGGTTTTCTAAACCTGCAGCATTCATTGTTGTCAAGGGTATGGTGAATGGAGATTTCTTTTTTTTTTTTTTTCTTGAGACAGAGTCTTGCCCTGTGGCCCAGGCTGGAGTGCAGTGGCGCAGTCATGGCTTCTTGCAACGTCGACGTCCTGGGCTCAAGTGGTCCTCCTGCCTCAGCTTCCCAAGTAACTGGGACTACAGGCAGACACCACTACACCTGGCTAATTTTTTAATTTATTGTAGAGACAGGGTCTTACTGTACTGTCAGGCTGGTCTCAAACTCCTGAGCTCAAGTGATCCTCCCACCTTGGCCTCCCAAAGTGCTGGGATTACAGGTGTGAGCCACCATGCCCAGACCCTGGAGCTTTTATGTAGCCAAAGGGGGTCTAGGCCTTCCCCGAAGGCCATCTGCACTGTGTATCAAGTGAACTTAAATTGTTCAAACTCTTTGATCCAATACTTCTGTTTCTATAATTTATTCTATAGCATAATCCTACCTGTGCACAAGGATTTGTGTATAAAGATATTGACATTAGCACAATTATAAAAGCAAAGTAAGAGATAGCTAGATGACTATTTTTGAGAAAGGGTCTCACTGTGACACACAGGCTGGCGTGCAATGGTACAATCACTGCAACGTCGTCCTCCTGGACTCAAGTGATCACTTAATGTTAAGTGTTAAATAAATAAGTGATTAAGTAAATGTTAAATAAATGAATATAATGCAGTCATTAAAAGTCATGCTTTCAAAGAATATTTAGTGGCATGAAAGGATAACAAAAACTGGATTCAAAACTACATTCATGCTTTGGAGGCTGAGGTGGGAGGATTGCTTGAGCCCAAGAGTTTGAGACCAGCCTGGGCAACATAGTGTGACCCCGTATCTAAAAAAAAGAAACAGCTGGGCATGGTGGCATGCGTCTGTGGTCCCAGCTACTCAGGAGGCTGAGGTAGGAGGATCACTTGAGTCCAGGAGGTTGAGGTTGCAGTGATTCCACCACTGTCTGCCAGCCTGTGTGTCACAGTGAGACCCTTTCTCAAAAACTCTGTGTGCGTGTGTGTGTGTGTATGTGTCAGTTAATAAGATTCATAATGAGTGGAGCCAAGGAAAATGCTAATTGTGAGACAATAGAAGAGTAAAAGACCCTCTGTAGGGCCTCTTTAATAGGAGGGGCTTTATTGTAAAGATGGGCAATAAAGGAGACAGGAGACTCAGGACTAGCCCCACAGGGAGGCACAGACTGAGCAGAGGCATGAAGCCAGACCACTTGAGCTTAAATTATGTCTCTGCCACTTATAAGCTCTGTGGCCTTGGTCAAATAACTTAACTTGTCTGTTCATCAGCATCAGCAGCACCCAGATGTATCTTACAGGGTTGTGAGAATTGAATGAGTTGATAATACTTATAAAAGCACCTAGAACACTCCTTAGCACATAATCAGAGCTCAGTACATGCTCATTGTTACTGTTGTTATTACTGTTAGTATTAATATTATTAGAATTATTGGGACTAGGATGTGGTTCAGGTACCTGAAAAGCCACAGTGCACCCTCAGTTCCAGGAGATGGCAGATCTCCCCTCCTCTCTTAAGTCCACTGATTGACTGGCTCAGCTGTCCATTTTTGCCTGCTCTTGTTTCCCTAGTGCTAACTGCCTGCCCCTCCTTGATCCTCAGTTCATACTTCTGAGACAAGGAAGGACATGAGTTGCCTCGTGCATTACCTTTTCCTTGTCTGTGCCGAGCTTTTCAGGACAGACCAGCTCACAGCCTGCTCTCCAGCCTGAGGCCTGGCTGGCCTGGTCCAGTTGACCATGGTTGGGGTGAGCCCAGCTCTAGTTGATCTCAGAAGGGGAATGTGGGCACAAAGGAAGGTCTTTTAATTATGGGATTTTCAATTATTCTGGAAAGAGGACTTGAAGAGTATAAAAGAAAGGTTAAAATAACCCTGCTGAAGTGGCAAGATGACCTTTGTCATTTCCCACCTAGCATACCAATTCGATTCCTTTTCAAAGCCTTATTAGTTACCGTTAAAATCCACAAAGGAAATTGTGTGACTAAGAACTGTGGAAATGAAAGGAAACCTCAAAGGCCTTTATTGAACCTCTGCCTTTCCAGACCACACCCTTTCCACCTCTGCATCAGGTCACATTGCAGTTTGTCTACTTTCTGATATCTTTATTCACTTCTTTCCATTCATGGACTGGCCAAGAAAATACAATACGATATTTAAACTACACAGAGAGATGCTGAGGGCCTCCTAATAATTTACTATGGCTGGGTGAGACCTTTGGGAAATGCTAATGGAGAACATCACCACCACAGGGTGCGCGTTCCAACCAACCGCACTTCCTTCTTGCTCTGATGCTGCCATGGACTCAACTTTTCACCACTCCCTGTGTCCACAAGGTGATCAGAACAATGACATTTCACTCCCTGGAAGTCAATCCATTGCTACTTGAAGACCACACCAGCACTTGAGTCATGACTGATAGAAATTACCATTTGCTCCGATGCCTATAGCTCAGTATTAAGCAGACAGCAGGTAGATGAACATGTACGAGGGGTCTGTGCTCACAGGCTTTGTAACATCATCATTCTTTCTGGGCTGTCTCTCTTTTCCAGATGCCTATGATTTGGTATTTCTCCTGGCCAGAGAGTAGCACTGGAAACATTGAACACAAAGTATTCTAACCCTTATTGCTCAATGTGTTTTTCCAGAGCAGCCCAAAAGGTTATGCTGGGTTTCATGAGCTGCAGAGGATGACTGACTGGTGCCACCTAGAAAGACAAACAGCAGAAACTGCAGAGCTTGGACTGAGCTCAGACAAAAATCTCTGCTGCTTGTACCCAGCTTGAATATTATGGCCAACACTTGAAGAATAGAAAGCATCACTTAAAACATTTTAATTATCCCCACATGTAACATGGGCCCTAAATGTTCTGAACTGAAAACCTCACTATGTAGTTGAAGGTCAATGACACAAGTTTCAGATATTAAAGGTTTATCACTGTTTCCTGTCTTCCTATTAAAAAAAATGAAAAAAAAATCAAATAAATCATCAGTTGTGAGACAAATTTCCTTGATGACCAAAACCAGAGGGCTCTTTGGGCTTCCTTAATCCAGTTAGCAAGAAACACCTCAAAATAGCAATACAAAGCCAGGATTGAAAAGAATTTAAAGACCATTACTGACAAAGTTCTTGTCAAATAAAAGTTATTTGAAAATAAAAATAAGGATCTTTTTGAAATTTTGGTAGCAGTTGCCACCTGTTCTCTCAGAAAAGTAACTGCTTTTACAGAAAACTCTAAATAATTTTCAAAACCCAGTAAAACATGGTCTTTATTGCTTATGTATTCCCTTAATTTGAAGAATATTTTTAAACGCTCAAAAATGGAAAATTCAATGTTGGTCATCTTAAAGATTCTAGATGTATTTCAGCCCAAGCTTGACAAACAAGTGCTTTAGGTATCCTCTTCCCTCCTTAGCTCCTTAAGGACCACACTGTGGAAGGAAGACTGGAAAGGCCTCAGCAGGGGAGAAACCATGTGATGGAGGCTCAGAGTGGACTTCTGATCTAGTAGTGGCTTCAGGAAGGGACGCCAGACTTGCCATTCCAGCAGGGGTCGAGGCCTCCCTGTCTCGTGAAGAGGAAGGTGTGAAATCCTCTTATAGACACATGATTCTCTTTCAGTGTATTTTCTTTATTCCATCTTGACCTCAGGATGGATAACTCATCATCCCTTTTGGCACGGATCAAAATCCCTGGATAAATGCCAACCTTAAGTTTGCCTGCATGTGTGTAACCATGGCCAAGGTAAACTGGTCTCTTGGGTTTCTTTTGAGTTGAAATGAGCTGAGCTGTTTGTTTCCTCTGAGCCATATACAGATGCTTTTTGAACTATCTTTGTGTTTGAGGGAATTTTTTTTCATGGTATCAGCACACCACTTCCTCCAAGTCATTACTTTGAAACAGTTTTGTAGAGGGAGATATTCCTGCTGGCCACCAGCCTAGCCAAGCAAAGTGATGACTGAGGGATGGCAGTAAAGCTTTATTAGTGCACTTCATGTTTTTGGATGAGTTCATGAAATGATTTCTCATCCACTAATTTTGGCAAATAGAGGGTGGGCTGTCATCTGAGCTCAGCAGTAGAAAACAGCACTTTGTTAATACCAAGCATTGGCTCCCCTGTTTGAATGATACTCAGAATTTCAGCTAAAATAATGTCCTCCGATGACCTTTGCCTGCTCTTCTCTTTATAAGAATTCCACAGAACTCTTTTGAATATGGATTTCCACTTAATCTTTGATACTTCCAGGCTCTTGGGTCCTGATAAGTTTTAGAAACTGCAAGTTTAAGTGAAGCTGTTTTTAACTTCCCTTTTATTTTGCTTTAAATATTTTTAGCAATGAATGACCTTTGAATACTTTTAAATGTTGCTATACAAACATAAACAGTGCTTTTACTAACATATTTTATAAATATTTCCTTTTCCATAAATTCATAAATTGCTTTTGTCATAAAAATAGTAATATTTTATAGTATTTTAAGAGTAAATTCTAAGCCTTTAAGAACTTTTATGCCTACACTAAGGAAAATAGGACTAGAGACTTAAAATACATAACCATGCTACATTTATAGTGATTGTTATGTTCTCTGATTCATACATTAAAAACTGATGTGATTCCATAAAATTCTGACTGTATTTTTTTAATGTAATTGCTTATTTTGTATAGGAAGTGGGAGGAGTTATCCTTGAGGCAAATCACCACTGAATTGACCCATCCTTTTATCAACTTTATTTTTTTTTAAGCCCAAATTCTAGCAAAGCAATAACAGGTATCAGTTTCTTCCCTAAGTAATATATTGTACACTGTCTTTATTATGGTTTGGTGGCATTTTAGAATAAAGTCATAACTTTAAAACTTTTTTAAAGCTGCGCTTTTAAGACTGATTATATACATGTCACAGAATCCAGAGTAGAATGAATATATGTCGCTATTGTTCTCCATTGCTTGAACTTCTCCATGTTACTTATGCTGTAAATATTTTTGAGATATTCTCATCTTTGTGCATCTTAGAACTTCTGAGAAACTCTCATCTATATTCTCAAGATATTGGGGCAGAGGGAACATAGGAGAAAACTTAATCTCAACATTGGTGCAAACAGAGGTTGGAAAGCATTGCAGTGAACAATGCTAGTGAAGAGTAAGATGTACCTCCACAAGGTGTTTTGCAGCAGGTTAAGAGTATAGCTTGGATAGTAGGAAATTCTGTATACAGAAGCCTTTGTACTTTGGAAAATAAGATTTCATATTGATCTTCATACTTGTTTTCCATGAATGCCCTGACAATGAGAGTTGGATACTCTGTTTTCTGTGTGGTGTTCAATTTTGCCAAAGCTTTATTTGACTCTTGGCACTAGTACCTTTCACGTCAGAATGCCATCAGCTTGTGGTGGCAGAACTTGGGAATAATGATAGGAATTGTGGCATGTTTTTTTTTCTCACTTACGTAGTTAAATCAGATCTTGCCTCAAGGCCTATTTTCTCTCTGTTTGTTATGTGTCACCTCTGAAAACATTCCCAGACGTTTACTGTTCTCTTTGTTTACTCCTCAACCACTAGAATAAAGCAGACTTGAAAATAAGCAGTCTTCCATTCCCTAGTTGGGTGAGACTATCCGAAAAGCCTTTGAACATTTTCTTAGTGAAATGAAGAGGAGTCCTGTTCTCTGCAGTGGAGGATTTGGAGACAAGTGGCTCGGCATTCGGCTCTTGGAATTTTAACTTAACTACTAATTAGCAATGGCTCTCTCCAGGTGAAATGAAAACAAGTTAATGAACATAAAACCAACTTATTAATCCCCGTTTCTTAACTTTTAGGAGCAACTGTGTTTTTAGGAAATTTGTAGGGCATTTTCTTTCTGAATTTGTGTTCATTGAGTCTAGTGATATTTGGAATTACACAAAAATACAGAGGTATTAGTGAATGAGAGTGACCAGCACAAATTGAATGGATCAGTGCAGCTTTTTTAAATAGGGCTAAGTGTATCTGAAAATGAGTTTTAGATAAATGACATAAATGGAGACTCAAATGATTAGCACCTACTTTTTTCAAATATCAAAGAGTAAATTATTTATTCTTTTTTGTTTAAAATTTTAAAAAATAACCCATAACTCAGCATTATAAAAGTCTTCATTCTTACATTGCATTGAATTATCCCTCTGTAAACAAAAGGAGCCACTTTACCAGCTGTGTTCCCATGTTTGCCTTCTTACTTATCAATCTTGCCCTCCCTGCCCAACCTACCCTTGTTTCCTCTTTTACCAAGTAGCACGAACTGGGGAGAAGTTCTGCTCACTTAATAATCGTAATAGTAGCTAATGTTGTTGAGTGTTTAGTATGTACCAGGCACTTCATCTCAAAGCATCTGCCTGTCTAATTTAGAAATATCAAATATCTCCTAAGTGCAGGATGAAGAACTGTGCAAAGTGAGGAACATCCTGTCACAGGTCTTCACTTGGGAAGAGCCAGGTGGAAAGGAGATCAGTTGTCCTTCTAGCCCAGGACAACTGGAAATTACAGCCCACCAAGTAGACTGCTAGAGTTGCTTTGAATGACCTGTGCTCAAAAGAGGTTTTTATCATCAAGTTTGCAATCATAAAAAAATTCTAAACTAGATTCTACCTTTTCTAAAATATTTGCATAATGGCTAATGAAAATGGTAAAAATGAGAGAAGCTTGAGTATTCATTAGGTCAGCCTAAATTACACCTTGATTTCTGGGAACTTTGGTCTTGTGAACACTAAAATAAGGTGACTCAGGGTCACAACTGCTGTTTTCTGTACCTTAGACTTTAGAAGTTTACACGTCTGCATGTGCATAACATAAACCAAGGCATTCCTGCTTTTGCCTTTGAGGCAGGAAGAGCTATGGTAAGATGTGCCTAGAGGTCCTACCCTCTCCTCCCAGCATGGGATAGAAACATTTCTTACAGTGGTAAAAATTCTCATAGACTGCACAAAATTAGCCACAGCTAATAAAATAAAGGTAGTCCTTGGTTTATGAACATTTGGTTTATAAACACACAGAAACGGTCACTGCCTTCCACCCAGTCAGTCTACGAATGGTTAGAATATTTTATTTTGTTTATGAAAAATCATGGAGCTTTTAGGTAACCTTTAGGTTCAAATAGGAGGAAATAAGGAAAAGACTAAATCCCTGTGATTTTTTTTTAAATCCAGATAACAAACCACTAATGGAGTAAGATATACTAATAATGGAGAAGACAATAAATAAACCTATCAAATTGGCAAAGATTTTGAAACGTCATAATAGCACATGTTAAAAAGAAGAAATGAGTACTGATGGGAGTATGCAAGCTAAAACTTTGAGAAAATAATTTAATCGTATGTATCAAGATTCCTTAAAAAAAAACTGTTCATGTCTTCTAGTGATTGTACTCTAAAAATTTATCCTAAGGAAATACTATAAAATGATTACAAAACATTCAGATGCAAGTATATTAATTATAATAGGATTTGTAATAATGAAATTGGATGCAATTTAAATGTCTAACAATAAAAAATATTTACATAGATAATAGAACATCCAGAAAATGAGATATGCAACTATTAAAATTGTGTTAAGAGAATAATATGGGGAAATGTGAAAAAGAAGGATATATACAGACGCACGTACACATCCAAAGTATGATCCCATTTTAAATACAAACACAAAAAGAAAGAAAAACACTGGAAAGAAATTCTAAGATGATAACTGGTTTTCTCTGGGTATTAATGGGTGATTTTTAAAAATAGGTGGGGTATGGTGGCACACACCTATAATCCCAGTACTTTGGGAGGCCAAGGCAGGATGATTGCTTGAGGCCAAGAGTTTGAAGGTAGCCTAGGCAACATAGCAAGACTACGTCTCTACAAAAATAAAAAATTTGTAAAAATTAGCCAAGCGAGGCAGCATGCACCTGTAGTCCCAGCTACTCAGGAGGTGGGAGGATTGCTTGAGCCTAGGAGTTTGAAGCTGCAGCGAGTTGATCATGCCACTGCACTCTGGCCTGGGTGATAGAGCAGGAATCTGTCTCAAAAAAAAATAAAGTTATTTAAGTGAAGGAATCAAACTATGAAAAGTGGGAGAAACTTAACAAAGTTAACCCTAGACAGTGTGTGACTGTACTATGTGGTGTCTTCCTCCAACTAAATGTCTTCTCTGATCTCAAAAAAATTCAACATCATATGGGTTAACATGGGTTAACACCTCTCTTCTCTTTTAAATAAAAGACAACTTGATTTCCTCCTGATGCCTCAATGAGATCATCTTATCCCAGGAAAGGGAATTACAATTTAGGGTAAGAAATATTTGGGGGACAGGAGCCCCTTAGTGTCTTGCATGAGACCAAGGGAAAGTTTGGAGGTGGCCTGAAGGTGGGGGCAGAGGCAGAAGCTGAGGCTGGGGAGCCCCAGAGAGGGACGACCCTCCCTCCTCCTCCTCCTGATACCACCTTAAAGTCCTTTCCTTTGAGGACTCAGAACTGAAGTTTTAGTTTAGTGACATTATGAACTAAATATACTTTTGTGGGCTGGCCTAGCAATATATCATCAAGTTTTTTTGTTTGTTTGTTTTTGTTTTTGTTTTATGGAAATGGTCCTTGGATTGAAACGACTAACCCCCAAAGGACTTTGGAGCCCTTTCCATTTGCATCCTAGTTTGCCTGGATTAGTGCTGCTCTGACAGTGATCTTGGTGAGGCTGCTCTTCATAATATAATATGAGCTGGGCCTAAATGAACACCTGCACAGCATAAAACAGAGGGTAAATTTCCTTCCACACATCATCAACGCAGATAGGAGTGTAAGCTCCATGACGGTGGACAATTTTGTCTGTTTAATCTTTGTAGTATCCCCTAAAGCAACCTTGGAACATGAAGATACTGAGTATTTGTTGAATGGCTGCTGTGCATGGAGCCCTAGCACAGCTGCTCGCTAGTTAACAGTGGCATTAGAGACACACAAAGATTATAAAACACTTCTATTTCTAGAAAGTCATCTACAGTTTTGTGCGTTTTTCTTTTGGCTGGAGAAGAGGGCCGGGAGGTTGAGTGTGGGGCCAGATCTGGGGGAAAAGGTCAGTGACTGCAGGGACCTAGAGGTTGGAGAAGCTCATCTGGAAGGAGGAAGTGCTGGTGACAGAGAGGAGCCGTGGTCAGGAGCTGGGTGAGCTGTTGACCAAGGTGGAGGTTATGTCGGGCTATTCTGACACGTTGACCTTAGCCACAGTTCCCAGACCACTACTTAACTTGCCTTGCCAAGACACAACTGCCATCCAAAGCCAGGAGTAGCACCCAGCTTGAGTTTTGTTTAATCATTGTTTCATTTTATTTTTGTGTGTTTTTTGTTTTTATTTAATGATGGTGGGGGTGAGGCAGGGAGAGACCATTTATATTTTTTTTCTACTTTGTCCATTTATCTTCCTGAGGGTGTCCTACAAAACATAAACCACATGTGGTTTTTATACCCCAAATTTTTGTGGTTTGTTATTCCCAAACTAGTCAATATTTAAATGTAGTCATGGAGCTGCTTTTTACATAAGCCACCAACTGATCATTTTGTTGGAATGGATCTGAAACAGAATGAAATGGTCCAAGTCTTTGGATTAAGCAGCTTCCGTGTTGTGGGGAAAAGAGTCAACACGGAGCAGAAAGAAAATAAAACCCACACAAAATGGTGGGGAACTGGTCACTTTCTGATCACACATTTTCTGATCCTACCACCACCCCTGCATACGTATTTGGAGTTAAAGGAACAACATATGTGCACATGCTCCAGCAGGAAGCATTTTCCTTTGTCTTTCCTGTGGCCTGATAAGGTATTGACCCCATCGAGGCAACCCGAAAGTGTTTTTCCAACAATCTGTTTCCCCAGTCAGTCATTTGAAGAATCCAGAGAAGCTGAATGAGAGGAGGGAAGTTCTTGGAGGGAATCTGGGGTCATTCGAGTAGAACAAATTCTGTTCTGGCCAAGCCACTGAGAAAAGCAGGATCTGCTGAGAAACAGGAGAAAGAATCACCCACGCCTCTGTGATATGTTTGGTAACAAAATGTGAAGCTCCTTCACAGGATCAGAGGTGAGTAGCTGTGGTGGTCTCCACTGCCCAGGCTGGATGAGCAGAATCGTCTGATTGGCCTTTCATGACTTTAAACGGAGCTCAGGCACATGTAGACATCCCAGGACCACCAGAAGCAGTGGCTCCCAGCCCCGACTGACCCCGTGCCCACTTGTAATAACAGTATTTTCTAATGCCCTCTTCAAAATCTTCAGTGAACCTTCACAAATAAAATAATCTGACTTCACACACAATTTCCCTCCAAATCAATGTAGTCTTAATTTAAAAGAGAAATGAAAGTAATTTATTATAAAATAACTTCAGTTTGTAAGTGATCAGGTACAACTCATCAGAAAACAAAAGTACATGGTCAGGTGTTTGCGTGTATGCGTAGGATCACGGTGGGTGTGACAGCTGCCATTGCAGGCTCTCTTGAGTTAAAGACTTCAGTAACACCATTGACATTGTCCTTGGGCTCATGATTTTCCAAAGGGGCAACTAACTCTTGGTAAATATCTGAACAAAACAAAGTATTTCATTTGTATGACATTTGCATTACCGGAAAATACAGGGAATGAATACAACAGTGCAATAACTATTTTGAGTTTATGTATAAATTGGAGTTAAGGTCTAGGCTCAGATAACTAGAAATAGTTTTTTCAACCACATCAATATGTAACAGGACCTTTGAAGGTCCTGTGGGACAATTCTTTACTGAGTGAGACAGTGTGGTACATTGCAGATCATCTGAATCCCAGGAAGGCCCCCCATTCTTATGGCACTCACAAATGCCCACCATTTACTGTCCACCTGCAGAGTAGTTGGGTCTGCCTCTCCCAGGCAGCTGCACTAGCCAGGCCTGGCTTATATGCAGTCAGAGGGCCCCTAGGGGAGTCTTAGGTCACTGAGCCCTTCCCACAGTGTTCAGATGGGTGGTGTCAGGCCCAGAGGTGCAGAGCTATTTACCCTTGTTCCTGAGAATCCAAGGGAGGGGCCTTTAGTGTCCATATAGTTCTGTCCTCCAGCAGGTGATACTGAGTAGCCATTTAGCTACAGAGAAGTCTGAATAAGGAACAATATGGCTACTTTCACCAGCCCAGAAGTAATTGTAAAGGCCCATTCTGGCCTTTATACCTAATGATTAGCAACCATAGGGAACACACAGCTATCTTCATGCCAGCAGCTTCTCTCAGTGTGTGTGCACAAGTATGTACCTGGCAGGATGTGAAAATGGGGCTTTCCACCAGTTTCTCCCTTGGGTTGCAAGAAGCCTCTTTCTATCATTCACATGGGTTTTCCCCTGGGGGCCACTTATATTGGATGCTGGTAACTGGGAAATGTTTGCATTTTAATTAAATTACCTAAGACAAGATAGTGCTTAGAAAAAAAAAAGAAAAAAACATGAATGGTCTTTCCACATGTGAAATCATTTTCTCTTCAAAGAAATAAGGCAAGTGATGTTCCAACCTCAGCACTTGTATTTGTTTGCTTTTTGTTTCTTGGTTTTTGCTGAGCACAAAACTGCCAAACTCAGCATGGAGAGGTGAACTTCCACGCTGTGTCCTCAGCATCTAGGGTACTGGCATCAGGCACACAGGGGCATAGAATGCAGATTTGTTGGATATGAGTACGTGAAGCCGTTATGGGACTGTCCTTTCTAGATAGTCCTGGGCCTCTTTTTTTTCACCCTAGTTTGGTTCCCCTGCCTCTTTTCCAAGTCAGTCATCTCACTATTTTCTAACTCATTCTCTTCCTGACACTGGCAAACAGCCCTGCGTGAGAAAGAGTCGTTAAATCTGTTGGCAGGGCCCCCCATTATTGTCTTTTTAAATGGCTGTCTTGTGTCAACCTGTTGGGAGAAGCAAGAGCCTCCCCAGGTCTTTTTGGAGAGCAAATCTAACAATTTCCACTTTATCCTGGCACCTTTTTGCCTAGAGCCAAACGTGGAGCAGCATAATCACAACCCCAGGTTAAGTGAAAGTTAGAACTAAACTTAGAGCTGGAAGCTTGTAAAATTCACTTACAAATATTTTCAAGCACCTGCATTATGCCAGATACTGTTCTAAGTTGTTGGGGCAGCAGCAGTGACCAAGACAAACTCTGCCCTCGTGGAGCTGCCTCTCTGGTGGGAAGAGCAGATCAGGCACAAATACTGCAGAACATGAGTGGAGTGAGGGGAGCAGCCAAGAGAACAGTGTCCTCAGAAGAGGGGACAGCAAGCACAAAATCCCTAAGGCAAAGAGATGGGGGGAGAAGGTAGGGAAAGAGGTCAAGGAAGGAGAGGGGAAGTGGGGGAGTGTCAAATCCTCGAGGACCTTGCTAGTCATGGCAAGGACTTTAGGTTTTACTTGGTATAAAATGGAAAGCCACTGAAGTGTTTGAGTCCGTGAATGCTGTAGTTTGTATGTGTCCCTTGAAGTTCATTTGTCAGAAACTTAATCCTGAATGCAACCATGTTCAGAGGTGGGACTTCTTTATTTTATTTTATTTTTTTTGAGATGGAGTCCTGCTCTGTTGCCCAGGTTGGAGTGCAGTGGTGCGATCTCGGCTCACTGCAACCTCCGCCTCCTGGGTTCACTCCATTCTCCTACCTCAGCCTCCCGAGTAGCTGGGATTACAGGCGCCCGCCACCACGCCCAGCTAATTTTTTGTATTTTTAATAGAGACGGGGTTTCACCGTGTTAGCCAGGATGGTCTCGATCTCCTGCCCTCGTGATCCGCCTGCCTCAGCCTCCCAAAGGAGAGGTGGAACCTTTAAGAGATGATTAGGTCCTGAGTGCTCTGCCCTTATAAATGAATTAATGTCCTTATCATGGGACTAGGTTAGTTATCACAAGAGTGGGTTCTTGATAAAAGGATGAATTCTGTTTCCTTCCTTCCCTGCCTCTCATTGTGCATGCTCTCTTGCCTTCAGCCATGGTAATGACACGGCAAGAAGGCCCTCACCAGATGTGGCCCCTCGACCTTGGACTTCTCAGCATCCAGAACCGTATCTGGCCTTTTCATAAATTACTCAGTCGCCAGTATTCTGTTACAGCAGCACAAAACAGACTAAGGCAATGTATTTTTTCTGAGCCCTTAATTTAAAACTTCTTTACTGCAGTATCTCTTCACATGTGGTAC
This sequence comes from Homo sapiens, assembly GCF_000001405.40. Lineage (NCBI taxonomy): Eukaryota > Metazoa > Chordata > Mammalia > Primates > Hominidae > Homo > Homo sapiens. Next base: position 174,606,774 of record NC_000002.12, on the reverse strand, counting down.
TAGAAGTGTTAGCACTAAGACCTCGGGGAAGAGAAGCCAATTTAGCTCTTCTACTGGCCACAAATCCAACAATACCTAGTCAATTCCTTGTTTTAAGAGATGGCTTCAAGCAGAATAAACTCTTCCTAAGAATTTATAACTATAAAGCGCAGAGTTGGCTCTAGGTGGACCAAGACTTTTCCGGGACTGACATTGATTGAACATCTGTTAAGTGTCATTCAGGCATCCTGCCAGCATAAAAGATGAGTAAGATGGGGCCTGCGTGTCAGGCCCTCACTGTCTAGAGTTGTGTTGCCCAGTGTGGTAGTGGCTCTGGAGCACTTGAAGTGCTGCCAGTAGTAAAGTAAACACCAGTTTCTGAAGACTTCTTGTGAAAAAAAGAGTATAAAATACCTAATTCATAGTTCTTTTCAAATGTTTAGTACATGTTATAATGATACTATTTGGGGGGATTTTCATTGGTTTTTTTGATACTATTTTTGAAGTAGTGTGTTAAAAGAAAATATTACAATCTCACCTATTTACTTTTACTATTTCTAACATAGCTCGTAGAAAATATAGAATTGCACACGTAACTCAAATTATATTTCTACTGAACAGTGCTGATCTAGAAAAAAGGGTCTGTTCTTTTGTTGGTTGGACTTTTATTTTTACTTTTTTATTGCCACTAATAATGGGTGTTCAGATTTTGAGAGTTTACTCCTTTTCTGGGAAGAACCACTTGTTCTTTGACCATTGTAGGGGAGCCCTCATTCTATCCAGTTTCTCCAAGAGCAAAAGAAATTATTTTGAGAAGTAAAAGGTAACTTCTGTAACTCTGTAAGTTACCTCTACAAGTCTGAGCATTTTTACACTAGATTAAGCAAACCTCTTTAACAGCCTCTAGTGGATAAGGAAGGGAATGAGCCACAAGTCTTTTTTTTTTAATGCTTTTTGTTATGGAAACATTTTAAATATATATGAAAAGTAGACAGAACTGTGTAACAAACTGCTGTGTACTCCTCACCCAGCTTCAAGAATGGCTATTTCATGATCAATTTTGTTTCATTTGTACCCCTACCCACTTTCCCTCCTTTTCTATATTACTTTGGAAACAAGCCCAGGCATCATATTTCATCCACAAATATTTCAGTATATATCTCTAAAAGTTAGGGATTCTTTGTAAAATACAATATAACCACAGTAACATTATCACACCTAACAATTATCAATATCTTAATATCATTAAATATCTGAACAATATCCAAATTTCCAATTGCCTCATTTTTGTTTTTTAGTTTATTTGACTCAGGATCCAAGTAACATCTACACGTTGCCTTTTGTTTGTTTGTTTGTTTGACACAGAGTCTTGCTCTGTCGCCCAGGCTGGAATGCAGTGGCGTAATCTCGGCTCACTGTAACCTCCGCCTTCCGGGTTCAAGCAATTCTCCTGCCTTAGCCTCCTGAGTAGCTGGGATTACAGGTGCGCACCACCCCACCACGCCCAGCTAATTTTTGTATTTTTGGTAGGGACAGGGTTTCACCATGTTGGTCAGATTGGTCTCGAACTCCTGATATTGTGATCCGCCTGCCTCTGCCTCCCAAAGTGCTGGGATTACAGGCGCGAGCCCCTGCGCTGGCCCACATGTTGCTTTTGATTGCTGTACCTCTTGAGTCTCAGGCTCCCCTCGCTCTTACTGCATTGGCTTCATGCTCAGTCTCCACGTCTATAATGTGGGTATAATACTGCCATTCCAGCCCCACACCTCTAATGTGGATAACATACTACCAATTCAGCCCCACACACCTTAGAATAAGTCTCACTACATCTCCTTGGTTCAAAAGTAGTCTCTGAACCAGTCACTGCAGCCAGGGAACCCAAGGCTTTAATTAGCCAGGGCTGGTCACTTTCCATTCCTGGAGTCAGAGTAGAGTTACTCCAGATCTGGATCATAATCCCAAAAGACACAGTCCAGAACACCATAATCCCGAATGTTGAAATTCCCAAAGATGAAAATCCCTAAAGTATAAATCTCTAAAGTCTAAAATCCTGAACATCTAAAATCCCCAAAATCACAATCACAGAATAGCTGCATCATGTTAGGCCAGCTCTTCGGACTATCTCCATGCAATTGCCCATAATCTATCCCCATAATACTCTTTTCATATGTTGAATTTTCTTTTTAGTTCTTTTTCTTATTTTAGTTTTTTTTCCACTATTTTAAAGTTTCAGCATGATTTTTTATAATTCACTATGCCATCTATTTCATCTTTTCATCATTTCCAATACTGGACATATACATTGTGAAGAGACTTTTGGAAAATTCTAATTCATTAAATGCCTTTTTTGCAAATTTAACTCCATAAAAATGCATCAGCACAGCATTGACTTTGTGTGTAAGCATTGCGCATATACATAAAAATGTTGAAACATCCTCAATAAATGAAGAGATGGCCTTTTATACAAATCTGCGTTTGTGAAGAAAATTTCTTGAGATCTCAGCTCTTTGGGCAACTGCCTATGTGGTAACTGCATGTCACAGTTTTTTATTGATCTCATCAAAAGATTCTTTGTCACAGTATTTCAGATGACCAAATTTATAAAGCTGGGCACAAACAATACCAACTGTAGTGATATGCATTTGTACACTTCTCTTCTTGCCCTATTTCTTTATGAATACAGATGTCTGCTTATAACTTCTATACCTGTGCTACTGTCGTTGGAATACCTGAGTGTTTATGCTTGCAAAAATATTTGTGTTATTATTGTCTATTTTATTGTGTAAAATGGCCTATGAAGTGTTCTGTCATGTTTTTATATGTTTCTTAAATAAATCCTCCTTTAAAATGTAAATAAATATCTTTCAAATAATTCTCTATTATTTCTTCCAGAATTATATTTTCAGGATTTTGATCTTTTGGGATTTCAGTATTCAGGATTCTGGTGTTTGGAATTGTGTCTCTCAGGATTATGATCGGGTCCCTCCCCACTCTATCTAATGTTAGCATGCTGTAGAGAATTTGGGTTTTCCAACCTGCAAGTCTCCAAATTATTTGACTCTCACCCATCTTGGTTGCAGATCACAGCCAAAAAAAGGCCTCTCTTAACAAAGCCGTATTTTTTCCCTCTGTGCCTCTAGTCAGTTTTGAGCCTACATTTATCTCTTTCCTGTGGATCTTACTAAAAGACACAAGAAATAGCCAACACACTGCACCATTCTAAATGCTTTTCCAGTGAATCCATTAATGGTGTACCATGAGTAGGCTCCTGTCTCAGACCGAGGAGTCAATAGGTGGCAGCATAACTAGCTATTTTGTTGTCACTTAACAAGGACTGCCAATTTTCCAGTCCAGGCCAGCCTGCGCTAGCCTTCCCCAACCTCAAATCAGCCAGTTGCACATTTTAGGCTTAGTCACATTCAACACTCACTTCTAGTACCAATTCCTTTATCACTTAAGAGTCTTTGCATTGCTAATGATAGAAAACGTGACCATACCAGCTTAAATAAAATAGAGAATTTATTTGCATAAATTAAAGGTCTAGAAAAAGGCCATCTTCAGTTATAGATAGATTCAGGGCTCAACCAACAACACCAGCACTTGGTTTTTCTCCCTCTTCCAATTCCCATTTTGTTGGTCTTGGTTTTAGACCCCATGTGGTCAAAGGATGAGTGCAGCAGGCCCATCCCCTACATCCTCAACAGATCTGGTTCCAGCCTCATCCCTCAGGGATAGAGCTCGCCTCAGCCTACAAATTTCCTTGATTCTGATGATCACAAGCCATCACCAGAAGTCTCTAGGGCCAAATGAATGCAAGGCTCTGATTAGCCAGCCTTGAATCACATGCTTTTCCTCTGTCTGGAATGGGAGTGAATGCCTCTGGATGCACATGGTTTGAGAGTGAGCACGGGATGATTCTCCATACAAACAAATGGACGTGATTATAAGTAGGGGGAATGGTTGCTGAGCTGCCAAAACACAACAGAATACACTGCAGACTTTTCCCCAAGTAAGATTACATCAATTTATATTAACAGGGTGCAGAATACTACAAGGTTTGTTTTTAATTTATCTATGTTTCTGAGATTATTTTTAAATGATCAACCCTGTATGTAGCTGTACTGATAATTATGTGGTGGAGAGGATTATTCCTTTGTTTCTGCTCTTTTAAATCAAATAATTCCCATATTTTAACATTTTGAAAATAGATTCTTACAACTAATGCATATCTTTAATCTGGTAGTGTTTCTTTTTCACCCTAAAAATCTATAAGGAGTCATTCTGCAGTATAAGAAGGAATAATGTAAGTTTTAGAACTGCGGGATGCAGTATTATAAAACACCTTTCCACTACTGGGGAAATACTGCACCATAACAGGTAGTCATGGAAACACAACTTGAAAAACCAGAATTATTTAAAACTTATGTTGCCATATTTTACACATGCCACTGTTGCACTGATTCAGTCCATGTTGACTGGGGGCCACGGCAGGAGGCTGTGATTCTTCAGCACTTTTTCTACACTGGCTAGACCTACATTATTGTTTTATAATCTTCTGCCTGCTCTTGGTTTTTTATTTCTATAGATTAATATGGAGGATTCTTTATGTGATTGGTCTGCGAGCCTATTGGTTATTGTTTTACTCTGTCATTAAGCTCAGACTGATGCATATTAAATGGGAAAGAGATACGCATTTAAAATTCTCTTTAAGTCCAGAATTGTGATTGTCTTTATTCATCCAGGCTTTCAATCCACTTATCTCAGGCCTTTGGTTATAGTATAACAACCTCTCCCATCCGCATCACAGCCTTTCTCTCCACCCTCTTTCTTCTGCCTCTTCTTGTACTTACAGAAAGGAGGTAGGTGGTATCACCCGAACCTGAAATGAGGCTAAAGACATTAATGGCGCTGGACAGTGGAGTGGAGCCCAGGCTTTGGCCACTGCTCTGCTGCTGCCAGCTGTGTGACATGAGCAGGATGCCTAACTTCTCTGGACCCCTGTTTCTTCCTCTGTAAGTGGTGATGTAGACTTTGATCTCTGCAAGTCTCCTGCAGCCTTAAAGTTCTTTTCTTTTTAAAGAACGTGGCTGCTGGAAAAGCTGACACTGAGCTGAGAACTCCGCTTCACTGCGGAAGGCCAGACAGCACTGTTACATCCAGCACCTGTGGGTCATCCACTGCAGAGGTGGCTTCCAAAGCCTCTGAGGTCAGCAGTGTGGTTGTAGCTCTCCTCTACCCACCACATGATCTCTCCCCATCTCCAGCTTTTCTTGCCTTATTTTCTTTATCTTTTTATTTCCCCCCCTTCCTTTCTGATTGTTCTATTTGTTTTCAATTTTCTTAATCCATTTTTCTCTTCACATTGCCCAATGGTGTAAGCCACCTGCACTGCATAAGACTCTGCCTGCACTGCCAGGCCCACTGATGGGCCAAGGGTTTTACCTGCTGACCTTTTCTCTGGAAAATTTCCCTTTAACAGCTTCTCCCAAGAAGGCTTAAGTCTAGTCTTGGCATTTGTTATTTACCATTTCAGGGGGAACAGTCTTAAGCTTTTAAAGGAACATTATGCTGGGCAGCGTGGTGGTTCACACCTATAATCCCAGCACTTTGGGAGGCTGAGGTGGACAGATCACTTGAGGCCAGGAGTTGGAGACCAGCCTGGCCAACATGGCGAAACCCCGTCTCTACTAAAAATACAAAAAAAAAATTAGCCAGGCGTGGTGGTGCACGACTGTAGTCCCAGCTAGGGAGGCCAAGACATGAGAATCGCTTGAACCTGGGAAGTGAAGATTGCAATGAACCAAGGTCATGCCACTGCACTCCAGCCTGGGTGACAGAGTACGACTCTGTCTCAAAAAAAAAAAAAAAAAAAAAAAAAAAAAAGGAACATTATGCTGTAGTAGAATTCGTAAGAAACATTGATTTTCTTTTCCATTCAACAAACACTATTTTCAAACACCTGCATTAGATGCTGAAGCAACAGCAGTCAAACACCTGCATTAGATGCTGAAGCAACAGCAGAAACAAGATGGACAAGGTCCCTGCTCTCATAGAGCTTGAATTCTAGTGGAGAGAAACATACAAGTAAATAAACAGATAAATAAGACAGTGTCAAGCGGTGACGCATGCTATGCATAAAAGAAAACAGCAGAAATGGGTCATGAGGGAGAGCATTTTTGCTGACATTTGAAGAATAAAAAGGAACAAAAAGATGAGTGTACCAGGCGTGAGTACCAGGCTTGCAAGTAAAAGGCCTGAAGATGCAAATGAGCTTGGTGCATTTAAGGAACAGAAAGATTTGGAAGGTAAATTAGCAAGGCAGAATATTACTTGAGATGAAGGCAGAGAGTTAAGGAGGGGCCAGATCTCGTGGGTCCCTGTGGACCTAAGAGTTTGGACTTTTTAAGTGAAATGAGAAGTCATTGGAGGGTTTTAAGCAGGGGAGGAACATTATCTAATTTATGTCCTAACATGCATAGTAGACACCTGATAAATGTGTCCAAAGTTGACTGTAGGAATAGACTCAAACTACACAACTACTCCCTTGCATGTCTTGGGGACTGCAGCCTTCTAGGTGACATACTCCCTTCTAAGTGAGCTTTTCCTAAGGTAGGGGTCTCCAACCAGTCTATGGCCCCTTAGGAACCAGGCCACACAGCAGGAAGTGAGCAGCTGGTGAGCAAGTGTTCCCTCCTGAGCTCTGCCTCCTATCAGATCAGCTGCGCATTAGATTCTCAGAGGAGCAAGAATCCTAAAGTGAACTGTGCATGCGAGCTCCTTATGAGAATCTAATGCCTGATGATCTGAGTTGGAGCAGTTTCATCCTGAAACCATCCCCACCCCCTGCCCCCACTCCGTGGAAAAATTATCTTCCACAAAACCAGTCCCTGGTGCCAAAAAGGTTAGGGACCACTCCCCTAAGGGATGGAAATAGCCATGAATGGTATGTGTACTGAGAGAGAGAGAGAGAGAGAGAGATAGCTAGAGAGAGAGAGAGAGAGAGTGTGTGTGTGTGTGTTTGGGGTGTCTTACTTAGAGAACTTCAAAATAATTCTGAAAATACGTAGAGAAATTGTCATATCGCCCATGTTCTCTTTTTAGACCCAACTATAATTAGACTTCCCCAAAGATTCACTCAGGCATTTACTTAATAGTTGATCAAGTTTTCTGTTTTCCTGAGGGTTTGTATCGCGGGAAGTGGCTGATAGCTGTAGGCCTCCACCTCTGTCCAGCCCCATGCCTGCAGGTATTTATTTGTGACCTAAGTCACGGGTGGACACCAGGCCAGAGTTAGACAAGAGGCGGTCCCTGCCTTCAAGGGGCTCCAGGCAAAGCAGAGGACTCTCAGTCACTTATTCTTGGGTACTCCACTCCAGGAACTGTGCCCATGGCCTGGCATCATGAATCTGCTCATGCAATTAGACTCCTATCTCAGGGAATTTTGAGTTTAAAAGATCCTTAGACATCATCTGTCCCAGTACTCCCCAGTAGGAGCACTTCTGGTATTTTGGGTGGGACTGTCATAAGCACCATAGGAAATTTCCCATTCCTGGCCCCACCCACTGAATGCTACAGGCCCCTGCCCCCACCATTCCCACTCACTGCTCACCACCCCCAACAGCTACCTGAGTTGAAAATTACTCATCTAGCCCAGTTCCATCACTTTACAGGTAAGGCAATGTTAGACAACATACGTTCTTTTCATGCCTCTGGCCTCTGATCCTAGCAGAATCAGGACCCAACATTCAGATTTTACAATGAAGCTAGTTTCTGAAATATGCCTCTCTTTTAAATTCTTTGACTGTTACTGTTTTCTCAGAGTTATATACTATGTGTTGCATATGTAAGTCTGAACCTTTAAGATGGGTTAAGAAAAAATTATGAGCATTTTCAGATCGTTCTATACATAACTCAAGGTTTTGATAAAATGTTTTCTACATGTATTCCATTGCCATCCACCTCTTGAGTTCTTTAATAATGAGAAATCTGACTTTCTTCCTTCCACCCTCTTTATCTCTATGCTTTTGTCAAGCATCTTCTAGGAGAGTTACTGTTATCCCATTAAGTGTGGGGGACAGAAACATTTGGCATAGAAAGCTATGGATCTGCAGCTGACTTAAGCTGTATATTATTACCCTGACTTGGGCACCAAAATCACGTTTCAAAACTCATTTGCTGCCAAGTATGGTAGCTCAAGCCTGTAATCCCAGCAATCTGGGAAGCTAAGATGGAAGGATCACTTTGAAGCTAGGAGTGCAAGACCAGGCTGGGCAACAAAGCAAGATCCCATCTCTACCAAATATAAAAATAAAATAAATTAGCCAGGTGCAGTGGCATATGCCTGTAGTCTCAGCTACTCAGGAGGCTGAGGCTGGAGGATTGCTCGAACCCAGGAGGTCAGGGCCACAGGGAGCTATGATTACGCCACTGCACTCCAGCCTAAGTGACAGCAAGACTGTCTCTCTAAAAAAAAAGAAATAAATAAAACAAAACCAAAAAAAGAACCTCATTTGCCTTCATACACCTGACCTGCTCTCTTTACCTGCATTTGTAACTTTCTCCCCACACACTTGAATGCCCTGTAAATGAGAAGAAGCCCTTAGCCTAATGAAGCGATAAGGTAAGGTAGGTAAGAGCTTTTCTTTCTTGAGTGACTCTTTTCCCTATTACTCAATGGAATAGTCAGTATTTACAGTGATACTTTCAAATATAATTTTCCTAAAGGAATCTCAAGTTCCATGAACAGTTATTTTTGTGGGAATATCTAGAATAAAGTTGGACTCTTCACTGAGTGGAGGTGCTCATCTCCTCTTGTCACTGTACCAAATAGCTGTGTATTACACCTTGTGGGGAGGAGAAACATTTAATTTTTTTTAATTTAGGTTTTTTTTCTTGCTTGCTTCTTAAGCAAAACCAATCTAGTTTCTTTTTCTGCAGCAAAGGAGGAAGGAACAACAAACAACAAATTAATCAGACAGGAAGCGAATAACCACAGAAGGACGTCTGCCTCTGACTCAGTATGTCACATTTAACAAGAGGCCAGAGCTTGTCCAAAATGGCTGTCCAAAAACGACCCCACACTTGCGTTAGAAGATGATACCTTTTTCAGGGACAGTTTTCTCTCTTGGCTCCTGTCCCGCTGGCCCTCTGTCTGCCTGTGTCCCTGACCATGGCTCCCTGCAGTACCCTTTAACGGTAAGAAAAATTATATTCAAACTAAGTTTATTTCATTTATCAGCTACAGGGAAGAACTAAATGGCTTTTAATGGACCATAGTATGTCAAGATAAAGTTGTTTAATTTTTCTGTAGAGCACCATGTGAGCTATTCCTGTTGCCCAGAATGCTAGTTTCACCACTATGGTGATTGTGAATGATTCATAACTTATGCTTTGAGCCAAAATGTAAGCAAGATTTTCAATAGAATTTTTTTGACCACTGGACAAGTTTGGATCCACAGGAATTTATTTTCCCATTTAAATTGGGGGCTTATGTCGGTAAATATATCCTTTTGGTGTATGATACAGTTGTCCACACAACTGCCTTTGAATCTTTGGTGTGGCCAGCAACAATAAGTGCTTTAAAGTACAAGGAGCCATTGGAAGCTTCAAACGAAAATACCATGGAACTAAGCTGTTGCAGTTCTGTTGCTGCCAATGTGCTATTTAAGTTCAAAACTCAAACTAAACCATTTCTAAGCAGAGTCTTTTATAATACGATTTGTCTTTTAGAATAAGTCTATTCCTGTTATAACAGTGTGTGCACAATTACTATCGCAAATCAAATTCTACAGCATTAGTTATAACTTTATGTTTAATATGATTAATGTTTTGGCATAAAATATTGTGATTTTTAAAATTTCAAGCCATCTACTCAGAGGCTTATAGAGCAGAACTAAGGAAACTTTTTACATTAAAAAACTTTTTTCTAGAATATGTAGGAAGAAACAATTTGACTTATGTTCCTTTCTCCCCGTGAAGAAATATAAAATAAAGCTTTAAAAAACTCAGAAGGCACATATAACTTTAGTCACTAAGTACAAGTTTTTTGTTTTTTTTGTTTTTGTATTTTTAGTAGAGACAGGGTTTCATCATGTTGGTCAGGCTGGTCTCAAACTCCTGACCTCAAGTGATCTGCCCGCCTCGGCCTCCCAAAGTGCTGGGATTACAGGCATACAAGTTATTTTAAATAATTTAATGGCATAACTAGTATATGTAGTAGAGAATGGAGAGGTGGTAAATGAAAAGGCTACTGAAAGATTCTAACTAAGCAAAGTAAGACAGCTTGGTAGAGAGAAAGATGAAAGACTGGGGAAAGAATAGGACAGGACAGTGAGAAAGGAAGATGAGAAACTGGGAAAAGGTTTTGAGGTTGATCTGTGTGGAAATCATACTCTTACAATTCACTTGGACTACAGTGCTATGTGTTAACTTTATCAAGCTTTGTTCTTCTGTACTGGAATATCATCATGTCAAAACTCTTCCTTTTATCAGTCTAAGGTCATTAAATGACTTACCTGAAAGTCATTTTTCACTAAGTCAGGTTTTCTATTGCTCTTTGAAAAGTTTATTCATGGGCTATTTGCTCATAGCGCTTCAGCTACTCTAATATCTAACCTTTTAAGGGTTACACATACTCTGGGTGGACTGAAATATTCAGAGAACTCCCTGTGGTGAAAATTAGTTCCTGGGATCGAGCAGCAACTTCAGATCTGATCAAATTCTAAATCTGGCCTGTAGGCTGGAAGTTCCCCAGCCTACCTAAAATATGAGATGAAGTGATACTGAATTCCTGGACCCTTTAAGTGTTATGACCTTTTGAAGCCTTCTTAACATTTTATGAACACACATCATTTACTTTGGAAGTTTCTGGCTGTTTAAATTATGATATATTTCTGCTTTAAGGTTTGACTCATTTTGTCCAAATTGTTAAACATGTGCTTGTTGTTGAAGAAAGCATTTCTCCTGGACTTCCATAAATACCTCTGTCTGTCCTGAAAATTAAAACTGTAAAAAAATACTAGAATAAGGAATGCCTTAATCAGTATGCTTTTCTGAGAAATTTGAAATGCACTTTATACACATCTCCCTTCACCATTCACTTGTAATATGGAAGTTTGCATGGGTGTACACACATAGGCTGATTTAAATCAGCTCATGGTTTCTCTTTCTCGTGGTTAAATAGGGGGAAAGACTGTGATATTTACTGACCACTTATTTTGTGTTACGTTCTTCACCTTTGCTTATTTTATTTTTTGAAAATGGCTAATACTTATTAAGCACTCCTTCATTTAACTCTTGAATAACCCTACTAAGTAGGTGCTATTATTTTGAAAACCGGACTTACATAAGCTAAGTAATTTACCCAAGGCCACCTAACAACTAAATGTGGAGGAAGTTATCTGAATTGTAAGAGCTTTTTTTCACAAGTGCAGCTTGGAAGCAACATTATAAATTGTATGATTTCTGTTTTTCTTTTTCTTTTCTGTTTTTTTTTTTTTTTTTTTTGAGACAGGGTTTTGCTCTGTCATCCACACTGGAGTGCAATGGCATGATCACAGCTCACTGCACCCTCAAACTCCTGGACTCAAGCAGTCCTCCCACCTCAGCCTCCCAAGTAGCTGGAACTACAGATGTGTGCCACCATGCCCAGTTAATTATATATATATATATATATATATATATATATTTTTTTTTTTTTTTTTTTTTTGTAGAGATGAGGGTCCCACTATGTTTGCCCAGGATGGTCTCAAACTCTTGGGCTCAAGCTATCTTCCCACCCTGGCCTCCCAGAGTGCTGGGATTATAGTCATGAGCTACGACACCCAGCCAGTATGATTTCTTGAGGTGCTTTTCCGGCCTTGGGAATCTGAGATTACAAATGTTTTGCTTTAAATGTCACAGCAACAGTAAATATCTTTAAAACTAACAATCTCAAGTAAGATATTTTCCTTTTTAAGTCTTTTCACTTCTTCAGAGGTAAACTTGGTGACACTTCTGCTTATATCATAAAGCTGTACTTTCAATGATAAAATGAATACAGTATATATCAAGTGTGCTGACATATATGCTGTGTGTGTATGTGTGTGTGAGAGAGAGAGAGAGAGAAAGAGAGAGAGAGAAACAGTGGCACATCTTAATCCTCTGGTAGAACTAAATGTGGTGATAGCGATTTAGGCAGATTTTAGCTTGGAGATTTGAACCCCTTAAAGAGATGGGAAGTATGGGAGAAAACCTGCTACTCTTTAATTATATGGATAAAATAAAAATGTTTCCTTTCCCTTTCCTTCAGTTAAATAATGACAGGTAGGCGTGTCATTCAGCTCACCTTCATTTTCTCACTATTAAAAGGGTCTTCGATGTCTGTGAATTTGTATTAATTTTAAAATTAAATGTGCACAATAGTGGATTAAAAAATAATTTTACTTCATAGCAACCTTTATTTCCCTAGCAGTACTCTTGCAGTAAAATTGTGTCCAAGCTCCTAGCCAGTCTTAGTGATGTTCGAGATGCTTCAAAATGTCTTCTTTGAAAAACACCTTTCCTACTCCCCGCCAAAATAAATCACCTCCTTATCTAAAAGAACTATAAAAGAAGCATTTCTAGGTTCAGCAGACTTAAATTGACATTTACCATTAAGAAGACAACCTAATCAGACGTTGCTGAAGTATTGTTTTTCAATGATGATTGACTGAGAAAAGAGCAGTACATTTTGAGAAATGAGGGATTCTGTGTATGGCAAGCGTGTGCTCCACATTCAGCTCAAATGGAGACTAACAATGCATAAGAACCAACTGGGTGAGGCTGCTGATTTGCTAATAAAGCTGTTTTCCTCTTCTCTGCCTTTTGCTTCCTCTGGAGTCCAGCTGCCTTTTCTGTTTCCCCTCTTGTATCCATGGCTTATTGCTCTGAGCAAGGACCTTCAGCTTGGAGAGAGGAAGAGTAGCAATAATAGAAACGAACCTTTCTGCAAAGGTATTGAAAGTTTCTAAAATGGCCAGACCACATGCTGGGGGGAAGGGATGGTAGAGCTGTTGCAGTGACTCGCGTCATAAAATAGAAACTCCAGGCAACTGCAGCTGTGAAAAGATTGTGTTAAAGAAACAGGATGACTGTGGTTTACTGCGAGCATCAATTTTCCTGTTGAGCATTTTTTACAGGAAGTTGAAGAACAAAGCCAAATTCATCTTAATTAGTTCTAATGGTTTTCAGATCTTAAATACATCCAGCTAAGTTTGCATCATGGAGGAGTATCTAAAGAATAGAATCAAGAATAATTGAGTAGGAATCCCAAAACGACATGCTTTTTAAAATTCACCGTCTTAGCAGCAATTTGAGTTTGCTCGATGATTTTATTTTTGCAGGGTGACTTGGAGTGGATTCACTGTCTTTGTAATGAATGCCCTTGCAGTTATTTTTTATGGTTGTAATAACTCAATATGAATTTAAAAACCTTTTCTCAGGAAAACACTTTTGTGTTACATGTATTATAAATTTTGTTCTGTTAATATTTTTTTGTCAAACAATTGTGTGTATATGTGTATGTGTGACACAGAGAGAGAGAGGGAGAGAGAGAGAGATGTACATGTACTTATAAGCTGGAAGGACATGTATCAAAATAACAAAGAGTTACCTCTGGTTATTACCCCCAACCCTTTTTCATATAAAAATTAATTATTATTCAGTGCTTCCTTTAGTGGTTAAATACAACTTCAGTGCTTTTTTTTTTCATCTTTGTATATTTTTGTATTCTCTACAATATAAAAGAAAAAAAAGAAATCTTGAAGAAAACAACAACAAACAAAAAACTAACCTGAAGATGCCAAAAGCACTCAAGAAATACATAGATGAAAATGAGTTAAGAGCATTATATATAAAGTAAAATATAAATGAGTTCAGGCATGGTGGCTCATGCCTATTATCATAGCATCTTGGGAGGCTGATGCGGGTGGATCACGTGAGGTCAGGAGTTCAAGACCAGCCTGGCCAACATGGTGAAACCCCATCTCTACCAAGAATACAAAAATTAGCCAAGTGTGATGGCACACGCCTGTAATCCCAGCTACTCGGGAGGCTGAGGCAGGAGAATTGTTTGAACCCAGGAGGTGGAGGTTGCAGTGAGCCAAGATCGTACCACTGCACTCCAGCCTGGGCAACAGAGCCAGACTCTGTCTCAAAAAAAAAAAAAAAAAATCAATAAATAAATGTAAATAAAAATAGAAAATAATGAGGGCAAGAGAGCAGTTGGATTTTTGAATCTATCCAGTTATATTATTTCTGATACCCTCCCCCACCCCCAGCAAATAAAATATTCCTCTATTGATTCAATCTTTTTGGGGAAAAGAAGTTTAATATTCCACCATTCATTTTAGGTATGATAGTATTTAAGGGTTACTTTTAGCAACATTTATAGAGCAAAATGCTTTATATTTTTGAATAGTCCAAATTAATGATAAATGTAATTGGATAAAGCTGCTTCTTATCTTCTCTAATAGAACCCCTGCCCACTTGGGATTAGAGACCGGCCTTTGGAGGATTGTCAACTGTGTTCACTGGGGACTATTAGGAATCACTCCCCACCTCATGTCATTCTGTAGTGTGGGCCCTAGGCAGTGCAATCTAGAATTAATTGTAAGTTGGCTATGAAACTAAGAAACAGCTTATTTAAATAACTACCCCACTTTCTTGATCCCAAGGAAGGCAATCATTTTACATTCAGGGATGAGTCTGCTTTCCTAGATGAGCACATTGAAGAAGAAACCCTGAGTTTCCTGGGGCACGTCTGGACTGAACTGTGAGCTATGGTTGACCTCTAGTTGGCCATGCCATTGAGGAGAATGTGTCCCCTGTACTGTTGGGAGTGGGCTGAGCAGTTCTCTTTCTCTCACAGTGCTCGTTGTAGCGAACATTGCATGTTTAACAAGTGAGTCGAGGCTGCAAGATGCCCTAGTTGATCTGGGATCAGTGAATGTTGTCTAAATGTAAGTGTTAAACCATGATGTTGACCTAATAGCATTCTAGTAAGACAAACGATGCCAGCCATTTCATTCACAGAATGAACTAGGAAGTCCAGAATTTCTAAATGTTGGGGTGGTGTGTGTGTGTGTGTGTGTGTGTGTGTGTGTAAGCAACAAAGAAGAAACAGTAATTAAATTTTTAAAGTCATTTATGCAAATTATTTCACTCTGTTCTCTCAACCCATAAAGCCAGTTCCTTACGAAAGGGTTATTGCTAGATCCCTCCCCTTACTTCAGCTATTTTCACCTAAAATTTCATTATTTTTGAATGATTCATTCACTTATTAAATAAACCTTTGGCAGTCACTTACATACTCTAGGGTTCTGGCTGATTTTTAAATTTTTTAACGTATGACAATCCAGAAATATCTTGCTGAGAAATCAGTTGATGGATAGTTTATTCAAAGGCCATTATCTTATTGTTTCCACAATGGATAATAGACAAACGTATGTTGTTAAAACCATGTGTATTAATTTGCTAGGACTGCCATAATAAAATACCACAGCCTGGGTAGATCAAATAACAGAAATTTGTTTTCTCCCAGCTCTGGAAGCTGGAAGTCCAAGATCAAGATGTGGGCAGGTTTGGTGTGTTCTGAAGCCTCTTTCCTTGGTTTGCCACCTTCTCACTGCGTCTTCACTTGAAGACTTTCCTCTGTGTGAGCACATGCCTGATGTCTCTTCCTCTTTGTATGAGGACACCAGTCAAATTGGATTAAGATCTCACCCAATGGCCTCATTTTAGCTTAATCACCTCTTTAAAGACCCTATCTCCAAATACAGTTGCCTTCTGAGGTCCTGAGGGTCAGGAATTCAGCATATCACTTTTGCAGGGGACATAGTTCAGACCGTAATACTGTATGTGAAAACAAAAGCCTTTTCTGTCCCTTGAGTTTTCTTTGTGTTTGTAGAAGTCAACACACCAAGTAAAGATTTTAGAAAGTCTGGCTTTTCTATCATGAAAGTTACTTAACATTGAAATTATTCTTAAAAAGAAATTAATTCTGAAAAGTGTGACTTCTTAAAAGTTCATTGCTTGGGTTGGGGTGGGGTAGGAGGGCAAGGCCCAGCAAGTGGGTAGGCATGTGATCCGACACTACTGAGAGCCCAACTAGTCTGGGAAGCCGGACACAGGCACAGCAGATTCTGATGCAGGAGATGACTGACCACACTGGGAAACTGCTGCTGAGTCCCTTCCCTTCTTGCGTCTCTCCTGCACCCGAATCAGCTGCCTTTCCTGCCATGCTCCCATCTCCAAGGGAAGAACCAAATGCTGGGAGGCCCAGTCATCAGTCAGCCTCATTCCCACCCAGGCAGATCCACCCACAGCCACTGAGCAAAGCTGTGGCCCCTCAGACTAGCCTCCAGGTCCATCCCTCCTCTGCCAGGCACTCAGCAGCTTGTACCAGCAGGACCCATCCTCACCCTCTGAAGGACAGAGCTAAGCCCTGTCCACTGACAGCTTTGCTCCCCCAGGCCATGCTGAAAGCCTTGCACACACCATTTCATTTAATCTGCTCAGCAACTTCCCATTTAACAGATGGGAAAAACAAATTCCCATCTGAATCTGCCAGGTGGCAGAGCAAGGATTCAGAACCAAATTTGCCTGACCAAGGTCTCATGTTCTCCCTTTTTCATTCTATAAACCCACTGGTAAAGCCCAAAGGACTCCTTTTTTTAAAAAATTTAATTTTAATTTGTTTTTATTTTATTTTATTTTATTTTTAGAGATAAAGGGCTCACTTTGTAGCCCAAGCTAGTCTTAAACTCCTGGGCTCAAGCAGTCCTCCCACCTTGACCACCCAAAGTGTTGGGATTATAGGCATAAGTCACCACTCCCAGTCCCAAAGGGACCCTTTTGTGTCTACGTTTAAATGCATAAAATAAAATACAGAGAATTACAAAGGAAACTAATTTATTAAAATATGTACTTCTTTATTAATGGTTTAAACAACAAGATCTAGCAATGGATCTAAACGTTGCCAGCATGTTGAAAATTGTTGGTGTGTAGTTGTAATATGATGTGAAATATCACGTGAAAACTATGGGTGAAAGAATATCAGATATTATGGTTTGTGGCCTGCATTCATAATCAAAGGAAATGCTACATTTCAGTTAGTGCTTAGTAGAAATAATATGTACTTTTTTTTCATACAAGTTCATGAACCCTTGAATTCTATCCACAGACTCTGGGTGTGAGGATCCAGGCAGGAATGCCTGGTCTGTTAGGATCCGTGCTCTAGGGCCAAGGCCTTCAGTAAGATCTGGCTGTGGCTCTGATGTGGGCTGTCAAGTCCATGAGAGGAGGGAAGCCCTCCTCTCCCAGGGCCTTGGGGCTCTACTTCTCTGGGGAAGTTGGAGGCTGCCAGGAAAGTAAGTTCCAGTCTGCAACACTAGCAAGCCCCTCTGAAATAGGGCTGATTCTTTTGCCCAGATCTCACAGTGCGGTGGGGTGATGCTGGGAGCCCTTCAAGTGGCAAGCACTCGGCTTGTTTGTGTGATACACAGTTCTTTCACTGCATATATATTTAGTAAGAACCCTACTTTGTGCCAGGTATTGGCAAGACCCCATGGAGTCCATAGGCTGGTGGAAAGACAGCCAAGAAGTGGGCCTGGTGTGGCCGGTGGGCCCAGTGTTGGGGCACACGAGCTTGGTCTTTGATCCAGGGGCTGAGTGAGGTGGCAGTATTGGAGTCTGGGGTTTCTCACACACTTCCCTTGAGGCCCCAGCCTGGAGAAGTCCAGACCGTGCCCAGCAGTTGTTCAGCTAGAAGGGAGGAGAGAGGACATGGCAGCCTCCCTCATCTGTGTTACCATTGAGATTGGAAAGGGACAGTTAATCTGGAGGGGAGTGAGAGATGGGGCCAGGGAAAGCAAGCCATGCAAACAAGTTCGCAGAGGAAGAGAGGAAAGAGCACTTAGTTCTGCATCACCCTCTAAAAAGTGAGAGCCCTCACCCGTAGACCCTCTCCCCACTGTCCATCTGAAGTGGCCAGGAAGGAAAGGCAGCACTTCTTTCAATACCTCAGACCCTTTAATAGCATCTTGCTCCCTGAACCTTGTTTTTGCCTGCTAATTTCTGCAATCTGGCCTTGGCTCTGGCCCCAGCCATGACTGTTGCCATTTCTCCCACACTAGCCCTCTGGACCATGAAGTTAACACGCCCTCCCTGGAGCTGTCATCCAGAAGTTAATATACAAGTCAGTTAGTGCACAGACAGTACTAAAACAGCAGCAACAGAGAATTGTAAAATAATTAAGGAGGCCTTTCAGGGTGGCAGCCCCTGAAAGGGTCCCCATTCCACAGTCTGCCCCCTAAGCTGTGCAGGACAGAAGTTCAATTTGATCTCTGTTACGAGAGCCGAACTCATGACAACCATACCCATAAGAGGTTCCTGTTAGTTGACCAGAATATCCACCCTTTCCTAGATATTAGGATCACAGAATGACAGAAAGTTAATCGGTGAACGTGGAGTCAGACAAAATAGTCTTGAGGGATTTTTCATCAACCAAGCACGTGGATGCACTGTTCCCACAGCCCATCTCTTGGGCCCACCGGGCAGACCAGGCTATCCCCCTTCCTTGGTAAGCCTTTCCCAACTCTGATCATACCATTGATTTGGCTCCAGCATCTTTCGCAGTAGTCAGGCCTGAATCAGATCCCTTTCGTTCCTGCTGGTCCTAGGAGACGTCTGACTCCAAGGCCTCTGAATGTGCCGCTGGAGATGCCCCTTGATGGAGGACCCCCTAACACAGGCACCCAGTCCTGCTCACAATGCCCATGTGGCCCTATGGGTGACTAATTGATGTCATGCCAGAAAGAGCAATTTAAGAAACAGACTTTAAAAGAATCCTTGCCTGAGACAGTCTCTTACTGAAAACAGATTCCAGCCTAGTTAACAGGTGAGCTGTGGCACTAATTCGCCTGCCTGAAAGTGTTTATCAGACCATTAAAAGGGCAGTGAGTGAGTGAGGCAGTGTTATCCAGCAGAAGAGCAGGAAGCAAAAGGACATGACTGAATGAATTGCTTCAGGGTGTTTTAGGGAGTGATTTAATTTCTCTGAGTCTATCAAATGAGCACAGCGATGCTGGCTTCCGCTGTCTTAGGAGTCAGAGACCACGCAAGGATAGAGCCCTGGATCCAGCAGATTCTCCATACATGAGAGCTGCTGTTGCTGCTGTGGAATTTAAAATTTTCATTTTCTAGACCGCCCACTTTGAATGGGACTCTTCCGAACTGTCTTAATTCTTGTTTCCCGGCGGCTGTGACAAGTCCAGCAGTGTCTTTTTTAGCTTCTCCAGTCCATTTCTGTTCACAGAAAGCAAGCCATTTAGCATTATCTCAATAGAAAGTATTTGTTTAGGTTTCAGTTTTCCACATTAACTTGTAGTGGTTGAACTAAATGAATATTTTAAATTCTAAGAAATTGTTTTTTGCAATTAAGGGACTATTGGGAGTTTAAAAAGCCTGACACAGTGGCTCACACCTGTAATCCCAGCACTATGGGAGGCTAAGGCAGGAGGATCGCATGAGGCCAGGAGTTCAAAACTAGCCTGGGCAACATAGCAAGACCCATCACAACAAAAATAAAAGATAAAAATAAATTAGCCAGGCGTGGTGGCATATGCCTGCAGTCCTAGCTAAGCTACTCAGGAGTGAGGCAGGAGGATTGCTTAGGCCCAGGAATTTGAGGCAACAGTAAGCTATGATTATGCCACTGCATTCCAGCCTGTGTGACAGAGCAAGACCTCATCTCCAAAAAAAAATTTAAAAAAATTTTTTAAAGAAATATAATTCTGCAGTTTAAAATTTGGGACACATGTCCTGTAGAAATAATGTTATTCAGGTGGCCAGTGACCCAGACTGCCCGCTGGCTTAAGGCTCGATCTCTACATAGGGCTTTAGTGCGTATGAATCACCCAGGGATCTTGTTAAAATGCTGAAACGAATTCAGCTGGGGGCAAAAGGGACTGGGAGTTGACATTTCTAACAGCTTCTGGGTGGTGCCCACGCTGCCTATCCAGGACCACAGTTTGTGTAGCAAGGATGGGGTGGGAGAAGCTGGCATTGCTTAGGGATGAGAACAGTGGGTGAGGCGTTGTCCTAGACAGGGCAGAGGGAGCAGGGGTTCTAGTGAGGCGAAGGAACAGGACTGCAAGGATTAGAGGAAATGGGGAGAGGGCTCCTGGCTGGTGTAACTCACCAGGCACTTCCTGGCCATCGTCTCTCCTGGCCCTGGTGTTTGCCAGGCTGCCCTCTCCGCCCTGCCCCCTCACCCACCTGGGGTCCCTAAACTTTCCTACCCAGCTACGGAATCTGGTCTTCCCTTTGTTTTCAGAGCAAGCACACTCTGCAGAAAGGCTCTTCTTTTTTATTTTATTTATATATAATTTTTTACCCAAACAAAGCTAAGACAGGCTCTTCTAAATGAAATGCATTTCTGGTAAACAGCCTGGGAGTCCTAGGTCTGACTTCTCATGCCCGCTCTGTTTTCGCTTAGATCCTCTGAGGAAATGCTAAGGAGCACAGAGATAGGGATGGCTGGTCTTTGAGTGCTCCAAACATAAGGTTGACCCCCCACACGTCCACCCCGCCTCAGCTGCTGCTCCCTGCTTTCCACCTGACATTCTCCATGCCCTCTCCCTGGAGGACTAGGAACTTTGAGGGCGGGACTAGAAGTAGATTCATTTTCATATTCCTGCAGTGCACACACAGACTTGGCGAATGTCAGGAAGAATGGGAGGAGAAAGCCAGAGGGGGTGGGAGAGCATGAAAGGATTGTCATGGAAATTAGCGAAGAGGAGAAGCCACTTGAAGTGAATTTGTTTTCAGTGAAACTTGGCCAGGATACATCCTAGCAGTTGTGTGAGACCTTCCTGCTTAACTGGGCCCACCTGGGTCGGTCATGGCCTACTGTAGTGGGTGGGGGAATGGAGCCGAGTAAGGCACTGGATGTGGCCTCCATTCTCTCCAAGCACCTCGGGTCAGAAGCCCCTCTGCCGGGATCCTTCCAGAACAGTAATGTTTTAGCAGTGAGGTGTAAAGGTAAGCCCATCTCTTCTAAGAGTTGAGCTAGGTGGAGCTGTCACTTTGGTGGGAAAGTGAAGACAGATTAGGACAGTATTACTAAGATTACATCTAATACATGATCGCATTCTTGTTTTTCCAGATTTATCAGCAAGACTGTTGAACGCATAACTGCCCAAGATGCCTGTCCCTCCCCCTCCAGCACCCCCGCCGCCCCCGACGTTTGCACTGGTGAGTGTCTCCTCCCCAAACACTTTCTATGCATAAAGCAAGCCAAATGAAGCCAAAACCTGGCGTGCATGTGTTTGTATTAAATGTGTTTGCATTCTGGCTCACATGTGATACAACAGGCTTTCCCAGTGCCCAGGGTAAGCCAAATCCTGAAACCCAGCAAATACAAACAACACGAAGGGTTTTGTTTGTTTAAGGTCTCGTGTGATGGATAGTACAAGGGTGGAATGTGGCTGATGAGGTGTTTTCTGCCGCATCTGCGCAGGGACATGTGCTGGCCCAAGATAGGGTTTGCAGGATCAGTTCTGAGACCAGTGTGCACTGTTTTCATTCAGATGAACTCAATGTCTGGCCTTTAACTTCTGGGCTGGACGGTCTAGAAACCCAGGTCTCTGCCTGCAGTGCATTCCATTAAAGTGTCTTCCGGTCTCACTCCTTTCTTTTTTTCTGCCTTTTCCCCTCTTCTTCCCAATCTGTTTTTGACAAATATCTCCCTCCACCACCTCTGCCATACACATTCACATCCTCCTTTAAATCTATACTTGCATTTAGGCATTTAGATGTTTATTTCCTGAAAGAATTTCTTCAGTGGATTCATCCTGGTCTTTTTTTTTTTTTTGAGTCTCGCTCTGTCACCCAGGCTGGAGTGCAATGGCACGATCTCAGCTCACCGCAACTTCCACCTCCCGTTCAAGTGATTCTCCTGCCTCAGCCTCCCAAGTAGCTGGGACTAAAGGCAAGCACCACCATGCCCAGCTAATTTTTGTATTTTTAGTATGGACGGGGTTTCACCATGTTGGCCAGGCTTGTCTTGAACTCCTAACCTCAGTTGATCCACCCACCTCGGCCTCCCAAAGTGCTGGGATTACAGGCGTGAGCCACTGTGCCCGGCTCATCCTGCTCCTTTGATAGACCTCTTTGGGGAAGTTAGTGTGCCCTCTTCAGGAATTTGGCAACTCTCCACTTGGTCATATGGAAAGGCCCCAAGATACGCTCTGTTACAAAGCCCTCTCCAGCTTGTGAAGCCTTCACTGAGGAGGAGCCTCACACTGATGGTTCCTTCATTTTCACCATTTTCACATGGGGAAACTGAGGCTTGGAGAGAAAGTTTCTTGCCCCAGGTTTCCATGAGACACATTTATATAACTCATCTGAGGTTGAAACCTAGTGAGAAGAACTGCCTATTAATTAGCTTATTGTTACTCAGAGTGTGGCCTTCCAACTGCTTTTTAAGAGTCCCCAAAGTGATGAGGACAAAAGTTGAAAGTAAGCATTTAGAAGCATTTCTAGCAATTTGACAGTAGTTTTCTGTTTCTAAGATTGGATGTTGTGTGTCTTTTTTAAAAAACTAATTCATTTTTCTAATAATTCATTGTTATTTTACAAAAGCGTCAGTTCCTGATGAAAATATTTTTCAAAAGACTGGTCCTTGGCCAGGCGTGCACTTTGGAAGGATAACTTGAGCCCAGGAGTTCGAGACCAGCCTGGGCAACATGGCGAGACCCCCATATCTACAAAAAAAATGTTAAAAATTAGCCAGCCAGACATGGCGGTGCGTGCTTATAGTCCCAGCTACTCTGGAGGCAGAGATGGGAGGATTGTTTGAGCCCAGGAGGTCAAGGCTGCAGTGAGCTGTGATTGCACTACTGCACTCCAGCCTGGGTGATAGAGCAAGACTCTGTCGCAAAAAAACAAAAAACAAAAAAAAAGTTGGTCCTTCACATGGGTAAGTTTGAGAACCTCCAATCTGGCTTACATAGCAGGATTCATTTATCCATGTTTCCCCAAAAGTGTGGGCTATAGTGAACTGACTTAATAAAAAATATTAAATAAATAACACAGGTGGTATGAGAAGATGACAAAAATCATGAATCTTATACCAGAATGCTTGAAGTTTGGGAAACCTTGCTTATCTTATCAACTCATTTCTATCCGTTGTTACCTAATTCAAAGCAAGATTTTGGATAAATAGAATATAGAGATGAAGAAAGGGAAAAGGTGGGTTGGTGGCCATCATAGAACACTGCCCTTGTGAAACAACATAATTAAGGGCCCTGAACATGAGAGAAGTTAGCACCCAGGGAGGTCAGCTGTCAAAATAAATTTTGAGGCAGAACAGGAGGCTACTGAAGGTTGCTGACCCAAAACTGTTAAGAGATCCAGTGTGACACATCACTTAACCTCTCTAGGCCTCAGAGTTTTTTCATCCTTAAAATGAAGACAGCAGGTAATGTTAAGAGCTCTTTTCCAGGACATCCAAAGTATGTTAAGTTGAAAACAAACAAGTTGCAGAACAATAGAGGAGAATCCCATTAGCAAAAGCAAACTGTGTATGCAGAGAGCATTTCTGGAAGGACAGCAGAGAAACTTTTAACAAGCATGCTTCAGCGGTGTGTTGGGGCTGGATGGGGAGGGGCATTTTAGAGCCCACATTTATCCTTCTATCAGCTTGTAGGGAAGGCTCTTGACTGCCAGGGTTTGAATCCCAGCTCCTCCTCAACTAACTAGGTGCCTGGGGCAAATGATTTAAACTCCCTATACCTCAGTTTCCTTGTCTGTAAAATGGAAATAATAACTCACAGGGTTGATAAGGGCTAAATGAAGTAATACACATAAGGTGCTGAAAACAGTGCCTGGCACAGAGTATATGTTAACTATTATTATCATAAGCAAGTAATACTTCATCATTTAGTTATTTCAAGATGCTTCCAACTTTACCACTGCAATTCTGGTTAGCCTACTTCAGGGTTTTTCTGAGTTCTTCCTTTGCCTCTAACTCTGCTAATAAAAGGCTGAGTTAGGCCAGGAGCAGTAGCTCGTGCCTGTAATCCCAACTACTCAGGAGGCTGAGGCAGGAGGATCACTTGAGCCCAAGAGTTCGAGGCTGTATTGCATGATGATCACACCTGTGAATAGCCACAGCACTCCAGCCTAGGCAACATAATGAGACTCTGTCTCTAAAAAAAAATTGTTTTTTAAAGGCTGGGTAAGGTATTGAGCCATACATTTCCCCAGCTTTTCCTCCTGTGGCCCTAACTGGCAAATCTGAAATCATATCCCTGTCAGAAGGGCTGGGGCCAGCCTAGAAAGGACCTGTGGGTTTGGGGCAGCCAGACTCTCCCTGAGACAGACAAGACCTAGCCAGTTTCCAAGTGTGATAGACACAGGCACACAGGCAGGTGCCTACATCTAAGTCCATTTGCTGGTCTCTTAGTGTCCCCAACTCCCTGAAGGAACAAGATCCCAATTTCATAGTAGGTAGGGATCTTTCCTAGGAATTCTGGAAATATAAGAAAATAATCAGACATGTTAAAGCAGCATTTTTGTCCATTCCACAATTTCCATGAGCTAAGCTTTCATCAGAATTAAACATCAGAAACACCTCATGCCAACAGGACATGAGGGAACTTTTGAAGTAATGAAAATATTCTATATCTTGATTGTGACGGTGGTTTCACAACTGTATATGTTTGTCAAAACTCATAGAGCTGTAACTAAAAAGGGTGATTTCACTATGTGTAAATTACACCTTAATAAATCTGACTTAAAAAGAGAAAAAAAGCATCTTTGGCAATATACACAGAGGGAATTATTTTCTAGAACTTTAGTGGGTTTAAAAAACATACAGCTGACTCTTTTTGCTAGAGACAGTTTTTCCCTTGCACTGGGGTAGTTCTAAAAGATGGGAAAAGGAAGTTATTCTTCAGGGTACCCTCTAGTGAATGACGTCTGGTAATGTCCTGCAGAATCCTCCCAGACTTAAAATTCTTTTCTCGTGTCTAGTCATCTCACCCTAACCTGGCCCTGTTAGTTTCAGTCAGATTGTGGTCTGAATTTTCAGAGACTTTAATCAAGGACTGACTCTTCCTCCCTTAAAAATGAACATAATTTATTGCTGCATCTGCTTCCAAACGTCTGGATCTTAAAAAGAAAGATATGGGGTCTAAAACTTGTCGAGAATTTACAACCTATCACCAAGAACCTTAACAACAAGCTTCCCGTACCCAACCTTTCCCAGCCGAGTGTTACAATGCATGATTTTAACCCAAGAGATGACTACTTGTTTGTATGGCTCCCTTTCAGGCCAATACAGAGAAGCCTACCTTGAATAAGACAGAGCAGGCTGGGAGAAATGCTCTCCTTTCTGATATCAGCAAAGGGAAGAAACTAAAGAAGACGGTCACCAATGACAGAAGTGCACCAATACTGGACAGTAAGTAAAAAAAGGCTATCTACCATGGAGAGGAACAGTTTATGGCCTAATAATCAACCCTACCCTCACCACTCAATTTTTATTTTATTTTATTTTTTGGTTAACAACAGCTGCAAAGCTAGCAAAATAAGGGACTGTATCACTCCCTGTAGGCCGCAGCTTTGGCTTGGGTTCCCCTCTAATGCTGCAAGAAGCCAGTATAATAATTCTTTGTCCAAGACATACACAGCAGCAATTCTCTGCATTATTCACAACACTTTCTGGAGATTAACCCATTGCTCCTGGCACCACAGATGAGGAGGCAGCATAAAATATGGAAAGAGCCCTAGCCTTGGAATCAAAAGCTGTGGGTTCAAGACCTGGCACATCCATCCTGTACCATCTCCAAGCCTTGTTTTCTTCATTTTAAAATGGAGATGATAATACATGTTCTATTGACCTCACAAGTTTGTCATGAGCTTCAAATGAGATAATGCCTGTAAAATGTTTTGTTGTCTGGAAAGTGTAATTCAAGTGTAAGATACAATTATTAGGAGCTTAGAGAGAAAGAAAATGAGGTCACAACTTCAGTTATCAACCCACCTAAGTCTGAGGTACTTTCTGGAACAAAGCTACTTATTAACATTTACAACAGGACAAAAAATAATCCATGACTAGAATTCTACTGGCAATTAATAAGTAGATCTTAAGCCTGTCTCCTCACATTCCTAGACCCTTCCTTTGCCTGCCAGATGTCCCCAAGATTCATCCTAGACTACAGATCCCATTTGGACGGAACAGGAAATAGACTGACCTTCCAAAATCACCAGATGGATCTTTGTCAACAAGTGAATAATGAGGCAGAATCTTTGCAAAGTAAAGGATTAGAAGTGCTTCAGGGAACTTTCTGGGAGAAATACCTAATGAGTAGAGAAGGAAGAAGAAGGATCAGAGTTAGGTGGACTACTGGTTTGGGAGGAAAAAGGAAAAGTGAAAGACCTAGATAAGGCCTTTGAATGTTGTTCTGTTACCGGGCAAAGTGCTGCGAGTGAGAATGCACTGCTTTCAAAAAGGAACTATGGCCGGGCGCAGTGGCTCGCACCTGTAATTCCAGCACTTTTAGAGGCTGAGGCGGGTGGATCACTTGAGGCCAGGAGTTCAAGACCAGCCTTGACAACATTGTAAAACCCCATCTCTACTAAAAATACAAAAATTAGCCAGGTGTGGTGGCACATGCCTGTAGTCCCAGCTACTCGGGAGGCTGAGGCACAAGAATCACTTGAACCAAGGAGGTGGAAGTTACGGTGAGCTGAGATTGTGCCACTGCACTCCAGCCTGGGCAACAGAGCAAGACTCTGTCTCAAAAAAAAAAAAGGAACTAAGGTATTTAACTCTTGACACAGTCTGACTTGTAAGTCAAAATGCCCACAAAACGAATGTGGTTATAATATATTCCCTCTAATCCCTCAGCCCTCCAAGCCCTCCAATAGCCATCTGAATCATGGTCCCTGGTATGAGGCCAGAGGAGCTGACCTCTAGGACAGAGGCCTGTGGTTCTCCTCACTGCAAGAGGGAGCCTAGGGCTCTGTTGAAGGAGGCTGGACAGTCTAGACCTATTCCTGAATCCACTAGTGGAAACCTTGAAGAATTGTATTCTTCAATGTCCACTTCTCTTATTTAATGGAAATAGTGTTAGTCCTTCTCTCTTCCATGATGTTTAATAATGTGCTTTCCTTGATGGAAGGAAGATACAGTCCAGTGCAGGCCCTTGTCCACACACTCAACTGGACACCTATACTGCTGTCACAAGCTCTTTGCAAGCAGCAGTGTTTATCCACAGTTTTGTATCTGTTTGCATGTGAAACTTCCCTGGGCTGTATGTCAAAATGTTGACCATGGTTATGTGTGATAACTCAGCCCTGTCCTACAGTTTAATTACTGAAAAAATAATCTGAAAGCTTAATCCTCAGCTTTAGCTTCTCTTTCTGAAAGATGGACAGATGTTGCAGGTTAAGAACACTAATGGGCCAGGCACAGTGGCTCACACCTGTAATCCCAGCACTTTGGGAGGCTGAGGCAAGTCGATCACCTGAGGCTGGGATCACCTGAGGCATGGAGAAACCCCATCTCTATTAAAAATACAAAATTAGCCGGGTGTGGTGGCGCATGCCTGTAATCCCAGCTATTTGGAAGGCTGAGGCAGGAGAATCGCTTGAACCCAGGAGGCAGAGGTTGCAGTGAGCCAAGATCGTGCCATTGTACTCCAGCCTGGGCAACAAGCGTGAAACTCCATCTCAAAAAAACAAAAAAAAGAACAGTAATGGGTGATGTCTGATAGTGCAGGAGTCCCTCTAAAGTTTCAGTACCATGTAAACGTGTCCTGTGAAGTGCAGTATTCCAAAATGTGTCATTCATCAATGAATAGTGTTTGAATGACAAGGGCGATGTTAATAGCAAAATTTTTAAATTTTATATGGAAACAATTTTGCATACACTTCTAGAAATTGTTAGTCTTATATGATTTATCCTGTTAGGTGAAGTAATTCTTGTCAGTTATTATCAGATTATTTCTTCCACAGCAGAGCTACCATAAGCATCTCAGAAAGCTCCACATCTAGAAAAGATACAGAACTAACACAAATTTATGATAAACCTAATCCAGAAAATGGAAATAAAAATGAATAAAAGTGGAACTCAGAAAGCAGATAAAATAAGAGATTCAAAGCATATTTTCTAAAATTAAAGTAGTGTAATAAAGTTATCTGCTAAAATGTTTTAAGATATTAAAGAAAGTACTTTTCTAAGAAAAGCATATATTTATTCAGGAAACCTCAATGAGCAAGGGAAAAGATAAAAACTTTATTAAATTACTTTCTCTCCAAAAAGTTTTGGAGCCAGATTATTTTATTAGCAAATTCTTTCAAATTTTAAGAAACAGCTAATTCAAATGCTGTATAAGTCATTCCCCAATATATTAAGAGATGGAAGGCTGTCTAATAATTGTAATGAAATTGGCATGATCCTAATGTCAAAACTTGACAAAGGCAGCACATAAAAAAAGAAAGCTGTACATTAGTGGTTTTCAACTGAGGGTGATTTTTGCATTCCAGGGGATATGTGGCAATGTCTGAAGACATTTTTAGTCACTACTTTGGGGGACAGGGAGGGCTGCTACTGACATCTAGTGGGTAGAGGCCAGGGATGCTGTAAACATTCTGTAAAGAACAGGACAGGACAGCCACCCACAAAAAAGAATTATCTGTCCCAAAATGTTTATAATTAAGAAACCCTATTATGGACCACTTATCATCATAGATAAGAGAACACTAAAATACCAAAAAACAAATCTAAATCAATCAGATGTTACAAGAATAATTCACCAACACCAGGGTTTATCCCCCTTTTTTTTTTTTGGAGACAGGGTCTTGTCTTGTCACCCAGGCTGGAGTAATGGTATGAACACAGCTCACTGCATCCTTGACCTCCCAAGCTCAAGGGATCCTCCCACCTCAGCCTCCCAACTAGCTGGGACTACAGGCATGCACCACCACATTTGGCTCATTTTTTGTAGAGATGGGAATCTCACCATATTGCTCAGACTGGTCCTGAACTCCTGAGCTCAAGCAATCCACCCGCCTTGGCCTCCCAAAGTGTTGGGATTACAGGTGTGAGCCGTTGCACCTGGCCTATCCCATTTTTAATGTTAGAAAGTCTATCCATCATATCAAATAAAAAAGACCATCAAAAAGCCTCAGTAGATCTTGAATAGGCATTTGATAAAATTTCATGCTATAATAAATTCTTGTAAACCTAAAATAGAAGGATCCACAGACTGAATATTTAGAAAGGGAAAAAACCTATTTCAAACCAATAATTCATATTAACTTTGAAATATCAGAGGGATTCTCATTAATATCAGAACATGATTGCCTTTAGAAACGTTAATAATTTACATTGTTATGGAAATTTACCCATCAAAGTAATTACTTATATAAAACAGAAATAAGACATACAACTCTTAGAGAAGAGGAGGCTTTAAACTGTCATTATTTGAAGACCATGTGCATACTAGAAAATGCAAGATAATACATTTTTAGTAAATTTTATTTAGAAAACATAGCAAAGTGGCTTATTAGATATTAAATACAATTTCCTGGTGCCAAAAATAACCAATTACAAAATATAACAGGAAAAACATCCCTTTCACAATTTCAGCAAACAAAAATACATTTGAAGTAACCCTAACAAAAAGCATGTGTAATGTATATCATAAAAACTAAAAAACTTTGCCAAAAAATCCAGAAGACATAAATAAATGGGAAAATATACCACATCTCCAAATGGAAAGTCTAAATATCATAAAAGTATCAGTTCTCCCAGATTAATTTGTAGATTTCATATACTATTTATCAAAAACTCAACATAGTTTTTTGGGAAGAGGACTTTAAATAATGTTTAAGCTCATAAATACAAACATGCATACATACATAAATTAAGAGATAATTTTTTTAAAGAGGGTATAAGCATGGCTTAAACACAACTAATTTGCACTTCTTTGGACAAATACCATTGCATTAGTATCAGTTTTCTATGCCTTTCAGAGTGATAAGATACTGTGGCTCAAAGACAATGGAAAGTAACCCAGAAGACTAGACAGAATACTCAGTAATCTTTTTGTTTGTTTGTTTGTTTGCCTCCCATCAAAATCTTTCACAATTTTTTGCAGATAAATTCAAAATAAAACAAGATCTTTATACCCTCTCAAATTGCAAAGAATGTTTAAATTACTAAAGCCTACTATTGGGCTTCATGATATTAAAAAATTAATAGCAATCTAAAGGGCCATCAAATGAGTAGTTAAATAAATTTTAATGTAATACATTCATGTTCTACAATACAATAGAATCCTTTAAACTCATGTTTTCAAAGAGTATGACACAAGAAGTGCTAACAAAGTGTTAAATGAAAAAAGCAGGCTTAATACTGCTTAGTGAATTTGTTCTTAATTTTAAGAAAAAACACATAAAATGAAAAATACTGATGGGAAAAAGTATAACTCAATTGTGGATATTTGCTTAGTGTTTTTTTTTTTTTTTTTTTGCTGGAGTGCAGTGGTGCAATCATAGCTCACTGCAGCCTCAGTGGGTTCAAGTGATCCTCTCACTCAGCCTCTTAAGTAGCTGGGACTACAGGTGTGCACCACCATGCCTGGCTACATTTTGTTGTTGTTGTTTATTTTCGTAGAGACGAGGTCTCACTTTGTTGCCCAGGGTGGTCTCAAACTTCTGGGGCCTAAGCTATCCTCCAGTCTCAGCCTCCCAAAGTGCTGGTATTATAGGTGTGAGCCACTGTGCCTAGCCTGGATATTTGTATATTTGTGAAATTATGAGATATTTTATTTTCTTTTCTTTTTAACTCTTTCCTTTCTTCTCGCCTTTTATGGCATCTCCTCCTCCCTTGCGACCCTCTTTCTTTGAAGATCCTTTTTACTGAGACAGGGTCTCACTGTCACCCAGGCTGGAGTGCAGTGGCACAGTCTTGGCTCCCTGCAGTCTTGACCTCCCTGGCTCAAGCGATCCTCCCACCTCAGCCTCCCAAAGTGCTGAGATTACATGTGTGAGCCACTGCACCCAGCCTGAAGATCCTTCTATTTGCCAAATCTTAGGATACGGAACAAACAGATACTGACCCATGTGGCAGCCAGTCAAGTGGGGAGTGTGGGGACAAATCATCCTTTATTTTCGTTTCTTCCACCACTGGGCTTGGGACTGCCTGGAGCGGGCAGTTCTGACTGAGCTGAGGGAACTCTTAAAATCCTGCATTTTAATGAAGAAATCCCAGTTGTCCACTGGAGGCCGAGAGCCGGCCAGCTCCCTGTTGTACTGTTGTTTTATGGTTTACCTGGGCCAGACCAGGGGGCATAGTCTGTCGGGTGTCTCTTCTTCTACAGAACCTAAAGGAGCTGGTGCTGGAGGCGGTGGTGGTGGCTTTGGTGGAGGCGGCGGATTTGGCGGAGGAGGTGGTGGCGGAGGCGGTGGAAGTTTTGGAGGGGGCGGACCTCCAGGTCTGGGAGGATTGTTCCAGGCTGGAATGCCGAAGCTGAGATCCACGGCCAACAGGGATAATGGTAAGGAGAGTTTCCCTGTCTCTGAGTGACTGAAGACAAGGCAGAGTTTGGCAGTTTGGAGGCTGGTCATAGCCTCTAAGGCTCTTCGCCCTTATTAAAATATTGTACATTGTTTTAAATATTACCACTGTTTTATAAGAGACTCAATTTAGGCTTTATTATTATTATTAACCAGGATCAGACAGCTACACAGAACTATGAAATTTTCACCCAGTGTCTTTGGGGGTAACCTGTACATTTTTTTTTTTTTACTTTTCTAAAGGGTTAGCTGGAGTGGGAAGAAAAGGGAGGAGCAAATAGAACTTGCTGGCCCTGGAAATCTGCCTGGTGACCTGACAGATTCAGCTTTCTTTGTGAGGTAGCCCAGCTGTCTAGTAGAGTAAATACTTGTGAGCCGCTTTTCAAACACGATGGAGCACATCTTGTGGAATATGATTACAAATCTCACTAAATCTGAAAAAGTGTTTTGCATGACAGATATTTGGTATTTCAGTGCCAGTGGTTCTCAGGAGTCTCTGCAGGGAGCCATGGACATGAGTCCTTCAGGATTGTCTATGAACCTGATGGTAGAAAAAAACTGAACTTGCTCATGAATGCCTAGATAAAAAACTTTGCAGAGGGCATGAGGCTCTCTCCCAGCTACTACAGAAACTCAAGAAATTTTACCATAAAACTGCTTTTGTAATGTTGATCATGTTATAATAATTTTCATTTTTAGACCTTTTATAAGATGTCCCCTGGGAAAGAATGAAACTCTCACATTTACATGAATATGGAATCACTGAATCCTCAGGGTTAGCCTACTATTTTATCACTGAATGGTCCAAATCTAGAGAGAAACTCAGTCACATGAGAGGTTCTATCTTGCCAGACCACCATTTAAATTTGAATTTAAATTTATTTAAAACTCACCAAAAGGATTTAAGGCAGCTGATAAATGTATACATTTAGTACTTTAACAACAGGTGAAGAAATTAAGGCAAAAGACAAAGAAAAATAAAATAATAAAATGGGCCAGGCATGGTGGCTCACACCTATAATTCCAGCACTTTCACAGGTCAAGGCAGGCAGATGGCTGAAGCCCAAAAATTCAAGAACAGCCTGGGCAACATGGCAAAATCCTGTCTCTACTAAAAAAAAACAAAAAGTTAGTGGGCATGGTGGCTCTTGCCTGTAGTCGCAGCTACCCAGGAGGCGGAGGTGGGAGGATTGCCTGAGCCCAGGAAGTTGAAGCTGCAATGAGCCGTGATTGCACCACTGCACTCCAGCCTGGGCAACAGAGGAGGCACTGTCTCAAAAAAAAAAAAAAAAAGAAGAAGAAAGTTCTCTCTTAAGTTCATGATACTCCACTGTATACATCTGTCCAAATGCTTCTTCCTGTGCCTTAGATAAAATCGGAACCCCTTCTGTCCTGCAGGGCTCCTTGTGACTAACCCCTGCTGGCCACTCAGGCTCCACTTCCCATGGATCTCTCCCATTCTCACTGTGCCCCGGGCACATGGGCCCGTTTTTGAACTTGAAGCTCTTTCCCACCTCAGGGCCTCTGCACCTGCTGGCCAACCCTGCCCAAAGTGCTGGTCTTCCTCATCTTTCCGTGGCTGACTCCTTCTTGTCAGGCCTCAGCTCACATGTCACATTCTCAGAAGAGCTGTCCCCAGCCACTCCATGTACCCTGGCCTCTCCAAGCACTCTTGATCTCATCGGCCTATTTTAGTGTCTTTTTAGTACATATAATTATCTGAAAGTATTTATTTCCTGGTTTATTGTTTATCTCCCCCCACAAGAATGTAAACTACAGGAATGCAGAATCTTTTCTATTCTGTTTACTCCTCTGTCTCTAGTCTCTAGATTAATGGCAGGCGCATAGCAAGTGCTCAAAATTATTTGGTACACTTATTAACTCATAAATGGGTAGATTTTTTTTTTTTTTTTCAGAATTACCTTGAGTTCCAAGAGATTCTGGGATGGTGGTTTGAAATTTTCCATCTCTTTGGTTCCCCCTTTAGTTTCTCCCTTGTTGAACCAGAGCAGTTATGGGATTATTCTGTCCTGCCAATACTGAAGCAGAGGTTGACGTGGTACCAAAAAAAAGTTGTGTAGTTGCCTGCTTCTTTGTAGATGAATTCCATCCACTGGTGTCAACTCTTACAATTAAACTTTACTGATGGTTCTTTTTCCTTTCTTAGTTTTTTCTTATTGCAGTCATAACTCTTTTCTTATAATTTCCCCTTACAGTTTTCCACTTTTTTTGGGGCATTTCTCTTCATAGGGACTAGATAAGCCCTCACATTTGGAGATTTACATTGGGATAATTAATTTTTTCACCTAAGACAGCTGACTTAGTTTCAAAACTGAGAGGTACAAGGGCTGGGAGACAGAGATGGTGATGAGGAAAAATGAAAATCATGATTCTACCAATGCCATCTTGTTCTTGTCCTCTCATAATGAATAGGCATCTCACCAGAACTCTCGCCCACTTCATCCTGGCTCTTGCCTATACATAATGCTAAGAGATATTTGCAGAATCCTTTTGAAAGCTCATAGGCTGTAGAAGTTGGGACTCGCAGGTAAATAGAGCTATGGTCGATTTTCTGCTCCCAAGAAGGACCAACAAAACCCAATTTATATAAATAATAGTTTCCTGTATTTTATAGCCCTCTGAGGAAGGGACTTCCAGTCACTGGGAACAGACTCTAGCTCTCTGATTTCTTCAGGGTTCCTGATTTCCTAACTGATGTTTGTTTTCCTGTTCTTCAGATTCTGGAGGAAGCCGACCACCATTGTTGCCACCGGGAGGAAGATCCACATCTGCGAAACCCTTTTCACCCCCAAGTGGCCCAGGGAGGTTTCCTGTGCCTTCTCCAGGCCACAGAAGTGGTCCCCCAGAGCCTCAGAGGAACCGAATGCCGCCCCCAAGGCCCGACGTGGGCTCAAAGCCTGATAGCATTCCTCCTCCAGTACCTAGTACTCCAAGACCCATTCAATCAAGTCCGCACAACCGGGGGTCCCCACCAGTGCCCGGAGGCCCCAGGCAGCCCAGCCCCGGGCCCACTCCTCCCCCTTTCCCTGGAAACCGCGGCACTGCTTTGGGAGGAGGCTCAATACGTCAGTCCCCCTTGAGCTCCTCCTCGCCCTTCTCCAACCGGCCTCCCCTGCCGCCTACCCCCAGCAGGGCCTTGGATGACAAACCCCCTCCACCACCTCCTCCAGTGGGCAACAGGCCCTCCATCCACAGGGAAGCGGTTCCCCCTCCTCCTCCTCAGAACAACAAGCCTCCAGTGCCTTCCACTCCGCGGCCTTCGGCCTCCTCACAGGCCCCACCTCCGCCGCCACCTCCCAGCAGGCCCGGGCCGCCTCCTCTGCCTCCAAGTTCCAGCGGCAATGACGAAACCCCAAGACTCCCACAGCGGAATCTGTCCCTCAGTTCGTCCACGCCCCCGTTACCTTCGCCAGGACGTTCAGGTCCTCTTCCTCCCCCGCCCAGTGAGAGACCCCCACCTCCAGTGAGGGACCCGCCAGGCCGATCAGGTATGACAAGACGTGGAGTGAGTTGCTTCCAAAACCCAGCCTGCCCAAATGTACCAATAATCCTGTCAGTCAAGATAGTCTAACAAAAGCAGGCATAAGTAAACTCAGACTGCTTTGTGCTTTTAAGTGGCACACGACACGTGTGATCGTGACCTCGTGTAAACCCCGGGGGAAAGTGGGACCAATATTTCTGTTGGTGTTTTAGAGATGAGGACACTGAGTAGCTAATAAAGTTAAATGGTCACGAGCTAGTTAATAAAGAAGAGGCAAGAACTTTCATCTTCCATCTCTGAAGTGTACTTGCCAGTCCACTACCCTGCCTCCCTAGAGAGAATTTCGGCGGTCTTAATTGGGAAAATAAGTCCCCACCTCCCGCAGGAGGGCTCTGTTATTCCAACAAGAGGGGAAGTTCTTCAAGAGCTAATGAACTTCTCCTGTACTTCTCTCTTCATTCGCCAGGCTTTGAGGCCATTTCCCTATTCATTAAAGACTAATGTTTAAAAAGTCCATTTTGCTCTTTGTAATCTCTGGTACATAAATCCCTTGGAGAATCAAATAAAGGTATAGACTATCTTTACAAAAATACTCAGGCATAAACTCAAAATTTGCCTGCTGTCACATGGCTTGAAGAGCCTGCTGAAGCCCATCTGAGACCCTTCCAATGCCCCCATCCACAGTTGAGAAACCTTGATCTGAGGGACAAACTTTCAGAGTATGAAAGGAAATGTGAGGATTGCCTAGAGTTTGCCCTCTCCGAATTATAATAGGCATTTTTAGTAGAATATGCTCACTTGATGCGTTTTATAGTGGTTATGGATGAACTCAGTAGAACCACCCACTTTTAAAATTGAATCTCATCGTACAGACCTTATTAT
The DNA here is from genome assembly GCF_000001405.40 of Homo sapiens. Lineage (NCBI taxonomy): Eukaryota > Metazoa > Chordata > Mammalia > Primates > Hominidae > Homo > Homo sapiens. Next base: position 174,570,800 of record NC_000002.12, on the reverse strand, counting down.
GTCTGGAAATGGGGCATTTTTTTCCTTTACGCAGAGATAAGAGACCTTTGACCCTGTGACCTCAGGAACCTCATAATCACCATTCTTTAAACTTGCTCACGTACTGGAATCATCTGCGGAGCTTTAAAAACCACCAATGCCTGGGTCCCTTCCCGGAGTCTCTGGCATAATTGGTCTGGGGTGCAGACTGGGAATCAGGATATTTAAAAGCTCCCTGGTGATTATAGTGTGCAGCAGAATGTGAGAACCACACCTTGAAACCATTGTGCCATGGCCCTACCAAATGGATGAGTCAGCAGATTAAATCTTCCCCAAAATATGACAGGCATTGACATATAACATTTATTATTTCTTTTGATTACGTAAGTCATACTTGTTTATTATAGAAATACTGAAAAATATAAAGAAAATTAAAATTAATCCTTCTACCACCACTATCCAGAAATAATCATTGATAACATTCTTTTAATGTGTCCTTTCAGTCTTTTTAAAATGCATGTTTTTACAAACTTGGTATCCCACTACATATATTGTTTGCTAATTTGCTTTTTATTTAACAGTATCTCATTAATGTTTGCTGATATGATTATTCTACAGCCTGACTTGTAACAGCTACCTAATATTAAATCCTACAAATGTACCTTGATTTATTTAACCAATCCCCTCACTTGGTCATATGGGCCATCTCTAGATTTTTCCTGTTGCAGATAATGCAGTGATATATTTTTGTAGCAAAATATGTGTACACATCTCTGTATTTCCTTTGGATTAATTCCTATAAGTGGAATATCTGGGTCAGTGAGTGTGCATAGTAAACTATGGATTTCAATAGGTACTGCCAAATTGCCTTCCAGGAATTTCCTACCAATTTACATTCCCACAAGGAGCGTATGAGAGTTCATCAAAGGCCCTGTGTATTCTGAGTTGTTTGGCTTCAGTGTTATGGGGAGTGGGCCTTGGAATCTAATAGATTTGGAGTCAGATCCTGGCTCCTCCACTCAGTCTTCTGATGAGCTTTTCAAGCTTCCAAAACCTCTGAGGCCTTGTCTCCTATCCCTGTACCTCTCAGAGTTGTTATAAGAATTAAATGAGACAAGCATGTATAGTGGTTATCTTATTTCCTGGCATATAGTTATATTCAATAAATGATCATTTCTGTTATTCTGCCAGTGGGAAATAGAAATCTGTTTTCTTTTCTATTGTGCCTGCCAGGATTTGGAGCAGGGTGCCACAAGGTTGGAGAGTTAGGAACATGAACATGACCATTTACTTTAAAAAGAAAATGAGATGAAGTTACGTAGTACAGGGCCCCATAATATTGGAAGTTGAGTTTGCATGTAGTGACAGTTGTGTGGTGGTATCACCAATGAAGTTAAAACCACAGCAAATGAGACACTTTTCCTCAGTAAATCAACTCTTGCTGCCTGGGACTCCAGCAATGACAAGCAGATAGGGTAATAAATAACCACTCCCAGGTGAGGCACTGAAGACTCCTTGAGAGACCAATCAGGGCTGGGCAGTGCCTCCCACCTCTGTAAAATGTTGGAGCCAAGACTTTCTGTCAGGGATATCTGCAGTGGGCAGGTTGTTCAGTTTAAGGTTCCTAATTGGATTCTGAATCTATAGCTAATAAGATATTTATTTATAGCACCTTAAGACATTGTATTCACATAAAATGTCAGCATCTTACAAGCGGAACACACTGCTGAAGAGCAGGCATAATTACTAAGGCCATTTTGATTTACATTGGAAAATGCTCAAGTTTTTGGTTTTGTTTTTTTTAATTTACTTACTACTCAAATAGCCCCTGCATTTGGAGGATAGGAAAAGCAAGATGGTTTTCTTTTGTATTATCAAAAAAATTTCCTTGAATTTTTCTTAGAAACTTAAAAACTTATGGTTATACCATACTGCTACATTTTTTTAAAAAATGGTTTCAAGTACTTACATAGTATTTTTTATTTGCATTTTCACTAGTTTTTCCTGGCAGCAGTGCTGTGAGACAGGTGACCATCTGGCACTCTTTTACAGCTAGGAAACCAAGTTCCATAGGGTACCAGCTTGCTCAGGGTCAAGATTCACATTAGCATTTATAGCCATGGATGTTGATTAGCTGTTTGTCACTCCCTGTGTTTATCTGCCTCCCCAAAGAGGAAGAACCAAGAAGAAACTCTTACTGCTCTCAGGATGACTGGTATTTGGTTTCCTGATGCCACTTCTGCCTGGAAACAGATCATATACATCACAGAAACATGCTTCTGTAATTAACAACAAAACTATGCATTTAAAGAACTTTGTTCTTCTGAAGACCTAAAATAATTTCATAACTATCTTATTCTTTTTAAAAAAATTCTTTCATCATGTCACAGTAATTAGTTCAATAGCTCTTTAAAGGATTATAAAATGTTTTTTTAAATATACGGTTGTCCGTGTAAACAGATTTTCACCTGTTTTCAATTTCACTGTGCCATCTCCAATCTGAGTGCTAATTCAAAGCCAAAACACCCATTTAGCTATCAGTATGCACTTGTTTTGCATATACATGTGTACACATGTGCAATTTTTGTGTTTCTGTGTGTTTACTCATTTCTCAGCCAAATATCCTAGAAAATCACCCTAATTAAAGGGCATGTGTCCAGCAAGTCCTCATCAGCTGTACACCAATGGTGACCACGGTAATGGAATGTGGATGTAAGGTTCTGCACTAAGTGTCTTTTTTTGCTCCAGGCCCCCTCCCACCACCTCCTCCAGTAAGCAGAAACGGCAGCACATCTCGGGCCCTGCCTGCTACCCCTCAGTTGCCATCCAGGAGTGGAGTAGACAGTCCCAGGAGTGGACCCAGGCCTCCCCTTCCTCCTGATAGGCCCAGTGCTGGGGCACCTCCCCCACCTCCACCATCAACATCTATTAGAAATGGCTTCCAAGACTCTCCATGTGAAGGTGAGGTGTGGTCCCAGCTCCCTGGGCTATAGGGCAGCAACTAAATGGTAAATCTGTTTGTATATGTGGTTTGCTTGTTTGCGTTTAATTTCTTGTTCCATCATTATCACACTCCATTGCACTGATCTAACTATCTAACCATTCTAAGGCCCACCATGATTTCAAATTAAAAATAGTAATCCCCCTTCCCCACTTCCCAAAAAGGCGGATCATTTTTCCCTGATCTGTTCTTTGTTTGGGTCTCATTTTAGTTAACTTTCCAGAGATTCCAGGATTCTGAAAAGAATCTTTTTATAGCTTCTTATTATGTACATTTCTAAACAGTTCACTGTAGGTAAGAGGCCTGACGGCCTGCAGATACTAAGTTGCCTATCTCTGCCATTGTTATCAATGGGGAAAAAGGTGTCCCATACCTTAGCCCCCAGCTCCTAAGAGGGACTGGCTGGATCCTAATCACTCTCACTAAAACCACTTTGCTTTGATTTGCAGGCCTGTATATATGTCAGTGTACTAATTCGTGACCTTTGTAGCACTTCCAGCTTTTCTGTAAACTTCTAGGCATAAAAACTAGCACTGATGTCTGTGGTTCTCTCTCTCTTTCATTCTGTGCCTTTCGTTACGTAAGTCTTCATAGCACATTGTCTGTCACTGAAGATACTGCTTGTTTCTCTTCCCAGATGAGTGGGAAAGCAGATTCTACTTCCATCCGATTTCCGATTTGCCACCTCCAGAGCCATATGTACAAACGACCAAAAGTTATCCCAGCAAACTGGCAAGAAACGAAAGCCGGAGTGAGTATTTCTGCCAAGGTTTTTGAAGATTCACGCTTGAGTAGCCTGAGTGACACTCGGGCTATATAGAAAGTCCAGGCTTCTTGCCTGGAGTGGGGTAGAGAACCCTTTGGAGCCATCTACATTCTAGTAAATTCCCCTTCCACAGGCAGTGAGGAAATTGCAGATGCCCAGAATGCATATGAGAAACAGTTATTTTAATGTGTCATTACAAGCTCAAAATACCGTGGTTTGCTAGTATTAAATTTTATTATTTTACTTCTTTGGACGTCTTCCTCTGTTTTCATCTTCCTGAGACAGCACAAGTAGAGCCATCTTCTATTCCTTCTAGTTTTGAAATTGGCATAATGTCTGATTAATTATAACAAAAACTCCCTTTAACTGCCTTGATCTTTTAAACGTATTGTAATCATAGCTTTACAGAGCATTACATGAAAATGTAAATATATCCATAATCTCTCCACATAATAGATATTTTCATTTTACCAGATTCTCATCCAATTTTTTATCCATATAATTCTGTTTTTTTATGTAGTTATAATGACGATGTACAGTTTTTTGGCGGGGTTTACATAACATTGCTTAGTAAATAGTGCCCATGTTATCACATGGTTTTTATTTCAGCATATAGTAATTTACCATTACCATGGACATTTAAATTATTTCTGTTGTTCTGCTAATGTAGGTAATGCTACCATAAAGAACTAAATTGCTTTTCCTCCATTGAAGAAGAATGTCAACAAGAAAGGAAAAATAGACAAACTGGAATTTTATAACAGTAAATGTATAGGAAGTGTTACAGCTCTTTGAGAATTTGTCTAGCAGGCTTTCCAGGGTTTTGCTGGAAAGCCTCTGAAATTTACTTTTAAAAAAACACAATAGCTGGGCATGGTGGCTCACGCCTGTAATCCCAGCACTTTGGGAGGCTGAGGTGGGCGGATCACGAGGTCAGGAGTTCGAGACCAGCCTGACCAACATGGTGAAACCCCATCTCTACTAAAAATATAAAAATACAAAAATTAGCTGGGCATGGTGGTGTGTGCCTGTAATCCCAGCTACTCAGGAGGCTGAGGCAGGAGAATCACTAGAACCCGGGATGCAGAGGTTGCACTGAGCTGAGATTGCGCCATTGCACTCCAGCCTGGGCGACAGAGCGAGACTTCATCTCAAAAAAAATAAAAATAAAAAAAAATGTATACAACGAAGAAAGAATTAGCATGAAATATGCATATGTCATCCATGAGGCTGAGGTTCGTGGCAGCCTTAGCCTCAGAGCCAAATTCCCAAACCAGAAATAGAGAAAACTTAAGCAAACAAGTCAAATATGTCACAACACCCCTAGCGATGGCCCCACTCCCTAACAGAGCACCTTACATGTACTCAAAGCCTACTGATTCTTTCCTAACACAGTTTAAAGTAATTTTTGGTTGGTTGGTTCCAAACCTTATAGGAGATTAATAACAGCTAAAGTTAAGACTGGTGAGAAGCAAAATCACTGACATGGGAGAGAAGTGACAGATGGCAGTCCCAGGTCAGAGGAGGAGACAGGAACATGGCTGTGCTGTGTGTCACAGCGCAGGACAACACCAGATGTTTCTGTTGGGTTGAATTTCTATTGGGTTAAATGGAATTAAATTAATTGAGTCAAACTGTGCTTTGTGCCTCTGTAGAAAAATTTAAAGAGTTAGAAAATATAGGAAAATTTCCATGGACAAATGCTAGAAGAAAACAGAATACTACTGCTTAAAAGGAAAACTTTAATTCCTGAAAAGATTTGTTTCTGTGGAAGACTGCATTCATAGACAATACCTAATGAAGAAGTATAGCTATAATAAAATTATTATACAAGAGTTGATGATTGAAATTTTTAGTGAAGGCCAGGCACGGTGGCTCACGCCTGTAATCCCAGCACTTTGGGAGGCTGAGGTGGGCAGATCACCTGAGGTCAGGAGTTCGAGACTAGCCTGACCAACATGGAGAAAACCTGTCTCTACTAAAAATACAAAATTAGCCGGGCATAGGGGCGCATGCGTGTAATCCCAGCTACTCAGGAGGCTGAGGCAGGAGAATTGCTTGAACTCAGGAGGTGGAGGTTGCGGTGAGCAGAAGTCGCCATTGCACTTGAGCCTGGGCAACGAGAGCGAAACTCCATCTCAAAAAAAAAAAAAAAGTGTTAGTGAAAAGTAAGTTTTCACATGGGACAGATATCTTTGAATGGTGTGTGTGTGTGTGTGTGTGTGTGTGTGTGTGTGTGCACCAGAAGAAGGGCTTCTGTTTGATAAGAGTACAGCCCTTCTTCCTTCTTGGGCACCAATAAATGAATTGACTTTAAGGAGTTGTTCATATAGACTCCAAATATTTTTCCTAACTTATTATTTGCTTCTTATTCTAAATATTATTTCTATTTTTAAATTGGTAATAGACCATCTTCCCTGTACCCTCTAGATCTTTAATGGAATAGCTAAGCATATATCTTCTCCCATCCTCCTTTAAGACTTGAGTAGGCAATGTAAGGACTAGAACTGTGTCCTGCTCACTATTGCACCTTCCTTGAGGGGCACAGAGCCTGAAACATAAAGGGCATTTTCAAGTATTTCTTTTTAAAAATTTTCTTATAGAGACAGGATATCTCTATGTCACCCAGGCTGGTCTTGAGCTTCTGGCCTCAAGTAGTCCCCTGCCTTAACCTCCCAAAGCACTGGATTATAGGCATGAGCTACCATGCCTCGCCTAAAAGTAGTTTTTAAATTGGTGAATTAATTTCCACAGTCTACCAAAATTTTTTTGTAGATTTGCCTTAAATATTTCCAGCATTAGGCATGTTTAATATTTTATAATGATAATGGATCATCTAACAAAAATAAATAAGGCACCGTCGAGTACCAAGTTTTCCTCTGCTCTGCAGCAGCCTCAGCCTCCAAGCCCACAGCCTGAGAGCGCACCCAGACAGCCCTGAGCAGTACCGAATGCACTTGGAGTGCCCTCTAATTACAGCTTTGGACAAGGCCAGCCCTCATTCTACTAACCACTTGTGGCGGGTCAGTTGATGGTCAAGGCCCCATGATAGGTGTCTGGTTTACATCCAGATGAGTCTTTTCTCAGATGCCTGCCCAAGAAAATATTTGGTTGGGATGGTGAGAGGAAGAGGTGCTTCTTTCAGTGTTTTCTCCTAACTCCCTTCCTTGCTCAGAAATTTGGTTCTTTCTCAGAAATCCCTAAGTGGACCAGTAGGGTCCCTATCAAGATGCCTACTTGAGGAATCTGCCAGTTCCAGCCCACTGAGTCTCAGAGCAGTGGTTAGAGCAGACCTACCTGATTGACACATGCCCCAGTTAGACCTGTTCACAACATCTGAGCACCTGACCTCATGCCAAACACCTGTTAAATCCTCAACAAATGTTTGTGTAGTAAATGAATTTTTTTTATGTGAATGGGTTTTAAGCCTAGTTACAGTGGACTGATAGCCCATGAATAGCTTGGTTTTGGTTTTTATTTTGTTTTTGAGACAGGGTCTCACTCTGTCACCCAGGCTGGAGTGCAGTGGCGCAATCTTGGCTCATTGCAGCCTCGACCTCTCAGGTTCAGGTGATCCTCCCACCACAGCCTCCCAGGTAGCTGGGACTATGGGACAGGCGCACACCAACATGCCCGGCTAATTTTTGTGGAGACAGGGTTTTGCTATGTTGCCCAGACTGGTCTCAAACTCCTGAGCTCAAGCCATCATCCCTCCTCAACCTCTCAAAGTGCTGGGGTTACAGGCGTGAGCCACTGCAACTGGGCCGTGAATAACTTTTAAAAGAACACATCGACAGAGTACTTGAAAAGGTGTTCAACATCACTAACTTTTATGAAACTGCAAATAAAACTATAGTGAGATACAACTTTACACCCATTAGAATGGCTACTGTCAGAAAAGCTTTCTAATTTTTAATTAGAAGATACCTAAATGCCCAACAAAAGGGAATTGACTAGGTAGACTGTAGTGTAGTCATATTTTGGAATGCAGACTGTCATTAATAATCTTTGCAAAGAGTAATGCCTTCGAAAGATGTTCAAACTGACTATATGATCTTATTTCTGGAAGAAAACGGGGAACTGTTTCTAAGTAAAAAATATACACATAATTGGTTATCTCTGGGTGCTGGAGGAATGGGTGAGTTCTTTGTTTTTACTCATCCATATTTTCTAAATCTATAATAAGCACACACTGTGATAAGAAGAAAATGATTTTTTTTAACTTTGTGCAAGTACTTGGGAGCCAGTGATGGATCACCCACCATGATGTTTATTCAGAACATTACTTGCTTGTTTTCACCTCTCACTTCTCATCCACAACATACGCCAGTTAGCTGACAGCCCTGGTCATAGGGATGAGGTAGTGGGTACCCGTGCAACCATCCCCGAGTTTCCACGATGAGAACATCAGCTTTCTAACCAAAATTATATTTTGTCTGTTTTTTCACCAAGGTGGATCCAACCGAAGAGAAAGGGGTGCTCCACCACTCCCTCCCATCCCGAGGTGATCTTTGCCTGCTCTTCTCTACCCAAGCTCAAGAGCTGCTTCTGTTGCTATCTAAGAACTGCATACCCTCCTCCCTGCTTCTTCCCTTGTGCCTCATGTATGGGCAGGAGGAAAGGTGGGAGGGGGAGTGGGAATATGCGTGTGTGGGTGGGAATCGGTAAGAAATGCACCTAGCTTTTCATATTGTGTTTATTCTCCAGGCTATTGCTTGCTTCAGCTGCAGCCTGCCTGTGCTGGCTGCTGGGGTCGATAGGCTTTTGTCGTAATAGGCAGAGATGACTTGCATCCCAGCTTTCCACCAACCAAATTCAAACATTCACTGCTTATTTGTTACAGACTGTAATTATTAAAGTCCCTGAGAGCTGTTTTCTCCCGTTCCTTTTTCGCATGCTTGGCCTCCTCTCTGTTTCTATGAACCACAGACCACCTAAGCAAGCTGCTGAGTAAGGGCTCACTGGAAACTTGCAGTCACAGGATGTCCAATCTTTGGCAGTCCGAGCTTGGCTCTAGGACAGAGCTGTCCAATAGAAATATAATGTGAGCCCCATATACAATTTTTACATTTCTAATATATTTTAAACAAGTGAAGTTAATATGCATCCAAAATATTTCAACCTGTAATCAACATAAAATTTTAATGAGATATTTTATATTATTTTTTGGTACTGAATCTTCAAAATCCAGAGTGTATTTTACACTTACCGCACATCTCCATTCAGACTAGTCACATTTTTAAGTGCTCAGTAGCCACATGTGGCTGGTGGCTACTGGATTAGACAGCACGAGTCTGGAAGATGGAAGCTAGTGCAGAAACCTCTTGTTTAAAAAACAAAAAAGGCAAGATGGGCTTGAGCGATTCAAGAGGCAACTAAAAATAAAATTAGGACCCAGCACCTTGTTTGACACACAGTTTGACCTTCGATTTTCCTCCCTTAACTTCCCTCTTCCCTTAATATCTGTATACAAGTGTTGCTTCAAAGTACCAAGGTCAGAAATTGATTGAGTACGGTTTACTAAAGTCATGTGGAATAAAGCCATTGGAAACAAATGGAAAGCCTGTCGGGACTTCTGGGCTCAGAACCAGCTGGCTCACGCACTCCACTTGTCAGCTGGACTTCTGCCTTGTGAAATGGAAGCAGCCTTTGTTCCTTTCTGGCTGAGCAAGCTCCTGAGGCTGGGAGAGACTAGGAAGGCTTGGTAGGAGGGGAAAAAAGTCAGGAAAATATATCAAATCAGAAACATGGAAGAAGAAGGGAACCGATTTGAGTTGGTGGGCAAAACTCTAAAAATCTAAATCTGATGCTTATGTAAGGGTTGAGCGAATTAGGGAGATTGCTAGTGGAAATTGGAGGGAATTTGTTTTGCATCATTTGTCTAGGATCTATGCAAATATAGCTCCACTAAAGGACCATAGGGAAGAGCCAGCCTTGCCTTTTCTTATATGATTTTGTTTACAAAATTTTACTGGGACTTTTAAATCTAGCTATAGAGTTGGGAAAAAATATTTCCACTTAGATATTTTACATGGTTTTGTTTAAAATTACCATTACTTGTTTTTTAAAAACACATGACCACATATGTATATGTATATCTACCTAAACATTGTATCATGGTTTCAGTATGTTATTCATGTATTACTGGGAGATGCTACCAAGAAACCAACCCAAAGAAAATTCTGAAAAATACATTTCTATTTATAGAATAAATGTTTCATTTATATAAAAGCAAAAGAACTTAGAGTTCTAATAAATGGGATGTCTAATAAATTATGAAGTTACTGATTTGAATATATTATATTTCTATAACTTCCTTGCCAAAGTCCTGATTTAGTACATTAGAGAACCTGTGTTTCCTCTCTCCTCTACCATTCATCTCTCTTCCATACAGTCATTTGGGCTTTTTACTCAAAGAGAATCAAGAAATAATAAGGTATAACAAGCTTGGCAAAGTGTTGGCTTTTTAAAAAAAAATTTTTTTAATCTCTAGCAGTTTGGTAATTTAGCAGCATCATTTATTTGGGATTCTTTTATCTGATTTCAACAGTGAAAAACATCCCTATGATAAAGCCTAATGACCCATTTCACAAAAGATGGAATTTGCCCTTCCTAGAAAATATGACGGAGAAAAGTCTGACTCAGAGAAAGTGGGTCTGAATTTTATAAGGGGTAGTAAGAATTGGACAATTCCTTTGCATATCTGAACTTGGCAGGTACCGTTCTAAATCTGAAACAGGGTGATAGCTCAAAGTTGCCATTCATCCAGAATAGATTGTTTTAGAATGTAGTGTTTAAGTGACTGTTTCATTAATACACCTACACCCTTTCTTTGAAAGTTTGCAACCTAATTGCATCTAAAACTATGAATAAGTTCTGTGGTAAAATCTTAAACTATGGAAAATTACAAAAATGAATTTTTCTTCCCTGAAATCAGAGCTTACATGTGTGTTTTTTTATAACATTTTCAGATAAATGTATTCAACATGTAATACAGTATTTTAACATTCACCTCTTATTTTATATTGAAATGTATTACAGTATTAAAACTCAGTGTTCAGTATTTATTTCACTATGCATTTTATTTAGTAAAAGCCAGGAGAAATGTTTAATCCAATGGTGCCTTACTTTGTGATTTAAAAGAAATCAACTTTTTTTTATGTCTAAGTAGTAGATTATTTGCATATTTGTAAAAACTGTTAGGTCTTTATATTTTAAAGTGTAATACCAGTTTTGTTATTTTAGTAGCAGAAATGGGATGATTGTTAAAGTTCCCCAAAAATGTTGGCATGAAATTAATTTTTCCCTCCTTATAGTCAAGGACCGTAGAGGAAGAAAAACTTTTTTTTCATACCATGCACTATGTAAACAGACACATTTTGCTATCTGTGTCATCAGGATAGTGTAAGTGGTAGGGTAGAGACTACCCTAGACATCTGCATCTTTGTAAGTTAGCCAGACAATAAAGAAAAGCAGAATGATATGGTGTCAACTGGTGGTTTTTCTTTTAAGTATTGTTTATGTAAATATAAACAAAAAAACAAGTGTCTGTTTTCGGTTTTAAACTGTGGAAAAGAAAGACAAACAAAAAAAGGTTTGTATAAGTAAGTAAATATTCATTGTACCTACTTGCTAATCCCATCTTCGTTTTTTCCGAGAATCTGCATCTTAGTCAAAATCTGTTTACTTGAGGCAGATGTTTGTACTAGGAGGTAAAGATGGATGGCTGAAGCAATGGAAGATGAAATTACAAAGACTGGCATGGATACTGATAAATACAGGAAAGGCCAATGGGAATTTAGGAGTCTGATAACTTTCTTAATTATCTGCTGTATGTATACATACAGATCTCAATATAGAAGAATGGCTAAGAGCTTAGGAAGACCTGGCTCCGTGTCTTACTTGCAAGTCACTTCACTAAACCTGTTTCCTTATCTATAAGGTGAGGAACTATCTTATAGCATTAATATATGCATTAAATGAGATAATGCACTCAGCATTTAGCCTTAGTGTAAGCACTCAATAAGGAGTAGCCACTATTAGTGTGAAGTAGGAAACAAATATTTATATAATGATCCCAAATTAACTGGAGCCAAATCCACTAGAAGGGGATCTACTAGTGTACTTTTAAAGGAAAGGAGCACTAGCTCCTAGATTGAAAAAATATCCATATCAGAAATGCAAAGCAACTTCTACATAAGGGTCACCTCACCTACCATCCTCCCTGTACCTCCAGGCCTGGAAAATGAAATTTTACCGTGCTTCAGTCATCAGAGAAGTATTATTAGGTTCAGTATGAAATAACAGAAATTAAGAGCCAGAACTTCGCAGATGGGGCAACCTTAGAATTTATGATCCACAATGGAACATTTTTGAGAGTGGAAGGGGTGCTAATAGTTGCAGTGGCAAAGCAGGTATAAGTCTGGGTTGCCTTGGAAAATGGGGCCGTGTGGTCACCCCACTCAGAGGTCATCCAGTCCAAACGTCTGGGCTTACAGATGGGCAATTTAAGGCCCTAAATGATGTGACTTCTCACTGTACTGTCCCATCTTCATAGTCTTTCCTGCCCCTCTCTCTATCACTGTTTTATGTGTCTTTCACATTGGCTGGAAAGAACAGGCCAAATGAGAGGTTACAGCGTCACAGCAAAAGCCGTGCACTCACAAATCTGCGTTTGGATTCTGGCTCTGCCACTTGCTCCCTGTGAGGCCATAGACAAATTATTTAAGTCTGAGTTCTAGCTTCCTCAAGTGCAAAATGGTTACAAAGCTTAAATAATACACATCCAGAAGCTTTGTAGGTGGTTTATTGAAAAAAAATAAATTTTAAAATAAATAAGTAAATATGCAAAACTCAAGCAAGATACCTGGCATATGTTAGGCACTCAATGAAAATTAACTCCATTTCATTTCTTAATCATTTTGCCATCAAACCTAGGCCATATTCATGACAGAATTCTCAAACGCAAAGAAGTCTTGACAAGTGCTCGCTTCGGCAGCACATATACTAAAATTGGAACGATACAGAGAAGATTAGCATGGCCCCTGCGCAAGGATGACACGCAAATTCGTGAAGCGTTCCATATTTTTAGATATACCTAATGCTAGATGACGAGTTAGTGGGTGCAGCACACCAGCATGGCACATGTATACATATGTAACTAACCTGCACATTGTGCACATGTACCCTAAAACTTAAAGTATAATAATAATAAATAAATAAATAAATAAAGAAGTCTTGACAAAATTCAGTTGCAGAATCTTTAGGAATAAAAATTGCTTTAAGTCTGGCCTCGTTTGTTCAAAGTGGAATTATTTATTTGATTCATTCATTTAATAAGTTTTTATTGAGCACTTACTGTTTACCAGCTTCACCACAAATGACCTATTAACTGGTATCCCCACCGTGACTGTAGTGGTCAAGTGATCTCTGAGTGGCAGGTAAGGAGGCCAGCACCCATTCCAAACAGGCATGGGGGCAACTTCAGTCACCCAAGCCATAGAGGGCTTGCTACTAGTGGAGAAGACACATATTTTATAGGTTCTTACCCCCTTAAGTAATTTATTTGCTTTCTTTCTAATCTCAATGTCATGGTAAATTACACTCGCTTTTTAAAAATTGTTAAACCTACAGGAACCTTGAAAAAAACAGTATTTGGAAAGATTTTTGATGACCAATAAGTTATATCTTTTGGGTTTTGATTAATTTGGAAGGTAAATTCAAGGATTCCCAGTTTTCTAAACATTCCAACTAACTGAAGGCTCCCTGGGTACCTAATAGTCACCAGTTCCCTTCTCCTTTGTCTTCCCCCAGTCTCACTTCCCTGCAGCCTGAACACTTGGCATTTAATGTCTATGTCGAGTTACATTTAGCATGTACGTGTTTCTCATACTGGTAAATGTTTAGAAATGTCCCACTCATCAACGTTATAGCACAAGTACCTTTGTCTTAAAATGTTGCTTCCATTATTACACAGGTGCATTTATAAGAAGCTAATTAAGCTCAAGCTGTAGGATCCCCCAGTTGCAAGGCGGGGGGGGGGGGGTTGGCTTCTAACTATTTATTATTATTTTTATTTTAAAGGGTCTCATTCTGTCACCCAGGCTGGAGTGCAGTGGCATTATCATAGCTCACTGCAGCCTCAGATTCCTGAGTTCAAGCAATCCTCCTGCCTCAGCCTCCTGAGTCACTGGGACTGACTACAGGTGCGCAACCATGCCTGGCTAATTTTTAATTTTTTTTTTGTAAAGAGGGGTGGTCTCGCCATATTGCCCAGGCTAGTCTCAAATTCCTGGCCTCGAGCAAGGCTCCCACCTCAGCCTCCTAATGTGCAAGGATTACAGGTGTGAGACACTGTGCCTAGCTGGGGCTTCAAGTTACATACTCATTTTCATATCTAGTTTTTTATTTATGATTTTATATTATCTTTCTTAAATAGGACAACTTATATTGTCTAAAGCTTCAGACATCACAAAACCTGGACCTGCCCTTGCAATTCTGCCTTGCTCAACTTCTGGTGGAGAACTCAACCAAAACAAATGTCTTAAAAACTTTAAGCCACCAGCTTCCTGTGAGTGACAGATATAAGAGAGCCAAAGTGTTTGCCTCCTTCATACTCCCTGAGTGACCTGTAAATGTCTCTAAAATAACATGGTCATTGCATTGCCCACATTGCATTAGAGTCAAAAGCCCCAGAACATGACCTATCTAAGAAAATACCTTTGAGGTCCCTGGAAAACAAGTCCAGCCGTTATTAGACGTTGCGCTCAAATTCAGCTTAAATTTTGGCCAGGAAGATGCCTACCAGAACACCTGGAATATCCATCATGGACTTAACATAAACGTTTTAGTCATAGGGACTCCCACCCTTTTCCTGTTTTCTGTCTGCCTTGGTAAGTTAAAGGTCACACATCAAAATGCTATCTATTTCAGATCAGTTCCAGAAACAAATAGCAGCAAATAATTGGAAAAACCCACATGATTTAATGGAGCTGTTGTACTCCCTGATATTTATTTGTACATTATTCAAATCATCAACAAACAGTAGTTGAGGAACTATAATTTATTAAGCACTAGGAATACAAAGATATACATAATACAATAGGAAGTTTTTAAATACTAGACCCAGAACCAAGTGTGAGTTTAAATTCTACATCTAATAAAAACTTCAGCTAGTAGGTACAACCCAACCCCATCCTACCACTGGTTCTGGAATGCACCTCATCACGGACATAGGGCTGTTTGGCTGGCTGTGTGCATGCAAGGAAAATTCCTACTCATGCTTGCTCCTTTGAGATTTACTCTTGGAGCAAAAGCATGGACAGTCCCAAAGGAGGCCACCATGGGAAAATGAAAAAACATCTAACACAGTAATGAAAACAGTAATTTTATACCATCAAGACAAGCTACCATGGCCAGGCACAGTGGCTCACACCTGTATTCCCAAGACTTTGGGAGGCTGAGGTGGGAGGATTGTTTGAGCCCTGGAATTCAAGACCAGCCTCGACAACATAGCCAGACCCTGTCTCAAATAAATTTTAAAAATTAGCCGGGCATGGTGGCATGTGCCTATACTCCTAGCTACTCAGGAGGCTGAGGCAGGAGGATCACTTGAGCCCAGGAGTTTGAGGTTGCAATGAGCTATGATCCTTCCACTGCACTCCAGCTTGGGTGCCAGAGACCCCATCTCTTAAAACAATAAAAAAAATTTTAAAAAGAAGACACTGCCTAATTTATGTATCTAAATGACAACACATTCTTTTTCATATAACCACCACCAATACTACAATTTGAGCTAGGCTTTTTACAAATATTATTGCCAATCTTTGTATCATTATACATAGAGAAATCAAAGCCTGAGTGGATTAGAAATTTGCCTCAAGCCACTTGCCTTAAGTGGATTGAGAATTCAAACTCAAAGCTGCCTGATCAAATTTGAATGGGGAGTAATATCATTGTCAACTTTTCATTTGTCAGTTTAAAAAAATACCGATATTTCCTATAAGTAAGAACCTTAGTGAGCCAAGACAATGGAAGACCTCATTTGAGAATGAGGCAGTTGGCTCAACTGAATAAACATAGCTTCCTGGAAAACTTGCTCCGTTGTCCTCACTTTCCTCATTGGACTGTGGACTGGCTCTGCGTTTACCACCTGGGACACATTGCTTCTTGGATGTGATCCAACTTCTTTTGGTTCTTTGCAGTTTAGGGGGTGGTTATAATCCCTGCCTTGAAGTTTTAAAAAGGATATTATATAAATTTGCTTTTCAGCTCATCTTATCAGATACCTGCTACCTTTTAAGGTGATCTCAGAGAAGCCAGAAGTCATTTCATTAAGCAGTTACAGGTTACGGGAAATCCCCATGTCAGAATCAAACTGCAGTGTGCCTAGTTAATTTGCTTTCCTATGAATCTCCCTTCCTTTGTACTGTTCATTATTTATAGGATATTTCTACCATTCCTATCATAAATTTATAGTACTAAATTTCTTTGTCACTCTCCTTGGAGTTGGAAAAGCCATGTGGCTCTTTTAAATACCAAATAATAGGATTCGCTTTTCGGTAATAGCCAGAAGTAAACCTTGTGTTCTTTGCCTCATCATACTACCTAACACTCAGTAAAGCAAAAAGACAATCATATTCAACAAAATTGAAAAGAGTGGCTCCACAGTTTTCAGGCATTTTTACATACCTTATGTCATTTGTACCCCACAGCAGCCCTCAGAAAGAGGAAGGAGGAAGAAACTGATCCCCATGTCACAGGTACAGGGCTAAGGCCTGAGAGAGGAAGTAACTTAAGGCCTCACAGCTGTTGGGCTCACAGGCCAAGACTAAATTCCTCTCTGACTCTTTCAGTCACATTCTTTTCATTGGATTTCTGTCCTTATTGTCTTCATTCATTTGACAAATATTATCGCGCATCTTCTCACAACAGAGACGGCGTGAGGTAAACCCAGCTGAGGATATGCAGGTCAATACTGCAAAATGCCTGTGTCTCAGGAAGCCTGTGGTCTTTGGGCGGGGCTGAGGCAAGGACATGAGAAACTCTAGAACTAGGCAGAGTACATTAATTGTTATTCAAAGTCCAGATACAATGCATCAGGAGGATCCAAAGAAGGTACAACACCTGTGAAAGGGGTTGAGCCTCACTGCTTCACCCTCAAAGGCACTGCTCTACCCTGCTGATTTAGACTTGCAGTGTCTCTCAGAAGGAAAGAATCACCTGGAGTGCTTGTTAAATGCTGATTCCTGGGCTCCACCTCAGACCTACCAAAATTAGAATCTCTTGGAACCCAGGGAATTTGTATTTTTAACAAATTTCAAGGTCATTCTGATTCACACTCAGATTTCAGAAGCACCACTCTAAAGATTTTGCCCTTGCACTGGGCCTCTAAAACAATGTATTCATAAGCCTGGAACCTGGACTAAAAAATAAAACAAAAAAAGTATTAAAATATATAGCATATATGAAATAATGTGGATGAGTCCATCTCCATAGACGATGGAGCCTGCATCCATTTCATTTTTATTTTTATTTATTTATTTATTTTTGAGACAAAGTCTCTCTGTGTCGCCCAGGCTGGAGTGCAGTGATGCAATCTGGGATCACTGCAACCTCCGCCTGCTGGGTTCAAGCAATTCTCCTGCCTCATCCTCCTGAGTAGCTGAGATTACAGGTACATGCCACCACACCTGGCTAATTTTTGTATTTTTAGTAGAAGCAGGGTTTCACCATGTTGGGCAGGCTGGGCTGGAACTCCTGACCTCAAATGATCCACCCGCCTTGGCCTCTCAAAGTGGTGGGATTACAGGCATGACCCACCAAACCCAGCCAAGCCTGCATAAATTAAAACAAAAAAGAATATATGAAATAATACGAAGATTAAATCACCAAGATGGTGTTCACTTTTTGTCATACTGATTCACTTCATTTAACACTGTCCCATGTGTGCTGATTCATTAGAATGCTATTGTCTCGAATATGCGTTCCTTCAAAAATGTTTCTATTAGGTAAACCTTGAGGACATTATGCTAAGTGAAATAAGCCATTCAAGAAAAGACAAATACTGAGTGATTCTTTTTTTTTTTTAATAACAGAGATGGGGATCTCACTGTGTTGCCCAGCTGGTCTCAAACTCCTGGGCTCAAGCAATCCTCCTGCCTCGGCCTCCCAAAGTGCTAGGATTACAGGTGTGAGCCACTGCACCTGCCTGGATGATTTCATTTTTATGAGCTATCTAAAGTAATCGAATTCATAGAAACAGAAAGTAAAATGGTGGTTGCCAGGGGCTAAGGGTAGGGGGGAAGTGGGAGTTGTTTAAAAGGTATAGAGTGTCAGTTTTACAAGATTAAAAAGTTTGGAGATCTGTTTCACAACGGTGTGAATATACTTAACACTATTCACCATACACTTACAAATATTTAAGATGGTGAGTTTTGTTATGTTCTTACCACAATAAAAAATATCTCTATATCTGTCTATCTATCTGTCACCAAATTCTGATGACACTTTTCCCTCATGCTACGTGCTACCCTATCCTCTCTGCCAAAGAAAACTCCTACGGTAACAGCACTGTGCGGTCCCGGCCAGGGAGCATCAGCACTCTGTACTGAGTGTGTGTTCTACTGCGTTTCTTTCAGTGTGTTGGCAATGTGTGGCCCCTCTCCATGCCACTTTCTGGTGAGTTCTGGTAAACAATTTTGGTCCATTGTGCTGTCAAAAGGTAAATAGTGTTACTTCTGCCATAAAGAAAAATAGAAGAGTATCACGGCGGATGTTAAAAATGTTTAAGCACACTTTGGGAGGCCAAGGTGGGCAGATCACGAGGTCAGGAGTTCAAGACCAGCCTGGCCAACATGGTGAAACCTTGTCTCTACTAAAAATATAAAAATTACCCGGGTGTGGTGGCGGGCACCTGTAATCTCAGCTACTCGGGAGGTTGAGGCAGGATAATTCCTTGAACCCAGGAGGCGGAGGTTGCAGTGAGCTGAAATCATGTCACTGCACTCCAGCCTGGGCAAAACAGCAAGACTCCGTCTGGGAAAAAGAAAAATGTTTAAGCAGCTCAAGATGATGTCAAGGAAATGAAGTCTCAGTGATAGAGGGGAAGCACCAACAGGGTGCTTCAGAGTGGTGGAAGTCCTCACATGATGAGGAGTATCATAAACACCCCTCCTACCACAGAGGTTAAACAACAACTATGACTGGTAATGGGAAGAAACTATGGCCTGGGGCACACTGGGACCTCAGGAGATTTAAAGAGAAGAGAAAACCCAATGGAGAGGAACCTGGACTCAAGAGACGTGGCCAAAACAGGCTGTTCGCTTGGGCCCCCTTTCTAGGAACACATGCCCCCTCCTCCAGCTAACAGGGAACACGTACAGCGTTGCTGGGATTGCAGCCTCCACACTTACCTATGTTTCACTTTAGCCAGGGGAGAATGAGTTACAAGATGCTGGAGCAGTGATTCTCACACCTCATCGCACCTCCTGGAAGGCTTGTTAACACAGAGTCCCGGGGGCCTGTGCCCACTGCTACAGATTCGGATTCAAGAGATCTGGGGTAACGCCTGAGAATTTGCATTTCCAACAGGTTTTTGAGTAATGCTTAATGTTGCTGGTTCTCAGACCACACTTGGCATAGCTCTGGTGCACAATCACAATGAAACAGTTTTCTTTGTATTAAATTAATATGTATGTATAGCATCTAACCTAAATACATTGTCCATAATTTGCATTATAGTTGAAGAAACTTAGCAGAGAAAAGGAGAAAGGAGAAAACCAGTTAGTATGGTATTTTACCAAGAACATAATTATGACTTATAATTACCTAATACTCTCTCTTTGACCATTAATCATATCTATGGATCTTTTTTGTTGTTGTTTTTCCCTTGCCCACACATCATGGAGGTTGGAGTAGAATCCAAATGTTAATAAATGTTAATTATGGATTTTTAAAAATCAAACCAAAACAGCAAAAATCATGAAAAAAGTAATTCATGGAAGCTGACAAGCTTTCACCTTAATCATCTCAAGGTTAAATAATGATCGGAATTCTTTTAGTTGAAGCACTTACGTTACATCTTGATGTTTGACTATCATATAAATATAACTGTACTATTAGGCTCTATTTTTCATTGCAGATGAAATTGATGCATCTTTGTGTGGTGCGGTTTGACATAGTAAAATTGTTACTCTCTAGGCAGGATATTCATAAAAATGTAATTATCGTCATCAGAACAGTCTTTAAGCTCCTGAGCAGAGACAGCCAGATTCATGATTGCCAGTTCTCAATCACTTCCCGTATAACAAAGAAACTTCTTAAAGCAGCCTTGGAAATCATTAATGTCTTACAGAGGGAATCTATTCTAATCAAACAACAAAAGGTGCTGGGAGATGGTGATAAGTACTCAAGTTGGCCTCCTCTGCCTGACTTTGGACAGGATTGGACAGAGATTTAACATATTTCATTCGGTTTACTCACCAACAAGTTTTACTTTGTTTTCTTGTGTGTGTTTTTAATTTTTATTCTTTTTTTTTTTGAGACAGAGTCTTGCTCTGTCGCCCAGGCTGGAGTGCAGTGGTGCAATCTCAGCTCACTGCAAACTCCGCCTCCCAGGTTCAAGCAATTCTTTGCCTCAGCCTCCCGAGTAGCTGGGATTACAGGTGCCCGTCACCATGCCTGGCTAATTTTTGTATTTTTGTATTTTTAGTAGAGAAGGTGTTTCACAATCTTGGCCAGGCTGGTCTTGAACGCCTGACCTCAGGTGATCCACCCGCCTCAGCATCCCAAAGTGCTAGGATTACAAGTGTGAGCCACCACACCCAGCCGATTTTTATTCTTAAACAATTTGTATCACCAACAGGTTTTAATAGCAGTGCTGTTTGCTGGAAGAGCGCTTTGAGATCATAGCAAGACCACCTTGAGTGTAAATCAGAAACGGTTACTGACTGTAATACATTTATCATTGTTCTTCTTTTCTTTTTTTTTGAACCAAAACCAAGAGGCAGCAGCCTGGTGCCCCCTGGGTTCTCCTCTCATTTTACTTCTTGAGTTCATAAACTGCTGGAGGAACAGCCCTGCAGTTGCTTCCCAGGCACCGTGCCACCTGGACAAAACATAGCGAGTGCAGTCAGTAGGATTCAGCCCCTGGTTAGTTGGAGTGTCCAGTGTTCTTAATGTCCCAAATGCTGGTTTAGTAGTATGCTTGATAAACTTAGGGATACCAGAAGCAATCACATTTCAGTGGGTTAGAGAAATAAAAGGGAAAACATGAAATCAACAGATTTTTAGATTTGAAGAAGAAAACAATATATTCAAAGGAGAAAGCAACCTTGTTTTTGATTCCCGCTGTCCTTTTCAGATTACTCAATAGGGGAAAAGTTCTTCTCTTGCTCCAGAATGAAAATCTCCATAATCTTACAACTCGTTTTAATCACTCTTAAGTAATAAAAAGTCCTATAGTCACTCTAAGTCTCCAACAGTCTCAACTGAGAAGTTAGAATATCTAGTTTTGTGTCATAATCAATTTTTTTTTTTTTAGATGAAGTCTCGCTCCGTCGCCCAGGCTGGAGTGCAGTGGCGCTATCTCGGCTCACTGCAACCTCCGCGTCCCGGGTTCAAGCAATTCTCCTGCCTCAGCCTCCCGAGTAGCTGGGACTACAGGCGCCTGCCACCACGCCCGGCTAATTGTTTGTATTTTTAGTAGAGACAGGGTTTCACCAAGTTGGCCAGGATGGTCTCAATCTCCTGACCTCTTGATCCGCCCACTTCGGCCTCCCAAAGTGCTGGGATTACAGGGGTGAGCCACAGCTCCTGGCCCATAATCAATTCTTAAAACCAGATTTCAAGTTGAAGCTTCTCCCTTCACCTGTGTGGGGCCTTCTGCAGCCAGGAAGCCAGGTAAAGAGGGGCGGGAGACATCTTTTCTTGTCGTCCACCTACTGAAAGGTGACAGCGTGCTGGCAGTCCTCACAGCCCTGGCTCGCTCTCCGCACCTCCTCTGCCTGGGCTCCCACTTTGGCGGCACTTGAGGAGCCCTTCAGCCCACCGCTGCACTGTGGGAGCCCCTTTCTGGGCTGGCCAAGGCCGGAGCCGGCTCCCTAAGCTTGCGGGGAGGTGAGGAGGGAGAGGCAGGGGCAGGAACCGGGGCTGCGCACTGTGCTTGTGGGCCAGGGCCAGTGCCAGTTCCGGGTGGGTGTGGGCTTGGCGGGCCCGGCACTCGGAGCGGCTGCGGCCCCGGGCAGTGAGGGGCTTAGCATCTGGGCCAGCAGCTGCTGTGGTCAATTTCTCCCCGGGCCTTAGCTGCCTTCCCGCCGGGCAGGGCTGGGGACCTGCAGCCCGCCATGCCTGAGCCTCCCCCACCGGCCTCCATGGGCTCCTGCGCGGCCAGAGCCTCTCCGACGAGCGCCGCCCACTGCTCTACGGTGCCCAGTCCCATCGACCACCCAAGGGCTGAGGAGTGCAGGCGCACAGCGTGGGACTGGCAGGCAGCTCCACCTGTGGCCTGGGTGCATGATCCACTGGGTGAAGCCAGCTGGGCTCCTGAGTGTGGTGGGGACTTGGAGAACGTTTATGTCTAGCTAAGGGATTGTAAATACACCAATCAGCACTCTGTATCTAGCTCAAGGTTTGTAAACACACCAATCAGCACCCTCTGTCTAGCTCACGGTTTGTGAATGCACCAATCGACACTGTATCTAGCTACTCTGGTGGGGACTTGGAGAACCCTTATGTCTAGCTAAGGGATTGTAAATACACCAATCGGCACTCTGTATCTAGCTCAAGGTTTGTAGACACACCAATCAGCACCCTCTGTCTAGCTCAGGGTTCGTGAATGCACCAATCAACATTCTGTATCTAGCTACTCTGGTGGGGAGGTGGAGAACCTTTGTGTCTAGCTCAGGGATTGTAAACGCACCAATCAGCACCCTGTCAAAACAGACCACTCGGCTCTCTGTAAAATGGACCAATCAGCAGGATGTCAGTGGGGCCAGATAAGACAATAAAAGCAGGCTGCCCAAGCCAGCGGTGGCAACCTGTTGGGGTCCCCTTGCACACTGTGGAAGCCTTATTCTTCCTCTCTTTGCAATAAATCTTGCTGCTGCTCACTCTTTAGGTCCACACTGCCTTTATGAGCTGTAACATTCACCGTGAAGGTCTGCAGCTTCACTCTTAAAGCCAGCGAGACCACGAACCCACCGGGAGAAACGAACAACTCCAGACGCACCGCCTTAAGAGCTGTAACACTCACCAGGAAGGTCTGCAGCTTCACTCCTGAAGCCAGCGAGACTATGAAGCCACCGGAAGGAACGAACAACTCCAGAAACACCACCTTAAGAGCTGTAACGCTCACTGCGAAGGTCTGCAGCTTCACTCCTGAGCCAGCGAGACTATGAAGCCACCGGAAGGAACGAACAACTCCAGAAACACCACCTTAAGAGCTGTAACGCTCACTGCGAAGGTCTGCAGCTTCACTCCTGAGCCAGCGAGACCACGAACCCACCAGAAGGAAGAAACTCCGAACATCAGAAGGAACAAATTCCGGACACGCCACTTTTAAGAATTGTAACACTCACCGTGAGGGTCCGCGGCTTCATTCTTGAAGTCAGTGCGACCAAGAACCCACCAATTGCAGACACATTACTAGCTCTCTGCCGCCATTTTACTACCATGATTTGTTCCAGGCTCAAAGCAGGAAGAGGGAGGAGGAGGAGGAGGGAGAAAGGGAGAAAAGCTCTTAATTAATTGATCGTCTCAGAGGGCCCATTCTTTCTTCCTGGGCTAGGTTGTGGTATTTAAAGTTACCTCTCTCCCTTGTTTGATGCTCTCATGGGGTCTTCAAAGACACCGCCGCCTCCATGGCTGGGGTTGTTTGTTGAGGTTCCCTTGATCAGCTCTGCCTCAAAACTCTGCTTCTCCCGCTCAAGCCTGAGAGTCCCTCTAGGTGGCCCTGTTGGACAAGAGCTAAGCCTTCTCTCTGTCTCTCCCTTTCTCTCTCTTTCTCTCTCAACCAACCCAGGCCCATCTCTTTCTCTAGGAGGGAGCCAAACACCAGTCACCAGCACGGGGCAGGGATGGGGCAAAGCTCAGAAAGAAGCCCCGCCGAAGGAGGGTGGAGGGCTGGGAGGGGCTTTCAGCCGGTCCTGACTTTTTGTTATGGAGAATGGCTTTTCCCTCTTCTGGGTGGCTCGGTCACCCTGGAGAGTCCTGCACCAGCTCTAACATGCCAGGCTTTTTCCTTGGCCGCCAAGAGAGCTGGGCCCGCCCTCCCTTCTGAGCTCTCCTCCAGCTCCTTTCTGATCCCTGCCCGTGTGGTCCTGCCCTCAGGCCCCGTTCAGAAGGTCAGCCTAAACCAGGACCAGAGGGCAACTCCTGCCCTCCAGCTTGGCACCTCAGTCATGAAGGTGGCATTTGAGTCCATCTGCTACCTTTTATGTTTTCAATTTGTGCAGGACCTGGAGGGGGAAGAGAGGTGTTATTTACTGAGCCCCCTCAGAACTTCAACATCGTCTTACCTCGAAAGTAGGCAGAGAATGAGTGGTGTCATGTTGCCACTTTTGGAATTTCTTTCCCCTTTGAAGATTTCTTATTTTTTTATGGCACCTGTCTTTGGCTTGTCATATATATTTTACCTTGGTGTCTTGGTGAGAGCTTCTTATGTAATATTCTGAAATGTGTCATATGGGAAATACAGCTTTTAGAGTTTTCTTGAGAAGTGGTTGATTATAGCAACTACATGAGGACATATATTTAACAGTGAAATGAAGATACTTTATTTCAGGGGAAAAATGACTTTTAAGAGGCTCTAATTTTTTTTCTTGGCTTTGCACAGACAAAATCACCACATTTTGCTCAACCCTAATTTTGTCATTTATAAAATGAAACGTTTAGCCTAAATAATCTCTCAGGTCTCTTTCCAACTCGTACCATGAATCTGAGAGACCTGGAAAGGAAGTGGGACAACATTTCTGTTGTGAAGAAGGCAAGGCTGGTGATGTGGGCGTGAAGGTTAAAGATGCTGGCCCCTCATGACATTGGCGAACGTGGCCCTTCTTCCACCTGCTCAGCCAGAAACGCTACTGAGTGCAGACGTTTGTATACTAAGAGGTATTTGGGTGCATACGATTTAATCCTTAGCCTGATGAGCTTATAAGTGTGAAGAGAAGCAAGACTGTTCACAAATTGCTAAAACAAAATATGATGCTACATTTACCCAACAAACCTAAGATTCTGTGTACAAAACATTGCAGTAGTATCACTGGAATTGTGTGTGGGCTGCTGTGAGTTCAGCGTCCTCTCAGAGCACCGTGGTTCCAAGTGGACGGACCTTAAAGGGTTCCATAATCAGGACAGGTTGAAAGAATAGTGAATGCCACACAAATGCCCCCACACCCTTGACCCTGTGCCACCAAAGGCAAAACCAAAAGACATTTCAATTGGGAAAATCGTGATGCTTGTCTCTTATTTTCTTTCTTTTATTATTATTAAGACACGATTATCATTCAGGATTCATGCTGTTTACAGTTTGACTACTTCATAGAAAAATGTGTCTATAAAACACCTGGTAGTTGTAAAAAGGCTTGGGTAGGGCCCAGAAAGCCAGATACATGCATGCTATTTATTCAGCTGCCGGGAGCCATTCCCTGTCTCCATACACCCAAGGATTGTCTATCCTCTCCTAAATTTTATTTCTAATATTCTTGCTACATAGTCAGGTTAAAAAAATGAAACACAAAAAAATCAGGAAAATCAAAGCACTGCCTCCCTGAAAAATTATGCTCAAATACAAACATTCTTCTTGGCATTTCAGGCATGTTTTGACGCTGTGGACCAGGAAGGTGGTTGCAAATGCATCGATCTGGTGTGCCACACACATTAGATCTACGTGAAAGTTATCTGTAAAAGCGAGTCTACAAGCATCCCCTCAGCACCTCTGGTGTATCTGACTCACGGGGCTAAGTACCATAGAAGATACCCAAGATTCTGACATATTCTGTGCCCTGGTCACACAAGCCACAGTGTCAGAGAGAACAGTAAGCCCACTGCCTGCCCCACCACTGGTGACAGCAAGCCTGCCCCCAGGGAGTTTTGAAGTTGCTCTTTGCTCTTATCTAATCTCAAAAGCTGAACCCTAACCCTGCCTTCCACCCTCCAGTGACTTTTCCAAGACAAGTAATGTTCACCTGCTTGAATGCATCACTTCATGCATCTTTAAAGGCTTTGAACTTTATTGTGATAATGGACGTTTAAATCACTTGGAATACTGATTAGGTAGGTAGCTTTTCAAAGGGAGCTAGGCTCCTGCCATACTTTGTCTAATTTTAATTGACGAAATGGAATTTCAGGCATGATCCCTGAAGAGAGGGCATTTCTACTGTAGACACATGGGGGAATTTTGCTTCTGGCAGAAAGAGAAGGGCCACAATCTAAAGTGATATCCAAAACAATGAAGTGAGTGGGGAAAACATCCAAGTGGGTAGAGAAGTTGGGAGGCGTTGTTCTATGGTGACAGTGATCATACTTTCCTAATCAGACACCAGGGCAAATGGGCTGACCCATGGTCTGATCATAGGACAGATTATTTGAAATCTGGGGTGTTTGATCACCATCTTCATAGTGAATGAAGCCAGCAAGCGCCAGCAGCTGTTCAGAGTGAAAGCCCTTAACAATGAGTCTCTGTGAGTTGAGGGACCCAGCGTAGTGGGTGGGAAATCTGCTGAGGTCACTTATGAGCCATAGCTTCCTCACACAACACAAAGAAGGGTTGTTACCAGGGGCTTCCTGGAACCGGTTGCTGTCACCACCTTGTCTGCAAGGAGAAAGGTGCAATCTACTCACCAGTAAAACAATGATGTTTTGCTTCCATACAACACAATGTGGGAATGCAAAATATAAGAAGCAGGAGCAAGAACAGGGCAGATCATCAGCTATCCTCTGCTTTCTCAAGCTCTATGGCTCCCTCTTAAATAGATTTTGAACATCATACTTTTTTTCTTTTTCTTTCTTTTTTTTTTTTTTTTGAGACAGGGTCTCGCTCTGTTGTCCAAGCTAGAGTGCAGTGGCACCATCACAGCACACTGCAGCCTTGACCTCCCAGACTCAGGCAATCCTCCCACTTCAGCCTCCCAAGTCCCTAGGACTACAGGTGCACGCCACCACACTCGGTGAATTTTTGTATTTGTTGTAGAGATAGGGTCTTGCTATGTTGCCCAGGCTGGTCTTGACCTCCTAGACTCAAGCCATCCTCCAGCCTCGGCCTCCCAAAGTGCTAGGATTACAGGTGTAAGCCACTGCACCCAGCCCATACTTTTTTTCTTAAATCTTCATCTCTCTGCTTGCTAATCTTGTACATTCAATTTGAAACAGGGGAGCTGTTTTGTTGCAAAGGAGGAGATTCAGAAACTCCAATTCTCCTCCTTACTTTAATAAGAATGTTATGTCTAGCATATCGTAATAGGAGAAAAGTCTTCCTTTATTGCCAACACTCAAAGTCAATTCTCAGTTATGTGCTTTGAGAATAATCCTTGGAAAATATTCTAATTCCACCTCCTCTCACCAACATAGAAGTTTCTAAGCCTCCATCTCCACTTTTAAGTTGCTGTGTGCTTTTTCAACTTATATCCTACCAAAAGCTGAGTTTATTTAATATATGACATCATAATACGTTACTTTTGATGATTCAATGCTTTGTGCAATCTCAATCATAGTTTTAGCTCTATTAGGGTCATCAAGGAAGAGTTCAGTTTTATGGAAAACTCAAGGTCAGTTTCCATTGGCTTCTTCTCTCCATCAAAGCTTTAAATATATAGTAAACAGAAACATAGAATAGATTTATTTGTATTTAATCACTGTGTCTGCTTGGTTGTTTGCAGCTGCAAGTAATCAACTAAAGTAGATTAAATTCATAATCCCCTAGAATAAGAAGTGTGGAGGTAGGGCATTTGCAGGTTGGCTCTGCTTGCTAAGCTTGTACATTCAGTCTGAAACTCGGGAACTGTTTTGTTGCAAGAGAGAAAATTCACAAATTCCAATTCTCCTATTTAATAATTCAGTGACTCAGTGTCTTACTGAGGACCTAGACTCTTTCCACATTTCAACCCATCATCCTGGGCACATCGGTTTTAATCCTAAAGCTTGCCTCTATGGTCAGAAGAGGGCCACTGCAGCTCTAATAACTTCCTAATACATCACCTGAAGGCCAAAGGACAAGAGTGTCCTCATTATGATGAGGAGAAAGAGCTCCCCAGAAAACACCCAGGCTTCAAATAGTGAGTGGCTGATCAGCCCCTATAGTGGGAGGAGGCCCTACCAGCACTTAAAACAGGACACAGCCAAAAATAGCTGCTGTAAGTGGGAACTTAGAAAACTCTATGTACATACACTGAAGGTTAATGAGCATTCTGTTTATTTCCCATGGAGACTGTATCTGTGAAATGAATTTAGAACCAAGTAACCATTTTCTTTTTCTTTACTTTTTTTTTTTTTTTGAGATGGAGTTTCACTCTTGTTGCCTAGGCTGGAGTGCAGTGGCGCAATCTCAGCTCACTGCAACCTCCACCTCCCAGGTTCAAGTGATTCTCCTGCTTTAGCCTCCAGAGTAGCTGGGATTACAGGCATGCGCCACCACACCTGGCTACTTTTTGTATTTTTAGTTGAGACAGGGTTTCACCATACTGACCAGGCTGGTCTCAAACTCCTGACCTCTGGTGATCCACCCGCCTTGGCCTCCCAAAGTGCTGGGATTACAGGCATGAGCCACCACACCCGGCCTCAAGTAAATCATTTTCTAATCAGTTGAAACAGTACAAAGGAGAGAGTTGGTGTGAGGAGGGGGTCTGAAGGGGTGTGTAACTTGATGGTTGGGTTGAGGGGTGATCAAAAATGAAGAAAGAAAATATTCTAGACAGTGATAATTAATTGCTGCTAACATCACAAAAAAAGAGATAAGCAAAATGCCTTCCTACAGAAGTATACAATGCCACCTATAAAGTGTTCTTGCCAAAAACACAAATCAAATCCGATTAAACCTCTAGATCTAACACCCAACCTACAGGAAGTACAGGGAAGAAAGCAACTTATTAAACACAACCATGGGGTTGTAGTCAGCAAAATCCAGAACAAATGACCTGGCTTAGTGAATAACAGAAAAGGAGGCTGGGTGCGGTGGCTCATGCCTATAATCCCAGCACTTTGGGAGGCTGAGGTGGGCAGATCACGAGGTCAGGAGTTCGAGACCAGCCTGACCAACATGGTGAAACCCTGTCTCTACTAAAAATACAAACATCAGCCAGGCATGGTGGCACGCGCCTGTAATCACAGCTACTCAGGAGAGTGAGGCAGGTTAATCGCTTGAACCCGGGAGGCGGAGGTTGCAGTGAGCTGAGACTGTGCCACTGCATTCCAGCCTGGGCGACAGAGCAAGACTCTGTCTCAAAAAAAAAGGAGAGGGAGCATCTTAGATTAAAATGTACTTAAGAGAAGGAGCATTTATAGATTAAAATGATTAATGTTTGGACCCTGTTTGGATCCTGATTCAAACACAGTAATTGTAAAATGACACCTATAAAATGATTGAGGAAATTTAAACCTGACTGGATATTTGATGATATTAAGGACTTATTGTCAATATTTTTAGAAAGGATAAAGGTATTGTGGTTATGTCTTCTAAAAGAGTTAGTATTTTTTAGAGGCACATGCTGACATATTTATAGCAGAAATATGACATCTGAGATTTACCTCAAATGTCTCCAAAAAGTCCAGTAGAAGTAAGGAAGTGAGGGTAGGAAATGCCTGGCTGTGAATAATAGTTGGGAAGCTGGGTGATGTGTACCTGGGCGTTCCTTATACAATTCTGTTTTTATTTTGAAATAACAATTTTTATACATTTGGTTTTTTTGTTTTTGTTTTGTTTTAGAGAAAGGGTCTCACTCTGTCACCCAGGTCAGAGTGCAGTGACGCAATCATGGATCACTGCAGCCGCGAATTCCTGGGCTTGTGTGATCCTCCTGCCTCAGCCTTCTGAGTAGCTGGGACTACAGGAACATGCCACAATACTTGGCTAATTTCTAAAGTTTTTGTAGAGACAGGGTCTCACTGTGTTACCAAGGCTGGTCTCGAACTCCTGGACTCAAACAATCCTCCTGCCTTGGCCTCCCAAAGTATATTTCATTTTTTTACACAAGAGATGAGAAAAGAATAAAAATAAGAAAAGAGGGAAAGTCAGGTAAACAATCCTGTGTGACTCAGTCACCAGTTTGGGCCAATGGACTTCAGTTTGGGATTTCATGGCCCAGGGCAGAAACTGACAGTGATGTGCACCTCAGGCTCCTGGGAACAGTCCATCTGCTTCCTCCAGGTCACCCAGTCAAGGATGTCTCAAGGGAGTACTTACAGCAGCAGGCTGGAAGTGAGAACTTCTGATATCACCATCATTATTATAAGAAAATGCAGAAAAGTCTTCCTGACTATCCTATGCTAAGTACCCCCAAGTAAACTTAACCCCATTGAAATAAGTGTTATAGGTTATAGAATGTTAATTCTATCCAATGAGGTCCTAAGCATAACTTTTTTTTTTTTTTTTTTTTTTTTTTGGTGAGACGGAGATTTACTCTTGTTGCCCAGGCTGGAGTGCAATGGTACGATCTCAGCTCACAGCATCCTCCGCCTCCCAGGTTCAAGTGATTCTCCTGCCTCAGCCTCCCAAGTAGCTGGGATTACAGGCATGTGCCACTGCGCCCGGCTAATTTTGTATTTTTAGTAGAGGTGGGGTTTCACCGTGTTGCCCAGGCTGATCTCCAACTCCTGACCTCAGGTGATCCGCCTGCCTCTGCCTCCCAAAGTCCTGGGATTACAAGTGTGAGCCACTGCGCCTGGCCTAAGCATAACTTTTTAGACAAAAATAAAAAAATCTAGTAATATTTTACTACTTGGTGCTGTTAAAGTTGGTGTCTGAAGCCCTGCAATCATTTATTCACTTTCAGTACATCCTTTGTTCCTTTTGAAAAGGTGTAAGTCAGTGCACTTAGAATCAGGAAACTTAATTTTTAGATTTTGTTTGCCTGCTATAAATGACAGCAAACTCAAAAACCAAACCTCTTAACAGTAGTGAGCCAGTTTTGTTTCAACATGACTTCAGTATCCCAGCCCTATTAAAAAATGCAAAATGCATACACACACCGCAAACAGCATAGACAGACATTATTTAAACGTTTTTTAAAATGTGAGTAATGAAGATGTCCTCCAAGCTCCAGAATGCTTGTGAAAGATCCCTGAGCACGGCCCCACTAAGGCATCTCTACAAAGGCACAAAGCTGTAGAGACATTTGGGCATTTTACTGACTACATCCAAGGGTTTCCTAGACTTCCACTTTGGTCATTTTGAAACTAGCTCAAGAAACTAGCTTGATTCTCACTTCTACCAGGATGAGAGAGAGACAAGAGCTGAGGGAAATGTGGGATGGGAATAGGCTGGCAAGAACCATAAGGGACTGAGGGAAATAATTATTATTTTTGGAAGCTTTCTACCTCTGTGATCTTCTTAGTCTCTGGCCCCTCCCTCTTCCTCCCCACCTAGGCTCACGGTGCTCTCCTGTCCTCTGGCCTCCCTGAGCCTTTCTCTAAATGTTAAATGCTCCCAAATTCTTTTGATTCCCCAAACTCTCTTCCGCCAAAACTCTAATTCTCATTTTCTCAGCGTGCTGATCTAATCTAGTAGTTAGGAAATAAATCTGATTAACCGGCTTCTAATAGACCCTCTCAGCAGCCAGTTCACAGTCCTCAGGCCTATTATCCTCATATTTTCTCTCATCAGAATGCTCAGAGAGGCCGGGCGTGGTGGCGCACACTTGTAATCCCAGCACTTTGGGAGGCCAAGGCAGGCGAATCACTTGAACTCAAGAGTTCAAGACCAGCCTAGCCAATATGGTGAAAACCTGTCTCTACTAAAAATACAAAAAATTAGCCAGGCATGGTGGCTCCTTCCTGCAGTCCCAGCTACTTAGGGGGCTAAGGCGGAAGAATTGCTTGAATCTGGGAGGTGGAGGTTGCAGTGAGCTGAGATTGTGCCACTGCACTCCAGCCTCGGCAACAGAGTGACTCCGTCTCAAAAAAATCAAGCAAACAAACAAAAAAACCCAGAATGCTCAGAGGTTGCATCTTAGAGAGGTAGGGGTTCCCATGCTTTCAATAACTGGAACAAAAGAGAGAATATAGAGAAGAAAAAAAGGTTTCAAGTGTTTCTGGTCATTATGATTTACTTTCACATAAAAAGAAATTACTAATTAAAGGTCTACCTCGGGCTAGGAACGGTGGCTCATGCCTGTAATCCCAGCACTTTGGGAGGCCAAGGCGGGCAAATCACCTGAGGTCAGGAGTTCCAGACCAGCCTTGCCAACATTGCAAAACCCTGTCTGTACTAAAAAATACAAAAATTAGCCAGGCATGGTGGCGTGTGCCTATAGTCCCAGCTACTCGGGAGGGTGAGGCAGGAGAATCACTGGAACCCAGGAGGCAGAGGTTGCAGAGAGCCGAGATCGCAGAATTGCACTCCAGCCTGGGCAATGGAGTGAGACTCCATCTCAAAAAAAAAAAAAAAAAGAAAAGAAAAGAAAAAAGTAAGGTCTCCCTCATGAAAGTGTTTGGGAATGAGAGCAGCTCAGATTACTTGAGCAAGGCACTTGGTAGGCTTTGATCTTCCCTACCTTGATGAAAATTTTCTCACAGAAAAGAAATCAGGACTCAGGCTTTATGAAGTATGCCACAATGTCCGTGTGGTTTTGATAGTGGCACAGAAGTATCTTCCCTTCTGGGAAGTCAAGGCAGCTCATGGCTTCCCTGCACTACTCTTTATGCACCTCACTGAGATAATATGGACATATTTTTCACTATCAGACTTTCAGGCAGGAATATATTTTAGAATAGCGTATATTTTATGTATTTTAGAATAATAAATCAAACCTTACTGGTCATCAGAATCACGTGGGGACTTTTAAAAAATAAGCATTTTCACTCATCTTACCCAGCCCTACTGAATCAGATTCTTAGCCAGAGAGAAAGGGCTGTAAGGGGCTGGGGTAGGAATGTTTTAAGATTCTCCACGTAATTTTAGTGATCAGTCAGGTTTGGAGCCACCGTTGAAGATACAAAGGGGCCTCCCAATACCTAAGACACCTGCTCAGAACCATAAAGAGAAGGGGAGACAAGCCTTTGGGAGCCCCAGCCTGCTCCTTCCATATCCCCCCAGTCCTGCTCCTCACCTCCCCGCAAAGAGAAGGGGAGACAAGCCTCTGGGAACCCCACCCTGCTCCTTCCCCACTTGCTCTCCCCTTCCCCCACCCCACCCCCCCAGCACAATGTTCTGTTCTCAGACCCCTGTAATCTGAGCCACCCAATTCAGATATTATAATTCCATGAAAGCAGGCAATTCCTCTTATGAAGAAAAAAAGAAAAGAAAATATACTTATTAGAACCCTAAGTATTGAGCTTCACAAATAGCTATTTCATTTCCTAGTCACAATGTCTTTGTAAGCTCAGTATCAGCACCGTTTGTAGCTGAAGAAACGGGCTGAGAGGGAAATTTTTCAAGGCTCTCTAAGTTAGTCCCAGAGGGATTGGGGATCCAGTGGGGCAGGGTAAATTATTGATGTGGTAATTTGTGCCCTGTTCTTATTTCTATTGGAGACATATTTGATAGAAGAAGAGGGTGCTTTCTCCCTGCGCTTCCTCTCTGGAAAGAAAACTAGCCTTTTGCTCTGAGGTTTCAGACTCTCGTATGCTCAAGTGAATGAGCTCTCAGAACTTCTGTGTGTTTTATAAGCTGTCCTGGAAAAAGTTCAACCAGGACTTTTGAAAGTTCTTGGCTTGGCCGGGCGCAATGGCTCACGCCTGTAATCCCAACACTTTGGGAGGCTGAGGTGGGTGGATCATGAGGTCAGGAGTTCAAGACCAGCCTGACCAATATGGTGAAACCCTGTCTCTACTAAAAATACAAAAATTAGCCAGGCGTGGTGGCGTTCGCCTATAGTCCCAGCTACTCAGGAGCCTGAAGCAGGAGAATCGCTTGAACCCGGGAGGCGGAGGTTGCAGTGAGCCAAGATCACGCCACTGCACTCCAGCCTCGGTGATAGAGTGAGACTCCATCTCAAAAAAAAAAAAAAAAGAAAGTTCTTGGCTCTTCAGGAAAGAAATGGAATTATCCAGAAAGGAAAGCAATGGAAGCCACTGTTTCACAGGAGAGACAGATACGCTGCTCCTCAAAGAAGAGGGGATCCCAGAGGCAGGAAAAAGGGGTGCACATCTCTTGCACCCAAGTGTGTGGAGCAATTCAGAGTTTTCCGCTCCACCACAGCTGCAAAAGGGCGAGGAATGTGCCACCCTCAGCCAAACCTCAGCAGTTGTCCCATCTTCAAACCTGACTCATGGGGAACTGAGAGAAAAGGAACTGACATTCACTGCACACCTGTAAGTTTCCAAGAACACTTTCCCCTGGGGCCCAGGGCGTCCTGAGAGCCCTCCCAGTGGTGTGTCAGAGCAGATGGCGGCCCTACCCAGTCTGGTTTTTCTCCTCATTTCCATCCCCCACTGCTGGCTGCACCAAGGTTTATATCTGTGTCCAGAGCCCTGGGGGGCCATGCTGGGAGATCTTAGCTATCTGCTCCTTGTGGCCATCTGCTCACCAGTTCCTGGCCTGTAATGCATCTTGTTTTTTATCAAAATAACAAACAGGATGAGTAAAAGAAACCAAACATGAAAGAGCACAAACTGTATGTTCCATTTATATGAAATTCAAAAACAGACTACACTCGCCTGTAGAGGTTCATACGCTAGTTACCTTTGGCCGGGTCTTCTATGAGACTGGAAACTCTCTATTTCTTGATCTACATGGTGATTACACAGGTGTATACATATGTAAGAATTCTTTGAGCTGCAAACTTAATATTTGCGCAGTTACTGTTATGTGAATGTTACCTCCACAAAAATAAATACATCATAAAAGCAAACAAGCCAATAAACAAACACAGACACAATAACCTATAATGACTTGCTAGCTGCAGCTTGCCTGTTACTGGGGCCACTTATCCCAGCCTGCTGACTCAATCCCATCCCAATTCATAAAATGAATCTGGCTCCCTACCCCGAGAACTGCACAGGAAATTTAAAAAGCTAGAGAAGAGCATTCAGCCCCATAGTCCTCGCCCACAGGGTGCTCTGTGGCACGGTGTTTATATGCAAAGATGACAGAGCCCGGCTGCCTAGGTTCAAATCCCTGTTCTGCCACTTAATGGTTATAACCTTAAGCAGCTTACTTAAATTCTCTATTCCTCAGTTTCCTGATCTGTGTAATAGGCTTAATGATCAGGATTATACCAGATTAATCCATGTAAATTTACTCAGGAAATATCCAGTAGTATTACATGCCAAGCCTATTGTAAGAACTTTATCAATATGATCTCCTTAATCCTTGCAGCAACGCTCTGACAGATGGTGTTATCCTGATTTTGCAAGTGAAGAAACGGAAGCTCAATGAGACTAAACTTGCCTAAGGTTACGTAGTTGTCAAGGGGCAAAATCAGGATTTGAAATGAGGTCTGTCTTTTCTCTTTCTGTTAAAGGGCTTCTTTGATGCCAACCCAGACCC
Source organism: Homo sapiens (assembly GCF_000001405.40). Lineage (NCBI taxonomy): Eukaryota > Metazoa > Chordata > Mammalia > Primates > Hominidae > Homo > Homo sapiens. The sequence goes on along the minus strand of NC_000002.12, from coordinate 174,535,418 downwards.
TCCCAACCTCTGCCTCCTCCTGGACTGGCCTGGTGCTGACCCACCATCCATCTGCATGTCTCCCACTGCCTGCCATTGCAGCAGGACCACGTGGCCCACCCTTCTGAGATGTTCCAGTCCTTCGCATTCTGTCTGAGCCCCAGGTACAGAACAACCAGTCTAAATAATGAGCAGTGATTAGCTTAAGATAGTGAGCTGAGCTCATAAGATCCTATCTCCTTCCACCCAATTTTTTTTACAATAACAAGGGGGAGTGTGTTGTTTTTAAAGATGAGATCCACTCAGCACTGGAAAATAGGAAAGGGCGCCCCTTATCAGAACATTTTTGAAATATCTGGTAGATAGAAGTTATATAAAATTAACATTGACAAGAGTGGGAAAAGAAAACCTCACACATCCAAAATTGGCTGCATGTTCTGAGCTCCCAGGGATTGAGGGGGAAAAAAAAAAGAACAAAATTGGCTGCAAAAAATGAACCAAATAAATAATTAAAATAATGGAAAGATAACAAATCCAGACAGATTCCAAACTCAGAAGGACAATTACAATAATCAAGAATCCAGAAGAAGGCTCTGGACCAACCAACAGTATAATTTATTAAAGAGCTGTAGCCAGCACATGGGGCCCATGGCCTTCCCCCACTCCTAAGCTGGCTGAAAGAAAACATCAGTAGTGTCTGGCCTGGGGAGTGTTGTTGGGGTGCCAAGTGGGGCTTGGGAGGCGCATGCACAAGAGGAAGTGTTAGGAGGAGGCCAAGCAGCCCTACAACCAAAAAATGCGCAGGGTCCGCCACCAGTGTGAAACCTGCCTTTCTTCAGCATCATGGCAGGGAAGTCCTGCCCATGTGTGGTGTATTGGTTTTCTATCACCGCCATAATAAATTACCACAAACTTGGTGGCTTAAAACAACACAGATTTGCTATTTTATTGTTCTGTAGGTCAGAAGTCTGCCATAGGTCCCTCAGGGCTACAACCAAGGTGCCCTCAGGCCACAGGGTACATCCCTTCCTGGAGACTCTAGGGGAGGCTTTTCTGGCTGCTAGTGTCCACCCATGTTTCTTAGCTCCTGGCCCTCTTCTTCCACCTTCAAAGCCAGCAGTGTCGCACCTCTCTGACCCTTCTTTCACAGTCATCTCTTCCTCTGGCCATAGCTGGGAAAGAGTCTCTGTTTTTAAGGAATCATATGGGTGGGCCCACCTGGATAATTTAGGATCATCTCTTCATGTTTTTTTTTTTTTTTTTTCTTAAGAGGGAGTCTCGCTCTGTCACCCAGGCTGGAGTGCAGTGGTGCAATCTCGGCTCACTGCAGGCTCCGCCTCCTGGGTTCACGCCATTCTCCTGCCTCAGCCTCCCGAGTAGCTGGGACTACAGGCACCTGCCACCATGCCTGGCTATTTTTTTTTGTATTTTTAGTAGAGATGGGGTTTCACCGTGTTAACCAGGATGGTCTCGATCTCCTGACCTCGTGATCCGCCCGCCTCGGCCTCCCAAAGTGCTGGGATTACAGGCGTGAGCCACCGTGCCCCGCCCATCTCTTCATGTTAAGTGCCTTAATTTAATCAAATCTGTAAAGTCCCTTTTGCCACATAAGAGAACATGTGCACAGATTGTGGGGATTCAGGGCCATTATTCTGCCCCTACGTGTGGTCATTGGCTGCCTGGCAGATGACCTGCAGCCTGGTTTGGCAGCTGGAGCCGTGGCTGCTCCCCTCAGGACCTGAATCTGAGGTGATATCAGCCAAGGCAACAATGACTTGACCAGACTGTGGCCTCCTTGGTTCCTGCTGGTTTTCCAAGCCTGATTCTCGGCCTTCTGGTTAATTTCATGAGCTACCTAAAGCCTGCCAATAAATTATTTCTTGCATAAATTACCCAGAGCCAGTATATGTTACTTATAATCAAGAATGTTGACTGAGAGGCTGGGCATGTGGCTTACGTCTGTAATCCCAGCACTTTGGGAGGCTGAGGTGGGAGGATGACTTTAGCCCAGGAGTTCCAGACCAGACTGGGCAATATAGTGACACCCTATATCTACAAAAAAAAAAAAAAAAAATGTTTTTAATTATCCAGGTGTGGTAGAGCATGCTAGAAACTCACTAAATATTTGTTGAATGAATGAAAGATCAGTGGAACCTATACAATAGAAAATAAAATTAGTGATCTGAATAATAAAGGTAAGAAACTTTCAAAATTGAAATTAGGCCAGGCATGGTGGCTCACGCCTGTAATCCCAACATTTTGAGAGGCCAAGGTGTATTTTTATATTTTGTAAAAATACAAAAAAATTAGCTGGGTGTAGTGGCAGGCACCTGTAATCCCAGCTACTTGGGAGACTGTGGCAGGAGAATCGCTTGAACCCGGGAGGTGGAGGTTGCAGTGAGCCGAGATCGCACCATTGCACTCCAGCCTGAACAACAAGAGCAAAACTCCGTCTCAAAAAAACAAAAAAGAAAAGAAAGAAATTAAAAGGACAAAGTAAATGGGAGACATAAGAAATAACTTAAGCAGGCCAGGCGCGGTGGCTCTGCCTGTAATCCCAGCACTTTGGGAGGCCGAGGCGGGCGGATCACGAGGTCAGGAGATCGAGACCATCCTGGCTAACACAGTGAAACCCCATCTCTACTAAAAACACAAAAAATTAACCGGGCGTGGCGGCGGGCGCCTATAGTCCCAGCTACTTGGGAGGCTGAGGCAGGAGAATGGCGTGAACCCGGGAGGCGGAGTTTGCAGTGAGCCGAGATTTCGCCACTGCACTCCAGCCTGGGCAACAGAGGAAGACTCTGTCTCAAAAAAAAAAAAAAAGAAAGAAAGAACTTAAGCAGTATGCGGAATTAATCCAGGTGATTGAAAATCCATTTAACAGGAGTTCCAGAACGAAAGTAAAGAAGCAATGGATAGTGAAATCATCAAGGAAAAAATTAAATAAAACTTACCAGAGCTGAAGAAAGCACACTTTTAGATGAAAGGGGCCCACTGGCAAGTACTAGTAACATTTAAGAAACCCACAGATAAAGAAAATCGTTCTGAAAAATTCCACATAAATAAACAATGAGCAGATTGGCATCAGACTTTCTCACCAACAATCCTGGCTGCTGAAGACGCCAAAACATTATCTTCACAATTCTGAGAGGAAAACAGGTCTTGAATTGGAAGTCTATATGGAGGTAAACTTACAATCAAATGTGAAAACATGTTTGAACATACAAGGACTCAGAAGTTTTGCCACAAACACACTATCTCCAAAATAATTACAAAATGAGCTATAACAAAACAATAATGACAAAAAGTACTCCAAAGAAAAATATAATGTGGGATACAAGTAAAAGGGTAAGTGCCCCCTGCCCCACCCCGCCCCCCCAAAAAAACTGTAAAACTTATACTTAACTAAGAATAAAACTAATCTGGTAAAAGTGCTTACCCTGTAGAAGTAGCAGTGGAGGAAGGAGGAAGTCAGAGAGTGTAAATTTCTTGTTTAATAGGAAAATATTGAAGGGTGGCAGAATATGCCACCCAAAAAATGCCACTTTGGCCTAAAGATTATTTTTAAGCTGAAGGCACTTGAAAAATAGCAGATGAAAAATGCACATTCTCATCTCCCTTTTTCTTCCTGGAAACAGGAAATAAAAACTCCCATATGAAAGATGTCCTCCTTGTACCAGGAGAAAGGAAACATTCTTCAACAAGGAGTCATAGCCAAGAGAATCCTGTACAAACAGCCTTTGTTAAAATAGTTCCTATCTTCCTGTAGCCTCCCCACATAACTTGGTTAATTTTCTTCTTCTTTTTTTTTTTTTTTTGAGATGGAGTCTCGCTCTGTCACCCAGGCTGGAGTGCAGTGGCATGATCTCGGCTCACTGCAAACTCTGCCTCCCGGGTTCAAGCCATTCTCCTGCCTCAGCCTCCTGAGTAGTTGGGATTACAGGCGTGTGCCATGATGCCTGGCTAATTTTTTGTATTTTTAGTAGAAAAGGGGTTTCACCATGTTAGCCAGGCTGGTCTCCAACTCCTGACTTCAGGTGATCTGCCCTCCTCGGCCTCCCAAAGTGCTGGGATTACAGGCATGAGCCACCGCTACCGGCTGACTTGGTTACTTTTCTTCGTTTGCTTCTCTAGTATGTAGATTTAGCACTTCTTTGGTCCTTTGTTTCCATGAAGGTCCTCATGTCATGTAAAATTTATATAAATTTGTATACTTTTCCCCTGTTAATCTGTTCTATGTCAATTTAATTTTCAGGCCCAACTGAAAGCTCTAAAAGGGTAGAAGTCAAATTTTGCCTCCCCTACAATATAAAGATAGATTAATTCTAGGTGCTCATAGAAACCATATATAATCGTGGGAGTAAACATTTTAAGTTAACCATGTAAATAATTGAAATAGAATACATAACTCTGGCCGGGCGTGGTGGCTCACACCTGTAATCCCAGCACTTTAGGAGGCTGAGGCGGGTGGATCACTTGAGGTCAGGAGTTCGAGACCAGCCTGACCAACATGGTGAAACCCCGTCTCTACTAAAAATACAAAAATTAGTAGGGCATGTTGGTGGGTGCTTGTAATCCCAGCTACTCGGGAAGCTGAGGCAGGAGAATCGCTTGAACCTGGGAGGCAGAGGTTGCAGTGAGCTGAGATAGCGCCACTGCACTCCAGCCTGGCAACAGAGTGAGACTTTGTCTGAAAAAAAAAAAAATAGAATACGTAACTCTGCCAACCCTTGAAGGAAAACAAATGGAACAAAGAAAACTTGATCAATCTAATGAAAGAGGAATGAGAAAAAAGAAACAGCAAAAAAGCAACATGGAAAGAAAGCACGTATCAACATAACAGAAATATATTTAAGCATACTACTACCAATAAATGTGAATGAATTTAAAACCATGAATGCCTGGATTAAAACCACGAATTAAAAATCACAAATGCTAGAGTCTCTGGAAAATAGGAAAGGGTGTCCATTATCAGAACATTTTTCAAATGTCTGGTAGATAGACGTTAAATAAGATCAACAACATTGACAGTGGGGAAAAAATAAAAACCCACACATCCAAAATTGGCTGCATGTTCTGTGCTCCTTTATTTAAAAATTTAGTCCTGATTTGGGTTACAAAGACTGCAGTTACAGTAGGCTCTTTTATCTGCAGCAATTCTGCAGTTTCAGTTACCCATGGTCAACCATGGTCCAAAAATGTTAAATGGAAAATTCAGAAATAAACAAGTCTTAAGTTTTCAGTTGTGAGCCGTTCTGAGTAGCATGATGAAATCCCACATTGCCCTGCTCAGCCCTGCCTGGGGCATGAACCACCCCTCTGTCCCAGCGTATCCATGCTGGAGACACCAGCCATCCGTTAGTCACTTGGCCTTCTCAGTTATCGGATTGACTGTCATGGTATCACAGTGCTTGTGTCCAAGTAACCCTTATTTTACAAGACTAGTCATGCTGGTAATTTGGATATGCCAAAGAGAAGCTGTAAAGTGCTTCCTTTAAGTGAAAAGGTGAAAGTTCTCAACTTAAGGGAAGAAAAAAACATCGTATGCTGAGGTTGTTAAGATCTACTTTAAGAATGAATTTTCTATCCCTGAAATTAAGAAGAAAGAAAAAGAAATTTGTGCTAATTTTGCTGGTGCACCTCAAACTGCAAAAGTCTCAGCCACGGTGTATGCTAAGTGTTTAGTTAAGATGGAAATGGCATTAAGTTTGTGGGTGGAAGACAAGGAAAGAAATGTGTTCTGACTGATGGCAATCGGGTTTGATACTACCCGAGGCTTCAGCATCCACTTGGGGGCCTTGGAACTATTCCCCTCTGCTAAGTGGGGACTACTGTGTATGCTGTTTACAAAACAGATACCTAAAATATTAACAGAAAAGAAGGCTATTTCCAAATGATAAAAGTCACAATTCACTAACAAGACACGAGAGCCAAGAACTTTTATTCACTCAATATAGAACTTCAAAATTCAGAAAACAAAGATGTTAGAAATACAAGAAGAAATTAAAATCAATCTATTATAATGGGGGAAAACCGTAATCCATCTATTTCAGAAATTGATAGACAAAAGAAGTCATCAAGCGTATTTGAGCAGTGCATTTAACCACCTTGAACAACTTTGTATAGACGGCAGGAACCTTACTTGCGCAAAATCCAACTATGTTCACCTTACTCCACCTCCAGGCAGCAATGGACACATTTGGCACTGCGCTCTGGAGATTCTATGCTCTCCTAACTTTCCTGCTACTTTATGGGTCCAGCGTGGCCAGTCTGCTTTGCTGATGCCTCCTCCTGTTTGTGACCTCCTAGTGTTGAGATAGCCCAGGACGCAGTCTTCCCTTTCTCCTTCCTCTCCTCTCTCTACACTGCCTTCCTAGGGGATCTCACTAGTCCTCAGTACTTTTTTTTTTTTTTGTATATGGAGTCTCACTCTGTCGCCCAGGCTGGAGTGCAGTGGTGCAATCTTGGCTCACTGCAACCTCCGCCTCCCAGGTTCAAGTGATTCTCTTGCCTCAGCTGCTGAGTAGCTGGGACTGCAGGCACGCACAACTATGCCTGTCTGATTTTTGTATTTTTATTAGAGACAGGGTTTCACCATATTGGCCAGGCTGGTCTCGAACTCCTGACCTCATGATCTGCCTGCCTTCCTCGGCCTCCCAAAGTGCTGGGATTACAGGCATGAGCCACCATGCCCATCCAGTCCTCAGTCTTTAAGTGCCATTCCATGTTTATGACTCCCAGATTTATTCCTCCCATCCTGAACTCACCCAAGCTTCAGATTCCTTTATCCAAATCCACATGAATATCTGATAAGCATCTCAAATTTAACATATCTTAAACTAAACTCTCAGCTTCACTACGTACATCCTGAAGTTTTTGGTTGTTGTCTCAGATTCTTTTTTATTATGGTAAAATACATGGAACAGAACATTGACCATTGTAACCATTTTAAAGTGTACAATTCCATGGCACTTGTACATTCACAGTGCTGTTCAACCAGCTCCACTATCTAGGTCCAGGACTTTTTCATCACCCCTAATGGGAACTCCATATTTATTAATCAATCATTCCCAGTTACTCTTTCACTGACGTGAACCCCTGGCTTTTTTTTTTATCTCTATAGATTTGCCTATTTTGGATATTTCATATAAATGGAATCATACAACATGGGGTGTTTTGTGTGTGGTTTTTGTCACTTAGTATGATGCTTTCAAGGTTCATTAATGTGGTAGCACGTATCAGTATGTTGTCATTCCTTTTCATAGATGAATAATATTCCACTGTATGGATATACCACATTTTGTTTATCCATTTGTCTGCTGATGGACACACTGGGTTGTTTCCGTCAATACATACCAAAGTTTTTCTTCCCATTGCACCCCAGCCCCAACTCCCCTCCTCCCCAGTCATCTCTATCTCAGCTGGTGGCACCACAACTGACCCAGGTACTAGGCTCAAAACTTAGGAGTCACCTTTGATTCCTCTCTTTCCCTTGGCCCCACCCCACTTCTGACATCCAAACAATCAGCACATCTCGTTATATCACCCAGATACAGACTAAGCTTGGTCACATTTTACCACTTCCCCAGCTACCACCTAGTCCATGCTACTGTCACCGTGGCCGCAACTCAGTCTTTTTGCTTCTTTTGTCCCCTTCCAATTCATTTCCCCACAGCACAAAATTATCTCTTAACGTAAATCAGATCATGCCACAGCAGGACTGAGGAGCCTCTGATGCTTTCCCATTACACTGAAACAAAGCCTAAACATCATGCTATGGTCAATAAGGCCAGTGTGATATGGCCCCTGCCTACCTACCTCTCTGAGCATCTCCCACACTCTCCAGCCACCCTGGCCTCCCTCTGACCCTTTCCCACATACTCCCTGAGCTTCTGCCTGGGACACATGCCTTCCCCTCAGACCACGTGGCTCCCTCCTTCTCAACATGCAGAGAAGCCTTCCCTGACTCTCGGATCTGAAATACAGCCCTCACCCCAGTCTCCCTCTATCCTCTTAAACTGATGGGTTTTTCCCTCACACAACTTACACAACCATGTGAAACTATATTATTTTTGTCTCTTTATTATCTGTCTTCCCCTACAAGAATGTAAGCTCCAAGAAAGTAGGTTACTTTGCCTTCGGCCAAATCCCTGGGGCCTAGAACAGTACCTAGCATGTACAGAGGCATTCAATAAACCCTTGTTGCTTGAATAATAAATACAATGCATTATACACACACATAGAAAGAGGACTTTGTGCCCAATAAACAAAATATCCATTCTTTGCAAACATCTTTGAACATTTACATGAATAGACCACAGAACACTTTTCAATCAAGTTGGTGAGACTATAAATTAGTATAAGCTTTCTAAGGAATAATTTGATAACATTTATCCAATTTTCAAATGCAAATATCCTTTGAACCAACACCATTTATTGAAAAGCCCTTCCTTTCCACACTGAATTTCATTGGCATATTTGTGATAAATTAAGTAATCCTCTGTGTACGGGTCTATGCCTGGACTCTATTCCATTCTGTTTATCTACTGTCTATTAGATCACTTTCAATGATGATATAAAGGCTCATATGGACCTGAAAAAGGTTTCTTTCCACAGCATTATTTTTTTCTACTAGTCTATGTTGTGGAGCTGGTTACTCTATACAATAATACATTTAGTAAAGATTTAATACTACGGTAATATAGAAAATGTTTTTGGTTTTGAATTTTTGTAAATTAAGGGAACTACCACTTTGCCTTTTTTTTTTTATTTTTTATTTTTTTGAGACAGAGTCTTGCTCTGTCACCCAGGCTGGAGTGCAGTGGCGTGATCTCTGCTCACTACAACCTCCACCTCCCGGGTTCAAGTGATTCTCCTGCCTCAGCCTCCTGAGTAGCTGGGGTTACAGGTGCCTGCCACCACACCCTGCTAATTTTTGTATTTTTAGTAGAGACGGGGTTTCACCATGTTGGTAAGGCTGGTGTCGAACTCCTGACCTCATGACCCACCTGCCTCAGCCTCCCAAAGTGCTGGGATTACAGGCGTGAGCCACCATGCCCGGCCCCCCTTTGCCTTTTACACTGATATCAAATATTCCTTCCCCCTTCCAAAGTTTCCTTAAGGGCATCTAAACAATACATGTTGCAAATAATACTGAAAAGGTACCATGTTGTGAATAGTGCTCAGGTATCCTAAATAAAACATCTTGTAAAACCAACACTTAGTTTGAGAAGTCACAATGCTGAAGCAACTGGTATCTCTGTGGAGATGTAACTAGGACAAGACCTTAAACTTTTTTTTGTGTTGAAGACTCTAGCAGAATAGACTTTTATTTGTCCATTATGCAAATAGGAAAAAGGAGAGAAAGCCAATCCTCTTTTTGATTTGACTGAGAAACCCTGTTAATGTTTATATCACTGGGAACATAGGCATCAACTACATTATCACCAAGGCAACAAACCAACAAGTAAGACTATGAGCCAGAATTACTAATGTTGTTGAAGGTCATGCTTACGCTATATGGCAACAATTTCTAAAATTTCTAGCATCTACAGGACTTCTTTGTTCAATAATAATTTCAATGATAAATTTACTTAAAACAGAAAAAGTGGGTAGAAGTTGGGAATATTTGTGCAAGACTTTATATCACACTGGAAATAAGACTGATGTCTTGTGAGAGTTCACATTTAACATCTTACCTCATCAGATTCTTTTACAAAGTTTTAAGCTATGAAACGATCTCTTTCTCTCCCTCTCTCTAGTTGCTATGGAGAAGAAATATCTTTTTCACCTCTTTATTAGACATTTTTTTAAATTATGAAGTTCTGTATTTTCAGAGCCAGACTCTGATATGTCATTAGTTAGCACTAAAAGCACAGTGTGACCTGTGAGTCTCAATTTTAGAAATGGGAAATGGGTTGTTAGGATTTAACTTGACAGCAGTGCAATTGGAACAATTTATCTTCCATGTTACAAAGAACAAGAGTCAGACTGACATTGGACTTCTCATCAGCAACACTGTGCTATGGTTTGAATGTGTCCCCTCCAAAATTCAGATGTTAGATTAAACCTTGTTGGTCAATGTGATACTCTTAAGAGGTGGGGTTTTTAAGAGGTGGTTAGACCATGAGGGCTTCTCCCTCACAAATGGGATGAAGGCCGTTATAAAACAGGCTTCAGGCAGCTTTCAGCTCTCTTGCCCTTCTGTCTTCTGCCATGAGAGGACACAGCGTTCCTTCCCACTGGAGGATGCAGCAATAAGAGTCATCTTGGAAACAGAGGACAGCCCTCACCAGACAACTGAACCTGCCAGCACCCTGACTGTGGACTTCCAGCCTTTAGAACTGTGAGAAAGTACATTTCTGTTCTTTATAAATTACCCAGTCTATGATATTTTGTTATAACAGCACAATCGGACTAAGACAAAAAGGTACTAAAACACAACGAGGAAATAGCTACTGTTATTGGTAACATGATTATGAACTGCAATAGTGTGGCCAGGCAAGCACAATTAAGTGTGAAGGTGGAATAAAGACACTTTTCCACACATGCAAGGACTTGAAGCAATTACCTCCCATGTGCCCATTTTTGGGAAATTGCTTAAAAATATTCTGCAGCAAAACAAGGAGAAAATGAAGAAAGGGGAAGACCAGTGATCCAGAAAACAGTGAAACAAACCCAAAAAACAGGAAAGGGAAGTTGCAATGTGACTTGCTATGAGGCAAGATGAAAGAGTAACCAGTAGAGATTGGAGGAGAAGGTGACGCCGCAGGAGGAAAGTCACCAGTGAAAAAAGTGTACATGGAGGAGGGGAATGGTTTTAAGTAATAAAATGAAGTAACTGAAAAAAGGTTGAATATATTATAAAGGCAAATGACACAAGAGGTGCAAAAAAAAAAAAAAAGGCAGCTAGAAATACCACAAGAAAAAAAAAAAACCATTGGCCAGAAGTGGTGGCTCACGTCTGTAATCCCAGCACTTTGGGAGGCCAAGGTGGGCAGATCACTTGAGGTCAGGAGTTTGAAACCATCCTGGCCAACATGGCGAAACCCCGTCTCTACTAAAAAAATTCAAAAATTAGCTGGGCATGATGGCGGGCACCTGTGGTCTCAGCTACTCAGGAGACTGAGGTGGGGGAACTGCTTGAACCCATGAGGTGGAGGTTGCAGTGAGCTGAGATTGTGCCACTGCACTGCAGTCTGGGCAACAGAGGGAGACTCCATCTCAAGAGAAAAGAAAAAACAAAACAAAACAAAAACATAATTTTTTAAAAAGGAAATGAAAGCATAATGTGCCCCCTTGCTTCCAATGTAAAGAGAGACCTGCTCTCTAGGAGTAAAAATTTAGTGTTGCAGTGTAATGGCTCATCAAATTGAATAAAGTCTGTGTAGATTAGGAAAGATCTTCAAAATTAGGCTCTGAGATGTGTACCCGTGGTCTGAGAAGCACCAGAGAGCCACAACTTGTTCTTAAGGAAGAGAATGAAAAGTTAAAGGCAGCATTTTAGGCAAGGTAGCCTGGCAGTAGGAGAGGAAGGAGGCCAAGTGGTATGTCTGTTGCCATTTTCCAGGTATGAGGTGGAGGAGTAAACCCACAATAGGGAAGGAAAAAACAAATCAGGAAGGCATTCCAAAGGAGGATGCTATAGGACCCAAGTACCAGGATTGGATAGAGGAGAGGGGATGGTTCCAAAGTTTTCTGGTCTGTGAACCAGGAAAATGGTGAAAGCTTTTATCTAGTATTGCTGTTTGATCATTGTACACATACTTTTCAGCCTCATTCTTGTCCTCCTCCTTCTTCTTTTCCTCTTCCTCTTCACAGGTTAATTTTAGGCTCCTTGAAGGCAGAGCCTAAAGCCTGAGTGTGTTTTATTGACAACCAGCTCTGAGGCCTACCACCATAGGCACTCAGCTGATGCGTGTGGTTGATGGTGGTGGTGGTGATGATGATGTCACAGTGCTTTATAGATGGGGAAAATGGGGAAGAGGAGTCATTTGGGGCATAATGATGATGGGGCCGGGTGCAGTGGCTCACACCTGTAATCCCAGCACTTTGGGAGGCTGAGGCAGGTGGAACACCTGAGGTCAGGAGTTCAAGACCAGCCTGGCCAACATGGTGAAACCCCGTCCCTACAAAAATACAAAAATTAGCCGGGCATGGTGGTGGGCACCTGTAATCCCAGCTACTCAGGAGGCTGAGGCGGGAGAATTGCTTAAACCCGGGAGGTGGAGGTTGCAGTGAGCCAAGATTGCGCAACTGCACTCCAGCCTGGGTGACAGAGCGAGACTCAGTCTCAAAAAATAATAATAATGATGATGATGATGATGGAAATCAAACTTAGTAAGATGCCAACTCCTACTGGGAGATGGAAAAAATACTTTTTGAAATAATTACTGCTACTTCTTGTTTAATGAAATTCCTTATTTTATGTTTCCTTTCTTTAGCATCCTTTACTTAATGCCATGTCTACCTATGTAGAATTAAAACCAAGCAGTATTGGGAGGTCTGAGCACAGTCAAGGAAACTCACTTCCAAATTCTTCTTTCAACATATGTTTTGGCTGAAAACAAATGCACTCATTTTTAGGAAGCAGAACTACTTAAGCAAGATCCAGCCTACGAGCATGGGTGTTCTACATCTTGTTTTGTTCCTATTTCTGAAGACCAAAAAAAAAAAGCATTATTTTCAAAGGAAGCACTAGGTGGCACTTGTGATGTATTCCACAGTTGCCTCCGATCCTTTTTGAAAAAGGTTTGATAGAAAAAAAAATGCAATAAATATTAAAATGGGAAAATCGTCATTACAATAATGAAGATCAGCATGATTGTGTTTACTATGTTACTATGTATGAGCAATATCTTTATGCAGTATTTGCATTTAAAATCTGAGCTTTGCTTTCTTGATAAAAACTGCAAGACGGGAACTGACATTTCTATAACATGTGAAAACCCCACATCGCTAAAATAATAAGTAAAAATGTAATGCCTGGTTTGCAAAAAGATTGACTATAAATCTTCTTTTAAATAGTTTCTGTCTTCCATTTAGAGTGTTTGAATTTGTAAAAACAGATAACAGAATAAATTTTTCAAGGTCCATCTATTGTGAAAAGCAAAATTTAAAAAATCATAACTTGAAATAAGGCACTGCAGCTTCCAGGTTTTGACTAATATTAACCAAAAAAAACAAAAGAAAGAGAAAGAAAGAGAGATGAAGATTAAAGCAGATATCTCAGGGTTTTTACCATCTTTAAAGTAATAACGTAAAGACTTTAAGCAAATGTATTCTTTTCTGTTATTCAGTTAGTTCCCATTTGGCAACTGCTTAATTATCTCATGGTCCCATTTCAATGTCGAGAGATTGCAAGCTTTTAACAGAAATTCAGGTTGAGAAGGAACTATGAAAAATAGAAAATATTGTTGCCAAATACCATGGCAACAACTGTAGCCTGCAGACCTTTTCACGATACTGCATCTTTCCCCTACCTATTGTCTAGCCTTGGCAGTAACCATTTTTATGGATTAGGTTCTCTTGTGGCTTCATCTCACTTTTCTACCTCTTATTCTTCCTTTGTTTCATTTTTGTTCCTTATTTTAAATGTTTTTTTTCTTGCCATACCTCTGTAGGATAATTTAACACAATGAAATCCTTTTGGAACAAGCTGGGTTATAAATAAATTAATAATAATGCTAATGTACTGTCTTGTAATTGCACTAATGTGTGGGTTTGGATGAAATTGACATTTTGAAGGTAGTATCTCATATAGTAGTAAACTCAGCATGTCAGAACTCAGAGCTAAATATGCAAAACAGCGACAGTGCTGAAAAAAATCTTGGATCTCGGTGTAATAGTTGAATGTCTTTGGATGCAAATGATGGAAATGGATTCTGACTAACAGAAGCAAAAAGAGACTTTTAACAGGGTGCTAGCTAGGAACTCAGGATAGATGGGAGGCTGGAGAGCCAAATCAGGACACAAGACAGGAATGAAGGCAATTCCTGGAGTCCAGGCAGCATGAACAACTGAAGGATCTTATCTGGGTGCTGCTCCTCCAGTATATGTGTTCCAATATTTTCCCATTCCTTATGCGCCTCCACTCAAGATGAAAAGTTCCAAGAGTACAGTCTGCTTGATGTTTGCTGGGCATTCACAGATTTATAGTACTAAAAATATGTGAGACCAGGTGCAGTGGCTCATGCCTGTAATCCCAGCACTTTGGGAGGCCAAGGCAAGAGAATCACTTGAGTCCAGGAATTCGAGACCAGCCTGGGCAACATAGTGAGACAGTGTCTCTACAGATAAATAAATAAATAAGTTAGCCAGGCGTGGTGGTGCACATCTGTAGTACCAGCTACTTGGGAGGCTAAGGTGGGAGGATTGCTTGAGCCAGGGAGTTCAAAACTGCATACAGTGAGTGGTGATCGCACCACTGTACTCCAGTCTGAGTGACTGACAGAGATCTTCTCTCTCTAAAAAAAAAAGGAAATTTAGTATGGAATGAAAGCTCTCTTGAAAGTTTGCCAAAACATAAAATAGCATACATTTGGGAAAAGAAGTTATCCCAGGAGTCCAGTTGTCTTACTTTGGGTCACATGTAGCTCCTTGGTTGCAGAGAGGAGATGAGAAATATTGAGTTACATTCCGATCAAGACTGTCCTCCAACTGGAAGATGCAATAGGAAATTGGGGTACTCCTGGGAAGGGTGCTCTTGGTTGCTGGCCACCGAAAAAACAACGTATGTGCATTACATTACAGCAAGAGTAGATTGTAAGTTTCTGTGTTGTATTCTAAAGCTCTAGCGTGGGGCAAGTAGTGTCTCTGAAAAGTGCATATCCATGCAGAACCTCAGAATGCAACTTTGTATAGAAATAGAGTTACTGCTGATGTTATTAGTTAAGGATCAAGACGAGACCTCACTGGATTAGAGTGGACCGTAAATCTAATGATTGTCTTTATAAGAGTCAAAACAGCAAGCACAGAGACACACAGAGAAGCAAGTGATGTGAAGACGGAGGCAGAGATTGGAGCAATGCACCCACCAGGCAAGGAACACCAAGGATTGCCGGGTCGCCAAAAGCTAAGAAAGAGGCATGAGGAGGTTTCTCCCTCGGAGCTTCTAGGAGGAACTAAGCTTACCCACACTTTGATTTGGGACTTCTGGCCTCCTGAATGGTGACAGAATACATTTCTGTTGTTTTAAGCTACTCATTTTGTGCCACTTGGTTATAGCAGCCATTGGAACCTAATGCAACCCCTAAGAGCAGATTTTTTGGCAAAACCCTAAGAAGTAAAACCATGAGAATAAGCACATGGTAAATGCATTTTTGTGACTGTGAATACAAATGCATTTTTGTGACAGTGAACCTAATGCAACCCCTAAGAGCAGATTCTTTGGCAAAACCCTAAGAAGTGAAACCATGAGAATAGGCACATGGCAAATGCATTTTGTGACAGTGAATACATTTTGTGACAGTGTATTCCTTTTTATTTCAAAAGAGAATAAATCTATGAATGGTTTAGTTCATTTATGCCACAAAGAGCTATTGAGTCCCTCTTATGTGCTGGGACATTCTAGGACCTGGAAATACAGGGGTGAACCAATGGGACAGACTCACTAATCTCAGAGGGCTTGTACTCAGAGGGTTAACAGTAAACAAGACATATTGGGGTTGAGATCAGAGCCAAGAGGAGAGCAAAGCCGGATGATGTGACCTAACATGATGGACAGGAAGTGGGGAGCCCGTTCAGATTGGTGGTCAGGCAAGGAGAAGAGAGCTGAGACCCAATAATCATGAGGAGTCAGACATTCTTGAGCTGAGGGAAGGGCATTCCAGGCAGAGGGAGCAGAGAGAAACTGCAGCAGAGGGACCATTGACAAGCAGAAGGAGATAAACTGGAAGATGTAGGCAGAGACAGTTCATGACTTACTTTCTAAGACACATCACAGAAGTGGAGAATCTTTTTTTTTTTTTAAGACGAAGTCTCGTTCTTGTCCCCCAGGCTGGAATGCGATGGCGCCATCTCGGCTCACTGCAACTTCCGCCTCCCGAGTTCAAGTGATTCTCCTGCCTCAGCCTCCCGAGTAGCTGGGACTACAGGCATGCACCAGCACGCCCGGCTAATTTTTGTGTTTTTAGTAGCGATGGGGTTTCACCATGTTAGCCAGGCTGGTCTCAAATTCCTGACCTCAGGTGATCCGCCCGCCTCAGCGTCCCAAAGCGCTGGGATTACAGGTGTGAGCCACCGCACCCGGTAGAGAATCTTAAGCAGGAGAGTAACACCTGCTGATTTAAACATTTAGTGGGTCCACCTGCTACGTGGGAAAAAACTGCAGTGGGGCAAAGCGGGTAGGGTGCATCTGGGAGGCTAGCACAGGCCAGATGAGAGTAAATGGGGCTCAGAATCAAGTAGTTAGTGAGCTGGAGAGAAGTGGGCTAATTCTAGATATGTGTGAGGTAGAGTTTGACAGGACTAGTAATTATTAGTTAAGTGCCTTTTCTTGGTCCACCGTTACTTGAAATTCTATAAGGGAATACCTTATAGAAAATATTATATCACTAAGACTAATATTCAGGAGGTTTACATTAAATTGAACAAAAAAGATGGTATACATATGACATATTTATAAAATATATACAGACTCAGAATGCCTTAGTGTGTGATTGATAGAGGCAATAAAGGTAGGAAAGAAGGCCTCTGTGCCGATAAAGGTAACAAGGAAGGCTCCATGGACTTCAGATGGGCCTTTGAAGATACATGAGACAGGAGAGCATTCCAGGGTGGATTAGGCATGAACGAAAGAAAAGAGAAAAGTGGACAATGATTGTGCAATATTTAGGGTGGATGAGTAAACTGATTTGATCAGATTAGAGAGCTTAGATACAGTAAATAATGCCAATAAAATTAGGTCAGTAAAGTGAGGATAGATGATAGAGGACTGAAATCCAGGAGGAGTTTAGATTTAATCTTTTAGGCTGGGTGCAGTGGCTCAGGCCTGTAATCCCAGCACTTTGGGAGGCTGAGGCAGGGGGATCACTTGAGGTCAGGAGTTCAAGACCAGCCTGGCCAACATGGTGAAACCTCAACTCTACAAAAAATACAAAAATTAGCTGGGCGTGGTGGCATTCACCTATAATCCCAGCTACTTGGGAGGGTGAGACACAAGAATCACTTGAATCTGGAAGGCAGAGGTTTCAGTGAGCCAAGATCACACCACTGCATTCCAGCCTTGGCAACAGAGCAACACCCTGTCTCAAAAATAAATACGTAAATAAAACAAAATAAATTTACTCTTTTATGCCAGGGATCTGTAAGCTTTTTCTGAAAAGGGCTAGGTGGTAGATATTTTTCGTTTGGAAGACTATGCAATCTTCATCTCAACTCTCAACTTTTTCATTGTAGTGTGAAGGCAGCCATACACAAAACTTTGAAAATAAGCATGGCTGTTTCAATAAAGCTACTAATGAAAACAGATAGGCTGGGTGTGGTGGCTCATGTCTGTAATCCCAGCACTTTGGGAGGCTGAGGCAGGCGGATCACTAGGTCAGGAGATTGAGACCAGCCTGGCTAACCCGGTAAAACCCCATCTCCCCATCTCTAGTAAAAATACAAAAAATTAGCCAGGCGTGGTGGCACTTGCCTGTAGTCCCAGCTACTCGGGAGGCTGAGGCAGGAGAATCGCTTGAACCTAGGAAGCAGAGGTTGCAGTGAGCTGAAATCGCGCCACTGCACTCCAGCCTGGGTGACAGAATGAGACTCCATCTCAAGAAAAAAAGAAGAAGAAGAAAGAAAACAGGTGGCTGTGGGGCATGGTGGCTCATGCCTGCAGTCCCAGTGACTCAGGAGGCTGAGGTGGGAGGATCCCTTGTGGCCAGGAGTTTGAGGTTATGGTGAGCTACGATCACACCACTGCACTCCAGCCTGGGTGGTAGAAGGAGAACCCATCTCGAAAAATAAAAAAAATAAACAACAACAACAACAAAAACACTGGCAGATTGGACTTGGCCTTTGGGCTAGAGCAGTAGAGCAATAAAATAAAAATGGTGTTTTATTAGGATTTTTGAAGTAACCACGTACAAGGGTAGTGGGCATTTTTAGCTACTTGGCATCCATTTTCCCTGTCCTTGGTCCACACTCTGTCCAGGTTTTCCATCAGATGCCTACTTCTCTCACATGTTTAAGGAGAATCTGATTGCACTCCCAGCTGTATGAGTCGAAGTCCATCAGGTTATCCTATCTCTCTTTCCACAGTATTGGTTCATACAACCCAGACCTAAGCCAACTAGTGCATGCTCTTTCGCAGGCACAGATGTTGATTCAGGAAGGGCATCTGGCAAATGTTGTCTAGTAACATGCAAAGGATGTTCACTGGGGCTTCTAGAAAGACACTTTCTTACTTTTCTGAGAGCCACCACAGAGGACACTCTCTCCTCTTCTGGGCAGAATGGTATAGGGATATGAAACCTGAATCTCTAGATTCATTTTGCCACTCTGAGAGAAGCAAGATCTAGAATGAAGTTGACAAGACTGAAGACAGAGAAGAGAAAGGTAAAGAAGGCAGGTCTTGTATAACATGGCTGAACAACTAAATTAAACCTCCCCTGAAGCCTATCATACCTTGGACTTTTTAGCCAATAAATCACTTCCATTGCTTACATTTGTCTGAGTTATCTATCCCTTGAAATTGAAAGTATTTCATTGTCACAGCGAAATCACATGAAATGAGGAAATGCTGAAGGGAGCTGGAGCAGACAGGAGACTAGGCACAAAGTGATAGCATATGAGATGGCAGTGAGAAGGAGAAGAGGGACAGCCTGAGTCACTGGAAGGGGAGAATTCATTTGGAAGTCTAAACTATATCAATGTGACCAGCATGTCCTCGTTAGATAAGAGACAAAGAGAAAAACTTAAGAAATATAGCTTCCTTTCCCCACCACACCTCACCACCTCATCACTAAAAGCCTGTTTATAACTTCTTTCTACCCAATACACCATGCTTGGCTATCACGAAAAAATTACAAGGCATACTAAAAGGCAAAAAACACAGTTTGAAGAAACAGGCACCACAGGAATGTTGAAGTTACCAGAGAGGGAATTTCAAATAACAATAATTCACATGCTAAGGGCTCTACTGAATAAAGCAGGCAGTGTGCAAGAACAGATGGACAATGTAAGCAGAGACAGAAATCCTAAAATAAACAAAAACAGGCCAGGCACGGTGGCTCATACCTGTAATCCCAACACTTTGGGAGGCCAAGTAGGGTGGATCACCTGAGGTCAGGAGTTCAAGACCAGCCGGGCCAAAATGGTGAAACCCCATCTCTACTAAAAATACAAAAATTAGCCGGGCGTGGTGGCACACGCCTGTAATCCCAGCTACTTGGGAGACTGAGGCAGGAGAATCACTTTAATCCAGGAGGCAGAGGTTGCAGTGAGCTAAAATCACCCCATTGCACTCCAGCGTGGGCAACAGAGCGAGACTCTGTCTCAAAAAAAAAAAAAAAAAAAAAGAAATGTTAGAGATTTTCAAAACACTGTGACAGAAATAAAGAATGTCTTTGTGGGGCTTGTTAGCAGATTGGACATGGCTGAGGAAAGAATTTCTGAACTTGAGACTACGTCAGTAGAAACCTCTAAAACTGAAAAGCAAAGAGAACAAAGACTGAAAAAAAAAACCCCAAAACAGTACAAAATATCCAAGAACTGGGACAACTACGAAAGGTATAACAAACTCATAATGGGAATACTAAAATGAGAAGAAAGACAGAAAAGAACAGAAGAAATATTTGAAAAAACAATATCTGATAATTTCCCCCAATTAATGTCTGATACCAAACCACAGATCTAGAAAGCTTGGAAAACCCCAAAGAGGATAAGGGCAAAAAATCACTCCTTGCCATATCATTTTTTTTTTTTTTTTTGAGACAGAGTCTCGCTCTGTCACCCAGGCTGGAGTGCAGTGGCCCGATCTCGGCTCAATGCAAACTCTGCCTCCTGGGTTCAAGCAATTCTCTGCGTCAGCCTCCCAAGTAGCCTCCCGCCACCACGCCTGGCTAATTTTTGTATTTTTAGTAGAGACGGAGTTTCACCATCTTGGCCAGGCTGGTCTTGAACTCCTGACTTTGTGACGCCTTGGCCTCCCAAAGTGCTGGGATTACAGGCGTGAGCCACCATGCCCGGCCACCATATCATTTTTATATTACAGGTAATCAAAGGAAAGAAAAATTCTAAAAAAGCCAGAGGGAAAAATATTCTTACCTACAGAAGACCAAAGATAAGAATTATATCCAACTCTAATCAGAAATTATGCAAGCAAAAAGATAGTGGAGTGCAATATTTAAAGTGTTGAGAGAAAAAGACCACCAACCCAAGATTCTGCAACCAGAAAAATTATCCTTCAAAAGTGAAGGAGAGGCCAGGCACAGTGGCTCATGCCTGTAATTCCAGCACTTTCAGAGGCCAAGGCAGGTGGATCACTTGAGGCCAGGAGTTCGAGACCAGCCTGGCCAACAGGGTGAAACCTTGTCTCTACTAAAAAGACAAAAAATAGCCAGGTGTGGTGACACATGCCTGTAATCCCAGCTACTTGGGAGGCTAAGGCATAGAATCACTTGAACCCGGGAGGTGGAGACTGCAGTGAGCAGGTATTGCACCACTGCCCTCCAGGCTGGGTGACAGAGCGAGACTCCATCTCAAAAAAAAAAATTTTTCTTTCTTTCTTCCTTCCTTCCTTCCTTTCTTTCTTTCTTTCTTTTTTTTTTTTTTTTTTTGAGATGGAGTTTTGCTCTTGTTGCCCAGGCTGGACTGCAATGGTGCAATCTCGGCTCCCCACAACCCCCACCTCCCAGGTTCAAGCGATTCTCCTGCCTCAGCCTCCCAAGTAGCTGGGACTACAGGCACCCGCCACCACACCCGGCTAATTTTGTATTTTTGGTAGAGACGGGGTTTCTCCATGTTGATCAGGCTGGTCTCAAACTCCCGACTTCGGGTGATCTGCCTGCCTTGGCCTCCCAAAGTCCTGGGATTACAGGTGTGAGCCACCATGCCCACCCAACTTTTATTTTTCTTATTCTTAATTGACCTAACAGGTAACAGTTCATTCAAAATAATAACAGAAATAATGCATTCAATTGTGTATGCTTATGTATATGTTCGGTATATTATACATATATGCACATTATATATTACATATATATCATAGTCTATATGTACTTATATATGTGAAATAAATGACAGCAATTATGTAAAGATCGGGAGGGAGGAATTAGGATTATTTTGCTCTTATATGATACTCACTCTACCTGTGAAATGGTATAGGGTTATTTGGAAGTTGGCTTGGATTAGTTGTAAAAGTATAATGTAAACTCTAGAGCAATCACTATAAAGAAGTGACAAAAGAAGTATAGCCAAAAAATAAGAGAAAATGGAATAACATAAAAGGCTTATTTAAAACCATAAAAGGCAGAAAAAGAATGACAGACAAAAAATAGATCCCCGCTGGCAAGGGGCATGGAAAGAAAGAGAAGAAAAGAAATAAGCTTAACAAATAGAAAACAGTAACAAATATGGTAGATGTCCATCAGACTATATCAATGATCACTTTAACATCAATGGCCTAAATATACCAATTAAAAGACAGTGATTGTCAAGGTGGTTCATAAAAGACTTATCAATATGTTGTCTATAAGAAACCCACTTTGAATATAAAGACATGTAAATATTAAAAGTAACAGATGGAGAAAGACATACCATGTTAATACTAACAAAAAAATTTGAAACACTGACAGCACCAAATGCTGATGAGGATGTTCAGCAACAGGATCTCTCCATTCATTGCTAGTAGAAATGCAAAATGATACAGCTACTTTGGAAGATGGTTTAGTCGTTTTCTACAAAGCTAAACATCCTGTTACCAAACAATCCAGCAGTTGTGCTCCTTGGTATTCACCTAAAGGAGTTGAAAACTTACGTCCTTACAGAAACCTGCACACTGATGTTTATAGCAGGTTTATTCATAGTTGCTAAAACTTGGAAGCAACCATGATGTCCTTCAGTAAGTGAATGAATAAGTAAACTGTGGAACATCTAGGCAATTTTGCTATGAACCTAAAACTGGCTCTAAAAAGTAGTCTATTTTTTAAAAAAAGAGTTTTAGGAGGGGAAATCATGATCAGATTTTTATTTTTAAGAGGTCACTCTGGCTTCACTGACCCATGTGGGTGGAAATAAAGAACAAAAATGGGTGTAGAAGAACAGTTAACTGCAGTGGTCCAGGTGAGAGATGGTGCTAGTTTGGTCTCAGGTGGCCGCAAAGGAGAAGATGAAAACATGCTGGCCCTAGAGGGGAATAAGATTTACAGACGTGTCTCTCCGGAAGTCGATGAACTGTTTGGCCTTAGTTTCCTCATCTATTAAAAGAGAGAGAGAAGAGGACTATGGGAGTTGGCCAGAGGTCTTCATGATTTAGGGATAACCTATCACTGAACCAAACGTAAGGCAAACAGAATCAACTGAATGCTTGAGTCAGACATCTTTTCCTTTGTAATGGCAGCCCTATATTAGACAAGAGCAGTATCAGGCAGATGATGATTTTTATGAGATAATTTTGAAAACATAACTTCCTGGACACTCTTCAAATATAACGACCCACTTCTTTATTATCCTAACTGTGCTAATAGTGAATATTAAATATGATAATATTATCCAATATGAAAATAGCCATTGAGAGACACAGACAATATGTGGAGAGGTTCCAAACTACTTCAAACAGGAGTCCCAGAAGTGAACAAAGGAAATGGAAGAGAAGTGCTATTTGAAGAGATAATAGCTAATACACTGATAGACTTTGACAAAGGCAGAATCCTTCAGATTAAAAGTAACAGGAGGTACAGAGCAGGAAAAGTGAAAGTAAACTTACACCTACACATTACGATGGAACAACAGAAAATCAAAGCTGAAGAGGAAAACTCTTAAAGCTCCCAGAAAGAAAGTAGAGATTGCTTACAAAGGAATGATGATTAGATGGACCCCTGACTTTTCATCGCCAAAAACAAGTGCCAGAGGACAACCGGTAATAATGGAAGTTAGTGCTGATGATAAATAACCATCAACCTAAAAATCTGTACCCACATAAACTATCATTTAAAAGCACCTGAGAACTATAACTGAAAGACCATTGATGAAAAGGACATAGTATAGAAAAATAATAATAACAGCAAACACTTATTGAATACTTACTATATGCAAAGATAGTGTTCAAAGCCCAAAAGTCATTTAATTCTCACAGCAATCTTGAGGGAGCTACTATAATTACCCTGATTTTACACAAAAGAAAACTGAAGCACAGAAAGGTTGAGTTACTTATCCAAGATCACACAGCTGTAAAGTGGCAGTCAAGGCTCTACACCAGGCAGCCTGGCTTTGAAGCCTGTGTACGTCCTCACCACTCCCAGAGCCCGGGGGGAAGGAGTCAGACTCAGGAAAGAGCAGCAGGCACAGAAATGAGTAGCAATATGAGGGTAATATGTTTTTAAAACTTGAGAGAATTGAATTCTTATGTGTTCTTTTAAGAAACAAAACTAAAATTCTTGGCAATACTGACAAGGCAGATGGAGGAAAAGCAGGAGTGAGCTTTGTTCTCTAGTAAGTGTGGAAAGTCCAGGAAGTGATCAGAGATAAATCTTGGACTTTGGGCTTTTTGGGTTGCTTTGTAGGTTTAGTTAAATGCAAAAGTTAACAGTTAAAGGGTAAAAACACTAAAAACATATATAAAGACACTATGAGACCTTATTATGAGGAAGAACACGGAATTTACCTTCGTTCCCACTGATAGAATTAATTAAATGGGCCGGGCACAGTGGCTCACGCCTGTAATCCCAGCACTTGGGGAGGCTGAGGTGGGTGGATCACCTGAGGTCAGGAGTTCAAGACCAGCCTGGCCAACATGGTGAAACCCCATCTCTACTACAAAAAAATACAAAAATCAGCTGGGCGTGGCAGTGGGTGCCTGTAATCCCAGCTACAGGAGAGACTGAGACAGGAGAATTGCTTGAACTCAGGAGGTGGAAGTTGCAGTGAGCCAGGATCGCGTCACTGCACTCCAGCCTGGGCGACAAGAGCGAAACTTCTTCTCAAAAAAAAAAAAAATAAAATAAAATGAATTAAATGAACTGTGGCCAGCGGCCAGCGTTCCTTCTCTGGCCGATAAACCTCAGGAGTTTACAGCACACAGACCAGATCAGTCAGGAGTAGTCATCACACCGTGGGGCACCCTCAGTGGCCCTCTGCATTTTTTGCCAGAAGTTAGCATGTGCCTGTGACCTAAGCCTCACCTGTAAGCCCAGGAGAGAGCTGTGAACTGTAAGTAGAATGTCACATGGGCCTTACAGAGCAACTGTAACTCAGGGGTTAGTTGAGTGGAGGTTGTAAACCAAAATAAAATTCTAAGCCCCCCAGTTGGCTAAACAGGCCTCTCTCTTGGCCAACAGGATCCCAAAGAAACCTGAGAGACTACTTCAGGCCATGATGGGAAAGGCAAGTTTGGACATGCCTCCTTTTACCCTGGTAAATGGTAAAATGACTGGTTATTTTAAAAAGAGGGATGCTTAGGACAAAACAGAAAGTCCAAGCAAGTCATAAATGGTCTGTGTAAGTCACGTTAAGGTTCACAAAAGGAGAACTTATGAAAGAAATTTTGTATGTGATTAAGGTGTCTATAATTAAAAGGAAATTATAATCATCTTTCTAGAGATTGGGCTTTGATATTAAAAACACACTAAGACACTAAATAATTGATTAGAACAACATATTTTCTTTCTTTTTTTTTTCCTGAGATGGAGTTGCACTCTGTAGCCCAGGCTGGAATGCAGTGGTGTGATCTCAGCTCACTGCAACCTCTGCCTCCTGGTTCAAGTGATTCTCCTGCCTTGGCCTCCTGAGTAGCTGGGACTACAGTCATGCACCATCACGCCTGGCTAATTAGAGATGGGGTTTCACCATGTTGGCCAGGCTGGTCTCAAACTCCTGACTTCGCATGATTCACCTGCCTGGGCCTCCCAAAATGCTGGGATTACAGGCGTAAGCCACTGCGCCCAGCCCAAGATTTTTTTAAAGTGTTGATTTACTCTTAATAAAATTGAATTATAGGAAGTTTTAAATGTTGCATTCTCCTTCAGCAGCTTTATTATGTCATGCCACTCTCTCTTGCCCTGTGAGGTTTCCACTGAGAAGTCTGCTGCAAACATATTGGAGCTTCTTTGTATGTTTCTTTTCTTTTGCTGCTTTTTGGATCCTCTCTTTATCCTTGACCTTTGGGAGTTTGATTAGTAATTGCCTTGAGGCAATTTTGTTTGGGTTAAATCTGCTTGGTGCTCTATAACCTTCTTGTATTTGAATATTGATATCTTTCTCTAAGTTTGGGAAGCTCTCTTATTATCCTTTTGAATAAACTTCTACCCTAATCTCTCTTTTTACCTCCTCTTTAAGGCCAGTAGTTTAGATTTGCCCTTTTGAGGCTATTTTCTAAATCTTGTAGGTATGCTTCATTCTATTTTATTCATTTTTCTTTTGTCTCCTCAAACTGTGTATTTTCAAATAGCCTATCTTCAAGCTCACTAATTCTTTCTTCTGCTTGATCAATTCTGCTGTTAAGAGATTGTGATGTTGGCCAGGTGTGGTGGCTCACGCCTGTAATCCCAGCACTTTGGGATGCCAAGGTGGACAGATCACCTGAGGTCAGGAGTTTGAGACCAGCCTAGCCAACATGGTGAAATCCTGTCTCTACTAAAAATACAAAATTAGCTGGGTGTGGTGGTGCTCGCCTGTAATCCCAGCTACTCGGGAGGCTGAGGGAGGAGAATCGCTTGAACCTGGGAGGCAGAGGTTGCAGTGAGCCGAGATCATGCCACTGCACTCAAAAAAAAAAGAGAGAGAGAGAGATTGTGATGAATTCTTCATTATGTCAATTGCATTTTTCAGCTCCAGGATTTCTGCTTGATTTTTTTTTTAAGATAGGGTCTCATTCTGTTGCCCAGGCTAGAATGCAATGACATGATCACAGCTCACTGCAGCCTTGACCTCCTGGGCTCAATAGATCCTCCTGTCTCAGCCTTTCAAGTAACTAGGACTACAGGTGTGCACCACCGCATCTGGCTAATTTTTGTATTTTTTGTAGAGGCAGGGTTTTGCCATGTTGCCCAGGCTGGTCTTGAACTCCTGGGCTCATGTGATCTACCCACCTCAGCCTCCCAGAGTTCTGGGATTACAGACATGAGCCACTGCATCCAGTCTGACTCTTTTTTAATTATTTCAATCTGTTACATTTATCTGATAGGATTCTAAATTCCTTCTCTCTGTTATCTTGGATTTTGTTAAACGTCACCAAAACAGCTATTTCGAATTCTTTGTCTGAAAGGTCACATATCTCTGTCTCTCTGGGATTTGTCTCTCGTGACTTGCTTACTTCGTTTGGTCATGTTTTCCTGTACGGTCTTGATGCTTGTGGATGTTTGTCAGTGTCTGAGCATTGAAGAGTTAGGTTTTTATTATAGTCTTTGCAGTCTGGGCTTGTGTGTACCCATCCTTCTTAGGAGGGCTTTCCAGGTATTCAAAGGGACTTGAATGTTGTGATCTAAGTCTTTGGTCACTGCAGCCATATCTGCTTTAGCAGGCACTTAAAGCCCAGCAATGCTGTGGCTCTTGCAAACTCATAGAGGTACTGCCTTGGTAGTCTTGGGTAAGATCCAGGAGAGTTCCCTGGATTAGTAGGCAGAGACTCTTCCTCTCTTCCCTTACTTTCCCCCAAACAAGTGAAGTATCTCTCTCTCTCTCAGCTGACTGCTTAGAGCTGGGGGAGGGTTGACACAAGCACTCCTGTGGTCACCACCACTGGGACAGTGCTGGGTCAGACCTGAAGCCAGCACAGCCCTAGGTCTCACCCAAGGCCTGCAGTGACCACTGCCTGGCTACTGCCTGTGTTTACTCAAGCACCAAGGGCCCTACAATCATCAGGTGGCAAAGCCAACTAGGCTTGTGTTCTTCCCTCCAGGGCAGTGAGTTCCCCTTGTTCCCGGTGGGTCCAGAGATGCTGTCTGGGAGCCAGGGTCTGGAGTTGGGAACCTTAGAAATCTACCTTGTGCTCTACTCTACTGTGGCTGAGCTGGCACCCAAGCCACAGGACAAAGTCCTTTCCACATCTCCCTCCCCTTACTTCAAGAAGAGGAGTCTCTCACCATGGCCACCATAGCCCACTCACTCCCAGGCCCATGGCAAGCACTGCCAGGCTACCACCATGTTCACTCAAGGCCCAAGGGCTCTTCAGTCAGCTTGTGGTGAATTCTGCCAGTCCTTAGTCTCTCCTTTTAGGACAGTGTGGTCCCTTTGGCCTAGGGCAGGTCCAGAAATGCCGTCCAAGAGCCAAGGCCTAGAATCAGCGACCGCAGGAGTCCACTTGGTGCTCTACCCAACTGTGGCTGAGCTGGTACTCATGCTGTAAGACAAAATCCTCTTTACTCTTCCCTCTCCTTTCCTCAAGCAGAAGGGATCTCTCTCCATAGCCACCATAGCTGGGAATGTGCTGGGTCACACCTGAAGCCAGCACAGCTCTGAGTCTCACCCAAGGCCTGCAGAGAGTACTACCTAGCTACTGCTGCTGCTTATTCAGGGTCCAGGGACTCTATAGTCAGCAGGTGATGAATCCTGCCAGGACTGGATCCTTCCTTTCTAGGCAGTAGGTTCCTTCTGGCCCAGGGTGTGTTTAGAAATGTTGTCTGGGAGCTAGAGACTGGAATGCAGGCTTCAGGACTCTGCCTGTTGCCCTATTCTACTGTGGCTGAGCTGGTATCCAAGTTATAAGACAAAGTCCTCTATACTCTCCCCTCTTCTCTCCTCAAGCAATGGGAAGGAGTCTCTGTTGGAGCTGTGAGCTGCACTGCCTGGGGCTGGGGGAGTGGTGATGCAAACACTCCCTTCGCTGCCCCAGCTGGTATCTCACTGGGTTGTGTGTCTCCTAAGTCTCCTGGCTCTGAGCCCAGCACAACACCTGGGTAAGATCCAGGAGAGTTCCCTGGATCAATAGGCAGAGACTCTTCCTCTCTTCCCCTACTTTCCCCCAAACAAATGAAGTCTCTCTCTCTCAGCTGACTGCTTAGAGCTGGGGGAGGGTGGACACAAGCACCCCTGTGGTCACCACTAATGGGACAGTGCTAGGTCAGACCTGAAGCCAGCACAGCCCAGGCCTTGCCTGGGAATTGAGGTCCTGTGACCTAAACTGCCTTTCATGTTTATTTAGGACCCCAGAGCATTTTAGCTCATAATGGCAGGGCTTGCCAGAACTCAGGTTCCCACCACTAGGATGGATGATTTGCCTCTGGCTAGGGCTAGTCTGAATGCTCCCTTTGTGGGTGCCAGCTGAGTTTTGCCCCATGTTGCTTTCCACTATGACAGGGCAGCACTGGGTTCCAATGCAAAGCC
This sequence comes from Homo sapiens, assembly GCF_000001405.40. Lineage (NCBI taxonomy): Eukaryota > Metazoa > Chordata > Mammalia > Primates > Hominidae > Homo > Homo sapiens. The sequence continues at coordinate 174,506,975 of NC_000002.12, read as the reverse complement.
CCCGACACTCGCTGTGCTTTCTCTCTTCCAGATGCACAGGGTCTCTCTATGCACTGCCAGGGGATGAAGTAAGGGTGATGTAGGTGATTCAAGGCTGTTTCTCCTACCCTCTTCAGTGCTTCTTTCTTTAATATGGTGTTAAAACCAGGCACTATAATTACTCACCTGATTTTTGGTTCTTATGAAGGTGTTCTTATGTGGATAGTTGTTCAATTTGTTGTTCCTGCAGGGGATTGTGAGAGGGATAATCATTGGATGCTTCTATTTGACCATCTTGCTCGACTTCCCTAATCTGCTTCTTTTTAAAATTTCTCAGATTGATATCTCAGAAGTTCACCTTCTGCCATACTCTGCTGCTTTCAGCTTTTTATCCCTTTGGAAAGGCCTAGGATGGTAATGCTCTCCTTCAAATTTTGTTGGCTTCTGTGACTTTTTTTTTTTTCTTTTTCCTCCAGTTCTAAATCTGTTTTTATGGCCTGATGTAAAATGTTTTATCTTGAAAGTTTTTAAAGAAGGCAATATTTTGGGCATAGTGGTTCACATCTGTAATCCCAGCCATTGTGGGAGGCCAAGGCAGGAGAAATGCTTTAGCCCAGGAGTTCAAGGCCAGCAAGGGCAGCATAGTAACACTGATCTCTACAGAAAATTTTTTTTAAAAAAATTAGCCAGGCATGGTGACACACGCCTGTAGTCCCAGCTACTCAAGAGGCTGAGGTGGGAGAATTGCTTGAGCCCATGAGGTCAAGAATGCAGTGAGCCAAGATTGCGCCACTGCACTCCAGTCTGGGTGATGGAGCAAGATCCTGTCTCAAAAAAATTAAAAATTAAAAAATAATAATTAAAAAAAGAAGGCCATATTTTCCTCCAGTATAACTTAATTCTGTACTCTTGGCTTTTTCTAACATATTTAGGGGCCAAGGGCCCCCCCAAAGGTTTGCTGAAAAAAATCAACTCACAAAAGACAGATTGGTTGAAGAGAAAGCGTATAGATTTGTTTGGCATATATATGTGACAATCTTCAGAGTAAAGACCCAAGATACAGGGAAAATTGTTCATTTTTATGCTTAGGTTCAACAAAGTATGAACAGCCTTGTAAAAAACTACAGATACAATTGAACGCTAGTAGACTGTGTGGGGAAAGGAGCAAGGCCTGTCTGCCTAGATTCTTCTTCACCTCCCTGAGTATGCATTTCCATCCTTCTGGGTGTAGGGGTCTTATAACCTATAGTCCAACAAGGAAGTTCAGAGAATTTCTTCATGGCCAGTTTTCACACAGTAAAGTGGAGAAAAAATTAGAGGAATATTTTTAAGTGTTATGGCTGGCTTTGATGAAAATGGGCTGTGGTTTCTGGGGCCCACCTTGGGGAAGAAAGATTCTAGTTTCTATAGCCAGCCTAAAGGGAAAATGGGACTGAGAAACAGGAGGGCAGGAGAAGGCCAAAGAGAAACTTTTACTTCTGAGGCTGCTCCTTTGGTTATGTGAAAGGAAGATACCATGGCCGCCCACAATCTCTAAGGCAAACTCAAGCTGGAAACTGCTTAGGGCAAAACCTGCCTCCCATTCTATTCAAAGTCATCCCTCTGCTCACTGACATAGGTGCATATCTGACTGCCTCTTTTGGAAAGGCCAGTCAGAAACTCAGAAGAATGCAACCATTTGTGTCTCAACTATCTGTGACCTGGAAGCTCCCTCCGGACTTCCGGTCCTCCTGCCTTTGCTTCAAGTTGCCTTTCCAAGCAACTTCCTACTTCTTACTTACATTGATTGATGTCTCATGCCTCCCTAAAATGTGTAAAAACAAGCTGTGCCCTGACCACCTTGGGCACATGTCGTCAGGACTTCCTGAGGCTGCGTCATGGGCAGGTCCTCAACCTTGGCAAAATAAACTTTCTAAATTAACTGAGCCTGTCTCAGATTTTCTGGGTTCACAGTTATCATTTTGGGGTATTGTTTTCTGAAGCCCAAGATACGTCTAAAGTGGTCAACATAACCAGACAACTTCCCATGCTGTAGCTAAGAGTCACATATTTCCCCCCTCAAGGCCTCTGTAATATAGTGGTCACTCAACCTGGGACACACTCTTTCTGTGTGTCTGATTAATTTATCTTTTCAGCAAGTCTGACATTCAGGTTATCCAAATGGGCTTCCCATAAGGAAAAACAATCACTGTAGAAGAGGTTTTTTTTCCTCCTTTTTGGCAACTAGCCTAAGAAACAAAAATTTTAAGATAATTTCTATGTTGTTTTTATCAGGTTTTTAAAAATTACTTATTTTTTATTTATTTTTTTTCTTGAGACAGAGTCTCGCTCTGTCACCCAGGCTGGAGGGCAGTGGTGTGATCTCAGCTCACTGCAACCTCCACCTCCCGGGTTCACGCCATTCTCCTGCCTCAGCCTCCCGAGTGGCTGGGACTACAGGTGACCGCCACCAAGCCCGGCTAATTTTTTTTTTTTTTTTTAATAGAGGCAGGGTTTCACTGTGTTAGCCAGGATGGTCTCAATCTCCTGACTTCGTGATCTGCCCATCTTGGCCTCCCAACGTGCTGGGATTACAGGCATGAGCCACCGCACCCGTCCTAAAATTACTCTTAAAAACTAAACTTTAAAAGAGTTAAGGTTTTTACATCCATATAACTTCCTATACAGCTTTTAAAGTCTTTTGGCCAGCTCGGTGGCTCACGCCTGTAATCCCAGCACTCTGGTAGGCCAAGGTGTGTGGATCACTTGGGGCCAGGAGTTTGAGACCAGCCTGGGAAACATAGTGAAACCCCATCTCTACTAAAAACACAAAAATAGCTGGGCGTGGTGGCGTGAACCTGTAAACCCACCTACTCAGGAGGCTGAGGCAGGAGGATCCCTTGAACCAGGGAGGCAGAGGTTGCAGTGAGCCAAGATTAGGTCACTGCACTCCAGCCTGGGCAACAGAGTAAGACTGTCTCAAAAATAATAACAATAAAAATAAAGTCTTTTTATTATCACTCTGGTTAAGTGAATAACTATTATTTTATAATGACCCGTGATTCTGTTTCAATAAAATGTTTTGAGTCTTTTAACATTTTTTGACAAACAGTCTCAAAAATCAAATCCTAACTTAAGCCTCTGACTTAGATTTATTGCTGGGACCTTATCAGAACTATAAAAATCACCCCAAGGTTATAGAATCTTTCTATAGCTTCCAATTAAGATAAACTTTAGTATCATCACCTCCAGCCTGATGATTAGACATCAGTTGAGAGATTCCCTCCATTCCCATTAAATAGGGTCTTTATCAAATATGTTAACTAGCTCTTGTGCTGTTAAGTTGAAGGGGTGTGACTCCTAGGTACTCCTATGTCATCTCAAAGGAACACTTGACTCCTAGTAAATCTTAAATGTCAATACTGTTATCTGGCAGCAAACTTAATTTAACCAAAACCTCATCCTCAGACCTGAGAGATGGTAACAGCCAAAAGAAACCACTTTCATGTTACACTTGTTAAAACAAGTTTAGCCTAAAGCTGCCTCCTTACATATTTTAAGTTTGGCCTAAAGGTTTCTCTGTATATTGTGAACAAACAGAGGTATAAACAGACTGTAGCCTATACTTGTGCCAATCACCGAGTTTTGGGCAATCAGATGTAACCAACTGTTCAACTGTTCAAATAAGGCCAACTGTTCAAATAAGGCAAATGCCAACCTGTAACCAATCCAGCTTTTTCTCTACCTCACTTGTATTTTCTGTGCATCACCTTACTTTTTCTGTCCATAAATCTTCTTCCACCACGTGGCTGTGCTGCAGTCTCAGAGCCTATCTCATGAGGTTGCCTGATTCGTGAATCATTCATTGCTCAATTAAACTCTTAAATTTAATTCAGCTAAAAAATTTTTTTAAATCACACTGGACAAGACCTATATTCAAAAGCATAAATACTGATTTAATAATTTTTCCTCGGCTGGGTGCGATGGCTCACGCCTGTAATCCCAACACTTTGGGAGGCCAAGGCGGGCGGATCATGAGGTCAGAAGATCAAGACCATCCCGGCCAACATGTGAAATCCCGTCTCTACTAAAAATACAAAAATTAACCAGGTGTGGTGGCACACGCCTGTAATCCCAGCTACTCAGGTGGCTGAGACAGGAGAATCACTTGAATCCAGGAGGCAGAGATTGCAGTGAGCTGAGATTGCGCCACTGCACTCCAGCCTGGCAACAGTCCTCTATCCAAATTAAAATCATTGTTCTGTGCCTTAATATTAGATAATTTAAATGTTTACTTGTTGTTTGTCAGTTTCCCTTTCCTGTCATTGTCAGAGCCAGGCAGGGCTTATGTCCTTTTGTTTTGTTTTCCACAGTAGAAAAAACAGACAAACAAAAACCGCTTTTTCTTTTCTTTTCTTTTCTTTACCATTTTAGTTTTTATTAATAAAATAGAAACCTAAACTCAGACAACTGCTTTGTTCTTGCATATAATCTGACCATAAATTGGAGTAGCAATTCTTTATAAAAGGACTTAGGTGAGACCTGTCAATATATCAGTTCCATCAAAAACTCTAGGCTGGAATACCTTAAAAAGAGCAAATTAAATATGAGAAAGCACAGAAATCTCTCCCTCAAACAAGAGGGGCTTCCTTTAATAGTCTTTAATATAGCTCATTTGCAATCATATGAAAATCCATCAAGATCAATTATGATGCACAATCCCTAAAGGATAAAACTGAGGAAACTCATGGATAATTTTCACAGCTTCATTGTAAAGTCCAAGATCAAAAGGATGGTTACCTCTTTAAACTGGACATAAGTTTACACATGATGGTGGCCTTAGCGGTTACTCTTCCAACCACTTCCATAATTCCAGAGATTTCTTCATCAAGGGGTTCCATCAGTTTGATGGTTCCATTTTTTCCTTCTCCATCTAAAAGAACAAACATTTTTCCAGTGGGATGAATCTTTTCCAGCCTCCCTACGAAGCAGACAGGCTTATCGATGAACTGAGCTAGCGTGCCAGCGTTGATGCGCAACCTGGGCAACTCCATCATGTCCACCATGATTATGGTCCAACACTGCAGTGGATGGGAAAACCACGAAAAACCCCTTTTTCTTTTTGAGCTATTTATAGCTTACAAAATTGGGTAAAGCAACAAATACTACCTTTCTCTCTGTACCTGAAAGCTCCAAAATTTAAAACTTATTTAGAATCCCACTGGGCTGAATCTACTTTCATTGCTAATGTCCCACTGCTAAAACTTACCTCTAGGGGAAATATAAGCACCTTCCCTCTAGGCAGGGATTACTGCGGAAGCAGTGGGCATGTGGGATTGTAAGTATGGATTATGAGGGACAGAATTAGTTCAGAACCTCCACATCAAGGGTGGGTATGCAGATGCCTAAACAGCTGACAAAATGAGAGACTTTTCCTCCTGGGTCATTCTGTGGCCCATTTCCATCTACCCCAACCATAAAGAATTTCCTACTTCCAGTAGAGTTAAAAGAAAATTGCAGAGAGGATATCAACTGACAAAAAGCTTCCTGGGTATAGTGCTCCCAGTTATGAGATTTATGAAGATAGACAGATATAATTATGTATAGTTTTTGTGCCTGGGGAGATCTTATTATTTTTTTATTAGCCATCTTAGAACAAATTACTAAAAAGACTGCAAAAAGTGTTGCAATACAACAAAGTCTCTAAACTCTCTAGTTTAAATGGTTTTAACAAAATGCTTATGTTCTGTATAGCTAATTGCTACAAGTCTGTAACTAAAACCAAGACTGCAGTAGCTCAATGCATAAAATTTATAGATAAATCAGTTCTGTAAACTTGCCTTTCGGCTTTTTGACTCTTATATTACTTAGAAGATTTTAAAGGTTTGATGAACGCCTGCCCACCTCCATTCCTGCCTGGCCTAGAATGCTTGAATTGACTATGAGTCTTTTAGATCTAAGTGTCTTGGCTATGGAGGTCCCAGCAAGGGACAGGATGGGTGCAGGTCAGGTGGCCACACCGCCGTGGCAACAATGCGCAACAAAATAAAAGTTTGGCCATTGATGGTGCTTCTGGCAAATCTTGGCCAGAAAGGGGAGAATGGAAACCAAAAATAAAATTCTAAGCACCCCAGTTGGCTAAATAGACCCTTCTGTTGGCCAACAGGATCCCAAAGAAACCTGAAAAACTACTTCATGCCATGATGGGAATGGCAAAGCTGGATACACCTTCTTTTACCCTCCTGCCTTTTGAGTTTAGGCACAACTGACCAGCACTAACTCAAAAGACTGACAACAGACTGTAGCAGTAAGATACCAAATTCCAACTGGACTCTGGTATAGCATCCCATGGCAGATCACAGGCCCTGAAGGAAAGCAAAGTATTTCACCCCAAAATATATTTCTTTGACAAATTTTGTAATGGCCCTGCAAAGCTGTCTCTTGTGGGAAATGTGTCTTCTGTAGAGAATCTCCTTCCATAACTAGGTCTTTTCCAGAAAGATTGATGCCTTTAAGGTCCAATAAGAGACATTTACCATCTATTCTCTCTGAAGCCTGCTACCTGGAGGCTTCATCTACATGACCAGAACCTTGGCTTCCACAACTCCTCTTATCTTAACTCAAGAATTTCTTTATGCTGACTTCAAACTCTTAAGGGGTGAAGCTTAACTTCTCAACGAATTGCCAGTCAGGAAATCTTTGAATCCACCTATAACCTGGAAGCCACCTCATTCAAGATGTTCTGCCTTTCCAGGCCAAACAAATATATACCTTCCATGTATTGATTTATGTTTTTAACTTGTAACTTCTGTCTCCCTAAAATGCATAAAACTGAGCGGTAACCAAACCACCTTGGGCACATGTTCTCAGGACCTCCTGAGGCTGTGTCACAGACCATGGTCCTTAATATTTGCAAAATAAGCCTCTAAACTGATGGAGACGTCTCTGAGATACTTGTTGGTTTACAAGGTTTACCTTCAGAGAAGAAACACCAGGAGTGCTAGTAGTCCACTGGGACTTAAGGAAGCAGGAGGAGAGTCCTCTACACCTATAATTCTTGAAGCAAAGTTTCAGTGGCTGTTATGGTGGCCAGGGCCCTACGCTGCTACAGGGACCCTGGTGACAGGTCAGACCTATGGCCCGAGATTTCTCCAGGCACAAATTTTGCTTCCATGTAGAATGCTAACCACTGGGGAGTTTGCAGCATGGCACAAAGGAGAGCCCACAGGCAATGATTTTAGGGGATCCAAGATGTCAGAGCCTGACTGTGTGAGATTCCTTGGCTATTCCAGGGCAGAGAGAATTTGGAAGTGGCAGAAAGGAAAGCTTGTCAGGCAGTGCCTTTTTATTGAGGAGGTAAACTTTGGGGGAAAGTACACAAAATAGTGAGGAAGGAAAGGGCCATCTGCCCTGCCAGCCGAGGCAGCTGAGCCAGCACTGTCAGTTCACTCCCACGTCCAGAGGCCCAGGCAGTCCTGGGCAGGGTTGCAGTGACAGAAGAGAAGTAACATTTCTTTTTTTTTTTTTTTTTGAGATGGAGTCTCACTCTGTTGCCCACGCTGGAGTATAGTGGTACGATCTTGGCTCACTGCAACCTCCGCCCCCTGGGTTCAGGAGATTCTCCTGCCTCAGCCTCCCCAGTAGCTGGGATTACAGGCAGGTGCCACCACGCCCAGCTAATTTTTGTATTTTTAGTAGAGGCGGGGTTTCACCACGTAGGCCAGACTGGTCCCAAACTCTTGAAGTCAGGTGATCCACCCGCCTCGGCCTCCCAAAGAGCTACTATTACAGGCATGAGCCACCGCACCCAGCCAGAAGTAACACTTCTTATAGTGGACAGCAGGGAAGTCGGTTGCTGGTGAGGAGGGGAATCATCCCTCGAACCCACCAAACTATCAGAGTCACTTGGTGGGAGGAAAATAGGTCTTCCTACAAAGGATGGGCCTACTCAGCCCAGGGTAGCCTAACACAGGTCACACCTTTGAAAACAGATGATTTCGTATCTATGGAAATGCCTCCTTTGCTAGAGGACTGTCATCAAGACCATTTGAGTATGTGGAGCTCTCATAATGGTTTGGCTTTACCAGTACAAGCAATAGTCTCCACCAGGTAACAGCGGGTCAGGTAAGGCTAGAAGCTTACTCGTATCAGCTTGAGGTGATATTAGGGATCACGAAGTCCCTCTGATTCTGAGTGTACAAGTGAGCCAAGTCAATAATAGAGCAGCACCACTGGGGCAGGCAGAAGACAGGAGGTGATAGATATTCACAGAGCGGCACAAGGGCTGGAGCCCAAAGTGCAACAACCAGTTCCAAAGTTGAGCCAAGGACCTAAGGGAGCAGGTGGACATGGGAGGCTGGAGCCATAGCAGGGTTCAGCTGTGTGGGACACCTAGGAACTGTATCCAAGGATTTCTTTCTTATATTATTTTTAATTTTTTTTAATTTAATTTTTTTTGGAGACAGACCATCACTCTGTCACCCAGACTGGAGTGCAGTGGTGCAATCATAGCTTGCTGCAGCCTCAAACTGCTGGGCTCAAGTGATCCTCCCACTTCAGCCTCCTGAGTAGCTAGGACTACAGGAGTGTACCACCAAAGAGTTCTGTCTTTGAGATGACTTTGTTTTTTGGAGACAAGGCTTCACTGTGTCTTCCATGCTGATCCTGAACGCCTGGCCTCAAATGATCCTCCTGCCTTAGCCTCTTGAGTTACTGGGATTACAGGAATGAAACACCTCACCTCACTCTGAGTGGTTGGCTACTTATTAGCCATGACATGGGACTGTGAAGTGACTTTTCTTCAAGGGCATCTTCAAGGTCCTGCTAGATATTTGACAAATATATGATAAGCATATCTGTGCTAGACATTTGACAAACATGTGATAAGTTTATCCACAACATGGCTACTGGCCATTAGACCACACATACTGCATTTGCTCACTCTTCTCAAGGTTTAAGGCCTCATCTCTTCAGTATCTCTGGAGGGTTGGCTTTAAGATAATTTATATTTCCATTAGCTGATACTGCTCTTACTGCTCTGCTACCTTTTCTTTTTTTGAGACAGAGTCTCGCTCTGTCACCCAGGCTGGAGTGCAGTGGCATGGTCTTGGCTCACTGCAACCTCCACCTTCCAGGTTCAAGTGATTCTTCTGTCTCAGCCTCCCAAGTAGCTGGGATTACAGGCATGTGCTACCATGCCCAGCTAATTTTTGTATTTTTAGTAGAGACAGGGTTTCACCATGTTGGCCAGGCTGGTCTAGAACTCCTGACCTCAAGTAATCCACCTGCCTTGGCCTTCCAAAGTGAGTTACAGGTGTGAGCCACCGCACCTGGCCCTTTTTTTTTTTTTTTAAATAAATAGAGACAGGGTCTCAGTGTGTTGCCAAGGCTGGTCTCAAACTCCTGGGCTCAAGCAATCCTCCCACCTTGGCCTCCAAAGTGCTAGGATTACAGGTGCAAGCCACCACACCCAGCCATCTGCTATCTTCTTTTACCACATTTTATAAATTTTAAAATCTCTTTGAACACTCCTATTTCACTTTATTCTACATTGAGAGTTTTTTGATCCAGACTCTAGCAGGAGCTGCAGAAGTATTATTCTCTGTGGGACAGAAACTTTGTACATTCTGGATCTAGAGTGGGGCTCTAATAACAGATGAGAATTGAAAAATGATACAAAGAAAAACAATTTTACAAAACATTTAGCTTTTAGAAGAAAACGTAGGTAAATATCATTATGACCTTGATGCAAGGAAGGATTTCTTTAAAAGATACCAAATGCACAAACTATAAAGGAAAAGATTATTAAAAAGCCAAATTTTAGAAAATAACATCTCTGAAGAAAGATAAGAGGAATTATAATTGTTTCTCAAAAACCAAAGCTTTAAGAGATGGTGAAAAGACTACACTGGGGTTTTACTACATAATCGACAACACATTCAATGTATTGGCTTAGTTATTGAATGTGTCAGAATATTACCTCACCTAGTTTTACCTATAATGTGAACTTTCTAACTGGGGTTTGGAAATGACATCATAGTGAAGACATGGTGTATATGTACAAGGAATGAAGACAGCCAACTGGTTTGTTTTGTTTTTCTTCACAAAGAGCAAATCAAAAGAAATGGGTTTCACATGAGGAACAATGTCATAGGAAAACAGTTACTGAAATGGATTTCTAATGGAAAATGCCAGACTCAATGTGCCCTTTTTTAATGATGAAAACATATTTCTCCCAATGAGCACTGAGACCATAGAAAAATTTTTTTGCCCTCCTCTAAGATAAATATTCCTACTTACTCTTAAGACAGACTTACAGGCTGGCCATGGTGGGTTACACCTATAATCCCAACACTTTGGGAGGCCAAGGCAAGAGGACTGCTTGAAGTCAGGAGTTTAAGACCGGTCTGGTCACCATAGCCAGACGCTGTCTCTACAAAAAAAAAATTAGCTGGGTGTGGTGGCGCACACCTAGCTACTCCGAGGCTGAGGCGAGAGGACTACTTGAGCCCAGGAATTTGGAACTGCAGTGAGCTATGATCACACTACTGCACTCCAGCCTGGGTGACAAAGCAAGACCTCGTCTCTTAAAAAAAAAAGACATAATTTCTGGTTTATTCCCTAAATCAGAAGCTCTTAACTAGGAATTTGCAATAGAATAATCTGCAGAATCTGGCGGAAAAAATACAGGCCTTGGACCTGATTCCTGTGGCATTGATTGAGTAAAGTCTGGCTGGGCCCTGGCATCCATGTTTTTAAAAATTATATTCCCCCTGTGATTCTGGTGTGAAGCTCCAGTTGAGAACTACTGTGACAGAACTTTTGGATTCTTGACTGTGATTAAGCTTTTGGTAGAATGATCTGTAATAGCCCTCAATCTTTATGACTGTCCCCGCCCCCTTATTCTTCCATCTGTTTGCTCACTTGACCTTCCTAGGTTCTTGATCAGTAACCCATATATGCAAATCATGTTGAACAAATAATGTATGGAGCAAGCAGGTAGCCTGGTAGCACCAAGTCCCTAGCATGTAATAACAATGAAATGAGAAGACTTGAGACAGTGAGAAAATGCTGAGAAAGAGAAAGAATGATCGAGAGCCTGGAAGCACATCAAGCCTAAAAGAGGAAACAAGGAATGGGAGCAAATGCATAAACCCATACCCTCCTCCCTTCATCCTGCCTGTAGTAATCCTTGCACCAGCCGTCTCCTTAGCAACAGCTTCCCATTGGTCGCCAGCCTCAATGGGACTGATACAAACCTTCTGTTATTTCCCTGAGTGCTGAGGAGACAACTGCCTCTTCTTCAGTTAATTTGCTATTACTCTTACTGATGTTCTACACTGTTTGGAATGTCTAGCTAATCCCACGAAGGCTTTTTCCTCTCTAACCTTCACACAGGCTAAGTTCTCTGTAACAGAGCTCATGCTCCTTCCCTGCTTACCACCTTCAGAAGTTAACAGAGGAAATCTGGACAAACTGGTTTTGGACAAACGTTACCTACAGACTCTAATTTTTGACACTCATGGCTGGATGGGTGAGACTAAAATGGTTATGAAGAGAGATTCAGACAAGGACTTCTGAATTTCACTGGGATGTCTGCTTGTGGTTTGAAGATTTCTAAAAACTGCTTCAATTGCCCTCAGATTTGATCTTCTTTTTCCTGTAGGATAAATGATTTATTCACTATGGCAAATGTTGGGCTGAAATTTTCAATACCAGTTCTTGGTTTGACAAAGACTATTGGGTTAAAACAACAACAACAACAAATCCTTGACCAGCCACTGAGACAATATATGAAAGGAAATTTTTAAGAATCCTCTAGGAATTTTGTCTTTTTTTTTTTTTTTTTTTAGAGGGAAGGTCTCACTCTGTCACTCAGGCTGGAGTGCAGTGATGCGATTAGAGCTCACTGCATCCTCAAACTCCTGGGCTCAAGCAATCCTCCTGTCTCAGGCTCTCGAGTAGCTGGGACTACACAGGCATACACTCCCACACCCGGCTAATTATTTTATTTTTTGTGGAGATGAGGGCTCACTTTGTTGCCCAGGCTGGTCTTAAATTCCTGGGCTCAAGCAATCCTCCTGCCTTGGCCTCCCAAAGTGCTGGCATTACAGGTGTGAGCCACTGTGCCTGGCCTCAAGTTTTAACATTACTATAAACATCTTATTGTCTCCAAAATATATGAGTATAATAAACCTATGGGACAGGATTTGAGTTACGCCATTTGGACTAATAATAGGTCAGACTTGATATAGTTAATTATGCTATTAGCTATAGACTATAGAGACCGAGACCCCAATTCACACTGCACTGGGAAGCATAGTTTTATCAAGGTTGTTCTCCAAGAGTAACAATCTCCAATCTAGTGTCCAGACCTCTTAGTGAGTAGGCCTGGTGAATGCTCTTGTGTTTCAGAAGTCTTAAGTTTCCTTTCCTGTCTCAACTTTTTGGGAAGGTCTAGGGAAAGCTTACATAAGAGTTAAGGTGAAGAAAAGTCTAAATAATGTTTGAAATTCTGAGAACATTTAAATATTTGTAGAATTAATTAATGGAACACTATCATATTTAGTCTATGTAATATCAATGATGAGTCCCCATGATTTATCCTGTTTCAGCCACTGTCATTTATAAAAATTGTCTAGTTCCTCTGCTGCCATGTAGACACTTGAGTTTTGATAATTCTTCTCTATCAGTTACTTTTGTTAATAGCGGAAAGAAGCAGTCTAAGAAAGAGCAGGGACCCGGCGTGGTGGCTCATGCCTATAATACCAGCACTTTGGGAGGCTGAAGTGGGCGAATCACTTGAGCCCAAGAGTTTCATACCAGCCTGGCCAACATGACAAAACCCCATCTCTACAAAAACAAATACAAAAAGTAGCCGGGTGTGGTGGTGCATCCTGTGGTCCTAGCTACTCGGGAGGCTGAGGTGGGAGGATGACTTGATCCTGGGACGTTGAGGCTGCAGTGAGCTGTGCTCGTGCCACTGCACTCCAGCCTGAGCGACAGAGTGAGACTGTCTCGAGGAAAAAAAAAAAAAAAAAAGAACAGGTGTTTCTGTTTTGAGTGATTCTCTAAATACAAAAATGTCACCAACTTATTTAGCTCTATTGTAAGATTTAGTAGGGCAACAAAAGTTGATCAAGTTTCTACTTTCTATTCTACCAAATACTGTTCTGATACTGAAGAGACTACAGAAATCAACACAGATAGAGGACCTGCCCCTTCAAGGAAGGAAGGAGACTGGAACCCCTGAAAAATTTCCTCTACTGGAAGAATGCACCTGAGGTATGTGCTTCACTGTTGTGCTGAGGATGTGATAGCCTTTTTTTGAGCTAGCTATTTACTCGAAAATGTTTTAACTAGAATCAGCTAAAAACATTCTTAATCTAAAGTCAAGGTTAAAATCTGAGATTTCTCCACTTCCTGCTTGTGTTTTACAATGTTGGTTAGTTTTAGTTTTTCAACTTAGGCATTATTCAAATTAGAAAGTGCTCTGCACAGTTAAAATATTATTTCTTTAAAGGCTGCCTATTAAATAAATTTGTTAGTGAGCCCACTTTTAAATGAACAATTCAGAAGTAGGAACAAGTGTATTTTTTTGTTTTTCATCTTCATGTTCCTGATCTCTAACTCCTTTCAAAAAAAAAGTGGTCAAAACAAAACCACAAGTATCAAGAAGCTAAGTCTTGAAACAGACTGGTGCGGCCCCCAAAGTTACCATGCTTCTATTGTATGATTTCTGCAGCCTATCTTACGTAAGTCATCGATTTAACTTTCAGTTTCATAAGCTAGTTCTGGTTTCATTGTTTTTCTGCTTAACATTTTTTTTTTTTAGACAGAGTCTTGCTCTGTGGCCCCCGAGCTGGAGTGCAGTGGCATGATCTGGGCTCACCACAACCTCCGTGTCCCAAGTTGAAGCAGTTCTCCTGCCTCAGCCTCCCCAGTACCTGGGATTATAGGCGCGTTCCACTGCACCTGGCTAATTTTTGTATTTTTAGTAGAGACAGGGTTTTACCATGTTGGCCAGGCTGGTCTTGAACTCCTGACCTCAGTGATCCGTCTGCCTTGGCCTCCCAAAGTGCTGGGATTACAGGCGTGAGCCACCGCGCCCGGCCTCTGCTTAACTTCTTAAGTGCTGGCCTAGACAAAAGCCTCTGCCCATTTAATCACATTTGAGCCTTTCTTGGGGTCAATAACAAGATCAATAGCCACGTGAGATGTTTAGGTTCCACTTTATTGCTTTTGTGAGAATATTTCAGTAGCAGATCGAAAGAAAAAAAAAGCTATCGTATATTTATGCACACATAAACATATATATGTATATTAAAAGATAATACTCAGGGTTTTAACTTGACAGATCAGAAATAATTATTTAATTCTAGCATTTACAATCACAAAAAGGAGTCAACAATTTGGCGGAATATTTATTTATTTATTTATTTGAGATGAAGTCTTGCTCTGTCGCCCAGACTGGAGTGCAGTGGCGTGATCTTGGCTCACTGCAACCTTCGCCTCCCCGGTTCAAGCAATTCGCCTGCCTCAGCCTCTCAAGTAGCTGGGATTACAGGCACGCGCCATCACACCCAGCTAATTTTTGCATTTTTAGTGGAGACAGGGTTTCACCCTGTTGGCCAGCCTGGCTTCACATGATCTGTCCACCTCAGCCTTCCAAAGTGCTGGGATTATAGGTGTGAGCCACTGTGTCTAGCCAGGGGGAATATTTAAATAAAGCTATAAAACTTGGCCAAGTGAAAAGCTGGAAACAAGAAATCCAGTTACTGTAAAAGATCTATGTCACAGTTGCTTGTATCAAATACTTCCCATAGTTACAATCCAACTTCCTAGATAGCTGATAGGCAATTATGTTTTATTAAATCATTCAAAAACCATTTACAGAATGCCTGCCATATGTCAGGGAAAGCACTATTCTAAATGCTGAGAATACAAAGATCAACAAAAGCAAGGCCTTTGTCTTCTCTAAGGTCATAGGCTGCATCATATCCATGCTCTTAAATCATTCTATTTTATGGGTGGATTTCATATATATTCCTGGTTTAATAAACGATCATCGTTTTAAAATTTGTTTTAGAAGATTTTCATATAGCCAAAATACATACTTTGTATATTAATTTTATCAAGAAAAAGGGAAACTTTTCTGCACAGAAAAAAAAAATTTAAATCATGTGTATTCTTACCACTCAGAGATAATTACTGTTGCATTTTCCTTTAGCATTTTTCCTATGCATTTGATTTTAAGTAATAGAAAACCCAACTCAAACTTGTTTAAACAATGAAGAAAACTGATTGGTACACATCAATGAAGAGTCCACAGGCCAACCGGTGAGGCTGCTTTAGGTGGGGCTTGACCCCACAACTCAATATGTCATCAAGGTCCCTGTTTATTTCCTTCTCTCTGCTGTGGCTACCTTGGTCTCTGCACCATTCTAAGACTGGCTTCTCTTATGGTTCTAAAATGGCTGTCGGCATCTTCCTCTTGTCTAGCAAGAAAGAGAAGATCAGCATTCTCTGCAAAAGTCCTGAAAATTATTCAGCTGAGCTACTTCAGGATCAGTGCCTACCCTGACTAATCATTAAGTGCAAAGGGATGAAATACACTGATTGGACAGCCTACATTAGTTACATCATCTCTGAAGGGAGAGTGAAGTCAACTTCTCTGGAAACATGAATCCCTAAAGAGAAAATGATGCTATTGGGAAGGGGAAGGGGAGTTTTAAAGAAACTAAAAGTTTTTAAACAAAATCTGGCATCGTACTAGACATGTTCAAACAGCACATTTTAAGTCACTCTCTTTTATTTTTCTATGCTTTACTCAACTTTGATTAGACTTTATAGATGGCCCAGTTTCCACTTTTTCGAAGAAGATCATCCTCAAAATTTCGCTAGGGAGTATTTAATAGGCATTAAAAATGATATAAATCTATCTATATGAATAAATTGTTTATGGATTAAAAAGGTATTACTAAATGAGAAGTGACTAAAATCATGTGTATGAAAATCATATGTATAATCCTATTTTTCTTAAATAATCTATATTTGCATAAAATGATACATATATGGTATAATATTAAAGAAGTTATCCATAGGTATGATTTTCACTTTCTTCATTCCTTTCTGTATTATCTGAATATGTTATCATTGTTATTACTTTCATAGAAAGAAACATTAGAAGTACTTCATTTTGGAAAAGATAAAATTCACCAGGAATCCACATGTACATCATATTGCCTCAACATATATCCTACATGACCTTTGTCATTGTATCAAACCATTTGGTTTGTTTCTCCTGTCAATTTTGATCAGCGGGACTTGAGGGAAATCGGGATATCAGTGTGCTTGAAGTTTATAGGTCCCACTTATTTGTAAATGAAAGTTATGATTAATTTACAGTTTTCCCTCCATTATTCTGCATTACTTTTAGCTTTTCTTCATTTTTTCCAGTTAATAGTATAGAATAAGTCAGCATCTCACAGAATGATTAGCAGATATGGCAGTGGAATTAAGTTAGTTTCTCGTGGCGTTCATTGGTAACTACTTCTCTGAGGGTGACTTTTTAATGAAGTCTTTCATCTTTGTTTACATTTTGTTCTTAGAGTTTCCTTCCACAAGCTGCTCTGTGGAAGGAAACCTCACCAATGAGGTTTCCACAAGAAACTTCATCAATTCTGTACGGATGTCTTCTCAAACCATATCTTTATTTCTGCTCTTTCTCTCTCTTTTCTGTTTTCTCCCTAGGGGTCTACCGGAAATCTCTACATACATGTGCTGATGCCTTTATGAGAAGTTTGTTTACAGGACGGGGGGGCTTTTATTCTCATTCTCTGTCATGGACTAGTTGAGTGTTCTTAGACCAACTGCTTAATCTCCTAGAGTCTCAGATGGAGAGGATGATAACTTCAAGAGAGAAAACTGAACTAGAAAATTTCTCAAGGTTTTAGATTTGAGGTCTAAAACCACATTCATTATTTTCTCCTTGAAACTGCTTCTCCCACTGAAATAGTTCTTCCTTTCATTTTCAGGTAACAGAATAATAGAAAACAACGAAATTTTATGGCTGGACAGGATACTAGAAGCTCTCTAGCTCAATTTCTTTTCTTTATTTTAATGGATGAGGAAATACATAAGCTTGTTAAATCCTTCCTTCTCTCTCTCTCTCTTTTTTTTTTGTCGTTTTCAGACAGGGTCTCACTCTGTTGCTCTGGGTGGAGTGCAGTGGTGCGATCTTGGCTCACTGCAGCCTTCGCCTCCTGGGCTCAAGCAATCTTCTCATCTCAGCTGCCTGGGTTGCTGGAACCACAGGTGTGTGCCACCACACCCCGCTAATTTTTTTTTTTTTTAAAGACCAAGTTTTGCTCTGTCACCAGGCTGGAGTGCAATGGCACGATCTCAGCTCACTGCAACCTCTGCCTCCCGGGTTCAAGCGATTCTCCTGTCTCAGCCTCCCAAGTAGCTGGGATTACAGGCGCACACCACCACGCCCGGCTAATTTTTGTATTTTTAGTAGAGATGGGGTTTCACCATGTTGGCCAGGCTGGTCTCGAACTCCTGACCTCAGGTGATCCACCCACCTCGGCCTCCCAAAGTGCTGGGATTACAGGCCTGGGCCACTGCGCCCAGCCTAATTTTTGTATTTTTTGTAGAGATGGGGTTTTGTCATGTTGCTCAGGCTGGTCTTGAATTCCTGGGCTCAAGTGATCTTCCTGCCTTGCCTCCCAAAGTGCTGGGATTACAGGCGTGAGCCACCTTGCCCTGTCCTTCCTCCTCTTTAGCCCTATCAGTAACTGAGTCTCATCAGTTCTCCCTTTTCCTGTCTCTCAGGCCTATTCCATTATTTTTACTGTCATCACCCAAGAGTAGGTCTTCATTTCCTTATGTCTTGGTTCTTCTCCAAGTCACCACACTGTTTTTCTTGCCTTCAGTCTCTCTTTCAACTAATCATGGTACAGCTTCCAGATTACACACCCACAAATAGTGTGATCATTCTGACATGTTCCTGTGGGGAAAGAAAAGTTACATGTTTTACTGTGGCCAAAGGATAAGGTTCAAACTAACCCAAGGAACCTCCTACAGGTTGACCGTAACTTACCTCTGCAGGCCTATCTTCCAGTATTCCCCTGATAGTCAATGCTCAATAAGTATTTATTTAATTGAATTAATCTTCATACTTCCTAAACAAAAATCCTTTTAGCCTTGAGATAATTTAGATCTTCAATTTTTTTTTTAAGTAGTCAGGTTCAAGGGAAACAAAGAAGGCAGTTAAAAGTGAGGAAGACAGAGAACAAAGGAGAAGCAAAGAGAACTGGAGCAGGATCCATGCCTTTTATAGCTTTAATTTCTGCTCATTTTTCCTGCTAAGTTTCAGATCCTTTAACCTACCCTTAGCTTACTGTAATTTTTCTTAATAAGCCACACAATTTTGTATCTTTGCACTAAGATGGCCGAGATGATAGGAAGACACGGAAATTGCCATACAGAAATGTTTAAGATGCAAAGCAAGATAAAAGGTTGTAAACAAATGCTTGTAGATATCTTAAGTGGAAACATATATAAATATTTTAAAATTTGAAATAATTTTTATTTCAAAAGGCTAACTCAATTGCAGGATTTCTTCAGGTTTCAAAGTGGAGCACCATATTTGGGATACTATATATAGGTTTGTTGTCTGATGCCCATGGCAAGTTAATACACTGGGACACCAGGTTGCAGAAGAGAAAGAGGTTTAATCATAGGGCCACCAAACACAGATAGGAGGAAACCTCAAATTCGTCTCCAGGAGGACTTTGAGTCTCAGGTTCTTAAGGGTTTTAGAGTGGTCCCAAGTGTGGAGATCATTAATTGGCTGAAGAGTACAGGGCGAAGTCATGGGACAGCGAGATGAAGAAGCTGTATTCTCATGCTGATTCCCTTCTTCTGTGGCAGGGGTCTTCAAGCTGGCTGGCATCAGCTGTTTCGCTGGAATTTGGCGTCTGAAAAACATTTTAAGCAATTCTTAAAAAGCCTTACGACTCTTAACATCAGAAAGCCTATCTATAGGGACAACGGGATACAAATGTACTATCTAGCTCTACCCGACTTTCGGGTTACAAGGAAGTGGGTCAAAGTGTAGCCTGATTAATGCTTAATTATATTTTTGTCCAGAATTCTTATAAACCCTGTGAGGATAGTTTCAATACCTTTATTTCAAGAAGCTTTGGAAGTTTTCCATCAATGTAACCAGTTTCAGTATACTGAGTGGACATGCATGTAGTTCCCCACCCCCACCCCACCCCCGTACCGCAATAGAATAGAAGCAGTCATGGACGGGGCCCAGATTCTAAAACAAGCTCAGGGCTAAGGGTTTACATTTTAATCTCTTATGTAGGAACGTCAAGGTCACACTGCCTTGGTGAAGGTGGAAGGCAGGATTTTGACCCAGGTCTGATTCTAAGCCCTTGCTTTAAAACTCTATGCTATAAAAAGTCCTGGGCTAACCGGGAGCGAAACTGGCAGATCACACGAGGTTGAGGTTAAGCGGAAAGACAAGTCTGCTCTGCGTCTGTACTTGGGAAGAGGAAAAAAAACTGGACATCCCCCACGGCGGCTACCATTTTGTGGGAGCAGGGAAGCCGGAAGTCCCGCCCCGGAGGATCGCGGCTGGGAGGCTCCCAGCCGGCAGGGCGGGGCCGGGTACCCTGGGGCTCCGAGGCTGGAGGAGGGGGCGGGGACTGAAGGCGGGGTTGGGGAACGTGTGGCTCGGAGGCCCGAGGCTGTGGGTGGGGCCTGAGGGCGGGACGGAGACTCTGGGCTCAAGGCTCCTGGAAATGGGCGGGGCTCGAGGGCGGGAAGCGGCCCGTCTTGCTGGAAGTTCGGGGCTGGGGGCGGGGTCTGAAGGCGGGGCTGGGAGGGAGCGGGGCCTGAAGGCGGGGCGGGGGCGGGGCCTCGCGGCCGGCGAGGGGCTGAGCTGACAGGGCCGCATCGGCTTACCCCACCTTACTTTATCGGAACGTGCCTAAGCTGCTGCAGCTGGCACCCGGTTGCGCTCGGCGAAGAGGGCTGGGGGCGGGAGATGACGGTGGTCTTCTCCCTGCTTGGCACCCTGCGAGCACCAGCTCCCTTCTCCTCGCCACTCCAAGGTTGCAGACGAAGCAGGTGAGAGGGGCCCCTGGAGCGCGGACCTGCTGGGTCCTGGTTCTCCCTTGCGGGCACGGGGTACCCCTGCCTCTGCCCCTCAGGCCTGGGCACGTGGGCAGCCGCCGACCCTCTGCGCCCTGGCCCCGCGGCCCGTTGTCTGGACCTGCTGTCTCTGCCCCGCAGCGCCTGCCTGTGGAACGTGTGAGATCACCCGGGAAGGCTCGCGCGGGGGAGGGGGTGTCTCGTCCCCTCCGGAGACAGAACTGCCATCCCTAGTTTGGGAAGCTCCTCACTGCACGGGCGTCCACCCTGTCTTTCTTAGACTCTTCCCTTTATCCCGAGGGTACCCTCAGTATCTGGCCCTTCCGAAGGCTTCTGCCCAGGCACCTGGAGCACTGCGCCAAATTTTCTCCCTTACCCGTTTTTGGGGTATGTTAGTTACCATGACGTTGTGACTCCCGTGCCCTGGGAAGACTAGCGACCACCTTTTTCTTACGCCAGGCAAAGACCCCTGGCTGCCTTTCCACTTCCACAGCTGCCTTCCCAGGGGTTGGCTGGCAGCTGCTCTCCGAGCAGCCTATTCGGTTAGGAACTCTCTGCGCCCCTTATCTTGGAGGGCCACAGTCTGTCCCTGCAGACGAGGCAAGGAGGCAGTGCTCAGCGCTCCCTACCCTGGGTCTCTAGGGAGGACATTTGGCGCCCTGCAAGTAGGTAGGAGTGGGTGAATGGTGCGACTATTAATGTTGAAGAGTGCTCTAATAGTACCACACTGTATTACACTTATCCCACGGGATAAAGGATGTTGGATGTTTGAGAAATAGCCTGAGAGTTTAAAGCTTTCTCTATGAAGTTAGTCAACCCTCGCCTTCCCCCCGCATTTTCACTTAATAGCAGTTATTTACAGTATCAGTGGTTCGTTTATGTGATCTAAGCCAAATGTGATGTGGCTAGAAGCGGTTTGTAAGTACAGTAGCATTTCTTCAGTTCGTGCCTCAGCGAGTGGTCTTTTACTGTGAACGTGTTTGTTCTGTAACAAGCTTTGTTTTTATAGATAAAAAGGCTGGATGTAATTTTTTTTTTAAAACTTCCCTTGCTGTGGTTCCTGTTCATTTTAAAATATGCTTTAGAAAGCATATTATCTTCCCGTTTAAAAAAGATTAGGATGAAATGAAACTTTTAAAGTCATTTTGATTATTTTGACTTTACCTCAGCAGGTATTTCTTTTATAATACTGAGAAACGTTAAAAGAAACCTCATGGGGAGGGGCAGATTGCTTTTTTTTTTTTTTTTTCTTGAGACGGAGTCTTGCTCTGTTGCTCAGGCTGGAGGGCAATGGCAGGATCTCGGCTCACTGCAACCTCTGCCTCCCGGGTGCAAGAGATTCTCCTGCCTCAGCTTCCCGAGTAGCTGGGATTACAGGCATCTGCCACCAAGCCCGGCTAATTTTTGTCTTTTTAGTAGAGACAGGGTTTCACCATGCTGGCCAGGCTGGTCTCCAACTCCCGACCTCAGGTGATCCGCCCGCCTCGACCTCCCAGAGTGCTGGGATTACAGGCGTGAGCCACTGCGCCCGGCCCTTTTTTTTGTTTTGTTTTTTTGTTTTTTAATTTTTCAACGAATTGAAAGTTAATCTTGGACATTGCTACAACTATTTGACCATCACCCTGAGAAAAATGAAGAGCTCTGCCTTCACTGTTAACCATTTACTATCAAACCAAATTAAATTCAACTTATCTTAATTGTTTGGTATAAAACAAAAACTGATAAATTTATGACGCATCCCATCCCTCTTTTTTTAGTTGGTGGATCTTTTACCAGTTATGTTTGAAGAACTAACATGTTTACTTTTTTATCATTATTAGTAGTAAGACAACAGTTCCTAATAGCAATTGCTGCCGTTTTTTGAAGGCCTACTCTGTGATAAGCTGTATATAAAATATTCTATCCACACAATATCCCTCTAAGGAGGTCTTTGTTTGAGACAGGGTCTTACTCAGGCTGGAGTGCAGTGGTGTGATCATGGCTCACTGCAGAGACCTCCTAGGCTCAGGTGATCCTCCCACCTCAGCCTCCCAGGTAGCTGGGACAACAGGCACGCATGACTAAGCTCAGCTAATTTTTTGTAGAGACTAAGGTTTTGCCATGTTGGCCAGGCTGGTCTGAAACTCCTGGGCTCACACAGTCCACCTGCCTGGGCCTCTCAAAATGCTGGGATTACAGGCGTGAGCTGCTATGACTGATCCCTATAGGGAGGTTTTTACTCTCATTTTACAGTTGAGGAAACAAAGGTTCAGAAAGACTAAGTAACTTATGAGTTGATAAACCATAAAGCTCAGAATCTGTTTGACTCTCCACTGAACTTCTGCTAGTTTAAACTGTTGGTTAAAAAATATTATTGGAATGCCTTGACATGCTCGTGTTGTACAAGTAAGGGCTTATAAGCAGAATGAGTTATTAATACTCTAGGCACTTTTGAAAGTGAACAGAAGACTGGATTAATTTATCACTTTCCTGTTTAGCACTGCCTTTCCAAGTACACACCGTCTTAAGGGCTCCAAATGTTTAACGCCTTTGTTTAATTGTTTACCAGCTCCTTACTTCAAGTATGTGTATCTGTACCAACCGGTAGCTTTCCCAAGATATAATTTGATGCTTATTTGGTAAACTTCAAGTATGTGAGTAGTGTAGGTTTCATGTACTATATTGACCACTGCTATCTAATCCTAGTAGGAAAATACTTGTCCTAATCCAGATTAAATATAAGGTTTTCAAATGGTTCGGTTTATACAAGGGTAGCACAGAGAAAATTCCCTTGTACCCACGCCAGCTATCAGTTGTTGGTGATCTCTGGGCTGCCATCTAAGTCTTTTTAATGTGATATAGATGTTTGAGGACTTAACCTGAGCATTGTAAATTTCTGGAAGCATGAGCTTTTTACTTTCTACCTTATATCAGTCTACTTTAGATGGTAAACCCAGAATAATCACTTAGAAATTGGCTATTGTTGGCTGGGCGTGGTGGCTCACACCTATAATCCCAGCATTTTGGGAGGCCGAGGCGGGCAGATCACCTGAGGTTGGGAGTTTGAGACGAACCTGACCAACATGGAGAAACCCCGTCTCTACTAAAAATTCAAAATTAGCCAGGCATGGTGGTGCATGCCTGTAATCCCAGCTACTCGGGAAGGCTAAGGCAGGAGAATCTCTTGAACCTGGGAGGCGGAGGTTGAGGTGAGCCGCAATCACGCCATTACACTCCAGCCTGGGCAACAAGAACAAAACTCCATCTGAAAAAAAAAGAAAAAGAAATTGGCAATTGTCGTCATTTTAATTTCAAGATACTAATAAAAGCTGATTAGCTTTAGAGTTATCCAGACCTCATGTTCATTGTGTTCCTGGCAGCAAGAGGGGGTCTGATAATTATTGTACTATTCGTGTTTTGAATTTGTTCCATGCTTTAGCATTTTCTGAACCTCTTTAGAACATTTTACAAAACATTTTGTATTTTTTAACATTTCATGAACACCTTTAGACATATTTTGTGTTCTTGGTTCTGTTGCTGTAGTGGAAAACTTATAATACTTTATCATTCAGAAAACAAAAAAAAATTCTGTCTGTAAACTAAATAGTGCCTGAAAGAGAACATTGATCCATGAAAGGGTAAAAGGTTTAAGTATAAGTAATTATAGTTATTCATTAAAAAAAATTTTTTTTTCTGTCTCGTGTATGCCAGGTACTGTCCTAGATGTTAAGGACACAACATTGAGCAAAAACATGCATAGTCCCTGCTTCCGTGACACTTGAGTGAACTGAATGTGCAAAGTCCCTGTGGCACAAAGTCCCTGGGGCCAGTGTGTGTGGCGGGTGTAGAAGGAGCTAAAGGTATATTGGTGGGAGGTCGTCATTTTTTTCTCTCTCTCATGTTCTACCAAAAGTTATATTTAACTTCCGTTAAGTAATTACTCTGTTCCAGATGTGATTATAAAGACTTCAGTGGAATAATCGCAAGTTCCCATGTGGTAGGTATTACTATTATTGCCATTTTACAGGTGAAGAAGGTGAGACACAGAAAAGTTAAAGTTAATTCGTTCAGGTCGGGCACAGTGGCTCATGCCTGTAATCCCAGCACTGTGGGATGCTGAGGCAGGCAGATCACCTGAGGTCAGGAGTTCAAAACCAGCCTAAGCAACATGTCGCTACAAAAATACAAAAATTAGCCGGGCGTGGTGGCACACGAATCGCTTGAACCCAGGAGACAGAGGTTGCACTGAGCTGAGATTGCACCACTGCACTCCAGCCTGGGAGACAGAGCAAGACCCTGTCTTTAGAAAAAAAAGTTATTGGTTTAAAGTTGATTAGTAGTGCTCTACTATACCCTTCTTCCCATCCTATATTCAAATATGACCACGGGCTGGAAAGGACTCTGGTCCCTGGGTGACTCCTCAATGTAGCCTTGAGAACTTCTGAAATTTCCAGAGAATTTGGATGCATGGGGACATTCAGCGGAGACTATGTGTGCCCGATGCCCTTATCCACCAGGCGGAGCTCAATTGATGGAGAGAATCACTGGAGAGAACCACAGGGCATCACTGCAGCTCTAATATTTGCGGATCTTATTTTACTCATGTCTAATACTGAGTATAGAACTTAGCAACATAAATATTTTGAGCTGACCTGCCTTTGAGAGTGAAGCGATTATTGTTAGCAACCCCCCACTTTTTTTTCCATTGTATTTTCCCTGATGGTATGTATATTTATTTGGCCATTGAATAAGTAAATAAATCTAGGGGTATGTATATTTATTTGGCCATTTAATAAGTAAACAAATCTAGGTTTGCCAGTGTATTATTTCAACTAGAATTCTTGTTGATGGCCATACTGAATCTTTCTTCCTTTCTTTCCAGAGATCTGGTTGGAGTTGGAGGGTGAGAGAAAATGAATTCTAATTTACCTGCAGAGAACTTAACCATTGCAGTCAATATGACCAAGACTTTGCCTACAGCAGTAACGCATGGATTTAATTCCACTAATGACCCACCTTCAATGTCAATTACAAGGCTTTTTCCAGCCTTACTGGAATGCTTTGGCATTGTCCTTTGTGGCTACATAGCAGGAAGGGCCAATGTCATAACATCAACCCAGGCCAAAGGACTAGGAAATTTTGTCTCCAGATTTGCACTTCCAGCTTTATTATTCAAAAACATGGTTGTACTTAATTTTTCCAATGTGGACTGGTCCTTCCTATATAGTATCTTAATTGCCAAAGCTTCTGTATTTTTCATTGTATGTGTATTAACCTTATTGGTTGCCAGTCCTGATAGTCGATTTAGCAAAGCTGGACTATTCCCTATTTTTGCTACACAAAGTAATGACTTTGCATTGGGATACCCTATAGGTAAGTTAATTTTTATTTTTCAAGTGTTTAAAAAATTCAATTTTAATTTATTTAGGCATTTGTTAGTAACAGATTCTTACTCTCATATCTAAGAAGTTTTTCATTTTTTTCTCAAATATGTCTTAGGATGAATCATAGTTTTTCCTAAACTTCAGAGTTTGAGGATCCTTTAAACATCTACCTAAAATAAACGGTCATATTCTAATAACCACTGTGAACAGTCCTAATTGTATTTTTTTCTTCCCGGTAAGCACATATGAAAGAAGCTTAATTTTTAGAAAGGATCCAATTGTGATTTAAATTATGTTAAAAAAGTAGATTTATGTCTATATAAAAATAGTTATTATTAAGTGTTTGTGAAAGGAATTTATTTTTCCTACCATCTAGAATATGTATTATTTTATATCAGAAATTGTTCTGGGGCCAGATGTGGCTCACACCTATAATCCCAGCACTTTGGGAGGCCGAGGGGGGCAGATCACTTGAGCCTAGGAGTTCGAGACCAGCCTGGGCAACAGGGTGAAACCTCGTCTGTATAAAAAAATAACAACAACAAAAAATTAGTCAGCTGTGGTGGCACAAGGCTGTAGTCCCAGCTACCCAAGAGGCTGAGGCAGGAGGATTGCTTGAGCCCAGGAGGCAGAGGTTGCAGTGGGTCAATATTATACCACTGTACTCCAGCCTGGGTGACAGAGTGAGACCCTGTCTCAAATTTAAAAAAAAAAATTGTTTTTGAGCTTGTTATTCAAAATTTTAATGTATTTTAGTTGCAGTTAATTTCTTGTTTAAGAAAAAAAATGGTGAGAGCTTTTTTACCTTTCTAACTTTTCCTTTTTTATGTTTCTGACTCTTTCAGCAGCCTAATTTTATGTTTCTATGTGTATATGTTTTACTAATGAAACAGTAAACGTACCAGTTTGGGATATTGACATATCTTGAAAGGAAACATTCTATATTTCAGAACACTCTGTCACCAAGAAAATGTATATTTTAAATTACTTTTTTATATTTTAAATTAAAGTTATATATACTTTGATCATCTATCAAGTATGAGGACTTGAATATTATAGATATATTCATTCATTCATTCATTCACTCACTCATAAGGAACTGTTTCGTACCAGTGGCTGTGCTGACTGTTGGGATTATAGCTGTGAACAAAGTTATTGCACATATTAAATTTACATTGTAATGGGAGAATAATAAAATTAAAATCATGTCAGGTGGTGACAAGGGCCATAAAAATAAAGTCACGTAGAAGGATAGGAATGTGGAGGTGCTATTTGAGGTAGGGTGGTCAATGAAGGCCTCTCTGATGATATGTCTTCTGAGCAGAGACTTGAGCCTATTGAAGGATACAATTGAAATCTACAATTAACTTTCAAGTTTCTTACCTAGCAGTTTTATCCTTTCCCCTCAAACCCCAACTTATTTCACTGCTGGTACCAAAAAGATTCTATTTAACTATACTTTTCACTTCTGTCTCTACTTTTGACTTTCCTCTATCTTGTTACCAGAAAGAGAGAAACACCTAAGAAGTTAAATAACTGTCAGTAAAGCTGGAGGTTTAAGAGACAGGAAAAACTGGGCTCATAGATAATTGAGCTACAAATAGTCAGAAACTAGATAGGTGTTCCTTTAAGGTTATTGAATTTCAAAAGGAAATAAAGACTTTTGGAAAGAAAACAGCAAGGAGTTAACATGTTTGTCCATTTCCTCAGGAGAATTAATAAGGTAAATTTCTCAAGGTATTTATGGTATAAGGACCTTAGAACTGACTCGGCACCACAGTGTTAAATATCTGACAAATATTATGTATCTTTAGACATAAACTAGAAGTATATAGTTTCATGCTCCCATAGATTAGTGAGCCGATAATGAAATAGAACTAACATTTATAACTATGTAGTTTACAGAGTACTTTCTTATATACTTATCTCATTTGGGTAGGGCAGATATTTTTATCCTCATTTTCAAATAAGGAAACTGGCTTACAGAGATTTAATTATTTTATCCCAGGTCATACAACTAGCAGGTGACTGACACCCAAACCTAGGTCTTCTGGTTGCAAATCCTGGGCACTCTCTTATGCCATGCAGTTACATAATGTGCCAGTTCAATTTTCAGAAGACCCAACCAGCCTTGTAATATACTAGTTCCAGAAAAAATGAAAGGGTTTTTTTCCTCTAAAATATTCCATAAAATGAGTAGTAGTGGAAAAAGACCTATTAGAATAGTTAATCTATTGTCATATTGAGGCAGACTTTCCAAATAAAAAATGTAATCAGCCATTTTATCACTGCTTTTCTTATGTCCCACATTAAGTCAGTGAATCTGGTAATAATTATGTTTCTAGCCGTGTGCCAGCCCAAATTTCCCTGATGGTTGTTTGTTGATTTCGAGGTATAATTTTTGTTTTTATGTTTTTGTTTTTTTAAATCACAATAACAAAAGCTCTTGTAATATTAAGTTGTAGAATATAACTTTGCTAAAAACCAATATATTAGACGAGTGCTTTTTCATATATCTAGACGTTGGAAGGTGTGATGTAGAACTATTAGGGGTGAGTATCTGCTGCCTGATGAGGTAACTTATTACTGCTGCTGTGCCCATCTGCCTTCTGGCCTTGTTCTCGGTGAACAGAGAAAGAATACTGTCCCCAGAGAGAAGACCTTTCTGTCTTTTGTTTCCTGGCCTCTCCAAGGAATTCCCACTCTCTTGCTCACAGACAAGCATCGATCATGGGTTATAAGAAATGTCCTTTTTAAGACTGCATTTGTTCCACATCTGTCCAATTTACAGGTAACACAGGAAATGCTGGCAAGGAGAAGACATATAAGTTAATGAACAAAGAAAAAAGATAGTTACGTTTTCTTTCGCTACATACTATGACAACTATAACAGTCTATGACATTACATTAAAATGATGTATTATTACTCCAGTAACAGAATAGTGCATGTTGCAACTAAAAAAGAAGGCTGGACATGGTGGCTCATGCCTGTAATCCCAACATTTTGGAAGGCTGAGACAGAGGGATTCCTTAAGTCCAGGAGTTTGAGACCATCCTGGACAACATAGTGAAAACCCTGTCTCTACAACAACAACAGCAAAATTAGCCAGGTGTGGTACAAGCCTGTAGTTCCAGCTACCTGGGAGGCTGAGCCAGGAGATCTGTTGAGCCTAGGAGTTCAAGGCCGCAGATGGCTACTGTACTCCAGCCTGGGTGACAGTGAGACCCTGTCTCTCAAAAAATAAAAATAAAAGAAGCTCACTGTGTTTTAGAGCAATTCTTTTCTAAAGTACTTTTAAAAATCCAAGTATGAGAAGAAACTAAGAATCTCCCGTGGCAAAATGTTGATTTCAGCATATCAGAATGGTTCCCTGCCTGTCATTAAAAGATACTAATAGAGCATAGTTAAGTCCTATAATTTATTCTTCAAACAATGCTGATAGCATAAGTACTCTGACTAATCATAATTATGGTCTAGTGCTTGAGCTGTAAACAGAAAGGAAATGAAGCATTTAACTATATGCCATTACATAATAGAATGATTTTATCTGGGTCTTTGTGTTATATGCTAGGGATTGAAACCCTGCAGGAATCAAAATAGGAAGCACAGTGGGTGGCTAATTTTGTCTCTTAGTTCTTCAAAGCTATATAATAACTCCTCATAATGGGATTCTCCCTGCCCTCCAAGAGCCTTATTTATAAGCATTAATTAATTAGAACCTAAAAGTTGATATAATGATTGTAAACCTAATTTTAGTTACTATACTATACCGTACTGCTTTCATGTATATTTTTTCAGGTTTTAAAAACCATCTTCAGATTGATAGCAAAAAAAAAGCACTGCCAATTTATAGATAAAGATGTAATGTTAATTATGCAAATGAATGGCAGAAAGTAGACTGAAATTCCCATGTTGAACCCTATTCTAGTAATTTAACATGTATTTATTTAATCACAATTTTTCTGTGTGTTCCCTCTAGACTACACTTCTTCTGCCTCTATGCTTGTTCAGCTGACTTAAAATACCTCAATAGTAACCTGCTTTATAAATATTCATAATGTGTAAAAT
Source organism: Homo sapiens (assembly GCF_000001405.40). NCBI lineage: Eukaryota > Metazoa > Chordata > Mammalia > Primates > Hominidae > Homo > Homo sapiens. The sequence goes on along the minus strand of NC_000002.12, from coordinate 174,477,416 downwards.
GTAAAAAAAGTTACAAAATTTCCATTAGATTTATTGTATAACATGGTGACGATGGTTAATAACAACATATTCTTGAAAATTGCTGAGAATAGATTTTGTGTTCTCATCAGAAAAAATGATAAATATGTGAGATTATGCATATTTTAATTAGCTTGATTTAGCCATTCCATAATGTATACATATTTTAAAACATTATGTACATTATAAATATATATAATTTATATTTGTCAATTAAAAATAAAGTTTTAAAAGTAAAAATAAAGTTTAAAAATGGATATAAAAATGGATTCATTGACAACAATTCGATGTAAAGAGCTGCGTATTAGAAAATACATGTTTACTACATCTGAAACTTTTGATGTTCATTGATGTGTTCGTACCATTCAGCAAGTATTTTCAGATTTTCTCAAGCATTATGCCAGGGACTGAGGGCTATTAAAATGATGCTTTCAAGGAACTTAGAATTTGTTGAGGTGGCACTAGTATGAAACAAAGTACTACAGAATACCAGAGGAGGGGAGATTAATGATGTAGGTTGAAGACTTGGTGGGAAATGTAGTGCCAGAGACAGGCCTTAAGTAGTAGGTGAGATTTAGGTAAAAAAAGGAGATATTAAGAAGTTAGGGGGTGACGGTATGAACAGCATAAAGAACTACTAATTATGAATGTGGTAGTTGTCTGGTTTAACTGTTATTAAACTGGCTGATGGAGTCTTTGCATTAAGGATGGGGTGGATAAGCAAGGGGCCAATTGTGGAGACTGGACTGTGGATGTTAAAAGAAAGGTTTTTTTTTGTTTTGTTTTTTGTTTTTTGAGACAGAGTCTCACTCTGTTGCCCAGGCTGTAATGCAATGGTGCAGTCTTGGCTCACTGCAATCTCCGCCTCCCAGGTTCAAGCAATTATCCTGCCTCAGCCTCCCAAGTAGCTGGGACTATGGGAGTGCGCCACCACACCCAGCTAATTTTTGTATTTTTAGTAGAGATGGGGTTTCACCGTGTTGGCCAGGCTCTTCTTGAACTCCTGACCTCATGATCTGCCTGCCTTGTCCTCCCAAAGTGCTGGGATTACAGGCATGAGCCACCATGCCCGGTAAAAGAAAGGTTTTGTAGCTGTTTCTGTGGGCAGTGAGAACCGTGAGAAAATCTTACCTTTTGAAAGTTTAGATTTAGATGGTACTGTTAGCTGTGAATAAAATGGATGAAGAAGGTGGTTGAGAAAATCCAAGAGAATGTTGGTTGGTAAACACATGAAGTAATCTAATTTTGAGATTTTTGACTAATAATTGTAGTAGCAATCAAGAGGAGAACATCCTTCCAAAGAAGAAAGAAAGAATGTGGTGAATGGCCAAATATAAAAACTGTTGCTTAAATTTGCACTGAGTTCTTAAAACAATGTAAAGTTCATTATGCGGTAGTGATTAAATGCTAGTGTGCCAGGAAAGTAAATTTCTGGAAAAAGGCATTAATATAAGGGGCTTTGAGTAGATCACAGAACTGTATAGCTGTGTTGTCAAAGGAAAACATGTTATGCATCTTATTGTTGTGGCTGGTTAGGAAAAATTCTGATACTCAGATGAAAACATAAGACTTTTCGAAAATATCTGCTCTATTATAAAAGTTGGTGGGCAGGTATGAACATCTTTCTCTTGAGATAAAATATCTCAAGAGAATCAGAAATATAATTATCTAAAAATAGTTATCAAAAGTGCTGCTTTTTGTTTAAAAGATGAAGCCTTATGAAACCTGAAAGAAAACCACTAACTTTATATAACTAGCATATCTAATTTGGAAACCAGTGGAAAGAACTTATAAAGTTTTATGTAATCAAATATTTTTTAGCCACTGCTTCATTTTGGAGATATTATAGATCTTGAATTTACTTAGCTGAGAAAATGGGGATTGAATCTGTTAAAAAAAAATAGGTTTTAGCTTTTATGAAAAAGGTGACCTTCTAAAGGTTACATAATCTAGTTATATAACTTTAATGGGACATGTGCATGACATTAACTGAACTTACATATCCTGAGTAAGTAAACAAGTGTATTTTCCTACCTATATCATTTTATCTTAGTGTAAATTGAGAAACCTAATTTTTTTTTTTTTTTTTTTTTTTTTTTTTTTTGAGACGGAGTCTCGCTCTGTCGCCCAGGCTGGAGTGCAGTGGCGGGATCTCGGCTCACTGCAAGCTCCGCCTCCCGGGTTCACGCCATTCTCCCGCCTCAGCCTCCCAAGTAGCTGGGACTACAGGCGCCCGCCACTACGCCCGGCTAATTTTTTGTATTTTTAGTAGAGACGGGGTTTCACCATTTTAGCCGGGATGGTCTCGATCTCCTGACCTCGTGATCCGCCCGCCTCGGCCTCCCAAAGTGCTGGGATTACAGGCGTGAGCCACCGCGCCCGGCCGAGAAACCTAATCTTTTACATGTTTTCACGTTTGCCTCTCTCCTTGTGAACGACTGTGGCTGTTCTTTTTTATCTTTCTCAACTTCAAATCAATTATAAATCAGCCTTTATTTGCATTAGATTGTATAATTTCGGGACCCATTGTCAAAAATGTGCTAGAGACCAGTTGTTTACTGAAAGGCCCTAAGTTGCTCTAATAAACTAAAGACTAGGTCACCAACCCTCACGTCTACCAGGAAACTGCTAGAAGTCTGATCCCACTCACTCACCTCCCTCATGAGATTAAAAAAACACATCTTATGCAGTGGTTAAGTCCTAAAGTCATCTTGTATATTCAAACTCTTGAAAATGCCCACCAAATACAGCACACATACTTTGTCTATATTGTACCATTTTTCATAAGTCTAACACAGCCAGATTTTTTTAGCTAGCATTGTTCTTCAATGAACAGCAGTTGAAATAATTTGTTTGCACTTGGAAACATGCTATGGGGGGTGGGGGGAAATGAAGCTTTTGTTTTCCCAAGAGGGTATGGTTGAATTTGTGTTAACTAAATGTGCATTGATGTGACTCTACTGTATTTCCCTCCCAAACATTGTAAGATCCACCTTTCTATCTCTACTCCTTAAGTATCTCCACTGGTCTTCTTTGAAGGCATTCATTCCTTTTCATTCCTCTCAAATGGAGGTTGTTCATTTTCCCATTGCCAGCACACCACATGAGCAGTGGAAGGTAGGACTGGCATCCCCACAGCTACTGTGGACCATTGCTAGACCATCCCTCTGCTCTGCTGTTAAAAACTGCTTTGAGGTTCATACTTTCCGGCTAGACCACTGATCCTCTCTGCTGTTACCTGCTGACCTCATTCTAGGCATTCCCTCTCATTTACCTTTATCCCAAGTTTTGTCATTGTCTTGTGAACTACCATGAAATTCTCTGCCCTGTCATTTCCTTGACCTCCTCTTCTCCAGTGATGTTTTCCTTTACTCCATTTCAGCCACTAAGTCCCATAGCCACATCCTGGACCTTGTCATCTGGAAAATATTTAACTGAGTAGCTCATTAGCTGTTTTACTCTGAACTCCCGCACTTCCAACTGTCCCTAATTCCTAGAGGCCTCCAAACATCTCCCATCTTCATTTCTTTTCTTACACAGCTTGGATTCCACATCCGTGCTCCTTTTTAGTTCCTGAAATAACTCCTACTCTCTCCTCAACCCTCTGTGATCTGACTTCTGTCTCTTACCACTCCAGTAAAACTGTTCTTTCCATGGATACCAATAAACACATTTTTGCTATTACTACTTAAATGTTTAGTTTGTCCCTAGATTTTTACTTTGAATTGTTTCTTCTAAAAATTCTACAATTCTGCTCATTTTTGGAGACTAATTTTAACCCTTAGATGGTAAAAATTAGTGAGGTTTAAAAATAATGTGTAAACTTGGTTATCATTTTATAAGCTATATGATATTTATTATGTTTTTCTTTTTTCAGCTTTATTACTAAAATGTACTTTTCCAAAATAGGCTATTTGGGTCATTTTGAAAATTTTAGATTTATCATTGCTATAAAGTACAGAAAATGTTATATACATAACATATATCTGTATTTCTGTGGTCATCATTTAAAAATCAATATTCTTGTTTTGCAGTTGAAGCTTTATATCAAACTACATACCCAGAATATCTCCAGTACATTTATTTGGTGGCACCAATATCTCTTATGATGTTAAACCCTATAGGGTTTATTTTCTGTGAAATCCAAAAGTGGAAAGACACTCAAAATGCTTCTCAAAATAAAATAAAAATTGTGGGACTCGGACTCCTGCGTGTATTACAGAACCCAATAGTATTTATGGTCTTCATTGGCATCGCCTTCAATTTTATTCTTGATCGAAAGGTACCTGTATATGTCGAAAATTTTCTTGATGGACTTGGAAATTCTTTTTCTGGATCAGCCCTATTTTATCTTGGTCTCACGATGGTGGGAAAAATAAAGAGACTGAAGAAGTCGGCATTTGTAGTACTAATTCTTCTCATCACAGCTAAACTGTAAGCATCACTTATTTAACTTGAGAATTGTACTTTTTGAAAGCCGTATTTAGCCAATTCATCAGGGGTATGTCTGCAACCATTTTCCCCTTTGAATATTAATAACCCCTCCTTGTAGAATAGTTGTGAGATAAAGGAAAATGTGATGGTGTATTGTGGAAAGTCATTTCCTTATTCCCAGTAGCTTATTCTTTCCATCTTACTGTCAGAGGATAAAGATGATGGGTTTCCCTTCAGCTTTTACATAAAGTTTACTCAGTATCTCCTCATGTCCCAGTTTGACAGTATTTTCAAATAAATTTTGCAGCATTTCTGACTTTTCCAAATCCATAAAGACCCTAAAGACAAAAGCATCTTAGTGATAACCAGAACAATAATTTCTAATGCAAACTTTTTTTCATGAATTTGGGAAAAGTATTTTGTAGTTCTGAGGTTGGCCAAATTTTCTAAATACAGCCAAGTCAATATGAATGATTATTATCAGCCATATGATCCTGGCTTGCCAAATGAAAAGTGCTCATCAACTTCTTTTTTGTTGTTGTTGTTTTTGTTTTTGTTTGAAACAGAGTCTTGCTCTGTCAACTAGACTGGAGTGCAGTCATGCGATCTTGGCTCACTGCAACCTCCACCTCGTAGGTTCAAGCTATTCTCCTGCCTCAGCCTCCCAAGTAGCTGGGATTACAGGTGCCTGCCACCACACCTGGCTGATTTTTATATTTTTAGTAGAGACGGGATTTCACCATGTTGGTCAGACTGGTCTCAAACTCCTGACCTCAGGTGATCCATCCATCTCGGCCTCCCAAAGTGCTGGGATTACAGGCATGAGCCACCGTGCCCAGCCTCAACTTCTTAGTTAATAGTTCTTCAGCTTACTTGGTCCATTAGCCATGGAGTTCTACATGATGGTGCAGGTGACATAATTTTACTGCAAGATTATCCCAAAGTACTTGAGGCATACTTAACTATGGAATTCCCCTCATGTATAGACAGTTATATTCATGAGACCAGTACAACATAATCTACTGTTTTCATAATAATAAAAATGAATATAAGTACTGAAAATTATTTATGGCGATGTTATGCTCTTCAGAAACAAAGTATTAGTATTGTGGAAGTAATAAGTATAGTTTAAACAATAATGGTATTATCAACTTTTGCTTATAAGTAGAATTTAAATATTCTAATTTTAAAGATGGGGGGTCTTTGATACTTAATTAGATATTTAAGTTTTTTAATTTAAAAAGTACAGATCAGAGTAGTTCTTTACTCCATCCCAGAGGGCCTTGCTAGGTGCTGCTGTGAAAATGTTAACAATCTTGGTCTTGCTGATTTTAAAGGAGAGCCCTATTTGCTCAACTACTGTGGATTTGCTCATTCTATGAAATCCTGAAAAATTTGTTTAATAATTGACTCTTCAACAGGTCTGCATTTCACTAGTTTTCTGCTCCATCTCAGTTGTTTTAGTTCCTTTGCTAATTTTTTTTTTTTTTTTTTTTACAAAGATGAAGAGCTACTTGAAGATACCTATTTTTCTACAGGATTTTGGAATCTTTTTTTTTTTTTTTTTTTTGAGACAGAGTCTTGCTGTGTCACCCAGGCTGGAGTACAATGGCTGGCATGATCTCAGCTCACTGCACCTCCACCTCCTGGGTTCAAGCAGTTCTCCAGCCTCAGCCTCCTGAGTAGCTGGGATTACAGGCATGTGCCATCATGCCCGGCTAATTTTTTGTATCTTTAGTAGAGATGGGGTTTCACCATGTTAGCCAGGCTGGTCTTCAACTCCTGACCTGAACTCGTGATCCGCCTGCCTCAGCCTCCCAAAGTGCTGGGATTACAGGCTTGAGCCACCATGCCGGCAGGATTTTAGAATCTTATTAAGCAATGTTGTTATTAACTGAACCATTTCAACCCCTAATCATGATAAAGTTCAGCTTTTTTTTTTTTTTTTCAAAACAGGAGTTTCTGTCTCTCTAGAATACTTTGAAAGAAAGAAAAAGAGTTTAGTGATTCTCTTGAAAGAAGTTTTTATGCAGATTGTCAACCTTCTTTCTTTCTTTGAACATTTCAGTAAACTGATAGAGGAAGCAAGAAAGTAGCTAGAATTGCAACTTTTACCATCTTTTGGCAAAAAACAAAAATTATTTGTAGAACCAAAAACATCTTTTTTTCCCTCCTAATCCCTGATGTGTGAGGTATTTCCAGAATATTGTTACACTTTAAATGGCTCCAAGTTGAATTCTTGATTTTTTTCAACAAAATGTGCCCAGGTAGACATGCACAGAATATGTGCATGCAAATAGACATACCTTCTGGGCAGGAGAACCTGATGCCAAATTCACCAGAGCAGCCTGCTACTGGGGACAACCATGCTTTGATATCAGGTAAATGATGTTTTTCTTTTTTCTTCAGTCTGGTGCTGCCACTTCTGTGCAGAGAAATGGTGGAACTCTTGGACAAGGGCGACAGTGTGGTGAACCATACAAGTTTATCAAATTATGCATTTCTGTATGGTGTATTTCCTGTAGCACCAGGAGTGGCTATCTTTGCAACACAATTCAACATGGAAGTAGAAATTGTATGTATATAGTACTTTCTAAGTTTGATGGTGTGTTTAGTCGAAAAAAATTTTTAAATTCATTTCAAATTTTTTAAAATTCTTTTTTAAAAATGAAAAAATAGAGACGACGGGGGTCTCACTATGTTGCCCCAGGCTGGTTTCAAACTCCTGCCTTCTGCCTTGGCCTCCCAAAGTGCTGGGATTACAGGCATGAGCCACCGTGCCCAGCCCATTTTAATTTCTAAACATAGAAAGCAATGTTGTTTTTTATGAGGTCCAGCACTTTGGGAGGCTGAGGTGGGCAGACCACTTGAGGCCAGGAGTTTGAGACCAGCCTGGCCAACATGGCGAAACCCTGTCTCTACTAAAAATACAAACATTAGCTGGGTGTGGTGGTAGTTGCCTGTAATCCCAGCTACTTGGGTGGCTGAGGCACAAGATTTGTTTGAACCCAGGAGGCAGAGGTTGCAGTGAGTTAAGATTGCACCACTGTACTCCAGCCTGGGTGACAGAGCAAGCAGCATTGTTTTTTATGAGAATTTGATGCCTATAAGCTATCTCATTATAAGAAATAGGCATCATGTAACATAATGTAACAACAGTCATTTAATCTGGGGTCTTTAGTCAGCCCTGACTTTTTTTAATCAGTTTTTTTAGTTTTAACTATTTTATTTCTGTACTTAGACAGAAACCTAAAAATTATTTACAGAAAGGTAACTTTGAAATTTTGAAGAAAAAAATGCCTATTTTATCATTGATAATTTCAAGCACCAGATGCAAAATACTGCATAATAACTGCAGCAGATAGCTAAAATCAATTGACACCAAATTATTAACAGTGTCTAAATGTATTGTAAATGGTATCTACAGCATCAGAGTAAATGATTTTTAAATATAATACAAAGGAACTAAGTTGTTTAATGGAGGTCAATTCTGTTATTTAATCTGTAAAATAAATATTTGCATGGTAATTTTCTTTTTTTGAATTCCTTTTCTTTTTTGCCACATAGTTTGTGAAACAGGTTTATTTATATCATTGCTACAGTTTATTTTCTAGAACTTAGAGGATAACTAACCATCAACAGTAAATTTCTAGTATTTATTATGCGTAAATATAAATTAAGCATAGATTAGAAGAGGAACCAAGGTAACTCAATTGTATTTTGTATTAAGGATTCTCAGAAAGGGGAAGTATGGTATTGGATAACATGCTGGATTTTATAATGTCTTTACTGTGTCTCATTTTTATTTTAGAATGCTTTAGTGTGCCGTGGTTATTTAAAGTTTAAAATACTGTTTAATTGAGATTGTAACTCCTCTGTTTGATTTCATTTTTGCAGATAACCTCAGGGATGGTGATAAGCACATTTGTGTCTGCTCCCATCATGTACGTTTCTGCCTGGTTACTGACCTTTCCCACTATGGACCCTAAGCCATTGGCATATGCCATCCAGAATGTTAGTTTTGATATAAGTATTGTCAGCCTGATCTCCTTGGTAAGTACGTTGCATCCCAAAATGAATGGAAACCACAGAATGAGTTTTGAGAATAGACTGTTAACAGAAGGGATTTAAAAATCTAGTTTCTTATGAAATAAAGAAAGCTAAAGCCTGCCCATAAAATATAATGTCAGCCTTCTGATTAACTGAGTTTTGTTTTTCTATTTGGGAGTTAGAGTTCTATAGCAGACAAGACATGAGATTTAGTCACACCTGGATTTTATTCCTGGCCCTCTCACAAACTAGCTGTATGCCTCTGTGGAGTTACCTTAACCTCTCTAAATTTCTGTTTTCCAGCATAAAATAATGACAATAATTTCACATATTTCCATGGGTTTTTTAAGGGGTTACATGAAATAATATATGTGAAAAGCATTCTGCAAATGATGAATCACTATAGAATTCCTAGCTGTTCTAGAATCATGGGGTCAGAAGGTATCTTTGAGTTCAAGTCCAACCGCCTATTTAATGTTAATGAAACTTTTGGTTACTTCTCAAACTGAATATATCTAACTAAAATTAAATAATTAAGTATATGACAGCTAGAGTATCTTACAGATCAAATGGCCTATTGAATTCATGTTAGTAAAACTACAGATATTCTGGCTGAAAAAAAAGACAATGTGTACAGTTAATGGAGGTGGGGGTGAATATGTATATTGGTAACAGATAAATGTGTGATTAATTTTAAAGAAATTCCACCTCTGTCACATGTTCTTAAAATCTACTACACCCATTCATAACAGGGCAGTTTGGGGAAAGAGACCATATACATTTCAGTTGGCAATGAGGAAAGAAGGAAGTCGCCAGGATACTTACCTGGCCAATACGTAGGTAGAATGGAAACCCAATCCTTTAAAATATGAGGAATGTGATCTGGCACCGTGGCTCATGCCTGTAATCCCAACACTTTGGGAGGCAGAGGCAGGCAGATCACTTGAGGCCAGGAGTTCGAGACCAGCCTGGCCAACATGGAGAATCCCCATCTCTACTAAAAATATAAAATTAGTCAGGCATGGTGGTATGCATCTGTAATCCCAGCTACCTGGGTGGCTGGAGGCACAAGAGTCACTTGAGTCTGGGAGGCAGAGGTTTCAGTGAGCCGAGATCGCACCACTGCACTTCAGTGAGACTCTGTCTCACACACACACAAAGAATAAAAAATGAAGAATGTAAGATGATTAATCTTAAAGGTGTGTGGTATGTGTTGTTTGAAGTAAAACAGCCTGGCATTTAGATACCCCATGAGACAATATGTTGGAAATAGAAAAGGAAAAAAACTTAGAATAGTGCATTATTATAACTATCTCCCACTAAAGCTCCTTCCCTGAATAGTTGTCTGTGACCCTGTGTCCCACCCCAGACACGGAAGGTAGGCATAGTTAGAACATGGCCCTGGTCAAGGGATTAGTTCTTTTTTGTTGAGACAGAGTCTCCCTCTGTTGCCCAGGCTGGAGTGCAGTGGTATGATCTTGGCTTGGCTCACTGCAACTTCTCCCTCCTGGGTTCAAGCAGTTCTCCTCCCTTAGCCTCCCAAGTAGCTGGGATTACAGGCATACACCACCACACCCAGTAGAGGTGGGGTTTCGCCATGTTGGCCAGGCTAGTCTCGAACTCTTAACCTCAAGTGATCCGCCTGTCTGGGCCTCCCAAAGTGCTGGGATTACAGGCGTGAGCCACTGCACCTGGCCAAGGCATTAGTTTTTTTTTGTTTTGCTTTGTTTTGTTTTGTTTTGTTTTGTTTTGTTTTTTGAGATGGAGTCTTGCTCTGTCACCCAGGCTAGAGTGCAGTGGTGCAATCTTGGCTCACTGCAACCTCCACCTCCCAGGTTCAAGCAATTCTTCTGCCTTAGCCTTCTGAATAGCTGGGATTACAGGCGCCCGCCACTGTGCCCAGCTAATTTTTGTATTTTTAGTAGAGACAGGGTTTCGTCATGTTGGCCAGGCTGGTCTCGAACTCCTGACTTCAGGTGATCCACCTGCCTTGGCCTCCCAAAGTGCTAAGATTATAGGAATGAGCCACGATGCCTGGCCACATAAGTTCTTAAAGACCCTGTAATTTTTGGAGAGTTAATTTATTATGGGATCTCTCCATGCTTGTTATTTTACATTGGTTATAATAATTTACCTTTTTGGAACTAGACAGATTAAATAAAATATTGGAAATTCTTTCCGAACCAGGACAAAGAGGGTTATTTAAAGAGGCTAATCATTGTGTTATTTAATAAGTAATTATAAAGATTAAGAAACATGAATAACTTTTGAACCTTTTGTCTTCAAGATCTGGTCTCTGGCTATTCTTCTTTTGAGTAAGAAATATAAACAGCTTCCTCATATGCTTACAACTAATTTACTCATTGCTCAGGTTAGTAAAACTACTGATATTTAGAACTATGTTTTTCTAATGGATTATTCTACTGTAGAGGAGAAAATAACTTTGCTAGGTTTTTCTAGTTATGAAGTCAGAAGTATTACCAAATGCAGTCAATTACAGTTTGATTACAACTACTATACGCCTAACATATTTAATATTGCAAAATGTCTTAAACTATCTAAAGTTGAGGCTAATAATGGCATTTGATGATAACTTTGCATTTTTTAATAGAAACAATTTAATCATTAATAATTGAACTCTTTCACAATCATTTTTCTAATTAATCTTTGCATGTCTCAAATTATAATGGAAAGAACTTTAGCAATTTTAATGTAAGCCATTACTAAATACAGGTATAAAATTAATATTTAGAATGAAGTCATCTGTTTCAATTGGATATGTATATTGTCAAAGGCTCTGTTATAAAATGGATTTTTAACATAAAGTTTGAAGTTTTAGTATAAGTAGTGTGTAATACTTGATAATTATTCACAAAAAATTTTAAACAAATAATTATATTTGCTGTGAATGAAAGATGAATATGGCTGGCTTAATTGGAATTTTCTGTTGCAGTATTGAATTATATGGTTTTCTTAGCTATTTACAAAGTCTTTTAATAATTTTTTCCTTAGTCTATTGTCTGTGCTGGAATGATGATATGGAATTTTGTTAAAGAAAAAAATTTTGTTGGACAAATTTTGGTGTTTGTTCTATTGTACAGCTCCCTCTATAGCACCTACCTGTGGACAGGTGAGTTGGATTATGAATGGAAATTGAGATCTGTTCCCCACCCCACCCCATTCCTAATAGCCCTGAGCTTCTAGTGATCTATTTGAAGTCTGGTAGTACAGGATCAAGGCATGCACTGAGGCAGATCAGCCCACCCACAGAGGCCATCGGCAAAGCTGAGTTCTGTTTCCTAATGTACTCTATTCCTGCCTGGGCTTAGAGCCTTGTCCAGTCACATGGTCCTTTTCCCCAGGGCCTGTGGCTCTAGGCTGCTGTCAGTGCTGCTCCCTTTTGGAGACAAGAGGGAAGATACTGAAGGCAGATGGAGAAAGGCGGGAATGGGAAAGATGCGTGAGGTGTGTTCCAGAGCTCACTATCGAGTCCTGCTGAACAGGGAAATTCTGGCTCTGCCTCATGCAAATTACTTAACTTTTGAAGCCTCAGTTTCCTCATTTGTAAAACTAGGTTACAGCACCTTACAGAGTTACTTTGAGGACAAACTGAAATGTTGAGTATTTATGTCTGGTACATGGTAGGCACTAAATAAATAGAACTATGTTAGTTATTAAATAGAAGAATTAGAGGTAATAAGAGAAGAAGAAAACTAGGGGAATAAAAAGGCATGGAAATAGAAAAGGACCCAGTGAGAAAGACTGTTTCTCATTTCAGCTGGCTCCAAAAAGGATATTCAAAATGTTGTAGCACATTGCTATTTTGAAGTATAATATTTATGTGGATGCATGCATTCTGGTATGTTTGTGAAAAATTCTGTCTGGCTGTTTTGTATTCATCCTACAAATTTGAACCTATAAAATGGCACATGAAAGGAAATAGTAGAATGGTAGGAGGCAGGTGTCAGGAAGTGTCCACAAAGGACGGACCTTTGATTTCATGCCTTCAGGATCAAAAGCAGGTCCCATCTCAGTCAACAGCCTTTTGAAGTGAAGCAACAATGTGGTGAGGAATCATGGAATGAAAAATTCAGCACAAACAGAAGATGGTTTGTGCTTCTTAAAGGCAACTACATCTTGCATAGCATGAGTTTTTATGCAATGTCAAATTAAAAGAGCCTAAAGACTTTATATTTCAAAATATCGATGGACCAACTTGATGTCTAATAACTAGGCTTACTCAGGTTAACTTTATAATCAGAATAACAGAGCAGCAACTAGATCAATCAATTAAAATGTCCTAAGTCTCTCTGAAACCCCCTTCAAGCATGCACGCCAAAGTCTATTCAAAGAAGTCATTCTGAATTCCCAAAACCCAATAAAGGTGCCCTTTAACCATCAGGTTATTATGCTATGACAGAATTTTAGACCTGAAAATGTCATTTTAAGTCATCCCATTCGATCATTTTTAGTTCTACTCATTTTCATACCATCCTCACAATTTTTGCCATATCTGCATACTACTTGTTCTTTTTTCCTTAAAATTGATTTACTTTTTTTAAACTTTAATCAGTTGAGCCTTATATCAGTAAAATCCCAGGTTTCATTTGCTAATTAGTTTTTTTCAAATATGCATTAAAATAAACATATAACTAGTCAAAACATTTTCACCTTTGTGACACCTATAATCTCTACACCTTAGGAAACACTGGTCTAATTTAAATCCTTCATTTTGCAAACTGAGAAATAGGCCCAAAAAGATAGACTGATTTAGGCAGGAGCTCTCACAGCTTCAGTGAGACATCCAGGGCTAGCTGGATTCTGCCTGTTTGTATATAGTTCTTTTCACAAGGCAGGAGTGATGCACATTAGAATTTTAAAGACTGCCTTTGCTACTGTAACAAAGATGGCACCCTTTTGTGATTGGTTACTTGTTTCCCTGGCACTGCAACTACACAGTGTACAAATGGATTGAGGGAGGAAAAGTGGTAAAGAAAACCAATTCTCAAGGACCTCAATGTCAATTTATATTAAATCTAGCACAGTGTTATTTAATCTGGACAATCTTAAATCTAGGTATGTATTCTTTATATACAGCTAATATGCAATTCTAAAACCAAAGCAAATTCACAGATTCTATTCAAACAAAACTACAAACCCAGTAATTCTAATTAGCAACATTAATTAACATGACAAAGGATCTTGTTTTGCTAATGTAAATCATAGCTTGAAACATAAAATGGAACTCACTGCTATGGCTTTTTTGCCTTGCCTTTACTTCCATATGTGGGGTTTTGACCTTGTTATCTCACTGATATTCTTTCTTCAAACTACCATTTCATTTGGACTGTGCGTTGTAATATCATTTGGCCTTCACTTGACTCAAACTTAATATAAAACCCATTGTAAGCTCTGGCCAGGCACAGTGGCTCATGCCTGTAATCCCAACACTTTGGGAGATCCAGGCAGGAGGATCGCTTGAGGCCAGTAGTTCGAGACTAGCCTGGGCAATATAGTAAGACCCTCTCTCTATAAAAAATTTGAAAATTAGCTTTGCATGCTGGTACATGCCTGTAGTCCCAGCTACTCAGGAGGCTGAGGCAGGAGGATCCCTTGAGCCCAGAATTTTGAGCAGTAATTGTGCTACTGTACCCCAACCTGGTTAACAAAGTGAGACCCCCATCTCTAAAATAAAATAAAAATAAACCCAATGTAAATTCTGAAATCATGAGACTGCATGTTGGTTGCAAGGTGGATACACAGCTGACTACCACTGAAAAAAAAAAAAGAAAGAAAAAAAAAAGACTTAAAATTTCTCATAGAAATTCCCAGATCCTGAAGAATATGTCTTAGGTACCCTAGGGGTCCACAAATCTGAGTTTGAGAAACTGATTCAAGAAACAAAGAATTTAGCTTGTGTCAAAAGGCCAGGTTTCTAGTCTCACTCTGCCCTCTGCTGGCTGTATGACTTGGGCAAACCCTCATTTCCACATCTAAGGTGCTCATTTAAAAATAGAGGTCCCTTTCAACTTTAAAGTTCTAAGATCCTATAACTATGTAGAATTTATTAAATAAAATGTTACTTGCATACATAATTACATATAAGTTGTAAGGAAAGTTCAAGAACTTCAAAACATTTGTGTTTGTATTAAATTCAGAGTGTGTTTGTATTAAGTGCTATCATTACACTTAGGGCGTTTTCTAAAAACATAACCTGGGTAAGAGTTGCCCATACTTCTTAGCACCAGAAGAGGGGGATGTTTTTATTTTTAGAATTGTCCTGTATTCAATTAAAAAATGTTTTTCAGCTGGGCATAATGGCTTATGCCTATAATTCCAGAACTTTGGGAGGCCAAGGCAGGTGGATCACTTGAGGCCAGCAGTTCAAGACCAGCATGGGCAACATGGTGAAACCCATCTCTACTAAAAATACAAAATTAGCCTGACATGGTGGTGCACACCTGTAATCCCAGCTACTTGTTTGGCTAAGGCATGAAAATTGCTTGAACCCGGGAGGCAGAGGTTGCAGTGAACCAAGATCATGCCACTGAACTCCAGCCTGGGCAACGGAGTAAGACTCTGTCTAAAGAAAAAAAAAATGTTTTTCAGTTATACTTAGATTCCAAACACATGAATCAAAACAATAAAATGATTAGGGCTTTTGGAGAGAAATACTTCTCCAGACGCAGTGGCTCATGCCTGTAATCCCAGCACTTTGGGAGGCAGAAGTGGGAGGATCCACTGAGCTCAGGAGTTCAAGACCAGCTAGGGCAACATAGTATGACTCTGTCTCTACAAAAAAAAATTCTTATTTAGCCAGGCATGGTGGCATGTGGCTGTGGTCCCAGCTACTCAGGAGGCTGAGGTGGAAGGATCACTTGAACCCTGGAGGTCAAGGCTGCAGGGAGCTGTGATCACACCTCTGCACTCCAGCCTGGGCAACAGAGTGAGACCCTATCCAAAAAACAAACAACAAAAACCAGAGAGAAAATAAAATAAATCCTCACAGATAAAAAGAATTGAGTAAAGAAACAATATATGAGGGAAACAATGAATGATTTTGAATTAAAACTTGTTTCAAAATATTGAGGATAGCATTTATTTAGAAGGAAGAAATTCTAAAGCAAAAACCACACACTACTATGAAATAAGCTTGGTTTAAAAAAATAAAAAGGAAATAAAGTTTCATAAAGTCTGATCAATGTTGAGTAACTGTCTCTCTTTCAATCTTCTTATTCTTAGGCCTTCTAGCAATTTCTTTGTTTCTTTTGAAAAAGCGAGAGAGGGTACAAATTCCTGTTGGAATAATCATAATATCTGGCTGGGGGTAAGTTGGTAGTTCTCTGTTTGCTTACACCTTTCCATATAGACAGTTACTATTCATCCTTTCTTTTTCTCTCCCAATATCACTTGTGATTACAGAATTCCTGCTCTCCTTGTTGGTGTTCTTTTGATAACTGGAAAACACAATGGAGATAGCATTGACTCAGCCTTCTTTTATGGAAAAGAACAGGTGGGAAGAGTTTACTGGCAGTTCTGTTCTTGAGAATGTCTCTTTTTAGCTCGTTATGTGCCTTGCTAGACTTATATTAAAATTAACTTTGAAAATCTATTTCAATTTATTGCATATCAGATTGGTGATCCTATATCACTTTGTCTCATCTAGAACATGAACATTTTACATGTCTAAGTCCATTTTTAGCTGAAGATTTCTAAATGCTTAAAACTTATTGAATGTTCTTAATCACACTTAGGAATTGTGTTTCCTGTGCTGGAGAAAAGAGTGATTAATTTAAAACCATTTAATAAGTTAGCAGTAATAATAAAGGTCAAATTCTTGACTCTTAATCCTATCATAAATATAAATTTCAGGACAAAACGTATCTAGGAAAAATATTCTTGAAAAGCTATAGAGTAGGTGGCTTGTGGGACCTGCAGAATTCTTTAGGAGTGGAGTCCAAAGATGTGTTTTTAAAAAGCCTCTCCACATAATTTTGATTTCTTACTCTTTTTTTCTGTTTTGCAATTTTGGATTTTATTGTGTTTTTGTGAGAATAAATAAGATTATACATATAAAAGATTTAGAGTAGTCTTGGCATCTGGTTAGTGCTCAATAAATATTAGCTATAATTATTTTTAATATCATTACCATAAAAACATCTTAGTGACTGAAGTATGCGTGAATTATACGTGGAAGTGAGCAGAAACAGGAGTAAAGAAAACATCGGAGAGAAATCATTTAGATTCCTTGTAAAGGAAACCAGTGGCTGTGTTGGTAACCAATTGTTATACATGAAAGAAGCATCTAAAACCTTGTGTAATTACAAGCAAACCCTAATTTCTCTCCAAGTAACTTACATTCCTTATATACACTTACCTTTTTAAAAGAGCTACTGTTCTAGAGTATTTAAAACTGTGGAGATATATTGTCCATCAAAAACGTGCCCTAAGATGGCTGGGTGCGGTGGCTTACACCTGTAATCCCAGCAGTTTGGGAGGCCGAGGCGGGTGGGTCACGAGATCAGAAGATTGAGACCATCCTGGCTAACACGGTGAAACCCTGTCTCTACTAAAAAATACAAAAAATTAGCTGGGTTGTGGTGGCGGGCGCCTGTATTCCCAGCTACTTGGGAGGCTGAGGCAGGAGAATGGCGTGAACCTGGGAGGAAGAGGTTGCAGTGAGCCGAGATTGTGTCACTGCACTCCAGCCTGGGCGACAGAGCAAGACTCCATCTCAAAAAAAAAAAAAAAAAAAAAAAATGTGCCCTAAGATTATCAAGATGAAGTTGTGAAAAGTGGCCTGATATCTTTTTTTCATGTCGGCAGATGATCACCACAGCAGTCACCCTGTTCTGCAGCATCCTGATAGCTGGCATATCCCTCATGTGCATGAACCAGACTGCCCAAGCAGGAAGCTATGAAGGTTTCGATCAGTCTCAGAGCCACAAAGTGGTGGAGCCTGGAAATACTGCTTTTGAGGAGAGTCCAGCACCAGTAAATGAACCAGAACTTTTTACAAGCTCTATTCCAGAAACAAGTATGATCTTTTTAATTTTATTTTTATTTATTTGAGACAGAATCTTGCTCTATCATCCCGGCTGGAGTGCAGTGGCATGATCTCAGCTCACTGCAACCTCCGCCTCCTGTGTTTAAGCGATTCTGCCACCTGAGCCTCCAGAGTAGCTAGGACTACAGGTGCCTGCCACCATGCCCTGCTAATTTTTGTATTTTTAGTAGAGATGGGGTTTCGCCATGTTGCCCAGGCTGGTCTCGACCTGCTGAGCTCAGGCGATTCACCCGCCTCGGCCTCCCACAGTGCTGGGATTACAGGCATGAGCCAGCCTGATCTTTAAATATAAAGAAACTGCTACATGCCTTTATAGCATGTATCCTAAATGTTTTGTTTATGGGAAACTTCCTTGAACTAGTTTGAATATCATGAGTGCTTGTCAAATGAAGAATTTGAATCATAGTCAACAAACTTGCTTGTAAAATTATTCATTAGATTTTTGTTTATAAGTCTTATTGTGAGTATACACTTTTGTTAAATCCTAAAACTTCCCTGGACCTGAGAATATAGAAAAAAGTAACAACTGAAGGAAGGCCCTAACTAGGAAACGAAGCACATACATAAGTTAATTTAACAATATTGTATCAGGCAAGCACCATCAATAATATGAACTAAAGGAGGCCTGTTTAAAGCCAGATTAATGATGTAAGTCAGTTTTGGGCAAACTATAGTCCATAGGCCAAATCTGGCCCACCACCTGTTTTTGTATGGTCCACCAGCTAAAAATGTTTTTTTTCTTTGTTTGTTTATTTATTTATTTTTGCCACAGAGTCTCGCTCTGTTACCCAGGGTGGAGTGCAGTACCCTTGGCTCACCGTAACCTCTACCTCCTGGGTTCAAGCAATTCGCCTGTCTCAGCCTCCCCAGTAGCTGAGACTACAGTCGCACGCCACCACGCCTGGCTAATTTTTGTATTTTTAGTAGAGATGGGGTTTCACCATATTGGTCAGGCTGGTCTAGAACTCCTGACCTCAGGTGATCCACCCGCCTCGGCCTCCCAATGTGCTGGGATTACAGGTGTGAGCCACTGCACCCAGCCTAAAAATGTTTTTTACATTTTTAAAGGGTTGAAGAAAAATTAAAAGAAGACAAATACTTCGTGACTCTTAAAAACTACATGAAATTTTAATTTCATGTCCATAATTTTATTGAAACATAGCCATGCTCATTCATTTATATATCATCTATGGCTACCTTCATGCTATAATGGCAGAGTTGAGTCTTTGGGGCCTATACTAAGGCAGTAGGTATTGGATAAACAGGAGAGGCCAAACTCAGGCAAAGTTGTATTGACAGGGTTTGGTACTTGATTAGAAGCTGGGTGAGGGCTAAGAGAGAAACTGAGAACAACTTCCAGAAATCTAGTTTAAGTGAATGTATAATTGTGGGTATTACCTAAGAAGAATTCACAGAGAACAGAATATGTAGGGGAAGATAATGAGTTCAATTTGACCCTTCTAAGTTTGAGATGCATGAGACACCAAGGATTCATTTTAGTTTCTCAGTGTACCTCTTAAAATGGGATGCTTAGATCTGAATATAACATTCCAGTTACCATGGTCCTAGGACACAGTGAGCATTCAATATTTGATGAATGCTTGTTGACTGAGTGAAGAATAAGAGAATCATTCCTGTCCTTACTTAGAAAAGAAACTTTTAATTCTGCCTAACATTGCATTAACTTATTCTGATGATTTCATCTTGAATTTATGAGCAACTAAAAACCTGCCTCCCACCCCGAGTACATTACTGAACAGTTTCTCTCCAATCCTGAATTTTTGCATCTGGCTTTTAAAAGTCTAGGACAAAGCTGGGTATGGTTGCTCACACCTGTAACCCCAGCACTTTGGAAGGATTGCTTGAGCCCAGGAGTTCAAGACCAGCCTGGGCAACATAGTGAGACCCTGACTCTACAAAAAATAAAAAATTAGCTGGATGTGGTGGTACACACCTGTAGTCCTAGCTACTCAGGAGGCTGAGGCAGGAGGATTGCTTGAGCCCAGGAGGTCGAAGCTGCAGTGAGCCATGGTCACGCCACAGCAATCCAGCCTGGGCAATAGACGTGATCCTGTCTTTAAAAAAAAAGTCAAGGCCTGGTGCGGTGGCTCACACCTCTAATCCCAGAACTTTGGGAGGCTGAGGTGGGCGGATCACAAGGTCAGGAGTTTGAGATCAGCCTGGCTAACATGGTGAAACACCATCTCTACTAAAAATACAAAAATTAGCTAGGTGTGGTGGCGGGTGCCTGTAATCCCAGCTACTCCAGAGGCTGAGGCAGAAGAATCGCTTGAACCAGGGAGGCAGAGGTTGCAGTGAGCTGAGATCGTGCCACTGCATTCCAGTCTGGGTGACAGAGCAAGACTCTGTCTCAAAAAAAGTCTAAGACAGGACTTCAGTATTTGCCTAAGCCTATCAGGACTGAGATTTCTTTGTGTCTTGATTTGTAATCAAATATATTAACTTATTTATTGTATGGTGCTTCTCTTCTCTTCTTCTCTTCTTTTGAAACAAAGTCTTTCTCTTCTCTTCTTTTGAAACAAAGTCTTTCTCTGTCTCTCAGGCTGGAGCGCAGTGGAGCAGTCTTGGCACACTGCAGCTTCCACCTCCTGGGTTCAAGTAATCCTCCCTCTTCAGCTTCCCAAGTAGCCGGGTCTACAGGTGTGTGCCACCATGCCTGGCTAATTTTTGTATTTTTAGTAGAGGTGGGTTTTCACCATGTTGGCCAGGCTGGTCTCGAACTTCTGACCTCAAGTGATCTGCCTGCGTCAGCCTCCCAAAGTGCTGGGAATACAGGCATGAGCCACTGCGCCTGGCCCAGTTTTCTTTTTTAAAAGAAATAAAACTTACCAATAAAGTCAGAATGTTTGTTAGAATCTTTCATTCCTGTTAACTCCAGAAGTAACCACTATTATGAATTTGGATTGTATCCTTCCAGAGCACAATTTTACTATACTTTTACAATATGTGTGGTTTTCCATCAACAATATATAGTATTTTTATATGCTTTTACATTTTTATATAAATCTTATACTGTAGTTGTCTTCTTGCACTCAATATTTTTGAATTCATTTTGTAGATGTAATCAATGATATGCATATACCAAATTTTATTTATTAATTTCCTTATTGATGGATTAAGTTGCTTTAAAATATTTTGCTATTAGAAACAATGCTGTAATGTACAGCTTTATTCACATCTCCTTGAGTATACATCAAGATACATCAAGATTATACCTAGGATGTTGCTGAGTGCAGTGTTTCACACCTGTAATTCTAGCACTTTGGGAGGCTGAGGCAGGTGAATTGCCTAAGCTCAGGAGTTGGAGACCAGCCTGGGCAACATGGCAAAACCCATCTCTACAAAAAATAAAAAATTAGCTAGGCATGGTAGCATGTGCCTGTAGTCCGAGCTACTCAGGAGGCTGAGGTGGGAGGATCACCAGAGCCTGGAAAGCAGAGGCTGCAGTGAGCCAAGAGTGCACCACTGCACTCTGGCCTGGGAAACGGAGCGAGACACTGTCTCAAAAAAAAAAAAAAATTATACCTAGGATGGTAATTCCTGGGTCACAGGAAATAGGTAAGTTCCCATGGCTTTAATGTGAACCCTTTGTACTTTGTTCCTAATGTTGCATCTCTAACCTGACCCCTTTATACAGATCCAATCCCAGATTTCCTGCTGTCTACACATATATTATTTATATCTCAGCCAGGCGTGGTGGCTCACACCTGTAATCCCAGAACTTTGGGAAGCCAAGGCAAGCAGATCACTTGAGGTCAGGTGTTTGAGACCAGCCTGGCCAACATGGTGAAACCCCGTCTCTACTAAAAATACAAGAATTTGCCAGGCTGTGGTGGCAGACGCCTGTAGACCCAGCTACTCGGGAGGCTGAGGCATGAGAATCGCTTGAACCTGGGAGGCAGAGGTTGCAGTGAGCCAAGATTGTGCCACTGCACTCCAGCCTGGGTGACAGAGCGAAACTTCATCTAAAAAAAAAATAAAAAATTATTTACGTCTCTTTCTGAATACGTGGACAGCACTTGTTCTCTTTGTCAAAGGTACTGGAGCTTTTTAAACAAACAATTATCTTTCTTTTAGTGGTTCCATCATTCTTTAGAACTTCCCAGCTCAGCAACATCTCTGCTGTTTCCCCTTGAGGTGAATTAGCCATTCAGGGCGTGGAGTTCTCCCTCTGCAGGGTCCCCCTCCTCCCCCTGACCTCCCATCTCCCGACTTGGGCCTCCAGTCTCTCTGCTGGATTCTTGTAATTCCCTCCTAACTGAACTTCCTGTTTCTTGTCACTCTGGTCCAGTCTGTTTTATAAGGGAAATGGCCAAATTAACCTTCCTCACGGAGTTCTGGCCACATCAGGCTCCTGCTTCAGAGGCTGCAAGGGCCTTGCAGTGCCCGTGATGCCCAAAGCGCTGCACGTAGTGCCCAAGCCCTTCCACTGCCAGCCATATTCCCTCTCCGAGCCTATTCTGCCACCTCTCCCTGCAGCTGCCTGAGCTACCCAGTGAACCTTCCATTCTTTGGTCCGTCCAGCACTCGGCACTCATGTTATCACTTCTCTTCAGGGCCTTTAAAACCGAAGCTCACTAATTTCTCTGTTTGGTCATTTGTTTGTGTTTTTGTTGTTGTTGTTGTTGTTATTTTTATTTTTATTTTTTTGAGATGGAGTCTCGCTCTGTTGCCCAGGCTGGAGATCATTGTGTAATGATCAAATCAGGGTAATTAGCATATCTATCACTTCAAAATGTATAATTTCTTTGTTGTAGGAACATACAAAATCCTCTCTTCTATTTTGAGATGTACAGTATCTTTGTTGACTATAGCCACCATACTGTATGATAGGGCACTAGAACTTATTCTAATGTAACTTTGTACCTGTTGACCCCATCCCTGCCACCCCCTACCTGCCCAAGTATCCGGTACCCACTACTCATCCTTCCTTCCTTTCCCTTCCTTCTCTTCCTTCCTTTCCCTTCCTTCCCTTCCTTCCTTTTCCTTCCTTTCTTTTCCTTCCTTTCCCTTCCTTCCCTTCCCTTCCTTCCCTTTCCTTCCCTTTCCTTCCTTTCCCTTCCTTCCTCTCCCTTCCTTCCTTTTCCTTCCTTCCCTTCCCTTTCTTCCCTTCCTTTCCTTTCCTTCCTTTCCCTTCCTTCCCTCCCTCCCTCCTTCCCTCCTTCCCTTCTTCCCTCCCTCCTTCCTTCCTTCCTTCCTTCTTTCCCCAGGCTGGAGCGTGACTGCTCCCTGTAATCTCAAACTCCTGGACTCAAGCAGTCCTCCCACCTCATCCTCCCAAGAAGCTGTACTATAGCCATATGCCAGCATGCCCAGCTATTTTTTAAAAAGCTTTTTGTAAAGACAGAGTCTTGCTGTATTACCCAGGCTGATCTTAGGTTCCTAGCCTCGGCTGGGCATGGTGGCTCACACTTGTAATCCCAGCACTTTGGGAGGCCGAGGCGGGCAGATCGCCTGAGGTCGGGAGTTCTAGACCAGCCTGGCCAGCATGGTGAAACCCTGTCTCTACTAAAAATTCAAAAATTAGCTGGGCCTGGTGGCAGGTGCCTGTAATCCCAGCTACTCGGAAGCTGAGGCGGGACAATCGCTTGAACCCAGGAGGCGGAGGTTGCAGTGAGCCGAGATTGCGCCACTGCACTCCAGCCTGGGCAACAGAGTGAGACTCCACCTCAAAAAACAAAAAAACAGAACAAAACAAAACAAAATCCTAGCCTTAAGTGATCCTGCCACCTCAGCCTCCTGAAGCAACAGGTGTAAGCTACCATGCCTGGCCACATTCAGTGCTTCTATGAGATTAAGTTTTTTTTATTTTGTATATGAGTGAGAACATTTGAATACTTTTGGATAGATACCATGTGAAAACTATTGAGGCTACATGGGAAGTGTGTGTGAGTGGATTTTGTTTTGTTTTCTTTGGCATTTCTTAAAATTGTCCATTTCTGTTGTGGTTGGGCTCTACTCTCACATACTATTTGATTGATATAGGTTGCTGCTCCTGCTCCATGGGAAATGGTGAATTACACTGCCCATCAATAGAGCCAATAGCAAACACAAGCACCAGTGAGCCTGTGATTCCTTCGTTTGAGAAAAGTAAGTGCCTCTGGACTATGAGGATGGGATTAAGGGACAGAAGATTCCTTATTCTTTTTTTTTTTTTTCTTTTTTTTGAGACGGAGTCTTGCTCTGTCACCCAGGCTGGAGTGCAGTGGCGCTATCTTGGCTCACTGCAAGCTGTGCCTCCCAGGTTCACGCCATTCTCCTGCCTCAGCCTCCTGAGTAGCTGGGACTACAGGCGCCCACCACCATGCCCAGCTAATTTTTTGTATTTTTAGTAGAGACGGAGTTTCACTGTGTTAGCCAGGATGGTCTCGATCTCCTGACCTCGTGATCTGCCTGCCTCGGCCTCCCAAAGTGCTGGGATTACAGGCGTGAGCTACCACACCCGGCCAGAAGATTCCTTATTCTTATCCCTCAAAAGAACTCTACATAGAATATCTATAGAAGTTACAAACATCAAGAATATAGATCCTCAATTAAGAGCAAAGAAGTGCTAATAGGGAATAATTGTGCATAGACAGAATACTCACTTTAAAAAATAAAGTTCTCACAAAGTGATAATAGGTAGTGTCATACACACATTTTCCAATAAATTTAACCCAAGTGACAAATCCAGGAAGTTTGCCCTAAAGGGCATTTTGGTGGGAGGTGGAGAGAGGGAAGCTTTTTTCTTGTTTTAGAAACAGACTTTTCCCCCATTCTCATCCCCTAGGACCAGGACTAATTAATTAGTTCTTAATTATATTTTGAATCTTTATGCTTTAAATATGGCCATTCTTATAAAATAAGGAACAAACACCTTTAAAAGTAATAACCTCTTGGCCAGACAAGGTGGCTCACGCCTGTAATCCCAGCACTTTGGGAGGCCGAGGCGGGTGGATCACAAGGTCAGGAGTTCGAGACCAGCCTGGCCAACATGGTGAAACCCCGTCTCTACTGAAAATACAAAAATTAGTTGGGTGTGGTGGTAATCCCACCCAACTGTAATCCCAGCTACTTGGGAGGCTGAGGCAGGAGAATTGCTTGAACACAGGAGGCGGAGGTTGCAGTGAGCCAAGATCACGCCACTGCACTGCAACCTAGGTGACAGAGCAAGACTCCATCTAGGGGGAAAAAAAAAGTAATAACCTTTTGACTAAGAGGCTGAATTACATTTGTGGCCTAAATTTCAAATTATTCAAAACAACCGAACATACTTATGTGGAATTGCAGTGCATTTTTCGTTGATTATACTTATTTATAATCAAACTAAAAAGGGAAACCCCCAAAAATGCTCTTTTTGATAAGGCCTATGTCAACTGTATTATTGCTAAAGGCATTATGTTTTTATATAAGAAATGTAAGGATTATAGAAAACAATGTATGCAAATCACTTAGCACAGTATGTGGTATACATAGTAAATGGTCATTAAAATATGTAGTAGCAGTAGTAATTATTGTTATTCAGATGGGATTTATATTTGGCTATCTGCTGGCAAGGAATGAATCTTAAATAATAATAGAATTCACATTTCCATAAAAAGTAGTGAAAACATATCAGATATGAAACATTCATTGACTTTTTTTTCTTTTACAAGAAACCCTTTCTGGCAGTTACACTGTCTTTGTTTTATCTGTCTGCTTTTTTTCTAAAATCGTTTCTTTACATCAGAATTCCCAAGGTTTTCCTCCTTATTGTTATCTCCCTACACAATATACCTAGTAGTAAAATCCATTAACAAATTCAACATGTAATCTGATTTGGCAAATTTCTTTTTCCCTCCCCAAATCTCCTTAGGCTTTGCTTATCTGTCATTTTCTTCATTAATAATGTTGATTCTCGCCTGAGCGTGGTGGCTCACTCCTGTAATCCCACCACTTTGGGAGGCAAAGGCAAGAGGATCGTGCTTGAGCCCAGGAGTTCAAGACCAGCCTGGGCAACATAGCCAGACCCTATCTCTACAAAGAATCAAAAAAATTAGCTGAATGCAGTGGCTCATGCCTGTAATCCCAGCTACCCAGGAGGCTGGGGTGGGAGGATCGCTTGAGCCCAGGAGGTTGCAGCTGCAATAGGCCATGATCATGTCTGAGCAACAGAGCAAGACCCTGTCTCAAAAATAAACAAACAAAAAGTTGATCATTGAAAATTCTCTTAAATTGTAGGGGCTTGGATTTTCTGATCATATTTTATAAAAATTATATAGAATGAGAGCCATTATATAGGGACTTCATCTAATCATACAATTTAGTGCCATCCCTAAGCCTAAAATAAAGCCTGAAGGAAATTAAACCATGGGCAAATTAGAATTTTTAGAGTTGACAATATAATTTATTCTCTACCCCTTGGCATAGTACAAAGGCAAAAATAAGTATCACATTTAGATTGTTGAATGGCAACAATGTATGAAAAAGCAAATGAAAGAAGATTTATTTTTATCCATTTTTGTAATATCTGTATAAAAAATTTTTTTTTTTTTGAGATGGAGTCTCGCTCTGTCATCCAGGCTAGAGTGCAGTGGCGCAGTCTTGGCTCACTGCAACCTCTGCCTCCCGGGTTCAAGCAATTCTCCTGCCTCAGGCTCCCAAGTAGCTGGGATTACAGGCACCTGCCACCACACCCAGCTAATTTTTTTTTGTATTTTTAGTAGAGACGGGGTTTCACCATGTTGGCCAGGCTGGTGTCAAACTCCTGATCTCAAGTGATCCTCCCACCTCGGCCTCCCAAAGTTCTGGGATTACAGGCGTCAGCTGCCGTGCCTGGCTTGTACACAATATTTTAAAACCAGATTTATTATATATAGGTATACTTCCAGGATTTTTCCACACATATATACAAATAATTTTTATTCAAATAGGATCATACTACAGAGACAGTTTGGCAACCTACTTTCTTTATACTTAGCAACATTATGAACCTTCCCCCATGCCATCAGCAATTGTGCTAGACCATGTTTAATGGGTATACATGGCCTTTTCTAAAATGTGGTTTTAGGAAATACAAATTTTTTCTTTTAGCTTGAGGGCAAGAGCTATAGAATTGTGGTTTTTAATCACTGACTTGTATAAGACTATATGTTGGACTAGACATCTATTTTGTAAAAAAAATGTTTTTCTTTGCTTTTGCTCCCATATATAGAATGGAGCTAAGGTAGAAAAACAAAGGCTTCCTGTGAAAAGTCCCTCACCTCTATTTTTGGCCAGAAAAGAGTCATGCCTGTGACTTGTGTTTGTATCCATATGTGAACAAAACATGGCATATAATACTTTTATGGTTCCTCAAAGGTGTTTCCTAAGGCAAAGTTTTTTTCAACTTTTACTTTAGATTCAGTGGGTACGTGTGCAGTTTTGCTACCTGGGTATATTATGTGATGCTGAGGTTTGGGGTACAAACAAATGATCCCATCACCCAGGTACTAAGCATAGTACCCAGTAGTTTTTTAGCCCTTGCCCTCTCCCTCCTTTCCACCTCTCGTAGTCCCCAGTTTCCATCATTACCATCTTTATGTCCATGAGTATCTGATGTTTAGTTCCCACTTATAAGTGAGCACATGCAGCACTTGGTTTTCTGTTTCTGTGTTAATTCACTTAGGATTATGGCCTCCAGATGCATCCGTGTTGCTGCAAAGGACATTATTTCATTCTTTTTTTTTTTTTTTCAAGACAGGATCTGGTTCTGCCACCCAGGCTGGAGTGCACAGCTCACTGCAACTGTTGCCTTCTAGGCTCAAGCCATCATCCCACCTCAGCCTACCAAGTAGCCAGGACTACGGACGTGTGCAACCACGCCTGGCTAATTTTTGTTTTGTTTTGTTTTTGAGATGGAGTCTCGCTCTGTCGTCCAGGCTGGAGTGCAGTGGCACGATCTTGGCTCACTGCAACCTCCGCCTCCCAGGTTCAAGCAATTCTCCTGTCTCAGCCTCCCGAGTAGCTGGGACTACAGGCACCTGCCACCATGCCCGGCTAATTTTTATATTTTTAGTAGAGACGGGATTTCACCATATTGGTCAGGCTGGTGTCAAACTCCTGACCTCAGGTGATCTGCCCACCTCAGCCTCCCAAAGTGCTAGGATTACAGGCGTGAGCCACCGCATCCGGACTTGTTTAGTTTTTTAGAGACAGGGTTTCGCCATGTTGCCCAGGCTGGTCTCGAACTCCTGAGCTCAAGCGATCTGCCCGCCTTGTCCTCCCAAAGTTCTGGGACTACAGGCATGAGCCACTGTGCCTGGCCTATTTCATTCTTTTTATGGCTACATAGTATTCCATGGTATATATGTAGCACATTTTCTTTATCCAGTCCACCATCGATGGGCACCTAGTTTGATTCCATGCTTTGCTGTTGTGAGTAGTGCTGTGATGAACATGCAAGTGCATGAGTCTTTTGGTAGAACCATTTTTTTTCTTTTGGATATGTACCCAGTAATGGGATTGCTGGGTCATATGGTAGTCCTGTTCTAAGTTCTTTGAGAAATCTCCAGGCTGCTTTCCACAGTGACTGAACTAATTTACATTCCCACCAATGGTATAAAGCATTCCCTTTTCTCTACAGCCTCACCAGCATCTGTTGTTTATTGATTTTTTAATAATAGCCCTTCTGACTGATGCAAGACGGTATCTCATTGTGGTTTTGATTTCTCTGATGATTAGTGATGTGCAGCATTTTTTCATGTTTGTTGGCCGCTTGTATGTCTTCTTTGAGAAGTGTCTGTTCATGTCTTTTGTGCATTTTTTAATGGAGTTATTTGTGTTTTGTTTGTTCAATTGTTTAAGTTCCTTATAGATTCTGGATATTAGGCCTTGTTAGATGCATAGTGTGCGAATATTTTCTCCCATTCTGTAGGTTGTCTGTCTACTCTGTTCATAGTTTCTTCTGCTATGCAGAAGCTCTTTAGTTTAATTAGGTCCCACTTGTCAATTTTTGGTTTTGTTTTTGTTTTTACCTTAAAACTTCCCAGTAGGCCGGGCGCGGTGGCTCACGCCTGTAATCCCAGCACTTTGGGAGGCCGAGGCGGGTGGATCATGAGGTCAGGAGATCGAGACCATCCTGGCTAACAAGGTGAAACCCCGTCTCTACTAAAAATACAAAAAATTAGCCGGGCGCAGTGGCGGGTGCCTGTAGTCCCAGCTACTCGGGAGGCTGAGGCAGGAGAATGGCGTGAACCCGGGAAGCGGAGCTTGCAGTGAGCCGAGATTGCGCCACTGCAGTCCGCAGTCCGGCCTGGGCGACAGAGCGAGACTCCGTCTCAAAAAAAAAAAAAAAAAACAAAAAACAAAAAACAAAAAACTTCCCAGTATAGTGTTTTTGTTACAATTGCTTTTGAGGACTGAGTCATAAATTCTTCCCAAAGGTCGATGTCCAGAATGGTGTTTCCTAGGTTTTCTTCTAGGATTCTTATAGTTTGAGGCATTACTTTTTTTTGAGACACAGTCTTGCTCTGTTGCCCATGCTGGAGTGCCATGGCACGATGTTGGCTCACTGTAACCTCTGCTCCCAGGTTCAAGCAATTCCCTTGCCTCAGCCTCCCAAATAGCTGGGATTACAGGCGGCCGCCACCATGCCTGGCTAATTTTTGTATTTTTAGTAGAGACAGGGTTTCACCATGTTGGCCAGGCTGGTCTTGAACTCCTGACCTCAAGTGATCCGCCCATCTCAGCCTCCCAAATTGCTAGGATTACAGGCGTGAGCCACCGTGCCTGGCTGAGACATTACATTTAAATCTTAGTCCATCTTGAGTTAATTTTTGTATATGGTGAAAGGCAGGGGTTAAGGCAAATTGTAAACTCTTTAATGAGAGGTTAAGAGATAATAATAATTTGTTTCACAGTTAGCCAAAATAGGGTATTCATGACTAATATGTAGATTTATCAGTGATAAAACTTGAGTTATTAATTCGGCCTTTAAAATTATATGTATATAATTTTAATATATACAATATAAAAATAAAAATATATATTATATACTTTTTCAACCTTTGTCCCCCTTCCTCCCTCCTCACCTCTAGTAGTCCCCAGTTCCTATTGTTGCCATCTTTATGTCCATGAGTATCTGATATTTAGCTCCCACTTATAAGTAAGCACATGCAGTACTTGGTTTTCTGTTCCTGTGTTAATTCACTTAGGATATATATAATATCTAATATATATTATATATTTAATATATAATTTATATATGTAAATTATAAATATAATTAAATATAAAATTTTTATTTATATATGCTTATATATTAATTTGTAATTTATATAATATGCACAAATTACATATATAATTATATATAAATTTATATGATTATAATATATACTGATATATAATATACATTTATAACATAATATATAATTGTTATATAATTATATATGTAATGTGTATATATTATTTATATAACTAATATATAAAATAAAAATTATATATAATTTATACTTAATTATATTAATTATATAAAAATTATATATAATTTTTTATTATTTTTTTTAATTTTTTTTGAGACAGAGTCTTACTCTGTGGTGCAGTCTTGGCTCACCACAACCTCTGCCTCCTGGGTTCAAGCGATTCTCCTGCCTCAGCCTTCCAAGTAGCTGGAATTACGGGTGCCCGCCACCACACCCAGTTAATTTGTGTATTTTTAGTAGGGATGAGGTTTCACCGTGTTGGCCAGGCTGGTCTTGAACTCCTAATCTCAAGTAATCTGCCTGCCTCGGCATCCCAAAGTGCTGGGATTACAGGCATGAGCCACCGCACCCAGGCAAATTATGTATAATTTTTAAAGACCAAATTATATAACTTATGTTAGATAATTATATATATAAAACATTGTTGAATAGTGTAAAAGGGAACTATTGTATTCTACTTATGTTTTTTGAGATAAAAACATTTCAGCTAGAATTCTTCTAAAGCAACATGAAGGAGCTTTCTTCCAATTTCATCTAAAATAATATACTGATTCTTAGCTGAATGTGCTTTTCTGTTGTTTCTCTTAGGAAGTCATTACAAATTTAAAATGCATTTAGATAAAAAGCTCTGATTACAAATTGTTGTGCTTACTCTTTTATAGACAATCATTGTGTGAGTCGCTGTAACTCCCAGAGCTGCATATTAGCCCAGGAAGAAGAACAGTATCTACAGAGTGGAGACCAGCAACTGACCCGACATGTGTTGCTGTGTTTACTTCTCATCATTGGCCTGTTCGCTGTAATGGTTTTTTCTGGTTTTGTTTTGGGGCCATTTCTTTAAATTTTTGGCAAAGGTTTTATTCAGGCATCCGGGAAAAACTTAGTTGCTGCTTTCCAGAAGTGTGGTAGCTAGGTCACCTGAATTTGGATCTTGAGCTAAATAATTGCAGGTGTGAGGGGAAGAGATGAATCATTCACATTACTCTGAGGCCTGAGTGCTCCAATAGCTTATTCTGCTTAGAATCATTTATTCATTCTATGCTCTGAACCTAGAATTTGGTAAAAGCAGCTATTTCTTTTTATTTTTTATTTTTTTTTTTTTTGAGACAGAGTCTAACTCTGTTGCCCAGGCTGGAGTGAAGTGGCATGATCTCAGCTCACTGCAACCTCTGCCTCCCGGGTTCAAGCGATTCTCCTGCTTCAGTCTCCTGAGTAGTTGGGATTACAGGCGCATGCCACCATGCCTGGCTAATTTTTGTATTTGTAGTAGAGACGGGGTTTCATCATGTTGGTCAGGCTGGTCTTGAACCCCTGACCTCAGGTGATCCACCCTCCTTAGCCTCCCAAAGTGCTGGAATTACAGGCGTGAGCCACTGCGCCAGGCCCAAAAGCAGCTATTTCAATAATGTACACAGGGCCACTTATTCCTAACATACCTGACTGACCAAAGTGGATAAATGCCTACATTAATGTCTCAGAACATGAAACCTCAGTGTCCACCAGAAAAAAAAAAAGAAAACCAAAAAACCTCTCAGAACATATTCCTCAGATAAACTTTAAAAAATAATTTTCAATTATCAAAATAACATAACTACTTCATATAATAGACCCTTACAAAATAGAGAAAATTAAAATACAGTATTTTATTTTTAGACTACATGCATTTCTTTGATTACTAAATGTCCTATTTGTGAATTATCAGTTCTTATTATATAATTCTTTGAGATGGTTCAAGTGTAACTCGTCCAGAGGTAGGAGATGGACCAGATAACCTATGAAGGAACGCTTTGCACACTGGGATGCTCGTGAGATAGTGTGATATCAGCCAATACCACTTTAAGTGCCATTTAAGAACAAAAATCAAAAAATAAGAAATGCTGCCAAGAATTGCTTAGTGATGTAATTGTTTTCATTGTGTAGAACTAAATTTAAAATCAGGCCTGTCTTAGGCTAGTTGGCAATCTTGATACATTATGTAAGCTTCTGTATTATGGCTCATGTCTTCTTGCTTCAAATCTGATCAGAATAGATAACTGTTTGAATGACATCTGTCAGGAGGAGAGGTTGAAACTTTCTTATTGAAAAGATAAAGCCTCTATATTCTCTCAGTGTTTTTCCGTCTAGTCTTTTTCCCTGTAATTATTAAGTAGGTAAGTTATTGTACTATGCTGTGGATGGAGAGGAATTATCAGCTTGCTTGATTTTAAAATACTCTTTTCTCCTTTCTTTACAGAATCTTTCCAGTTGTTTATGGTGGCTATTCAACCAAGAGCCTGGAAGACTTTATGTTGAGTTACAGTTTTTCTGTGCCGTGTTTAACTTTGGTCAGGTATTTATTTATGGAGAACTTTGAGGGGTTTTTGTCTTCCTGGATAGGTTGATTGGTAGGGGGTCGGGGGAAGCGGGGAGTGGATTAGGATGTTGTTTTCTTTCACATAAAAAGGATTTAGTTTGTTTGCCAGCTGCTGGTATGCATGGCAGCTGACAGCTGCTGCTTGTCTTCTAGTAGAGACGAATTATTATATTGGTTAAAGTCATCAGAATGTACGCTGAGTGCTTCCACCAGAAAAATGCCAGGTAGTAACTTTGGTGTGATCTTAATAAGTCACATTGGGACCGGGCTCATTGGCTCACACCTGTAACCCCAGCACTTTGGGAGGCCAAGGTGGGCAGGTCACTTGAGGCCAGGAGTTCAAAACCAGCCTAGCCAACATGGTGAAACCCCATCTCTACAAAAAAATACAAAAAAATTAGCCAGACGTGGTAGTCCATGCCGATAATCCAAGCTACTGCAGAGGCTGAGGCACAAGAATCACTTGAACCCAGGAAGTGGAGGTTGCAGCGAGCTGAGACTGTGCTACTGCACTCCAGCCTGGGTGACAGAGTGAGATGAGACTGTCTCAAAAAAAAAAAAAAAAAAAAAGGTCACTTTGGGAAAATAACTTAATTTCCCTGAACTTTTAATTTAGCTCCTTAAATTTTTTTTTTTTTTTTGAGACGGAGTTTCGCTCTTGTTGCCCAGGCTGGAGTGCAATGGCGTGATCTCAGCTCACTGCAACCTCTGCCTCTCAGGTTCAAGCAATTCTCCTGTCTCAGCCTCCTGAGTAGCTGGGATTACAGGCATGCACCACTACGCCCGGCTAATTTTGTATTTTTAGTAGAGACGGGGTTTCTCCAGTTGCTCAGGCTAGTCTCCAACTCCCAACCTCAGGAGATCCACCCACCTCAGCCTCCCAAAGTGCTGGGATTACAGGCATGAGCCACCACACCCGGCCATCTCCTTAAATTAGTGGACATCATTTCATTTACATTTTGATGTTTCTTGAACAATAGATACTTAAATCTTAAAAAGAAAAATCATGTGGTATATAAATAAATTTTGGCTAGGGATAGCAGTTACCATTCCTTGATAGTCTACTATGTGCCAACCATCGTTAAGCATTTTACATTCATTATCTCATTTAAACATCATGACAACACCTGCAAAGTAGTATTATCACCCCCAGTTTATGAATTAGGAAACTAAAATTCCATAAACAAGTAATATGATAGGTGCTATTGTCTATGTTTATGTCACTATTAAAATGGATACTTAAGGATAAATTACATCTTACATATTGGGAAAATATTTTTTATGTGCAAATTCCAAATTTTGACCTTTAACTCCTTACTTTTTTTTTTTAATTGAGATGGAGTCTCATTCTGTCATCCAGGCTGGAGTGCATTGGCATTAGCTCACTGCAACCTCCACCTCCTGGGTTCAGGTGGTTCTCCTACCTCAGCCTCCTGAGTAGCTAGGACTACAGGCACCTGCTACCATGCCCAGCTAATTTTTGTATTTTCAGTAGAGATGAGGTTTCACCATGTTGGCCAGGCTGGTCTTGAACTCCTGACCTCAAGTGATCCACCTGCCTTGGCCTCCCAAAGTGCTGGTATTAACGGGCATGGGCCACCGCACCCAGCCCTTACTTTTGCATTACAGAATATTAGTCCACAGACTGAGTATCAGGTCAAAAAACAAAAAACCCCACACATTTGAAATCACTGAGTTTGTCTATTAAATCTAAAATAATTTGCCATATGAATGAGTTAACATTTGTCAATAGATGTTGCTGTTTTTCCTAATATTAATTTCTTACAATATTTACAGTTTGGCCATTATGATGGGAGCAAAAATGGCTATGCCCACAGAGACAAATGACCTTAA
The DNA here is from genome assembly GCF_000001405.40 of Homo sapiens. NCBI lineage: Eukaryota > Metazoa > Chordata > Mammalia > Primates > Hominidae > Homo > Homo sapiens. The sequence continues at coordinate 174,443,202 of NC_000002.12, read as the reverse complement.
TCAGTTTATTACAGACAGACATGAGCATCCTACTTGATATCTCACTTTGTGATACTGTTTAAGATCTGATTTTGTATCTAAGAACTATAAAATACTGAGTTGAAAAATCATAGTCTGACTTAGCATTTTGCATTCAGAAAGCCCATTCTAAGCTGAGCTATCCAGAACTGGGACTGGGATGAGCTTCATTCCATAGGGCTGTGTCATCAACAGCAGCTAATGCCAGGAATGTTGCATTTAAAATGCTGCCCCACAACTTAAGGCCGAAGTGGTTCAATGGAGCAAGACAGACAGAAACCCCATTCCCATCCCATTTTCCTCTTGGGGAGGTGGTATGGTAAGCTCATTCCCTTCTGGCTGTTTATAGTATGGGGGATGAAGAAATTTGGGTCCTTCTGCATTCTCCATTCTACTTCTATCAAGTTGCACTCAGATCCTTATCCCAGTGTGACACAGATGGCAGCTCCCAACTTCCTATCTCTCAAAAAGAGTCTTTAAATTGTCCTAACCTGTGGCTGATACCTGGTGCTAGGCATTTGCCTTGACACTCACAAATCCTTGAACTCTTCTCCTAACCACTAGCCAGTTTCACTTTACATAAATTCTGTTCAATTACTGCATTATTATTAGATACTGCAACACTTGTTAATTATATAATTTGTGAGGTTTCATGGAAAAATAATAAATACTTACGCACAGTGGGAAATATTTTCTTTTTATAAAGGGGAAACAAAGACATATATGCCCTTAAACGTTTTCATTTTACTATCATGTAAATGCGGCTGCTCAGCCCTGGTTTGTATCACCCATCACAATGAGTGGGATAGAATGATTGGGAAAAGGCAGCAAAGCATCATACCTGCCTTTGAAGGGCCTACTTTGTGTGTTCCACTTAAAATGTTGCTCTTGTCACTATAGGTTTGTCTCCTCAAACACTAAATTTGGTGACTTCCTTAACTTCTCTGTTTTAAAATGTTATTGTTGAATTCTGAAAAAAATAACTTTGTTTTCTTCCCTAGGGATTTATTTCCTTTGGAATCTTTGGATTAGATAAACATTTAATCATCCTGCCTTTCAAAAGAAGGTAAATTAAGTTTTGAAATAAATCTGTATCTGTAAATGTGATGACAAAGCCATTATATTAAGATACTGATATGGGGCCATGCATGGTGGCTACTTGTAATCCCAGTACTTTGGGAGGCCAGGGTGGGCAGATTGCTTGAACTCAGGAGTTCAAGACCAGCCTGGGCAACATAGTGAAACCTAGTCTCTACAAAAAAAAAAATACAAAAATTAGCCAGGTGTGGTGGCATGCTTTTGTAGTCCCAGCTACTCAGGAGGTTGAGGCAGGAGGATGGCTTGAACCTGGGAGGCAGAGGTTGCAGTGAGCCAAGATTGTGCCACTGCACTCCAGCCTGGGCGACAGAGCAAGATCCTGTCACACACACACGCACACACACACACACACACACACACACAAAGATACTGATGTTTTTCTATCGCAAGGACAGAAAACCAAACACAGCATGTTCTCACTCATAGGTGGCAACTGAACAATGAGAACACTTGGACACACGGTGGGGAACATCACACACCGGGGCCTGTCGTGGGGTAGGGTAAGGTGGGAGGGATAGCATTAGGAGATATACCTAATGTAAACGACGAGTTAATGGGTGCAGCACACCAACATGGCACATGTATACATATGTAACAAACCTGCATGTTTTTTACATGTACCCTAGAACTTAAAGTATAATAATAAAAATAAAAATTAAAAAAAATTTTTTAAATATATATATATTTTAATTTGATTGGTAAAATTAGCCCTGTGATGCCCCTATCCTAGGCTTTGTATGGTGAAACTTTTACTAGGACGTATTTTTAATGCCTAAATTATAAACCTAAGAAAATATATTTGAGTGTCCAAATGATGGTACATAAAATGCTTAATTTCAACACTTGAATGTCAAATAAAAATTTGCTATATTATGCTTAAAAAAAAGATAGTGATGTTTTTAAACCTTTAGTAACTGCGAAGACACCACTAAATGCCACACAAAGGTTATAAACAACTGCAAAAAAAAATTGGAGGAACTATTACAAATCTGGCATTGTAATTTGCACTTTAACAAGAATTGATGGACATTGATTTCTATCTATGCTATTAACTATTACATAAAGTTAAATGAAACTTGAAAATGTCTTTGGAAATGGAAGTAGTAGGTGGTGTGCCCCTATGGTCTATATTTGATTGTCTGTCTCCTTTGACAACACAATTTCTCTTTTTATCAAACTGACAGCTTACGGAAAACTCAAGTTTCTTTCTAAATTGTTGGTTTTTTTATCAGCTTAGTGAAGGGTTTCTTTGAATTAAGATCAGGGATTTCTTTATGAAAAATAACAAGTAGTAATACTCCAATGTGGGGGTAGGAGGAAGAGGTCGGGACAAATCTTTCTACTTCTTGTGTTTTCAAAGTCAAAATTTGTAGAAACTGGAAGTGCTAAAGAAATGTATCCCACCAGCGCTATGAAAAGTGCCCAGTAAATGCTAATGGTTCTTTCTTCTTCATCTTTATCATTATCATCAAGATGTAGTTGCTAGGTTCATAATCATTTCATGAAAGAAGAAAAGCATAATTGGAAAGTCATTGAACTTAGTTATCAGCTTCATTTGTTGACTGGGTAAAATAATCAACGATTCTAATGTGTAGGCTTGCTGAAACAAAACTGTTTCGTACTCCAGTTTTTGGAGTACGAGTTTTTGGTATTTGTCTCTGTGGTACTAAAATAGAAAAGTGATTAAACAAAATATTTGATCTCTAATTTATCTTTGCATTTCAAAACAGTAGAATGTAGAGTAAGGAACATTTATTAGTAGAACCTGAAATGGATCAAACATGTCTGGAGGGTTTATAAAATGATTAAGTCTTCCACCCCAGTATGCTTTGAATAGGAAATTGAATGTAGAATGTTTTTGCTTCTGAGACTAATGATGTCTGGAATGTAGAATGTTTTTGCTTCTGAGACTAACGATGTCTGGGTATTGTAGATGACAGCTTTGGTGATCGACAGCTTTGGAACAGCCATTTTGATGGGGTGATAAGGCAGGAAGAGTTCTCTCTCAGTGCTTTTCTGTCCTTAAAAATGGCCATAAATTTGATTTTCAGACTTGAATTCCTATGGAACAATAAAGACACAGCAGAAAACAGGGATTCTCCTGTTTCAGAGGAAATAAAAATGACCTGTCAACAATTTATCCATTATCACCGTGACCTCTGTATCCGAAACATTGTCAAAGAAAGAAGGTAAGCAAAGTGCCAGTACAGGTTCTAGACAATTATATTTTAAATGATTAATTGATTAATTTTGGATTGTAATAGGCTAAATGAGGTGGTTGTGACTGATTACATGATTATTTTTACATATGCATGTAAAAGTTACAGGAATTATGAGTGAGTTTATAGTTTCAGAAATGGCATATAAAAGAACCATTTACGTTGATTTTAATATTTTAAAAATGTCATATAACTTCTGATTGCCATATAAAATGTGAACACTTCAGTTTAGAGTGAACCAAAATGTCATAGAATATTGACACTGATTTCAAGTTGGCCAGTAGTGTCTCTCACAAAACTTTGAGATACATTGGATTTAGAAGTGATGTTATATTCCCACCTCAGCATTTCTTGACAAATGTATTTGTCAAGAAAATGAAATGAAATTTCTGCCTCTTAATTTTGTTGCTTATGTTTCACTTCAAGTTCTAATCTTTAGTCTGTGACATAATATTTATTATACTAATCCTTAAGGTATGAAGTATATAGCAGGTTCTCTTTTAATTTTGGATGAGGAAAAAAATTTTTTTATAAACGAAGTATACAGCAGGAAATTATGAACTTTGAATAAATACTATACTACCAGTATTTCTCTTTGTCATAAAAGAGAAAACAAAACAAAATATAAAGAACCAAATACTTTTATGTCTATAACTGAAAATATGAAATGTATGAAAATTCATATGGAGGATAATTTATTTACATATATTATGCCACTGTATTTAACATATATATCATTATAATCAGAAGGTAGCCTGGTACGGAGAGTGGAAAAGGGGCTGCAGTGGGTGTGGACTAATACTAGAACTCAGCTCCTGAACTGCCGCTTGTTGGCTGTGTGACATTGGGCAAGTTCAATTCTCTAAATTTTAGTTTTCCTCTTCTTTAAAATATCGAATTCTTGGGATTGTTGAATTAGATGACAGAATGTCTGTGATAGGCATAGCCCACTTTCTGGCAACAGTAAACTATGAAGAAAAGTTAGTTTTTCACCCTTCTGAGCACAATTATTTCAAAGTGCCATCTATGAATAGTTTCGACAATTTAAAACTGCTTTTTAGGGCCGGGCGTGCTGGCTCATGCCTGTAATCCCAGCACTTTAGGAGGCCAAGGTGGGAGGGTCACCTGAGGTCAGGAGTTCAAGACCAGCCTGGCCAACATGGTGAAACCCTGTCTCTACTAAAAATACAAAACTAGCCGGGTGTGTTGGCGGGCGCCTGTAATTCAAGCTACTCAGGAGGCTGCAGCACAAGAATCGCTTGAACCCGGGAGGTGGAGGTTGCAATGAGCTGAGATCACGCCACTGCACTCTGGCTGGGCAACAGAGCAAGACTCTGTCTCAAAAACAAACAAACAAAAACCCACAAAATAACCCTGCTTTTTAAAATTAAAAAAGAGAACTCCGGGTTAGCTCTTTGAGGCCCAGTGTGATTGCCAGCTCTTGGGAAGGAAGCATAGCTTTTGCAATTTGCAGGGCTGCCAGTCTGCCTCAGTCCCATTTGGCTGAATGGACACTGGCTGGGAGCGTGCCAGCCTGTTTCCTGCCCCTTTCCAGGCTCTACAGCCTGTACAGTGTCACATTCTCTGCCACTTTGTACAGCTCCATGGGCTGGTTTTTTTGTTTGTTTCTTTGAGACAGAGTCTTACTCCCATCGCCCAGGCTGGAGTGCAGTGGCGCAATCTCACTGCAGCCCCAATCTCCTGGGCTCAGCCTTCTGAGAAGCTGGAACTACAGGTGCGTGCCACCATACCCAGCTAATTTTTTGTATTTTTTTAGTAGAGATGGAGTTTTGCCATGTTGGCCAGGCTGGTCTCAAACTCCTGAGCTCAAGTGATCTGCCCACCTCGGCCTCCCAAAAAAAGTGCTGGGATTACAAGCGTGAGCCACCATACCCAGCCATGGGCTGTTATTATAGCTGCCTGATCACAGTCATCAGGAAATAAATACTCTGTTGGTGTCTGGAATAGAAGGTGTCAGGCTATAGGCCAGGCACGGTGGCTCACGCCTGTAATCCCAGCACTTTGGGAGGCTGAGGTGGGCAGATCACCTGAGGTCGGGAGTTCGAGACCAGCCTGACCAACATGGAGAAATCCCGTCTCTACTAAAAACACAAAATTAGCCAGGTGTGGTGGCGCATGCCTGTAATCCCATCTACTCGGGAGGCTGAGGCAAGAGAATCACTTGAACCCAGGAGACGGAGGTTGTGGGGTAAGCTGAGATCGTGCCATTGCACTCCAGCCTGGGCAACAAGAGTGAAACTTTGTCTCAAAAAAAAAAAAAAAAAAAAAAGGTGTTAGGCCATAAATAAAAAAATCAACAAGCAAAAAGAAGGCTAACACAGAGTATAATATCCAGGCTTTTGTCGAATGTGGTGTTTCTAGTTGCAAGGCATAAATTAAGATAACTTATCTCTAAATGAAATACTGATGTTAAAATAATGTAGTTTTATGTATTTGAGAAAACTTTTCATGAGTATTAACCTTTTTTTCTAATTCTTATATAAACTCTAATGAATATTCATTTATGGTGAAATGTTTTTAAATTTTTGTCACCTATTTCTCCTTTCACCTTGATCTTCATCCACCATTTCCCACGTCAAGCACTTTAGGTTTTGTAGCCTGAATGATGCTTGTGGACAGATTCATGTTGTCTATCTATAGTGTATTTGTGTGGAAATGTACAGCACTCGTGTAATTGGATTTTTTTCCCTGTATCTCTCTATCCTTTGTTTATTTGTACATACTTAAGACATCCCATATTTGCATCAGGAAGATAGATTTTTAAATATTCAAGAAGTAGATTCACAAAGCACATTTTAAAAATCTTAGATTTGTAGCAAGTTAGATCTCACTTATTCTTTCCTTGCTTCCTAATGAAGCAAATTTCTGACAAACATATCAGTAGGATTGTCTTGCCTGCTGAGGGCAAGAAGAAAGGCTACTTGTGGGGCACTATGATGTATGTAGTGCATACGTATACATGATGTATATGGAGCTAAAAATAAAGTTTGATTTGAATAGTGAAAATAATCACTTCTTAAGAGCTCGTGAAAAATATTTAGTGTTCCTGACACAAATTACTTAGTATAACTAAAAGTATAAATTATAAAATATGTCATATTCAGCTATTACAGGACAGATCTGATAACAGGCTACTATAAAAAGTATTTCTTTGTAAGTGCATTTACATTATCTATGACTTTTTTTGGTATTGTTTAAGCATTTCTGTTTTCACAAGCATTACTGGCATATTTTCTTTTTCTCCAGTGGGTCTTTCTAGGTCAGGAGAGTTAACAAACCCTTTCTATTCAGAACAGTTTCCTTCCTGCTATGCTTGTAACTACCATGCTGTCTTTCCTTGTTTCCTTCTATTTTTTCTTGCTTGTCCTCTATCATGCAGTGCTGATACCAGATTTACAGAAAATATGGGTGAATCATTCCTTTGACACAGGTGTGGTGCAAAGACTTCTGCTGGAACTTTCTGTGGCTGTGACCTGGTGAGCTGGCTAATTGAAGTCGGCCTTGCCTCCGACCGTGGTGAAGCTGTGATATACGGAGACAGGCTGGTACAAGGGGGAGTCATCCAACATATTACCAACGAGTATGAATTCCGGGATGAGTACTTGTTTTACAGATTTCTTCAAAAGAGTCCTGAACAGAGTCCTCCTGCTATTAATGCAAACACTCTCCAACAGGAAAGATATAAAGAAATTGAGCATTCATCCCCACCCTCACATTCCCCTAAGACCTAAATTATGCAGGGGAGAACCCTACATGGAATCATATTCTAGCCGCGTATTCATTAGTTTTTAGCTGGGTGACCTTGGGCAAGTTAACAGAGGCAACCTCTCTGAGCCTCAGTTGTCTCTTCTGTAAAATGTGAAAAGATGTGCTCCCACCACATGCGCAGGGTCTGTGATTTTACATGTATGTAAAACACATAGGAAGCTGACTTAGGAAAAAGAGAAAACCAAATTAAAGTTCTGATAATGAATATAATATAGTCATCCTTTAGTATCCAAGGGGATTGGTTCCAGGACTCCTGAAGATCCCAAAATCTGAGGATACTCAAGTCCCTTATATAAAATGGTGTAGGCCGGGCATGGTGGCTCACGCCTGTAATCCCAGTACTTTGGGAGGCCGAGTCAGGTGGATCACCTGAGGTCAGGAGTTCAAGACCAGCCTGGCCAACATGGCGAAACCCCGTCTCTACTATAAAATACAAAAAATTAGTTGGGTGTGGTGGCGGGTGCCTGTAATCCCAGCTACTCAGGAGGCTGAGGCAGGAGAATCGCTTGAATCTGGGAGGCAGAGGTTGCTGTGAGCCGAGATCGTGCCACTGCACTCCAGCCTGAGCAACAGAGCAAGACTCTATCTCAAAAATAAAATAAAATAAAATAAAATAATTAATAAAATGGTGTAGTATTTGCATATAACCTATGCACATTCTCCCATATAGTTTAATCATCTTTAGATACTTATAATGCCTAATACAATGTAAATGCTATGTAAATAGTTGTTGTTATACTGTATTGTTTAGGGAATAACAATAAGAAAAACAGTCTGTACATGTTCACTACAGATGCAACCATTGTTAAGCCTGACTACATCTTTTTATCTGCGGTTGATTGAATCTATGGATGTGGAACCTGTGCATATGGAGGGTCAACTGTACTATAAATAATACGAATATGCCAACATTATATAATCATTGCTTTCTGCAACTGTTTACTATAATTTCAAAATTAATATCCTATTAACTGTTCCTATAAATTATCAAATTTGGCAAGTGTATTACTAGCAGGAGATGGACCTTAAATTATGACAACTTTATATTTTTTGATAGCATCTCTTGAAAAAGAATTTTAATGATTCTAATAAGAGGTTCTTTTTCTTTTTTCCATTTCCTTGACAAATAGTACTCATTTAAAAACTAGAGGGCTAGGCTTAGTGGCTCACGCCTGTAATCTCAGCACTTTGGGAGGCTGAGGCGGGCAGATCGCTTGAGGTCAGGAGTTCAAGACCAGCCCGGGCAACGTGGTGAAACCCGGTCTGTACTAAAAAAAAAAAAAAAGAAAAAGAAAAAGAAAAAAGAATACCCAGGTGTGGTAGTGCATGCCTGTAGTCCCAGCTACTTTGGAGACTGAGGTGGGAGTACCCCTTGAGCCTGGGAGGCGCAGGTTGCAGTGAACCAAGATCACATCACTGCACTTCAACCTGGGTGACAGAGCAAGACCCTGTCTCAAAAACAAAAAACAAGCAAAAAAAACCTAGAGGCACTATTTTTTTTTAAAGTTTGTCTTTTCTTTTCTACCCAAATTACTAATCTATGCCATTAAGGAAAGGAATAAGAACCTCCATATGTATTATTATCTCCACAGTCCTGCAGAAGTACAATCTGATCTTTAACTTTCATGCTACAAATAATAATTTGAGTAGATTAATTTGAATTTTATCAACAAAATTATTGCCATATGATGTATCATTTCTGTGTTTGAACAAAGCATCGTAATGCAGGATAACTTCTACTTTATTCCCTGTAGTTAAAAAAAAAAAAACTATATAGTTCAAGCCAATATTTAAAAATTCTAAACCTAGGCTGGGCATGGTGACTCATACCTGTAATCCCAGCACTTTGGGAGGCCGAGGCAGGTGAATTGCTTCAGCCCAGGAGTTCGAGACCAGCCTGGCCAATGTGGTGAAACCCCATCTCTACTAAAAAAAAAAAAAAAAAAAAAAATTAGCCAGGTGTGGTGGTGTGCACCTGTAATCCCAGCTACCCAGGAGGCTGAGGCAGGAAAATTGCTTGAAACCAGGAGGCAGAGGTTGCAGTGAGCTGAGATCGTGCCACTGCACTCCAGCCTGAGTGTCAGAGTGAGACTCTGTCTCAGAAAAAAAAAAAAAAATTCTAAAGATTACATTTAGAATTTAGTCTTTTTAAAGTGTCCATGTATAAAAATATATAATTTTTAAAATTACTAAATGTTGCCTTTTCTCTTAGTCTAATATTTTAGCTACTAAAACAAAATATAAACTGGATAGCTTATAAACAACATAAACTTATTTCTCACAGTTTTGGAGGCTGTGAAGTCCAAGATTAAGGCACTAACAGATCTAGTGTCTGGTAAGGCAAATTTCTGGCTCATAGATGGTACCTTCTTGCTGTGTCCCCACATGGTAGATGGGAAGAACTGGTCTCATTGGCCCCTTATAAGGACATTAATTCCACTCAATAGGCTCCACCCTCATGATCTAATAACCTCTCAAAGGCCCTACCTCCTAATACTAACACATTGAGGATGTGACTTCAACTTTACATTTCTACAGGCAGAGAAGTGGGGCTGTGTAAATTCTTCCCATCAGTACTTGAATGTTCATTTAACAAATAACTTATCGAGCATCTAGCATGTTCCAGACACAATCTGAACACTGAGCACACAACAGTTGGAACAAATATGATTCCTATCCTCATGGAGCTTCTATTCTCCTGTGAAAAACAGATGTTAAACATGATTGAGGATTAGGTTTCAACATAAGAATTCTAGGAGGACACAGACATTTAGACCATAGCATCTTCAGGTAAACTTTATCTTCAGTAAATTAAAGAGATCTATTTAGATGACCTTTGAGCATCTTAATTATTAGATGTCAGTGCTAGTTTAACTTATTTTAAACGTTTCAGATATTTATTTAATTATACTTTAAGTGTCTCATGTAAAAAAGTTATTTATAAAATAATTTATAGGGTTAGAGTCATTGCCCTTTTAATGCAACAAATAAACAGTTTTTTAAAAACCTGCATGGGGGCCAGGCGCGGTGGTTCATACCTGCAATCCCAGCACTTTGGGAGGTCGAGGCTGGCGGATCACGAGGTCAGGAGATCGAGACCACCCTGATTAATGCGGTGAAATCCCGTCTCTACTAAAAATACAAAAAATTAGCCAGACGTGGTGGTGGGCACCTATAGTCCCAGCTACTCGGGAGGCTGAGGCAGGAGAATGGCATGAACCCGGAAGGCGGAGCTTGCAGTGAACCAAGATCGCGCCACTGCACTCCAGCCTGGGCGACAGAGTGAGACTCCATCGCAAAAAAAAAAAAAAAAAAACCTGCATGGAAGCCTAGTATATTTATTAATAACAAATAAATTATACTTTAGTGTACTATTAACCTATACCAATTTTAAGTTGTGATTAGGGAATGGGGATGTTTTTAAGCTGAATTGTCTTGCTGCGGAACTTTCCTTTTTTAATAAGACCATATTATGACTCTGAATGCTCAAGGGTAAGTCTAAGGCCTCATTGCTGTTACCAGGAGATTTTTCTAGTTACAGTAATAAAGATGTTAATTCACATGCATGCAGACAACTGAAACTCAAGTGGAGAATTTGTTTGTGAACAAGTCATACTACTTCTGTTATTTGCATGAATGGAATCTGCAATATCTTTTTCCATGGGAGACCCTAAAAGAAAACCCTGGATCAGAATGATCTGCAGTTTCAGATAATAAAGGCTTTTAAGAGACATTTTTAGAATTAAAAATATGCTAATTTTATTAAATGAAAATATTTGTAACTGTTAACTTTCTCACTGACAAAGCAAGTTTCTCAATAAAATACCTATTTTAACTTGCATTACTGACATCTTTTCTTTGAGTAATCTGAATAATGCAGAAGCCATCATAGAGGTCTTTTCTATACATTCTCAATGTTTTCTTAAATGGGTTTCCTGAGTTCTGTTCTTCATGACTCTGGGCTCTGCAAACAGGGTTTCCCAATTACGCATTCTATAAACACTTTTATGAATGAGTCAATATGACATTGAGTCCTTTTCATACATTTCATCATTTCCAATATGTAGAGTGACAGCTAGAAAAATGATAAAATTTTGATTAAAACCTATCTCTTTTTCTTCAGCATAGTCAATTGTTTTCTTAACTCTCAATGAGTAACTCCATGCCTAGCTTGTGCTTAGCTTTCAATATTTTTAGACTAAGACAAAGTGTATTTGGCATTTTGAGAACAACAATTAATGGTCAGTAAATTTCTAAAGCAAGAAAAATGTGAAACTAGTGTTTTATATGTTTGTTACGCAGCAGAATGCGGCTCTTAGTGTTTGCCCCTTCATATCTCATCATGTAAAATATTAAATTACTTTAGGCCACTGCACATAGGTAGTCCTGTCATGAGTGATGGCTGGAGAAAAGTTCAGGATCATAAATGTTATCATCATTCTTCAAGAAAAGATGAGATTATAAATTTCTGCAATTGGTATGATAAAAGGTTGAAATAATTAATGAAAAAGAAAACATTAGCTCTGTAGACCTGTTTTGGGCACACTTTACAAGAAGAAACTAACTCTCCAAAATTCTAGGCTATGTAGTTATTTCTAAAGCAAAACTTTTGATTCATGATTAACATATATAAGCTGGTGTTTTCATCAAAGATCAAACAAAATAGCCTTGTCTAGAATACTCGTATTATTCCCCTGGCTTATTAAGTAATGGTAAATAATACCAGTATCTAAGAGGTGACAGGTTGACCTGAGACTTATCAAAGGATACCAAGTTGTGCAGATAGATTGTCTAGCTAGTTTCTTCAACTTTACATTTCTACAGGTAGAGAAGAGGGCTGTGTAAATTCTTCCCATCAGTACTTGAATATTCATTTAACAAATATGTATCGAGCATCTAGCATGTGCCAGACACAATCTGAACACTGAGCACACAACAGTGGGAATAAATATGATTCCTATCTGCATGGAGCTTCTATTCTGTGAAAAACAGATGTTAAACATGATTGACCTGTGACCAGGATCACCTGTGCCTCCAAGAGTATTAGAGAGACCTTCTGGTGTGAGGAAAACTCCCCTGAGGAAGTCATATTTTAGCAAAACTCTAAAGGGTGTCAAGTATTACTTATATAAAAGGGAGCACATGGAATGAATAGTGCAAGCAGACAAATACGGCCATGAGGAAGGCACATTCAAGGACATGAAAAAGCAGCATAGTAGAAACCTAAAAAACAACGGTTGAAGGTGTAATAAGATATAAATGAGGCAGATCAGTGGGATCCCTTTGGTATTTAAAGAGGTTTAGGCTGGGCACAGTGGCTCACGCCTATAATCCCAGCACTTTGGGAGGGCAAGGCAGGTGGATCACCTGAGGTCAGGAGTTCTAGATCAGCCTGGCCAACCTGGTAAAACCCTGTCTTTACTAAAAAATACAAAAATTAGCCGGGCGTGGTGGCAGGCGCCTCTAATCCCAGCTACTCGGGTGGCTGAGGCAGGAGAATCGCCTGAACCCAGGAGGCAGAGGTTGCAGTGAGCTGAGAATGCGACATTGCACTCCACACTCCAGCCTGGGGGACAAGAATGAGACTTTGTCTCAAAAAAAAAAAAAAAAGTTTTAGACTCAAAAATAAGAAAATTAACAACCTAGGTAAACAATGGGCAAAAGATCTGAACAGACAACTCACCAAAGAAGATAAACAGATAAAAGCATGTGAAAATGTCCAACACCATATATCATCAGGGAATTGTAAATTAAAACAAGATACCATTACACACCTATTAGAATGGCCAAAATCCAAAATGCTGACAACAATAAATGCTGACAAGAATATACGGCAACAGAAGCTCTTATTCATTGCTGATAGGGATGCAAAATGGTAGCCACTGTGGAAGACAGTTTGGCAGTTTCTTGGGAAACTAAACATAGTCTTACCACATGATCCAGCAATTGTGCTCCTTAGTATTTACAAAAAATTAGTTGAAAACACGTCCACACAGAAACCTTCACATGGATGTCTACGGCAGGTTTATTCATAATTTTCAAAACTTGGAAGCAACCAAGATGTCCTTCAGTAGTAGTATATTCAGACAATCGAATATTACTTAGCACTAAAAGAAATGAGCTATCAAGTCATGAAAAGACATGCAGGAACCTTAAATGGATATTACTAAGTAAGTTAAAGAAGACAATCTTAAGAGGTCACATACTGTATGATTCCAATGATATGACATATGGAAAAGGCAAAACTATGGAGACAGTAAAAAGATCAGTGGTTGCCAGGGGTTGGAGGGAGGGTGGGATAAATAGGCAGAACACAGAAGATTTTTAGGGCAGTGAAACTACTCTGTATAATACTATAATGGTGGATACATGTCATTTTATAATTATCAAAGCCCATAGGATGTACTACATCAAGAGTGATCTCTAACTTGAACCATGGCCTTTGGGTGATAATGTGTCAATGTAGGGCCATTGATTCTAACAAATGTACCATTCTGGTGCTGGGATGTTGATAGTGGGGGAGGCTATGCATGTATGCTGATAGGGGCTGTATTGGAACTCTGTACTTTCTGTTCAATTTTGCTGTGAACCTAAAACTGCTCCAAAAAATAAAGTCTCTTTTAAAAAAGAGTTTTAGGAGGGGAATTCATAATCAGATTTAAATTTGTAATAGATTGGCTGCAGTGACTCATGTGGGTGGAAATAAAGAACAAAAATGGGTGTAGGAGAACAGTTAACGCAATGGTCTAGCTAAAAGACGGTGCTAGTTTAGGCCAAGGTGGCAGCAAAGGAGAAGGTGAAAACATGCTGCCCCTAGAGAGGGAAATAAGATTCCCGTAAGTGTAACGAACTGTTTGCCCTTAGTTTCCTCATCTATTAAAGGAGAGAAGAGGAGTATAGGGGTTAGAAGACAGCCTATCACTGAACCAAACTTAAGGCAAACAGAATCAACTGAGTTCTTGAGTCAGACATCTTTTCTTTTGTAATGTCAACCCTCTATTAGACAAGAGCAGTATCAGGCAGACGATGGTATTTATGAGAGAACTTTGAACACATAACTTCCTGAGCACTCTTTGAATATAATGACCCACTTCTTTATTAACCTAATTGTGCTGATAGTGACTAGTAAATATGATAATGTAACCAAATACCAAAATGGACATTCTAGGAACTCAAAAATACTTAGTGTTATTTTCAGTTGGATTTTTCTTTTGTTTATATTTGCAATTTTGAGTCTTACTTGGTAATCTTTATGTAACCTAAACAATGTTTTATAAACTTTAGGAAGCTATTACTCATGTATAAAGTTCATAAAAGTTCATAATATATAATGCATTATAGTGTTCAAAATGTTATAATGTTCATAATATACTAATAATTCTATTTCATTGCCACTACCTCATTCTTGTTTCTGTTTTCACTGAGTGAACAGAAGTAAACAATGAGAGAGATTTCAGACCCAGAAACAGTATATCCTAAGGTTTTGGTTCTTTTATCTTATTCTCTAATCTCCCAAACAAGCTCTTCTAAAAATATATCTTATTAACATAAAAGCCTATTAAGGAGAATGACCCTAAAAATGCTAGATAATCAGAGCTACAAGCTCACTGGTTAGCCAAGTCTTGACAAAGAGCATGTTTGAGTTTAACAAAAGTGCATTTGCAGAACTAATATACTGTATTGACAATGTGTAAATCTAGACATTTTTCTTGTTAGAGCTGGTTAATGTTTGCCTAAAGCACAAACAACTTACCACTTGAGATATTTTTCATGACTAAAGAAAAATCTGCTTTCTTGATGTAACTGACAAAATGATTTGAGGGTACTACATAATTATAATAAATATAAATCCATGCGTCATTTTAATGTTTCACTCTTTATATATAATTGAATACTTAGTTATTGTGACAAAAAGTTACTATGGCTAAAGAAAATAATGCAAGTACATCACCTGAAATAACACCTGTATCCCACGATACATGAATCCAATTCCAATGCTGTTTTCTTTCTATTTCAGCAACACTATACGTAGTTTAATAGTCAAGATACCACTTGAATACTATCCAAGAATAATCAGATCTGCTCAAGTTAGGTTTATATAATTTACCAAGGTGATAGATTCTGACTTTGAAGATTACTGACCACTGATCACTAAGAACTAATATTAGCTGACCATATGATCACTAAGAACTAACTTTGACTGATAAATTTGACTGATAAATTTGAATTTCATCTTTTGTACACTGAGGAAAGAGATTAACAATTTTCTCCACATCAAGATGCTTGTTTTGAAGGATTGATTCCATCTCTCTGAATAGTTCTTTCTCCAGTTTCCTCATGTTGTCCAACATTATTTTGGCTTTTTCCTAAACAATTAAAAATATAAAGATAAACACATATACATATACACATAAATCTAACCAAATTCAACCCATCTCTACAAATAAGGTTTGTTCATGCTGGCTTCTGATTGTGGTTTGGTTCCCTTCTTGTTCTTTAGAGACAGAAAGAATGAAATGAAATTCTTTGGGAAAATCATTGCTCTAGATTGAGTTAATGCATGAATACCAAATTATTTTTAGTAGAAAAGACAAAAACAATTATAAGAGTAGTTTATAAGTAAAAAACCTAAAAGACAACAGGACAATAGAAAATCTCATATGAACTGTGTATGTGGAAGGTTGCTGAAAACTGAGGCTGAAATATTTTTATCAATTTTGATCTTTTACATTTAAAACCAATATTATCAGATTAATACAATAGAACAATAATGTTCAGGAAAAAATCAACCAAAAGAAGACATTTCCTCTATGACTTCATCCTTATTCAATAAAGGGAGAAAAAAGGTCTATGATTCTTACAGAAAGAAGTAATTTTTAAATTGTTGATGAATCACCATGATCAGTTATAAGGTACTTATCTAAAGAAAAAGTATGTAAGAAAAAACTTGGCCAGGCGCAGTGGCTCACGCCTGTAACCCCAGCACTTTGGGAGGCCATGGCGGGTGGATCACGAGGTCAGGAGTTCGAGACCAGCCTGCCAATATGGTAAAACCCCGTCTCTACTAAAAATACAAAAATTAGCTGGGCGTGGTGGCGCACGCCTGTAGTCCCAGCTACTCGGGAGGCTGAGGCAGGAGAATCGCTTGAACCTGGAAGGCGGAGGTTGCAGTGAGCTGAGATCGCACCAGGGCACTCCAGCCTGGACGACAGAGTGAGACTCTGTCTCAAAATAAATAAATAAATAAAAAGTTACTAGAAAGTGAGCATAATTTGTTTTTGTTTTTGTTTTGTTTTGTTTTGTTTTGGAGATGGAGTCTCATTCTGTCGCCCAGGCTAAAGTGCAATAGCACAGTCTCAGCTCACTGCAACCTCCGCCTCCTGGGTTCAAGCGATTCCCCTGCCTCAGCCTCCCGAGTAGTTGGTATTACAGGCACCCGCCACCAAGCCTGGCTAATTTTTGTAGTTTTAGTACAGACGGGGTTTCATCATGTTGGTCAGGCTGGTGTCAAACTCCTGACCTAAGTTGATCTACCCGCCTTGGCCTCCCAAAGTGCTGGGATTATAGGCGTGAGCCACCGCGCCCGGCCTGTGAGCATAATTTTTAAAATTTGAACCATTATGGGGTAGAACTCTACAAAACAAATAACCTTAACATGGACTTCAGTATGAAATTGTATGCAGCTTTTTTCTGAGGAAACACTACATTTCATATTAGTGGGAAAAAAATGGATTTTGTCTATAAATGGTATTGGAATAATTTGTTACCTTTTTGGAAAACAGAGTTAAAATCCCTACTTCATCAAATACACAAAAGTAAATTCCAGATGGACTAAAGAACTAAATTTTTAAAAAACATATATATGCTAGAAGTTATATTTATATTGAGGTGAGGCAGGCCTTTTGAAACATGAAATCAAGGTGCCTTAAAGCAAAAGACTAATAAATATAATTGACTAAGTTTAAAATTTTTGTCTGACAAAAAAGCTAAATGTCAAACAATAAACTGGGATAAAATTCCGCCTTATTACAAACAGTTAATATTCACATATTTTTACCTATTTAAACCAAAAAACAAAAATAACCCAAAATCAATGGAAAAATAGCCTAAGGGAAAAAATAGACAAGTAATTTAAAATAAAATACTCATGACCAATAGACATAGGAGAAGGCTTTTAATCTTACTAGTAATCAAGAAATGTAAATTAAAACTACCAATAGGATTGACTCTCCCTAACACACAAAAGTAGTTATTTACAGAGCCAGGACCAGAACCCAGCTCTTTTACTCTTCTTCCCTCAAATTCCATTATCTTTCCACTACTTTAAGTTGTCAATCGACATCTTATGATTTTTAAGTAAAGCCTAAAATACTTACAGCTTTAGAATTTTTATTTAAAAATAAAAAATTTAAATAAAAATTTTCAAATAAAAATAAGAAGTCTGGCAGAGCTTGTTGCTTTGAGCATAAGTGAAATAGGTGAGAGAAAAAAAGGCATAGAAACAATGCCAACACTGCAGACAAAAATAAATAAATTATTACCTGGAGGAAAATTCATTTAATCCGTTTCAGTGTGGACAGAATGTAAATGTATATGCCTTGACAAAGTAAAAGGAATTACAGGCAAGAAAAACCAGGAGGTAGAAACAGACGAGAAAAGATTTAAGATGGTTAATGTTTTCTTTCATTGCAGGGGGTCAACAGATGGATGGCTTTAGGCAGCCTTTCTATTCGCTTCTTATCCATTATTTTTCTTTAGCGAGCTGAATAGGTATAGACATTATAAAATGACCTATCTATCTATACCAGAAAAAAATAAATCCTTATTTCTAGAGAAGAGATTTTGAGTGATATATTGCTCTTATATAATGCTTACATTTTAAAATAATGAGGATGTATCACTTTTTAAAAACTAAAACTCATTATTATTTTAAGTCTCTGGGGTTTTAAGTCACTTTCAATTAATTTTAATCTGGGTCTGTATCATCAAGAACATTACGTTAAGAAACCAGGTCAACCGCTCTTTGGAGGCTTTGTAATTTTTGGTGTGGGATATATACTAAGCAAGTTACTCAAACTCTCCTAGACTCAGATACTTTATCAGCAAAGTGGGAATCAAAATAGTACCCATTTCATAAAGTGGTTGTGAAGATTAGATAAAATAATTCATGTAAAAGTGCTATGTAAGTGTTCAACAAATGTTAGCTATTATTATTATGTTTAATGTACTAAGTTTCTCTACAAGATTCACATACATGTATTCATAACCAAAGATAAAAATAATACAGCTCTACTATAGTCTGAGCATCTAAACTATTCCTAAAACTATTTCTTATAAGAAGGGAGGAAAGCTGATACTCCAAAGTTCAAAATACGGATTGAATCTAACTTTACACTTAATGATATAACAAAGAATATAATCTAGCATACCTCATTATTATTTACTACTTCCAATGCCTGTTGATGTTTTTGGTAGAGTGGGTGTCTTCTGTCAGGCTTAAAATGTGATTTCTTTTTAACTAGATCTTCAAGTTCAAATGTTGGTGAACTGGTATCCAATAGTTGTGAAATATGTGGCACAAATATGAAAGGCTTAAAAACAGATCTAGAAAAAAGAGTCTTTATTAAATTATCATGTCAATATATAAAAATATTCAGTGTTAGTCTAAGTCTTCTAAGATTCTCTCAATTAGAAGTTTCTGTTAATGATGCTACATACTAACTTGTTCCTGTCACATTAGTTATACCCATGCCTGTCTTCCCTGGGGACACTGGGATCTCCTTTGGGGCAGGGAACCATACTTTATTTAGTGTTGTGTTCCCATGAACCTAACAGAGGACCTGGCACATAAACAGTGTCAGCAAAGTAATAGTTTGTCTTTCCTACTTCACATTCCACAGTTGGAGGATAAGAACAACCTTTAATGTTACAGAAGAGGATTAGGACTTGGGGTGAACATCAGCGCCAGTGTCAGTAAAGGAGGACACATGCTGGGCACAGTGGCTCATGCCTGTAATCCCAGCACTTTCAGAGGTCAAGGTGGGAGAATCTCTTGAGACCAGGAGTTCAAGAATAGCCTTGGGCAACATAGCCAGAACCCCATCTCCACAAAAAAATTAAAAATTAGCCAGGCATGGTGGCATGCACCTGCAGTACCAGCTATTTGGGAAGCTAAGGCAGGAGGATCACTCGAGCCCAGGAGTTCAAGGCTACAGCATGCTGACTGTGCCACTGCACTCCATTCTAGCCTGGGTGACAGAGCAAGGCCCTGTGTCAAAAAAAAAAAAAAAAAAAAAAAAAAGGAAGACTTGGCCGGGTGCGGTGGCTCACGCCTGTAATCCCAGCATGTTGGGAGGCCGAGGTGGGCGGATCACAAAGTCAGGAGATCAAGACCATCCTGGCTAACACAGTGAAACCCTGTCTCTACTAAAAATACAAAAAATTAGCTGGGTGTGGTGGCGCACGCATGTAATCCCAGCTACTAGGGAGGCTGAGGCATGAGAATCTCTTGAACTTGGGAGGCAGAGGTTGCAGTGAGCTGAGATCATGCCATTGCACTCCAACCTGGGTGACAGAGCGAGACTCTGTCTCAAAATAGTAATAATAATAATTAAATAAAACTGGAACTATTGATATTTTAAGTTTCACATGTATTTTCTAGATACAAGTGCATAAGTAAATCCTGCACAACTACATCATTTAACATTTTTACTGTTATGAATTATCTAATATCATATCTGAAATGTGAGTAAGAAAATCTATCTACTTTCTTTTCTTGACTATGTTAAATCTATTTGTACGAAGAAGGAGTAGGGATAACGCATACAAGAAACTATTCACATTTCCTTCCCATAAAAAGAGAACAGTTACACATTTGTGGATATTGCAGATTAAAGCCTGAACAGAAAATATATTAAAAATTATTGTCCTAGTTGTATAACAAAAATTTATCCTGACAAAATTATTAACATACTAATGACTCTACTCCATCCCCTGACCCCTTGCTGGTTTATAGTATTTTGTGGCTTCACCTCTCAGGATCAGGAGTCCCTGTAAAGAAGTGAATGCAAGGAAGGCTGGAGTCTTGAGGTAAAATAGAAACCATGCTTGCAGTGGTCAGGAATTCTCCCTCCATATTAATGCCACTTGGTTTATCTCGAAGAATTTCCATCATTGTTTCAAAAGTTATATTTCCTAGAGAAATAATTTTTAAAATCATCAAATACATATGCATATACGGATGCCTTGCAAATATGAACTGCTTTCTCTACTGATAATATGTGAGATATTAGTCTTGACATAAATTAAGAGACTGACTATAAACAAACTTTGTATCAACTACAATTAGATTCATTCCACTGTCACAGGAAAGGTATGTTATTTTAAATATAAACTATGCAAAGTCTCAAAGCCATTGTAACAGGTAAAAAAATCCCTAGAAAAAGGAATTAATAACGCAAAAATATATTCAATCCCATTGCCCTTACAGAATTTTTTTTTTTTTTTTTTGAGACAGAGTCTTGTTCTGTCAGGCTAGAGTGCAGTGGTGCAATCTTGGCTCACTGCAATCTCTGTCTCCTGGGTTCAAGTGATTCTCGTGCCTCAGCCTCCCAAGTAGCTGGGACTAAAGTCGCATGTCACCATGCCCAACTAATTTTTGTATTTTTGGTAGAGACAGGGTTTCACCATGTTGGCCAGGCTGGTCTTGAACTCCTGACCTCAGGTGATCCTCCCCAGCTCGGCCTCCCGAAGTGCTGGGATTACAGGTGTGAGCCACTGCACCCAGCCTATGCCTGCTAATTTTAAAATTTTTCTGTAGAGATGGGGGTCTTGCTATGTTGCCCAGGCTGGTCTCCAATGCCTGGCCTTAAGCAATCCTCCCCCATCAGCCTCCCAAAGTGCCAGGATTACAGAAATGAGCCACTGTGCCTAGGCTTTTGTCTTTAATTGAAAAAATTAAGTAAATATAATATAGTTACTGATGATTTGGATTTAAGTAGACCATTTTATTATTAGTTTTCTATATATTCCATCTATTCTTTGTCTCTTTTTCTCCATTCTTGTCTTCTTTTTATCAATTATTTATTACTCCAGTTCTCCCATCAGCTTATTATTTATACACTTAAAAAAATCTTATTACTTTCTCTTGATTTACTACAGTGGGCCTTAAATTAACTCTTTACCACTTACCAATTAACGCAAGCAGGACCCATACAGAACTTAGCTCCAATTACTGCCTATCTTTTGTGCTATTCTAATGCACTTTAATTTCTACTGTGTTCGTCTGGGTCTTCTGAGAAGCAGATGCCACAACATGGGATCAAATATTTTAGGAGAAATGCCTGTGACAGAAAATGGGGAGGGAACCTGGAAAGCCTCAGAGAATCATCAGACTATGATACAATCTGAAGTCTGAGTTTAGTAGAGAAGGAAGAGAAGTTGGAGAAGTATCCCAGGCTGCCATGCCATCTAAGGAAAGCTGGGCCAGGCTGTCAGGGAGTCCTTGATCCAAGTCAGCCATTAGAGGAGTCCTGTGTATCCCTAGAATGGACCTGCCTTTGTCTCCCTGCTGCTCTCAGTCACTGGCTAAAAGCATCCTGTGAAAAATAGAGTGCTCCATGAAATCCATGCACAATAGACTTTAAGCACTGCAGCTGTGGCCATTGGTTAGAAAGTTATTATTATTTTCAACAATGTTTGTCTAGTTTTACCTATGTATTTACTGTTTCTGTTGCTCTTCATCTACTCCTGCGTACCTTGCTTCTATCTGCCTGAAGAATGCCCGTTAGCATTTCTTTTAGTGCCAATTAGCTAGTAATTCTCTGTTTTATTTCACCTCTATTTTTAGAGGATATTTTTCACTAGATATACAATTCTAAATTAGTAGTTTATCTTTCTCCATCACCTTAAAGTTGTCATTTTACAATCTTTAGAATCCCCTCCCTTCTGTTGAAAAGTTAGCTGTCAGCTTTATATTTGTTCCTTGAAGATATTTTTTTTCCTCTGGATGTGTTTCAGATTTTTCTGTCTTTTTTCCCCCTCAGAAATCTTACTATGATGGGCCTAGGTGTGGCTTCCTCTTATTTGTCCTTCTCGGGATTTGCAGAGCTTCTTGAGGCTGTTGCTTGATGACTTTTATCAGTTTGGGGAAATTCTTGGCCAGTATCCTTCAACTATTGCTTTTGCCCTTCCCTATTTTCTCTCCCCTTTCCTGTTGAGTCTCCAATCTTATGTATGTGAGACCTTTTCACTGAGTCCTATACATGCTTCTCAGATCCTTGTCTATATTTTCTAAACTTTTATTTCTGTTTGAATTGGAATCTTTTCTACTGATCCTCCAGTTCACTAATGTTTTTCTCCTGTTATACCTAATCTGTTGTTAAATCAATCTATTGGATTCTTAATTTCAGTTATAATTTTTCAGTTGTATTATTTCCATTTGGTTCTTTTACAGACTCCAGTTCCCTGATGAAATTCTCCATCTTTTCTTCTAATTATTTTGAATATATAATAGTAATTTCAAAGTCTGTTTCCAATAAAGCTAATGTGTAGACAGCCTGTGGGTCAGTTTCTACTATCTACTTTTTCTCTTGGTTTTCAGTCATTTGGTCTTATTTCTTAGCATGCCTGATACTTTCCATTGAATGAAATTTTACAGAGGCTCTGCATGATATTTTCTTTCGCAGAGCATTTAATATTCTTTTGGCAACCAGATAGAATATAGGTAGATTACCTTGATCCAGTGTTGAGACTAGTCTATCCCTTGTTTGTTCTTACTCTTCCTAAGGAGTAGCATTTCTGGGATCTCAATTGAAAGCTTAGGGGTATTTCCCAGGTACCTTCTTCTCGGCTGGCCCTCCAGTCAAATTTTTGTCCCTAAGGCCTTGTGAGACTGCAAAAAAAAATCTCTGCTTAGCTTTTAAGGCTCCTAGCAGCTACTTTCTGCTTGATTTCTCAGTGTTGTGTCTCATCCTACCTATGTGCTGCTTAGAAGTTGGCAATTGCGTTAAGAAACTGTGACACAGAAAGTCAAGGTCTTCTCAATGTGTAGAGTCTTCTCTCAGCCTTCAGGATCTAGGCCCTTCGTCTCTACTCTTTTGTGTACTCTTTTGGGTATTCATCCATGTCTTCCAACAAGAGAGGTTTTTTCCCTGCAGATCTCATAGCTATTCCTGGAAGGAAGTTGGTCTAATACCAGTTACTCCTTCATAACCAGCCCTGTGCTTTTTAACCACTCCACTGCACTATTATGCCTCCCATTTATTAAATACATAAGTCTCTTTTTATCCTGAAGTAGTACCAATTTCTTAATAACAGTAATGAATGTGGTGAATCCAGGTAACAAGTAACAAGTACAGTTTAAAAAACAACAACAACAACAAAAAACACAGGCCAGGCAAGCTGGCTTATGCCTGTAATCCCACCAGTTTGGGAGTCTGAGGCAGGAGTATCACTTGATACTGTGAGCCCAGGAGTTTGAGACCAGCCTGGGCAACATGGCAAGTCCGCCGTCTATTACCAAAAAAAAAAATTTAGCCAGGTGTGGTAATGCATGCCTGTAGTTCCAGCTTCTCAGGAGGCTGAGGCAGGAGGATTGTTTAAGCCCAGGAGATTGAGGTTACAGTAAACTATGATCGTGCCACCGCACTCCAGCCTGGGCGACAGTGCAAGACCCTGTCAATCACTCAATCAATCACAAAACATAGTTTCTGCCAACAGATATTTTTAGATACTTTATATGGAAATGTTTAATTATTGTATTTCCATGAGTTCTAAAGAAACAAAAAAACTTTCATTTAATATGGTTGATTAAACACAGGTATCTCCTTCCTCTCTCTCAAAACCCTATAATGACAGTAAAAGAATTAAAAAATGAAGTAACTCATAAAAACAAAGAGAGCATGAAAAGCAAGAATCTCTCCCCCAACTATTCCCATAATTGGGAATTAAAAGAAAAAGCTCACAGCAAGCCTGTATCCAAATTGTAATTCACAATATTTCAAATTAAAACTGACTTCCATATAAAATAATCTAATGTTCTGCCCTCAGTTAATTATGCAGGCTACCAACTATTTTATGTTAATGACAACAGATTTATACAAGTCTACATTCTCTTATCCAGTTTCTCCACAATATAGCCATTACTTCAAAATCAAGAAAAATAACTTATTGAATTTATAGATAACTTGTTACAGAAATAATATATTTCTGTTAGTTTTGAAAAACACAGTAAAGAAGGTGCGCCTAAAAGCAGCCCTTAATATTAAAACTAAACAATAAAGCAAAAACCTGCCATCCACACCTATATATCAGGCACATAGTTTCAACACCTAGTGAGCCTTAAAAATGATTCAAATCCAAATTCCTATAAATGGCAAGTTTTAATAAAAAACAGTGTCAGAACCATAATACTGTGATAATACAGGTATTATGAAAATATTTTCTGTATTCAAAACCTACAATTCTCAAAATGAAAGGAGGATTTACATGATCACTTGAGTGGGATAGCCATAAGTAATCCACTAGCAAGCACTGAGTAAGTACTGAGACTGCAGTGGCAGGGTTCAGTAAAATAAATGCAAAACATAGGGTGTAATTTCATTGCAATTTAAGCTAGTTATTTAAAATATATGAGTGAATATAGATTCAATTTGGATATACATGCAGCACAGTTAACAGCTATCAGGTAGGGATAGTTGGAAAGAAGAGAGGTAGGCTGTTCTAACTAGAAAAATCATAGGAAAAATTAACTATAACGTACTGGTAGACAATTTTCTGTGAAAGTATTAGAAAGACATATTCTTTTGTCAAAGCACAGAAAGCTAGATGAACTATATTTCACACTTGAGAAAAAGTAAGTTTCATGTCAGATGCATCTATTCCTATAATCATGTATGCATTTCAAATCTATGATTCAGTTATTCTTAAATATAACTGAATTATTATTATGATGTAGTAGCTAATTGGCTTATAATTATTTCTTTTTTCTTTCTTTCTTTTGTCCAATTACCCTAAACCTTAGAATTCTTGGCATTTTCCTCTCCATCTTGATTATGCATTGTTGTTCTTCATTTTTAAAGAATATCTGCTAAATTTATTTCCTGAGCCTTTAAGTTTATTACTAGCAAAAAGTATGCAACAGTGATCTTTGTTAAGCTATCTGCAAATTACAATTTAATTCAAATCAACTAACAATACTTTGTTAATTTATTCAATACTTACTAAGCACACACAACATAATGAATTAGGTGCTGAGAGAAAAATACGACAAGTAAGAAAGTCCATTTTTTTCAGTTTCATAGAGAAGAGCACAAACACTGCTGGTTTCTTCATTTGTAAAATGAAGATATCTATTTCACATGGTTGCTTAGAGAATAATATAATTAGGCCAGGTGCGGCGGCTGACGCCTGTAATTCCAGCACTTTGGGAGGCCGAGGTGGGCGGATCATGAGGTCAGAAGTTTGACACCAGCCTGGCCAACAAAATGAAACCCTGTCTCTACTAAAAATACAAAAAATTAGCTGGGCTTGGTGGTGAGTGCCTGTAATCCCAGCTACTTGGGAGGCTGAGGCAGGAGAATCGCTTAAACCCGGGAGGCAGAGGTTGCAGTGAGCTGAGATCATGCTACTGCATTCCAGCCCAGTCGACAGTGTAAGACTCTGCCTCAAAAAAAAAGAATAATATAATTAAATCATTTAGCACAGTATCTGGCCCTTGATAAAAGCACTTAATAAATGGGAGTAGGTGTTGCTGCAACAGCTACTCCTGATCTACTTTTTTTTTCTTTTTTTAAATTTTGAGTTCCGGGATACATGTGCAGGACATGCAGGTTTGTTACATGGGTAAACGTGTGCCATGGTGGTTTGCTGCACCTATCAACCCATCACCTAGGTATTACGCCCCACATGCATTAGCTATTTTTCCTGATGCTCTCCTTTTACAATAAGTCTAAAATTAAAATCCTTAGTATAACATGCTTTAGCATTTTCTACATATCTATCTACATGGGGGAAAAAGATAGTTTAGATAACCTATTTATTAAACTATAACATTAAGAAACTTTACAGAAAACTTTTCAAATTATAACATGTTCTTTTGGAAATTAAAATATAAATAAGATATTAACTACTTTGAAAACAATAATGTAAAGGCATTCTATAAATATTCTGTCAAACGTTTTCCTTTTTTTATACTGAGATTGGATTTATTTAAATAGCTGTATTAGCACCAAACAACACTAATAATAAAAAGTAAAAGAAACATATATACAGGGGAATGTACTCATAACTTCACGTAAAAAGATCCTTTGCCACTTCCTGTGTACCTGTCAATAAAAGACTGAAAATATCCAACAGCATCAGCTTTATTCTAGAGTCTCACTCTATTTTTGCTACAGGTCTGAGTTAATATCTTGACTTTCAAGTAGATAGGAGTGCCCACCTCCTAAGACTACTCCTACCCTATGCTCCACCCTCAATCACCAACACCTTTTGGGTGAAGTTCTAAACCCAGGAAGGGAAGAGGATGAGTTGTCCTCTCAGACAAAGGAAGATGCAAATCATCCCTCTGGGATGGTTAGGTTATTATCTCAGAGTAGTTGATTCTTCTAAAATGGAAAACTACACTCTTTACCCTCAAATCTTCCATCTATCCTATCTCTACAAATGGCATTTCCAACTGTTCACTGGTTCCCAGCAGAAACCTGGTATTCATTTATGACATCTTTCTCTCTCTAACCTTCACTCTAATTAATTAAGTCCTGTCCATTCTGCCACCAAAGTATATGCCAAATCTGTCCACTTTGCTCCAACTCCATGCCACCACTGCTATTTCTGGGCTAGCTAACCTTTAAGAAAATTAGAGAAAGGAGCCTCTTCTTTGGGGCAGATAGTGGGGCTGGATTTCAGCCCTACTTACCCCCTTGTGCAGGGCATGATCTCCATAACCTTGCTTGGTGGCCCTGGACCCCAGACCAAGCCATCCTGTACTGTTGTAATCAATTCCTTAATGTTTTGGCCACACCCTCATAATAACTACCATATAATTTGTTTAATGAATACATGAGAAGCAAATATCAATCACTGATCCATCTCAGAGTAGTTGCTTTCTGACCGCTTTATAGAACCATTTACCAGCCAGGCACAATGGCTCGCACCTGTAATCTCAGCACTTTGATAGGCCAAGGTGGGCAGATGGTTTGAGCCCAGGAATTCGACACCACCCTGAACAACATGGTGAAACCCTAGCTCTACAAAAAATACAAAAATTAGCCTAGCATGGTAGTGCACACCTGGAATCCCAGCTATTTGGGAGGTTGAGGCACGAGAATAGCTTGAACCCAGGAGGCAGAGGTTGCAGTGAGCTGAGATTACGCCACTGCACTCCAGCCTGAGTATTGGATCGAGACATTGTCTCAAAAAAAATTTTTTTAATACAAACATTTTATCCTTCAAGTGAAGGAGGGTATATTAATCACATTTTTATTAGTAGCATGACCCTTTTAGCAATTATCTGCCACTCAGTAATCTAAATAAAGCTTACTTTGCTGGAATTATTTGGAAGCAAAAGGAGAAAATACATTGGAAGTTATTTTTTAAGAGTTAGTAATAACCCAACATGAAAATGGGAAAAGGATACATTAATAAACAACTCACAAAGCAATTACAAATTTTCAGTAAATGTAAGAATATATCTAATTTCACTAAAAAAAATATTAAAATTGTAACATGCCATTTTTTTTCTTATTTCTCTTTGTGGGTACATAGTAGGTGTATATATTTACATGCCATTTTGCCTACAAAATTTATAAAGGTTGAAAAAAAATCCTCTATTGATAAGCATGTTAGAAAATGGGTACTCAAATATTATTGGCAGTAATTTAAATTTATGTAACTTTTCTGGTGGTCATTTAACAATGTGTTTCAAAAACCTTCAAATGTACATAAGCTTTGACCTGACATTCTACTACAAACTCATTTTTAGAAAATAGTCATGGGGCTGGGTGCGGTGGCTTGGCTGGGTGCAGTGGCTCACGCCTATAATCCCAGCACTTTGGGAGGCCAAGGTGGGCGGCTCATTTGAGGTCAGTTAAGTTAGAGACCAGCCTGGCCAACACGGTGAAACCCATCTCTACAAAAAATAAAAAAATTAGCCAGGCGTGGTGGCAGGCACCTGTAATCCCAGCTACTTGGGAGGCTGAGGCAGGAGAATCGCTGGAATCCAGGAGGCAGAGGTTGCAGTGAGCTGAGATGGTGCCACTGCATTCCAGCCTGGGGGACACAGCAAGACTCTGTCTCAAAAAAAAAAAAAAAAGAAAATAGAAAAGAAAATAGTCATGGATATGAATATAAATAAGCTATAAGCATGTTATATAATTTCAATAATGAAAAACTAAAAATAACCCAAATAACAGGGATTTGATAGCTAAAGTATGATTCATACAATCAATCTTTATTATACAATGATTAAAATACTACCATAAGGGAATAACAAAATAATAGGATACTACATATCTGTTTTAAAAAATGAGAATGTTCTGTATATATTGAAACAGAATGATCTACATCATATATTGCTAACTGATCTACATCGTATATTGCTAACTAAAGTTATGTGGAGAAAAGTGTAAATAGCATGCTATCATTTCTGTAAAAAAAGAAAAATTACATATTTGTTTCATTAAGCATATATCATCTCTGGAAGAACACATAAGGAACTGCATATGGGAAAAAAAACTAAGTATCTCAGGACAGGGTAGGAAAGAGAGACTTCATTGTATAATCTTGTGTACTTTAGAATTTTGAATCATGTGAATATATTAATTTTTATAAGTAAAATAATATCATAGAATATTAAATGGCATGGGAAGGAGTTCTACTTTCAATGTGGCTAAGTGAGCTCCTATCAGGCCAATCCTCCCGCAGATAACTATCAACTTGGGACAAAATACAGAAAAACAACTACCTGAAGGCTCTTTACAATTAACAAATGAAGTAACATTCTGGAGGAAAGGTGAAAGTTGGGAGACAGAATGAAGCATAGGGTAAGTTTATTTTTGTTATGGCTTTAGCTTGAGGGAAGCCCATGGTCAATGCTGTGTCATTCTATGCAGACAGCAATAGAAAACTTTGGTCTTTCTGGCCTGAAGAACCAGACCTCAACCACAAGCAGTAGGAAGTGAGGGGGCAGGCTGGGTGCGGTGGCTCACACCTGTAATCCCAGCACTTTGGGAGGCCTAGGTGGGTGGAACATCTGAGGTCAGGAGTTCGAGACCAGCCTGACCAATATGGTGAAACCCCATCTCTACTAAAAATACAAAAATTAGCTGGGCATGGTGACATGTGCCTGTAGTCCCAGCTATTCAAGAGGCTGACACAAGAGAATTGCTTGAACCCGGGAGGAGGAGGTTGCAGTGAGCCAAGATCGTACCACTGCACTCCAGCTTGGGTAACAGAGCAAAACTCTGTCTCAAAAAAAAAAAAAAAAAAAAAAGGAAAGACAAAAAAAAAGAAAAGTGAGGGGGCAATCCCATAAAAGAGAGAGTCAGAGAGGAGAATTCCCAAATTCTATGTAAAAGAACTGCCCAAATCTCCATCTGATTGCTGATTAAGCATGTGTGGGGCAGACTGCAAGCAGCTCAGCTAAGGATAAAAGAGCTAAACTGAAATTTGAGTTGCCAACCAAGAGACAGAATTTGCAGGCTGAGTACAACCAACTAAAGTAGCTGCTAAAACAAGAATTATCTATTTGTTCTTAGGTGAATTTTGGTGATTTGTAGCTTTCAAGGAACTGGTTCATTTCCTCAGAAATCATGGTTTTGAGCCATCTTTTGTGGACTAGATTCCCATGTCAGTTGTTTACAAAACCTTTTTGCAGTGCTCTTTTGCTGTCCTAAAAGAGCACTATCGGCCGGGTGTGGTGGCTCATGCCCGTAATCCCAGCACTTTGGGAGGCCGAGACGGGTGGATCACCTGAGGTCGGGAGTTCAAGACCAGCCTGACCAACATGGAGAAACCCCATCTCTACTAAAAAAAATTACAAAATTAGCCGGGTGTGGTGGCACATGCCTGTAATCCCAGCTACTAGGGAGTCTGAGGCAGGAGAATCGCTTGAACCCGGGGAGGCAGAGGTTGTGGTGAGCTGAGATCGCGCCATTGCAATCCAGCCTGGGCAACAAGAGTGAAACCCCATCTCAAAAAAAAAAAAAAAAAAAAAAAAGCACTATATGGAAACTGAGCAGTTGTCTACTCTATAGGTTAGTTCTCAAAGGCTTTGGTATGCTGTTTAGGGTCAGATACACCTATGTGCAGCTTAGGGTAGGCCCAAGCATTCTTACACAACTTCATGGGATTTCTTTCCTGAGCTACTTCTGCTCCTCAATTCTCCCTGACATTCTGGCTTCCAGGGATCCCCCTTCCAGGTCCTCTAGCTAGAACAACAGAGCCTTGGTGGTCTCCCTTCTTTGCCCAACTGCTTCCCACATCTGGGTCTGCCTCTGAAGCCAAGAGGCAGGAAAACAGAGAGAGGGCAAAAAGCAACAGAATTTCTCCTGTGGTATTTGGACCACAATTCCTCTAGATGGGAGAGAATTCCCTTCCTTCAGAGTTTTAGATGCCTCCCAGCAGCTGCTACCCTCATCACATAACCATCACAAGATTGCAGATTCAGGACTGGAGTTTGCCTGGGAGCTGGGACAAGACAGAAAGAAAGCAGAAAAAAAAAAAAAATTCCCAGGAGATTTCTCCCATGCTATGTCTTGTTGGTGCCCACCTTCCCTCTCCTCAGACAAGAAAAAGAAGGTTTCTCTTGGAGCTCTTTCTGTTGACACCCAGTACACGGTTCTGGGATTCATGCTGTTTAACACAAGGCTGGATGAAATGAGAAAAACAAGAACAACAACAACCATGAAACTCACTCCTGGATCATTCCTACTTTGACTTCTGGTTTTTTTTTTGCCCTGCTAACTGCTCCGTTTTACTTTTAAGACTCCTCCGAAAGCTGTTCCATGCATTCTTTCCAGATTTTTAGTTATATTCAGAGAGAGAGAGACAGAGTAGAGTTTACTTATTCCATCTTACCCGCAACGAGAACCAGCTTCCATTAAATGTTAATGAACTATACTCTAATTATTTAATTTTTAATTAAAAAAATTTTTTTTGAGACAGAGCCTGGCTCTGACACCCAGGCTGGAGTGCAGTGGTGCAATCTCGGCTCATTGCAACCTCTGCCTCCCAGGTTCAAGCGATTCTCCTGCCTCAGCCTCCCAAGTAGCTGGGATTACAGGTGCCTGCACCATACCTGGCTAATTTTTGTATTTTTAGTAGAGACGGGGTTTCACCATATTGGCCAGGGTGGTCTCGAACTCCTGACCTCAAATGAACTGCCCTCCTTGGCCTTCCAAAGTGCTGGGATTACATACGTGAGCCACAGAACCCAGCCACTCTAATTATTATTATAAAGATGCTAAACGTGCTTAACGATTTTTTAAAAACTTGAAAGTAAAGAATAGAGAAATGGGAGTTATACAGAACGAACCAATGGAACTTGTAGAGATTAAAATTATAATAACAAATCAAAATATTACTAGATGAGATTAACAGCAGATTAAATCATGCAGAAGAAAAGAGAAGTGAACTTGAGGACATTACAGTAGAAACTATCATAATAGTCGTAGAAACTACATCTTCAACTGAACCCCCATGTAACAAATATTTTCAGTGGCAAATACATGTAGATTCATTATAGCAGATTTCCCATTTGGATGGGAAATTTGAGTAAAATATAAATATCTGTCATACCAAATATTCATATAGTGGGTATAGAAATACAGGTATGCTGGGATCTTGTCTGGTTTACTGGTTACAAACCAGTGTTTGTTCCTCACCAGGTAGCTCCAGGTGAGCCCACAAAATAAATGTGGCTGAGAGTTCAATCTCTCACAAGAAACTGTATTGATCCACATCCTGGAGCAGCAGGCAGCTCAGTTCCATCCTAAACTCTGGGTAGGGAGTGGAGTAGCATTTTTCAGACTCATAGCCGTAATAAGGAGTCCAGTTCCTGCTCCCCAAATGGATCTTTTTCACCTGTACACCTACATTCTCATGGATGTTAACACTCTAGCCTCTAAGGTGTATATCTGGTCCAGAATCCCCCAACTGACACAGAGATGAGGAGGATTGTGTGGGCCCTCTCTTCATTTTTGGTACCTGGTGATTTTCTCTTCTTGTATTTGAACTTAGCTATATATGTCTTGAATGTTTAAATATTTTATTCAACATTTCTCAAGTTTTGGAGTGGAAAGAGGGAATTCCTATATCTGCTCAGTTTGTCTTCTGGCCAGAAGTTCTATATACAAGAAAATAACTGATAAGAGTACTACCCAAAAATAAATAACAGCAGCAGCAGCAATAGTCAAAGAAGCCTGTCTCCAGGTTGCAATGAATTCTCAGAAGAAAAGTAATCTCAATTTTGTTTTAAGAATATTAATAAGAACTGAAAAAATGCATCTGAGCATTGAAAATCTGAACTTGACCTTCAAAAGAATCATGACCCTCTCACAATTGTATAATACTTACCTCAAAAAATAGGTTTATTCTGGAGGAGCCAAGATGGCCGAATAGGAACAGCTCTGGTCTACAGCTCCCAGCGTGAGCGACGCAGAAGAGGGGTGATTTCTGCATTTCCATCTGAGGTACCGGGTTCATCTCACTAGGGAGTGCCAGACAGTGGGCGCAGGCCAGTGGGAGCGCGCACCGTGCGCGAGCCGAAGCAGGGCGAGGCATTGCCTCACCTGGGAAGCGCAAGGGGTCAGGGAGTTCCCTTTCCGAGTCAAAGAAAGGGGTGACGGACGCACCTGGAAAATCGGGTCACTCCCACCCGAATATTGCGCTTTTCAGACCGGCTTAAAAAACGGCGCACCACGAGACTATATCCCACACCTGGCTCGGAGGGTCCTACGCCCACGGAATCTCGCTGATTGCTAGCACAGCGGTCTGAGATCAAACTGCAAGGCGGCAGCGAGGCTGGGGGAGGGGCACCCGCCATTGCCCAGGCTTGCTTAGGTAAACAAAGCAGCCGGGAAGCTCGAACTGGGTGGAGCCCACCACAGCTCAAGGAGGCCTGCCTGCCTCTGTAGGCTCCACCTCTGGGGGCAGGGCACAGACAAACAAAAAGACAGCAGTAACCTCTACAGACTTAAATGTCCCTGTCTGACAGCTTTGAAGAGAGCAGTGGTTCTCCCAGCACGCAGCTGGAGATCTGAGAACCGGCAGACTGCCTGCTCAAGTGGGTCCCTGACCCCTGACCCCCGAGCAGCCTAACTGGGAGGCACCTCCCAGCAGGGGCACACTGACACCTCACACGGCAGGGTATTCCAACAGACCTGCAGCTGAGGGTCCTGTCTGTTAGAAGGAAAACTAACAAACAGAAAGGACATCCACACCGAAAACCCATCTGTACATCACCATCATCAAAGACCAAAAGTAGATAAAACCACAAAGATGGGGAAAAAACAGAACAGAAAAACTGGAAACTCTAAAACGCAGAGCGTCTCTCCTCCTCCAAAGGAACGCAGTTCCTCACCAGCAACAGAACAAAGCTGGATGGAGAATGACTTTGACGAGCTGAGAGAAGAAGGCTTCAGACGATCAAATTACTCTGAGCTACGGGAGGACATTCAAACCAAAGGCAAAGAAGTTAAAAACTTTGAAAAAAATTTAGAAGAATGTATAACTAGAATAACCAATACAGAGAAGTGCGTAAAGGAGCTGATGGAGCTGAAAACCAAGGCTCGAGAACTACGTGAAGAATGCAGAAGCCTCAGGAGCCGACGCGATCAACTGGAAGAAAGGGTATCAGCAATGGAAGATGAAATGAATGAAATGAAGCGAGAAGGGAAGTTTAGAGAAAAAAGAATAAAAAGAAATGAGCAAAGCCTCCAAGAAATATGGGACTATGTGAAAAGACCAAATCTACATCTGATTGGTGTACCTGAAAGTGATGGGGAGAATGGAACCAAGTTGGAAAACACTCTGCAGGATATTATCCAGGAGAACTTCCCCAATCTAGCAAGGCAGGCCAACGTTCAGATTCAGGAAATACAGAGAACGCCACAAAGATACTCCTCGAGAAGAGCAACTCCAAGACACATAATTGTCAGATTCACCAAAGTTGAAATGAAGGAAAAAATGTTAAGGGCAGCCAGAGAGAAAGGTCGGGTTACCCTCAAAGGGAAGCCCATCAGACTAACAGCAGATCTCTCGGCAGAAACCCTACAAGCCAGAAGAGAGTGGGGGCCAATATTCAACATTCTTAAACAAAAGAATTTTCAACCCAGAATTTCATATCCAGCCAAACTAAGCTTCATAAGTGAAGGAGAAATAAAATACTTTACAGACAAGCAAATGCTGACCGATTTTGTCACCACCAGGCCTGCCCTAAAAGAGCTCCTGAAGGAAGCGCTAAACATGGAAAGGAACAACCGGTACCAGCCGCTGCAAAATCATGCCAAAATGTAAAGACCACCGAGACTAGGAAGAAACTGCATCAACTAACGAGCAAAATCACCAGCTATCATCATAATGACAGGATCAAATTCACACATAACAATATTAACTTTAAATATAAATGGACTAAATTCTCCAATTAAAAGACACAGACTGGCAAATTGGATAGAGTCAAGATCCATCAGTGTGCTGTATTCAGGAAACCCATCTCACGTGCAGAGACACACATAGGCTCAAAATAAAAGGATGGAGGAAGATCTACCAAGCAAATGGAAAACAAAAAAAGGCAGGGGTTGCAATCCTAGTCTCTGATAAAACAGACTTTAAACCAACAAAGATCAAAAGAGACAAAGAAGGCCATTACATAATGGTAAAGGGATCAATTCAACAAGAAGAGCTAACTATCCTAAATATATATGCACCCAATACAGGAGCACCCAGATTCATAAAGCAAGTCCTGAGTGACCTACAAAGAGACTTAGACTCCCACACATTAATAATGGGAGACTTTAACACCCCACTGTCAACATTAGACAGATCAATGAGACAGAAAGTCAACAAGGATACCCAGGAATTGAACTCAGCTCTGCACCAAGCGGACCTAATAGACATCTACAGAACTCTCCACCCCAAATCAACAGAATATACATTTTTTTCAGCACCACACCACACCTATTCCAAAATTGACCACATACTTGGAAGTAAAGCTCTCCTCAGCAAATGTAAAAGAACAGAAATTATAACAAACTATCTCTCAGACCACAGTGCAATCAAACTAGAACTCAGGATTAAGAATCCCACTCAAAGCCGCTCAACTACATGGAAACTGAACAACCTGCTCCTGAATGACTACTGGGTACATAACGAAATGAAGGCAGAAATAAAGATGTTCTTTGAAACCAACGAGAAGAAAGACACAACATACCAGAATCTCTGGGACGCATTCAAAGCAGTGTGTAGAGGGAAATTTATAGCACTAAATGCCCACAAGAGAAAGCAGGAAAGATCCAAAATTGACACCCTAACATCACAATTAAAAGAACTAGAAAAGCAAGAGCAAACACATTCAAAAGCTAGCAGAAGGCAAGAAATAACTAAAATCAGAGCAGAACTGAAGGAAATAGAGACACAAAAAACCCTTCAAAAAATCAATGAATCCAGGAGCTGGTTTTTTGAAAGGATCAACAAAATTGATAGACCGCTAGCAAGACTAATAAAGAAAAAAAGAGAGAAGAATCAAATAGACACAATAAAAAATGATAAAGGGGATATCACCACCGATCCCACAGAAATACAAACTACCATCAGAGAATACTACAAACACCTCTACGCAAATAAACTAGAAAATCTAGAAGAAATGGATAAATTCCTCGACACATACACTCTCCCAAGACTAAACTAGG
Organism: Homo sapiens; assembly: GCF_000001405.40. Taxonomy (NCBI): domain Eukaryota; kingdom Metazoa; phylum Chordata; class Mammalia; order Primates; family Hominidae; genus Homo; species Homo sapiens. Next base: position 174,407,171 of record NC_000002.12, on the reverse strand, counting down.
AAGAAGTTGAATCTCTGAATAGACCAATAACAGGAGCTGAAATTGTGGCAATAATCAATAGTTTACCAACCAAAAAGAGTCCAGGACCAGATGGATTCACAGCCGAATTCTACCAGAGGTACAAGGAGGAACTGGTACCATTCCTTCTGAAACTATTCCAATCAATAGAAAAAGAGGGAATCCTCCCTAACTCATTTTATGAGGCCAGCATCATTCTGATACCAAAGCTGGGCAGAGACACAACCAAAAAAGAGAATTTTAGACCAATATCCTTGATGAACATTGATGCAAAAATCCTCAATAAAATACTGTCAAACCAAATCCAGCAGCACATCAAAAAGCTTATCCACCATGATCAAGTGGGCTTCATCCCTGGGATGCAAGGCTGGTTCAATATACGCAAATCAATAAATGTAATCCAGCATATAAACAGAGCCAAAGACAAAAACCACATGATTATCTCAATAGAGGCAGAAAAAGCCTTTGACAAAATTCAACAACCCTTCATGCTAAAACCTCTCAATAAATTAGGTATTGATGGGACATATTTCAAAATGATAAGAGCTATCTCTGACAAACCCACAGCCAATATCATACTGAATGGGCAAAAACTGGAAGCATTTCCTTTGAAAACTGGCACAAGACAGGGATGCCCTCTCTGACCACTCCTATTCAACATAGTGTTGGAAGTTCTGGCCAGGGCAATTAGGCAGGAGAAGGAAATAAAGGGTATTCAATTAGGAAAAGAGGAAGTCAAATTGTCCCTGTTTGCAGACGACATGATTGTATATCTAGAAAACCCCATTGTCTCAGCCCAAAATCTCCTTAAGCTGATAAGCAACTTCAGCAAAGTCTCAGGATACAAAATCAATGTGCACAAATCACAAGCATTCCTATACACCAATAACAGACAAACAGAGAGCCAAATCATGAGTGAACTCCCATTCACAATTGCTTCAAAGAGAATAAAATACCTAGGAATCCAACTTACAAGGGATGTGAAGGACCTCTTCAAGGAGAACTACAAACCACTGCTCAAAGAAATAAAAGAGGATACAAACAAATGGAAGAACATTCCATGCTTATGGGTAGGAAGAATCAATATTGTGAAAATGGCCATACTGCCCAAGGTAATTTACAGATTCAATGCCATCCCCATCAAGCTACCAATGACTTTCTTCACAGAATTGGAAAAAACTACTTTAAAGTTCATATGGAACCAAAAAAGAGCCCGCATCGCCAAGTCAATCCTAAGCCAAAAGAACAAAGCTGGAGGAATCACACTACCTGACTTCAAACTATACTACAAGGCTACAGTAACCAAAACAGCATGGTACTGGTACCAAAACAGAGATATAGATCAATGGAACAGAACAGAGCCCTCAGAAATAACACCACATAACTACAACTATCTGATCTTTGACAAACCTGAGAAAAACAAGCAATGGGGAAAGGATTCCCTATTTAATAAATGGTGCTGGGAAAACTGGCTAGCCATATGTAGGAAGCTGAAACTGGATCCCTCCCTTACACCTTATACAAAAATCAATTCAAGATGGATTAAAGACTTAAACTTTAGACCTAAAACCATAAAAACCCTAGAAGAAAACCTAGGCATTACCATTCAGGACATAGGCATGGGCAAGGACTTCATGTCTAAAACACCAAAAGCAATGGCAACAAAAGACAAAATTGACAAATGGGATCTAATTAAACTAAAGAGCTTCTGCACAGCAAAAGAAACTACCATCAGAGTGAACAGGCAACCTACAAAATGGGAGAAAATTTTCGCAACCTACTCATCTGACAAAGGGCTAATATCCAGAATCTACAATGAACTCAAACAAATGTACAAGAAAAAAACAAACAACCCCATCAAAAAGTGGGCGAAGGACATGAACAGACACTTCTCAAAAGAAGACATTTATGCAGCCAAAAAACACATGAAAAAATGCTCATCATCACTGGCCATCAGAGAAATGCAAATCAAAACCACTATGAGATACCATCTCACACCAGTTAGAATGGCAATCATTAAAAAGTCAGGAAACAACAGGTGCTGGAGAGGATGTGGAGAAATAGGAACACTTTTACACTGTTGGTGGGACTGTAAACTAGTTCAACCATTGTGGAAGTCAGTGTGGCAATTCCTCAGGGATCTAGAACTAGAAATACCATTTGACCCAGCCATCCCATTACTGGGTATATACCCAAATGACTATAAATCATGCTGCTATAAAGACACATGCACAGGTATGTTTATTGCGGCATTATTCACAATAGCAAAGACTTGGAACCAACCCAAATGTCCAACAATGATAGACTGGATTAAGAAAATGTGGCACATATACACCATGGAATACTATGCAGCCATAAAAAATGATGAGTTCGTGTCCTTTGTAGGGACATGGATGAAATTGGAAATCATCATTCTCAGTAAACTATCGCAAGAACAAAAAACCAAACACCGCATATTCTCACTCATAGGTGGGAATTGAACAATGAGATCACATGGACACAGGAAGGGGAATATCACACTCTGGGGACTGTGGTGGGGTGGGGGGAGGGGGGAGGGATAGCATTGGGAGATATACCTAATGCTAGATGACGAGTTAGTGGGTGCAGTGCACCAGCATGGCACATGTATACATATGTAACTAACCTGCACAATGTGCACATGTACCCTAAAACTTAAAGTATAATAAAAAAAAAATAGGTTTATAATAAATATTTTTCATTTTAATAGAACAATATTTTTACTAATTATAATTCCCCAAAACAGATGTTATCATTCCCATATTACATCTACACAAAATGTAGTTTGTCATCCTAATATTATTTATATGATAAAATTACCTTTGTGCTTATTTAGAAGCTTGTAGCCCTCACAGTATCTGCCTGATGAAGTCATCATCTTGGCTGTGTCAAGATAGGAATATGCTGCAGCAAAATCAAACTCCTTTTTACCATCCCACCAACCTTTCCGCTTAGCATAGTTTCTCATGTCTGGGTGTTCCCGGGCAATCTTGGTTGTTATGGAAAGTTGATTAGAAATATTACGAACTCCCTCTATTTTCAAAGAAGAAGAGGAGAAAGGAGAAGAAAAGTCATATTTAACATAAAGCATGTATCTGTATATCATGATTCCTAATCACTATGTAAACATAAATATAGACTTCTAAATTTTGTGCCATGGGCATCTATTACATATTCAAAAAGATAAATGAATTACTTTTAAAATTAAACTGATTTTAAGATAATTATAGATTCACATGCAGTTATAAAAAAATAATACTGAGAGATACTGTGTACCCTTTACCCAGTTTCCCCCAATGGTAACATCTTGCCAAACTGTAGTATAATATCACAACCAGAATATTGGTATTGCTATAGTCAAGATAAAGAATACTTCCATCACCACAAGGATCCCTCATGTTGCCCTTTTATAGCCACACCTACTTATCTCCCACCCCAAATCCTTCATTAACCTCAGGTAACAGCTATTCTGTTCTCCATTTCTATAACTGTAATTTCAAGAATGTTATATAAATGGAATAATATGTAAGCTTTTGGTTTTACTGAGCACAATTCGCTAAAGATTCATCTATGTTATTGTATATATCAATAGTTTATTATTTTTATTGGTGAGTAATATTCCATGGTATGAATGTATGATAACTTGCTTACTTATTCACAAGGTAAAGGATATCTGAATTGTTCCTAGTTTTTGGTCATCATGGAAAAAGCTGCTATACTTGCGTACAGGTTCTTGTGTAAATGTATGTAAGTTTTTATTTCTCTGGGATAAATGCACAGGAGTACAGTTGCTAAGTTGTATGGTAGTTGCATGTTTAGTTTTTTTTTTTTAACTGACAAACTATTTTCTAGAGTGGCTAGCTGTACATTCTTACCTTTATTTCAGTCACTGTGATAGAGGTGTAGTAAAATCTCTTTGGGGTTTTGCATTTCCCTAATGGCTAATAATGTTGAACATCATTTCATGCTTATTTCAAATCTGTATATCCCTTTGGGTGAAATGACTCTTCATATCTTTTGCCTATTTTCTAACTGGATTTTTTTTTTTTTACTACTGAGTTTTGACTGCTCTTTATATATTCCAGATAGTAGTCCTTTCTATAAATTTTTTTAAATTATAAATAAGTCTAGAACCAAAATATATGACTTCCAAAAATATTATGGCATGAAGCTATAAACAAAGTTTTCAACTAAAATACAAAATAGAAAAAATAAAAGCCTGTCTTAGAGATTATACTAAATGAAACAGATCACGATAAACAAAAATCGATAATGTTTTAAAAACAGCTGAAATGACAGTCTGTCAAGTAAAAATCAATGAAATTACTCTAATGAGGTCATACTTGGGATACCCTCATTACAAAAACCAGATCCAAGTCATGAAAGAATCAGATGGAAGAATTTTCTTTTCTTTCTTTCCCCTTCTCCTTCCCTCTTTTCTTTTCTTTCAACAGGGTCTCACTCTCTCGCCCAGGCTAGAGTACAGTGGCATAATAATAGCTCACTGCAGCCTCGACCTCCTGGGTTCAAGCTATCCTCCCCACCTCAGCCTCTTGAGTAGCTGGAACTATAGGTACACACCACCACACTCAGCTAATTTTCGTATTTTTTGTAGAATTGAGGTCTCACTGTGTTGCCCAAGCTGGTCTCACACTCCTGGGCTGAAGTGATCCTCCTGCCTCAGCCTCTCAAAGTGCTGGGATTATAGGCATGAGCCACCATGCCCAGCCAATAATTTTCCATCTAATAAATAATTCCCTATCATTTAACAATTTAGTTCTTGGGCTTAGTTAGTAATAGAAAGAGAAAACAATTGGCAAAATTAATCTACAGCTAGACAATGAGACCCAATGAAGGTGTTCATTTTAGATGGCCAGGTGGCACTTTTTCAACAAAATGTATTTATTCAGTTCTCTCTTGCACGTAGTACATTTAATAAAATAAAAGTGCTCAATGGTATTATCAAGCCAATTATCACAAAAAGAAAAAGTCTAACTACAATGTTATATATTAATAAACATATATGCAAAACATAAAACAAAATGTCCGTCAAAACAACTGGTAATGACCTGTTTTGAAAAATAACACCCAAATCCTCCAAAGTTCAAGGCTACCTTCATGAAGCCTTTCTGAACTCCTCTAGCTCACGATAATAACCTTTCTGTTCTCTAAATGTTCAAATCATCTATGTGTCTGTATCATTCGTGCACCATTTAACATTTTCACATGTGTATCTTATCTCTCTAGTAAACTAGGAGTCCAGAAGTTAAATACCCGAGAAGGACATGATTATGCTTAAACATAAGGCTATGTTCTAGTGATGAGATTCAAGATGAAAAGATTTAAATTCTAGGTCTTTCATTTACCACCTTAAATCACTTTACATCTCTGGCTTTCCTCACTTGAAAAATTAGAGGAATATATGATCACAAAGAAAATGAGAATGAAAAATCAAAGCATTCTAAAACAATCAAATAATGTTGTTTTATTCAAAGATATCAAACTTTTGTGTTTTACTATTGTATCAACACAGCTTTTTCAACCACCAACTCACAAACACCTGTCTCTAACCCCACTCCCATTTCCTCACCTCCACACTTACACATAAGATTTTGGAGTGCAGCCCAAAGTTTAAAGGGGAAGAAATTGTAAGGGATTATTAAAGTGAAAAAGTACTATGAAATGGCCAAGAGCTGCAGCAAAGAAAGTATATACAGGTTATATGAAATTCATATTCCCAGAGGTAATGCTACCTTTTTATCTTTTTCAAGAAAGCTCTTTATGGCACTTTTTCACTGTTCTTTCAAATTTTTAAATTTCCCTTGCAGTTCAACCCTTCATTACACTAGATTATTAATCTTGGAAGCAATTAAATGCAATATCTATAGGTAAGGGTGTATTTTATTAATTGCAAAAACAAGTTAAATCACAAAAAGTTGTCCATACCTTGTACTTTTTCTGCTGCCCAGTACTTCCCTGCAGTCTCCAGAATCCAGGCTTCATTCCTATCAGCTATCAGGAAACTGTTGTGATAGCTAAATACCATTCTACCCTCTGTGCAATTTCCACCCTGGCCATATTTTTCTAGTAAGTCAACAATGACATTGAGGGCTTTTTCAGCTGTATCAGCTCTTTCAAGGCCAAGTCTAAAACAAAAATATAAAGTTCTCATATTAAAATAAATTTCCATTATTTTTTTTAAATAATTTCATGCTCATGAGATTTTTTAGATTCAAAGTAAAATTTCTTCCAAGTTAACAGATGAAATGACATCTAACTTTAAAACTTTTCCTTCTGAAGTCAGTTTGGAATCATGGAAATAAAGTTTCTGGAGTCAAACAAACCTATCAAATTCGAAGTTGGTAATTCACTGTCAAGTTACTTTATCTCTGAACCTCAGATATCTCATTTGTAAAATGAGCACGATAGCCCATGAGGTTATTGTGAGAATTAGTTAAGGTGTGATTAAAGTATGTTAGGTACTTCCAATGAATTATAATTTCCTACTTCTTCCCTTCTCCCAAATAATAATATCTGAAAGCTGGGCATGGTGCCTGTGCTGGTAATCCCAGTTACTCAGGAGCTGAGGCAGGAGAATGGCTAGAGGCCAGGAGTTCAAGACAAGTATAAGCAACATAGCAAGACCCTAGTCTCTGAAAAAAAAATTTTTTTTAATTAAAAATTAGCCAGGTGTGGTGGCACGTGCCTTTGATCCAAGCTACTTGGGTGACTTAGGTGGGATGATTGCTTGAGCTCAGGAATTCAAGGGCACAGTGAGCCATGATCACACCATTATACTCCAGCCTGCATGACACAGTGAGATCTCATCTCAAAAAAATAAAAATTAATTAATTTTAAAAAACCAAACAAAACTGAGAGTCATGAAATTGCATGCCGGTACTTTAAACCATTTTGACACAAACTGCAAAGTATCAAAGCCCCCTCAAAAATAGGAAAATAAAACAAGTAAGAGTTACACAAAAATTATAAATTTAGACAAGGTCTGTAGTATAAAATGTAACAAAAAATAACCTGACAAGGTCCATTCCTAATAGTGCTTCTTCATCACAAACTTCTTCTCTTCCCCATACAGCTTCATTCCCAATGCAAACTCCATGCTCATTGGCTCCCATTTCTGCCCCCCACAACCACGCTGGGCGACTCAGGACAACAGCATATGTTTCAGGAACTTGATCAATTTCTATATATGTACACTGTAAAAAAAAAAAAAAAAAAGTCATAGCAAGAACCACAAAACCAGAAAAGTTATCAAAATCCAGAATTTAAAAAAATCAGTCAGAAGACAAAACTGTTATGAAAGAGGTAAAGGAAATATAAGTAAATTGAAATTTTCAATAATAAAGGCATTACCCTTAAAACATATTCAGAATAACCCTAAAATATTTATTCATTCAAATATTTGCTGAGCATTTCCTATTATAAAACATTCTGCCAAGAGATATGTTAGTTACAAAGATGAATCAGATAAAGATCTCACTTTTGAGAAACTAAAACTTCTACATTAAGATAAAATAAAGTATAAAGTATTAGGGTCATGAAGTGAAGACAAGGTGCTATTGGAGCTCAGGAGAAAGATGGTCTCTAGCTGTAATATCTTGAAACATTTTTGTAGATGTGTGAGTTGAAGCTTAAGGAAGTAGTTCTCAACCTCAATATCCAGTGTTTCTTGATTAGTGATATAATTACTCACATGGTAGCCTTCGAATACAAGAGTTTTGTCATAGGAATCTCACATCACATTTTGAAGTCAACCATTAGGTATGCCCACAGCAATGAAAAGAATGAGAACCACTGGTTTACAGGACAGGCTATATTTAAATATGAAGAAATAAAGTGGAAGTGGTATCACAGATGAATAAGTGGTCTTAGCAAAAGAAAAAAATATGGCATAGGATACAGAAAAAAGTCTAATATTTAATATGTTTTAATATTAGAATATCAATAAAATAAAATCTAAAAAGTATGAATTAGCAACAATAGCATAATTTGAAGCTCTCATTTTAAGTTCCACATTAAATGGGTTTTTAAAATAAGTTTTTAAAGGATCCTTTAATTAATGTGTATACTACCAAGTGACTGCATAAAATGTATATTGATAGTGTTAACATAGGGCCTAATAAACCTTTTTTGATGTGTCATAAAACTGTCATTCCTAAAGTCTGGGATGACTTTCCTATTCTACATCAAGTAGAACCTAAGCCAATTCAGAATCAGAATCCTTTTTGTCCATCAAATTCCAGCTAACTCCAAGCTGAATTAAATGTTCATTCTCTTCCGCTGCCACAGCATGCTACTGTTACTTAAATTTAGCATTTAAACCATCCTATTTTATAATGGGGTATAATGCATACACATCTTATTGCTATACTAGACTCTAAGCTCCTGGAACAGAGTCTTGACAGCTGACTTTAAATCTCTTGCCCTATCTAACATGCTTGCATATGGAAAGCATTCAAATATTTATTCAAACAATGGATAATTTTATTATTGTTATTTCAACGTCCTCCGAATCACTGAAATAAAAGATCACAGTTTATTTCTGACTCATTTATTTTTCAAATGTAAACTCCTCAATTTTAACTTCTACAGTTTCTTCCAAATTGCTATGTATAGAAATAACTTTATGATATTTTTAAAAGGCATATTGCTAACAAAACATTTATTTCACCTACCTTAAGACGTTCTCCCAGGTTATCATGAACTACAGCAGGAAAATAAACCACCTCTTGTACTTCATCATAGAGTCTATCTGAATTTTTTCCAAAAATAATCCTGTTATCGACTGTTGCTGGAGGTAATGCCACGAAAGTGTCACAGGAAAAAGGTTCCATTTTTTTTAACTAAAAATTATACAGATGTTTTAAAATAAAAAGAACACTTTTAAGTATATAAAAATAAAGAGTTTTACTCAATGACCAAAGGATATTATTGCCATATCTAATTAAGGATGTTCATTAAAGCTTTGATTTTTTTATTTTTATTTTTTGGAGACAAGGTCTAGCTCTTTCACCCAGGCTGGAGTGCAGTTGTATGATCAGGGCTTACTGCAGCCTGGAACTCCTGGGCTCAGGAGATCCTCCCCCTTCTGCCTCCCAAAGCCCTGGGATTACAGGCATGAGTGACCGTGCTTGGCTGTTCATTAAAGTTTTAAATTTTGTATACTACAGCCTAAAAATCAGTAAGAATATGACTTGGGACTCAATCTGGTACTACAACTCAGTAAGAAAATGGCAATGAGAACTACCTTCTTCTACTGTATAGTTCACATTTATTCTCTAAGACCTTTCTCTCCTAAAGTCTTCCCTGAATTTCGTTTCACCATTTCCATATTTGGGAATCCGTGTACCTAGCTCTATTGTTGTAAAGGCTAGATTCCATTACATTCGTGTATATATAAATCCCTTTACTGGACAATGAGATCCTTGAGGGCTGGGAGTATGTCTTACTAATCTTTATATTCTCTTTGCTGGAACTTGTCTTATGGAAAAAAATCTTACGTGCCCAGTACTTCCTCAAAGGAAGGAAGAAGGGGTCTTATTTGAGCTGGGAAATAATACACATTATAATTCTGATGAGACTGAAATTTTGAAACAGACTCATTGATTCAGACAAAAATATGTCAATATAATTCCAAATTGCTGATATTTCTAGGAGAAAGTTCACATATTTAATTTATAAATCGCAATTATATACTTTAATATCTAGATTACCTCTTCAGTTGTAACTTGGAAAATCTTAGATCTTCACTTATAATAGAACACCTAAAGGTCCTTATTTTGCTGCCAGAACAGACACATTGTTTTACAGAGTTTCCTTCTTTCCTTTAATAATGGCAAAACCTTAAAATGGCTTTACACAGGCAGATGCTAGCAACTTAAAAACAAAATTTAAATATAATAAATGTTTCCTTAAAAAGAAAAGAAAATGACTAAATAAAAACTTCAGACTGAAACTCTTAAGGGTTTTCCTCTTCTCCTCAGTGACGAGAAGTCTGATGTCTTGATGGCTTCTGTTATTTTCTTTCTGTATTTCAACTCTTATGTCCTGGATCTCCTTCTATTTGTGTTTTATAGTTAGTTCTATCACTATATAACTTTGGCAGACTATTTAATCTCTCTCTTACCTATGCCTTCTGCCTCATCAGAAAAATAAGACACTATTTGATGGGCTGTTATGAGAACTTAATAAGGCAACACGTAAAGTGTTTTGCACAGTGCATAGAACATAGTAGATACTCACATGAAAGCTGTTATTGTTATTATTTGGTAGGAGAGAAAATTTCTCATAAAGGCTTATTCGTTTTTTGTTTTTTTTTTTTGATGGAGTTTAACTCTTGTTGCCCGGGCTGGAGTGCAATGGAGCAGTCTTGGCTCACTGCAACCTCCGCCTCCCGCGTTCAAGTGATTCTCCTGCCTCAACCTCCCGAGTAGCTGGGATTACAGGCGCGTGCCACCACACCCGGCTAATTTTTCGTGTTTTTAGTAGAGACGGGGTTTCACCATGTTGGCCAGGCTGGTCTTGAACTCCTGACCTCAGGTGATCCACCCACCTTGGCCTCCCAAAGTGCTGGGATTACAGGCGTGAGCTACCGCGCCCGGCCAAGGTTTATTCTTAACATTACCCTGATAGAGAACTTGGTTGGTGGATCACCTGCTGCAGTAGCAGCCACGTCCACTCAAAAACCTGGAGTCCCAAGGGCCATCAAGCTGCAATAGTAACCTGAGCTGCCTAACTGGGGTCGTAGGGAAAGCTAAGGAAACTTGCCCCCTGGTTAGAATTGCACCTAGCCCACTGAGGAGGTGAAGCCTTGAGAGATTTTACCAACTCCTAACGCGTATTCGTCATTCAATAAGTATTTATTGAACGTCTTTCGGCGCCAGTACCGTACAGCTGGGTACAAAATAGACAGGGCCTCCGTTCTTGCAGAGCTGTCTGTCATTCTATTTCACGCGCTCTTAGTTCAGCCGGCGCTTTCAGAAACATCATATTGTTGGATTCTCGCAAGCATACTACGGTTAGGGCCGGAATTATTATCTTCATAACATAGATGAGAAAAACAGTGCAGAAAAGCTTTTGCAGCTCGAGTCAGAGTCCACAGAAAGTAATGGGCTCGAGCTTCAAGCACCTTTGGTCGAAGGGCCGCCGCGGTCCACCCCGCACCCCGGCCCTGGGCGCTCAAACCGCAGCCGGTGCAGCTGGGCTCCGGAGCCCCTCGGTCAAGCAGTGCCGCGCCACAGTTGGGTCTTCCGGGTTTCTGTCTCAACTATGCACGCCCCTCCCCCGTGCGCGCCCCTCACCTGGCCTCCCAGCTACCCGAAGTGACAGGTGGACGGAGGGAGGAGTGGCCAGTGGAGGCATCAGTTGCCGGAAGCTGTCACCTTTGATCTCGGAAGTTCCCCCTTGCTGCTGGAAACGCAGTTCCGGTTAGGCGGCTGAGTTTGTTTACGTTGCTAACAGATCTAGCCCCTGCTTTCCCTAGTTCCAGTTCCAAGATGGGGAAATCCTTCGCCAACTTCATGTGCAAGAAAGACTTTCATCCTGCCTCCAAATCCAATATCAAAAAAGTGAGTAAACAGACCCGGGGAGGGATTAGGCCCACAGGGACCGCCTTCCCAGAGGCTGCTGGAAGTGAAAGTGATGGTGTCTCTGAGATCCCTAGGACAGCCTCCGCTTCTCTAGGCCTAAAGCCCTGGTGGTCTCGCCTTTCTCTGCTGAGCAGCTCGCTGACGCAGCGGGTCCTCAGCGTTTATTCTGCAACAGCGAGGAGACCGGTGGCCTAGAGAATCTTTGTCGGCCAGAATGCAAATCCATAATATGCGAAGACTAATGTCAAAATTCCTCAGTACTTCCTTCAGCTGATTCTGGTTTTTTGTCTTTTCGGATCCCAGGGATCACGGCTTCTGAACTCTACTTTTCTGTACAAAGAAGCCTCCCCGTTTACTTAAGATAGATCTTTAAAAAAATTACCTAATAATCTAGTGTCTTTTTGATGACTAAACTCGTTGAAGTTTAGTGTTTTACATAATTACAGGTCTACCAGTTGTAATACTTTGGTGAATATCATAGTAATGAAAAGCAAAAGAGTGAAGTAGAAAGAATCAGCTTTGGAGTCAAACCTGGATTCTAGTTATTCGAGCAGTCACTTTTAGCCTTAAGACCTTGCACAAAATATTTGTAATATCTGACCCTCAGTCTTCTAATCTGTAAATTAAGGATGATTGACTTAATTGTGAGGATTAAGTGAAATAGTGAAGATAAAGGATTTGAAACAACGTAGGCATCTATCACTGTGTCCACTACAGAGAGGAGGTGCTCAATAAAATGTTGATTGCCCCTACATAGAAACTTGTGAAAATAACTAAGCTTTTATTTGTTTTTAGAACGAGTTGAGGTGATGAGATACTGCTATATACTCTCACTTCTAGACCAGTGATTCTCAACTTTTTTTTCACTGTTACCTTCCTAAGGAGTCTTATTAAACATTTTTTCTTAATAACTCCCCCATGAAATTTTAATAACACAGATACACCTTGAAAGCTCTTTGGTAATCATCCAGCCCCATCTCCTCATTTTATAAATGAGGAAACAAATTTGCCAAGAGTTACACAGCTAGTTAAATGTTGTACCAGAACTAGGATCTGGAACACCTGATTAACCCAGTGATTTTTTTTCCACTGCACCAGTTTGTGTTTGTGTGGTTGCAACTGTGGGAGGGAGAGGTTTCTTGTATTTGGTTGGCTCAATAACTTTTGACACCAAACACAGACATTTCCTTTCTCTGCATACTTAGGGGGTCAGCTGTTACTATTTTTACAAGAATGAAGAGATTAGATGGAATTCAGGTGCTTGCTTATTTGCTGTTTATATTTAGAGACAAATATACCTGAGAAATCATAATTTTTTACTGGAACTTTTGACATTTCGCTTTATAAATTTCAATGTATCAGCTTTCTTACAAGAAAAAAGAAATCCACAGAGAATAACTTTTGCAAGTCCGCTATGAGAAATTCAGTAAAGCAGTTATAGGCTTAGAACCTACATTCTTCTCATCTGTGTAAAGTGTTATGTAAAATGTACCAAATATTGTTGGCCTCTTTGATCTGTTTTATACTTTTCCCAGGATAGAGGAGAAGAATGAAATGTTTTTGATTAGCAGACCTTTCTAGATAGTTAACACTTTATGGGGAGAGGGGGTGACCTCTAGCATTCTTTATTAACTAAGGATAAAGGAACTATATTAAATGAAGATAAATAGAAAAATTTATTAGGGTAGGAGGAAACTTTTGGAGGTGATGGATATGTTTATAGTGTAGATTGTGATGATGGTTTCACAGGGATATACTTGTCACCAAACTCAGGTTGTATACATTAAATATGTACAGCTTTTTATATGTCATACTCCAGTAAAGTTTTTTTTTTTTTTTAATAGAAGTGGAAGAAACAAAGGAGTTTGATCAAAGAGTGCAAAAGAGTTCCACCATGAAAATTTTAAGGGCCAGGTATGGTGGCTCATACCTATAATTCCAGCACTTTGAGAGGCCAGGAATTCAAGACCAGCATAGGCAACAAAGTGAGACCCCATCTATATTTAAAAAGAAAGAAAGAAAATTCTAATTGTAAAATTAGGCATGTTGGGTTTATTAAAGTCCAGTAGGTTCTTTTTTTCCTTGTTTGTTTTCAGTTTCCCAAGCTTATAAAAAGTCCAGTAGGTTTTAAGGTCTCATTTGTTCACCAAAAATAAGAGTGAATGCTGTATATCTGCTGGTCACTCTGTTGTGTATTGTTATGCGCTGCCTCAATCATTTATGTCACAGGATACACTGTTTTGTTCAGCTGTTCTTTTTTTTTCTTGATTTTGTTAATGAAGGAAGCAGTTAATTTACATTGTGGTCCAAGCTCTTTAGTCTTCTTGTGGACTGGCAAACAGTTCATAAACTGGCTATTGACAATTGCATCACTGTAAACTCCCTTTTTTGTGAAACTCTCTGTTCCCTTAGCTGTAATAACTACTCTCTTCTAGTTTTCCAGCTCTCTTATTAGACTGTTCTTTTCCCATCAACTTCACTGGATCTTTATTCTTAGCCTGCTCCTAAAATATAAGTGTTCCCCAGAGTTTCATCCTTGGCCCACTTCTTGCTTACTTAGTATGCTTGCCCCAAGCAATCACATCCAACTAGCCTGTTTTAACTAGCCTGTTTACTCATGACTCAAATCTGCAGTCCCAGTTTTCTCTTCTTAACTTTGATGTGGCTCAAGACAGCTATCTACTAGACATTTGCATCTTGATGTCCTATAGGCACCTCAAACTCAACATATCTGATATAAAAGTTTTTTACCCCAAATCAGCCCTTTTTATACTTGCTATCTCATATGGGTAGAAATATAGATAGTAAAACAGTCCCTCATCCTGTTGCCCAAACCAGAAGCTCAGGATTCATCCCTTTTCCCATCACTCCTTTATCTAGTCAATCACTGAATGCTATTGGTCTTACCTTCCAAATATCTCTTGAATCCATCTTTCCTTTCTGTCACTGCTGCTTGTGTCTTAATTCAGACCCTCATCATCTTTCACCTATATTGTTGCATTTCCTAAGTGGTTCTACTGCCTCCAATCTTGAGTCCTCTCAAATCCATTCACTACACAGCCATCAGAATAGTCATTTTTCATTTTAACAGCTCTGCTGAGATAAATTTACATATCATACAAACACCCATGTAAAATGTACAATTTAGTGGTTTTTAAAATGTATTCATGGAGTTAAGTAATCATTACCACAAACAATTTTAGAACTTTGTCATCACCCCAAAAAGAAACCCCCGCTGGGCATGGTGGCTCACACCTGTAATCTCTGCACTTTGGGTGGCTGAGGTGGGTGGATCACCCGAGGTCAGGAATTCAAGACAGCCTGGCCAACATGGTGAAACCCTGTCTCTACTAAAAGTACAAAAATTAGCTGGGTGTGGTGGCGGGCGCTTGTAATCCCAGCTACTTGGGAGGCTGAGGTGGGAGAATCGCATGAACCCGGGAGGCGGAGATTGCAGTGAGCCAAGATTGCGCCACTGCACTCCAGCCTGGGTGACAGTGAGACACTGACTCAAAAAAAAAGAAACCTGCATACCTGTTAGTCACTCCCATTTTTCCTTAACTCTTCTCCCTCTCTCCAGCCCTAGGCAAGCACTAATCTACTTTCTGTTAGTGGATTTGCCTATTCTGGAAATTCATTTAAATGGAATCATGCAATCTGTGGTCTTTTTTGACTGGCTACTCTCACCATAATGTTTTTGAAGTTTATCCATGGTATGGCATGTATTGGTACTTTTTCCTTTTTATTGCTAAATAATATTCCATTGTATGAATGTAAGTTATTTCGATAGAATTGTCTTTTTTTAAGCACAAATCTGATCTCTTTCAGCCTGTTATTAAAATATTACAGGATTGAGTCCAAGTAATCTCACTCCATCGTTTTTCTCCTTCTCCCCTCCTACTATTCTCCCACCTCAGATTTATTTATTTATTTATTTTTTGAGATGGAGGCTCACTCTGTTGCCCAGGCTAGAGTGCAGTGATGCAGTCTCAGCTCACTGAAGCCTCTACCTCCCAGGCTTAGGTGATTCTCCTGCCTCAGCTTTCCGAGTAGCTGGGATTACAGATACACACCACCACGCCTGGCTAATTTTTGTATTTTTAGTAGAGATGGAGTTTCACCATGTTGGCCAGGCTGGTCTCAGACTCCTGACTTAAGGTGATCTGCCCACCTCAGCCCAACCTAAGATTTTATATGTTAGTAATATTGAACTACTTACGTTCTATTTTATATCTCTGGGCCTTTGCCTGAGTCATTCTCTCTGCCAGTTATATCTTGCCCTGTTTTTTTCCTTGGCCATGCCTTGATCCTTTTCAAAACCCTGTCAAATGTGTGTGAAATTACCTGTGTATTGAGTTCTTGCAGCAAAATTTTTAATAGCAAAATACTGGAAATTTCTTAAGTGCCCATTTATACAGTATGAGATAAATAAATTATAAATTATGGTATAGTCCCACAATATGCAACTTTACCACCCAAAAGAAGAAAGTGTTTGTTTACTGATCCATATTAGTCTTGTATTAGTATTAGTCTGTTCTCATGCTGCTATGAAGAAATACCTGAGACTGGGTAATTTATAAGGAAAGAATTTTAATTGACTTGCAGTTCTGCAGGGCTGGGGAGGCCTCAGGAAACTTAAAATCATGGCAGAAGGGGAAGCAAACACGTCTTTCTTCACATGGTGACAGCAAGGAGAAATGCCGAGCAAAAGAGGAAAAGCTCCTTTTCTGATGGTTTTATCCATCAAATTTCCTGAGAACTCACTCACTATCACGAAAACACCATGGAGGTAACAGCCCCTTTTATTCAGTTACCTCCCATCGGGTTCCTCCCACGATACGCGGGGATTATGGGAACTACAATTCAAGATGAGATTGGGTGGGGACACAGCCAAACCATACCATTCCACCCCAGCCCCTTCCAGATCTCATGTCCTCACATTTCAAAACACAATCCTGCCCTTAACAACCAAAGTCTTAACTCATTCCAGCATTAACTCAAATGTCTAAGTCCAAAGTCTCATGTAAGACAAGGCAAGTCCCTTCCACCTATGAGCCTGTAAAATCAAAAGCAAGTTAATGACTTCCTGGATACAACAGGAGTACAGGCATTGGGTAAATACACCCATCCCCAATGGGACAATTTGGACAAAACAAAGGGGCTACAGGCCCCATGCAAGTCCAAAATCCAATAGGGCAGTCATTAAACCTTAAAGTGCCAAAAGGATCTCCTTTGACTTCATGTCTCATATCCAGGGTGTGCTGATGCAAGAGGTAGGCTCCCAAAGCCTTGGGCAGCTCTGCCCCTGTGGCTTTGCAGGGTATAACCCCTCTCCTGGATGCTTTCATGGGCTGGTGTTGAGTGTCTGTGGCTTTTCCAGGCACATGGTACAAGTTGGTGGATCTACTATACTGGGGTCTGGAGGACAGAGGCCCTCTTCTCGCAGCTCCACTAGGCAGTACCCCAGTAGGGACTCTGTGTGGGGGCTCCGACCCCACATTTCCCTTCCGCACTGCCCTAGTAGAGGTTCTCCAAGAGGGTTCCACCCCTGCAGCAAACATCTGCCTGAACATCCAGGTGTTTCCATACATCTTCTGAAATCTAGGCAGAGGTTCCCAAACCTCAGTTCTTGCCTTCTGCGCACGTGTAGGCCCAACATCACATGGAAGCTGCCAAGGTTTGGGGCTTGCATTCTCTGAAGCAGTGGCCATAGCTGGAGTGGCTGGAATGCAGGGCACGAAGACCAAAGGTTGTACCCAGCAGTTGAGAGGCTGGACCCGGCCCAGGAAACCACTTTTTTCCTTCTCCTAGGCCTCCAGGCCTATGATGGGAGGGGCTGCTGTGAAGGTCTCTGACATACCCTGGAGACATTTTCCCTTGTCTTGGTGATTAACATTCGACTTCTCATTATTTATGCAAATTTCTGCAGCCGGCTTGAATTTCTCCCCAGAAAATAGGGTTTTCTTCTCTATTCCATTGTCAGGCTGCAGAATTTCCAGAATTTTATGCTGTGCTTCCTCTTGAATGCTTTACTGCTTAGAAATTTCTTCTACCGGATACCTTAAGTCATCTCTCTCAAGTTCAAAGTTCCACAGATCTCTGGGGCAGAGGCAAAATGCCACCAGTTTCTTTGCCTAGCAAGAGAGACTTTTACTCCACTTCCCAAAAGGTTTCCCATCTCCATCTGAGACCACCTCATCCTGGACTTCATTGTCCATATTACTATCAGCATTTTGGTTAAAGCCATTCAACAAGTCTCTAGGAAGTTCCATACTTTCCCACATCTTCCTGTTTTCTGAGCACTCCAATTCTCTAGGAAGTTCCAGAGTTTCCCACATTTTCCTGTTCCAACCTCCACCTGTTACCCAGTTCTAAAGTCACTTCCACATTTTCGGGTATCCTTTTAGCAGCCCTCCATTCTACCTATACCAATTTACTATATTAGTCTATTCTCACGCTGCTATGAAGAAATGACCAAGACTGAGTAATTTATAAAGGCAAGAGGTTTAATTGACAGGAAACTTACAATCATGGCAGAAGGGGAAGCAAACATGTCCTTCCTCACATGGTAGCAGTGAGGAGAAGTGCTGAGCAAAAGAGGAAAAACCCCTTATAAAACCATCAGATCTTGTGAGAACTCACCCACTGTCATGAGAACAGCATGAAGTGTAACCGCCCCCATGATTCAATTACATCCCACCGGGTCCCTCCCATGACACATGGGGATTATGGGAACTATGATTCAAGATGAGATTTGTGTGGGGACACAGCCAAACCATATCAGATCTCCATGATATATAATTTTATTTTATATATATTTTGTGTGCGTGTGTGTGTTTGCGTAAAATATGTTACCATTTATATAAGAAGAATGTGGTATATGTTCTTTTGCATATATATATATATTAGAACATCTTGGAAGGATATATAAGAAATGTATAACATTGACTACCTATGAATATAGTTAATATAATTTAAACTATAAATACAGCTTTGAAAAAACCCAAACTTGCTATAAAGCATTCTGTGGACTGGGCACAGTGGCTTACGCCTGTAATCCCAGCACTTGGGGAGGCTGAGGCAGGCGGATTGCCTGAGGTCAGGAGTTCAAGACCAGCCTGGCCAACATAGCGAAACCCCTTCTCTACTAAAAATACAAAAAAATTAGTTTGGTGTGGTGGCAGGGTCCTGTAATCCCAGCTACTCCGGAGGCTGAGGCAGGAAAATCACTTCAACCTGGGAGGAAGAGGTTGCAGTGAGCCAAGATCATGCCATTGCACTCCAGTCTGGGTGATAGCCAGACTTCGTCTCAAAAATAAAAAGAACTCGTATCAAGACACTTCAGATTTTTCAGGTGTTAATTTGTAATGATGTAATTGCGGCCAAATTGGATTATGTTGTAAACTTTCAGCCAAGTTTATCCAGCTCTTGGCCTGTGGGTCACATGTGGCCCAGGACGGCTTTGAATGTGGCCCAACACAAATTTGTAAACTTTCTTAAAACATTATGAGATTTTTTTGCCCTTTTCTTTTTTTTAGCTCGTTGGCTATCGTTAGTATATTTTGTGTGGCCCAAGACAATTCTTCTTCTTCCACTGTGTATTAGTGTGTTTTCTGTGGCCCAGGGAAGCCAAAAGATTGGGCACTCCTGCTTTAAACAATTGCATTTTATATTTTATTATACAAGAAAAGCAAAGTTTGTTTAATTTAAATCCAACAATTTAATTTGCATTTTTACTTCACTAATCTAGGTATGGATGGCAGAACAGAAAATATCATATGATAAGAAGAAACAAGAAGAATTGATGCAGCAATATCTTAAAGAACAAGAATCATATGATAATAGGTAAGAAATTCTGTTATGCCAGTATATCTAGAATTATCAATTTCATGGGAATAATTTCCTACTGAATGATATATTAAGTCAGTTTTTTGGAATCAAATACCCAATTATAGGATTCGTGTCTTTCCGTGAGGGCTATCTCTTTTACTCTCATACCTGTAGATGACCACTTTTTCCAGCTTTACCCATAATTCACGTAAAATATAGATTCACGTGACTCATATACAGTCTTTGAGCAAGTCTCAAATTAGGCAAAGCTTAGAAGAACAATCATGTCTACACTTGAACTGCTGAGACCTCTTACAGACTTATTTCTTTAACACAAAAGATACCCAGCATACTTTCAAGAGGAAAGGTAAAGTGACTTTATTTGACACGCATGTCATTGTTCTGTTAAAAGCTGTTTCGTGGCTAGAGTTCTTCATTGGTGTCTTCTAACATGGTACCTGCCTTTAACTATTGTGTTTGTATATGCAGATCTAACACTGAAGCTGGTTTCTCTTGGTTAATCTTAAGCCACTGAATAGTGGTGTTTTGGTAAATTGCCCATGAAGTTCAGTTTTCAATCAAAATATGGAATTTAGCAAACTAATACTAAACTATTACTACTCTTTAAAATATAATATATTGAGAGGAAAGTTAAAGAAATAAAAGTTAAGTAGCTTTCTCACTAATTTTATTTAATCTTAGTAACTTTTATTGAGTACTCCATGCATGGCAATAAGTGGTATTATAGGGACCTATAAAAGTGTGTGAAGTGTAGTTTATCCTTAAGAAACCCTAGTAAGAGATACAAATACATATAGTTGAAGGCCAAATATAATAACTGATATATTAAAAACATACACTGCTTTTAAAAATACAGCATGTTAGTATAGGAAATAATAATTCCATTTAGGTTAACAGAAGACTTTATGGAAGAGGTGACATTTAAGCTGAACTCTGAAGAATGATAAGGATTTAGATAGGTGGTTCTCAACTGAGCGCCGTTTTTTGCGCCCTCCCTGCCACCCTGCCCAGGGAACGTGGCAATGTTTGGAGACATTGTTTTGATTGTCACAACTGCGGACTGGGGTGCTATCAACATCTAGTGGGTGGAGACTATGGATGCCGCAAAACAGCCTACAATGCACAGGACAGCTCCACACAACAAAGAACTATCTAGTTCAAAATGTCAATAGCATCACTGTTTAAAAACCCTAATTTGGTCGGGCGCAGTGGCTCATGCCTGTAATCCCAGCACTTTGGGAGGCCAAGGCGGGCAGATCACCTGAAGTCGGGAGTTCGAGACCAGCCTGACCAACATGGAGAAACCCCGTTTCTACTAAGAAATACAAAGTTAGCCAAACCTGGTAGTGCATGCCTGTAATCCCAGCTACTCAGGAGGCTGAGGCAGGAGAATTGCTTGCACCTGGGAGGCAGAAGTTGTGCTAAGCCAAGATCACGCCACTGAACTCCAGCGTGGCCAACAAGAGCGAAACTCCGTCTCAGATAAACAACAACAACAAAAACCTTATTTTTATATTATTAATAGTAAAAACATATTGGAAAATGGAGAGGGTATTCAGGAAACAGTTGTTGAGTTAGAGGGATAAAAACAGAGTGGAGGTGAAAAACTAGGTTTGAAACAGATCACAGTGTTCATGTTTATTCTTTATCTTTAAAAAAAGTTACTATTTTCCCTTTTAATTAATATTTGAAGCCCTGCAAATACCCTGTTTCTCCTTGGACTTTTGCCTAATTTTGGTATTCATCAGTAGATCTTGCTTGCATCAATTATATATTTCTGTGATGTTCTAATGGTTATTTTCTATTTCTATCATTCCCTCTACATTTATTAATTTGAATTCCTCTGTAAGGAAGAATTTCCCTTATCTAGTTACTATTAATTTTCTATCAATATGGACTCATGGCTGTTTATTTAATTCTTTGGATTATAATATAATACTATTGTTACTTATTTTCTTGCTCCAGTTGTTTCAGTTTGGGCCATTGAGAGCTCTGTTAGATTGGCTCGTATATCCATTTAACATGCACCAACCCTGTTTTGTTTTGTTTTTTTAATGCTGCTTCTGGTCCCACAAGGTGGTCAGACTCGTCTTTTATTTTCCCTGCTGCAGCATTGGAATCAACCAGTTTTCTTAGGCACCCAGATTCCTTTCATTGGTGAATGATATTTAGAAACCACGATCTGAGCACTAAGTGTGTTCATTGCTACTAAGATATTATTACTTCTAGGTTTGGTCATTTGAATGCAAATTTATGAGTAATTGGTCATTTGCCAAGTGTTTATTTCTTCCTCATTCAAAAGTACTGTTTTTGATAGCCAATTTCATTCTTCAGTAATCTATTGTTTCTCTTTTGTTTTTACTGTCCTAGAGATTTCTTAATGTTTATTATATCAATCACCTTAGTCGCTTTATACTTTTTTCCTAAGATGAAAAAAAAAATTTTTTTTTTTTTTTTTTTTTTGAGAGGAAGGTCTCACTCTGTTGCCCAGGCTGGAGTGCAGTGGTATGATTATGTCTCACTGCAGCCTCAAACTTCTGGGTTCAAGCGATCCTCCTGCTTCGGTCTCCTGAATAGCTGGAACTACAGGCACACACCACCACACCCAGCTAATTTTTTCTTTTTTGTAGAGACAGGGTCTCTCACTCACTGTGTTGATCAGTCTGATCTTGAACTCCTGGACTCAAGCAATCCTCCCGCCTTGGCCTCCCAAAGTGCTGGGATTACAGGCATGAGCCGCCATGCCCAGCTGAAAATCACATTTATTATTCTGTCTAGATACATACAAAGATTTTATGGGATGTCAAAAAAATCTATGTAAATTTTCAGTTGAGGTTGAAACAAAAATACCAATATTATACCTTTACCTTTTATTTTATATATGTCTTGAATTTTGCATAAAGTGGAAAACAATCTTTTAGTTTGGGTTTTATTATTATTTTTTTTCAATATAAATGAATTGGGCTGGGCACAATGGCTTATGCCTGTAATCCCAACACTTTGTGGCAGGAGGATTGCTTGAGTCCAGGAGTTTGAGACCAGCATGGGCAACATAGTGAGACTTTGTCTCTAAAAAAAACCCCAAAAAACAAAGAGAAATAAATAAAAAATACACATATAAATGAAATGGTTTGTCTGTGGGTTTTTTTGTAAAATATATATTGCATAAAATTTACCATTTTAAGTGTGCAATTCAGTGTACCCTTAAATTCAGTGTGGTGAACCATCATCATTTCCAAAACTTTTTCGTTATCTCAAACAGAAACTTTGTAACCATTAAACCATTAAAGAATAATTCCCTATTCCCCTTGGCCCACAGCCCCTGGCAACCACCATTCTACTTTCTGTGTCTATGAATTTGCCTATTCTAAATGCCTCATATAAATTGAATCATATATTTGTTCCTTTGTGTCTGGCTTGTTTCACTTAGTATAATGTGTCCAAGGTTCATATATGTTGTAATATGTATCAGCACTGTATTCCTTTTTGTGGCTGAATAATTCTCTTTTGTATGTACATACCACATTTTGTTTATCCATCTGTTTGAGTATTGGGTTACTTCCACCTTTTGGCTATTGTGAATAATGCTGCTATAAACATTGGCATAGAAATACCTGGTCAAGTCCTTGTTTTTAGTTCCTTTGGGTATATACCTAGGAGTGGAATTGCTGGATCACATGGTAGGTTTATATTTAGCGTTTTGAGGAACCATGAAACTGGTTGTCACAGTGACTACACAATTTTACATTTCCTACTAGTAATGGACTTGGGTTTCAGTTTCTCCATATCCTCTCTAACATTTGTTATTTTCTTTTTTTTTTTTTTTTTTGGAAGATAGCTAGCCAGTAGGTGCAAGGTGATATCTCATTGTGATTTTGATTTGCATTTCCCTAATAACTAGTGATACCGAGCTTGGCTTTCAGTGTATTTGATTTTGATTTTTTTTTTTTTTTTTTTTTGAGACGGAGTCTCACTCTATCACCCAGCCTGGAGTGCAGTGGTGCGATCTCGGCTCACTCCAACCTCTGCCTGCGAGGTTCAAGCGATTTTTGTGCCTCAGCCTCCCAAATAGCTGGGACTACAGGTGCCTGCCACCACGCCCGGCTAATTTTTGTATTTTTAGTAGAGACGGAGTTTCACCATGTTGGCCAAGCTGGTCTCGAACTCCTGACCTGAGGTGATCCACCCGCCTCAGCCTCCCAAAGTGCTGGGATTACAGATGTGAGCCCCCGTGCCCAGCTGATTTTGATATTTTTAATGATGTGAATTTAAAATGTAACTTATACACCTGTTTAAAGTGTTTGTTGTTTTTAAGTATATTTAGACTTTTGGAGCCATCACTGTAATCTAATTTCAGAACATTTGCATTATCCAAAAAAGAAATCTTCTACCCATTAGCAGTCACTTCTCATTCCCCTGCCTTTTTCTCCTTCTACCTCTCAGCACTGAGCAGCCACTAATTTACTTGCTGTCTCTATAGATTTACCTATTCTGGACATGACCTATAAATTAGATCATATGTCATGTGGTCTTTTGTGACTGGCTTCTTTCACATAGCATAATGCTTTTGAAGTTGACCCACGGTATTGCATATACTAGTACTTCAGTCCCTTTTATTGCTGAATATCACTCTATTTATATCTACATATATTGGATGTAGATCCCTGTGGCCTTTTGCTTCTTTTTTACAGGTCTTTATAGAATCCAGTGGATATAAGGAGAGGAATTATACTCATGTCATATATCCTTTGTGATTGTCTTTTCCAAATATAAGGAGAAATTATATTCACTCTTTAGCCTCCTTCTTTATTATTTTTACTTGGATCTTATGAATTAAAACTTTGACTGAACCAGTCATTCCATTTGTTACAGAGCTTTTTTTTTCTAAAAAGCCTAGTGTATCTTTTTTTAAACAGAGCTCAAACAGGGAACTTTGAGTGTTAAAACAGAACTATAAAGAATGTGATTTTTGTCATGCACCAGACACTGAGTCCATCATACTACTTGGCATGTGTAGACTTTTTTGCTATTGTTGTTTTTGAGACAGAGCCTGGCTCTGTCGCCCAGGCTGGAGTCCAGTGGCACGATCTCGGCTCACTGCAACCTCCGCCTCCCACATTCAAGTGATTCTCCTGCCTCAGCCTCCCGAGTAGCTGGGATTACAGGCACGCAGCACTACGCCTGGCTAATTTTTGTATTTTTGGTAGAGACGGGGTTTCTGCATGTTGACCAGGCTGGTCTCAAACTCCTGACCTCAGGTGATCTACTTGCTTTGGCCTCCCAGCGTGCTGGGATTACAGGTGTGAGCCACTGTGCCCAGCTGCAGACTTTTATTCTTTTTTCACTGGCCTCACGAAAGAATTTTATTTTCTCATTTACTGTGACTCTTACAAGCCCTGATTGGATTTGACTTCCTAAAGAAATCCCTGAGAGACTTATTTTTTCCAAAACTGATTCCTTTGCCTTTTCTTTTTTTGGTGGGAAAAAACAAAACCGTTTGATCCCTTACAATCAAGAAAAAGTGTTGGCACTATTTAACTTAATTGTAAATTTGTGATGGCATATGGGATTTCAAAGTTGTCATAATTTCCACAGCATTTCAGGGTTTAAGAAAATCCTGTAAGAAAAATGACCATGTTATTTTTCCCCTTTTTTGTTAGGATGGGTAGGATCTCTCAGGTAGTAAGAAAGTCTCAGAGCTTATAACTAGTTACTAAAGAGACAGCACTGTTTAATTTCCATTCAGATGTAATCTAGTTAGTGGAGTAAAGTTTTAGAACTCTGTTTCTAACAAAAATATTTTATCTTAATTCCCTTAGGCTTTTTGGTGGGGAGTGGATTATTCTATAATTTTTTTTTTTGTCCTACATAAAATCGTTAACTTTGTCTTGTTTCACTTAGATTGCTTATGGGAGATGAACGTGTAAAGAATGGCCTTAATTTCATGTATGAAGCCCCACCAGGAGCTAAAAAAGGTACTTATCTTCTTCCGTTTCTTTTTTTCTTTCTTTTTTTTTTTTCTGAGGCACAGTCTTGCCCTGTCGTCCAGGCTGGAGTGCAGTGGTGCCATCTCAGCACACTACAACCTCCATCCACCTCCTGAGTTGGAGCAATTCTCCTGCCTCAGCCTCCCGAGTAGTTGGGATTACAGGAGCACGCCACCACGCCTGGCTAATTTTTGTATCTTTAATAGAGACAGAGTTTCACCATGTTGGCCAGGCTGGTCTTGAACTCCTGACCTCGTGATCCACCTACCTCGGCCTCCCAAAGTGCTGGGATTACAAGCGTGAGCCACCGCACCTGGCCTCCTTCCTTTTCTTTTAAGTCTTTGATGTGTTTGCAGCTAAACATGGAAAAGTACTATGACAGATATTTTTTTAAAGTTGCTCTCCATCTTTTAAAATTGCTGTTATCCTGTGAAGATAATAAAAACTATAATCATACAACAGAATAAATACTAAAAAATATCTTTCTAATCTGATAATATTTCATAATGTGCCCTTTGAGAAGGAAGAAACTTTCATGTCCAAAGTACACTTATTCTTTAATAATTTGCATATGTATCTTTAGTCCTTCTTACTAAATATTTAATGCATTTGTAAATAAAAAACATAATATTCACTGTCAATGAACAGTGAAAAGTTTAAAAACTGTGAATTAACATACTTATTAATTTTAATTTTGTATTTTGTCCTGCAATAGTCTGAATTTTTATCATGTGAAAGAAGAAAAAAAGTCAAACCAATGAATTCTTACAAGTGACAATTAAATAACATGATATCATAGTGTATACAGTAGATTTTTATATTGAAGTTTTTAACTTGTCATACCTTTTTTCTTCCATATTTTTGATATGCAATCAAGAAAACAAAGAGGTAAAGTACTATTTTCTATGTCTGAATTTACTTGCAGTTGATTGTATTATATGGAAAAATTAAAAGAATTTTCAATGAATGTTTTTAGAAAGAAGAAACAGAAGGAGAGACCGAATACAAATTTGAATGGCAGAAAGGAGCCCCACGAGAAAAGTAAGGACTGGTTTACTTTTAAGACAAGATATGTATCATTAAGTTTACATTTACTGATATCCCATCTTATGTTGCTTTTTCAATCATTAGAGGAGGCAACTGATGTGAAAAGTTATCTTTAATGATTTTAATTAGCTGTCTTATTCAACTAATCTGCTTGCTCATAGTCTTTTGTTTTATATACTTTTTCATTTTTTTAATATCACAAATTATCAGACTAGACACATAATAACTAAATGGTGTTTGGAAATACTAGATAGATTTTATAGTTCTGTATTCTTACTGAAGTAATATATTTCATAATGTTCTTAGAACTGTAAAACTATTTTTCTGATTAACTGCTGTTTAATTTTTTAAATTATTCTTAATATTGTGTTTGTACATTTCCTCTATTTAATAGATATGCCAAAGATGACATGAACATCAGAGATCAGCCCTTTGGTATTCAGGCAAGTGACACATATTTTACTCTGTAAGAATAATTTTTATTTAATAAATGTATCTTTATATTGTTGTCTAAAAGGTGTTTAAGCTGAAAAGGGGCACTATGGTTTTTATTTGTATCAGATAATATAAGGAATAGAGGAGAAAACATAAAATGTAGTAGGCTGATAAAAGACAGAAATCAGGCTGGGTGTGGTGGCTCATGCCTGTAATTTCAGCGCTTTGGGAGGCCGAGGCGGGCGGATCACAAGGTCAGGAGTTCGAGACCAGCCAGGCCGACATGGTGAAACCCTGTCTCTACTAAAAATGCAAAAAATTAGCTAGCCATGGTGGCAGGCGCCTGTAATCCCAGCTACTCAGGAGGCTGAGGCAGGAGAATCGCTGGAACCCAGGAGGTGGAGGTTGCAGTGAGCCGAGACTGCACCATTGCACTCCAGCCTGGGCAATAGAGCGAGACTCCATCTCAAAAAAAAAAAAAAAAAAAAAAAAAGACAGGAATCAAACTTTTATAGTGAGAGCTATAATGATATTGGTCTCTGCAGTTTTCAAAAAATTTGGAGAATCAGCTCAAGGTCAAGAAAAGATTTAAATCTATTATTGGTTTAGAATCGGGACAGACTATCATCAGAGGGCAAATCCTTGTAAAGAAAGTTTTATTGGAACACCGCTTTGCCTATTCATTTACTTATTGGCTGTGGCTGCTTTCCCACTGCAGCAGCAGAGTTGAGTCGTTAGAATAGACAACATCTGTCCCAAAAAGCCTAAAATATTGACTACATTTGGACCTTTACAGAAAATGTTTACCAGCTCCAGGTTTTGAAATTTGAAACTTTAAAGGTTTACTTATTAAAATGAGAGAATTTAAGCTTAAATTCTTCACATAACGCCCTAATTCTTTTTGGTATTTTACCATTTCTTTTTGGATGACATTATATTGCCACCAAGTGAGAGGCAAAAAGAAATGGGATTCAGCTTAGTTTCTAGGCAAAATTTATAGTGAAAGATTTTAGTCTTTGTATTAAATTACCAAACATAGTTTGGAGTCTTTTTCCCTGGAGATCTTTTAAAAATGTAATTTAGCTTAAATTCTATCAAGGAATAGGAATTTGAACATTGGTTAGATTCTTACTTTTTTAGTAACCAAAATCACATTCATTATTTCTCAGGTTCGAAATGTGAGGTGCATTAAATGTCACAAATGGGGTCATGTCAACACAGATCGAGAATGTCCTTTGTTTGGTCTTTCTGGAATCAATGCAAGTTCGGTTCCCACTGATGGCTCAGGTAGGCACTAGACATGATTTGTTTCGGGAGAGGACAAACAAGGAAAGATAAAACAACATTTTTCTTTACTCTTTCTGGGTATTGTTTTATTTGGGTTTGTGTGTGGGGCTTGTTTGTTTGTTTTTGACTAAGACCATTCCCAAAATATGATTAATGGGAAACTCTGATCATATATGTTGAATTAAAATGCTGTGTAATAGGATTAAGTTTAATTTTTCCAGCCAAAGGCCCTATGAACTAAGTTTTAAAGTAAAATACATTAAACATAGTTTATCAGGCTAGTAGCCTAAAAATGGAAGGAAAAAATGCTTATTTCTCATACTCATATCCTGAATTATAAAAATAGACTGTACTGAAAGCCTCAGCAGCCATCTCTTTTTAGTACAGAGGTAAAAACAAAGCTGAGTATGTTAAAATTGTTTTTTACTTAAAGTTACTTACTGTCCTACATATTACTGTCTACTTCAGAAAAATTGATCTAATTTGGTTTAGATTATTTTGGTTCTTTTTCTAAAGAGATATTAAACTGAGAAGTTTTAACTTAAATTTATTAGTGCTTTGTTAGTATATTATTGAAACAGGCACAATAATCCAACCCTAACCTGTAATAGATCATAATAGAAATAATCTGTTTAATCCTGTAACCTTAAGCAAGTCCTTTCACTTTTATGAACTTCAGCTCCTTATTTTAAAATAAGGGTGATAGTATAACTCAGAGATTTTTTGCATTTTTAAAGCAGCTAGAGAACCTTTTTTTTTTCTTTTAAGAAATCTTACATGAAACCTCAGTATACAGAACATATAAAAGCAGGGCTGCTCTATTGAAGCAGATGCTCTGGGCATGAAGCCCTGTCCTCTCAGGCCACCAAGGCCTGTGATGCACCTCCTTAGACTTCCTTTGGCTTTCACTGCTGCCTCATTCTGAGCCCAGGGTTTACCCTCAATCAACATACGTTCTTCAGCCACTAATCACTAGCTAGAGATCCTGCTTCTTTCCAGCAAGCTGATTCAGGCTATAGGGTTCAAAGTGCCAGTTCTCCTATTAGGGGTTTAGGAATTTGATGAATAAGTTTGGTTTTTTTTTTTTTTTTTTTTTTTGAGATGGCGTCTGGCTCTGTTGCCCAGGCTGGAGTGCAGTGGCGCAATCTCGGCTCACTGCAACCTCCAATTTCCGGGCTCAAGCTCTCTTCCCACCTCAGCCCCCCGAGTAGCTAGCTGAGACTACCGACACACACACCACCATGCCTGGCTAGTTTTTGTATTTTTTAATAGAGATAGGGTTTTGCCATGTTGCCTAGGCTGGTCTTGAACTCCTGGGCTCAAATTGATCCACCTGCCTCGGCCTCCCAAAGTGCTGGGATTACAGACATGAGCCACCATGCCTGGCCAGTAACCACCTTTTAAGTAGAAGGAAACTATTTGTGCAGTTTAAGTAGAAGGAAATTATTCGCTCAGTATTGTCAGGTGACACAACAGGTCTGGCAATCTCTGACAAAAGAACATCCCACTGATACCCCAGTACAGGTACCCTTAAAAGCTTACATACCTAATGCCTCCTCCTCCCTTGCCCCCAGCTAACTAGTAGAAGAAGGGAGAAAGGCCTCAAAGGAAATAAAGCCCCAAAGAAAATGGAGTGGTGTGTGTTATATACCCGTTGGCTCAAATATTTCTGACCACTTCTTTTTTAGTCACAGGGATTTGTTGTTATATCTGCAAGTATAACCTGTTTTCTGGAAAGGGTTGCATCTTATCTTTTCTTTCACTCGAACTTTATAGTGCCCCTATGACTGCATGACTCATGGGTTGACTTGGGACAGGCAGAAGTAGTGGTTGTCTTTATGCCTCAGCCTTGTGTAACTCTGATCCTGAGTAGTATAGACTCCAGACTCAGTGCTTTCTTTTAATAATCAGTAGACTTGATTTTCTTTGAGTCTGTATTAGAAAGTCTGCTAACATTCAAAAGAACTTGTGCTAACTGAATAGTTAACCTGTTTTTAAGAGTATTGAAAACACTAAAACCTCAAAAAAACATGCCCATAATTATGTGAATTCAGATATAATAAAGCTGGTTATTGGCTCTTCTCCAGCCCTCCATTTCTTTCTTTTTTTTTTTTTTTTTTTCCCTGAGACAGAGTCTCGCTTTGCCACCCAGGCTGGAGTGTGGTGGCACGATCTTGGCTCACTGCGAGCTCCGCCTCCCAGGTTCATGCCGTTCTCCTGCCTCAGCCTCCCGAGTAGCTGGGACTACAGGTGCCTGCCACCACGCCTGGCTAATTTTTTTGTATTTTTAGTAGAGACAGGGTTTCACCATGTTAGCCAGGATGGTCTTGATCTCCTGACCTCATGATCCACTCGCCTCGGCCTCCCAAAGTCCTGGGATTACAGATGTGAGCCACCGCGCCCGGCCCTCCAGCCCTCCATTTCTATTCATTAACCTTATAATAACTCAGTCACTCAATTTATACAATTGACATTTTTGGAACCCTCTTATGGTGGGGTTTTACTGTGGTACTATTCCTTAGTAAAATGAACTTTTTCAGGATCAAGTGAATGAAGTAGAAAAAATGCTCAAGTATTTGGTTCCTATCAAGTTTTAACATTTATGTAACCAGGCTTAAGAAGTCTACATATTAGTGATTCTTTTTCTCTATCTAAATGAATTGAGCACCTGGGTGGGAGAAGATGAGAACATTACCTTTGTGGAAATAGTATGGTTTCTCTGCATGAGGCGGATACCCCTAACATATAAAATGTTCTTTCAGGGCTGGGCATGGTGGCTCTTGCCTGTAATCCCAGCACGTTGAAAGCCCAAGGCAGGAGGATTGCTTGAGCTCAGGAGTTTGAGACCAGCCTGGGCAACGTGATGAAACCCCATCTCTACAAAAAATACAAAAAATTCTAGCTGGGCTTGGTGGTCTGCACCTGTAGTCACAGCTACTTGAGAGGCTGAGGCAGGAGGATTGTTTGAGCCAGAAGGTTGAGGCTGCAGTGAGCCAGGTTTGCACCACTGTGCTCCAGCCCAGGTGACAAAGCGAGACTATCTCAAAAACAAAAATGTTCTTTCAAGTCAATAAGAAAAAGATGAACACGCAAACATAAAGGAGCAAAGGACATAAAGATAGTTTACAAAAGGAGGAATTCAGATGACCATTAAACATATGAAAATATTTTCAACATTAATAACCAAAGGAATGAAAACTAAATATGTTACCTTTTTGCCCATCGAACCTTGGTAAAGATTTTTAAAAAGTATGCATCCAATATTGGCACAAGTGTGGTAAAATGAACATTTTATTTTGTTTTTTGGTTTTTTTTGAGACGGTGTCATCCTGTTGCCCAGACTGGAGGGCAGTGACACGGGTCTCAACTCACTGCAACCTTTGCTTCCCAGGCTCAAGCAATCCCCTCACCTCAGCCTCCTGAGTAGCTGGGACTCACAGGCATAAGCCACCATGCCCAGCTAATTTTTGTACTTTTTGTAGAGATGGGGTTTCACCATGTTGCCCAGGCTGGTCTCAAACTCCTGAGCTCAAATGATCATCCCACCTCAGCCTCCCACAGTGCTGGGATTACAGGTGTGATATACCGTGCCCAGCCAAAATGAACATTTTAATCCTCTCTTGATAAATTAGAGCAACCTTTCTGGAGAGGTTATATATTTGCTGATATATATCAAAAGCCTGAAAAACATGCATACCTTTTTACCTAGAAATTTGCCCTCCAGTAATTTATTTAAAAAAGTGATAAGGCAGATTTTCAAAGATTTATAGTAGTGAAAGATTGGCAACAACCCTAAATGTTCATCAGTGGTTTGTAAGATAAACATATTTATTCAATCATCATTTATGGAGCACTTTTTCTGTGCCAGGCCTTGTTCTAGGCTCTAGGAACAGAATACCAAAACCTTTCATTATATTGGGAATGACACACAGTAAACTAATAAATAAGAAAATCTCAGGTATTTATAAGTGCTGTGATGAATGTTTAATTGGTTACTGTGATAAGAACTAAATGGGGAATTACTTTAGATTAAGTGATCAGGAAGGGCTCCTCTAAGGAAGCAATGTTAAGCTGAGACCTAAATGACAGGAAGGATGCTGGCATGCAAGACATGGGAAAAGAGTATTGAGCATCTTAGGCAAAAGGAATAACCTTTCGTATAGAGGAAACCATCAGTTCTGAGAAGCCATGTACTTAGCGGTTAAGCACACAGACTGAGGAGCTGTGGAGCTACACAGCTGCCAGGTTTACAGCCAGGCATCTTTGTAGCTCCATACGTAGCTAACTGCTTTGCTACTTAGTGTCTGTGTAACTTTAGGCAAGCTGCTTAACATCTCTCTGCCTGCATTTGCTTAATTCTTAGAACTGAAGTTTTTTGCTTACTTTTTGAAATAATTGTATTTGCCAATTCTGTATTTGACATCTTGCACATCAGCCAGTAAGTTTTATTTTTTTGAACCCAAGCTCATAGAAGATACAGGCACAACCCCTGATTTACAATCTAATCAGACACATCAAAATAACATAGAGTAATCCCAGTTTACAACCTAGTCAGGAAAACAAAGTACAGTATTACGTAAGGCTCTATTTAATAGAGAGTAACTGAGTGTTAAATTATGTAGCTAATAGAGGAGGTGGGACTAAAATGAGCTTTGAAGAATTAAAACTTAGGTAGAAAGAAAGGTTGACCAAAAAAGAAAGATTCAAAGAAAAACATAAGCACAGAAGATTTAACTTGGATGACTTTAAATGATAGCAACAGATTTAAATGGCTCTCAAAAAGCTGGCCGAAAGGGCTTGGCCACTGATGCTGTAGCCAGTGTTTACTCAAACTTACCTAATGTAAAGGTTCACTTAAGTATTTTGTGTAAATGTTGGTTCCCAAGCCCCTGTTGCAGAGGGGCTGTTGTAGAAGAGCCCTGAGAGGAGGGAGAAGTCTGAGCATCTTACTCTCCAAGATGACGTTCACGATCTGAAAGTTTGGTGAAACCATTGTAAGCAAAATTAATGCCATGGAAGAGTGTGTGTGTATGTGTGTGTGTATGTGTGTGTTTTGCTTGTGAGAAACAGGCAAAACATACACACACACACACAGGGGGATAGTATTGAGGAAAAGGAAAGGTGGTAATGTGTTGAAAGAGCTTTTTTTTTTTTTTTTAAGGTGAGGGAAGACATTTTCAACATTTCTAATTTTTCACCATTGTAAACAGTCTAAATATCCAGCCCTAGGGGAATGGCAAAGTCAACTGTTGATATCTTGAGTAAACTAAGGAATACAATTGAATCTATGCTATGATTCTAATATAAATCTATGGGCATGTAAATTAGGACTGGAAAGAAACAGAAAAATTAAAATAGTATGTTAATTAGGTGAAATTACAGGTAATTTTATTTTTATATTAAAATGTGTGATTAAAAAGAAACTTAAAATTTAGGCTTTTCAAACATTGACTGTCACATGATATTCTTCAGAAGGCTAATGTTTTCCTTTGTACTCCTGTATTAAACTTATTTTCAGAATAATTGGAACAGCTAAAAAAAGCAGAGTTACTGGTGTGTTGTAAAGGCTATGTTCATGATGAGAAATAACTAGCCGACTGAATTAATTCTTTGTCTCAGTCTTATAGAATAAGATGCTAGGGAAATTTCCATTTCCAGTTTTTCCATTCAAACTGACATGGTTTGAGAACAAATACTTGTAAATACATTGGATATTTTAATTTCTTAAATCTTGTATCTTAGAATGTCTGAACTCTATGATAAAATTATGATTTAAAAAATCAGTAACTTTCACCATCTGTGATGCCACATAAAATGATGAAAGTTACTGATCTATTTCTTAGGCATCATCAAGGTTGAGAACCATCAGCTTAAACTATATGTAAGAACAATTGACGATTTGGGAGCAAAGTACATTTTTCTGTTTCTTTAAATTATGTTTTACTTATTACAAAGTCATGAATCTACCCTAAGGAAATAATCATGGATATGTTCAAACATTCAGTCACAAAGGATTGTATATAATATTACAGTAAAAGAGAGGCCAGGCTCGGTGGCTCACACCTGTAATCCCAACTCTTCGGGAGGCCAAGGCAGCCAAATCATCTGAGGTCAGGAGTTTGAGACCAGCCTGGACAACACTGAGAAACCCTGTCTCTACTAAAAATATAAAAATTAGCTGGGCGTGGTGGTGGCGCCTGTAATCCCAGCCACTCAGGAGGCTGAGGCACGAGAATCGCTCAAACCTGGGAGGCAGAGGTTGCGGTGAGCTGAAATTGTGCCACTGCACTCCAGCCTGGGCTACAGAGAAAAAAAAATAGAGAAAGAACACCTAGATATCTAATAAAATGATATTAAGTGAGTAATTATAGAATATTGTTACAGTGGAATATTATCCCATTAAATGATATGAAGATTTCTTAATGATATGGACATTGTTTACAACCTTTGGTCAAATAAGAAAAGCAGGTTATGAAACAGTAGTTACATTTGTGTTTCTCTTTGTATCTTTAGGTAGACATGTAGACAGAGAGACAGATACTTTTAGAAAAAGGATTGGAAGGAGATAGACAAATATTAACAGTGGTTGTGTCTGGGTGGTAGGATTACTTGCGACTTTTAATTTCATCTTTTTGGCTTACCTGTAATTCCATTAGTGAAGGTACATTACATTTATAAGTTTTTTAAATTAACATTGTTTTAGAAGAATTAAAAACTGTACATAGAAGTAAATTATTTAAAATTGAATTGCTCAATTAATGCCTTTAAAGTTTGACTTAAAATTTAGCAGTAGTACTTAACTAAAGCTAATAGAAACTCTTAAAGATTTCTCAAAATCAAAATCAAAATTCTGTATGAAATAGGAAAGCAAATAATGATGTTGTGTTCTGAATTTGAATGCAATGAAAAATAAACTGACCAATTTTCTAATCCACTTGCTGATTCAAGCTACAAAAAAAGTCTTTTCATTTAAAAAAAAATCACCTATTGAATAATGTCTCACCAGTGAATAGAGATTATTTTTGCAATAAGGCAATTTCAGTGGATGTGGTTATCATGGGATAATCACACTCCTGGGGTACAGCCTTGTGCCTGTAATCTCTCAGGAGTGTAATTATTTCATGATAACCACACCCCCTGGTGTTGCATTATTTCTATTATGAAATTCTTAGTTTAGTATATAAAGTAACTTACTTTGATCACTGGAAACTGCAAGGTGCTGTTAGAATGTTCCAGCTGTGAGGTTTACAGAGACCAGCATAAGATTTACTTCTCCTTTGCAAAGTTAAATTAGGCAATCAAAATGCTTCTTTGGGCTAAAATGGTTTAGAATATCTTTTCTACTGATAAGATCATCTTAACTTTATAAGTTTTCATCCACTCCAGATAATCAAAATTATATGTAAAACTTGTAAGCTTCAGTGCTGACTGAATTTTTATAAAATATTTTTATACTACAATACAATTAAATGGCCAGCCCACCTGGCTTTTATCTATATTCTATAGCCCTTATTCTTATCATTGACTCTTAACATCTGTCAGCTACTTGTGTTTTTAATGTATATTTAAATTAAACATTTTTAAATCCACAGTGGGATATATCAACAGCAAGTTTGTTTTCTTTTAACAACTTTCGTGAACTATAATTTGCATACCATACAATTTACCTATTTGAAGCATACAATTCAATGGCCTTTAGTATATTCACAGAGTTATACATCCATCACCACAGTCAATTTTAGAATATTTTTGTTACCCAAGAAAGATACCTGTTAGCCCTCACCCTCTAGTCCCCAGCCTCAGGCAACCACCTAATTTTTTCTGTCTCTATAGATTTGCCTACTCTGTACTTTTTATATAAATAGAATCATATAATATGAGTGAAAGAACGTGGTTTTAATACCATTTTCTTTGCCTTTGAATTTCACAGTGTAATACAAGTAAAACCACTGATACCTGCCCCACATTCATCCATGGAGCATTTTTCTTTTCTTTTCTTTTTTTTTTTTTTTGAGACGGAGTCTCGCTCTGTCACCCAGGATGGATTGCAGTGGCTCGATCTTGGCTCACTGCAAGCTCCACCTCCTGGGTTCACACCATTCTCTTGCCTCAGCCTCCCAAGTAGCTGGGACTACAGGCGCCTGCCACCACACCTGGCTAATATTTTTTTTTAGTAGAGATGGGGTTTCACCGTGTTAGCCAGGATGGTCTCAATCTCCTGACCTCGTGATCCGCCCACCTCGGTGTTGCAAAGTGCTGGGATTACAGGCGTGAGCCATGGTGCCCAGCCCGTAGAATGTATTTTTCTGTGATGCTTAAACACATACACACAGCAGAGTGCATAGTCTTATAATAATTAAAGTTTCTAACCCACAAGGGGATAAGAATTTGTGTATAGGTACCTATAAAGCAAATTAATGTTAGTAAGATTGTCAAAATAAATATAAAGCAAAATTCTATCTATTAAGTAATTCTTTTCCCCAAGCAAACAAAGATTTTGCACATCTTTCCATGTTTGAATTGCAGATTTATTTCTTCACAAAGCAAACAGGTAACACTAAACAGTCACTCTGGGCCAGGTGTGGTGGCCCACACCCATAATCTCCTCACTTTGGGAGGCTGAGAGGGGAGGATAGTTCAAGACCAGCGTTTGAGACCAACTTTGGCAACACAGCAAGACCCTATTGCTACAGAAACTTTTTGTAAATAAATAAACAGTTACTGTATAGGAAAGCTAGAGCTGGGGTTGCTGGGAGTGCTAGCTCTCCTTCAGCCTGCTTCTCAACCACCCATTATGCCCGCCGTTGAACTCAGCTCTACACCAGCAGTGATAGTGGATGAACCAGCCCTGAAACTCTAATGCAGGCATGCCTTATTTGATCATGCTTCACTTTCTTGCCCTTTGCAGATGCTGTGTTACAAATTGAAGGTTTCTGGTAAGCCTGTGCTGAGCAAATCTATCAGCACCAGTTTTCCAACCGTATGTGCTTACTTTGTCTCTGGGTCACATTTTTGGTAATTATTGCAATAATTCAAACTTGTATTATTATATCATTATGGTGATCTGTGCTCAGTGATCTTTGACATTACTATCGTAATTGTGTTGAGATGCCGCAAACTGCACCTATAGAAGATGGCAAACTTAATGGATAAACATTTTGTGTATTCTGAATGCTCCACCCACTGCCTCTTCCCTTATCTCTCTCCCTTTCTTCAGGCCTCCCTGTTCTCTGAGACACAATGATATTGAATTTAGGCAATTAATAACCATACAGTGGCCTCTAAGTGTTCAAATGAAAGGAAGAATCACACATCTCTCACTTTAATCAAAAGCTAGAAATGATTAAGCTTTATAAGGAAAGCATGTTGAAAGCCGAGATAGGTAGAAAGGTAGGCCTCCTACACCAATTAGCTAACTTGTGAATGCAAAGGGAAAGTTCTTGAAGGAAATCAAAAGTGCTACTCCAGTGAACACACAAATGAGAAAAAAGTGAAACAGCCTTACTGCTGATATGGAGGAAAATTTAGTAATCTGGATAGAAGTTCAAACCATCCACAACATTCCCTTAAGCCAAAGCAAGGCCCCAGACTCTCTTCAACTCTGTGAAGGGTAATAGAGGTGAGGAAGCTGCAGAAGAAAAGTTGGAAGCTAGCAGAGATTGATTCATAAGGTTTAAGGGAAGAAGCCACAACCCTAACAAAACTGCAAGGTGAAGCAGCAAATGCTGATGTAGAAGCTGCAGCAAGTTCTCCAGAAAATATAGCTAAGATAATTGATGAAGTTAGTTACACTAAACAACAGAGTTTCAATGTAGATGAAACAGCCTTCTATTGGAAAAAGATGCCATCTACGACTTTCATAGCTAGCAGAGAAGTCAGTACCTGGCTTCAGAGCTTCAAAGGACAAGCTGACTCTCTTGTTAGAGGCTAATGCAGCTGGTAATTTCTGAAGCCAATGTTCATTTATCATTCTGAAAATTCTGGGGCCCTTAAGAATTATGCTAAATCTACTTTGCATGTGCTCTGTAAATGGAAGAACAAAGCCTAGATGACAGCACATCTGTTTACAGCATGATTTACTGAAGATTTTAAGCCCATTGTTGAGAATTGCTGCTCAGGAGAAAAGATGCCTTTTAAAATCTTACTGCTCATTTACAATGCACCTAGTGACCCAAGAGCTCTAGGGACAAAGACCAGCCAAATTCCTTATTACACAGCAGTTGTATTTTCATTTTCTTTTTTAGAGACAGGGTCTCTGTTGCCTGAGCTGAAATGCAATGGCACAGTCATAGCTCACTGCAGCTTCAAACTCCTGGGCTCAAGCAGTCCTCCTGCCTTGGTCTCCCAAAGTGCTGGGATTACTGATGTGAGCCACCACGCCCAGCCATTTTCTTTAGTTCAAAATATATATTTTTTAACTTTCTCTTGAGACTACTTTTTTGACTCCTGTGTTTATTTATAAGTGTGTTTTTAGATCTCTAAGTATTTGGGGATTTTCCAGCTATCTTTCTGTTACTGATTTCTGGTTGAATTCCATTATGGTCTGAGAGCATGCTTTGTATGATTTCTATTCTTTTACCTTTGTTAAGGTGTGTCATATGGCCCAGAATGTGGTCTATTTGGTGAATGTTCTATACAAGTGGGAGAAGAATGTATATTCTGCTGTTGTTAGAGGAAGTATTCTATTAATGTTAGTACATCCAGTTGATGGATGGTACTATTCAGTTGAACTATATCCTCCTGATTTTCTGCTTGCTGAATCTGTCAGTTACTGATAGAGGGGTGTTGACATCTCCAGCTATTATCGTGGATTTGTCTATTTCTAAAAACATTTATATATGTTTTTGCCTCATATATTTTGATGCCCTGTTGTTAGGCATGTACACATGGGATTGTTG
This sequence comes from Homo sapiens, assembly GCF_000001405.40. Classification (NCBI taxonomy): domain Eukaryota; kingdom Metazoa; phylum Chordata; class Mammalia; order Primates; family Hominidae; genus Homo; species Homo sapiens. The sequence continues at coordinate 174,368,024 of NC_000002.12, read as the reverse complement.
TGTCTTCCTGGGTAATTGACCCCTTTATAATTTATGTGATGTCTCTCTTTATCCTTGATGATTTTCCTTGCTCTGAAATCTACTTGTCTGACATTAATATAGTTACTCCAGCCTTATCAATTAGTGTTAGCATGGTATATCTTTTTCTGTCCTTTTAATTTATCTGTGTCTTTATTTCTAAAGTAGGTTTCTTGTGGACAGCAATAACATATAGTTGGGTAGTTGGGTCTTTTTTTTTTTTTTATCTACTCAAATAGTCTTTTTTTTTTTTTTTTTTTTAAGAGACAGCATCTCTCTCTCTCTTGCCCAGGCTGGAGTGCAGTGGCGAGGTCATAGCTCACTGTGGTCTCAAACTCCTAGGCTTAAGCTATCTTCCCACCTTAGCCTCCTAAGTAACTAGGATGACAGGCATGCACAATCATGCCCACCAAATATTTTTTTGGTGGGGGACAGAGTCTCGGTCTGTTGCCCAGCTGGAGTGCAGTGGCATGATCTCGGCTTACTGCAACCTCCGCCTCCAGGGTTCAAACGATTCTCCTGCCTCAGCCTCACAAGTAGCTGGGACTACAGGCGCCCCCCACCACACCCGGCTAATTTTTTTGTAGTTTTAGTAGAGACGGGGTTTCACTGTGTTAGCCAGGATGGTCTCGATCTCTTGACCTCGTGATCCGTCTGCCTCGGCCTCCCAAAGTGCTGGGAATACAGGCGTTAGCCACCGCGCCCAATGCCCAGCTAATTTTTTAAAAACTTTTTGGAGAGACAGGCTCTCATTATGTTGCACAGGCTGGTCTTCAACTCCTGGCCTCCTGTCTTGGCCTCCCAAAACACTGGGATTACAGGTGTGAGCCACCACACCCAGCCTCTGTCTTTTAATTGGTGTGTTAAGACCATTCTTATCAAAAGCAATGATTGAAATAGTTGGATTAATATCTACTATATTTGTAATTGTTTTCTATTCATTACCCTAATTTTTTGTTTCCTTTTTTTGTCTCTTAGTTTCTGTTTTCTCTGGTGTTAATTGAGCATTTGATAGGAATCCATTTTATCTCCTCTTTTAGCATATTAATTATACTCTAAAAATTTTTTTAGCGATTGCCCTAGAACCACTTTTGTATGTATGCCACAGTTGTAAATATGGATTTACAACTAATCTAAGTCCACTTTCGAATACTATACAATTTCATGGTTAGTACAAGTATCTCATAACAGAGTAACCCAATTCCTGTTCTACAACTGAATAGCTCCCTCGCATCCCTTATAACATTGCTGCCATACATTTCATTCATACCTAAGCTGTAATACCCAGTATTTTGCAGTTTTCATTGTTTTGAACAAACCTGTCTTTTAGATCAGTTAAGAATATGAAAAATAAAAGATTGTATTTTACAAACTTCATTTCTTTCTCAAACATTCTGCCTTTCTTTATGTAGATCTGAGTTTCTGGCTTATATCATTTTCCTTCTCACTAAGGAGCTTCTTTTAATATTTCCTTCAAGACAAGTCTACTGGCAAAAAATTCCTCCATTTTTGTTGTCTGAGAAGGTCTTTATTTCTTCTTCACTTTTGAAGGATACTTGCACTAGATACTAAATTTCTTCATCTTTGATTTTTTCACAGTGTGAATGTGATATGCTTAGGTATAGATTTTTTGGTATTTATCTTGCTTGGTGTTTTCTGGGCTCTGGATATGTGGTTTGGTATATATCGTTAGTTTTGGGAAATCCTCAGCCATTGTTATTTCAAATATTTCTTCTGTTCCTTTCTCTCTATTCTTCTATTATTTCCATTATACACATGTAACACCTTTCATAATTGTCCCACAGTTCTTGAATATTCTTTTTCTTTTCTCTCTTTTCAGTTTGGGAAGTTTCCACTGACATATCTTAAAGCCCACTGGTTCCTTCCTCCTGAGGAGCCCGTCAAAGGCATTGTAAATATGAATTTACGACTAATCTAAGTCTGATAGTGTTTTTGATTTCAGCATTTCCTTTGATTCTAAGAGTTTCCATCTCTTTGCTTACATTATCCATCTGTTCTTGCATGTTGTCCAGTTTTTCCATTAGAGCCCTTAACATATTAATCTTAGTATTTTAGATTCCCAGTCTGATACTTCCAGAATCTCTGCCATATCTAAGTCTGGTTCTGATGCTTGCTTTTCTCTTGAGACTGTGGCTTTTGCTTTTTGGCATATGATATGGTTTGGCTGTGTCCCCACCCAGATCTCATCTTAAATCCCCACGTGTTGTGGGAAGGACCCAGTGGGAGGTAAATGAATCATGGGGACAAGTCTTTCCCATGCTGTTCTTGTGACAGTGAATACGTCTCATGAGATCTGATGGTTTTAAAAAGAGGAATTCCCATACACAAGCTTTCTCTCTTTGCCTGCTGCCATCCATGAAAGATGTGACTTGCTCCTCCTTGCCTTCCATCATGATTGTGAGGCTTCCCCAGCCACATGGAACTGTAAGTCCAGTTAAACCTCTTTCTTTTGTAAATTGTAAGTTTGGGGTATAGCTTTATCAGCATGTGAAAATGGACTAATATAGTAAATTGGTACCAATAGAGTGAGGTGTTGCTGAAAAGATAACTGAAAATGTGGAAGCAACTTTGGAACTGGGTAACAGCAGAGGTTGGAACAGTTTGGAGGGCTCAGAAGAGGACAGGAAAATGTAGGAAAGTTTGGAACTTCCTAGAGACTTGTTGAATAGCTTTGACAAAAATATTGATAGCAATATGAACAATAAGGTCCAGGCTGAGGTGATCTCAGATGGAGATGAGGAACTTGGGAACTGAGCAAAGGTGACTCTTGTGTTTTAGCAAAGAGACTGGCAGCATTTTGCTCCTGCCCTAGAGATTTGTGGAAGTTTGAACTTGAGAGAGATGATTTAGGATATCTGGCGGAAGAAATTTCTAAGCAGCAGAGCATTCAGGAGTTGACGTGGGTGCTATTAAAAACATTCAGTTTTTTAAGGGAAGCAGAGCATGAAAGTTTGGAAAATTTGCAGCCTGACAATATGATAAAAAAGAAAATCCCAATTTCTGAGGAGAAATTCAAGCCGGCTACAGAAATTTGCATGAGTAACAAGGAACCGAATGTTAATCCCCAAGACAGTGGGGAAAGTATCTCCAGAGCATGTCAGAAGTCTTCATGGCAGCCCCTCCCATTACAGGCCCAGAGGCCTAGGAGGAAAAAGTGGTTTTGTGTGCCAGGCCCAGGGTTCTGTGCTGTGTGCAGCCCAGGGACCTGGTGCCCTGTGTCCCAGCCACTCCAGCTGTGGCTGAAAGAGGCCAATGTAGATCTTGGGACATGGCTTCAGAGGGTGCAAGCCCCAAGCCTTGGCAGCTTCCATGTGGTGTTGAGCCTGTAAGTGTGCAGAAGTCAAGAATTGAGATTTGGGAACCTCCACCTAGATTTCAGATGTATGGAGACTCCCAGATGTCCAGGCAGAAGTTTGCTGCAGGGGCAGGGCCCTCATGGAGAACCTCTGCTAGGGCAGTGCAGAAGGGAAATGTGGGGTTGGAGCCCCCCACACAGAGGCTACTAAGCAGTACTGGGGCACTGCTTAGTAGAGCTGTGAGAAGAGGGCCACCGTCCTGCAGACCCCAGAATGGTAGATCCACTGACAGCTTGCACAGTGTGCCTGGAAAAGCTGCAGGTGCTCAACGCCAGCATATGAAAGCAGCCAGGAGGGAGGCTATACCTTGCAAAGCCACAGGGGCTGAGCTGCCCAAGGCCATGGGAACCCACCTCTTGTATCAGCGTGACCTGGATGTGAGACATGGAGTCAAAGGAGATCATTTTGGAGCTTTAAGATTTGACCGTCCTGCTGGATTTTGGACTTGCATGGAGCCTGTAGCCCCTGTGAAAACAAAGGGGCCAATTTCTCTCATTTGGCATGGCTGAATTTAGCCAATACCTGTACTCCCACTGAATCTAGGAAGTAACTAACCTGCTTTTGATTTTAGAGGCTCATAGGCAGAAGAGATTTGCTTTGTCTTGGATGGAACTTTGGACTGTGGACTTTTGAGTTGATGCTGAAATGAGTTAGGCCTTCGGGGGACTGTTGGGAAGGCATTATTTGTTTTGAAATGTGAGGATGTGAGATTGGGGAAGGGCCAGGGGTGGGATGATATGGTTTGGCCGTGTCCCCACCCAGATCTCATCTTGAATTCCCATGTGTTATGGGAGGGACCCAGTGGGAGGTAATTGAATCATGGGATCAAGTCTTTCCCATGCTGTTCTTGTGACAGCGATTAAGTCTCACAAGATCCGATGGTTTTAAAAAGAGGAATTCCCCTGCACAAGCTCTCTCTCTTTGCCTGCTGCCATCCATGTAAGACATGACTTGCTCCTCCTTGCCTTCCACCATGATTGTGAGGCTTCCCCAGCCACGTGGAACTATAAGTCCAATTAAACCTCTTTCTTTTGTAAATTTCCCAGTCTAGGGTATGTCTTTATCAGCAGCATGAAAACAGACTAATACAGCATACCTTATAATTTTTTGTTGAAAGCTGGACATGGTGTATCAGGTAAAAGGAACTGAGGTAAACAGGCCTGTAAGGTGAGGTTTTATGTTTATCTGGCTAGGCCTTAAGACTGTGTCTACTGTTTGCTGTCACTGTAGATGTCAGAGGCTAAAATTTCCTCTAGTGTCCTTGTTTTTGTCTGCTCTTATCTTTAGCTTTCCCAAAAGACTCCTCTTTCAGGATTAAGGGTCTGAGCCTTGCAGTTCTTTCATTTTTAATCCCCTGATATTATACAGGAATGCTCCTGATGTGGTAGTAAGATATAGGGGAGAAGGAAGCATTCTCTTATTCTGTGATTAGGTCTTAGTCTTTCAGTGAGCCTGTGCTTGTGGGCTGTAACCTTCACATGTGCTTCTCAGCTTTATTTTCCCATGTAGGCTTGGCTATGGTGACATAGTTGCCCTTGAGAGTTAGCATTTGTTAAGGAAAACAAAATGCTCTGGGTATATTTGGAAATGGTTACTTTTCCCTTCCCACTGATGGAAGGGAAGCACACGGAGATTGTTCTTTGGTCTTCACAATGAGAACCTGGTGGAGACTCTGGAAATAAAACTCATGAAAGGGGGCTCTACTATGGTTGGGCCTCTAGGAGCTTTTATCTGTCAAGCTAGTCCATGCTCAGTCTCCAACAATTAGTCAAATTACTCTAAGTATTCCTACCAATGGCTGGCTCCAGCAGTAGTTTCTCATTCCAGCAAGCTATAATACTCTGTATTACCTATCTCTCCAGTTTTCAGGGCAGCGGTTTGCCCTGCGACCTCAATTCTCTGATAAATGTAAGATTTTTTTTTTTTTTTTTTTTTTTTTTTTTGAGGCAGAGTCTCGCTCTGTCACCCAGGCTGGAGTGCAGTGGCGTGATCTCGGCTCACTGCAAGTTCCACCTCCCTCCCGGGTTCATGCCATTCTCCTGCCTCAGCCTCCTGAGTAGCTGGGACTACAGGCGCCCATCACCACGCCTGGCTAATTAAGATTTTTAAATTTTCTGTTGTTTCAGCTTTTTTCTTGTTATGAGAATAAGAGGACTTTCAAGCTCAAAGTTATAAAAGCAACAAAAAGTGAATAAACATTGACTCCAAATTTGTTAACATTTATTTCATATTTTACTAATTGAGTTTTGGATTTTTCAGTTTATTATATATTTCTAGTTACTTTGCCATAATTTTTTGTTTTTGTTTTTGTTTTTGTTTTTGTTGAGAAAAGGTCTCGCTTTGTCCCCCAGGCCGGAGTGCAGTGGCACAGTCGCAGCTCACTGCAGCCTCGACCTCCTGGGCTCAAGCAATCCTCCCACCTCAGCCTTCAGAGTAGCTGGGACCACAGGCATATACCACAATGCCTGGCTCATTTTCAATTTTTTTTTGTAAAAAAATTTACAGGCTCTCACTATGTTGCCCAGGCTAGTCTCAAACTCCCAGGTTCAAGTGTTCCTCTGGCCTCAGCCTCCCAAAGTGCTGGGATTACAGGCATAAGCCACAATGCCCAGCCCTGCCATAATTTTTTTAAATTTAGCTAATTTTTTCAAATATTTGGGACTGAGTAGATAGGATAATATGGTAAATTTCATGATTTGAATAAAAGTAAATTTCAAATTCAAAATAATGTCACCAGATACACTATACATATACAAAATTGCTTTTAAAAAAAAATAAGAATTGCCTAAGTCTGAGTTCTAGACACACCACAAATGGGTAAAATATGATAAGGACTTAATGCCTCAAATGTTTCTATCCAATCTTGTTTACACTATAGTTTTTAGTGTGTTCTAACCATATGAAAATGAACAATTTAAACTAAGGAAGTTTTATTTTACACTTGCTGCAAAGATTTGTTTGTGTGTCAGTGTTCTTCTCCTTGCCTAATTTTTCCTAATTCTTGATTTAATTTTTCTTGAAGAATGCTGCACTAAGCCATGGTACTGATAGACATTTTTTGCAAGAAGCGCTGCACATGCTTCTCCTCCATCTTTTCATAAACCTTTCGTGTTGAAGGCATTTTTGTTGCTTGGGAACACATTTGGGAAATTTACCAAAATAATTGTCTGATCATAATATTTGCTAGGAAGACAGCTAGGAGCATACCAGAGGAACTTCCTGTAGAAAGAAAGATGACAAACTCAGTTGCCCTTCTGGCAATCCTACCTGAATCTGTTACAGAGCAGTTCCCTTATGCAACTCCTTGGAGAGGTGAAGTCCTACCAGGATAGCTACTCATAGCCCTGTATCTAATGGCAGACTTCTTTTTAATCCTCCAACATAATTCTACTGCAGAAAAACATTTGTGTTACCAGAATTTTATTAAAGCTAAACTCCTAAAACAGGCAAATATTGAAACTAGTAAATAAAGAACTGACCTCAAAATAAAGAAGTGAAGTTAGGCACCATTTCAACTCTTTTATAATATATAGTTGATCGTAGTTGATCGTAGTTGATTGTACTTGATTATAGTTGATTATAAGTCTCTCCTTTATAATATGTAGGTGATTTGATGTTTAAAATTTTTTTATGCAAGAGGAAGCTAGTTAGTTGAAAAGAAATACTGGCCTATTAACAAGGTATTTTAGTAAAACTTGTCCAGTCATAGTACTTCAAAGGTCAAAATGATGTTCCTTATTAGTACTTCAAATTTTGGCTATTTTATTTTAGGTATTACCAATGGTTAAGTCATTTCAAATTATTTATACACATTATTATAATTTTGTAATTAAATTTGTTGTTAGCATGGCTGTTCCTTGAAATTTTGTTGACTTGAACAAATTTTTAATTACAATCTTGTTCTGTCAGTAAATGACCCTGCTTGATGTTAAAGGCATGTACTAGTGGAAGCTACACCTCCCATAATCTCAAAGGGGCATTATGATTCTCCAATCACAGTCATAACTCTCTTTTACATGACTCTTCCTATTACCATCATTTCATCTACTCAAGGTCTATCAGCTTCAAGTAAAGAAATTAGCTTGTGATTACCTGAGAAAAGGAGAATGAATGAAATTTAGTTCACTCAGTAAATATTAATTCTTCTACCCAAATCATACTTAATGAATTTAACACAAACCCCCATGTTCCACTACTGGTTTAGTGAGTGAGTGAATGGAAAGGCTTTGCTAACTATTCTAAACATTACCATTTATAATCTCTTCTGAATGTATAATAAAAATTTACAATTTAAGTCTTTCCTATGAAATAATTTTCCCCAAAATATTATAAACTTGAAGGCAAAAAACAAGCTCTCTCAAGTACTAAGGAGATAAAATAATAAACTCTCAATATTACACACCAGTTTTTTAAAATTATTTATTTTACTTTAAGTTCTAGGGTGCATGTGCACAACGTGCAGTTTGTTACATATGTATACATGTGCCATGTTGGTTTGCTGCGCCCATTAACTCGTCATTTACATTAGGTATTTCTCCTAATGCTATCCCTCCCCCATTCCCCCACCTCACAACAGGCCCCAGTGTGTGATGTCCCCTTTCCTGTGTCCGAGTGTTCTCATTGTTCAATTCCTACCTATGAGTGAGAACATGCGGTGTTTGGTTTTCTGTCCTTGCGATAGTTTGCCCAGAATGATGGTTTCCAGCTTCATCCATGTTGCTACAAAGGACATGAACTCATCCTTTTTTATGGCTGCATAGTATTCCATGGTGTAGATGTGCCACATTTTCTTAATCCAATCTGTCATTGATGGACATTTGCTTTGGTTCCAAGTCTTTGCTATTGTGAATAGTGCTGCAGTAAACATAAGTGTGCATGTGTCTTTATAGTAGCATGATTTATAATCCTTTGGGTATATACCCAGTAATGGAATCGCTGGGTCAAATGGTATTTCTAGTTCTACATCCTTGAGGAATTGCCACACTGTCTTCCACAGTGGTTGAACTAGTTTACACTCCCACCAACAGTGTAAAAGCGTTCCTATTTCTCCACATCCTCTCCAGCACCTGTTGTTTCCTGACTTTTTAATGATCGCCATTCTAACTGGTATTACACACTAATTTTTTAAACCATTTTCTAAGTTATATACTTGGGATATGTAAGTTTGAATTCCCTATGCAGAGGTCTTCTCATAGAGAGATATATAATATATAGATATAATGAGTGGCTACAGTACCATAGTCACTCAGTAATCACTGTTTATGGATTTAAAATCTCTTTTTTTTTTTTTTTTTTAAGTAAAATGCACTGGTCTTAAATGTAGAGTTTGAATTTGACAAATGTATACACCCAGGTAACCAACATCCCTGACAAGATACAGAGCATTGCCATCACCCTAGAAAATGCCCTTCTGTCCTTTTCCAGGCTGCCTTCTCCTCCCACAACCATTTTTCTAATTCCTAATCCAGTATATGAATTTTATCTGTTCTTGAGCTTCTTATAAGTGAAATCATACAGTAGGTACTCTTTTGTATCTCATTTCTTTGATTCAACAAGTTTTTGAGGCTCATGGATGCCTAACTTTTCAAGAGCATTCATATTCCCATAACTCATTTAAAACATAATGCTAACTTCTGGGCTGGGCACAGTGGCCCACGCCTGTAATCCCAGCACTTTGAGAGGCTGAAATCAGGAGTTCGAGACCAGCCTGGCCGATATGGTGAACCTCATCTCTACTAAAAATACAGAAATTAGCTGGGCGTGGTGGCGTGCACCTGTAATCCCAGCTCCTTGAGAGACTGAGGCAAGAGGATTGCTTGAACCTGGGAGGCAGAGGTTGCAGTGAGCTGAGATTGTGCCACTGCACTCCAGTCTGGGCAACAGGCTGAGACTCTGTCTCAAAAAATAATAGTAATAATAATGCTAACTTCTAATACTTCAGGTTCATCACAGCACAAATGATTTTTTGTAGTCTTGTAGGGCTATGAATTAACTATTATTGCCAGATATATCATCACTAAAATATTTGCATATAAATTAAGTTGAAAATATAAGTAATTACATATAAGTCATATATCTTTATATTCATTCTAGGCCGGGCACAGTGGCTCACGCCTGTAATCCCAGCACTTTGGGAGGCCAAGGCTGGTGGATCATTTGAGGTCAGGAGTTCGAGACCAGCCTGACCAACATGATGAAACCCCGTCTCTACTGAAATACAAAAATTAGCCGGGTTTTGTGGCCAGCGCCTGTAATCACAGCTGCTGGGAGGCTGAGGCAGGAGAATCGCTTGAACCCAGGAGGTGGAAGTTGCAGTGAGCTGAGATGGTGTCATTGCACTTCAGCCTGGGCGATAGAGCAAGATTCCCTCTCAAAAAAATAAAAATAAATAAAAATAAAATATCTTCATTGTGTAAGGCAAAGTTTCTAATAAACAGTGATTTTTTTTACTAGCATACAATAAGGACAGTTTCATATTTCTTTGCCTTTGTGTACTTTCCAGACACATAGACTAAAACGAAATGTTTAGTTTTTCCTTTACATTGTGTGTTTCAATAGACATCAATTAGCTGTCTTCAGTATGAACTTGGGATGAGGGCAATAAGAAACCCTATGTTTCCAGCCTCCACTAAGATGAACTGGCAGTGTGTCAGGAAAATTCCCAGTATGGAGCAGTTTTATTACAATTCAGTACAGTTGGTTCTTGCATAACCTTTAGAAAATCATACATAAAACATTCACATCTATATAAATAAAAATCACCCACACACTTTATTAATAGCTTTGTTCACTTTTTTTCCTGGGTGTTATGCTGCATGTTCCTACTGAGCCCCTTTTTTAAGTCTTTTTAAAAGATAACTTTAAGCTTTCTTAAAAGCAGAAAGGTTATGGTAATATTAGTAATCAAATATAAGTGTAAGATAATTCTTGATAAGTCCCATTAGACACATATCTCCCTCCTGATCACATACTCTAACTAGTGTCTAACTGTCCTTTTTACATTTAGTGACAGGGACTGGCTTATTCGCTAGATATAGCCAATTTAACTTTAGGAAAGAAAAAGGGACAGAAGATTGTACTTTCTTTCATTTGTGATAATGTTGGGGTTTATTTTAAAACAACTTTTATGGTTATATTACTGTTAGTTTGACTGCAATAAATACATGGGAAAGTGATTACAAGAACATACAAGTAGTCTTGGCCTCCTTTTTCTTTAGCTAGAAACATGTTTTAATTAACCAGAAGTGTATTTTCAGGTGTCATTTTCCTAAATCCAAACTTTACAAAACTTGCCATATATTCCCCCAAAGTATGTGGTATAAAATATCAAAATAATTTAATAATAAGCCTCTAGACTTAACTACCAATTTATAGGAAATATAAGAGCTAGAGAAACATGTTAAATGGCATCACTGTCCAGAATGTGGGAAATCTACAGGACAAATTACCCAATTTCTTTAACAAATGAATAACAATAGGGAGGGGAAGATAGGTAAATGTTTTAGATTAAAAGAGATCTATAAATCAAATACAATATGTGGACCTTGTTTGTATCCTAATCTGAGCAAACCAACTGTAAAAAGATACTTTTGAGACAGTTTGAGAAATCTGAATGTTGACTATTCGATGACATTTTAAAATTATCAATGTTGAGAAGCATAATAAAGGTATTGAGGTTGAGATTTTATTTAAAATATTCTATGAAAAAAATAAATTTGGAAGTAATAGCTAAGACAAGAATGACAAAATATTGTTAATTGTTGAAGCTATGTGATGTAGGTTTGCAATTTTCCGTAGTATAAAGTTAAATTAAAACACACACACAATGAGAAGGGAAAAAAAATAGATCATCACTGTAATAGGAAGCAAAACTATATTCACTTTAGGGTAGCAATTTAGTTTCAGCCAACAGTGGCATCCTATAAATTAAGTACATAATATATTAAATTTGGGAGAAGGAGAGACAGGCCAGTCAGTCAGTCTGTCCTCTTTCCTTCCCCTTCCCCTTCTTCCTTCCTTCCTTCTTCCCTCCCTCCCTCTTTCTTTCTTTCCTTTCTTTCTCCTTTCTTTCTTCCTTTCCTTCCTTCCTTCCTTCCTTTCTTCTTTCTTTCTTTCTTCCTTCCCTTCTTCCTTCCCGTCTGTCTTTTTTTCTGTCTGTCTTTTGACAGGATCTCACTCTGTTGCTGAGGCCGGAGTGCAGTGGTGAGATCACAGGCTCACTGCACCCTCAACCTCCTGTGTTCAAGTGATCCTCCCACCTCACCCTCTCTAGTAGCTGGGAGTATAGGCATGTGCGCCACCACGGCCAGCTAATTTTTGTATTTTTTGTAGAGACAGGGTCTCACCATGTTGCCCAAGCTGGTCTTGAACTCCTGGACTCAGGCGATCCACCCGCCTCTGCCTCCCAAAGTGCCGGGACTACAGGCATGAGCCACTGCGCCTGGCCAGGAAAGGCATTTCTAATTCAGCCTTACCTAACCTACAACTCACTGCCCCCTTTTCTCCTACTTAATACCATAAAATTGTAGGTGATAATGCATTGTTTGAAAAGAATGATGGGCCAGGTGTGGTGGCTCACACCTGTAATCCCAGCACTTTGGGAGGCCGAGGTGGGTGGATCACGAGGTCAGGAGATCAAGACCATCCTGGCTAAAGAAAAGAATGATGAACTTCGAATGGAGCAGATGGACCTAGTGTTTGCAGTGAAACACAAGTGTCTTTGACTTCAGCTTTAGTCTCCCTCCTATGCCATTTGTGGCATTCCCCTGGGACTGCCATACTATAATTGTGGAGTCAGTTGTATGCCATTTCCTCATAGCCAGAACTTTTGAGTTTATATATTATTCTTTGATAAAATACCTATTTTACAACAGGACATTCTTTTTTTACCTTTCATTGTTTTTGTTCTGTAAAAATGAATACTCTTAGTGAGTAGATTAAGCGCTTTACACACATAATTTTGTATAGCATAATTTACCTTCTAGGAATTTTTTCTTTCCTGAGACTCGATTTCATGGTATTTTTCTAGTAGAGCCTGGGTCTAATCAGAACATGGAACTGTACACAATTGGTATTTTGATACTTATCCATATCACAGCAAAGAAAAGTTTGTAAAATAAATGAATGTTGAAAGCAGTTTCTTCAGTGGACCTGCTTTTCTAAGTGGGAACATTGGTTTTCAATGCTGTGAAGGCTTGGCTGAGATGATCTAGAAAGGAGCCCTCACAAATCTGCATTTTAGAACAAATGCCTTCTTTCTGAATTCTCTAGTATTATTCTACCATGACAAATTTAAGAATAAGCCAAACAATTTTTAAGATCCAACTCCAGCTATAATTGAAATTATTAAGGCACCATACATAAAAGTAGTTATTTTACATTTGAACATATTTGTGTAATCTATTTTATCAACGTATCTGTAATCATCTATTTTATCAACCAAATTTTGAGTTCTCAAAAGATCTGGAGTCATTTCTGTCAGTGTAACTCTACGTAGCCTCTGTCATAATAATGTGAAAGTAGAAAGATACTTGCTAAATATATCTTGATTAAACCTGACTTGTTTCATCTCCTAAACCTAGAACTTTAAACTCAGAACTTTGGTTGATAGGAGAAGGTTTAAGTATAAAAAAAATGTGAATAAGACTGCATTGTGAAAAGTATTACTACTAAGAGCATTTTTTTGTATTATGAAAAGTACCGTAAGATAGTCATGGAATTTGGATAGTGGCCGGGTGCAGTGGCTTACAACTGTAATCCCAGTACTTTGGGAGACCTAGGCAGGTGTATTATTTGAGCTGAGGCATTCAAGACCAGCCTGGGCAACATGGCAAAACCCTGTCTCTACCAAAAAAAAAAATATATATATATATAATATATATACATATGTAAAATATATATTATATAATATATATTATATTATATATAATATATGTATTATATAATATATAAAATATATAATATATATTATATAATATATAAAAATATATAATATATATTATATAATATATAAAATATATAATATAATATATATTATATGATATATATAATATATAATATAATATATAAAATATATATAATATAATATATATTATATAATATATAAAATATATTATATGATATATATAATATAATTTATATAATATAATATATATTATATATATTTTATATATTATATTATATAATATATTATATATATCATATAATATATATTATATATAATATATAAAATATATATGTACATATATAAGTAATATATGTACATATATAATATATCTTATAAAAAGACAATTTCTTATATAAGAAAGTTGAATAGGTACTGGTAAAAATAATAGTTGTTACTCTTTATTAAGTACTATTTGTCGAGCACTTCACTAAGCACTCTATTTACAGTCATACATTGTGAAAGTGTGCTAAATTTATATACTACACAGAGTTTTCAGTTGGGATTTTTGAAAAATATAAATGCTAGAAGAGTAATGATTGTTTAATAGTCTGTATAATCTCTGTAACACTGGGGAAATACATCATTTTCTTGACATAGTTGGAAGTACTGTAAAGAAGGCATGCTTTCTATAACATCTTATTAAAATTACCCATCTTGTGATGAAAACTGATGAAATTAGTATAACCTCTCATCATGATGGCCAAGCTTTGTGACCCTTTATTGGAGTGGTTTTTATTCTAATTATTAACAAGTTTGGTGTCTGAATTCATTCGATATCTAATAAAATTGTTGACAAGGAAATGTAGTTTTGACACTTCAGAAGAGACATTTTCTACTTTATAAAATTAAGTTCCTACATGTGAAATTTGAGAAGCCACCAAAGTAAACATTCTATTATTCATTTAAAGCTCTTAATTGAGCCGGGCGCGGTGGCTCACGGCTGTAATCCCAGCACTTTAGGAGGCTGAGGCTGGCAGATCACGAGGTCAGGAGTTTGAGACCAGCCTGACCAACATGGTGAAACCCCGTTTCTACTACAAATACGAAAATTAGCCAGGCATGGTGGCAGTTGCCTGTAATCCCAGCTACTCCAGAGGCTGAGGCAGGAGAATTGCTTTAACCCAGGTGGCGGAGGTTGCAGTGAGCCGAGATCGTGCCACTGCACTCCAGCCTGGGCAACAGAGCAAGACTCCATCTCACACACACACACACAAAAAGCTCTTAATTGTATGAGCACCTCTATGCCATTTAGAGGCAACCAGTATTAATATTTAAAATTCAATTTTATTTAAGATTGTATTATCAATGTTAACAACCAGACTGAATAATTAAAGGGCCATTAAAGTAATACATAGGAATTAAACATTTTGTATAGAAGAAAAAAATTAAAAACCCTCTTGGTTTAAAATGAAATATTAATATAAGACAGGTGTTTTTGTTTGTTTTTAACTAAATAAGGCTTTTTTTCCTAAAACTATGACATCATTAATAACTTCCCCCATACTCCAATAATAGACAGTTTTTCCCCATCATCTCCCTAGTACCTAGGGCAAACTTACAGTTGTTCTTCGCAATATGAATGGAATGGTAAAGCCTGGAAAGTCCAGTAAAATATATTATCTTATAACTGAGTTTTTCTCACCAAATTTTTAACCACATCTGCTATTGACAGGTAAACAAATTTGAACTGATTGCCTTTTGCTTTCCATGATAATATGCAGGTGAGTGCGCAAATAAGTGGTAAAAGACCAACAAAGCAGTAAAAAGAAATAGACAAAGTATTCAACCAGCAAACTAAAGAACTCATTTCTGAATATTTTTCTATCCCCCTACCCTCCCGTATGAACTCCTTTTTGGCAGTAACTGTCTCATTCTTCCCTAAGTGACAGACACATCAGCTGGAGTACGTCATTTAAGCCAGTGTAGGTGATTTAGGCTGGCAACTTTAAATAGCTGCCATGAAATGTTGTCATTAGTTTGCTATCTGCAGGGAAAACAAAATGAAACAGGAATATACAAAATGAGATAAGAGTCTCTCTTACCTTACATAAACCTTATGTTTGAGGGCAGGGGGCAAACCTTTAAAAAAAAATTATTTATTTATTTAGAGACATGGTTTTGCCATGTTGGCCAAGTTGGCCTCCTGGGCTCAAGTGATCCTCCCGCCTCTGCCTCTCAAAATGCTGGGATTACACGCATGAGTCACCACTCCCAGCTGAAAATTTTTAAAATTTATTGTTAGTTCATATTTGGGAAACAAAAAGCTCACTTTTCAGTCTGAGATTTTGCAAAAGTGGAAGTGTAGTGTAAAAAAATATAAAACATACATACCAATAGCCAGCCTAAAACTGCTTGTTAGCAACCCAAGCTAGTAATTAAAAATTTTGAAATCTGGGAATAAAAGCAAGATTAATTAAAGTACTTGGTGGTTACCCATAGGTGTGTGTGTGTGTGTATGTGTGTGTGTGTGTGTGTGTGATTAGCAACCACTTGGCAATGTATTCAGTATTGTTATTTGACAAATAAGGATGAGGAATTTTGAATTGGAAATAAGGATGATAAATTCCTCATGTACCTTTAAAAATACATCTTTTAAATGAACTCTTACTGAGAGAATAACTACTAAAAGTTTAATTGTAGTTTTTTATTATAATATTTTGCTTTGATTTTATACTAAAAACTGCCAACCAGATAACATCTAAATGTATCTTTTTCAATATGACAAAGTTACATAAGAAGACTCCCCTTGCACGTAAAGAAAAATGCAATTATTTTCTATTCTGAATCTCCAGACTGCTGTTTTAGAAAATCATATCTGATTATTTGCTCAGCAGAAGATTATTGAGTTGATTTAGCTGTGATTTTACTTAACAAAGCTTCAACTGCATTCCTACTGTGGAGTCCGAAAAAGGTAGAGAGATATAAATGATACATTCAAACTGTGATTTTTGTGAACAGGGCCATCGATGCACCCCTCGGAGCTAATAGCGGAGATGAGAAACAGTGGGTTTGCACTGAAACGAAATGTACTGGGGAGAAACTTGACCGCAAATGATCCATCACAGGTAATGATCTTTTTATCAGTAAGCTGAAAATGTCTATAAATCTAAATGTGATTGCTTGTGAATTGCTACTTAATGTTTTCCAATATGCATATATCCATAGGAAAGTAAGATAGAGCAAAGAAAATGCCCAAAATGTGTTTTGATTTTGCTTTATTATTTTAATCTAAATGAGAAATTGTTTATAAACCTGTATTTTAATAAATGAAACTGCTCCTCTGAGTTTATGTGGATAAAATATCTAACTGAACTGGTGATGAGGTTGTTGGTTTTTCCTTCCTGCTAACTTACCCCTGATATGACATTAAATAGAACCAATGGTTAGAAGTATGTAAAAACTCCTAAAAATTGTAGAAAATATTTTAAACTTATTTATTTTATTAAACTATACATAGATCCAGAAAATGATTGAGTTTGAAGGGCTATATTATTATATATTTGATAATGTGCTGTTGAAATTATAATAAAAGCTAAAATTGTGGATATTTTGACATTCCTGTAAAACTCATAATCTTCTTTTTTATATTTCATTAAATTAAAAATAAAGTATTTAAACTGGCAAGAGTTAACATTCAAGAGATAGAGAATGGAAGTCATGCTCTAAACATTTTATCTGTGTGTGTCTATCATCCTTTTCCTGGAAAAGTTTCCTAATGCTGGCAAAGCAGTCATGTTAACCTCTTAGTGCTGTATGATCCACTTCGGCAGGGAGACTACAAAAAAATTTTTTAATTCTCTCCCACTTCCCAATCCAAAATATCATATTCATCTACAGTGTGTCCCTGATACAAAACTTATTTATAAATGTTTTCTTTTTTATCTACTAACTACCTTGTGTTGAAATCTAGCAATTTAATGATATCTTTGTTGACTCAGGAGTATGTTGCAAGTGAGGGTGAAGAAGATCCAGAAGTTGAATTTTTAAAGTCACTAACAACCAAACAAAAACAGAAACTTCTCAGGTAATTTAGAAGTATATATTTAATAGATTTATTTTTTCCTTAGTATTCATCTCAGTATCGTATTCAACTCTGATCCTAAGAGCTCATGAAGGTCCTTATACCATGCATCACATTTATTGATTATTCTTCACCCATAGCTAATACAATTTTGTCTGTCTTTTCAGTAACATGGAAATGAGTGTAAGATTGTATACTCAGATTGTACCACAAAACGATTGCACTTTTCAGAATGTTTAATTTAGAATTAGACTTATTTATAGCTTTTACTTTTCAAAATAGATTTGTGTGTATCTTCGCACACAATTTGTTCTTAGGAAACATTTTTGGCCATTTTTAAAATGTTTTGTAAAATTTTATGAGAATGCAGAAAGAATGCTTAAATTTAAGGTAAACGTGAATTTTGTTAAACAGACTACCTCTGAATTAAAAGAATCCAAGAAATGTCTGCTGGGTCCAATAGAGGGAGCTCATGATGCTTTCAGTATGTAGAGTTTTGAGAATGGCTAGACAGAACCTAGAGACTTATTTTCAGAGTAACTCAAACATACCATATAAACAAGTTACTCCTCCAAGAATGTGAAGTACTCTAGAAATTCAGAATGTTTTAATAGGATTGTCCTATTTATAAAACTAAACAATTGTTGAAAACAAGTATTAACTATATTATTTTATAAAACCAATATTTCAGAAGTTTAATGTGTACTCTTACTCAGAATTTCTGGAGAATATTCTCTTGAATTTTGATAACGTTGATTAATATTTATATACTATAAAATAGTACATAAAATTAATTTTTCATCTGATTATAGCTATATATTTGCTTTTTTAGTAGTTCCAACTGATGTTACACACCTTTCACAGGCTTTCTTTAGGATGACCCTTTAGAGTGCTATATAATTTCAACTCAGTAAGAATTTAACAAAAAAGTAGTCATTACTATTGAAGTATAGTCAGAAAATTGGCTTGATGCATTTAATTTTTTAATTTAATGTATTCACGCTTTGAATAATTTTAAAGGAAGAAAATGAGTTGTCATTTAGTAAACAATGCGTTCATATATGGATACCAGTTCTTTTTTTTTTTTTTTTTTTTTTTAAGACAGAGTCTCACTCTTTTGCCCAAGCTGGAGTGCAGTGGCATGATTTTGACTCACTGCAACCTCCGCCTCCCGGGTTCAAGCGATTCTTCTGCCTCAGCCTCCTGAGTAGCTGGGATTACAGGCAGGTGCCACCATGCCCAGCTAATTTTTGTATTTTTACTAGAGATGGGGTTTCACCATGTTGGTCAGGCTGGTCTCGAACTCCTGACCTTGTGATCCGCCCGCCGTGGCCTCCCAAAGTGCTGGGATTACAGGTATGAGCCAGCGCGCTCTGCCATGGATACTATTTTTAATAACTTCTAAGAAAATATATTGTTTGTTCATAACTTACAGTTGATGAAATAACTGTTTTTCACACAGTCTGTTACTGTTTATTTCCCAATTACAGGAAATTAGATCGACTGGAGAAGAAAAAAAAGAAAAAAGATAGAAAAAAGAAAAAGTTTCAGAAGAGCAGAAGTAAACACAAAAAACATAAGTCCTCTTCTTCCTCATCTTCCTCCTCCTCCTCCTCTTCCTCTACTGAGACTTCAGAAAGCAGTAGTGAGAGTGAGAGTAACAATAAAGAAAAAAAAATACAAAGGAAGAAAAGAAAGAAAAACAAGTGTTCAGGGCATAACAACAGTGATTCTGAAGAGAAGGACAAGTCTAAGAAGAGAAAGCTTCATGAAGAACTTTCTAGCAGTCACCATAACCGGGAAAAAGCCAAGGAAAAGCCCAGGTTCTTAAAACACGAGAGTTCTAGGGAGGACAGCAAATGGAGCCATTCTGATTCTGACAAAAAGTCCAGAACCCATAAACATAGCCCAGAGAAGAGAGGCTCTGAAAGAAAGGAGGGGAGCAGCAGAAGCCACGGCAGGGAGGAAAGGAGCCGGAGAAGCCGGAGCAGAAGTCCTGGTAGTTACAAGCAAAGGGAGACAAGGAAACGGGCACAGCGAAATCCTGGTGAAGAGCAAAGCAGAAGAAATGACAGCAGAAGCCATGGCACAGACTTGTATAGAGGAGAAAAAATGTACAGAGAGCACCCAGGAGGTACACATACTAAAGTGACACAAAGAGAATGAAGCAGAAGTAGAGAAGAAAGACTGTATGTGACAATTACCTGGGAATAAAAATATCTCCACTTTTTTATTGAATACCTTTAGCAAGGGGTAAATTATGTACTGTTGTCTTTCTAATAAAAAAGCTCAATTTTAATTTTTCATCTCTAGACTGTCAATTCAAGTACAAAACTACATGAGTACTATAAGAATGAATTTTGCAAATATTTGTAAGTAAGCTATTTTGGGGCTGTGGAAATATTTTCTGTTGGTAACTGTTTCTTGTTCCCCATACCAGATAAAAACCGCATATAACTCTGTGACATTTTCTTTGTTCTGAAACATCATTAAAAGAATGACAGTACATTGAATGGGTATAATTTACTTTTTTCAATTCAAATTTGTTATTCTAGGATTTGAATTTGCTTGAAGTGAATTGTAATAATTATTCAAATTCATTAGTATAAATTAAGGATTAATAAATCTTTAAGACTTTTAAGCCCCCTTTAGGTGTTTTGTTCTATAGAATAAGCTGTTTACATTTGGATAATATTAGTTTTCTGTGCAGGTATACAAATTACCTCAAACTTAAAACAGTCCAACGGGGCCAGGCACGGTGGCTTTACGCCTGTAATCACAGCACTTTGGGAGGCCCAGGCGGGCGGATCACCTGAGGTCAGGAGTTTCGAGACCAGCCTAGCCAACATGGTGAAACCCCGTGTCTACTAAAAATACAAAAAATTAGCTGGGCATGGTGGCATGCAGTGTAGTTCTAGCTATTCGGGAGGCTGAGGCAGGAGAAACGCTTGAACCTGGGAGGTGGAGGTTGCAGTGAGCCAAGATTACGCCACTGCACTCCAGCATGGGCGACAGAGTGAGACTCCGTCTCAAAAAAAAAAAAAAAAAAAAAAGCCAGGCATGGTGGTGCGCACCTGTAGTCCCAGCTACTCAGGAGGCTGAGGTGGGAGAATTGCTTGAACCCAGGAGCGGAGGTTGCAGTGAGCCAAGATCACGCCACTGCACTCCAGCCTGGGTGACAGAGCAAGACTCCATCTCAAAACAAAACAAAACAAAAAACAGTCCAGCTGTATTAACAGTTCTAGAAGTCAGAAGTTTGACATGGGCTAAAGTCAAGATGTCAATAGAATTGTGTTTCTTCTAGAGGCTCAAGGGGAAAATATGTTTGCTTGCCTGTTCCAGCTTCTAGATGCTGCCTGCATTTCTTGGCTCCTGGCCCCCCCTCCTCTGTTTTCAAAGCTAAGAGAGAGGAGTCAAGTCCTTCTCAAATCTAATCATTCTGACACTTTGCCATTCTGCATCCCTCTTCCAATTTTAAGGACCTTGTGATTACATCAGGCCCACCTGAAGAATCATGCAATAATCTCCCAATTTTAATATCAATGTTAATTCTATCTGCAACTTTAATTCCCCTTTTCTTTGTAATGTAACATATTCACAGGTTCCAGGGGTTAGGATGTGTACATCTATGAGGGACTATTATTCTGCCTTCCACAATTGGCCCTTCTATTACTGGCATACAACTATTAAAGATTTTACTTCATACCTGGTTGATCGTACCAGTGGTCCGTGGCGGGGGGCAGGGGGTAGATTTTCAAATGAAACAATGCAAACTGTTTTGATATTTCACCAGTATAGGTATATAAGGCATATTTAAATTTAGCTGCAAATTTTCCCTTGTGTTTCAAAGGATATGGTAAAGGAAAACTACAGAAAGAACTGGTACAAATCACAAGTAACATGCAGTTCCAAAAAACATAACTTCACATCTTGGACACAAGTTTTTTTATCAGTGTTCTATATTTTTTAACCATCTGCTATTTAATACAAAACAAATACTGATTAGATGGTTTTGATAGTTGGCAGTCACAATTTCATAAATTCTGTAGGAGTAACATTTGAAAGAAGTAAAACCACTCCACATCATCTGATTATGTCTTTGACTTGTCTGTGCACACACACAAAACAAGTGTCCTCTAAGAAAAACTTAAGTGAAGAGGTAAACAACCCTTGATTATTTAGATTTTTAAGACGCAGGGTGGGGGTGGGGCGGGGAGGAACTTGAATTCCTTCCACAGTATTGTTAAATAACTTACAGCGCACCTCAAAGATCCCTTCTTCACTTAAAAAAAAGCATGCATTTGAAATTGGTAAACACTGCTAATTTACACCTTGAGTTCATCAGTGTTGCAGTGATTATTTTCTACCTTATGCCTTTTTAGACTTTATAATTTTTATAATGTCAAAACCTATGCAATACTTACTACCTTAAAGGGTTTCTGAAGCAATACAGTGTTCATGAAGAGAAATGCTGAAATGCATCCTAAAATTAAAAATGAATTTAAAACGTTATTTCTTACACTTTTTTCATTTGACTCACAAACCGTGGTCCACTTTTTTAATGCAGATGAGATCTTGCTATGTTGCTCAGGCTGGTCTTGAACTCCTGAATTCAAGCAATCTGCCTGCCTCAACCTCCCAAAGTGCTGGGATTATAGGCGTGAACCACCATGCCTGGCCAATGTGGTCCACTTTTTATAAAGTGGCCATGAGATTTTTTTTAGTCTCTGATTTAATTATCCTTATTGTTAGGATTGAGAAACTATAAAGTACTGCCAAAATCTCCAATATTTTTAACCATCTAATTCTGAGAAAAAATTTCCATGTAGTTATGGAAGATGTTCATTTTGTTTGGCTTTCAGCCTTGGTCACCCAAGGGTGCTCAAAAGCCCTAACGAACTACCATTCTAACTGTAAACTTAAAAACGGAAGAGAGGCATTTTCACACAAAATCATACCATGATAACAAATAGCTTTAAAGAGGCTCAGTTAATGTGTTCCACATACCCTAATGATGGAAAATAATTTTTTAAAATAAAAATATTGGACATGTAATTCTACTTTTGTTTTGAAATATAAGGTAGAGACCAAGGAGATGAACCTCATAAGATGAACCTCATAATAAAAGGGATGTCTAGTACGTGTAGAGATTCCTCTACGTACCTAAAGCCTAAGAAGAATCCTCCACGTTTAATAAATCTACGACTTAAGAACCCAAACAAAAGTCCTCAACGGGGATATTTTTTAGAAAACCAGCCTGGTGAAATTTGTCATTCTTACCCTTAATAGAGAAGTTCCTTTAAAATCTTGGCACACTTACAAGTTTCTTATTTATCCATGAGCCTGGAACTGCACGAGGCATAGGACACATTTTGGAGGCATTTCTCCCTCTGCCTTCGCAGGGACTTTTCCCCTAACCTAACATTTAACATAACACTAACAAATTAATTCCTGTAGGAGGTGCTGTCGATTTATAAATAATCAGGAAATACCAAGTTGCTAGGTTAGAACTTGTTTATCTGAACGTCTCTGTGGTAAATTAGTCATAATTTATTTTAATAAAGGCCAAAATGGGCAGAGGTTTCTGCAGCATAGTGGCAGGTCTGCTTACCTTGCATTGTGAAGCGGAGATCTTGTTTTGAACCATAGGGCTGTAATCTTAAGAAAGCTTTTCATCTGAAAGGCTTGAAGAGACCTTTCTTGCTGTTCTTCCATGAGACTGCTTGCTGATAGTGAATCAAATCATTCCACGCTGCTGGGAGCAGGCGTTTCCCAGTTTTAATCACTGAACATTTCGTATGCTTTGGCATTGAAGCTCAGAGTTCAAAATCCACCTGAGCCATTTCACTCTTCTCCTTACCTAATGACCACTGGGCCAAGACGCTGGTGGAGGTAGCTCTGGAGGGCCGCAACTCCACACTCCGGACGTAAGACCAGGAAGAAAGTAGCATTTTTAGCTTCAGCAGCTGAAGGATATTTAAAAATCTTATTTAGGTTTTCTGAAAAAGAAAAGCTCTGCTATAGTTATCATTTCTTGAAAAGAGATAAAAGCATGCAATACCTGCAGGCCTTGGGAGCATTCTCTGATCAAAAAGGAGAAAGACCTTTAAAAAGTTGTGAGGAACAAGTCAGACCGGGGAAACTAAGGTTTGGGAAAGCGGGGGCCTCTGAAAGCTCTCCTACCTGATCGAGGCTCCTAAAACCCGGTTCCTGCTAATGGAAAAGGAAGAGGTAACTCCACAGCACCTTCCCCTTTCTCCTCCCTTCACGCCACACTTATCACCCCCAGAATGCCCAGAATGTAGCAGTAATGACGAAGATGTGCGGGACGAACGCGGAGAGCTGCCTGGAATGAAAAGAAACGCACCCTCCGGCCCGAGCTGCCCCGGAGCCGCCTTTCTCCAGTCCCTTGGGCTTGAAGGGCTTCGCGAGGGGGTGGACAGAAGTGGAGGTCCGAGGGCTCCTGGGTTGACAGAGCAGGGCTTCCCAGGAGGACGTCGCCCTAAACCTAAAGGAAGCCGGAATGGGGGTGGAGTAGGGTGATGGGATGAATCCTGGCTGAGGTCGCCCCTTCCCATCCTGAGGCGACGCCCCCCTGCGTGCTCTGGTGGTTTCCTTCTGGATGCACCGTCTGGCAACCTTGCGAAAACACCCCAAACCGAAATGGGGAGGCCGAGAAGGGGGGAGCGCACACCCTTCCTAGCAGATGCGCCTCCCGCGCCAGGAGGCCGCCCAACACCCGACCCACAAGGTGCGGCGGGGAAGGGTCGGGGCCTGCCCTCTGCGCGGCTCCCTCGCCCCCGTTGGCCCAAGCCACCCCCCAGAAGCAATTCTCAGGCCTTTTCGCTGGGGGCCCGCCCGCCGAGGGCCCTGCTAGTCCCCGCCTAAGCTTGCCGGGCCTCGGGCGCAGTCCCCCGCGCGGGCCGGACTCGCCTTCAGCAGTTAGGAAAGCGAGCGAATTTTTCTGGTCGCTCGGGCTCCACAGGTGAAGAGGGCGCTTTATGAAGCTCCTGGGACAAACATGAAGATATCAACTTTCGTCAGCAATCTGCAAGCAGAATGCGGACTGGGGCAGACACCCTGCCACTTTGCATTTCCTTTATAGATAAATGAATCACCCAGAAATGGTTACATGCCTGCAAAACAATGCAAAACCCCCAGTATGAAATTCTACAGGAAGAGAGTATAAGGGTCTTGGAAAATCTGGAACTCTTAGGGGCTGTGGTTTTCCGGGTCCTCGACAGCCGGCCCTGGAGGGACGTGTCCCCACGGACATTCTGAAACCCTTTCCTTAACTGGAGATGCAAACACACAGTCTATATTTACATCAACAATATATGGGGGAGGCATGTCTGTATGTATTTACCTCATACATATTTCTATACACTCCAGCGTCTGGGAAGGGTGGGGGGTAAATAACACTGAACGGTTAAAATTATGGAGAAGCGATAATAACTGATTACTAATTTGAAAGTAAACAAACAGGTGACTTTTTCAGATCAAATTCCTCCTTGTATCGTTACAATAAATATCTCTGAAGGAAGCTCTCTATTTATGTTGTCATTGATTAATTCTTCACTACCTCATTTGATTTCGATTTAGAACGATTTGATTCTAATTTAATTAGCATGTAATTTGGATGTACATAATTACTGTAATTATGACATTCAGGTAAGGCAGCTTTAGGCTGAAAGGCAATTTCAAATTTTCTAGCAACCTACTTTGTACTGGGAAATGGACAAGGACTTTGCGCCCTGCTATCCAAGTAGTAATTAGCACATCTTTGAAATAGGCAGTGCGGCGGGGTTTGTATTAAAACAGCAAATACAAACCCAGCCGAGTTACCCGCCGCAAAGGTGGCTGCGAGTCCCCGGAAACGCACTGCTTCTCCCCGGCGCGAGTTCAGGGAGCCCGGCACCCAGGCGCCTTGGCCGGGCTCTCGCGGCTGCGGGTGACGGCGCCTCCGCCGCCTCGGGCGCAGGGTTTGAAGGTGTCGCTTTTTAAATTAAAATACAATAAATACGCGCTGGGGGTGGGGGGCACAAAAATGGAGGAGGAGGAAGTCACTCCACGCAGTATGAAGACGGGCTGGGGTCGGGGAGATAGTGGACTGGAAGAGGAGGGAAAGGGGCGGCAGGGGGAGGACGATACGCTGAGAGGAGAGAAAATCGGCCAACGCCCCCAACTGTTACCCGATTTCAGATTTGGGTTTCAAAGGGAAAAGGAGAGGACAAAAGGGGTCGGTTTGCTCCAGGAGGGTGTGCGCACCCTTTGGGGAGGCCTCGAGCGGGGAATTTGGGGGCTTCTCGCCGCCCTCGGGGGCCCTGCGCGACCGGCCCGGCTCCTGCCTGCCCAGCCGCCCCCCGCGCCCCACTCGGGCTGGGGTGTCCGCCGGAGGACGAAGGCAATGCAGAAGGCTGCTCCGGCCCGCCTCGGGTTGGGGCTGCGAAAGCGGCGGGTCCCTTGCCTCCCTGATTGCCCACGAGGGGGTAGGGGGGTGGGATGGTTTGGTGGCCTGTTTGAATCGGCCTGGTTCCAGCCGGGCCCCGGGTAGTCCACGCGGGCCTCGCGGGCCGGGAGCCACGGATGCAGAGTCAGAGGGGTCTGCGTCCACAGCTGGATCCCCACATCCTGGGGTCCACGTCGCCGCCGACAACGCTTCAGCCCTCTCAACTCTTAAGTTGGAAGACCCTGAAGTTGCCTTGAAAAGGATGTTAAATGGACAATTCTAAGACCAGGGCCAACCGGTCGTTATTTTGTTTTGTTTGGATTTTCAGTTAGCACGTTCCAGAAACGACCCTTTTGCCCAAAAGCCACTGCCATGTAGTGCTCCCCACCCCCAATAGCAGGGCTCGTTCCCCGCTGGAACGCAAACTGTCGCGTTTCTTCGCAGGATCCTCTTGGTTGCTGCTGCTCGCGGCAAAAGCCGGTCTCCACGCGCTGACAGCCGCGAGCCGGGCAGGCGACGGCCTTTCCGCCTCGGAGCTCTAGGTGGCGCCAGCGAGCCGCACTAGCTAAGCTCCTCTTATGGGAATCAAGAGCTACTGTCAAACATAAAAGCAAATCAGAGTTTTCAGTTTTTTTAATGTGTTAAGAATGTTATTCCTTAAGAAAATTTGTAGCTAAATTATTCTCACTTAAAATAAACACTTAGTATACCAATTACACAAATGGGCGGGATTTATGTGAGATTTACTTCATCTGCATTTTTGTAGTGGAAGAGAGCCTTAGTGAATACAGATAATAGATGCAAATAAGATTAGAGTTAAAATAAATAAAGTTTCCATCCGAATAAAAAGAAATTCAATTTTACACGACTTGTAACGATTTGACGGAAAGTCCAGACGCACCATTCAGGTGCACAATCTAATCTAGTCAAAATAATGTTGTTTCCCTCCTCGAGGAAAGAAAATCTCTTTCTTTTCTTTTTCTTTTTCCTCATCAGGTAGAATCCAATTCATTCCAAGGGCAGAAAACTGGTGTCAGAAAAGGAAACGCTGGAGGATGGTGCGGATCGTGGCTGGGTGGGCGCAGGGCCGAGGAAAACTTGCTTTTCGTTCCTCTGTTGCGCTGGAAGCTATGGGACAGGAAATGCCAGGGAAACCGGGGGACTCGAAATCGCACTGCCCTTACCGGGCCCGGGCGAGACTCTGGGCCCCCAGGCCGCGTCCCCCGCCCCCACCGACCTCCAGGCCGCTACCCGCCTCTGAGCTTGGGCCCCTGACCACCGCCTCCAGCTCCTTCTGGCCCCTGAGCCGGAAAGGCACAGGCCTCTGGGGCCCCGAGGTGGCCCTGGGGAGGCGAGGCCCCACCGCAATTGGGGACCGAACTCGTGTTGTAACTGGCGGGATCTCGCCTCCCACGCGCGCTGTCTCCAATTTGGTCATCACCGGCCGGCCGGTCGCCACCCGCTCAGGTCAAGGTTCCCCGCGCCCCCAGGGGCGCCTAGGGCTTGGGGGAGGCCGGGCAGGGGGCCTAGGCCCTGTTTTCGCCTGTTGGCTTCGGCCGGGGCCCCGGGGCCCCGCTGCCTCTGGGCTCAGGTTCCGCGGACTGCTGTCTCCCGGCTGGACGCTCGGTCCGGGGCCGCCGCCCGCCGCTCCCGGGAGCCTGGGTGATGGACGTCCGCTGACCCGCGGGGCAGAGGCAGCGCACACAGGCCTTGATCACTGGCCTGCGGAGGGAGCCGCGCGGCCAGCGGGACCTGCACGACCGGGCCCTTTGATCTGCCTTTATTATCAACGAGAAACAAAGCTCCCTGGGCCCGACGCCCGGGCGCCCGCGTTCCTGGGGAGACCCACCACACCCTCTACTCCGCGCCGCCAGCCCGCGGCCCCCAAACG
Source organism: Homo sapiens (assembly GCF_000001405.40). NCBI lineage: Eukaryota > Metazoa > Chordata > Mammalia > Primates > Hominidae > Homo > Homo sapiens. The sequence continues at coordinate 174,340,322 of NC_000002.12, read as the reverse complement.
CGCCAGGCACCCTCTGGGCCTCCAGTGCCCCGGCCCGAAGCCCCTCCGGAAAACGCGTCCCTGCCAGCCGGCTCTCCGGAAGACCATCCCCCGACCAGAGGCGCTTAGGGAGTGGGGGGCTCCCGGTTATGAACAGCTTGATCGGGGAGAGAAAATGGCCAAAGTGAAGAAAAACTCGAGTAAGAAGAGCGGGGCAGCCTGGCCGCGGGGAGCTCAAGAAGGAGAAGGAAGAAGCCATTGAATGTCACGCTGCAAACTCCCTGCTGGGGACCTTCGTTCTGTTTTATCGCTACTTTGCGACTTGGTGTTTCAGAACAGTTTCCGAGAAAACATTTTGCTGATTGTTAATAACAAGAATTTATTTTTTCTTTCCTAAAAATCAAAATCTTCGCTCAAATTCCCAAGGCGGACAGTAATCAAAAATGGAAAAAAAAAATATGTTGGTGCTGACTTCGCTTGTATTTCCTCTTGTGTGGGAAATCTTTTAGAAATATTTTTATTCTGTAAATATGTACTTTATTTTCTAAATTAACATTTTTTTCGAATTGCGAAATTATCTCATTTACCAATTTTCTTTTTGTCTCTCCCTCTTTTCTCCCTCTTTTAAACTGGGGCTGTTAAGTTGGTGGTCAGAAGACAAAGAGAGTGAAAATAATTTTCATTTCAATAATTGCCTTCTGGTCAATTTAACTGTGCCTTATTTTGAAAGAGACTGTCTAAATGAGATTCCTGTCCCAAATGTGTTCCCAGGCCTGATCCCAGCCTTTAATTATTCCTGAGTTTTTTTCTTCAGAATAAGACGCCGCACTGAGTAATCACAAAGAAGTCAGAGAGCATCCTTGAACCTTTTCAGAAGCAGCGCCACTGATATTCAAATAACCTGCGAGGGCCATTTGACGGCGCGGGGACCTAGGCATTTCCAATTCACTATTTGCATAGATCAGCCGTCTTTGAAAAGGAAAGGAGCAGTTGTCTTCCATAACATTAAAAAGCCTAGTTATCAAATCAAGTGCTTAGTTTGGGGGCTTTTTAAAACGTTTACATTTTATCTCAGGTTGCCCTTTACCGTTTGACATGCAAATTTGGTGCAGTTAATTTAGACAATTAAAAAGATCTTCAAGGGAGCTTTGTCACAGAGAATATTTGGAGTTTTCCCCGCGGACCAGCTGAGATAAAGTTGGCCAGAACAAATGATGTCTAGGAGATTAATTAGATATTTGATAAGACATGAATCCCTAATAAGGGAATACAAGGCACAGGGGGCTGCTGTGTGCTCTAAGTCAAAATTAATAACATTTAACAAGATTTTCATTTAGGCATGAAATGTCTTTTCCGGGGTATTGACTCTAGCGATTTATTCCCTTGAGTTGCCTTCCAACATACAGGGCCTTGGGAGCTAAAAGACTTCTTTTTTTTTAAGCGTTTTCCTTTCACAGTTGTTTTTAAATCACTTTTTAAAAACAAACAAACCCACCAGAGTTTTCTCTGACCCCTCCCAGAGGTTTAGGCACCTCCCCAATTAAAGCTGCCAAGGACCTTTGCATTTTTTAGGCGCTCCAGAGTTTTAAAATGTCACCTTTTGAGAGCCTTCACATTAAGTAATACAACTACACGTCCTTACAACCCAATTTAATTTATGTTGTTGATATACAAATAAATAATTTTGACTTCTCAAAAACGTATATGTAGTATGGCTTTTATAACCCACATAAACTTTACATTACCTACAACTAACATTAAGGGAATTTTTTCCCAACCGAAAAAAAAATCGACCCACGAAAAGGTTATTGAGGGGGAAACAGGATTTTTAAAAAAGGAAATGTATTGTTCAGAGTCCTTTAATAATACCAAAATGAAAATATGATGTCAAGATTTTCTTGATACAGATAAACGCATTTAATTTCTTTAGATGACCTTAACTTACGTGTTTGTGAGTGAAATGATAACTCAACATTTTAAATATCTTTTACATATATACTGACTTTCACAAAGTGCATCAGAAAATTAAAAAAAACTCCCTGAATTTCAGGGATTCACCCAAAAAAACTCTATTCGAATGAACATTTACAAGAAAATAAAAGAGAACACAATCTTTTGAACCCTATTTATACAGATGTTATGAAATACAGAGAAACTGTCGCTAGACTTCCAGTTTAATTTCTCACCTTAAGCCTTTTGATGCTTCCTTTTTTAGGAAAAAAGTCTCATTGTAAGTAGATATCAGGCAGGACTTGGAGCATTTTATATATAATATAATCCAAACAAAGGGTGTTTTTATCGGTCCCGTTTGTTTTCAAATGTTCTGACAGTCCTTTGCTGGGTGGTGGCTTGTTTTTGAGAAAAGGAAAGAGACGGGTGTTGGAGGGAGGTGGAGAGTGGGCAAAGAGGGAGCCTTTCTATGTATTGCTCTTCGCTCGAGAAGTTTGGGCGAGTGGTATGTGTGTGCGCGCGCGAGTGTGCGTGCTTGTGGTTGTAGGTCTCCGGTGTATGTGTACGTCTGGGAGTACAGTTTTTAAAGTGTTTGTGTCGGAGGATGGTTCGCTTTTGTTTCCGGACCACGCGTTCGATTCTTATCCGGGCGCGGAAGGCAGAGGGGAGCTCCTCGCACAGCGGGCGAACCGCAGCCCGGGAGCCCTGAGCGGCTCCACCTCGCGCCCAGCCCGGGCCCTGGGGGCGTCACTGAAGCCCCTGCCCTCCCGCCTCCCGCTCGCTCGCCCTCCGAACCTCTCGTTCGTTCTCGGTGTCTCTACTCGCTTGTGTGCTCGCGCCTCTCGCCCGGCCTCTAAGAGTCGTTGGGGCCAGACGCTGCTTCCTTGCCTCCCGCGGAGGCCGCCGCCGCCGCCGCCGCCGCTGCCGCCGCCGCCGCTGCCGCCGCCCGGGCGGCACTGACGCCGGAGTCATGCAGGATGAGGTCGGGGGATTCGGAACGGGGCGTCTCCAGGTTGCTGGCGTCCGTGTCACTGTCGCTGCCCTTTTTGCCCCCGCCGCCCCCGTTGTGCGTCTTAATGTGTTTGCTCAGGTGGTCGCTGCGCATGAAGCGCTTGTTGCACACCGGACAGGCGAAGCGCTTCTCGCCCGTGTGAGTCCGCAGATGCCGCTGCAGCTCGTCCGAGCGCGTGAAGCGCTTGCCGCAGAAGAGCCAGTTGCACACGAAGGGCCGCTCGCCCGTGTGCCAGCGCAGGTGCGCCTTCAGGTGCGACGTCTTCCCGTACACCTTGCCGCAGCCCGGAATGTGGCAGCTGTGCAGGCCCTTGCGCCGCAGGCTCGCCCCGGCCGGGCCCAGCCGCTCCGCCTCCTGGCAGTTGGGGCAGTCGCAGGTGGCGCGGCCCGAGTAGCGGCGGGCAGAGCGTGCCGAGCTCCCCCCGGCGGCGGCAGCCGCGGCGCCCGATATCATGGCGCTGGCGGCGGCGGCTGCCACGGCGGCGCTGGAGTCCGAATAGGAGGGCAACACCGGCTTGAAGCCGTCCTGGGCCAGCAGGTGCTGGCTGGTGGAGAGCAGGTGGGAGGCGGCGGCGGCGGAGGAGCCGAGGCCCGTGGAGCTGAAGGCGGAGTGCGTGAGCGAGCTGAAGTCGGGGTTGTAGGTGCCCAGCTGCGAGTGCAGCGAGGCCTGGGGGGCGCCCGAGTGCAGCGAGCTCTGGAGCCCCCCAGCGGGGTTCTGCACTTCCAGCCACGAGCCCGGGCTGCTGTGCACGTCCCACCACGACGACGCCGCGCCGTTGGTCACCTCGCCGGCCGCCAGCGTCGAATGGAAGCCCGACTTGTACCAGGACTCGTACGGGTGCGCCATGCCCACGCGCGGGTACAGCCCGTCGGCTGCCGTCGTGTGCACCTTGGAAATGAAGGCCGACTGGCCACCCGCCTCCTGCGGGGACACCCCGGCCGCTGCCGCCGCGGCAGCCGCCGAGTTGGAGAAGAGGCCGCCGTAGTCGCTGCTGAAGGCGGACGACGTGGGCGACGTGGAGGCCAGGCAGAAGGCGCTGTTGGCGGCGCCCGAGCCGCCCGCCAGGCCGCCCGAGCCACGGCCCCCGGTGGCCACCGCGAAGCCCGAGAGGCTGGAGCCGAGGTTGCAGCTGGACGAGGAGCGCTTCCAGGGGTGAAAGCCGCCTTTGGCGAAGGCGCTCGACTCTGGCAGCGTCGTCAGCGGGCTCGTGTTGCCGATCTTGTTGCAGGTCGCCGCCAGCATGGCCAACGGGGTCGTTCCGAAGCGCGGCTCTTCCTAGAGTGGGTGGGATGGGGGAGGGAGCAAGAAGGAGGAGGGCAAGAGGAAGTGGGGGAAGAAACAAAGTGCACCCGTGAGCAGCCTCGTCCCCTGCGGCTGCTCCCGGGGGGTCCTGGCTCCCCGCCTCGCGCCTCCTCCCCACGCGCCCGCGGAGGAGTCGCCGCACCGGGCGCGGAGCAGGGGCGATCACCCGGGCGAAGGTCCAGGCGCCGGAAAGTTGCACTTCGCTGAGGCTATAAATCAAAGATGCCTCCGTGTTCCCCGCTGCAACCCTGCCTACAACCGGACTTGGGTTGTCGCCGTAAACCGGCTCATCTCCCAGAAGACCCCAAGTCGCCCTTCGGGGTGAAGCGCGAAGGTAAACACAGAGACCAGAGACAACAAACACCGGGTGAGGGCGGAGGCGGCCGAAACAGCTGCCAGGGACGGGCGAAACTTGCAGCTCTCCCAGGGTGGCTACGACTTGACTTTTCTTTTTTAATAGAAAACGTTTGGTTTTAAAGTTTACATACACACAAAAACAGCGATTATGAAAACAATAATCCGAGGATAAGCGGCCAGAGACAGATTTCAAAGTCATGGGCGAATTGGGGAGCCGCGGAAATGTAAATGTTTATTAGCGTGACTAGATGGACTGCAAAACGATTAAGACTGTTTTCTGGAAACACCATTGTCGCATAATTGCAACAAAATCCCCAAAGCAATGCGGGGGATGGGGTATAAATCACGAGGGGAAGAAAAGAAACCTCTAGCTTTTTTTTGAAACCAAATGAAAAAGGACTTGATTAAGAAGGCCTTTTCTTGCAAAGGCATCTTTCTGGGTTCCAAAAACTTGGGGAAAAATCAGTCCCAGAAATGTGGAAAGTGCTAATAGAAGCTGAAGCTGCAGTCTAGCAGCAACAGTTTCTCCGGAGCCGCAGACCCCAGAAGCCATAACGAAAAATTACTCCGGTTAAAACAAGCAAATGCGTTGCCGCGCTTGCGACTTACCCCGAGTATAGACGTGGCCATAGCAGGTCTCTGGCTGCGCAGCGAGGCTGGGAGCGGGGCTGAGCCTGGCGGCTGCTCGGAAAAACTGCTTGGGTCCCGCGCGGCTCCCGCGTCCCCGCGCTCGTGCCGAGCGGACTCCAGGCTCCCGCCGGCTAAACTCAGCCTAAGTGCGAGGAGCACCCGCTTTGAAGTGCCGCTGGCTGCGCCTCTCGCCCAATGAGGGCGCAGGCAGAGCAGACCGGAGCTGCCCCGCAGCCAATCAGACGCTCCGAGGGGCCCGAGCCCGGGCTCCCGGCGCGTGCCAGTCAAGTCAGCTAGCTAGGGCCGCGGGGGTGGGGGGGAGTAGTGGGGGATACTTGCGGGGGGGGGGCGAGGGCGGGCTGGGGACTGAAGAAATTACAGTGCAATTAAAAATTTACACTCACGCACCAAGCCAGGTTTAAGTACCAATGAAACCGAGCCACAAGCACCCCCCCACACACAAACCACCCCGAGATGTTGCAAGTTAGGGCTGACAGTCCTACTCGACTCCCCACTTGTAGGAAAGGAGGCAGGAGGGGAGGAGACACCCAGACACAGCCCGCACCAGCAGGGCCCAAGTGGAGACGGAAATGTGAGCCCTCACTTTGTGTGTCCAGGCTTTTGCCTACAGAACACAACTTCAGCTTGTATCTATCATTCTTGCTTGTGATTTTTATCATTTTCGTGTGTCTTCTACCCAATTCCTTATTCCACTAGATTCAATTTCACTCTCACAGTTATACTGGGGAGGGGGCGCGAAGGGACAGCTCCTCCGAGAGGAGCGAAATAGGCCTCTCTGTACAGATCTACATCCACAGATTTGTTGGGAGGGCCTGGAGCCTGCTGCATCCCGCCATTTCCCCCCAGCGGTGTAAGTGACTTCCTAATTGTCGCTCTGGCCTCTGACCCGGGGGGTAATACAAGTGCCACTCACGCTAGAGGCTTCTGGTGGTAATTGAGGGCACCCTTTGTACGGTTTCGCCAGCGCTTAGATACCAGGTTAACCCAGTTGTCAAATATGACTAAACAGTGGGATGTGCTGATTATCTGCCGGGTTTTGCTGTGGGCTGGCATGGGGGTGGGAGGCATCAGCCCATACAACACGCTGCACGAAGCCGCTTATTTTCTCACTGTAACAACTTTGGAAACAGAGACCGGCGCGAGCGGCGTCCGCCCCCACCTCCACCTCCGCTGAAGCTGCAGCTTGCTCGGCTGTTTGTTTAACCCGGTGAAGATTTGCATGTCGCGTTTCATCCTGGAGTGGAGTTTTCTTGTCCCAGCTCCAACCCACTCCCATTCCAGACCACCAGGGCCTAGAGGCTCGTCCGTAGGGCAAGTGCGCTGTTTTAAGAGGTAGGCTCCCCATTAGTGCCCTGCTTTCACGGACGCGCCCGAGAAATCTCTCCAGGACTTTCACCCGGGAGGGCGGAGGACCAGGCCACACGTGGGCGCTTCCACATTTTGCAGGCTGGAAGCATCCTGAAGTCCTCCCTGGACCTTGTCAGTGTGAAAAGAGGCGTCCTCAAGCAGACCAGGGTGCGTCTTCGAGTCCCCCAGCAACCGCTGACCTGCTTGTTTTTCTCTTTCTGGGCCCCGCTTTCTCTTTCTTCTCCAGGGTAGCCAGAAGCTGTTTTTGAACCAGAAATACCAGCGCCCTCGGGCAGACCTGGGCACTGGTTTTAATATAGCACACTCCCCACTAAACCCACACCCTGCTTCTTAGGAAAAAAAAAAAATTAAACTACCAACCCCAAACCCTCGGGTGCAAACGACGAGTTGTCGCGGAGCCGGTGCAAGTGACAAGGATGTGGAACTGTGCCTCCCGTGTTTTCTCTCCTCTTTTGCAAGATCTCTTGACCCAAAAGTACGACCAGAGTGGCGCTGCTCTCGGCCCTGTGATGGAGCCTGGGTGCGTCTTGGCGCACTCCGTGGGTGGGGAGGGCTATGTGGGTCGCTTTCTTGGATTCATCTTAAAATACTTTGGCTCAGAATGGGTTTTTTTTATTTTATTTTTTTCTCTTTTTTGTTTAAGGTGGCGAAAGCACCAAGGAAATTATGACAGAGAAAGAGAAGGAACAGAGGAGAAGAGAAAGAGAAGGAACAGAGGAGAAGAGAACGAGAAGGCTCGTGTGGCTGTCAATGAAGTGCTGTGCCCTGGGAGACTGTAGTGGAAATGGGGGTGGGGAGGTGTGAAAAGTCCCTGAGGGACGCTGGGTGGAGGGCTGAGGAGAAATCAGGCCGCCTAGAAGAGCCGGAAAGCCCAGCAGGGGGACCCGGGGGCCGTTCCCAACAGGTGACTTCTGCCCTGGAAGAAGACACTGGTTCTCGGCTTCCCATAGAGTCTCCGCGTAGATTTACTAATAGAGGGATTGTTAAGTGGCAGCGAGGCGTTTCCTACTCACCCTGTGCAGCCGAGGAGGAGAAACGCAGAGGTTTCCCCAGTCCACCTCCTCCCCCACCCCCAACACACCCTCTCCTTAAGGAAACCTGACAAAGTAATAAATAAGACAATCCGAAAAGCCACTTAGCACTAGTGACATTTTCAAGCCAACCATTTAAAACAGTTCTCGCAGACACCTCGGGCTCCGGCGCCCTGCTCGCCTTCCTCTTCTCCTCCTCCCCTCGGATCCCCTCCCCTCCCCCTCCCGCCGTTTTCCCCGTAGTTCCAGCTGTCAGACTCTAGACGTGGGCACTCGCATATTCCTTTAGATACACGCGTCTGCATCACAATAAAAGTTAGGGAAATCTTCCAAACGAACGCAGGCAAACACCCGGGCCACTTCAACTCTAAGGTGGGGCCCCAAGGAAATCTTTCGGAGGAAGTCCAGATTTTTTTCGTCTGACAGATTTTTTTCATCCTCTAAAAAAATCTAGTTTTTAAACAAAGATCAATGTGTTATGCTAAAGTGTTGAGCTGACTGTTAAAACATTTGGGGAAATAATGACAATGTAACAAAGGCCTGGTTTGGAGTGAATCATCACCCTTTTAAAAGTTAAAGCAATTTTCAGGAGAATAGCTTTCAGCAAACGCTTTACATTATTCAAAACGGCCAAATAATGCTCTATTATAGCGCCTGAATGCTGCCAGTCAGCCCCTAAGTGCAATTTGTGCAAAGGCCCCGGTGCCTTATCTCCACTTCTTTATAAAGAGGTGAATATAAAACAATTTCTTCCAAACCCAGACAGAGAGCACGAAAATTGCTTCCCTTTCTGCAATCAGGGCAATTTAACTGGAGTGCAATTAGCACTATTAAATGTCGATTCTGCATAAACAAATCTGACTGAGCAGCGAAAGTGGGGTGAGAACCTCATATACACTGAAACTGATTTTTTAAAATTATGTATCCGGGTCCTTTACAATTGATCCGTGACGTTTTCATCTTGGAATATATTTACATCATAAATACACTATGGTTAAACCAACATAATTTTTTTGCAAAAAAATTCAATACGATTCCTAATAAAGAAGAATAGGGTAATTAAAGGGAAGAGTTCACTTCCTTTGAACAAATATTGTTTCTCCCATCTTGCCTCTCCCGGGAGCTTTGATCTGAGCAACTGCTCAAGTTGCTCTGTTTAGCAGGCAAAGCCAGGGAAACAATTCGGTCATTAGCGCTAATCGGAAGGATTGGACCTCCTTCACAGGTCCAATAGCCACAGATAAAATGCTTCTTCCTGATGTGCAGGAAGCGTAGTGGCGACTGGGAGGACCAGTTATTTTCTGAATAACTGGATATGTAGTAGCTGGTTAAATATTAGGTGGCTGCCCAGTCTCCCCGGAGCTTTGACCTAGCACAGAGTCTAGCAGCGGGTATACACCACTGGGGTGGGGTGAGGTTGGGGTGGGGTGAGGTGGAGTTAGGGGGACTCCGGAATAAGGTTGAAGGGGAGGCGTTAGGGGAGGAGGAACGGAAGGTGCTCGCCTTGGCCAGGCTGGCTGCAGTCAAAGTCTGGACCACCGGGACCAGGAGGCGGGGGTGGGGGTGAAGGGAGCCCAGCCTATAAAAAGCATTTATCTGACCTGTCCTCCCAACTGCCTTTATTTATTTGCAAAGCCACAGCGCTCCTTTTTAAATCATTTGTGCAATTAATTATGCTTTTCATTTGCATGATCTTCACTAGAGCAGTGATTATCAGGTCAGCACGGTGTGGGAGTTGCGGAGATACATTAATAACTTGAGTTAAAAAAAGAAAAAGCTGCCCTTGTGTACCAATGTTGCCTGCCATGAACAAGGGAGAAGGAAGCCCAGGAAGGTCCATAGTGCCTGTTGAGTCGGGTGAATCCTTTCCACGGTTGGTGTCTTGTCAGTGGTGGGTGAAAATGAAATACAGCCTTTGATTAGCAGGGAATCTTTTATAGTTGACACATATTTATATTTTTTAAAGCACCAGTTGTTGAGATCAAATGGATGGAGAAAATTAATTGAAAATTGAGGAACTCTCCCACAGTTTCTGTTAAGCTTTCCTTTAATATTTGTTCTATAATGTCCTAATTCCAGCCCAACCCTTGCAAATGAAAGAGCAAGGAAGATTCAATAGGCCAATGGGACTTTCATCTTTTTTTTCTTTTTTTTTTTTTTTTGTATCTCAGAGGCGTCACTGCTATTTAGCAGTGGTAGAAGATGCAAATCTTTCTTGCCTCTGTAGGGTCTGCTGAAGAAATTGAAAACCCCTAGTCTATTAAGCACAGTCCAAACGTTTGTTACACAACTAATTTTCTGCTGTTAGATGTATCTGGGCCATATATTTTAAGCTGGCCTCTATGTGTTTATCTGAGCCAAAAATGCATTAACAATTAAGGGAAAGACTGGTGTGTCAAAGGAAGGAAGGTGACTGTAGACTGTGTGATGATTTTAATGACTGCAATTATTGGAAGATTATTCAACAAGCATCATAGATTTGTTTACTGCATCACTCGGAAACTATGGGGGGCCTATTCAGCTTGGGGTTTTACTTTCCTCCCTCCCTCACCGACTACCACAGAAGGGTCTTAGACCTAAGCAAATGTGGCATTCTGTAGTGGCTTTCTTCTTTTTAAGAGCATCTCTTCCAAAATGATGCACATGTATTGTCTCAGCCAACTCTAATGGAACCACCTTTGGAGACACTAAAGCAATTTTTTTGCATAGACCTGAACTAATATCAAGAAAAGCCAGAGGCCAGAGGATTCTGATCATTACTCAGCTTCTCATAGCTAGGGTACCAGTTTCCTCAGTTTTACCCTTTCATAGGCAGATTTGAGGAGGCTTCCAACTCTTTCCTCCTCCATCCAGGGCTTGGAGAAGGCACTACAACCACAAGATGTTAAACAGGAGTGTAGGCATACCTCCAGGACACTCTGGGATAAAGGATGGCTTTTCCTTCCTTCCCTTTAACACACCCCTCCCCCATGTTATTTCCTATCCCAACTCCTGATGATGCTAAAAATAAGTAAGTAAGAAGAAAAGGTATGGCTAAAAGCATATCAGTTTGTGACTAAGGAAGTTGTTACTGTAAATACAGACACAGGGATGCAAGTAAGGCAAGTTTCTTGCCTGATATTAACAAAATGATCCTCAGTCCACAGTAATCTATAACTTGTGGCATGGGCTTTGCTCATTAATCAGTGACTGATTTGGAAGGGAGATTGCGGGAAAAATGAACAGCAAATATCCCCACTAACACCCCCTTTCTTCCCTCCCCTGTAGAACTGAGACCGGAGCGACCATGCCATCTAGATTTTCTTCCTGGATTCTGTAGTCGCCCAAACTCAGGCTTAAGGTGGACTTGGCTGGAACCTTCCCTCTTCAAATCTGAGCCTGCAGGAGTCTGCAAGTGGCAATTAGGAGACTATTACAAGCCATTAGATTGATCAATGTACCTTAAACAATGCGAATGAATTATATGACTGATTTATATGGGGAAGAAAAAGAAAGCAGTGGGGGAGGACGATTTCATCTCCTTTACATCCACACGCTGTTCTGGAGAAGAACCGGGCCCAGCCTCTAGTTCGTCATAGCTTAGAACCACCCGAGCGATTTATCTAGAAAACTTTTCAAGCAAAGACAAGGTCCTCTCGGCTTGTCCGGTGGGTGGCGAGGTGCACGTTTTCTGCCCCTCTCTCCGCTTCCTAAGAAAGAGCTTAGAAAGACCAAGGCCCCGAGGGGCGGCGGAAGGTCACAGCGACGCCACTCCGCTAGCCAAGGACACCACCCGGAGCGGGCCCAGCTGCCTCCTTCCCTAGAGTCTGTCCCCAGAGAGGGGGAGGACGACTTACATATTTGTTTAACGGAGTGTTGGAGAGCTGCGTGGCCTCCTAATTACGTCAAGAACACAGAACCATCAGCCCTTGAAGTTTCCAGCGAGACTTCGGAAGGAGCGGCGACCCGGCTCCAGGCGCGAGATGACGCTGGGGGTGGGGAGGGAGGGTACTCCGTGGAACGGAACTCCAAGCTAGGGCTGGCGGTTCCAGCTAATCTATCTGGCGAAGACAAAATTACAACAGAGCTGGAGCGATCAAAGCAGGCCCCCGCCCCCACCCCCACCCCCGCCCGCCCGCCTTCCCTGCCCAAAGTCTGTTTGTAGTTGTCTCCTCGGCTGCAGACACACTCGTCCATCTTCTCACGACAAGGAAATTCCTGCCAGTTTTTCCAGAGCCTGCAAGGAGAAGACAAACGCACTTCACCCGTCCCAGAGGAGGAGGATTCCCTTTGTTTAACCTCCTCCTCCCACAGTCGGCCTTCAGCTCTGAAATGGGGGAGGGGGACAGGGGATGGAAAGACCCTGGGCGGGGAAGGGCGGTTATAACAGAACCCCGGGTCCAACTCTGCCTTGCTGGTCCCTCCTCTTCCTCCTCCCTCTTCTCTTTCCAAGCTTCTCCCTCCCTCCCTCTCTCCCTCCCTCTCTCCCTCCTTCCGATCTTCTAGATCCTCTTCCCACCCAAGTCCTCTCCTGGGCTCGCGCGCCCAGAGCCTGGGCAGGCGCTGTTTATTTCCCGGCCTTCGTGGTTTGGCGGGAAAGGGCTTCGTCCTGGCTTGTTCTTGAGTGTCTGGGACAAATCCTTTTGTTTGTGTCTAAATGTGGAATGAGAAGCCTTCCAGGTTGATAATGGGGCTCAGACAGAAGAGGGAAAGAGCAGAGAAGCAACACGCATGTGTCTTTTGCAGCCAGTATGCGATGTTAGTCCAGGGTTTGGAACCCCTTCCAGGTGGATCACGGTTTCACACACACACCCAACTGTGCTCATCTGTCTTTTATTACCCCATGTTCCACTCTCCTGGGTTCTTTTCTTAGTTCCTTTCAGCCCTCTCCTTCCTAGAACCTCTTCTCAGAACCCTACAGTTCAGTGAGAGGGTGAGAAAAAAAGATACATCCTAAAACTCCCCTCGAGGAACGAGGCACCCCCGTGACATATCCGGAAACAGGCCAGCCCTGGGCCGACACGTCCATCCTTTCTTGATTTCGGCCACTGTAGAGCCCAACTCTGACAGGCTGGACTTTCCTGTCACACCTACCGATGTCAAACCCACGCCCTTCCAGAGTCCAGATGGATACCCTCCGCCCTGACCCGCTTCTTGGAACATTGACTGAAGGGTATATACATAGGGGTAGAGGAAGGCTCCGTGCACTTTAGACACGTGCGCCTCCCCCTCGCCCTGCTGCCACATGCAGAATGTACACTGATGACAAACAGACACACTTACCAGGGCACATGCCAGCGGCGTCCATCCTCCTTCCCGGCCAGGCATCAGCAAGCGAGACGGCCTTGAGGCAGGTGCCATCGCCACAGGGAGAGTGGCTCCGAGCTCCCGATGTCTCCCTGGGAGTCGAGGCATTCAGGTACCCCAAAGCCAGTTTCGAGCCTCCCGGGCGGGGTGGCCGAAGACCTTGACGAGGCTGGGCGTCCCCCTCCGCCTCCCGCTGTGCTTCCGCGCTGCTTCCTGCTCTGCACTACCTCCGCCGCCGCAACTGCCCAGCGCCCCTCTCTGAGAAGCCCTCTGCCTGCTGCACGCAGCCCATAGGTTCCGCTACATCTGGGATGCATTGCCCCTTAATTGTCAATCCCATTATTGTGATCAAGTGAACGTTGCTAATCTCTACATTTATTGTTTAGGTAAATAGAGGCTGCATTTAATCAATATGCAGGGCCCCAGCCCTCGCAGCGCCAAGTAACTTAAGTCAACGGTGAAGATTTCAGTGTGTGCATAATTACAGAGCTCGCGGAATCATCGGTCCAGCTCAATTCCACGTCTCTTCGCCGACCTGGGGGAGGCGGAGGAGGGAATGGGAGGAATCTCCATCCTCCAAGGGGTCGAGGGCCAGCTCCTTCAGGGCAAGTAAATGACTTCGTGGAGGTGACACCGCGCGCCTGGCCCGCGCCCTCGGCGGAGCGCCCTGTGAGCGCGGGGGCCTGAGGCGGGACTGGGGACTGCCCCCAACTTCCGAGCGGCAGAATCTGGCGCTTGGCGCCCCGACTCTACAGCTTCTGGACCTCTCCCCTCCCAAATTTGCCTCAGGAAGGAGGGTGGTTCCGCGTTCGGCAGGTCCCCGGCAGGCGGGAAAGCGGGGGCGGGGCTCTGGAGGTGGGTTGCCCCAAGTTCGCGACACCCTGCCCCAGCACGCAGGCTCCCTCCTCTCCTCCGCAGCTGCGGGGAGCAGCAGACTTCCTTGCCCGCGGGGAACTCCCAAGAATCCCACGATTGGGCGCGCAGAGCGCGGGTTATTTGCGCTTCTTCTTAAATAGCTATTGTTTCCTAATTTAAGAGGACCTTCGCCGGGCTAGAACGTCAGGGATTCGCAGCAGGGGGTGGGCGGGTCTGGGGAGATGGGCGGTTCGCGCCGGCGAGGGGTGGTATCAGCTCCTTACAGTAGCTTGGCTCCCGGAGTGGTGTCAGAGTGAGGGCCTCTTGGTCTCGGCGGGGAAAGGGTTAGCTGAGAATCTTTCGGGGGGCGGCGGAAAGAACCCGACCCCCGCGACACCCTGGAGTGGGGCCCAAGAAGCTGATCCTCAAGTTTGAGGCGCCAACACTTCTCTTTCGGCAACTCTGTTGTCGCGAGTTTCTCTTTCTTCTGGTTCCTCTTTCTCTGCTCCATTCCCGGACAAGTCGGACGTAAACAACCAATAACTTCAGTTGTAACCAGACACCCCCCTTGCATGGAATTGTCCGGCTTTATGTAAGCAGGATTCTAAGGTCAAATCATTTGACAGTTTAGGGTGCCATTGCAACCTCCCAACTAAATTACAGCTGAAGTTTGAATATAAGGGCCCTTGGTATTTGATGGCAGCTGGCTGTTTTTAATTTTCGGAATGGAACAGTTTTCGTATAAGGTATCCCTCCCTGCTTTCTTCTTCCCTTAAGTTGAACAGCATTTGGAACAAGGGGGAAATGAAACACAAATATCGGTGCAATCCTGAAAACCTTTTTCTCTCTATTACTACATTCAGAGCCTCCCCTCTGCCCGGCCCAAGCTACTCCCAAGCCTGTAACTCTCCTCATCAGTTGGGCAGACCTCTTACCGCTGGGCTGCAAACCAGTGCTGCCTCTGCCTCTACAAGACAGATAAATACGGCGTCAGACTCTTTTTTTTTTTTTTTTGAAAAGAGTCTCACCCAGTCGCCCAGGCTGGAATGCAGTGGCGTGATCTCGGCTGACTGCGACCTCCGCCTCCCGGGTTCAAGCGATTCTCCTGCTCCAGCCTCCCTAGAAGCTGGGATTACAGGCGCCCGGCACCACGCCCGCCTAATTTTTTGTATTTTTAGTAGAGACGGGGTTTCACCATCTTGGTCAGGCTGGTCTCGAACTCCTGACCTCGTGATCCACCCACCTGGGCCTCCCAAAGCGCTGGGATTACAGACGTGAGTCACCGCGTCTGGTCCAGACTCTTTTGATTAGGAATGTCAACTTAACCTTTTCTGGATGGCAGTTGTTTTTAAGCTAGGATAAGGAAAAGAAAGGCAACAGAGCTGATAGCTAGGGCTCCTGGGTAAGCACAAGCCCTTTGGAGGTCTCAGGAGGTGGGTGTGAATTAAGGCCCACCACTTAAGGCCCACCACTTAAGGCCCTGTGACCTTGGGCGGGCCTTGAAACTTGTGTTTCCTTCTCTCTAAAATGAAGCTAATAATTTCGACTTTGAAGGATTGTTATGAAGGTTAAATAAAACTATATAGGAAAATTCCTAACAATGTGCTCCATACTTATTAATAGTTGAGCTAAAAAAGTTCTTGCCTTCCATTTTCCACTGAAATAACATTCCCAGCTAAAACTTACTGTGAAACTAAAGGCAAAGCCAACAGCCGCTATAAAACAGAATTTTAGTGTGTGTGTGGGAAGCACAGGGCCTAGTACAGAAGCAAGGTTGGATGAGGATGAATGCAATGACAGCCTGCAGCTGCCTGATTTGGAAGGAGTAAGGTTAGCTGCTCCAGTCAGCCACACATTTCATGGTCTGGCTTTCATAGTTCTCCAGGAGGGGAAGAGGAGGCCTTGTCTCTAAAAGTAATAGCTAATATTTATTGAGCGGTTATTATATACCAGGCATTCTGCCAAGTGCTTTACACACAGCATCTCATTTAATCCACACAATAATCTTACCAGGTGAGTCTTACTGATATCTTTTTAAAAACTTTTATTGTAGAAAATATCTGCTGGGCACAGTGGCTCAAGCTTATAATCCCAGCACTTTGGGAAGCCAAGGCAGGGCAGATCCCTTGAGCCCAGGAGTTTGAGAGCAGCCTAGGCAACATGGTAAAACCCTGTCTCTATAAAAAAATACAAAAATTAGCTGAGCATGGTTGTGTGTGCGTATGGTCCCAGCTACTGGGGAGGCTGACATGGGAGAATAGATTGAGCCTGGGAGGTCGAAGCTGCAGTGAGCCTTGATTGCGCCGCTGCACTCCAGACTGGGAGACAGAGCAAGATCCTGTCCGAAAATTGAAAAAAAAAATCAAGTATTTATTTAGAAATAGACAGAATATTTTAACGAACCCCTCTATCTCCATCACCCAGTGTCAACAGTTGTCAGCTCATGGCCAAACTTGTTTCATCTCTATCCCATCCATTTCCCTCTTCCTTATTTTGAGGCAAATCTCAGATATTATATTACTTTATTTGTAAATGTTACGGTATGTATCAAAATGTCAAAAAATAACACCAAAAATCCTCCAATACCATGTTACTCTATAATTATATCTAAACACATTTAAAATGATTCCTTAATATTATTAGATATCTAATCAATGTTCAAGTCTCCCCAGTTGTGTCAAAAATGATTTTTTTAGTTTTTTTTTTCAAATCAGATCTAAACATGCACACATTGCATTTAGTTAATATACCTCCCAAGTGTCTTTTAATCTATAGGTTCCTCTCTCTCTTTTCCTTTCCTTGCAATTTATTTGTTGAAGTCAGTCAGTCATTTGTTCTGATATCCCCCTCCCCCCAACCCCCCACCCTGTTTTTTTAACAGACAGGGTCCCACTACGTTTTCCAGGCCAGACTCCAGTTGCTATTCACAGGTGGGATCATAACGCACTATAGGCTCAAACTCCTGGTCCCAAGGGATCCTCCTACCTCAGCCTCTCCAGTAGCTGGGACTACAGATGCACACCACAGCCCTCAGCTGATATTCTTTTATATTTAAAGTTTTAATTAATTAATTAATTAATTTAGAGACAAGGTCTCACTCTGTCGCCCAGGCTGGAGAACAGTGGTGCAATCATGGCTCACTGCACCCTGACCTTCCGGGCTCAATGGATCCTCCTATCTCAGCCTCCCAGGTGGCTGGTACTACAGGAACATGCCACCATGCCCAGCAATTTATTTATTTGTTTACTTTTAGTAGAGACAGGGTTTCACCATGTTGCTCAGGCTGGTCTCAAACTCCTGGGCTCAAGTGATCCACCCGCCTCGGCATCCCAAAGTGTTCAGATTACAGGAGTAAGCCACTTTGCCTGGACTTACTCTTTTTAAAAATAAAGAAACTCAGAGATGTTAAAGGAATTTAGTAAGGGATAGAAAAGGAATTTAGTCCAAGATATGACTGATTCCAGAATCCAAGCAATTAATGGCTTTATTATATTCACTTTAAATCAAGTGATGAAAAGCAAGGCACAGAAAAAACACAATCACTCATAAAAGATTTCAGAACATGCATGACTCCCCTAAGTAACCATTTCCTTTACCAAATACCCAATGGAAAACTGTTCACTTAAAACCCAGGCAAGGCTTGAAATGCGGGAATAGAAATTGAAAACAGAATAACCCAGTATCCTCCTTATGTTTTGAATCTGACTAAATAAATCCTGCATGCAAATGTATCCATAATGTAAAAGAATTTTTACTTCCAACAAATATTTAGCAAGGCAAAAACATTTCTTAACAGATCTATCAGTTTTTTTCTCCCTTTTTCTTCTTTTCTTCCTGATCTCCCTTTCCCTCTTTTCTGTATAGCTAAGATAAGGAGAAAACATCTCTTTCAAGCAATTATTTTAAAATACCAGTCAAATTAATAATTTGGTAGTTTGATATGTGATATCTGGCTTTTGTTATGGTAGTTTTGAAACCACAGTTACCCTAGCAACTGAATACATTTTTTCTTTAAAAAAATTTTAGCTGTCTGAAGGAGAAAAAAAAAAAAAAGAAAACTTCTTGCCAGAATTTTCCCATAATAGCTTCCATTAACTGCAGTGACTTCTATTGGAGAGGCCAGCACTGCTGTCTCCTGCTGTCACCAGTCATTCACTGATCTAGCAGATGTTTTGTTTGATAAGGCCAATTTGACCTTTATAAAACATTTATTTTTTTCACCTCCAAGGAGCAAATACCAGTAAGGATGGATTCAACGTCTATCACTGGATACCATACAAGGGCCTCAACCTGCCAGTGGAGCTTGTAGGTGAGAAGAAAAACTAAAACAAATCTAAAGGCTTCATTTATTTTAAAAAGGGGAAAAAAGAAAAAAAGAGGAGGGATGGTTAAAGGGTATTAGAACAGTCCCTAAAAACTTAGCAAAAGGCCGGGTGCGTGGCTCACGCCTGTAATCCGAGCACTTTGGGAGGCCAAGGCTGGCAGATCACCTGAGGTCAGGAGTTCGAGACCAACCTGGCCAACGTGGTGAAACCTCATCTCTACTAAAAATACAGAAATTAGCCAGGTGTGGTGGCGCACACCTGTAATTCCAGCTACTCGGGAGGCTGAGGTGGGCGAATTGCTTGAACCTGGGAGACAGAGGCTGCAGTGAGCCGAGATCATGCCACTGCACTCCAGCCTGGGCAACAGACCGAGACTCCAACTCAAAAAAAAAAAAAAAAAACTTAGCAGGAGGAAAAAGTGAGCAGAAGAGCCAATAGTCTATTATAGAATCTTTCTGGCAATACCTAGTAACTGTGCAGTTGCCAAAGAGGGCAATGATGCTAGTTAATGAGAAAAAGGAAGAAGAAAGGGGGTGATGCACATTGCATTGAGTTTTGTAGATTTGATAAACCATGGGTTGGCTTTTTTTTTTTTTTTTTTGAGACAAAGTCTTTCTCTTTTGCCCAGGCTGGAGCACTGGAGTACAATGGTGCGATCTTGGCTCATTGCAACCTCTGCCTCCCGGGTTCAAGTGATTCTCCTGCCTCAGCCTCCTGAGTAGCTGGGATTACAGGCACGTGCCACCACGCCCAGCTAATTTTTGTATTTTTAGTAGAGACGGGGTTTCACCATGTTGGTCAGGCTGGCCTCGAACTCCTGACTTCGTGATCTGCCTGCCTTGGTCTCCCAAAGTGCTGGGATTACAGGCATGAGCCAATGCACCCAGCTCATGGGTTGGCATTTTAAGGAGGTGAAGTAGGTAAGACTCAGCAAGGAAAAAAAGATATACATTAGGACTTCTGGGAGCAACTAGACTCTGAATGTTGGTGAAAATATTTACTTCCCTCTGAACAAAATCCCCTTCTCAGTCATGCTTGTAATGCAGATAGCTCTAGGTTTCTTTTCTTAAAAACACACACACAAACTGATTTTATAAAAATATCCATATCCTTTCTCTTGAATAGAAGGTTTTAAGACCTGGAGCTATAGTGTGGGTAAGTCAATAGATGGCAAAAGAAGTATGGGGTGGTTCTGCCCCTGTTAGTAAGAGACTGCCTTTCATGGGCCTTCTGGGGCTCATTTACTTAGTCATTCTGCAGAGGACCAAAAGAAGCCAAAATCCAAAACAGGAGGTTATTCTTTCAATATAACAGTTCAACAAAGTTTGAAAGAATGAAGGTTCTCATCCTTGGGATTTTATTTTAGATTGCCCTACCTACCTAAGTATAATATTTTGACTTGAGGAATTATATTTTGACCAAGGCAAGAACTAAAAAAACAGAAAGAGAATCAACTCTTTTTGCAGAAAATGTAATTTTTCTATACTAAACTCACCCCGCACTAACTCTCTCTCCCTGTCTCTGTGTTTATGTGTGTGTGTATACACACACACACATATATATATACACATACATACATATTATATAAAGTCCTAATAAGCACATTTTTTAAAGCAAAATGTAAAAGAGAGCAAAACCAGCAAGATCTGTTAGGACTTTTTCTTAACTACTTAAACTTTATTAAAGGAATTTGCTCCTCCTTTGTTGACCATCTGCAAGATGCTATACCTGGGTTACATTTTCATTCTTGAATCCCACCCTTATGTAAGATCTAAAACTGGGGAAGAATGGCTCTCCAGAGGAAAATCTTGACACTTTTAGCATAAGAAGGGGTGCTGGGTTTTGGGAAGAGAGAAATAGAAATATTAACTACAGATAGCAAAAAAGAAAGACAAATTAATATTGATTAATTAGAAGAGCTGAGGAAATCTGGAATGAAAGATTACTCTGAAGTATTTAACCACCAGTAACAACAGACATTACTACCAGAATTAGAGAGCTGTGTAGTAAATTCAGTTCTTGTTTCCAGTCCTTATCCCTTTTCTTTTCTGTTTTAACATGCTCCTTATTTTGAAATATAATTAGAAGCTTACAGAAAAGTTGCTAGAATCTTACAAAGAAACATTCCTGTTTATCTTTTAGGAGATTCGCCAGGTTTTAACATTTTGCATCATTTGCTTTGTTACTCTCTCAGAAGATTCAGATTTTCAAAGAAGACATGGGTTTGGTTTGAGACCAACTAAGTTTGAGAGAATGGTGGAATGTCTAAGCAGAAAAGCTCGGCCGGGTGTGGTGGTTCACGCCTGTAATCCCAGCACTTTGGGAGGCCGAGGCAGGTGGATCACCTGAGGTCAGGGGTTCAAAACCAGTCTGGCCAACACGGTGAAACCCTGTCTCTACTAAAAATACAAAAATTAGCCAGATATGGTGGTGCGCCCCTGTAATCCCAGCTCCTCAGGAGGCTGAGGTGGGAAAATTTCTTGAACCTGGGAGGCAGAGGCTTCAGTGAGCCAAGATCATGCCACTGCACTCCAGCCTGGGCAACAGAGCAACACTCCATCTCAAAAAAAAAAAAAAAAAAAAAGGCTCAGCAGACTGAGAGTCAAGGATCTAGAACTCAAGAAAGAGACTACTTAGAAAGATAACAATTTGAAGAAAAAACTAAGTGGGACTAATTTGTTTGAGGACATGGATTTTGAGGAAAAGGCTAATTCTGAAAGGCAAAAGGTCTTAATTCTGGCCAATGAAAAGGCATGTGATTCTATTAATATATGAATTGTAACTTTTTCATATCTTGGTTCCCTTTAGGGTCATTTGCTATTATTCTTCTTTCACATTTGAAGACTACTTTGAAAATACATGAGGCTTATTGTATGGTTTTATCCAGGGGAAATTTATAAGAAATTGAGAGTATTGTCATTAATATGGCTTGTAGGTAACATATATGTCCCAGTTACCATTATTGTGTAACAAATTACCTGAAAACTTAGTGGCATAAAATGACCATTTTATTATGCTCACAGATTCTCTGGGTTAGGAATTCAGATTGGGTACAGTGGGTATGGATGATTGTCTTCACTCCACCATATCTGAAACCTCAGTCAGGAAGACTCAAAGGCTGTGGGTAATGCAACGATTGGGGGCTGGAATCACCTGGATATGACTTCACTCACTTATCTGGCAGATGATGCCGGCTTTTTTTTTTTAGATGGAATTTCGCTCTTATTGCCCAAGCTGGCGTACAATGGCACAATCTCGGCTCACTGCAACCTCCACCTCCCAGGTTCAAGTGAGTCTCCTGCCTCAGCCTCCCGAATAGTTGGGGTTACAGGCTTGCACCATCATGCCCGGCTAATTTTGTATTTTTAGTAGAAACAAGGTTTCACCATGTTAGCCAGGCTGGTCTCAAACTCCTACCGTCAGGTAATCTGCCCGCCTTGGCCTCCCAAAGTGCTGGGATTACAGGCGTGAGCCACTGCACCCAGCAGCATGCTGGGTTTTAACCAGGACACCTATCATGTGGTCTCTGCATGGGTAAGTGCGGGCTTCCTTACAGCATACAGCTGAATTCCTGTATTGAGTGTCCTAAGACAGCAAGATGAAACATGGCATTTTTGTGATCTAGACTCAAAATTTATGTAACATCACTCTCCAGTACTCTTTTATTGAGACAGTCGCAAGTGTTTGCCCAAGTTTAAGGGGAAAAGACATAAACTCCACTTATCCATAAGACAAATGTTAAGGTCACATTATAAAAAGAGCACTTGGAATAGCAGATACTGTTTCAGCCACTTTGGGAAAATACAGTCTGCAATAAAACATATATGAACACATAAAGGGAGCATCTAACAGAGTGCAAAGAATAGGCATCTGAGAGTTATTTTTCACTGTCTATGGTGGTTGAAATTTAAAGTATTTCCTCAAAGACTAAGATATAAAGAAGAATTTTACATATCCCCTATGCCTTCTTTATTAGGAATTATTTTCCATAAATGTCTTGAAAGTGTAAGATTTGCAGTTTTTTTTTTATTTTTATTTTATTATTATTATTATTTTTGAGACAGAGTCTCACTCCATCACCCAGGTTGGAGTGCAGTGGCTTGATCTTGGCTCACTGCAACCTCCACATCCCACGTTCAAGCAATTCTCATGCCTTAGCCTCCCGAGTAGCTGGGATTACAGGTGCACACCACCACACCAGGCTAATTTTTCTACTTTTAGTAGAGGCAGGGTTTCATCATGTTGGCCAGGCTGGTCTCGAACTCCTGACCTCAAGTGATCCACCTGCCTCGGCCTCCCAAAGTGCTGGGATTACAGGTGTAAGCCACCATATCTGGCCGCAGTGTTTTGATTAACATTTTGGTCTTACATGTACAACTTAGTGCATTGCAATTCTTTAAACATCTCATCAGCAAATGAACAGCAGCTCACGAGGTGTCTAGAATTACAAAATCTACAGGAGTTTCTCATTTGGCCCAAAATTGAGGGTGCTGATCTAATAACTCGATCACTCACATCTCTTTAAAATAAAAGTTAATAGATTGCTTTAATAGAGAATTATTAATCATAGAAAAAATATTCAATCTGTCAGGTGTGCATTCTTTTTTATTAGCTCCCATTTCATTACGTAATTCAAAGGTTTGGAATATTGGAAATCAGCCTGCATCTTTGAAAGAAACCTTAAGACTTTTCTTTGTTACCGCAAGTATTTTTCTCTTTTCCTTTTTTTAAATATGAAAAGAGACTGAGGAAATGTCCTAATGTTTGGTTAATAAATTAAAAACCTATGTTTAAATGCTTTAATATCCTGATCCTATTTCACTGTGTCATCAGGGGTTGCTTTATCAGCTGTAAAATTACATAAGAAACCTTTTAAATGTAGACCTGTTAACAATATTTGAACTTCTGTGCATATACTGTGATCTTCTAATAATGACTACATCAATGGTGACAGCTCACTGTAGCTCACCAGCAACAGCTCTGCAATTGCTGATGTATTTTCAGAGATCAGAGAAGGTAACAAGGCTGGGCTTTTTCCGGCATTCAGTGATTGTTACTCATTCAGTATTTCAGATCTTTTCTAGCCTTCTCCAAATCCTTTTTTGCAAACCATATGAACAAAACATTACTCTTTTTTTTTTTTTTGAGACAAGGTCTCATCCTGTCACTCAGACTGGAGTGCAGTGGCGCGATCACAGCCCACTGTAGCCTCAACCTCCCCAGGCTCAAGTGACCCTCCCACCTTAGCCTCCCAAGTAGCTGGGACTACAGGCACATACCACCATGCCCGGCTAATTTTTGTAATTTTTTTTAGAGTCGGGGTTTTGCCATGTTGCCCAGGCTGATCTCGAACTCCTGGGCTCAAGTGATCAGCCTCGGCCTTCTAAAGTGCTAGGATTACAGGCGTGAGCTACAGCACCTGGCCAGAACACTACTTTTAAAAACCAAGAAACTGCTATATTTGAGTAGCCAATCAATTAAGAAGGCAGAGGAGATGTTGATTATATAGCAAGGACAGACCTAAGGGAAAGGAGTTTTGAAAGTTGAACATTTTTCATTTTAAAACATTAAGTTTGGCTGGGTGCTATGGCTTATGTCTGTAATCCCAGCAAATCACAAGAGAATCATTTGAGGCCAGGAGTTCGCGACCAGCTTGGGCTATGTAGTGAGATCCCATCTCCACCAAAAAAAAAAGAATTTTTTTTAAATTAGGGTGATATGGTGGTGTGCGCCTGTAGTCCCAGCTACCCAGGAGGCTGAGGTGGGAGGATCACTTGAGCCCGGGAATTTCAGAGTACAGTGAGCTGTGATAGCCCCACTGCACTCCAGCCTGAGTGATAGAGCAAGACCTTGTCTCTAAAACAAAACCCAAAAACAAAAAAACATTAAGTTTAATGGAATACATCTCAGTTAACAGTTATGTTAGATGAGGAGGCCTTAGCTCAGAGCAAATCCAGTTTTCTCTGTGTCTAGTCCTACCATAATTGAGCGATGGGGAAAGAAGTATAGAGCAATGTGTATAAGTTAGGGTTTGTTTGGCTACAGGTTTGAAAGCAATCAGAAACCAAAATACAGAACATTGGCTTGAAGTGCAGAAAAAAGTTTACTTCCAAACTGATATGGTGACTCCGTGGATCATCAGGGATCTGAGTGTTTTTCTCTCCCTCTTTTTTTCTCATTTCTTGTGTCATCTATGATTTTTAAAAATCATTTTTTATTTCAATAGGTTTTGGGGGAACAGGTGGTGTTTGGTTACATAGATAAGTTCTTTAGTGGTGATTTCTGAGATTTTGGTGCACCCATCACCCAAGCGGTGTACACTGTACCCAACATGTAGTCTTTTATTTCTCACCCCCCTTCCACTCTTTCCCCTGAGTCTCCAAAGTGCATTGTATTATTTTTATGCCTTAGCATCCTCATTGAGTGCTTCTCTCTTAATGTCTTACCTATTCTTCTTGGTACACAGCCTCATAGGTCAAGATGCTTCAGGTCCAGCTACTGTTTCTCTATTCTAGTGAGCAGGAAGGAGAAAGGGCAAAGAAAACATGCCGTCTACCCTTACAAACACTTCCCAGAAACTCAACTCAACAATTCAGTTAACATCTCATGGACTAGAATTTACTCAGAAGCCATATCCAGCAGCAAGGAAGGTTGGGAAATACAGTTTTTTTTTCCTGTGGCTGTGTTTCTAGCTAAAAATTCTATAACCAAATACTATGGTTTGAATGTTTTTGTTCCCCTCAAATTTATGTGCTGGAACCTTAATCCTCATTGCAACAGTGTTGAGAGGTGGGGCTGAATGGGAGGCATTTCAGTCATGAGGGCTCTACCCTTGTGTGTGGATTAATGCTGCTTTAAAAAAAGAGCTTGCAGGAGTGGGCTCTCTCTCTTCTGCTCTTCTGCTACGTGAGGAACAGTGTTCCCCCTCCTCTGGAGGATGCAGAGTTCAAGGTACCATCTTGGAGGCAGAGACCGGACCCTCACTAGATGCCTAAACTGCTGGCACCTTGATCTCAGACTTCTCAGCCTCCACAACTGTGAACAATAAATATCTGTTTGTTATAAATTCCCCAGTCTCAGGTATTCTGTTATAGCAGCACAAATGGACTAAGGCACTAAGGAAAAAGGGGAGCTAACATATAATATTCCCTGACACAAAATAAGTCTTTTAGGAAAGGAGAGATGATCTAGGAACCAATAAACTGTTGTGAAACAAATTTATATGATCCTTGGTTAGTCAGTGTGTGACCAAATAGCAAAATGATTTTAAACTTTATTCTACCCAAATGAACATCAAGAATTCAAGAATTAGATTTAAATGAGACAAAACATTATTTTTGATGTTATTAAGGGTGAAAGTGGCATTGTGGTGGTGTTAGAAAAATGCCCTTACTTTTTAAAGATTTATATTGAGGATAAAGGGGTGAAATGACATGATGTTTGGCATTTTCTTAAAATACGTCTACAGGCCAAGTGCAATGGCTCATGCCTGTAATCCCAGCACTTTGGAAGGCTGAGGCAGGAGATTCTCTTGAGCCCTGGAGTTCGAGACCAGCCTGAGCAACATAGTGGGACACTGTCTCCACAAAAAATTTAAAAATTAACCAGGCGTGGTGGCACACCTGTAGTCAGTCCAAGCTACTGGGGAGGCTGAGGTGGAAGGATTGCTTGAGCCCTGGAGGTTGAGACTGCAGTGAGCTGTGTTCAAGCCACTATATTCCAGCCTGAGTGAAAGAGCAAGACCTTCTCTCAAACAAACAAACAAACAAACAACCCCAAACAAAACAGAAACAAAAAACTTCTACAAAGAAAAAAGGGGGAAGATGAAAAAAATATAGTCAAAATCTTGATAATTGCTAATTTGGGGTTGGGGGCAGTGGCTCACACCTGTAATCCCCGCACTTTCAGAGGTCGAGATGGGCAGATCCCTCGAGTCCAAGAGTTCGAGACCAACCTGGGCAACATGGCAAAAATCTCATCTCTATAAAAAATACAAAAATTAGCTGGGCATGGTGGTGCATGCCTGTGTTCCCAGCTACTTGGGAGCCTGGGGTGGGAGGATCAGCTAAGCCCAGGAGGTCGAGGCTGCAGTGAGCTGTGGGATCATGCCACTGCACCCCATCCTGGGTGACAGAATGAGATCTGGTCTCAAAAAAAAATTTATTTTTTAAATTGGGGGTATGAGTACATGGGATTTACTGTACTATTATTTTTTATATGTTTGAAATGTTTCTTTTTCTTTTTTTTCTTTTTGAGACGGAGTCTCGCTCTGTCGCCCAGGCTGGAGTGCAGTGGTACGATCTTGGCTCACTGCAAGCATCGCCTCCCGGGTTCACGCCATTCTCCTGCCTCAGCCTCCCAAGTAGCTGGGACTACAGGCGCCTGCCACCATGCCCGGGTAATTTTTTTATAGTTTTAGTAGAGATGGGGTTTCACCATGTTAGCCAGGATGGTCTTGATCTCCTGACTTCATGCTCTGCCTGCCTCAGCCTCCTAAAGTGTTGGGAGTACAGGCGTGAGCCACTGCTCCCAGCCTGAAATGTTTCATTGAACAAACTTTTTTGAAAATAATCAGGATCAAAATATCTACATCTTAGTTGGTGATATCAGTACCATGTAACCTTGGCCAATTTAATGTTTCTGTGTTTGAGTTTCTTCATATGTAAAATACAAATAATAATACCTGGCCTATCCAGTTAACAGTGCTGTACTGAAGGCCAAATATAAAAATGCCTGTAAAAGTGTTTCAGAACCTATAGTATAGTGTGATATCAGATATTATTGATAATGTGCTTGCTGTCATTTTTATTAATGTGAGGCCAGAGTCCATGTCCCATTATTCACTGCTATATCTCTAGTGACTGGTAAAATGCCTGACACGTAATAGATATAAAATAAATGTTTGATAAGTGAGAACAAAATTAAGAAACAAACTATATATGAAATTGACATGAACTTGTAAAGATAGAAGAGACCCGGGAAGTCATCCAATAACCTCAAGTTATGTATGAGGAAACTGAGCCCAGAGCAATTAAAGGACTCACCTAACACGACACAGGTGGCAGATAGGAGATAAAGGCACAGTCATCCTCAAAATCACAAGGGAAACACCAGAGACTCCAGGAGAATGTTGCTCCCTTTTTAGCTACTTCAGGAAAATCATGCCATAATATCATGACATCACTTCTTGTTGCAGTCCCAAGGAACAGTGCATTCTCTAGCAGCACTCAGACTTCATTCCATTAACAACTGTTACCAAACAGGAGGCAGTAGGGACTCAAAAATCCTTTTGTCACCTTTTGGTTCCAATGTTCTACAGGGGTAGAGGGAGCTTCTGCTCCCTGGCCTGTGGGTCATATGGTCTTTGTTGCAACTCTCAGCTTTGTTTTTGCAGAACAAAAGCAGCCAGAGAAAATATGTAAATGAATGAGTTTGGCTGTGTGCCAACAAAACTTTATTTATAGAAATAGGTGACCAGCCAGATTTGTTGTAGAGGATTTAATAAGAAGCCAGGACTTACCTAAAATGTACTCTGTTCCAAAGGCCAGTCTGTTCTCCAACTCCTCTCAAACATTATAATAATGATATACATTATAATTCATATATGCTACTAATAAAATGTTATTTTTAAAATAAGGCAAAAGTGTGACCGTCATACAAATATTTTAAAAAGTTAAAAATTTGGCCAGGCATGGTGGCTCATGCCTAGAATCCCAACACTTTGGGAGGCTGAAAGGGGTGGATCACTTGAGGTCAGGAGTTCGAGACCAGCCTGGCCAACCTGGTAAAACCTCATCTCTACTAAAAATACAAAAATTAGCCAGGTGTGGTGGTGCAACTGTAGTCCCAGCTACTTGGGAGGCTGAGGCAGGAGAATCACTTGAACCTGGGAGGCGGAGGTTGCAGTGAGCTGAGATCCCACCGCTGCACTCCAGCCTGGATGACAGAGTGAAACTTTATCTCAAAAATAAAATAAAAATAACAAGTCAAAGATTTTATTTAACACACTAATTAGTAAGGAAAACACCAATACATTAAAACCAGTTCAAAGGGGATTAAAAGAACAAACACACATAGAGGCAATCAGGAATGCCAAAATGAATTTGTCAATAGATGAAAAACTGAGCAATATTTACAAGAAATAGAATAATGCTTGGAATCATCTTTTCCACAGAGTGGTCATCAATTTCATCTTCACCGGACACAATTTATTGCCATGTCTATGGACAAGACTCATTTGCATTACTATAAGATTTTTTTTTTTTTTTAAAGACAGGGTCTTGCTCTGTCGTCCAGGCTGGAATGCAGTGGTGCCATATCGGCTCACTGCAACCTCCACCTCCTGGGTTCAAGTGATTCTCATGCCTCAGCCTCTCGAGTAGCTGGTGTTACAAGCATGTACCACTATGCCTGGCTAATTTTTGTATTTTTAGTAGAGACAGGGTTTTACCATGTTAGCCAGGCTGATCTTGAACTCCTGGCCTCAAGTGATCCGCCTGCCTTGACCTCCCAAAGGGCTGGGATTACAGATGTGAGCCACCTCCCCTGGTCTTGCATTACTATAAGTTTTCAACAACTTACAGAGTTGCATATAACCATCAGTCTGTGATGAAAACCACAACTCTCCATATAGTCAGATAATTCCAAAGGATCTCTTAGACAACTCCCACTGAAAAGATACCCAGTCATCACCCATTCAGAATTTTCCCTGATAATTTATTGTAATTTTTCTTTTCTTTTCTTTTCTTTTTGAGACAGAGTCTCGCTCTGTCACCCAGGCTGGAGTACAGTGGCACTATCTCGGCTCACCGTAACCTCCGCCTCCTGGGATCAAGCCATTCTCCTGCCTCAGCCTCATGAGTAGCTGGGATTACAGGCACCCGCCATGTAATTTTTCTTAATGCTATTCTTTAATCCAAAGTTTTCCAAAAGTGATAGACATAACACTGGTGATACTGGATTTTAGGTGGCATGGACAAATATTTTTATCTTAATAAACATATATTTATTTTATAATAGGTTATAAAATCAAAATTAGACTGTCAAACTCATAATATCACAGATACTATTTTTTAAAAACCTCTACCTAGATAGATCACTGAAATTTCAGAACATTATAAATAAGAGATGATTCTAAAATCCTGTAGAAAGAAAAAAAGTTACTTACAAAGGAGAAAGAATCATGGACGCCGCCGAAGAAGTATCGTTAAAGTTTCTCTTCTCCCTGGCGTCATGTCTAAGTCAGAGTCTCCTAAAGAGCCCGAACAGCTGAGGAAGCTCTTCATTGAAGGCTTGAGCTTTGAAACAACCAATGAGAGCCTGAGGGGCCATTTTGAGCAACACGGAATGCTCACGGGCTGTGTGGTAATGAGAGATCCAAACACCAAGCGCTCCAGGGGCTGTGGATTTGTCACATGTGCCACTGTGGAGGAGGTGGATGCAGCCATGAATGCAAGGCCACACAAGGTGGATGGAAGAGTTGTGGAGACAAAGACAGCTGTCTCAGGAGATTCTCAAAGACCAGGTGCCCACTTAACTATGAAGAAGATATTTGTTGGGGGCTTTAAAGAAGACACTGAAGAACATCACCCAAGAGATTATCCTGAACAGTGTGGAAAAAATGAAGTGATTGAAATCATGACTGACTGAGGCAGTGACAAGAAAAGGGGCTTTGCCTTTGTAACCTTTGACAACCATGACTCCGTGGAGAAGACTGTCATTCAGAAATACCATCCTGTGAATGGCCACAACTGAGAAGCTAAGAAAGCCCTGTCAAAGCAAGAGATGGTAAGTGCTTCATCCAGCCACAGAGGTCGAAGTGGTTCTGGAAACTTTGGTGGCGGTCGCGGAGGTGGTTTCGGTGGGAATGACAACTTTGGTCTTGGAGGGAACTTTAGTCGTCGTGGTGGCTTTGGTGGCAGCCGTGGTGGTGGTGGATATGGTGGCAGTGGGGATGGCTATAATGGATTTGGTAATGATGGAAGCAATTTTGGAGGTGGTGGAAGCTACAACAATTTTGGCAATTACAACAATCAGTCTTCAAATTTTGGACCCATGAAGGGAGGAAACTTTGAAGACAGAAGCTCTGGCCCCTATGGTGGTAGAGGCCAATACTCTGCCAAACCACGAAACCAAGGTGGCTATGGCGGTTCCAGTAGCAGCAGTAACTGTGGCAGTGGCAGAATATTTTAATTAGGACACAAAGCTTAGCAGGAGAGGAGAGCCAGAGAAGTGACAGGAAAGCCACAGGTTACAACAGATTTGTGAACTCAGCCAAGCACGGTGGTGGCAGGGGCTAGCTGCTACAAAGAATACATGTTTTAGACAAATACTCTTGTGTATGGGCAAAAAAACTCGAGGACTGTATTTGTGACTAATGGTATAACAGGTTATTTTAGTTTCTGTTCTGTGGAAAGTGTAAAGCATTTCAACAAAGGGCTTTAATATAGATTTATTTTTGCACCCATGCTGTTGATTGCTAAATGTAATAGTCTGATCATGATG
This sequence comes from Homo sapiens, assembly GCF_000001405.40. Lineage (NCBI taxonomy): Eukaryota > Metazoa > Chordata > Mammalia > Primates > Hominidae > Homo > Homo sapiens. The sequence continues at coordinate 174,309,702 of NC_000002.12, read as the reverse complement.
CTGAATAAACAACCTTTTTTTCTTTAATATGCTGTTTAAAGTTAGTCTACTCTGAAGCCATCTTGGTAAATTTCCCCCAACAGTGTGAAGTTAGAATTCCTTCAGGGTGATGCCAGGTTATATTTGGAATTTATATACAACCTGCTTGGATGGAGAAGCCATTGTCTTGAGAAACCTTGGTGTCGTTGAACTGACAGTTACTGTTGCGACCTGAAGTTCACCATTAAAAGGGATTACCCAAGCAAAATCATGGAATTATTGGTTATAAAAATAATTGTTGGCACATCCTATGCAATATATCTAAATTGATTAATGGTACCAGATAAAATTATAGATGGGAATGAAGCTTGTGTATCATCCATTATCATGTGTAATCAATAAACAATTTAATTCTCTTGGAAAAAAAGGAGCAAGAATCAAACAAACATCAGATTTCCTATCAACACTGGATGCTCAAAAACAGAAAATATACCTTCAAAGTTTAGAGTGAAAGTTATTTTAAGTGTAGAATTTTACTTCCATTCAAACTTTTCAATCAAGAGTGAGAGTAAAGCACACTTATTCTCAGAAATTTAATAACTCAAGAAGATTTAACAGCCATATAAATTCCAGGTAAATTAAAAACAAGTGCGGTACAGATTTGTTTCCAGCCTAGATGGAGTCACAGAGACCAGATTTACCTTTCTGCCTGAAATCACTGAAAAAATCAGACAAAATCTATGAAACAATGGTTTTTAAGGCACTGGACACGAGACAATGAAGAAGAGTGATCCCTGAGAGATGGGAAGCTAGTCAAGTGAGCCCAGTGATTGTCCAGGCTTAGTGCCTGAGGAGAGTTTCCAGGCTGCAGTGCACGGGGAGTTAAGGCGAAGCCAGGCAAGATGCAGTGACCTCCCGGACTTAAGGAGAAGAGCTGAGAGTTGAAGAGCTGATGCTGGGGAAGATCAAAAAACCAAAGCTGTTGGAGTTTGCAGAATAAAATACCGGAGAGAAGAAAGGGTCTCAGAGAAAGAGAGAATCACCAAAACGTCGAGAGGTTCTCCCTCACGTACTTAGCTGACTGCTTATCAGCACATGCACGGGAGAAAACAACACATGAAAAGAACTACTCATAAGAAGCTCGTGTGGGGCCAGGAATAGTGCCATTTCCCCCATCCAGACTTGAAAATCTCGCAATTCATGGGGTATTAGGGGAGAGTACTCAGAAGGGTCTTGCCTCCATAGTGGAGGAAAGTTGGCCCTAGATTAAATGCTATTCTGATCTCACCTAATGAGGCTTAAAAGCAAGAACCAAAAGGATCAAACTTTTTCCAGGTTAACTTAGTTGCGTCTCAAAAGCTCAAGGATGTTTACAGGTATATAAAAATATCCAGCACCCAACAAAGTAAAATTTACAATGTCTGACATTTAATTAAAAAAAGACAACTGTAAGGCATGCAAAGAAGCAGAAAAATTATAATGAGAAAAAAATCAATTAATCAAAACTGCTTAAAATGGACATAGATGATAACAGTAGACAAGGGCCGGACGCGGTGGCTCACGCCTGTAACGCTAGTACTTTGGGAGGGTAAGGCGGGCAGATCCTTTGAGCCCAGGAGTTTGAGACCAGCCTGGGCAACATGGCGAAACCCCATCTCTACAAAAAATGCAAAAATTAGCCAAGTGTTATGGCACATGCCTGTAGTCCCTGAGGTGAGAGAATCACCTGAGCCTGGGGAGGTTGAGGCTGCAGTGAGCCAAGATCGCACCACTACACTCTATCATGGGTAAGACCCTGTCTAAAAAAAAAAAGTAGGCAAGGAGATTAAAACAGCAATTATAAATGTATTCCTTATATCTCAAAATCTAGAGTAATAGTTTTCAGTAGAGGCATGATTCCCCATCCCTGGTGACATTTGGCAATGTCTGGAGACAGTTTGGTTGCCACAATTTGGGGGTAGTGGTGACACTGGCATGATGTAGGTAGAATCCAGAGATGTTGCTAAACATTCTTCATGCACAGAACAGCCCCCCACGACAAAAAATTATCTAGCCCAAATTGTCAGAAGTGCTGAGGTTGAGAAACTCAGATCTAGAGGAATGATTGAATATGTTAAGTAAAGACATAGGAAATATGAAAAAGATACAAATTGAACTTTTGGATATAAAAATGACAATGACTGAGATTAAAAATACACTGGATAGAATCAATGACAGGTTAGACATTGCAGAAAACATGAGTGAACTTTAAAACATGTCAATATAAGCTATGCAAAATAAAACTCAAAATATAAGTCTGGGGTATAAGAAAAAAGAAACAGATCATCAGTAAGCTGTGGGACAACATCAAGTGGCCTAACATATATGTTGTTGGAGTCCTGAGGAAAAGGGGTGACAGAAAAAATATCTCAAAAGAAATAAAAGCCATGACATTTCCAAATTTGATAAAAGCTATAAACCAACAGATCCAAGAAGCTCAACAAACCAAAGCACAAGAAATGTGAAGAAAACTACACTAAAGCAAAATCATAATCAAGTCGCTTAAAATAAATTATAAATAAAAAATATTAAAAGCAGCCAGAGGGCTGGGCGCGGTGGCTCACACCTGTAATCCCAGCACTTTGGGAGGCTGAGGTGGGCAGATGACCTGAGGTAAGGAGTTCAAGACCAACCTGACCAACTGGGTGAAACCTTGTCTCTACTAAAAATATAAAAATTAGCCAGGTATGATGGTGGGCGCCTGTAATCCCAGCTCCTCGGGAAGCTGAGGCAGGAGAATTGCTTGAACCCGGGAGGTGGAGGTTGCAGTGAGCCGAGATTGCGCCACTGCACCCCAGCCTGGGTGACAGAGCGAGACTCCATCTCAAAAAAAAAAAAAAAAAGCAGCCAGAGGAGAAAGAAGATATGATATGTACAGAAGCACAGACATAATGATGACAGAACATTTCTTGTTAGAGACAAGGTAAACAAAAGAAAATAGTGGAACAACATCTTTAAAGTACTTAAAAAGAAAAAGCTGTCAACCTAAAATTGTATATTAAGATATCTTTTAAGCCAGGGATGGTGGTGCCTGCCTGTAGTCCCAGCTATTCAGGAGGCTGAGGTAGGAGGATCACTTGAGCCCAGGAGTTTGAGTTCAGCCTGGGCAACATATTTAGACCCCATCTCTAAATAAATAAATATATCTTAAAAATGAAGACAAAATAGAGACATTTTTAGACATTAAAAAGCTGAAAGGACTTATCACCTGAATATCCACATTACAGAAAATATTAAAGGAAATCTTTTAGGCAGAAAGAACAGTGGGAAATATAAGTCTACCTAAAGGAATAAAGAGCATTGGAAATGGTAACTATGTAGGTAAATAAATAAAATTTTTAACATTATTTCAATATTTTAAAAAGATAAGCTGGGCACAGTGGCTCACGCCTGTAATCCCAGCACTTTGGGAGGCTGAGGCGGGCAGATCACGATGTCAGGAGTTCGATACCATCCTGGCTAACACGGTGAAACCCTGTCTCTGCTAAAAATACAAAAAATTAGCCAGGCCTGTGGCATGCACCTGTAGTCCCAGCTACTCAGGAGGCTGAGGCAGGAGAATCACTTGAACCCGGAAGGTGGAGGTTGCAGTGAGCCGAGATTGTGCCATTGCACTCCAGCCTGAGCAACAGAGCAAGACTCCATCTCAAAAAAAAAAAAAAAAAAAAAAAAAAAGATGATTGCCTAGCCAGAGAAAGAAATGAAGGGCATCCAAGTGGGAAGGAGAAAGTCAAAGTCAAATTGCCCCTGTTTGCAAACAACATGATCTTATATATAGAAAACCCTAAAAGTGCCACCAAAAACTCTTAGAACTAATAAAAAAAAATTTAGTAACATTGCAGGATACAAAATCAACATACAAAAATCAGTAGCATTTTTATACATCAACAGTGAGCAAGCAGAAGAAGGAATCAAGAAAGCAATCCAACTTTCAATAGCTACCAAAAAAAATTCATGGGAATAAATTTAACAAAGAAGGTGAAAGCTAAAGATCTTTCTCTATAAACTACAGGAAAACTATAAAACACCGATGAAATAAATTGAAGAGGACACACTCAAAAATGGAAAGACATCCCATGTTCATGTTTCCAATATTCTTGGAAGAATATTGTGAAAATGACCATACTATTAAAAGTGATCTACAGATTAAATACCATCCCTATCAAAATATTAATGACTCTCTTCACAGAAATAGAAAAAAAACCTTAAAATTTCTATGGAACCACAAGAAGCCATGAATGGCCAAAGCAATCTTGAGCAAAAAGAACAAAATTGGAGGCATCACACTACTGGAATTCAAAATATACTACAAGAGCTATAGTAACAAAACAACATGGCACTGGCACAAAAGCAGGCACACAGATGAATGGGACAGAATAGAGAGCCCAAAAATAAATCCACATATTTGCAGTTAGCTTATTTTCAACAAAGATGCCAAGAACATTTATTGGGGAAGGGGCAGTCTTTTCAATAAATGGTGCTGGAAAACTGAATATTTGTATGTGAAAAAATAAAACTAGACCCCTGTCTCTCACCATATTAAAAAAAAAAAAAAGCCAGGCATGGTGGCTCATGCCTATAATCCCAGCACTTTGGGAGGCCGAGGTGGGTGGATCACCTGAGGTCGGGAGTTCAAGACCAGCTTGACCAACATGGAGAAACCCCATCTCTACTAAAAATACAAAATTAGCCAGGTGTGGTGGCACCTGCCTGTAATCCCAGCTACTCAGGAGGCTGAGGCAGGAGAATCACTTGAAGCCCGGAGGCAGAGGTTGCAGTGAGCCGAGATCACGCCATTGCACTCCAGCCTGGGCAAAAATAACGAAACTCCATCACAAAAAAATGCAAACAAACAAACCTCAAAATGGATTAAAGATTTAAATGTAGGCTGGGCACAGTGGCTCACACTTGTAATCCCAGAACTTTGGGAGGCCAAGGCAGGTGGATCACTTGAGGACAGGAGTTCAAGACCAGCCTGATCAACATGGTGAAACCCTGTTTCTACTAAAAATACAAAAAAATTAGCCGGGCGTGGTGGTGGGCGCTACTCAGGAGGCTGAGGCAGGAGAATCGCTCAAACTCAGGAGGCAGAGGTTGCAGTGAGCCGAGATCATGCCATTGCAATCCAGCCTGGGCAACAAGAGTGAAACTCTTTGAAACTCCATCTCAAAAAAAAGAAAAAAAAACAAAAAACAAAAAAAGATTTAAATGTAAGACCAAAAACTATAAAGACAGGAGAAATGCTTCAGGACATTGCCTGGTCAAAGATTTTTATGGAAAAGACCTCATAAGTATAGGCAATAAAGGCAAAAACAGACAAATGGAATTCTGTCAAATGAAAAAGCTTCTGCACAGCAAAGAAAACAATCAACAGAGTGAAGAGACGACTTACAGAATGTTAGAAAATATTTGCAAGCTATTTATCCAGCCAGGGATTAATATCCAGAGTATACAAGGAACTCAAGGAATGCAAACAACTCAACAGAAAAAAATAAATAAATGAAAAATAGGCAAATGAGCTGAACTGATATCTCTCATTCAAGAAGATATACAAATGGCCCACAGGTATATGAAAAGATGTTCAACATTACTAATCATCAGAGAAATACAAATCAAAACCACAATAAGTTCTCTTACCCCAGTTGGAAAGGCTATTATTAAAAACAAAAAACAAAAACAAAAAAATACCCAACAAATGCTTGTAGGGAGGTGGAGAAAGGAGAACTCTTTTTTTTTTGAGATGGAGTCTCTCTCTGTTGCCCAGGCTGGAGTGCAGTGGTCCGATCTCGGCTCACTGCAGGCTCCGCCTCCCAGGTCACGCCATCCTCCTGCCTCAGCCTCCCGAGTAGCTGGGACTACAGGCGCCCGCCACCGTGCCCGGCTAATTTTTTTGTATTTTTAGTAGAGACGGGTTTTCACCGTGTTAGCCAGGATGGTCTCGATCTCCTGACCTCGTGATCCACCCACCTTGGCCTCCCAAAGTGCTGCGATTATAGGTGTGAGCCACCGCGCCCAGTGAGAAAGGAGAACTCTTATGCCCTGTTTGTAGCCATATAAATTAGCAGTCATTATGGAAAACAGTGTGGACGTTCCTCGAGAAACTAAAAATAGGCCAGGCACAGTGGCTCATGCCTGTAATCCCAGCACTTTGGGAGGCCTAGGCAGGTGGGTCACTTGAGATCAGGAGTTCCAGACCAGCCTGGCCAAAATGGTGAAACCCCATCTCTACTAAAAATACAAAAAATTAGCCGGGTGTGGTGGCGGATGCCTGTGATTCCAGCTACTCAGGGGGCTGAGGCAGAAGAATAGCTTGAACCCAGGAGACAGAGGTTGCAGTGCACCAAGATCGCGCCACTGCACTCCAGCCTGGGCAACAGAGCGAGACTCCCTCTCAAAAAACAAACAAACAAAACAAAACAAAAAAACCCAAAAACCCCTAAAAATAGAACTACCATATGATCCAGCAATCCCACATCTAGGTATATATCCAAAGGAAAGGACATCAATATGTCAGAGAGATATCTGCACTCTCATGTTTATTGTGGCACTGTTCACAATAGTTAAGACATGGAATCCACCTACATATCCATCAACAGATGAATGGATAAAGAAAGCATGGTACAGGCTGGGCACAGTGGCTCACATCTGTAATCCCAGCACTTTGGGAGGCTGAGGCGGGCAGATCACCTGAGGTCAGGAATTCGAGACCAGCTAATGCAAAATTAGCTGGGCATGGTGGCGGGCGCCTGTAATCCCAGCTACTCAGGAGGTTGAGACAGGAGAATCGCTTGAACCCAGGAGGTGGAGGTTGCGGTGAGCTGAGATCGTGCCGTTGCACTCCAGCCTGGGCAACAAGAGTGAAACATCATCTCAAAAAAAAAAAAAAAAAAAAAAAAAAAAAAAGCATAGCACAGCTACTCGGGAGGCTGAGGCAGGAGAATCACTTGAACCCGGGAGGCGGAGATTGCAGGGGGCCGAGATTGGGCCACTGCACTCCAGCCTGGTGACAGAGCGAAACTCCGTCTCAAATAAAAATAAAAATACATAAAGAAAGCATGGTATAGGGCCGGGTGCAGTGGCTCAAGTCTGTAATCCTAGCATTTTGGGAGGCCGAGGCAGGTGGATCACCTGAGGTCAGGAGTTCGAGACCAGCCTGGCCAACATGGTGAAAACCCATCTCTACTAAAAATACAAAAAATTAGCCTGGCGTGGTGGCGGATGCCTGTAATCCCAGCTACTCAGGAGTCTGAGGCAGGAGAATCACTTGAATCTGAGAGGCGAAGGTTTCAGTGAACCGAGATCAGACCACTGCACTCCAGCCTGGGCAACAAGAGCAAAACTCCGTCTCAAAAAAAAAAGAAAGAAAGCATGGTGTATATGCACAACAGAATACTGCCATAACAAATTAAAAAATTCTGTCATTCACAGCAACCTGAATGAACTTGGAGGACGTTAGGTTAAGTGAAATAATCCAGACAGAGAAAGATAAATACTGTGTGTTCTTCCTCATACGTGGAAGCTACAAAGTTGATCTCTTAGAGATAGAAAGTAGAATAGTGGTTACTAGAGGCAGAGATGAGTTGGTGGGGAGGGGAAGATAGGCAAAAGTTGGTTGACAGAAGTAAAAATACAACTAGGTAGGAGGAATAATTCCTGGTGTTCTATAACACTACAGGGAGACTATAATTAACAACGATTTATTGTATATTTTCAAATAGCTAGAAAAGCAGATTTTGAATGCTCCCAAAACAAAGAAATGATAGATATTTGAGGTGACGGATATGCTAATTACCTGGATTTGGTCATTATACATTGTACACATGTATCTAAATATCACACTGTACCTCATAAATATGTACAATTACTATGTGTCCATTTAAAATAATAATAAAAGCAAAGAAAACCCAAAATAAAAAAAGATGATTGTTAAAAGTAATAACAGAGTATGAGGTTTACAGCATATGTGGAAGTAAAATGTGAGACAACAATAGGAGAAAGCATTGGTTTGTTTGGAGGGGAGGCTAAGGGGTTCAGCATTGCCCGGGATCTCTACCTGTGACTGAATAGTATGCTAAACTCAGTAGAAATATTATAACACCTGTCTGGCCCAGAGGCCAAGCCAATTTTCCAATTTGGTAGTTATAAAACCAAGCCATTGTTTTTTTTTTTTCTTAAGGAAAACAAAAACAGCCAGGCACAGTGGTCCACACCTATAATCCCAGTGCTTTGGGAGGCCAAGGTGGGAGGAGTGCTTGAGGGCAGGAGTTGGAGACTCACTTTGTGCCAATGTTGCATCGAACAGCTGAATTGCCTAACATTTTTCATTGATTTGATGAATTGTTTGGATATTGTACAGATACAGGATTTAAAATAAATTCTTTCTTTAAAAATTGAGTGGTCAGGTGCAGTGGCTCACACCCAAAATCCCAGGGCTTTGTGAGGCCAAGGCAGGAGGATAACATGAGGCCAGGAGTTTGAGACTGCAGTGAACTGTGATCGCACCACTGTACTCCAGCCTAGGTGACAGAGCAAGATCCTGTCTCTAAAAAAGAAAGAAGAGAGGAGGGAACCGAGGCCCTCAGTCTGGTGATGTTGGTATTGGCTGGGCTGAAGACAGTCCAGAACTCCAGGGCGCTAGCCTTTCAGCCACAAAAAATCCTGTCTCACCCAAGGACCAGAACCCACCGAAAAGATCCGCATTCCCCACGGGTAATTTCGTGCTCCCAAAATGGGATACAAAGTGGTCATATTTGACATTTCTGTTGTCAGAGCCTTGTGGGAAACTTGTGTCAAGAAGCACAAGTTTGGCAGAAGAAGGAGGCAGAAAGTCTTGAGAAGAGTGCATCAGAAAAGACAAAGGAGGAGTGGCCCCTTGAGGTCAAGTGCAGGAGGAAAGGCATCTCCTGGGCTGAGTACTGGCTGGGATAGTGGCTTCATAGACATTCATAGCATGCAGCTTCTGGAAAAGATAGAAAGGAAAGCTCTCACAAGGCAGAGTTCACTTCCCAAGGACAGAGGCAAATGGAGCAGTGTGTTTGTGTTTGGACTTTCTGGGGAGTACTGGACGGAGCTGCCAGATTTGTTAAAGGAGCAGACGCACCTGAGAGAATGGCATGTATGCGACACCCTGATTCAAATTACTCCCACATATATTGAGCTGTTTCAAGCGATGAGAATTCAGGATCTGCCAAAGAAACAAATCTCACATTTTCCAGCTAAACTCAGTTGTTTGAAGAACCTGAAATAACTCAATGTGAGTTTCAACTATCTGAAGAGCATTCCTCCAGAGCTGGGAGATTGTGAAATCTAGAGGGACTGGATTGTTCTGGAAATCTGGAATTCACAGAGCTGCCTTTTGAATTAAGTAATTGGAAGCCAGTTGCATTCGTAGATATCTCAGCAAACAAGTTTTCCAGTGTCCCAGTCTGTGTCCTGAGGATGTCTATTTGCAGTGGTTGGATATCAGCAACAATAACCTGACTGCCTTGCGGCAAGATACAGGCTGGAAGAGCCGCAGGGCTTTCTCTTGTATAGAAGCAAGTTGACCTACCTTCCTTACCCCATGCTTAACCTGAAGAAGCGCACCTTGTTAGTCGTCAATGGGGACCACTTGGTGGAGCTTTCAGCTGCTCTTTGTGACTCCTCCACACCTTTAAAATTTGTAAGCCTTATAAACAATCCCCTCCTTTTTTTTGACAGAGTCTTGCTCTGTCACCCAGGCTTGAGTGCAGTGGCACGATCTCAGCTCACTGCAACCTCCACCTCCTGAGTTCAAGCGATTCCTCCACCTCAGCCTCCTGAGTAGTTGGGACCAGAGCTGTGCACCACCACACCTGGCTAATTTTTGTATTTTTAGTAGAGATGGGGTTTTGCCATGTTGGCCAGGCTAGTCTCGAACTCCTGGGCTCAAGTTTTCCGCCCGCCTTGGCCTCCCAAAGTGTTAGAAATATAGGCATGAGCCTTGATAAAGAATTTATGAGGCTGGGTGCGGTGGCTCATGCCCGTAATCCCAGCACTTTGGGAAGCCAAGGTAGGTGGATCGGTTGAGGTCAGGAGTTTGAGACCAGCTTGGCCAACATGGTGAGACCCTGTCTCTACTAAAAATACAAAAATTAGTGGGGTGTGGTGGCACGTGCCTGTAATGCCAGCTACTCTGGAGGCTGAGGCAGGAGAATCACTTGAACCCAGAAGGCAAAGGTTGTAGGGAGCCAAGATTGTGCCACCACACTCCAGTCCGGGTGACAGAGTGAGGTTCTGTCTCAAAAAAACAAGAATGTATGAAAGCCTATATTGAAGATCTTAAGGAAAGAGAATCTGTCCCAAGCTATACCACCAAAGGGTCTTTTAGCCTTCAACTTTGATATCATCCATCAGAAGACAGCAAAGTCTCACTATTCTGTGGAGCTTTAAGTTTTTGTGTTATGGGTCATGTCATGTAGGAAGAATGGCTTGTGCTTAAGGACAAAGTCTAGAAACCACTATCATAGTTGTTAAGAAAAGTGATTTTCAAATGTCAAATATATGAATACCTCCCTCCAAAAAATTTTTTAAAAAGAGTAAAAATAAATGAGGCTACATTATTTGGCCTTAAAAGATATCAAGCCTAGAAATTGTAAAAACTTCTTAGGCTTTTATGATAAAATACTGAGAGAGGAACTAATTATGGTCTGGAGTTTCATTGGCTGTTAAAACCTATGGAATGTTGCCTGGCTCCTAGTGCTTTTGTGTTGTATTCTAATGTATGATTTTGCTTTTGAAACTGTTGGGAAGGTTGGAGGTCAATTGAATTGTTTATTCAAAGTTGTAAATGCAAATAGTTTTCTCACCGCTAGAATTAGGAATCTTTGAATGAAAGTGAGGATTTCCTTAAAAGTTAGCAGAAAAAGTTGGCTTTTATTTGGAGACATGTTAGGTTAATTACAGTCTTAATTTGATGGAGTACAATGGAGGTCTTTTTAATGAACATGCAGAAGCTGGAAATATTATACTCTATAACCTGTTATCGACCTACCAAATAGGTGAAGAAAAGTTCTAGGTAGAAAATTAAGATTAATATCAATTACATTTCTTTGTGAGGCATGTTTTTATCTTAGCTATTTGGACTCTAGCACTTCATCTGGAATATGTAATTGCATACTTGATAACTGCGGTCAGTGGATAGCTCCCGTGCTAATTTGTAAGATTATTGCATTAATGAGCTCTTGCTAGTTTATGTGGCAATAAGAAACACCCCCAAATCTCAGTGGTTTATGACAACAAAGGTTTATTTCTCCCTCTTGGTACATGTCAGCTGCAGCTTAGCTCAATGGGTATTCATTTCAGAATCCAGGTTGACGGAGTAACACAGATGAAAGACATTCGTTACTGTGACAGAGAGAAAAGAGTACAATGGCTAAGCCATGCAATGTCTCTTTAATTCCTGTTTAGATGGTAAACATGGCTTATGCCTCACATTTCATTGGCTGAAGGAAATCACATGGGTTAACCTAACCTTAATAGAGTGGGGAAGTCTGCACCTGTAGGAAGGCACTGCAAGTCACATGGAAATATGTAGGATATAAAATTCTCTTATGGGAAGTGTGGGGAATAATCGAGAACAAAAATGCAGTCTTCCACAGTTATTAAAAGAAATATGTCAAATGAAGAAATAATTCAACAGACTGTTCTGGTCTCAGCATTCAAATAAGACCAACCTGGTGGTCTATGTAATATCCTTTCAGGTTTTATCACCACACTTTCAATTTCAGAATCATGCATCTTATAGTGAAATACAAACCCTTGCTACTCAGTGCTAAGGTGTTTTTTAGGTGGAAAGATAGGGGAGAAAAACCTCCTTAACAGGACCAACCACTAGTTCTGCCAAAGAAATGACCATTCTCTCTAACAGCAATGCCCAAAGCATTTCTTCCCACATATGGCTCACATGTTCTTTTTAAATGTATAGCAGTCACCACCCTTCACAGTCCTTATTACTATTTGTAACTTTGTCCCTTAAAATGTATCCTCTACTCAAAATCTTTTCTCAGGAAGCACTGTCACTGATGTTTTTCCAGTATTCTATTGAGATGCCACATTGAAGCAGAATGTCAGTGTATATCCTTATAGCAATTCTTCTGGCGGTAATCATCCTGCACCCCCACCTTAGCTTATCAGAGCTAACTGTTACCCTGATGCCACACATATCCACATCTCATGTCTTGGGCAGGGAACTGTTTTTTGTTTGGTTGGTTGTCTTTTTTTTTTTTTTGAGACAGAGTTTTGCTCTGTTGCCCAGGCTGCAGTGTTGTGGTGTGTTCTCGGCTCACTGCAGCCTCTGCATCCCGGGTTTGAGTGATTCTCTTGCCTCAGCCTCCCCAGTAGCTGGGACTACAGGTGTGCACCCCCACACCTAGCTAATTTTTTTTTTTGTATTTTTAGTAGAGATGGGGTTTCACCACGTTGGCCAGGCTGGTCTCGAACTCCTGACCTCAAGTGATCCACCCACCTCAGCCTCCCAAAGTGCTGGGATTACAGGCTTGAGCCACTGTGGCCGGCTGTTTGGTTGTTGTTGTTGTTGTTTTGAGATGGAGTCTCGCTCTGTTGCCCAGGCTGGAGTGCAATGGTGCGATCTCAGTTCACTGCAACCTCTGCCTCCCAAGTTCAAGTGATTCTCCTGCCTCACCCTCCTGAGGAGCTGGGATTACAGGTGCACACCACCACGCCTGGCTAATTTTTGTGTTTTTAGTTAGAGATGGGATTTCACCATGTTGGCCAGGCTGGTCTCGAACTCCTGACCTCAAGTGATCCACCTGCCTTGGCCTCCCAAAGTGTTGGGATTACAGGCGTGAGCTGCCACACTCGGCCTGTTTGGTTTTCTTTTGAGACAGGGTCTTGCTCTGTTGCTCAGGCTGGAGGGCAGTGGCGCCATCGTGGCTCACTACAGCTGCAACCTCCCAGGCTCAGGCAATCCTCCCACCTCAACCTCCTGAGTGGCTGGGACTACAGGCGCACACCACCACACCTGGCTAATTTTCAATTTTTTTGTAGAGATGGAGTCTTCCTGTGTTTCCCAGGCTGGTCCCAAACGCCTAGGCTCAAGCAATCCTCCCACCACAGCCTCCCAAAGATTATAGGCATGAGCCATTGTGCCCAGCTGGAACTGTTTTTGATGAGCTCAGCTACCACACAGATTTTTTGTTTGTTTGTTTTTTGAGACTGAGTCTCGCTCCGTTGCCCAGGCTGGTGTGCAGTGACACTGTCTTGGCTCACTGCAACCTCTGCCTCCCAGGTTCAAGCAATTCTCCTGCCTGAGCCTCCCTAGTAACTGGGATTGCAGGTGCCCACCACCACGCCTGGCTAATTTTTGTATTTTTAGTAGAAACGGGATTTCACCATGTTGGCCAGGCTGGTCTCGAACTCCTGACCTCAAGTGATCCGCCCACCTCGGCCTCCCAAAGTACTGGCATTACAGGTGTGAGCCATTGTGCCCGGCCACCACACAGATTGTCTAAGTCTTCATTTGTGCTTCAAGAATTTTGGTATGATATCAGATTTTATATGTTTTTGAAAGAGATTGAGCCCCACTGTAGTTTTAAATACCTTAATTTTCATCTGTTGCTTGATGCCACCCTGTTTTTCAGTTTCCATTGTGATATGATGAACTTTCTGATACTGTTGCTTAATTTTGCTTTTTAGTGCATATGGGAGAATCACTCCCTAAACTCTCACTTTATCTTTAGAGAGAAAAGTGTCAATCAGTATTATTGGGTGAGATGAGTCATCAAAGAGATTCTGGGTAATAGGTAGACCTGATACAGTAGGTAAAGGTGAGATTGTTCTTTGGGCTTAAGAACTTGCCTGTGATCTTTCCCAGGCACATGAGTGAAGAGTTTGAGGTTTCTGAGAGATAAAAATGAGCAACTGAGTGGATGATCCAACAGAGAGGCATAAACTTTGAACTTGAAGGGTCATAAATTCTTCTGCTTGCCCTGGTGGGATGCTGACATAAGATGGAACACTCACTGTGGAAACTTGGATGAATGACATTGCTGAGGAAGCAAATGTTCCTTAAAAGCCTTCACAATACACCAGCAAAAGGGCTTCAGAAACCCGAAAAGGGATGGAGAAAGATGGTCAGATGACAAAAGTACAGCCCATCTTCATCAGTGTGAAAGGACTGACTAGCCAGTCAATACAGGATTCCTCCAAGGAATTTTTAAAAATCACTTTATGGAGGTATGATTGAGACACAAAAACTGTATGTATTAAATGTATATAATGATTAATTTGGAAATATGTATACGCTCCTGAAACCATCATCACAATCCAGGCCATAAACATACATATCTATCACCTCCAAAAGTTTTCTTCCTCTCCCGTTATTTATTTATTATTATTTTTTGTGCTAAGAACAGTTAACATAAGACCTACACTCCTAGAAAATATATAAGTGTACGTTACAGTACTGTTAACTATAGGCGCTATGCTGTGTAGTAGGTCTCCAGAACTTATCCATGTTGTGTAACTGAAAATTTGTACCCTTTGACCAACAACTTCACATTTCCCCTTCTACCAGTTTCTGTAAACCACCATGCTGCTTTCTGCTCCTATGAGTGTTACTATCCAAGATTCCTCATATAAGTGGGATCAGGCAGTTACTCATTTTTCCATGTCTGGCTTACTTCACTTAGCATAATATCCCCCAGGTTCATCCATATTATTGCAAGTGGCAGAGTTTCTTTATTTTTTAAGGCTAAATAATATCCTATTTTATGCATATACCATACTTTCTTTATCCATTTATCCACTGATGGATATTTAGGTTACTTCCATATATATATTTTGGATATGTGGCAATATATACATATTTGCAGATTTTTTTGACATGCTGATTTCAGCTCCTCTACAAATATATACTCAGAAATGGGATTGTTGGATCATATGGTAGTTCTCTTTTTAATTTTTTGAGGAGTTTCCATACTGTCTTCCATAGTGGCTGTACCAATTTACATTCCCACTAACAATGTATTGGGGTTTTCTTTTCTCTCTATTTCACCAACACTTTTGTTTTTTTGTTTTGTTTTGTTTATATATAATGGTCATTCTAATGTGTGTGAGTAATAGCTCCTTGTGGTTTTGATTTGCACTTCCCTGATGGTTACTTATGTTAAGCGCCTTTCATATACATGTTGGCCATTTGTATGTCTTCTTTGGAGAAATAGCTATTCAGATCTTTTGCCTATTTTAAAGATGGATTGTTTTTAGTTTTTGTTTTTGCTGTTAAGTTGTAGGTGTTCCTTATATATTTTAAATATTAACCCCTTATCAGATATATGGTTTGCAAATACATTTTTTCTTTTTGTAGGTTGCCTTGTCATTTTGTTGATTGTTTCCTTTGTTGTGAAAAAGCTTTTTAGTTTGGTGTAATTCCACTTGTCTGTTTTGGCTTTTGTTGCCTGTGCTTTCGGTGTCATATCCAAGAAAACATTGCCAAGAACAATGTCAAAAAGCTTTTTTCCCTATGCTTTCTTCTAGAAGTGTTATTGTTTCAGATGCCCACTCTCACCATAGTGGGAGAGTACTGGAATAGTACTATTAATAGAAGAGTTAGGGTTAAGGTTACTAGTACTAAAAGGCCGAGTCACAGCAATTAGGCAAGAAAAAGAAAAAGAAATAAAAGGCATCCAACTTGCAAATGAAGAAGTAAAACAAGTTCTGTTTGCAGATGACATGATCTTATATATAGTAGACACTAAAGACCTAAAGACCGCAAAAAAATCTGTTAAAACTAATAAATGAATTTGGGAAAGTTACAAGATGCAAAATCAACATGCAAAAATCAGTTGCATTTCTATACACTAACAATGAACTATTCATAAAGGAAATTAAGAGAATAATCCCATTTACAATAGCATCAAAAGAATAAAATACTTGGAAATAAACTTAGCTAAGGAGATGAAATCTTGTACACCAAAACCTATAAAATATTGATGAAAGAAATTAAAGAAAACACAAATAAATGAAAAGATATCTTGTGTTTAGAGACTGGAAGAATTAATGTTATTAAAATGTCAATGCTAGTCAAAGCAATCTATAAATTAATTGAAATCCCTATCAAAATCCCAATGGCAGCTGGGCATGGTGGCTTACAACTGTAATCCCAGCACTTTGGCAGGCCAAGGCGGGTGGATCACCTGAGGTCAGGAGTTCGGGACCAGCCTGGCCAACAGGGTGAAACCCCATCTCTACTAAAAATACAAAAATTAGCCAGGCGTGGTGGCACATGCCTGTAATGATAGCTACTCGGGAGGCTGAGAAAGAAGAATCGTTTGAACCTGGGAGGTGAAGGTTGCAGTGAGCCAAGATCATCCCACGGCACTCCAGCTGGGCAACAGAGTGAAAATCCATCTCAGAAAAAAAAAAAAAAAATCCCAATGGCTTTTTTTTACAAAAATAGGAAAAACAATCCTAAAATTCATATGGAACCACAAAAGACTCTGAATAACCAAGCAGTCTTGGGTGAGAAAAACAAAGCCAGAGGCCTCACATTTTCTGATTTCAAAATATATTACAAAACTACAGTAATCAAAACAGTATGGTACTGGCCTAAAGCCAGACATAGACCAATGGAACAGAATAGAGTCAAGAAATAAACTCATACATAAAAAGTCAATCAACTTTATATGTATGAACTTATTTCATTCATACAAACTTTATAAATTTACATGTATTTCATAGATATAAATTTTTTCTGTTCAACTTTATATGTACGATTTTTGACAAGAGTGCCAAGGATACACAATGAGGAAAGGATAGTCTCTTCAATACATGGTATTGAGAAAACTGGATGTCCATGTGCAAAATTATGAAGTTGGATCGTTATCAAATGCCATATACAAAAATCAACTCAAACAAGAAATTTTTAAACCAGAGAAGGAATTCTCTCCCTTCCATTACTAGGGGTTAGCAAAAGGCGGCACTCAAGAGACAAGGTGGCTGGTGAAACTGGCTAGGGCCTTGGGCCTACACCCTGTGATAAGAACCAGCAGGTAATTTCTGGAAGAGACAGAAAATTCTGTCGGTTCTAGTATTGGTACCTGGCCAGATCTTGCTCTGGCTAGCTGTCTGAGCAGTTTCACCAAGTGTCTAACTAAGACTGGGCAGGAGCAAAGCATGGAAGAAGGGCTGTGTTAGTCAAAGCCAACCTGGGTTGAAAGCTAGTCTTTTTGATAAGGAATTTGTGTTTTGTAAACATTTTTTTTTGAGACAGAATCTCACTTTGTGGCCCAGGCCAGGCTGGAGTGCAGTGGTGGGATCTCAGCTCACTATAACCTCTGCCTCCTGGGCTCAAATGATTATCTTGTCTCAGCCTCCCAAGTAGCTGGGATTACAGGCACACACCACCACACCCGGCTTTGTGTGTGTGTGTGTGTGTGTGTGTGTGTGTGTGTGTGTGTGTGTTTAGTAGAGACAGGGTTTCTCCATGTTGGCCATGCTGGCCTCGAACTGCTGGCCTCAAGTGGTCGGGCTACCTCAGCTTCCCAAAGTGCTGGGATTACAGGTATGAGCCACCACTCCTGGCCTCTGTTCTCTTTTTTTAAATTATTATTATTATACTTTAAGTTCTAGGGTACATGTGCACAACATGCAGGTTTGTTACATATATATACATGTGCCATGTTGGTGTGCTACACCCATTAACTCATCATTTACATTAGGTATTTCTCCCAATGCTATCCCTCACCCCTCCCACAACCCCACGACAGGCACCAATGTGTGATGTTCCCCTTCCTATGTCCAAGAGTTCTCATTGTTCAATTCCCACCTATGAGTGAGAACATGTGGTGTTTGGTTTTTTGTCCTTGCGATAGTTTGCTGAGAATGATGGTTTCCAGCTTCATTCATGTCCCTACAAAGGACATGAACTCATTCTTTTTCATGGCTACATAGTATTCCACGGTGTATATGTGCCACATTTTCTTAATCCAGTCTATCATTGATGGACATTTGGGTTGGTTCCAAGTCTTTGCTATTGTGAATAGTGCCACAATAAACATACATGTGCATGTGTCTTTATAGTAGCATAATTTATAATCCTTTGGGTATATACCCAGTAATGGGATGGCTAGGTCAAATGGTATTTCTAGTTCTAGATCCTTGAGGAATTGCCACACTGTCTTCCACAATGGTTGAACTAGTTTACAGTCCCACCAACAGTGTAAAAGTGTTCCTATTTCTCCACATCCTCTCTAGCACCTGTCGTTTCCTGACTTTTTAAAGATTACCATTCTAACTGGTGTGAGATGGTATCTCATCGTGGTTTTGATTTGCATTTCTCTGATAGCCAGTGATGATGAGCATTTTTTCATATGTCTGTTGGCTGTATAAATGTCTTCTTCTGAGAAGTGTCTGTTCATATCCTTCACCCACTTTTTGATGGGGTTGTTTGTTTTTTCTTGTAAATTTGTTTGAGTTCTTTGTAGATTCTGGATATTAGCCCTTTGTCAGATGAATAGATTGCAAAAAATTTTTTCCCATTCTGTAGGTTGCCTGTTCACTCTGATGGTAGTTTCTTTTGCTGTGCAGAAGCTCTTTAGTTTAATTAGATCTCATTTGTCAATTTTGACTGTTGTTGTCATTGCTTTTGGTGTTTTAGACATGAAGTTCTTGCCCATGCCTATGCCTTAAATGGTATTGCTTAGGTTTTCTTCTAGGGTTTTTGTGGCTTTAGGTCTAACACTTAAGTCTTTAATCCATCTTGAATTAATTTTTGTATAAGGTATAAGGAAGGGATCCACTTTCAGCTTTCTACATATGGCTAGCCAGTTTTCCCAGCACCATTTATTAAATAGGGAATCCTTTCCCCATTTCTTGTTTTTGTCAGGTTTGTCAAAGATCAGATGGTTATAGATGTGTGGTATTATTTCTGAGGGCTCTGTTCTGTTCCATTGATCTATATCTCTGTTTTGGTACCAGTACCATGCTGTTTTGGTTACTGTAGCCTTGTAGTATAGTTTGAAGTCAGGTAGTGTGATGCCTCCAGCTTTGTTCTTTTGGCTTAGGATTGTCTTGGCAATGGGGGCTCTTTTTTTGTTTCATGTGAACTTTAAAGTAGTTTTTTCCACTTCTGTGAAGAAAGTCATTGGTAGCTTGATGGAGATGGCATTGAATCTATAAATTACCTTGGGCAGTATGGCCATTTTCATGATATTGATTCTTCCTATCCATGAGCATGGAATGTTCTTCCATTTGTTTGTGTCCTCTTTTATTTCCTTGAGCAGTGGTTTGCAGTTCTCCTTGAAGAGGTCCTTCACATCCCTTGTAAGTTGGATTCCTAGCTATTTTATTCTCTTTGAAGCAGTTGTGAATGGGAGTTCACTCATGATTTGGCTCTCTGTCTGTTATTGGTGTATAAGCATGCTTGTGATTTTTGCACATTGATTTTGTATCCTGAGACTTTGCTGAAGTTGCTTATCAGCTTAAGGAGATTTTGGGCTGAGACGATGGGGTTTTCTAAATACACAGTCATGTCATCTGCAAACAGGGACAATTTGACTTCCTCTTTTCCTCATTGAATACCCTTTATTTCTTTCTCCTGCCTCATTGCCCTGGCCAGAACTTCCAACACTATGTTGAATAGAAGTGGTGAGAGAGGGCATCCCTGTCTTGTGCCAGTTTTCAAAGGGAATGCTTCCAGTTTTTGCCCATTCAGGATGATATTGGCTGTGGGTTTGTCATAAATAGCTCTTATTATTTTGAGATATGTCCCATCAATACCTAATTTGTTGAGAGTTTTTAGCATGAAGGGTTGTTGAATTTTGGTGAAGGCCTTTTCTGCATCTATTGAGATAATCATGTGGTTTTTTCTTTGGTTCTGTTTATATGCTGGATTATGTTTATTGATTTGCGTATGTTGAACCAGCCTTGCATCCCAGGGATGAAGCCCACTTGATCATGGTGGATAAGCTTTTTGATGTGCTGCTGGATTCGGTTTGCCAGTATTTTATTGAGGACTTTTCCTTCCATGTTCATCAGGGATAGTGGTCTAAAATTCTCTTTTTTTGTTGTGTCTCTGCCAGGCTTTGGTATCAGGATGATGCTGGCCTTACAAAATGAGTCAGGGTAGATTCCCTCTTTTTCTATTGATTGGAATAGTTTCAGAAGGAATGGTACCAGTTCCTCCTTGTACCTCTGGTAGAATTCAGCTGTGAGTCCGTCTGGTCCTGGACTTTTTTTGGTTGGTAGGCTATTAATTATTGCCTCAATTTCAGAGCTTGTTATTGGCCTATTCAGTGATTCAACTTCCTGGTTTAGTCTTGGGAGGGTGTGTGTGTCCAGGAATTTATCCATTTCTTCTAGATTTTCTAGTTTATTTGCATAGAGGTGTTTATAGTATTCTCTGATGGTAGTTTTGATTTCTGTGGGATTGGTGGTGATATCCCCTTTATCATTTTTTATTGCGTCTATTTGATTCTTCTCTCTTTTCTTCTTTATTAGTCTTGCTAGCAGTCTATCAATTTTGTTGATCTTTTCAGAAAACCAGCTCCTGGATTCATTGATTTTTTGAAGGGTTTTTTGTGTCTCTATCTCCTTTAGTTCTTCTCTGATCTTAGTTATTTCTTGCCTTCTGCTAGCCTTTGAATGTGTTTGCTCTTGCTTCTCTAGTTCTTTTAATTGTGATGTTAGGGTGTCAATTTTAGATCTTTCCTGCTTTCTCTTGTGGGCATTTAGTGCTATAAATTTCCCTCTACACACTGCTTTAAATGTGTCCCAGAGATTCTGGTATGTTGTGTCTTTTTTCTCTTTGGTTTCAAAGAACATCTTTATTTCTGCCTTCATTTCGTTATGTACCCAGTAGTCATTCAGGAGCAGGTTGTTCAGTTTCCATGTCGTTGAGTGGTTTTGAGTGAGTTCTTAATCCTGAGTTCTAGTTTGAGTGCACTGTGGTCTGAGAGACAGTTTGTTACAATTTCTGTTCTTTTACATTTGCTGAGGAGAGCTTTACTTCCAACTATGTGGTCAATTTTGGAATAGGTGTGATGTGGTGCTGAGAAGAATGTATATTCTGTTGATTTGGGGTGGAGAGTTCTGTAGCTGTCTATTAGGTCCACTTGGTGCAGAGCTGAGTTCAATTCCTGGATATCCTTTTTAACTTTCTGTCTCGTTGATCTGTCTAATATTGACAGTGGGGTGTTAAAGTCTCCCATTATTATTGTGTGGGAGTCTAAGTCTCTTTGTAGGTCTCTAAGGACTTGCTTTATGAATCTGGGTGCTTCTGTATTGGGTGCATATATATTTAGGATGGTTAGCTCTTCTTGTTGAATTGATCCCCTTACCATTATGTAATGGCCTTCTTTGTCTCTTTTGATCTTTGTTGGTTTAAAGTCTGTTTTATCAGAGACTAGGATTGCAACCCCTGCCTTTTTTTGTTTTCCATTTGCTTGGTAGATCTTCCTCCATCCCTTTATTTTGAGCCTATGTGCGTCTCTGCACATGAGATGGGTCTCCTGAATACAGCACACTGATGGGTCTTGACTCTTTATCCAATTTGCCAGTCTCTGTCTTTTAATTGGAGCTTGTAGCCTATTTACATTTAAGGTTAATATTGTTATGTGTGAATTTGATCATGTCATTATGTTGTAAGCTAGTTATTTTGCTCGTTAGTTGATGCAGTTTCTTCCTAGCATCAATAGTCTTTACAATTTGGCATAATCTGTTCTTAAAACTCTTAAAAGAGCCAGGGAAATCTCCTGCCCCTTTCTCCAGGGAGAAGGAGTTGATACTTTAGCCAGACTTGGAGAAACTTACTAGATCACAATATTTTGTGGGCAGGTGTCACTGTAATTAAATACATGAAATTTTTTATTTTCCTTGCTTTTGTACCATGATAGGACCTTCTGCTCCAAGTAGACGTTTTGCTTTTTTGGGGTACTTTCTCTTCACTTGTGCAGCAGAAGGCATAAATGAGCTCAGGTCTGCCTCCTTGGGGAAGGCTGGGTCATCTTTCTCTCTAGCCTTTTTCATTAGATACTTTAGTTTCTGGATTAAGTACTCTTGCTTGGTCCAGGTAAAATTACTTATATGTTTAAGTAGTTTAAAATGTCTTTCTTAGGTGGACGCAGTGGCTCATGCCTGTAATCCTAGCACTTTGGGAGGCTGAAGCAGATGAATCACCTGAGCTCAGGAATTCAAGACCAGCCTGGGAAACATGGCAAAACCCCATCTAAACCAAAAATACAAAACATTAACCAGGTGTGGTGATGTGCACCTGTGGCCCCAAATACTCAAGAGGCTGAGGTGGGAGGATTGCTTAAGCCTGGGAGATGGAGGTTGCAGTGAGCCGAGATCATGTCACTGCACTCCAGCCTGGGTGACAGAATGAGACCCCCATTAAAAAAAAAATTCTTGTGCCCTGGAAATTTCTATGAACTAGGATACACCAACCTGAACCTGTTCCCAATCTGACTTCATTCTATTGTTTGGGGAGAATTAATTCACTCTCACATAGGCAACATCAAAGAATAAAAGGCAATGTTTTCAGAGCTAACAAATCTTTCCAGTGGTGGCCAGATTCCAGGTCTACAGATGGTAGGCTTTCATATGGTATAATGTTTGCTCAGACTCATGATGGGATAAACAATATATCAGGTAGTGGATCTATAATAAACATATTAGATAATCCTTGCTCTGCAGGTGTTTTACATATAGAATTCTTTTATGTGTAAAACTGGGGAGAAAACAGCTGTTCCACAGTCCTTCCTATTCCAGCAGGCCTTTTCTTTTAAAGGATAATGAGTATATATTGCTCCCTGCACGTTCTCTATTTCTGCTGTCACAAAGATAATATCCAGGAGGCATTTGATTCCAGAAGATCCATTTGAAGATTGGTGAATACTACAAATTAATTTGGATGAATTTCTGGAAGTTGCACCCAACTATCCTGTCTCCTTTGAAGTGCCACACAGGACTCCAATTTGTCTGCTGCTGGCCTTCTGCAGCCTATTTTGTGGTAGATGAAAGGCTCAGCATCACGTAAATCACTTTACTGTTCAGACCCTCCCCATACATTGCTCCCTTAAGGAGCAAATCTGCATTGGTGGTAAGGTGACACTTAAGTCATAATGGTGAAAAAAAGGGTGGTAAAGTTAAGAGTATAATATGAGACCCACTTTCAAGCCTTCAGACTTGGCGGTGGACTATAGTAACGGAGGCTGCCATAGTGAGGAGCTGTTAGGATCATTGGAGGTATCTCCACCAGGAATCTGTCACCTTGTGCCAAGAGCCAGGAGCCCAGATGGTAGCCCTAGAATTCAGCTGCTCACCAGAAGTTGTTCTGCTAATTTGATGGCCTTGTCTGTTGGGAGCAGGAAGAAAGGAATGTAGCCCTGAATTGAGAGCATTCCTGGGAACTTCAAAGGAGGACTGTGAACTGAGAGTATTCACCACTTTCTGATTCTTTACATCTGATTTATCACATAATTAGGAATTCTCAAAAAAGTTATTAATATTCTTACTTCAAATAAAAGTTCAAGGTACAAGCTTTTGTGTGAAGATATGTTTTAATTCTCTTAGGTATATACCTAAAAGTGAAATTGCTGGCTTATATGGTAGTTCTGTTTAACTGTTTGAAATTGCCAGTGTTTTTCAAAGTAGTTGTATTATTTTACTTTGCCACCATCAATGTATGAAAGATCCAATTTCTTCACATCCTTGTCAGCACTTGTTATTGTCCATCTTTTTTATTATAGCCATCCTTGTAGTTGTGAAGTGGTGTCTCCTTGTGATTTTGATTTGAGGTTCCCTAACGATTAATGTTAAACACCATTTATGTGCTTTTTGGCCTTTTGTATATTTTCTTTGGAGAAATGTTTATTGATTCCTCTGTCCATTTAAAAATTGGGCTGTCGGCCGGGTGTGGTGGCTCATGACTGTAATCCTAACACTTTGGGAGGCCAAGATGGGCAGATCACCTGAGGTCGGGAGTTCAAGACCAGCCTGACCAACATGGAGATACCCCATCTCTACTAAGAATACAAAATTAGCTGGGCGTGGTGGTGCAAGCCTGTAATTCTAGCTACTCGGGAGCCTGAGGCAGGAGAATCGCTTGAACCTGGGAGGTGGAGGTTGCAGTGAGCCAAGATCACGCCGTTGCACTCCAGCCTGGGCAACAAGAGAGTGAAATTCCATCTCAAGAAAAAAAAAAAATTGGGTTGTCTTTTATTACTGAGCCATGAGAGTTCTTTATATATTCTAGATCCTAGACCTTTATCACGTATATGGTTTGTAAATACTTTCTTCTATTTTTTTGGTTTGTCTTTTCACTTTCTTGATGATGTCCTTTGAAACACAATTGTTTTTAATTTTGTTAAGGTCCAATTTATCTACTTTTTCTTGTTTCTGGTACTTTATGTGTCACAGCTAAGAAGTCACTGCCTAACCCAAGATCATGAAGATGTACTTTTATGTTTTCTTCTAAGACTTTTATAGTGTCAGCTCCGACAGTTAGGTCTTTGATTCATTTTGAATTAATTTTTTTGTATCTTGTAAGACAAGGATCCAACTTCATTATTTTGCATTTGAATATCTATTTGTTTTCAAGGCATTTTTGCTGCTTCTTTTTTTTTTTTTTTTTTTTTAAGACAGTCTTGCACTGTCACCCAGGCTGGAGTGCAGTGGTGCGATCTCGGCTCACTGCAACCTTTGCCTCCTGGGTTCATGCAATTCTCCTGCCTCAGCCTCCCAAGTAGCTGGGACTACAGGTGTGCGCCACCACGCCTGGCTAATTTTTTCTATTTTTGCTTCTATTTAAAACATGGAAAGTATTGATAAAAGAACTAATATAATTATAATGAAATACAGTATTAACAATAAAACTGAAGATTCAGAATTCTAGGTTCAAGTCCAAGTTACATTGGTTTTCATCTAAGGGAAACCACTAAATATTTTTAACTTAATTTTGTAAACACTTGAGCATCATAGATTTGTATAACTCTCTGAATGACCTGCTGGCTATAGGTTTTTATAGTTTAAATAGGGCATTTTCAAAGAGCAAACTGCTTGAGCTGACTCTGAATTCTTCACTTGGTAATTGGTATTCTGAACATGAAGCAAGCATATATAACCAATGGTGAAAAGTGTATTTTACATGTCTTATTTTAGTATTACTTTCTCTTCTTATTTTTCTAGAAATGATTGGACAGCCAATACTTGAGCTTTACCCTCTTATTTCATTGCATTTATTGACTTGGATTTAGTCAATAGTAGTTGCTAGATCTAAATCCTGTTCTTCTATCCCTTGCCTCTTTGTAACTGAAGGTATGGAGTTATTTTATTCAGAAGTGGTCAATGAAATTAATTGACCCAACAGACAAAATATCTCAAATTAGGAAAGTTTGACTTCATCTACCTCATTTTTTGAAATTAGTGCAATTGCCAGTTTAGCATTCTTGATCAAAGAAATATTGGCTACCTTTGAAAATGTTATAGAAAGAAAAGCAGAGATAGCGTTGTACCAATTTTCCTCAGAGACTTTCAGACCTAAGGCTAATCTCCAATCTGGCTGCCGTGGAACTGGCATTCTAACAAGCAGATGCTGTAAGCAAGAACGTGAATTATTAATGCACCATAGCATTGTCACCAACAGACCACAAAATCTATCTTAAAAATTCTTTTACATACATAGTAGATTCTAATGTGGCACTGTGTGCTCTCAAAGCTGCAGATATATTTTAGAAAACACTGATGAAGCCATTACTGCTCTGTCCGTCTGTTCATGTATATATCACTATTCAAGAAATTTAAGAACCATAATGATGGAAAATCACACAGAAAGAAAAGAAAAGGAACATGGACTCTGTCAGAAACAAGGGCT
Organism: Homo sapiens; assembly: GCF_000001405.40. NCBI lineage: Eukaryota > Metazoa > Chordata > Mammalia > Primates > Hominidae > Homo > Homo sapiens. Next base: position 174,283,835 of record NC_000002.12, on the reverse strand, counting down.
ACATTTTTATTCAAGAGGTCCCTAATGATGGAAAATCACCGTGAAAGGCAGAGACGAAACCGGGATTCCATAAAGGACCTGACACACATCAGTAGTACAAGTAGGAGAACAGTCATAGCAGACGCATAAAAATAAAGAAAAACAAAATTAACGAGAGACAAGCTGTACTGGGGCTGACGCACAAAACAGCAACAAATCACAGCAAATTCTGAAGATTAATTTAAAAGAATCTTCTGAAATAAGCAAGGAGACAGACAGCATCAATATTAATGAAGCTGAAATGGAACTCCAAAAGAGCCACCGCATAAAATGGCACATGAAATGTTTTGTTTTTAAATGGATTGTAGATTGGATCACAGGACCATCAGGAAAATGAAGGGACATTCACGAGAACATCATAACAGGGCCAGCTGTGTGATAAGCAATTACAACATCAGTGCTAAAATCTCCCATGTAAAAGAAAAACATCAGTGTTGAAATAAAAGAAAATGTCAACAGTCTGCAGATGAGGTAGAAGAAAGCGAATAATAGATTTTATTGAGACTCAATAGCCTGCACTGTCGATATCGAATGTCTTTGATAAAACGGACAATAGGCATTCGAAGAAAGATCAGAATTTGATTCCATCTTGTACTGCACTCAATTTCCCTTCAGATTGTCAGCTAAGGCAGCCCTGGAATCAGCCCAATGCTTTCACTACTTAAACTACTTGCTGCTTATAAACTAGATGCTTTAGGAAGCTGTATAACTTTGATAGGCTCCTAGAGCTCTGCCGATGTATCTCTCATGTATCCCTATAAATCAAATTTTAAAATAAATAGTTTAAATGTGCTAATTGTCTTGGCTACTTAAAGGGATGCCACAGTCCAAAGTTGTATAAAATGAAGGTGTTTTTATTAAAACGTGAATGCTCATATGTCCATTGGCTATGGGGCTATGGAGTGCTGGCCTCTGGTTGGACAGGTCCTGGAACCATGCAGCAATGTCTTGTGGTAATTCCACTTGGTATTTCCATCGCTATGTATACCACAGAGGGAGAAAATAACACCCACTTCAAGCTTTTTCTCTCTTCCTATAGCTCTACAACATTTATGATTGCAGGTTGTTGAGCTATTTTAACCACTAGCTGAGCCACAGCCTGCTTGGAGGGGAAGGAGGAGCATAGTGAGGATTACTTCCCATTCACAATTAGAAAAGCAAGTCATGTCTGGCACAAAACAGCCCCTGTAAGGCCGGTTTCTTCACCATGTTCCCCAAAAAAGATGGGTGGGAAGTTATGGGCATTTCTGAGGAACTTAAACTAGAAAGTCCTTTTTTTTCTTTTTTTTTTTTTTTTTTTGAGACAGAGTTTCACTCTTTGTTGCCCAGGCTGGAGTGCAGTGGCACTATCTCAGCTCACTGCAACCTTTGCCTCCAGGGTTCAAGCAATTCTCCTGTCTCAGCCTCCTGAGTAGCTGGGATTACAGGTGCCTGCCACCACGCACGGCTAATTTTTGTATTTTTAGTGGAGACAGGGCTTCACCATTTTGGCCAGGCTGGTCTCAAACTCCTGAACTCAGGTGATCCGCCCACCTCGGCCTCCCAAAGTGCTGGGATTACAGGCATGAGCCACCACGCCCGGCCACTAGGAAGTCCTTTTACAAAGCTTTGCTCTCTGCATTACCATAAGGAAACAATATTAGCTCTGTGGTGATTTCAAAATATCTTCACAGATTCTTTGGAACTCTTCCCTTCAGGAGGTGGCATTTAATTCCCCTCTCCTTGATAGCTGGCTGGACTTAATGACAAATAGCATGTGATGAAAATGATGAGTCCTGCCTATAGAGACTGGGTCATAAAAGTCACTATGTCTTCATCCTTGCTCTCCCTTGAAACACTGACTCTGGGGAAAGCAGTTGCCATCTCATGAGGACACTCAAGCAGTCCTATGGAGAGGCCCTCCTGGGTGAGGAACTGAAGCCTCCCACCAACAGCCCACATGAGTAAGTGAGGCCTTCTGTCAAGAACCGTGTGAATGAGCTGTCCTCTAGTTCCAAGCAGCCTTCATATGACTGTAGCTCTGACCAACATCTTGGCAAAGGTTTGGGATAGTGGTGGGGAGAAGAAAACAGAATAATTCTGTAGTCTAAACATAAACCTCTCACTAATAGACAGTGTAGAATATGATGCTATTTTTCTCCACTGGACTCTCCCTGCACAACTTTCCTGTTCTCCTGCCTTACCACCCCATTCCTCATTCTCAGAGAAAGGAGGTGCCATTAGTCTGGGTCTCTCAATGTCTTGGCAACACACCTACAGCCTACACTGCATCTATAACCCACATTCCTCCAACTTCACTCCCTTCCCGTGTAATGACAACCCCTCCATCTGCACCCGGGATTCCATTCTCCTCTGTTTTCTCAGAGAACTTGAACTGTTACTGCTTTTTCCTTTTATTAACTTTAATCCCTCTCTACTGACTCCTTTCCATCGACATTTAAGCATTTTCAAGTGTCTCTCATTTTAAAGGTTCTTTGAAATACCAAGTAGTGAGTACAACTAAATTGTGTGAAGTGATGAAACCCAGGCAGAGCTTTGATAAAAGAACGTGACTCCTCCAACTGCAGAAAGCATCTTCCCAGAGAGCCTTTGCACTTCATGTGTTAATGATGCATTCCTTCAAAACAAATATTTGTTAAGCAACTTCCAGGATTGGGATGGAAAGATGGAAATGTTTTTATTCGATGGAAATGTTTTTATTCAACAGAAAAATAGAAAATAGAAGTTGGCTCCAAAATTCCCACTGAAATATATATATATATATATATATATATATTTATATTTCATGAGTTTCTTAGTTAGAAAAAGAAAGAAGGCCAGGTGCAGTGGTGGCGCACACCTATAATCCTAGTACTTTGGGAGGCCAAGATGGGAGGATCATTTGAGTCCAGGAAGTCGAGACCAGCCTAAGCAACATAAGGAGACCTTTTTCTTCTCAGACAGGCATGGTGGTGTGCCTGTAGTCCCAGCTACTTTAGAGGATAAGGCAAGAGGGTAACTTGAGCTCACGAGTTGTCAGCTGCTGTGAGCTATGATCATGCCACTGTACTCCAGCCTGGGTGACAGAGCAAGGCTCTGTCTCAGAAAAAAAAAAAGAGAGAGAGAGAGACAGCAAAGAGAAGTAAGTTTTCTTTGTAGTGGGAAGGTATAACTATAAATAAGGACTGAAATGTTTAACCATTTGGATGAAGCCTTTCCACCAAAACCATTTATTCTACTTGTTAGCCCTAACAAACAAAACTAGGCTGGGTATGGTGGCTCACGTCTCTAATCCCAGCACTTTGGGAGGCCAAGGCGGGCGGATTGCTTGAGCTCAGGAGTTCAAAACCAGTCTGGGCAACATGGTGAAACCCCATCTTCACACACACACACACACACACAAAATACACACACACACAAAATACACATACACACACACAAAACACACAAACACACACACACACACACGCAATTAGCCAGGCATGGTGGTGTGTGCCTATAGCCCCCAGCTACTCAGAAGGCTCAGAAGGGAGGAGGATCGCTTGAGCCTAGGAGGCAGAGGTTGCAGTGAGCCGTGATTGCACCACTGCACTCCAGCCTGGGTGGCAGAGCCAGACCCTGTCTTGAAAAAGAAAAAAAAAGAACCAGAAGTATGGAAACTTTTACAGATTCTTGACATTAAAACCCATAACACATCTACACCCAAAACATACAGCCATATTCTTTTCTTTTTTTTCTGTTTTTCTTGTGTGTGTGTGTGTGTGTGTGTGTGATGGAGTCTCACTCTGTCACCCAGGCTGGAGTGCAGTGGCACAATCTCGGCTCACTGCAACCTCTGCCTCCCGGGTTCAAGTGATTCTCCCACCTCAGCTTCCTGAGTAGCTGGGATTACAGGCATGCACCATGATGCCCGGCTAATTTTTGTAGTTTTAGTAGAGATGGGGTTTCACCATGTTGGCCAGGCTGGTCCCGAACTCTTGACCTCAAGTGATCCACCTGCCTTGGCCTACCAAAGTACTGGGATTACAGGTGTGAGCCACCATGCCCGGCCACAGCCATATTCTTATATACTCAAATATTCTGTAGTTAAAGATGAATTAATACAATTTAAAGATTTGACTTTTTAAGAAAAAGAAGCATTTATAATAGCATCAAAACTATGTTTTTGTCTAAAGACCCACAAAACAATTACACTAAAAATGATGTAATACTGCTGAAAGAAGTTAAAGAAGATCTAAATAAAGAAAAGTTATACTTTGTTCATGGAGTTGAAAATGCAACATTGCTACGATGTCAGTTCTTCCCAAATTGATCTATAGATTCAATGCAATCAAAATAAAAAAACTCTGCAGGCTGTTTTGTAGAAATTGACAAACTGATACTAAATTTTGCATGAAAATGCAAAAGATCTAGAATAGCCAAAACAACCAAAAAAGAACAAAGTTGAAAGACTTATGCTATCTGATTTCAAGGCTTTATAAAGCTTCAGTAACCAAGACAATTACTTGAGTGTATTTTGAGGTATACGTTTAGGTATATTGGCACAAATATAGACAAATGAAATAGAAAAGAGTTAAGATATATAGGCCCATACTATATGGACAACAGATTTTTTGACAAAGGTATAAAGGAAATTCAAGATAATCTTTCCAACAAATGATGCTGGAACTCTTATATATCCACATGCAAAACAATGAATGTGTGTATACTTACCAAGTTGCACATTTTAAATATAGTTCATTGTATGTCATTTATACTTCAACATAAAGATCTGCTGGGCACGGTGGCTCTTGCCTGTAATCCCAGCACTTTGGGAGGCCAAGCCGGATGGATCACCTAAGGTCAGGAGTTCGAGACCAGCCTGGCCAACATGGTGAAACCCCGTCTCTACCGAAATTACAAAAAATTAGCTGGGCGTGGTTGTGCATGCTTGTAGTCCCAGCTACTCTGGAGGCTGAGGCAGGAGAATCACTTGAACCTGGGAGGTGGAGGTTACAGTGAGCTGAGATGGCGCCACTGCACTCCGGCCAGGGTGATAGAGTGAAACTTGATCTCAAAATAAATAAATAAATAAATAAATAAATATCCAATTTCTGAAGATCAAACACGTAATTGCCAGATGACATTGTCAGAAGTCTTCGAAATCATAATTGGAATGCATCAGGGTTAGGATTTCCTGTGGATGGATAAACACGAGAGGTCAGAATTTGGTCAAGATCACCCTCCCCCTTGGTAAATTTCCATTAGGCTAAATTCCGATGTTACCATTAGATTATCTGTTTTTGAACATGAAACATTTTCTTATTGTATACAATTAGAATTGGTGATCAGAGGAGGTCAGGAGATCAAGACTATGCCGGCTAACACGGTGAAACCCCATCTCTACTAAAAATACAAAAAATTAGCCCGGTGTGGTGGCGGACACCTGTAGTCCCAGCTACTCGGGAGGCTGGGGCAGGAGAATGGTGTGAACCCGGGAGGTGGAGCTTGCAGTGAGCCGAGATCGCACCACCGCAGTCTAGCCTGGGTGACAGAGTGAGACTCTGTCTCAAAAAAAAAAAAAAAGAATTGGTGATTGGCACCAATTGCCAATATGCTAATAGATTTTAACTTTGAAATAAGAAAAGTAATTCTCCAAAATAAACTCTGATTTTAGAATGATACAATTCTGCCAGGTATTCTTTTCCTACTGTCCTTGATAATCTGAGTTCACATTATAATATTAGACTAGAAATCCTATTTTATTCTTTCATTCATTTGTTAGAGATGAGGTCTTGCTCTGTCCCCCAAGTTGCAGTGGAGTGTTGCAATCATAGCTCACTGCAGCCTCAAACTCCTGGCTCAAGTGATCCTCCTGCCTCAGCCTCCTGAGTAGCTAGGACTATGGGTGCACACCACCATGCTTGGCCCCTATTAAATTTAATGTCCAACCATGCTAAGGAAATTAAATGATTCCCAGAATCACCCAGAGTAAAATTCTGAGGGCACCAGTTTAGCTTTAATCTGTCAGCATAATAGCAATTAGAATAACAATTAGGCTTGGTTTAGTGGCTAAGAGGTTTGTCATTCAAAAGACCTGGGCTAAATGTCCATTAAGGGATAACTAGATAAACAAAATATGGTATATACATTCAATGATATATTATTCAGCCTTAAAAAAGAATGAAATTCTGATGCTACAACACAGATGAACCTTGAAAACATGCTAAGTGAAATAAGCCAGACACAAAAGGACATGTATTATGTGATGGTACTTACATGAGATACACAGAATAGTCAAATTCCTAGAGACAGAAAGCAGACAGAAAGTAGGATAGTTGTTACCGGGGGGTAGGGAAAAGGGAAAATGAGGAGTTATTGCTTAAAATGTATAGAGTTTCAATTTGGGATCACGGAAAAGTTCTGGAGATGGACAGTGGTGATGGTTGCATAATATGAACATGTGTAATGCCACTAAATTGTACACTTACAAATGGCTAAAATGGTAAATTTTATGTTATGCATATATTACCACAATTTTTAAAAAAGGACTAGTTGAGAACCATTTCTGCCATTTAAAAGTTAGGAGATCTTGGGTTATATAGGAGCCACAGGTTCCTCGTATGCAAACAGGAATAATACCTATCCACGGAGTTTTTGTGAGAATTAAATAAAATAAATTATGTAAAGTATTTATATAGTTTTTTGCACAAAGTAAAAGTGAAGAAATGGTAGCTATCATTATAAAACATATTTATTTACCTCTGTATCTCTAAAGTCAGCAATATGTTGATGAATAAATGAATGTGTGAAGAAACAAATGAATTGTAGGGCACTGTTTCCAGTGTATCTGACATGTTAGACAATAAAAATGACTACTAATATTAGTTTTTTTTGAGATAGGGTCTTGCTCTGTCATCCAGGCTGGAGTGCAATGGAGCAATCACAGCTCACTGTAACCTCGAACTCCTGCCTCAGCTTCCCGTGTCTGGCTAATTCTTGTATTTTTTGTAGAGACAAGGTCTTACTGTGTTACCAGGGCTGGGCTCAAGCTCCTGGGCTCAAGTGATCTACTCTCCTCCGCCTTCCAAAGCACTGGGATTACAGGTGTGAGCCACCGCACGTGGCCTAATATTTGTATAACAAGTGAGTTTATACAGAGCTTTCAATACATCACTTTGTTTCAAGGTCACAATAACAAAATGAGTTATTGCCTATGAGACCGTGCAACACACAGCAGGGCAGCAATTGGGACAGTTAGGAGGATGAAGAGTGCAGGCCAACACATTTAAACTTTTTTTTTTTTTTTTTTCGAGATGGAGTCTCACTCTGTTGCCCAGGCAGGAGTGCAGCGGCACAGTCTCGGCTCACTGCAACCTCTGCCTCCCGGGTTTAAGCCATTCTCCTGCCTCAGCCTCCTGAGTAGCTGGGATTACACGCAAGTGCCACCACACCTGGCACACCAACAGGGTTTCACCATGTTGGCCAGGCTGGTCTCGAACTCCTGACCTCAGGTGATCTGCCCACCTCGCTTCCCAAAGTGCTGGGATTACAGGTGTGAGCCACCGCGCCCAGCCTAAATTTAAACTTTAAATCCAGGTTCTGAGTCCAGGGTGTTTTCCACAGATATAACATAAAGTTACCAACAGGATGGAAAAATGTACAGAACATATGATCACATAAAGGGTTGGTAGGGAGTACTGCAGTTTGGTTACTTTGCCCCAGATATCCTTTTCTTCACACCTAAAAATTTTAACTTTATTTTTATTTATTTATTTTTTTGAGACGGAGTCTCACTCTGCCACCCAGGCTGGAGTGCAGTGGCACGATCTCGGCTCGTAAATGAGAGGAAAAGAGGACAAGAAAGAGAGAAATCTGACACTGATTACCACAAAGGAAGAAGAAGCATGGTCCCTAATCTCATTTCCATTGCTGTATTAAAGCCCTGGAGAACAAAGGGCATCTGTCCCATTACGTCGACCATGACTTTTCCAATTGCTTAAGTCACTCTCCTCTTCCACACTAATAAGATACTGCAATTTATATAGGATGGAAGATGGATAATGCAAAGTCAGAAACAGACAAGGTAACAGAGTTAGCACAAAATCCAGATTGGATTTAGACTGATTTTTTGCTAGAAACTGAGTAGGACAGTGACTTATGCAATAAGTGAGGAAGTTTTTGCTGGAAACTGAAGAGGACAGTGACTCAAGCAATAAGTGAGGAAGGTATAGGCCAAGAAATGGGACTGTCTTCCTTTACTGCTCCAGAGTATTTTGTAGCAATGAAAATGACGCTCTATAGTCTCCCATGTATTATTTTCTGTGGCAACTCTTCCTCCATAATTCCCTGAGCTGTCTTTTGTTTGTTTGTTTTTTAAAGACTAGATTTTTGTGGGGGGAGTGGGGAGGGATAGCATTAGGAGATATACCTAATGTTAAATGACAAGTTAATGGTTGCAGCACACCAACATGCAGCACATGTATACGTATGTAACAAACCTGCACGTCGTGCACATGTACCCTAAAACTTAAACTATAATAAAAAAAAGACTAGATTTTTTGGAGGTGTTATCTTCTACTTGCAAAATGGAATTTCTGCCTTTAAATTCTACAGTTGAAGTGTGTACCGAATTTTTCATTTCCTTTAAAATGTAAGAATCGAGTCACAAGGAAGCTGGATAGCCATACAATCATCCTGAAAAGTGCTTGAAGCAAAGCTTTAGTGAGATGATTTCAACCTCAAACTGTATAGCAAGCACACGGTTCTCCCAATGCCTTCATCATGATAGAGATGATCTTCCTGTAGTCTCTTTTGTTGTATGTCTGCCTAGGATGCTCTTTCCGGCTCTAATGAGTGAGGCTACAGACACATGTCACCGCTCCTTTCTCTTTACTCCTCTGACCTCAGATAGCATGCAGCCAGATTCTGTCTCCATCGTTACTGCAGAAAGTGCTATCTTTAAAGGAAGATGCCTTTTGCAATCTTGTAAGAACTCCAGCTGGTCCAACAAAGGTTGTAACTCTTTACTTTGGGGTGTCTTTATAAAAGCAACACTCTATAACCACCTGTTTTCTTATGTAAAATTCCCCCCAAGTCCTTAATCACTAGGCTCAACAATGCACTCAGGAGGTGTAAAGGCTACAAGTAAGATCTGAAAAGCTCAGTTTAAGAATTATAAACATGTTATTAATTATACATGGTAAATTATACATGGTAAATAACATACGTGTTATTAATTATACCTTAACGTTCAGTTAAGGTCAACTGAAACTTCTTTAATGAAAATTTGTATGACATAATATATTTTCAGACCACATCAAGTTGTGGGTCTAATGAAAGATACAGAGAAAATTTCTTTTTTTTTTAATTTATTTATTTTTTATTACACTTTAAGTTTTAGGGTACATGTGCACATTGTGCAGGTTAGTTACGTATGTATACATGTGCCGTGCTGGTGCGCTGCACCCACTAACTCGTCATCTAGCATTAGGTATATCTCCCAATGCTATCCCTCCCCCCTACCCCCACCCCACCACAGTCCCCAGAGTGTGATATTCCCCTTCCTGTGTCCATGTGATCTCATTGTTCAATTCCCACCTATGAGTGAGAATATGCGGTGTTTGGTTTTTTGTTCTTGCGATAGTTTACTGAGAATGATGATTTCCAATTTCATCCATGTCCCTACAAAGGACGTGAACTCATCATTTTTTATGGCTGCATAGTATTCCATGGTGTATATGTGCCACATTTTCTTAATCCAGTCTATCATTGTTGGACATTTGGGTTGGTTCCAAGTCTTTGCTATTGTGAATAATGCCACAATAAACATACGTGTGCATGTGTCTTTATAGCAGCAGCATGATTTATAGTCATTTGGGTATATACCCAGTAATGGGATGGCTGGATCAAATGGTATTTCTAGTTCTAGATCCCTGAGGAATCGCCACACTGACTTCCACAATGGTTGAACTAGTTTACAGTCCCACCAACAGTGTAAAAGTGTTCCTGTTTCTCCACATCCTCTCCAGCACCTGTTGTTTCCTGACTTTTTAATGATTGCCATTCTAACTGGTGTGAGATGGTATCTCATAGTGGTTTTGATTTGCATTTCTCTGATGGCCAGTGATGATGAGCATTTTTTCATGTGTTTTTTGGCTGCATAAATGTCTTCTTTTGAGAAGTGTCTGTTCATGTCCTTCGCCCACTTTTTGATGGGGTTGTTTGTTTTTCTCTTGTAAATTTGTTTGAGTTCATTGTAGATTCTGGATATTAGCCCTTTGTCAGATGAGTAGGTTGCGAAAATTTTCTCCCATTTTGTAGGTTGCCTGTTCACTCTGATGGTAGTTTCTTTTGCTGTGCAGAAGCTCTTTAGTTTAATTAGATCCCATTTGTCAATTTTGTCTTTTGTTGCCATTGCTTTTGGTGTTTTGGACATGAAGTCCTTGCCCACGCCTATGTCCTGAATGGTAATGCCTAGGTTTTCTTCTAGGGTTTTTATGGTTTTAGGTCTAACGTTTAAATCTTTGATCCATCTTGAATTGATTTTTGTATAAGGTGTAAGGAAGGGATCCAGTTTCAGCTTTCTACATATGGCTAGCCAGTTTTCCCAGCACCATTTATTAAATAGGGAATCCTTTCCCCATTGCTTGTTTTTCTCAGGTTTGTCAAAGATCAGATAGTTGTAGGTATGCGGCGTTATTTCTGAGGGCTCTGTTCTGTTCCATTGATCTATATCTCTGTTTTGGTACCAGTACCATGCTGTTTTGGTTACTGTAGCCTTGTAGTATAGTTTGAAGTCAGGTAGTGTGATTCCTCCAGCTTTGTTCTTTTGGCTTAGGATTGACTTGGTGATGCAGGCTCTTTTTTGGTTCCATATGAACTTTAAAGTAGTGTTTTCCAATTCTGTGAAGAAAGTCATTGGTAGCTTGATGGGGATGGCATTGAATCTGTAAATTACCTTGGGCAGTATGGCCATTTTCACGATATTGATTCTTCCTACCCATGAGCATGGAATGTTCTTCCATTTGTTTGTATCCTCTTTTATTTCTTTGAGCAGTGGTTTGTAGTTCTCCTTGAAGAGGTCCTTCACATCCCTTGTAAGTTGGATTCCTAGGTATTTTATTCTCTTTGAAGCAATTGTGAATGGGAGTTCACTCATGATTTGGCTCTCTGTTTGTCTGTTGTTGGTGTATAAGAATGCTTGTGATTTTTGCACATTGATTTTGTATCCTGAGACTTTGCTGAAGTTGCTTATCAGCTTAAGGAGATTTTGGGCTGAGACAATGGGGTTTTCTAGATATACAATCATGTCGTCTGCAAACAGGGACAATTTGACTTCCTCTTTTCCTAATTGAATACTCTTTATTTCCTTCTCCTGCCTAATTGCCCTGGCCAGAACTTCCAACACTATGTTGAATAGGAGTGGTGAGAGAGGGCATCCCTGTCTTGTGCCAGTTTTCAAAGGGAATGCTTCCAGTTTTTGCCCATTCAGTATGATATTGGCTGTGGGTTTGTCATAGATAGCTCTTATCATTTTGAAATACGTCCCATCAATACCTAATTTATTGAGAGTTTTTAGCATGAAGGGTTGTTGAATTTTGTCAAAGGCTTTTTCTGCATCTATTGAGATAATCATGTGGTTTTTGTCTTTGGCTCTGTTTATATGCTGGATTACATTTATTGATTTGCATATATTGAACCAGCCTTGCATCCCAGGGATGAAGCCCACTTGATCATGGTGGATAAGCTTTTTGATGTGCTGCTGGATTTGGTTTGCCAGTATTTTATTGAGGATTTTTGCATCAATGTTCATCAAGGATATTGGTCTAAAATTGTCTTTTTTGGTTGTGTCTCTGCCCGGCTTTGGTATCAGAATGATGCTGGCCTCATAAAATGAGTTAGGGAGGATTCCCTCTTTTTCTATTGATTGGAATAGTTTCAGAAGGAATGGTACCAGTTCCTCCTTGTACCTCTGGTAGAATTCGGCTGTGAATCCATCTGCTCCTGGACTCTTTTTGGTTGGTAAACTATTGATTATTGCCACAATTTCAGATCCTGTTATTGGTCTATTCAGAGATTCAACTTCTTCCTGGTTTAGTCTTGGGAGAGTGTATGTGTCGAGGAATTTATCCATTTCTTCTAGATTTTCTAGTTTATTTGCGTAGAGGTGTTTGTAGTATTCTCTGATGGTAGTTTGTATTTCTGTGGGATCGGTGGTGATATCCCCTTTATCATTTTTTATTGTGTCTATTTGATTCTTCTCTCTTTTTTTCTTTATTAGTATTGCTAGCGGTCTATCAATTTTGTTGATCCTTTCAAAAAACCAGCTCCTGGATTCATTGATTTTTTGAATGGCTTTTTGTGTCTCTATTTCCTTCAGTTCTGCTCTGATTTTAGTTATTTCTTGCCTTCTGCTAGCTTTTGAATGTGTTTGCTCTTGCTTTTCTAGTTCTTTTAATTGTGATGTTAGGGTGTCAATTTTGGATCTTTCCTGCTTTCTCTTGTGGGCATTTAGTGCTATAAATTTCCCTCTACACACTGCTTTGAATGTGTCCCAGAGATTCTGGTATGTCATGTCTTTGTTCTCGTTGGTTTCAAAGAACATCTTTATTTCTGCCTTCATTTCGTTATGTACCCAGTAGTCATTCAGGAGCAGGTTGTTCAGTTTCCATGTAGTTGAGCAGCTTTGAGTGAGATTCTTAATCCTGAGTTCTAGTTTGATTGCACTGTGGTCTGAGAGATAGTTTGTTATAATTTCTGTTCTTTTACATTTGCTGAGGAGAGCTTTACTTCCAAGTATGTGGTCAATTTTGGAATAGGTGTGGTGTGGTGCTGAAAAAAATGTATATTCTGTTGATTTGGGGTGGAGAGTTCTGTAGATGTCTATTAGGTCTGCTTGGTGCAGAGCTGAGTTCAATTCCTGGGTATCCTTGTTGACTTTCTGTCTCGTTGATCTGTCTAATGTTGACAGTGGGGTGTTAAAGTCTCCCATTATTAATGTGTGGGAGTCTAAGTCTCTTTGTAGGTCACTCAGGACTTGCTTTATGAATCTGGGTGCTCCTGTATTGGGTGCATATATATTTAGGGTAGTTAGCTCTTCTTGTTGAATTGATCCCTTTACCATTATGTAATGGCCTTCTTTGTCTCTTTTGATCTTTGTTGGTTTAAAGTCTGTTTTATCAGAGACTAGGATTGCAACCCCTGCCTTTTTTTGTTTTCCATTTGCTTGGTAGATCTTCCTCCATCCTTTTATTTTGAGCCTATGTGTGTCTCTGCACGTGAGATGGGTTTCCTGAATACAGCACACTGATGGGTCTTGACTCTTTATCCAATTTGCCAATCTGTGTCTTTTAATTGGAGAATTTAGTCCATTTACATTTAAAGTTAATGTTGTTATGTGTGAATTTGATCCTGTCATTATGATGTTAGCTGGTGATTTTGCTCGTTAGTTGATGCAGTTTCTTCCTAGTCTCGATGGTCTTTACATTTTGGCATGATTTTGCAGCGGCTGGTACCGGTTGTTCCTTTCCATGTTTAGCGCTTCCTTCAGGAGCTCTTGTAGGGCAGGCCTGGTGGTGACAAAAATCTCTCAGCATTTGCTTGTCTGTAAAGGATTTAATTTCTCCTTCACTTATGAAGCTTAGTTTGGCTGGATATGAAATTCTGGGTTGAAAATTCTTTTGTTTAAGAATGTTGAATATTGGCCCCCACTCTCTTCTGGCTTGTAGGGTTTCTGCCGAGAGATCTGCTGTTAGTCTGATGGGCTTCCCTTTGAGGGTAACCCGACCTTTCTCTCTGGCTGCCCTTAACATTTTTTCCTTCATTTCAACTTTGGTGAATCTGACAATTATGTGTCTTGGAGTTGCTCTTCTCGAGGAGTATCTTTGTGGCGTTCTCTGTATTTCCTGAATCTGAACGTTGGCCTGCCTTGCTAGATTGGGGAAGTTCTCCTGGATAATATCCTGCAGAGTGTTTTCCAACTTGGTTCCATTCTCCCCATCACTTTCAGGTACACCAATCAGACGTAGATTTGGTCTTTTCACAAAGTCCCATATTTCTTGGAGGCTTTGCTCATTTCTTTTTATTCTTTTTTCTCTAAACTTCCCTTCTCGCTTCATTTCATTCATTTCATCTTCCATTGCTGATACCCTTTCTTCCAGTTGATCGCATCAGCTCCTGAGGCTTCTGCATTCTTCACGTAGTTCTCGAGCCTTGGTTTTCAGCTCCATCAGCTCCTTTAAGCGCTTCTCTGTATTGGTTATTCTAGTTATACATTCTTCTAAATTTTTTTCAAAGTTTTCAACTTCTTTGCCTTTGGTTTGAATGTCCTCCCGTAGCTCAGAGTAATTTGATCATCTGAAGCCTTCTTCTGAGAAAATTTCATATGGATGTGAATGAAATTTTGATAGTTTCTAAGGCTACTGGTGTCTCTATCAGAAAAAGAAATATATGGTCCTAGATAGTCAGTGTCCAGAGAAAAAGTCTGATTACAACAGTAATACACATACGGCCTTTAGCTGCTTCTGGATTAAAAATCAACTGAGGCATACAGAACACTGATGACAGATTATGGTGATAATGTAATGGTGCCTATTGGTCATGCAGGACCCCCGGAAAAATGCAGCTCCAGATAAGAGGGCCATGTGTTAGCAGGCCCTTCACAAAGTTTGAAGGAAGGAGTAGGTGGCCTATATAATAGGTATTTAAAAGAAGATTCTGGAGGAGTGCACAGGGAATATATTTGTTTGCTAGAGGTGCAATAACAAAGTGCCACAGACTGGGTGGCTTAAACAACAGAAATTTATTTCCTTACAGTTCTGGAAGTTACGAGTCTAAGATCAAGGTGACAACAGGTTTGGTTTCTTCTGAGGCCTGTGTCCTTGGCTTGTAGATGGCCAGCTTCTCCTTCTGTCTTCACATTGTCATCCTTTTTTGTCTGTGTCCTAATCTCCTCTTCTTATAAGGACACCTGTCATATTGGCTTGAACAACCTGTATAACCTCATTTTACCTTAATTATGTCTTAGCCCTGTCTCCAAATACAGCCACATTATAAGGTGTGGGGGTTGGGAGGCTAGGATTTCAACATATGAATTTTGAACACAATTCAACTTAATTCAGCCCATAACAGAACATTGTAGGCAGGGGCATGAAGACATGAAAGCACATCATGATCACTGAGTGTTTGCTGTGGTAGAAACATAATGCGCCCCTGGAAGAGGGAGGAGAGATGGGGCTGGACAGGTAGATGGGGCTCATAGGATTAAGGGTCTTACCTGCCAAGCTAAGGAGTTTAGACTTTATCCTGAAGACTATGAGGAGCCATAGAAAAATTTAAATTATGGAAATAACACAACCAAATTTTGAATGCTCTGTCTGCATTGTAGGGACTGGATTGTAGAAAGGAAAAGTGTTTGAAGGCAGAGAAACTAAGAAGTTAAAGGTGAATCTGGAGAGGCCAGGTAAGCTAGAAGGAGAGGGTTTTTAGGATGGCATGCAGACACTGTAGGGGAGGAAATGGTGTGGAAGTACCTGAGTCTATAAATGAGGAAGTTGACAGAATAAGGTCCTGAAGGAAAAGAAAGGGGCACAAAAGGCACAGAGAAAGAGATCCATGAAGAAAGGAGAAAAAAAAGTGAGGATGAGGAAAGGGTCAAATCCGTTTGTAAATGGGTGAGAATCTTAAAATGCCAGCCTGACGGCCTCTATTTTGTTGCTTTTGCTTCTACCACGAGAATGGTGGATAATCTGGGATTGAAGAGAGTAGCAAATGTTTGGATAGTCACTGTAAGTAGAAAGGGAAAATAGGCATTTCTGAGCCACACTGAAACCCCAGCAGAGGTAAGATTCTCTTAAGGGTGCTAAGAGGCCAGAGGACAGCAGTCCTGGACCCAAGAAATTGAACTGGGTTGATTTCTGTTTGCACGGCTGACAGGATCGAGGGGGCCAAAACCCTGGGCTGAGGGAATTGAGGGGGCTGGGGAGAGGGTGGCTGATGATTTGGGATCCAGGCATGAGGGGAAGGAAAGGAAGCAGGAGGGGCTAGAAGTCTGAACATCTAAGATACTAGGGGTAGAGATGAGGCTGAAGAGCAGGTTTCATGACAGGATAGACATGGAATGAAGATGCTTAGGCAGTGGTGGTGAAAAAGTGAGGAGTCTGCCGAAAGATTTCAGAGGAAGAGCAGTTTCACACAGTCACAAGGTCTTAAAGTCAGTATTAAATGAGAGGAGCTGTGTGCAGAGATTACATAAGAGACATTTCTATTAGACCTAAAGGAAACATTCCATAAAAGTTCTATCAACATAGCTCTGTTGTTTGGTCCTTTTTAACTTTAGGCTTAAGGAAATATTGGAAACCTCTGTTCCCTAAGGAAGATGAAAGTGAGAAGATAAAGCTCTGAAAAGCAAGTACATCTGGGGACCGTTAATTACATGTAAAAACAAAACACTCTCAGAACAAGAAACAGGACGGGGAGGCAAGCACTCTGTCTGTTGCTATGTTAAATAACTAGTTGGAAAAGAATTCTTTACCCAAATCTTCATAACAAGGCAATTTTATTTGGTTTATACTTCCTATAAATCTTGAAACAAGAGAAATTTTATTTAAGTTTTGTTGTATAAATCCCCCCCCACCTCTGAAAAACAGCTTGAATTCTCTTTTATGTTCTTGTCATCCTCCTGGGGTTATGAGTTTGATTAGTAGAGTGGACCTGTAATTTCTAACTTCACACTCTACACTTCATCTAAGCATTCATTATAGCCCCAATTTCTCCCTCCAGAAATCGGTTTTTCTTTAGACAGCTTTCTTTTTTAAAATATTGTCTACGATCTTAAAGTAAACCCCCCCCCAAAAAAAAGAAAGAAAAAAGAAACTAAACTAAAAACAGAAACAAATATTAACCTTACTTAAAATATTCTGTAGGAATCCTTATTTTAAAGTAAATAAAACTATAAATTAGTGTTTATAGCATTATTCTTATAGCCAAAAAGTGAAAACAACCCAATTGTCTATCAACTGATGAATGAATAAACAAAATGTGGTATATCCATATAATTGAAAATCACTTGGCAATAAAAAGAAGTAAAGTACTGATACATGCTAAAACATGGATGAGTCTTGAAAAGACGCTCAGTGTGATGGTTAGTTTTATAGGTCAACTTGACCAGTACATAGGGTGCGCAGATTAAGCACTATTTCTGTATGTGTCTGTGAAGGTGTTGCTGGATGAGATTAGCATTTAAATTGGGAGACTGAGCAAAAAAGACTGCCCTCCCCATTGTGGGTGAGCATCAGCCAATCCAGTGGGGCCCTAAATAGAACAAAAAGGTGGAGGAAGGGGAGATTCCTTCTCTCTGCCTGAATGCTTGAGCTGGGACATGTCTCCTCCTGCCCTCAACTGGATTTATACCATCTCCAGGGCTCCAGATTGCAGAGGGAGATCGTGGGACGTCTCAGTCTCCATAATTGCATAAGCCAATGCCTTATGATAAATATCTTCCATCTATTGATCTTTTTTTTTTCATTTGACGCCTACGGTATGAATCATCTGCCTATCAATCAATCATCTCATTGATGAGCACTGCCTAACCCACATAATAGTGGTTTTCTAAGTCTATCATTCCTTTTACATTTATTAACTGGATTTCTCTTTTCATTTTTTTTTTTTTTTTTCTTTTGAGATGGAGTCTCACTCTGTCACCCAGGCTGGTGTGCAATGGCGCAATCTCGGCTCACTGCAACATTTGCTTCCCGGGTTCAAGCCATTCTCGCCCCTCACCCTCCCGAGTAGCTGGGATTACAGACACATGCCACATGCCCGGCTAATTTTTGTGTTTTTAGTAGAGACAGAGTTCGCCATGTGGGCCTGGCTGATCTCGAACTCCGGACCTCAGGTGATCCGCCCACCTTGGCCTCCCAAAGTGCTGGGATTACAGGCATAAGCCACCACACCTGGCCCTTCTCTTTTCAATTAGGGCTATTTAGTGATTTTAAAATACAGTTTGTACAGGAGAGGCAGGATAAATTCTTTCTTCTTCTCCTTTAATTTTAAATTTTCAAAGTATACACTTCGTGCCTGTCCTTACTACATTGTGTCCCCTGAAATTCATATGTTGAAGTCCTAACCTTCCATTCCTGTTTTTATAGACAGGTCTTTAAAGAGGTAACTAAGTTAAAATGAGGTCATCAGGGTGGGCTGTAATCCAATATAAATGCTATCCTTATAAGAAGAGGAAATTTGGGTACAGACGGTACAGAGGGAAGACCATATGAAGACACAAGAGAAGACGGCAATCTACAAGTCAAGGACAGAGGCCTCAGAAGAAACCAACCCTGTCAATGCCTTGATCTCAAATTTCTAGCTTCCAGAGTTGTGAGAAAATAAATTCCTGTTGTTTTAAGCCACCCAGTCAGTGGTCCTTCATTATAGTAGCCAGCTACTTCTAATGATGACCAGTGACTTTTTGTTTAACTGATTAATTAGCTTTCTTTTTCTTTTTCATATCACTGTGAATTCGTGGATTTTATACAATCAGTGTGTTTCAATTGGTTGCAGTTATTTTTTGTTTTGAATGTTTAAATATTTCCATATTTGGCCAGAGGAAGCCCCAGAGGAAGTTAATTTTTGGGTCATTTTGATATAACCCCGGTAGTCTTTGATAACTCTCTTGCTTTCAGGTACATTTTCTGTCCTAGACCTGGAAGCAACTATCTTAAAAATGGTACAGTAGTCCCTCCTTATCCATGGGGGATACATTCCAAGACTTGCAGTGGATGCCGGAAACCAGAGATAGTACCAAATCCTATGTATAAGAAGTTTTTCCTACATATAACTGTGATAAAGTTTAATTTATAGGCTTGTCCAAGTGCAGTGGTGTTTACAACTAATTTGATCACAACCAGTTATATGTTCCTTTTGTTCCTTCTTCACTCCCACTTCTTTACTTGACTAGCCTAAAAAAAGTTTAATTCATAAATTAAAACAGGCAAATATTAGCAAAATTAACTAATAATAAAACAGAACAAATACAAAAATATAGTGTAATAAATGTTATGTGAGTCCGGGCGTGGTGGCTCACGCCTGTAAGCCCAGCACTTTGGGAGGCCGAGGCAGGCGGATCACAAGGTCAGGAGATCAAGATCATCCTGGCTAACACAGTGAAACCCTGTCTCTACTAAAAATAAAAAATAAAAAAAAATTAGCCAGGCATGGTGGTGGGTGCCTGTAGTCCCAGCTACTCGGGAGGCTGAGGCAGGAGAATGGCATGAACCCGGGAGGTGGAGCTTGCAGTGAGCCGAGATCGTGCCACTGCACTCCAGCCTGGGCGACAGAGCGAGACTCTGTCTCAGACAAAAAAAAAAAAAAAAAAAGTTATGTGAATATGGTCTCTCTCAAAATATCTTACTGTACTGTACAATACTTCTTGTGGTGATGTGAGATGATAAAATCCCTATGTGATTAAATGAAGTGAGGTGAATGACATAGGCATTGTAACTTAGTGTTAGACTACAATTAACCTGAAAATACATCAAAAGAAAGAGGATTTGCTTTGGGTGATCCTGGATCACCCAGCCCTGACAGTGGCAACGGTTGGCTGTCAGGAACAGATGATGTCGGTGACTAATGGGCAGGTAGCATACAGGGCATGGATACACTGGACAAAGGGATGATTCACATCCTGGGTAAGACAGAGAGGGACGGCTCAAGATTTCATCATGCTACTCAGAACATTGCACAGTTTAAAGCTTATGAATTGTTTATTTCTGGAATTTTCCATTTAATATTTTTTGGACCATGGGTAACTGAAACCTTGAAAATTGAAACCATGGTTAAGGGGGATCATTGTATAATCTGGGCATATGACTGTTCATTGCTACTAGGTTGCCACTGCATCTAAGCTTTTTTCAGGAAATAAAAGATTATAGGGCTTTTACTTCTTCGTTTTTCTATTTGTATCTTTTATCTCTCACATGGAAAGTTTTAGACCTAACACATTAACATAATCATTTTTACTATAATAGCTACAAAAGTTTCAAAATGATACATACACATATATATATTTGCTAACCATTAGACTATTAATTGAAGTTTTTAAAATTTTATTTATTTATTTAAGATGGGGTCTTGCTCTGTCACCCAGGCTGGAGAGCAGTGGTGTGATCTTGGCTCACTGCAACCTGTCTCTCCTGGGTTCAAGCCATTCTCCTGCCTGAGCCTCCCAAGTAGCTGGGATGTACAGGTGAATGCCACCTCGCCCGGCTAGTTTTTGTATTTTTAGTAGAAACAGGGCTTCACCATGTTGGCCAGGCTGGTCTTGAACTCCCGACCTCAAGTGATCCACCCACCTTGGCCTCCCTAAGTGCTGGGATTACAGGCGCGAGCCACTGCACCTGGCCTAAATGAAGTTTAAAATTAGCCTTTTTGAGTTTGAGACCAGCCTGGCTAACGTGGTGAAACCCCATCTCTACTAAAAATACAAAAATTAGCCGGGTGTGGTGGTGCATGCCTATAATCCCAGTTACTCAGGAGGCTGAGGCAGGAGAATCACTTGAACTCAGGAGGCGGAGGTTGCAGTGAGCCAAGATCATGCCACTGCACTCCAGCCTGGGTGACAGAGTGAGACTTTGTCTCAAAAAAAAAAAAAAAATTCACCTTTTTGACCTTAGAATACGTATTTCTAAGAATACATAGTCAAAGTCTTATGTTCTAAAATAATTGTAAATAGTTCTTTCCTTTATGGTTATGTCAACTCGATACACAGTTAAATTCATTTGTTTTAGAACAGTTTTTTTTTATTATGTCAACTTGATATACAGTTAAGTTTATTTATTTTAGAACAGTTTTTTTTTTGGTACTTTTTCAGGCAATGTTCTTTGTTCTATTTTATAAGCATCATTAGAAAATAGTTGTTTTCAAGCTGCAATGAGAACTGAGGTTAAAAGACAGAAGAAATGGGACAAAACCGTCTGGGACCTCATCTTCCTACTTATATGCATCATTTAATAGTTCACCATTGATTTCACGGCAATTCATCCAGGATTCCCTGAATAAACTACTCCCTGACAAAACATTTTAATCATTGCCTCAATTTAGATAATCCTGGTCACATCATGAACATTGAAGCCTTAATGTTTCCAGGCTCTTGTTTCTCTTTGAATACCGAAGTCTACTGATATATGGAATATGTCTTCTAACACTGTTAATAGTCATATTTACAGAACTGAAATAGTCATGATTAAAAACAGAAATCCTAGCCAGAAATTCCCTTTGCGGTCAATTCTTTTTTTTATATAAAATATTTGAATTAATATTTTGCTTCAGTAAAAAGAACACACACCCACACCCACACCCACACACGTTCCTTCCTTTTTTTTTTTTTTTTTTTTTTTTTGAGACAGGGTCTCAGTCAGTCACCTAGGCTAAAGTGCAGTGGCATGATCACAGCTCATTGCAGTGTCGACCTCCCTGGGCTCAGGTGATTCTCCCACCTCAGCCTGCAGGTAGCTGAGACTACAAGTGCACATCACCATGCTCAACTAAATTTTTGTATTTTTTATAGAGACAGGGTTTCACTATATTGCCCAGGCTGGTCTCAAACTCCTGGGTTCAAGCAATCTGCGTTCCTTGGCCTCCCACAGTGTTGGGATAACAGGTGTGAGCCACCATGCCCAGCTGTCTTCTCTTTTAAAAAACAGACTGGCCAGGTGCGATGGTTCACGCCTGTAATCCTAGCACTTTGGGAGGCGGAGGCGGGTGGATCACGAGGTCAGCAGCTTAAGACCAGCCTGGCCAAGATGGTGAAACCTTGTCTTTACTAAAAATACAAAAATTAGCTGGGCATGGTGGTGGGCACCTATAATCCCAGCTACTTGGGAGGCTGAGGCAGAGAATTGCTTGAACCTGGGAGGTGAGGGTTGCAGTGAGCCAAGATCGCACCATTGTGCTCCAGCCTGGGCGACAGAGCAAGACTCTCTAAAACAAACAAACAGACTTTATTTTTTTACAGTGGTTTTAGGTTCACAGCAGAATTGAGAGGAAGGTATAGAGATTTCCCATATACTCCTGCCCCACTCATGCATAACCTCCCTATTATCAACGTCCTCACCAGAGTGGTGCATTTGTTACAACTGATGAACCTACACACTGACACATCAATATCACCCAAAGTCCGTAGTTTACATTAGGATTCACTCTTGGTGTTGTACATTCTGTGGGTTGGGACAGATGCATAATGACAAATATTCACCATTATAGTATCATACAGAGTAATTTCACTGCCGTAAAAATCCTCCGTACTCTGCTTATTCATTCCTCCCTTCCCCCTAACCCTAGCAACCACTGATCCTTTCACTGACTCCATTGTTTTTGCCTTCCACAGAATGTCATATTGTTGGAATCATACAATATGTAGCCTTTTTAGATGTGTTTCTTTCACTTAGCAATATGCTTTTTGAGTTTTCTCCATGTCTTTTTATGGCTTGATGACTCATTTCTTTTCAGCACTGAATAATATTCCATAGTCTAGATGTAACACTATTTATCCAGAATTCTTACTGAAGGGCATATTGGTTTCTTCCAGGTTTTGGCAATTATGAATACAGCTGCTATCCATGTGCAGGTTTTTGTGTTAATGTAAGTTTTCAACTACTTCGGGTAAATACCAAGAAGTGCAATTTGCTAGATTGTATGGCAAAAGTATGTTTAATTTTGTAGGAAACTGTCAAACCGTCTTCCAAAGTGGCTGTGCCATTTTGCACTCGCATCAGCAATAAGTGAGAGTTCCTGTTGCTCCATGTGATTGCCATCATTCAGTGTTTTCAGTGTTCTGGAGTTTGGCCATTCTAATAGGTGTGTAGTCACTTTTTTTTCATCTATACTGTTAGTCAGATTGCATTGTTTACTATACTATGTAACATCATTTGGCTACTGTTGGAAAAACTGTTTAAATAGAAAGTACAAGAACTCTGAAGTCAGATGGAACTGGTTTTATGCAACCTAACAGTTGTTAAAAGTTGATAAAAAACAGTGGCTGGGCACAGTGGCTCACGCCTGTAATCCCAGCACTTTGGGAGGCCAAGGCAGGCGGATCATCTGAGGTCAGGAGTTCAAGACCAGCCTGGCCTACATGGTGAAACCCCGTCTCTATTAAAAATACAAAAATTAGCTGGGCATGGTAGCACATGCCTGTAATCCTAG
Organism: Homo sapiens; assembly: GCF_000001405.40. NCBI lineage: Eukaryota > Metazoa > Chordata > Mammalia > Primates > Hominidae > Homo > Homo sapiens. The sequence goes on along the minus strand of NC_000002.12, from coordinate 174,260,639 downwards.
TTACTCTGGAGGCTGAGGCAGGAGAATTGCTTGAACCCGGGAGGCGGAGGTTGCAGTGATCCGAGATCGCGCCACTACACTCCAGGCGGGGGCAACAGAGCGAGACTCTGACCAATAAATAAATAAATAAATAAATAAATAAAACTAATACAATTTCCTGACTTTTTACAGACTTGGTGTCCTTAGCTGTAAACGGGTTGTAATAATACATACTCATAGAAAGTTATCTTGAGCAGTAAATTAGGTCCCAAATGTAAAGTGGCTAGCACAGTATTTCATAAAATAGGGATTTAATCATTATCTTTCTCTCAACCTAAAAACCTCTTAAGGCAAACATAAACAGAAAAAATGGCTTGATCCTGAGAATGATTGTTAGTACCGTCCTCCCTTGATTTTTAGGTCATTTGTGTAATCCAGCTGTAATTTAAAAGAAGTACCAAACTGAGCCCTTATTTATTACTTCAGCTGGGCAGGAAGCCAATGTATTAAGCAATCTTTTTAGTCTTGCTAGCTCATACAGGGCACAGAAATGTATTAAAAAGTGGCTATTCTAATCAGGGGTTCTTGTACTGGCTGTCAGACAGGACATCCTAAAGATAGTTTCTAGAGAGAGATCCCTAATTTGACAAGGTCATTTAAGAAAAGCTACAAATTTCATCCTACTCTTTGGAGATCTTTTACTCCACTTGAAAACACATTTTCTCATCCAGAATGAAATATAGTTCAAGACTCTTAATTCTCTCTTTTTTTTTTTTTTTTTGAGATGGAGTCTCGCTCTATTGGCAGGCTGGAGTGCAGTGGCGCTATCTTGGCTCACTGCAACCTCCACCTCCTGGATTCAAGCAATTCTCCTGCCTCAGGCTCCTGAGTAGATGGGACTACAGGTGCACGCCACCACGCCCAGCTAATTTTTGTATTTTTAGTAGAGACGAGGTTTCACCATGTTGGCCAGGATGGTCTCGATCTCTTGACCTCATGATGTGCCCGCTTTGGCCTCCCAAAGTGCTGGGATTACAGGCGTGAGCCACTGCGCCCGGCCAGACTCTTAATTCTAATTTTAAATTTTTTCTTGATAGACACCTTGTGGGAGCATTGTTTTCCTTAGGATTGAAACTCACTTTTCTTTTTCCTTGTTAAGTAATCATTTTGTTTGTTAGTTGTTAAAAGGCAAGGGAAGAGAGCACTCTTCAATATTTTTTTCTGCAACAAGAGTTCTCCTAAATCACTATAGTAGCAATCTTCAAAGAGTTGCTCTCCAGAGAGTATGTGTTCCAAGAGATTTTAGTGCTCATTATATCAAGAAGGCTATACACATTTGGTAATTCTGGGTTAAGGGGTGTTAACAGATCTTTTTTTCCTGCAGAATTTCTCAAAACTTTAAATATACTAATATATATTATCAGTCTCCCAAAGGGGTTTTACAGCACTTCCTAAAGTTATCTGATCCTGGATCTCTTATTTCACAGAGCAACATGGAGTGTCATTGTTCCACAGAATACACTGTGGGAAATAATGTCTTATAACCTAAAACTACAGGTAAGAGGGGCCAGGTGTGGTGGCTCACACCTGTAATCCCAATACTAATGTGGGAGGCTTGAGGTGGGAGGCTTGAGGCCAGGAGTTCAAATCCAGCCTGGGCAACATGGCAAGACTCTTTCTACAAAAAAACAAACCAAAAGAAAAAACTACAGCTAAGAGGAACATTGGACCAATATGCCCCAAAACATATTAACAGTTTTCAGGAGAGTATACATTTTTGTTTGCTTTGGCCATTGCAACCATTGTCTGGCTATAAGAAACAGAAACCACTGCACATGTATTTAAATTGAAAATGGAAATTCTTGGTAGAACACAGTGCTATCTCACAGAGTCCGAGGCCAGAAAATACACAAGGCTTTAGGAGAACTAAACTCTGGAACCGGAAACTCAGAACTTGTGATGACTCTCTCCTCTCTCAGTTTCCCCAGGACCATACAGATGGTTGATTAAGTACCCTTCTTCCTCCCTGCATATTTTATTTTTCTCTTTCTTTAGAGTATCCACCTGTCAAGAAATTGTCTGACATGACCTGATCCTATGTTCCCTTTTAAGCAGCAGATATTATCTGTTGCTATGTTCTAAGTCCAGCTTCTATAGAGAAAGAGAATCTCAATTTGCACAGCTTGGGTCAGGTTTTCATCTATCCCTATCCAATCTACTGTAACTGGAGGGTTCATGTGCTATAAGCAGAAAAGCTTGGTCTCAGTTTGATGAGGAAAATTAACTCTTCTTAGAGTGAAGGGGTTATGGGATGATAGGCACCACCAAAGTCATGACTTCTAAGAATCATCTTAGGGCCGGGTGCAGTGGCTCACGCCTGTAATCCCAGCACTTTGGGAGGCTGAGGTGGGTGGATCACCTGAGGTCATAAGTTTGAGACCAGTCTGGCCAACATGGTGAAATCCCGTCTCTACTAAAAATACAAAATTAGCTGGGTGTGGTGGCACATGCCTGTCATCCCAGGTACTTCGGAGGTTCAGGCAGGAGAATGGCTTGAACCTGGGAGGCGGAGGCTGCAGTGAGTCGAGACTGTGCTATTGGCTCTAGCCTGGGCAACAAGAGCAAAACTCCAACTCAAAAAAAAAAAAAAAAAAAAAAAAAAACAAGACTCATCTTAGAAGGCTAGCCTTGATTATAGTATTTCATATATAGGTTAAGCATCCTAATCTGAAAACCTAAAATATTTCCAAATCTGAAACTTTAAAAAATTGACATACAATAATTCTGCATATTTGGCTGGGCACGGTGACTCAGGCCTGTAATCCCAGCACTTTGGGAGGCTGAAGTGGGCGGATCACCTGAGGTCAGGAGTTTGAGACCAGCCTGGCCAACATGGTGAAACCCCATCTCTACTAAAAATACAAAAATTAGTCGAGCGTGGTGGCACGTATCTGTAATCCCAGTTTACTTGGGAGGCTGAGGCAGGAGAATCACTTGAACCTCGGAGGTGGAGGTTTCAGTGAGCCAAAATTGTGCCATTGCACTCTAGCCTGGGTGACAGAGTGAGATTCCATCTCAAAAAAATAATAATAATTCTGCATATTTATGGGATACACACATTGATACATGTATACAATGTCTAAGGATCAAATTAGGGTAAGTGGGATGTCCATTACCCCAAATATTTATCATTTCTTTGTGTTGTGGACTTGCTTTTTTTTGAGATAGGATCTCGCTGTGTCGCCCAGGCTGGAGTGCAGTGATGCAATCACAATTCACTGCAGCCTCGAACTCCTGGGCTCAAGTGAGCCTCCTGCCTCAGCCTCCAGAGTAGCTGGTACTACAGGCATGCACCACCATGCCTGGCTAATTTTTAAATTTTTTTTCTTTCTTTCTTTTTTTTTTTTTTGAGACAGAATCTCACTCTGTCACCCAGGCTGGAGTGCAGTGGCACGATCTTGGCTCACTGCAAGCTCTGCCTCCTGGGTTCATGCCATTCTCCTGCCTCAGCCTCCTGAGTAGCTGGGACTACAGGCACCCGCCACCACGCCCGGCTAATTTTTTTTTTTTATTTTTAGTAGAGACGGGGTTTCACCATGTTAGCCAGGATGGTCTTGATCTCCTGACCTCGTGATCCCCCCGTCTCAGCCTCCCAAAGTGCTGGGATTACAGGCGTGAGCCACCGCGCCCAGCCTAATTTTTAAATTTTTTTGTAGAGATGGGTTCTTGCTATGTAGCTCAGGCTGATCTCAAACTCCTGGCCTCATGTGATGCTCCTAACTCAGACTTCTGAGTTGCTGGGATTACAAGTGTGAGCCAACGCCCCCAGCCTGAAACATACATTTTGTGTTTAGAGTTGGGTCCCCTCCCCAAGATATCTCATTACATATACGCAAATATTGCAAAATTTAAAGACATTTAAAATCTGAAACACTTCCGGTCCCAAGCATTTTGGATAAAGGATACCCAATGTGCATTACAATACCAAATTCATTCAGAAAGAATGTCCTTCACGAATCTATTTCTGAATGAATAGTGGGTTAGGCATTATCACTATTTATCAATACCTAATTTTCCTCTACTTCTGGGTACAAGGAGGATTCCCAGTCCCTTGAGGTTAGATGTGGCCATGTGATTTAACTTGGCCAATGACATGTTACATTTGGGTAACAGCACCTTGATATGGAAGGGTTTTGAGATGGAAGCATCCTGAAAAGTAATGGGCCAACTCATGGACAGCTGGCAGATCTCCAGTGGACTTAATGGAAGAAAAGAATTTTATTCTGTTAAGCCCCTCAAATTCTGGAGTTGTTTGCTATTATATTATTATATAGCCTATTCTGAGTAGTACAAGTATTCTTTGAAATGAACGACACAGGTTCAAAACTGCAATGAAAATGATACATTAAGCTGAGCTGATGTTGAGGCCATGAATTGGGTGACCTAGGCCCATGCACAAGATTCCCCAATTTCCAGCTCAACCGATGTGACCACTGTGACACCTTTTGGTAAGCAACCTTCCACTTCCATGATGGGAATTTTTAGTATCTTGTAAAGGTTAGTAGACATATTGTTTTCACATGCTGTCATTTTATAACACCATTAAGTGTTGTTAGAAGATGATCAGTTTTCTTCAATGTTTTCTCAGTGAACTAGGTGTGCCAACGTTTATCATATTACAATTTGTATATATCATATCAGATGACCACCAATGCCACTGATATTTTCCAGAATTACCATACTCTGCTCAATGTGTTATCTTGAAAAAATGGTTCAGGAAGTGAATATTGCTGGTGTCCTTTTCTTATACAACCCTGCTTTTGCTCAGATATCTATCCATACTTCACACAGCCATGTGCCTCAGAGGAAGTTGACTTCTCCTCTAGTCCCAAGGATGGACTAAATGGTCTAAGGGTAAGTTCATTTTCCCTGCCAGTGTCTGGTTCAGGCACAGGCATGAGACCCAATTTTGCCCAGTGAAATAGAAGAAGTTATCTGGAGAGATCTGAAACATGTTTCCCTTTTTACTAAAAGAGAGCTACTGAAAGAGATGGTCCCACTCTACCCCAATATTGTCATTCTGGTTATGCTGCCTAGAACTGCTATCATAGCTTGCTGTTAGCTTAAGAATAAAACCAGGGAAGCCCAAGGAAGACAGGGACATTATATGGAAAGAACTAGTCTCCTTGCAAATAGTGTTGAGCTATTGAATCTATCACCCTTGTTCTCCCGCTCTGTACTTTCTGTTATATATGATACATTTTCATTGAATCAAAACTTCTGTTATTTATATCTCAAAGTATTAGCTAGCTAATACAATGATAATATATTTACTTTCCTGGATTAGGATATGTCTTTTTATGTTGCCTCTGAGAAAATAATATATATAGTTTTCTTTTAAGAATTCCTAAATTGAGGCTGGTCATGGTGGCTCATGCCTGTAATTCCAGCACTTTGGGAGGCTGAGGAGGGAGGATTGCTTGAGCCCTAGTACTTTGAATGTAGACTGAGCAACATACTGAGACCCTGTCTCTACCAAAGAAAAATAAATTAGCTGGGTGTGGTGTTATGCACCTGTAGTCCCAGCTACTTGGGAGGCTGAGGTGGAAGGATCTCTTAAGCCCAGGAGTTCAAGGCTGCAGTGTGCTATGAACAGCCCTTGGTGAATAGCCACTGCACTTCTGTGAATAGCCACTCCATTCCAGCCTGGGCAACATAGGGAGACTTTGTATCTTAACAACAAGAACAAAATGATTCCTAAATTTTAAACCATGAATTACAATAGATATTACAAAACTCCAGCAGTTTCTAGGATACATGGCTCTTTTAATCAGCATTCTTTCAAATACTATGAGAAATTCTAGAATAGAAGCAATTGATTACTTGTGTTTTACTTCACTGGTAACTTATGGTCCAAATTCAATAACTCAAGAAACAGACTCTTCAAGCATAAGAATGACAATGGAAAATCTGGGCCGGGCACGGTGGCTCATGCCTGTAATCCCAGCACTTTGGGAGGCTTAGGAGGGTGGCTCAATTGACTCCAGGAGTTCGAGACTAGCCTGAGCAACATGGAGAAAACTCGCCTCTACAAAAAATACAAAAAAAAAAGGCCTGTCATGATGGGGCACACCTGTAGTCCCAGCTACTTGGGAGGCTGAGATAGGAGGATCGCTTGAGTCCAGGAGGTCGAGACCGCAGTGAGCTGTGATCTGGCCACTGCACTCCAGCCTGGGCAACAGAGCAAGACCCTGTCTCAAAAAAAAAAAAAGAAAGAAAGAAAATGGAAAATCTGTTTCTTTGCTGATGCCTAAGAGGGTCTGAGTATTGCTGGTGATGGAAAAGGAAAGGGGATGATGATTAGGCACTGCCTCGTACATAATATCAGAAGTTGTGAAGGTAAGTGAAAACCAAGATGGTTTATTTTAAACTTTCAAACTGTAGTTATTTAGGTATCCTTCTATATATTTTATCAGCTTCTTATATAATTATTTGTGTAGTCACTTATTTGTCTACTCCACTAGATTGCTAGCTCCTTCAGGGCAAGGATTATATATATATATATATATATATATATTACAAAACAAACAAACAAAACATATATATAATATATTAATATAAATATATATATTTATGAATATATAAATAAATATAAATATATAATATATTATATATTATATATATTATAAAATATATTATATATTATATATTATAATATATTATAAAATATATTATATATTATATATAATATATTATAAAATATATTATATATAAATATATATTTATGAATATATAAATAAATATAAATATATAATATATATAATATATTATATATATTATAAAATATATTATATATTATATATAATATATTATATATATTATAAAATATATTATATATTATATATAATATATTTTATATATTATAAAATATATTATATATAATATATAATATATTATATATATTATAAAATATATTATATATAATATATAATATATTATATATATTTTGTTTGTTTGTTTGTTTTGTTTTTTGCTTTTTTGAGATGGAGTCTCGCTCTGTCACCGAGGCTGGAGTGCAATAGTGTAATCTCGGCTCACTGCAAGCTCTGCCTCCTGGGTTCACACCATTCTCCTGCCTCAGCCTCCCAAGTAGCTGGGACTACAGGTGCCCGCCACCACGCCTGGCTAATTTTTTGTATTTGTAGTAGATATGGGGTTTCATCGTGTTAGCCAGGGTGGTCTCGATCTCCTGACCTCGTGATCCGCCCACCTCGGCCTCCCAAAGTGCTGGGATTACAGGAGTGAGCCACCGCACCCGGCCAATCATATTTATCTTATTCTTCACTACTCCAAGGCCTACAGCAATGCCTGGGATGGAGTAGGTGTTCAAGAACATAATTTTATATAAAAGACAATAACAAAAATGTTCAGAGTAGGATATTCTAAGCATATGGGACTATCCTAGTCCTTCATCTGAATTCTGGATATGATAGTAAGCTTAGTGTAGAGAGAGAAAAACATCTGATACAGGTAATAAAAGAAAAGTGCAATTTAAGTTAACTACCTATATAGGGTAGTTATTTTTGTGCACTTGTCCCCTTCCCCTCCTAAAGTTATTATCAGGACTCAATTTCCCTTTTAGTGTAGTTATTACTATTATTCTGTTTTCTGTTATGCCCCTCACAGATGTGGACGGGGCTGGCCAACAGGTGTAGTCAGGCCGTGCTAGCACATGGTGAATACGTTGCTGCTATTTTCCTCTTTTCCTTCTCATCCTCTCTCTTTGTGTACTCTTTCTGTCTCCTGTTGCTTAGCTTTCTGCACAGGATCAATAAATCTCTGAATTTCCAGCAGAGCTACTCTGTATTTGGGGATAAATTACTGACCCCAAGCCATTCTCTAGATCCTTTGTGACCTTAGGTCAACTCACTTGATCCCTGGTCATTGGCTGAGCCTGGTAAGGAAAGAAAAATCCAGAGAGGGTAACGATAGCAAAGAGTGAAACCATGGGCTCTACTTTTTTTCATTCCATTGATCTTTCCTTAGTAGCAACCTTCTGTTGACCTGACCTGATGGTCTATTCTCATTCCCCCTCTGACTGAAATCTTTTGCTCAGTTTTCATTCTAGACCACATCTGATTCTTTCCTCTAGGTTTAACTTAATCATTGAGCCCAATGGGTACTAAATAGACTTCCCTTTGTGCAAAGGCTCAAAAACATGCTTTCCTCTATTCAAAGTCCCTTTTTTAGGCTTGGCATTAGTGTTAACTATTTTTTTGTGTGTTTGTTTGTTTTTGTTTTTTTTTGAGACAGAGTTTTGCTCTTGTTGCCCAGGCTGGAGTGCAAAGGTGCAATCTCGGCTCACCGCAACCTCCGCCTCCCGGGTTCAAGCGATTCTCCTGCCTCAGCCTTCCCGAGTAGGTGGGATTACAGGCATGCGCCACCATGCCCAGCTAATTTTGTATTTTTAGTAGAGACGGGGTTTCTCCATGTTGGTCAGGCTGGTCTTGAACTCCCAACCTCCGATGATCCGCCCACCTTAGCCTCTCAAAGTGCTGGGATTACACGCATGAGCCACCGTGGCGGGGGCCAGTGTTAACTACTAATATCCTGTTTGTTTCACTGAGTCTTCCTTTAGCGTTGTAGAATAGTAGATACCCACTAGGGTCTTTTCTGAGAACTATGTGTTTCGTTGGTAGGCAGGGAGAGGTCACTCATACAGCTTTTTGACTATGTGACCCTTACCCACGTAGCCATTGCTGATGGGACCCTTGTTAGAACTTTACCAGAACTGGGCCAATCACATCTTCTTTCTTGTGAATACAAATTTACCCCCAGTGACAGTGAGTTGGAAATGGAGTCCTATTATCAGGCAAGTGTTGGCAGCACCAGCTGGCCACTCCTGAATACTGCCTGAGATTTGTGTAACCTGTTTTGGGAAGGCGCTTTAAAGGTGGTTAAAAGTGCAGGTAAGAAAGATGTAGTTATAGAGAAACAAGTGATTAAGAACTTGATAGTGTAGATTTAAGGAAATGGGTAGATCTGAGAGATTCTGATATTGAAGAAGTATCTAGATTTGGCCAAAAGACAGTGATAAGTTGAAGATGATTCTAGTACTCCATGACCGGGGAACATTTTCAATCAGTATTGGAGTGGCTGGTTGCTGGGCAGAGAGGGCTCTCTGGGATTCTTGAGTTTTTTTTTTTTTTTTTTTTTTTGAGATGGAGTCTTGCTCTATTGCTCGGGCTGGGGTGCAGTGGTGTGATCTTGGCTCACTACAGCCCCCGCCTCCCACGTTCAAGCGATTCTCCTGCCTCAGCCTCCCGAGTAGCTGAGATTACAGGTACCCGCCATCACACTCAGCTCATTTTTGTATTTTAAGTTGAGACGGGGTTTCATCATATTGGCCAGGCTGGTCTTGAACTCCTGGCCTCAGGTGATCTGCCTGCCTTGGCCTCCCAGAGTGCTGGAATTACAGGTGTGAGCCACCAGACCTGGCCTCTTGAGCTTTTTTTTTTTTTTTTTTTTGAGACGGTGTCTCGCTCTGTTGCCCAGGCTGGAGTGCAGTGGCGCAATCTCGGCTCACTGCAAGCTGCGCCTCCCGGGTTCATGCCATTCTCCTGCCTCAGCTTCTCCGAGTAGCAGGAACTACAGCTGCCCGCAACCACGCCCGGCTAATTTTTTGTATTTTTAGTAGAGACGGGGTTTCCCCAGGGTCTTGATCTCCTGACCTCGTGATCCGCCCGCCTCGGCCTCCCAAAGTGCTGGGATTACAAGCGTGAGCCACCGCACCCGGCAAGCTTTTTAAGTAATGGTTCCTCTCTATTTCCACAAGCAGCAGTGTGAATCCACTATAGAGCTTCATTACTAAAATATCAGTACATGATTCAGGAATCACTTTGAAGGGCTGTTCCTGAGAGTTATTTTCACAGTGGCCACAAAATTTGGGCTAGTTAGCCCTCTTTTTCATAGTTAAAGTGCACCAAGATAGCTGTTTTATACATATATAGTTTTGGTGACAAGGGTACTAGACCAAGAATATAAATAGGGCACATTAATATATAATATTAAGAAAAAGTAATACAAAACCAAATCAAGTTGCCTGTGTCCTTGAGAATTTCCAAAATTGTAGAGAAAGCTCTTTAACTCACCTCACTAGAGCACTGTTACAGGGCTAAGGAAAAGCCTTAATGCAATTTTATTATGAATACTGGCTCAGAGCTTATAGGGAGTCTCTATTTGAATGAATTCTCGTCTGGGTGCGGTGGCTCACGCCTGTAATCACAGCACTTTGGGAGGCCGAGGTGGGTGGATCACAAGGTCGGGAATTCGAGACCAGCCTGACCAACATGGTGAAACCCCGTCTCTACTAAAAATACAAAAATTAGCTGGGTGTGGTGGTGTGCACCTGTAATTCCAGCTACTTAGGAGGCTAAGGCAGGAGAATTGCTTGAACTCGGGAGGCGGAGGTTGCCGTGAGCCCAGATCACGCCACTGCACTCCAGCCTGGGCGACAGAGTGAGACTCCATCTCAAAAAATAAAAATGAATTCTCGCTGAAAGGAAACAGATTTTTCAGATAGTTTTAGTTTTACTTTTTATTTGTATTTATTTTGTTAGAGATAAGGTCTTGCTCTACACCCAGGCTAGAGTGCTGCGGCAGTGATCATAGCTCACTGCAACCTTGAGCTCTCAGGCTCAAGCCATCCTCTCACCTCAGCCTCCTGAGTAGCTGGGACTACAGGTATGTGCCACTACACCCAGCTAATTTTTGTTTTTTGGTAGAGATGGGGTCTCACCACGTTGTCCAGGCTGTTCTCCAACTCCTAGGCTCAACTGATCCCCCTATCTTGGCCTCCCAAAGTGCTGGGATTACGGCCAGATTTTCAGTTAGATTGTGGTTTGAAATATGCTGCTGCCATTTACTAGTTGTGTGACTTCATCCAAATTAATCAACCTTTCTGATATTGTTTCCTCACTTGTAAAATGGGGATGGCGACCTATTTACATCCTTTAATATTAATAGCAACTAATCCCTTTAAAAGGAGCTTCTAGTGTCACAATTTTTGGACAGGTATCATATTCATTACAACAAATACCTGAATGACATCTGAAGGCCAGGACCTAAATGAAAGAATTCCTTCTCCAGTGGCGCTCATGGTATTGATATGATGTGGGTGAGATGGGATGAAATCCTAATATTAACAACAGCGACTACTCACAAGCCTTTTCTGTATGTGCTGAGTACTGTTGTTATGAGCTCAACACGCATTGTCTCATTTTATTCTCACACGAATAACCTCATAAGGTGGTTTTAATAGCCTCATTTTATCCAGAACGAAATTGAAGTCCAGAGAAGTTAATTTGTCTAGGGTCATACAGTCAATGAGTGGCGAAATCCAGATTGGAAATTCCCAAATTTCAAAGGCCCCTGCTCTCAACTACCAAGAGGAAAAGGGGGGAAATTGGCTCAATTAAACGCATTCTGTGATCCAGTACCTGTGTGCGACGCTTTAACTATAAGGCGAGGAAGAAATCCCTAGACCAAAGTTTCCCTTAGCCCCTTTTCCTTCAAGAACTTTTAGTTAACAGCTTCTCTCCGCACAGACTGAGCGAATAAAGTTATAGAAAAGGGAGATGGGCTAGCGGCCACGCGGTCCTCGGGGCTGGTGTGGCTGTTTGCCTGACTTCAGACGCCCCGGATCTCCCGGAGGGAAGTCAGGGCCCAAGGCACTCCGCAGTCCAGCTGGGAAAGCTTGGGGCTGTAGGCCCGCGAGTGAACGTGAGCAGGTAACCCAGGCCGCGCAGCCAGACGGAAGCGGAGACCTAGAACCGAGAAGCCCACGTGCCGAAGCGGAAGACTAGAGCTCCCGGGAACGGCCTAGCCAGCGCCTTCCCCTCTCCAGCTCCCTGCCGCCGCGCGGCTCCTCCCACCCTGGGCTCCTCCCGCCCTACTCCCGCCTCCCCGGCCGGTTAGGCCAATGGGCGGGACGCGCGGGCAAGGCGGGGAGGGGCGGGGCCCATGGTCTGCGCGCAGGTGCCGCTCGGCGCCCGGCCCGCCCGTTCCGCCGCTGTCGCCGCCGTCGTGCGTGCCGCTCGGCGGAGGGGACGGGCCTGCGTTCTCTCCTCCTTCCTCCCCGCCTCCAGCTGCCGGCAGGACCTTTCTCTCGCTGCCGCTGGGACCCCGTGTCATCGCCCAGGCCGAGCACGGTGAGGCCCTCAGGGAGCCCGGGGGCGCGATCTCCGCCAGGTCTTCGGCGCCTGGGCTCATTGCCCTGAGGCTGGCGCGGGGCCCGGGCCCAGTGGCCAAGATGGGGCCAGGGCAGCGGGTGGCTTGGGGATGTGTGGATGAATGAGGCGCTGTCGGACTAGGCCGCGCGTCGGGAGATCGGCCTACGCCTCACGCGGGAAAGCCCTGGGGAAAGCCTTCTCCCGACGCCAGGACGCCCGGTGGCCCAGTCCGGAGAGGAGGATGGGGGGTGGGGCCCACTTTGGGTGGGCTGCCGGCCACCTCTCTGTAGGCCAGAGGACCCGACAGGCGCTGTTCCTGTATCTGTTCTTTGGAGGCCTGGGAGTTGGCCAGGAACAGGTGTCAGGACGCTGAGAAGGGAAATTCCTGGCCCTCGGGGTCAGGGATCAGAGGCTGGAATACTACTGCAAGGGCAGGGCCCCAGCGTGGTCCTAGGAGGTACAACTCTCAGCCAGAAGACTGGGACAGTTTTAGTTCCCAGCTTCTGAGACGTGAGCTTAGCGGTCTTTGTGATTTCACTTTGCAGTCCAAGGGTGGGAGTAATTCTGCACGCATGATTTGGAGACAGAACTAGTAAGGGACAGAGAAAGTTTCGACTTGTAAATAAAAAGGTTCCGTCGATTAATTTACCATTAGAAATAGTAACCATAATGTAGATTTTGGAGGTTGCTTATGAGGACTGATGAGCCGTACCTTCAGTGCCAAAGGTGGGAGGGACTTGGTGGAAGGACCCCAGTACCTGGTGGGTGTTCATCTATGTGAAAAATGGGGGTTGTGGGCGAATGGGAAAGATAAGATTCCAGATTATAGAGGAATGGTTTGGTGTGAAGGGTGACTTGGCTGCTGGTGGTTCCACAATGGAATTTTCTTTGACTGTCTTCTGTGTACTTGCTTCCAAATGCTTTCTTTCATATAACCATATATCAGGTTAAGATATAAAGTGTTTTGTGAGCAGTCTGGATGGAAGATTGGTAGCTAAACTCTAAGTTTATCTTTGATTCCTGGTGCCACAAATATTTTATTTATTTATTTATTTATTTAAGACAGAGCCTAGCTTTGTCGCTCAGGCAGAGCCCAGTGGCGTGATCTTGGCGCACCGCAACCTTCGCCTCCCGAGTTCAAGCAGTTCTCGAGCCTCAGCCTCCCGAGTAGCTGGAATTACAGGCTGCGCGCCTGATGGCCGGCTAATTTTTTTGTATTTGTTTTTCTTTTTAGTAGAGACGGGGTTTCTCCGTGTTGGCCAGGCTGGTCTCGACTCCTGGTCTCAAGCAGTCTGCCCACCTCGGCCTCCCCCTCCCAAAGTGCTGGGATTACAGGCCTGAGCCACCGTGCCCGGCCCAACAAATATTGATTTTAGATCAGTCTTTCTGGGACTTCTCAGCAATGACTCTTTTGACAACGGATATGTTTACAGAACTTTTTAAACATTTTTGCTGAAAAAAAAGTGGATTTAGCTCTGTGTTAGTTTTGGATCGCTATATACAGTATGTTTTGTTCTTAATCTTAATTCAATAATATATTGTATGTGATGAAATGTGTTTTGGGTCCATGTGGATAGTAAAAAGTTTTGTTCATATGTTTGCTTTGGTATTTCAGATGCCCCCTAAAAAGGGAGGTGATGGAATTAAACCACCCCCAATCATTGGAAGATTTGGAACCTCACTGAAAATTGGTATTGTTGGATTGCCAAATGTTGGGTAGGTGAACGTTGGGGCTTTTGTGATTTTCATTTTGTAAATATTTTGGGTCCTATTGTAGAAATGGGAACCGTGAGGTAATTAAACTTTAAGTTGAAGAAAAGAGGCCAGGAAGCTGGACTATTAATATTGCAAAATTAGGCTTTAGTTTAGATGTATTTTATTGATTTCAGTGCTGGTTGGCTATGTGTGGTACCTACATAGGCTGTCTACCAGAGGCCATGCAGTAGGCTACTTTAGGAAATTGATTTGAAAGCTCCACCATAATAAGCTTGATGGAGAAGGAGGTGACAGTTTTGAATTTCGTAGTGGAAATCGTAAAAGGTTTGCTGTTATAAAGAGTCTAAATCTGAAAGTTCTGAGAGCAGAAATTTGAGTTTTGTAATATTTTCTTTTCTTTTTCTTTTTTTTTTTTGAGATGGAGTCTCACTCTGTCGCCCAGGCTGGAATGCAGTGGCATGATCTTGACTCACTGCAACCTCTGCCTCCCGGGTTCAAGTGATTCTCCTGTCTCAGCTTCCTGAGTAGCTGGGATTACAGGCGCGCACCACCACGCCCAGCTAATTTTTGTATTTTTAGTAGAGACGGGGTTTCACCATGTTGGCCAGGCTGGTCTTGAACCCCTGACCTCATATGATCCACCTGCCTCAGCCTCTTATAGTGCTGGGATTACAGGCATGAGCCACTGAGCCCAGCTGTAATGTTTTCAAAGTTACAGTGAATTGAATATATGCAAATAAGAGAGTGATAGGAAATATATGTGGGGTTTATCATAACTCTATACACACGCAACTTAAGTGTTCAAAGTCTTCTTTTTTTTTGAGATGGAGTCTTGCTCTTTTGCCCAGGCTGGAGTGCAGTGACGTGATCTCAGCTCACTGCAGCCTCTGCCTCCCAGGTTCCAGCAATTATCCTGCCTCTGCCTCCCGGGTAGCTGGGATTACAGGCATGTGCCACCACGCCCGGCTAATTTTTCTATTTTTAGTAGAGACGGGGTTTTACCATGTTGGCCAGGCTGGTGTTGAACTCCTGACCTCAGGTGATCTGCCTGCCTTGGCTTCCCAAAGTGCTGGGATTACAGGTGTGAGCCACTGCACTGGGTCCAAGTGTTCCTTTTTCATTATTTATCCTTTCACTAACCTTAAAATATAAAACATCTCAAAAGTGATTAGGGTGTACTAATAGGTAGCAGATTCAGTGTGGATTTGTGAAAGTGATCAAGGGTGGCCTTTTAGATTGGTGGCAAGTAGGACAATCATGTTCTTAGGTATTCCGAGGAGCTCCTGTCATAGAGATTCCTCAATGAACAGAGCATGGCGTGACCAAGTGAGGCATGTCTTAAATTCATGTAATGTAAAACATGAGCAAGTGTGGCTGTCCTGATTTCAGTCTTTCCTGGAGCTTGAAGAGGTTTTCATTTTGAAGGGGTTTCCTGCTGTGATATAGTCTGCTTGCAGAGTAAGACTAAGTAGAGAGTTGAAATGTAAGCAAAACAAATAATTAATCAAAATACTGTAGGGTGCTATCAATAAACGTGAAAGCAAGCTATGATCATTATTTATGTTGTGAGCTTTATTGCACTAGTAAGGAAGTTAAGTTTTGAGATATTGACATACTTCTCATTCTAGAATTGTTGCAGTTACTACAACTTGATTTTAAATGGGACTATATTAAAATGGGCCATATTAAGTGTTTTCTGTACATATAGGCAACCCTCTGTATCTGTGGTTTCACATCCTTGGATTCAACCAATCTCAAATCAAAAATATTTTTTTAAAAAATTGGCTGGGCATGGTGATTCATGCCTGTAATCTCAGCACTTTGGGAGGCCGAGGTGGGTGGATCACTTGAGGTCAGGAGCTTGAAACCAGCCTGGCCAACATGGCGAAACCCCATCTCTACTTTAAAAAAACACAACAAAAATTAGCCGGACATGGTGGCAGGAGCCTGTAATTCCAGATACTCGGGAGGCTGGGGCAGGAGAAACAGCTTGAGCCCGGGGGGTGGAGGTTGCAGTGAGCCAAGGTCCCGCCACTGCACCCCAGCCTGGGTGACAGAGCGAGACTCCGTCTCAAAAAAAAAAAATTTTTTTTTAATTAAATAAAAAATGAGAATATAACAGTAAAAAAAATAGTAAACAACTATTTACCTATCATTTACATTGCATTAGGTATTATACTACACCATTGTATATAAGGGACTCAATCTGCTGGAATCTTAGAACCAATCCCCTGCAGCTATGGAGGGACGACCATAGCTTTTTAGTCATAGAGCATAATGAAATTAATGTACGTGGAAGTAACCTAAAAATATTTTATTATTCAGAATAAGTGTGTGTGCTGTTTACACTTTTAAATAAAATGCTTTCCCCTCCCAGTGTCATTGAGGTATACTTCACAAATAGTAAAATTCACTCATTTTAAAGGTACAGTTTAATGAGTTTCGGCAATTGTATTTGGTTGTAAACACTACTTTTTGTAGAATGATCTTACTTCACACAACTGTATCAGGTAGGATTCTTTGTAAGCAACACAATTCTGGCTGTTTTCAGCAGGAAAAAGAGGTTTATTGGAATAAGTGAATTACAATCTGAACAGCCAGGCCTCAAGAGGGATAAGAGCCAAGTGGTGCTGGCAGAAATGGGTCCATGTGGAGCTCAGCCATGTGAATCCCTGGATTTCTGGGTGTTTCTCATTTCCTGTCTCTCCTGTAATTCCAATTCCTGAGTAAGGAAATCCGACCGGACTTGTGTGCTTCTGTATAGATCTACAAGATATAGATTGTGGGAGGGAGACGGTTCTCTAAAGGATGGCCTGCTGATCAAAAGTAAGGACATTCAGTACAAAACCATCTAGAGAATCTCTTGGTTTTTAGCTGGGTGAATAGGAAGGCTTACTTTTTAGTCTGCATAAGGCTGATGACCCAGAAACTTAGAGGTAATATTTATAGCTAATCAGATATTGAACATTTACTATATGCCAATCGCTATTTTGAGTACTTTATATATATTATCTAATTTAATAAGTGGTTTGACATTCCCCTCCATTGCAATTTAAATTCTGTGAAGGTAGGAAGGTACCGATTGTCTCGTTCTTGCTTATTGGTATATTTCTAGTGCCTAGACTGGTGTTAGAAACATAGTAGATATTTAGTAATTATTTGTTAACGGGACACGATGGTGTTAGGAACATAGTAGATATTTAGTAATTATTTGTTAATGGGATACATATTTCCCCTTTGACGGCTGGATGTAGATTTAGTGATAAGGAGACATGTTTTTGTTTTTTGAACAAGATTTTATTCTCTTGCCCAGGCTGGAGTGCGGTGGCATGATCATGGCTCACTGCAGCCTAAATCTCCCGGGCTCAAGCAGTCCCTACTCCTCAGCCTCCTGAATAGCTGGAACTGCAGGCACACAAAACACCGTGCCTGGTTAATTTTTGTATTGTTTGTAGATGGAGTTTCACCATGCTGCCCTGAGGCTGGTTTCACAGCCTGACCAGCGTGGTGAAACCCCATCTCTACTAAAAATACAAAAATTAGCCAGGTGTGGTGGCACGCCCCTGTAATCCCAGCTACTCAGGAGGCTGAGGCAGGAGAATTGCTTCAACCTGGGAGGCGGAGGTATCAGTGAGCTGAGATCGCGCCACTGCACTCTAGCCTGGGTGACAGAGCGAGACTCCATCTGAAAAAAAAAACAACAAAAACACAAAAAAGCCTGTCTCCTTGCCCCGTGTGGTGGCTCACGCCTGCTGGAATTACAGGTGTGAGCCACCGTGCTGGGCAATTAAATGACCTCTTTTAATGAAGTAGAAAGAATATGGAGATTTGGTTTCTAGTTCTGTACTGCTTTTTCTTACCTGAGTGACCCTTTATAAATGAGCTCCTGTTGGAGCAGTGTATTATTGTGGTTGTGAGGCTTAGAGAATATTGGGGGCGAAAGTACGTTTTGATACAGTGTTCCAAACTTCTTTATTTCTGTGAGGGATAGCTCTTCTTGTTGCTATCCACTGCATCAGATGGGATTAGGTTCAATTAAGAGCATCAGAAAACCCCAGATAACCAGTTTTTTTTCTTCATGTAAAAATGTACATTTTGCAGTCATAGCTTGGTATAGTGGACCTGCTTTATGAAGTCCTCAGGAACCCATGCTCCTTTCACTTCACAGCTTGGCAATCCCTAGGATGTGGCCTCATCCTCATGGTCTAGAGCTAGGGTTCCCGAACCTCATGCTGGGGACTGGTACCGATCTGTGGCGTGTGAAGAACCAGGCTGCATGGCAGGAGGCGAGCAGCAGGCGAGTGAGCATTCCCACCTTAGCTCCACCTCCGGTCAGGTCAGCAGCAGCATTCGATTCTCAGAGGAGCGCAGGCCCTGTTGTGAACTGCGCATGCAAGAGATCTAGGTTGCACGCTCCTTATGAGAATCGAACTAATGCCTGATGATCTAAAATGGGGCAGTTTCATCCTGAAACCATCCCCCACACCCTTGGTCCGTGGAAAAATTGGCTTCCATCAGCCAATTCACGGTCCAGTCCCTGGTGCCAAAAAGGTTGGCGGCTGCTGGTCTAAGGTGTTGTGAATTCCAGGCAGCTGGTTATCCGAAGGGTCAGGGGGCCAAACTTGACTAGCAGCCTTTTTCCTGTAAACTGCCATACCATACTTCTGCCAACATCCCTTTGTCCAGAATTTAGTCACAAGAATTTAGTTGCAAGGAAGGCAAGGAAATGTAGTCTTTATTTTGACAGCCACATGTTTGGTTAAAAATTCTGTTACTCTTGGCTGGGTGCAGAGGCTCACGCCTGTAATCCCAGCACTTTGGGAGGCTGAGGCAAGCGGATCACTTGAGGTCAGGAGTTTGAGAACAGGCTGGCCAACATGGTGAAACCCCATGTCTACTAAAAATACAAAAATTACCTGGGTGTGGTGGCGCACGCCTCTAATCCCAGCTACTCGGGAGGCCGAGGCAGGAGAATGGCTTGAACCTGGGAGGCAGAGGTTGCAGTGAACCAAGATTGTGCCACTGCACTCCAACCTGGGCCACAGAGTGCGACTCTGTCTTAAAAAGAAAAAACAAAAAACGATTACTCTGAAAGAAGGGGAAAATGGATATTATGGGCAACTAGTATACTGTGTTCAAACACTCACAAACTGCCCCAGGAGAGTAATTGTCTTGTTTAGCTGATCCTTCTGGGAATGCATTTTGGTGTCCCTGCAAATTGCCTTCTCCCAAATTTCTGCAGACCAATCACAGCGTCTGTGAAAGCCATTTACCATTGCTGAGGGAAAAGGTTGTAGAAAATGCTAAAAAAAAGAAAAAATCACAAGAGAATTATCACCATTGTATAGTTATCTGTTGATGTGTAGCAAACCATTCCAAAAGTTCATGGTTTAAAATAGTAACAATTTTTGTTCGTCGGGAATGTAGTGAGTTAGAAAGGTCTTCTGCCAGTCTCATTGGGATCCCTCATGTGACTGCATTCAGCTGGTGGCTAGTTGAGACTGAAAGATCCAAGATGGCCATTTTAACAGATCTGGGGCCTTAGCTGGATTGACTGGAAGTCTGGGGCACTTCTCTTATACTTGGCCTCATTCTCTTTCTAAGTGGTCTCTAGACCAAGCTTCCTTATATCTTGGCGTCTGGCTCTCGAGAGAATGGAGGTGTGGCAGTGGCATAGCAAACTTACACAGAAATCTTTTGGTCAAGGCAAGTCATGACACCAGCCCAGAGACATGGGGAGAGGGGAAATAGACTCTACCTCTTGATGGGAGGAGTGACAAAAAATGTGTGGCCATCTTCAATCCACTGCAGTCCACTATTTTCCTGATACAAAATATGTGATGTCTATGTGTTCCTAGAAGTCTGCCTAGTTGATTCTTAG
This sequence comes from Homo sapiens, assembly GCF_000001405.40. Lineage (NCBI taxonomy): Eukaryota > Metazoa > Chordata > Mammalia > Primates > Hominidae > Homo > Homo sapiens. The sequence goes on along the minus strand of NC_000002.12, from coordinate 174,240,833 downwards.
CTCACTTGTGTTTTAGAAGCTCCATTCTTGATTGCTCAAAGGAACTCACAGGAGGAAAATTATTCTCTAGGCTGCAAATACTGATGATCTGAGTATTTTCATTCTAAAGAGCTGATAAAATTAAGCTAAGAGTCAGATTCCCATGTCTACCGAGAAGACAGGTATCTATGGATATCAGAGATATCTCTTGATGGCTTGTGATTTTGAGCATCTTTCCATATGTTATTGGATATCTTATGTAAAAAGTCTTTTTTTTTCTTAATGATTAGTTTTTTATTCTGGATATGAGTTCTTTGTTGGATATGTATTACAATGATCTCTTGCCAGTTTGCTTGACTTTTCACTTAAGATTAAATTAAAAAAAAATTTGAGCTGGTCTCAGTGGTGCCCACATGTAGTCTCAGCTACTCAGGAGGTTGAGGTAGGAGGATACCTTGAGCCCAGGAGTTCTGGGCTGTGTTGTGCTATGCTGATTGGGTGTCTGCAACGCCACCCACAGTGGTGATCCAGTGTCAGCACTAAGTTCAGCATCAATATGGTGACCTATCAGGAGTGGAGGATCACTAGGTTGTCTAAGGAGGGTGAACTGGTCCAGGTCAAAAACAGAGCAGATCAAAACTCCTGTCCTGATGGGTAGTGAGATCTCTGAATAGCCACTACACTCTAGCCTGGACAATATAGTAAGACCCATATGGAAAAAAAATTTCTTTTGAAATAATTTCATGCTTAAAAAAACTCACAGTTGCAAAAATAGTTTTAAAAATTCCTATTTAACCTCTGCTTGGATCCCCTAAGTGTTAAAATCTTTATAACTATAATACAATGATCAAAATCAGGAAATAAACATTGATTTACTAATTGTCCCTCTAATGTCCTTTTTTTGGTCCAAGATTCAATCCATAATTGTATGTTGCATTTAATTGTTTTTTGTTTTTTTTTTGAGATAGAGTCTCGCTCTGTCATCCAGGCTGGAGTACCTTGGCCTGATCATAGCTCACTGCAGCCTCAAATTCCTGGGCTCAAGTGATGCTTCCACCTCAGCCACCTGAATAGCTGGGACTGCAGGCACATTTTATTATGTCAGGCTAATTTTTAACTTTTTTTTTTTTTTTTTTTTTTGTAGAGATGGGTTCTCACTATGTTGCCCAGGCTGGTCTCAAACTCCTGGCCTCAAGTGATCCTCCCACCTCGTCCTTCCAAGTGCTGGGATTATATGCATGAGCCACTGTGCCCAGCTGCATTTAAGTGTTTTGTTTCCTTAGTTTCCTTTAACCTGGAACACATTCTCAGTCTCTTTTTGTGTTTGATATCCTTGACACTTTTGAAGAGTACTGGCCAGTTATTATGTACAGCTCTCATTTGGGGTTTGTCTGATGTTTCCTCATAATTAATTTCAAGTTATGTACTTTTGAGCACATAAGTGACATATGCTTTTCAATACAGTGTATTAGAAAGCACATGATGTTGATTTGTCCATTTTTGGTGATATTAACTTTGATTGCTCGTTGGTATCTGACAGATTTCTTCACTGAAAGGGTTATTTTTCCCATTGCAATTAATAAGCATCTTGTAGGGGGTCCTTTGAAATTTTGTACATATATTGTTTCTCATACTTTTGCCCCCTAATTTTGGCATGTGTTATTGATTCTTACTGAAACAGTTATTATTGTGGTGTTTGCCAAATGGTGATTAAAAAATATCCCTTATTTCTTCTACATTTAGAAGAAACAATTTGTAGAAGGAACAATGGAACTTCTATTGTGTAAAATCCTATTGTACAAAAGAGTTTCCCATTTATTCATGTATTTGATTATAATTTATTTATATCAGTATAGATTCTTAATTTATTCTTTTGGTTATAATCCATTACTGTTGTTATTTTGTCACTCTAATTGCCCATATTTGGTGATTAGGAGCCTTTATGTTCACTTATATTCCTTTTGACATGTCCTCTTTATTTTTTGAGTGCTTTCTACTTTCTGACACCACAGTATCTTTCAGTTATATACAACATATTTTATATTTCAGTACAATATGTTATTTGTACTCTGTCTGCTTCAGCCTTAGGATACATAAATTTTTATTTAGATATATGATTTTATTTCTCTTAGGTATATATTTAGAAGTAGAATTTCTGGGTCACATGTGACTGTATATTTAACTATTGAGGACTGCCAAACTGTTTTCCAAAGTGGCTGCACCATTTTATGTGCGCACAGGTGGTGTATGTGGGTTCCAATATTTCACATCCTTGTCAACATTTGTTGTTATCTTTTTGATTATAGCCAAGTTGTGAAGTTTTTGATTGGTGTTTTTTCTCTTTTTTTTTTTTTTTTTTTGGACATAGAGTCTCACTCTGTTGCCCAGGCTGGAGTTCTGTGGCACAGTCTTGGCTCACTGCAGCCTCCACCTCCTGGGTTCAAGTGATTCTCCTGCCTCAGCCTCCTAAGTAACAGGGATTATAGGCATGCGCCACCACCAGGTAATTTTTGTATTTTTAATAGAGCCAGGATTTCACCATGTTGACCCAGGCTGGTCTCAAACTCCTGACCTCAGGTGATCCGCCTGCCTCCGCCTCCCAAAGTGCTGGGATTACAGGTATGAGCCACCGTGGCTGGCCAATTGGTGTTTTCTTGATGGCTAAGAATATTGACATCTTTTCATGTGCTTATCACTTCTTCATTTTGAAAGATATTTTCACTGGGTAGAATTCTAGGTTAACAGTTATTCTTCTAGTGCTTTGAAGATAATCTTCTACTTTATTCCCTTTCTGGGATGCCTATTACAGACAAGTGCTGCATAATGATGTTGGTCAATGACTGACTGCATATATGACGGAGGTCCCATGAGATTATAATGGAGGTGAAAATTTTCTATCACCTGGTGATACTGTAGTTGTGGTAATTTCATAGTGCAAGGCATTACTCACGTTTGTGGTGATGCTAGTGTAAACAAGCCTGTGCTGCCAGTCATATAAAAGTATAGCATATACAATTATGTACAGTACGTAATACTTGATAATAAATGACAGTTACTGGCTTATGTATTTACTATAGTTAATTTTTGTTTGTTTGTTTTTTGAGACAGAGTCTTGCTCCATTGCCCAGGCTGGAGTGTAGTTGCCTGATCATAGCTTACTGCAGCCTAGAGCTCCTGGGCTCAAGCAATCCTCCTGCCTCAGCCACCTGAGTATAGCTGTGACTACAGGCACACGCCACCCCACCTGAGTAATTAAAAAGATATATTTTTGTAGAGATGGGGACTTCCTGTGTTGCCTAGGCTGGTCTTGAACTCCTGGCTTCAAGCGATCTCTTTGCCTCAGTCTCTTTGTGCTGGGATTACAGGCATTAGCCTCCATGCCCAGCCTATACTGTAATTTTTATGGTTACTTTAGAGTGTACTCTTTCTACTTATAAAAAAAAAAAGTAACTGTAAAACAGCCGTTGGCAGTTCCTTCAGGAGGTATTCCAGAAGGAAGCATTGTTATCATAGGAGATGACAGCTCCATGTGTGTTATTGCCCCTGAAAACCTTCCTGTGGGACAAAATGTGTAGGTGGAAGACAGTGATATTCATGATCAGACTCCATGTAGGCCTGGGTTAATGTATGTGTTTATGTCTCGGTGTTTAACAAAAAAGTTTTTAAAAAAAGCACACATTTTAAAGATATAAAAAAGCATATGGAATAAGGATATAAAGAAAAAATATTTTTGTACAGCTATACAGTGTATTTGTATTTTAAGCTAAGTGTTATTACAAAAGAGTCAGTAAGTTAAAATTAAAGTTGATAAAGTAAAAAGTATTGGTAAGCTAAGGCTAATTTATTGAAGAAAGAAAAATATTAAAAAATAATTTTAGTGTATCCTGAATGTACAATGTTCATAAAGTCTACAGTAGTGTGCAGTAATGTCCTAGGCCCTCACATTCACTCACCATCACTCATTGACTCACCCAGAGCACCTTCCAGGCCTGCAAGCTCCACTCATGGTAAGCGTCCTATTTCACTTTTATATGTATTTTTACTGTTCCTTTTCTATGTTTAGATATATAGTACCTGCCATTGTGTTACATTTGTCTACAGTGTTCAGTACAGTAACATGCTGTACAGGTTTAGCCTAGAAGCAATAGGCTATCCCATATAGCCTAGGTGTGTAGTAGGCTGTACCATCTAGGTTTGTGTAAATATACTCTGTAATGTTCGCACGATGATGAAATTGCCTAAGGACCCATTTCTCAGAATGTATCTCCATCATTAAGCGATGTATGGCTGTAAATGCATGTTCTTCCCTAGATAGTATCCTGCTGAAGCTCTGGTTATTTCTTTCTCCAGTCTTTTTCTCTCTTTGTGCTTCATTTGGATACTTTTATTGCTGTCTTCAAGGTCTTTTGCTTGCAGTGTCCAATCTTCTGTTAATCATGTCCAGTGTATTTTTCATTTCAATTTCATTTTATTTCAAATATTGTATCTTTTTAACAATAATTTTATTTGGATATTATGTGTTTCATTTTCTTCCTCACTGTCTTTATATTAGCTTTTATATCCTTAAGAAAAATTTTAAAAGATTTGTAACATTTATTTTAAGGTCCTTTTATGCTACTTCATCTCTCATTACTATATTTGTATTTACTGACTTTTATCCTGATTTTGGTATATATATTTCTGCTTTTTTGCATGTCTTATAATTTTTATTGGATTCTATACACTGTGGATTTTATGTTAAATGCTAAATATTGTTGTTTTCCTTTAAAGAGTGTTGGACCTCGGTATGGCATTTAGTTATTTATGTATCAGATTAATTGTTTTGAGTCTTCTTATGATGGATTAATATGATTTTGTGCTCTGGTGCTACTTAAGCCCTAGTACTAAGACTTGACCCTTTTGAGGACTCTATCCAAATTCCCTTGTATTACAGGATCTCTCCACTGTGGCTCATAGGAATGTGAACTGTTCCAATCTCCATGTGAGCCCTGAGAACTGTTCATCCTACTCTGTTTGGGTGGTTCTTTCCCTGGACTTGTAGTGATTGAATTTACTCATGCGCAAATCATTACTTAGCTGCGTTCTTGAGGGGACCCTCTGCAGCTCTTCAGAGCGTTTTCTCTGTGCAGCTCCCACCTTTCTAGTATACTCTCCCATAAATTCTAGCTGCCTTGGCCTCCTAACTCTCATCTTAGTCTCTTCAACTTGGTGTGACTACTGGGTTCTGTTGGTTTCCCCTCTTGGAATGGTGACTTTGAAAGCATCAGTAGGCAGTAAGCTGGAGCAATTGTAGAGCTTAGTTTATTTGTTATTCTTCTCTCAGGGAACACAGTCCTGTGATGCATATTGTCCTTTGTGTGAAAACTATTATTTCATAGATTTTTGTCTGGTTTTCTAGCTCTTTGTAGCAGGAGGGCAGTTCTTGTAGCAGAGGGGAAGCAAAACTCCCCAAAACCATTTTAAATGAATTTAAATCTTACTGTCTGCTTGTCAATATTCCAGAATGCCTGTTCTTTCATAGAAATCTATGATTTGGGACTTATTTACTTTCTCTTTTTAATATGTTCTGAATGATCTTTTTGAATAACAGATCTGTTTTCCTAATCACTCTTTCCTAGTATTCAGCAGTAACTGTGTGCCTTAGAGGTACTTCATAGATTAATGGGTTTTACGTTTTATTTATTTATTTTTTTCCCAAGACAAAGTCTCGCTCTGTTGCCCGGGCTGGAGTGCAGTGGTGCGATCTCCACTCACTGCAACCTCTGCCTCCTGGGTTCAAGCAATTCTCCTACCGCAGCCTCCCACGTAGCTGCGATTACAGGCATGTGCCACCATGCCTGGCTAATTTTTGTATTTTTAGTAGAGATGGGCTTTCATCATACTGACCAGGTTGGTCTTAAACTCCTGACCTCAAGTGATCTGCCCGCCTCTGCCTTCCAAAATGCTGGGATTACAGGCTTGGGCTACCATGCCCCGCCTAGTTTTAAAATTTTAAATGAGTTTCTTTTTCAGAATTCTAATCTAGTCTGTATTGCTGTATCACCACATAATTTCAAATAATTTTTTTTTTTCTCCTTAAGGTACAGTTGAGGGCTGGGCATGGTGACTCATACCCATAATCCCAGCACTTTACGAGGCTGAAGCTGGCAGATTGCTTGAGTTTAGGAGATGAAGACCAGCCTGTGCAACAGGGTGAAACCCTGTCTCTACAAAAAATACAGATATTAGCCAGGGGTGGTGGTACGCACGTGTAGTCCCAGCTGCTTGAGAGGCTGAAGCGGGAGGATCTCTTGATCCTGGGAGGTCAAGGCTGCAGTGAGCCATGTTCATGCCACTGCTCTCCAGCCTGGGCAATAAAGTGAGACCCTATCTCCAAAAAATAAGAAAGTTAAAAAAGAAATTACAGTTGACCCTTGAACAGCTCGGGGATTAGGAGCACTGACCCCTGGCCCAGTCAAAGATTTGTGTGTAATTTTTGATTCCCCCAAAACTTAACTACTAATAACCAACTATTGACTGGAAGCCTTACCAATAACATAAACAGTTGATTAAGCTATATTTTGTATGTTGTATTATTCTATACTATATTCTTACAATAAACTAAGCTAGAGAAAATAATGTTATTAAGAAAATCATAAGGAAGAGAAAACGTAGCTACTATTCACTAAGTGAAAGTGGATCATCATAAAGGTCTTTGTTGTCTTCATGTTGAGTGGGTTGAGGAGGAGAAGGAGGTGGAGGGTTTGGTCTTGCTGTCTCAGGTGGCAGAGGCAGAAGATAGAGAGGAAGTGGAAGGAGAGGAAGGAGGGGCAGGCACATTCAGTGTAAATTTTATTGAAAATAATCTGTGTATAAGTGGACACATGCACTTTGAACATGCATTTCAAACCAGTGTTGTTCAAGGGTTAACTGTATTTGCTTTACTAAACCACAGACTTTATTTGGATTTCACCAGTTTTCCCACTAATGTCCTTTGTCTTTTCCAGTGTTGAATACCATGTTGTGTTTTAGTCTTCATGTCTCCTATCTCCTCCAATCTTTGACAGTTTCTGAATGTTTTATTTTTCCTGACCTTCAAAGATTTATTTTTGAAGAGTACTGGTTAGGTATTTTGTATAATATTTATCCATTTGAGTTTGATACTTTTTAAAGAAATTATGGTAATAAACACATAATATATGGCCACGCACAGTGGCTCACGCCTATAATCCTAGCACTTTGGGAGGCTGAGGCAGGAGGATCACTTGAGTTCAGGAGTTCAAGGCCAACCTGGCCAACATGGCAAAACCCCATCTCTACTAAAAGTACAAAAAATTAGCTGGCCGTGGTGTCATGCACCTGTAGTCCCAGCTACTCTGGAGGCTGAGGCATGAGAATCGCTTGAACCCAGGAGGCGGAGGTTGCAGTAAGCCGAGATCGTGACACTGCACTCTAGCCGGGTGACAGAGTGAGATTCTGTCTCAAAATAAAAAATGTAATATATTATACAATTTACCATCTTAATCGTTTTTTAATGTGCAGTTCAATTGTGTTAACTGTATTCATTGTTGTATAACAGATCTCTAGAACTTTTTCATCTTGCGTAACTGAAACTGTATACCCATTGAACAACTTCCCATTTCTCTTTCCCCCCAGCCCCTGGAAACCACCATTCTACTGTTTCCATGATTTTGACTACTCTAGATATCTCATATAAGTATATTCATATTTGAGTATATGAATATAAGTGGAATCATAAAGTGTTTATACTTTTGCGACTAGCTTATTTTACTCAGCATAGTGTCCTTAAAGTTTATTCATGTTGTAGCATGTGACAGGATTTCCTTCTTTTTAAGGGCTGAGTAATGTTCTATCATATGTAGATAACATTTTCTTTATCCATTCATCTGTTGATGGACATTTGGTTCTACCTCTTGGCTATTATGAATAATGCATCAATGAACATGGGTTTGTAAATATCTCTTTGAGATCCTGCTTTCAACTCTTTTGGATATATACCCAGAAGTGAGATTGCTGGATCGTATGGTAATTCTATTTTTACTTTTTTGAGGAACCTCAAACTGTTTTCCGTAGCGTCTATACCACTTTACATTCCTACCAGCAGTGCACGGAGTTCTAATTTCTCTGTACTCTTGCCAACACTTATCATCTTGTTTTTTTGATAGTGGCCATCCTAATAATTGTAAGGTTATATCTCATTGTGGTTTTGATTTGCATTTCTCTAGTGATTAGTGGTTGAGCATCTTTTCATATTTTTTTAGCCATTTGTGTCTCTTTGGAGAAATAATCTGTTGAGAACAGACATTTCTCTAGGTGTGATCATTGCTGCTGAAGTGTTGCTGTTTTTAGGCCTTCTTCTCCGATGGAAGTAGAAAATATGTAATTATACTCACCCATGTATACATGGATTGGCATTTATTTCTGTCATCTTACGTATTTGTGTATCTATCAGATAGATGCTTTTAACAGTTTAGTTATATCTAATTGAAAACATTTTGAAAGAACTTTCTACTTCTTTTCCCATGTTTTGGATGGATATTATATATAAATAGTTAATTCAGAATGCTGTGGGAATTTGCACTGGTATCCCTACTTCCCATTACATGCTGCAATTTTGTGTAAAGTTTTACATAAAACATCTATTCAGTCAGATTGACTTAACAGAGTAAAATAGTAATTTCCAAAATAAAGTATGTAGGTCCTAAGTCTAGGGGGCATACATTTAGTCTAGTCACTGTGTTTTTTTTCTTTTAATGCTATCTATCATTGCTGAAATAAGTTATGTAAACCCATTCTTGCATGAGAGAAATTCCTACAACTTTGAATCTTTCTCCTGCTTTTAAGCTTTAATATTAACCTCAAGGGATCTAGGGGTGCGTGTGTGTGTGTTTAAAAAGTTCTCATTTTACAAAAAGCATATGGGCTTTAACACTTCAGGCATAGGCCAAAACTTTCAAATTCTTTGCTTTCGCGAGGCTTTTCTTAATAGATTTGAATAGATCAAAATGTCTTTAGTTGCCACTGAAGCCTATAGTAATGATCCTTAGAAATTTTTCTTTTTCCTTCTTCCTTATTTCTTTTTACTTTTTTTATACCTGCAAAGCTGTTAGAAGCTACAGATGACTTGGGTTTCACGACATTTAATATTCATCTAAAATGAGACAGTCTGTGAATATGGATATTTGTCTTCTAAGTTTAGTTTGAATGTATGTAAGAATTTTTTCTGCCTAAGGAATTTTCTTTTGCTATGTTTTACCATATAATATGTTTTAAGGGATACATTTTAAAAAATCACAAAACATACTTATTTTTGTCCAGGTAGACGATATAAAATACTGTACACAGTAATCGCCATAAATTTGAAAAAAACTCCATAAACAACCTATGGCCTTTTTAGAATTGCAGCTGACTGTGGTAATAGTAATGAGCAGTTTTTAAACTACAGTATACGAAAATGCAATAGCATTTTATTTTGTCTTCATAACGTTAGGCCCAAGTGTCCTATAAATGTTTAAATTAATAGATTTAAATTTTGTCTTAAGTACTTTTATTACAACATTATTCTGCAATATTTCCATTGTAGGTATACAATATTTTCATTACATTTTAGATAAATAAGGATTCCTGGACTGTTCTGGCAACTTAACTATCACTCTTTATTTTAAATTTTTTCATGGAGAGGGGAAGAAGGAATGGAGAGTGGGCCAGTCTGTGTTACCAATTACTTGAGTAGGCTTTTGTAGTTTTCTCTTGAGGAAAATATCCCCAGTGGGAAAACTGGTGGTGTGCCTGAGGTTCTCCAAGTTTCCTCCAAATGTTTTGCTGGTTTCTTTCTCCTTCAGCATCAGCTTTCTATGTGTATAAAGTCTGGATCCTTGCATCCTTCTTTTGCCCAGAATGGGCACAGGTCCCCAGGGTAAAAGTGGCTGTAGAGGTCAAATCACTTCTTCCAAATTTTTTGTTTTCATTTTCAGAATCCCAGACCCTTCAAACAGATGCCTTCTGTATCCTGCATTTTAGATGGCTTTTCTAGTTCTGGTTGGGATTGTTGGACTGCTGTTAGCTTCTACATCTCATCCAGAAGGAGAAGTTTCTCACTTACTTCCAGCCCCCAGATGACCTGTTGAAGAAATCTGGTTTTTAGTCTTATAAAATTTTCCAGAGTCTGGATTTTATTGACTTTATCCCCATGGTATCATTTAATATGTTCTTCTGTCCTCTATATTTCCTGTAAACTAGCAGTAACATGTAAAGTGTTGGTCAGATTAAGATGACAGATGATGTATATACTTCTTTCAGGAGGTACTATTTTTTTCTCCTGTTTTTGCAGCACTAACTGTCATTGGTAATTATTACCAAGATCCATTAATTTGTTAGGGGATGCAGAATGGTGCTATTCTAAGTTTTTATTCTTTCCTCATTTATTGGCTGGAATATGTCTATAAAGTAATTTTCTTTTCATAACTATTGGTTATTCTGAAAGTACAGTTTCTATAGGAAAGACACGGTAACCACTTTAACAGTCTTCAAAGAGTTAATCACCTAGCATTCTTAAAAGATGGCCACTGTGAGTTTAAAATTTTGTTTTGGATTTTACTCTGTATGATATTTGGCACCGTATTATCATATTTTATTTTTTATTTTTAAAATTTTATTTCTTTTTTCATTTTTTAAGACATGAATGATAAAGTGTTATCACATTTTTTAAAAATGTTAACGTGAGTGGGCTTTCTCTGAGCACGTATTACTTGATAGCAGTCAAATGATTAGAAAAGTAGTGACTAGTTTATTCCATATTAATAGATATTATATTTTCTTGATTTAAGTCATACCTTGAATAAAATTCACATTTTGACTTTCATAATTCACAATTCTAGACTTACCAGTAATCCTTACATACTAATGATTAGAAGGCAGTTCTGAGTGCCAACCTCCCATTTCCTATCAGATACCAGACATTTAGCATCTCTTTCCCAATTCAGAGTTTTTGGAAAGTCATTGACTTAACTAGAGACATGACTTCTACATTTCATGCTAGAGAAGGTTTTGTTAGGTATGGATGAAGTGATGCTGGTACGATCAGGTATATTATGGAAAAAAAATAGATTTTGTAGTATGACATGAAACTCTAACTTATAACAAAGATTCTTTGAGAACATGCTTTTCAAGTTTCAAATAGACTGTGATGGGGAAATAACCTAATTATAAGTCATGAGCTGCCGCTTTACTGTTGTAAATTTCATTCACTTCTGTTAGTAAAAAATGTATTGTTCCTTTTTCCCTCTCTTTGTAGATTGGTTTTATATTCCTCATGGATCTTATTTGAGCATTGAAATTAGAGTGAGATAAATTTTTCTTGGTGTTAACCTAAGAATTGATTGAAATTGCTTTTATTTGTTTTAGGAAATCTACTTTCTTCAATGTGTTAACCAATAGTCAGGCTTCAGCAGAAAACTTCCCGTTCTGCACTATTGATCCTAATGAGAGCAGAGTACCTGTGCCAGATGAAAGGTTTGACTTTCTTTGTCAATACCACAAACCAGCAAGGTAAGAGATATTTTATGCTATTTATTTGGTGATTTTGTGTAGATTGGGCAGATGTTTAAAGTCATATAGAAGAGTTTTTCTTTTAAAATTAATGTAGCATTATTGTTTTGGGTGATTATAAAAGTCATGCAGAGGGCTGGGTGCGGTGGCTCACACCTGTAATCTCAGCACTTTGGGAGGCCCAGGAGGGCAGATCACAAGGTTAGGAGTTTGAGACCAGCCTGGCCAACATGGTGAAACCACTGTCTACTAAAAATACAAAATTTAGCTGGGTGTGGTGGCAGGTGCCTGTAATCCCAGCTACTTGGGAGGCTGAGGCAGGAGAATTGCTTGAACCCAGGAGGTGGAGGTTGCAGTGAGCCAAGTTACGCCACTGCACTTCAGCCTGGGCAACAGAGCAAGACTCCGTCTCAAAAAGAAAAAAGTAATGCAGAGTATGGAGAAGGGTGTAGAAGGGTATACCCAGTTGTTAACATTGCAATTATTTTTTTCTGGGGAGTATAAAATGGAGTAATTAGTCTGTATTATATGATCTCGTTCATGTAAAACTAAATGTGTTTGTTTATATGCATAAAAAATGTATGAAATGATCATAGACTGATGATTATCTCTGGGTAGTAGAATTTTTAGGTGATTTTTACTTTATTCTTATATTCCTCTATGTTTGAATTTTTTTACAATAAGCATGTATTATGTCTTCAATTAAAAAAATAAGTAAAACTGTTTTATTAGGAAAAAGTGAGATAGTTTAAGTTCATTGTAGGAAGTTCAGACAGTAGGGAAATATATAATGAGAGGGGTGAAAACCACCTCTACTTCCTCTACCTTGATATAACAGTTGTAAATACTTTGGGGATATATCCTTCCATAATTTCCTGACTTTGTGCACACTTACTTACAGAAATAGAATACTTGTTTTACTTGGGATATTATTAATATCTTTCTGGATTAAGCAATACAGACTTAAGTAATAATTTCTAATATAATACTTATATTTATTGCTATATTATATGAATGTAGCACAGTTTACCATTTGCTTATTATTGATAATATAATTTGTTTTTAATATTTTACTATTTTTAATGTCCTGATAAATCCCAGGTTTCTGTCTGGTGTCCTGAACTCTGCAGAACTCCAGATTTCTATATCTAACTGCCTCCTTGATATTGACACTTGGAGGTCTGAATAGGTGCCTTAGACTTGATATGTCCAAAATGACCTCTTGATTTCACCTTCTTGCACCAAATTCTTCTTTAGGACTGCCATAACTCAATAAATAGCACTGTCATTTCCTCAGTTGCTTAAATCAGTGCCCACCATTTATCTTTGATTCTTCTCTCCCCTCACCCCGTATCCAGTCTTATCAGCAATTTTGTGAGTTCTAATTACAAAGTATATACTGAACTCATTCACTTTTTTCACTTTCACTTACTAGTTGTAGCATCCATTGATTTTTTTGATGAATTAATTTTTACTATGAGGATTCTCACATGGTGATTTTGTAATTCTATCATTCCTCCTTCATTTGTTACTATTGTACTGTAAGGAAAAGCTTTCTCATCTTCATCTGTTCATTCATGTATTTATTCAGATGAGTGTTATTTTATTGGTTTTAATCTGTCACAAACATTGATTTGATGCTCAAATTATATCCCTCAGATTGGCTCTTCAGGCTGACTTCAGTGTCCTTTCTAAAACCTTTTTATTTTTAAATGATTTTAAATTTATATAAAAGCTGCAAAAGTACACAAGTGCTTATATACCCTTGCATACCCAGATTCTTAGAACTTTTGAGAATAAGTTGTAGACATGTGCCATATTATACTTCGGTTCTTTAGTTTGTATTTACTAAATACAAAGATATCCTCCCACACAACCATAGTAAAACATCAAAATCAGGGTAGTTTACTATGGGATTAACACTGACCCCATATTACCATCTAATTCATAGACTTTATTTAGATTTTTTCAGTTGTTCCAATAATATGCTTTGTTGCATCTAAACCAGGATCATGTGTTTGTTCAGTTGTTTTATCTTATTTTTTCCTTTTCTTTTCTTTTTAAAATAGAGATGGGGTCTTGCTGTGTTGCCCCAGGGTGGTCTTGAACTGTCGGCCTCAAGCATTCCTCCTGCCTCATCCTCCCAAAATGGTGGGATTACAGGCATGAACTACTGTGCCTGGCCTTTCTTTTCTTTCTTTCTTTTTTTTTTTAAAGACAGAATCTTACTGTGTTGCCCAGGCTGGAGTGCAGTGGTGTGATCACAGCTCACTGTAGCCTCAAACTCCTGGGCACGGTCAAATGATTCTCTCACCTCAGCCTCCTGAGTAGCTGGGACTACAGGCACATGCCACTGTGCCTGGCTAATTTTTAAATTTTTTGGAGAGATGAGGTCTTGCCATGTTGCCTAGGCTGGCTTGAACTCCTGGGCTCAAGTAATCCTCCTGTCTTGGCCTCCCAAATTTGTGCCGAGCCCCACCAGCCTGTTTCTATTGAAGAACATTAATAAGGCCGTGTGCAGTGGCTCAAGCCTGTGATCCCAGCACTTTGGGAGGCCGAGGTGGGAAGATCACCTGAGGTCAAGAGTTCAAGACCAGCCTGACTAACATGGAGAAACCCCATTTCTACTAAAAATACAAAAGTAGCCGGACGTGGTGGCCCATGGCTGTAATCCCAGCTACTCAGGAGGCTGAGGCAGGAGAATCGCTTGAACTTGGCAGGCAGAGGTTGCAGTGAGCCAAGATGGCGCCATTACACTCCAGCCTGGGCAACAAGAGCAAAACTGTCTCAAAAAAAGAACAAAAGAAATTCCTGCCAAAAAAAAAAAGAACATTAATAAATGTTTTTGGTAGTCTGTGTTCATTACAGTATAGCGATTAAAAATATTTTTAACATCATTTTAGTCTCGAGAGTTCTAAAGTAGTATTTTATTCTAGAAGTATTTTGTTCAAGTAGTCATGAGATCATTAGTGTAATACATCAGAAATCCCTGAATTAAATCTCAAGTTTTAATTTTTTGAGATATTGTATTAATAGTTTAAACCTTATCCTAGCCATAAATCACAAATCAGAATTGAGAAGCTCATTTTCTTTTTTTTTTTTTTTTTTTGAGACGGAGTCTCGCTCTGTCGCCCAGGCTGGAGTGCAGTGGCGGGATCTCGGCTCACTGCAAGCTCCGCCTCCCGGGTTCACGCCATTCTCCTGCCTCAGCCTCCCAAGTAGCTGGGACTACAGGCGCCCGCCACTACGCCCGGCTAATTTTTTTGTATTTTTTTTTAGTAGAGACGGGGTTTCACCGTTTTAGCCGGGATGGTCTCGATCTCTTGACCTCGTGATCCGCCCGCCTCGGCCTCCCAAAGTGCTGGGATTACAGGCGTGAGCCACCGCGCCCGGCCGAGAAGCTCATTTTCAATAGAAAATAGAATCTCAGAGCTGAATATCTTCCTGTCTAGTTTCCTCATAAAAAGAAACGTGAAGCCTAGAAAGATGAAATAATTTGTTCATGGTCACACTTATAGTTATGTCAACCAGAAATAGAACTCAAAGCTTCTCACTTCAAATTTAGGCCATTCTACCCAAATGCATGCTACTTACTGTACTTCTGCATTAGTCCATTTTGTATTGCTGTAAAGGGTTACCTGAGGCTGGGTAATTTATAAAGAAAATAGGTTTATTTGGCTCATGGTTCTGCAGGCCATATAAACACAGCACCAGCATCTGTTTGGCTTCTGGCGAGGCCTCAGAAAGCTTTTTTTTTTGAGAGGGAGTTTCGCCATTGTTGCCCAGGCTGGAGTGCAATGGCGCGATCTCAGCTCACTGCAACCTCCGCCTCCTGGGTTCAAGTGATTTCCTGCCCCAGCCTCCTGAGTAGCTGGGATTACAGGCATGTGCTACCACACCCTTCTAATTTTGTATTTTTAGTAGAGATGGGGTTTCTCCATGTTGGTCAGGCTGGTCTCAAACTCCTGACCTTAGGTGATCCACCCACCTTGGCCTTCCAAAGTGCTGAGATTACAGGCGTGAGCCACTGCACCCGGACGAGGCAGCTTTAACTCATGGCCAGAAGATGAAAAGGGGAGTGGGTGTGTCACATGGAGACAGGGGGAGCAAGAGAGAGTGGAGACAGGCACCAGACCATTTTAAACAACCTGCTCTCCAGTGAACTAACAGAGCGAGAACTCACTCATTACTATGGAGAGGGCACCAAGCCATTCATGAGGGATCCACCCCGTGACCCAAACGCCTCCCACCAGGCCCCACCTCCACCATTACGCATCACATTTCAACATAAGTTTTGGAGGTGACAGAACATCCAAACTATATCAACTTCATATTTATCATATGAGTGGTTTTAGTTGTTAGAAATATCATTTAGGATGAATTTAGTTGCCCTTAACACAGTGACTTAAAGAGCTGATTTATTGAGTTAGTAACAGGTAGCACAGTGTTTAGCTCAGTGATATCATCAAAGGCCTGGCTTCTTTCCCCTCTTCAATTTACTTTATCAACTTGACCATAAGGTTGTCTTCCCCTTGTGGTCACAGGATAGATCTGTGTACTTTCTCATCCATGTTCAGAGTGAAACGGGATTGCTTCTAGAAGTTCTCCCAGAAGACTGATGAGCTTCTATTTAACAGCCTCCTACACCCCCTCCAGTAAACCTCTTCTTAAGTCTTTTCATGTCTTTTTTGTTTTTTAAGAGGTGGAGTCTCACCATGTTGCCCAGGCTGAACTTGAACTCCTGGGCTCAAGCCATCCTCCCTCCTGCCTCAGCCTCCCAAATACTTGGGACTACAGATGTATGCCACCATGCCTGGCTTCTTAAGTTCTTTGAGGCAATTAGGGCAAGGTGAAGGTCCTAGAATTGTTTTACTTTCCCTAGGAATGCGATTAAACTGCTTAGTGAAGGCCGGAGCTACATGCCCCACTTCTAGAGTTAGGGGTAGAGCAAGCTTCTCCAAAGCGCTGGGCTCTGCTGGAGAGGAATGGCTACCAAAATGAAAATCCGTATAGGTACCGAGAGGGGGCAGTGGATGCTGGGGAGGCAGTCACTGTGTCCAACAACAAAAAACTAACCACATTTATGTGGTTTTAGTGGATTTGGTGGTAACAATAATCAAGTAATTTCAATCTGTAATACTTCATAGAATAATTGTTTTGAAAGGACTCATTTTCCATGCCAATAATAGGGAAGTCTTTTGTGGAACTTTTATGTTGTATTTTATCAGGTAGTGAAATTGACATTCTGAAAAATGAATGCTCTTGAAAATTGACAAAGGATACACAATTACATTATATATACCTTTGTCATATGACATTAAAAGTAGCTTTTATTTATTGATATACTTAAATCTCCATTTTTACATGGCAAACTGATTTTCCTAACTTGGTTTTTAACTGGTGTTAAATGTGCCTTTATTTAGCAAAGCAAAGGTTATTTTGTATATAGCCTAATTTGGTTGCTGTTATCAACAGCTAGGTTATTACTATGCTGATAACTGGTTCTCAGCATTACACGCTTTTTTTTTTTTTTTTTTTTTTTGTCTATATAACATGTGGGTGATCAAATGCAAACCCAGACAGCCTGTGTTTGAATCCCAGTTTTGTCACTGCTGGCTGAGTGATCTTGAATACAATAGATTTCGTAACTCCTCTAAGGCATAATTTCCTTATCTGTAAAGTGGGCTTAATAAATAGCATCCATCTTATAGAGTTGATTTGAACTTTGAAGTGAGATAATACATGTAGAATACTTAATTTAGTGTCTGGCACAAAGTTAGTTGGCTCATTTTATGATGATTACCTCAGCATACTCTAAACATTCTTCACCGCTTTTGAGTGTGTGTGCATGTGCCAATAGAACTTTATAGTAAAATTAATGATAAGAGTTTTAATTTCAGAAACACGATAAATACATTTATTCTGTTTTAGTTTTCTCACTTATTATCCTAGGTAAGAAAGTCCAAATGTATTACAAGGCCATTTCTAATTTTTTTTGGGGGGAGGGGTGGATATTCATTTATCAAATCATTATTGTTCCATTGTTCTAGAAAGGAAAGAATTTATGTGAAATGTTTGGAGAATTCATTTGGTTGATAGATAAGTTTTTAGTACTGTTTTATAATAAAGCCATCTTTTGTTTTTCAGCAAAATTCCTGCCTTTCTAAATGTGGTGGATATTGCTGGCCTTGTGAAAGGAGCTCACAATGGGCAGGGCCTGGGGAATGCTTTTTTATCTCATATTAGTGCCTGTGATGGCATCTTTCATCTAACACGTAAGTACAGTTGTTTATTTAATCATTGATTTCATTCAGATCAGTGTTTTCTTTCCATTAGTGCACAAATAAAATTAGAAATGACTAATGGAAGATTGCTTTGCTTTACCAGATGAATCTTGGGTTTGTCTGTAAATCTGTGACTTTAATGTTACTTAGTATCATCTCCGTATCTGAAGGCTTATTCCATAGCAAGTATATGCTGCATTGAGATTATATTCTAATTGAACTTTATTCCCTGTTCTGGATTAGAGCAATCAAGAAGTGTTTCTATATGGAACTTTGTTCATTGTAAAGGCATTCTGAAATTATCTTAAATTGTGGAACTTTATTGCTTTTCTGTGTGTTAAGGAGGCAGAATTGTTAGAGAAGGGGATTCTGATTATTTAACAACAGAGAAAGGCTTCTGGGTTATCTATTAGAGATGAAAGGATTAAAGAGAAACTATAGATCAGCTAGTCCTTATGGAGAGAGGAATATAAAGGAAAGAGAAAAAATAGGACTGTGGCTTAGTTTGGGCTCTGTTGACTGACTATAAAAGTGAGCCAATCACATAGTAATTTTCTGACAAAATAGAGTTTAGGTTAAGGCTTAGGTCAAGGCTGTACTTTGTGTTAATAGTATTATAATGAGCAAATTAATAGAAACAAGAAAACACAAGTTAGAGGTGAGAGGGCCAGCTGTGTCTGGTTAAGTGCATTTGTTTCTGGTCCTCAACTAGATAACTATAGTAACTGAGAGTAAGCATTTAGAAAATATAGCAATTTGACTAATTTTTTGGTCATTTGAATAAAGTAATAATAAAATTCTGCCGGTACTTTTTGTGTGCCTTTTATAAAACACCATTTACCTCTGTGGTTTGCATAAGCTGGCTAGAAAAAAGATTTGTTTGCCTAGAATCAGGTTGGTGCAAAAGTAATTGCAATTTTGCCAACATAATGCCCAAAACTGCAATTACTTTTGTACCAACCATATAATTCATTTGTATTGTATTTTACAAAACCCCATGACAGACAATTTGAGAAGCATTGATCTAGGTAGTTTAAATTTGAGTGAAGGTATGGTGAGACCTCTGGGAAGTCTAGATAAAAGAATGAGGCTGTGATGGGGAAGTGATCCAGTTTTGTAGAGAAGTTTTAACTAAAGCCTGTACATTGGCAGAACGTCTGTTTTCCTGACTGGTTTTCTTCTGGTTTTGGTGACTGATGTGAGGATTTCATAGAGAAGGTAGAGTGAAGTGTGACTCCTGGATTTCTGGACCAGGTCACTTGAATGAATTGTGATACCATTTGTTGAAACGTTAAACACAGAAAAAGCAGCAAGTATTGAGAGAGATGATGATGAGTTCAGTTTGGGACAATTTAAAAAATTTTGTAGTTGGGGCATCCTGATAGGTGTCTGTCAGAAAGTAGAATTGATAGGACACACGTGACAGAAGGATCGGGGCAAGAGAACTGAAGATTTGGGTATGAGAAAGTGAGTTGATGGGTGGAAAAGAACTTAAAATAGAGTGGGAGTGAAAATAGGAGAGCACTGAAAAATGGAAGGCTTATGGATCTGATTCCCTGATAAGGTTTCAGAACAGGTAGGTTGAGTGTAAGGCTGTCGTGTGGTTAGGGAGGGATATTTGACTTAAAATTTTCCAGGCTGGAGCAATTTAGGATGATGGTAAGGTCCTGATGATGTTGGTAATAAAAATATCTCTGGTTTTGTTGTTTCTTACATAATATTCATTTGATGTGATTTTCTAACCCTTGTGGGGGGGGAAATGAATTTGGTGAGGAGCATACATACTATATTGTATTTAAGTCAGGCTAAAGATACCATCATTAAGGAAGGAAAGAAAATCCAATTAAAGTAGATACTATGCTCTCTTAGTATGATTGATCTCAGAATGTGAAAGTGCCAAAATACGCATCTTAGAATTGATGAAATACAGTGTATATATCATTGTATAGTACATAAAGCACTGAATGATACATTTATAATCAGAATTTTAAAAAAATCCTTAGATTTATAGTCAGAAAAAAAGACTTGTAGAGATTAGAAAGATTATGGATTACTTTGAGGCTATGAAAATTGATAATTCTTTAATTTCAACAGTCAGATATATGTTAGTGTTTAGAGTACTTTTCAGCTTTCTATTAGAACATCCGAAAGTTAGGGGACAGAAAAAATTGTTAATGAGAAGTTTTAGTTTATCACTGAATTTTAATTTATTAATATCATGTTTCTCTCCATTAATTTGATTAATTTTTAAAAATTAACTTTTGCCTCACCTTGTTTACTTCCCTTGGCTATTAGAAATATGTAAAATATATACATTGTTGCAAACACATATACTTGTTTAAAATGCAAATACTCATCTTGGTGGATTTGCTTTGGCTTTAAATCTTTAAATCACTCTATCTTATTCATTTGACTGATTTGACTCTTATAAGTGTGCTAGATGCTGAGGGATGTATTGGTAAGTAAAAACAGATGTGACCATTTTTCTCATGAGCTTATAATACAGTGGAGGATACAGACATTGAATAAAATGGTCACATAAATATTAGATGTCTTTCTAGTTGTGTACAAGGAGAAAGGAATATGTGTGTGAGTATGCAGTGTTACCTTGAGGAGGTGACAGTGATGCTGAGAGGTAAAAGCTGAATGGGAACTAAGTTAGCAAAAGGAGGAAAGGAAAGATTATTATTCAGAGTAAATGGTTTGTTTCAAGGCCCTATGGTAGAAAGGAGCCTGCTGCCTTAAGAACTGCCATGGTGGTTAGAATGAATGATGAGGAGTAGGAGCGATGGAAAAGAGCCCAGGGATATAGTTAGGGATGTGATTAAGTTCACCATATTAAAGATATCCATCTCAAATGGCTTAAATCTAAAGGATTTTATTTATTTATTTGAGATGGAGTCTTGCTCTGTCTCCCAGGCTGGAGTGCAGTGGCATCATCTCGGCTCACTGAAACCTCCACCTCCCAGGTTCTAGCAATTCTCGTGCCTCAACCTCTCCAATACCTGGGATTACAGAGGCACACCACCACACCAGGCTACTTTTTGTATTTTTAGTAGAGACGGGATTTCACCATGTTGGCCAGGCTGGTCCTGAACTCCTCACCTCAAGTGATATGCCCACCTCAGCCTCCCAAAGTGCTGAGATTACAGGTGTGAGCCACTGTGCCCAGCCTAAATATAAAGGATTTTAAATGGACAGTTGAGGTGGGGATGGAGGCAGATGAAATTGTTCCAGTAGCTTATTTTGCAATTACAGTATTCAGTTGAGTTGCACTTTTAATGTTTTAACCAATCAAAATGGGCTGAGCACGGTGGCTCATGCCTGTAACCCCAGCATTTTGGGAGACTGGGGCAGGCAGATTGCTTGAGTTCAAGACCAGTCTGGGCAACATGGTTAGACTCCTGTCTCTACCAAAAATACAAAAAATTAGCTGGGTATGGTGGCATGTGCCTGTGGTCTCAGCTACTCGAGGCTGGATTGGGAGGGCTGCTTGAGCCTGTGAGGCAGAAGTTGCAGTGAGCCAACATTGCGCCACTGCACTCCAACCTGGGTGGCAGAGTGAGACCCATCGCAAAAAAAAAAAAAAAAAAAAAAAAAGGGAAATAAAATGGAGTAAGTTGCCAATAGTTTGAATTTTCATTTTGTATAAAACTATATTTCCAAGATACTGATAATGATTTCCCTAGATGATGTATGAGCATAAACAATATAGAATACTTAGAATACTTTTTTTTTTTTTTTTAAAGAGTCAGGGTCTTGCTATGTTATCCGGGCTGGTCTTGAACTCCTGGACTCAAGCAGTCCTCCGCCTTGGCCTGCCAAAGTGCTGGGATTACAGTCATGAGCCACCGTGTCCGGCCAGTAATGTGTAAAGCTTCTTTCACACACAACATGTATTTGCCCAGGTGTGGTGGCTCATGCCTATAATCCTAGCACTTTGGGAGACCTACGCAGATCACTTGAGCTTAGGAGTTCAAGATTGGCCCGGGAAGCACAGGGAGACCACATTGCTACAAAAAAAAAAAAAAAAAATTAGCCGGCCTTGGTGGCCTGTGCCTTGTAGTTCCAGCTACTTGCGAGGCTGAGGCAGGAGAATCACTTGAGCTCAAGAGTTCGAGGCTGCAATGACCTGTGATTGCACCACTGTACTCCAGCTTGGATGACAACAAGATCCTCTCTCTAAAAAAATAAAAAAGATTAAAAGAATCAATACATGTTACTTAGTTTGTTTACCCCCAAATAATGTCCCCTCCCACCCCTGGGGTTTGCTGCCTAATGTAAAGGTATTTCAGATCCTTACCCCCATTAGTCATTTAGAGTTTTCGCTGAAGTTTTATTTTCAGTAGGTTTGTTTGCAAAGTGTACTAATGAGGACATGCAAGATAGTAGAAATAATGAAAGATTATTTTCTTGTTTGAATATGTGCAGATCTGGAGTTACTGTAGTTTTTTAAAGTATATTTTTGAAGTTACTGTATGCTAACTCGTAACTATGGATTCAGCTATATAAACGGGAGTTTATCTTTCACTAAACAAGTGCTGCTGAGGTGAAAGTTAGGTCTTATTTTGACACTTAATAAACATAACAACTGTCAGAATTTGCATGAGGAATTACAAGAGCTCATCTTTTAATTCTGGTGGTTTTTTTTTCATCAGGAAAGCTTTGTGAGAAGTGTTTTTACAGTACAAATGAATGTCTGCTTATTAAATTTAATTTGAAAACAGAATCAGTCTTCATTTATCGGAGGGTCACTTATTTTTCTTGCCCTAGTTTAAATCCTTGGAATACTTTTCCAAAAAAATATTGGTTCTTCATTGATAGTAAGGAGCTGAAAAAAAAAATTCAAAGCCAGTTGCAGTGGCACATGCTGGTAATCCTAGCTACTCAGAAGGCTGAGGCCCGAGGATTGTTTGAGCCCAGTAGTTGAGGTTGTAATGTGTTATGATTGTGTCTGTGACTAGCCACTGCACTGTAGCCTGGGCAACACAGGGAGACTTTGCTTCTTTAAAAAAAAAAGAAAGAGAATACTGATTCAAGAATGACCTAATAATCTGCTGTCTAGGTGAAGCTTCACATATAGCTAATTGAAGATTCTCATCTTGTGTGTAAGCCCAGTTTGCAGCAAATGTGGACTAATTTTATATAGCAGGTAGATGCAGCATTAAAAATTTTTCTATACACAATAATATGGATGAATCTCAAAATAATTATGCTGAGTGGAAGAAGGCAGTCCAAAAAAAGAGCGTATACTATGATTCCATTTATATAAGATTCTAGAAAATGCATACTAATTAGAAAGCAGATCACGGTAGCCTGGGGGAGGGGCAGAGAGAGGGATTATAAAGGGCTGTGAGGAAACTCTTGGGGGTGGTGGATATGCTCATAATCTTGTTTGTAGCGATGGTTTCACAGGTGTATGCATATGTCAAGACATGTATACATCTGACTGTACACTTTTTGCACATTTTGTTGTATGTCACTTTCACCTCATTAAAGCAAAAAAAGTGGGAAAGAAAACTTTTCTTATACTTTTCCTTTTAGGGGAGCTTTGCTTGTACTCTGTTTCAGCACTGTAAGCGTTGGAAATAATGTCATATTTTTAGATAATAATTAGCAGGTTGGTGCAGCTATTTGTATTGATTTAAAAATGAAAATAGGGCTGGGTATAGTGGCTCATACCTGTAATCCTAGCACTTTGGGAGGCTGAGGCGAGTGGATTAGTTGAGCCCAGGAGTGCGAGAGCAGCCTGGGCAACATAGTGAGATCTCATCTCTAGAAAAAAAAATTGAAAGGAAAAATAAAACCTGATTATTTTTGAGCCTTAACATTTTATGAAGAACTTTGGGTTTTGGTGCAATTGTAGTGAAATTATTTCTCTCTGATACATCAGTCTTGGAAGTACAAAATATTTTCAGTTACAGAATTTGTTAAACTTGATTCCAAAATACAGTTGACCCTTGAACATACTGGGGTTAGGGGAGCTGACCCTTGCACAGTTGAAATTCGGATATAACTTTTAACTCCCCAAAAACTTAACTACAAATAGCTTACTGCTGACTGGAAGCCTTACAAGTAATATAAACTATTAACACACATCTTGTATGTTATATATTTATATTCTATATTCTTACAATAAAGTAAGCTAGAGAAAAGAAAATGTTTTCAAGAAAATCATGGCCAGGTGCGGTGGCTCAGGCTTGTAATCGCAGCATTTGGAGGCTGAGGGAGGAGGATTGCTTGAGTCTAGGAGTTTGAGACCAGCCTGGTCAACATAGAGAGATCCACATCTACAAAAGATAACATTAGCCAGCATTGTGGCGTGCACCTGTAGTCCTAGCTACTCAAGAGGCTGAGGCAGGAGGATTGCTTGAGCCCAAGAGTTTGAGGCTGTGGTGAGCTATGATTGTGCCACTGTACTCCAGCCTGGGTGACAGAGTGAGACCCTGTCTTAAAAATAAAAAGTAAGAGAATATGCATTTACAGTACTATACTGTATTTTATTGATACTGTCATCTATTCACAAGATTAATTGTTTGTCTGAAATGGCAGTAACCCCAGGTGCAGACCTCAGTCTATAGTCCATATCAAGCAGTTCACCTTTTTCTTGTATTGTCAATGACTTTTCTCTTCTCTGCTTCTTGGGAGCATTTCCAGCATCACTAATAGCACTTTGTATAGGTCCCATAATGTTATTTTTTATTTTATTATTATTGTTTTAGAGATAGGGTTTAGCTCTGTTGCTCAGGCTGGAGTGCAGTGGTACAATCATAGCTCATTGCAGCCTGGAACTCCTTGGCTCAAGTTATCCTCCTGCCTCAGCCCCTCAAGTAGCTAGGACTACAGGTGTGCACCACAATACCCAGCTAATTATATATATATGTTTTTTTTTGTAGATACAGGGTCTTGCTGTGTTGCCAGGCTGGTCTCAAACTCCTGGGCTCAAGCAGTCCTCCTGCCTTGGCCTCCCAAAGTGCTGGGATTACAGGTGTGAGCCACTTGCCTGGCTTATGTTATTCAACATTTATAGTATTGCGACCATGATGAAAAATATTAATATGCAGGAACCTCAAGGGATTACTTTTTACAGCAATACACGATTTACTGGAGAAATGAACTGCTCATGTGATGATGATTAATGTCTCACAGTGTTTTAAGATAAGGATACTTGGAACACTCAAGCTTATCCCAATAGCAACCGGAGGTGGCTGTGAAATAATTATGGTAGTACAATATGGACTACAATTAACTTTATGCAGTTATGATTTTATATGGCATTTTTAGTTTATTTACATTTCCCTTAAATGTGAATGGTTCCATGTATGGTCTGTAAGTGTGTCTAAGTTTTGATAAATTTTAACTTTTTATAATAGAGTTGTATATATTTTACAGTAGTAAGTGATAAAATTGACAAGTATCTATGTATATTTTATGCATGCATGGCATACCTAGTTTTTTCTTATTTTTTTCCATATTTCTAGGCTACATGTTTCATCTACAAGTTTTTTCAAATTGTTGCAAATCTTCAAAAAATTTTCCATTATAGTTATTGAAAAAAAGTCTGTGTGTAAGTGAATCCTTGAAATTCAAATCCTTGAAATTCAAACCTAAGTTCAAGGATGAACTGAAGTATTTATTGACGAGTTTATTAGTAAATTTGTTATGTAAAGCATTTAAAAATATTTGTAAAGTTCAGGAGTTTACATATTTTATTTTACAAATTGTCATACAGTAACGTAACATTCTGGGTTTACAGTTCTATGAATTTAACATGCTTATAGATTCATAAAACCACCACAAGAGTATGGCTACAGAACACTTTCATCACCCCAAAAGCTCCCTTCTACTCACATTCTTTTATGGATCTTTTAGGTGTCTTTAAATACCAGAATGTTCTTTTCATTCTTGTTGTTTTGGAAATATTGCTCTTATTTTCTTCCGAAGTTTGCTTTTTAAAAATTCTTTTTTTTTTTTTTGAGATAGTCTCACTCTGTCGCCCAGGCTGGAGTGTAATGGCGCGATCTTGACTTACTGCAACCTCCACCTCCTGGGTTCAAGCAATTCTCTTGCCTCAGCCTCCCCAGTAGCTGGAATTCCAGTCACCTGCCACCATGCCTAGATAATTTTTGTATTTTTAGTAGAGACGGGGTTTCATCATGTTGGCCAGGCTGGTCTCGAACTCCTGACCTCAGGTGATCCACCCACCTCGGCCTCCCAAAGTGCTGGGATTACAGGCATGAGCCACCACTCCCAGCCCCTTTTTAAAATGCTTAACAAAATTTTGTGTTAAACCAAACTAAATTTTGAACTAACGGGCAGAGCTGCCTATTTCTGAAACATATAAAATGTCTGGAAAATACAGGATAATATGAAAATGGCAAGACTCTTGTGTTTGTTAAATTTTTCCACCCAAGGGCCCTAACCACAAAGGATAAGGAACATGATGACTTTTGGTACGTGGTGTAGTGCCACACACTTTACTTCAAGGAGAAGTTTTTAGAATCTCATGGTTTTTTGTTTTCTGTATTTCCAGCAGTCCCAGTTTGAGAGGCAGGATCTTAGGTTAAGATATAACCCTAGGGCAACCAAGAGGCCTACCTGACCAAACTACTAAGTGCAACTTACAATTATAATAATGAATATTTTTATAGCACTTTGCTTAGTTAGTACTGTTTATTTATTTATTTTTTTGAGGCGGAGTCTCTCTCTGTTGCCCAGGCTGGAGTGCAGTGGCACAGTCTTGGCTCACTGCAACCTCTGCCTCCTGGGTTCAAGCTATTCTCATGCCTTAGCCCTCTGAGTAGCTGGGACTACAGGTGTGCACCACCACGCCTGGCCAATTTTTGAATTTTTAGTAGAGACGGGGTTTTACCATGTTGGCCAGGCTAGTCTCCAACTCCTGACCTCAAATGATCTGCCTGCCTCGGCCTCCCAAAGTGCTGGGATTACAGGCGTGAGGTACTGCGCCTGGCCTTGCTTTATTGTTTTTAATGATGCATTGTTGGGTTTTTTTTTTGGTGAAAGTAGGTTTTAAATTTCAACACTTTTTTTCATTTTTTATATTTAAAAAAATTATGGTAATATATACATAACATAAAATTTGCTACTTAATAATTTTTAAGTATAGAGTTCAGTGGCATTAAGTACATTCACATGTACTTTTAAAAAATTACAAATGACATTGCTAATGAATACCCTTTTTAAAAAACTTTTATGATAGATTTTTCTCTTTCATCTTCAGTAAACAGAATCATGCTCAGATAAAACGGCCTGCCAAAGATTAAATACAGGAGAAGGAAACAGCAATCATTTTATAGGAAGCAAATTCTTTTTAAATTCATACATACAGTAACTTATCTGAAAGCAGGGTGCGTTATTTGGAAAAACCACTAACTTTTTCTCTAGGGCTCATTGAGCCAATATGACTTCGCCAGTTTTTGGAAGCAATATAACTTACTATTGCTGGATTTTTAAATATTTGAATATGATGAAGCTATTGATTTCACCAAATCCTTAGCCTTTTTTTTTTCTTTTGACACATAAAGATCACTGAGTAAAGATTCTTAACTTTTTAAAGCTGTCGTTAGAAGTTTTGAAGTTACATTTCAACAGGAATCTAAGACATTTGTGTGTTATTTGAAGCATAGCACCTTTGGCAGTATCACTATACCTACTGTCAGGCTATTCACAGATAAAACTTGTTAAGGTTTCTCAATAGGTACTTAGAGATATGACCTTGGAGACTAGAAGCAAGAGTGTTGCTTTCTGAGCTATGGGACAGTTTTCTTCCCGGTTTAGAAACGTATAGTAGGAGGGTCTCATATATGGGACTGGTATATAATTAGTTATAGTTGTGGAAAACAAAATTTCAAATATAATTTATTTTCAGCTAAGTTTGCATGTGCATGTATGTGTGTATGTGTGTTTGACGGTGATGGTGGGAGTAGGGAATATATTGCCCTATTCTTTCCTGAGTTCTGGTCACCAATTGTTGTAGTTAAATTTTCTGCCTGTGGATTTATTTTGAACTTTTTGTGTGAATTTCAGTCACTATACTTTTTCTCGTTAGAGTGTACTCTTTCTAGTTATTAAAAAGAAAAGTTAACTGTAAAACAGCCTCAGGCAGGTCCTTCCGGAGCTATCCAGAAGAAGCCATTGTTATCATAGGAGATGACAGCTCCATGGGTGTTATTGCCCCTGAAGACCTTCCAGTGGGACAAGATGTGGAGGTGGAAGACAGTGACACTGATGATCCTCACCCTGTGTAAGCTTAGGCTACTGTGTGTATTTGTGTCTTAGTTTTTAACAAAAAGGTTTAAAAATAAAAATAAAATTTAAAAAATGGAAAAAAGCTTATAGATAATATAAAGAAAATATTTTTATACAGTTGTACAATGTGTTTGTGATTTAAGCTAATTGTTATTACAAGAGTCCAAACGTTAAAAAAATTAAAAAGTTTATAAAGTAAAAAGTTATGGTAAGCTAAGGCTAATTGATTATTGAAGAAAAAAATTAACATAAATTTAGAATAGCCTAAATGTACATGGTTTATAAAGTCTACACTTGTCTATGTCAATGTTCCAGTCATTCACATTCACTCACCACTCAATCACTGACTTAGCCAGAGCAACTTCTAGTCTGTAAGTTTCATTCATGGCAAGTGCCCTATACAGATGTATGATTTTTTTTGTCTTTTATACTGCATTTTTACTGTACTTTATATTTAAATATGTTTAGATACACAAATACTTACCATTGTGTTACAAGTGCTTTCAGTATTCAGTATAGTAACATGCTATACAGGTTTGTAGCCTAGGAGCAATAGGCTATACCATTTAGCCTAGGTGTGTAGTAGGTTATACCATCTAGGTTTGTGTAAGTACCCTCTATGATGTTCACATAATGATGAAATTGCCTGAAGATGCATTTCTCAGATGTGTCCCCATTATTAAGCAACTCATGTCTGTAGTTGGGAATAGTACTCAATAAGGCAAGTCTGACTCTAAAAACAGCACTGTTTGCCTTTGTACCAGTGCTGACCAATGGAAATATAATAAAAGCCATAAATGTGAGCTACATATGTAATTTAAAATTTTTCTGATAGCCACATTAAAAAAGTTAAAAAGAAACAGGTGAAATCAATTTTAATAATATTTAATGTAACCAAAAATATTATTTCAATATGTCAGTATGTCAGTATGGACTAGCCATATTTCAAGTACTTCTTAATAACTTAATGGTACTTAATATCTTGTGGCTATTTGCTACAGTATTGGACAGCCAAGCCCTGTACTATAAGCATAGAAAAAAATTTGAAAAAGATACATTATACTATTGATAGATTTCTGAAAAATAGAACTGGGGTGGAGGGAGAAATGGGTGATTTTTATTTTTCATTTTAGACCCTTTGCTTTTAAAAAAGCGAATATGTATTATTCTGATTTTTAAATATGAGGAATTTTTCATTTTAAATACCAGTTTTGGATATGATATGTACAAATGATTCAAATATAATTTTCTAGAGTTCTGCATTAAAACAATGATAGGATGATTTTGGCTTAGAATGATGTGATGTATGGAGTTATCAATAATGTATTTCTAAAATGTTTGTTTTTTAAGCTGGGCTAATCATGGTGGTTCTACCAGGATGATTTAGGTAAGGGGTTTACCCTCAGATAATGAACTTAGTGGGTTCTGTTGTTAGAGAACTTACTTCCTCGATTGTTCTCATAGTGTTATGTTTGTACACTCTGTTCTACCATAAAGTGATATTCTAAGAAACTTTAGTGTAGTGAGAGAAAGAGAGAGAGAGAGAGAGTGTGTGTGTGTGTGTGTGTGTGTGTTGTGGGGAGGAGGAAGGGAGGCTAAGGGAAGGGACGGCTGCCCTTACCTCTTTGTCCTAATAACAAATGAATTTCTTTGCACGCAACTGACTTTTCCCTATTCTGTGTATTCTTGGTGAGGGAATATTATCTAGCTTCCTCCTTCCACCTCAGGAGTGTGAAGGGGCCTTATCTATCCTCTGCCAGGTAGAGCCAGGAAGTGGCCACTTAACTTAAGCTGGACTTAGAAGGATGCAAAGCTGGAGGGAACATCATTGAGAATTCAGTATTTCATTTCATATGGCCTTTTCTTTTTCAAAGGTAAGAATGATGATAGAGGAAGAAGCACAGCCTTTTAAGTAGATTTCAGCAATCTTATTGTCTTTATACCAGTTGTTTTAATATATGCAGTGCAGAATCACTTAAACAAAATTCTTTTCTTGATTTGTCAAAGCAAAGGAAAACCTATGCTAGTTATGCCAGCCACTGTTGTTTGATATAATCAGTAGTCATCTACTTGCTAGCAAAAAGCATTCCCTTATAGTAGATTTAACTGTATGCAATTTAGGTACAAAAACTTGTGTTTTAGAAAAAATGAGGGTCATTCTATAGTACATATAAAGTTATGATTTAATTATGTGTTTACACCCCTTTCCCTTATACCTTATGAGTAGACAGTTTTGGTTTTATCAGTTTTGCACTCCTTTTGATTATAAATGACCAAACAAATGCTATTACTTAAAAAAATTAATTGTAACTTTGTAATACATGTTACAAAATGTATATGTAATATATAAAAATTCTAAATGATGTATGCGTATTTTAAACAAAATAGGAAATAATTAAGGTTCAAAATAAAATATCATGTTTGCCCCTGTTCCCAGTCTCCAGAAGTAACTGCTTTTCCTTGTTTTTAAAATCAGAAAGGACATATGCTTTTCTTCTCCTGATTATATGTGTAGCACATGTATGTTGTACAGTATTCGTTTTCAGTAATTAAAATATGATAGATATAATGTAGAAAGTGAAATCCTATGACATCTACTGTCAGTTTTGGAGCATATGCCTCCAAGTTTGTTTTTATTCTTGAATATATCTTAATGTAAATTGTTGTTAATTTTTTCCCACAAGTAGAATAATTCTGTATATACTTCCTTGATGATTTAATTTGATCTTTGATATAATTTTTTCATCTTTCCTTGTCAATATTGATACTTTATTTTTTAGCAGCTATACAGATTTCATTATATGGATATATCATTGGTTAATAGTTCCTTATAATATTGTTATAAACAATTCTGAAGTGAACATTGTTACACAGAACATTCACGTTATTCTTTTGCAAACTTATGTGAATAGTTCTGAAGGATAGATCCCAAGTGAAATTACTATTCTAAAAATATATCATTTTATAATTACATCAATTTATTTCTTCATTTAGGAAAATTCTAAGATCTTCACCTTTACAGTCTTATTAGGCCACCTGGGAGGGGACAGTGAACCAACATTATGATTATTTTTTCTTTAGAGCCCAAGTTTCTACTGTATGCAGCTACCAATAGAGTCTCTTTTGCCCCTACTTCTTGAATCTCCTTATCTTAAATTGTTCACCTCTGCTTCAGCCCGAGTTTTTAATCTCTCCCTGCTCCTTTGGAGTTGATGTTTCTTGCTGACCCTTGATTTGGCAGCTAGCCCAATGTGCCCACTCTGTGTGCTCAGGAAACCTAGCCCGGCCCAGGATTCTTGGGCCCTTTCATTTGCTTAGAAAAAAAATTGGAAATTATGTATACTTGGGATATGAAAAACAGCATGTGATAAGTGGCCAGATGAATGGTATATAAAATTAGTCATATATCAGAGAGGGATAGAAGCTCTAGAGATAGTTTGGGTCAGGTTATATAGATATCAGGATGAAAATACAGAATTATTTTTATGAGTAGTAGAATGTATTGATGATTTTTATGCTGGCAAGTGTATAGCTTCGTAAGTGTTTCAGGAAATGTATTAGATTTGAAGAAGACTATAAGATGGGTGATTAGTGAAAACATTGTTTTGTTTATTTATTTATTTAGAAGCTGGATCTCATGATGTTTGTTGCCCAGGGTGGTCTCAAATTTCTAAGCTCAAGCAGTCCTACTGTCTCAGTCTCGCAAGCAATAGCTGAAACTACAGTCATGCGCCACCATGCCCAGAGAATGCATTGTTTTAACAGTCCATGTTAGAGGCCTCAAAATAGAAAGGAAGGGACAGACTTGAAAGACGTAGACATGAGTATAGAGTTGATGGTAGTGTTTTTACTAACTTTACGCAGTTTTTGTATATTGTCCATTTATTTGATGCTCTGATACATTAAAGCTATTGTCCTTTCTGCCAAAGTTCTGAGAAGAGAACCTGGCTAAGGGAATAGATAAGAAGTTGTGTGTGTGGAAGTTGGTGATGGATATGCATGGAGGAGGGAGTACAGATATGTAGAGTAAACAGAGCACACCTTATGCTGATAGTACCACTGGTGAACATCAGGTTTGGTGGGAGAGCTTTGAATAAGAGGGAAATGTATAATCTACTTTCAGCTTTTAAAATTTTCAATTTGACTCCTGGTACTGCTTTGCTCCCATCACATGGTAAATTGATATTGGTGACCATAAAAAAGCTTTAACGCCGAATTTGATTTTGAAACATCTTGGACAGACCAAGCCCTATATTCTTCTGAGGTGAGAGGAAGAGAGTCATGAATAGCAAAGATGATTGCTACGTGGTATGTTGTATAGCTGATTAGAGAGGCGCATTTTCAGAGGTGCATTTTTCAGAGGGAGGAAAATTCATACTACCCCTTTTTGGGGCAAAGAAGTTGAGGGAAAGTAGAAATATAGGCATTATAGTAGACCCTTGACCTTTTCTAATTTAATAATAATGGTTTGGACTATTTTTAAGCGATTCTGAAGATACAGGACATGATATTTACTTGTAATTTTGCTGACCCATTAATTTGAATGGCTAGAGCTCAGAGGCTGATTAGCCAAGTGATTATAGCAGATCATTTTATTGTTTTCTACGCATCCTTCTCCCAGCAGTAACATCAATTTTTTTGCTGTATTTATAAAGTCGTGGATGATAAAGGTTATAGGTGAACTGTATTTATGAGCCTTAATGTCCTTTGCAAATCTAAATAAAGTGTGCAAATTTTGTAACATAGAAATGCATTACAGTCATCCCTCGCTATATGTAGGGAGATCAGTTCCACGAGTGCCTATATTTTGCATTGGGCCAATACTGTATTTTCTGTCCACATTTGGTTGAAAAGGTCTGTGTTTAAGTGAATCTGTGCAGTTCAAACCTGTGTTGTTCAAGAGTCAACTTTACTTATTTTCTCTCATAGTGATATTTGCAATGTTAGACTTAAGTTTTTTTAGCCAATAATTTAATTTCTGTTTGATTTTACTTTTCAATCTGTATTTTCCTTAAAAGAGTCTATTTTAGTAAGTAGAGCATATCAATTTTTTTGAATAACTGCTAGCTGTACTGGTTTTGATGTCACTCTTTATTTTGAAAGATCTATACAGTTTTATAGTTATTAGAAAAATAATTCCATCTCTTGCCCCCATCTCCCCAAATGTGATATTCACCATTGACTGATTTCACTTCTCCCTTGGCCTTCACCACTCATAGGCTGGTCAGACAAGTTCTTAAGGAAATAGAACTAACATCAATCGATGTAGGTGATTTTTGTGCAAATGGTTAGAATTTTTGGCTAGGAAAAATAAAAGCCCTTATCCTTTTTCCTTTGTTATTAATGACAGATGTGACTTCATTCTGTTTTATATCACTGTTCCTCTGTATCTGTTTGAATTTCATATGTTTAAATTGCTCAGGGCTTTAAAAATAAGATTCCAGAGAGCTACTTTAGTTTTGTTGTGGGTGTTTGGTTAAAAAGAGGTGAAGGTGGCACTGATGAAAAAATAGTTTCTAAGTTGCCTTTTTAGTTTATATGGAATTGTAGCCCTTAAGGCATTACAGCTTTATTGAACTGCTAAATGAGAAGGTAAAAATGCCTTCATTTAATTGCTCCCCCCCAACTTAGGTTAAGTTAGGTGTTGTTTATATGTCTTGTAAATCACCTTTAGTAACCATGAACATAAATTACTGTTTTCAAGAGCCCACCTTCCTCCGCCATAAGCACATCATTTAAAAGTTTTAAATGAGTCACACATTTTTGCCTAGACACAAATTGCCAATATAAAGCTGTCTTTGATTGTATCCTAAAATAATGGAGTTTTTTCCTTGGGTCCTGTAATTTTCTTTTTCAGCAGTATTTATTAAATTACTCTAGTATTGGATTGCAGTAAACAATCTGACCAAAAACCATATGTTTTCTTTGTTTCTTCAGTACAAATTCAATGGGTTAAGTAATTATGCAGTGGTTCTCATCTACATATACAATGCATTCTAATAACCAACTTCTGTTTATTGTGGAAAATATTGCAGCAGTAGGAAGCAGTTCCTTCTACTTTGCATTGTAATATTGTATCAAGCTATTTAATCTACTGGCTATTTACAATTTAATTTCATGAATATATCCTTATATTCATTCATGGTGGTCTTATATCTAAGTGATTGGTGATTGAGGCATTTGTATTTTTTTCTGGAATATCTTTTCTGACATGTTTTTGAAGGTCTTCTTTCCTGTCCTCTCTGCCCAAAATAGCTGACTGGGTTCTGATACAGAAACTCTGGTATCTTGAAATTCCTCAGGGATGTGAGGGCAACTTCTAAGGTACTGGAGAGTCTCTTGATCTTTAATGATCAGTTTTTTTTTGTTTGTTTGTTTGTTTTTTTAAGAGATGAGGTCTCACCATGTTGCCTAGGCTGTCTTCAAATTTCTGGGCACTAACAATCTTCCTGCCTCAGCCTCCTGAGTAGCTGGGACTGCAGGCTTGCACCACTGTGCCCAACTTAGCATCAAGTTTGAACCTCATTTTTCTTGTCAGAATGCTGTCATTATAAGTTAAAAATGTAAGTATTGAGACTGATTTGGTTTTGAAAATGAAGGCACTTGTTGTTATATGTAACTTGGATGAATGAAATCAGTTGAGCATTTGTGTTTTATTAAAGTGAATCTTCATTTCCTTATAACTGTCCTTTTTCAAATTTTACATTGATGCCTTTACACCACTCATTGCATGCCAGATACAGTTTTCCTACGTCAGTGACTTATAATTTTGAGCTTATGGCTTGGTAGTGCCATTTGCTAGCCCTGGCAGTTGAAGGAAAGGCAGGGCTATAGGGCTCTAAGGCTCTATGGGCTGTAGGCTGTGTTGCAGGACTGGTCAAAATAATCACAAGTTTTCTGTCTCTACATTGGCGATGTCAGGGCTTCCCCTCAGAATCCCCAGACTGTCCATGTGCCTGGAATTTGTTTATTCAGGGCCATGGTGTCCCCTTGACCGGTCCATCTTCTCCTCCCACTCCAACTCTGTCTTTGCTGTCCTTGCTCACTCTGTGGCAGGAAGGAACATTACCTGACTGTCCTGGATTTGACTGACTCAGCTCTTGCCATAGTACCTAAGGAAGACCCCATTGAACCAGCAGAGATTTAGATATTTTGTTTGTATTTCTCACAGGTAAGGGGTTAGGTCAGGGGAGATGGTCTTGTTCCTCTTCCCTAGTTCCTGAGGTGAAAAGGACAACTGTATCCACCTTCTGTTCAGTTCAGCTATGAAGGTCTTCTCTTGCATTTCAGGTTGCCAGATGAGTAGAATCAAAAACTAGGGATTACTTTATAGATTTCTGGGAATAGTGTTCTTTATCTTCCAATTAACTCAATGTTCAAGTATATTTAAAAGTATTAGGTGTGAAGGTGCAGGGCAGGTGTCTTGAAATCTTCTCCGCCCATTTTCCTAACTTGTTTTTTTCCCCATTTTTGTATATATAGGCTGAATTCTGATTTGTATATTGTAGGTAACAATTTCATTTGGGAAAGAACTCTAAATTGAAATTATTTTGAATATGATTTTTAAAAAATTGAAGCAGTGTTATATTCAGGGTAACAGCTATACCAGGGGTTGATGACTTTTAAAGAACTGAGGAAGATATACCAATAAGGAAGTTTACTATATGCGATAATTTAAATGTAGAACCACAATCTTAACACTTTAACACCGTTTTAGATATGACCTGCTGTTTATATACTTATGGTGCTGTAATGGGAAGGGAGTCAACTGAGTAACAGGGAAGGGAATTTATTGATGTTAGGGGGCCAGAAACTTTATGGTGATATAATTTGATTCTCCTAGGAACCTATGAATTTCATATTATTACCGCATTTTAGAGATGGGGAAACTGATTCTCGGAGAATTTAAAAATTTGTCAAAAAATCACATAGCTGCTAAGTGGCGGAATCAAGATTTTTAGCAAAACTTCTATCTTTCCTCTACTGTATATCTATTTCTTAAAGTTTTTTTTTATGAATATTATATCTTAAAACATTTTTCTTGTTTTGGAATAGCTTTATTATTAATAATAGCTTTAGTGAAGGAATAATATTTCATTGTCTCAATGGTGTACGATTTATCATTCTCTAATTTTTAGACAGCTGGATGTTTTCAGTTATTTTGCTATTATAGGTAGCTCTTTAGTGAGTGACTTTATCCATTTATATTTTTATCTTTATTGAATTTTTCCTTACAAAGTATTTATTGGAGATAAATTAATGAATCAAAGATTATATTTCTCTTCTAGTGGCTCTTGTTATACAATACCATGTTGATTTCCAAAAGGATTTTTTAAATTTGCTTTTCTTTTTTTGAGACAGAGTCTCGCTCTGTCGCCCAGGCTGGAGAGCAGTGGTGCCATCTCGGCTCACTGCAAGCTTTGCCTCCTGGGTTCATGCCATTCTCCTGCGTCAGCCTCCCGAGTAGCTGGGACTACAGGCGCCCGCCACCACACCCGGCTAATTTTTTGTAATTTTAGTGGAGACGGGGTTTCACCATGTTAGCCAGGATGGTCTCGATCTCCTGATCTTGTGATCCGCCCGCCTCGGCCTCCCAAAGTGCTGGGATTACAGGCGTGAGCCACTGCGCCTGGACTAAATTTGCTTTTTAAAAATAATTACTGGCTGGGCACAGTGGCTCACACCTGTAATCCCAGCACTTTGGGAGGCCAAGGCAGGTGGATCACGAGGTCAGGAGTTCAAGACCAGCTTGGCCAAGATGGTGAGACCTCGTCTCTACTAAAAATACAAAAATTAGCTGGGCGCAGTGGTGCACACCTGTAATCCCAGTTACTCGGGAGGCTGAGGCAGGAGAATCACTTGAACCCGGGCGGCAGAGGTTGCAGTGAGCCGAGATCGTGCTGTTGCACTCCAGCCTGGGCGACGGAGTGAGACTCTGTCAAAAAAAAAAAAAAATCCTACTCCGTTTAACCAACTGTAAATATAAAATTGTACAGTATACATAGGGAATAACTTAAAGTGTATGTATTTCAGTAAAATAAAATAACAAAGCATCTATTTACCCTATCTAGAGTAAAATGGAGGAGCTGGGGAACCATCATGTGGAAACAGCTGGAGAAGTCCCGAGAATAGAACTGTTTCTAAAGCTGATAGAGACCAGGCACAGTGGCTTCTGCCTGTAATCCCAGCATTTTGGGAGGCTGAGGCAAGAGGATCACTTGAAGCCAGGAGTTCGAGATCAGCCTGGGTAATAAAGCAAGACCCCATCTCTTAAAAAAAAAAAAAAAAAGATGTTAGCTAGACAGTAGTTAGGAGTGAGTGCACTTGAATTTGTTAGGGTGATGGTTTGTACCTGGTTTGCTGTAATTGGCAGGGTGTTGCAGTTAATCTTTACGAATTGAATTTGATGTAAATAAAGATCAGGCTATAATTTAAATTTGAATTTTAATCCCTCTTTGTTAAAATCCCTTTCTGTTCTTCTCATCACCCTTTCTTTGCTAACATTGTAATTTATGGTGAGAGAATTTTAGTTTGCTTCATTTGATTTGAGAAGCCTTAGGAGACTGGCCTATTTTACTTGCAAATAGAAGGTTTATACTGAATATTTACGTAGAAGGATCATTATGTTTTAAACGTCACTATTTTTTTTTCAGTAAATGACATGTTCGATAATATTTTATTAAATCTAGAAAAGGAGACAAAGTTGATGTCATTTCAGATAGTATAGTTACAGATGGTTTCTGTGAAAATGTGTGCACATTTATGTACAGTTGACCCTTGAACAACACAGGGGTTAAGGATGCTGACCTCCCACTCAGTTGAACTGTGTGTAACTGAGTTCTGGGGAGATTCTGACTCCCCAAAATCTCTACTGTTGAGCAGAAGCCTTACCAATGACATAAACAGTTGATTGACACATATTTTGTATATGTGTTATATACCGTATTTTTGAAGTAAGCTAGAGGAAAGACTATTATTAAGAAAATCATAAGGAAAATAATTTACAGTACTGTACTTCTGATACCATAAGTTCATATTATCTGTTTACAAGATGAGTCTTCTGAAATGGTAGCAACCACAGCTGTAGATCTCAATCTACGGTCCCTATTAAGTGGACCTTCTAATCTGTGGTCCAATTCAACATTTCGTTGTCAAGTCATGACATTTCTCTGCTTCTTGGGAGCACTGCCAGCATCACTAGTGGCACTTGGTATGGCTCCCATGGTGTTATTCAAGGTTTACAATATAGCATTAAACACAATGAAAAAAACACAAGAACTGCAAGAGATCACTTTTTACTGTAATACACAATTTTCTGGAGAGATAAACTGCTCACAGGAAGATGATTAATGTCTCACAGTGTCTTAAGCGGATACTCGCAACACTCAAGCTCATCCCAATAGCAACAGGAGGTGGCGGTGAAATTATTATGGTAGTACAGTATGGAGTACAGTTAATTTTATGCAGTTATGATTTCATACTGCATCTTTATGTTTGTTTACATTTCTTTCAACTGTGAATGGTGTCATATAACAATCTAAGTGCGCATGTGTACATTTTGATAAATTCTTAAGTTTTTATAATTTATATATATTTTATGTTAGTAGATGATAGACTAGTGTTTGCATATTTTTATGCATTCATGACATACCTAACTGTAAACATTTTTCAGTATTTCTAGGTTACCCGGTTTATCTGTGAGTTTTTTTCAAACTTGCAAATCTTCAAAAATTTAAAAATATGTTTATTGAAAAAAATCCACAGGCAAGTGAACCCTCTCAGTTCAAAGCCATGTTGTTCAGGGTCAATTCTATTATATTTCCATGTCATTTTTATAACTACCCATACTGGCTAAAGGCAAAATGGTAGCTTACCTTTATTGGACTGATAATGATATCCCTTGATAGTTGGTAAAAGGAGCTGTTTTACCCAGCGTTTTCCCATTATCTTCTTTCTTTCCCATTACATGATACGAATGGTAACAATGTACTTTTATGAGAGGCTTTATTTATTGAGGATTAATGTGTTATAAGCAGTATAATAAAGGCTTTATTATTACATCTATTAACTCTCTCAAGATTTGCATGAAGTACGCAGTACTATTCCCATTTTGCATACTAAAGAAACAATTCTAGTACTTTGAGGGGGCTGTGGCAGGAAGATCGCTTGAGTCTAGAAGTTCAAGTCCAGCCAGGACAACATAGTGAGACCCCCCTTCTCTACTAAACAATAAAAAAAATCAGCCGGGCATGGTGGCGTGTGCCTGTAGTCTCAGTTACTCAGGTGGCTGAGGATCTACTGAGGTGGGAGGATCACTCAAGCTCAGGAATTTGAGGCTGCAGTGAGCCATGATTGTGCCACTGCACTCCAGCCTGGGCATTAAAGGAAGACCCAGACACTGTCTCTTAAAAAGAGAGATGAAGTGACTTGCTTAAGTTAGTAAATGGAAGAACTGAGAGTTTAATCTAGGATCTGTGACCTGAAACCCATCATTTTAACTTCTCTCATATTGTATGTTGTGTGCATTTTTAGTTAATTGACTATAACACTCATGGTTACATGCTTTAAGCCTTTAGTCTCCTCTACCTTACAACCCATTTACTTAAGAAAATCTTCGCATTCTCTTTTTGAACCTAAAATACTCGTGATGATACTTTGATGCCGACAAGCATTTCTAGGAATAGAGTGGAGAGGGCAAGAGAGATCATCTTTAGTCAGACAAGTTGTAATTTTGTTTGGTTCTTAAAGGTAGGTGTTTGGTGTAGGTTTCTTTGAAGGCAATTTATGTATGGTAAGGGAAATATAGTTTACTTTAGAAAGTAGATGCTTACTATTGATTAGTATCAATGAATCAGTATTTTCTGCAGAATTTAAACAATTGTATTTAAGGGTTACAAGATCTTATTTTTACCAAATGAGGATTCCATTGAAATGCTTTACTGTCTTAAGCCTCCTCCCCTTACTCCTTGGAGATGTGGATGGGATTAAAAAAAAAAGAATTATATTGATGTTTTCTTTGGATAAAGTTGTTAAAATAATGAGTTGGTTCATTAGGCTCCTCCAAAGGTAGATAATGATACCTTCTGATTTCTTTAAACCTCCTGGGTTTAAACATTTGTTATGTGTCCGTCCATTGCAGTTATCCATATTGATATTCCAGTTGTTCCAGGGGAATCTCTTCAAGTTGGTTCCTGAGCACTTTTGATGCCACATTAGTGGTCTTTGATAGCTTTCTTGCTGTCTGGTATGATCTCAAGGGTGTTCCAGGCCTATCTTTTTATATCCTCCCCAGTTCTGGAAATAGCCAAGTGTCCAAGGAGCCTTGGTTTCTTTTTCTAACTGCTATAATCTTTCTCACTCAACTATCCTTTGTAGCTCCTAGAAAAACGTATTTTTATAGAAAAGAATGTAACTCTTCATCCACCTGTCTTCCTATGGAAAGACAGAAATATATCTTGGAAGGAATTGGTATTAATAGCCTCCAAAGTAATGGTTCTCAAAATTTTTTATCTCGAGACTCTAAAACTTTTAAAATTATTAAGGGCTCTCAAAACCTTGTGCTTTTGTAGGTAAATGTCAATCAGTATTTACCGTATTAAAAATTAAAACTAAGATTTTTAAAATGACTTAATAATTCATTTTAAAACCACAGTAAACCCATTATATGTGTACATAATATATTTTTTGAGAAATGATTACATTTTCTAAAACAAAAATATTTAATGAGACCAAGAGGGATTGCTTTTTTTTTTAAATAAATTTCTTTAATGTCCAGCATAAGAGAGGACAGCTGGATTCTTATATCTGCTTGTACATTTAATCTAACACTGTATGTTGTTTTGGCTGAGGTATATAAAGAAAACCTGGCCTCAGATATGTGG
This sequence comes from Homo sapiens, assembly GCF_000001405.40. Taxonomy (NCBI): domain Eukaryota; kingdom Metazoa; phylum Chordata; class Mammalia; order Primates; family Hominidae; genus Homo; species Homo sapiens. Next base: position 174,199,873 of record NC_000002.12, on the reverse strand, counting down.
TTAGAAAAGGGAAGAGTATTTTAATAACCTTTCAGATAATTGTGAATATTCTTCTTTGATACTACATCAAAACTTGACAAATAATAGTATCTTAAAAGTTAATCGGAATGTGGAATCTGCAACTATAACAATGAACATTCTGTACTCATATTAAAGTCCCTTAGTCTATCTTGTACTTTGAGTGACTCTTTTACCCATTTGGTTGTTTGGAAAATGCTGATTCTTGGTGAGTGATACAGATATTCCAAATCTTGAGACCTTATGTGATACAGTATCAAAAAAATCAAATCTGTTGATATCACCACAGATCTCATCAGAAAAATCTTTAAATATTGGGAAGTTGTCAGGGTTACAGTGGCAAATGCACATTTTCAAAAATTATAATTTTTACTTGAAAGTCTGAATCCTGCCACCTCCCAACCCCCCACTATCTTGCCAGGTCTTATTAACACTTGACAAGGAATGGAGCATTGGCTGTGTTTGAGCAGCTGCCCCCTGCTAGTGTGTAATTCAGGGAATTGGGAACATGGGAATGTTTTTGGGTGGTGTGGTCTGTGTCTGCCCCATCCTGAGCTTTCCCCCGGTGGCTGAGAGCCTGAATTTTATAATTTACAAGAAAATGGCTGCCAGATACAAAAGATTAAATAACCATAGTTTGAATGTCAGTTATTTTTTCACATAGAAATGGGGTTCTACAAAAAAGTGGCCAGTTCAGCTTGCAACCCAAATGCTTTCCTTTAACAACCATTATTTTGGTATGTAGCAGAAACATTTTATGCATACTTCTGTTTCCTCACCCAGCACGTTAGAGATGTATACCCAAGGGTTGAGATACAATAAAATTAATAGCCCTTACTGATTCATCAAGGACTGCCTTAGGTGAAACTGGGTTGTTTATTTTTAATTGTGATGAATACATTGACCAAGTACAATATGACCTTGATTCATGCTAAGATACTAGCAGTTTTTCCCACAATTACTTTTGTACCATGACTGCTGATGTCAATACAGTGAAAAAGGCAAATAACATGTTAATATTATTATGAAATTACATATATGTAAAACTATATATATATAGACAGAGAGAAATTTTGAGACAGAGGCTCACTCCATCACCCAGGCTGGAGTGTAGTGGTGTGATCTTGGCTCACTGCAACGTCTGCCTCCCAGGTTCAAGCAATTCTTGTGCCTCAGCTTCCTGAGTAGCTGGGATTACAGGTGCCCACTGCCATACCCGGCTAATTTATGTATTTTTAGTAGAGACAGGGTTTTGCCATCTTGGCCAGGCTGGTCTCGGAACTCTTGACCTCAAATGATTTGCCTGCCTTGGCCTCCCAAAGTGCTAGGATTACAGGCATGAGCTACTGTGCCTGGCCTAAAATAATATTTTGACCTTGAAGACTCCCAGGGGTTTATGGACCATACTTTAAGAACCCCTGCTTTAAGTTATTTGAAAATATCCAGAAGCCTATATTAGTCTTTATTAATCTGCCCACTTTCTTGTTTTTAACTTGGATTTCTTCAGTTCCTACAAGTGCATGTAAATGACATTAATTTAGAACTCAGTTTTACCATTTTTGCTTTGCAAGCATTGCATATAAAATTTTATTGCAGGCTGGGCACGGTGGCTCATGCCTGTAATCCCAGCACTTTGGGAGGCCAAGGCAGGCGGATCACAAGGTCAGGAGATCGAGATCATCCTGGCCAACATGGTGAAGCCCCGTCTCTACTAAAAATATAAAAATTAGCTGGACGTGGTGGCATGCCTGTAATCCCAGCTACTAGGGGGTGCTGAGGCAGGAGAATCGCTTGAACCTGAGAGGCAGAGATTGCAGTGAGCCGAGATCATGCCACTGCACTCCAGTCTGGCGACAGAGCAAGACTCCATCTCAAAACAAAACAAAACAAACCTTTATTGCAAATGTGCAGAGCTTTCAGCTACGTGATCATTTGAAAAGACTGAATAGCTATTGTATGTTTTGAACCCCTTGCTTACAAATTAATATTTGGCTATACTGTGTCAATAAATTGGATGTTAAACCTACACTCCAGCATTAAACAGTTTTAATGTGGGTTTGAGGTATTCCTTGCTTATATTAATGTGACTGTAAGAGAAGTTGTAGATCACATTTGCCTATTTATTTTTTCTTCATTTCTTAGTAGCTTAATTCCATCCCTCTTCACCCTTTAAACTACAGCAATTGTCACCCTTTGAACTAGAACAGCTAAAATCACTTAAGAGAAATAAGGATCCTTTGTGTACAGGAACATTTAGAGGTAGGGAAGTGGGAAGAATCCTTCACAGTGTAATTCATTCCTAATCAAAAATTTTCCCCCCTGGGCTTCATTGGAGTTGGGGGTGGGAGAGCGAGTACCTATGTTTCAGACTTTTGAAGTTTAATTTCATTCTGACTTGGAATTATTCTCATAAAAAAAAAAAACAACAAACCAACAACATCAAAACAACATACCTTCTAGCGCTTTATTAAAAGGTTAAATCCTTAGGTGGTGGTAGTAGGGGGGAATGCTAATCATTCTGGACACTGCCATCTGTTTCAATTTTTGCCATCAGTGAGAAACTGCCCCCAACACTGCAGTTAATTAGGCCTTTAGAGCTTGGGTGTTTGTTGTTTTGTTTAGCTTCTATGGGAAGGTTTTCTCCAGCACTGAGTAACAGTAGCCAGATATCAATTAACCTATTTATGCCTAAGTGTTCCATTATTGGAACACTAAGCTTGTGGGAGTTATTTATATCTTACTGCACAAGGTCTTCTCCATGGTCTGATTTTTCACACAAAAAAACAACTTGCCACCTCTGGTGTAAATGGGTTAATAGAACAAATGTTAAAAAATATTTGAAAATATTGTAACATAAATTATTAACCTATAGAATACACTGGCAACATATTACTACATTGGTAATATATCAATACATTGTCTTATATAAACATTTTTAGCCCAGCATTAATTCTAGTTTGTCTGATTCAGCTTCTTTTTTAGGTTGAGAATATTATATTTCCCTATTTAAGAGTTCTTTTAGTTATTCAAAGATTATAGCAGATATTCTGACAGGGCATATTATAAAAACGTTGATTGTGAACATGTTAAAAGCTTCTCTTCAGTATTTTCTTTTTATAAACCACCTGTTGTCTTATGTGCATAGCATATACATTTGAACAAAGTGCTCATCACTTGTCAGCCATCAGTGGCAGCATAGAAATTACTTGTGGTACTTGCTTTGCAAGAAATTCTTTTGTATTTGTGACATCAGCTTTGTTTTATACAATTAAAGTATTACACGCTAGAATAATCTAAATTACAACCACCAAATGGTGATGAAGTTCTTCCCTTGAACTGAATTTGTTTACTTAATGTGTGCAGCTATTGACTATTATTTAAAATGACAGTTTCATAAAAATCTCTCCCTTATTTTGGTAGCAAATAAGAAGGTGTTGTAATATTAAAGGTATTTCTCAATTTTAAAATGTACTTTGAATAAATATTACATTAAGAGATAAAGTGTGGAAAATCCCATGTGTGTGAAAATCCTTCAATTATACAATTTGATTTTCAAATGAAATTTAATGCTCTTAATATGATACATTCATGATCACTTTAATAGTATTTTTCTAATTTTTAAATTCCCAGTTAAAAGCATTTTGCACTCATTTTAATTCATTTTCTTCTGTTAAAAAGGAACAAAATATAACTGATTAAAACTTAAGATTGATATTGGAATAAATATTTAGACTGTTAGATAACTTCTTTTATATTCGCATGAGCATTAACTCTACACAGCAATCTAGATGCTTAGAGAACCATACCAATGCATTCTAAGTAATTGAGTTTTTTTCCTTTAATGTTTTGTTAAATAATCCTGGTTATAATTTATTTGAGTAAGTTAACAGTACTAGTATATTGACATTATTTGGGTTGACAAGTATTTTTAGATAATTATTTCACTGAACATGTTTCGGGACTAATGGAATAAAATTACTCATTTAAAGTAAGTTTATTATCTTGTACTTTGTAAAAAGCTTTAAGAATGTCACTGTTATTTAATAATAGGTAAAAGGTATATTTAGTTTTAATTTTAATAACAGGTAAAAGGTATAGTATAAGGATGTTTTCTAAAGTAGCCAGTGGTATGCCTCTGCAATATAATTGGCTTGCTAAACCTCAATAATAGTTGGCATACAGAAACTCTACATGAATTCAGTGATTAAAAGCAGGAAAACTACTTAAAATAAGACCTTTTTGTTCTTTTTAGAAACAATCTAAATGAGAACTTTATATTTGCAGGAACAAGATTTGGCATTTCTTTTTCACTGCTTGGTTGCTTTGATGTGAGCAGTATAATGTAGTGGACATTAGTATATAAGTAAATGATTAAATGAGTCATAAGATGGAACATCTGCCTGAGAAGGCCTTTCAGACAGCATGAGTTATGTTGTTGAAGTCTCTAATCAGTGCATCTGTCCCTGAGACTTCAGTTGGTACAAGGATAGTTTTCTATTTTGGATTAGTTACTATATGAAGACAGCATATTTAAAAAAAATTTTTTCATGCATGCAACTGGAAAATTTGTGCCTGTGATATTGGAATAAAAAAATTACAGCAGTGATTTTTTTTTTGAGCATAGTAATAAAGGATAGCAATAAGTGTATAAAATTTAACTTTTATATGCCTTAAAATGGTTATTTATGGTAGGATTTTACATTACAGACCCATAAGTCTTAATGTCTTACCTGAGGAAATATTCTTAGAAATAATGTTATTACAACAGGACATAAATTCAGATGAAGGCTGAAGCACAGCAGGATTCAGATAGGATGTTTAACTGAAACTGCAGACCATATCGTGGGTCCCTTCCGATCTGGAATATTACCATAGTTTCAAAGTTGCAGAGAGAGAGAGAGAAAATATGAATATGCACGTTTGTATGTTGTATACAAGATAAAAACTCCTAACCAAGAGCACATTGTAGAATACCAGAGGATGATGACATAGAGTTGTGGTAAATGTATGTATGTTTTATTCTTTATAATCAACAAGCCACAGGAGACAAATTCTTGTGATCATAGTTAATTTTCACTAAAGGGTGCAATCGAAAGAAGAAATTGGCTCTTCTTTCCTTCAAAAATTTATACTTAGCTGTTCAATTAAACTTTTTTACAAGAAAATAATGAGTGTAATTAAAGGAGAATATGGGGGTTTGAGTAAGAATTGGGCACATGTTAATTTACGTATTGGGATTTTTAAATCTTTGAAATATAGACCAGTCATCGGGAAATATTTTTATTTTAAAAAGGGGTTTTAAAAAGTTGTGAGGCCCTCTAGTTTTTGCCCTGGGGTGTAGAGAGCCGGAAGGAGTATCACTCCCACCCTCGCAATGAAAAAGAGCCTGACTAACTTTAAAATGTAAGGATATACAGTGCCTATGGGGATGGAGGAGACATGAACCCACACTCAACTTGGATAGACACAACGGGACACCAGTGAGAAGAGTTCAGCTAGAATTGGGACAGATTAGTGAAGGTTGAGTCCAGGCCAGCAAGAATTTGTGATGTCCGTGAAGGCTGCAGAAATTGGGGAACCTGGTACCCTCTTGTATATTCTTTCTTCACTAGTGGATGGGGTAGGAATCCCAGGAGATGGGAAATGGGAAAGAGTCCCCAAAAGTATGCGATGTGGCACACACCCTGGGGACGAGAACAGCGGTGACACGTGGCTTCTTCCTTCTCTCCACTATACAACAAAAGCCATCATCTGGGAACAGTGGAGTGGAAAGGAGGTAGTAAGCACAGCAAGCCTTAGGGCCTTGATGAAATTCTGAAATTCATTGCAGTTGGGGAGAGGAAAGTGCGTGCACGTGTGTGTGTCTACTTTGTCAGGAATATGCGGGGCCCACAACTGTAGTTTAGGGCAGGAGGTTAGATAACTGATACAGCTATATCTTCAAGACCCAGGCTGACATGTGACTAAGGCTGAGCCTTGCTCAGAACAACAGAGGATTGATCTGGGCCCCCAACCATTTCTCACCATCAAACTAACAGGTTTCTAATAATAATTAACAGCTGCTGGGTTAGAGACAGGAGAGGAAAAAAGAATAGACAGCGATTCCTGGTGTAAAAGAAAGAGCTGAACTCACAATAGAATAGACATTACTCTGATAAATTAAGGCCCATCATAAAAACAAGATATTTCTACAGGAGTTTAAAGCCTGTAGTATACTCAGGGTAACAATAGTGCTAACTTCAAACCCAGCCCAGTGCCTAACTAGATAAACTCTAACCCTTCAGTAAAGGCCTAGGAGAAGAAAAGTCTTGCCCCATTTTAGGCATAAAAACTATTTAGTTTCTACTGTTGCACACAAGAGGATCAGCTTCCAATAACAACAACAACAAAAAACCATGAGATGTATTTAAAAAGCAAGAAAAAAAAGCACTCAGGGATAAAGCAATCATTGAAACTAGCCTTAGACAGCTGGGTGCAGTGGCTCACGCCTGTAATCCCAGCCCTTTGGGAGGCCGAGGTGGGTGGATCACCTGAGGTCAGGAGTTTAAGACCAGCCTGGTCAACATGGTGAAACCTCATCTCTGCTAAAAATACAGAAATTAGCTGGGCATGGTGGTGCATGCCTATAATCCCAGCTACTCGGGAAGCTGAGGCACGAGAATCGCTTGAATCCAGAGGGCGGAAGTTGCAGTGAGCTGAGATTGTGCCACTGCACTCCAGCCTGGGCAACAGAGCGAGACCCCCATCTCAAAAAAAAAAAAAAAGAAAGAAAGAAATATTTTAAGAAATAATGACCAAGAATTTTCCAAAATTAATGAGACACAAAACCATAGGTCCAAAAAGCTCAGAGAATAACAAGCAGGATAAATACCACACACATACGCTTACACACGTGGACATGTAGTATTCAAGCTGCTTAAAATGAAAGGTAAAAAGAAAATCTCTAAGGCACCCGGAGAAAAAGGTAACATTATGTATAGAGAACAATGATAGGAAGTTTGTGTGATGGCTGACTTTTCGAAACTATGGAAGCTAGGAGACAGTGGAATGACACTTTGGAAGTGCTGAAAGAAAAAAACTCAGCCCAGAAATCTGTGCCTAATGAGAATGTTTTTCAGAAATGAAACAGAAATAGTCTTTCATAGGCAAACAAAGACTAGGAATTCATTGCCAGTAGACCTACTCTACAAGAAATGTTAAAGCAAGTTCTTCAGGCAGATGGAATAAATGAAGGAAAAAATTGATATTTTATTGCTAATTCTTCTGAAATAAGAATCAGCAAACTTTTTATATAAAGATTAGATAATAAATATTATAGGCTTTGAGGGTCATATGGTTTTTGAAACTACTCAACTTTGCAGTTGTCGTGTGAAATATGAATGAATGAATGAGCACGTACCAAATATGAAGTGGTGTGTAGGCTGAGTATCTCTAATCTAAAAATTCAAAATTAAAATGCTTCAAAATCTGAAACTTTTTGAGGGCTGACATGACGCTCAAAGGAAATGCTTGTAGGAGCATTTTAGATTTTGGATTTTTAGATTATGGATGCTTAACTGATAAGTATAATGCACATATTCCAAAATCCAAAATAAATCCAAAATCTGAAACACTTCTGGTCTCAGGCATTTTGGATAAGGGATACTTATAATATCACTTAAAGGTGGACTCAGATTAATGAAAAATGTATATTGTAAACCTTTGGACAACTACTGAAAGTTTTGAAATAGAGTCATAATAATAAATCTATAGAAGAGACAAAATGGAATTATAAAAAAATCCTTAGCACAAGTCAGAGAAAGAGGAAGAAAGAAAGAATAGCTGGAGTAAGTAGAAAATTGCTAGCAAGATGGTAGATTTTAGTCCAGTCATATCAATAATATTAAATGTGAATATTCTAAATCAGGGATTGGCAAACTGCTGCCGGCTAGTTTCATTTGTTTGTACATATGTGCTGTGATCGAGAGAATTCCTGGACTTAGAGTGCATCTAGAATTTAGACAGCCATAAACATGTGCATGAGGAAGAATTTAGATAATGCACGGTGTGATCCACCAGTTTACTGGTAATTTTTTTTTCAAGAAACAATTTTTGGTTGGATGTGGTGGCTCATGCCTATAATCCCAACACTGTTGGAGGCCAAGCTGAGAGGATTGCTTGAGGTCAGGAGTTTGAGACCAGCCTGGGCAACACAGTGAGACCCCATATCTACACAAATTTTAAAAAATAATAAATTAGCTGAGTATGGTGACGGGTGCCTCTAGTCCCAGCTACTCAGTGGGCTGAGGCGGGAAGATCACTTCAGCCCAGTAGTTCAAGGCTGCAGTGAGCTGTGATTTCACCTCTGCACTCCAGCCTGAGCGACAGAGCCAGAGCCAGGACCCTGTCTTCACAAAAGAAAAAAAAAAAGAAAAGAATTTTCATTTTAGGGGAAAAAATTGACTTGGGTGAATGTGGGTAAAGATAAAAGGGGACATTGTGTTTTAGACTTTAGGAAGACTTTTCTGAAATAAAGGAGAAAGTGTTATTGTAAACATACGCTGAAGCTGTTCTGTCTTGTCAGTTTCCTAAATGACATTGGATCAGGAATTATTTTTCTGTATATACATATATTTTTAAGTATAAATTGTATATTTATGTTGTACAACATGATGTTTTCGTATATGTATACGTTGTGGATTGGCTAAATCAAGGTGTTTATACATTACCTCACATACTTGTCATTTTTTTGGTTGGGGGAACACTTGAAATCTACTCTTAGCAATTTTCAAGGATACAAATATAGTATTAACTATACTCACTGTTATGTACAATAGAGCTCTTGAATGGATTCTTCTTGTCTAAGTGAAATTTTATTTTATATCCTTTGACCCAGAGTTACTTTCCTTTTTTTTTTTTTTTTTTTTTTTTTGAGACGAAGTCTTGCTCTGTTGCCCAGGCTGGAGTACAGTGGCGCAATCTCGGCTCACTGCAAGCTCTGCCTCCCGGGTTCAAGCCATTCGACCCAGAGTTACTTTCTAATGTAAGAAGTTTTCAGAATTGATTTGTGAAACATAACCTTTTATTAGGTACACACCCATTATTCCTAGAGCTAAGGTATATTTTTGTCCTTTGGAATACTGCTGAATGTACTAAAATAGGAATGCTTCCACATTACTCTTTGATAATTACTAATGTGTGGTTGATCAAAATCTGTTCTTAATATTGTGCTTGTAACTTTCAGGTAAATCATTTGAAGCAGTACTTACTGCCTTTGAAGATAGAATTTCATGTATCCAACATAGAATTTCATTCTATGAAATTCTATAAAATATATAAATATAGAATATATTTCATATATTTCAAATAACCCAATATTTGGAAATAGGTCTGTGTATTTTAGTCCCAGCTTTGTAACTTACTAGTTTTGTGCAAGGAGTAATATTTAAGCTTCGTGAGTCTCAGTTTCCTCATATGTGAAATGGAGATGATTTTCATATTCGGTTTATAGTCATAATTAAATGAGATATATGTCAAATATTAATTACTGAGAAATACTAAACAAATTTAAATCCAAAAGTAATTGTTTTGAGCAGGTAATTACGTATGTGGCACAAAAGTAAAACAGACATAAAGGTATATGCCGAGAAGGTTTACTCCTTGTCTGTATCTACCATGTCCCTCCTCACGCCCACAGCATTTATTTTTACTAGTTCCTTATTTATTTTTCTGTAATTTCTTTATACAAATATAAACAAATGCAATTCAATATTTTTTTCCTCTTTCTTAAATGAAAAATAGCCTACCAGGTACACTGAAGTACCTTACTTTTGGCATTTACAGTCTCCTGGAGGGCCTCCACAGCAGCGCACAGTTATTGTTTTCATTTTTCTTCTCAGATGTATTTTATTTCATTTTATGGCTGTAATGTTGTTTATTCAGATCATTCAGTATTGGTGGGTACTTGAGTGTTTTCCAGTTGTGTGTGTGTGTGTTTTGTTTTTTTTTTTTTTGCTCTGATTATATTATAATGCCACAAGGCCAAATTCATAATTCAGTATATATGTCATTTCCTACTTGTATACTGAATGGGAGATAGATTTACAAAAATGGGATTGTTGGGTCAAAGAGAAAATGCATCAGTAATTATGGTAGATATTCAAGTTTCCCATTTAGGAGTTATACCATTTTGTACTGCTACCAACAGTGTATGCGAATGCCTATTTCTCTATGACCTTGCCAGCAGAATGTGTTAAACCTGCATATTTTTGCACTTTGCTAGGAGAGAATTGATATGTTGGTATAGTTTTACTTTGCTTTTCTCATTATGAGTGAGTGAGACCGAACATCTCTTCATATTTAAGAGCTATTTTTTTAATGGATTGCCTGTTCAAGTTGCTTGTCCCTTATTGTATTGTTCTTTCTTTCATTTTTAAATTTCTTAACACCTAAGACTTCTTTATAGATATCAGCCCTATGTTGTATGAGTTGCAGATTTTTTTCCATGTTTGTCATTTGTGCTTTAACTTTCTTTGTGATGTCTTGTGCTATTCAAAGTTTTTTTTAGTTGAACTGAGTTATCAGAAAGGTTTTCCTCAACCCATGGTTACAAAATAATTCACTTATATTTTCTTTCAGTACTTTTATTATTTCATTTTTTTCTTTGTAAATCTCTAATCCACTTACAGTTTATATGCACTGAGACCTAGATCCTACCTTTTTATGTTTTTTGAAAACAGCTCTTTGGTTATTCAATAATGTGTATTAAAAAGTCTATATTTATGGATTTGAGCTGCTTTTATCATATGCTAGATTCCTATGAGTATTTAGGCCATTTCAGATCTTCCTATTCTGTTTCATCAATATGCCAATGTATTTTTCTTAATGCCATACCTTTTATATAATTAAGATATAGTAATATAAGGTGAATATCTCTTATCTGAAGTGCTTGGGGCCAGAAGTGTTTTGGATTTTGGATTTTCTCAGATTTTGGAACATTTGCATATACATAATGAGATATCTTGGGTATGGGACCCAAGTCTAAACATGAAATTTATTTATGTTTCATATACACCTTATACACATAGCTGAAAGTAATTTTATACAATATTTTTTAATAATTTTGTGCATGAAACAAAAGTTTGTATATGTCAAACCATCAGAAAGCAAAGGTGTCAGTATCTCAGCCACCCATGGGGACAATCTGTAGTTGTTTTGCATCACCATCCTTCCTGACTCTGAATTTAAATGCTGCTGATAAGCAGCCATTTTCTTACACTTATTTACATCTAAGTACTTAACAGTAAATATAACATGTCATTAATATGTGAAAAGATAATGTGTTCAGGGTAACTCAGCAGCACAGTAGCATCACCAGAATACCCGTGTCAGCTGTTAGACAACAACATCCAACAGCAGCAGGCTTTCAGTCTCCATCTATGATGCTGTATTTTGACAAAAAGTTTACTGTATACGGTATTTATTATTATTATTATTATTATTATTTTTAGGAGGAAAGAAACATTAGAGGCAATTGAAGGACCAGAAAGTGGGTTTTGTAGGCGTGAGGAGACATTCTGCTCGATGGCTTTTTAAAATGTTTGCTCCAGATCATCTGCCTCATTAACAACATTTTTGTGTCTTAACAACCTCTCTGATTTTGTAAACTGACATGATTCCTTGTTCTGTTATGAACGCATGTTGTTCTAGTCCTTCTATAAGCCCATCACACATTTTCACCATGTGGTCCATATGTACTTCTGCAGAATTAATGTCCTCTCCATCATTGGTTTTATCATGATCACCTTGATTCAGAACCATTTTGGCCGTTTAACCACTGGTCAATGAATGAACAACTGGAGCCTCATTCCAGCTTGCTGACAGACTCTGAAGGTATATATTTTGCATATATAAGGAGGTCAGGCATCATTTTTTCTCACTGGACATACAGAATCCTTCACAGTCACCACCTTATTCATCATCACTCAGCATAGTCACAGGACAGAGGTTGTGTCTTTAGTTACTGTGTTCCAAACATTGGCAACAACATATGTGGCTTCCTTCATGCTAAACTCCTTTTGAAAACCTTCCATACCCCTGCCTCTGTTCACTGCTACTAGCATGCTATTCAAGAAAGTGTTTTTCTATTTACTCTTCGTTGATCTAAGGATACCCTGATCACATGACTTAGTTAAAGAAGTCACATCGGAGGAAAGTACATGGCATAAATATTACTTTTGATGAGAATTTCAGCTGGAGGATGAGCAAAACAATTTCCAAGGAATAACAAAATCTTGCAGTGTCATCCAATCCAGCTTCCCTACAGTGAGCATGAGCTGCTGGTACAAAATGTTTGTGAAACCAATTAGAAATGGTGTCTGTGGTGATCCATGCCTTTTTGTTAGCATAATGGACTGGTAAGAAGTTCACTCCTTGAAAATAGCAAGGATGCAAGCTTTTGGCTCTCACAGCAAATGTGCCTGCTGTATTAGCACATCCTAGCACAGGTATTCTGTTGTTGGCATCCTTAATTCCTTAGGAACTGTCTTATTACCTGTAGTCAGTATCTTTCTGGGGCAATAACACCAAAACAGTAGTGATTTTTCTCGAGCAATATAGACTTGTTCTGGCATCACATTTTCATCAGTGATGACCTTGGCAAATGTGTCAGTGTATTTTTCATTGATTTGTGATCAGCAGATGCTTTATTACCACAAAATTTTAAAAATTGAATAGAGTGTCTTAAATTTCTGCAACCAAACTGTTGAATATTCACAATTCCCTTTAATTTTTAGTTCTTCATGTGAATCTTTGTTTGTTTTTTGATCATATTATTAAATGGCATGTGTTCACTGTGATACTGATGGATCCACTTTTTCAATACATGATGGAGATCTTCATTTTTAGCTTTATTTGGTATTTTTCTGTTTTTCATTAACTTCTGTTCATCACTTTTGGTATGGAGTGTCAACAGTTTGCCCTTGTTTCTTCATGTCTTATATGGTGGACATTTCAACATCATGCTCTCCTGCAGGACGTTTCACACTTACCCCGCTGTCCAGTTTCTCCAGGTCTTTCTGTGCTATAGATAAACATAAACATTTCCTTTTTTTCTTATCACTGTTACCTATAGGGGCATCTGCAGGCCTTTTTTCCAACATTTTCGATAATTTTTTACACCGCAGAGCACAGAATAAGCAAAAAAAAATAGCGAGTAATGCACATAGGTCTTGGCCTTAGGTAGGAACATCAGCAGGGAACCTGTGTGTCCAGCCTGTACAACACGTGCCATTTTACTACCCTTTGTGGATGTGCTTGCCTGGGGGAATCTGGGTATGATCGGAAAAGATATGCCAGCTCAAGAGGACTAAGAGGGTCTTTTTTTCTCTTGGGGATGCTGAATAAACTGTGTGCTGTGCACTTGCATTTTGACTGTGAGCTGTCACAGAAGTCAGGTTTGAAATTTTCCACCTGTGGTGTCATGTTGGAGCTCATAAAGTTTTGGATATTGGAGCATTTTGGGTTTCAGATTTTTGGATTATGGAGTTCAACCTTATCTTGTCAAGCTTATTTCCTTTCATATTCAGAGTGTTTGGTCTTACTTGTTTATTTTTTCCATACAAACTTAAGAATCGGCTTTCTTCATCCTACAAGCAGAAATCTTGTTGGAATTATTATTGTGAAGACAATAAATTTATATGTTAACTTACTTACATGTTTTGAATCTTCCCATTCAAAAACATGATATGTTCTTTTACTTGTTGAAGTCTACTATTAGAGCATTTAGAAATGTGTTAAAGGTCTCTCATGTTGGTTTTGTACATTTCTTGTAAAGTTTATTTCTAGATGTCTTGTCTCTTTTTTGTTGGTATTGTAAATGTGTTATTCTCTTATGTAATGTTTTCTGATTGCTGTTTATATGTGAAAAATACTTTATTTATTTATTTATTTGAGTTGGAGTCTTGCTTTGTCATCTAGGCTGGAGTGCAATGGCATGATCTTGGTTCACTGCAACCTCTACCTCCTGGAGGTAGTGATTCTCCTGTCTCAGCCTCCCAAGTAGCTAGGACTACAGGCACGTGCTACCACACCTGGCTAATTTTTGTATTTTTAGTAGAAACGAGGTTTTGCCATGTTGGCCAGGCTGGTCTTGAACTCCTGACCTCAGATGATCCACTCACTTCAGCCTCCCAATGTGCTGGGATTACAGGTGTGAGCCACCGTGCCCGGCCTGAAAAATACTTTAAAAGATCAGTTTGTTTGTGTAATTCTTTATTAAGTACTGTAGAGATTACCTAAGGAAAATGTGAAAAATATTCTTTCTTCCTTGGTGACTAATATATAGGTTGAATATAAAAAAAAATGCTCATAGGAAAAAAGTCTCAAAAAATAAGTATTCGAATGTTGACAGTGGTTATTTATAGATTTCTAGATGATTTCTTCTTTTGCCTACCTATTTTAGTGGTGATTACTAGTTGTCAACCATAATCCATGCTCTCCTTCTTCTTGGCACATGGCTGCTCATCTTTACTACATTTTATTTTATTTTATTTTTTACTACACTTCCCAGTTAACCTTGAGAATATGTGTTTGTGTTTTCTGCAATGGGTTGTGAAAGGAATTGGTATGTGATACTTTTTGGACTGGATCTCAAGACATTGTGCCTTTCCTAGTAGTTGCTCTTTTCCTTTTATGCTGTTTTAATTGGAAGTACTCAGACCATTCAGATGATGACAGTGCCTTAGTGAAGAGCAGAGCCATGACTTGGAAAGTACCTGAATCTGTGAATGACTACAAGGAACGGGGATCTGCTCCACCAAGCTGGACCATTTATGTTAAGATTGAAATTAAAGAGAAATAAACTTTTCTGTTTGTTAAGCCATAGTATTTTGGAATCCCTTTCACTTCCATAGCCTTATTTATCCTAGCTAATATACCTGCATTTTCTTCACATATTATATACATACATATTACTTTATAATTTTTTTAAAAAGCTATTTTTCAAACAACTTGAGAACATATTATGCATATGATGCTTAAACTTGTTTTTCTTGTTTAACATAGTCTGAATATCTTGCCCATTTTGTTGAAATAAATGTTTTATTTTGGAACAGTGTCAGATTTACAGAAAAGTTTCACAGATGATACATCGAGTTCTCATATACCCCTCACTCAGTTTCAATTCCCTCTTATGTTATCATTTTACTATGGTACATTTGTCAAAACTAAGGAACCAACATTGGTATATTGCTGTTAACTAAACTCTAGACTTCATTTAGATTTCACCAGTTTCACTAATGTCATTTTTCCGGTCCAGGATTCAATCCAGGATATCACATTACATTTACTTGTCATGTTTCCTTAGTCTTCTCTGTTCTCCTGATAGTTTCTTAGTCTTTCTTTATTTTTCATAACCTTGACATACTTCACTGTTCAGATATTTTATAGTCTATTCCTTATATTGGGCTCATCTGGTATCTTCCTCATCATTAAACTGGAGTTATGGGTTTTTGGAAAGAATATTATAGAGGTAAAGTATACTTCACATCATATCCTGGAGTACATGATAACTACATGCCATTAGTGATCTTCCTTGCTTGGTTAAGGTAATGTTGGTCAGGTTTCTCCCCTGCAAAGTTACTGTTCTTTCCTTTCCATATTTTTCTTTTGGAAGCAGGATAAACTTGGGCCACTCTTAAAGCAGAGGAGGAAACACTCATTCTTAAATGCTAAATTTAATTTGATAGATGTTAGTTTTCATGTTCACCAGACCAACTTTGGATACTTGGATTTTTATAAAAAATTTTCATCCTATGGACAGCTGAGCAGCCAGCATGGAATCAGGCTGGAATTTCCTTCTTTAGTTGCATGGAGTATAGCCTGCTGGTTGAGAACAGGAGAGGAAGAAATGAAATCAAAGAATATACCTGTGTCTCAACCCCAAAGCCCCAGTTTTTCTATTGGTCATCTTGATTTGGAAATCAAAGCTAAATTCCTGTCTCTAGAGACCTGAACATTTCTGGTAGTATTAATGAGAAGAGATATTGAGTACCGTTTATTGAGTTCCACTTGAGGTCAGGACTCTGCAAGGCCTTCTACATGAATCATCTCATTTAATCCTAAGAGGAAAGTACTACTATTATCTACATTTTACAAATGAGGAAACTGAGACTTAGATTTTGACTTGCTTAACACTTTCAACATGCAGTGGTAGCCTCCAGATCAAAATCGTTGTTTGCTTGCTTTTGTCCTCTTACACATCACAGTACCACTAGTTCTATATCAATGAGAACAATCTAGTTATCAGAGGAGTATGGTATTTGATAGAGGGATAAGGTAGCTATTTGGGAGTACTGAACAGATAGCATGGAGAGATAAAGGCCACTAATGCTAAGTGGTGAATTCAGATTTTCCAGCTAGGGTTCTCTCTTCTCCAACCTGGATCTTGTGCACTCTGTTTTCCACCTGTTTTCTCTGCCCTAGTGCATACTTCCTGAAATATCTGAAGAAACCCATGAGAGACTGAACTCTTCTGGTCTTAGTTTGGCTCATCATTGCACAGCTGGTGGCTGGATTATCAAGTCTGACTTTGCTATTGGCCAGCTCATTCTGATGCCAGTGGCCTACTTTCTGCTAACTTCGGGTCTTGGTATGCCAACACATTGTAACTAATCCCTCCCTCAGAACTGCACTTGTTGTGTTTTTTTTCTGGGAGTAAGTTATGTGCAGATACAGTAGTTACATTAGCCAAGATTGACCATTTTTTTTGCTGAAGTAGTGTCCCATTTTATTAAAGATGTGATACTGGACTTTTAAAAAAAAATGACGTTTTTAGAGATCGTATGGAGCCACTTAAGGGTGAAACTGTCTTTAACATTTTATTAGCTGAGGCAGTACACACCTACTTTTCAGTGAACTAAATTCTTTGACAAACAGTGAGATTCTGGCATTTATGGAAAACTTTTAGTTTAACTCCCGCAATTAGATGAGGTAATTGGGGATGGAGTAACTGGCAGTTTTGTTGTCACCATCAAATCAACTCAAAACATCTTGCATATTGCATGGCATCTTATAAAAACAGGATAAAAAGACATAGCCCTAACCTGGAGAGACCTGCTTGGGAAGGTTGTTGAAAAGATGGTGAATTGAGGGATGAAAACAGTGGGTTTTTTTATTTGGGAGAAACAAAAATTATTTTCTGTCTAATTATGACCACAGTAATACATTTATATTGTAGGTGAAGTGGCCCATTGCTGTCATATGTGTGCACCTTCCTCAACACCCATTTATACCTCACAGAAATTGAAAGAGATTTTTTAATTTCATTTTTATTTTTATTTTTATTTTTTTGAGACGGAGTTTTGCTCTTGTTGCCCAGGCTGGAGTTGCAATGGCACGATCTCGGCTCACCACAACCTACACCTCCTGGGTTCAAGCGATTCTTCTGCCTCAGCCTCCTGAGTAAGTGGAATTACAGGCATGTGCCACCACGCCTGGCTAATTTTTTGTATTTTTAGTAGAGACAGGGGTTCTTCATGTTGGTCAGGCTGATCTCGAACTCCCGACCTCAGGTGTTCCGCCCACCTCGGCCTCCCAAAGTGCTGGGATTACAGGCGTGAGCCACCGCGCCCGGCCGAAAGAGATTTTTAAAAAGAAATTAAATTGCATATAATACATGTAGATCACTCTTACTCTTTTTAATGGTTATGTAGCATTCTGTCATAGGAACATACTACAGTTTACTTAAATGATGGATATTTAGGTCATTTCAGATTTTTAGTTCTTCAGATATTTAACTCTTTCTTCCCTCTTTCAGTTCCTTATTTTATTGAGAAAACAGAAGCAGTCAGAAAAGAATTACCTCCCTCTTTTCCCACAATTTATTCACTCAAGGATATGATAGTGAACAAATGAAACAAAAATCTGTGCCCTCAAAGTGCTTATATACTAAAGGAGGGAGATAGACAATAAACAAGGTGTTTCAAAAGTAAAGTATGTTGTATATTAGATGGCAATAAATACTGAGGAGAAAAAGTAGGGAAGGAGCATAGTATAGTAAGTGTTGGGGTGGAGTTTGCGGTTTTAAAGGCAAGGAGAGAGACTCACTGAAGTTGACAGTTGAGTAAATAACTGAAGGAGGTAAGGGAAAAAATCACGTAAATATTTGTAAACAGAGGCAACAGCAAATGCGAGTGCCGTGAAGCTGAGTGAGGCCTGCTCTTTCTGAGTTCTGTCACCCTACATCCACTTGCATCATATACTCTACCTTTCCCTCTGATCATAACAAGTGAGTTGTCCCTGCCCAGGCCAACCCCATCCACTTGCACGTGAAATCTGCTTCCCTCTGTCATATAGGACTATGATCCTGCTGTCATGCCCTCTCTTACGTATTTCACATTTTCTCTCTAGTTGGTTCCCCTGAGCTTGCAAACATGCAGTAATATCACCCATCTTTAAAAAATGAACATAAAAGAAAAACACCAAAACAACAGAGTCCCTTGGCCCTCATTCCCTCCTCTCCCCAGCTACTGTTTCATTTCTTTGTTTGCCTTCACAACAAAGCTAAAAAGAGGTCATCTCCACTTCTTCACATTCGATTCCTTTTAAAAACCTACTCCAGTGAAGTTTTGCTCCCAAAAGAGCATTTTAAAATGCCCCCTTGTTTATGTCACCAGTGACCTCTATGTTGCCAGATGCTCCTTTTCCATAGTTTTCTCTGATTAAGTATTAGCAAATCATGTTTTTTTTTATTATTTGTTTTGCCATACTAGAATGTAAGATCCAAGACCATAGGTATGTGGGTGCTCTTCAATATTTGTTGAATGAGTGAGTGAATGATGCTACCAGCCTCCTTGTACATTCCTTGTATGTGCCATTGTCCTCTTGCCTGATTTGTTTTCCTTTGAGATAAATACCTAAAGGTACTAAAATGATAATTTCCTAAAAGTACTGAGTCAAAGGGTGTGTGCATTTTTAAGGGCTTTTATTACTTGCTAGTAAGCAACCTCCTTAACCAAAACATGCAGTTAGGATTTGTTTGTTTTTAAAACTATGGCATTTATCATGGACACTTCTTAAAACAGATTATTTTACTACTTTTGATTTCTATCTTTTCCCAGACTGCCAGGACCAAATGATATATGCAGTATTTCCAGTGTAACTTGTATTTTCATACTTGAATATTCGGTTAGGGCCAAGTAGGCCAGTAGAAAAGGGTTCTCCTCAAGTTTTGTGTCCACAGGACAGTGGATACTTAGAATGTCATTGAAGCAGCATGACTGTCTTTAGGAAAAAAGGTTTTAGCCATTATACTGCATCCTGCTGTCTTATCTGAGGAATAACACATTTGCTAGAGGTGCTTTCCTTTAGATTGCTGCCCCAGTCAGAGGTCAAGTACTGTGGTAACTACACTTTTGCTATATTGATGGAAGAAATAGAGCACTAACACACATACAACAAATTTGTACTCAGATTATATGGCTGGATTTCTGGTGCTGTACTTAAAGCTGAGTAGTCTGGTTTTACTTATCTGATCCCAGCATTTTGTAGTCAAAATGCAGATAAAGCTATTGATAAGAATAGAAATGGATACATTTGTTTTATAATTGTCTCAGTATTAGACTGAAGGTAAAATATTAATAGTTTTCCACATAAATATAATATTTATAACAAACTATATTTTATTATGGAATCTTTAGATTTTTTTAACCTTCATTGAGAAAAATGTTTCTGCTAATGTTAATTAGCTAGTAACTGCTGTTTTCAGTGTGCTTCAATTACAGTATGTTGCTTGATTATATGTTATAAAATAAACTTAAGGTTGCCCTAGTCTGTTAGACTCAGTAGTTTTATGTTAGCTTATAACCTAGAAACAGATTTCTTATAAATTTGTGAGGAAAGGAGAAGATAAAAATAAAAAACAAAGCTCTATCAAGATATTTTTCTATTTTATTATGCTTTTTCATTAAATTAATCTGTTTTTATTTCTGGTTCTCATTATGTGACTTGCAAGTGAAAAGTTGCCAGTCCAGAATGTTTCAGAAACAAGGAGTGTTTCAATTATAGCTTCACTACTGTCTAATAATTGATAGCAAACATTTATTAAGTGCTTACAGTGTCAGATGTAAAACCCTAAGGTCTGGGTTAGTAAAATTCATAATATATCTGTCCTTAAGAAGTTCAAAGCCCAGTGGAACCATTTAGTCAGTATGTAAATGTTAGTAAATCTGCTTTGTAAGGAGCATGTAGTTTTAGGAAATTTATTATAATATTGTTATCCAGTAGATATGTCTAAAAACCTTTATATGTTTATCCCACATGAGTCTTTTTCTGTTTTTCAGATAATTCAGCAAAAATATTTACAGGTTCCGTAACTGTTGATATTGAAGAGTTTTTTAAAGAAGTATTCCTAAGTTAATATAAGGTTCCCATAAATAAGCCTTTAGTCTAACAAATATATATATATTTAAATATCTAGCACATGGACATGAAGTTTTGAATATTTAATAAACTGCAGTCAGTGTATTATACTGAGTACTCATGCATAACTATTTTGAGACGTTTCTATTTATTTAAACTTTGATGTGTTGTACTAATAGCCAGTCATTTCTCACAGTTTATCAAACTGTAACCATAAAATTGTACTTTAGGAATTTCGTTAGCACGTTTTTTTTTTCATGGTTATGTTTTATCCTGGATATGTGTAAAATAAACTACTTACAGTTAAAAGATACGTGCATGCATATGCATATAATTTTCTGCTCATTCATTATCCTTTTAACTTAAGCATTATCTTTGGTTAAAATCTCTACTCGCATTTGCTCTTTAAAATATCTAATATAGTTTTAATATAAGTTATATAGCTCAGATCATAAACTAAACCAATACAAAATAAGGCAAGTAAGAAATGGATAAGATATGGCATCTTTCTTGCTGTACTCATTCCTTTCTGGTGGAAGTAGAACTTTTGCAAATAAAAGGTAATGCTGTTTAGGAGCAAAGTTTTAATTTTGCTCTTACTGAAATAATTGATAAATTGCTTATTTCTTTGCAAATTTGTACTTAGTTTCAGAAGTCAGGAATTTATCAAGTTTGTACAAGTTTTTTGGAACTAGTTTTACAACATAAAATAATTTTGCTATCTTCTCATTTTGTGATTAGACATTTAAACCAAGTATAAAGCTTAGGTTAAAGATGTTGAATAGAAAATAGCATATATACTATATTTGATTTGAAATGTACTTTGTTCATAGGCCCATATAAAGACAGTTTAAGTTAGCTGACATAACGCATGCAGAAAGTAGTAACAATTTGATCATATCAAGTGTATGTTTGTCTTAAGGAAGTAGAGTAAGTTTACTATATTTTTTCTTGCTCATGAATTAATTAAATTTTGATCTTACTTTTCCAAATCACTGAGGCTTTGGAACTGGTGATTATTTATAGTGTTCCTTTGTGGAAGGAGTGGATTTATAAACTAAAATTGTCTTGTTTTACCAGTGTTTATTTTGATTTAGTTTATTTGTAAAATTAGTTTAGTTCTTCCCAGAGAGCTGTGTTTTGATTTAATTAATAAATAGAAAATAGGTGTTTTTAACTTTTGCGTAGGCTTATGCCATCAAACATCTATAATAAATACTGAAATAAATGCCTGTATTTGGCTAATACCTATAATAAATACTGAACATTAATGAAATTATTACATAGCATTTATTTATATCTTTTTATACCTAAAAGCATTTATACTTTAGGTATAAAAAGAGTTTGGATAAATTAACTGTTGTTCAGTAGCAATTTGAAATGTACAGCTTTTTTATGTGGTTTAATTCAGTGTTTTAAAAATAGGGCTAGTATATTTTGAAATCACTAGAGAATTAGTTGAATTGGGGAAAAGTCAACAACTTTTTGTAAATTAAGTTTTTTTTGAGATCTATTCTTTCCTTTTAATTGATATTAATTTCCTGAGGAGTTGATATTAATTTTCTGATTAATCATTTTAGGTTGTATCTGAAAAAAATTTAAGAAATCCAAATGTATTTGATTTTATTAAGCTGGCTGACTTTGTCAAAAGTCTGGAAAAACTTTAAGAAATCCAGATGTACTTGATTTTATTAAGCTGGCTGACTTTGTCAAAAGTCTGAAAAAAATTTAAGAAATCCAAATGTACTTGATTTTATTAAGCTAGCTGACTTTGTCAAAAGTCCATTGCTATTTGCTTAAGGTTTCTAGCTTTTGCAGCAGTGAATAATAGTGCTCTTAAATTGGATTTATGCTAACTTTTAAGAAACATATTTGTTCCAAGCAGTCTAAGAAGTGCAGAGATGCATGTCAATATTCAGAATTCATATTTTCCTTGAACAGAAGGTTGTGATAAAATGGCACATGGTATGTTTTCATTGCCTGTTGAAAGACTTTCATGCAGTTAAAATAAGCATTTTGATGGTGGTTGAATTAAGAGTTTTTGTCAGTCTCTTCTCATCATGGATGATTAGACTAAAACGTCTGCTTGTCTTGACTTGAGATCACCACAGCTTCAGATAACATGCTTTGTGATTGAAGGTCGAAATATTTTGAATTCTAATAGGCTGCCAGATGAATTGCTTGAAATAGACTGTAAAATTTCAAGGCTTCCTTTTCCATCTGCTGTGAAAAGAACCATTGGGAATGGTTGAGCTTGATGATCATAGAATTACTGGATGGTGATTCTAAAACCCTCAAAGGGAAGTTGCTATGGAGATCTAGTTCCAAACTGTGAAATGATTCACCTTTGAAAGGCTGCAGGGTCTGAGAAGCTGAACACATCATTGTTCAGGTGGTCATTGGTTAGGAAATTGCTGGTGCCTGTGTAATCAGCACTCCTGTGGTAGTTAACGATCTAAAAAGGTTTGTTCTGAATGATGTGGGACAACAGCAATGTGCATAAGATGGCTTCTCTCAATCATGGTTTGCTCAGTCTGGTGCTTGTAAAAATACAGCAAACTAAATAGCACAGAAATGAATTGCTTTATTGAGGGAATCTTTTGAAAACAAAATTTTGAATTGATGAGTTTAGCATCTAAAATAAAATGGTTCTTTTTGAAAATAAAGTTTTCGCAGAAACATGCATTGTTTACTTTATTTTAATTCATCCCCATACCTCCCACTTTTTTGTGGTAAAGAGCTCTTTGTCTCTCTAGGTGTAAGACCTTACCACGGTGAAATGTTTAGCTTTTAATATCCTAGAGTACTATTTCAAGAGCCTTCTTGCATAAGCACAGGGGCACCTGAGAAGGAGTTTAGAAAAGCCCCTGGTCATTGAGAATGAGTCTAGGAAAATCCCCAAATCATTAGAAGTAGAAAGTAATTAATCCCCTATAGCAAATTGGTTCCCCTCAAATTGTTTTTTATTATGCATATTTGTGACATGTATTTTAAATTGATATTTTTTCCAATTTTTGTTTTTATTAAATCAACTTTTGTTTTTATTTCCAGAAACCTGAGGCCAAAATAATTTTTGAAATTCATTTAACAGCAAATTATTATAAACTGCTATTCTCCCATATTAAGATTTCAGAATAGGTAAAATTCAATCTTAGTTAATTTCATATCAGCCTATAATGTTGAACTTTAGTAATCAAGTATGAAACCTTATCAAAGATAATGTATGTATATCAAGTTTGTCTGTATGGTGTCTTCTCCAGACATCATTAAGGTAAAATATACATGTAACAAAAATCATATATTCTTAGTGTACAGTTTGATGAAGTTTATTGTACACAGTCGTAGATCTACTGTCACAGTCAAAATACACAATGTTTCAATCATCCTAAAATGTTTATTTGTGTCCTTTTGCAGTTGATCCTCTCCCCTAACCCTTATGCTTAAGTACTCACTGATCTGCTTTCTATTGTTGCATTTTTATCATATTTAGAATTTCATGTAGTATCATATAGTATGTAGTTTTTTCTGTTTGACTTTTTTTAGATCTAGCATAATGTTTTTGATATTCATTCATATTGTGTACGTTAATACTTTCTTATTACTATGTAGCCTTTAATATTATCACTTTGCTTATCCATTCATTAACTGGTGGACATTTGAATTGTTTCCAGTTTTTATTGTTACGAATTATTTGTGTAGAAATGTTTGTATGGATATATGTTTCTATTTCTTTTGGGTAAATATCTAGAAATGGGATAGCTGAAGTGTATGGTAACTGTATGTTTAGCTTTATAAAATACTGCCATACTGTTTTCCAAAGTGACTGTAACATTTTGATTTCACACCAGCAATATGAGTTCCAGTTCCTCCACATCCTTTCTAGCACTTGATATTGTCAATTGTTTCTAGTTTAGGCATTATAGAGAATATTGTGGCTTTCATTTCTATTTTCCAGCCTATTAGTGATGACCATCTTTTCATTTGCTTACTTCCAAACTGTATATCTTCTTTGGTGAAGTATCTGTCTAAATCTTTTGTCCATTTTTAATTGGATTGTTTGTCTTATTTTGATCCAGTATCAAAGAACTGGATACAAGTTCTTTGTCAAGTATATGTTATATGAAATTTTCTCCTAGTCTGTGGCTGGCTTTTTTTTTTTTTTAATTCTGTCTTTAAAAGAACAAAATTTTTCATTAGGATGTTCATTTTATCAGTTGATTTTCTCTGATATTTGTGTTTTTTGTGTCCGGTTCAGAAATCTTTACCCAGCGCTGTGTTACAGATATTTTCTTCTGTTAAAGTTTAATTTTAAATAACTTTAGCTCTTACATTCGGGCCTGTCATCTTTCTAGTTAATTTTGCATATGGCATGAGGTAAGGTGTTAATTTTCTTCCATACAGATGCATAGTTTTTCCAGAATTATTTGTTGAATATCTTTTCTCTCACTGAATTAACCTGGCACCGTGTCAAAAATCAAATAACTGTTTAGGAGGTCAAGTGCAGGTCAGTTTACACACTCTATTCTGTTCCATTGATCTATTTGTTTTGGCAATACCATACTGTCTTGATTATTATAGCTTTAGAGTAAGTCTTAAAATTAGATAGTGTAGGTCTTCTGACCCTTTTCCTATTTTTTAAGATTGCTTTAGCTTTTCTAGTTCCTTTGCATTTCTGTATAAATTTAAGAACCTGAAAAAAAAGCTTGCTGGAATTTCATTGATTTTTGACTTTGTATTGAAACTGTCAGTGGAGACTACCAATCCATGAAGGCGATTAAATTTTTAAATTTATTTAGGTCTCTTCTCAACAGTATTTTATAGGTTACAGAATACAAATCTTACACATATTTTGTTAATTTTATCCCTAGGTGTTTAATATTTTGCTGCTATTATAAGTGATATTATAGGTTATTTTTAGAAGCCCTTAATCAGGTTGAAGTAGTTACTCGTTATTCCTAGTTTGCTGAGAGTTTTTATCCTGAATAGGTGTTGAATTTTGTCAAATGAATTTCTTTTATCTATTGGAATGATCTGGTTTTTCTTTTTTATTCTATTAATATGGTAAATTACATAGACTGATTTTTGATTGGTAAGCTTTTGTTATTCCCAAGATAAACTCACTCCATCATTATAAATAAACCTGTGTGCTTTTGAATTTGATTTGCTAAAAATATTTTAAAGGATTTTTACATCTGTATTAATGAGGGATTATTGTTTCTGTGGTTTTCTTTTCTTGTAATTTTTGTCTGAATTTGATAGCAGGGTAATATGAACCTTGTAAAATCACTTGTAAAGTATTTTATCTTTGATTTCCTCGAAGAGTTTATGGAGGATTCATGTTATTTCTCCCCTAAATGCTTGATAAAATTTACCAGTAAAGCCATCTAGGCGTGGAGTTTTTTTTTGTTTTTTTTTTTTTTTTTGTGTGTGTGTGTGTGTGTGTATGTATGGGAAGGTTTTTATTTCAGATTCAATTTCTTGAACTGATGTAGGACTATTCGTGTTTTCTATTTCTTCTTAGTTCAGTTTTGGTAATTTTTGTCTTTCTAGCATTTTGATTACTTCATTTAAGCTGTCAAATTTATTGGGCATAAAGTTATTAATATTCTCATATGTTTAATGACTTAGGACCTATAATGTCTCCTCTTTCCTTTGTGATGTTAGAATGAAGTGTAATTTTTGTCTTTCTTTTTGATTAGTCTATCTAGAGGCTTATCAATTTTATTGAGCTTTTTAAAGGACTATGGGTTTCACTGATTTTTTTTTCTTTGTTCATTTCCTATTTCACCAGTTTGTTCTCATATCTTTTATTATTTCCTTCTTTCTACCTATTTGGGTATTTTCAAATTATTTAAGACCTTTTTTAACAGGTGCTTGCAGTTTTTTGACTTATAAAAAAAATCAAGTTGTAAACTTTTATCACAGATTTAAAATGAAGTTCTTAAAAATCTTAACTTGAACAAATACAAAACAATTTTAAAACCTTTCTTTAAAGTCAGATTGAGAAAAAAAGGCTTAAAAATATGTTTGTTATTAACAGAAAGAAACATATTTAGGTAAAAGTAATAAAAACCTCACGCCGTATAGGTAATGAAAATAGTTCTAGTTATCTGACCATTCGACGAAAGCAAGTACTTAAGGTCTTCAGCTCCAATATTTTGTTAATTTCTTATTGCTGGAATTTTATAATCATTTCTTCTTATTAGATGACTAAACAGGATGATGGTAGAGAGTCTTGAGAGCCTTATCTGCTGGTGGATCTGATGTTTTTCGCCACTTTGCTGTCTTGTGGTTTAGAGTTGTGTTAGTCCATTTTTGCATTGCTATAAAGAAACACCTGAAGCTGGGTAATTTATAAACAAAATAAGTTTATTTTGGCTCATGGTTCTGCAGGTTGTACAGGAAGCATGCCACCAGCATCTGCTTCTGGTGAGGCCCCAGGAGCTTAGAGTCATGGCAGAAGGCAAAGGGGGAGGCGGCATATCACATGGCTAGAGAGGGAACAAGTGAGATGGAGCTAGAGAGAGTGCCACTCTCTTTTAAACAACCAGATCGCACTGAACTCAGAGCAAGAACTCCTTATGGTGAGGACAGCACCAAGTCTTTCATGAGGGATCTGCCACCATGACCCAAGCATGTCCCACCAGACCCCACCTCCAACACTGGGGATTACATTTCAACATGAGATTTGGAGGAGACAAAACAGGCAAACCATATCAAGAGTTTTCAGGTGTCTGCACTGGTACTTGAAGTTGTAGTGGCACTGTTGCTGAGGTGGCTGCTGACCTTGGATATCATCTCCTTGATTTTTCCCTATCCTCTTCATTTCTGTCCTCTCTAGACTACCTTTGGCAGAGGGTCCCTGCAGAATCATGGTCTGTATCCCCGATACCTACTCCGCCCCACTGGTCTGCCTTGTTCCCTTGCCCACTGGTTGTGGGTACCCTCCAGCACTTCTCCCCGCATATAGGGTCTCCGCATGTAGGAAGGTGGGAACTTTTCCTTGTCAGGAGGTAGGAAGGTGGGAACTTTTCCTTGCCCACATATAGGAAGGTGGGAACTTTTCCTTCCGTAGGCCCTGCGTGTTGGGCCTGGCCTTCGGGAGCACTCTTTTCGCCACTCTCACTATTACGGTAATTCTGCTGGCAGTTGCCTGGAGGACCCCTAGGAGGTAGATAGGAGCTTATAAAGGTACAGTTGGCTGCATATTTACTGCCTTGAACTGGAACTCCACCACGGCCTGCAGTACTGGCTGCCTCCACATTCTTTTCTCCTTCAACATCAAACGCCACATCTCTCCAGCTCCTCCACTGCCAAGGTACTTCTTGGGGTTATTCTTTATGGCAGTCTGGTGTACAAATACATCTCACTTGGTGTCATTCCTGTTGATGAATCCATATCCTTTTCTTACATTGAACCGTTTTACTGTTCCCAAAACTTTCATAGTGATGACCTTCTTGTCCCTGCTGGTCTATGTTGTCCCAGCTGGAGACCGCCGGGGCCCCGCTCCCTGTGCCGCTGCCCGTGGTGGTGGGCTGGCTGTTGGCAGCGCTGAGGGCGGGGGCGCGGCGTCTGCTGGGTCTCCCCAGTGGTTGCGGAGGTGGTGAGTGGGCCTGCTGCACCAGCTGCGGCTCCTCCCGTGTGAGGCCCCGAAGGCAGTAGTGGTTGGGGGCTGCTCAGGGCTCTCTGGAGTCCACTCTCCTCTCCTGCTGCCCATCAAACGCCTGTTTGGTTTTAATTTACTTTTTCTTTCTCTAATTTCTTAGGGTGAGAACTCAGATTATTAATTTTGGAGGTTGTTTTCTAATATGATTATTTAAAGTTACAAACTTCTCTCTAAGCACTGCTTTAGCTGCATCCCACATACGTTGATAGGTTATATTTTTATTATCCCTTAATTTAAAATATTTCCTTATTTCTCTTGTGACTTCTTTGATCTGTTGATTCTTAAAACGTTTGTGTATTTCCAAGTATTTGGAGCTTTTCTAACATTCTTACTGTTATTGATTTCTAATTTAATTTTTTTTAATAGATAGGGATCATCCTCTGTGTGATTTCAGTCCTTTTAAATTTGAAACTTGTCTTTTGGCTATGCGTAGTCTGGGCCAAATGAACTACATGCTCTTGAAAAGAATATGTTTTGTTATTATTGAATGTAATGTTCTATAAATATTTCGTTCAAGATGATTAATAGCATTGTTCATATCTTCTGCATTTTTACTGATTTTTTTGTCTAGTTCCATTAATTTAGTTAAGAGAAGGGCGTTAAGATCTCCAGTTCTGATTGTAGAATTGTTCATTTCATCTTTACTTCTGTTGATTTTGGCTCCCTGTAATTTGAAGCTGTTATTAGGCACATACACATTATGTGTATATTATGCCTTATGTGAATATTATGCCTTTTGGATGAATTTACTTTTTTCTCATTTAAAAATATGCAGTACTTTTTATTTTGAAATCAATTTAATCTGATATTAATACAGCTACTATAGCCGTCTTATACTTACTGTTTTCCATCCATTTACTTTCAACCTATCCGTGTTTGTTTGTTTGCTTGGAGACAGTCTTATGCTGTTACACAGGCTAGGGTGCAGTGCCACAATCACGGTTCACTGCAGCCTCAAACTTCTGGGCTCAGGCAATCCTCCCACTTCAGCCTCTTGAGTAAGTGGGACTACAGGCTCATGTCACCATGCCTGGCTAATTTTTTAGTTTTAAGTTTTTGTAGAAATGGGATCTTGCTATGTTGCCTCGGCTGATCTTGAACTCCTGGCCTCAAGCAGTCCTTCTGTCTCAGCCTCCCAAAAGTGTTGGGATTACTAGTGTGAGCCACTGGGCTTGCCATGTCTTTATATTAAAATGTATCTCTTATACAGAACATATGATTGTGTTCTATTTTATTATCAATTCTGATAGTCAACACCTTTTAAAGTGCTTATTTCATTGTCTAATGGACTTGATAGGTTTGGATTTGTATCTTTTTATTTGTGTTTTATTTGTTGCTTCTGTGGTTTGTTCCTCTGTCTCTCTACATTTTTTTGATTATTTGAATATCTGTTAGGATTTTATTTTAATATTCATCTTGGATTCCAACTAGATTTCACTTTTTTTAAGTGATTGCTCTAGTGATTACAATATACCTCCTTAACTTTTCAGTTTGTTTACAGGTGCCCTTTATTTTTATTTTGTTGTTGTTGTTGTTTTTGTATTTTTTTTCTTTCTTTTTGAGACGGAGTCTCGCTCTGTAGCCCAGGCTGGAGTGCAGTGGCGCGATCTCGGCTCACTGCAAGTTCCGCCTCCCGGGTTCACGCCATTCTCCTGCCTCAGCCTCTGGAGTAGCTGGGACTACAGGCGCCCGCCACCATGCCCGGCTAATTTTATGTATTTTTAGTAGTGACGGGGTTTCACCGTGTTAGTTTACAGTTTATATTGTATCACTTCATGTAAAATATAGAAAACTTGAAAGTATATAATCCCATATTCCCTCCCTGTCTTTTATGCCATAGTTGTATGTAATACTCTACACATTTTGTAAATCCCACAATTTAAAAAATTGAGATAAAATTTACCTTACCTAAAATTAACCATTTAAAAATGTACATTTCAGTGGCATTTAGTACATCATAAATGACTTTTGTTTAAACATATATTTGTATTATGAGGAAACCATGAAAAGAAAAAACAAAAAGCCTTTTGCACTTACTAAGATATCTGCCATTTTTGATGCTTTTCTTTTCTTTCTGAGAATCTGAGGTTCTACTTATCATTTCTTTTAACTTTGAAGACCGTTCTATAGCATTAATTATAGCGCAGGGCTGTTGGCAATAAATTCTCTTAGTTTTCTTTCATCTGAAAATGTTTTTATTACAAGATTCATTCTTTAAGAATATTTTTGCTGGGTATAAAATTCTTGGTTGACAGGTCTGTTTAATTTTTTTTCTGCACTTTAAAAATATTGTTGCACTCTCTTCTGTCCTTAATTTCTAATGAAAAAGTCAATGATTAATTGAAACTTTTTTTGCTTCTTTCAAGAATTGCTCTTTACCTTCGACATTTGTGTCATACCTCTGCTATTGTATGTCTTAGCATTGCACTTCAATTTGTAAATTGCTTTCAATAAATTGTGTAAATTTTTATTCATTAATGCTTCAAGTTTTTTTTTCTCCCCATCTCTTTCCCCTCTCCTTTTAGGACTTTAATTATATGCATGTTGGGGCTGGGTGCAGTGGCTCATGCCTACAATCCCAGCACTTTGGGAGGCCAAGGCAGGCAGATCATGAGGTCAGGAGTTCGAGACCAGCCTGGCCAACATGGCGAAACCCCATCTCTACTAAAGATACAAAAAATTAGCTGGGCGTGGTGGTGTGTGCCTGTAATCCCAGCTACTTGGGAGAATCGCTTGAACCTGGGAGGCTGAGGTTGCAGTGAGCTGAGATTGCGCCATTGCACTCCAGCCTGGGCAACAGGGCGAGACTCCGTCTCAAAACAGAAGAAAAATTATATGCATGTTGAACCATTTTATATTATCTAGTAGGTCCCTGAGGCTCTGTTCGTTTTTATTCTGTCTTCTGTGTGTTCAGATTAGTTTCTGTTGATTTATCTTTGACATATTCTTTTCCTCAGTCATCTTAATTTGGCTGTTATGTCCATATATCTAGATAGATAGATAGATAGATAGATAGATAGATAGATAGATAGATAGATATACATATTGTGTTTATCAGTTCTAAATTTGTCTCCCTTCCTCCCTGCCCTCCTTTCTTCTTCTCTTCTTCCTTCTCTCCCACCATTTCTATTTCTCTGCTGGGAGTGCCTGTCTCCCAGTTCATTGTGTGCATAATTTACTTTTATTTATTGAAGGTAGTTTTAATAGACACTTAAAATTTTTTTCAGCTACTTTCAGCATCTGGATAATCTCAAATTCAATCTCACTTGTTTTCTGATAGCATTATGCTTGATTTTTTTAGGTAATTTTAGATTGTATCCTGGACATTATGAATGTTACATTATGGCGATTCTAGGTTCCAGTTTTTCTCTCATATGTGTAGCGGGTTTGTTTTGTTTTTTTTTGGTTTTGTATTAGTAGACAGTTGGACTTGAACTGCAACCTCGATTTCTTAGATGGCAGCTCCAGTCTCACTTCAGTTTGTCATTAGCTGGTCTGCTTTGAGTCTCCCCTCCCTATGCATGGTTCTGGTATCAATCAAAGAGGTGGGGATTTCTTCTATTTTTCCTGTCTCTTTCTCTTCCCTTTGCATTCTTCCATCGCTACAGTTTCCCTAGCTTTGGTTTTCTGCTTCTCTAGGACAGAAAGACCATGATTTATCTGTAGCTTGCCCTGTGTTGGCAACACTTGGTTGCGAGCTAAAAGCTTTGAAAAGATGAATTTCCTTCATATAATTCCCCTTCTTTGAGCATGTACTCCTAAGCAGTCTTTCTGATTTCCTTTGCTCTCCAGTGCAGCTTAGGTAGCTGCTTTTTGTATCTTGTCTGTGTTTTATAGTGTTTTTCCCCACCAGGGTGGTCAGTGGTAGTTTTCCAGTGAGATCTTACTATGTCATTATTGAAAATGAAAGCCCTTGGTTGGAATTTTAGGCTACGTAATAAGTCAGTAGTACTTCTTATCAGTTTTATGTACCAGTACTTTACTTCCTATAGTGATAGCATGCATACTAAGACAGTGGGTTTTGAACCTTAAGGAAAAAATATTTGTGATTTATAGTTAATTTTAACTTACTACCAAGTATAATCATATTCTTATATTGATTATTACATACTATTTAATCTTTAGTATTAATTTATTACCATCATACCTTAATTACTATGTAATACATTTTATCAAGTGAATAACTGATAATTATAAGGATTATATATGTATATTTTGGATGAAGTTTTGCTCTTGTTGCCCAGGCTGGAGTGCAATGGTGCAATTTCTGCTCACTGCAACCTCCGCCTCACAGGTTCAAGCGATTCTGCTTCCTCAGCCTCCCAAGTAGCTGGGATTACAGGCATGCACCACCATGCCCAGCTAATTTTTGCATTTTTAGTAGAGACAGGGTTTCACCATGTTGGTCAGCCTGGTCTTGAACTCCTGACCTCAAGTGATCCACCCACCTTGGCCTCCCAAAGTGTTGGGATTACAGGCGTGAGCCACTGCGCCTGGGCTAAGGATTGTATTTCTATAAATTCTGAATTTACTTGTGCCAGAGTCCTATCTCTCATGTAGTCTTTGAGGATGAATTGAAGAAGATGTAAAAGATTCAGTCCAGTATGATAGTGACTAAATTGTAACTAGTTTATATTTACTGATGTCTAATGGGGCACTTTTTTTTTTTTGCTGAGGATAGGCTAAATGTTGTGTTGACTTGTGGGTTCTTTCCCTCTCTTCTTTTTCAGTTTACTCAAAATTTCTTTAAGACATAATTGTTGACTCCTTTTAATGTTAGTTAATCTTTATCTTGCATAACAATTATTATGACACTATTACAAAAGTAGACATTAAGTGAATTCTTAACTAAACGGGGGTTATAGGAGAAAGAAGGGGAACTTAAAAATATTTTTCCCATAAAGAAGGCCCCTTATTAAATTACCCTAAAAAAGTTAATACAATCTTTTAGCAGGGTAATTTGGGGCCATAAGGTGGAGTAGTAGTTGGGTAAATCAACAGTACAAGAAATACAATCTGCTGCATTTTTGTGCCCCCATACTTTAAAGATAATAGTTATGATTTTCACTTAGATAAATTTTGTAGACATCTGTGTTATTACAGAACAGAATTTTGTAGATATTTAAAATCATATAAATGGCAATACTTAGCAAAATGACAAAAAGCACTATTGCACCGTGCTATAGTAGTAATAGAAATGACTTTCTTCTAGGAAATCAGAGACCCATTCAAGTAAACATTTACCTAGATCTGTGATACACAGAAGGAATTTGAATTGGCTGCCAATCTTTGTTGTTATTGCTGTTGAGAGTTCATGTTCAGATCATGTTTCCCAAGTATGTGAACCAGTACTGCGACTCCCACAGTTGGGTTTCTAAGGAGAGCTTCCTTGTCTTCTTGTATCTGCTTGCTCAAATCTGGTATCTGTTCTGTCTAAGAAACTCAATCTGTCTAAGAAACTGCTTCTCAGAGGCTCTATCATATTTTCTTCCTCTGCAGGTGGTAAATTTTGGTCCCACTTGTAAATACTTTGGCTTATTTTTAGTATGTGAATTGAAATGTTCTGAATTAGGTCAAAAATTAAATGTTCATCAATTAGTTACAAATTTATCAGATACTATCTTCTAATAAGGAATAGGAGGTGACATTTGAGGTTTTTTTTTTTTTTTTAATGGAGTCTCACTCTGTTGCCCAGGCTGGAGTGCAGTGGCACGATCTCTGCTCATGTGACCTCTGCCTCCCGGGTTCAAGCGATTCTCCTGCCTCAGCCTCCCAAGTAGCTGGGGACTACAGGCACATGCCACCATGTCCGGCTACTTTTTTTGTATTTTTTGGTGGAGATGGGGTTTCACCATGTTGCCCAGACTGGTCTCAAACTCCTGACCTCAAGTGATCAGCCTGCCTCAGCCTCTCAGAGTGTTGGGATTACAGGCGTGAGCCACTGCGCCCAGCCTGACATTTGAGTTATGAATGGTAAATCATTTGCTAGACAATGAATAGAGGAACGGCATTCTCATTCTTATAAAGTGTGTTTCTTTTTGTCTCTGTTACTGAAATTATTTAATTTGATAAGCTAATCCGGTCCTTTGATAGGTGATACTCTTGCATATGATAAGCGCTTAAACATTATTTAAACAAATTATTTTACATTTAAGGAAGAAAACTTTAACTGGAAAGACTTTGGTTAGATGAAAGGGAACAAGAATTTCTTTGGCGTGGACTCTCCAGCAAAGGCAGGAATAGGATCAACATTCGTTCTATACCATCTTTGTGTCAGAAATTTCGCTTCACAGTGTTTTTCAGTACATATTATCAGTGTTTGGAAACGAAGAAACCTTTGAAAAAGATTGTTGTTAGCTATATGACCTTGGGCAAGTTAATGGCAGAACTCACAATTTCTGAAGACAGGACTGTTGTTGGCCTGAACATACCCTTTCTTTCACCTCTTATGTCAGTTGGATGTATTTTCCTTAAACATATTTGTTTTCTGAATATACCTTATGCATTCCACCCTTGTTTTTGCTGTATCCCATTTTAAATATGGGACAGTAGATACTCATTATTACAATGTTTTATTTAGGTAGGAAGCGTAATATATGAGTTGTAATACTTTCAGTTACAGTAGAATTCCAGTTCAAAATGGCTTAGAAAATAAAGATAGTCTATATATTGGCTTGCAGTTACTGAGAAGATAAGATACATGGTTTCATGCAATACATGATCAGTGCACTGACTCAGAACTTTCCCTAAGGTCTTAATTTCTTTCTGTCTCTACTCTACCTTTTGGCCAGCTTTACTCATCTTTTGGCTGATTCCTCTCATGGTTGTAACATGGCTTCCTGCATTTCACTGGCCATGTGGTTTTTAGTTCACATCTGTCAGAGGAAAAAGACTGACTTTGTTCAAGTCTTGCAATAAATTTTGAAATTTCCTCCATTGGACCAGCTTAAGTCACATGCCCAATCAATCCTTCAGTAGTCACTGTGAGCAGATAAAATAATCTTACCTGAAGTTACGTAAATTCCTAAGCAGTAGTTGGGGAGCTAGAAGAGAGTATAGATAAATGCCTGAACAACAAATCTCTACCTATCAGTGATAAACTTGAAATTGTTATTGATAATTCTGTGAATTTGGAGAGGGGAGAAAATACCTGTGAAATTTTACACTTAAAAAATTTTAAGAACCTATTTACTTTGATTCTTGACTGGAAAATACATTTATCTCATCTTGGTAATACTTCATAATACTGGTTTAAAACATCACACTATTATGAGAGTTAGAGCAGTATAATTCTGATGAAATTTCATTACCAGAATTGTAATAAAAATGTTTCCTCTTCATTAAATATGTGGTGAAGCTTATTGTTTGTGAAAATTAAACCGTTTCGTGGGATCACCAAACATAAAACAGAATGGTATCCATTCTGCACTATGCAGAATGGTATTGCGTAGTGCCAACTCTAACCTTCTAACCTTGTCCATATGGGAGAAAGTCAGAGCATAGGATAAATTGAAACTTTATTAAATGCTGTGTGTATTAGTCTATTCTCATGCTGCTATGAAGAAAATACCCGAGACTGGGTAATTTATAAAGAAAATAGGTTTAATTGACTTACAGTTCTGCATGAGGCTGAGGAGGCCTCAGGAGACTTACAAGCATGGTGGAAGGCACCTCTTCACAGGGCGGCAGGAGACAGAATGAGTAAAGGGAAAAGCCCCTTATAAAACCATCACATCTTGTGTGAACTCACTATCACAAGAACAGAATGGGGGTAACCACTCCCATGATTCAATTACCTCCCACCAGGTCCCTCCCACCACACATGAGGATTGTGGGTACTACAATTCAAGATGAGATTTGGTTGGGGACACAGCCAAATTGTACCACCACGTTTTAAAAGTTTCATTTCTGTTTCTTTTTAAACAGTCTATGTGGTTAAATAGAGTAGTTTTGTACTCTAAATGAAAAAACTTTTTTTTTGGATCAGCTTTCTAAGCAGGCACCCAAACATTTATTTATATATATATATATATATATATATATATATATATATATATATATATATATATATATATATATATTTATTTATTTATTTTATTTTTGAGACAAGGTCTCGTTCTTCTCCCCCAGGCTGGAGTGCAATGGCGCGATCTCAGCTCATTGCAACCTCTGCCTCCCGGGTTCAAGCAATTCTCCTGCCTCAGCCTCCCGAGTAGCTGGGATTTATAGGTGCCTGCCACCATGCCCGGCTAATTTTCGTAGTTTTAGTAGAGACGGGGGTTTCACCATGTTGGCCAGGCTGGTCTCTAACTCCTGACCTCAGGTGATCCGCCTGCCTTGGCCTCCCAAAGTTCTGGGATTACAGGCGTGAGCCACCACACCCGGCATATTTATTTTTAATTAATAAAATTGATTTGCCTTATATTATTGCTATTATCTGTCATCAAGTTCTATCAGTCTTTTCTGGAAGTACTTCTCTTCTTTTTTTGCCTTATTCTATTTTCACTACCATTTAACTGCCCTTACTAATAAATTGTTGCTGGGGCTCTCTTTTTCTGATCAGTGTGACCCTGTAATCACTTGTCTCAGACATATGTTTGCTTTAAAATGCAGAATCTCAGGCTTCTCCCTAGTAATCCAGAATCAAGGAGTGGGCTGGGAATCATCTGCACACTAGAAGATTTTTGAGAATAACTGTTACAGTCTTCTTCCAGTTTCTTCCTTTAAGAGCAGTGGTTCTTTTCTTTGTTTGAGACAGTCTCACTCTGTTGCCCAGGCTGGAGTGCAGTGGCACTATCAAGGCTCACTGGACCCTCCATCTCTCAGGCTCAATCAATTCTCCACCTCAGCCTCCTGAGTAGCTGGGACTACATACACGTTCCACCACACCCAGTTAATTTTTGTATTTTTTGCAGAGACAGGAGTTTCGCCACATTGCCCAGGCTGGTCTCAAACTCCTGTACTCAAGCGATCCGCCCGCCTCGGCCTCCCAAAGGGCTGGGATTATAGGAGCAGTGATTCTTAACCACAATTATATCACTTAGTGATCTGCCCCAGTACTTGGTTTCCTATACCATAGAGGGGTTAAAAGTCTATTTTTCACAAAACAGAAAATAATTATGTGTATTTTGTTAAATTTCTAACTTAAGTTTTATCAGCATCATAGTATTATTTAGACGTATATATTATTGCCATGGTTTGAAAATACACACAAATAAAAATCTACCAGTAGCTGAACATTGCAGTGAATATTCAATTTTGTACTATACTAACTATAAAACAAAAAGATAACACATAAGCATACAGTTATTAAATAGGAAGCAATAATACCTTCGTAGCCTGGTATGGGACAAGGACTTAAGGTCCATGAGTATTGCTGTTATTCCATAGGACCACATATTTGGCATATCACCTTTAGTTGTGATATGGCCTTTGAGAAATTAGATGTATCATTGCTTGAGGGTCATTGCATTTGATTATGTTACTGCCTCTTGTAAAACATTCGTGCCTTCCTGGGAATTCCATTTTCTGCCTGGTACTCAATACTCTTCATTGTTAAACATTAGTATGTTTTCCAGTGCTTTCTTTTCTGTTCTAAATTTTCCTCAGACATATTTACTCTGTGTCCTGAATGTACCTTATGTATTCTACCCTTGCCTTTGCTGTACCTCTAGCTAAGTTTTGTCCTTTAAGGTCCATATCCTCTGTGAACTTCGTCTGTCCCCCTTTTGCTCACTTTTCCTGCCTTTGAGATTAGGAGCCTTCTACATGTAGGATCATTTTTTGATGCCATGGTTTAGTTACATATTCTTGTCTTATTTCTCCTACTAGACTGTAAACTCCTTGACAGTATGGGCCATGTCATTTAATTTCATCTCTCCCTAGATACCTAAAATACGCTTTTTACATAGCAGTCAATAAAAGGAGGAAGGATATCAGTTTCATTGCTAGAAATTTTTTCTTACTTCAGTGTAAGCTTATCTAGATGTGGTCTAGTACATTTTTTCGACTACTTTGTTTGGTTACCTAAGAGAATATGCAGGGTGCAAATGTATGTATGTGTGTCTATCTATCTATGTGTGTGTGTGTGTGTGTGTGTGTGTGTGTGTGTATTTTTTTTTTTTTAAAGAGACAAAGTCTTAGTCTGTCACCCAGGCTGGAGTGCAGTGGTGCCATCATAGCTCACTGCAGCCTCGAACACTTGGGCTAAAGCAGTCCTCCCATCTCAGTTTCCCAAGTAGCCAGGACCACAGGTGTGTGCTGCCATACCTGGCTAATTATAGGCGTGAACCACTGCTCCTGGTCAATATATGTTTTTATTGTCTTTATCCAAATCTGTTAGTCAAGCAATAAGATTTTAGATAAATGAAAATAAAGTTCTTATATTTTACTGTTTTACATTTATTTCTAGGCCACTGTGTATTTTTCTTTATGCTAGTCACATGCATATTTATATACAGCATGTGTATAAGTAGGCCTATATAAGTTATAGGCATATAATACATTTATGTTTACATTGTTAGTTTGCTTTTGTTACTATAACTTATGTTGTCTCATATTATACTTTTATTCAGGATTAAAACTTAGCTAGCAAAATATTATATGGCATTGTATTAACTATGTATGTGATATAGTTGGATGCATTCTTATAGGTAAAAATTTATATGAAGAAATGGAAATCTTATTTAAAAAATGAACTGCACTATTTAAAATAGAAACTCATGATCTTTTTAACGTTGCAGCTGAGTTAAACAAATAATCTTTCCACCATTACCAAGAGGTGCTGTAGTTAAAAATACATTTATACATATTATTTTTAAAAACCTAGTTAACTTTAAAATATGTAAGTTTTCTTGTCGTTTAGGGTTCTGTGAAGCTGATCATCAAGAGGGTTGCAAATCATTGGTGGTTTCTATTTTCAGATTTCCACATCCCGGAGTAATTTGCTTTAATTTCACCCAATTTAACCTATACTTCACACCATCACCATTCAGCTTTAATAGCTATGTTCTATGCATAAGAAAAGCAGATAAATGTCCACAATTAGGCTGCAAATGATTACAACTAGTTAGGGCTTTATGAAGACAAAACTTAAAGGACCATGGCGCCAAACAAAGCCACAAAGACGGCTTGAAAATGCTGTCTCGAGAAGTCAAGTCTACCATGGCATTTGATTTATTACTTTTGTAGTTGATTTTACTTATTTTTAATATATTGGCAGGTGTGCCTACTCTGGGAAGTATTCATCTTTAAAGAATATTAGTTCTCTGTTCATTTATTTTGGTTTTTAATTTATTTGCTTTTTTGAATCTCAGCATAACCAGGTTGAATCTCTTTTCAAAAATATTATTAAAAGGTAGCAATTTTTAAAAAATTGAGAATAATTTGTTTGAAATGTACTGGCATTTATATGCCTTGTTAATGCATTTCTGAAATCAAGACTTTGCTGAAATGTTTATACGTTGAATAACCGTATCAGACATTTAGTGGAAGTATAGTTTTACAATTTTGTATAGAATTTCATTTCCAGATAGGTTTTAGTATGCAAAATATAAGCCTATGGAGGATTACTTCTATGAAATGTTACTTCTATGTGCATATGTATAAAAAATTCAGAAATTGTTTTAATCCTATATGTATGTTGTATTTTCTAAGATGTATGTTCTTGTTGATGATTAATGTATATTGTTATTTCAAGGTACAAAGAATTTATTTATGGTTTAAGGTTTTAAAAAGTTAAATTATTTTAATATAATAGCATTTTATAAATTTATTTTCTCCTATGAAGTAAAACTTGTTAGTTTGGTTAATATATCGCTGTATTTAATGAAGTAAATAAATCTCAGTCTCAAGACTGGATCTCATCTCTTTTCAAAATTTTCTGAAGATTTTAATCAAGGTGTGACATATAAAAACATTTTCTTTAAATACTTTGTAATAAATATATACATAACATAAATATAACTCAAGGCTTTAGTCTGGTGTTCCAACATTAGTCATTTTGTTGGATGTTCTCTCAGACATTCTATATAGATAGGAATAGCAATACTGATGGATAATAACTTTATAGTTTATGGCACCCAGAATTATTCTTATAATTGTAATACTCCCCATTTTAGAAGTAATGTTAATCATTTTATTTATTATATAAGCAGTAACATGTATTTATTTTAAACATTTAGATAAGTCTTATTTTCTTAAATAATAATTCTGTCCTTAGTTTATTATTGCTTAAAATCCAAAATAAATGTAGGTGAAAAACCAAAGCAGTTGTGGGTTTTTTTGTACACATGTAACACACACATGTGTATGGTGTTGCATGCAGGTGCTAACTTTAAAAACAATACTGGGGAATGAATAGCTGTGTACCTTTGTTTATAAAATCAGTGTATGTGGGAAAGTACACTAAAACTTATTATTTTAAAATATCCTTATTTTAAAGAAAGTAGTCACTTATTTATCCTACAAAGTAGACCAATATAGCCGTGGCAAGACAATACAGCTACACAGCTTCACAGTTGTATTAAACTAGTTTCATATGCTATATCATAAAACTTTCAGTCCAATCAGCAACTAAATTTAAATACTGCAAATTGTAGCAGCAAAACAATAATTCTGCTGATTAGCCCCTTTCCATTTCTTGTAAGTGAACTGTTTATGCTGTTGAGTACCTTTTGAAAAAAGAAAAAGCCAAAACAGCCTTGATTAGTCAAGGAGTAATTGGATGACTTGATTTTAGCAAGAGAATGAATTGGTTGATGATAGCCTGTAACTAAGTGTAGTGGTTCTGTTCAGATGAATACATAACATACAGTCATCAGATCTTGACAGGTATAACATATTAGCAGTGCTAAAATCCCATGGTGGGGGGATTAGATGGAAATGGAGGGGAATAAGTTTGCCATGAAGTCTTTTACTGTAAAATTTGAGGTGATTCTTAGAGGACTTTAGATAAATATTCATAGTTTTTTCGTTCTGATTTTACATTGGAGGGGTAAATAGGTGGAGAGATTTCTCTACTTTATTACAATAGTCCCCCTGTTTTTTGCTCTAAAGACAAAATAGTTCTGTAGACAAAAGAGCTAATGGGATCACTGAACTTTTTGCAGGAGGATCGTTGATAATATCCTTTCACTTTTGTGGAAAATCATGTCGTAAAGATCATGGCTCCTTAGTAAGAGCCTTGATGCATTAAATGTATTCATATTTAACTAAAGTCTTGATGATGTCAGAACTTTTTGTACACTGCATTCTTATTTATGATTTTCTGATTACTTTCAAGACTGTATCTGAGTTTATATTAATGAAATATGGCATAAAGCAGGAAAGAAATTTTTTTAATGTATTCATTTGTAACTAGTCTTAAAACAGCCCGGTTGTACTGTCTGTCGCCCACCAAGAATATAATACAATAACCACCCCTTCTGTACCATAACGTGCTGTGTGGGTCCAAAAGTTTCATTTGCATAAAATATGCGATCACTGTATTTCTAGGTGAATGAAATGACAGGATGAACCTGCACAGCTGACCACAGGGGAATAAGGGGTGTCACAAGGTCCTGGCCCATCCAAATCCATTCTGATACTGGCTTTGATTTGGCACCACCTGGTGGTGATAGCTCTAGCTTAACTGGTGAGGACTAGATCTTGTAGACTGACTAGGACGTTATAAGATTGCAGTAGAAATTCTAGAAAGATCTCAGGGAGATCATACCCATTTTGTTGGGCCAGTTGAGGTGGGTTACATCAGAAAAGTATTGAGGATGCAGTGGCCTCCCTTACACAGTCTGCTCCCAAAGGATGTGGTTGCTTGCTTGTCCTTCATCTCCCTAGGTCTTATCCTTTCTTACATGTTTCTACTCTCATTTTAGAACTGTGTGTTAATGCATTTAATGGTGTATTTTGTGAGGTATATTATCTGGTTTCAGGGCATCTACCATCACAGTACTTTTCATTTGGACCCAAGAATGTGATCTCTATTGTGTAATGTGGATTTAATCAGACCATCATCTTCCTATTATAACACTAGGTGTTCTTGGTGAGTCATCCCTCTTACATTTCTGTATTTCCCCTTCTATATCTTAGAAAAATTAGATAGAAGTCAAAATCCATTGACATTATGAATAAAGGTTATAAAATAGTTTTTTTAAACAGCCAGGCATTTACTTGACTGATTAATACCTGTCCCATGTTTACATTTTCCAAGCATTTAAACACTAGTTTCAAATTCCAGCAGAGACAGTATTTTCTCTCTTCTCACAGCATCAAAATACACTTAAATATGGGATTAAAAATAGTTTATACTTTCATCAAAACCTGTACATGACTCTTAGTATAACTTTTAAATGGCATCTACATAACACCAGTGCTCAAATTTGAAACCTTGAAGGCTGTCTTTTTCCATCAACTTGTGTGAATACTGACTCCTTCCCTGTTCCCCTTCATCTTGGGTTTACTTTCTTGTTTTTATTATATGCTGATCTGTCTCCCCTGTTAGGCTGTAATCACTTTTGAAAGCAGAAACTAGTTGTGTTCCGCTTTTTCTTATCTCAGAAATTTGCCTTCCAGCTCCTGGCACCATTCTCTTTGTGATTAACATCCAGTAAACATTTGTTAAATATGTCTCTTAAAATATGTATCTTTTTAACTATTTATACACCTCCAAGTGGATGACATGCCACATTTTATTTCTTCTCAGTTTGTTATCATTCTTTTTGCCCACTAGACCAAAAAACTTTGTAAATTCTACTTTGTTTTCTTTCATTTTTTTTTTTTTTTAGATTTGACCATTTTGATGTCATTTCTGTTACTACTACCCAACAGTCAACTACTTTGTGACCATCAGTCTCTCTCCAAGCTATTAGATCTTCAACATAATTGACAGAATCATTTAAAGAGTGTGGTAGCAGGCTGGGCATGGTGGCTCATGCCTGTAATCCCAGCACTTTGGAGGGCTGAGGTGGGTGGATCATCTGACATTAGGAGTTCGACACCAGCCTGGCTAACATGGTGAAACCCTGTCTCTACTAAAAATACAAAAATCAGCTGGGTGTGGTGGTGGGCGCCTGTAATCCCAGCTACTCCGGAGGCTGAGGCAGGAGAATGGCTTGAACACGGTAGGTGGGGGTTGCAGTGAGCCAAGATGGCGCCACTGCACTCCAGCCTGGGCAACAATAGCAAAACTCCATCTCAAAAAAAAAAAAAAAAAA
This sequence comes from Homo sapiens, assembly GCF_000001405.40. Classification (NCBI taxonomy): domain Eukaryota; kingdom Metazoa; phylum Chordata; class Mammalia; order Primates; family Hominidae; genus Homo; species Homo sapiens. Next base: position 174,156,583 of record NC_000002.12, on the reverse strand, counting down.
AAAAAGAGTGTGGGAGCAAACAAGCCAGCATGAGCAAGATCACAAGAATACGTCTCTGAAAATCTCCATAGAATTTTCTCATCTAAGAAATTAAATTTCAACTCCTCAGCTCAGTGTTAGAGCCTTTCCATCAATTGACATCTACACATTTGAACCTATGGTAATATCTTTTGGTTACTACATAGCACAATTTTTGTCTTTCAGTATGTACTAATGCATTTCAACTGTAGGTTGGCAATGTCTGGAGATTTTTTATCTTTATAGCTGGGGTGCTTGTGTGCGTGTGTGTTACTGGCATCTAGTTTATAGAGGCCAGGGGGTGCCATTAAACATCCTACAATGCACAGGTCAGCCCTTCACGACAAATAATTATCTGTCCCAAAATGTTTGTAGTGCCAAGGTTGAGGAACCCTGGTATACCTTGTCTTTAGCTTTTCATTTATAAATATATTTAATAGTTAAATACATTGAGGGCCTGCTCTGTATGAGGTCCTGTCCTAAGCTGTTTACATACATTATCACTCTAAATCTTCAGGACAGTCTTAGGAGGTAGGTACTGTTATTGTGTACATTTTACAGAGGAAACTAAGGCATAGAGAAATTCATCCAACAACTAATCAGTCAGTCTGAAATCCAGATTTGAATCCAGATGTTCTGATTCCAGAGTATGTGCCCTTAATCACTTCTGTTATACTTCCATCCTGCTGGAATTTCTTCTTTACTCTCTGCGTCCCTTTGCAAATATCTGTCCCTGAAAGTCCTCGTCTTTATGCTGACCTTCCCTCCTTAATCCTGATTCATGCTGATCTATCCCTGCTCTCTCGGTCTGTCTTTTTTCTCTTTTTTTATTGCTACATTCATTGGTCTTAGTTATAGTATGTAGGTATGTGTTCCCGCTCCTTAGTTTGACTTATACATTTAAACAATTGTTTGTATTTACTAAAATATGTAATCTAATGCAAACACCCAAGAAGTCTTCAGAAGGTAATTGTCTGTCCTTCACTAATAGTTAAGCAATTCAGGGATGAAGAGATAACAAGAAATTTCTTGTGTCTTCTATTGCAGTCTGTAGTTTGCCATGTTTTATGCTTTGCTTCTCTAGTAATTTTTGTGATTGATATGCTTAGCACTAGTTTCTTTGAAATGCTCACTAAATGTCTTATTGTGTGCTGTGAAATTGATCTTTTTCTGTTGTGCTGCATGTTTAGCTTCATCTAGAATCTGTAGTTTCCCTCTAACAGTTTTTCATTCAAGTGCCAATAACTGCTTGAGGCGTTCTTTCATTCATTGATTCCTTCTTCAGTCATGTCTTCACTTGTATTTTTGCTCACCCCTTTTTTGGGCCTGTTGTGCATCAGCTCTGATCAGGGCCCTTGTGGGAACTAGAAAGACACTTAAGATACACATAATCCCCAAGCTTAGGTAACTAGGCATAGAATCACATATTCTAACACTAGATGTACATGCTATAGGTCAGATGAATAGAATGGATAGATTATTGTGGCAGTTCAAATAGAGGGTATGGTTAGAGAAGGCATATTGCTATGGAGATACCATTTCAGTGACATTTCATTAAGGCCATGAAAGATATGTAAGGTTTTTTTGAAAGGCAGAAGTAAGAAGGAAGAATATTCCAAGCAGAGGGATGAGTAACAGCATGAAAGATGAGAAATGAAAGCATTGATAGTAATTCAGTTTGATTGAAAATGGATATTGTGGGTGCCAATGTTAGAAAAATTTAAGCTCTGATTTGCTGTTTAGTTTATTTCTTGAATAATGAATGGTTCACATGTCCCCTTTATCCATATCTTACAGTATTGCTAATAAAGACAGAATTCTAGTTTTTGTTAATTTCTGTGTTTGCATTTTTTTCGGTGTAAAAATGGATTTTCTCAGAAGCCATATTTAAGGTAAAATATGTAACCACCAGTTTTACTGTACTTTATTCCAGACAAGTCTCTACAACTCCTCTATGACTCAAGTATGGTAGAGATCTCTTAGACCTGAATTCCTCTAGAATTGCCTTGTAAATGGGGAAACTAAACTGTACATTTTAAGGACGGATGTAATTTGTAATAGAAAGAAAGGATTTTTTTTTATCTTTTAGGCCCAAAAAAGTCAGTGGGAAAAAAATACAGTGACAGTTGAACATGAGGAACTTTCTGGCCTTTATGAGTCAGCACAAGAGTTTGGCTTGAGCTGAGGATTTCTGGAGAGTTGGTGATGGTAAGGTTTGAAGGGTGAGGGCAAGGTCAGTTTATACAGGGCTATTTCTACAGGCAGAAGGCTAAGTGATGTTTTGTAAGTTAAGAAAATAGCGAGATGGCTATTGCAAAGGGTAAATACAACAGAAACAGTCAGCTCAATATTGGAAGTAGGGCAGAATCTCAATATTAATTCAAAATAGCATTGATTGGCTGAGTGCAGCAGCTCACGTGTAATCCCAGCACTTTGGGCAGCTGAGGCGGGAGGATTGCTTCCACCCAGCAGTTCAAGATCAGCCTGGGCGAGATAACAAGACCTCATGTCTACTGAAAACAAACAAAAAAATTAGCCAGACTCAGTGGCAGGCACTCGTAGTTCCACCTACTCAGGAGGCTGAGGCAGTAGGATGGCTTAAGACCAGGAGATCAAGGCTGCAATGAGTCGTGATTGTGCCACTGCACTCCAGCCTGGGCAACAGAACAAGACCCCACCTCAAAACAAAAACAAAATAACATTGGTTAATTTTGCCTTTTACACATTTAAAGTATCTGTTATATAATAAGGAATAAGAAGTGAAAAATCTTGTTGAAAGCCGAATGCTAGTTCTCATTAAGATACTTCTTTTTTGCCTACTTCTTTGAAAAGAGTTGCTATGTTGCAGCAACTAAAAATTTAAAACCCTTGAGCAATTGAATATAATTAAGTACAGGTGTTGACTCTGGGTTATAATTCATAACTTTTAAGTGACTTTAAGGATTCTTTAATGGTGCGGATGTCTAATTATCTACAGTACAAGTAAAATACCAGGCAGAATTTTCTGGTGTTCTGTACATTTAGAAGAATTACACTGTATAATATTGTAATGTGTTGCTTCTTGTCAGTTAAGTGGTGTCAGTGATAACCAGAAGGCTTTTTTGATTGCTACTATACTAAATATAAGCTCCAATTTTAATGTTTTTCATGTCTTTCTACGTGCTTTCTCTTTATCTCATCTTACTATTCAATATTGTTTTTCACTGCTTTAAAGTATATTATTTTTAATTTAAGAGAACTCTTAAAATTAGAAGAAAATAACAATTTTTAAGGTTTCTCAGAACTGAATTGACCCACTTTATTATTCTCTCCTATGCTAAATATCTGTTTATCTCAAGGTTTGGAATTATTTTTACTTACAGCCTTGCTTGATTGCTCCCATGTAAGTTTACTTTGCGTGAAAGTCCTGTAGGAATCATTTATAATTTCTTTAATTTTAGACTAGTCCCTCAAAGTCAGCTACATATGCCTTTTATTTTACTAAGCTTTTTGAAAACTTAATCAACTTTTGAATGTGTCAAAGGGATGGTAGTTTTATTCCTCTTGGTCTAGATTGAGTTTTAGAGCTGTTTCCTGTAATGAGAGAGGAGGAAGGAAGAGGAGAGGGGAGAGAAGCAAAGCAAAAGCACATTCTTCTGGCTACTTGTAGTTCTGTTTTCTATTCCAGCATTAAACAATTAGACTAGCACAGACTGGATTATTTTATGGCCTTTGTTATATCTATTTTAATAGACTTTTCCCTGGAAAACAAATATTAAAGACTTAAGAGTTACTTTTGATTGATATCTTATTGTAAATCAGTACAACCCACCAATTCCAGTTATACTATTCCATTATGCTTTTGCATCAAGTAATTAACAGTTTACATTACTAGACCAATTATTTCCATTTTTATATATTTACAAAATATTTTGTTTCTCCAGAGATCTAAATATATATTCACTGATTAATACGACTCTTTTCATTTGTTTCAAACTCTGAAGGCTAGAAACGTAAACCTACATCTTTTTGAGTGGAATCTTGTTAGCAGAATGTGCTATTAGTTATTTTGTGTATTCCAAAATTTGCCTTGTTTTAAGAAAGGCAAATTGATTTTTGAAGTGAATATAATAAATTGAGATGCTCTTCTCCCACTTTTTAACTTTTTTTTATTTTTATTTTTTGAGACGGAGTCTTACTCTGTCACCCAGGCTGGAGTGCAGTGGCCCAATCTCCACCCACTACAACCTCCACCTCCCCAGGTTCAAACAATTCTCCTGCCTCAGCCTCCTGAGTAGCTGGTACTACAGGCACCACCATGCCCGGCTAATTTTGTATTTTTAGTAAAGACAGGGTTTCACTATGTTGGCCAGGCTGGTCTCGAACTCCTGACCTTAGGTGATCTGCCCACCTAGGCCTCCCAAAGTGCTGGGATTACAGGCGTGAGCCACTGCACTGGGCCCTACTTTCTAACTTAAGGAAAGTAATTAAAACTACACATCTTACTTAATGCAAAGATACATATTACAAGCTTTAGGTTAAATTAGATTATGGTTTTGCTCAAATTGCTCAAATTGCTTTTGTTGCCAAGATGGTAAGGAGCTTTAGCTAGATTAAGACTAGAGTTTTAAAGTGTTTCTGTAAACCAGGGCTTAAACTATATTTTCAAATCAGAGCTTTTGGAGTGTGCAATAACTAGTTTTATACCTCGTCCCTCGTCCCGTTCACATCCCCACTCGCACCCCAATGCAATAAAGAATTTTTGTCATGTCATTTATGGAAAATAAATAGGAGTTTGTATTTTCCAGTGTTTATTAATAAAACTATAGATATTAAATGAATTGCCAATGCATGTTTAGCTCTCTCCCTTCTCTTGAAATATTAATGAGCTAGAGAACTATAAGGGAGTTGGGAACCAGAGTTCTGACATAAGGTAATACTTTGTTTTGAAGAATGGATTGGAAATTTGAAAACATAAAGTTTTTTTTTTAGCAGTATATTCTTGTCTTGATTTCTAACATTGTATTTAATAATTGATCTTCTATTGGTTTAGGAATCTGGCCCCTAACCTCTGAATGATTGTGGTGGGACTCTGGATTAGAATATAAATACTCAAAACATTTACTGTTAACGCGTAGGACAAACTGGAAAGCAATGTAAAATAATGTAGCATATAGTTTGTTTTGGTGCTGTGATTTGATATGACCATATATTTGTGTAATAATTTTATTTCTCTTTTTCTGAAGTTTGCATTTTAGAAGAGTGGTTATCTGGTTGACATCGTTTTCTTGAGTTAATTTGCACTGTTCATCCTGTTTTCATGTGTCCCATCAGAATTCTAATGCCGTTCTTCTGATCGTATGTAGAGAACAGCGATTCCCTTTTAGCTGGTTCTTTACTTCTGGTTAGTCTTTCTAAAATGCTGCTTTCTGTATTACTCATTCATGTAAGACTCATGATTGGCTCCCTATGACTAGAAGATGAGCTCCAGACTTACCCTGATATTTGGACTTCCCTATCCTCCATGCCCACCTTTTATCATCTTCTACTCTTCAACACAATTTCTCACTGTGATCAACTCTCCAGTAAGCTTTGTTCATTTCAAATTTTATTTTTTATCTGATGCTTTCTCCTGTTGCTTGTCATGCCTTTCTTCTTCTTCTTAACCTATTCTAATTTTTTCTATTTTTAAAGGCCTTGCTGCTACCTGTTATTAATTATGCTTAGATTTAAAGTCTTTGCTAGTGAATATTGCTCTCCCTTTTTAATAGGTTAAATTTGTTTCCTAACCAGATTGTCCAGTTACTGAGATCAAGATCCTTTTATTTTGACTTTTGATTTTAATTCTCACAGACTTAGCACATTGTTGGGTATATAAGGAGGCTTTCTCCAATTGGAAAACTTATATTTAACAAGGCATATTGTAGTTTGCATATGTGTTGAAAGGGTGGCAGTTTATGCATTGGTTTATATACCAAGGAATTCTGTGTCTCTGTATTGTATAGTGGTAGAATATGGAAAAAGCATAAGTCAGATAGGTCTATTTTGATTACATACCCTCTTATTCCCAAGAAAACTCTAGACATGCTATGTGGAATATCAAGGTATCTTAATATGTTTTCTCTTGCTGTAACTGAATACCTGAGACTGAGTAATTTATAAAGAAAAGAAACTTATTTCTTACAATCATGGAGCCTGGAAAGTACAAGCTCAGCGGGCTGCAGCTGGTGAGGGTCTTCTTGCTAGTGGGGACTTTCTGTAGAGTCCCAAGGCAGCACAGCACAGGCCATCATATGGTGGTGGAGCTCATAAGAGATGGCCGAACTTTTTATAACAAACCCACTCTGGTGATAAGTAGCCCACCCCCTTGATAACCCAAAAATCCATGAATGGCTTAATCCATTGTGGGGGCAGAGCCCTCATGACCCAGTCACTTCCCAGAGATCCCACTTCTCAACACTGCTGCATTGGAGATCAAGTTTCCAACACATGAACTTTCGCGGAACACATTGAAACTATAGCCCAGGTTTTCTATGACAGATGGTTTATAAGTATTGCTGTGAATGAAGCCTCTACTCTTCAATACATCATGTATTTCTATGTCTATCTAGGGATTCTTTACTCTAGAAACTGAATGCAACCCAAGTTTATGTAGTAATATAGGAAAGTGGTTCACTGAAGTCCTGAATTTCCAAAGTATATTTTTGTTTCTGAAGTCCTTCAGGTTAGATTCAGCATCCTAAACAGAGTGTAGATTTATCCTTTTTACTCACATCTTTATGGAGTAAGAACAGGCCTTGAGTGAATGAGCAAACTGATTAATCTTCAGTCCATTTATAATCATTGAAAAGAGCCAACTCATCATTTCTGCCAAATCATACCAATAAATAAGTAGCATGCAGAATGTCCAGTACCACAGGAATAGTCAAATGTATCTCACCACGTAAATATCTGTTTTGAGTGGACCTCAGTAAGGGAGGTACAGAAATTAGAAAAGTCATAATTTTAGAGTAAGCATTGACATTTTGCGTTTATTCACTTAGTGAATAGATTTTATATTAGAAACGGTTTATATAACTAACTAAAAATATTTTTTGGTTTATTTCATTTGATACTGCCTCAGAGTATATTGGAGCCACTCAGGGGAGTTCTGAGTTGGAGATTCTGTTAGTGAAAGTGTAATAGAGGGGTAAGAGAAGAGAGCTAAGAAAGACATCAACATATATGGGGAAGTTATAACAAGAAAAGAAATGACCAGAGAAAATAAAAGAAAATCAGGAGAATGCAGTTAGAAAGAAGCAATGAAAGAGACTACTATTTCAGTGCTCTGAAGTTAGGTGCTACTGAGTGGGCATTCAAGATTCCTATAGAATGGCTGTTAGATTTAAAATCATTAAGGCAAATCACTGATGTCCTTTCTAAGATCAGTTTGTTAGCTTGGTGCTGGCATATGTCAGACTATAGTGGGTTGAGTTGTAAATAGGCGGAAAAAGTGGAGAGAGCACATGTAGACAGCTCCTTCAAGAAGCTTGGCTCTGAACTGGAGGAATGAAAGCAATAACTAGAGGAGAAATTAACGTCCAGGGTGAATGACATGATTGATTTAATGCAGAATCTTAAGCATGCTTAAATGTTGATGAGAAAGTGTTAGTGGAAATGGAGGAGATACAAATACAGGAGAGAGGTGTAATAGATTGAGGTCTGAGGAAATAGAAGCAACAATCTATGGTGCAAACTTCCTTGGGAGGGGCTAATATCCAGCACAGAGATGGGAGGGAGACTAACCAGAAATAGTAGAAGGGGTGATGTTGTCTATTTTACTGCTGGGAAGAAGGAAAAGTTAGTTAGGTAACAACAAAAAGGGGGTTGGCTCTCCAGAAATGACATGCATTTCCCTGTGAAGTGGGGAAGGTTAAGGTAGCAGGGGAGAACTAGAAAGCACTAGAAATGTGAGGGAAGTCAAGAAGGTTTGAAAAGAGTACTTTGTTGTGAAAGGAAACACTGTAGGATTGCTGGGTAAGAAATCTCTGTGATAGAATCCAGCTTAAGCCTATTATGGTTAATTTTTTTTCTGTAACAAATAGTTTTTTAAATGAGAGTTTACCATAGTTAACATTTTAGTTACGCATTATGTGAGTATTTCTCCTTGTGCAAATTAAACTTGTTTATTGTGTTTTTTGTTTTGTTTTGTTTATTTGAGATGTAGTCTCACTCTTGTCGCTCCGGCTGGAGTACAGTGGCACCGTCTTGGCTCACTGCAACCTCCACCTCCCAGGTTCAAGCAGTGCTCCTGCCTCAGCACCCCCAAGTAGCTGGGACCACAGGCGCATGCCACCAAGCCTGGCTAATTATTTATATTTTTATTAGAGATGGGGTTTCACCACATTGGCCAAGCTGGTCTAGAACTCCTGACCTCAGGTTATCTGCCCGCCTCGGCCTCCCAAAGTGCTGGGGTTACAGGCGTGAGCCACCACGCCCGGCCTATTTTGTTTTTTTAAAAAGTGACTTAAAAAGGCCAGGCAGGCAGACCACTTGAGGCCAGAATTCAAGACCAGCCTGGCCAACATGGCAAAACCCCGTCTACTGAAAGTACAGAAAAGCCACACATGGTGGCACGCACCTGAAATCCCAGCTATTCAGGAGGCTGAGGCACTAGAATTGCTTGAACCTGGGAGGTGGAGATTGCAGTGAGCTGAGATCCCACCACTACACTCCAGCCTGAGCGACAGAGCAAGACTCTGTCTCAAAAATAAATAAATAAACAAACAAACAATAAAAAAGACTTGTTTTTCTATAAACAATGCATGTTTATTATAAAAAGTTTAAATGAGACAAAACTGATGAAGAAGTTTTTAAAAAATTACTCAGTAGCTCACTTCCCAGAAATTCTCATTAGCATTTGGTCGGTGTCATTAAGAGAGAGAAATGACTTTATACAAATGTGATCATGTAGTGTATGTGCTATTTCAAATAGACTACTAAATTTTATTTTGAGTTTGAAAGAAAAAGAAATAATACAGAAGAAATTACTGAACCTCAAGTATGGTTTTTTTATGTTTTTATTTTTACAAAAGATAGGTTCTTAAATGATCCTTTAGGCCATAAGAGAGAATTCTGAAGCCTTAGGTGGACTTGATTTTTTTTCTTTTTCTTTTTTTTGAGACGGAGTTTCGCTCTCGTTGCCCAGGCTGGAGTGCAGTGGCACGATCTCGGCTCACCGCAACCTCTGCCTCCCGGGTTCAAGCAATTCTCCTGCCTCAGTCTCCTGAGTAGCTGGGCATTACAGGCATGCACCACCATGCCCGGCTAGTTTTGTATTTTTAGTAGAGATGTGTTTTCTCCATGTCGGTCAGGCTGGTCTCGAACTCCTGACCTCAGGTGATCCGCCCACCTCGGCCTCCCAAAGTGCTGGGATTACAGGGGTGAGCCACCGCACCTGGCCTTTTTTGTTGTTGCTGTTCAGTCACACAACTTGAAAATGTGTGACTTGATTTTAATGCTTGTATGAGTGTAGTTTTCTTCTGCTGCTCTTGATGGTATGTGTGGTGTCAGTTGGTTGACCATCCTGCAGTTGGTCAAGTATACTTTTTATTTTGGTGTTTATTTATGCCATTTTATTTGGAATGTGAGCCTTTGAAAGTGGCTATGATTTCTAAGTAGGCCACCTTCTTGACTGATAGGATCACTTTCACAGACTGTAGGAAATCTTAGGGTTTCTTACTTTATATAATTAGTGCGCTTATAGAAAGAGGAAATGTTCTCAAAATTCAGTGAATTTAGAAAAGCTAAAATTTAGCTCTTTTGGACTCTTGAGTTATAAGAAATTTTATCTGTCTTTATCTCTAAATAGTATCTGACGGTTGAATACACCTTCCTTCTTGAAACATTTTTTTCCCTCGCTCTCATAAGAGCATACTCCTAGTTTTTCTCTGACTTTAGGTCAGTCCTTCTCAGTCTCTTGCCAAGTTCTTCTCCTCCCTCAGTCATCTGAGTGTTGGAGTGCTCTCTCTAGGTGATGTCACTCAGATTTGTTACTTTAAACACATTTGATAACTGTCAATTTTATATCTTCATTCATGATCTTACATCCTACATCTAGCCTATCTCTAAAATATAGTCCTAGTACAAACGCTCCTCTTGTTCTCCACAGTCTTGAGTACCACTTATCTGGTTATCACTCATTGGCACCACTAAAGCCACCTCCTAACTTTGTCTGCAGTCATTCTTGCCTCCTCTCTTGGAATCTGTTCTTTTTAAAGTAGCTAAAGTGTCCTCTTTAAATCATAAGTCTTATCTTATCACCCTGCCTTCCCTTTGTTTAAAACTATCCAGTCAATATCCAGACTTCCCATTACAGCTAGAATAAATCCAAACTCTCATGGTTTACAAATGTATGTGAACTGCTTTACCTCTCCACCTTAAACTCTTTATCTTCCATCCCCTGCCATGGTTCACCTATACTGACCATATTTCTTTCTGAAGCACTTCAAATTTATTGCTATTTTTAGGCTTTTATACTTAGAAGAACCCTCTTCCCTCAGATCCTCACATTACTGCCTCCCTCTGGCCGTTTGGCTCAGATGTCATCTCAGAGAGCTCTTCCTGCCTATCCTAGCTGAAGTATTGCACAACTCCTCACTCTTCTCAGCACACACATACGTGCTCTATCATATTGCCCTATTTTATGTAGACTGGCACCAAAAATAAATTTCACAAAAACTGTATCATATCCTATCATCATCAATATGATTATAGTTAGTATTTTCAGGCATTTCTCTTGATAGGAGTTATTTTACCAGAATATATGATTGTTACTTTATACATAATTACTCACATTTTTGGCTAAATTTATTTAAACAGGGAACTTTGTCACTAATGTAAGTGGAAAATTAGTATCACATGTCAAAATTGAAGCTAATAAAAATAAATACAATGAAAATTGCAGTTTTTAATTTTTTTTACTCTTTAGAAGCTCTGAGACTAAGGCTTGCTCTGTTGAGAAAAAGATAAACATTAAAGACCAACAGCATTAAACTGAGACCTTCTTGACATAGACAAATTGAAAGAGAATTGTAATAAAAGTAACTTTCTCATCGAGCGTTGCAGTGTAATGTAGTGTAGTCTGTCCTCTGAATTTACCAGTGCACTAAAACTAAATGCTATTTTAGTTCATGTGAAGTTGAAATAACTTAGGCCATGGACTAGGGTAAAAGTGTGCTAGTGAACTAGTGAGAATTTCTGGGGGAAAAAAAACCCTAGAAACTCTGTTTATTTTAATTCTTTCCAAGGTGAATTGAATAGCTTGAAACTATATTACTCAAAATTAATGTTTTGAGTATATTGCTGAGGAATTCTTCTAAATTAGTAATTCCTACATTATAAAAAAATAGTATATTCCCCAATCACTGAAAGAATTTTGTGTGTTGGGCTCTCTGCTGAACACTTGACATATATTATCTGATTTAATCATATGCATTCTCTGAGAGGTAGAAGCATCCTCATTTTAAAGATGTGAAGATAAGATCTATAGAGGTTAGGTAATTTGTCTAAGATTCTATGATCAGCAAACCTTTCTGAGTTCACGGAATATATATATTCCGTGATTATATATATATATATATATATATATATATATTTTTTTTTTTTTTTTTTTTTTAAACAGGGTCTTACTCTGTCGCCCAGCGTGATCACAGCTCACTGCAGCCTCAACCTCCCGGGTTCAAGCAGTCTCCCACCTCAGATCTCCAAGTAGCTGAGACCACAGGCGTGCACCACCATGCGTGGCTAATTTTTTTATTTAGGGACAAGGTCTCACAATGTTGCCTAGGCTGATCTCAAACTCCTGAGCTCAGGCGATCCTCCTGCCTCAGCCTCCCAAAGTGTTAGGATTACAGGTGTGAGCCACCATGCCGGGCCTCAAAGACTATATTCTTAAGCATTAAATCTTGTACTAAAGAAGGCAAGATGCAAAAAAAATGCTATGACATAAGTGTATGATGAAGTTCGTTGACCCAGAAGCATGTCTTTGGAAAAGAATCTCCAATTTTTCAGCTCTAAGAAATGAGAAGTTACCCAAATGGCCACCAAATTTTATGGAAGCTTTTAGTTTATGGGTGTTCTAGGCCCGTTCTAGGGTATTCCATTTGACAGGATAGCCTTAGTGTTCCCATTACTTAATTTTTATCTTAATATTTGACAATTTTTTTTCAGAAATAAATTTAAATTCTACTTATGGTATGTTACCACCTCACAATACAAAGGAATATAACAATAATACTAACCTTGGGGCAGGGAGCAACAGTGCCACCAGCATATGTAAGGTCTGTGGCTTGAGTTTTTTTCTTATAGTAGGGGGAATAGATTAGTGATGATACAGTCATAACTCCTTTCCTAGGCTAGTCCTTGGCAGAGTCTAGGTAAGGTACAATCTAGAAAATAATTTGGTTTTTTTTGGTAGGTTTTTGTTTTTGCTTGACAAGGTCTTGCTCGACAAGGTCTTGCTCTGTTGCCCAGGCTAGAGTGTAGTGGCATGATCATGGCTTGTTACAGCTCACTCCTGACCTGAAGCAGTCCTCCTACCTTAGCCTCCCCAGTAGCCAAGAGTATAAGCGCATACCACCATGCCCGACTATATTTTTTAAAAATTTCTTGTAGAGACAGGATCTTGCCTTGTTGCCCAGGTCTTAGACTCCTGGGCTCAAGTGATCCTCCCACCTTGGCCACCCAAAGTGCTGGGATTACAGGTGTGAGCCACCACACCCAACCTAAAAGATAATTTGAAGGTTGCAAGATAGACACATGATTTCTTCCCCTTCCTCCTTTATTCTCTTTTTTTCTTTGGATTCTTTTAGATCATCAGAGGGCTTTGTTTTCTTTGCTTTCAGAAGAATTGCAGTTACTAAGTTTCTCTCTATTATCCACTTGGTTAAAATTGGGGGTTGTAATTAAGAATTGCCATTTAAAACCTGCTAATGCATTTACTGTAGGGATGTTGTTGAGGACATCACTATGGTTAGTCTTTGGACCCTACATAGAGACAACTATATAGGATATTTTTCATTCTGAGTGTCACAGAAAGCTTAGTCACTCCTGTAAGTTACAGTGTTATTTGTGTTGCTTGACTGCCAGGAAGCTTCCATTTTTATTTTCCTATTTTATCATGCTATTTGCATAAGATGCCTCAAATCTTGACAAGAAGTAAATAATATTGTGCTTTTAGGGAGATTTCCTTCATATTTTCAAAGATTCAAAAAATTTACCTAAACCACTGTCTATTGTGTTTGTTAGTAAAACATAATATAGCTCCTCATTTCTGCTAATTTTGCTCATATGAATTTGACATTAAATAGTATATTATTTGTATGCAAAAAACTTAAATATTGCTTTACATACCTATACTTTAATTGTAATAGTATATTTATGTTTTATTGTTACTGAATAATCCACATTTAGATACAACTTAATTATTTTTAATTCTGGGAAATTATATTTAAAAACAATTTATAACTTGTATCAAGAGTATCTTGGTTTTTGGTATTTAAGAATGAGCTGTGTTCACTGTTTCTCTTACCAAACTCAATCAAACTCTCATGATTTTTTTGATACCTCTGTCTAAAATAATTGATACTTTATGTTTGAAAACATCTCATTTTGGGACTATAATCTAATTGGTAGTTTTAATGAAATTAATTTGTTTATAAATGTGTGTATTGTTTGGTGGATATATCATTGCTTTCTGTTTGTAATATTTCTTAGTATTTGTTCATTTTTTATGATACTATTCTTTATCTGGTAATTTGAGTAAATCCCAGTTGAATTATGTTGCCACATTATGTCTTCAAAAGGGCATAAAGTCAGTACACATGCTTCAGTAATATCTGGTTGTTTTACCCTTATGTTTCCAGTTGGCAATTTGAAATTATGGCTTCAACTGCACTTTAAATATGTGATAATAGCATGTGTTTCTAATAAGGGCCAGCATCATTTTGTTCAGATAGTGTGAATGGTTGTCACTCATATATGACAAATGCACCTTCATCTGCTTCTTTGATAGCCCCCTAAAAACCATACCCTCAAATCAGGCCGATGAAATTAGCTGCTGTGTAAATTGTGTGTCTGAGTGGTTCATTATCTAATCACCGTCAGAACCACAGTGATAAAGTAGATTGAAGCAGGGAAGAGGTCTGCCAGATGATTTCAGACCCCCCCTCCCTAAATCTGGTTTCCCTTGGAAACCCTAATAGTGCAGTTTAGAACTTCAATCTTTCATGCCTGGAATTCAGTATCTTTTAATTTACCAAACTTGGAAATGCCAGTAGTTCTAGAACATAATTTTGTTTTTGTAAAGACCATAATTTTATTTATTTAAATCAATTTTTGAAATATGGAGGCTCTTGAACTATAGTTTTATTGCCAGTAGCCTCAGTATTACTAAATGGGGGAAAAATGCTATATCCTACTTGCCAAGAAGCCAGAGTAATTTATTTATTATATTTATTTGTTAACCTTCTAGGAATCTTTCACTCTATCATAATGAACACGCTGTATTATTTGTTTATTGAATTGCTTCCCTTTAATTCATTTTAGGTGCTTTTGAAGATGATGATATCACGCACGTTGAAGGAAGTGTAGATCCTATTCGAGATATAGAAATAATACATGAAGAGCTTCAGCTTAAAGATGAGGAAATGATTGGGCCCATTATAGATAAACTAGAAAAGGTGGCTGTGAGAGGAGGAGATAAAAAACTAAAACCTGAATATGTAAGTAAAAATTTACAGCTTCTTTAGATACTCAAGAGTTTATTTTTCTTGATTAAATTTTTTAAATAATGCATATGATACATCTAATATTGTTATGGAATTTTAGAAGCCAAGGGTTATTTCTGTTAAAAAAAATTGTTAAGGAACTTTATTTTTAAACAACCAAGGGCCATGGTGATAGGCTATTTAGGCGGTTCTAAGCAAGCAGTAGTTAGCAGTAATAGTGAGTGTTTACATGATTACTATGTAGGCCTTCAAGTTTTAGTGTTAATAAAGTGTGGTTTATGATGAAAAACTTACTGGATTTGGTGAAATGACTCATACAGTTTTCATGGATTTGAAGAAGTGATTTATACAAAGACCTGGTTCTCCATAGGGGTGGACTAAATGAATACACTCTTAAAGTAGACAGATCATTTTAATATTTTATGGAATGAAAACATGCCTCATTGTTCTTAATATTCAAATGTGTTTTCTATCACATTATAATGAATGATTATTAGTAACATTGTAATAAATGTTCCAAAATGTATTTTGAAGCTTTTAGTTTACATATGATTGAATTGTCTTTAACATTTAAGAAACGGTGCCCTGGCCAGGCGTGGTGGCTCACGCCTATAATCCCAGCACTTTGGGAAGCTGAGGCGGGTGGATCACCTGAGATCAGAAGTTCAAGACCAGCCTAGCCAACATGGCGAAACCCTGTCCCTACTAAAAATACAAAAATTAGCTGGGTGTGGTGGTAGGTGCTTGTAATCCCAGCTACTTGGGAGGCTGAGGCAGGAGAATTGCTTGAACCCGGGAGGCGGAGGTTGCAGTGAGCCAAGATCGTGCCATTGCACTCCAGCCTGGTGATAGAGTGAGACTCTGTCTCAAATAAATAAATAAATAAAATATTTTTAAAAATAAAATAAAATGAAACTAGTAAGAGAAAGTAACCAACACACAGTATGTAAATGAGCAGGTTACCCCCATTGGCAAGAGTAAAGAAGCTGGGGTAATTATCAACCAATTTATATCAGTTACTGGCTATGGGCTACTCCTAGGAGTGTTAACTCCTTGGTGCCTGATGTCTTTGTGGTTTGAGCATAGAATTTAGTCAGACTAACAGATGCTTACCTTAAGCCATCACCATGTACTAGACCCATGATGGCAAAGGGGATTTTGGGCAGGGTAATCCTGTAATTCCAGCACTTTGGGAGGCCAAGGCAGGTGGATCGCCTGAGATCAGGAGATTGAGACCAGCATGGCTAACATTGTGAAACCCCATCTCGACTAAAAATACAAAAATTAGCCAGGCGTGGTGGTGCACGCCTGTAATCTCACCTACTGAGGAGGCTGAGGCAGGAGAATCACTGGAACCTGGGAGGTGGAGGCTGCAGTGAGCCCAGATCATGCCACTGCACTCCAGGCTGGGCGACAGAGTGAGACTCGGTCTCAATTAAAAAAAAAAAAGAAAGAAAAAGAAAAGAAAAGGGATAACTATATGATTATGATATCAACTAGTTACTGTAGGGAAGTTTCTTTTAGAAATATATTTCTTAAGTTCTCTAGCAAATGGTCTAAAGGTACAAAAATGTGATGGATATAAAAGAGATAGCTACTTGAAATTTATGAGAAAGATAGGCAGGTCATTTTGTTTACCAGGTATTTACCTATTCTTCTTTAATGTTGTTGATTCTTCCTGTTCATTTAAATGTATCTTTATTTTCTGGGTAATCTTTCAGAAATTCAACATTCAAACCTCTTTTCCTATTAAGTTTCCAGTTTCTAGATTTGGATGCCATTTGTATTTTTATGTCAATAAGCGTGAAAGACTTAGGTTAAATATACTCTAGCATGAAACATGAGCTGACTTTTTAATGTTAAAGAAGAGTTTTTCCTGAGAGCAAGGTAGATATACTCTGACATAAGATATACCTTTTTTTTTTCTTTCTTTCTTTCTTTTTTTTTTTTTTTTGAGACTGAGTCTCACTCTGTTGCCCAGGCTGGAGTTCAGTGGCACTATCTCGGCTCACTGCAACCTCCGCCTCCCTGGTTGAAGTGATTCTTCTGCCTCAGCCTCCTGAGTGGCTGGGACTACAGGTGCATGCCACCACACCCGGCTAATTTTTGTATTTTTAGTAGAGACGGGGTTTCATTGTATTGGCCAGGCTGGTGTCAAACCCCTGACCTCGTGATCCACCCACCTCGGCCTCCCGAAGTGCTGGAATTACAGGCGTGAGCCACTGTGCCCGGCCAAGATACACCTTCTATAGTGAGTCTTGCTGTCTGAAGTAAAACCCAGGCACTAAATAAAGAAGGCAGGAGTGGGATAAGCATTTTCTCTTGGTATCAGCCAAGTGTGTTTGTTTCCTAGGGTTGCTGTAACAAGCACCATGAACAGGATGACTTTAAACAACAATGTCTTCTTTCCCGGTTCTGGAGGATGAGAAGTCTGAAGTCAGGGTGTTGGCAGGGCCATGCTCTCTCTGAAGCCTCTCTGGGGGAGAAGTTCTAGCTTCTGGTAGCTCCAGGTGTCCCTTGCCTTGTGACAGCAGAACTCCAATCTCTGCCTTAGTCTTCACATGGCCACCTTTCCTGTGTGTCTCTGTCCAAATTTCTCTCTTCTTATAAGGACACAAGTAATATTGGCTTAAAGGCCCACCTTCCTCTAAGTATGGCTTCATCTTAATTAATTCCCAAATAAGTTCACTTTCTGAGTATCAGGGATGGGATTCAATCTATAATACCAAGTCATCAAGATCAAGGTTAATTTTAAATCTATTTAAGTGTATGTACATCCCATTTGGAAAAATGAAATTTGAAAAATGAAGTTAGGAGGGCTTAAGGAACAATTTATTTTGTATCGATTATTTGGAAAGCATTATACTTAGAAAATATTCATAGAACTAATAATTAGCTAATTGAAGAACTAAAGACTACCAGAAATTATAATTGAGTCTTTTTTTCTGAAAACATCTGAGTAAAAAATTAATGTCCTCAGTAATATGTAGCTGTTAGCAGATTTCTTATTATATTCTTAAGGCAATTTTTAAAACTGGTATTAACATAACTTTTGAAATATTTAAGCTATTTGTTTTTAACGAACATTGAAAGATTCAGAGTAGCATACAGGCATACTTCATTTTATTGACCTTCACTTTATTCGGTTCCACAGATATTGTGGGTTTTGGGGGTTTTTGTTGTTGTTTTACAAATCGAAGGTTTGTGGCAACGCTGTGTTGAGAAACTCAATGCCATTTTTCCAACAGCATGTGCTCCCTTTGTGTCTCTGTGTCACATTTTGGTAATTCTTACAAGGTTTCAAACCTTTTTGTTATTATTGTATCTGTTAAAGTGGTCTTTGACTGGTGATCTTTGATGTTCCTGTTATAACTGCTTTAGGGAGCCATGAACGATGCACATAGAAGACAGCAAACTTAGTCGATAAATGTTGGGTGTGCTCTGATTGCTCCACCTACTGGCCATTTCCCATCTTTCTCCCTCTCCCGGGTTGTCTGTGTTCCCTGAGACACAACATTGAAATTGGGCCAAATATTAATAATACCCCTACGATGGCTTCTAAGTGTTCAAGTGAAAGGAAGAGTCACATCTCTCATTTTAAATCAAAAGCTAGAAATGATTAAGCTTAGTGAGGAAGGCATGTTGACAGCTAAGATAGGCTGAAAGCCAGGTCTTTTGCACCACGTTAGCCAAGTTGTGAATGCAAAGGAAAAGTTCTTGAAGGAAATTAAAAGTGCTCCTCCAGAGAACACACGAATGAGAAGAAAGCAAAACAGCTTTATTGCTGATAGGGAGAAAGGGATTTTTTGTTTTGTTTTGTTTTGACATGGTGTCTCACTGTGTTGCCCAGGCTGGTTCCAAACCCCTGGGCTTAAGTGATCCTCTTGCCTCAGCCTCCCAAGTAGCTGGGATTATAGGTGTGTACCACCATGCCTGACTAATATGGAGAAAGTTTTAGCGTTCTTGATAGAAGATCAAACTATCCACAATATTCCCTTAAGCGAAGGACTATTCCAGAGCAAGGTCCTAACTCTCTTTAATTCTAGAGTTAGAAAACTGAGAGAGGTGAGGAAGCTGCAGAAGAAAAGTTGGAAGCTTACAGAGGTTGTTTCATGTGGTTTAAGAAAAGAAGCCATAGCCCTAACATAAAACTGCAAGGTGAAGCAGCAAGTGCTAATGTAGAAGCTGCAGCAAGTTCTCCAGAAGGTCTAACTAAGATCATTGATGAAGACAATGAAAACAACAGATGTTCAATGTCAACAAAACAGCCTTGGAAGAAGAGGCCATCTAGGACTTTAATTGCTTGAGAAGAGAAGTCAATGCCTGGCTTCAAAGGATATGCTGACTCCCTTGTTAAGGGCTAATGCGGTTGGTGACTTTAAGTTGAAACCAATGCTTATTACCATTCTGAAAATCCTAGAGCCTTTGCGAGTTATACTAAATCTATTCTGCCTGTGCTATATAAGTGGAACAACGAAACCTGGATGACAGCACATCTGTTTACAGCATGGTTCACTGAATATTTTAAGCCCACTCTTGAGACCTACTGCTCAGAAAAAACAATTCCTTTCATTGAGACCTACTGCTCATTGACAAAGTACCTGATCATTCCAGAGCTCTGATGGAGATGTGCTAGGAGGTTAATGTTGTTTTCATGCCTGCTAAGACAACATCCATTCTGCAACCCATAGATCAAGGAATAATTTTGATGTTCCTATCTTATTATTTAAGAAATACATTTCATAAGACTGTAACTATCATAGGTAGTGATTTATCTGATGGATCTGGGCATAATAAATTGAAAACCTTTTGGAAGGGATTCACCATTCTAGATGAATTTTCATGGCCGGGCGTGGTGGCTCACGCCTATAATCCCAGCACTTTGGGAGGCCAAGGAGGGTAGATCACGAGGTCAGGAGTTCAAGACCAGCCTGGCCAACATGGTGAAACCCTGTCTCTACTGAAAATACAAAAAAAAAATTAACCAGGCGTGGCAGCATGTGCCTGTAATCCTAGCTACTCGAGAGGCTGAGGCAGGAGAATTGCTTGAACCTGGGAGGCTGAGGTTGCAGTGAACCAAGATCACACCACTGCACTACAGCCTGGGTTACAGACCAAGACTCGTCTCAGGAAAAAAAAAAAAAAAGAATATTCATGATTCATGAGAGGTCAAAACATCAACATTAATAGGGGTTTGGGATGAGTTGATTCCAAACCCACATGGATGACTTTGAGAGGCTCAAGACTTCAGTGGAGGAAGTAACTGCAGATGTGGTGGAAACAGCAAGAGAACTAGATGTAGATGTGGAACCTGAAGACATGATGGAACTGCTGTAATCTCATGATAAAACTTGAATGGATGAGAAGTTGCCTGTTATGGGTGAGCAAAGAAAGTGGTTTCTTGAGATGGAATCTACTGCTGGTGAAGATGCTGTGAATATTGTTGAAATGACAACAAAGGATTTAGAATATCACATACACTTAGTTGGTAAGGCAGTGGCGGGGTTTGAGAGGATTGGCTTCAGTTTTGAGAGAAGTTGAAATGTGGGTAAAATGCTATGAAATAGCACTGCATGTCACAGGGAAATTTTTTTGTGAAAGGAAGAGTTGATTGATATGGCAAACTTCGTTGTTTTCATATTTTAAGAAATTGTCACAGCCACCCAACCTTCAGCAACCACTACCCTGATTAGTCAGCAGCCATCAACATTAAGGCACGACCCTCCACCAGCAAAAAGATTACAACTCACTGACAGCAGAGATGATCATTAGCATTTTTTAGTAAAAATATTTTTAAATTAAGGTTTATACATTGTTTTTGTAGACATGCTATTGTACGCTTAATAGACTACAATATAGTTTAAGCATAACTCATGCTTACTAGGAAACAAAAATTTGTGTGACTTGCTTTATAGCGATACTCACTTTATTGCACTTACTTTTACTTGCTTTATAGCGATACTCACTTTATTGGAACTAAACCTGCAGTATCTCTGAGGTATGGTTGTACTGTAAAAATATATTCTTCCTCCTTTTATCTTCACATTTACCTCTTTCTTCTCTTTAGACTGTTGTGTGTCCTTTCAGGTCTATTCATATATGACTTAAAGAGATCATTTCTAAAAGAACGTGATACTAATTTTTGGTAAGGCTGAACTCTCAGTCCTCATAATCTCTAGTTAGTGGAACCAAATTGTTTAACAGAAAAGCTGTATCTGTGACTCCTTCCTCTTTTGCACCATCTACATCTCATCCTGTTGATTTTATCTCTTGAATATTCCCCATACCTCTTTCTTCCTCCTGCTTTTATTACTACTTCTTTGGTTTGAGCCTCACTTATGCTTAATTTATTTTTGCAGTTTAACTGATCTTTTTGTCTGTAGCTTGCTCTTGTTTTCCACAAATACAAAATGAAGAACTAATCATGTTATTCCCTTGATTAAATTACCTATTTCCTATGGGATAGTGCCAACATAAAGGCCATGGCTCACAAAGTTCTTTGTGATTTGGGTTTGCCTGGCTTACCATTACTTTTTTCTCAACTCTCCTGACAGTGAACGTAGGACTTTAAACGTACTGATTTTACATGAGGTCATTTACCAGAACTTTACCTGTTTGGTGCTCTTCCATTCCCATTTCTTTTTTTTTTTTTTTTTTTGGAGGCGGAGTCTTGCTCTGTCGCCCAGGCTGGAGTGCAGTGGCACGATCTTGGCTCACTGCTAACTCTACCTCCCGGGTTCATGCCAGTCTCCTGCCTCAGCCTCCTGAGTAGCTGGGACTACAGGCGCCCGCCACCATGCCTGGCTAATTTTTGTATTTTTAGTAGAGTAGGGGTTTCACCATGTTAGCCAGGATGGTCTCCATCTCCTGACCTTGTGATCCGCCGGCCTCAGCCTCCCAAAGGGCTGGGATTACAGGCATGAGCCACCACGCCCGGCCCCATTCCCATGTCTTAGGCATTCTTCAAGACATAGCCTAAAGCAAAAGTTTCTTGTTCCTTAAAAACAACTTTTTTATTGTGGTAAACTATACATAACATAAAATATACCATTAACCATTTTAAGTATACAATTCACTAGCATTAAGTACATTTATAATATTGTACAACCATTACCCCTATATGTTTTCAGAACTTTTTCATCATTTCATACTGGAACTTTGTGCCTTTATTATTCTTACAGCTTATCTGTAAGTTTAAAATGTTTTCAAAATAAAAAGTAAAAACAAAACAATAATGATAACATGTTTTAATGTATAGAGTTCAGTTAAAATACATGACAATAATACAGAAAGGGCAAGAGAGGGTAGTGGAGTAAAAATGTTATAATACTGCAATAAAAGACAAAGATTATATTTCAGAATAACTAGAAGAATGTTCTTACTACAAAGTAATGATGAATGTATGAGGTGATGAATATGCTTAATACCCAGATTTATAATTACACAAAGTGTACGTCTATCAAAACATCACACTGTGTCCCATAAACATATACAGTTATTATGTGTCAGTTAAAAATAAAACTTCAACGAAATTTACTTTCTCTGGGGAAAGAAAAAAAATGAGTTTGACAGTTTCTCTAAAAGTTAATTATAGACTTACCATATGAACTAGCAATTCTACTTCTGTGTATATACCCAACACAGTTACTCAAACAATATATGTGCATGTATGTTCATAGTGGCAATATTCATAATAGCCAAAAAGGAATGAAGTACTGATACTACAATGTGCATGAGCCTCAAAAACATTATGCCATGTGAAAGAAGCCAGGCACAAAAGGTCACATCGTGAATGATTCCATATATATGAAGTGTTCAGAATAGGCAAATCCATAGAGACAGAACTGCATATTGGTGGTTGTCAGAGACTAGGGGGAGGAATAATGGGTAGAAACTGCTTAATGAATACATTGCTTTATTTTGGAGTGATGGAAATGTTTTGGATCTAGATAGAGGTGGTTTGTATAACATTGTGAGTGCATGAAATGCTTTAGTACTAGATTATGTTCAGATGGCTAATTTTATGTAATTTTTTTAAAAATTAAAAAAGACAAAGAATGTCAGATTGGATTTGAAAAGTCCACCTCTCTGCTGCTTACAAGAAACACACCTTAAATACAGATGCTCCTGGACTTACGTTGGGGTTACACCATAAGTTGAAAGTATTGTATGTCAGCCTGGTGCAGTGGCTCACGCCTGTAATCCCAGTACTTTGGGAGGCTGAGGGGGTGGATTGCTTGAGGCCAAGAAAACAACATGGCATAACCCTGTCTCTACTAAAAATACAAAAATCAGTTGGGCATTCTGGCACATGCCTGTAATCCCAGCTACTTGGAAGGCCGAAGCACGAGAATGGCTTGAACCTGAGAGGCGGAGGTTGCAGTGAGTCGAGGTTGCGCCACTGCACTCCAGCCTGGGTGAGAGAGTGAGTCTGTGTCTCAGAAAGAAAAGAAAATATTGTATGTCAAAACAAAAAGCACTAATAACCCAGTAAACCCATCATAAAACCCAGAAGTCATAAGCTAAACCATCATAGGTCCAAATTCTCCTTGACGTACAATGCGGTTATGTCCCAGTAAAGTAAAAAATCTTAAATCGAACGAACCATTGTAAGTTGAAGATGCAGAAAAGTTGAAAGCAAAGAATGGAGAAATATACACTGTGCAAGCCCTAACAACAACAAAAAAGTTAGTGTAGTATACGATATCAAAGTAGACTTTAAAGGAGTTAAAAGTGGCATTTCATAATGCCAAATGTTCAGTATACTAGGAGGCACAATAACTTAAGTTTGTATATGCATAATAATATAACCTCAAAACACATAGTGCAAAAAGTGGCAGGATTGAAAGACAAAACAAAACAAAAACTGTAGTACTAAAAGAAAATCTTAATACTTTTAGTAATTGATAGAATAAGCAGACAGAATTTTAGTAAAGAATATAGAAGAGTTAAACAACTCAAGGAATTTGACCTAATTGACATATATAGGATACCACACCCAACAACAGTAGAATGTACATTCTTTTCAAGTACAAATGGAACATTTACCAAAATTGACCATTTCATTGGCCATAAAACAATTAAACAAATTTCAAATTATTGAAGTCATAAAGAATATATTACCTGAACACTATGGAATTAAACTTAGCAGTCAATAATGGGAAGATTACTAGAAATTGTCTAAATGTCTGGAAGTTAAGCAGTATAATTCTAAAAGATGTCATGTTTCAAAGAAGAAATCACTATGGAAAGAAAATAGTTTATGATAATAAACATGCAATATACCAAATTTGTTGTTTTCTAATGTATAAACTCAAGTTCTATACATTTAGTCATAAATGTATATGTCTCAAAATAAGGAAAGGTGAAATCAGTGATCTGAAAGTATTCTTATGAAGGAGTTAGAAAAAGAACAATAAAAGGAACCCAGAGAAATTAGATAAAGGGAAACAATTAAGATGAAAGTAAATATTAATGAAATAGGAAAGAAGCATGTAATAAAAAGGATCAAAAAGGCCAAAAGTTCGTCGTTTGAAAACACTAGTAAAATATAAATTCTTAGCAAGACTAGTGAACGGGGAAAAAGAAAAGCGAAACTAGCATTATGAACGAAAATGTGTTACTGTAGATTCTGTAGACATCAATAGGCTACTAAGAGGATATTATAAGCAACTTATGGCAATGAATTTGAAAAATATATGAGATGGGCAAATTTAAAAGACTGCTTAAGAAAATGAGTGTAAAAAGAAATAAAAAATGTAAATAGTCTTATATCTATCAAAGAAATCGAACTCATAATTTTAAACCTTACTATAAAGAAATGTCCTGACCCAGATGACTTTACTATACATGTAAAGTCTCAATCACACTCTTCCATACAGTAGAAAAAGAGGAAAAACTTGTGTGAGGTCAGAATAGTCCTGATACCAAAATCTTACAATGTAAGAGAGAAAAATTATAGGTGAATCTCTTTCATGAACATAAAAGGCCATTCCTCAGAGAAAGAAGATATTTGCAGCATCTAACAAAGAATTCCTACAAATAAATAAGAAAAAGACAGCCTGATAGAAAAATATGCAGAGACTTCACAAGTACTTCACAAAAGAAGAAATTCCTCATTAATCACCACAGAAATGCAAATTCAGACTACGGTGAGATACCATACACTTGCCATAAATTAATAAGACTGACAATACCAAGTGTTGGGAAGAATGTGAAGCAAATGAAATTGTCATACAGTGCTGATGGGAGTATAAATTAGTACATCTGCTTTTGAAAATTTATTAGCAATATGTATGAAGTTTGGATAAATACCTGACCTACAACCAAGCAATTCCAGTCTTAGGTATATACTCAAGAGAAATGCATGCACAAATTTACCAAAATATATGTACAAGAATGTTTATAGCAACTTTATTCCTAATAGCCTTAAAGTGTAAACAGCCTAGATGTCCATTAACAGTAGAATGTATAAATTGTGCACTATTCCTACAGTGAAATATTATACCACAGAGAAAAACACAATACTGCTACATGGAATGACATGGATGAATTCACAAATAATATTGAGCAGAAGAAGCCAGACGCAAAGTAATATATATTGTGTGATTATTTCTATAAGTTTCAATAACAGGCTAATTTGTGATGCAAAGAAGCCAGAAGTAGTGATTATCTCTGAAGAGGAGTGGAACATTGTAACTGTACTACTAATAATCTTCTATATGTTGATCAGGGTGGTAATTACAGACGTGTTCATTCTCTGGTAGTTCATTTGGGCACTTAGATATGTTATACTGAATGTATTTATTTTCCTACTTTGATTTTGGTTTCATTAAAAATATTTGTACTTTTATCAACTCTCTAGATATATCTCATCCATTTTTTTCTAACCTCACTGTTCTCTTTTTGTGACCTCGAGTGCATTGTTGGCTGTCTTTGTTAAAGCTTCCTAACCAGCATAAGTCAGTTCATCTGCTCCTATTGTGTAGATGCTCTTATCTTTTTGCATTCTACTAAGTATGACAAATAATTCATTGAGGTTTTTTTGTTTCTCAGTCATTTTTAAAGATGTGTTTTTTCTATGACTCTACTTTCCATAAATTATCAGTATTCCTTTTATTAAAATCAGATTTGTTGGCTTCCCCACAACTTCCAGACCCTTCCTCAAACATGGTAAAATGCATTCAAACTTATTTTCAGGAATCATAGGGACAGTTGCCTTCTTCTCTTTACTAATAGCCAGATCCTTTGCTGAGATCTATGCCTCAGAAGTAAATTGGTGTCCATTTTGGTTGCCACTTTATTGCAGACAGGGGCCAGGAACATTATATTCTGGGGGTGGTCTTACTATCTACTTCAGTGAATCATATAACTGAAAGCCTACAATTGGCAGCATGTATTCTACCAAGGTTATTGCTAGAATTAGCCTATTGTGTTAATTCTTGGGGGGTTCCCCTCACCCCCATACACGCATAGTCATGTAGAGCATTACTGCTAGTTCCATTCATTATTGCCCAATCCTTTTCTGGGAGTTTCAGTCATTCAGGTATATAGAAAGATGTTGTCCAGGGATCAGTACTCCTGCCTCCATAAATAGCAGCATTTATCTAGTAGAGCAACAAATGCTTAATACTGTGATTCAGAGAGATCCCAAACATCATTAGTAGAATACACAGTGGAGGTCTATTTTATAAGAGAAAGCTTAGTTTGATTTTTTTTCTTCAATTTCGGGTGTTTAAAGGGAATAGTTGGAGGATGCTGTATTAGTGGACTTCTAGCGACTGTTTTGAACCGGAAGCCTTGCCCTAATTCTTGTAGTCTGAGTGCATTGTTGGCTGTCTTTGTTAAAGCTACCTAACCAGCATAAGTCAGTTCATCTGGATATCAGCATTAGAATTGTGGTGACAGGTTTTCCTGAAGGTAAGTATAACTTGGAAGTTATAATTATTACAGAATAAGAGTGAGTCACCCTGATAAACCACCAAGTCTATCCATTTAGCCATCAAATTTTAGGATTACAGATGGTGGACAGAGAATAGATGAAGTTTCCCCTCTCCCCTTACCCTGTGAATATACCTTTATTTTTTTCCTATTATAACAGTGATATTTGTTGGTTAAAATTTTTTAAAATGTTGTAGTTTTAAAAAGAAGGCAGAAAGGGAAAAGCTGTCTGGCATCTAACCTTCTAGAGATTTCTATTGCTAATTATTTAGTGTGTTATCTAACCAGTTTCATTATTTGAGTATGTCTATTTATATATATTATATATAGTTTCAAAACCATAAATGGAATCACATTATGCATTCTGCCATAAATATTATTTATTTATTTATTTATTTATTTATTTATTTATTTATTTATTGAGACGGAGTCTCGCTGTGTTGCCCAGGCTGGAGTGCAGTGGCACCATCTTGGCTCACTGCAAGCTCCGCCTCCCGGGTTCACACCATTCTCCTGCCTCAGCCTCCCGAGTAGCTGGGACTACAGGCACCTGCCACCACACCTGGCTAATTTTTTGTATTTTTAGTAGAGACGGGGTTTCACTGTGTTAGCCAGGATGGTATCGATCTCCTGACCTCGTGATCCGCCTGCCTCGGCCTCCCAAAGTGCTGGGATTACAGGCGTGAGCCACTGCGCCCAGCTCCATAAATATTATTATTTATTGAGTATTTACTGTGTGCCTAGAACTTGCCAGTTGTTTTACATGTATTTTCTTGTTTTATTTTCACAATCACCATATTTTATTGGAGTTATACAGTTTCACAGAAACAAGCTGAGAGAGGTTAGGTAACTTCCCCAAAATTACTCAGCCAGAAAGTGTTAGAACCAGGACTTGAACTCAGATCTTGAGGAATATGGCCAAAATCCATATTCTTAACCATATTCCATTGTTCTAAACCTGCTGTTCTCACTTAGCAGTATATTTTGGACATTTTCCCATGCAAATGTACATATAGATATATCTCATCTTAATGACTACAAAGTGTTCTGTTGTATCAGTGCCCCATAACTTAATTAGCAAATCTCCAATTAATGGCTTTTTAGATTTTCTTTGTTTATTTTATTTTATTTTTTTTTTTTTTGAGACAAGTTTTGCTCTTGTCCCCCAGGCTGGAATGCAGTGGTGCAATCTCGGCTCACTGCAACCTCCACTTCCCGGGTTCAAGTGATTCTACTGCCTCAGCCTCCTGAGTAGATGGGATTACAGGTGCCTGTCACCACATCTAGCTAATTTATTTATTTATTTATTTTAGTAGAGATGGGGTTTCGCTATGTTGGCCAAGCTGTTCTCAAACTCCTGACCTCAGGTGATCCACCTGCCTTGGCTTCCCAAAGTGCTAGGATTATAGGCATGAGCCACTGTGCCCAGCCTATATTTTATTTAAAAAAAAAATGTTTATTTCTTTCATTTTTTTTTTGGAGACAGGGTCTCGCTCTGTCACCCAGGCTGGAGTGCATGGCGTGATCGTAGTTTGCTGCAGCCTCATACTGGACTCAAGCAATACCCCCCTCAACCTCAGCCTCTTGAGTAGCTGGAACTACAGACACACACCACCACGCCCAGTTAATTTTTTATTTTTTTATTTTTTGTAGAGATGGGGTCTCACTATGTTGCCCAAGACGGTCTCAAACTCCTAGCCTCAAGCCAGCCTCCTGCCTCAGCCTCCCAAAATGCTGGGATTACAAGCATGAGCCACCATGCCTGGCTTTTTAGATTGTTTCTAATCTATATCTGTCTTCTTGTGCCAGTGTCATACTATTCTAATTACTATAGTTTTATGGTTTATTTTAATATCTAGTAGGACAAGTCCTATATTTTTCTCCCTAAACATTTTTTTACCCTCGAGCAAGTAGTTCTTTTAGAATAATGATATATTTAATATATAATATTCTCCAACATCCCTATTATGATTTTAACTGGAATTTGTTAGATAAACATTATAAAAGGTGGAATTTTTATCAGTGCAGTATTGGACAGGATAGAGAAATTTTCAGTGCAGGGTCTGGCTAAAGCATGTTTTGGGTCAGTGTCTCAACCTCTGGTCTGGGAGTCCCTGGACCTAGAACATTTACTTAATTAACTGTTGTTGGGACATTTGAGTATTGCCATCAAAGTCACTAATAGCCATGGTTCTTGGATTTTTGGATTATGGATCCCTTTGAAAAGCATTTGAAAGTTATGTGCCATCTTCCCTCAAAGGCACATAAACGGAACTTTATGTACAGTTTCAGGGTGGTAAGGAACCCCTGCAATCTATTTATGGATCATAGGTTAATAATTCCTGCTATGGGAACTGAAGATACCAAGATAGAGAAGTCTAGTATTTTAGGAATGTATAATAAATGACTGGATTATTATATAATTGTCTGCAAAGAAAAATTACTATTTTTGTGATACATGGATTAATGATCAGCTATTGTACCCAAATAATTAAAATAAGAATATTGAATTTCTCTGATAGCCTGAATGAGAATGAGGATTTTGGGTAACAACCTTGGGGGATGTCTAGGCTAAACAAGGAACAGTTATAAAAGCAGTAAGGAAGACAAATATGCCAGGGTATGGAAGAGAACATGAACCTTCAAGTCACTTAGACCTGAATTTGAATCTCATCTCTGCCACTTACTAGCTATGGGAATTTAGGCAAGTCACACATGAAGCTGTGAGTCTAAATACATTACAGTTGCTGTTAACAATAACAATAATAAAATATATCAAGAAAATAGAGCATTTCTAATTTTAAATGTGAAGCTCTGAGTAAGAAGAGTCAAAGCAGAAGAGTGAGGTATTCAAGGTGAGTTTGGGTTAAGTTTCTTTGCAGTTAAAAGATAGTCATTTAGCAAAAGCTAGTTCTTGCAGAATGTTAAGATTAGAAGCCTGACTTGAGATTTCATGAAAAAAGCCAGTATTTTTAGAAACTCAGAAATTTGAAGAAAAGGACTAGTGAACAATTATACAGATGAAAAAGTATACATATGCTTTAAAGGAGCACCCAAGAGAACATATTGCCATTTTGTAGATCACTGGGATTTAATCTTTCAGCAATCATAACAACAATGGCAACTACTCACATTTATTGAGAATTCATTCTGTGCCAAGAACTGTGCTAAACACTATATGCACTATCTCTTTTAATCTTCACAACACTCCCTAGGAGGTAGATCTCATCCTCTGCATTTTATCAATGAAGTAGGTCACAGACCTGGTAAGTGGCTAGGATTTATTCCCATGCTTAAGCATTATACTGTTACCTCTTGAATTAGTCCACTCATGTAACTGCAGTCTAACCGAAAAGTTCAAATGACCAGGAATTTTTATGTATCTCTATAATGTACAGAATTTATTTTGAAAATGAGGGATTTGTTAAAGTTACCAAAACAGCCCAATTTAGTACCCCTACATCTGCATTTCTATATAATGATAGTAAAGAAATATGGAACCTAAGGCAACTTCTGAATGCATTGGGTATTCAATTTTTTTTTCCAGTTAACCAAGCTCAGTTAACTGGAACCTTTTATTGTTCTAATCATCGTTATTTATATATGTATTTATATATATGAACATAAGGAAATAAATTCAATCAACCAATAAGTATTATATCCAAACAAGCCCAAATGTTTTCTTTCATCTGTTTAGAAGTTTTTCCGATAAAGAATATAACATCTTTTAATTTTTTGCTAAAATTAGAATTTTTACTTTATGTAAGAAAAAGAGCACATTGAAACTATACCATATACTGATCATTTATATAAGATAGTCTTATCTGAAAAGCAATCTATTTTTGATTTGTCTTAAATAAAACTGACATCTTTTAGTAAATCTAAGTTGTCTTTTCTTGGCTGTTAAATCTTTTGTGGGAATAATTAAGAGAGCACTGAGTACAAAATGTTTTTATTTCAACTGTCCAAAAACTAGGTTATAATATATAAATTTCTCTAAAAATATTTGAATGTGGCTTTAAGGAATACTGTGCTGTTCAAGAACTTTGATTATAAGTGAATTCTATTTAATTAAAACTTGACTGCAAAAAATTTTTTGAGTGCTTCTAATTTGTAATGTAATTTGTAATGTGAGAAAAAGCAAATGCCAAAATGCTTTTGTGATAAGATTTCTATATCTGAAATAATGGTCCAGTTAATTTAAAATGAAAGAGAAATACTGAAATTCCTTCACTGGTGATCAGCACTTATTGAGGCTCTGAGGTTTTGTAAAAATGTTTGTAGTTACAGAAGTATTTTATACTTTTTATATGATTAAAATTTAATTTCTTCCCCTATTTTTTGTTTGGCTTTCTTTTGTCTGTTTTCTTTCTTTAATTGAAAAAACTAATGGAACCAAATATAAGATGGTACGACTGTTTTTTCTTTCTTTTGTATAATCTTGTTGCGTGTCTCTACATAAGCTGTTCTGGCCACTCATCATAGTAACCAGCTGGGCCATTTCACCTGCTGGAGCCATTAAAGAGGACTCTCTCCCCCTAGATTAATCCCCTCCGACATTAGTTTTTTGCACTGACAACTAGAGCAGGCATTCAGAATTTGCAGGTGGCCAGTGTGACGCACATAATTGCCTACAATTTTAGGCAATGAATAAAAATGGTCTACATTACTTGTCAAAGGTTGTATATGCAGTGCCAAGTGAGATCTATGGGAAGCCTTTTAGGGTTTAAAGAACAGTTAATAGCAAGGCTGCACAGGGCTTTTTTAATCATAATGCATTTGTAATATAGCACTTTGATCTTCTCCTTGTAGGAAATGGTGTTACATTAGCCACTTTTAAACATTTATGAGTGAAATTCAGTTATAGAAGAGTAAAAGTGATTATTCTTAAGCCGAACATGTTAGATTTCATTAAAAGTTTTCAGCTTGCCCCTTCCTTGTTAAAATCTGTGGGAAGTCCTTTGCCTGGAGGGTTTCAAATCAGGATCTAAGGATATAAGGCTTTTTCCTTATTTTTCCTGTTGGTAACAGCAAAATTTGGAAGGAAGGTATACTAAATATTGAGATAATTTATACAAATGGATATTTAAAGAAGAATAACTGATTATGGTAAAGTAAAATACATTGATAAAAATCCAGGAAATTGATTACTAATAATTGTGTTACAATAAATTTTGAGAAATGCATATTTAAAACATATCCATAAATTATCTTTAGTAACAACAACAACAGACACCCAGATGACTCTCAAATGCACTTCTTCTGGAAGAGCTAAATTTGACCTTTCAGACCCCAGAGCCTTTTATTAACACCTGCCTGTAAGGAGAACCTTGCCACACGCAGCTTTTAGATTCAGAACCACAAAACTGATGAGGAAAGGCTTGAAGGGTTCAGTTTGTGTCACTTGCTGTTTGCCGTTTCCATTTCACAGATGATTAATCTTTCTGTGAAGAAAGGCCAGAGAAACAAAGCACATTGGGCTCTTCCTGCAGTTACTCCTTCTGAATGCACACTAGCTTGCTAACTAAAAGGCCTTTAGATTTCCAGCAGAGAGAGATGTTCTGAAAGTGAATGCAGCTGGTTGGAGGTCACCAGTGCAGGGCTCTTGCCATTGTGTAATGGAGGCTTTGGCAGGTTCGGGGGGTGGGGGAGTTGGGGGTATTGGGGGTGCGGCTGCGGGAGAAGTGGGCAGGGAGAAGGTGTTGGCAAAAAATTAATCTAAAATAAAAAGGGATCTGGTCAGTTGATTTAATATTTTGGAGGCTGGATCATCGATAATAGGCTCAATTTTGTCTTGTTTGTTTTTCTTCTTAGGGGAAAAATATAATTTAGTCTTTCTTCAGTATATCCCCTCACTCCATTTTCTAATAGCATGTTTGTCTTCTATATGGCATCACTAGGTAATATTGAAATGGTAGTAACTCTTGTATTAGTCTTTGATGTAATTGAATTGTCTTGACATTTTTCAGGCTGTTACTAATTTTTGCTAATATTGTCCATTTTATACATTAAAAATTTAATGCCACAATGTTTTATTAGTAATTGGTTTTTAAATGAGATATTGAAAATAATTATTTGTGTGACCTAGCCCCCTTTCATTAAAACAATCTATTTTTATTTTGAAAATTTGAAAACTTTTTAATATTTAGTATCTAAATGTTTAGTTATTCATATATATTTACCTTTTTCTCAATCATGTGTAGGATATAATGTGCAAAGTAAAATCCTGGGTTATAGATCAAAAGAAACCTGTTCGCTTCTATCATGATTGGAATGACAAAGAGGTAAGTTGTAAATATCATGCCATCTATTACTGCCTTTGCTTTCATTTGCTAGGGAACAAATTAGAGTTGTTGTTATTTTACACTTACCATTATATCTAAATTTTTATTTCTGTCAGTGATTGCTTATTCCTGGGCTTGTTATTTTTTTCTTTTCCCCCACTCATGATATTTCATAACCACTAATCTTTTGGAAAGAAGAATTATAAAAATGAAAATGCCTACTTGTTTTAAGGAATGTTTACTTTCAAATTCTTCAGTGATTTACTCCATATTTACTAAACTTTTAAAAGGGATTC
The DNA here is from genome assembly GCF_000001405.40 of Homo sapiens. Classification (NCBI taxonomy): domain Eukaryota; kingdom Metazoa; phylum Chordata; class Mammalia; order Primates; family Hominidae; genus Homo; species Homo sapiens. The sequence continues at coordinate 174,123,298 of NC_000002.12, read as the reverse complement.
TTTCTCCATCTCCCACTTTAGATTGAAGTGTTGAATAAACACTTATTTTTGACTTCAAAACCAATGGTCTACTTGGTTAATCTTTCTGAAAAAGACTACATTAGAAAGAAAAACAAATGGTAAGTTTTTCCTCACCAGATATACCCAGATGCATCATCTCTGTACACACACAAACACACACCCACATATATGTACTTAACGGCAATGTTTAATTTTAATATTTTTCTCCTTATTAAAAAGTTTAAAATGGATGAGAAAGCTGTGCTTGGTATTTACCTTCACAGATGAGTCTTCTAATTGACTTAGAGAACTTAAGAAAAACTGAATTAAATAAGCAATATTGAATTATATACATTTACTTATCAAATGTAAGTTTATTAGACATTATCGTTTATTTCCATTGCAAAATGAGAATAAATGTAGTCACAACAATAAAACTTCTTACACTAGGAATTTCTAGCTGTGTTGATATTATAAGTGACTTTAAAATACCCACCTGGGGTTGTAGCTGGGCATGAATTTTAAAATCCAGATTGAATGCTTTAAAAAAAAAAAAAAAAAGACTGTGTGTGGGGAAAGACCAGTACCTGTTTCAAATGCTTTAAAAGTACATCGAGGTAAAAACTATGCATTCATGTATTGATTGTCATTTTTGGCATGTAACCAAAATGTACAAGATTTGTTACTATCACTGATAACTTCAGAAAATTATATGTTCATGTACCTGTGGGCATGTCCACATTTGGCATACCACTCACTTTGACTTGCCTCACTGGACTCTTAAGTATTTTATACTATTGAGTCATACAAACAAATCAAAACTATCCAAAGCAAAATATCTGAATTCTCCTAAACTATATTGTCTGTTTCTCCCTGTACTTCATTAAGTACTTAGATGCACATGGTTTCAATTTTCCATTAAAAATTCTCATTTCCATATGATATCAAAGAGTGAGAAGGCTTTAAACTGAAAAATAAACATTCATAGACTGGAAGCCAAAACAATAATTAATGTCAGATGGTTAACTCCAATAAATCATTAGAATAAATTCTGTGAAATTACTGCAACTAAAAATGCCCTGTTGATATTACTATAAGACATTTTGTGTTCCTGATAGGAAGATGAATTTAGCCTCTTTATTGGTAATGTTCTAAAAAGCATAAATTTAACATAAAGATTTCATTCAGCTGGTCAGTATCCTCCATCAGGTAATTAACTTTAAAATAATCAGTTCTGTCGCCTTTCAAATTCTTATAAATTTGATGATTAATGTGTTAAAAATTGTTACCTTTAGGAATGAATTTTAAAATTTATTACTTGACCTCAGTTAATAAATCTTCTCATTGTGGTATGAATGGTAAGGTTTCCTGAGGCTCTGTGAAACAATACAGACATCAAAGTTTACATGAAAAGGGATGAGTCAGTTTCCTTGCCCAAAGGGACTTCTCACACCTGTATTTGGATGATTACAGGTAGAACTCCCTGGCTCTAATTGTATAGTAAATACCATTTCCCAGACCCTAATGGTAGACAGACTGCTTAGGAGACGCCAGTCTGTGATTTAGCTGTCGCCAGACACCCCATGTTTTTTGTGAGACCAGTTGTGATGATGACATGGTTATAGCCAATTGAAAGTAAACCCTTGTCTAAATAGCAAATTTTAATTTATAATAATGTAGAGGTATGAATGATCCTATTTTATAAAACCAAATCTTAATAGGTTTTATGTATAACTAATGATCTGGCTTGGGGTTGGTGTGTGTATGTCTTGGGGGGAGGGTTGGGAGGGATCCAGATCTTGTGGAAGTTAGTGTAATTGTAGCTGAAAGATCAAAGACTGGGTAACTGAATGATGTTCCAGAAGAGAATTTACCACATAGCCATTTTCTGTACAGTTTCTGCCGCCTGCTGTTCCTATTTTCCCTCAAGCTAGCCATTGACTACCCCCTGTGCATCCCTGCTCGTAAAAAATGATTGAGGAAGTATTTGTCATATATTTATGAGTGGGAAATATTGTGTGATAGGGAATGGCATCTACTGGAGCCAGAAAGATTGCCATTTTCCTTTCATTCAGCCACTCTGCTACAGCTTTAAATCCTCTCTGTTTATGCAACATAGCCTTTGTATTAAAGTGCAGAATAAATTTTTATTATGAGGGATATGAACACTAGGTTTTCATCATTTATAACACTGAAAGCAGATGTAAATAGTTAAAATCCATTTTAACTACTAAATCCTTTTAATTGTGTTAGCATCTTGTTTTTTGGTAATGTTTACATCTAAGCTCCATTTGCATTATTAGTTGCTTCTTTAGCAAAAGAAAAAGTTTTTGTTTTTTAAGATTAACATGTAATGTTACTATAGCAAATAAGACTGATGCAGGAAACAGTAATAAATACTTTCATGGGTCTTTTAGATCTGGAAAACTATTTTAAACCATCAAGAAAGAGGAGAGGAGAGGTTTGTGACTTTGGCCACAAGAGGAGACTAAAACTGTTGTTATTTTAGCAGGTCACCATTTCAGAAGTATTGAACACTTTAGTTACTGAAGTTCACCCTAAATGTAAATGGTAATGTGTTATTTTTCAACCCTAGAAAAGAAGGAAGCATTTTGAAAGATAAGTCTATTGTGTTATTGAGTAGCTATATTGACATTTTGTGAGATGCAAAAACTGGAATGGCTGCAAGCATTAGTCATTGAATTAGTCATTTCATTGATTTATGACTAAAGACCTAGCCCCTGAAGAGAAGCTGACATGGCAGCCGGGTTGGTTGCAGTTGTGTTATGATCAAATGACAGTAATCAAGATGTTGTAAGTGAATCCACAAACCATTTTTTATTATTACAAATTGCTGTTTCTTGAATGAGTAAAACTATATAGAAGTTTTTGTTGTTTTTGGTGAGCACAAGCATTTTTGAACACTTGAGGTTTTCATTTTCTAAACACGATCAGCTGTTACTTATAACTAAGATTATACTATAGACGGTATTAATTTTCATTTGAGATTGCTTACTGAGTCATGGTGTCAAGCAGGTACAGGACATTAGAACTGTCAAACTACTGCTTAATTAGGGGTTTAAATTTCAATCTTTGCACCCTTGCTGCTCTGTTAGTAGAATATGCCATCCAATTATGAAATCAGTAGAATAAACTAATTTTACATATTTTTTACACCTACCAGCCATCAATTATGTTTCATTTTTGTGATCCTACCTTTCTTGAAACTGTTAATAAAGGATAATTATATTTTATTATTTATTATACTACATATTTATGTTCAACTGGAAAATATAACTAAACTTTTAGATACGCAGACTGTGTGTGTGTGTGTGTGTGTGTTTGTGTGTGTGTGTGTTATACACACATTTTCATATGCCCTGGTGGGCTTGTAGTCATTTAACATTACCTTTTGGGTAATATTATATGAGTCAATTAATCTGAGTGATGAAATTGATTCAAGATAGGTAGACAAATACTTGGAAAGTCTTTTAAGTTGTTTAATAATGAAGGGCAATGTGTCAAGTTCACTAAATGCATTTTAAATAGAAAAATGTTTTATTATTCTTATTATACCATGATTCAGTTCCTTCCCCTTTCCCATCTTTATGTGTTCATTAGTTTTCCACATAATTTGTACATAACAACTAAAAATAGTTTGGGGATACTACACATTATGTGCTTGGTTTGGGGGGAATCATGGAATAAATATATTTTCTTGATTTCTTGAGCTGCCTATAAAAATTACAGCTACTATATCTCAGTAAGTGTATATGTAGGTGGAAGTGTGTATATTTTTGACACACAATTTTCTATTTCTGTATGTGTGCATATATATACAAACACATATATGCATATAAATATAAAAAACTATTTCTATAGAACTATTGTAGGAGGTCATCAGTTTCTGACAAGATCATTTAAGCTAGAAATATAACACAGACATTCTGCTTTGGAAAGATTACTTTGTATTATGATAAAGCTTATTGTTAACAGTATTATTTATACTATGAATTAGGATTTCAAATAATTTTTTGGTGAATGAATTTTGTGGAATTGATTATTTCTTTCTCTGATCAGAATCTTTAGAATTAAAAAGAATATGATAAAGAAAAATGATCTTTTTATTACAGGAGATGGAAGGCTGAAAGAAGTGGGGATGGGGAAAAACCTTTGCCCATTCAGGAATCTTTTTTTTTTTTCTTTTTTGGTCAAATGTACTTTTGCATTTGAATATATTTTTACATGTAATAATATTTGTGAATTCCTATTTGGTTTTCATTAAATGGGTTTTGAATATTCTTTCGACAATTTCATATTCTTATCGAGAGATAACAATACAGTAGTGCACTTCTGGTTTCTTATGAAAGAGATAATTATATACGAAAGCACTTTTTTTATATGAACATAATGCTACTGACCCTATGCATATTAGGAATTTCCCTTGGCCTGTTTGTATTTTTTGCAATACTATTTATAGCCAATGATTTCTATTTGCCAGATGGTTCACTGAATTCAAGAAAGTGATACATTTGGGAGTGCCCGTTGTAATCTTCATTAGCACCATCTGCTGACTTACTGATTTGTGAGTGATGTAATTTATCAAATATGTCAGGACTTTCATCTTTTTCAAACTAGCTGAAGAATTTCACTCCACATAAACAGGAAAAGTTATATAAAATTTTTTCTAGCTTCCACAGATTAAAAGGTTTATAAGTACTTTTTAAAAAATTAAGTGTTCCTTAGGATTCTGTCATGTGAAATTAAAATATATATTCTCTATACATGTACACACATCTATGTTCTAGGAAATGAAATATAAAGTTTGGTTTATAGCTATCCAGTGTTCTTCAAATTACAAATGATTCATCTACACAAAGAATTTCTTTGCTTCCCTACCCTACTCACTTTGTTGAATAATTCAAAAACAATCCCCTTAAAAATCTGCACTAGAGATTAAGGATCTCTGAGTCATATTTTGTTACCAAAACACTGAGTTGGGATGAGCTACACTTTTACAACCGGAGTTGATATGGTTTGGATTTTTGTCTCTGCCCGAATCTCATGTTGAATTATAATTCCCAGTGTTGGAGGAGGGGCCTGGTATGAGACGATTGGACCGCAGGGGTGGATTTCCTTCTTGCTGTTCTCGTGATAATGAGTGAGTTCTCATGAGATCTGGTTGTTTAAAAGTGTGTAGCACCTACACCTTTGCTCTCTTCCTCCTTCTCCGGCTGTGCCTGCTTCCTGTTTACCTTTGCCATGATTGGAAGTTTCCTGAGGCCTCCCCAGCCGTGCCTCACAGCCTGCAGAACTGTGAGCCAGTTAGACCTCTTTTCTTTATAAATTACCCAGTCTCAGGTATTTCTTTATAGCAATGTGAGAATGGACTAATACAGGAGTTTAGTAGTTGGTGAAGAGGGTAGTGGAGAATTTTGAAGCTCAGAAATCTCAGGACTGTTGGGAGTGGGAAATATAGGGCAGGACCTCGGGAAGGATTTAGAATGGAGGTTCAAGATAGTTTGTAGGATTTGAATAACAGGTTTTCCTGGGAGAAGGGTGGAGAAAAGGAAAGGTGAACAATGTCAGTGTTTTACAGCCTAATGTGTCCTGCTTGTGTGGGATAGGAGGAAGAGCATTATTTGTCTCTACCGTTCTTTCCTGTGCAGCATGTTCCCCAGACACAGCATCTACCTTTGGATTTAATGTTGTAGTTTAACTATTTGATGAGTTAAATAGACTTGAAGCCTAGCCCAAAATGTTAGGGACCATTAATAATATTGTTTCTATAAAGAAAACGAATCCTAAAAAACTGGAGAATATGGTCTATTTGTAACCTAGGGAGTAGAAACTATCAAGGAGTTGGGTGTGTTAAGAAGAATACTACTTTAGAATTTGAAATACAAGTGCTATGGTCTTTATTTGCTACTATAAGTAGCTCTTTGAACTTGGCCATTTAAATTACTTAGCCTTTCATGTAGAAGATAATTCATTGAGATTGTTCATATAAAATGTGTTCTGTATAAATAATGTTTCCCAAATTTACTTATAGCTCAAAAAGTATTCAATAATGGAAAAAGAACTTGTTTTGGCCTTGTGAATGCATCTTTTGGATACATTACCTTGGTTTTTATTTCTGTTATTGGATTAAGGAACAAAATTTATTACATGTATAAATATAACAGTGAGACTCCCATGATATCACTGCCATGTTCTCTACAACCCCATCCCCTCTTTCAGGTTGGGCCCTATAACTTCACCATTTGCAGCTTAGAGGATTTTATTGTCACCCTTGGCTTCCATTAGAGTAAATCATTCTTTGTTTACATTGTTACAATATGTACAGTCTTTATGTAAAATCATGTTACAGTAGCATGATTTTTTAAAGAAAATTGTTTATTCTTTTAAAAACCTTTTAAAACAGTTTCATTGTGATTTCATATATCTCAGTCTCTCTGAGTATGAATGTATGTATGTATGTGTTGGGGGTGAGGCAGTGCAAGTTAGTAAAGAATTAAAGATCATCTCTAAGGTTCCCTTCCAGGGCTAGAATTTTATGATTTTAATGAAGTGTAATGAATTCATAAAGAAAAGATACCCATGCAAATATCTAGGTTTGCCATAGTAACTTTTCCTAATTGCGTACAGAGCATTCCTGAGGTTGCAGCCCAATTTAAGAGCAACTTTTCTGGGCTGGGTTACAGATAAGACCTGATCTTTTTTCCTACTCTCATTCCCTCTTCCATATCTCAGGGCCTTGAAAATAAGCCTTTTCTGCATCTCACCATGTTTCTTCCCATCTTTTATCTTAGTGGGCAGCTGTTGCTTTGGCTAGAATAAGAGCAAAGTGAATTGGCATATCTATATTTGAGATCAGTAACATTACTTAAACTATTATATTCCTTTATTCTAAATTGACCTAGAAAGCATGTCCCATCAAAAACATTAGAATGTGAGACTCACCCTCAAAAGCCTATTTAATTCACAATGTAGTAGAAATAGAACAATTTGAGAAATATTTTTGTATCTGTGACCATTTTTACGACCAGTTTTAAAATTCTGCTTTTTAAAAATGTGTTTTAAAATAACCGACTTATGAACTTTGCATATACTCCTGTTTATATAAGGCTGGGACTGCACATTGCTGTGCAATCTGTATTTTTAATGCTTTACATCAAGAAAAGCAAAACTTGGTAAAAAAAACTGTCATTATAAATGCAAATTTCAAATTTATGTTCCTTTTGAAGACTGTGAGCTCATTGAGGAGGTGGGTACTGTTTTCTTTTTCCTTTTTAAGCAAATAATTATTAAGAATTATTAAGCCCTTCTGTGTGTCATGTATTATCTTAGGTGGTGAACAGAAAAAGCCCTTTCTCCTGGAAGACTTACAGTCTCATGGAGTAATAGACATCCAACAAACAGACATTTAATATAATGCAGGGAATGATTAGGACCGTGAATAAAAACAAAGCAGAGTAAGAGGAAACTGTTTTAGTTAGGGCGGCTGGGGAAGACCTTATGAAATAAGGATACATGCCATGAGAGAATCCATGGAAAGCTCAGTTCAGGGAGAGGAAACTGCAAGTACAAAGGCTCTGAGGTAGCTAGATGGAATAAAACAGAATACGAGTTATAGGAATTGAAGTTGGAGAAGGAAACAGGAGTCAGTTGATGTAGAGCATAATGGGCCATCAAAAAGGAATAAAATGTGAAGACAACCACTTGAAAAAACGTATATGTTTTTATTTAAGTACATACCATTGAAACATTTTAAACATGTTCTAAATGTGTTCTAAAATTTTATTTGGGTTTTAAGAATAACCATAATGTATTTTCTAGTTTGCTTTCGTTGATTTCTTATAGTCCAGAAATATTTTTGATTGCTAAGTGTTTTAAACAGCCTTTAAAGTAATAATTGCAATTTATTTCAAATTTCATCTTTCCTTTTCCATGCTTGTCTAGTGACTTGTTGATTCATGCTACCAATTATGAAGCACTTTTTAAAAGCCCCTCGATGTACAACTTCAAAGAAATAGGTTGAACTTTATTAAGAAATAACAGCAGCCAACATTTGTCTAGAGCCTTACGGTGTTTCAGCTTTTTTATTTCATTTGATCCTCAAATTCCGAGATGACCCTCATTACACTATTACATTGGCCTTGAATTGAATGTTTACTAAAATGAAGCATTTTTTTCCTTTTCTTTTTTTTTCAGAGACAGGGTCTCACTCTCTTGACCAGGCTGGAGTGCAGTGGTGCAATCACAGCTCATTGCAGTCTGGACCTCCCTGACGGGCGCAGGCTACCACACCTGGCTAGTTTTTGTATTTTTTGTAAGAGTCAGGGTTTCCCATGTTGCCCAGGCTGGTCTAGAACTCCTTGGCTCAAGCGATCCACGTGCCTTGGCCTCTCAAAGTGCTGAGATTACAGGTGTGAACCACTATACCTGGCCAAAATGAAGCATTTGCATCATTGGAATAAGAGTTCTGCATATTAGTTTAGGAATGGGTTACTCCAACAGAGAGAGAAATAAGCTTTGTCTTTTCATTAGCAAAGATTTAGCAGTGCCTTTTCAGTACTTTAAATATTTGTCATTGAAATCAAGGGGTAGTCATCAGTATTCCTGGGTGATAATCAGCATTTTCCTTAGAGATTCTTTTAAAAGAATGTATTATGGGGCTGTGGGAAATGTTGTTGGATTTAATCCATTTTGAAATTTAAAAGGAAAAGATCAAATAGCATCTGTTCATTGGTAATCATTTTTAGCCTTTTTAAATGAAATTTTAAAAGATTTTTCCCCAGGAACGTATATGGATGTCCAACATGAAGGTCACTAGCAGTTTTCAAACATGACTTTTAAGTTTTGTCATTTTTCTTTTGTATGTCCTGCTTCCCCGCTTCCTCCATTTAATATAATTGATTTAGCTTTTTTTTTTTTTTTTTTTTTTTTTTTTTTTTGAGGCGGAGTCTTGCTCTGTCGCCCAGGCTGGAGTGCAGTGGCGCGATCTCTGCCCACTGCAAGCTCCTCCTCCCGGGTTCACGCCATTCTCCTGTCTCAGCCTTCCGAGTAGCTGGGACTACAGGCGCCCGCCACCAGGCTGGCTAATTTTTTTTTTTTTTTTTTTTTGTATTTTTAGTAGAGACAGGGTTTCACCGTGTTAGCCAGGATGGTCTTGATCTCCTGACCTCGTGATCCGCCCGTCTCAGCCTCCCAAAGTGCTGGGATTACAGGCATGAGCCACCGCGCCCGGCCGATTTAGCTTTTCTTATACCAAACTAAAAGACATACATAGCAAACCATTATTTATTGTTGAGTTCCTGCTATGTGATGGGCATTCTGAGCTTGGAAATTGCTGAGATGTATGATATTATACTTATCAAGCAGATATTATCATGCCCATTTTACAGATAGGGCAGGCGGTTGGAAAGATTATAAAACATGCCCAAGTTCTTGGAGCAGGTAAGTGGTAGAAATAGATCCATTTGACCTGAATGCGACTGTTCCACACAGGATGACTGACAGCTAAGCGACAGTACAAGATATGTTTGTGAATCTCCAGAAATCTTTGAAAATATCACGTCAGCAACTTTAGCATTTTGCTTTGTTTTATCTCAGAAAGTTTAATCTCCATCCAATTGTTTAGTTAATAAACTAAATTAGGATTTTAGTTAAAAAGAACAATTCTCAAGACAACATTTGTGGGTTTTTTTTTAGGATAATAAGCATTTGCTGCTGCTGTTTTTGCCTTGTCTCGTAATTTTATTAACTATTTAATAACATTGTTAAGAGGCAACAGCAATATATTTTAGGACCCACCTTAGCTTGCATTTTTACGCAATATCATGTATAAAAATTTTGGTGGAGAAAATACAATGGCTCTTATTGAAACCGAAATTAAAAATTATATGAAATTGCCAAGTCTAAAATAGTGGTACAGAATAAACCCCCCAAAAACATACCTGTAACCACAGATTGGTTTTTATATATTGATATGATAAACAGGATTTAACTTTTTCTGTTATAGCAAACCATAATTTGTTAAAAATAATTATTTGACTGGGCACAGTGGCTTAAGCCTGTAATCCCAGCACTTTGGGAGGTTGAGAAGGGTGGATCACCTGAGGTCAGGAGTTTGAGATCAACCTGACCGACATGGTGAAACCCCATCTCTACTTAAAAAATACAAAAAAATTAGCTGGGCTTGGTGGCGGGCACCTGTAATCCCAGCTACTCGGGAGGCTGAGGCAGGAGAATCGCTTGAGCCTGGGAGATGGAGGTTGCAGTGAGTCAAGATCATGCCATTGCACTCCAGCCTGGGCAACAAGAGTGAATCTCCATCTCAAAAATAGTAATAATAATAATTCTTCAGTGATGGGGTGAGGGAGTTGATGTTATAGAAATAGGGAAATGAGAGAATATCACGTGTTAGTTTGTTTTCTGCTGCTGTAACAGATACCACAGACTAGGTAATTTATAAAGAAGAGAAATTTATTTGGTTCATGGTTCTGGAGCCCAGGAAGCCTGAGAGTATGTCACTGGCATCTTCTGAGGGTCATCCCATGGCAGAAGAGCAGAAGGCAGAAACAAGTGGGAGACAGAGAGCAAAGTGGGTCAAACTCATTCTCTGTATCAGGAGTCCACTCCTGAAATAACTAACCTACTCCCATGATTACAGCATTAATTGCTTCATAAGGGGTGAGCCCTCATGACCTAGCCACCTCTTAAAGGTCCCACTTCCCAATCCCATTGCACTGGGGGCTTAGGATTCCTAACACACGAACCTTGGGGGGCACATTCAAACCACAGCACTATGAGGTAGAGCAATGGCAGATAATTTGTATGCCTAATGTTGTATTTGTAGTAGTCGTCATTCAGTCAACACTTCACACTTGACCTTATGCCAGTTATATTTAAGATTCCCAACAAGCTTGTAAAGTAGGTGCCATTATTACCCACATTTTAAGGAAATGAAAAGCAAGTATGGAGAGATTAAGGAACTTGGCCAAAGTTACATAACCAGTCAGTGGTGCCGACATCCAATTGTAAGCAGTTCATCTGCAGAGCTCATGTTCCTCACTAACTGCTAAGCCATAGTATCTCAGCACTGGGGCACTGGTGATGCTGGAAAGGTAGACAAGGCCTGAGAAATGTGTCATATACCAGTCACATTTCCTATTACTATGAATTTCATTTAGGTAAGGTTTTGTTGTTAGACAGTTCATGCACTATAAAATCTGAGACTAAAAATTCATTATAACCTAATTAGAAAATGCCAACTGAGAGTGGTATTTTTTAAAAAATTGTACCTAAAATTGTATCTTTAATTGTATGGACTTCTCTCTAAAAACTATTTTCCAATTTAATAGCCATTGTAGGGACAGTACATAAAAGAGTTTATATATTTTTATATTGAAAATACATATTATTGCTACTTTTCTCAAGAAAACTACTTTCTTCAACCACTTGTTTTATTTGTGTATTTGTTTTTAACCATGTACTGACTTATTCTGTTTCCTTGCATTTTCACTAACTTGGATTTGTTTTTGAGAACTACTTTGGGAGTAGGGAAGTGTGTGAGACTGTGTGTGTTTGTACATATCTCCTTTATTAGCTGAAATACAAATGGATGTTTTGTATAATGTTCTGGTTTAGTACTATATTAGTGCATAGCAATATAATGAACATTGTATACGTATATGTATATGTATATGTACATGTACATCCAGGTCGGGCAAAACTAATGACTACCATTTGTTGAGCATCTATTATATGCTGCACTTTGGGGTGTTTACATATGTTCTATCATTTCGTTTAATCCCCATAACAACCTTGGAAGGCAAATTTCTATCCATTTACTAATGAGAACCTAAGGCTCAGAGAAGTGAAGTAAGAAATCTAGTTAAATATTTTGGAAACTTCTTTTAGCTCAAATTCATGAGAGAAAGTATAAAACATTTTATGCATTTATAGCATGCTTTTCATGCAACAAAAGTAGACAAGGAGTTTTTTATGTTGTTTGTATCCTAGTGAAAATTACACAGAAACTTATACCTATCGGAGAGCAAACATAATTGCAATATTTTGTGTAAGCATGACTCAAGAATGTTTGGTTAGTTGCCTTATAGCCCTTGGTTTCCTCACCTGTCAGAGAGAGTAATGATTTTCTTATAGAATTATGAGAATTAAATAAAATATGTTACATATATTAAATGAAATTATCCTGTGGCAGAAATTATTCTGTGTCAGATCTGTTTGACTTGAAATATAATTTATTTATCATAATTCTAAGAGAAAAGCATATGTATGTGTATGAACATAGATAGATTGACAGTTAATTGGCTAGTTCCTGGCAGTTGTAATTACATAATAAACTCTCTTAACTAACTTGAGTCCTGCTTATATAAAACGTTGCAATTAGGCCAAGTGCAGTGGCTCACTCCTGTAATCTTAGTGCTTTGGGAGACCGAGGCAGGAGGATCATTTGAGGCCAGGATTTCGAGACCAGCCTAAGCAATATAGGTACATCCTACGTCTACAAAAAATAAAAACATTAGCCAGACACAGTGGCATGCGCCTATAGTCCCAGCTACTCAGGAGGCTGAGGCGGGAAGATCACTTGAGCCCAGGAATTCAAGACCAGCCTGAGCAATATAGTGGGACCCTGCCTCTACAGAAATTAAAAAGAAATTAGCCTCTTGTGATGGCCTGCACCTGTAGTCCCAGCTATGTGGGAGGCTGAGGTGGAAGGATTGCTTGAGCCCAGGAATTCGAGGCTGCAGTAAGCTTTGATTGTGCCAGTGTACTCCAGCCTGGGTGACAGAGTGACACCCTGTCTCAAAAAAAAATTGGCCGGGCACGGTGTCTCACATCTGTAATACCAGCATTTTGGGAGGCCGAGGTGGGCACATCACTTGAGACCAGGAATTCAAGACCAGCCTGGGCAACATGTTGAAAACTCGTCTCTACTAAAAATACAAAAAAAAAAAAAAAAAAAAATCCAAGCATGGTGGCACATGCCTGTAATCCCAGCTACTTGGGAGGCTGAAACATAAGAGAATCATTTGAACTCGGGAGGTGGAGGTTGCAGTGAGCGGAGATCGAACCCAAAAGGCAGAGATTGCAGTGAGCCAAGATCATGCCGCACCACTGCACTCCAGACTGGGCGACAGAACAAGACTTTGTCTCAAAAAAAAAAAAAAAAAAAAAATCCTTAGCAAACTAACACAGGGATAGAAAACTGAATACCAGAGGTTCTCACTTATAAGCGGGAGCTAAATGATGAGAACTTATGAACACAAAGAAGGAAACAGTAGACACTGGGGTCTACTTGAGGAAAGAGGGTGGGAAGAGAGAGAGGAGCAGAAAGGATAACTATTGGTTACTGAGCTTAATACCTGGGTGATAGGTACAAAAAAAGCCTGTGATGTGTTCATGTAACGAACCTTCACATGTAGCCCCAAACCCAAAATAAAAATTTTGTTAACTCTCATCATGTTTTAGGACTGGAAGAGAAAAATGGGTGATAATGCTTTTATTATTTAAAAGTGTTTTTTTTTCCTGAGTCTTATTTTGAAAAATTATACAGAATAGTTTGCATGGCATATTCCTTGCATCATAGAACTTGCTCTGCTTCAGGCCAAATTGAAATAGAGACAGAAAAGAAAGAGACCAAGAAAGAGGATATGGAGAATATCAGCCATTTGTTTCCTTTCCCGTATTCAAAGACAAACATCTCAGTTGCCTGGATCTCTTGAAATTAGTACTTGTAAAAGCTTTTAAGTGTTACTGGAATACATTGTTAAAGCCATATCTGGTTGAAATTTTCTGATTAAGCACAATTAAATAATTGTTTCAGCAATTACACAGTTCATGATTATGGTATGTGATGGGACATTATTTTTTTAAAATCTATTATTAAGTAAAATATGTATTGGTGGCCAAGTATAAGTTTTAGTACAACTTGCTATATCTTGGACATTTTGCATATATAGCTTAAAGACCAGTGGGGTAGACTGGGAAGTTTTGTCAGCTTCATAATTTTGGAAAACAGAAAAAAAGAAAAAACAATGCTGATTAAACATTCTTAGCCATAAGAAGATATGTGAGTGTGGCTTAGCTAATAATACCTACTTTCTTACTATGTATCACTTAATAGACTTTTTTTGCTATGAAATATTCAATAGTTACACATTTGCTATTTTATAGTTATTTCCCTGCCCTGTTAACATCAAGGGTTACTAATTGTTGCATTAGTAGTTCCTGACAAATAGAAATTATTTGATACTCTAAGCCATTTCTGATGGAAGATACAAAGTTTTGACAAACACGTGTGGCACAGCAAGTGTCCCATTCTAAAGAGCAAAATAAATGCAAACCACCATTATGGTGAACACAAACAGCCTGAAAGCAAGTTATCAGTAAGCAAATAATTGTTGAACTGTTATGAATGGAATAGGATGTTGAAATAGGGCATGATTGGCTGATGTTACATATGTCCTTGATTACCTTCCTTGTGCTTTTATCCTAATAAGTGACATTCTTTGTATTCCCTTGGATGGCTAGACAGTCTGACACTGAAGAAGAATAAATATTGCATGTGGTACACATTAAGCTGTCATCCAAGACAGCATTTATAAAAAGTAACTGGAGAAATTCATAAGAAATTCTGCACTGCTCCAGTTTCCTGGCTCCAGTCATAATTGTCAAAGTTCTTGACACATTCAGGTCTTCAGAAATGATTTAGGTTTACAGTGGTTTGGTGTATGAATAATTATTATGGATTTGAGTTCTCATATTGCCTTTGGATGTTAATGTTAGTTACCAAAATGTTATATTTTATGATAATTTTTATTTTAAGAAATGTCTCTATATTGATAATTGTGACATATCTTCTATCTTACAGACTTTCATCAAAGGTTTTTAGACAATTCATGTAATTGAAAGGAAGAACAGGAGTTTTTAAATGCTTACATTATCTTTAATCTGTTGGAAAATATTGCTTGCTTATGTTTAGTGCTAGCAAACGATTTTGAAAATAAGTATTTTTATTTTTCTTCCCTAGCAACATTGGAAAGCCTTCAAACAGTCTAAATGAATACCATTTTAAAACTATTTCCAAAAAAACCAAATCACTGATGTTTCATTTTAAAATATTATACGCTTTTATTCACATACTTTTGTTATTTTAACATAGTTCTTTGAGGCAAGGCAGTATTTTATTTGTTGCAGTCACTATTTTCTCTTAAAATTTCCTTTCAAAGGATGATAGGTAGAAATTTTGAAAAGAGATAATATTGTACTACAATAAGCATACCTAAATAAAGGGGTAAATTATGAAAGTAAATTTAGAGAGCATATTTTAAGCCCCTCTATCTTTCTTTAAAACACCTCCCTTTTTTATCCTATCTATATGGTGTATAATATCTGAAGGATGCCCTGTCCAAATTATTTTTATATTTTTGTAATCTGACACAATTATCCTAAACCATTTGAAATTAAGCAATTCATATTCTCATTCTATAATCTAATCGAGAATATAGTATATTCTATCAGCTGATGACTTCCAAAATGTGATTAAATATCAGAATGATTTAGGATCCAATACAAATATGAAAATAATGAAGTTCCAAATTCTCAGCCCCTGTTTTAGGGGAACGAGAGGTCAGTCAGGGTTTCTGTGACAACTGTATTTTATGTTGGTTTTAAAATTTATACTATTAATTTGGGGAAATGTTTTTAGGATACTGTCTTTGCTTTGAAATCTAAACCATTCATTTAGATTGAAGAAACTTTTCTCCAAGTATAACACTACTCGAATGTTACCTATAGCTTTTAACTCTCTAGGCCACTACAGAGCACAAAATATTTGCCCAACTGGTAAATTGAACTGTAAGTCCCACTGTGGGAAATTGCTTTGCTGTGCTCCAAACAGCAGTTATCTTAGTAATTGTACCTGAATTCTTTGTGGCTAATAGAGCGTGGACGTCCATTTTACAAACAGAAAATTATTTCTCTTAAATACTTTTAATTATAAAGTACCCAAGTAAAATGTGAGTCAGTAGACAAGAGTGAGACATTAAACCACATCATTTTTAATTGTTAATGCAGAAAAGTGAAATCCTTTTTTCCTTTTAGTGTAAAACTGTACATAATCGACATTTCACATTCTAAACTGGAGCTCCCAACAAGGAGCTTATCAGAGCAAATTGTCTAGTCCATCCCCTTCCTCACTCAAAACCTAATGACCCTTTATCATCATGGTTTAGATTGCTGGACACAGATGTGAGAAAATACAAGTAATCTACAGGTAACTACAGTAGCTGCACTGATGTTCTCAGAGAACTGACTGCTGGGAAGATAAAGAGCCTCCCACAGAGTCTGTGACTTTCCAGCAGCAAAGCACATCATGAGCTGATACATGAAGTTTTATTTGCTGAAGATTCACAATAAGATGCATTAGAACATTCAGCAGGGACTCTTTTTAGATGAGCACAGAAATTCTGGAGGGTGATTAGTTGATGCACCAGTGCATAGCATCACACTAAAATAAGAATAGCTTAACAATAATCCTGTCTGTGGACACCAAAGATTATGGCCACAATGCAGCATTATTATTGACTTCTTTTCTTGATATTTATGTAATCTACTAGGCTCCAATCACTTTCTCTTCACAAACGGCTGAACTTCTTGCTGAAAACAGTTTGGTTATGATTTTTAATACGAAAGCACAACAGCAATTTCTCAAACTTTAATACTAAATTGCATTTCAAAAGACTTGTTTGTGGCCAGGTGCTCTGCTTTTGTTAGCTGCTTAGATTGTGATCAGTGAGGTAAACTCATTTATCTATTTGCATGCAATTGAGTAATTTACCATGAAAAGAATGATCGGGTTTTGGATAAAGGTACTGCACCTGTAGCTTAAGTTTTATAATTGTTGGTTTGACTATTATTTGCAATGATCGTAGTTTCATACTGCTTTAGAAAACGACAATACAAAATATATTTACTTATTTATATATGAGATGTTTTGTTTTTAGTTAATGAATTTGGTTTAAGTTTACCAGATTGGGATGAATTAGTATGAATTAGATTGTCTGAACTTCAGGTGTGTATTTCTTTTTAAAAACAATTTGCTTGTCCTATTTTTAAAAAGCAAATTAATTTTGTTTGTGTAAAACACTATAACTACTAGATTAGGAATAGTGATATTACTTTCATATGTCCTCAAATGATTTTTAGAAATTACCATTTTAATAGCTGAAAGATAAAGATAATTTTCAACAAGTATTGGTTAAGCAGTTGACAGCCAACAAAAAGAGATACTGAGATATTTGATTCATTCTTGTATAGTTGTGTGTGTATGTACCTAGCTTAATTGTTGCCGTTTACGGAAAATATTGAAATGCTCAGAAAGTTAGAGAAGATACTCGTTAAGTCTTTTTGGCTAGGTTCGTACTCATTTTTGCTTCAAGAATATTATAACGTACTTTTAAAAACAGTCCTTTGCAATTGGAGCACCAAAATTATATCAAATACACCTGCAATCTTAAAGAATTAATTTAATATTAAGCTTCTAGTATAGAATAACCAGTGAGAAAAGTAAACTTATCAGCAAACAGATTATCTGTAAGTACTGCTGTTCATTAGAATCCTTATTATTCTTCTGATAGCAGTTAGGGTCACTCTTTTTGGAGATTTTCTGTCAGTGAAGATTTTCAGTTTACCCTGACATATTTGAAATATTCGTAGTTGTATGGCATAGATTAATCTAGAAAACAGAACATTGAAGAATTGTTTGAGGTGGTGTTATACATTAATTCTGTTTTTAGTTTGCTATAAGATCTAAAGAAAAAACTATATTTGTTTTCATTTAGCAGCAAATAGAAAACACAGAACTCAAAATTCTACAAAGTACATTTTCTTGCCATCTTCGTATTTAAAAGGAAAGAAACCAGAGGATGATGTGCAGTATAAGATTGTTTTGCATTTCTGTTTTTACATCACCAGATTAAGTATAATGAAACCCATCTGCAAATTGTAGGAACTACTCATTGATTTTTCTCAAGGACTATAGTGTAGTTTTTCCCTTCTTTTTCTTCTACCTTTTTTTTTCTATTTCAACAAGATATACATAAAATTAAAAACCTTGTCTGTTATAAAGTTTTGTTTGAGCTTTTTAAACTGAGTGATTAGCAGAAATAATGACCCTGTCAGCCTTAATCACATTAAAATGTGGTTAACATCATTTAATTTTTTCCACTTAATATGCAAAAATTTCCAGTAGATTTGCAGTGAAGGCCATTGAAATTCCATTAGAACAAGAATAAAAATTTCAGGCATCATTTATTCAGAGAAGGAATAAAGGTCTCGATTGAGAACTGCTGAATCTTTCTATTAGAGACACTATGAATCATTACATTGAATTGTACCTATGTTTCAATAGACCTGTGTGTCTGGCTTTTCAAGTGGTTGAAAATCATGTGTTTTTATCATTTTTCATCAGGAGAAATAAACCGGAATTGCATAATTATTTTATAAATATTTAAAAGACTACTGAACAGTTTTTGTGCTGCTTCAAACTGCTTAAATTTTAAGTAGAAAGTTGGTTTTACTCTAGAAACAGGTTAATTTAAGATTTATTTTAAAACATGGAAAAAACTGCATAACCATCCCACAAAATGGACAGATTGTATTTTAAGTAGTTATGCTGGTATATGCCAAGAAAGAAATTAAGAACCAAGTGACGCTAGCTCTTTCCCAAAGTTCATAGCTTATCGTTTGTCAAGCTTCAACTGCTATGTTATGCTGCATTAGCTATGTATGAATTACAACCAAAGAATATTCTACTCTTTCTAATATTTATTCTTTTATGATCATTTTGATATTTAATTGTTGTAATGTGTTCTTAGAATTAAAAAGTAGGAAAAGTTTAATGTTATTTTAAGCAGTGCCTACCATTTATACTTTCTTTGGTATGTGCACATTTGCCAGCATCCTGAAAACTTACATTGTGTGGAATGCTTTTCCCCCATTTTAAAAAAGACAAAAGTGTTACTGTATATACCTGATAAGCAGAAATGGCTCTCTGGAACCATTCTTGTCCTTCGGGTAATTAAGTAATTATATAGTGTTGTGTTTTTTTTTTTAATTTGTATTTTGTTCCTGAACCATTTGGACCCATTATATAATTACACTGTGTGTACTTTGTAGTAAAAATACCATTGGAAAATTCATCAGGGAAAGTAGTCTCTGCATATGCTCTTCACAATGTATAAATTTCTCCATCCTCCTGTTTCTATGTCTACGGAAATCTCAGAGTATTTAATGGTCTGCTTTACCCATACCACTTCCCCCTACGATGGATGACTCTGTGCTTCCACAGAAACACCTTGTGTGACTGCCTTGTCTAGAATAACACCCCCAGATTCCCTTTTGTTCTCTATCATAGCATCATGTTTATTTCCTTCAGAGCACTTATCACAAGCTGTATCATCTTGGTTACTTGTCTCTTGTTTTTGTTTTGTTTTTTGTCTTGTAAGAATTTAAATTCCATGAGAATAAGGACCATGCATGTTTTGTTCATTTTGTATTTCCAATGCTTGGCACTGGACTCAGTAAATATTGTTGATTGATCAAATAGCTGGCTGGATGAAATCCATTGAATGTATCCCTTTTGTTCAACACTGACTTTTAGTCTTCATTAATAAACTATTTGGATGATTTGAAGTCAATCTATTCTGGTTAGATACATCTACAGTTTAGAGCACAGGTGGATAGGCTGTGTATGCCAGGGTTAGCACATACTGTCTATAATAGATCAGGATATTTTTGTCTAGGACCACACAGTCTCTGTTGTAGCTACTCAACTTTGTCATTGTAATGCAAAAGCAGCCATAGACAATAGTGTAAACAGATGGGCATGGGCATGTCGTTGTTCAAACAGAATTTTATTTATGGACACTGAAATTTGAGTTTTATGTAATTTCACTGTCACAAAATATTTTTCTTTTTTTTAAGTCATTTAAAAGCCTACAGGCCATTCGCTGCACAAAAATATGTGCAGTGATTTGCTTAACCCCCAGTTATGCTATTAGCCAAATACACATGATACACATGTACACATGATTATATATCTCCATTCATCTCCTGAAGTAGTTCATCTCTCTCTCCTGCATCATCAGTTCTTCCTCCCTCAGTGGATGTTCCCCAGTAGCATATAAGCATGATGTTATTTCTCCGATCTTAGAACAACAGCATATTTTGACCCTGCTTGCCTTTCACACTACTGCTCATTTCTCTCCTTCTTCCTTGAAAGTGGCATATTACTCATTGTCACTTGGGCCCCCATAAAAAGCTCAGCAGTCTTCTGTGTACAAATGAAGGAAAAAATATCATTTGAAAAGTATAGCTCTCAATTCACAAATTGAGTTTTTGAAAATAAACAGGCAACTTGATACAATAGGAAGATCAGGAACTTTGAAGTTAGATGGGCTTGAATCCTGCATTTACCACTGTAGACAAATGATACCAATCTGAAATCATTAAGTAGTAAATGAAATGGCATATGTAAAATGCCTGTCAGTTTCTGCTTTCCCTTTCAAAAACATGTGGCTGTGTAGCAATATATGTTTTATTATTACTCTGCAGATTTCCCTTATTCGAAGGAAAGCTAGTCTGGAAAGTAGATCATGATTAATGTTCTTCCTCAAAACTATATGACCTTCATTTTGGGGGTGGGGGTCTTGAATGGAGAAAGAGCACTTTCATTCTATGTGCTTTTCTCTTTCTGTCTCTTTCTCTCTCAGAATAAACCAAACTTAGAAACTTCATGACACCCTCTTCTGCTTGGCTTTTGGATGACAGGCTTATTAGCCTTTCATTTCTAATCTCGTCTCTACTGAGTTTTCTCTGTCGGCCATGACTCTTCCCTAGGGATTAGTAATTGTGGAATTGTTAACTTTTTTCACTTGCCTTTTGTGCTTATGCCTCAGCTGTAGCTTGTGTGCTGTTGGTTCTCACACTTTAGTGTGCATTAGAATCATCTGGAGGCTTTATTAAAACAGACTGCAGGACCTCACCTTCCAAGTTTCTGATTCAGATGGGGCCTGACAGTTGTCCAGCGTGCTCCCAGGTGATATTGATGTTGCTGACACTTGGATGATACTTTGAGAAGGATTGCTCTCTGCTAATGACTTATAAACCTAGCCTTAGTTTCTCCTCTTTGCCCTTTTCAAGTTTCATTATTCCTGATTGTCAACAAGAAATCTTCATTTGAATATTCTCTTATCGTACTAAATGTAAGATATATAAAACTAAACTGCCTATTTTTTCTATAGTAATATCCACAATGGAATCTACTTTCGGACTTTCCTGTCTTTGTTAGTATTGGCACCCTGTGAGTCATTTAGGCTTGGGCTCTTCAAATCATTTTAACATATCTTCTTTTATATATGATATTCAGTTAATCAAGTTTCATGTTTTTTTCTTCTAAATCTCACCTTTATTCATCTCTTCCTCTTCAGTTACACTGCTTGTCAAGCAAGACTAAAACTGCATCACTTCATTTTGAAATTAGGTAACTGCCTCCTAACTTACTGTCCTTGACTCTGTTGCTTCTTTTCCTATGCAGGGCATTCTGATTAGCTTCAAACACTTCCACTCTGCCATTTTCTCATGTCAGAATCCTTCACTGAAACATAGAAGAATATCTTCACAACCCAGGATAGGCAAAGATCTCTTGGATAAGTCACAAAAAGCACTAACCATAAAAGGAAAAATAAATGGACCTCATTATGTTGAAAAACTTCTGTTCATCAAAAAACACCATTAAGTAGAGTAGCCACCAGCTACAAAAATATATTCACAACACAAATATCTGGCAAAGGACTTGTTTTCAGAATGTATATTTTTAAATTTTCTGCAAATGAACAATATAAAGACCAATGACCCAGCTTTTAAAATCAGCAAGACTTGAACATATACTTTATAAAAGAAGATAAATGAATAAACATGGAAAAGTACTCAGCATCTTTAAGCGATCATGGAAAGGCAGATTATAACCATAATTGAATATGATTTCATACTTAATAGAATGGCTAAAATGAAAATAACACCACCAAGTGTGGATAAGGAAGGGGAACAAAAGGAACTGTCATGCATTGCTGGTGGGAATATAAAGTGGTACAACTGCTTTGGAAAATTGGCGTTTTCATTTAAGTTAAGCATGTATCTACACTGTGATCCAGTAATTCCAACTTTCAGTATTTACTCAAAAGAAATAGAAACATGTTCATATCTTATACATGCATTTACTACACAGAGTAGCAGCCTTATTCATGATAGTTCAAAACTGGAAACAGCTCACATGTCCATCAATAGGAAAATGGATAAGTTGTGGTCTATTTTTGCTGTGGAAATCATACACCTCACCAAGAAAATACACAGAGCAACTTGGAAAGAAGGTGAGGATTCATGGAAGGGAGCATAGGGGAACTTTCTGTGGAAATGTTCCATATCTTTGTGGGGGGATAGTTATATGTGCATATAAAATTTTCAAAACTCATTCAACAGAACATCTAAGATCTGTACATTTTAATTATTTGTTAATTCTACCTCAATAGAAAATATTTTTTTCTGGAGGCTGAGGCGGGGATCATTTGAAGCCAGGAGTTCAAGACCAGCATAGGTAGCACAGTGAGACTCTGTCTCTTAAAAAATTGATTTAAAAATTAGCTATGTGTGGTGGTGAATGCCTGTAGTCCCAGCTACTCAGAAGGCTGAGCGTGGGAGGATTGGTAAGCCCAGGAATTTGAGGCTGCAGTGAACCATGATTGTGCCACTGCACTCCAGCCTGGGCAACAGAGTGAGACCCTGTTTCCAAAAAAAAAGTTATTAATGTCTCCTTGTTTCCTACTAGGTATATATAAATATACATACAAAATACCTAGAGAGGTCAATCAACAGCAGACTTGGTCATCTCTGTGAAGACAAGGACAATGTCGGTCTTACTTATTCCTACCAACCCATTACCCAGCTAGCACAGTATCTGACACATAGTAAATATTTAATAAATACTTCTTGTGTGAATAAATATTCTCAATTTACCATGAATGTTTTTCCACATATTTTCATTGCTGTGTGACATATTATTATTTTGATGTACTACATATTATTGATCCAGGTCCCCCAGTGTTTCTTGCTTTGGTTATTTACTTTTTTAAAAAATAAGATACATTAAACACTTATGCAGCCATTCTAGGAAATACATTTGTCTTAACCCCAGCCAACACTGGGTTGTTATTATTGTTTTAATCTGTACCAATTTGATAGACAAATAGTGATATATTGTTTTCATTTTATTTCTTTGATTACAATGGAAAGATAAGATGCATTTAATAACTGTTAGACTAATTATTAGAAGATGGAAACCTATTCTGTGTCTCCACTGGGAACAAAATTTAAAATGGACTTAAGTCAATTACATAGCATTTGATTTCTCATTTATGATTATTATTTTGATACTAAGAGCAGAAATCTTAAAGTATGAGAAACCACTCAAGAATATTTATTATATGTCATTAATAAAATTATTTTGGCAATTTATTTTCAAGTGAATTAATTTATATGTAAACAGTAGGTAAACATAAAGGCAATGTGTCTGGATGATGGAAAGAACTTTGCAATGGGGATAGTAGCAAAGGAATAAATGTTTCATCGGTGTTTGTCTTCCCTAATATGGCCAGAGAATGGAGTATATGAAACAGCTTTTCATACACAGGGCCAAGTAACAAATAGTTCCTTCACTGGCTACTTAGAGTGGTATTGATTTAGAAAATACAACAAAGTCGGCCAGGCGCAGTGGCTCACGCCTGTAACCCCAGCACTTCAGGAGGCCAAGGCGGGCGGATCATAAGTTCAAGAGATCGAGACCATCCTGGCCAACATGGTGAAGCCCTGTGTCTACTAAAAATGCAAAAATTAGCTGGGCGTGGTGGCACGCACCTGTAGTCCCAGCTACTCGGGAGGCTGAGGCAGGGGAATCGCTTGAACCCAGGAGGTGGAGTTTGCAGTGAGCTGAGATCGCACCACTGCACTCCAGCCTGGTGACAGAGCGAGACTCCGTCTCAAAAAAAAAAAAAATAAATAAAATAACAAAGTCAAACTCAAATACGCTTTCTACTGGTTTACCTCAAATCTATTTCTTGTATGGTATTTGCAACTCTACATAGTTTTTTTGCCCCTTCTTAGAAACTGCAGGGTGATCACTCAGCAGTGATTTTTAATGAATAGCAAAACTTGCTTTGTCTATACAACGGACAGAATAATTTAAGGAGGAAAAGAAAAAAAAATGCCTTTGAAGTGATTAGTGCTTAGACCTGCCTTCTCAGATAAAACTGATTAATAGCCACATCACAGGTAAATACAACAGAATTCTGTTTAGGAAAATGTGACCTGAACATTGTGGAAGCCATTCTTCACTTTATAAATAATAATAATAGCTAATACATGTTGAGCATTTACCTTGTATCAGATACCATGCTAAGCATTTTCTGTGTACGTCCTTATTTAATCTTCATCATAACCCTCTGAAGTAGCTACTATTATTACCTCCATTTATAGGTGAGAAAACTGAGACTTTAGAAAGTTCCATGGCATGGCCCGTATCCCCCTTGTCTGGCCCCAGTGTTCTATAACCATATTCCATGCTACCTCCTTTGCAAACAGGTTGCTTGTGGGAGTTCTTTAATTATAGAATTTCTTTAATGAAATTAAATTAACTCTTGTATTTTATTTACAAAAATTCTTTTTGTAAAATTCTTTTTGTAAAACTATAAGCTATGAAGCCAACTACAAATTTTGGTGGGTATGATTCTACTCACACATTTCCCGATCCTTCCTTTTCTCATGTCAGAATATTCCATTAAGCCAGTGGCACTTTGTATAAGACCGTAAACACCAAATTATGTTAAAATAAACATTTCTTTAAGAAAGAATAAGTCTTTCAGAAGCAGCTGAAAGTTTTGCCACAGGTTGCATGCGTACTGCTCGTAGGGAAAAGTATATAGAGTAAATGTTTTTCCCAAAATATTTTATTTCTCATCTAACATGGTTCCACTGAAAATATATGTCAATAGGAATTGTTTCACGTGCCTATTTGTAACTAAACTATTGAAACTTTGTAACTATTAAAGCTTGAATAAGAGCCACCAGTCCTTTTTTAGTGCTTCTTGTTTCTCCCCTGTGCTCAAATTCCTTTTCTCTAAAGATCCAGAAACAGTGACTTTCCCTTTTTTACAATGACTGTTTGCCTTGGCTTTGTATCCTTCAGTGTCTACTCCTTTATGAAACTACATATACCCCACATGGTAAATAGTGAGACGATTTGGATAAATGGGATCATGGAATGGACTCTTTTATTAGAATAAGGAAGCATCCTCCAGAGGATGAATTAAGAACAACTTCAGGAAGAAAGATCCACTTGGGAAGGGATGTCTGTGCAAGTGGGTTCTGTCATACGCATCCACATTTATCTTTCCCTTGCAAGTGTCTTACTTTCTTTTTTTTTTTTTCTTTTTTTGAGACAGTCTCACTCTGTCGCCCAGGCTGGAGTGCAATGGCGTGATCTCAGCTCTGTGCAACCTCCACCACCCAGGTTCTATGCCTCAGCCTCCCAAGTAGCTGGGATTACAGGCTGGTCTCAGACTCCTGGCCCCAAGTGATCCACCCACCTCGGCCTCCCAAAGTGCTAGGATTACAAGCATGAGCCACTGCACCCAGCCAGGAGTTTCTCACTTTCTTACTGGCCCCACAGAATCCCAGCTCTGTTATGAACAAAAACCTTTCCTTTTCTGTTTTTCTTGTTCTAACTGAATTTAACCTAAAAAAGTTTTATGTATGTCACTGA
Organism: Homo sapiens; assembly: GCF_000001405.40. Lineage (NCBI taxonomy): Eukaryota > Metazoa > Chordata > Mammalia > Primates > Hominidae > Homo > Homo sapiens. The sequence continues at coordinate 174,097,395 of NC_000002.12, read as the reverse complement.
AAAGACTATTAAATATATTGCTTTCCTTTCCCATCCCCTACACTCCTTTTTCAAAGTTGCATCCTCAAGATCCAGCATAATGCTTATTAATACACATAGTTGCTTAAATGTATTTTTCCAGTCATTGTGCTTGAATTCTTTCCCTTCCAGTTACCTCCCTATCTATAAATATTCAGTTAGGCAAGACTTCTCAGAAATAAAGACCTGATTTTTATTTTTTAAAATTAATTTATTTATTTTGAGACGGAGTTTTGCTCTTTCGCCCAGGCTGGAGTGTAGTGGTGCGATCTCGGCTCACTGCAACCTTCGCTTTCCGGTTTCAACCGATTCTCCTGCCTCAGCCTCCCAAGTAGCTGGGATTACAGGCACCTGCCACCACGCCCGGCCAATTTTTGTATTTTTAGTAGAGACGGGGTTTCGCCATGTTGGCCAGGCTGGTCTCGAACTCCTGACCTCGTGATCTGCCCGCCTTGGCTTCCCAAAGTGCTGAGATTACAGGCGTGAGCCACCACTCCCAACCAAGACCTGATTTTTCAAAAGAGCTCCCATTCTTTATTCATAGGCAATATAACAGTATTTTTAACTCTACAGTAACTATTGAGAATGACCCACTCACTGACAGCAGACAGTTAAAATTGGGGGCTACTGTGTGCAGGCCTCCTATATTCAAGGGATTTTAATCCTAACATCCACCTGTGAGGGTAGGTATTATTTTAGTTACATGTGATTAAACTGAGGCTGGGGAGGCTTAAATGGCTTCCCCAGGATCTTATAGCTAGTATGTAATTGAGCTGTAATTTGAATTGATACTCACCTTACTCCAAAATCTCTGCTTTTTCTATTGGCCCATACTATTTCCAAAGGAAGGTCAGACGTCATATGATCATAATGTGGGGAATATTAGCATTTCTGTTTTGTAATCTTTAGATTAGCTCTCAGTTTACTTTTGGGGTTTTATTTTTTAGATATAATTCACATACACAAAATTCTCCCTTTTAAAGCACACAATTCAGTGGTTTTTAGTATATTCACATTGTTGTGTCCCTATCACTAATTCCAGAACATTTTCATCACCCCAAAAATGAAACCCATGCCTATTAACAAGCATTTCCCATTGCCTCTCCAACCTAATCCCTGGTAACCACTAACCTACTTTCAGTCTCTTTGGATTTGCCTATTGAGGCTATTTCACATAAATTGAATCACACAATATGTGGCCTTTTGTGTCTAGCATAGTGTTTTCAACGTTCACCCATGTTGTAGTGTGTATCAGTACCTCATTTCTTTTTATTGCTGAATAATATTCTGTTGTATGGATATACTACTTATTGTCTGTCTTCTTAATTATAATCATCCTAGTAGATGTGAAGTGGTATCTCACTGTGGTTTTGATTTACATTCTTGTAATGACTAATGATGAACATCTTTTTATTATGTTTATTGCTATATTATTATATTTTTATGTTTATTGCTATATAATATTGTTGTTGTTATTATATATTCTCCAGGGAGACCTGTCTATTCAAATTATTTGCCTATTTTTAAACTTAATTTCTGTCTTTTTATCGTTGAGTTATAAGAGTTCTTTATATATTCTGGATACTGGACCTCTGTCATATGTATGACTTCCAAATATTTTATCCCATTCTGTGGACTGCCTTTTCACTTTCTTGATAGTATCTTTTGTTACATAAACTTTTTACTTTTTAACTCTTACATTTAGATCTTTGGTCCATTTTAATTTTTGTATGTGGATATCCAGTTGTCTAAGCACCATTTGTTGACTCTTCTTTACCCATTGAATTGTTTTGGTACCTTTGTCAAAAATCAATTAACCACAAATAAACTTTACAACAAACAACCCATCCAGTTAAAAACAAGAGCGGAGGACTTGAGTAGACATTTCTCCAAAGAAGATATACAAGTGGCCAACAAGCATGAAAAGATGCACAACGTCAGTAATCATAAGAGAAATGCAAATCAAAACCACAATGAGACATCATCCCACACCCATTGGGAAGCCACTATAAAAACAACAACAACAACAAAAAAAAAAAAAAAAAAAAAAAACAGGAAATAACAAGTGCTGGCAAAGATGTGGAGAAATTAGAACCCTTGTGCAGTACTGGTAGGAATGTAAAAGGTGATGCAGCCACTATGGAAAACAGTTTGATGGTTCCTCAAAAAGCTAAGCATAGAATTACTATGTGATCCAGCAAGCCCACTTCTGGGTAAATATCCTAAAGAATTGAAGGCAGGGGCTTGAAGAGATATTTGCACACCCATGTTCATTACAGCATTATTTACAACAGCTAGCGATAGAAGCAACCCAAATATCCATCAATAAGTGAATGGATAAAGAAAATGTAGTATAGACATACAAACAATAGAATATTTTTCAGCTTTAAAATTAAGGAAATCATGTCACATGCTAAAACATGAATGAACCTTGAGGACATTATGCTAACTGAAATAAGCCAGTCACAAAAAGACAAATACTATATGATTCCACTTATGTGCAGTTTCTAAAGTAGTCAAACTCATAAAAACAGAAATAGAATAGTGGTTGTCAGGGGAACAGGAAGGTGTTATTCAATGGCTATAGAGTTTTAGATCTACAAGATGAAAAAGTTCTGTAGAGCCGTTGCACAACAATGTAAATAGAGTTAGCACTGTTGAACTGTATACTTGGTAAATTTACAAGTGTTAAGATAGTAAATGCAAGTGTTCTTTACCCCAATTTTTTAAAAAATCAGTTGACCATAAGTGTATGGATTTATTTCTGGACTCCCAATTCTCTTCCACGGATCTTTACGTCTAGTCTCGTGCCAGTGCTGCCGAGTCTTGAGTACTGTAGTTATATAGTCAGTTTTAAAAGAGGGGAGGTTAAGCCCTGCGACTTTGTTCTTTTTCAGGATTGTTTTGGCTATTCTTGGCCCTTGCATTTTCATATGAATTTTAGGATTGACTTGTCAGTTTCTGGGGGAAAAAATCCGGGATTTTGAAAAGAATTGCATTGAATCTGTAGATCTGTTTGAGGAACGTTGCCATGTTAAGATTAAGTCTTTCAGTTTACTCACATGGATGTCTTTCCATTTACTTAGCTCTCTAATCTCTTTCAGTGATGCTTTGTCTTTTTCCATGTAAGAGTCTTACACTTCTTTTGTTAAATATATTTCTGTCTCAGTTTAGTTTGTGTCATTTGTAGACCCTGCAGTTTCAGCCAGTCTCAGAAAGACTCTACTGACGTTTTTGTCTTCTTTAAGGTAGTGTTTCTTCCTTATGTACCACTGGGCCACACATGCTGTGATGCAGGCCCTCTCTAGTCTCAGCATCCTCTCCTCATCTATCCCGGTATATCAGAGGGATTCTTTTGACTTTCTTCCATCTTCATAAATAGTTTGGATATGGAAGTTCCATCTCTGATCACATTCTAAGAAAATGATATGTAGTGGTAGTTAAATCAAGATTTGTGGCTCTCCCTATAAACTTATATTTTGATTATAAACTACATCAGCCTATTGTTGTTGTCCTCTTTGAACAAAAATGGAAAAGAGAGATAGTTTATCCTGCGGCCTCATGGCCAGATATAAGTTTATCTTGTATATAGGAACATAATATAGGGTTGGGAAATTTTCTTGTAGCTAACTGAGTTTCACAGTCTCTAGATACAAATATTGGCTTCATATCTCGTGACAACTATAATTACAGAATGTTTCCATGTGCGATGTTTACAACCAGAATATAAAATTACAAGGAATAGATACAGATTAAAAAATAGTGATTTTCAGACGTCCGAGTACAAAGTGTTGTAAGAGTTAAATGCATATTCCTTGCTTCTAGAGATCGTAAATTTAGTTGTTTTTTTGTTGGTGGTGGCGGTGTTTGATTGGTTGGTTGGTTGGTGGTTTGTTTGGTTTTTTTTTTGAGAAGAGGTCTTCTTCTGTCACCCAGGCTGTAGTGCAGTGCAGCGGTGCAATCATGGGTCACTGCAGCCTCTCCTGGGTTCAAGTGATCCTCCCACCTCAACCTCCTGGGTGGCTTGACTATAGGTGCTCACCACCATGCCTGGCTAATTTTTTTATTATTTTATTTTATTTTATTTTTTATTCATAGAGATGGGGTCTCACTATGTTGCTCAGGCTATTCTTGAATTCCTGGGCCCAAGCCATCTTCCCACCAAATCCCCAAAATGCTGGGATTACAGGCGTGAGCCATTGCACCCAGCCAATTTAGCTTTTTTTGTAAAGCCTGGATTCACAGGTTGTTCACAAACGATATTTTGAGAAAAACTGCTTTAAAGTTTCAAAAATGTAACCTGCTGGAGGCCACTTAGTCTGAACACAAGTCTTAGTAGCCTTGAAGCAGAGTAAGAAGCCGGAGATTCGGGAATGATCTAAAAGTTTGAGGTGCTTGTTTTGTACATTCACAGTGAACCTTGAGGTGGTTAGTAGCTTGACGGTTCAGACTTGAATTGTAGTAGGTCAAGCAACAGATATAACCTGGGAATGAAAATAACCCCACTGTACTATGATTTTTTTATATATAGCCTTATAGCAATCAGATATGCCTCCCCAGGTCCTGTTGTGATTTTCACTTCACAGTTCCAGCTAAAAAACAAGCATACTAATTTCTAAACTAAACAAGCATATTAATTTCTGAAGGTTGACTCTGGTAGAAGACAAGTAGATAAGGTATGTAAGAATAATACATGCTTCTCTGAATGTTCTTTTTGAGACAGAGTCTAACTCTGTCACCCAGGCTGGAGTGCAGTGGTGCGATCACAGCTCACCACAACCTCGAACTCCTGGGCTCAGGTGATCCTCCCACCTCAGCCTCCCTAGTAGCTGGGACTACAGGCACATGCCACCACACCTAATTTTTGTATTTTTTTATAGAGACGGGGTTTCACCATGTTGCCCAGGCTGGTCTCAAACTCCTGGCCTCAAATGATCCACCTGCCTCTGCCTCCCAAAGTGCTGGGATTACAGGCGTGAGCCACCACCCAGATACCTGGCCCTAAATGTTCTTTTACCTAGTCTTTTTTAGATTAAGTTTCAACTCAATTTATTCATATTCACTGATCCAACATTTATTGAGCATCTGCTTATGCCAAGCACTATTATAGGTGGTGCTGGAGATTTACTGCAGTGTACAAAATAATCGAAAAGTTCCTTGGCTCAATAACTGGTCAATAACCCCTCCCCTCCTCTCTCCTCTCCTCTCCTTTCCTTTTTTCTTTTCTTTTCTTTCTTTTTTTTTTTTTTTGAGATGGAGTTTTGCTCTTGTTGCCTAGGCTGGAGTGCAGAGGCATGATCTTGGCTCACTGCAACCTCCGCCTCCCAGGTTCAAGTGATTCTCTGTTTATCTATCCACTAATGCCAGGTGGAAGACAGTTAACATTAAGTACATAATATAATAAGTGCCATGAATAAAAATAAGTCAATGTAAGGGAATAGAGATTGGCAGAAAATGAGAAGGGAGAGGCTTTTTTTTTTTTTTTTTTTTTTTTTTTTTTTTTTTTTTGAGGCAGAGTCTCGCTGTCTCCCAGGCTGGAGTGCAGTAGCATGATCTCCGCTCACTGCAACTCCACCTCCCAGGTTTAAGCGATTCTCCTGCCTCAGCCTCTGAGTAGCTGGGACTACAGGTGCCCGCCACCATACCCGGCTCATAGTAGAGATGGTGTTTCACCATGTTAGCCAGGCTGGTCTCAAACTCCTGACCTCAGGTGTTCTGCCCACCTCAGCCTCCCAAAGTGCTGGGATTACAGGCATGAGCCACCGTACCCAGCTGCTATTTTTTAAAAGATGTTAAAAAGTAACATTTAAGCAGAAATCTGAATGAAGTACCTGAAGATTTCAGCACTTGTACTTGTTTAATTTCTGGCATATGCCATAAAGTTACAGAATTTTCCATCTGAAAGAGATAATTTAACCAGTGAACTTTAGAGTCATTAAAAACAACAGATAAAACAGATGATGACAGATAAAATCTTCAGATAAAATCTTATGCAGAAACCCATCATATAAAAATGAAGCATTTCTGGTTAAAATGCAAGAGTGGAAAATCCAAAACCTCACTGTCCCTTCTTCCCTTGTTCTCCCTGCCCTTTCTCTTCCTTCCACATTGGGAAATCCTTTTACAGAACTCAGAAGAGGTTGAAAACTACTTATCTAGACCAGTTTGCAGATGAGTATATTAAAGCTAAGAGATGTTAAATAACCACCTGGAGTCACTCAGCTAGGTATTAGCTGAGACTCTTTCCCCCTTATTATCTATTTAGAAAATATTTGAGCACCCACTATGTGCCAGGCATTGTGCTAGGAGATTTCTGTGGATACAATAGGGAGTAAAGCCACAGTCTCCGACCTCAAGAAATTGTTTTCTATAGTGTGAAGAGATAAACAGAAAACTATGGGCAATATTATAGTATACAGTGGAATGTGGTGATAGCTCTGGCCCACATGGGAGTTCAGGGAAGGCTCTCAAGGAGATTCTTATCTTAAAGAACAAATTAGAGTTAGACCAGTTAAGAGGAGCTACAGTTATATACTTACTTGAAAATAACCCTAAATGTCATCATTATCAGTATCGGGATGCCTTCAGCTACAAATATTATAATCCCAGTACCTAAGACCCGAGGTAGTTTGTCTCCTGGGTTGGTTAATTAAGTGTTCCTATGATTTCAAGAACAAGGGTTTTCCCATCTTTCCCCACTTCCCTTCTTACGGTCACAAAATGGCCACTAGAGTTCCAAGGATGAAATCCAAAATAGTCTCCACCAGAGAGCCTCTTCTGTTCTCTTTTTAAGAGCCAGAGGAGCCTTTTGGTTCTTTTTCCTAAAGTCTCTTAGCAGGCCTTCCCACAAACTCCATTGGCTCCTTTGATTAGAACTGGTTCACATGCCCCCTCAAACCGTTTGCCAGCTGGAGAATGGGGAACTATGATTAACTCAAACTAATTAGAATTTACCCTAATGTTTTCTTTCCACCTGTTTATTCATTCATTGTAAAGAACTTTTTTTAAGTGGAGCCTTTTTGCTAAACATTCTAATTTGCTTTTAAGGTTGCCTGCCTGTTGTAACACTCGTCATTTCAATTTTGTGGTAGCCTTCCAGTTATCACTGGAATCAGAAAGTGCGTTAATCCTCAAAACAGAAAGTCTGAAATCCAATTTTTATATGCTGCAAAAGAAATGGCCATTTCTCTAGAATTTATTTTCTTACACATACACACACACATGCTGTCTTATTATAGTCACTAAAATGAATGGGGTTTTTCAGCCAGTAGTTCTGTGAGGTTCTCATAGGGAACAACTTGTGGTAATGTATCTTTCACTTGATATAAATTTAGATTTCACAGTCCTCTGTGCTGGAATCACTTCTTATATTCTGAATCTAGACTCCAAAGCTAACTTACTACAGATGTTTCCCCAGGTATTGAGGTTATTAGGATAAGAAAAGCATAATTATGTCCTTTTTTTTTTTTTTTTTTTGAGACAGGGTCTCGCCCTGTCGCAAAGGCTAGAGTGCGGTAGCATGATCTCGACTCCCTGCAACCTTCTCCTCCTGGGCTGAAGCGATCCTCCCACCTCAGCCTTCCAAGTAGTTGGGACTACAGGCATGGGCTACCATGCCTGGATAATTTTTGTATTTTTTGTAGAAACGTCGTTTCACCATGTTGCCCAGGCTGGTCTCGAACTCATGAGCTCAAGCAATCCCCCCGCCTCGGCCTCCCAAAGTCCTGGGATTACAGGCATGAGCCACTGCACCCAGCCAATAATTATGTCTTATAAAGTAAGACACTGTTGACCATAGTAATGTGAATCTGAGACTTCTTTGACATTGCAGAGGATTCAGAGCAAACATTTTCCTTATACTTCCTGAAATTTTGGTGACATTTTCCTTTTCTGGTTTTGAACCTGGGAAATATAAGCAGGAATTTTCCTATCCTTACTGTTCTCCACTATCAGCAGTATAGGTAGTCAATATCTGCCTCTAGTTTATCAGTTGGTCTGCATAGTTATCTCAGACATTTTTGTACTTTCAGTTCATGTGCGTTTATTTTCAAAGTCCTTTAGTTCAGTGCTTCTGAAAGTTTAACATGCATATGAATCACCCAGGGAGCTTGTTAAAGTGCAGATTCTGATCTGAGGTGGGGTTCAAGATTCTGCATTTCCTTTTATTCTTTTTTCTTTTCTTTTTGATGAGGTCTCACTCATTTGGCCAGGCAGGATCATAGCTCACTGTAGCCTCCAACTCCTGGGCTCAAGGGATCCTCCTGCCTCAGCCTCCCAAGTAGCTAGGACTACATGTGTGAACCACCATGACCAGCTAAGATTCCTGCATTTCTATCACACACTCAAGTGATATGATCACACTTTGCGTAGCAAAGTTGCAATTATGTTATTCTGTACAACTCCGTGAAGTCAGACAAGAACATTGAAACTTGAAGTCTCTTACATGTATGGAAGATGGAGCTTTATTTATTTATTTATTTATTTATTTATTTATTTATTTTTGAGACAGGATTTCACTCTGTCATCCAGGCTGGAGTATGATTGTGCTCTTATAGCTCACTGTAGCCTTGAACTCCTGGGCTCAAGCAGTCCTCCCGCCTCAGCCTCCCAAAGTGCTGGGATTATAGGCATGAACCACCAAGCCCGGCCTTAGCTCTCTTTTAGAAGAGGGATTAGACTTTCAAACATTAGTTAAACTAGAATTTACTTTTTTGGTATTTCTTCTTTCTCCTTATTTTCACCACAGACTTCCTTAATAACCTCCATTCAGAAAATGGTTATAAGCAGAAGTAAAATAAAAGTAAAGATGTGTTGAATTTTAATAATTTTATTCAAAGAATTTTGAAGAGTTGAGAATTTTGGAATTTTGACTTTGAAAGAATATTATTTATGACATATTTTAGTTTGTATATTGTTTGTGGTATTGATTTTAGTGCAGGTTATAAACCTGCTATAACAGGTTTACAGGTTAATACTATAAACTGACATTAATTTATAGTAATCTTATTTGGAAAGTGGTAAAGAGGACTCTGATATCTTGAAGTCATGCTTTGGGACTCTGAGCAGTTGTAATAGAAATGAGTGTAAACCTTCAAGGGAGAAAAGTAGAAATGACATCAGTGTTTAACAGAACCCCCTGGATTAATGGTACATCCATACCATGGACAACATGAGGGGAGCTAGCTTAGTAAAAGCCAAGTCCTTAATGACTGAATGATGCTACGTTACTTAATTAACCAGCCCTGGAGCCTCTTTTATGTAAGTTGCATCATTTTGTGTATATTGAGATGTGGTTCTTGACACCAGTTATATACAATTAGAGAAGCAAGATATCACTGTTGATTTATTTTTAAAGTGAAGATGTAAGTTCAAACAGGTAACTATATAAGGTGTTTGTAAATGTCTAATAATACCATATGTAACATTTAAAAATATATTTTAAGTATACTTTGATATTAAAAAAATCAGATTTGAGAATGTCCTAATGTATATCAACAAAGATGCCATAAATGGTAATATAACTTGGCTTTATTATTGGATTGACCCATCTTTAAAGGATTTTCAGAAATTATAATCAGAATTTGAGTGGCTAGAGGTAGTTGAAAGGTTAGAAAGGCATGAGGTGGGGAAAATAATACAATAAGTTTCTTATTAACGTATGCTGGAGAAAACTATTTCAGGGTTGTGTTTTAAGTTGCAAGAATTTGGTTTTGGATTTTATGCAAAATATCAAATAGCACTACTGGGATTTCTCTGTTCCCTTTATAATGTGTGTGAAAATAATATGTCTGTATACCATATGTTTGAGTCAAAGTGTAAAATCTATTTTTTACTAGGGGGTGTGGTCAAAAAAAAGTTTGAAAGATATTGTATTAGAACATTATAGAATGGACATTTAACTGTAGTATGAAGTGCTTCCTGTTAAGATGGTGAACTGGGCCAATACAGGAAGCTTCCTTCCTTCTTGTTCCTAATACGTAGAAACACCAGAAACAATAATCAGAAAAAATTGGTATTGATGATGGTGTGGTAGTTTTAGAATATACAATAGGGGCCGAGTGCAGTGGCTCACGCCTGCAATCCCAGCACTTTGGGAGGCCGAGGCGGGTGGATCACCTGAGGTCAAGAGACCGAGACCCTCTTGGCCAACATGGTGAAACCCCATCTCTACTAAAATACAAAAATTGTCTGGGTGTGGTGGCGGGCACCTGTAATCCCAGCTACTCAGGAGGCTGAGGTAGGAGAATCACTTGAACCTGGGAGGCAGAGGTTGCAGTGAGCCGAGATCACACCACTGCACTCCAGCCTGGCGACAGAGCGAGACTTTGTCTCAAAAAAAAAAAAAAGAAAAAAAGAAAGAATATACAATAGGACTTGAAAGCAAGAAAAGGACTCTCTAGGTGCCAAAAACAAGAACGAAACTCAGTAACAGTAGAGAATGAAGTTGATGGTGCATGGCCTTCAGAGAAAACGGAGCTAATATAGCAGCTCCCCCTTATCTGCAGTTTTGCTTTCTGCCGTTTCAGTTCCCGCTGTCAACCGCAGTCTGAAAATACTAAATGGGCAAAAATAAACAATTTCTAAGTGTTAAATTACACACCGCTCTGAGTAGTTTGATGAAATCCTGAACCACCACCCCCGAATGTGAACTGTACCTTTGTCCAGCGTATCCACTGTGGATGCGACCTGCCCATTAGTCACTTAGTAGCCGTCTTGGTTATCCAGACTGTCAAGGTATCATGGTGCTTGTGTTCAAGCGTCCCTTAATTTACTTAATAATGGCCCCAAAGGCATTATTAAGTATATGATGCTGGCAATTTGGATTTGCCAAAGAGAAGCCATAAAGTGCTTCCTTTAAGTGAAAAGGTGGAAAGTTTTCAGCTTCAGGAAAAAACATAGTATATATAGGGTTTGGTACTGTCCGAGGGTTTAGGCATCCACTGAGGATCTTGAAACATATCCCCATCGGAAAAATGGGGGCTACCGTATGTGGTTTAGAGGCTTTAGTGTCCATATAGGAATAAGAGTCAAGGAACAGTTTCCAGGCTGTAGATAACTAGAGCGAGGCCCACTCATAAAGCCCAGAAGAAGCTGTCATTTCCATGACCAGATACTAGAAAAATACCCCTCCCTGCTTCCAAACAAGGGAGGAAACTGTTATTCTCAGGAAATTAGAAACTGAGACTGCACTGTAAGAAGCATTACCCATAACCTAGTGCAGAAACACTAAGCCTAAAAACATTAATAAAACTTCCCTGGATCCCAGGACCCTCCGTAGATCTCTCCCTAGAAGAAGTAACCACAAGACTACCCCATAGATACATCTCAATCCTGGGGACCACCAGACTCCCTTAGAAATATCTGCAGCTGCCAAAATGACCACACATACACAAATATAGCCCATATGCAGGAACCAACTGTCCTGAAAGATCATTAGCAGATGACAAATGGGGACAGGGGGATTTGAGAGGGGAGTTAAGAAACTATAAGTCAAAGCAGTCTGAAAAGAACTTGCAAATTAATGTTGAAAGGGACAAAGAACTTATTAAACAAGTTTAAAATATTACCCAATTAAAGCAAGTAGATTTGGAAGAAACAAATAGAATGTTTAGTAATAAAATTCATATCTGGGAAAAGAAATATAAACAATGTAAACTAACCCTGGGAAAATCAAGTTTTGGCATCTGGAATTTTAAGGCTGGCTAAGAAAGTCAGATCACAAGGCTAAAAGTAAATTTGAGACATGATCTTTTGGAAATTTGATATTAATTTAATACTAATGGTCTCATTCTGCCGAAGAATCTGTAGACAAGCGGTCCCCGACCTTGTTGGCACCAGGGACTGGTTTCATGGAAGACAATTTTTCCATGGGTGGGTGATGGGGGTGTGGTTTCAGGATGAAACTGTTCCACCTCAGATCATCAGGCATTAGATTCTTGTAAGGAGCGCACAACCTGGATCCCTTGCACGTGCAATTCACAATAGGGTTTGGGCTTCTGTGAGAATCTAATGCTGCCGCTGATCTGACACGAGGCAGGGCTCAAGTGGTGATGCTCGTTCCCCACTCACCTCCTGCTGTGCAGCCTGATTCCTAACAGGCCATGGCCTGGTACCAGTCCACAGTCCAGGGGTTGAGGACTCCTATTGTAGACCACAACTTGCCAGTGTATCTCAAAGTATCATCCTTTTTGTCTTAAAACTAGTTGTCCTTTCTTTGTCCCCTTGCTGTGGAATCACTACCGGGAAGAAAAATACAACTAATGGCATTTCCACTTTCCATTTGTTACTCCTAAGACTGAGGAAATCAAGTGTGTCTTTGGCTGCTTATGAGGAAGGATGGATCCCTTTGCAGTAATCTGCTCAGACAGATTTGCAAAATGAAGTCTATGAAAGGCTTTACAGTTTAACTCTTTAGGGGTCTACTGTCTTTACTGTTCCTTCTCCTCCCACCCACCATATAATTTGATATTCTTTGACAATATCATTATTATTTTGATCACTAGCAACTGGATGACTTTCTTTAGACATTTGCTAACATTTGTACATAGAGATTATTATTCAGGCACTTCGGCAGAATGGCTTGGAATTGTTTTTCTAGTAGTGGTACTGAGCTCAACTTTAATTTTCTATATCCCTCGTGCCAATAGCACACATTTTTGAGATGACTAGCTATAGTTTGGGGTATGGTTTGTAGAAAGAGAATAGACATTTTTCTGCAAAAGGTAACTGGTCCCCATGGGGTTCAGATTTGTGATCTTGGCCTCATTATCACACTTTTGTAACCATCAGACCTAATAGATACACCACATATATTTCAGTCTATAATCTTGAAATCAAATAATATTTTTAATTACCCTAGGTTTATTTCATAGATGTAATTAAAAATCATTTTGGGACATTTCCCACTTTTGTTTGATAGTAAAAGTCACAAAAGTAAAGCAGACAGCCAAAGAACCTCACTCACTTTTCATCTTCCCTGTGTTTTCTATGACAGTGAAAGTCACAAAAGTGAAGCTGGCAGGCAAAGAGCCTAACTCACTTTACGGGAGAGTGCTACGGTACCTTTTTCTTTTAGTGAGGCTATAGCAGGTCTGATGTCAGTCACTTTAGAGACCTTTAGACCTCAGTGCTCATTTACTGCTAAAATGTACCAGCTCTGCTTCTGCATTATGAAGATCATCTGTCAACACTTTGAGATATTCTCCTTTGTTATTAAGCTTGTGATGCTCTACACTGTCAGGTTTTTTGCCAATTATAGTTAAGGTACAATAGTGTATTCACCAGATCAAAGTCTCACATTGGCGGTAGAGGAATGATTTGTAAGTCTTTATTCATTTGAATTGTACAATAGAACACCTGAGGAATGCAAATAATCCCTCTGAGAACTCTGCAGGAAAGGCTGTTAAAATGACAGGGTAGGACTATTGTTATTCTGAATTGATGTGTTAGCTAAAGTAATTATTTCTTATCTTGTTGTTTCATAACAGTTCTAGTTTTATTAGTTCTGTTGACCATATTTATGAAATAAAGTGTGTATGATATTTTTATATTCTCCTTTTACATGGGCTTGTTTTATTTCACTTTCATTGAATCTATTTGGTATGTGATCTGCTTTTTTAAAATTACATATTTGATTTTAACTTGTATAATGAAAGTAAGTTACTAAACCATTGATGATAACATTTGAATATAGACTTTTGTTTGAATAGTGTAAGTCTGTGAAGTAACTTAGAATACCATAATGTTAACGGAGACAGAAGCACCAATTTCAGTCCCCCCACCTTTTTTTTAACCTGTCCTTCTTAATTTTGGTTAAGAAAACATCTAGTTTGAATTTTATGTTAAAGGCAACATAAATCATAGGACTTGGTCCATTTTTTGGGATATGAACAAAAGAAAAAATACTATTATGAAGATTGAAAACCACAAATAACATACTAAATAAGTAGTTACCTTTGTATAACAAACATATACAAACTCTTGTGTGATTGTTTTTCATTCCTTTCTCCCATCCTAAATCCTGCTCAATGGGCCATAGTCTTAATTTTCTAATAACTCTGCTCCCCTGCCATTGATGGATTTGTGACTTAGTTCTTGTTTTTCTTTTCCCCTAAAGTGGCATTTACATTAATTATTTAAAGGACTTCTGCCACAGCATTTTGCCATAATAACTATTAAAACCTTTGTCTAAATATAGCAGTCTAGTGGAATTATGTAAGCCTATAGCATAATTTTATAAAAATTTTAATGGAATGTATAGTCTCACACTAAACTCAGTTCCAGATTCATAGGAATGTATGCTATGATTATCTGAGAAGGAAAATTAATAATAGTAACTGCTGTTAATTCTTTACTATTTGCAGGCTTTTCTAGGTTCCTTACAATATAATATGTACTATTATTATCTCTATTTTTACAAGTGAGGAAACTGAGGCTTAGAAACGTTCAGTAACCTGCCCAGTAATAAAAAGCTAGGAAAGTGTTAGGCTCTGAACCTAATTAATATATTCACTACACTTATTTCATTTATGTTCTAATTACTACTTTGCCAAATACTCCATGCTTTGGAAGGAAAAAAAATGACTCAATAATGTCTTTTCAGGTAACAACTAGGATCAGTTTCCTAACTGATTTGGCTTTCCAAATCCTTTGTGATTAAAGGAATTTCTTTCCTCTGCAGTTCTATTATTCTTGTTCTCACAAAAGTCAGGTTCATACAGCTGCGTACGTGATCAACCATATTTGTAAATCTGTATTTCTGCACGTGCTTGTTCTGGCTAGGAAAAAGCTTCCTCAAAACTAGTGACCACTGTGAGTTCTGTTAGTCCATGAAGGAACTAAACCAGGCATATAGATATCTGGCTGGAACAAATTATTTATTTGTGAAGGGCTCTTCAGAATTAGCTGGTATTTTTAGGTATGATTCCTGTACAAACAGAACTTTATGTCTTCTTTTAAAAATTTACTTTGTAAAGTAAGGAAAACAAAAAATTATAAAATGGAAGCTTTATTCAAGGGTACAGGTGTTAATGCTGAACAATTTTAGTGTAACTAAAAAAAGTTTTTAAATATTTGTATAATAGTTTCCATAGATAATGTGCTAAAGTAAAACTAGGTTACAGTAAAATACTATGGCGTATACCTGAAGCAGTTGCTGCCTGTTAATGCCTTGACCTTGGAAAGCTATATACAAAAAGATGGCATCATAAAACCGTGCAATTCTTATGAATATGTATGTGCTACTTGATAATAATGAATGTGGTACAGTCATGCATGCACTACAAGATAATGTTGTGCCCTTTTTTGTCTACAGGTTGATAAAAATTAAAGAGTGGGTGGACAAGTATGACCCAGGTGCTTTGGTCATTCCTTTTAGTGGGGCCTTGGAACTCAAGTTGCAAGAATTGAGTGCTGAGGAGAGACAGAAGTATCTGGAAGCGAACATGACACAAAGGTTAATTAGCATTCATTTTCCCTACACTTTATTATCAACTATTTCCTTGCAGTAATTTAATTGCTTGCGCTGATAGAATAATAAATGACAGAGTAATTACCATTATAAAGAGGGAATCTTCTCCTTTCTTTACCATGAGACAGAGTGAAAAGATTTATTTTAAATTAAGTTTTTAACTGTCATCTGTCATCTCCGTACAGTGTTTTAATTATAACATAGGTATTAGTTATGTATATTTTTGAGAAGGAATGATCGCCAAAACTCTTTCGTCATGTTCAGTGGGGGAGGGGAAAGGGTGAATCAGTTGCCATAATTTTTTCTGAGTAACAGTAATATATTGTTTAAATATCAGATTTCAATCAAATAATTTTGCTTTTATGGCCAGGTCCTGGAAATAATTAATTTTGGATGAAAATAGTCATAATTTTTCTTTTTTTAAATAGCAAACAATTCAAAATAATATCTTCAGGCTAATACAATTAAAACCAATTTTAGAAGAGAGGTTTTTAAAAACAGTTACTTGCTTTCTGAACCCTTCCAGTGTATTCTGAAAGATGAATGGTCATTTACTACTATCTTTAACATTTTCTGCTTGAAATGAATAATTTTAGCTCTATACCAATTTCTGGCACAATCAACTTATGTGTTGGGTGAATTTGTTTCATTTGATTTCAGTGCTTTGCCAAAGATCATTAAGGCTGGGTTTGCAGCACTCCAACTAGAATACTTTTTCACTGCAGGCCCAGATGAAGTGCGTGCATGGACCATCAGGGTAAGATTCATACTTATTCATCAGCTATATCCAGTTCCACACTATTGAATTCAGATTGATATCACTGACTTTGAAGTTTGTCATGGTGGCGGTTAGCTAGTCATTACAGATGAGGTTTTTGTCCAGGATAACTTTAATTATTTGTGAGCTGCTGAACAGTGAAAGTGGAGCGGCATTGATTGAGGCAGGTAACAATTGATTCTGCCTATTACATAGTCTGAATTTCTTCATCCTGTAGAATCTGTCTACCCTCCTCCTGTGGTCAGAGATAAGACGCACCAGTATTGTGCTTGCTTAATCTGTGTGACTGGGTTTGTCTGCAGTGAAATTGATGTTGCTTTTCATTTTGTATTCGCTAAGTTTGTTTGGGTTGCGGGTGGTTCTTTCCTCCTTTGCTTTGCTCGGATTACATTTTCAGCAATAAAAGCAATATGACATCATTATGCTCTTCATAGATACACAGTTGGGCTCAAAAAGCTAAACTCAACGTGTAATAATTCATGCCTTTTTAAATTTGAATTCATAGAAGTAATGTTTATTTTCAGTGTTATATGTTCAGTCTTACTTCTTTAAAAATGTGATATGTATTTTAAAAATTGATGTATACTGAATACAACAGAGAGAATGACTAATTTATTCCCAGAGGACAATAGAAACTGAACTGTAATGGTTTGCTTTTAAATTTAAATATATTGTAACATAGTAGTTACTATTGAAAAATATTTTGAAATATATGTGATCCTAAATAGTATGTTACAGAATATAAAAATAATACCAGAACTTTTAGAAATAGTGTCTTATTCAGTCTTTTATTATGCTTTTTAAATATATGCTACACGATAAATTTTAGTGGTGCTTTGATTCCTGTTTTCAGTGACTACTGTAATTTATTGTTACATGTATTTTGATTTAATATGGATAGAAACATGGAGGCAGTTAACATAATGTTAAATGCCTTGTGTGAATGTGAGATTTACTTTTCTTTTATCTCCTCTCCCCTTTGTAAAAAAATGTTTGATTGACTTCTAACCAAGGTCCTTTTATATAGATTTTAAAAATAATGTCAAAGCAAATCCAAGTTGGTAAACAAATTGCCAGGATTTATTTTTACTATATATTTTAAAGATGTATTTTAAAGCCTTAAAACTTTCTAACTTAAGTATGTGGAGGTAGGAAAGATAGCATGTTCTGGGCTTGAAAATGTGAAAGCTGGTTTATCTTAAGACTGATTGTAAGTATCCATGATTTAATGTGCTAAGATATTTAGTCAGGTAAGCATCAGTGAGTAGCTATATTAACCCAATACATCTTTTATTGTAAAAACTGTGCTTTCTAGTGTCAGACTCCTTATCACTTTAACATGCTTTATTAAGCAGCCTTTAGGTCACCGTTATTTCTCAAATTTCTTTCCATGGTTATGTGTGTGTGGAATATATATCCTTGTAATATAACATATGGGTTAATTATAAGACATTTCTCTCCCTATATCAACTTGAATTTCCTTCATGATGGTTAGAGGCAGGGAATATTATGCAAAATGTTCAAAAATTTTATTATCGAAATTTTTTGAGAGTTTCACAATTATTTGCTGAATGTAGATTTCCAATATGATTTGTTGGAAATGCCTTTAAAATGTCCCTTTGTATATTGATTTTTATATGTTCTTTAGATGAGCTGAAATTTTGAGAGCTTTTTATCTTTTTAAAACCTTTGATAATTCAGCTTGAAAGTTACTTAAAAATCTATTTTTTTCCACTGTGAAGAATAGAAAATCGAAATGAAACCTACACCAAAACCAGACCACTGCTTCTAAATCAATAAAACAGTGGATGACTGTTAGGAAAAACAAAGCCACGCTTCTTTAATATCTACTGATCTATGCTAAATCTGCTGCACAGATACTACCCAGTGTTGAAAATGTACTAATTATATACCTGACATCTTAACAGATATTAAACTAAGTTCTAGTTGAGCCCAACTGCAGATCAGAGAAAAGAAACTCTGTGCTTACAATCAGTCATCTTAAATGCAATTAGTTTTCTCTGGTCTTTCTTTTCAAAGAAAGGGACTAAGGCTCCTCAGGCTGCAGGAAAGATTCACACAGATTTTGAAAAGGGATTCATTATGGCTGAAGTAATGAAATACGAAGATTTTAAAGAGGAAGGTTCTGAAAATGCAGTCAAGGTAAAGAATTGTTTTTATTTTTGTATTTCACAATGTTTCCACTGATGCGAAGTTAGTCATGATAAAAATGAATGATAATTATCTTTTAAACTGAGTGTAGTCTAAAATAAAGTAATAAGATGATCAGCGTTTAGTGTTACTATCAACTGACTTAAGAGCTATAGATGTTTACATACTTTTAGATCATTTTAAAAATGTGTGAATTGTCAGTAGTTTTGTGGAGGTTTTTTTCTATAATTGAAAATAAAATAAATTAGGTTTAAGTAATTGTAAATAATTTCGAAGAATTTGTTCACTCATGGCCAATGAAAAATTGTACTTATTACATTTGAATAGCTGAAGTATAATATATATGCTTATAATTACTTCAAGAATAGAGATAGAAAGTTAGTTAAATAAAAGCTGTTCTTTCTAAAACTTCATGGTTTTACTTGTTTGTTGTTTAAAGATACTTGGGGATTTGATTTGCTTTCTCAACACTAGAGGGCAGGTCCAAAATTGTGCTTTATTTTAGCTAATAAGGATAATTTGGTTTGCAGACACTAATAGTGAAGCAGTTTTATACATGAGTAGTAGATGACTTGTTAAATGTAAATTCTGTTGCAAAATTAATTTTGTTTGATTTATTAGATGTTACTTAGAGAAATCTAGCAATCTCTAATATAGACAGATTAGCTGGTTAAACTGACATTGTAGGAAGGTTCTTTAATTTAATTTAATATTTGAAGACTACTATAGTAAATGTTATAGAATTTAAAGAAGATTCTTGTGTTTACTATTTCATAAGTTGAAAGGAATACAAAAAAGTTTATTTCAGGTTTACTTTATTTTCACTGGTATCATTGGAAAGGTCATACCGAACAGCAGGACTTTAATAGAACTGTTGGAACACCAGGAAGAGGAGGGGGAAAATCTTGGTATAATTGGTTCAATGTTGAATGAGAACCATTTTGTTTTTTTGAAAGAGTGGAAGGAATAACAGTTTACAAGTAAACACAGTTGTTAATTTTTTGATGGTGGCATCTGTATAGATATAGGTAGGTGTGCAAAAATACTGAGATTGAACTTTGTCAGGAATACTAATTAGACGAACAAAAATCTCAGATTATTTGTCAACATGCTACATCATGTTGGCATATCTATTTTTCATAAGGAAGATAAAAATGAGGATGTTTTCTATTACTAGAATTCAGAGATCAGATGCTTCTTTTTTTATACTCTTAAAATGGTAAGCCTGTTTACCAATCCTTAGTAGATCTATGTTGTAATAAACTTGATAGATGAATTGTAAATATTTCCTTTAACAATTGAGAGAAACTTTATAATATCCAATAAAATAATATTTCCTGCTTGTAAGACTATTTACCACTAACTGGCAGCTTTTATACTATAAATTAGAAAAGGTTGACTCTGACATTTTCACCTAGGATACCATTAAATATTTTACGTTGTTTTAACCTCCAAAACTAATATTTCAAAATTTGAAGTCCAAGTAAAATGAAGCATTTAGGAATTGCTCTCTGCTCCTTTATTCAACAAATGTTTACTTGCAGATTATCAAGTAGGTTTTAGATTTGAGAGCAAAATTGTGTATATGTGTGTGTATGTATGTATGTATGTATGTATGTATGTATGTATGTATGTATATGTATTTCTAACACCAGTGCAGCATAACTAATTTAATGCCAGTGCTGTGAACTATATACTGAATAGCTCTGTGTGGGCTTTGTAGTCTACAGGGATATCACATTATTAGCAATCATATCTGCTTAGGCAAAGCTGGCTTCTACAGATGGCTGCTTTCAAGTGCAAATGAACTGGTTAGACGTGTCTTGTTTAATACATACTCAAGATTCACAAATGGGTATTGATTTTTTTTTTCAACCAGTGTTTCTGATAGCAGTGGAAATGGATTAAATGGTCTCTAGAGAATTTAAAGGAACACTGTCACTTTTAATTAATAGTAAACTTGAGTGGTAACAAAGTATATAAAGTTACATTAATATGTCATGTCAATATGTACTTGATTTATATTGTCTATATAGTTTTATAACAGTGGGCTATAGATTCTAGAAATAAGTAGCTTATGGCCTTCAATACATTGCATGTCTTTATAAAAACATGTGAAAATATGTATTTTTATATATATACACACACACATATGTGTCATATATATGAAATATATATAAATATAAATATATATGTATACACACACACACATATGCCTTTAATTGTAGGGTACGTTACGTTGGCTTTCTAGAAATAAGCTTTATATATTCTTCATATATTTATATTCTGTTAAAATCAGGACAGTTTTATATGTGGTCTAGATAATTGAAAATATGCTTACTAGGGCTCTGCAATCTGGTTTGTTGATTTTACCCTCAGATGTATGATCTTTATTAGTGTTTTTGTTACAGATTAGTATAATTTCACTTGGCTTTGAACATTCTTATCAATATCTTCAAAGAGAAGCACTAATCCTGTTGGGCAAAGGTTTCTTCTCAATACATTCTAACAGAAGGGAAAAACTTTTGAGAATTTCCCCCAAAAGATCCTCAAGTCCTTATTGTTGAGGAGTCGATGGTGGGGTCATGTGGGACCATGTCAGCTGTGTGCAGTGTTAAGTGTGGGTGCTGCAGAGCCTGTTTTACTTATGGTAAAGTAAAGTTCATGCCATGGACTAAACCTGGTTTTCTGGAACTGCTGCTTGCTTCTATTAAAATTACCAGCAGATTGCATGTCTGGATCTGCATACCAGCAGGTGGAATCAGTTGCTTTGCTGACTAATTTACAAGTGGAAGAAATATCTGTCTTTGCAACTGCAACCTGTTAGAGTCTCCTTGTAACTAGGGCCATTAGTCAGGAAACCGTATGATGAATTCTAGTACATACTTCTATGTATACACATTGTCAAGACTAAATTTTAAAAACTACAAGGAAGTAGTTCAGAATCTTACACAACAACTGATCATAATTTTCCTTATACCAACTATATTTTTGGCATCACCAGTGTCACCAAAGGATTTCTTTAAGCAAATAAAGCAGCTTTTAACTAGTTATATAGTCTTTTTCTTTCTGCCTGGTTTGATCTGTTTTGTTACAGTGACTTGCTGGATGTTTGCAGACACATCAGAAATGTACCATAAACAGCGTGTAATGAAACTTAATGATATTGGTATAATTACATTTATGTACCAACAATTTAGTGGAGAATACATTATGATTATGTATATATGGAAAATCTAGTTCTGCCCAAATCAAGAATACTTTGCTTCTCTCCAAGTCTAGTTTTGAACTTGTATGCCTTCCTATATTTCATTTTTTCTTTTTTTATATCACCCAAGTAGTATAATACTTTTTATATCTGCTGCCACCATTTACCCCATGTATTTAGTTGTAAACTAATAACCCATTTCCTCTATATTTTCTGTTTGCAGGCTGCTGGAAAGTACAGACAACAAGGCAGAAATTATATTGTTGAAGATGGAGATATTATCTTCTTCAAATTTAACACACCTCAACAACCGAAGAAGAAATAAAATTTAGTTATTGCTCAGATAAACATACAACTTCCAAAAGGCATCTGATTTTTAAAAAATTAAAATTTCTGAAAACCAATGCGACAAATAAAGTTGGGGAGATGGGAATCTTTGACAAACAAATTATTTTTATTTGTTTTAAAATTAAAATACTGTGTACCCCCCCCCCCCCATGAAATGCAGGTTCACTAAATGTGAACAGCTTTGCTTTTCACGTGATTAAGACCCTACTCCAAATTGTAGAAGCTTTTCAGGAACCATATTACTCTCATGATACTTCATTAATCTCCATCATGTATGCCAAGCCTGACACATTTGACAGTGAGGACAATGTGGCTTGCTCCTTTTTGAATCTACAGATAATGCATGTTTTACAGTACTCCAGATGTCTACACTCAATAAAACATTTGACAAAACCAGCCTTGGTGTGTTTGGGGATGTCTGTATTGACTGACTGTGGTGTGCTGAATGCGATACGGCACCTGGTGGTTGCTGATTACAGAATTTTAAGGCGTGTGTATGACACAGTAACTGGCAGTGTGGGGCAGCTGCAATTGTATCTTAAAAGTGAGTCTTTCATGGGAATCAGAAGAATAGTATACCAGGGATTTGTCTCAAAAAAGTTAATTAATTTATAGATCAACATTTATTGAAAGATGATAGCAATGATATTATGAGGGATATGAGATAGGTGACTGACCACAAAGAAGAAAATTCTGTCTCAAAAATTAAAGAATTTTGTTTGTTATTGTTGTTCTGACCATATTGAAAAGAGGTTCACTTTTAATCTTTCCTTTGAAATTATTAAATTGTAAAAACTGACCCATTGATGTCTGGTGGGTTATGTTTTGCTTCAATTCAGCAATGTGTATAAAAGTTCCTACACTGATTTTGAAATACTAAGATCAGACTTTGAAAATTTTAAAAATTCTTTCATTCTTACTTTTCAGATATTTGAGAGCAGTCGAAGTGGTAGTATGGGTAAGTTAAGCACTTCTTAACATTGTAGCAGAAAATTCCAAAAGAAAGACTAGAACAAATTGGTAATTTGGAGACCCTTTGCCACTTAGCCTTCTCTTGTGATGATGGCCTGAAAGCTCTCTCGGCCCTGAGCCTCCCTTTCTCTCCCATGTTTCCATTCCTGTGAGACCTCCCTTCCTTGTCCTTGTCCTCTGCCCTTTTGTGCTCTTCTGTGATCACAGGACCATTTCCATGGAATGCAGATTCATACCCAGCCAGCCTTTGCCTCTACTGTATCGCTTTGGGACTTTAAAGATGCAGAAGTATTAGAACACACACAAACTTAAAATGGAAAGTTACCAAATGTAGCACTAGAGGCAAGAAAAGGGGTGATTTTTTAAAGATTTGGCTATACTTAAGATATTTAAAGAGGATGAGGTTGAGTCGTGAGTATAATTTAGAAGCTCTCCAGTGAGTATTTTTTTAGTATCAAATAGTGATCTTCTTTTGCTAACATAAAAATGAGTAAACTACAGCAGAGAAATAAGAATAAAACTAATGAAGGGTTTTTTAAAAGAACTAAATAAAACAAATAAAACTAGGCTACAGGTATAGCTGACCAAGTTTGCTGTGAAAAATCCTTGTTATATCTATTTCTGTATTGGAGTAATGTGTAGATTAGTGGATTGTTAGGGATTTCAGCAGTATAAGAAAGAATCAAATATCTTGCTTTTGGGTCTTCTCCAAAGTAAATTGCATGGACTTCTTAAAGAAGTTTGAAATCAGTAAAAAGACATTAGGATCATGCAATTTTACTTTGTCTAGCTTCTAATGTGGTAAATTGCACATTGTGCAACAGAACCATTAATAAAAGAAAGGAGTTAGTTTTGAGGTAACTGCATTCATTAGGGGCTGAAAATAAATGTTAAAAATGTTTAATTTGGTTAGAAGTTCTACAACATTGTATGTACATATACAAAATTTCATTTTCTCTGAAAGTCGAGAATTCCAAGAACTGTTACATATAATCATATATATGCCTATATCTAAACGTTTTCCCTCCTTTAATATTGATAAAGTTAATATATTTTAGGATGTTATGTAAATATTTTTGCATGTATCTGTAGCTCCATCTTAATCAAATTTATGGTTAAAAGAGATTTGAGGCCAGGCGTGGAGGCTCACACCTATAATCCCAACACTTTGGGAGGCCGAGGTGGGAGGATCACTTGAGCACAGGAGTTTGAGACCAGCCTGTGCAACATCATGAAACATCATCTCTACATAAAAAAATACATATATACAAAAATTAGCTGGGCATCATGGCACACACCTGTAGTCCCAGCTACTTAGGAGGCTGAGATGGGAGGATTGATCGATCGCTTGAGCCTGGGAGGTGGAGGCTACTGTGAGCCATGATCATGCCACTGCACTCCAGCCTGGGCAACAGAGTGAGACCCTGTCTCCAAAGAGAAAGAGAAACTTGAGAAGGCTTGTGCCCAAAGCTTGAAGAAAGATTGTAATAGCATTTAGTTGTGTTTTATCATGTTATCTTCATAACATGCATTTTGCATATGGCTCAGAGCAGAGCCGGATCTCCCAAGGAAGCACAAATAGTTTTTGTCGCTAACTTAGTTATGAGTGAAGCCTCTGTTCACTTATAACTTGCCAGTTTCATTGGTGGAATAAGTCCCCTTACTCATGATTCATCAATATTCCTATATTAAAATTCCAGTTTGATGTTTGTCTCTAGTTGTCTGTGTATAATATTTCCAAAGCTCCTTTGTAAACCCCGTCTCCTTTCATTCAGAGAGTCAGAGACGGTATCTCCTCCTCCTGCCTCTTCTATTGTTCTGATTAGTCTACTTAAATTCACTTGATGCTCTTTTTATTTTACAAGAGACTTGAGAAATGTCGGTTGTTCCTAATGGCAAACTACTTTAGCTGGGAAAATTCATTTCAACTTATTTTAAGCTTGTAAAATACACTGTGGTGATAAAATAAAAGAGCTGGGTTTGACTTTTGAGTGACTTTTTTGTCTTCCTAACTGGTTTTGGGCCCCTTATAAAAACTGACCGTTCTTGAATCACCTTCATGGTCTATGAATTTCCCAAACCACTTGTAAATTAGTGCTTCAGTGAAAAGCCTTGTGTTGCAATTAGGAAATACAAAAAAGGGACTCACGTGACCACCCAGGCAGCAAGCGCTTCACAGAGTTCTCAAACCACACATCTAATCTGCTCTTTGGCCCTGCAGGTCTAGGAACTGATTTTCTTCAGCTCAGCAATGCCGTGTTATAACACTTTCCAAACATCTAAGAGCCTAATTTATAAATTAGAATGACAAGTTCTTCACTTACAGTAGATGTTCCTGATATATCAGTAACAGATGCTGGTTAAGGCCCATCCTCAGGAGTCAGGAGGCCAGGCTCTGTACCTGACTGTACCACTTCCTAGTTGTATGACCTTAGTTATACAAGCTACTTAACCACTCAGAATCTGTTTCCTCGCCTGTAAAATGGGGATAATAGGACCACCCTCATGGGGTTTTTGTGAGGGTTAAATTAACTTATGTATACATGGAAAAGGCTAAAGCTGCTTAGTACCTAGTAAGTGCTCAACAAATGTTAGCAATTCTTTTAACTTGTTTGAGGTGCTTGCTTCTTGTGTCCACTCGAGAGACAAAACTATAGAATGTTGCTTTGTAAAATTAGAAGAGAGCAACATAAATGTTCTTTAGGAAATCACTTCCAGGATCTCTCTCTAAATGGATCTAAAGTATCCCCGATTGAGGATACTTCTGTCTACTTAATCAACAAGTCAGTTTATTATTCTTTCTCTGTAAGGTCACAATGAAAACATGAGCACAAATACTAAATTATGGGTATTTCTTCTAAAGAAACATGAGAATAGGAGATAACGATTTGCCTAATCAGCATCACAGACTTCCACCAGCTCTAGAATGACCAACAGACTTCTTAATGAAACCTTAGAGGAACTGGCCAGGCACATTACCTCACGCCTGTAATCCCATCACTTTGGAAGGCCAAGGCAGGCCCAGTAGTTTGAGACCAACCTGGGCAACATAGCAATACCCTGTCTCTACAAAAAATAAAAAAAGGAAAGGAACTCAGTCATATGAGTTGGGATTCTCCAATCCATTTCTTCCTTTCATTCTAAATGTATGCTGCTTGTATCAGAGAATGGCTTATTCAATGCCATTCCAGGGGAACATTTCTGTATCTTCTTTCTTACTATGGATTATAGAGTTGCTTTCACACTTTGGCAAGCAACTAAGTAGGAAGCAGTCTTCATAAGGTGCCCGTGTATGTGGCCTGTGTTTGAAGCTCCATGGAGCTCATCAGTGAATCAGTGCGTTCTGTTTCCATAGAACCTGGGAAAGATGGACAAACAGTGAGATGTCCTATTCTTTGACTCTTCTTCCTCTGGTCTTATAAATTGCCTTTTTTTTTTTTTCTGGTGAGATAACGCATTTTGGTTGCCATAGGGTACAAGGAATAGGTCACATCTTCATTTAGTTACATGATAGCATATTTCCCTGGTCCTCTTGATACAGTTTTATAAAACACTGTGTTTGGGATCGTAATAAACTCCTATCTGTTTGAAGGGGGTTATTTGCAGATTGTTTCATCCTGTCTATGTTGATTTAACACTGAGGAAAGGATATTGGAGGAGGTCTGAGGGGGTGCTAGTTGTCTGCCAGAACGCGTTCCTCTTTCTAATTTGAGTAGAGTACAGAGGGGTGCGTGGCTGTCCTGCTGTAGACTGTTTCCCGGCTTCCTTGCAGCCAGATGAAGGCCACATGACTAAGTTCTCATCGGTGGAATATGAACAAAGTGATGCAGGCTGATTCCAGAGATAGGTCTTACACACCTGGATGCATGCTCCCCTCACATGCTCTGGAAGAGCACATGTCATTAATAATGCATACGGGGACAACACCCAGGGGACAGTGGAGCAGCATGGCAGCAACTTGGGTCCCTGAATGACTGTGGGGAGCAGAGCTACCCAGTAACTTGGCTGCTTACCTTGGGGCTGGTACATGAAAGAAAAAGAAAAATGAATTTGAGTGTTCTTTAAGCTACTGTATTTGAGCTACCATATTTCCATCGTAACAGCTTAGCTTTTTACCCTAGCAAATACGTAGACACGTTTTCTGTACTCGTTTCCGTTATACTATATTTGGAGTTTATAACTCCTGTTGTGTTATGAACACAGCTTTATAGAGTGGAAAGAGCTTTTGATCAGATCTGGAATCAGATTCCACTTCCGCCACTTAGATGTCATCTTGTGTGAGTTAACTCTTCCGGCCTTATATTCTTCCTATGTATAATGAAGATAACGCTAATGTGTGGATTAAATGGCCTAGTATCAAAGGACTGAGGAGAATTCCAGATATAAGCCGCTCAAGAAATGCCAATTCCCGTACAGTTCTTTTTAACATCACCTAAAAGGAAGCACCATTAACAGGCCCAATCTTTATATATAACACACAAGGAAATTACGGAGCATGTTTTTCTGTTACTTTACCTACCCTGAGGAAGAAATGTTAATATTTTAACGTTGCTAAAGAATACTCTGAAAGGAAATTTGGGTATTGAGTGGTAAGTGTTGACATCTTGCTAATAACACGTCAGGATTTCAGGTAAATCACTGAATTTTCAGACTGAAAATGTCGTTTGAGAGTATCTTGCTTAACTCATCTACTATGAAAGAAGTTACTGAGAAGGCGGAAGATTAAGTGGCTTACCTGAAGTCACATAGCTAGATTAAATAATACTAACCACAATGACCAGTAGTGAAATAATAAACTGCCAAAAATTAATTTATAAATTAGTTATTTGTAAGTTGGAATTAATTTTCTCACAGAAAATTGTGATTAGACTTTCAGAGTAGCCACAAAATTCTATTGAACACAGTGTTACTGAAGTGCTTTAGGGGGTCTTGGACAACCAAGAAAAAAAAGAAAAAGAGTCAGGAAGTCCAAACATCTCAGCTTAACAGCTGATGATCTGGCTACAGCGTACGTCTCTGGTTTTCTCTGCCATTATTCATTTTCTTGTACAGATACAGATAAATTACCTAACCAAAATTGCAGAGCTAATTATTTCCTCTGTAAAAAAAAAAAAGATTGTCCATAATTTTAAAACCAGTACAGTATAGCATTCTTTGCATTGAATGATTCATATTGGCCTTAATGAATAAAACAAGGTTGGGTGAGTACAATGAAGATTCCATCAGTTTTGATCAAATAAGCTTGAAAATTTTCAGCAATTCATGATTTTCCCATTGAATCCTGCCTAGTACACTCAGAAGCAGTTTCTTTTTAAAAAAAAGTAAACGATTAAGGGTAAGTAGAGATGAGAAAACAAACATCCTTGTGGTTCTCTCTTTTTTTTTTAACCTTACTCTCTCTTCTCCAAATTATTAGTACCAGAAAAATCATAAAGAAGTACTCATCCTAAAGAAATGAGAATATTGAGGCTTCATAAACTGCATATGTTCAGTAAAATTTTAAAGATGTTGACTAGAAATTATATCAACATATAAAGTGCACACAAAAAAATTGTTCATGCTTAGAATGACCACATTTCACAATTGAACAGGGTATATTATTTCATACTATAATATTATTTCAAACTATAATAAAGAACTGGCTCCTGTAGAAGAGAAGGTAAATTATTTTCTATGATCCAAAGAATTGAAATACATATCAGTTATAGTAAGATTCAATTGTAGTAGCAAAAACAATTGGAAACTATTTAAATGTGCATCAATACAGGAAAATGGTGACATGTACTGTAATACATCCATACAAAAGAATACTGTCAGCCATTAAAAGAATAAAGTACATCCTTGGCTGGGTGTGGTGGCTAACACCTGTAATCCCAGCACTTTGGGAGGCTGAGGTGGGTGGATCACTTGAAGTCAGGAGTTCAAAACCAGCCTGACCAATATGGTGAAACCCTGTCTCTACTAAAAATACAAAAATTAGCCAGGCGTGGTGGTGCATGCCTATCATCCCAGCTACTCGGGAGGCTGTGGCAGAAGAATTGCATGAATCCAGGAGATGGAGGTTCCAGTGAGCCGAGATCACGCCACTGCACTCCAACCTGGGTGACAAAGCAAGACTCCATCTCAAAAAAAAAAAAAAAAAAAAAAAAAAAAAAAAAATAGAATAAAGTACATCTTATATGAGCTGGCATAGAGAGATTTCTTAATCACACTGCTTTGTGAAAAACTACCTTGCAGAACAATAGAGTGTGACCCCAGAGGTAACCTCAGTTAACTGGTATGTATCCTTCTAAATAGTTATCAATATATTTACAAATATGTATACATCTACATATTAATTGGATCATCCTATACATCTTGTTATGTAATTTCCTCTTAAAGAACTGAAGATTTGAAAGCAATGTAAAAATACATCTAGAATTATTACATCATATTTGATAACTTATTTAAGTTAAATGATAATTCATTTAAGCCAAGACTTAAGTGGAAATGATCCAGCCGTCAAAGCAAGTGTGGTGGGAGCCTCCCAGGCAGGAGGACCAGCAAACGTAGAGGCTGTGAGACAGGAAAGAGCCTGAAGCACAATGAGAGAGGGGGTCAGGCAGGACCTTGCATGTATGATAAAGAACTGGGATTTTACTCTAACTGAAATAGCCATTAGAGGGTTTTGAACATGAGAGCTAGACTTTGAAAAATAACCTGGCTTCCGAACCCCTCTGCCATCTTACCAAGTCTTTCCAGCCGTGAGAGTCCCCTGTGAGGACGAAGCTGAGGTGCTGGCTGACGTACAGAGGAGAGGAGGAGGAGAGGCTGGGGGAGCGGGAAGCAGGGAGGTCAGGGGCCAGAGAACTGCAGCCTACAGCCATGACTGTCCAGGGCAGCATGGCCTGATAGACCCTTAACGGGGCACATACATGTAATTTAAACGTTCCTAGCAACCGCATTTTTGGCTTTGGCTTTTTTTTTTTTTTTTTTTTTTTTTTTTTGTGACGGAGTCTCGCTGCGTCGCCCAGGCTGGAGTCCAGTGGTGCCACCTGGGCTCACTGCAAGCTCCGCCTCCCGGGTTCACGCCATTCTCCTGCCTCAGCCTCCCCGGTAGCTGGGACTACAGGCATAAGCCACCATGCCCAGCAAAACCACATTTTTGAAAAGAAACAAAATTCATATTAATGATTTATTTAACTCAATATGTCCAAAATGTCGTCATTTTAACATGTAATCAACCTAAAATTATTAATAAGATTTTAGAATACTTACTTTCATACAAAGTTTTTAAAACCTAGAGTATATTTTATTCTTACAACACATCTGGATTCAAACTGGCCACGTTTCCAGTGCTCAGTGACGTCATATGGCTTGAGGCTACTGAATTGGACAGTGCAGGGCTTTACTTTTCTCCTAAGAGACTTACACTGAAGCTTCATCCCCATCTGATTTCAACATGTCATAAAAAACCCACTCGGGCTGAGTGTGGTCACTCACGCCTGTTCCATTGTAGAGGACAAAAGGTACAACAGTTATAGTAGTACCAACGAGATTCACTCTCGAACTTAGTAGAAACAGAAAGATGCAACCTGATTTGCACTGTTCGCTGGAGGAAGGATTGAGAAGACATATTGATGGGCTGGATGCAAGTTGGGAAGGAAAGAATCAAGAATGATTTGTAGGTTTTTAGCCTAAGCACGTGGATGCATGGTGGTGCCATTGACTGAGATGGGAAAGACTTGGGAGTCAAACAGGTGTGAGAGTGTGTGCGGAGGCGGGAATCAAGAAACTGTTTTGAATGTAGATGACACTACCTGACTTCAAGACTTACCATAAAGCAGCCAGGGGCTGTGTCTCACGCCTATAATCCCAGCACTTTGGGAGGCCAAGGTGGGTGGATCACTTGAGACCAGGAGTTTGAGACCAGCCTGGCCAACATGGTGAAACTCCATCTCTACTAAAAATATAAAATTTAGCTGGGTGTGGTGGTGAGTGCCTGTAATCCCAGCTACTCTGGAGGCTGAGGTAGGAGGATTGCTTGAACCCAGGAGGCAGAGGTTGCAGTGAGCAGAGATTGTACCATGGCACTCCAGCCTGGGCAACAGAGTGAGACTGTGTCTCAAAAAAAAAAAAAAAGGCTGAGTGCAGTGGCTCACACCTGTAATCGCCTGTAATCCCAGCACTTTGGGAGGTCGAGGTGGATGGATCACCTGAGGTCAAGAGTTCCAGACCAGCCTGACCAACATGGAGAAACCCCGCCTCTGCTAAAAATACAAAATCAGATGGGCATGGTGGCGCATGCCTGTAATCCCAGCTACTCAGGAGGCTGAGACAGGAGAATCACTTGAACCTGGGAGGCAGAGGTGGCAGTGAGCTGAGATCATGCCATTACACTCCAGCCTGGGCAATAAGAGTGAAACTCAGTCTCAAAAAAAAAGAAAAAAAAAAAACTTACTATAAAGCTACAGTAATCCAAGAAAGTGTGGTGCTGGTGAAAAAATAGATTAAAAAAAAAATCAATAGAACAAAATGGAGAGCCCAGAAAAAGACCCACATAAATGTAGTCAACTGATTTTTGACAAAGGAGCAAAGGCAATAAAATGGAGCAGAGATAGCCTTTTCAACAAATAGTGCTGGAACAACTGGACATTCACATGCAAAAAACTAAATCTTGACATACAGACCTTACTCTTTTTACAAAAATTAACTCAAAATGAATCATAGACCTAAAGGTAAAACCCAAAACTATAAAACTCCTAGAAGATAACACAGGAGAAAACCTAGATGAGCTTGGGTTTGGCGATGACTTTTTCTAGATACAACACCAAAGACATGATCCACAAAAGAAAGAATTGATAAGCTGGCCTGCATTAGAATTAAAAACTTCTCTGTGAAAAACTGTCAAGAGAATGAGAAGACAAGCTACAGACTGGGAGAAAATATTTGCAAAGGACATATCTGATAAAGAACATTTCTGGACTGTTATCCAAAATATGCAAAGAACTTAAAACTCAAAAATAAGAAAACGAACAACCCAATTCAATGTCTTGAGGATAGGTTGGAGATGGCCATTAAACACTCTTGGGTAGATATCAGACTGGGTAGATACCAAGACCAATTGTTGTGTCTCAATTGGAAGCTCAGAGGAAAGTTTGAGGAAGCAGGTATATAAATTTAGAATCATTACTATATGGATATTACTTAAAACCTGAGGGCCAGAATAGCTCACCTTAGACAGGTGAGAACAGAAAGAGGAGAAGGCCCAGAAATGAGCCTGATGCAAAAGGTCTCTGGAAAGAGGAGGGGCCAGCAAATCGCAGCAAAAAAACTGCCGAGGCCGGGCGCGGTGGCCCATGCCTGTAATCCCAGCACTTTGGGAGGCTGAGGCAGGCAGATCACTTGAGGCCAGGAGTTCAAGACCAGCCTGGCCAACATGGTGAAACCCCATTTCTACTAAAAGTACAAAAATTAGCCAGGCGTGCTGGTGCACAGCTGTAATCCCAGCTACTCAGGAGGCTGAGGTGGGAGGATCCCTTGAACTCAAGAGGCAGAGGTTGCAGTGAGCAGAAATGGTGCCACTGCACTGCAGCCTGGGCAACAGAGCGAGATCTTGTCTAAAAAAAAAAAAAAAAGAAGAAGAAGAAGAAGAAGCCAATGAGAGAGGAGCAAACCCAGAGAGGCTAGTGTCAGAGCAGCTGGGAGACAGAAACGGTTTCAAGAAGACAGCAAATGTTGCTGAGCAGTTGAAAAAAATGAAGATGAAAGATGTTCTGCTTGAGGGTGGGGCACGGTGGCTCACGCCTATAATCCCAGCACTTTGGGAGGCTGAGGCGGGCGGATCACCTGAGGTCAGGAGTTTGAGACCAGACTGGCCAACATGGTGAAACACCATCTCCACTAAAAATACAAAAATGAGCCAGGTGAGGTGGCAGGCGCCTGTAGTCCCAGCTACTCGGGAGGCTGAGGCAGGAGAATGGCGTGAAGCCGGGAGGCGGAGCTTGCAGTGAGCCGAGATCACGCCACCGCACTCCAGCCTGGGCGACAGAGCAAGACTCCATCTCAACAAAAAAAAAAAGAAAAAGAAAACAAGAAAAAAAAAATCCAGCACGTTGAGAGGCCAAGATGGGAGTATCACTTGAGGCCAGGAGTTCAAGATCAGCCTGGGTAACATTGCAAGACTGTCTCTATCAAAAAATAAAAACTAAAAATTAGCTGGATGTGATGATTGTGCCACTGCTTTTCAGCCCGAGTGACAGAGCAAGACTCTGACTCTAAAAAAAAAAAAAAAAAAAAAAAAAAAAGGTGCTGCTGGACAAGTTCTGTTTAATTTGAAAGCAAGTTCAGATTACTCTTTTGAGAAGTTTTGCCAGAAAGGGGACAAGAGAAATGGAAATGGGGGAGATGGGAAGCAAAGAGGTTTTTTTGTTGGTTGGTTGGTTGGTTGGTTGGTTGGTTGGTTGGCTGGCTGTAGATTTTTTAGCAACGGAGCGTGCCGGGGCATGTCTGGATGTTGAGGGGAATGTTCCCGAGAGGAGGAGAGCTGGAGGCTGATGAAGCAAGAGGGAGAGGGGTGACGAAAGAGACCCAGTCCTTAAGAAGCTACAGGGGATGAGAACTGGAGCATAGGTGGAGGGACTGACAGTTGGTAGAAGCAGGAATGCTTCCAGTAAATAGGAGGGAAGGCAGGGCTAGATGTGTAGCTTCCATTTTCTCAATGAAATTGGAGTGAACGCCATCAGCAGAGTGGGTGTGGAAGGCGTGGGTGTGAAGGGAAAGGAGAAATTTTGACACAGCCCTCTTCAACGTGCCCTGTTGTTTTTTGTTTTTTGAACCTAGATTCCAAGAGCTAACACAGAACCCTGCAGGGCCCCCCGTTCATGAACGCTTTAGTTACTGGATTGTGTTGCTTTCACAGGGTGACAACATTTTATCAACCTGGGCGGTCTACAGCGCTTCCCAGTGGGGGTCAGTCCTAGGAGAACCAGGCCCTCTGACTCCTCTATGCCTGTTCTTTACTTTGCTCCAGGGAATAAAAAATACGAGGGTTTCAGTGTTCTCTCATTAGGCTCTGCCTTTTATCTTCCCATTTTTGTGATAAGATTCCTCAGTTCTTGCTCTCAAGAGGCCCGCCAAATCTGAGCAGTCTCTATTTGGGGCAACTACACTTCTTCGAGAAAGTTCCATCCCTTTCGTAGAATAGAGCAGTCCTGGCTGCTGATATCAATGATATAAATGGGACAGCGGCTGCGGAGAGTGACGTGTTTGGTTCCCGGCCTCTCACTGCAATCCTTTGAAATCCCATGGAAGTGCAGGCAACAGACCACCCCTTGAACTTTTGAGGCTCTTGTCTGAGTGGATTAACTAACCCTGTTTACTAATCTCTCTCTTCTCCCCCTGAGGATCCTTGTCTTTAGAATTCAGTGTTCTTTTTGCTTCAAACAAAGCCTCCAGTTTGCTGCTCTTCTGATCACAGCATGAGAGCAAGCTGATTTGCTTTGGTCAAATGTTGTGTGTAAGTGATTTCAGCCATTTGGCTTATTGTATTTGCGTCATTTTGGGGTGAATTCCAAGGACCTTGGGACATCATTACTTTAAACTTGAAAATAGATTTAATGAAGAACTGTATTTCTAGGGAAGAGACTTGGTCAAGTTTTATTTCCAAGGAAGGAGCCTATTCTGTGACTTAACTCCTACAAAGCCACGTAGGATATCTGGTTTGACTGAGGGCTTTATCCAATTTCACAATATAGCAAATGGAAGATGTATTTCCTTATTATGCACTCATTGAATAGTAATGATGAACTCAGGCATTGGGACCAGGGTCCCACCTTTCACCTGTTAATGCCTCCAGACATCACAAACACTATTGATTGTTTAACCATCGCCGTCTCACAAACCCACCACACCCCCCTTTTCCTTGCCAACAAAATCTCATTTTGCTCCATAGACAGCGAGTGTGCTCAGCTTCAGAAAATGAATCATTATGGCTCTAAATTCATCATGATATCCCACTTCTCCTTTGCCAGTGATAGGGCTAGGCAGGTGAGCCAGCTCTGGCCTGGAAAGTATGAGGGTCTGGGGAGCAGGCTTGGCAAAGCTTTGCCAGGGAAATTTTTCCTCCCTGATACAAAAAGGGAGACAAGAAAAGCTATCCATTTTGTCTCTTTTTTTTAATGTTTTGAGACAAGGTCTTGCTCTGTTGCCCTGGCTGGAGTGCAGGGGTTGCTCACTGCAACTTTTGCCTCCTGGGCTCAAGGGATCCACCCGCCTCAGCCTCCCAAAGTGCTGGGATTACAGGCGTGAGCCACGGTGCCTGGCCAAGCTATCCATTCACCCTCCTCCTCCTGCGAGGGCTTGGGGTGAATTCCAGGGCCCGCTGGACATCATTCCTTTTTTTTTATTTGAAAATAGATTTGATGAAGGACTGTATTTGGAGCTATGGAAAGGAAAACCGAGAGGCAGAGAAGCAGCCCCTAGACTGTTAGCCAATCCGGGTTGGAGCAGCCGCCCACAGACGTCATCTTTTGTGTAAGAATTAAATGCCCTCATGATTTCAGTCACTTGTAGTTGAATATTCTGTAACTTGTGGCTAAAAGCCTCCAGATACATCTGAGTTCACAGAACTTGCTATGCTCAAGAGCATATATAACTAACACCTTCATCCTGGCTTAGCAAAAACAATTCCCCATCCCCCACTTGGCTGTAAAGCTATGGTTCCTTACTAGCTTGTTAAGTACTGTTAAATACCGAAGAGTATTACAAAAGCAAAGTGTTTTCTAGAACTAGATTCTTCTGGTTT
Source organism: Homo sapiens (assembly GCF_000001405.40). Lineage (NCBI taxonomy): Eukaryota > Metazoa > Chordata > Mammalia > Primates > Hominidae > Homo > Homo sapiens. Next base: position 174,061,646 of record NC_000002.12, on the reverse strand, counting down.
TCTAGTGCAGTTTGGCTAAGTGGGATATTAAAAATAAAATAATGTTTTAATAACTCATCTATAGAGAAGAGAATGTCAGTATTTCTAAACAACCATCTTATTTTATTAAAAAAATTTTTTAGAGACAAAGTCATGGTCTGTCACCCAGGCTGGAGTACAGTAGTACAATCATGGCTCACTGCAGCCTCAAACTCTTGGTCTCAAGTGATCCTACTGCATCAGCCTCCCAAGTAGCTAGGACTACAGGCGCATACCACCACCATGCCCAACTATTTTTTTATTTTTTTGTAGAGATGGGGGTCTTGCTATGTTACCCAGGCCGGTCTCAAACTCCTGACCTCAAGTGATCCTCCCACCTCGACCTCCCAAAAGTGCTAGGATTATAGGCATCAGCCACTATGCCCAGCCTAAATAGCTATTTTAAGGTTTTCTTCTTTAAAATGTTTTTTAAACTTTCTGGTTCAGAATTTGAGTTCTTAACTGGATCAAACTTTGAGAATTATTGGAAACCCACCATAAACAGTTACTCTTGCCTGAGGCAGTAACTTTTTTTTCTGTAAAAGCTCACCTGTATTATTAAAACCCAAAATATTCCTCATCCTTTATGGCTTGGCCTTTGTTAACCTTATTCGTCTATCACTTCAGCACTTTACCCATATTTATCACTGGAGGCTTAAATTTGTTGATATTTTTTCACACTTTTTGTCCTTTCCAGTTCCTTCATATCTTTACACCTTGTGTCCCTGAAAATGTGGGAATATGGCCAGACCTCATCGTGGGGACTGCTAAGTCAGTTTCACAGATGACAACAATGTGGAGAGTTACAGAATCAACTGATTTATCAGGTTTTCTGTTTTCATATCTTTTCCTGAGAGTACAATTAAGGCATTTATATTAAAATCAGTTCCTGAAATCCCCTGATAGTAACAAGCAAAAACAATAATAAAATAGCACTTACTCAGAGCCTAAAGTAAACCATGCAACAAGCCCAAATGAAAGAAGCATAACTTTTTTTTTTCATTCTGGGTTTTAGCTTCTAAGGTGATCCAGGCAGATTTAGTTATTGGCAGTGGATACAGGTTATTTGCTTAACTAAATGAATTAGGGGCAGGGTGTGGGGAAGAAGGAGGAGAAAGGAGGGTGATAAAAGAACACTGAACAAGTTAGGACGGAACTTTTACAGTGCAGATATGCAGGCTGATGAGCATTTCTGAAAGTAGCTTAACATATTTTCAGATTCCACATCAAGTACTGATTGCATTAAGCAAGATGAATAATTTATCTCCTTCATCACTAGAGCAAAAACTGATAGTGTAAAATTTATTATATTTTTTTTTTTTTTTGAGACAGGGTCTTGCTGTGTCACCCAGGCTGAAGTGCAGTGGCCCCCATCACAGCTCACCTCCTGGGCTCAAGCGATCCTCCTGTGTCAGCCTTCTGAGTAGCTGGGACTACTGGCGCATGCCACCATGCCTGAGTAATTTTCGTATTTTTGGTAGAGATGGGGTTTTGCCATGTGTCCCAGTCTGGTCTCAAACTCCTGGGCTCAAGCAAACTGTCTTCCCCTGTCTCCCACAGTGCTGGGATTACAGGCATGAGTCACTGCACCCAGACTGTTCATTAGATTTAACAAGTATGCATGAGCCCAGGCCTGCACCAGGCAGTAAGGACTATTGACCTACTGAAACCCAGGCCTGTAGATCAGAGATTTAAAAGTTGTTTCAATTTTACTGGAGATTCTAATTCAGGGAGGGGATTGAGTGATGACATGGAGAGGCCATGTCATTGGAAGAAGAATTTATGAGTTGTATTTGCCAAGGGATGAGGGCACATCATGCATGCAGGGCCACATGGGGAAGCACCAGGTTAGGTCAGGAAGGAGAAGTGGTGAGAAGAAAGCCCAGGCCACAGCGTTTATTGCGGTTGCCTTGGGAAAAACAAGGCGGGGCAGGAGAAACAGTGTAGGATTGGCTATTTCAAATAATTTGGGCAGGCTCTGGGCTATAGGAGTGGTCTGTAGTTGTCTGGTACCTGGCCCTGGGTGATTTCGGGCAGAGGAAATACTGGCTGGTGTGTAAGAGTGAGATAAGGAAGTGTTTGGGAGTATGGACTCAAATGATTGGTTAGAGGGTTTGTAATATGATTTTTGTGCATCTGGGAAACCTGGATTGCAGAGGAAATAGAAATAATCATGGCCATTAATTTGGCCTTGTGACTAATGAATACCAAACAGACAAATACAGAATCTAAGAAAACACAAAACAAAAGTCCACATGATCAGAGCGTCTCAGTGAAGATGAATCATCTTACATAAACACACAGCTTAGAAACTGGCCCATGCACCAGGCAGCACGTGGAAAAACAATTAGCCACATGGCTATTCCATGTCTTCATTCTAACAATGTGTAGTGAAGCATTTGGTCTTGCCCAGAGGGTGATCTGGCCTTTGCCCTCAGCTTCTGGGATTAACCTCAGTCATAACTTATAAGAGTATCTTGGTTTAGGGGATGAGATAACCACACTGGATCCTGGGGTACATACTGGCCATGCCAGAAAGACCCAGCAGTGTGATTTAGGGTGAGAATTTGGGTCATGTAGTGTCAGCTGACTTTCAGAATGAGATCAGCCATGTGGGCAATCAATAAACCCATCAGGCCTACAGAATGAAGCTCCAATAAAAACTCTGGACACTGAAATTTGCTTGTACCTCTTTGGTTGACAGTACTCAAGGTGTATCCTCACACACAGATGCCAGGAAGGTAATGTGTTCTAACTCCACAGGAGAGGACAATGGAAGCTTCATGTTTGATAAGCCTCCCAGACTGCCCTGTGTGTCTCTTTCTTTGGCTAATTCTAATCTGTATCTTTTCTCTATAATAAATCAAAACCATGAGTATAATAGCTTTCAATAAATTCAGCGGGTCCTCCTAGTGAATTATCCAATCTGAGAGTAGTTTGGGGGAATCCCCCAAAGTTGAGGTCAGTGTCCAAAATGAAAGCAGGGTTAGGAATTGTGACCTCAGCCTTTGCAGTTTGGCTGACTCTGGGCTTTATTTTTTAAAAATAAAACCAAAAAGAAAGATATTAGGTAAAAAATGGAGGGTTCTCCTCCCTTCCCTGGCTTTCTCCAGAGGATTTCTCTGTTAACTGTTTCCTTCTGGTTTATCTTTCCAGACATTTTCTGTATAAATATAAACATGTATGCACAGTCTCTTTTTAAATCATAAATGAGATTGTGCTCCATAGCTTTCCCTGAAACTTCCTTTTATCACTTCCATGTCATGAGTATTTTTTGTGTCAGCACATCTGGACCTATTCCTGAGCTTTTTGATGGCTGAGTGATATTTGTTTGTAAGGCTGAACTCTCCTAAGACAGGAACCAAGTCTAAGGGATCTTGAGAGATCACGTGACTTCATGTGCATAGAGCTCCTAGAAGAATGCTGGCACAGAATAAGCAGGCACCACGTGTTTGTTCTCATTTATTTGTTTATGTAGCCAGCCCTCTCTTGTGTACATTGAGATTTCTAATTTTCCCATTATTCCCAAAAGGCTGCAGTGAATATGCTTGAGCTTCTACATATACTTTCACATTTAGGATAAATTCCTGGGAATGGAATTGCTGGATCAAAGGGTATGCATTGCTGGGTGGTGTCAAATTGCTGTCTGAAACGGTTGTACCATGGCCGGGCACAGTGGCTTATGCCTGTAATCCCAGCACTTTGGGAGGCCAATACAGGCAGATCACTCGGGGTCAGGAGTTAGAGATCAGCCTGGCCAACATGGCAAAATCCCATCTCTACTAAAAATACAGAAATTAGTTGGGCATGGTTGTGCGCACCTGTAGTCCCAACTACTTGCGAAGCTGAGGCAGGAGAATTGCTTGAACCTGGGAGGCAGAGGTTGCAATGAGCCAAGATCATGCCACTGCACTCCAGCCTGGGAGCCAGAGGGAGATTCTGTCTTAAAAAAATAAATACATACATACATAAATACATAAATACATAAATCAAAACAAAATAAAATAAAATAAAATAAAATGGTTGTACCAGTTAACGTTCCCACCTCACCCCATGGTGTGCTCGATTCCCAGACCCCCAACTACTGAGCATTATCAACCTTTTTAGTCTTTACCAATCCAATCGATTTTTAACATTTCAATCTCCTTGTGGTTTAGTTTGCATTTCTTTACTGGTGAAGTTGGCTATCTGTTTTATATATTTGTTCATTTACTTTATTGAACTTTTTTTTTCAGGCTGCTTGTTCGTGTACTTTAATATTCTATTTGGTTTACACAGATTTCCCCATTCCATTGGAAACTGATATCTTGAGCGAGATTCAGGCAACATGAAAAGGTACCGGGATGCTTTCCCAGCCATCATTTCCATGCCATCGTGACTTCCACTATGTTTTAAATTTCCTTAAGGAAACAAAGCAAAGCAAAATGAAAAACAGTGAAGACTGGAAAGAGGGATTAATTTTCTCTGGTTGGTTGAGGAGCTTTTATTTGTTTGTTTCCTCCTCTCATCTAAATAGATATCCTTTATTTTACCTTTATTTTAGGAGTCTCTCCATTGCTCCAGTGTGGAAACCAACCCACCAGGAACTGAGTTATTTTATTCTTTAATTTAAATCAATCTGACAAATAAATATCCTTTAATTTCTCAACCCAGCATAGATGATGGTATGTAACAGACTGGTAAACCACTTTTGTGTTTTGGTAAATTTTTTGCACTTTTATAAGGCTGAATTTCCTTACCAAAAGTAGTTTGTTTGACTTACATGTTGTTTTAAAGATATATCTATTTTTTTATTTTTAGGGTTTTTTTTTTTCAGAGATGGGGTCTTGCTGTGTTGCCTAGTTGGGGTCTTGCTGTGTTGGCTAGTCTCCAGCTCCTGTGCTCAAGCAATCTTCCCACCTCAGTCTCCTGAGTAGCTGGGACTATAGGTGTGTGCCACTGTGCCCAGCTAAAGATGTATTCTTGATTTTCAAGTGCATTTCACATTTTGCAAAGAATATTTGCATAAACTCCTCAAGAATTTGGTTTCTTCAAAAAGGAAATGGCCGGGCACGGTGGCTTATGCCTGTAATTCCAGCATTTTGGGAGGCCAAGGCGGGCGGATCAGGAGGTCAGGAGTTTGAGACTAGCCTGACCAACATGGTGAAACCCTGTCTCTACTAAAAATACAAAAAAAAAATTGCCAGGCATGGTGGTTTGCACCTGTCGTCCCAGCTGCTAGGGAGGCTGAGGTGGGAGGATCACTTGAGCCCGGGAGCAGAGGCTGCAGTGAGCCAAGATCATGCCACTGCACTCCAGCCTAGGTAACAGAGCAAGACCGTCTCAAAAAAATAAACAAAAAACAAAAATGGAGAGAACCCAAGATGTGGTCCTGCCTTTCTTCGAACCTCCTTTTCTTCTAATATTGACCTCCTAATTGGGGGTCCTTGTTTGTCAACTGTACAGCCTCCTTCTTTCCTCCTCTCATTTCTCAGAACTTGTGACAGTTGGTATATGGTTCATACATACTGGTTTATTTCACAGTTTTACATATTCAGATCCATCTTTTCTCCCCTGTGAAGTTATAAAGCTCTTATAGATTAGGTGCTGTATTAGTTATACAGTGCTGCATAACAAGTCACCCCAGATTTACATCTTCAAACAACAATAACATTTATGACCTAGCAGTTTTTGCAAGCCAGAAGTCGGTGGAAGCAGCTCATCTGTGCACAGCAATCCAAGGGCCGGGCTGGAGCTGCAGACAGTACTCCCGAGGTAGCTCACTCTCGTGACCGCAAAACTGGAGCTACTCAGTTTCTCACCATGTGGACTGTTTGGTGGAGCTACTTCCCAGAGCCACTCAGGAGCCCTCATAACATGGCATCTGGCTTTCTCCAGAGTGAGTGACTCAAGCAAGAGCAAGGCAAAAGCCATAGGTCTTTTATGGCCCAGGCTCAGGAGTCAAACACTGTCATTTCCAAAATATCCTATTGGGTACCTACATCAGTTCTCCACAGGGTCATGAATACCAGGAAGCAGGAATCATTTGGGGCCATCTTAGAGGCTGGTTACCACAGGGACCCTGTCTTTTATTCCTTCTGTATGTTATGCCATATAGATCAGATTCTGGCATAGGCATAATCAACCCGAACTATGCAGAAATATCATAATGAATCAAGAAGCAAATTCTGCCGGGCGCGGTGGCTCATGCTTGTAATCCCAGCACTTTGGGAGGCCGAGGTAGGCGGATCACCAGAGGTCGGGGGTTCAAGACCAGCCTGACCAACATGGAGAAACCCCATCTCTATTAAAAATACAAAAAGTTAGCTGGGGATGATGGCACATGCCTGTAATCCCAGCTACTCAGGAGGCTGAGTCAGGAGAATCACTTGAACCCGAGAGGTGGATGTTGCGGTGAGCAGAGATCGCGTGATTGCATTCCAGCCTGGGCAACAAGAGCAAAACTCAATCTCAAAAAAAAAAAAAAAAAAAAGGAAGCAAATTCTTTTTATAACTCATGACTGTGAGTAAAAGGACCAGTCTTGGGTCAAGTTGCCTGGGAGACATCTCCAAGGCAGACACTAGCATGCAAGAAGTTTATTGCGGAAAAGAACCCTTTGGATCACCACCGCTTGTTGGGGAGCGAAGGAACTAGTATTGGGATCAGGGAATTGTGGAGCAGCAAAGGCCTCAGCCAATCCCAAGGAAAGCTCTGGCGCTAGGATGGCCCATCACAGTATTTACACCATGAAAACTGGCAGTGCTACAAATCAGAGTTGTTGTTATTTTTAGACACAGGGTCTCGCTCTGTCACACGGCTAGAGTGCAGTGGCACTATCATATTAATAGATCACTGCAGCCTGAAACTCCTGGGCTCAAGCAATCCTCCCACCTCAGCCTCCTGAGTAGCTGAGACTACAAGTACAGGCCACTGTGCCTGACTAACCTACTTTTTCTAGAGATGGCTGTCTCACTATGTTAACCAGGCTGGTCTCAAACTTCTGGCCTCATGCCATCCTCGTACTTCGACCTCCCAAGGCACTGGGACTATGGGCATGAGCTGCTGCACGCAGTCAAATTAGGATTTTTGAAATCCCTGATTTAAACCTTAAGTTGGTTATTAATAATTTACCAGTGCACTAGTGATCTTTTGAATCCCTTTTCCTGAGATCCTGAATGTAGTATCTTGTCATGTTAAAATTTCTGAGAAGTCCCACAATAAGGAAATTTGTTTAACTTTGTGAAATAAACATTTCCCAAACATAGGACGTTGGTATAAATTTTGGTGCACAGACCCAAGTGTCTAAGAAGCTATTTAATTTCTGATTTTGACTCCCTTTTCTTCCAGATTGATGAGGGAAAAAAACCACCACCACCACCTGGTTCTCACTTGTTGATCCACTCAGGCACTGCTCAGACGCCCAGAATCCCTGTTCACAGGATCTGCCAGGTCTGAGGACTGAGCTCAGTTTCTGGGAGATGCTCGAGGGAAAGGGATCCTCATCCTCTGGGTGGGGGTGCATGCTTCCCTCCCTGTGATTCAGCCTCTCCTATTTCCCACTGCCTCTCAGGCCTGTTTCACCCGTTCTGCCTGACTCCTGAAAGCATTTGCGTTTGCAAGCCCAGTCTAGGTGCACTTCCTGACCACTTTGTCTCTGCCACCTCCCTGGTGCTCTGCTTGCAGGCTGGGCCTGGGGCTCTCCTGAGCCACAAACCCTGGCTTCCTCCCTCTCCCCTCTTCCTTCCCCGCCCCCTACTTCTCTTCCAGACTCCTGTTTCCCTACCGCATTCCTCCTCCCCTTCCCTTTTCTCCTTTTCTTCCTGTCTCCCTTCCCCTTTTCTTCTCTCCTCAAAAACCCTTTCCAGGCTGGAGTAAGTCTCTCTCCCTTCATCCAGCCTTTGCTTGAGAGTCAGCTGAATTCTCCCAAGGACTTTGGCTTTGTTTCCGTCCGATCAGCAGCCTCCAGAAGGTAATGAGCACTGTGCCCCGCCTGCTTCAATGGGGGAGGAACGGTATGGAATTGGGAGGGACGAGAAAAAGTTCCTATCTAAAACCCCCTTTCCCTCCACCACACTGATTTGACTTTGGAACAGTTTTGTGGAGCACAGTTCAGGGAAACTCTGCAAGTGCTTCCCATGGTCTCTTGCAAAACCAGCGGGTGCCAAGGAGGTGCCAGAGTGACCTCTGGGCTCACAATCTGTGACAGACAGTAAGACAGTCTGGAAATACTTTCATCTCAGCCCTTCAAGGGATTAGGTACTAAAGGGGAGGGAGGGTAGAGCCTGGGAATCCCAGCTGACCTGGAGTCACTGAGTCCCGGGGGGCCGAGGGCCGATGGGAGAGGAGTTGCTGTTCTTGGCGGCTGTTTGAAAACTTTCATACAAGATCGCATCATTCTTCATCCCGTTCACTTGTGTTTCCACAGGTACTGCTTTCTGAGGGTCTGGGTGGCTCCTTGGAAAAGGGGTCTGGGTGGCTCCTTGGAAAAGGAGTCTGGTCCCCACTGTGATAGTATTAAATACAAGTCTCTGAAAACGTCTTAAAATCCCTCCCAAAATTAATGCATTGATTTAGAAGTGAGACCAAAATGTGAAGACTTCACCAGTCTAAAATAAATTCAAAACAAGTTAAATGAGCATGACCGAATAGCCAGCCATTTCTAAATTGTTCATTTCACATAGTGTAGCCTTTACAGTGGTGGCAACTATGATAACAGATCCTATGACTTAGATAAGATCAACAAATTACCAAGTGCTAATTGTTTCTGCTGGGTGTAGGTGAGGAGATAAATAGCTTGTAAATTAAACAGCAGTGCCTAAGGGTGCCATTCCTGTACTCACACGGGCTGCTCCGTGCTCTCCAGCAAATAATTTCCTCTTATCTCATAATTAAACATTTTTACCTTTAAAAACCACAATCATTAGTGAATATGTTATCCTCCTAGTGCCAAATTTAAAAGAGGAGAAAGGAGATAAGAAGCAGTAATCTAATAAACTGAATGACAATGTCATTTCATCCTTTTGCAAATCATCGAAATATAGGCTTTCTGTCTTGGGTGGTTATTGGGCCATCTATGCAGCTTTTCCATAAGCAGCTCCTGCGCCAGTGCTGAAGTGTGGCAGTCGTCAAATCCAGAGCCTGTGTGGCCTGGAGCCTGTCAGTAAGTGCTCATGTGCCGCAGCTGTTCTCTGTTGTTTAGGATCTTGCCTCAGATTCGCTTATAAATGGCATTTATAACATCAAACTTATTCAGTGCCCGTTAAGATGTTTTAGCTTTATCATGAATGTCAACCGCTCCTTTTCCAGCTTCCCATCTCAAGGGAAGACCATGAGAGCTGAATATCACTACCACATTATTTTACTCCAAGTGCAGACATACAGTGCAGTGCAGTGCAAAGAGCTGTTTTCTTTCCTTCCCTTTGTTTTCAAAGTTCAGTCTCTGAACGTCTGGTTAGAAGAGTGTTATCTGGATAATGTTTTTCACTCTGCGCTAGTTATGGTATGTCCTTGTGTTAGAAATTCTAAAGACAAAAATGTGTCCATTCCTTCTTTGTTCATCCATCCATCCTTTCATCCATGCATTTATTTCATCGTTTATTCTTCTCATGTTTATGAAGTTCTTTTGGTTCAAACCCTGTGCAGGGCGCTAGATGAAAGGCAAATGTGCGTGGGGCACATTTCTTTCTGCTGAGCTCAGAGGGAGAGGCCAAAATTGTAAATACTGATTACAGTAGAAAGCACTGTGGAGAGGCCCCACCCAGCTTGGGCCAGGCAGGAAGATTCCAATGAGGCAATGATAAAACCAAGAGGAGCAGCAGAGAACAGCGGCTTGCAGCCCCCTGGCTGAGCTAGCTTCAGAGGCAGATAAATAAGTGCCTGCCAAGTCTCGGGTATCAAGTACAGGCTTGGCCAGGGGTAGCCTGCAAAGATGAAGCCTTTGACCTGGGCTATCTCATTTTATTCTCCTGGTAACCTGTGATATAGGCTCTTCCCTAGCTACTCTGCAGTGGGGAATAAGAGAAACAGGGGAAGAAGTCCTGGCTGCCCCTGCCTATTGTGACTTTGAGAAGGAATTACCCTCCCAGGGCTTCAATTCCCTGATATGTTACATGGGGATCATAACAGTTTCTACCTCTCAGGTTTGTTGTGAAGATTACATGAATTTACACATGTGAAGCATTTAGAATAATGCATGAATTCAATAAATAGTAACTATCATTACTCATCTTACTAATTAGGCTTAGTGAGCATAATTAAGTGACCCGAATTATCCAGCTGAAAAGAGGCAGAGCTAGGGGTCAAACCCCTTCCTAACCTACAGTATTGTGTGCAGCATACCACGGGACCACACAGGATGACCACTTAATTAAGACTGATGCAACCAGGGAGGGCTTCCTGCAGGAGGTAGCATCTGAGCTGAGTTTGGAAGAAGGGCCTAGAGTTTGCCAGGGAAAGAAGTGGGAAAAGCATTTTAAGGAGACTAGCAGAACGTGTAAAGGCCTGGAGGCATGAGCAGGCCTGGTATATAGCAGGACCGTGGTATGGCCAGGGGGTGGAGGAGTTTAGATTGGACCCTGAAGGCAAAGCAGATTCTTTGTTTTGTTTTTGGTGCTAGTAATTAGTGTGTTTATTTGAAGAGTGGGAAAAAGTAAAAGAGAAACTTAAAAATACAGGTAATTTGTATTTACAATTTATTTACTGTTTTTCTTTAAATGACTTGTTCTTTTTATTTAAATTTATTTACTGATTTTCATTTTTATTTTTTAATAAATAGAGATGGGGTCTTGCTTTGTTGCCCAGGCTGATCTCCAACTCCTAGACTCAAGTGATCCTCCTGCTTCAGCCTCCCAAAGTGTTGAAATTACAGGTGCGAGCCACCACTCCTGGCGTAAATTTACTTTTGAACTATATCACAACCATAAAATGGAAAACTATAGTGCCAGATATGTTTTGGAATTCAGATTTTTTTCTGATTTAGAAAGGAGATATAGAGCATACGCCCTGCAGTAGTTAACACCCCCAGAAGCCAAAGAATCAATAAATATTTCTCAGAGAAATGTATGACTATTTACACCAAGTAGGACAGAAGCTATATATAGCTTGCCTCAAGGAGCTTTGGCCCCAACATTACAAAAAAAGCTTTCATTTTTCAGAGATTTGTAGATTTTAGAATGTGGATGAGTAGTCTCACTTGCTGGAACTAGAAGGTAACAGAAAATATATTTGTTGCATACAAAGCTTTGTTCTTAGAGTCCAGCTCAGCCTCCCAGCTGTGGCTACAGAGGTGCATCCTTGTTGAAAGGAGATTCACTGGCATCAGGGAGGTGTTCAAAGCTTCCACTAGCAATGTTAACAATGAGGAAACTGGGTGTTGGGTATTTAGGAACTGTATGTAATGTTCTTGCAATTTTTCTGTAAATCTTCAACTATTCTGAAATTTAAAGTTTATTTAAAAAAAATAAGCTGACTCACACCAAACCAGACTTTCTCCATAACAGAATCACTGATATGGTTAGGCTTTGTGTCCCCACCCAAATCTTATCTTGAATTGTAATCCCAGGTGTTGAGGGAGGGACCTGGTGGGAAGTGATTGGATCATGGGGGCGGTTTCCTCCATGCTGTTCTCGTGATAGTGAGGGACTTCTCATGATATCTGTTGGTTTTATAAATGGCAGTCCCCCTGGGCTTTTTCTGTCTCTCCTGTCACCTTGTGAAGAAGATGCCTGCTTCTCCTTCCTCCATGATTGTAAGTTTCCTGAGGCCTCCCCAGCCATGTGAAACTGTAAGTCAATTAAACCTCTTTTCTTTATCAACTACGCAGTCTTGGGTAGTATCTTTATAGTAGTGTGAAATTGAACTAATACAATCACTTTCTCATTCAGTGACTCCATTCTTAATGCCCCCACCTCATCCCCACAAAATGATTCCATGGGCATCCCCTGACCCCAAGGTAGGCTCCCAGGCTTTGGGAAACCCTGGCTGGGCTGGGCTGGACTAGGCTATGTTGTCTCTGGACATTAAGCCGAAGGATAGGGCTTTTTCTGTGGCAATGAGATTTCATTAAAGGTGTTTAAGTGGGTTGGGGTTGCCGTTGAGAGTACCGTTTGTGGATGGGGGTGAGAAGTTTGGCCAGAGAGGAAAGATACCGGGGAGCAAGAGGGAAAGGCTAGTGATCAGGCTGGCAGGCTGATGGCCAGGAAGGCACAGATGTGGGTGAACGGGAGGGTTCAGAGAGGCAGGAATGCAGACCCCCTGGAGGTGTGTGCAGGAGAGCGTGTTAGGGGCTGGCTGGGGCAGGATGCTGGCTTTGTGAGGGGCCAAGGGCATCTCACAAAAATGTTCTGCAATGTTCTAGGTCATTCCCTGAAAAGTAAAAAATATATTTTAAAAAATTTTTTTGAAAGAAAAGAAAATGTCCTGCAAGGGCCTGGAGGGGCAGGTTGCCCAGAGCAGCGTCAGAGACTCAGGCTTGATGCCATCCTTTCACAGATAGTAAGAGGCTCCTAGAGCTGTTGGACGTCTCCAGGAGACAGAAAAGGAACATTGCCCTTCCCCAGCCCCTCACAGCTTCACCCCCCTGCCCCTCACAGCTTCACCCCCCTGCCCCAGCCACAGGGTAAACAACAACAAGGTTGGGACAAAGGAGGGGTTAGAAGAGAAGACAAACCGGCCCTCATTCTACTCATTCTGGGTGGAACAGGAAGCTCGGCTCCTGGTTGTTAAGCTTGAAGGTTGCTGATTGGAATCTGTGGGGATGGATGGAGATCCTCCCTTACAGGACCCGATGCCCAGGGCTGACTAAACAGGGAGCTGTTCTACCAAAGGCGTAGGAACCACTACAGAAAAAAGTGAAAGATACACAGGGTAGACGTCCTCCAGAAAGCAAGGAAACTTGAGCATCCAGCACGCAGAGGACACCCACTCTGCCCGTGTGCCTATTTTTGCCTCCAAATCCTCACCTGGGCATCAGTACCTCACCTGAGCCGCCAACAGCCAGGATCCTGTGCCAAGCCAGTGCCATTCTGGGATTTAACTCAGCAGCTACAAGCCAGAAAGAAACTGGGGACTCCAGGGCCAGTTCCTGAGCCTGCACGCCAGCCGGAGGGAGAGCGCCCAGCAGACGCCGCGGGTTGCGCCCCGGGCGCGTCCCTCCGCTGCCCTTCGTGGGCGCGAGTGGCAGCCGGCTGCGGGCCTGGCGGGGAGCCGGTCAGCCTGACATCCCCAGCAGATGTCAGTCTGGGAACAGGAAGCAGCGTGTTTGGGGTTTCTAAAAATAAATAAATAAATAACCACAACCACAAGAACAGTCTTTTATTGCAAAGTAAAAAAATGCTTTAATGACTAGAGCGTTTAGCACATTGGGGGTGTTCATTGTTTTCAATTATGTGCCATTCTGAAAGGAGAGCACAAATTCTGAGCCTGAATGGAGAATTGTGGGGCTTCGGATTTGTGCTGTTTTAAACATTTGCTTTACTACTTTAAGAAGAGAACTGTAAAATAGAAATAATGATATATTATTACAAGTAAATTACACTGTGGAGTAGCATTAATATTGCAGTTGAAACCTAGAATTTGAAATAAAGATGGAAATATTCATTTGTACATAGTTTTTGTTCTTAGAAAAATGATTTAGCATAAGTCAAGAAGCTTCCTTCTGCGCGTGCACATCCGGCGGGGGCTGAGGCTCCCTGGCCGGGGCACCCCAGGGCCGCTCTGCCAGGATCCCAGTGGTGAGCCCTGGGGTCCCCGCAGGGACCGGGAACCTGGAGTTCTCAGCACCAGGGCTGGCACAGGCTGGGTTCCTCCATGTGTCCCCCAGCAAGGACTTGAAGCCAGGCCACTGTGACGCCCCCTCCTCTCTCTTACTTCCTGGCAATCTAGAAATGGAGAAAGGAGCAGAGGAGACCGAACAATGGCAGGGATTATAAGGGGACTGATGTGGGAGGAAGCAGCTCTTTCAAGAAGATCAGTCTAGATTAGTATGGGAATTGGACGTTTAGGGTTTCTCTCTCTCTCTGGTCATTTTTTTTCAGATTACAAAAGTAATATACATTTCCGGCAAAAAGAAAATTAATGTATTACAGAAACATGTGATTTAGAAAGTGGTAGTCCCTGCAATCTAGTCTAGGGTGGTGGTAAGGGCATTAGGTGCTTGTGGACAGAGGCTGCATAAGGAGATGGTGACAACAGGTGACAGAAGAGCTTTATTCTGCAATCCTCCCTTCTCTCTTTATTTTTTTCTTTGTGTGCCTCTATCTGAAAAATATCACCCTTCTCAAAGGCAGGCCCTATTTTGTCAGGCCTAATCCCCTAGCCAGGCTTCTTCTTCCTCTTCTGGGAAGAAGGTGGTGAGAAAGGCCACAGAAAAATTTAGGGTCCATAGCTTCCTTCTATTTATCCATTCAAGTGTTGTTGTTTTTTTAAACCAGTATAATACAGCTGAGCTCCACCTACTGCATTTTGTGAACCAAACATCAAAGCTTGTCATGGTCAGTACTAAGCGATCTTTGGAAATGCATTTTTTAGGGGCACCCTGTCATTCTAGACAAGGCCCTACGCTGCTCACGCGGGGCCCAACCCATTTCCTAACCTGGCCCTGCCCACTTCACCAAACACCCCCAGTCCAGCCACCCTCCTGACACCTGAACTACCCACTACTTTTGCCTCTGAGGGCCCTCATTGCAGGTTAGGCTCCTCTTCCATCACCTGTGCAGGCCACCAAGCTCATGATCCTAGACTCTGCCCGACAGCCCAGCCTCTATGAAGTCTTCTGGGGCAACTCCTCACTCCTTAACACCCAATGCTTATCTTTTGTTAGTAAAGAGTAACTTGACTCGGATTTGTACCCCTTGCCCATTGTAAGGAATAACAATAAATAGTTAATGAATGAATAAATTGGTGATTTGGGAGGTGGTACAAGGAAAGGAATATGAGGGAAGTACTATTTATTTAGCACATTTGAACAACCCTGCTGAGTAGGCATGATCTCTCTCACTTCACAATTGAGGAAACTGAGGGTCAGAGAGGATTAATAACTTATCCAAAGTCACATAGCCAGGAAGGGGCAGAGCAAGGTTTAGAATCCAGGTCTGCTTTGACTCCCTATGGTTCGAATGTTTGTCTACTAAATTCATGTTGAAATGTGATTGCTAATGATGGGAACTAATGACTGATGCAGTTATAAAAGGGCCAGTTTGTCCCCTTTTGCCTTTTGCCCTTCTGCTGTCCACCATGTGATGCTGCAGCAAGAAGGTGCTCACTGGCTGGTGCCTCGAAGTTGGACTTCCCAGCCCCCAGAACTGTGAGCCAATAAGGTTCTGCTCATTACCAATCACTCAGTCTCAGGTATTCTGTTATAGCACAAACAGACTAAGACGTTGCCTTTTCACCTCTCAACATGGAGTGAGCACTGGCTCAGAGAATCCCCAACACATACACTGGGCACCACCAAGAGACCATCTGTGGGTTCCCTGGAATCCCTAGGGCAGCCCAACACATACCAAGGGTCTTTCCCATAAATATTTGATTAAATTCCTAAAACTCCTAATATCCACTCCCACCTTCCACCTCAGCAACCTTTTATTTGGAAAACTTTAAACTTAGAAAAATTGAAAGAGCAGGACAATAAACGTGAGTATATCCTTCACATTTCCAAACATATATACACACTTGTATACGTATTTATACATTAGAGGCTTTTTGTTTTGGTTTTGCTTTCCTGAACTATTAGAAAACGACTTGCAGAGATTGTACACTTGGCACATAAATATTTCAGCATGTTTCTCTTAGAAGAAAGGGATTCTCTTCCACAATCATAATACCATTATCACACCCAACACATTTAACATATACTTAATAGTTCAATATGTAGTCTATATTCAAATTGGTTCAAAAATGTCTTTTATAGCTCTTTTTGTTTTTTGATCCTGAATCTTTTTTTTTTTTTTCTTTTTGAGACGGAGTTTTGCTCTTGTCATCCAGGCTGGAGTGCAATGGCACAATCTTGGCTCAGTGCAACCTCTGCCTCCCTGGTTCAAGCAATTCTCCTGCTTCAGTCTCCCAAATAGCTGGGATTACAGGCACCCACCACCACACCCAGCTAATTTTTTTTTATTTTTTAGTAGAGATGGGGTTTCACCATGTTGGCTAGGCTGGTCTTGAACTCCTGACCTCAGGTGATCCACCCACCTCAGCCTCCCAAAGTGCTAGGATTACAGGTGTGAGCCACCACGCCCGTCTGATCCTGAATCTTTTTTAAGGATCACAAATCTCACTGATTTGTCATGTCTCTTTAGTCTTCTGTAACTTACAGCAATTATTTTATCTTTTTCATGATATTGACACTTTTTAAGAATTCAAACTGGTTCTCTCATAGAGTGTCCCACATTCTGGATTTGTCTGTTTGTTTCTTCCTTCCTTTTCCCCCAAGAATACTATATCTGTATCATGCATTGTGGTGTATCAGGAGGCACATAATGTCACTTTGTTCCATTACTGATGATGTGGTTACACTTCATTACTTGGTGTGGGTGCCCTCTAAGATGGCCCCCATTGGTCCTTACCTCCTGGTGTCCACATCCTTGGGTTCCCCCTCCCCTTAGGTATGGGTTGGACTTAGTGACTTGCTTCTAAAGAATAGAATAAGTGAGAAGTTATAGACTGTCACTTCTGAGATGAGGTTATAAAAACACTACAGTTTTCATTTTGGGAACTGTCACACGGCTTGTTCTAGGGGAAGCCAGCTGCCATGCTGTCAAGAAGCCCTATGGAAGGGCCTCCAGGATCTTGAGGCGAATCTTCTGAGGTCTGCATTACAATCTACTACAATAACTTATTTTTGATGTCAGATTGTCCCAAATTTGGTTAGTGGAAGTTCCTCCAAGCTGATGTCAGTATCCTTTTGACATAACCCCATCAGTCTTTGAGCACTTCCTTACTTTGTGGCTCACTTCATATTTTCCCTGCTTCAGGTCTGGAATCAGCCATTTCTCCAAGGTTTCTTTTAGTGGAAAATGGCATTGGGAAACCAAGCTCTGGCCACTAGGTTTGCTCATTGCTACTGGGATACCATTGTTTATAAACCCTTTCGGTGGACAGAGCTAGGAAATGCATATTTTTAGAAAACTAGTATTTTTTTTTTAATTTCTTCCAATTAAAACCCAGCTCCACAGGACTCCTCCTCATCTTCCCAATCTGTATTTGTATCTTTGCTTCCTCCACAATGGGAACGCTGACTTCCAGCACCATCAATACATTCATTTATTTAGTTTATTTTAACACACCTGTTAGCAAAAAGGAAACATCAATATATTTAATCATTTGCTCTGTTCTATAATACACCCCAAATACTTTCAGAATGACTGACTGCTCCAATACCATTTCCTTTTTTTTTTTTTTTTTTTTTTGAGACGGAGTTTCACTCTTGTTGCCCAGGCTGGAGTGCAATTGCACAATCTCGGCCCACCACAACCTCCTTCTCCTGGGTTCAAGTGATTCTTCTGCCTCAGCCTCCCGAGTAGCTTTGATTACAGGCATGCGCCACAACGTCCAGCTAATTTTGTATTTTTAGTAGAGATGGGTTTCTCCATGTTGATCAGGCTGGTCTTGAACCCCAACTTCAGGTGATCCACCTGCCTCAGCCTCCCAAAGTGCTGGGATTTCAGGTGTGAGCCACGGGGCCCGGCCTACCATTTCCTTTTTAAAATAAATTGGTGTTTATTTCTGTCAGCCTTCTTTTCATGGTGCTTAAAAGCCTGTGGATAAACAGCTTAAGCCCATTCAGTGGTTGCTCCTACACGTTTAGTGGCTGAGCAGTGGGAGCTGCAGACTAGTCTTCCGTGGCAAGCAGAGCGCTCCAGTCTTCAGTAGGGAGCTGCTGAATAGGCACAGAGGGCATCTGCCACCTTTAGACCAGTCTGCGCCCTCAGGCTGAGTAGCAGTGGACTCAGGAGCTGCAGCAGTCCATTCATCCTGAAATTCCTCTTGGTCACAGCCTTTCTAGCAGCAGCCTGCTCTTCTTTACAATCTCTTCAGGATCTCTGTGGAAGCAGAGATCAGACATGACCTCCCATTCACAGATGGTGCCAGGCATGTACAAGACTTTCCAGGCTAGCATCTACCATGTCAAACCCCCTGAGTGAGCTCCCTTGTTGTTGCATTGGATGGCAAGGCCCACATAGTGCAGAGGAGAATCTGTGACACAGAGCAATGGTAGGTAGGTTAATGTAAGATGCCTCTGTGAGGGGCTGGTGGTCAGCCCTGGGATCAGTAACCACCAGAAGCTGTGGCTCCCGGAAGGCTGCTGAGATCTGGTTAGAGAATGTTCTAGGAGTAAAGCAGCCAGCAACAAGAGTGGCTCCAGTGACAGCAGCAAACAACGGCGTGGCTTTCTGGCCAGTTTTCCTGGAGGATATGACACTGACATCAGCAGGGTTTTCAATGGCAACAATGGCACAAGCTGCCAGCAGCAACTTCTCCCAGGTCTTCTTCTGATTTAGGATGTAGATGCCATCACTTTTCATTTTATAGATGTACTGTTCCATTTGGAAGTCAAAATTAGTGTCACCTAAGTGGGTTCCTGCTGCAAGGAACTTGAGGACATCCTCCTCCTTCATTGGCAGGACATCAAGGGCTCTGGACATTGTGAACGTTTCCCTTTAAATTAAGACAGGAATCCAGAACAAGCCAGAACGGACCCCTCTCTGGGTAGTGCAGAAGCCCATTTCCAACATCAGGCCTAAGAAAAGTTCAAGACTTCTTTGTAATACTATTTGTTCTTAGAATACATCCAGTTAAGGGTAGGTAGTCAGAATACTGTATTCACAGGTCATTTCAACCTTTTTTTTTTCCTGTATGGTTCTATTATTAATTTTATATGCAGTTAAGTTCATTTGTTTATATTTGCATTTAATTTTAAGCTTTTCTTTTTGACAAATCTCTCAAAATTTAAAAAATTTTAAATATGGGCCAGGCGTGGTGGCTCACACTTGTATTCCCAGCACTTTGGGAGGCCGAGGTGGGTGGATCACCTGAGGTGAAGAGTTCGAGACCAGCTTGGCCAACATGGCAAAACCCCATCTCTACTAAAAATACAAAAATTAGCCAGTTATGATGGCACACGTCTGTAATCCCAGCTACTCAGGAGGCTGAGACAGGAGACTCACTTGAACCCGGGAGTTGGAGGTTGCAGTGAGCTGAGATCATGCCACTGCACTCCAGTCTGGGTGACAGAGTGAGACTCCATCAAAAAAAAAAAAAATTAAATATGTAAAACTTTTACAAGGTTCAAAAGTCAAAACTATATATATATGTATATATAAAATTATATATGTAGTTATATATAACTATATATCAAAAACTATACTCAGAATTTGATATGGTTTGGCTGTGTCCTCACCCAAATCTCATCTCGAACTGTAGTTCGCACAATCCCTGTGAGTTGTAGGAGGGACCTGATGGGAGGTAATTGAATCATGGCGGTGGTTACCCCCATGCTGCTGTTCTCGTGATAGTGAGTGAGTTCTCACGAGATTGATGGTTTTATAAGGGGCTTTTCCCCCTTCTGCTTGGCACTTCTTCCTGCCACCATGTGAAGAAGGACGTGTTTTCTTCCCCTCCCACCATGATTGTAAGTTTCCTGAGGCATCCCCAGCCATGCTGAATTATGAATCAATTAACCCGCTTTCCTTTACAAATTACTCAGTCTCGGGTATGTCTTTATTAGCAGCGTGAGAACAGACTAATACGAAAGGGTAAACTCACATCCTTATTACTTCCACTCCATTCCTGCCAATCCCCTATAGGCAACTACTTGTTTTTGGTTTATTCTTCCTGTATCTCTCTTTCTTATACAAAAAACGTAGCATAATATATCCATTATTTAGTACTTTAATTTTTTTCACTTAACATATCCTGGAAATTACTACATGTTAATTCAGAGAAATATTCCTCAACACTTGTCAGCTGTGTAGTACTCCATTGTGTGACTGCATCACAGTTTATTCAATTACTATCCTAATTGAATGAAATTGTTTCTAATATTTTGCTGTTTAAGTAATGTCTCCGTGAACAACCTTATAAATACGTTGTTTTATATTTGTAGAAGTGTACTTTCAGGATAAATTCCTGGAGTTAGTATTACTGAGTCAAAGGGTAAATTGCATATATAGTTTTGCTAGATATTTCCAAATTCCCTCCACAGGGGTGTATCATTTTGCATTCCCACCAATGATTATGAGAATCATTACAGCCTTGCCAATGGACTGCATGGTCAAACTTCTGAAATTCTGTCAATTTTATAAAGATTGGTATCTCAATGTAGTTCTAATATATATTTATAACATAATGAGTGAAGTTGAACATCTTTCTGTATTTTAAGGTCCATCTACATATTTTTGTATCTGTGTGTATGAACTGTTTGTTCACGCCTTTTGCCTAATTTTCTATCAAGTTTTGGCCTTTTCCCCTCAATATTTAAAAGTTCATTACATTCCTAATATTACAGATTAACCTGTTTCTGTGAAAATGTTGCAAATATTTCTCACAATGTGCCAATTTTCTTGCCATGCAGCAGGTTTTTTTAAAGTTGTTGAATTTATTAATACTTTATTTTATGCCGTTGGAGTATTTTATTTTTCATTAGCAAAGCATTCATTTTGGTGTCAGGCTGAGCTTGGACTGGGTTTCCATGCCTCTCTTAAAATTTTTATTTGAAAAAAAAACTACTTTTTTATTTTATTTTATTTTTTGAGACAAGGTCTTCCACTCTGGCCCAGGCTGGAGTGCAGTGGTGTGATCTTGGCTCACTGCAGCCTCGACCTCCTGGCTCAAATGATTCTCCTGCCTCAGCCTTCAGAGTAGCTGAGACTACAGGGATGCAGTGCTGCACCTGGCTAATTTTTAATTATTTTATTTTACTTTTTGTAGAGACAGGGTCTCAATATTTTGTCCAGGCGGGTCTCAAACTCCTGGACTCAAAGGATCCTCCTGCCTGTCCTTCCAAAGTGCTGGGATTGCAGGTGGGAGCCACTGTGCCCAGCTCCATGCCCCTTGATATCTTAAGTGTCTTCCTTTTTGTGAGGCACAGCTTTGAGACCTCTTTTCCTGTCTGCCAAGAAGGCAAAGGGGGCAGTGGGCCCAGTCAGTTTAATTGTTTTTTATCTGTTTCCCTCCGCTTGATCCCAGGAGCCCAGGTTGGGGACAGTCACTTAGCTCTAATGGGGTAGGGCAGATGCCACATGGAGGTGAAGATTGCACACACATCCCCTTTCCCCCCCAACTCCTGTCTTAGCTGGAGGAGCAAGCGCCCAGAGGCCCTTTGGTTTGCGTCTGGGATTTGAATCATAGACAGACTTCCCACACCCAGGGTATAAAGAAGTCCACCGATGTGTCTTCTAATACTTGTTTGTGTTCATTTTTTACGTTTGAATTTCTGATCCATTTGAGATTATCTTGCTGCATGGTGAGGGGTATGGGTCCAGTTTTCTAATAGGCAAGGTGGCCTATGAAGTGGGGGCGGGGTAGCAGGGGGAGAAGGAGCCACGATCTTGATGGTCTGGGCCACTAGGTGGCGATCTTCCAGGTTTCTCCTCCTTCAGGACGGTAGGAGAAAATGCTGTTTTGTTTTCAGAAGAAAAAGGAAATGAGTCATTAGGTTTAATTGGCCAAGAGGAAGCCCTAGTAAAAAGTTCCCCTCTGTCTACGCAACCTTGATTTCTGAAGGCAGGCCCTGTGCTTCTTTCCCTGTGTTAGAAAACATCATTTCCTCTGTGTCTCTGTTTCTCACCAGGAGGCTGATGTGGGCCAAGTGTGCGTGCACAAACACTGCCTTTGCCGTGAGCGCCTCCAGGTCCTGCGTAAGGCCATGGAGAGACTTCAAAGAGAGGTCAAGATGGCATTGCCCTGCCGTGTGCCTCTTGGGAAGCCTGGGCCTCGGAGTGACAAGACCTTGGTTCCTGTCCCAGTGCTGCTGCCACCCGGCCCTGTCATTGCAGGCATGCCACCTAGCCCTCTCTTCCTCAGTGTCCTCATCTATAAAATGGAACAATGTCTTCCCTAACCATGTGCCAAGGATTTCAATGGGATAAAATGATATATGTGTGCTGCAAAGTAAAAACACTGTGTAAATATATTTCCACCATTATTATGGTTATATTTTATATGTGGATGCATCTCTATGGAAGATCTATTCTTTTTCTTTTCTTTTTCTTTTTTTTTTTTTTTTTCCGAGACGGAGTCTCACTCTGTCGCCCAGGCTGGAGTGCAATGGCATGATCTCGGCTCACTGCAACCCCTGCCTCCTGGGTTCAAGCGATTTTCCAGCCTCAGCCTCCTCAGTAGCTGGGATTACAGGCACCCGCCACCACGCCCGGCTAATTTTTTTATTTTTAGTAGAGACGGGATTTCACCATGTTGGTTAGGCTGGTCTCAGCCTCCTGAACTCGTGATCCACCCACCTCGGCCTCCCAAAGTGCTGTGATTACAGGCGTGAGCCACCACCCCCGACCGATCTATTCTATATCTTACAAGAATTTGTATTTATAGGCTGTATTAATAGGTTGATTTGCTGTTTATAAGGTGTTTTTTTTTTTCACACATCCTCTCTTCTGTGAAAGGGACACAGCCTTAATGAGAAAATGGACTGGTTTTGAAAGAACTGCCAAAGTAGCGACCTTAGGAGAAGGTCTACAATGTGCTTTCTCTGAGGTTGTGTACAGAATTATGTGTGTGTGTAATTTTTCCCAGCTTGTATCAGATTGCTATAGGAGTTCATAGCTCAAAGGTGGTTAAGAACCACATTCTTGAAAAAGGGAGCCAGACTGGCCTCAGGACCCCCTCCCCATTTGGCTTCTGGGAGGACTGAACTGGTTCCAGTCCTTTCTTAAGTCCTACATGGGGTCTTAAGGCTACTGATCTCCCTCCTTGCTGTAGCTGGTCTGGAGAGAAAGAGAAAAGAGAAACGGGAAGGGCTTGTAGTGTCTAGAAACCAGAGGTGAAACTCTAAGTTAGTAAGGCTTCAACGGCAGCTCTGCAGGAGGTCAGAAAACAATTTAGTCTTGCAAAATTCTTTTTGTCATGCCACAGTGGTCCTCTTTCTGCTCCTCAAGTGTGCTAAGGTTGATGCTACCTTGGGGCATTTTGCAGAGGCTCTTTTATTTACCTAGAATATTGTTGCCCTGGCTTCTCCTGGACTGGCCCCTTCTTTTTATCCAGCTCCAATGTCATTTTCTCTGAAAAGTCCTCCCGATCCCACAATTCCCCCGGCCCAAATTATTTTCCAAGAGCATCTGTCACCATGGGAAATCATCTTTTTTATTTGTTTACTTTGTTGTCTGCATTGCCTGCCTTTCTCCCAACAGAATTAAAACTCCCTTTGGGTAGTAGCTACATGTCATTTCTAGAGTCTACAGCAGTATCTGCCACAAAGTAAGCACTCAGTACACTCCTATGGAATGGACACTTGTATCATGAAAGGAGCTGAGTTCTTGTTAGAAGGTGCTGCATGGCATCTGTGACTCGTCTTTCCCTTGGTGCCAACTCTATGTCACCAAATCTTCAGTGGGTTCTACTTCTGAAGAATGTCTTATACCTGTCCCTCTGTCCCCTCCTATTTCCCACATTCCCAGAGCCACTGCTCTGATACCTGGGTAGTGACAGCCCTATACCTTTCTCCCTGCTGCCCACGCTTCCTAAAAGGCGAGTGGCCCTGCCCCTGCTCTACTTCACCCCTTGCTTCCATTCACGCCCCACTTCTGGGACAGCCAATCCCTCTTGGTATTCTCCTGCCATTCTTGGACTAAATCAAAGCATCTTCCCCGCAGTACCCCGAGGTCCTGCCTTCCAGCCGGCAGACCTTGCTCTTCTCAGTAGCAGAGCCCAGCATGGAAGGGGAGGGAGTTCCTTAGGAATCTCTTAAGAAGACCTGAGGTCCACTGTGGATTCATGAGGCTCCTGAAGGCAGCAGGGGGTGTGAAGAGGGGCTGGGCAATAGCCAGAGGGAGCTTTCTGAAGATGGCTCAGGAGGAAGTGGAAAAGGGCCCCGCACAGGCAGATCTGGGGTCCCAGACAGCTCATGGGGAGCGTTGGGTAAAGGATTCTGGGGCTGCCCTAACACAAAGCGGTCAAGGCCTTGGAAGAGCTGGAGTGGAGATGCTCGCAGGCAGTGTGGTAACCCTACCCCTTCTTGCCTCTTATGCAGCCATATGCCTGTCCAAGGGTGAGCTGGTGGGCTGTGTAGGAAATTAAGAGGGGATCAAGCAAACCCAGGGAGACAGGACATCTGGCATTGCTGAGGGAACTGCCCACAGCCAATGTGGCCCTTCTCTTCCCATCAAAAGCTGTTGCCAGGTGTAGGTGGGCAGGGGCTGGCAATGGCTTGTACCTTGTATATTAGAAATTTATTGTGGTCTGTTCAGGTAACAATGTTTAGAGACCTTTCTTATGAAAGGTGCTATGTTCCCTGTGAGTCATTAAGACTATTTATTTATTTTTAATACCAAATGTCTAAATTCATCTACCCTCTAGGGATCATTTCATCTTGTACTGTGTGCTATCTCAGCAGAAAAAATGCTTTCCCCAAATGTGTCAGTTCTATTTTTAAAAAGGTTCAGTGACCTATTTCTGTAATTCTCACAGACACTGGAAGTACAGCAGAGACTATTTAGGCTCAGCTTTGTCACCAAAAAGTTACCCTGGCTTCCAGGTGTTGCCTAGAGAGATGCCATCTTGCTTTGCAATGGAGAAGCATAAATAAGAGGAGTACACCTGTCCCCCCTCATGGAGGGAATTCACCCCAAGACTCTCAGTGTTTGTCTGAAACTACAGATAGTACTGAACCCTACATAGGCTACGTTTTTTCCTGTATATACATACTTATGATAAAGCTTAATTAATAAATTAGACACAGTAAGAGATTAGCAACAATAACTAATAACAAGATAGAACAATTAAGTGAAGTAAGAGTTACTGGAACACAGGCATAGTGATACTGCCAAGAGGGCTACGGAGCAACCACGGGCAGGGAGCGTCTATGGCACCAAGATGCTGGACAAAGGGGTGAGTCACGTCCTGGCAGGACAGAGTGGGGCAGTATGGGATTTAATCATGCCACCCAGAACAGTATACAACTGAAAACTTAGGAATTGTTTATTTCTGGTGTTTCCATTTAATATTTTCAGACCAAGGCTGATCATGGGTAACTGAAACTATGGAAAGTGGAACTTTGGATGGGGGGACTACTACATTGTCAGGATAAGATCATGAGAGCAAAAAACGTACACACATAGACACACATACGACATGTTTCTCCAGTTTCAAACAATGTCATGATGACTACACTCCGCCTTTAGCCAAACTCGACATTGGGAAATAGCTTAAGAATCAACAGTTTCTGAGACAAAGAACTTAAAAAGACAATTTACAAAAGAGAAACTACAGCTCATCAACTAAGATGTGGCAAGCGGTTAGATCCACTAGTAATCCAGGAAATGAAAATTAGAGCAACGCCACTTTCCAAAACTAGCCCCTGGTGGGAGAAGTCAGAACAACGATGACCCTTGGGTGGAGTGGAGGAGGGGGAACGGGGCCACAATAGTGGCCTCTAGGGGTAAGGTTCTGTTTCTTAATCTGGGTGCTGATTACTCAGGGGTGTTCACTTTGTAAAAATTCACTCGTGATTTGTGTACTTTTCTGAACGCATGATAAACTTCACTACAAAGTTTACATTAAAAAATCAAGCTCACTTTTTACCTATTAAATTAGCAAAAACAATTTTTTTTTAGTAATACTAGCCAGTGTGGTTTAAGCCATCACAAAGCTAACATTTTTACATATTGCTAATCACAGTATACATTAATATAGTGCCCTTTGGGGAGGAATTTGGCAGTATGAATGTAAAACTCTTGAGAAGCGTTCATACTTGTTAATTCGATAACTTCACTTCTGAGACTCTGTCTTAAAGAAATAACCCTAAATGCCAAAAAATGGTTTATGTGCACATACGCATTGCAATATCATTTATAGTAACAAAAATTGACAACATCAAAACACTGAAAGTAATCTAAATGTCCAACTCTAGGGCAATGGTTAAATAAACTTTGACAAATTCACATGATGATATTTTATGCACTCATTACAATAAACTAAAGTGAGTAATGACAGAAGAAAACACAATATAGTAAGTAGGAAAAGCAGGATATGAAATTGTAGACATGACTACAGCTAAGATTAAAAAAAAAAAAAAAACCCTACACAGAGAAAATCCCCAGAAGATCTTAAAAAATGAGTAATACTAGTGTTTGGATAACAGGACTATGAGTGGGATATTTTCTTTAATTAACTTTCCTGTGTTTTCCAAATGTTATTTAATGAGCCCGTATTGCTTTGTTGAAAGAGGGAATGTTCAGAGTCATCCTTGTGTGTGACTCTTCTGTTTCAGAAGGTGCTGCCTATGGTTCTCCCAGGTCCCCCACGTCCCAGCAGTCTGTGCTTTGGTGCCTGATATCGCCATTCCAGGATGAATGGAGCCAGTGATATTTAGGAGCAAACTGATTATCTGTCTCCTTTCTGCAGGGCTGACTAAAAACTGTCAACCCTGAAGGCCCTACTGAAGCAAGGTGTAGGGAGTTCAGGATGGAGCTCTACATTCTGTGGTTTGTAAGGAAGACTCAGTTGGAAAGTCTTCTGCTGGGTCACTAGGTAACCGCAGTGCCTAGTTCATTCGTTCATCCTCCCCTGTCTGCTGGTTCTTTCGGTTCAGGGAGAAATGTTCAACTCTGCTTCCTTCTCTAGACATCACCTTCACTCTCCTTTCCTTCCAGCCAAAGAACTTGAAAGGCAAGTCTTTGATACACTTCTTCTACATCTATCGTTTGCCTACCCCCCAACCTGCACCCCATTGCTGTGTTCTGGCTCATACGGGACTTGGTGGGGAGTGGTACCCGGCTTGGGGAGAGGGATGCTGGTGAGTTTTCAGCTCTCATCCTCATCCCTGCTCTACTTGGGTGCCTTTGAATACTCCCACAAACCTCAGTTGGAGCCCTGCTAATTTAGCTTCAATTTGCCAAATGGACCTCCAGTGCCATTGTGGCAGCCCCTCACAATGATGGCTCTGCCACCCTCCTTCCGGCATCCCAGAGGCATCCAGGACCCAACCCTGTCCAGGTCTCCCCTTCCTTCTCTAGTTGCTGCTCCTCCACAGACTCTCTTAAAATAGTGAGTGTTCCCTCAGAATCATCTCTTGTCTCTGTACACTTTAACCTTTACTTGTATTCCCAAGACTTCGGGCACCTCCTACTTCCTCCCATCTCCCAGATTGAGTGGCTCAGAGTATGGGCAGAGTGCCCCCACCTACATCTGCGTGTAGCCTTGGGCGAGTTCCTTCACCTCCCTGCAGCTCAGTCTCATCTGGAGATAATGTGGAGATGGTAGCAGCACCTACCCCAAAGGGATGTTGAGAGGACAAAGTGCAGGGGCTGGCCCTTCCTAAGCCAAGAGCATCTGCTCATCCCCAGACCCATCCATCTAAAGTCCCCTGGATGTCTCCATTTGGGGGTCCTTCAGGCAAACTGATTGCCTGTCTTGGAGTTAATGTGCCCCACCCCAAATTAACCATTTCTCTTCCCTCCATTTGTTTCTCCTTCATTGTGTCTTTGGGGAATGGGCCCACCAGCCACTCAGACTCTGAGTCACTCGAAGTCCTCTCTGCACAACTCTGATCTTTCACTAAGTCTTATCCTAAATGTCTCTCTCCTAAATGTCTCTTTAATACCAACTGTCCTGCCTGTCCTCTCCATCCTGGTGGACACAGGCTTGGTTCTGATGGCCCAGTTACCCAGTAACCTCCCTAAGCTCATCACCAGGACTACAAACTTGCCAAGGTCCTACTAAAAGACTTGAAACCCGGAAGCAAGGGGTGGTGTGGGGGTGTGGTAGCTCCAAAATACAAGAAGAAAAGTGCAAAATTAAAATTAACAAATATTTCAATGGCTCCAAAATGTAAATTATGTCAGCTCCCTTGTTAACTTTTGATTTCATAGAAATTTCAGTACATTTGACAGCAATTTGTAGGTTAGGTTTTTCTCCTATACAAGAGTTTCTGACTATTCATGGCCTTGAGAGAAGGCATAGCCAATATATATTAAATTAGCAGGGGTTAGGGGCGTTGTAGTCAGATAACTTTAAAAAGCAAAGTTATCAGAGATCTCTCAGAAACAGCAATACAGAATAACTATGCTTGATGTGGGACAGGCATGCAATTTAATGCCTATTCTATGGTGGGGCGTGGTCTCCACAAGTAAGAGTGCCTGGGGCCCAGAGAGATCTGCAATCCACCTGTCCTTATTTCTTTCCTGAGGCAATAAGCAACCTCCAAAATAAGAATGTATTCAAGGCCATTCCTGTTGACTTCTTGCCTGGGTTCCTCAAGCCCTCTTAGAGAAGTCCCCTGAACCCCTAGGCCAGGTAGGCCCCTCTGCTACCACTCACCTAAGGCCTATGTTTCCTTTTGTCAAGCCACCTTCTTCTTTGAATTGTAATTACTGCCTCTGTCTGTTGCCCTGGGAGATCCCTGAGGGTAGGGACCACATCCCAGGGATCTTTGTTTAACTTTACAGACATTCCAGAGTGTTGATGATTAAAAGAATGAAAGACAGGCTGGGAGGGAGCGGGGGTAATGATATACAGGGATTAGGAAGAGGAGGCGAGGGTGAGGTAGAGATGAAATCAGCCTAGACAGACTTGGATTGAGTGCTACTCGGCACGAAGTGGATCCACCAGTCTGGAACTTAGGCTAGGGGCTGGGATAGAGAAAATGGGGGTGGTGGCCACTAGTATAAATGGGGGTGGTTGAAGCCCTGGCTGTGGCTGTGAAGAGGCCAGGTAGGAAGTGTGGGCAGGGAGAGAAGCCAGAGTTCTGGGAAACCTCGCTGCTGCTTATGGGATGGGCAGAAACGTGGGAGGGAGCAGGGACTGCAAGCACAAGCAGCAAGAGAAGAAGGCACAGTGGCTCACGCCTGTAATCCTGCCACTTTGGGAGGCCGAAGCGGGCGGATCACGAGGTCAGGAGTTCGAGACCAGCCTGGCCAACATGGTGAAACCCCGTCTCTACTAAAATACAAAAAATTACCCGGGTGTGGTGGCAGGCGCTTGTAGTCCCAGCTACTTAGGAGGGTGAGGCAGGAGAATCGCTTGAACCCGGGAGGTGGAGGTTGCAGTGAGCCGAGATTGCGCCACTGCACTCCAGCCTGGGTGACAGAGCAAGACTCTGTCTCAAAAAAAAAAAAAAAAGAGGAAGACGGCTGCAACAGGAGGCCTGAAACCCTGGAGTCAGAGTCAGAGTGACAACCCAATCGCTCTTTGCGGTTGACGGTGGGCCAGGCCCTACGCCCAGTGCTTTGCATGGAGTGAGCCACAGAAGGATGTTAAGATAAACCCCATTTTATGGATAGGTGAATCAAGGCCCAAACTGGCTGAGTAACTCACCCAAGGTCACACAGGGAGGAAGTGAAAGAGCAGAGACTCAGCTCCATACTCCACATTAAGGCAAGATGACCTGCACGTAATGACCATCACCCTGTCCAGGGAGATGGATATTAGAAAGCTTTGATGAAGTCTCAGTGATGAGGGCGGAAGACAAGCCGCACGGCAATGGGTGAGTCAGCAGGAGGGAGGAACTGAGCCAGGAGGAGCTGTTTCAAGGAGCAGAGGGGTGTTGTCTATTTCCCAAGTGTAGTTGGCATTTTTTCCCGCATCAAGAGGCAATAGCCAGGTAATACTATTATAAATTTGATGTTTAAAAAACTTACCTTTGAACACAGCAATAAAAACCTAAGCACTTCTCCATTACTCTTCTAATTTCTCTGCCTTAATGCCACAACAAACATTGGAGGCCTTTCCCTTCAGTGTCAACCTTATGGATCTTCTTATATCTTCTTTGTCCACAGGCATCTTTTGCAGAGACCTGCTGCCTGCAGAAAAGTGAGGAGGAGGGAGAGAAGGAGGGGTGCTCCATCCCTCTTAAGGACAGGGCAACTCTGTGTGGACAGAGGACATCCTTACTCTAGGTGTTCCCTCTGCCCAGAACTCTCCTCCCCCAGGCATCTGCTCAGCTGGCTTCTCACCTCCCTAGAGTCTTCCACCTCAGTGAGATGGGCCCGTCCATGTTTATTAATACTGCAACCGGCCTCTGCCCCCAATGCCCAAGCTCCTGGTCTCCCTTTCCCTCCTCTGTTTTGTTCTTTTTTCCATAGCAACCTCAGCTACTAAGTCATCCTGCTGATGTACTGCGTTTAGCATTTAGTATCAGAGTCCCTCCTTCTGCAATACTGCAAGCTCCCCAAAGGCAGGCAGCTTTATCTGTTTTGTCCTCTGTCCTATCCCAGGTGCCCAGAGCAGTTCTGGGCACTTAGTAGGCTCTCAATTCATATTTCTGGAATAAATAAAAGGAGTGATCTCAGCGGGCTGTGACTCCATCTTAAGGAAGATGGGTGGCCTTTCCATGGGAGAGGGAAAGGGGGAAGGCGTTTCAGGTAGGGGAGCAACATGAGTGGGTGCTTGAAGACAGGAACAAGTAAGTCACTCTGTGGGCAGTGAACAGAAGATTCATTTGGTGGTGCTCAGGATGTAGGCATCGAATACCAGGATGGAGAGTGTGGATTTTCATTTGTAGGCAATGGGAGGGAAGAGGAGGGCTATTGAAAGATTTCGAGCAGGGAAGAGACTCCATGCGAGTGATATTTGGAGAAGATTAAGTTGGAGGTGGGGAATCCATTGGGTGGAAGTGTCCTTCTGGGATGTATTCCTCAATCCTCATCCCCTCCTCCCCTTCCTCGTGAGAACTCCAGCTCACTCTGGGTGTTTCCTGTGACCTCTTTCTCTGTGCTCTCCCTGCTCCAAGTTAAGCCAGAATCAGGGTCTGCAGGTGTGCTGTGCACCTTAGATTTGAAGGGAATTTGTACGTTTTCATTCTCTGGGTAAAGTCAGGGTAGGCATCATCCATGGCCTCTGGTTAGAAATGGCATTCAGCACTCGGAATGCTTCCTCTTGCTTCTCTATCTTCAAATTTGTGCAGTGGCAACACTGAAATTCCAAAGGAGTAAAAAGTACGAAGACCTTTGCCTGGTACATCAAGAATGTGGACAAATTTAGAACTGGAGTCTTGTGTTACAATTGCAAGTCAAACTCCAAGAGGGGGTAACCAGCCCATTAGCGCAGGAACCTGGAAACTGACTTTTCTGCTATCTCTCCAAACACACACACACATACATGCGTGCACACTCTCACATACACACATTCATTGGGCCCTTGAAAGATCAAGGCCAACTGCAAAGCACCCATTCCCCAAGACTCCTAATTTATATTGGGAACTAGCTATAAAGCTCCCCTTGGCCCCCAATCTTCCCTTGCAATGATAAAGAGCATGTCACATCACACTAAATGTGACACTTAATCAAAACCCATCTTCTTTAACAAACCCTTAACCTCCAGCACACGAGAGTCACCAAGGCCAAGGGACGAGACGGGGAGCCGACTCAGGTGGCACATGCTTTGATTAAGATGATACAGATTTCCTTTTATTTCACTTTTATCAGAGTTGTAAAATTCCGAATCTGTCCCCTTTTTGATTTGACAACAGCACATTTCAATAGAGGTTGACACCAAAAAAAAGACCACGACTTGTTCTCTCTTCAACCGGGAGTAGGCGATAATTTCTCTGAATCCTCTTCAGTAATGATCGTCAGAGCTTCTGATCTTCCCATAAGCAAGTTTTGCAAGGAACATGGTTAAACTGAAGCACAAACCTGGCTGGCATCTGGTCCCTTTCTTAACTGGTATCTAAATACCCTTAATCTATAGGCCCTGAAAAAGACCTCCCCTTCTCTGCCTCCTACCTTGGGTCTTTATTTCTGAGACTTAAATCCTCAAGTGAATTCTTTTGCCAGATTTCTGGGGCAGGAAATTTACTTGCCTGCCACACAGTTACTTTAGGCCTTCTAGGGGCTCCGGCAATTGTCCATTTCTATCGCATGGGCCATCACTTTCCTCATGACCTATTTAGGACTTTGTTTCTAAATTATTTAATCATTGGCTAAATTAGATAATTTACTACAGAGTTATTGAATCCTAGTTATGAATGAGATACTTGTAATAGGAGGGAAGACTTATTTCTGGTTTCAGAAACTTTTGGTCTTGAAATAAAATACAGTAATGGTAATACAAGGTAGAATGGGACAAGTGTCTACAAAAACTCCAAAGCATAGGCAGTTGATGCTTTCAGTAAGTATTGAGCATCTACTGTGAGCCAGCCCCTGTTCTAGACACTGGGATACAGCAATGTACAGAATGGACAATGTTCCTGCCTGCAAGGTACTTACATTCTGTGTGGGGCTGGACAACATTTTCAACTTCTATATATTTGGCTTATGAACAACCCACACTTTCAAACTTTGTACTTTACCCCTCTTCAATCACCTTCTGCAGGTTGAATTTGGACTTTCGAGTGCCCATGGACAAGCAAAACTTCTCAGTTGTCTCGTGACGGCACACCAGTGGGACTATGCTCAGTTTCTGCAGTGTCAGCCCTCTGTCTGTTCTGTGGTGTCAATAGCCTTATTGCTCACCAAAAAACGAGCAGAAATTTTAAAACTGAAAGTGTGGATGCTATTGGCAAGACTTGTAGTTCTTGTTAACTTCTTACAATTGAGACGAAGATAGAAATCATTAGGAAGGAAAAAGAGCAAAATTAGACAGCCCATTTAAAATACTGTAAGGATATTAAATATTGAGCCAAACAGATAAAGTATAATTAGGATTTTTAAAAATGGTTTTTCATTTATGAAAGAGCAGTCTTTTCTTATGACATATTGGCAATCACTCCATTAGATTCTCAGCAACAGCATTCTTTACCTCTATGCGTGAGGCCTTCCTTTCCATGCCGGAGGGCTGGGTGCTGTGGTCAGTACCAAGAAAGGGCCAAGACATGGCCCAGTCCATCAGGAACTTACCTGTTACTCATGGACATAAAGGAAAATAGAATAGCTGGCATATTTCAATGCAGGGGGGGAAAAGGCGTTTTCTAAAAAAAAAAAAAAAAAAAAAAAAGCCTATGTTACCGGCCAGAAAGAGGAGATAAGAAAACTGCAAAGAAGCTCATCCTTCCTAGGATCAGGATAAGCCTAAAGGTCACAGACCAACCTAGAATGGGGAGATGAAAGTTGGTGCCAGGGCCAGGCCCTGCTTTAACTCTTCTAACAGGAGGCCTCTCCATTGCCCCTGATGGACAGTCTTTATCCTGCCCTTCTCTGTACCTGGTGTTTAGCAAGGGGACTGGCATAGGATTATTCCTGTATTCAAGTCCTGAAAAAGTCAGGGCAGGATGACAACGGCACACTGATGGGACAGTGTAGAAATGTGAGGGGTGAGGGCAGCAGGAGCAATCCAAAGCTGTGATAACAGGAACTTTACTGAGTCCTGACTCCGTGGCATATGGTCTGTGTCCTACTTTCCTTCACACAGGCCCCTGAACCGCTCCTGCAGCAATGCAGCCTGTGCAGGAGGAAGCCACAGCCCTAACAGCTGCTGAGATCTGGGATTCTGTGAGAAGCTCCCTTCCCATTTCTTGCCAGGCAGAGGGGGCTCAGGGTGGAACTGCAACCCCTGGTCAAAGTTTGTAGGATTAGCTGACAAGTAGGGTAAAAAAAAAAAATACATACATACATAGATAAATAAGTAGATATTAACAAAAAATGTTTAAGCTTCCAGGAGTCATTGTTGACTGCCCTTGCTTGTCACTTTCCTGCTATACCTGAGAGCTGACACCTGGGAGGATTAAGGACCAAAATACAGAATCGAGTAATCAATGTGTAAATTTACACGTGCATAAACAGGTGCATAGGTGTGTATTTGGTTCTCCTCTGTGAGTTTTTGTGATAAAATTGTCCATATTTTATTTATTTATTTACTACTCCTTGCACAGCCGGGCTACCCCATAGGCAATGCACCCAGAGGAGCCTATATTTTAAACTCTTTATTATAAAAAAATGTTCAACGTGCATGAAAGTGGAGGGAATAGGCTGGGTGCAGTGACTCACACCTGTAATCCCAGCACTTTGGGAGGCAGAGATGGGTGGATCACCTGAGGTCAGGAGTTCAAGACCAGCCTGGCCAACATGGTGAAACCCTGTCTCTACTAAAAATACAAAAATTAGCCAGGCGTGGTGGCGGGCGCCTGTAGTCCCAGCTACTCGGGAGCATGAGGCAGGAGAATCGCTTGAACACAGGAGGCGGAGGTTGCAGTGAGCTGAGATTGCACCACTGCACTCCAGCCTGGGTGACAGAGTGAAACTCTGTCCCCCCCAAAAAAAAAAAAAAGTGGAGAGAATAGTATAAAAGAATCCCATCCAGCCATCATCTAGATTTAACCATTAACACCTTAGCATGTTTGGTTCATCTTTTGTTTTTTTCTTTGTATTTAAAAACAAACTCCAGACATTATATTTCACCCTTAAATACTTTAATATACACCATTTAAAAGATAAGCATGTTTTCTTCTATAACTACCACACCATTATCGCACATATCAAAATTAACAATAATTCTTTGCTATTTTCTGCTACGCAGTCCCAATTCAAATCTTCCTGATTATCCCCAAATCTCCTCTTCCAGTTGGTTTGTTTGAATCAGGATCCAAACACGGCCCACACATTGCATTTGGTTGTTACGTGGCTTCGGTCTCTTTAAGCCAGAGGGCCATTTTGAACTATTAAGGAAGGGGTTGCTCTCACCCACCCATCCCTCTGACCTGGGCCCCAGTGAATTTCTCCAGGTGCGCCCTGAGGCCCCTCTCTAGCAGTCCAGGCAGCCAGAGCAGAGTGACTAAGGTCTGGAGGAATGAGCCTTGCCATGGAAAAACCAGAAACTCACAGATTTTCAAAATTCCAGGCAAGATAACATGACGCACGGGAAAATGTATGATGTAGTTTCTGTCCTCTGGCCCCCGACGAGAATAAAGCTTCCACCAGGCTGGAGGGAGAGAGAGGAGGGCCCACAGGACAGAGGGAGCGAGAAGGAACGCACTCCGCACGCGCTGGGCCCAGGCAAACGGGCTCCATGGAAGAAGCACAGCCTTGTGCTGAGGAGTTGGGCGTCGCCCTCACCAGGGTCCTCTGGTGAGCCTCTCCCCTTGACGGTCTCCTTTTGTTTGTGCAGTGGGAAGGATGCCTATCTCTGCCCAGAGAACGTTGCAGTCAGAGGCCCACTTTGCCCTGGGAAGGCCCCTTCATGAGAGCTAGGCCCTGGCTGCCCACAGGGTTGGTGGTGCATGGAAGGAAGCCTTTGCAACCCACCCCAGCCTGGCCAGCAGCGTCTCTGTGCATCAGAGCGGGGGCTCACCAGCACCCCGTGCTCCCTCCGAGAGTTCAGCCACGTGCTCGGCTGGTTTCCCCACATTAGAAACATTGATCAAAGAACAGCATTTCTTCTGCGACAGGAGGGAGTGCCTGGGGCCTGAGCTGTGTCCCCTACACCGTATTCCGGCTCACACTGTGCCCTGGGCCTCTAGGCTCAGAACGAGCCGTGTTGGTGACCCCGGAAGAGCGGCCTCCTGGGCCCTGGCTGCGGAGGCGACAGGCTGAGCCCGCGCTTGGAGGCCGCTGCGCTCTGGGGCCTCGCCTTCCGGAGCCTGGCCGGCGTTCCCGGTTGCATCTGCGTGGAAACTTGTCCCCGAGGAGCACTTTTGGGGAGACATTCATCTTCCTTGACGGCCCAGTCAGTGCTCTTTGGGGTTTTGCCCTCTCTTACTGGCTTTGGTGGCGGCGGTGCAGAGAGAGGCCTCCCCCGGACCCCGAGGCGCTGGTGCCCCGCGCTGGTGGGGCCTCCACAGGCGCACGCGGCCCCGGCAGCTGGCAATCTGGCCTGCATCTGATCAATTTTATCTGCAAAGCATTCAGAAAATTTCTCCCCCGAAGAACACGTTGACCCTCTTAAGCGGGGAATGCAATGTGGGTCGCCTGCTGGAGGACGCCCTCGATTTTGATGAGGCTTGTGCAGGCACCCGCGATAAGCTTCAGAACGCGAGCCAAGCGGGTGGGGACAAGGCTCCTCCGGGGAGCTCCGCATCGTCCCCGGCCTTCCATTCGCGGTGTTTACCAATTGTGAAAGCAAATCCAGCTGTTGGGAGGAATTGCTTCCAGATGACATGATGGGAAAGGAAAACACACTTCATAAAAAAGCTGCTGAATAAAAACCAGAACATGTCCGCTCTGTGGGCCAGGATTGCATAGGGGCTGTTTCCTGAGGTTGTGCAATAGGCCAGCTCCTGGGGTAAGGAACAAGAACAGTGCAAATGTTCCCCCTGCCAGAGTCAGGAGACCAGAGCTGGGACTGGACGTGGCAGAACTTGGGGAAAATTAGTTGACCTTGCTGGGCCACCGTATTTTTCTCGTTCTCAAGAACGGCTTCCCACCTTCCCTGGAGATCCCTGTGAAAGCCACAGAGAAGGTTTTCTGTGTGTTGAACTGCGTGGGTGAGAGAAACCACGAGAAAGCAAGGACATCTTCTTTTGAAAATGGGATGCATTTCTCAGCCCCCCAGCGCAGAATTTGCTGTGTTGGCTTTCTCAACGATTTTAGAAGCTCTCTAACGAGCTGGAATTAAAGTGTCCCTTTACTAATTTGGTTTTACAGGTCACTGGATAAACCTACTTAGGCGGTTTGGAAGAGGATTAGGACATTTGTGGCTCTTCCAAGTTGACTTTCCAGGCAGGATCAGTCAGCAGCTGGAGACTCCCCTGGCTTGGGGCCAGCGCTCTTATAAAGCTGCAAGTTTTTAAGGGCCTGGTAAGCACAGTTATCCAAGAAACAAAGTTTGCAGCGAAATTAAAATGCAAATATCCCAAAGCAAGGCACACATTCCCGAGCTTGCCTGCCCAGAGACAAGCCAGAAAACTCAGCAGCCCAGTTCCCTAGGGTGAGGGAAACAGCTAAAGTGATTTAGTTACTTTCCCTGCCTCAGCCTTGAGCAACTTTCTTAACCCCTATTGGGGCGGAATAGACTTGAATAGCTAGGAAATTGCCTAAGTGCAGGAGATCCCCTTAGAGAGGAGGCTGTAGCCATTAGCCACAGGTAGCTCTGTAGATTATCATTTAAAATTCAGTGTTTCGGTCTCACTAGCCACATTTCGTGCTAGTGACTGCCACATGCAGGAGTGACTGCCACATGAGACACTGCGGATCAAATGAGCATTCACTCATTCATTTCACAAGTTAAATTTATGGAGTGACTCAGCAGTGACAATGAGCAAAGCATATAAAATCTCTGCCCTCGTGGAGTTTCTGTTCTAAAGGGGAAGGTGAACACTAAAGAAACACCATGTGTGAGTCACTTTTTTTTCTGTCCATTGCAGTCCCGGGGCGAAACCGATGACGTACTCAATTGAGTAACTGAGAAGTGTTTAATAATGGGAGGATTTACTAAGATGTGGGCAGAGATCAGAGAAACAAGGCATAGTGCAGTCCTCACCGCAGGAACCATCACCGTGGCCAGGCCTGCAGGGGCAAGCACAGCTCCAGTTCCCAGCCAGGGCACCAGTGAGAAGAGCCAGGGAGGGGCTGCCTGACAGGAGCAACGCCCCTGCAAGAGAGGGGGCCCTGGAGGCAAACTGGTGGGGGAGGGGCCTAAGTGCTCTCAGCCCACTCCCCTCCCTGGCCTCCCACTGGCCCAGCCCCAGGGAAGCCAGAGGCCGGGTGGAGAGGAGTGGAGGGGAGTACCTGGCAAAATCATGCAGTCTAGGAAACCCAGCAGGGTGGGAGTAGAGTTTGGAGTAGAGGGCTCCTGGGGGGAGGGCAACTAGGAAAAGGAATGGCCCGAAGCACCGGGGCTGTCTCACCGCCATCCTCCCCACCCCTCCTTCTCCTGTCTTCCTATGACCTTCTGTCCCCTTCCCCAGGCCCTTCTGTCGTCTCTGTGGCTCTGCTTTCTGCCACATGTCACATTCTCTCTCTGGGCACCCTCGCAAGTGCCTTGGAGCCAAACCAGGGCCGCTCTGCTGAAACTGAGTCTCTGTGCTCTGTTTACCTAGGAGCATAGACAGGAATGTTTTTTGTTTTTTATGTTAAATAGACTTTACTTTTTAGAATAGTTTTAATTTTACAGAAAAACTGAGAACATTACAGAGAGAGTTCCTATATACCCCACCCCAGCTTCCACTATTATTATTATTGTTTTTCAGACAGTCTCACTCTGTTGCCCAGGCTGGAATGCAGTGGCGTGATCTCGGCTCACTGCAACCTCCCCCTCCTGGGTTCAAGCAATTCTCCTGCCTCAGTCTCCTGAGTAGATAGGAATACAGGCACCCGCCACCACACCTGGCTAATTGTTTGTATTTTTAGTAGAGACAGGGTTTTTGCCACGTTGGCCAGGCTGGTCTTGAACTCCTGATCTCAAGTGATCCATCCGCCTCAGCCTCCCAAAGTGCTGGTATTACAGGGGTGAGCCACCACACCTGGCCCAGTTTCCCCTATTACTAAATATCTCACACGAGCATGGTATGTGTTAGTTTATACCATCAACTGGACCTGTCTCCTTGCCTACTCTGCCGCTTCCTAACTCTGCTGCCTGTTTTCTCTAATTCTCTTCCAGGTCTTCAGAAACTAACAGAGAAAAATCATAGAACTGTGGTGAGTGAGTCCAGTCTAGTGAGAGAACAAAGGAAGCATTGCATAGTTACAAAGCAATCAACAAAGGCAAGGTAGTTTCAACAGCCTCCTACCTAAAGCACAGGGGCTTAGGTAGGAGGCTGTGCTTTAGGTAGGAGGCTGTTGAAACTTTTCTTTCTTTTGAGAGAAGATCTCGTTCTGTCTCTCAGGTTGGAGTGCAGTGATGTGATCATAGTTCACTGCAGCCTCCAGGGCTCAAGTGATCCTCCCACCTCAGCTCCAAGTAGCTGGGACTACAAGTGCACTCCACCATGCCTGGCTAATTTTTTAATTTTTTTTTTTTTTTTTTTTGTACAGATGGGTCTCACTTTGTTGCCCAGGCTGCTCTTGAACTCCTGAGCTCAAGTGATCCTCCCGCCACAGCCTCTCACAGTGTTGCGATTAGAGGCATGAGCCACTGAACCTCACCTCTGGTCTCTCAACTTCTGCGCATTCCCCTCCACAAAGACATCCCAGAGCATTCCCTTATACCCTTCACTCAGCTTCACCTAAAGGTAATATCTTACATAACCATGGTATAGTTATCAAAACTGAGAGATTAACATTAATACGGAACTATCAGCTGAACTACAGACTTCATTCAGATTTCACCAATTTCCCCACTCATCCTTTTTTTCTGTCCTAGAATCCAATCCAGGGTCTCACATTGTATTGAGTTGTCCTGTCTCCTTAGTCTTCACCAATATGTGATGGTTTTAAAGGCTTTCTTTGTTTTTCGTGACCTTGACACTTTTAAAAGTTATGGTCAGGTATACTGTAGGATGTCTTTCAGTTTGAGATTGACTAACGTTTTCTTATGAATTTTGGGGAAGAATATCACTAGGGGAAGTGCCTTTCTCATGACATCCTATTGGGGGTACATGGTATCAGCCTGAAAGATTACAGGTGACGTTAAGCTTGATCACTTGGTTAAGGAGGTGTCTGCCAGGTTTTGCCTCTATGAAGTTACTAATTTTCTTTTTCAATACTCCATTTGTTAGAAGTAAGTCACTAAGTCCAGCCCATACTCAAGGGGAAAGGAATTAAGCTCCTTTTCTAGAGGAAGGAGTATCAAAGAATTTGTGGACATACGTTAAAACCACCACAGTGACTTATTAATGTTTTTGGGTAGATACTTTGAGGCTATACAAAGATTCTATTTCTGCTTAAAGTTTCACCCACTAATTTTAGTATTCATCAGTGAATCTTAGCTGCAGCAGTTATTACTGTGGTGTTCAAATGGTGATTTTCTACTTCCCTCGTGCCTTCTACCTTTATCATTGGGAATCCTGTAAGGACAGTTTCTCTCTTCTACTCATTTATTCATTCAATCATTTCTTTATATCAGTATGCACTATGGAGATTTATTTTATTCTTTGGGTTAGAATCCAGTACTGTTTTTTTTATTGCTCAGTTGGTTTCTGTTTATGACTCTGCACACTTTTTGGGCTTGCTCCTGTGTCCTTTTTGACATGACTTCCTCCTTTTTTGCATTTTGCTCTGTTTGGTGTTTGTTTTGAGCACTCCTTTACTTTCTGTCAAATGCTCCAGGCTCACTGTGTATTTTCTGCCCCAGCTGCCCCAGCCCTATAATGCACCCTTTCACAGAGGGCCTCTCGGTGCATTGCAGACTTCCCTGCTGATATGCTAGTGACTTTAGTTAGGATCTGCTGCTCTGCCAGGATCAGAATCCTTTCCTTACCAGCACAGCTCTCACAGTGGTAAAGAGTCTGACAGGCCCATTGTCCCTGCCCTGGCACGTAGGAGGTATGTGACTTTGGGCAAGTTATTCTATGTCAGCCTAAGTGTTCTCGTCTGTAAAATGGGAAATGACAATCCTCCTTCCTTATGGGGTTCTTGTGAGGATTAAGTGCATGTGAAGCAGGTCACATGCCTGTCATAAGTATCTAATAAGTGTTGATGATAATGAAGATACAACTGCTTCTGCTCCGGGTGATTGGTTTTAAGGGCCTGGACTCTGGAGGCAGACTGCTTGGTTCTGCAATCTTAGTACAACTCCCCGTGCCTGTTTCTCATCTGTAAAATGGGGATAATCGCATAGAGTTTTTGGAGGATTAAATGAGTCAATATACACAAAGCACTTGGAACGGTAGATACTTTGTAGGGTCTAGCGTATAGGAAGCACTTGTTAACTGTTAGCTATTACTGTTTTTGTTATTATTATTATTATTATTATTATTATTGAGATGGAGTCTCACTCTGTTGCCCAGGCTGAGTCCAGTGGCATGATCTCACCTCACTGCAACCTCCGCCTCCCGGGTTCAAGTGATTCTCCTACCTCAGCCTCCGAAGTAGCTGGGATTACAAGCATGCACCACCACACCTGGCTAATTTTTGTATTTTTAGTAGAGATGGGGTTTCACCATGGTGGCCAGGCTAGTCTCGGACTCCTGTCCTCAAGGGATCTGCCCACCTCAGCCTCCCAAAGTGCTGGGATTGCAGGCGTGAGCCACCATGCCAGGCTTGTGATCATTATTCTTGCAGGCTAAATCTCTGGCTCCTTTGGTGTTATCCTACCCTTGGTTGGTGGGCCAAGCAGTATGGTAGAATATTTATCTAGTTTAGGAAACTATGACATTTAAAGGTAATAGATTGTTCAGATCATATATCCTTTCTCCTGAGGAGGAAGGAGAACAGCCAAATTCAAATTCATAACTAGTTAGATCGCCATCATGTGCTGCTGACATTTTCTCCTCTGAGGTGTTGACAAATGGCTGTGACGGAATTACTCAATTCACATTTGTCTCGCACTGATGCATGAGGCCCAAACGGCCAGCAGCTTTGGGGAAACTCTTTGTAAATCCATCACATTTGGCCATTAAAAAATGATAACTATGATCAGCCAATGCTGAGGGACCCATTTTGTGGAAAAAAGAAATGGAACCAACACAGTTAGTGACACAATAATTAGGACGCAGGGGAGACTGCTGACAATTTGGAGATGTTTTCTTGGAGAAAATATCAAATGACTTACAATTTGCAGGACATTAATAGATAATTAAGTTGGCAATTTGTTGCTGCAGGGTGACAGTTGTGGCCTCTCCTCTGTGCACAAAGAGTCAAGCATCCAAAGGCAATTCCTGCTCTCTCTTAATTGCAGGAGAGAGTGTCATGAAAACTCTTTCCCTCCCGGGAATGTTGGGATTTTCTTTGATTTTCTTTATCTTTCTTTCTTTTTTTTTTTTTTTTGAGACAGAGTCTTGCTCTGTCACTGAGACTGGAGTGCAGTGGTATGACCATGGCTCACCGCAGCCTCGACTTCCTGGGCTCAAGCGATCCCCCCCACCTCAGCCTCCTGAGTAGCTGGGACCACACCTGGCTAATTTTTTTTTTTTTTTAATTGCACATACAGAGTCTCCCTATGTTGCCCAGACTGGTCTTGAACTCCTGGGCTCACACAATCCTCCTGCCTCAGCCTCCCAAAGTGCTGGGATTACCAGTGTGAGCCACCGTGTCTGACTGGGATTTTCTTATTATTGGTGTGAAAATGCAGCCAAAGCTGCCCTCAAGGAAGAGTGTGGAGGGGAACTGAGGTGAAGGAAGGTCCTCCGGGCTCAGGAGCAGAGTCCCTTTCCGTCTTTCATCTCACTCTCCTCTGCCTTCCTCATCCCCACTGTGCCCTCCCTCCTGGAAGCTGATTTGAGCTGTTCATTTGACAAACGTTTCCCTGAACAACCCTCAGGTTTTGCTTTATCCACAAACCATATGGGTTATTATTCGTTTAACATTTTTCTTTTAATAAATTCACTTCAAAACATGAATGCCCAATTTCACTTCCTCCTGAACAATGATATCCATGGAGCTACAGGGCTCTGATGACACTGAGAAATGCCACTTGACCTCTGCCAATGGCTGCGTGGGGTCTCCTCTCTCTATTTGGAAAAATCCACTGTGACCTGGCTGGGAACAGGAACAGAATGGACAAGGGCCTATAGGAGAAAACCAGGCTCTTGGTTTTCTCCAAAATAAGACAATGATACTGGTGGCAAGCGCTTCTAACACTAAGGGACATGTCTGTTCCCACTGACAAACATTAGGATTCCCGATGTCCAAGAGGATGGAAGCCAAGGTGGCTGGGGAAAGAAGGGATGGAGGTTGTTAAACGACGCAAGATTCTGTGGGGTGGAGGCAGGTAAGTGGAGGCAGGAGGCCAGTGATGTTACTACTGACTGCATGGTCCAGATGAGGGATGAACTAAACCAAAGTAGTTTGTGGAAGCAAAGAGGAGATAACGGACTACCTAGATCAAACTTGATGGCTGACCCGATGCGGGGGATGTAAGAAGAAGAGGAGCTTATGACTCCTGGGTTTCTAACACAAGTAACAGATATCATAAACAAAGATAGGAATGGGGAGGAAGAGTGGATTTGGAGTCCAGCTGATGCATTCTGCTATTCACATGAAGAGTTGGAGGGATCTGTGGGATACCCTTTTGGAGATGTCTAGTCTTTGAAGACCATGACCTAGAGTTCAGGACAGATGGATGGGCTTGAGAAACAGATCTGAGTCCTAGTGTCCATGTGATAAAAAGAAGCTGTGGGCACCTGTAATCCCAGCACTTTGGGAGGCCAAGGCAGGCAGATCACTTGAGGTCGGAAGTTTGAGACCAGTCTGGCCAACACGGTGAAACCCTGACTCTACTACAAATACAAAGATGGCCGGGCATGGTGATTTACGCCTGCAGTCTCAGCTACTCAGGAGGCCGAGGCTGTAGAATCGCTTGAACCTGGGAGGCAGTTGCAGTGAGCCGAGATCACGCCACTGCACTCCAGCCTGGGTGACAGAATGAGACTGTCTAAAAAAAAAAAAAAGAAGCAGCAGCT
The DNA here is from genome assembly GCF_000001405.40 of Homo sapiens. NCBI lineage: Eukaryota > Metazoa > Chordata > Mammalia > Primates > Hominidae > Homo > Homo sapiens. Next base: position 174,018,117 of record NC_000002.12, on the reverse strand, counting down.
GTAGGTATGGATGACCTCATCCAGGAAGAAGAGACAGAAAGCAAGCATTAGTTGTTTTTTTTTTTCCCCAACAAAACAAGGTGCATTTTTTATTATGGTAAAATCCATATACTATAAAATTCACCATTCTAATCATTTTAAAGTATATAATTCAGTGGCATTTAGCACATTCCTAATGATGTACAATCATCACCACTGTATAATCTGTGAACATTTTAATCACCCCCACAGAAAACTCTGCACTAGTTAAACACCCTCTCTGCACCCCCAGACCCTAGCAATTAGTAATCTGCTGTCTGTCTATAAGGATTTTCCTTTTCTGGACATTTCATGTATATGGAATGATACAACATGTGGCCTTTTGTGTCTGACATTTTTCATTTAGCATAATGTTTTTAAGGTTCACCCATGTTGTAGCATATATTTTTACTTCATTCCTTTTTATGGCTGAAGAATACTCAATTATATAGATATAACACAATTTGTTTATCCATTCATCAGCTGATGGATAATTAGGTTGTTTCCAAGGGATTCACTTTTTTATTGATGCATAATAGATGTATATTGTTTCGAGGTGAAACAACTTATTACATGTGATAATTTATTACATTCATATAATTTGTAAAGATTGAATCCATGTACTTGGGATGTCCATCTCCTTAAATATTTCCCTTTTCTTTCTGCTAGCACTTTATTTATTTATTTATTTTTTGAAACGGAGTTTTTTTTGCTCTTGTTGCCCAGGCTGGAGTGCAATGGCGTGATCTCGGCTCACTGCAACCTCTGCCTCCCAGGTTCAAGCAATTCTCCTGCCTCAGCCTCCCAAGTAGCTGGGATTACAGGCATGTGCCACCACGCCTGGCTAATTTTGTATTTTTAGTAGAGTCGGGGTTTCTCCATATTGGTCAGGCTGCTCTCAAACCCCCAACCTCAGGTGATCCGCCTGCCTCGGCCTCCCAAAGTGCTGGGATTACAGGTGTGAGCCAACATGCCAGCCTTTTTTTTTTTTTTTTTTTTTTTTCTGAGATGGAGTTTTGCTCGTTGCCCAGGCTGGAGTGCAGTGGCACGATCTCAGCTCACTGCAACTTCTGCCTCCCAGGTTCAAGTGATTCTTCCGCCTCAGCCTCCCCAGTAGCTGGGATTACAGGCCTCACCACCACGCCCAGCTAATCTTTGTATTTTTAGTAGAGACAGGGTTTCACATGTTGGCCAGGCTGGTCTTGAACTTCTAACCTCAGGTGATCCGCCTGCCTCGGCCTCCCAAAGTGCTGGGATTACAGGCGTGAGCCACTGTGCCCAGCCTATGTCTTTTCTTTACGCTTATGCTTTTTGAATTCTTATCTATTTTGAAAAACTATAGTCACCAAGATGTAAACTTTTAATAAAGCAAGGAAGGAGAAAGAGGTGACTAAGGAGACTGAGAAAGGGAACTCAGAGAAATAGAAGACACACAGACTCTAAGGGAGAATGTTTCAGAAATGGAGGGTTTGGTAAGCAGTGTCAGATGATTCAGAAAAGTTCTGAAAGTTAATCGTTGAGGTTTTGGCCAAAGAGAAGACATTGGTGACCTTATCATAGGAGTTTTTCTGTGGAAAGGTGAGGGCAGAAGCTGGATGGTGAACAGGAGATGTGGTTTGGGGCAGGGAAGGTACTACTTTTATAAGAGATTAGACATGAAAGAGTAGGAGAGGATGAGATATGAATATGGGATAGTAGGAAGCATGTTTACTTGCTGGTCGGGAGAAGCCAGAGAAGAGAAGTTGGAGATTCCAAAGGGGAGAGGCAATGAAGGGCTCTGGGAAGCACATTAGAAGCACCTGGGAATCCCACCCAATTCAATTCAGATCCCTGGGGGTGGGACCCAGGCATCATCAGTGTTTTCTAAAAATGTCCCCAGGTGAAGGTATCAGAGAGTTGGGGGCTGCGAACCACTGAGAAAGACTTGCTGAGGATGACCTTAGAAGGAAGGACACGTTTATGCTAAGACTAGAGGAAGAATGGCTATAATGCAGGTGAGTTTACAGTGACAGCCAGAAAGCTGTGGGATTTAAAGTTAATTTTCTCAATGAAGCAGGCTAGGTTATCTGCTGAGAGACAACGATGGGGGTAAATCTCATACGTATTTTACACCCTCTGTCTGTGAAACTAGGATAATAGTACTTTTCATAGCCTGCATGAGTAAGGGCTGTATTAGGGCTTTTTTCCCTCTCCTTCCTTTCCCAAAAAATTCAGCGCCTGCCCCCAACAACATGAAAATTAAAATAATTTAATTTTCAGTCTTAACCAAACAAATCAATTACCTACTTTTTCCTCCTTGATATAATCTGAGCCACGTTGCTAGTCAAGCTGCCTGGATAGTATTTGGGTCCTTCTCTGGCATGCCTTCAGCAACTTTACTTCAATCCCTTAAAAACCAAAACCAAACTATAATTGAGTGACATGTCACTCATTTTGGGCACATGTCATTTGCCCAAAACAAATGCAAAGTGTATTGGTCAGCAATTTAAAGACAGAATTGGCAATGATATAAATATAATATATGTGCACCCCAGGCTTCCTCCCTAAAACTCAAGTCTTCTGAGAACCCAAAGGGATGGGATCATAAAACAGTATTTTAGCTTCAGCAAACATGTATTAATCGGTTCTTCTCACCATTTCTATTCATTTGCTTTGGAAAATTTAGAATGTTTTGCTACTCAGGTGGAGCCAAGTTTTTTGCTTTTGTTTTTTATGGATAACCTAGGGTACAGCAGTCTGATGACTTAGTCACATGTTACTATAATTGAAACAGTAAGACCCATTCATAGATATGTCAGCACATATTAAACCCATAATAAATATTTTTGGATAATTATGAAGCTTAGAAATTATTTACTTGGCATTTATGCCTCCTTTAGTGATAGCCACTATAGAGGGGTATTTCTCAGTCTTTTTGGATTCTTGTCATATTTTTGAATCAGTTTTGGTGACACAGGGAGGGTAGAAGTTATAAACTGGTAGCTCACAGAATGAGTCCTGATAGTCCTCTCCTAAAAGTTTGAATCAGGTGACAACATTTAAAAATTAGGTGATTTCACACAAGAATTCAGATTGCTGGCTTCTCTTGAAAAAGTGGGCGATGTGGTAACTTGGCCAGGCTGCCAACGATGGGTGCATGCTTCATGGGGCTCCCCCTTCAGACCAGGCCTACCTTCCCCAGTTCTCCACAGCCCCTGCCCCCACACCTTTGTGTCTGGTTTCTGGAAGCACTTGAGTTTGAGACCAGACCCCTATGTGAGGCCAACTGCCAGCTGCTCATGGTGAATAGCTAATTATATTGTCATGGTCACTGTTTGTGTTTATTTCCTCCAGTGACACTAGGGCTGGAGTATTACTTGTTTTATGTTGCTTGTGTGTCTATAGCCCTGTTCCTGGCACAAAAACACTCAATGAAAATTTGATGAATGAATCTAGGAGGGTCAATTCTTTGCAAGCATTTGGCAACCCATGAGGAAACTGAAATCGCAGTGTCAGAGCCTCAGGTAGACAGTGTAGAAATACAGAGTAAGAGATTAATCCAGCCTGCCTGTGAGGATAGGCTGGTGTTCACATGAATTTCTTGGCGGGTTAGTCCTGAAATGCTGATCCGATGGCTCTTTTGAATCACAATATGCATACCAAAGGCTATGAGGAATTCTGGAGTAAAACAGCAGCAAATAACTTGTTTTATTTGGTTTAACCGAATGCTTCCTAAATCTTCATCTACCATTTCACTATTTTGACATTCAATCTTTGATTTTCTGACATCTCCTGTTCCCAGATGTACTCAATGGCAAGTTATTTTTTTAATGATGGTGAAATTAAAGTGTCCTGGTTAAGACAATTTTGCAAGAATTTTGTGGCAGTCCCACAGGCCCCTGGGATCTTCCCTAGGGTATTGCTAAAACAGCATTGGGAAACATGGTTTTTTCACTGTGGTCTTGTCGAAAGTCAGGGTTAAACTATTCTTTTTCTTCTTTGGCTGGCCATACATCTCAAGATACAATAGCTTATATTTGTATGGCATTTTATAGTTTACATTATCACATGCATCATCTCAGTTTCTCCTCAAAACAACACGAACTGTAGGGATCATTACTCCATTTTCTTGCTTAAGGCCCTAAGCTAGCCAGAGGCAATGTCTAGATCTAAACTACTCTTTCTTCTAGATGTGCTGCTCTGCTGGTACCTCCAACGGATTTTTTCTTGAACATATTATTTAGCTTTTGGGCCAAATCACAATGTTGGGTGGAAATTTCTACGATTTGGGCGGGTTGTAATCTCTCCCCGCAAAATAAAATACTGATTGCTGTTCTGTAGTGAAGCATGGAAGGTCACCAGGGGAAGGCACTCAGATTGGACCTCCAGGGCTTGGAAGGCACACAGCGACGTCAGATCCCCTTGAAGAGTCCAGGACACAGGCGAGCTGGGGCTGACCTGGGCCTTTTGCTCCTTCACCTACAATCTTTCCCAGTCTCCACTGTGCCTCGGGGCCCCAAGTACCATCTGCGTCCAAACATTTTCTCTAAGGAGTTGGAATCTTGCCTCTTATTTCCCTGTCCTAGAGGAGGAGCCACTCATGTGAAAAGATCACGAGCCGAAAGGCCCTCCTCGGAGCCCGTGGGGGAGCCTTTCACGGGCTGGGCAGAGGCCACTTGCTCAGCTTTGCAGATCCTGGGTCCAGAAGCGCCGGGACACCGGCGGGCAGAGCTGCGGGGGTCCGAGTTCCACAGCTTCCAGCTCTGGGGAAGGGGAGGAGAGGGGCCTTCACCTCTACGGCTGACCCCCTTCCCTGAGGGTCGCCGGGGAGAGGAGGAGAAGAGACAGAGGGAGAGTGAAAGAGGGCAGAGAGGGAGAGAAGCAGGACGGGAGAGGGAAGGGGAAATGAGGGAGAGAGAGGGAGGAGGAAGCGAAAGAAAAGGGGACGGGAGGAGGGGCGAGGGGTTGGGAGAGCGGGAGGTTGGGACGCAGCGGGGAGGAGGCGAAGGCCTGGGTACGGGAGGAGAGAGGGCGCGGGAGGGGAGGAGGCCGGGCTGGGCCCTGGGAAGTCGCTGGCTGAGGCCGCCGGCAGTTTCTCCCGTCGAAGGGCAGCGTGAACCTCGGCTTCTTACTGCGCAGCCGGAGGCACCCGGGGCCAGGAGCGGAAGTCCGAGGGGACCCCACGGCGGAGGAGCGGCAGAGCCCGGGCCCCGCGGGAGAGAGAGGCGGGAGCCTCTCACACGTGGGTTTGCGGCTTCGGAGCGTGGCCAAGCCACGCTTTCGGTAGACAGCACAGGCCCAGAGTGCGTCCCAGTTCTGAGCTCGGACCTGGAAGGCGGGGTTCAGTGTGACTCATCAGACTCCTCAACCACCGCCTCCAGGGAGCCCCGGGCCTGAAAACGGGGTCTTCATTTCTGTGGGCTCCAAGTTGGAAACTTGCAGAGGAAGATGAGGGAGCTCACTTCTTCCGGGGTGGAAGGGGTGTGAACGCGAGCCAGCACCCGCGAAGGGTGAAGGTCCCCGGTTCAGGAAGCCCTCTCCCCAAACCTCTAGCGAGTGGTGGGGTGAAGGGTTAGGCCTATCTGAAAGGCAGGGGGCAGCTTGTCGAAGTTCAGTGGGGCAGGTGGCCCCCAGGGAAGCCCTGTCTTCCAACAGAACAAGTGCTGAGCATCTTAAAGAATGCACCAGAAGCTGGTGCACTAGCTCATGCCTGTAATCCCAGCGCTTTGGGAGGCTGAGGCGGGTGGATCACTTGAGCCCAGGAGTTCGAGACCAGCCTGGGCAACATGGAGAAACCCCGTCTCCACAAAAAATAATTTAAAAATTAGCTGAGTGTGGTGGGGCGCGCCTGTGGTCCTAGCTACTCTGGAAGCTGAAGTGGGAGGATCCCTTGAGCTCTGGAGGTCGAGGCTGCAGTGAGATGGTGCCCCTTGCACTCCAGCCTGGGCAGCAGAGTGAGATCCTGTCTCAAAATAATTTTAAAAACTCATACTTTTGTTTCTAGTAACAGTTGATCGGCGGATTCCACTTACTGTGACTATCCAGTCTCCTCTAGGCCTTTGGACATCTGAAAGGCAGTGTTAAGAGCCCAACTCTGGAGATGGACTTTGGCTCCACCACCAAGTATTAATAGCTCTGTGACTTGGGGCAAGTTACTTAACCTCCCTACACCACAGTTTCCACTGCTGTAAATTGGGGATGATGATAATAACAGCCACCTCACAAGGTTGCCTGGAGATTTGATTAAATGAAATAATTAGCATGGAGTTTATCTAGTCTTACCTGTCAGAGTCAAGAGCCTTCTTTCTCCTAAGCTGACCTTAGTATCTCCCCCTGTCCGCCCCCTTTACTTTGGATCCTAACTCATAAAACGGGATTGCTTGACAGTATGTTTTCTTTGTGTACAGATAGCTTGTTTCTTCAACCTACATTTTAAGTTCTTTCAACAGTCACTTTTATTTCTATGCACACTTAAAGGCACCAACTTAGTGCATTGCACACAACTTGTGTTCAATAAATTTTTGTTGATTGAATGATAAATAAAACCTCAGTGATACCTAGAAAGAGATTTTTCTAGAAAATTTGAAGGTATAGAAAAGAAAAACTCTTCATAGGGCAGGATGAGTAGAATAAAACTTGAGATATGAAGTCAACTTTGTTAGTTTAGAACCATAAAAATGTATCATGTAGAGTAATCTCAACTATGTAAAGAAAACTGCAAAACAAAACTGGAAGTAAACATGCCAGATTTTATAGTTGATGTCTTAGTGTAGGAGGAGTATGAGTGATTTTTTTCCCCTCCTGTTTTATACTTTTTAGTCCTTTCCAGCTTTTCCATGGTCAATATGTGTTTCTGAGTTGCTCAGGAAAAGTACTTCTATTATCCATATAATTTAGCCAATCAAAATGATCACATTTTGGATATTTAGAGATGTGATGACCTTGGAGGAAAAAAAAAATCATGAGAACAAAACAATTGCGTTCCTCTAAGTTTTCCTTCATTTTTTTTCCCCAGAGCAGCCACCCTTTACTGATTTGTGCCAGAAAATCAATTTGTCAGTTTGAAGTGTAGAGATATTTCCTTTTCAGGGACCAGAATATTTGTCTTTCCTATCTAGGGGACTTCCTTTGAAGTGTCAAGATTCCAGGCAGGGAATCAGCATTGTAGAAGGGTCTTGGACTAAATTCAGAGCCAAGGCAAAGTGAGGCAAATTATCTTAATGATTATTTCAACTAGCTTAGTGAACTTTCACCTTTTCAGTGATTTATTTTATTTATTTATTTTTTTTAGACAGGGACTTGCTCTGTGCAGGCTAGAATGCAGTGGTGCAATCATAGCTCACTGAAGCCTTGAACCTCTGGGCTCAAACGATCCTCCTGCCCCAGCTTCCCAAGTAGCTGGGACTACAGGCATGCATTACCATGCCCAGCTAATATTTTAAATTTTTGGTAGAGATGGGGTCTTGCCCAGGGTGGCCTTGAACTCCTGGCCTCAAGCAATCCTCCTGCCTTGGCCTCCCAAAGCTCTGGGATTACCGACATGAGCCACCGTGCTGGCCTCCTGTGATTTCTTTCTTTATTTATTTACTATTATTTTTATTTTTTTCTTTCAAGGCTTTAGGATGTACCAGTGATCTTCTGTTTATATTACTGTAACATAAAAAAAACACACACAACAACTTACAAAGTTATAATTCACTCAACTGGAGTTACCTTCCACTTTTACTGAAAATTAGGACAACACTTCAATTTATCTGTGCATAGAGTCATTCATTCAACAAAAATTTACTAAGTGCCAGGCCATGTGCTGATGCTGGAAATGAGAAATAAGACCTGGTCCTTATCTTTCAGAAGTTTAGGGTCTAGTTGATGAACACTCATATACAAACAGTGATATGTAGAAAATTGTCTCAAGGGCTTCGGTAGATCCAGGTAGACAGACTTACAGCAGCTAGTGGGACAAAAATGAGAAGCCAGTTCTAGTTGGGCAGGGAGACAGCAAAGAGGAGGGAGCAGAAAAGAACTTCAGAGACAACCAGTTATCTGGGCTGATTATGAATCTTTAGCTTATAAGTGGGTAGTATTTCCTGACGTGAGGCTATTGTTTTTTTTTGTACTTTGTCGTAATCATGTTGTCTTACATACTGTCTATCTGATTACTTTCTCTGCTACATTAAGGATATGCTTCATGATTCTTTCCATCATTGAGAAATGCAATGAGTTTATAACATTTAAATCCTATTCCATCATAGTCTAAGAACTGACCAAATTTTAAAAATATATCAATCATTTTATCAGGTAACATTGAAATTTGTAAAATACAAAAACCCTAAACTTTTTACTTTTACTTAAAGTGTATAATTGTACATTCATTCCTCAATGATTAGATGTTGGGCTCAGTGTTGGAATCCTCTGATTGAAATTACTCATTGTTTTTCTTGCATTAACCCTGCCTGTGATACACTGGGTTTATGGTTTCCAGCCTTTGTTTTTCTATAGAGAAGAGTGAGCTTAGACACTTAACAAACAATATGAGTGTGGAGTCTTTTAGGCTTTACACTTTCTTTTCCTAATCTTTTAGTTTTTTAGCCCATAACTAATTTGACAACAATTTTTACTTTTTTTTTTTTTTTTTTTTTTTTAGTAAACTGCCTTTAGTCTTTTCAAAATATTCAACTTCATTTTCATAATTTGTTTTTTTTTTTGTTTCATGGTGGATTTTTTTGTACTCATATCTCATTCTTATATGTAATAGGCGTAAAGAAGTTTCAAGACAAATCACTAAGTCTAAACGTACAACTCAACTGATCTGTGCTGTTTCATTTTAAAAATGCTGGTCATGACCCAATGAATTTATTTCATCTAGTAAATTGGTATGAAGACCTGCAGTTTGAAAAATACTGTGTTAAAGAGTAGTGTAGTGTTCAGTACACACTGGCATCAGTGGCTGTTAGAGAGGAATAAAGAGTGTCTGTTAATGCACTGAATTGTTTAGGTAGTGTTCCATTAAGAGAGTTTCTGCTGTATTAAAATTCTGTTGGATTAAATTTCTGGGTCAACCACTAGGCTTGGAAATCTCATTGCACTCAAGCTTTGGCTGTTATAGTTTGAGTTTTTCAGATACTGGGCCTGGGCCTAAAGCTCTCAAGCTTAGAGTCCGTGCTAATTGCCTATGAAGTTCACGTTACACATGTAACTGACTATAACTGAGCCATTTTAAGGCCATTTGATTATATCCTTTTCTAAGGATAAAACAAGGAGATTGATTGATTAAATGTCCACGCTAATCTAAGAAAACACTTTTCCTAGTTTATGACAATGTCTAAGGCTTCTAAGAACCACCACTTAAGTTCTTAGTTAGCTCTGTTTTCTCTGCAAGCACACGGGACTTGAAAGATATTTGATGGAGCCAGAGAAGGATATGGCAAGCAAGAATATTTGTTTAAGTTGAAATCAAGATCTTCCTCCTCCTTGGTAGAGGCTCCCAGATACAAAGGATACTGGGGGCTATCCTGCTAGAAAGCATAGTAGAATCAGGTGAGTGTTTTCCTGGGTTGATAGCTTTATTTACCCTGATCTGTAGGAATAACTCTCAGGAATTTACCTCTTTTCAAAATACCTGTCATTCAGGAAAGATGAGGCCAGAGAAAGGATAGATTATCTGTTGAGAAATGTCTAGGAATCCCTGCCTACAACTCAGGCACCTATATCCCTTTTTAATGAGGGCACACACTATGACTTCTTTCATTTTTGAGGATGTCAGCCCTGGACCCTTAGGTTTGATGTGGAGATGGCTGGGAAGCAGGGCTGGTAAGAGATGTGCACTTAGGCATATTTCTTGGCTCCTCTAGCTGTTTTTCTGAATCTTCTAAGGTGGAACTCCCTCCTGCAGTTATTATAGAGATGACCCAATAATATCAGAGAGAGGAGACAACCAATTCTGCAAACATGCCCTAATGGGGGAGTCATCACAGTTTTGTAGTCCCCAAAACTCATGTCATCAATGTGACCAGAATGACCGGACCCTCAGGGACGGATTCATCTAGCCAGACTTGCTGAAGACTCATGAGCGAACAGAACTCCAGTTCATGATGGAGACATTTATCTCTGGTGACCAAAAAACTCTATGATTGTTCTCCAGGACCCCCATGGCTAAATCCTGGGTACCTGGGGAATCATGCTAGTAACCAGAAAGTTGTTTGGTGATCGCAAGATCACGAAAGAGAAATGTCTAGTGTTATGGGTTGAATTGTGTCCCTTCCAAATTCATATGTTAATGTCCTAACCCCTAGTACCTCAGAATGTGACCTTATTTGGAAATAGACTTGTAGCAGATATAATTACAGCTGACCCTTGAACCATGTGGGCATTAGACATGCCAACCTGCATAGTTAAAAATGCATGTATAACTTCTACTCCCCCAAAACTTAGCTACAAATAGCCTACTGTCAACCCAAAGCCTTACCAATAACAGAAACAGTGGATTAACACATATTTTGTATATTTTATGTATTACATACAATGATCTTACGATAAAGTAAGTTAGAAAGTGTCAAGAAAATCATAAGGAAAATACATTTATAGTACTGTACTGTATTTATTGATACCGTAAGTTTGCATCACCTGTCTACAAGATGAATTGTCTGTCTGAATTGGCAGCAACAGCAACTGCAGACCTCAATCTATAGTGCATATCAAGCAATTCAGCTTTTTGTTGTAAACTCATAACTTTTCTCTGCTTCTTGGGAGCACTTCAAGCATCACTAGTGGCACTTTGCATGGGTCCCATGGTGTTATTCAAAGTTTATAGTATTGCACTAAACACGTTGAAAAATATGTGAGAACTGACAGAGATCACTTTTTACTGCAATATGCAATTTACTGGAGAGATGAACTGCTCATGCGGAGATGATGAGCGTCACATGGCATTTTAAGTGGATACTCACAACACTTGAGCTTACCGCAATAACAACAGGAAGTGGCTATGAAATTATTACAGTAGTACAATATTACTACAGTTAATTTTACGCAGTTATGATTTAATACTGCATCTTTACATTTGTTTACATTTCTCTCAACTTTGAATGGCTCCCCATACAATCTGTGTTTTTGTAAGTTTTAATACATTTTAGGTTTTTATATTTGTGTATATTTTATGGTAGTGGTAAAATAGACTATTATCTACATATATTTTATACATACACTTGTCACAAATTTCCAAAACATTTTCCAATGTATTTATTGAAAAAAAAATCTGGCTAGGCCCAGTGGCTCACTGGCTGTAATCCCAGCACTTTGGGAGGCTGAGGTGGGTGGATCACGAGGTCAGGAGATCGAGACCAGCCTGGCCAACATAGTGAAATTCCATCTCTACTAAAAATACAGAAATTAGCTGAGTGTGGTGGCACGCACCTGTAGTCCCAGCTACTTGGGAGGTTGAGGAAGGAGAATCACTTGAACCTGGGAGGCAGAGGTTGCAGTGAGCCAAGACAGAGCCATTGCACTCCAGCCTGGGTGACAGAGCGAGACTCTGTCTCAAAAAAAAAAAAAAAAAAAAAAGAAATCTCTATATAAGTGGAGCCCATGTAGTTCAAACCTGTGTTGTTCAAGGGTCAACTGTAGTTAAAATGAGGCCATAGTGGAGGAGGGTGGGCCCCTAGTCCAATATGACTGGTATCTTTATAAAAAGGGAAAATCTGGACACAGACACATGCAGAGGGAGAACACCATGGGAAGATGAAGACAAAGACTGGGATGATGTGTCCATAAGCTAAGGAATGTCAAAGCCCAGCAGCAAAGCACTGGAATCTAGGGGAGAGGTGTTATGGGACAGATTCTCCCTTACAGGCCTTACCAGGAACCAGTCCTGCTGCCACCTTCATCTCAGACTTTTGGCTTCTGGAACTGTGAGACAATAAATTGTTTAAACCACCCAGCTTATGGTATTTTGTTACATCAGCCCTAGCAAACTGATACAGATGGTTTTCAGGACTAGTTCACATTGTGGAGCTTGACAAATTACCTTATAACCCTGACTTGTGACCAAATTATTTGTAATCTCTAGATCTAAGTCTTTTTTTTCCTCAGACAGGAGTGGAAAAACACTCCCCGGCCGGGCGCGGTGGCTCACGCCTGGAATCCCAGCACTTTGGAAGGCCAAGGTGTGTGGATTGCTTGAGATCAGGAGTTCGAGACCAGCCTGGCCAACGTGATGAAACCTTGTCTCTACTAAAAATACAAAAAATTAGCCGGGAGTGGTGGCAGCCGCCTTTAATCCCAGCTACTCGGGAGGCTGAGACAAAAGAATTGCTTGAACCCGGGAGGCAGAGGTTGCAGTGAGCCAAGATTGTGCCGCTGTACTCCAGCCTGGGCAACAAGAGTGAAACTTTATCTCAAAAAAAAAAAACCACTCCTCAAATTTTGGTCTTTGGATTTCCTTTTCCTAAATCCAAGATCTTCCTTTTTCTATATCTACATCCTTTTTTTCTGATGTGCAAACTTTTTTTTTCTTTTTGTGGAGAATGGGGCCTCGCTATGTTGCCCAGGCTGGTCTCAAATTCCTGGGCTCAAGAAATCCTGTCTCCCTAAGTGCTGGGATTACAGGCACAAGCCACAGCTCCTGGCCGCTTCTGATGTGCTAATACCACTTATTATATCTCAGTTCTCTTAGTCATATTCCAGTTATGTCTCACAGCACGTCTGTGTCACTCCTGCCAAGGCTTTGCATACAGTCCAGGACTATTTTCAGTTTTAGTGACTAGAAGAATCACCTGGGGGCTGCTGGTTATAAAAAAGAAAGAAAAGCAGACTTATGACCCCTGTCTCTGGAGATTTTGATTTGTAGGCCTGTGGTATCCAAGGTATCTATGATATCTTGGTATCTTGGATACCTGTGGTATCTTGTGTGATCCAAGAATGATCACATTAACTAAGCACCACAGGTACTATTAACCTCCTGGATTATCTGTTGATTCTTACCAGTTTTTTTTCTTGAGCAGAATCCAAATTCCAAGCTCTGGAGACATCAAGCTTGGTCTTACTTTGGAAACACTCCCAGCATTTCGGATTTAGGCATTTCCTCCCTAAGCATACAGAAATAGAGTGGGTGTCCTGAGCCAGTCTCATTCATTCATTTGACAAAACTTTTTGAGTATCTGCTAGACCCTGTTCTAGGGTCAGGGAAATGTCAATAAAACAAATAGACAAAAATCCCTGCATTCTAGCCGGGAAAAACAGTGAGTTAAATCCATAAACATACTAGGTAAGCAGTACTATGGGGAAAAAATAAGCAAGATAGAAGATGTGAGTGTGGGGAACTGCAGGCGTCACAGTGTTTTATTTTTTAATTTCTTTTTGTAAAGATGAGGTCTTGCTTTGTTGCCAAGGCTGGTCTGGAACTCCTGACTCCAGTGATCCTTCTCAGCCTCCCAAAGTACTGAGATTACAGATGTGAGCCACCACCCTGGGCCAGGTTGCAATTTTAAATGGGGTGTTCTAAGTAGGCCTCACTGAAAAAGTGACTGAAAAGTGAGCAGCGTGGCTCTCTAGAAAAGTGTCTCATGCATAGGAGACAACTAGTGTAAAGTCCCCAGTCAGAAGGTGAACACACCTGGTATGTTTCCCAGGAACAATTTAGAGGCCAGGATGGTTGAATTGGAGTGAGAGAGGGAGAGGGTGGCTGAGCTAAATTCAGAAAGGTTACAAGGGAGCCACATCATACCCTTGGAGTCCATTGCAAGTTCATTGGCTTTTCCTGAGTGAGATGGGGAGCCACTGGAGGGTTTGAGCAGTAACATGCTCTGACTGACTTTTTTTTTTTTTTTTAGATTCAGAGCGTACCTGTGCAGGTTTGTTACATGGATATATTGTGTAATATTGTGATCTGAGCTAGTGAAACCGTCACCCAGTGAACATTGTACCCAATAGATAATTTTTCAACCCTCACCACCCCCCACCCTCCTCACTATTGGGCTCCCCAGCGTCTGTCGCTTCCAATCGTTATCTGGCTTACATTTTTGAAGTATGACTCAGGCTGCTGTAAGGGGAACAGGTGTGGAAGGAGGGAGACTGTTTAGAAGGCGAGCCGCTAAGCCGGGTGGGAGACATTGGTGGCTGGCAGTAGGCTAGTGGCAGCTGACTTGAATGTGAGAGAAAAGACTAACAGACTTGAATGTGAGAGAAAAGAGATGTCAAGGAGGATCCTCTTCAGGATAAACCTTGGAATTCTGGCTTGGAATGCTGAGCAGAAGCATCCCCAAATGATACAGCATATGGCCTGCAGGTTTCTGGCCACCATCCTACACCCAGAAGCAGAGCCAGCCTGACGGTGGAGCCAGTGCTGCATGTGGCAGGGCAGAGTGGCAGAAACTGGTCCTGAGGACAGCGGTGAGCCGCTGGATCGACACCCGAAGCCCGATCTACCTCTGCACTTTCAGTTACATCACCAAGGAGCTCCCTTGGTTATTTTCTGTTACTTGCATCCAAAAGCATGCTCACTGCTATTCTGATCCGGAGTCGCAGAAGTCTCTCAGATGCAGTTTGCCAGAGAAACTTTTGGAAAGACTTTACTCCTACATACACAGTCTTGATGGACTTGGGCAGATAATTGGGAGAATTCCCCAGGTTACCAGGCAGAGTCTCTTGCTCTCTACCTTCCCTTTCCTTCAGTCAGGAGTCTTTCTCTGTACTGGCCTGCCCAGTGTTGGAGGTGGGTGACACAGGCACTCCTGTAGCCACCACAGTTGCAACTATGCTGAGTTGCATCTGAAGCCCTGAAGACCAGCACAACATTGGGGTTCACCCAAGGGCCATGGCCAATCTGCGTGACTGCCACTGGTGTTATTCAAGGCCAAAGGCCACTTTAGTTGCCCAGGCGGGAGTGCAGTGGCACGATCTTGGCTCACTGCAACCTCTGCCTCCCAGGTTCAAGCGATTCTCTTGCCTCAGCCTCCTGAGTAGCTGGGATTACAGGTGTGTGTCACCACACAGAGCTAATTTTTGTATTTTTAGTGGAGGTGGGGTTTCACCATGTTGGCCAGGTTGATCTCGAACTCCTCACCTCAAGCGATCCACCCGCCTCAGTCTCCCAAAGTGTTGGGATTACAGGCGTGAGCCACTGTGCCTGGCTAAGACTTTTTAAAGAGCAGTTTTAGGTTCATAGAAAAATGAAGAGGAAAGTACAGATTTTCCATATATCTCCTGCCTCCACGCATGCACAGCCTCCCTTACTATCAACATCCCCTACCAGAGGGGTTGGTATCTGTTACAGCTGATAAACCTACATTGACACATCACTATCATCCAAAGTGCATAGTTTACATTAGGGCTCACTTATAGTGTTGTACATTCTAGTGGTTTGGACAAGTGTATAATTATATATACTTTGTATATTATTATGCAGTGGTGTCATACAGAGTATTTTTACTGTCCTAAAGATCCTTTGTGTCCCCACCTATTATTCCTTCTTCCCTCCAAACCCTAGCAACCACTGATCTTTTTACTCTCTTCAAGTTTTGCCTGTTCCAGAATATCATGTAGTTGGAATCATACAGCATATAGCCTTTTCAAATTGGCTTCTTTCACTTGTTAATATACTTTTAAGGTTCCTCTATGTCTTTTCATAGCTTAATAGTTCATTTCCTTTTAGTACCGAATAACATTCCGTTGTCTGGATATATACCACAACTTATTTATTCATTCACCTACTGAAGGACATCTTGGTGGCTTCTAAGTTTTGGCAATTATGAATAATGCTGCTATAAACATCTGTGCATAGGTTTTTGTGTGGACATAGGTTTTCAACTCTTTTGGGTAGATACCATGGAGTGTGATTGCTGGATCATATGGTAAGAGTATGTTTAGTTTTGTAAGAAACTGCCAAAATGTCTTCCAAAGTGGTTGTACCATTTTGCATTCCCACAGCAATGAACAAGAGTTCCTGTTGTTTCACATCCTTGCTAGCATCTTATATTTTCAGCGTTCAGGAGTTTGGCCATTCAAATAGATGTGTAGTGGTATCTCTGTTGTTTTAATTTGCGTTTCCCTGATGACATATGTGGAACATCTTTTCGTGTACTCATTTGCCATCTGTATGTTTTCCTTGGTGGGTGTCAAAGTCTTTGGTCCATTTTTTAATTTGGTCATTTGTTTCCTTATTGTTGGGTTTTGTGAATTCTTTTTATATTTTGGATAACAATCCTTTATCAGATGTGCCTTTTGCAAATATTTTCTCTTTGTCTGTGGCTTGTTTTGTCATTCTTATTTTTTTTTAATTATTGTAATTGAGATGGGGTCTCACTATGTTGTGTAGGCTGGTCCTGAACTCCTGGCCTCAAATAATCCTCTCACCGTGGCCTCCCAAAGTGCTGGGATTACAGGCATGAGCCACTATGCCTGGCTTATTCTGTCGACAGTGTCTTTCACAGAGCAGAAGTTTTAAATTTTGAAGAAGTCCAATTTAGCAATTATTTATTTCATGGATCATGCCTTTGGTGTTGTTTCTAAAAAGTTATTGTCATACCCGAGGTCATGTAGGTTTTCTTCTATGTTATCTTCTAGGAGTTTTATAGTTCTGCATTTTACATTTAGGTCTATGATCCCTATTGAGTTAATTTTTGGTAGGAGTGTAAAGTCTGTATCTAGATTAATTTTTTTGCATGTGGATGTTCTGTTGTTCTAGCACCACCTGAAGAAGCTTTTCACAGTTGTACCAGCACTAGACCTCAGACCTCAGACCTCAGACCTCAGGGACGACTTTTCCAAAACATTCTTTCTTATGCCTCTCCCATCTCACTGAATTGGTCTCTTGGCAAATGCCAAACTCCTTAGAGCACTGTATCAGGAGCAGGGCCAGACCAGCTCAGCATGGCAGAAAGCCTGAAATTATTAGCACAACATCCCCATGTGATAGGTAGTAGTTTATTGCCTGTATTCTACAAAGTTGAAAACAGAGATTAAGGGACTTACTCAGGGTCAGAAAAGTCTTCTATTTCGAATCTAAGATTAGTCTGTCTGATTAACTAATTGCAATCCGTCTGTCACATAGAAGAGAGTAGGGCTTTTCAGGAGGAGACAATCTGGCTGGCTGCTTCACTGATTGGCAATTTATTGATACGGACACCACAGATCTGATCCTCAGCTTTACAGATACAATAACTACTGTGCCCTGTGCTCAAGGAGATTAAACTAGAAAGGATCAATTCATCATATCCAAACTTATAAGAGACTGATGTGTAAATCAGTTTGTCAGATTATTTATAATAGGAAGTGTTTCTCACACGTGAGAACCCGTAAATTCCTGAATATGTCCCAACTTGAGAAACACTGCATTCAAACTTCCATTAGGAGACTTTAGTTTAGATCACTTGACCATAACAGTCATGAATGCAAATCCAGCATGGGCATTGATGTTATGTGGCAGTACTCTGTAAAAAGGTGGTGACACTTGTGTTAAAAATTTTATATTATCTTTAAAATGAAAACGCCACATTTAAAAATTCTTCTAAAGAATTCATGGACCTCTGAAAATATTATTTAAGAATCCAACTTTAAAAACAATGCAATAAGACAAAGGCTTTGCTTGAAAACTGTGGTTGTTTATAGATACAGGATGCTCTAAAGCAAGCCCACTCAGGAAACTGAGTTGCAGATTAGAAGGTGGGTTGGTGGGAGTAGAAAAAGAACAGAGGGAGTTTGCTGTTCCCAGGGAATACGGTACTCAGACAAGGGCAGTTACTTATCCTGTCTGCATTTGTGGCACAAGTATTTCTGTTTAAGATTCTACCAGTCAGGCCAGGCGTGGTGGCGCACACCTGTAATCCCAGCACTCTGGGAGGCCTAGGCAGGTGGATCACTTGAGCTCAAGAATTTGAGACCAGCCTGGGCAACATACAAAAATTAGTCAGGTGTGGTGGTGCACGCCTGTCATCCCAGTTACTTGCGGGGCAGAGGTAGGAGGATTGCTTGAGCCTAGAAGGTTGAGGTTGCAGTGAGCCAAGATCATGCTACAGCACTCCAGCCTGGGTGACAGAGTGAGACCCTGTCACAAAACAAAAAACAAAACAAAACAAACAAACAAAGATTCTACCCGTCATGGAGAACAGAGCACCATCTTTCTTGCATTATGGTGAAGAAGCACCAACAAATTATTACTCACTAACTTCCATTTTCCTAGACTTCATTTTGAAGCTGTGAACCCTCCCTGCCATTGCATCATTTCTTGGTAAATAGGATGCCCTTTCCACTTGACAAGGAAGAGACTTGGACCAGATCCGTGAACTCCAGAGCCCCTGGCTTTTCCAATTAGCATGTTGCTAGTTTCTCTCATTGAACTAAATCATGAGGGATCCTTAAATACTACAGGAGACAGGAAAAGCAACCTTCTATCTCTTTCTCCATTTTATCCACAACAGTCTGAGAATCACTCATTCTTCTCAAATGACTTCTTCCAGTGTTCTCGACTTACCCCTTTTTCGGCATCTGCCTTTGACTGACCCTCCCCTTTCCCATCTACAGGCTCAGTGGAGTCAGTGCTAGGAACTAGGGAGCACCCACCGCCCACTGCCACATACTCCCTCCTAGCTCAGGAGCCGGATTGGACTAGAGCCAGACCCAGCACTGGGCTGCCTCCAAGCAGCCTGGGAGAATGCCTGCTGTTCCCAGGCAGTGATTCTGGGCACGGCCTTCAATTGCCAACTCTTCCCAGGCCCCTCAGAGCCCAGAAAGGGCATGTAATCCCTTACACTGCTTGGCAAGTGCCTGTTTGTTCTCTAGCCTGGTCAGAACCAGGGAGAAGGGTGCCTGGCTAGTTGCGGAAATGAGAGTGCTGCCCAGGAGTGCTGCTGGGGAGCTTGTGGTCGGTGGACCCCACTCTAACCTGTCTGCTATACCTACTCAGTGCTGACACCCGTGCAGGTGCCACCAGTGTGCTCTTCAGTCTAGCCGGGCTGGACTGCTGCTATCACCTTTATCTGCCCTATCACTTCCTACCTGTGCATGCGGCTCATCTTCTTCCCACAGCCTGGACTGCTTGTCCATTTTAGCTCCTCCTCACCAAATCCTCCCCACCCTTGAAGAGCCACAGCTGAAACGAGCCCTCCAGGAAGCCTTCTATGATCTACAACCAGAAAGAATCCTTCTTTTTTTTTTTTTTTTTTCAACTGCCATACCCATTTTCCTGGACCTGTCTTCAAAAAAAAAAACAACATTCTATTATAGCTATTTCAATTACAGCTATATTTCAATTATAGCTATAATCTATTTCAATTATAGCTATTGATGTACATTTCTTATCTATTATACCAGGAAATAAAGTAGGCATAAGGGCATGTCTTACTGACTTTGTTTTTCCCATAAGGTTCTAAACATTGTAGGTACTTAATCAATATTTGCTGAGTGAATAATAAACGAGAAGGGTTGTGCATATGGTGCACAAATGACAGAAGCCTGGGCCCTTCACGAGTTTCCCTTCTGAAGCTGCCTCTAAGCAGGGCTTCCGGGGATTCCTCTGACTTCCTCACACACTTGCAGCTAAGGGGATCCATTGCAGCGGGGAAGGGAGCCTCCAGCTCCTCAATCCAGCAGGAAACCAGTGTTCCTTCCGACTGGTCAGTGCTTAGGCCACCCAAGTTGTGAAATATTTTGAATATCAGCCCTGCATGCAAGGAAAGGCAGCACTCAACCAGATGACATTAAAGAGACACTGGGTACAAATGCGTGTTACGGCAGTAAGACATTCTCATTGAAGGAGGTGAGAGAAGATGGGGAAGCCGGGTGTTGGAAGCTGGAAAGCAGGGGAAATCATTTCACCTTTTGTTAATTACTTGTGTAACTTTGGACAAAAGAGTACTAGCCTGGAGCCAGAGACCTGAGTTCTAGTCTGGTACTGACACCTGCACTTGGGTCTTGGGCAAAGTCACTTCATCTTGTCACAGTTAATTAGCCTACACAGTAAAAGAGGATGGTCAAGGTTATGGTGAGATACAGGGCTGCTTGGTGAATGTAGAAAGTCATGAAGCCTGGAGAACGGACAGGTCAAAGGGAAAGTGTTTATATGTTGAGCTTTCCTGTGAAAGAAAGTGTCCATTTTGTGTGTGTGTGCTGTACTTTAACAGGATACATTGGCTCTCCACCAAGCCTTGGAATTGAGCATCTGCCAAAAGATGGAGAAAATAAACAGGAGTATTCAGTGTTAACCTGACATTTCAATACCTAATGTGCCCAGTGGTCCAAAGTATTTTCGCTTGAAACAAGAAGTACTTCTTGTCAGTTCAAATCACAGTTAAACTGTGCTCTTTTTCTTTATAAAGATAGTTTTAAAAAATTTAAGTTCTTTATCATTTCTCCTCTGAAAGGGCTCACAACACACTGCCAAGTGTGCCCGTGAGCACAGAGTAGGTTCTGTAAAAGTTTGTCATCATTTATTTTATTATCATTGTTTTATGCTTTTGCTTAAGAAAATCACTTGTTGATTATATTTTTCTGTGCAAATAGAATTGCTTAATAGAAGAAAAGGAAATAAAGCAACTGTCAGCAAATTACCCAAAAGCAGAAGTTGAGTTTCTTTCACGTGAGTGTTCAAGTGTTTCAGCCACACACTCTAGTCTTGGCAGCTCATGATTGGCAAAGGCCGGAGCTGTGTTGAGCAAAGTCAGAAGTGCAGACAGCTGAGCAGCCAGAAGCATGCAGGCAGGCGGTAGACACGTGGGGTGGTGTTGGGGATGAGTCTTCGTTTGTTTGTTAAGACAGGATCTGGCTCTGTTGCCCAGGCTGGTGTGCAGTGGTGCGATCTCGGCTCACTGCAATCTCCACCTCCTAGACTCAAGCCATCCTCCTGCCTCACTACAGGTGCACACCATCATGCCTGGCTAATTTTTCTATTTTTTGTAGAGATAGGGTTTCACCATGTTGCCCAGGCTGGTTTTTAACTCCCAAACTCAAGCAATCTGCTCACCTTGGCCTCTCAAAATGTTGGGATTACAGGCATGAGCTACCACACGAGGCCTGGGGCAGAATCTTTGAGCAAGGCCACTTAGTGGCAGCGAACACCAACCACTCACAAACTCAGTTATAATCCATGTAACAGAAACTTGCTGTGGACTTTCTAATTTCTCAGACATGTGTTGTAGTTCAGGAATCTTGAAAGCTCCCCATGGGAACTTTCTCTAAACTGGTTCTGTTCAAGATCAAACCCTGACCTGCTGACTTGTAAGATAATTTTCTGCATTTGAGAAACATTGGAATCTGAAAGTCTTAAAAATAAGTATATGATAATAGCTTACAATCTGGAATAGAGATTTACAGTTTCAATAAT
The DNA here is from genome assembly GCF_000001405.40 of Homo sapiens. Lineage (NCBI taxonomy): Eukaryota > Metazoa > Chordata > Mammalia > Primates > Hominidae > Homo > Homo sapiens. Next base: position 173,996,810 of record NC_000002.12, on the reverse strand, counting down.
ATGCACTTAAGCTTGAATTGTTCCCAACTTCTTTTTTTCTAGATAGGAGCCATAAATATAGTACCTAGTAGGAAATAAAGGCTGATAGGTGAGCAGTGAGACAGTTGATTGTTTTTCTGGCAAAGAGAATTTTCATAACTTATTCATACACTACTGGATTAATGCTTAGACTAGCTGTTGGCTGTTTATCACCAACAAAAATTTGGTTTCTGTTTTTAATCTTGATAAGAGAGCAGTTGTTATTGTTGTCTTCAGAGAAAGAATGGTACCTGAGAGAGAGTGGCACCAACAAGTAGGGCCAGAGTTTTTACAAGGGGAGCTTTGTTACACCAAAAGGATTTGGGGGTTGGTATTTTAACACATTCTGCCTCAGAAAATTAGGTTTTCTAATGGCTTTTGTTGTTAAATGCAAGTGGATAAAATATGTGTCTGATTAGTTTCATGATAAGAGGGCAAGTCCCCAACTTTGCTTATACCAGATATAAGCTGATGCATTGGTTTTGCCTTAAGTCTGAAGTTTTAGGAAGGACTTTAAATGTAAGTATAAGTAGCAACATAGACACTTGTCTCCTTCAGGTCTTTCATCAATGTCACATCTCAATCAATGCCTACTTTGACCATCTTATTTAAAATTGTGATATCACACGCAGCCTCTACACTCTATTGCTTTTCTTCATTGCACATATCACTTTCCAACCTACGAATTTACTTATTTGTTACATTTGCTAGCTATTATCTGTCTCCTTCTACTAGAAGGTAACCTCCGCAAAGGCAGGGTTGCCTGTGTTATTCACTGACATATTTTTAGTGCCATAAACAGTGCCTGGTTTGTAGTAGGCACACAGTAAACATTTGTTGAATGATTGGATGGACATCTAAATATCTGCACTTTCAAATCCTCTTCAGATCATAGAACACTACCAATATCCAACAACCCTAAGGTGCATTTCCTTTTATTTTTATTATTATTATTTTTAGGTGCATTTCTTAAAGACAAAATCCCTGTGGGTGTATGTGATCAAAGTATAGTCTGAGTACTGGTGTTGGAACACAAATGTTTGGGGTTCCAGTCATTCTTTGAGCGTTTATGGAAGCAGCTAAGTGTCAACTTTGTTTAGGACATACGGAGGAAGCTCTCTCAGTTACTAGTAAGTCAAGGCAGCATATATTTGTGAACCACTCATTTCTGTGTACCTGGTGCTGAACTCACTGTGGCACTTCCCAAAAAGTAGTGCACTCTGCCATTGTTCTCACCAAAGTTTGCCATGTGGCTGGGGAAGTTTCCATGTAAGGGCTGCCTTACGGATCTTGACTCTTATTAGCAAGAGGATGCACCTAAGTTTGAGAAAGGAACTGCTCTAATTTGAGGGTTTTTTTCTCTAGGCCAGTGAAGATCATTAAAAGCATTTGCAATCACTTGCTTAGACCAGTGGCTGGTTCCTTTGACTTGATGACCAAAAATTTTTCAAAGTAATTATTTGTGTAGTGAGACTGAGCTGAATATTTTCAAATTATCTCTGTATCCAGGTGCTCTTGTGAGGAAGATAGCTTGCATGTTTCCCTGCTGTCCTCTACTTGCTGTAAGTGATTCAGTCATAATTGGATGCCCAATTCTCTTGTCTCTTTAACGAAGACACAAGTCTGTGTTTGACTCTTACCCTGGCTTACCAATCAGAGCTCCCCAGGTCCTCCCAGGCATGTTCCCCTGTGCTCTCACCTGATCAATACACTCATTGTCTAGTCCCGTGGTCTCTGGTCCCTCCACTTCTAGCCCCCACTGCATGTCAGAACCAGATTAATCCTTCTAATTCATGGCTTTCACCTTATTGGGCATCTCTTTAGAAATTAACTTGACAACAATCCATAGAACGAAATCCAGACTTCTCACCCTAGTGTCCTAAGCCTTCCATCAAGTGGTCCATCAGGTTTAGGTGACCTGAGCTCCTACTCCCAACCAGAATGAACACTGTGCTTCAAACTGGTCTCTTGACTCCTCTTTCCATTCCAGGCTCTCATTTTCCCTTTCCCAGTCCTTGCTCTCCATCCTGGTCCCATCTCCATGATTCTGACCCCATCTCTATGACTCTATTGATGCTTCTTCTCATCCATCCACCCATTCATTCATTCAGTAGATATAGAGCTCCTACCATATACTAGGCAGTGTTTCAAGCTCTGGGGATATAATCTAGGCAATTTGAATGTCTCTCCTTTTACCTCAATCCAAGGTGATCCAAACCATAGACTGCCTTCAAGAGCCAATTCAAACCTCAACTTCTCAATGGTTCCCTGACTCTGCAAGGCAGCCAAGTGTACTGGTTAAGAGTAAAGGCTTAGGAATCAGATAAATTAGTGTGAGAATTTTGCTCTGCCACCGAATACTTGTGGAATATTGGGCAACGTACCCAATCTTTCTAAGCCTCCCATTACCTCATCTATAAAATCGGGATCATAGGTACCTCATGGATTTGTTGTGAGGATAAAGAGAGATAATCAATAGTGATATTGCTGTTATTAACTTTTCTTTCTCTAAAAACTTACAGCAGAATAAATGATGCCTGGCTAATTAAGAACGAGTGAATTTTGCTTGTGATGTATTTGTGTGTCTCTTGAAACTCCTTCCTTGCTCCGTAGTACTTAACAAATGCATAGTGAATGCATGCCCAGTAAGAGGACACTTCACTGTCTCATCTCTCCTATTGGATCCCCAGTTCCTCAGGGATACCAGCTTCTGGCTGTTCTTTCTATACCCTCTCCCAGGCCAGATGAACTCATTCTGTGAACTGAAAGCCATTAAGATAGAAAAGGAGATGCCTCTATCTAATCTGAGGCTAATAGGAGAGGAAAACTTTTACAAACTGGAGGGGGCATGAATTTCTAGATAGCGTTAAGTGGTCATATCAAAGTATAACCCACGGCTTCAATTTGGTCTGTCAAAGATGGAATTAAAAGTAAATTTGAAGTTTCACAACATAGTTCTCTCTATTATGGGTGCTTCTGTGCATTAAAATCATCTGTATGAGGCTCACTGGGATGGGCAGAGATTCAATCACTGCTAATGGCTTAAGGAAATGGGGTGGTGAGAATTAGGGTCATCTATCCCAATTGGGGCAAGAAGGAGAGCTAGAAAATGTTTTTCAATCTTGACATCTTGCCAGCTGGAGCTGAAGGGAAATGTTTTTCTGAACTCATTGAGCAGCCTACTCACAAATCATAGAGATAGCTGCATTCCATGAGAATATATATAATTTTTATGTGGTCTAGTTAAAGACTTGTACCACCCACTCAGAGTTGTGCAGAGCACTCCTCAGGGACCCTTGAAACTACACCACACCACGAGGTAGAAGCCCACTTTAGCAAATGCCATGGTCATGGGTTTTATGCAGTGAGGCTATTTGCATATCTCCAGTAACAGTTTGGAATATTACAAGAAAAATACAACATGGCAGATGCACCCACCAAATTCTGCATATTTAGTCATCAGTAGATAACTAAGATATTGTCCATAGGTATGATATTTAGGTGTGGTATCTTTTGAAATACTTATTTGGTGTTAAGTAGTCTTAATAAGAATAAATATTCTAAATAGGTTACAAATGAACTTTTTCTTTTCAAAAAAACTTTAATCCTACAATCTCGTCCAGTTCATTTTTTTTTTTTTTTTTGAGACGGAGTTTCGCTCTTGTTTTTCAGGCTGGAGTGCAGTGGCGCCATCTTGGCTCACTACAACCTCCACCTCCCAGGTTCCAGTGATTCTCTTGCCTCAGCCTCCCATGTAGCTGGGATTACAGGCACGCGCCTCTACGCCTGGCTAATTTTTTCTATTTTTAGTAGAGATGGGTTTTACCATGTTGGCCAGGCTGGTCTCAAATTCCTCAGGTGATCCACCCGCCTCGGCCTCCCAAAGTGCTGGGATTACAGGCGTGAGCCACTGTGCCTGGCCTCATCCTGTTCTTAAGACCAGCCTGGGACAAGGGCAGAACGGATAATTATGACAATGTTACAATGTTACAGGTGAACAAAGAGAAACGGTAAATGACTTGCCCAAGGTCACGAAGCCTATAAGGAGTAGAAGTAGGACAAGAATCCTAGTGGCCATTACTATTATTGTGATGATTATTATATTGACTCCATGACATACTTCTCTGATTGCTCTGCTCTGCTGTCCTGTATGAAGAGATTTCAGTAATGCGTGTGCCCCAGAGCGGCTTTAGTCTACCCTGGGCTGAGGAGTAGGGTGGCACTGATTGGGTCCTTGCCTTTGGTGCAGATATGGGCTGAAAACCTGGACTTACCTTCCTGGCCCATTTCTTAGTTTTGTTTGTGGCCAGGTATGAGTAAGATGGTTAGAACTGGGGCCCTTTTCACATTTCATGTTTTTCTGGTTTCTAAAAATGAAAATGGCAAGAAATCCCTGCAGCAGGAGTATTTGTTCTAGGCAGGGTATTTCCTGCCAGTTTCCTCCAGGAGGAAGATTTACCTTTAGGGCAGTCACGCTCCCCATCCTAGGTATGTGATTGCTCTGACACCTTTTGAAGCTACATCAGATTCAGCCTTTCAGGCGTGTCCTGGTCTGACTATTGGATTGGAGTGCAAATGCAGTAGATTGCATGAATTAATTTTATTTAAAAAAACAAAACAAAACTGTTCTTAAAGCTGGGAGGTGCACACATTTGCCAATATTATCCTGAAGCTTTAAGGGCCCTCCCAGCCCCAGGGGAGTTGGGCTGGCTGGCTTGACTGCAGTAAGAAGCTGTGGTGACCAGCACGGACTGACGCATGCTGGTTTGACGGTGGGACAGCATCTGGCACAAGCCCTGGCAGTTCATTATCTGAGATCACTCACTTGCATTTGGTCTTTGCTTGAATTTCTTTTGGAAAAAAAGAAGAGAAACACACCCCAAATTCCAGGTAATGGAACATCATTAAATTGGAGGCACCAAGGTTGTGAGAATGGGGAGGATTTTCACTGGACAAGAAAATGTAAAACACCCTTGCTCCTCCATAGCTGGAACTCAGCCATATTGCACGTCTGCATTAATCTGGCTGGTTGTTCTGAGGGCAAGGACCTGAGTTTTGGATGCTCACGAATCAGAGAACGGTGCCAGGGGAAACCCAGAGTTGCATTTAGCAACTCTACCCAGAGAATGCAAAATACACCTTCCTGTTCAGTCCCCTTTACACATTACTTAGACGTGGTGGACTCCCAAAGCTGCAGGGGAAGGCATGACTTCGAAAGTCTCTAACAGGCTCTACGAACATGCTTTCCCACATAAACACTGAGACATCTGGGGAGAAAGGGGGGGAAAAAAGAGGGGTGGAGGCAGGGAGACCTCTAGACAGAATAAGCCAAGAGCGCAACAGCAGCTGTGAACGTGCCAGAGGCAGGCAGGCAGAGAGCCAGGATTCTCTGAGCAAAAGCTAAGCAGCAGGGCAAGCCACTCTCCCAGCAGAGTCACTGGCCTGGAAGTGTTGGATGGTGCCCACCAGTTGCCTAAGCAACCAGGGGGTGTCTAGAATTTCTGGGGGTTCGTTTAAGCTCTGGACCCCAAGAGGGGACTTCTTTATTCTTTCCTAACTGCATGGAGAACAGTTGGAGGGTCTGAAGGGACCATGTGGGTTGGGCTCTGAGAGCTGCTTCCTCCTCGGCTAGCAGAGTCTCTGGCCGTTGTGGATGCGTCAGTGCAGTAGCTCTGTGGCTCTCAAGCTGGGTTCTGCATGGAAAATCATATTCGTTACTGTATCCTAATAATTTGGCATGGGTGGGACTTAATTTTTTAGTTGTTGACTCAAGGTCTCTGATGCACAGGCTGGAGTGCAGTGGTTCAATCACACCTCTCTGCAGCCACCAACTCCTGGGCTCAAGCAATCCTCCCACCTCAGTCTCCCAAGTAGCTGTGACTACAGGTGTGCACCACCTTGCCTGGCTAATTTTTGTATTCTTTGTAGAGATGAGGTCTTGCTATGTTAGTTGCAGACTCCTGGCCTCAAGCAATCCTCCTGCCTTGGCCTCCCAAAGTGCTGGGATTATAGGTTTGAGCCACCGCACCCGGCTTAATTTTTAAATTGTCCTTTGCTGGCTGGGGATCATGTTCTTCTCCCTAGAGTCTCTGCATCACAGTTCTCGAGTCTCCAGCATCCTCCAGCACTTATGATTTCCCTTTTCCCACCCCAGCAGGAAAGAAACTGAGCATGCTGACACTTATAGTATCTCATCCTCAAATCCTCGGAGGCCCAGTCCTCGAGAGAGGTGGTAGCCTTATCTACACCAGCTGTGTGCAGCCCACATCCACAGAGGGGTAGGGAGAGAGCCACAAACACAGCCTCCTCCACTCCGTGGCACCCCCTCTCTTTTCAACCCTCTTCTTTTCTAAAACTAACTGCATTCCCTAGGCCGCCTTATTTTATTTCCTGGCTCCCAGAAATCTTTAGTGTGAGAACAGGCAGAGGAATCTCCTGGGGTGTATTTGGAAGGAAGGGAGTAAGCTCGGGGTTGGATAACTTCCACAAGCGGAATCTCAATCAGTGGTTCTTAACCCTGCTGCACAATAGAATCATCTGGGAGCTGTTAAAAAAATTGCAACGCTCAGGCCGAGGCCCAGAGATTTGGTTCAATGGGTCTAAATAAAGGTTTTGTTTAAAACATTTTTTTTGACAAAGATATTTTTAAAAACAACTCTCAGAGATGAGAAGCACCGACCTAAAGGTGAGTAGCTTGGGCATAAGCACAGGAAAGTCTCCTGTGTGCTGTGTGATGGGTCTGAACCTTATTCATCTGCAGGAGGCCTCTCAGTTTGGGCTGGTCAAGCAGCTGTGCTTGTTGGCAGAGACAGCTTGCTTCCTCCCTTTATCTACCAGATACACCCTCTTCCTTGGCCTAAACTTGAGGGAGGTGATGTTGGGTACAAAGACCCCAATTCTGTGGCATCATTACAGCAAGAAAGTTTTTGAGCAGTCGGCAGAGGAGAAATACTACTTCAGAGCACTGGGAGGGAGGGGGGTGGCTGACTTTTTTTCTAGGTCTAAAATAAAACCCAGAGGATGGGCGGGATGAAGACAAAAGGAGGGATGAAACAGAAGTGAAACAGCAGATAGAATCATGAACGAAAATGAGAGCATCCAGAAAGACTAAAAATTCTCATACACCTGTTCTTTGAACATCTCAGAAAGTTGGTCTTTTGACTCAAACAATTAAAATTACAAGTGGCCTTCCTTGGAAATCTGTCTCAAATCTCTGAATAGCTATAGCTCTGGCAGCTGCGTTGGGACAGTTATTTCAGTGTCCCAGAGGAAAGATATTTTGGGGTTTAGTCCTTGCCAGAAATAAGAAGCCAAGGGAAAAGGAGAAACATTACAGAATTTCCAAAAATATTTTGATAGCAATGCAAAACTTTGTAGAGGCTTGAAGAAAAACTAGAATACACTCTTATTTTAAGGACGCCTAGTGGACTGGCTCTGTATTTTGGCCAGTAGATTATTATGTTTGTCAGATATTCGGAAGGGCCTGTAAGTTCATGGATATACACATTTGAGTGTGTGTGTATACTGTGTGTGTGTGTATTTGTATGTATGCGTGCATTGGTTTATAATATATGTTCTCAGTCACTGTTGTGATTTGTATATATGGACTAGATTAGTTTTATTTAAGTTTTAAAATAATATAGGCCTTTTCCTATTTAGGAAAATGAGAGCGATAACATCAGGTAAGTCTGGTGGGAAAGTTAAACAGGGAAGTCTTCAGTTAGAGATTTAAAGTTGGACTATACCACTTAAGCATCAAATAAGACCTGACCCATCTGCAGTCATCAAGGCAGTTCTGGCTCATTACCGTACTCAAGAACCTTTTGTAGGTCTGGCTGGGAAATCATTTGTTCCTAAGAAAGCTTGCTGTTTTTCTCCTCCAGCCTTTCTTCCCTGTACCAGCTCCTACGTCCCTTGCATTGCTTAGGAAAAGTCTCTTTCTTTCTCTTCTTTCCTTCTTTTTTTTTTTTTTTTTTAGAGATGGGGTCTAGCTCTATCACCCAGGCTGAAGTGCAGTGGTACGATCATAGCTCACTGCAGACTCCAACTCCTGGCCTCAAACTATCCTCCCACCTTAGCCTCCCGCACAGCTAAGACTGCAGGCACGCGCCATCCTACCTTGCTTGGAAGAGTTTGTTTCTACTGTGTCCCAGTCTTAGTGGTTAAAGGACTTTGCTTCTCCCCCAGCAGTTTGGCAATAAGACTGTTTAATGGGTTCTCATTTTTATTAGTGAAAACTATTATTGTTCTGTAATATTTTATTTGTTACAATGTGTTCATTTTCTCCACTAACACCCAAGGGCGGTGTTGTACAGGGTACAGTTTTGAAAATAAAAAATAAAAATAAAACAACGTTAATTATGCCTTAAAGGTTGGCAGATGTGGATTTAAGAATTATTACATTGTACAGGTATCCCTCAGTCCTGTGCATGTTAATAAATATCTTTCCATCAGTCAACTTGTCTGGGCAGCCAAATCTGTAGAATCAGTTTTTGATTAAAGCTACCAAAAGTGGCAAAGCTTTGCTTATCTCAGCAAAGAAGGTTTTCATGCAATTTGGGACAGAGGAATAAACATTTCCGTGGTAAAAAATAAAAGTACAGGGTTTGAAGGAACAAGATTTTCTTAAGTCATCCAAGTGTGAGGCCCTGAAGGATAGGTAGCTAATACTGAGTAGAATTCAGATTGGAGTTCTCCTCCAGAACTCAGCAATTGAGTAAACAATACGTTATCTGCTCCATAAAGTGTGTAAAACAAACTCACCCTAGTGGCTCTCTTTTTAACTTTCTCTGTGATAAGGAAAAGAAATTGTATATTTATTTAAAAAGAATGAATGAATGAATGAAAGACTATTTTCATTCACATGATTATACCTGAAGGAATTTGTTTTGTTTCTTTGAATTTTAAAATATTGACACTGGGGCTGGGCATGGTGGTTCACACCTGTAATCCCGGCACTTTGGGAGGCTGAGGTCAGGAGTTTGAGATCAGCCTGGCCAACATAGTGAAACCCTATCTCTACTAAAAATACAAAAATTAGCTGGGCATGGTGGTGGGCGCCTGTAATCCCAGCTACTTGGGAGGCTGAGGCAGAAGAATTGCTTGAACCCAGGAGGCGGAGGTTGCAGTGAGCCGAGATTGTGCCACTGCACTCCAGCCTGGGCAACTGAGCAAGATTCCATCTCAAAAGAAAAAAAAAAATTGACATTGGTAACATGTAAGCCCCCCAAAGCATAGTTTCAAGTTCATGTTGTTACTAAATTTAAAATTGAGCTTAATTAAGGAAGTTTTATAGTTAAATGCTAATTGATAATGATAATTAAAATTTTACAGTGCTGTACAGTTTATAAAAAGTGTTCATATGCTTGCTTATTTAATTTTCACAAACCTAGAGAGGAAGATCAGAGAAGTTTTATTATCTCCACTTCGTGGGTAGAAAAGCCTCAGGAAAGTTAAGGAACTTGCCCCAAGCCATAAAACTGGTACCCTGAAGAAATTAAATCTAACACGAAACCCATGGTCTTGTTTAATTGCTAATGGATTCATTGGTAAGGACAGTTGAAAGCTAATGAGTGTCGGTATCTTGGATCATATGGTTTCTTATTAAAGTTTTAAATTTTGTTAGGGTTTTCTCAGATGGTAAGCAAGCTTAAGCTTCCCATGGTTTCAGTTCTCTCTGTCCCATATTCATCAGAACTGTTGGCTCAGGCAGCTGTTGTTCCTGGTCCCAATATTGAATGAGATCTAGAAAAATTCTTTCCTCTTAGCATAGTCCAGCCCAGCTGTGACAACATTGGACCCTTTCGAAATTGGCTCATCCTAGTAAACTGGGTAAACAATTACGAAAGCATATAAATGGATGAGTTGATGGAACAAAGTTTTTTAAATTCTAACTTAACTATTGCCTGGCCTATATCTGCAGCAGCTTTCAGGACACCCAACACCAGCTTCCTTGCCTTGATTTCATCCTGTTTGGGGTGATGAAGAAGATGTGATACCAAAGTACTCAAGATTTCCCATCTAACAAGAAATCAGTCCTCTCTATTGTACTCTTAAGCATGAGCTCTGTCTGATCACGCATCCTGCTGTAGTCACTTCTGTTCTTCAGCCACCTTTGGCACTTCTGTTAGACCTCACAGGGCATGTCATCTAATGTGACAGAAAAGCACTAGGCTGAGAGGAAGGAAGCAGGGGACAGACACATCTACATCTCTCTGTGTGACACTTGCAAGTCACTTTGCTTTTCTGGTCTCAGTTTCCTCATCTAGGAAGTAAGTGGGTTAAGCTGGACCCACTCATATTTTCTCAGCCTCTGTCCTAGAAGTCTCTGGGAGAAGTCAGAGATCCCTGAGGGCCAGAGCCTAACAAGCCCCTAAAGGCCGAGGCCTAAGAGCTTAAGAAGCCCCTGAGGTAGTAAGGAAAGGGGCCTCTTTAACACATAAGAGAGGATTGGGTTGGACCTGGGGCCCAGAAATGCAGAGACCCTACTTCTCCAAATACCCAAGGTGCTGAAAACAAAGTCATTTGGGGCGCAGAGATACAAATACCAGGGACAAGCAAGGTAATAACCTCCAAGAATTGAGACTTAGAGAAAATGCACAACTACCACAGGATTGACAGATGATGCCCACGTGGGACTCTTCTCTATTGGAATGTAAACTTCATTCTAATAGGTAGGACTTTTGTTCCATTTAATGATGGTTTCCACACATAGGCACTCCATACCTGCTTGTTGAATGACAAATAAATAAACTTATGATAAGCTAAATGAGCAATGTGAGATTATCTGACTTACCTAACTGCATTCACTCTAAAATCACCCTGAGTCCTAGGGCTGATCTCTGTGTAGTTGTGGTGTATTTAGAATCACTAGCTAAGCTACTATCCATGTAGCCACTAAATGGTGTAGCCTTGTACCACTTGCATTGACCCTTGCCTGTGGAATGGTTGGCCTGACATTTATGACTCTGCCCATTATCAGTTAATCAACATCTTGTGTATAATCATGCTGTAATACAATTCAGTCAGTAAGCTGAAATGGTCGCCAAGATCATATTGACCTTTGGAGACACTGATTGTACAGAACTAAGGGTGTGTTGATATGTGAGTGGATATGTAAGTAACAAATAGTAAACTGTGAAGAAAAGGAGAAAAAGAGAAGAAAGCCACCCTATCTTTGTGCCTCTGCTGCTTTGATAATCAGGAATGTGCTCGGATCAGTTTAAAAATACTCTGTGTTCTACTTTGAAAACAGAGTACATAAAATGATTTTCTTAACATTTTACATGTAATAGCGGCAGTCAGGTCTTTTTGAACACAGGAAAAGCCTGACACAAATATGGAACAAACCAAATATGGTAATAGGGTTAGAAAAAACCTGGCAGCTCCTGCAAAACCTGCACAGGGCCAATGCCAAAGCTCTGAACTGTTGCTGAGCTCTACCCCCTGAGGCTGGGCCGCCTTATCGGCCCTCTCCTTCAGACAGGTTCAGGCTTCTCTTCATTTGGTTTATCTGCAACCCAGTTCCATAACCTGATGATTTGCCTCTTTTGCTTAATTCCTACATTAGTAGTTTTTTTTTTTTTTCATTCCTACCAGCCTCTGTTCTGTCTGTGTTTTATGAAACATTTCCTCGTGGTGTGTCTGTACTGTGAGGCACATACTCCAGGATATCGGACATGTTGGTTAGCCCTGTGCGTTCTTCCCAAGAGGCATGTAGGTTTCCATAGTTTGGCTTATATGGGATCCTGTTCCTCCAAGCAGCGTGCAACTGAGTAAACAGATAAGGCAGGCAAACATTGGATGATGTGTAAATAAGTAAATAAAAGAACTAGGACAATGGAGGTTATAAGGAATATATTTAAAATACATAACTTACAAGGAAATAAGATTTGTTGTTTTTAGGCCAGGCGCAGTAGCTCATGCCTATAATCCTAGCACTCTGGGAGACCGAGGTGGGTAGATTGTCTGAGCTCAGAGGTTCAAGACAAGCCTAGGCAACATGGCAAAACCCCGTCTCTACTAAAAATACAAAAACATAAAAAAAATTAAAAAAATTAGCTAGGCATGGTGGCGCACACCTGTAGTCCCAGCTACTCAGGAGGCTGAGGCAGGAGAATTGCTTGAACTGGGAGGTGGAAGTTGCAGTGAGCTGAGATCTGGGCGACAGAGTGAGACCCTGTCTCAAAAAAATAAATAAATAAAATAAAAAGTAAAAATAAATAAATAAGATTAGTTGTTTTTAGTAGAGAGAGTAAAAAGGTCTGGCAGATGGATGGATTTATGACTTGTTCATTCCTCATCCAATGATAACTAAGTAAATGTGCTATGCTAGACACTGTAAGATAGAAAGAAGATGGATAAAACATAATTCCTACTCTTAAAGGTTATACTTTGGCCAGGCCTGGTGGCTCCTATCTATAATCCCAGTACTTTGGGAGGCTGAGATGGGAAAACTGCTTGAGCTCAGGAGTTTGACACCAGCCTGGGCAACATAGTGAAACGCTGTTTCTACAAATATAATAAAATTAGCTAGGCATGGTGGCACATGCCTGTAGTCCCAGCTACTTAGGACACTGAGGCAGGAGGATTGCTTGAGCCCAGGAGTTCGAGGCTGCAGTGAGTCACAGTCATGCCACTGTACTCCAGCTGAGTGACAGAGTAAAACCCTGTCTCAAAAAAAAAAGTTATAGTTTGTAGAAGAGAGATGATATATGTACTCATACTAGGGAAAAAGTATTATTACAAAGGAGATACACAAGGTTAAGGCAAGGAAGCAATGATTTGGGTTAGGGAGGAGGTGGAAGCATTTAAAGTGGGCTTAAAGCATGGATAAGATGGGTGCGATTTCGCGTAACGAATGTTTTGCCGGGTCACTGATGCCTCGAGGTAAAAATAAGTCACATTAGATGAAAAAGCAACATTTTTCTGGCTTTGGCCAAGATTTACCATCATAGCATTCTCAGAATCTTACAAAATCTGCTCTCCTCAGTATGTTTTTGGCAGTTGCCAGGGCAGTAGTTCTCAACCTTTTGAGGATTACATTCTTTTTTGAGAATCTGACAAAACCTATTGAATCTCTTCCCAGAAATACAAACATATACCCAGTAAGTTGATGTAATTTTCCAGAGTTCATGGACCCCTGCAGCCTGTTCTTGAACTCCCAGTGGTCCATGGTTTCTAGTGTAGGCATCCTGGTGCAGACTGTACCTGAGGCACTGAAGCTATTGGTGTTCACAGCAACGTAGCAAGGTCACACTGCCAGTGGCTTGGGAACGCTTGCTATGCACAGAAGCCACATTGTTTTCTCGGAGCTCTCAGTGCCTCTAGTGCAGACTGATCTGCATAACTCTTAGGGCCAATTTTGGTGCTAAAGCAGGGTTCCTCACTAGAGTGTTCCCACATGTACACACACGACCAGAATGAGGAGTGTAGTTTGCAGGGTACACGCATTTTTTAATGTTTTCCTGGTGATTCTGATACCTGTGATGCATCCCTCCACACCTACTGACTTAGGATGTTATTTTCTATGGGCCTCCTCCATCCCTCATGCTGAGATACTCCTGGCAAGCCCATCAGACATGCCCAGACGAATCTGTATCCTGGCTTGGAGCCCGGCTTTGGCTCAGGCTAGGACATCCCTCCCACTCCCCTTCCGTGCTGCATTTACACTGAAACTGGATGGCAAAATAAGGTCACCAACAAGGAAACTCTAGAAAAAAGGCAGTTTACAAGTGTTAAAGAAAATATTTCTATAACACAGCTGCATTGAACAGGGCTAGGCTGCAGCCTTTTGGAATTAAGGATGTGACCTGGGGTTGCTGACTGCATGTTGAGTTGTTCTGATTTGTAGTTTTAGAATTAGACCAACTTTTGGGAATAGTGAGGAGGTGGGGGTGAAAACCACATCCCTGTTACTATTTTTTATACCATTGAATATCAGTGTGGTAGCTCCCTCAGGACCAAAGCTGGATTACCCAATAGAGAGGGTAAACATGTGTTTAAGGCACCAGCAGCACCTCCTCCCATCATCATCTGCTCCCACCTTAATCAAGGCCATATGGGCTCTCTTCTCTACCAAGACCCCCTTTCTCAACTGGAAAGCGCAATCCAGGCAAAACTGTGGGTACCCTTTGTTTCCAGAGGATAATCTGTATCTCTGAAGACTTGAGGACAGACATCTAGTTCATACATCTCAGTTCTTTCCAAGAATTATTGCAGTTACTCACACATACCCACTCTACTAGATACTGGGTCAGACACTTCAGAAACAAAACATTTATGGTGAGTTTGTGGAAGGGAGATATTCTGGGGAAAATGTGAGAAGGCGACCTTCCTAAGATCCCTTGATTCATAATACAAAAGCAAGCTATGTTCACACCTGTCAGAATGACTCTTATTCAAAAAGATGAAAGATAACAAGTGTTGGCAAGGATGTGGAGAAAAGGGAACCCTTGTATACTATTGGTGGGAATATAAATTAGTACAGTCATAGTGGAAAACAGTATGGAGGTTCTACAAAAAATTAAAAATAGAACTACCATGTGATCCAGCAATTCCACTTCTGGGTATCTATTCAATGGAAATGAAATCAGTGTGTCAAAGAGATACCTGCACTTCCATGTTCATTGCAACATTGTTAACAACAGCCAAGACTGGAATCAACCTAAGTTCAACCTAAGTGTCCATCAGTGGATGAATGGATAAAGAAAATGTGTGTGTGAGAGATATATATGTCACATTTCGTTGTGTGTGTATATAAATATACACACATACTGGAATACTATTTTGCCTTAAAAAAGAAGAAAAGTCATTTGTGAAAACATGGATAAACCTGGAGGATATTATGTTAAATAAAATAAGCTAAGCACAGAACAAATACTGCATGATTTCACTTATATGTGCAATCTTAAAAAGTCTAACTTAAAAAGTCTAGAAACAGAATAGAATGGTGGTTACCAGAAGCTTGGTAGTGGGGTGGGAGTGGGGGTTGATTGGGAAGATGTTGGTTAAAGAATACAAAATTTCAGTTCAACAGGAGGAATAAGTTCAAGAGATCTATTGTGCAACATGGTGACTAGTTAATAACAACGTATTCTATACTTAAAATTGCCAAGAGAGTAGATGTTAAGTGTTCTTATTACACACACACACATCAAAATAAGTGTGTGTGGTAATGCACATGTTAATTAGCTGGATTTAGCCATTCCACAATGTATACAGATTTCAAAACATCGTGTTTTGTACAGCATAAATGCATACAACTTTTGTCAATTATAAAAAAAAGAACCATACCATCTGTGAACTAGGCCTGCTTTTTGCCTCAAGTTTTATTTATTTATTTATTTTTCCTTGCCTAAATTTAATGTAAAGCTTTTGCTGTCTTAAATGTTTTCATTAAGAGGAGTGGGGGGAAAGAGAAGGCACAAGGCTTTTTTAATCTTTTAATGTTTCTGGTTCTTTCTCTTTTTTTTTTGAGACGGAGTCTTGCTCTGTCACCCAGGCTACAGTGCAGTGGCGTGATCTCGGCTCATGCAACCTCCGCCTCCCAGGTTCAAGCGATTCTCCTGCCTCAGCCTCCCAAGTAGCTGGGATTACAGGTGCCTGCCACCGTGCCTGGCTAATTTTTGTATTTTTAGTAGAGATAGGATTTCACCATCTTGGCCTGGCTGGTCTTGAACTCCTGACCTCATGATCCACCCGCCTCGGCCTCCCAAAGTGTTGGGATTACAGGCGTGAGCCGCCGGTTCTTTCTCTTTTTTTTGGCAGAAAATTATGAAACTTTATTGCAAGACATTATGAAAATCTAAATAATACATACCCTATCTTCATGGCTAGAAATACACAATATAATAAAGATGTGAATTCTTTCAAAATTGATCTATAGATCTAGTAACAATGCTAATGAAAATTCTACATTTTTCATGGAGCCTGACAACTGGCTCTAAAATGTACATGTAAGAGCAAATTTCAAAACAACAACAACAACAACAACAACAACAACAACCACCACCACCCAAGACATTCTTGAATAAAAAGAATAACAGCTGGGTTCAGTGGCTTATGCCTGTAATCCTAGCACTTTGGGAGGCAGAAGTGGGAGGATCACTTGAGCCTAGGAAGTCAAGGCTGCAGTGAGCTGTGATCATGTCACTGCACTCCAGCTTGGACAACAGAAAAAGACTCTGTCTGAAAATAAATTTAAAAAACAGATAAGAAGGGAGGACCTTCTCCACAAGGTATCAAGCCTCACTATAATAAAATACTTAGGAGTAATTTTTTTTTTATTTCTAACTTTTAAGTTCAGGGGTCTATATGCAGGTTTGTTACATAGGTAAACGTGTGTCATGGTGGTTTGCTGCACAGATCATCCCATCACCCAGGTATTAAGCCCAGCATCCATTAGCTATTGTTCCTGATGCTCTCCCTCCTCCCACCCCTTTCTGGTTCTTTCTAATAACTTTCAGTCCTGACATCTGTTCTGAAATTGTCAGGACCTTAAAAGTTCTAAAATGGAGGCAAAGAGAATGGGAAACAGGAAAGAGAAATCCTGGCCTCCCTGAGCAGGACTTAAGAGTCCAGGCTCCTGTTTCCTGTTCAGAGACAGCCGAAGCTGTAGGGAAAGACTCGATGGCAGGGATGCTCACAGAGGATGCTGGGAACCCCTATTCTCTACTGTACCAAAGCCTTTACAACAGTCTGTTTTGGGGTTTTGGAGCTGAATTATGTTAAAATATTTTTTTTTTTTTTACTGTGGTTATTACTATCTTTGGAATTTATTTCCTTGGAGGTCAATGGCAGCCTGAATTTGGCAGCTTTCAGGGCAGTGTGTTTTTGAATTTGTTTTTGTTTCTTTTTTATCTCCTAAAGCTTGGGGCTGTGAGGACTCAGGGGTATTGCCTCACTAGGAAGGAGAGCACTGTCCATATGTGATGAGATTGCTGTGCTGCAGGTTTTGAAGACTCATGTGAGCTGCCTGGGAACAAGCAGGATTCAGAACTGAGCTCCATATTAAAATCAAACCAACACCAAATCGAAAAACAAAAACAACATCCAAAGGCAGAAAACAAATGAGAGTGGTTCACACCTCTGAATATCAAGACATTATTAAAACACAAATGAAAATCTGGAAAAAAATTGGAAATCTATTGAGAGAAAACGTTTAACATCATTAATGTGCACTTTCTAATCAAAAGAAAATGATGAATGTCTCAATAGAAAATTGGATAAAGGGTATAAACAAGAAACTCATAGAATAATACGAATGGCACTAACCATGTAAAAATGCTCACTCTCACCAGTAATCAAAGAAATGAAACTTTAAAAAGCACCATAGTTTTGATGATCCAATTGGCAAAGATTAAAAATAAAAATGAAAACTAAGTGTGTGGAGAAATGAGTACTTTTATAAATTGTTTGCGAGTGTATAAACTGGTAAATTTACACACTTATAATAAATACAAAAATTAGCCAGGTGTGGTGGCATGTACCTGTAGTCCCAGCTACCTGGGGGGGTGATGTGGGGGGATCAATTGAGCCTGGGAGGTTGAGGCTGCAGTGAGCCATGATTACACCACTGCACTCCAGCCTGGGCAACAGAGCAAGACCCCATCTCAAAAAAAAACAACAAACAAAATAAAAATAAATAAATAAATAAGAGCCTGATGAGGTGGTGGGCACCTGTAGTCCCAGCTATGCAGGAGCGTGAAATGGGAGGATGGCTTGAACTCAGAAGTTTTGAAGCTGCTATGTTTGCACCTGTGAATAGCCACTGCACTCCAGCCTGAGCAACATAGCAAGACCTCGGTTCTAAAAGTGAATGAATGAATGAGTAAATACATAAATAAATAAAATTAGGACCTCAAGCCCCATAAGACCAGTCTACATGTCAGAAAAACATCAAACACAAATTGAGGGACATTCCACAAAATACGTTACCAGTAAGTACAATAGCACCTCCTTATCAACAGTTCTACTTTCTGTGGTTTTAGTTACCTTCAGCAAATTGTGGCAAAAAATATTGAATGGAAAATTCCAGAAATAAAAAAATTACACTTTTAAATTGTGTGCTGTTCTCAGTAGCTTGATGAAATCTCAGGCCATCCCACACCATCTCACCCAGATGTGAATCATCCTTTTGTTCAGCAGATCCACACTGTCAATCCTACCCACCTGTTAGTCACTCAGTAGCCCTTTCATGGATTCTGTCACAGTACCACAGTGCTTGTGTTCAAGTCACTCTTTTTTTTTTTTTTTTTTTAGATGGAATCTTGCTCTGTTGCCAGGCTGGAGTACAGTGGCGAGATCTCTGCTCACTGCAACCTCTGATTGCCTGGTTCAAGGGATTCTCCTGCCTCAGCTTCCCGAGTAGCTGGAATTACAGGCACGGGCCACCACGCCCAGCTAATTTTTTTTTTTTTTTTTTGTATTTTTAGTAGAGATGGGGTTTCACCATGTTGGCCAGGATGGTCTCGATCTCCTGATCTCGTGATCCACCCGCCTTGGCCTCCCAAAGTGCTGGGATTACAGGCGTGAGCCACTGCGCCTGGCCTTCAAGTCACTCTTATTGACCTCATAATGGTCCCAAAGCACCAAGAGTAGTGATGCTGGCAATTCAGATATGCCAAGGAGAAGCCATAAAGTGCCTTCTTTAAATGAAAAGGTGAACCTTCTCAACTCAACAGAAAAAGAAAAAAAATCATATGCTGGGGTTGCTGAGATCTAAGACAAGAACAAACCTTCTATCTGTGAACTTATGATGAAGGAAAAAGAAATTCCTGCTAGTTTTGCCATCACACCTCAGATTGCAAAATTTATGGACACTGTGCGTGATACATGCTAGTTAAGATGCAAAAGGCATTAAGTTTGTGGGTGGAAGACATGAACAAAAACGTGTTCCGATTGATGGCAATTGGGTTCAGTACTAGCTGAGGTTTCAGGCACCTACTGGGGGTCTTGGAATGGCCCTCACAGATAAGGGTGGCTACTGTACTCCTTAAAAGAGTTAAAGTCATAAGAAACAAGGAAAGACTGAGAAAGAGTCACAGGCTAGAGAACACTAAGACATGCCGACTAAACACATGAATGTGGTATCCTGAATTAGATCCTATAATAGAAAAAGGATGTTACTGGAAAAACTAATGAAATCCAAATGAAGTCTGGAGTTTAGTAATAATGCACTCTGTTGGTTTCTTAGTTTTGACAAATATACCATGGTAAGGTAAGATACTAACATTGTAGGGTGACTAACCATTCCAGTTTGTGTGGAAGAGGGGTTTCTTGGGATGTGGGACTCTCAGTGCTAAAACCAGGACAGTCTGTGCAAACTGGAATGATTGGCTCTAATCTAACAATTGGATTAGAGGTATATGGGAATTCTATATTATCTTTGTAACTGTTTTTGTAAATCTAAAAGCATTCCAAAATAAAAAGTTTATTAAAAATAATAAGACAAATTAAAAACAAGTTAGGAATAGCTGACTAATAATGAGATAATAGGCCTAAAGAAGTTAAATATCACTTTAGTCAAATAATTTATTAAAGTCCTACTAGGTGCAAAGTTTTTTGATGGTTCCTGCTTTCAAGTGTACAAAACAGATATATATATGTGTGTGTGTGTGTTTATATATACCATTTTTCTTTCTATAATCTTGCTGTTATATTTGCAGAAATATATGTGTTTGTGAGGAACTCTGTGGGTTTATTCATTTGGCCTTTTTATGCATTTACTTTTAGCATACATTAAACACACTTTTAAAAGTGTGCATTTCTTTTCTTTCTTTCTTTTTTTTTTGAGACAGAGTGTCGCTCTGTCATCCAGGCTGGAGTGCAGTGGTGTCATCTTGGCTCACTGCAATCTCCGCCTCCTGGGTTTAAGCGATTCTTCTGCCTCAGCCTCCCAAGTAGCTGGGATTACAGGCATGCACCACCACACCTGACTAATTTTTGTATTTTTAGTAGAGACAGGGTTTCATCATGTTGGCCAGGCTGGTCTGGAACTCCTGACCTCAGGTGATCCGCCCACCTTGGCCTCCCAAAGTGCTGGGATTACAGGTGTCAGCCACTGCGCCCGGCCTAGGCCTAACATGTGCATTTCTTGCCATTCCACTGTTTATCCATGGATTTCTTTCTTTCAAAATATTCATTTCTAAGCCTTTTTTCATATACTTCCATCTCCTCTTCAAAAAAGTTTCCACAATTAAATTAGTCTATGTTAAACCCCCCAGGTATAGGAGCCTGAACCATCCCCTGTGCTATTCTCACAGAGTTTCACTTTCCGTATTTACTAGTTTTTTTTTTTTTTTTTTTTAAATGAAGCTTCTGGCTAGGCGTGGTGGCTCACACCTGTAATCCCAGCACTTTGGGAGGCCAAGGTGGCTGGATTACCTGAGGTCAGGAGTTCTAGACCAGCCTGGCCAACGTGGCAAAACCCCATCTCTACTAAAAATACAAAAATTAGCCGGGCGTGGTAGCGGGTGCCTGTAATCCCAGCTACTCTGGAGGCTGAGGCAGGAGAAACACTTGAACCCTGGAGGCAGAGGTTGCAGTGAGCCAAGATGGCGCCACTTCACTCCAGCCTGGGTGACAAAGTGAGACACTGTCTCAAAAAAAAACAAAACAAACATAAAATGAAGATTCTATTTACTTTTTTCTATTTATAAAATAAGGTATAATTTACATATAGTAAAATTCACCCTATTTAGGTATACAGTTCTGTGAATTTTGACTACTCTGATACATTTTCACTATTGTAATGCGAATAGTTTCTTCTTGATTTTTTTTTTTTTGGTTTGTTTTTTGAGACAAGGTCTTGCTCTGTTGACCAGGCTGGAGTGCAGTGGTTCGATCACGGCTTGCTGCAGTCTTAACCTCCTGGACTCAAGCAATCCTCCTACCTCAGCATCGAGAGTAGCTAGGATCACAGGTGCATGCCACCACGGGTGCAACCACACCCAGCTAATTTTTTATTTTTTGTAGAGACAGCATCTCCCTATGTTGTCCAGGCTGGTCATGAATTCCTAGACTCAAATGATCCACCCATTTCAGCCTCTCAAAGTGCCGAGATTATAAACACGAGCCACCATGCTTAGCCTGCTTCTTGATTCTTAATAGATGTTTAAATTCATCAATAAGGAGAAAAGTGACTTGAAATACTTTATCTTTGACTAGGTCTATGTCAGTTTTAATAAGTAAAACCCTCATTAAATTATTGTTCATTCCCTAAATATCCCTTTTTCTCTTGAGCATGAGATTCAGAAGTATTAAATTCTGTAGAGAAGATGACATTGGTAAATTTTGTAGGAAATCAGCAAATGGAAATATCAGAAAGTTATGATTTAATTTAAAAAGAGTCAGCATGGATTCACATCTTATCTGCCTCAGTGATATGAAATAACTTCTGGGTCTAATAACAAATATCAGCTGAGGGAAGCCATGAACCAATTACTTGTATTTTAGGATAAAATACCATGAAAAGAATACCAGACAAACAACTAATCTAGAAGTTAGATAAGTAGTATAGGGATGAACTACTTAAGTAAACAATGACTTTGATATCAAAGTGTGGAATAGTTTGGAATGGATGGGTTACAACGCTCCAGGGATCAATATTAGGACCAACTTTGTTCATTTTTATATGTCAGTGATTTGGAAGAAGTAACATGCAGTAAGCTTGTTATACAAAACTAGAGGGAGGGTCAGTCAATACAAAGAAGGAATGAAATGACTTGAGTAGACTAGGGACATAAGCAGATAAGTGGCTTATTCAATTCAGTGTGGAGGAAATATGAAGTAGAAAGATTATCTCATGGTAGGCTGGGCTCGGTGGCTTACGTCTGTAATCCTAACACTTTGGGAGGTGGAGGCAGGTGGATTGCTTGAGCTCAGAAGTTCGAGACCAGCCTGAGCAACGATGTGGTGAAACCCCATCTCTACAAAAAATACAAAAATTAGCCGGATATGGTGGCTCATGCTTGTAGTCCCAGCTACTTGGGGGGCTGAAGAAGGAGGATCGCTTGAGATTAGGAGGTGGAGGTTGCAGTGAGCCAAGATGGCACCACTGCACTCTAGCCTGGGAGACACAGTGAGACCTTGTCTCAAAAAAAAGAAAGAAAGAAAGAAAGATTATCTCAGTAATGTGAAATCAGAATATTCAAAATAGAGTAAAAAAGTACAAACTCATGAGTTAGCAAGCATGCCAGAAACAAAATAATTCCAATGCAATGAGTAAGACAGGAATATTGACTATAGAATTTAAAGAAATGCTTTTTTTTTGAGACGGAGTTTCACTCTTGTTGCCCAGGCTGGAATGCAATGGGGTGATCTTGGCTCACTGCAACCTCCACCTCCCAGGTTTGAGCAATTCTCCTGCCTCAGCCTCCCGAGTAGCTGAGATTACAGGCGCACACCACCACACCTGGCTCACTTTTGTATTTTCCGTAGAGACAGGGTTTCACCACGTTGGTAAGGCTGGTCTTGAACCCCTGACATCAGGTGATTCACCCACCTCAGCCTTCCAAAGTGCTGAGATTACAGGCGTGAGCCACCGCGCCTGGCCAAGAAATGCCACAGTTTTAATATACTAGACTAAGAAAATAACTCAGTGAAATATATGTAATTAGAGCAAAAATAAAGTCATTTGCTGTTAAAGGTAACAGAACCTTTAAATTATGGGTGTTGGCCAGGTGCGGTGGCTCACACCTGTAATCCCAGCACTTTGGGAGGCTGAGGTGGGCAGATCACCTGAGGTCGGGAGTTTGAAACCAGCCTAACCAACATGGAGAAACCCTGTCTCTACTAAAAATACAAAATTAGTCGGGTGTGGTGGCGCATGCCTGTAATCCCAGCTACTCGGGAGGCTGAGGCAGGAGAATCGCTTGAACCCGGGAGGCAGAGGTTGTGGTGAGCCAAGATTGTACCATTGCACTCTAGCCTGGGCAACAAGAGTGAAACTCCGTCTCAAAAAAAAAAAAAAAATTATAGGTGTTAATCAGTTCCAGAAATCTCTTAAATTAGGTGACTTCACCATCTATTATTGTTTTATAATTTATGTATACATTGCGCACATTTTATATATCAAATGGTTCATAACAAAAACATTCAAACATATCCTTACGTTTTTAATAGTTGGTTCAGCTGGTGAGTACCAGTTTTTTGGCCCCTTTATAATCAGCAGGTCATATTACTAACAGTTTCTCCATTAAAATAAGAAGTCTGAATGTTTAATCCTAAAAGAATCCAAATTCATGGCTTGTTGAAATCAATGTATTGTTCAACAGATATCTATTAATTATCTTCTATTTGCTCAACACTGAAAAATTGTCTCCTAACTCTTTCATTATACAACATGCCTCTTTTGATAAAACATAAAAGTCTCACATTTTCCTTTAATATTTGAAATTCCAGTAAGTTAAGTGTTATAGCTTTTAAAAACATCCCTATGGGACAAAGAGCTGTTTTGTTTTCAAATGATACCTCTCCTTCCTTGGAAATCACTGCTTAAGAACCATAGAAAGAGTAAGATAATGCTTGTGCACAAAGTGCTTATCATTTAAATCATGGTGACAATACTAAATCATGAATTAAGAGTAATATTAAGGGGTATACTCTAAGGTTAATGGAAAGTTAGAGATGAGGGAATGACCAATAGCTGGAAGCAGTGGCTTTTTAAATTTTTATTTTTGAGACACGGTCTCTGTCACCAAGGCTGGGGTGCAGTGGCACAATCAAAGCTCACTGCAGCCTTGACCTCCCTGGGCTCAGTTGATCCTCCTGCCTTAACCTCCAGAGTAGCTGGGACTACAGGTGCACACCACTATGCCCAGCTAATTTTTGCATTTTTTTGTAGAGATGGGGTTTTGCCACGATGCTAAGGCCGGTCTTGAATTCCAAAGTGTTGAGATTATAGGTGTGAGCCACCACGCCTGGCCAGCAGTGGCTTTATGGAAAGAGGTTAAGACTTGAACTGAAGCATGGGGAGGGGAGAAGGAAAATCCTGGTGGCAGAGGGCCAGTAAACTTTGTGGTTAGAGTGACTACAGGACAGTGAGGAGTTGGGAGAGATGACCTGATATGCATTAGATCATTTGAATCACTCAGGTTTTTTGAGCCAGGTTAAGGAAGATTAATTTGATGGTAGATATAGAACAGAAAGGAGCAGGAAAGTCTGGAGGCCTGTCTAGGGCAGCAGAAGTGGGCCAGGGCAAAGCATGCTTTGATCCCTTCCAGAAGGAGCTGACTGACCCCCCAGTGATTTCTGAATTCGGAAGGCAGTCCTTTGGCAAAGCATCTGATGTATTGTAGGCTTTGTTATTTCTCTTCTCTATTATTTGAATTTGTGTATGTTTACATTTTGCTACTTGCTCTGTGGCCCAGGATGGAGGGCAGTGGTGCAATCATGGCTCACTGCAGCCTTGACCTCCTGAGCTCAAGGAATCCTCCCATCGCAGCCTCCCAAGTAGCTAGGACTGCAGGCATGCACCCCCATGTCTGGCTAATTAAAAAAAAAATTTTGTAGAGTTGAGGTCTCAGTATGTTGCCTAGGCTAGCCTTGAACTCCTGGGCTCAAGTGTTCCTCCTGCCTTTGCCTCCCAAAGTGCTGGGAGGCATGCATCACTGTGCCTGGCCTATATTTTCTTTTTTTTTTTTTTGAGTCTCTCTCTGTCGCCCAGGCTGGAGTGCAGTGACACGATCTCGGCTCACTGTAGGCTCCGCCTCCCAGGTTCATGCCATTCTCCTGCCTCAGCCTCCTGAGTAGCTGGGACTACAGGTGCCCGCCACCATGCCCAGCTAATTTTTTTGTATTTTTAGTAGAGACGGGGTTTCACTGTGTTAGCCAATACGGTCTCCATCTCTTGACCTCGTGATCCATCTGCCTCGGCCTCCCAATCCACCCGCCTTGGCCTCCCAAGGTGCTGGGATTACCGGTGTGAGCCACCGTGCCCAGCCCTATATTTTGTTTCTTAACTGGATATCCACTCCTTGAGGATAGGGACCATGCAGCATCTTGTAGAGCAGGGTTCAATAAATGTGATTTCAATGAACAGGTAGCTGAGAGTGTCTGCAGGAAAACTTGGCAGGCAGCATCTGGTAAGTGGCTGCCTATGGGAGAGGGAAGGGAGGAGATGTGTCAAAGGTAATTTCCCGTATGGGCTTCTGAGAGAATGATGGCCTCACTGTCACAGACAGAAGCATCAGAGGGGAGGAGGAGCTGGTTGTGTAGAGAAAGTTATGAGTTTAGTTTTGAACATTCTGAGTTTGAGGTGAAAGTGAGACATTCAAGAGGAATTCACAGTGCTTAAACATATAGAACATGGCCGGGTGCAGCGGCTCACACCTGTAATCCCAGCACTTTGGGAGGCCGAGGCGGGTGGATCATTTGCAGTCAGGAGTTTGAGACCAGCCTAGGCAACATGACGAAACCCCGTCTCTACTAAAAATGCAAAAAAAATTAGCTGGGCATGGTGGCGTGCACCTGTGGTCCCAGCTACTCCGGAGGCTGAGGCAGGAGAATCGCTTGAACCCAGGAGGTGGAGGTTGCAGTGAGCTGAGATCATGCCAGTGCACTCCACCCTGGGCGACAAGAGTGAAATTTTGTCTTTAAAAAAAAAAAAAAGGATATAGAACAAGAACTCAGGTGACAGGAGATAGAGATTTGGGAGTGAGTTTGGAGATGAGGGCTGACATTGCAGAATGCTGTGTTTCCAGCTTCTGAAGAAAAGCTCGGGGAACCAAAAACAAAAGAAACCCTAAAGCAGCACTGTCTGATAGCCACTAGCCACATGTGGCCATTCACATTTAACTTTAATTAAAATAAAAAAACCTTCAGTTCTTCAGTCATACTAGCCACATTTCCAAGTTCCTAATGGTCACATGTGGTTAGTGGCTATGGTAATAGGCAGTGCACACAAAGAATATTTCCATCACCACAGGTAGCTTTTTATGGGACTGCACTGTAAAGATACAGAGAAATATATATTTGAGAGAAAACCAGAAAGCTGATAATGTTCAAGGGAGGGGAGAGTGTTAAGAAGGAAATATTTACAGTGTCAAATGCTGAAATTGGGTGTAGAATTATATTAGGAAGGCAGTAGGAAGACAGCAAGTTACTGAGACTTTGGACAAGGAAAGGGAGGAAAGAAAAAAGATAGTAGCTAGGGACAACCACAGTCACATGGAGGATTTTTAAAGATAGGAAGGAATGTTTATCTTCAAACATAGCTATGTTTGAAGACAAATGGACAAAGGCCTGTGAAGATGGTAAGAGTCCCCAAACCCAAGCCTGCCCTTGCTTCTCTCTGTGGCTCTAAACTCAATTTGACAACAGTCTGTTGGCTATCCATCTCATGGAAGTCCTGCTAGCACCTCCAGCTCAGCACATCTAAGAACAAACTCATAATGGCCCACCACTTACTCATGCCCTTTTAAGATCCTTTACTTCAGTTCATCTTTCCAGTTACTAAAAGCTGGGAAACTTAGTATATTTGAATCATTCTCTTTTGCCTCCAGCCCTTTGATCAGTTACCTGGGCATACTTACTGCAGTACTTCTCCTATCAGTTACTTTTTTTTTTTTCTAGTTTAAAATAATGCTCATAGTATTTCAGGCAAGGAGAACAATATAGAGAATACAATAATAATACACTCAGCCTAGCTTAAGTTAAATTTGCAAATGTAAACAAAGCCCATGGGAAACTCATTCAAATGCCATTCTCCTCTTCATACCAAGGGTAATCACCGTTTTAAATTTAGCACACCATTCCTTTGCAATTACAGTGTTACTACATATGTATATATCCATATATAGTATAGAATATAATTTGGTACATTTAAAAACTTTATATAAATACAGTAGTAGCATAACATTTATTCTTCTATAACCAGGCTTTTTTCACACAGTATTGAGATTTATCCATGATGGTCATCTCTTTTAATTAATTATGGATTGTTCTGTTTATATATTAATGCATATATTATACATATATACTTATGTGTGTATAGATTATACATATATATGTGTGTGTATAATTGCATTTTTTATTCCAGCTGTTTGGTTGGAATGGAGTGATGACATGGTGCAGCACTCAGCCATTTTAGGGGGAACTCGAAAAATTCTGTTCCTTAAAGCAGGTAAAAGCTGCCTTCAATATTTTCTACAGTTCTATCCAACCTTCTCCTAACCACATCATTTTTTTTTTCCCCTTTCTCTTACCTTCTCTAACTAGGCTTTGGGTATCATTGACTCTTTTGAGATTAGTTGTTGTTTATGTCTGGTTTATATGACCAAAGAAAATAAACAAATTCTATTATCTAATTGAATCATAAAGTATGAATACACTCCATGCTGAAGGTTGTTGCTCCTCATTTAAGGACATCACACTTTAATGGCTTGAGGTTATTTATTACTATTTTTGAGAAAGGAAGAGATGAAATATGAGGGGGTTAAGTGTATTTAATGTAAACTAAAATGTTTCTGAAGTGTGATAGTGATTATGTAGTAGAACAACTTAAGATCCTTGAAATCCAGTGTGAACAGGTTAAAGAGCTCTAGGATGGTTAAAAGTAAGGTCACAATAATAGAAACAAAGGTTATGTTCTTGAGACATTAATTTAGGTTGAATGATATAGAATTGTCACCTTTTAAGATAAAAAACAGTTGAATACTGGCAATTTCATATGGTCCACTTGATAGACGTTCAGGAGGGAAGAAATGCAGAAGTAGGGAGTGTGAAGGAAAGGGCATAGGTCTTCAGGTGTGGTACCGTCAACCAGGGCCATCACTTTTTAATACTGAATGGCTAGGCTCTTGCAGATGTAGATCAAACCGTATTTAGTTGTCTCTTCTGTTTGTAGGGAAGAAACGGGTTGCAAAATATTCCATGCCAACAGGTGTATAGAAGCCTTCAGGGATTTTTCACCGTCATCACATTTCCAAAGGATTTAAGAAAACTTACAAAAACACATGACATTTTAAAAAGTGAGGAAATCGAGGATATGGGAAAAGAAAGTGACATCCAGATCTCCTAATATGATGTAAACAATGGCCAGCACAGTACTTCCTCAAATCGTTTTGGAAGAAAAAGTATAAATAATATCCAGCACTGTGATTCTCTCCCTGCTAAGCAACTGCAATTTTGGGTTACTATGTAAATGTAGCAGTAGGTGCCATTGAGAGGCAGCTTTCTAATAAGAAAATAAGTATTTTAATTAAATTGTATTTCGGCCGGGCTCATGCCTGTAATCCCAGCACTTTAGGAGGCAGAGGCGGGCGGATCACAAGGTCGGCAGTTCAAGACCAGCCTGGCCAACATGGTGAAACCCTGTCTTTACTAAAAATACAAAACTTAGCCAGGCATGCTGGCGGGCGCTACGTGATCCCAGCTACTGGGGAGGCTGAGGCAGGAGAATCACTTGAAGCCGGGAGGCGGAGGTTGCAGTGAGCCGAGACCATGCCATTGAAAAAAAAAATTTGTATTTCAAGATTTGACTACAATACTGAAATAGGTAGGAAAAGGTGTTCTTTCAAGAGACTATCTTCATTTCCAGCCATTTTAAAAAGCTATTCCATGACAATAACTCAAGTGTGGTCTAAGAGGGTTCTCTGAATCTGACTAAAGTAGTGAGTGATGCTTTTGGTATATGCATCTTTTGTTAAAAAATTTAAAAAACGGATACATATTTGTACATATTTATGGGGTACATGTGGTATTTTGATACATGCATACAGTGTTGTAATGATCAAATCAGAGTGTTTAGGGTATCTATCACTTTGGACATTTTTTTTCCGCCCCCTCTCCCCTGTCACCTTGAACATTTGTCATTTCTTGTGTTGGGAACATTTCAAATCTTCCCTTCCAGTTATTTTGGAATATAAAATATATTGCTATTTACTATAGTCACCCTACTGTGCTATTGAACACTAGAACTTATTCCTTCTATCTAACTGTATGTTTGTACCAATTAACCAACCTCTGTCACCCTACCTCCATATGTATCTCTTAAAAGCATCGCATCAAAAGCAGTATAGTTAGTTCAGGTAGGTTTTTTTTTTTGGGACAGTCTCAGTCTTGCTGGAGCGCAGTGGTGCCATCTCGGCTCACTGCAACCTCCACCTCCCAGGTTCAAGTGATTCTCCCGTCTCAGTCTCCTGAGTAGCTGGGATTACACGTGTGCGCCACCAAGCCTGGCTAATTTTTGTATTTCAAGTAGAGATGGGGTTTCACCATGGCAATCAGGCTGGTCTCGAACTTCTGACCTCAAGTGATCTGCCTGCCTTGGCCTCCCAAAGTGCTGGGATTACAGGTGTGAGCCACCACGCTCAGCTAGGCTATTTTTTTCTTTTTCAGAAGTGTTTTTTTTGCTTGTCAAAATGGTCTGCGGACGTGCCGTCCCCACCCCCCAAAAAAGAAAGAAAAAAGACAATTCATGTCTCATATCATTTGCCAATTGGTATCAATGAAGAAACGAATTTAACTCCTGTGGCCAAGTACTTTGCTCTCAAGGTGGCTGGACTAACACTTTGCAAAAAGGGTATGGCGATAGCGTAGAACATATCCCCACTCCTGAAAAAAAAAACAAAACAAAACTGAAAATGCCTGAAATATCCTTTCTAGGGAAAGAGCTACCTTCCACCCAAGAGATCCGGGTAGGAACAGAGTGATAATAGTGACTTCCCTTCCTCCCTCCCAGTCCACTTATTTTCACCTGTCCCGCTCTTCAAGGCACCCATCTCTTTTTCCATTTTCCCCACCCCAAATCAGGTTATTTTGTGACTTTTATTTCCTTAAAAGTTTTTGTTGTAAAATAGTACATAGGTTATACGACTCAACTTTGAAAGTGACTTTTCCACTTAAATATGAGACTACAAGGACTATTAGAAGAGATGAACCCTATTCTTGGACTCAGAATTTTGAGTCTCGTTTCCGCATGTTTGTGGTTTTTAGGTTAATTCCCTGGAAATTTGATCTTTGTACAATTAAGAGCAAAGTAACCATACAATGTTTCTGATCCTGTCAGCATAGGCGGTTAAGTGCTTTGGAACTGGGATGTAAACTCAGTATCTCACAAATGGATTACCTATTAAGTTAGGACACACAAAATCTGGTTAAAGTGCTTGGACTTCACAACCTCATCCACCAGCACATCACATATCACACAAAATATAATAATCACAGTAATGGGAAAACTGAATCTTGAGCCAGATTTCTAAAAAACAGGTATTGTGGACAGTGTTTCCACCTCTTGAATTTAACTTCTTTCTTGGCAACTATACTTGAAGGTAACAGGGAGAGATGTCTCTTAGTTGGCAAAACACACACTTAAAACCTGAGCATTTTCCCCCAGGATGACAGCAAGATACCAAGGATGCCAAAGAAGGAAGGAGTGTTAACCTAATCCAGTAAGAGAAACAAGATTTTAAAATACAACAAAAATGTTCCAATGGGGGAAAAAAGGTAGTTCACCGGTTCACGACTTTAAAAAACGTTGGCAGTGGTTGATGGGCTTATTTCAGGAGATATCTGACTTGGTACCAAGAGGATAAAGAGGCCGGGAATAATACGTTTGTGCAGCAAAATGGTTATGTGACCGATTTTTTAAAACACAGAATTCTGCCCCACTGAATACATACACATACCACAAGTAAAATGAAATATACTTTTAAGTGCCCGTTTTGGTGCCACTGGCCAAAATTAAAACTCTCCTTCCGTATGTGAGGTGACTTGAGATTTCTTTTTTGCTTTAAATGCCTGCCTTCAGGGTACGTGAAAGTGGGAGACCGGTTGGAAAACTGGGGCTAAGGGGGCTGGGAGCGAGATGGCTGTGACTGAATCAGGAAGCTGGATGTGAGAGAGAAAAATCCTCCTCCAGCCTCGGAGGGGGTGTCTCCCCTAATACCAGCTCCCTCCCCCCGGGCTCGTGGGGCGGGTCTGGTTTGCTCAGTAGCGGCAGCGGCCGCAGCAGCAGCCCCGGGGCTGAGCAGCGGTGGCCTCCTGGCAGCGCAGGGAAGCGGCGGCTCCAAGAGCGCGAGGCCCTGGGGAGATCCGGCCAAGACTGCTGCCGGGATGGAGGAAGCGTCCAGTGGAGCAGGAGTCACCGGGGACGAATTTCCTCCCCAGCTCAGCTCCCCTACAGCTTGGCTAGGCCTGCTCCGAGCGCCTGCAAGGTGGAGGAGGCCTGCGCCTCGGGCCTGGCAGCGGCAGCCGGCGAGGGAGGCGGGCACAGCGGGGTAACCGGCGAGCCGTAGCCGCTCTCGAAAACCTACGCTGCCACGGCCGCTCATTGTCTCTCCCCTTCCACCCGGGGGCAAACAGGAAGCGCGCCGCCTGGCAGACCGACGGACAGGCGCCTGGACCAATGAGCACAGCCGACAAAGAGCACGGCGGCGAATGAGAGCCAAGAAGAGGGGCGGGAGTTCCGGGCGGGCTGTCACCCTCTTCCCCCCTTTTGGGCTGGAGGCTCCACCTTTTGTGTTTCCCGCACAGTCAATCAAAATAGGAAAAAAAAATCCCCGGACCGCTCCGGCCGTGTCCGCCGCCGCTTCCCGCATCCTCTCCCGCCGCCGCCGCCTTCGCTCCTCACCATGTGTAAGGCGGCGGGGAGCCCCGCCTGAGGTGCCCTAAACACACTATGACCGGTACGTAAAGCCGAGAGAGCAACCCTTGCTGCTGCCGCCGCCGCCGCTGCCGCCGACCACAGCCAGCCCGGGGCCGCTGCCGCCGGTCTCGGCCCCGTGTGTGCGACCGAGTGTCTGTGAGAGGCAGAAAGCTGCACTCCCCTGCGCCTCCCTCCCCTCCCCGCCAGCCACCGTCCACCCCCGAAGCCCCAGCAACGCCGTCTCCCCGCCAGGCCCCGGGGCGGGCGGCCCGGTCCGCCGGGAGCGCATCCCCCTGTGTGCGGGCGCGGGCGGGCGTGTGTGAGTGACTGACGGTGCGAGAGGAGCGAGCGCGAGTGAGAGCGAGCGGCGCGAAGGGAAAGGGGAGGAGAGGAGAGGGGGCAGGGGCAGCGCGGGGAGGAGGAGGAGGAGGGAAAGAGGAGGAGGAGGAGGGTTACAGGCAGCGGCGGGCGGGGGCAGCAGCAGGAGGGGAGGAGGGAGCCGCCGCCGCCGCCGCCGCCGGGGGGCGGGTGGGGGAGGGGAAGGGGCCTGGGTCCGGGCTTTGGGAGTAATTTCGCTTCGGCCCGCGGGCCCCCTCCCTCTCCGCCACCCGCCTTCCTCCCCACCCCCACCCCCCCGCGCTGTGCCTGCAGCTCCCGAAAAGCCCGTGAAACAAGAGGAAATGGCTGCCTTGGACGTGGATAGCGGCGGCGGCGGTGGCGGCGGCGGCGGCCACGGCGAGTATCTGCAGCAGCAGCAACAGCACGGAAACGGTGCGGTGGCGGCGGCAGCGGCGGCCCAGGTGAGGAGCGGCTGAACCCCGGCCCGGCTCCCCCCTCGCGCCGCTTTCTCCTCCCCTCGCCTCTCCCCTCCCTCCTCGCCTCACCCCTCCCTCCTCGTCTCTCCCCTCCCCTCCACTCCCCTCCCCCCGCCCCGGGAGCTGCCCGCCCGAGGCGCCAACGCTCCGACCCCGCCCGCGCCGCCCCGCCTCGCCCGCCTGCCGCCTTTTTGTGCGCGTGTGAGTGTGGGCCCCAGCGTGCCCTCCCGGGGGTGGGTTCCGGGCGGAAGGCGGAGGCCCGGCGCGCAGCCCGCCGCCCGCCTGCCCGCGGACCGGGGAGCCGGGGTGCTTGGAGCGGGGGACGCCAGGCGTGGGCTGGCGGCGGGACCAGGAGGAGGAGGAGGAGGAGGAGGAGAGCGCGGGCTGGCGCTTGCCCGGGCGCAGTCGGCGGGGACCGAGTCGTACTTCCTGTGCGAAAGGCGGCCCGACCCTAACCGCCACCCCCTCCCCCTGTCTCCCTCTCTGAACCCGCCCATTGGGGGTAGGACACTCAGCCGTCACCGCTCGCTCTGCTGGC
This sequence comes from Homo sapiens, assembly GCF_000001405.40. Lineage (NCBI taxonomy): Eukaryota > Metazoa > Chordata > Mammalia > Primates > Hominidae > Homo > Homo sapiens. The sequence goes on along the minus strand of NC_000002.12, from coordinate 173,963,851 downwards.
CGCTACCTGCAGCAAGATAGGGCCGCCATCGCCGGGCGACGACGAGGAGGAGGCGGCCGCCGCAGCCGGGGCCCCCGCCGCCGCCGGAGCGGTAAGTCCCGCGCGCGGCCCGCCCCCGCCGAGGCCGGGCGCCCGCCATCCCGGACCCGTGGCGCGCCTGCCCAAAAGGCCTCCCCGGCGCCCGCGCTTCCCCCGACCCGCACGGGCCGCTGGGCTCCAGGGCGCCCTTTCCTGCTCTTTCGCATCCCGGTTTGGATCTGAAGCCAGCCCAGGCTTTCTCGAAATTGTCACTGCAGCACCTCGCGCAAAATCTTCACAAAATGAAGTCTGAGAGGGCGGGGGTAGAGGACTCCAAAATGGATGTTTGAGCAATTCATATCAGTGCTGAAAACTCCTTCGCTTAACACTACAAAATTTTCAAGCACAGCCTATCGGCCATAGATAGTATCAACTAGAGGCAATGTCTTTAGTTTTTATTATTTTTGAACCTGGAGCATTTTCTGTTGGACGTTACAGGATCTTACTGCTTTAAATCATACATTATTAAAAAAAATGAGGGTTTATTCTTTGAATTACCCTTTTGTATGCAGGAGTGAAGACTGCTTTTTTAGTTGACCATTCAAAATCGTTGAATTTTAGTTTTTGCAGACTACTAAAATTTGCAGTGACTTTTTTTTTGTAAGGGGGGTAAATGAAACATTTAGCAGCCTTTGAAATCAGCAAGTTGCTTAGATAGTACTTTAGATTTTGAAACTGAATATAACAGTGTTAGAAAAGTATGTGTAAGGAATTGTATTTACGTGCATACTAGTAGTACAATACTTATAGCTGAATTTGGTTGGCAAAAGTATGTTTTCATTTTATTACGACTGCTAGTCAGGTAAGATATGGTGGGATTCTTTCTGTAGTGTTTTCAGTGTCTGGGCAAGGGGAGGAGCTCGCCTGTGTTATATGAGGGGTTAATACCAATAGGATAGGAACAGTTTTTAGACTGTTAATTGTGAATTTTACATTTGGGTCATCACTGTTGTGTAGATTTGTTCACCTATTAAAATAATGAAAACCCTCATTTGAGTGTGTGTGTGTGGTGGATCATAGGAATTGATTTGTGGAGTGATACTTTCAATAGTCACTGAAGACAGAAGTTTGGTATTTGGTATAGTCTACAACAAATGCTTAGTATGTCCAGGTATTTTTTTTTTTTAAGTTAAACCAATGTTAAGCTATTACTGGTAAATAATTTGTAATTTTAGTGCTTCGTTATAGGGGATGTGAATAGTTTTAATGTCTTGTTTTTTCATAAGCAGATTAACATGTAAAAATGTAAAATTATATTAGGCTTTGTTATTTTTAAATACATTTATGGATTGGTACGCCTTCTGTTCACCTCATTTCAGCTTCGCTGAGAGTTGGTAGATTTTTTTATGAACTGTATCCCTCTAGTTCCAAAGTGCCAAAACAAATTGACTGTATCTTAAAAAACTACTGCATAAGTAAAATTAAAAAGCAGATTGCTTCTCCTGATCTTTTTTGTATTTCAAATGGAACAAAACTTTTCTTGTAACTGTAATTTGTAAAGTTTAGATATCAGTTTACAGATGGGGGAGGGGAGAAGGAAGGAAATATGGGTGAATAATATGTGTATGTACATACATATGTGAGTCTGAGGCCCAAGGATAGAATACTGTCTCCAACCTTAGCCAGCTGTGGCCATATACTTGTAGGGAAGTTTCCATGCTTCTTCAGCTGCTTTTCTGAATTACCAAATCACTCCTGACAACACATATTCTGCCACATGAAGACGAACTAGAATCAATCTGATAAATCTGAGATTTATCAATCAAATACATCATAATTTGCCAATCATAGTAAAATGAAAATAGTTTTGCCTAAAAAAAAAAAAAAAAAAAAAAAAACCCAAACCATATATTTATGATGTCTGGTACCTGCACCCAAGATTTTTCACTTTGAGTAAAATTGGTAAGACTGGCTTGTGTGTATTTGCCTTAGCAAATAGAAAATTTGCTAAAAATTTATTTTTCCAGTGCAAATATGAACTTAAGACATCTTTTCAGCACATCTTAGAAAAGGAAATTCACATGAGTTCATGGGCTTAGATAATCTTTTATTACTCAAATGACTGGGAATTATGAGAGGTTATAGCTGTGTTTTTAAATAATTGTATTTTGGAATAATTTTAAATTTATAGAAAAGTTGGAAATACAGAACTGAGTAATCTCATACCCTTCATCCAGCTTCCCCTAATGTTAGGATAATGATGATACATTTGTCCAAATTAAGACATGAACATTGGTATGACATTACTAACCAGACTTTGTTTGCGTTTCACCAGCTTTTCCACTAATGTCCATTTTCTCTTCTGGGATCCAGTCCAGGATTCCACATTGCATATATATTGTTGTGTTTAAACAAGTGGAAATATACACATACAGATGAACTTTATGCCAGTTTAGCTTGGTATTTTGAGATTAAAAGGGCCTTGAAAAGCCAATCAACTGTGCTGAAGATTGCTTTTAATATTTGGATTTTGAATTTGGAATTTGTCATAAAAGAGGATCCTAGCCAAGGGTGTTTGGTTACCCACAGTACATTGCTGAAGAAGTCTAGTCATAAAGCAGTCTCGTATATAATGTCGTACAACATGGACTCTGAAAGATGGTTTTATAGCAACGCTCCTTTGTACTTAAGTTGTGGCTAATTTTAGTAGTAAACCAGGAAATAGAAAAAAGTAGACCTTTGTGCAAGTATTAACTTTGACCAGTTTGCATTTATGTGAACTTGTGGATTATTAATTTACTTCATTTTTACTTTAGTGGAATAAAATAAGTGACTTTTATTTTTATTTTTATTTTTTTGAGACAGAGTCTCACTCTGTCGCCCAGACTGGAGTGCAGTGGCGCGATCTCGGCTCACTGCAGGCTCTGCTTCCTGGGTTCACAGCATTCTCCTGCCTCAGCCTCCCGAGTAACTGGGACGACAGGCGTGTGCCACCATGCCCGGCTAATTTTTTTTTTTTGTATTTTTAGTGGAGACAGGGTTTCACCGTGTTAGCCAGGATGGTCTCGATCTCCTGACCTCATGATCTGCCCACCTTGGCCTCCCAAAGTGCTGGGATTACAGGCGTAAGCCACTGCGCCTGGCCTAAAATAAGTGACTATTATGAAAGTGATTGCTTGATCTTTGGTTTAGGTTGTAAATTTAGTGTTCCTTAATTTGGCACATAAATGTTGAGCTAAAAAATAAGTAATAGCTTACTTCAAAAAAGTTATTTTGCCATTATTTAAAATAAGACCTGTGCTGTCATTGTAACTAATTCATTGGGTAGGGTAATTCTATTTGAAGTCTGAGTTCTTTTAGTGCTCTTTGAAGATTTTAAGAAACTTGAATATTTGCCTAAGTTCTTAATTTGTTTCCACCTCAGCTTCACACCTGTTCTTGTTTCCAGTTATACTCCTTCCTTTCCTATTTCTGGCTTTCGTAAAGGCATTCGTGGGAACTAAGTTAATAATCATTTCCAAATGCTATGCAATAGGTGGTGTGAATTTTTTCTTTTTCCGTTTCCACCGGTATATTTGTATGTAGAGAGACTTAGAGTGCCTTAGTTACAACTTTTTACTGTACTAATGCCAACATTCATGTTAGATGGTGTTTTGTTTGTTTTTTGAGAAAGGCTCGCTTTGTCTCCCAGGCTGGAATGGAGGTGTGTGATTACAACTCACTGCAGCCTCAACCACTGGGGCTCAGTTGATCCTCCCACCTCAGCCTCCCTAGTAGCTGAGACTACAGGCACGTGCCACCACGCCTGGCTAATTTTTGTATTTTTTGTAGAGATGGGGCTTCGCCATGTTGCCTAGGCTGGTCTTGAACTCCTAGACTCAAAGGATCCACCTGCCTAGGTTTTGTTTGTTAATTGTCCGGTAAGAAAGGTACTGAGAGAAACACTGGTGGATTTTTAATTTGGTTTGTAAACTTACGTAGACATAGGTTATGTAGAGGATTATCTTGCTTCTAAACCAAATACTAGTTCTCGTCTTGGTTGCCTGTTTTAATTTTTTTTATTTTTATTTTTATTTTTTTGAGACTGAGTCTCGCCCTGTCACTCAGGCTGGAGTGCGGTGGCGGAATCTCGGCTCACTGCAATCTCCGCCTTCCAGGCCCAAGCCATTCTTCCGCCTCAGCCCCCAGAGTAGCTGGGACTACAGCCCCAGAGTCCCAGAGTAGCTGGGACTACAGATGTACACCATGCCCGGCTAATTTTTGTCTTTTTAGTAGAGGCGGGGTTTCATCATGTTGGTCAGACGGGTCTCAAACTCCTGACCTCAAGTGATCTGCCCGCCTCAGCCTCCCACAGTGCTAGGATTACAGGCGTGAGCCACCGGCCCTGTCACGGTTGTACGTTTTTAAATCTCCTTTTATTCTTTTGTTTCTGTAGTGTTTCCAGTAGTCTAACATCAAACATTTTTCAAACTTTTTTTTTTTTTTGGTCTCAGATGATTTTCTAATTTATTCCTCTCCCATTTGGTATTTAGTGTACTTTATCTCTTTTAGTGGTATATTGCTGATGAAATTTCTTTTACAAAGAAATTTGATTGTGCTTTGCAAGGCTTTGTAGTTTTGAAATATTTGGAGCTGATTCATTGTGGAATTGTGGAAATAAATAGGCTTAAAATTGGTTTAGACTTTTTCATAGAAGGCTCTTAATACCTCAAAATTTGTTTTGATCCATTCTGTCATTGTGTTTGCAATGATTTTAAAGTAAAATAACTTTTCATTCAGTAAATATATATTGATCTTACTGAGTGCCAGGAATTGTGCTAGGCTAATTTTAATGGATGTTTTTCAAATCTATTCTCATAATCTTAGCACTCACAATGATCTTGGGATTGCACAGTGCTCAATAGTTTATAAAATTTAATATTTTTCTTCTGATTCTTATGCCCCTGCAAGGTAATGTTTTTCCGGTTGTTGACATGAGAAAATTGAGTTGCTGTAACTCACACAATTCCACAGTGTAGCCAGAACTAGAACTCAGTTCTGAGCTTTTTTTTTTTTCTTGTGTAATATATTGTCGAGTGTAGTTTTGGCATAAATCATCTAGTAGTTTTCTGATTCAATGTGTTTTTTCCATTCCATTTAGAAAATAGGGTATTCAGCAAATTTTTTTAAAACTGCAAATTTATTAAATTAAAAAAGTTCCTTTTCTTGCTTGATTCTTTTCCTTAAATTACCTGTTGCTTTTTTTTTTTTTCCCCCATCGTTGTGCTTCACAGGTATTTTAATAATGCTTTTCATTTCAGGCTTATTCAGAAAAGTTCGGAATACATCACTTTGCTCTAGGTTTAGAGATTTTCCTTCAATTAATGGCCTGAATTGCTGAGAAAAATGGCACTACAGTTTATTTTTATCTAGCTTCTGGAGAGGGGATGACTTGGGCAATATTTACTCAGATTTGTCATTTGCGTTAGCTGTATTTATTTTCAAGGAATTTCTTGACTAGAAAGCTGTTCAGTGATGGTTGAATATCTGCCTTTATTACTATTTTGTAAAAAAAAAAAAAAAACACTTTAGGTGCTGTAAATTTGACTTTGTTTTTTTTAAAGAAAGGAAAAGGGACAAAATGCCAGTATCATAAAATTAATTTGTGTCTGAGTTACTATATTCTTTGATAAAAGTTCAATACCTGTAAATTTTATGCTGGTCAGAAAAAATTTCAGTGGATCCTCCAGGTGAGCAATAACCTTAAGAAGATAAAGGTTAGATTTTAGACACACTTTAGTGTAGATTTTAGTATATAGATTTAAATATTTGTAGTTTACTTAAAATGCCAAGAGACCGAAATGAAACATTTGTCACTGTAATGTTAGGAAAGGTGACTTAACATTGTAATTTCTATACCAGATTGAAGTTGCAGAGTGACATGTGACTTTAATGTCTGATGCTTCATTTTAAAATTGTTTAGTAAATATAATTTAAGTGTATTTAAGACAGATCGCTATTTTATAGTTCAGGCCTAGAGATTTGTATTGGGTTCCACAATTTCTCAGCCTTTAGTCTCCTCCCTTTCTTTCAGTCTCCTTCATTGAGCCTTAGTTTATCTTTATAAGACACAGATGTGATTGCACCACTCACTTGCTTATAAACCTTTTATAGCTTTCACTCACTATCTACAGGATAAAGTCTAAACAATTTAGTGGGATCTGTGAAGCCATTTACAAGCGTTGATAAAAATATCTAGTCCTGTTCCCCATTACTTTCCTCTATGAATATGAGCCTTTTTGGGATCTTTTCTTCAACTCCAAACTGCATATTATTATTTAGGGTTTCTTTTTGTGATTTTATTGTTTCTATGCTTTTATTAGTGCCTCTTTTTTAACTGACTACAGGAAAATCTTATATTCTAATACTACTTTATCTCTGTATGAAATCTTTTTTTTCAATCTTGTGTCTTCCACAGAGTGTTTTGATCATATGACTAGTCTGTGCTACTTTTCACATTGTATTAGCATGGATGTGTGTATGTCTGCTTGGATTGACAGTGAACCGTTTGAAGATTGGGATTGTATGTCATGGGTTTACTCACGTGTGTATTTCATCTTGGTAAATTACGTTCAAATGTTTGAATTCAGTCATTTAACTGTGGTTCATCCACTGAAATAACTGTATATATTTCTCAACTATGTCTTCATGAAAATTAGGTAGTGAGTTTCTTTAAGAAACTTAAGATTTTTTTGTTTATCATATTTGCATTAAGTTTTATAGAATGGTTTATGTTGAGAGAACTGTGTATGTCTCAACTGATTTTTATGGTCCCATTGAGATTCCCATTGAGAATATAATGAAACCCTAGATTATCTTTCTCTCCCTCAAATTGTATTAATACACCAGAATACAAAAGGTATATGCCAGACATTCTACTGAAAACTTAGACTAGTAAGTAAAGTCACAGTGTGTATCCTCCAGCTTCTGATCCTAGAGAAACCTTTCAAATGGGGCTACGTTGTCATGTGGTCACAGGGCAATGACTTTTTCTCATTAAGTTTTTTTAAGGTCTTTGTTTTTCATTAGTTCATGGAAAAAGTAGAGTTTGATAGCTTAATGGAATAGCCCTAGCCATGAGTTTACTTTAGAGTATGTTAATAGATGCCACAAAAGAGTAGATTTCATTGTTTGATTTTAGGCTTATAGCAATAAATCTTTTCTAAGTCGGATGACTTAATACACTATGCTTATGTTTCCTTTTTATACACAAATATAATGCACCTGATTTGGTCATAGCCATCTCCACTGTTTTGTTTTGTGTTTTAACTGTGTAGTGTTAGAGATCATAGATGCAGGATTAGAAAATTGGTCTGTGGTTGTGATGAACATTCCGAGAATTTTTTTTATCCCACTCAAATAGGATGAATTGTCTTTGCAGTAACAAAACTGGAAGTGATAATTATTGTAGTTCATATAGTACTGCTCCTGTATTTGAACTCCATTGTGTTTTAAGATAAGTTGAATTTTCAGGTAGTAGGATTTATACCAGTTTTTAGAATTTTTTGAGGGTTGATTTAAATATACCACAAATATATCACCTTTTTGTTTTCTTCATCCAGACAGGTGATTTGGCTTCTGCACAGTTAGGAGGAGCACCAAACCGATGGGAGGTTTTGTCAGCCACACCTACAACTATAAAAGATGAAGCTGGTAATCTAGTCCAGATTCCAAGTGCTGCTACTTCAAGTGGGCAGTATGTTCTTCCCCTTCAGAATTTGCAGAATCAACAAATATTTTCCGTTGCACCAGGATCAGATTCATCAAATGGTACAGTGTCCAGTGTTCAATATCAAGTGATACCACAGATCCAGTCAGCAGATGGTCAGCAGGTTCAAATTGGTTTCACAGGCTCTTCAGATAATGGGGGTATAAATCAAGAAAGCAGTCAAATTCAGATCATTCCTGGCTCTAATCAAACCTTACTTGCCTCTGGAACACCTTCTGCTAACATCCAGAATCTCATACCACAGACTGGTCAAGTCCAGGTTCAGGGAGTTGCAATTGGTGGTTCATCTTTTCCTGGTCAAACCCAAGTAGTTGCTAATGTGCCTCTTGGTCTGCCAGGAAATATTACGTTTGTACCAATCAATAGTGTCGATCTAGATTCTTTGGGACTCTCGGGCAGTTCTCAGACAATGACTGCAGGCATTAATGCCGACGGACATTTGATAAACACAGGACAAGCTATGGATAGTTCAGACAATTCAGAAAGGACTGGTGAGCGGGTTTCTCCTGATATTAATGAAACTAATACTGATACAGATTTATTTGTGCCAACATCCTCTTCATCACAGTTGCCTGTTACGATAGATAGTACAGGTATATTACAACAAAACACAAATAGCTTGACTACATCTAGTGGGCAGGTTCATTCTTCAGATCTTCAGGGAAATTATATCCAGTCGCCTGTTTCTGAAGAGACACAGGCACAGAATATTCAGGTTTCTACAGCACAGCCTGTTGTACAGCATCTACAACTTCAAGAGTCTCAGCAGCCAACCAGTCAAGCCCAAATTGTGCAAGGTATTACACCACAGACAATCCATGGTGTGCAAGCCAGTGGTCAAAATATATCACAACAGGCTTTGCAAAATCTTCAGTTGCAGCTGAATCCTGGAACCTTTTTAATTCAGGCACAGACAGTGACCCCTTCTGGACAGGTAACTTGGCAAACGTTTCAAGTACAAGGGGTCCAGAACTTGCAGAATTTGCAAATACAGAATACTGCTGCCCAACAAATAACTTTGACGCCTGTTCAAACCCTCACACTTGGTCAAGTTGCGGCAGGTGGAGCCTTCACTTCAACTCCAGTTAGTCTAAGCACTGGTCAGTTGCCAAATCTACAAACAGTTACAGTGAACTCTATAGATTCTGCTGGTATACAGCTACATCCAGGAGAGAATGCTGACAGTCCTGCAGGTGAGTCTTAAGTTATGTCATGCCATAAATAAGTTCAGTGATAATACATAGAGGGAAATTTTTTGCTTTAGGTATTTATCAGCATCAGACTCACATTAGAATTAATGATCAATGTTTGTATGAAAATATGTTTGTATGAAAGTAGACATCAAAGTATCTTCCAAATTATTCTTTGAAAGTTTGTAGTTTTTGAAGTTAGGGATTCATGTTTCTATTATGCCAATTAACATTTATAGTTTTTTCTTAATTTTATATTTGTTTTGACATCTGATTGATATTGTCAGGCATTATAAAATTTTTATTTGGCAGGTAGGGTGTCTTGGTTGGCCTTAGTGTGATGTGAATTAAAATTTTTATGCATTATATTTGGTTGAGGAGTCAGGTTGGTATAGTGAAAACATGGTACAGGGAGTAAATATGCCTCAGCCACTTGCTAGGTGTGTGATTTTGACCAAGTTATTTTTCTTTCGCAAACTCAGTTTCCTTGTTGTGTAAAATGGAGGTGTTGGACTAGGTAACTGTCTAGGTGACCTTCCAGACCAAAAATTCTTTGATTCTGTGATAGTGGGCATTAAACTTAGCTGTGCTAGAAATAGTTGTCAATAGTATGGGTAGACATTTCTGAAGTCTGCTCTTTGAATGTTGTGTAAGAATTAAATAATAAAGTTTAAAAAGAGATAGTGTCATTTTTACCCTATTAATGTTGTCTGTCTAGATAACATTTGATTGAATGTTTTGTTGTGCAGTAAATCCTGAACTTTATTACTTTAATTCTGTTTTGTATTTGGATTTCTGTGGAGATTGTACTACTAACATTCTTTCACCAGGTCAGTGATTCTAAACTCTTAAATTGGGACACTTTAACTGAACTGATTGACATAACTCCCATCACCATTTAAAGATTACCTTTTTTCTTTTGATAAATTTGTGATACATGCTTAGAAAATTGAAATGGTCTTAGAACCTCAGATCCGTATTTGGAAATCCTTTAATTGCATTTAAGCCTTCTGAAGCTGTGATTATTTTTTTTTAGGGGTTGGGATTAGGATTTCTGAAACTGGTTTAGAGCAGTAGTTGTTTTTTTTTTTGTTTTGTTTTGTTTTTTGAGATGGAGTCTCGCTCTGTCACACAGGCTGGAGTGCAGTGGTGTGATCTTGGTTCACTGCAACCTCTGCCTTCTGGGTTCAAGCAATTCTCGTGCCTCAGCCTCTCGAGTAACTGGGATTAGCTCCTGAATAACTGGGATTACAGGTGCACACCACCACATCCGGCTAATTTTTGTATTTTTAGTAAAGATGAGGTTTAGTAAAGATGTTGGCCAGGCTGGTCACAAACTCCTGACCTCAAGTGATCTGCCTGTCTTGGCCTCCCAAAGTGCTGGGATTACAGGTGTGGGCCTCCCAAAGTTCTGGGATTACAGGTGTGGGTCTCCCAAAGTGCTGGGATTACAGGCGTGAGCCACCGCTCTGCTCCTGGCCTAGAACAGTAGTTCTTAAAATGTGATCTGTGGACCATTGGATATCCCTGAGACCCTCTCAGAGGTCCTTCACATCAAGCTGCACTAAGAAATTGTTTGCCTTGTTCTCTGTGTTGACACTTTCAGTGGTGGTGGATAAAACTGCTTGTGTCTTAGCATAAATCAAGGCAGTGACAGCAAACTGTAATAGTTGTTGCTGTATTCTTCATGACCATGCACTTGCAGTTAAAGAAAAATCCCAGTTTCACTCAAGAATGACCTCGATGAACCAGTAAGAAAAGATATTTACTAAATCTTGACCCTTGAGGGCTGCATGTCTTTTAAAAAATAATAGCTTTATTGGGATATAACTCACATACCGTAAAACTCACTCTTTATACAATTCACTGGTTGTAACTATGGTCATAGAGTTGTACAACCATCATCACTATCTAATTTCAGAGCATTTTTATTACCTCAAAAGGAAACCCATACCCTTTAGCAGTCACTCATCATTCACTTCCCCTCAGACCCTGACAACCACTATGCTACTTTCTGTCCCTTCAGATTTGCCAGTTATTTCGTATCAGTGTAATTGTACAATATGTGGCCTTTGGTGTTTGGTTTCTTTCATTTAGCATGATGTTTTCAAGGTTCATCTGTGTCATGGTATGTGTCATTACCTCATTTCTTTATATATGGCTGAATACTGTTCCACTGTATGGATATACCACATTTTATTTATCTACTGGTGGACATTTAGGTTGTTTACACTTTTTGGCTATTATGAATATTGCTGCTGTGAACATTTGTGTAGGTAGTATTTTGTGTGGAAATGTTTTCTTTTGGGTATGTACCTGGGACTGGATTGCTGGGTTATATGGCAATTGGGTTTAACCGGTTTTCCAAAGAGACCATACCGTTTTACATTCTCATCAGCAATGTGTTGAGAGTCCCAATTTCTCTCTAGCGCCACCAACCTTATTATTGCCCATCTTTCTGATTACAGCCATCCTAGTGGGTGTGAAGTGGTATCTTTTTATGGTTTTGGTTTGTAGTTCCTACTGCATATCTTTGTAGTAGTATTTATGATGAAATGGGAAGTATGCCTTAATAAAGCATTTTTGCTGCATATCAAAATAAGAATTGTCTTTAAAAAACCACTTTTTTCCCTCAGTTATGCAGTTCTGTGAGTTGCAAGCTGAACTAGATGCTATTTTCATCAAATACTGTTTTTACTTGAAAGAATGATAAACTGTGGTCTTGAGATTAATGTACTTAAGTGACAGATATTTCCTCAAAAAAAAAAAAAAAATGAAGTGAGCCTGTCATGTGAAGGAAAAAAACTGGAAAGCATTTGCTGCTGCAGATGACAAAATTTGTGCTTTCCAGTGAAAATTAGAATTTTAGAAAACTCAAATCTATTATGAGCTTGATACCTTCTTAATATTTTTCTGATGAGATGGATAGTGATACTAACAAAGCTTTTTTGATACTGTATTTTAATGTAATGTGCTAACACTTGGAAGATCTGTATGATAGTTCAGTGAACCGGCAGTTTTCAGATGACCAACTCATTATATTATAAAATCATGCATGAGTAAAAGATCCATTCAAAGTGCGAGATAGACCAATAACAGTATAGAAAGTTTACAGGTAGTGTCAGATTCCACATTTGGACTGAACTTGAAGAAACTGCCACCTGTTAAGTTTGGTGTAGTATTCAAAGAAAACCCACAATTGGCTGAAAGGATATTAAGTTATTCTTGCCCTTTCCAGGTAGATATCCGTGAGTAGATACTCTTCATATGGTTCAGCCCGAACCATATTGCAAGAGATTGAATGCAGGAGCAGATCTGAGACTTTAAATGTCTTCTTTTATTCACTCTAGACATTACAGAGATTTGTGAAAATGTAAAACATGGTTTTCTCATTAAACTTTTTTTGTTGTTTTGAAAAATGTTTTTCATAAAATGTTAATTTATGTTAACGTGTAATGGATTTATTTTTAAATGAACTAAATTTAAATTTCTGTTTATGATATGGTAAGTATCAGTATACACATATACTACATGAACAGAAGTTTTTTGTGAACGTCAGTAATGTGTAAGTTTGGAAAGGAGTTCTGAGACTAAAAGGTTTGAGTTAAGTGACAGACTACTGAAGACATAAAAGATAGTTTTTAGAAACTAGTTTTTAATGTGTGTACAAAATTAATGTTACAGCGTTCTATAGGTGTTAGAAAATAAATCTAGAAACTTTGATTTTTGTGGATTTATGTTGGTCATGAAATGAAGTTGGTATAAAGCACCAAGTTCTTCAGTAAAGTAATTTCTTTTCAAATGTTATCAGAATAGAAACACTGTGTATATTGAATACAAAATGGAATTTTAGTTTATTGAATGTTGCCCAGGAAGGGTAAAATAAATACTCCAGAAAGCCATTAAATTTGAATTTTGTCCTGATTTTAAAGGAACGGGGAAATTATTTGAGAAAGTAAAAGTTAAAGCAAGTGAGAATAAAAATGCTGTATAAGACATAGCATATTTAGTAATAAATTCATTTTGAGGATATAAACTTTCTCTTGGTATACTATCTTTCTAATTGGCAAGAAGGGAGATATGTTAAGATGCTTTTTCTCACTAGAAAATCAGAGCAAAACATTTTTGTTTCAGTGTTACGTGTAGTATGCCCAGATGAAAATGCTGAAAACTTTGACATCCTTGGTTTGCCTTTTTTACTTTTTTTTTTTTTTTTTAAGAGACAGGGTCTCTGTTTTCTAGGCTGGAGTGCAGTGGCATGATTATAACGCATTGTGATCTCAAACTCCTGGCCTGAGCCTCCTGAATGTGTAGAACTACAGGCTAGCGCCACCATGCCCAGCTAAGTTTTAAATTTTTTGTAGAGATGGCATCTTGCTATGTTGCCCAAGTTGGTCTTGAACTGCTAGGCACAAGCAGTCCTTTTGCCTTGGCCTCCCAAAGTGTTGGAATTATAGGCATGGGCCACTGTGCCTAGCCTGCACTTTACTTTTGATAAGCATGACATTAATGTAACAATTTCCCAAAATAAAGGAGAAAGTACTTTTTTTTTTTTTAAACCAGGGCTCTGGAACTTGCCTTTTTGTTTGTTTTTGTTAAGTTTAAAGGACCCCTTTAACAAAAATGACCTCTACTCGAGCCTGTATTAAGCAGTAAGTCTGACTTTGTTCCCTTCTTTTTTGGGGTACTTTTACTACTCCTTATCCTTTAGAAGGCAAATCTCCATCTTCCTGGAAACATCAGGCGCCAAGCTGAAACCCTACTAATCTTACATATTTCTGTCCATTTGTGGCCCACTGAGAAATGCATGCTGTTTTAGGAAACTTCATTGTTGTCTCATTTTTACTTTATCGTTGCTGTATATTTGAAACTGGGTAAGAGGAGGCAAAGTGTGAATTTATGTATCTTTCCAATGTCAAAATTTCCCCCAAATTTAAGCCAAGACTTAATTCAGTCTCTCAAATTTTAGTCCTCTGTCAGATTTTGTTTTATCTAAAATACAGTTAATCTTTCAAGACTGGGCACATTTAAAATGGAGTCAGGTGTTTGAAGTTGGAAGAAGAGTTTATAGAAGTCATTTCTTCTTAAAAGCAAACAACTTAATGTTTAGAATTCCCCATTATTCATGAAAAACTGGATAGTTGCAGGTTAACTGGTAGCTATCTTTTTTTGAGAAAATAGAAGCCTTATAAAAGGCAGGCTTTTTTAACTTAATATTTAAGTATTTAAAGATTGACAGGCGAAAGAGGGATGGATCTCTTATGGGCTCCTACTCTATCGGGTACTGTTTAGGTGTTTTTAGGTGTATTATCTCATATAATTCTTTCTTACATTAATCTATTTACTATTCTCACGGTTGGATAGGAAAGTAACTGGCCCAAGGCTTCACAACTAGGCTTTGTTCTTTTCACTCTCCTATAGTGTCTTGGCAGTGTGCTCTTTAATTTATATCAGTATTGTATTTTTCTTCCCTTTTTTTGGTTATTTTTATTTCAGATTTTTTTTTTTTCCTTTTTGAGGGTAAAATACTAGCCTTGAATAAAGTATTTTCTACATGGTAAGTGGAGGAAATGTCTTCTGAAACATTTTTATTTGTGATTCTAACAAGGTGAAAGATAAATCCTTACTGATTTTACCTAAGGGATCACTGTCAGAACTGGTTGATTATAGAAATGCACAAATACTGCTAAAAGGCCAACCCTATTGCTTGAAAAGTAGAGTGTATGATGGAAATGTGGTCTTTTTAGAGTTACAAAAAGAATAGACAAAATGTGATGACTATGATCTGTGCTGATTTTAAGTAATTGGTAGATCTCCTTTTGCCCCTCTTACACAACATAAAAGGTTGTTGTGTAAGACTTTTACACTGTTGCTTTCTGTAGACTTTAAAGTTGTCTTATCAAAAATAACCTGAGGATGGTTTATTTAGGTATCATACCACTTAGCTTGGTTATGTCTGAGTTCCTGTTCATTTGTGAATCATGTATGTATTGCATGCTATGGTCTTTAAATTTTAGAAATTAAGATTTTTATTTTAATGCTTGGGGAAAACCTATTCATATTCTGATTTTCCAACGATTTTTTTGGTTTATTAATTTTGAGACTTATAATTATTTATTTTCTGTACTTAAAGTTGATTTGCTTACAAAAGTAATACATGGCTTGATATGGAAAACAAAAACATTATGGAAATATTTAATGTAGAAAGTGAAATTTTCTCTTATCTCTTAGGAATAAGACTTAGTGTCATATATTTTAAAATATTGTCATAATTATACTGCATATACACTTTTTACAATATTGCTTAATTTTTAGTTTTAGGAGGATGAAAATAGAATAGTCGCCCCCCTTATCAGTGAGGGATAGTTCAAAGACCCCCAGTGGATCCTGAAACCTCAGGGAGTACCAAACCCTATATACACTATGGTTTTTACTATATGGTAATGAGTGGGTAGCATGTATAGTGGATAGGCTGGACAAAGGAATGATTCATGTCCCAGGTGGGATGGAATGAGACAGCATGAGATTTCTTAGTGCAAAGAATGGCATGTAATTTAAAACTTGCGAAGTCTTTATTTCTGGAATTTTTAATTTCATGTTTTCAGACTGTGATTGACTATGGGTAACAAACCATTGTGGAAAGCAAAACCTTGGATAAGGGTATAAGGACTTCCTATACTTGCTAAGTATTTAGGTCAAGAATTACATCCTATTTAATTAGCTATTAATATAGATAAAAGTACCCTACATGCAGAAAAACCCAGAGTTAGATTCATTGCTGAAAACAAGAGCCTGGAGTAGGGCTCTTTTTTGTTAAAGGGGAGCTACAAAAAGTTGTTGCTGTTTGTTATCCTGAGGTATGACTTAAATGAAGATTTACGGAGATGAGACGATGATGCAGGAAAATAGGAGGACATCAGCACAGTCTTACGACCACCACATCTGAACCAATCTGAACCATTGAACTGTTAGCTGAGTGTTTGGATTTGTGATATAGCCAGTATTACTGCTTACAAGAGTTATATATGAGTTTTGGGGCTTGCAGAAATGCCAGACCCAAAATTGTAATACTGAGAAAGAAAGAAAAAAATTGTATTCAAGATGATCCTGCAAACCTAAATTCCAAAATACATGAAGACAAAATCTGTGAAAGATAGCTGATAAAATCAACAATTAGGAGATGAATTCATGTCAGATTAAAGAAAACAAAACATTCTGTTGAAGACTTTGAAAATCAGTATGCTTGCAATTGTCAGTGAGATAAAAGAAGCAATAGCATCTATAGAAAAGAAGTGAAACAAAAACAATAAATACGGAAAAACAATCAAATCCTGTACATGAGAAACCCATTTCATTGATTCTAAGACAATTTTTTGAAATCGGAGTGCATCTTGCTATTCAAGGCATGTCAGTGTTTCTCTCTCTTTTTTTTTAAACTGGTAGTGCTTTTTCTTAGATGAAACATAAAAGTTTTTCGGGGAGAAAAAAGACAACCTTTAGAATGGATTGAGCAAATAGTAATATGCTTAGGAATTTACCCAGAATACCACACAGAGATAATGAACGAGCAGTTAAGACATGGAGGATAGATTGAGAACCACCAGTGTAGGAATTTCAGAAGAAAAGAATAAAGTGAATGGCAAGAGAAGCAATGTTTGATGAAATAATGGCTAAGAATTTTCTTGTGTTGAAGAAGTACAATCTACAGATCAAGTTTTATTTCAAGTATGTTGATAAGTAGAAATAAGTTCATCTCTGACTTGAACTAAAATCACAGACATTACAGAGATGTTACATTAACATCTTAAATGTTAACAGAGAGAAGACAGATTACTTACAAGGAATGATAGCCCAGCTAGGTATGGTGGCTCATGCCTCTAATCCCACCACCTTAGGAAGCCAATGCAGGAGGATCACTTGAACCCAGGAGTTAGTTTGAGACCAGCCAGGGCAACATAGTAAGACCCTCCGTCTACCTTAAAAAAAAAAAGCCAGGCGTGGTGGTACACACCTGTAGTCGCAGCTACTGGGGAGGCTAAGTTGGGAGGATTGCTTGAGCCTGGCAGGTTGAGGCTACAGTGAGCTGTGATTGTGCCACTGCACTCCACACTGGTGACAGACCGAGGCCCTGTCTTAAAAAAAAAAAAAAAAAAAGGCAGATCTTTCTTTTTAGCCACACAGATGTCAGAAGATCGTGGAGTAACATTCAGAGTGCTGAGAGAAAATAACCAGCAGCCCAGAATTCAGTGGGCAATTAAACTACTATTCAAGATTCAGAGTTTAGTGAAGATATTTAAAATACTATTATTCAAAGACCTTTATTGAACTGACTACTGTAGGATTAAGTAGGAAAAATGGATCCTGAGGAAATGAGTTGGAAATGAGGAAATAACAGTAATTACAGAAATGGATTTAAAAAATTGATGATTTGAATCCCAGTGTGGTGGTACATGCCTTTAGTTCCAGCTACTCCGGAGGTTGAGGTGGGAGAATTGCTTGAGGCCAGGAGTTTAAGACCAGCTTGGGCAAGATAGACCCCCATCTCTTTAAAAAAAAAAAATCAGTAATATTGGTAACTTAGAAATATAAAAAATTTCAAAAGTACACAAAAACAATATATAATGAACCTTCCATGTACCCCTTTCCCAGCTTTAGCAATTATGAACACCCTGCTATTCTTGTTTCCTTTATTTCTACCATTTAAAGTTTTTTTTTTGCTGGGTTATTTAATCAATTTATTATTATTTTTGAGACCGTATCTTGCTCTGTCACCCAGGCTGGAGTGCAGTGGTGTGATCTTGGCTCAGTGCACCCTCCACCTCCTGGGTTCAAGTGATTCTCCTGCCTCAGCCTCTAGAGTAGCTGGGATTACAGGAGCCTGCCACCATGCCTGGCTAATTTTTGTGTTTTTTAGTAGAGATGGGATTTCACCACGTTGGCCAGGCTGGTCTTGAACTCCTGACCTCAAATGATCCGTCCACATCAGCCTCGTAAAGTGCTGGGATTAAGGCATGAGCCACCAGGCCTGACGTTTGCTGGGTTATTTTAAAGCAAATCTGACATCATATAATATTATCCCAAAATACTAATGGAGTGGTTCTCAGTGTGTGATCTGAGACCCCTGGGGGAGGTGTCCCCGTGATCCTTTAATGGGAGAGTGAAGTCAAAGCTATTTTCATAATATTAAGATGTTATTTACCTCTTTCACCTCACAAGTAGTGTACAGTGGAGTTTTTATTAAGGAAGTTGAACATATGTGCATGTTCATTGGCTATTTGTGTTTTTTTGTTAAATTGCCTTTTATGTTTTTTATTTTCCCCCACTAGTATAGCATACTTCTTGTATACTGTATACATAAAGATGTTGTAAATGTCTTTATATGTCTGGGATATTAATCTTTTGTCCCACACTACAAATAATGTCATCATTTTTTTGCCTTCAGGTTTAGTCATGTTGAGTTGAGGTATACATAAGTTCTTACTAGACTTTTTTTAGTATAACAATTTAGAAACTTTGAGGTGTAGTTTTTGAATTTAGTTTGTATGGATTTACAAGTCTTCTGATGTAGTGGGAACAGTATGTGGAAGAAATTGGGTATTTTAAATTATACTTTCTTAGACTAGAAGATCTAAAATGCATTGTGTGACCTTTAAAATAAAGTAATTTTAAATATATGGTTTTGGTCACACTTTGGTTTCTTAGTATTCTATGGAAAAATAGTGTTCATAGTTCCATGAGACCCATCCTTAAGGATGATACTTTCATCAACCTGAAGTGTATTTAATTTAACATTAGTAAATATTATAACCATTTACTTGTTCTGATATAGCTATGTGATTTAAACCATAGAATTTTAGAGAGCTCAACTAATTCAACTTATTAAATGCATCTTGAACAAATGGCTGCTCAGTGTTTGTTTTTCGTAGAGACAGGGTTTCACCATGTTGGCCAGGCTGGTCTCAAACTCCTAGCTTCAAGTGATCCAGCTGCCTTGGCCTCCCAAAGTGCTGGGATTACAGGCATGAACCACCGTCCCACCATTGGTGGTTTTTTTTGGTTTGTTTTGTTTTTTAGTACTTTTCTCTTTAATTTTTTTGGAATAGTATATTTAGTTTAATAACCAAATTTACCCCATAATTTAGTCAGCAACAATAATGCAAATAAGGATTCTGGATGAACATAAAAGAATGGAAATCACCTGATGTGTGCTCTTCATTAGAGTGTTGATATATTTTTCAGTAATGCCGTATTTTATTCCAAGAGAAGAACTTTATTACAGCTTGTTCTCTAAACTGCCTCATCATTTTAGTGGTTCTTGGGGACAATTTTTGTATTCAACTTAACAGTTTTTTTGAGACAAGGTCTAGCTCTGTCACCCAGGCTGGAGTGCAGTGGTGCAGTTTTGGCTCACTGCAATCTCCAGCTCCCAGGCTCAAGCAATCCTCCTGAGTTAGCTGGGACTACAGGTGTGTGCCACCACACCTGGCTAATCTTGTGTATTTTTTCTAGAGATGGGGTTTTGCCATGTTGCCCAGGGTGGCCTCGAACTCCTGAGCTCAAGCAGTCCGCTTGCCTTGGCCTCCCAAAGTGTTGGGATTATAGGCATGAGCCACCATGCCTGGCCTTCAGCTTTATTTTATGAAGGTACTTAACATGTGACGTTGTTTTCATAAATCTCATAAATTCTCTGATGAAAATAGGACCATCATTCTCCCAGCAACCTAGGTTAGTCAGTCATTGATTCAGTCAACAAATGTTTGAGGTTATAGTCACATGCTGCATAATGATGTTTCAGTCAGCAGCGAACCACATATATGATGGTGGTCCCATAAGATGTAAGACTTTTACGATTCCTTTTCTGTTATGTTTAGATATACAGATACATACCATCATGTTTACAGTTGCCTATAGTACTCAGTAGAGTAACTTGCTATACAGGTTCTTAGCCTGTGAACAATAGACTATACCTATAGCCTAGATATGTAGTAGACTATACCACTAGGTTTGTGTAAGAAAGACTGTGATGTTTGTACAGTGATGAAATCGCCTAATGATGTATTTCTCAGAATGTATCCCAGTCATTAAGTGACAAATGGTTGTATATTACACTATTCTAGGTAATGTTCTTTGCAGCAGTGAAAAAGACTAAGTCCCTCTTCTCATGAATCTTGTATTCTAGTGGATGAAGACAAATAAGCAAATACAATACTTTTAAATAATTAGTGTTATGAAGAAAATAAAGCAGCGCAGGGAGCAGTGGTTCATGCCTTTAATTCCAGCACATTGGAATACCGAAGTGGGAGGTTCACTTAAGCCCAGGAGTTCGAGACCAGCCTGGGCAACATAGTGAGACCCCCATCTCATAAAAAAGAAAATTAAAAAGGAAAGTAAAGCAGAGTTATGGAATAACCATGGAGTATGGTGGTTATTTTAAATATGATGGTTAGGAAATCCCGCCTTATGAGAAAATGAAATTGAACTACAGATCTGAACATTGATAAAGGAGCCTGTCACATTGACATTTGGAGGAAAGAGTATTCCAGGAAGAGGGAATGAGCAAGGTGGCTGGAATTTCATGAATGAGGAGTGTTAGAAAATAAGATTGGAATCAGTCAGGGGCCAGATAATATACGCCATGGTAGGGAAATTGGATTTATTTCATGTCTCATAGGAAAACATTGGCAGGTTTTAAATAGGGAACTGATATAATTTATGTATTTAAAAGATCACGCCAGCAGGTCCCTGCCTCAGAGTAAGCATAAGGCTGATGGAGCAATAGAGTCATTCCTCAGTATCCATTGGGCATTGGTTCTAGGATACTCCCTACACCCCCTAGAATATCAAAATCCCCAGATGCTCTAGTCTCTTGTAGTATTTGCATATAACCTACACACATCCTCCCACAAGCTTTAAATCATCTCTTAGTTACTTATAATACCTAATATAATGTAAATGCTATATATATAGTTGTACTGTATTTTAAATTTTATATTTTTATTTTTGTGTTTTTAAAAAAACATTTTTGATTTACAGTTAATTGGATCCACAGATATAGAACCTGTGGAGGGCTGACTGTACAAGCAAAAGATGATAGTTTGGCTAGGCTAGTAATGAAGAAAATCTAGGGAAGGGTGGAGTAAAGTGGGAATTAAGTCTGTTATGGCTTTGTTAAATCTGAAATGACTATTAGATCTACAAGTGGATGGTTCCAGTAAACAGTGGAATATCAGAATCTAGTGGTCAGGTTGGGCTGGAGGTAGAATTTAGGGTGTCATTAGTGTATACAGATATGACTCGATGAAATATTCAGGTCATAGTTTCTTTTCCAGTCACCCAGACTGGAGTGCAGTGGCATGATCTTGGCTGACTGTAACTTCCACCTCCTGGGTTCAAGCGTTTCTCCTGCCTCAGCCTCCCAAGTAGCTGGGATTACAGGCATGCGCCACCACGCTCGGCTAATTTTTGTATTTTTCATAGAGATGGGGTTTCACCATGCTGGCCAGGCTGGTCTTGAACTTCTGACCTCAAGTGATCCACCTGCCTCGGCCTCCCAAAGTGCTGGGATTACAGGCTTACAGGCCTTGTGAGCCACTGCTCCCGGCCCCAACTTTTGACTGCATTGTAGGATCTCACAGAGAACTTTCTAGAAGTGCCAACAACTTGTGTTCATCCTCCTCCCAATTCTAGTTTAATTGCTCTGCATGAAACCAGGAAAGTTGTGTTGTAAAAATCCCAAAGTGATTTTGAAGTGCAGCTGGTTTAAGAATTTCTAACTTAGTAGAGAAAGAATATACATAGAGAAGAACTTGGGAAATCATATTCTGAGCCTCAAGTTACTATTCTAGACTTTTTAAATGCAGGGTCTGGCACAGAATCAAATGTAACCCACCAGGCATATGAGAAGGTAAGATACCGTGAATGAGAACCAGCAGAAACAATGGAAATAGACTAAAAACTACTTACTGTGGTCTAGGGAATACAAGCCAAGCTTGAAAAAATTTTAACAGAGTTGGAGACTGTAACAGAAATGACACTGCAGATTTGTAAAATAACCAAATAGAAATTCAGGAACTGAAACTTAAGTATCCAAAATTGAGGGAAAGCCTTAGGAATGAGTCCTAGGGCATTCCCAACATATAGAGGGTGAGAAGTAGAGGAAGAGCTAGCAAAGGAAACAGAAGGAGCTTCCATGAAAGCCAAGTATATTCTGGAAGCCAAGTGTGTAAATTACTTAAGAAAGGAGGAGGGAATGCTTATCCCTTTCTTTTCTTTTTTTTAGGCAGGGTCTCAACTATCACCCAGGCTGGAGTGCAGTGGCATGATCACTGGCCTGGACCTTCCGGGCTCAGGTGACCTTACCACCACAGCTTCCCAAGTAGCTGGGACTGCACATGTGTGCTGCCATGTCTGGCTAATTTTTTGTAATTTTTAGAAGAGATGGGGTTTTGCCACGTTGACCAGGCTGGTCTCGAACTCCTGGTCTCACGTTATCCACCTGCCTTAGCCTCCCAAAGTGCTGGGATTACAGGCATGAGCCACCATGCCTAGCATTATCTATTCATATATTGTGGAGGGTACATAAGATGAGAGAGAACGGGATATTGGATTTAGTAAGATAATGATTGTTGGTGACTTTTAACAAGTGGTTTCATTAAGAGTGCTGGGGAGGAAAGCATGAGTAGAATGATTTAAAAGGTGAAGAGGATTTAGTGAGAGTAATTACAGACTTTTTTTTTTTTTTTTTTTTTACTCGTGTTGTGAGCAACATTGAAATAGGTGGTAGCTGGAGGTGGACCTGGTTGAGGAGGTTGGTTTTCTAAGAATCTCGCCACAAATTAATGATAGAGGAGAGAAAGTATGAAAGAGGATGAGAGAGGGATGTTTTAAGAAAACAAGCAAGGTGAAACACAGGACACAGGTTTAAGGGTTGGACACAGGAGTAGGGGTCATTATAACAGGGAAAGGGCATTGGATAGACATTCAGAGATACAGATATGTTGATTGGAAGATAAGATAATTCTTGTCAGATTATTCCTTATTTCCTTTTGTGATAAGAAACAAGCTAAGATGGGTGAGAGGGCCAGGTGTTAGGAAGTTTGAGAAGGAAGAAGGTATGAAGTGGTCATCTGAGAATTGGAAAGTGAAATGTGAGATGTAGAATTGCAGCAGTACTGGGTGCCTGCTTGAATAATTAGCACAGTTGTGTTTTTTCTCCAGCTACCTTTAGCTGCTGGGCACACATGCAAACTTCAATCTTCTGTTTCCTGGTGGAAAGTTCCAAGTCCTTTTTGTTCTGTTTCTGCCATATTTTTGTTATCTGTTCATCCTCTCCATTCTCAGTTTGTTAGTTTGGCTCTTACTGGTCTCCTAGACCAGGGGTCTTGCACCCCCGGGTGCCAAGGCCACAGTGCAAAAAGTAAGC
The DNA here is from genome assembly GCF_000001405.40 of Homo sapiens. Lineage (NCBI taxonomy): Eukaryota > Metazoa > Chordata > Mammalia > Primates > Hominidae > Homo > Homo sapiens. The sequence goes on along the minus strand of NC_000002.12, from coordinate 173,940,453 downwards.
AGTGGGCGATAAGCATGACTGGCTGAGCTCCGCCTCCTGTCACATCAACAGCAGCATTAGATTCTCATAGGAGCCCGAACCCTATTGTGAATTGCACATGCGAGGGATCTAGGTTGCAAGCTCCTTATGAAAAATCTAATACCTAATGATCTGAGTGAGTGGAACAGTTTCACCCTGAAACCATCTCCCTTGTCAGCAGTAAAATTGTCTTCCATGAAACTGGTCCCTGGTGCCAAAAAGGTTGGGGACCGCTGTCCTAGACTACTATTAAGACATCTAATCTAGGCTGAGTGTGGTGGCATAATCCCAGCACTTTGGGAGGCTGAGGCTGGGAGAATTGCTTGAAGCCAGGAAGTTGAAACCAGTCTGGGCAACCAAGCAAGACCTTGCCTCTACCAAAAAACAAAAAAAAATTAGCTGGTCACAGTAATGTGTGCCCATAGTCCTGTCTGCTCAGAGAGGCGGAGATGGGAGGATTGATTGAACCCAGGAGGTCAAGCCTACAGTGAGTTATGATTGAGTCATTGCACTCCAGCCTGGGTGACTCTCTCTTAAAAAACAACTTCCATTTTCCATGCCCCCTCCTTTCTGGTGCATTAACAAAAATTTATTTTTAAAAAAAATTTTTACATTTTTAATCTTTTTAATTCCTCCCCCAAAATCAGTGTAACTTTTTTTTTTTTTTTTTTGAGTTGGAGTCTTGCTCTGTTGCTCAGGCTGGAGTGCAGTGGCGCAATCTTGGCTCACTACAACTTCCGCCTCTCTGGCTCAAGTGATCTTCCTGCCTCAGCCTCCTGAGTAGCTGGGACTACAGGCCCATGCCACCACACCTGGCTAATTTTTTGTATTTTTAGTAGAGACAGTGTTTCACCATGTTGGCCAGGCTGTTATCAAACTCCTGACCTCAGGTGATCTACCTGCCTCGGCCTCCCAAAGTGCTGGGATTACAGGCATGAGCCACCGTGCCTGGCCAGATGTCACAAAAATTTTTAATCTTATTTCAAAAATGCTGCAGTAGATATCCTTATACAGATGTGTCATTTCTTTTGTTAAAGTATGCATATCTGAAGCATATACATCTGAAAGCACAATCCCAAGGTTGGAGAATATGTGCATTTTAAATTTTGTAAGATACTAGAAACTGTTCCAATACATCATTTTGGTATCAGTCATTTTCCCTAAACACAGATCATGTTGCTTTCTGTAAAGTCTTTACTGGCTCTTCCATTACCTTTAAATTGAGGTCTGTTGAGTCTACAGATAACTTACAGCGCTCTTGCTGTGCATGCCAGATACTGGAATTACAAAGATGAATATGATAATTCTTGCACTAAAGGTGCTCATAATCTAACAAGTTAGACTATGATTTCTCAACCTCTGCACTGTTGATATTTTGGGCCTGATGATTCTTTGTTTTGGGGCTGTCCTCTGCATTGTAGGATGTTGAGGAGCATTCCTGACTTACCCACTAGATGCTGGTAGCACTCTGTACCCCAGGCAGTTGTGATAATAAAAAAAATGGCTTCACACATTGCCAGATGTCCCCTGGAGGACAGTTCTTCATCTCCCCCTTAAGAATCATTGGGTTAGACAGACATGCACATGATTCTAGTATAATGTGATAAATGGTATATTAACATTGAACCCCACAGCACTTTAGAAACAGGAATAGTGGAGTAACCTTCAGGTTGACATCTTTCAAGACTTAGCCCAGATACTGCCTTATCCCGCAGCCTTCCCTTCTTCTTGCCACCTTTGAATTACCGCTTGTTTAATAGCACTTGTCCTTTGTCTTGTATTATAGCTAACATGTATTTCTTGTTTTGGGATTGGGCAGTCATTGCTTACTCATCTTTTTTTTTTCTGCATTCTTTTTTTTGATGGATAAAATGAAGAGATGCCAATAATAGATACAGAATAAACGTAGATTTGTGTGGAAATGTGTAATGTAAATTTTACCTGTTTGGTTGCTTTTTTTTTTTTTTTTTTTTTTTGAGGCAAAGTTTCGCTCTTGTTGCCCAGACGGGAGCACAATGGCACTATCTCGGCTCACTGCAACCTCTGCCTCTTAGGTTCAAGTGATTCTCCTGCCTCAGCCTCTCCCGAGTAGCTGGGATTACAGGCGCCCACCACCACGCCCGGCTAATTTTTGTATATTTAGCAGAGACAGGGTTTCACCATGTTGACTAGGCTGGTCTTGAACTTCTGACCTCAGGTGATCCACCCTCCTTGGCCTCCCAAAGTGCTGGGATTATAACTTTGTTCAGATGTGATAGTTGCATTCTGTGTTTCATACCTCTACCAATTCTGTAATTGTGTTAAATTTGTAGCTTTTTAAAAACTCTTGACATTAAGAATTATGTTTCAGAAGCCAACATATAAACCTGTGGGGGAAGAAACTAAGAGAAGCAAGAGGAACGTTAGGTTTAGTCTTACGTGCATATGAGAGAATTTAGGAGAATTAAATGACTTGCCCTAAAGTCATTTTTTAACACTGTAGATTTAGTGTATTTTTATTCTAAGAATAACATGATGAGAGATTTTTTGTAAGTTCTTTATCTTTGAGCAGTACATAATGAAATATTTGCAGATGAAATGTTATATCTCGGATTTGTTTCAAAATGAGGTAGTTTGGGTTATACATGAAATAGAATTGTCCCAGAGTTTGTGGAATTTGGGTGTTGGGTACATGGGAGTTTGTTATGCTTTCCTACTTTGGTATATATTGGAGATTTTCTAGAGTAAAAAGGTTTTGAGAATGTGAGTTTTAGCCTCATGTTTTTAATGAGTAGAAAATTTGGATTAAAAAATATTTTAAAACTTCTTTTTAAACATTTTTTTCTCGGACTTTAGTGAGCATCAGAATTATTTAAAAATTTTTTTTCAAGAAATTTAACATAAAGTAAGATTGGACTTTAATTTTGGTTCCAACATCTCCTGTGATGTTTGAGTTAGTAAGCTTTGTTCATAGTAACAGCTTGGGCAGGGTTTGTATACTTACTTGATTCACAAGTGGAAGAGGATTTTATGGTTCTGTTGTGAAAGCCTTGAAGATGAAGTTTTGACTGTTTAGGCTATTTCCCTGCATTATCTCTTGTGTTAATGAAGAAGGTAGTTGATAAATTTCAGGGGATAACCAGTCACACTAAACTGCAGTGGAAGTGTTCTTGGTTTTTCTTGCATATGAAGGGGAAAGTCAGATAAATTTTTAATAAATGTCTTTGCTGCTTTCATTTGGCAGCCTTGTTTGGGCACAGGGTTAATAAAGGCTCAAGAACTTGAGAGAGCGGGTGAACAAGTTTCTTACTGTGAAAATGTAAATAGTCAACTGTGTGCTTTTTTTGTATTGTCTGTAGAAGTATGTATGTGTTCATTTTCTCAAGAAGCTTACAGATTTATTGGAGTATTTAAGATAGATACATGGAGTAGTAATCAACAATATAAATCAGTGTGTGATCTGCAATATAAATCAATATAGTAAGTCACTAAATTGCATGATACAGATAACTGTGTAGAAGTTCAGAGGAACAGAAAATCAAAAAAGGCTCCAGGAGACCTAATAGAGAAGAGAGAAGTTTAATGGGGAATCTAGATTTGTATAGGTAGAGAGATGAGAGGAAGATGTTTACTAACAAGGTTTAAAAAAAAAAAAGGTAAGAATAGAGGCAAGGCAAAGTGTTTCTCCAAAAATGGTTCGTAAGATATTAATAGGTATTATTAAATGTTATAAAAATGCTTATTAGCATGTTAAAGTTTCTGAGAAATCCTGTGGGAAATAAACCTATTTAAGGAAAGGAAGCAGCATTTTTTTCTTTTTTAGATTATACATCTGTATTGATTAGTATTTCATTGGGTTACTTGTGAGGAACTACTTTGGGAAATGCTGTTATAGCATGAATAGAAATCTGGGCAGTTTGGTGACTGGTGGCTGATAGGACACATTTGAATAAGTATGGTGAGAGAATGAAAAGCACTGAATACTATTGGTGAGGGTTGCACTATTTTTAACCTTACTTAAGGAGCCTTTGAAAGTTTTTGAACAGAGGAATAACGTGAATAAATCAATGCTTGGAAGACATAACCTTCAGAACAGAGTGGAATGGGAAGAAACTAGCACTAAAGAAGGTAGGAGCGGGGCCAGGCATGGTGGTTCACACCTGTAATCCCAGCACTTTAGGAGGCCAAGGCAGGTGGATCACCTGAGGTCAAGAGCAGCCTGACCAATATGGTGAAACCCTGTCTCTACTAAAAATAGAAAAAAATTAGCCAGGTGTGGTGGCGTGTGCTTGTAGTCCGAGCAACTCAGGAGGCTGAGACAGAATTGCTTGAACCCAGGAGGCATAGGTTGCAGTGAGCTGACATTGTGCCACTGCTCTCCAGCCTGGGTGACAGAGCGGGACTCCGTTTCAAAAGAAAACCAAAAAAACAAAAAAGGTAAAAGGGGCTACTTTATTTAAACAGGGAGAAAGTAAGGAAGGAAGGAAGAATGCCAGACATTTCAAAGTATGAATTTTATAGGATTGGTGATTAGCTATCAGGAATACAAGAGATGAATCCGTTGGTGATTAGCTATCAGGAATACAAGAGATGAATCCGTTGTTTTAAAGTTATATCATTGGCACGTTTGTGAGGGGAAAACTGATCTGGGGACTCCAAGATGACACTAGTTGGAATGGATTGAATTTGTGGTTGAAATAATTGTTGCTAGTAGAGATGGAGGGCTGAGCCTAGGACAAAGGAATGGAATTCTGTAGGAGATGGTTGATAGACACAGTTGAAGTCAGGAGAGTTGATAAAACTGAGCAGGGGAATTATAAAAAGGAAGATGTTTTGGGAAATTTTGGGGATGGTGGAGTGTGGACCATAAAACGTGCAGGAAGTGTGTACATTTTCTACCATTTCTGAGATACTCTTTTAGGATAATAAAGTTTTAGTGGGTAATATATTTCTTTGGGTGACAGGAAAACAGGATTTCTCTTTCCCCTGACATTTGGCATTGTAAAGTTTAGTTTGCACTCAGATAGTTTGGTTTTGATTGTTTTGTTGGTTGGGTTTTGGTTTTGTCTTACTATTTTCCATCAGGAAAGCATCTACATGGATTGTCTGTCAGTTCTAGATAGTTCTAGCAGAGGTGATAACCTCTGCTTTATTTAAAAGTTAGCTTCTTTTAACCTGGACTGATCATTAATAAGTTAGAACACCCAGCTTTATGATTTTTGGAAACAGGGTCTCACTGTCTCACCCAGGCTGGAGTACAGTGGCATAATCATAGCTTACTGCAGCCCCGAACCTCCTGGGCTCAGTCAGTTCTCCCGCCTCGGCCTCCAATTACAGGCATGAGTCACTGCACCTGGCCTAGAACATCGACTTTAAAACAGGTTTTGGAAGAAAGAATTAATTGCTGGTATCTGATACCAGTCGACATATCAGTACACTTATTCCCTAAGCAAAATTTGCTGCTATATTTACATAAGACCTTCTTTGTGATGCTTTTTTATTTTCTACCACTTAAAGTATTTAATTCCCATTACTTCATGTAATTCAGCCATTCATTACCTTGGATCCTCTTATATGCCAAAATTCTTTCTTGAATGTTTAAGTGAAGATGGAATAGAATGTATTTATTTTTAGAAGAAAGGAGTTTCAGCCTTAGAACTGTAAAAGCAAAGCTTTTGACCTTGAAGGTAATACCTTATATTTGTTGATAAATAAGTAGAGTGCTGATTTAATTTTTTTTTTTACTTTTTATGTTTTATAGTGATGGGGTCTTGCTGTGTTGCTCAGGCTGGTCTTGAACCCCTGGCCTTGGGTAATCCTCCTGTCTCCCTCCTGAAGTGCCGGAGTTACAGGCCTGGCAATTGACTTTTTTGTTACAGTGTTAATAAATGGCAGAAAGTTAACTTTAAAGGGTGTAAGGAAATCTTTTTGAAAATTGGTGAAAATATCTTTAGTTTTGATTAACATTATGTCATTTATTTCCTGCTTTCTCCCTACTTTTTATAAATAAATTGGTTTTTTCACTCCTGTTTAATTTTCTTTCAGCCTATACTTGTTTCAACAGCAGTAACCACTCAAAAAGACTTGGTAAGAAAGTTTTAAAGAGGATTTAAAGTACTTGATGGCCAAAATGAATTTAAAAAATGGTATTTGATGTCTGTTTCCATTTTTGCTTTTTTTCCCATTCTAATCAATTAAGTGTTTGCTCTTTTTTTTTTTTAGAGACAAGTTCTCTCTCACTCAGACTGGATTACAGGGGTATGATTATAGCTCACTGCAGCCTCAAACTCCTGGGCTCATGTGATCCTACTGTGTTAGCCACCTGAGTAGGTGGGACTACAGGTGCCCCGCACTGTGCCTTGCTAATTTTTTTATGTTTTAATTTTTTGTAATGATGGGGTCTCACTATGTTGCCTAGGCTGGTCTTGAACACCTGGGCTCAAGCTATCCTCCCACCTCTGCCTCCAAGTAACTGGGACTACAGATGTACACCACCACATCCAACTCTTATTTCCGCTTTTCATTTGCTTTTATTAAATCTTCAGGAATTTCGTTGAAGGGCAAATGATGTTCCATGGTAAAGAAATTTTATTTGTCTTAGATTTACTGTTTTATCTAGTTAATGGAAGTAGTTTATTCAAGTAGTATAGCTCTACCACTTTATCATTTCATTTGCTTTTTGAAGCAGGGTTATATCAGAGCAAAAGGAAAATAAAGGTAGAATTTATTGAAAACGGTTTGAAAGTTTTAAATTGTGATTTTATAAATGTTACTTTATAACTTTTATATATATATATATATATATATATATATATATAAAGTTTTATAAATGTTAGTCATTTGTACTGTCTTCCTAATATTTCTGGTTCTCTTCATGGGCACACCGAAGTTGGGTGTAGCCATGGAGCTTGCTTTGGCCAATGAAATACGTCATGGTGATTGATCCATTAACATTGATTCATAAGTCAGGAAAGCAGCATCAGCTGACTTATGATGGATGTGAATAAAAAATAGACCTTTGTTTTAAGCCACTGTGATTTGAGGGGTTGTTACTGCAACTTAATTTTGCCCTGCTCTGTTATATAGGGGAGCCATTAGCCCTGTGATGCTATTAAGCACTCGAAATGTGGCTAGACTGAATTGAGATGTGCTGTAAGTGTAATAAAATACAAATTGAATTTTCAAGTTTTAGTATAAAAAATAGAATGTAAAACATTTCATGAATAATTTGTATTATTGATAAAAGATTGAAATTTAATTCTTTGGATATATAGGCATGCTTTATCTTATTGTGCTTCACAGATACTACTTAAAAAAAAATGAAGAATGTGGCAACCTCGCATTTGAGCAAGTCTGTTGACCCCATTTTTCCATCAGAACGTGATCACTTTGTGTCCCTGTGTCACATTTTGGCAATTCTTGGAATATTTCAAACCTTTTCATTATTATTTTTTATTTTTGTTTTTGAGACAGTCTCGTACTGTCGCCCAGGCCTGGAGTGCAGTGGTGCTATATTGGCTCACTGCAAGCTCTGCCTCTGGGATTCAGGCCATTCTCCTGCCTCAGCCTCCCGAGTAGCTGGGACTACAGGACCCCACCGCCAAGCCTGGCTAATGTTTTGTATTTTTAGTAGAGACGGGGTTTCACCGTGTCAGCCAGGATGGTCTCAATCTCCTGACCTCGTGATCCACCTGCCTTGGCCTCCCAAAGTGCTGGGATTACAGGCGTGAGCCACTGCGCCCGACCTTCATTATTATTATACTTCTTAACAGTGATCCGTAATCAGTGGTCTTTGATGTTACTGTTGTAATTGTCTTGGGGCACAACAGACCATGCACCCATAGAAGGTGAACTTAATTGATATAAAGGTTGTATGTTCTGACTGTTGCAACGACCAGCCGTTTCCTCATCTTTCTCCTCGGGCCTCCCTCCTCCCTGAGACACAACAATATTGAAACTAGGCCAGTTCCAGGCACGGTGGCTCACTCCTGTAATCCCAGCACTTTGGGAGGCCGAGATGGGCGGATCAGTTGAGGTCAGGGGTTCAAGTGCAGCCTGGCCAACATGGTGAAACCCATCTCTACAGAAAATACAAAAATTAGCCGGGCGTGATGGCAGGCGCCTGTAATCCCAGCCACTTGGGAGGCTGAGGCAGAACAATTGCTTGAACCCAGGAGGCAGATGTTGCAGTGAGCTGAGATCACGCCATTGTACTCCAGCCTGGGCAAAAGAGCAAAACTCTGTCTCAAGAAAAAGAAAAAACTAGGCAAATTGATAATAACCCTACAGTAGCCTCTAAGTGTTCAAGTGAAAGGAAGAATTGCACATATCTCACTTTAAGTCAAAAGCTTAGAAATAATTAAGCTTAGTGAGGAAAGCATATTGAAAGCCCAGATAGACCAGAAGCTGGGCCTCTTGTGCCACACAGCCACGTTGTGAATGCAAAGGAAAAGTTCTTGAAGGAAATTAAAAGTCCTAGTCCAGTGAACACGTGATAAGAAAGCAAAACAGTCTCATTGCTGATATGGAGAAAATTTTAGTGGTCTGGCCAGATATACCAGCCACAACATTCCTTTAAACCAAAGCCTAATCCAGAGCAAGGCCCCTAACTCTTCAATTCTGTGAATGCTGATAGAGGTGAGGAAGCTGCAGAAAGAGTTGGAAGTTAGCAGAATACTGGTCCATGAGGTTTAAGGAAAGAAACTGTTTCCATAACATAAAGACAAGGCTGCAAGTGCTGATGTAGAAGCTGCAAGAAGTTATCCGGAAGCTAAGATCATTGATGAAAATGGCCACACTAAACAACAGATTTTCCGGCTGGGCGTGGTGGCTCACACCTGTAACCCCAGCACTTTGGGAGGCCGAGGTGGGAGGATCACGTGGTCAGGAGTTGAAGACCAGCCTGGCCAATATGGTGAAACCCCATCTCTACTGAAAATACAAAAATTAGCCGGGCATGATGGCGCACACCTGTAGTCCTAGCTACTCGGGAGGCTGAGGCAGAAGAATCGCTTGAACCCGGGAGGTGGAGGTTGCAGTGAGCCGAGATTGCACCACTGCACTCCAGCCTGGGAAACAGAGCGAGACTCCATCTCAAAAACAACAACAACAAAAATGCCAGGCTGGTCTCGAACTCCTGACCTCAAGTGATCTGCTCGCCTTGGCATCCCAAAGTGCTGGAATTACAGATGTGAACCACCGCGCCTAGCCAGCAACCACCATCTTGATCAGTCAGCAGCAATTGACTTTGAGGCAAGACCCTCCACCAGCAAAAAGATTACGATTTACTGAAGGCTCAGATGATTGTTAGCATTTTTTAGCTGTAAAGTTTTTTTAAATTAATGTACTTTTTGTTTTTTTAGACATAATGCTGTTGCACACTTAATAGACTGCAGTATAGTATAAACATATGTACTGGGAAACCAAAAAAATGTGTGGCTTGGTTAATTGCAATATTAGCTTTATTGTACTTGTCTGGAATCAAATTTGTAGTGTTTCTGAGGTATGTCTATATTAGGTTAAATGAAATATATTAAAGTTAATTTTACCTTTGAGTTTTACTTTTTTAATGTGGCTGTTAGAAAATTTGAAGTTAACGTACGTGGCTTGCATTGTATTTCTATTAGACAGCACCTATATTATTACAGCCTATCATCACTTAAGTCAAAATTTATACAAGGAATAGTATGCTCTAACAAAAAACTTCAACTGTGGCATTGGCCTGAGGATCAGGCAGCAAGGAAACTGATGTTAGATGCTAGAAACATGACGATGCAGAGAACAATATTATTATATAAAACTTAACGTGCAGTAACTTGGAAGGCAAGTAATATATTTAATGCATTTGAAGCTTTTGGGACAAGGTTGGAAAACAAATTGTATTTTAACTGGTACTGGTTTCATTTGACAAGGTGTTATAAGAAAGAGATGAGCTAGAAAATAATTGGTTAGTTTGCAAGTATGAATGAAAAGCAATACAGAGTCCAGAAATTTGGGAATTTGTAGGATTAGAAGAAGCAATTACTGCTGCACCTTTTTTTTTCTTTTTAATTAAATTAGAGGCAGTCTCCCTGTGTTACCCAGGCTAGTCTCAAATTCCTGGGCTCAAGCAATCCTCCCACCTTGGCCTCCCAAAGTACTGGGATGAGCGACTGTGCCTGACCAGTAGTTGCTTCTTACCTCCAATCAGTAGGAGACACAACTGAAAAGGCTTTTGAGTAGATAATTAAAATTCATCCTTTTGGTAGGATCCAGTCAGGGTTATGACCATCACTTCCATTGTTAAAATGTCTGAAAGGATTAAGGTAATTCAGAGTAAAGGCCAACTTGAGAGGGAATTGCTTTTCAGTTGGGTTAGGGAAAAGAGACTAAAGGTATGGAACCCCTGCTAAAGCCAGGTAAACTCAAGGTACCCATAGTTAGAGAGAAATAGACACACTGTCTCATGGGGCAAGAAAGCAAAGAAAAGTAGTAAATCTAAGAGGCATATCTTAGAAAAAAGCTTTGGTTCTGGACATTGGCGCTTGGAATTGGATAGAATCAAATAGATAAGCCTTCTAATTTTTTCAGGGAGAGGCATAGACAAAAGTCTGAATAAAGTATAACTGCTTGATACATAATGATCTTGCTCTCTGCCCCATACCTCCCTGACCTATCTGCCTGCTGAGAATTCTGCTCTGCTAAGGAGTCACACTCTCTGATGCTCACTTCACTTGTAGCGTTAGAAGATAACAGACCAGGAAAAACCTTCCAGAAGGCAGAACCTAGAGGCACAGAGAACAGCAGACTTAGAAACTCCTCCCAAGGGTCAGTCAGAGCATTCCCCACCTTCCAGGACAGAGAGCCCTTGCACAATCTGTTCAGCCTGGCTTATGAATTGCTATGAACTACTGACTGTTGTCTTCTTTTCTTCTTTTGAACTGGAGCATTTTTTATATTCTGTCAGTGTGTATTGTGTGTGTGAAGGGAAGTAGATAACTTGTTTTAATAAATAGGTCTCTGTGAAGAGGGGCTGCATCTGGACTTGATATAGAGGTGATTTCCCCATCAGCGCAGATCCTGTCCTTTGATCTTGATGCTGAGACTGGATGGGATATTTGGGTTACCTTCTGAATGGAGGGACAGGTGTATTTTTTCATGTGGGAAGAATAAATATTTGACAGCAGGGGACTAGGGAGTCATGATTCTTCATAAAATAATCATTGAATTGCCCTTTCCTTTAATTCTTAATGTCGGGCATGGCCACGTGCCTTTTTGTAACCAGTAAAATGTGAGTGGAAGTTAAAGAACAGAATGTGATTTGCCACGTTTTCTTTCACCTTTGGCAAGGCAACCTTGGAAGCATGTATCAAGTGGAGCCTGGAAGCATGTATCAAGGGGAGCCTGGACTCCTGAGGCACTGTCATGATCACATCTCCCTTACCAACCTGAATTGGACATTTGAAATTAGTGAAAAATAAATTTTTGTTGTATCAAAGCCATTGAGCTTTTGTGATTGATGTTACTGTAGCACAGCTTCACTGATTCTGATTAATGTGTTAGATTATAATTTTGGTCAACAAATGTTCGCTCAATATAGTTGTTCAATAAATGTTTGAATCAAATATGTAAAAATTGGAGGGCAAAAGAAAAATGTATAAATTCTAAAACTGCCAAGATCCAGGTCTTTGGCTTTTATTCTTTGTGAAAGCCAACCACATGGTGACTAAGGGTCCTCTAATTATATAGGTAATACGGCAGAGATGATTTAGGTAGCAGACACGGGAAAATAGAAAACAATGAAGCTTGTAAATAACTAGGGGTTCAAAGCAATACATAGGTGTCGTTTAGTGGATCATTTAAAGCATTTTTTCTTCTATTTATATTGATACCAACTCAGGATTGTTTACAGTCTGCAGAAAGTGTTGGAACGGAATCATTTTATTTACAGGCAGTTCTGCTTTTTTTTTTTTTTAATGAAGGAAGAAAACCCCAAACCATGTGTTTTTGTTGTTGTTGGTTGGTTGTTTTCCCCCTAGCCATTGCAGCAGTGGCAGAAACATCAGTTTTAGTCCAGTGCTAGAGCAGAGCCTTTTCCTCAAATGACATCTTAGGCAGAACTCCAGTGTATAAAACTAATATTAATGGGGCTGCTCTGACTTACATGAGGGCCTGGGGCCCTCTTCTCTGCTGACACTTAACAGTTTGAAATTTCCTGTACTGAAGCAGATATACCTGCCGTGGCCATCTTCATTTTGAAGGGTTTGAGTTTCTTAAGAGTAGCCTTAGATCCTTTCTTTAGTCCTAATTTATTTAATGTTTATATACAGTTTTAACAATTCCGACTGCTTTCCAAATTTAAAACTGGCTTAGAAAATGTACAGTAGAAGGGATGATGGGTACGGTAACCTGGGAGGTGGAGGATGGAGAGTTGATATCACCAGAGTTGGGAAGAAGGCAGGAAAAACAAGTAGAAGAAATAAAAAACTATAATTATGAATGTTTTTAGTTCAGTGTTCTAGGGCCTATTTGATACCATAAATTACTTTTAATAATGAATTGGAATAATTAGACAAAGATTAAATAACGTTCTGAGCTTCCTGCCAAGGAAAGTAGGTAAATGTGTAATTGATTCTGGAGAAATTTTTGTTCAAGATATCATAACTATCTTAAATAACTGATGCCCTGAAGGTTTTGAATTTTAGAAGTTTTTGATGTATTTTTAAAGCGATACACAAATAATTGAAAGTTGAAATAGTAAATAATACTGTTTTCCAAAGTTTAATTAAAATACTTTATAAAGCTTAAAAGGATCTCAAGTTACTTAAATTTGAGAAAATGAGTTTATATTGTGATATATGCCATTACCATTGCATTTCAACAAGTTATAAGAATGATATAGGTCGGGTGGGGTGGCTCATTCCTGTAATCCCAGCACTTTGGGAGACCGAGGCCGGCAGATCACCTGAGGTCAGGAGTTCGAGACCAGCCTGGCCAACATGGTGAAACCCAGTCTCTACTAAAAAATACAAAAATTAGCCGGGCGTGGTGGCGGACACTTGTAGTCCCAGCTACTCGGGAGGCTGAGATAGGAGAATTGCTTGAACCCTGGGAAGTGGAAGTTGCAGTGAGCGGAGATCACACCACTGTACCCCACCCTGGGCGACAGAGTGAGAACCCTGTCTTAAAAAAAAAAAAAAAAGATATATAGTTGATATGGTTTGGAAGTCCCACCCAAATCTCATGTTCAATTGTAATCCCCAATGTGGGAGGAAGGACTTGATGGAAGGTGATTTGATCATGGGGGTGGTTTCCCATGGCTTACCACCATCCTCCTTGGTGTTGTCTTGGTGATAGTGAGTTCTTGTGAGATCTAGTTAAGTGTGTGTGGCACCTCTTGCCACCCTCTTGCTGCCCTGGTCATGTGACTTGCCAGCTCTCCTTTTGCCTTCTGCCATGATTGTAAGTTTCCTGAGGCCTCCCCAGAAGCAGAGCAGATGCCAGAATCATGCTTCCTATACAGCCTGCAGAACCATGAGCCAATTAAACCTTTTAAAAAAATAAATTACTTAGTCTCAGGTATCTCTTCATAGCAGTGGGAGAACGGACTAATACAATACTATCTAAAAAGCATAACCAAATCTGTTCTGTCATGGCTATTTTTTTTAGAATATTTTAAGAAACGACTTCAAGCCATTCAATTTAAGTTTTATTGCAATATGCAATTGGAATGACTTAGTTAATAGAATTAATGTGGAAGCCATTTTTACATTCTTAAAATTTTTTTTAATTACTTAAAAATAATTTTAAAATTATCTGGGCATTGTGGCCCAATTTATTTTTGGTAGAGACTGGTCTTGCTGTGTTGCCCAGGCCAGTCTCAAACACCTGGACTCAAGTGACCCTCCCTCCTTGGCCTCCCAAAGTGCTGGGATTACAGGCGTGAGCCACCGTGCCCAGCCTCTGGTGCGTTCTACAGGATGCTTGGCACTTGTCCTGTTGAAAGACAGGGCTTTTCTGGGGACCACCTGCCTCATTTTTGTATTCTTGGTGAGTAGCATAAATACATACATAGAACCTGGAAGAAAATATATATATCTATTTGGTAGAAGGCATGAAAACCGAGAATAAGATTATAATAGGTACATCTATTAAATACCAAGAGATGAGGTTAAAAAATAATATATATTATTGCTATTTTGTATGTTTCCTTCATTGGTCTTACTAAAGAAGGAGGCTTGAAAAACAGTGTATTTTGTCCTCAAGTAGTTAGACTAAGTTAGACTAGACATTGTGATACAATGTTTAGATTAGGTGATTGGGAGGTGGGAAAGGAGGTAAACTACATTAAGATCCAATTTCTGTTGTAGTCATAGTTTGTTTTGAATCAAGAGCAGTTTGAATACTTAACCTTATTCATAATAGGCAGCTTCAGATCTTTAGTTGTCCCTAAAAATTCAGTCTACCTTTAAGATGAGCATTTAGTACATTTTAGTACATTTGATTTGAGAGTTGTGAGTTACAGCTGCTTATAGCAGATCACTTTCCTGCTGTTTATTGGATAGCAGTTAGGAATTACTGAGAACTTTATCTTTTTGTGTGTGTACTATTTTAACCTGGTAGAACAGCTTTTAAAAAAACCTTTATAGTAAATTTAAAGTAGTCTTTTTTTTAATCTGAAGGGGAGGGGAAAACTAGTCCCTAAAGCTTATGGGGACAAGGCAGAGCCTTAGGAAAGAGTATTGTGTGTTACAATAACTTGTAATATTGCTGTGTATCCTTCATAGTTTCTCTGACCTTCTTACCTGTGACATTGAGGATTTTATCCATTAGGTTCCTAAAATAAGTCCTCTATGGGAGTGGGACAACAGGGAAGATTTGCCAGATTTTTAAAAAAATTGTAAAAAACACATAACATTAAATTTACCATCTTAACAATTTTTAAGTGTACAGTTCAGTAATGTTAAGTGTATTCACATTGTTGTGTAACACATCTCTAGAATTTTTCATCTTGCAAAATTGAAACTCTACCTTTTAAATACCAACTTCCCTTTTCATCTCTCCCCCATTTGGCAACTACCTTTTTTCTTGCTGTTTGTATGATTTTGACTACTTTAAGTACTTCATATTCATGGAATCATAGCTGTCTTGTGACTCATTTATTTCACTTAACATAATGTCCTTGAGGTTCATCCGTGTTGTAGCGTGTGACAGGATTTCACATGCTACATACACATACTATATACATACAATAGAATATTTCACATATAATAGCATATGTGGCTGAGCGTGGTGGCTCACGCCTGTAATCCCAGCACTTTGGGTGGGCGGATCATGCCAAGGTGGGCGGATCACCTGAGGTCAGGAGTTTGAGACCAGCCTGACCAACATGGCGAAACTCGGTCTCTACTAAAAATACAGAAATTAGCCGGGTGTGGTGTTGCATGCCTGTAATCCCAGCTACTCAGGTGGCTGAGGCAGGAGAATAGTTTGAACCTGGGAGGTGGAGGTTGCAGTGAGCTGAGATCACGCCACTGCACTCCAGCCTGGGCGATGTGACACTCTGTCTCAAACAAAGAAAAAATAGTCTATGTATGTACTAAAGTTTCTTTATCTTTCCTAGATTTTTAAACTCACTTTGATTTGATTTAATTAAACTAAAACTAATTAAAATTGCATATATTTATATACAGGGAAGCTAACTTAAAGCTGCTGTTCCTATGAATGAACTGGCCTGGTAGGGAGTTGATCTTTAGCAATATCTGCAATATGGTTTTGCACAGTTTTCATCTTACATCCTGGCTCCATCCATTTTCAACTGTGTGACTTCAGGCAAACTACATAACCTCTTTGTTTTCTCATCTAGAAAGGAGGGGGAAAATAATATTAAACTCAGCGTAGTTGGGAGCATGACATGAGTTAATATATGTAAACACTTAGAATAGTGCTCTACAAGTAGTAAATCCTTATCTTATGTGTTTAGCCATCATATTCATCATTGGAGAGAGTAGGAGTCCCCTTAACAGGGGCTTAACTAGTACTTCAGATTTAATAAGGTGAAGTGAATATCTCGCTAGTCAGTTTACTAATTACAGGTCACATCATCTTTTTCTCACATATTTGTGGTAAGACTATAAAATGAGATCTTCTGTAATACATATTAGAAAATCAGTCATTTCTGGTTATGTTCATATGTATGTGTATATAAAATAATTTGGAAAACTGCTATAAAAATGAAAGGTTAATAAAAGATTAATTTCAAATGGGAGGAAAGGAGCAGTTTATAGAAGAGTAATGATCCAAATCTAAGGAGATGGCATTTGGGGGAAGAGATTGCTTGATGTTAAAGCAGAGATGGTGATTAACCATCCATCTATATTTTTAAAATTATTATTATATTTGGTAAGGGGATAACATTTAGTTTTAAAAACCTAACCCCTAAAGTGTTAACTTCTTTTAGCATTAGTGAAGTTATATTTTTAGGAACTCATATCTATAATTTAGAACTATCCCCTTAGAAGAAAAGTTGAAAAAAAACTTGGTACCTCTGAAATATCCATAGGAATCTGAGGAATAATGAAACTTTATAATACATGAGATATTGTAGGATTATCCGGTGGTTCTGTTAGATGATTTTTATGGCAGGTGAAGCTGATTAAAGGGAAAATGTAAATAAAATAAACTTTTAGAATCAAATGAAGTAATTTGATTCTAAATCAAATTTGATTTAGAATCAAATTACTTCAGTGCTTAAAAAAGTTGAAGGCAGAGAATATGAAAGACTTTGATAAGAACAACAAAATCTTAATGGCACACTATTGATAAAAGATAATGTCTCATTTTATCAACCATACTGTAATTCATATTTATCTAATGTTAGCTATTTAAATTAAGTATGCGTGTTCCAGACTTGATAAGTTGGTTAAGAATTTATCTTAAATGTTCTGTTAGCTCTATTGATAAATAATTAGCAGTTAATTTTAGGAAGAGGTATTTAGGATTTTCTTGTAATATTTTTAATAGAAATCTAGGCATGCCCTGAGTTATTGATACTTAACTAATACTGAAAATTAGCCTTATCTTTGTAACCATATTGTGTGTGTGGGTGTGTGTGTATATTTCATTATTTAAATTTTCTGTTTTTTTCTCTTCAATTCTTGCCCAGGTATGCAGAATTTTTTTTTCTTTTGTACATACCCCTTTCGCAAGCTTGTTTTATTGGTAGGCCTTGAAAACAGCCATAATCACAGGACAGAGATACTGTCAGTGCAATAACTCATCAAATGAAAAGGAAACTTAAACATTTTGAGGTGGAGAATAGACATAAAAAAACAGTGCTGTTTATAAAGTTCTTAAATGTGTCATACACATTTCCTTGAATTTCTGTTTTCATTGCTTAAATTTTTTGCATACTTTTCCTCAAATATTAATCAAATTTAAGTCAGCACATTCATTTCTTTATACTGCTAGCATGCACTATTGCTACAGAATATAAAGGCTGATTTACAAATACTTCAGGTACCCTTATGTGTCAAATCTACCCTTGTGGGCTAACCTAGGAACTGTACTGCCAATTTTATAATGCTTGCTTTTATAGCAAAACCCTTGGAAAGAGTTAACCTGTACTTGTTTACAATTCATCTCCTTCCACTCTCTGGAGTCTATACTAGGCAGGGTTTTGTGCTCACAGTTCTTGTCAAGATCACCAGTGATTACCACAATGTTATATCCAAGGATCATTTCTTAGTCTTTATTTTACTTGACTTTTTAAGTATTTGACACAGTTAAGTTCTTCCCGAAATGATTTCTTCAGTTTGGTTTCTGGACACCAGTTTCCTCATATCTCACTGGCACTCTCAGTCCCCTATGCTGGTTCTTTTTAGTCTCTGCTTGTTAATTTTGGAGTGCTGCAGGGTTTCCTCCTGTCTACATTATATTCCAGATGACTCTCAATGCCTAATGTATATGCTGATATTGGCAGGCCAGATTTCTACCTGAACTCCAAACCCATTGACTGTCTGATGAACACCTTCATCTGGATATTCAATAGGCATTCAGAACTTTCATATTTCAAAATAGGCCCCTGACTGGCACCCCTCCCCTGCAATCTTTTCTACCTTCAGTTTACCATATCTCAGTTAATGGCAACTCCATCTTTCTAGTTGCTCAGGATTTAAAAAAAAAAAAACCTTGGGAGTGTTTTTAACTTCTTTCTGTTCTTGCTCCTCACATGATAACCTGTTATCAATCTGTTAGCAGATGTCTTTGACTCTACTTTAAACATATTTTCTGACTGAACAATTCTACCCCTCCTCCTCAATACCTTAGCTTCAGGCCACTATCATCTCTTTTTAAGACTGTGTCAGGCCATTCCTGTATTACTATATAGAAATATCTGGGACTGGGTAATTTGTAAGAGGTTTAATTGACTCAGTTCTGCAGGCTGTACCGGAAGCATAGTGCTGGCATCTGGGTCTGGGAAGGCCTCAAGAAGCTTTTACTCATGGCAGAAGGCAAATGGGGAATGGGCACGTCACATGGTAGAAGTAGAGGGAGGTGAGAGACAGAGAAAGAGTAGGAGGGAAGGTGCCACACACTTAAACCAGATCTCTTAACTATTGCAAGGACAGTGCCAAGACAGTGGTGCTAAACCATTTATGAGAAATCCGCCCCCATGATCCAATCACCTCCTACCAGGCTCCACCTCCACCTTTGGGGATTGCATTTCAACATAAGATTTGGATGGGGACAAATATCTAAACTGTGTCAGGGTCTTTCTTTGTTGCCCAGGCTGGAGGGCAGTGATGTGATCATGGCTCACTGCAACCTGAACCTCCTGGGCTCAAGTGATTCTCCCACTTCAGTCTCCTGAGTAGCTGGGACCACAAGGCATGTGCCACCATGCCTGCCTGGCCTGTTTGTTTGTTTGTTTGTTTGTTTGTTTGTTTTTGGATAGTGACGGGACCGCTCTCTCTTGGCTCAGGCTGGTCTTGAACTCCTAGGTTCAATCGTTTCTCCCGCTTCGGTCTCCCAAAGTGCTGATATTACAGGCATGAGCCACCCTGCCCAGTCAGCATGAACTTTTAACTTGCTAACTGCCTTATCCTTAGAACTTAGAACAGTGACTGGCACATCGTAGCCATACATATAGTTGTTGAGTGAATAAAATCATATTCTAAATTTCATATTATGAATTTAATTTGTGGGACACACTCATTTTATTATTTGTATAAAAATGGGGGAAGGTTTAGTCAACTATGTGGGAACTAGAGGTAAAGCAAAAAAATTGTCTTTAACAGTTCCTAAGTAATCACCTATAAATTACGTTAAAATATTTAATTTATAATAATCTTTATATTGAAGTACAATATGCATTCAGAAAATGTAGAGATCAAATGTATATAACTTGATGAAATTTTACAAAATGAACACATAGGAAAACTACCACCCAGATCAAGAAATAGGATATTACCAGCAACCCTGAAATCTCCCTGTACTCAGTCATATATGTCCCTCAAAAGTAGGCAGTCACCACTCTTCTATCCCCATGGAGCACCTACTCCCTTCACATTTAAATAATTATTTTTAAACTGGGCTCAGTGGCTCATGCCTGTAATCCCAGCACTTTGGGAGGCTGAGGTGGGTGGATCACTTGAGGTCAGGAGTTCGAGACCAGCCTGGCCAACATGGTGAAACCCTGTCTCTACTAAAAATACAAAAACTAGCTGGGCATGGTGGCGGGCACCTGTAATCCCAGCTACTCGGGAGGCTGAGGCAGGAGAATCACTTGAATCCGGGAGGCAGAGGTTGCAGTGAGCCGAGGTCACGCCACCACAGAGCAAGACTCTGCTTAAAAATAAATAAATAAATAAATAAATAAATTTTTAAAGAGCAGTTGAGATGCTTAGTAAAAATGAAAGGAAGTATAGAGATATACCTTACCCCCCGCCCCTGCACATGCATACCCTTCCCTATGTCAACATCACCCATCATTCAGAGTGGTTCATTTGTTAACAGTTGATGAATTTGCTTGATGTATTATCACCCAAAGTCCATACTCTACATTAGGGTTCCCTCTTCGTGTTTATACATTCTGTAAGTTTGAACAAATGTATGCCATGCATCCACCTATATTACATCATACATAGTATTTTCAGTACTCTGAAATGAAAATACGTCTGTGCTGTGCCTATTCATCCCTCCCTCCCCTTTAATTCCTGGCAACCACTGATCTTTTTTAATGTCTTCATAGTTTTGCCTTTTCCAACGTGTCATATGGTTGGAATAATTGCCAATTGTTATGAATCTTATATAAATGAAAATTTCTTTATATAAATATCATACACGATCCCATTCCCTGTATATAAAGGGAATACATAGGGGGTGCGGGGGGGCTTCTTTTGTTCGAAATGCTTTGAGAGATTCATTTCTGTTGCATGTAAGTTGTTGTTAATGTTCATTGTTTTAACATGTTCCATTGTATGAACAAATATGATTTGTTTTTCCATTCCAATACTAGGGGATATGTGAGTTTTTCTAGTTTAGGGTGATTACAAATAACATTGCTGTAAATTTTGTACTTGTATTTTGGTGTTAAGTGTATGCATTTCTGTAGGTTGTGTACCTAGGGGGAAATTGTTTGAGCTATAGGGTATATATAGGTTCACTTTTAGAAGATACAGATGAAAGAGTTTCCAAAGTGGTTGTACTGATCTACACACCTACCATCACTGTGGGAGTTTCAGTTGTTCCACATCTTTGCCAACAGTCTGTACGGTCTGTTTTAAAATTTCTCGTCATTTCTGTGGGTGTGTAATGATATCTCATTGTGAATTAAATTTTTATTTCCCTGATATTTAACAATGTTGAATACCTTTTCTTACTTTTATGGGTCATTTTGATGGATTATTACTTTTGTTTCTCCTGAGCCTTATAAATAGTGGATTTCTAAGAATAACTAGCCACCATGTAGGACACTAATACAGCACAGTAAAAAAAAGTGTTTTCCTGTCATCTATACTGAGATACCAAGGAAGATGTAAACTTAAGTGCCTGGTACTGAAGACTTATTTTTAAAGTATCTGTATTAAGTTGGTATGCAAAGGAGAATTATTTAGGGCTTACTACATTAATTGATTTTATGGTGAGAATTTGAAAGTATACCCAGATGTGTATGAATGAGTGCAGTGATTAGACATTGGGTATAACACTTTTTGGGCAATTAATTTATTGTCTTTAGTGAGCACTTTGTGGTCTCATCTATATGAACTGACTTAATCTTGTAACATCTCTTTATGTATTATTTGCACATAAAAGGCATAGAAAAGTAGAGGAGAAAGTTTTTCCAGGTAGATTATTACCTATATTGGAAGTTCCTTCTTACAGAAGACTTGTTCATTTAGGGAGATTGTATTTTCCGAGAACTTTGAGTGAAGCATTTATTATCTAAAGGGACATATGAACTAATTAATGTTATTAATTCTACTATAAGCATTTATACAGGAGATTACTCTCCAACTAGTCTTGAAGAATAGAGGTTAGTTAGATGAGGAACAAAATAACTGGAAAACAGTCTAGGCAAGAGAAGTAGTGCATGCAAAGTTGTAACATTGGGAGAAGACATGTAATTTCATGCTGTCTTTTTGGGCCATTTGGTTGCTTCTCATCTGTATTTGGTTTTTTTTTCCCTTTAGATATTAGGATCAAGGAAGAAGAACCTGATCCTGAAGAGTGGCAGCTCAGTGGTGATTCTACCTTGAATACCAATGACCTAACACACTTAAGAGTACAGGTGGTAGATGAAGAAGGGGACCAACAACATCAAGAAGGAAAAAGACTTCGGAGGGTAGCTTGCACCTGTCCCAACTGTAAAGAAGGTGGTGGAAGGTATGCATACATGAAACACATATATATTTTTAAGAGTGCTAATATCATTCTGATTTTTGAAATACTGCATGCTATGTCATTTAATTATGAGAAATTATTACATGATCATTTTTGGTGTGTGTGTATGCGTGTGGCAGAAGTTAGAGAACAAAATATATGGAATTGGATTTTCAGTTCTCAATGTTTTTTAAACTAAAATTATTAGTTTGCTGTTTCAAAAATAGTACAGCAGATGCCATTTAACAGGCCCACACTGATCAGAAATTAGCCTGTTTGCAAACCAGCAATGGAATTTGCCTAAATATAGATAAAAAGTTGATTTTTTAGGTTGAGAATAGTAGTTACGTAAAAATTAAGTTCAGGAATGGCTGATAAGCATAAGTATTTCCATTTTCTTAGAAGTGAAAAATAAGCCTTAATAGATTGAATTTTTTAAAAAATGGGATTGTATTTCAGTTCAGTCTTTTTAAAGGTAAACATTAAGACAGAATAACATGACTGGAGTAAACTCAAAATGATCAGAAATTATGTTAAATATGGATGTACTAAGCTTAATAATGAAGAGATTGAGACTCAGATCATATTTTTTTTAAAAAAAAAAACAAGATCCAGACTGATGTTAATTATAAAGAACACCTGAAATAATTGGCACAGGAATATTGAAGATGAGGGATGGAAAAAGATTTATCAGGCAAGTATTAACAAAAAGAAAACTTGGATAGCAGTGTTAATATATCACACGAGACGGAATTGAGGTGAAAGCCCCAAATAAGACAGAGATGTATTTCTTGTTAATAATATTAAATTTCCACCAAGAAGATTTAATAGTCACGGTCCCTTTTTTGTGCAGCTTTGAAATATATAGAGCAAAAACGGATAGAACTCTAAAGCCATACTTAACCAAATCCCTTGTCATGGTGAAAATTAACATACCTTTCTTAGAAATGCACTGTTTAAGTAGATAAAATGTACTTTTAATAGAGTTAACAAACTTGATCTAATAGAGCTTTTCTATCTGCCTTTGAGTTGCACATTGGCCAGCCCTTTCCAGTAATAATAATTGCTAACAACTGGTAACATTGAGAGTTTACCGTATTCCCAGTGGTGTTAGAAGTGAGACATAGAGAGGTTGAGTGACTCCTAAGAGCACACACAACAGGGATTTGGACCTAGTTTTACTCCAGAGCCTTAACCATTAAACTATACTGCCTCCCAAGTGACTCTCCTTCTACATCTGATCCTTAGGTATTCATGTTTATTGTAATTAGTTTAAAGTTTTGTTTTTTGACATATTTTGGTCAATTAAAATTGTGAATTCTAACTAGGCAGTAACTTTTCTGAAACTCATTTTAGAGGGGCTTTTAAGATAAATTATTCACAAAAGTCAAATCTAACGGAGGCCTGGCCTTTGTTTCACTTATTCTTTATTTTAAAATGAAAATGTTTTAATTAGTTTATGTTTATTAAACTAAAACATGCTCATAAAAATGTAGACACATAGGACATTTAAAAACACCAAAATCTCACCCCTCTTCAAGTTAAGCTAGTAATGTGTTTGTGTTTGTCCTTTAAGATGTTACATGTATTTTAAAGTAGAATCATCTTATTCTCACTGTTTTATATGTCTGTTCTTGTTTTGAGAATTTTTGTGACCATATTTTCAAGTCTATATAGTCTGAATCATTTTTATGGCTGTATAGTATTCTGTTGTATTCTATTGTATGGATGTAGGGTGATTTAACATCTTTTGTTGGGAATTTATTGTCATAATCTTACACGTATGTCTTTGCACATTTGTCTGATTATTTTATTTGTATAAGTTGGCAGAAGTGAAATTGCTGGGTTAAAGGGAATTGTCTGCTAGAAAGGCTAGTTTATACTCTAACCAGCAGTGTGTGAGAGTATCTAGTTTCCCACACCTTTGCCAACAATGAATTTTACAATTATTTTTAACCTTTGAAAGTCTGACAGATGAAAAATACCTTAATATTGTCTTAGTATATTTTTAAATTACTTGGTGAGGTTGAACATTTTTGGGGATGTTATTTTGCCATTTTAAAATTTATTTTTTGAATTGTTTCTTTTTTTTTGTAAATCTGTTAATTTATGTAACTCTGTCACGTGCAAATGTTTTTTCCCAGTTTTACATTGCCTTTGTCAGTGGTTTGTAGAATGCATTGTTATTACACAAGTAAAGAAACAGTTCCATCACTTACACCTTGCAAACATTTTAAGCACAAAAAATTAAAGTTGGTCAGCCTTTCCTTTATTAGATGCCTTGTTACCATGCTATTACAAGTTTTCCGTATTCTGAGAATTATAAAAATGTTCATTTATATTTTTTCTAGAACTTTTGTGACTTCATTCTTTAATAGCTCACTTATTCTAAGCAATAAAAATTGAGATTCCTAAGAAAAGAAACTATATTGTTTCTTAGAGCTTGTTTGAACAAAATTCAAGCAGTATATGTGTGATAGACACACTTGTATAAATGACAATTGTACCTAATTGATAGAAGCATAACATAGGTAGTAAATCCAAACTATTCTAAAGTATTCTGCAAGTTGATACAGATAGTAATTAAAAAAGTTTTTTAGAATATTTGTCTTTTTTTGCAACCATTATTTTTTTAAAGAATATGGGCAAGATGGCATTTTTAGAGAACTGATTTTATTCATCTTTAGAGAAGTAAATTTTATTTGTTTACCTTTTAAAGTAAGGTGTAAAATATAAAATATTTAAAAGTTGTAATTATTTAGCAAATATTTATTGAGCAGAACCAGCTTTCAGAGACTGTTTAAACTAGTGAGAGATAACCTAGTGAGAGACAAATAATTGTAAGTAAAATACATTCTAGAGGCATGATTGTTATATAGGTTTTGTATGGATTAAACATCAGTCCATATTTTTAAAATTGTGCACAATCTGTTTTCTTTGTCAGCATTTCAGTTTATGTCCTGTTTTTCCCACCCTGAGCAGAAGAGAGTGTATTTACTTAACTTTTCTTAACTCCTCTACCCACAGTTTAGCTTCCACTCTATCTTAGCATTATTAAATTATTGGGAACAAGTTTAGACACTCAAGAATAAAAACGTAAAATTATTAGTTTTTCCTATATTATAGGCATTAGTGGTGTGGATATTAATCAAGAAGAAAACTTTAAATCTTTTATTCCTGAACTTTGTTGAGAAATTCACTTCAGTTCTCTCCCTTCAAGCCTTGGTATGACATGCCGTAAATCCACATCTACCATATCTATATCTTACTTTGAATGAAATTTTCTTTTTAAATAGAATTTTGGGCCTGGATGTTGAGCTTTTTCCTTAAATATGTGTGCAACCCCGCCCCTATGTTTTTTCTTTCCTAGATGCCTGTCCCATTTTCAAATAATATTTCTTATTTCCTAATAATTCAGTTAAAAATACCTTCCCTAGCTTCTTGCTTCTTTGAGAACCCAGATCTGTTGCTGTTAATTTGTTAGTCTTGTGCTTTGTTAGTGTTCCCATGCTAAATTTTGCTAAGTTTGTGAAATGCACTTTTGAGTTTGTAAAAGCGCGTTGATTATTGACCTGAGTGGTAGGCTTAGAGGAGAGGCATGAAATAATGAGTACACGAGTGAACTGAATTGGGTTCTCTGTGAAATTGCTATGGTGAACACGATATGTAAAATTGGTTTGTACACCAGTAGCCACAAACATTGCTGTTTTTCTTAGGGATTTTTAAATAATAAAATAAATTTAAAAATCTAAATTAAATGGAATCAATATTGGCTTTGGTTAGTAAGACTTTGGCATTGCAAGGGAGCCAGAAAAACCTGTTTCACTTAACTCAGCTCTTTGAAGAGTTGTAGAAATTGGGGGTGGACTGGAGCAGAAACTAGAATTGTGTTAGATTATGACATCCTTGCCCTTGAGACAACAGCATGACTCCTCCTTGTCTTTACTTATGCTATTCCTCTGCCTGGAATGCCTTCCCTCCTTTCTATCTAAATCCTACCCACCTCCTCCACGAAGCCTTCTCTAACTACTGGAGCCCACATTGATGTCTCCCTGTTCAGAACACCTATGGCATCTAACAGCCAGCACTGCACCGTTTAGCACTGTTTGTCCTATGGCAATTTCACATGCTACTGAGTGTGAGTACATTAAAATATAAATGTGGGGAAATATGCATTTTTCCAGTAAATTTGAAAAACGATAGGTGTATTGTATACAGGAGGATTTACAGGCTATAGAAAGTTTTACAGGATATGCCTAAACTGTGAGATTGGGGGAGGAGGGGAGTTGGGGAGGGGGCTAAATGTACTTTTTTAAAAAAACTCAGAAACATTGTAAAGTTTATACAAATTGTTTTGTCCAAAGTGTCATGTTTTTTAAAAACTAATTTATTTTTATTCAGTAACAAGCCTAATTTTTTTTTTTATTTTAAAAGGTTGAGAAATAACATTTTCTGTAGTGTTTAATACTATTCAAATGATCAATTCTGGGATCAAAAAAGTTTTCTTCTTGCTTAGGCTAAGATACCTCTGTTCACCCATCTAATCTCATATCTTCTAAACCCTGCTCTTGGTATCAAATACTGAAATGTAATAAATGTCCAATTTTGTGATGTGGAGAAAACTGTATTTTATTATATCTCTTGTGTCTAATTTTGGGTATCTTTTACATGGTTAATATGAAGGGAATTTTAAATGTAAAGATAATTTTGATTTGTATTTATCTCATCTAATGCTAAGGGAGTTCAGACCATTGCTTTAACTAGATTTAAAAAAAAGCTTTCTCCAAGTCAGTGTATATTCAGAGTGTGGCCACACAAATATGAACAAATATTCTTAAATCATATTAAAGTCTGCTAAAGCTGCCTATATCTTTTAATTGTACCTGTGATCAGTTACGTATTCATTCTTTGGTTTAAATATATTTTTGATTATCTGACGACTTTTGAATACAGACCACATTTAGTTTCCTATATAATTAAGTGGATCAGGCTTATGCGTAGAATTTGTGAATGGTTCTGATAGAAGAATAAATAGCTTTATTGTACATTCTTTACATATGAAATGTCCTTTTAATTACATAATTCTTGAGCATATTTACATTTGGACAACAATCACATTAATTCTGGAGTAAGGTTAATATATAAAATGTATATGCTTGAAATACATAAATTTTCATTTAAACTGATTTTAAATGGTTTTGGTTTCTGATTGACTTTGTAATGATAATGTCTTCTATTTAAAATTCAACATGGGGATATATGATGTAAATGGTAATGTCCATTTGAATATTTTCATATAAGTATATATTATTCTATGTGTGTTTTTTAGAGGTACCAATCTTGGGAAAAAGAAGCAACACATTTGTCATATACCAGGATGTGGTAAAGTCTATGGGAAGACCTCACATCTGAGAGCTCATCTGCGTTGGCATTCTGGAGAACGCCCTTTTGTTTGTAACTGGATGTACTGTGGTAAAAGATTTACTCGAAGTGATGAATTACAGAGGCACAGAAGAACACATACAGGTTACTAATACTTACTTTTAACAGACAAAAATGAATTATAGGGCTACATAACTGCCTTGACTTCTTT
The DNA here is from genome assembly GCF_000001405.40 of Homo sapiens. Classification (NCBI taxonomy): domain Eukaryota; kingdom Metazoa; phylum Chordata; class Mammalia; order Primates; family Hominidae; genus Homo; species Homo sapiens. Next base: position 173,913,002 of record NC_000002.12, on the reverse strand, counting down.
TTTATTAGCATTCCTTACTGAACTGAATCGATTTAAAATACAATGAATTACATCCAATTTTTACCTTTAGTAACACCATCTTAATAACACAAATTCCAAAGAACAAGTCAGTCTGGCTTATCTTCTAAAATAAAGTTATATTTAAGTAGACTTTGGGTGGCTTTTGTTGACATTATTGAATGCTTTAAACCACATTTATACTATTTTTATTCTGTTAACATTTTTAATTAGTTGTCAGCTTTTACTCTTGATCTATCCTATTTTTTTTCTTTCCTCTTAACACTGTAACAAAAAATACTCCTGTTTCTTCTGACATATTTGGGCATTTCACCTTTTCTTTTGTTTTTAGTATCTCTGAGGTAAGGGAAAGGTATTTCACTGAGGAATAACCAAGGCAATGTTGATGTGAAGACTTTCTCTGATTATATTATTTTTACATAGTGTTGTGTGGTTGTTAAATGAAATGGACCTGTGACTGATCTACACTGAAACCTAACAGTGTTAACTTAGAGATAGTTTTTTCCTACTACCATGTAAATGATTAAAGTGTTCATCAGTCTATGCTCAACACTGGAGAATTGAAAACTATGTATTTACAATCCCTAGAGAGCTTGGAAGAAGCATGGTAAAATGGAGAACAACATGGATTTTGAAGTCATCTGGATTCCAATCCAAGTTCCCTATTAGGTTAAGCGAATAAACTATCTCTGACGTTGCTTCACATATCCTACTTTGGCCTTCAGTATTGTATAAAATTACCTATGAAGTCTGTAGTAGTATACAGATGCTCTAATAGTTTTAGTTCCTGTCTCTCATTGGGTAGGTAGACAGATGAGATTAACCTACATGAAACTGCAACAGACAATTAAGAAAGTAGATAAGGCTGCAGGGCGTGCTGGCCCATGCCTGTAATCCCGGCACTTTGGGAGGCCAAGGAAGGCAGATTGCTTGAGCCTCAGGAGTTTGAGACCAGCCTGGGCAACATGGTGAAACCGTGTCTCTCCTAGAAAGACAAAGAATAGCCGGGCGGATGGTGTGTACCTGTAGTCCCAGCTGCTCAGGAGGCTGAGGTGGGAGGATTGCTTGAGCCCATGGGGCGGCGGTTGCAGTGAGCCAAGGTCATGCCACTGTACTGCAGCCTGGGTGACAAAGTGAGATCCTGTCTCAAAAAAAAAAAAAAAAAAAAAAAGGTAGATAAAAGATTTTGCGTTGCAGTCTGCTGTTGAAAAGGCTCAGAAACAGAGATAATTACTGCTTGGGATAGTAAAGTATGGGATAATAGATCTTATGATGGCCCTGTTAACAGAATTTTCCTCAGTAGGATTTTATCAGCAGGTTGTAAAAAGGAATAATGTAAAAGGGAGAAAAAGGTCAATGATCAAATAAGTGTAGGAAATAGTGGGCCAAAGAGGGTATAAGTACCTTCAAGGCAGTACCTCTTAGGACCTTTAAATTAAATGCTAGATTGACAGCTTGCATCTATAAGTTAGTGATGTAATGTGTGTGTAGCATTTCCTAACCTTGTGCCGTTTGCCATGGAGTACCTCTCAGGACTAATGTTACAAGAGAAACTGGGAAATACTTTAGTAGAAAAATGGTGGTATGTTAATAGAAGAAGTGAGAGACCTTTTTTTGTAGCGGTGAATGAGGATGAGATTTTACATAACATTTCTGTTAAGTAGGATTGAGGCACACTTTAAAGGTCCTTGTAAATTAGGCAGTGGAGCATCTAAACTGTTACGTCATCTGCAAGTTACCCTTGCATTTCCATATCACTTAATATAATCTTGAAGTTTTCTGATGTAATAAAATTTGGTCTTTAAGGAAGATAGTCTGGAGAGAGAGAGAGACTAGGATGTGACTGCAGTATAGTTCAAGCATGAGGTCTGATAAAGACCTATGTAGAGTAGAGGTGCTAGAACAAAGGATACAAGCTAAGACATTTTTGAAGAAAGGAATTAAGAAAATATTTACTAGATTTATTGATTGATTTTTATTGATTTCTCTCTGAATTCCTTTTAGGTTGGCCTTTTGTCTTCTCTTTTGGTAATCTTGCAGAGTCGGTCTTCAACATAATAGAAGTTCAGTCTGTCTTTTGTATTTAAACTTACTTTATTCATGCTGGGAAATAAATTTAGGCATCAGGATTTTAACAGCTTTAACATCTTAACATATTAGGCTTGTTCTTGATTGTTGTAGCTGAAGTCAAGTCAGCTAGCCAGATTCATTTTTCTAAGGATTACTCATTCTTTTTGGATCTCAAGCTTGTGGTGTCATTTCTTTAATCTAGAAGTACCCTGTTGCTTTAATTCATATTTAAGAGTTGAAGGTTTAGTATCATGAACATGGCATGTTAGTATTTTAATTATAGCGTGAAAGAATATACTTTTATTTAGACTTTAAAGTGTGTTATAGATGCTTATTTTTTAGCTGGCATCTTAACACAGGTATTTCAAACAAACTCTTAGCGTAGTTGAGATATTAAAGTCTTATTTGAATATCCATCTATTATATAATACATGTTTGAAGACTGCTAGTCATCAAAAAGTAAAGATGAAAGATTTAAGGAGAAATATTCTGTAAGAGAAATCTGGCAGGGGTAGCTCGTAAAATGAATACAATTTTAATAGACCCCTGCTCCCATCCTCACCTGTCAGCGTTGACTTACTTTCTGTTTTGGGGGAGATGATTGAGCTATTAAAGTTGAATTTTTAAAACCAAGTAACTTAATTTTTTTCTTAACAGGTGAGAAGAAATTTGTTTGTCCAGAATGTTCAAAACGCTTTATGAGAAGTGACCACCTTGCCAAACATATTAAAACACACCAGAATAAAAAAGGTATTCACTCTAGCAGTACAGTGCTGGCATCTGTGGAAGCTGCGCGAGATGATACTTTGATTACTGCAGGAGGAACAACGCTTATCCTTGCAAATATTCAACAAGGTTCTGTTTCAGGGATAGGAACTGTTAATACTTCCGCCACCAGCAATCAAGATATCCTTACCAACACTGAAATACCTTTACAGCTTGTCACAGTTTCTGGAAATGAGACAATGGAGTAAATATTACACAAATACTTATTCATTGTGGTTATTTTTATACAGTAGTGAGAAGAATATTGTTCCTAAGTTCTTAGATATCTTTTTATTGATGTGCAAAAATTTTTGGATTGACAGTAACTTGGTTATACATGACACTGAAATGCCTTACTTTGTATGATATTCCATAGTATATTAAAAATGGTAAAATTGCATGGGTTTTGTAGGTACTTTTGGAATCTAGAAGAAATGAAATTTTACCAAGTTATATAAAGAGAAAATTGAATTTAACAATGCGAATGGTAGTCTAACCAAATGCATCAATCCTGTGTGGTTTAGTGTAAAAATGAGAACATGTTGGTATTTATCTATTGTAAGATAAAAAAGCTGGTGGGTGAAAGAAATCATGTTATGATAAAAAATTTTGTAATTTTCTTGATGACTGGAATTTTTATTATGCATAACTGACAAATCAAGTTTCCAAGCAAATGTTACATAGTGTAGGCTTTACTTAGCTTATCAATTTGTCATTTTGAAGCTAATTATTTTAATTAGGTTAACTATGTACAATATTTTAAGCATTACTCTTGTAAGATTTTGAAAACTACATTTTAACATGGAACTCTAGGGATAGTCACCTTTTAAATCCTGTTGAAAAGCCATGTTTAAGATTTAATTTGCCAAAATAATGTCTTGTTAATATTCTTTCAATAACGAAGTTGGGCAATATAACCAATGTTTAAAAAAGTTTAAAATGTATAAGTTGAGGCATTTGGGTGGTAAGAGAATGTTATAGTGAATTATCCCTTTTCTTGACTATTGGAGGACCAAAAAAATAAGGTGTATTGCGTCTTAGCAGTGATTTTTATCCAATCTTGTTTCCAAAAACCATGTCTCCCAGGGCCTTAAAAGCCATCATGTAAATTACCAGTAAAGTGTAACATATGCAAACATAACAAAATCACTTCCATAGTGACGATACTCCAACCATATGGATATTAGTCATAGAAGAACTAGAGGTTTTATGATATTTTTTTAAGTCTTTTTTTTTTTTGTCTAGGTAGTCAGTCTGCACTTAAATATCAATCATTTTCCTTTTTTGCTTCTTCCCTTAAAATTTATATGTATCCAGTACATTTAATTGAGAAGCGTATGTTTTTTATTATGCTGTATTTTCTTTTTATTTTTTAATTATTGTTTATATTTTCAATTCAAAAATGTACAAAATAAAGTTACATTGCTGGTCTTGTAAGAGCTATACAGTTTTCCTAAATGTATACCTGTAACTGCAGCAGTTCACCTATTTCAAAAATTTGGAATTCTGTTCATTTGTTATTCTTAAGACCACCTCAAATTTAAAGGCTACCTTATTGTACGTTTAAAGTGTATTATAACAGTGTGGTAGTTAATAAAACACTATTTTTTTTTCTTTTGAGTTTGTTGTATTCCTATGCATAAAAAATATTGCAGTGGTATGGGGTAAGAATTGGTGGTTTATTTTTCTTCAACTTGGCTTTTTATTTTTAGATTCTTGATTTTAGACACTGAATTGTAAACAGGCATTTATTTGAAGAAGAGATATATAGAGACACTGGTCATTTACTAATTTTTTACCTAGAGTAAATAAGAATGAGCTTATTAAATAAAATTTTTGAAAAAAAGTCTTAGCCCTTAGCCCACATTGATTCATATCAGTTTTATCAGTACCATTTTGCAATTTTTTTGTTTTCCGTTTTAAAGCAATGCAGAATATTTTGATTTATCGAAAACCTGAATTTACATTAAGACTCCTGAAAATGATAAGACAAGCGTTGGTAACCATGGCAGGAGTTACTTGAAAAAGTTGCCTTTGAATTTGCATGTGTTTCATCATTATAAAGGCAGAGTAGGAGGAAAGAGTATTAATGTGATTGTGTATTGTAGATGTTTTAAAGTAAAAATCAAGTTTCTTAACACATGTATACAGTGGGGGTAAAGATGTCCATTTTCTGTTTTCCAGGCCCAGTCTGACTCTGTCTGTAATACCTGATTGCATTGGAGAACTCTAGACACGCATAAACATGGACAGTTTTTCTAAATGTGAGACTTAAGCCTGTGATGTAAAATAGGAAGTTCTACTTGGAATAATATAAAGGAACCACTAGAATTTACAATTATTTTGAAGTTACAGGGATTAGATTTTGAATCTTAAAATCCTTTAGGTAATTTTTAGAATTTTTAAATTAAGATTAATGTGAAGAGAATTAAGTGAGCAGCAGGTGGTTCACTTGAGCAAACTGCCCATTAAGTCAGATTAAACCATTTGAATGATAGTAGAGATGTTTTAAGTAATACTGGATTTTTACAGTAAGTTTATGGTGTACTTTGAATCGATAGGTGTCCATGCATATTTTATGAATTCGTGGAGAATGAATGCAATGAAGAAAGTAAGTAGTCTTGAAAATTATTTAAATAAAGTTGTAGATTTTTTTAGTGCCCCCTAGGAATATATTAGTGAACTTTGGAACTTTTACCAAAGTTATGTAACCTCAGTGTAGATAATTTTAAATATTTCTATTTTTATATTTTAAAATGTTGAATATACTCTGGAAACAACATTTGAAGATTTGCTCTGATGTCAACTTTTTCTGGTTATAAAACCTATTAGTATTGTGTATAATTCTCAGGGTAGGTATACTCTAATAGGTGTTTTGTCAATTGCTTTATTTTTGTAAAGGCTAGAGTTAGTGCATATTGAATATATTTATGTACAAATAATTCCTGTTGTAACATTTAGTGGACGCGATTATCTGTATACCTCAAATTTTAATTTAAGAAAGTATCACTTAAAGAGCATCTCATTTTCTATAGATTGAGGCTTAATTACTGAAAAGTGACTCAACCAAAAAGCACATAACCTTTTAAAGGAGCTACACCTACCGCAGAAAGTCAGATGCCCTGTAAATAACTTTGGTCTTTCAAAATAGTGGCAATGCTTAAGATACTTAAAAATACACATACATATAAGCTGAAAGCATGTCAAGCCTATTTCATAGAAAATAGTTCTTAAACAGTATTGTTCATTAGAAATTGCTGGGGAGCATTTTAGAGATTCCATAGGCCTGGTAGCCACCTCAGCTTACTAAATCAACATCTCTGGAGATGGAGTGTATATGTGTTTTGAAACAGCTGCTCAAGTGGTTCTGTTAAACACTCCTGCGTTACAATCACTTAAAATAGAGCAAGCATCCCCTTAGGCTCTTAATTGTAGTTTAAATTCCAGTACTGCCTACTCAGACCCAAAAGTTTTGTTTTATGAAAAATTTGTATTGTGTTCAATATTGTTTGAAATTTGGGGTTGTTGCATAAATGATTATGGAATAACATTTGGTTTTAAAATAATATAAACTGACATGTTATGCTACCTGTTACACAATTTGGTTTTCAGTTTTAATTATATGAAGCTGGTAACAATCGTTTTTGTTGTAAAAGAATTATTTTTCACTAAACAGTATGTTTAAAACTGACTGCCATGAATGAGTACTAAGTCTTTTGTTGTCTGACAATAAGCACAAAACAAATTAATTGATATCTTTGGTACAAATTTGATATTTTTGTGAAATCACCTCATAATTTTATTTAGTGTTGAAGAAACAACATTGGCCCCTTGCCTTGTTCAGACAGATTTGCGTATAATGTAAATATATATATTAGTGGCAGAAACAAAGTACTGTAGAAACCTAGAAGAGGGAGAATTCTGCATGAAGTCTGGGAAACTCAGCAGAAATGGCGTTTGCAAAGGTACAGTGTGGTATGTTGGGTGATGGGGGACTTTGTGAGGGACAGAGTGGAAAAATTTTTAAGAGGGGCTGCCAAATTGCAAAAGAGAAGAATTTTTTTTGTCAGTGATTCCTAGTCTTTTTGGAATCCTACACCTTCTCCCCAGAAAAATTCATTCTAGTCCAGGGTTTATTGTTTGTTTTTTCCCTATATTTGACAGGGTCTGTCTCTGTCACACAGTGCAGTGGTGCAATCATGGCTTACTGCAGACTCCACTTACTGGTCTCAAGCAATCCTCCCCACTTCGGCCTCTTAAGTAGCTTGGACCACAGGTGCACACCACCATGCTCAGTTAATTTTAATTTGTTTTGTAGAGATGGGGTCTCACTATATTGCCTAGGCTGGTCTTGAATTCCTGGGCTCAAGTGATCCTTCCACCTCTGCCTCCCAAAGTGTTGGGATTATAGGCGTGAGCCACCACGCTTGGCCAAATCTGGAGTCTAAAGGGTATACAAGGTTTTTTTTTTTCCCATGTTGGCTTTTATTTGATGTTATAAAGTCTTCATGATATGAATATATTTTTTAAAAAGGTGTCATGTATATTGTCATGTAACATGATTCATGCCACTTCATTGTATTAAATACGTTTAAGATACAGTTTTTGATGTTAAGAATGATATCCTGAGAAGGCCTATCTCCTTCAGTCCTTTTCCCCATTTTTCACCTTTTAACTCTTGCTTCTGAATCTATGCTAAGCTACTTACTAGATGTGTGATATTGGTAGTTTTCTTACCTTAAAACCTCATTTTCATCATCCATGAAGAGGCTAACAATAGTACTCCCTGTTGATAGGATTGTTGTATTAAAATATAAGCATTCAGCATAGTGCCTGACTTAACGGTAGAGATTCAAATGGTAACCTCCTTCCAATGCCTTCCTCCCCCCTTAACTCTGGAGATTCCATTTTTCTGTAGTGAAGTGTTTTAGAATTTTCATTGTTTGACTATGGTTCATACATTGATTTTTCCAAAATGAGAAGAAGTCTTATTTCTAATGCAAAAATGTGAAAAGAACAGTTGGAACCTAAAGTGATAGTGGATGAAGTGTCTGAAGTGACTGCCCTATCAGAAAAGGATGGAATAAGAAGAAAAGACTGAAGCACCTAAATGTGTATTTTCTTGAGGAAATTACACCCCTGTGTAAGAGTCTATCCTATTTGAACATTTCTAAAAACCAGCCGAAGAATCTTCAGGTTCATTGCGACTGAAAGATAAAGTCTAGCACTGAAGTGGTTTTTAAGATTAGGAAAGGCCATCAGAGAAATGCAGTTATTTCTCCCCTCCATCCTTCCCCCACAAAAAAAAGTCTAAGCCTCCGATTAATCGACAACAACGAAATACAGGAAGTATTGGCTTAGTGACCTTTTAGGATATCTGTCCGACTTACATCCCTTCTCTGAGCATTACTTTCTGCCACCTTCCGTGAGGAGCTGTTCAGAAATCAGACAAGGAGTGGACATCTGGTCAAAGTTGAGCCAATTAGATGATTTCTCCTGAGAATTTGGAATTGGAAAACTGATGTCTTGGGAGGTCACATCTGGAACATACATGGGAGGCAGAGAAAGCAAAGATGACATTCAACCCCAGAAGAAAAAGAAAATGGCTTTCTTGATTCCTGATAACTTGGCAGTGTTTGTTCCAGTGTCTTGCATTTCACTATCTGCATTTCATCCTCCTGGGGTTCCACAAGATAGCCTTAAAACCTTACAGAGAGACTCCCCAACTTAGTTTTTTCTTAAGTCAGAAGGCTGTTACTTGCTACCAAATAATGCCAACTAAGACAACTGAGGTACAGTATATTCTCTCGTAAAACACCATAGAGTTGATGACTTGATCCTATAGAAAAGGGTCCCCAACCCCTGGGCCACAGACCGGTACTGGTCCCTGGTCTGTGAGGAACCACCTGGGCCACAGACTGGTCCTGGTCCCTGGTCTGTGAGGAACCAGGCCATACAGCAGGAGGTAAGCGAGCATTCCTGCCTGAGCTCTGCCTCCTGTCAGATGAGCCACAACATTAGATTCTCATAGGAGTGCGAACCCCGTTGTGAACCCCGCATGCGAGGGATCTAGGTAGTGCCCTCCTTAAGAGAATCTAATGTCTGATGATCTGAGGTAGAGCAGTTTCATCCTACAACCATCCCCACCCCCCGACCCCCATCCATGAAAAAATTGTCTTCCTCAAAACTAGTCCCTGGTGCCAAAAAGTTTGGGGACCGCCGTCCTAGGAAATACCAACAAAAAGTCACGTTTATTGCCTGCCAAGTGAGTCAGGTTTAGACAAGGCAGAACTTAGTATATAGCTTGGATGAATCAGAAAGGGTGGGCCTTGAAAGACTGGTAGAATGTGTCCAAGAAAACTGATTAAAAGCCTTAGAAGTCCCTCTACAGTTTCAGGACGCCCTCTTAACAGATGGCTGTATCTTTATCTGTGGTTGGTCTTGTGGAATACTGACTTTCTGCCAGCATTAGCCTGTGTTTCTATGTCACACCAAGTCACGTATATTTTCATTGTGTGTTAGGACTCAGAATAGGTTTGGGTCTTTCTTTTAATTATGTATACCCAATTACTTAGTCCTCCTCACACCCTGATCCTTTAAAAATTCTTAAGTTGTGTTAATTGCATTTTTCTCAATTCTACTCCTAGTAACTCTGTGTGTTTTTTTCCATCTTTATTCATTTAGTAAAGTTGAAACCTTTCATAGCATAATATAGTGATTAAGTGCATAGGTTTGGGACTTAGACACACATGGGCTTGCTTGTCTCCCAGTTCTGCCGCTTACCACCTATGTGACCTTTCACTCTTTACCTTTCCACTCTTAGCCTGTTCTCTAACTATAAAATGAGAATGATGCTAGCGTCATCTTCATAGAGTGATTATGGAGATAAATAAGTTAATGCATGTAAACCACTTTCCATAATGCCTGGCACATATTATATTATGTATTAGTAAATGTAAGCACTGGAAGAATCAGTAGTCTTCCTACACTTGAAAATAGTTGTCTTCAACTATTGTTGTATTAATGAGTTAATTCACCTTGTTAAGTCACCTTGATCCACCTAATTGTCAGCCAACATTTATTAACGAAACTGCTAGTATTCGTATTGTGCCTTTTTTATTATGAAACATTTCAAGAATACAGAAAAATGCAGAAAACAATGTAACAAATACCTAAGTATCTATCACCCAACTTTTATAGTCTTATTTTTACCTATATATTTTTTCTTTTAGAAAGGAATGATCACAGTTGTGCCTGAAATCTGTATAGCCCTGTCTCATTTCATTTGTCTCCCTTTACCCACATAAGTAATTGCAGCTCTGAATTTGATGTTTATCAGAATGATACCATGAGTGGTTTTATATCCTTATTATATGTATGCATACCTAGGATTGTTTTTCTGATTTTGAAACTTCATATAAATGGTATCATTCTGTACAAAACCTTCTGGGACTTGTTTTACCACTCATGTTTTTGAGATGTATCCACACTACCATCTTTCTCTAAATCATTCATTTAAATGCTGTAGTTCATTGAATAAGTTTATCACAATGTATCCATTTTCTTCTTGATGAGCATCTCAGTTATTTCCAATTTTTGACTTATAAACAATGCTGCAATGAAATAATTGACATATTTCCTTGTGTACATGTGAGCATTTCTTGAGATATGTATCTAGAACTTGAATCACTGGCCAACAGGATATTCTTAATCTTCAGTTTCACCAGATACTTCCAAATTGATCTCCATAACATGCATACCAAATTATATTCCTACCAGCCATTTATAGGAGTTCACATTTTTTCCATACCCTCCCAATCCTGCCTTGGCAGATATGTTTTTTCCAATGAATAACAATGAAATTTTGTTTTGGGATTTGACAAAATGATTCTAGATTCATCTGGAAGAAAAGCAAGTATAAGTAAGAAATTTAAAAGGGACCTGAAAAACTAAGCAATGGATATATTTAAAAATTGGTACCAGTAGGGATAACCAAATATTTGTTAACTGTAGCAGAAACAATGCATGTTTTTCTCACTGGTTCCACCTTCTATCTCTCAGTCAAGCCCTGCCCAGGTGTGGTAGTCCTCATAGTCTCTCACTGTAGGGGTCTTCTCACATAGTAGACCACTCTCTTGAGTTGAATATTGAAAAGAAGGCTTGGCCGGGGGCAGTGGCTCATGCCTGTGGTCCCAGCACTTTGGGAAGCTGAGTCGAGCGGATTGCTTGAGGTCAGCAGTTCGAGAGCAGCCTGACTAACATGGTGATGAAAAGTACAAAATTAGCTGGGGGTGGTGGCGCATGCCTGCAATCCCAGCTACTCGGGAGGCTGAGGCACGAGAATCGCTTGAACGCAGGAGGCATAGGTTGCAGTGAGCCGAGATTGCACCACTGCACTCCAGCCTGGGCGACAGAGCAAGATTTCGTCTCAAAAAAAAAAAAAAAAAAAAAAAAGGCTTAAGTCCAACTAACTGTTTCCCTGCTGTTCATTTTATCCAACGGCTGGGGATATAGGCTACTGCACATGATGGGTTGATGGATGTGAAATGATAACTCATGACTTTAATTCTAATTTTTCTATATTCTGGTGAGGTTGAGCATATTTTTACAAGTTCATAATCCATTTTCCTCTGATGGGAGTTGCCTGTTTGAATCCTTTGCCCACTTGCTTTTTGGGGTTATTTGCAATTTTTTGCATTGATCTTCAAACATTCTTAATTAATCCCAGGTACATATTATTTTATATATAAGATATATTTTAGAGATATATAGGCTGATAGTATCTTTTCTCAGTCTAAGGCTTATCTTTTAATTTTGTTTATGGTGTTTTGTGTGTGTTGTTTTGCAGAAGTTTTATTGTATCTGAATTGTGGCTTTTGTGTCTTAAGAAATTCTTTACCTACTGTCATAAAAATTTTTGTCTAAAAATTTTATGATTTTGCCTTTCTATTTATCTTGTTAATTCACTTTGAAATTACTTTTGTTTATGGCATAAAGTCCATTATTTTCCATATGGATAATCAGTTGTCTTAGCAGTTTATTGAATGGTCCAACGTTTCCCTGCTGATTATAATGCCCTCTCTGTTATTTATCCTAAATTCTTGACATCCGGTAAGGAAGTCTCCTCTGCCCACCCTTCTCTGTATTTCAAAATGGTTTTGACTGTTCTTGACCCCTTGCTCTTTCTGTGAACTTTAGGATTAAATGATTATGTAGAATTAAACAATCGGGTTAAGGTTTTTTATTAGAATTACATTGAATCTATAGATTAATTTGGGGAAAGAATGTTATCTTTCTATCCATGATAATTCTGTATCTCTCCATTAATTCAAGTCTTTAATGGTTTTTAAAAATAAATTATTGTCTCTTTGAAAATCCTTACACATCCTTTATTGCACTGATTCGTATGTAGTTTATGTTTTTGTTGTTGCTTTGGAGAATAGGCTTCTTAAAATTAAATGTTTAAATTGATCAATGCTGGAGTATATAAATGCTATTGATATTTGTAAAATGATTTTGTCTAATAATCTTACATAATTCTTTTGCTGTTCTAATAGTTTGCCTGTAGATCCTATACGATTTTCTGTGGAGACAGTCATATTGTCCTCAAAGAAGAAAATGTTTGTCTCTTCATTTCCAAGTCTTGTGCCTCTACTTTTAATCAACAGCTTAATGTTAAACAGAAGTGGTGGTGCCAGACATCTCTGTCCTGCTTCTGACTACTATTTACTTTTCTTTCTCACATGTAACTATAACATTATTCAGTTCTTATAACATGGTAAGATAGGTGGAATAGGCATTATCTCCATTTCTAGTTAAAGCTGAGTGGGCCAGAGTATCACTCCAAAACACACAGCTAGTAGATGTCAGAATATGTACTCCAGACTTTCTGACTTCAAATCCTGTGTGATTATCTCAAGTATCACAGCTGTCTTCATATAACCTAAAACAGGATTGATGGCATTTATTTCTTCAACAAACATTTGAGTGCATGTTATATACCCGATATTCAGGATGAAATTATCATTTCATAATTTCTACCCTGAAGGTTATAGTAAGAGAAGCTGATAACATTCTGACTATAATCACCTTCCTGACTTAAAAAAAAATCCATTTGGTTTCACTAGTTTCCTGTACTTTTTTCATTATAAGAACATATTCCCTTTATTTCAATGTTAGGGAAGGGCTACTTTTTTGTTTTTTGTTTTTCCTTAAACATGATCCTCTAAGAGCTACAGTATAACTCTGCTAAATATCCACAGATGTGACATCTGGAGCACTGTGCCCCAAGCCTGGGAGAGCCTGCGTATAGGCCTTGTCTACTTGGCACGTTTAGATTCATGAGGGGACCTAATAAACCTTTTATGACTTTCAAAGAAAGAACATAGGGCCTTACTTGCTCAGGCTCTAGTGTTAAACTTGAGGCTCACTTGATAAGCCAAATTCAGGGCAGCAAAAAACTAAGAAAAGTTGATGATGGGAATGTATCTTTCTAACCAAAGTGTTCCTCAAATCTACTCCAATATTGGAGACAGTGAGTCAACCCTGAAATGGAGACTAGAAACTATAAGGCAGCAACATATGCACAAAACCAACTTTTTTTTTTTTTTTTTTGAGATGGAGTCTCATTCTGTCACCCAGGCTGGAGTGCAGTGGTGCAATCTCGGCTCACTGCAACCTCCACCTCCCGGATTCAAGCAATTCTTTTGCCTCAGCCTCCCCAGTAGCTGGGACTGCAGGCACATGCCACCACGCTCAGGTAATTTTTTGTAGTTTTAGTAGAGACGGGATATCACCGTGTTTCGATCTCCTGACCTCGTGATCCACCCACCTCAGCCTCCCAAAGTGCTGGGATAACAGGCGAGAACCAACGCGCCTGGCCAAAACCAACTTTTTAAAGCAATATTCTGCCCTATAAGTCATTATGTGACTGATGACGCACAGCAAAAGCGACAGTAGGTGTGAACACCATCCGGAACCAAGGTCTTGTGTTACCTAGTCTCCTCTCTGCTGGGCTGGTTTCTTTTTCAATTGGCAAAGGATAAAGGGACAGTTTTTTGAGATATTTCTCATGTCCTAGAATTTAAACTTAGGACACAGAGGGCAAAGGCTCGGAGGAAAGAAGTTAGCCGTTAACAGCTATGGCTGTGGAGAAAGAAGGTGTCCTAGAATGTGCGGGAGCATCATGGGGCCGGACTCAGCCTGCAGCGCCAGTGCTGAGCGACCTCTTTTAACACTCTGTACTTAAAGAACAACCAAAGGTGGTATACAGTCTTAACATTATTTGAAGGTGGCTTTTTGGACTCTGACTCAGTGTGATCGCAGCTTCTTTGTTCTTGAGGACTTTATCCCATCACAACTGTGAGATCTGGTGGGGAGCAAGCTGCAAACTTAAATTCCTCCCTGGTTTTGCTCTACAAGGGCAGAGAAAACTGTCCCTTTGCAAACAGTCATAAAATTAACAGGGTCACGGCATGGGTTCTATCAACTTGCTAGACTGTCAGGCAACCAGCTGCAGAAGGACCTAGGCCTTGCTCGTCATTGACCTCTAAGAATTAGCAGCACCGGGTTGCTAACTCCTTTGCTTTTGGCAGTTACTTCTGTCTTAGTTTCCCTATTGCCCCATGGGCAGGCAGCTAGGTGAGTGAAGTCTGGGTTCGCCTTGTCTCATTGTCACCTACTCCTCACTCACAATCAGGTTCTTGAAAGAGTTGCCCACACACTTTTCACTTCCTTTTCCCCTGCTCTCCTCTCAAATAACTCCCATCTGGTTTCTGTTCCTTCACTTCACTAAAGATGGTCTTGAAAAGGTCAACAGTGACCTCCCTGTCACTAACGCATGTAACATTGAAACATTCACATACTGCCTGACCTCAGTGTTCACATCAGTTGGCTGTTCTCCATTTGTTGAAGTAGATTCTTTCCTAATATCTACCCATGGCCCAGCTGTTTCCTTCTTCCTCTTTCCGCTTCTCTCTCTCCTTTGCTAGCTTTTCTTCTTGTACCTGGCAGTTAAATGTCGAATTTTTCCCAGGCTTGATCCTGAGCTGATTTCTCTTCTCAATCCGCACTCTTTTACTGGATGATCTCATTTGTTCTTGGGATTTCCTTTTACTGCAGACGTGGGCAACTCCCAAGTTTTCCATCTTCACTCCACTCCTCAACTGAGTTGCAGGTAAAATATTGAATTACCTATTTGGCCCCTGTTTTGGAACTTTCACAGGTACCTCAAACTTTATGTGTTCAGAATTCAGTTTCTGAATGTCTACTCCTAAACCTGGACCTTCAGTATTTATCTCAATGAATAACGTCATATGCTTCTCGATGCTCATGCCAGAAAGGGGAAGGTTAACGTTGACACCCTCTCCTTCCCATTCCCCATATTGATCTTGTTGATTGTCCAAGTGTCTCAAAGCCATGCATCTCTCTACATCTCCTCTACCAGCATCCGAGCAACAGCCATCATTTTTTGCTTGGATTACAGCAGTATCCTGGAATCTGGGCTCCTCGTAACCACTCTTCCTGACTCTGACTAGTCCACACTCCAATCAGCAGCCCAGAGTGATCTTTGAAAATGTCAGTCTCCTTAAAACTCTTTATTGGCACTTCACCTAGCATCCCGAGGCTTTGCCATGCCTGGCTGGGCCTCTGCCGGCTTCCCCAGCCTCCGCACACATGAGCCTGTCCCTTACTCGCTGTGCTCTGACCAACTACCCTTTCTCACTCAGATGGCTCAGGTTCCTTCCACTTGTCTCTGCATCCTGTGCACTTGGTTAGGGCTGCATTATGACTTTCATAGGTCCTAGGCACTTTTGCCTTATAGACTCCTTCATAAATATATTTTTAAAATTATGACTATATTGGTACAAAGATGAATATAATCTAGGTTGGATTCATTTTTTATTGAGATAAATGTACATAAACAAATGAGCCATTAGCATTAAAAAATTTTAATTGACAAAAATTTTACATACTTATGATATATAGCATATTTTGAAATGTATACTTATACATTGTGTAATGGCTAAATCACGCCAATGAACATATGCATTACTTCACATGCTTATTTATTATGTGTCAAGAACACTTAAAATCTACTCTCTTAGAAATTTTCAAGTATACAATACATTGTTATTAACCATAGTCACCATGCTGTACACTAACCATCTTAAAGCGTACAATTGAGTGGCATTTCATACACTGACAATATTGTGCAATCACTATCTCTACCTACTTCCAAAACTACCTCAAAGAAAATCCTGTGCCCATTAAGCAGACATGTCCCCATAAGCCCCTCCTCCCAGCCCCTCAGAACCATTAATCTGTCTTCTGTCTCTATGGATTTACTTGTTCTAGATGTTTCATATAAATAGAATCATACAATATGTAGCCTTTTGTGTCTGGAATCTTAGTGTAATGTTTTCAAGGTTCATCCACATTGTAACATGTACTAGTAATTCATTCCTTCTTATGGTTGAATAATATTCCATTGTATGTATTTACCACATTTTGTTTATCCACTCATCAATGATGGACATTTGTGTTTTTTTTCCCACCTTTTTGCTATTATGAATAGTGCTGATATGGTTTGGTTATGTCCCCACCCAAATCTCATCTTGAATTGTAACTCCCATAATTCCCACATGTTGTGGGTAGGACTCTGTGGGAGGTAATTGAATCATGGGGGTGGGTCTTTCCTGTGCTGTTCTCATGGTACTGAATACATCTCACGAGCTCCCCTGTAAAAGCTCTCTCTTTTTTTTTTTGGCCAACCACCACGTAAGATGTCCCTTTGTTTTTCCTTCATCTTCCACTTTCATTGTGAGGCCTCCCCAGCCATGTGGAACTGTGAGTCAATTAAACCTCTGTCCTTTATAAATTACCCAGTCTCGGGTATGTCTTTATCAGCAGCATGAGAACAGACTAATACAGTGCTGCTGTGAACATTTGTGTACAAATGCTTGTTTGAATGCCTGTTTTCAATTCTTTTGGGTATATACCTAGGAATGGGATTGCTGGATTCATTATTCTCCTGATCTTAAAAGAAATTAAAAACATGTTCATGGACCCCTAAATGTGTTGTGAGCCTAGGCACTGCACCTACTATGCCTGATGGCTACGTTGACGCTTCATCCTATTCCTTCTGCCTCAACTGCTTCTAGTGCACCTTTGGTGCACCAGGAGAGGGGTAGCCCTACCTAGCAAAATGTCCATTGGGAAGACAAACTATGCCTCGTAGAGCAGAAAGGGCCCCCAGTAGGATAGACAGTGGATCTATTCTCAGTTCCCATCCCAGAAGAAACATGAGAAACATGAATTGGTTGCAATAGTCAACCTGAGCTCAAAGCAAAGAACCATTCTGCACATATGCACAATCAGCTCAGTATCCCACTTGCTCCTGACTTGCATGTAGGCAACCAGGGCCTTTTTGAGATGGGCCTTCGCTCTGTTGGCCAGGCTGGAGTGCAGTGGTGTGATTAAAGCTCACTGCAGCCTCGAACTCCTGAGCTCAAGCTAGGACTGTAGGTGCACACCACTGCACCTGGGTAGCCAGGGCCCCCTTGGTTCTTATATACTTTCCACCTCACTTACCTCCTCTTGGGGAGCCTGACCTTAAAAAAAGAAAGATAACTGATTCCCCCAGTTTTGAGTACAGCAGTGGTGGTGGTAGACAGTAAAATACAAACAAGTATTACTTGTTATGCTGACCTAATTATTATTTTTTTCAAGACCTTGGGATTATATTCTTGTGTTAACTGGTAAGTGTTAGGTACATTTTGAACTTTAGGAAGAAAGAAATTCCAAGTAGAATAAATTATAGTACAGGGGCTGGGTGCAGTGGCTTATGCCCATAATCCTAACATTTTGGGAGGCTGAGATGGGAGGATTGCTTGAGCCCAGAAGTTCAAGACCAGCTTGGGCAATATAGCGAAACCCCATCTCTACTAAAAAAAAAACAAACAAAAAAACAAAAAACAAAAAACAAAAAACCCCAAGAAATTAGCTGGGCATGGTGGCAAGTGCCTGTAGTCCCACCCTCTTGGGAGGCTGAGGTGGGAGGATCACCTGAGCACAGGAGGTGGAGGCTGCAGTGAGCCATGATCACACCACTGCACTCCAGCCTGGGCCACCGCACTCAAGCCAGGGCAACAGGAGTGAGACCTTGTCTCAAAAAAGAAAAAAAAAATTAAACTAGAGGGTATGAGGCTTTCTCTAGCACTCTACCATATATCTCCTCTGCTATTTTTCCAGCAACCCAATGGTAGCAGAAAAGGAAGAGGAGTATTGTGTTTTGTTTGACACTATTCTTTCTTTTTTAATGTTAACCTCAAAAGTCTTTAGTTTTCTTCTTTTTCTTGCATGTTAAATCACAGAATCTAGTATGACGTTTTCTTAAAAAGGAACCTAAATGTACCAGCCTTATGTTCTAGACTTACCTCTGTCTTTCTTATTATTTGTCTGCATACCAGGTGGTTAAAAGGAAGGGTTTGGACGGATCGTGTTCTTTGCATCAATGCTTCCCTATGCTTACATTTGTAACAAGAGAAGATTATAGTCAGAAAAAGTTCCTAGTTCCTAACCAATTGTTTTTAGTCCAACCCACAATATTTTCCATTCCCCCTTTTAATTACATTTGCTCTGTGGTTTGGGTAAGCAGACCACATTGCTTGCTGCCTAAATTATTTTCCAACTACCAAATTGCTATGTCCCTGAAGATGTCCCAAATCATCTCCTACATGTTTTCAGGCAAGCTGTCTTCTAGGACATTGAATTATATTCTTTATTATGATGTATAATTATAGCATCAATGTCTACACACCTTTTGTTACAAGTATATGCTAGTTATTTTTCCTGTTTCAAGATTATTAAAGCAGTTCTTAGGCATTAAAAGATACTGTCAACAGAATAAGTATTGAAAAGGAGATAAGGGGAAAATCCAGAGAAAGCAAAGTTTACATAGATTCACCTGCTAACTTTACACTGGCTATAATGACTCTTAATATGTTTTTGTTTGTTTGTTTCTTTAATCTTTTTTTAAAAAAATTCTCTCCATGAGTTGAATATAATATATTTTTGTTAGTAATTGGTGAATTTATCGACCTTCCTTTGTAATATTTTGTGAAATCAAGTGGGTCATTATGAAGCCTACATACTCAGTTATTTTATCTTGTCAAAATTAGCTCCATTTGGAGATATGCAAATGGTATTTGTCATTACTTAGCAAGTGTTTTGCCATGTTGAATATTTGCCTCTCTACTTTTGTCATGAGCTCAAGATGATAATAAATGCCAAGATAATACAGAATGGCTAATGGGTCTGGGAAACCTGGGAACATGGGCCAAGTCCATCAGGTTTTTTGTTGTTGTTGTTTTGTTTTTTTAATGCAAAGAACAGAAAGAGTATAAAAGGCTTTCTGGGCCAGGCATGGTGGCTCATGCCTGTAATCCCAGCACTTTGGGAGGCCAAGGCAGGAGGATCTCTTGAGCTCAGGAGTTCAAGACCAGCCTGCACAACATGGAGAAACCCTGTCTCTCAAAAAAAATTGTTAAAAATTAGCTGGGCATGGCCGGGTGCGGTGGCTCACTCCTGTAATCCCAGCACTTTGGGAGGCCGAGGCGGGTGGATCACCTGAGGTCAGGAGTTCGTAGACCAGCCTGGCCAACATGGTGCAACCCCGTCTCTACTAAAAATACAAAAATTAGCTAGGCGTGGTGGCATATGCCTTTAATCCCAGCTACTTGGGAGGCTGAGGCAGGAGAATTGCTTGAGTCTGGGAGTTGGAGGTTGCAGTGAACCAAGATCGTGCCATTGCACTCCAGCCTGGCCAACAGAGCGAGACTGTCTCAAAAAAACAAAACAAAACAAAAAACAAAAAATTAGCCAGGCATGTTGTTGCATGCCTGTAGTCCCAGCTACTTGGCAGGCTAAGGTGGGAGGATGTGGCTTGAGCCCAGAAGGTGGAGGTTGCAGTGAGCCAAGATCACACGACTGCATTCTAGCCTGGGTGATACAGCAAGACCGTGACTCAAAAAAAAAAAAAAAAAAAAAGGATTCCGAACCCAAGATACTGTGATTTTCCCAAAACTAACTCTCTCTCTCTCTCTCTCTCTCTCTCTATATATATATATATTTTTTTTTTTTTTTTTTTTTTTTTTTGAGACGGAGTCTTGCTCTGTCACCCAGGCTGGAGTGCAGTGGTGCAATCTCGGCTCACTGCAAGCTCTCCCTCCCAGGTTCATGTCATTCTCCTGCCTCAGCCTCCCGAGTAGCTGGGACTACAGGCGCCCACCACCATGCCCAGCTAATTTTTTTCTTATTTTTAGTGGAGACAGGGTTTCACCATGTTAGGATAGTCTCGGTCTCCTGACCTCGTGATCTACCCGCCTCGGCCTCCCAAAGTGCTGGGATTACAGGTGTGAGGCACTGCGCCCAGGCTAAAACTCTATATTTTATGAGAGAAACTAAACATGAAAAGGTTTTCTTAGTCTGTTTGATAATTCTTCCCCCCTCTACATTAGTTTCACTTTGGTTTTACATTTTTCACTATGATTGTTAGGTCTGGTTTTAATTTAAAATTTTGAACATGGGACTTGGCCCCTTCACATTCTTAATTCTCAATGATAGGACCTGCTTACCAAAATCATTCTATTGGTGGCCCAGGAACAGGCAGGAAGTTGTAAGAAGGTACATTGTAAAACTCAAAGACAAAATCTGGGCTATTAAAGTCTGGTGGCAGGAAGAGCTCTAGGTCTTTGCCTGTCGGGAGCAGAAAGCTGGGTGAAGAAGACAACTGTGTCTGTGCTGTGAGGACAGTGTTCATGATATTCCTAATTAAGATAATAAAGCAGAACCTATCAAGGCTTTACCAGAGTTAATTAGCTGCTGTTTCATTACCTTCTAAGGTTTCCTATGGAAAGTCTCGCAAGAGGTGTTTTATGAGCAAGTTATCACTGTCTTTATGGATTTTGGTGATTTAGATCAGATTCATGACCCACAACCACATTTACCATTATGAGCAGTATAGACTTTATTTTTCCAGATTTTGTGCACTGCATATCAATTTTTCTCTCCTTTGAGTAGTGCTTAACAATGATGTTTTGAGAGTTATTTTATGTGATCTTTTACAACTGAAATGAAAATGACAGGAGATTTTGAGATGGGTAAACTAATCTTTGTCCTCCTTTGAAATCCTGGGAACTCGGAGTTCCTTTTGAGTGCTAAGTGCCATGGCTTATGTACTGAATGTTACAGGAGAATAGAAGAGGAGTCCTCAAGCCAGAGGTAGGGCTCATGGAAGACTTCCCAGGGGGGTGATAAAAACCAAAGATGAAGAGTTGGTTAGGCAAGAATGGCAGACTAGACAGGAAACTCCATGTCTCTATTTTGCCTAGCACTAATTCCTCAGGCTTGGCAGAGAGAACCTGTTTCGGTAGAGTGGGTAGTCCATAAGTATTTGTTGAATGATTGAAGGAAGGGCTAACAGTGTGCTGTTCCTCTAAAGTAACATGCTTGCATCAGACCCTCTGAAGACATGATACCTTCATCCAAATCAAACATTTTGGGCAGCAGCAGACTTTGGGAGGCAGAGCTAAGAGCAGATGGTGCCTCAAGTTAAAGTCCCCTATGTGGCTGCCTTATCTATATTTAACACCTGTGTTATGTCTTTGGGAAAACTGGAAGAAAAAACCAAGGAGATAAGTGCTTGTCAAGGTTGCTAAGCTTCCTCTGAAGCTTAGCCAAGAGGAAATTGGGCTCTCATCTGGGCTTACTACAAGTGCATGGTGCTCTTTGGGGGTGGCAGTAATCTTGGGAGGACACCAGATAACCACTGACCTAAACTAAGTCTCAGCTTCAACTATTAGCCAGAGAAAAGCTGCAGAAAAGAGGTTGGGAAAAACCAAAACAAGCATTTGCTGGTTATCATCCCCAGGTAATGTTCTCTAAGGCCCGGTGGGATTTTCTCTGAGCCTCTGTGTTAGTGAAATGATAGGAGGAACTAATATATCCACACTGCCCTAAAGAGAAAAATGTGCTAATTTACTACTTTCTGCTGGTCAAAATATGCCAGAAGCAGTTAACACCATCCTGAAAGCAACAGGAAGAAGTACCTTATTTTAATTTCCCTAACTTTGACTCTAGCCTTTCTTGCAATAAGTAACTTAGCAGAAAAGGGAGGGGACAATGATGTTTTAGTTTTGATTTTTTTATTGAGTAGTATTCCAGCCAGATTCTTTCTTACATTGTCCTTTACTTTTAACCACCCTAAACAATATATCAAGATGCACAAAAATTATCAGTACAGTGTGTACCAGTAGCTCCGTCATTGGAGATAATTTGATGACTGCTTTAAAGCTCTTTCCTCAGCTAGAGAGCCTCCTGTCCTCTGCATTCTGCTACCTTCAAAACAGGCCTGAGTACCAAGAGGGTGATGGGGTGATGGTAGCCTGGATATACGGTTAAGATGTGTATTAGTCCATTTTCATACTGCTATGAAGAAATATCCAAGACTGGGTAATTTATAAAGAAAAAGATGTTTAATGGACTCACAATTCCACATGGCTGGGGAGGCCTCACAAGCTTGGTGGAAGGTGAAGGAGGAGCAAAGGCACATCTTACATGGTGGCAGGCAAGAGAGCATGTGCAGGACAACTACCCTCTATAAAACCATCAGATCTCATGAGACTTCTTCACTATCATGAGAACAGAAGGAGAAAAACCCACCACCATGATTCAATTACCTCCCACTGAGTCCCTCCCATGGCATGTGGGGATTATGGCAGCTGCAATTCAAGCTGAGATTGGGGTGGGGACACAGCCAAACCATATCATTCCACCCCTGGCACCTCCCAAATCTCATGTTCTCATATTTCAAAACCAATTAAGCCTTCCCCAAAGTCCCCCAAAGTCCTAACTCATTTCAGCATTAACTCAAAGGTCCATAGTTCAAAGTCTCATCTGAGACTAGGCAAATCCCTTCCACCTATGAGCCTGTAAAATCAAAAGCAAATTAGTTATTTCCTAGATATAATGAGGGTACAGACATTGGGTAAATATTCCCATTCCAAATGGGATAAATTGGCCAAAATGAAGGGGCTATAGACCCCATGACAGTCAGTCCTAAACCCAGCGGGGAAGTCAAATCTTAAAGGTCTGAAATGATCTCCTTTGACTTCATGTCTCATATCCAGGTCACACAGATGTAAGAGGTGGGTTCCTGTGGTCTTGGACAGCTCTGCCACTGTGGCTTTGCAAGGTACAGCCCCACACCTGGCTGCTTTCATGGGCTGGCCATTGAGTATCTCTGGCTTTTCCAGGCACATGGAGCAAGCTGTTGGTAGATCTACCATTCTGGGGTCTGGAAGATGGTGGCCCTCTTCTCATAGCTCTACTAGGCAGTGCCCCATGGGGACTCTGTGTGGGGGCTCCCACCCCACATTTCCCTTCAGCACTGCCCTAGCAGAGGTTCTCCAAGAGGGCTTCACCCCTGCAGCACACCTCTGCCTGGACATCCAGGCATTTCCATACACCCTCTAAAATCTAGGTGGAGGTTCTCAAACCTCAGTTCTTGACTTCTGTGCACCTGCAGCCTGAACACCATGTGGAAAGTGCAAGGCTTGGGGCTTGCACCCTCTGAAGCAATGTCCCAAGCTGTACGTTGGCCCCTTTTAGCCACAGCTAGGATACAAAACCAAGTCCCGAAACTGCACAAAGCAGCAAGACCCCTGGCCTGACCCACAAAACCATTTTTTCCTCCTAGGCCTCTAGGTTTGTGATGGGAGGGGCTGCTGACATGCCCTAGAGACATTTTCCCCATTGTCTTGGCAATTAACAGCTGGCCCCTCATTACTTATGAAAATTTCTGCATCAGGCTTAAATTTCTCCTCAGAAAATGGGCTTTTCTTTGCTATTGCATTGTCAGGCTGCACATTTTCTGAACTTTTATGCTCTGTTTCCCTTTTAAAAATAAGTTCCAATTCCAAACCATATCTTTGTGAATGAAAAAAACTGATTGCTTTTAAGAGCACCCAAGTCACTTCTTGAATGCTTTGCTGCTTAGAAATTTCTTCTGCCAGATACCCTAAATCATCTCCCTCAAGTTCAAAGTTTAATGGTTCTCTAGGGCGGGGGCAAAATGCTGCCAGTCTCTTTGCTAAATTAGGATAGCAAGAATCACCTTGCTCCAGTTCCCAATAAGTTCCTCAACTCCATCTGAGACCACATCAGCCTGGACTTTATTGTCCATATCACTATCAGCATTTTGGTCAAAACCATTCAACAAGTCTCTAGGAAGCTTCAGACTTTCCCACATCTTTCTGTCTTCTGAGCTCTCCAAGTCTCTAGGAAGTTCTAAACTTTCCTACATTTTCCTGTCTTCTTCTGAGCCCCCCAGTCTGTTCCAACCTCTGGCTGTTACCCAGTTCCAAAGTTGTTTCCACATTTTTGGGTATCTTTATAGCAGTGCCCCACTACCTGGTACCAATTTACTGTATTAGTCTGTTCTCATGCTGTTAATGAAGACATATTCAAGACTGGGTAATTTATAAAGAAAAAAACATTTAATGGACTCAGTCCCACATGGCTGGGGAGGCCTCACAATCATGGCAAAAGGCAAAGAGGAGCCAAGGCATGTCTTACATAGTGGCAAGCAAGAGAGCATGTGCAGGGGAACTGCCCTTTATAAAACCATCAGATCTCATACGAACAGCATGGGAAAAACTCCCCAACATGATTCAGTTACCTTCCATGGGGTTCCTCCCATGATGCATGGGGATTAGAGCTACAAATCAAGCTCAGATTTGGGTGGGGACACAGCCAAACCATATCAAGGAGGAAGGCAATGAGATTTCTTGTCACAGTCTCCAAAGTGGAAGAGGATTTTGCAACCAGAAAATGTCAACATGCCCTTTTCCTCCTTGGGTGAAAAAGCCTTAAAAATGATTTTTGTGTAGGGCTGCCCTTGCAGAACTTTTGCATGAATTAGAGGAAGGCATTGCTCTGGGCAGCTGCAGGCCCCCGCAGGACTTGCAGCTTGACAAAGGGAGCTTGGGCTGGATTTGGCCATTACTTGAAACAGGTTGTCCAGGAACAACCTGAATAACTGAGTGATGGACCTGATCTGTGTGTCCCTTAAAGAATGCTTATATTATTCCTGAAAATGGTGGCTATGGACAGGAATTGTTGGCAGGGTTGCTGTTGACACTGTGCTGTTTTTCCTCTGTTCCTTTTCTCTCTGCTCCTCTTTCTTTTTTCCCCTAGTACCTCTGAATGGGATCCCCAGAGTCAGCACATGTCTCTCAGACTTCAAATCCTTTCTTCTAGTCATTCATTAAAAATTACTCACTCTATGTTCCATTCCTCCAAGACCCTACCATGGGACATAAATTAATCTGATTAATAAATTGGGGCTAAGTTGCTAATGATTAATAATATATTAATAGTATATTACTCCTTCAGAGAGCACTGAGATGAATATTTATAGATTGGGCCATAGCATTTACATTTTAAGAGAGACCTTCGAGGCCTTAACCCAAAATTAGATGAATGAGGTGAATTTCATGTTCTGTGGCATGGCCAATAGAATGATGTTTTAGGGCTGAGTTTTCTTACATTTCTCAGGAACACTATTTAGGTAGGTGGTCTACTTATGGAAAAAAAAGTGAATTCAGTTGATAACCAAAAGTGGCATTCAAAAGTATTGGGCAAATTGAAGAGGCATATTTACAAACATTTCAAACTTTCATTTAAAAAAAATACTAATGGCAGTATTTTAACATTTTGTAAATTGCAGCTCTTATTTGCTTTCCTGGCTGAACACTTTTCCCCTTCTTTCTTTTCAATGGCCTGTGAATTTACTATACTTATCTAAATTTAGTATTGTGTTAAATGTAGTGAATTTATTTGCACACTTGTCCAGGAACTACCAGAAAGCCCTGGAGTAAATTAGCTTCCATCATAGCGTGGCTCAGAAGCTCACATGATGTCATCAGGTCCTCCGGTTCCTTTCCTCCTTTTCTTGCCCTTTAATCTTCAGTGACCCTCTACTTTCACCTGCTACGTCAAAAAAAAAAAACAAAAAAAAAAACTCTTTTGGAGTAATTTAAAACTTATAGAGAAGCTGCAAAATAGTAAAGAAAGTTTCTGCATACCCTGCACCCAGTCTCCTCTCACATTAACGTCATGCATGACAATAAAACAGTGACCAAAACCAAGAACTTAACACTGGTACAATACAATAAAACCAGAGACTAAATTTCACCAGTTTTTCCATTAAAGTCTGTTCCAGCATCTAGTCGAGGGTCTCATGTCACCGCTAGTGGTCATGCCTCCTTAGTGGCCTCCATTTTATGACATTTCCTCAATCTTTGCCACCTTTCATGACCTTGACATTTCTAAAAAGCAGTGGCCAGTTATTTTGCAGAATGTCCTTCAAGTTGGGCTTGTCCACTCTTTTCTTATGATTAGCCTGAGGTTATGCATTTGTGGTAAGAATGTCTTAGGAATTATTACAGGCTTCTGAGGCCATCAAATTAGTTGTACACGATGTCGACATATCATATTACAGAGAACGTTAACCTTAAGTGATGTCTGCTGGGTTTCTCCAATGGAACGTTATTATACCCTTTGTCATTACTAAATACCTGGAATGAGATACTTTGAGACTATGCAACTATCTTATTTCTCCTCAAAATTTTCCCCACTAATTTTAGAGACCATTGGTGGACTTTCCTGCAAAATTTCTTACTATATTTTTCTATTAGTAATTTTCTATTTCCCTCATTTCTTCTACATTTGTTGGATTTTTTCTGTATCTTTTCTGTTTATTTGTTCACTTATTTGTTGAAAAAATAAAATTTATTGATATCATAAATATTTATTTTATTCAAGTATTATAATCCAATACTTATTTTGTTGCTCAAATGGTTCCAGGTTTTGCTTTGGGGAACTCTTTTATGCTCTCTGATATGCCTTCATCATTTTTTTGAGCTCTTGCCTACTTTCCAGCACCAACAGATATTACAGGCTCATTTTATATTTTCTCTACCCCAGCCATGGATTCATTCACTTCTCCAAGGAGTCCCAGTTCCTTTTATTGGAGAATGGTATTTAGAACCCAAGATCTGGGTGGTAGGTGTGCTCATCATTACTGGGATGTCATTGCATCTATGCCTGCTTAGCAGATAAGGCTAGCAAATATATGTATTTTCCCATGCATACATGCACACATACATATATCTGTATTTATTTCTGTATTATCTATCTGGATCTATATTGGGGAAAAAACCATGAGTTCACACTAGTACCTCCAATTCTAATCCCAGAATCTCAAGGTTCATTCTAGACTTTTCCCCTTTCCTGATTTTAATTTCTTTCTTTGACAGTGAGAAACCTGGCTTTCTTTACCTACAATATGTTTACCTATTTACTCAACCCTAGTACAAATATATAAAGCACTTTTCCAATTGTTAATCTATGCACCTGTGAGGAACTCCTCTACCTTGACTCTGCTTTGTCCTGTGAAAGCCTGTCTCTCATCAGGTTCTACCCATGTGATGGCCCAGCATCTCCAAGCTTACATTCTCCCCACCTTAAAGAAAGAGTGCTTCCTTTCTCTTTCCCAGGAGTTTCAGAAAAAGCTGTAAGGTGGGTTCTTATTGGACTGACTGGGTTCTGTGCTTATCTCTAATATATTAACTGTGGCCTGAGGAATGGAATAACCTGACTGGTTGGACCTGAGATACATGCCCAGCTCTGAGCCTCAGAGGTGGTGATTGGCCCACCCAACCCATAGAGAAGAGTGTAGGTGAGGAGTGGTTATCTAAAGAAAATAAGAATCCTTTTGTCAGAAGAAAGGAAAAAATTCTGTGCAGTGTAAACCCACACAGATCCACTGCATCCTCAAACGGGACAGTAGCACAGCAATGCTAATTGAGGGGGTAGCAACATTGCGGAGGCATCAGGAGCAGAGAGTCAGAGAAATGTAGGTAATACTGCATAGATGCAACTCCCACAAAAGAGCAATTTAAAAAGATGTATGGGCCAGGCGCGGTGGCTCACGCCTGTAATCCCAGCACTTTGGGAGGCTGAGGCGAGCAGATCATGAGGTCAGGAGGTCGAGACCAGCCTGGCCAATATGGTGAAACCCCATCTCTACTAAAAAAAAAAAAAATATGAAAATTAGCCAGGCATGGTGGCATGCACCTGTAAGTCCCAGCTACTTGGGAGGCTGAGGCAGGAGAATCACTTGAATCTGGGAGGCAGAGGTTACAGTGAGCAGAGATCGCGCCACTGCACTCCAGCCTGGGCGACAGCATGAGACTCCATCTCAAAAAAAAAAAACAAAAAAACGTTCAGTTGATATGAAAAGGAATCTTGCTCCAATTTAACAAGAATTACTGCCAGGGTTGTTAAGAGGAAATAGCTGCTTGAATAAGCTGATAACTGGAATGCTTTTCATCCAAATTTATGTTAAAACTCTATGACATGTCTTCTAGACTCTTTAGTTCCAACAGGTCACTTTGCCTAAGATTTGGGCAACTGCCACCTTGTGGCCAGGACTGCCCTGTGGATTAGGAGGGGCCAGCTTGGGCTTCTGGCTTTGTTGCCAGCGGATGTCCAAGATCACTTTTCTATTGCTAATAAAATGACTACAGCTTAAAGCTTCTATACAGTGGAATAACTTAGAAATCCAATCTGTTTTTTTCAAGATTTGAAGCCATAGAAAACTTTTAAGTAAGATATAGTAGAGGGTTTTGTTTTGTTTTTATATGTAGAGCTAATAAATGCTATTTAGTCTTGGACTGTGAACTTATTCTAAACCTTTCCTTCAGGCTAAACTTGTGGGATTTTACTTGCTCTGGTCTCCAGTCCTAAAAAGAAACCAGCTGTATCCTGTAGTTGGCCACCTGTCCTGAATTTGAGAGAGTCAGTTCCAAGGACAAGCCTGGGGTCTCTGTCAGCCTCATTCTAGGCAGGAGGAATGTTTTCCTTGGTGTGCCTGGTAACCTCACTGCTGACGATTGCTCCCTCTTTTACTGACATTTGTGTAATTAATACTTCATTTACATAGAAAGGAATTTCTCTAATTAAATGTTACATTTCATTAATCTAGAATTCTGGTGAAAATTATATTTTAACAAGACTTTGTGACTCCCAGCCTCTTTTAAAAATCGTCTGTATCTTTAATGGGGCTTGGCCCTTTTTTTCTTCTGAGATGTTAGAATGTATCTGTAATAGATGACAACAGTTTTTATGCAGCTACCCAGTGGTTTAATCACAATGCAAAAACAACACTGCTAATCTGAACAATCTACATGGATGACAACTCATTGAAATAACTATCAATTAACAACATAATTGTCAGTTATAAGTTGCCAACATTAAAATAAGCAATTGTTACTTCTATGAGGCTTTTGTGCTTTTTTTTCTCCCCCTCTGCAGGGTGTGGATATAGGGCAGGGGCCTGGGTTGAAAAGCTTAAACTGATGACCAAGTTACTTGTTGTTTTAATCACTGGATCCTCTTCCTTATAGTTTACTCTGAAGTGAAAATAGTGGTACTAGTCATAAAATTCCACTCCAGGCTTGGCAGGTCAACCTGGCCTTGGTTTTGAAATCTCTGTAGCATCAAATGTGATGCCAGGTCTCTATTCCCTTTAATCAGGGCCTGCTGTAGACAGAGCATGACATGTGAGTTCTCTCCTATTCTGTTCGATCAAGATCATGTCAAAGAAAACCCAGCCTCTGTGTGAAGGCAGAGTCCACTTTTGCTAGAGCAGCTGAAAAGAATTTAACCCAGTACTGTCAGGATAATGGCCTCAATGTCTCCTCTCTACACGATTTCAGCTGAGAGACCCCGCACCCCAAGCATCTGTGGGTGAGTGAGCAAAACGTGTAGCAGAAAAAGACTCAGGACTTGGTGGAGGAGGGCACTGTGAAAGTCAAAATTGCCACAACCACCTTTTGTGTTTCTCTCTCTCTCACTTGGTAGAAGACAGGTAGCCAGGTGGACCCAGGTTCCTGGTCATACAGGAACACCTTCAGGAGGAACTACCTCAAGGTAGGACTCCAGCTTGTGCTTGGGCACACAACACTTCAAGGTGCAAAATCATGCACCACAAGCCAACACCTGGAGCTAGCTGAAACAGGAATTATGACTGAACTACAACCGGCCCTTTTGCATTAAGCCAATCAATCTGCATCATCAGGTGGTACTTCTCCATCTGAAGACAGTTTGACTTGGAACTTGCAGCAAATAGCCACCTCCCGCTTTGTGGGGCATGGTGATGGAATGGAGAAAAAGTAGGCATTTGAACTAGATCCCTGGAATTAGAGTAGTGGTGCTGTGAGTTACTGTCAGAGCATGGCCAGGCTCTTTTCTTGGGTCTTTAATTTCTTACCTCTAAAATGATGACAATAAATCCATCTTGCAGTGTTGTTTAGAGGATTAAGTCAGCTGACACAGGTAAAGTGCTTCGGGCATTGTTGGTGTTTACAAGTGGCTGGTCATGATTAATTTAGAGAGACAGCAACAAAGACTCTTGTTTTTCTGAGATGGAGTCTTGCTCTGTCACCCAGGCAGGAGTGCAGTGGCACAATCTCAGCTCACTGCAACCTCTGCCTCCTGGGTTCAAGTGATTCTCTTGCCTCAGTCTCCCAAGTAGCTGGGATTACAGGCATGTGTTACCACGCCTAGCAAATTTTTGTATTTTTAGTAGAGATGGGGTTTCATCATGTTGCACAGGCTGGTCTCATATTCCTGGGCTCAAGCAATCCACCTGCCTCCACCTCCCAAAGTGCTGGGATTACAGGCGTGAGCCACCAAGCCCAGCCCAAAGACACTTTTATTGGCCTAAAAATATTTACGTTAATGAAGTAGCTTTGCTTCTTTGATCATAATGAAAGGAAATTTAAGTTAAAAATTGTTAAAGTAGTCATCAGTATTTTCATTTTAAAACTTAAGATTCAGTGGACTGTTATTGTTCCTATGCATACTAACTTTATGAATCATTCACTCCTGAATCAAGCTTTTCTGTGCAACCGAGTAGGTGCTATTTATAAGTGAATGAGTTTTGCAAATAGACTGTGACATGCACAGGTGACGTTTAATAATAGTATAGCAAATATCCTTTGTGTTCTTCCCATGGTTATATCATTTTGACTGTACGTAGCACAGTCAGCATTCCAAAGAAGTCAAGAACTCTCTGTTATCCTAATATCATGCTTGGAGAAGATATGACTCTGCTTTTTATGCTCATCAGCTTAGGGTGGGGGGCACTTTTTAGGCATCAAAGAACAAGGTTTCCAGTTATTTGATACTTTGCATATTTTTCTTTTCTAAATGCTTCTCCTAAGGCAGCCCACTGTTGTGCTTGTCGTGTCACTTGGGTGCCTCTAGACATCTGTACGCTTCTCCAGCTGCATGGGAGACACACTTCACCTTGTGGCTCCTCCTTTCAAAGGTTGCCTGTGCTGCATGGAAGAACAGTTGACTTTGCTGATAGGAAACGTCTCATTGCACCCTCTTTCCACACCATCTGTCTGACCTGGACCCATTCCAAACACTACGGCTTTGCTGGCAGAATGGTCTTCCTGCTACAGAAGTTTTGTAATCTGCTAATTGACAGGGTAAGGAAAATTTATATTTGGGTTACAGCTGAAAAGTTGGATGTTTCTTTGATGGGGCTTTAAATACTGACATATGCTGCCTTGGTTTTTGATTTTAGGCATCCCCGTCTGAGCACAATCACGCGCTCTCCCCTGTGTTCTCTGCCTCATTGAGAATATGGCAGCCTTTGGAGAAGAACACCAATATGATCTACTAGGGAATTATCATCTACTTAGTTTACTCATTAAGCAATGATTTTATTATTATTATCTCTTTGTAGTATGAGACAGATGGCAAAGAAGGAGTTTGCTTTATTGAACAAGATGCAGTACTGGGCATGGCAGATCTCCCTGAATGGTTAACATCTTCCACAGTCACTCAGTCTAATAAGCACCTTTGCTTTTGTACAGGGTCTGATTCTACACTCAGCTGTTAATTTAAGTGCAAAGCTGTTATCAAGTCTTCTTCTTCTTTTTTTTTCAGGGACATCGTCTCACTATATTGCCCCAGGCTGGAGCAAAGTGGGGCTATTCACAGGTGTGATCACAGCGTACTACAGCCTCTAACTCCTGGGCTCAAACGATTCTCTGCCTCAGCCTCCCGAGTAGTCAATTATTTTTTTCTACAGGTGGGCTGAGGACAGAAAAATCCTAAAGATGGAAGTATCATTAAAATCGTGCTGATCCAGTTGACGTTTGTGGTTGCCCTCATCTTGCAATTGTGCTTTAAAACTCAATGTGAGCAACCCCCACTGAAGTGAGTACGGTCATGCTTACTGATCCAGACCTGAGTCCTTCAAGTGGTGTCCTCTGTGCACGAAAGCTACATGCACATACTGCAGGCAGTGCATGAGTGTGGTATGACATTGTGCCTCTGGACTCCTGGAGCCCCTCTTTCAGTTGCAGCCCCTTCAACCTGCCCTTGAACAATGATCGGCAGAAAGATGAGAATGAAAG
The DNA here is from genome assembly GCF_000001405.40 of Homo sapiens. NCBI lineage: Eukaryota > Metazoa > Chordata > Mammalia > Primates > Hominidae > Homo > Homo sapiens. The sequence goes on along the minus strand of NC_000002.12, from coordinate 173,880,588 downwards.
AGAAGAAAGAGAATTTCTTCCATACCTTTCAAAACTTCAAAGAAGTTGTCCCCAGTCTGGTTCTGATGATTCATGTCTCAGTGCAAAGCACATATAAATATCTGAAATCTGCACACTGATCGGAAATAGTTTTTGGGAAGTTGGATTTAATCCCATGAGCCAAATGATCACTACCAACAGCAATCAGGGAAAACCAAAGTCCACAGCAAATTTTAATTTGGCAAATGCATAAAATGTTCAAAAGAGCAGAGGTCTCATTTACATTCCTCCCTCTTATATGGGATTTTCTTCTATATTAGTAATTAAAGGGTGCAGGCTATCGAGCGCAACTATATCACATAATAGCCATCGGGGGACATACTAACAACTTCCTTGAAGTAACGCACACTAGGGTGTTTATGGTTCAGTGTCACATAGACTCTCTTTGATCTAAATTAGGATTCATTGGCAAACTCACAATAGGCTCCACATGTACCCCTCTCAACCTCTTTCTTTTAATCATGGAAATTAGAGATGGAAAATACCTATTAAGTCACTTAGTCCATTTCCCTGTTAGGGCGAAATTGTTGCCTGTGATACATGGGTAGTGTTTGGTCCAGCTTAAATGTAAATGTCTCAGGCAGTGTGCAGCCTCCTAATTTTATCATTTTCTTCTTTCCCTTCAGAGGGGAATAAATATAAAACAGAGAGGGAGGTTTCCTCCCTTCTTTATGGATTGGAGGTAATGGTCGTGGGATGGGCAAATGTGCTCAGATGCTGTCAGCTTTCTGGAAACCACGCCTCTTGCTATGGCAATTCCATCACTCGTGAAGTACACAGATAATTCAATCCTCATCTTCAACATGTTTTACTCTTCAGCTCAATGGAACAATTCGGATTCCTCAACTATTCCTGTAAACCTGAGTGAGCAGGTATGGTGAGGGAGCACGAGGCCCATGAAAGGAGAACCTGTCTCTTTTAGGCTCCCTCTTTGATTAGTTCTAAACGACACAGCCCTCCCTATTGGAGTGCGAAGTCATGGGTGCAGTGTGAGCTCACGATTGGGCCACTGTCTATCTTATTCTGTGGAGTGGCCAGTGGAGGTATTTTAATCCTTTGAACATTTGGCACCTGAAAGATGCGAACTGTGTGTCATTGCACAGCGAATTCCCTCCCTGACTCATGTTCCGCAATGGAAGGAAAATTGTTACTCAGCATCTGCCCACATCTCTAGCTGTTGAAGTGAGGTCTATGGGAAAGTTGCAAAAACCCAGTGACCAACTCTCCAGTGAGATCTCTAGGGGACACATAGCAGTGGCTGAGATGAGACTTCAAAAGGGAAATCATGAGCCATTATTAGGTTTGCATTTGGGTTTGTTTTAGAGATTTTCTTTTAGTCTGCTAAAATCACTAGTGAAATTGTGCTGCCTTAGGAAAATTGAATAAGTGAACATTTCCAATTCTGATCCAGATGTGCTAGAGTGTGATTGTTCACATTATAAGACGGAAGTCTTACCTCCAAAATTCACTGTGGGTTTCACTCAGTGGGCTTCCCTCATGCCTCTGAAGGAGGATCAGGTTTGCAAAACCTGATGTACTTATTGAGAAGGCTTCTGATTGTCTAAAGCAATGGCAGGGTTCTATTAGACAGAAAAAGTGCTTTCAGTCATGTCCAAACACCATGGCTAATACTAACTGTACATTCACAGAGAGATAATGTTCAGGGCCTCTATCCTGTGTAATGTATTCCCAAGACATTTCTTATTTTAAATACCCCTGGGTGGTAATATATAATGAATCTTTGAATGGATACACACATACAAAATCGGAATCAGTTCTAACTTGATGGTCTAGAGTCAGAATCTACTAAATGCAATTCTAATATGGGATCCTATCCTTTGCTAATGAAAATCTCAAGTTTTAAGGCAGATGTGGCAGAGACTGCTTGTTCTCCTAGTAACCATTCTGCCTGATTTTTAGTGCCGGCATTTCCTACCCACCAGTATGGCTGGATAACTGTATTCTGGCCAATGAGATGTAGGGGGAAGTGGCGTGGGGCATTCCTGGATGGTATCCTTACAGAGCATCATCATATCCCCTTCTCCCCTTCTCTGTCATCTGGAAAGCGGTCATGGTGGTTGGAGCTCTAGCTGCCACCTTAAATCCCAGGGATGAGGATCACATCCTGGGAACAACTGGAAGGTGCCTGCACCCCACATAATTTCATGGAGTGTCCAGACTAACCATAGAGACCCTTCCTCTGGACATTTTTGTACAAGTATGAATAAAACCAGGTACATTAAAGTCACTGTTTTCTAAGGGTTTTTGTCACCCAAATCTAATCCTAATCCTAATTTTGTCCCTGGTCTTAATCCTTATTTTGTTTTTTGCACTTTTTTTTTTTTGAGATGGGGTCTCACTCTGTTGCCCAGGCTGGAGGGCAGTGGCATGATCTCGGCTCACTGCCATCTCCATCACCTGGGCTCAAGCCATCTTCCCACCTCAGCCTCCTGAGTAGCTGGGACTACAGGCACATGCCACCATGCCCGGCTAATTTTTGTAATTTTTGAAGAGACGGGGGTCTCCCTCTATTGCCCAGGCTGGTCTCAAACTCCTGAGCTCAAGCTATGTGCCTGCCTGGGCCTCTCAAATTGCTGGTGTTACAAGTGGGAGTCACTGCACCTGGCCTTAATCTTTGTTTTGATACATACTTAACATCTTGTTAAAGTCTAGGTATTTCAGTTTCAGTTGATAATCAATGCTGGTTGATAATCATGTTACATTTATTCCTCAGTTGATAATCATGTTGTAGTGGATAATCATGTTTCATTTATTCCTCTGAACATGACCTTGAAATGTTTGCAGATAAAGGCTCATGGAAGAATCCCAAACTTACAGGTTCCCAAATGTGTGATTAGGCAAGATAACAAGATGGACATTGAGAATGGGAGGCCTCATTCAGTTTCTTGCATCCATTCTGTTCACAACATGTAGAAATATGTACTTCTATCCCATAAAGGGTTTAATGAGAACCCAGGCAAAAATAATGGTTACTATAAATAAAATTCAAGAGTGAGGGCAAGGAAAAAAACACGAGTCAGGACCAGGAAAAGGTAAAAATGGATAGAGGGACAAATAGGTGAGTTCCAAAGTAGTGTGTATCCTCAGAATCAACTGTGGTATGGGAAAAAACATATGCTAATACTAGAATGTTTAGGTATGTTTAGCCAGTCACTCTTCATCCTAAAAGGAGAGGCATGAAGATTTAGTCATATTTAACATGGAAACTGGCATATGCTTCACTCTACCAGCCCACGACACCAAGGGAAGCCACAGGGCCCTGAGGAACGCGGGGCAGGAGCTCCACACCACAGGGAGGCAGGCAGGGCCACCTCCCTTGTTTGGCTGCTCTCGGCAGGCTGTGGTATCCTGCAGTACACTCATGCTTGCCTTCTCACTCATAGCCAAAGCAAAAATCTTTACAATGGTCTGTGAGGCCCAGCGGGATCTGGACTTGCGTGAAGTCTCTGAGCTCCTCTCCAACTCCTCTCGTTCATTTCTCTCCAGCCACTTGGGGCTCCTTGTTCCTTGCACAAGCCAGGCACACTCCTGCCCCAGGGCTTTTCCACTGGGTGTTGACTCTGCCTGCAACGCTCTTCCCCTAGATAACTGTCTAGCTGGCTCCGTCACTTCCTTTGGGTCTTGATTTAATGTCACCTGTGTCTGGTTCCATGGGTTTGCAGCTTATACTCTTCATGTTTATGTGAATCCTCACAGAAGGAGGATAGCGGCTGAAACTTATACTTCTGCACAGAAACTGCTTCTTTTACTTCACATGCTAGCATTATATTCAAGCAAATAAGAAAATAGCAAAGCTGGTGCTTCTCCTACTACTCAGACAAGTTCTTTGTTAGCCTCATTAGAAGTAAACGCAATGACAGTCCAAACTAGCTAGGTGTGAAAGAAGAAATTAAAACAATTTGAAATTATTAGAAGACGCTTTTTTTTTCTTTTTTTTTGAGATAGTTTCACTCTTGTTGCCCAGGCTGGAGTGCAATGGCATGATCTTGGCTCACTGCAACCCCTGCCTCCCGGGTTCAAATGATTCTCCTACCTCAGCCTCCTGAGTAACTGGGACTACAGGCATCTGCCACCACGCCCGGCTAATTTTTGTATTTTTAGTAGAGTCAGGGTTCGCCATGTTGGCCAGGCTGGTCTCGAACTCCTGACGTCAGGTGATCCACCCACCTCGGCCTCCCAAAGTGCTGGGATTACAGGTGTGAGCCACCATGCCCGGCCCCTAGAAGACCCTTTGAAATATGGATTTATATCCTCAGTCATTGACAACAAGCCTTGGCCTCTGTGTATATTACACTTTAAAATATTGGGTAATAATAGATGTACATGTATTTCATTTATTTATTTATTTAGGGACAAGGTCTCACTCTGCAGTGGCACAATCATAGCTCATTGCAGCCTCAACCTCTCAGGCTCAAGTGATGCTCCCTCCTCAGCCTCTCAAATAGCTGAGACTACAGGCATGTGCCACCATGCCCAGCTAATTTTTAATTTTTTTTGTAGAGATGGGATCTTGTTATGTTACCCAGGCTGGTGTCAAACTTCTGGATGCGAGGGATCCACCTGCTTCAGCCTCCCAAAGTGCCGCCATTACAGGCATGAGCCACCATGCCTGACCATGTATATGATTTATAAATAAATAAATAAATATACATCTAGTAGGGAGTTATCCTTAAATTTTTCCCTATGGGGACGGTGAGATTAAAAAATGGTTTTGAGATGAGTGGTATAGGCGATCAAGACCTCTGCTATATTTGAATTTTGAGTTTGTGAGCTACCCGAAGCTTTAAAAAATGAGAGACAGAGAGAGAGAGAGAGAGAGAGGCAGGGCGTGGTGGCTCATGCCTGTAATCCCAGCACTTTAGGAGGCCGAGGTGGGCGGATCATGAAGTCATGAGTTCGAGACCAGCCTGGCCAATATGGTGAAACCCCATCTCTACTAAAAATACAAAAATTAGCTGGGCATGGTGGTGCAAGTCTGTAGCCCCAGCTACTCAGGAGGCTGAGGCAGAAGAATCGCTTGAACCCGGGAGGCAGAGGTTGCAGTGAGCCAAGATTGCACCACTGCACTCCAGCCTCGGAGACAGAGTGAGACTCCGTTTCAAAAAAAGAAAAAAGAGAAATGAACAGTTAGGACATCATTTTCGTGCTCAGGAATGACAAAACAGACCAGACTGTTTCCTCAAGGGAAGTAAAGCTCGTCTCAGCTTTCAATAAAAAAAAAAAAGAAGAAATTTTTTAATGGGGTCTTTCCTGTGGGGACCTGGGTGATACAGTGGACAATATCCTCAACATTTTTCCCACAGCAGATGCTGTGAGTTTCATTTGACTGCTTCTCAAAGGACTTTTGAGCGTTCTGTAATTGTTGGCTGTTATTACTGTAAATGCTGTGTCAGTGATTGGGATCTGTGTAGTGCTAGGTCCATTCCACAACCAAACAGCTTAGTTTTCACTTTACCCTGTAACTGTGAACTGGTGGTTGGATGCTTGGCTGATCATGCTTCACCCTTTGCCTGGCATAGGCAGGCATTGGCTTGGGTGCTTCCCCTTTCTTGTGCTCTGATTTCCTTAAATCTGTGCAAAATGCTTGTCATAATATTGCCTGACAGTATATATCAGTCCATATTTTTCTTTATGAATGTTTATTCCACAATTCAATTTACATCATTGAAGCAGCAACCTTGTGATTTCTTTTCACTGTATTCTCCTGAGACTCCCAGCCAGGTCCCAATCTTCTGACCTTGTGGGCCTCTTCACTGAATGAGGTTTGCTCTCAAGTTGCCTAAGCTGAGACTTTCCTGTCTAACTGAAAACTTGCAACATTGAAGCAAAGAGCTGCTCCTGTGGGTTATATTTTGGGGCATTTCTTCCAGCTCAGATGGGAAATTTGAGATAAATTTGTGTAATGTTTTAGGAATTTCTCCCCTGCTCTCCCTACCACGGTACCCATCAGGTTCTTCCTATGCAACAATTATATGCACTGGCTTTCGAAAAGAGCCCCCAGGATGGGCCCTCTGGTGGAGGGGAGGGGGACCCACCTTCACGGATGCAGTTAGACATGCTAGTGCTTGTGGCCCAGTTGAGACATCTGGGACCTCATTAAGAACGAGGCTTAAGGAAGATGCCAAAGGGCTTTTAAAAGATATCTCTGAAACCACAAAAAACCTTCTGCTCTATATCCGCACCAGGTGAAACCAGGGCTCACCTTTCGCTGACACACACTGATGTAGCTACATTGGTTGTCTGGATGTGGAAATCCATCCATGTATGTCAGTACGTGGCCACTGCCACAGGCCCGCTTCCCGTGCGCTCTCCCTCACCCCAGCTGCTCTGGATGCCACAGGAAGCCTCCATTCCTGCCCCACGATCCAGAACCTCACCCCTGGATTAAAGTAGATGGTAAGGCTGACTTCTGCACGGTCTCCCTATGCTGTGGGCCCCGCCCAGGGGCCTCATGTGTCTCCCCTCTCAGAGTCTCTTTCCTGCTTGCCCCCCACATCCTTGATTCCTTTGAGGCTTCATTGTCTCTATTGGAGAGTGCTTTTGTCACTCACAGAAATGACCTGGGGCAAGTCCTCTGGCCTCAGATCATCCACTGCCAAATGGAGATGCTGTGTGAAGTTAAAGAAGAAAATGACTGAGGCCCTGGGCTTAGCATATGGGAACCTCACAGGAAGGTGAGCTCCCTCCTCTTCCTTCTCCTCTTCCTTCCCCTTCCCCCACTGTCTTTCTCACTATCATCTTCATGATCATCCTGCAACCTGGGACCCAGTTGTGCTCTCAGCCACTGTTTGCCAATCTCCATTAGGGCAGGAGAAGTGAATTAAAGGGCTGGTAGTGCTCAAGTGTGTTCAGGAAGGGTCAGGAGGGGCAGTTGAGAACTTTTATCCTTCCTGCTCCAACCTATCCACTTCTTGAGTCTTGGGGCATGTTCAGGAGAATGAGGGCGTGTTCCAAATTCCCCAGTGACTTCCGGGAAACCTTTCTAGTCTTTTTATCCTGTAAAAGATAGCTTCCTACATGTCTTCCCTTGCTTCTAAACACTTCTTTTGAAGCACAGTAGTGAATAAATGAAGGAAGCTCCCTGCTGGGCCTTCTCTATGCTCTCCTACCCCCTTACTTGTCTGTGTCTTGTAATTGTTATCTTTTCTGGCAAGTCTGATTTCAGAGGCTTTGTTAGGTGCTCTGACAGTGGTTCCCAAACTGGTCGGCACATCGGAATCACCTGGGTAGCTTAAGCAAGTGCAGATGCCTGGTTCTCACGCTCAGAGGTTCTGATTTGATGGGTGTGGGGTGCTGTCTGGGCAGCAGGAGCATTAAAAGCTCCCCAGGTGATTCTAAATGTGTGGCTGAGTCTAGAACCATGGTCACAGCCACCTAACACCAGAGGGGCACCAGGACACTGGAGAGATTCTTGCTGAGTCTTTTGGTGTGGGTGGGCTGTGGACCGATGAATGAATGGTTTAAGTTAATAAATTGTTATTTACTGCCTGTTTATCATTTCCTGAAGGCAGTGGTTCTCAAACTTTAAAGCATGTAAGAATTCCCTGAAAGGCTTTTGTAAACCCAGGTTACTGAGTCCCACGCCCAGATTTTCTGGTTTAACAGGTTTGAGGTGGTGCATTTGTAACCAGTTCCCTGGAAATGTTGTTGCTGTGGGCCCAAGGACCACACTTTGAGAACCACCGCCTTAAAGCGGTGTTTCTCAACCCTCCCTGGGCACTTGTTAATAACCCAAGATTCTTGGGTCCCACTCTAGCCTGCTGAATTGGCCTCTCCAAGAAAGGCGCCTGGACTATCTGGTCACCAGGCATCTTTTGGTTCTTATTGTCAGGGGGCCTGGAACCAATACCTTAAAACAATACCAAGTGAGGAACCAGACACACAAGCCTAGGTTAGAAAAACAAATGTTCGTATTTAGAGTTGACAGTGGTTTAGATGGTAATTCAAAGGAAAAAAAGCTCCCCACAACACCCCTAGTGATATTGGGCCCGCAGGTCTGTGTCGAGCTTCAGACATAGGTCTCTGTTCCTCAGGATGGCATTTGGTACAGTTGTCAGGAATAGGCCTACTTTAAACGATACCAAGTGAAATTTAGTAGATGAGGGGGTAAAACTGATTACTATGCTTGGAAACGCTTGGTAATACAGGATGAAAATAAGTACACGTCCAAATCCAGGATGATAGTTCATGTAACTCCTAACAGAGTTATCATTTGTCAGATTGCTTATGCCTGTATGCAAGGGGATATGAATGTCCGTGCACCTTATGCACACAAAGTACCAAAATATGGTGTGAAGCCTGGCCTGACAAATTATGCTTCAGCACGTCGTCCTGGCCTGCAGGCTTCTCCACACGTTTGGCATGGACGCCATCTAGGAAGGCCAAGAGGAGGTGACTGGAGATGAATACGATGTGGAGAGCATTGATGGTCAGCCTGATGCCTTCACCTACTATTTGGATGCAGGCCTTGCCAGAACCACCACTGACAGTAAAGTTTTTGGGGCCATGGAAGCTGTGGATGGAGGCTTGTCTATCCCACAAAGTACCAAACAATTCCCTGGATATGATTCTGAAAGCAAGGAATTTAATGCACAAGTGCATTAGAAGCACATCACAGGACAGAATGTTGCAGATTATAGGCATCACCTAATAGAAGATGAAGATCCTTATAGGAAACGGTTCTCACAATACATAAAGAACTGCATAACTCCAGACTTGGTGGAGGAGCTCATGCTGCTGTAGGAGAGACTTCACTCTCTGAGAAGCCCAAGAAAGAGGCTAAAAAGAAGAGGTGGGACCTGTCCCCCAGACTGTCCCCTGCCCAGAAGAATGATCAGGTAGCTCAAAAGCAGGCAGGCTTCCTTAGAGCTCAGGAGCTCTGAGATCTGCTGAGTGCTAAACTTAACAATTTTCTATGAGTATTTTTCAGATAAGACAATAAACGTATTGACGAAGCAGAGAAAAACAAAAGGCTAAAGTGAATATATTAGTAGAGCAATGCTGCAAGTGTTCTTTCCTCATATCATAGGACTTTCCCTTCTTTTCATCCCAAACTCAAGCTCTAGACATTACTATTGGGTCTTCCAGTGGATGGCATGAAATGAGTTAGGCAAAGCAATAAATCTCTTGCTGAATATTGGCCAGTATTGTAGGCCTTTAAAAAAACAGAATGTAATTGATCTCAACTTATTTTTGAACCCTATTCAACAAATGGTTTGGAGGCTGGGGAAGAATTTATATTTGAAAGCTAAAGACATATACCTCAATATTTTCTGGTTTAAAGCAGTTAGCTCAGGCACTTATTGGTCAATATTCAATCTTTGGGAGTTTCTCCCTCTTCCACCTTCTTCTAGTCAAGCTGGTTTCTGGAATAGGGAATGCTTAGGTGTCCAATGTGTCAAGGGAGAGGGGATAGCTGGTCCCTAATTCTGAGGGTCACCTGCCAGTGGTCTTGATGGCCCTGGCCACATTGCTCTGATTATTCCAGCAGCCCTCAGGCCTGCAGGTGATTTTTCTCCTGGGTTGGGAAGTCTTGTGCTAGGCTGAAAATAGGTCTGTTTCTTAGACCTTCAAATAGATGCTTTCTAACCCCTGCAGGAAATGTTCTGCTGATGGAGAGGTGGGAATCTGTATACACATTGGTAGATGTCTATGAATTTTCTTGGGCTTGGGAATTTAGATGACTTTCACTGTATTACAGAACCTGCTTTTTAGTGATTGACCAGGGACAGAATGCTGGTCACTGGCTTCCTGGAGCAGGATTTGGGATGCTGGCTCATCTCCTTTCTCTGTCCCCACCCTATGCCTGGCCATAACTCCATGCCATCTCTACATGGGGTTTCTTTCTATCTCCATATGCTGATCTTAGCTTCTCCAGATCCAAGAGACAATTTGTTATAGGAAGAACCAACAGAGTTGAGCCAAAATCTGCTGTCTTTAGACTCAGGTCTGACATACACCTCAATTCCTGAAGACTAGAAATGCCAACCCATGTAGAAAGCATTCTGTTCATGTATGCATTCATGCATCACGTATTTATGGAGCCTCTGCTGTGCCTTGGCATTGTGCTAGGCATTGTGTTGGGTACTGCTGACCACAGAAAGGTCCCAGACATAGGCATGCAAAAATTAAATTGCAATACCAGGCAGCCTTTGATTAAGATCAAAGTACTGGTGCTCTAAGTAAGTGTTAGATAAGAATGTGACTGTGCACTGGAATAGTAAGAGAAGACTTCTTTGAAACAGTAGGTCTGGGTCAAGCCAAAGCTCAAGGAGGGGAATGAAGTTGACAAAGTGGTGAGACAACTGGATAAGACTCTACACCCCACACTGATGAAGCAGTGGCCGTTGTCCTCAGTAGCCCACGAGTGCCCAGGGAAATGAAAGGCTGGGGCAGGTGAATTCTAGTGAGTTGTTAGATGTCACACTCAGTTACAAACTGGAGGAGAAGATGATGTGGGGAATACCAAAGAAAGGGATGTGAAACAAGAGGGCAGTGGAGTTTGATTCTGTGCCACCATTAAGATATTACATTTCATGTTATTTTATCAAGAACAGATGTTGGTGTGAGTCAAATTGATTCAAATGCAGAAAGGCCAAAACGTAGATGCACTAAACTTGCAAAGCTGTGGAGAAACTGCAAATTTTATAATCCACTGATTTTAATACTCCACCAGTGTAGTATTCTTACCTAAGAAATGCATAATATGAAGTCTATTTTTCCTTTCATAAAACTTAAGGATAAAATGTATGAGGGAAGACAACATAGGGAATATTTTTGTAGAACTAGTAGTAAATTCAAGTTATCTGACTGCGCAGCTGGGTATGCTCATTGGACTGACTCCAAAAAGTTATAAAGGGAATATGAGCAAATGCAGCTTTTGCTCCTCAGAGTTCATCAAAATCCATATCTTTTACAATTCTTTTTTATGTTGGCCCTAAAATGCTACTTGACTGAAATAATCTTCCCCTCAATAGCAAAGAATGTCTTATAAGCTACAGATTAATTGGTCAACTTGACATTCCATGTTCCCAATAGCTAATGCTAGTGCCCCTTTTCCTAGAACACAGATCTTGTGGATGATTTATGGGTGGGAGTGACTTAAGGCTCAATTACCTTCCATTTAACAACTCCTGTAGTGCCTCTTACTCGGAATTGTATCGCATTTCCCATTCCGTTCCCTGTGCTTCAAATAATTTTCCTCTCCATTTTAACGTGCTGACTTCTTCCTTGACTTTAAGATTCACCTTGGAAGAAAAATGAACATTTATTGATGCTTCATATACCAATCCAGCCCAAGGCTTTGACATTAGTTATCTATGTAAAATGATCAACAGCTCTTTGAAGAAGGTATTATTTTTGTCCCTACTCACTCACTTTTTCATTTCACTCACTTTTTCATTTTACAATGGAGAAACCAAGGCTCAGAGGAGTGAAGGAACTTGCCCATTGCCACATATTGGGGTGGATGTAAACTGAAGTGACTGTGGGGCTCAATGATCTCCCCTCATCTGAGCAAGGCCCTCAATACCCAGGAGTGGGCATAGGCACCTGACTCTTGTCAGTCCAACCGAATCATTTCTCAGGGGAATTGCAACTGAAACTGCAGAAAAAGGGTTAATCCTACCCTGATGGTTAAGCTGGGGAATGAAGACTGGCTCATAGTTTCACTACATAGGCAAAGCCAGTCTGGTAGAAATAAAACTAAATCACAGAGAAATGCAGAGGGGAGGAGAGAGAGACAGAGAGACAGAGAAAGAGAGAGAGAGGGAGAGAGAGAGAGTGCATGTGAGCATGTGAGCATGATGCATGCTGGGGCTTGCGAGTCTCTGATCCCGTCTCTGATGTCCAGTGGCACCTCCTCCTTCCAGATGGGTATGTGAGCCTTCTAATAAGTTTCCCTTTTTGCTCAAGCAACTAGCTTAGGTTGAGTTTCTGTTTTTTACAATCAAGTGTCCTAATTTTGCTGGTGAGCAGGACAGAGTTTCCAGATCACATGTTTTTTTCTGTCTGCCATATGACGTGCATTGAGTTTATCATCATCAGGACTTCCCTGGCTTAGTTCCACTGACAATTTGTAATCAATTCATTTGGTCACTTCCACCCCATGACCTTCTTACATTTGGGGGAACAAGGAAGAAAGGCAAGAGTTTGACAATATAAAACTGTATTCCATGCTAGTGCCACAACAAATGCTGTGTTCCATTCAGAGTGTGAATTACCTGAGAGCAGAGACGGGACTTTTGAATTATTATATGTACTTGCAGAACACTCTAATTGTAAGCATATTTAATAATATGACTTTGAAGACTGAAACTAAATGAAGTCTTGTAAGAAAATCTGGAATTATACTGTCTTAGAGTTAACAAAAAGGCATGTAAATAAACTGTCCAAGCTCATAAAGTATGCACAGGGCTACATTTGGTTGAGAGAGAGAAAAACAAGCAGAAAGTGTTTGGAAAGAAGGTGAACAACAGCAAGATGGTATGGGAGGATGAGTGAAAGCCCAGTGGTCCTCTGACTGTTTATCTGCACATGCAACGCTGCTCTGGTTCGTTAGGACTTGGGAAATAGACCATACAAGGAAGAGGTTCCTCGCTTGAAGGAACTGTTGTCTGTTTTAAATATTAGGTCAGCTGAGAAGTGTGGATTCAAAAGACAGGCTCAGTATTTGGAAGGGGGCACTAGAGACTTCAATAGGCTGGACCATCTCAGTCACTCCCTTAACCTCCCTTGGTGCCGGACCCCTCCCTGCTAATATGAAGATAGTCATGGACGTTCCCTTCTGGCTTTACAAAACAACTGACCTATGAGGATGAATGGAAAGGGAAGGATTCCAATTCTGTTGGAATCCCTGTAGATATCTCAGATAACGTGTATCTTCTGGAAAAGGCAGAGGACACTTGATTAGCTTTGTTGCTGCTCTGCTCAGTTGCGGCTGATGGAGGAGATGCAGCAGTGGGAGCTAGAGGCCGTTCGACTCAACCATTTTCCACGACTGAGTTGTCTTTGTCAGCTGCTTGTAATTAAAAAGACAAAAACAATTCTTTTCTTCCATCCCCACAAAAACTCCCCACCCCTGGCCTTTTACAAGGAGTAAAATCAAATCTAAAAATAACAGGAGGGGGTAGGCTTAAACTAACAGACAAGGAAATTCTGGAAAATCAGAAGTGGAGCATGGAAGCATTTTAGCTGAAAGCATCTGTGCAGAAATTGCCCGAGTTGGAACAGATGAGACAATCTGTGAGATCGTCCTTTGTAACCTCAGGGCTGAATTTCAGATTTCAGCTTCTGGATCCCAGTGGAAAGTGGCTGATTCTTTCTACCAGACGGGGAAGAGAAAAATGCAGAAACATGAGTCTTTACTTATGAACAGAGGGAGAAGGTGGCATCTCTGATAGGTAGGGAGGCAAGTTTTCATGGGCTATTCAGAAAAGCTGGCAGTGAACTGAATTCAGTGAGGGGCTGGAAAGGAGCCAGGGGGACAGCTGAGGGCAGGAGAACTTCCTGCGGGAGCTGGTGTCTGGGCCTGGGCTTTCTGGGAGGCGGGTCCTGGAAGTGAATCCTGGCTGCACAGAGATTACCAGCAATTGTCTTCCAAGAATGCCCACCAATGTGTTTGGAAAGAGGAGAGGAGCGCTGAGGCGGGGCTAGAGGAAGGTGGAGTTTCTGGAGGTTGAAGGCACCTCCTGGGGAATCCTGGATCTGTGCAACTAAATTTGTGTGACCTGCTCCAGGGCGGGAAAGTAGGCTTGCTGGAGAGTGGGCAGAACCTTTACAGGGGAAATACCTGGTCCAGGTGACTCAGGAGCAACGCCAACTCATCGCATTCGTCAGAATACTGTAGAAACAAACAGCCCTACAGCTGCCTTCACTCCTAGCTCTGCTGCCTGTTCCACTGAAGCTGGCAGGGGGCTGTGCTCCACACAGTCCTGGACAGAGACCCCCACGATAACTGAGGCCCCATTATCTTGTAGCTGCACTGTCTGGGGTGTGTTGCCTCCCCATCGCCCTGGAGGAGCCCACATGGACTTTTCTGAGCTTTATCCCATCAATGGCACTCCCTTTTCCTTGAGGCTCATTGGGTAGGACTAGCCCCATGCCCTACCCAACTGCAAGAGGGCTGAGATGGGGAGTTCGCCATGTGCCCCAGTTAAGCACTGGTGAGGCTTCACGGGCCACGCAGCACTGGCCACGGGCAGTGCTGAAGGGGTGACTTATTAAAGAACAGTTTAGCACGACCCCTGACAATACAGAAGAGATAGAGGGGTAGAGAAGCACCAGAAATGTGTGTACTTATAAGTACAGCACAGTCTTCCTAGAAGTTCATTGTCTGGCATGAAACTGGCCCTTTGCCAGGTGGGACAAATCAGTTGTGTGTTAAAGGGGCTGGAATCCAGGCCGGTGTAATTCCTACAGTATTGTTTTGGTGAATACTCTGGAAACTGACAGAGTTAATTTGTAGAGTGTCAGAGTATTTGTCTTTTGTGTGTGTGTGACTGCTTACTCACAGTATGAAAAGCAATGAAGGCCTGTTTTTTATGAAGAACATATTGTTTAAACTATTCGGGATTAATATTGATTGCGTATCCATGTGAAGTCAGACATAGTACTTTGTGTAACCCCCTACCAACCACACACAAAAACAGGTAGAGGAGAGCTGAAATATAAGAGTGGAGATGAAACTTTCATTTAAGCATCTCTTCCAAAGAAATTAAGTACTCTGCATACAATCAAAATCCCACAAGAGTGCACAGTGGCACAAAGTATTAAACTCATCTAATTTATGGCTGCATATTTCTAGATAGAAGGCTTTTTCAGTGTTCCAAATGCTTTTGTCATTTCAATGTATTTACATCATCCTTGAATAAAGAAATAAAGCAGTGGGCTGGGCGTGGTGGCTCACACCTGTAATCCCAGCATTTTGGGAGGCTGAGGCCGGTGGATCACCTGAGGTCAGGAGTTCAAGACCAGCCTGGCCAACATGGTGAAACCCCATCTCTAGTAAAAAATACAAAAAATTAGCTGGGCGCAGTCGTGTGCACCTGTAATCCCAGCTACACAGGAGGCTGAGGCAGGAGAATCGCTTGAACCCAGGAGACGGAGGTTGTGGTGAGCTGAGATGGTGCCACTGCACTCCAGCGTGGGTGACAGAGCGAGACTTTGACTCAAAATAAATAAATAAGTAAAGCAGTGATTAGAACACTTTACCATTTTATTTGTTTTGGGTGGTCCTGTGGATTATTAAGCAAATACTCTACATATCACATGACGCCATTCTGATGTTAATACATTGATGGTACCTGCTGAATTTAGTCTCAATGAGTCTATTTTTTGAGAAAGATAACTGCTTAACAAATATGTCCTGGTTTATTTTGCTGAATGAACCCATTACTATTGTTCTTACTACTTAAAAAATTCCTCCATAGCATTCAGTGTCATATGGCTTTTAAAACTTTAACTACAGTAATTCATCCAATGCACACTTATTGAGCAAGTTCTTCATGCCAAGTTCATACACATCTAATTCTTAAGATCATTTTAAAAAACTGGCTCTAGAAGACTTAAAAAATGGAGCTAGAAGTGAGGAAGGAAAGATTGTTGAGAGACAATACAAATATTTCAGAGCTTCAGAACAACGTTAAAACCTTGCTACAAGGAAACCAGCCACAGTCTAACAGAGTAAAGTTGCCACCTTCCTTCCTAAACCTGAGTACTCCTGATGGGGTCCAGTCACCGTAAGGTGGATGCTGAGTGAGAGGATGTTCTCCTTCTTCCAACATAGAATGTCCTCTGGGCTCTTTGCCTGCCACATAGAGCATCTTTCCTTTAGCACTGAAGTGTACATTCTCTGTTCCAAGATGACTCTGCCAAGCTCTCCAAGAAACAAGAAAGATTGCCAGGGGGTTGAAGTGCTGGAAAGTGGTGGTCACCAACGTTGATATATTCTAAGGTTATTACAAAAAATAATAGCAAATATAATAATGGGAAGTTTCCTGACCCTTCTTGCATCATGGCACAAACATTTCAGCAGCACCTGGGGGAAGTGCTGTGACATGTGGCTGCTCGAGATCACGTTCTGAGGAAGATGCTATCCCAAAGTCTCACGGATCAAAAGAATTAGGATCTTCGGATGTTTCCAGAGAGAGCCATACAAATCTTGTTCGCATACAATTTCAACTCTCCCTGTTTTTAAGAGGTTTCAGAGCTGTCTTTATAAGAACAGTTTGGCATGGCCACTTCTTGGCACACTTCTGCACCACAGAGAGCTGCACTTCATGTATTGGAGGCACCCCTGTGATGGGATCGGAGGGCAGGGTCTTTGTCTAGGCTCTGCTGCTAACCAGCTGTGTACCTCCAGCTGATCTGTAGACTCTTTTTCATGACCTGTAAAATCATGAAACCGATGCTTCTTGAGGATCCCAGCACTGCAAGTATAGGATACAGCCAACTACTCTTCAGACAACTGAGTATACATTCATGCATTTTTAAAAAGAAGATGACCAGCTTTTGCATTCGGGTGGTCCTGTCATATTTTTGTCGATTTTCACAAAGGTTAGTTACAAGGGTCTCAAGTTGACCCAGCAAGGTCTCCAACAGCTCTTTGAGCCTGGCTGCGTTGTGCCCTGGGCAGGTCCCCTGGCCATGCTGGTGACCCTATAAGCAGAGAAAGGCTCTTCGCCGCTAGGACGGAAGAAGCCAAGCACCAAATGGTATTAAAAGTTCATTCTGAGAGGCTGGGCATGTTGGTTCAAGCCTGTAATCCCAGCACTTTGGGAAGCTGAGGTGAGTGGATCCCTTGAGGTCAGGAGTTTGAGACCATCCTGGCCAACATGGTGAAACCTCGTCTCTACTAAAAATACAAAAGTTGGCTAGGAGTGGTGGCACTTGCCTGTAATCCCAGCTACTTGGGAGGCTTAGGTGGGAGGATTGTCTGAACCTGGGAGGTGGAGCTTGCAGTGAGCCGGGATTGTACCACTGCACACCAGCCTGGGTGACAGGGTGAGGCTCTGTCTCAAAAAATAAAAAAAAAGTTAATTCTGAGAGAATCAAGATGTGAGGAGCGTGCAGAGAACATGACTGCTAGTGACTGCTAACTGACTTCATGGTGAGACCTGGCCTGTAGCCTCCACCACGGTTGGCTGGATTGTATCTGTTGGGCCGTGTTCAGGGCCATGTAAGAGCTCAGATGTACTTGGTGCCAGGTCACTATTGCCATTTGGCTTGGACTTGGTAATCTGACAGGTTAGTTTATCCTTTTGAGTAGGGGAGGAGGGAACACCTAACTATCTTTTCCAACTATAACTAAAACCCAGTTGCTCCTGGAACATATGAAATAACAGTATGACAAATGTTTTTCCTTGAGTGCTTTGCAACATTCTCTATTGCTCTGGATTTTGTTTGGCCTGCTCTGCTCCGGGTCTTCCCTGTTTCAGATGATGGCAACTCCAGCTTTTCAGTTACTCAGGCCAAGAACCCTGGAGTCATCCCACATTCAACTGGCCAGGAAATCCTCTTGGCTCTATCTACACGATGTCCAGAATCCAACTCTTCCTGGCATCTCACTCACAGTAAAAGCAAAAATTCCTATGATGGTCTACGAGGCCCAGCAGATCTGGCCCTGTGCTGTCTCTGAGCTCCTCTCCTATTCCTCTTGTTTATTCCTCTCCAGCCACACAGGCCTCATTGAAACTCATGCAAACCAGGCACACTTCTGCCCCAGGGCTCTTGCACTGGCTGTTTACTCTGCCTGCAACACTCCCCGCTGTCTAGCTTGCTCCCTCACTTCCTTTGGGTCTTGACTCAATGTCACCTTCTCAAGGAAGCCTACCTGGGCTCCACTATTAAAAGTGCAAACTACCACTGATAGTGTCTATATCCCTTCCTGCTTTACATTCCTCCATAGTACTGACACCAGCTAACATCCTGTATATTTTTACTTAATTTGTTTTCTTTCCCCATTAGAGTATAAGCTTCTTGGAGGCAGGGATTTTTGCCTGATTTGTTTGCTGTGGTATCCCTAGCAGCTAGGAGAGCACCTGATGCATAGTAGGTGCTCAGTGATGACCGAGTGTTGGTGGGAACACTAACCAGAGCCTGCAGAATATGCAGCAGGAACACCTCCTGCAAAAGCTACACCCTCAGATCAGCTTCCTGTCCCTTTCAGAGAATGTTAAGGAATTGTCCCATGTCATCTCTCATCTGGAATTTGATATATAGACTATAGCTGGATTTTGAGCCAGGCTTGGACACTTATTTCTTTCTCCAGAGATTCACATCTTGATGAGAATCCTGGCAATGAGACTGTGGAGCTCTAGCCTTTTTAGACTTTGAGGGCTGAGCAGCAGCTTTGGGGGTGGGTACCTTGCCTTCTAGCACATGCTTCTCCCCCTCTGATGTGCACACGGATCACCTGGGGAGCTTGTTAAAATGCGGATTCTGATTCAGAAGATCCAGTGGGGCTGATGTTCTGCATTTCCAGTGAGCTCCCACGTGGTGCTGATGCTGCTGAACTGGGGCCACATTATAAACAGCAAGCTTCCAGCACACACCTTCTCTACAGACAGACATTAGAATGGAGCCCCCAAATACTTATCAGACCCCCAAAGTGGGCAATTAAAAAGGCCAGAGCACAGAGAGACAAATACCACATGATCTCACTCATATGTGGAATCTAAAAAAGTCAAAATCACGGAAGTAGAGAGGAGAACGGTGGCTACCAGGTGCTGCAGGCAGGGGGAGGGTGTGGGGAAGGGGAGAGGTTAGTCAATGGATACAAAGTTTCAGTTAGATGTGACAAATACGGTCTGGAATTCATTGTTCAACTGCACAGCATGGTGACTATAGTTAATAATAATGTATTGTATATTTAAAAATAGCTAAAAGAGGATTTTAAATGTTCTCAACACAAATAAATGATAAGTATTTGAGGTGCTGGATATGCTAACTAGCCTGATTTGATCATTCCACAATGTATACATCTATAGAAACATCACTTTGACCCGTTGCAGTGGCTCGCGCTTGTAATCCCAGCACTTTGGGAGGCCGAGACAGGCAGATCACGAGGTCAGGAGATCGAGACCATCCTGGCTAACACGGCGAAACCCCGTCTCTACTAAAAATACAAAAAATTAGTCAGGTGTGGTGGCGGGCGCCTGTAGTCCCAGCTACTGGGGAGGCTGAGGCAGGAGAATGACGTGAATCCGGGAGGCGGAGCTTGCAGTGAGCCGCGATTGCACCACTGCACTCCAGCCTGGGAGACAGAGTGAGACTCTGTCTCAAAACAAACCAAAAAACAAAACAAAACAAAAAACAAAAATCACCTTGTACCCTGTAAATGTATTTAATTATTATTTGTCAATTAAAGATAAAACTTTTAAAAAAGGCCAGAGCTCTGGGACTGGACCTTGTCAATGCCCCCCCGCCCCTCCTCCGGGGCCCCCTGACTTCATAAGCAGCACCCATCCTGGGCAGCCCTTTCTTGATTACGGCAGCACCCCTCCCTGCTCCTTCTCCCAGCCTCTCAGGGCCCCAGCCCCTTCCAGGAAATCCTCAGCCTTAGTGTTCACCACGATCACTCCTCTTTCAACTCTTTCATAGAAGCCAGACCTCAGCTGACTTCCTTTTCCAATGCCAGACTTGACCTTGCCCACTTTCCCTCCGCCCTCAGAGGAAGAGGTCCTTCCTTCTGTCCAGGTTTTTATCCCTCCAAGGCTCCGCCTCAGCACAGGCAGTCAAGCAGAGTGGTTGGGGTGGTTTGATGTCAGGCAGCCTGGGGTCTGAGGGCGGGATGCCTTAGGGCAGGTTACTCACCATCACTAAGCCTCACGTTACTGATCTGCAAAGTGGGGATGATGACAGTGTCTACTTCATAGGGTTGTGGGGATTTGAGGATTAATGTAGGAAAAACATTTAGAAAAAGGCTTGGCACACAGTCCGTCTGTTAAAGGCTCTTGTTTTGTTCAATGATCTCTTCCTTCATATCTTCAGTTTCAGATGGGGGAAACAATGAGAAGTACCGAATATTCCCCCTATTACCTTGGGGGTTTGGGGGAAGGTTTAATGTTCTCTTTTTCCAGAAAGTAGAAAGAGTCTTTATAACAAGGTTCTCCAGTCTTTTGTTGGCAGGTGTCTCCAAGCTCACTGGTGGGTGATGGTCAGTAGTGTCTGCTCAGTTCCTTCCTGTCTTTGGAATCAAGCAGACCCACTGGGGCCACCCCAGGCTGGGTTCTTCAGCCCCGCCTACAGGAGCATGTTCCAGACCTTCCCTCTCAGCACGTTGCTCTTGGCTAGGTCCTACTCAGTTCCTGAATCTGCCTGAGCTTCCTTGTTTCTTATTTCTGTCTCTGTGTTAGTCCCCTAACCTTGAAGACAGATTTTGGCTTTTCTAGCTTTGACCTTGGCACCCAAAGGACACTTCCCCCCTCATTTTCTGGCTCTCTTTACTCCTGGTCATCTGGGTGCCCTCGCCTGCAGGACCTCATGCGCATGTGGGGTGGACTGGCCAGCTTGGCTTGCCCCTATCCCCTAGGGGTGATTGGACAGTGGTGCATGATTTTTAAAATGATGATGATTTATGTTTGTTGAGCACTTACTGTTGTCTTGAGTAGTTTAAATGGATTGTTGCATTTTATTTTAACTGTACATCTGCAAAGTTTTATCCCATTTTGGAAGTGAGGAAAGTAAGGCTCAGGAAGATTAAACTAAAAACCACACGTGTGGTTGAAGCGGATCAGAATATACCTCTGCAACATCTGACACTGGCATGAGGATTATTTTGAAGGGAAGGCAATTGAGAATCAACAGAGGCAGGAAGTAGTCTCTGCCCTCCCTTATCTGCCTAAAAGCATGAATTTCCCTTTGTGAAGGTGCCCTCTGTTTCCCACCCCCGTATAGGAAAGGAATGGCCACTCGTATCACTGGAGATGAGGAGTCCACCCTGAGATGAATTTGTTTAAAAAGACCTTATTGTAATCTATCTATCTATCTATCTATCTATCTATCTATCTATCTATCTATCTATAGAGAGAGACAGGGTCTCACCGTGTCCCCCAGGCGGGAGTGTAGTGGCAGGATCTTGGCTCACTGCAACCTCCACTTCCCAGGTTCAAGTGATTCTCCCAGCTCAACCTCTTGAATAGCTGGGATCACAGGTGTGTGCCACCATGCCCGGCTAATTTTTGTATTTTTAGTAGAGACAAGGTTTCACTGTGTTAGCCAGGCTGGTCTCGAACTCCTGGCCTCAAGTGATCCACCTGGCTCGGCCTCCCAAAGTACTGGGATTACAGGCGTGAGCCACCACGCCTGGCTCGTTTTTATCTTCCATTAGTTTTCCCATATATTTCCTAGTTACTTCCCTATGATTTATCATCCCTTGAAGCCCCCAAATCCCCTTTTTTTGTTAAAATGGTATATAAGCCCAAGTATAATTGCTCAAGTTTCACTTCTGTGAACCCTCATGCACATAAAGATTAACAAAATTTCTGTGCCTTTTCTCCCATTAATCTCGCTCTCTCTTTTTTTTTTTTAAAGTTTAATTCACAGGCTCCAGGTACTGAACCTAAGAGGGTAGAGGAAAAGTTTTTCTCCGCGCAATGATAAATGTAATTCAGTTAATGGGCCGCAGAAAACCTTCTCCTCCTTCAGCAGCCCCTGCCCTCTCTTCCCTTGCTCCTGCCACTGCCTTAACCCAGATCCTCATCAGCTCATTCAATGAATATAGGAGCTTTGTGATGGCTGACTGTCTCTGCCTTTGGCCACTCTTCCCTTGATCCACATTCTGCACTGCTGCCAGGGCACTTTCTAGGAGGCAGGTCTGTGTGTGCCGAGCTCCTGTGGGAGGCCCTTCAGCGGCTCTCTCTGTCAACAGGAGAAAGTCCCTTGGCCTCACCGTTCATCTCTGCCCCACACCTGTCCCACTCTGACCAGACTTCCTTTCTCAGAACCTGCTGAGCTCCTTTGGCACATGCTTCCTCCCTTGCCCAGATTTTCTTCCTTCACACTTGGCTAACTATACAGATTCTCTAGGCTCATCTTGAATGTACCCTCCTCGGTTAGGTCATCGTGGGGGAGGGTTCGCCACCTCCCCGCTGGGTTCTTTGCCTACTACCTTCTTAGAATGCTTTTGACATTGCACTTTCATGATCTGTTTACACGCTGTCTCCCCTCCACAGCTCTTGGACTGCAACGTGCTTGCTCATCTGTATCCCTGACACCCAGCCCCGAAGGTGGCAAGGGGCCATGTAAGCATTTAATGAGCAAGAGACTGACAACTAGCTGTATGTTAAGAGATTAAAATAAAACGGCCCTTTTATTTTTTTTCTTTTATTTATTTTTTAAAAATTGGGAAGAGATCTTGCCCAGGCTGGTCTCTAACTCCTGGCCTTATGTGATCCACCCGCCTCGGCCTCCCAAAGTGTTGGGATTACACACATGAGCCACTGGCACCTGGCAAATGCTCTTTTATGTCACAACTATGTCATTCTTTTCTGTTAGAATTCTAATTTTTTATTTTTATTTTTTAAATTTTTTTATTTTTTAGATAGAGTCTCGCTCTGTCGCTCAGGCTGGAGCACAGTGGCATGATCTTGGCTCACTGCAAGCTCCGCCTCCTGGGTTCATGCCATTCTCCCACCTCAACCTCCTGAGTAGCTGGGACTACAGGTGCCCACCACCACACCCGGCTAATTTTGTTTTTGTATTTTTAGTAGAGACAGAGTTTCACCATGTTAGCCAGGATGGTCTCGATCTCCTGACCTTGTGATCTGCCCACCTCGGCCTCCCAAAGTGCTGGGATTACAGGCGTGAGCCACCGCGCCTGGCCTAGAATTCTAATTTTTTAAAGTGAAAATTAGCAATAATCTTTACTGGAATTTTAATAGCTTAGAACTTTAAAGTTCATCTACTCTAGTCTTTCTTGTTGTTGTTTTTGTTTTTGTTTTTTTTTTTGAGACAGAGCTGACTCTGTCACTGAGGCTGGAATGCAGTGGCACAATCTTGGCTCACTGCAACCTCCGCCTCCCAGATTCAAGTGATTCTTGTGCCTCAGCCTCCCGAGCAGCTGGGATTACAGGCGCCCGCCACCACACCCGGCTAATTTTTGTATCTTTAGTACAGACAGGGTTTCACCATGATGACCAGGCTGGTCTCAAACTTCTGGCCTCAAGTGATCCACCCACCTCGGCCTCCCAAGTGTTGGGATTACAGGCATGAGCCACCGTGCCTGGCCAGTCCCATCATTTTTACAGGCAAGGAAACGATGGTCCTGAGTAGTGACAGCAACACTGTTAGTGGTGGCGCTGGGCTAGCCTCCAGCTCCTCTGGTCAACTGCCTGTGGTACCCAACACTGAGTGGAAAAGCTGCCTTTCTATTGGCTCCTAGGATTGCACAGTTATGCATATGTGATGAAGGAAATGGCCATCTCCACTCAACGTTTATGGTATTTTCACTTAGCTTTTGGACACTGCTGATATTGCTGAATTAGAACAATTCTAGAACATTTATTATTATGTGGAAAGATCATTCATGGCTCTCTAAAATTATTAGTGTAGCCTATTGTAAGTGAAGAGAGAGAGAGAAGAAAAGACACTTCAATGTTTTATGTCCAGAAAGACCTAGTACTTGAATATCAGAGAATACTAGAAATGGAGAAAATATATTTACTTAATGTCACTATAAAATTATTTCTTTTCATGTTGAATCATTGCTAACAATTCACACAATTATAATTTTATATTAGAGAAACAACATCTTTGATATAAAGTAATTTAAGTTGCTCTCTGGTATCTTAAATGTCAAACCAGGGCAAAATCTTACCTGGTAGAAACTGTAGAGTTATGATTGCCACATACCTAGGGTGAGCATTTATTGTTTTGTTTGCTAAGCTCTCTCCCTTCCTTCTGAGACTGTTTTGGGAAACTGCTGGTCTAATACAGGATGCAAAAGGGAGTTGCACTTTAAAATTTGACCTTGACTCCCTGGTGTTGTGATTGTTGCTGGGTGTGAGGTTGGCATGGGCAAGCCAATTATACCACCATATTCTTAGGCAACAATGATTGCTCTGAGAAGGGGCATGTATCCTAAACTAGACCCAGCAGAGTCGTTCCTTGCCATTTTTAAAAAACAGAAGTTGGTAGCAGAGGAGAAGAGTTTCTTTACTTTCTTGTCTTGATGCTGAGAAAATATGACTTAGAAGTAGCTCTGATTGTAGCCTTGGGTAGATAAAGGTGATCTGCAAGAATGAAGCCAGCCCGCAGAGAGAAGCAGAGAGGACAAAGGATGAGAGAAAGGGAGAGAGCTCCTTGACAGGGTTAGAGGCCCTGGTTGCAGTTATGCATGAGGCTCTCCTCTTCCTGTAACCAGGTATCAGCCAGTAATTTTTGTTTTTTCTTTTTTGCTGGTTTGGGTTTTGAAGCTTTGCAGCTAACCATTGATCAAGTTTTAACATACGAAGATTTTGTTTTGCTTTGTTAACTAAACAAGTTGAGCAAATGTGCCTTCTGTATCCCAGAATGTAGATTGCATTGTGTATGTGAGGTAGATATTTATAAGGATGCTGTATTATTTTTCCTCTCTCCTACTTTGACGTTCACTGTATATTACTTACGTAACAGGAAATTAGAAAAAGTTTGAGAAATGTGTCTAGCAGCCTGGCTAAATTTGTCCAACTGCTAAGCAGTCCAGTCTGCCAGGCTGACTTTAATCTGGAAAAGTTCTTTAAAAACCAACCAGTTTGATACAAATGTTTTTGTTGAAATGTTTTCTAGTATGTAGCAGAACTGGCTCTCTCACAAAGCAGCCTATTTATAGTAGTAATTCCTTTGAAGAAAATTTTTTTGTCTGAGTACATGATCAAAGTAACAGCAGAACACTGAATGGATGCATTAATCCAATAAGATATTTAAGTTTGTATTAAATTCTAGAAACTTGAAGCAGGACATCTGAAATGGATTTCACTCAGCATAGTGTAAATCATAGTTCTTGATGGGGTATATTAAAAAGAAAATCTCCTATGGTTTTAATATCTTTAGGATTTTTCTGTAGGAGGGAGTTAGGGCCTGGTGAGTGGGTAAAAGAAAATAAATAGAAAAAAATTTGTAAAAGTTAAAATGCCAACACATGTGCATCGACACCTGAGAATGACAGGGGTGAGGAGAGCCACTATTTCTCAAACATCATCTACCAGCCTTGGAATTGGTTCTTGCCCGAAGTGTTCCTTCCACAGGTAAAAGGAAAAAAACAGCAGAAAATGAGAAAATTCTGATTGAGTTCTGCAGAGCCAAGGGCAAATCAATAGTTCATTTCCCTGACTCCGATATTCAAAACTTGATTTGGAATCAATTTGTGTTTAGAAGGTTTCCACAAATTCTAAGGCAACAAAAATGAAGACATATCACAGAATTTAATCTGTCTTGTTTGCAGCCCTTCCCCTGCCCAGGACTCGACAGATGCAGGAGGGACAGCTGGCAGGAGGAAGGCTTGGATGAAGTCACCAAGGGGACTGTTTGGCTGGTGACTCATGGCTTAAATTTAATTGTTTTGGCAAAGTCAATATGTTGCTCTTGTGTAGAAACAGAAATAATGAGGATATTTGGGTTGATGTTTCTGATTTTTTGAAGGAGCTGTGGTAGTCTTGAATAAATAGAATGGAGATCGGGACCTAGTAAACGAAGACTTGGGGCGATGACATCCATTGCTTCCTTCAAGGTTTTAATGAAAACTGGTGTCCTCTAGGAAAAGAAATGCAGTCCCTTGGGAAGCAATCTTGTACTAGAGAGGAAAAGGCAGCTTTTGGATAATGGTTTCATTTGTAAATATTAAAAAATACCTTGTAACTGGAAATTGTGACTAGAAACCTGTAATTTTCTTGATAATGATTTCTGTTTATATGTGTATGTATCTGTTCATGGTGACATCCGACTTCCCAATATTTCTCAACTATCTACAATTTGGCTGAGAACCAGAAAGTGAGGGGAAAAAAATGACCAAATGAGATGCCCAGAGCCCAGTGACGAAAGCCCTTGTGCTTTACCCATAGATGTTCTTATGGTCTTCTTCTTCTAGTGTTTTCTTCCTTGATTGAAGGCGCCACTGCTCATCCACTTGCATAAACCAGACCTCTAGAAACTCTCCCAGGCACCTTCTTTCCCTTCATCTGGGTGCGCCCATTCACCTTTCGGTCATGCCACACTGACCTTCTACACAGCTCTCAAATCGTCCACTCTTCACGTGCAGGGAGTCTTGACCTACTTTTTGCAATGAAACCCTTTGGCAGTCTGGTGAAGCCTATGTGCCCCTTTTTAAAGTAAGATTTTTAACTTTTTAATTTTTTTTAGCAAACTAATGCAGAAAGAATAAGGCTTTATAATGCATTAAATAAAACACAGGATTACAAAGAAAACCAATTATGTTAAAATACAGTTATCAAAGTATTAATAATTTTGACTTATAATAATATATGTGCTTCTTTATAAATGCATTATGTAATATGACATAGTAGCAGGCCTAACAACTGCAGTAATTTTCAAGTAGTGATGAGTATAAATGACATATATATATATTTTTGTTGTTGTTGTTGTTTGTTTTTGAGACGGAGTCTCGCTTTGTCACCCAGGCTAGAGTTTAGTGGCACAATCAATCTTGGCTCACTGCAACCTCCGCCTCCCAGCTTCAAGTGATTCTCCTGCTTCAGCCTGGGATTACAGGCACACACCAGAATGCCCGGCTAATTTTTGTATTTTTAGTAGAGATGGGATTTTACCATGTTGGCCAGGCTGGTCTCGAACTTCTGACCTCAGGTGATTCGCCTGCCTCGGCCTCCCAAAGTGCTAGGATTACAGGCGTGAGCCACCGCGACTGGCTGAGTATAAATGATATCTTGATATATCTGCAGCAACTGTAATGTGATCTGAAAACACCTGTGATTTCTCTCGGTAGCAAGGTCACAGATGCTGCTAATACTCCTGAGGTTTGCTGCCTACATTTATAACGGAAGGAAATACTAAATTTCAATTAGCGGTTGATGACAATAAAGATACGCTTGTTTTCCCACCTAAATTCACAGAATTCTGTGGAGCCTGGACTGAGAATACTGCCTTTAGGCCAAGCCACCATCGTTTTTGCTGGACTTAACTGCCACAGGCTCCTACTGGATGTAAAGCTTGCCCATGTCCAAAATGTCCTCTACTCTGCAGCCAAGATGGTGTTTTCAAAATGCAACTGCCCACTTATACACCTGAACTGCCTTCCATTGCCCTTAGAGACCAAAAGGCCTAGGTCTTGGCCACAGGGCTCCTCTTCCTATGTGGCAGATTCTGTGTTCTCTCCCACCACAGGGCTTTGGCACGTGTGTTTCTCTCCACATCCTTCCTCACCAGTGAACTCTTAGGAGATCTGCTCAACCATCACAAGGAAGTCTCCTCTGACCTTCCTGATCAGTTCCTGGTTGTCTACTGCCTCATATCCCTCTTGTTTCTCTGAGGTGATGTTACATTTATTTGCATGATTCTTTGGCTAATTGCTTGTCCACCCATCAGCTGTGGGTTTCATCAGAACTGGTTTCCAGCCTGGCCAACATGGTGAAACCCCGTCTCTACTAAAAATACAAAAATTAGCTGGGTGTGGTTGTGGGCGCCTGTAGTCCCAGATACTTGGGAGGCTGAAGCAGGAGAATCGCTTGAACCCGGGAGGTGGAGGTTGCAGTGAGCCGAGATCTCGCTACTGCACTCCAGCCTGGGCAACAGAGCAAGACTCTGTCTCAAGAAAAAAAAAAAAGAACTGGTTTCATGCTATTCCCAGGACAGTGCCTGGCATATAATAGAGGCTCATTAAATGCTTGTAGAATAAATAGATGAATGAATGAATAGTTCCAATAGCATTTTAGGAGCAGAAAAACCCAATGACATGGTAGGGATTGAGATGAGAAGAAAAGTTTACATGACAGCAGGGTGGAGTGACAACTTCTTATTCAGGGAGGAGACAGGGATGCTCACAGAAGTGGCCAAAACCAGACACCCCCTCCTCCTGAACTGAAGTCTGTCAGCGTAACTAAAATGGCGAGTTTTATGTACATCAATAGGCCTCAAGAGCACCACTATGTTATAGGAGATAATATTAATTTATATTTCTAAGGTCAACCCTAAATATTAAGAAAAAGTTAAATTACATTATTGGTATTCACATATTTAAAAAGAAATGTTATAAAAATAGCAAAAGTTTACATTTCTCTTGAAAAGGTTATTTGGAAAATATATGAGGTCTGATGATTGTGCCGTATGTGTATGTACATATATGTATATATTTATTTCCTGGAATATATTCTTTGATGCCAACACTTAGATATTTAATGATTAGGTCTAAGATATGTTTCTTCAACAGTATAACCTAGAAGTGGAATTTTCAGTGGGTTGATTATATCAGTGGAGAATGATACTAACGAGGCCATATTATGGGTAATGTTCTCACAAAGTGATGATGACATTGTGTCCTGTGGTATAGATTTCATTCCCACTTCCAGCTAAACATGGTGCAAATGCAGGCTTAGGGTTTTGAATAAAAGTGCATGGATAGATGGTGCAAATCCATCTTTGATAGTTAAGAAATGAGTCAAAGTTGACTTGTGTAAGATAATTTTGAGTTCCTACCATGGTCAAGGCCTGGTAGTAGGTCCTGGATGTGTAGCAATCTCATCCCTGCCAAAATAGCATTGGATCAATTTTCCTACATGAATGGGTGTATTACTTCATTAATAACTGAAGTTGGACTGTTTCATGGGGACTCATTTTATAGTGAAAGATACACAGATACTAGCCCTGGACTGGAAAAAGATAGAATGCTTTTATTCTGAATCCCTGTAGGGGAAGATGAATTTTTAGGCATTCACCCTACATACCTTCGTATGTGAGGCAAAGATTGGAACATCAACTCCCAAGAGACTGTTCCCTTTGTGCTGTTCCAGGGGCTGTTCCTATCTGTTTGGCGAGCACCTGGAAACCATTGCCCAGGGTTTGGATTCAAACCTAAAGTTATCTGATTGGCTTATTTCCACATCAGTTGCTCATCATTTATTTAGAGCAAAATCACGTAAAATCCTCCCTCCTGTGGATCAAGTTGGCCAGTCCAGTCTGGAAAAGTGATGGACTGTGCCAACTGGCACTCAGAGCCTGGGCCACGGCCATCGGTGACTCGTTGGGCCGATTTTCATTTGCACTTTTCCACTGGGCTTGGACCCAGCAGCCTGAAACAGTGCCTATGAAGCTGTCACACTCTGTTGTGTCAAAGTGACTCAAGCACTTTTGGGCTGGGATCATTGAAATGATGGACTGTTATGGTCTTCCCTCTTAACGCGCATTTAATGCCTGTTCAGGGAGCACTTCATTTACACATCACTTACATGCTAGACTTATGCAATTTTGGTTGTAAATTCAGTATTGTTCTTGTATAGGAGCCATGCTCTAAATTAAATAAGACGAGCCCCTTGTACCCTAAAGGCAGGCCTGCGTGTGTATTTCTAACCTCTTTGCAGTATCAATTACCATGGAATTACATTACAATTTTTAACAAGGATAACATTCAGGTTTCAAAAGAGGAAAAATAGATTGAAATAAGAAAACGTTCAGATTTTGCTTATAGTAATTCTTACAAAGAAATAAAAAGAATTATGGTCCTGTGTAATAAGCTTTAGACTAGAGGTTTATTGCCTTATCTATATCTTAGGTTTGATAGATAGCAGAAATACAAATACCAATATGACACACACCTCGGGGAGGTCAGTCAAATCATTATGTGCTGTATTTACTGGGTAATTTCAGAGATCATCTATAAATATTGTTTCTTATTTCCAGTTCATAGAATTAAAAAGCATGGAAGGTGGTTTTATGCATACACAAGAATAACCCAAGTTTAAGATAAAAATAGAAAAGACTACTAATGGTCCATGGAGATCTCATCATACTCAAATATTAAAACAGAAATTTTCTTTTTTCAAGTCAGAGCTCTAATGTGTTGAAGAAATGACTGGGGGACAATGAGTTATCTTTCCTTAGTGGTTAAATAAGTAGAGATACATATTTTACTTAGTTATGATGATTATAAATGGCCAGAGTGAGAATTTTAAAGTCATTACCGCAGGGATAATATCAATCAATTTTAGTTCATGTTTGTTTTTTAATGAGCGTGTAGAGCAACAGTATATGCCATTCTCAGACTGTTATTTTAATTAAAATTGGAAACGAAAAGTTATTTGGGGAATGTTGCTCTGAATGAAGAATATTGATGTTTTAAATTAAATTCTGAATTGAGTTTTCAATAAATTGGAATGCAGGGATTTCTCTCCAACTACCTGAAACATTTCAGCAGATTAATGACTGGTCATTTCAAGAGTCAAAAGGACTCGACCAGGTTCTGATGGGAGAAAATAAAAGACTACATTTCCGTTTTAAAAGTGTATTCAGTGATAGAGTGTTGATATTACTAATTTATAATGGATGGTGCCGTTTGCAACGATTTAATGTGTGTTATAGCACCTCTGTCCCCGCCAACCTCAGTTCCACGCCCATGGTTTTGAAATACCGTTTCCCCTCAGTAATTATGAAGCTGGAAATGACTCTTTGCACCTGGTTCACAGTTCTTTTTACCTTTCACAGTCTTCCATGAATATAAAACCCCGGGGTCTGGATGATTTGGGTGAGTATTTCATTTCTGGTCCACACATCTTGAGATAGCACGTGTAAATGGGCCTCCATTTTACAAAGATGACTGAGCACTGTGAAGGGATTTGTGGTCCCTGTAGAAAAGGTATTATAAAGCAGCACAAGAAAAATGGAAAATACAAAAAGCAAAAGAAAATTCCCTAAACAGCACAACAAAAAGATTTTCTGTAGCCGTGGAGAGCCCTTCAGCACCCCAAATCCCACCTGAATGGCAGTGTTCACACGGCTTATGAATAGCAAGCACAGAGCTGGCCATAGATAAAACGATGGCGCAGGGCTCAGATCTGTCTTCTGCTCCGTTAGCTTCCCAGGTCGGCGCTGGTTTTTCCAGCAGCGTCGGGGCACTTCTTC
Organism: Homo sapiens; assembly: GCF_000001405.40. Taxonomy (NCBI): domain Eukaryota; kingdom Metazoa; phylum Chordata; class Mammalia; order Primates; family Hominidae; genus Homo; species Homo sapiens. Next base: position 173,849,469 of record NC_000002.12, on the reverse strand, counting down.
CACCTCAGGCGCTCAGCGTCCAGTGCTCTGGTTATTCTTGTTTAGATAGCAATGCCTGCTCTCTGCACAGCCCGGACCCTCAAACACACCCAGGAGCACAGAGCCCAGAGGGGCTCGTCAGAAGATACGGTAGAGCATGCAGAATCTCAACAGATTCTATAAAGTCACCCAATTCAGATGCATACTTTGCTCACTTAACCTCTAATCTCAAACACACCCTTTCAGCTCACACAGAGCTAAAAAAAAGGATGGCTGGAGGTTAGGAATGTGGGACTGAGGCTGTGAAAAGGGAAGCAGAGATGCAATGTTTAATTTGTGTATTCTTACTTTCTCCCCTTTTATTCTTTTTCTTTTGTTTCTTCTTTCCCTTCCTTCCTCCTTCCCTCCCTCTCTCTCTCTTTCTTTCCTTTCTTTCTTTTTCTTTCTTTTTTTCTTTCTTTTTGATGGGGTCTCACTCCTGTTGCCCAGGCTGGAGTGTAGTGGCATGATCAAAACTCACTACAGTTTATAACTCCTGGACTTTCTGGGACCACATGTGAGCGCCACCATGCCCAGCTAAATTTTTAAATTACTTTTTGTAGACATGGGGTCTGACTATGTTGTTCAGACTGCTCTCAAACTCCTGGGCTCAAGCGATCTTCCCATCTCAGCCTCCCAAAGTGCAGGGATTACAGGCGTGAGACACCGTGCCAGCCCTCCTTTTTTTCAAATTAGTCTCAAAAAGATTTTATTAGTCTAATTGAAGAACGAACATTTGGCTTGATCATCTTTACTTGATCTTCGTTTTCTATTTTATTATTTTCTCCTTTCATATTTTTGTGACTATTATAATTTGGATGTTTGTCCCCTCCAAATCTCATGTTGAAATGTGACCTCCAGCATTAGAGGTGGGCCCAGTGGGAGGTGTTTGGGTCATGGGGGCGGATCCCTTATGAATGCTTGGTACCATCCTTGTGGTAATGAGTGGCTTCTCACTCTATGAGTTCACGCGAGATCTGGTTATTTAAAAGAGCCTGGCACCCCATCCCTCTCTCTCTTGCTCCCCTTTCTCCATGTGACATGTCTGCTCCCCCTTTACCTTCTGCCATGATTGGAAGCTTCCTGAGGCCTCACCAGAAGCAGATGCTGGCACCATGCTTCCTGTACAGTCTGCAGAACCATGAGCCAAAGTAAATCTCTTTTCTTTATAAATTATTCTGCCTCAGGTATTCCTTTACAGCAATGCAAAACAGACTCATGCAATCACTTTATTTTTCCTAATGTTCTAAATTGGATGCTTAGCTTATTAATTCTGTTTTAAAATTTTCTAATATGGGCATTTAAAGATATACATTTCCCTCTATGTACTATTTTGCTACTTCTACAAGCTTTGATATGCGGTATTTTCATTATCATTAATTTCTGAGTCTATCTGGGTTTGCATTTTTTTCTTTGAGTAATTAGAAGTGTGTATTAAAAATTTCCAAACATGTGGGGTTCCACTGCATTTTTTTTTCTGTTATTGACTTAATCCCACACCATTGAAATGTTTTGTGATCACAGAACAGGTTCTGTTTGATACGGACTTTTTAACATTTGCTCATACTTGCTTGTTGGCTTAGAACTGTGGTCGATTTTTGTATATGTTCCAGTTGTGTGCTTGTGAGGAATGTGTATTCCTTAATTGTTGGATCCAGTGTTCTTTTTTTTTTTTAATCCAGAAAAGGAGACCAGTGCATTGTGTTGCTCAGATCATCTCTTTGTGTGCTGGACTTCTCCTTCTGCCCTCCAGAGCCCCTCTCCATGTTTCCTCGCCCTGCCTTGTGCATCAGCAGGCTGCCTGTGTGATCTGTAGCAAGGACACCCTTGCTCCCTGGCTTCCGTGGGCTCACCCAATGGAAGACCGGAAAGTGATAGAGTAAAAGTCAGAGTATCCATTCACCCAGCTCCCTCCTGCCAGGCTATTTTGGCAAAGACTGCAATGCCCTGTTCAAGGCCACCAAGCTTGTGTGCACCCTCTCCTTCAGCTGCTGCTCTCCCTGTGTTGGTATTGGTGACCACGCCCTGGCCTGGGCCCTCGGTCCTCCTGTTGCTAGCTCTGGATGTGCTTCTCCAGCCATCCTCAGCTGGTGTCTCTTAACCTCACCGATTCCTTGTGAATATTTCTTCGTTATTCTCTGTCCACTCACCATCGGAGTGTAACATCTCTTTTGTGAGTCCAGAATCTCTGGACTCACTTGTGCCTGCTTGACTTAATAATAATTGAGAGAGACGAAATGAAATCTTCCATTATGGTGGTGGATTTGCCAATTTATATGCTTTATATATAGAGTCAGCCTCCATGTCCTTGGGTTATACATCTGTGGAGTCAACCAACTGCAGATTGAAAATAATCAAAAATATATGTGCTAAATCATGTGCTAAATCTGTATGGACTTGTTTTTCTTGTCATCGTTTCCTAAGTAACACAATATTACAACTATTTACATAACATTTACCTTGTAGAAGGTGCTATAAATAATCTAGGGGTGATTTAAAGTGTATGGGAGGATATGTACAGGTTATGTGCAAATACTACACCAGTGTCTATCAGGGACTTCAGCATCTGGGGATTTTGGTATCCATGGTGGGGTGGGGTCCCGGAGCCAGTTCCTCCTGGATGCCAAGGGACAAATATATTTTTGCTTAATGTATTTTAAGTCTATTTTTTTAAGTGCATACAATCTTAGAATTGTTATATCTTCCTGGTGAAGTGAATCTTTTATCTTCATATAGTGGCCTTCTCTATACCTCACAATGATTTTTGTCTTAAAGTCTATTTTGCCAATATAGCAGCCGGCTGATTGTATAACAGTTTTCAAACTTTTTGGTCTCGGGACCAAAAAGTCCTTTTTACATTCTTAAAAATTATTGTGGCCTGGTGCAGTGGCTCACACCTGTAATCCCAGGACCTTGGGAGGATTACTTGAGGCCAGGAGTTTGAGACCAGCCTGGCCAACACAGTGAAACCCTGTCTCTACCAAAAATTACAAAAATTAGCCAGGCGTGGTAATGTGTGTCTGTAGTCCCAGCTACTCGGGACGCTGAGGCAGGAGAATTGCTTGAACCCAGGAGGCAGTGGTTGCAGTAAGCCGAGATCTGGGTGACAGAGTGAGACCTTGTCTCAAAAAAAAAAAAAAATTATTGTGAACTCCAAAGAAATTTTGTGTATATGGGTTATATATATCCATATTTACCATATTAGAAATTAAAACTGAAAATAAGTTAAAATATTAATTCACTTAGAAATAATAGTAATAAACCCATTACATGTTAACATGAATAATACATTTTTGAAAATTAAAAACATTTTATTTTCTGAAAAAATTAGTAGGAAGAGTGGCGTTGTTTTATATTTTTGTAAACTTCTTTAATGTCTGGTTTATTAGAAGATGACTGGATTCTTATAGCTGCTTCTGCATCTAATTTGTTGGGATGTGTTGTTTTGGTTGAAATTCATGAAAAAAAATCTAGCTTGACACAGATATGTAGTTGGAAAAGGGAGGAGGAGCCTTTTCAGATAATCATGGACATCCATCTTTGATACTACACCAACACTTGGCAGGAGGGGACTCCTTAAAGGCTGGTTATAATGTGAAATCTGAAACCATAGCAATGAACTTTTCCTATTCTGTTACATTAAAGTGCATTGATCTATCTTGTACTTTGAGTGGGTCTCTTATGCATGCATGATTTTCTGATGTCATTCATGGGTCATTTGGAAAATATCGGTTAAGCTTTGCAAATCTTCTAAATGTTGATACATTTCATTATACAATATTGAAAAATCACATCTGTACCATGCATTGTATGTAGTGAAGGAATTCTAGCTTCAGCTCCACTTCTCCTTCCCTGTCCTTAGAAAGTTATTTCTAGCCTTAATTTTCCCGTGTGTAAAATAAGGATTGCAATTGTGCTTTTCTCTCAGGGTGTCTTGGAGAAAGAAAGGAAGTAAAGATGGCGAATGCATTTTGTGAATTCTCAGGTGCAACATTAAACAAGTATAAGGGTTAAAAGATTAGAAACTTGTGTCCTTATTGCTTCTTCTAAAAAAGTCCAGATATTAATATTTTAATAGAACAAAACAATGATTACATTTTCACTCATATTCTTCTATTCACAAAGTAATTGCTATAATATTCACTTTTTGCCATGGGGATCAATAAAGCAATTAGCATTTTGAGTGAACAAATGAACACACTCACCCGCTGACAGGTTTGTTTTTCTTGAATTAGCCCTTATTAAGGAAGGCTGCTCTGGGTGATCAGGTTGAATCTTTTCACTGTATGGATGAGGTAGCTGAACCAGGATGGCTTGACATTACAATGTAGCTGTTTCCTTCTTCTGGCAGAAACTTGTACAAGACCTCAGGCTGCATACTGTGACCCATTCAGCTCAAGATTGTATCTGGCAAACATTGCCAGTATGTATTCTCAATGACAGTTAAAATATAGTTTACACATTGATCAAACTTTGATGGCAGCCCCGGCAGGGTTCAAGGTTCACCACGGTACCATGGCACATGGAGGAAAGCGAGTGCGATGCAAGTGAGTATGTTGCCATAATGGCAGCCCAAGGATGCCAGGCCCTGCCTCATTGCCTCTGAGTGGGGGTCGCCATGAGCTCCTTGTGGAATCTGTCCTGCCCTATCTTCGGAACCAACAAGGAAATAGAGCAAAGACTCATTGTCACCCCTCCTCGACTCCCTTGCCTATTCACTGGGACTTGGAATGACTTTGCTCCTTCCCTGTCCCAAGATCCAGGGGCTCAGAGACATTCAATCAGTCTGTCATTTGTTTGTAAGGCACATTGACTCTCAGTCAGTACCATAACCCAAAGAAAGCGCCACCAGATTTGTGAGTCGCTGTGTTGCACCCTCTCATCCACCTCATCCCCAATCCCTTTCTATGACTCTGTGGGTCTCTTTTGAATGCTAGTGTGATATGTAAGGGCCTGATTTCTGCCTTAATTTCACTGGTGTTTCTTTGGGGCTGAATCACCTGCATGGTAGGACAGGGCAAGGGGCTGGGGCTGGGGCTGGGTGGGGTGGAGGCAGTGGAATTGAGAACTTATCTTCAAGTGTTGATTTATTTATAGAGAATGTTGAAATCCACATTTCAGCCCTAATGAAATATTCTCTAGAATCATTCCCAGAACACACACACACACACACACACACACACACACACACACACGTATGCTGAATTTGCTTAAGAGGTGCACTCTTTAAAGGTAGAAAGGATGTAACTTAGAGTAAAAGGACACATTTCAAACTTTAGCCCTAAGATTGGATCTAAAATTAACATTTGCTTCCCCCCAAAGAGTAAACAAACAAGCAATTGTCCCAAAACAAAAAAAAAATCAACAAAACAGACTCACAAACAACACAACTGGCAAGTTCACACACATATTCTGCAGCTAATGCCACAAGTGCCAACCCAAACGGACTGGGTCTCGAGCCACCCATTTGGATGCAGGAGAGCATCTACCGCGTGAGAGAAACTGAAGATCAAATCGCCACCAAATTATTTGGAGAGAAAATGAGTCAAGCACCCGACCAAACAACAACAAAAAAAATATGGATGGAAAAGAAATGGCCGAATACACTGAGTTATGTAAGAGTCTGAGAAAGGATTCATAGGGTTTCTGGAAACACAATTTCATCAAGAGCTGAAGGAAAATGAAAAGGAAGACAGCAGGCGTAATTGCCGTGAGCAACAGCTTCCTGCTGAGACAGAAGAGTCTTACCATCAGCTCGGTAAGAATACATCCAGGCAAATACAGAAAACATGGGAATAAATACTTCTCTTAAAATCGGGATGGGAGGACAAAGGGCATACAGAGGCATGCCATGTATAGCAGAAAAGAGAGTGGGCAAAGGCCAGAGAAGATGATAATAGAAAAAGCAAAGTGAGAAAATTACATCTCTGTGGGCATCATTAGGGTGAAGGAAAGCAGGCAAATAGAAGATACTTAAAATATAACAGAGCAAAGCACCCAGCACACCACAGGTCAAATCCGGCAAGAGCAAATACTGTCACAAAGAAATTCTCTTTAGAGTGAAAAAAAGAAGGCGAGAAGGTGTCAGTGCAAGGGACAAGTGGCAGTCGGAAGTCAGGAGAATCGGGTGGTAATTCTGGCTCTCTTACCACCTGGCTGTCTTTACTTGAGTAAACTACCTAACCTTTCTGGGTCAGAGCCTTCTGGTCTGTAACTTCAAGGGCTTAACCCAGAGTAGTGATCTGTAACTTTTTGGTAGCATGACCCCTTTAAGACTCTGAGAAAGTTTATAAATCCTCTCCCCAGAAAAGTTTACACAGCCTTTACTTGGTTTTTCATACCATTTCCAGAGGGTCATGCATATTTTGAAAGGAGACATGGGACCTTAGATTTAGAATTATAGCCTTGACTGGTCTTTTATATCCCTCCCAGCTTGAAAAATCTGTGGTTCGATGCTTTCCAGGTAGTTAAGTGTCTGTTTGTTTAAAAAAATATCTATTTAATTCAACAAAACTCCAGTACAAGGAGATTCTGTTGGAGTACATTGGTGATTGTGTCAAGGAGATTTTACTATTTAGTAGTGAAATGGGCCAGGCACAGTGGTTCACCCCTGTAATCTCGGCACTTTGGGAGGTCAAGGCAGGAGGATCGCTTGAGACCAGGAGTTCAAGACCAGCCCGGTCAACAAGGTGAGACTCTGTCTCTACATAAAATAAGAAAAATTAGCTGGGTGTGGTGGTGCATGCTTGTAGTCCCAGCTACTTGGGAGGCTGAGGCAGAAGGATTGCTTGAGCCCAAGAGTTCCAAGCTGCAGTAAGCCATGATCGTACCACTGCATTCCAGCCTGGGTGACAGAGCAATACCCTGTTTAAAGAAAACCCCCCAAAGCAAACAAAACCAAGCCCTCCCTCACCAAAAAAACCCTTCAGTGCAAGGAGATGCTGTTGGAGTACACTGGAGATTGTGTCAAGTGGATTCTACTATTTTGTGGTGAAATGTGTGTGAGGAAGGCAGTGAGGGGATTGCTAAACTGGCTCATAATTTTTGCCCTTTTCCTTTCAGTAGCACTGTTTTTTTTTTTTATCGACTCAATATTTCAGTTCAGTGTAACCTAGCGTATTGTTGTGGTTTATCTTGGCTCAGTTCTTTCTGATGATCTTTGATTCTTTTCCTTGTCCCATCTTCTCTCTTTCCTTTCTCTAACAGTCTCTTTTCATCCTCCTTTAGCTACTTTTCTTTTTTTTGAGACAGACTCTTGCTTTGTCACCCAGGCTGGAGTGCAGTGGCACAATCTCTGCTCACTGCAACCTCTGTCTCCCAGGTTCAAGCTATTCTCGTGCCTCAGCCTTCTGAGTAGCTGGGATTACAGACGTGCACCACCACACCCGGCTAATTTTTGTATTTTCAGTAGAGGTGGGGTTTCACCATGTTGGCTAGGCTGATCTTGAAATCCTGGCCTCATGTCATCCACCCACCTTGGCCTCCCGAAGTCCTTTAGCTAATTTTTTTTTTTTGAAGTGAGGAAGTGATCAGGAATTAGTGGCTTGGAGGTGAATAACTTTATAAAGAACTTTCCATGGGCCAGGGATGGGGCCAGGACAGAGAGAATGATAAAGAAATATGAGACACAATCTCTGTTCTCAAAGGATTTATACTAAGGTTAGGAAGATAAAATAGGAATACATGAGAAATGAAGTCAGCATAAAGGATGAGATGACAAGAGAGAGGATTACAGTATAAGAGGTGTCTTCAGAGAGTATGTTCTGCCATGAGGATGCACTTCAGGGGTAGTTAATGCTATGGTTTAAAGGAAGATGTTTCAGCAGCTCTGGGAAGAGAGGCAGCTTGGTGTTGGGCAGGGGCCAGGTCTGGAAGGATGTGGGGGTATGGATGGCTGGGAGTGTTCAAGAGAGAAGGAGGTGAGAGGACATGCGTATTCAAATTCATCTCCCTTTCCAGGGCCCCTACTATTATAGAAGCACTGCCTTCCCAACTCTAACTCAAATTAATATTTAGAAAACAATCCACATGGCAGGGCACACAAAATGGAGCCATCTTTGGACCAAGGAAAAGAGCACCTCTTCTGCATCTATCAGGACATGAAAGAAAAGCTGGAGTGTTCACTTTTTGGAAAAACCCATTCATTCATTCATTCATTCATTCATTCAACAAATGTTTACTGAGCACCTATTCCTATGTTTCAGGCACTGTGCTACATTGTGGGAATATAGCAGTGAATAAGACATAGGTGGTTCCAACCTCTTAGAAGTTAGTGAAGAAAAGCCAGAAATCCAGACATCAATTTCCACTGTGTACCAGGGGCTCTGTCCACAGTGGACAGCTGACCACTGCACTGCTGTTTCAGGTAGGATTAGAAGTCTGACCCAAACCACCTCTATTCTACCAAGACTTGCTCTATTATTTGTTTGTTGGTTGGCTGGTGGATACTACCAGGAACAGCCACTTGTCCAGGAGCAGAATTTCTAGTCTGGAAAATGATAAACATGCTAAGGGAAGACCAAAATCCAAACCGTAAGTGGAATTTCAGCATTCAGCTCCAGACTAATGAAGCCAGCAGCGTGGCAAGAATACAACACAGAAATCTTCTTGAAGGTTGGGAGAGGTGCACTGTAGCATTTGGTGGTTTTACCAGGAATACAAATAGCAGGTAGGAACAAGTAGGGCTTTTGAAAAAATGCCCAAACTAGGCAGCACAACAGAGATAAATAAAATACACGGTAAAGAGAGAAAATAATAAAATACTGTAATTTGGCCTCCCAGCATGAAGGAGGGAAGCTGAGACTAGAAGAATGGATTAGAATTCATGAGTCATTTGTTCAGCTTGGAATTGAAGGAGGCCTGGCTGTCTGGAGAGGCTGGAGCAAGTTGGTTGTTCTTCCTTCCAACCCTGAGATCCCAGTACAATGGACCTGCACTCTCACTCTTTCTCCTTCGAGGTTAACCGTTTTTTAAGCAAAAATCTTGGGCTTGGCACTGTGCCTTTCATCTTCACAAAGCCCTGCAAGGAATATATAAGGAAACTGGAGCTCAGAGATGTGTCGCGACCTGCTCTGAGGTCACTCAGCTGGTACAGAGGCCACAGCTAATCCCAATCTTTGTGGCTGTTACTGGTGCTCCTCTTCCTGCAGTCTAGTGCTTCTGGTGTCCTTTGACATTTGACAAATGACCTCTGTTTGAGAGGCAAAGCGAAAGTCTCACCAAAGTGAGCACCAGGGAACCAAACAGTCTAGAAATATCCCTTTCCATGGACAAAAGGCAGAGACATGCTTTTAATTACCTACTTCTGAGGCTGCCTTGAGTCAGAGTCTGCTATACGAATGATTTGAGAAACAAGTTGCCTCTTGTAGTGCCAGAAATTAAGAAAGTGATTAAAACAAAACAAAACTAAACCCCACATTGACTGGGGGGTAGGTCAAAGAAAGACAGGAGCCAACTGAAAGAACTTCCAATGGCCAAAGCTGGAACAATTTGAACAACAAAATACATAAAGTAGTATGGAGTTATAACCCAAGTATAAAATAAATATCCAAGAGTCCATACTAATATAAATACATGATTGAATAAATAAATAAATGGAGGAGAGACAAATCTCCTGTGCATAAGAATTCCAAATAATTAATGTAGATACTTTGCTCTCAAGGAAGGGGGCGTAACTCCCCACTCCTTATGTGTGGGTTGCAGGTAGTAACTTCTTTCCAATGAGTACAGTATGGAAAGGGGTAAAAGTGAGTAACTTAACATGGGAGAAACCTGACAAACATTTTCTGAGCCAGGTGATCAAGGTCAACTTCAATAGTAATGTCATGTGGATATTATGCACCCCGATACTATGTGATGAAGATGGCACTCTACCTCTGTGATCTCCCAAATCCTCATCACCCCAAGAGAAGAACATTCTACAAAATAACTGACCAATCGTCCTCAAAACTGAAAGTCATCAAAAACAAAAAGCATCTGAGAAACTGTCAGAGCCAAGAGAAACCTAAGAAGACTAAATGAGATGTGGTGAGGAGGCTGGGGGGAGCTGGGGAAGGTTAATGAGTACAAAAAAGGTGGTTAGAATGAATAAGACCTACTATTTGATAGCACAACAGGGTTACTATAGTCAATAATAACTGCACATCTTAAAATAATTTAAAGAATGTAATTGAATTGTTTGTAACTCAAAGGATAAATGCTTGAGCGGATGGATACCCCATTCTCCATGGTGTGTTTATTTCACATTGCATGCCTGTATTAAACATCTCATGTACCCCGTAAATATATACACCTACTATGTACTCACAAAAATAAAAAATAAAATAAGATTTAAAAAGTGTAATAAGGTGTCCTGGATGGGATCTCGGAACAGAACAAGGACATAAGGTAAAAAACTAAGGAAATATGGATAAAATATAGACTTTAGTTAATGATAATAATACTGATTCATTAATCTGAACAAAGATGTTAATAATAGGGAAAACTAGGTAGGGAGTATATGGAAACTCTGTGTTCTCATCTCAATTTTTTTGTAAATCTAAAACCATTTTTAAAAATTGTCTGTTAAAAAACAGGCCAAACTCTACTAGCAGGATAATTTTATCATGAATTGAAACTGCCTCACGTAGACGGGGAATGTTGCCTTCTGTGATGCCGTTTATTGCAATTCCAGTCCAGTTCTTAACCTTCAGCTCATACAAAGGACTGTCTGGGCTGCCTTTTGGCCTTCAGAAAGGTTTTGTGGCATGGGATCTCCCCAGGAAAGCCAGTGTGCACAGGTAGATGTCAGCCAATGTTTCACAGGGAATGAAGCCTTGTACCTTTCTCCTTGAGACTCTTGCCTGTGAGCAGCTTTGGCTGGAACAGGCTGGCAGGAAAGGCCATTGAGAGCAGTCTCAAAAGTCAGGCTGTTTCCTGGTCTTCTCCCCCACACCCTCATGGGCCCATTTTTATACCTGCATTGCCCCTTCCCAAAAGCCCCTGTACCTTTTTGCAAACCCAAGTCCTATTTTTTATTTTTCCTTTTGTTCATCTGAACACATTTTCATGGTGCACTTACTAAGTGCCTTGCATTGTGCCAGGTGCTGAGTCTATAACAATTACATTCCAGTAGGGAAGATGGATGAGAAGAGTAAACTGATGAGTGGCTACAGATGATGGTAAGTCCCTTGAAGGAAACAGAGTGCTATGACGGAGAATAAGGGGAAAACAGAGTGCTATGATGGAGAATAAGGGGAAGGGTCCTAATTTAGATGGGATAGTTAGAAAAGATATTTTCCCCCAACTTAAGACAAAACAAAGGCTAATTTATAGAAATTAGGTTAGAGAAGGCAGACATACTACTTCAACCAGGTAGAAGTTGATTGTTATTCAGCATAAAATTTGGGAAGAAGTAAACAAAATCTGTGATCGGTGCTAGTCATTGGTCAATTGATAGCCCACACTAGTTTTGCTGGAAATTAAGTACTGCCCCCTTTCTGAGCCCACAACTCCTAGGCCACTGAGCCACCTTCTCATTTTTACTTTGGTTTCCCAGCTGTTTCAAATTCAGGCAGGAGGAGACCTGGATGGGTGACAGTATTCCAATCACTGGAAAAGATTGTGCCTCATTATAAATAAACACGCAGCCTGGTTTACAGTGCTAACACTGTGATCACCACCCAATACAACGAGGACCAAATCCTAGGACAGCAATGCTCACACCCTGTCTCTGTTAGTGAAGTAGGCAAACGGCCTCTACAGACTCATCTACTGCCCTACCACTTAACGTAGTTAACTCTGAAACAGCTTGAAAAGGCCTTTCTGAAGAAGGGACATTTAAGCTGAGGCCTGAAGGATAAAAAGGAGAAGTCATGAAGGTGTGAGGTGTTCTTGTACAGGGAACGGCATGTGTGAGGGCTTAGAAGCAAGAATGAGTTTTGCATGTTTAAAGAACTGAAAGAAGGCCAGATGGCTGAACATAGGGAGGGAAGGAGAGGGGCACAAAGCGAGAACATGGAAGTAAACTCAGAGGCTTACTCCATGGCTAACAAACACACTTAACCCATCCAGACGGACCTGTTGGTTTTCTCCCCCAAGCATGGCCCATCTTGGTGAGTGGCACCACCATCCACAAATCTAGTGGTTATATTTGATTCTTCTCTTTCTCTCACCTCCACATCTACTCCTTTGGTTATTCCTGTTGGTTCTACTCCCAAGATACATCCTTCTCGCCGTCTTCAACCATTCACCGCCCGGGCCGCCATCTTATCTCAGATCTTCTCTCTTAGGCGTCAGCTTTCTCCTGGCCCCGAATGAGCCTGGCTGGTTTCCTTGCAAGGCCTTCACCATTCTTCCTCTAAGTCTTCCCACAACTGACCCTTCCTCATCACTCAGGTCTCAATTCTCACCTCCTCTGAGAAGGCTTTTTACACACACCTTCAACTCCACTTGTTCTTGCAATATTAACCTATTTTATTCTTCATAGTGCTTCTCAGAAATGGAAATCATGTTATTTCTGTACAAGCTCACAGTCTGTCTCTCACTTGGGAGTGTTAGTTGCTTGAGGACAGACCCTCTTTCTCGTTTGGCCCTGGTGGGTGCTGTTCTCTTCCTTTCAGATCTTATTAAACACCCAACCCAGGGGGGACTGGAGCTCCGAGGAGAGCCAACCCCTGCCAGCCAGGGACAGAACAGGAAGAGTGGGAGGCCTGGGAGGCAGGAGACCCCAGATGGTCGTGGCAGTCTCTGTAAACTTGGACAATGACCTCCTTAGGCCTCACATTTCTCCTCTGTAAAATGAGTTTGAACTTGAGGACTTCAAAGTGTGAAGATTCTGTAATTGTGAACATCAGCTTGAATGAAAAGATTTGTCTGAAGAATTTGAAACTATTTTTTCATTTTGTTTTTGTCTTTTTTTTTGAAACTGTTTGTTCAAAAACCCTTGGATTGAGTTGCTTTTTGTTTGTTTGTGCCTGTGGCTATTGTAAAAGAAAAAGCACAGAAGAATATTTTCCCAGGCTGCTAAATAAAGGCTTTCCTGATGAGCCTGCCCCTTGGAAAAACTCAAAAACTGGGAGATTCTGAATTTGAGTTCCTGCCCAATGGAAGACCTGCATATACAGGATATATGTCTTTCCTAAAGTCAGTTTTTTAAATTTAGAAAACAATTTTCACATTTTATAAATATACTTGTCCCCAGCACTTCCAGTTATCTTCATGGTAAATGATGCTGGTGTTTATATTTTATTCCACTAGAACTCAGAAGACTAATGGAAGGACAAGCTATAATTTGTATTTTAAGCAGCAACTTCAGTGGAAACCTCACTGTCTCTGGCTCTTCTAACCTCTCCAGGAGAGAAAAAAATGGTTAATATGCTCTGTTGAATATTTATAGTCATCCTTTCCCCCCTGACATAATTAAAATTTATCTGTCTCTCCATTCAACAAGTATTTACGGACAGCCTACTGTATATGAGCCCTTATGTTAAGTGCTGGGGCCTGCTCTCCTGGGAGGTGGAGGTGACACAAGGCCATCAAGAAATCCTGTAATTCCTATAGTGCCGTGGAGGAGAGGAGGGAAAGGAGTGAAGAGTGATGGGAGTAGGAGGCCCTGCTGTCACTAAGTGGCAAGGAAGACCTCTTGCTGGAGATCCAATAATGCAGTGGCCCAGGCAGAGGGACAGCAAGTGGAAAGGACTGGAAGCTGGCTTGCTTCTTGAGAAACAGCAAGGGGGTCAAGGGGTTGGAGGATAGACAGTGAATGAATCTTTCTGCAGTAGAATTGAGAAAAGGTGTCTTTATGTAGGGCAGCCATATGGGGTAACACATGGTAATAAAAATGACAGTAACAGTAGCTGATACCAACTAGAGAACGTGTGTTATATTCTCTAATGGTTTTTTTTTTTTTTTTTTTTTTTGAGACGGAGTCTCACTCTATTGCCAGGCTGGAGTGCAGTGGTGTGATCTCAGCTCACTGCAACCTCTGCTTCCTGGCTTCAAGTGATTCTCTAGCCTCAGCCTCCTGAGTATCTGGGACTACAGGCGTGTGCCACCATGCCCAGCTAATTTTTGTATTTTTAGTAGAGATGGGGTTTCACCATGTTTGCCAGGATGGCCTTGATCTCTTGACCTTGTGATCCACCTGCCTTGGCCTCCCAAAGTGCTGGGATTATAGGTGTAGCCACCACACCTGGCTGGTTTTTTCTTTAAAGAAAAATAGTATCTTGTTCTTGGTTCATGGCTACATTATCTTCTATATTCCTGAAGATTAAATTTTTTTTTGGTCCCTGGTTTGTTTCTAGCCCTTTCATTCCTTTATTCCCACTTCCTTGTTTTGTTCTCTGTTGTTTATGCTGCAGGTCGCATATTCCTGAAGGTTTCTGGTGATCCTTGGTTCTCCATTCATAGTCAAAGGCGAGGCACTAGAAAGCTGATCGGAGGCTCTGAGTGAGTGCACAGGCTTGACAGCTGGTTCTTTTTCCCTCCTATTGTAGCAATTGAATGGCTAGCTGGCTTTTTTGTTGGGGGATACCCAAATATGGGATGTTTCTTTGAAGTTGTTCAGTTTCTCTAAAAATGAGTCTTTGGTCTTTTGTTGGGGTGGGATTGGGTTTGGAGGAAGCACTATAGCCCGGCTGTCAGCCTCTCAGGGCAGGGCCGGGGAATGGCCCTGGGTCTGCCATTCAGCATGAAGCCGTTCACATGATGCCCCGTGTTGGCCCTAAAGCTGGCTCTCTCCTCCTTCATGCCTCTCTATGTTAATGTCTCTAGGGATTCTAGCTTTGATCATCTCAAGAGATGGGATAATGGTAGTTGGCGGCTGCTTGGGGTCAGGAGGGAATCTTGAGGTCCACTCCTGCCTCAGCCTTTCACTCAGCCCCCATTTTCATTCTGCTCCTGCTCCATGTCCTCCTAGGCCCTGGAGCCTCAGTCTCTACGTCTTTCTGGGCTTCTGAGGGAGCAACTCAGCTTGTTTCTCATTATCATATCTCTCTGAATAAACTCTGATGAGTCAGTTACTATTCCTCTATCCACTTCCTAGCTCCCTAAAATTTGCTGATACTTCTTGCCCATTATCTTCTTGTCTCTCATACAACTCCTGAGTTTATGTCTGTTTTATTTCTTTTAGAAGGGAAATGAGATAAGTGCCTGTGCTTAATCTGAGTATCTCACTGAGAATCTCTAAGTGCTAGCTTCAAGTATCTCCCTTATTTCTGATAGCAATTCTATGAGGTAGAGCCCTTTACAGGGGAGGCAGCTAAGGCAAGGAGAGAGATATGCCTAGCGTCTCACATCCAGGGAGGAAGAAGAGGGTCCATAGGCAGGGTTTTCTGACTTCAAAACTCAGGTACTTGAATTTTACACTAAATTGCCAGTTGCCTTTTGTTATGATAAAGTTCAGTTTGCTTTCAGCTTAGCCTAAGATCATATGTTCTTATACAGAAAATAATATGCTTCTTTTCTCAGGCAGAGTAATGGTCACAGAGCTTTGTTCATGGGTGTGGGAGAAATACAGTCAACCTCAAAAATTCTTTCTGGCCGGGTGCACTGGTTCACACCTGTAATCCCAGCACTTTGGGAGGCTCAGGTGGGAGGGTCGCTTCAGCTGAGGACCTTGAGACCAGCCGGGGCAACATGGCAAGACCCTGTCTCTAGAAAAAAAATTTCTATTGAACATGTAGCATTTTTTATATTAATCTATTTGAACCACATTATTAATATGGAGACATGTGAAAATGTGTATTTATTATTAAGAACGTTTTCTGGATAGAGTCAAGACAGAACTGTTTTTCCCAAGAAGGCAATTGCTGCCCTGGTGATGCTTTCTGCTTTGTCCAGAGTAAACACCTGGTGTTTGCTGATTGGTTGTTTTGTTTTGCCTGTGCATGAGTCTCGGTGTTTGCACACTAGCTTTTATAGATCCATCTTTGCTCAGTTTCTGGGAAGGCTTATCCAACTCTCATTGAGATTTCTACTTCTGATTCTAGCAATAGTTTATAAGAAAATTGGTCTCAAACAAGTCATTTGTAACAGAGAGAAATGGACAATGTGTGTGGTTTTTTAAAAATGTTTCTCTTGCATCATAGGTGTTTTGGGAATGTGAAATCACGTATGATCATCTACAAATCAATTTTAAATGACTAGTGTTTATTACACAAAAACAATCACTTCAGATGCGCAACATATTTTATATTTCATCTCATTTGGTCCTTGTCTTTATACCTCGTTCCAGATATTGGAATATAACTTTGGTATAAGTACTATTCTTTGTAAAACATTGTTTTTGACCTTTTCTAAATAAAGGGAAGGCCAAAAGGCTGACTTTGATGCATGTATAGGGGTGAGAGAACCTTCTCTTTTCCCTGTGGAAGTTTGATAATTGAGTCTGCTGAAATAAACTGAAAACACACAGATCAACAGGAGGAAAGGTATACAAATGTATTACATGCACGGGGACATCACAGGAAAGTGAGGACCCAAGAGCCCCATGAGATTCAGAAGCTTAAATACCCTTCTTCATAGGGCAGATGGAAAGGGGGGCTGTGGGCACTTTTAGAGGAAGAGCAAATGGTTTTTAGGGGAGATGACTGGGCCCAAAGAATAGATAGCAACCTGGGACAAAGTTTTTCTGGACTCCAGGCATGCTGTCAACTCTAATCTTCCTGACAGTTAATATTCCCTGTGTGACGAGATCATAGGGAGAGGGCTTAAGGGAATTGCATTCATCTGGGAGGAGCACCCCTTACGCAGATAAGGGAACCTCAGATAGAGGTTCTCCCTGTGCTTCGGGAGAGGCAGAGGGCCGGGAGATGAGGGCCAGAGAAGATTGGGAAGATCTTGGTTCTAAGGTTGCTTCTTTAGTTCAGAGTACTCTGTATTCAAAGCACCGTGCTCCATGTATTGCTTTCTGAGCCCCAGCAGTGGCTTAGGTACAGCAGGATAGTTTTCTGATGTCACTCCTCCTTTTTGTTTGGAATCTTCCTCATCTGGTGGGAGCAGCATCTTTTAATAATTGGTCCTGCAGCCCAGCCCTGCAAGGTGATCAATATTAGCAAAGACAAGCCTGTCTTGTCACTGTGCCCTGGAGGTCATGAGAGTCGGAGGCTGGCTCCTACTGCCTGCTGCGGGCATAGCCAGGGGGCTCTACCTAGCCCCTCAAAGGTCTTCAACCGTTATGTTCCACTAGCTGCAGTGGGGCCGCCTTCTCTCCCCACCTTTTCCTCAGTCTAGTTACCCTGGCTTCCATGTGGAGTAGGCGGATGGGCCTGAACAAGGACTCAGTCTCTGAAGTCCCTCCTGTTGAAGGGTCCGAGGGGGGTGGGTGTGTGCTCATCAAGTCCAGCTCTCCAGGCGCTGACAGGAGAATTTGCTGGAGTAGGCTCTGGGTGCTGGAGGGGGAGGGTCTTGGGTCTCACCTCACCTGGCAGTGTGGCCAGGGGGGACCCCATCCCCTGCAGCTCCCATTTCTTCCTCATCGCCCTTTGAGGGAGCATTGCCAGAGCCAGCTCCTGGGCCCCTCCCCTCACTTCCTACCAGGCCCCACTTCCACCTCCTCTTAGTCTTGAAGAGATACAGAAACCCTCCCCTTTTCCTTCATGTCTCCCTCAGAGGAACAGAGACCGAGAAAGGACAGAGACTCATCAGAGGCTGACTGTGCTGACTCACAGATGCTGGACGGGGGGAGAGTAAAGACTATTTAGAGCCTCCCACCTCCCTCCCGACCCCTGACCCTTGCTCAGTGTGCACATGGCCAGCTCACAGTGCTCTGCTATGTGAGGCCTCTGCAGACATTTCCAGGCCTGTGGGTGTCACTGAGGGGTCACATGGAGCCAGAGAACACTGCCCTCCCTCCAGATGCCCCTCGGTCCTCTCAGCAGCCTCAATAGGCTTCCCATGTATTTCTGCCTTCATTCTGTAAGCCCTTGGGAGTTGGCCTGTGTATCTCTGATTTCCAAATACTCCCTCTCGGCGCTGTCTTCAAAGCGGCTGCATCTTTTCCCATTGGCTCTACTTTGTTGCCTTCACTAAAATAAATGCACACTATCTTTCACTTTTAAGGGCTTTTTACTGTTAGTCTCTCTAGGGACTTGTTAACTTGTTGCACAAGTTACAAATATTTGGATAGGAACAGACTCAAGAAATAGCAGTTGAGCACTGTCCTGAATTTTAGCCTGAGATGCAAATGGGCCTGGACTTCTAATTCTCCTTTCTCTAAACCTTTCAGCCAGGTGGCATTGCAGCAGTTCCTCTGGGTTTTGCCTGTGTTGTTTGTTCTGTCCAGCCTTCTCTGGGTTGGATGCTTCTAAGGGATATAGGAAAAAAAAAAACCCCAAAAACCAAAGTGTTTTTTTCCTATTCTCCTCTCTTACACAGTCATTCAATACAACACTTCTGACAACAGATGTGTGGGCTTTCCCCTACACCCAGCAATTCTCCAGCAGACACCAGCTGCGTGTCCTCTAATTCAATTCAATTCCGACACTATCTACCTGCAGGCAGTGTTAGATCTCACAGGTTCACACAAGACGGGTGCAGTCTTCAGATGCACCAATTGCAAAGCCCCAGGTGTCCCCTATACAAATCGGAGCTCCCACTACCCCTTCCTTGGGTTCAATTAATTTGCTAGAGTGGCTCACAGAACTCAGGGAAACACTTTTCTTTCCATTTACCCATTTATTATAAAGGATGTTACAAAGAATGCAGATGGACAGCCAGATAAAGAGATGCATAGGGCGAGGTATGGGAGAAGGGGTGCAGAGCATCCCTGCCCTCCTAGGGCCCACCACCCTCCAGGAACCTCCATTTGTTCCACTATCTGGAAGGTCTCTGAACCCAGTCCAATAGGATTTTTGGAGGCTTCATTGCACAGGCAGGGTGGATATTATCACTGACCATTGGTGATCAGTTCAACCTTCAGCCCACTCCCCTCCCTGGTGGTGGGCTGGGGCTAGGGGGTGGGACTGAAATTTCCAACTCTCTAAACACATTGTTGGTTTATCTGGCAGCCAGTCCCCATCAGTCGTCTCGTTGGCATACAAAAGACACTCTGGAGATGAAGACCAAATATGTATTTCACAATATCACAGCACTGAACCAAGTTTCTTAGCTTCTGAGTACTTTTTGGTTACTGTGTCTTCCCAGATTGCATCATTTTTCTGGACAATCACTGGGCTCCCTGTGGAAAGCACTTCGTGTGGGCTCCCTGCAGGCGTCCTACCTGGATCTGGCCATGCCTTCATCTACTCCAGTGCCTGGTCCTCTTTTCTTAGTTGGTTAGTGTCTAAGTTAGTCAGGGGCAAGTTGCTCACCCTTGCTGCAATCTTAGGGGAACAAGGCCTGCTCCTTCCACGGTTGCTTTATACCTTTTTAGGCCCAGAGGGTGTTATGGATGATCATGATTATGCAGTGGTCTTGAAAGGCAGGTGAGGGAGCCTGATGGTTAAGCGAGCAGGCTCTGGAGTCTGATTGCTTGGCTCCAACACTTACCAGCTGTGTGACTTTCAGGAACTCCTTTAGCTCGTTTAAGTGGGGATAGTCATACATCTACTTATATGGTTGTCATAAAGATGAATTACAGGGCTCTCAGAACAGGGCTGGGCTAGGGGAAGGTGCTTGATCCATATGAGCTATGATTATCCTCACTTTAGAAATGGAGAAACTGAGGCCCAGGTCACTTACTTAAGGTCATTGAGCTGCAACATGGAGAAGCTTAGTTCCTAACCCGAGGCAGCCTAGCTCTGGAAACCTTTCCCTGAGCCATCTGCAGTACCAGCAGCTGCAAGCTTCATCACCTCCCCATGGTCACTGACAGCTGCCACACTGCCTTGTCAACCTAAAATGAGTGACACAGAGACGGACTCTCTGAAGCCAAGAGTCTATTTGGGAACAGGAGGGGATTGCAATATGGGATATACACGATGGTGAACCATAGGCACATCCAAAGGGGTTGGGGCAAGGGGAAGCTTAAAGACAAAGGGAAGTCCACATTAGCTGTTTTGAAAAGACAACAGCAACAACAACCATGGGTTACAGGGGCTTACTGCAGGCATTGGCAACAGCTGTGGCAGGCAAGTGTGCTGTGCAGGCGGCTTACCTAGAACATTGAGGTTTAGAGGAAGTCCTTGTGTCATTACCGTCATAGGCATATGTGCATGGGGATGCTCCTTCATGGCCTCTTGGCTCCATTTTGTCAGCATTGGACATTAGTGACTCCATTTTGTAATGCTGATGATTCTCACAACCCTCTGGCTTTTTTTGCTTCCCTCTGGCTCCCTCCTACCAGGATGAGGCTTTAGGGAGAGACACCCAGCTCACTGCATGCCCACGTAGTGCCCACTGAGCCGTCAAGTCGCCTAGGGACATCTTTTGCCCTCAGAGGAGTGCTCTTTAATAATATTAAATATCAAAAAGCTTAAAGCCCACAGAACAATAACGAAGACTATTTCCACTGAGGGACAGGTGGTTTTCTTGCACAGGCATGGGCAAACCAGTTCAGGTGCAAAGGAAAGTCATTCTGGGCTTTCATCCAAAACTCAAACCAAACACATAGGCACTGATTTATTTATTTCTAGGTTTAAAATTTTTCAGAAACAACATTCCAGTTTTCCAGAATCTTGATTGTTTGGGTTTTATCCAGGTTCCTAAGGACATGTTTCGAAACACCATAAGAAAGTCCGGGTTGTGGGGAGAGAGCACAGAGAGGAAGGAGCTGGGGCGGGGGAGCTTTTCTTTTTGATGGCAAGCAGGAAGGACAGAAGATCTTGCCAGATCTTGTCATATTTCTGGCCCCACTGTAAAGCCCAAGGTGGTTTGGCTAAACATCAGAATGTGGGGGTGTTTCCTTGAATTAAGCTTTATTTCATAGGAAACATATAGGAGAGATTCCATTTTCATGAATCTCAAAAGTGGTTTTTTTTTTTTTTTCTTTTTGGCTTGAGAGTTCTAGCATTTTACTAGAAAGGCAGTATGGAAACAAATAAGAGCAGTGACTCCAGAGACAGAAACCCTAGGCTCCTGTGCAGGGACTGGCCCTGAACTCCTTGGCATTTGGTTGCATTAACGAAGGTGGGTGGTGCGGAGGATGTGCGCTGTAAACTGGGTAGGGCAGCCACACCTAGAGTTGTAGGCTTCTTATTCTCTTATTATGGGGAGCCCATGTCAGGAACCAGAGTCAGATACAATTTAATAACTTGAATTTCCTCACTGATGCTTCATAGTGAGAAACCTTTTTAGAATAGAAACTGGGCCTTCTCCATTTTAAACATAGTTTTAGTCAAATAAATTTGATGAAAGCATAATTGCTACATTGGTCTTCTAAATGAGAGCCCGTCATCATAGGCAAAAATGTATTGTTTATTGCTTCTTTTCTTTTAGGAATGGGGTCTCACTCTGTTGCCCAAGGCAGAGTGCAGTAGCATGATCATAGCTCACTGCAGCCTCAAACTCCTGGGCTCAAGTGATCCTCCTGCGTCGACCTCCCAAAATGCTGGCATTCTAGGTGTGAGCTGTTGGATCTGGCCTGTTTATTGTTTTTTAAAAAACTTTTTGACACACTATGTATTCATATTTGCAAAATAGAATTAGGAAGAAGCTTTAAAAGTCATATCTAATACAGTGTTATTTTTTCATTTCTAAAAACTTTTTATTACAGAAATTTCAAACATATACATGAAAGTAGAGAGAGGAAAATGAGTCCTCATGTACCCCATTACCATTTTCAATTATAAATTCTTGGCCAATCTTATTTCCTCTATTCTCCCCCACACTTGTTCCTCCCACATTATTTTGAAGCAAATCCCAGATACTGCGTAATTTGATCCATAAGTATTTCAATATGTGTCTCTAAAAGATAAGAATCCTTTTCCCCCAACATTTTATTAAGAAAGATTTGAAGATACAGCAAAGTTGAAAGCTGTATGCCCAACCACCTAGATTCTGCTGCTAACAGTTTACTATACGTTGTCACCTCGTTATCCGTCTATCCATCCCTCCTTCTGTCAAGCCACCCTGTTTTGTTTTTGGTGCATTTGAAAGTAACTTGCAGACCTCTGTACACAACCCTGCAAACACTTCAACGTGCATCTTATCAGCGAGGGTTCAATATTTGCTTATAACTTTTCCCCATTGGATATAACATTTACATCTATGAAATACACAAGTCTGAACTACATATTTGCTGCATTTTCGCAAATGTAGTCCGAACTCCTATCAAGATATAGAATATTACCATCACCCTAGAAAGTTTCCTCAGGCCCCTTCTTAGTCAGTCCCCATCAACACCACCTGCTCTGCATTCCGATGTTTTTCCACCACAGATTAATTGAGGCAGTAATTTTGAGGATTTGTCTCGTCTGTTGTAACTAAAAATCGAAACAGCATAAACAAATGAATTTTCTTTTTGATTTGACCCCTGGCCCCAAATGTGGGTTTTAGAGTGCTACCCAGGTTCTGGTTAGGGGGACTTCATATTTCCAGAATCATGTCTTCAACCAGAACAGTTCCCTGTGTGGAATGTGTAAGATTTTCTTTGAGCGAAGGAATCTATTGCAAAATGAAGCTTGAAAACCAATGCTCTAGTCCTTTCAGCTCCATTTTTTTGTTTTTGTTTTTGTTTGTATTTGAAAACATATTTGGCCACTTCGTTATTTCCTGGGCAGTTGTCCACTTAGTAGTGCCCAGAATTATCTTGGTCCTGAGAGCCATCTGCCTAATCTTACCCTTGCAATGAAACTCTGGGGCTTTGAAAGTTCTTTGGAAGTGTAGCCTGAAGTTATTCGTTCAAATTATCAATTCTTATCCCCATCTCTGGACAATAAAGCTCCAAACTGGAAACCTTCCCCAAATAACAGTCAAAAGGCCATTTATACCCAATCTTTCTTCAAAGTACCAAATTACTTTATAATCTAGATGCCATATTCTCTGTCTACTGCAATTCAAATGAAATTGTATTGAATGGCCTCCCCTGTACAGGAAACACCTCTGCCTTGACCAGACCTCTGGGCATCCTGGGGCATTGTTTGCTTTCCTTGTACCTCTGGTCTGAGCTCCCGAATCTGCTGAACTATCCACTTCTGGGGCTCGCTAGGCAAGTATCTCATCAGGTCCCACAGCAACTCTGAAGTGACGCTTCAGTTTCTTTACATGGATTTCTGCTAAAACCCACTCTCAGGAGAATTGTAGGTATGTAGCAGATGTTTCAAAAGGTTTTAGGGGCCAGGTACGGTGGCTCATGGCTGTAATCCTAGCACTTTGGGAGGCTGAGGTGGGCTGCTGGCTTGAACCCAGGACTTCGAGACCAGCCTGGGTAACGTGGCGAAACGCTGTCTCTACAAAAAATACCAAAAATATTAGCCAGGAATGGTGGCGTGTGCCTGTGGTCCCAGCTACTCAGGAGGCTGAGGCAGGAGAATCACTTGAGCCCTGGAAGGGGAGGTTGCAGTGAGCCAAGATCATGCCAGTGCACTCCAGCCTGGGCAATAGAGCAAGACACAGTCTCAAACAAACAAACAAAAAAAGATTTTAGGAAATTGGAGGAGGTTTGCCAAAAATCTTTAAAATTTTTAATTTTTAAAAGAGATTCCTATTTCTGAAGAACCTTTATCTGCTTGCTCATATTGCCTAGCTATTATCTCTATTCTGTCATCTCTTCTGCAAGTGGCTATTGGTTTTTTATGCAGAACAGCTTTATTTTCTCTTTTTTTCTTGCTTCCTTCCATCCTGCCCTCACCCAGCAGACTTCTCAAGACTATTTTCCTGGTTACTGCTATAGAAGAAATTGTACTGCCAGCATTAAGATTATATATGTAAAATATGTAGTATTATATTAATATATACATATATTTATAAACATATGAATAAATGTTTATATGTAGAGTATGTGCTATGTTTGCATGTTTGTATTTATAAATATGTAAATTATAAATGGTTATATAAAAGTAATATATAAATATATATGGTTATATATTTATTCATTTGTATGTATACTTTATTTATAAATACATAGGTGTAGTATATGTATATTTATATACATATGTGTATATTGTATAGAAAATATATGTGTAGTGCCAGCATTAAGATGATATATATGAAGATATATATATATATATCTTGAACCCAGGAGTTTTATATATAAACTCTTGGCTTTAGTTTTAGGTGAGTCATATAATCCTTTTGACTCTATATTATCATTTGTAAAATGGAGACAATACCAGTCTTTGTGAAAGCCAAATGTGATAATACATGTGAAAGCATTTTGTGAACTAAAGTGTTTGTACAAACAACCTAAATGTCCATCAATGGCTGAATGGATAAAGAAGAGGTAAGAAAATGCATTGTACACACACACACACACACACACACACACACACACACACATGCAAAATGGAGTATTATTCAGCAATAAACAAGAAATATGTTTTACTAATATCTTAAAATATGCCTGGCAGATGGGAGATGCTCAGTAATTGTTTCCCAAATATGAATTATTATCTTTGCTTAATAGATTAACTGTCTATTGACTTACAAATTCATCTATTAGATTTCTTATTCAAATTTAATTGACATTCTCTACAAATCCAAAGCAAGTTAACTTAGGAAGTGGCAAGAAATAACCTTGTTATGGAGATGGATAGGTTCTAGGCAAAATCTGTGATGATGATAATAACAACAATAGTGTTTACCACTTTTTGGATGTTTACTAACTGCCTGGTATAGTACTAATGTTTTATACATATCACCTCATGTAATCCTTGTCATAATTCTGCATGGTAGCTATAATCATGCCTATTATATAGAGGATGAAACAGAGAGGTTAAAAATGTGTCCAAGGCCATACAACCAGTGGCAGAATTGGAATTTGAATCAAGCCTTAGGTCTAAAACCCTGTGTCAACCATTAAAGGTGACACTAGTGGTCTTTGTGCTGCTATAATAAAATACTTTAAGCTGGGCAACTTATACAGAATAGAAATTAATTTCTCACAGATCCAGAGGTTAGGAAGTCCAAAATCCAGACTGGCAGGCTCAGTGTCTGGTGAGGTGCCAGTATCTTTTTCCATGATGGTGCCTCGTTGCTGCATTTTTCAGAGGAGACAAATGCTGTGTCCTCACATGGCAGAAGAGTAGAAGAGCAAGAGAGGCAAACTCTCTCTGAAGCTTCTTTGATAAGGGCATTAATTCATCCATGAGGGCTCCATGCATTACTTCCCAAAGGCCCCGCCTCTTCATACCACCACCATGGGGATTAAGTTTCAACAGGAATTTTGGAGGGGACACACATTCAAAACATAGCACTAGCTAATCTATGTCAAAGTCTTAATGACTCTTCTCCCCTCAGCATCCCTGTTCTGTGTACCACTGATGTGGGGGGGAAGATGCCCTGGTTGATATATTCCAGACTCAGTTCAAACCTCTGCACATCCTCAATTCACACCTTATGCATGGCTGTCTCCTGAACCCCAGTTTAAGTCTGCTTGTCCTACTGAACAGGGAAGGCTATATGTGTTAAAAGGGAGTCCTGCCTATCCCATGGCACAACCAAGCACGTGGAGCCTCTGCAGCTGCATCAAAAGGCTGAAAAAGTGGCTGGACATTGGCTCTGCCAGGCCCTTCTGTGGAGGCTGAGGAGCAGGCTTGGGTGGAGAGACAGAAAGCTTAGGTGGGGCTGAGCTTGCTGGATGCATGAGGCTGGCAGGAGGGCCTTGTGAGGGAAGGCAGGAGCAGCCCTTGTGCACTCAGGTGCTGAGGAAGGCTGCTGGCAGGTGTCTGTGCCTTTGCTGCCTCTTGCCTCCCTGGCCCTGATTCTAAGAATGAGAAGTGGGATCACTGAGCAGGAATGTGAGGAGTGTTTTGATTGTCTCACGGTATGGGCTGAATTGTGTCCCACAAAATTCATACGTTGAAGCCCTAATCCCTAGTACGTAGAGTGTGACCTCTGTAAATAGGGCACTTACAGAGGCACTCAAGTTAAGATGAGGTTATTAGGGTGGGCCTTAAGCCAATACAACAGTGTCTTTATAAAAAGGAGACGTTTGGGCCAGGTGTGGTAGCTCATGCCTGTAATCCAGCACCTTGGGAGGCTGAGCTGGGCAGATTGCTTGAGCCCAGGAGTTTGAAACCAGACCTGGGCAACATGGTGAAACCCCATCTCTACAAAAAATACAAAAATTAGCCAGGCGTGGTGATGTGTGCCTATGGTCCCAGCTATTCAGGAACCTGAGGTGGGAGGATTGCTTGAGCCTGCGGGGGTAGAGGTTACAGTCAGCCAAGATCACGCCACTGCATCCTAGCCTGGGAAACAGAGTGAGACTCTGTGTCTTTAGAAAAAAAAAGAAAAGAAAAGAAAAAAAGGGAAATGAGAAATGTGGACTTAGACCATAGACATATCTACACAGGCTCACCCTGTGAGCCTGAAGACGGCCAGCTACAAGTTGAGCAGAGTGACCTGGCACAGACTCTCCCTCACAGCTCTCAGAACAACCCTGCCGGCACCTCACTGTTGGATTTCCAGTCTCTAGAACCATGAGATGATAAACTTCTGTTATTTAAGCACCCACTCTTTGCTCCTTTGTTATGGCTGTCCTAGGAAACTGATACACTCACCTCTGGGATTTGTGTATGAAGGGGCAGGTCTAGTTCTGAGTTTTGAGCAGGTGAGAAGCATTTTAGGTCCCTTCTGTTTTGTTCCTCTCAGTTTTGGAGACAGCTTCAGGGTAGGGGTTTTGCAGTCTCAGCTATGCCCGACTTCTGCCTCGAACACTTGTCATCTCTGGGAACTTGGGCAAATTGCATAAAGTCTCCGGTCCTCAAGCTCCATACTTGCAGAATGAGAATGATAATGCCCACCCCACTGGGGGAATTGAGAGAACTGAACACTGTAAAGCAATCATGTAAGATGCCTTCCCATCCACAAACTCATTTATTTAATAGAGTTACTCTGCTCATATGCCCTGGGCAGTCAAGTGATGTATCACATGACCTGATCCCTCCTCCAAGAAAAAGTTAGCTGGAGCAAGAATGACATCTGATCCAAAGGTAGCCAATCCATAGGCCTGGTCAGCTACCCGTGATCTGGTGTAGGAAGATGGCTGGGTCACTTGGGACCACTCTTGGGAATTTGGACTAAAGAATATTGAGTCGAGGTGCTAGCAGTGGGATCTTCAGCTGAAAAGTCGTGGGACAGAGTCAGGACCCAGGAGGCTGTATGAAGGCCAAAGTTATGAGGAGAAAGCAACGGGGTAATCTGAAGGCTGATGTTAGCAGAATAGAGCTTCAGCCAAAGGAAAAGTGGAGGCAGATAGAGAGAAAGAGGGGGAGAGAGAGAGAGAGAGAGAGAGCACATAAGCTACTGTTCCAGGCATTGTCTTGGTCCAGCCCAGGTCCCATGGTCATGCCCTCTTAAAGTAGATGGAGGGGTGTCTGCTTCTCTTAACCAGAAGATTTGAGCTGAAGCAAGAAGATTCTATGTATTAAAGGACAGGCACAGGTAGGAGTCTTCTGGCAAGTGCTACAAATAAACGACAACAACAAAAACAAGATCATGCTATGAAGAAGTAAGAAAAGATGGTACGATAGAGATGGGCTAAAAGGGGCTTGCAAGGGCCAGATCCAGACCCATCTGTGGTCTCCCCTGAGGCCAGTCACATGGGGCCATCCTGGGACGGGGTCATCCTGGGCTTGATGCTCTGTTCTTGCCACCTTGGAAGTCTTCACACTTGTTTTTTTTAACGAGTGGTCTTGCCTTTTCATTCTGCACTTTACCTGGTCCTGCCTGCCAGGGGAGAGGGAGGCAAGCGGAGCAACCTGAGCACATGTTGTTGAAACGCAAATCATGCAGTACGTAGAGTAATCTTTTCATGCGGCCAGTTGGCGAACCATGGACTGGGAGGAGGTTGTGGAATTACCTTTCTTTGAAGAGTTTTGAAAATAGTATAAAGCCTCACTCTTCTGCTACGCTTAAATGTGTGGTTCTGCCAAAAGACGGGGAGATGGGCATTCTTCTTGAGGTACCTGCCTGCCTCTCTACAAATCCTTTGTGAAAACAGAGAACTACAAGGAATTTTGTGACTCAACCATTTCCCCCTTTTTAAGGAGTGCATTGCAGAGAAACTTAGCGAGAACCTGAAATGATCCTTAGAGACACAAGAGAGTCTCCTGCCCAGCACCCTCTGCCTGCTTCCTCAGGGCACATGGAGAGCTTGCCAGGGCTGCCATAGATGTCATCCAGGAGCGGCTGAAGGATGGACCCACCCTGAAGACTCAAAAAGGAATTCATCAAGAAGCTGATTCTGTCCTTCACAAAATGTCTGGGTAAAAAAAATCATCTGGTTTTCCAAAAGCACTTGAAAATAGTTGTTTTTGCCACGATAGGGGGTGCTGTATTATATTCCCTCTAGAAAAAGAAGTGCTAATTGCTTCTGCAGATGGCATTCAAGCAACCAATTCCTGGAGCAATGGGTGTGGATTATATGATGCTAACTTCAATCCAGAGGTAAGTTGGAGCCCTCTCTCAGGATATTGCATTGTCATTGTTTTAAAAACTTTTTTCCCCCGTTGAAAAGGATAGGGAGACACAGAAGAGTGAAGAGACTTTTGTAAGTGTGTGCTAGTATGAGGCTAAGATGTTCAGTGGCTGTCGAAACAAATGTCCCCTGAATTTCTTACCCGTAAGGATATTTTCTCCACGTGACACATTATTGGGTGTGCATAATGTATGCAGGTGCTCTTTATTTTTCAATTAGTTGTGTTTTTCTGGGGGTGGTGACTGATGTTTTTATTTCTCCTCATCTAAGTGGATTTGAAGACCATACCATGATGGAAGAAAAATTACTAGACAGAGGTTTAAGGGAAGCAGCTCCAGACAATTATAGAAATCATGTTAGGGGGAAAAATGATGTCTTCAAGAAACTCCACCTCTTATCTGGGTGGAGAAACAATTAGAGAACAATACGAGACAGTATATAATCAAGTGCTAAATTGTGTGTTACGGATAATGAGTGCTATAGGGATTCAGAGAAAGGAAGCCTAAGACTATGGAACAATTCACAGCATTTTGTGCCAACAACCCCACTTCCAGGGAGAGATGTCTGCATTTTCTTTGAGAGTTGATTGTGAGGCTCGTCTGGCCCACTTTGCAAATCTATCATTATGGGCAAGATCAGGTCTTTTGTATGTTCCATTGCATATCGATTATGATGGAGCCTGGATAAATGGGATGTGGAAACCAGAAACTTGCAGCGAGTCCTCTTTCTGGCCGAGCAAACTGACAAGATGGCCTCTGCATGACAGGCACCTGCTTCAGTCTCCCTGACAACAATTTCTGCAGAGTTGAAAGCCATTAAGAGGTGGCTCTCTACAGTGATAGCCTACATTTTCCAAGGGATAAATCTTTTCTGCTACAGAGGTTGGCAGCTGAATTTCGGTTCCCCTGGCTCCCCTCCTTCACACTTTTCACAGAGCAGCTTAAAGGCTAGCAGCGGCTGATGGTGATGGTAAATATTTCTCATACAGTGTGAGAAATCTCTCCTGCTTTATAACAAGACATCACCTTCTCAGTGTGAAGGGTTAAAAGCAGTCAGGCTGTGAAAGTGCGTAGCTTTCAGCTGTTCCCCAGGAAGTGTAACACGCAGAGATTTTGAAAGATCCTGACATACCCAAAGTTTTGACATGCTTATATCCTAAACGAGAAATTCTCCACGACATAAATATGGACCATTTTCTCTGACAGATGTAGGTGAGAACAAAAAGCTGGAGGACAGCTGAACCAGCCTGGGTAATGAGTTTTAATCTATATTCAATCCAAGCTCCAATCAAAGAATGTTGATGAATTAAGACCTGTTTAGCCTGCCTGCCAGCGGGATTGTTAAACTGCACCTCATTTCATGTTGTAGACACAGATTTGGTGGAACACGTGTGTCAGCCCGGTGTGCAGGACATGACTCGGGAGAACCCCCCATCACTTTTTTCCTTTTTTCTTTGTTTTTTTTTCTTTTCTTTATGAAGTGTAGGGACAGAAGGAGCACGTGGGTTATTATTACGACCAGATTTTAATGTGCTTTTAAAAAATTATTTTTGTAAGGAATTATTTTCTACTTCAACGGGCAAAAAATGTGGTTGATAAAAGAATATTTCATGTTTATCATCCACGAAAACATTTTTGTTTTGATATCAGGGCCTGAATTTAGTCACTGAGTGAAATTAGACTGTGAAAGAGCATCTTGCAATTAGGAACTCCCATTCCCACCCATTTTGGCAACCAAAGTGAAGATCATGAGCTGGCAACTGAAATCATAATGATAGCTAATATTTCTTGAGCCCTTACCATATGCAGATACTACAGAAAGCCATTTATATGTTATTTTCTCATAATCCCCACAACCATTATGCTCCTCATTTTACAGATGCAGAAGTAAGAGACAAAGGATAGTAACTTACTCCAAGTTACAATGGCAAGGGAGTAGCAGAGCCTGGCTCCATCCCATGCAATTCAGTGCCAAATCCCCACCCTTAGCCATCCCACCATGCCACACAACGTAGTCTGGTTTGGCAGGTTTTGATGCACTGTGGAAAAATCTCTTGTAAACCTGGACACAGCTGAGATCAGGACAACCAAGTCCAGAAATCTAAGGGCAATATGGAGCTGCTTCTGTGAGAGCCACATTGATTGAGCAATGCCCTCTTTTTCTTGAGATGGAATGTGTTAGGGGGTCTGCTTGCCTGGATGGTAAAGAATTCATGGTCTGAGTTAACTAACTCCTAAGGATTTGAGCAGCGTACAGCTGGTTCAGGTGAAAGTCCCTTCAGGTTGCGCCCTTTACCACAAGGACAGAACTTAGGTCAAGTTACCTCTCTGTGAGAGAGAAAAGGCAAACTTGGAGATTTTTCGCAAAGGAGTTGTATAAATATAAGTATGGGCTGGATAACTGCTTCTAATCACTCATTTGGGGCCAGTGAAGTCACTTATTTGCCCTGTTTACACAGTCAAAAAAGGTTATTCACAGGTCAGCCAATCAAGGCCTGCAGCATGCTTGAGCAACACCGCCATTATGGTAAAAGTCACATTCGCCCAGCTATTATCTGGCTTGCTAAATTTGCATTGGTCCTTCCTACATTGGCCTGTAATGCCCCTTCTTCTCTGTAAACATAAGCAGTAGCTTTTCATGCTTTTCTTACTCAATAAGCAAAAACCATTAGATCTTGATTTTCCTTTGGTAGAGGTACCACAGAAATGTCCCTTACAGATTCAGGTGAAAACAGCGGACGTATTATTCAATATATTATATTTCTGGAAAGGTTATTGATTTTTATTAGATGCACAGGCTAAGTTCCTTTCAGCCCACATTTATTTCTCTTACAAGATTGGATTGTATTTACTTTCATGGCCTGTAAAGGACTTGGAAGGCATGGCATGGAAGGGGTGTGAAATTCATGTTCAAGGAACTTAACGCTAGCGCAGTCTAGCCTCACCCAGAAAAGATTTAAGGTTATCTAGTCTAGGCAGGGTCTTGTAGTAGCTGAAGTGAAAAACTAGTTTAAAATAAAGCAAAGGCTCGCTTACAAACGAAGTGGCCAATTAGCTGAGGTGGAAAGGAAAAGTCTTCCTAAGTGCTTTTTTCACTAACTTATCATTTTCAAGTCATTATCAGGACAAGCAGAACTTACTCGCATCTCATTTTGATGAATGGGAGTTGTCACTGCAATTATTTGGTTTTATGTGGGTTGCCCAGGATGCTCAAGTGTTCATATCAGTATCAGTTAGAGCCAGCATCTGATGGAAAACTTCAAGACCAGCTCTAACTCCATCCCTTTCTTTGGGGCCCCACTCGTCCTGAATGACAATGAGATGACTTTCCAAACTTGTTAGAGCCATGCTGTCAATAAAAATGTCACTAGCAGGAGAGAACGTCTCATCAAGACTTCAGCGCTGCCTCATTTGTAAAGGGAGTCGCTAGGCGCCTTGGAAAAGACACCTGTCAGGTACTGCTTTTCTTTCAAAAAATGAGACTCTCCCTGGGGCATTTTCCAGCTGCTGCCTTTTTACCTCCTTCACCCAAGACTGGCCAAGGAAGCTTATATTTAGGCAGTAACTCACTCTTCCTTGGCTGTTTTCCTGTCTCTAGGACAGAAGGGAGTAATCAGCTTGGATCTTGAAGAAATTCCCAGGTAATACCAAAAAGCAATCAACCTATTCAAACTGTTGCTACAGTATAGGAAATGGAGAAGAATAGCCGTTCACTTTCTTCCTTCATGTTTTGGAGTAAACTCCACTTTTATTTTGCTAATGTACAGTCAGATCCTGTGTCCTAAATCTGTATTTTGAACTCCTTTTCAAAAGAAAGGAGTTAAGTTCTAGAAACTCCTAGACACTTGATGTGTTTCTCATTTATGTTATTTTTCAGGATCTAGAACTGAACCAAACCTGTGAATCATTCAACAAACACTTACTGGATACTGATTAAGTGCAAGTCACCTGTGGAGAATTCAAGATGGCTGCAAATACTTGTACCTACCTTCCATTGAGAAGCGGGGTCTTTGCCCCCATCCTTGAATCTGGGCAGCCTTTGGGACTGCTTTGAGCAATAGAATATGGCAGAAGTGTTGCTGTACCAGTTTTGAGGCCCAGACCTCCAAGAAACAAACAACTTGAGCTTTCCAACTTCCTGTCTCTCAGGATGCTCTCTCTGGGAGCTTTGAGCTGCCATATAAGAAGTCCGACTTCTGTGCCCACCACATTGGCGAGGCCACGGGCAGGCAATCTGGTCAACAGTCCCAGCTGAGCCCAGGCTCCTAGCCAGCCCTGCCAAGGTGCCAGACACGTCAGTGAGGCCTCCTGGAATCCTCCAGGTGAGCCCACAATAGATGAACACCATCACTATATGGAGAGAAGACTCACCCAGCTGAGCCCAGCCCATATTTCCAATCCACAATATCGTGAAATATAATGATGGCCATTTTAAGTCACCTAACAATCCCAAGTTGGAATAAATATTCTGCTAAAATCTGAACTCCAGTGTGCTTTGAGAGGTTGAAGTGACAAATGAGCCGGTGTGGGTAATGTGCACCCCACGGGGTCTGGCATGCAGTACTCATTCAATGAGAGGAAGAGCTCCTCTCTTCCTCTAGCCTATGTTTGTCAGTGTTACTGGAGTGTCCCAACTCTCCTCCTGGCTTTCAGCTTTTGCCTCTTGATTCCTTCTCCACATCCCTGCCAGAACCAACTTCCCAAAGCATAGTCATGTGTGTAATAGGGCAGATACCATTCATGGTCCCTGCAGCATCAAATTCTGTCTTCTTCTTCAGTAACAGGACTTTGAATATTAATTGGATATACAGAGGCACAGACTGAAGACTACACTTTCCAGCCTCCCATGCAGCTGGATGGAGCCATACAACCAAGTTTCGGCCAAAGGTATGTAAGCAGAAGTGGTTGCACAACTTCCAGAAATGTCTTTCCAGGGAGAGACCTGCCCTTCTCCTTCTTTGTACTACCTGGAATCCAGATATGTTGCCTAGAGCCCCATCTGCCGTCTTAGATAATGCTAACGAGAGCCACATCCTTACGGTGGCAGGCGATAAAGCTGGAAGGAGTATGGGATCCTGACTCATCTGTGGAACTGTCTGAGCAGCCCTGGATTCTTAGTAGTCCCTAGATTTTTATGGGAGAGATAAAAACTGTGGATTTAAGGTCTCCTTAGTTAGTTTGTTTTTGGCCAAATGCAGCTTTACCTAATTTTAACTGAAACACCTCCTAAGTATTAGGTGCAGACTATAAAGATGAACACAGTGTGGCTCCTGCTCTTCTGGAGTTCACAGTTATGAGTGAGTAGAACAATGAAGGGCTATAGAATAGGTGGAACAAATATTTATTTCACATTTTCTGTACCAGGGATAGTTTTTCATTCTTCATCTCACTTTGTCTTCACAATGGTCCTGTGAAATAATGATGGTTAAATCCATTTTATAGAAGAGGAAAAGGACTCAGAAAGTTGAGGCCATTCGCTTAGGGTCATGCTAGTAAGAAGTGAACCCCAAGACTATAACCCTTCCCTTCTGGATCCCAGCCCTTTCCCATTTCTGCCACATCACATCACAATCATCACAATAAGAAGGGTGCTGTTGAGGTCCAACTAAGGAGGTGACTTTTACACTGAACTTTGAAAAATTAGTAAATGTTTGAAAAACACAGAATGGGGGAACAGGAACTCTCTTTCTCTCTCTCTTTCTTTCTTTCTTTCTTTCTTTCTTTCTTTCTTTCTTTCTTTCTTTCTTTCTTCTTTCTTTCTTTCTTTCTTTCTTCTTTCTTTTCTTCCTTTCTTCCTTTCTCTCTTTCTCTCTTTCTTTTTCTCTCTTTTCTTTCATTCTCTCTTTCTCACTCTTTCTCTCTTTCTTTCTTTTTTTTGAGACAGTCTTACTCTGTCACCAGGGCTGCAGTACAGTGGTGCAATCTTGGCTCACTGTAGCCTTCACCTCCCAGGCTCAAGTGATCCTCCCACCTCAGCCTCCCAAGCAGCTGGAACTACAGGCACACCCCACCACGCCCTGCTAGTTTTTGTATTTTTAGTAGAGATGGGGTTTTGCCATGTTTCCCAGGCTGGTCTTGAACTCCTTGTGCTCAAGCGATCCATCTGCCTCAGCCTTCCAAAATGCTGGGATTACAGGAGTGAGCCACCACGCCCGGCCAATTTTTTTATTTTTCGTGGGGACGAGGTCTCACCGTGTTGCCCAGACTCAAGCAATCCTCCCACATCAGGATCCCAAACTGTTGGAATTACAGGTGTGAGCCACCACACCTGGTCTTATTTTTTTTTTTTAAATCTCCAGAGTCTGGCAGTGTCTTGTATATATAGCATGCAAGTTTTGAATAATTGATTATATTTCAACCTCTAGGGTAAATGGCATATTTTCTTGGAACATACTTAAGTCTTTCTTATAAATTTTTTCTCTCAATTTATTTTATAAAGATGACGTAATGTTGAACCAAACAAGAAAATGGAGACCCAAAGTACACAAATTGACCATAGGCATTGGTTGGTTTGGTATGTATCTAGCCAAGAGAAGAAGTAGGAACTATAAGGCAAAGATCCCATGGCCAACACACCCATACGCAATCACCTATCATTTGGCTTCATCTGCCTCGTAAAATCAGTCTCCTGGCTGCTTGAAGGCAGAGTTGCTTACAGTAAAGACATCAGAGAGGTCTTTGGAAACAGTGGCAATGAGGTTCTTCTGCCTTCCTTGAGCTCCTTAGGTGGTAAGGAGATGATGCTGTCAGAGGGAAATCTTCACCTTCACCTTTTCTATTGATCACTGGTTGATGTCTAATTCTGCTGGTTCATGAATGTTCATGGTGAGAAAATCCACTTTCTACTTATAAGAGATTCAGTTGCTTATTTTTCTGGTCTTAAGAAAACCAACATAGTCTGTGAAGGATAAAGTAAGTTGGTGATTTTTCACTTTCCAAAAGAATTATCTACTTTACCAAGTGATTCACAATATATTCCCTTAAATAACAAGATCCTCTATTGTGTTTAGAGTGTGATTATCTTTACAAATCTTAGTTAACATACAACACGTTGAGAACTCTTGTATAAAATAAACTCTCAAACTTAATGGGGTACTGGTTGGATTTTGGATGGCGGTAGTCTAGCTTGAAGTAGTCTACCTCTAATTCTTCATGGTTTTAAAAGAAAAATCATTGGCTCCACTTATGTTTTTCCATTTTATTTTTCTATTAGGAAAGAACGTGGCTCAGATGGATGTGCCAGAGGAAATGCACCAGGAAATCCCGAGCAGGGTGCAATCAGTCACCATTAATGCTCACAAGTATCAAAGCTACTTGAAGAAATACAGCTACTTATGGATGGATGATAAAATTGAATTCACGAAGCAGTTCCTTCTCCATGAGTGATTTCTTAGTGCTGAAAAACTAGAATTGCATGTGGACTATGAGTGTCAGAACTCCACACTGCAGTTAGCACACTTTACAGAACACGTATTGAATTTTAGCTGAGTCTAGCATCATCTTTTTCAACTCCCAGGACAGCTGTTAAATCATAAAATATTTTGAGATATAAAGCTCTTGCCTCTGAGAGATCTTTCCTTTTTTTCCCCTTTTCCTTTAAGATCAACATCTATGAAATATTATGTGAAGGAATTGATAACTTTAAAAATCAGAAGATATTTAGTGGCTAGCTTCAACTTGATACTTTTAAAAATCCATGATGAATGTTACAAAAAATGAGATTTGATGTTTAAGGAGCATCTGCTTAACCATTGTAACCTGTAGGTAGAGTAATTTGAATCTGATTGTGAAAGGAAATTAAAATAACACAAATCATTTGATGAAACTATCCTCATAGAATTCTAATTTAACTCAAATAATAAGTATTTTAATGGTTCTCCTATGTGCTTATTTTTAATGTCGTATTCTGTAAGTTACAAGAGAGTTGCTTTCATGCATGTGAAATGCAATTCTCTTCTTGCAAAAACTTGACACAATGCTTATCCATTTGATTTGATTGCATTTACGTGTTCATTAATATAATTGAAACATGTAGCTTCCCCCAAGTTTTCACAGGCTCATCCCTAATTAACTGTTGGCATTTTCTCATATTATATGTTAGTATAACTGAGTTAGGGCAATTTATTGATGAAATAGGGAAAGATTGAGCAGAGGACGTGAAGTGGGAATTCAGCCCATTGAGTACTGATTGGGGGACTGTGGGCAGCTGGACCATGCCAGGCAATAGCCCTAAAATCTCTGCTATTTTAACTGCTTTACTAAAGCATCCAGAAGAGATTTATATGGGCATAAGTGATAGGGACTCAAGAGAGAGAGGTTATCTCCAGGAGATAGTATTACTTTCCCCCAACTGGGCCCTGAACCACAAGTCAAAGGAGACTCATGGTCTTCTAAGTATGTTCTGTGTATTTACAGGGTATTTAAAAAAGTTTTAAAGATTTAATAGAACAGTCTGTGAACTTGGAAGGAGAAAAGAGAGCTTCTAATCCTTGCTCAGCACTTTTGAGCACTGTGATCTTGCTTGAGTGAGTTAGCCTGAGCGCATTTCTTCACAGTGCCCTTGTGGGGTCTAAATGCAATACTTATACAGGCTGCCTTGATGTAGCCAACCAGTATATGTTTATTGAAATATGAGGCTTTTAACCTTTTTTCTTTTCTTTTCTTTTTTTTTGTTTTTGAGAAGGAGTCTCGCTCTGTCGCCCAGGCTGGAGTGCAGAGGCGTGATCTCGGCTCACTGCAAGCTCTGCCTCCTGTGTTCACGCCATTCTCCTGCCTCAGCCTCCCGAGTAGCTGGGACTACAGGCGCCTGCCACCACGCCCGGCTAATTTTTTGTATTTTTAGTAGAGATGGGGTTTCACTGTGTTAGCCAGGATGGTCTTGATCTCCTGACCTCATGATCCACCTGCCTCAGCCTCCCAAAGTGCTGGGATTACAGGCATGAGCCACCACGCCCGGCCCTTAACCTTTTTTTAAATCAAGGATAGGAAATGAAATCCACAAAGGAGGTGGTCAATAAAATAAGCAAAGGAGATTTAAATGGAGATAACTTTTCAAATTAAGAGTTTAAAGTCTTATTTTTTTGTCCTTTACAGATTAATGTGAGGATATCTGACTAAAAGAATTAAGAAACCCCTACCTTTATTATTTATTTATTTTTTGAGATGGAGACTTGCTCTGACACCCAAGCTGGAGTGCAGTGGTGTGATCTCGGCTTACTGCAGTCTACACTTCCCGAGTTCAAGCGATTCTCCTGCCTCAGCCTCTTGAGTAGCTGGGATTACAGGTGCCCGCCACCACGCCTGGCCAATTTTTTTGTTGTTGTATTTTTAGTAGAGACGGGGTTTCACCATGTTGGCCAGGGTGGTCTCGAACTCCTGACCGCAAGTGATCTGCCCACCTTGGCCTCCCAAAGTGCTGAGATTACAGGTGTGAACCACTGTGCCCGGCCCCTACCCTTATTTTTGCTTTTGTATTATTCTCATTTCCTTGTATGATAGAATTGTTATGTTAACTGGCTATATTAATAAAATCAATGAGACAAATTCATATCAATCTGAGAAATTTTCATTTTAAAACTCAAATTTTATTTTAATGACATGAAGTGGAAAGAATTTGGTGGATAAACCTGGCAGGCACCCATTTCTGGTAACAGCTGGATTCCTTTTAATCTCATAGTGTAGTCCCCCCATTATGTGCTTACATTCATTTGAGAGGGTCCAATTTAAACAAGTAATGAAACCAAGATCTCTCAACTCTTATCCACACAGAAGAGCTCTCTTCCAGGGCTGCTGGTGAAAGCAGGTGCAATCAGAGGAGCCATAAGTCACAGCGATTCTGCAGGTGAGGAGGAAATGATGCCATGTGGCGAGACTTGGCCTGTTCAAGGAAAATCATCAGGATCACAAATACAGTTTCCTCCATGAAAGCTGGCTTCTCCTAAACAGTAACTACGTTCTTATGTAGATCTGAAATCATTGAAAATCTACATTGGAAGCAGCAGAAATCTTTGGAGTAGCTCTGCTCTGGGAGGAGGAGTTGCCACTCCCTGTGAAAAGCCAAGGCTAGGCTGGGTGCAGTGGTTCACACCTGTAATCCCAGCACTTTGGGAGAGAGAGATGGGTGGATCACTTGAGCCCAGGAGTTCAAGACCAGCCTGGGCAACATAGCAAGACACTGTCTCTACAAAAAAATAAAAAAATTTGGCCAACTATGGTGGCACGCACCTGTAGTCCCAGATACTCAGGAGGCTCAGGTTGGAGGATCACTTGAGCCCTGGAGATTGAGGCTGCAGTGAGCTGTGACTGCACCACTGCATTCCAGCGTAGGTGATGGAGTGAGACCCTGTCTCAAAGGAAAAAAAATAAAAATAAAAATAAATAAATAAATGCCAAGGCTAAAAAAGCTGAGCTTTCCATCATGTGGTGTCACCTTTACTCTGGAAAACATCACTAGACTACTATCTTTTTCACTCAGATAAGTTATAGATAAAAAAAGAAGAGTTGAATTCAGCTAAATAACCTATTGTGCATCTATGCAACACTAAGTGATCAACTTGACTGTTTTATATTTTACCTGCTTTGGTACCTTGCAGACACAGTATAAATTAGGTAATTCTTCTCTATATGCTTAAGTATATCACAAACAACAAAGAAATCTCTTGTTATGTTTACAATCAACTATTATCTATAATTAAGAAATATGTTTTAAGGCCTGCATTTGAACAGTGGCACAGGGCATTTGAAGGAAGGCAGAGGGACAAGCAAAATAGCTCAAGCCTGGGAAGGAGTCACACTAAGAGTTGGAGGGGCGACATGGGTACTTACACAAGTATTTTCTGAAATAACGAACAGCAAACATTTACTGTTGGTTGGCCCCTCTAATTACCCTCATATTTTTCTCACTTCATTTATCTCCAGTAACTGTTTCATGTAAACTACATCGAATTAAATATTTATTCTGAAAGGCTGAGGTGGGTGGATCACCTGAGGTCAGGAGTTCGAGACCAGCCTGACCAATGCGGTAAAACCCCATCTCTACTAAAAATACAAAAATTAGCCGGGCATGGTAGCGTGTGCCTGTAGTCCCAGCTACTTGGGAGGCTGAGACAGGAGAATTGCTTGAACCTGGGAGGCGGAGGTTGCTGTGAGCTGAGATTGCACCACTGCACTCTAGCCTGGGCAATAGAGTAAGACTCCATCTGAAAAAAAAAAAAAAATTACTGTGGGAAAAAAAAAATGCCCAGAGGAAGGCAAAGGTTAATAGTAGATAAAAAATAGTAGGCTAGGTTGCAGAATATTATGGATTATTCAGGAGTTCAAGCTCAGTTCTTTTTTTTTTTTTTTTAAAGACAAAGTCTCACTCTGTCGTCCCGGCTGGAGTGCAGTGGCATGATCTCGGTTCACTGCAACCTCTGCCTCCCGGGTTCAAGAGATTCTCCTGCCTCAGCCTCCTGAGTAGCTGGAATTATGGGCATGTGCCACCAGGCCTGGCTAATTTTTGTATTTTTAGTGGACATGGGGTTTTGCCATGTTGGCCAGGCTGGTCTCGAACTCCTGACATCAAGTGATCCACCCACCTCAGCCTCCCAAAGTGCTGGGATTATAGGCATGAGCCACTGCGCTTGACCCTCAAACTCAGTTCTTGAATCTGGAGATTATTTGAAGGAACTGAATGTTTTTTCTTTCTGTTTTTTATTTTAGTTTATTCGTCAAGTTTGCTGGCCTCAGATTCACAGGAGCAGAAGCTGTGCAATTATGGAACCTGAAGTTGCTAGTTCTTAAGTATTGCTTTACATGAGATTAAGAATGTGAATGAGTTCAGATTACCAAGAAATAGAACCATAAAGAAGACTTATAGTGGGGAGAAAAGGTGAAGCTAGAAACCATAGGCCCTTTGGTATCAGAAATTTTAACCAAAGCTGATGTAGAATGCTGAGGGATGTGTGTCAACCTGAGTGGGCTAAGGGATGTCCAGATGGCTGGTGAAGCATTATTTCTGGGTATGCCTATGAGGGTGTTTCCAGAAGAAATTTGCATTTGAATCAGTGGGCTGAATAGAAAGATCTGCCTCACCCAACGACGATGGGAACCTTCCAATTGGCTGAGGGCCCAGACAGAACAAAAAGAAAGGGGAAAGACAAATTCACTCTCCTGGAGTTGGAACTTCCTTCTTCTTCTGTCCTTGGACATCAGAACCCCAGGTTGTCCAGCTTTTGGTCTCTGGGACTTGCACAAGCAGCACCCCCAGGTTCTCAGGTCTTCAGCCTCAGACCAACACCATTGGCTTCCTTGATTCTCAGGCCTTTGCACTTGGATTGAGCTACACTACTGGCTTCCCTACTTCTCCAGTTTGCAGACAGCCTGTCATGGGACTTCTCAGCCCCCATAACCACATAAGCTAATTCTTCTAATAGATCTCCTCTGTTTGTATATATGTACCTATCAC
Organism: Homo sapiens; assembly: GCF_000001405.40. NCBI lineage: Eukaryota > Metazoa > Chordata > Mammalia > Primates > Hominidae > Homo > Homo sapiens. Next base: position 173,808,509 of record NC_000002.12, on the reverse strand, counting down.
CTATCTATCCATCCTTCCTATTGGTTCTCTTTCTCTTTCCTTGACTAATAACACACGGGAAAGAAAGGAGTTAAGTAGTTCAGTATAAAAACAGAAACTAAGACTGCCCATTCAAGAAGAAGTTGTGCTGATTGTTTCAAGGAATTCCAGCAAGGAAATGTGGATGGGAGAACCCATTGCCAAAGCGACATGGAAGGTGCTATGATCTGAATTTATTTGTATCTCTCCAAGTCGGGTGTGGTGGCCCATGCCTGTAATCCCAACACTTTGGGTGGCTGAGGCTGGTGGATCATCCAAGGTCAGGAGTTTGAGACCAGCCTGCCCAACATGGTTAAACCCCATCCTTACTAAAAATACAAAATTAGCCAGGTGTGGTGGTGAGCACGTGTAATCCCAGCTACTTGGGAGGCTGAGGCAGGAGAATCACTTGAACCCAGGAGGCAGAGGTTGCAGTGAGGCGAGATTGCGCCATTACACTCTAGCTTGGGCAACAGAGTAAAACTCTGCCTCAAAAAAAAAAAAAAATTATCTCTCCAAAATTCATGTGTTGAAATCCTAACCCCCAAGGTGATAGTATTAGGAGGTGGGATCTTTGGGAGATAAGGTCATGAGGATGGAGCTCTCATGAATGGGATTAGCACCATTATAAAAGAGACCCAAGAGAGTGACCTCACTCCTTTTACTATGTGAGGACACAGTGCAAAGGCATCTATATGAACAAGAAAATGGGTCCTCGGCCGGGCGTGGTGGCTCACACCTGTAATCCCAGCACTTTGGGAGGCCGAGGCGGGCGGATCACGAGGTCAGGAGATCGAGACCATCCTGGCTAACACGGTGAAACCCCGTCTCTACTAAAAATACAAAAAATTAGCCGGGCGTGGTAGCGGGCGCCTGTAGTCCTAGCTACTCGGGAGGCTGAGGCAGGAGAATGGCGTGAACCCGGGAGGCGGAGCTTGCAGTGAGCCGAGATCGCGCCACTGCACTCCAGCCTGGGCGACAGAGCGAGACTACGTCTCAAAAAAAAAAAAAAAAAAAAAAAAAAAAAAAAGAAAATGGGTCCTCACCAGACACCAAATCTGCTGGTGCCTTGATCTTGGACTTCCCAGGCTTCAGAACTATAAGAAATAAATATCTGTTGCTTATAAGCCATAGGGATGTGGTTTATGGTATTTTGTTACAGCAGCCTGAATGAACTAAGACAGATGTGGAATTATGTTCAACTGCAGATCTCAATCTCTCTGCAGCGTCCCCACACCTACTACTTTGGGTAGTAGGAAAGTGAAGGGTGCACGGGGCTCCCATTGGTCCTAAGATGGAACTCTGTATTCACATGGAAGTTGCAGCTGAATCAGTCTGAAGATAACTGGAGCATCTGCATCTCAGCCCAGTGAAGGCTTAGCAATGTGATGAAATAATGTAAATTATTTGGAAAATAATAGAGCGGTGGGTGTAAGAAGAGGTAGCAGTTCACCTTCAGGAGAAAAAGCTTTTTAGCCCTCTGGCCCTGGGCTGGGAGGGCCATGCATAGATTCTGAAGGCAGAGAAATGATTCATGAGCTTGACATTCCAACCACTTGTTTTCACATGGGTTAGAAATAAGAAGCACTGCTTTGGGAACATAGATGTTGGAGTTGAAAAGATCTGGTATTGAAACTCGGTTAACTATAACCTCAAATAAATTTCCATTTCTGACTTTTGGTTTTTGCTTTCCAAAGTGAGAACATGAATAGCTAGCTTCCTTGTAGGGCTATTGAGTGGCTTAAAAGAGATAATGTATGTAAAGCACATAGTTTGGTGCCCAAGTGTAGCTATTAGTAAAGTACAATAGTTTGTAAAATAGTAAAACCTTTATTCTTGCTCTGACATGATTCTGCTAACCACCAGCTGTGGGACCCTAGGCCAGGGAGCTTTGGGGCTTGGTTTCCTCACCAGGAAGGTAGACCAGGTTGTTGGTCTAGATTTTTGAGTTGGGCTTCTCAAACTGGCATTGGATTCTTTTTTAAAGTCTGATCCTGGTTCAGTAGGGCTGTGGTGGGGCCGGAGGGTCTTGCAGGTCCAAGGAGCTTCTGGGGCTGCTGATCCTGCCGGTCCATGGACCTCACTGTCCACGCTTTTAACATCTGGAATGTTTCACTTGCTATGAATCTATTTAAAAAAAAAAAAAAACACACACACCAAAATTTGACCTCTGAGTCTCTGAGAGAATGAGATACTGTATTTTTCTTCGAATGAAGAGTGTGGCAGAGAGAGTCTGTGGGTGTCTGGGAGGTGGGGGGTTTAGGCCCAGGGAGACTGGAGCTCGTGACTGATGGTGACAGAAGGGGAGGTGTAAGGTATAGAGTTGGGGGAGGGGGTGAGACAAAACCAAAAGGGTTGTGCAAGGCAAATTGCATCTCATTCCCTATTGTGTTCAGGCCCTAACTGGGACTTGGCAGAACAATACAAACCCCATATCTCCTTAATATTTTCAAGGGGAGCCACTGTAAAACTTAGTGTTTCTGAATTTAATCCATTATAGGTTTCTGCACTTAATGAAATTACAGTTCAACAAACAATATAATTGCCCTAAATACTGCTTTAATGTAATTATGTGTAACTCACTGGAACATGCCATTGCATTCTATAATTATGACAGATAATGTTATAAAATTCTTTATCAAATACATGCAAGGAATACAGTTTACATGTTAATCAGTGTCAGTGTTTCCACCTGACAATGTCCTGACTTAACAAAATGATAGGAATGTAAATATGTTTTTCAGACAGCTAGACGTAATCAATGGGACCAAAGTGAGATAGATTGAGGTCAGTGTTTCTCAAAGTGAGGCCTGCGGATTATCTGCATCGGAATCCCCTGGGCCCTAGTTAAAATGAAGATTCTTAGGCTCCCTGCAGCTCTTACAGAATCAGAATCAGCAGGGTGGGAAATCTGGACTTTTAATTATTAGGTTGATGCAGAAGTAAATTGCGGTTTTTATCATTAAAAGTAATGACAACCTTATAGTAGGCTTTGGGCATTCTTAGGTACCCTAGTTTTTGATCTGGGGTTTGCCTTTCTCCAGACATCATCTGGAAACCAGGCAAGGGGAAGTCTGGCTGGGCAGAGGGAGCCCTTGTGACCTCTGTACCCAGATGTCTGCATTTGAACAGTCCACGGAGCCCCCTTACCCAGGATGTCCCATATCTCATCCCTGCTCCACTGCCTTTGCTCCCTCGACCAGGATATGACACCACCAACCCATCCCAGTGCCCAGTGACGGACCTGGGGTCGTCTTGACTCCCCATTATAACTATGCCATCAGTTACTGAATCTGGTCAATTTCACCTCCCAAGTCATTCTTAACAAGTCTTCTCCCACTGTTTCCCTCTTCTACTACCTTAGACCATGACCCTAATCATCTAATCATTATTTTAACAAATATTTATCTGCCCAGTACCTACCGTGCTACCAGGTGATCAGTTCTCAGAAGAAAATGGAGCAAGGAGGGTGAAGGGGAAGATGGGCAGTTTGGGTAGAGGAATGGCATGACTGCCAAATCCTAAAAGGATCTCCCTGGCCACTGTGTTGAAGGTGAACTGAAGACAGAAAGAAGCAGAAACAGGAAGAATGGACAAAATGCTATTCCACATCCCAGGCAAGAAATAAGGCTGGCTTATAGTGGAAATGATAAGAAGTCACTGGATTCTGCCTATAACCCGAAGGTAGAACCAACCAGAGCATTTGCTGAGGGAAGGGCTGCAGGATATGAGAGATAAGTAGACAGGGAGTGGCTGGAAGGCTATCACTGCCACCAAGGTGGGGAAGGCTGCGTGAGGACTAGGTTTGCAGTGGGAAGGGACAGGGAGGAGATTAAGGACTCAGGGTTTTTGTTTGTTTTTTGTTTTTGAGACAGGGTCTCCCTCTATTGCCTAGGCTGGAGTGCAGTGGGGCAGACATGACTCATCGCAGCCCCAACCTCCTGGTCTGAAGCAATCCTTCCACCTCAGCCTCCCAAGTAGCTGGGACCACAGGTGTGCACTATCATGCCCAGCTATTTTTTTCTAAATTTTTTGTAGAGATGAGGTCTCACCAGGCTGCTCTTGAACTCCTGGACTCAAGCGATCCTTCCACCTTGGCCTCCCAACGTGATGGGATTATGAGCCTGAGTCACTGCGCCTGGCCAAGGGCTCAGTTTTGAATCTGTTAGATCCATCATCTCACTGGAGCACCCAGTGGCCTCTTAATTGATTTCTATTCCTTGAGCCTTATCCTTCATGGGGCTGCCAGAGTGTTCTAGACAAAATGCAAAAAGAAATTTCCGCTTGCATTAGTACATGTTCTAGACAAAATGCAAAAAGAAATTTCCACTTGCATTAGTTCACTCTGGCATTGCTATAAGAAACTACCTGAGACTGGGTAATTTAGGAAGAAAAGAGGTTTAATTGACTCACCGTACCACAGGCTATACAGGAAGCATGGCTGGGGAGGCCTCAGGAAACTTACAATCATGGTGGAAGGTGAAAGGAAAGCAGGCACATCTTCATATGGCAGAGCAGGAGAGAGAGAGAGAAGAGGAAGGTGCCACACACCTTTAAACAACCAGGTCTCATGAGAACTCATTCACTGTCACCAGAACAGCAAGGGGGAAATCTGCCCCTATGATCCAATCACCTCCCACCAGCCCCTCCTCCAACACTGGGGATTACAATTAGACATGAGATTTGGGCGGGGACACAAATCCAAACCATATCACCACTCTTCTGCATAAAATCTTTCAGTGGCTCTGTTATCTGCAGGGTAAAGTTTAATGGTATGGGATTTATGGGTCTGTCTCCTGCCTGCCTGTCTACTTTTGCTACACCCTGCTGTGCCCTGATACAGATCTGTTAGTAATTGCCCCCAGCATGGGATGTCTCTCCTCTCTGCCTTTGCTATGTTGCACCCTTTGCTAATAATGCTCTTCCCCAGTACACTTCTTGAGCCTGATGTCTTAGTCATCATTTTATCTCCAGCAACTAGTATAGTGAACTCACTAAAATTCTCACTGGGACTTTCTGAGGAGGATGTCATAATCATAGTTACTCCCATTTACAAATGGAGAAATTGAGGGTCAGAAAAGTAAACTGACTTGAACTGAACCAGAATTGATTATCCCAAGGTGACAAAGTTGAACACAGATCTGTAATGCCCCAAAGTCATTTTGTTTTTACTACACCCTGCAGAATGACTTCCATTCACGCCTAGAGCCAGATCTGCCAGGCTTCCCTTTTTCCAGGGGCCAAGTTGGCTGCCATTTAACTGCCCCGTCTACACTTATGAATCTCTCACAATTGAGATTCTTCCTGTGAAGGATTCTCTTGAGTTAACAGGAAAACTCTGTGTGTGTTATCCATCACACTCCTAGCTAAATGAGGAAGCAAAAAATCCACAAAATAGTACACAGCTTTCTTGCCTATAGAAAGCATCTTGGACTTCATAATTTCTTTTAAAGCCACCTGGCAAACCATCATTTTTACCATTAAAAAATACATAAAAACAATACAGAAAATCTGGAAAATAAGAGAAAAATTTCACTGTGATATTATTATATATATTGCTTTTTGTCCATGGTTCCTAGCTCATAACTCATATAATCCTTGTTACAGTCTTTTGTTATAATACTGGGGCTCTTTAGGCCTCAGAAGCAGGCCTCAGGAAACAAAATCTTTTTCTCTTTGATCTTCTCCTGCCTTCCTTTCACCTGCCCAAGGCAGGACTCTAATCTGATTGTGGGTCATAAGACCCTCATTCCAGAGAGAGACCAGCCCCATACCCTAGAGGAAGGAATGCTACACAGAGAGGCCAAGAAAAGTCTGAACAGACAAGGCCTGCTGGGTTTAGATCATGTGCTTTTTGTCCAGTCACATTTCTACACAGTTGTCAATCATGCCTGTGTAATGAAGCCTCCATAAAAACCCAAGAGGATAGAGTTTGGGAGCTTCCAGATAGCTGACCATGTGGAGGTTCCTGGAGGAGGTTGGCTTGAGCAGGGAGGTCATGGAAGCTCCACACCCCTTCTCCCATACCTCACCCTGTTCACTTCTTCATGTGTATCCTAATATCCTCTATGCTAAACCAGTAACCTGTTTCCTTCAGTTCTGCAAGCCGCTCCAGCAAATTAATCAAACCCCAAGAGGGGATCATGGGAGCCCCAACTTGAAGCTAGTTGGTCCTGGGGACTGAGACCTCAACCTGTGGGATCTGACACTATGGCCAGGTGGATAGTGTCAAAATTGAATTGGAGGACACCCAGCTGGGGTCTGCTGCTTGGTGTGTGGGGAAAACCCTGCAGACATTATAATGGTCACGGAAGTCTTTTTTCTGTGTTGATGATAATTGTGGTGGTGGTGTGAGAGCAGAGAAAAACCCGGTTTCAGAGTTTTCCCAAAATAGTCACCTACTGGAACATAAAAATAGTTTTTTTTTACATATTTCTTTCCATCTTTGTCATATTATATTTATTTTTATGAGGTTAGATGGCATGTGCAATAATCAAACTACTATTTTACTAAATATTGTAGCAGAAACATCTTCTGTTTCTACGTAGTCTTTACATTTATAATTTAAAATCCCTGCCTTATATTCCAGCCCATGAATGTACCAAAATTTAGATGTTGCATGAGGTTGTTGAGAATTTTTTACTATTAGCATCAATGTGAGGTATACCTTCTAATGTATGCTGTTTTTCACTGCTTCTTTCTCTCTCTCTGTCTTAAAAAAAAAAATAGACAGGGTCTCACTCTGTTGCCCAGGCTGGTATGCAGTGGTGCAATCCTAGCTCACTGCAGCCTCAATCTCCTGGGCTCAAGTGATCTTCCTTCCTCAGCCTCCTGAGTGGTTAGAATTACAGGCATGCACCACTATGCCTAGCTAGCTTTTAAAATTTTTATTTTGAAGAGACAGGGGTTTCACTATGTTGCCCAGGCTGGTCTTGAACTCCTGACTTCAAGTGATCCTCCTGCCTTGGCTTCCCAAAGTGCTGGGATTACAGGCATGAGCCACAGTGCTAGGCCAGTTGTTTCTTTCTGAATGATTTCCTTAGGATAAATTCCAGGAACTAAGATGGATTAAACTTTTTACCAGTATAATATACAATGTGAAAAAGCATTTCAAGAGAGCTGCTCCAACTGGGAGGCTTTTCTATTTTTTCAGGGCTATCTACAGAGGATGCACTGGCCCCCATGGGGACATTTCAAAGGTAGTTAGAAAACTGCTTTTCTGGGGTCTTGCAGGAGAACTCAAGTGTCCAGAACAGACGCCTTCCAATGGAGGGTGGGGCCACTTCCACAACCGGCTCCTTCTCGTAAGCTTCAAAAGCTAAGGTTGTGAAGGAACTTTCCTCTTTGGCAGATGAGTGTCCTTTCTTCTCGTCCCAAATTAAAATGAGCTGGAAGGGTACATACCACTTGGCTGTAGGCAGATGTCCGGATGCATAAGAAGACAGCTAGCTCCACTAAAGATTAATGTGTATTAAATACTTGCTCCAGAATGTCAGTAACACTGAAATTTGAGGCTTTTCTCTCTCACTTCTAGCCCATAGTATGACTAGAAAAGGCAATGCAGGTACAATAATGGCAGTGAACATTAAAGGAGTGCCTACGATCTCATCTTCATGGAAGCCTTATTGTTATCATTAGTCCCATTTAATAGATGAGGAAACTGAGTGTTGGAGCTGTTCAATGTCTTAGCCATGGGCTCTCACAGTTAGTAAGCAGCAGAACTGGGAACTGAGGAATCCAGCTGCTGCAGACACCATAGAAGGGAAAATCTTTGTACCATAGTACTAATAGTGCTGCTGCCATGACTTTATCTGGAATGTTAGAATTTTTATTAAGCAATTATTAAATAACATTTAATTAGAGACCAGTTATAAAATGTGCTTCCCCAGAGTAAAAACTGAGGTTTGGGCTTCACTTCTGTCACTGAGACTAAGGGAGGGTGGAGGCTACAATACTCATGTCGGGAATCTGTAGTTTTTCTCAAGCTTAGCTTCTGAGAAATTTGCAGACCTGTAAGAGATAAAAACCAGCGACTTTTCTAAGTATGATCGCTCACTTTTCCATTTCCATCTTTCAAATAGTCTAATGCTTCCCGGGACAAATAGACTTTACTATGAAAATATGTTCTTTTAAGATGCAATTGGAAGACAGATTTCACGTATCCTCGTTTATGAATGCATTGTCAACGAATTATGTTTATCTATTCAACTTGTGTAAATAAAAGCCAAATAAGGCTCAGAAATAGGTTTCTCAGCAATTTGACTTTCTGAGGCAGAGAGTCTAATAGGAGCTTGTGGATATATTCTCCTTAGTTAAAAATGGGGTGATCTGAGGAAACTTTGGGGGTGATGAATATGTTCATTATCTTGGCTGTAATGGTGGTTTCATGGGTATATACATATCTTACATTTTATTAAATTATACTTTTAAAATAAGTGCAGTTTATTCTATGTCACTTATACCTCAAGAAAGCCATGAAACTAATAAAGACAAAAATGGAATCAACCTATGTATCCAGTTTATGAAACTTGTTAAACAAGCTGGCTTTATTATTCCTGTATTACGAAAAGCTCACCCCGAAATGGCTAAAAAAGAATCTATTAGAAAACTGTAGCTCACTTTGAATAAACCTTACTATCATGTAGGGATAAATATAACAGAACTTGAGATCTGGACAAAATTTTGTTGAAATTGAGGAAATGCAAGGGGAAATAGATAGATGTGTGCCTCTAGGTTGAAGGCCTGATTTCAAGCAAATTTGGTTTCTGGCTGCTACTGATTGACACCTGACCTTGTAAAACTGCATGAAATCAGAATTAAGCAGAGATGCTACAAAATCAGCACTAGGTTCATGGAGTTATGGAAAAGGGAGGGATATAGAAGATCATCTTCCTTATTTCCCTGGCCTCTGAGAAGGTGTATATCTTTTGTGGCAGAACGTTCTGTTTATATTTTCGTCCTCAGGCTAAATATTCCACTGAGCGCTTCTCTATTGATGAAAAGCATTGGCATACACAAAAAATTAGTTGATGGAGCGGGTTTTCTACTGTGAAAAGCAAGATCTGTGAATAGACAGCGTTCTGTGACACACAAACACACTTTCCTTTGCAAGTGGCTAACCCAAGGCAAGGGCATCTTATTTCCAGGGATGAGAAATACCAACAAAAATATAAGTGATAAATTTTCTAATATGTGTGCTAGGCTGTTAGTAATTATTTATCTTGATATAACTATCTTATAACTATCTTACATTCCTTTGGATAGAGACCTTTTGGTTCTACTCCTCAATCTCAGAAAAGGAGATCTATCTGAATTTGGAGAAAGGGAAAAAAAGAATAAATATTTCTTGTGTGCCTTTTCTAGGTGATCTCCTGATTTTAGTACATTTTAAGTCACAAAGAAGACACCACAGTAACCATCAGAACCCAAGCCATACTTAACCATTTTGTGATGACAAAATGAAATAACTCATCCTTTTTATACTCAGACTAACACAAGATGAGCTGCCACTGTCCTCCTTTCCAGAAGGGAATCCCCCTCAAAGTGTCCTCTCAGTTATCACTGTGAATTGCCAGGAACCTAGGCCCCTGAAAACCATAGAGTGTCCCTGGGAACCAGTCCCTTTATTCATCTTTCTGTGTAGGCTTCTTATCCTGAAGGCTAGGCATGCCACTGGTGGCACGACAGCCACTCTGATGGGCCCATGTCCAGCACCCAGCTACTCCAGCCCTGGGGAGGGCCTCCTGCCCTCCCTCATTCCACTGAGTACCTCAGGTTGGGCCATGGTTTTTGGCTCTTTCTCTGAAGGCTTGGGGTAACAGAAAACAAAGTGGGTCCCAGCTGACCCTAGAATGCGCCACTCTGAAAGCTCACAAGCCAAAATCTTCCTTCATAATCCTCACAGGTTTCCCAATGGCAGGAACAACTCAACCCCTTCGGCCAACGGGCACTCCCAGGGACTTAGAACTAGAGTCCAGTGAACTTGCAGTCCCAGGGAGGACCTGTGCTCCCCTCCTCCAATATCCATCCGTTCATTTCCTGCCTCTGGGTGACAGACAGTGGTGATGGATCTGATCCATTCCCTTCAGGGGGGATCTCCAGTGGCCCAGATACAGTTCACCGTACAGTTCCCTAAATTCAGCTTGTTCAGCCTTGGATAACACCCTGTGACGGACACCATTCATCCAGTCCAGGGCGGGTCAGTACCAAGGCTAGCCCAGGGGATTCACTGTGTCCCCAGAGTCAGGGGAACAGGGGATCTGGCTCGCAAACCCCTGATAGTTCAGCCTCAATCTCAACTTCCCATAAGAACATGACTAGACACAAAAGACATAATATGTCCCAGGCTCTAGGCAGTCTAAACCTGGGTATAGGAGGATAGCCCCACTGAGATTCCATAGAAGAGTACTGCTACAAAGCCCAGCTGACACTGTGAATAGGATACTCAACCTCTCAGTCTGAAGTCTGGGTTTTTCGCTTTCTAGTCTACCTCAGAGTCTTCCTGAGAACAATGGGCCTACTTATGCATCATATATGCATGACTAAAGACTCATTAAAATGGTCCCTCCAGCTTGCCGCTCACAAAAAAGCAAGTTATTACCTTAAAATAAGTAAGGTTGGGTTGCGCTTAGATTATGGCCACTTAATTAGTACCTCATAATGGGGGCTGCTTTGACTCCAGTAAAAACCTGAAGGGTGCATGCCAGTTGGAAGTGATTCTGAAGATGCAGCCTGCAGTCTGAGCCTGCCCTCACAGAGGGAATCTGTGTCAGATTATTTCTCTCTCTCTCTCTCTCTGTTTTTTATTTTCTTCAAATTTGGGATTATTTATACTCTTCAATATATTTAAGAAGAGAAAATATGTACAAAAAAGATAAACTGAAAACATCAAGAGAAGCCATTCCTGTGGAAACAAAGCGTGATAGTTTCATCACCCTGAGTTGGCTTTGGAAGCCGATGAGCTAGCCTGCAATTTCCAATTGTTGTATTTGCCTAGGAATGTGATTTTGAAGGGCAGGGGAAAACATCTGAAGGAAGTGAAGAGAGCTTAGGTTGGGGCAGTGATCAGAAATCATGATGGGATGGCTTTTGCTTGCCTGGATTTGTGACTGGATACAGCAAATTTGTATGTCTAAAGAATTAATTATCACATTTGGCAAGCATTTTTTTTTCTATGTTGAAGCACAGAGTCCCAGAGATATCAAACAAATGTGTTTTCAGGGATAAGAAAGAATATTTTGATTCCTCTAGGAGAAGACCTTTCTGTACCTTCAGCATCCTGGAAAAGGGAAGTGGTTAGAATCAGTGGTATAGGAATAAGAACCTACTGAAATGGAAGAGTGAGAGATCCTCGAAGAATATGAATTTGCCAAGGACATTCTTCTTCTAGCATTTACCACCATTCATCAAAGACTTTTATAATCACTCATGGATACAGAATAGGTTTAGAAAACATTTCAGACTTTTGATTCTAAGTTAAATGCAGTCCCAAAGTCATTAGAGCCATTGAGAATCTTAGAATGTCCACAGGATTTCCAGAAATGGAAGAATATTGCAACTTTGCAAACTCACTGTATTGTATAAAATCCCCCCTGTTTCAGCTTATCTGGAAAACTCCCTGAAAAGGAAAAGTTATGATGGGAGTGTAACCATCCAACAGGTTCACCTTGCCCACTGCCTAGACAGAGTCAATTTATCAAGACTGGGGAATTGCAATAGAGAAAGAGTAATTGATGCAGAACCACCTGTGTGGGAGACTGGAGTTTTATTATTACTCAAATCAGTTACCCTTAGCATCCAGGGATCAGAGTTTTTAAGGATAATTTGGTAGGTAGAGGACAGTGAATCTGGAGTGTTGATCTGTTGGGTGGGAGATGAAATCATAAGGATTCAAAGCTGTCTTCTTGCACCAAGTCAGTTCCTGGGCGGGGGCCATAAGATCAGATGAGCCAGTTTATCGATCTGTGTAGTGCTAGCCGATCCATCAAGTGCACAGTCTGCAAAATCTCTCAAGCACGGATCTTAGGTTTTATAATAGTGACGTTATCTCCAGGAGCAATTTGGGGAGGGTTGGAATCTTGTAGCCTCCAGCTGCATGACTCCTAAACCATAATTTCTAATCTTTTGGCTAATTTGTTAGTCCTACAAAGGCAGTTTAGTCCCCAGGCAAGAAGGGGGTTTGTTTTGGGAAAGGGCTATTGTCACTTTGTTTTAAACTATCAACTAAGTTCCTCCCAAAGTGAATTTGGCTTATGTCCAAAAATGAACAAGGAGAGCTTGGTGGTTAGAAGCAAGATGGAGTTGGTTAAGTCAGATCTGTTACACTGTCTCAGATATTTATTTTGCAATGGTGGTTTCAGGAGTTTGATATCTGAGTTCATTTTTACATTTTAAATGCATGTTTATAAAATCATTTGTGTATGTAAACATTTATTTTAAAGTGTTTGTGTTTCTTTGTTTGATCACTCTGATATTTTTATTATTCAAAGGCATTTGGGGAATACAACCCCAATTTTTAACATTGTATGTATAGGACATAAGGCTCTAAATTATCTGTGCATTTTAGAGTTTACATAGCACCAAGCTTTTTAACAGATATGATCTCATTTAAACCTCAGGACAGGTCTGGAGGAAGGTATTTTTTCCAGGTAAAGAGGAAACCAGGCCTAGTAATTTGCCTACAGTCACCCAGCTGGTTAAAGGCTGAGCATGAATATTTAAATATAGGTTTGTCTGGCTCCCAAATCTGTGCTCTTTCCCTGCCAAGAAAGCTGCTTTCTAGGACTTACATGGTTAAAAAAAAATTCTTCCTGACTTTCAGCTCAAGTGACTATCCTAATAACACACACACCCATACCCCGGCCTCTTGCACACACAGTCTAACTCTCAGGCCTTGAAGATTTTCCCTGATTTAAATCTTGATTATTTAATTTGAATTATTTGGGAATCACAAAGTGCTTCAAGGTTTTTCTAATTAGAAAACATTCCTAGGGAGCAAAGTAACATGGAAAACAAAACAATGCGCTTTAGAGAAAGATTAACGTATAAATAGGAGATGGTAAAATCAAAGCCTGATAATCATTAAATTAAGCATTGAATTCCACCAGTACCTCCTAAATACCCACTGTGTGCCAGGTCTAATGTTTGTTGGAAAGCAGGTTTCTAAAGTGCCTTAGATCCTCTTTCAATCTTTAAAACTTGGCAGAATGAAAACAAGACGCCCCCAGAAAGAAAGATAGAAAAAGAGAGAATAGACTTCTAGTTGCTATAAAAATTATTGCTCTCCTACACCAGGAATTTTGGATTGAAAACTAAAGTTCAAAATGGGCTTAACTGAAAGGATTTTGGGCTTTCCATGATTTAGCTAGACCCCCAATTTTTCCAAAATAATTCAATGTCTCTCCTCTTTTCCTCCTTATTTTTGCCTTTTGAAAACTTGAGATTCAATGCCTTATAAAAGTATTTATATGTCTGAACATTGAACATGAGTAAAAATACATTTAATAAGAAGAAAGTAATCTTAGACAGGTTCATGCACTGGAGCTTGCTTCCTAATCTGATTTTTTTTTTTTTTTTTTTTTTTTTTGAGACAGGGTCTCACTCTGTCACCCAGGCTGGAGTGCAGTGGCGCTGTCGGCTCACTGCAACCTCCACCTCCTGGGTTCAAGCAATTCTCGTGCCTCAGCCTCCTGAGTAGCTAGGATTACAGGCGAGTGCCACCATGCCCAGCTATTTTTTGTATTTTTAGTAGAGATGGGGTTTTGCCATGTTAGCCAGGTTGGTCTTGAACTCCTGACCTCAGGTGATCTGTCCACCTTGGCCTCCCAAAGTGCTGGGGTTATGGGCGTGAACCACCATGCCTAGCCCTGATTTTTGTTCCAAAGTCTGATTTTCTTGTACAAACAAACGAAAACATGGCATGCTGTTGTATCAAATTTAACTTATTTAACTTTCATTAATTAAATTTTGTAAATTTGCTTTGCATAATGAGTTCAGCTCCGTTACTAATGAGAAAGGTGGAAGAGGACTTTGGCAAAGCCAAGATATGTGTGTGTGTGTGTGTGTGTGTGTGTGAGCTCACATGGGTGTGACTGTGACTGTGTGGGTGACGTTGTCCTGTTTAATTAAAGAATGGAGGCGGGGTTTTGCAGGGAGCCCTGTTGGTAAACAATGCCTGTTTGCAGGCTACTCAGGAACGACCTGGGAAGTGGAAGGATCTGAAAATGTTGTGCATGAAGTGGCCCGTTGGCTGTCCAATGAAGTGTCTGTTATCAGAAGGAAATGTGTACTTTTTGAGGTGAGATCGGTTCTGTGCTCTGAACCGAATGATTTTTCATTTTTTGTTCTGATAACAAGCTGGTTGTAAGCTTCACTGAACTGATAAATTGTAAACTCTTAGAAAAGGCTGTCTAAAGATAACAATTCAATGTTTCTTGGTAATGTATCCTGGATGAATCTGATAATTTAAAGCCCACTTCACCAAAATGGGAGTGGTGCTTGCGTCCTCTTTATCTTCAATTATGTCTAATCTGTTTCTAATTCAAACACTGTGCTGCTGTTGTCAGATCAAATATAGATTTTAAATGTTTTATGCTTCTCCGCTGGGAAGGTTTAAAATGTATGCAGGCTGTCTGTCAGGACTGTGCCAGTTGAATCTAATAAAGTTTTAGATAAATTCAAAGGAAATAAAAGAGTACTTAAAAATGAAATGATTCACGGTTCATGAGATGGAACATGCTTAATGAACGGCAGGCAGTTCGGGAAAAGTTATGGTAGAGTCTCTATGGATCACCTGCCTAACCTTTACAGAGCTCTCCTTGAATAAATATATTGTGTCTTCCAGCTTTACAGGCAGGAGTTCAGAAACCAATTTAAAAATCAAGTCATCTTTGGGCTTGTTTCAAACAGGGCCTCATAAGCCTATGGGCGCAGGGACTATAATCCATGGTTTTTCATTCCACATGATGACACTTCCATCACTGAGAGCAGATTGGAAAACATAGTTGCAGTTTTCAGTCACTGAATAGGATGCAGTTGTTATCGTTATTAGAATTCTTTTTTTCTGCTCATCTATGTAGATGTGCTCCAGGTATGTGTGTGCTCTGGAATATCAAAGCAAAAACATATTCGGAGATAATATCGGGCATTGTTAGACCTGGGACCTGAGGGACTGGTGTCAAGGTTATATTCGTAGGAATACTATCTTGGTAAAATTTCTGAGATCTCTTGGGTTTATGAAGTTAGGGAAAGCATGGAAGAAATGTTTTATTAGAGTACAGACCATATTTATATTTCTGTATTACAAAATTGCTATTTCATAGTCAGGAGTTAAGTTAAACTGGGGCTTAAGGTGAAGGCGTTGGTGCAATTTATCACCACGGAGATTTTTCTTGGGTTTGCTTCTAATCCCTTTAGGACTGCAGACCTAAGGGGATGCTTTGGGCGTCTCTCCTGGTTTGGTTTTGGAAGGATTGTTGGAAGCATCCTTTAAATGTTAACTAGATTTGTGCTTAAAAGGGAAAGGCTTTGAAGTTTTAAAACCATAATCCTCCCAGGTCCCCATTCTCCTTCTTCTCCAAGTTTATCTTAAGAGCAACAGTATTTTTATCTGGGGTAAGACTTCAGCATGATAAAAAAATAGTGGGACTAAGCTGATTCCTGGGCAGAAAAATAGTCAAATTACTGATCTCTTAGCTCACTTTGGCTTGACCCATTTATAAAACTGACACTAAAAATCTAAGAAAAAGTCATTTCCTTTGCTCATGACCCCCACTGCCTCTTCCTTTTCAGTAGCTTAAGGTCAAATTCCTATAAACAAGCAATATTTTTTTTTCATTCAAACTCTGTAGGAATGCAAGAAAATTCTCTCCATTTATTTCTAGTGACATTTCCCTTTAGTTTCTTTCTGGCTGGTTTATATTTTTTCATCCATCTCAAGACGCATAGGGCTGTGCAGTGAGGGAACAATTTTATGTTCTGAAAAGGATGTGTTAGGTTTTCCCACCGGGCATCACTTATGCCTTTGTAACTTGGGTTGCCATTGCCATCCCAAATAGAAGGAGACAGTGAGGATACAGGATGAGGGCGGAGTACCTGCCTATGTGGCATTCAGCGGCTGGCTCCCGGGAGGAGGTTTTGGAATGCTTGAGGCCAGTGGGGACTTTAGAGTCAAGAAATGCCACCTGTGGTTCCCCGTGAGCTTAGGTTATACTATTTCTCCGCAGTCCACCTCTGAACTCCTTTCTCAGTTTTGGCCCCAGCACAAGTTCTGTCTATGCAATAAGAATCAGACTTATTTTCCTTAAGGTCAACCTATCCCTTCTAACTCATTCAGGGTGGATCTGTCTCGTCCCAATTTCTGTTCTTGGAGAGTATCTCGTGTTTCCTTTGAAAATGGAAGTCCTTTTGGTATCACGTAGTCCTTATTTAAAAAGAGAAAAAAGAAAGCCCTGATGAAAATCTTAGCCTCTAATTCTGAAGTTGTCATTTTTGGAAACTTGATGTGGTTGAAGGCTTTCTTTAAAAGCCTAATCATTGTGCAACTATAAGAATGTAAGAGAAAGGGTTAAAATAGTATTGTTTTACTATTTTTCAAGCTTGAGTAAGTTTCTTATTGGAAAGGAAGAGAGAGAAAGAAACAGAGGAAGGTACACCACGGGGCTTCCAGTCTGCTGAGGATCCGCTCCTGCGACACTCTTTGTGCCCAGAAGAAGGGAATGAGGAAGGAAGGAAGTACAAGAATGTCATGGAAATCAAGGGCAAGAGGAGTGAGCCACGTGCGGAAAACATTGCCCAGATGTCAGAAAATGTCACCCTAGCATCTGTAGTCAAAGGAATGTGTTCAGGGAATTGTCAGCCTGCTGACATTAATTGATGCCCCCAAGCACAACAAGGAGGAAATATACGTTACGGTGAGGAATTTTTTTTTTTGACAAAGTACATTATGCACTGATAAGCCATTTACACTTCCCCCCAGACAAGAGTTAATTTGGGGATGTAGGATGCCTGCTTTAGAAATTTAATGAAATGACACTCAAAAAGTAGAAGCATTGCTGTTTCATGGAGAAAAGGCAAAATGTGAGGGAAAGGCTAAATTGGCCAGAAGACTGAGAGGAGAAGACAGAGTTAAAGGGCTGGATAAAGGAATTAATTGTGTTAATGTTTTCCTGCTAAAGGCTGGTGGAACACACACACACACATACACACACACACACACACACTGCAAAAGGATGATGAGTATGTTATTTGTACAAAAATACAGAAAATGATTTTTCAGAATATTAAAAAGATCCTAGTCTACAAGATAATATCCATATTCTTTGGTGTTGCTAAGAAGATATTTTAGAATGTGCAGAAGCAGGTAGATGAGAGAGCTGGAGTCCTAGTTGCTATAAAAGGGGCTGCTTGGCCAGGTGCAGTGGCTCATGCCTGTAATCCCAGTACTTTGGGAGGCCGAGGTGGGTGGATCACTTGAGGTCAGGACTTTGAGATCAGCCTGGCAAACATGGTGAAACCCTGCCTCAACTAAAAATACAAAAAATTAGCCAGGTGTGGTGGTGGGCACCTGTAATCCCAGCTACTTGGGAGGCTGAGGCAGGAGAATTGCTTGAACCCAGGAGGTGGAGGTTGCAGTGAGCCAAGATCAAGGCACTGCACTCCAGCCTGAGCGACAGAGCAAGACTCCATCTCAAAAAAAATAAAAAAATAAAAAAAAAAAGATTAAAAAAAGGTGGGGAGCTGTTTGATGATTGCACAATGGACTAGAGGCTTATGTGCAAAGGGGAAATTTTGATTCAACATCAGTTTCTTGTGTGGTGCTTTTACACACGTCACCCTTAAATCAGCAATTCTCTGATTCTTTGCTTCCAGGGAAAGATCCTGGCCAGTCCTTGGATCAGTAGTTACGCCCTGGGCGTCTGGAATGAATCTAGCACCATGCTGGGGTCAGTGACTGATGTAATCCTTCTTTACAAATAATTCTCAGTCAAGGTGTAATACCAAATGGATACAAGTAAAACAAGTTCAGAGAACGAAATAGGGCATGGTTCTACCCCTAGACAGGGACAAGTGTCCTTGTCTTATGCCTCCCACCTTAGTGGGGCTTGTGTCTTGTGTGATTTCCTCAAAAATTTTGAAGTCTGCTCTGGTGCCTGAGACCAATCAGCCAGCAGGACGGCCATGAGCCAGGACCAGGATTGCATGGGCCTCTGTTTCTCTCTGACCCCCTACCCTTTCTGTGGGGTTGACCAGATGCCCTGAGGAGCTCCAGGCCTCATGCCTGTGGTCCTAAGGCCGGGCTCAGGAGGTCATGCTGGCAAACAGATTGCTCTTGCTTGTTAGTGCAGTAGCTATTTTTTCATTGGGTCATATGCGATTGGGCTGCCAGAATGATGCTGACATGCTGTTATGGGGACATCCTCACTCATTAAAAAGATCCTAGTCTCCAAGATACATCCATATTCTAGTCATATTCTAGTCTGCACTCCAGCCTGGGTGACAGTCTAACATAACATCCTAGTCTACAAGATAACATCACATTGAGTGAGGATGTGTTTTGGGCTTTGGATCACTGATGGTCCCTTGCTGCGGACTCCTTGGACTTGCGCTGTGTGTGTTGGCTCCAGCTGTGGTGCCTCTTCTGGCCCTCGGCACCTACAGGGGTGGTGGCAGGTATCTTTTACTCTATGTGGCCCCTGCTGCTGGCACCAAGAAGGGGGTCACCCCAACTCCTCCACAGGCTCTGTGCCACATACCAGGCAGTCCTAGGGGTGGCTGTGCTTAACTCCAAGGGTTCTGAGACTTGTTTTCTAAAACCAGTGGACTCTTCCAACCAATGTTGTGTTGTCTCTTGCCTCAGATGGATGGGGCAAAGTCATGCTCCCCCTGGCTGATCTAAGCCTTGCTGGCCAGGAATGGACATTCATTGCAGTAGTGGGACAGCTCTTCTTGCCCACAGTCGCATCTCTGACATCCTTCCGGCTGTGATTTGGCCTAAGGAGTACAAAAGATGAAGCTATAGGATGTAATGTTCTACCTTTATGCTCTAGAATTCCAATGGTAAATAGACTCTACCAGAATATGAATGATTGTTTGCATTTTCCTACATACTCTGGGTAAGACTTCATTTGTGGTCATGGTCAATGAAGCACCATGACAGCTTTTGAAGGAGTTATTGGAGACCAGTATTCGTGGTCTCTGTGGTAGATGACGCAGGTCATGCAGTTTTTTAAATGCTGCACTCGGAATTTTTAAAGTGGTATGAGAGAACTGCAAACCACAAACAGGTTCTGAAGAGCCATGCATTTTGAGTAATAACACTATTGCTATCTTTCTTAATGCAAGGGAGATAACAAAACTGTCTAGGATTGGTGCGATTGACAATAAGAACTACAAAAAAATGGTGCCTGGGCCAGGCACAGTGGTTCACGCCTGTAATCCCAGCACTTTGGGAGGCCAGGCAGGTGGATCACATGAGGTCAGGAGTTCGAGACCAGTCTGGCCAACATTGTGAAATCTTGTCTCTCCTAAAAATACAAAAATTAGCCAGATGTTGTGGCGCACGCCTGCAGTCCCAGCTACTCGGGAGGCTGGGGCACGAGAATCACTTGAACCTGGGAGGCAGAGGTTGCAGTGAGCAGAGATCGTGCCACTGCACTCCAACCTGGGTGACAGAGTGAGACTCTGTCCCTCCTCCAAAAAAAAGAAAGAAAAGAAAAGAAATGGTGCCCGAACACTATCATTAATCTCTTTAGGCCCTGATTGAACAATAACACACACATATATACACACACACGTGTGTGTATATATATATATGTACCTCTTCTCTACCTAGTATTCTAAATCTTCATTGATAACTTACTTTGCGTCACATGGCTCATGTATTTTATAATATTTTTAAATCAAAATGCAAAAAAATAGTCACTCAAGGCCTCAGACACCCTGGAGGTGATCCTGGCAGGGTCTCTGTGTTTTTTCACTGATTCAAGCTTTCAAGCTTTTACTTTATTAAGAATTTTTTATTCTCAACTTAAAAAGAACACACAAGAATCCACTATCCTAACATTCTACTAATATGTTTCATATTTCTTTCCGTTTTTAAATAAGTAAAACATATAAATACGGCAAAAATGTACTCCTGATTCATTCCCCTTCTTCCTTTTGTAGAGGTAGCCCCCCTTCTGATATTGGTAAATGTCTTCGATTGAGATTTACCAGAAGCAGATCCTGAGGTAAGGATTTGAGTGCCAGTAGTCGATTTGAGAACTGACCCCAGGAAGACCTATCATGACGCCGAGTGGGGCAGGAAGCCAGTGCAGAGTGTGGTAATGGGGTGGTTATTTCTATGGGCAACGAGTTCAGTTCACAAGAGAATTTGGGGAGCTGTGTAGAAGGACCTCAGAGTTGCTCTACTTGACAGCTGTGGAGGTTTTGGGAAATTGACCTGCCAACTCCCCCGTAATTGGCTGTAAACTCCCTGGAAGTTCAGGCTACCCTGTGAGGGCGCTGAGCCCTTTCCTGCAGACTGCAGGCAGAGTGGAAGGTGTTTGCAGTGAGAAACTGGAGTATCCAGAAATAGTCAGTCTGGAGAGAGTCTGGGTGGGGGCTCAACAGCATCAGCCATAGCCAGTATCCTCCTACATGATGTACCTGCTACATTGCTATATACTAAAAAGTAGAGACAATATTTCCCATGGGGTTTGAAGTTTTAAATAAACGGCAACATATTGAACACATTCTTGAACAACTTGCTTTTTTTCCCCTTCAAAAAATCTCCAAATATACTTGAGATTTTTCCATATTGACATATATAGCAGTGATAATTTAACAGCTCCTATTGTGTTCAAGTGTTTGAATAAACCAATTGATTTGTCAATTTTCCCCAATAACAGTGCAGAGGAGGAGAAAGAATATCTTTCCTTCACCCATCACAGGGTTCCTGACTGAGGCCCCTGTAACAAAAAACAGATTAACAAGAGAAAAGCATACAAATTTCTCTAGTGTTTTATGTGACACAGGAGCCCTTAGAAATGAAGAGCCACAGACCCTGAGGAAACTGCATATTTTTTGCGGACAGAAGTGCAGAAGCGTAATTGGAGGACAGAAGGATCTGATCTTGTGGTAATAAACTGTGGAGAACTTAGCAAGGCCTGTTGGTTCAGGGTCTTAGGTATAGGGCAAGACCTCTCTGGAATGAGGGTCTTAGGACCTACTTTTGGGGAAGGTAGGGCAGAAAATTTTTTATGGTCTGTTGCAAGGGAGAAAGGTGGGAGAAGGTTAGAAAGTGGTGACCTTCTTGCTTCTGCAGTATTCTCAAATTCCTCCAGCTTAAAATACTCAGTATGCCAAGGTGCCATACTTCGGAGTGTCACGCTCTGAGTCCCAGTGATAGTTTGCTTCCACTTTTTCTGTTCTTATAACAAACTTACATAACAAGTGTCCTCACACCCATTTGAGTGCACGTTTTCTCCGAGATTCCTGAAGAGTAGATTCCTGGTTATAAGGTAGTCACACCGTCAGCTTTACTAAGTATTACCAAATTGTTTTACAAAGTATTTGTGCCAATTTATACTCCCTGAAGCAATACACAAGAATTTAATTGTCCCCACGTCTATGCCCACACATCTGATATAAACGTATTAATTTATACCAACCTGATGAATTGAAATGGTATTTTATTATTATTAGGTTTTTAATTTCCTTTATTATAGAAAAGTTAGGCACATTTTCTTATGTTTACTGGGCATCTGGACATCCTCTTCTGTGAATTTCCTGTTCATCTCCAGTGTCTATTTTTTTAATTGTTGTGTTTGCTAAGTGATTTGTAGAAATTCTGTACGTATTCTGGACATTAATACTTTGTTAGTTGTGTATGGGAGACAAATGTCTTTTTCTGTTCTGTGGCTTATTTTTTCACATTGCTTATGGTATTTTTTTTTTTGGCTATAGAAATAGAAATAGAAAAGGTAGTCAAATATAACAATATCTCTTTTTATGAATTGCGATCTGGCTTTACATTTAAAAAATCTTTCCCTATCCTGATGTCATAAACGAATCAAAGGTTTGCGTCTAAAAGTTCCGGTTTTGTTTTTTACCTTGGAGTGCATCTATGGGATGAGGTAAGAATCTAGTTTTGTAGACCACAGTCCAGCATCATTTATAGAGCAGTCCATCCTGTTCCCACTGACTCGTAGTGCCACTTTGGGTCTATACCACGTTCTTCTTCATACGTGGGTCTGTTTCTAGACTTTCTATCTTTTTGTTTGTCTTTATCTGCATTGATTTAAATGCGATTTTATAATAATCTTTCCTGCAGGGTGAAACTAACCTTCTTAGTCAAATTTTTCTTGGCTATTTTTTGTTCTTTACTCTTCTTCCTGAATTTCAAGATCACCTTGTCAAGCTATGTGAAATGTTCCTTTAGGATTTTGATGAGAAGTACATTGAATCTATATAGAATGATTTGGGGAGAATCATCATCTTTATATATCTAGTCTTCTTTCTTGTGAGCTCGATATATGTTACATAGTTTTCTTTATATCCCTTGTTAAAGTTATATAACTCTCCCTTGTATTTCTTTCGTTAGATTTATTCCTGACTGTCTGAAGTGCTTTGTTGCTATTGTAATACATCTTTTGAAAATTTACTTTGTCTAGATGATTGTTGGTGGTGTATAGGAATTATATTTGTGTATGAGTTGGTGTGTATGTTTAAACCATTAATTAAAATTATGTAATGCTTCTAGGTCCATTCATGTTTTTCCTTCTTTTTTTCTATTTTATATCTTTTTTTTCTGGAAAATTATCCATTTTGTCTAATTTTTCAATGTTATTGGTATAAGGTTCTTATTTTCATATCTCTGTATACAGGTATGTCCTTCCCCGCCTCCATTCCTAATGCCTTTATTTGTAGCAGAACTCTTTTCTTATTCATCTTTCAAGATACTTTCTATTTTATTAGTCTTTGAGTTGTCCAGCTTTTAATTTCTTTGTTTTTGTTGTTGTCTGTTTCTTTCAGTTTTGCCCATATCTTTGTTACTTTCTTCTACTTTCTCTGAGTTGAGTTTTTTTGGGGGTTTTGTTTTTGTTTGTTCCTTTTCTTCTACCTAATTTCTTGATTAGATTCTCAGTGCAGTAACTCTTAATCTTTCTTCTTTTATAGCTTTCATTTAATAGAATGTATTTCTATGTAAATACTGCTTTAGCATTATCCCAAAAATTTTGATAATTGTCTTTCAGCTCTAATTTCCATTATGATATCATTTTTGGCCCATAAATTATTTTGAAATTAAAAAAATCTCTAAATCTTTTTTGTTATTTATTTCTAACTTTATTACATTATAGTTAGGATATGTGGTCAGTAGGGTAGAGATTCTTAGATAATATGTTGAGACTTGCTTTGTGGCTTAGTATGTGGTGATTTTTTAAAAAAAATGGTCTATATTTGCTTGAAAAGAATGACTAGCATTCAAATCTATGTCTTTACTACTTTTACATCTGTTTGATTTATCAATTACTGAGGGAAATATGCCAACATCTCTCACTATGATTGGGGGTTTGTTCGTTTCTTTTTGTAATTTGGCCACATGGTGTGTTTTATATATAAGGGAGGTTATATTATTACATAGTTGTTATATATTTATTTTTATATTTACTTCCTATTAATGACAAATAATATTAAAAAATTTATAGTAATGATATAAAGTTTCCTTATAAAATAAATTTTATTAAGCAAAATGGGAGATTATTTACAGAAAAGCATTGGTCATATAATGGAATAAGCGGTAAGTGACTGTGAAAGAAGATCATGCAGGTGATAGAGAAATGGCTCAAGAGTGCACCACGGCCTCACGCTACCTCATCCAGCCACTCATCCACACAACAACAATTTGAGAATCACAATTTCCAGCCCAGAGCTCTCTCAAGCATCAGTTCCACACATCCAGTTCTTTGTCTCTTTCATCTGGAGGTCTCACTAGCCCCTCACACTCAGAAATGCAGACATGTTTCTGCTCTTTTCCCTCTCTGCTGCCCCCATGACACTGACTGTTCCCCCTGTGTTCCTTATCTTGGTGAAAGACACCACTGTCTTCCCACTCACCCATGCTAGAACCCCCAGGCCTCTCTCCACAGGCCGATTACAGCAGAGAATGGGTGCCCTCTACTTTGCCTCCTTGGTACGTCTCTCTCTCTTCCTCTTCAGCTCCATTGTTGCCGCCATGACTAAGGCCCTTGCCATCCCCCTGCTGAGTTCCCGTGCCCTCCCGTGGCCCACCCCCCAGCCTCTACAGGGCCGCCTTCAGATCTGTGTGCCCCAGTAACTGTTCTGCATGCAAAACTTACTTGTCTCTTCCTGCTTTGCATCCTTGAATGGCTCCCTATTGTTTTTAGAATGAAGTCGAGAACCTACCTTTTGGAGCCCCACCTGTCTCTCACTCCAACTGTGGCTCTATGCCTCTGCCATCCGAACAACTTGCTGTTCCCAGACAGTGCCAAGTTGCCATGTGCTTCTGTGAGATTTCTCAGGCTGCACTCCCTCCTGTGAATGCATCTGCCTTACTTTGTCTACGAAGCAAATACTGTAAGATTCAGCTCAGGTACCACCTCCTCCAAGAAGCCCTCTTGGGAACCCTTACTCGGTAAAACTGACTATTCTTTTATATACCCTCTCATCCCCAGCTGGGCTTCTGTAGCTGAACTCCACGTTCCTTGAGAGCAGGAACTGTTTTAAATCATCTGTCTATTCTTGTACGTTGACTGAATGAACAATGTCTACCAATTGTTAAGAGAAATCTAGCTTCAGAGACAATTAGATGTTGGGAGATTGAGGAACTATTCTACGTCTTCCCAAGTAAGTTACGCTGCCTCTGGAATGTCAGAAGAGGTGTGGGATGAGAAGAGCTGACTGTTAGCTCTTCTCAGGTCATAAGACTGCATGTGTGCAATGTGGAAATCTGAAAGATGCAGCACATGAAAGGAAAGCTTAATTAAATTATGTCTTAAAAGAACTTGGAGAACATCCCGGTTTTTAAAAGAAGAATATTCATCAACTGTTCCAAATCCACTTAGTAGCCTTTAAAATCATTTTATGATCATTTTCACTACTAAGCTTAGCCTTAAGAGGGGGAAAAGACTCATAAATGCTTCTTTAAATAAAAAGTATTTACTTATGATACTAACCTAGTTTTCAACATCACTTTTAACATCAAAGGAACTTGGTTAAAGCAGTTTCTCATATTTACTTCCTCCTTTTCTTCCTCACAATCCTCCCTCTCCTCATAGATATAATTACAACAGTCAAGGAAAAAGCAGCACTTGGAAGGAACCTGCAGAGTCATGGTCAGGATGAGAATCTAACCACTTCAGAGATTGGGCAGAGGCAGACACATAGAAAAATCTCAAAAGATATCCCTTTATCCTCCTTTGTTAGTTTTAATACAGCTCGACATTGGAGGACAAGGCGTGTATCAAAGAAGCCCAGGGCAGCCTTTTCTAAACTGTATTTCATTGGCTACTGCTTCTCTAGATGTTACATAGGCGTTTGGGTGAAAAGGTTTGGGAAAGGGATTGCTTCAAAGTACATATTGGTACATTAAAGGCTCTGAGAAGTCCTGCAGTAAAAACCTATTTAACTCTACTTAACCCAGCATTTCCCAAATATTTGTTTGGTTATAAAATCCTTTTTTATGGAGCACCTATTAACATATTGCAGAAACACATCGTTTGGATAAAAATAGGATTAAAAATAGTCTGATTTGAGGGCACAGATTTCAGGTAGGAATGATTATTCTCAAGTAGTAGAGAGTTAATGAACATCTTAATCTGAAAAGCAGTGTCAGAAAATTTTTAAAATGCTGTCAAGAACTCATAAAATATACATTATGTTGTGTAGCAACATTGTAAAATGCTGTATATTAAAACCATTAAATTTTACCTTATTACTCTACAATCTTCTCATCACATATTTATACATTTACCCTGTATCTGCGAAATGACTTCTGTTACAAATATTGTGCTTGGATTATAGAAGCATGCTGTAACCCTAACTATAGAGGATTCTGTGAAATAAGAAAGTAACAGCTTTGGATAACGAGATTACTGGGGTGAAAGAATGATTAAAAATTATAGCATCATAGAACTTTGAAGCAAAAAGGAATTTTAGGGATAATGTTAACCCAGTATCCTCATTTAGAGAAAAGGAAATTGACATTTATAAAGTCTTCAAGGAGAAGAATGGGGACAAAAGTGCAGAAAAGATGGAGAACACTGGAGAACACATTTTCCCTTATGCTACAAGTGGCAAGAAATAGTCCAGTGCTCTGGGAAGATGACGAGGTTAGAATTTTATACAAAGGAAGTTGGAATATAATATGGTTTGCATACTTATCTGTGTCAATGAGAGGTATGAGAGTTATACTAACAAAGAATATGGTCAGCATGTGACAATCCTAAGCAGGCAGATAGGCTGGGGGAAGGGGAGGGTCCTGGATGCAAGGTGCATCAAGGCAGTGACTTGTACTTAGCCAATTGCTCATAAGTAATCACTACCTCAAATAAATGGACACTTGTCTTCTGCAAGAGCAGCATTGCTCATCCTGAGTCCCATCAGGGTCTAATTCAGTCATGGGAATGCCCCACAGAGTGTATACGTCCTCCAGGGCCATAGATGATTGAATCAGAACTTCAACCTCCTCTTCTCTTTAGGACATACTAAAGCTACTGATGTGTCCAGAATAGCTACACACCCTGCCAGCTGCCTTGCTCCTCCTTCACTCAGAGCAAGCTGCATTTTTCCAGGTAAGCAGAGAATATCTTCTCAAGGGAAACACTTTGCTGTCTGCCCGTGAGGTCAAGCTTCTGACAGATTGGGTGGCTGATTGTCATTCATAGCAAGTATCTTAAAAGTCTCCATCAGAGAGCAAGCTTTGCACATCCATTGAATTCAGTGGTTGCTTTATATGAAAAGCACATTGTTAGTGCCCTGCAGCTGTCAGGATAGGATGATGTTGCCACATCCTTCAAACAGCTCGTTCTAGATGGGCGATTTAGAAATGAAGGAGTGTTGGGGTCCTGCAATGAGAAGAGATCCCAGAAAATCTAATAACAATGCCCAATGGATAAAGCCAGCCTTCCATATTAGCTGAGCTCTTGGTGTGCCCAGCATTATGGCAATCATAATAAACATCTATGTACACTCATTATGCACATGTCCAATTCCCTTTCAAAGGTTTTGTTTAGTAAACAATAGTAGTAAAAAGTAAATTGCTGGAAAAAGTGACGTTTTTGTGATGAGACTTCTTAGGCATATTTGTAAATTATTTGTGCACCTTGAAGGAACAAGTCTTTAAAATATAAATGATAAAGCCTGCACGAATCTCTTTACTGCATACTCACAACTGGGGGGATCCAAACAGGGTTAAGGAAAGAGGAGTGTGGAGGACAATGTGATGCATCCTTCCACCAACCCCACCTTCCACTAGATTCCCTTTCAGTGAAGGGCTTGCTGTCCTGGCTGCTGGGAGTGCTGTCATCAGGTAGTCTTAGCTGTTAGCCCCTTAGGGGCAGCCTCAAGTATAGAGAGCTGTCTTAGCTTATTAGGGCTGTTATAACAAAAAATACCATAGGCTAAGTGGCTTAAACAACAAGCATTTATTTCTCATGGTTCTGGAGGCTGGGAAGTCCAAGACCAAGGTGCTGGCAGATTTGGTGTCTGGAGATGGCCCACTTCCTGGTATGTAGATGGCCATCTTCCAGGCTGTGTCCTCAAGTGATAAGGGGTGAGAAAGTTCTCTGGGATCTCTCTTATAAGGGCACTAATCTAATTAAGGAGGGTTCTACCCTCATGACCTAGTTGCCTCCCAAAGGTGCCACCTCCTAATACCATCACATTGGGGGTTAGGATTTCAAACTATGAATTTCATGGGGACACAAACATTCTATCCATAATAAAAGCCACCTCCCCAAGGTCCCACCCCTCCCCCGGGCAGCCCACATCCAGTGACTGACTGGTATAGGAATAGAAAGGCTATCTTGCACTAGCTCGGAATTCTCAACTCCTAGTACTGGAGAACAGCAACAGCTGTGGACCAGGCCCAAGATGTAATCAATCAAGCTCCAAAGATGAAATTTCCTGACAAATGCAGGACTGCTATGTTAAAGTTAGGGCCCTGACTGGAAAAGAATGGGACCCTGACTAATAGGGTGAAGACATCTGGGTTGATAATCTCCAGACTCTTGAATTTTTGTGGATGCAATGATTGCAATTGCCATCAATGGTAAGGTCACAGTGGGTAGCCAGGGGATCCTGACATGCAGAGAGAATGATGAGATGGCTAAATAAATATGTAAAAAAGGTCAACCAAAAGGATACCACCCAATTTAAGACATCAAAAGATATCAAGAGTGGGTGATCAAGAAGCTGAAGATGCCCCCAAAAATAGTCAGGATCCTTTGTGCAGTTTCTGAATGGATCCGAGCTAATTTCCCAACCTGGAACACATTTATTGAAGAGGAATCTGGGTTTCTAGTAGAAAGGACCCTGAAACATCATAAGAAGTATAAATGGTAATAATTTCCCCAGGCCTTTTCCAAAGAGATTGAGAGCCATTTACTTGGACAACTGTGTGCTGGGTAACTATGCACTGGAGAGAGGAAAATATACAGACATTTCAAGCACCATTAGACACATGGTCCAATAATTACCTCATATAATTGAAATAAACATATTTGGTAGTTAGCACAGTTCTCACATTGGGTCTTTGTCCTGTAGGGTAAGAGCTATTTTGGTTGGCAAGACCAGGTAGAAGTTCCTGAAACTACCCACCTCCCTCAACCCCACTGTAGTCAAGATAGTAAATAAAAAACTATATTCTGGGGGCATGTTGAAAAGTAGTGCTACTCTTAAAGGTCAAAAGAATACAGATGCGGTGGTCCCTGTCATATATTTAATTTATCAATCTAGCTTCAAAAAATCAGAAGAATCCTGAAGAATGATAGTAAATCAGTGCAAAGTCAACCCCAGTTGAAGCCACTGTGCCAAATCCCATAACTTTGCTAGAACAGATGAACATGCCCTTAGGTAAACGGTATGTGACCACTGATTTAGCATATGCATTCTTTTCAATCCCTACCAGAACAAATTATCAGAAATAGTTTTCATTAACATGGAATACGCAACAGTATACACTTACAGCTTTGCTCCAGGAGTATGTTCATTGTCTTCACCCTCTATTTTAATCAAGTTTAATCAAGTTTAATCAATAACGAGATCAGGACCATCTGGACATCTCACAGAACATCACATTGGTTCACTCTATTAATTACATCATGTTAACTGTACTTGATAAGCAATTGCTGGCTAGCACATTTGAGACCTTGGAAATATACACACTCCAGAGGGTGGAAAATAAACCTTTGGGAGATTTAGGGTCCTGCCATATAAGTGAAATTTTTAAGGAGTCCAGTGATCAGGGTGATGCCAAGATATGATCTCCAAAATAAAGAACAAATTATTGCATCTTGCACCACAAAGAAGAAAGCAGAACACCTGGGAGATCTCTTCAGGTCCTAGAAGTAACAGATCCCACTGTATTATTCAGAGTTCCCTAGAGGGATAGAACTAATAGGATATATATAGCCTATATCCTAGAACTAATAGGATACATATAAAATAATATTTAATAAACTCCCATATATTACATATAATATATCAATATATAATGTATTCTATAATAATATACATAATATATATTCTGTAATAATATACATAGTATATATTCTATAATAATATCCACAATATATTATATAATAATATACATAATACATATTCTATAATAATATACACACTACATTATATAATAATATACATAATATATATTATATTATAATGTACATATTATATATAATGTTATATATGTATATAATATATTATATACATATCTACAATATATTAGATATAATATATTATGTACACTATAATATATAATATATATTATATTGTATTATGTTATTACATATTAATATATAATTATGTAATATATAATATTATATATAATATTATAAGCATATTATAATATATTATATACTATATTATAGCTTATTGTGGGACCGTGTGATCATGTAAGTTAATATTTAATACACTTTAATATGTAACATATAATTTATATATTATATATTTTAGATATATTATATATAATAGAGCTAATAGGATATATATAGCCTATATCCTAGAACTAATAAGATATATATTATATATAATAATATTTAATATTTAATAAACTCCCATATATTATATGTTATATACAATATATAACATATAATATTTAATATTTAATAAACTCCCATATATTATATATGTTATATGTAATATATTATATAAAATATAAAATATATGACATCTCATATATGATATGTGATATATTATATAAAATATATTATATATTATATGATATATGATATATGGGAGTTTATTTATTATTATATAATATATATTATATGATATATGATATATGGGAGTTTATTTATTATTCAATATAATATATAATATAACATATATAATGTAACATAAATATAATATTGTATATCATATGACATAAATATATTATTTAACATAATATTAAATATTATTTAATATAATATTAAATAATATTTAATATTTAATAAACTCCCATATATCATATAATATATTTTATATTATCTATATCATATATGATATAATATATTTTATATTATCTATCATATATCATATATTTTATATTATCTATCATATATCATATGATATATTTTATATTATATCTATCATATATCATATGATATATTTTATATTATATCTATCATATATCATATGATATATTTTATATTATATCTATCATATATGATATATTTTATATTATATCTATCATATATGATATATTTTATATTATATATATCATATATGATATATTTTATATTATATATATCATATATGATATATTTTATATTATATATATCATATATGATATATTTTATATTATATATATCATATATCATATGATATATTTTATATTTTATATAATATATTACATATAATATGTTACAATAAACATATATATGGGAGTTTATTAAATATTAAATATATATTATATATGATATATAATATATGATATATGGGTGTTTATTAAATATTAAATATTTTATGTATAATATATTATATATATATCCTATTAGTTCTAGGATATAGGCTATATATCCTATTAGTTCTATCTATTATATATAATATATAATATATAATATATAATATATAATTTGTATATAATATATAATATATAATTTGTATATTATATATAATATATAAAATATAATTTGTATATTATATAAACATATATTTTATATATGTTTATATAATATATATTTATATATTTTATATATTATATATAAATATGTAATATATATAATATATAAAAAATTATATATATTATATATTATATATATTAAAGTTTATGAAATATTAACTTACATGATCACAAGGTCACACGATAAGCTGTCTGCAAGCTTGACGAGCAAGAAGAGCCAGTCCAAGTCTCAAAACTGAAGAACTTGGAGTATGATGTTTGAGGGCAGGAAGCATCCAGTGTGGGAAAAAGATGTGGGCTGGGAGGCTAGACAAGTCTTGCCTCTTCACGTTTTTCTGCCTAATTTATATTCACTGGCCGCTGATTAGATGGAAGGGTGGGTCTGCCTTCCCCAGCCCACTGACTCAAATGTTAATCTCCTTTGGTAACACCTTCACAGACACACCGAGGATCCATACTTTGCATCCTACAATCCAATCAAGTTGACACTCAGTATTAACCATCACGCCCACCTATGATGGACAAACTAGATGACACGAAATGCTGTCACGTTCGAGTGGGTCTCAAAGCAAGAAAGAAGCTCTGTAGCTTGAGCCGCATGATCCAATAGCTTTTATGGTTTTAGCTATGTGAGCAGTCAGAAAAGATGCTGTATGGACTTTTGTGGCAAGTCCCAACAGAAGAATTGCCATGTTGACCCCTAGAATTCTAGCTCCATCAAGAGAATGATAAGCCTTTTGAAAAACAACTCTGGGTGCTGCTGGGCCCTGATAGAGATGGAATGCCTGAACATAAACACCAATGATCATGCAGCCATCGTGAACTAGATTCTACAGATTCACCAAGTCACAAGTTTGGGCAATAACCATCCTGTATAAAAAGGAAAATGGAACATTTGGAATCCAACATGATCTGGACCAGAGGACACAAGTAAACTGCATGAACAGGTAGCCCAGGGCCTCATGTCAACCCCACGATAGTACAAATGCCTCTCCCTCAGCTCACTCCTATGGCTATATGGGGGTCCTATGGCTATATGGGGGTTCCTTTAGATCAGTCGATGGAGGAGGAAATATCCTCAGTTTGATTCGCAGATGGGTTGGCTCTGCATGTGAGTGCAAGTGAAAGTTGCAAAACAACTGCTCTGCAGCCCCAGTCACAGGTGGCCTTGGAAGACATTGATGAGGCAAAACACTCCCAGTGGGCAGGGATTTGGGAGATGCACCTAGTTATTCACTGTTTGGAAAGAAAAGTGACTCAAGGTTGGAATGTATATGGATTCATGGGCAGTGGTGAATGACTTGCTGTCTGGCTGGTCTGAGGCTGGAAGGAAAAAGATTATAATATCAGGGACAAAAGTTATTGGTGTAGAGGCATGTCACTACACACACAGGAATAGTCAAAATTGGAAAATTACTGTATTACAAGTTTAAATTGACCATCTGTCACAGAAGTGTCACTAAACAACCAAGTAGGCAAAATGACTCAACCTGTCGATGTCACCCAGCATCTGTCATCAGCTGCACCAGTGCCTGGCATGAAGGGCACCTGAGTTCATTGACTATCATGGCAGAGATGGAGGCCACACATAGGTCTAACAACACGGACTCCTGCTTACCAGGGCTGATGTAGTTACTACCACCACAGAGGTCCAACCTGCCAGCAACTGAGAACAATGCTGACACCCTGGTATGGGACCATGTCTTGAAGAGTCCAACCAGACACTTGGTGGCAAGTCGATTACATTAGATCTTTCCTCCCTGGATGAGCCAGCAATTCATTCTGATGGGAATATACACATAATCCAGTCATGAGTTTGTCTTCCCTGCTTGTAGGGTTTCAGCCAACAGCACCATCTAAGGGCTTACAGTGTCAGGCCAGGGGTCCCATTACACAGAAAAAAAGGTATGGGGATGGGCCCATGACGATGATGTCCTCTGGTTGTATCTTGTATTGTATCCCCTGGAAGCTGCTGGCCTAATAACATTTTAGAATGGCCTTTAAAAGGTACAGCTGAAGTGCCAGCTCAGAGATGATGCTTTGTGAAAATTGGACACCATTCTTGAGAATGTAGTACATTTGATATGGTTCCTTGTTCCAATAGCAGGAACACACGGATTTGGAATCCAAAGGGAGGAATCAGGAGTTGGTTTCACTCACTGCCACTCCTACTTATTCACTTGGGGAATTTGTGCTTCCTGAACTTGCAACTCGGCTCTGTTGGTTTAGAATTTTAGAGTCCTGAATGGGAAACACTTCCTCAAGGGGACACTGAAAGAGTCCTGTTGAATTATAGACTGCAAATGCTGCTTCAACATTTGTAGCTCCTTGTGCTAAGGGACCAGGAAGCGAGAAGAAGGATCATTATCCTGACAATTGGCCCTGAGCTTCAGGAGAATGTTACACAGATGCTGTTACACATGGGGATGGAGGAGGATGTGTCTGGCACCCACGTGGTCCACTGGGGTGGCTCTTGGGACACTCCTTGCCCAATTTTGGTGGTAAATGGACAAGTGCAAGTTTGTTCTGTAGGTGCCTCTTCATTTCTTTTTTTATCTGCAACTTTTGTTGTTATTATTGAAGAAATACAGTTGCTTGGTCTGTGGTATTTCCCAAAGTCTGAGTTTTACTGATTGTATCTTTAAGGTGTCGTTTAACATGTTTTTCTTACTTGTTTCTTTTCTTTTCTTTTTCTTTTTTTCTTTTTTTTTTTTTGAGATGGAGTCTGTCTCTGTCACCCGGGTTGGAGTGCAGTGGCACAATCTTGGCTCATTGCAACCTCCGCCTCCCGGGTACAAGTGATTCTCCTGCCTCAGCTTCCTGAGTACCTGGGACTACAGGCACATGCCACCACGGCCAGATAACTTTTGTATTTTTAGTAGAGACGGGGTTTCACCATGTTGGCCATGATGGTCTCGATCTCTTGACCTTGTGATCTGCCCGTCTTGGCCTCCCAAAGTGCTGGGATTATAGGCATGAGCCACTGTGCCCGTCCTACTTGTTTATTTTCTATAAATTGGTAAATTGAAGCAAACTTGAGCAAACTTGTGTTTAATTTTTTTTTTTTTTTTTTGGCAAGACTACTTCATAGATAATGATGGGCTCCTCCACCAGGAGGCACGTGATGTGTGGCTGTTTCTGTGACGTGAGCAGCCACTGATGATCATTGCCTTGATGCCTTTATTTACTAGAAGTTTCAAAGTGATAATTTTCTTATTCTTTCACATATCCTTTATTTTTTAGGTAGACTACTTCTGTAAAGAGGAATTTTCCTTCACTGACTGGTTATCAGTGGTACAGTTTAAATGGGAAAAGAGACATAATGCTCAAGTATTTACCTTTGTGTTTACCAGTTTTAAAAATAGTGAGTTGGTTTCCTAGCATCCCCCACATGTGATCAATTAGTGATGGTGATTTTTTTCTATCATTATAACTCATGGATTTAAATATTCAATCTCTTGCTGCTATTATTTTTTCTTATACTCAAATTGTGTCAGCTTTGATCTGTGAGAGCCTATTCAAGTTAGCCCCTGAGTCTTTTTTGTTTCTGTTTTTGTTTTGAGACAGAGTCTCTCACTCTGTTACCCAGGCTGGAGTCCAGTGGTATAATCACAGCTCACTCCAACTCCAAGGTTCGGGGGATTCTTCCACCTCTGCCTCCCAAGTACCTGGAACCACAGGTATACGCCACCATGCCTAGCTAACTTAATTTTTTTTTTTTGTAGAGATAGGGGTTTTGCCATGTTGCCCAGGCTGATCTCAAACTTCAGGGCTCAAGCAATCCTCCCACCTTGGCCTCCTAAAGTGCTGGGATTACAGGCGTGAGTCACCATGCTCGGCCCTGTGTCTTTCTGACATGACCCAAGTAGTGTTTGATAGCTTCCTGGTTTTCGAGTCTGATCAGATGTTTTGTTTAACATCAGTGCGTGTCTGGGCCTATTTGGATATTGCCTTATATTTTAAGGCTTATGACTTATCCCTGGAAAGCATAGGTTGAAAAAGTAAGTGGCTGTAACTTTCAGCTCAGGTTCTAAGAGGAACTGTGGATTCAGCAGGATTTCCAATTGCTCTCCTCATTGGCAAAGGGGAAAACAAGCGCCCTCAATTACGAGAAGTGAGATTACCCATCACAGCCTTGAGCTGCACTAAGGCAATATACTACATGGCAAATTACACATGTCGGGCAGGGGGTCAAGTAGAGTTATAAATGCAGACACAGAGGCATTGATCATTGATATGAATGAAGAAGGGAACTGGAAACAGGCAGTTCAGGTTTGCTTCAATATTCCAAACTTGCAAGTTTAATTCTAAAGTAGTCCAAGACGCAATCATGGATTATTCCATCTGTGAACTGTATGATATTGCAAATGAAGAGTTCAGACTTGGTTTAACTCTTGACGATCTTGCAAAGTAAGCACAGGCTCATTATAATAACTGTGTTCAGGCTGTGTGTGAGTTTGGTGTCTGCCGGAATGGCAGCAAAGATGACTGAGAATTCAAATGTGTGTGGTCAGAAGCCTGTGTTGCCACTGTGCTCTCTGGCCACATTGGGGAGTGGCAGAGATCTTCTTCCCAAATCAGGAAAGGCAGATGCCCATGGATCTAGGCTCTTGAACTGTTTTCAGGGTGAGTAAATACCTTTCATTTCTTCTTTATTTTGGAGAAAAATTGAAAAAGGCAGGTTATCACCATGGTCCCTTTGCTCTCCTCTTTCATCATTTTCTTGTCAATGAAAGAAAATTTACAATAAAAAATGATTACGTAACAAACATTGAATGCAAATGTTAGAAGTTCACAGGTGAGGAGAGGACAAGTGGTGACTACAGAAGGCAGCCCCTTTGAGGGTCTGAAGCATAACAATTTCGCATTCTTCTTGCTCATATGCCCTAATTTTGCCCTAAGAAGGAGGCTTTCCCTCCACACAGTAGATAGTCTTCGACAGAACCTCAAGGGTAGCTTCTTCTGCATTAGTCTTGGAGTCTATTCTACATCTAAACGGCATGGGAGATCAGCTGCTCAGCATCATAGGGCAACACATGTGAAATTAGTACTTCACTGGAATGACACCCATGTGTAGAAGCCAGCATGGAGGCAGAAAAGGCCTGACACTCCTTTGCCATCCTACTTGGAAGGCAGGGCTTATTCTGTCAGATGCCCTCGACTTGGACTTGAATCAGGAGTGAGTGAAGTGACGAAGCAGGGACCATGACAAGACCTAGGACCAGTGTCGGCAACAGTGCTGGAGGTTTTAGTATTTAGATGCAGGGGCAGTTCATTTTAGGTGGGTCCCAGGAAACTTTGTTTCTTTGTTCCTGCCTGTTTTGTTAACTTGGTTTCCCAGCTTTTTTGGAGAATCTGTAAGCTACCAAGACATCCTTCCAGTAAATTCTCATCTTGCTTAAATCAGCCAGAAATGGTGCCTATGGTTTGAAACCAAGAAACTTGGACTGATACAGGATGTACTCTCTTTTCATTAAAGCTTACTGTCTCCCAAACACCTGCCTTACAGACAGATAATGAAGTAGACCTAATCATGAACCAGAATTGCCTTCGAAACTTGTGTTTTGGTGGAGTGAATGATGTCGGCCCTCAGCGTTCCTGGGCTGCTGCTGCTGTGTTTAAAACTGTGCCATAGGAACTGTCACTGTTTCTGTGGTTTCTGAGGGATGGCTCTGCTTCAGGTTTGTGCTCTTCTCAGAAAGGCACTTGCTCTGCCAGAAGAGTTTGAAGAGCACCTCTTGTCACCTCAGCATGAGAAAATGGAGATTGCAGCAACCCAGAGAGAGAGCTCATGTGAGAATGACAGAAAGCTCAGCCTCAGAGCAACAGCCAGCATTTGCCACATCCAGCAGAGGGGAACAAAGGTTTCCACAGACAGCCATGGAAGAAGACTCAGTACTTGATGTCTATTTCTTGAGTGACTGCATAAGCAGAAACCAAGACCTGGTTCACATTCCCTAACACAGGGAGTGAACATCTGTGCTCAGCTGGTGTGGAGTCAGAGCAAAGAGGATCTCACCAGAGCAGAAATACTTAAATGAGAGCACTACAGGATACAGCTTGGAACAATGGGGAAAAGACAACTGCTCAAGCTTTCTTTCAACTTGGTAGCTCAGATTTCATCTAGGACAACGGCTGAGCTGTCGTATCAGAACTTCCATTCTCTAGCTCCAAGTTCTGATCAGTTAACCTCACCTATTTATTTACTTTAAAAATTTTATTATGGAGCTATGATATTGTGATATAATGCAAAACATATATTTGGTCTCTGCCCTTCCCTCTCCGCCCACCTACCTGTTCTTGGCACAGAATCCTAAAGGCCTTGTAGATAGGGGCGCTAGAGGAATCTTTTGTTCCGATATTTGGTTTTTCACCCTCAAGACAAAAGTGCTCCTAAGACCTTTCCTCTGTAATTTTCTTAGTGGTGTAAGCACCTGACACAGAGCTCCTAAATCCCTTGGAATTTCCTGGGTAATAGGAGCATCTTTTGTTCTAATGAGGTGACTTGGTGGGCTCCTGGGTAGCCTCAGGATGGGGGCTGGTTGCCAGGGGAACCAACTCTGTGATTAGAGGATTGGAACTCTCAGCTCCATCCTTTGACCTCCTGGAAGAGGAGAGAGGCTGAAGGTTGAGTCGATCATCAATGACCAATGATGTAATTAATCATGCCCTACCTAGTGAAGCCTCCATAAAAACCCGAAAGGAGTGGGTTCAGAAAGCTTCCGAATTACTGAGCACTTGGAAGTTCTGGAGGGTGGCATGCCTGGAGATGGCATGGAAACTCCATGCCCCTTCCCCCATACCTTGCCCTATGCATCTATCTATTCCATCTGGCTGTTCATCTGTGTCTTCTGTAATATCCTTTAAATAAATGGATAAATGTAAGTAAAGTGTCTTCCTGAGATCTGTTAGCCTGTCTAGAAAATTAGTCAAACTAGAGGTGGGGGATCATGGGAATCCCAATTTAATGCTGGTAGGCCGGAAGTGCAGGCCACAACCTACTACTTGCGATTGGTATTTAAAGTGGGAGCAATCTTGTGGGGCTGAGCCCTCAACCTATGGGATCTGACACTATTCCTAGGTAGATGATGTCAGAATTGAATTGTGCTAGGTGATACCTAGCTGGTGTCCCCTGCAGAATCGCTTTGTTAGTGTGTGAGGACATCTCCTCCCCAAACCTGGTGTCACATTGTTGTGTTGACGGGTGAGTGAGGGTAGAAAAAGCACTTTTTTTTCTATATCTCAGAAAAGCATTTTGAAATACACATAAAAATTAACAGAAGCAATATAATGAATAACACCTAAACCCCATGGAACCAACATTCAACACGAACAATCATTAACCTCCAGCCCGTCCTGCCCCATCTGCACTTGCATCCATTCACTCACCTACCTGTGTTATCTTGAAGCAAATTCTGGACATCATAACTTTTCACAGAAGTTAAGGACCCCCCCCACACACATGTTTTTTCTTTTCTTTCTTTCTTCCCTTTCTTTGTTTTTAACATAACCAAAAAACCATTAACACATTTAAAAACATTAACAATAATTTAAAAAAATCAAACATCCAATCTTCAAATTTTCAGTGAACTATGTCTAAATCACTAATATCTAATCCTTGTGAATCTTATAAACTGGAGCAAATTTCATGTTTTGATTATTTGCATACTTGTCATGATACATGTACATTTTGAAAACGGGTATATCCAGGTTCAAGAAGGTATACGTGGTACAGTTGTTTCAAACTGGATTGTGTTTGCACTTTTATATCTTTGGAGGCATTTCAGAGCCCTCAGAAGGAACAGTCACGGAAGGGTAAGTTGACATATTAAAGGGACAGACAGTGCTGAGTGAGAGTGGGCAGTGGGGAAAGACAAGACAGTGGGGGAGGCACTTCAGGGTGAAGTCAAAGGTATTGAAGAGACAGCAGTTTCAAGAAGGTGATTTTTATGATTGGGGAATGCTTAGCCATTAGTTACTCGTGCTGCTGGTACAATTTGTTGCCATTTCTTATAGGCAGTGTCACTGGCCACAATCGGAACTTCCTTTCTGGTTCATATGGTAATATGCAAATAGAGTAGTGATTTTGGTAGGGGATGAAGGTATCGGAAAGGGACTAGAAGCCCTATGAAAAGAGGTTAAAATGGCCTCAATAAAATAATCAAATAGCTTCTGTAAAATTTGGGGTTAGCTTATGTCTATAGGATAATCAAAATATCAGGTCTGGAACTGGCAGGTGCAGGCTTGAGGCCTTAGAGTTTTATCGAGAATGCACATACCAAGAACTTCATGAATGTGCATTTCCATTGGGCTACCTCCAGGATTGTTGGGAGCTGGTTGCCAATTGAAATAATTCTTCTCTCTCGCTCTCTGTTTCTCTCGCTCTACATATAAAATCTATGATAATTATAATAAGTTTTTTTAAAGAGACAGGGTCTTGTTCTGTCTCCCAGGGTGAAGTGCAGTGATGTGATCATGGCTCACTGCAGCCTTGAACTTCCCAGACCAAGTGATCCTCTTGCCTCAGCCTCCTAAGTAGCCACAGTGGCAAAACCACAATTTCTTTTGCACCAACCTAATAATGTTTTCATTTTTTTGTAGAGATGGGATATTGCTTTGTTGCCCTGGCTGATCTCAAACTCCTGGTCTCAAGTAACCCCCCTAAAGTGCTGGGATTACAGGCGTGAGCCACTGTGCCCAGCCAATAATAATAATTATTCTTCCTTTGCCTTATATCGGCATTTCTCAGACTGGGTTCTAAGCAACACCAGGCATTTGGTCAGATGAGTTTGGGAAACCCCGTCTACTCCATTTTCCCTCTCAGAGAGTCACAGTACACACTGAAGCATTAAAAGTTCTGAGAAATCAGCCGGGCGCGGTGGCTCAAGCCTGTAATCCCAGCACTTTGGGAGGCCGAGGCGGGTGGATCACGAGGTCAGGAGATCGAGACCATCCTGGCTAACATGGTGAAACCCCGTCTGTACTAAAAGTACAAAAAAATCAGCCGGGCGTGGTGGCAGGCGCCTGTAGTCCCAGCTACTCGGGAGGCTGAGGCAGGAGAATGGCGTGAACCCGGGAGGCGGAGCTTGCAGTGAGCCGAGATTGCGCCACTGCACTCCAGCCTGGGCTACAGAGCGAGACGGAGACTGAGACTCCGTCTCTAAAAAAAAAAAAGTTCTGAGAAATCCTGTTGCATTTTGAGGCTGGCTCATAGTAGGCACGAATTCGAATATTCAATGAACGCATAGATGTTACCCAGTGTTTCCTGAGCCTTTTAAATCATGGAAATCTTTTCTATGCAATATCGATTAATATCTTATGGTTCAGCAGGGCCCTGCAGAGGACATACTAATACTTAAACATGATTAGTTGTTCACATGACATTTACATTTGACTGGGCCTTCTGTATTTTTGTCTGCTAAGTCTGTCCACCTTATTCCTTCTTGATCTTCCCATCCCACTGTTTCAGTGGGGGCAGCCATGTTTGAACAAATGACCCTTCCCTCTATCCACAGTTGATTGGTTGAGTGGTGGGCATGTGATCCAGGCTAAGTCCATCATATTCTTTCTTTGGGAAAATGGAATTCTGATTTATAGCTGGTGGGTCAGAAGTACGGGTCAGAACCTGTACTTCTCCACGCAAGTCAGTTGGGATGCTGTCTTGAATGGAGAGCACAGAAGTGAAGCAAATGTTGGCAGTGGCTGTTTTCCACCGGGAAGACTGGGAAAGAACGAAGCAGATGCTGTGATAAGGAGACTTGCAGAGTTCTCAACAATGTCCCAACTCCTGCTTCTTGCTCTTTCTGAAGCTTGGCTGTTTAACTGCTCTTGTATTCTTTAAGATGCTCCCAGAATTCTTATAATACACCTTTCCTTTGCTTAAGCTAGCTCAAATGGAGTTCTATTTTTTGCAACCAAAAAATATCCTAATAAAGCGTGATTCTTCCCAGAGGGGAGTCGATTTGCTCTGTCATTCACGATTTACTGTAATAGGTCTGGTGTAGAGGGCTGACATGCGTTTTGAGAATGAGGTAGCTTATCTTTAAGGAGAACACTTTGACATCTGGGTGATTCTGTGTAAATAAATGATGACACCCGGGGCAAGCGACTTGACATTTCCCCGGTTAGCTCCATCTCTAGCCTGGAGCTCTCCAGCTTCCAGCATAGATGGGGAATCTCAGGGAAATCACAAAACCACCACATAGGCTCTTTCTCTGGGTAAACGGGCAAGATCACTCTGCATGCCAGATTGAGACACTGTACTTTAAAATCCTGAAGTTCCCAAGACTGGAATCCTGAGTGGAAAATTAGACCCCCCAAGGTCCATGGCTGTTGGCCTTGAGTTAAGTGTCACCCTTTGTTCCTACCATGGGAAGTTCAATTTAGAGCAATTTGGAATGATTCCCTCCAGTCTCAGGGCATCATTAGGTATTTCAAGGCTGGTGGTTAGCTTGGTAAAAACCACTTCCCCATATTAGAAGATCACAGGGACTATTGAAAAGACATCACAGAGTGTATGATTTTAAGCAAGTCACAGTTTTCAGATTACCAGTATTTTCAGACAGTTTAAAAAGTGCTTGTATCTTACATATAAACACAATCTATATAGTAAAGCTCACATTGACCTTGGAAAAAGCTCCTTTCGTGCAACATGGAAGTGTGGTGGTCTTCTTGGGTATCATGGGTTATTCAGGAATATTTTATTTTATTTTACTTTATTTTTTATTAGTTCATTTTCCTTAAAGCCAGGAGGCAAACAAATAACTGTGAACCTTGGTGAACAAATACAGACCTCAGATTAGGGTCGAGTAGCTCCTTGATTGATTTTCTCTTAAATCTTAGGATGGTTTCCATTGTCGAGAGATTTTTTTTAATCTGAGTTCACTGTTAGTTGTCTCTGGAGTGTGATTATCATTTTAATCCTGTAAGACCAGTGTTCTTTGGCCAGATAATCTCAGTGTATCTGGGGTTTTCAGCTGCTAAATTCTTAATGTGATGAATGGGACAGGATACCATATCCAGAAGACATTAATGGGTTCATGCGCATAATACAGTCATCACCACAAATAGGTCACGTCAGCCCTGAAATGTCAACTTGCACTCAAACTGCAAGTTGAGATGCACGTTTATGTACTTATTTTTACTTATTTTTTTTAAACAGGATCGTGCTGTGTCACCCAGCCTCCCAGGCTGGAGTGCAATGAGGTGCTCATGGCTCACTGTAGCCTCAACCTGCCGGGCTCAAGTAATCCTCCTGCCTCGGCCCCCCAAATAGCTGGGCCTACAAGTGCGCACTGCCATGCCCAGATATGTTTTGTATTTTTTTGTAGGTAGAAGGTCTCTCTTAGCTGGCCAGGCTGGTTTCAAATTCCTGGCCTCCCAAAGTGCTGAGATTACAGGT
Source organism: Homo sapiens (assembly GCF_000001405.40). NCBI lineage: Eukaryota > Metazoa > Chordata > Mammalia > Primates > Hominidae > Homo > Homo sapiens. The sequence continues at coordinate 173,765,766 of NC_000002.12, read as the reverse complement.
ATGAGCCACCACACTGGGCCATGTATTTTTTCGTACTAGTAATTTCTTTTTTAAAAACTAGGTCCAGGCCAGGGGCAATAGCTCATGCCTGTAATCCCAACACTTTGGGAGGCTGAGGTGGGCAAATCACCTGAGGTCAGGAGTTTGGGACCAGCTTGGCCAACATGGCAAAACCCTGTCTCTGCTAAAAATACAAAAATTAATCGGATGTGGTGGCACGCACCTGTAGTCCCAGCTACTCGGAAGGCTGAGGCAGGAGAATCGCTTGAACCCAGGAGATGGAGGTTGCAGTGAGCCAAGATTGCCCCGTTGCACTCCAGCTTGGGCATCAGAGCGAAACTCTGTCTCAAAATAAATAAATAAAATAATAATAATAAAAAAGCTAGATCCTAATGAGGTTTTCCTCCATTTTTCAAAGTGTATCTAAGAGGTATGAGACACCTGCTTTTGAAAAACCTATATATTGAAACATGGGCTTGGGTCATGAGGAGGGGTTTTATTGAAATATTGTGGTCTGAATCCTAAGCACACTCTTCTGCGGCTAACTTGAAAGTTCATGTTTTCCAGGGAAAAGGCAATTTCTAGGAAAGAAGTCTGATAATGACATGTTTAGATGAGGAGAAACATCTGATCTCTGAAAAATACATATCTATATATTTGACATTTAAAAAGTTATGTTTTAGTGCTTACCTAGAATATCCTTGGCTTTGTATTTATTTTTCAGGCTCTGCTCTCTGTTAGAAATTACATTCCCTGATAAGGAAATAGGAACATGGGAACCTTCTGTGGGTTGAGTATGGGCAGTCAAAGGTTCGCTGGTGTCTTTAAGAGCTATTTATGAACTCACACTCTGTCCAGAGAAGCTCTGGACAGCTCTATACTGTTAGCTACTTGTATATGTGTTGCCATGTTTGCTTGGAACTTGGCATAAATTTTTGGAGGAGTTTGTGTCCTTTTTTCTCTTGTATTATGTTATTATCATTGTTATTTTGTCAATAAAGATGTAGTTTTATGGAACTTATTAGTATCTTAGTAACTGTGATCTTGGGCAACTTATTTAAGCTATATTTTTCTTTCCTTTCATTTGTATAAATTTAAGGGGTACAAGTGCAATTTTGTTACATGGATATAGTGAAATCTGGACTTTCAGTGTGTCCATCACTCAAATAATGCCCATTTTACGCATTTAGTGATTTCTCATCATTTATCCACCTCCCATCCCTAGTTGAGCTATCTGAGCTTCAGTTTCTTTGTTTGCAAGAAGTAGATAATCATGCTTATTTCACAAGGTTGTTGTAAAAATGACATAAGCAAATATACGGAAAATACTCCAAACATAGTACTTAGTGTATAAATATGTGCACAATAAACATTAGTTATTTTCTATCCTTCAACTGAACCAACTGGAAGAGGGACTAAAAATAATATTGTGATTAATGAGGCATGCACGCACGCACGCACACACACACACACACACACACACACATACACACACAGAGGCAGCTCTGGAAATAGTCCATGTGGCTCTGGTAGCACGGTTATCTAGCTGGGTAGTTTCATTGTTGTTGTTTTAGGTAGCAGATTACTATGATAGCCCTCTTTTCCTATTCTATAGGTCTTGATAAGAATCACCCATGCTAGGCGATTCCTGGACAGTTAACACAGATGGTAACCCAAACCAACATGCTCCTAAAACTTCATCACAGTCTGAAGGTTGTGAAGACGTTTAGATGGTAGTTATAGATAGAGTCATATAGAGTCTAATTATCATCCAAAGTTTAGGAATTCATCTCCCTTCAGTTAGTTTTTCAAAAATTGAGTAATGTAGTTTTTGTGGTTTTAACAGCAGAAATTCTCCCCTTAAGTGACTTGGGTCTGTTTTTTCATCCAAGCTCTTATGATTTAGAGAGCCTGCCACCACCTGGCTGTGTGCACCTGCTTTATAATAGACACAAGTTGGTTTTTACTTGAGACTCTCATTTCTTTTGCACCAATATCTCACCTGTCCCTGAAATCATGAACTCATTTGCTTTTTCAGAACCTATCATCCTTTCTCACTGCTGTTCATGTGCTATCCCCTTGACTTTGTAGTGCAAAGGAGGGCCGTCAAAAGCAGCTTTTAAAGGGAGTTGGGTGGGGAAAGTGGAGGCTTCCTGGAGGAGTGATCCCTGAGCTAGGGCCTTGAGATGTGAGGAGGCAGCCAGTTCAAGAAGTGAGGAGAAGGCATGGACCAAGGCCCAGGGGCATGCAGTGGTTTGGCGAAGTGGAGTGTGCTACTGGCTAGAGTGGCTGGAGCCTGGAGGTGAGGAGAGCTGGAGATGGAGGTGGAGGTGTTGGCATGGGATAAACCATGGAAGGCCTGGGTTGCCAGATTAAGGGGCTTGGAACTTATAGGTAGGCCACGGTGAGCCTTTGATGGGTTTTAAGTAGGGGAGGGGCATGGTCTGTTCCCCTCTACCCGCTGGTTGGGGGAGCAGTGTAGAGAGATGGGTAACATAGAGTATGGTTGGCCAAGACGTAGTCTAGGTCAGAGATGATGAAGATCTGAGTAAGGGTGATAGGTGTTGGGGGAGAGGGAGTTACTGTGTCAGTGTAGACAGCTACGCCTACTCCATCCCTGTCAAATCTAATAGGGGGCATAATTTATGAATATTAACCTTCTTTTCTTTCTTTCTTTCTTTCCTTCTTTCTCTCTTTCTCTCTTTCTTTCTTTCCCTCACTCCCTCCCTCCCTTCCTTCCTTCCCTTTTCTTTTCTTTTCCTTTTCTTTTCTTTTCTTTTCTTTTCTTTCTTTCTCTCTGTCTCTCTCTTTCTTTCTTTCTCTTCCTTCTCTCTTTTCTCCCTCTCTTTCTCTCTTCTTTCTTGACAGGGCCTTACTTTGTTACTCAGGCTGGAGTGCAGGGGCACAATTATGGCTCACTGCAGCTTTGATTTTTTGGGCCAAAGGCATTCTTCTACCTCAGCCTCCTAAGTAGCTGGGACCACAGGTGTGTGTAACCATGTCCCACTATTTAAATTTTTTTTTTTTTTTTTTTTAGAGATGAGGTCTGCCTATGTTGCCCAGCCTGGTCTTGAACTCCTGAATTTCACCTTGGCCTTCCAAAGTGTTAGGATTACAGGCGTGAGCCACTGTGCCCAGCCAGCTATTTCTTTTGATAAATATACCCTATAATTGTCAAACAACTCCTTCAGTTTCATTTGTATAGGTCTTTGGTCCCCAAATTAGGCTGCACATTGCAATCTCTTGGAGACTTTTAAAAGCTACTGATGCCTGGGTCCTAACCCTGGAGATTCTGATATAACTGGTATGGCCTACAGCCTAGGCATAGGACTGTGGGAAGTTTGCCAACCGAATCTAAAATGTGTAGGAAAATGTGTAGGAAAGATTAAGAACCACAGCTTAACCACAGCTGTGGGTATCACCCAACCAGCGTAAAAAGAGAAATCTTCTTCCTGACCTTGTCCATTGGTTTAGGAGCTCATAAAAAGGGACACAAAGTGTTCACAATGATCAGTCAGTTGGGATTATTAGAAAAACTGTGATTCCTATGCAGTAGTTGCCCAGCACAATTCTGTGAGTTACACACTGAATTCTAGCTGTATTTCCATGGAAAATTGCTTATGCTTATGGATGGCACTTTCTAAAAAGCCTCTTGCACTCTCTTTGGATTAAAAGTGATTTTCATTGTTATGGATTTACTTTGTTTCTGCTGATTTATTTATTGACACTAAATAAATTCATCCTACCGAGGTTATTTCCGCCTAGTTATCTTGGGTTAAATTGTTATCTAGCATTGTTGCAGATCTGCATTTGTGGTCTACATCAGTGTTTCTCGAATTTGAATGCTTTTTGAGAATCACCTAAGAATCTTGTTTAAATGCAGATTTGGATTAAGTAGGGCTGGGGAACAGCCTGAGGTTCTGCATTTCTTTTTTTTTTCTTTTGAGACAGTGTCCGGCTCCATCTCCCAGGCCGGAGTGCGGTAGTTGCTTGACTCATTGCAACCTCCACCCCCAGGTTCAAGCAATCCACTCACCTCAGCCTCCCAAGTTGCTGAGACCATAGGCGTGTACCACCATGCCTGGCTAACTTTTTTTGTATTTTTTGTAGAGACGAGGTTATGAGCTCTCAGGTCATGCTGAAGCTGCTGGTTCATGGACCACACATTTAATAGAGGATCCTGGGGCCCTAGGAAATATTCAAAAGTCACTTATTATTATCCTTCTCTTCAATTATAATCATTTGGGGGAAGCATAAAAAATGAAACAATATTAACAGTTAATTTCAAAAAAATCTCTAGGTGAAGATTTACATATGGTTGCAGATGAAATAAATACAAAATCATTTTTCCATCTGTGAATGACATTTCTACTAATCTCAAACCTCTCGATTGTGCCTTTGAGGACACCTAGGAGAAATTACTCCAGGAGCATGCAAATATGAGATTCTGGGTTTCATTGTTTTTAAGTGTGCGAGGATTCTATAGTTAACAAAATAGTTGAAATGTTTAATATATGTCAATAGCTGAAAATACATAACCTCAAACAATACGACAATGCTATTAATGTCAAATTTTGACGATTGAGATAACCAAAGTCAGGCCATACGTGGTGGGAACTCACAGCTGAGTTTATAATTTTGGAGAGCTTTGAATCTAATGACAGAGACGTGAGATATTGTTTCTTCCTCAGAGGACAAAGTTCAATAAAGTTGATTAAAAATTTTTAAGTTGACTAGTCTTAAAAATAATAATAATAAAAATTATTAGGAACCCAAAAATTATATTTTGTGAACTCAGAAATTTTTATGTTTTAGCATCTTGTTTAAACAAGGTGCTTGTTTAACAAGGTTTTTTTTTTCTTTCTTTGCTTTAGGCAAATAGCTCACAAGGAACCTTGATTACATTTCTAGAATGAAAATATAACTGGTATGTTGACAAGTGTAAGGAGTAGGATGTAATTGGAATGAAACTTATTTTTGACTTCCAGTGCTCTTTAAAACGTATTCAGTGCGGGAGTTTTTTGTTGGATGAAAGCCCGGATAGATTTCAGGAATGTTCTAGTCACTTAAGGAGTAGCAAGTCCTACTAACCACTTAAGCCAAAACACAGTCTTGAATTAGAAATAGAATTCCAGTCTAATATATAATCAATGTTTCAATATATATTTAAAAGTAAGACCTCCTTTCCCTGCCCCAGCTATAGCCTGTTTGTTACAGACCACGTGCCTTTGTAGAAGGAAAGATGGTGGCTTTTTCTTTCGCTTTTCTACTTTCTTCCATGTTCCTGTGGGGCCGGAGCCCCGAGGGGGAGAAGAAAAAGGGTACAGCAAAGCTCTTATGTGAATGGCGTGGTTGAGAGATGGCTTTGCACTGTCCGGGTCTGGCCGATGCTCACAGGTGAATCTTTCTCTCGTGGGGCTGTTGCTGGGCCGTTCAGAAGTTCCCCTGAGGGTTCCTCCAACTTTAGGCCCAAGAGGTGGACCAAGCAGACTATTCCTCTAGCTGCTGCACTCTTTTCATCCCTTGTTTTCTAGAACTTCCCCTCCACAAAGTCTTTGGAGTCCCATCGCTCCCAGGAGACTCTCAGGAGCAGAATTCAAAATAGCCCCAGGGAACTCTTTCACTTGTGCGGCGGGATTAGGAGTCACATAGGGCAGCAGCCCTCTGCTGAAAGACACTTTTCATTGATCCTTTCTCAATATTCATGCTTTCAACCCTTTTATATCCTCCTTGCCGGTTTTAGGGCTGCTCAGTTTTTATAACTCTTTGAAATTTCCACCTGGTGGTCTGGTGCCTCACTTTAGAAATTTTATATTTATGGTATCTTTGGTGCTTCAGTTGTAAGTTCAAATTTAATATTTGATTACCCCATAATTTAAATTTCTATTTACCTTCCCAAATAGGGTAATTCCTAGACTACTGACCTGTGTCAAATACTTTCTTATACATTAGGGTTTGTCAGTCTCAGCACTATTGACATTTTGGACCAGATAATACTTTGTTGTGGAGGACTGTCTTGGGCATTGTAGGATATTTAATAGTATCCCTGGCCTCTACCCACTAGATACCGATATCACACACCACTCTGACTCCCTGCAACCCCAAGTCACAACAACAACAAAAATCTCCAGACATTTCCAAATGTCCCCTAGGGGCAAAATTGCCCCTGGCTGACACCCACTGCCATAAATTTATAAGTACAGGTCTAAGGGCAAATGTTAAAAACAAGATATGCATCATAACTATGACCTAGACGGGAACGGTAGCCCTGGAAACAACCTCAGCCAGCCCGTTGCCCAACCTCCACTTTATAAGCAAGGAAACAACACAGAGGGGTGCAGTTGATTACCTGGTGTCACAGAGTCCCTGCCATGGGTAGGACTGGGAAGAACCTAGGTCTCCTGACCCTCATGCAGCAGCATTCATTGTGAGGTTGGGGATAAATAATTATTAAATTTCAACAGCACTGCTAATTTTAAAGTACCTATGCTTAGAATTTTCTGAGGCAAAAATAGAACGTAGAAAATCCTTATCTAATTAGTTAGTGAATAGCACTGAATTAAAATTGGACACTATAATTAATCAATGCTAAATTGTAGTCAAATCCATTACCCTTGAGTAGATTATCTGTGTGACCCACAGTCTCCTTCTGACACCACACGTTGGGGATCTGTAGATGCTGATTGGAGGGATTTGAGAAGGGGAGAGGTTGGGGGTTGAGGGAAACTATGAGTGGCAGTAAATCATTTTTCATCTTATCTGTAGTTTGTTTTTATCTATGTCACTGCTCCTTTCCATTAACAAAGCTAATTGAGAACTGACTATTGCAAACTTTTATTACAGAAGGCCAGAGACAGAAAAACACCTCCAGAAAAAATCAGAAATTATTCAATCGTCTGTTCTAAGCATGGTCAGTTTCAGGACCGAATGATCAAGTTTCAGAAACGTTTCTTTCCTGTTTTTTAATTTTTAATTTAAATTAGAGGATTTTTTAAGTTTAATCCACAGAGCAAAACATATGCTTTCCATAGAATTCTTTTCAGCAATGCCTTGCAAGACACAGGTTAGAAGTAAAATCGAACAATTTCCCTAATATTTTATTTCCTAAAGAGTACCTTTCATTTCTGAACTCTATTCGTGTGTCCAGATCTAAACTGTGGTGTTTTAATTGCCTAGGAACCTCCTCTCAAATGCTGGGGCTGGACTTGGGTATTATTGGATTCATTGAGACTCACTGCCCAGCTCTCTAAGGAGTTTCTCTCCCTGTTCTGTCTGTCATGCCCCAATCTCCTCACCTGGAAATGTGAAAATTATAGGGAGTCTTGTCTCTTAATACTAACTTTTAAAATTTAAAAAATCAAAGATATTATTATCCACTTATTGATCCCTTACTATGCCTCAGACCCTCTGCTAACACAGGTCCCTCTTTTAGCCCTCACAACCCCCCACCCCCAACCTCCCACTCCATGAGGCAGGTGCCATTGTTCCAGTTCTCAGATGAAAGAATGAATCAGTGTGCCTAAGGTCACTCAGTTGTAAGTGGTGGGGCAGGGATTCTTAGGTCTCCCGGAACCCATGACCCGTGCCCTTAACCACTATCTGGTGCACACACCTTGCCCCGCCCCCCTATCTCATCACTTAGAATATTAGGCTATTCTTTAAAATACGTCCATGGGTTGTCCTTTTCTCTGTGGCCTATAGTCTTATGCCTGGACTCTTCTAAGAGCCTTCTCTGTAAATGACACAGACCTCACAACAATCTGGCTCAAATGCTGCCTTTTTAGGCCATTCTTCCACCCAGATCCCTCTAGAACTCCCTATTACTTATCATAACAAGCCAAAGGCCTCATCTGACCCAGTGTGTTCTGGCCTCTGCTCCCTCACCCCGGCCACCAGCTCACGCCCCTCCCTCTCCCTTTCAAGCATCGTTTTTCCCTCCTGGGAAAACGACAGACTTGGTCGCCCATTCCCTAAGACCTGTCCAGTCACTGGGTCCTGGCCTGAGACTCATTTCCTGTGAAACTCTGTCCTAGGATTGCAGCCCATCTGATCCCTAGATTAGTTAGTTAAACCTAGCTAAGATCTTAATTTTTCTCTCATCACTTCCATACCTGTTCTTCATCCAGATCTTATCATGTTTGAGCTCCGTTGTGTTTCCTAAAGTCCAAGGGGCAAAAAGATGAACAACCTTCAAGACGACCCCAGTGCAGCCCAATAAATGCCTGTTGGTTTATTGGGCATCAGTTTTCACAAATGGGAAGTAACACTGGGATAGCAATGAGACTCAGTGGAAGTCTCTGAGCATCGCTGAGACCACCAAGAACAGATATACTCAGTCTTGAAGATGTTAAGTTTTCCTAAAAACATTTTAACATCATCAGGGAGTGGGAGAGTAACCTTCATTTTTAAACCAAAATATGTAAACCCAAGTTCATTATTACTTTTTTTTTTGTATTTCACAGTCATATTGATATGACCCATGTTAATTAGAGAAGGCCTAATTGCCTATTTATGAATTGGGATTATTGTTACTAATTTGATACAATTATTTATTCTGATTTTAAAAGGGAGGTTTCTAATGCTCTTTGCGAAATAAAATTCCTCCAATTTCTTAAAAAAATTATTTTTTTTTAGAGATAGGGTCTCATTATGTTGCCCGGGCCGGCCTCAAACACCTGGTCTCAAGAAATGCTCCCACCTCGGCCTCCTGAGCAGCTGGGATTATAGGCATGAGCCACTGTAACTGGCTTAAATTCCATCAGTTTCTAAAGAGCATCTTACTTTAGATTTTTTACACTTCCTTGAAGTCTATAGTATAGTTTTTGAATCTTATGAGTTATATAGTAAATTTGCTTTTGTTAAAGGAATTTTAAAAATATGAATTATAAAATATTTGTACTTGTTAATGCCATTGAATGTTTTTCAAGGTTATTTTTGGTGCTGACAGAAATTAATAGATGGCACAAAGCCCATTTAAAACATTTTTTAAAGCTATGAGTCTCACTACGCTGCCCAGATTGGAGGGCGGTGGCTCTTCACTGGTGCAAACAGAGCACACTACAGTGTTGAACTCCTGAGCCCAAGTGATCCTCCTACCTCAGCCTCCCAAGTAGCTGGGACTCATGCCTATGTCACTGTGACCAGCTTGCAAATCACATTCTAGAATCTGTTTGCCATTCACTTTGTCTTTCTCAGCTTGAGATCTCTAGCTTCAGCTAAGTAAAGGCTTGTGAATGTTGTGGGGATGGTGTTCTAACTATGCTTTCTTAGAGTCTGTGTTCGTCTACCTGGCATCCATTAACTACAGGGCCAAACTAAGCCAAAGTTGCTTCCATCTCCATGTGATCCAGAGCCCATAATCTGAACCACTTCCTTATCTAACTCACACACCACCCAATACTCCCCCTGGCCTAAATCAGCCAGGGCCAGGCACTAGACAGCTGGAGACCACCCCCATAATCCAGAGCCCACTGACACTATTCAAACTAGATAGTCCTCAGCTGTTTCCCCTGCCCTGCCTTGCTTTTCCCATGGAAATTCCATTAAGGGTCTGGCCTAGTTCTTCCCCTCACACCTGCTTCTGCCTTCTAACCAAACCTTGGTGCTGCTCTAGGTGGCCCTGTGTGGCATGGCATGCCCCTTCCATGCATGTGAGTAGTACCAGTCTTCTTTCAGTGGCATTGGCCTCTGTGTGTTGTCACTCAGTCACCTCCATAAGTTAAAACCCTGCAGGTACAAATGAGACATGATGGCGCAATTTCCTGGGGCCTTTCTCTCTGTCAAGTGCACCTGCGTTGTTTATTACATCACACCAGTAGCTGTTCTTGTCTCATGCTCTTAGAAATCTGATGCCCAGGCTTAAAAAGCTATCTCAGGCTGGATGCAGTGGCTCACACATGTAATCCTAGCATTTTGGAAGGCTGAGGTGGGCAGATCACCTGAGGTCAGGAGTTTGAGACCAGCCTGGCCAATATGGCGAAACCCTGTCTCTACTAAAAACACAAAAATTAGCCGGGTGTGGTGGCGGGCACCTGTAATCCCGGCTACTCCAGAGGCTGAGGCAGGAGAATTGCTGGAACCCTGGAGGTGGAGATTGCAGTGAGCTAGGATGGCGCCACTGCACTCCAGCCTCGGTGGCAGAGCAAGATTCCGTCTCAAAAAAAAAAAAAAAAGCCATTTCACTATGCAAAATACATGCTGAAACCTATCAACTGAAGAAGCTCACAGTAGGTTCCTTCCTCAGACATGGAGACCTGCACTTAGAAGAAATATACGGAAGTAGAGGGAAAGAGTGGGGGAAGGACAGGCTTTGATAGGTGCGGTAGATACAGGGACAGAGGAAACAGTCTCTGGAAATAATCTGAGGCCACCTGAAAATTAACCCTAGAACTGCACAAGCTCTAGGCTGAGACCCAATTCATACCATGAGAGTATTAAATGATTCATTTATTCATTCATCCATCTTTCTACCCATTCAATCATCCATCTACTTAACAAATAGCTATTTAGTTCTTACTGTGCACCAGGCATAGTTCTAGTGCTGGGAATATATCAGCAAAGTCAAAGTCCTTGCCTCTTGGAGTTTATAATCAATTGAGAGAGAGGGAGTTGGCAGGTAAACAGATATTTCAGGCAGTGATAAGTGCTAGAAATGAACTAAAGTAGGGCAAGGGGAGAGAGTAGAGGGTTGAAGTTGCTATTTTTAGGTGGGATGGCAAGGGAAGGCCTCTGCTAGGAGAAAATGTCAAGAGAGGCTGAAGAGGGAAGAGATAAGCATGTCTGGGAGGCAGCATCAGGGAGGCAGGCGTTCCAGGCAGAGGGGCAGGAAAGCCCTGAAGCAAATGGCAGCAAGAAGGCTAGTAGGTGATGGAAGTGAAAATGGAGAGAAAGCCCCACAAACAATGCACCGATGTCGTTCCTAATATGAACACTCGATTCTGCATGGACAGAGGGAGCAGGAGAGAGGGAGCCAGCCGTTCACTGGATGGCAGGAGCAGGCACATGGCAAGTGCCACTGGGGCATCCGTAATAATAGTCCTCCCAGCTACTGGTGTCAGTGCACTCACTGTGCTCCAGGTACCAGAGTCATGTCTATACAGTTTGTCATTTATTAGATCTCTAAGATGGCCTTTGCTTTTACGAAGGTAACACGTGCACACAGTTAAACAACAGGGAGAAAAAAGCCTCTAACAAACAGCAGTGGTCCTTCACTCCCCTCCCCCCATTTCGAGTCTTTTTCTCCAGAGGCAACCGCTTTCAACTCTCTTAATCCTTTCTTCTGGCATTGACTGGCACATACTGTTTCCAAATAATATGCACATACGTGACTTCATGCTTTAGTCCTTCTCTATGGACTTTTGGTGTGTTAGGTAATAATTTAGCTCTCTTACCCCCCCTCCCTCTTCTCTTACCAACATTCTTTGGATATTTTGTCTTAGCTGGTCTACTAGAACAAAGTACCTGAGACAGGGTGATTCATAAACAATAGAGATTTATTTCTCACAGTTCTGGAGGCTGGGAAATTCAAGATCAAAGTGCCAGCAGGTTTAGGGGCTGTTCCTCATAGAGGATGCTGTCTAGGTGTCTTCACACGGTGGAGGAGAGAAGGAGCAGAAAAGGGCCTAAGCTAGTTCCCTCCAGCCCTTTTATAAGGCACTAGTCCATTCACAAGGGCCTCATGACTTAATCACTTCTCAAAAGGCGTCACCTCTTCATAACACCACAGTGGCAATAAGTTTCAACGTGAATTTGGAATGGACGCATTCAAGCCATAGTATATACTTAATCATGATTTTAATTCAATTCATAGTCAGTGTTCCTGGGTGCAGTGGCTCACACCTGTAATCCCAGCACTCTGGGAGGCCAAGGTGGGTGGATCACTTGAGGCCAGGAGTTCGAGACCAGCCTGGCCAACACAGCGAAACCCTGTCTCTACAAAAAATACAAAAGTTAGCCGGGCATGGTGGTGGGCGGCTGTAGTCCCAGCTATTCGGGAGGCTGAGGCATGAGCATTGCTTGAACCTGTGAGGTTGAGGTTGCAGTGAGCTGAGATCGTGCTGCTGCACTCTTGCCTGGGTGACAGAATGAGAATGTCTCAAAAAAAAAAAGTCAGTGTTTACATTGCTATGACTGTGCAAATCTTGTTCACTGCCCAGTCAAAATGTGTAACATAATCATTTTCCTCATTTATTTCTGAATTATTTTCCTCAATTATTTCTGAGGTAAATAATTGCCCTTTTTCACTTGCTCAGTTCTAAATACATATCATTACGATTTCTCCAAATTTACTAACACATCTGTCAATCAATGTCTATCAATGATTTGTCCAGTTGCAAACACTTGATCATCTCTATTTTTCCTCCCACAGACTCCTGTCGCAGAGTCCTCACCCTCTCTCAGATTTGGACGGGGTTGCTATTTGGGTGTGGGGGACGTCTACATCCTCTGTCCATGTCAGATATCCTCTTCCCTGGAGCTCACGTTTCTTTTTGGTTGAATCTCTCCATTTGTGGAAGGATATCTTTCAGGAGCTTTGTAAGAAAGGGCATATGGAAGTAAATTTTTTTTTTTAGACGGAGTCTCTCTCTGTCACCCAGGGTGGAGGGCAGTGGCTCAGTCTTGGCTCACTGCAACCTCCACCTCCCGGGTTCAAGCGATTCTTCTGCCTCAGCCTTCCGAGTAGCTGGGACTACATGCACCTGCCACTATGCCTGGCTAATTTTTGTATTTTTAGTAGAGACGTGGTTTCACCATATTGGCCAGGCTGGTCTCAACCTTGTGATCACCTGCCTTGGCCTCCCAAAGTGCTGGGATTACAGGCATAAGCCACTGTGCCTGGCCGGAGGTAAATTTTTTGATTATTTGCAAGTCCAAGTATAAATTTATTCAGATCTCATATTTGATTGAATACTGGACTGAGTATACAATTCTAGATGGAAAATAACTTTACCTCAGAATTTTGAAAATATTTGTGTACGTCTTCTAGCATCTAGAAGAAGGCCTATATTATTCCAATTTCTTTTCTTTTATATATACTGTATTTTTTTCCTCTCTAAAAACTCTTACGATATGCATTCTATTCCTGGTATTCTGAAATTTGAGACTTTTTATCCCTTTTAATCTCTTTTCAAAAGCATGTTAGAAAAGTTTCCTGAAAAGAGATGCAAAGTTTTCTGAAATTCTATGACCATTAAAAAAAAACAAAAACTTCTTTGGGGGAAGGCTAGAATGTTAGTTAGTGGACATAATATCTGAAAGTATCAGAAATTTTTGAAGCTGAATTAAATATTCAATACTTTTGCTTTATTTACATGAGTGGTTCTCAGCCAGGGGTGATTTTGCCACCCAGTGAAATGGGGCAACGCCTGGAGGTATTTTAGGTTGCCTTGACTTTGGGCAGGGAGGGATTGCTACTGGCACCTAGTGGGTAGAGGCCAGGGATGCTGCTCTACATCCTGCAATGCACAGAAGATCCTCACAATGAAGAATGATCAGGCCCAAAATATCAATAGTGTGATTGAGAAACTCTGCTTTAAAGATTTCAAGTTTCTTTATTAGTAGAAATGCCAAAAATTCTGAGTAGATTGGTTTTGTTCTGCATTCATTCATAGGATCTCCGAATACTACACACATACTCATAGAATCTCCAAATATTTCACACATATTTAATTGCATGTCTAGTAAGTGCCAGGCACCATGCCTGCTCTCACAGAACTTAAAGTCTCTTGAAATAAATTGGCTCGCTTTTTATTTTTGGTATATTTAGGGAGTCTATGAAATAGATTATTTTTTCCCTCAATTTTAGGATCATAAAAACAAATTTCTTGGAGGAAAAGACAACCTCTCCGCTTTGGTCTTGTGCTTTCACATCACTGACCCTAGCAAGAGAGTGCTGGAAATGGTGAGGCGGGGAGACACTGTGTTCAACAAGGATAGAGACACCTCTGTGATCTCAGCACTGCAATTCACTGCAGGCTGGAATGCTTGTCGAAGACGCACATTCCTAGGTCCTCAGACAAAAGGAATCAGAATCACCGAGATGTAGCTGAGACTCTGGGTTCCAACAAGCTCCCCAAGTGGTTTTATGTTCACCAACATCTAAGAACCTCTGGCCCAGACCCTGTGCTATTGTGGAAATGGGTGTGAATATTCGGATCCAGGGGTGAAAATGGTGGTAATTAGTGCACACAGCATCTTTAATATTAGGAATAAGATGAAGCATTAACATTGCGTTTAGAGCACTACTCTGTCATCAGACTGCTCGATTCAACCCTTAGCTCCATCATTAATTAGCTGTGTGACACTGAGGAAATGACCTAACCTCTCTGAGTCTCTGTTTCCTCATCTGTAAAGTGGAGATAATAGTATACATAGTTCATAGGGTGTATGCTGGGATTCATGTGAAATACTTTCTACAGTCTGGCACATAATCAGTGCTCAATATTATAGTTATAAAGAGACACAACTCTTGGAATCCTGAGACAGTTCTTGAGATCCAAGACGCTTCCTGATCTAAACTTCAATGATTTCTCCAGCAAAAAACGTCCTCCTCTCCAGACTTAATGCATCCACAGGCTCACATACTGTGCACGGTGTGTGTACATACACATACCCGCTGCCTGTCTTACACATGCACACATGCTTTCTCACACTCACACACACTTTCACACATGTTTTCTCACACACACACTCTCTCACACACACACTCACACAAGTTCTGTCTCACACATACCCCCCTCACACATGTTCTCTCACACTATTCACACTCACACATACACACTCTCACACATGGTCTCTCACAGACACACTCACACCTGTTCTTTCTGTCACATACACACACTCTCTCACACATGTACACACACACACACACCCCTCTACCACTCATAAGGTGGCTGTTCCTCGGGGTCTAGCATCTGTTTGACTTTCTTTGTTCTGGAAAGGCTTCTTGTCAGCACTGTCCTTTCCAAGATCTGCACTGCACTGTGGGCTGGGGCTGTGATAATTAGTCCCTTTCAGATGGCTCAGGCTTAATGATAATGAGTGGGCAGAGCTGCGTGGCTGCAGGCTGGGAGCAGGAGGTGGAGAGGGTATGGCTAACGGCAGAGTCCGAGGCTGTAACCTGGGGTGGCCAGAGCCAGGACACCCCTCTTTCCTCTCTATGCCCTGCGGGGCCAGGTTTGGGGGCACAGTGGAGATGAAGCACCCTCCTGGTGGCAGACCTCACTTGCTTGAGGCCTCAAGGAACGCGGAATGTAACCAGAGCTAAGCACAGGCGCTGAGAGCCCTCTATGGGCTCTTCCAATTACAATGTTGTGATTAGCCACACTTCCTGCTTGGAAAACAGGCAGGCAGATATTTAAAAGGGAAATCCTACTGTGAGGTTTGGATGGGATTTCAAATGAATTTTTTCTGCAAATAAGATTAAAGGCAGAAAGAGGAAGGGATGCTATTCAAAACTTTCCCGAGGGCTAGGGCTTGTTGAGCTATAGAACAAAGGATGCCCAGAGACCCCGGGAGCTCCAGCTCCCTATAACTTCATGATATGCTGGACTTTCCCAAGCGAGTGACTTTAACCATCATTCAGATTGGGTGGGCAGTGGAGACATGGACAAGACCTTAAAATGTTTTTTTTTTTTTTTTGGTACAAGAAGATTCTCTTAAGCAGGTTTGTTGCTGTCAGCAAACAACTGTTGAGCATCTAGCGGGGACACCTCAGGAAATTGTTTGGGTGACTGGGCAAGTTGTGTAATCTCTGTCGTCTTAGTTTCCTCATCAGGAAATTGGGATAACCATAGGACTTATCTCAAAGGATTGTTGTATGATGGGAGTGAATGCTTATAGAGCACTTAAAGCAGAAGCCGGCACACACTCAGCCTTCAGGAAATGTGAGCTCTTGTTCTCCTGAGGAATTCATCAATATTGTAGGTCAAAGAGCTCATAGTCAGGTTTGCCAAGGTCATCGCAAGTCACGGTGAAAGTCTATGGCTTTCTATTACGTGTTCAGGTTTAAAAGAGTGATTGCTTTATATACTCAACATTTTCTGGAAATACAAATGTACGTTTTGAAATTTAGTCCCAAAAGGTAGTTTACAGCACCCTCCATTGTGGTGGTGATGACCCACATGCTGAAAGAAAGCACGTTGTATTTAATACAAAGGCTGCAAAAAACCTGCTTGAACATTAAACTTTACAGAGGAACACATAAAATGCACTGGAGCAAAAATTCCTCAACTCTTCTGCCACCAGCAGATGGGGTTAAGGGTCCCTTAGTCTCTCTTTGGACTTAAGGAAAATGTGGACTTCTGGACAACCTTTGTAAGGACACTACCTTCTGTACTTTTTTTTTTGCCCTAGGACTTTGGGAAAACAGATTCCAATCATACAGAGATATGACCCAGAATATTAAAAAAAAATCTAGTGTTTTGTTCATTCAGAAGTCAAGTGATGACTGTTAGTTGAAAAGTATATTTCTGTTATTAAAGAAGCAAATTAAAATCACAAGAAAACAATGGAATGATCAGCTTGCAAAGTTATTTGCGTTGATTAAAAGCACCAATAAATGTGTCTTGGTTCTATAACTGCTTCATCTGGCACTTGACATGTAATAGATTTTTTTCACAGTATAATATCTCCATTGAAATACAATTATTTTGCAGATTGCTCAACCGAATACTCTTATAAACATACTGTTAGGGGGACTCACCCCTGGTGATCATCAGGGTATCATGACAATGTGCACAATTGATGGACATGAGAGGAATGTGGCAGCCAAGCTCGGAGCAGAGAGGGTGATTTGTTGCAGAGCAATTATTCTAATGCATTTTTAAAAGCGTAAAATAAAGAATCATTTCATTTGCTGAAAAGATATTTTAGGTGTTTCGTTAAAGCAGTGACAGAATATTTTGATTGTCAGGTTTTTTTTTCTTTATAAAGTTAGATAATTACATTTACCAGTTAAAGAATTGCCATTTAAAAATAATATTTTGTCTAAATGTTTAAAGATGTCTATTAAAAATGTATACTGAACATGACAGTGGCCTTTTCATGCTGTAATTCTAGTCAGTGGTCCGAAAACAATTAGGCTGAAAAAATGAACATTTATTCACTGCTAGCTGGAGAGTCAAGAATCTGTAGAGTATATTATGATTTTTAAGATTGTTTTATGTTTGCTCAGATAACATATCTAAGGAAGGTGGCTTATGTGTGCATTTAGTTTCTTCAGTAATCTCTCCAGTGGGCAAAGCCCCCAGTAGTCTGTGTTCCGGGGAACCCATGATCTCATGCATAAGAATGTGGAGGACATCGGGGGATCTTTAATGAAACAGCCAAATGTGACCTATCTATTTAGGCCCCTCGTTCATCTGGCATATACACTGGCATAGCTATGCTAGTTACAATACTGAAATATTTGCTCACCTGTCAGAAGCAAGTCCTTCCCCCAAGGCCCCCGTGTGGCCCCCTCAGGCCACTCCCTGAGACCCTCCAGGTAGCCCCCAACCCAACGGGCAAAAGATGAATGCCTGCCTTGGCAGAGGCTGCCAGCTTGCTCCAGCCTGGAGTTTTTTTTTTAACTTTTAGAACTTTTTATTTTTTCTTTTCTTTTCTTTTCTTTTTTTTTTTTTTTTTTTTGACAGAGTCTCCCACTGTCACCTGGGCTGGAGTGCAATGGCGTGATCTAAGATCACTGCAACCTCCACCTCCTGGGTTCAAGCAATTCTCCTGCCTCAGCCTCTTGAGTAGCCGGGATTACAGGCACCCACCATGCCCAGCTAAATTTTTGCTAAATTTTTGTATTTTTAGTAGACGCAGGGTTTCACCATGTCGGCCTGGCTGGTCTCGAACTCCTGACCTCGTGATCCGCCCACCTTGGTCTCCCAAAGTGCTGGGATTACAGGTGTGAGCCACTGCGCCCGGCCTTTTTTGAACTTTTTCTAAGTAAATAATTACTAAGCTAAGTGATAAATATTTTCCTGGCACTGCCTAACTTCTCTGGAACAATCACTTAGATTTTACAACGCCCTTAATAAAGAATTAATTGAGTACATCTTTTTGACTGGAGTAATTTATTTAGTTAGAATTTTTGAAGAAAGTAATTCTTATTTGTGCTCACAACAAAGTAATTAGTGATCATCATTTTACTTAAAAGAAGTCTTTAGGAAGAGGCTTTTTTAAAGGTATCATTTATGATGGCAGAGCCTATGAGAGGAACCCTTTGTCCAGGACAATAGTCTTTTAGCCTTGTTAGTGCCTTATTCTATATAAATGTGCCTAATTGTTACAGTTGCTAAACAGACCTCATCCTACTGCGTGTGATCATTTAGCTGTGAGGAGACATAATAGCAGTTGCATCTGAAATTTGCAGTAATTTTACATATTCTTCCTGCAGACATTTTTTTTTTCTTGTTGCTAAAGGAGCTGAGGAAGTGCTGCTGTTTTCCCCATTGTCAGGGGCAGCTGTCTCTCTATGCTGAGGCTGTGCACCCACCAACCAGGCAGATGGTGGATGGTGGCTGAGGCATGTCTTCCATGCACACACAGGACCCACTTTGCTGGCTTTGGGAAGCGCAGCTGCCACACTGTTAGGATGGTGACAGCGAGGCGCCGTCTGCATTTCAGACACGGGAGCCCTTGTATAGAGCCATGTGCTCTGAAAGGGTGCTTGGGGTCTTCGGAGCATTGAATAGGCACTTGCATATTTAAACTGCCAGAGCTGTGTGAAAATATGGATTCCTATTAATTAGAATTTTGGATAGGAATCAGGCAGGAGGTGTGTTGCAAGGACTAGGGGAAACCGTTCTGCCAGATCTGCATGCTAATGTATTCCTGATGGGAGAGGCGAGCCCAGGGCCCTGGAGCCTGCTTCACACCACCGGGATTCTAAGACTTGATTCACTCTTCCACCTTCACCTATATGGATCCTTTATGCTACTCAAATCCATTCTGAGCGAGGCTTTGACACAGCACTCCGTTGTCTGGGGGAGGGTTTGACTGTGCGTAAGGTAAAAGACCCTTTCCTGATCCTATATGCTGTGACTTGACCCTCCAAAGAGGGTGGCTTATGGGAAACTAACATAGGATCTCCGGCTATGGCGCTTCATTTCCTTACTGTCAAGTGCAGCCCACGAGGCAGGGCTTTAGCTCTGTTACTCCTGTCATACCCTGTGTTTCGTCCGCTGTCCTCAAAAGTGGGCGTTCAGGCTTCACTTAGTTTTATTAAGATACAATTCACATATTACACAATTCACTCATTTAAAGCCTACAATTCAATGGTTTTTAGTATATTCACAGATTTCACAGATAGGTGCAATTATCACCATAGTCAATTTTAGAACATTTTTATCACGCCCGTCAAAAAGACACCCTATGGTTTTGTCAGCTAATTCTTTACCCTTAAGCTATCATTCCAAATTCCCTGCCCCCTTCCCTCAGCCCTAAGTAATCACAATCTGCTTTTTGTCTCTATAGATTGCAGACACTTTAGTGTGTGAGTAGTTTGAGGGTGTGCTGGAGGGTGCATGCGTGTTGGTCTGCAGATAGTGTGGGGTGAAGGGGAGAGGACAGGGAAAACTTCCAGAACAGATGAGAAAGCAGCCCTAGCATGGAAACGCATCGAGATCAGTCACCATCTCTTGAAGTCAAAGTGATCCACTTCTAGGTGTCTTTTTTAAGATTTTTTTTTTTTTTTTTTTTTTTTTTTTTTCCTGAAACAGAGTCACTCTCTCTGTTGCCCAGGCTGAAGAGCAGTGGCGCCATCTGGGCTTACTGCAGCCTCCACCTCCCAGGTTCAAGCTATTCTCCTTCCTCAGCCTCCCAAGTAGCTGGGATTGCAGTCATGTGTCACCACGCCTGGCTAATTGTTGCATTTTTTGTAGAGACGGGGTTTCACCATGTTGGCCAGGTTGGTCTCAAACTCCTGGCCTCAAGTGATCTGTCCACCTTGGCTTTCCAAAATGTTGGGATTACAGGTGTGAGCCACCGGGCCTGGCCCACTCTAGTTTTATCATCCAAGCTAACACAGGACTCTAGTGGCCCATCACTAACCTTGACAATCTTGATAGCTTACCTAATTGAAACTGTAACTTACACAGATTTGAGAAAAGTTATGTTTATATTTTATACCTTACCAAGAAGCAGTATTTTTGTTTGTTTGTTTGGTTTATCAGTAGTGTGCATTTAGGTAAGGGGCCACCAAAGCATCGAAAGTTTGGCCAATCAGAAGATTCTAATAGTGAGAACTCATATTTGAAGGAGTTAAGGTAGAAGTTGCATCTGATAAGTCTCAGAACAGGGCTTTGCCACCTTTGAGAGTTTTGATAGGTTATCGTTATGTCATTTTTTAAAATTATCTAACTTTTAACAATTTCACTCACCCCTACCCATCTACCGCCCGCACCAACACAAGAAGACATTTATGAATTACACATAGGTTCAAAGAATTTGGAGCTGGAAAGGATTTTAGGGATAATTCCATCAAAGCCACTTGTATTAGTCAGCTCAGGCTGCCAGAAAAAAAAAATCATGGACCTGGTGGCTTACACAGCAGAACACAGCGTAGAGGCTGAAAGTCAGATCAGGATGCCAACACGGTTGGGTTCTGGTGAGGGCCCTCTCTCTAGCTTGTGGGTGGTGGCCTTCTTGCCTGTTTTGGAAGTGACTATATTAACGGGGTTCCCACTGACCAAACCATACCCTCTGCACTGTCTTCTTGTTTCCTGTCAGACAGAAGTGGTGTGTGTTCATGTGTGTGCACACGCATGCGTTGTGAGTATGTGTGAGAGAGAGACAGAGATGAAAAGAATCCCTGAGTGAGAGATGTTTAATTATTTTAAGAAGATTTGTACATTGTTTTCCCATTGCTTGTTTTTATTTTTTTAAATAATTTTTAGTGCTTTGAATGGCTGTGTCATTTTTGTTGTTGTGTCATCACATGGCAGAGAGAGAGAGAGAGAGACAGAGAGAAAGAGAACTCTCTGGTGTCTCTTTTTATAAAGGCACTAATCCCATCATGAAAGCTTCACCCTCATATCTTCATCTAAACCTAATTATCTCTCAAAGGCCCTGTCTCCCAAACCACCACATGGGGGGCGGTGAGGACTTCCACATACGCATTTTAGGGGGGATGCAGTTCAGCCTACAGTACCACTCATGAAGACTTTCTTTATGTTAACATGAAATAAATGTATCTATTTTAGAGAATTCCATTACACTTCTGGAGCTGGTTATAGATCTGACAGAATATCAAAAATATGCCATACTTTTGTTCCTTGCTTTGAAGCCTTATTGTGAGTTGGAACTGCTGGATTTGATAGAAGATTCTTGGAAATTAAGCCAAAATAGAGGCAGAAAATGAAGATGCAGTGAAAATCTTGGAGGTGAGGATGAAGGGCTCTTATAGCTATGTTGCAGAGAGAAGGGAGGAGACGGTGCTCCAAAGGGGGCACTGCCTTCCTGAGGCAGTGAGTAGAGGGACGGAGGCAGATGTCAGGTGGGAGTAACCCGAGGGTGGGTAAAGAGGAGGCGCTGTCAGTGGAATTGCCCAAGAATATAACCATCCTCAGAAGTCCCATCTTGCAGGGTGAACATCTGGGCATGAGCCTCCTGGCTCAATCTCACGCAGTTTTCTTCCACTTCATGTGAACAGCGGTGCTGCTCAGTGTGGGTATGCCCAGCCGATGCGGCAGCCTCCTGACCATCATTTGGAAATTGCCCGTAACCTAGAGTGACTTCTCAGTGGCTTCTGTCTCTTCATTAGAAGGATACTCAAATTATTGAATACTGGGAATGACACCCATAGAGGCAACATGAGCCCAGTGTTGGTGATTATGGAAGTTACCAAACTTGGACATTTGACCCACTGCTTACCCTTTCATAAGCAAATTAGACAGAGCCAGGATTTACAGGGAGCATGTTCTCAGATATATGATTTAGGATTCAAATTTCTTGTTTTTGCTTGGGGATAATTTGATATCTTCAGTCTACATTCATATAGAAATATGTATTAAGCAAGCTTTGAGTGTTCCAGCAGAGGATACTTTTAAATACAGTATCTAGTTCTCTTGGCGTATTTAAATATGATTTATTCAACAAAGGTTAAGTTTGCACACAGCCTTTTGGTCTCATCTCTATGAACAGCAAGGTGGACTTTCTTTGAGTGGACACCAGACAATGGCAACCATCCATTTTCTGGCAAGGAAAAGAGCTAGTAGGTATTTTCATTTTTTCAGTTCAACTGTGAGAACACTGACCTGCAGAAGCCCCAAAGGCAGGGTATAGATTCTTCAGCCTGGTGTGTTTCCATTGTTTCTTGGGTTTTTGCTTTGTTAAGCTCATGTGTAGCATATTTCAAAAAATAGGTCATAAACATTCAGTTTGGGAAGAGTCTCCTTAAATGATGCCATGGAACTGTTAAGAAGAGTAGAGTTCATTTACTTCGTGGAGACTATGGAATGTTACTGACAAATGATGTTTTACCATCATTGGCACTTAACACAAGAAGATACAGCAAATTTGCTAGACAGTCTTCATAGATACATGCATAGATGGCAAATACGTGCATACAACATTCTTTAAATATTGGTTTTTATACTGAGTATGAGAATTTTTCACTGGTTAAGTTTACTCATTTAACTGAGCCAGGTAAATATTCAGTTAACTGAGCCAGTAATTCAATTTCTGTTTGGCTTAGGAAGTGGCTCCTACCTTTCATGTTACCGCGCCTGTTTTGGAAGTGGCTGACTGTTTTCACTGGGCTCCCACTGACCTAAACCATACCTTGACACTGTCTTCTTGTTTCCGGTCAGATGGAAATGGTGTACATGTGGGCCTGCGTGTGTGCATGTGTGTGTGTCAGAGAGAGACTGGGAGAAGAGCGAGACTGGGATGGAAAGACTCTTTCCCTGAGTGAGAGAGATTTTGAATCATTTTTGGGAGATTCGTGTGTTATTTTCCCGTTGTTTGTTTTTATTTTTAAAAACCTTCTCTAGTGCTATCGATGGCTGTGTCATTTTTGTTACTGCTGAGCTACAAGAAAAACACTGGCAGTTATGACAGATTATTAAGTCAGAAGAATTTCCTGAAGAAAATATCCTCATCTGTTATATAAGTGTTCCTGTTTTGTTTTCTTATTAAAAGGTCTTAACTCAGTTAGTTATGAAGCACCTTATAAATATTTGTTATTTGAAGGAAATATCTAATGAAGACTTTCTACTTCAAAATGATGATCAGCAAATATTTGTTGAGTGTCTACTATGGGCAATATATGGAGTTAGGTATTCTGAGGCATCAGGATGGAAAACACAAATAAGACAGAGAAACATGCACATGGTGTTTCCTTTGCATTGTTTCCAAGAGGCTTTAGGGGGATAATGTCATGGAACAATTGGCTGTCTTTATAAGTTAGTTTTATGGTATATAGCAATATGGACTGTCTCCAGTTTAGGATGGATTGGGTTCTAGAAATTCATTTGAAAATTAGTTGTTTGAAAATCAGAAAACATTTCCCTATGCTAAAATTTTAAGGGCACCTAACCTGCTTTTATAACATTGAATTGATTTCATCACCAGAGCTGCCCCTAGGGTATGAGGGAGTCCCTGGTCATTTTTTTTTCCTCATGGGACATCTGTTTGTATAAGCAATTTGAGTCACCCAAAATCAGCATATGAGCATCATTCTGACGCCTAGTCTCTTCTGATCACATGAAATATATGCCACATTGGCCAGCAGAGACAACGCATTTGCCAGGCTGCCCTCTCAGAACCAGGGCTTAGCCATTGCACCCTGGGTGGCCCCACAGGCTTGAGTGCTGGAGCTCCCTGGGGCACTTGGTTGACTGCACAGTGTAGGGAAGCAGTAAAGGTTTGGAGAGCTGCCAGAATGTGAGACATGGATGGGGACTCACACAAGTCCTAGTCCAGGCTCAGGGTGACTTCCCAGTTGGCACTGCACCAGAAGGGACTCCAAGGCTTGGGAATCCCTGAGTCCTGGGTTCTGGCCAGGACTCCTGCTTTCCTGAGTTTAAGAGTGATAATAGCAGTGACAATATTTCCAAGGGAAAGTGCATTATCAGTTTCAATTCAGAGTACCAATAGCACATTTCTGATGTGTCTGACACACTTTAGGTGCTCATTATATTGATGAATGAATAAATGAATGGTTTGAGGCTAGGGTGCTCCTTCTGGTAAAAGGGTAGGCTGAAGTTTGTATAAGAAAAGGCACTTCTGTGTGTGGGTCACCAGTCAGCTGTTCTACTTTAGGGGGTGAAGGTTAATTACAATAAGTGGGTTAGAACTGGGAATATCAAACCTGCAATGGCATCTCTCAGTTCTTTGGTAGACACTGATCAAAAGCTGAAAAATCACAAACTTTAAAAATTGTTGTTATACTTCTGAAGAATTACAGATAAAAAATGTTGTAGAAGACTTACACAAATCCAATTTAGCTACAATTTTGATGAGACTTAGAATTTCTAATAGTCAGATCGACACCAACTTTTGAGACCCAAAGTGAAAATATGGGTAACAAATACTTTTTTCAAATAATAATTTGTAAGAAGATAATTCACACACTCTTCACTGACCTGCAGAGAAGGTCCTGCCACTGCTGAATAATCCTCAGATTAATTAGGAGTTAATATAGCAGTTGCATCTTAAAGAGTTTTCCTCACGTAGTCGTAAGTACTTAAACCCTCTTCTGCACACCCTGACTGTAATGACATGTCTCTGAATACTCAGGATGGCGTATTGTGTATGGCTGTGGCATCGCAATTTTCCCAGTAGCTGCCACTGGTACCACCCTCTGCAACTGGTGAGAAGGAAGTTGAGCATATTCATTATTCCTTAGTTGCTTCTGCAGAGACAACCACCGGTAACTCTACTTTGCCAAATGGGTATGAGGTAGAGGGTGACTTTACGTGACAGAAAGGTATTTTCGTTTGTTGGCTTAATGCCAACAGTGGCTGAAATAACCATTTAATATAATTAGTGATTCTTAGGTCTTTGTACAGTAAATGCTTTGCTGGAACAATAGCAAAGAGTTTTAACAGCAACTACACTAATGGATCAGGATGAGTGGATTTATGGTTAGTGGGGGCTTATCACAAGGTGGGTGCAGAAGACCTTTTGGTCCTGAGCTCACATTTATGAAGGGTCTTGAAATTTACATGTTCACATTACCTTGAAATGAGGCTACGTGTAGTCACGGGCTACCTTGCCAAGACTGAACATTTAAAATATCCTGTTATTTCTGTAACCCTGCTTCGGCTTTTATTGTGTTTTATTACCTTGAACACCTTAAAACATGGAGGTGATCCAGCAGTCTCCAGATGCAGATTGGAGGGAGGCCCCAGTAAGCTGCCCAGTCATACTCTGCATAGACATAACCTTCTACTCTATGGTGTAGAAATGAAAGGCTTTGATGGCTTTGTTTTCCCAGCCTAGACACTTATGAAATAGAAAAGCTAAAGTGGGGACAAGTGCATGGTACCTGACATTAGGCTCATTCATTCATTCACTCACTGAATGAAGATTGATTGAGTGATCAGACATACTGAAAAAGAGCCTAGGCTCGGCCAGATATTGTGGGGACAAAATGAGTACTGCGTTAAGGAGGCAGCACAGGACTGGTATGAAGTGAGGGCTCATTAAAGTTAGCTGCTGGAAGTAGTAGTACTACTTGATAATGGTAGCGCATGTTAGGTGTTGTGCTAGGTGCTGGACTCAAAAGGTGGAAAAACATGTCCTTATCTTCTAGAGGCTTGTGGCCTAGGGATATGGGGAAACAACTGCAAATTCAGCTCTATAGGAACTATAGCTGTGTGTAGAGTGGGGACCACATAAAGAGGCAGTGTTGAACTCTGCCTTGGATATAAAGAGGGGTTCATGGATGTCAGAGAAAGCCTCCATTCTTGTTTCATCCAATTCCTAATTAGCTGGGAAACTTTGGGCAAATCTTTTAGCTGCTCTGAGTCTCATTTCTCTGATTTACAGAATGAGGAGGCAGACTAAAGCAACTCAAAGATTTGCTGAACTCACCGTGAGGTGGAACCGAAGTGGGCTCAGGTGCTTTCTGTGACGTAAGTCAAGATTCCGACTTTGTTACAGATTTATCATTATTCCTTGAAAAAAATTCAGCTATGGTTGACTTCACTTCCTCAATATCTCATACTGAGCTAATTTCGAGCTAATTTCCAGTTTCAATAAACTTTGATAATGAAATATCTTCTGCCACACGTGGATAAACTTGTCTTGCAGAGTCCCTCATCCACCTGCTAGGTCTTGCTCAGAGATTTTTGGCAGTAAAGAGACTGGCAGGAGGCTTCCCACAGGGCCTTTAATATCTGCAGTTTCTTCTCCTGGAAACTTCGCAGCCATCTTTCATGAATCTAAAAATGTTAGGGAAGCAGGCAAGACGATGAATTGAATGTGTTGGTGTGTTTCTGTCATCCTTCAGAGCCAGGAATGGTTGAATGTTCATTTCCTCAGCCACGTGCTAGGAAAAGTTTTGGTTTTAGTATGTTTCAGAAATCCCCTGGCAGATATTGACACAAACATTATGGTAAAAGAGAGTCACTAATATTTTCCATGCCAAATGTCTTAAACCCCTGAGCCTCTAGATTTATGTGTCCCTGTCAGTGTTTGCGTCCAACCATGAGCAGATGGTTTACTCGTGTCCATTTCTGGGGCTGGAGAGAGACCAGAGACCAAGAGCTTTGGGCCTCCTCTGATGGGTTCTGTGAACCCCTAACGATGTCAGGACCCAATCTATATCAGAAATGGTAGATATTAGCTCTTTAAACTGAATGAAAGCACAAAATGGCTCTTATAAAACATTTGCGTTGCTTTACAGAGAAATTCCTTTTTCATAGTCTGGTAAAACTTAATGCTGAAATAATGCAATGTTAAAAAATCCTCCTTTAAAAATCTGGAGGACTATGCATAATAACAAACCCCAAAATTCAACCAGTCTTGGACTAGTGCCCAGAGAGCTGCACAAACACAATAATACTTGCTCCTGCCTCCTGCCATTTCCCCTAAGTTAGCTAAAACAGAGCTGTTGTAGGAAAGTGTAGAAACACTCGGCTGTTTACTGGTCCCACTTACTGGGAGTAACATGGAGAGTGGAGCCTCCTCTCTCACCCACAGAAAGTTCTAGGAAATAAGCCTTCCAGCCAATGATTCTATCATTTTTAGAATATTATAATACTTTAATAGAAATCCCATTTAAACATATGGTATATAGAGTATCCCTGAAGATAATGTTTTATACTGTCAAAGAGACTGTCTTCTTTTTTTCCTTTCTCCCTCCCTCTTTTTAACTTCTTTCCTTTTCAATCTTTTCCCTTTTCCTTCCCCCACTTCCTTCCTTCCTTCCTTCCTTATTTCCTTCCTTCCTTCATTGTTTCCTTCCTTCCTTCTTTCCTTCCTTCCTTCCTTATTTCTTCCTATCTTCCTTCTTTCCTTCCTTCCTTCCTTATTTCTTCCTATCTTCCTTATTTCCTTCCTTCCTTATTTCCTTCCTATCTTCCTTATTTCCTTCCTTCCTTCCTTATTTCCTTCCTTCCTTCATTGTTTCCTTCCTTTCTTATTTCCTTCCTTCCTTCTTTCCTTCCTTCCTTCCTTATTTCTTCCTATCTTCCTTATTTCCCTCCTTCCTTCCTTATTTCTTCCTATCTTCCTTCTTTCCTTCCTTCCTTCCTTATTTCTTCCTATCTTCCTTATTTCCTTCCTTCCTTCCTTATTTCCCTCCTTCCTTCCTTATTTCTTCCTATCTTCCTTATTTCCTTCCTTCCTTCCTTATTTCCTTCCTATCTTCCTTATTTCCTTCCTTCCTTCCTTATTTCCTTCCTATCTTCCTTATTTCCCTCCTTCCTTCCTTATTTCTTCCTATCTTCCTTCTTTCCTTCCTTCCTTCCTTATTTCCTTCCTATCTTCCTTATTTCCTTCCTTCCTTATTTCCCTCCTTCCTTCCTTCTTTCCTTCTTTCCTTCCTTCTTCCCTTGTTTCCTTCCTTCCTTCCATCCTTTCTTCCTTCCTTCCTTTCTTTTTTCTTTTTCTTTATTTTCTCTCTCCTTCCTTTCCTTCCTTCTCTTTTTTTTTTCTCTCTCATTCATTCCTTCCATCACGTTTAGAGAAATCACTTGTTTTCAATTGAAGCTGTGTAAGGAGTACCATGAAGTACCTTTTAAAACACATAGTAAGTGGTCAGTAAACTCTTCCATTCTGGTGAGAGAAATGGACAGATCCTGGAGCCATCATATCGCATACCTGTCATTTTATATGACTTACTTAAAAAATGCAGTTGTTCAATGTGAAGCTGTAAAGACAATCTAGCCTGACATTTTCATTATATTTACTATTACAAAATCCAGAATTTTAAATAATCCATAAAAGTGACTAAATCACTTTTTTGGGCACAAAGCAAGCCCTTTGTAGTGAACATTTGTTTGAAGTCTTAGCATCTTGCACTACTAAGGATAGAAGTAATGGTTAATGTAAACAATAGTTCTACATTGGATGCATATTTTGCAGTACTTAAACTTTCCAACCAATGCTGAGGTATGTCTTCTAATTGTACTTTATTTTGCCTGTGCAGTATATAATAGAATTGAGAAAAAGCTAGGATTATTAGTTCTTTTTCTAACAGACTTTTTGTTTGTTTGCTTTTTGTTTTTTGTTTTTGTTTTTGTTTTTGAGACTGAGTCTTGATCTGTCGCCCAGGCTGGAGTGCAGTGGCGCGATCTCGGCTCACTGCAAGCTCCGCCTCCTGGTTCACGCCATTCTCCTGCCTCAGCCTCCCCAGTAGCTGGGACTACAGGCGCCCGACACCACGCCCAGCTAATATTTTTTTGTATTTTTAGTAGAGATGGCGTTTCACCGTGTTAGCCAGGATGGTCTCAATCTCCTGACCTCGTGATCCGCCCACCTTGGCCTCCCAAAGTGCTGGGATTACAAGCATGAGCCACCACGCCCAGCCTCTAATAACCTTTAACAAAGCTACCTATAGTAATAAAACCTATCATTTCCTGTTTCCCAAGTAGATTCTCTTTAAATTTGATTGTTCTTTCATTTATTCAGTGATTTATTCATTCTCAACCCATTCTTTCAATGACCTTAAATCAAAACCAGAGCATATTATTTAGTTGGGTGAAGGTGATTTCTCTTAAAGCAGAATTTACAAGGTCAAAATATTTATCATTTTGGCTGTCCAATTCCATCCAAGGATACATCTTGAGAGTCCTTGATGAGTGTGTAGATTATACAGTCCTTAGACAATCTTCTGTAAATATTGTTAGTTGCAGCCAAACTTTTGACAGGCTCTGGATAGAAAGCTGCACTCTTGGATAAAGACTCATAATGCAGAAGCTCTATATTGCTGAGTGAGGGAGATTTTTAGACTTTGGCAACTAAGAGGACAGGTGCTGTGGGTGAAGCGTAGTTTAGCAGGCTGAGGAGACATGGTAGGTTGCAGGCCACACAACTCTACAAGGAAGTGAATCCCAGGGGCTTCTTCAGGCCCAGCCAGCAGTTTGTTTGTTTGTTTGTTTGTTTTTAAATTAATAGTGAGCAGCCTTGAATTTGTTCCAGCCTTGAACAAATGGACTGTTGTTTCCAGAGTTTCATGCCACAACACAGTGATTTTCAAAACATTTTTTTTCATCAGGAGGGTTTGCTTTCAAATAAAATTGTATATAGAACACTTGTGCATGAAATAGCTCAAAACATAGCTGCTTTGGTTGAAACAAGATAAAGAGCCCATTACAGAAGAGGTGTGGGACTGGCAATTTCTTGAAGCCGGTCTACCAGTCACCCACTAAGTAGTGCTCTCATGAACTATTTCATTATCTGTTTACAGAGCAAGTTAATTGCAGAATGTAGATCCAGGAAGCTGAACAAGATGACCTATGATAATTTGATAATTGAGTGAATTTTGGAGAATATTTAGCAAAAATGGTGATTTTATTTGTACTGTGACTAAAGGTAGTAGTTAACTGACAATGCAGTGAAGTCACATCAGCTGTGAGTTGAATATGTGCTCATCCCAAAACAAAAAGAAAACCAAACAAACAAAAAACTTAGAAGTCCAACAATGTCAGAAAAGAAAACCTAAACAAATCCTAATGAAATTTTCTTGAGAAATATGTCCAGTTGGTTCTGAAACTCATTGGGAAAAGAAAATGTGCAAAATAGTCAATGTCACCCTATTAAACATTAAATAGGCAATTAAGTTTTAGTTATTAAAACAATTCTTGGCATCACAGTAGATCAGCGGAAGAGAATAGGGAGTTCTGAAAGTGATGCATGATAAATGGAGACTTAAGAAAAATTTTTGGTGAAAGTTTAAATCAGGATAGAAGAAAGGGAATCTTCAATAAATGATGGGGAGATTACTGCCTGCCCATTTGGAAAAGAAAATCAGATTAAAGTGATCCCTCATATCAAAATACGCAGCAGTTAAACTCGAGGTGGATCATGGAATTAATTAGAAAAATAAACCTATCAAAGTAGTAGAATAAAATATAGGAGACTGCAGATGAAACACACACTTAAAAATTACTGCTCAAGCTCACTATATTCAGGGAGATGAAAGTTATAACAGTGAAGTGCTATTTTTGCCCACTGAACTTATTGCAACACCAACACTGTTCACTGCTGGTGAAGGTTAGGTAAACAGACACTCTCATTGATGATTGGCGAGGGTGTGAAGAAGTGTGGCCTTGGAGGAATGATCATTTTTGCTGAAACTGTGATAATTTATAGCAGTTCCATATATAGACATTTGTCCCAAAGAAAGACTTGGACATGTGCCCACAGTTCTATATACAAGTACATTCATTACTGCAGTACTCTGCAGTATTATTACGGTGAAAGATTGGAAGCAGCGAAGGAGCGGTTAAACAAACTCTGATGTCACAGGCTATGCAGGAGTATTAGCCACACAGCAGTTAAAAGGAATGCAATAGGCCTGTATGTACTGCCATTGAAAGACTTCCAAGACAGATTTTTAAACAAATAAGGAAAGTTGAAGAAAAATGTGTATGACATGACACTATTCATGTAAAAGATATAACCATATAATTATATATTTATGGATACATATATCTTTTAAATACACTTAAAAATGTCCAGAAAGGTATATGCCAGAAATTATAGTGGTTAACCTCCAGGGACAGGAATGAAATTAGGGCAGTGGTGATGGTGATGGTGGGGTGGGATTGGTAGTCAAGAACGCCATTGTATTTTCTGGCATTATTATGTATTATTTGGCATAAGCACAACATAATTTGTAACAAAAGCAAAAACAGACTAATGGGTTTGAATTTAACTAAAAAGATTCTGCATAGCAAAGGAAACAACAGATTGAAAAGACAATCTATTGAATGGGAGAAAATATTTGCAGAACATATAACTGATAAGAAGTTAATATCCAAAATATATAAGCAACTCAAACAATTCAATTGCAAAAAAAACCAAATAACCTAACTAAAAAATGGACAAAGGATCTGAATAAACATTTTTCCAAAGAAGACATACAAATAGCCAACAGGTATGTTAAAAGGTGCTCAACATCACTAATCACATCTTGGCCATTTGTCCTTGATGGAGAGAACTCTTGTCAGTTTGGGACTTCCTTTAATACCTGCAGCAAAGTGGCATGAAATGGCTTTGGAAGTGGCAACTTCCCTACTTTGGGAGCAAACTCATGGAATACTTCCTCCCGCAGGCACCTCGACAAGAAAAATTATGTCTTGGAATGTTCTTGGAATAAGCAAATGTTTGAGAAATATTCCATGATGCACACTTGCATCATTTCAACTTATTTACCAATTTGTAAGGCTTGCACAACTCTAAGGGAGATGAACAACAATGAACAATGCCCCCTGATGCTGTGCAAATTGGAGGCCCCTCTGTGCCTTGATAACAGGGTCTTAAAGCATGACTTTGGTTAGATCAATTACACTTTTTAACTCTGCCTTGGTTTCCTTCTCTTATTCTTTCTTCTTCATTCTTTTTTGTTTGTTTGTTTTCTTATAAACACTTGATTGGGATATTGTTTAGTCATGTTTTCTTCTAGTATTTTGGCATTTAGGATACTCAAAGGGTAATACTATAGATAACGTGCAGCCTTCAGTATTTCATATGGTGTCATGGCAGAATCGAGCTGGAAGATTGAGGTGAATCGGACTCTACCTTCTCCATTTATTAGGTAGTGTTTCGACAGTGGGGAGAAATACAGGCTTTGGAGTCACCTGCTTGAGTTTTGATCTCAGCTCACCTGTTTGCCAACTTGTGTGACCCTGAGCAAATTCCTTTACTCCCTCTAACTTGGCTTTTAGCAGTCTGTGGCTCTGCATTTAAAAAATCCTCAAGTATTCCCTGGTGAGGAAGGGGCATTCAGTTCATTTCCTGGCATTCCCCAATTTTCTGGGCTCTCCCTAGTAATTTTGGTTGTGGTCAGAGGGCATTTTCTTTACCCATTTTTACCCAGATTGTCCCCCAGAGAGATTCCATTTGCCCTGTCCTCAAACTCTGCTCCTCTTTCTCCTGCTGCTTCTGGTCCTAAGGTCCTGTAAGGAAATGCTGTAACCATGGCCAGGGCAGAGTTCCTTTCGGTGGGGCCTGAACTCAGAATGGAACCAGGTCTCCTGGACTTTCTGTTAATACTTCTTTGCTACAGCACGTACCGGCTGTGTATAAATTTGCCAGATTCTGAGCTTACCTGGACACACTACATTACATGCTCCTGGGCAATGGAAGCGCAGATGTTTTGTTCCATCTTTATGATAAAATGCAGGTTTCCTTTGGAAAGAGTGCTAATTAACGAATTCTTGCTGATTAAATTAAGGGACCAAGAAACACCTGTATGGATGGGTTTCTGAACCTAAACATCAAGCTGTTTGTTGTGATTTGGTCATGTGTTCATTTAGTGGTATCCTGATCTCTGATTTTTTAAAATATCAGACCAATAATGCACATTTTTAGGCCAGTAAAATTTCTAATTAAAAAATGAGGGCTAAATATTATTTTGAGTGATTATGAAAATAACATATGTCAATGTAATTGGAAATACAGAAATTATAAAGAAAAAAATGAAACTTGCCCAGCTTGTCATGTGGAGATAACCACTGTTAACATGTTGGTGATTATCCTTTTACATTTGCACTTGTAGGGCCAGGCACGGTGGCCCACGCCTGTAATCCCAGCACTTCGGGAGGCTGAGATGGGCAGATCACTTGAGGTTGGGAATTTCAGACCAGCCTGGCCAACATGGCAAAACCCCACTTCTACAGAAAATACCAAAATTAGCCAGGTGTGGTGGCGAGCACCTGTAATCCAAGCTACTTGGCAGCCTGAGGCAGGAGAATCACTTGAACCTGGGAGGTGGAGGTTGCAGTGACCTGGATTGAGCCATTGCACTCCAGCCTGGGCGACACAGGGTGAGAGCTTTAAAAAAAAAAAATGCACCTAAAAAACAATATGTACATATATGGTGGGATCATAATGAAGATGCCGTTTTATAACAAGTTTTTCACAACATAATGTCATAATTTCTCATGTCGAATTCTTTTTTTTTTTTTTTTTTTTGAGACAGGGTCTCACTCTGTTGCCCAAGCTGGAGTGCAGTGGCACAATCACTGCTCACTGCAGCTTTGACCTCCTGGGCTCAAGCAATCCTCTCACCTTACTCTCCCTAGTAGGTGGGACTACAGGTGCACACAACCATACCTGGCTAATTTTTGTTTTTTGTTTTTTGTTGTTTTTTTTTTTTTGAGACGGAGTCTTGCTCTGTCGCCCAGGCTGGAGTGCAGTGGCGTGATCTTGGCTCACTGCAAGCTCCCCTCCTGGGTTCACGCCATTCTCCTGCCTCAGCCTCCCTAGTAGCTGGGACTAGAGGCGCCTGCCACCATGCCTGGCTAATTTTTGTATTTTTAGTGGAGACGGGTTTCACCGTGTTAGCCAGGATGGTCTCGATCTCCTGACCTCATGATCTGCCCGCCTCAGCCTCCCAAAGTGCTGAGATTACAGACATGAGCCACCATGCCTGGCCTAATTTTTTTTTTTTTTTGTAGAGACGGGTCTTGCTATGTTGTCTAGGCTGATCTTGAACTCCTGGGCTTAAGCAATCCTCCTGCCCTGACCTCCCAAAGTGCTAGGATTACAGGCGTGAGCCATGATACCCGGCTGCAGTGATAATTCTTTTACAGTATGATATTTAAAGGCTGTATAGAATTCATCTTTTGGATATAAACTAATTTACTTAACCTCTGATTTCTGGACATTTAGATTATTTAAGATAATGAGCCTTGTCATAATGAACATCTCTGTGTTTAACTCAGACATTTTCCTTAAGAAAAAAATCAAGGAAGTGGAATGAATGGGTAAAATTGTACAAATATATTTAAGATTTTAAAACATATGATCAAATTACCCCCACTCCACACACACAGACGCAAAGGTAAATTCTGTTACTAGCAGTATAGACAGCACATATTTCCTTTGCCAAGAGTGATATTATCATTAAAATTTTTTCAACAACAAAAAAGTTATTCTAATTTGTAATTATTTTTTATTTCCAGGGAGATGATGAATGTTTTCACATTTATTATTCAGGTGTGTTTCTTCTTTTGTGAGGTGCCTTTATTCTTTCCTGATTTCTTTTTTTCTATTGAAGTGTAGAAGACTGATTTGTGCTTTTTAAAATTGATTTGTAGACCTTTTTATTTTATTTTAATTATAATATATTTCAAGTATACCAAAAATAACTTAACAATGGTGGAAATGATTATGTTGTTATGTGTGCTTCAGCTGTTTTTCTAAAAGCACATCAAATATTTAACATAATGTTAAAACTTTGCTCATGCTAGTCTCCTTTCTTTCTTCTCAAAGCAACCACTCTCTAGAAGTTGACATATACATTTCCCATGGGTGTTCGAATGCTTTTTTTTGCTTTTTTTTTTTTCCAAGACAGAGTCTGCAACTATCTGATCTTTGACAAACCTGACAAAAACAAGCAATGGGGAAAGGATTCCCTATTTAATAAATGGTGCTGGGAAAACTGGCTAGCCATATGTAGAAAGCTGAAACTGGATCCCTTCCTTACACCTTATACAAAAATCAATTCAAGATGGATTAAAGACTTACATGTTAGATCTAAAAACATAAGAACCCTAGAAGAAAACCTAGGCATTACCATTCAGGTCATAGGCATGGGCATGGACTTCATGTCTAAAACACCAAAAGCAATGGCAACAAAAGCCAAAATTGACAAATGGGATCTAATTAAACTAAAGAGCTTCTGCACAGCAAAAGAAACCACCATCAGATTGAACAGGGAACCTACAGAATGGGAGAAAATTTTTGCAACCTACTCACCTGACAAAGGGCTAATATCCAGAATCTACAATGAACTCAAACAAATTTACAAGAAAAAAACAAACAACCCCATCAAAAAGTGGGTGAAGGATGTGAAAAGACACTTCTCAAAAGAAGACATTTATGCAGCCAAAAAACACATGAAAAAATGCTCACCATCACTGGCCATCAGAGAAATGCAAATCAAAACCACTATGAGATACCATCTCAGACCAGTTAGAATGGCGATCATTAAAAAGTCAAGAAACAACAGGTGCTGGAGAGGATGTGGAGAAATAGGAACACTTTTACACTGTTGGTGGGACTGTAAACTAGTTCAACCATTGTGGAAGTCGGTGTGGCGATTCCTCAGGGATCTAGAACTAGAAATACCATTTGACCCAGCCATCCCATTACTGGGTATATACCCAAAGGATTATAAATCGTGCTGCTATAAAGACACATGCACACGTATGTTTATTGCAGCACTGTTCACAATAGCAAAGACTTGGAACCAACCCAAATGTCCAACAATGATAGACTGGATTAAGAAAATGTGGCACATATACACCATGGAATACTATGCAGTCATAAAAAATGATGAGTTCATGTCCTTTGTAGGGACATGGGTGAAGCTGGAAACCATCATTCTCAGCAAACTACTGCAAGGACAAAAAACCAAACACCACATGTTCTCACTCATAGGTGGGAACTGAACAATGAGAACACATGGACACAGGAAGGGGAACATCACACACCGGGGACTGTTGTGGGGTGGGGGGAGGGGGGAGGGATAGCATTAGGAGATATACCTGATGCTAAATGACGAGTTAATGGGTGCAGCACACCAACATGGCACATGTATACATATGTAACAAACCTGCACGTTGTGCACATGTACCCCAAAACTTAAAGTATAATAAAAAAAAAATCAGGATCAGAAAAAAAAAAAAGACAGTGTGTGGCTCTGTCACCCAGTCTGGAGTGCAGTAGTACGACCTTGGCTCACTGCAGCCTCCGCCTCCTGGGTTCAAGTGATTCTCCTGCCTCAGCCTCCCAAGTAGCTGGGATTACAGGCATGCGCCACCATGCCTAGGTAATTTTTATATTTTTAGTAGAGACAGGGTTTCACCATGTTGGCCAGGCTGGTCTCAAACTCCTGGCCTCAAGTGACCGGCCTGCCTCCGCCTCCCAAAGTGCTGGGATTATGGGCATGAGTCACCACTCCTGGCTGAATGCTTTTTTTCTACATTTGTATGTGCCCTATAACAAAATGGAAGATTTTTTAAAATTTACATAAATGATATAATATTTACATATTAATTTGCATCCTGCTTTTTCAACTCAACATTATCTTTTGAGGTACCTATGTTGATACATATATGTCTAGTTCATTCATTTTAACTGTTGTATTCCATTCTATAGATGTATCAGATTATTTATCTCATTCCCTTATTGGCAGATATTTACTATTTTGTCGCTATCTCCTTGAGTAAAGTGCTAAAATTAGAGTACATATTTAGAAGTGGAATTGTTGGGTCACAGAATATGCATAGTATCTTAGTCTGTTTGGGCTGCTATAACAATCTACCATAGCCTGGGTGGCTTATAAACAACAGAAATTCATTTCTTGTAATTCTGGAGTTTGGAAGCCTGAGATCAGAGTGTCAGCACAGTTTGGTTCTGGTAATGGCCTGCTTCCTGGTTCATAGACAGCCATCTTCTCCATGTGTCCTCATATGGTGGAAGGGGAGAGGGAACTCTCTGGGGTCTCTTTATAAGGGCATTCATCCCATGAGGGCAGAGACCTCTTGACTTAATCATCTCCCAAAGGCCCCACCTTCTGATACCTTCACATTGGGGATTAGGGTTCAACATATGAATTTTGGGGGGACACATACATACATTCAGTCTATAGCACATGTCCTCCCTTCTATCCAGATTGTCAAATTATTATTTAAAGTAGTGCTTTATTTTACATTCCCATCATTTGGGAGATCTTTATACATTAAAATAATAAATGCTTAATGTGCCATTTGTGTACAGAACTTTAAATGTAATTAAATCTGTTAATTTTTTCATTTGAAATTTCTTTTTTTTTCTTTGACATAAATTTTATTTATTTTTAATGGACAGATAATGATGTATGTCTGCTTTTTATTCTGTTTTCTTGGCTGGTTTGTCTCTTCTTGTACCAACGTCTCACTGTTTTAATTATTGTTTTTAAATCGGCTTTAATATTTGGCAGATAAAAATTCTACTTGTCACCCTTATTTTTAAAGAAGTTTTGATTGTAGTCACTAATAATTTCTTATACATAACTTTTAAAATTACATCGTCAAATTCTTCTAAAACATTCCGCTGAATTTTCAAAAAAGTAACTTTGTATTGATTAATTTAATTGATTTCGGCAGAGTGAACACAACAATGTAACCACCCCATATCAAGAAATAGAGCATTATCAGCACCCTAGAAGCCAAAGCCACCTGCCTTTTCCTCTTGCTGCCTAAAGGTAACCACTACTCTTTTATCACCCTAGATTAGCTAAGCCTGTTTTTTTTTTCCTTTTATTTATTTATTTTTTAAATTTTATTTAAGGTTCAGAGGTGCATGTGCAGGTTTGTTATATAGGTAAACTCATGTCATGGGGGTTTGGTGTACAGATCATTTCATCATGTAGATACTAAGCATAGTGCCTGATAGGCAGGTTTTTCTCAGGTTTTCTGATCCTCTTCCTCTTCCCACCCTCCAACCTCAAGCAGGTCCCAGTGTCTGTTGTTCTCCTCTTTGTGTCCACATATTCTCATTGTTTAGCTCCCACTTACAAGGGAGAACATGTGGTATTTGGTTTTCTGTTCCTGCTTTAGTTTCCATAGGATAAAAGCCTCCAGCTCCATCCATGTTGCTGCAAAGGACATGATCTCATTCTTTTTTATGGCTACACAATATTCCATGGTGTATCTGTACCATATTTTCTTTACCCAGTCTATCATTGATGGGCATTTAGATTGATTCCATGTCTTTTCTACTGTGAATAAGGCTGCAGTGAACACATGCATGCATGTGTCTTTATGGTAGAATGATTTATGTTCCTTTGGTATACCCAATAATGGGATTTCTGGGTTGAATGGTAATTCTGTTTTTAGTTCTTTGAGGAATTATCACATTGCTTTCCACAGCAGCTGAACTAATTTGCACTCCCACCAGCAGTGTATAAGCATTCCCTTTTCCCTGCAACCTCACCAGCATCTGTTATTTTTTGACTTTTTAATAATAGCCTTGCTGACTGATGTGAGATGGTTTCTCAATGTAGCTTTGATTTGCATTTCTCTAATGATCAGCGATGTTGAGCATTTTTTCATAAGCTTGTTAGCTATATGTATGTCTTCTTTTGAGAAGTGTCTGTTCATGTCCTTTGCTCACGTTTTAATGGGATCGTTTGTCTTTTGCTTGTAAATTTGTTTAAGTTCCTTATGGATTCTGGATACTGAACCTTTGTCAGATGCATAGTTTGTAAATCTTTCCTCTTATTCTGTAGGTTGTCTGTTTACTCTGTTGATGGTTTCTTTCGCTGTGCAGAAGCTCTTTAATTAGATCCCATTTGTCAATTTTTGCTTTTGTTGCCATTGCTTTTAGTGTCTTTGTCATGAAATCTTTGCTCGTTCCTATGTCCAGAATGGTATTTCCTAGGTTATCTTTATCTTCAAGGGTTTTCTTTAAAAAATATTTTTAAGTTTTACATTTAAGTCTTTAATCCATCTTGAGTTGATTTTTGTATATGGTGTAAGGAGAGGGTTCCATTTCAATATTTTGCATATGGTTAGCCAGTTATCTCAGCACCATTTATTGAATGAGGAGTCCTTTCCTCATTGCTAGTTTTTGTCAGCTTTGCTGAAGATCAGATGGTTGTAGGCGTGTGGCCTTAATTCTGGTCTCTCTATTCTGTTCCATTGTACTGCTACTATGCTATTTTGTTTACCATAGCCCTGTAGTATAGTTTGAAGTAGAGTAACGTGATGCCTCCAACTTTGTTCTTTTTGCTAAGGATTGCCTTGGCTATTTGGTCTCTTTCTTGGTTCCATATCAATTTTAAAATAGTTTTTTCTATTTCTGTGAAGATTGTCATTCTTCTTAGTAGTTTGGCAGGAGTAGCACTGAATTTGTAGATTGCTTTGGGCAGTATGGCCATTTTAATGATATTGATTCTTCTTATCCATGAGCATGGAATGTTTTTCCATTTGTTTGTGTCATCTCTGATTTCTTTGAGCAGTGTTTTGTAATTCCCATTGTAGAGATCTTCCACCTCCCTGGTTAGCTGTATTACTGAGTATTTTATTCTTTTTGTGGCAATTGTGAATGGAATTGCATTCTTTATTTGGCTTTTGGCTTGGATGTTGTTGGTGTATGAGCTTAGCCTTTTTTTGAACTTTATATATGAATGTAATCTTATTGTATGTACTCCTTTGTATGCGACTTGTTTTGCTCAACCTTTTGTTTGTGAGATTCATCCCTGCTGTTGTAGCAGTAGTTGTTCATTTTCATTGTGGCATAGTACCCCACTATATAAATATATCACCATATATTTATTCATTGCATTGTTGTTGAACACTTTTGGCTATCATGAATAAAGCTGCTATAAATATTGTACATAAGACTCTGATCCTCATATGTACTTCTGTTGGACATGTATCTAGTGAAAGGATTGCTGTTTCATGAGGCAGGCATATTTTCAGCTTCAATAAATACTGCTGGTTTTCTAAAGTGGTTGTGACAATTTACACACCCACCAGAGATGTATGAGCATTCCAATAGCTCCTTGACAATACTAGGTTTTGTGAGCTCTTTTCCTTTTAGCCTCATGGTTGTTCAATGATATAGCATTCTGGTTTTAACTTGCATTCCCATGATGACTATTGAGGTTGGGTAATTTTTCATATGCTTATTAGCCATTTGGATAACCTCTTTGGAAAGTACCTGTACAAGTCTCTCACCCTTGCTTTTTAAAATTGAGTAGTCTGTCTTTTTCCTGTTAATTTGTAGAACTTCTTTATATATTTTAGATATGAGACCATTAGATATTTTTGCTGTAAGTATCTTCTCCCTTTCTAAGTGTCTTTTCATTAACAGAGGTTTTTAATTGGAATGTACTCCAATTTGTCGGTCTTTTTCTTTTTAATTTGTTTTTTTGTTCATGTCTACCATGGTGTCTACAAGAGCACGAAGATATCCTACTATGCTGTCTTCTTTTAGATTAAATTTTATTGATTGATTTTTACGTTTAGCTCTAAAATCTGTCTGAAGTTTGTGTATGTGAGGTGTGAGGTAGGAGTCAAAATTAAATATTAATTTGTTTTTCTGTATGGCTTTCTAGTTGGCCATGTATCTTTTTTTTTTTTTTTAATTGAGACAGGGTTTCACTCTGTTACCCAGGCTGGATTACAGTGGCACAATCACAGCTCACTACAGTCTTGATCTGGACTTGAGTGATCCTCCTGCCTCAGCCTCCCAAGTAGCTGGGACTATAGGCATGTGCCATCATACCCAGATAGTTAATTTTTTTTTTTTTTTTTGTAGAGACAGGGTTCAAGGGATCCTCCAGGCTTGGCCTCCCAGAGTACTGGGATTCCAGGCATGAGCCATAGTACCCTGCTGGCCATGTATCATTTATTGAAAAGATCATAATTTCCCCACTGCGCTGGAGCACTTTTGTCATAAATCAAGTGATTGTTCATGTCTAGGTCTGATTCTGAACTCTATTATATTCCATTGATCTATTCATCTATCCTTGAACAAAATTCACTTTGTCTTGATAATTGTTGCAATATAATCTTCCCTTAAGTATGCTGTAATTGGATCTCACAGGTTTTCATTTGTCATATTTTTATGATTTAAGTCAAAATATTTTCTCATTCCATTGTGATTTCTCCTTTGACCTAGTCTCTTCATAAGTGAATTGCTTATGTTCTAAACATTTGGGGATTTAAAAATTTATCTTTTTGCAGTTGATTTCTAGATTAATTCCATTGTGGATAGAAAATATGATGTACATAATTTCAATTTTCTCAAAATTATTTTGATATGTGTACGG
This sequence comes from Homo sapiens, assembly GCF_000001405.40. Classification (NCBI taxonomy): domain Eukaryota; kingdom Metazoa; phylum Chordata; class Mammalia; order Primates; family Hominidae; genus Homo; species Homo sapiens. The sequence goes on along the minus strand of NC_000002.12, from coordinate 173,724,332 downwards.
CCAGGTAAATGTAAATTTTGGTAAATAGTCCATGTACACTTGAAAAGTATTTGAATTTTGCAGTTGTTGGTTGCACTGTTCTCAATATATTAAGATTGCTTATTCATGTTGTTTTAATTCTCTATATCCCTAAACTTTTTTGTTTGTTTTATTAGCTCCTGAGAAAGGATTATTAAAATCTCTCACTATAATTGTGAATTTGTTCATATCTATTTAGTTTTAATGATTCTTGCTTTATATATTTTGAAGCTATAATATTAGATGCAAAAAAATTTAAACTGACATATTCTTCCAGTATATTAATCCTGTTATAATTATAAAATGACTCTTTATTGCTAGTAATTCTTATTATGTAAACATCTACTTTGTCTGACATTATTATAACTACACCAGTTCCATTTGATTGTTTGTCTGGAATACCCTTTTTCATACAACCATTATGGGCCCTTATATTTAAGGCAAATCTTTTACAAACAACATAAGGATTTTAAAATTGAGTCTGACCAACTTTGTCCTTTTATTGGAGTATTTAGTTACATTTAATATAAATATTGCTATATTTGGGTTTATACCTATCATTTTACTATTTGTTATTTAACTCAGCTTTTTGAGATTAACTCAGCTCTCTCTCCTTTTTTACTTTCATTAAGATTAATTGTGAATTTTTTACAATCCTACCCCCACCATTAGTTATGTATCTTCCATTACTCTGTTAGTGCTTACCCTAGAACAACCCATATAGACTTCTGACTTATTTCTTTCTATTGTGAATTTTACTGTTACCACCTCCTAACTGTCCAAAGACCCAAGAACACCTGAACTTCATTTACCACCTTCTGTCTTTTGTATAATATTGTTATTATACATTTTAAACCTGCATAGATACATGTATAACATATTTTCCAACATTTTGTTTGGAAAAATTTCAGACATACAGGAAAATTGAAGACATGTTACACTGAATACTCATATACCACCACCTAGACTCCATGCTTTTTACAACTCTGGCTTTATCACATATCTATTCATTCCTCTATCTGCTCTCAATCAATCCATCTTACTTTTTAATGCCTTTTAAAGTAAGTTGTAAATATCAATGCATTTCATCCTAAAACATTTCAGCCAGCATATTATTATAGTTCAACATTTATTTATGGGGTTTTTAAGGCACAAATTTATGTCCACTAAAAGGCACAGATTTTTAAGTGTATTGTTTGCTGGATTTTTACAAGTATAGATATTTGTGTAAGCCAAGACCCTCCCAAGATACAAAGCACTATCACCACCTCCAAAAGTTCCTTTTTGCCTCCTTCCAGAAAATGCCCATTTCCTTATTCACTTCAAAAGCAATCACTATTCTGATGGTTTGCTACCATAGGTCAGTTTTTCCTGTCTTAGAACTTCATATAAACGGAATCACATTAAGTATGTGCTCCTTTCACCTAAATCTATCCATGTTGTTGCATGTGTCAGTAGTCCACCGCTTTTTAATTGCAGAGCAATAATCCATTGTATAAAAATATCAGAATTTGCTTATGCCTTCTCCTATTGACAGACACCTGTGCCTTTTCCAGTTTTTAGCCATTATGAGTAAAGCTACCAAAACAGTCTTGTACATGGCTTTTTGTAAACATGCTTTTATTTCACTTGGATAATACCCAGGAGTGAACTAGCTGGGTCAATGGGTAGGTATATGTCTATTTTTTCAGAAACTGCCAGGCCTTTTTTTCAGGGTCAGTTAGATCAAGTTGGTTGATAGAGCTGGAGATCTTCTATATCATTAGTATTTTTTTTAAATCTAGTTTTTCTGTCATTTACTTGGAGAAGGATGTTAAATGCCCCAACTATGATTGTGAAATTGTCAATTTGACCCTTTGGTTGTTCACTTTTGCTTAATGTGTTTTGAAACCTTGTTATTAGGGACATTATTATCCATTTCTGATGAATTACTTCTTTTATTACTAGAAAATGTTCTTCTGTATTTCCAGAAATACTCCTTGTCTTAAAATCTAAGCCTCAAGTTCACTGAATTTCTCCTCATTCCTCCTAATGGAGGAGTATGCTTAACCCTATTTCTTCACATACTTCCATTGGCACTTGTTAAATGATCCTTTGAGGATTACTGGAGATGCGATTTTGCCAGGCAGACAGCAAAGCAAATAATTCTCAGTTGTAGGAACAAAGCCAAGTGACCTCTTGGAGGGTGAGTTTATGGGACACTAACGTGGTGGCTGATCTGGGAGGTGTCTTGATCACTAATACCATCAGGGGAAGATTGAGTCCTGTGTTTATTGGATAACGAGATCAAAATGAATGGAAAGGATTGTTTTAAGAGGGGGAAGTATGTTGTTGGATGTAGTCCTGTCTTTGCTTGCTGATTTTCCTCGCTTAATTAATTAATTCAGGAACCGTCTGATTGACTAATTGTATATCCTTAATTTTATAGTTGGCACTGCTGATGAGATGATGTATGTTGAATTACTGTAAGCTAAAAGTTGCTTTGCTTTTGATTCTGATTCATCCTAATGATACATGTTCATATTTTACTGGGCTTGAGCTAAATCATTGCATTAGTAGAACTGCCATCAGAGATTGCTGTAAACATTTCCGTTACACTAATTGCCATGATTTAGTCCAATTCTGTGAAAAAACTAAAGAGCAAAATGACCCTCTTATAGACATTAGTTTTTTGTTTTTGTTTTTCTTAGAATACAAAAACGTACCCATAATTGTCTGATAGATGCAGTATTTAATCTACAAAAGTAGAATTTTAATATAAAATGATGACAGTAGTTTGACATGGAGGAGGCAGGCATATTTGACTTTAAGAATGTTATCATTTATGTTCATACGGTCATGAATTGCTGTTATTGTGTGTTGTTGTTGCTTTTTAACCTGTAGAACAATGTTGAAGGCTTAAATGAGATTCAAACACCAAATTTGTATTGGGAAGTGCGCATATGCTACAGGAATTTCTCCCTAGACAGAACTTTTTGTGTGGACATACAAGAGCCCATCAGATAATATAAAAAGGTCATTTCCAATATGCTTGGAAACACCCCAGAAAATAGTTGGATATAAGTCTTAGTTAATTATCATGCCTGGTAAGGTGAGCTTGGGTGTCAGGGATTGAATGAAATAGTTAGAGATGCATTGATCATGATTAGGATTTTGCAGCCATCAGAGATTATACTTTGAATCAATGTGATTTGATGTGTGTATGTGATATTAGCAAAGGACTCCCTTGCTTAAAGAGAGGAGGGAAAGAATACCATTTTGCCATTCTTAGAAACCTTCTGATTGATTTTTCTCCTCCTTGCCCCTGCCCCCCTCCTTTCCTTTCCTGAAGTGTTCCCATGCAGAGTCTGTTTTTCCCATGTTGCTTTGTGTGTGTGTGTGTGTGCGTGTGTCTCCTATCTCTGTATTTCATGTTAGAAGCATTCCTCAGGCATCTGATATGCCCAGTTATCTTCTCATATTTCAGAAGAAAGAGAAAAAGCTGACTGGAAGCCCTGCACGGTGGGATGGGCATGCCAGCCGGGAACTTCACGGTAGGGCAATGGTTCCCAAACTTTCTTGTCCATGGATCCCCTAGAGTCTCTGTTATCTTTTCACGGCACCTCTAGACCCTCCAAAATGCCTAATAATTCTGTTTATTAGGTAGGTAGGCCCAAGGAAATAAATAGTAATAATTTGTATGATGAGCAACAGAAATTGCTGTGTTTTCTTTGAAAATTCAAAATATTCCACAGTGCTCTTGTGAGTTCACTGTGCTGCCTTAGGGAGCCTTAGTGTACAGTTTGGGAAGTGCAACTGTGGGATGACTTGACTGGGAGGGGCTTGCAAACTGAGAACTTCTGCGTCAGTGTTTTGGCTAGCCCTGACAGTCTGTGTCAGTCTAGGCCAGCCCTTTGGCTGGGCCTTTGTATGAGCTATGGGGGTCTAAGATCTTTATTCCCTCTGTTGGCTTTATGTAATATTGTGGAAATCAATCAGAGATAGCCTTTCAGAAAGATTATCCAATATGGAATTCTTTAATCTACCTAAACTAGACCTTGTTTATTCATATGCCACGATGCCACCCATGTTTTGTGGTTGGGATAGAAAGCCACAGTACATTAATCTCTTGGTGTTGTCTGTGATGGCTCATCAGTCACCTTGAGGGTTTGGGTGTTCCCTGTTTCCCCAGCAGCTCCCTAGGCTGTCTCTGTGGCTGGATGTGGTATGAGGGGTCTCATCAAGGTGAGGCCCGGAGCCTCTGGCCAGAGTGTCAGCCTTCTAGGGTTAGGAGAATGGCGAGACAGCATGCGCCCCTGCAGTGGGAGCAGGGGTCCTGGAGCTGTGGAAGCCTGGAGTTATACTGAGTGAACCTTAGTTGGTCCTAGATATGATTGGTGCATACGCACTCTATGCCACCCCTACACTTCCAGTTGTAGGTTTAGCATAAATGCAAATTAGGCAACACTAATATATTTTGAGGAGGTGTGGACCCTTCACTGCACATAGGCAGCTCTTGGGGATTGGGAAGATCTGGAGTTGTGGTCAGAGCCGAGACTCATGATTCCTACATGCAGACACTGCACAGCCTGCCTTCATTAGGACTTTATCTTGGCTTATCAGATTCCCAGAGAAGGTTCTTTTGTTTCCTCCTGGAGAGTGTGTATTTGGCTGCCAGCAGCCTGGAGACTGAGTGGAGGAAGCAAGCTGAGGAGCCTGCATTCTGCCTTCACTCACTGTTCCTGGTTGATACGTACACCACCCACTTAGAACCTGTGCCCAGGTTCTCTAAGTCTAGAGATCCGGACTAGCCCTCAGGCATCTGCTGGGGCTGGGAGGAATGATTGTCTGGGAACTGATGAAAAAAAAAAAAAAAAAAAAAGAGAGGATACTAGGATCTAACTGCTCCTCAAACAGCTCTTCAGGAATCTGCCCCTTCACCCCTACTTCCAAGGATATCTGATGCCATCAATGTAGAAGCCTTTGGAATATTCTGTGTAGATCAGCTTGGGTCCTGGCTTTCATCACTAACTTAAGAGTCACCTTTTCAGATCTACTAAGTCAAATTCCACTTTCCCATCTGTTTTTCAGCTTCTCACACTTTGATTTTGCTGTGTCTCTTTTATTTTCTCTATCTCTGTAGGTTTATATGTTTTTTGTTAGCATTTTAGAAATCTCTTGTTGCAGTTTTAGTGGGATTTAGGGACAAAGTTAAATGAGATATGCTTGCACCATTTACCACATTTCCATTCATTCATTCATTCTTGAGAATCTTCATGTGCCAGGGATGTGACTGAATGCCAGGGATGTGATTGCATGGGTTTTAAAAATGGGATGACAGTCTTTGACATCAAGTAGTTGACAGTTCGACGGGATGGGAGGCAGGGAGAGAACCAACCAAGGTAATAAATAATTAAAATATGCGGTGACAATAGCACATCAAAAGTCCATGTCAGGTTCATTGTGGGATTAACCAACAGATTTAGGTGCTGTTTGATGTCAGTCTTCAGACAGAAAAGTGAGACAGGGCGTTCAAAGCAGAGGGAGCAGCAGGTAATTTGGTAAGCCTGGCTTACATTGGAATATTTGACTTGGGGCAGCTCCCTGAAGCCACTGGACCCCTACAACGCTGCAGTATCCCAGGACTTCTTCCCTTCCTGGTTACTCAAACCTGATTCTACCGGACTCTGAGCCTCCCAATGCCTGACCTTCCTTCCTGGCTTCCTTGTCCTTTGGACTTGACACTTTGTTTGGTAATCCCAGGCATGCTCTTGACTCCTCTTTATTGAGCTCCTAGACTCCAGTCTGGCTACATTGCCTTTGTTTCCATCTAACAAATTCCTTACCGAAGTGGGGAAGGCCAAGACACCCCTGCCCCAACCTCTATAACCCTCTGTTCCCTACTCTCTGTAAAGAGAAGACAGGGTTAGTTCATCAATAAGGAAGCAATAGGTAGGATGGGCAGTTAGGCTTCCAGCAGCAATTCTCAAGGAGAGGCAAGGAGCAAGCATATCAAGGAAGATCAAGGAAGGGGCAGAGGGAGGACCATGGCTGAAAGCCAGGGATGCAGTTAGGTGTTGGAGTCAGAGACAAGGCAACTCTGTGGATTTTGGATAGTGGCTTCCTTTTTGGTCAGGATTAGCTTAGAGACTTGATGTGGCTGAGCCTGTAGGTCAGACATCTACAGAGCATATAGTTGAAAAACCAAATAAAAGAGAGGGACTCAAAGATCTTGTCCTAGTTGTTTTAGGTAAGGTGGGATCCTCTGTCTCCTCCTCCCTCTTTGTTTGCTCCTGTTGTTGACAGGGTAAGGATGGCGTCTCTACATCATGCTGCTTTTTCCTTCCCCTTCCTCCCCATGTTTGGAGAGAGTCTTTTAGCAAAGAAGCCTATCAAGTTATGCCATGTAACATGGTCAATGTTAATAAGAAAGCAGTTTGTTCTGTAGCTGCCCAACTCTGGAGAATTTGATTTTTCTCCAGGGATGAGAACACTTGCAACTCAACCACAAAGGGGTCTTGGACTCAGAAGTAAGAGGGGGAGGGAAACGGGGAGAAGGAGAGACTGAGGGAGAGGAACATCTGGCTCCTGGGTGAGGATAACTTGGCTTTGGACCAAAAGGCAAGGAAATATGATGTAATGCTTGTGCCATTCTACAGACTCTGGGTCCTTCTGGATTCTTCTTGTTGGTAGAATGAGCTTTCTAGAGTTTACAGTTAAAGGTAGCTTCAATTTTTCTCATTTATGAGTTGGTTTACTAAAAAGGTCTCAGACTTTCTCTTTCTAACCTCTTCCCCTCCTATATTTTTCTCCTTTTACCTAGGGGTACCTTTTTTCACATTCACCATTAAAGTTCTGCAGCCAGTGAAATTGCCCAATACGCTCCCTATCCCAAGACTGTCGCAGTCTCATATAGGAAAGTATATGAGTGAGTCATTAATAACACATGGAGTTACATAAGTAATGATTTCTTTCAGGTATAACCCAAATGTCTTGGTCTTCATGAGCTGGTAAGGGCAATTCAGTCTGGTCTTATTAATATGAAGCTGCCTGTCTAGATTCAGAGATTCTAGGGTTTTACTAGTCTGCCTGCAGATGACAATGCCTCCAGGCGTTCCTAGGGGTGCTCTAAAGTGTTCATGAATCTGCTGGTTGTTACTCAGTGCTTTGAGTTGGTCATGGTTACTGCTGCTACTGCCACTTCAAGACCATGAAGAGTAGGAGAATGCTCCATTTGTGTTGCACTGTATTGGAAGAAAGTTCCAGTTTAGGTTCACCAAACCCCACAGTGTTACAGTTCTAGAGGTCAAGCATCTGCCAGAGGCTGGAGCTCAAAGAGCAATTGACTTAGGGCCATTTCTTCTCCAGGGCAAATACAAGGCACCCAGTGCCTGAGTAAGACCTGGGGCCATGGGGATTCTCTAGAGGGTGCTCAGTATGACTATCCTTCTCCAGCCTCAGGCCATTGGCTGAGTCTTACCATGCAGACACCTTCTTTGCTTATGATGAATTATTTTACAGGGGCACTGTTATTCTTGAACTGTGGCTCCTCCACCCTCCACCCCTGGGCCAGGTCTCCAGTGCTGCAGGCCATTAGATGTCACTGTGTTTTCCTGAACTTCCCCACAGCTCCTCAGTCCATATATGAATCACTGGATACACAGATTTTTCGTGGAAGGTGCCCAGGTGGTGGCCTGACTCATCCTTCACTAAGAAGGGAACTTAGACCTACCCACAGATATTTGCAGTTTGAGTTTTTATTGTAATGGCTGCTTCCTTCCTTAGGAAAGGAATTTAAGGCATCAAAGAACACATGGGAGACTACCAATGTGGGTAAACTTAAAATCACATTCCAATCCCATTGGGAATTTTTTCAAAATTGACACATTTTAATTGTAAATATTTATGGGGCACAATTTGATGTTTCGGTACATATATGTGTTGTATAATCAAGGCAGTTAGATTTATCACCTCATGGAAAAGTGCTCAACATCAATAATCAACAGGGAAATGCAAGTAAAACACACAATGAGGTACCATCTCACTCCAGTTAAAATAGCCTATCATCAAAAGACAAAAAAAAAAAGTGTTGGTGAGGATGTGGAGAAAAGGGAACAATTACAAACTGTTGATGGGATTGTAAAGTAGGACAGCCATTATGGAAAACAGTATGGAGCTTCTTCAAAAAATTAAAAATGGGACTATTATGTGATCCAGCAATCCCACCACTGGGTATATATCCAAGGCAAATGAAATCAGTGTGTCAAAGAGATACCTGCACTCCCATGTTCATTATAGCACTAGTCACAATAGTCAAGCTATGAAATTGACGTAAGTGTCCAACTTCAGATGAATGGATAGATAATTTTTTATTAGTGTGACTCTTTTCCCTTTGCTTCTTTTCCCTTTGAGATTCCAGGGAGTCAGACTGCAGAGGGATGTGGCTAAGTCCAAATTCCTTGTTTTCTCTACTTCAAGTCTAGCTGAGAGAAAAGGATCCTACATACTGAGTGCATATCCCATTTTCCCACTCACGAGTTCTCTGGAAGCAGAGCCAAAACCGAGCAGCAAAAGTCAATTGATTTATTCTAACATATGCTTCATGTAACTTGAGATGTTGAAAAGCCCTGCATAGTTGCACCTAATTGAACACAGTCAGCAAATCCCATGGTCACCTGACATGTGTAATTTAGACGAGTGGATTAGTCAGCCTGAGACTAGGCACCTTCGTGCATGAATATGGGTGTGGGTTGCCAAGATACCCTCAAGAATGTCCTATGTGCCTATTGAAGCAGGAATCCAAAATTAGAAAAATGCAAATGGCTGTCGTACATGCACACAGTGAGGATGGGCCTTTGCCAATTCAGTTGGCTCCCTTCTAAATCCCAAGGCTGTGTCTTCCATGGAGTAAGGAAGCTGTCGATTTGAGTACTTATTAGAAGAGGAAAAAGGATTCCAATTGTACAAAGCTACTGTAAGTCCTTTGGAAGGAACTGGTGTACAAGTCTTAATATATAATAAATTGAAGGGATGTATGTGACGGACAAGAAAGCAATCTTGACATGACTCATGACTTCTAGTAGTCAAGAATCATTAGATCTGCAAGTGTTTCTTTGGCATGCACCTCTTCCTAATATACAATTTCATTCTTTCTCTCTTGTGACTCCCAAACTCATAGAACATGGACACCCATTGGAAGCAGATATTTTCAGATTCCCAGGTGCACATAAAACTATCCCCCTCCACTCCTAAACATATACACACCAGCTAGAAAGAAGAATTCCATTTAGGATTCTGCCTGCCTTTGTTTAATTCTTCTGTTAGAGCTTTTTAAGTATATGCAGTATACTTAAAATATTGAGGGCTCTGCTCTGCCCTAACTCACAGACTTACAGACCTCTTCCAAGGAGCGTTTTGGTTTCCTTTTAAGTCAGAGATTGGGGAGATTTGATATCAAAAATCCCCAAAATTCTGCAGTGTTTTCATTTTTGGGGTGAATTCTATTTTGCTACTGTGAACCCTGGGTATGAACAGGCATTCCTGTTCTTCCTCCCTCTGGTGCAACCCTTATCTGTGAATAGAAAGTGTCTGCAGAGACCATGGTACTCTGTGGATGAATCCCACTGCTCCTCTGTGGAGTTGCTTCTGGTGGAGGGCAGTCAACACCATCATTCAGGATGCTCAACACAATAAGCCAGAGAAATGAAGGAGATAAAAAAAGAGACATGTCAGAAATCTATCCTCAAAAGATGATCTTTTAGGGAAGGAGAATGGCTTTGAGATTAAACTCCAGAATTTCAGAGTTCTTTGTCTCATATTCCATGTAAAGGTCTTCAAATGAGTGACCATAGGAAAAGTCTTTGATGATTCTTTTGCTTGATATTACTTCCTTAAAAATTGCAACTATAACAAATGTCAACAAAATTCCTTGTAAGGATGAGTGACTAATTACGTATTATAGGGCACACACATGGAGTTGTTCATCAAAACAACTTATTTACCTAGTTACTCACCTAGTTGTGCTGTTTCTATTTTGCTATTTGATGTAGCCCCAAGAGGCCGATAATATAAAGTGCCTCTCCCTGGCTTAAATGCAATTATTGAGATCAATTCAACAAACTCTTAGTGGCATTCTACTACCATCAGACACTGTGCCAGGACCTAGAGAATCAAAGGTTTTGAAAGCCATTAACCTGCCCACCAAGAGCTGACAGCTGGGGAGAGATAGGCCCGTACACAGATGGTTTCAGTCATGTGGCAAATGCAGCTCTAGTTTCAGGCCAGGCCTATGGGATGCTTAGCTGGCCAGCATGAGTCAGGTGAGGCTTCTTGAAGACCAGGATCCATGTGATCAATATTTTTGTCTGCTCATTTCGGGGAGAAACTTTTTTAAATTTCAAAGTTAATCCATGTCCAATTTAACAGTGCACAAATGTGTAAAGGCAAAAGTGAAATGAGATGAATCTTAAAGGCTAAGTGAATATGCAAGTTTTCCCCATCGAGGGTAGACTCTGGGAAGGGAGAGATCTAAATGTGTCTTACAGGCTGAGGAGAAGTCAGGAAAGAGAGAGAGAGAGCGCAAAGCATACAGGAGAGGGCATAAGCAACAGTCCGAGGCCTAGGAGAGCAGGGCACTGGGGTTAAGAGGACAGGTGATGGATTGGCTGTGAGCAGATGCAGAACGAACTCATTCTCTGAGATCGGAGGGGAGGGTGGTTATGGCTGTCAATGAGTTTCGTGTGTGTGTATGAGCACACATAGGTCAGAAATTTAAGGTTGGGTACATCTGATGGTCATAATAGCCAACATTCTCTGAGCCAATACACTCATCAATCACCTACTATGTGCCAAGCACTGTTCCAGGACTGGAGATACAGCAACGAACAGATGAGCTGAAGGCCCCCTCCTGAGGACAGATGGAAGCCTGCCATGTGGAAATGGGGAGCCCAGGACTGGCTGCAGCACACTTACTGGCCGCGTTGTAGCACTATGTTGATAAGGCTCAGGATCTTGTGATCTCTACTATCCACTGATTTGATGTAAGATCCAACTGGGACGATTTCATCCTTGGTCATTTGGACAGGAGTGAAGTGGATGACAGCAGATGACATTTGGGATGCTTATCTAGGTCATGGCCTCTTTTTCTAAGGACTGCCCTCACCCACCCATGAGGATGGACCCAGTGGACATGTTTGTGTTATTCTGACCTTGACCATTTCCCTGGTATAGTCATGTGGATCAGGAATGGACACCTGGCCTAAGCTGGATAGCTCAGATTTTTTTCCTGGGAATTTGGAATTGGTCCTGAGAGAGCTACTCAATTTCTGCAATCACTTTAATTAAATACACATAAATTCAGGATATTAGGGGTAGCCATGCTTGGATCTGTGTATAGAGGAGTATTGCAAAACAATCTAGGGAGAAGAGAGAATTAATTATGATGAGGGTGGAGAGAGAGGCAGGGATGAAAGTCTATGTAACTTGAGAGCGTGAGAGAAAGCAAATCTATTTACTTATCCAACAGTGACTTGAGTGCCTACTCTGTGTTTAGACATGGGGGACACTGTGGTGTCAAGATATGCAAGCTACCTTCCAAACACTTCCATTCTAGAGGGAAGGGGCCTACCTTGGCTCTGGACAGCTTTCTGAGTCTTGGTCCTGGTGCATTGTGAGGCCCAGCTCCATTTTTTGTCCTGGGTTTTCATCTAACTTGTTTCTTATGACAACAATCCCTGCCCCCATCATTGCACCTGAGCTACCTTGAGTGGGTCTCTCTTACTTGTTCCAGAAGAATCTTGATCACATAGAAATCTGTCAGTTTTACATATTTTCACCCATTGACAGCTCAAAATTAAAAACAAATCCCTCTGCTTTAAGTTCCCAGTAACTTCCTTTTTGCGGATGGTGAGGAATCTGTGCAGCCGAGCCAGGAGCTGCTTGTGACAGGTCTGCAGCAAAGCGGGCGAATGACATTTATTTTGTTATGTACCACGGCTTGCCTGGATTTATTTAAAAACTATTTTGCTATTTTGTGGAATAACTAATTCCACATACCTATTTTTGGTCTTCTTTTCTTTTCAATTTACATATGAAATTGCTTCCCAATAGTACAAAGGACATGATCTATCATCCCCCACCTCCTTGCTGTATTTCTGGACCATATATCAGGGTAGGCATTTTTTATTCTTATTTCAGAGGTACACTAAGGCATGGATGGATAATTCTCAGTCATATTGTTAGTGCATTGCTAGGGTCTAATTCCTGTGTTTTCTAAACATGAGGATCATCACTTAGCTCAACACTGCCTAGGGCCAGGGAGGTCTGTAAGGACTACAGCAATTAGATTTAGCTTGAAAGCTGTGACTAATGCTTGAGCATATAATGAAATAAAGTTTTTGCAACTTCTTCCATGCATACCTTGTCAGCAACAGAAAAAAAAATTTAACTGATCAACTAGCTGACAAGTCATTCTTGTCTCCAGTTTAAAATTTTTAGGCGAACCTATAGTGTTGAAAGCTACAGCAGGCATATTTATAACCCTTAATTCTTGATATGTGGGAAGCATTAAACTTTCAGAGAACCTTAAAGCTCGTTTGGGGGTGAGAATTGAATATAATGTTAGATTTTCATAATGGCCCATTAAGTGTGTATTTTTCATTTTGCCGATGAGCAGCTGGTCAACTAGAGAGAACAATTATTCTTTTTAAAAACTTTGAGTCAAAAAAATACAGATTCAGGAATATCTATAAATTTTATGAGTCCATTTTAGTAGTGTTTGTATCATTAACAAACTCCAAAGGCAAAAAGGATTCTTTGCAGGAAGTCAGTAGTAAAGCCGGGTCTAAAAGTTAGCGTAGCCATCTTATTTTAAAAGTTTTACTCTAGCATAGTTCATTCTTTCAACCTCAAGAAATGAGAATGGAATTTAGTCTAATTTTAGAAACTTTTTATTATAAAAAATTCAAACATACATAAACTGAACAGTTTTTCATATTTTGCCATATTTGTTTACCAGTCTTCTTTTTGCTGAAAAGTTTCAAAGTCAATTCTAAACATTGTGACTTTATCCTCAAATACTTCAGTATGCAGCTCTATACGAATAAGGTATTTTCTTATATAATCATGATGGCCTTATGGCACCCCAACAATAACTCCTTAGTATCATTTAATACCCTGCCCACATTTAATTTTTCCCAACTGTTTTCCTAGTTTCATTTTAGTTATTTTATTCAAATTGGCATTTAACAAAGGTCCACATGTTGTATTTGGTTAAATGTCTTTTAGGTCAAATTATCTGAATTTAAAGGAACTCCCCACCCCTTTTTGCCCTACCCTTTTTAAAATTCATATCAATGATAAACAGACTCGTTGTCCTGTAGGATGATCCACATTCTGGATTTTTCTGATGCCTTCCTCATTACCTCATTGTTTGTTCCTCTATCTTTTATATTTCTTTTAATTCTAAAGGCTTTAATATATTTGGGTGCAATATTTTGGGTTTTGCTTCACAATTGCATCATATTAGGAGGCAAAAAGTATCTGGATATCTGTATTATCCAAGTTTAGTGACACCAAGATTAGTCAGTGAGTTCAGTTAGTGACAGCCAGACCCTTCCATTACAATACTGTGGCTTTCCTCTTAGGACTAGAAATAATCTGCCAAAAGTATTTAGTTCTTCACTCATCCTTCATTCTTAGTAGCTATTGGTGTTTGTTGCCTGAATCAATTATTACATTAAGGGTTATAAAATGATAATTTTATAATTCCATCTTTTCTTTATTATGTATTAGCTGGAATTCTACAAAAAAAGTTTCCTCTCAACAGCTAGCACTAGTTTGGTTACTCTGAGATACAGTTCATATAATAAGGACAGAATAAAGACTTAAGTCTTCCTTTTAAAAGTAAATTTTCATAGCCAGGCATGCTGGTGCATGCCTGTGGTCCCAGCTACTCAGGAGGTTGAAGTCGGAGGATTGCTTGAGCCTGGGAGGCAGAGACTGCAGTAAGCCATGATTGTGCCACTGCACTCCAGCCTGGGCGACAGAGCAAGATCCTGTCTCCAAAAAAAAAAAAAAATTTCAGAGTAAGAGTCAATTGTTTTTAAGCATTGGCCATTGAAAATGCTTAAACAGTCATACCTGTGATATCAGTAAGAGAATGGCAAAATCATCAATCCCTGGACCAGAATCTTATATGTCTAGAATAGACTTCTCATGAAGAGTACTTCTCTATGTACTTAGAGACAGGAAGGCCATTTGTAGGTACTTGTGTAGAGTGGCCTATTCATTCTGAAAAGTTTTGAAGGCAAAATTCTATTCCTTTACCCTTGAGTGCATAATTTCTTGCTTTTTTTCCTCCTCGTTTTGAAATCATAAAACTAAAAAAATTTGTTTATGCCATTCATAGTGTAAACAATATCCACATTGAAAGGAGCGACATAGTAGCTAAGGTGGAATGGGGAGGGTGTGGAAAGGAAGACCCTGGCAACTTTTACTGGGCCCCAAATGGTTCAATTTAAAGAATTTTCTCTAAGAGATGGCCCACATGGCATTCCATTATTTCAGATACATATTGTTCTTTGAAAGACAGTTTAAGTTAGAACATCTCTTTAGCCATTAATTATAATGTCAATGTTATATAATAAAATAGTTGCCGGGCGCGGTAGCTCACGCCTGTAATCCCAGCACTTTGGGAGGCTGAGGCAGGCGGATGACGAGGTCAGGAGATCGAGACCATCTTGGCTAACACGGTGAAACCCTGTTTCTACTAAAAATACAAAAAATTAGCCTGGCGTGTTGGCGGGCGCCTGTAGTCCCAGCTGCTCTGGAGGCTGAGGCAGGAGAATGGCGTGAACCCGGGAGGCGGAGCTTGCAGTGAGCCGAGATCGCGCCACTGCACTCCAACCTGGGCGACAGAGCGAGACTCCATCTCAAAAAAAAAAAGTCTTATCTAGTTATTTATGCTTCTATTGGCATCTATAAAGCAATAAGAGTGTGTATTTCCTCTTTTTAATGTTCACTGTATTTTAACTACATAGAAGTGATTTGTCAGTTTCTATGATTCCAAGAATTGATTTCATGGGAAAATGCCTGTTGGCAGAGGACTCTTTGGGTTCCAGAATGTTTGCCAGAAAGTTTATCTGTCTCTGCACTTTGCCTTCTTAGCAGGTGACAGGTGTGACCTCTTGTCAAACTCTACCTTTGATCACATCTATTAAAAAACTCGGTGAGTATCTTATTAGTAATAGTATAGCAAACTACAAACATGTCTAGTTGCAAGGAGTATTATTTGTACTGCACGTATTGGCTCAAATTATTGTATGACCAGCTGTTCCCTGTCCTCCACATCATGTTCTAAGAAGCTCAGGGAAAAGTGTCACGTGGCCTCTTCCCGAGTGTAGGGATATGAGCAGGAAGTAAGTCTCCTACTTGGGAATTGTAAATAAGGTACATGTGTTCAGTCTGGAAAGATAGGCCTTTCCCCTTGGAGCAGTCACGGCAGAATTTATGGTCTGTGAAATCAGGACATTAATTCTTGCTTTTTTAAAGGCAAAAGAGAAAGATGTCTTAGTGATCTTAGAGACTTTTAAGAGAATGAAAGGTTCTAATCTCCATGGCAACATACAGAAAAATGGTATTTTGTTGTATTAATATAGTATATATTCTGGTATAACATGGCCCCCAACTGGAGCCTAAGCCACGTCCACAAATGGGAATGAGAAATGTCCAGGCCTTCTTGGTGTGCCGCCATCGCCTCCCCTGGGTGCTCTGCCATGGCTATGGTCCTCCAGAGGCAAAGGCCACGTGGCACAGAGGTTATAGTTCTGGGTCCCGGCATCACAGTGCCTGTGTTTGACTTCACCACTTAAGGACTGTGTGACCTTAGACAATTTGGTTAACTTTTCTCTATATCAGACTCTTCATCTCTATATAAAAGATTATAACAATTCTTAGTTACCACAAGTTTCAAATAAGACAATAGGGTCAAAGTGCCTAATCCTTAGCATGTACTCAATAACAGCAGAGGAAACAACTATAGTCACAATGGCTGCTGTTTTGAGCATAGACTCCAGGAGATG
Organism: Homo sapiens; assembly: GCF_000001405.40. Taxonomy (NCBI): domain Eukaryota; kingdom Metazoa; phylum Chordata; class Mammalia; order Primates; family Hominidae; genus Homo; species Homo sapiens. The sequence goes on along the minus strand of NC_000002.12, from coordinate 173,708,256 downwards.
GGTGAAGAAAGAAAGAGCACAGTTAAGAGCCATTGTGACAATCCAGGTGGGAGATGATGGCAGCTTCGGTCAGGGTGAATATGATAAATAAGCTATTCCTTAGAAGGTGGAAAACCAACAAAACCACAAAAGTAAAGTTAACATTTTCTTGGCTCTCAGCATGTGCCAGGCTGTCTGCTAAACATGTTCCATGTATTTTTAAAAATGGAATCCTCACAACAATCCTATGAGGTATATGTATATGTCTCTTTCATAAATGAAGATCAAGGGTTAAGTCACATGCTCGAGGTCCACAAAGGAGCAGCCAAGATTCAAACTCAGGCTGTAAGATACCAAATCTCTCTTGTTTTCCTTCTTGTTCTCCTTAAATTCCTTTACAAAATCATGTTCAAATCATCTTATTTAAGTAGACTCAACCGTGCCTTGGGGAATTCACGAGCTGGTGGGTTGGAGGTAAAACAATAGCTGCGAGAGCTCTTCTAGGAGTTGGTGAACCTCAAGACACAGGAATTAAGGCCGTGGGCTCTGAGTTCCTTCCAAGAGGGATTTCTTGCCATTCTCCCTCATTATCCACACAGAGTTCGGGCTTGATTTAACGAAGGAAGCCTCTGGGTTACCTGACACATGTAAACAACTAATTAGAATATAAGATGGTTGCTGTGATTGAAGTTTTTGCAAAGGTCTAACCCAGGAATTTTTTTTCTGTCAGAGATATCATAGAACTACTCAAAAAGTACCTGATTATAAGAAGATAGACAGTGAAACAGGCTTCACACATCTATTTTTCTATAATAGTGTGAAAATTGCTTAATTAAGTCTTATTCATCGAGACTGATTCTGCAGGCCCCTTTGGAATCAACCTCACTGTTCATTCAACCTCTTCAACTGACTGGCAGATCTTGCACCCATAAGCGTGCAGAGAGGCTAGAATGGGCTGCTCAGCCAAGGGTAATTGGTGATATATGGACAAATTTGACCTCAGATGTTGGGAACACGCGGCTGTCTCTTTCTGAGGATATTGATTTGCAGTTGCCCCTGCAGCCAGTTTGTAAGGGTTGCTGGGGAAGTTTCCGCTGGCTGGGCCATTTGTCCCTAGATATAATGGCACTCTGTGGAATTCTCTAGGCTTGATCTAGTGGATAACAGGGTGATTGCAAAACACACCAAACCTCTAAGGCAAGCTTGAGCTTAGTTCATTGCCTAATTTTTCCTTGTCAATTTCACTGCCGGTGGGCAGCTAACCCATGTCCTTCCAGAGTAAGAGCATTTTCAGCTACTCCTTAGTTGCTTTTGTTTTTTAAAATTTCCCTTGAACAGTTCAACTCCCAATGGCATTTTCAGAATGGGAGTTCATCACCCCTTTTGTGAACACCCAGCTAGCACTGTGTTAGGTTCTTCGCAGAGTGTGTTTGATTTAATCCTCACAACAGTTCTGCTCAGGTAGATATTGTTATTCCCATTTTATGGATAATGAAATTCACACTCAGGTAAATTATGTAATTTGCTCAAGATCAGCAGTGATGTTGGTAAATGGGAAAGTCATTAAGTCTTCTAAGTCACACGGCTGATTTTATTACACAAACAACAAGGCTTCCTCCAGCAAACTGGTATTGTCATTTGACTGTGGCGTCAAATTAGACAGGAGAAAGACCTCTCCTCACTGGTTAAGGTGCACAGAAGGTCTACTCTCCTAACTTCCTGCTGTAGATAACTTGTAGTAGAGAAGGTGGAAAGGATAGAATGGAGTAGAAAGAGGAAGAAGGGCATTTGTTTCTGCAGGAAAGGAATTCGGGTCTTTTGAGCTGTGATGGGCAGGCGCACCTCTGGTCCAATAGGAGAGACATAAGTGGACACCAGATCATGAACACATTGCCTTTTACATTCATTTTCTCATTCACAAAATTAAGTAATTATATCCTAGGGGGAGAAAAAGCTGCAGCATTGGATATAGAGTATGCAGTTGATGTCACTACAGGTAGCAGATTGAGTTTAACAAACCATATGGGTTGTAATTGTCTAAGTATGATTAATTCATAATGTTTGTTCATTTTATGCCTTATATTATGATTTGTTATTATTTCATTTAATTACAGTGTAAGTCCTTTTTCCAAGCATTATCAAGAACCGTTAGGGATTTTAATATTCACCAAATAATGACAAATGACATCCCTATGTTTCTGGACTTTCTCTGGGACTTGTTTCTTCTGGTGGAAGTTCCAAGAAAGAGCGAAGTGAACTTGGAGCAGGTGGTACATCCTTCCATTGCAGAACTCTGCTCGCAGCCTGAGGAAAACTTTACACTGAAGGTGGAAATAATGGCTTTCTGCTCAGTTTGTTGTAAATTCTAAATGGGGTGATTGAAGGCTGTAATAATCACTGTTGTTGGAAGGCTCTGGGCTTCAACATCTGGTGAATGCTTTTACTAGCTGACAGCCGTTAGCTTTGGCGTCATGGGTGTCCTGCCCAGATCTTTTGTTTTAAGTAGGCTAGGATTATGCTAGGAGCAAGTATCACTAGCTCATGTCTCAAGGCAAAAAAAAAAAAAAAAAAAAATAAGAAAGAACAACTTTATTTTCAGGATTAACTTTACCATGGTACATTTAGTAAAATGAGCCTTTTGCATATTATTATGGGAATGATGCAGCCTCTTATGCTCAAAACCCAAGATTTTTATTACATTTTTAGCTCAATAATTTAAATTAATGTTCAAAGCCCTGTTTAGCCTCTGTCAGAGACAAATTCACGTTGCTAACAAGCTCAAGAAAAATTTAGGAAAATTGGTTCATGTTCTTAGATCAGGCTAAGGCTGAATTAGTAAAACTGATACAACAAAAAAGGGAACAGTTGGGGGAGGAGCCAAGATGGCTGAATAGGAACAGCTCCGGTCTACAGCTCCCAGCGTGAGCGACGCAGAAGACGGGTGATTTCTGCATTTCCATCTGAGGTACCGGGTTCATCTCACTAGGGAGTGCCAGACAGTGGGCGCAGGCCAGTGGGTGCGCGCACCGTGCGCGAGCCGAAGCAGGGCGAGGCATTGCCTCACCTGGGAAGCGCAAGGGGTCAGGGAGTTCCCTTTCCGAGTCAAAGAAAGGGGTGACGGACGCACCTGGAAAATCGGGTCACTCCCACCCGAATATTGCGCTTTTCAGACCGGCTTAAAAAACGGCGCACCACGAGACTATATCCCACACCTGGCTCGGAGGGTCCTACGCCCACGGAATCTCGCTGATTGCTAGCACAGCAGTCTGAGATCAAACTGCAAGGCCGCAGCAAGGCTGGGGGAGGGGCGCCCGCCATTGCCCAGGCTTGCTTAGGTAAACAAAGCAGCCGGGGAAGCTCGAACTGGGTGCAGCCCACCACAGCTCAAGGAGGCCTGCCTGCCTCTGTAGGCTCCACCTCTGGGGGCAGGGCACAGACAAACAAAAAGACAGCAGTAACCTCTGCAGACTTAAATGTCCCTGTCTGACAGCTTTGAAGAGAGCAGTGGTTCTCCCAGCACGCAGCTGGAGATCTGAGAACGGGCAGACTGCCTCCTCAAGTGGGTCCCTGACCCCTGACCCCCGAGCAGCCTAACTGGGAGGCACCCCCCAGCAGGGGCACACTGACACCTCACACGGCAGGGTATTCCAACAGACCTGCAGCTGAGGGTCCTGTCTGTTAGAAGGAAAACTAACAAACAGAAAGGACATCCACACCGAAAACGCATCTGTACATCACCATCATCAAAGACCAAAAGTAGATAAAACCACAAAGATGGGGAAAAAACAGAACAGAAAAACTGGAAACTCTAAAACGCAGAGCACCTCTCCTCCTCCAAAGGAACGCAGTTCCTCACCAGCAACGGACCAAAGCTGGATGGAGAATGATTTTGACGAGCTGAGAGAAGAAGGCTTCAGACGCTCAAATTACTCTGAGCTACGGGAGGACATTCAAACCAAAGGCAAAGAAGTTGAAAACTTTGAAAAAAATTTAGAAGAATGTATAACTAGAATAACCAATACAGAGAAGTGCTTAAAGGAGCTGATGGAGCTGAAAACCAAGGCTCGAGAACTACGTGAAGAATGCAGAAGCCTCAGGAGCCAATGCGATCAACTGGAAGAAAGGGTATCAGCAATGGAAGATGAAATGAATGAAATGAAGCAAGAAGGGAAGTTTAGAGAAAAAAGAATAAAAAGAAACGAGCAAAGCCTCCAAGAAATATGGGACTATGTGAAAAGACCAAATCTACGTCTGATTGGTGTACCTGAAAGTGATGCGGAGAATGGAACCAAGTTGGAAAACACTCTGCAGGATATTATCCAGGAGACTTTCCCCAATCTAGCAAGGCAGGCCAACGTTCAGATTCAGGAAATACAGAGAACGCCACAAAGATACTCCTCGAGAAGAGCAACTCCAAGACACATAATTGTCAGATTCACCAAAGTTGAAATGAAGGAAAAAATGTTAAGGGCAGCCAGAGAGAAAGGTCGAGTTACCCTCAAAGGGAAGCCCATCAGACTAACAGCGGATCTCTCGGCAGAAACCCTACAAGCCAGAAGAGAGTGGGGGCCAATATTGAACATTCTTAAAGAAAAGAATTTTCAACCCAGAATTTCATATCCAGCCAAACTAAGCTTCATAAGTGAAGGAGAAATAAAATACTTTACAGACAAGCAAATGCTGACCGATTTTGTCACCAGCAGGCCTGCCCTAAAAGAGCTCCTGAAGGAAGCGCTAAACATGGAAAGGAACAACCGGTACCAGCCACTGCAAAATCATGCCAAAATGTAAAGACCATCGAGACTAGGAAGAAACTGCATCAACTAACGAGCAAAATCACCAGCTAACATCATAATGACAGGATCAAATTCACACATAACAATATTAACTTTAAATGTAAATGGACTAAATTCTCCAATTAAAAGACACAGACTGGCAAGTTGGATAAAGAGTCAAGACCCATCAGTGTGCTGTATTCAGGAAACCCATCTCATGTGCAGAGACACACATAGGCTCAAAATAAAAGGATGGAGGAAGATCTACCAAGCAAATGGAAAACAAAAAAAGGCAGGGGTTGCAATCCTAGTCTCTGATAAAACAGACTTTAAACCAACAAAGATCAAAAGAGACAAAGAAGGCCATTACATGATGGTAAAGGGATCAATTCAACAAGAGGAGCTAACTATCCTAAATATGTATGCACCCAATACAGGAGCACCCAGATTCATAAAGCAAGTCCTGAGTGACCTACAAAGAGACTTAGACTCCCACACATTAATAATGGGAGACTTTAACACCCCACTGTCAACATTAGACAGATCAACGAGACAGAAAGTCAACAAGGATACCCAGGAATTGAACTCAGCTCTGCACCAAGCAGACCTAATAGACATCTACAGAACTCTCCACCCCAAATCAACAGAATATACATTTTTTTCAGCACCACACCACAGCTATTCCAAAATTGACCACATACTTGGAAGTGAAGCTCTCCTCAGCAAATGTAAAAGAACAGAAATTATAACAAACTATCTCTCAGACCACAGTGCAATCAAACTAGAACTCAGGATTAAGAATCTCACTCAAAGCCGCTCAACTACATGGAAACTGAACAACCTGCTCCTGAATGACTACTGGGTACATAACGAAATGAAGGCAGAAATAAAGATGTTCTTTGAAACCAACGAGAACAAAGACACAACATACCAGAATCTCTGGGACGCATTCAAAGCAGTGTGTAGAGGGAAATTTATAGCACTAAATGCCCACAAGAGAAAGCAGGAAAGATCCAAAATTGACACCCTAACATCACAATTAAAAGAACTAGAAAAGCAAGAGCAAACACATTCAAAAGCTAGCAGAAGGCAAGAAATAACTAAAATCAGAGCAGAACTGAAGGAAATAGAGACACAAAAAACCCTTCAAAAAATCAATGAATCCAGGAGCTGGTTTTTTGAAAGGATCAACAAAATTGATAGACCGCTAGCAAGACTAATAAAGAAAAAAAGAGAGAAGAATCAAATAGACACAATAAAAAATGATAAAGGGGATATCACCACCGATCCCACAGAAATACAAACTACCATCAGAGAATACTACAAACACCTCTACGCAAATAAACTAGAAAATCTAGAAGAAATGGATACATTCCTTGACACATACACTCTCCCAAGACTAAACCAGGAAGAAGTTGAATCTCTGAATAGACCAATAACAGGAGCTGAAATTGTGGCAATAATCAATAGTTTATCAACCAAAAAGAGTCCAGGACCAGATGGATTCACAGCCGAATTCTACCAGAGGTACAAGGAGGAACTGGTACCATTCTTTCTGAAACTATTCCAATCAATAGAAAAAGAGGGAATCCTCCCTAACTCATTTTATGAGGCCAGCATCATTCTGATACCAAAGCCGGGCAGAGACACAACCAAAAAAGAGAATTTTAGACCAATATCCTTGATGAACATTGATGCAAAAATCCTCAATAAAATACTGGCAAACCGAATCCAGCAGCACATCAAAAAGCTTATCCACCATGATCAAGTGGGCTTCATCCCTGGGATGCAAGGCTGGTTCAATATACGCAAATCAATAAATGTAATCCAGCATATAAACAGAGCCAAAGACAAAAACCACATGATTGTCTCAATAGATGCAGAAAAAGCCTTTGACAAAATTCAGCAACCCTTCATGCTAAAAACTCTCAATAAATTAGGTATTGATGGGACGTATTTCAAAATAATAAGAGCTATCTATGACAAACCCACAGCCAATATCATACTGAATGGGCAAAAACTGGAAGCATTCCCTTTGAAAACTGGCACAAGACAGGGATGCCCTCTCTCACCGCTCCTATTCAACATAGTGTTGGAATTTCTGGCCAGGGCAATCAGGCAGGAGAAGGAAATAAAGGGTATTCAATTAGGAAAAGAGGAAGTCAAATTGTCCCTGTTTGCAGATGACATGATTGTTGATCTAGAAAACCCCATCGTCTCAGCCCAAAATCTCCTTAAGCTGATAAGCAACTTCAGCAAAGTCTCAGGATACAAAATCAATGTACAAAAATCACAAGCATTCCTATACACCAACAACAGACAAACAGAGAGCCAAATCATGAGTGAACTCCCATTCACAATTGCTTCAAAGAGAATAAAATACCTAGGAATCCAACTTACAAGGGATGTGAAGGACCTCTTCAAGGAGAACTACAAACCACTGCTCAAGGAAATAAAAGAGGATACAAACAAATGGAAGAACATTCCATGCTCATGGGTAGGAAGAATCAGTATCGTGAAAATGGCCATACTGCCCAAGGTAATTTACAGATTCAATGCCATCCCCATCAAGCTACCAATGACTTTCTTCACAGAATTGGAAAAAACTACTTTAAAGTTCATATGGAACCAAAAAAGAGCCCGCATTGCCAAGTCAATCCTAAGCCAAAAGAACAAAGCTGGAGACATCACACTACCTGACTTCAAACTATACTACAAGGCTACAGTAACCAAAACAGCATGGTACTGGTACCAAAACAGAGATATAGATCAATGGAACAGAACAGAGCCCTCAGAAATAACGCCGCTTACCTACAACTATCTGATCTTTGACAAACTTGAGAAAAACAAGCAATGGGGAAAGGATTCCCTATTTAATAAATGGTGCTGGGAAAACTGGCTAGCCATATGTAGAAAGCTGAAAGTGGATCCCTTCCTTACACCTTATACAAAAATCAATTCAAGATGGATTAAAGACTTAAACGTTAGACCTAAAACCATAAAAACCCTAGAAGAAAACCTAGGCATTACCATTCAGGACATAGGCGTGGGCAAGGACTTCATGTCCAAAACACCAAAAGCAATGGCAACAAAAGCCAAAATTGACAAATGGGATCTAATTAAACTAAAGAGCTTCTGCACAGCAAAAGAAACTACCATCAGAGTGAACAGGCAACCTACAACATGGGAGACAATTTTCGCAACCTACTCATCTGACAAAGGGCTAATATCCAGAATCTACAATGAACTCAAACAAATTTACAAGAAAAAAACAAACAACCCCATCAAAAAGTGGGTGAAGGACATGAACAGACACTTCTCAAAAGAAGACATTTATGCAGCCAAAAACCACATGAAAAAATGCTCATCATCACTGGCCATCAGAGAAATGCAAATCAAAACCACTATGAGATATCATCTCACACCAGTTAGAATGGCAATCATTAAAAAGTCAGGAAACAACAGGTGCTGGAGAGGATGTGGAGAAATAGGAACACTTTTACACTGTTGGTGGGACTGTAAACTAGTTCAACCATTGTGGAAGTCAGTGTGGCGATTCCTCAGGGATCTAGAACTAGAAATACCATTTGACCCAGCCATCCCATTACTGGGTATATACCCAAATGACTATAAATCATGCTGCTATAAAGACACATGCACACGTATGTTTATTGCGGCATTATTCACAATAGCAAAGACTTGGAACCAACCCAAATGTCCAACAATGATAGACTGGATTAAGAAAATGTGGCACATATACACCATGGAATACTATGCAGCCATAAAAAATGATGAGTTCATGTCCTTTGTAGGGACATGGATGAAATTGGAAACCATCATTCTCAGTAAACTATCGCAAGAACAAAAAACCAAACACCGCATATTCTCACTCATAGGTGGGAATTGAACAATGAGATCACATGGACACAGGAAGGGGAATATCACACTCTGGGGACTGTGGTGGGGAGGGGGGAGGGGGGAGGGATAGCATTGGGAGATATACCTAATGCTAGATGACGAGTTAGTGGGTGCAGTGCACCAGCATGGCACATGTATACATATGTAACTAACCTGCACAATGTGCACATGTACCCTAAAACTTAAAGTATAATTGAAAAAAAAAAAAAAAAAGGGAACAGTTTGTGTTCTGGAGATAACAGGTTGAAGGGATAACAGTGAAAAGTATGGTCCTTTGCATTGGATTAAGCAGTTTGTCTTTGATTTTAAAGTATTGAAATTTAAGAAATAATAATATAGGCAGGATGTCCGGATAAATATTTCCACCATTAAGATTATGCTAAGATATTTTAAATCTAGGCTTTGGATGATTAATACATTTTAAATAAGAATAAAAGAAACATAAAAAAAGAAAATGTAAAAATTAAAAAAACTTGAGGTTTAACATTTTTAAGTGTTATTTCTCTTATTTTTTAGTAATTAAAAAATTCATTTTAAAATTCTTTTACCCAGATTTATTTTCTTTCACATTTTAAAACATTATTACTGGATTTAAGGACCATGAAATTTTTGGCCTCTTTGTTCTTTTTTTCTCTCTTTTTTTTTTTTTGTTGGAAGCAAAAGCTATTTCAATAAGAATCAGAGAGAGAGAGAGGGGCAAGCTTGGGTCTATCTGATGTAAATCTGCTGTTTCAAGAACTAAGACTGTTGCCAGAGTTATAGCCTGAAAATATCCAGCCTACAATTGTGTACATTCCATGTGAAAATACAGTGAGAAGCTATGAAATGAAGGAAGAGGAAGAGATAATGTCTTATCTGGGAACATTTCAGAGAGACAAGGGTTACTTTTTGAAGGTAACAAGTACAGCCTTCTGGGAGAGTAGAGGTGGAGATAATTCTAATATCAGGAAATTTTTTCCTCTTTGCTAGCTTAGAAAAGAAAACACTCAGTCCTCTGATGGTCAATGTCCCTGGCATGTCTACTACTAGAAATTATGTTCTCCTGTTCTGTAAAAATACCAAACCTCATCATCAAGGTAGATTCCTCCAGATGGCTGCTCACCCCTTCCTGGGCACCCAGTAGATCATGATGGTGATGGTGATGTTGAAGATGGTGATGGTGATGACAGCAATGTCAATGATGGTGATAGTGATGGTGATGTTGAAGACGGTGATAGTGATGGTGATTATGGTGATGTTGATGATGGTGGTGATGGTGATGATAATGTTGAAGATGATGATGGTGATGATGTTGTGTTGATGATGATGATGGTGATGGTGATGTTGAAGATGGTAGTGGTAATGGTCATGGTGATGTTAAAGATGGTGATGGTGATGACGATGGTGATGTTGAAGATGGTGATGTTGATGTTGGTGATGTTGATGATGATGATGGTGATGGTGATGTTGAAGATGCTGATGGTGATATTGAAGACAGTGATGGTGATGTTAATGATGGTGATGTTGAAGATGGTGATGTTGATGTTGGAGATGCTGATGGTGATGTTGAAGAGGATGATGGTGATGATGATGGTGATGTTGAAGATGGTGATGGTGATGTTGAAGATGGTGATGTTGATGTTGGTGATGTTGATGATGATGATGGTGATGGTGATGTTAATATGCTGATGGTGATGTTGAAGAGGATGATGGTGATGTTAATGGTGGTGATGTTGAAGATGGTGATGTTGATGTTGGAGATGCTGATGTTGGAGATGCTGATGTTGGAGATGCTGATGGTAATGTTGAAGAGGATGATGGTGATAGTGACGTTGATGATAGTGATGTTGAAGATGGTGATGGTGATGTTGAGGAAGATAGCCAACCTTAATTGAAATAGTAAGAAAATTATTTTTAAAGAGCACAGTGTTTTAGATGCCCTTATAGGTATGAATATACATTTTAGGAACTTCACCAGTAAGAATAATATTTCAAATCAGCTACTTCCAGAAAGGAACTTTGACAGTGTCCAGAGTTGATATCGAGGTGAATAATGGGTCTAGTTATACAAGTGTATGAAAATCAGAATCAAAGAAAAATGAAAGTTTCACTCATTAAGTAAATAAGAGCAATGAGCATGTGGTAAGCACCTTTAGTGCCTCCTCTCACTTAATCCTTGTAAGACCTCAGTGAGGGAGGTGCTGATTTTATCCCTGTTTTACAGATGCAGATGCTGAGGTTTAGAAAGATTAAAGAACCTGCCCAAGCTCAATGAACTATTAAGTGGTAGACCTGAATCCCTAACTCCAAAGCCTTCCTAACTACAAAGTCATCAGTTCTTACCACTTCAGCAAAAGAAAATTACATAGGAAGTTATTGTTTCTTTTGCCTCCTTATCTCTGGAGTGATATCACTCCTTATCACTAGGCTTCGTCCACCCACCGCCACCTCCCCAGGCTCCAACTTCAGGCCATCTTTGTATGTCTTGCAACTGGTTCAGAACACACACAATTGTATTTGTGAGATCACAGCATGTTGCTTTTACTGTGAATACAATATTACAAAATTATAATTTCAATGTTGTCATCTTTCCAGGAGCTAATGATGGATGTGAAATAAATGACAAGGGCAGACAGTAGAGAATAAAGAATGCTACCTGGAAAATCAGGGCAAGAACATTGCCATGAACTAGCAGTGTGACCATGTCAAGTCATATAACTTCTCTGAGACTCATTTTCCACTCCTCTAACATGACAGCATTAGAGTGAATTACATCCAAGGTTTCTTCAAGTTATAACATCTTCTGATTTTAAGGAGGCTAAAGCCACAGGTGATATTACCTTGATGCCATTGTTCTTATTAATGTGGAAACACATTTCAAGACCTAGTGTAACAAGTATATTTTGCTGTAGCTTGAAAATAAGTCAGAGGCAAATGGCTTGACCTGTTAAGTTTCCTTTTTTTCATAGAAGGTCTAGGTTTTGCCATTTGGGGAAGGGCTGGGGAGGCCTGGAAGCTTGCCAGTTCTCCTAAAAAGGGTTGCAATGTGGTTATGCCAAGAACTCTGTGTCAGTTTGCTCCCAATACTGTGTCTCTTGTTATTGTCTACTCCTGCCAACTGCCGCTTTCTGCTCCAGCTGTTTGGAATTTGTACCCGGCCCTAGGAGGTCTGCCTTGGCATGCTGTATGCGGGTCTGTGTTTGCGCATGTGTGCGCATACATCCATAGACTCAGTGTGACATAATGGGAAGGAGCAAGAACAGCAGCCATATGTGGAACTTCATCTTCTTTACCTGCATACTGCCAAGCCACATTCCAAATTTGGCTGCTCCTCCTCAACACCCTTTGCTGTATTGAGCCAGCAAAAGAACCAGTGATAACAAAGCAAAGAGAGGATAGGCTGTTCAATGTTCTTATTTAGCTGATGGCCCGGTGGATGGCATAGTATAAATCTCTGCACATCCATAGAACCACATGAGCTTCTCGTGCCTTCTGCTCTTTTGTATTTTGTCCCCTGGGTGAACCACAGGGATTGAGACAATCATGCTTTCAGAGGCCATACCCGTGACTTCATCTTGGGTTGGGAGGCATCTGGTGTTTTGGGGCGCTTTTCTGTGTTTGAGGAGACCATAAAAACAGGGCTGGGTCAGCGGGAACGTGGGGAAGTGGCACCCACCCAGATATCAGCCTAGGTCTTGCAGCCGTTGATGCCACAGCCTGGTCAGCAACAATGAAGATGACCTTTTGGGGTCTATGGTTTTTCAGATGGCAATAAAAATAGGGGCAGCCTCTATAGTTTGCAAGTAAGTCTCAGGTGGTTGAGGGAAAAATACTATATAGACAATGATATCACCTGTAAAATTCTGAGTAGGTGGGGATTTTTTTCCTATATTTTTATCATTGTCTATTTCTTTCATTTTACTTAAAAAAAAAAAAACTGTATCTTAGTCCTGTCTTACAAACTGCCAGATTCTCTAGTTACCTTGGTAGTTGTTAGTGCACAGTTACAGAAGTAGTTCTTTCTTTCAATATATGACAGCTCTGCTGCTGGGAACACAGAGATTAGCAAGAAAGGCTTGACACCACCCTCATGGAACTCACAGTTTAACAGAGAAGACACTGAGTGACCATAGTGACTTGTGTTAAGCCCTATGAGGGAGGACATTAGGAAGTAAATAAGAGAACACAGTGGGGATTCATGAGTGAAGTCTTCACCAAGTGCCACTGTTCACCCCACAATGTGCCAGGCACTGAGAGGTCTGCAGAACACATGGCGGTAAGGTCCTGCCCTCAGAGGCCTCATAGTCTGGCTGAGACCAGATGAACGCACATGACACAGAACCACAGAAGGCCAAATTGGGAAGTACACCCCAAGATACATTTGGGTTTCAGAGGGGTGGCATTTGTGGTGTCAAGAATAGTGAACTCGCAATATCAAGGATATGCTCTACTCATGTGGTCCTAAATGATAAAATGGGACTTGCAGAGCTATGTGATTACTTAAGACTTGTATTATTCTATAACTTAACTTTAGATTTTTAAAATTTTATTTCAATAGTTTTGGGGGAACAGGTGGTTTTTGGTTACATGAATTCGTTAATTCGTGGTGATTCTAAGATTTTGGTGCAGCTGTCCCCCAAGCAGTGTACACTGTACCTAGTATATAGTCTTTTATCCCTCAACCCCTCCCACCCTTCTCCCACCGAGTCTCCAAAATCCATTATATCATTCTTATGCCTTTTCATCCTCATAGCTTAGCTCCCACTTACAAGTGAGAACATAGGATATTTGGTTTTCCATTCCTGAGTTACTTCACTTAGAATAGTGGTCTCCAGCTCCATCTAGGTTGTTTGCAAATGCTATTTTTCATTCTGTTTTATGGCTGAGTAGTATTCCATGGTGTATATGTAACACATTTTCTTTATGTATTCATTGGTTGATGGACATTTAGGTTGGTTCCATATTTTTGCAATTCTGAATTGTGCTGCTATAAACATGCATGTGCAAGTATCTTTTTTGTATAATGACTTCTTTTCCTCTGGGAGATACCCAGTAGTGGGATTTCTAGACCAAATGGTAGCTCTACTTTTAGTTCTTTAAGGAATCTCCATACTGTTTTCTATAGTGGTTGTACTAGTTTACAGTCTCACCAGCAGTGTAGAAGTGTTCCCTTTTTACCACATCCACGCCAACATCTATTACTTTTTTATTTTTAAATTACGGCCATTCTTGCAGGAGTAAGGTGGTCTCTCATTGTGGTTTTAATTTGCATTTCCCTAATAATTAGTAATATTGAGCATTTTTTCATATGTTTGTTGGCTGTTTGTATACCATCTTTTTATGGGTGCATAGCTTTCTTAGCTAGCTGTTAAGTTCATCAAGGGTAGAAATCATGCATTTTGCAGCTTTGTGTTCCCTGTAATATACAGTAGACTGCTATCTCTACAGTAACTACTCAATAAACATTCAGCACTTTTGGAGGCTGAAGCAGGAGGATTGCTGGAAGCCAGGAGTTCGAGGCTGCAGTGAGCTACAATCATGCCACTATACTCCAGCCTAGGTGACAGAATGAGACAGTTTCTAAAAATAAAACTAAACACCACATGTTCTCACTTATAAGCAGGAGCTAAACAATGAGAACACATGGACACAGGGAGGGGACACAGGGACACACCTGAACACATGGACACACGGGGACCTGTTGGGGGGATGGGGTTGGGAGAGGGAGAGCATCAGTAAAAAGAGCTAATGCATGCTGGGCTTAATACCTAGGTGATGGGTTGATAGGAGCAGCAAACCACCATGGCACATGTTTACCTATGTAACAAATCTGCACATCCTGCACATGTATCCTGGAACATAAAATAAAAATAAAAATTTTTAAAAAGGCAATAAAGTAAAATAAAATTAAAAAATTAACATTTGTGAAATAAACACAGGACACTACAATTTTATTGTTTTTCTGTAATTATAGAGCACAAGCAGGATGAGGAGCTGCAGTTACCCCGGGATCTGAAAGTTCTAGAGTCGTCACTTGCTCTTCTGGTGACTGTTTCTTCTACTAATGCACCAGTTCATGCATCTCCAGGGCCTCCCTTCACCCCATTTGGGACATGGATGAGCGAGTGTCATTCCTTCAGCTGGTATCATTCTCAGTAGCAGGGCATTGTAAGGGATGGAGAGTGGCAGCAGACAGATGGGCCCATTGACAAGTGTGTCCCCTTGTGAGCTCCTGTCACAACTGAATTATTCTATCATTTGTGCTGTCACTAAATCAGGCAGATCGAAGAAGTGGAAAGAATAGCATTTCTAGTGACAATCACAGAGAAATGGCTCTGTAGCGTGTGTGCTTTCTGGGAAGGGGACTGGCTTTATTATTTTCTAGGCATGGAGAGAGGGGCAGAATGTCACAGGATATGAGTAAGTGGCCTGCTTGTGATGGTGATGGTATTTTGCATTACCTCCTGATTTGGATTTCATTTTATTTAACTGACATCTCTCTCCTGCGTCCTGCAGGTCTAAATTTAGGGAGCCTGGTTGGGGGCTCAGGGGTTGTGCTAAACCACAGGCCTCACCAGCCAGCTGTGCTGTCTTCCCATTAAGGGCACCCCATTCCGCTCGCACTGAGGGGCCCCTGCCTACCACCTTCCAAATGATCCTTTGAGTGGGACAGTGCCCTGCCCATGTGCAAAAGGTGTCTGCCCCATGTTGTTGGGTCATTCTGTGAGGATAGTTTCTTCAGGGCTCCAGGACACTTGTCAGCTCAAGGAGCCTCCCAGAGGGTGGAAGGAGCTCCCATAGGTGTGCGCCTGGCATCAGCTGTCCCTGTTGTGTATGTAAGTCTTTGGCACTTGCCTGGAAGATTTTCTGTTGCAGTTCCAATCCAGTCCAAGTTCGTACAATCCCAGAGAGTACAATAGCCCTGGGAAATGGGGAAACGAAATGTGTTACGGCTGCTTGGAGTCAACTCCAGAAAACGTTAGTTACTAAATAGATTTAGAAAAACATTTTTTAAATTTATTTATTTAGTTCATTAGTTTTTTAACAGGGGAAATGCAATTGTTTTTCTATTTCATACCTTACATTTTGCTAAAGTTTTTCTTAATTATCCCAATAACTTCATTTTACTTATTTTCTATATGTAGACTTCTATGATCTTTCAAGGTGATGTTACCAGTGTGTGAAGGCTGTTTGGTTAATAGTTCAACAACTATTTATTATTTTTCTACTGTGTTACAGGAGTGTGGAGATGAATAAGGCCCAGTTCCGACATCTGGGATTTTGACTCTCCAGGCAAGAGGACAGGAAAAAGATGTTTGGCTTCTATGAACTAATTCACTGTCCAGAGCATCTTGGCATCTGGCTGCTGCTGAGGAAAGAGGAGGATGTTTGTGTGTGTGTGTGTGCACATGCGCCCGTGTGTGCGTATCTGAGGGAAGCTAAATATTACATTTCAGGGCTTAGTCCTTCCATACTTTGAATTTAATATGTAATTATGAATAAACATGGAAACGTAAAAACAAAACCACCCATGCCTCACGATCCTATTGACATTGGGAGAGCACATTTACTATGTGTCTTCATTCTTGTGGTCAGGTACGGAGCATTACAGCCATTTTTACATGTGTGCATGCTTTCAGTTACAACAGAGGCTGAAAATGGGCAACCCTATGAAACTACTGTTTTGTATATTTTTTATTTAATTTAATTTTTTTGAGACAGAGTCTCACTCTGTCACCCAGGCTGGAGTGCAGTGGCACGATGTCAGCAAACTGCAACCTCTGCCTCCCGGGTTCAAGCAATTCTCCTGTCTCAGCCTCCCGAGTAGCTGGGATTACAGGCACCTGCCACCACGCCCGGCTAATTTTTGTATTTTTAGTAGAGACGGGGTTTCACCTTGTTGGTCAGGCTGGTCACAAACTCCTGACCTCAGGTGATCCACCTGCCTCAGCCTCCCAAAGTGCTGGGATTACAGGCGTGAGCCACTGTGCCCGGCCTGCTTCGTTTATTTTTAAAGATGGCTTTTCCCAGCTACTCGGGAGGCTGAGGCAGGAGAATGGCGTGAACCCGGGAAGCGGAGCTTGCAGTGAGCCGAGATTGCGCCACTGCAGTCCGCAGTCCGACCTGGGCGACAGAGCGAGACTCCGTCTCAAAAAAAAAAAAAAAAAAAAAAAAAAAAAAAGATGGCTTTTACTTTTTATTTATGGAAAAATTCAAATCTATACAGGAATAAGGAGAATAGTAAAATAAAATTGACGTAGCCATCATCAACCTCAAGAACTATCAGCATAAAATCAATCTTGTTTCACCTCTAACCCTCCCTCCCTCCCCTCTACCCCTTTCCACCCTGCCCCATATTACTCTGAGGCAAATCCCAGACCTGTCATTTCATCTGCAAATATCTCAGTACTCCCAGTGTTTGTAATTATGTGGTAGAATGTCATTAGACATTCCATTGCCTTTCACCAGCCTGCCCTCTTTGCTAGTACCCGTCTGGCCCCTAGAAGCATTTGGGTTTACAACCTCTAAATTTTGTATTTTCTTATCTGTTCTCCCCAGACTCTTCTGTTATTGCCTTCTTAATGCACAATCTGTGCTGCTGTCTATAAATATCCAAACCATATTGATAACTGTTTCCTAATAGTAAATTGCATAATTCAATGTTAGCTTTTTATCCTTTGAGAGGTTTAAATTTTATCTTTTCGGGTATGCTCACATTCCTGACTGGCTAAATAAGTTTGAACATGCTGGTTCGTTTTGCTTTTTCTGTGCAGCTTGATGAAAATGGTTTTCAGGATCTACCTTGAAATTAATGATAATCCATCATTAACAACGTCACTTACTTTAGACTTTGCAATCTTATACCTGAGTTTTGAAAGGCAAGTACACCAAAGAATTTATATTAATTTGAAGCAGATGCCTCACTGTAAAATGCTCCTATTATTACTACTACTATTTATCCCATGGCAATAAATCCCTTATATTATCCAAAAGACTAGTAGCCTTTCCCAGAATTTGCAAAGCACAGGGCCTGTTGGCTCTTGCTAAGCAACCTTTCACAGAGAGAGCAAGGAAATCTAAGTGAAACTAATGCAAAGAACTGATGACTCAGGAATGTTGGTGTTCTCTTGCATGAGGATGTAATTGAATAACATGATCATTTCATTATAAGTAGAAGATAGGTACATAAACATATATAACATACCTATTACACTTAACACTATGTAACATATTTCATTTATAACATCATATAACTATAATGTATACATTTATATTAGTATGTAATAAACATATTATGCTTACAAATACAATCTGCATTTTATAACTATTCTACTATCCAATCACAGAGGGATATTTTCATGTCAATAAAAATATAGAATAAGAGAATTATTTTTAAATAGCCTAGTGTATTTGTATTAGTGCTTTGTTAAGTACTGATGCACATTTTAGAAACTCCACCAGCACGATTAATATTTTGCGCTAGCCAATTCCAGAAAGCAACTTTGCTCATGTCCAGAGTGGATATCTACGTGAATAATGGGCCTAGTGATGTGAGTGTGATAAAAACCAGAATTAGAGAAAAATGCATGTTGCATTCCTTAGCTAACCAAGAGTGACTGGCACTTGAGCACATTTAGAAAAAGTGTAATGCACCACTGTTTAGCGGAGTGTTATGGGAAAAGGGCAGTGGCTTGGGCAGGAGTCTTCAGCAATATTGATGAGAGAGAGAGGTGCTGAGGTTAGAGGAAACGCTAGAGGTGCTGTGGTTTTCTCAGTCTTTAATCAGGAATAAAAATTTTTGATTCTGGCCAGGTGCAGTGGCTCACATCTGTAATCCCAGCACTCTGGGAGGCCGAGGCGGGTGGATCACGAGGTCAGGAGATGGAGACCATCCTGGCTAACATGGTGAAACCCCATCTCTACTAAAAATACAAAAAATTAGCCGGGCGTGGTGGCAGGCACCTGTAGTCCCAGCTACTCGGGAAGCTAAGGCAGGAGAATGGTGTGAAGCCGGGAGGCGGAGCTTGCAGCGAGCCCAGATCGCGCCACTGCACTCCAGCCTGGGCAACAGAGGGAGAATCCGACTAAAAAAAAAAAAATTGATTCTTCAAATTCACTAGGAATTTTTTGGATTGATAAAGAATAAAAAGGTGAGATGTCTTGAGCACCACAGATAAAAGACCCAGAACATAGGATAAAGTATTATATCATGTAAAACTGGGGTCTAATAACATAAGTTGGAGACAGTAAAGCTTTGTAGTTAAGAATTTGGACTCTCACTCACACTGGCTACCCTCACTGTGTGGTATTGGTCAAGTCACTTAACCATCCTGGGCCTTAGTTCCTTCTGTGAAATGAGGAGTTGATGATTGTATTGGCCATATGGGTCACTGGGAGGACTGACTGAGATAACACATGCAAAAGACTCTGTACCTGGCACAGAATTAGTGCTTGACAAACATTAATGACACCAGGCCTCTTTTGCCCTATCTGCACTGCTTCTACTTGGTTGAGATACTTGACATTGAAAACCAGAGTCAATGTCTCAAAGACAGTGAATGAGGAGGGGGAAGTGCTTTTTTTTGCCATGTTCCCTCTCTTTTCTCCCTCCCCTCCCCTCCACCATTATCAATTCACTGTGGAACTAGACAGTGCCAGGCTACTTAAATAATGCTGTGCACTCCCACTCGGCAGCAGGGGACTTGCATATGATCCATGACATGCCCAATTCCTGGGGTTGGCTTAGACAATCTAACAGGGACCCTCAGGCCCTGGAGCCAGCTGGCTGGTCCTGCCTCTGCTAGCCAGCTCCACTTTCCCAGCGCAACAGACTCTGCTACTTGCCTGAATTCAAATCTGGTCTCCAGTATACTTGGCCATGCCGGTGGGGATAAGAATGAGTGTGTGTGTTTTACTTTTGAAAGCATATCCACATTCTATTGTTCTGTGCTAATACTTTTTTGATGATGTCTGTGAATGTCTATGTTGAAGAAAAGTAGCTAATTGTTTCTTTTTTTTTAAAACCCAAACCCCAAAACCTCCTCTTGCCTAATTTAACCATTAATGTGCCTCAGGCCTGCCTCCATTTGTATGCAAATAAAATATAATGCCCACCTTAGTGATTTCTCACATAGTGTACATTGCTTGATTAGATTTTTAAAAATTTATTAATTAATTTATTTTTGAGGCAGGGTCTTGCTTGCCCAGGCTGAAGTGCGGTGACATGATCATGGCTTACTGCAGCCTCGACCTTGTGGGCTCAAACAATCCTCCCACCTCAGCCTCCTGAGTAGCTGGGACCACAGGCATGTGCCACCACATCTGACTAATTTTTTTTTTTACATTTTTTGTAGCGACAGGGTCTCACCATGTCACCCAGGCTGGTCTCGAACTCCTGAGCTCAGGCAATCCTCCTGTCTCAGCCTCCCAAAGTATTGAGATTAAAGGTGTGATTCGGCCAGGCACGTTGGCTCACGTCTGTAATCCCAGCACTTTGGGAGGCCAAGGTGGGCAGATCACGAGGTCAGGAAATCGAGACCATCCTGGTCAATATGGTGAAACCATGTCTTTACTAAAAATACAAAAAGTAGCTGGGCGTGGTGGCATTCACTTGTAATCACAGCTACTCAAGAAGCTGATGCAGGAGAATTGCTTGAACCTGGGAGATGGAGGTTGCAGTGAGCTGAGATCACACCCGGGCACTCCAGCCTGGAGACAGAGTTAAAAAAAAAAAAGGTGCGAATCACGGTGCCCAGCTCATTGCTTGATTTTAGATGCAGAGACAGGTCAATTGTCTTCCTAACCTCAGCATGGCTGCCCAGTGTTTTTATTTTTGTATTTTAAAATGTAATTATGATAATAGTTTAATCTCAGTGTCTCAACCATAGATGCATCTACACAAAGGGTATTTTTTATAGTCACCCATTTTAAAGATTATGGCATTGTGATGGGTAAGACTGAGTCCATCTGCTTTGCTGACAATGTGAGCTGCTGGGCTGCCAGAGACCAGCTGGTGAAACAAGGAGTCCAAGTGGCCATGTGCAGACATGTGTGAGGGACATTTCGGCTGTTTCACTGCTCACCATAAGTGACTTTTATGGTTTATGTCCTGGGAAATAGCTGGGAAACAGCTATTCTACAGCACCATGCAAGTATAGACTCCAGAACCCAACTTTAATCTATATAATAAAAAACACTTCTGGGGTTTGAATTGAGTCCTTTTTTGACTGCTGTTTCAGATGTAAGCTCTTTAAATTCCGGAAACGTTTTTATTTTGGAAATGATCTTGATTCAGAATTGCTCAGATTCTGGGTATGTCTGGTAAATGGTCTACTGGCTTTAAGTTAGAAAGTCTGAGACGCTATAAAGAGAGACTTAGACATGGTACAATGACATCTTAGGTCTAAAATAAATTGGATTGGGGCCTAAAGAAGGTAGTTAATCAGCTTAAAAAAACAGCTAATGTCAAAGACATTTAATAATTTTCAAATTGCTTTTTCAAATAGTGACAGATGTTATGGACATCTTGCTCATGAATTGATTATATATTTGCTGTGGACAGACATTCATATATTTGGAGACTGGATTGAGAACTTTAAATAAACACAACCAAAATTACACAATGAACAAATACAGAAATGAGAGTTGCTCACAAATGGACAGGCAGAGGTTGAGGATAATTCTAGTAGATAAAAAAGCAGATAATAGCTAAATCAGGCATCAGACCAAAGGATGCTACTATAGGGGAGAAAAGATTATTTTCCTCACTCATCACAAGCTTCATGGCTGAGACCTCTACAACAAAAGATAAATTAACAAGAGAAAAGCATAGCACATTTATTTAATATCAATTTTACACGACACAAGAGCCTTCTGTAATGAAGCCCCAAAGAAACAGAGGAAACTGTATTTTTATAGACGGTTATGCAGCAGTGTGATTGGAGGACAAAGGGGCAGGATGTGATAGGAATAAACTGAGGGGAATTTAGAGAGGCCTGTTTGTTCAGATTCTTCCCTTCGTCCCCATGAGACACTCCTTTCCTCTTGGGATAGGGAAGAAACTTCTGCTAGGAAAGTCTTCCTTTAGAGGAAGGTCCGCATGGTTGTATGGCCTGTTTCAGGGGAGAAGGGCAAGGAGAAGGTGTGACTGGCCTGTCCGCTTCTGCTGTTTTCTTAAATGCCAATGCGCTGCATTTCGGGGGTAGCATCCTGAACCCCATCATTACAAACCAAGATGGCTGTGATGGTGTGTCATGGGACTGGAGAAGCTTTTTTATGGGCCTTTTCTCTGTAGGTGGTTACTTTTGGCCCCTTTCCCTTTCTTCTTTCTTCTCTAGCGTCTTATTAGGAATAGGTAGGAGTAGGAGAATACTTGGATCAGTAAGTTACAAATGACAAACTCCTAGATGCTCCAGCTCATTAGAGCAGAGGTTCTCAACCCTGACATGCTTTGTACTTCCCATCCAAAACGTTTTGTTAACACTCTCTTTGCCACCCCAAAATGATACTTATAGGCAATATAATTGACTTATACACAAAAATTTAAAAATCATATTATGCCCACCTATAATATGAAAGAGAAAATAAAAGTCATACAAAATGAAATCTTTTTCATTTTAATATGTAAATGCTTGTGTGCAACTGCATAAAAATCTAGTTATAGTCACCATGATGGTGACAGCTCCAGAGGCAGGCTGACACAAGGGTGCTGTGTTGAAGACTCGAATACCTAGAGCAGCGTCCCTGTCATGAACTGACATTCTGAAACAGTGACAACTCTTGGTAAAGTCTCAAACAAAGCAAGGAATAATCTTTCCCCTGTTAACTGGAAATTCAGTGCCTAATAAAATTATGTAATATACAAAAGAATCTTTTGTGTTTGTATGTAACATGAAGGAAGGTTCTAGGCTCAAAATAAAATGGCCTTCATCTGTATGAATGGGCAGTGGATCATTTGAAAGTCACAAAAAAAAAATGCAAAAGTAAGGATGGTTCTTTGTTGTTTGGGAGTGCCTATGTTTTGCAGGACATCTAACATCCATGGCTCTGCCCATGAAATGTATGGAATACCACCTTCCTCTAATTATTTTGACACTCAAAAGCACTCCCACAAAATTTCAAAACATCCCCTGTGGAGCAGTTCCAGACCCCTGGAGAACTGTCATACCTGATCTGACATGTTCAAGGAAGGCACAGGAGACGGTGAGCTGGGAGGATGCTGCAGAATACAGAGCAAGGAGGACACAAAACCCACTTAGGGGGTGGTGCTGGTCCTGTGGATTAGCAGCCCAGCAATCCCCACAGAGCTGGGTTTGATACAGTCAAGCCTGGGTCCCCTGCCTTGACTATGATATCCCAGGAAGGCTGTGCGCTCTGTCACCATCTGTCACTCTCATGCATTTTTATTTGTACCCTACAGGGAACCCTTGCTAATTCTCTATCTGCTCTCTTTTCATTAGTCAGCTAGTTGTGATTATGGGATGTATTTGGGAAGGGCTCATCCAACGCCTCCTCTTGAAGTTTTCAGCAAGAGGATTACTTATAGGAGTAGCGTAGCGCCAGGTGATTCTCACTGTCAGCTTATTTTAAGACGATTTTCTGTTCTCAGATTAACATAAATGAAGAACACTGAAATCTCTCTCTTTGAAAAAGAAGGAGTATGAATTTTCAAGCCACTACATCCAGTCATCTTGCCTAGCTTTCTACCTATGCAGCAAGTGAAAGATTTTCCAAGTCTTTTCCCAGCCCCTGCTATACAGGGTCTAAAATGAAATGCATTCCCTTCCTTCTGGGACAAGATTTGTGTGTGCTCTTGCTCATAATGTGAGACTGGAAGGAGTTTTGTTTTTTTCCTCCAAAGCCAAGAGGGTTAGGATGCTGAAAATGAACCACTGAGGCCAGGGATATTGAGTTTTGTTCGCATCTGAGCCTTTTCTTCTGTCCCCTCTTTCCTTTGACTGACAGGGCCTGAGTCTCTGCCTGCTCCCTGTCAGGAGCCATTAGCTTTGCAGTGACCCCTACAAGGCTAAAAGATGTGAATGTGGCCAATATAATTAGCACACAAGGAGTAGTTGCAGAAGACAAGCATTACTTCTGCAAAGTAGGAGTCTGAGATGACTGATGTGACCAAGACCATTTCCTACAGGTCCCCATTGCTAAGGGCTGGGAAGTGCCTGAGATTCCTGGGGTCCCTGTACCTTCTTCGGTTGTGTTCCCCGGCAGAGTCAAGGTCAAAAATCACCAGACCCAGGCCTTTTCCCATTTATAAGCAGATCCTCATATTCCTAAGAAAGGTGATAAATACTCTAATTTTTAAAGGATACTCCTTTAAAAGAAAATCTTGTCCTGCTATCACAACAATTATTTTAACCTGATCAAAATAAAGCATTCCTTCTTAAAGGAATGCGGCGGCTTGGCATTCTCACTGAAAGACTGGCTCCTGTGAACTCAGCTGTAGAGAATAATTCACATCATATGTGAAAACTTGAGCTCCTTTATCTTGGCCTCAAGGTAGACATGAAACTTCTTTCTTCTATGCATATGATGCCTAACTGGGAGAATTGATTTATTTTATTTTTAAATTGCATCTTTAGTTCATAATCTTACTAATGAGATAATTGGCTATCCTATTATTTTGAGAACTTTTGATTAGCAATCTCCAAATCCTTCTAGAAGAGGGTTCCTTACCTCTTTATCTTGAAAGTCTGCTTAGCCTCCATGAAGTATGTTGTTTGGAAATTCATGATATTTGCCACAAAGAGACAAGAGAGTCAACATTTTTGGTAATTCTTATGCTGATTTCTTTTTTTTCTTTTTCAAGGTACTTTTGATTTTTTTTTTAAGTTTTTCTTGTAATTTTTGTGGGTGCATAGTGGGTGTATATATTCATGGGGCACATGAGATGTTTTGCTACAGGCATGCAATGCGTAATAATCACATCATGGAAGATGGGGTGTCCATCCCTTCAAGCATTTATCCTTTGTGTTGCAAACAATCCAATGATACTCTTAGTTATTTTAAAATGTACAGTTAAATTATTATTAACTGTAGTCACCCTGTTGTGTTATCAAATGCTAGGTCTTATTTATTCTTTCTAACTATTTTTTTGTCCCTATTAACTATCCGCACCACCACTGCAATCCTCCCACCCTGCCTCCCCACCACTTCCCTTCCCGGCCTCTGGGAACCATCCTTCTACTCTCTATATCCATGAGTTCAATTGTTTTTATTTTTAGATCCCACAAATGAGTGAGAAAATGTTATGCGGATTTCTTATAGGTGTGGTAATGTTTTCACTATCACAACTAAGAAATCAGGGCAAAAAAAAAGAGCTCTCTAAATTTCAGACATTTTGTTCTTTAAAAATTAATCCATAAACTTCCTAACAATCTCAATAAGAAAGAAAATTAAGTGAAAACAGTGCTAACGGCAGATAAAAATTTTCGTAGGCATGAGAAATTTGACTTTCGCAAGAAACTACATTAAGGTAGTGGTCCAGTTACCTACTGCTGTGTAAAAAATTACTCCAAAATTTAGCACCGTAACACAACCATTTTATTGTGTTTATAATGTTGTGTTAAGGCCTTCAATCTACTGTAAGTGATGCTGAAAATAACTTTAAAATATAAAATAATCCATACTGTTTCATATTTAATGGCTTATTCAATCTTGCTCAAAAGCATTAGCTTAGAAAATTAAAATGACTTTATGAGTTTCTTAAGTATGTAAATAGTTGACAACAAATGCTAAATTCTGTTTAATATCTTTACTCACAAACTGTGGTCTACTGGCTGAACTTGCCTCAGGGGTGTTTGGTTTGGCCTCGGTGTTTTTAAAAGGATAAGCCAACATTTTAAAATAGGAGGATTTAACATAAAACTCCAAATTTTCAGCTTCTCTTGGAAAATAGAAAATTTGGGTCATACATGTTTACCTGTGTAACAAACCTACACATGTACCGCCAAACCTAAAATAAAATTTTAAAAAACAGAATTTGGGTCATAAAGGGCCTAAATTTCATTTGGTTGTGCTTGACAAGAACTGAGTACCAGCTGTCCCCATAGAAGGCATCAACTCTGTATCAATTCCTCACGTCAAACACCATTTTTCAGTATGCTTGCACATGTCTTTTTTCCTCAGGGTAAAGAAAAGCATATCTGTACCGAATCTTTCTTGAAAGTGGAAAAACAAGAAAGACAAATACGGCTGTATGTTTCCAGAAATGAGAGAATGTGCAATGTGTTTGTGGGTGGGGGAAGGGGAGGTATGAAAGAATATTCTTACATATTCAAAAGTCCAGTGCCCCTGCCCACTTCACTTACATAGGTTACCTGCCTGACCTCTGCAGGCATTTGAGTTGCATCTTCTGCTTTAGTGACCAGAGGATAAGGCTGTTCTTACATGCTTAGCAGAGACTCCCCAGAGTTTAGTGGGAATGCAGGACATGCAGTTGTGACAGCAAAACTTCAAGATACTACATCTCTAGTTTTCACTCTGGCAGTTGTGGGATTATGAAATATGCACCAAAGACAGGATATCTTTGGTGATGGATTAAAGACAGCTGCAAATTCTTTGTCACTCTGCCCAAGGAGAGGTGAATTCTATGTCTCTACCCCTTTGAATCTGTGCTGGGCTTATGAATGCTTTAATCAATAGGATATGGGAGTTGAAATGCTAACTGATACTGTTTGGCTGTGTCCCTACCCAAATCTCATCTGGAATTGTAGTTCCCATAATCCCCATGTGTCATGGGAGGGACCCTGTGGGAGGTAATTGAATCATGGAGGTGGTTTCCGCCAGGCTATTCTCATGATAGGGAGTAAATTTTCACGAGATCTGATGGTTTTGTAGAGGGCTTCCCCCTTCGCTTGGTTTTCATTCTGCTACCCTGTGAAGAGGTGCCTTCTGCCATGATTGTAAGTTTCCTGAGGACTTCCCAGCCATGTGAAACTGTGAGTCAGTTAAACCTCTCTTCTTTATAAATTACACCATCTCAGGTATTTCTTCATAAGCAGCATGAGAACAGACTAATATACTAACTCTTCAGATGACAAACAGCTTCTGTTTTTTTCACTTGGAATCCAGACACCATGTTGTGAGGAAGCTCAAGCAATGACATGGGGAGGCCCACATGGAGGAGAATCATGGCTCCAGCTGACATCTAGCTCCAGCTTACCATTCATGTGAAGGAACTATCTTGGAAATGGATCCTCCAGTCCCAATCAAGCCTCCTAATTGAAAGCATGCAGAATGTGTCCCTGCTGAGTCTTGCCCAAATCACACCACTGTAAACAAATACATGATTGCTGTTGTTTTAAGCCACTAAGTTTTGGAGGGGCTTGTTACACAGCTGTAGAAAGTATAGTATCTGTAGGGGTCTAGTGTTTGTGCTCACAGAATCCTTGTTCTTTTCCTCTGGTAAGGGTACCTAATTTCCTTGGGGGAGCCAATCCACTCCCACTGTCAGTACAGATACTTTGAATAATGTTGACTCCAACCTCGGCTCCAGGGATGAGCTGACAATTCAGCTTGACCAACTCAGAGGAAATGACCACTGCAGTTGTTTCTGGAACTGGGCATGTGACCTGATCAGAGCCAAAGAGATACAGTAAGATTTGCTGGTGCTGGTGAGAGAGGCTTCTTTCTTTCCAACTGCATATCCAGAAGATATGAGCCTGGAACTGCAACGGGCTACCGGGTATGGGCTGAGAATCAAGCAAACACAGCAGAAGGCTGGGGTGAAAGAGGGAAAGAAATCAAGTCCTGATGACATTGTTTGAGTTTTGGCACAGCTGTGCCTGAGGCTATCCCTACCTTGGGATTTGTCAGCCACATCACTACATAAACCAGTAAGATTTATGTTTATTTATTTTACTTGAACCAATTTGAATTGGATTTTCTGTCACTTGCCACAGAAGGAGTCCTTAGTCATAGTGAGTCTGAATTTGGATCCCGGCTTTGATATCTTTTTTACTTTCTTTCTCCTTTTTAAATTTGACTTAATTTCAGATTTATAGAAAAGTTACAAGAATAATACAAAAAACTTCCCATATGCCTTTTATCCAGATTTCCCAAATGTTAACAGTCTTACCACATTTGCTTCCCTCACCCCCCATCCTATGTACATGGATTATTTTTTCTGAATAGATTGAGAATTGGTTACAATCATGATACCCCTTTACACCTAAATACTTCAGAGTGTTTCCTAAAAACAAGGACATTCTCTTATGTAACCTCAGTGTAATTATCAAAGTCAGGACATTAATATTGATATAAGGCTGTTATTTCATCTATTAACCTTGTTTAGATTATATTTAGATTATATTATTTGTCCTAGTAATGTCCTTTATTGCAAAAGAAAATTCTGGAGTATGCACAGTCACTGTCATGTCTCTTTAGTCTATTTTAATCAGAAACAGTCTGTCTTACTTTGCTTTTTGCTGCTATATCAGAATACCAGAGACTGGGTAATTTATTAATGAAAGAAATCTATTTGACTCATGGTTCTGGAGGGTGGGAAGTCTGAGATCAAGGGTGCTGAATCTGGTGAGGGCCTTCTTGCTGGTCACCCCATGGCAGAAGGTAGAAGGGCAAGATAATACATGTACATATGAGAGAAAGAGAAGGGAGGCAGAGCCAGAAGGGGCTGAATTTGTTTTTATAACAAACCTACTCTCACAATAGCAACAGTAATCCATTCATGAGGGCAGACCCAATCACCTCTTAAAGGTCCCCCCTCCCAACATGGTTGCACTGGGGATTACGTTTTCAACACATGAACTTTGGGGGACACATTTAAACTATAACACAGTTCCTCAGTCTTTCATGACATTGATATTTGTACAGACAAGTTATTTTATAGAATGTCCCTCAGTCTGGGTTTGTCTGAAGTTTCCTCATGATGAGATTCAGGTTATGATTTCTTGGCAGGAATATAACAGAAATGGTATTGTGTTCTTTCCAGTGAATCAAATCAGGAGACATGCAATATTCTTTTGTCCCATACTGCTGATGTTAATTTTTATCATTTAATTAAGGTGCTAATTGTCAGGTTTCTCCATTGTAAAGGTACTATTTTTCTTTTTGTAATTAAGAAGTATCACGGTCGCATTCTTTGAGACTATGTAAACACCCTCCTACTCCTCAAACTTTTACCCACTACTTTGAGCTTCTGTTTATGATTTTTGCCTAAAATGATTATTGCTGTGGTAGTTACCAAAAGGTGATTTTTCTTTCCCATCATTCCTTTTATATTTAGTTGTCTTTCTAATGTAATGAAGAGCTTTTCCTTATTTCTCTCTCTCTCTCTCGCTTCTGTTTCTGTCTTTCTCTCTGATTTGTATGGCCTCATGGACCCCGATTTTATTCCATGGGTTATAATCCTTTGCTATTATTTACTTTGACGCAATTGCTTTGATGCTCAATTGTTTCTGATTTTGCCAGTGGGAGCTTCTTCAAATTGACTTCAGCGTCTGACTCCCTTTAATGGAGAGGATAAAAGTCTAGGCTCTAAAGCCAAACTGCTGAGGCTCAAATTCTAGCTCCATAACTTAAACTTGAAACCTTGAGCAAGTTACTTAACATCTTCTACCTTAGTTATCTCATATGGAAAATGGACATGGCAATAGTACGGCTCCTTAGGACTATTGTGAGGATTACATGAACTATCAGAAAAGCAAATGGAATAGTGCTCTACATACATTCAGTGCTCAGTGTTAGCCAGTTGTTCTAGTCTCTGGCTTTTCATTGGAAAATTATGGGATAAATTTTTCTTTTCTTTACAGAGTTGTTGAGAAGATTAAGTTGGGTAAGGTAAGTACATGAAAGCTACTTTCAAAATGGTAACTGTCTTTCCTTTCTCCTTTTTTTCCTTTTTCCTTTTATTTGCTCTTCCCTTTGCAAAGAGGAAGAGTCAATAAAATGCTCTGTTACAAATAAGGCAGTCTTTTAGTTCTGTCTTATTGTTGGAAATCCTCATTTTATTTCCAATCAGAGCTTTTCAAAGTGAAAGTGGAGACAGGATTTCCTTAAATCTGCATTCGCTATGGAGGTGCATGCCTCTTGCTTTTTATGAATTATGACCAGATCTCCTCAATTCAGGTGGGAGGGGCTGGCAGCAGAAAACCTAGTGACTTAGGAAAAGTGGTCTTCCTTCCTTCCTTCTTTCCTTCCTTCCTTCCTTTTCTTCCTTCCTTCCTTCCTCCCCTCCTCCTTCCCTTCCTCCTTCCCTTCCTTCCTCCCTTCTTTCCCCTTCCTTCCTTTCCTCCTTCCTTCCTTCCTTCCTCCCTCCCTCCCTCTCCTCCTCCTTCCCTTTCTTCCTTCCTTCCTTCCTTCCTTCCCTCCTTCTTCCCTCCCTCCCTCTTGCTTCTTTCTCTCTCCCTCTTTCTTTCAATTTTGCTTGATTGGAGCCTCCCTCTGTGTTCACATTGATAGTCATTCTGGTTTGTTTTTCACTCTTCTAGGATGGTTTTGACTAGTGTGAACATGTATCTCACTTAATTTCAACTTTATAAATCAAAATTTATGAACAAAGAAAACTCAATATAAATATGAGTTGTGCATAAACAGTAGGCAAAAAGCGAAAGTCTCACCAACTCTTGCCTAGTCTATTGAAAGGACAATTTAACTCACCTACCACTCCTATTCTCGCCCCACTCCAACATATTTTGCACACCCCTGCCAGGAAAGTCCTCTTAGGACATAGCCCTCTATATGTATTTCTTAAACCTAAAAACCTTTAAAGATTCTCATTACCTAAGTATATTAGGTACAGATTCTGAAGCCTAACATACAATGCCCATCTACAGTGAATGATAAAAAAAAAAAAACTCACTGAGAAATTACTATTGCTAAGCACTGCTTTAATGCA
Organism: Homo sapiens; assembly: GCF_000001405.40. Lineage (NCBI taxonomy): Eukaryota > Metazoa > Chordata > Mammalia > Primates > Hominidae > Homo > Homo sapiens. Next base: position 173,677,737 of record NC_000002.12, on the reverse strand, counting down.
TTATCTAATACAGTCATAACAAGATTCCTGTGAGGTTGAAGGGTACCATTACTAATTCCATCTATAACTGGCTATACTGGCTAGTAAGTGATGGAGCTAAAAACTGACCCCAGACAGCCTAACTCCGAAGGCTTACAATTACACTAATGTGCTTTCAGTCTTAGAATCTTATGCTTAGGGAACTTACTGCAATCAGAACCACTTCAGTATGCACTGTTTATCGTAATTCCACTGGATTGAATACCTTTTGACCTTCACTGCCCATTTCCACCTTCTGTTCATCTGTGCACAGCAAAATTTTTCTGTTCCTTTGAGGTGCCTGTCAGAAGTCTTTCCAAATATTATTAACCCTACCCACAGCCCCTGGAGGTGGGATTTCTTCTTTCTTTATTTGCTCCCCTTTTCTCAAAATCTTTATCTGCACTACCCCTGCCTGGGGTTTTCATTAACTTTTGTCTCCGTATCTTCTCCTGAGCTAGCCATCTTGAGAACAGAGTCAGGGCCTGGTGCAGAGCCCACGTTCACCTTTGCTCCCTTCATTTCTGTGAGCAGGTGGGGCTTTTCAGGAAGAGATGAGCTCACTCCCTTGGGCAGGAGTGAAGCTAAGTGGCAGCGTGAGTCTGGCGGTGACCTGCCTCCTATGTCGTAGAGAAAACAGAGGCCATCAGGAGTGGACCTACTGAATTTGCCACTATCTTTCCTCTAAATGGCTTTAGATTCATACCCACCCTCCACTCTTTCCTTTTGGTCTTAGAGGAAAGGTGTCCCTCCTCCCAGCCACAGCTAATGCCTCATTTTGGCAGGATCCCACCCTTCCTCATTTTTTCTAGGCTACCGATTGAGAAATTGTCCTGTTTCACTATATGTTCAAACTCTCCCTTTTTCCTCTAATGACTCATTTCCTCTCACCTTTAAATGTTGGTTTCTCCCATCTTAAAAATGTCTTGTGACCACTCTATTATTGAATCTAGTTACCATTTCCTCTCTGCTTCCTTTTACAGACAATATTTTTGAGACAGTGGTCAGTACTGTCTCAACTTCCTTTCTTGCTCTTTATTCCTTGACCCTCTGACATTGAATTTTCATTCCACCACGGGCTCCACTGCAACCGCATTGCCAAATGCAAAATGTAATGGCCACTTGTCTTTTCTGAGGCATGATTTGCCTCTTCCTCCCCAGAAGTCAATTATTTCCTTGGTTTTGGTGACATTCTCTCCTGATTCTCTTCCAATCTCTGACACTATTTCTGAGTCTCATTAGTGCATTTCTCTGCAGGCTCCTTCAGTTTTATTTATTTATTTATTATTTTTATTTTTAACTTAAATTTAAGTTTCGGGATACATGTGCAGGACATGCAGTTTTGTTACACAGGTAAACGTGTGCCATGGTAGTTTGCTGAGCCTATCAACCTAAGTATTAAGCTCCACATGCATTAGCTATTTATCCTCATGCTCTTCCTCCCCCCACGGCTCCCCTGCCAGGCCCCAGTGTGTGTTGTCTCCTCCCTGTGGCCATGTGTTCTCATTGTTGAACTCCCAGTTATAAGTGAGAACATGTGGTGTTTGGTTTTCTGTTCCTGTGCTAGTTTTCTGAGGATAATGGCTTGCAGCTCCATCCATGTCCCTGCAAATGAGATGATCTCATTCCTTTTTATGGCTGCATAATATTCCATGTGTGTATATAACACATTTTCTTTATCCAGTCTATCATTGATGGGCATTTGGGTTGATTCCATGTCTTCGCTATTGTGAATAGTGCTGCAATGAACATATGCATGCATGTATCTTTATAATAGAATGATTTACATTCCTTTGGGTATATATGCAGTAATGGGATTGCTGGGTCCAATGGGGTTTCTGGTTCTAGGTCTTTCAGAAATCACTACACTGTCTTCCACAATGGTTGAACTAATTCACATTCCCGCCAACAGTGTAAAAGCATTTCTATTTCTCTGCAGCCTCGCCAGCACCTGCTGTTTCTTGACTTTTTAATATCATCATTCTGACTGGCCTGAGATGGTATCTCATTGTGGTTTTGATTTGCATTTCTCTAATGATCAGTGATGTTGAGCTTCTTTTCATATGTTTGTTGGTCACATGAATGTCTTCTTTTGACAAGTGTCTGTTCATGGGGCTGTTTTTTTTTTTCCATAAATTTGTTTAAGTTCCTTGTGGATTTTGGATATTAGACCTTTGTCAGATGGATAGATAGCAAAAATTTTCTCCTACTCTGTAGGTTGCCTGTTCACTCTGATGATAGTTTCTTTGGCTGTGCAGAAGCTCTTTAGTTTAATTAGATTCCATTTGTCCTTTTTTGCTTCTGTTGTAATTGCTTTTGATGTTCTCATCATGAAATCTTTGCTGGCGCCTATGTCCTGAATGGAATTGCTTAGGTTTTCTTCTAGCTCCTTTAGTTTTAAGGTCTCCTCTCATAGTTCTGACTTGGGTCCTTTTTCTCATCTCTCTACATGTAGCCAATTCCAGCTCTCAGTAGTGACCCCCGCATCTATGTCCCCAGTCCATGAATCTCTCCTGAGGTCCAGTTCCCTACAATTGTTCTCCTGGTAGGGGTGACTCTACAATGGTGAGTTAGGTGCTGTCAAGGGTCTTAAAAAACTGGCCAAACTTGCTCTGAATCACGATAAACACTCTAAGAGCAGAGGGCAAATCGGAAACATATTCTCACTCCTGTAAGATAAGTTTGCTTAAATCATGAAGGATAAATTATTTTCAGCCATTTGGAGGAAGAATGTGTTTGTGGTCATTTACTTACAAATCCAATGGAATTGAATATTTTTATACACTTTACGTGGAGCAAATTAAAATATGTGCTGTGGGGTGTGTGTTTGTGTGTATGAGTGTGTGCAGCACATATGTTTTGTGGATGCCAAAGCAACTCTACCTTGAGTGCTAAGTGTCCGTGTTGACTTCTGATTAACCCCAATTCTGGGAAAACCTCTAAGATTTCCAGTTTAAATCCTGCCCTTAGGTCACACAACCTTGATGTTATTATGCTTACCATAAGTCCTGCCTTTAAATAATTGTTTTACATATCCCTTCTGAATCATGTATACCCTTTCCCTATGGTATATAAGCCCTGGGTCTAGGGAGTAATGGCGTAGAGATCCACCATCTTGTCCAGCCATTGCCCAAGATATAAACATGGCTTCTGTGTGCAAGTCCCTATGAAATATTTCTTTCTGAGAAGGTGGATTTGTCAGCCTTTTTCTTTGACTTCTCAGTTTCCTCAGACCTTGGGGGTAGGTTTGCGTAGACCTGCCCACTGCAGAACATGTGTCTGTGTGTGTGTGTGTGTGTGTGTGTGTGTGTGTGTGTGTGATTCGACAGTACTCTAAGAGTGGTTACCAAAATTTAAACTCTTGTGAATGCATATTTTTCATGAATGTTTTTGCCAGTTGGACCATATTTAAATTCAGCCAATGAGAATTCAGTAATATCCTGAATTGAGTCAGCAATTGATTAAAATCCAATTCAAATGGATTTGCGTTCTATTCAAATGTTGATTACATCTCTCAGAATTTGGAAACTAAACTGTAGTGGTAATTCATATGGCTTTTTATAAGCAACATACAGCAATTTAAAAAGTGGATTATTCATAGGTAGTGATTAATAATAAAGTAGTGTTTCACCACTACAAAAAGGAGTCTAGGTAGGAGAGAACATGACAGGAACAAAAAATCTGAATTAGGTTTGGCAAAAAGACAAAAGTGAGTAACTTCAGGAAAAAATTAATGTGCTTTATTTGAAGCTTTTGCCTTGTGCCTCACCAGCTTTATATCTGCCAGTGTTTAGTGGCATTGCAAATGTAACACATCTCAATCCAAACTAATGTGTTCCCCTATCTCACCAGCTGCACCTCCCTCTGTAGTAGCGGATGTTCAAACTATCCAACCAGCCAGCCAGGCAAGAAGTGTTGGATTCATTCCAGAGAATAAAGTACAAACACTTCAGCTTGCCATATGGAGCCCTTTGCTATTTGGTCCTTTTCCATACCTCCAGCTTCAGCTCCTACCATTCCCTGTAATTTGCCTATGTTAGTTAGGAATGCTTTCAGCTGCAAGTAACAGCAAAAAAATTGAAGTTTATTTGTCTCATATGGTTAAAAAAATGGAAGATCAGTAGCTCCCAGTATAAGTTCAGTGATTCAGCCCTTCCATGGGCAATGTTCTATCCTGAGGTCCCCCCAAAACACAGCCTGAAACAAAGGGTGGTGTGTAGGTGATTTATTTGAGAACTGATCCCAGGAAGCAAGGATGAGGAACCAGGGAGAGCGAAACAGGGAAGGAGGGAAACCCCAAACAATTCTATTATTGAAGTGGTCACCTCAACAGGGCCTTGTTGCTTGATCTCCCAGCACCTTTAAGTAGTGTATAAAATGTTCTTAGAGTTGTCTGTCTAAGAGACAAAAGAGAGAAGCATTTCTCTCAGCTCCTACCCCAGTTGGTTGAGAGTTACTTAGGAGGCGTTAACTCACCTGCTCCCTTGAATCACAATGTGGGAATATCATATGGGTTCCCACAGGCATCCCACAGCAAAGAAGTTCTGGGGCAGGAAGTGAGAGACCAGTGGTGCACACTTGAAATGAGATGTCAATTTGAACTGGTTTGAAGCTTGCCCGCAACCACTCACACAGCTGTTGCTGAATTATTAGTGAGGCTGAGGATGTGTATGACAGGTCTCTGCCTTCTCCCAATCACATAAATATAGTAATTCATTTGCTCTGTCTTATGATATACTGTATACAAAATATATATCTCCAAATTAACACATTAACACCACTAACAACAATATATCCTACTAAGGATGTATAACCAAAGTACTTGGTTCAAAAATTACTTAACTCAGTTTTTTTTCCCCTATGTGGTCATGTTATCTAATTTATATACAGTTAAAATTATTTGTTTCTCTTTATAATAAGAAAGCGTGAGTAAAATTGATGACATTACAGAAAAAAGATTTTGTCAGGCAGAAAACACAAAAAGCAAAGACAAAAGACAAGGGGAAAATGGGCAGAAAATATTTTCAATAGATACCACAGATAGGAGATAAATATTTTCAATAGATACCACAGATAGGAGATGAATTTCTCTTGTGTATAAAGAATTGTTAAAATTAATATAAATTATTAAAATTTAGATAACCCAATAGAAAAAATCAGCAAAAGTGATGAAGAGACCCTTCAAAAAAAGATATATACTATAAAGTGATTAAAATTAAAACTACACTGAGGTATTACTTTTTACTTATCATATTGGCACAAATTCAAAAGCTTGACAACAAATGACTACCTATAAAAGAAAAATGAAATAAACTCTGGTACATGCCTACAATGGAGTACTATACAGCCATAAAAAGAGAATGAGGAAGACCTTGATAAAAGGTTATATAGCAATTACCAAGATGTAACATCTATCATATAATATATATAATATCTGTTTTTTGTAAGAAAGAATTGGCAATAGGAATGTGTGTGTGTGTGTGTGTGTGTTTCTGGAATTTAAAACATAAACCCAAAGTATAAATCAAAAAACAATGAAAATGTTATCTATAGGGATAGAAAAGGGAATGAAACCTCTCGATGGATACCTTTTTATATAGTGTTGACTTCTGAACCATATAAATTTTTAAATATCAAAAAATATATAATTAAATTTTAAACTTTTAGGGGTAATAGATTTGCTCATTATCTTGATTGCGGTATTCATTTTACAGATACATACATATGTCAAAGCTTATCAAATTGGACTATACATAGATTAAGTATAGTCGATGTCGATTATGCTTCAATTAAAAAATTTTAGTAAAATTTTGAAAAGCAATGCTAAAAAAAGATTTTGTGGCTTTAAACAAATAAAACTAAAATCATTTAATTAAATTTTAAAAAGTGTGGCAGATTGTCTTTTCTTTACATTCCATGTGCTCTTCCAACATCTTAGTATACCCACTTCAAGAGATGAAGTCTGTGTCCCTTCCAACTGAATCTGGTCAGGCTTTTGTGACCATCCAACTAATAGTATGTGGGTGAAGTAATGCTCTGTGGCTACTGAGGCTAGATCATAAAAGGTTATCTTTCTCTCTTGGGGTGCTCACTCTTGGTCTTCAGTCATTCTGTAATGATGAAGTCCGGGCCACATGAAGGGGTTATATACCATAGGGAAAGGGTATACATGATTCAGAAGGGATATGTAAAACAATCATTTAAAGGCAGGACTTATGGTAAGCATAATAACATCAAGGTTGTGTGACCTAAGGGCAGGATTTAAACTGGAAATCTTAGAGGTTTTCCCAGAATTGGGGTTAATCAGAAGTCAACACGGACACTTAGCACTCAAGGTAGAGTTGCTTTGGCATCCACAAAACATATGTGCTGCACACACTCATACACACAAACACACACCCCACAGCACATATTTTAATTTGCTCCACGTAAAGTGTATAAAAATATTCAATTCCATTGGATTTGTAAGTAAATGACCACAAACACATTTTGTAGCTGTATTAAGCCTCAACCCAGGCTAAACTTCCAGCCAATAGTCAGGACCAAATTGCCAGCCAAATGCACCCTGTAGGAGCCTGATCCTCTGGCTGACAGTCGAGCTTTTTTAGCTAATGCCAATTGGAGCAGAGATCAGCGTTCTCCACTGAGCCTTGCCTAAATAGAAGATTCTGGGGCAAAAATAAATAATTTTTGTCATTTTAAGCCACTAAGTTTTGGCACAGTGTATTATGCACCAGTAAATAACTAGTGAGGAGTTTGGTATCTGGAAGTGGTATCTGGGGTGCTGCCATAGCAAAGCCTAAATTATGTGATAGTGGCTTTGGAACTGGAAGGTGGGCAAATATTGGAAGGGCCTTGAAGAAACTGTTAGCTGCAGTCTGACGGCCCTTACGGGACTGTGAGTGAGGGTTTAAAGGAAAGAGAAAAGGTTACTGGAATTGAGTGGAAAGAGGATTTTGCCTGCAGTGACATAAAAAATAGAAAAATTATACATAATGAACTGGTGAATATGAAAACTTTTCAGGCAGTATTTTGAAAGTGCCAACTGGATCTATGTATGTTTAGATAAAGATAGGGAGAAATGAACTAAAAAAAGGGAACTGTTTGATTTTTAAGCAAATTTAAAGGAAATATAAAGGCTCTAGGACTTCGTGTATTCAAAAATGAAACTGGTTTTCCTTCCTAGCCTCTCCAGATGTCACATAATTCTCAAATTAAGAAATGACCTTGGACCAAAGATCGAGTCCAAATCAGGACTATAAGATAATTTGTTAAGACCCGAGCTTCTCAGTGTCAGTGTCTCATAGGACCTTTCAGACCGATCAGAGGCTCTCTAAATATTGAAATATATTTAAATATATATCCTGTTAAAAAATAGACTTTATAAGAGTCTGAAGGTCATTGTCCCTCAGCATTCTCACCAGTAGCTTAAGGTAAGGAAGGGCTAATCTAGATGAGTTTGTGGGTATCACTTTATCTAATGGGAACCCAAGGAGATTCATAAGAAATCTACAAGTTTTTAAGGGAATTATATTATTGGAAACAAAACCAACTTGGGCTAATGAATACAGGAACTGTACAAAGTGTAAGTAGGTTTTTGGACTCCTGAACTTCTATGGACAGGAAGCAGACTGAGAAAATTACTCAGCTGCAAATGTAGGTTATATTTTATTGAACAGTAAGGATAATTTAGAATGTAGAATCATGAGCCCAGAGGGTAAAGTTATAAGCTGTAGAAAATTTTACACAGGTAGTATTGCTGAACCCTAATCATGGGACTGACAAATGTGCCCAGTGGAATTTCAGAATTGCTATGAAGCAGTGACTTCTGCATGCCTCATTTTCCCTGTTTTTGAACACGAGTGTTTATGTAAGTTATTACATATCTGTCCTACCATTGTATGTTGGGTGTGTATGGGGTAGATAACTTTCTCTTTAGTTCACAGGTTTTCAGAACAAGAAAAATCTCACCTGGGGATCATACTCTAGGAACTTCATCCAGGAAACTTATCTCTTTGTATGGCTATGTGCTTTCATTTCTCTTAGGTAAATACCTAGGAGTAGAATGGATGAATCATATAGCGGGTGTGTGTGTAACTTTTTAAGAAACTGCCACCTGTTTTCCAGTGAATTTGCTTGAGATCCTAGACCTCAAGCCTGAGTCCAAAAACCATCAAGGAAAGATACTTTGGTTTTTTTTTTTTTTAGGAAGAAGTATATTTTGCATGTGGGAGGAATGAAAATTGCTGTGGCTAGAGGACTGTGTCAAATTGTGGTTTTCAAAAAAAAAGTCTTTAATAGTATTTACATTCCATGTGCTCTTCCAGAACTTGCCACTCCCCAGCAAGAGACAGAGTGTATGTCTTCTCCCCTTGAAACTAGGTGCACTTTTGTGACTATCTCAATGACAAGAGTTTGGTTGAAGTGATGCTAAGTGATTTCCACAGCCAAGTCATAAAAAGTGAAGCAGATTCTACTAGACTGTCTTTTAGGACACTTGCCTTTTGTGCCTAGTCACTAGGCTGGAAGCTCAGGGCACATGAAATGGTTCAAGTGGAGAGAAACAGAGGTCACCAGTGCTCAGTCTGGGTTGAGCCGTCAGCTTACAGCCCATGCAAACTTGTCACCATGTGAGTGAGCCATCTTGGGATTTGATCCTTCAGCCCTCAATTGAGTTGTCATAGCTGATGCCACATGGGGCTATCGAGATAAGCCTTCTCCATTAGGCCTTGCCAAATTTGTAGATCCATGAGAAAATTAAATGATTGTAGTTTTATTTGTTTAAAGCCACAAAATCTTTTTTTAGCATTGCTTTTCAAAATTTTACTAAAATTTAATTGAAGCATAATCGACATCGACTATACTTAATCTATGTATAGTCCAATTTGATAAGCTTTGACATATGTATGTATCTGTAAAATGAATACCGCAATCAAGATAATGAGCAAATCTATTACCCCTAAAAGTTTCCTTGTGCTCCCTCTGCCCTCCCCTCCCAACCAGGAAACCACGAATTGCTTCCTGCATTTATAGATTACTTTAGATTTTCTAGAATTTTATACAAATTGACTTATATAGTATGTGTTGTTTTTTGTCTGTCTTCTTTCACTCAGTGTCATTATTTTGAGATTCATTCATGTTATTGGGTGAATCAGTAGTTCATTTCCTTTTATTACTTGAATAGTGGTCCATTGTAAGAGTAGATCATAATGTGTTTATCCATTCACCCATGGATGTACATTGCAGTTGTTTCCAGTTTTTGTCTACAATAAATAAAGCTGCTGTCAACATTCGTAGTTCTTTGTGTGGCTGTAAGCTTTTATTTCTCTTCAGTAAATATGTAAGATTGGAATAAACATGTTAGGTATATGTTTAACATTTTAATAAACTCCCAACTCCTTTCCACTGCTTCCAAAGCGGTTGCACATTATGCATTTTCAGTAACAATGCATGAGAATTCCAGTAGCTCCACATCCTTGCCAACTTTGGCTAGTCAGTCTTTTAATTTTAGGCATTTTAATATTTTTGTAGTGTGAGCCACTATAGTGATTTGTTATGTAACCATAGATAACTGACATAGGATGAAAAAGAATAATCCCCCCAAAGCATTTTTAAGTATATTAAGAGCTGTATTTGTCAAGATCTTTTCATTGTTAGAAACATCAGATTACATAGTAGAGGAAGAAAGCTCTGTGCCTAAAATTAAAATGCTCTCTAATGCTATTATTAAGCAGTGTTTACAGTATGGGTTTATATCCACATAGAACTTAACTAACATTCATTCATTGAAAGCTTTGAGATTTAGCAAGGTGTTAGAATGATTACACTAATCTGTAAAGATATAAAAACTGAAGAAGAGAGAAAGTTATCTAAATATCATAATCAATAGAAAAGGAAGCTGGGAGTAGGCGATGAATCTTTCATTGTCATCTGCTTCTCTTTGCTGGGTCAGATCTTCAGTCTCCTTTGAGCATCCCCAGGCCATGTTTTTATAAGCGCTCTGAAGCAAGTTTGGGCAAGTGATGGGGTTTCTCTTCATTGGGTACTGCCAGGCCATGAGTGTCCACCCAGAGGGAACAGCAGGGGTCCCTAGAGTACTGAAGGTGCTTGGTGCTCAGATGAGAAGATGGCCTCTCCCTATTCCTGTCTTACCTGCTGGAGGGATCCCCAAGCAGAGTTGCTGATGCCACAGGTACTTGCACAAATTTTACTCAAGAGGTTCTTTACAGACAACTCACACTTCCTTCTGTCCCATGACCAGTTAGGACCCAGCCACAAGTCAAATCTGGGGCTAAAGCAGGGGATAAATCCAAATAACAAACATAGAACCGTGTTTATTTTCATGCTGCTGTCACTGGGTCTGGCTCAATGTGCCTGGATCCTTCTTTTCTAACGACAAATTATTACCCATAAGCCTCCCTGACACCTTATGTAAAGAAATCTCATGCAGACCAACCCCAGCTAGTTGTTGAATATGCCTAGACGTGTTTGACTCAGACATGTTTGACTCTCAGCAGGTTCTTAAGGAAGGCTGAGGCTGAGCTAACCCCACCCTTAAGCACTGGCAAAGCTGAATGGTTTTGCTGCACTCTATTGTACTCTGTTTAGTGGCTGTTAAATGTTCTTATTTTATGATAGGTTTTTATTGATATTTAGTTTAATTTTCTTGTTTTCTCAGAACAAAATGCACAAACACCCTCCTCCATCCCAAAGAATCCTTTTCTCTCATGGTTTTAATTCTTTTTTATTTCCCTGTATTTGGATGGTTTTCTTAACCTTTCTTTGTTTTAGCCAAGTAGGCAATAAATATGTGAAAATTCTGAGACACTAAGTGTCTCAGACACCATGTGAAAGAATAAAAAAGCATGGCTTCTGCATGTATTTTGTGATTTACCCTCTCAATTCCAGTGCTTACAATGAAGATGTAAATATCTTGATCAAAAACTTTTCAGTTGGTTATCTTTGGTCCTTCACGATTAAAAGTGTAAGCTCAACACTTGCCTTCTCAAGGGCCCTTGGAAAGAGAACGACTCTATTACATCCCTCTCACAGGCCCACACCCCCACAAAACTTCCCACATTATGCAAACAAAAGCCTGAATGGATAGGGCTCGCACCGGATTTCAGAAGGCTGTGATTACTTCTCTGAAATTTTAAAAAGAATCCTACATTTGACAGAAATTGTTAAGAGTCTACAATTAGCAAATAGATATGGCATTAGTGTTTTTCTAATCAAAATCCATTGTTCCACCAATGCTCACTGCTGTTGTTTTAAGTGACAGTGGGTTGCCCTTCCAGGAAGCCTGGAGAGAGATTGGTGCACACAAGAGGTGAGTGTGCATTCACGCACGTGGCCCCATCTGTCAGATCAGTCCAGAGCCGCACAATTCATATCCTGCCCTCTTTTATGACAGTATCAATTTGTCCCTCATGTTGAGCAATGGCCCTTTCTTTTCTGAATATCCTCGAAAGAAAGAAAAAAAAGATTATTAAGTTCTTGTTCAACTGAAAAAAAAAAAGAAAAGAAAAGAAAGAAAATACTGCTCTGCTAGAGCTAGAAGCATCTTTCTGGTATCACTTAGAGCAGAGGTGGCCGGGTTTGCCACTTCCAGCCCAATCCACAGAAATCATGGCAAATAAGGAATTACCTAGAAAGTCTTCAGAGACTTAGATCTCTAATCAGATAATATAATTTGTTTAATGAAATAGCGACTTCAGATGTTCTTGGATAAAAGTATGACAATGACAAAGTTTAAGAGCAGAGAGATTTCCACAGCCAGTAATCCACCTAGTTTTTTTTAAAAAACACTTATTCGAATACAGAAGCTGCTGCAAATGAAAAACAGTCAGAAAGGGAAAATCCTTACATTTTTTGAACGTATAATTTTAAAAACAGAAACGGGTTATCTGTACCACTAATTTTCCTGTTCTGGGGTGTCTTTGTGCCTCGTTCTCTGGGGTGTTTTGCAATGCCTGTGAGATATGTTTAGCCCGTTCTGATCAGGATGCTAAATAGCTGCCAGTTCCACAGACCAGCCCTGGATCTGCTGTTTGGCTTCTCCTTGCCACCCAACTAACACGTCAGAGCTCAGAGCTTTGTGGCTTCCCTGCCAGGTGCCCGCTTAGTTTTCGTCTGACCATGTGCCACTTAGGGAGCTTAAAGGTTAACTTCTTTGGGCACAGGCTTGTCCTCACTCTGCTCAAAATCCTGCCTGGAGAACACAGGGGAAAAGCTAATTCTAAGACATACATCACTCTTATTTGCTGGGAGTGCTTGACGAGGGAATATAGTGTAAACAAGAGAGATGCATTTCATTTTAAAGATATTAAGCTAAAAACATGAAACTCTGAAATTTCCATTTGACCATGTGGCAGTCATGTCGGGGTTCCTTCCCTCTCTTCCACAAGTTCTGGGGTTCTTCCACAGGCAGATAGTGTGTGGCTGTTTCCTTCCCTTGCCTGCAGGACTGATTGTCTGTCCTTGCATGCTTCCCCTGGGACATCAGCTTCTGCAGGGACCCTGTGCTGTGGCACACAGGACCCACCTGCTGCTCCCATGATGCTCAACACACAAACCGTACATGCTCCCTGCGGCTCTCAGGCCCATCTGCTTAGACACACTGCCTGCTTGTTTCTGCTCTTCCTTTCCCATGCGGTGACACCGTGGGGTGTGTGGAGGGGTGAGCCTCGTCACTGCTAAAGACTCCACTTTGGGATAGGACTCAGGTTGTCCTTGCCCCAGATTCATCCCTAAACTGGTACGGTTTCTGTGCTTCTGCGTTTTCCATGAGCTTCTTCTGCCTAAGGAGCATCCTTATCACACTCTCTTGCTTTACCTCGGCCCCATCGTATCTGTGGTTTGGGGGTGGGGTATATTTGCAGGGTGCGTGAAGCCTTGCTCTTCATCCCCACACATTTCCAAGTCCAGAGTCTTCTCAGCTTCTAGGCTGTATGATGTGCAAACCACGCTCCTGAAACTCAATAGCCTTCTCTCTCCCTAGCCCTAGTTTCCAAGACAACGAATGCTTCTGACTCAGTAAGAAAGGACAAGGGTACAAGAGGAGGCTAATATCTCAAGGCATTATCCCATCCTAGGAGGATACGGTATTTGATGTTCCTGCCATTGCATATGAATTCTTCTAGGAATTTGGAATTGGCATTAAAGAATTTGTTTCTATTTGGCTAAATAAAAGAGGTGTAAAAATTACAGAATGAGAAAACTCTCAAATCATCTATTTAAATATGGCATTTTCGAAGGAGGAAAGAGATTATCTAGCCCACCTAAATTCCCTTTTCTGAAGCGTGGCATGGCCACATTCCACCATGTAGACGAGTGGCAGACAGAGCTGGTCTGCAAAGTGAGGCAGAGGCAGATGGCTAGGCACACAGCCTGGGGGCCTGACTCTACCCCATCTTCTGGCTCCAGGTCTGTCTAGGGCCAACTGCATTCCTGTTCTCTAGCTTTATTGAAGAAGGCGGAGGAGGAGGGCCTTGAAGAAAAAGAGGAGGAGGAGGAGGAGGTGGAGGAGAAGGAGATCCGCTTTTGTTGTTTGTTTGTTTTGGCTGTGTAACTACTAAATAATGTTACTTGCTATTTGTAATCAAAAGTCCCAACTAAATGAGAGTAATTAATTCTGACTTAGAAGGAGCTGGAAAAGGCTTCCCTGAAGAGGTAATATTTGCAATGGGTTTTGAAGGCTGAGTAGGAGTTCATCAGGCAGACATAGTAAGGAAGGACATTATAGTAGGACAGGAAAGTAAGCTTGCCCCTAAAGTTTACTGCAGGGCCCAAGCAGGAGAACAAAAAGAGGCCCAGATGCCATATATCTAAATACTTAAAAGTCATAAATCAAGCTAATAAAGTGTTACATAAAATATAACCCACTTCTCTATCTTGACAAATTTACTTTCACAGTGTCCTGGAAGGCCAAGTTCACATTTTAAATTCTAGCACTTTTTGTAGTCACATGCTGGAATGTAATGGTATAGGTTAAGACGGTCCCTGTTCCCTGGGGCTCCTCCCTGGAAGCATCTTTCTTTCTTTTTCTGCCCCCAGCTCTATCCTGTATTACAAAGAGCCTCATATGCCACTTGGGCGTTACCCCAGCCCTGTGGCAAGCAGAGGCTTGGGGGTCACCCTCAGCTCTAGGAGTGGTCATGACCAGCATGATCAGCATGACCATGCCTAGAGCTGAGGGTGTGGTTGAGCAGGGGCCGGCCTGAGCTCTAGAAGCAAAGTTGTATGGTTCAATAGGGAACTCTGGAGTCATGGGTACGGGAGCATGGTCTAGAAGGGAATGTGCAGCCTCTGGGCAGGAACATAGCCTTGGTCCCATGGGCTGCCTGCCTGGTGGAGAAGGGGTGATCAGAGGGGGACCACAGCAGGAGCCCCCTCAAGCGCAGGACCCTAGGCAGGGGTCCCTCTTGCCCAGGTCCAAGAATGATTCTGCCAAAACCATGTTCAATGATTGAAGTTGTGAAAGAAACATGGTGAATGTGAGCAATGTTAAGAAATTCAATGAATCCAGTTATTTGTAGTAAGGGACAGGAGATAAAAATGGGACAGGGTCATGTAGGGCATGGTGAGCATATGGCCTCTTTGGTGGGCAATGGAAAGTTTTAAGCATGAGAATGTATAACCTAAGTAACTAATTATTACTTAGAAAGAAAGAAATAGGACAATTGGGATCAGGGAACTGGGAAAACTTTTTTCAATTACTGGAATTTTTGCAAGTGAGAGAAAGGCAGAGTGCCTAAATTTGGGCATGGAGGGGAAAGATCAGATTCAAAAGAGAGAGCTCTAGGGTGGAACTGATGAGCTTTTGTGCCAGAGACTCTGAGAGAATGTTGGGATTTCCAGCTTGGAAGGCCATGGGGATTGTAGTGCATTGACCAAGGGCAGCAGTTTAGGGCAAGGCACCAGTTGTAAAGTGAAGCATCAGGCATGTTCGGGTTAAGGCTCTATAACTGTAATTCTAGCTATCATGTGATTGTGAATAATGACAAAAATTTAAACCATAGAGCTTTGAAATCTTCTGCATCCGTAATGTAAATCCAGCAAAAGTGGTAGAGAGTATGTTGGGGAATTTTTTTGAGAGAAATTTGCCTTTCCAGTGCCTGCATTTTGTAGTTGCTTAATTGCCAATGGGGAACTTTAGGACAATCATTTCATATTTTGAGGTCTGCTTCTATTATTCATATAATAAAACCAGGCCCTTCCATTGGGGGAAAAAAAAAAGAGCTCATGTAGTAGATAGAAATAACAATGATTTCGTTAGAGCAGCAGAAGGAACTTGGTGAGGCAGCATGTCCTTTGCTAAGACTTTTATAAATCAGTCCCCTTTGGAGTCTTCTAGTTTACCCACTTCTTTGATTTTTTTAGGAGAGGAGGCAGGCAGCTGATGCTTGTTGGCTCACTGGACTCCCAAGCATTGAGAATAATTGAAACAACGCGTAATTTTTTTCCAGAATGTAAATTCTATATGGCTGAAAATTTCATTAAATGTATTTAGCTTGGGAAACCAGAGCATTGACTGTAACTGTATTCTCTGGAATTTAAGGGTGGAAATCTCAGAATATAAAAAACCATGGTAAGTTGCCCATTTAGAAGTGAACCTACTATCGTATTCTAGCTAAAGCTCTGAATTGTGAATTTTTCAAAGGGCTTATTTCCCCAGATAACATTTTCTTGTTATTTATCTTACCTTTTTGCTCATAGCAATAGGATGGCGTGTTGTTATTTTCCAAGTTGCTGGGATTAATGCTCATTTTCTGGTTAATTAAAATCTTTTAAATAAAAACACCCCAAGTTCACAGCATTGTTGTACTCATTACCATTTCTGTAGTATCTTTGCAGCTCAGCTATTATGCAAGGCTGCAGTAATTTTAACACAGCCCTTTTATTCTGTTTGTCTTTATTGAAGACTTTTTGCTCATTACTGGATTGTCTCCTGACAGCCCAGAATACTCCCCCAGACTCTCCTCCTGAACTGTATGAAATCTATTTTGCATCTGCAAGTGTCTGGGCCTTCCAGGTAAGTGACTGAATCTAAAGATAATTTAAAATTGGGCAATATAATCAGTTAACAGGAAACCTTTTTCACTTGGTTGTCGAATCTCCCACACGATTCTCTTTTTTTTTTTTTTTTTTTTTTTGGTATCAAAAGCCTTATGGAGTAGAATTGGCTTAATCCTGGCGTTAAAAAAGAGTTAAAATAATTGTATTTAAAACGAATCAAATGCACTTTTGTATGCATTTTAAAGGTGCAATAAAATATGTGCATTTGAGATATTTATTACTGACTTTTGAAAGTGTTCCTCATGGTGCGCCGGCTTCATGATACGTTGAAGGCAGCTTTCACTCTGCAAATCTTCATTGCGGCTGGGAGTTCCATTCTCTCTTGTTGCTCTCCACTTCCCACTGGACCAAGCCCCTCTCTATTACATGTTACTAGATGGCTGCTGCCTCTCAGGGTATTTTTTGAGGCTGTTTGTTTAGCCTGGGTAGGAGGATTCCTTTGGACAGGCTGGCAGCCCACTCCAACTTTGGCGATTTCCAGAAACAGCTTCAACTAAACAGAAGAACCAGTTCATGCTCAAATTATCCTTTGCATGAGGCTATATCCACTTTGGAAGAAAGATGAATTTAGAGTATTTCAGTGGGTTTTCTAATAGCAAATAGCTCTAACGATACACACAAAAGAAGCCTGTGGCTGAGTCGAAGTGGGGCAGGCCTCCTGCTCTTGAGTTTGGAGTCCACCCCTCTCAGTGGCAGAGGAGGGGCTCCCACACAAACACTTTCTGTGTCTAGCTCTGCTTGAACCTGAGGCCTCATACCTGCAGGTACCTTGGTGTCCTGCTGCCCAGGGCTTGCCAGGGGCAGCTGTGGCTCTGGCTCTGTGGAGTCCCCTCTTTGGCTCTTTCCAACGACAGCTTTCAACTCCATGAGGTATGTTCCAGATGGGGCTTGGCTGGAAGACTAGAGGGAGGTCACATTGCTAAGGGAGAATCATTGGCTGCTTGGCCCATAATTTGGATGTTTCTAAAATCTTGCCATTTCTTTTCATTTTTCCACTCTACCTCAGACTCATCTGCTTAGCCCCAGGTTTCCCCAATGTCAGCCTCTGTTCTGTGTCACAGCCCAACACAGTGATGATAGCATCATAAATAAAAAATAAAATCCAGCAAAACTAAGGTGTCTTTCTTCCATCTTCCCACCTCAGAGGTAGTATCTATAAACACCCATATCACAACTGTCACTCTATCTTAGATCACTCTTCAGAGTGTTTTCCTTTGAAATGCTATGGACCCACTAATGACTCAACAAACATTAGGACCTATCGTGTGCCAGGCACTGAGATAGGCCCTAGCTCTGCAGCAGTAAGAAAATGGACACAATTTATGCCCTTCTGGAATCTATAAAGTACTGATAGGAGTGCACCCTACGGCTCTGGTTTGTTAGTCACTTGGTGACCAGCAGTGCCAGGGGAAGGCAGACTGTTGTCCAGTCAAACCCTGGAAAGAAGGTCCCTCCTTCCGATTTCCATCACCATGCAAGTGGTGAGGCCTGGTGGGAAGGAAAGGATGTAGGGTTCTTTGGGTGGTGACTGTTGCTATGGACTGGCAGAAAATTCTTAGAGCCTCCAGTCACACCGTTGTCTGAGAACCTGCTGGCCCTTGTACCACTCATTTAAATTCATACTCAACTAGGATTCTCCAGCGCTTTACATGTCTCCTGGAGAATGCATAGAAAGTAAGTGCTCTCTGGAAGCCTGTAACAGTCCTCATCAAAGGCTGATTCCCTCTGTCCAAGGGTGAGTTTTATGAGAGGGAGAATAACGCGTAACTAACCACATTTTATTCTTTGACATTCCAATTACATTAGCCAAGGCAGGCATTAGAGATCAATTGATGGGCCAGCCCAGCAATGTGAGGGCTGAGAGGGGTGGGTCACTGAGGAGATGGCCCTGGGTGGCCACAGGGCAGTGCTGGGCGCCTCTGAACAAACGCTAGCTCTCTGTGAGCCTCGGCCCGTCGCTTCTAAAGTGCTGTCCCTTCATTACCTCCCTGCTGTTCTTTTCTGACAATCTGAGCCTGTCAATCTAGACCATTGCCTGGGATGGAAACCCGGTTAACTAGGATTCATCTTTTCATTTCAAAAGGCAGTTTCTGTTTGTGGGCAAAATAAATGAGTGAGCTTCCAACTACCAGGCATTTTCACTGAAGCCCTATCGGCCCCCAACTTAAGTATAATCAACCTGTTTCTAACTTAACCAGCCCAGGATCCAGTGGATTTTGCCTTTTCTAGAGCAAACTAGCTGTGCGTTCCTTCTTTATTTAACAGCTGATTGACTATGGCATGGAGTTTAGTAGATTGTGGATCAAATAAATGAGAACCATAAAATTTCCTCCCCAGGGACTAGGTTTTGATTATTTCATTGACCCTAGAACAAGAAATGTGCCCTCTGGACCAAAAAAAGAAAAAAAAAAAAAAAACTCCACGGCAATCCAAGGCCAGATGCTCCAGCCCAGGACTGATTCAATTACGTTTATTAAAAGTAAAATGGAAGGGGGAGCACATTTTTGGAGAATTATTCATATACCTTGATGGAAGAGGAATGGAGAATAATAGTCAATCCCTAAAAATTTGATAATTCCTGGAAAGTGAGTGTCAATTTGGCACTCTGGAGCTCAGGGAATTCCAGGAATTACAATAGAAAAGTTATATAAAAAGTACAGTGATGGTGAGGATGTGCTTTTATTTGGAAGGAACTAAAAGCCTTGTAATTCAGCTACTACCAAAACTTAGTGCTTTCTAAGTGGATGAACATCACATTAGAGAATGTACAATGTAACAAGCAACCTGTAAGCATTTTATCTGTTCTCTGTTCTGGAAAATTCTGTGTACCGAGTGCCTATAGTGTGCCAAGCAATAGAAGAGGGAATGAGGTGAAATTAAGAGTCTGTTTGGGTGGAGCAGGTCTAGGTCAGAAGTCTACTTGCTACCCGTGTAGCCCTGGGAAAGTCACCTAGTTAGAATAAACTTATAAAAAGGGCAAAATAATATCAGTTGCTTAGGACCAATGCCTTTGGGGATGCTTGCCCAGCCATAGCCTCACTTCTCAAAGATCCACCTTCCAAGCAGGGAGGGCTGCATGGCCATGCAGTCTGCTGTTTCACAGGGGGTGAGTCACTCAGAACAAATGTTCGGTGGAGTCATACTGCTTGTCCTTGAGCCAAGATACCAGGCCTCCCCCCGGTGATTCCCTCTTTTTGCTCAACATTTTCTGAGTGGTTTCTGTAACTCACAATCAAACCTCCAGCAAGCTGCCCTTTGTTAATGTAATTGGAAAATAAAAGAATAAAATGTGTTTAGTAGCGTTATTCTCCCATGTTGTCTGTCAGATTGAGACGGACATCTGGCCCAAGATGGGCCTATCCGTATGTCTCTGTTCAGCGTTTGGAATTGGGGCCTAGAGGCTCTGGTTCATCTTTGTAACCACCTGAAGGAAGGTGAGGAAACCCAGGAGCTGTAGGGCAGCCATTTTCTACCATGTGTAGGGAGAACCAAAGAAAGCTCCACTGCAGGTCAAGATGTGAGAAACAGAAGCACAGAGAGAAGCCAAGATGAGAGGCTGTGGCCTAGCTGAGGGGTCAGTGGAGCCGATGTCTCTGTTTCCTATGACGCTGCAGCCTTACTTCCGGTTCCTCCTGGAGTGGAGCTGTTCTTCCTATCCTCAAGTTGTGAGGTCCCCGTGTCTCTCCCCCAGCAACTCCCTCTTTTACCTGAAGATAAATTGGATGAGTTTCAGTAAATCAAACCATCTCCAGCCTACCGACCCACTCCCTCATGAGTTGTAGCTATGAGCAAATGAGCCAGGGTGGCATGGGATGAGCATTTTGTAAACTTCGAAGCTCCCAGCGACCATGATGATCCATTGATTATTTTTTTTTTGAGACGGAGTCTAGCTCTGTCACCCAGTCTGGAGTGCAGTGGCGTGATCTCGGCTCACTGCAAGCTTGGCCTCCCAGGTTCATGCCATTCTCCTGCCTCAGCCTCCTGAGTAGCTGGGACTACAGGCGCCTGCCACCATGCCTGGCTAATTTTTTGTATTTTTTTTGTAGAGACGGGGTTTCACTGTGTTGGCCAGGATGGTCTTGATCTCCTGACCTCGTGATCCGCCCGCCTCGGCCTCCCAAAGTGCTGAGATTACAGGTGTGAGCCACTGCACCCAGCCAATCCATTGATTCTTTACCAAACCATGCTGGGAAGTAACTGTGAACTGGTAACCTCTTTGGTTTTTATTTTAAAATTTCATTTATCAGGTAACATTGTTCATCCAATTTTCTAAGGTGGAACTTGTGTCACATAGCAACAGTCTCAAGTCATGTATCTAAATTGTTTAAGTGTTCATGGGGAAGATGCCACATTAATCATATAATTTAGACTAATGTGAATATTTTATAGGGTTATACATTTCAAAGAAAGTAGAGCTGTTTGTTTTTGAATTTAAAATTAGATTTATGGATTTGAGGAGCACATACAAAAAATAATCGGATTCCTTGTGGTTCGAAACTGTAAGGTTGAAACAGTTGAAAGCAACAGAATTAGTGGACAGAAAAGAAAAGGTAATTCAAAGATAAGGAATAGAAGGTAAATACTAACAAACTTGGAAAAATATTTATAAATGAAACAGCTTGGATTTGGCAAATAAATGGAAAAGTATAGGAAATGAATGAAAGCATAAAAATATCAAGAAACAGGTGGGAAGAGCCTAATAAATTTTATTTCTTGACGTGCTCTTATCTCATTCTATTCATTCATTCATTTACCCTTTCATTTTATGTGACCTTTGCTCTTCTAGGTGCTGGGGCCATGGTGGTGAACAAAATAAAGTCTATGTTTTCATGAAGCTTACTTTCCAGTAAGGTTAGAAAGAAGTTGAAGAACCAAAAATGTGTAGACTGACGGGAAAGGGAATGGAAGGGAATAGTCATTGAACCGACATCTCATTTCCCTTACAGTGTCTCCACCACTCAGAAGGTGCCAAGTACCATGTGGATATTTTACCTTCATTCATTATGTCATTCAATCCTTATCACACTCTGAGGTAGGCAGGATTTCAAATGCCCATAGGGGCCAGCGGACTATGCAAAAGTGTATGGAGGCAAACTGGACAGCACTAAGTCTTCCAAAGGGACATCTACTGCTCAGCTACAGCTAGCTGTTGCCATGTGAGAGCAGGAGTTCACTGCTGCTAGATCTTTCCTTTTTCGAGAAAAACCTCAAGTCCATTTTTATGTGAAATCTGATTTTTTGAAAAGTTGGGTCAATTTAAAATCTCTCTGTAGCATTTGTGAAATGACATATGTATAAGATCATTACAAAACAGTTGTTTGTAATAGCAAGAGATTGGAAACAACCCAAATGTCAATCAACAGTGGAATGTATCAGCAAATTGTGGTCCATCTTACATAACTACTCTACAGCCTGGAAGAGTGGCAAAGAAGCTTTTTATGCAATAATATGAAACAGACTTCACAACATTGTTAAATGAAAAAAGCTAGGTGCACCTTTGTGTGTAATATCCTACCATATGTGTAAAGGAATGGGAAAAATATATGCATATATATATATATGTGCACACATGTATGCATTTGTTTGTATATGGAGTTTCTGAAAGCATATATGCATATGAACATATATTTGGCAAGTAGATAGAAACTATATATAAATGGACTATATATGTATGTATATCCATGCACATACCTATCTAGATAGATAGATCGATCAATAGATAAACTACTAGTATTTGTTGCCTCTGGGAAAGGAAACTGGATGGTTGAGTGATGAAATGGGAAAAAGACTTCTTTTTACCTTATCCTCTTTTGTATTGTTTGAATTTTGGGCCATGTAAATGTATTAATATTTTACCAAACAGAAGCTTTGGGAAGGGCCTGTGAACCATGAGAGACCGTTAGTTGTTTATTCTGGATGTCAGAAGTCATCTGAGTAGTTTGTGGCATTACTGTGATAGTCCAAGGGAGTTCAGTCACTCTGGGGCAGGAATCTCTGGTCTAGAACACACATAGAAGGTGAATGTTCTTCATTCATACTGAAGGTGATGGAGATGTAGATCTCTGCTCTTCCACCTCTCATGTGGATTTCAATCAAATTAAGATTGATTCCAGAAATCCTGTTCAGCCTGGACCTGCCTGGAACCTGTAGGGGAAGGTTGAACCTGAAGTTGGTCCCAGAAAGTCTTTGCTGGCTGTCAGGGATATCCTGACCTCTGGCAAAGACTCTATCTCTTTATCTCTTAACATTGTCATTAGGTTGGAGAAATTGGTATATTCATTTCCAGAAGCCCTTGGTCCTTTGTGGGGAGTTGGAGTGTTTGTTGGACCCTGAAACTGATAATATAGCATTATCTTGTGTTTTAGCTCTCTTAACCCCCAGAAGGAAACTTGGAGGACATAGAAAATTCATGCGTCTTAGAAGTAGGTAAGGCTAGAAGCCAGTCTGGGCATCCTCAGATCACAATTCACACACCACAGGGTTGTCTGAGATCCTGCAAGAACAGGCTGGGGTTCTGCTTATGTCTGCTGAGTTCCAACCAGCCCTGGTCACCACAGCGAGTTAGCAATTGCCTCTGTCTATGTTAGAATGGCATGTGCCCGAGGCAAGCCCCTATTTTCTCCTCTAACTCAGCCTTTACTCAGCAACCTCTCCTTTATTCTCTGTGGCTAAAAGATCTCAGCTTGCCTGGTGGCTTATGAAAAAGACCACTTGTTGCGATCCCGTTTGTCTCACTTCTGGGTGCCATACATGTCCTTTATAATACCAGGGACAGCTATCTGCCAAAACATAATGGGCATTTCTTGATCTGAATATAGTTTAGGTTTACTTAGATTTTCGCCACTTTGGGGTGTGGTATCTCTGGCTTTTACTGCAGGGCCTGGCTGCTGTCAGCTCTTTCTGGAGCTCTTAGGATCTTCTCTGTGCCCTGACATGTTCTGCATCAGTCAACATCTTAACAGGAAGCAGAATGCCATTCAGACATCCAGCTGAAGAGTATTTAATGAAGGGACATTTTGCAGAGTTAT
The DNA here is from genome assembly GCF_000001405.40 of Homo sapiens. Classification (NCBI taxonomy): domain Eukaryota; kingdom Metazoa; phylum Chordata; class Mammalia; order Primates; family Hominidae; genus Homo; species Homo sapiens. The sequence continues at coordinate 173,654,614 of NC_000002.12, read as the reverse complement.
GGGCAAGGTTAAAAGGACCTTCAAGGAGGCTGAGGCACCTATAGAAGAGTAACAGGGAGAAGCCTTTACTAACCCCAGTCCTGGAAGGGCAAAGGAGGGGAGTGCTGTTACCGGAGGATGGTGAGAACTTGAGCCAAAAAGGAGTAGCCTCCCACCCCCACCGCCACACTTGGAGCTGCAGTCAGAGAAGGATCCAACCCCTGCCAAACCCTGACGTGAAAGCAGGGAAGGAGTGGGAACGAACATTCCCAGCCCTCTCCCACCCTGCCGTTCGCCATTCTGCCAGTGCTTCCTATTGGCCACACCCAACCGAAAGCCAGAGAGCAAAGAGGCTTCAGCAAGGCAGACTGCAAAGGCAGCTTCCGGGTGGCAGGAGAGAGACGGCAGGGCAGCAAATGGATCAGAAGTCAAGATGGCAAGTGGGGCAATGAGCACAGCTGTCTAGGGACTGTCAGTGCCTCCGTGGGACCACCACTGTATCCAGAGGTGTCCTGAGTGGAATGTGAGACACATGGGTTCCTTTGGAACTGTCCCATGGCATGGGGAGTGAGGTGGGGGACACTGCCACTTTCCTGCCTTTAAAGTATCTAGTCTTGGCAGCCATTCCCATGGAATAATTTCCCTATTACTTTTTCCTATGAATAATCTACCTACCTTCCACTTTTAAAATTTTTAATTTTTTTCTTTTTTAAAATTTGAATAATTTTTTAAAAGCCCTCAAGGTTGACAAGGACTAGGATTGACAGTACTATGGCTTTTAGAAATCCCTGTTGTCCATTTAAATTTTAATGTTTCTATCATTTGTTCCTCAGTGTAAATTAACAGCCATGGCAGTGTGTTGGGTTTCTTTTCTGAAGTCGAGACTTTAAATTTAATTCAATAGCCGAGATTTACGGCGCTTCTATATTTCACACGGCAGAATCAATAATGTGACTGAAGTGAAGAAGATAAAAATTTATGGTATCTTGCAATTTAATGGTTGAAAAGATGCAATTGGAGAGATCATAAATTGTGAAGGAGTTTATGCTTCATTGCTCCTGATTCAGTGCTTGCTGTTAGAACTTGATTTGTGGCTATTCACAAGGTGTGATTAATGATGTGATCGATGCTTGCTTCAGTGCAGTAAAGCAGTTGTAATGCTCTTCATTAGAATAAATAAAATAAATTGACTGAAGCTTTATAAAAACTGTGTAACATTTAAAATCTAAAATGTCAATTTTTTTTCCTGTTACAATTTAGGTTTCTTCAGGCAGTTTCCACCTACATCACATCACTCATTGTCATTCTTTTTGGATGTTATAGAAATCCATGTGGGTTTGGGTAAGCTTTATGCAAAGCTCACTGAAGGGGAAAAGAAAGAGTTGAATAGGACCCGCAAAGCTGGGATATTGTGGCGGCTGTGCTTTTCCGTCCTCCTAATGTGCATTTTATCCTTCTTAAACACATGGAGTTAAAAGAAATCAACGCGGAAAATGACCCTTCTATTCATACATTTGCTAAAAAACAATGAAAGTGGATAGTTTTTATTTTTTAAGTGGGGTAGATACATACGCATCTCCATTGCCAGGGCCTGAGAGGGCACAGGCACACCCTTCAGACAACGTTGCTTTAATGTGGAGGTTTTGTTTGACATGCTTCTATTGTCAGCTCATGCTATGACTCAGAAAAAAATGAGCAAGCACAGAAGGGGTACGGCAGTCTCAATGTGTTTGCAAAGAATAAAGTAAGTCTAGATAATGCCTGGAGGGCCTTGGTGAGTCACTTGGGCCGGGAAAAGTTGCCTTTTTACACATGCGTAGAGATTCTTGCCAATTTGGGAACTTATTTATCACAATTGTAAACCAGCTGCCTTTGTTTCAATAACAATTTCTGACATTTATTACTGTCAAAGAAAACTTTAGGCATGTCCCAGAGAGAGGTACATGTCTCCAGAGGATACATTTGCTGGGTTCATTTCCTGCGATCATTTCTTCTTTTTGTAAATGCAAAAAGTTGCAAACAAGTGGCATGGTTAATCTATGGACTTAGATGGTCCTAACTGACTTGTGGGTGCTCCAATCCCAATACTAGTTGCAATTGTAGATTTACACAAGGCCCTGGTGTTGGCAAGCCTTTGTAATATGTTTCCATGACTCAAGCAGATTCCATTAGGATGAGTCTGGAAAGGTTTGGTATGGTGGCAGCTTTTGTTTTCCCTCCATGTCAAGGCCTGAAAGGGGTGAAGCAGCCTTGGGGGTGAGCCTCCTGGTTTTTTGCCTTTGACACCAAATTCATGTTCCTTCTTGTCACTTTGGGGTTCTGCAGGAGGATAGGGGTGGTGTGGGGAGGAATGCAGGGGGCAACCCATACATGGTAATTCTCAACTTTAAAGTATCAATTAAACTGGCTTCTCAGATTTTCCTCGTTTCCCTTAACGGATCCTTAACTCACTCTGTGTTTTCTGAATGATGAAGCACCTTGGTGTAGTAGAGACCTAACTTGCAAAAATACTTCCAGTAAAGAAAATGTGGTACATATATGCCACAGAATAGTATGCTGCCATAAAAAAGAAAAAAAGCATGTCCTTTGCAGCAGCATGGATGGAGCTGTAGGCCATTGTCTTAGGTGAACTAAATCAGAAATAGAAAACTAAATACTGCATGTTCTCACTTATAAGCAAGAGCTGAACAATGGACACATGGACATAAAGATGGAAATAATAGACACTGAAGCCTCCAAAAGGGGGGAGGTGGGAGAGAGTGAGAGTTGAAAAATTACCTATCAGATATAGTGTTCACTATGTGGGTAATGAGTACACTAGAAGCTCAATCCCTGCTAGTATGCAATATAGCCATGTAACAAACAAGCACATGTACCCTTGAGCCTAAAAAACACAACACAACAAAAACCCCAAAATACTTCCAGGTTGTCCGCATTTGGCAATCCTCAGTTCAGTGAATTTCCTTTTGCATTGGCATCTGGATGCTAAACAGGAAAGGGAATTTTTAAAGGTTTACAATATTATGTGCACTTGAGGGGCACTACCTGTTTGGGGGTGTAGGAGCTGGAGGATGCAAAGAAGGATTGATTAAAAATGAAAGGAGAGAGTAGGAAGAATGAACAGAGCTTGAATGAAACAGAATTATTTATCTCTGTGGGCTAGATTTCTGGGGGCTAATGGACATTAAGGGGTTGGCGGAAACTGAAGACTGTGTTATTTCATGGAGAACTGTCCTCGAAGTTGGAGGTGCAACAAGCCTCTAGTGTAAGCCTCATGCGAGTAAGGTCGTGTCTGATTGTCCTATCCATGTACCAGTGTCTAGAACAATGCTTGGCACCTACACCAAGCACTGAATAAATGTTCATTTAGCTTATGGTGTGAGGCAATGAATACATCTTTCTAAAGACTGTAGGCAGACCGAGCAACTGAGAAAATGTCAAGGGCCACCACTGAAAGCTTTACAAGTAAGAGCCTGTTAGGATGGCGAGGGTCTGAGGAAATTTGGAGAAAAAACCCTCAGCACAATCTTTAATAAGCGTCTGCGTCATCCCGATGAACGACTGTTGTGGTTTGGATGCTTATGGCTTTGATCTACCTTTCAGTCAACATATATGAGCAGTTTGGGGGGATAATAGAATGAGAATTCCCAAAATATTGTTGGAGGAGAAGGGAGCAATAGGTGTTGGCAGGGAAATTCCAGCCCAAGTATATAAATAACCAAAGGGAATTTTTTCATCAAATTGTGGGAAGCGGATGAACCAACCTCTCTGGGCCTGTTTTCCTATCCGTATTGGGGGCAAGGTGAGAGAAGCCGTAAGATGTTCCCTGGGGTTTCTTTCAACTCTGTGCTTTTTATGTTTCCTACCCTTGTTCTGTATCCTAAGCCCTTCTCTGCTACACAAAGATATGTCGTTATTTTTCTCTAAGGCTTTTTCCCCTTGACTTACCAAAGCACTGCTAACATATAACAATTCTCTTTTTTTAAAATAAGTTTTTTTTTCCTTCTTTTTTTTGAGACAGGGTCTCACTTTGTCACCCAGACTGGAGTACAGTGGCATGATCCTAGCTCACTGCAGCCTCGACCTCTTGGTTTCAAGCGATCCTCCTGCCTCAGCCTTCTGAGTAGCTGGGTCTGCAAGAGCGAACCAATATATGACTGTCTTTTTTTTTTTTTTTTTTTTTTTTTTTTTTTTTTTGTAGAGATGGAGTATACTATGTTGCCCAGGCTGGTCTCAAAATCCTGGCCTCAAGTGATCCCCTGGTCTCAGCCTCCCGAAGTGTTAACATTACAGGTGCGAGCCACTACTCCCAGTCGACATTTGTCAATCCTCCAACACGCAATGATACCTAGTAAAATGGACTGGTGTTTATGTATGAGATTTACAATTAGAAAAGAAAAACTTTAAATTTGGTATTAGCTAGACCTCCTTTCTGGAGCGGGGCAGCCACTGCCCTCCACAGGGAGGCTCTTCTGCTACTCCTGGGCATCCCTCGGTCCCCTTCCTCCCTGCACCCTGGCCTGCCACCACTGTGAGCATCTTTGTCCATGTCCTTCCTAGAAAAGGACCAGGCTTCTGCCTTGCCCTCTGAATCCAGTCCAGGAGAGGAGGAAAAGGCACAACCGCCCCAGTTTTGCCACAACTCGGCTCAAGCCAAAACCAAACTTTGAACATGAGGTCCTTTCACTTCTCTTTGCCCCAAATGCAGAACAGAATTTTGGCTTGATGTTTGCATCGCCCACTGAAATGTTTTATTTTGTTTTTGTTTTACTCCCTTAAAATATGTACACCCCGGCCCTTCATTTAAGCCTCCATCTCTAGTAATAAAAAGAACTGCCAAAGCTTTGTTTGTTTTTAAGATATCAGAGATTTCAGCGTCAGTTTGCTTTAAGGGATCAGAGCTGACCTATCTCCCTTTGACCAGCACACTTCAAGCACGTAGCTCTGATTAGGGCACAGGGTTGAGCCTCAGAAGGCCTATCTGGCTTTTCCAGAACAAATCTCAGGAATCTATTTTTTCTGCACCACTTAGGAAAATCAGGACTTCGGTTCATAGGTTTTGTAAATATTGAATTTTAAGTTTCTAGCCTGATTTTGTGGTAAAGAGAAGAGAAATAACTATAGTTTACAGCTGAAATTTGGTCTTGGGCTCCATTTTATGCTGTCTTCAGTTTAGATGTCTCATGGAAAATAAAGCAATTTCTTGATGGCTAATGTTTGTGGGTATGCAGAAATGAAACAGCCACACTACTACCTTTCTAATCATTTCCCCTTTCTGCCATATTTTGGAGCTGGTAATTATTCCAAGGTCAGTGAGTGTGATGTTAACCTGTCAAAGGAACTCAAGAAAAAAAGACTGCTATGCTCTCTGAAAATATAAAGCACTCTCTAAATGTTTAATAATAAAAACACTTCGTCACCAGATCATCTCTATTTTCTTTTTCTCTCTCCTCCCTTTGAATTTTGCTTACAGTTATATAGAATGTCATGAAAATAATAACTTTGCAAAGCACTCCCAAGTTTACCATGTACCTTCCCATATGTGATCTCATTTGGAGCTCGTAACAGCTGGGTGATCTCTGGTGGTTTATTAGACCCATTTTGCAGAGGAGAAGACTGAGGGATAGTCAATGGCTTGACCCTGTCCTGCTTGACCCGGCCAGGCCATGGCTGCCCCAGGACCCAGGTGAAGTTCTCCAGATCACCTGTTAGTGTTCCCTGACTGGCACAAATGCATCCCTCTGCATTGGAAACTACAGTCTGATTCTGTGTAAAGTCTAGCTGTGGGACTGCAGAACAGAAATCCAGTCTGCTACCTTTTATAAATCAAAGCAATTCTTTTACACAGTTTTCCCAGAAGGGTCAAGCCAACTCTCCTACAAACAGCCATCTTATCAAGTGCTTTCTGAAAGAATGTATCAGTCCCTCTGAGACCTGAGGTGACAGTTCACTGCGATTGCTGTCCTGCTCCCTCACAAAGTTGTCACGATTTAGGGGACAAGTAGGAGAGGAAGAAACAGTCTTCCTCATTCAAAGATTCCCAAACCGGTTCTACTTACGCTGTTTAAGCTTGCCAAACTTCTGACCCAATGCACGAGAGCGCTTTAGGTCAGGCTGATAGGCATTTGTGTACCTTCTAAGGGTGAAGACCCTTCCCTTTAACCAATCTGTGCTTGGGATTGCCATGTTTTCCTACACTGATGAAATAGAAGCTTTCTTTGTAAGTCTATTCTTACTCCCCATTTATCTTAGAAATGAAATTGCAAGTTCATTTTCTTAGCACCCTGTACCACCTACATTCCAGTGACCCCATTATATAAGGCAAACTGGATCTATACATCTCCTAAAATAACAGCTGCGTCAGGGCTGTGAACAGTCACCGAGAATCCCTCCCCGTCCTGCTTTCTCTGCGTGGCCAGCTGATGTATGGAGGGCAAAGACCGATGGGAAACCAGCCTCCAGGCTGCTGTGTACAGGCCCTGCAATAAGGCTGCTCTCATTAAGCCTTTGGGCTCCGCTGAATGGCTGGAGGCCTTCTCAGGAAGCTGCTTAGAAGATTGCTGAAGGACTCCTGCTGTTACATTTAGTTGAGTTTCTTTCCTTTTTCTCCAAGTTATCCCCTTATTAGAGAATCCTGTAAAACCAGGAGGAAGGAGAGGCAAGTTTTCTGGCTAGCTTATAGTCCTTCTGTCTCTCATTAAGGCCTCTTGGTCTGCGTATTCTGTGATGTGAACTTGTGAACTCAGTACTGCATACTTCACCAGCATTGCAAAACCAGCACTTAAAGATATCAAGGACCCAACAGCAGCTACCCAGCTCTCAGGAGGCAGGAACAAAAGCGCAGCCCCATTGTACTCTCCTGTCTACTTGTCCCTTTTTTTGCAGCTCACAGTTGATGGCATTTCAAGGAATAGGAATTGGACTATGGGATGCATTCTTACCCATCCTTGAGTTCCATGTATCATGGGTGAAGAGTACCTTTTTGGTTTCTGAAATGAATTCTGAGCACTTAGAGACAGGGAACTGGGTTTTACAAATCAGTGATGCTTTGAGTCTATAGGAAAACCCTCAGGATTACAGTGCTGAACACGGTCAATATGGGGCAATTAGGAATAAAGTAAAATAGAAGGAAGAAGGATTCTTTCTTAGGATGGCTCTGAAGACCTAACTACTGTGGTGGCGGGAACGGTTGGGGTTGCTCAGTGGGTGGAGGGTGGGAAATGTGTCATCTCAGACCTTTCATTCACTCTGGCACCTGCGACTCAGTCCTGGACTTGGCTCTTACGTTCCATCCCTGTCTTTCTGATGCAGCCTGCAGGACTAACCTGGTATAACTATGATCATGAGGCTTACTACTGATGACCCTAAGTATAGGATGGAGGTCATCAAACTAGGCCCCCAAGCCAAACTCAGCTGGCTCCCTGTTTTTGTAAATAAAGTTTTATTGGAACACAACTAGACTTATTAGTTTAGGTATTGTCTCCGGCTGCTTTCACACTACAATGGCAGAGCAGGTGCAAAGCCTGAAATATTTACTCTGTGGTCCTTTATAGAAAAACTTTGCCAAATACTGGAATAGGGACTGCCGAAGGGCAAGATGTGCTTAATGGATTTAGAATCAAGAGATGAGATATTACAGGTATGATGGCTTCAGAACAAATTACCCCAAAACTCAGTAAATGGCATAAAACAACCATTCCTTATGCTCATGGATTCTTCTGTTCAGGGTAGGGCACAGTGAGGATGTCTCTGCCTCATAGTGTGGAAGACTCGAACAGGGTTCAAAAGATAGTGCCCTTCAGGTATCTCTCTCTGCAGTCTCTCTCTCTCTTTCTCTCTCTCTCAGTGCCACATTTGTGCAATCAGCAGCACACACAGGAGCAGAGTTCATTTGAGACAGGATGGTGGGGAAGGGCTCATGGAAGAGATGAAACTTGAATGTGGCCTTAAAAGATGTGACTGGACAAAGACAAATCCACTGAGAGACAGAGACAGCATCACTTCCGTTGCAATCTGTTGGTTGCAGTAGTTACAAAGTTCCATCCAGGTTCAAGAGGAGACAACATAGACCCCACTTGTTGATAGAGGAATGTCACTGCCTCATTTTAAGAAAAATATGTTGGAGTTTTATATATGTGTATACCTCTATCTTTGGAAAATCTGCCACTTGGGGTAGACCTCTGACCCAGAGAAACTCTGTCTTCACACTACTTCGTCCTCATTGCTGGCCTTCTTTTGTTCCCCACCCATGCCTACTGAATTCAGAATGTCCTCTCCCTGGACTCTCTGCCTGCAGTCACTTGCCCCTTACAGCCTAGACTATATAGCCTATGGATATAGGCTATATACACATCTTTCTCTGCAGAGCCACTGGTTTCCTCTGAAGCTTTTGACGCCTTCCCATTCTTAGCCAGCTTTCAGCATCCTCAGCCTCTGGACTTCCCTTAACTCTCACGCCATTGTGTTCCCGCCGTGGACTCTCCCTGCAGGCTCTTCAGGGCTCCCCAGTAGACCCTAGCCACATGGTGCTCCTTCTCAGTTGGGGCCTCCTGCCCCAATGTCCTCTGCCCTCTCTGGATTTATCTTTGTCCAGTCACATCTTTTAAGGCCACATTCAAGTTTCATCTCTTCCATGAGCCCTTCCCCACCATCCTGTCTCAAATGAACTCTGCTCCTGTGTGTGCTGTTGATTGCACGAATATGGCACTTAGCAAGTGCTGCCTGGCTTATGATGAGGAGCCTGACTCCTACTTCTTTGTATTCCTCCTGTGCTTCCCCAACACCATGTAAGCATTTCTTGATGTTGATCTGCATGGTACAGGTTGAGTGTCCCTTATCTGAAATTTGGGACCAAATTTTTTTGGATTTCAGATTTTTTCAGATTTTGGAATATTTGCATATACACAATGAGATATCTTGGGGATGAGACCCAAAACTAAACACAAAATTATTCGTGTTTTATATATGCCTCATACACGTAGCCTGAAGGTAATTTTATACAATATTTTAAATAATTTTGTGCATGAAATAAAGTTTGTGTACCTTGAACCATCCAGAAAGCAAAGGTGTCACTTTCTCAGCCACCCATGGGGACAATCTGTGGTTGTTTGGCATCACCATCATTCGTGATTCTGGATTTATATGCTCCTGATAAGCAATCATTTTCTTACATTTATTTAATTGTAAGTACTTAACAGTAAAAAATATGGCATACCATTAATACAGTGAAAAGATAATGTGTTCAGGGTAACTCAGCAGCACAGCAACATCACCAGAATACCCGTGTCAGCTGTTAGAAAACAACGACAACCAACAACGGCAGGCTTTCAGTCTCCATCTATGATGCTGGGCTTTGAATAAAAGATACACTGTATTTTCTTTTCTGGTGAGAAGAAACATCAGGAGTTGAGGGACCAGGAAGTGGGTCCTTTAGGCGTGGGGAGGCATTCTGCTGGATGGCTTTTTAGATGTTTCCTCCAGAATCATCAGCCTCATTAACAACAGTTTTTGTCTTAGGAGTTTCTCTTTGATTTTATAAACTGACATTTTTTTTTGTTCTGCAATGAATGCATGCTGCTCTAGTCCTTCCATAAGCCCACCACACATTTTCAGCATGTGGTCTATAGGCAATTCTGCAGAGTTAACAAGGTCGTCTCATCATCACTATTATCATGATCACCTTGATTCAGAACCATTTTGGCCGTTTAACCACTGGTCAATGAATGAACAACTGGAGCCTCATTATTGATGTTAAAAACTTCTTTGATACCCGCTTCTTCCAGCTTGCTGACAGACTCTGAGGTATGTACCTTGCATAAGTAAGGGGGCCAGGCATCTTTTTTTTTCTCATTAGATATACAGAATCCTTCACAGTTACCACCTTGTCCATCATGATCACTCAACATAATTGCACAGACAGAAGTTGTGCCAGACATGCACAACTGTGTCTTTAGTCACTGTGTTTCAGACCTTGGTAAGAGTAGATATGGCATCTTTCATGCTAACTTCTTTTGAAAACCTTCCACACTCATGCCTCTGTTCACTGCTGCTAGCATGCTGTTCAAGAAAGTGTATTTTTGTATTTACTCTTCACTGATCCCAGGATACCCTGGTTACATGGCTGAGTTAAAGAAGTCACACTGGGGGAAAATACATGGCATCAACATTATTTTTATGAGAATTTTAGCTGGAGGATGAGGAGAACGATTGTCAAGGAATAACAAAATCTTGCAGTTATCATCCAGCCTGGTTTCCCTGCAGTGAGCATGAGTCACTGGTACAAAATGTTTATGAAACCAGTCAGAAATGATGTCCCTGGTGATCCACGCCTTTTTGTTAGTATAATAATAGACTGGTAAGAAATTCATTCCTTGAAAATACCAAGGATGCAAGTTTTTGCTTATCATGGCAAGTTTACACTTAGTGTGCCTGCCGCATTATCACATCCAAACACAGTTATTCTGTCCTTAGCATTCTTAATTACTTAGGCACTGTCTCATCAGTGGTAGTCGGTGTCTTTCCGTGACAATAACACCAAAACAGTGATGTTTCGTCAGTGTTATAGACTTGCTCTGGCATCAGATTTTCATTAGCAATGACCCTGGCAAACTTGTTAATAAATTTGTCCGCTTCTTTGTGATCAACAGATGCTTTGTCACCACAAATCTTTACAAATTTAATGCCATGTCTTTTCTTAAACCAGCCTGTTGAATATTCACAGTTCCCTTCAATTTTGAGTTCATCATGGTGTATCTTCTCTTGTTTCATGATCATCATACCATTAAGAGGCCTAGTGACTCCGATGAATCCACATTTCAATACAGAATCAAGTTCTTCATTTTTAGCTTTATGCAGTGTTTTTCTGTTTTTAAAATTAACTTCTGTTCATCACTTTCAGCACAGAACTTTAACAGTTTATCCTTCTGTTTTCTCAGGTCATATATTGTGGTCATTCCAACACCATACTCTTCCATAAGATGCTTCACACTTACACTGCTGTCTAGTTTCTCCAACAGCTTGACTTTCTGTGCTATAAATAAACATAAACATTTCCTCTTTTTCTTGTCACTGTTACCCACAAAGGAATCTTCAGGTCTTTTTGACATTTTTAATAATATCTTTGCATCACAGAGCAGAGAATAAGCAAAAAATATAGTGACTACATGTATTTTGATATATGCCTTATACACTTAGCCTGAAGGTAATTTTATACAATATTTTAAATAATTTTGTGCATGAAATAAAGTTTGTGTACCTTGAACCATCAGAAAGCAAAGATGTTACTGTCTCGATCCCACGTGGGGCATCATGGGGAACCTGCTGTTGGCACATCCAGACTGCTCACATGTCATTTCATTACACTTTGTGGGTGTGTTTGCATGGGAGAATCTAGGTATGAATGGAAAAGATATCACCGCCAAAGAGGACTTGGAAGGTCTTTTTCCTTTCACACACATAAACTGTGTGTCACAACACACAGTTTTGACTAAGACCTGTCACATGAAGTCAGGTGCAGAATTGTCCCCTTGTGGTGTCAAGTTGATGGTCAAAAAGTTGCAGATTTTGGAGCATTTTGGATTTCAGATTTTCAGAAGTGTTATGGATCCTTAACATGTATATTTTTTTCTCAAGTTTTTTATGGAAATATGCATATGGAGCCTGATGCCAAATAAATATCTAAGCTCTCCTAGCTCACATTTAAAATTCACCTAACATGAATAAGAAATAAAGTAGAGAGGCATGCCGCCTCATTCATCTGAACATTTTTAGATTCTGATCAGAAGTAAATATAAGGTATCTTTCACACAGAAATTTAAGAAAAGCATGGGGGGAAAGAGACAAATGAGAATAGACAGAGTAGAGCAGAATTTGTCTAAAATGACTAAGAATTTGTCTTAAATGACTAAGAAGATCTTATATCCTACACCAACTCTATCTTATATTTTCTTGAAAAAAAAACAGCAAGAAAGCTCATTTAAGAGTTTTCACAACATGCCCCTCTAAGCTTTTCTATTTGGGTATGTCAGGAAAGCTATACTGAATATTTGCCAAAAGATGGCTCTCATTTATGTTTGGGTCCTAAATGAACTAATTTCCCTGGTTGCCTTGAATTCTCTTCGTTGTTTTTTTCAATAAAGGCAGCAATCAGTGTATCATGGAAGATGGAGAAAGATCTCTCCCCAAACACACACCACACACACACACACACACACACACACACACACGCACATACACACACACATACACCATCTATTTTTGTCTGGTTTGCCATTTCTATGACTGGTATGTAATAGTTCCTCTCTAGATCGCTCACAGTTCATTAAGGGGTTGCTCAATTTATTAGGAACCAATCATGCATTTATACATTCTTTTATCTGAAGTGCATTTTTAAATGTTAGACCATACACTAATCAAGTTGAACATGATAATGAGCGCACGTTCACATTGTTAAGGTAAATGACCCAATGCACTTACAGTGAAGACATATTTGAACTACAATTTGCCTTTTCATCGCAATATGGAACACTCCCAGCAAGGGTCAGGATGCTGTTGGCAACTGCCTTGGGAAGATTCAATTAGTTTCACATTTACAGCCAGACCCTTTTTGGTGCCCTGTCACTATTTTCCATTATCCTGTGAAAATACAGCAGAGACAAGATGCAAAATTTGGGACAAAGAAGCATTTTGTAGAATGACAGAGTCAAGTTTTGATAATTTCTAAGTAGTGGAGAGAGGAGCAGGTGGGTGAATGGCCCTAAATAGCTGAAAGTCTGAAAATAATGTATGTTTATTTACATTTGGAACACATTTTGGTGCATGGTTTTCAATTAAGTGGGATTTGTTTTAAAAACAATAATGAAACCACATGTAGAGAAATTACTCAGGAGAAGCTGGAAGAATCTCTATTCCCCCTTTTTCACTCCACTTGGCTCCGCTCATCCCTATATTCTATTGCACGCTGGGATTGAATCTACTGAATTGCAGATCCAAGCTGAGTAGGAGTTTGAAGGAAGTTGCCATGAAAGAGGGTTGGGGGTAGTTAAGGACTTGATTTCTCTTCTGTCTTATATACAATGAGCAGCACAAGTATTTTAGAATAGATAGAAACAGTCTGTAAATCTGAAATAATGTGTCCTGGCATAAGTTCCCTAGCACAGACAGAGCTGAATGCAGATATTCTCTAGGTTGAACAAGGTCTCACTGTCACATCATCATTTGATGGCTGAATGTACTAAAATCCAAAAAGAGTGGCATATTTGCTGAAGAGTAGGAATACTGTGATTAAGCCTTTTGGAAAACAGGTAAAGGCTTTTTGGAACTCACTAAAGGAAATATAGAAGGCATGCCAAGTCATAGTCCTTGCCAGGCATTTCATCCATATAAATATTTAGTTTTCTAATATTCCCTTCTGATGTTCCGGAAGAAAAGGATAGAATCTGACACCTCCTCCATACCACACTTAACACCCTTTCGCTTATTTGATGGTATTACAGATGAACAGTTGAACAACCTCACGTGGGAGCTAAGTTTAAGTCATATTTCTCAATATGCTGGTTTTAGAATGAGTTGGTTTCACTGCATAAATGCGTATCGAACCAGGCAAAAAAGACAAAGAAGATGGGACTGTGTGTGTGTGTGTGTGTGTGAGAGAGAGAGAGAGAGAGGGAAGAGCGAAAGAGAATGGGATTCATTTTCACACTAGGGAGCTTCTGGAGCTAGTCTCTTGCTTTGTCTCTTCATTGTCGTGTAATTACCATCACCAGGTAATACTTACTGAGCACCCTGGTGAGCTCAGCTTTGCTGACCATTTTGCACTTACTTAAAACATCCTCATCATTGCTCAGTAGAAGCTTATGAGCTGATGAAGAACTGACCATGAATCCAGATGAGGAATATCAAGCAACTGTTGTTCTGCATGACATATGGGACAAACTTTAAACATGGAGGGCTATCGCTAGCTGTTTCAGTTTGAATTCCCTAGGCCTCAGTTTGGAGAATTGGACCATGGTCTCTTTATACTCTAACATTCTATTTTTTAATTTATTATTTTCATTTTCATTTATGAACAAACCAAAACTTTCTAAGTTTCATCAAGGACATTATTATAAAGTGTGACATTTTTAACATAAGTGCTTCTCATGTATTATTTCATCCTCATAACAACCCACAACTAACTACTGGAATTCGTATTAGGCTAATGAGAAAAATGAAGTAGCCAAGGACATCTAGTAAGTGGTGGAGCTGGGATCTCAACTTGTTTGATCAGTCTCCTGAGACTGGGGACATGACCACTGAGCTATGCTGACTCCTCACTTCTCCAACCCGTCATAAGTGTCTTCGATTGTGTACTGGATGAAACAGCAGACAGTTGAAGTACCCTGCCTTGGAGTGCTACAGTATCTTTGGGACATAGTTTAACGTTTGATCTTCTAGAACCTCCGCGTCATGGTTTCACCAGCCATCAGCTCTAATACACAACTATCATTTGCACAACTCTTGATTCCTGAAAATTAGCTAGGTCACTAAGTATGTCAGCTGTAATAATGTAGCAGCTAATTCTTTTAAAAACAGAAAACTGTATATTAGAACTGCCACTGGCAATAAATCTGACCTAGACCATCTATCCTCTCTTAGCTGGAAATTTATCATTATGTAGAAAGTGATTTTGTTCTTTCCAAACCCTCAGCCACCAACTGGGCCAGTTTTTTGCTTCTGCATATTTCATTGAAGTTGCTGCTTGGAAAACAACCAACCATAATTACTTATTTATGTGCATATTTCTGAAACTGTAATAATCGGTGAACCTGCCTTGGATATTTCTGACAACTTGGTTTGCATGAAAGTCCATCAATTTTGTCCTTAAATTCTTTGTTCCTGATGAACTTCTGTAAAAATCTTTGTTCTGGAATAAGAGATGTTCTTTCTAATTCCTCCAAACTGTGTCTCCTGCTCCCATTGTTAACAAAATCACTAGCTTTCCTCTTTATCTCTCTGGTTCCTTTGTTTCACGTTGTTCTCCTCTTTTTCATTTGTTACCCATGTAATACATGTCATTTTTGGAAAATCAGAAATTGTAAATAAGCAAAAGAAGAGAAGGATGAGGAGGAAGAAAGGAGGAAAAAAGGGGAGGAGAAAAACAAGCTGTTTCAATCTTTTGGTGCTTATGCCCTCTCCCAACCATATAAATATGTACACATATTTTTACTAAAATGTCTACATTGGTGAATAGTTGACATATAATAAATTGCAAATGTAATACATTATATGTAATAGAATTAAGTTAAATTAATTGCACATATAATAAATTGCAGTGTACAATTTAATGTTTTCACGTATGTACATACCTGTGAAACGATGACCACAGTTAAGACAGTGGACATACCCAGCCCCCTCAAAGTGATGGGAATGCAATTGTCACTTGCAATCCCTCCATCCTGCCTCTGATTTCCTGCCCTCCCCCTTATTGTCCATCATTAGGCAACTATAGATCTGCTTTTTGTCACTATAGGTTAAATTTTCTAGAATTTTATATACATGGTGTCATACATTATGTACTGTTTTTTATCTGGCTCTTTCACTCAGCATAAATTATCTTGAGATTCATCCATGTTGTAGCATGGTGATTAATTGTTTACCCCTTTTCACTGCTGAATAGAATTCCATTTTGTGGATATTCCAGTTTGTTTATCCTTCTACCCATTAAGGAGATTTGGTTTGTTTCCTCTTTTGGCTATTATAAATCAAGCTTCTATGGACATTTGTATAAAATTCTTTGTATGGATATAAGCTTTATTTCTCTTGGTTAGAAACCTAGGAGTGGAATGACTGAATAACACAGTAGTATGTTTAACTTTTTATGAAACTGCCAAATTGTTTCCAAGTGCTTGTACCACTTTTCATTTCCACCAGCAGTACATGAGAATTTCAATTCCTCTATGTTTTTGCCAACTCTTGATGTGGTTAGTTTTTACGTTTTTGGATATTATAATAGATGCATAATGATACCTCATTGTAGTTTTAATGTGCATTTCCCAAAGACTAATGACACTGAGCATCTTTTCCATGGACGTATGTGCCAACATATATCCTCTTCTAAAAATTGGGTATTTTTTGTTATTGAGTTTTGAGAGTTCTTGTTATATTCTGGATGCAAATGCTTTATCAAATATATGATTTGCAAATATGTCTCCAAGTCTGTAGCTTGACAGTGTCTTTTGTAGAGCAGAAGGTTTTCATTCTGATACAGTTATTATTTTTAATACTTTTAGTGTCATATGTAAGAAATCTTTGCCTAACCGAAGATCATAAAGGTTTTCTCCTATGCTTTCTTCTAGAAATTTTATAGTTGAATATTCTATTAGGTTTATGATCTGGTTTGAATCAATTTTTATATGGTGCGAGGTATGCATCAATGTTCTCCTCCTGCCTCCTCCTCCTTCTTCTTCTTCATTATGGATACTCAATTGGTCCAGCATCATTTGTTGAAAATATTATCCCTTCTCTACATTTTTGTCGAAAGTCAGTTGTCCTTATATGTGAGTCTGTTATTGGAATCTATTCTGTTATATTGATCTACTTGTCTATCTTTACACGAATACCACACTATCTTTATAACACATTTTGAAATTAGGCAATACTCCAACTTAGCTCTTTTTCGGAGTTATTTTGGTTATTCAGGTTTTTTGTGTTTCCATTACACATACATTTGATAAATCAGCTTGTCAACTTCTATTAAAAACGCTGCTGGGATTTTGACTGGGGTAATTTTGATTCTTTGTATAAATTTGAAAGGAATCAACATCTTAATAATATTGAGTCTCCTGACCCACGAATGTGGTCTTTATCTCCATTTATTTAGGTCTTCTTTAATTTCTATCAGCAGTATTTTGCAGTTTTTAGTGCACAGGTCTTTCGAATTTTTTGTCAGATTTACTTTTACATTATTCTAAATGGTATGCTTAAAATTTTCAATTTTCAATTGTTCTTTGTTGGTATATAGAAGTACTGATTTTTGTATATCGATCTTGTATCCTGCAACCATTATTATTACTTCTAGCAGCTTTCTTGGAGATTTATTTGTAGTCCATATAGAGAGTCACATTGTCTGCAAAGACAACTTCACTTCTATCCTTCTAATTTGGATATCTTTTGTTTCTTTTTCTTGGCTTACTCCCCTGCCTAGAATCTCCAGTGCACTGTTAAATACCAACATTGAGGGTGGATATCCTTGTCTTGTTTCTGATATCAGGAGGAAAGCATTCAGTCTTTTACTGTTAGTTGTAGGTTCCATATAGATGTGCTTTATCAAGTTGCAGAAGCTCACTTTAAAAAATCTTTTAAATGGACAAATAATAATTGTACATATTCATGGGATACATAGTGACATTTTGATATATATATATATATAATGTAGAGTTATCAGATCAGGGTAATCATATCCATTATCTCAACATTTATCCTTTCTTTGTATTGGGAACATTCAATATCCTCCTCCTATCTATTTGAATCTATATATTATTGTTAACTATAGTCATCCTCCAGTGATACAGAACCCTAGAATGTATCCCTCCTATCTAGCTGTACTTTTATATCCTTTAACAAATCTCTCCCAATCTCTTCCTTTCTCCTACTCTTCCAAGCCTCTACTATCTTCTGTTCTACTTTTTACTTACATGAGATTAACTTTTTTAAAAAAGTTCCACATATGAGTGAGAACATGCAGTGTTTAACTTTCTGTTCCTGACTTATTTCACTTAACATAATGTCCTCCAGTTTCATCCATGTTGCTGTCAATGGCAGGAATTCATTCTTTTTTATGACAGAATAGTATTTCATTGTATATATATACTACATTTTCTTTATCCATTCATCTGTTGGAAGTTCAATTTTATTCCTAGTTTGTTGAGAGTTTTTTTTCAGGGGTGAGTATTAGATTTCATTCAATGCTTTGTCTGCATTTTTTAGGTAATCTTAAGAATTTTCTTTTTATAGTTTGTTAATATTGTGAATTATTTTGACTGATTTTTATGCCTGAGTCATGCTATCTTAGCACATTTATATATTACTGAATTTGACTTGCTTTGTTTATACTTTTTGTATCTGTATTCATGAGGTCTGTTTGTCCATAGTTTTCTTGCAATGTCTTTGATTTTGGTATCAGGGTAAGTCTGGTTTCATACGATGTGTTTGGAAGTCTTATCTTCTTTTCAATTATTGGAAAGTTTGTATAGAATTGGCATTATTTTTTCCTTAAGTATTTGGTAGGATTCTAGTAAAGCAATCTGGGCCCAGAGTTTTCTTTTTTGGAAGATTTTTAATTCCAAATTCAATATCTTTAATAGATATAGGGCTATTAAAATTATGTATTTCCCAGCGCTTTGGGAGACTGAGGTGGGTGGATCACCTGAGGTTAGGAGTTCGAGACCAGCATGGCCAACATGGTGAAACCTGGTCTCTATTAAAAATACAAAAATTAGCTTGGCGTGGTGGCAAGCGTCTGTAATCCCAGCTACTTGGGAGGCTGAGGCAGGAGAATCACTTGAACCCGGGAGGCGGAGGTTGCAGTGAGCCAAGATCGTGCCACTGCACTCCAGCCTGGGTGACAGAGTGAAACTCTGTCTCACAAAAAATATGTATTTCTTCTTGAGTTAACTTTGGTTGTTCATGTCTTCTAAGGAATTTGCCCATTTCTTCTCGGTTGTTGAATTTTTTGGCATGAAGTTGTTCATAATATTCCCTTATTGTCCTTGTAACAGGATATGTCATGAATTCACTACTCTCATTTCTGATTTTGATAATTTGTATAATCACTTTCTTTTTCCTGATCAGTCTGACTGGAGGTTATAAATTTCACTGATTTTTTTCAAACATCCAGCTTTTTGTTTTATTGCTTTTTCCTTTTGTGTTTTGTTTTCTATGTCTTTTATTTCCTGCTCTAATCTTCATTATTTTCTTTCTTCCTCTTATAAATTTGCTTTTCTTTGTATAGTTTCTTAAGCTGGAAGCTGAAGACATTGATTTGAGATCTTTTTTCTTTTCTAAAACAGGCATTTCTACAAGTTCCCTCCAAGTACTGCCTCAGCAGCATCCTACAGATTCTATGACATTGTGTTTTCATTTTCATTTGGTCCAAAATATTTTGTAATTTCATTTTTGATTGCTTATTTGCCCCATAGATTATTTAGAAGTGTGCTATTAATTTCTGAATATTTAGAGATTTTCCAGAAATCTTTTTGTTATTGAATTTAATTCCACTGTAGTTAGAAAACAAAACATGTATAACTTGTATCCCTTTAACTTTAGTAAGACTTGTCTTATGGCCCAGAATATGGTCTGTGCTATAGTCTAAATATTTATGTCCTCCTCAAATTGTTACAGTGAAATTCTTACCCTAGGGTGATGATATTACAAGATAAGGCCTTTGGGAGATGATTAGGTCATGATGGCAGAGCCCTTATGAATGGGATTAATGCCCTTATAAAAGAGATCCCAGAGAAGCCCTTGCATCTTCCACCATGTAAGAACACAGTGCGAAAGTGCTGTCTGTGTACCAAGAAGTGGGCTGTCACCAGACACTGAGTATGTCAACATCTTGATTTTGGACTTCCCAGCCTCCAGAACTGTGAGAAATAAATTTATGTTGTTCATAAACCACCCAGTTTACAGCATTTTCTTACGGCAGCCTGAATGAACAAAGACAGTCTATCTTTAGAACTGTTCTGTAAGTACTCGAAAAGAGTGCATATTCTGCTGCTGTTGGGTGGAGTGTTCTCTAATGTCAATTAGGTCTCATTGGTTGATAGTGTTGCTCAAACATTCTATACCCTTACTTTCTTGTCTACTTATCAATTGTTGAGAGAAGGCAGTTGAAATCTTTGACTATAAATGCAGATTTTTCTATTTCTCCTAGAAGTTCTTTCCATTTTTGTTCCCATGTATTTTACAGATACGTGATTATGGGCATAAACATTTAGAATTCTTAAGTCTTTTTAACAAACCCTTTATCATGATAAAATGCCTTTTTAAATCTCTGGTAATATTCTTTGCTCCAAAATCTTCATTGTCTGATATTGAATATAGCCACTTCAGCTTTCATTTGAATGGCATTAACATGGTATATCTTTTCCCATTCTTTAGCTTTTAATACATGTGTTTTAATATTTTAAATGCATTTTCTGTAGACAGCATATAGTTGAGTCTTGCTTTTAAAAATATATCCAGATAGTCTATTCCTTTTAATTATAGAATTGAGACCACTGTATTTAATTTGGTTGATGATATGTTTCATTTTAAATCGATCACCTTGCTATTTCTTCTCTATTTTTCTGTTTTCTGTATTGTTCCATGTGTTCTTTGTTATCCTTTTTCTCTTTTTCTGTCCTCTTGTGTATTGATTGATTTTTTTATGATTACATTTTATCACATTTGTTAGTTTATTAGGTATAACTCTTTGGTTGTTTTTTAAAAATGAACAGTCAAGGATCTTTTAAAGTTGCTTTGTAGAGATTTAAATAATAAGAAAAAATACCTTGTATATTCTACTTACCATTTTTTATGCTTTTCATTGCTTTGTATAGATTCATATTTCCACATATAATCATTTTCCCTTCGCCTGAAAGACTTAAAAATATTTTTTGTACTACAAGTCTGCTAGTAATAAATTCTTTCAGATTTTGTATGCTTGAAAATATCTTATTTTGTCTTCATTTTTGAAAGATATTATCACTGCACATAGAATCTAAATTGACAATTTTTTTTCTTTCCGTACTTAAAGATGCTACTACCCTGTCTTCTTGCTTGCATTCCTTCTGCAGGGAGCCTGCTGTCATCCTTATCTGTTCTTCTGTAGCATGTCTGTTTATTTATTTATTTTTTTTCTGGCTTCCTTTGAGATTTTCTTTCTATCACTGGTTTTGAACAAGTTGATTATAATGTGCCTTGGTGTAGTTTCCTTCTTGTTTCTTTGTTTTGTTTTATTTTTTGAGACGGAGTCTCGCTGTGTCGCCCAGGCTGGAGTGCAGTGGTGCGATCTTGGCTCACTGCAAGCTCTGTCTCCTGGGTTCACACCATTCTCCTGCCTCAGTATCCCGAGTAGCTGGGACTACAGGCGCCCGCCACCACACCCAGCTAATTTTTTGTATTTTTAGTAGAGACGGGGTTTCACCGTGTTAGCCAGGATGGTCTCGATCTCCTGACCTCATGATCCGCCCGCCTCGGCCTCCTAAAATGCTGGGATTACAGGCGTGAGCCACCGCGCCTGGCCCCTCCTTCTTGTTTCTTTGAGTGCTTGGGGTTTGTTGAGTTTCTTGAATCTACATAATTATAGTTTTCATCAAATTTGAAAACTTTTTGGCCATTATTTATTCAAATATTCTTTTCTTTACCCATCTTTGTCTCTTCTTTTAGGAACTCTTCATATATATACTAGGCTTCTTAAAGTTGTCCCACAGCACACCAAATCTCTGTTCATATTTTTTAAATTATCTTTTTACTCCAGGTTTTATTTTTGACAATTTTTATTTCTATGTCTTCAAATTTACTAATCCTTTATTCTTCATGTGAAATCTACCATTAATCCCATTCAGTGTTTTTTTAATCTTAGATATTGTATATTTAATCCCCCAAAGTTTGACTGGGGCCTTCTTAAAAAATATTTCCGTGTCTTTACATAACTTTTAAAAATACAAATCACAATTACAACAACTCCTTTAGCATCCTTGTCCTGCCAATTCTAACATCTGTGTCATGGTTTTTCTCCTCATTATGGATTGCATTTCACCTCTTCTTTGCATGTCTGGTAATTGTGATTAGATGTCAGCCATTCTGAACATTACTTGCTGTGTGCTGGACATTTTTGTATTTCTATAAGTATTATTGAGCTTTGTTTTTGACACAGTTAACTTACTTTCAAAGAATTTAATCTTTTTAAACCCTCTTTTAAGATTTACCAGGCAGGATTGAAGCAGTGCTCGATCTAATTATTGTTAGATTGTTAGTGTTGCTAATTATTTTCCATTAGTGAAGGAAGACTCTCTGTATACCCTACCCAAGCCCCAATGTATCTTGAAATTTTCCAGTCAGTCTGGGTACAGGAGAGGGCAACTGGCACTATGCCTGGCCCTATTTGTGTGTCAGGCAGTGTTCTCTCATTCTTGTGAGTGGCCTCAGCTAATTTTCTCATATGCATGCACTGATCAGTACTCAGCTGAATACTCAAAAATGACCCTCTGCCTATTTCCAGTTTTCTCTCTGTACAGCTCTCTCTTTTCAGATGCTCTGTTCTGCAAACCCAGGCAGAGACCAGTTGATTCTATGAGTTCCAGAGGTGGAAGAGAAAGTACTTTCTGCCTGGGTTTCTCCTCCTTGCACTGCAGTCCAGAAACTCTCAAAGCAGTAAGCTAGGAAGGTAGCAGGGCTCACCTCATTTATTTTCCATTTCTGGGAGATCACTATCCTTTGTTGACAGATGTACACATAGCATCGTAAAAATTATTATTATTATTATTATTATTATTATTATTATTGAGATGGAGTCTCGCTCTGTCACCTAGGCTGGAGTGCAATGGCACGATCTCAGCTCACTGCAAGTGGTTCAAGTGATTCTCCTGCCTCAGCCTCCTGAGTAGCTGGGATTACAGGTGTAAACCACTGCACCTGGCCTGAAAATTATTTTTTACACATTTTGCCCATTTTTTTGGTCATTTCTGACATAAGGATAAATCTGTTTGCTGTTACTCCATCTTGGCCAGAACCAGAATTTCATCCATTAAATTTTTTAATTTCAGTGTTTTACTTTAAAATATTTAAAGAATTTATCTTGACATAAAAATGATTTTCACAGTACTATTTTAAATGGCTGTATAGTATTCTACCATTTGAACAGACCAGAACTTTCTAAGACAATTTCTTATTATTCTATATTTATATTAATTCCTTTTTTTCTACCATTAAAAAGAATGTTAGGATAAACATTCCTGAAGCTAAATATTTATAAACTTCCCTAATTACTTCCTTAAAAGGAATTCCTAGAAATTGATATCCTGGGTCAAAATTATACATATCTTTGAGGAATTTTGTGTGCTTTGTCAAAATTCTCCCTGGAAAGTTTATGTATTTTTTGGTTTGTTTTACTTATTTCCTCTCTAATTTGTTAATATATCTAATTTTTTCCTCTTTCCCTTGATTTTTTTATTGCCTACCACATGTTCTTACAAAATCCTACAATTTATGTTTTCCCAGAAAAGGAAGGGAAAGCCATGTCGATTGGAAATGTGATATTATTCAGCCTGCTTTCATGACCTCAGGAACTGCAGCAAGCTCGTTTCAGGATCCTGCTGTCCCCAGCTGGTGTTTGCTCAGTGGCGTCTACTCTCCCACGAATCTCCTTTCCAACTTCAGGCTTTATGGCTCAGCTAAAGAAAAATGTCACCACTCTGGGAAAACAGCAGGATGACTGATATTTCTGGAGTGAGCAAGACACTGGAGCATGACAGGGACAGTGTTTGGTGCATCGGAAGACTCGCTTGAAGGGATTTTTTTTTTTTCTGTGACTCTTTCTTGTCTCCCAAATGTGCTGTGTCTAAATTTCATATTTAACTCTCCGGGCGAGACAGAGAAACCTTCAAGACGCTCATGCATCCCTCCCACTGAGGGAAAGACAATTCTTGGCAGCTCTTACAAAAAAAGGAGATCAAGAGTCACTAATGGGAAAAAAAAACATGTGGAAAAATCCTGAAATGAAGGATTGATGATGAGGCCTCACAGGCAACTCCCCTTAAAAGAGAATTTTTAAGTCTCCAAACAAATGATAATATGACAACACAGACTAATTGCTGCTTTCTTTTTAAAAATTACAAAACTATCCTATACTTATGGGAGATATTTTGTAAGATTTGAAACTGCTGTAGCTGGGCATTGTGGCACATGCCTGTAGTCCCAGCTACTCGGGAGGTTGAGGCAGGAGAATCATTTGAACCCAGGAGGCAGAGGTTGTAGTGAGCTGAGATTGCGTCACTGTACTCCAGCCTGAATGACAGAGCAACACTCCATCTAAAAATAAACAAACAAAAAAAGAAGCTACTTTAGTGATTATAATCAAAAGAAAATAGGTTTTTATTTACCTCTATAACATTTGATGAAGAACTATCTGATGTGTTTTCCTTATTCTTTTTTATTTTAATTTTTTTTTTTTGAGACGGAGTCTCGCTCTTCTTGCCCAGGCTGGAGTGCAGTGGTGTGATCTCGGCTCACTGCAACCTCCGCCTCCCAAGTTCAAGCTATTCTCCTGCCTCAGCCTCCCAAGTAGCCGGGACTACAGGCGCGTGCCACCATGCCAGGCTAATTTTTTTGTGTTTTTAGTAGAGACGGGCTTTCACTGTGTTAGCCAGGATGGTCTCAATCTCCTGACCTGGTGATCTGCCCGCCTCGGCCTCCCAAAGTGCTGGGATTACAGGCGTGAGCCACCGAACCCAGCCATATTTTCCTTATTTTTAACTGCAAGGCATGTGCACCTTTTGAGGGTGGGAGGTTCTGGAACAGTTGGTATAGGATCCAATGGGGTTGTAGCTTGGAGTGGCCTGGGAGTTGAGAACAGGTAAGAGCTGTCTTTGGAATCAGATAGACATGGTTCTGAATCCCAGCTCTACCCTTAGAGTGGTGTGACCTTGCACCAGTCATTTCACTGTTTAAGCCTCAGTTCCATATCCGTAACATCGGATGATATTCTTATCAAAAGGTTTTGTGAAGAATAAGAGAAATAATACAGGGTGTCTATAATGACCAGAAACAGGCAGTGTTCCTTTTTGCAGCTTGAAGACGCCGTTGATGATATCATATGCCCAAGATGATGGTCACCCTGTGCATGTGGGCACTTACCACTTAGCACAGAGCAAGCACTCAACAAAGTGCTACCTCTCATAAGGAAGGTGGCAAAATGAATGCATTGGTATTATGCCTCTTTTTAGTAGTGGGGATATAATTTGATTCTTTGAGGACTGCCAGTGGAATTTTTGGTAAATGACTTGTATATTAATATAAGAGAGGGGGAAAGTGATGTAAATCTCCACTGTGTGGAATCTCTACTGTGAGCATCCTTGAAAGTGGATGCTCATTATGGCTGTTTAGTTCTGCAGGCCCCTCTGGAGAAGCCACTTTTGTTTCACTGAGCCTTGCAATGGATCTGGAGTTGAGTTTGCTGGTAGAATTAGAGCTGAAGTCCTCTGGGTGATGAAAGAGGAAGAGTCCTTGGGAAAAAGGCAATAGTGGTGAAAGAAGTGGAAGGAAAGAGGGGAAGAACAGTCAACACAAAGGTGCCTGCCTCTACACTCTGTGCAATGCTGCAGCCTGTGATAAACCTACTTGGCAGAGTGGCCAATAGGTCTTTTAAGAACAGAGGTACCTAATATTCTATGTCAAGCTGTTGTATAACTACCCCATCACCTAACACCTTCAGGGAATTTCTGTCCTATTCACTGGTCCATGATTCTTCTCTGCTTAAACCCATCTGAGCCCATTTTCTCCCACTCATATCCAGCCACACTGACCTCCTGTCTGTTCCTGACACGTGGCAAGCAAACTTCAGGTTTGCAGGCATTTGAAGATGCCATTCCACCTGTCTGGATGGCCACAGAGCTCACCCCTCACTTGTTTCAGGTTTAAGTTCAAAAGTCACTTTCTAAGCCAGGCGCAGTGGCTCAACCCTGTAATCCCAGCATTTTGGGAGGCTGAGGCAGGCAGATTGCTCGAGCCCAGGAGTTTGAGACCAGCCTGGCCAACATGGCGAAACCCTGTCTCCACTAAAGATACAAAAATTAGCCAGGCATGGTGGCACAGCCTGCAGTCCCAGCTACTCAGGAGGCTAAGGTGGGAGGATGGCCTGAACCCAGGAGGTGGAGGCTGCAGTGAGCCGAGGTCATACCCTGCACTCCAGCCTGGGCAACAGAGTGAGACCCTGATTCAAAAAGAAAAGAAAAGTCACTTTCTAAATAAAACCTTCCCTGACCACGTTATATAAAATAATTAAGTCCCCAAACAAATAATAATATGGCAACACAGACTAATTGCTGCTTTCTTTTGAAACCTCCCCCTATGTCTTATCTTGGTGGTGTATTGGAGCTAGCTCATATGGATATGTAAGAACTACTGATTGCTGAATTTTTAGGAATTTTGAAAACTGGTTATTAAACACGGCATTTAAAAAATTGAATTATATAAATTCACAATTAACTAAATTATACTAAAAACAAAGATAGTAAATTCTCAAAAATTACTTCCTATTTTGTTACATTTTACTATTGCCTATGCTTTTGATGTGCTTGGCACAGTTGTTATTTTGGGCCAAATAATTCCTTGTTTGGGGGTCTCCTCTGCATTGTAGGACGTTTAGTGGCATCCCTGGCCTCCACCCACTGGATGCAAATAGCATCCCGCCCAACACAATGTCTAGTGACAACCAAAAAAGTCTCTAGACATTGCCCATTTCCCCTGGGGTACAAAATTGCCTCCTGCTGAGCACCACTAATCCATATGGCTGAAATACTATACAACGATGTGCTACTGTGTCTCTCCCAATTCTTGGTGAGTAGCATCAAGCTGATGGTTTGAAATCAGTCATGGTAAGAGTATTTACACCATGGAAATCTGTAAGTGCAAAGTAGGGCTTAATTTTATTGTTTTGTTTATTGCCCATATTTAGCGTTAATGATGCAGATGTGTCATATCTGTAGCAATTACATTAGGGAAAGTACAAAACATTAGAAAATATCCTTTTGATATTTAAATACTATTTTCCACATCAGCAATGAAGCCATTCATGTCATTGCTGAATGGGAGTAGTTTTGACATACCTCTTTATTATTTCATTTTTGTCTTCTCTTAAAATAGATAAAATTATCGATTAGTATTCATGTTGGAAAGACATTCATTTGTCCATTTCAACCAGAGCATAGGTATGGATGTAAGAGTTTGGCAAAAATCAGAGAATCAGTAAGCTATATGGAATTTAGAATGAAGAGTATCATGTATGTTGTTATTATTTGTAAACTGTGTGCTACAAATTCTTTATATAGTAAAATTCATAATAAATATAAAATATATAATCGTGATATATAACACATGTTTAAATAAAATGTACAATTTATAATGTACACATATACATCCACACACTTTCACCCAGAGAGCCTGTAGTCAAACATTTACCATTATTCCCTTTCCCCTTTTATTCACCTAATAAATATTCACCACCATGTGCCAAGTCCTATTCTAGGTGTTGAAAATAGGTTAATGAACAAAACAACAAAACGAACAAATTCCCCGCCCTTATGGAGCTGACATTTTCATGAAATGTTCTCAGTCTCTGTAGCACCAATACTATCAGACAGACCATATATTTACTTGTTTATTGTCTTACTGCTTTATTGCACGTCTTCCTTCAGTAAAACATAAGCTCCATGAGAACATGCATGATTTATGAATGAATGGATCACTGAAGGAACTTGCACAGTACTTGAGTGTCAAGAAAAGAAGCTGAGTTTCACACCCAGGAGGGACAGTACCCATGAGTTGACAAAGCAAGCCATAAATTGAACTAATTTAGTGGTAGCAGAAGCTCAGATAGAAGTGAATATGAGAATTTAAGCCCGCCGGGATTTGCAGAAATTTCAAAAAGCCCTTGCACTTTCCACATTGGTGTTTGGACTAAGTTTTACCATAAGGCGCAGTGTGACTTCAGCTGATACTGAAGTCTATCCAGGAGAGTCTGAACTGGAGGCAGTCCACAGGTACATCTCAGTGTCAACCCCTCCCTTACAACTGAGCCAGGGGTACACGCTCCCAGTGAGTGCCAAATTGTAGATCCGTGATACAAGGGACACAAATAGACCCAGCACAGGCTGTGATGGACCCTGGAATAGCATCTAGTGTGAGAATAAAGTTGTGGAAATGTCTTTGAAATCAGCTTCACTGTGATTGAGGGCAGCAGGAGGTTTGAGACTGAAGGTTCCTGATAGAAATCCATACAGAAAACCAAGCAAAAAGGTCCCTGGAGGTTGGCGGGTAAGCCAACATCAATAGGCTATTTATTTAAATGTTGAGTTACTTCCTGAAAGGGCAACAGAGGGTGTTGGTGAATTTGCGTGGTCTAATCAGCGACTCGCACCTCCGTTCCATCTGCTCAAACAGTATCTGTAAATGGCTAAGCTCGTTCGGGATACCAGCAATCAGTCAAGTGTTGGTTTTACCAGCAGAGGCCACAAGCTCCCAGAAATGGGTGTTCTTTCAGGAAATAGTGGACAGGGCCTGGGAGGACATTTGAAATTCAGGCTGGACTGTGCCACAGAAACGTTGCAGAAGAGGCTGCCCGAAGGAGGAAGAGCAACAGAGGGTGCCAGAGCCAGTGGAACCTAGTGTTACAGGCAGCCTGGTCTCAAGCCCCTCAGAATCGATGGCCAAAGGCTTAACAGGACTAAAACAGATTCTCACTAATGAGTCCACGTCTGACTACGATCCCTCGGATAGGGCCAAATAACATTGTACATGTAGTAAGATTGGAAAGATCTTTGCAGAGAGGCATAGAAAGTTGCCATTAAATGGAGAAAGGAAGCTGAGTTGGAGTAAGGGAGGGGTTCCTGGGTTTATTAGAAGAAAAATTATGTTCTAGAGCAAGCTTGTCTAACCTGCAGCCCAGGATGGCTTTGAATGTGGCCTAACACAAATTGGTAAACTTTCTTAAAACATTATGAGATTTTTTGCGATTTTTTTTTTTAGATCATCAGCTATTGTAGGTGTTACTATATTTTATGTCTAGCCCAAGACAATTCTTCTTCTTCATTGTGGCCCAGGGAAGCCAAAAGATTGGATACCCCTGCAAAGACTTGGGCTGCTTGAGGGACATGGAGGACCACAGTCTTCCTACTGTTGGAAAGGTTAACTGGGAAGGGGAAGGAGGAGATGGCGAAGTAAAAGGAAACAACACTTCTTCTCACAGGGTAACCCAGAATGAGCCCAAGACGCAGAGTTGCGGTGAGCTGCTTTGCTGTGGGGAAGAGTGGCCCAGCAGGCCACGCCTCCCGCCATCACTCGCTGGGGCACTTGGTCAGTGACTACGCCCACACATTTGCTACTCGTGGGATCACCAGCCTGACAGTCCCCATCACCGTTGTCTTCAGTGGGAGGAGACGGAGCTTGTTCCTGGATACCCAGGCATGCCTGCCTCTCTGGCCAGGGCCCCCCGCCAGCTTCAGAAGGGAATGCTCATGGGTAATGCTGGTGGAAATACCTTTGGACCCCATGGCACAGAAACCCCAACCTTTTGTTTTTGTGTGTGTGGAAAAGAGACATTTTTCTTGGCAAACAGCATCCATGCTGAGAATCTAACACAGTTCATGAAAAAACAACAACATCCCTAGAAAGGGTGAAGGAATGAGAACAAGGCCAGAGCCATTCTGACCCTCTGAAAAAATCGGCTCAATGACGAACTTTTCTCCTTGCGGAGGGGGCAGAGTACTCTGAGGACAAGACCACCAAGGGCCTGGCATCCTGTTTTTTCCTCACTACACTCCATGGGAGGATCAGAGACGGAATATACACTGCAAGTGGAAGATAAGGACATTATCAGATTCTTATAAACAGTATCGTTCTTTCCCTTCTCTGGGTTTACCATGGCCACACAGTTCCAAAGTAACATGGAGGTTCAAGAACAACAGTCTTGAGTAGCTTTTTATGAACATTCTTAACTCTATGAAGCTAAGGAGAGCGGCTCAGGCAGGCCTGAGACTTTCAATTCTGCCTTCCCAGCTCACAGCTTTGTTGGGATGGGCGTTCCATCCCAGCAAACTCTGGCAGGACACTCTGCTGGGGCCCGCAGCGCCTCTACTCCAGCTTCAGAGTCTTTGGTGTTTGGGTTCCTGTTCTGGCTTGGTTTCCAGGCCGCCTCTTCCACGCCAGTTCTTCTTTCTCCAAAACCAACAAAGATAGACTCTTGTCGGTTGGGAGAGTGTGACCCCCATTGAAATAAAAGCCAGAGCTTTGATTCATCCAAATCGGTGATGCTTTGGAAAATCGTGGGGACAAATTCATCACTAAAATGACCGCAGGGATGGGGTATATGTGTGCTACTGGCGTTTAGTGAGAGTCGGGAGCTGGATGCTTTAGCCCTGTGAAATGAAAAATTGCTACGCCTTCTGCTCAACTTTCAAATATTCCCTAATGGACATTCACACTGGTAAAACACCATCTGTGATCACCTGAAACTATGATGGACAACCTTTTAAAAATACATATACCCTTTTATGCATAAGCATGAAGTATTTTGTATAGATTTAGAAATGCTCTTTTTTTTTAGGGATATTGTGTAAACCAAGGGAGGCTGCACTTTGTTTCATTTGGAACTTGAACAGAAGTTGTTCCCAATTAGAAAATCGCACCACCAATTCCAACACAGCTGATAGTATTGAATGCACCGGTACAATCCAGCACTCTAAGTCTGTTTGCTGCTCTCACATTCAGGGTGCTTCCACATGTAGTTGATAGGAGTCTCCAGGCCTGAGCATCTGTCTATTGAAATACATCTCATGTTATTATTCATTACTGCCTTTTATATGCCTTCATGTTATGGTTCATCCGTTTTATGGGCTTTAAAAAATTCTTTGTCTAGGCAGGTTGAATTTCATGTTAAGATAGTAAAGGGCGCATTATAAGAGATCCATCCTATGAACAGGCATTGGCGCTGGCTTGACAGGGCTGAGAGCCGCTGGCCTAGAAGCTCTAGAAGGCTCAGCAGGGCTCTTTACAGCTGTAAATGATTTGCCTTATCAGTGAGGCCAAGAGGGTCACAGAATGGCTTTTACCCTTTTTCTTGGGCTTCCTGCCTCTCCTCTTCTCGTCCCTCCCCACCCCGAATGTTCATTGCTGCCCACTGTTGCAAAATGGGACAAGAGCCTTGGTGACTCTGTAAATGGCCTTGTTGGAATCAATCAGCAGGCCTTGCTGGTTTCCTGCCTCGGTCCCTTCACGACAAGAAGCAATTTTCACGCTTTCCTAGTCTTTATTTCACCCTCTTGTGTTGTGGTGGCCGTGTGGGGTCAGACAGCTGGAGTGCAGCTGAGGTTACAAAGTTCACTCATTTTGAAAAATGTAGAAAATCTATATATTTGACATGTAAGTACCACTGCTCCTGATTTCGTGTGGGCTGATATAGATAATGGTACATTAAGGGACCCCTGTATTTTGCTTTTTATTTGGAGCCTTTCAAACAAAACCATTCCTTCTTCTTAGTTTTTACCCACCTTGCCAGATTTAAATTTTATCTTCCACTTAAGCTAACATCCTACCTCATTTCTGCTAGTGATGTGACTATTTTGTGAGTGTGAAGGAAGTGCCTGGTGAGATAAATAGGAATGTATATCTACAATTTCAGTTGCATAGAAATTGGTACTTTTCTCATGTTAAAACTGCCGCCACAGTATTTACTCAGTTTTCCAATTATAATTCTGATCTTTATGGTAGAAGTTTAAATCTTGTAGCTGTAAAGGCAGTTCAACATCATTTCTCTTCATTTATGTCCATGTTGTATTATTTCAACATAATCACAGTGGAGTTGAATGATTTATGTTTATAGTATGCCATTTATATTTGAAAATGTGCATATAGATATTGCAATAATTCTAATAACCGCATTTCACTCTATTTTCAGTGGCAGGAAAGTGCAATATTCCACCACATTGAGTTACAAAAGCTACATAATGTAATCTTACTGGAACATTTATTCAGTGCCTAATCTGTGCACTGTCAAAAATTTTTCATTGTTATTGGAAAATTAAGACGATAACAAGCCTCACATTGGTATATATGTAACTGTTTTACATTTCTAGTAGTTAAAGCTAACATAATAAATAATTCATTTTTTTCTGTCTTTGTTAGAGTAATGATGAAAAACAAATCTAGGCAATTTACATTAGTATTTGAGTCCTCCTAATTGCACAGAAGCATATCTTTCAATAGAGGTTTAATATATGTTCTCATATCTCTTTTTGGAGGCAGAGGGCCATACTCCAGGCACCTTAAACTGTCTATGTGAGATATCCTAAGCATTTGCTTCTTGGCACAGATGAAAGCAATTATGCTGAGGAAGGGTCCATTCTAGAGTTGGCAAAATAGATCTGGGGTCTGGCAAATTTTCCAGAATATCAGAAAATCCTATGGTAACTAAAACCCCCTTCCAATGACTATATGAATGTTTTGGTCATTATCTCTGAGTAATAAATTACCTCATGGTTTCTGTGGGTCAGGAATTCAGGAAGGGCTTGATCAGGCAGTTCTCTCTACAGGTGCAGTGAGACAGTGGCCAGAACCACCCACTCCCAGTGAGGGATCTGGAACAGCCAGGGGCTGGACAGACATTTCTCTCCTTCTTGTTTTGTGGCCCTAGGCTTCTTCATGTGCTCTCCCCTGTGGACTAGATTGGGCTTCCTCAGAGCATGGTGGCCTTGGGACAGTTAGACTGCTTTTATGGCAGCAGGAGGTCCGTGTGTCAGTGTTGCAGGAATGAGGCAGAAGCTGCCTGCCTTTTCCAACCTGGCCTCAGAAATCACACAAAGTCACTTTCACCTCATTCTCTTGGTTGCAACTAAGTCAAAGGTGACCCATGTTCAAGGGGAGGGGTATGAACCACAGTTCTGCATGGGAAAAGTGTCAGTGACACAGGGCAAGAGAGGACATGGGCTGTGTGCTTTGGCGCCATGGTCACACTCCTCCACCCGTGAAGCCCTCTGGAGGCTGTGTTTTCACAAAGCTGCAAGTTTTGCTTCTGCTGCTCTAGCCCAACTGAAGTTTCGTACACATCCAAAAAAAAAAAGAAAGCAAACTTCTAAAGAAGAGGCCCTCAAGCAGCTGACAATCTTTGGTAAAAGACTGTAACACTGTGCTAATATAAGTGATCACAGATCACACGGTGCAGTGCCATCTTTTAATGGGGCTGAAATGTATTTTCAGTTATTTCCTGTATGAATATTGGTACCAATTTCACAGCAGTGAATAGATGTAATTGTGTGGTAGGATTAGACAGAAATTTACTCATAAAGTATGTAAAAATCAAATATGTTATATTTGTGTGCATATTTTTATTTTTTATTTTTAGAGACAGGATCTCGCTCTGTTGCCCAGGCTGGAGTGCAGGGACACGATCATAGCTCACTGCAGCTTTGACTGCCCAGGCTCAAGCGATTCTCCCACTTCAGCCTCCTGAGTAGCTAGGATTACAGGCCAGGGCCACCTAGGTAATTTTTAAAAACTTTTTTTGTAGAGAAGGGGTATCACTATGTTGATCAGGTTGGTATGAAACTCCCCCACTCAAGTTATCCTTCCTCCTCAGCCTCCCAAAATGCTGGGATTACAGGTGTGAGCCATCATGTCTGGCCAACATGTCATATTTGAAAACAATGAATGTCCATACTCTGACACTTCCCCCTCTGTCCTGCATCATCCATCCATCCATCCATCCATCCATCCATCCATCCATCCATCCATCCATCAAAAATATAGATGCATCTGTGTGCTAGTCACTGTGCTCAACACACCTGATGCCTAGGATAAAATTGTTGCAGTAGTCTCCTGCCTGTGGGGTGGCCTCATTCCCATCTGACCTCCCGGCACTGAAGATGGCCTGTATCTTCCACCTCTGTGGCCTAAATGCCCAGGCTTCCTCCTGTTCTAGACTCAAAATTCAATTGGTTCTGCTTGTGTCCAATGCCATCACCCTGGAGCCAATCCCTGAGGCCATTGAAATGGGGATGGAAGCATCCATGCAGGAAGTGAGGGTGCTGTGCAAAGAACACACCTACAACAATGGCCCTCAGACTCACTTCTTCCCTTCCGTTCCAGTCACTGTGGCCTTGATGCCTGGGCGAGCTTTCCTACCTCGGGTCTCTCCTAAGTCTAGGTTCACACCATATCCCATCAGCAGATTCACCTCCACAGAACTTCCCTTTGTCATGCTGCTACTCTTCTTAGAAATCATCCAAGAACCCCCCAACCCCCACCTCTCCAGGATACAATCCCACCCACCTCGTGTGACATTCTAGGACCTCCACACCCTTCTCAAATCTGCCCCACCTCCCCTCCCACTCCTGTCCTAGAGCCCCAACGATCTAGTTCTCTCTCACAAAACTATAATGTTGCTGGGCACGGTGGCTCATGCCTGTAATCCCAGAAATTTAGGAGGCTGAGGAGGGTGGATCACGAGGTCAGGAGTTCAAGGCCAGCCTGGCCAAGATGGTGAAACCCCCTCTCTACTAAAATTACAAAAATTAGCTGGGTGTGGTGGTGGGCACCTGTAATCCCAGCTACTCAGGAGGCTGAGGCAGGAGAATTGCTTGAACCCGGGAGGTGGAGCTTGCAGTGGGCTGAGATCACACCACTGAACGCTAGCCTGGGTGACAGAGCAAGACTCCATCTAAAAAACAAACAAACAAAAAAAAACCCATAATATTCTGGACCCTGTGCTCCCACTTTCCCAATCTAGAAAGCTTAGTTTGCCTCTACTTCTGATTCCTTCCCATCATTTACAGACCCTTCTAAGCCCTGCCTTCGCAGGGAAGCCTCTCTGACCACCTCATGCCAGAGAAAAGGTAGATCCTTGGAACTACGCAGTCACTTGGAGTTTTACCCTTTCCTAAAGATAGACCCTAAAATTCTGTAGATGCTTTTCTACAAAACCCATTTCCCCCACTCTAGTTTGCTCTTTTTTTTATATTTATCAGTTTGTGATTTTTTATATTTGAAAAGTCTAACAAAGAGTCCGTGAGCACAGCAGGAGAGGCACACGGTGTCAGGCGCCCAGGGGACCACAGGGCAGAGCTAGCCCCCTCGAGTTCGTCACAGAGTCAATGAGAAAATGAACGGATTCATGGGGGCCCTTATACACATCTGCTGCCCCTGCACGTGCTCTGGTAGGCTCCTAGGTGAAAGGGGATCTGGGTTGTGTAGATAGTTCCCGCCCGTGGTAAGCCCAAAATACAGAACTAAATAAGACACTGGATCCAGAGGAGGGTGGCTCAGACAATTTTACCATAATTTCCTTTCAAAATGTGAAACAATGAAAGGTCAGGAAGGACATTTGACAAATGAAAGAGAATACGTTAACAATTCTTCATTTAAGTTAGCAAACTTGGATAAGGGATGCTTTGATGGAATTAAGTACTCCTTTGGAACATTTTATTCTGCTATAACAATCCATTCCATTGTGTTATAAAGTAATTATAATCACCACTCAGTGTCCCAAGTCAGAGCAGGAGAAGAGAAACATTAAGAGCAAGAAGTATCAGAAGAATCTTACATGCTAGCTTTCTGCTTTTTAAGAATTAGATGGCAATGGCCAGGCCCGGTGGTTCACACCTGTTATCCCAGCACTTTGGGAGGCCAAGGTGGGCAGATGACCTGAGGTCGGGAGCTCAAGACCAGCCTGACCATCATGGAGAAACCCTGTCTCTACTAAAAATACAAAATTAGCCAGGCATGGTAGTGCATGCCTGTAATCCCAGCTACTTGGAAGGCTGAAGCAGGAGAATCACTTGAATGGGGAGGCGGATATTGAGGTGAGCTGAGATCGCACCATTGCACTGCACTCCAGCCTGGGCAACAAAAGTGAAACTCCTTCACAAAAAAAAAAAAAAAAAAAAAAAAAAAAAAAAAAACCCAAAGAATTAGATGGCAACATCTTTTAATAGCATGATCAATGGGGCAAATGCTTACAGTACTTCTAATATGATTGTACTAGCAAGACATGCTATAGAGAAGTGATGTAGGACTGAAAAGGAAAGACTCAGTGGATAATCCATCTGGGGAAGGAAAGTGCCTCCCTGGTCAAGAGGAATTAGTGATGGGGCAAAACAGAAACCAGCCTGAGGCCGCCATTGAAAGCTCAAGTTTGACACTGGGGAGGTGTCCTGGGACTCTTGAACCAACTTCGTGCCTTTGGGTGACTAGCAAAAGCCAGGGCCAAGCCAGTGGCTTTCACAGATCTGAAAGGACAAGAAACCATGGCTTGATATAACCAAAGGACAAATTCTGGGGCAACTTTACATTCTAGATATGAATGAAGTTCCAGGCTGAGGACAAACACAGAGGCCCATGCGCCCCAAGATTTCACATTCATTTAGGAAAAGGGGAAAAGTGTCAGTGGTTGTGGGATAAATGAATGAACTTTGCAGGCTGAAATTGCCCAGAATTTGCCAGATCCTACAGTGCAGTTCTCACATGAAGTGTTCAGTCTAGGTGTTTTCTCTGGCATAAACTTCTTGCATAAATTTTCTACAAGAGTATTTGTCCCATGTTATGCTTTTAATAAAACTGATAATTGGGAGAGTTAATGAAAGATGACATGGAAAATGGAGCACAGCAGCAATCCATTGTGAAACAGATATGATACATTCAGGATCTAGCCCAGGCAGGTCGGGAAGGCACAAGTAAATTACATGGAAAGGTAGCCCAGACTCCCACATTGCATACCTTGTTGCACCAAACCCTCCCCCTCAGCCCACACCTAAGTGCTCTTGGGAACCTCCTTTGTCCAAATGAAGGAAAAGGAAAGAACTTAGGCCAAATTTGCTGACATGTTGGCATTATATATTTGTGCTGGCTGAGAGTGGACTTCTGCTGTATTGCAGGCTCACTCCAAGATGGTTCTGAAGGACAGCAGTGAAGGGATATTCTCTCAGCCTGGAGAGATTCAAGCAGTACACGTGGCTGTTCACTTCAAATGAGGGAAGTTTATGAAGGAACTCCTGGTCAGTGGCAATGACTGGGCTGGGTAGCTCATAGCCCATAAGGAATAAAACTGCAACATTGGAGAGAGGGAGTATTGCAGAAGAGCTCCATGGCTGAGTCTATGGGATCTTTGTGCTCATTAAAAAGCACTCCTCACAAAGGAGGCTTTCAACAACCAGGTGGACAGTATGACTCTTCATATGAATATCAGCCAGCTCTGTTCTCAGTCATCCAGGTGCCAGGGGCTGCAGTAAGGGCTCCAGGAAACTTGAAGTTGTACTGCCACCGGTTACTTTGGGCTTCTCAGGCCAGTAAAGCAGCAGACAAAGAAAAGAGCTACTTATTGTATTGGAGGGGAGTTCAACTTTGACTAACAGATCATCCTTGTCTTCATCCACAAAGCATATGTTCTTGTGTGAAAAGGAATGAGGGAGGGGAGGTCAGCATAGCATAAAAACATGGAATGGCTCTGTACTTAATATTATAGAACATAATTTCTGAACTGGATAGCCCTTGCTATGGTTTGAATGTTCCCTCCAAAACTCATGTTGAAATGTAATTGCTAACATGACAGTAGTAAGAAGTGGGGCCTTTAGGAAGTCTTTGCCCTCATGAATGGATTAATGCTGTTATTGAGGGACGGGGTTAGTTATCTCAGGAGTGGGTTCCTGATAAAAAGGGCAAGTTCAGCCCTATTTTCTCTCTCTGTCTCACACACTTCCACCTTCTGCCCTTCTGCCATGAGACTCTCTCCAGATGCCAGTGCCATGTCTTGGACTTCCCAACCTCCAGAACCATGAGCTGAATAAAGTTCTGTTCTTTATGTATTTCCTGGTCTGTGGTATTCTGTTATAGCAGCAAAAAATGGACTAAGATAACCCTAGTCCATGTTTCTTAGTCTAGAATGCATGGATAGGAAATCCATGGATGAGCTTTAAGGGATCCATGAATATCCTTATAGATTTTCTATACAAAATGCTGTATACATGTACATTGTAGGGGAGAGAAGATCCTTAGCTTTCACTGGGTTCTTGAAATTCAAAAAGTGAATAGGATCTACTAATCTGATGTCATTTATATAAAATAACAATGAGGAAATGTTTATATATTTGTGAAGGAATATACATGTTTGATAAAAATAACTGGAACTGTGCACTGCAACATGTTGTTTACAGTAGTTAGCACTCACGGGATTGGAAGAATTGGGTGGGAATCAATGAGGACTTTCTTGTCAGTCATGTTGTTCAGGTCTTTCAAATAGTGAGAATATATTGGATATTATTGTGTTAAACATTTTAAACTATTTATCTAATCGATTCTTTTTATTTTACAATTGACAAAATGAGTTTCAGAAATGTGACCTAATTGTCCGAATCATACATGTTATTGGCAGAGGTGAGATGAGAAGCAAGCCTTCTGCATCCTACCCCCACGCTTATTCTAGTTCCCCTGTGACACTCACAGCTGGTTTAAAAGGATCTCTACCACCTTTTGGGTTGATCCCTCTGCCAGGCCCATTTTAAACTATTAAGTTGCATTATGTTTGCACATGCATATACAGTTACACAGACCAAATCGTTTTACAAGTATCCTAACAAACCATCATCACTTCTTACATACGGTCAGAAAGAGTAAAAGAAACTGATTTCCACAGGGTATCAAGGTCAGAAGCATTCCAGAGCTTTTTGATTTTTGAGCTCCTTTTGTTCAACGAAATCATGCTGCCAGTTCCAGTTGTATTTTGAGTAGTAGCTCTAAAATACAATTAATGAGGATCAGAAACTACTACTGGGCAACACTCCCTTGAGTAGTAAAGTAGGGACTCTGGAGTCAGACAACCAAGTTCAAATACTTTTACCACTTACCTGCTGTGTGACTTGTGCCAAGTTGTTTAACCTACCCAAGTCTCAGCATCTCATCTATAAAATGGGATAATAATCATAACAATTCTACTTCTTAGGAGTATTGTAATAACGTATGTAAAAGCACTTAGCTCTGTGCCTGGCACAATTCGATGTTAGCTGTTATTCTCCTTACTGGATGATTCTCAAAAGAGGGTCTCCTTTTTAGGTGTGGAGCTACTTATTCCAAAACAGGAATTCTCCATGAGGAAATGGAGAGTGCCGGGAACATCTCAGATGAAGTTTCAGGCTGTGTTTTCCCAATTAAGGGCAAGACATCAAAGAGGAACATGTCAGGGAGAAACCCCTCACCACTCTCCGTGTCCCATGATGGCCAGTTCCCCTTGTGGACAGATCTCTTGTCATTCATTCATCTTATAATTTCATGCGGTGGTGAGGATAGGGGAGCAAGGTACGATAGATGCTGAAAGCCCAAAGACTAGCTGCAGGGATGAGGAAAACTTTAATTTAATCATAATTAAGGATTCTAAATTTATTGGAGGTCGCATTCCAAAAAATCCTTCCAACTCCATCAGACTCTTCACAGCTGTGACAATCACATGCCTCCCTAGCACAGAGATTCTTTGACTTCAGGGTGCATGCGGGTCAGCAGGCATGCCTGTACGATGAAGATTCCTGGGTTGTATCCCTTGAAATTTTGAAATTCCCAGGTTGTATCCCTTGAAACTCAGTTAGCATGGCTTTTGCACACTCAGTGTCCCAGTGTGCCTTTTGACTACCTGCTTCAGAATCGCCTGTGGCTTTGTTTAAAAGGGTAGCTTCCTGGCCAGGCGCAGTGGCTTACGCCTGTAATCTCAGCACTTGGAGAGGCTAAGGCAGGCAGATCACTTGAGGTCAAGAGTTCGAGACCAGCCTGGCCAACATGGTGAAACCTAGTCTCTACTAAAAGTACAAAAATTAGCCGGGCGTGGTGGTGCATGCCCAGCTACTGGGGAGACTGAGTCAGGAGAATCACTTGAGCCTGGGAGGTGGAGGTTGCAGTGAGCTGAGATCTTGCCACTGCACTCTAGCCTGGGCAACAGAGCAAGACTCCATCTCAAAACAAAACAAAACAAAAACCTGTAGCTTCCTAGACAATCCTGATAAACATTCATGTGTGAGAACCACTGGAAAAGACCTTGCAAACTTGGCCTCCTCTGGGGGCAGATTAAATAGGTAACACGGTTACAAGGAGGCACTGTGCTGTAACGCCATAACAACCTGGATGCAGAGGGAACCCGATTCTAGTAATTCCTTGGCCAGCGGGGGTCAATTCTCAGAAGGTTGAAATGCTAGTCTATTTTTCACTGTTGGAGTCTGACTTAGTAACTCAGAGTTAGAATCTTTCTTTCCTCCTTGAACAATCAGACCACTGAGCCAAGAGTTTCTTTATGGTGTTGATTTATCAAATAAGTCACATCAATCTAAGATTAGCCCCGTCAAGAACTGTGTGTTATTTATTGATAACTTTAGTTAAGAAGAGCTCATAAAAATTTTGATACTTCCCTAACACAAGCAGAGGGTAACTTTTTTATGATGCAATAAACTCTCATTCCTCAGCATGGCAGATAAGGTTGCATGAGTGCTAAGGGATCCTTGCAGTGATCAAATTTGTACTGTTGAACATTTCAAATAAAATTACCATAGTGAAAACCTTTTTGCACAGGCTAATGAGACTTTAAGTGAGATCAAGCAGGAGGCAAATCCAATCATTCACGTAAGCCTTCATATGTAACTCAGGGCTCTCTGGTTTAAGAAACAGACTGCTCAATGAGAAAAAGACCAACAACCCAATGGAAAAACGAGTATAGCACTTGGGAAAAAACGCTCAACTTCACTTATAATAAAATAAAAGTAAACTTCAAGAAACTATTTTTACCTGTCAGATTGATAAAGATCAAGAAGTTGTGATAGGCAAGAGTCCTGTACGTCGTTGCTGAGAATATAAATTGAAAGACAGGTTTTGGAAGGACGGTTGACAATGTCTATCAAAAATTTAAGTGTAATGAAATAGACTCAGCAATTTCACTTCTATGAATTCTTTATTCTTTTAGAATGTATGCACAGTAGTACTAGCGTTCTTTATAATAGTAAATGTCTGGAAACAATCTAGATGTCCATCAATGGGCTACGGGTTAAATACACTTTTGTATTTCCATATGATAGAGCAGTATTCAGCCAGTAAAAACAAAGAGCTACATCTCAACAAACGAGTATAGGAAAAATTCCAAGATCTATAGTGTACGAAAGAAAGCTACCATTTATGTTGCAGGCACTGTTCTAAATCCTTCACACTTGTTAATTAATTTAATCATCAAGTCATATGAAGTAGTACCATACTAATGGTACATCTCAGTTTCTGTGATGAGGACACTAAGGCCCAGAGAGGTTAAGTAACTTGCCCAAGGTCACACAGCTACTATACAGCAGAACCAGGATTCCGACCCAAACTCCAGAGTCCAAAGCTTGTGCTTTAACCACTGAAATGTATATAGTATGCTGCTATTAGTGAAAAGAAAAACACCTCACTTATCTCAACGTACATCATACATCACAAACGTATATATTCAGAGAATCTCTCCTGAAAGACAAATGTGAAAGCAATCGCTGGGGTTGCCTTTAGGATGATGAATTCATGTCTGCAGGTCAGTCAGTGAGAAGGAAATACTTGAATTATGTTTCACTCTTCAGATTTTTTACTTGGTCATATATAATATTCCTCCATCTGCCAGTTCCCACTAAGAAGCATACAGATAGCAACATTAACAGGTCACAACCTGTGCTGTGTAGGTCACAGAAACGGGTGTCTTTAAGGCGGGCTGCAGGGATTGAGG
This sequence comes from Homo sapiens, assembly GCF_000001405.40. Taxonomy (NCBI): domain Eukaryota; kingdom Metazoa; phylum Chordata; class Mammalia; order Primates; family Hominidae; genus Homo; species Homo sapiens. The sequence goes on along the minus strand of NC_000002.12, from coordinate 173,613,144 downwards.
AATTCCATATCTCCACACTTGAAGTCCTACTTTTTTAAAAATAAAAAAATTTTATGCAGAGAATTAAAATCGTACTTGTTGCAGATTATGGACAGTTAGAGGACCCTGATTTTATCTGCTTGTTTTTTCCCCAGTGAGGGATTAAATCTTCCCCAAAACTGTTTATTTCCAAGCATAGAACATTTTCCTAATAGCCTTCCCCAAGCGGATCTGAGGTTCCAGGTGGAAATCCCAGAGGGTGATTTAGTGAAGGTCCAAGGACATTTATGGGAAATGTTAGAGGTCAATTTGGGGTGATTTTGGAAGCCCTGATTTTGTCCAATGTCCACTGTAACCATTTTAAGTTTTGGTGCTTGTATAAACAGAAATACTAGAGAGAGAGAGAGATGTAAGATTAAAGAGCCATTGACCAAAGCAAATGCAAGCCGGTATGGAGTTTCCACAGCTACACAAAGAAAATGGTGGGGCAAACCAGATGAGTCCACAATCATTGGAAAAGAAGAGCTGATTGTTTGAAACCTGTGGGGTTGTGAGGGAGTGCCAGTTTTCATTGGCCTCAGACATAAACACTGACGCTGTCAGCCTCCTCAAGGGTGTGCTGTGTGTGTAGCTCTCCGGTGTGTTTTCTACTTAAGCTGCAAGCCAAGAAGGGGCATTATCTCAGTTGCTGTCCCAAAATGTTGGACACCACAGTGTGTGGCCCCAATCCTTATCCTGAAACCCAAGGCTCTGCCTGGATCCTCTAAGTCCTTAAGAGAGGGAAAACCCCTGAGGCCTGAACTGATTCTGAGTTTGTCCGACTCCAACAAAGAAAGAATGAAGCATTCTGGAGCTTCACCTCTCAAAGACCTTTTCAGAGCAAATTCTCAGAGATCATCAGAAACTCCATGGTGACCTGGAAATTTTCAGTTCCTTGGGGAGCTGCCTAAAGAGATAGGGCCACTTGATTTGCCGTGTCAGAGCCCTCTCTGGAGTCTGGGGATACATAGGTTATAAATATCTAGGATACCGGCTCTGGCACCTTCCCTCCTGCAAGTGACTACATGTATATTTGTACGGCAATCCACCAACCATTGCTCCAGCACCTTCCATCAGCCACTTGCTGACCCAACCTTATTCTAATTTCTGCCTCTTGTTTCTGGTATGGGTTCCATTTCTCTGGAGCTTCCCTGGTGGGTGTCACTAGCTGATCGTATCTGAGACTGCTGGGTAGCATCTTGTGGTGAAGTGAATATAGACTCTGGAGTCAGATGATTGAGTTCAAAGCTGTACCATGTATCAGTTGGGTGACCCAGATACATTGTCTTAATCTCTCTCTGCCTCTTCCTCACTGGGGAATCTGTGAAATGGAGATGTAATAGTAGCTACATCAGAGGGTTGATTTAAGAATGTAAATGAGAGAATGTATACAGTCGAAAGCATTTTTTTCACTTTGGATTTACATAGGAGGAAGTAAAGCATAAGTAAAAGTTTTAAAACAGGAGGAAGACATTCTTGGTAGTAAGAATTAACATTGGCTTAGATTACTAAGAGAAGGCATGGAATTAACTTGGAATATAATTCTTCTCTTGAGATAATTTAGGTGTTTTAACTTGGTGATAGTCAATGGAACAAATGACCTTGACCCAGAGGCTGCATCGTGGGGTCAGAAAAAACCCAGAGTCCTGCTCTCTTGGTAGTAGGAAGTCAGAGTTTTATGAGCTAATCTCCCAAATGTGCCATGTAAGTGCCGGCTGAAGGGTAGGTACAAGAAGACAGCTTGAGAACCGCACCCTTCTTCTGCTCCATCCTTATGTTTCTGTTGCACAAATGCAGCAAAATGAGTAGCAATATTTTCATTGAAAACATGCCTCATGCAAATCAGTTTGGTAAATATGGAATTTAGCCTTTATAAAAGAGCACCTGTTCTCCCCCCTCCCCAATTCCTCCATTTAATTTTTGCATTCAGATGTGCACTGCTCTTGCATAAGCCTAGTCCCATGCAGTATTACAAGAACAGACTTGCTCGTTTTGAATCCAGCCGAACACACACCCCAATTTTTCAAGAAAAAATCTTCTCTAAAAATTAGAAGCACCTGCATATTGGTTTTCTAGTGGCCCTGAAGAATATTCCCACAGTAGCAAAATATATTGACATTTTTAAAACACAAGGACATTGAGAGTTGATACAGACCCTCTGCAGAAGAAGAGAGGGCAGCTGGATGGAGAGAAGGGTCATATGTGGTCTACACAGACCTCAGTGCCTGGAAGTGGTTCTAATCTCCCCTCTGGGATATGGTAATGGTTGGGTTAACTGCTCTTCTCTACTTAGGATCTGGGATTTTAACCCAGTTGTGCCTTGGTCTGGGTGGTTTCCTTTTTCCCTCACCATCAGAGGGATATTTTAAAATCACAAACAGAACCTGGGGAGAGGAGGCCCAATTTGACATCTTTGAACCTTGATGGGGCCACTTTATAGATTCAGATTTACAGGGATTGTTGGGTGGGGATTTGCAACCCAGGAGAGCCTTTTAGTGCCTTTCATAGAGGGACACAGAATCAGAGTTTCCTGAAATGGCGTTTTTCTGTGTGAGACCTGTCAATAGAAATATCAAACTGTGAATATACAATTGAACTTTATTATCCCCTTTGATTTTGTAACTACATAGGTATGACAGACAGAAGCTGATTTTAAAAGAATCTCACAATTGCCAGTGTGTCCCTTGTATGAATCCCACGGCTGGAAGTTTTTCTGTAAATCGGCATCTTCAGGTAGGGGCTGTGCAGGTGCCTCCCACTGACTCTTGAGATACGTTTTAATTAAGGAACATGACATCTCTTAGCTTTCTGTTACAGAGAGGAAGTGCCCTTGTGTTCTGAAACGCGGCTCCAGAGACGGTATTGTGAGGCTCCATATTTACTCTCGGCACAACTTTCATTTCAAAGATTCTTACTTTGTAAGCCAAAGGGGTTTTTTTTTTCCTTTTCTTTCTTTCTTTCTTCTTTTCTTTCTGCTTATCCCTGAAATGGACTGAACCTGAAATTCAAGAGTCAAGCTGTGCTCTTTCTGCCTCTGACATCGTTAGAAAGCCAAAAGGTGGGAGCTGGCCTTCAAACGGTTGGCCTCAAAATGAAAATCTTATCCCACTGAGGGATTCAGAGAGTTGGAGCCAAGGTCTCCTCTCACCTGCAGTATCAGGAGGTCAAACCAAAGGACCACACTGTTCCTGGTGCTCTCAGTTGCTTAAAGTCACAGGAAGTACGGCTCCTGACACAGCTCACGCTTGACATTAGTTGTCTAATTCTTTCCTCCCCAAAGCCTACATCTTGGTAAAAGAGAGAATTTCACAGACTCTTTGTGAATGAAGTTGTTACTAAGGATGCTTTCAATTTAAACCGTTTGAGTGGAAGTTGCTAGGAGTAACACAGATTGGGAAAGGGAGGAACACACCTAGCTAAGGGTCACAAAAACCAAGACCAAGGTAATAAGTGTGACCCGAGACCAGGCATTTGATCTATTTCTGCATGTATACAATAAGGGGGCTAGAGCAGATAATCTATAAAAATCCTTTTGGTTCTAAGAATCTATGACTGCAGATAGATGTCAAAGAATTAGTGGAGAGACGGATGAGGTATAAAATATAGCCATTGCCTGGGATGCCCTCCAAAATGATGACAGGGCTTACCTCTGGAAAGAAGAGCGGACTAGTATTCAGATAGTGGACAGGTGGATTTTAGATGTATCTGCATTAAAAAAAAAAATTAGAATGGGCCCAAATGTGCATCCCTTCCTAGCAAGTTGCAAAATAATGCATACAGTCTGGTATTATTTATTTAAAATGTGCTCACACTTACCACTGTCCCACACATTTGCATTACAAGCATACACATGGATGTACGTACACAGAAAAAGCTATGAAAGTATACACACCAAGTTGACAGTGTTGATTACTTCAGGGAGTGCAAGGTATATGCTGGGTGATGATGGTGAAAGATAATTTTAGACTCACCTGCAATACTTTAATGTGGTAGAGGAAGAAATCCATTCATGCATTTCTTATCAAATGAAATCATACAATTTATGCATACGAGATTTAAGGGCAAAGCCTACATATTTATCTGTGTGTATATATGTATGTGCAAACACACACACAACAGCTTTGCCAAAATAGGAATTTGTGGTGTAATTGGAGAAATGTCAAACGTGTGAACACTCAACAACTGGAGAATAATCCTTAGGCAGGCTGGCATGGTCAGAAAGCTCAGCTGAACTCCTCCAGGAAGTCTTTTCTAACTATTACACTCCCATTGACCTTGCCCTTCTTGATGTCTACTTTCAATATCATCTCTCACCTCACCACACCTCTTCTTCCTCCCAGGGTGTCTTTGGGGTCCAGCTTTATAGATCCCTGAAACAGACACTGCCATAAGATTTCATTCAAAGTTTGTATCTTGGAGGCACAAGCCCAAGCACCTTACACAATTTGTTATTTCTCTCCCTCAACCACTCATCCCAACCCTCAACGGGCATCTCTCCTACCTCCTATTTCTCTGCCATAAGCATCCCTGGGGAGCCTACTCACTTACTAAGTTGAGACCCCATCTACAGCCACTGCATCAGAATCTGTAGGTGAGGGCACCAGGAAGCCGATTTGTAGGCAGCACCTCAGGTGATGGTTATGTCAGGCCCAGTTAGGAACCACAACTTTGAGATGTGACATGGCCCCTGCCTTACCTGCCTTATGCCAAGGAGAGAAAGAAACACATTTCTCTCCCATGTGGGAGGTATTAATAACGGCTTAGATTCTCATACACTCATAGATCCAGAAAGGAAAGCAATTTGGCACTAGGCATCAAAAACCTCTTAAAACTGCATAGGCTTTTATCGAGCAATGCACTTGTAGGCATCCTGATGAAAATAATAGAAAGTAAACGTAGGCATTTATGTATAGATATTCATTATGTGATTGTTCATGCTTAAGTATGAAAATGGTTAATGAACTGTGATTCTTCCATATAGGAGTACTATACAGCCATCAAAAAAGGGAGTTTTTAAGTACATAGTTGTGCTTAAGGCCAAATGTTAAGGAAATAATCAGGAGTCAGGGAGTCAGAACTGTCTTGTGAGCATGATCTTTCTATAACTAACAATAAAAGGCTAAAATAATACAGGGGAGGGAAAGATGAGTAGAAAGAGAGTTCCTAAAGCGAGAGATTCCCTGATAGATGCAGAGGTAAATGAATCAGCCAGTCCCCAGCCCTGCCATGGGATCCCTCCAGTACCAGTAATAAAGGAAAACTGAGCAGGCAATTTGGTTGGCGACGTGGGAGGCGGAATATCACACAGCTGCTTTACCCGCAGCTGTATTGGCTTTGCAGTGTTGACAGTTTGAAAAAAGAGGAAGACAAATAGGAAATAAAACCTTGTCTTGGGCTGGGAAATAAGCAGCTGGGATGTGACCCACCCAGGGAGGCTTGCTTTCATTAGTAGAAGTTATTGATTTAACTTGAATTTCAGACCTATAATTTTTATCTTTTAATGAATTTTCCATTATTTGGAGTTTTTCTTAGCCCTGGGGCTTCTAAGTATTTTTTAAACCTGTATTTATTTCTATATATTTTATTCCACGCTTTGAGGAATCTCCATAAACAAAATCACTGTAATATACATTTTCCATTGAGGATTCCATACCCTCTACCCCAACTACTCTCTTCTCACCACCCCCAAATGGTAAGTAAACTCTTCATGCTGTTGAAAAGCTAAGCTGATATACACAGAAAAAATGAAGTGGTAGATTAAGTAATTATTTAGTGAACTTCAGCTGGGTAGACAATTTGTCTAACTGATACCATAAAATGTTTTTTCATGACACAAAGTTTTTTCTCAGTAGCTGTCCTTTTTCTTTCTTTATTTTGTGGCCAAAAATATGTGAATGACAGCCTCAACTCTCCCTTTCACTTCGGCCGAAATCATCTTGTTACCACTACTTAGGTCAGATGTCAAGTAATTAAGAGAATGATATTAACACATCAATTCTGAGAATTCTCTGTTGTGTGAAAGCATCTATTTTAGAATTCTTGCAGGTGGCTGCAGCTCACAAAGCCTGTCAGATGTTACTGGATGCAAAAAGGTTCAAGGGCTGCTTGTGTTTTTCAAATGTTATCTGAGGAATCTTTTCACAAATCCCTGCTATTGTTCAACATAATTTTCGTGGTTCTTGGGGACTTAAATGCAACTGAACAATTTTAAAGAAACCAAAATATAACAAAGGAAATAATGACCCACTATTATAAAGCATTCTCTTCTTTTTCTTTCCGGCCCTCCTCCACCTTTCAGCCACTGCCCTAGGCTGGCTGATGCAACTTATGTCTGAGAATGCTTAAAATTTTAGAGTTTTGACTACATTGGTTTAATAGAACATTTGAAGCACTATGCACATATTAGATTACCATAAATTAAAGAGCTTTATTTTTCTTTTTTTTTAAGAACTTGACATTGAAAAGCAATGTATGACTGTTGGGTCAGGCTCGTTTGATTGGTTTAATACCAGCTTGATCGTAATTACAATCTTTATAGAGTGAGACACTCAGTGAATGTGACAGTGCTCTATGCTTGGCCACGGAAAAGTACTTGAAATAATTTCAATCTCTGAAATTATTTGTTAATTTTTAAAAAGCAAATAAAAGTACATTTATTTCTTCCATTTTACTTTGTTGTTTTGCTCTTGTTAATCTACCTCAAAGCCTTCTTATTACTTTTTAAAGTCTTTTTCAGAGTTCCTGAGTTTCTACTCTAGTTTCTTTTTCATCCTGCACATAATAATAATGATGATGATAGTTGATATTTATTAAGTAATTACTATATGCAGGGCATGGAACCAAGCACTTTACACATATTAATTCATTTAAAATGCACAACAGCCCCATGAGGTCAGTACTGCTGTTATTTCCATTTTCCAGATAAGGATGTTTGCCCAAGGTCCACAGCTAATAAGTGGCAGAGCCAGGTTCAGGATCCAGGATTTTCAATTCCTAACATCATGCTGTTAACCACTACAGTGGATTATAAATATACATTTTCCACACTGGGAGATACTGGTCTCTTTTCCTACATATACAAACAACAATTCATTTTCAAAAAAAAAACGAGCATTTCCTGCTAATACCCATTAGATTAAATTATGTTTATGATTTATAAGATTTGACACAATAGACAGTATTGTTTATATATTTAACTGTAGCTTTGATAGCATAACATTTCTGTGCTTAAAATAAAGTGCTTTTTCATTGGTTTGTTAATTTATTTCTTTAGAACTATTTGATTTGACATGCCTCTAATCTTCGCTCATTTCACAGTAGAAAGAGCCAATGAAAATGCATTTATTAATTAAACCTAAATAGAGCACACTTACGAGATCTTCCTGAGGAAAACAGGCAATTCTCCTAGCAACTAAAACTCATCTAAGAAATTCGTTCCAGGGAAAATGAGACCAGGAAACCAAAACACGTTGTTTTGCTGCCAATATACCCTGCTACCACTACTACCACCATCCATGATTTGGGGAGAAAAGGCTGTCAATAGAGGAAAAATGGAGCCTTTCTCCAGTTTTAGTGACTAGAGTACCACATGACAAGCAGGAAGTGATGAAAATCCAAACTAGTGATGGGCCAGTCTTGCAGGTTGGATAAGATGAGTCGTTGATGCTAAAATTCAGTGTGTCAAGTAAAAAATGGAGTTAGAAACAGTCAATGCAAAACACAAGGTCAACTCAGCAGCAGAAGTTAAGATAGAAGGAACAGGGGTTAATTCAAGAAACAGAATTTGCAAACAAGTCCAAGGATAAAGGACACAGGAGCTGACAGTGAGTCTAGGTCAGGAAATGAAGGTAAAGAAACCATGATTCCCCATCAACCCATGCAGACTTCAGCACCTAGAGCAGGATCTCTTCCGGAGACCTCAAGCTCTTTATTTTTCTAGTGCCCCCTTCCATTCATGAGCCTCAATCTGCGGAACCAGGTAGATGGCCCAGACCCTATTTCAAGAAAAGAAAAAAAAAGAAATGTTTAAGAATGTGAAAGAGCTTCAATAAAACAAATTAAACTTTTGCCAATTTATTTCTTCCATGAGAATCGCTAGAGAGGGATAATAAAATTTACAGCTCCATATTTATAAACTTCTGTGTCTAGGGTTGGGCAAGAACTCTAAAGATGATCATTCTCTCTGCTCTGGATGACATCAGATCAATTGTGATGGAACCCACAGTTGTATCCAGGCATGGTCATCCCTATGCAAGAGAGGGGCCAACACAGCATCCAAATAAAGTGCCAAGAGCCTCCAGTTCAGAAAGCCATGACCTTAGGACAAAGCCAAATCCAAGAACTGAGACAAACGGTTAGTTCCCAGAGTGAGATTTAGTGGCAGGATTTACTGCCAAAGCTTTCCTTGTTGATATAGTTTTGCCAAACCATATCAATAAGGATAGCTTTGGCTGTGTCCCCACCCAAATCTCATCTTGCTTGTAGCTCCCACAATTTCCATGTGTTGTTGGGAGGGATCTAATGGGAGATAACTGAATCATGGGGGCAGTTTCCCCCATACTGTCCTCATGGTAGTGGATAAGTCTCATGAGATCTGGTGGTTTCATAAGGTGAAACCCCTTTCACTTGATTCTCATTTTCTCCTTGCCTGCCACCATGTAAGACATGCCTTTCACCTTCCGCCAGGATTGTGAGGCCTCCCTAGCCACGTGGAAGTGTGAGTTCCTTAAACCTCTTTTTCTTTATAAATTACCCAGTTTTTGAGTATGTCTTTATCAGCAGCATGAAAACACTTGTCTTCTTGGAACAAAGTTGGGAGCTTTGGCAATAGCAACTCTCTGACAAAGCTCTTTCACACCTCCAGCCTATTTCCTTCTCTCTTTTTTTGACCGTAAAAGTGATATTTATTAATTGGCCAGTTACACAAATTAGCTATCAATTCCAGATCTGTCCCTTCACCTTCACCATAGTATATCAGGTGAATTCGTCTATAAACATCATTATTTCTATAAACCCAAGTATTATGGGTTGCTCACATAAACCAACAGAATCCCTGACAGTGCTCTAATATTTGACCAAAATCACCATAATCACCTCATTTCCTGTGGAAATTAGGGTTAATGGTTTCCTATTCTCCCAAGAGGTAAGGAAGCATAGAAATAAATATAAATACTATCTGCATGAAACATTGATCTAATCTTATATGTTTATATTTACAAGGCCATGTTCACAGTTAGTTTTTCATTATTTTGTCCTAGAGAACTGCCCAAATTTTAGACAAAATCCCAGTAAGTGAACTTGGATTATTCCTGACTTCGCCCTGAAATAGAGCACAGTTTCAGAATTTACAGCACACAATCCTGTCAATGATGCCTTTATCTTAAAGAAGGTTTTATTAAAGCAGCAGCATAGATGTTGATGTCTAATTTCAATGGCGTAATATGCCATTTAGAGTATGACAAATGAATATAAATTCCTGGGGTCAGTGTGAGATTTTTAAATATTAGGGCTTTGAAAACGAACCAGTCTCCTTAGAGGATTTATACCTTAACCACCTTAATATAAATTTAAGGTAACGGAGGCTTGCAAAAGGTAGGTGTCTTGTCTAAGATTCACAACTCCTTAGGAAGAAAGCTGGGATTAAGTTGGAGTTTAGGTTTCCTTTCACATTAAACTCAGAGCCTTAGTTTCCTCACATATAAAATTAAAGAGCTGAGCTATGGAATCAATCCTTAGGGAGGTCCCGCCCAGCTTTCAAATGCTCTGATTTTCCTAGGCCTCAGATGCTTACATTCAGTTCTGAGTTGCAAAGGCATAGCAGCTTGACCATCAAAGCCTTAACCTTAGAGCCTAGGCAGATCATTCACAGGTCTCTCAGAGCACAAACATCTCAGCATGGTCACGTTTGGCATTGTGTAAAGATCACTGAATCTCTACCCTATTCGCTACATCCAGTTCACCCTCTTGTTCAATGGTTTCTCTTGGACAGGAAGGCTGGCCCTATTGACTGAGGTCTGTGTCTACTTCCCTTTGATCCCAGCTCAGAATACCCTGGCATGCCAGCCTGCCCCCAAAATGTCAGTACTCACAGGCCTCTCAACCCACTTGGGTGCTTTGCAGGGACTCTGGGCTCAAGGACGCTGACATAATTTGCAGGTCCAAGTACAAAATGAAAATGCGGGGCTGCTTGTCCATAATTTGTGGGGCCCAGTTCAAAATGCAAATACTGTTAAATATACTACAGTGTAGTTTTTTTCCCTTCTTCCATGATCTCTCTTTCTCTCTCTCAACTTCTTATAGTCTGTGTTTTTTTAAAAAAATGTATCTAATGTCATTCTCAGAAACAGAATTTACATTTCAAATTATTGGCATAAATTTTACTGTTCAACTTTATATTGTGCAATGCCACTTTTAAATGCAAATATAAGAACATTTAACTTGTATGCAGAATCACTGAAATTATACAATTTGTATTTCATAGTTTACACATGCATATGTATTTTGTTCTTACCAGAACAGTGGAAACGCTACATGCACATACACAAAACTACCTCGACTCTTTTTATTTTGCATCTTGTTTGATACACAAGCATTCTACCAACACTTTCTATCTTCAGCTTACTGATGAGTAAGAAAGAACTGAAAGGAAAAAGAATTATGGGTTGCTCTATCTTTCTCTTTCCTTTGATGTCATCTTTTTTAGCATAAGTGGTTGGCTAATATAGGAAAGTGATGCGAGTAGGTTAGAATCTAATAGTGTCCCTTGGCCATTCGTGTTTCTTAGAACACTATTTCCTTCATTCTGTGTTGAATGCAAGTGCTGGTTCAAATAGAAAGTGTGGCCGGGTACGGTGACTCATACCTGTAATCCCAGCACTTTGGGATCCCAAGGTTGGTGGATCACCTGAGGTCAGGAGTTTGAGACCAACCTGGCCAAAATGGCAAAACCACATCTCTACCAAAAATACAAAAATTAGCTGGGTGTGGTGGCAGGTGCCTGTAGTCCCAACTACTCAGGAGGCTGAAGCAAGAGAATCACTTGAACCAAGGAAGTGGAGGATGCAGTGAGCCGAGATCACACCACTGCACTCGAGCCTGTATGACAGAGCGAGACTCCATTTCAACAACAACAACAAAATAATAAAGAAAAGAAAGAAAGAAACAAAAAAAGTATGACCTCTCAATGGTTTTAGCTTTTAGCACCCCCACTTACTCAGCCGTAGATGTAATAGGCTTACCGGGTAATCTCTTTTGGGTCTTGATGAACTCCCTCACATCATGGGTCCATAGGAATTCTATGCTCTTGAACATGGTGAATGCTATATGCAAATGGGGCATCAAGAAACAGTGCACGTGTATATTGCAATATTGCCTCTGCTCACACACTTGCTCCATTGGACTTCAATACAAAACACAGGTTCAATGGTAAAGTCATGAAGGATTAAAAGATGGCAAACAGCAGAGCATTAAACCAAGCATGGGACCCTTCTGAGTGTGAATCCTGTGCAACTGCCCAGGTGGTACACCCATAACATTGGCCCTGCCTGGCTGCATGCCCTTTGCAACTAGGACATAACCTGGTGGTATTCTGAAATGTAGGAACCTACACTACTGAGACTAGAAGGTAGTAGACAAAGATCCCATAGTACAGGGACAGCAAGAATCCTACTGACAGAAAGGGACAGAATTCCTGGTGAGTCTTCCTGGGCTTCAGTGCTGGGATGGATCCACTGGTCTGACCAGTGCTCTGGGAATGCTTGTCCAATTCTGTCTCAGCAATCTTTGAGTCCTAGCACATCCCAGACCACGTAACAACCCTAGAAAAGATTCCAATATGACTTAGACAGTCAGTGGACACAAAGTCCCTCTCTTATACTTCTCCTTTCCCTCCTTTTTATTTTCTGAACTACACTCACATTCTGCTGCCTCTTTCTACAAGAATCGAATAACCCTCTTCCAATGTGGAGAAATAGGAATGCTTTTACATTGTTGGTGGGAGTGTATATTAGTTCAACCATTGTGGAAGACAGTGTGGCAATTCCTTAAGGATCTAGAACCAGAAATACCATTTGACCTAGCAATCCCATTACTGGGTATATACTCAAAGGATTATAAATTATTCTACTATAATGACACATGCACACGTATGTTTATTGCAGCACTATTTACAACAGCAAAGACTTGGAACCAACCCAAATGCCCATCAATGATAGACTGGATAAAGAAAATGTGGCATATATACACCATGGAATACTATGCAGCCTTTAAAAAAGAATGAGTTCATGTCCTTTGCAGGGACATGGATGAAGCTGGAAACCATCATTCTCAGCAAACTAACACAGGAACAGAAAACCAAACACCGCATGTTCTCACTCATAGGTGGGAGTTGAACAATGAGGACACATGGACACAGGGAGGGGAACATCACACACCAGGGCCTGTCAGGGGGTGGGGGAAAAGGGGAGGGACAGCATTAGGACAAATATCTAATGCATGTGGGGCTTAAAACCTAGATGATGGGTTGATGGGTGCAGCAAACCACCATGGCATATGTATACTTATATAACAAACCTGCACGTTCTGCACATATATCCCAGAACTTAAAGTATAATAAAAATAAATAAATTTTTTAAAAAAAGAATAGCTCTCTTCCCATAAGCAGGGCATAATAGAGGGGGTTAAATTATAAGTCCTCTAAGAAGACTGGTCCATTTCTAACAGCCTCAGTGGCCTACAGGAAGGGCCTAGACCTTAGAAACCAAAAGTCCTGTTCACTCTCCATTGCTGAGGGAGAGTAGGAGAAGATAGTCGGAATTTTTGGAAATACCTACCATTCCTTCCCAAAGGCTAAGCAGGAGGTGCTGACTGGTATCTTCCTGCAAAATGTCAAATAATAAATCACAAATTAAGTCTTTGGCAAGTCACCCCATTCTTTAAGTGCTTGGCAGATCACCCAGATACATGTAGGATCAGAGTTAAGGAAGGAGTGTTTCATCACAGGGAAAGTGGACACCAAAATCAAGAGAGGATACTGAGACAGAGCTGAATAGGAAACTAAGTACGATATGTCTTAAGCCCTCTTCCCATACACAGGAAGTTTGGGGTTTTGCCCCCAGGGAAGAGGAATTCTAGAAGCTACAGCTTATCTTTCTACAGTATAAAGTTGGAACTGTCTGATTTGAAATGTAAAACGTGGACCAGAAGGGGAATAAAAGGTAATGTCCTAAGTGAGGATAAGTTTGCAACTAAGGAAGCAAGCAGGATTAGGCGGGCATCCAGATAGTGGATCTTGAAGACGCTTCCTCAGATGCCAAGCAGGCTCCTCTTTTATAGGGATTGTGTAGCTTCATCCAGGGCAAAAACGTGGGGTTTTTTTTTTTCTTCTTAAGGTCTTGAATACTTTTTGCCTTACCCTAACCCACCACAACCACTACCGTTAGGTGAATCTGGAAATTCCCCATGTTTTCTTAGCCGAAGCTTCGAATGTTCCATGGCTACCCATCTGGGCCAAACTTTTGTGGGTAAATTAGGATCTGGAATTGGCAATTATCTTGTTGACAAATAAATGAGGCATAGCAGAGAATCTAAAAATAAACTCACATATATGTGGTCAACTGCTTTTCAACAAAGATTCCAAGGTAATTCAATGGGGAAGAGGATAATATTTCCAACAATTATCCAACAATTTAAAAATTGTTTAAATATATCCAACAATTTAAAAATTGCATATCTATGTGTGTAAAAAGACCCTGAGCCATCACCTCATAACATATAAAATAATTCATTGAAATGTATCATGGACCTAAATTTGAGGGCTAGAAATAAAAATTTTCTGATGAAAATATAGAAGAAAATATTAGCAATCTTGGGATTGACAAAGATGTGCTTTAAGTAGGATACAGAGAGCACAAACTACAAAATACAAAAGTATTAATTGGACTTTCTGCACTTTAAAAAATTCTGTTAAGAAAATAAAAAGACAAGCCTCAGGCTGGGAGAAAATGTTTGTAAAACATAAATCTGACAAAGGACGTATCCAGGATACGTAAAGAACTCTTCCAACTCAACAATATGAAGATAAACTTTTTTCTAATAGGCAAAAGATATGAATAAATACTTTACCAAAAAAAGCACACAAATGGCAAATATGCACATGAAAAGATGCTCATTATCATTAGTTATTAGGGAAATCCAAACTAAAACCACATAAAGTTTCCACTATATACCCACAGGAATGACTGACATTTTTAAAAGATTGACAGTACTATGTGTTGACAAGGATAGGGAGTAACTGGAGCTCTCATCCATTGCTGATGGCAATCTAATACAGTATAGCCACTTTGGAATAGATTTGGAATTTCTTTTAAAGTTAAACATGTACTTACTATATGACTCAGCAATTCCCCCTTATACATTTATCCAAGAGAAATGAAAACATATAGCCATGTAAGATTTGTATTTAAATGTTCATACCATCTTTACTCATAATAGCTGGAAAGAACCAAGATGTCTATCAATTGGTAAATGCACAAATTATGGTATATGCATACAATGGAATAGTACTCAGTAATGAAAAAGCATAGACTACTGATAAACCCACCATTGTTGATGAATCTCAAAAGTATTATCCTTAGTGAAAGAAGCAGACCCAAAATACTGCACACAGTATGATTCCATTTATTTAAAGATCCTAGAAAAGCCAAAGCTGTAAGTTAGAAGGCAGATCAGTGGCTTCCAGGAACCAGTGGGGAGAGAAGGGGACAGATTACAAAGAAAATGGAAGAAAATGGTGGAGATGATGAAAATACCTATATTACGATTGCAGTGGTGGTTACATGACCCTCTCTGTATATTTGTTGAAACTCACCAAATTTCATACTCAATATTGGTTAATTTTATTACAAGTTAATGTACCACAATAAAGCAGACTTTTTAAAAAGATAGCTATAGTTTTTGCTTCTAAGTTAATATATAAATTGTAGATCTTAAACTCAAATATGCACGTGACTTTATATGTGATCATTCCTTCAAGTTCTCCCATACTGACCATAGCAATGTGTGCAATAGCCATAGCTCCAGCAATGCTAATATCTTCTTGTCTTTTCAGGTAAGAATCAGGAGAGCCTCTATTTTTGTGTCACTTTCTCAACAACTTGTGTATAAGGAAGTATTTTTATACTTATTTAACAGACAGAAGATGTGAAGCAGAGGACTTGTGACTTACCGAAGTTAAAATCACATTGATCCTTTGGAACAAACTTTATGACGATACACCCATTTTTATAGAAATCAAACCAAAGCACAACCAATTATCTGACATACCTGGGCAACTTTTGACCAATGCCTTTTCCAGATCATTATCTAAAGAATTAACCCAATATTCTTATTACTTTGTACCAGAATTTTATATATAAAAATTGTTCATTATATACATCTATGTATTGGTATATAATACCATCTCTATGAGAAAATGTCTTATAGATATTACACTCTATATATCTCTATATATCCATGTAGAAAACCTATATCTATATTTATCTATGTATCTATATTATAAAACAGTCTTGCGGTCCTAAGAACAATACTGGCACCTGAAATTGCTTCTTTGATTGGATAATAAATCCTGGGTGGCTTGATTTAAGTTGCCAGTTTCAATCAGAGTTTTCCTTTGTGAGACAGGCAGTCATGTAAACTGATCTAGTTCAGCTGATAGTAACAGTTCCAGAAATCCAACAGAGTGTTTTTTAATAAAAATGTATACAGGATTGGAATGTTGATAAGACATTTGCAAATGTATATAGAAATATGATAATTTATACTATTTTGTGATAAGATTCCTGGTTGGCATTAGTGATGCATCATATGATTGCATTAATTGCAAAGAAGAAACTCAAAATGGCATAATTGTGCCTGATGTTCAAGTAATAGAAATAGAATTTAAAGTGTTCTTAGAAAATGGAAAAATGTTACTGAGGTGAAAAGACTTTAAAAACATGAATTCAAAACCAAACCATTAGCACATGTAACCCTTTCAAGGTAATATAAATCCTGTAGTAGACCTTCTACCACCACCCATCAACCTGGACAAGGATAAAAGAAAGTGGGGAGATGAGCATCAGCCGCTGGTAGGTTATCTCTGAAAGCACTGAAGAGAGCCGTTGCATGTTGTAACATCCTCAGGTCATTAGGTCATAAGTAAATAGGCTGGCATCTCTGGTCCGAGAGGCAGCCTAGTGTAGTAGTTATGTGGGTCTTACTCTGAGCTGCAGCATAATGGAGTGGTCTGAGGCATGAACTCTGCAAGCCAAACTACCTGAATTCAAATCCAGGCTGTGCTGCTGACTAGCTGTTTGTCCTTGGACAAATCATCCTGCCTCTCTGTGCCTTAATTTCTTAATTTGTAAAATGCAGAAGACACTCATGTACCTTTCTTCAGCTGATTATAAGTACTGAATGAGTAAATATTTATAAAACTTTTGGGACAGTGTGGGCACATAGTCAATGATACATAGTTTTTTTAAGTTAATAATACTTAATTGATGATAAGAATGTATATGTGGTATTTTTTTAGGGCCAACATTAGCTACTCTAGAGACTCATCTACTGAGAGGCCTCCTTAGTTACAGAGACTGGAATGAATCCTTTTGAATTACAGTGCTTTCACTGGAGAGCTCTATCCTGGCCAGCCACACCATTGACTAGGGCAATTTACTCTTGCTCATGTTTATAGCTCTGACCACAGCTGATTAGACCAGAGACAAAATCCTGACTAAATCTGGACAAAAATATTCTCCCTCCAAGAAATTTCAAATGGGAGAACTGAAACATTGGCTATGCTAACTTTAGTGCTTTTTTAAACATATGCAATGCACTATTATTTATTATAGCCACCTTTCAGTGCAATAGATGATTAAAGCTATTCCTCCTGTCGAACTGAAATTTTGTGTCCTTTGACGAACATCTCCTCATTACTCCCTCCAACCCCAACTCCCAGCCTCTGTAAATCACCATTCTACTCCCTATTTCTATGGGGTCAACATTTTTAGATTCCACAAGTAAGTGAGATCACACAGTCTTTGCCTTTCTATGCCTGGCTTATTTCGCTTAGCGTAATGTCCTCCAGGTTCATTCATATTGCCGCAAATGCCAGGATTTCCTTCTTTTTCAAGAGTGAAAAATCTTCCATTGTTTATATACCACATTTTCCTTATCCATTCATCTGATGGTGGATGCTTAGGTTAATTCCATATCTTTGCTATTGCTAGTAACATTGCAATGAATATGATGGGAGTGCAGGTATCTCTTAACATACTGATGTCCGTTCTTTTGGATACATATCCTGAAGTGGGTTTGCTGGATCATATGGTAATTCTATTTTTAGTTTCTGAGGAACCTCCATACTCTTTTCCATAATAGCTGTACTAATTTACATTCCCACCAACAGTGCACAAGTGTTCCCTTTCCTCCACATCCTTGCCAATAAAAGTTATTGTCCATCTTTTTACTAAAATAGCCATTCTAACAGGTATGAAGTGATATCTCATTGCAGTTTTAATTTGTGTTTCCCTGATAATTAGTGAAGATGATGATTTTTCATATATCTGTTGACCATTTACATGTCTTTTTTTTTTAAGAAATGTCTATTTAAGTCTCTTGCCCATTTTTTAAATTGGGTTCTTTATTTTCTTGCAATTGAGTTATTTGAGTTTCTTATATATTTTGGATATTAGCCCCTTATCAGATATGTGGCTTGCAAATATTTTCTCCCAATCCATGAGTTGTCTCTTCATTCTATTGCTTCTTTTGCCATGCAGAAGCTTTTCAGTTTGATGACATACTTTTTGTTTATTTTTTGCTTTTGTTGCCTGTGCTTTGGGGGTCACATCCAAGAAATGTTTGCCCCCAGAACAATATTGTGGAGCATTCCCTTTACGTTTTCTTCTAGTAGTTTTACAGTTTCAAGTGTCACATTTAAGTCTTTAATTCATTTTGAGTTCATTTCTGTGTATCATGTGAGGTAAGGGTTCAATTTCATTCTTCTGCATGCATATCCAATGTTCCCAACATCATTTATTAAAGAGATTGTCCTTTCTCTATTGTGCGTTCTTGGCAGCCTTGTTGAAAATCAATTGACCATAAACATGTGGGTTTATTTCTGGGCTCTCTATCCTGTTTCATTGGTTTTTGTCTGTTTTTATGCCAGTGTTTTGCTGTTTTGGTTTCTATAGTTTTGTAATACATTTTGGAGTTAGGTAGTGTGATGCCTTCAGCTTTGCTCTTTTTACCAAAGATTTCTTTGCCTATTCAGGGACCTTTGTGGTTTTACACAAATTTTAGGATTGGTTTTCCTATTTCTGTGAAAATGATCGGCTAACTTTGGAGAGCTGAGGTGCAAGAGCATGTAATATCAGAGCTGGAGTGAGCACCATCGCAAGATGAAGTCACAGACGGGCCTCCATTATGGGGAAGAACAAACCAAGAGCCACACGCAGGAAGCCAATTCATGAGATTGTCCTGTGTCCTTATAAGAAACCCCCCTGTTAGTGTGTGCACCACCAGGCCAGATGCTAACTGTGAGGAAGGACTATAAAGAACTTGCATTTAGTGAGGTCCTCGAGAGTGGCAGGCAGTTCTAGGCACCTACATGCATCATCTCATTTAAGCTTCACAGTAATCCTGTTACATCAATCTTATTATTTCATGTTCACGGGTAAAGACACTAATATGGTTTGGCTCTGTGTCCCCACCCAAATCTCATGATGAACTGTAATGCCCAGTGTTAGAGGAGGGGCTTGGTGGGAGGTGATTGAGTCATGGGGGCGGACTTCCCCGTTGCTGTTCTCATAATAGAGTTCTCACAAGATCTGATTGTTTGAAAGTGTGTAGCTTCTACCCCTTTGCTCTCTCTCTCCTGCCACCATATGAAGACTGTGCCTGCCTCCCCTTCACCTTCTACCATGATTGTAAGTTTCCTAAGTACTCTTCAGAAGCAGAAGCCTGTACAGCCCACAGAACTGTGAGCCAATTAAACTTTTTTCTTTATAAGTTACCTAGGCTCAGATATGTCTTTACAGCAGTGTGTGAATAGAATAATATAGAAAATTGGTACCAGAGAAGTGGGGCATTGTTATAAAGATATTAGTAAATGTGGTATCTATAAAGATACCAGTAAATGTGGAAGCAGCTTTGGAACTGGGTAGTGGACAGAGGTTGAAACAGTTTGGAGGGTTTAGAAGGAAACAGGAAGATGAAGGAAAATTTGGAACTTCCTATAGACTTGTTGAATGGTTGTGACCAAAATGCTATAGTGATATGGATAATGAAGTCCAGGCTGAAGAGGTCTCAGATGGAGATGAGGAACTTATTGGGAACTGGAGTAAAGGTCACTCTTGCTATGCTTTAGCAAAGAGACTGGTGGCATTGTGCCCCTGCTCTAGGGATTTGTTGAACTTTGAACTTGAGAGAGATGAATTAGAGTATCTGGCAGAAGAAATTTCTCAGCAAAAAGTGTTCAAGTTGTGGTCTGGCTGTTTCTAACAGCATACACTCATATGTGTGCACAAAGAGATTATCTGAAACTGGAACTTATATTTAGAAGGGAAGCAGAGCATAAAAGTTTGGAAAATTTTCAGCCTATGTGGTAGAAAAGAAAAATCCACTTTTTGGGGGAGGAATTCAAGCCTGCTGCATAAATTTGCATAAATAAATAGGAGCCAAATGCTAATAGCCAAGACAATGGAGAAAATGCCTCCAAAGCATTTCAGGGACCTTCATGGTGGCCCCTCCCATCACAGGCCTGGAGGACTAGGAGGGAAAAATGACTTCATATGCCAGGCCCAGGGCCCCACTGTTCTTTGCAGTTTGGGGGCATGGCACCCTGCATCCTGGCTGCTCCAGCTCCAGCCATGGCTAAAATGGGCCAAGGTACAGCTTAGGCTGTTGCTTCAAAGGGTGCAAGCCTCAAGCCTTGGCAGCTTCCATGTGGTGTTAAGCCTGCAGGTACACACAGGGTGAGAGTTGAGGCTTGGGAGCCTCTCTGCCTAGATTTCAGAGGGCATATGGAAAAAACATCCTGACTGAATGTCCAGGCAAAAGTCTGCTGCAGTGACAGAGCCCTCATGGAGAATTTCTAGGCAATGCAGAGTGGAAATGTGGGGTTGGAGCCCCCACACAGAGTCCCCATTAGGGAGCTGTGAGAAGACAGCCACAAACCTCCAGACCCCAAAATGGTAGATCCACCTACAGCTTTCACCGCGCACCTGCAAAAGCTGTAGGCACTCAATGCCAGTCCATAAAAGTAGCCACAGGGGCTGTACCCTGCAAAGCCACAGGTGCAGAGCTGCCCAAGGCCTTGGGTGCCCACCCCTTGCATCAGTGTGGCCTGGATGTGATACATGGATTCACATGAATCTCAAAGGAGATTATTTTGGAGTTTTGAGAGTTAATGACTGCCCTACTGGATTTCAGACTTGCATGGGGCCTGTAGCCCCTTTGTTTTTGCCAATTTCTCCCTTTTGGAAGGGGAGCATTTACCCAATGCCTGTAGCCCCATTATATCTTAAAAGTAACTAAGTAATTTGTTTTTTATTTTACAGGCTCATAGGCAGAAGGGACTTCCTTGTCTTAGATGAGACTTTGGACTTGGACTTTAGTTAATGATGGAATGAGTTAAGACTTTGGGGGTCTGTTGGGAAGGTATGATTGTGTTTTGAAATGTGACAAGAACACGAGGTTTGGGAGGGGCCAGGGGTAGAATAATATGGTTTGCCTCTGTGTCCCCACCCAAATCTCCTGTCAAATTGTAATCCCCAGTGTTGAAGGGGGGGCCTGGTGGGAGGTGACTGAATCACAGGAGCAGACTTCCTCCTTGCTGTTCTCATGATAGAGTTTTTATAAGATCTGGTTGTGGGGAAGTGTTCAGCACCTCCGCCTTTGCTCTCTCTCTCTCTCCTGCCACCATGTGAATATGTGCTTGCTACCCTTCCACCATAATTGTGAGTTTCCTGGGTCCTCCCCAGAAGCAGAAGCCTATATAGCTCACAGAACCATGAGCCAGTTAAACTTCTTTTCTTTTCTGGTGATGGTTGTTTGCAGCTTTAAGGGGCTACCACTAGCCAAATATGGAACAATTTGAGCACGAAAATAAATGATGGTATAATGGATTATAGCCCATGGAGTGAAATGGAAATCCATGGATCTTGTTGATAAAAATAAATAAATGAATAAATATATAAGTGAGGGAAAAGAGAAAGCACTTCCTTTCAGTAGGATGTCAACCAGTGAATGTCAAAGCAATGATGAAGTTAGAAAAATCAAAATTGGCAGCTATCATGGTAGTATTTTATTCAGGCACGAATCTTTCAAGGATGATAAAACAAGTTGAGAGGTTTTATGGAATGAGATATCTACATGATTGCAAGGTAGCTCCTCACAAAATACTGATGAATTACAAAAGAAAAAAATAATAACTCTACAGTAGAGAATGCTGGCAAACACCACCTTCCCCAAGTGATCAGAGTTAACATAACCAGGGATGGGACTTTACTGGTATCATGTCCTTTCTACCATGATAGACTGAGAAGGATACAACACTACCATATGTATTCCTGTCAAACACACACAACCTGAATCTAATCATGAGAAAGCATCAGACAAACTCAAATTGAGGGACACTCTACAAAATAACTGTTGAATATGCTTCAATAATATCAAGGTCACAAAAGACAAGAAAAGACTGAAGAAGTGTCCAAAAAGATGACAACAAAATGTAATATGTTATCCTGGATTGGATAATGACTTAAAAAGGGAATTTTTTCCCACTTTGAAGACATTATTGGAATATTTAGTAAAATTTAAGTGGGGTCCTGGATTACAGAGTAGTGTTTATAATGTTAATTTACTGATTTTGATGGTTGTTCTGTGATTAGGTGGGAGAGTGTCCTTGTCTTTTAGGAAATACACAGTGAAATGTTTAGAAGTGTTCAGCTTACTCTCAGTTGATTCAGATGGGAAAGAATATATATATATAGTTTACAGGAAAATAATGATAAAGCAACTGTGGTAAAATCTTAACAACTGGAAATCAGTGTAAAAGATATACAAAGAGTACTCTTCTACTTTTTTCTCTAAGTTTAAAATTATTTCAAAATAAAAAGTCTTAAATGATAAAAGAAATCACCATGGTACCTATTTTACTTTCATTCTTCCAGGGCAGAGACTTGGCTTTATGCACCTGCTTTTCCTTTTCTGGCCTATTTCCAGGCACGTAAGAGAAAACCAATGAACACTTGTTTGGATAATTGGTGATTATACTTGTCTTAGCTTCCTTACTAAATTGTAAGCTACTAGAGGGCTTGAACCATGTCTTGTTTCTCGGAATTCCCTAAAGACCCAGCTCCGTGTCCTGTACATAATTGACACCATTGGTTATTTGTAGAACGGAATGGAATTATGTGGCCACTCAAATGTTATGATAATGATTAGGCTCTGACAAAGATCCCTTTTATGGGCCTGTGAAAACAATCACAGTACTTGAAACTAAAATTCCCCTCCTGGGCTTGTGAAAGCCAGGGTCCAGGTTAAGCAGCCCTTTGTGAAGCTGCATTCTCCGAGAGCGGCATCTGACTCTCCACTGAGTCACCTTTGGCAGGGAGCCTTCCCCTCAGTCTGCAGTCATTACCCTAATGAAGGACAGCTGGGGCTGCCAACAATGAACTTGCACTCTCAAGTGGCAGCCGCCCTTAAAAGAACAGTTCCCTCACCCACTAGAACAGCCCTTCCAGGCCAGAAATTGGCCACTGGTTTTATGCCTGGATGGGATGTGGATCCATAGGGAGTCAAAAATGGCAGCTGCAAAGCATGCTGTTGATAGAGAAATGCTCAGTTTAAAGAAGAAACCCTGCCCAGAGTGAGAAGCAAAACTTGCCATGTATTTTAAAAACCACTGTCCTATGTTTTGAAAAACTATATTGGCAGGGGAATCTGATACAGACTTTACTTCTGGACAGCTGTCCTGTTCATTCAGATGCAGGGTGAGCTGGAAGTCAGCCTTCAGGGCCGTGAATACAGGGCAGCTCCAAGCAAGCAACAGGCTCACCAACGAAACCAACAGACAATGTGCATTTTTCAAGACTGTTTCCCTGATGAAAAAATATTTTTTTCTACATAAGCTTGTATAGGCCACTCCTCTGATGCAGAAATCAACATTTCATGAGGTAAATAGAAAAATACTGTCTGGTAATAACCCGCATCACTGAGTGTTTACTCAGTGACAAATGTTACTCTAAGAGCTTTGCATGATTAGCTCATGTAATCCTCCTGATAGCCTGCAGGTAGGTACTCATTGCACCTGGCTGGCAGAGAAGGCACCTAAGAAATTTGGCAAAAGCCACAGAACTAGTCAGTGGTGGAGCCACAATCTGAACTCAGATACTCTAACAGCAAAGTCAACTGTTTAACACAGATCCTTCAAAGTTGGGTATTTTTCCAAGGAAACTTTGGATTGACACTTAACTGCAGAGACCATACTATGTTACGTGTGTTGAAACTTGTTTTGATCACACACACACAGTGCTTTGAACATGGAACATAACCAAGCAATGCTAATGACTATACGTTGGAGGAGAATAATACAGGAACGTCAGAAATGAAATGTTTATTTTGGCTGTTAGGGGCACTGGCACTGATCTGAAACCAGTTTTGAAAATGCAGAATGCGACAAAGTTGAAGTCATGCTGGTTTGAAGGGTTAAAAGTTCTGCTAGGTAGCTGAGCCAGGAATATGTCCTCTGTCCGGAGTGCTCACCTTACAGCGGGAGGTGGGGCAAAAGCCAGCGGCTGGTCCAGACTGCTAAAGGATTGCAGAGAGACCCATGATATTGAAGAGCATGACCGACAGGCCTCATAGTGTGTAAAAATGTATGCTTGACATGGGGCAGCAATGCGGTCCATGGAGCAGAGGCGCATGGACCCATTAGCAGACATGATGAGGACAGGCAGGGTGGGCTGACGCACAGCTGAAGAAGATAGGGGAGCACAGGAAATGACATTTTTAAATGTCAGGAAAACGTTACACAATGAGTCAGAAAGAGATGGACATTTCCTAAGCAGTAATGCTGCCTCATTATATAAAGTTTTCTGTTCTGTCAGTCATTAACTATACCAGAAAAGAAGGCAAAACACGCAGGTTTTTGTGAATCAAGCAATCTTTAACTTCTGTGACACATCTTCTCATAACTAGACCACGGCAGTAAGCTGCTCAGGAAAGGTCAGTTACACAAATGAAAAATAAAAATGGGATAGCACAGAATGCACGAGACAGGGCTCTGGGTGCCCGGCCCTACAGTGCCCTACTTACTTGGCTTACCCACGGCTCCAGGAACCATCCCACAACCATGAGGACAACCTTACACCTACAAAGAAAGTGATTGTTTTCATGTAGCTTTATTGATTCTTCACACAAATATTTGGTGGGATCACTTTTCTGCCATTAAAAGAATCACAATAAAGATCATGCAAAGAACACTAGGGCTGCATTACAGTAGCCTGGATGGTTGCCTGCTCTGCAGACCTTGCTTCTAGTTTAGGGCTCTTCAACTTGGAAGGTGGGAAGTAGAAACTAGGAAGAGAGTCTCAACGAAAGGAAGAGAAATGGTTTTTTAGAAGAATAGAAGCCTAAATAAGACGATGGGATCTGACACTATTACCTGGAATAGGCAAGCCTGAAGAAACCTAATTATTATCTTAGAATATATATACATAGTTTACTAACTAGAAAGTGAAAACCATAAAGAGCCATCAAAGACATATCAAAAGGAGGGAAATTGCAATATGAGAATTAGGAAACAATTTCAAATTGTAAGAACATTTTAACTTTCAAATGGGTTACCTAGATATTCTTGTGATGTTTCTTTCTAGGTTGAAAAATAAAGATAATGATAGGGTTCGATTTGCCCACTTGGAATAGTTTAAATAAGTAGTTATCAAAGTAAAGTCTATGGGATCTGGAAATTGTAGAAGAATTTAAAAATTTTATGTTTTCATTTTGATGATCGTTTCTAAAAATTATTTCTTACCCGTCTGAGCATGACTCAAGTCTGGGAAACAACGGTTTGAATTTTTGAGCTCTCCTCTCTCACTCTGCTTCTATTTTATATTGTTCTACTATAAACTTTTCTTAGAATAAGCAATCACCACATAACAGTAGTACAATGGAGTGCATACTCAGTGCTACCTTTTGCTAAAGATGACATCAAATGTTAAAACTGCAGAAGATAAAGGGAGCATGTTTACTTCCTATCATTTGGGCCATTTGGTACTGTGACATTGGTCATCGAAAATGTTACATGTGGAAAAATGTAAGGAGGCAGGCTCCATTAAGAACACAACCATGATTCTTCAGAGGAGATACTTTAGCTCCTCAGATACTTTCTTTTTTAAAAAAGACATAAAATTTGTTCTCACTCATAAGTGGGAGTTGAACAATGAGAACACATGGACATAGGGAGGGGAACATCACACACTGTCGGGGGGTGGGGGGAAAGGGGAAGGAGAGCATTAGGACAAATACCTAATGCATGTGGGGCTTAAAACCTAGATGATGGGTTGATGGGTGCAGCAAACCACCATAGCACATGTATACCTATGTAACAAACCTGCACGTTCTGCACATGTATCCCAGAACTTAAAGTTAAAAAAAAAAGTTAAAATTTTATGTATCTATTTTTAGATATCCTATACATTTATTCTCCAGAGACAAGAGGAAAAAAGTTGATTTCAAACATGAGATTGGACATGCAAAATCTCCAATAATTAATGGTTTAAACAGTTTCATGTACTGTTTGTTTACCCTATATGTTATTACTTGCAGGTAATGACAAGCATGTATTTATCTATAAGCCACTAATTTGCTGCCACTTTGCCAAGACGACTTGATACTTTTCCATATCTGATTGGGAGATGCTGACCAGAATTTTAAGAGCTGGGCTGGAGCAGTGCAATGGGCTCAATACTGTGGGAACTTTATTCTCTCTAAGGATACTAGGTGGCACATGTAAGTGTCCCATACAGCAAGTATGTTGTGGACCCCAACAAAAATACTCAATTGCAAATTCATTAAAAATCAGTCAACAGGAATGAGTTTTTTAAATCCTCAGCACTTTATAAATACAAGATAAGCACCAAGACATGCGTTCAAACTTAAATAACAAGTAAACATATTTTTCCTGTTTTTAGTTCTCTAAAACTACATATTGCAGTCCTGCCTTTCCCTAAATATAATTTATGCAATTAAATTATAAATATAAATTATAAATTAGTAAATGTAACTTACTAATTTAGAGAGATATCATGTAATATCAATTATAAAAAGCATTTCAAGTTAACAACACTTATTCTTTTTCTTTCTTTCTTTCTTTCTTTTTTTCATCAGAGCCTTTCTCTGTCACCCAGGCTGGAGTGCAGTGGTGTGATCTTGGCTCACTGCAACCTCTGCTTCCCGGGTTCAAGCAATTCTCCTGCCTCAGCCTCCCGAGTAGTTGGGATTACAGGCGTCTGCCACCACGCCTGGATGACTTTGTATTTTTAGTGGAGATGGGGTTTCACCATATTGGCCAGGGTGGTCTCGAACTCCTGGCCTCAAGCGGTCCGCCCTCCTTGGCCTCCCCCAAAGTGCTGAGATTACAGGCATGAGCCACAGCACCCGGCCTCTTAAAAATAAAAAAAAAGAAGTTCTCCACTCATTGAGAACATTCAAGGATTGTTAAAAAAAAAAAAAAAATAGAGATTTGTAAAGTTCCTAGCCTGTTATTCCTGTAAATGAAGTAAGCATGGATGCAAAATACATTTCTGAAATCTGAGTTGTTTCAAATTTTGTAGGCATTACCTAATCCCCAAAAGGCAGGTTCTCTTAGTAGAGGATGGGACACTTTGAGGCAAAAGGCTTATAACTGAGATGCATTAAGTCTATTCTGTTTTAAGATTCTAAAGAAATGTCAAGATTTACATACACATGTGAGAACCAAAAGAGACCTGTATTCCCTAGTATCACACAAAGTAGTCCCAGTGTAAACGTCTGAAGCTGTGTCCATTTGATTTGATAGATACATAGGTACCATTGTTTTGTTCAAAATCACAATTTAAATACTTCGTGATTTTAGAAATAATAGAGCCACGTTTTCACCATTAAGGTGAGTGATTGTTCAGATACATTTGGCACTGTCCATAGGTTTATGGCTTCCAACTTGTTTAAGACCATTCCCAGAGTGAGAGCTGATTTGCCATGGTTATGAAGCTTTCAGGATATAAACTATAAGAATGACAAACTACAGCAGTTGAAAATGTGTCTTCAGATACTCACTTGCAACTCCCATTTATGTCTCTAGGAATTGAGAAATGAGGATCGAGGGACCAAATCTGGCTTGGTCAGTAAGAGTGTAGGTAACATATAAATATTAATGTTCATTGCAGTTAGTGTGGTACGCAGAAATATCACAGTATAATTGTTAATTGCCAATACCTTTCACTCATGTTGCACGAGAATAAGTGAAAACTATTTTACTGTAATTTTTAAATGATTTCATCATAATAATTATAAAATATCCTTTCCACTCCTTAGATGGTTAAAACTGAATTTTCTGAAAATGAATCATTTATACTTCATCTTTATTGCCATTTGTTTCTATACAGGTGTATCTATGTATCTGTTATTCAGTTTAGTAGGAGAAACAGCCTCTGGTTGTGACCATTTACTGGTGTCTGTGCAGTTAGCATTCTTGGCATTCTTTATACAAAATAGAATGTTCAAATAATTAAAAGCATTCACTACAGATTTCATGGTATTTTAAGGGTGGTCATGGTATCAGGGGAAGGAGGAGGTCTGTTCTTTGCCCTGCCAAGCCACCTGTTGAATCCTTTTCTTTATTTATTTTCTCCTTCATTATTCGTATTCCTTCTCAGCTCACTTCTGCTCCAGTCTAACAACTATTTATTGCTAAATATTTATCAAGCACCTACTGTGTGTCAGACATTGTGCTAAGCACTTTAAATTTATTACATCTTTAATCGTAAAAACAGTCCTATGAAGTCCTATTTTTAAAAATTCCCATTTAAATCTCTGGGGGATTTTTTATTTGTTTTTTGTTTTTGTCTTCCTCTTTTTTCAAAGCAGCACTCCAATTTTTCTTTAAGTAGTTGCCTCTGCCCCAGTCCTTGTGGTTCCGGAG
This sequence comes from Homo sapiens, assembly GCF_000001405.40. Classification (NCBI taxonomy): domain Eukaryota; kingdom Metazoa; phylum Chordata; class Mammalia; order Primates; family Hominidae; genus Homo; species Homo sapiens. The sequence goes on along the minus strand of NC_000002.12, from coordinate 173,584,907 downwards.
CCTGTCAGTCAAAATCCCCTACCCCTCCTTCCTACCAAAGTGGAGACACATGACTCAAGGTAAGCCAATCAAGCTTACCCTGTGAGAACCCAGGATGACAAATGGTTAGGGTGGAGTCATTCTGGTGTCAGAATGCTGAGGAGAATATACTTCTTCTGTCATCTCGATCCATGGAGTTGCCTAGTTTCCATTCTTTGCAAGGCCTTTTCCTTTGTTTCTGGCAGAGAACTAAGATTATTCCAATACATTACCCTTTCTGGCAAAAGTGAATCTGTTTCTGTTGCTTGCAATCAAAGAATCCTAACAGACGTGTTTCCATTCTTTAGATGAGGAAAAGGAAACTGAAGCTTAGAGAGGATAAGTAACTTGTGCAAAGTGGATGGAAGAGGCAGGACACCCACGCCAGTTAGACTCCAAAACATAGGATGCCATGTTGACCATTCCAGCTGACCATGCCATGCTGACCATTCCAGCCTGGTGAAGTAGGGAAGAAGTGCCTGGAGCTGGGAGAGAAAGTACATCCCACTTTTTTCTCTTCCAGCTTTCTAAAACCCTGTGTGCATCTCTTCAATCAGGTGTTATACACTCCAGGTTTGCTCACTCCAAGTAATGAGTCAAAACTGATGTACAGAATAGCAAAATTATTTATTGACTCAAACCATTACTTTTAAGCATGTAACTTTATTACTGGTAACTAAGCCTATTGCATCACTCATTTAAGCCAATGATTTTATACATTATAGACTCTTACGTCCCAGAACTATGAACATGCAATATATGGACAAGGTTCTACAGTTATGCTACAGGCAAGGTAGCATTATGTGATGGAAAAATAAATAAAGATTGAAGTCTGAAGACAAGCTTCCAATTTCAGCTCTGCCATCTCCTAGGTATGTTCCTAAATACTGGAAAATTGGCCTCTGTGGGTCTCGGTTCCCTCATCTGTGGAATGGTAGTGGTAATGATCTTTATGGGCTTATTGTGAGGATTTAGTGAGATCATGCACCTTTTGAATCCCCTAGTGAACTATAAAGCCCTATAAATATTAGCGCTATGTTTAATTTCAGGATCTAAAGAACCGCTGGGTTCAATGACAATTTCAAGAACATTTTCCTTGTTTGATAGCCTCTTTCATTGGTGCCCAAGCCGGAGTCTTCTCCTTCCCATTTTTTAGCCAGATGAATGGCAGAGCATTCATAATAAAATTCATGTTTCATGCTTCCAATCAGCCGGTTTTTGTAATTCTGCCTTGAATTTGTCCTCCTAGTGACAATTCTGATTTCACTGAAGGAAATCTGATCTGAAGGGTTACATGTGGGATGGGGAGGACCAATCCCACGGGTCACAGGAACAGTTCTAGTTCTCATTGATAATGATCATAAATTGATATCATTCAACTGAAGGTCAGCAGCCTCTCTGAAAAGAATCGGTGCTGCAAACTCATTTCCCGAGGAACAGGCACAGCACAAAGCCTGCATCGACCTTGGCCCCAGCATTCACCTGCTCATTAGGGTCAGGGTGAGTTCAGGAGCAGCCCTCTGGACCCCGTATTGATCTCTTCCAGTGGTGATTGAATCATATTAGTATCCTAACATGGAAACCTGGTGCTTCTGTTTCTTCCGCTTTGCTTTTTCTGGGGTTATATAGAAAATACCAGCTTTTTATTCATTCATTTAACACTGAGGCTGTACTACATACAAGGCATTGGGTTTAAACTCTGAGACGAATCACAGATAAACCTGCCTTGAGGGGAGCATACAACAGAAGGGGCTGTAAGACATATTCATAAATAACATCAATCAATATAACTGGAAAAAAATATTTTAAAAGCTAGCAAATACATTTTAAAGAGGGAACCATTTTTCTTTAGGAAAAAAAAATTACCAAAAGCCTTGACAAACCCTTCCAGGAGTGAAGGTGAGACCCTAAAACTGACATCTGGAAGGAGATGATGAAACAAAGAACAAGCTAGAGAATTTGGGGTTAAGAAACGGAAAGTAAAGAAGAGAGGGAAGGAGGAAGAAAGATGGGGAGTGGGGACAGGCCAGAGGGCAGAGGCTCTGGCCATGGGGAAGAATGGCCATGAGATATTCTTGTAGCAGGGCAGCCAGAGAACTTTTAAGATGAAAGATGAATAAGATTTAATATTATGCATCCATGTTGTAGTGTAGTACTGGAAACCTCCCTTCACTGCGCCAACTTGTTAGTAAACTTTACACACAAATGTCTTCTCCTCTGAGTGGTTTGTGTGGTAGGAATTAAAAAAAGGTAGGTGGGGTGACTGCCATATCTGCTGAGAGAAGAAAGAGCCACAGAAGGTGAGACACAGAGAGTTTACAGTTTTAGACAGAGCAGTAACTTGGAGCCTAAGTGCCCATGAGTCTGTAGTTCCCCAGAACATGGAGAAATGGAGAGAGGGTGTGTTGCACTTCCCGTGGGATTGGGTTGAGTCAATTTTATTTCAACCTCAGGGACAGGTGACTTCTGCTATAATCTAGGTGCCAAAGCAGAAGAGGAAGGTATTGTAAGGAGAGACGCTATGAAAGAGTTAATGTGAATGACAGAGCTTGGGAAGGATTTCATGGGTCCAGGCAGAGGCTACTATGGAGCAGAGGCTACGATGGAGCATGGCTGTGGGTGAGCACCAGGACATGTCTGGCTACAGCTAATGTCCAGCCAGTTGTCAGTGGAGAGAATAGTGAGAGAATAAACTAGAAGGCAGTTTGGACCACTGGGCAAAGAAAACCTTGAAAGACAAGCTGAAAAGGTTGTAGGTCGTTTCATTATTTGGAAAGTGATGGGGAGCCTACCTTTTTCAAAACACTTTAGCATTTAAAATTTCTTCTGATTTTAAATCTACTTATTTATGAGAAATGAAACAGGTATTATTATGATTATTCCCATTCTACAGATAGGAAAACTGAGAAATAGATTATTAAAGTTGTTCACAGTCAGCATAGCAATGAAAAAAACCCACTCCAAATTTCTTAAATTTGAATTCAGCACCCTTCTTGTGCTCTGTGGTGTCCATAAATACACTTTTAGAATAAACATGTCTCAAGAGCTCCAAAAGATTCCCTGGGGAAGGGCTGGGGGAGGGAGGGAGAACCACAAGGCACACTCTGACTGATTTTCTTGGGAGCAATTATGGAGGAGAATTTCTGATGAATAAAATTCTCCACCTCATTACACAAGTAACTAATCTAATCAACCAGTCCCGTAAGTGGGCTAATTTCTGGTGTATGAGCTGCTGCCTCAGCCCACCCACTCTCCCCAATGCCCTTTCGTTCTTCCTAAGTATCAAATGACTGTTAGTAGTTCATTCATTCCACTAACACTCTGTGCCAGGCACTTGGGGAAGTGCTGAGAAATGGCCTTTTGGGGACAGTGATCCATCTTGTTGTCTAAAACCAGAATATTTATCTTTCTCACCAATATGACTCCATCATGCCACCCGCCAGACTGCCTGGAACCTAAGAATCCCTTGGAGAGTAGAGACCAAATAAATAGCTGTTTTTGAAACTTCTGTTTCCACTGCCTGCTCATATCCACTCATTTTCCAAGTTCCATATAAGCTGACTCCCAATCACAAAGGACATCATTCCTCTTGATTTTCCTAACTTCCCCATTCCTAATTTTCACTGTATACTGCTGTTGCATTCATTTTCTCAAAGTTCAGTCCTGGTGGATCACATTCTTGCCAAAAAACAAAACAAAAGCTGTAGATTGCAGACCAACAATTCCATTCCTACATATTTACCCCTACCCCCAAAGGAAAGCATATATCCACAAAGAGACATGCATGAGAAACTTTACAGCTGCTTAGCTCACAAGTGTTCATAAACTGGAAACAACTCAAATGTCCATCAACAGCAAGAGAGAGAAAATGTGGCACATTCATACTATTTAGCAACAAAAAAGAATGAACCACTGACACACACAACATGAATGAATCTCCAAATATTATTCTGAGAAACAGAAGCCAGACACAAAAGAGTATATACTGTGTGCTTCCATTTATATAAAGTTTGAGAAAAAACAAAACTAATTTATGATGACAAAAATCAGGATAATGGTTGCCTATGGAGCATGAATTGGCTAGAAGGGCCCACAAGAGAACTTTCTAGAGCGAAGAAAATGTTCTTTATTTTGGAGAATCAGTAAGATGAGTATATATGTTGTCAAAACTCATTGAATTGTACCCTTAAGATCTGTGCATTTAACTGTATGTAAATTTACCTCAATTAAAATCATTAGTAGTTCCCTACTCCCTATTTAATTATGAACAAATCATGTGCCCAATCCGTGTAGTGAGAAAGTAGATTAGTGGTTGCCAGAGCCTGGGGGAGGGGAGAATGGGGAATGATTGACAGTAGGGCTGGATTTGTTTTAGGGATCATAAAAATGTTCTGAATTAGTGTTGAAGGTTGCACAGTCTGTGAATACACTAAAATTACTGAATTGTACACTTTAAAAGGATGAGTCTTATAAATGAATTATATCCCAATAAAAAAAAGACTCTACCCAGCATTCCAGGCAGTCATGAGATAGCCCTGAACTAGCTCAAATTTGCTAATCTGTGGTTCCATACCTGTTCTCTCATCATTCTTTCTTCACGTAATCCCAGTGTACCCTGCATCTCCGCTTGTGAAATTCTACCCATCATTGAAGGCCCATCTCAAAAACCACAACTTTCCTAGTCTTCTCTGCAGAGTGCGGCCCCTTTCTCTGAACTTCTGGTACTAAGTAGAGATCCCTCTTCTGAAAGAGCTCATCATTTTCTGCCTGGGATTGTGTTTATTTCTGCATTTGTCTGATTCTTCTTCTTAGATTATAAGATTAGTGAGGACAAGAACTGGGCCCTACCTATTCTTGTATCCTTGACAGCACACAGATATTCCTCAATAAATGCTTGATGAATTGAATTAACTGAGATTAATGACTCTAACTCTATAAATTTCAGGCCAGGAAGAAAGCATGAGTCCACTGGCAAGTTTTGTGAGGCATGGATGTTTGGGCTGTGAAGTGATCAACTACTCTAGGGGCGGTTCTCAAACTTGAAGATGTCCCCGGATCACCTGAGCAATCTATTACCTATCACTCTCCAGACTCTCAACGGGGATTCAGATTCCCAACTGTAGTGAAGCCCAGAAGATTCACAAGGTGATTCTGATGCAGGAGGTCTGCAAACCACATTTCCAGAAACCCTGACTTTGAATCAAACATTTACAAATGAATAAAAAGAACGATTTTACTTGATTTATTTTCTCTAGATGTTTTATTGGCTGAATTTTAATCTCTTTATGAGAACAATTGTGCTCCTAGGAATTGATAAGGGCTACATTTTTGCTGGAAGTCTTCCAAGTGGCCCAAAAGAAAGGTTGCATTATTCATGAAACTGGGTAGGAATGCTAAGGTAATTTCTCAACCATGCTAACATCACAATAGCTGGTGCCACCTGTAACCAAATCATACTGTGACTTCAAACTTTGAATCAAATGGTGATTTCTAATTTTCCTTGTTTCATAGCACACACTGCTTTCAACTTAGCTCTGGGCCATTTATTATTCTGTTGGAAAACTCACTGAGTGCTGTGTGGTATGTGTGTTGACTGGTTTTTCACACTGAGTTCTAAACACAGGTTCTGAAAGTAGAAAATTTTCATAGCACATAGGCAGAAAGGATAATTCCACTCAAATACCTACGTTGAAATGGGCCTTTTCCGAAGCCAACATAATCTAAAGACCTAACAAATATTATGATTCGCTTGGATTTTAAACCTAATGACCAAAAAGACAAAAAGACCCTCTCTCACAATAATCTTACCTGCAGCAGGAAATGAAGCATGAATTCAGCAACCTCTCGGCCTAGACAGGAGGCCTAGCACACCTGCCAGGCTACAGAGCTCTGAAAGGCTGCAAAGGAAGACACTAGATCTGAAATGCAAAGAGCTAAAGAACAGAGAAGCGCTCTCTGTCCTCAGATGCCCTGCGTGCATTTCCTTTTCATGGCATCTCCCTTTTGATCCGTGCACCGATAACCTCCATTAGCACCTGCAGCACTCCCCAGAGTGGGCCTAAACTTCCTAAGCCCCGCGGTATCCTTGACCTCCTCTCAGGGTTTCCTAGGCCATAGACTGCTTCTGAAACTCAGTCCTTGCAACTGCTACCTCAGTTCACCTTAGCAATGCTCATCAGACATAGTGTTCCCAACCTATCCTCTTCACTCTGGCAAAGTAAGTCTAGGGCTGTTTAGGGATAAGGGATGGAAGCAGGAAGCTGAGCAAATGGACAATGTTCCTGTGATGAATCATTTGGTTCCTGGGTAAACCTCTGGTTTTCCTTAGATCTCCATGGCCGGATATCTCAGATCCTACTGTTCCTTTTTGCCAGTAACTCCAGGCAGGGACTCTATGTCTAAAGCCCTGGCAAGACAGCACTGTCTGCTTTTGTTCTGAAATTAATTGTTTTCACATTCTCCCCACTGGTGTCACTGAAACAGTAATACTAAAAGGGCGTGGGAGCAGACTTCACCTAATTGTACATCTTCCCACCTCTTCACAGAAGCACATACTGCGCAGGAATGTGCGAGAGGAGTGTGCCTTCACTGGCCATGCATTGATCTGACCTGCAATTGTGAATGGTTCCTGTCCCAGCCATTCAGAGCAAACCATTTTCCCCTAGAGGTCTAGGGTTGTGGACACCAGGCTATCTAGACATCTCATTGGATCACAGTTAAAGATGTGGAGAGAGATCAAAAGCAAAGAAGGACAAGAGGATTAAGAAGCAGTTCCTTACCACCCCTCCCATGCTCCCTATCCCTAAACAGCCCTGGACTTACATTGCCAGAGTGAAGAGGATGTGTTGGGAATGCTATGTCTGATGAGCATCACTAAGGTGAACTGGGGTAGCAGTTGCAAGAACTGAATTTAAGAAGCAGCCTATGGCCCAGGAAACCCTGAGATGAGGTCAAGGATACCTCAGGCTCAGGAAGTTTAGGCCCACTCTGGGGTGACTTTGGAGATATTGAGTGTCTAGAGCCACTGCTGTTCTGGAAGACACCTAACTAGACCTGGCACATAGGAGCCAACTGCTTCATCCTCCGTGTTCACCCCAGCGACTTTCATCCTTTGGCAGCCATAGCTCCTGCTGGAGACCACAGTGCTTTTCAATAGGCATAAGAACCACCTCTCCAACCATGTACTAACCATGTACTAGGTGTGGATCCTTGAAAAGTTGTTAACCTTTCTGAGCTTCAGTTTTTTCATCTGGAAAATGGAAATAATAATATATCCCTGATGGAATAATGCAAGTCAAAAGCTTAGTGCCAGCACCATGCCTGGTTCTGAGAAAGCACTCTCTAAGTAGTTACTATTATTCTTGTTGTTATTCATATTACACAACATTAATATTATTAAAACAGTTGGACCAATTTTAGATGGATCCCCACTCATCCCATGCCCCTTTGGCACTGATGCCAGAAGTGGATGGAGAAGCTTTGGCAAGGGAGTCTGGAATTTAGGAACTTGTGGTTCCTCTAGTGCTGTGCCATCAGAATCTGCAGGCCATGGAAGAAAAGCTTTCCTGTCCAGGCTACCTTAGAATGGAAAAGAAGGGAGAGGTGATGAGCAAATTTGTTTGCTCTTTCTCTGCTGTAGAGAAAATGAGGTTTACTGAACCAGGATGAGGTTGTTTCCAGAACTCTGACGGGTTTCCCAAGAATAAAGGTTTATGAGTGAAGGCAATTGTATTTCTTATAGGCATTCTTTTTTCCCACTTGCAGACCTGGAACTTCCAGAGACAAGCCTTTCTGAGCCCTTGTCAACCAGCACCAGGATGTGTGTCTCCCTCCGCATGCCCCACCCCTCTGGCCATGCCCCTGCCAACAGGCTGAGGACACGTTCACAGGACTCTGCTTCAAGAAATAAAGAAGTAACTCATAGCAGCCTCTGACTCAGATTTGGTCATTCTAAGTTAAATTCTTGTTAGATAGTGATTGTTTGTGAAAAAGGAAAATAGCTAACGATCTTATTCCTTATTGAAATATTGCAATGAGAATGCAAGGAATGTATGAACAAGGTATTTGTAGACCTTCACTTGGGATCACAGTAGTTATAAAAGCCAGAGATGATGATACTGTGATGAAAACCCTCAATGATACCTGAACATCTCCTCGAATAGAGCTCAGACTCCTCAGCCGAGCACGCAGAGTGCCCCATCAAGCACCTCCTCCCTCCTCTCCCATCTTAGGGAGGCATCCAGATAGTGACTGAGAACATCAGGGATGGTCGGCCTAGTAGTATTCATCAGCCTCAAGTTTTCAAGCAAAACTCGGGCATGTTGAAGCCTTAGCCCAGGGAAGAGGTGGACACTGGTGGACTCTGCTGCAAGATCCCGTGGCTCAGCTTGTAGGCATGACAGGCTGATCCATGATGAGGTCAATTGAAGATCTGGAACCTTATGGCTTGGGAATTAACAATTATCCTTGCTCAGGCTTGATGCCACGTGCAAGTTGGACAGTCCCGGCCCACTCTGCTCTCTAGTACTTGTGGCCCTTTCCTTTCAAGATGCTTGAGGAAGTGTACCAGGGAAAGGAAGAGGTGGAGACTTTTGCTTTTCAGGCAGAAGTTGCCCAATTCATGTATCTCAACATCAATACCTTCTATTCCAACCAGAAAATTTTTCTTCAGGAGTTGATCTCTAATGGATTTAATGCATTAAACAGAATTTGCTGAGAGCCTGACAGACTCTTCTGAGTTGAACAGCAGTAAAGAGATGAAAATTGACATCATCTTCAACTCTCAGGAATGCACCCTGACTTTGGTGGACACAGGCATTGCCATGACCAAGGATGACCTCATAAATAATTTTGGAACCATTGCCAAGTCTCCAAGATTGAGCAGTTTGGTTTTTAGCCTGCCTACCTGGTGGCACAGAAAGTGACTGTGATCACACATCACAATGCTGATGAACAGTATGCCTGAGAGTCTTCCTCCACTGTATGTGCTGACCACAGTGAGCCCACCAGCAGGGATACCAAAGTGATCCTCCACCTTAAGGAAGACCAGATAGAGTACTTAGAAGAGAGACAAATCAAAGAAGTAGTGAAGAAGTACTCATAGTTCATAAGCTATCCCATCACTCTTTATTTGGGGGAAGGAATGAGAGAAGGAAACCGGTGACAATGAGGCAAAAGAAGAGATAGGTGAGAAAAAAGAGGAAAATAAAGATGCTGAGGAAAGGCTCAAGATTGAAGATGTAGGCTCAGATGATAGCAGTAAGGGTAAGAAAAAGAAGACCAGAAAATTAAAGAGAAATACATTGATTAGGAAGAGCTAAACAAGGCCAAGTTCATCTGGACCAGAAACCCTCATGATGTCACCCAGGAGAAATATGGAGAATTTTACAAGAGTCTCACCAATAACTGGGAAGACCACTTGGCAGTCAAGCATTTCTCTGTAGAAGGTCAGTTGGAATTTAGAGCATTGCTACTCATCCCTCAACGGGCTCCCTTTGACCTCTTTGAGAACAAGAAGAAAAAGAACAACATCAAGCTGTCCATCGTGTGTTCATCATGGACAGCTGTGATGAGTTGACACAAGAGTTTCTCAATTTTATTCATGGTTTGGTTGACTCTCAGTATCTGCCCCTCAACATCTCTCGAGAAATGCTTAAGCAGAGCAAAATCTTAAAAGTCATTCAAACAAACATTGTTAAGAAGTGCCTTGAGCTGTTCTCTGAGCTGGCAGAAGACAAGAAGAACTACAAGAAATTCCATGAGGCAGTCTGTAAAAATCTAGCCCACTGATTTAAATGTTAATCACATCTACAAAATGTCTTCATGCCAACATATAGACTGGTGTTTGGCCAATCTAATATATGGGTACCATGGCCTAGCTAGGTTGACACATAAAGTTTGCCATCACACCAAGTAATCCAGCACTACCATTCAAAAGGGTAGTTTTGCAAGTTAATAAAAAACTCTAGCAGTGTGGAAGCCAATTAGTCAGGAAACAAGCTGAGTCATCTTAGGGTTTCACTGAGAGCCGAAGGGCAAATGGAAATGTATAAAATGGAGGAAATTAAGCCAGAGTACTCAAGATGTTTATAAAGAAATAGAAGAGTGTATAACGGAAATGAAGAGTACTACTGCTGAAAGGAGGATGGAACTGGCAAGGAATATAGAAGGTACCAAAACAAACAAAAACATCCTTCAAACCCAGACCTTAATATTCTGAGCCCCAATGCCTTTGCCCATCTCCTTGGGCCTCTTGCCTCTTGGGGTCCAAGTGTTACAGAAGCTGCTTCAGCAGCAGCAGAGCAAGACCTGGACCCAGCACTGGTGGAGGGGGAGGCCTAAGCCAATTTCCACGACAGGAAGGAATGCTCCAGAGGACAATAAAAGTGAGGTCATCATGTGTCTACGAGTCTCTCCAGAAAAATATCAGATGTGAACTGTAAAACAATCAACATTCAGTTGTATAGGAAAAGTTAAAGCCATACTAGAGCAGGGGCCAAAAGCTTACAGAGAATCTGTGAAAGCCAGTTGCATGTAAGGGAGCCAGCCCTAATGGCATGCAGGTAGAACTCGAGCTTGTGGAATTTTTCTTTTAAACTATGAAGGACAGAGGTTCCTTTTCAGTCGAAAAGTGAACAAATGTTATGCCCATCTTTTAAAAAAATGGGCACTGGCATTGTGGAAAGCATTTGGGAGATTTATCAAAGAGCTTAAAACAGAACTACCATTCTACCCAGCAATCCCATTATTTGGTATATACCCAAAGGAATATAAATCATTCTACCATAAAGACACAGGCATATGAATGTTTATTGCAGCCCTATTCACAATAACAAAGACATGGAATCAACCTGAATGCCTATCAATGGTAGACAGGATAAAGAAAATGTGGTACGTATACAACATGGAATACTACACAGCCGTAAAAAAGAACAAAGTCATGTCCTTTGCAGCAACATGGATGGAGCTGGAGGCCATTATCCTAAGCAAACTAACACAGGAACGGAAAACCAAATACCACATGTTCTCACTAATAAGTGGTAGCTAAACATTGAGGACATATGCACACAAAGAAGAGGATAACAGACACTGGGGCTACTTGAGGGTGAGAGGGTGGGAGAAGGGTGAAGATTGAAAAACTACCTATCATATACTATGTTTATTACCTGGATGATAAAATGATCTATACACCAATCCCCTGTGACACACAACTTACTTATATAACAAGCCTGCACATATACCCCTGAACCTAAAATAAAAGTTTAAAAAAAGAGGGAAGAATGGGAGATAGGGTTGAATTAATATAGTAATTATAGACCAGACAGCATTGAAAACCAGGAAAATTTGATTGAAGCTTTCATTAATCACTGTATCTAAGAGCATAAAACACTAGTGGGTAAACTGTGCTAGTCTGTTTGGACTACTGTAACAAAATGCCATAAACCAGATGGCTTATAAACAGTAGAAACTTATTTCTCACAGTCTGGAGACTGGGAAGTCCAAAAGGCTCCAGAAGATCTGGTGTTTGGGGCCTGCTTCCTGGTTTGCAGATGGCTGTCTTCTCGTGCCATCCTCATATGGGCAGAAAGCAGAGAGAGAGAGTGGAAGCAAGCTCTCTCGTGTCTTCTTATAAGGGCACTAATTCCATTCATAGAGGCTCCAACGTCATGACCTAATTACCTCCCAAAGGCCCCACCTGCTACTACCATCACCTTGGGGATTAGCATTCTAACATATCAATTTTGAGGTGACACAAACACTCAGGCCATAGCACAAACCACAGGGCTTTTTGAAAGTCTTAGGGAAAAGAAAGTTGAAGTGCAACTTCCTTTCCAAATGTGGGCACATACACCATAGCCACACCACCTGTTAGCCCAGAACTGTATTTATGTCATCCTCCAGCCTGAGCCTCCAGGGGGCTAGGACTGCAGGACCCATGCTCTTAGTATGAAATGTGCTATCAGTGTTTTTCTTTCTGCCCACATAGTTACAAACAACTGAATTCAATCCAAAGTGCATTTCTTGAGTGTTTACTAGGTACTGCCTTACCAGGAAGTGACTTAAAGAATATAAAAATGCATAGGACATGGTTTCTGCCCCTCAAGATCACTACATGAAGGAGACCCACATACATATTAATAAATGAAAAAGATTATTTTAATTAAAACAGAAGGGAGAATTCAGACTTAAGCAATAACTCTTGACCATCAGAATGATAACACTGGAATTTCCTCTGAAAGGCGAGCTGAAGAGTTTCCTCCTTTAGACATAAAGTGAGACTGAACAGCCAGCCATCTTTGGTTGGTTAGACACCCACCTGACCCAGAACAGAGCTTGGGGCAGGTAATATTGCCAGGCCCCTCCCACTGTATAATTCTAAGACACTGTCATTTCTAGGTTGCTAAAAATAGAAACATGGCATCTGGTATGTAACAATATACAATATTGCAGCTGTGTCTTTATGATGAATAATAATACTTTGGAGTTATATGATGAGGCAATCACCTTGCAAGTGCAATCTCATTAACCCTCACAATATTCTGATTAGGTAGGCAGGTGGCAAGTGATCTGAACTCAGTTTGCAATTGAAGGAACCAAGACACAGAGAATCTGAGAAACTTCCCAAGGAGCACCCACTTTCAGTCACAGGTGGGAATGTGGCCCAGGTCTCCTGTCTCCAAATTTGTTGCTCTGAGCAGTAGTCCACACTGCTTCCAAGGTTCAGCAGCAGAACAAACTCGAAATTGGCATTGTCCTGGATCTACCCCCTGGGAAATATTGCTGACTTCTCTTAAGTGAATGCCAGAACCACCCCAAGATTAAGTTCAGTATTTCCTTGTTCTATTAACCTCTGGCAATTAACCTCTTCCTCCTTCCAAACTCCAACCTGTCTTGAAATAAACCGAAGAAATATTTAAACCACGCCAAAACTTCTCTATGACTTCTGTTAATCTCTCCCGAGTTTTTGTTCTGGTGTGTGGGTGCAATTTAGTTGAAGGTCAGTTGTTTTTAGAGAGTCACTGTTCTAAAAGTCTTTAAACACTCGTTCAGGCACCCTGTGTAAATAGATTTCTTCTCTCAGTCCCGATTTTATTCATGTCTTTGATAATAGAAAAAAATACTTGTTTGCTTTCCTAAACATGCTGTGTGATTTTGCTCAGACTAGAGGAACAGGTTTGGTGATGCTGATTTAAAATCACAGGAAAATGACACCATGAGCCAGGAGACATTTGCCAGCCCAGAGCAAAGGCGTCTTCTGAGCCTCTGGGGAAACACTGATATTCGTTTATAGGGAAACAGTAAGATTAATATGGGAACTCGGGTTGTGCTTTTGGGGGCAGGATTCCCTGGCTCCTTTTGAGACAATGACACGCGGCCACATCTTCAAATTGTTAATTATGTACTGCCCCCTAGGGATTTTTGTTTTGCTGGTGACAACCTGCTTCAGATCCTACAGGAAATATTTATCAGCCAGCTTCAGCCGGTATTTGTCTCATCGAAGGCTGCACCTTTTTGTGACCTTGTTGTACTGAGTCTACCCCTTTCTCTAGCAAGTCAGATTCACACACTTTACTTTTTGAATTGTTGATTTTTTCCCTCCCTCTTTTGTCTTTATTTGGTTTTATTTCCCCAGGATGGCTGCATTTGAATAGTGTGGGGAGGACTGACGTCTCTGCTCTTTAAAGCGCTGCTCTTACCAACCTCCACATTTCCCCTGTGGCTTTGTAAACATCCTTGGATTTGGGTAACAGAGGAAGAGCAAACTGTTAATCATAGACACTTACACATATGCACTTACATGTTTATCTGCACTTACTGATGGAGGAGTTCTCTATACTCTGAAATGTTCTCTATGAAATTCCATTTAAATCAAAAACTTTTATCAGAAAAATGAAATTGCTTCATGATTGAATAGCACTTTGCTTCTAAGTACCAGCCATCGAGGCTGATGAAATGGCCCAGATGACGCTTTTCCCCAGAAAGACATCCTTTACCCTTTATTTTAAAGTTAGAGTAAAAAATGTTGGCCCTATATTTCTTCGCACACTTTCAATACAGAAACGGTCTTAAGCTATAATAAATGACACAGTATCTGATATGAATGTTGTAAATATGCGTTGTTTTTACTGTTTGTGTAGTTTGTTCCTTTTTTTAAATAATGCATAAGACAGCCCTGGCAGGAATCTTTCTTCATGGATTGTATATTTTTTTAAACACACACACACACACAAATCCTGTACACAACAACTTTAGCAAATATATGCACGATCCAAACAGTTCAGAAATATAAGATCTGAAAATGAGCAAAGGGCAGCAGATTTTTGAATAGGCTTCATCAGCCGAGGGGAGAGGTCAGTCGTGGAGATTAGTTATAGGAGCTATTAAGTCTCCTCTGACACCCACAGTACAAGCTGCTTAACATAATCAGCCGCAATCAGCAAAACTGCTGTTTATTACAAAACGTTTTTCCCTTTTAATATTTCATATTGTTATGTAAAATGGTGCAGTGTAGGGACACACACATTTCACCAGGGACATATTGTACAAATTGTCAGCAATAATAATTTGTGGCTCTTCTCATGACATCTTTTGAAGTTAAAACGGTTGAGCGATACCTCTCCAGGGCTATTTTCTCTAATGTGGTTAATAGTTTGCACTGGAGTTGACCAAGCACCCTCTGGGTGATGTCGACATTTACCAGTATGAGAAAATGTTTGTGTGACCGAACATCAGCCAGACAAGTCTGTAATTCCAGGCCATGAAGCTTGGTTCTGCTTTCTCTTACCCATTTGGTCAGTGCCCTCAGTTATAGGTGTGTCTCATACTGGAATAAAAATGAGCAGAGGCATTCCCTAGTCTGTCCTAATCACCAGAGTAATTCCTCTTTCAAAACATTTTAATTTAAATAGAACTGATTATGAGGCACACGGTAGGAGTCTATGTAGAATGAATTTCATACACTGAGTATTGGGATAAGAGAAATTTCCTAACTGTCCAATAGGACAGGTTGCCATGGCCTAGATTAGAGGACACTTGGATATTTTTTTTTTCACAGTGCAAGTTCATGTGTGTTTTTTTTTAATACTTTAAGTTTTAGGGTACATGTGCACAACGTGCAGGTTTGTTACATGTGTAAACATGTGCCATGTTGGTGTGCTGCACCAATTAACTCGTCATTTACATTAGGTATATCTCCTAATGCTATCCCTCCCCCCTCCCCCCACCCCACAACAGGCCCCGGTGTGTGATGTTCCCCTTCCTGTGTCCATGTGTTCTCACTGTTCAATTCCCACCTATGAGCGAGAACATGCGGTGTTCGGTTTTTTGAGAGGACCCTTGGATATTATTTCCACATTTCTCTAAGAGAATAAGAAAGTACAGAGGCAGACGTTGCTGGTTCCCCTTCCAGTCCACTAAGCATCTTGTACAAGATGTCCTAACCCCTGACAGCTGTCTCCTAAGGTTCCATCCCTGGTCATCCCTCCCATTCACCCAGAGCCAGCATAGCTGGTTCATGGGAACTCTGGGCTGAGCAGGAGGCACTGGAGCAGAACAAAAGTGTAGGGTTTTATTTGTACAAATATGGGAATACTTAAAAGCTAAAATAAGCATTGTCCCTTTCCAAGTGAGCACCTTAGCAGGCTAAATGACACATTTATTCGAACACTGGAGCAGCCATTTCTCCCAATTTTGGTCCATCTTGTTTAGAAGCTGTGAAAGACAATCAGTGTCCTTCCTGTAGAGTCACTCATACCTTCCTTTGAACATTAACTCAATCATCTATTTCATTCATCAGGTCTGACTCCAAGTGAATGGACATTCCTCATTCTTTGTACACCTCCTATTTGGAAAAATTCTTTTGGATATTTATTTCTGTATCTATATCCCCAGTGTAATAAACTTCTTGAGATGAGGAGATTTTCATTTTCCCCTCTATATGCATCACCGTCTAGCTGCATCAGACACATAGTAAGTGCTCAATAGATGTTTGTTGAATAAATGAGCAAAGAGTTTAGGAAATTAAATTCACTCTTAGAGAACAAAGGTGTTCCCCTATGAGGGCTCTGGACTTGGAAGACTATTCAAATGTAGGGTTTTCATTCCTTGAACGTTTCTTGAATAATGGAAACTTCTCAGGAATTAGTGTTCACGGACAACATATCATTGAAATTTTAAAACGCTGTTAGATTTCTTAAAACCCCAATTATTGGACTTTCTAGACCAGTGCTCTCTAATAGAAATACACCGCAAGCTGCTTATATAATTTTAAATTTTCTAGTAGCCACATTTAAAAAGATGAAACAGGGTGAAATTAATTTTGATAAAATGCTAACAACATTTAATTTAACCCATATATGCAAAAACTTTTTTCAACATATAATCAGCTTAAAAAATTATTGATGTTTTTACATTCTTTTTTGCTGTTGTCCTAAGTCTTTGAAATTTGGCATACATTTTATGTTTATAGCACAACTCCATTTGGAGTAGCTGTATTCCACGTGCTCAGTAACCATGCATGACTGCTAGCTACCAATACTAGCAGCACTGTTCTAGATTCTGGGCCTGCCTCATTGCCCTCTTGGCCAGTACCTTCTTGTGATTGATACCTCCGAGGGTGGACTACAGGGGGCAGCAACAGGCAATGACTGGATGTGCCATGAGTGGTCACTTCTCTACTTATTTGCCCTTTCTTCCCTAGCTGGAGCAAAGACGCCAGTGGTACAATAGCATTTTGAGCAAATTAGAACATGAAAGCATGTGCAACACCCCAGATTTCATGTTATCAGTGCCAACCACATTTTTATTCCTTGGGCTGGTTGTTTCCTTGATTTTTCTTATATTCAGCCTAATGCAGCTCATGAAAAGGCTCAGACAAGAGACAAGTGTGGTTTCCACTCCTGAAGTCAATAGCAGAGCCGATGGGACCTAATGAACCCTGATATAAGAAAAAGAGAGGAGTCAGGGTGATTCCTGGGTTTTTTCCTTGTTCAACCATGTTAGAGAGTGGCATTGGTACAGTCACCTAGGGAGGGAGTGTGGCTGGAGAAGCTGGTATTGCTAATTTCAGTGCCTTGGGGCCTTCCAACACAATGTGGCTGGGAAGAGGAGGAGGAGCAAAGGAGCTGGTTAGAGAGATAGAGACCAAACACCAGGGAGTGAAGTCTCAGACTCTTAGGAAAGAAGCTGTCCCCAAAAGCAGGAAGTGCCCAGCTCCCAGAGGCCAAATAAGCCTTCTGGATGCAAACATGTGAGGCACAAGAAGTAGATTGAGAAGACAGGCTTGAGCAGTGAGCCGAGCAGCATCAGATGGTCTGAGGAGAGAGCTGGCAGGTCACACTGATGCAACAGGCCCGGGCAAGTGGAGGGCTGCATCAGAGAACCGGTGCTAGAACCCAATTAAGCAAGCTGTAGAGGGAGCATAGACAGAATAAGGCTACATAGCAGCCTTGAGTGCTTCTATGTCCCTCATTAGCCAGGGAAGAGCTGTCCCTCCACCATGTTTTCCTCCTGCACAGAGAAGGATGAGGGACTTCTCCCTCACAAGGATCCTATGGAGGTGAAGGGTGTGGTGATTTGAGCTCACTGAAACTAAGCATAACCTGAGACCTGGTTTCTCAGAATCAGATTGGCTTAGGAATTTTAGGAAAGAAATTCTTGTTTGTATAACTGATCTAAATATTCTTCAGTAGAGAATTAGTCAAACAAATGATGGAACATTCGGACAATGCAATAGTAATCACCCGTAAGAATAAGCGAGAAGGTATTGATGTAGGTATGTGCATATTGATGTAGGTATGTGGACAAGATTCATTTAGAGTGAATAAAGCAAGATTCAGAACAGCATAGAGAGAAGGTTCACTTGTGAGGGAAAAAAGACAATCATATACATATACATATTCACCTATATATATGCACCTTATATATGTATAGAAATTTTCTGGAATGATGAACAAGAAGCTGTTAAGGGTAACCGTCTCTGGGGGAGGAACTAGAAAGGACTTCAGAAGGACAGAGAGATTTGCCTTTTGCATCTCATCTTTGTATTGCTCAGTTTTGAATGGCCAGGTGCAGGAATTATTTTTCAAATTAAAATAAGTTTAAAGTGTTTTAAACAATGTTTTACTTGTAATGTCTATATTAAACACTATGAAATCTCTTAGAGAAAAGACTGCCTACTTTTATGTTGTGACCAGTGAACTGTATTCATTCATTTCATCCTTCTTTTGAATTTCAAATTTGGAGGCACTGGAAGACTGCATTGATTAGGGTCCATTCTCCTGATGTCAAATCTTTTCCTTTGAGTAATTCCACTCAGTGTCCAAATATCAAGTTCATACACTGGCTGGCAGTGAGGCACTGATGTGCCACTGGACATCAAGGCACCTAAGAGCCCAAAGACGAGGTGAAGTGGGAAAGGCAAAGTGTGGACCAGTCACAGACGCACCCCCAGGGTTTCCCGTTGCTGTATCCGCATCCCCTGCCACCCACTTCATGACAAACAGAGATTGCCGCTGGGAAGACACCAGGAGGCTGTCTATAGGGAGCAAGGAGACAGTGTTTATTGAGACTATGTTTACTGCTGTGTAGCTCCTTTCTGCTTGTATATAAAGTACCAGTCACCCATTCCCTAACTAAACAGATGTAAAAAACTACTGGCATCAGGCAGGTGGAGGATAATAGGGTTACAGTCTCTTCAGAGAGATAAGAGAGAAATGACTACATGCTTTAAGAGTAAAAGGTGGTAGAAATTGCTTCTAATCTGTTTGATTAGAAAAGATAGAATTTGGGGTCCATCTTAATGCATGTGAAGGAAAATGTTACTTTATTTTATTTATTTATTTTTATTATACTTTAAGTTCTGGGGTACATGTGCAGAACATGCAGGTTTCTTACATAGGTATACACGTGTTATGGTGTTTGCTGCACCCATCAACCCATCATCTACATTAGGTATTTCTCCTAATGCTATCCTTCCCCTAGTCCTCCACCCGCAACAGGCCCCAGTGTGAGATGTTCCCCTCGCTGTGTCCATGTGTTCCCATTGTTCAACTCCCACTTATGAGTGAAAACATGTAGTGTTTAGTTTTCTGTTCCTGGGTTAGTTTGCTGAGAATGATGGTTTCCAGCTTCATTCATGTCCCTGCAAAGGACATGAACTCATCCTTTTTTATGGCTGCATAGTATTCCATGGTGTATATGTGCCACATTTTCTTTATCCAGTCTATCATTGATGGGCATTTGGGTTGGTTCCAAGTCTTTGCTATTGTGAATAGTGCTGCAATAAACATACGGGTGCATGTGTCTTTATAGTAGAATGATTTATAATCCTTTGGGTATATACCCAGCAATCCCATTCCTGGGTCAAATGGTATTTCTGGTTCTAGATCCTTGAGGAATTGCTACACTGTCTTCCACAATGGTTGAACTAATTTACATTCCCACCAACAGTGTAAAAGCATTCCTATTTCTCCACATCCTCTCCAGCATCTGTTGTTTCCTGACTTTTTAATGATAGCCATTCTAACTGGCGTGAGATGGTATCTCATTGCAGTTTTGACTTGCATTTCTCCAATGACCAGTGATGATGAGCTTTTTTTCATATGTTTGTTGGCCATACAAATGTTTTCTTTTGAGAAGTGTCTGTTCATATCCTTCACCCACTTTTTGATGGCGTTGTTTGTTTTCTTCTTGTAAATTTGTTGAAGTTCCTTGTAGATTCTGCATATTAGTCCTTTGTCAGATGGGTAGATTGCAAAAATGTTCTCCCATTCTGTAGGTTGCCTGTTCACTCTGATGATAGTTTCTTTTGCTGTGCAGAAGGTCTTTAGTTTAATTAGATCCTATTTGTCAATTTTGGCTTTTGTTGCCATTGCTTTTGGTATTTTAGTCTTGAAGTCTTTGCCCATGCCTATGTCCTGAATGGCATAGCCTAGGTTTTTATGGTTTTAGATCTTAAGTCTTTAATCCAACTTGAGTGAATTTTTGTATAAGGTGTAATGAAGGGGTCCAGTTTCAGTTTTCTGCATATGGCTAGCCAGTTTTCCCAACACCGTTTATTAAATAGGGAATCCTTTCCCCATTGCTTGTTTTTGTCAGGTTTGTCAAAGAGCAGATGGTTGTAGATGTGTGGTGTTATTTCTGAGGCCTCTGTTCTGTTCCATTGGTCTATGTATCTGTTTTGGTACAAGTACTATGCTGTTTTGGTTACTGTAGCCTTGTAGTATAGTTTGATGCCAGGTAGCATGATGCCTCCAGGTTTGTTCTTTTTGCTTAGGATTGTCTTGGCTACGTGGGCTCTTTTTTGGTTCCATATGAAATTTAAAGTAGTTTTTTCTAATTTTGTGAAGAAAGTCAATGGTGGCTTGATGGGGATAGCATTGAATCTAAAAATTACTTTGGGCAGTATGGCCATTTTCACATTATTGATTCTTCCTATCCATGAGCCTGAAATGTTTTTCCATTTGTTTGTGTCCTCTCTTATTTCCTTGAGCAGTGGTTTGTAGTTCTCCTTGAAGAGGTCCTTCCCATCCCTTGTAAGTTGGATTCCTAGGTATTTTATTCTCTTTGTAGCAATTGTAAATGGGAGTTCACTCATGATTTGGCTCTCTGTTTGTCTATTATTGGTGTACAGGAATGCTTGTGATTTTTGCACATTGATTTTGCATCCTGAGACTTTGCTGAAATTGCTTATCAGCTTAAGGAGTTTTGGGGCTGAGAAGATAGGTTTTTCTAAATACACAATCATATCATCTGCAAACAGAGACAATTTGACTTCCTCTCTTCCTATTTGAATACCCTTTATTTCCTTCTCTTGTCTGATTTCCCTGGCCAGAACTTCCAATACTATGTTGAATAGGAGTGGTGAGAGAGGGCATCCTTGTCTTGTGCTGGTTTTCAAACGGAATGCTTCCAGTTTTTGCCCATTCAATAAGTTATTGGCTGTGGGTTTGTCACAAACAGCTCTTATTATTTCGAGATACATTCCATCAATACCTAGTTTATTGAGTGTTTTTAGCATGAAGAGGTGTTGAATTTTATTGAAGGCCTTTTCTGCATCTATTGGGATAATTATGTGGTTTTTGTCATTGGTTCTGTTTATGTGATGGATTACATTTATTGATTTGCATATGTTGAAACAGCCTTGCATCCCAGGCACGAAGCCGATTTGATCGTGGTGGATAAGCATTTTGATGTGCTGCTGGATTAGGTTTGCCAGTATTTTATTGAGGATTTTTGCATCGATGTACATCAGGGGTATTGGCCTGAAATTTTCTTTTTTTGTTGTGTCTCTGCCAGGTTTTGGTATTAGGATGAAGCTGGCCTCATAAAATGAGTTAGGGAGGAGTCCCTCTTTTTCTATTGTTTGGAATAGTTTCAGAAGGAATGGTACCAACTCCTCTCGTACTTCTGGTAGAATCTGGCTGTGAATTCATTCAGTCCTGGACTTTTTTTGGTTAGTAGGTTATTAATTACTGCCTTAACTTCAGAACTTGTTATTTGTCTATTTAGGGATTCGATTTCTTCTTGGTTTAGTCTTGGGAGGGTGTATGTGTCCAGGAATTTATTCATTTCTTCTAGATTTTCTAGTTTATTTGCACAGAGGTGTTTATAGTATTCTCTGTGGTAGTTTGTATTTCTGTGGGATCAGTGGTGACATCCCCTTATCATTTTTTATTGTGTCTATTTGATTCTTCTCTCTTTTCTTCTTTATTAGTCTGGCTAGCGGTCTATGTATTTTGTTGATCTTCTTAAAAAACCAGCTCCTGGCTACATTGATTTTTTTGAAGGGTTTTTCGTATCTCTATCTCCTTCAGTTCTGCTCTGATCTTAGTTATTTCTTGCCTTCTGCTAGCTTTTGAATGTGTTTGCTCTTGTTTTCTAGTTCTTTTAATTGTGATGTTAGGGTGTCCATTTTAGATCTTTCCTGCTTTCTCCTGTGGGCACTTAGTGCTCTAAATTTCCCTCTACACACTGCTTTGAATGCGTCCCAGAGATTCTGGTACATTGTGTCTTCATTCTCATTGGTTTCAAATAACTTCTTTATTTCTGCCTTAATTTCATTATTTATCTGGTAGTCATTCAGGAGCAGGTTGTTTAGTTTCCATGTAGTTGTGCGGTTTTGAGTGAGTTTCTTAATCCTGAGTTCTAATTTGATTGCACTATGGCCTGAGAGACTGTTTGTTATGATTTCCATTCTTTTGCATTTGCTGAGGAATGTTTTACTTCCAATAATGTGGTCAATTTTTGAATAAGTGTGATGTGGTACTGAGAAGAATGTATATTCTGTTGATTTGGGGTGGAGAGTTCTGTACATGTCTATTAGGTCTACTTGGTCCAGAGCTGAGTTCAAGTCCTGAATATCCTTGTTAATTTTCTGTCTCATTGATCTGTCTAATATTGACAGTGGGATGTTAAAGTCTCCCACTATTATTGTGTGGGAGTCTAAGTCTCTTTGTAGGTCTCTAAGAACTTGCTTTATAAATCTGGGTGCTCCTGTATTGGGTGCATATATATTTAGAATAGTTAGCTGTTCGTGTTGCATTGATCCCTTTACCATTATGTAATGCCCTTCTTTGTCTCTTTGATCTTTGCTGGTTTAAAGTCTGTTTTATCAGAGACTAGGATTGCAACCCCTGCTTCTTTTTGCTCTCCATTTGCTTGGTAAATATTCCTCCATCCCTTTATTTTGAACCTATATGTATTTTTGCACATGAGATGGGTCTCCTGAATACAGCACACTGATGGGTCTTGACTCTTCATCCAATTTGCCAGTCTGTGTCTTTTAATTGGGGCATTTAGCCCATTTACATTTAAGGTTAATATTGTTTTGTGTGAATTTGATCCGTCATTATGACGTTAGTTGGTTATTTTGCACATTAGTTGATGTAGTTTTTTCATAGTGTCAACGGTCTTTACAATTTGGTATGTTTTTGCAGTGGCTGGTACCAGTTGTTCCTTTCCATGTTTAGTGCTTCCTTCAGGAGCTCTTGTAAGGCAGGCCTGGTGGTGACAGAATCTCTCACCATTTGCTTGTCTGTAAAGGATTTTGTTTCTCCTTCACTTATGAAGCTTAGTTTGGCTGGATATGAAATTCTGAGTTGAAAATTCTTTCCTTTAAGAATGTTGAATATTGGCCCCCACTCTCTTCTGGCTTGTAGGGTTTCTGCAGAGAGATCTCCTGTTAGTCTGAGGGGCTTCCCTTTGTGAGTAACCCGATCTTTCTCTCTGGCTGCCCTTAACATTTTTTCCTTCATTTCAACCTTGGTGAATCTGACGATTATGTGTCTTGGGGTTGCTCTTCTCAAGGAGTATCTTTGTGGTGTTCTCTGTATTTCTGAATTTGAATGTTGATCTGCCTTGCTAGGTTGGGGAAGTTCTCCAGGATGATATCCTGAAGAGTGTTTTCCAACTTGGTTCCATTCTCCCCATCACTTTCAGGTACACCAATCAAACGTAAGTTTGGTCTTTTCACATAGTCCCATATTTCTTGGAGGCTTTGTTCATTCCTTTTTATTCTTTTTTCTCTAATCTTGCCTTCACACTTTATTTCATTAAGTTATTCTTCAATCTCTGATATCCTTTCTTCTGCTTGATCAATTCGGCTATTGATACTTGTGTATGCTTCACAAAGTTCTCATGCTGTGTTTTCAGCTCCATCAGGTCATTTAT
Organism: Homo sapiens; assembly: GCF_000001405.40. Lineage (NCBI taxonomy): Eukaryota > Metazoa > Chordata > Mammalia > Primates > Hominidae > Homo > Homo sapiens. The sequence goes on along the minus strand of NC_000002.12, from coordinate 173,561,219 downwards.
GTTCTTCTCTAAACTGGTTATTCTGTTTAGCAGTTCCTGCAACCTTTTATCAAGGTTCTTAGCTTCCTTGCATTGGGTTAGAACATGCTCCTTTAGCTCAGAGGAGTTTGTTATTACCCACCTTCTGAAGCCTACTTCTGTCAATTCATCAAATTCATTCTCCATCCAGTTTTGTTCTCTTGCTGGCGAGGAGTTGTGATCCTTTGGAGGGGAAGAAGCATTCTGGTTTTTGGAATTTTCAGCTGTTTTGCACTGGCGTTTCCTCATCTTCATGGATTTATCTACCTTTGGTCTTTGATGATGGTGACTTTCGGATGGGATTTTTATGTGGACGTCCTTTTTGTTGATGTTGATGCTATTGCTTTCTATTTGCTAGTTTTCCTTCTAACAGTCACTCCCCTCTTCTGCAGGACTGCTGGAGTTTGCTGGAGGTTCACTCCAGTCTGTTTGCCTGGGCGTTACCAGGGGAGGCTGTGGAACAGCAAAGATTGCTGCCTGCTCCTTCCTCCAGAAGATTCGTCCCAGAGGGGCACCCACCAGATGCCAGCCAGAGCTCTCCTGTATGAGGTGTCTGTCGACCCCTGCTGGGAGGTGTCTCCCCATCAGGAGGCACAGGGGTCAGGGACCCACTTGAGGAGGCAGTCTGTACCTTAGCAGAGCTCGAGCACTGTGCTGGGAGATCCGATGCTGTCTTCAGAGCCAGCAGGCAGGAACATTTAAGTCTGCTGAAGCTGTGCCCACAGCTGCCCCCCTCCCCCAGGTGCTCTGTCCCAGGGAGATGGGAGTTTTATCTATAAGCCCCTGACTGGGGCTGCTGTCTTTCTTTCAGAGATGCCCTGCCCAGAGAGGAAGAATCTAGAGAGACAGTCTGGCTACAGCAGCTTTGCCGAGCTGTGGTGGGCTCCACCCAGTTAGAACTTCCTGGCAGCTTTGTTTACAATGTGAGGGGAAAACTGCCTACTCAAGCCTCAGTAATGGTGGACGCCCCTCCCCCTACCAAGCTTGAGCATCCCAGGGCAACTTCAGACTGCTGGGCTGGCAGTGAGAATTTCAAGCCAGTGGATCTTAGCTTGCTGCAACTGTGGGGGTGGGATCCGCTGAGCTAGATCACTTGGCTCCCTGGCTTCAGCCCCCCTTTCCAGGGCAGTGCATGGTTCTATCTCAATGGCTTTCCAGGTGTCACTGGGGTACAAAAAAAAAACTCCTGCAGCTAGCTTGGTGTGTGCGCAAATCACTGCCCAGTTTTGTGCCTGAAACCCAAGGCCCTGGTGGTGTAGGCACCTGAGGGAATCTCCTGGTCTGTGGGTTGCAGAGACCATGAGAAAAGCATAGTATCTGGGCCAGAATGCACCATCCCTCACAGCACAGTCCTTCATGGCTTCCCTTGGCTAGAGGAGAGAGTTCCCCAACCCCTTGTGCTTCCCGGGTGAAGCAACACTCCACTCTGCTTCTGCTTGCCCTCCGTGGGCTGCACCCACTGTCTAACCAGTCCCAATGAGATGAGCCAGGTACCTCAGTTGAAAATGCAGAAATCACCTGCCTTCTGCATTGATCTCGCTGGGAGCTGCAGACCAGAGCTGTTCCTATTCAGCCATCTTGCCAGCCACCCCTATTCATTTATTTTTTGAGATGGAGTTTCATTCTTGTTACCCATGCTGAAATGCAATGGTTCAATCTCGGCTCACTGCAACCTCCGCCTCCCGGGTTCAAGCAATTCTCCTGCCTCAGCCTCCCAAGTAGCTGGGATTGCAGGCATATGCCATCACACCTGACTAATTTTGTAGGAAAATACTACTTTAAAGTGTTATTTTAGGTAATTTTTATTCACCCGAATTCCTGCTACTTTGCAATTCTCCATCCATTGGAGCTGAAATCATCCTTCTTTTAGGGAAGGGCAGAATATAGCCCTGAATTTGGGGAGGATGCTATTTTCTCCTTCCTGTTTCAGGTCTAAAAGTTGTGAAAGCCCAGGCTTTCATTTGTGAGAGCTAACCTTTGCTGAAGGAAGAAAGGATTGGTGGATTTCAAGGATCTCAAGTGAGAGGAGCAGAGTTTTTACAATTTACCACAGGGGGAGGATGGCATGCAGGGTATGGTGTAAGGAAAATTCTTAAAACCATGAAAGAAGAAAAGTCCTTTCAAAAATGACAAGGAGGGGGAGGGCAGAGGAGAAGGAGGAGGAGTACAGAGGACACAAACCTGGTGTTAGAGCACTAATTATACCTATAAGAAAGACCTGGGTTTCTCAGTCTTGGCCCTGGGCTAGAGAGCGTGCAAGATGACAGAAACCCAAGATACACTAATGAGGGCTTGGGTCTTGATTTCCGTTGAAATTAAGGGAAGAGACCACCTTGCAGGTCCCTAAACCAACAAGCATTGTTGCAGGAGAATATGGCAGTGTGGCATGTAATTGTACTGGTAACCCCCAGAGAAGGTCTGAGATAGAGTCCCTCAGATCCTCACAGTCTGCATGTGGAGATCCAGAAGTCCTGTCATGATCCCAGGGGAAGCATGGAAGGCCTGAGAGATGGAATAGATCAGACAAGTCTTGGGATTAGAACAAAAAGATGGTGGATCTTGTGAACAGAGACTTCAGCAGGGACCTCAAACATGAGCTGTGGATACCACTGAATACTTCTGATTAGAGTAATGTGGAGAATGTGGTACTTGAGAGAAGCTGGTCTTGACGCTGGGTTAGTTCATTGTACACACTTAGGAGGCAGAGTCTCAAAAATTGAGCCCTTACACAAAAGAACAGCAGCCAAGGCCGGGAGGCAGTCTTCCAGAGAATTACAAGATTGGGCTACTTCAAGGGAAACCAGATATTTTCTTGTAGCATCTCGTATTTTAAGCATTATATTTTTTTAACCTAGAACTGAGGAGAGAGAACAGTGATGGCTTTCTGCCTCTGGGAACTCTGTCTGTGACCAGTGCAGGTCTTGGTTCTGTCACCTGGGGGGCAGTCATCTGAGGTGATGTTTACCTGGTTGCATAGATCATAGCTATAATCACTGGTTGTCAATGAACACATACAGCTCGTCTTTCCTTGTACATAACATTTCTCATCCTACAATGCGTGCCTTTATCATTCAATGCCCACCAACATGGCCAAAATGCAAAACAAAAACCCAGAAATACAGTTAATAAGCCCAGGGGAAATGGTTATTCTCCTTCGATCTTAACTCTGTTGAACTGGATATGCAGTGTGAACTGAGCTCTTCAAGCAAATGATAAATCAAGTTTGCTCCTGAAGTGGGGGATACATTATTTCAAGTGGACTCTACTACTGAGCATCTTTTAACTCGTTCTGAGCATCCTTTCCTTCAGCCTACATTTCTAGACTCTGGCTAAAAATCCTACTTGGTGGGGAGTCTAATGAATTCATTTCTACCATTTCTTTCGACATGAATATGTTTATATGGTTGCTTTGACTAGGCCAGCTAAGAAAACAGAACTGAGTGTTTCATCCCTGCTTCCTCCAACATTATGATGGTATTATTCTCCATTTAGAAAGACCATCCAGCCATAAAGATGCAGATGAAAAAGACAGCGTATGCCTATCCAGATGCTTTTCCAACTCTATTAAGTGTTCCACCAATGCATGTGCATCCCATGTATTTTAAATTTTATTTACAGAGAAGAAACACTTACCCCATTATACATTATACATTGTATCCCTGATGGACATTAAAGAAGATTACAGTAGATTCACTGCCCTTGATGTATTGTTTTTTCTCCTTCATTTCCTAGGAGCTAAGATAGCCAAATACGCCCAGCAAGAGCCAGACACATCAGCTCATATAGTTTTAAAGGCATATTTGGTTGAATAGTAAGTCAAAATCCCCTCCTAATGAATTTCCCTCATGGAAATTATCTTCCATGTCAGGAAATAGTCCACAAGGAGCAAGCATCTTCTTTCTCTAATTTGCATTGTGGAAAGAAAAGGAAAATAGCACAGATGCATTCGGTATTGAACAAAGAGCATATATGGGCATTTCAATCCCTAATATCGCACTAGTTTCTGATGCTAATGTAAAATATGTTCTTTTTGCATTTATAATCATGATGAGCAGATGGCGAAGACGGTTTAAAGTAGTACTGTATGTCTATTAAAATAATGTATGCTGTTAGCAAGTCTTCCCTAAAACTGGAGTTTAATTGCTCATAAACACATACATTAGAAAGAACCACGATTCTAAGAGCCATTTGCTTTGCCAGGACAATAGTTTAGACAGAGTTCCCTGTAACAAGCTTTGGCCAAAAGACTTCTTACGGTAGCAGATGCTTCACTGTGCTCTCTCTCCCTTAAAGAGGCTTAATTGACAAAAATGTTGAGATTGGCACAAAAGGACCCTGGTTTCTTAAAACAAAGAAATCCCTCTTAAACATAAGCTAAAATGGAAAAACTAAGGAAAATGTGGACTTGGGGAGAACTGGTAAGGAAAGAATTAAGTACATAAGCTGCATTATTCTTTGGCATTCTTTGGAGTTTTGTTTTGTTTTTTTTTCTTTATTAGATTTCAAGCAAACCATCAACAATGGCATTTTGTCATTTTCAGTGATTAATATTGATTATATGGTTGCTGTGTTTTCTGAAAGTAAAACCAGCCAGACAGGAGAGAGTTTATTTTTTCATTCCAAGGGGCTTCACCGCCACATCACAGAGGGAGAAGGAGATGAACCTCTCTCTCTGACAGTTTCGCCACCCACTCAGCCTCTTGGAAAGGGGTCCTCCGAAGGAAGGACGTCTGATCTTCAAAGCCGATGACAAAGTCGGGAGTATCAGAATCCACCCTGAACACCAGTAAATGGGAATTGATACTGTTTGCAAACAGGAGGAGGAGGAAGGGGGAGGAGGCAGTAGAGAAAGGCAGGCTGAGAGCCAAGGGCCCTAAAAAGGCAGCAAGTTTTAGAAAACACTCATTTGACTAATTTGCCTAATATAATAAAGAAAGGATGGTTTTATTTTCAAATGCAGAAGTGGTGATTGATTAGGTGGGCATTATATTTGCAGCATGTGGAATGAATAATGGCTGTGAATGGATATGGAAAATATCTTACCAAGAAGGAAAAAAAATCCATAAGTCATACAAGGCAGAGCACAAAAATACCAACATACCAACATTCAAAGAGAGTTTCAATAATAACAGACTGAATCTTGGAAGGGAGCCAAGGAAACGGGGAACAGAAAGAGAGCTACATGCAGCATAATGGTTTCTAGACAATAGGCAATGAGAGAGGGTCTGCACATGCTTGTGAATGTGGTATTAGCTCTTTCATTATTATAATTACCTAAGTTTAAGGTCAAGTCACCTGTGTATTGCTGATAAAGTTAATGATTTCTTTTAAAATAGAAGTAGTGCTTAAATTACCTAAGATGTTAGAGGAATAGATAATCCATGTGGGTGAGCTATTACAGAATTATCCCCGTCTAACAGAGCAACATCCCTGATAGAGAATGGCACTGAATCCCACCACATCTGCAGAATTCTAATGTAGAACCTTGCAAATGCATTCTCCTGCCTGAGTTCTCTCTTTGGTTGAAGGCGACCCTCCCATTACCGAAGACATGCATTCTTCTGACAGTTTAAAAAAGCTGTCTCAGAATAGGGTTTACCTCAGGTAAGATGCAGCCAGATTTGGAAACCTGAATTCACATTTTGCAAGCTTTGATCAGTCATCAGATTGCAGTCTGAATCAAAAAAAGACTGGGTATAGAAGGTTTGCCAAATACTTGTATTTTAAATGTTTCTGAATGATGAAATTCCATGAAGTGTTATTTAAGTAGTAGGATGGAAGATTTTTCTCTTTTTCTTGTCACAGAAATAACTCAAAAATTCCATAATTCTTCACCAGCATAAATTCTGAATACTGGAGAACAAATACTTGAGGAGTCTAATAGAAAAACCATAGGAAAAAGCTATCAGGTCCTTCAGGTGGGTCCTAGCTCCATCTCAGCATTAACGGAGATGTGTCCTACGCATCTGCATTTTTCAGATACTTCATGAGTGATTGTGTCTCACATCAGGCTTCAGAACGATTGCTGTTGGTGGGAGGCAGTGTTTGAATGGTGTTAAGACCTGGCCAGATCTGCATTTTTCAATAGATCACTAGTTAAAACATAGTGGAACAATTTGAAATGGGACAAGACTGCTGCTAGGGAGGGCCCTAGGGATGCTACTCTACCTGCTCGTGTGAGAGTCACTAAATGTCTGAACTAGGGCAGTGGTAGTCAGAGAGGGAGATGAGGGGTCAGAGATAGGGAGGCTGAGTCAATACGTATTTAGGAGGCAAAATCAGCATTATTTAGCGATTGAATGTGGAAGGTGGATGAAACAAGTCTGAAATATATTAGATTTCTACCTTGGATGACAGCTTGGATGGTACAGCTTTTAACTAAGTACCTTCTAACACTAGTTCTCCAATACCAACGGGGCACCTTACAACTCAGTTCAATTCTGACACTAACTATGTAAAATTAGCACAGACCTCACAAGTTAAGAGGCTCAGTCCCACGTGACTACCCCCACTTCAGACACTAACCACAAGCAGAGTCCCCATGCAACAGAAGTCCCCCAGAGTTCTGTTTAAAATTTGAGGGTTCCTACAACTCACTTCTGGTTTAATAATTTGCTTAAAATGATTCACAGAACTCACTGAAAGCATTACACTTAAGAATTACTGGGTTTTATTTATTTATGTATTTATTTTTGAGACAGGGTCTTGCTCTGATGTTCAGGCTGGAGTGTAATGGTGTGATCTCGGTTCACTGCATCCTCAACCTCCCAGCTTCAAGCAATCTTCCCACCTCAGCCTCCTAAGTAGCTGGGACCACAGCTGTGCACCAACACGCCCAGCTAATTTTTGTTTATTTTTTGTAGACATGGGGGTCTCCCTATGTTACCCAGGCTGGTCTCAAGGAATCTTCCTGCCTCAGCCTCCCAAAGTGCTAGGCTTACAGGTGTGAAGCCACTATGCCCAGCCTAGGATTACTGTTTTATTATAAAGGATACAAATAAACAGGCAGATGAAGAGGTACCTGGAGCAAGTCTGGGAGGGTCCTGAACATAGGGACCTCTGTTTTCATGGACTCAGGGTTCACCATCTTCCCTAAACAGGATGTTCACCAAGTAGGAAGCCCCCTAGCCTCCTCGTTTCAGAGTTCTGGGTTTCTGGGGTTTCTTCGGGTAGGCATGATTGGTTAGAGCATTGGCCACATGACTAAACTCAACCTCCCTTCCTTAGAGGTCAGGAGTGGGGCTGAAAACTCTAGCCCTCTAATCGCAAGCTTAGTCTTTCTGGCATAGCCAACCCCTTTCTTGAAACTATCCAAGGGCCCACTGGGAGTCACCTCATTAGCATAAACTCGGGTGTGGTTGAAAGGAGCAAAAGACAGACGACACTCCTCTGAATCAGAAAATTCCAAGAGTTTATGAAGGTCTGTGCCGGAAACTGGGGGCAAAGGCCAAACATATGTGTTTGATTATACCACACTAAGAAATAATAAAGTGAAACAGACTTTCAGGGGAAGGTAACTAGTTCCATTTTGAACACGTTGAGTTTAAGGATTCCCCAAGTGAATGCATCTAGCAGACAGGTGAACATGCAACGAGAAACTCAGGGCAGAAGTCACAACTGGAAGCAGAAATCTGGATGTCACTGTTTGAGGAAATGCTCCTGTAAGTAGTATAAGGGTGTGTGAACTATGGTGACATTATTTTTTAAAAAGACATCGGGTTAAACTGTGTTCATTAGGACCCGTGATGAGCATAGATAAGCTAATGTCCTGACATTTCTCACACATGATAATTTAGATTTTGTGCTGTAAACCAGGAATCAGAAAGGTTTTTTGTTTTTGGTGTGTTTTTGGAAAGGAACAGGTAACAAATATCTTAAGCTTTGCAGGCTATACAGCCTCTGTCACAACTACTCACTTCTGCTGTTGTGATGTAAAAGGAGCCATAGAAAATACCAATCAAATGAGCATGGCTAGGTTTTAATAAAATTTTATTTGTGGACACTGAAATTCAAATTTCTTACAATGTTCATGTGTCACAAAATGTTTTTTTTTTAAATCATCTAAAAATGCAAAAACCATCCTAAGCTCATGGGCTGTATAAAAACAGGAGGCAGGCCAATTTGGTCCTTGGGCTGTATGTTGCCAGCCCCTGCTGTAAACCGATAAACTTGTGTGGCTCCCTGAAAAAGAAGACTTAATGTGAGGACCCAAGGGCAAAGCCTCAGTTCAGAGGAGATGCACTGTAGTCCCTTTGCTGATGAAAGCAAAATTGACCTCGAAAGATGTGGAGAGCCTGCTGTCTGAAGGAGTCTGCTTCATCTGATTGGGTGTTTGTGAATAACTCCAGCTCAGAGTTGAGCCTAGATACAATTCTTCAGGGCGAAACAGTTCTTCTCTTGGCTTTTGGACACCACACTCTCCTAGATTTCTCCTACTTCCTGGCTGCTCCTTCTCAGCCTCCCTCACCCATTCCTGGCTGCCCTACTTCCCCGTGTTGAAATGCTGAGCAGCCAAGACTGGGTCCACTTTCTTCCTCTATCTATTCTCCCTTTCCTGCTGATTTTATCCAGTCCTGTGGGTTTAAACATCATTTATATTCTGATCAATTCCAGATCTCTATCTTCAGTCCTGAACTGGCCCCAGAATTTCAAATTTGTATATCCAACCAACTGCTTGATGTCTAAACGGGTGTGTCTAATAGGAATTTCTCACCATTTACTCAGTTGCTTAAGCCCCACACCTGTCTTTCTTTTGCCCTCATATTCAGGCCATCAGGATTGGGTCCTGTTGACCTAGTTCCCAAAATATGCTCTAGATCTTTCCATTTTCCCATCTCCTCCCTCCTGACTCCCCTCCATTCTAGAGTCCAGGCCATGTACCCCTTACCCAGACTGCAGCAACTGCCTCCCCAACAGTCTTCCTACAACCACTCTTCACTCTATAATCCCGTTATAAATATCAGCTCTAGTGACTTTTTAAAAAACATTGAATTAATTTTTTTTGGAGAAGTTTTAGGTCTATAGAAAAATTGAGTGAAAAGTAAAGAGTTCCCATATACCTTCTCCCCATCCCATTCTCCCTTCTCCCCCAGCTTCCTCTATTATTAACATTTTGTATTAGAATGGTACTGCTATGGTTTGAATGTCTCCTCCAGATTTCATGTGTTGGAAACTTAATCCCCAAATTCATATGTTGACTGGAGGTGGAGACCTTGGGAGGTAATTAGAATAAGAAAAGGCCAGGGTGGGTCCCCCATCATGGGACTGGTGCTTTATACAAAGAAGAGATACTTGAACTGATATGCACATTCTTGCTCTCTTGCCATGTAATGCCTTCCTCCATATCATGACACAGCAGGAAGGCCCTCACCAAATGTCAGTGCCATGCTCTTGGACTCCCCAATCTCTAGAACCATGAGTTAAATAAACCTCTATTCTTTATAAATTATCCCATCTGTGGTATTCAGTTATAGAAACAAAAAGTGGGTTGAGACACGTACATTTGTTAAAAATGATGAACCAGTATTAATAGATTACAATTAATTAAAGTCCATAGTTTACATTAAGGTTCACTCATACTGTACTATCTGTGGGTTTTGACAAATATATAATGACATGTATCCATAATTACAGTATTATACAGAATACTTTCACTGTCCTAGAAAACCTCTGTGTTCCACCTGTCCATCCCTCCTTCATTCCCCCCAAATCCCTAGCAACTACTAATCTTTTTACTGTCTCCATAATTTTTCTTTTCCAGAATGTCATATAGTTGGAGTCTTACAATGTGTAGCCTTTTCAAATTGGCTTCTTTCACTTAGCAATATGCATTTCAGGTTTTTCCATTGTCTTTTCTTGGCTTGATAGCTCATTCATTTTTATCAATGAATAATAAATATTCCATGGTATGGATCTACCAACACTTGTTTATCTAATCACCTGCTGAAGGACATCTTCCTTGCTTCCAAGTTTCAGTGACTTTTTGACATAGAAGTCATAACATGCCACCCCATCATCATACCCAAACATTCCTTATTCTGCCTTTCAACACTGTAATAATCTGGCCCCTATTTGACCATCTCAGTTCCCTCCCACTGTGATCCTTTCACTTTGCTCTTCTTTCTGATCATGCCTTGGGGCCTTTGTACCAGCTGTCCTATCCACCGGGACTCTCTTCCCTCAAATAGCCACATAGGCCACGTGTTCTCTTTCAGCTCTCAGCTTGCACTCCCCATCCTTGGTGAGGCTTTCCCTCATCCCTAGCCAAAGTTACCACTCAGTCGCCCCCAGTTACATCCCATTTTTTTTTTTTTTTTTTTTTGAGACGGAGTCTCGATCTGTCACCGAGGCTGAAGTGCAGTGGTGCAATCTTGGCTCATTGCAAGCTCCGCCTCCCGGGTTCACACCATTCTCCTGCCTCAGCCTCCTGAGTAGCTGGGACTACAGGCGCCTACCACCATGCCTGGCTAATTTTTTGTATTTTTAGTAGAGACGGGGTTTCACAGTGTTAGCCAGGATGGTCTCGAACTCCTGACCTTGTGATCTGCCTGCCTCGGCCTCCCAAAGTGCTAGGATTACAGGCTTGAGCCACCACAACAGGCCTATATCTCATTTTTCATTCTCTCTATTTACCATTTAACTCTATTTGATACTTATTTTTGTTTATTTGTTGTTTTTCTTCTTCCAATAAAAGCAAGGACCTCCTCTGTCTTAACCAGTGACCTATACCTAGCTCCTAGAACTATGCTGAGTGAATAAACACTTTATTATTAAATGTTTCCCATTTCTGGAAGTCAGTTGCATCAAAGTATTTACAATACTTAAAATAGACATCAACATTTTGAAATGAATGTTGTCTAGACCATATGTTTTTTATTTGCTTAATGAAATGCTCCTCGATTCACATTCCTAGACAAGGTCCACATCCTCCAAGGCCCTCTGAGTCATCTCTGGAGTCTCTCTTGTCTTTGCTAGCACAACAAAGCTGTAGGCACCAGTGGCAGAATCAAAGTGGTAGGGCAGATGATAAGAAGGCTAACCAGGTGATGCCCAAAGAGAAGGAAAATAAAAATAACAAATGGATAATCAAGTAAAAAGAGCTAATTTGGTAAAAAGTTCTGAAAGCAATTCAAAAAGTAATCTTGTAAAATGACTAAGCAAAACATACTCTGAATAAATGTTTAGCCTCTCAAAGAGATTCCTTTCAAGGACAACTTTCATTAGAAGTGAAGCAAGATTTGTAGAAAATTTTATACCCATACATTTTATTCAATCTTAAAGCTGATAAAGGAAAAAGAAAATCAGCCAGTGACTAAGGGATTTTCGCATTCTTCTATCTTAAGAGAGTATAGAATATATAGCTTTTAATTTTATGGATTTAGGATTAAACTCAACATTATGGAACTTTCTATCACCTTCCAGCTGTAAGAGTCTGTAGTTCCGTGTGTGGCCATTGTTGGGCCATTTTGCCTTTGTATAAATGTGATAATAGATCAAAGTATTAAAGTGTACATCAGGATTTGGTCATATATTTTTAAGTCAGATATGTCTCTAATTGCCTGATGGGACTGCACTCAAGGTGGAGGAAGAAATTCTGTTTTGAAGAAGCAGAGTGCTCAAAAACTTGATTAACAGAAGTCCTGGCAGGGGCGGGAATAGCTGTAAGACTGGAGGCAGCTGGAGAGGACCCTGATTTGGAAAGGCAAATCTTCAGAGAGGTAAATAGGCACGTTCATGGCATCAATTTGTTACAAGCCATGGCCAGCACTTCAACCCAAGACCTCAGGCTTCCTGTCTAGTGCTCTACCTAACTTATCTCTACGGCTTTTCTGTTGTTATTTTAAGTCACTAGGTTGTGGGGTGGTTTGTTACACAGCATTAGATAACTGGAACACACTCATTAAGGGCAATTCTTAAAAAAAAAAAGGAAAGCAAGAGAAACAGCAAGAGACAGAAAGATGGGAGTGAAGAAGAAAGGGAGGAAGGGAGAGAGAGAAGGAGGGAAGGACAGAAAGAAATAAAAGATGAGAGTGTAGCAAACATCTATATTTGTTTCAAAAAAAGGACCCCAAAAGTTCCCCCCACCTTCCACCAAATCCTTTTAAAGAAAACCAAGACTCTCCCGCTAAAGCAGCCCTTGAATATTAATTGCCCTGAGGGAGCTCTTGCATCTGCTTTGTTATTGGAGAAATTAGCAGGAATCATGAAGATAGACATTTAGTTGCGGGCTTTTGCCCTTGAATGTTATCAGGTGATTGGTTACTGTGCGATCTTGTTGAGTGACCAAATGTACTTTAGAATGCTTTCTGGTGTCCAGGCATATCATTTATAGTTCACGAAATATGGTGATTGAGGTTATTTCTGCAAGAGGGTCTGTGAACAGGAGAGTTACGCTATGCTGTTAAGTCAAGTCAGAGGTGTCTTACATTGTTTCAGCTAGCAGTACCATTTCTCAGGAACATGAATGCAATGACTGTCAACGGTAGAATATTTCTAATTCTGAGACTACAGAACTCAGCCCTTTTGGGAATGCCTTGGGAACTCACTCCATCTCAAGGTCTTTCTTACAAACCACAATTTAAATTGCTCTTCAGACATAAAGATGTACCAATTAATTGAGAGTTTGAAGAGCAGTGTTAGATTAGGGAATAAACCTGCTTTTACTGTATTCCTTAAAACTTTCTATAATAATATTTTTATTTTCCTTTCATACCAACTGTATGATAAAAATATCATTAAACTACTCATTAAATTTCCTCATTCTCTAATTTACTCTCCTTATTCACAGTATCTCTGGATTAAACAAATGAGTTTTTGAAGCCTCTGATAGCTAGGTATTGCCCATTTTTAAAAAAATCAGTAGATGGATTTTTATTCTTTACTAATAAAGATAACTTACCACAAATACTGTTATTAAGAGAATTCATTCCTGGAGGATTTAGTTATCTACTGGGAAAAAAAAATAAAGTTTTCAACCTTGACATCTTTCTCCTCATCTTTGCCTCCTGGCAAATTTTGCCAATAAAAACCTGTCAGCAGTTCTTTCTGAAATTGCCTTGCCCAGGTCCCTATTACACAGAGTTAGGTTGTCCACTCCCTCATCACGAAATATGCCTGACATTCCTCCTCAAGATTAGAATATTTTCTTACAAATGTTATAATGAAATTTTTTTGTATATTGGCTATAAGTTTTTTCTCTTTTTCTTATTCCTCCTATCTGAGGTTTTGTATCCTTTGAACAGTATCTCCCCAACCCCAAAGCTACATTTTAAAACTACGATCTCTTTTAAAAATCCATTGTAATTCATTACGTGTTGAATGCTACATGCAGATTTCTATAAAAACTTGTGAGTAGTACTATTTCCACCAGCTCTTACCTATAACTGACATTATCATCTTTTCTAACCACCAAGAGTGCCATTTCTTCACCCTGTGTATAAAGCTCTTTCTCTTTTCTCTCAATAAAACTTTCAGGCAGTGCAGTTTTGCCCACTTCTCTTTCCCTTTCAGGGTTTGTTAACTGCTCTTGAGGCACTGAAAGCTTTTTCGTTTCTCTTTTACTTTCCTGCTACTCAGATACCAAGTAGAAGCTCTTTTACCTTCTTCTCTTCCACTTCAATCAGAACAATGGAGTGCTCCTCTGAGGTATTCGGCTCCGTCTGTGTGGGCGATCGCTAATTTCTTGCTTTTATCCAGAACTGCACCATGGGCACCTGTGCTTTTTACTGCAAGCCCGACTGCTTTACCATTTTCAGGAGTCCCCAGATTAGCACCTCACTTTGAATGCTGACAAAGATGCTGCTCAACACCCCCCCAGATGGAAAGCACACTGCCATTCATCAATCAAAGGAAATGCGTATGATTAGAACACATCACATTGATCAAAATGACTTTACTTCTCTCAGATAAACTCACAATTACTGAAAATGATCATGGAAATTTGCCACATCAGATACTCAAAAGCTCATCTTAGGAGAGTTTAAAGAATTTTTTAAAGGTGGATTTGTTTCTTAGAGTCTATTTCCTGCTGACACTTTATCTACAAATACACAGTGATTACAGTGTCTGATCAATTAATAGGACATGTTTTCTGGTAGCATAATTGGAGGGGACAGAGAAAATATTCCATATTTCTTGTTTGTTCATTTTGGTAACTGTGATTCATATGAATGTGAAGTTATCCCATTCTGATAATCAATAATTAGTAAATAGGTTATAATATTTTAAAAGACTTATATGGATTCCACATCTTAAAAAAGAACAAAAAAGGGAGAAATACTTCAAGTTCAATATGGCGGAATTATAACATGCATTTGTTTCCTTTTCTTCCCCAAACTTCTCTAAAATGACAATAAAAGAATGAAAAGGTATTAACATACAAGGAGAGAAAGGATAACAGAGGAAACAAAAGCAGAAGAGAGATTTCCACAGGCATTTTGAAGATGAAAACTAGATTGGAAAGCTGGTAATGGACTTAGCAGAGTGGAGGAAGTAACAAGTCAAAATGCTTCAGAGATATATCCATAAGCAATGAACCAATCTCTCTCCCCCTGCCCCTCCCTATCCCCCACCATCAATCCTATGGGACAGTTGAGGCTTATTTGGAGAAACTGAACAAAAGCAGCTTCAGATCAGGCATAAGGTTCAAGGTCAAACAGAGAATTACATAAAAACCTGTGTTTGGAACAGGGGGAGACTCAGCTCCTGACCTTGTCCTGCTCCCGAATGCCAGCAACCAGGTCCCTCATGCAAGAGCAGAGGACTCCTAAGGAAAGTTGGGCAGCCTCCAAGAAAAGACCTGAGAACCTGACATTAAGGAATCTCCCAACAGAAAAAGCCCTTAAAGCCAGACCACCCCACAATGACGCCCACCACCACCACCCCCACTCCAGATTTGCCAAACCATTGTTTAGTGCCTCAATCTTTAACAGAAATGAAAGACAGCAGACACTTGAGAAAAATCTTCAGCACATAGGATAGAGACCAAAATAAGCAAACAGGAAAAAGAAGCAGAGGCAATATAGGGAGGAGAAGAGCAAAAGGAACCTTAGGAAAAAAAAAAAAAAGCCAACTTCTGATTAAGCTAATGCATTCACAAAAGAAATCCAAGACATAAGGAAGTAAAGAATAGTCACAGGAAGAGAAAGACTTTTTGGCAATTAAAAGTACAGTAACTGAAATTAATAAAATTTAGTACAAGTTCTGCTCTATTTCATTGAATATTTCTGGAAACTCAAATAAAAATACAGATATGGAAGATAGCCAAAAAATAACTTTTAAAAATAAAATTAGAAGATCAAACTCGAAGCTCTTAGACATTATCCACAAAATTCCCAGCAACAGAGAACAGAGAAAACGAAGACAACAAAATTATCAAAGATAAGATACGTGAAAATATTTTAGAACTTAATGGCATGAGTCTCCAATTTCTTACTTAACTTCTCTTCTGGGAACTCTTAGAGAAAGCTAAAAGTCCACATTTCCAAAATTCAACTCTTGATTTCCCCTCTGAGCTGCTTCTCTTGCAGTTTCCTGTCTCCATGAAGGACAGCACCATTCATCCAGCTGCAGAAACCACAAACCAACGTCACCCCAGCCCAAGTTAGCCTCATCCCCTGCATGATCACTGAGGTGGCCTTTTAACTAGTTTCCTATGTACACTCCACAGAAAGTGCCTTCAAAAGGCAGAGTTGAAGATATTTCATGCCCCACAGTTAAAACCTTACAGTGGCTTTCACTGCTCCTGAGTCAGAACAAACTCTTTAACATGGCCTAGAAGGTTTTGCATGGTCTGGCCATCCACGTTTCTCTAGCTTTACTTTGTACGATGGTCCCTTTCAGTCTCCACCCAGCCATGTTATCCCCTTCTGTGTTCCCCTTACTGCTTATCTGGCAAACAGTAGACTTCCAATAAAGAATTATTGAAGGCATGATATCACACAGATACGGGCTCAACACCTAACGTGTCTTTAAACACATGAACTTCCTTCAGCCTCAGTTTTCTCATCTATAGACTGCAAATAAGAACAGCACCTACCCATAGGTTCTTATCAGGATTCAACAAGATAATGACAATAAAGAACGTATCTTAGTGCCTGGCACAAAATAAACACTCAGAAAATTTTAGTTATCTAGTATTCTGCAGAATACCATCTAAATATTCCTGTTTCCATTAGTAACTGATCATGCATGTCATCTGTTAATTAATATGAGCCTTCAAAAACTCTATTTATATTTTGTCTGTACAAATTCTTGGGAATAATAAATTTTATGACTTTATTGCCCTCATTGCAAAGTAGTTGATCATGCCAGAGGTGTGCTAGAGATGGCTAATCCTTGCTTGCAAGGGTAAATTGTTAACTTTTCAGGAATTTGGTGAGCTGGTTGTTAAA
Organism: Homo sapiens; assembly: GCF_000001405.40. NCBI lineage: Eukaryota > Metazoa > Chordata > Mammalia > Primates > Hominidae > Homo > Homo sapiens. The sequence goes on along the minus strand of NC_000002.12, from coordinate 173,544,810 downwards.
CATGGCATTTGTTAAAAATTAAACCGTATAAACGTAAGATTAAAAGAATTATATTAAAGGCTGGGCATGGTGGCTCATGCCTGTAATCCCAGCACTTTGACAGGCCGAGACCAGTGGATCACCTGAGGTCAGGAGTTCAAGACTAGCCTGGCCAACATGCTGAAACCCTGTGTCTACTAAAAATACAAAAAATTAGCCGGGTGTGGTGGCACGCACCTGTAATCCCAGCTACTCAGGAGGCTAAGGCAAGAGAATTGCTTGAACACAGGAGGTGAAGGTTGTAATGAGCTGGGATCATGCCATTGCACTCCAGCGTGGGCAACAAGAGCGAAATTCTGTCTCAAAAAAAAAAAAAAAAAAAGAATTGTATTAAAAACAACAAAAGGCTAACTGAAGTTCTGTGAGGAGGAGAGATGGTGGCATGCTTTCTTGCCCAGGCTGGTCTCAAATTCCCGGCTTCAAATGATCTTCCTGCCTTGGACTCCCAAAGTGCTGGGGTTACAGATGTCAGCCACTGTATCTAGCCCATAGTGTTCTCTTCTAATCCTTTTTATTTCTATGAATTGTCTGCCCTATTGCTCAACAAGACAAAATTTCTGGGCTAGTGGCTGGAGGCTGGAGGAAGAATCTGGAGAGAGAGACTGTGGAAAAGGCACAGAAAGACCTTTGAACTAACAGAACATATTTATATGAGGGACTTAGGATCTTCATTCTGGGTCTTCCTCTGTCACCCAGGATGGAGTGCAGTGCTGTAATCTCAGCTCACAGCAGCCTCCACCTTCCAAGCTCAAGTGATCCTGTCACCTCAGCCTCCTGAGTGAAGATCTTTGAAAGATGGGAGTTAATTTATAAAAATAGAAAGCTAGAGAATTCCAGTGTTTGAAAGTAAACTTCTGATGGTTACTGAAATCCGGAACAGTGTTTCTCCATGAAGCAGAGATGTGATGCTGCATTAAGTTTATGAGAAACTGATTGCTTAATGCCAGCATGGTTTTTCTGTTGGTCTTATTGAAACCAGGGGCCACAGATTTTCATGTATACATTCATGCCCATTGTTGGTGTCCTTTCTCTAGGTCATACACTCTACAAATGGATGTTGTTTCTTCTTTCTTTCTTCCCTCCCTTCCTTCCATTCTCTAAGTCAATGGAATCAGTTAAACGAGCCAGGCTCTATGCCAGGGGCTGATGAGTAAATAAATAAATAAGACAAGTGCTCTGGCCTTTAAGGAGGCTCAATGACAGTTTTAAATGGCGCTCTGTTCATGGTGTAAGCAGGTGAAAAAGAGGGAATTGTTACTTCAATCCTGGGCGTTGGGGAAAGGCTTCAATGGAAGAGGTTAGTACTTGAGTTGAATCTTAAAAGATGTGTAGATTGGGGGTGAGATGGTCAGAGAGAAATGGGAAGAACATTCTAGTAAGAGGGATCAGCAAGAATAGCCAAGCCTTGGAGGAGGCAAATAGTAGGACATGTTATGGAAAGGGAAGAGGGCATTGCCTAGATGGAGTAAGGGGGTGATGTGAGGCCATTTGAGCAAGGCTGGGGAAGTAGGGGAAGTCAAGCCAGTTGAGACAGAGGGATTCATCACTGAAAATCCACTTCCAAGACCTGCACCCAACACAGGAACTGTGTATGGTTATCATGATTTGAACATTCCCAGCAGTTTGTCATGTAGTATTTGAGATTCAGGGCTTCAGGGATGCTGGATACTTTTACAAACATATTCCACAGTGTTTTATATAGGTCCCGGCAAGATTAACATATTGTTTTCTATGATGACAAATAGCTAACATGAAATGAGGATCAGTTTGATCTTTCATATAAGGTCTGGAGAATGCTTTTTCACAATTACCCCAGACCTTTTATATAGCATCTGTTTTTCAGTTCTAATGCAAAAGTATGTTACTGATATTGAATATTAGTGACTAGCAATATTTCATTCCAAATACCTATTTCCATCAAATTTCTTTTTTTTTAAAACTTTCATTTTAAGTTCAGGGGTACATGTGCAGGTTTGTTACATAAGTTAACTCATGTCATGGGGGTTTGTTGTACAGATTATTTCATAGGTATTAAGCCTAGTACCTATTAGTTATTTTTCCTGATCTTCTCCCTCCTCCCACCCTCCACTCTCCAGTAGGCCCAGGGGTCTGTTGTTACCCTCTATGTGTCTGTGTGTTCTCATCATTTAGCTCCCATTCATAATTGAGGATTTGTGGCATTTGATTTTCTGTTCCTGCGTTAGTTTGCTAAGGATAATGGCCTCTAGCTCCATCCATGTTCCTGCAAAGGACATGATCTCATTTTTTTTATGGGTGCAGAGTATTTCATGGTGTATATGTACCACATTTTCTTTAGTCTACCATTGATGGGCAGTTAGGTTGATTCCATGTCTTTGCTGTTGTAAATAGTGCTGCAATGAACATACACGTGCATGTGTCTTTATGGTAGAACGACTTACGTTCTTTTGGCTATATACCCAGTAATGGGATTTCTGAGTCGAATGATAGTTCTGTTTTTAGTTCTCTGAGGAATTACCATACTGCTTTCCGCAATGGTTGAACTAATTTACATTCCCAGCAACAGTTCCATTAAATTTCCCAAAACATAAATATGTAGTGCTTGCTATATTCCAAACAATGTTATACGCATTTTACCAATATTAAATCATGTGATGTTCTAACAACACAATGAAAGGTAGGCATCTTCATTATCCCTAGTTGATAAATGAGGAAACAGTAGTTGAGTAACTTGCCCAAAGTTAAAAGCTAGTGAATGATGCAGCTGGTAATTGTGTGCAGGCAACTTACTCCAGAGATGTTAGGCCTGATTATCACATAGCTACTCTTCCAATTTAGATTTTTTTTTTTCAAACTAAAAATCACTGGACAGATTTTTAAATTCTTTTGACCACTTGCTTAATTGACATGACACTACATTATATGAATATAATTCACATATACAAACATTACATGCCCATATGTGATACGTGATAGTTATTATAATTCAGTAGTTCTCAACCCTGGAAACACACTGAAATCATAAAGTGAGGGGTTTTTGTTGTTGTTGTTGTTGTCTTGTTTTTTGGTTTTTTTTTTTTTTTTTTTGAGACGAGGTCTCACTCTGTTACCCAGGCTGGAGTGCAGTGGCACAAACAAGGCTCATTGCAGCCTCGACCTCCTGGGCTCAAGCAATCCTCCTGCCTCAGCCTCCCAAGAAGCTGGGACTACAGGTGCACTCCACCATGCCTAGCTAATTTTTAAAATTTTTTGTACAGACAGAGCATCACCATGTTGCCCGGGCTGATCTCAACTTTTGGGCTCAAGCAGTCCTCCACCTTGGTCCCCCAAAGTGCTGGGATTATACGTGTGAGCCACTGCACCTGGCCCATGTAATGAATTTCTTTAAAAATTGTTATTGGCTTAAGCCCCACCTCCAGAGATTCTGATTTAATTACTTTAGGTGAAGCCTGGACATCAGTATTTTCAAAACTCCCCAGGTGATTCTAACATTCATCTGGGCTTGAGAACCACTGTACAGACCAATCATTTATGGTTGACTTCAGGCACTGTACTATGCATTTTACACACATTATTGTCCTTTCACGTGACAAGCTGATTAGATAGGGTATAATTATTGGTGTTTTACAGATGTGGAAATTGAGGAACCAAAAGGTTATATATAATTTGCCCAAGTTCACGCAGCTAGTAAATTGCAGAGACAGAATGTATGAGGTGAAACCACGTTTTCTTAATTATAACTACCATGCACAAAAATTAGTCTGTGTCATAAATTAATTTATCAGCATTCTGGAATTTATCTATTTGTATGTACATGTTAAAACTCTTAAAATCTGAATAATTTAACCAATTTTCCATTCGGTCTGTTAAAAATACCTTTTAGGCCGGGCGCTTTGGCTCATGCCTGTAATCCCAGCACTTTGGGAGGCCGAGGCTGGCGGATCACAAGGTTAGGAGATCGAGACCATCCTGGCCAACATGGTGAAACCCCATCTCTACTAAAAATACAAAAATTAGCTGGGCGTGGTGATGCATGCCTGTTAATCCCAGCTACTCAGGAGGCTGAGGCAGGAGAATAGCTTGAACCAGGGAGTCGGAGGTTATAGTGAGCCAAGATCGTGCCACTGCACTCCAGCCTGGTGACAGAGCAAGACTCTGTCTCAAAAAAAAAAAAAAAAAAACTTTTAAACTAAATTATATATCTATCTATTTCTATTATATACAATACAATATATCCTTTATATTATATAATATGTTGCTATATATGTCATGTATTTGTGATATTAACCTTTTCACTTCATCTTTTGTATTTCTACATATGAATATGTAAAACATTCTAAATAAGTTTTCAAATACATGAGTAGCTTTAAAAAATAATAATAAAGGTAATAAATACTCAAAATGCTTAACTTCTAATTGTTTTACTATTATCTATGTTATTTATGACTACGGTAGCAATGTGGTGAAAAATGACACTCCATTGCACATCTCTTCTCAATTCTACATGCAGTGATAGCATAGCGTAGTTTAAAATTGGCCATACTTGGAGTATTTACACCATGGAAATCAGCAACTGCTCTAAATCAAGACCTCCACCACCACCCCTGAAAGCTAGTTTTTAGACATTTACTAACACACCAAGGAGTAATACCCAACTACACAGACATCAGACAAAGACTTCAACATAGATGACAGCAACTTCTTAGCAAAGTCAATAGCTCTCCTTTAACTAAACATAATTCCCTTTGTCTTATTCATGAATCCTCTAGATCTTTTCTTAGAGAATATTGGCTTTAAGTTTATATACAATTTCTGTTAAGTTTGGCTATCAGTTTTGTTTCTATAGAAACAAATGAAGAGGGTGCACTCCTATGAGGAAGACATAATAGCTCAGAGTTTGACAGTCAACAGTTTGATGACAAAAAAGAGCAAACAAAGCCATGCAAAACTAGAGAAGGATAAATGAATCCCAGCAGTCCAAGGGTAGCAGTATAGAAAAGCCCCTGGGAGACTTCCTGTAAGACAACATGGAACAAGTGTTAATGATCCTAGCGGTGACCAAGAACTCTCGAGAAAATGTTTGCCATCTTCTACATACTGTTTAAAATAGCAGAATCATGTGTAATAGACATTTTAAATATCTAAAAATATTTTTTGACAAATGGTGCTGAGAAAACTGGATATCCACATGCAAAAGAATGAAGTTGGGCCCTTACCTTAAAGCATATGCAAAAAATTAACTCAAATAGATCAAAGATCTAAATATAAGAGCTAAAACTGTAAAACCGTTAGAAGAAAACATAGGGATAAGCCTTCATGACATTGGATTTGGCAATAGTTTCTTGGATATAACACCAAAAGCATAGACCATAGAAGAAAAAATAAGTAAATTGTACTTCATCAAAGTTAAAAACTTTTGTGCATTAAAGGACACTATCAAAAAAGTCAAACAGCAACCGATAAAATGGGAGAAAATATTTGTAAATTACATATTTGATAAGAAATTAATATCTAGAGTGTATTAAAAACTCCAACTCAACAACAACAACAAAAATAACCCAATTTAAAAGCGGGCAAAGACTTGCATAGACATTTCTCCAAAGAAGATATACAAATGGCCAATAAGCACATGAAAAGATGCTTATTCATTAGGGAAATACAGATCAGAGCCACAGTGGGATACCATTTCACATCCATTAGGATGGCTGTCACAAAACAAAACAAAATAGAAAATAGCAAATATTGGTGAAGATGTAGAAAAATCATAACCCTTGTGCATTACGGTTGGAAATGTAGAATGAATACGCGGCTGTAGAAAATAGTGTGGCAGTTCCTCAGAAAATTAAATACAAAATTACTACATGGTCCAGCAATTCCACTTCTAGGTATATACCCAAAGGACCTGAAAGCAGGACTTGAACAGATATGTGTACACTCACACTCGTGATCATAGCAGCATTACTCACAATAGCCAAAAGGTGGAAACAACTCAAATGTCTATGAAGGAATGAATACACAAACAAAATGTAATTTATATATACAATTAAATATTATTCCTTTTAAAAAGGAAGGAAATTTTGACAAATGCTACATGGATGAACATTGAAAACATTATGCTAAGTGAAATAAGCCAGATACAAAAGGATAAATATTATACGATTCCACTTATGCGAGGTTCCTAGGGTAGTCAAATTCATAAACATAAAGTAGAACTGTGGTTACCAGGGCCCGGAGGGAGGAAACAGAGTTTCTTTTTGGGCTGATAAAAAATTCTAGAGATTGACAGTGGTGACGGCCGTACAACAATGTGACTATACTTACTGCAACTGAATTATACACTTAAAATAGTTAAAATGGTAATGTTATATTATATATGTTTTACCACAATGAAAATGTGCCTTATAAGCACAAAAAACTATAACTTTGTTAAAGATGTGCAACTTAAAGCAGGCAAACTTCCGGTTTCCAGAATAATGCCTTATGTGGAACGTCACAGTGTCTGATAGAAATGATACATGAGATGTGGGATTTATGTATTAGAAATGTAGCCATCAACAGTGACATCCTCTATTACTCTAGAGCAAACATATGATCAGTATAAAGAAGAAAACAGTCATTGCAAGAGTTTGTGGAGGGAGAGAGAGGAAGAGCAGAGCTCGACGGGGCAGGGGACTGGCAATGGGTGGCTTCTCTCAGGGAAGTCAAAAAGGGGAAAGGTAAAAGAAGGCTAGTTATCCTTAATAATAACACCAGATGTGAACTACAGTATGACAGGAGTCACAAACAGATCCATGGGCTGGGTTCAAACACTGTTGGCTTCTGCAGCTGTTGCTATAGGATATCATTTGGGGAGTATTAGCCAACGTGCACCTCCACACCCACACCATGCACTGCCCAACCACTTCCTTGCCCTTTGGCACCTGCCCCATTTGAACCTTGCCCTGGGCTCATCCCTCAGACAGGACAGAAAGCAGCCATCCTCAGATATTCTTCTGGGGTTTTGTATTTCAATAGCTTATGTGCTGAAAGGAACACAAAAAATTTAAGGTTTTAGTAAATCATATTTGAGAGTTTAAGGAACATGCTCACTCTTCTCCGTCTCCTACCTCAAACAATTTGGAGACCAGAAATAATGTGTCCTGGCTATATTGAGAGACCACAGGTAGAGGGAAGGGAAATGTTGGAAATATAGATGCTGGTTGGCCCTAGAGAGGTGAGCTCTGCAGCAGCCACAAAGAGGTGCTGCATTATGAGTGTAGGTTGGGCAGGCTCTTAGACAGTTTTACAGACATTTTTGTCTGGGAAGGAGAAACCCTAGGCTGAAAAATAAATGATTGAAATCAAATTTTTTGCCACTTCAGTAGAATGGTGATGCAAAACAGAAATTAAGTTATAGAAAAATCAAGAAAGCTACCTATTTTTTTCACATGTGAGTTTGTGTGCTGAGATTTGCCCTTGGTACACACTCCCAGACGTTATAAGTCCAGGAAAACATGTAAAGTGAGCAGGGTATGGGGGCAAGCAGGAATTTTAAACTGTAGCGTATCTTTATAGAACCATCTCAAAAGGTAAAGGGAGAACCAGGACAGAGTGTAGCCTGGAGAACAAGGACCTGAACATGAATGGGAGGCCCACAATCTGGCTGTGGCTGTCATCAACATGATATCACTTCCATAGTCTTGGAGTAGAATCCTCATCCCTGACTTACCCTGGTTAAGGATCTTCTCTGCCCACAAACCCAAGCCCACTGAGTTCCATTTTGATTTCCCCAGTTTGGGTGATATAATGGCTTTTCCCTGGTTTGGGTGATATAACATGGCTTTTCAGGTCATACTTGACTTGTCTGATGAGTGTCTTTTCTATCTGTGACATAATGATTTCCATTTCCCGCATGTCTCCTGCTTCATTACAGTCTCATCTCTTTCAGATGCTTGAGTAACCACTTTATTGTGACCGTACCTGCTTCTTTCAACCTGTCCTCAGGATTAGGATCAATACCTGCTTGCTTGGCTTTTATTCAAGTGATGAATAGCTTTGGAAACTCTTATCTGGGCTGGTTTGCTGTATCTATCTGATATTCCAAACTGACCTTCAGCCTAAGAATCTTAAAAAATGTCCATATTTTAAGGAAAGATGGATGATCCTCTCTGTTTCAAATAAGAAGGAAAATCTTTTGATCAGACTGAGAGCAAAGAGGGAATTTGGTTCTTTTTTGTTTCAAGGAGTCCTTGAAGAGGTGTTAATGGATTGTTTTTCTTTCCTTTAATTATGTTTATGCTCTAAACAAGGTAAGGACCTGGTTTCGGGGAAGGGAAGTTTGAAGCAGCATGAGAGTGTCCTGGGTCTTAAATTAAGGCTATAAGCAGAACTTCTAAATGTCTTTGAAAAGTTCTCACCAAATTGTTTTCTACCCTTTCTTTCAGTCCCAAGAAATACTGAGATTTCAAGAAATAGCTAAGATTTCATTTAGATGCTCAAAGGAGGTCCCCAACCTGGAAGGCTTGGTTTTCCAGGTGGCTCATTCTTAGGGGTTTTCATGAGCTTTTTGCTTGAGCTTTTAGCCCCAAGGAGAGAAGAGATACCACCTAAAAATGGTCTTTTTCATCCCATCTTCTGCAGGTGGTTTTGGTGTTGCACTTAATTAGTTGTTCCCTCTTCCCAAATTATGATTCAATTCCAAGCTTGTCTTTCAAAATCTGTCCATTTGATCTAAATTTTAAAACACTTATCAGAGACCTAAGACATGCAGTATATAGAGCCAGCTGGAGGAAGCTAGAGAAGATCCCAAACCCCCCATGAAAGGTGAACTATTGATCTTGATATCATGAAACTTGGAAAGTAGAAGATGGGAAGTATGAAAATAATTATAACATGATTGTGTCATCAGAGAGAAAATAATGACTATACAAAATTTGAAGGAGGCAAAAGTTTTCAACTAACGGGTAGTTAGAAAAGAATCCGTAATACAGTGTGGTACATCATTTGAGCTGAACCAGAAGAATGGGTAAGATGTCAAGCGCAGATACAAAGTTGAGAGGACAATTTGTTGGTTTAGAAAATAAGATACAGCTTTCTAACTCAGAAGAACTAGGCATCACTCTCTGATGTAAACTGATTTATATATTGTTTTATGTTAGTAGTGCTGTTAAATAATAAGTAAAATCCTAAAAATATGACTATAAAGCAAATTTCTGCATACTACATTGAATGCTATTTTTCCCTCAGTGACTTATGTATTCAGATTAGAAATGCACTTCCACGGTTAGGATGAAGAGAACCAAATAACTTTTTAAAGAAATAATAGAAAGCATTATTCAATAACTGTGACAGATACAACATTAAGTAAGGCAAAAATCTCTGTTTCGAGATATATACAACCTAGCATGGGAAGCCCACAAATAACCATATGTATTAGTTCGTTTTCACACTGCTATAAAGAAATACCCGAGACTGGGTAAATCATAAAGGAAAGAGGTTTAATTGACTCACAGTTCCTCATGGCTGGGGAGGTCTCAGGAAACTAACAATCATGGTGGAAGGTGAAGGGGAAGAAAGCACCTTCTTCACATGGCAGGAGGAGAGATAAGTGCAGGCAGGGGAAATGCCAGAGGCTTATAAAACCATCAGATTTCATGACAGCTGACTCAGTATCATGAGAACAGCATGGGGAAAACCGCCCCATGATCCAATCACCTCCCTCCTTCAACAGGTGGGGATTACAATTTGAGATGAGGTTTGAGTGGGGACACAGAACAAAACCGTATCACCATACTACCATGTAAGTCTCCTTTCCTGGGTGATGCCAGATTCAAGAGCCTGGGAGTGAACTCTGCTTCCCCCACACCAAAAAAACAAAAAAATGCTGTGAACAATTCAGAGCAAGAACAGTTAGAGATATGGGAGGAGGTCATATAGTATCATGAAAGAGGAGGGATACAAACTTGAGTAGAGTTGGGGAACTACGGTACATTACGTAAATAAGTCAGGCAGAATAAGCTCTGACGTAAAGATCTATTGGGTGTTAGCCTTTGGAAGTCTCTGTGACCTTCCAGAATGTAAGAGAAGTGGTCATGGATTAAAGAGATGTCAGAAAACAGGAAACTGAGACAGCCAGTGCAAGTTGCACTCTCAAGAAGTTTGGCAGGGAAGAAAGCAGGAGCAGAGAAAGTGAACAGCAAGGGATGCCAAGAGCTGGGGATTTGCCTGGAGTCAGGTGGAGCCAGAAATGGACACACAATTTTTTTTTTAAAGTTAAAGGTCTGGAGGTCAAGATGAACATGAAGAATCAAGAAAGGTATGGCTGATGAAGTCATGATGACACCAAGGTACTCAGAATATGTGACAGGCCCACCCTTGAAAAATGAATAAATAATCTATTTTTCCCTACCCAACTCTGATACCTGTTGCAAATACAGTAGAGATCAAAAAGTAGAAAGATTTCAAATAAACAACCTAACAATGCACTTCAAGGAACTAGAAAAGCAAGAATAAACCAAACCCAAAATTACTATAGTAGACGGAAATAAATAATAAAATCAGAGCAGAACTAAACAAAACAGAGACAAAAAAAATACAAAGGATCAACGAAATGAAAAGTGTTTTTTTAAAGATAAACAAAATTGATAAGCAATTAGCTAGACTAACCAAGAAAAAAAGAAAGAAGACCCAAACAAACAAAATCAGAAATGAAAAAGGAAACATTACAACTGATACCACAAAAATACAAATCATCATTAGAGACTACTATGAGTAGAACTACACACTAACAAACTGGAAAACCTAGAGAAAATGAGTAAATTCCTGGACACCTACAACCTACCAAAATTGAATCGGGAAGAAATAGAAACAGACTAATAAAAAGTAATGAGATTAAAACGGTAATAAACAGTCTCCCAGCAAAGAAAAGCCCAGAACCTGATGGCTACATTGCTGAATTCTACAAAATTTACAGATAAAAAAGAACTAATGCCAATTCTCCTCAAGCTATTCCAAAAAATAGAAGAGGAAGGAATTCTTCCTAACTCATCCTATGAAACCAGCATTACTTTGATACCAAAACCAAACAAGGAATAACAACAACAAAAACCTTCAGGCCAACATTACTCATGAACATAGATGTGAACAATCTCAACAAAATACTAGCAAATCAAATCTAAGAGCATATCAAAAAGATAATACATTGTGATCAAGTGGGATTTACCTCAGGGATGCAAGGATGGTTACCATATGCAAATCAATAAATGTGCTACATCACATCAACAGAACAAAGAACAAAAATCATATTATCATCTTCATAGACACAGAAAAAGCATCTAATAAAATTCAACATCCTTTTATGACAAAAATGCCCAACAAACTAGGCATAGAAGGAACATGCCTCAACCTAATAAAGTCCATACATGATACACCCACAGCTAACAACGTACTGAATGAAGAAAAGCTGATAGCCTTACCTTTAAGAACTGCAAATAGAGCGGAGGAGCCAAGATGGCCGAATAGGAACAGCTCCGGTCTACAGCTCCCAGCTTGAGTGACGCAGAAGATGGGTGATTTCTGCATTTCCATCTGAGGTACCGGGTTCATCTCACTACGGAGTGCCAGACAGTGGGCGCAGGTCAGTGGGTGCGCGCACCATGTGCGAGCTGAAGCAGGGCGAGGCATTGCCTCACTCGGGAAGTGCAAGGGGTCAGGGAGTTCCCTTTCCTAGTCAAAGAAAGGGGTGACAGACGGCACCTGGAAAATCGGGTCACTCCCACCTGAATACTGCGCTTTTCCGACGGGCTTAAAAACCGGCGCACCACGAGATTATATCCGGCACCTGGCTGGGAGGGTCCTACGCCCACGGAGTCTCACTGATTGCTAGCACAGCCGTCTGAGATCAAACTGCAAGGCGGCAGCGAGGCTGGGGGAGGGGCGCCCGCCATTGCCCAGGCTTGCTTAGGTAAACAAAGCAGCCGGGAAGCTCGAACTGGGTGGAGCCCACCACAGCTCAAGGAGGCCGGCCTGCCTCTGTAGGCTCCACCTCTGGGGGCAGGGCACAGACAAACAAAAAGACAGCAGTAACCTCTGCAGACTTAAATGTTCCTGTCTGACAGCTTTGAAGAGAGCAGTGGTTCTCCCAGCACGCAGCTGGAGATCTGAGAACGGGCAGACTGCCTCCTCAGGTGGGTCCCTGACCCCCTGACCCCCGAGCAGCCTAACTGGGAGGCACCCCCAAGCAGGGGCACACTGACACCTCACACGGCAGGGTACTCCAACAGACCTGCAGCTGAGGGTCCTGTCTGTTAGAAGGAAAACTAACAAACAGAAAGGACATCCACACCAAAAACCCATCTGTACATCACCATCATCAAAGACCAAAAGTAGATAAAACCACAAAGATGGGGAAAAAACAGAACAGAAAAACTGGAAACTCTAAAAAGCAGAGCGTCTCTCCTCCTCCAAAGGAACGCAGTTCCTCACCAGCAACGAACAAAGCTGGACGGAGAATGACTTTAACGAGCTGAGAGAAGAAGGCTTCAGACGCTCAAATTACTCTGAGCTACGGGAGGACATTCAAACCAAAGGCAAAGAAGTTGAAAACTTTGAAAAAATTTAGAAGAATATATAACTAGAATAACCAATACAGAGAAGTGCCTAAAGGAGCTGATGGAGCTGAAAACCAAGGCTCGAGAACTACGTGAAGAATGCAGAAGCCTCAGGAGCTGATGCGATCAACTGGAAGAAAGGGTATCAGCAATGGAAGATGAAATGAATGAAATGAAGCGAGAAGGGAAGTTTAGAGAAAAAAGAATAAAAAGAAACGAGCAAAGCCTCCAAGAAATATGGGACTATGTGAAAAGACCAAATCTACGTCTGATTGGTGTACCTGAAAGTGATGGGGAGAATGGAACCAAGTTGGAAAACACTCTGCAGGACATTATCCAGGAGAACTTCCCCAATCTAGCAAGGCAGGCCAACGTTCAGATTCAGGAAATACAGAGAACGCCACAAAGATACTCCTTGAGAAGAGCAACTCCAAGACACATAATTGTCAGATTCACTAAAGTTGAAATGAAGGAAAAAATGTTAAGGGCAGCCAGAGAGAAAGGTCGAGTTACCCTCAAAGGGAAGCCCATCAGACTAACAGCGGATCTCTCAGCAGAAACCCTACAAGCCAGAAGAGAGTGGGGGCCAATATTCAACATTCTTAAAGAAAAGAATTTTCAACCCAGAATTTCATATCCAGCCAAACTAAGCTTCATAAGTGAAGGAGAAATAAAATCCTTTACAGACAAGCAAATGCTGAGAGATTTTGTCACCACCAGGCCTGCCCTAAAAGAGCTCCTGAAGGAAGCACTAAACATGGAAAGGAACAACCGGTACCAGCCGCTGCAAAGTCATGCCAAAATGTAAAGACCATCGAGACTACGAAGAAACTGCATCAACTAACGAGCAAAATAACCAGCTAACATCATAATGACAGGATCAAATTCACACATAACAATATTAACTTTAAATGTAAATGGACTAAATGCTCCAATTAAAAGACACAGACTGGCAAATTGGATAAAGAGTCAAGACCCATCAGTGTGCTGACTCAGGAAACCCATCTCATGTGCAGAGACGCACATAGGCTCAAAATAAAGGGATGGAGGAAGATCTACCAAGCAAATGGAAAACAAAAAAAGGCAGGGGTTGCAATCCTAGTCTCTGATAAAACAGACTTTAAACCAACAAAGATCAAAAGAGACAAAGAAGGCCATTACATAATGGTAAAGGGATCAATTCAACAAGAAGAGCTAACTATCCTAAATATATATGCACCCAATACAGGAGCACCCAGATTCATAAAGCAAGTCCTGAGTGACCTACAAAGAGACTTAGACTCCCACACATTAATAATGGGAGACTTTAGCACCCCACTGTCAACATTAGACAGATCAACGAGACAGAAAATCAACAAGGATACCCAGGAATTGAACTCAGCTCTGCACCAAGCAGACCTAATAGACATCTACAGAACTCTCCACGCCAAATCAACAGAATATACATTTTTTTCAGCACCACACCACACCTATTCCAAAATTGACCACATACTTGGAAGTAAAGCTCTCCTCAGCAAATGTAAAAGAACAGATATTATAACAAACTATCTCTCAGACCACAGTGCAATCAAACTAGAACTCAGGATTAAGAATCTCACTCAAAACCGCTCAACTACATGGAAACTGAACAACCTGCTCCTGAATGACTACAGGGTACATAACGAAATGAAGGCAGAAATAAAGATGTTCTTTGAAACCAACGAGAACAAAGACACAACATACCAGAATCTCTGGGACGCATTCAAAGCAGTGTGTAGAGGGAAATTTATAGCACTAAATGCCCACAAGAGAAGGCAGGAAAGATCCAAAATTGACACCCTAACATCACAATTAAAAGAACCAGAAAAGCAAGAGCAAACACATTCAAAAGCTAGCAGAAGGCAAGAAATAACTAAAATCAGAGCAGAGCTGAAGGAAATAGAGACACAAAAAACCCTTCAAAAAATTAATGAATCCAGGAACTGGTTTTTTGAAAGGATCAAGAAAATTGATAGATCGCTAGCAAGACTAATAAAGAAAAAAAGAGAGAAGGATCAAATAGACGCAATAAAAAAATGATAAAGGGGATATCACCACCGATCCCACAGAAATACAAACTACCATCAGAGAATACTACAAGCACCTCTACACAAATAAACTAGAAAATCTAGAAGAAATGGATAAATTCCTCGACACGTACACTTTCCCAAGACTAAACCAGGAAGAAGTTGAATCTCTGAATAGACCAATAACAGGATCTGAAATTGTGGCAATAATCAATAGCTTACCAACCAAAAAGAGTCCAGGACCAGATGGATTCACAGCCGAATTCTACCAGAGGTACAAGGAGGAACTGGTACCATTCCTTCTGAAACTATTCCAATCAATAGAAAAAGAGGGAATCCTCCCTAACTCATTTTATGAGGCCAGCATCATTCTGATACCAAAGCCGGGCAGAGATACAACCAAAAAAGAGAATTTTAGACCAATATGCTTGATGAACATTGATGCAAAAATCCTCAATAAAATACTGGCAAAATGAATCCAGCAGCACATCAAAAAGCTTATCCACCATGATCAAGTGGGCTTCATCCCTGGGATGCAAGGCTGGTTCAATATACGCAAATCAATAAATGTAATCCAGCATATAAACAGAGCCAAAGACAAAAACCACATGATTATCTCAATAGATGCAGAAAAAGCCTTTGACAAAATTCAACAACCCTTCATGCTAAAAACTCTCAATAAATTAGGTGTTGATGGGACGTATTTCAAAATAATAACAGCTTTCTATGACAAACCCACAGCCAATATCATACTGAATGGGCAAAAACTGGAAGCATTCCCTTTGAAAACTGGCACAAGACAGGGATGTCCTCTCTCACCACTCCTATTCAACACAGTGTTGGAAGTTCTGGCCAGGGCAATTAGGCAGGAGAAGGAAATAAAGGGTATTCAATTAGGAAAAGAGGAAGTCAATTGTCCCTGTTTGCAGACGACATGATTGTATATCTAGAAAACCCCATTGTCTCAGCCCAAAATCTCCTTAAGCTGATAAGCAACTTCAGCAAAGTCTCAGGATACAAAATCAATGTGCAAAAATCACAAGCATTCTTATACACCAACAACAGACAAACAGAGAGCCAAATCATGAGTGAACTCCCATTCACAATTGCTTCAAAGAGAATAAAATACCTAGGAATCCAACTTACAAGGGACATGAAGGACCTCTTCAAGGAGAACTACAAACCACTGCTCAGTGAAATAAAAGAGGATACAAACAAATGGAAGAACATTCCATGCTCATGGGTAGGAAGAATCAATATTGTGAAAATGGCCATACTGCCCAAGGTAATTTACAGATTCAATGCCATCCCCATCAAGCTACCAATGACTTTCTTCACAGAATTGGAAAAAACTACTTTAAAGTTCATATGGAACCAAAAAAGAGCCCTCATCACCAAGTCAATCCTAAGCCAAAAGAACAAAGCTGGAGGCATCACACTACCTGACTTCAAACTATACTACAAGGCTACAGTAACCAAAACAGCATGGTACTGGTACCAAAACAGAGATATAGATCAATGGAACAGAACAGAGCCCTCAGAAATAACGCCGCTTACCTACAACTATCTGATATTTGACAAACCTGAGAAAAACAAGCAATGGGGAAAGGATTCCCTATTTAATAAATGGTGCTGGGAAAACTGGCTAGCCATATGTAGAAAGCTGAAACTGGATCCCTTCCTTACACCTTATACAAAAATCAATTCAAGATGGATTAAAGACTTAAACATTAGACCTAAAACCATAAAAACCCTAGAAGAAAACCTAGGCATTACCATTCAGGACATAGGCATGGGCAAGGACTTCATGTCTAAAACACCAAAAGCAATGGCAACACAAGACAAAATTGACAAATGGGATCTAATTAAACTAAAGAGCTTCTGCACAGCAAAAGAAACTACCATCAGAGTGAACAGGCAACCTACAAAATGGGAGAAAATTTTTGCAACCTACTCATCTGACAAAGGGCTAATATCCAGAATCTACAATGAACTCAAACAAATTTACAAGAGAAAAACAAACAACCCCATCAAAAAGTGGGCAAAGGACATGAACAAACACTTCTCAAAAGAAGACATTTATGCAGCCAAAAAACACATGAAAAAATGCTCATCATCACTGGCCATCAGAGAAATGCAAATCAAAACCACAATGAGATACCATCTCACACCAGTTAGAATGGCAATCATTAAAAAGTCAGGAAACAACAGGCGCTGGAGAGGATGTGGAGAAATAGGAACACTTTTACACTGTTGGTGGGACTGTAAACTAGTTTAACCATTGTGGAAGTCAGTGTGGCGATTCCTCAGGGATCTAGAACTAGAAATACCATTTGACACAGCCATCCCATTACTGGGTATATACCCAAAGGACTATAAATCATGCTGCTATAAAGACACATGCACACGTATGTTTATTGCGGCACTGTTCACAATAGCAAAGACTTGGAACCAACCCAAATGTCCAACAATGATAGACTGGATTAAGAAAATGTGGCACATATACACCATAGAATACTATGCAGCCATAAAAAATGATGAGCTCATGTCCTTTGTAGGGACATGGATGAAATTGGAAATCATCATTCTCAGTAAACTATCGCAAGAACAAAAAACCAAACACCACATATTCTCACTCATAGGTGGGAATTGAACAATGAGATCACATGGACACAGGAAGGGGAACATCACACTCTGGGGACTGTTGTGGGGTCGGGGGAGGGGGGAGGGATAGCATTGGGAGATATACCTAATGCTAGATGACGAGTTAGTGGGTGCAGCGCACCAGCATGGCACATGTATACATATGTAACTAACCTGCACAAAGTGCACATGTACCCTAAAACTTAAAGTATAATAATAAAAAAAAAAAAGAACTGCAACTAAAAAAGGATGTCCACTCTTACCAGTCCTATTTAACATAGTCCTAGCCAGGGCAATCAGGCAAGGAAAAGAAATAAAAGGCATCCACATTGGAAAAGAGGCAGTCAAATTGTCCTTCTTTGCAGATGACATGATCCTATGTCTAGAAAAATCTAAAGAATCTACCAAAAACTCTTAGATTTGATAAACAAGTTCCGTAAAATTGCAGGATACAATATTAACACACAAAAATCAGTAACATTTTCATATGCCAATAATAAACTCACTGAAAAACAAATCAAGAAACAATCTCATTTACAATAGCTATAAAAAATACAAAATACCTAGTAATCAATTTAACCAAGAAGGGGAAATGCCTTTGCAGGGAAAACTACAAAGCACTGATGAAAGAAACTGAAGGGAACACAAACATGTGGAAAGACATCCCATGCTCATGTATTGTAAGAATTAGTATGGTTAAAATGACCATACTACTCAAAGTAATATACAGATTCAGTGAAACCCTGTCAAAATACCAAGGACATTTCTCACAGAAATAGAAAAAAAAAAAACTAAAATTTTTATAGAACCAAAATAGAGCCCAAAAAGCCAAAGCAATCCTGAGCAAAAAGAAGGAGGCTGGAGGCATCACACTACCTGATTTCAAAATATATTACAAGGCTATAGTAACCAAAACAGCATGGTACTGGTATAAAAACAGACACATAAACCAAAGGAACAGAATAGAGAATCCAGAAATAAGTCCACATATTTGTAGCCAACTGATTTTCAATAAAGGCACCAAGAACATAACATTTTCTTGTATGTTTCATTTATATTTATACAAGTATAAACATATTGTTGAATATTATGTAGGTAAACACCAGAAGAAGAACTTAACACAGAAATGGTTTTAAAATGATTAGGAAATGAGACCAGGCAGGGAGAGAAAGTGATCTTTTCATTTCCTTCTCATCTATACTGTTTGAAATGTTATTTCCATGTGCATGAATTATTTTATTATAATTATTTTATACATCACTAAGAAAAAAAGGAAACATCAGATAATTCTCATTAACAGACATGTTTGGGAATACCTGCCCTAGAGGACAGCTGAAGGCTTCCCAAGAGAAGCCAAAGGCAAAAATGGGAAACAGATAAGGCAGTTCTGGGGTTTTCAATCTAGACAAGTTTGAGGGTCAGGGAAGAAGGTCAAGTGTCTGGGAAGAGCCTCCACCAGAGTTTGCCGGTTTCTAATCTTCATTACATTGAAAGCCTTTATCCCTCTTGAGGTGGGTATATGTCTGTGGTCTGTGATCTGTGTTGGGAGGGCAATTCATCCCTGGGTGTAGACACTGCTTTGCATATCATTATGTACATCACATGCTTGCCTCACTAAGTGGCACGCTGAGATATTTATGATGAAGAGGGATTATCACATATATAAAACTACACTAATGTTTTATATGAAAAGAAATTCCATGTGCCTTGAGGACAGTCCCCACCACCATCAATAAGATCTGCCCAGAGTTATGGTCTCAAAACATTGATTTTATAATAGCAATAAAGTTTACAAATGGTAAAAATATGAGCTTGTTTACTCCTGGAAGATTTTATTATTCATGCAAACTCTTAGTCAAAGATAGAGGCTGTTATACACTTTGGGAAACCATTTATGAGCCAGAAAGACCCCAAGGAAAGGAATTCAGTAGAAATAATTTTGTGAAATCAATTTGAAGAATGCTTAATCCTTAGATTAAAAAGCCAGGCCATGTATATGTGTGTGTATGTGTGTGTGTGTGTATATATATACACATATGCACACATATATATACACATATATATATACACAACACAGATCACAGACCACAGACATATATATATACATATACACACACACACACACACACACACACACACACACACATATATATATATATATATATATATATACACATCACAAAGAGAGACAGATTTGCATTTTTTTCCATACCCAGTGAAAAGGTGAAACCATCCCAATCTTAGTGATCAGGCAGAAGTGGGAGGAGGGAGGGCTTATTTTAAGACTTGGGCAAGCCCAAAAGGTTCTGTTGGTGCAAACAACACAGTTAACTGGGATACCCCCAACTTAAACCCAAGTCTAACAAGCCATCCCAGACCTGTCAATCATACTCTGTTGGAGGGTCCTTGAGTCCTATTGCCCAAAGAGGGGCAATTCAGTAGGTCCTGCCAGGCAGCATGTTCATTCCTGGGTTTTTAGGGTGTTTTATGCATCTCCTCCACTGGTCTGCACTAAATACAAAGGCAACTCCTCTCTCCCACTTCACAACCATCACCTGGTTCTTAGCTGGTTACCAGAGTCTCTCAGTCCAGCAGTGGTCACTTGCTGAGAAGATGAATGTACTTAGTATGAGTGAGACAGATCTTTTTTCCTTTCCCTTAATATAATCTGCTTAGAACTTCCCTAAAATACATTGTCCATCTTCTAATTATAGATTTTCTTACGGCATAACATCATGCAGGAAGTTCAAAACTAGCAATGAGGCAGTCAGTTCTACCAGTAGAAGCCATTGCAACATTCTATAGGCAGACACTAGAGGGTTTTCGTGGACTGATAAACTGCATTGTTCCTCTAAGACTCTAATAGCAATAGTGAGCTTTTTTGTCTGTTTCTTTCCCCATTCCCAACCACATACACTCCTCAAGTATTCTTTTTTTGCTTTCTTCCCATCTTCCTATCAGGACTCCACATTTCTAGCTATGTGGTATAGATGTCCTTGTCCCTACCCTGGTGGGACCTGATTGTCCTTAGTTGCGTCTCCTCTGATTGGCTCAGAGGTGAGCATGTGACACAAATCGGTCCGAGCAGAAGGAAGCTCCGATGTGGAGAAATCGCTGGTGCTTTCTCCCAGGAGATGAGAATTAACAACTCCAGTTGTTGCTGACAACTATTCTGCAATAAGGAGAACCAGCCTTGAGAAGAAACTGCCACAGTGTGAGGTTCAGTAGAGAGAGGACACAGACTGAAAGACACTGGTGGCCTTGTTGAGCTCGAGTCTCAATTCTGGATCAATTCTTGCATACAACTTTTCTAATTCTGGATTTTTCTGTCAATAAATTCCCTTTAATTGTTTAAGCCCATTTGCGTTAGGTTTCTCTTCTATATGACCAAATGCATCCTAACTGATTACAGTGACCAACAACACAAAACTAATTGTCAGCCCATAGATGTCTAGCTACCTTACATGCAAATTCCTAGATTTCTTTTCCAACAGTTAGCCTGGAATATTGTCGCCACCCCCTAAAAGGCCCTAATCTTTAGGGTCCTTAAAACTCTTCCAGGAACCTGTCCACAAGAATTTTAGGTTGAGATTTGAGTTCTACATGAATCTGCAATCTACAGGATTCCTTGGTATTCACTGAACAATATCCCAGGCATCTAGAGGAAAGGGATCACTCAGGAACACCCCCACTTCCCTACAATCGTTGGACCTAAGGATGAATTCTGGCCATTGCCAATAAGAGGTCTTGGTCACATCAGGGTGTGACCAGAATTAGAACATCTTCCTACACAGTCGCTTGCCTCCTCATGTTTGAACTTCTGCTTCCCCGAAGTGCTGAGTGAGCATTTGCAGATCTGCCGGTTAGAACCATTCAAAATAAAAGCTCCTGAGTTTGACCACTCAGGCTTCAGTGAAAGAGCCACAGAGGGATCCATAGGATATTTTTACATTTTAAAAAAAGTATTTAATGGATACTGGGCATATTGCCTTAACACTCTATTTATATCTCACCTCCAAAAATGATTTGAGGTGCTTTAAAATACTTAGGATAAATGGGATTAAGTAAACAGATGAAATCAAACAAAAATAAGAGTAAAGGCAGGAAAATAAAATAAATATAGGGTAAGGTTAGTATATAAAATGGTCTTATAATATCCTATGCAGTTGCTATAGGTGGACAACAAATTTGTCTCTGACCTTCTAAATTAGCCAAAGCATGTCTCTGAAAGATTCACAAAGTTCAACGGACTTAAAAAAACAGCAAAAAAGGGGAGATCAAGACCATCCTGGCTAACACAGTGAAACCCCTGTCTCTACTAAAAACACAAAAAATTAGCTGAGTGTGGTGGCAGGCGCCTGTAGTCCCAGCTACTCAGGAGGCTGAGGCAGGAGAATGGCTTGAACCCGGGAGCGGAGCTTGCAGTGAGCCGAGATCGCACCACTGCACTCCAGCCTGGGCGACAGAGCGAGACTCGTCTCAAAAAAATAGAAAAAAAAGGTAGAAAAGGAAAGAAACAAACAAAAATGGTTGCTTGGAAAGAACAGTTTTCCTGAGAAAATTTTTTCCTGTAGTGATTTATGAAGGGGAAAGGGAGTGTTCCCAAGAGCAAATTTTGGGAACCATGTCAATGCAGCTGACAGTATAACCTCAGAGCACTTTTCAGCAAAAGCAGTTCCAGGGGAGGAATCAAAACTCTCCGAGCTCTTTAATTATCTGCCTTGGTCCAACCAGGCAATTTACAATGTCTATTTAGATGTCGGGACTGTATGTAACTTTAGGGAATCTTCTGCTGATATAGTTTGTACCACAGGGCTTTTAATAGAACAGAGTAATTGGAGATTTTATTCTCTAGCAATAATCTGAGGTGTAGATATTCACTGTGTCTGATTAAGGGCAAAGTCATACACATTGACAATTAGAGCAAGGCAAAGAGATGACATCATCTCATAAAGTTAAAAAAAAAAAAAAAGACCGATGCCTAACAGACATTATCTAGTGTCTGCTCTGAAGAGACCGGAGAATCTCCACCCTAACATATAAACATAGGGGCAATCGAGGCCTCGCTGACATAAATAAAGCACGAGCATGAGCAGTACATTTGCCAGAAGAGCTCCAATTCTAACAAGTACAGCTGTACTTATGGAGTGCCTGCTTTGGGTTCTATACAGAGAAGTATTAGGCATGACTCTTGACTTCACAGTTTAGAGGGACAATTCCATATTCATAAAATAATTCTAGAGGTCAAGTGTTGTACAGACTAACAGAAAAGTATATAAAGACAATTTTTTTCAACAAGGTAAATCCTATCCATCTTCAAGCCTCATCTCAGAGACTCCCTCCTCCATAAAACATTTCTGCATCCAAGATAACCTTTCCTTCAGAAAGCCCCACAGTGCTCTGTGGCTCTCCCTACTCACCCTTTATCCTGCGGAGACACGGTGAGTACCATCTCCTTCACCTGCCCATCAGCTGTTCCTTCAGGGCATTAGCCTACCTCAGTCCACAGTGACCTATTCAGTCATGTGGCTTTGGAAGGGCTAAGTGCCTCCCCACCCAGCCATGCACTCCAGGAGTGGAGTGGTCAGGTAAAGCTGGCCTCGCCAAACTGAGCACTTTATCCTGTCTCCCAAGCCAGACCAATCAGAGGGCTTCCTAAATTCCTACATTTATTCTTCTACTGGGACTGCAAGCTGTAAGGATGCTATCTGTCCATGGGCATCTTGTATTCATGGACCACCTATGAGGAAAGCAAACTTGAGAGATAGAGACACATACAGATGGATTTGATTATCTGAACACCTGGACTATTCAGTTAGTTCTATGGGTTCTCTCCACCCTCCTATATTCCAACATTCCTGAGGGATGACACACTATTATCAAACAATCGTTAACTCCAGGAGGAAGGAGACATAAGGGAGCACATATATGGACATGTGAGAGGGTAGGGGCAATGTTGACTCTAATGCCCACAGCCCCCACCACATATTATGACCAAGTAGCAAAATGGCAACAGGATTTATATTTGTAGGTCTCTTCCCATCTCTGGCTGTCATGTGAAACTGTTTATATTTCTTTACCTAACATTTATTAAGTTCCATGTCAATTAAATAATCCTCTATTAGTTGATCCTACCTACGAACTAAATAGACATCATTTGAGTAACCAAGTGATGGAGAACAGATGATATGTTTGAATATGAGATAGTTTCCTTGTCTAAAGTCTCTGTTCTTTGTAACTGCTATACCCCCCACAGCAGGACTGACTTGTTCCAGGTAATCTATATTTATCAATAGAGTACTAACATTGTAAAAATAAGGGAATTATACTCCAGTGACAGAGCTAAATATTGTGTCACTATATGAAGCAAATGGCATTGTTAGTCATTTCTTCAGATATGATTTGCTTTATAAAAGCTGCATTTCAAGGCATTGGAACTCAGCAGGGATTCTTTGTCAACAATCTGCCATTTCTAGCTAAATTAAGTAATCATCTGGCTACTATATTTAGAAAGCGTGTGCAGGCTACAGAATGTATAGAGAGCTCTAAATGGTGCGTTTATCTTCAGGGGACACCATTGCATAGGAGCAGAGTAGTATCTGCTTTTAAGAGAAAATGGGCTTTCTATTAGAACCACGGAACTATAGGAACACTTTAAAGAAGTTACTTACACCTCCCAGAAGATCCAGGTGTGATCCGGTTGCCTCTGAAAATAATGTGGAATCGTTTTCAGTTTTTCTTGACAGCTCTGTTAATTTTAAATTCTCTCTCCTTTCTGCCCCTACCTTAAGCAAAAGTTTTTAAAGAGCCTCTCTTGAGACTGTTTTAGAACTCCTTCTATAGAAGGCACTCTATGCTCTCATTTATTTTTTGTTGTTTTACAATTTCTACTTTATTTTAGATTCAGGGGGTACAGGAATTTTTATTATTTTAAACCATTACAGTGGCTTTGGAAATAGTGATGGCAGCTCCTGTTTATTGTGAACCTTCTATGTCCTAGGAATAATAGGCAATTTAAAAATATTACTTCCTTAAGTAAATAATATGAAATTATATGTGTGTATGTGTGTGGCCTATTTTGCACTGTTTCATAAATTAGGAAACCAATGCTCAGGATATAAGAAACTTGCCAAATATCTCATAGCAAGTAAGAAACACAGCTGGGCCTGGCTCCTTCTGAGGCTACACTACCACACCATGGCTGCCTCCTAAATAATTAAACTTTCCACTGCATTTGCCCTACCTACGTTACTCATGTCCTCAACCCGTGAATCTTCAAAGTTCTCTCACTTTTTATCTCCTGATGCCTACGGAAAAGGACTAAAATATAACAACTGCTTTCAGGAGATGTCCTGAGTCCTCTGAAAAAGATAAATGGCCCACGAAAATTTAATGAAAAGAATGGCAGATTATGTGAATACTAGCATTGTAAAAATAAGGCAATTATGCTCCAGTGACTGAGCTAAATTGCATGTTACTCTATGAAGCAAATGGCAGGTGCTTTGAGACCACTCGCCTGCCCACTGTCTAATTTCCAGTAGGTCTGCCCTGATTCACTGAGTCCTGTCACTCCTGAGGATGTGTTTAGTTTCAGGCCTGGGCTCTAGGCCGCTACTGTGGAAAAAAGACCACAGGACTTTGCTGTTTCTAAGAACTACTTGCAAGAAAGACTGAGAAGAGTGCCGGCAGCAAGGGCCGAGCCTGAGGACCACCGCATGTCAAGTTTACACAGACTTCCAGGCTTTCATTTATGCCTGAGATCTGCTCTATGGTCAGCAGGAGGAATGTGCCTCATGACACTCCCTTAGAGAGATGAGATGCTGGAAACTCCGCAGGGGTGGGGAAATTGAACTTGGTAGGCATAAGCTAGCAACTTCAAAAAGCTATTTGAAAGAAGTACTGATAATACACAACATATTTGTCTAGGAAATAAGTAGGACCTCTAAAGCCAATAAAATGTTTGTCCAGGGGAGTAAAACATTAGCCATATCTTCTAGATATCTGTCTGCCATTCATTCCTAATTCATTTATTTTTATTTATTTATTTTTTTGAGACAGAGTTTTGCTCTTCTTGCCCAGGCTGGAGTGCAATAGTACGATCTCGGCTCACTGCAACCGCCACCTCCCAGGTTCAAGAGATTCTACTGCCTCAGCCTCCCAAGTAGCTGGGATTACAGGCATGTGCCACCACACCCGGCTAATCTTTTTTTTGTATTTTTATTAGAGACAGGGTTTCGCCACGTCGGCCAGGATGGTCTCGAACTCCTGACCTCAGGTGATCCACCCACCTTGGCCTCCCAAAGTGCTGGGATTACAGGTGTGAGCCATCTCATCCGGCTACACTCCTAATTTAATTCCCTTGTGGTCAGAGAATATACTCTTTATGACTTCAGTTCTTTTAAATGGATTGATGCTGGTTTTATGGTTCCAACACATTATATATCTTGGTGAATTTTCCATGTTCAGTTGAAAAGAGTGTATAGTCTGCTATTGTTGGATAGAATGCTCTATATGTCCATTTGATCAGATTGCTTTATAGTGTTGTTCTAGTGGTCTGTATCATTACTGATTTTCCATCTACCTTTCTGTCAATTACTGAGAAGGAACTGTTGAAATGTTCAACAATAATTGTGATTGTCTTTTTTCTTTTTTGTTCTGTCTGTTTCTGCTTCACGTATTTTTAAACTGTTACTGGGGACACATGCTTATAGAAGTTTATGTTTTCTTGATAGACTGTTTCCTTAATCATCATAAAGTACCTCTTTTTATCTCTAGAAATATTCTTTTCCTGAAATCTACTTTGTCTAATGTTAAAATAGCCACCTGCCATTCTTGTGACTAACTTTTTAAGATTATGTCTTTTTCTATCATTTGCCTTTTAACATATCTTTACAGTCAAAGTGGTTTTCTTATAGAAACCATATTGTTAATTTTTAAATTCAGCCTGACAATCTCTGGTTTTTAAGTGGAGTGTTCAAATCATTTAATTATTCATATCCTGTGAAGGAAACACAAAAAATAGAAAAATGTCTTTTATTTTTACTCATATATTTACCCCTTCTAGTACTCTTTATCCCTTTATGTAATCCAAGTTTCCATCTGGTACAGTTTTCCTTCTGCCTGAAGAATGTCCTTCAACATTCCTTATAGTAAATGTCCATTAGCAATAAATTCCCTCAGTTCTTGTGTGAAAGAGTTTTATTTTGCATTAAATGTTGAAGGATATTTTTGCTGGATATAAAATTCTAAGTTTATAGTTGTTGCTCTTGTTTTACCCAGCACCTTAGAGATGCCATTCTACCTTCTTCTGGCTTATATATTTTCTAGAAAGAAGTCCTTGGATAGTCTTAGTTTCTGTTCATTTTATGTAATATCTTTTATCTCTGTCTGCTTTTAAGATTTTCTCTTAATCATTCATTTTAAAGAATTTTATTATGATATGGTTTGTGGTGTGTGTGTATGTACATGTTTCTCCTGCTTGAAGTTCATTGAGTTTCTTTTATTTAAAGGTTCATGATTTTCACCAAATTTGGAATTTTCAGCCATTATTTCTTCATATATACTAGTGTTTCCTTCTTTTCTCTCCTCTTGTTTTGAGACTCAAATTACATGTATGATAAATCACTTAATATCTCACAAGTCACTGTTGTTCTGCTTGGGTTTTTTTTTTTTTTTTTTTTTTGAGATGGAGTCTCACTCTGTCACCCAGGCTGGAGTGCAGTGGTGTGATCTCAGCTCACTGCAAGCTCCACCTCCCGGGTCCACACCATTCTCCTGCCTCAGCCTCCTGAGTAGCTGGGACTACAGGTGCCCGCCACCACGCCCAGCTAATTTTTTGTATTTTTTTTAGTAGAGACGGGGTTTCATCGTGTTAGCCAGGATGGTCTCGATCTTCTGACCTCGTGATCTGCCCACCTCAGCCTCCCAAAGTGCTGGGATTACAGGCGTGAGCCAACTGCTTTGGGTTTTTTCAGTGATTTTTCTCTCTGTACTTCATTTTGTATAAATTCTATTTTTATATCTTCAAGTTCAATTATCTTGTCTTCTTCAGTGCCTGATCTTTTGTTAATTTCAAATATTGTATTTATGATCTCTAGAAATTCCATTTGGTTCTTTTTATCTTCCATTTTTCTCATTTGTTCATGCTTTTCTTTAACTACATGGGCGTATTTATAACTGATGTTTTAACATCCTTTACTGGTAGTTCTACCTATTGAACAAGCCTGTATCTATTGACTGATTTTTCTCCTGGTTGTGGGTTACATCTTCCCATTTCGTGGCATGTCTAGTGACTTTTTAACATTATATTCTAAACATTATGAATGTTGTGGATGTCTAGAAACTTTCAGCCTCCTCAATCTCCCTGAAAGCCTTCTCCTTAATTCATCAAGGCCATTATACTCTGCTTGGGATTCTCTTTCCTGCACAGTTGTCTGGAAATTGCCTCCGAACAGAAACCAAGGTGACAGTGGGACTTACCTTATTTGTCTCCCTTCTCTCAGGAATCACAGCCCTGAGCTGCCTCTGTCTAATGTCTGGAAATGGTTGTTTCATAAACTTTGCCAGTTTGCTAGTTGTTTGTGGTAGAAAAGTAAATCTGATCCCTATGACACCATTCTGGAAGGAAACAGAAGCCAGTAAGGAATATTTTTAATTTGAAAGTTATCTCAACATTTCCCAAATATATTTGGCCATGAAACACTTCTTACAGAATACCTATTAATATCTTTAGCAATTATTATTCCTTGAAATACATCTTGGAAAACTTTGCTTTAGGAGCACGATCTTAAAAATAGATCAAGGAATATGTAAGCTATTAGAGAGAACAATTGTATGGGCTTAGCACATTTCTAATATAGTTGTTTTTCTACAAATGATTCATCTTGCCAATAAGTTTGGTTTAGTTTATTCTTTGGATTTATAATTTTAATTATTGATTTATGCTTAGTTTCTACTTATAGTTAAGTATCTTATATTGATTGAATAATTTAGTTATAAGGGGAAACGATGCTGCAAAATTTCTCCCAATATTTAGGCACCAAATTAATATAATTAGCAGATTTTTCATTCAATACTCTAAGCCTCCAGTTAATTGACTAGCAGGAATTTTGTAATTTTTACGTCTCCTCCATAATTATGTTAAAGAATAATCAGGGATGTTTGCATCGGTGACCAAATGGTTCCAGACCTCACCAGTTGGTAGGTCACATTATTTTTCCCTGGGAGGAATGTGAAACACGATGTTGTATACAATCACAGCTACTACCTCTAACTCCAGGTGTCTGAAGTCTCCATGACACCCAGAGCTCAGTACTGGGCTACAGGCTAATTTCCTTTTCAGACCTCATGTCCTTCCCCACTGCCTTCCCTTTGTCACATTTTCAACATTGCATTAACAACATTTTTTAAGTTAAAAAAATACAATTCAAAAACAAAGAAAGAATTCTTTTGAGGTCAGGCAGAATCTCAGGATACAGGTGAGGAGAGGCTGGGACATGATTTGCTAAAGCCATTGGAAACCTTTGGTCAATTTAATACATGTTAGGCATGTAGATGTACAATATAAAGTATTTTGGGGAAGTTTTCTTGATAGCTGATCTCCTCCAATTATGTGAGAACCAGCAGAATGCAATCAGGCCAGCACCTCAGGGGATACTTCTACAATCCCTAGCCAGAAGCCCTTGATACCTTTTTTAAGAAAAATTTTTATATCTGAGATGTATTAATTGATACCCTGCCTTATAGAAGTTTCGAAGGTTAGATCCATTCAAAATACCAAATATTAACTATGAATTAACTTCTCAAGCTAAAATTACTCCAGCTGCGATGTGACTTATAGAAGGGATGAAAAGGGAAGCAGAGGACAGAGGAAAACAATTTCGTAAACAAGGTTAGATCAATGAAATGAATCAAGAAACAATGACTTAAGGAGGGGTGTAAGACAGTGAAATCAGATTCAAGATTGACTTAAATATATGTAAGTACATGTGTGTGCGAAAATACAGAGCTAACATAATCTGAGTATTTCCATGAGAAAAAAAAAACTAAACAAAATAAAAACACTTCCCCATTTAACTAATAACCTTATGTTTCCCAATTTTTTCTAAACTTGAAAAACTTCTGCAGTTGCAGGTAGAATGAGACACTGGCACACATAAATAGTTCCAAAAACATCTATAAACTCTTCATGAATCCGTCATCTCTCCATGTGTATTTTTGTAAGCCTATTTTTATCAGATGTAGGTGCCTAGAGCCTAGTAAGTATTTCATGAATATCTGTTGAATGTATGAATGGATGTTCTGACGATAATAATACAGTGTACTGTGTAACTACAAATCAAAGCATGCTTTATTGGTTACATAGGTCTCAGGTGTCTTTGACTATTAAAAACTCCTACTATGCAATATTGCCACTTTCCTTAGAAAATCTGAAAGAATAGATCACCTATGCTTCAAAATAAAAGTATGATATAATTTACCAGGGGTTAATCAGTGTGTATAACCTATTGCTTCTTATATTCAACCTTAATTCTGACAAAAGCATTGCTTTTTGCCCACCCAGGTGTATGTGATTTGAGACCAGTAATCTTTGACATGTGGGACACATGTAAAAACCAATCTTTGGTTTAGAACTGTAGCTGCTTTTAATAGAACCTATTATTTGTGGTTTTGCCTCATTGTATCGTGGGCTACATAATGCCTTTGTCCAATGTTTGTCATCTAATCTCCAGCTTCCATCTATTATGCTGCTTTTTACTTTTTCTTTTACCATTTTCCACAATTCAATATTTAATAGCTGAACTACCGAGCACAATCATGTGCCTCAGTGGGGTGCGTACAGAAAGCCTTCCCATCTGATACCAACTGCCTTGCTGAATCGTGACTGTGTATGCCTCTCCCTTGACACCTTCTTCCCATGTGTCCTCTGAGCAAAGGTGTGATGCCCACCATTCACAGAGCTCCCTGATGATCAGTCAGTATAAATGTTGCCTGTTTTATATGTGTTGATGAAACTACAACAGAAGCCAATTCCAAAAGGCACTACTAAGCTTATAGGATCCTTCCTGCACCTGTTGGATGAACTGATTCAGTATTTCTGATAAAATATTGATCAATTATGGAGTTGTTTTGGATAACCAATGTCAATGATTCTACCACTGCTCAATAATCACAGAACTTGTAATAATGCAAATGTTGGGATCCTATTCCCAGAGATTCTAACAGGCTGTATATGTAGCCCAGAAATCTGAATTTTAATAACACTTTCAGGATACAGGTGATGCCTTGATTACATGTTGAGAAACACTGATCTATACAACCTCAGAAGATAATAAGTAAGGGGGCTATATTATCTGTAACCTTTGGGATATATTATCTGTAAATTCCATTTTTTAAAAGTCCACTTTGCATTTTACAAATAAGTAAACAAGATATTACACTGATTTTTGTCAACAGATATCAATAACTGAATTTCAACTTAGCTAGCTGACATTATGTCTAGTTCAACTTTGAGATACCAAAGAGAATCGCCAGCACATTTACGTGATGGTTTGACCTTGATAAAATACTATATAGTACAGACAGCGTGTCCCAGAATAAGACAACTTGTTCTAGCTAAGACAGGAGACACCTGAGCAGAGAAAGAAATTGATTTGTTTTCTTATCAACAAAATCTGGAATTTTGTCCCATTTTATTTGTACCTAAAACATAATCATCAAAACTTCACTGAATCTGTCAAATATTAGACAAAGATACACTTGACCTGGAGTGAAGTATCACGAATTTTTAAACATTTAACTCCTAGTGTGTATTAGTGTGAAACTAAGTTGAGCAGAACCCATTAATGTCACAGTGATCGGTTACCAATGGAAATAAATAATTCATGATGAAGGGAATTAGTCTAATTAGCAGGCAGTTTGAGTCCTTTGATAAAACCCAGCTCTAATTCCGTGAAGGGCAGGAAGTGCTGTCATCAGTCAGCCCTGAAAAGATTAGCATCTATTATGAATGAGGTTCGACACCCTAGCGAAGTCATGTGTGTCCTGGAGACAAACTTAATATGTTCCAGAATGGGACACAGTTTGTCTCACCAACACATCACGGTTCCTACCAAGCTATTGTATGTAATAACAAGCAAAGATCAGCGCTCTGTCCTATCATTCGCTCCCCTGTCCATCATTCTGACAACTGTGCAAATACATTTTCCATGCAAAGCAGGGAATGTGCCCTGAATACTTGTAAAATTGCACAAGATGTCAAAGAAAATATGTGTTACTTTCTCACTCACCAAAACAAACACACAGAACCAAATGTCAGTCCTGAAACTGACGGTTTCAAACATGGTGGGCAATATAGTATGTCAGGCTTGGTGTATACACATTTCATTTTAAAAACTGTTGTCAGCTCTCCCAGGAAATTTGCTTTCCTACTTATCTTTCTCCAGATATTGAAGTTACAAGATCAATCATAGGCTTCCAGCTTCTGTAACTGCAGATACATGGCGATGAGGATCCTAAGCAAAGTAACTTCTGGAATTCCAAACTAATATATAAGGGAAATAAGAAAAAGTTGTTTTGTTTTTCTTTACAGCACATAAATGCCTTAGCTTATTGGGATGTCTCAGCTCTAGGAAGATTTATAGTTTCTGAATCATATCTGGCCTGGTGTATCTAAAAGATGTTGACTGTTCCACACTGTGCAAGTCCCACATTATTTTGCAGCCCACAAGCTGACGCAGCATCAGCTGTGTTTCCATTTTTACTTATGAGCTTTTTGAAATTACATGTTTCCATTTTGCAATTTGATGTAATAATGAAGAAACTCCAAATTTGTAAGTTATTGTATTGCTTGTTTTTATTGTGTAAAATTAATTGCTTCATTTATTTATGTCATTAAGAAGGGGGTACCATTTTGCACATTTTATCATTTGCTGTAATAATTAACATGCCAATAACACCACGGAAGCCTTGGAAACAGGATGGATCATGCCCGAATGTCTGAACAGCATATAACATGGCAACCCTGGTAGGTTAGAAGGGCTGCTTTTCAAAAGTGTAGTGAGGAATGTAACGTCACCTCAGTATTGCTCAAGTCAAATAATGTATAGAAACAAATCTCTGAAATTAACATGTTTTACTTGGGAAGAAAGAATTGCAATTTGGAGCACACATGCAGACTGGGAAGTCTTTGGTAGGTCTGAAGAACAAAGAGAAGGTTAGAGGTTTAATAAAAAGGAGAAATATTATGTATTTGTCTTCAGGAAAGTTCACTGACACTAGCAAGATTTCAGGGAGCTGGCAAGCTCTTATTGGTGAACGGTAGTGGTCAGCAAAACTAGTCTTAGATTGCAGCAGGTAGTTTCAGTAGCCCTGAGATAAAACTGGTTTCAGGTTACAGCAAGCAGTTTCAGCAGTCAGACTTGCAGAGAAGTACATTGTTGGAGCAATAGTATAAGTCCTGAGTGCTTTCCTTCCTGGCCTTGCAACTCTGTTTTAGTTGGGTACAATAAGAATGAGTAGTACAGTTCTCAAAAGTTGTAATCCAGCTGTCCAAAAACAGTTGAACCAACCATTAATATTGCAGACTTACACAGACTGCACAAACTTGATGAATTTATTTAGATTTGAAAAGATATCCTGGTAAATACAGTCAGCCCTCCATATCTATGGGTTTCACATCCATGGATTCAACCAACAAGGACTGAAAGAAGTTGAAAAACAAATTGTGTCTGCACTGAACATTTACAGATTTTTTTCTTGTTATTATTTCCTAAATAATACAGTATTACAACTATTTACATAGCAATATGTAAATACTATTTACATAGTATTACTACGTATATTTCAAGTAATCTAGAGATGATTTAAAGTACAATCATGCATGGCTTACTGAAAGGGATATGTTCTGAGAAATGAGTCCTTAGGCAATTTCCTCATTGTGCAAACATCATAGAGTGTATTTACACAAACCTAGATAGTATAGCCTACTACACACCTCGGCTGTACCATACAGCCTATTGCTTCTAGGTTATAAACCCATACAGCATGTTATTGTACTGAATAATGAAGGCAACTCTAACACAATGGTAAGTATTTGTGTATCTAAACATACCTAAACATAGAAAACGTACAATAAAAATAGTATTATGATTTTATGGGATCACCATTGTATATGTAATTTGTCATTGACTGAAATGTCATTATGTCATGTGTGACTGTATACAGAAAATATGCATAGGTTGTATGCAAATACTATGTCATTTTATAT
Source organism: Homo sapiens (assembly GCF_000001405.40). Taxonomy (NCBI): domain Eukaryota; kingdom Metazoa; phylum Chordata; class Mammalia; order Primates; family Hominidae; genus Homo; species Homo sapiens. The sequence goes on along the minus strand of NC_000002.12, from coordinate 173,511,250 downwards.
CAGGAAGTTGAAGGTCCTTGAATTTTGATATACAAAGGAGGTTCTGGAACCAATCCCTCACAGATGCTGAGGGATGACTCTATTTAGTACAGATTCTTTAAAACCAGCAGTTACTAATAGTTACTAATAGGGGTTCAATATTGGCTATCTCCTCTATCTCCTTTTTCCAACATATCTATAAACTAGAAAGCTGAATCAAAATCTCATAGGTTTTTATTTTATGTGTTCAGCATTAGACCAGGGTTTCTAGGGAGAATGGAAAATCTTTACACATCTGCAAAATATTTAGCGTTTAGTTATACCAGTTATGCATGACCAGTTCCGTACATGTACATCACTTGAAGGCAGGGACTATGCACGCCCCTTAGCTGTCTGCACATCTTCTCATCCTCCTGCCAGGCTCAAGCAGACAGACGGCGACATAGCTGGTGTTGAATGAACACTGACTGAATGAATGAAACTACTAACCATAGTGGAGTCACCCAATTAAGTGCTTCTCTATATTCTTAGTCTGAGAAGATGGCAAAATAAACCACAGACTGACAAAAATACACACATATCTTAGAACACACCTGTTGCCCAAAGTCTTGTGATATTGTAGTGGTGAGTCCTTTTAGCTCCAAGAGCTGATGATCAGAAGCCTGTTTTTGAGTCCTGGATGCAGAGTCTTGTTCCAAAAGCTTTTTTCAGCTGAGCCTGACTCTCATGCTCAAGATTCCTTTAGGGTCTAGCTGGGACCTTTGACTCTTCAGAGAAGAAAAACCTTTCAAACAAAACTCTAACCACTTTCAAATGTCCTTGCATGGAGACCCATAAAACACTGAAAGTATTTTGAGGGCAATTTTTTTTCCAGAATCCAGAACATTAATCTAAGTCTAACATTTCCTTAGAATCCAGCTCTCTCTATCTGGGTGATATTTACGACAATACTGTGTAATACCATACAGACCATACCATATCTTTGAACCATACCAGTTCAAAGATCATGGAGAAGTTGGCTACTTGAATCCAGTAAAAATCACTAATTTAGATTAATTGGAGAGATTCTGTCTGAAGTAAAAAATTGTGAAATGCAGAATATTTTTAAAAGTCAGAGTTTTATTCCTTTCAGATAGTATATACTACTCTGAATGGGCTACAAGAATTCTGAGAGTACCTGCAATAAGAAGTGAAAAAGCCCACACAAATGAAACTTGGGCACAATTTCTTTAAAAAATATAAAGTATCCTTTAATTGTCTTCTTAGCTATATTTCTATTTTACTTAGGCAGTTATTCTTTACAGGAAAAAAGTCTATTTCAGTTCTAATACCAGAGAAACTACTACCAATTATGAACAACTGAAGCCCAAATTGATCTGTTTTTAATTTTATCTCCCACTTCTCTCTTTCTATATTCTATGTTGTCCCCATTAAGAAGTTTTGAATTTCCTTTATTTTACTAAAGGAGATTCCAAAGTACAGAATGCACATAATAGGTTTTCATCAGCAACGCAAGATGGAATGAGATTTTCAGAACTAATAATTTTCATTATGTTATATGATAACAGATTGAGATAACTGCCTCCTCACTATCAATTTCCCTCTTTTTTCTTGCCCACATAAATCCTATTTTGTTTGGTAGTTAAACAAACAAATAACAACAAAAAAAGCAATAAAGCAACAACAAAAAAACAAAAAACTCCATCTCGCAGCCTCACTTGCAGCCAGAGGCAGCTATCTGAAATCATGGCCAGCGGGAGTTTCTAGCCGGCAGCTCTGGAAAGGATATTTGCAAGGGCTCAGTGGTTTTTTTCTTTTCATCCTTTGCCCTTTGCCTAGGCTGCAAAGATGCTGCCTGGAGTTCTAGAGCCCATCTGGCAATGCTGAAGACAAAAGCCACAGATTAAAAAATGGCTGAGTGGAAATTCAGTTAGGGAGTGGGGCAATCAGGACAACAGCCCTGAACTGGCTTTCTCTTTGGATTCCCAGTTACATGAGAAAAACAAAACCTCTATTTTGCAGAAGCAGTTGTTTGGCTGGGTTTTCTTCTATTTGTAGCTAAACCTACATCCTAAACTGACATAACTACATTCATTCAACCAGCCATGATCAAGCTGGGTTCCAATGACTCCTAGAGCAGTGCTTCTCAAACTTTCAGGTGCGTAAAAATCACCTGGGAGTTTATGAAAATGCAGATTCTTATCCAGTAGAACTTGGGTGGGGCCTGAGAGCCTGCATTTCTAAAATCCCCAGTGAGGCCGATTCTGCTGGTCCATGGACCACTCTGAGTCTCAAGGTTCTAGAGGATATAAAAATTGAATGCAAATTTCATCCATATGTGTTTTGTTTTGTGTGTGTGTGTGTGTGTGTGTGTGTGTGTGTGTGTGTAGGAAAGGGCCCATTGTTTTCATCAGATTCTCACAGGGGCGTGCAAACAAAAAGATTTAAAACAGATATTGTATGGGATTAATTGACAAAAAAATAAAAGGGCCAAGATGACCACTGGAGTCAATTTCCCATCCCTGAGGGTCTTTGGGGGAAGAGAGCAGATAAGCAGTGAATCATCTATCCTCTGTTTGCCTCCACTCCCAACTCAGCTTCATTCTTCATCCTTCCTTACCCTTCTCTAGGCCCTGGACTGAGGGCCCATGAACTGTATCACTTGGACTTTCTTATCAGCTGGCTCTGGTTGGTTTTGACCAATGGAGGCACCAGTAGGGGATCAAAGGCCTGGGGAAGAAAGAGGTGGTGTTTTTCTCCCCGACTTCCTTCCTGCTTTGGGTCATGTCTGTGGCGCTAATTCTGTCCCTCCGTGACTACAGCTCCTCTGGGCAGCTCCTCACTTCACTCTGCTAATGATGTCCTACTCTTGCCTCTTAAGCCCAAGGAGTAGTTCCTGCTGTGGCCAGTTTCTGAGAGCCTCCATATCCCTTGCCTGTCCACAGCTCTGAGGGAGTCCTTCATATAAGTCTCTTCGCCTTGACTATCTGGCGCAGATTCGACCTCCTGTGGGCCCCTGACTGATGTGCACAGCAACTGTTTTCTGCGTCACCAGACCAGTGGCCACCTACCAGTACTCGGCTTGGAATTCTTTTCTAGAACTCCTGTTTTGTCATCAGTGGGCCCTGTCTTTGGCTTGCTAGGATCCTAGTGGGTTGAGCTGGGAAATGAGCAGCAGTGCCCACCTGCCACTGCTCAGGGACTCAGTCAGCCCGACCGCCTCCCTCCACCACAATCCTAACACCCATAAGTCTAAAAACAAATTACCCAGACTGCTTAGCAGAGTATCAAGGTTCCTTGCCAGCCTCGTTTTCAACTTCCATCCATGTCCTGCCTCGATCTGCAATGGCTTGGGTGACATTCCCCTTATACATCTTACTATTTCAAGCCTTTAGACCTTTTTACTTGCTTTTCCTTTTTCCCAGAAGAGACCTCTCACTCTTTAGTTACCCATAAAATTCTCACTTTTACTTTAAAATTCTGCCCAAATGTCACTCCCAAAGACAGGTAGTTTAGCCATCCTCTCCATCCTCTGTGCTTTGAGAACACTCTACACATGGTTCCTTCTGCCCGTTGTTCAGTGTATTGTAATGTTTGTTTCTAGGTCTCTCTTCTCCATTTGACTGAATATGCTGAGGACATGGACAACAGCTTATTCAACTCTGTCTCCCCAAGGTGTGCACATATCAGTGCCCTTTAAATATGGGAGGAGGGAAGGGGTAGAGAGAGATAGGGGGCCCTTGGAAAAGTTTGCATGTATTTGATCAGCCTGTCTCCTCCCTGGGAAGCTACAGTGGCAGCACCCCACCCTCTATCTTCCAAGAGTCTTTCTATTTACATTAAATTTCTATGTGCCTTAAAACAATAGAAAGGGCTAAGACTAAATCCAAAATAGTCACATAAACAAGACTGACTCTTAGGGCAACATGTTGCTCAGTGGTGAAAAATACAATACAAGGTATGATTAAATGCTCAAACATGTATAACATTTACCTGGAAATTCATCAAATGACCTATGGTGGTTCTTTGTTGTTTCCACAATAATTGTCTTTTACCTTAGTATAATATTTATTCTTGGTGAGTTCCCTGACTTATAAAATACAAACAGATGAGAAGAGGAAAAACTATGGGTGTCTTATAGAAATTCATTTAGTATTCATAATGGTGCCCTAAAAGATAGCCAGAGAGGATGAAATAGCTTCAATAATTGCCATCTTCTCTCCCTCCCTGCCAATAACCCAGGGGCTTTATCCTTGCTTTGCATACTTCCATGCTTGACCCATATGCACTGTCTTTGTGAGCCAAACATGAAAACTCTAATATTCATCTGCCTCATTCTGTATCTCTTTTGTTTCTCCCCCTGCTTCATCTCCCCAGCAAAATCTCCAACAACAATAAAGCAATGTGTTGCCACAGCTAAGGACATGCCAAGCAATGTTCACAGCTAAAGCTGCATTACTTACAGCGGAAGCTTTTGTTCATCTTTATAAAGTGTGTGTAAGGGCCCCTAGTGATTCGGACCCCACTGGTTATTAATTATGTTGTTTTGTATCATTCTCCCTGTTGTGCACAGCAACGTAAGTGACATCTGTCTCAAAGCTAACTGTCAATATCTTCTTTAGAACCTCTGTGTTAATCCTGCTGCCTTTGCTGGTGGGCAAGTGTCAGAGTCCCCAAATTGCCACTCCCTAGAATGTCTTACCAGGATTGCTAACTTTTCTATAGAGCACAAACCATACTCAAACTTTAGAGTTTTGTGACTCAATAATGGTGTCTGTTGGCTTAAGTATGATCTTGGAGGAACACTAACTTCCATTTTTCTCCTTCTGAGAACAATTAAAAGAGGAAGAGGTAGCAGTTACTTTCCAATTCTCAAACACCCTCATTTACAGCCTCTTTTACCAATTCAGTTCCAAGAGCATCTTGTCCTGTCACCCAAGGAATTTTTAACTCTTACCATTTAGAAATAATCTTACTTTGATGTTTTGATTATGCTAGAGGAGAAAACTTTTTCTGTCATTCTAAATACAGAATGGAATGAATTATGCAAAGAAATTTATTTGGACTCTGAAAGAGTCCTGTCATCCAGGCTTACATACTCATTAGGAGCTATTGAAAGAGAGGAATGAGAAAAAGGTGTACTTTTGTTCTCTCTTTGGTTGTTTCTCACATGGTCTCATTATTTTGAATTGGACTGGGTATGGCAGTGTCTGCTAACTGTCCTCCAAAATCACTTTTACCTTTCTTTCTCAAAGATGTAGAACTTCTGGTTTTTGATGGGCTCATGGCCACTTAGAAAAAAAGACTACATTTCCCATCCTCTCTTACAGGTAAAGATGTACATGTGTGTAAGTAGGATATGAGTGGAATCAATTAACACGATTTATAGACTGTGCCCTTAAAAAGAAGGAGCATGTCCTTCCCTTCTACCTCCCATTGGCTGCATGTGGTAGACGCCATCTTAGGACATGCCCACAAGGGTAACACACTGTGAAAAGTGGAACAGTAATATATTAATAGAAGGTGCCTGGGCCCCTGCCTTATCTCTAATACTCTTCAGGTGCCACAGTGCTTGGGCTCTCTCTATTAGGGATCAGGGTTACACTTCCTAGCTTACCAACAATCACCCTCATTCCCAGCTGCCCTTCCTGCTAACTTCCTGGCTACTAATGGAAAAATAGGACCTTACATCAAAATTTTAAAATTTCTTTCTAATATTTTACATTTTGAGAACCTTACATCAGGGTGAAGTTAGTTATGCCCATTTTACGGATAAGGAAACTAAGACAAAGTGAATTACTCTCAGAGTTGGTATTGCCATGAATTTGGGAGGTAGAAGGATCCAGAGGTCAAGACCCTCAGGATCCAAGTAGCAAGACCCATAAGACACAGGATTTCAAGTAGTGAGGGGCCCCATAAATGCAATGTTTTTTCACAGTGGCATATGTCCTAAAGGCCCTTCAGTAGGCAGGAGATTTCTGGGGCCAGGTGTCAGAGGCGTGTGAACCAGAGCAGCTCCATCTTGAATAGGAGCTGGGCAAAATGAGGCTGACACCTACTGGGCTGCATTCCCAGATGGTTAAGGCATTCTAGGTCACAGGATGAGATGGGCAGTCAGCACAAGATACAGGTCATAAAGACCTTGCTGATAAAACAGCTTGCAGTAAAGAAGCCAGCTAAAACCCACAGAAACCAAAAATGGCCATGAGAGTGACTTCTGATTGAGGACACTCAACTGCTCTACTCACTGCTATCTCCCAGCAGTGCCATGACAGTTTACAAATGCCATGGTAACGTCAGTAATTTACCCTATATAGTCTACAAAGGGGAGACATGAATAATCCACCCTTGTTTAGCATATAATCAAGAAATAACCATACAAATCGGCAACAAGCAGCCCGCGAGGCTGCTCTGCCTATAGAATAGCAATCTTTTTATTCCTTTAATTTCTTAATAAACTTGCTTTTGCTTTGCAGTGCAGACTCATCCTGAATTCTTTCTTGCATGAGATCTAAGAACCCTCTCTTGGGGTCTGGATCGGGACCCCTTTCCTGTAACTCTGGGACTGGCTATTTTCTCACTGACCACTGCTAAAGGTCCTAGAGATTGCCCCTCAGAACCCTCCATCACCTGCCTTCCTCTAGCAAGTGCTCAATGCCATCGCCCTGGCCTCAGTGCATCACATGCCTCTGAGTCACTGCTGTTGGGGAAGGCAGTAGCATCAGTCCAACGGCCACCATTCCCGATAAACAGTTGGCGGCAGCAGGACTGTTCTGCCTGCTTCTGACTGAATGTTCACTATACCTTCCATAGTTAAACTGAAGTCATTTTGCCTGTTTCCCATGCCAGATACCATTCGTGCCCTCCCTGAAATCAGATGTCAGTGAGAACTTGGCCCATGATCTGCCTTTTTCAACTTAATGATCAAACAAGCAGAAAGCTGAATGCCCCCATGAGCCAAAAGGTGCTTGTGGTTAGGAGTTCATGCCTGCAGATTTCACCAATGAGAAGCATCAAACACTTTTCTGTCCTTGAGGGAAGTTGTGAAGTTTGACTTTGGAGCCTCCCATAGCACATTTCTACCCTAGGGCCTCTTGTCTAGCCTTCCTTCTCCATTAGGTGGTCAACTGCCTTTTGATGCTCCTGAAGAGTAGAAAAGTCTGACAAAGCATAGAGCCTTGCACAGAGCTAGTACTCAAGAAGCCTGGGTTACCTGGATAAACTAATTGAAATAAAGTGTTAGTGAATGCATACGTTAGCCTTGAAAACATTTGTAATCTTTTTAAAGTATCCAAACCCAAGAGTAATAACAGTAATAGTAAAAATTCAGGGCCTGTGGTAACTAAGTGGAGGGAATCTTTTTGGCTTAGCTGGAGGAGGGAAGGTAGGAAAGTAGCATATGTGAATCGCTTGTTCAAATGCAGATTTTCATTCAATGGGTCTAAGGATGTGACCTGGATTCTGCATTTCTAACAAACTTTCAGGTGATGTCCATGCTGCCGGTCCACAGACCCTGCTTTGAGTAGCAAGGACCAGAGTGCTGTCATGACATACCATACTAGCAATGACCTTTCTGTTGATCCACTTCTCAGGGCAACAGCAGAAACACAGATATGCTTCTGGCCAATATCTACGCTTAAATGAGTTCTCACATTTTGCTCCTCCTCAGGAAGCCAAAAGTGAGTAATAAATTATTATTATTATTATTATTAGGGTGTGGGGAGAATCTTCTTAGCAGATTAGACTTTTCAGTTGTTTCAGGAATCCTCCACTTGTTTGAGATGCTCCAAATTACTGTGTGTATGGCCTGAAAAACTGGCCATCTGTCTGGGTAGTTTGGCATTAAAAGTCTGAAGGGACTCAGGTCAGAAACATCAAGTTTAGATCAGAAACCCTGAGTTGCAGATTTCCCAGAAAACAGTCTCTGAGATGGAGATCAGCAAGCAGGATCTTTAATACAGAGTGCTCTTGGGACCAACACCTGTGGTGGGAGGGGAAGAAGTAGGATTGGGCAGAAGGAGACACTGAGCTACGATGCAGGCATAGGGAAGTCCTTAGTGACCAGGAGCCCTGAAGACAAATGGCCCTTTAGAGTTGTTCCAAGTGTAGCCAGGGGATGAGACCTTTCTACCTTTGTGTTGATCAGTCATTGAATGCAGGCTGACCTTGGAAAGGACATGACCTTGAGCAAGGCAGCCTTCTTCTGCAAAGGACTGACAGTTGGGGCTGCCCAGTAGCTGGTAGAATAAGTTCTTTATTTCTAAAGAGGGGATCTGGGTAGTGCATAACTTTGCCTACAACAAACTGCCCTCCAGGGGCTCCCAAGGATCTAAAGAAAGACTTTACCTGGTCTTCAGAGCTAGAAACCTATAACAGACATTATCATTTTTTTTTAAGTGAAAGCAAGTTTATTAAGAAAGTATAGGAATAAAGAATGGCTACTCCATAGGCAGAGCAGCCCCAAGGGCTGCTGGATGCCCATTTTTATGGTATTTCTTGATTGTATGCTAAACAAGGGGTGGATTATTCATGCCTTCCCTTTTTGAACCATATAGGGTTACTTCCTGACATTGACATGGCATTTGTAAACTGCCATGGTGCTGATGGGAGTATAGCACTGAGGACGACCAGAAGTTACTCTTGTCACCATCTTGGTTTTGGTGGGCTTTGGTGGCTTCTTTCCTGCAAGCTGTTTTATCAGCAAGGTATTTAAGAATTCTGTCTTGTGCCGACCTCCTGTCTTGTCCTGTGACTTAGAAGGCCTAACCGTCTGGGAATGCAGCCCAGCAGGTCTCGGCCTCATTTTACCTAACCCCTATTCAAGGTGGAGTCACTTTTGTTCAAACGCTCTGACATTTCCTCCCTCCCTTTTATAAGAGAACCCTTAATCCTAAGGGTTGCAGAGGAATGAAGATCCATCTTCTGTAACTTCTTCATAATGAATAGGAGTGACGATATTCCTGCCTAACTATTAGGGTCTCTTGTAATTAGGATAGAGAGGAGTTCAGTCAGAAAGCATCAGTATGGTGAGTGACATTCACAGTTCTTGAGTTCCAAAAGAAGGTGATATCTGGAAGATTAATAAGTGTTCAATTTAAGAGATCACTGAGGTGAGATCCTCCTGCATTGCTACACAAAGAATACAATAGCAATATACTCCACAACAGTAAAGCAAAATAAATAAAATTATTCCAAGTAATAAGAAGGCTTTCCCTGAACTGGGTAATTGTTAGAAACCAAGCTGATATGGGGTTGCTAGCTGAGTCCAATATGTGCCCAGAATTAGAATATTGATCCAGATTTTTACATTACCCATCCCTCTTGTTTCTTCTGAGCTGAAGTCAGTGATCACTGATTGATTTACATGAATAAGCAGTCAGTCTAAATTGTAGAAAAAAAAAACTTAAAAACAACTGATGAGTCTAAAATTTAGTAACGAGTGTACCATAGTTTTTGAAACATAATTTTTTCCTCCCTCCAGTTTCCCATTTTCACTAAAGACAAGTCATGGTAAGACTGTTTTGTTTGCAAAAGGAAGCCTTAGTCTTACACTTGGCTTGATTATTTGTACAAAGTGCAGCAAGAACAATTATTTTTCACATAAACTATTTTCAAACTGGCTTTGATGAAACTCTGTTCCTTAGAAGGAATTTCAGATAAGACTTTTTAAAGCTGAGCCCTGCTATGGGTTTGTACCCTCAAATACCTATGAGTTGGGTAAAATTCCTCTCCTCTTGAGATCCCAAGAAAACTTGGGTCTTCTGGGCCTGTCAGAAAGTGACATTCTTTACTACAGGAACCCTGTACAGAGACTGTGTAGACAAGGTATGAGGCCAGTTTTCCAAAGGGGCTTTTATTGGCTTCAGAAGTCAAATTTGATCCTTTAAAGGAAAGCATACCATTCCAGTCAAAGCCTTGGTAAAATAACCAGTTTCTCCAATTGTGCAAAAGAAAACAGTCTTATTACACTTATGCAAATAACTATGTTGCCATAAGTTAAAAATACTCACAAACAGTTTCCAAATTCTGGAGAAATCAGGTAGAAAGAAACAAATATGCTCTAAATTTTGTTCACAGGAGTCTAATTTACTCAATTATTAAAGCTGTAAATAGCTCAAAAGAAAAGTTTTCTTGACTCTAAAAGAACAAAGCAAAGGATCAGCAACATTTTAAGTAAAGTTAAAAAGATTACTTTAGTCTTCTATTAGTTCAGTCCATGCAGTTTACTCCTGTTCTGTTTGATATTCATGAACATTCCAGCTCTCCATGAGAGTTCTGAAAGTTTTTTCCTTATTCTAACGTCACAATCTCCAAAGTCACCAAAAACCCGCATTTAAGAGCATCTGTCAAAATCTTGTAGCTGATTATAAACCATGTTTTGAAGAGGATTAAAACAAGACAACAATTGTCTGTAGATGATAAAAACTTTTAGGACAGTCACTATTAAAACCACAATTGATAACAAAATTTGGTTACTTCTGTGGCATACAAAATTTTGCATAAAAATTATAGTTATTAATAACATACACTATGTCATATCAGGATTATAGGAGTTTTGCATAATTTTAGAACACATACCAATAACGTATTTATACAAATATAGCCCAAAGAAAGCCAAACACCATTTCACATTTGACAATGCTTCCTGTATGATTTTAATATCAAATAAGCCAAATTTCACATTTACATTAGTATACTATTAATGTTAAACCTAATTTTAATAAAATCTTATAGACAAATCTGTTCAATTTAATCAGTATGACCATAAGATAAGATTTTCACAAACCTTCTACACTTTTACAATTTTTGTTAAAGAGCAGAGCAGTGCTCTTAGAAAATCCTGTTGTGTGTGTGTGTGTTTTTTTTTTTTTTTTTTGAGATGGAGTCTCGCTCTGTTGCCTAGGCTGGAGGGCAGTGGCACAATCTCGGCTTACTGCAAGCTCCGCCTCCTGGGTTCATGCCATTCTCCTGCCTCAGCCTCCTGAGTAGCTGGGACCACAGGCGCCCGCCACCACGCCAGGCTAATTTTTTATATTTTTATTAGAGACGGGGTTTCACCATGTTAGCCAGGATGGTCTCTATCTCCTGACCTTGTGATCCACCCACCTCGGCCTCCCAAAGTGCTGGGATTACAGGCATGAGCCACCGTGCACAGCCAAACTTGTTGTGCTTTTAATGTTCAGTTTACAGAAAAACTGAATAATACCCATTTACTTTTAGCGAATATGTTCACATAGAATTTTTTTTTACGAGATTAACCCTTCAAAAGCCCTTTCCAACTTACTCAAACTTTTAGCTTTTTCCTAACTTAAAGCAATCCTTTAACCCTCTAAACTTAGGCAAGAAATCCACATTCCCACGACTTCTTATAATCTTTTACCAAAAACATATTTCACTGTCCTTATACAGCTTGCATGTAGAACAGTTTTTATTTCCCAAAGATTACTTAAGTCACATGAACTAAAAGGAATTACATCTTTTACTTTTCTGACAAAATATTGTCTTTAAGCATTTATTATTTTAAAACCAATTAAAGCTTTTTTATATCATACACACAACACATAAAAATACACAGAGAGACAGAAGATAAACGACTCATTCCCTAAGCCAGGAATTGAACCCTGAGCCCAGGCCACCAATGTCACGGCAGAGACCAAGAGAAAGTACTGCCACGTGGTTACATGGTCAAGCTTCCAAGGACATGACAACCAATTTGCTGGGCTGTCTTGAATGGTGGGCTCATGGGGTGCTAAGCCTATGTTCTATCTGAGTACATGGATCCTAAGCCCATGTACTTCTCTTTTGACAGAGCAATACAGAAAGACACACAAAGCACACCCAATTCACTGCAGTTTATGACTAGCCTCACAAATCCTTTTTCCATTAATCAAAACTTTACAGAGGAGATAGTGATTTTTACCATTCATTCAACTAGTTTGCACAGAGACATGAGAGAAAGAGAGAGAGAGAGAGAGAGAAACCAGAAGTCTTACTGGTAAGAAATTCTTACCCTTGGCCGGGTGCGATGGCTCATGCCTGTAATCTCAGCACTTTGGGAGGCCAAGGCGGGTGGATCACGAGATCCATCCTGACCAACATGGTGAAACCCTGCCTCTAAAAATAAAATATAAAAATAAAAATAATAATAATAATACAAAAATTAGCTGGGCATGGTGGCAAGCACCTGTAATCCCAGATACTTGGGAGGCTGAGGCAGGAGAATCACTTGAACCCAGAGGCAGAAGTTGCAAGTGAGCCGAGATCGTGCCACTGCACTCCAGCCTGGGTGACAGAGCAAGACTCCATCTCAAAAAAAAAAAAGAAAAGAAAAGAAAAGAAATTCTTACCCTTTTGCCAGCATGATGGGTTTCTGGGTTTCCTTTACCTGAATGGCCCTAGTGACCCAGCTGGCTGCACCACAGCTCCCGGGGCCAAGTCACAACACAAAGGAAAATTATCCCTTTCCATGCTGGCTGGAGCAAAATACATGTGACAAAACATAGACATTAGCTACTCTGCTTAGGACCCAATATCAAACTGGCAAGGCTCAAACTTGCCCCCAGTTGGGCCCTGTCTTTGTTAATCCAATCTCCTACCAGTTTCAACTTGTGGTCTCTGGGCAAGATGGTCACCCTGATTAACAGAAAAGGTAGGAAAGAGAATGAGAGAGAGAAAAGCACTGCCTGCAGCAGGGTGGGGAAGGCAAGCAACTCACGGAGACCAGAGAAAGGGCCAACCGTCCCAGCGACACTGAAAAGCTCAGGCAGCCACTTGTCAGTCACAAAGGGATCTTTTTCAGTAGCCACATCAGCTCTCAAGTTTTCCTTTGGGGAGAAAAAGCTCTCCATGTCCCATGATCCTGTACATGCCTAATCCTGTCACCCATAGCCGTCAGCAAAGAGTGCAGGGCAGATTAATCCAAAGAGAATAGCAGTTTACATCCCATACTGCCAAACTTGTTCTTAGCCAATAAGGACTTTACTGAGAGGGGCGTCTAATCCCCTCAATCTTAGGAAGGACTCTAACCTTCCTAAGTTGAGCCTCGAACCCAAGTTCCATCAAGCATCCTAGACTTTTATTAAGTGGGGTCTTTAACCCACTCTGTCTTAGGAGTAGCTCAAACCTCCTTAAGTTGGGCCTCTAACCCAATCCCATCCTTGTCTTGGGTAAATGCACCCCACTTACCCAAAGTCAGCCAACTGGTGCATGCAGATGATTTTCCTTTGGGTTGGGGGTCTCCTCAGTATCGTCCCTTTGGGGTTCACCAGAAAGATGTTACCGGACTCCGCCACTTACCCAAAGTTAGCTTTTGGCTCGGGGATTTCCTCAGTATTGTCCCTTCCCTGGTCACGAGAAAGATGTTACTGGAAAGAAGTCCCAATCCAGACCCCAACGCAGGGTTCTTGAATCTCTCACAAGAAAGAATTCCAGGAGAATCCGTACAGTAAAGTGAAAGCAAGTTTATTAAGAAAATAAAGGAATAAAGAATGGCTACTCCATAGGCAGAACAGCCAGACGTCATCAATTTTTGAACAGCAAATGACCACTCCTCTTCTTCCTTGTTTCCAAAATCTCCATTTTATCCACCTTTTGTCAAGCAGCCATGTACTTCAGGGAGTAGAGAGGGCAGGCTTTAGCCTGCCATTCATGATGGTCTCATTCTCCTTATAGTGGTGGTTTGGACATGGTTAAAGGACACAATTCTGGCCAGTGAGACTTGAGGGGAAGTCTGCTGTGAGTTTCTAAGAATGCCTTTCTACTCTTAAGAATATAAGAGAATGTTCCTTCTTCTGTCTCTTCCTTTGATCAGTGTTATTATGTCTACATGTGATGGCTGGAACTGCAGCAGCCATCCTGCAACCATGAAGTAATACGCCTAAAGGCAAAAACCACAGAACATAAAGACAGAAAGAACCTGAATCTTTGATGATTTCACTGAGCCACTGAACCCTGGAACTGCTTTTTCTGAACATCTCATTAAGTGAAGTAATAAATATCCTTACTTTTTAACCACTCAATTTTTTTATTACATGAAACTGAAACATCTTAACACGTTCAATGCACAATCAGTCCTATTAAATGAATAACTGAACAAATTGATGCCAAAGAGCTCAACCACATCATGAGAGACAGAAAGGCACAGGCTTCTTCATTTTATAGTTTCATTTTATTCCACAGGGATTTGGAGCAACGGGGTATAAGGGAAGAAAAAGAAACTGAAAGAGCACTGGAACTTAGGACAGAAGGAATCTGGTTATTTATAGTAGGGATGGATTTAGAAAGTCCTTACAAACACACATGAAAAAAGTATGCCCAAACTGCAGTCCAGCTGCTCTGGTGGGGGTGGGGGTGCTGATGGAAGATATGAATCACACCTCAAGAAAGCAGAGCAACAATAAAACCTCATCTGGTAATGATGCACACTTAATGTGGATCGTATCTTAGAAACTGCCCCCCATTTGACAGTTACGGCCCTCATGCCAGTTACTTTGTCTTTCATTCTTTAATTAAACAGGATTCCTTTTCTTGGGTTTGGAGCTTGCAAGAACTCCATCTTTTGACTAATTCACCTTCAAATGAGTGCCATGTCTTGATGTATTACCGTGATAGGCTGTACCACACATGTAATCCATCATAGTAGTTAGCTGTTGCTGGGCTTCCAGGATAGAGAAACTGAGCCAGATGTTGTTCTGACACATTGGAGTAATGCATCAACCAAGCCTAGGGCTCTGACGATCTATTACCCCAAGATGGCTCTGGCCAGAATAGAGACAATCCTAGGGCACATGGAGCATTGTGCAGGCTTGACAGAGACCTACTCAGGGCTGAGAAAGACTTCAACACTGAGTGGTTTGAAATAGATATTGGTTTTCCAGACCCAGTTCAGCAGGTTTAATAAGGGGGTACAGAATCATGCACAAGTATTGCTGTCATTGATCAAACTCAGGACATCAATTTCTTACTAATGTATTTCTGAAAAATCAAATCCATCCCCAACAGCATTTTATGTATCTTAATCTTTACTGTTGATGACTAGAATTGTCTTTACACAAATCTTTCAAGTCAGCAAATGATATAGGCCACAGTCCATCATCAGGGCCCCCAGTTGAGTATGTGTAAATAAGAACTGTTTAAATATTCACTGCTGAGAATTTGCTGAAACCATGTACTTCCAGTTTGCTTTTTGTTGCTCAAGTGAACACTTTCACTAGTGTCTACATTGCCTTGGCACACAAGAGCATAAATGAAGTTACCTAAAGCACTGACATAAAATACATAGGAAAGTATAACTATCCCTCATTCAGGCGCTCCCATTTATCCAGCCTTTCCAGGACTTACATGTCTTAAGAGGGAATTGACCCAGAAAATGAGAAGATTTGAAAATGAAATATGAAAAGAGTTCTTAATTCTCAGATACCTGTGTACCTCATTTATCAAGAGACCAAGTGTTTATAAGCAATTCCACAGTTTCTCCAGCATCTTTCAGAAGCCACAAGTCTAGTGAAAGCATTTCCCTGGCTGTGACTCCAATGGCATGAAATGGACCCTTTTGTACCTAAATCTCCCCATCAGCAACATGAGAAATTATTCACAACTGTAGTGAAAAAAAAGATAGAACTTCCTAGAATTGCATGGGTGGGGAGGCAGCACAGGCAATCAAATCTTTTTGGTGACATACCAATCCTGTATATCTTAACAACAAAATTTTAATTTTGCATAAATAGGAGAGTTAGCCAAATAGTAAAGAAAAGTTTGATTCAGGAATCCTTCATTCTTCGCTACACTCTATATAGCCAAAAAATATCATGATTAATATTTCCATAAATAAAACATCCCCAAGTAATATTGTTGGCACTTCAATGGAATTAAAATGGTTATCAGCAATTTCTTATTAGGTTCATTCTCCCTGTCCCTGCCAGTTGAATTAAGGTCTCCCTTTTTATGTAGGCACAGAATGATCACTGTTCTTACATCTCCATCATGAAATGATCATGGGATTTCAGAGGCATTTATCTTTAGGAAAGCAATGAAGGCTTTATCTAGATATGGATATAGTAGGGAGGGTGACCAACTTGTCCCACTTTGCTTGAGAGTTTCCTAGTTTTAGCACTGCATTCTCTTGTCCTGGAAATCCCTCGGTCCTGGGCAAACTAGGACGTTCGGTCACCCTAGCAGTAGGTCCTTAGGAACTCACACTTGGGGGCAGTGTAACTAAGCCAAAAACCAGGCCATTCTGTCTAACCCCTAGACTTCTATTTCCTCCTGTGCAAATAGAAATAAAATGCAATGTAGTGAAAGATACAATCAGAACTAGGTTAAGCAATGGGTTTGTAATAGGTGCACCTTTTCACAAAGGGCCTTCACATAGATTCCAAGAGAGAAAAGAAAGGGATGTAACATTTATTAAGCAGCTATTTTAGTCACTTTACCTATCACATTCATATAATTCTTACCACCCCCAAAATAAGTGCTATTAATAATATGTTTTACAAAGCAGTTTACTGAGACTCAGAGAGGCCTGAGGTCATATAAGTAATGAGTGAGTGGAGAATTAGAGATTTCAGCAAAGGCCTTCCTATTCCTTAGCACAGCTTTGGAAGTAGACAGAAGCCAGGCCAAGTCACTCACACCTGTAATCTCAACAGTTTCAGAGCTAAGGCAGGAGGATCGCTTGAGACCAGGAGTTTGAGACCAGCCTGGGTAACATGGAGAGACCCCATCTCTACAAAAAATTAAAAATTAGCCAGGCATGGTGGCACACCCCTGTAGTCCCAGCTATTCAGGAGGCTGAGGCAGGAGAATCACTTGAGCCCAGGGGTGTTGAGGCTGCAGTGAGCTATGATTGGGCCACTGCACTCCAGCCTGGGCAACAGATGGAGACCCTGTCTTAAAACAAAAAACAAACTAACAAAAAAGAAGTAGACAGACATAGTACGATTACAGAAAGAGTCCTGCCCAAAATAGACTACTCGACTGCCTGTAATTCTCTCCTCATAAAATGTGTTTTCTTTCATCCAGAATATGTTAACAGGCTTCAGTTAAAAGGCAAAAGTTCCTTGTAGGAAACTTTTTCCTTGTAGGGAATTTGAAGGGGTTGAAAGTATTATAAGGTAACATTTTTCTTGTTGGCTAATCTTATAGATATTAAATGACAACCAGCAGAAAGCAGGATGCTGCAGAGGAGCCTCCTGTGGATGGAGTGTTGAAATGCAAGCAGAGGGCCTCAAAGATAGATGAAACCAATACTGAATGCTCTTCTTTTATTATATAATCAAAGGCACAGACTAGGATCTTGCAATAGAATTCTGGTTATATTAGGTTGGTGCGAAAGGTATTGCGGTTTTTGCCATTACTTTCAATGGCAGACACCACCATTACTTTTGCACCAACCTTAGTTCTGCACCCAACCTCTGAGTGGCCTTGGCATCCTGGGTTCCTCAACCACAACCTGAGGGAGTTGGACCAAACAATGGTTCTGAGCATTCCCTTCCTGTCTAAAGCTGTAGACTTCTAGAGCAATGTGGTAGGTTTCTCAGAGTGCTTTCTCAGAGGCCAGTATTCTATTTCTCACCTTGACCTTCAGGATACACACAGGATTTGCAGTCTCCTCATTAACCCCAGAAGCAGCAGAGTGACAGAGTGGAAAGAACATGGGGTTTGGAGTCGTTCTGGGTTGAGATCCTTGCTCTACCATTTGAAGCTGTAACTTTGGGCAAGTTTCGTGACCTCTTTTTTTAAATCACATTACGCTCACCTAAAAAATAGCAATGAACCAACCAACTGGTAGTTGTGTTGGGAGCATTAAATGAAGAAGCACATGCATAACCCAAATGACAATGGCACAAGGCCGTGCAGCCATTTCACTATGAACTGCCCCTCACATAGGACTTCCCAGCTATTTCCAGCACCCCAGCGGCAGCCTCACCTAGGTGCAGAAACAAGCCCCAAGACGGCCCTTCACCTTGGCTTCCCTCTCTGGCCTCCACAGTGATGTCCCAGTTGCCCATCACTGTGCTGTCATGGTCAATGGCTGTCACCAATCCTTCTAATCCTTCCACTCTAACAACAGAGGAAGGGAAATTGTCCCTCGGCCGCACCTTCTGACCTTTCCTAGCTCTACCAATTTCCTTTCCATGGTTAGAACACAGTTCAAGAGAACAGATGAACTTGTCTCCTGCATAAAAATACTGGAGATCCCATTTCATGTAAAAATTACCTTCAATTTAATACTAACCATTCCACTGGAGTCGTCAAATTCCTAGAAACAGAAAGTAGGATGGTGGTTGCCAGGGACTATGGGGAGAGGAGAATGGGGAGTTGTTATATATAGTAGGTACCAAGTTTTATTTTGGGAAAAAACTGGCCGGGCATGGTGGCTCATGCCTGTAATCCCAGCACTTTGGGAGGCCAAGGCAGGTGGATCACAAGGTCAGGAGATCGAGATCATCCTGGCTAACATGGTGAAACCCTGTCTCTACTAAAAATACAAAAAATTAGCCAGGCGTGGTGGCGCGTGCCTGTATTCTCAGCTACTTGGGAGGCTGGGGCAGAACCACAAAACATTTCGGAGGGGGATGGTAGTGATGGCCACACGGTAATGTGAATGTATTTAATGCCATTGAACTGCATACTTAAATATGGTTAAAATGATAAATTTTATGTTATGTATATTTTACCACCAAAAACAATGAAAAATTAACTTATCACAGAAGGACCATAGGTGTTTCCTGAGACTCACTCCCGGATTTCATTTCAGTGAACAGCCAGGCCAACTCTGAACCCTAAGGGAGAAGCATAGAAGGAAGCAAAGAACAGTTCTGGCTCTGGAGGAGCCTAAAATCTGGTGCAGAGAGCTCACTTGCTTGTAAAATAGTGAAGAGAGTCCATGCAGGGAAAGCTGAGCCCACGCCCTGGGATTGTGTGGTGTTTCCAGTACTGCACTCAGACTTAGCAGCCGTCTCGTGTAGGTTTCATGAGAAAATGGTTTCTCCATCACAGCACAAAGAGGTCCTTGGTGCTTCCTTATGATTCTGTTCAGAAAACAATACAGAAAATTAGTCAACTATTAATTAATCATGAGGTTAAGGCACTGGCATCAAACTGCCTAGGTTAAAATGCCAGCTGTGTGATCCGGAGCCATCAACTTGATCTCTCTGTGCCTCAGTCTTCCCATGTTTGAAATGGGAAAAATAAGTATAGTACCTACCTCTATGATCCTTGCATGAAGCAGGTGAAGTGACCAGGTCTCACTTAGCACCTGAAGAGTACTCAATAAATGTCACTGGGTATTATTCCTGGCTGTGCCACCATGCCCCATTCCAAGTTAAGATCAAATTAAACTTGAAGTTTAAGGTTATATGTCTGCCTTCTTAAGTTTCTTTTTTTCTTGGACTGTCAAACTTTCTCCCTGAACAGTGGTTTTTCCAGACTTACCAATCAAAAGACTTTACACTCTTCGTGATTACTTTGAAAATTTCCTTAGAAAATCTCTTTTTATCCATCCAAAGAAATTTTGACATACAAAGAGTAACATTAATATGTAAATTAGCATACAGAAAAATTCATTTTGGTGCCTCCGAGGCAGTATTTTTATAAATACAGAAACATAATTATGCATCCTCTAGAGGACTAAAAATAATTATACAAATTTACAACAAAGCCCAAGGCTGTGTTTCCTTTTAACTGACTGTTTTTAATATCATTTAAATCTTGTTAGAACTTAATTACCAAATCTCTCTTGTAATAATTCAGGTGGAAGATATAAAGTCTAAACTTGCCATTCAGAAAACAGAACCTCATCAGACAAACAAAGACATTTAGGCACTGATTGCCCGAATAGGACAACGGAAGAAATTCTGTCAGGATGGAGCCATGTTGGGCACTGAGACAAAGAGGCCCTCTGAGAAAAAAACATTAATATTCATATATGAGCCATGTTAATTATTTTAATCTATAATTTCTTGGAAGCACATATTATTATCATTGTGGATTATAAACCAAATTAACCATTTCTCCCTCTTTCATTTTCCATATTTTCCTTGTCTTTTTCAAATTAAGGTCAATATAATTTCGGGGCAACATTCTTTTCATAACAATTTAATTACTCCTTCGAAAGTCTGTCTAGAATATGTGTGCGTGTGTGGGTGTGTGTGTGCGTGTGTGGGTGTGTGTGTGCGTGTGTGTGTGTGTGTTTCATATCTAAAGATCAGCTTATGTTAATGTGGAAAAGAACAACGAACAAAGTCAGGAGCTAGCGTCCAATGTATACTCCATTTTAAAGACAATAATTTATTGGCACTTAGAAAAAATGGGCTCCTTATTATGAAATAAAAGGCACAAGAAACTTGAACATTTGACATTTGAACACATTTTCTTTTCTTTTCTGTTTTGTTGTTGTTGTTTTGTTGTTGTTGTTGTTGTTGTTGAAACAGCCTCTCACTCTGTTGCCCTGGCTGGAGTGCAGTGGTGCAATCACAGTTCACTGCAGCCCTGACCTCCTGGACCCAATCAATCCTCCTGCCTCAGCCTCCCCAGTAGCTGGAAGCAAACACATTTTCATTTACCACTAGTTAATAATATTATCTAAGACTTTTATAGCTCCCTGGAAAATTAATTAGTCAATGTATGCTATAAAGACTAATAATTTGTTCATATGCGGTATCTCTAACGTAGGTTGTTATCCATTATAGCAAAACCTGACCAATTAATTTTTCAAGGATCAGTTCCATATATGAAATGTCTATACAAAGTCACAATTCATTCTAGTCACTACAAAATATCCGTCAATTCAGTGAAAAAAATGTTAATCAAAATGATTGTTTGAGTTATTGAATCTCATTTTCAACATTTATTTTGGTTTTGTGTAGGCATATAAATGTACATACATTTGTGCTTATAATACATGGATTTTTTTCCCATTTCAATGGCTTTAATCCCATGGGAAGATATATAATTCCACACTTATTTATATGTAATATACTTGATATGTGTGTGGGTAAAGGCCTTGCTCTTGCTTCTTGTCTTCAAGGACTTTTTAAAATACCTCCTTTGGGCTAGGCTCAGTGGCTCATGCCTGTAATCCCAGCACTTTGGGAGGCCAAGATGGGCAGATCACCTGAGGTCAGGAGTTCAAGACCAGGCTGGTCAACATGGTGAAACCCCATCTCTACTAAAAATGCAAAAATTAGCCAGGCATGGTGGCAGGTGCCTGTAATTCCAGCTACTCGGGAGGCTGAGGCAAGAGAATCTCTTGAACCTTCAAGGCAGAGGTTGCAGCGAGTCGAGATCATGCCACTGCACTCCATCATGGGCAAGAGAGTGAAACTCTGTCTCAAAAAAATAAAATAAAATATCTCCTTTGAATGAATCCAAAGGAAGTATCACTTTGACAGAGAGACCCGGAATGAAGCCTCCAATGGAATGGGTAGATTTTTCTATTTTAACTCATCTTCTTTCACTGATGTGTGATTCTTTCAAAAGTCCTCCCTCTTATATTATATTCTCCTTTTAACATAAAATTACATCATTACCTCCATTCAAGCAATATTTAAGCCATTTATGATTTGGGAAAATTCCAATCTTGCAGTGCTTAAATTTCCAAGTCATGCTCTTGGCTGTCATTTGTAACTGGTCCGACTGGGATCCAAAATAAGTAAATAGACCTGTACAGATTTCATATCTGGAGGAGGGTCTAATGAGCAATAAGGGGAAGCAAAAAGATTAGATCAGTCCCCATGGAAGCTCTAAGCATTGCATAGAAATAAGTGCAGGATGATAACTGAAGAGATTCAAGCACATGAGTTTCCTCTCATCTCTTTTTGTTAGTGATGGCAGAGTGTTACTCAAAATCAGAAGACTAAATATATTGCCTTGGCTGCTAAAAATGAAAATACCTAAAAATTCTTTCTGCAGATACTACACACAAGCCTTATAGCCTGTGACCATCTTTCGTCTTGGCCAGTATGAGAAATCATCCATGATATCTGCCCATTGTACATGTCTATTGCATTTGCCAGCTAATGTTTAGTAACTAGGGCTGTTTGTTCTTCTCAAAAATTTGAACTTTCTCCATTTGTGTTTACCTTCACATCCAAACTCGAACAACTCTGCTCTGAGTTAATTCCCCAATTTCATTATGGCCACACTGGGGAAGGGGAGAGGAATCTGTGTACAAACCACCAGACAGAAAACAATGGGAACAGGCAGCAATCCAAGAGCTTTGGCATGATTTGCAAGAGAAAACCAGCTCTGATTAATGCTATCAAAATGCTTGTCTTTCCTGTGATTGATATTCCAGCCCCTTGTTACAATTATTGATGCTGGTGACCACTATTATGAGAGTCTTTTTATAGTTTGCTGTTTTGGAGGGAGGTTGCATGGACTTCACCAGAACATTTGCACACCTGCCTCAATTTAACCTAAAACCCATTATTTTGCAAACAAAGCATATAAACCCAACATAGCAATCATTGTTTCCCATATTCTGCTATTAAAACACTCCTGCTCATGGTAAGGAGTAGATCTCCTGCTGGCCTACTATAGGAATAGTGTGTAAAAGGCAGCGTGGAGGGTAGGATGCACCATTTGAAGGTTCTTTGGCATATGAAACCTGGCAAACCAAAGACATCATTTGAAATGGTATTGTGTGCCCTGGGGTGGTGACATTACAGCAGGCTGAAATCAGCAGGTATTAAGTTTTATGAATTGCTGATCTTCAGGAGTAAGTGATAAAACAGTCACAAGTATCTAAAAACGCCCTTGCCCTGAAGAGCTTGCCCTGGATACCACAAATGTGCCTAGAAACACTATGCACCTCTGTGCATGGGGTTTGTTTGTTTGTTTGTTTTGAGACAGAGTCTCACTCTGTCACCCATGCTGGAGTGCAATGGCAGGATCTCACCGCAATCTCTACCTCTCAGGTTCAAGTGATTCTCCCAATTCAGCTTCCCGAGTACATGGGGTTTTTTTTTATAAGTTTGATATGAAATGTAAACAGGTTCATTTTCACTCTTAGATTATCCCATTATTCTGGTTAAAATAATTACCAGCCTAACCTTTGTGTTCCTTCTCATTTAAACTTGACTGAACTAACAACTTTTCCTAGTTTCCTGCCTCTGATTCTTACAGGATTGGAATTTTTGGTCTTCCTGTCTCCCCAGGGCAATATTTTAAGTTATAGAAGCCAGAAAACCATAAAGAGAGAAATAAAGTACATTTTATAAGTGCTTTTCCAGTGAAACTCAAATCATTTTTCTTGTAATACATAGGTTTACTAAGGACGTTTAAAGGAACTGGTATTTTAAAAGGAAGACATTTTTAAAAATAAACCTATATACCTTCCAAAAGACTTACTTTCTCTAAAGGGTATTTTTGTTAAATAGTAGTTAATATAAGTGCACAGGATTAAGCTCCCTGCTATATAGCCAGGACTTAGAATTGTGCACAGTATATAGTAGACGTTCAACAATACCTGAATGAATTAATGAATGGAACTGACAGAAATAAGCCTTTGTAGAGGAATGTTCTATAGAAGTTTTTGCCAGTTTGGATTGATCACTATGGGCAGTCAAATCTTGATGAAAATAGATAAGTGAGGTGCACTTAGTCTAGATATCTATCTGTACCAATATCAGATGTGGTTTTCTCTTTCTACTTTTTAGTATGAGATTTTTTAACATATAAAAAGTGAGAAGAAGAATTATAGTTCAAAAGACGGCAATCATATTTGCTTTGTCTCTGTGTGTGTACAACTTGACAGTAATCTACAAACATCTGACACTTTGCCTCTAAATACTTCAGCATTTATCTCTTAAGCGTAAGAATACATGATGATAGTTCTTTAACGAAAATTTAAGAAAACAAAATTAAAGAATAGGATTGTTGGGGAATGACTGATACAATATATAAGAACTCTAAGTCACCAAATTTTGAGCCTAAGTGAATACAGCAAGGCTGAATGGTGGGATTCTGCTCACTGTTCCCAGTTTCCTACAAATGGAAATCCTAAGCTGCTGTGAAATAATCTTGTCTGATTCCCACCCAAGGCCTCTATCATATCTGTCATTTAGGCTCACGTGAAGTGCTCTTATGCACCCTTTACTGCTCTCAGCCCTCAAAGCTTCCTTGTACCATGGCCCTCATTAGGATTTGAAGGAAATTTTCAGTCTCTGACTGCAATAGCTTCAAGTCCTAGTAAAGGACAGTCTGCTTATCAACTGTATTTATAACATAAGATTTGCTCTAATGTTCTCTACTGTACATCGCTGCCAGTTACTTATAGCTAGGAAAGACTTTTTCCCCACCGTTACAGGCTTAGAGCTTTCCCCTCTCTCTCTAAGCATTCTCTCTGAATGCGTATATTCTATATTTTGCACGGAAAAGGAGCTCCCAGAGTGAGATCTCGGCTGAAATGGATGCTCTATGATGCTGAATAGAAATATTATCTCTCACATAATGAGCACCTCCATGCCCAAACTCCCCATTCCCCATCTCATTAGAGCAGCCAAGAGCCTTAGACTTTAACCATTGTTCTCCCTATGTTATTTGAGCTGCATCATATGTATGCGTGTTCTCAACAACATGGATGTCAGCACAACAAATATGGGCTATATTTAATTCGGATTACTCTGTGTAGACTGGAGCTACTGTTTGCATTTTGACTCAGATGTTGAATAATTACATACCAATTCATTGAAGACCTGTGTCCAAGGTTATTTTCTACTACCAAAGGATTTGGAGAAATGTATGTTTCTCCATAGCATCCCTCTCTAACTTGTCTGGGAATTTATCTGGAAAATGAATGTGGGAAACAGTAGTAGCAAGGTTGAGGGAACAGGACTCCACTTTATTCCATAAACATTCACTGAGTGCTTTGCAGATGCTGCCGTCGGGAGCTCTGTATTACCAGCCATGGTCAACCCCACCGTGTTCTTCCACATCTCTGTCGACGGTGAGTCCTTGGGCCGCATCTCTTTTGAGCTGTTTGCAGACAAGTTTCCAAAGACAGCAGAAAACTTTTGTGCTCTGAATACTGGAGAGAAAGGATTTGGTTACAAGGGTTGCTGCTTTCACAGAATTATTCCAGGGTTTATGTGTCATGGTGGTGACTTCACACACCATAATGGCACTGGTGGCAAGTCAATCTACGGGGAGAAAGTTGATGATGACAACTTCATCCTGAAGCATACAGGTCCTGGCATATTGTCCATGGCAAATGCTGGACCCAACACAAATGGTTCCCAGTTTTTCATCTGCACTGCCAAGTCTGAGTGGTTGGATAGCAAGCATGTGGTCATTGGCAAGGTGAAAGAAGGCATGAATATTGTGGAGGCCATGGAGCACTTTGGGTCCAGGAATGGCAAGACCAGCAAGAAGGTCACCATTCCTGACTTTGGACAACTCGAATAAGTTTGACTTGTGTTTTATCTTAACCACTGGACCATTCCTTCTGCAGCTCAGGAGAGCAGCCCTCCACCCCATCTGCTCGCAGTATTCTAGAATCTTTGTGCTCTCGCTGCAGTTCCCTTTGGGTTCCATGTTTTCCTTGTTCCCTTCCATGCCTAGTTAGATGGCAGAGTTAAGTTTGTGATTATGAAATGAAAACTAAATAAGAAACAAAAAAAAAAAATTCACTTCCAGGCACTACTGTAGGCACTGGAGATAGAAAGATGAATCCTTGTCCCCAAAACTCCATAGTTAGTAGAAGACACTAATTTCTTAAGTTGGTTTACTCCAAGTCATTAAGCTATTTAGTCTACTTGAAGATGCAAGAAATTATTAAATTAGTAAATTAATTACAATTTTACTATCTGGCAGCCCTTGGGTTAAATGTTTAGATGCATTATCGCCCTATCAGCATTCAAGTCCACAAAGACCTCAGACGCCAGAATCTAAACAGATACACTGTACTGTTTTCTACTTTCTTGCTTGATAAAAAAGAGACAATTTTGCCTGAAATAAACCCTGCGAATTTGAGGTCATGAAGCCCGTATTTATACCAATTGACTCTTTCAAGTTGGGAACTCTCTACAACGCATATTTCTCTTTCCACAAGTGTCAGATGAAGGTTGGGCAGTTGGTAATTTGGCCACATGATAGTGTGGGTTTGTGTGTGGATACATGTGTGTCTGTGTTTCAGTATGAATCACAGTGATTCTGGTTCTCTTAAAAAGCAAAAAGTAAGTGAATGACACAAGCACATTATTTATGTGGAATATTTATATCCACATATCCCATATAAGGGTAGATTTGGGTCAGACAAGGCTTTCTGTAGCTGTCCTGACTTTTTACTTCACGCTCTAACTTCCATGTTCCCACAGGCTATCAGTGAGAGGAACATGTGGAATACCACTCACCCACTGAGAAAAGACCACCTGAGATGCTCATTTTATTGCAGGACATGAATGTTCACTGAAGAACCCTTGTAGTTGGTCATGTCAGCTTCTAATTCTTATCATAAGGCTCTAAGACTAAGCCAAGAATCAAAATAATACAGCCAGTTTTAATTCATGGGACAACTAACGATTGGCTGAAATAAGATCCCATTTCCAGTGCCAAATGCTGCCAGGACAACACTAATTCCTAGCACAGTGCCTGCCACTTACTTAACATACAAATATGAGAAGGGGCTGGGGGTTGACTAGAAAGATCATCAACCTTGGGGCAGACAAATCAAAGTTCAAATCCTAACTTCTTAGTAGTGTATGACCTTAAACAAGTTATCTCATTTCGGTGACCCCAGCTGTGAGGTACTACTATGTTATTCTACTTTATCTATATTCCCCCAACATAATCCTGTCCCTCAATAAATACACTTTGATGGAAAAAATAGATGCTTACTACTGATTGATTGGTTGCCAATTCAATCAACAATCAATGATATTATGCCAGTTAATGGTACCTGTAAGAATTTTGGAAGCATCTTTATCATTTCCATATTTGTCCCTACTAATAATCTTATTTATAGTATCAAAATCTCTCTTAAGAAGCCAAGAAAAGTGCAAATATCAACCTGTTTTATACAATTTTTAAATGGATTCAGAGAAGTGATGTCACTTAGTCAAGTTGCTATAAAATGATTAACCCTAGAGTGAATAACGAGTTTCTTATTCTGAATTAAAATCCTGTGCTCTCTCCTTAGTTTGTACCAAGACATTGCAGATTCTACTTCACTTCCTGCTGACTCGAGTAACTTCAAGACATAGGATGTGAGAGGTGAAAAGGACCTCAGGTGAAACGACTGAGGTCTACAGAGGATGAGTGACCTGGCTCAGGTCACAAGGGAGGTAAGGAAAATAGTCAGAACTGGGTCCTACCTCCTAACTGCCAGGCCAGGGGCCCTTCTGAAAACCCACATGATGAAAACAGAGAAGGACCCCTTTGCCCTTCATGAGCAATAGAGTCCTATAGCCATAGTGAACGAGACTTGAAAATGAAAGTAAATGGAAAGAAACGGAAAAGAAGCAACTCTTGGCCATCCCAACCTTTTGTTGTCAAATAAGCCTTTAGAATCTCCCTGCTCAGTAGACCCTTGATGGGGATAAGACAGACGCAGAAGCCCAGGGCAGCTCTACTTTACTGGCCAACAGTTACCATGAAAACTAAAGGAAAGAGTGGTCTGGCCATTTCCTGAAGTTTGTAAAATGCTCACCTCTTTCTTTCTCCAGGTTTCCCTGAATATTTCTTCTTTTTATCAGCAAAAGTTTGGTTCATGTTTGTCAACACTTATTAGGATAGTCAGTGGGTGGGGACAAAAAGCAATTCATCCGTCTTTGGCCTAGTTGCAGATAAACTTCTCTCAGTCTGTGGCCTAGTTGCTGATAAATTTCCCTCAACCGTGATGACTATAGCAATATTATAATTAGCTATCATAGAGAGATTTACTCTACTCTCCACCACCCTACCCATGGGGTGTGACCAGCCTCAAGAGGGTCTTCAATCATCTTGTCTTCCTCCTGTCATGACGTCTCCAGCCTCAGGCTAGATCAGCTGCCCGGAGATCTTGCCCCTTACTGCTCTGGACTAATCTCAAATACCTCATACCAATACCAGCCATTTGTGGCTGCTTCCCGCTACCCACCCTCCCAACACACACTTTAACCTGGGTCACCAGCAGATCATCCCTCAACAGACAGGTATTATCTAATCTAACACAAACCCTCCTCTCTTCCCAAGCTTTTCCATGGCACCCTTAGGAACTCACTGATCAGCAAACTTTCCTACACCTTTTTCCACTTCTAAATGTATCTTCCTATGAGATCCTGTCATTTACAACAACATGATGGAACTGGAGGACATTATGTTAAGCAAAATAAACCAGGCACAGAAAGACAAACTTCACATGTCCTTACTCATTCATGGGAGCTAAAACTTAAAACAATTGAACACAGGGAGACAGAATGATGGTTACAGAGGCTGGGAAGTATAGCGGAGCAGGGGAGTGGGGATGGTTAATGAGTACAAAAATGTTAGATAGAATGAATAAGGTCTAGGATTTGATAACTACAGTCAACAATAATTTATCGTACATTTTAAAATAGCTAAAAGAGTATAATTGGATTGTTTATAACACAAAGAAATGATAAATGCTTGAGGGATGGATACCCCATTTACTCTGATGTGATTATTATGCATTACATGCTTATATCAAAATATCTCATGTACCCCATAAATATATACACTTACTAAGTACCCATAAAATTTTAAAATAAAAAAATTTAAAATAAAAATAAATTTAAAAATAAATGTATCTTCCTGCCCAGGGAAGCCAGGCTGTCCTCTGAGGATTCTACTTCCAGCAGCCCTCTCAGCTAAAGACTGCCTCTCCTCTTCCCCAAGCACCTGAAGGCTGGGAGAGGGGTAAATGCTCATCTGGTGCCCCCTTGTAACTTCTCAAATGTCTGATCTTCTCCTTCAAAAACCCCAGCTTTTTTGAAGCCAATCACCAAACTATGCAGCCTCACAAGCCTCTCATTGCTGTGTGCTGGCTGCCTCCTGGTTCATGGAGTCATGGGTGATGTCAGCTTATGACTTACTGCCATAAGCCCCATCATTGACTTTGGAGTCAACCAACATCCTGAGACTCACCTCCTTGTCCTCCTTTGCTCCAGTGACCTTTTCCTCCAGCCCACCTCAGCCATTCACTCACATGGTCGTTGGTCTAGGTCTAGCAAAATATCATCTTCAAACTAGTGTTCCACTATTTCGCTAGACCTAGACCATGTGAAACCTAGACCCTGCCATTGCCAATAACTGCAGCCTTTGGCTCCCAGACACCATGTTCTCCTTGTTCATCTCCCTGACCTCCTTGCTCATCTCTCTGACCTCTGAACATTGGTATGCCTCTTGTATTGTTGGCCTTTTCTCTCCTCTATTCACACACATTCCTGTAAAGATCTCATGCAGTCTCATGGCTTCAGATGAGTTTCAAATTTTTTTAACTTCAGTATAAAATAGAACTGAACTAGAGCTCAGAACCCTGAATTCTAGTCTCATACAGCCAACTGCTTATTCCACACCTCTGCTTTCAAGTCTAAAAGGAATCTCAACCCTGACATGAACAAAACCAAAACCTGATTTGAAACCAAATCTAACTACCCCTCAGTTTTCTCTACCTGAGTAAATATTTATTCCAACCTTCCAGTTGCTCAGGACAAAGTTCTTAGACTCTCCCTTGTCTCCTCTCTGCCTCATGTCCCACTTCCAGCCCATTGGCAAACACTTCTTCTTCTTCCTTCACAACACATCCAAATTCTGGCCAGATTCTCTTCTCCATCGCCAGCACTACTAGCCAGGTGTAGGTCACTATCTGCTTTCACCTGGATTATTGCAAGAGCTTCCCAGCTGGCCTCCCTCCCTCGATCTTGTCCCTCTTCTGTCTCCTCTCAACACAGCAGGCATAGTGTTCCTTCTAAGAGTATGTCTCATCTCTGTTCCAGACCCTCCAGTGGCTTCCCATCTTACACAAGGTAAAAGCCAAATCTTTGCAATGACCTGCAAAGCCCTCCTCAAGCTGGCACATGCTCCATGCAATCTGATCCCTTCCCCCCATCATGTCTCTGACCTCCTCTCTTACTACTCTTCCCTTGCAGAGAGTATGAGCCCTCCGAGATACCCAGGGCACCTCGCTTTAGCCACAGGCCTACCTTGCATCTGTTGTCATTCTGCCTGGACTGCACTTCCTGAGATATCTGTATGTCAATTCCAGTCCCTTCTTTCCAACCTTTGCTCAAATATCCAGCCCAGGCTGGAGTGCAATGGAGCGATCTCAGCTCACTGCAACCTCCACATCCCGGGTTCAAGCAATTCTGCCTCAGCCTCCCTAGTAGCTGGGGTTACAGGTGCACGCTGCCATGCCTGGCTAACTTTTTTTGTATTTAGTAGAGATGGGTTTTCACCATGTTGCCTAGGCTGGTCTCAAACTCCTGAGCTCAGGCAATCCGCCCACCTCGGCCTTCCAAACTGCTGTGATTACAGGCGTGAGCCACAGCACCCAGCCGTCTATTGTACATTTTATTCTATTTCCTGATTTATAAAGTCCATTTATCCAAATCTGCTTTCCAGAGCTTTATTTTTCTGAACCTTTATTTGAAGGTTTATTTATATTTTTACTCTTTAGCTTTTTACTTTTATTTTTTAATATGCATATCCAGAGTTAGAAATTTTCTCTCAGGTCTGCAACCAAATCTAATGTTATTTGATATTATATGGAACCTGTCTTTTTTTATTTTTTTATTGTGGTAAGAACACTTAACATGAAATCTACGCTATTAACAAATTTTAAATATACAATGTAATAATGCTAACCACAGGCACAATGTTGTAGAGCAGATCTCTCAGTCTTGATCACCTTGCATAATGGCAGCTATACCCATTGAATAGAAACTCTCCATTTCTCCCTCTCCCCACTCCAACTCTTCTTCAACTCAACTAATCGCTTACTGTACCCCCATACCCAAGCGGCTAAATGTTGCTGGAGAAAAGTCACACAACCAAGGCTATCAGGACCCATTTCAAATTTATGACCAAAAATCTTCAGTGAGCACTCAACACTATCTGACAACTAAACTTCCCTAGTAAATTCATTAACCTACTCCCAAGATGACTATTACACACTTTCTCCTCAGTCCTCAAATCTCCAACATCTCCTCCCACTCAACTTCAGCCGAAGACTTTGTCATATATTTCATGCAGAAATATAGATGCAATCATGTGAAAACCATTTCAACTTCCCACCTTCATTCCACAAGCTTATTCATATCTGTAGTCACATGCTCTGGTAAACTTGTGCCCTATTTCCCAGCTTGCTCTCCTTCTCATGAGCTGGGCTCCTGAAACAGTTTCTTCTTTTCTGTATCATCTATTCCTTCCTAAACTAAATCTTTAAGCACTAGCTCCTCCAGCAATTTTTTTTATAAGTCTCTTCTCTGGCTACACTTTTTTCTTTAGTGATTCCAAAAGCCCCCATGTCTTCAAATATCATCCAAATGTTGATGATGCCCAAATTCATTTTACTAGTCCAGATCTCTTTCCTGAGGTTTAGATTTGCATGTATAAATACATCTTTATTACATCTCTGTACGTTTAATAGGTGTCTTAAATTAACACGGCTGAAACTGAGCTATTGATCTTCTCTATCAAAAAAAATCATTCCTAAATTATTTTCCTATCCTAGTACCACCATACACCCAATTTCTCAGGTCAAAACCAGAGTCATCTCCTTGGATTTCTTTCTCTCAACTCTGCATTCAACCCCACAGCAAGCCCTGTCAGCATGACCTTCAAAAATTTATCCTGAATCCAGACTCTTCTGGTCATCTCCACTGCAAATTCTTCAGTCTACACCATCGTCTTCTCTCCCTTGGACCACCAGAAGAGCAACAAACAAGAAAAATGAGTTAAATATACAGCATGTTTCATAGTGATAAGAGCTAAGGAGAAAAAGTAAAGCAAGGAGTCGGGGTAGAAAGTGTTGGATTGAAGGGGTTGAAATTTGAGCCAGTGCAGCTATGGGAGTCTCAGGCTTTAAGATGGGAATATGCCTGCTCATTCAAGCACCAGTAGAAGACACGTGTGGCTGGAGTAGTTAAAGGCTGGGAGAGGCAGGAGATGAGCTCAGAATGGTCATGAATGACAGGGGTGTGGGGCAGCCCCGTGGCCAGGACACACAGAGCCTGGTAGGTCACGGAACGGACTTGGGCTTTCACTTTGAGTGAGGTGGGGAGCCATTGAAAAGTTTTGAACGGAGAAATGGCTTACTTTCAACAGGAGCATTCTGCCGTGGTGTTGAGAATAGATTACAGACAGCAAAGGTGCAAGTGGGGGGTCAGTTGAAAATAATCTATTACAGAAAGTAATCTAGTAATTGCAGTATTGCTATAATGTATTCTACAGTAATCCAGGTGAGAAATGTGGCTTTGACCAAGATGGTGGCAGTGGGGTAGGGTTTAGTGAAAAGTGCCAGAATTTTGGAGATATATATATTAGTTCTTATATATATAATAGCTCTTATCACTATGATATATATATATATATATATATATACACACACACACACACACACACACACACATACATAAACATAATCTTCAGTTAGGGCTAGGAAGAGTTGCTGAGAGACCAAAAGTGGGTGTGAGAGTAAGAGAAGAGTCAACAACAATGTCTCCAGCATTTCTGGAGACCTTTTGTCTTCACTTCGCTTATTCCCAATTAATAATTAGAATAATCCATGAGGAAGGCTGGCAGGCTATGGTCACAGTGGGTGATGGGAACCTGGATGGGGTCCTTGCAGGAAGTCTTGAGGTATGCTTGGACCCTGGCTTCTGGGACATGTCAGGAGAAGGGAGCATTGGCTTTTCCATCATCAAGCCAAAGATGCCCCTCTTTGGGGGTATCTTTAGTCCCAAGGAGATGCCTCCTTGGACGTCTGCTTCTCTCTCCAACCTGCATTCCTTTGATCAGTCAACCCAGGAGGTGGAGCTGGGCCTGGACTTGGAATTCCCACTATGAACCTGGAAAATGTTCATAAAACAAAAACAAACACAAAGCCAGAAGTTTGAAAATGGCCGGTGGATAGCAGAGACAGGGATTAGTGGAGGTGTGGACCGGAGGGAGGCCCAGTGCCTTCACAGGCAGAACTAGCAACTGGAGGAAGAGAACAGTCTCTTGCAGCTGAAAGTGGACATCCTGCTGGACATGTTTTCAGAGACCACTGCTAAATCCCTTTTAATGGAGAAGGAATTGGATGCATGGAAGAGTGTCAGCCAGAGGAGAAAATGAAGACCCTAAAGACTTTCGTTAGGAGAGCAGGGAGAAAGCCACTGATCAGGGGAGTAGATGTGGCTAAGCAGGGTTTTTTTATTTGTTTGTTTGTTTTTTTTTTTTTTTGCGGGGGGGGTAGGGGTTGTTTGTTTTCTAGCAGACTAGCGGATTAGGTCCTGAGAGACAGTATCATATAATGTAGCCAATAGGCACTGATACCCTTGGGTTGGCAATAAGATGGTGAAATTTAATGGAGGAAACCAGGCCTCCAGGCCAGGGCAGTAACCAGAAAGTCACTCCAGATGCACTGCTAGGGATGCCAGCCTGTAAAGAAAACCTCAGGGAGATCTGGGGGTGATGATAAGCCTTGGGGTGCCCTCCACACATGTAAGCATGCAAATGTCCATGTCCCAGAATCACCATGTTGGACGGACACCATCGGGAGAAGCAGCTGGAGCTCATCATCTCATCCCCTTTAGTGTTTGGGGCACTACGCCAGTTCAAAAGAGCCCATATTAGGGCTGCTTGGATGAGTGGCTCTCTTGGTTCTCTGCCCCTCTGACCACTCTCTCCCTGTCCTTACAGAGTACTTGTTCCCCACATCCACAACCTCCTCGGCTTCCGCTTCCCAACAGCATGCACCAATCTTCCACTGCAACACTGTATTTTGTGCTACTTCCTGTTCACACTACTTCTTTTTCATTAAATGATTGATGTTAAAATTATTTTTAAGTCCATGAAAATGAAGTCTCGTGTTTCTTTGAGTCAGTTTCAGAATTTCTCTAGAAATGTCTTTCTTAGGAATGTCACCAGTCAATCCTCCAGTAGTAAGAAGGCCACCCTCTCTAAGGAAATAGCCATTAAAATCAGTGACTCTGGAGCATTTTGTTGAGCAATGCTGTTTCTCCAACATTTGAATTGCTTTCATCAATTCCCATCTGAGTTCTTTTTAGCTTACATCAGTGATCTTTTAGGCTTCCTTATGATCAAAGGAGAGGCTTCCCAACAAAATGCAAATCTTACTACCCAAGACACATGGCAAGGTGTGTGAGAAGAGAAGTATGGAGAACCTGTAGAAGCACTGGAAGCCACTTTGTCACCTCTGCTCAGATAAATATACCTACAGAAGTCACTTCAGCAATTGGACCCTAAGCAGCCTCCAGCCTCCAGTAGAAGCACAAGGACTGCTCTGGAATTCAGCCACCTGGAGTCTCAGGAAAAGCACCCACCTGCCCCGTGACTATGGACAACCACTACACTTTAGTGCTCCCACTCCTAAATCTCTTAAAGAAAATATTAGATGGTTCTTGAGGTTGCTTCCAACACTGATATTCTATATTGCAGATACAATCTAGCTAGATTTTATGAATGCAGTGGGGTAGAAAGTCAACACTATCAAGTTTTCTCTCCTCCCATCTTATCCGGAGATTTGTATTCTATGAGCAGAGCACTAAAGACAATCACAAATAGATAGAATTCACCCAAACTCTTATGCCAAATCTTCTCTTATCCTACTGATAACTTTCAGCAAAAAAGGCATGAATATTGTCGGGCCAAAACTTTAGACTTAAGGGACTGGTGCTGCTAAAAGTGTGACATGGCCTTATAAACTTCTCTTTCTCATTTTCCTTGTATTTTTTGACTAATCCATTCAGATTTCCTTAATATATCTTCAATGAGTATATAACACTTTTTTAAAGGCCATGTTTGACTTTATACCTGGCCCATTTATTATTGTATTGGCTATTTGTTGCTGTGTAAGAAAATACCCCAAACTTAGTGGATTAAGAAAACAATTGCTTATAAGTTCACAGTTTCTGTGGGTCAGAAATTCATGAGGTCATGATCAAGATGTTGGCCGAGGATGCAGTCTCATGTGAGGGTTTAACTGGGGTTCCTTCACATGGCTGTTGACAAGAGGCCTGGGTTCCCCACCAAAGGCACCTCTCATTAGGCAGCTTGAGTGTCCTCACAGCATGGCCAGCTTTCCCAGAACACAAGAAATCTAAGAAAAAGCAAAGAAGAATCAATAGTATTGCCTTTTATAACCTAGCTTTAAAGATCACATGCTGCCATTTATACCTTGTTCCATTCGTTAGAAGCAAGTTGCTAAGCCCAGCTGCATTCAAGGGGAGGGAAATAAGGCTCTATCTTTTAAGGGAATGTCAAAGAACTTGTGAACGTGTTTTAAACCAACAGATTATTAATATTTTTAAAATACTCAGAGGAGTATTTTTAGAACTAGAAGTAGTTCTAGGTTCAACTAAAACCTCAGGCAGCCATGAGTAAACTTTAGAACTAGAAGAAAGCATTAGAGAGTGTACATTATGGCCCCATGGGAAAATGTAAAAGTAACCAAAGGCAGTATTGAGTCTAATGAAAACATAGTATCCTAGGAAGAGCTCACTTGTAGATGTGACAGCCCTAAGCTTCAAACTTGGCCTCCCATTTCTAATTGTGTGAACACTTAATTTCACCATGCCTCAGTTTCCTCATCTATAAAATGGGAGGATTAACACTTATTTTATAAGGTGTTGTAAAGATTAAATGCAATATTTTATAGAAAGTTACTAGCACAAAATTTGTCACATAGTAGGTGCCCAATAAATCTTAGTTTTCTTCCCGATTTACTTGCTCCGCTAACAGGTGGCAGAGCTAGAACCAAGGTGCTAATACCCAGATCTGTGCCCTTTCTAGTACATATTGTTGAGTTACTTGTCATTTTTCTTATTTGGATATTACCTGGATGTCTTTTATTAGCCCTCTTGTTAAATAACTTATATTGATCATTAAGATTTTCATTTCTCCACATGCTCTTAATATGTTCTTTAAAGAAGAATCTGCCAGTGTGATTTGTAAATTGGTGAAACAATGTAATAGGGAGAGTGGGGGCACTACCATATCAAGGAACTGGTATGTACCCCCAACAAACCCAGTAGCCAGAGTCAAAGTAAACAGACCCATATGTCCATATGCCAAGCAAGAAGCTTCTACTGTGAACACCCAGCAGGACAAATTAAACCTCAGCCAGCCAGGAGTTACCCTCCATTGAGTTGGGAGCTGGACAGCTTGGTGAACAAGGTGTTCCTCTCCAGCTTCCTCTTGTGGAGATTTTAGCTTTAACTCTTTGTTAACCTCTCTGCTTACCTATATGAGTATGATGCCACTCTCCCAACACTCTGACCCATTTTACTAGGTTACTATTTGTGGTCCTTGGAAGAGCTCTGAAAGTTTCACTAAACCCTCTGCACTTCCTTTTCTGACTATATGATGGCTCTCGATGCCTTGTTAATCTTGATAAGGAACTAATCCCCACACCCCGAAAATCATTCTTAGGCAAAGGAAACCATCTGAAGAACCCAGAAACTATCCCAAAATTTTTGCACAAAACCACCCACAGCTGTTTTGAGATAAGTGACAGCATTTAATTTCATGAGGAAAGCAAAAGAATGTTCTGTTACAGACTTTGCAGATTGCCTTTGCAGGGGTAGTTTTGCTTTTCGCTACTAACCATCCATTCTCCTTTGAGGCCCTCACTCAGCCAACTAAACAGCTACTGCATGAGAATCACAGAAAGACCTTCCCTGACTACCCTAGCTAAAGCACTCTTTTTCCACACCCCACCTGATCCCCTGGCGTTTTACTCCGTAACATCTATCACTCTCTGAAATGTTCTTGTGCATGGTGTATGTGGTTAGTTACTTGTTCACTGCCTCTCTCCCGACTAAACTCTAAATGATACAAATGTAGCCACCCTCTCTCTCTTATTATCCATAGCATGCAGAAAAATCCACCTAAAATATAATTTGATCAGTGGATGAATAAATGAACACATAATAGCTAAATGTATTGACTGTTTTACAGTATTATCAGTGCTTTTTATTTAATCTTCAAAATAACTTGATAAGTACTATTATTATTCCCATTTTATAGAGGAGGAAAGTGAGCCCCAGAGAAGTTAAGTTACTTGCTCAAAGTCACCATTCCAACAAGAAAAGGAACTAGACTTTGAACCCAGACATCATGCTCAATCTATAAAGGGGTCCCTTCAATACTCACCCTCTTTTCAGCCTAGCTCTGAACAATTTGAGAAATAAAACAAAAGAACAATAACGGGGATGGAAATGTTATCTTTATAATTGATGGAGGCCAAGTTGGAAGACATTGAGCATTAGGCCTTTCAGGAAAGTAGACGTTAACATTGAACTCCAGATCTGGCAGTCCTGTGCTCTCAGCCCTGGGAAGCAGTACAGAGGGGTCCTGCCGGAGGGGCTTACATCAATGAGGGAGCAGAGCAACATGCCCAAAAGGAAAGAAGGAACCAAGCAAGCCCAGCTCTTCTTCTCAAATTGACCAATCAAATAAGCCATCCCACCTCTCTAGGGCAGAGTTGGTAAAAGGGCACAGGGAGGTCACAAGTTACATTCTCTGAGTTCCCTTCAAGGAAGAAAATGAAAGGATTGGGGAGATCACATCATTCTAAGAACGCCTCATGAGTATGGGGGGAAGAAAGGGTGCATGCACATCCACATGCATATGCAAAGGCATAACCAGCACTGCACATCCCACAGAGTGCCCTGTACACCATTTTTGCGGACTTCAGCTTTAAACCAAAGTTGGGACAATTGTCTCAACACTGACTGATATTACACAGCTAACTCTGCCATGGGTGATTTGTTGCCTCTGATGCCCAGATAAATACAATTGAAGCAGAATTTAAATACATGCCGTTTCTGTAGTCTCTGGAGCACTGATTTTAAATAGGGCTATAAAGGAACTCTGGGCTGGGGGAGGGGGAAGGAAGAAAAGGTAAAGTAAAAATTTTTAAATGTGAGTGTGAGACCATCTGAGATGCCTAGCCCCAGTGGAACCACCCCACCTAGTAGCCCAAGGAGCAGGGATGAACTGTCTCTGCTGAGTCCTGCCCAAATTCCAGACCCACAGAAGCGAGAACCATAAAATGGTGGCTACTTTGAGCCAGTGATTTGGGGGGTAGTTTGTTTCACAGCAATAGATAACTGATACAGGGGTAAATAGATGCAGTATTCTGTGCATTTTATTTGATTATGAAATTTTTCTCTGTAACACTATTCTACCTAACAGATTCTTGGAAATGCTGATCTAAGTAGTTAACATGATGGACATGTCTAAATCACAGTGAGACAACTTCTTAATAAGTGATTGCTGTGGCCTCAGAAATTTCCTTTTTAAAAGGTCTGTTAGTCTTTCATTAACTGCCATTAGTTTCAAACACAATTTTTACAAGTTATTCATTCATTCAACAGATACTTGTTGAGTGCTAGAGCGGATCATGTTTTCCGAAGCTAGCCAGAGCAATACCTCCCATCCCACACAGCCTGTGTCCAGCGTGACCTTGACACTCCTCTGTCAAGTGGAGGGGTCTGTGTCCCTTTTCTGAGAATCAGAGAGAGTGTGACTTCCTGAAAAACAGAGTACTGTGAAACGAATGTTCTGTGACTTCTGAAGCTAGATCATTAAAATGCCAAGCACTTTGTCTTGCTATCTTGAGACACTTGCTCTTGGAGCCCAGCTGCCATGTCATGAGGAAGCCCAGCTAGCCCATGTGGAGAGATCATGTGGAAGGATCACATGTAGCTATCTTGGCTGACAGTCCAACTGAGGCTCTGACCAATAGCCAACACCAATCAACAAACACATAGGTGGATGCCACCCAGTTGGCACCTCTGGGTATTCCAATAGCTAGTTAATGTGTGAATATTCTGGCTGACAGTCCAGCTAAAGCCTCAACCAACAGCCAGCATCACCCAGTCGTGTGAGTGAAGACACCGTTAGATGATTGCAGCCCTTAGACATCTGGTCACACCTGGCTTCTTCTCAAATATCATGGAGGCCCCAGATATCATGGAATGGAAACAAACCATTCCTGCTGTGTCAAATATCTAATTCATAGAATCCATAAATAAAATGGCTAGGTTTTGGAGGGGTTTGTTAATGCAACAATAGCAGCTGCGACTAGTAGGAATGTGCCCACTGTGTGTAAAGCACTGGGATCGATGAGGTGGAGAGTAGAAAGATATTTAAGACCTCAGAAATGTATTGTTTTAAGTCTATACTTTTTGTTTTTTTTTTTTTTTTTTTGAGGCAGAGTCTCATTCTGTCGTCAGGCTGAAGTGCAGTGGTGCACTGTCAGCTCACTGCAACCTCCTCCTCTCGGGTTCAAGTGATTCTCCTGCCTCAGCCTCCTGAGTAGCTGGGACTACAGGCGCATGCCACCATGCCCAGCTAATTTTTTTTTGTATTTTTGGTAGAGACAGGGTTTCACTATGTTGGCCAGGATGTCTCGATCTCCTGACCTCATGATCTGCCCACCTCAGCCTCCCAAAGTGCTGGGATTACAGGCGTGAGCCACTGCACCTGTCCTAATTCTGTACTTTTCCCTATCCAATTTCACCATCCTTCTTATGTCAACTTAAATGTTTCCTCCTCTAGAAAGTTTACCTCATATGTCATTCACTTTCAGACTTCTGAAGTTCTCCTACTGTGGCTTGTAACACCTAGGCCTACCACATCATAGTTTCAGCAGGTTTTTCCTTTGACTGACTCTCCTTGTCTATTTTCTTCTGATCCACAGTAGACTGCAGGCTTCTGGAGGATAGACATTGTCCCTACTGTCCCTTGTTTCCTATGATAATTCTCAGCAACTAGCTCAAATCTGATACGTTTGCTGAAAATATTCCATGTATTTGTTGGGAAAAAAATAAAGGCACTATACAATAGGTAAATAAATCAGTCTGCTTTGTTTTTCCTCAACTGTCTTCCTATAGATACGGAGATGAATATTATTTTCTCTCAAAAACAAGAATATATATTTTTAAATGATATACTCTACACTTTATAGCCAGTCCTATCTCTCTCACTTCCAGCTTCATGCAGCCTATATGCCAATCATATCAAACTCTTCGCCCTCTTCTAAATATCCATGGCCTTGGCCTTGTGCCTTCTCTTCCATTACTAGGAATTCTCCTCTTTCCTCTATCTGAAGAACTCCTATCCTTTTTTCAAGGTGCAACTTATATTATCTCCTTTGTGAAAATGTCTACAAATATTAAGAACAGGATTCATTGTTATCTTCTGTCTGCCTATGGCATGTTTTATTTACCTCTGTTACTGTAATATATTCATTGTAATTATTTGTGTAGATTTGATTTTTATATCCAATTTCCCATTCTGTCTGTTCCACACTCCCATGGACTTTGCCTGTAACCCCCAGTGGATGAAGGACTTCAGATGCACTCTGTTTTTAGGCTACACTGTTGAGCTCCTCTAGGTCAAGACATTTTAGGAGACTACTTTTAATGTTGGTCTTATTTTAGTCCCTTGGGCATAAGTCTCAGGAAGGAGGCAAAAAAGAAAAGCTGCATGATGAACTCCAATTTTTCCCTTTTAGAAAAGCTCTAGCCAGGTGCGGTGGCTCGTGTCTCTAATTCCAGCACTTTGGGAGGCCAAGGAAGGCAGATCATTTGAGACCAAGAATTCGAGACCAGCCTGGGCAACATGGTGAAACCCTGTCTCTACAAAAATTAGCATGGCATGGTGGTGCACGCCTGTAATCCCAGCTACTCAGGAGTCTGAAGCAGGAGAATCACTTGAGCCTAGGAAGCTGAGGCAGCAGTGAGCCAAAATCATACCACTGCACTCTAGTCTGGGCTGGTTTCACAGAATGAGACCCTGTCTCAAAAAAAAAGTTCAATGACATTGGTCTGGGCAATGATGTTTTGGTTTTTTGTTTTGTTTTGTTTTGTTTTTTAAAATAGAGCCTCACTCTGTTGCCTGGGCTGGAGTGCAGCAGTGTGATCTCGGCTCACTGCAACCTCTGCCTCTCAATTTCAAGTGATTCTCGTGCCTCAGCCACCAAGTAGCTGGGATTACAGGCGTGCAACACCAGGCCCAGCTAATTTTTGTATTTTTAGTAGAGATGGAGTTTCACCATGTTGGCCAGGCTGGTCTTGAACTCCTGGCTTCAAGTGATCCACCTGCCTCGGCCTCCCAAAGTGCTGGGATTATGAAAGTGAGCCACCACACCCAGCCTATTATTTTTTTATATGACTTCAAAACCATGGGTAACAAAGCTGAAAATAGATAAATGGGATTGTATCAAACTAAAATTCTTCTGCACAATCAAGAAAACAGTCAACAGAGTGAAAAGACAACCTATAGAATGGGGGAAAATATTTTCAAACTACGCATCTGATAAAAACTGATATGGTTTGTCTCTGTGTCCCTACCCAAATCTCATCTTGTAACTCCCATAATTCCCACATGTTGTGGGAGGGACCGAGTGGGAGATGATTGAATCATGGAAGTGGGTCTTTCCCATGCTGTTCTTGTGGTAGCGAATGGGTCTCACAAGATCTGATGGTTTTAAAAATGGGAGTTTCTCTGCACAAGCTCTCTCTTTGCCTGTTGCCATCCATGTAAGATGTAACTTGCTCCTCCTTGCCTTCTGCCATGATTGTGAGGTCTCCCCAGCCATGTGGAACTGTAAGTCCAGTAAACCTCTTTCTTTTGTAAATTGCCCAGTCTTGCTGGCAATTGCTGATAAAGTATGTCTTTATCAGCAGCATGAAAATGGACTAATACAAAAACTTAATATCCAAAATATATAAGGAACTCAAACAAATAAATAGCAAGAAACTGAATAACTCAATTAAAAAATGGGTAAAGGAGAACAGACAATTCTCAAAAGACACATAAATTGATGAAGGTCTAGGAAAAAATGTTCGACGTGACTAATCATCAGCAAAATGCAAATTGAAGCCACCATAACATATCACCTCACACCTGTTAGAATGGCTATTATCAAAAAGATAAAAGATTTGTTAAGGATGTGAAGAAAAAAGAAACCTCACACACTGTTGATAGGAATGTAAGTTAATGCAGCCATTATGGAAAACAGTATGGAGGTTCCTCAAAAAATTCAAAATACAACTACCATGTGATCCAGTGATCGCACTACTGGGAATGTATTCAAAGGATATGAAATCAGTATCTCCAAGAGATACCTGTACCCTCATATTTATTGCAGCATTATTCACAATAACCAAGATATGAAATTA
Organism: Homo sapiens; assembly: GCF_000001405.40. Lineage (NCBI taxonomy): Eukaryota > Metazoa > Chordata > Mammalia > Primates > Hominidae > Homo > Homo sapiens. Next base: position 173,468,915 of record NC_000002.12, on the reverse strand, counting down.
ACCTCAATGTTCAACAGTGGATGAATAAAGAAAATGTAGCATTTATGTACAATGAAATACTATTTGACCTTAAAAAAATAAGGAAGTTTCATGCCGTTTCAAGGGAGTAGTTAAAAAAATAAATAACAAAATAAAATAAGGAAGGCCTGACATTTGCATCAACACAGATGAACTGTGAGGATGTTTTTTTAGGTGAAATAGGCCATGAGCAGAAAGGCCAGTACTGCATGATCTCACTTATATGTGGAATCTAAAAAAGTCAAACTCAGGCCGGGCACATTTCCAGGCCCTGAGAGGACACAGAGGCCTGAAACCCTTTTCTGCATGGCCCGCAGCAGTTTAGACCTGTGTCAAGAGCTGGCAGAACTGGAATGTCTTGCAACTGGGATGTAGGGGAGAGCTGTTGGTCAGAGGATGCAAAATTTCAGTTAGATAGGAGGAATATGTTCAAGAGATCTATTGTGCAACATGGTAACTGTAGTTCATAACAATGTATTATATTCTTGAAAATGCAGAGAGTGCATTTTAAGTGTTCTCACCACAAAATGGTAAGTATGTGAGGTAACGCATGCTAATAGCTTGAGTTAACCATTCCACAGTGTATACATATTTTAAAATATCATGTTGTACATAATCTATAAAATTTTTATTTGTCAATTAAAAATTTTTTAATTATCCTTTTTCCGCAGAATATCCTTCTATCCTCTTGTAAGTGATTACCCTACCTCCAAGCAATTCCCTCCCTCCATGCTAGGATCCACACAGCTTAAGTCTGTGTTTGAGATCTTCAGCACACTTGTTGGTACTTCTGTCCTCCACAGTGAGTCTATTTGCTCCTCGAGGGCCAAAACCTTGTCTTCAGTGTCCACATACCTATCTGAGCACTGCCATTGTACATGACCTAATAGGAGCTCAGTGGCTGAATAAATGATTGATGGTTTATAATACTTTTCAAAGGGCTTCTAGCTATTATTGTTATGCAATGAAATGGTTTTGACTCACAATTTTTAAATAAGAATAAAGACTAAAGTGATTTATACATGATCTTGGGATTGCTTGAAAATATCACATAGCATGCTTATTATCTTCACCAGAAATGGATTTAGATTATACACATATGCTTATTATCCCCATTGTTGTGATATATGCATAATTGCTCTCCTCCAAGAATATTTAATCACAGTGGGTGCAGCTTTAAATAATATTACTTAATATATTAGAAATCCAACATCCATCAAAATAATGTGGCACTGCCTTATTTATGAGGTACTAGTCTATAGCAATAGAAATGATATCAGATAGCAACAAAAAGGATAGATTTGACTTCTCATAGAACTCTCCCCAAAACAGAAGCCTGACCTTAGCTCAGTACACTTTATGTTTGGTATTAAACTGATAACATTTCATCAGCAGCACATACACAAGACACAATGCTACAGCTTGCATAACACAGGATTTGACGTCCCTTTATCTCATCAGAGTTAGATTGAATCTTTTTATTCACCTTAGTGAAGTTCATTGGAATGCAATAAGTAAATTCTTTTTTCTGTAGTGTTACACAATGTGGATAGTGTCTTAAATATATAATTTAAAATAAGTCTCTAATGTTTTCTACACTCACTTGGATGTGATGTAGGAGAGATGGAAAAATTTGCTCTTGGGTGTGGTATAGTTTCTATGATTAAATGCTTTATTCATACTCATATGTCAATCTATTAGTGTGCTGTTAATTCAAATGTTACTATGATGTATTTTATCCCCATTAGCACATTCATCACAGGTGGATGTGAAACTTAGACAAAGGTGTATGTTCTCATTAATGATGAGCAGCCTATTCATCTTACTGGAATGTAATTAATGTTAGTTACAATCCTTAATTTTTCACTGTTTGTCATGATGCGTATTTAGCATTTCTCTTGTCCTTTATCAACCAGCTCCTTCTTATCACACAGCTAATTCAAAAAGACATATATTTAACTAAATCTGGTGCTTCATTTTAAAAGTATTTTACTGTCTATGTTTCTTAATGTTTGTGGCAGTTTCCAAACAGTGGGACTTCATATTGGATGCAAAACTGCAAAAACAATATTAAGGGGATGATTTGGTTCACCTTTCTTTTAGTGTATGGGATTAATATAATTCATTTGCTAAATTAAATAAAAAGACTTTCCAAAGATGTATTTATATTCTGCAGTACAGCATCAACTGAATAGAATAGTCTTTTAGGTAACAGCAAAGAAAGAGCATGTTAAAAAAGTACATGCATTGCCATGTATTACACAGATGCATAAATACATACATATTATCTAGTGTTCTTTCTATCTGTTGTTTTTATTAAAAGTGTTTTATATATGATAACTCATTTAATCTCATAATAATCCCTATGAGGTCATAGTCCTATTATTATTTCCATTTTACAACTGAGGTAACAGAAAGACAGAGAGGTTAAGTAACTTGCCCAAAACCACATAGCTAGTGAGTGTGTGGATCCAGGCCCAGGGAGCCTGACTCCAGAGCTCGTGGACTTAATTCTGCCATGCTGCCTCTCGTATTTATAACTCCTAATGAACTTCATCATTTAATGGTAGTACATTAAATATGCATGAAGTCTAAGCTAGGATTCTGATTTTACTTACATTCAATGATCTTTTTATCATTTTGCTTTAATTTTACTCTAATGACATAAATGTGTTGAGCAAAATATCGATACGCTATTTGCAAAACAATAAACTTTAAGCCCTTTGAGGTCAAAGAAGACATTTTATGTGACTTTATCCTCCCTGTATCTACACATGTATATAAATACAATACACATACGGTTGATTTCAAGCTACGTTACATCTCCAAGTTGCAAAGCCAGCGATAAAGCAAGCCAGAAAAGCATACCTGTAGGTGAATATTTCTCACAGAGAGAGGCCACTCTGCCTCTGAGAGGGCTGTTGTCCTTCCCACTGGGAGTTTTGAAACCACTTAGGGACAGCAACCATTAATAGGCATTTTAACCAATAAATAAATTTTTTAAATTTAGGGTTCAAAGGAAAATGAGATAAATTCAGCCTCACACAGATTACAATTGTGAGGCTATGCTAATCATGTATCTTAAAGGTTTTCAAATGAAATTCAAGCATTTGGCTGTGTCTCTTCTACTCCAAATATCTGTTTAAAATTCAGTATTGAATTGGTGTTGAAATGGGTATGATATTTCTTAATATTTCTTACTCCACACTCAGGTTTTCAGAAACTGTAACTCTCTTTACTTTTCTGCAACTGAACTGAGTATCTGTCTCAATAGAAACTCAAATCTTCCTTCTGTCCTCTAAAGGAAAATGTTTTTCAATTCATAGAAACATAGTCAGATCAGAGCTTGCCTAATGGATTCATGGTAAATTTGGTCAAAGTTAGAGTCTCCCCTTCACCCAGAGGAGGCATGTCATCTATGCTCCCTCCCGTCGGGGGAGGCCTCGGGTCCTCAGCCTCCATCTGTCCACCGGGCATCTTCAGAATTGTAGGGATCCTGCCTGATTCTTTGCTATCCTCATCTCTTCTTGCTGGTACCCACCAGCATGGTGATGTTCCCATCTGGCCTCCAGCCATGGCACTCAGCCTGTACCTGTGACTGCCTTCCCCTACACCAGTTGTAAGACATCCCAGTTCTGACAGATCTTGACACAGGTCTAAACTGCTGCAGGCCACGCAGGAAAAGGTTTCAGGCCTCTGTGTCCTCTCAGGGCCTGAAAATGCTCCGGGAGGTGGCCTCAGCCCCAGCTGCCCGCAAGCAGCACAGGAGTAAGAGGCCACCGTGGCTACACTCCCAGCTCCGCACTGCCTTGCAGGCCAGGCAAGTAGAGCTGCTAACTTACCTAAGGGTCTGTCACCTGCGTGTACGGGACACAGGCACAGCGTAGAACCCCTGTGGGAGAGACGGTCACTAACTTCTAACTATTTTGATCTTCTTTAACTCTTGGGGGAATACAGTTGGTAGCAGAGAGGCTGCTTCTACCCTATCGTGTATTCTACCAAATAGTTCCTGTCTCATACATGAACCCCAGCTTAGATCTTCATGAAACCTTCACCCCCACCCCATCACTTCCTAGGGCCAAAAAACCGCCTCCTACCTAACGGCATAAATAGGTGTGAGAAAACTGCAGGGGACAACGCTGTTCTGTTATCCCTGTCACAGTGCCGCAGGGAAAGCAGCAACCGGATCTTTAATTGAGTGTGTCGCTGAGCTCTTCTAGTCTAGAAAACAGCCAGGAAGTGGATTCTTTGTCCTTTCTTGTGTTTATTAGCCGTCCCAGTGCACTGGCTTCTTCTCCTTAAAACAGCCTTCTGCCTTTACTTCCGTATTCAATTTGTTTTCCAGTTTCCCAATGCTGATGTTTGTTCAAACCTACAGAAAGAATATGAACTACTCCCCTACACCAGGTCATGCCTGGCCGAAGTGACAGAAAACCCTTTAGAAAGTACATCAAGAAACTGTAGTGATCTACTGTAATTTTCTTGAGTTTAAATGCAATTTGGGGGCTGGGCGTGGTGGCTCCCACCTGTAATCCCAGCACTTTGGGAGGCTGAGGTGGGCAGATCACCTGAGGTCAGGAGTTCGAGACTAGCCTGGCCAACATGGTGAAACCCTGTCTCTACTAAAAACACAAAAATTAGCCTGGCCTAGTGGTAGGCGCCTGTAATCCCAGCTATTCAGGAGGCTGAGGCAGGAGAATCTCTTGAAAACAGGAGGTAGAGGCTGCAGGGAGCCGAGATCCCACCACTGCACTCCAGCCTGGGCGACAGAGCAAGACAGTCTCAAAAAATAAATAAATAAATAAATGCAATTCGGGTGTAACCACTGCCATGCTGTGTACATTTTAAATGAAAAAGATATTTTAGTAAATATCTTTGTGGCCAAACATAAATTATTCCAAACCACACCCACATTTAACTGTTCTCTGTTCTCTCTCTCTAGCACCCTTGAATACTGCGAATCCGAGAGCACTAAGAATTGTCTCACTCATAAATAAAGATTGAGCACCTCTTGTCTTAAAATAACTGATTGTCTGCCCATAAAGCCATATAACCCCACACATATACCATCGCAGGTTACCATGAGTTCATGAGATGAATCAAAGACCACCAGGGAAAGTTGCTAGCTGTCCATTTTACAGTGTCTGCTTTGTTTTAGGTGGACTTTGCTTTTTTCTTCTTTACTTAACGTTCAACGTAAACTTCTCATTCGCTGGAAAATTATTCACAGCACATCAATAAAGGCAATGAGAGTCTTAGTGTTTTTATTTTATAGGCATTATATAAGCCATCTGATGTACACCCCAAGGGACTGAAAACTGGAAATTATTTTTATCTCTATTTTAAGCAAAAACAAAAAGTGGGGTGGAGGGGCAGGCACCTATTGGTTGACTCTCCTTTCTGACCTCAGGTCAGGAGGCTGTCAGGCTAGAAACACAGATCTCCCTGCTACCAGTGTGTGCCTTTGAAGTTGTTCCCCTCCTGACTCACAGTGCAAAAGGGTGCGCCAGCCTGTGTACCAGCTCCGAGGTGTGATACTACCTGTTCTTGTTTAATTCACCCTCACCTGGAAGTTAACTAGCCTGATGGCGGCAGTGTGAGATCGTGAGAGCCACAGACCATGCTGTCCGGACAGCTGCTCCCTGAAAGGAAGTGGTGGCCCTCCTCTGGCTTCCTGCCATTCCCAGGGTGACCCATGTGCAGCAGTGGTGGTCTGCTGATGTTGCTGCCAGGCAGATTTAGGTGAATCAATCTCTCTGCATGGAGCTTTAAACTAGTGTGTATGTGCTACACACCGAGCCCTTTCTTCCCCTGTCCCAGAAGAGGCTTCTCTGTTGGAACGAGGCTCTAAGCTTTGTACAATCAAAAGCCTTTGATTAAATCGGACCCAGTCCTTCTACTTGCCATGGCATTGTGTGACCCGGGAAAGCAGCAGGGCTACAAAACAGCCCAATCTGTCACTAGGTAGGCTGACCAAAGCAGGGCTAAACACACGGTTGATTTCAAGCTACGTTACATCTCCAAGTTGCAAAGCCAGCGATAAAGCAAGCCAGAAAAGCATACCCGTAGGTGAATATTTCTCACAGACAGAGGCCACTCTGCCTCAGAGAGGCTGTTGTCCTTCCCACTGGGAGTTTTTAAGCCACTTAGGGACAGCAACCATTTGAACAGAAAATTGTTCCTGTTTCTAAATGATTTTTAGAAAGAAAGAAAGAAAGAAAGAAAGAAAGAAAGAAAGAAAGAAAGAAAGAAAGAAAGAAAGAAAGGGAGAAAAGAATCTCTCAGGAAAGATACTGCTTTTCTGACATCTAATCCATAATATACACATATGGTGACACAAAAAAAAAGGCCAGTTTATAAGAATTAACTTAAAGAGGTATCTGCTCACTCTGCTCTTCACTAGCTGCTGGTGTCACCCCGCACACTGTTTTTGTCCAACAGTGGTGTGTATCCGCTCCCCTGGCCTCTCAGCCCAGACAGAACTCAGGGGAGCTCCAGCTTACACCTCTCTTTGCCAGAACTCCACCTAACCCACCTCCTAAGAGCCAGAATGAGACATGTGGGTTTCCCGGGTCATGACTTGGGACCACTTTAAGTCAATATCCTTTAAAGAATCACTCAGCATTCATATAGTGAAAAAAAGAGAGGGCTGCATAGGAGAAGCGCATAAGAGGACACTGTGACAGTCCTTTGCATAACACCAAAGCCTTGAACTTAGCTGACCTCCCCTTCTTGGGGGCACTTTGTTCACCACTTGTGGTTACCTCAAGCATGCTCTTCGCACCAGAGAGTTCTCCAAACCTTTCCCCCACCCTAAAGGGTACATCAACAGATTCCTTCCAGCAGGACACATTATTCTCCCTGAAATGCATCCTAAATACAATTTACTCCATCCCTTCCATTTCTACTCTGTTTAAAAAGTCCTTAAAAGTGGATGTCTCCAGGACCACCTGCCCAGTTCAACCCTCATTCCAATTCTAATGTTCTATCCTACCTCAGCTCTGAATAGAGCTGAGATCTGACCTGGGGTGGATTCCATGGGGAAGAACTGAGGGATCCAAGCAGTAACAATTGAGGAGCAAGTAAGGAGAGGACACTAGTATCAGAAGCAAAGAGCATTAACAAGCTGAGGAGCCACCTACACCCTGCACCTCTCTTGGGGCTGGGATAAGGGTTACAGTCACTGGAGGGCTCTGAGGTAGTCTTGCCCCCTAAGACTCCCTGAATCACCTTTGCCACACAGACAGCCCCACTCCCTCCCCAGGATGAGAGTCACCCACCCACCCACATAAGTCTGGTCTTTGCAACAAATGAAAGGATGTATATTCACTTGAGCTCAAGTTTCATCATTTCTTGAACCCCTTGGTGTTAGAGTTCCATTTTTTTTTAATGTCGACATTTGAATATTAGTATGTATTATCGAGAGCTATAAAATCAGGAAGGATAATAGGACATCCTTATTGACACAGGGTGTGTCTGAGGGCATATTTGCAGTGAAGATTAATTTCTAACACATTTTCTTATAGGCGGCTGCTCAGTGTCACCAACCACTGGCTAATTCATTAATATTATTCAGCGAAAAACATTTCTTCCATTTCATTTGTTGATAAATTTATTTTCATTTTCATGGAAATCAGTCCCTTCCAAGTTCATTTAAGAGGAATATTTCATAACTTTCTAGTGTGGGAAGTATTTTTATTTAAATATTTGCAATAACTAAATGGAGGACTTAAACCTCTCATCTTTAAAGGTATTTTCCTTGTGGTTCATGAATGCTTTGTGGTTATAAAAGATTGTGAAACTATTAAACATGACACAGAAAATTAAACAAAAAGGAAATTAATTTCAGTTACATTGGCTCCATTGGTATTATGTATTATATATCAATTAAATAGTAGGAATTTATTTTTACATTTGAAAATGTATAAGCTTATCATCTGCCTCACACAGAAAGAAATAAATGTCTGGAATAATAACATCAGTATGGGAAATCGTGTTGCAAAATTTTTAATTATATGCAACTATTATTGAGTTTTTCTTAGTAAAAATAAATAAAAGGTCAAAAAAAGGTGGATTTCGTAGTGTGAAATGCTTCTAAGAGAAGTATTTGATGGAGTGTTTCATGACATCTTACTGCTCTGATAATGCAGCATTTGGGAACCATGGGTACTATGGAATCATGTCATTTCTACTTTGTAGTTTTCATTCATTTTTATACCCAATAGAAGAAGCAACATTTGTGTATGCCTGAGACTTGAATGATCGGGTCTTTGTCTTATTTTTTAGAAAAGAAGTCTTTTCCCCTATCTATTTCTAATGTATTTTGTATATTTATTTTAGAGACAAGGTCTTGCTCTGTCACTCAGGCTGGAATGCAGTGGTGCTATCTTGGTTCACTACAGACTTGACCTCCTGGGCTCCTGCCTCGGCCTCCCAAGTAGCTGGGACTATAGGTGCACATCATCACACCTGGCCAATTTTTTAAAAATTTTCTGGAGAGATGGCAGGGTCTCACTATGTTGCCCAGGCTGGTTGGACTCCAGGCCTCAAGTGATCCTCCCACATCAGCCTCTCAAAGTTCTGAGATTACAGGCGTGAGCCACTGCACCCAGCCCTAATGTATTTTGGATGTAAATCATTTTGTTATTACATATGAATTCATTTTGTATGTACTCAAAGTACATGAGAGAGGAAAAAGAAGCAATGCCTTACAATCAGCGCAAGTCACCGTGCAGTGGCCACCTGCAGTGGTGAAGTAAAGGGGCATGCAGGAAGCTGAATCCCAGGTCAAAACCAAGCCTTGGTCCAGCCTGAACAGAATCACTTTCAAAATATCTTGGCATTAGTCAACCTGTCTTCTAGAAATACTTGTATATAATAATGAGAAAATGTTCATCGTGATTATTTTCAGTAGCATAGTACAGCCAAGCCCTCAAAAAGAGGAAGTTTTCATTGGTAAGGCATTTCATTTAAACATTGAAATCTGGTGTAATGTGAAGTATGAAATAAGTTTTGAAAGGAAGCTGATGATTAAGAAGAAATGCAGTGGGCATTTAATAACTGGAGGAACCGCAAGATAATTAACTGGCATGCATAAAGATTCATGCTTTATACCAAAATTTTAATTTTGCACATAAATGTGCCTGATGTAGGCAGCATTTAATCACCTAGCTGACAGGAGTAACTACTTTCATTTAACCTTGACTGAAGATCATGAATTCTAACAGGTTTAATTGGATACATCATTTAACAGAATGAACAGAGCAAATTTTTCTCAATTCATAGGTTCTGATTGACATGCACCAGCAATAAGGCGTTGCACAATTACAGCTGCTCTGCATTCCTGCCCTGGGCAGCAATTGCCATAGTGATGTGACACCACTGGATCACTGTGGCACGGGAACGATACTGAATCTCCCCTTGTTTTGAAAAGGGCAATGCTTTGAAAAAGAAAGAAAAAAAAGGAAAGAAAGAAGGAAGGAAAAAAAAGAGAGGGGGGGCTGGAAAAGAAAGGGGCTTAGACTCTTAATTTTTTTTCATATTAATCACATTGATATGCACATCCTGTAAGGGAAGGGGTAGGTCTTGTTATCAGCCACATGGAAAAATGGGGGAATAATGGCATTATCTTTTATCTGTTTAGCACAGTTTTTTTCAGAGTGTCAAAAAAGTCTATAGTTACACGAAACAGACTCAAAAAAGAGGGCCTAAAAGCAAATCATGCCAGCTTGAAATCTCCAATCCTTCTAAAGAAACTGCAGTGTGATGTGGGCTCATGGCGCTGCTCTCTATGCTGGGAAAGCTGCTGCTGCTGCCTTTACCGGGAGTGTGGGCATCTCTGCCACCAGAGTTCAACTCTCCCGGGGGGACACAGACCCTGGGCGTAAATGAGGGTAGAAGACAGGATTCAAAATGATCCTCTTTCTCTCTCTTCCTTTGCTTCACTTACAAAAACCCAAATGAATCGAGGAGGATGAAAAACAAGAGAAAGTGATTTTCCAAAATAAAATTATAAACCTTTCTGTAAAAGGTTTATAACCTATAAAATGAACAATATCCAACCTTAGGAAATTGCTCATGGGGCTAAATCCTATATTTCTTGGCCAATCTCAAATACCTCAAATATCTTTATAAATATTCTAGAAAGAATCAGAAAATTTAGATCTCAAGAAACACTCTGCAAGTTCTGTTAGTTTCAGATGTGAGAAAAAAATGTTAAAATACTTATTTTAAAAGACTTTCCTCTACAAATCAAACATGAATAGTTACTAGAATTCTGGCACTCTTAATTAAAATAAAATTTAAAAAACATTAACAGTTACTATTGTTTCTTCTTTTTTTATTTTTTGTGGAGATGGGGGTCTCAACACATTGTCTCGCCTCAGCCCCCTGAAGTGCTGAGATTTCAGGTATGAGCCACCGCGCCTGGCCCACTGTTGTTTCTTTTTTTTGTTGTTGTTGAGACGGAGTCTCCGTCTGTCGCCCAGGCTGGAGTGCAGTGGCACAATCTTGGCTCACTGCAAGCTCCGCCTCCCGGGTTCACGCCATTCTCCTGCCTCAGCCTCCTGAGTAGCTGGGACTACAGGCGCCCGCCACCACGCCCGGCTAATTTTTGTATTTTTAGTGGAGACGGGATTTCACCGTGTTAGCCAGGATGGTCTCGATCTCCTGTGCCTCGGCCTCCCAAAGTGCTGGGATTACAGGCGTGAGCCACCGCACCCAGCCCCACTGTTGTTTCTTTGCTTTCCACTCGTTACCCTTGGTCAACAAACCTGTTCAATTATCAAAATCCTCCACTCCTGCAGGCTTGGTGTTTGCACCCTCTGCCTCTCTCCCCATGTGACTGTCAGTAAACACTGATTTGCTCATTGGTTGCCCTCTTACTCATCACCTCCTCCTCACGCCACCCCTGCAATACTACCCAGACTGGGGGGCCCTTGACCACGGACACTACATCCTACGTGTCCATATCCCCCCTTCCCAGAGGGGTGCCTCACGGCTAACCCTGAGGGCCACAGTTATTCAGTGAGTGGGAATGGGGGGAGGGCGGACGCTCAGAGTAGAGAATCAGAAGCTCCTGCTCTTCCTCACCTGTCTTTCCCTTCCCCTCACCTAGTCTTTCTGCCTTATCTCTCCCTTTTTTCTTTCTTTCTGTCTCTCTTCTAAGCCTTGCAAATATTCATTCACTCAGCAGAAGTTTACTCTGCATCTGCTACGTGGCCAGGCCTGGTGCTGAGCACAGGGGCCTCCAAGATGCCTAAGACAAAGCTTCCCTCCCACAGGAGTCCCACGGGGAAGACGGGGGAGAAGCATGTCATGACAGCATAATGCTGTTTGTACTGTACTGATGAGCAACAAGGCTGTACCACTCAGCAGAGGGTGGAGATGGGACGACCTCTGCCTGGGGTTCCGGGAAGCTTTTGCAAAGGAGGTGGCATACTCAAATGAGGAGATACTTTGGAAGCCTGGAAAGTTAAATAGAGAAAACGGCATTTGCAAGATTCTCGGGTGTGAACTAGCATGACTTAGGTTCGGTATGGAAAGTAATTCTGCGAAGCAGGGGTAGAGGCAGGGCAGGAAAGAAGGGGAGTGAAGCTGGAGGGGTAGACAGGAGCCAGCCCGCAGAGGTCCCAGGGTGGCCAGCCAAGGCGTCCGCGCTCTCCCAGAGAGGACAGGGAAGGTGGAAGAGGGCTGGCTGGAGGAATGGCCTGTGTTTTGGTAGTGTAATCCCGATCGCTGGTGTGAGGAACGGATTTGAATGAGAAAAGAATAGCGAAAGTCTAGAAAGGGATTTCAGATTTCAGCGGCTCTTGCACAAGCCCTCCCCCTCCCCTCTCTTCTGTGGCCATCCCACCCCCTTACATTCCTGAATTCCTGTGTTCTTTCTTTCCTTTCTCTTTTCCATTCCCACCTTTTCCCTTTCCCTCCAAAATAAACTCAAATAATCTTCCAAATAATTTTTGAACAAAAATCTTTGAAATTTGGTAACAGTCAGTAAAGAGGTTCGTCTCCAGAGCATCCTGCAGTTCCAGCGAGTTCCCTGCTCTTCTCCGTTCCCACCGAGGAGAGGGTAGGAGGGAATGGCCCAGCAGGAAGGACTTCGGTTAGAGACTAGGAAGACAGTTGAAGAAACATCTGGGCCAGGCCGGGTGCTGTGGCTCACGCCTGTAATCCCAGCTGTTTGGGAGGCCGTGGCAGGTGGATCACGAGGTCAAGAGATCGAGACTATCCTGGCCAACATGGTGAAACCCCATCTCTACTAAAAATACAAAAAATTAGCTGGGCGTGATGGCACACAGCTGTAGTCCCAACTACTCAGGAGGCTGAGGCAGGAGGATCGCTTGAACCTGGGAGGTGGAGGTTGCAGTGAGCCGAGATCACACCACTACACTCCAGCCTGGGCAACAGAGCAAGACTCCATCTCAAAAAGAAAGAAGGAAAGAAAGAAAGAAAGAAAGAAAGAAAGAAAGAAAGAAAGAAAGAAAGAAAGAAAGAAAGAAAGAAAGAAAGAAACATCTGGGCCCAGTCTTCCCCAAGGGCTACGGAGCCATGGAGACTGCTGAGGAGACTCCTGTCCCCTGCCCCCAGCATGGGGTCCCCATGGGCTTCCAGGGCACCTGGGCTGAAGCCAGAACCCTCATCCACATAGTGCCTGCCCTTGGTGCTCTCCCTTCCTCCTGACCCCAAATATCAGGTGCCCTGCACACTGGCCCGCCTTAGTTGCCAAACGAGGTGTCACCCTGGTAAGGTTTGGATCTGGGTCCCCACCCAAATCTCATGTTCGATTGTAATCCCCAGTGCTGGAAGTGAGGCCTGATGGGAGGTGACTGGATCACAGGGTGGATCCTTCGTAATGGTTTAGCACCATCTCCCCTTGGTACTGTCTAGTGAGTGAGTTCTCATGAGATCCGGTTGTTAAAAAGTATACGGCACCTCTCTCCCCACACCTCTTCCTCTGGCCGCGTAAGATGTGCCTGCTTCTCCTTTGCCTTCTGCCATGATTGAAAGTTTCTCATGGCCTCCCCAGAAACCAACATGCCTCCTGTACAGCCTGCAGAACCGTGAGCCACCTAAACCTCTTTTCTTTATAAATTACCCAGTCTTAAGTATTTGTTTACAGCAATGCAAGAACAGATGAATACACACCCCCACTGGCTGACAGTGAGGCAGTAAGAATTGAAGCCCCCGTTCTCTGGCAGGACACCCACTGCAACTAATTCCAAGAGGAATGGGGACCACTGTCCCTTCAGGTCCATTATTCCAGGGAGGATTGAAATAAAAGCCTGGCTCACTACACTCTCCTCCCCTCTTCCCAGGAAGAAATTATCTGGGCTTCTCGGTCCCTCGGGCTCAGTAGGGCCCCAGTGAGCCATGAATCCCTTGATACTGATATTCTTTTCCCTCATGTACACATCAACCCACCCCTTCACTGAATTGTGAGGGTGTGAGGTCAGGGGCCAACTTATCCATCTTTTTACCATCCTCCCCTTCAGGTTTATAGCACTGTGTCCAGCTCTTGGTAGCTGTTAGGGGTTGAATTATGTTCCCTCAAAATTCTGTGTTGAAGTCCTAACCTGTAGTACCTCAAAATGTAACAGTATTTGTAGATAGGGTTTATATAGACTTTTACATTTTAGCAGAAGTTGAAATGAGGTCCTTGGGATGAGCCCTGATCCGATATGACTGGTGTCCTTATGAAAAGGGGGAGTTTTGAGACAGACACGTGCACTGTCTCTCTAAGGAGAACGCCTCGTGAAGACGAAGGCAGAGGTCAGGGTGATGCTTCTACAAGTCAAGGAACAGCAATGCTTGTCAGCAAACCCCCAGCAGCTCGGAAGAGGCCTGGAGCAGATCTTCCCTCACGGGCCTCAAAAGGAACCAGCTCTGCCAACACCTTGATCTTGGACTTCTAACCTTCCAGAACCGTGAGACAATTAGGTCTCTGCTGTTGAAGCTGCCCAGTTTGTGGTACTTTGTTATGGCAGCCTTGCAGAGGAATACAGCAGCCTATTTGTCTAATAGATTGTTTAATCAGAAGGTTCTAGAAGGAGAAGGATGTTCTTCTTGGTGAAAGATTGCCCACCTTGCCAGATGTGCTGCCATCAGTGCAGTTTGAAGACATATTAGATAGACTTTGCAGTATCTGGTCCTTCATCCTAATTTGTTTTAATGGTCTAGCTCAGTTCTGTGGGGGCACAACTAAGAGCCAGCTGTCTGGGGAGAAGGGAGGGGTGTAGAAATGGCGGAGGGTTGGAGGGGGACTTGTTAACTGCTTGAGGAATTTTAAGTGGTGGCTAGATCAGGGCCAGCCTAAAAAATAATTCCACACGCCCAAGGAATACTGACTTAATTTCTTTCCTCAGTTCCGTAAGCAATTATTTCCCATTTCCTATCAGGTACTTGGCCTCAGTTTCCCTAGATATAAAACAGACTGATGGGGCCCAGGTGTGGTGCCTCACACCTGTAATCCCAGCACTTTGGGAGGCCAAGGCAGGAGGATCGCTTGAGCCCGGGAGTTTGAGACTAGCCTGGGTAACATAGGAAGGATTCATCTCTATAAGAAATGAAAGAATTAGCCAGGCATGGTGGCATGTGCCTGTAGTCTCAGCTACTCTGGAGGCTGAGGTGGGAGGATCGCTTGAGCCTGGGAGGTTGAGGCTGTGACGAGCTGAGATTTTGCCACTGTACTCCAGCCTGGGTGACCCAGTGAGACCCCATCTCAAAAAATAATAAATAAATAATAAAAACAGTCTGTTTTATCTATTATGACAGCTCAGTAGTCCCCAAAGGGACTTTGAGATGCTCATATTAAGTTGCATATCTGGGGAGAGTTATCATCATTTTTACTATTATTTTCAGTGTTAAATGTTTTTCATTAAAATATCATGAGCAAAATTATACATAATGCTGTGTCTACAAATGCCTTCCCAATATGCTGTGTGAGCATAAACAGTTTCCTTTCTTCATAGAAGTTCTTTACAAATGTTAAATGAGCAGATGATTTGTTGAAAGAGAGCAGCAAGTTAGAAACAAGCACACAAGGAAAAAGAAATGTTCTTTTTTTAATTTTTTTTTTTTTGAGACAATGTTTAGCCCTGTCACCCAGGCTGGAGTGCAGTGATGTGATCACAGTTCACTGCAACCTCAAACTCCTGGGCTCCAAGCAATCCTCCACCTAGCTGAGACCTCAGGTGCCCGCCACCACGCCCAGCTAATTTTTTTTTTTTTTTTGTAGAGACAGGGTCTCCCTTTGTTGCCCAGGCTTGCTTTGAACTCCTGGCCTCAAGCAATCCTCCCACCTTGGGCTCCCAAAGAGCTGGGATTACAGGCATGAGCCACCGTGCCCAGCCAAAAAAAAAAAAAATTGTTCTTTTGCTATTTGAACAATGATTCTTCCTAAACACGGCTTTTCTTTTCCAATTCTTCCTCTTCTCACCATCCCCCTCTACCAAAGAAACAGCCAACTCTCTTGAACACATGTACACTCACAACCTTCATTTCCCTACCCATTCTTTCCACTTATCCCTGGTGAGCTCCACCGCCATTGCAACTGGCTCAATTAGAGCCCCATCTCCTTGGCCCCCTTTCCCCATCACACCCCCAGCAGGAAGTTCTGCTGCCACACGCTGCCCCAGCTCCCCAGCCCTGGCTCCCTCCCTCTGAGCAGTCAATACACCAATATGCCGCAGCTCTTCAAATCTCACCTTAAAAGCTTCCCCTACATTTCATTTTGGCGGCAGCTCTCAATGCAAAATGTTTTGGGACACTTTGTATTAAGTGTGTTATTGGCACTAATGGTACATAAAAATCAATTGTATTAAATCTTCATGACTTCAGGTAATTTGTCTGGGAAAATGACATTCTCCATTTCCCCCTAGGATTTTGAATTTGTCTGTATGTTCTTTTTCCCACCTCGGTGCTGTTTTGAACAAACAACAAAAATTACATAAACTGTCGAATATCCTTTTCTTCACATTTTCCCTACTGCACCTTCTCATTGTGTGAATTGGCACAGTCTCCTGAACGCAATTGTGTTTACTTCTGGGCATACTGTATAATTTAAGTTTCTGCAATATAAAATAAGTCTGCGGCGATATTTTTACTTGTTCCGACAATGTCCAAAGTTGTCTCTCACTGTTTTTATTTAAAGGAACTAGACACAAACCTGGCTGCTTTAACCACGGCCTCTGGGAGGGCTACAGCTGAGAAAATCCGCTGTCAGGAAGAAGTGAATAGAACTAACAAGACTATTGAGCGCGCCAACAGATTAGTGAAAGGTCTGGAGGTGAGGTCCTACAGGGCAGACTAATGAAGCAGGCTGCAGAAAGCACTTCTTTGTTATACACTACTGATCTGGCAATAACAGCAGCACTTAGCAAAGAGCCTGATGAGCTGAAAAAATTATGTCATTATCATTCATTTTTTTCATAATAGAAACATGTTTTTGACCTTTACATTTTCTTACATTTTACCATGCTGCGGCCTGTATTAACTGTAAGATTACCTAGTGACTAGCATATTCACGAAACCCTACAGGAAAGGGAACAGCCGCTCTTTCCTGAGTATTGACAAATAAAGTTGATGCAATAAAAAAAAGCAAAGACTTTATTTGGAACAATTAGACAATGCTAATGACAGAGCCCTAGGTTGGTTTTCCACGAAGCGCAATGCAATTTGTCCGACTTAGTTAAGGAATATGATAATGCCCTAATTATCTGTCTAAGATGTGCCCTGGATATTACAGAGGAGACAAAGGATAAAGAGTGGCAAACCATGAATTATCCGAAATAATCCATATTGTTAAAGGTTGGCTCCTGAGAAAGTCTGGTCACTGGCAGCTTTCTCATTTGCCATTCATCTATTGTTAATTTCATCTTTTGTATATATTCAAATTTTTTCCCTGGGTTAACATGTGTTGGGAGAATGTCTCTTCTTGTTCCCTGCCATTGTAGGAGGCATGTTTTTTTGCAACCAGCAGCTTTCCATGCCTTTCTTTTATTTTGGTAACTGGACGTAGAGTGGGCCAAGAAAGCATCAACCCACTGCTAATTAAACAGATTTATCCAACTGGATATTGTTAGGAGAATTTAAAATATAAATTGATGAGTGCTTGTTTGGTGCCATTTGAAGTAAAAACTGAAAGGATTTATGGGCTGAGAAGAAAAAGTCTCAGTGTCTCAGATGAAAGCCAGAAAATTTAATGAATTTAAATGTATCCCACCAGGGTGGCCATATTTCTTCTCACTGTGAGACACTGATGCCTCTCAAATTAATGGAAGCAAATTACTATCTTAATCTGACAAATCTATCACTGTTTTATCAAATCAGTTTGCTGGCTCTCAAATAGATCGGGGGAAATAGTAGAGGAGTATCAATGGACTTCTTTCAAAAGAGTCGTGGGCACCCAATACTCTAAAAGACCGTCCTGAGCTCTGCTGTCTTAGACTCACTTCCTCAGACAGAGGTCTTTATGCAAAAATACCTGTAGGAACAAACTCTAGGCAATACCACACTCGAAGCCCACAGAGGGCTGGACCTCTGCCAGCATTTTCTGTCTGTTGCTCTACCTTTTCCGACATAATGAATCTGTGGCCTCCAGAGAACATTTACGAGGACTGTGAACACAGGACGCCTGTGGGGAGACCTGGCTCTCCTGAGCAGCTTTCACTTTATATGCGAGCTCCTTTGCAAGCCAGACCCCCATGCAGCCTGTTGAGAAACCACATTGCCATAACTAACCCGTCAAGTAAATTCTACCACCCCATGGTGGAAATGCTCAATGTGTCTACTCCAAACCTTCTTTGTGGAAATACTTGTGCCATTTATTTGGAGGCATCCTATAGCAAACCGAAGCGTTGGGGATTCTGTAGCCATGTGGAAATGCATGTGCTTCTGTACTTACTTCCATGATGACAGAAGCCAACCACGTAAGTGTCACAGAAACACTGCCATCTCTGCTTCTCTGGCAAATTGGACAATTAAGGCTTATTTCCTACAAGTATGTCTTTCTTTCTTAAGTTGTGTGTTCTTAGTACTTAAAAATGTTTTGATAGTTAGCCCATTAAATATTACCATTCTGGAGGTGGAATTTGCTTTAAAATGTTTCTTTTCCCTTTTTTTTTTCTTTTTTTTTTGCTTCTGCTCTATTCATATACTCTTTCATATTTTCTTTCCTTCTAGTTTTTCTTCTTTTCTTCAATACACTCTCCTTCCTGCCTCTTTCGGAAAAATCTTCCTGTCTTCTTGTCCTTCCTTCCTTCCCTCTTTTCCTTTCTCATTTCATTCTGTTTTTCTTTCTAGTATTTTTTCTACTGCATTTTTCTGAGTTAAGAATAAATCTAATTACTACGATTTTTTAAAAAGATAATTATTTTAAAGCAAACTATTAACTGTTCCTGTAAAAAAATGGTCTGTTACAATAAGCTCTGTGTTTACAGTTTAAAATTTATTTTGGAATAATCAGTGTCTGCATTTGTAAGTTCTGTTCATTTCTCTCTCTTTGGTATTGTACTAATAGCCACTTCATTATCATTTTAAATAATTCTTTGGTATAATTCATTATTAAATGTTGTTTTGAGAATTGTTTTCTCCAAGACTATTTTATTACCATCATGAAATTCATTTAATTAGTATGCTTGTAAAATTAGTACAAATTTTAAAAATAAAATGTAGAGATGTTACTAAGACTCGTTGCTTTAAAATATACTGCTGTCTTTTGGCGGGGAAATCTCAGAACATGAATAAAAATATTAAGAGTATATATGTTCTTCAATCCAGGAATCCCATTGCTAGGACTTTATCCTAAGGAAATACAAATATGGCAAGCATTCACCACTAGAATATTTGTTACAGCACTGTTTATAATAGCTATAAAGTGGAAATAACCTCAATGGCCCAAAACTGAATACTGGCTAAAAAAGTTAGGGTCATCCATTATATAAATTATCATACACCTGTTAAAAATTATATTGTAGGCCGGGCACGGTGGCTCACGCCTGCAATCCCAGCACTTTGGGAGGCCGAGGTGGGCGGATCACGAGATCAGGAGATCGAGACCATCCTGGCTAACACGGTGAAACCCCGTCTCTACTAAAAAATACAAAAAAATTAGCCGGGCGTGGTGGCAGACGCCTGTAGTCCCAGCTACTTGGGAGGCTGAGGCAGGAGAATGGCGTCAACCCGGCAGGCGGAGCTTGCAGTGAGCCGAGATCCCGCCACTGCACTCCAGCCTGGGCGACAGAGCGAGACTCCGTCTCAAAAAAAGAAAAAGAAAAAAATAAATATACATATATATATATATATAGTAGAAGAATATTTTTCATCATATGAGAAAATGTTTTGAGTATATTTTGAAGTAAATAAAACAGTTTACAAAATAAGATACATGTTGTGATCTCAGTTTAGTAGTACATTGCCTCTCACCTCCAAATCTACTTTCATGACCTGTTTTGCTTTCATAGGCTGGACCCTTCAAGCATTTTTTCCTTTGCAGCGAGAATGAGGTTTAGCTTGTCGGTAGAGGGCGCAGGAGAGACACTGCAGGAGGAAGAAGCTACCCCACGAGCCCCGCCCAAGGTTCCCGGACGTCCGTCGGACGGCCGTTGTTTTTCTACTTGCTCCTAGCGCACCACTGCCAGAAGCCTCTGCCCCTGCCACACACCCAGAGCATGCAGTTTCTCTGCAAGTTCTCAGAGAGCCCCAGCCGGTGACCCCCAACAGAGACACCACTCACCCCGGGCCTCTATCTGTCCTGCCAACAAGATGACTCTTTGTGCCCTGGCTGTCTCTGAGGACCTGCCCTGCAGACATATGTTCCCCCTTTTCCCTGCAACCATGCACCAGTTCTGTCTCAGGCAGCCAGGAGAGCTCCACCATTCAATGGAGCTGAGAATCTCTTTTCCCTCACTGTCTGAATCCGTCGTGGGGAAAAGGACCTCCTTCAAAGTGGTTCCTCCCGATTTTCATCCTCAGCCCTAGGATATTGTTTAGAGCATTGTTTTCACCTTCCTAGTTAGGCCTACGTTATAGTTAACAATTATTTATAATAAATTTTCCCTGTTCAAATTACTGTGTGGTTTCTGTCTCCTGATTGGCCTATGACTAATAAACATGTTTATGTAGAAGAGAGGAAAAAAAAGACTGAAACAAAAAGCCAAAACGTTAACAGTGGTTAACTCTGGGTAGTATAATTAGAGGTTGTTTTTATTCTGGCCTTTGTGATTTGCGATATTTTCCATAATATTTTGTAAAGAGCTTTTATTTCATTTACTTATTTTAGTTTCTATTTCTAAGACTATTGTGCTACCTATTTACCTGTGTAGCAAACCTGCATATTCTGCACGTGTGTCCCGGAACTTAAAGTAAAATAAAATAAGATTATTGTGCTAGCAAAAGTTGAGTCTTGATAGTATATGTTGTTGCTACAAAATTCAGATTCAAAACCAAAATGATCGTGTTAGTTTGTCTTTTCAGTGAGCAAATTGGGTGAAGCTTGCCTGACAGTGGGACCACACAGAGCCATGTAATTCCTACTAAGAACTGGCCTCTATACAGGGATCACCCACTCTCAGCTCCCTGAACCTTGGGTTTTAATGTCTGAACTCTGGTTTTAAAGTCAGCCTTTTAAAAAAATTTTTTTCTTATTTAACTGAAATTGCTGATCTCTGTATCATTCCAATTTTAATATATGTGCTGCCAAAGTGAGCACTAAAGTCACCCTTTTAATGCAAAAGTATTAAGAACTGTTTTTGTAAATAGTACGGCGATTTTTTTATTTTTATTTTTATTTTTGAGACAAGGTCTCACTCTGTCACCCAGGCTAGAGTGCAGTGGCATGATCACAGCTCACGGCAGCATCAACCTCCCAGGCTCAGGTGATCCTCCCACCTCAGCCTTCCTAGTAGCTGGGACTAGAGCTACAGCCACAGCCACACGCCACCATGCCCAGCTAATTTTTTGTGTGTGTGCGGAGATGGAGTTTTGCCATATTGCGCAGGCTGATCTCAAACTCTTGGGCTCAACTGATCCACCTGCCTTGGCCTCTCAAAGTCCTAGGATTACAGTTGTTAGCCACAACACCCAGACCAATGATTTTTAAGAGTACTATATTCATCTTGAAAAATACATCATGCAATGTTATTGCAGCCTTCTGCTTTTTAGAGAGACATTTCTATACAAATAGCAAATTGGCTTGTTGCTGTTTCAGCAGAAGTACCACTAATGTAAGAAGGAAGCCATGGTAGGCAAAATTCAAAGATAGCTTTCCAGATACTCAGCCTGCAGTACACACTCCTTCTCCCAGTTATTCAATCAAACACTGCCATGAAAGGATTTTTGCAAATGTAATTAAGGTCCCAAGCCAGTTGACCTTAAGATAGGAAGATTATCCCAGCGGGCCTGACATAATTATATGAGCCCTTTAAAAGTAGAGGATTTTCTCTGGCTAGTTGCAAAAGAGGATCAAGTCAGGTTGAGAGCCCAAGGGGGATTCAACTTCACCATGTGTGAATTTTGAAGATGCAGGAAGCCAAGTGGTGGGGAATGTGGGCAGTCTCCAGGAGGTGAAAACAGCCCCAAGCTGACAGCCAGAAAGGGAACAAGGACCTCAGTCCTGCAGCCACAAGGAACAGAATTCTGCCAACAATCTGAAAGAGACTGGAAGCCCAGGCCTCCAGATTAGAATACAGTGACTAAAAAGCAAACATTGGATCTAGCTGGATGCCACTTATTTTCCAGTGTTCAGTGACACAGACTATAAGCCCCTTGAAGGTACAACATATTCCTTGGGATTATGACCCTTAATTCCCATACATCCATATGGTTGTCCTTGTTGAATAACCCTTCCCCACTACCAACACACACAGTGTTCTGGATTAGGGATTAATATTCTGGATTACAGAGTCTGTGGATTAGTGGTTGGCCGTACTAGATTGCTTTTCTTCCCTTGAGGATATGTTTACAAAGAGTGACTTCATGGTGAGCAAAGACTTGAGATATGACTAGTACTTCTCATATTTTGGTTATGGTTCTGAAATGGAATCATCTCTTATTCAGTAATAGGTCTCTGTTTTCTAACATTCTTTTACCTCTGTTTCCTGCTCCCCTACCCCTTCCACCTTTCTCATAGTCCTTTTTGCCCTTATCTTCCTAATATAATCTCTCTAATCTGGTTACTTTTTGCTTTTATTATCATTATTTTTTGATGTGTGTAGCCATTTTTTCCACTTTCTTTTTTATTTTTGGTCAGTTGTGCAAGGGTATAAGGAAATAAGAGGTATAAACAAGTTATTGGAAACTTTAAGTGATTTTTCTTATCAGCTTTCAAGTCCTCAATAACAGTTTGAAATCTGGTTTGAGATCACTTTAAATGATTTCTACAAGTAATGAGAGGAGAGCTAAGCTCTTAATAGAGGGTAAATAATTTGGAAAGTCCTTAAGAGAAGTTTGTCACTTTGAATTTATATGATGTCACCAAAGTAAAAAGCAAAATTGCTCCCCTGGGACAGGAGTTGCCATGGGACCTCCCACCCACCAGCTGGGCTTTCTCTGCTCTCTGAGCGAGTTGCTTTTATGCCAGTTTCCTAATAGGTATTAATCCTGGTCCACTAATTCCAAATAACTCTACAAACAGTTATTTCTCTAGTTTCCTATAGCCATGTCAACAATAAGGCAAAATAACACTTTATTTCCCTTTGGATAGCTGACTGGGGATTGAATTACAGAAGCCGTGAAATCAGTGAAACTCCTTGAGATGATCAAGTTGGAAGGGCAGTGATGCATGCTTTCTCTGTTGACAAGACTGACATTGTAAGTTTGAAAAGTCTTTATTGCTGTTTCAATCTGTGCTCACCAAGAAGGAAAATGATTTGAAAATCGAGTTGAAAATTCAGCTAGGAGATGAGTTCTTCATCTGCCTTTCCTCTGTGCAAGGTAATTTCCTTGGGAGCACTTTCCCACTGGAGAAACTGGAAACAGCCCAGGGCAGTCATACAAGTCAGAATGAAGGTTAAACCCACAGGACATCTACTTGATGAGTGCTATGGGTTGAATTGTGTCCCCAAAAAGGCGTACATTGAGGGAACTAACAGTACTTGAGAATGAGGTCGTATTTGGATCTAAGGTCATTGCTGATGGAATGAGTTAAGATGAGCTCACGTTGGAGGAAGGTGGGCCCCTAATCCAATATGACCAATAAGGTGTGCTTGGAAAAAGGGCAATTTTGGGCACAGAGACAGACACACTGGGAGAAGGCGATGTGAAGATTGAAGTCATGCTGCCAAGACAAGGGGCTACCAGAAGCTAGGACAGAGGACCGAACGATCCTTCCCAGGACCTTCACAGGAAGCAAGGCTCTGCCCACACCTTGAATCCAGACTTCTGCTGGTCTAAGCCACCCAGTTTGTGGCACTTTGTTATGGCATCTTGTTTCCTCGGAAACGGATATGGTTATGATTCTCCCTTCCTTGCTCTTAACTGAGTGCTCTTGGCAAGCACTGCATCCCCATGACCCTTAGACCCATTGTGAAAATGACAGGGGGTTTGAAGCAGGGGCAACGAGCAGGGTCGCACAAGGCCTTTCGACCCAGGAGCAAACCAGAGATGTCTGCATGGTACTGCCCCAATTCACTCTGCAAAGTCCAGAAACGAGGTCCCTTGCCACACCCATTTCACCGTGGTAGCCAAACCAAAGAGCTGCTGCCCCCACAATTATGACCTAATGTTCCATTCTACTGAACATGGACAGGGACGCAAAGAGGCCATAACAGAATTTGTCTGGAGATGGTTATTTGCTGTAAGTGTATTGTGTGCATATCTTTTTAAATGATGAAACTGCCCACTGAAAAGTGAGGATTTCACTCTTCTCCAGCATACAATATAAAAGAGCAAACACCTTAACCCTACTTTCCATACTATACATTTCTTGCAGTTGCCCAAATATAGCTTCTCGCGTGCATTTTGGAGAAATCTGTTATTTTTAGCAACCCGCCATTTTGAGTCACTAGTATGAAATTAGCCGGATTTTCTTTTTCTTTCTGCTCAAAGGTCTTTGTGGTGATATAATCAAATTAGCTCATTTAAAAGTCGACTGTGGGCCAGGCGCGGTGGCTCACACCTGTAACCCCAGCATTTCGGAAGGCAGAGGTGGACGGATCACCTGAGGTCAGGAGTTTGAGACCAGCCTGGTCAGCATGCTGAAACCCCGTCTCTACTAAAAGTACAAAAATTAGCCGGGCATGGTGGTGGGCACCTGTAATCCCAGCTACTCAGAAGGCTGAGGCAGGAGAATCTCTTGAACCCTGGAGGCAGAGGTTGCAGTAAGCTGAGATCATGCCACTACACTTCAGCCGTGGTGACAGAGCTGGACTCTGTCTCAAAAAAAAAAAAAAAAGTCTACTGTGTACTTTATATATATTTTTCCTGATATTGAAGCTGGTGGGTATTGTAGTTGGCTGCAGTATCAATTTGTTTGATTTTATTCTATAAACATGGAATTAAAGTCACTTAATCTTAGCATGCAGTTTTATGCAAATATATACAAAGTATATGCAAGTGATGCCCATTGTACCTGCAGGGATCCCATCCTTACATTTTAAGACACAGGCTCTGTATTTTAGAGGGAAGTATGCTCCTTGGGAGATATAGATGGAAGTATAGCTTGCCTCTTCACCATTAACATCAGATTTGAACATGGAAACAAATCAGCTTCTATTGTTATTCTGCTCTTGGTTTTTCACAGAACATTCTCCATACTTCAGACTCCCAAAGGAAAGAGTGGGTGGAGCAGAGATGGAAGGGGTCTTGTGCTTATGTTGAGATTTCAGGTTTCTCCAACTCTTGTCCTCCCTGAATTCATTTCACCTCATCCTCCAGTTTCCAGTATGAAGGAGTAACAAATATATGAAGTAAAATCAGAGTACCTTTAGCAAAATGCAAAATGGACTCTTCATAGGAACAAAAGATAAAATTGCTAATAAAGGAGTAGTGTATGTTTAAGATGTATGATAATCCTAATACTTGAGTGAGAAAAGAAAAAAAATTTAAGCATGATTGTGGGCTGGGCACAGTGGCTCATGCCTGTAATCCCAACATTTTGAGAGGCCGAGGTGGGAGGATCACTTGAGCCCAGAAGTTCAAGACCAGCCTGGGAAACAAAGTGAGACCCTGTCTCTACAAAAAATCAAAAAGTTAGCCAGGCATGGTGGTGCA
Organism: Homo sapiens; assembly: GCF_000001405.40. Classification (NCBI taxonomy): domain Eukaryota; kingdom Metazoa; phylum Chordata; class Mammalia; order Primates; family Hominidae; genus Homo; species Homo sapiens. Next base: position 173,443,691 of record NC_000002.12, on the reverse strand, counting down.
CACTTGTAGTCCCAGCCGCTGGGAGGCTGAGGAGGAAGGATTACCTGAGCCCAGAGGTCAAGGCTGCAGTGAGTTGATATTGCACCACTGCAATCCTGCCTGAGAGACAGAGCAAGACCCTGTTTCTAAAATACAAAAACAAAACCAAAAACATGTAAACATGATTGTGCAGCTTCTTACCTATCCCAGTTTCTCCAGATTGTTCTTCCTTGAACATTCTGCTATTTCTCGAGAGCCACCCAAATCTCTGCCCCCAGGAACCTCTCCAAGGAGCCGCAGCCTTATTTCGTGTTCCCCAGTCTTCACTAGGGGCCTCCACAGGCCCAGAGACAATAGAAGAGAATGTGTGGATGAATTAGAGAAACTCCTTTTCCCACTGCAGCAAAAGCAATTCAAAGAGCATGCCCTTCTGGCAGTGGGGCACGCACATCATCTTTCTAGACAACAGACAGCACGTTATGCTTTCAAAACCATCCCGGCTAGAATACCTGAGTCTGTTTAAAAAAAAAAATGATCTGTGGGAAATGGAAGTACCTTTGCAAAATGTGAGCAGAGGGGCATCCTAGTTTGAATGCAAGATTCTCTTCTTGACTCAAACCTTAGCTGGGAATATTTTATTGGGAAGGAGTTTTGTTTCCAGCTGGATGTGATTGATAGAAGATTTGTCTGGGACCTATTGGCTACTGTCACCTAGGCATGATTTCACCTTGTCATTTGGGGATTTCTGAATGCATAAAGGCCCCTAGAGACTCAAGCAGTGGGTCCTAATGTGTACGTAAAAATCCAGAAAAATCCAGTGCTGTCTATTTCCTTGCTTTATGATTCATCAGGGCAGATTGAAATAGTTAATGCTCCCCTAAAACTGAGCAATATACTCTGGCCTCACAAGTAGAATCAAGGCCAATAAACTGTAACAAAGCATAATATTCAGGACATACATATAACTCCACTCAAGGATAATGTTCTACGCATAACTCATGCAGTTAGCTCCAATCAATCCTCCTCCAGTGAACATACAGTGCTAATAGGTCTACTGTGGCCTTTAAATTTCCACCCACATTTTGATGCATACATTCTTTAGAAAGCAAAAATTATTAATCAGAGTAGCCTTTTTTGTGCTTCTGTTATTTGTACCCAGAATCATCTGGAATACAAAATAAGAGGAATAAAAGTCAGAGGTCAAATGATACCCAGTTTGCCATATAAAACTGAGAGTAAAGAGGGAAAGTTGTTTTTTGTCTTGTTTTGTTGTTTAAAGCAACATAAAACTTTTGTCTCTATTTCTAGCACTCTGTTCTGGTTTCTACCTTATGGCTGCCTGTTGCTGGCATATCGCGTGAAATTAGCTATATCAGGCATTTGAAGGTGAAGAGCTGATTTTACAGCTCATTGAAGTTCTAAAGGATGCATTGCACTTAATTAAGATAGTTCTTTACATGGGGTTGAAAAATATTTACAATGTGTCCCAGGCTATCAACAGGTAAAGTTAACCAAGTAACTGGAAAAAGAACTCTTGCCTCCAGATAATAATTTTACAGACTGTTTTACTCTAACACACACACACACACATACTACACATACAAATTCTTCTGCTTAAAAAAAAAAGTGATAGCGTGCAAAGAAACTTACATAGACAAGGAAAAGTAGTATTTTTAAAGCACAGCAAGTGTCCAATTAAAGTTGATTTAAGATGCACCATCAAATGAATTTAATTGCAGGGAAGAGATTACCAACTAGGAACGGAGGCTGCACACTCTAGAAGGTGGAACGTGGGTATGGGACTCAGGTGGCTTTTCGCATTATCTGGACACCTCTCTGCCATGGAATGGCCTCCTCAATACATGCTTCGGGCCCTAATTCACCCATCTGATAACTAGAACAATGGTTCCCATACACCCTTTAGCTCTGACATTGAAGAATTTTGAGACGATTCTATAAGTGAAAACATGAATAAGAAATTTGCTGTGACTCTCTGAAAAGGAAGGAAAAATGTTAGTGGCTGTGGTTTTAGAAAGATTTGAGAAAAGTCCTACTTCATGGCAGGGAAATAATAATGATATCTAGAAATAAAGACCCACAGCCTCTTATCTGAATTCCTTTGCACCAGATGGGTTTCAGAATTCAGAAATGTCAGGAATTTAGAATTATAACCCAGTACATATGTCATATATTACATAATGTCCCCATTGTACTCTGGGCAGCAATCCACAATCAAACATTCACATTTCTGCAGCTAAATATATAGATGTTTATATTAAATGGGATAAAGAAAAATGATCAGTGGCCTCATATTAGGTCATGCCATGTTTGGCTGCCAAGGGAGTTATGCAATAACTTCCAGTTTTTAGAATTTTTTTTTATTCCAGAATAGTGGCTAAGAGGTTGTACATCTGTTCTCCCCTTTTCAATGCAGCATCACACACAAATTTCATGAGCATCTGTCAGTGATGCACTAAAACTAGTAAAAAGCAGGTGATAACTTCCCCATATGACAATGTGGGCCTAAGGGTTCAAAAGGTGAAATGATTTGCCCCAAGGTCTTACAGTTTGTTCTTGGCAAAGTGGGTACCAAGGGTGGGTTTAACAGAGATGGTCTAATAGTGAAAATGTGCAACAAAATATCACTCCAACACTGTCATCAAGGTCCAGCTTTGTAGGGAGAGGTAATAACCTCATCATCCCCATCCCCCGTTCATTGCCATTCCCATTAATACCTACCCTCACGATGATCCAATTATCTGTCTTATAGTAAATTCCACGTATCTTCTTATATGTGCAGAAAAGATTTATTAAGTACTTCTTTTAAAAGGTACAAATTGTTTCAATTACCTTTTAGATAATCTTTCTCCTTTTTATAATTTCTAAGTTGAAGAGCGTAGAAGGTAGATATCTCCCTTACTCTTGCACTGAATGCCAGGCTCCTACTTCAGCTAGACTGCTAAAAACTGAGAGGAAAGGAGACAGGATATAATGTGACAAGAATAAGATAAAACCTAGGAGAATAAATATCAAATATCTGTGGGACCCTCCTTCCCACAGAGTGCAGTATGTGAAGGGCAGGGGGTAGGGGGCCGGAGAGTCACTTTACAGTGTAGAAACCTGACCAAACACTTCCTCAGCCATGTGGCCAAGGTCAGCATTAACAGTGACGGATTCTGTTGATAGGATGTGCCCTAGAAATGATGCGATGAGAATGCACTTCACCTCTGCGGTGCCCACTCCCCCACCAAAAACCCACAACCCCAGGCTAATCATGAGGAAGAATTTTTTTTTTTTTTGAGGAGCATTCTGCAAAATACCTGACCAGTGCCCCTTATAACTATTCAGGTTATCAAGAAACAAGGAACATCTGAGAAATTGTCATCGTCTAGAGGAGCCTAAGGAGATATATGACTAGAGGTAATGTAGTATCTTGGATGAGATCCCAGAACAGAAAAGGGGCATTAAGTAAAAACTAAGGAAATCTGAAGAAAGTATGGACTTTAATAATAATGGACTTGGGCCAGGCGTGATGGCTCACGTGTATAATCCCAGCTCTTTGGGAGGCCAAGGTGGGAGAGTCACTTGAGCCCAGGAATTTGTGACCAGCCTGGGCAATGCAGGGAGATCCTGTCTCTAAAAAAAAAAAAAAAAAATTTAATTAGCTGCGCATGGTGGTGTGCACCTGTGGTCCCAGCTACTCAAGAGGCTGAGGTGGGAGGATAGCTTGAGCCCAGGAGGTTGAGGTTGCAATGAGTTATGACTGCACCACTGCACTCCAGCTTGGGTGACAGAGTGAAACCCTACTTAAAAAGAAATAATAATAACAATAATGTATCTGTACTGGTTCATTCATTGTAACTAATGTACCATACTAATGTAAGAAGTTGTTAGTAGAGGAAAGTGGTGAGAGGTATAAGAGAGCTCTGTATTATTTTTGCAACTATTTTGCAAATCTAAAACTATTCTAAAATTTAAAACTTTATTTAAATAATCACTTTTCCTAATATGCCAAATGTATATAATTAAACAATAAAATGTAAAATGTTTCCATTTTAGGGCATGAAATAACTTACACAACTTACAACTTACACAAAATCAAAATTGTGTTGTTGTTGTTGTTGCTGCTGCTGTTGCTGTTTTGAGACAGGGTCTTGCTTCATCACCCAGGCTGGAGTGCATTATCTCGGCTCACTGCAGCCTCAACCTCCTGGGCTCAGGTGCTCCTCCTGCCTCAGCCTCCTGAGTAGCTGGGACCACAGGCATGCACCACCACCACCAGCTAATTTTTTAAATTATTTGCAGAGACAAAGTCTCACTATGTTGCCCAGGCTGATCTCAAACTCCTGGGCTCAAGTGATGGTCTCCCCTTAGGGATCCTCCCACCTCAGCCTTCCAAAGCACTGGGATTACAGGCATGAGCCACCATGCCCAGCCAAAAAGACTATTCTAGTAGAAAATGTTCTTCATTGTCTGTAATTTATCAATCTGGATTTCTAGAAATATTCATTCATTATTATTTTCCATTTTCCTATTTAAATTTTGGACAAATAAATCTGTAGAACTTAGAATGATACAGGATTTTGTTCATCTTCATGTATTCAGTTTGCAGATGTAATTCATGTAATAGTGGGAAGAGCTGGTGCCTCTGAATTCTCTGCCCAGCAGGTTGCCAGGCATCTGGAACCTCTGCTGCTGAGGACATTACTGGTGCACTTGGCATCCCTTCTTTTAGCTCAGACAGAGCATGTGTGGCCTTAGTTTCAGCATTATCCTGGCGGGCTACAACATCCAATATTTAATCCAATTCAAGACACACCTCCCCAAACCACATTTAATTTACTTTTTAAAGGGATCAAGAATATTTTTTAAGCTACAATATTTTTAAGTCAAAATAAAGCTTCCAGAGGTCATCTCTTCCTATCTCCCTAGACACATCCTAAGATAGTAGACCCCTCTCCCTCAATAGGGGATTGTGATTAGTGAGACCCAAAATAGAGTTGTATAGGGTTGGATTATGTCATCTGGTTTCTCTAAGGTCAGATGTCATAACCCCCTGCTTTCTAAAGGGATTGCTGGGTATTGGCTCATCGACTGATTCAGAAAGAACCCGGTGCTTCTGATGCAGAGTGTCCTCAGACACCTAATCACTGTGGACGGGAGGATTAGGTTTATAAAGAAGACCAACCCGGCCTTTTGTGGATTAGCAGCTGGGGGACCATGGATGTCTTCCTTGTCTGGCATGTTTGGACTTCTCTAAAATGCAGACAGACCCTGGGCCCCTCCTCCTCTGAAGCCCCCTCATGAATGTATTGGGGAACTTCAGGCTTTCCCTTTTTTGGGAAAAATGGAGCTTGCAGCTGGAAAGCTCTTTGCATGACCAGACGGCGCTCCTGTATGCCTTGTCATGCCATTAAAGTTGCTAAAGTGAGGGTGACATGTTAGAAACGTAGCATGAACAATGAGGGGAATCGTGCCCCTTCCCCTCTGATGCTTTGAAAGGTTAGATCTTTCTGGACCAGACGGACAACGTTAACTCTCCTATCTCTTAGTTTGGCAGGATTAGGGAAAGGATAAAGAGATTATAATTTTAATGGAAGACATTTTTGCCCAGAGAGAAGTCTCCAAAGTAGAATCAGCCTTCCCCTGTACCCACTACTCTGCTTCACAGCCCTTGAATCAGTGGCATGGGAAGTCAACATACAGACAAGAGGAAATCACTGAATTCCATGGGGAAATAAATACTCCCAGCACCCTATGATAAATTGCAACTAGATCAGAGCCTCCTGAGTCCCTCACTGCCTCCCTTCTACCTTCAACCCATCTGTGCTCTGTGAAATCCCGTTTCTCCTCAAGGGCCTGCTGTAATACCCTCTCTTCTATGCAGGCGTCATTTATCTCAATCTACCCCATATTCTCTGGTTGAGAAATTCATAAGTACTTGTGGGCTTTTCTCCACTCCCAATATCACCTTACTACATCTTATCACATTGCTTTACAATGATTTGTTTTCATTGCTTTCATTCTCCAGCAGTCTGGGAACTCCTGGTCATATGCATCTTAGTATTCTCAGTGCCTAACTTGTACCTGGCAGACAGCAGGTGTTCAATAACATTTGTTGAATAGATGAATGAATGAGCAGTAGGGGTAGCAATTGCGTGTAAAGTCCAGGATTATGACTGTCATATGGTTTAGGGAAGGGTAGCCCCTCCCCCAGCCTCAGAAAATGAGTTATGATTGTTCTAAGGCTTCAATCTTCCAATTACCTTTTACCCGTGATTGAATTACAAGGAGGCAGGTATGAATTTCTTGTCTATGAAACATAAAGGAAGCCTGTAGAAGGTTCCAAAGAAGGCTTTTGCTTTCCTCATAAGAACAAAAACATATGATGTCCCCTTTTCTACATCTTGGCTGGAGCATCTTTCTATTCGCAGTGCCTAGTTTATTATCTGGCACATAGCAGGTGTTCAGAAAATATTTGATGAAAGAAAAAATGAATGAATAAGTATCAGGGACAACTGTAGGTAAAGCCCTGGCACTACCTTGAATGTGGATGTGATGGCTGGTGCTGCAGGAGCCATCTTGCCACCAAGAAGGAAAGGCTGAGACTCCTAGATATATATGGGGCTGCTGAAGCAACATCCAGACTCTGTCTATCTCCAGACTTCTTCTTATATAAGAAAAGCAAACACCTGTGGATTTAAATCACCATTTTAAATCACCCCTATTGATTTAGAAACCAATACAGAGGTCATATTCTTTTCATTATTGCCTCTTTACCACCTACTGTGTTCAGCCACACCTCTCCTATGGTATGTCTTCATAGTATTATAAGAGTTCACAGTCCCATAGGGAAGAAAACTTGAGATTTTCTAGGCCTATAAATTTCTGCATTAAGTCTTTTGGTGTGACCTGATTGTTCATAAATGTATCTGAGGCTGGGCGCAATGGTTCACACCTGTAATCCCAGAACATTGGGAGGCCGAGGTGGGCAGATCACCTGAGGTCAGGAGTTCGAGGCCAGCCTGGCCAACATGGCGAAACTCTGTCTCTACTAAAAATATAAAAATTACCCAGGCATGGTGGCGTGCGCCTGTAATCCCAGCTACTCAGGAGGCTGAGACAGGAGAATCTCTTGAACCCAGGAGACAGAGGTTGCAATGAGCCAAGATTGTGCCATTGCACTCCAGTCTGGGCAACAAGAGCGAAACTCCATATCAAAAATAAATAAATAAATGTAACAGAGGAATGCAAGTAAAAAATTATAATGCAATGTGTTACGTGTTATATTGGAGATTTTGATAAGGTGCTCCAGGAGCACACACATACAAAATAACTACTACCAATACTGAGAAATCTGAAGTGTGTTGCGTTCTCTCTTTTCAGCAACTGGGAAATTCCCACCCTCTAATCTTCCACCACCTCCTGTTTCCTTCTGGCAATGGAGTCTAAACTCCTTTGTTCTGACTAGGTCTCTGTCACTGGCAAGTTTTAGAAATAAAACCACTAAGGAAATGACAAGTAACTACAATAAAGTCTTTGTTGTTCTCTTTCTTTACAGATTAGTTTTGTACATTCAAGACAAAAAACATTAATTCTTCTTCAAGTTGACCATATAATAGTAGATCAAAATGTTTGTGTGAACAATGAGTTTACTCTAGGGGAAATCTATTCACTGACTGTCCTACAACCTTTCTGTCTCTTTCTTCCCCACAACAGTTCTTCATCTTTAATCCCAACCCAAACAAGGCTGTAGATGGAACTCATCAACATCGTGACAGAGAAGGTCAATAATCTGATTGATGAGTTATCCATTTGACTCTCGGTCTTGTCCATTGTAGCCTCCTAAGATGAATATATCTCATTCAGCTTTTCTGGTAGGTGTCTTGTTTTCCCACATCTTAAAATAAAACACTTGTGTATGCATGTGTGTACATTTTGAGAGCACATGTATTAGAGTAAACTGGGACTCTACACCCTAACTTTTCAGTTAACATAGATAGGTTCTCTTGCATTACTTCTGCATTCACATTTCTTGAAGATAAGTCATTCTACAGATCTCCAAAAGGTTAAAGAAAGGCATCTGCAGTTAGAAACAGCACTTTGGGTAGCATATGCCTTCTTGATATAGAATTAACTTGAGCTATACGGCAAAACAAGTACCTTTCACCAAGAAAGAAAGTTTATGGAAAAAATAGAAGATTCATCAACTAAGAATGATGGATGATTGCAGAAATACTGAAGGAGGTATTAAATATTAACATTTGTAACATGACAATGTCTGTATTTTTATATTTTGCATAAATGAATCATTGACTACTAATATATTACTCTGTGTAATTATTCCCAGAAACCAGACGTCACACTATTGCCTCACCAAAAAAAACTGAAATCTTCTCAAGTCTGAATAGTGACAGAGTTGTCCCTCAAAAAGCTTATGGAGAACCTATTTTTTAATGCAGTAAATGCAGAACACTTCCCACATTCCCCTTGTGGAAGTTGAGAACAGGCTGTAACTTTTGAGTGTTTGGAAGCAGCAGAAGTGGATTAAACCCCAGGGACTGGAACTGCAGGCAGGACTGCTCTCAGCATCTGAAGTAATAGGAAAGAGAGGGGAAAACTCCCCTAACGGACATGTACAGAAATTAAGGGATCTTGCCTGAACCTCTCAAGTTGAGAAAGAATGGAGCGAGCGAAAGAACAAGGAAGGAAAGCAGAGACCATAGAGGCTGCAGTAGGCCATGCTGCATGGGCTCACAGGGCAAAACCATCTGGAATAGAACAGATTGTTTCAGGCTGCAAATGCTGCCAGGTCACAGGATTTCTGGGATTTCTCTCTATCCCCTTGGGCAGGCTAGAAATATAATTCTAAGTATAGTCATGGTAATTATTTTTATCTTTGGGTTGTAAACTAAGTGTCCTTAACCAAGGAAGGCAAATGGGTCTTTATCCATCCAATCTTGACTAGAATTTTAGAAGAGTAATTCTCTGTGGAGGAGAGAGAGAGTTAAATGGTCAGAAAGTTTAAGAAACTCATAATATCATCCCCTTCTCAGAGACATATAATGTACAGAGCAAAATAAAGTCCTTTAGGCCTATTTGAGTTGAAAAACATCTTGTTATCTCAGTAGTTTTCATATTAATTTGAGTCACAGAACCTTTTTTGGCTTGCATTTGGGAAATCATTGCTATAGTGTAGTGGGAGATAAGCCTCTTGTCTAGCCCTGCCGGTACCCACTTCCAGACCCATCACTCAGAGATGTGCAAATGTATAGCATGTTCTCCTCTTTCTGGGAAAGACCAGAATGCAAATAATTCTAACTGGGAAGTTAAGTGTCTTTTTCAGCAATGTCAGTTGGGTAAGGCTTTTAATGGGACCTATGCTTCTGCAAATTAGGTTTTCCTTAGGAAAAATGTTCCCTTACTAAATCTGGGTTTAGACAACACAGACTCCAGACAGGCCCTGTTGTCCTCTCTGGAAGTGCCCTCACACTGGAAGACTAGGATTGCCGAATCCCAACCTTGACCCTTTGACAAAAAATTCCAACCTGAGCAACTAACCCAAACTTTGGGAAATATATGACATCAAACCATTGAATTCTAGCATCTTTTAGATGACAAAGAGGAAGGTTCCAGGGATGGGGCTCTGCTAAAAGAAATAAATGTAACTCAAGTAACCATAATCTTGGGAAGAGAGCAATTCTTATGCAGGGAATGAGGAGGCAAATCTGGTTGAAGAATCTTTTCATTTCTCCTGATCTGTAAGAGATGGGCTCTGGACCCCAGGGCGGGAAACATAACCGTGCTACGTGTAAGGGGAAGAATGGCTGCTGACAGTCTAGAAAGAATGGTACTCAGGTGGGTATCCCTGTGATGATGGAGAGCCAGATGCTGAGAGCAGTCCTGCCTGCAGTTCTGGTCCCTGGGGTTTAATTCACTTCTGCTACTCCCAAACCCTCAAAAATTACAGCCTGTTATCAACTTCCACAGGGGGACTGTGGGAAGTGTCTGTGTCCACCACATTCAGGAGGAAGCAGGACAAAGAGGGACAGAGCCGGACACCAGCTGCGACAGGGGGAAGAGCAGGGTTGTGGTCCAGGACTGGACAACTGGATCAGGCAATAAACAAGCAGGAGACAGATGTGGAAATTACAAGGCTGGACAGACAACATGGGGTCTCAGATGAGTGTGATATGAACACCAGAGTGATGAATTGGGAACATTTGGGATATACCAACATTGCTCATCTATTTTTCTTTCCTTTTTTTTTTTTTTTTTTGAGATGGAATTTTGGTCTAGTTGCCCATGCTGGAGAGCAACGGTACGACCTCGGCTCACTGCTGCCTCCGCCTCCCAGGTTCAAGTGATTCTCCTGCCTCAGCCTCCAGAGTAGCTGGGATTACAGGCGCCCGCCACCACACCTGGCTAATTTTTGTATTTTTAGTAGAGATGGGGTTTCACCATGTTGGCCAGATTGGTCTCAAACTCCTGACCTCAGGTAATCCACCCGCCTTGGCCTCCCAAAATGCTGAGATTATAGGCGTGAGCCACCATGCCCAGCCCCTCGTCTATTTTTCTGTTGAATAAGAAAATAGAAAAGGCTCTAAGAAAATATCATCTTGACAGAAATGTCTATTAATAGTCTTCACAGCCAAGAATGACAATACAAATAGTAGTGATCAACATATAAAGGACAGTCCTTTACTCCCACGTATACTTGGAGCCAACTGCCTTTATTATGTCAGTGTTGATAAGGAATCGTTGCCTTGTTTCTCAGAGCCGTTTTGAAGTAAGCATGCTGTACACCTTGTGATTGGTCCCCTCCACTTCAGTTGGCAGTCCTCTATGCCTTCTCAATCACAGGGGATTAAAGAAGCAAACATTTTAAAAAACCAGAATGAAAGATGTTCCCCAGTAGTTCCAGAGATTTATTTTCTCTTCTTTACAAAAGAAGATATTCTAGAAGATAAAGCCCAGAAGGTCCTCAGGTCTGGCAGAAAAATGTTCTCCTGTTCAAATATATACCTACTATAGATTCTCTGTCTTTTAAATTAACATTATAATTTAACTGTCTTATGTACAGAATAGTAGTGAAACAGCCGACCAAACTGAACTTGATACTAGATATCATGACTCATTAAAGAAAAAACGCAAGTAACTCTGTAAAATTGTGTAAACACAATTTAAAACTAGCTGGGGCCAAGGCAAAGGCAACAAGGCAAAACCAAGCAGTGTTAACATTTAGGACACCGTGAATATTAACTCAGAGTCTGCTACTCACTGGGGAGATCTGTGGGCCAGTTTGCTTAAATTCAGAGCTAAAAACACCTTTTTAAAATGTCAAACATGCATAGGATATAAAGAAAAAGAACAAGGTGGAGGCAATTAGCAAAAATAGAAAATTGGGGAAGTGAAATTTTGGCATTTGTATTTTGATCTCATGCAGAGATAAGTGGAGCTGTGAGTCAACTGGGCACAGGGACGTCGTGTCCAAGGCTTGCCTCACATGGTTGTGCTACAGAAGCTTCCATGGGGGGCACGTATGTGGTCAGCTTCTGATGGTATTGGCTGCCTGACTCACCAGCAAGGGACCTAACTGAATAGCCATGGTGTCCCATATTTAAAAAGCCGTACAGAAGAGATTATGTTTGAAGCCCACTAACCATGCCGTTTTTGACCTAGGATGAGTTATTTACATCTTAGGTAGTAATAAGTATCATTTCGAAATAACATTTAAAGAGACATAATAAACATATTCCAAATAGCATTTGAAAAGCTAACGTGGGCAGGAGACTCCCCCAGCGGGGGCCAGTCTGTGGGGTATGGAGCCTCCCTGTGCCCCTCGGTCCGACCTTGTCAGCATTCTGCTTCCACGCCAGCCTAACTTGCTCCTCTGCGCCATGACCACCACCACTACCTTCAAGGGTGTTAACCCCAACAGCAGGAATAGCTCCCGGGTTTTGCGGCTGCTGGGTGGTGGATCCAATTTTTCATTGGGTTTTGATGAACCAACAGAACAACCTGTGAGAAAGAACAAAATGTCCTCTAGTATCTTTGGGACACCTGAAGAAAATCCACCTTCTTGGGCCACATTGGCAGGTGCCAAGTCTAGAGGTGGCGGAGAAGACTTGGAGTCATCCGGACTGCAGGGAAGGAACGCTTCTGAAGCAAACTCTGCAGATTCTTAGATCTGAAGGGAGAAGGTGACATTCATGAAAATGTGGACACAGACTTGCAAGGCAGCCTGGGGCCGAGGGAAGAGAAGCCTGCACCTGCTGCACCTGTGCTGAGCCCCGTGGCCCTGGCCCCAGGACCATCCATAGGAAATCCCCCTGGTGGCAAGTGCAGCCTCATCCTGGGTTAACTCTGCTCTGACCATCCTGAACTTCGTTGTTTTGTTTGTTTCTCCCATGCTTGTGAACTGCACTACTTGAGCCTGACTGTACATCTTTTGAATTTATTTCATTAAAAAGGAAGCACTTTTAAAAAATAAATAAAATAAATAAAAAGACAAAATATCAACTACATGGTTTCTATGCTATCCCTGTGAAGACCTCTAAAGGTTTTTCTACTTTTCCTCGCTTTAAAAAACTTTTCCTGTGTCTTTGTTTCTCAATGATTTCAAGATGGTCTTGAAACCACAAAATATGTAACTCGGAGAAAGGATCAGGGTAAAGGGCTGGAGGATTCCATTCGCTGAAGTCTGTCAATGTTACCTATTGATGGAATAATGGCTATGAGGAAAGCTATAAAAGCTGCCCAGATTGAAGGCTATGGGGAACGGTGTTTGTCAGGACATGTCAAAAGATTTTAAAATGTAGATTCCATTCTAAGAATTTATCCTAAGAAAGCAAAGATGGATTACACAAAGGTCTAGCAAGGTGGCTCGCAGCAGCACAGTTAATAATTATAAATGTTGGATGCACCCAGAAGCTCCAGCACTAGGGAATTGGGAAAATAAATGGCAGTACATTCAGACCAGAAAACAATCTGTCAGCATGAAAAATAAATTTGGAGAAACGTCCATATCAGCAAAAGAGAGCTGTTCACAATATATTCTTAAGAGAATCCCTATGTAGAAACCTATGTAGATAACCTGAATTAAAGCAATTAGAGAAACCTAAATGTGAGAACAGAGAGTTTATTCAAAAACATGTAACTCCGTTTCTTTCGGGCACTGTGCTGAGCACCCTAGGGGCTGCAAAGATGAAGAAAATACAGTAGTTGTCCTCAAAAAACACATAGTCTCCATGGAAAAGAATGACTAAAATGCCAGGTAGAAAGTAGCTAATGCCATAAATGGTGTGTGTGTGTGTGTGTGTGACAGAGAGAGAGAGAGACAGAGACAGAGACAGAGAGACAGAGACAGAGAGACAGAGAGATTAAGATCAAGGAAGCAGTTTGGGGAAACACTTATACCAGTAAGAATGACTGTGCTAAGAGAAAATGGCTAAGGAGAGGCAGTGTGGCTACGAATGACCCCAGGGAATGGAGCCCCAGTCCCTTCTGGGAGGTTTGGAGGGAAAAGTGAGAACTCAAGAGCAAATCAGGGAAAGCCCAGTCTTCCCTGCTATGTCTAACTTGCCATGGCAATGTTGGGTGTCTCTGTGGATTGAGGTGCTTTGCCACCACATAATGCCCAAGTTTGGAGTTCCCCAAGCTGGCATCCTAAGCCTCAGAAGAAACACTACTCTTTTTTTTTTTTTTTTTTTTTTTGAGATGGAATCTCACTCTGTCACCCAGGCTGGAGTGTGCAGTGGCACAGTCTCAGCTCACTGCAACCTCTACCTCCCAGCTCAAGAGATCCTCCTGCCTCAGCCTCCCAAATAGCTGGGATTATAGGCACACATCACCATGCCTGGCTAATTTTTGTATTTTTTAGTAGAGACAGGGTTTCACCATGTTGGCCAGGCTGGTCTCGAACTCCTGACGTCAGGTGATCCGCCCGCCTTGGCCTCCCAAAGTGCTGGGTTTACAGACGTGAGCCACCGCTCCAGGCTGAAACACCACTCTCATGCACCCTGAACAAATCAGAGAAAGCTGATAATCACCAAGTGTCCTGTGCAGACTTGAACCAACTCTGCATCACCCTGTGGCAACTCCAGAGTAGTTCCAGGGGAATTCACATTCCCCAGGCCTTTTCAGAACCCCTCCAAAGCCCCAGAATTAATTCAGTCCCCAGAGAGTCTCTGGGCTTTTGACATCTTTATTAAAGGATTGACACACAGAGGCACCCACTTAATGGTAATGATACTTATCCATCCATCTATCTGTTTATCCTTTCATCCAACAAACACATACTAAGCATCTCCATGCCCAACTTAGAGAATACGAATAAGAATAAGAACCAATTTCTACCTTCTTGGTGGGGACAAATGGTTAAACCAGCAAGTACACTAAGGATTACTAGTACCATGAGAGAAGCAGAACCGAAGCGCTATGTGGGAACGAAGGAAGGAAGGAGGAGGAGTCAGGTAGGTAGCTCATGCCTGTAAATCCCAGCACTTTGGGAAGCCAAGAAAGGCAGCTCACTTGAGCTCATGAGTTTGAGACCAGCCTGGCCAACACGGTGAAGCCCCATCTCTACTAAAATACAAAAATTAGCCAGGGATGGTGGTGGGCGCCTGTAACCCCAGCTACTTGGGAGGCTGAGGCATGAGAATCACTTGAACCCAGGAGGAGAAGGTTGCAGCGAGCCGAGATCACACCACTGCACTCCAGCATGGATGACACAGAGAGACCCTGTATCAAACAAGAAAAAAAAAAAAAGAAAACGTTTCATGGAAGAAGTAATCTTCCAAAGATGGGCAGGTAGAAGACATGGGGATGCTCACTTGAACCCTCTGGGTCTTCCCAAATATAGTTGCCATGACTCAATGTTTAATAGTCATGACTGGAATCTGACCTGACCTACTTGACCTAGGTAAGGAAAAAATTGGAATGTACTGACCTAAGTCCCTGAAGAGCAGGAGCGTGACTGAGACACCTGGAGCCGGGGACTCAGACTCTCTCCGACTCTCTTGTCTCTGCCTCTCTCTGTGGATCGGCTTTCTTCTCCCCTAACCACGGCTTGGTTTTCTCACAGAAGTCAGACATGGCTGCTACAGCTACTGGCTTATATCTGCCAGCTTTTCCTCAAGGGAAAAACGTTTTCTCCCCGCAGGTTTAGTTGTTGAAATCCCAGGGGAGTGATTGGTGTGTTCTGAGTCATGCATTAGACACATGTCACTGTGGCCAGAACAGGGGCTCCCATGATTAGCTCAGCTTGGCCAGGGGCCTACCTTTGGATCAAACACTTTGTACAGACAAGTGGGGTCATGTAAAATACAAATTACTCATTTGGTTCACATTGGGTAGCAAGAACAGCTCCCCCAAATAAAGGGAGTGTTATTCCCAGAAAGTAGTAGGAGTACCAGAAACACAAAACAATAAATATCCACCATATCAGGACACCGCCAAACCATTCCTAGTTTCCAGGTGTCAACAGAATCTTCTGGCCCAGGGTTCACATGACAGTAGCAAAGCTGAAACTACAAGCCTGGCTATGTGAGCCAGCTTCTAACCAGATTCAGGTGGTGCAAGTCCCTTCACATCTGGTGGGGAGTCACAGCCAGCTGGATCAGCACTGAAGTAGGCCAAAGAGCAAAACTGTGGACAGAAAGGAATGCTGAACTCCTGCCAGGGCAGAGCACCTGGAATGTCCGTATCTTCAAGGCTACAGTCAAGGTCATTAACTGTGACTGAGCCTACAGAGGATGGGCTAGAGGGTTGCAGAGAGAGCTCAAGTTCACAAAAGCAATAAGGGTCTTGCAGGATTTGGATGTAGGGGAGCTGGGAGAGAGAAGTGTGTTACAAGTGTCAGCAGAAAGGACAACTGAAATTGAAGCACAGTTTGAGTGGCAAATATTAACTCCCTATTCCCTATTCTACCCAAACAGATGGAGGCTTTTATTGTGTCCCTTTTTGATGCCATTCCTCATAATTCCTCATTTCCTCTTTCCCACTTTGGGGTTGTAATAGATCACTGATAGCTATCCATCCCCCAACATATTTTACTTGCTTTTCTCATTTACTCTCTGTGTTTCCCACTAGATTGTAACCTCCATGAGAGCAGGGATTTTGCCTGTTTTGTTCATTTCTGATTCCCCCAAAATAATGTATGTCATTGAATAGGCACTTAATAATATCTGTGAAATCAATTTGCTGAGGACCGAATTCCCAAGAAAGAGATACAATCTCCTAAGGGAATTGCTATCTGTGAGGGACAGAATGTCCCCCCACTCTTTATGCCATCTTCCACAGGTAGGAAGCTGCCCAGCAGAACACTCCTGGGCTCCTCTCCACTTCATTTCCCCCAAACTCCAGCCCCGCCATGGGAAGGTGCAGCAATGTACACAATGATGTGTTTAGGACAAAGAATCGGGCCTTCTTCAGTCACCCTCAGGCACAAGCTGCCCACAGGAAGCCACCTCCGCTCTGCTCCTGCCTTCCATGCTCTCCATGCTGAGGGCTATGGTCCAGCACTGCCATGGCTGGGGGCAGAGGAACTTCCATCAAATTCCTGCAGATATAGGTCCTATTCTCAGGATCAGCTGGCTCACTAGCAAAGGTGATATTTCAATCCTACACTTGCCTCTTTGTTGTTGTTGTTGTTGTTTTGAGACAGAAACGCACTCTGTTGCCCAGGCTGGAGTATAGTGGTACAATTTTGGCTCACTCCAACCTCTGCCTCCCGGGTTCAAGTGATCCTCCCACCTCAGCCTCCCTAGTAGCTGGAACTACAGGCATATGCCACCACGTTCAGCTAACTTTTGTATTTTTTATAGAGACATGGTTTCACCATGTTGCCCAGGCTGGTCTCAAACTCCTAACCTCAAGTGATCCACCCGCATTGGCCTACCAAAGTGCTGGGATTAACAGGCGTGAGCCACCCCACTCAGCCTGAATCAAAACTATTTATCTGTCCCTGCTGAGTTCAAGCACCACCTACTCATGCCGTAATTAGTAAAAATGAGCTTGTTACAAAGTAGCATGTAGCACTACCCAAATTACCTTCTGCTGCGGGTCACATTCCCTGGGAAACAGACCCTAAGATGATGACATTTGCATGTGGAAGGTTTCTACCGGGAGTGGTTAGGAGGATCTTCTCAGAAGCAGGCACCTGTGAGGGAGCTGGGGCAGGACAGACAGGCAGGGAGAGGAGGCGCTGAACTATGATGTAGATGCAGTCTCGGCCAATTATACAGGGAGCTCTGAACTGCCTGGGGCTGCCTTTTATCCTTCTTCCTTCCAGGACCAGCCATTGATGGGGGCTGCCTCCAGAGAGGAGTGTGGCCTTGGCCAAGGGTAATTCCCCTTCCAGGTCCTGAAGGGGCATCTGTGAGGTCACCTCAGAGTGGATTCACACACCATCCTTCCGTTATATGATGCTGGGTATAATAACAACAAAAACATTTTGCCTGTGATATCACCTGTATAATAATAATTTGCCTGTATAGTAACAACAAAAACCTTTTGCCTGTGTATTTTGCTTAGGGGAGAGGGGTCGGTAAGGGAATGTTTTGAGGTTAGGCCTGTAAAGGGAGAAGTGACAGCAAAGACACCACCCAAGTGAAATCACGTGCACTGGAATTCAGCTTAGGCAAGCAGAATGCCCCTTCCCGCTAAACTGGTTCAGTAGGTGCCAATCCCTTGAATCGGTTTCTAGATTCCCCCTCCCTCTCTTTGAAGAAAAGTGGAGAAGGATTAACTGGCTAGTGGGCATTCCTTGCCCCAGAGAAGATTTGGCTGTCTTCACACATAACATCAACTACAATGGCTTCTTTTCTCCAATGCATGTCATAAGAGTAATGATTTTCAGCCAGGCACAGTGGCTCATGCCTGTAATCCCAGCTCTCTGGGAGGCCAAGGCTGGTGGATCATGAGGTCAAGAGATCAAGACCATCCTGGCCAACAGGGTGAAACCCCGTCTCTAATAAAAATACAAAAATTAGCTGGACGTGGTGGCATGTGCCTGTAATCCCAGCTACTCAGGAGGCTGAGGCAGGAGAATCGTTTGAACCAGGGAGTCAGAGGTTGCAGGGAGCCGAGATCGCGCCACTGCACTCCAGCCTGGCGACAGAGCGAGACTCCGTCTCAAAAAATAAAAAAAGAGTAATACTTTTCATTCTGATTTTCCCCTCTCTGTGCCAATCTAAGATGGAATTTTTCAGACCTAATGTGCTCAAAGAACAGGGACTCATGTCTAAGGAGAAAGCTGCTATATATCATGGTACATTTGGAAGAGCAGCACATTGGAGCCAGGCCCCACCGCTCATCTTCACAAATTCTATAACCTCAAGCAAGTCTCTTAAGTCAATGGAGCCTCGGTTGCCTGACCTGCCCAGTGAGCTTTAACACACTACCTGCCTCCAAGCAAGAGCAGCTCAAGTTCTGCCATTTTTATTGATCATTTCTTCAAGCAATAAATTAACTGCATCCTGCCAGAAATGACTTCCCAGTGGTGAGGATGCATGGATCTCGCTTTCTTTCTCACCCACAAAGTATTTGGCAGTCACCATCAGACCAGAAGTTTCTTTGCTTTCCTTGCAGGCTTTCGAAAGAAGGAAATAATTTCACCCCCAACAAAATGAGACCCTGTAGACAGGTCACTTAGAGACAACTATATACTGGCTGGCTGCCCTGACATTCTCTGGCACAAAATGCATAGTAAGCCTGTTATATATTTGCATCCTTGTAGCTTTTCTGGTGTGTGCATGCCTGGAGCACAATCTATGGCCTCAGTCAGTATATGGGATGTGTATGAGAGAGAGACATCTCAGCTTTTGGTTGGCTCTCTCATCCTTGCCCGGAGTGTGACTCTATGAATCTCTTTGTTTTTTTAGATAGAGTCTCACTCTGTTGCCCATGGTGGAGTGCAGTGGCGCAGTCTCGGCTCACTGCAACCTCTGCTTCCCAGGTTCAAGTGATTCTCCTGCCTCAGCCTCCTGAGTAGCTGGCACTACAGGTATGTGCCATCATGCTCTGCTGGTTTTTGTATTTTTCGTAGAGACAGGATTTCACCATGTTGGCCGGAATGGTCTTGAAAACTCCTGATGTCAGGTGATCTGCCTGCCTCAGCCCCCCAAAGTGCTGGGATTACAGGCATGAGCCACTGCGCCTGGCGACTCTATGACTCTCTTACCCACAGCTTCGTATCATCTTTGTACCTTTCCGGTTTAAGTTGTCAAAATCAAAGATAATGGGTACACAAGAAGAAAATGAAAAATGTGAATATGTAAAACATTAAAGGCAACATCAACAATATATTAATTTGATGATTTCTTGTGATTTAACCATGTGAACATATTGGTATAAACAGATCGTGAGCCAAAATTTATTGTGGCTCTATTTTTTCTTCTGATAGTAAAGACTATTGATGTATAATAACCAGATTTACAATATTAAAATTTTAAAAAGACATTTGGATGATTTAGAGGGTTCTCTTAGAAGTATATTTACAAAACAAAACAAAAGAAAAAAAACTAAGCCAGAGTAAACCTATCAAAATGAACTATCTGGGAAAAGAAAGAAAAAAACTGAAATTAATTGAACTTATATTTTTTCTGACTTTACGCTTGATACTTTATATTTTATCTTATTTAATCCTTATGTAATCCAGTTTACACAGGTATTATTATCCCCATAAGAAAGATGAAGCCTATATTAGAGACTAAATAATTTGTTCATAATCCCCCTATTAAAAAAAGAAGAACTGACCAGGCGCAGTGGTTCACGACTGTAATCCCAGCACTTTGGGAGGCCAAGGCAGGCAGATCATGAGAACAGGAGATAGAGACCACCCTGGCCAACATGAAGAAACCCTGTCTCTACTAAAAATACAAAAATTAGCTGAGCATGGTGGTGCGTGCCTGTAATCCCAGCTACTTGGGAGGCTGAGGCAGGAGAATCACTTGAACCAGTGAGTCGGAGGTTGCAGTGAGCCAAGATCGGACCACTGCACTCCAGGCTGGCGACAGACTGAGACTGTCTCAATAATACATAAATAAAAAATAAAATAAAATAAAATAAAAACAGAGGAACTGGAATTCAATGTCTTTAAGTTCAATATCCATCTCTTATTAGATTTTGAACAAATGGCCATATGATTATTGTAGTAAAAACAAAGATTATAATATTAACCTCAAAGAATTTGTGACCACAGGTAACCAAACAAATCAACTCAAGTAACACTCTAAGACAGTGTTTCCCAGAGTAGCTGATAGAACATCAGTCTTTGTGAATGCTCCATGTTTTAAAAAAAATGTTTCTATGGACAAATATGATTTGGGAAATGCTGCTTTTTATAGCCCCCTCTTGAAGATTCATGATGTTCACCACCTAATTAAAGGCTTGGAGAAAGAGCTCTCTTGCATCCAGTGGCACTAGCATTCCCAGGAGCAATACTTTAGGACACCCTGCTCTAAGGCACTGTCTGGTCAAGTCCAGCTGCAGAAATAAAACAGACAGCTCTGCTGGGGTTTAGAAGAGGGTTTGACAGCACTGTGAGCTCATGGGATGGGGAGAAGTTTTCTGTTGGAACTGAAAGTTTTTCTAGGCCTGAGGGCCTAGAGAGGAAGAGGATACGTGAGGCGAAAGGTCTGCTCGTGGCACAGAAGGGTAGCAGCATGGCTGGAGCCAAGGATGATTTGTGGGAGACAGTTGGAGGAAATGAGGTGAGGTGATTGGAGTTGGAGCCTGGATGGCTTGCCATGCAGATCAGAGAAGATGGAATACACCCTGTAATAGCTACCAACAATACTGGACAAGGACATGAGGCTCCACAGCTTTCATCTCCTGTGCTATCTCACATTATCACAACAATGGGCCAACCAGAGAGGAGGGAATTGAGGGATTCGAGCTTTGTAACTGGGCTCCCTCCTTCCTGTCTCCCTTGTGTGATAGCTCACACCCATAATCCCAGCACTTTAGGAGGCCAAGGTGGGTGGATCACCTGAGGTCAGGAGTTCAAGACCAGCCTGGCCAACATGATGAAACCCCATCTCTACTAAAAATACAAAAATTAGCCAGGTGTGGTGGTGCACTCCTGTAGTCCCAGCTACTCAGGAGGCTGAGGCATGAGAAACGCTTGAATGCTGGAGGTGGATGTTGCAGTGAGCTGAGATAGAGCCACTGCACTCCACCCTAGGCAACAGAGCAAGACTCCATCTCCAAAAAAAAAAAAAAAGCATTTTGTAGGGAGATTAATGTGGTTGTCATGCCAAGGATGGAACCAAATGTGGAGACAGAAAGCAGGAAAAGTGGTGAGAACCCTCTGACAGTTACACAGATAGGAAGTGATGAGAGCCCAGAAGCGGCTCTGGGGAAGGAAAGGAAAGAGCAGGTGCATGTGAGAGTTGCAAATAATGATCCACACAATTCAGCAAATGCCCAGAAATGGTGAAACAATCAATGATAATTCACATGCTTTGAAACTGGGAATTCAGACAATGACGTTCCCATGAATGTGAAGAAGTGCTGATAGTATTATTGATCATTAACAGTTGCTGAGGTCTTACTATTGTCAGCTCCGTTCTAACTGCTTACATTAATCACTTATTTAACAGTCCCAAACTCATACATGAGAACTTTTATTACTTCCATTTTCTAGATGAAGAAACCAAGGCACAAAGGAGTGGGTTACTTTCCCAGGGTCACAAATCTAACAAATACCAAAAGTGAGAAGGGATGGATTCAGTTCAGAGAGAAGGAAAAAAGAGACGATGAGTTTGATCTTCGACTCTTTGGCTTAATGCAATGACAGGTGATCCAAATGGCTACGTAGTGGAGAGAGAGACCTCACAAAACAGGTAGAAACTGAGGACTAGGCAGACAATGGTCTGGTTTGCTAGGGACTGTGGGTTTGAGTCCTGAGAGCCCTGCACTGGGAAATCCCGCAGTCCCAGGAAAATTGGGACAGTCGGTCATCCTAGGCAAGTGAGAACGTAGACTGTAAATCTTTTGCACAGAAACTAGAGCATCAGCCAGGGAGCACGTTGGTTCTTCCAAGATGGGTAGCAAGGAGGGTGGAAACTGTCCCTTGGGAAACTCCCACAACCAGGAAGCCGGCTGAGGAAAGCAGCACTCATGGCTGCAGAAAGAGTCTCCAGACCATGCAGTGCCTAAATCCAGGATAGAAAAGAGTCTCAGGAAGAACTGGTGTCAGCAAGATGTCAAATGCTGCAGAGGTCAGAGAAGAAAACCACAAAAAAAGAAGCCATTTACCATTGGCCACTGCAAGAACATTCTAGGACTTCAAGAGTAAAAGATTGGTAAATAACACATTATCTAATGATCTCATTTAATTAGTATTTCATTATCTATTCACTATAGTGCTGTGGACATCGGCATTTTACAGACGAGGAAACTGGGATTCAGAGAGCTGAATGAGCAGGAGGCTCTCCTCCACTGTCTGTTGTGGCAGAGCTGGGAACCACGAGGACGAGGAGAGTGGACGCAGGCAGGGGAATGCCTGCTAAGGATATGAAGTCAAGGGAAGGAAGCCAGGGAAGAGAAAAAGAGGGAAAAGGCCAAGGGGAAGAGGCATTAGTTGAGACAGAAAGGGCTTCCAAGAGGTGCAGGAAGGCTGTGAGGTAGGAGGAAATAGGTTGGTTTGCCCTAATGAGACAAATGGGCAGCTCTTCGTCTCAGACTGGACAAAAATGAAGGCTAATCAGAGGGAAAGAACACCCCTGAGGGAGGACAAGGTAAAGGTGGGAACTTATTCTGGTTGGCCTCAATCTAATTGTCAAAGGAGGAGGTGATATGGTTTGGCTGTGTTCCCACCCAAATCTTATCTTGAATTGTAGCTCCCATAATTTCCAAATGTTGTGGGAGGGACCTGGTGGGAGACACATGAATCATGGGGGCAGTTTCCCCCATACTGTTCTCATGGTAGTGAATAAGTCTCATGAGATCTGACGGTTTTATAAGGGGAAACCTCTTTCACTTGGCTCTCATTCTTTCTTGCTGCCGCCATGTAAGACGTGCCTTTCACCTTCCGCCATGATTGGGAGGCCTCCCTAGCCACGTGGAACTGCGAGTCCGTCAAACCTTTTTTTCTTTATAAATTACCCAGTCTCAAGTACGTCTTTATCAGCAGTGTGAAAATGGACTAATACAAGAGGTGAAATAGTCCCCTGGGATGTCAGCGACTAGGGCAGCAGGTGGCTCCAGAAGTCAGGAATACCTTCTGTGAGACACAGCAAGAGTAACACAGACATTGCCCCTCTGAAGATGAACAGCAGGAACTCCCCTCACTAGCAATGCTCCTCAGGCCAGCTTGGGTGGAATGAATGATGGAACCTGCTTTTCCAAACTTCCAGAAAAGGAAAAGAAGTCTAGGGATATATGAATCACCCCAAGAGGTGACCCTAGGCTCCTAAAGCACCCTGAGCCTGCCCGTACCGCTCACTTACACTCTGAATTGGTATCCCTGGCTAGCCTGATAACTAATCTGTGTCCCCACTACATGATAAACTCCTGGAGGAAGGGACCTTGTCTTAGTTGACCTGGTAGCCATAATGTGTTGTGCTGTGTCTGCAGCATGGTAATTACACAATAAATGTCTGATATAGAGAAAAGGTTAAGATGGTGAGGTGAGCTGACCATGAAGTCAAGATTGGATAAAGAATCTGAGATGACCAGGAGGAGATTCATGAGCTGGATGAAAGGAGAGGGTTCATGGTGCTCAGGAAGTTAAAACTGTACTGGAACCAGCTCACATCAGCTCACAAGAGTCAATTTTGCACATTTCTTCCTAACTCTATGTCAGTGAAATCACACTGGTAGCTTAAAATCAGCAATGGTGGGAGTATTTACATCATGGGAATCGACAAATGCTACGTATCAGAGCTTCTTTTTTCTGAAGAGGTGGTTGATAAGTTATCAACACACCATTGAATAACACCCAGATTTCATACAGGTAGGACAGCAGAAGTGATGATTCAGACGTTGTGTACAATGAAAGAGACTGTTGCATAAGACAATAGCTCCAGGTTTCCTCTGCAGAGGCCATACCTCCCAAAAAAGGCACCCAGAGCCAAAGCACATGCCTCCTTCATTTTTAAGAGCAAGGAGTTCCTGTTTTACTGTCAGAAGCATTCTGGTTTTACTGTCTTTTCCGCTTCTGTTTATTATTATGACAACTGGAATATATACAGATGAGGAATAAAAGCAGGCAGTATAAAGATGAATTGGTTTAGGATCACCTTTAATTCTCTGAGAAATTGGTTTTGGCCTTAACTTTTGCAAGGGAAGAAAAACGAGAGAATAATGTTCTGCTCTAAATAATGTGCATATCCACAGATCAGAGGAAAAAGAGACGACTGCTTATCTCCTGTTGTCCCAGTAGAGCATGAGATAAAGTATTAATACTTTAAGAGAAACATCTGATCCCTGTCTGTGTTTAAGTGCTGTAACCTGTTGGCAGGAACAGTTGAAGACTATCTACACTTCTTTCCCCAAAATGGACAATACTCCAAGGTTTTTGCCCCACAGCCCACCTCACTCTATATAACTCTATCTCAGTCATGCACACTAGCATGGACTCAGAACTCAAAAGAAATTAAAGCAGATCTAGAAAAAGTCAACATGTGGAAAATGCAGAGTTTAATGAAAATTCGCAACCCTTCCCAGGGACCACCTTCTGTCTAATAAATGAAGCCTATTCCTTTAGTGAGTGTAAGCTTTACATTGCCGAGGCCAACGGCATTTTGTGGGAAGTTATAGGAGTTTTATGCTTATAGATTTTTTGTGTTGGGATATCCAACAACAACAACAAAAAAATGTTTGTGTTGGGATTTTTTGGTGTTGTGTTATACTCTGTGTTGGGACAGCAGCACACTGAGGAATGCAGGTCCAGGGGTTCAACCATGTGTTTGCATCAGGCCTGGCTGTTGTGATTTTCCACTAAAGTTGTTCTGTACACATATTTCATATGCAGATAATTTTGGGTGAAAAAATAAAAGCTCCAGTCAACAAAAGAATGTTTATGCTCAAGAGTGTAAAAGAGAAATTATTAATCAAGAAGTATACAATATCAAAACAAGGCAACTTGGTGCATTAATCAAAGAAAAAGTTTGAGTATGACAAATAGTTCAACTTCTAATATTTCTTAAAATCTACACAGCAATTTCAATTTAAAACGAACATTCTGATGCCATGTATGGTGGCTCATGCCTATAATCTCAGCACTTGGGGAGGCCAAGGCAAGAGGATTGCTTGAGCACGGGGGTTCAAGACCAACCAGGTCAACATAGTGAGACTATCTCTAGAAAAAATAAAAAATTAGCCAGGCATGGTGGTGCCCACCTGCAGTCCCAGCTAGTTGGAAGGCTGAGGTGGGAGGATGGCTTAAATCCAGGAGGTCAACCATGCAGTTAGCTGTGATCATACCACTGTACTCCAGTCTGGATGACACAGCAAGACCCTGTTTCAATAAAACATAAAATAAACAAAATAAAATAGACATTCTGAAATTTTTCCTTCCACTAATTTAATTCATTTTTAAACACACAGTAAAAATTTCCCAGGAAAATATGAAATGGGATAAAATAATTATATCAGATTTAAATTTAGCACTTTAAAGAAAACCATTGTCTAGCATTAATCCATGACATTTGAAGTTTAAAATCTAACATTTCTTTACTGAACTTCTGTAATTTGATGCCTCAGCAATTTGTAGTATGCATAGAATGTATTATAATGCCAGAATAGTACAACCAAGTTTGAACTTAAAGTATCTAATTTAGTCATTCATATTCTCTACCAAGGTGTTTAAATGTTCAATGAGCCCTTAGAGAAAATAATGAATAAGTTTAACAGCAACTTATATTCCAAGATATTAAGGG
Source organism: Homo sapiens (assembly GCF_000001405.40). NCBI lineage: Eukaryota > Metazoa > Chordata > Mammalia > Primates > Hominidae > Homo > Homo sapiens. Next base: position 173,417,823 of record NC_000002.12, on the reverse strand, counting down.
TACTTCAGGTAAATAATATTAAATTTTCTGTCAGACAGGTGAAGACTGTAGTTAAGGGATGTGCCAAGGCTCTCCAATAAAGTTTGGGTAAAAACATGTACATGCAATGACGATTAGTAGTCCCAACTTTTATATACCTATTCAAAACAGTAAACTTTTCTTAAATGGTGGTTTGAAGATGAAATTCAAAATGTCACTAACTTTATTTTTTAATTCCACTTTTCACAATGTAGTCTAAAAAAATTATAAAAATAGAAAAAGCTTCGTGCTTAAAGATGTTGACCTCAGCGTTATTTATCATTGGAATGTTATACTAAAATGTCCAACAATAGCAGAATGAGAATGTAAAGTGTATCAGCTCCACACAATGCTATGTGGTCCTTTCTGCATTTCAGAGTCTTGTCACTGGAAGACACCACAGCCCAGTGTGAAGATCACAGTATCTGGATCATATCTTCCGGAATTTTTTTTTTTTTTTTTTTTTTTTGAGTTGGAGTTTCACTCTTTTCACCCAGGCTGGAGTGCAATTGCACGATCTCAGCTCACTGCAACCTCTGACTCCCAGGGTCAAGCGATTCTCCTGCCTCAGCCTCCCGAGTAGTTGGGATTACAGGCATGCGCCAACACGCCCGGCTAATTTTTGTATTTTTAGTAGAGACGGGGTTTCACCATGTTGCCCAGGCTGGTCTCGAACTCCTGACCTCAGGTGATCCACCCGCTTCGGCTTCCCAAAGTGCTGGGATTACAGGTGTGAGCCACCCGCCCTGCCAAGAATTTTTTTTTCTTCTTCTTTTTAAGATGGAGTCTAGTTCTGTCGCCAGGCTGGAGTGCGGTGGCGCAATGTCAGCTCACTGCAACCTCCGCCTCCCGGGGTCAAGCGATTCTCCTGCCTCAGCCTCCTGAGTAGCCGGGACTACAGGCGCCCGCCGCCACGCCCGGCTAATTTTTTGTATTTTAGTAGAGACGGGGTTTCACCGTGTTGCCCAGGCTGGTCTTGAACTCCTGAGCTCGGGCAGTCCACCCGCCTCGGCCTCCCAAAGTGGTAGGATTACAGGCGTGAGCCCCCGCACCCGGCCCAGAATATTTTTAAAAGCTGAAGACGGGATTTTCTTTTTTGAGACAGCAAAAGGTGACTTTTTGATGTCTACAACTGATCTCCTATGATTCATCCCCATCTTGTTAGTTTTGGAAGTATGATCAAATAAGTCTACATAGTTAAGAGAATGCCTGGAAATTTTGCCAAAATGTCACTATATTATAAAGTTGTCTGTATGGCTGACTAGAGAAAAGAGAATATGGCAAGAAATAGTAAATTCCCTGTTCTTGAATTGTTTATGCTCTCGTTAGGCTTGCACACTAGAAAAATTTTTGAAAACATAATTTAAGGGTACTTTAAAATACAGTATAAATGAAGTGCATAAACACTGACAGGCTGGAGCACAAAGGATAATCGAAGTCAGGTGGCCCTAATCACGGCCGGCGCACTGGCGCTGGCGACGGGTCCGGCCCCGTGTGCACGGGCCGCAGGGTTTCTGTAAAGTTTTAAGGGGGCGAACAAAATACAGTTGCTGATCCAGTCGGTGACATATTTGCTCACTTCATAATCTGCTTCCTACATAAGCTGTTGCTGAATGGAAAACAAATGCAAGCACATCAAGTCTGGGAACAGATGGTGCTTCTGTAAGATGAAGAAAACAGGAGGGCCGGGGGACAGCAAGTTTTAAAAAGCTCGCTTTCTTCCCCTTCCCCCTCGGCTGCCTGGCTTCCTCCGCAGCCCCCTCCTGTTAGCCCCATCTTTCTCTTCAGCTCCTCCCACCTTTGTTAGGATGAAAGATGCTGTAGGTTAGAGAGATAGAAGACGATCCTTAATCTCAAATCCCCTTTGTGCGTTTTAGTAGAGCTCTTGTCTCCCAAAGTAAAATAAAGAGGCCAAGGCCCCTGTAAAATGGCAGCGAGGCCGCGCACAAAGAGTGCGGGGCATATGGTGACCTTCCTTTCTCCGAGATGGGTTGAGCCTCAGTTGTCATGCTGGGAGGTTGTTCTTAAATATCATTTGGATGCTATTGTTTGTCTGAGGCCCGGAAAAAAATGTGACTGTCTTGCTGAGCTGGAGGGAAGAAGAATCTAAAAAGGATTTATGGAAATGTCTGGAAATTTTGCCAAAATGTCAGTGTGCTAATTGTCTGCTGAATTACATCCGAGGCAGCTCCATCTCTATGCATGGGTTTGGACGTGTACACGTACTCTCTTATTATTCTTTGGTCCTTCTTGCCTTGTTTTGAATCAGGATTCTATGGCACCACAGTAAAACTGGTGTGGTGTGCGTTACAGGGAAAGTGGCAAGCTCTGATGACAATAACCACGTAAATCAGATTTTCCCGGGCAGTTCCCATTTCAAACATTCTGCTTCTGTAGGTCTATTAGTGCACTCCTACTCATCAGACCATATGTCACCAGGTTTTCAATTCTGAAAATAAATCACTTGTTTATGATGAAATACGTGCATAGTGGGCATGAATAAATGTTGGGAAAGAAAGAAAAAAAGGAAGGAAGGAGGGAAGAGAAAGAGACAAGGAGGGAAGAAGGGAGGAAGGAAGAAAGGAAAAAGAAAGAAAGACATGAATGAATGAATGAATGAATGTTCGTACTCTGCAGATGATGTAAGAAAGCTTAGGCTTTTGTTATAACTTTGCCATTTGCCATTAGTCATGTGGCAGCTGGCCAAAAAAAGTAACCTCTGGGTCTTTGGTTTCTTCATCTAGAAAGTGTTGAGACAAATCTAATTTCTTTCTGAGATCCATCCAGATCCAGCAAATCTATATTCTAATGAAAGAGGGCTTTATCTGAGACTTAAGATTTTTTTCTTGGTTCCTGGTCTGATGGCTTAGTTGTGACTAATCAAATTTACCAGTCCTCTAAGCAAATATGGACAATGACATGTAAGTTTCTTTATCCCATGGTAGGGGGGGAAGCCCATGACTAGAAGTTACTGAAAGCACAATCTTCAGGGGGTATTAGGGAAGGGACTACATGCAGAAAGGCAGTTGCTTAGGTTTACTGCATTTCTCTTTTTTTTTTTTTTTTTTTTTTTTGAGATGGAGTCTCTTTCTGTCACCCAGACTGGAGTGCAGTGGTGTGATCTGAGCTCACTGCAACCTCTACCTCCTGTGTTCAAGCAATTCTTCTGCCTCAGCCTCCCCAGTAGCTGGGATTACAGGTGTGTGCCACCACACCTGGCTAATTTTTGTATTTTTAGTAGAGACAGGGTTTCACCATATTGGCCAGGCTGGTCTCAAACTCCTAACCTGGTGCTCCACCCACCTCGGCCTCCCGAAGTGCTGGGATTACAGGTGTGACCCATCTCGCCCAGCCTACTCCATTTCTTTAAGGCAAATAAGAGTATACGCCTTAGGGTTGAGGGGATACCAAGGTGCAAAGGCAAAAATTAAAGACAACTTAGTAATGGCGTGATCCCCAGGGGGCGGAGCCTGCAGTGAGCCGAGATTGCGCCACTGCACTCCAGCCTGGGCGACAGCGAGACTCCGTCTCAAAAAAAAAAAAAAAAAAAAAAAAAAAAAAAAGACAACTTAGTTAAGAATTGGAAAAAGTGATTTGAGAATAATATACTAAGTGAATCAAAAGATAAAAAGTGAAATATGAGCAATTTGGGGCTTGCACAGGGCTGTTTTCTAATAAAGACAAGACATCTGAACTCGTAGCCAAAGAAAGAATGCCTTATAGTTAACTGCATGCACTCAAAATGTGGTCCAAGTTGCAAGAGAAGACATGAGGAGTACTTTTGCAAATAATTTTTATTCTAATATTTAATTTTGCTGGAAAGTCTTGTAATCTAACACAATAGTTAAGTAAAAGCTGGTCGAAATAATGAAATGCATTTCTTCCGAGCCCATGGGTTCTGAGGAGCCCTCATGGCGGAGACAGGGGTGAGAAATCCCAGACAAAAGCTCCAGGTCAACGCGCCCCAGCCGCGTCAGAGCCAGCAGCTCCTGCCCTCAGCATAAAATTGGTCCCCAGAGCAGGCTGTAGGAGAGTTCCCTGAGGTAGAAGGAGGAAAAGAAAAGGAGACTGGGGGAATGAGCTCTGTGTATGAGCATGTTCAGGGGATGGGAGCAAGAGAGGGGTTTACATCTCCTGGGAAGGCCCAGGGTACTAGGATACTGCAGCAAAACACCAACAATGGGCAAGTCATGTGTGCTATTAACTACGTTAACAACATAATTAACTTTTTAGTTGCATTTTCGTTAACTTATTCTATTTTTAGTCAATGCTTTTTATTGATCAGTTGGCAACCAAGTTTTTATAAGTGATTGTTTTTAAAAGAATTGATCATAAAGGAAAGAAAAAGAATGAGAAAAAAAAAGGAAGGAAGGACAGCTATGTGCTGCAACGCTTCGGTACCCTTATGTTAAAAAAAAAAAAAAAAAAGGTCTTTTTATTTCCTAAGTCCAGGCTCAGAGGATGATCTCTTACTAAAATTCTAGCCTGTGGTCCTGGCCAAGAGAGTAAACTGCTAGTCACCAGGACATAATTCTGCACCTGTCTTTAGTATCTGTTGAAGTTCCTAGAGCAGCATCCAGGGATAAAAACAAATGACCAAGTTTTTGTATGGCACCGAAGCAAGGACACCAAATAGTCACTCTGATACCCTCCGTTCTCCAATCCCTGCCCCTCACGAGGCCCCTCCTTGCAAAGAACAGCTCAACGAAAGGAAATAGAATGCTTTTTAAAAATACAGGCTACCCACGTTAGACTTTGCACAGTTTTACTAGCTCTGCCACTGACCTACAGATCTAACAACAGCAATAACATCTGTCACCTATTGAGCACTTCCAGGTAGTGTTCTAAGCATTTACATACAGTTACACATTTAATCCTCACAGCAACTCTATTAGGAAGCTGCTAAATATTAGTCCCCACTTTGCAGATGAAATTGAGGAAAATGAGGTTAAGTGAGGTGCCCAGGCCACGTGACCAGGATCAGCCCACAGGCCTCTGCTTCCAGCATCTGCCTTCTCAATCTGTACACTGTGTGATGTTGAAAGCTTTTGCTGGAATTAAGCCTCCTTATTTTAGTTTATCTTCTTCCTGTTAAACCACATACAATACTTCTGCTTTTATTTATTCAATAAAATCTGGAATCAGAATCAGGTAAAAAACATATAGAGAGAAACAGTAGTTCAAAGAAATTCAAGTCTGAGAAAGCTTTGGAAACATTTTTTCATGTTAAAGGATTTTCGGCAAAAATGTAAGTGTTTTTAATCTCTTCTCCCATATGTTTAAAACAGAAGGCTTTTATTAGAGCAAGTCATTGCACTAAGATGCAAACAGTTTAAAAAAAAAAAAAGTGAAAATGACCCAGAGCCATTGCCTTGGAAAGAATAATAAGTAGGGGTCGGGCATGGTGGCTCATGCCTGTAACCCCAGCACTTTGGGAGGTGGAGGCAGACCGATCACAAGGTCAAGGGATCAAGACCATCCTGTCCAACACGGTGAAACCCAGTCTCTATTAAAAATACAAAAATTAGCTGGGTATGGTGGCGGGCATCTGTAGTGCCAGCTACTTGGGAGGCTGAGGCAGAAGAATCGTTTGAACTCAGGAGGCGGAGGTTGCAGTGAGCCAAGATTGCACCACTGCACACTCCAGCCTGGTGACAGAGCGAGACTCCGTCTCAAAAAAAAAAAAAAAAAAAAAAAAAAAAAAAAAAAAAAAGGATAATAAGTAGGACCACTAGGACCACTGATGTAAGCAGACTTAAGAATCTCAAACAAGTTTTTGGGTTTAGTTTGTATATTTTCTACATATACCTCTAATCAACAGGGATAGCCACTGTTAGCATTTTGAAGCGTTTCTTCCAAAAAGTGTTACTATTTCTAACCACAAGCACAACAATATTGCTTACATAATTTAACTCTTAGGCTATGAGTGTTTGTTTTTTGGGGGTTTGGTTTTGAGGATTTTTGTGCCTTATAAATAGCCCTCCATAGACTTGGGAGAAAGTGATGGCATTAATATGTAAAAAGAATAATATCTCAGGTTTAGATTTTACCATTTCTCATCCACAGAATGCACTTCTGCAGCACCAGAAGAACTTGTCAGGCAAATAGCTAGATTCGAGTTAGAAACAAACCAAAAATCCAATCAAATTAGTTTTGAGATCATGATTGAGGTCACGATAATGAACAAAAGAAATTAACCGTTGGCCAGGCATGGTGGCTCACGCCTGTAATCCCAGCACTTTAGCAGGCAGAGGCGGGCGGACAGCTTGAGCCCAGGAGTTCAAGACCAGTCTGGGCAACATAGTGAAACCCTGTCTTTACTAAAAATACAAAAAATTAGCCAGGAGTGGTGGTGTACTACCCAATTACTCAGGAGGCTGAGGTGAGAGGATCACTTAAGGAGTGAGACTCTCTAAAAAAAAAAAAAAGAAGAAGAAAAAAAGAAAAGAAAGAAAGAAATTAACTATTGGAAATGTCTAAGTTTTAAGATTTTAACCCAATCTTTGACCCTGTAGATATACAGCTTAATTTGATTATTTCCTTTCCTGAGTTTATTTAATGGGCTTGGTATGATAGAACCACTACCAGAATACTACCAGAATACAGCTCAATGAACTTGTTTAAAACATCTTAAGATGTTGAACTGCAGTGAGAAAAAAAGGGGACAGTACAATCCACTGTGGAATGGCAAATGCATGAAGACTTCATAGAAAGGATTGATAATGAGTCGTGTTCAACGACATCCACATTTTATTGTATGCCCCACAGTATAGATGGCAGGGTATTCATTAGTTATGACTTATGTGGTTCAAGTAAATGTAGTGACTTACAGTGGGTTTGTAACTTTGCAGGTGGTATGATATAATCATGGTTCTTAACCTGGCCGTCTGTTAGAATCCCTGGGTGAGTTTCTAAAAAAATACTAATGCCCTGTCCCCAGCCCAGAACAATGACTTCAGAGTCTCTGGCTGTGGAGCTGAGGCAATGATGTATTTTTAACTCCAGATGATACTATTGTGTAGTTTGAGATGCACCGGTACAAACAAACAGCTCAAGTTTCTGAGTCAGCCGGTGCTGGGTTCAGATAGTGGCCCTGCCCCTGATTAATTGTGCAAATTTGAGTGTTGTTTCCTCATCTGGAAATGGGAGATGGTAATACCTACTTCACAAGGTAATTGTAACTATTAAATGAAAAAAATATATGGAGAATGCTTGGGAAATAGTGGCCACTCGTTCATGCCAGGTCCTCCCCTTTATATCTTTCATGTTTTGTGTGCTCTAAAACAAATCTAGTTTTGCTAAATTATTTCAAGACAGTCGCTCAGATATTCAATGTCTTTTCATTCTGCCCCAAGAAATTGAGCTTTCAAAACTGTGGGATTGCTGGCTAGGCAGCTCACAGGTAGCATTGTGGAACAACAAGCAAAGTCTGAGCATCGCTTTGGGAGCAATGCGTCCATCTTCAATAATACTGTCACATGCCACGCCATGAAAGGAATAGAAAGGTCTGGCTGTTGTCTGTATCTGATCAGATTTAACGTTTAGATTCCACCCTCGATGCAGCCAAAGCATGCCTGCAAATGTTCCTCATTCGTGACTCACTAAATAATAAGGATGCTGATTTCCACTTGCAATAGTACCCTACAAAGTGGCATGTAATGGGAATCTGACACAGGAATTTTCTTTGAAATAAGATATATAATGTGATCTTAAGACCACAACAGATCTCATCTTAATGACGTTGAGAAACCCCATGAGCTTCATCAGGAGACGCAGAAGAAGTGAACATTTTGCAAGCTGCTATTGCTGGATTAATCTCAGAGGTGGTTGTTGCTGGCCTCGCAACAGCAGCCTGTGCTCTTTCCTGCTAGCCTGGCCCAGTAGTGTGGGGAGTTAAGGACGGAGCCCCTCTTTAGATGTGCTCTTCTGCCATCTTTAATTCCAGTCTTAAGCCACAAGACTTCCTGGCCCATTCAGCATTCTGGAAAGAAATTGTGTTGACTTCTATCTTCCCTCCAGGAAGAAAGAAAGAACTATTTTTACTTTTATTATCGTATTTCAATGGCCTAAGGTAAATGCAGTACTATTCTCTCTTTCTTCCTTCAAGTTCATTATTTTGCCATGAAATGATATATATGCTTTGGGGTTTAAGTTTGGAAAAAGTCAGTAAAAGCATACAATGTATCTCTCCTTGGGTCAAAGACAAGAAACTTTAGCACAAACAGCCATGGCAACTGCATCAAAAGAAATCCACTGGATTATACTTCAAATAAGTCCACATTTTTCGTTACATCTGTGGTGCATTGCAGGACTGAAATCTGTAGCTTTTCAACATAATATGTGTCTAGATCAAACAGTATTAAATAATCATTAAAATCTGCTTTGTCCTTCTTGAAGAGCTGTTCATAGCTTCACATTGTGCTATGTGTATTAATGGAACATTGGATATTATATAAAATGTGAATTGCAACTGTCTTGTGTGGTAGACAGTTTACTAAAGTATTATCCAGAACACATGCTATCTGATTTACTAACTTATTATCCATTAAAAAATCCCTGGGTAAATAAATGTGTAACTAAAAGAATTGTTACTCTGTATAATCAGATGAATAGATACAAACAGGGAAGATTGCTGTCATTATGTTGTATATTGTGCTAAACAGATGCACATGATTTTTTTCAAATAGTGCACATATCAAACTGCTTCCTTCCGTCTGGGCTTTGCTTTTATCAATAAGATTTTCATATTCCAAATCAATTGTTGTTCTGAGAAGGCTATTCCTCTCCCTACTTCTCCTTCTCCCACTCTCTTGCCCTCCCACTGCCCCAAATCTTTCAGTCAAGGGGCTTGGCCCAGAAGAGAAATGACTAGAAACACCAGGCCTATTCCGTGTAACTGAGCACTAGGTCTGCCCTTACTCTAAGGAATATATCGTGTCCCAGGGCCCATTGGAAACTCAAGTCAAATCACAGTGAGTGGAAACTGAGTCCTTGGAAGGTTGCCAGCTGCCACAGATAAACTGTTCCCACAGCAGTGGGCCACACTGCATCAGTATCACTTGTGTTTTGGATTCTTCGGTAGATGACAGGGTGGAACTGCACTAAGCCACCCATTCCTCATTCATTCTCCCATTGGCACACACACCTATTATGGAATTGGCAGGATTTCTAAGAGCAGGCAGCAGTCATGGGCAGAGATGATAATCAACCTTTCCTTCCATCCATCCCCTCATCCCATCCCACCCAGCCAGTCAGCCACAGCAGAAACCTTGTTAGGTACCTATGGTGTCAGGCAGCATGCCAGGATAGGGAGGGGAAGGGCTTCCAAATAGTTTAGAGTCCAGTAGCAGAGACTTGTCAGCAAGGCACCAATTATAATAGAGGATAATAAACGGTTCCAGGCTCGTGTGTCAGATGCTTTTGGAGCACAAAGTAGGGCATCTGACCCAACTACTTCACTAATATAATCAAGGGCCGGGAGCTGTGGCTCATGCTTGTAATCCCGGCACTTTGGGAGGCCAAGGAAGGAGGATCACTTGCGCCCAGGAGTTCAAGCCCTGGGCAACATAGCAAGACTCTCTCTCTCTATTTTAAAAATAAAAACAAAAATAAAATAAAATAATAAAAAAACTAATAGCTGGAATCAAGGAAGGAGGTAACCACTGAACTGAAAAAGGAAGCGGGGGGTGTCAGATAAATTTCAGAGTTTTGGTTTGGCAAAATGGATTAAAAAGTGGTGGCATTTATGAAGATAAACAATTAGGAGGATGTGATGTCTGCCATATCCTCGGTCCTTCCTAAGAAATTTGCTTCTACGAAACTCTTTTTTCTAAACAGCTTTATTGAGATATGATTCACTTACCATGCACTGCTTCTATGTTGATGTAGAAGTCAGTGGCTTTTAGAATAGAGTTTTAGCACAGAGTCGTGCAACCTTCATCACAATCAATTTTAAAACATTTCATCACCCCAAAAGGAAATTCCATACCCATTAACTGTCATGCCCCAATCCCCCACCCCCACCCACAGCCCTAAGCAATCACTAATCTAGTTTATATAGAGATGTGCCTTTATATATAGTTCTGGGCAGTTCATATCAATGGAATCACACAATATGTGGTCTTTTACGACTGGCTTATTTCACTTAGCATAGGGCAGTTGGGTGATTAAAACATTCTTGAAAAAGGCAGCCAAGTGTCCTACCTTTGGCCACAGTGACAGATTGGATCAGTGGGCCCTTGAGGGTAGCCAGCCCACAGGCTGGTCAAGAACCGATAAGGAGGTATGGCATGAAAATATGTGCCAGAAAATCATATTCTCTCCAATTTGAACCACAAAAATACTGAGAGAATGAGGCAGCATTCAGTAGGATCTAAAACTGGCATGGACATTCCATGAGCTAGAGTTGGCTTGTGAGGCGTCAAGGCATGCACGAGTTATGCAGAAGTGGAAATATGAGTAAGATGAGAACGAGGAAACAAGTTAGCAGAGTTGTCAGGTAAAGAAACAATGCACATCCCAGGCATGGACCAGCCACTCAGAAGCAAGTGTCAAGTGGGATAGCTGAGTTAGGTTAGCGACACATGCAAAAGCCACCCTGATTCCTGCTCTTAACATCCAAGAGTTGCTCTGGGCTCTCACTTTTCCTGACCCATTACAGTTTCTCTTCCCCTGGGGCCTGGTTTTGGTTTTTGCTTTTTCAGCTTTAACTAGGTTCTCCCACCTATGTATCCTTACAATAAAACCAACATTATTCGAAGTGATTCAAATGAGCTTAACATGAAAAGCAGCTAAGTGGGATGAGGGAATAATGAATTCAGTACAAGACGTGCTAAGTATGAGGTATGGGACTCCAGGCTGAGTAGGTGTTGGGATATATATGCACCTATAGCAGGGGAGTTGGTAATGCGAATGGCATTTGCAAGGCTTCGATGTAGACAGAACTCGTAGATACAGTAACATGAAGGGGAAAGACAGAAAGATGCTTACAAAAGATGTTTCCTTTGTAAGAGGGGCAGCCAGGGTGGTGGGTGAAGAACCAGGAGGTAGTGGTTGGGGACCAAAGCCACAACCCTAGTCTCATTATGCACCAACCTAGATGCCAGCAACTCTTGCAATGGAACTGCTTGGTCTTCATTACTTCCCCTACCTGCTGAGGAGAGCAGACTAATTTCCTCATTCTCAGCTTTGATTTCCATTTAACTCAATGAACGTTCACCTAGGACTGACTTATGCAAAACACTATGCTATGAGGAATACCAAGGGGTGGGGTGGGGTGGTGATTACATCCCTAGACTCAAGGAAAAGGAGAGACAGACCTACTGTTTCTTGTAAGCTTAACTTGCATCAATCTGGCACCATGTGAGACACATGGTTATCTTGCTTAAACCTCTCAACAACCAAGGCAGAAACTGAATAATCATGGGCTTGAAACAGAGAAAACTTGGCTTCAATCTGAGCATCAGTTAGTGATGGTGAAACCTTGCTCTAAGCTCCATTGCAGAGGGCTGTTTGAGTATTAAATGAGATAATATGAGTACAATTCCTCATACATAGTAAGTGCTGGATACACTGGAGCTGTGATTTATTATAATTATTATTGGTAGTAGTATCCACTTGCTTATGAGGAATAGACCTGGCTTTAGTTTCAGGTGTTCAGACTGACTACTTTTCCACTACATCATATTACAGTCTATGAGAATAAAGGATGTCTACTCCAATAACCACAATTCAAGGCAAAACAGGGCAGGGACAAGTCAGAAGAACTGGTGGGTTCCAGCCCTGCCACCTCTTCTGCACTCACTGTGCAAGTCATCTGATCCCTGCCTCTCCACCACTCCCCTGACTTCACATGGTTGTTTTACAGCTCGACTGACACTGTGCATGAAAGCATTTTGTAGACTGTGAAAACGTGTGCAAAGGTTACAATTTGTTGGGGAAAACCAGCCAAGTTAGGCTTTATGAAACACTTTTGGGTATTCCAGATGAATTTTTCATATAAGTATGCTCTCGGGAGGTGGCCCACTGTAAACACTTACCAGCCCCAAGTTACTTAGGCAAGATGCTTGTGGCAGGGAATACCTAGATCAGACTCCAGGACAGGTGGAGGCAGAGCCTCAGTTGGGGGAGGATGCCAGTAGGAGAGGCGTAGGAAGGACAGAGACAAAGTCCACACCCACGTCGGTAATTTCCCTGCAGGCCTCTCTGAAAAAGCCCAGACACCACAGCTCCACAAATCCTCCCCTGGGCCACCTAGGGTGTTAGTGTCATCTGTGGCTACATCGACTGACTGAAGCCCTCGTAATTAGCCACAAACTAGTAAAACAGAAAGCCAGGAAAAAAGACCACATCAGTGGAAGTTGCCTTTGGAGATGAATTCAGACCACCCAGAAAGCCACTCAGTTCTGCTGAGTTTACCAAATCTTAATGCACAACATGATCAATAACAAATAGTGAGAAGTAAACACCAAATCTGACCCTCTAATTCTGAAACAAACAGAAACCAACTAGAACAAAGAGAGTAGACATTAGGGATAGTTGCCAGGGCACCTACAGCACGGCATACACTATTGGCTGAAAAACACATTGTATTACCTCGAGGTGCAGAGACATGTAGTCTGAAGGATTGTCCAGAGTCTGTTGTTTGTTGATCTGATTTGGTGAATTGTGTTTATAGAAGCACCAAGAGCAAGTAAAAGATTATTAGGACGCAGCCCTTGCTCTCTTGAAGCTTACATCTTAGACATTTATTTGAAACCACAGCAACCAAGAAGTATATAATGACTGCTCAATTGTGTAACCCCAACTATAACAATTTAGAATTTGGCAGATATTAGTGAAGCCTGGAAATATCAGGGAAGCCTCCATAGAGGAGCCAGAACTTAGCTGCAGCTTGGAAAAGAGGACTTTCCACTTGATGGGAATAAATACCTGGCACATAGTAGGTGCTCAATCAATGTTTGTTGGATAAACATTGCTGAGAAAGTGCATGCAGCTGGGCATGAGCAAGGTGGTTGGGTGGCCGGTCATGCCATACTGCAAAGCCACACTGCCTTATCTTCCTTCTGATGCATCTGATCAACACCCCCAAGGAAAGGCAGTTAAGGTGATTCTGTTTCCTTTTGCCATTTCTATTCTCAAGTGAAGGAGAGGTAGAGATCTGGGGGGAAAGAAGAAACGCCCTTTTAGCACAGAGGACCTGATCACCCTCGCCACTGTCCTTTATAGCAATTTAGAAATAAACCTTCAGGTGTACACTTTACAACTTGGACCATGCCATTAATGTCAGTCCCAACTATAATACCACCGTCATGCACTCTGGCTCCTGCTATTCCTCAGAAAAGACTGTAAATCCTTGCAATCTGTAGAATCCCCATTAAAGCTCTGAATAAATGTCCTCAACAATTAAAATTCATTCATTACATGAATTTTTTTAAACTCGCAGTCTTGCATATAAATAGCAAAGGGAATGCTGCATGCAGCTAGTCCATAGATTAAGCAAAGCAGACAGATAAAGATATACAAGTAGCCACAGGACTGGTGTGAATTGTGATTTATAAGCCAAATAGGAAGAGAGGGGAATAGTGTCTCCTCTGGTCATAAGATTTTGTTCATTTTGTCTATTTGTAGACAAAAGTCTACAACCTACTTTCAACATAAATGTGTGATCCATTTCTGTCTCCAGGAGCACAAATTTTAGGTATATTCGGACATCCATCCTTCCCCTTTCAGCCAGGAGCCATGCAGATGTGTAGGAATGGAGGAGTCATCATTTTACAGAAGAGGAAACTGAGGTTCAGAGAGGCTACGTGATGTCAAAAATCATAGCTGCAGGCCTGGCGCAGTGGCTCACGCCTGTAATCCAAGCACTTTGGGAGGCTGAGGGGGGCGGATCACCTGAGGTCAGGAGTTCGAGACCAGCCTGGCCAACATGGTGAAACCCCATCTCTACTAAAAATACAAAAATTAGCCAGGTGTGGTGGTGGGTTCTTATAATGCCAGCTACTCAGGAGGCTGAGGCAGGAGAATCGCTTGAGCCTGGGAAGCGGACGTTGCAGTGAGCCGAGATTGCACTACTGCACTCTAGCCTGGGCAACAAGAGCGAAATACCATCTTAAAAAAAGAATCATAGCAGACGTTAGGATCAGAACCGATCTACAGGAATGCAGAAGTTTCTTCACCCCTAGAACTTTGCTCTTTTATGCATACTCAGTATTTCTCAAGGTATGCTCCACAAGACACAAGTGCCTAGAACATAGGTGCTTTGTGGAAAGGAAAAGACAAAATGTCATGGTCGTCATGGTCAGATAAGTTTTGGAAGTGCTGGATCAGACAAATTTAAGTGGGCTTTTTCATTTGTTTGTTTGGACTGTAGAACTTATAGGACTTGTAACAAGATTTCTTTCCACAAAAGTTGGGGGAGTGGGGAATGCACAGATAGTGCCTACAGGCTTTCTCAGACTCTGACATCAGAACACTTTTTACCGCATGAAATAAATACCTGGGAGCCCCTTAGGGTCCAGCAACCTTTCACACAACGTAGCTTAGAAAATGCTGTGCCGAGCCCCTCTTTCTCAGCTATTTCATGGGCTGGAATGGCATTTGTCCACATTTTGTGGGGCTTCCTTGTCTCTCTGCAGATGCTTCTGAGCCAAGTCCAGAAGACGTGGGAAGTGGGGTCTCTTGGCACTGATGTAGCTACAGCACGAAGGTATTGTGTTTCTCCTTCCTAGGCACCCAAAGTGAGAGCAGCAGGGCGCAGCAGTGCCCAGAGCTGACTGATGGCATCAGGAAATCTAGCTCATCCCAACCACAGGCAGTTTTTAAAATTGGGGTTGTGGCTCCCCCTGCTAAAGGTATCCTCACAGGATGTCATATCAGAGCTCAGCCCCCGAGTGAGAAACAGTTATGCCTAGGGGTATGGAAGGGAAAAAGAGGAGGAAACGGGGGCTTTAATTTCCATCCCTGACTTTTTCCCGGCTGCCTTTGTAAGACTTTGGTCACCTGCTCCTAAAATGCCTCTTCAGCTGTGTTTCTACAGAGGTGTTAACTGCTTTCCTCACCGGGGACTGTGCAAAGGGAGACCTCTGTTTCTGGTTCAGCGACATTACCCACGGACCTTGTTACCAACCTTGGCGACCAGAGAACGCTGATCTCCAAAGGTCTAGACCCGGTGAAACAGCGTTCGGTGGCCACTGACCGGTTTCCAGAGTCAGAGCTCCCCCTGCTGGAATCCAAAGCACGTCGTAACCCTGTCTGGACGTATTTTATTCCACAAGACCGTGCAGCCCTGATTGAGTGAACTTTCCACCAGCCACTTTATCCTCATACACAGGCATTTTCCGAGGAGGACTTGAGCCGACATCAGTGTTTGGCCATTCGCGGTTCTCGCTTCCCCTTGGTTATTTCCCCTTCGCTGAAATATATTCTAGTTTTCCCAGCCCAGATCTAATTGGACTCCTCCGGGCTGGGAATTTAGGTTTGGGAGATTTCCCAAATTAAACCATGAAGTTTATCACTAATATAATTACATTTCTCAAATACCAGACCTTTTGCATTGCTCATCTAGATGGGGGAAAGGAAGAAAGGAAAAAGTGAGGAAGGGAGGGAGAGAGGGAGGGAGGGAGGGAGGGAAGGAAGAAAGGAGGGAAGGAGGGAAGGAGGAACAGTGAGTCCTGCTTTTCTATCATGGGATAATAACATGTCTAAAAAAAGTGTTTCCCTTAATTGGGACCCAGGGGACGGAGAGTAGAAAAATACCTCCAGAAAGTCCCCCTTCGGAGTGGGGTCTAGAGCACAGATGTTGGGAATCAGGTTTCACTCTGCTCCAACAGCTCAGCCTTTCCATGCCATAAGGACCCTGCGCTGTCTGCCGAGGAAAACAACGAACAGTAAACCTTTGCTCATTTCTAGCTTCATCTTCAGAGACCGGATTCTCCAGAATTCCTGTGGCTGAGTAATTCCATGTCCCTTGATTTGGGGAATTCCTCCTAGGTAAAGCTTTAACAGACACCATTCTATTTGAAATCGCAAGTACTGTGCATCTTTTCATTTGCTAAAGGAGAAGAAGAAGGGAAAGAAGGAAGGAGTAGAACCCAGTCAGTGTGAAATGTGTATCTCTCCTGTGGGACAGCGGCAAGGTTTTCTGCTGGTTTTCTAGATCAAACGAGGACTCCTTATGAACTACTGGCACAGAATTTCGAGGCTCTTTATGACTTAGAATTAGGGAGCATGTTGGCTGTGTTTTCCTCCTCCAAAGGTGGAATGTGTGGCCATTTTGGGGCACCTTGAAAATAAAAAATGGAAAGATACCAAATGCAAAAGCCTAAATAAAGGCATACCTCCTTCAACTCAGTAAATAATTATTCAGATTTACAAAAATGAATAAATAAGGGAGCAAATCTTCATTTTACAGAAGTATGCATACACCATGAGATTCCTTTACATTCCAAGTTCCCCTGATGCATAAAACATATGACTAGATTTACAAAAACTTGATTTACACAATTTTTTAGGAAAACAACTTTGCAGAAAGATTAGGTATGATTAGATGCTAGAAGAGCTCTTCTCTCAAGGGAAAACAAATGAGCTTAGCTAACGGGAGATGGTGGAGTTAATAACCAAAAAATTCTTCATGCCATTTGAAAGAGTTGATTTCAATATTGTGAAGTTCTTAAAGATTTCTTAGGCAACTCCAAATGACTGCTTACAGGCATGGGAACAGAACTCCTGGAAGGGACTGCAGCAGGAAATGGGCAGTGTTCAACCCTTTCTGAACTCAAGGGTTCCAGAAGAGAGCCCGTGAGGCCAAATGTGTCAGCTAGGAAATGATAGGGTCTGCCCCCTGTAGGGCAAAGGGAACCTGTACGTTGTCCTTGAAGGACTGACATATTCCTCTCTCCTTCTAAACGCCAGTCCTTCCACTTCTATGAGGATAAATACTGGAGAAAGGAGAGAAGAGGAGGGGAGGGGAAGGAGAAAGGGAGGAGAGGGAAACCTGTGTGGCACTGAGGGCGTTTGGCTGAAGCTAAAAGAAGAAACCTAATTCTAAGTGAATACATTTGTTCCAGAGAGGTCTAAGAAGACTCTCGGAGCCTTGCAGCCTGGAGCTGGATTTTCCTCTGAAGCCCTGCCATGCAAAGGGCAAACAAATGACCATGTAGATGATGCAAATGAGGGTTTCTCATGTATTTCTCCCTGAATGATCGAAGACGCTTCACTTTAAAATTCATACTCAGAATAATTAGCCATTCTAACCTTTAAAAAAAAAAGAGTTCACATGCATACTCTTTTCTAATAAATAAATACTGCCCTGCACCATTTTGAAATGTCTAGGAATTTCCGTCATATTGTGGTCTAATCTCTGATTTGCTTTTAGCCTTCTGATCTGCAGGAGAATCGGAGCTATGCGAATCCACATCCAGGTTCCTTTCTCACCCTTTTATTCTCCCACGGCAGCATTTGGAGATAGCTGGAGAAGGAGGTGTTCTCTTTCTCTCCCCTCTCTCTCTCATAGACGCAAAGCCACAACAATGTTGAAAATCTGTGCAGACGTCCACTTCTGTTAGCTTCCATTTCTGTGCATGCTACAGTATTTGTTTATGATTTTGCACCCGTTCTGGTGATGCAGCACATTTACAGCTCATGAATATTTGATACTGAATTAAACAATTTGTCATTCTATTACATAAAGAGCACAATTTAGTTCAGAGCAAACCATTTGAAAGAGAACTCATTATTATGATACCACGATTTTATTTTATTTTATTGTAGTGTTTTGATTGTTAAATAGACAATACATGTCTTTCTCTCTCTCTTTTAATTTTTTTTTTTGTCTAAAAGATGAAACCCTGCCTTTTACTTTGCAAACTACATTACTTATTTTCATTTAAATAAGGGAAAGTATTTTTCTAAAATATTAAATTGTTTAACATGCGCCCCTTTAGAAAAAAAAGGACCATGTTTGTATTTAACAACAATTCAGCTAAAAGACAGTTCAGAGACTCATCAGCAGCCCAGTTCGCTTGTTTGTCAATGAAGGATCTGTGATCGTGTTCTGTGCAAGTTGTTTTAATAATATGGATTCGTCTAAATGAATCTACGCAGGCACAGACACATTAGAAATGTTGGGTCTTTACCAACATAATCATTGGTTTGTGCATCTGATCAGGGCATCTACTGGGAGCAATGATGAAAATAACTAGGGTTTTGTTAGGAGAGCTAGACAGGCTACTGGTTCTTCTGCTCCCCACTCTGTTTTGTGGTGTTCTCTATCCCAGATTTCCAGAGCTGACCTTGGGGCAGGGATGAAATACTGCCTCAGGAGGGCCTGGCCCTGCGTGCCCTGTACCCTAAGGTACAGACTGAATTCCTGCCAAGGACAGGGGCAGCTTGTTCTCTACCCTGGACCGCTTGTTCTATATCACTGGCAAGAAGACATCACCACATGGCCAGCAGTAAATACACGGAGGTGCTCAGAGGGTTCGTAAGTGTGCAGAGATGGAAAATTGTTCACAAGTGACAAAGCACATATGTTATTCTGTATGGTCATCAACTTCACTCAACATCTCTATTTTCTTGTTTGATTTTTCTTTTCCCTTTAATTTGACCAAAGCAAAGCAGGAAATGGCTTTAGAGCTTTAAAATAAAAATAAAATTAGCCAAGAAAACAAGTCAAAATACTTAAGCCACTCCTTGTAAAGATTTTTTCCTTCATTTTTGATAATTTATAAGAGTTAGCCATATAAGAAATTTTGTTTAAGGTAAAGAACCAGTTCTCAATGTATCATTATAAGGTGTAACTATCCCCAAATATTTTTATTTCTTCATTTTCTTCCCTACAAGAATGTTTGTTGTTACTTTCCAAAAGCCAAATTGCTTTATAAAGGTCCATTGTAATGTTCCTCACACCTAATATTTGCTGATTCACATTCTTTTTTTTCTTATTTTATTTTATTTATTTATTTATTTATTTATTTTTTTTTGAGACAGAGCCTTGCTCTGTCGCCCAGGCTGGAGTGCAGGGGCACGATCTCAGCTCACTGGAGCCTCTGCCTCCCGGGTTCAAGCGATTCTGCTGCCTCAGTCTCCCGAGTAGCTGGGATTACAGGTGCATGCCACCATGCCTGGCTAATTTTTGAATTTTTAGCAGAGACGGGGTTTCACCACGTTGGCCGGGCTGGTCTCGAACTCCTGACCTCAGGTGATCCGCCTGCCTTGGCCTCCCAAAGTGCTGGGATTACAGGCATGAGCCACCGTGCCCAGCTGATTCACATTCTTATATTGAGGGTGGATTTTTTTATATATAATCCAAATGCTTCCTTTGATGTATAATTTAGATGAAACCATATTAAGATTTAACCAGGGAAAATAGACCCCCTGCATTCCACTTTACCATATAAAACACTAAAAACATTTAGAATTCCTCTGCTGTCTCTTACTGCATGATATTCTTTAAAAACTGACAAAAACATATGTTCTGTATCTGATATTACTCCTAGAATGGCAAATGGTTTGCAGTAATTTTTGTTAACCATTTAAAAATATGGAAGAAAGGCAATACTAGTCAAATTATGCTTTCTCTTCAATAATCAGTTTAAGTCAAAAGGTACTACACATGTGTTTGTGATTATTTTCTCCATAATTAAGTTTATATCATAATATCCTTGTGCATCTGAATTGGTCAAATACAATGGTCACAATTTGTGTTTTAATATTCGTTGCCTGTTATTGACCAGAAGGCAACTAACTCTAAGATATATTTTATTTTTAAAGATTAAAAGTAACAAAAGCTAGAGTCACAGAGTTGGTTAAAATGAAGTGCTGTGTCTGCACGCTTGGACTGTATTTTTTGTTTGTTCGGTTGGTGGGTCAGTTTTGATAACTTGAGGACCTGGTGTCCTCAAATGTAAAGTAAAGGAGTTGGAATACAGAATCTCCAGGTTTCTTTCCATTCCGTTTCCATTAAGGATGGGTTTATAAAACAAAGCTTGGCTTTTTAGGGTAAAATGATTTAAGGTAAGGCCTCTACGTGGTGTCATCAGCCACCTGGTGTCACTGTCAGATCACCTGGTGGATGCTGCTAACCCTGGAAAATTTGGGAAGGACTCTGTTCTCTGGGTTTTGTTTGTTTTGATGCTATTGTTTCCGGTTTTTGCTCAAGTAATATGATTTCTCTCCTTGGCCTTCTTATTGTTTGTTCTCACTCTCCCCACTCCCACCCTCGCCCCCCTCCACACACACACATACATTCTCCCTCTTCTTTCCTTCCAATGTCCCTGATTCCTCTGTCTAGCTTGATTGCCTGCCACCCATTTTCTCTCCACTCCTTGCAAAACTTTTCTTCTTTGACTGACTGCTCACTTTGCCATTCCCCTCAACTATACTTGTTTCTAAATCACTTTGGATCTCACTTTCTGTTTACCAAGTCTGAAAATAATAAATAATAAATACAGGCCACTTTAGATCTAGGCTTTCTTAAACATTTTTTGGTTTGCCTCAATAATCCTAGGGGTTAGAGGGCCCCATAACCTGTAATGTAATCCAGACACTCTCTAGGGTAAAAAAAGAGTTGGATTTTATCCAAAAATCGTGGTTGTCTACAGGCATGAATTGAAAGAAGATCAATTGAGAGGAAACAGCATGACGTACGTTCTCTAGGGAATCCATGGATCCGAGAAGCCTTCAGAAGATAAATATTGGCCCCAGGGAGAAGGAGCCAGTTTCTCTCCTGGAGGCCACCTAAATGTGGAGGGAAACACCCCTATATCTGGCCTCCTCCATAGGCCAGGTGAGGGCTTCCCAATGTCTTGGAAAGCACCAAGTTGGTGAGTGGCATAACCTGATCATGTCATTCCCACTGATCAACAAAGACACACTAGTGGAATTTGTCTTCCTGTTTCTTGTAGCCCTCCCATCATCAATTGGGAGTGAGTGAAAGAGTCACCTCAGCCTCCCATCCAGTCGTCCTTAAGGGAACAGCTTTAAATGCAATGCAAACAGACCAGGCGCGGTGGCTCATGCCTGTAATCCCAGCACTTTGGGAGGCTGAGGCGAGCAGATCACCTGAGGTCAGGAGTTCAAGACCAACCCGGCCAACATGGCAAAATCCCATCTCTACTAAAAATACAAAATTAGCCAGACATGGTGGTGTATGCCTATAATCGCAGCTACTCGGGAGGCTGAGGCAGGAGAATCGCTTGAACCCAAGAGGCGGAGGTTGCTGTGAGCTGAGATCACTCCATTGCACTCCAGCCTGGGCAACAAGAGCAAAACTCAAGAAAAGAAAAAAGAAAAGAAAAGAAAAGAGAAAATGCAAACCACACAGGGATTAAAGGATAACCACTCCAAGATTCAAACGGCTTTAAGTCTCAGGAGAAAGTATGACATTGAAAAAATATAGAAAAATAGGTCATGAAAAGAATGTAATAGTAGAGGCCAGTATCCACAGAGTAGGAAGAAACACTGATAAATTAGAAAGGCTTCCCGGTGTTATTACTGGTTTTTTATATTGACCATGTTTTCTACCGACACCAACATGTGGACAGAATGTGATACTCGCCAACTAGTCAATGCTCTTATGGCTGACAGCACACAAAGCTCAGAAGAGTCTTTCTTTTCCATCCCTGCCAGTGCCTGGCTTTTCAGTACAACTCAGGCCAAAGGAGACGTCCCTGCCTGCTAGACAGGGTCTGGTTTGCCATGAGCCAGAGACTTCCCGGTAGCACTCGGGGGCTGGGAATGCTGTGAAAATGCAGGGTCAGGCAGGAAAAAAGTAGGTGCTCCCTGTTAAAGCAAACTAAATGTGGCCTGAGAAGGACTCCGTACTTCTATATTTGAGCCCTTGTGGATGAACTGCAACCTAACTTAATAGGTAGATGAGATTGAAAACCTAATTTAGGAGTCTGCACCAGTAACAATCGCTAAGTCTTAGCCAATCCCAGCAGACATACTTCAACCAGTCACACACCGCTGAGTGTTCAAACTGTGTTCAAATAAGGCAAACCCCAACCTGTAACCAGTCCAGCTGTCTCTTTAGCTCACCTCCGATTTCTGTATGTCACTTCCCGTTTTTTGTCTATAAATTTGTTCTGACCACGAGGCATCCCTGGAGTCTCTCTGAATCTCCTGTGATTCTGGGGGCTGCCTGATTCACAAATCGTTCGTTGCTCAATTAAACTTCGTAATTCGGCTGAAGTTTTTCTTTTAACATCCTTGAAGGTGCCAGTGAACTTTAGCAATCCGTCAAAGTACTTTTCATCTCCAAGTCCAACCTGTTCACCGCACATCGACTTCCACATATATTAGCTTGGGAAGCAAGCCTGCCAAGATGACCTGAAAACACTGGAAATTGGTGCCATCCCTGCAATTAATGAGGGGTGACAGTGGCTGCAGTTGTGGGTAAATCCTCTCTGGCGGACAATTTCCTATTTGGATACACTCAAGTTCACCCTGTTTGTTTCTGAATCATAATAAACTCCCTCTGTGAATTTCATATACAAACCCCTGTTCTTGGGGCTATGCCAGACCCAGAGCCCACTCTGAATTTCATGGAGGAGAAAGATGTACCTAAGGTTTGCTCCACATCACGGCGTGTCTTCTTTCGCATGCTCTCGGTGGTCGTGTTAAAGCAACTAGAGGAAAGGGTAGGACATGGAGTACTTAAGATTTCCCTTGAAGCTGTTGGCAACACTGGTTGGAGAACTTCTGCTGTTCTCCAACCAGTGCTTATGCTGCAGGCAATTTTGTTGTTCAGAAGAGCTCACCTTTTTAAAATAAACAAGCCTCATCAATTGTGGGAGCCGAGGTTTTCTTTGCACTTCACGATTTAGCTACCTTATGTGTTTTTATGGCAACCTCCCTCCCACCCCCACCCCACCATTTATCACATCATCTTATCACAGTCTCTTTGGGAGACGCAAATAGCACACTAATGTTTCCCTTTGTTAGGGTGAGTTGTCAATCTCCTCAGAAAGGGAACAACTACAGACAGCTCTTTCTTTTGATAATCTTCCTGACACTTGCCAGAGACTGGCTTATCCATCACACAGAACCTGGCTCCGTGGAGAGGCACATGCCGACAGTCAATCAGTATGGATGTCACTTTGTGTCCATCAAGAAAATATGTAATGTGAACTGTCGTGTATTTTGTTCCAGTAAATAGCCTTCCTTTCTCCCTAAATCTTCTCTGTTTTTTTGTGGGCTGACAGTGCAAACACAACACACGCAGCTCTGCTCTTTGACTAAGCAAGTCTGAAAGCTGTCCTCTCTGCGCTGTTTTCAGTTTACTGACCTACTCTTGTTTTTGCTGACAAAGGAAGGGGAGAAAGAACGTAGAGCCTCAAATGCCCTAAGTTTGGATCAAGAGCACCTTGTTAGAATTAGGAATGCTGGATTTGGTGTGAACTTGGTGCTGAGTTACATCATCAGCCATAAGCTTCCAGCCACTGGAAATCTTCCTATAGACAACAGTCCTCACTTCCCAGATGCAGAGCAAGCCAGAGAACCTGTAGGAGAAAACCAGGAATATAGAGCCAGAAACATACAATGAAGTCATTTCTCCAAACAAGTTTGGGTAAATCAGCCAAGTCCAGGCCCCCAAATTGTTCTTGGAACCTTTTCCTTTCCATCTGAAAGAAGAAGGAGATCCTGTAGGGAAAGAGGTTGGAAGAGGCTGGGGTGCAAAAAGGAAAGAGGTTTTATATGGACGTTTGTGTATGTTAGGCAGGCCATGCACTGGCTGTGGATTGCCGCCTTCCTTCTTTTCTGGGAATAGAAATGGGTAAAAGCCATCATCAACCAACAATTATGATTGTCTCCAAGATCTCTCTAAGTAAGATCTCTGGCTAGAATTACAACTGGATCTCAGACAAAATTAGATTCAATATCTAGGTTTTTAATGGAAAAATCTGTAGAAAGCCAGATATCCGATAGAAAATGGTTAATAAATTATAGAGAGCCAAACTATGGAATCCTTGGCTGCTACTCAAGAATGAGGTGGATCTTTGTGTTCTGCCACAGAGAAGTGTCTAACAGGGAGTGAAAATGGCCTTTTGCATTACACTATGGACAATGCAACCCACCTTTTATTTCAAAAGCATGATACAAATGCCAATTATTAATCACTATCCCTGGGGTAATGAGACTGTGAGAGAGAAAATTTTATTTTCACTTTTTAGATTTGAATTTTTAAAAACAAGTGTTTATTTGCTTGGGTTTTTCTTTTAAGCCAATAGGAAAGATATACTTAGGTTCACTCACACATAATCTCCTGGCCAGGAAGGGTTTTAGGAGAAAAACTTTATGCACTTTCATTGCTTTAGAGAAGAGGGTGTATTTTCTTTTTCTGGGCATGTGTTAGGATGAAAAAAAAGAACAAAATCCACATTTAAAAAGCTCCCAAGCTGACTTCACTCTCCATGGCTGAGAAAATTAAGATTTTGGTGTGCTCTGCCAATGCAAGTGAATTGAATAGAATTTGTTTAAATGGAAGAGAAACTGGTGCTTCTAGGCCTCCCACAAAGATCTAGGGATCCCATGACAAAGAAATAATAATCCCTGGGGCTTCTAGATTAAAAAGAATTCTGTAGAGTCGATGTAAACAAACATCCTAATAAAAACCCGTTTCACTTTAAACACATATCTCTGAGAATTATTTTTACTTGTCTTTTTGACTGAAAATAAAAGATGTCTTTAAAAAATAAATTAAATAACTGACCAGGAAAATAAACCCCTGATTTGAAAATTCAGCAAACGTGCCAACCCACAGCACTGGAGTTTTGTGACAGAGAATCTAACTCCTGATAGAAAGCGTGGCGTATCACACAAAAACCCTAGGGGCTGGGGCTGGGAAACAAGGGCAGTGATATTCATGGATTAGAGTGGAAGGAAATTCGTGTGTGCATTCATGGGCGTGCTTTCCACTCAAGTGGAAGGGGTGACATTACAACAACTTCACTCAGAGGACTGGAGCCAGAGATATTTTTTCCCCCTATAAATTGAAAGAATTGAATGGTCTGTGGAAGAAATTCTCCAACAACTAGAAATGAAATCTGGTGAGAATTTCTTTAATGACTTTTAAAGCTATATGACATGCTGTGTGGATGCAAACATACTTTACATCTCCTGCTCCAAGGCTGGGCTGTATTGGGACCACTAGAATAACAATAACAACATAGAATGTATGTACACAGGCATGCATGCGTGCATGCGTGTGCACAGGCACACACACATTCACACACTGTCCTTTAGCACGAGCCACAAGATGAATATATGCTAGGGAAAGAAATGGAACAAAAAGAGATGGACAATATAAAATGTAGAAGCATTAATACTCACAGTTAATAACAGTAAAATAGGATTACAAAGCCTTTGGAATAAATCCATTCATAGATGTCACCCTAATGGCAATTTAAAAATATAATCACAAAGGAACAATGCTAAAATGTTCATTAGCAGGAAAGTAGTTTACAAATTATGCCATACTCAACAATAGGATGCAGTCATTCAAAGTGATGGTTTCGTTTTATATTTATTGACAGAAAGATAATATATAAAGTGATAATTATATAATTTATATATTTATATATCACATAAATGTGACATTTTATTATATTATGTAGTAATACTGTACCAAATTTTATTTCATAAATATTATATAATAAAAATTTATTTAAAGTGAGAGGATCAGATTGTAATACCGTATGAGTAGTTTGATACATTTTTGTTAAAATGTGTGATATACATAAAATAAAGTATAAAAGTTAAATATAGAAAGAACAATGTATGCAAATACTATATATAGCTATATATATATATATATATATATATATATATGGCATGAAAACAGGGTCTGGAGGCAGGGAACATAAGGCTGATTCACCCTTCAGCTACGACAGCAAATATCCTCTCCACAATAAACAACTTTGTAACTTTACTTCATCCTCCTCATTTACATAGGGTGTACCCCAAGTAGCCAATGGAATCCTCTAGAGGGTATTTAAATTCCCCAAAATTCTGTAACGGGGCCCTTGAGCCCCTATGCTTGGGTCCACTCCACACACTGTGGAGTGTACTTTCATTTTCAGTAAACCTCTTCATTCCTTCCTTGCTTTGTGTGTTTTGTTCAATTCTTTGTTCAAGATGCCAAGAACCCGGCCACCCTCAACCGGTGACAAAAGGATAAGCCTGAAATCAGAAGGTGATTCCCTCTAGGGGAGAGACTTCTTTTGTTGTTCTTGTTGTTTTTGCTTTTTTGTTTGTTTGCTTGTTTGTTTGTTTGAAACAGGGTCTCGCTGTGTTGCCCAGGCTGGAGTGCAGTGGCACAATTTCAGCTCACTGCAGCCTCGACCTCCCAGGCTCCAGCCATCCCTGCACCTCAGCCTCCTGAGTACCTGGGATGACAGGCATGTGCCACCACATCTGGCTAATTTTTGTATTTTTGGTAGAAACAACATTTCACCATGTTTCCCAGGCTGGTCTCGCACTCCTAAGCTCAAGTGATCCTCTCACCTCAGCCTCCCAAAGTGCTAGGATTATGGGCATAAGCCACCATGGCCAGCCATGGGGGAGAGACTTCTGAGTGGATATTTCTAAGAACAGACACAACAGAGTTTGCTAGAGTACACGAAATGTTTTGATCTAGGGGGTGGTGACATGGGTATACATAATTTTTAGGATTTTTTAAATGTTGAGATGTTCACTTATGATTTATGCATCTTTCTTTATGTACATTTACCTCAATTTTTTTTTTTTAAAAAAGCACAGGACCAAGATGTTAAGAATGCTATCTTTGAAAGACATGATTGGTTTTTCTTTTTCTTAGCCTTTCTTTTATATTCTGAAAAAAAGAATAAAGCAATTGTTTAGAAAAAAAATAAAGCCATAAAGACCAGGATCGTGGTGACTTTTCCTAATCAACATAGAATTTCCCTCTGCCAGACTCTTTTCTTGGTTTATGGTAGATATATAATATCCATAACATGTTTTCCATACATTCTAAACATTTTCCCCAATGCCAACAAAATCAACAGTTTTCACTCTGTGGTTAAAAGGCGTAAGGAACATGGAGACCTCATCCTCCTGCCTCATTAGGAAAATATCCAACCAAAAGAGGTCAGAAACCAGAGCAGTGCCCAGCCCGGGAGGGAAGTGAATGCGAGACGGGATGAAGGAAGCCCCGGCTCCGATTCCTGCAGCTCTGGCCTAGAAGTTGAAGGGCTCCGTTGAGGTGTGTTGCTGTGTACGTGCCAGGTTATGTTTATTTCATGTTCTGAATGATTCCTTTTTAACCTACCAAGTATTTATAGCCCATAGAAACTCAGAGATGAAAGTTTTTCCAATGTGCAAAAGCCACAAATGACAAAATCTTGTTAGAGTGGCCAAAGCCAGGAGGGCTCTCAAGCCCATGTGTGTGTCCATCCGTCTGAAGCCCCGTTCATTACGACTGAGCTTTTCTGGGCTGGTCCTCAGAGGAGAATGGGTGACCCTAGGAAACCATTGCCACCACTGTGTTGTGAGCTGAAGGAGAGCCATTGAACACAAACAAAAAGAATGCTTCAAGGACACATTGCAACACAATCAGAACCATGCCACTGGCTCTGATGGCTAGAGGTGACAGCAGGAGTGACACAATTAGGGACAGGAGTGGTTCAATTTAGGGGGAAAAAACCCACAGAAGTATGCGGTCCGTGGGACAAAAAGGCTGAGTTCTAAAGTCCCCCCAGTAAGCAGCTTCCACAAAGAGCTGACCATGTGCATGGAGCAGGCTCTGCAGATGGCTCTTTCAGCCACACTCAGACCTGGCACTGTAAAAGGAGCTCGGGGGCAGCAGGCTTGAAGGCCAGGGAGAGTGGAGCTGCGTGAGAATGTGCATGTGCCCTCTCGTACCAGAGACAGTCCGGACCAGACAAAGCCCCACCTGGCAGGACTGGTGAGTCTCCACCCTGTGTCTGCTCTCTTCCTGCTTCTTCCCTCTTCTCCCCTCCCCAGCACTCCCTGGCTTATGCATTTTGAAGTGATAAGCCAGTTTAGAATTCCCACATCTCATTTGTTCAGCCATTTTGGTTACAAAGCTCAGTCAACCCACCGGTGAATGCTTTGCCTCCGGATGAAAATTCTCAGAAAATAAGAGCTTGTGATCTTCTGGAAGTATAGTGGGAAAAAGCTGTGTCATACCTAGCAGGAATACCAATGATGTACCCTCCACTCCCAATGACAATGACTCACATCCAGAATAACTAGGGGAAGAGATAGATGAAGACAAGTGGAATAAAATATGTGTTTTCACTCAATCGTTTTCATGGAATACCAGGCCCAGGTTAATCCTTTATCAATATGTTCACAACCCACCCATGAAAAATGAATCTCAACCAGCCTTTGCTATGCTGCTGAGGTAGGAGAGATGAGGAAACTCCCAAACTGCATCTTACCATGCTGCTCTTGAGTGTGGAGAAATAGAGGTCACGGGTCACGCAGAGCTGACTCCACAGACTCCAAACACCTAAGTATTTGACTTCTGCGAGGGCTCTGAGTACAAATGTTTAAGTTGCTGTTCTTGCGGAAGACTTTCCTCCTTCAAATACGAGTGCAATTTGCAGTAACATTAGTGAGAGGAATGTACTTGCATCTTTTGGAAAAGACAAAGCCTATAAATCCTATCCATTTTAGGAAATAGACTTTCTGTAATAGGCACAAGAGCAGTCTGCCTTGAAAAAAATACAGACTTCAAATTTACCACCTTGCAGGCACTCAAAAAAGAATTTGTATTGAATTCCTGGCTTCTGAGTATGGTTGTACAGTTTGTGAATGGAGCAAACCCCGGAGGCACTTCTCTAACTGTCACGTGCAATCTAATCTACAGTAGGAAGACACATTGCTTGATGCTGACAAAGTAAATGAATGTTTACAGTGGGATATTGTTATCCTGAGTCAATGTAAGTACTCACTCTCCTGTTTTCTTCTGCATCCTAACTCAGGTAACATGGCAGTGCCATGCCTTGACATACCTGTGCCTTCGCCTGCTGTATCCCCCCAAAGCCCATGTACCATAGAACAAGCACTTGGGTGTCTTCAAACTGCCACATGCAATAAGCTCCCCAGCCTGCCTCCCTGTAACCATGATGATTGTTTTCATGTATGGGATTTCTACTATGGGCCAGGGCCTGTGCTGAGGGCTTGACCGATGATATTATTTAGTCCCTGACAACTCAGAGAGGTAAACTGGCCCAAACTCAAACTCAGGCCTGTCTGACCCCAGCGGCCACATTCCCCACATAGTGACTGTGGTGCTCCTGCTTCCTTCCAGACCCTCTGACCTTCCTTCAGTTCACAGGGGCTCTAAGCCTCTGCTTCCATTGCTTCAAATGCTCTTTCCCATCCTAACTCCCTCTCACTCTTTGAGATCTCACTTCAGTATCACTCCCTCAAAATAAGTTAGCCTCCCCTCTTCTGCTTTCCTTCAGAGCACTTATGCCGTAGGGACTCACGGTATTGTTTTGTACATGTCCTTGTTCAGTGTCTGCAATGCTGCCTTTCCTGCCTTACAAAGGCAAGGCTGGGCCTGCTACACAGACATAGGGCCTGGCACAGTGCCTGGCACGTAGTAGGGCTTATTGACATCTAATAAATGCATGAATGAATGAATTAATTAATGGTCAATGAGGGCGTAAGCAAGGCAGACACTGCAGCTTCCACTGCATCCTCATCAAACTGCTTCTAGTTTAGCTGCATGTGATTCTAATTGTGAAGAAAACTCGCAATTGACATTTATGCCTTCCTTTAAAAACCATTTTCTGTGCACCTATTAGGGTGCAAACACTTCAATCAGCCTCCCTGAGGAGCCCCCAGCCTCCCTTCTGCTCTGCTGTTCCCAACACAGCACTCAGCTGGCCACCTCCTTACCTCTCTGTCCAAAGAGGGCTTCCTGACCTCCCCTGGGTGATGAAATTCTGGCCTGACACCCCACAGTGTAGAGTCATCCCTCCCAGATTCTCCTGGGTAAAATGCAAGGCTGCTCACCGTTTTTAATGTTAATGTGACTCCATCCCACCACTAAGTACAATATTATTCATTAGTTTCGTGTACAATGATCATATTATAGTGATATAATACACTGTGACAATCTTGATACTTTAGTCTGACAAGCCAACAAACCTGACAATCTCATTTTAAGGCATCTGCAATTTAAAGAAAAAAATGTACACTCTAATGTCATTGTGCCCTCCCCATGAGAGGAGGGGTTGGACCCACTTGGAGTACGACATTCTGAGATGCTGTCAGAATTCTTAAAATTAAACAAAAATCCTCTTGGTGTTACAAGTGTGAAGACAATAGCAGCCACTACCTGAATAGACAGCTGTCACTCCAGACGACAGCCTGCCCACTATTGAGAGACACTTTTCAGGGAAGGGCTATGCTGAGGCTTCAGAGGGTGTTTCGGCTGGTTCCCAGATTCCAGCTGCCCATGGGGTGGGAGGCTGTAACCTGGTTTAGCTAGTCCCTCATCAGCAGGCCATGGCTCTATGTCTAGGGAACAAAGACTACCGGTGATGAATTGACATAGCCCTGCTATGTGGTAAGGCTGCTATTTACCGTCCATATTAATCCAGAAAACTGCACAACAATGCCGTATCCAGCCATACTTCCCTAAGATTTAATGTTTCCATTTAACTCTGCTAACTCTAAAAACTGTGCCTGCCCTCAGATCAGATTTTCTGGCTTTTTTATATATAGCTCCTCAATCAAAATTAATTACTTGCGTCCAAAAAAAAAAAAAAAAAAAACTTAGCTCCCTGCTATAAATAAAAGAGCAAAATTCTAGCCAGTTCTGATCCTTCAGAGCAGGAAGAAACCCCCAGGAGCTTGTAAAAACCATCAACTGTGCTTGCATTAGAGCAGGCGCCATGCTCTGCGGCTGGTTTTGAAAGAGCTGAGCAGAACCTGCACCTCGGCGGTCGGAGTCAAGGCCTCAGACTTGAAGGGCGGCGTGTGCCTGGAATCATTTCCCAGCCTTAATAAGAAGCCCTGTCCTTCCCAGGCGTCAGATGAGTGATCCTCTGTGACCCCAGCACGCCAGCAACACCAAGTCGCTGAGACGATGCTCACCTTTGGGGAAAAGAATGCTGTAATCTTGATCCTGCTCCGACGGCTGCAGGAATCCCCCTGGTTGTGTGTCCTCAAGTCTTTTTTTCTTGTTTGCTTTTGTGGTCTGGGTACACTGATCCTTCCCTGCTTGGGTGAGAGAGCAGCGCGGGCCGCAGGGCTCCCTCCCTCGCCTCCTCATCTGGGTAGCAGGCTTTTTCAACCCCCAGTCCTTCTTCACAGGTAGGAAGCACATCACAACTCATTAGTAATTTACTGCTACAGTAATTTTTATAATTACTGCCAGGAGGCCTCATTAAATTTGATCTAATGAATAAATATTGTATTTTTCAACGTGATTACCAGAACAGCTTAAGCTGAGTGCCATAAACAATTATTTTCCTCACTACTCAGGATGTCGGTGACTATTGATTTTTATTTCATAAAGAATTTACGGTAGTAATACCAATATAAATGACTTCGGGAATAGGCAACATCCCCCGTGGCAATTCACAAGCAGCATCTAGCCCCAGAAGCAGCCCATGGGGAGGGTTGGGAGTGGAAAGGAAGGAAAGATCTGAGCAGAGTCAGGGTCTGCTGAGTGCGTGCGGCCAAGGATGAAGCCGGTTAAGGACGGGCTGGTGCTGCCCCGGCTTCCCATTCTGAGCCTGTGATTTCTGACTGCTGGGTGGTGAGTTCCCAGGCTGAACAATAAAGCTGACAGTTGATTTTTGCATTTTATAAAATCAAGTCCATAAGCTCAGTTGGAAATTTCTAAAGTAAAACACGAAAACCAGGCTATCACAGAGGAGACTCATATCAGCCCCTACTTATGCATCTGTTTCTTCACTTCCACTAGGTATCTTGTGCTTTCCTGCTTTTCCTTTTTTTGGTTTTGTTTCTTATTTTATGTAATAGAATTTCTCATTTTAACTGGTGGGATGGGTATTTCCCTACCTCTTCTGTTTTTATTTATTTATTTATTTATTTATTTATTTATTTTGAGATGGAGTCTTGCTCTGTCACCCAGGCTGGAGTGCAGTGGCACAATCTCGACTCATTGCAACCTCTACCTCCCAGTTTCAAGCGATTCTCCTGCCTCAGCCTCCCAAGTCACTGGGATTACAGGCACGCGCCACCACATCTGGCTATTTTTGTATTTTTAGTAGAGATGGGGTTTCACCATGTTGGTCAAGTTGGTCTCAAACTCCTGACCTCAGGTGATCCACCCTCCTCAACTTCCCAAAGTGCTGGGATTACAGGCGTGAGCCACCACGCCCGGCCTGTTTTTCATTCTTCGTAATGCCCCAACCTCTTCATACTGTGAAGGAAGAGGCATGTGAAACGTGTCAGGATGCTTCTGATTTTGGTTTCTCTCCCTCTAGCCACAGCAGCAGTGTGCTTGCTACAACGGGGCACCGTCATTCCCTGGCTCGCCGCTCTTGTCACCTCTTTCACCCCTAGAGCTGTGGGCCTCAACCCTGGCTGCATGTTAGAATCATGAAGGAACTTTTAAAACCTGCTGATACCCAGGCCCTGCCTCAGAGATTCTGATTTAATTAATCTGGGGCAGGGCTAGGTTATAACTGTTCTTTTTGGAGCTCACCGGATGATTCTAATGTGGAGCCAAGGTCTAAAACCCCTGCTCTAGAAGGTAACGGATGAAGCCAGAGGCCAGCTAGATGGGATAGGAGGAGCCAGACCTCCAGCCCCTTCAGACCTCCAAAATGCCCTAGGCATAGCTGCTATGGACTCAGTTGTGTCCTCCCAAAACTCATACATTGATTTCTAATCCCTTGTACGTCAGAATGTATTTGGAGACAGGGCCTTTAGAGAGGCAATTAAGGTAAAATGAGACCATATGGGTGGGATCTAATCCAATAGGACAGATGTCCTTATACAAAAGATTAGGACACAGGTACTGAGAGACGACATGAAGGACACAAGACACCATCGACAAGCCAAGAAGGAAGGCCTCAGAAGAAAGCCACCCTACCAACATCTTGATCTCAAACTTGTACACCCCAGACTGTGAGAAAATAAATTCCAGTTGTTTCCGCCACCTAATCTGTGGCACTTTGTTATAGCAGCCCTGGCAAACTAACACTGTGGTCTTCACAGACGGGATGGGAGAAGCCAGTGGCTACAGCCGAGATGCTGGAGGTGGAGCTTCACATTCTGGGTCTGTGTGCACCTGTTATACTGGTTACCTATTGCTGCGTATCAAATTACCTCAAAACTTAGTGGCATAAAGCAACCCTTTTTCATTCTCGTGGATTCTATGGGTCAGGAATTTGGACAGGACGTAATAGGGACAATCTGTCTCTGTTCTACAACATCCGAGGCCTCAGCTGGAAGACTGGAAGGATGAAGGTGCCTCAACAGCTGAGTCTAAAATCTTCTGAAGGCATATTTTCTCACATGTCTGATGATCGATGCCAGGGGCTGGCTTGGGGCCCTAGTTGGAGCTATTAGCCAGAATACCTGCATGTGGCCTTTGTTCAGAGCCTGGGCTTCCTCACAACATGGCGGTCAGGTTCTTCACAGAAAGACATGTTCGGCCTTTTTAAATCCAGTCTTGCAAGTCACGCCGTGACATTTCCACCATATTCTAGTCTTCGAGGAAGTCACAAAGGCTTGCCCAGGTTGAGTGAGAGGAAATGGATGCCATAGCAAGGGGAATGACGGCGTTCAGAAAAGCAAGCCCACAGCAAGGGGGAAAGCAGGTGGGACCAGTGATACTGTTGTGGCCATTTTTGGGAAAATGCAATCTGCCATACTCGGACATTTTTCTTTTTTTTTTTTTGAGATGGAGTCTCTCTCTGTCGCCCAGGCTGCAGTGCAGTGGTGCAATCTTGGCTCACTGCAACCTCCGCTTCCTGGGTTCAAATGATTATCCTGCCTTGGCCTCCAGAGTAGCTGGGATTACAGGCACGTGCCACTACGCCCAGCTAATTTTTTATATTTTTAGTAGAGATGGGGTTTCACCCTGTTGGCTAGGCCGATCTCAAACTCCTGATCTCAGGTGATCTGCCCACCTTGGCCTCCCAAAGTGCTGGGATTACAGGCCTGAGACATCACACCTGGCCCTATGTGGACATTTTTCTTAACCTCTTTGAACTTGCATATTCTCATCCTTAAAATGGAATAATGTAAACTTGGTTGTTGAAAGGATTAAAATGGCAAATCTAGAGCACAGTGCCTGGCACCTAGTAAGTGCTCAGAAAATTCTACTTACTCTTCCTATCTGGCATAAGCATGCTTATTCTGGCCAGGCCTTGAGGGATGATCACAAGCCTCAGAGTACCCTGAAGCTGCTCCCACCTGCCTAGAATCCTAGCATCCACTTCCATCCCCTTCCTCTCTCATACTCACCCTCTCCAGACAGACCCAGTACAGTGCCCCCTTGCTTAAAACTTACCTCCACCACCTCCCGAGGGCTCCCTTTGCCTCAGTGCCTTCCCACCAGTCACCCAAGAATAAGAACCTGGTACTCCCCAGTCACCATTAATTCAGTCGTTTGATGCTTCAGCATTCTCAGGAGTATCTTCTTGTATAAAAAAGAAGAAAAGATAATGTTCAGGGCAAAAAACTAATTTGAAAAAAGCAAGTTGCAAAACAGTGTCTCCAATATGCCCCCTTCCCTCACCATTTTTTTTTTTTTTTTAGAAAGGTCTTGCTCTGTCATCCAGGTTGGAGTGCAATGGCAAACAGGTCACTGCAACCTTGAACTCCTGGGCTCAGGCAATCCTCCCACCTCAGCCTCCCAAGTAGCTAGGACTACAGGTGTGTGCCACCACACCTAGCTAGTATCTTTTATTTTTGTAGAGACAGGGTCTTGCTATGCTGCTCAGGTTGGTCTCAGACTCCTGGCCTCAAGTGATCATCTCGCCTTAGCCCTCGTCAGCCTCCCAAAGCGCTGGGATTACAGGCGTGAGCCACCACACCTGGCCCATTTTTGTTAAGCAAAAAAATGTATATATACCCAGACACAGAAAACAGAATATGTTAAAATGTTAAAAATGTTTATTATCTCAGGCAGCAAGATTAGAGTTACCTTTATTTTCTTCTTTATGCTTTCAAGCATTTCCCACATTTTCTACAATAAACACAGATTAACTTTGTAATCAGAAAAAAAGAAAAACAAAGTAGTTTTTTTGAGACCCTGTATCAAAAAAAATAAAAATAAAAAAGAATGGACTTTCGTATGGCCTACAGATCGTATTCAGATTTCCCATTTCATTTGTACTCATTTTTGTGTAAGTATGTGTGTACTTTGTTCTATTTTGGTAATACGTGTAGGTGTGTGTATCTACCACTACAGTCAAGACCTAGAACAATCCATCATCACAAAAATTCTGTTTTGCCATTTTATAGCTACATCCATTCCCATGACCCTCTGCCATTTCTGCTATCCCTAACACTTGGTAACTACCAATCTCTTCTCCATTTCTATAATTTGTTTATTTCAAGACCATTACGTAAATGAAATTATACTGTATGTAACCTTTGAAAATGGGCTTTTTTCACTTAGCATAATTCCTTGGAGTCATCCAAGCTGTTGCATGTATCAATAGTTCGTTCCATTTTATTGCTTAATAATATTCCATGATGGTATTGATGTATCACAGTTTATTTAAACATTCACTTATTGAAGCGCAGTGGGGTATTTTTTTGGCTATTAGGAAAAAAATTGCTGTAAATATGTATGTGCCCATTTTTGTGTCAACACGCGTTTTCACTTTTGTGGGATAAATGCCCAAGAGTATAATTGTACAGTAGTAATTGCATATTTGGTTTTATAAGAATCTGCCAAACTATTGTCCAGAATGTTTGTTCCATTTTACATTCCCACCAGCAATACATGAATAATTTAATTTCTCCATATCCTTGCCAGCATTAGATGTTGTCACTATTTTTTATTTTAGCCATTATTGTAGGTGTGTAGTGATAGCTTACTGTGGCTTTGATTTGCATTTCCCTGATGACTAATGATGTTGGACATCTTTTGATGTTCAATGTAAAACATGCTCTTGGGTGATATGTCTGTTCATGTCTTTTATCTGTTTTCTAACTGGATTTTTTTTTTTCTTTTTTACTGTTAAATTTTGAAAATTAAAAAAATGTATATTCCAGATATGTCTAGATACGTGGTTTGCGAATATTTTTTCCCAGTCTATAGCTTTTCTTTTCATCCTCTTAATGGGGTCTTTCATGAAGCAAAAGATTATAATTTTGATGAAGTATAATTTAAAAAAAAAAAAAAAAGAATGGAGAGATCCTGCCCAGGCATGGTAGGTCACGCCTGTAATCCCAGCAGTTTGCAAGGCCGAGGCAGGTAGATCACCTGAGGTTAGGAGTTGGAGACCAGCCTGGCCAACATGGTGAAACCCCATCTCTCCTAAAAATACAAAAATTAGCTGGGGTGGTGGCATGCACTGTGGTGGTAATCCCAGCCACTCGGGAGGCTGAGGCACAAGAATTGCTTAAACCCTGGAGGCAGAGGTTGCAGTGAGCCAAGATCACATCACTGCACTCCAGCCTGGGTGATGGAGTGAGACTGTCTCAAAAAATAAAAAGAAAAATAGAGAGATCCCCAAAAGACTTTGAGAAAAATACAGGTCACTTGTTTAAAAAAAAAAAAAAAAAAAAAAAAAAAAAAAAAAAGATTATCACCAGCAAAGACCTCTGTGAGGGAACAAAACTACAAAAATCCGAAGAGAAATTTGACTTCGTATTCTCTTTCCAATCAAACTAATAACTAAGTTTGAACACAATAATTTTCAACGTGTGCAATGACTTACCTCTTAACCTGGCCGATTTAATTGCCTGAGGATGTACCCCGGTACAATCAGAATGGAAACTAAGGGAGGGAAAAATGTGGGTTGCAAGAAATGATGGAACTTGCTCTTCTTAGGAAGACAGCTTTGTAGCAAAACAGGGGAGTAATTTAGTGGCTTCAAGAGAAGAATGAAGAGGGATCCAAGCAATAAGTAGAATAAAAAAGAAGAAAGATTAAATATGTGATAAAGTGTGTATTTCATTTTCCTTTCAAGAATAAAGGCAATCTAAAAACCTAGGAGAAAATTTGACATGTCTATAAGAAAGTTAAGAAAATAAAATGTGGGATAATTTTAAATAATCACTGGAGTATAAGAACAGACAATCCAATTGATGGTGGCACTGAGAATATTCTCCTTTGAGAGGCTGGCCACAGGTTGTCATCAAGAACTGAAAGGAAGGCAATGTAATAATAATGTATCACACCAGGCACGGTGCCTCAGGCCCGTAATTCCAGCACTTTGGGAGGCCAAGGCAGGAGGATAACTTGAGGTCAGACGTTTGAGACAAGCCTGGCCAACATGGCAAAACCTCGTTTCTAACAAAAAATACAAAAATTAGTCAGGTGTCGTGGCATGCACCTGTAGTCCCAGCTACTTGGGAGGCAGAGGTGAGAGAATCACCTGAACCCGGGAGGCAGAGGTTGCAGTGAGGCAAGATCACACCACTGCACTCCAGCCTCGGCGACAGAGTGAGACCCTCTCTAAAAAGAAAAAAAAACCCAAACATATCACTCACAACTGTAGTAAAGGATGCTATATCATCTTATTAATGTACATTGTTTATTTTTTCTCAACCTTTTGAACGATCCTATAGACAAGGTTCAGGAGACATTTTTAGATCAAAAGGTAAATATTATCAGCCTTGATTATGCAAAAATAAAAGGAGAGTTACCAGGGTTAGTAGCAGAAGTGAGGAAAAGAGGTCAGGAAGTCAGTGAGTAAATCAAAGTTTACACATCAAGAAATATCAGGAAAGAATTACTAGTTGAGATATGCAGGTTATTCCTCAAAAGTTATAAAAACTGAAGTTAAAAGTGGTTGCTCCCTGGAAAATAGGGCTGGGGTTCTGGAGAGGTGGAGAAAGGAGCTGTTGCTTTTTATTGTAAATCCTTCAGAGCTATTTGATTGTTTTAGCCAAATATTATGATTTAAATGTTTGTTCCCTCCAAAACTCATGTTGAAACTTAATCCCCAATGTGGCAGTGTTGAGAGTTGGGATCTTTAAGAAGTGATGAGGTTATGAGGGTTCTGCCCTCAATAATGAATTAATCTATTCATTGATTAATGTGTAAGTGAAGTAACGGGTTAATGGTTTATCATGGGAGTGGGTCAGTGGCTTTACAAGGGGAGGAAGAGAGACCTGAGCTAGCAAGCTCAGCCTCCTCTCCACATGACACTCTGTGCCACCTTGGGACTCTGCGCAGAGTGCCCCCCAGCAAGAAGATCGTCACCAGATATGGGCCCTCGAACTTGGACTTCTCAGCCTCCATAACTATAAGAAATAAATTCCTTTTCTTTATAAATTACCCAGTTTCAGGTATTGTAAGCAACAGACAATGGACGAAGATACCAAGTCCATGTTATTACTTTAATTTTAAAAAAGAAAAATAATCCATGAAAGACATGCCACAAGTAGCTGTCCGAATAAAGAAATTACTATTACTTCTAATAATGCATTTAAATTGATGTTTCCTAAAAGTAAGTTATTATCACATAATTTAGATGTGAAACAAAGGGTGGAGGGATAAAAGTTATATGTAGCATATAATCTTTTTTTTTCTTTGAGACAGAGTCCCGTTCTGTTGCCCAGGCTGGAGTGCAGTGGCGCTATCTCAACTCACTGCAGCCTCCGCCTCCCGGGTTCAAGCAATTCTCGTGCCTCAGCTTCCAAGTAGTTGGGATTACAGGCATGCCCCACCAAGCCTGGCTAATTTTTGTATATTTAGTAGAGACAGCGTTTTGTCGTGTTGGCCAGGCTGGTCTTGAACTCCTGACTTCAAGTGATCTGCCTGCCTCAGCCTCCCAAAGTACTGGGATTAGAAGTGTGGGCCACTGTGCCCGGCCATATAATCTTAATAATACTCAGGTTCAGTACCCACGAATAACCCAATTCTTAACTGCAGTTACTTGTAAGTGGAAGGATTATGGGTGATTTTAATTATGACATTCCAATTTTCTATAATAAGTAATTAAAAGATAATTTTTGTTTTTGAGACAGAGTCTCACTCTGTCACCCAGGCTGGAGTGCAGTGGTGCCATCAACTCACTGTAACCTCAAATTCCTTGGCTCAAGGGATCCTGCCTCAGCCTCTTGAGTAGCTGAAATTATAAGGCATGCACCACCACACCTGGCTAATTTTTAAATTTTTTGTAGAGATGGGGTCTTGCTATGTTGCCCAGGCTGCTCCTGAACTCCTGGTCTCAAGCAATCCTCTTGCCTCAGCCTCCCAAAGTGCAAAATATACTTTTATAACCATCAAAAGATATTGAGCAAAATAATATTATTAATAATAATTTAAAATATAATAAACATAGGCTTATTTCCCATATCCCTCTTTATGTCTGCCCTGACATTTTAACATCTTCAAATGAAGTGCTATCTATGGTTAATTTAAAAGTGGGAACTGGCCGGGTGCAGTGGCTCACACCTGTATCCTGTAATCCCAGCACTTTGGGAGGCTGAGGCAGACGGATCACAAGGTCAGGAGATCGAAACTATCCTGGCTAACATGGTGAAACCCCATCTCTACTAAAAATACAAAAAATTAACCGGGCGTGGTAGCGGGCGCCTGTAGTCCCAGCTACTCAGGAGGCTGAGGCAGGAGAATGGCGTGAATCCTGGAGGCGGAGCTTGCAGTGAGCCGAGATCGTGCCATTGCACTCCAGCCTGGGCGACAGAGAGAGACTCCATTTCAAAAAAAAAAAAAAGTGGGAACTTCTTGTTAATAAGGTAGTGTTGAATCCTCATATCAAGATGGGGTGGGACTAAGTAGGGTTGTAACATCCTTCAGCATTTAGAAAGACTGAGTGAGGATCAGAGAGTGACTGATAAACTCAGAGAATTAGCAAAAGTCCTCAAGAATGCACCGATGGGAAAGCAGTTCCCTTAAAAATAACAGTAACATCGATATACAAAAATGAGTTGTGTTTCTATTTACAAGCAATGAATGATCTGAGAATGAAATTAAGATAACAATTTGGCTGGACACAGTGGCTCACGTCTGTAATCCCAGCACTTTGAGAGGCCAAGGCAAGTGGATGGCCTGAGGTCAGGAGTTCGAGACCAGCCTGGCCAACATGGTGAAAGCCCCTCTCTACCAAAAATACAAAAAAAATTAGTTGGGCATGGTGGTACGTGCCTGTAGTCCCAGCTACACGGGGAGGCTGAGGCAGGAGAATTGCTTGAACCCAGGAGGTGGAGGTTGCTGTGAGCCAAGATCATGCTGCTGCACTCCAGCCTGGGCCACAGAGTGAGACTCCTTTCTCAGGAAAAAAAAAAAAATTCCAGGCTGGGTGTGTAGTGGTTCCTGCCTTTAATCCCAGCACTTTGGGAGGCCAAAATAGGTGGACTGTTGGAGACCAAGAGATCGACAGCAGCCTGGGCAACATAGCGAGACCCTGCCTCTACACAACATTTATTTCTAAATAAAATTTTAAAAGAAAAAAGAAAACAATTTCAGCTACAATAGTATCAAAAAGAATAAAATACTTAGGAATAAATTTAACCAGGGATATGGACAAAGGAAACTAAAGCATTGTTGAAAGAAATTAAAGAAGCCCTAAATAAATGGAAAGACATCTCATGTTCACAGATTGGAAAATTTAATATTGTTAAAATGACAATATTCCCCCAAGTTGAACTATGATTCAGTATAATCCCAATCAAAATTCCAACTTCCATGTTTGCAGAAATGGACAAGTGATAGTTTAATTCACATCAAGTTGCAAAGGACCCCAAATAGCCAAAACAATATTGAAAAAGAACAAAGTTAGAGGGATCACATTTCCCAATTTCACAACTTACCTATAAAACTACAGTTTTGTGGCCAGGCGCGGTGGCTCACGCGTGTAATCCCAGCACTTCGGGAGGCCGAGGCAGGCAGATTACGAGGTCAAGAGATCAAGACCATCCTGGCCAACATGATGAAACCCTGTCTCTGCTAAAAATACAAAATTAGCTGGGCATGGCGGCACGCACCTATAGTCCCAGCTACTTGGAAGGCTGAGGCAGGAGAATCGCTCGAACCCGGGAGGCAGGGGTTGCAGTAAGCCGAGATCGCGCCACTGCACTCCAGCCTGGCCACAGAGCAAGACTCTGTCTCAAACAAACAAAAAAACTAGTTTTGTAATCAACACAGTGTGGGACTGGCATAAGAACATAAAGATGAATGGAATAGAATTGGGAGTCCAGTGATACACTCATATATTGGTGGTCAACTGATTTTCAACAAGGGTGCCAAGAGCATTCAATGGGGGAAAGAATAGTCTTTTCAACAAATGGTGCTGGGATATTCAATATTCATATGCAAAAGAATGAAGGTAGATCCCTAGCTCACACTGCATACAAAAGTTAACTCGAAATGGATTGTAGACCTAAATGTAAGAGTTAAAACTATAAAACTCTTAGAAGAAAAGATAGGGGTAAATCTTCATGACATTGGATTTGGCAGTGGATTCTTAGATATAATACCAAAAGAACAAGCAGCAAAAAAAAAAAAAAAAAGATAAATTGGACTTCATTAAAATTTTTGTGCATCAGAGAACACAATCAAGCCAGTGAAAAGACAGTCTGGCAGTTCCTCAAACAATTAAAAACAGTTACCATATGACCCAGCAATTCTACTCCTGGATATATACTTAAGCGAAATGAAAATATATGTGCATACAGAAACTTGGACATGTTTATATCAGCATTATTCATAATCCCCAAAAAGTAGAAGCAACCCAAATGCTCATCAGTGGGCAAATGACAATGTGATATTCCCACACAACGGAATATTATTTGGCCATAAAAAGAAATGAAGTACTCATACACGCTATAAGATGGATAACATTGAAAACACTATGTGCCACATGAAAGAGGTCAGCCACAAAAGTCCACATACTTTATGATTCTATTCATATGAAAGTCCGAAATAGGGGAAGCTATACAGACAGAAAGTATTAACAGGTCGGTGGTTGCTTAGACCTAGGGGAAGCAGGGATGAGAGGTAGGGATAATAGCTAAAGGATACAGGGTTTCTTCCTGAGGTGCTGAAAATGTTCTAAAGTTGACAGTAGTGATGGTTGTACATATCTGTGGATATGCTAAAAACCATTGATTGCATTCTTTAATGGAGCATTTCAAATGTTTGTATGGTATGTGAATTATATCTCTATAAAGCTGTTAAAAATAAAAGTGGAAAATCCACAGAAATGGGAGAAAATAATTGCAAATCACATATCTGCTAAAGATCTAATATCCAGAATATATTAACTCTTAAACTCAAAACAAAAAGAAAAGAACCCAATTTAAAATGGGCAAAGGGTCTGAACACAGTAGCTCACGCCTGTAATCCCAGTGCTTTGGGAGGCCAAGTGGGAGGATCGCTTGAGCCCAAGAGTTTGAGGCTGCAGTCAGCTATGCTCATGCCACTGTACTCCAGCCTGGGTGACAGAGCAAGACCCTGTCTCTTAAATAAACAAATAAATAAAATGGGCAAAGGGCTGAAGTAGACTTTTTTCCAAAGATAATCTAATGGCCAACAAGTACATAAAAGTATGCTCTACATCATCTGTCATTAAGGAATGGAATCCAAAATCACAATGAGATACCATTTCATGCCTACTAGGATGTCTATAAAACAAACACACAAACCAGAAAATAACAAGTGTTGGCAAGGACGTGGAGAAACTGGAGCCCTCACACATTACTAGTGGAAATGTAAAATGGTGCAGCCACTAAGAAAAAGTTTGGTAGCTCCTCAGAAAGTTAAACATACAATTACCATATGATTCAGTGATTCCACTCCTAGGTATATACCAAAGAGTACTGAAATTAGGTGTTCAAACTAAAATGTGTAAGTGAAATGTTCATAGCCGCACTATTCACACTAGCCAAAAGGTGAAAACAACCAAAATGTCCACCAACTGATATATGGATAAATTGTGGTATATCCATACAATGGAATATTTGGGCATGAAGAGGAATAAAATGATGATACATACAACATGGATGAATCTTATTTATTAATTTTTTTTTTAACACGGAGTCTCGCTCTTGTCACCCAGGCTGGAGTGCCATGGTGCAGTCTAGGCTCGTTAGAACCTCTGCCTCCCGAGTTCCAGCGATTCTCATGCCTCAGCCTCCCAAGTAGCTGGGATTACAGGCACCTGCCACCATGCCTGGTTAATTTTTATATTTTTAGTAGAGATGGGGTTTCACCATGTTGACCAGGCTGGTCTGAAACTCCTGACTCAAGTGATCCACCTGCCTCGGCCTCCCAAAGTGCTGGGAGTACAGGCATGAGCCACTGCACCCGGCCTAACATGAATGAATTAGTAAGTGAAAGGACCCTGCTTGGTGTCGTAGCTCATGCTTGTAATTCCCAGCTACCTGGGAGGCTGAGGTGACATGATTGCTTAAGTCCAGGAGTTCCAGGATGCAGTGAGCTGTGATCACACACTGCTGCACTCAACCCTGAGTGACACAGTAAGACCCTGTCTGTTTAGAAAAACAAAAAAGCCAGATACAAAAAGCAACATATTGTATGTTTCCAAATGTCCAGCATATAAGCAAATCCAGAGACAGAAAGCAATAGG
Organism: Homo sapiens; assembly: GCF_000001405.40. Taxonomy (NCBI): domain Eukaryota; kingdom Metazoa; phylum Chordata; class Mammalia; order Primates; family Hominidae; genus Homo; species Homo sapiens. The sequence goes on along the minus strand of NC_000002.12, from coordinate 173,374,084 downwards.
TTCTCATGGGTTGGAGAGAGGAAAAAAAGGAGTGACTTTTTAATGGGTACGAGGTTTCTTCTGGGAGTGATGAAAATGTTCTAGTGTTACATAGTGATGATGGTTGCACAACATTGTGAATGTACTGGAAGCCACCTAGTTGTATACTTTGAAAGGGTTAAAGTGGTAAATTTTATGTTATGTGAATTTTACTACAATTTTTTTAAACGTTGGCGGAAAAAAAGCAACAAAAAGCTGAACAATAGGCAGAACCTAGCAAGCTTGATATTGAATTATTTCCAAACCCAGTTCTCTGGTCAAGCAAAGTTGCAATAGAACTTTTCCCTTACCAGGGGCAGCTCTCTAGCTGAGTCCCAAATCCTGCCTTGCTAAAATCAATTAATAGAGTTCTTGGTGTCTGCCCTAATCATCATGCACAGAAAAAATTTAGTTAATATCCTTTTCTCCCTCCCCAACACTGAAAAATAAGATAAATAGAATCTATCTCCATAATTTTACTTACTCATTTAGTTCAGTAGCATCTGTTTATCATGATTTACAAGAATTTGGCTGGCAATGAGAGTTGCAGAAAGCATTTGCATAAAGGAATTTTATTTACATATTTTTCCTCCTTAAGCACTAGGGTACTCGAAATGGTCACATCTTGGAAATTCAGGCAAGTGCCAGTGGTGATTACCAGTTTAAAAAAAAAAAAAAAAAAAAAACAGGCCATGCATAGTGGCTCACGGCTGTAATCCCAGCACTTTGGGAAGCTGAGGGCAGGTGGATCACCTGAGGTCAGGAGTTCAAGACCAGCCTGGCCAACATGGGGCGAAAACCTGTGTCTACTAAAAATACAAAAATTAGCCGGGTGTGGTGGCGGGCGCCTGTAATCCCAGCTACTCGGGAGGCTGAGGCAGGAGAATCACTTGAACCTGGGAGGCGGAGGTTGCAGTGAGCCGAGATTGTGCCACTGTACTCCAGCCTGGGACAAAGCGAGACTCCATCTCAAAAAAACACAGTGGATGGTCATTAAGCAGTGAAAAACATTTATAGCTATTCAATTTAGAAGACAAACTTAAGGATTAGTCTATTAAAGTATGGAAAACCAAATAAAAATAAAACTGAAATACTGGTTCCTGTTGATATGGCTTGCCTACTAAGTGTGTGAGGAGAGGAAATTTTACTTTTTTTTTTTTTTTTTTTTTTGAGACTGAGTCTGGCTGTTGCCCAGGCTGGAGAGCAGTGGCACAATCTCTGCTCATGGCAACTTCCGCCTCCCAGGTTCAAATGATTCTCCTGCTTCTCCTGCCTCAGCCTCCCGAGTAGCTGGGATTACAGGTACACACCACCACACCTGTCTAATTTTTGTATTTTTAGTAGAGACTGGGTTGGGTTTCACCATTTTGGCCAGGCTGGTCCCAAACTCCTGACCTCAAGTGATTCGCCCACCTTGGCCTCCCAAAGTGCTGGGATTACAGGTGTGAGCCACTGAGCCCGGCTGAAATTTGACTTTCCTAGCATAAGCCCACAGAATAGTCTGTCCTTGGGCATTTGACTAGAACAGAAAACAATTATCTACAATATTTTTTTTCCTCTGAAACTCTAAAGCTTAATTCCATGTTCGTACTTGTGAGTACTGATTATAACTTCAGAATTCTTTTTTTTTTCTTTTGAGTCAGAGTCTCGCTCTCTTGCTGAGGATGGAGTGCAATGGCACGATCTTGGCTCACTGCAGCCTCCACCTCCCAGGTTCAAGCAATCCTTGAGCCTCAGCCTCCCAAGTAGCTGAGATTACAGGTGTGCCACCAGGCCTGGCTAATTTTTGTATTTTTAGTAGAGATGGGGTTTCACCATGTTGGCCAGGCTGGTCTCAAACTCATGACCTCAGGTGATCCACCCCCCTCGGCCTCTCAAAGTGCTGGGATTACAGGCATGAGCCACTGCTCCCGGCCAGAATTCTTTGTATAATAAAATTATGTTTATCTCCCATATATATAGTTAAGTGAAAAAGGCAGGGTAAAAAGAGTATGTAGTAAGTAGTATGCTACCATTTATCTGAAAGGCAATAGGAGGCTAACAAGGCCTAATTTTTTATTTTTTGTAGAGACAGGGTCTCACTATGTTGCCCAGGATGGTTTTGAACTCCTGGGCTCAAGCAATCCTCCCGCCTCAGCTTCCCAAAGTGCTGGGATTATAGGTATGAGCCAACCGCGCCCAGCCTAATTATACTGAAGCCATATTATATGTACTATAATTCTGTGTTACTATATAATTATTATGTAATTATAATTTTATATTACATATTAATTTGATATTATATATTTTAATATATAACTATATTATATAATTTAAATATACAATTTTATATTCTATATTATATGTATTATACTATATACATATTATAATTCTGAAGCCATATGTATACATAGCCACATTATTTTTACATATAAATACCAATATGTATATGTATGCATGTGTATACATGTATATATACACAAATATACTAACAATTAATAGATAGATATAAAAGAAATGTTTTGAAAGCAAAGCACTTGGGAGAAATGGCTGACTCCAGGCTTAGGGTAGAGAATGTGTAAGAGTGAGCCTGTAACATTGGATCTTACCAGAAAACAAAAGAAGCTACCAAAGACCACACTGGGGCCAAATTTTAATGCTAATAGTTGCATATGTAGTGTAAGTGCTACCATACAAAACAAAATACAGATTAGAAAAAAACAAAATGTTCATGGCTTTCAGCTTTGAGTGGTATCTCTTTTGTTCCTTGCTCCTTCCCTCAAATGCTTACATCACCTGGATGTTATAACAGATAAAGGACTTTCTCTGGAATGTGCCAGTTCCTCTGCAACCAGGAGTCCATCCCTTACAGTCCCAGTCAGATTGCTGGCTCTTTATTGCCACCCCAAGCTCTAGTCCCTCTTCCGTTGTCTCACAGCAACGGCTCCTAGAAAGTTTTCTTGCCCCCTGCTTTTCCTCCTCCTTCCCCAACCTTGTAGTTATCTAAGGAGTCCTCTCCACCCACAGGATTCCCATGCCCTTCAGTTAAAACCTCGGGGGTTTCTAACATCCATGTAGGATCATCCAAAGCCCTGGTTTCCTACTGTCCCACTGCCTCATTCCTTCTGAACCTGCTCTCCACCCATCTTCGCCCCCAGTGCAACCCCCTGATCCACACAAACGCTCAGACCCCTTCCAGCCCTGCCAGCCTCCCTGTTCAGCAGGGTTTCTACAGTAAGCCACATCAGCCAGGCTGTACCCAGCACCCAAGATGCCCTTGTTCTCCCTGCCAGAACCTTATCAACAACCCGCTCTTCTTTGACTCCTAAGGCAAAGTCAGCTTAAAGAGGGAAAAAAAGAATAAAGTCCTCTCTCTGGTGTTTGGCCTAGCTTTGCCTCTTTGGAGCTGTGTGATACTGGGCATTTTTCTCAACTTATCTGGATTTACTTCCCCATTCTTTCAGACATCTAATGGATGTGAGGTTAGCATTAACATAAAACCTCCTATTCCCCTCAGGACTGAGTACCTAATACTGTCCCCATACTCCCATCTTCTCCTAAAGCACTGAGACCTCTAGTTCCATTCTCCCAGTGACCTCATTTCCTTCCTGGGGCAATCAGAAGTCCCCTCTCACTTTCTTCTAAAAGCAAAATGAAACAAAAACAAAACCTTCCAGCAAAACCCTCTAACTGCAGCCTTTGCCCTTCATTGTGAAAGCCTTTTTAGTTCGTATGTCATTTCTTAACTCCTAAGTAAGAATCAAAACGTAAATACCATCTCTACCTCAGAAAACTCTACCTCAGGTTGAAGAAACAAATATGAAAGCAGTTCCTGGGGCACAGCCACCCTAACACCATTTTTTGCAGCTAGCTGTGAAAACCGGAGTTCTCTCCACTCAGGATGGCCTGTGGAGCTCTGCAGTGGGCCCCGTGGGCTCCCACAGTCAAGGCTGAGGCTGAGCAACTGACCTAAGGCTCCTTATTATAAAATGGGATCATCACAAAACCCAGGAGCTCACCCATGTTTTAAAATGTCTGGTGATGGGAAAATGCCAATTTGTTTTTTTCCCTTCATTCCTGCTGAGAACATTATTTTTGGGTTTTCATCTTAGTTCCCCCATTAGATTGTAAATCCTTTAAGGATAAGGCATCCAAATCAACTGTTACAGTTAATTTTTAATGAAAACCACCATTAGTTCTACTTCCTATTAAAACATGGTATCACCTGAACTTTTCCAAATAAGCATCAATTTATATGAACTCTAAACATTTAAGCTTCCCAATTACATATCCAATAAGGTTGGATTATAATTTGGGTTAAGATCCAAAAAGTTTACAAAAACAAAGTTACTGATTTCTTTTGGATCTACACAGAATACCAGTTGTACAATTTCACTTAGCTTGTTCTTCTCCCCAGATGAGCATGGGGTAAACATGGCTTCTCAAATAACTCTAGAGCAGACACAGTAAACTTTTTCTGTAAAGTGCCAGGTTGTAAATATCTTAGGTTTTGTGAACCATATTGTCTCTGCTTATTTAACAACCCTTTCCAAATGGAAAAAAAAATACTTAGTTCATATGCCATACGAATAAACTCTGCAGCAGCATGTAGCCCACAGGCTGTAGTTTGCCAATCCCTGGTCTAAAGAATTGGACAGCCGGTGTGGTGGTGGCTCTTGCCTGTGACTTTGGGAGGCCAAGGCAGGAGGATCCCTTGAGCCCAGGAGTTTGAAACCAGCCTGAGCAACATAGCAAGACCTGTCTCTACAAAAAATAAAAAAAGAATTGGGCTATGAGAGCTTTTAGACCATGCCTTTTTTGTTGATTCTCACAGTCCTGGAACAAGCCTCAAGGCACAGCATGCATTTAATATATGTTTGAATGGTTGATAAAAGTAAGCCAGGTATTGCAAAGCACATCATAAAGGAAAAGAAAACACTACAAAACTTCATGGGCACATATTGTTTTCTATCAGGCACTGTGGTTGTCTCCGCCCGTTTTCTGATCACAGGTATTAGTCCTGTCACCTAGTGAGGTCCTTTCAAACAAGCTGACCTTAGAACTTCAGAAACTTCAGTCAAAAGGGAGACTTTTTTAGAAAAGGTGGAAATGGCCTTTTATTTAAATATGAGGAAAAAATTAGAATTAAGTACAGTAAGATTATTTTTAAAAAAGCAGACAAGTTAGAACAAACATTTTATTATTAAAATAAACTTTTGTATAAAAGCATTACAGATCAAAAGCTGTATTTACACTTATCGATTCAAGGTCCAATTATGCATCAAACATTGAATGGCACAGCAATGGTTTACATATGCAAGTAAATTGGACATACAAACACTTAGATTCCACCTCTACCAAATACCTTGATTAATGCAAAGAGGAGGGGGAATACTGACACAGGAAACCTGCCCAGAAACTAGACTGGCAGAGATGTCAGGTTAACAAACTGCTAAAAGTTACATCTCCAAAAAGGCACTTATCATTGTTATAAAAGTGCTTAAAATCTAAACTTGAACCTTGTGCCTGGTTTATAAATTTACAAGAAACTGCAAAGAACCACAGACTAGTTTTTAATATCAAGTTTCCATACAAAATTGTCCAAGAATTTATTTGCAATACCTTACATGTGAACTGAAATAAACTTTGCAAACTACAATTATACTAAAGTTTTATACTGAAAATTCAAATCAGCTTACTCATAATCTCCAGATAGCTCTTCCATCATTATTTTAATTAAGTATTACATTGCCCACCAACCTTTGAATTATGATTGTGTAAGCTGGACGCACCACTTACCCTTCGGGCAGAAGAAATTAGGAGAAATTAAGTCTCAACTGTGACAACAACTTGTAACATAAGCGCAATACATGGGATTGAGAGACATCAATCTGCAATAATTACCTAATTTTTCCACATGGTTTTAAGACTTTTGTGCCTTGATTCTATTAAAAATTTCAACTAGTATGAATGCTAAATCATACTCGTTTTTGTGTAAACAAGTTAGAAGGCTCTTCTCTGAAATTCAATAGATCTAGTTAGTTAATACTATTATTGTGTTTCCAAGTGCTTAGGTTTTATGAGGGCTATTTCAACACCAAGTAAATAAAATATGCTTTCATAAAACTGTAATTTAAAAGAAATTCAGAAACTAAGCGGTTGGAGAGGAGCATTGGAAATAGAGGGGGATGCTGTGAGATGGGGGTTGGGAGCAGAGAAGAAACTGCAGGAGGGCAAAGTGTAACTAGCAATATACCTTCTGTGATGCTCCAGAAACACATGTCTGCTAAGATTAACTTGATTGGAGTTTCTTATGAAACAGGCTGATCATCAAGATTTTTAACTCAGGTTTCAGTGAAAAAATTGGAAACTTTTACAAGAAAGATTTGAGAAGTAGAAGGCAGGCAGCAAATTTTCCAGATATTATGCTTGCATTTCAAATTCCTGTTTCAGGCTGTGAAAAACAAAAGGAAATGTGTCAGGACATAGTTTTCAACCAAAGAATTCTCTTTTGAAAGCCTAATTCATTTTTAAAACCATTTTTATTGAGTTATAACATCACTATGGTCAAGTGTGCGCATCTTCAAGTATATTACCTGACTTTTTCATACACACCCACCCACCCGGGTTACCACCACCTAAGTGAAGACAGAAAATGTTCCCATCCCTTCCAGTGTGCCCCGTTCCAGTCAGTCTCCACCCCGCCAGAGATAACCACTCTTCTGACATCTATCATCTTCTCATTAAGACATAAATGAATATAAAATTCAGATGTGGAAGGGAAAAAAAAACACCCACTACCTTTTCAAGTAGGCATGCACATTCCCAAAGCCATGATATTTGGCTAAATACACAAGGACCCCAGTCGCACACCGTCCATCTCGCTGCCGGCAGAAACTGCAGTTGCAGATTCCTCGACAAGGCGGGCAATGCCAGTTCTGAAGGAGGATTGTCAAACGGCACAATTAAGTTAAACCTTACCTCCCCCACCAACTTATCTACATTACATTTAACCCCTTCTTTATGGTTAAAAATTTATATGATTAATAGGCATTAGTCATGCCTAATGTTTCCTAATGCCTAATGCTTCCTTCCAGGAGTGGAAGTTACAAGCAGCTACCAGGGATAAATGGAGCAGCAACTTCCCAGGGACAGTTCAGACCCGAGTATCGTAGAAGCGGCTCATGCCTATGCAGCACCATCCCTCTGAATTCATTTGTGTTCTGAATTAAGAGCACCCTGGGCCGGGCGTGGTGGCTCACACCTGTAATCCCAGCACTTCAGGAGGCCGAGGCGGGTGGATCACGAGGTCAAGAGATCTTGTACCACCACACCATCCTGGCCAATGTGGTGAAACCCCGTCTCTACTAAAAATACAAAAATTAGCTAGGTGTGGTGGCGCGTGCCTGTAGTCCCAGCTACTTGGGAGGCTGAGGCAGGAGAATCGCTTGAACCCAGGAGGAGGAGGTTGCAGTGAGCTGAGATCGCGCCACTGCACTGCAGCCTGGCGACAGAATGAGACTCCATCTTAAAAAAAAAGAAGAGCACCCCATAACAGAAAGGGCTCCACCCCTTCACCAATGCCTTTTTCTGGCCTCATCACAGTTTGTGGCTGACCTTCAAGCCCACAGGACCAACCCCTGGCAGGCACCTACCGGATCCAGCAGAGCATCCCTGACCTCTTCACCATAACGGTTTCGAAGGCAGGGGCCACAGAACTGGCCTCGAACGCCCCAGCAGTCTGGGTTTCTGCAGTTTGTTTTGGTATCAATAGTCTTCTGACGGCATTGATGACAAGTAGAGCCCTACAAATAAGCCATTAAGAAAAAAAACAAAAAAAACCACTGTTTTTCAACAGAGGAAATGGCATATTTACAGAATGTCCCTCTTCGTAGTATAGGCTTACATTTTGTCTATGAATCTCTACATACACATGTATATGCCAGGGTATGAAAAATAACTCAACCAGGTGCAGTGGCTCACACCTGTAACCCCAGCATTCCGGGAGACTGAGGAGAGTGGATCGCTTGAGCCAAGGAGTTCAAGACCAGCCTGGGCAATATGGCAAAACCCCATCTCCACTAAAAATATAAAAATTAGCCTGGTGTGGTAAAACCGCTTTCCCTTTAAGAAAAGGTCTTATTAAAAAATAACCTACCCAAATCCACTTTTATCTTTGGTGTACCACCACACTCCAGCACCTAGCTATGTATACACACATAATAGATATGCAGTAAATATATGTTGAATGAATTGATTTCTAAATTAGGAGAAAAGATTTACCATGACTACAGACTTACTAAGCAGATAATTCCACTGTGAAAGAGGGCTAAATCCCAGGGATACTGTAAAACTTTTCCTTCCTTGTGTGAAAAAAACATATAGGTACAGATTTCACATGCTAGGCCCTTTAGAACCTGGGCAACGCTTAGGGACAGAAGCTCTCTTCCTCTCACAGATGTTTACATTCTCAGGTGTAATTTAGAGGCTCTCACCAGTGAACGGTTATATATCTTCTCTCGAGAATTGCTGCAGACGTTCTCCAACTCCTCCTCTGTAATTTCTTCCACTGGGCGAATTATATGCGGAAGGGTCACGGATGATCTGGAGCGACGGCTTCTGGGCAGGTCATCTTCCTGCATTACAAGGAATACAAAACACAGAACTTCAAAACTGAAAAACTGAAAGAGATTCAAAACTGAAAAAACAGATTCAAATATGAAACACAGAGATTCAAAACTGGCTCTCCCCAGCTTTGAATCTCAGATACTTGACTTGTAATTTCTTCACACAAACTTCAACCTGGAAATCTCTCCTAGAGCTTATGGTAGGGGAACAGGCCATACGCTTACTGTAGCCTAACTGGACATTTTGGAAACGATGCCTACAATTAAGAAGAGATGAAGAAAACCCAATTCTCGCCTGCTAATAAAATTACCAAGTAAGCTTATGTGACGTTTACAGTTCTGAATGGTTAGAGGAAAACATTTACTATGGATCGCCTGGTGTTAAGGATGTGCGTGTACCTGTGCTGTGTATGATGCCAGGCCTACCGAAGATGAGAATCAGAAGAGCAAGTACCAATGCGGAGAACTCACATTCATGTAGCCATCCACGGTCTTCCTCTTTCTCACCAACATGTACTTATCCTCTTCCTCCTCCTCCTCCATGGGTAGAGCGTCAAGGGACCCGAGGATCCGGGACCTTGACCTGGTAAGAGGACGAGCTCTCCGTTCAGGGTTTCTCCTGGAAGCAACACCCGGGAATGTACGCCTTCGCGGTCTCCTTGATTGCTAAACAAAGCACGTATAAGGGAATCCATTTATTCCATAATAAAGAGAAGTAGTACTTTGGGGAATTCATAGCTTCTCCTTAAGGATGTTTTAAGTAAAGAGAGCTCTATTTTTTCTTTTTCTTTGTCCTTTGCATAATGCATGGCAAAATGAGCCTAAAACCTATATGGCCATCTTAATTTTGCTTTTGTAATACCAAGCCCAGTTTCTTTCAACTTGAGAGATGAGCTATTTATTCTTTTACTTAATGAAGATGTAAGAAATGATCTTCTGTTCTAAAAAAAAAAATTTTCTCTGATGTCTCTTGACCCTGTAGAAACACATTCAGTTTCTACACTGCAAAATAGAGGGATATCTGTATGGCTTCCCTCTTTCCATCTTTCCTTTCCTCAGGGAAAGCCAGGAAAAAGAAATCTTTTCTATCACAGCAGACACACCAAATCTCCCTAAGTTGTACCACCTTAATTCCTCAGAATGCAATTGTGTATGATACCAAGCTACAACTTGATAAGAAATTGTGATTTTCTTCTTTTATTTTCATTCTCCAATTTTAAAAACATCTATTGCACATCTACCATGTAGGAGGAATGTGCTCACACTGGAGAACAGAAAAAAGTTTTCAATCTTCATTACCTGCCCATGAGGGGCTTAGTCTAGCTGGGAAGGAAAGAAAGAACCAATCAAAAGGAGTTTAGTGCCACAGGAGCACAGCAAGGAGAGACCAAACTGCCCAGGATTCAAGGAGGATCATCCAGAGATCTGTCAGGGGGTTTCCTCTAGGTCCCCTTCGTTTGTCTAGAAGGCCACACAAATAAAGAAATTAGATTTTTAAATACAACACAGATCGACCTTAGGTGTGCCCAAAACACTACTGTATATAAACAAGAACTGGTACTTACTGAGTCGGAGCCTGGGAGGGGATGTCTTCCACGGAACGAGCCAGGGAAGCTTTCTAATTCAGACATGAGTTTTGCAAGCTAAAAAGGGAGGAAATTAAACTGATATCATTGGCTTAGAATAACTGTCGAAAATGAGCAACTAACTTCTGGAAAATACTCAAGTACATCTCATGGTTTTATATTTGATAGTAAGCTGACACATTCAGAGTTTCTGATTTCCCCTATACACTTAACCAGGCCTTTAACAGATTTAAAAAAAGTAGTTCAGGGAAAGAAACACATTTTGAGGCACACATTGAAGACTTCACAGGTAAACAAAAATAACTTTTTATTCATGTAACAGAAAAAAATAACTTTTGCGTGATGGAACAGATTTAAGTAATGAGTCGCTTAGAGAGGAAAAATTAATTCTAACACAAAGTCAGATACCTACCATTGCTTTGTTTTGCTTTATATTTAAAGCCCTTTTCTCCAAAAAATTCATTCCACTTTCATCTTCTGAATCGGAGTTGGAATCAGTCACAGAATTCTCTGAGGGCTGGCGGGACTCTGCTTTTTTGTTGGTTGCTCCCCTGGTACTCCGCGCTGGAAACTTCATCGCCACCCTGAGAGGTCCAGAGTGCCTGCACTGGCTGCGGGTCCTACAGCCTTCCCGAACTGACTGCAGCCTCTAATCACAACAATTGAGTCATTAGGACTTGATCAGCAGACAAGCTGCATCAGTATAACTACAAAGTCCCTTTTCAATGAGACACTTGTATGAAATGAATTTTAACTGAACATTGATACCTCTGGGTAACAAAATCAGGAACCACAAAGAGTACATCAACAGAGTGCAGTTTAATTCCATGTAGCCCATCTGGACCACACTGTTATAAGCTATTTTCATAGTCCCTAGGCCTGTGGTTCTGAGCCTTTTTTTAAAATGTTAAAATTCCTACCACCTGCTTTTCATTTCTTTAGAAACAGATCTTTATGTATTTTAAAAGAATTCTGACAAGAACAAATGTGTTCTCCTGGCTGGGTGCAGTGGCTCACATCTGTAATCCCAGCACTTTGGGAGGCTGAGGCGGGTGAATCACTTGAGCCTAGGAGTTCGAGACCAGCCTGGGCAACATGGTGAAACCCCGTCTCTGCAAAAAAAAATACAAAAATTAGCTGGGCATGGTGGCGCATGCCTGTGGTCCCAGCTACTTGGAAGGCTGAGGTGGGTGGATGGCTTGAGCCCAGGGGGCAGAGGCTCAGTGAGCCGTGTTCGTGCCACTGTATGCCAGGGCTGGGTTACAGAGCCAGACCCTGTCTTGAAAAAAAAAAAAAGGGAAAAAAATGTGTTCCCCTATAAATATGGCTTCAATGTTTATGGCAATATTAAATTATATTAACAGATCTCAATTCTCTACTTTAAAAAATATATAATATAATATACATAAGATTTATCATTTTAACCATTTCTAAGTATACAAGTCAATGGCATTAAATACATGCACATTGTTGTGCAGCCATCACCACCATCCATCTCCAGAATGTTTTCATCTTCTCCAACTAAAACTCCATCCATACCCATTAAACAGTAATTCCTCATTCCCTCTTTCCCTCCGCCCCTGGCAACCATCATCCTATTTTCTGTCTATACATTTGACTTCTCTAGGTACTTCTCTAATCTACTTTTAGAAGTTCAAAATGAAAATATTTCCAGATTCCAAAAGTAATATAGGTTTTCATCATTAAAAATTTATCCAAATTAGCCATAGGGTAATGTAAATCAAAATCACAATGCAAGGCTGGGTGCGGTAGCTCATGCCTATAATCCCAGCACTTTGGAAGGCCGGGGCAGGCGGATCACCTGACGTCAGGAGTTTGACACCAGTCTGGCCAACATGGTGAAATCCCGTTTCTACTAAAAATACAAAAATTAGCCAGGCACAGTGGCACACGCCTGTAATCCCAGCTACTTGGGAGGCTGAGGCAAGAGAATCGCTTGAACCCAGGAAGCGGAGGTTGCAGTGAGCAGAGATCACTGAGACCACACCACTGCACTCCAGCCTGGGCTACAGAGCAAGACTCCGTCTCCGAAAAATAAAAATAAAAAAAAACACAAAACATAGTGAGACACCACTTCATAGTAGAGCTAAAAAGCAAAAGAAGGCTGGGTATGGTGGCTCACATCTGTAATCCCAGCTCTTTGGGAGGCTGAGATGGGCAGATCACCTGAGGTCAGGAGTTCGAGACCAGTCTGGCCAAGATGGCAAAACCCCGTCTCTACTAAAAATATAAAAAATTAGCCAGGTGTGGTGGCACATGCCTGTAGTCCCAGCTACTCAGATGCTGAGACACAAGAATCGCTTGAACCCAGGAGGCGGAGGTTGTGGTGAGCCAAAATTATGCCACTGTACGCCAGCCTGGGTGACAGAGTGAGACTCTGTCTCAAAAAAAAAAAAAAAAAGCAAAAGGAAAATAAAAAAAAGTATTAGCAAAAATTTGGAGAAACTGTAACCCTCACACACTGCTGGTAGGAATGTAAACTGGTGTAGCCACTTTGTCTATTTCTCAAAAGGTTAAACAGTTACTACATGACCCACAATTCTATTCCTATGTATATACCTAAGAGTATACACAAAAACTACACAAAAACTTGTACATGAATGTTCACAGTAGCATTATTCATAATAGCCAAAAAAGTGCAAACAACCCACTTATCCATCAACTGATGAATGGGTAAATCAAATGTGGCTGATTCACACAACAGAATATTCTGCAATAAAATGAAGAACTAACACATGCCACAACATAAATAAACCTTGACATCATTATCCTAAGTGAAAGAAGCCAGTCACAAAAGACCACATATCATGATTCAATTTTTATGAAATATCCACAACGGGCTAATCTATGACGACAGAAAGCAGACTGATGGTTGCCAGGAGCTGGGGGTGTTGGGAAAGAATAGGGAGTGACTGTTAATGGGTACAGAGTCATTTTTTGGGGTCATAAAGTTATTCCAAAATTGACTATGGTAATGGTTGCAGGTTAAAAAAAAAGAGAGAGAGAAGAAAAAAATCACCCATAAATCCCAGAATTTCACCCATAAAGACTCAGTTTTAACATTAAAATATTTATCAAGGCCAGCAAGGTGGCTCTTGGCTGTAATCCCAGCACTTTTGGAGGCCGAGACGGGAGGATTGCTTGGGCCTAGGAGTTCGAGACCAGCCTGAGCAACAAAGTGAGCCCACATCTCTATAAAAAATTTTTAAAAGTTCCCAGGCATGGTGGTACACGCCTGTAGTCTCAGCTACTGGGTAGGCTGAGGGAGAATCGCTTAAGCCCAGGAGGTGGAGGCTGCAGTGAGCCATGATCACACCAGTGCACTCCAGCCTGGTTGACAGTGCAAGACCCTGTCTCAAAAGTCTTACATGCCCACAAACAGCTTTTTGTACTTTTAGTGTCCATGGATTGAGAGAGTACAAAACAACAAAAACCTTTCATGAGTTCCTAACAATTATAATGAATTGGCATTTTATTAATCATGACAGTATCTTCAAAGAACTGAAACACTGCCCAGAAATTATTCAGGCTATTGACAATGTTTGTGTCGCATCCAGATCTGCAGACTGGACCCCCTGCAACAAACTCCAGTATGCACTGATTTGGACCAAAACACTCCTTGGCCAGGCACTGCCACTTCTATCAATGTTACTCAAACCATGAACCTCAGGCAGTGGATCCATGTCAGACCAGTGAGTTGAAGAGCATGCACTTGATTATCAGTGAATGCACTGCTTCCTTTGTCAAGAAAGTCTTTGGAACAGGAAAATGTGTGCAGAATTAAGCAGTATGCTCAGAAGAGTGGGACCGAGGCACAGCACAACAGTGGCAGCGGCAGTTAAAGGAAGGTAGCGTGCATAGGAAAAGCCAACCAAGGAGCAAAAGTAGCAGCAGGAAGGGCCCTCAATGTCATTATCTGCAATGGAGCTCCTGCACGTAAGTTATCACAGGTTTTCAAGATGCAGCCACAGATCTACTATGAGACCAACATTTATCAAAGGTCTGCTCTATGACAGGCACTAGGCTGGGCACTTGAACTTAAATGCAAATGTAGATAATATTTAGAACTAGTGTGCTTCCTGATTAGGCTGGATTTTTGTGGAAACGAAAATCTGGAGATTGGCCAATTTTATCTTACCAGTTTCCAAATTTTCAGAGCCTACAAAATGTTCATGATTTGTAAGTCCGACTACATTAGTAAACACTGCTTTAAGACATGAAGAAAACACTAAAAATTTTTAAAAGGTCAACAAAGTCTGCTGGCATGACTAAAATCAAAATCACAAGAAAAAAATTTCTAAAAATATGTCATGCCTCTAAATGTATCTTACTTCTTGAAACTGGTGAAATTCTCGAACTCACCATTCCATCTTGTATCTCACTCTCTGAGAAACCGCAAAATGATTCATCGTCAGAGTCGGCATGAAAAATACCGGCCAGTTCGTTAGTGACATCTGGCCTTGGTTTCTGTAAAAATCCACAATGGTCTAATACATCTTGCACCTCACTTTCTGAAAAGCCGCAGAAAGATTCATTATCAGAGTCCTCATAAAAAACATTTGCCAGTTCTTCACTGATATCTGACCTGAATTTAGGTTTCTGTAAAATAAATAAATAAATGCGGTTGTGCATTTTTTTTCTTTTTCAAGAACCAATTTTCCATAAACCGTGCAGAGAGCAAATCACATTTACAAGTGCACTACAAGAGAACAGCTTTTGTTACAAAGAAAAATGGTTCAGAGGTTTACAAATGATTTCTGAGTTGTTATGGCAAATCATCATGCATGTTAGGTTAGGCGACATTTCAAAAGGATAGAATAAGTAGCTAATCTACCTCCAACAATTACTACCTAGAACCACAGCAAAAAGTGAAATGAAATTATAGTGCATACTGTATTTTCATAACGGCTGTATAGAAATGTAGGCAAAAAGCAAGCAGTTTTAATCACGCACAAAGCATCTGGGGCATTTTGAGCACTGCAGACTCAATTCTGTTTATTCTCAGGCAGCACTTACCGTGTTTGCAAAATTATCAGAAGCAAAGCTGTCACAACTGTCATCAGAGGATGACGAGGTTTCCATGGAAATCAACTTCACATATCTGAATTTCTTTAAGTTCTTCTTTACTCTGAGATCTTTCTGCTGCAAATGGAAATAGCAATCCTATTAAGCGTGATGCTTACTTTATTTAACTAAAGACATCATTTTTTTTTAGTTTAGTAGGTTCAAACAGCACAGAGTAGATATGTCCATTTATCATACCCTACATAGAAAAGGAAGTTTGTTAACTGCTACAAAAAATTTTTTCTTTCTTTTTTTTGTAAGAAGCAGGATCTCGCTCTGTCTTCCAGGCTAAAGTGCAGTGCTGAGATCATAGCTTACTACAACCTGGAACTCCTGAGCTCAAGCAAGCCTCCTGCCTCAGCCTCCTGAGTAGACAGGACTACATGCATGTGCCACCATGCCCAGCTAACTTATTTTATTTCTTTTTAGAGATGGGGTCTTGCTATGTTGCCCAGGTTGGTCTCAAACTCCTGGGCTCAAGTGATCCTCCCACCGGAGCCTCCCAAAGGGCTTGGATTACAGGCATTAGCTACTGTATCTGGACCCAAAAATCTTTAAAACCAGGTCAAATTCTTTTTTTTTTTTTTTTTGAGACGGAGTCTCGCTGTGTCGCCCAGGCTGGAGTGCAGTGGCGCGATCTCGGCTCACTGCAAGCTCCGCCTCATGGATTCACGCCATTCTCCTGCCTCAGCCTCCAGAGTAGCTGGGATTACAGGCGCCCGCCACCACGCCCGGTTAATTTTTTGTATTTTTAGTAGAGACGGGGTTTCACCGTGTTAGCCAGAATGGTCTCAATCTCCTGACCTCGTGATCTGCCTGCCTCGGCCTCCCAAAGTGCTGGGATTACAGGCGTGAGCCACCGCGCCCGGCCAAAACCAGGTCAAATTCTAAGAAGGGATCCCTTTGCAGGAAAATTGTAAAGACATTTATCAATTTATTCAAACATCTGTAGAGCTACCTCTCAACCCACCTTTATGAGCCCCTAATCTTTAGCTCTTAGCATTATACTGAGCCCCACAGGAGATTTTAATGCTAAACTCCTAAAATCCAACCTGTTTTTTTAAAAAAATTAAACTGTACTTCTAAAAGGAAATTTCAAAAGTACAAAAGGGGAGAAAGATTTTTCTCCCTCAGCCAAAATCAAGCTAATGAGGTATTTTTATGTAAGCTTTGGGCTATGTACTGTGATGCTAATTTCACAAACTACAAAAACTGGGCAGGACCTCTACTTCAAGATGGCAGGCTTCCAAGCAGGCCCCTTTCCAATCAAGAGGGCTATCGTGATTTCCACAGAAGTCCTTACAAAGCAAATACATCAAACGCTTCAACAAATGGTACAAGGAGCCAAGTTAAAGATCAAATAGCACTCCAAATGCAGGTGGGATACCGGATTCCATTTTAGCACTCTATTACTTGAGGCTGTCATTCAGTTCTTGTTGCTGTCCCTTTGCTATACAAGACTTAAGTTTTTAAAAGTCCTTTTATAAAGTGCAAATTACTTACATAGAAATGCTTCATTCATTCATAAATACTGAACAGCCTGGCACTGCTCTCAGAAAATGTAATTGGCATCTATCTTGTATAAAAAAAGGATAGTGGTTTGTCATTTCTTAATATTTAACGAGATTTCCTAAGTGTTGCATTAGGTCCTGTGTTTTTATTCCTTAAATGGGGCCATGGAATAGCAGAAGTGATTCCTTACACTGAAAACTTTGAAAGGGCAAGCTCTGGTATAGATTCTACAAAATATGCTAAGATGTAAGATGTCAGGTGACCAGAACATTCTTGCCCTCCTTCTTGGCCTAACATTACGCATTTCAGTCTCTTGCAGATAAAGTTATTTTCATGATGATGGCACTCCCAACATCCCTATACCCCTAAGTAAACTCCGTTCAATCATCTTAGGAAGTTTTTGTCTTTTGCCCTCTTAACAAGGCAGGACAACGTGTAAAAGGTAGAGCTACTAAATATAAAGGTTAGGTGTATGTGTAGGGGGGTGGCTCACACCTGTAATCTCAGCGCTTTGGGAAGCCAAGGTGGGAGGATCACTTGAGCCCACGAGTTCGAGACCAGCGTGGGGAATATGGTGAAACCCCGTCTCTACTAAAAACACAAAAATCAGCCGGATGTGGCGGTGCGTACATGTAATCCCAGTTACTTGGGAGGCTGAGGTGGGAAGACTGCTTGAGCCCGGTAGGCTGCAGTGAGCCGTGACTGTGCCACTGCACTCCAGCCTGGGACACAATGAATGTTGGGAGCTGAAAAGGATCTCAGATCCCATTTTCCAGATGAGGATATTCAAGGCCCCAGGAAGGTGTAATAGACTGCAAGATCACAGGGGCAGGAAGGAGAACTCAAGTCTGCCATCTTCTTAAGCAGCAGTGTTCATCGCATTACTGCAGGAATTACCACCCTTTACTCATCAATCTACCTGCAAGCAGTCAGAGGCCCCAGACAGCCTCAAAGGCGGCATTCTATTGGAAGCTGTCCGAGAAATACAGGCTGAGCTTTAACAAGTCAGCACAAGCCAAGAGTTATTTACCAGGCAAACGTATCTTTGGAGGAAAAGCCACAAAAAAGCAGCAAGGCAAATAGTCAAGACGGAGATGAACTTCTTTGGCAGGTAAGTAATAACTAATACCATTTATAGTAGGCGTTTTTCGTGCCAGGCACTATGTTAAGTACACTTTCACGTCAGGTTTAATTCTTTGCAACAAAGGTGCTATCGTTATTCTCACTTAGCCAATGAGGAAACTGAGGCTCAGGAAAGCGAAATGGATTACTCAAGTCCCATGGTGGCTCAGATTTGAACTCAGGCATGTCAGGTTCCAAGACCAGCTACACATGGTTTTCTTCATCCGGAAAGCCAATGCCCAGCTCCACCGGGGCGGCGACTCAGCTCTGAAACCACGCCCCATCGCACCCACCCCCGCGAGGGTCCCTAACCCCTGATATTTATTTTAAACATGTCATTGTCTTCCGTTTCACCCAACCCCCACTCTTCTACCCTCTCCAGGAGCCCGACCCTACGTTCTGGCTTCCGTTAGAGCAAAAAGTAACGTTCCACTCAGAGCAACGTCCTGCAGCTAAGAGTAAGGCTGGGGGGTGGGGGGTGGGGGGTTGGGGGTTGGGGTGGAGGAAGTAGGAAACGAGCAAATGGTCGGCGAACGCTTTGACCCACCAAGCCCTTTAAATGCACTTAACCACCGCCCGGGACTACGGTCGCTTCACACTGCGTGCGCAGCCCAAGTTCTAGGAGACCGGTTCGCAAGACCTTAAACCTCAGACGCGCTGGCCCTCAGCGGTTAGAAGCGGACGCGTCTCTTGCCGGGCGGGGTGCGCGCCCAAGGGCCACCCACTGAGCGCGGGTATAGACGCGGCGAGCCACGCACTGGCTCCGAGTTGTGTGCGGGAAAGGGCTGGGCCGCTGCGGGACAACCTCCCAGGGGGCAGGCAGGCTGGCTCTGCCTGGCAGGCAAAATCGGGACCGGCCAGCGCTCCCGGCCGCTGTCCGGCCTTTGGCGGACGCACGTGCCTAGGGCTTTCCAGCGCTGCTAGCCATCCTGCAAACGACTCAAGTCTCCACGCCGCCCGCACTTCGGGTGCGCACGCCACGCAGGAACGTCCCCATGGCCCTCAGTTATCCCAGGTGCACAAAATCAGGGGCTTGCCCAAGCGGGCAACGCCTAGGCAGGCCACCAGTTAAGGCAGCGCTAGGCTGCGGAGTTGGAGAGGGTCGGCCCGCGCCCGCCTGCGTCCAGCACCCACCGCGCCCGCCCCTCGGGTTCGCCCGCCCAGCCCTCACCGGCACGCGGCGAGCGTCCATGCTGGTGGCGGGTGCCCAGATCGGCGCTTGGAGCGGGGAGAGCGGAGCAGCCGCGCGGTCAGCGGTCCCACAGCAGGAGGAGCAGCAGCAGCGCGGCTGGCAGGCTGGGCGCGCCGACCCGGGCCCGGAGGGGCGGGGCTCGGGCTGTCTTTCCCGCGTTGGGACACAGGTCCTGCAAGCTGTGGTAACGGCCAGACATGGCGCAAGACTAGGTGGCCCCCTGGAAAAAACACGACCCCCCTATATATTCTGACCTCAAAGGATAGCCTTGGGCACTCCTAAAATCCCCTTTGAGAAAGGGGGGCTTTAGGGGCTACGGGGACCACTCTCCTTGTGCAGCTGCGCGGTCCTGAGCGAGTGGCGCGAAAATGGTTCGTATTGCCCCGGGGTTAGCTGTCTGATTTGCAAGAATTTTCGTGGTGGCGGAGGAAAAGTGGAGTCTGGGGGGTAAAGGAGAGCAGCGTGAGGGTGGCGCGGGTCACGCACCATGGCGTTTAGCACTTTCATTGCTGCGTGCGGTTTACAAGATTTAAAAAATCATAGAATCCAGCACGAACTCCACCCTTCATAATCGAGTTCACCGCCCCTGGATGTAGCACCTCTTATCTGGGAACCACACCATTATCTGAAGCAATAAAATGAGTTAAATCCTGATCTTTCTTTCCAAAAAGCACAGGAAGCCGACTTGTTTACTTGTGGTTTTCAAAGTAGAAGAAAAGCCGCAGCAGCTTGATGAAGACGTCTATAGTATAGTTAACCTTTAACGATTATCTGTTGGGGATTGAAACTAAAGATTGAACAATTGTGGCTTGATGATCTTCTCTGTCTTCAGAATTGAGAACTACCCTGAGTCAGTGCGAACGAGAAAACTTTTCATTGCCCTTTTAACCAAACTTGGCATTACAACGAAAAAATGAAATAAAGCGAGGCTTTTTGTGTGCGTGAAGAGCAAAACTTGCTTCTACAAGAAAAAGTAAATTTAGTTTCTTTAGAAGACACTAATTATACTCTTAACATTTAAAACAAGCGCTTGAAATGAAAACATTCGCATTTCCCCCTCATTTCAAAACTTTTCTCTGGGGAATAATTAATTCCTTTGCAGTAAGAGAGTGCATGGACATACTGTGTTCCTCTCTTGGTGTACTGAATACAAAAACTGTGAGCAAGTAAATAATGCCCGAGGACAATGGATTGGAAGGAGTCTTCCAGCCTTTCTTAAATATACCTACCCAGTAATCACTCTGCCACTGTGCAAGGGACAAAGAGCTCAAGGTCTAGAAGGTGAGTGCCAGGAGGAGAGGCTATCGGTGGGTGGTGAAATTACGGAATTACAGGGCCCTCAGTAAGTATTTGTTGAATGAATAAACATTTGGGAATATAATTTTGTGCCACTAAAGCTAAATATATGAAAATTTGGAATTACTAGATCCATGAAGCAGGGGAAGATTAAGTCACTTTGCCTGTGAAAGGTTCTGATAGGGAAATTTTTAGTCTTCCTGGGAGCACAAGAAAATAATTTGGTGTATGTGTTTTTTAAGGATAAGATCTCTGGTCTATTCGTCTTTTTAGTAATCAGGAAAATGCAAATTAAAACAAGTGTCACTGGAAAGGGGTCCCGATCTAGACCCCAAGAGAGGGTTCTTGGATCTTGCACAAGAAAGAATTCAGGGCAAGTCCGTAAAGTGAAAAAGCAAGTTTATTAAGAAAGTAAAGGAATAAAAGAATGGCTACACCGTAGATAGAGCAGCCCGAGGGCTGCTGGTTGCCCATTTTTATGGTTATTTCTTGATTGTATGCTAAACAAGGGGTGGATTATTCATGGCTCCCCTTTTTAGGCCATATAGGGTAGCTTCCTGATGTTGCCATGGCATTTGTAAACTGTCATGGCGCTGGTGGGAGTGTAGCAGTGAAGACAACCAGAGGTCACTCTCCTCGCCATCTTGGTTTTGGCTGGCTTCTTTACTGCAGCCTGTTTTATCAGCAAGGTCTTTATGACCTGTGTCGTGTGCTGACCTCCTACCTCTTCCTGTAACATAGAATGCCTTAACCTCCTGGGAATGCAGCCCAGCAGGTCTCAAGGCTTATTTTGCCCAGCTCCTATTCAAGATGGAGTTGCTGTAGTTCAAATGCCTCTGACACAGGAGATACAATTTCACTCAGACTGGCAAAATTTAAAGCGCCTGATAAGACCAGATATTGTTAAGAATATGAGAAACTCCCACAATGATGTTAGTAGTGTAAATTTTTAACTTTGCAGAGCAATTTGGGAATAGAGGCGTACCTCATTTTATTGCACTATGCTTAAAATTAAAGGTTTGTGGCAACCCTAAGTATAGCAAGCTTATCAGTGCCATTTTTCCAAAAGCGCATGTTCATTTAGTGTCTCTGTGTAACGTTTTGGTAATTCTTGCAATATTTCACCTTTTTCATTATTTTTATATCCATAATGGTGATCTGCAATCTGATCTTTGCTATTACTGTTGTAATAATTTTGGAGAGTCACAAATTGTACCCATATAAGATGGCAGACTTCATCAATAAATGTTGTATGTGTTCTGATTGCTCCACTGACCAACCATCCTGTCTCTCTATCCTCATGCCCCCCTATTCACTGAGATAGAACAATATTGAAATTAGGCCAGTTAATAACTCCACAATGGTCTCTGAGTATTGAAATGAAAAGAAGAGTCACATATCTCTCACTTTAAATCAAAAGCTAGAAATGATTACACTTAGTGAGGAAGGCATGTTGAAAGCCGAGATAAGAAGAAAGCTAGACGTCTTGTGCCAAACAACCAAGTTGTGAATGCAAAGGAAAAGTTCCTGAAGGAAATTAAAAGTGCTACTCCAAAGAACACACGAACGATAAGAAAGCAAAACAGGCTTATTGCTGATAGGGAGAAAATTTAAGTGGTCTGGAGAGAAGATCAAACCAGCCACAACATTCCCTTAAGCTAAAACCTAATCTACAGTAAAGCCCTAACTCTCTTCAAACTCTGTGAAGGCTGAGAGAGATGAGGAAACTGCAGAAGAAAAGTTGAAAGCTAGCAGAGGTCAATTCACAAGGTTTAAGATTCACAAGGTTTAAGAGAAAAAGCCATCTCTATTACATGAAAGTACAAGGTGAAGTAGCAAATTATTCAGAAAACCTAGCTAAGCTAATTAATGAAGGTGGCTACACTAAACAAAAGATATTCAAAGTAAACAAAACAGCTTTCTGTTGGAAGAAGATGCCATCCAGGACTTTTATAGCTAGAGAGAAGTCAATGTCTGGCTTTAAAGCTTCAAAGGACAGCCTGACTCTCTTGTTAGGGATGAATGCAGCTGGTAACCTTAAATTGAAGCCATTGATCATTTACCATTCCACGTTCTTAATTCCTTAAGAATTATGCGACACCTATTCTGCCTGTGTTCTATAAACAGAACAACAAAGCCTGAATGAGAGCACATCTGTTTACAGCGTAGTTTGCTGAATATTTTAAGCCCACTCTTGAGACCTGCTCGGAAGAAAAGATTCTTTTCAAAATATTACTGCTCATTGACAGTGCCCCTATTCACCCAAGAGCTCTAATGGAGATTGATGAATGTTTTCATGCCTGGTAACACAGCATCCATTCTGCAGTCCGTGGACCAGGGAGTAATTTTGACTTTAAAGTCTTATTATTTAAGAAATACATTTCATGGCTGGGCACGGTGGCTCATGCCTGTAATCCCAACACTTTGGTAGGCTGAGATGGGCAGATCATGAGGTCAGGAGATGGAGCAAGTAAATAATGCCTGAGGACATGGGCATCCTGGCTAATATGGTGAAACCTTGTCTCCACTAAAAATACAAAAAATTAGCAGGGTGTGGTGGTGGGCGCCTGTAGTCCCAGCTACTCGGGAGGCTGAGGCAGGAGAATGGCGTGAACCCAGAAGGCAGAGCTCGCAGCAAGCCAAGATTGCACCACTGCACTGCAGCCTGGGCAACAGAGTGAGACTCCGTCTCAAAAAAAAAAAAAAAAAAAGAAATACATTTCATAAGTCTGTAGCTGCCATAGATAGTGATTCCTCTGATGGATCTGAACAGAGTCCATTGAAAACCTTCTGAAACGGATTCATCATTCTACATACTATTGAGAAATTTGTGATTCCAGGAGTTTACATTCTAGTAGGAGAGCAGAAGTAAACAACAACAAAAAAATAGTTTCAGGTGTGCTAACTTCCGTGAAGAAAAATAAAAGCAAGGTGAAAGCTAAAGACAGGACAAGGGGAGAGAAAATGAAAGAGGTACAAATTTAAATAAGAGAAACAGAAAAGGCTTCTCTGAGAAGGTGACACCTGAGGAGGAACATGAACAAAGTCAGGAAGGAAGCTACAGGAAGAAGAGGAAAGTGCTGGTTTCAGGCACAGTACACAGCTGGCCCAAAGGCTGTAAGGCAGTGCACAGCAAGGCACACTACAGAAAGCCAGGCAAAGAGGGAGAGAGCCCAGATCATGTGGGACCTTCTTGGCCATGGGAAGAACTTTGGATTTATTCCAGATATGATGGGAAGTCATTGAAGGATTCTGAGAAAAAGAAAGACCCAATCCGACCCCATGAACTGTGTGGGTCGTAAACTGAAGGAGAGCCAAGAGTGAAAGCTGGGAGACCTATGGGCTCCTGGAGAAGCAAATGATGGCTTGGACTGGGATAGTTGTGGGGTCAGATGAAGTCAGATTTAAGATATATGATTATTATAAAAGTTAGAGCTAACTGGACTTGAGGGATGGATGGTTCATTCATATTAGCATTATGTATCATAGTAAAATACTGCAGTCAACATGCCCCTCAGAAGGGAAATGGATACATGAACAGTGGTGTATTTGTACAATGGAATCTGAACAGTAGTTCAAATTAATGGCATAGCTTACTGGCATCATTGTAGAGAAATCTTAACAGTGTTCAATGAAAAAGCAAATAGTAAAAGTGTCTGTAAAGTGTACCCTTTATGCAAATTTTAGAAACACAAAACATACCTAAGTTGGGAGAGTATAAAAACCTAGACAAGCAGAATAGCACAGAAATTAACTTAAGGTGGAAAAGATGGAGGAAAGAGGCAAGGGTGGGTCCTTTGATTCTATTATTAATGCTTTCTTCTTTTCTTTTTCTTTTTTTTTTTTTAAAAAAAGGCTGGGTCTTGCTATGTTGCCCAGGCTGGAGTGCAGTGGTGTGATCATAGCACATTACAGCCTCCAACTTCTGGCCTCAAGTGATCCTCCCACTTCAGCCTCCCACATAGCTGGGACTATGGGTGTACATAACTGCACCCAGCTATCATTAATGCTGTTAAATTAAGTTTAGCCTAAAGCCGCCTCCTTACATATTTTAAGTTCAGCCTAAAGCTTCTCCATACACAATGAACTGTAACCCAACTGGGTATATAAACAGACTAACTTACTCTTGTACCAACCACCATGTTTTGGCCAGTCAAGGGTGACCAACTGTTCAAGCTGTGTTCAAATAAGGCAAACCCTGAGCTGTAACCAATCCAGCTGTTGGTGTAATTCACTTCTGTTTTCTGTACCTCACTTTTTCTGTCCATAAATCTTTTTCCACCATGCAGCTGCTCTGGAGCCTCTCTGAACCTACTCTGGTTCAGGGGATCCCCGATTTGCAAACATTCTTTGCTCCATTAAACTGCTAAATTTAATTTGTCTAAGGTCAGTGCTTTAACAATGCTTTCTTGAAAAATAAAAACCATGGGAAGCAAATATGGCAAATTGTTAAATGTGACAAATGCCAGTGATTAGTACATGGGTGTCTTTTACATGTTTACTTTCTGTGCTTTTTTTTTTCTTTTTTTTTTTTAATCTGAAACATTTAATAATTTTAAAATATTTAAGTTTTGGAGAGTTTGTTCTGACAATCAATATCAATATATTTATTGTGTTAAATATACAGTTCCTTTACAGGGTCCTATAAATAGGAATGCAAGTTTGTCATGCAATTTTAGATGCCTCATAAAGGTTTTAAGTCACTGTATTAATCACACACTGGTAAATATTTTCATTTTAAATGAAAGACACAAAATGAATAAGCATGGAAAATCAGTGTCCAGGGAAAGATGATGGCACAGGCCACAGCAAAAGGTAAAAGGAAATGACATTTTATAAGTACATACTTACACAGACACTACTTGATATGAGGGCTGTTAATACAACAGGTACTCAGTAAATACTTATTATATTTATAAGTATTATTTGTATAATTTAATTTAATTATTTTTTAAGTTCCAGGGTAAATGTGCAGGATGTGATGTGCAGGTTTGTTACACAGGAAAATCTGTGCCATGGGTGGTTTGCTGCACCTAGCAACCCATCACCTAAGTATTAAGTCCTGCATGCATTAGCTATTTTTCCAACTAAAGTGGTTGTAGGTGGAATTTTATTTTATTTTTACATTTTTTCTTTTTTGAGACAGGGTCTCACTCTCACTCAGGCTGGAGTGCAGTGCTCAAGCCATGGCTCACTGCAGCCTCAACTTCCTGCGCTCCAGCAATCCACCTACATCAGCCTCCCAAGTAGCTGGGGCCACAGATGTAGGCCACCACATCTGGCTAATTTTTCTATTTTTTGTAGAGATGGGGGTTTCGTCATGTTGCTCAGACTGGTCTCGAACTCCTGGGCTCAAGCAATCCGCCTGCCCTGGCCCCTCAAAGTGCTGGGATTACAAGCATGAGCCACCATCCCCAGCCCTGGAATTTTAAATCTTCAAAATATTCTAAAATATCAATCTCTTGTTAAAGAGCTTTGAATTCCCTGGGCTACTACAAACCCTAAGAATTCTGTGTTTCTCTATACCTTTTATTCACCTTGCACAAAGAATTCCATTTCCTATTATTAAGTTTGAAACTTGACTGTGAGGTTCAGAGCACTTACATAATGAGGTAAGTTAAACTTCAACTCAGAATGACTGGTTTTCGGACAAAGAATGCAACCGCTAATAGCATGTATCATTTTTAGATGAGATTTAGAAACAATGCTAATGTTTCATGTGCTGCTCTCGGTCCCATGCACCCATCTCTCAGGCGGTATAACATGAACCCAAGCGCCCCTGTAAACCAGAGACCTTCAATAGACCAGATACCCCTGGAGACAAAGGGCTGGAGCAATTTCACTGTGTTTGTGGATATAGACAGTTTGCAGTCTGTCAGGTCACAAATCTCTGTTTTAAATAACCCCTAATTACAGATTTACGTCTCCAGTGCCTGCTTTCAGGATGCATAAAGGCAATATAGCTAAAAGGCCTAACGTTAGGCTTCAATTGTCAAAAGCTGCTCTGTTGGAGGGCCCAGCCCATTATCACCCTGGCTGTTTGGTTCACAAATGCTGGCTCTCCAAGCCATATTGGTATGTTTGTTTTGCATTGTATGTCAACACTGTTTTAAGTAGATCAGTTTGCTGACATCTGACACCTGATTAGAAAAAGGAATATGGAAAAATGAGTGCAAATCTGACCTTTTTTTGGCAAGAAGAAATATTTGTTTTTCCGTGGATGAACATTGTCTATTGTGAAATATATTAACTGCTAGTGTTAAAACATCATTAAACACTTTGCACAAGGGAAAGTCAAGCTTTGATTACTGAATCAGTCAGTTCCAACACTATGGAAGCTGAATTACAGCCAAAACCTAACTCAGCTTACTTCTTACCATCCACAGTTTCCCTGTCACTTGTTCACCTTTCCATAATTTCTTTTTTCCATTTGGCAAAGTTTTTGTCTGTTTTTATGTAAGAATTTTTCATTGTTTTTAATTTGATCATTTTTTTCTCTGGAAACACCCATAAAAGGTGTTAAATGTCTTTGTTCATCACTTAGGCAACTTATTCTAAATTGTCCTAGTTGTGAATTATATAAATCATTTATGTCTTCTTCAGATCTGTTCCTTTCAAGCAACTCTTTGGAAAGAGAATTGCTGCAGAGAGAAGAACTTTATTAACTAAATGGAGACTTAGGGCTCATTTGTAGGTGGTTTAATTTCTGAAGTAAACCAATGCAAGATATTGGTAGGGGGTCCCAGGGAAGAGGCTAATCTGCACATTGTCCTATCAACCTAGAATTCAAAATTAGTCCCCCAGCAGGCCTCAAAAGTTAAACACAGGGCCAGGCCCAGTGGCTCACGCCTGTAATCCCAACACTTTGGGAGGCTGAGGTGGGCGGATCACCTGAGGTCAAGAGTTCCAGACCAGCCTGGCCAACATGGTGAAACCCCATCTCTACTAAAAATACAAAAAATTAGCTGGGCGTGGTGGCAGGCATCTGTAATCCCAGCTACTCAGGAGGCTGAGGCAAGAGAACCACTTAAACCCAGAAGGCAGAGGTTGCAATGAGCTGAGATAGCACCACTACACTCCAAGTCCAACCTTGGAGACAGAGCGAGACCCTGTCTAAAAAAAATAAAATAAAATAATAAAATAAAATTTCGATCCTTTGAACATGGATAAAACTTAAAAATATTATGCTGAGTGAAATAAGCCAAGCACAAAAGGATAAATATTGCCTTATTTCACTCATATGAGGTACTTGGAATAGGCAAATTCATAGAAACAGGCCAGGCACAGTGGCTCACACCTGTAATCCTGGCACTCAGCCTGGGAGGCTGAGGTGGGTGGATTACTTGAGGTCAGTTGCCGCGAAGAAGAACCAGCACTGAGACAAAGGATTTCTCAGCAAGGCAAATTTACTTTGGCAGAAGGGTGCTGCCTGTGTCAGTCACGATCACAAGAGCACACAGAACAAAGTAGAGTAGGGATTTTTATTCGTAATGCAGATTCTACCTCTGTGTCTTTCCCCCATTGGCTGGGGTTGGACTGCACAGTCTAAACTAGTCCTGATTGGTGAAATATTCAAACTTTCTTAGATAAGGTAGGCGCGTAATAGAGGAGAGAGGGAGAGGAGGAAGCAGTCACTTCTGGGGGACTAAAAAGCTAACCTATTCCCACATAAGGAAAGGAATGTGGACTGGGGCTTATCATATCTAGGCATATTTAGACAGGTTAATGCCCAGCAAAAGCCGGGGTGGGGGGGTACTTGGAATTTAGAGAATAAAGAATGGGGGAACTTGGCAAACTGTTTGAAGAGGAACCTAGCTGTATCTAACATCAGGAGTTTGAGACCAGCCTGGCCAACATGGTGAAACTCTGTCCCTACTAAAAATATGAAAAAATTAGCTGGGCATGGTGGTGCATGCCTATAGTTCCAGCTGCTCCAGAGGCTGAGGCATGAGAACTGCTTGAACCCAGGAAGTGGAGATTGTAGTGAGCTGAGATCACACCACTGCACTCCAGCCCAGGCGACAGAGCAAGACAGTCTCAAAAAAAAAAAAAAAAAAAAAAAAAATCATAGAAACAGAAAGTAGAATACCTGTTACCTGGGACTGGGTGGAAAGTGAATGGGAAATTATTGCTTAATGGATACAAAGTTTCTGTTTGAGATGTTGAAAAAGTTCTGGAAATGGTGATATGTTTGCACAGCACTGAATATACTTAATGTCACTGAATTGTACACTTTAATTTAATTTAATTTTTTTTTTCTCAAGATGGAGTCTTGCTCTCTCGCCCAGGCTGGAGTGCAGTGGCGCAATCTCAGCTCACTGCAACCTCCACCTCCCAGGTTCAAGCAATTCTCCCACTTCAGCCTCCCAAGTAGCTGGGATTACAGGTGCGCACCACCACACCTGACTAATTTTTGTATTTTTAATAGAGACAGGGTTTCACCATGTCGGTCAGGCTAGTCTCAAACTCCTGACCTGATCCACCCACCTCGGCCTCCCAAAGTGCTGGGATTACAGGCGTGAGCCACCATGCCTGGTCTGAATTGTATACTTTAGAATGGTTAACATCTACTAGGTACCCATAAAAATTAAAAAATTAAAAAGTAAAAAGAAGTGTTTAATAAGAATGGTTAAAATGGTAAGTTATATGTTCTGTGAGGGGTTTTTATTGTTTTTTGTTTTTTGGGGTTTTTTTTGAGATGGAGTCTCACTCTGTTGCCCAGGCTGGAATGCAATGGTGGGATCTCTGCTCACTGCAACCTCCGCCTCCTGGGTTCAAGCGATTCTCCTGCCTCAACCTCCCGAGTAGCTGGGATTATAGGCTCGCATAACCACACCCTGCTAATTTTTGCTTTTTCAGTAGAGACGGGTTTCACTGCGTTGGTCAGGCTTGTCTCAAACTCCTAACCTCAAGTGATCCACCCACCTCAGCCTCCGAAAGCGCTGGGATTACAGGCGTGAGCCACCATGCCCAGTCTGTTCTGTTTTGTATGTTTTATCACATGTTTTTTAAATAAAAGCCTACCAGAAATCTTGATTCCATGAGGTTTCTTTTTTTTTCTTTTTCTTTTTCTTTTTTTTTTTTTTTTTGAGACGGAGTTTTGCTCTTGTTGCCCAGGCTGGAGTGCAGTGGTGCAATCTCGGCTCTCTGCAACCTCCGCCTCCCAGGTTCAAGCGATTCTCCTGCCTCAGCCTTCCAAGTAGCTGGGATTACAGGCACCTGCCACCATGCCCAGCTAATTTTTTGTATTTTTAGTAGAGACGGGGTTTCATCATGTTGGCCAGGCTTGTCTTGAACTCCTGACCTCAGGTGATCCACCCGTCTCAGCGTCCCAAAGTGCTAGGATTACAGGTGTGAGCCACCATGCCTGGCCTTTTTTTTTTTTTTTTTCTTAAGACAGGTTCTAGCTCTGTCACCCAGGCTAGAGTGCACTGGTGCAATCTTGGCTCACTGCAACCTCCACCTCCTGGGTTGAAGTGATTCTCCTGCCTCAGCCTCCCGAGTAGGAAGGACTACAAGCATGTGCCTCCCGAGTAGCAAGAACTACAAGCATGTCATCCCAGGCATGAGCCACCACACCTTGCAGATTCCATGAGGTTTCATGGGGTCAGGTTAAAGGTGTTGAGAACAAAGAGGAGAACCACATTCTCATGCCAGCCACTCCCAGCTTTCCAGAGAGGAGAAGAGATTACTGTTGGAAATATGATAGAATTATTAATAAGGTATAAAGAAATCATAGTTCACATCTCCTTTTTGTTTTAATAGTGTGTAAAGATTGCAATTTTTTTTTTTTTTTGAGACAGAGTCTTGCTCTGTCACCCAGACTGGAGTGCAGTGGCGCGATGTTGGCTCACTGCAACCTCTGCCTCCTGGGTTCAAGTTACTCTCCTGCCTCAGCCTCCTGAGTAGCTGATACTACAGGCATGTGCCACCACACCTAGCTAATTTTTTGTATTTTTAGTAGAGATGGGGTTTCACCGTGTTAGCCAGGATGGTCCCGATCTCTTGATCTCGTGATCTGCCCACCTCGGCCTCCCAAAGTGCTGGGGTTACAGGTGTGAGCCACTGCACCTGGCCAAGATTGCAATTTTTTAAAATAATGATAAAAATGTTTCACTATTATGACACATAATCTCTATACCCACAAAGATGTATTCACTTCTTGGGCCATCAGGAAGAAATGTGATGAAAACATTCAGAATTGTCAACTAGCCCACATGCACAGAGATCCGGCCCTGGGAGAACTAGCATCCCTGTCCCTTGGTGGGTGTCACCTAGCATGAGGGAAACAAGCTATAGGATACTCAGGCTGAGTTAGGTTCCTCCTGGAACACCTAGGAATATCTGGCCCAAAGAAAGAGGGTTTGTTTGTTTGTTTGTTTGTTTGTTTGTTTGTTTCATACGGAGTCCCACTCTGTCACCCAGGCTGGAGTGCAGTGGCGAGATCTCAGCTCACTGCAACCTCCGCCCCCCAGGTTCAAGCAATTCTCCTGCCTCAGCCTCCCAAGTAGCTGGGATTACAGTGGCATGATCTCAGCTCACTGCAACCTCTGCCTCCTGGGTTCAAGCGATTCTCCTGCCTCAGACTCCCAAGTAGCTGTGATTACAGGTGCCTGCCACCACATCCAGCTAAATTTTTGTATTTTTAGTAGAAACAGGGCTTCGCCATGTTGGCCAGATTGGTCTCGAACTCCTGACCTCAGGTGATCCACCAGCCTTGGCCTCCCAAAGTGCTGGGATTACAGGCATGAGCCACCGTGCCTGGCCGGAAAGGTTTTGAAGTGGCACACAATGATCTACTCAAATGGTCTCGCAATGGGCTGGGTGGAACTTGTCCCTCCTGGGGTTGTAACTAAGAATGGACTGCTCCCTTGGGGATTAAATGAAACAATTGTAAAAATGGGGAGAAGGCTTTTTCTATCTCATGAAGACTAGAAACTGCAATTACAAGTGTCATCAAACAGACTCTCATTGATGACGGAGGGCGTGATGAGGTGACATGAGTAATAACAGCAAGGCACTTTGCCCATGAGGACCACCAGGCAGTGGAGCAGAAAAGAGGCACTAACAGGTGTCACAGGGACAATTTAATGGCAAGCAAGGACATCACAGGCGCCTCTTGAGCTAGAATTTGAAAGGCTTAAGGAATTTGGGTTTCATCCTGAAGGCAATAGGGTTATGAGCAAAGAAACAATATAATACAATTTGCATTTTAGAAAAATAACTTTGGCAGCCAGGGAAGACTGTCCTGTAAGAGGGCAAGGCTGGATGCTGGGAAAACAGTTAGAAAGCAATTCCAGCAATCTAGACAAGAAATGATGAGGGCCTAAATTAACATTCTTTGGATGGAATTAAAGGGAGGGGAGAGCATGAAACTGGTCATAAGAGATACTAAGAAAGTCAGAGGGAACAAGAATATAAGCAGTGGGAGAAAAGTACAAAATGGCACAATTAACAGAGATTTAGAGTGGTGTCATAAAAGAAAGAGAATCTCACTCATGTCCTCGCGAAACAAGCCAATGAACTACATTCCTAATGCCACATGAGTTTGGAGATATATTTTTAAAAATGTGTGAAAAATTGAAAACCATGTATATGATTCCAATAATCAAATCAAAGTTAGAAGTAAAAGTACAACATTGGTCTTCAATTGGAATGATATAATTACTAGGGTGATAAAGTATAAGAAAGACCCCATGTTAGTGGATTTACTCTGTCTGTACTATTCACTCTGTGCCCAGTGCTTTGCTAACATAAAATCACTTAAGGCAGGAGAAAACAGGATCTAGTTTTCTAGGGGCAAGACTCATAGTGAGCTGAGCTCATCCCTACAATACTTTAATTCTTAGAAATTTATTTATTTATTTTATTATTTTTTTTTTGAGATGGAGTTTCGCTCTCGTTGCTCAGGCTGGAGGGCAATGCCACAATCTTGGCTCACCACAACCTCGGCCTCCCAGGTTCAAGTGATTCTCCTGCCTCAGCCTCTGGAATAGCTGGGACTACAGGCGCCCACCACCACGCCCGGCTAATTTTTTGTATTTTTAGTAGAGACGGGGTTTCACCGTGTTAGCCAGGATGGTCTCGATTTCCTGACCTCAAGATCCACCCTTCTCGGCCTCCCAAAGTGCTGGGATTACAGACGTGAGCCACTGCGCCCCGCCTAGTAATTTATTTTTTAAATTTCCTCATTCATTTAATGGATACTTGATATACTTTACTCTTTTTTTTTTTTTTGAGATGGAGTCTCAGTCTGTCTCCCACTCTGGAATGCAATGGCACAATCTTGGCTCACTGCAACCTCCACCTCCCGGGTTCAAGCAATTCTCCTGCCTCAGCCTCCCGAGTAGCTGGGATTACAGGCGTCCACCACCACGCCCAGCTAATTTTTGTATTTTTAGTAGAGACTGGGTTTCACCATGTTGGTCAGGCTGGTCTCGAACTCCTGACCTCAGGTGATCCACCTGCCTCAGCCTCCCAAAGTGCTGGGATTACAGGTGTCAGCCACCACACCCAACTACTTTACTCTTTAATTAATATACTTCAATATATATTTAAATAATAAATATTTAAATAATATATCAGCAATGTTGATATAAGTACCATTTAGTCCATAGGTTATGTGGCAAGAAGGAATTGGAGCAGAACTTGAGATATAATGGACGTTGTCAAGAGGTTATGTACTCTGAGACTGAAAAGCATACTTTAATATTGCCCCATGATATCATCTCTAGATACAGTAGCTGGCTATGATTTTAGGAGGCTATGATTTTAGGAGACTTTTTTCTTTCTTTCTTTCTTTCTTTCTTTTTTTTTTTTTTTGAGACACAGTTTCACTCTGTCGCCCAGGCTGGAGCACAGTGGCATAATCTCGGCTCACAGCAACCTCTGCCTCCCAAGTTCAAGCGATTCTCCTGCCTCAGCTTCTCAAGTAGCTGGGACTACAGGCATGTGCCACCATGCCCGGTTAATTTTTTTTTGTATTTTTACTAGAGACTAAGTTTTGCCATGTTGCCCAGGCTGGTCTCGAACTCCCAACCTCAAGTGATCTGCCCACCTCAGCCTCCCAAAGTGCTGGGATTACAAGCATGAGTGACCACACCCAGCCTAGGAGCTTTTTTCTTTTGGAACAGGCATGAGAGCTTATAATTAGAAAAGTATATTTGAATTATATTGGCCTAGGGCTACTTTGGAACTGTAGAATGAGAAAACATATGTGTTTATCAGACTTGATAATAATAGCTAAAATATATTGAGCACTGCATTCATTCCAGAGATGTACTCATTTTATCCTAATGCCAATTTGTGAGGTAGCCTTGGATTATTACTTAGGAATAAGTACATTGAGACACAGAGAGATTAATTTGCCGAAGTTCATAAAACATGTGATAAGTGGCAGAGCTACTTTTCTAGCTCAGGTGAAGTCTACATTCTTTACCTTTGTCCCGAGCGGGACAGCATCTGAATACCCATCCCTGGCAGCTTAAGCACTGCGTTTGACACCATGTGATACTGCTCCCCTACTTCCAGTCACCAAAGATTGGACGCCTGATGACATAGGGACTGCTGATTCAGAAACACACATGCATGACGTGAACTAAGCCAGTCATTTTCCTTCTCTTGGCTTCATTAATCTCTTCTAATACTAAGAGATAATGCTGGTCAATGGTAAGATTAAAGGTAAAACCATGCCCTGGTTTTACCGCAGACCAAAGCCTGCTGTGAGCAGGCTTTATGAGGCTTTATGAGGAAGCAGAAAAGACACAATGGCCAGCGAGGAGGCTGGGCTGCTTAGGGAAGCATTAAGAACTACTCAAGGCTGGGCGCGGTGGCTCACGCCTGTAATCCCAACACTTTGGGAGGTCGAGGTGCGCGGATCACGAGGTCAGGAGATCGAGACCATCCTGGCTAACACAGTGAAACCCCGTCTCCACTAAAAAAAAAAAATACAAAAAAATTAGCCCGGCACCTGTAGTCCCAGCTACCCCAGGGGGCTGAGGCAGGAGAATGGCGGGAACCCGGGAGGCGGAGCTTGCAGTGAGCCGAGATCGCGCCACAGCACTCCAGCCTGGGCGACAGAGCGAGACTCCGTCTCAAAAAAAAAAAAAAACTACTCAAAACTTGGAAAAATTAGGAACTGTAAAACCTGATTCCATCAGTCATGAATCCTAGTTGGAAATTGGTAAGGCCTAGCTATTCTAGTTGTCTTTCAGAGTGAGGGTTTGAAAGATCTCGTCTAGTTTGTCACCAGTGTTATGAGGGCATCTCTAGCATTCCCTGCCACGCTGTTTGTGTTTGGACCTCTCTTTTTCAGGTGAGAGACTGGAAGCCTGGCTGTGGTGTTATGTGAGTTTCCTAGGGCTGCCATAGCAAATTCCTGTCAACTTAGTGGCTTAAACAACAGCAATTTATTCTCTCAGAGTTCTGGAAAACAGAAATCTGAAGTCGAGGTGTTGGCAAGGCTGTGCTCCCTCCACAGGCTCTAGGAGAGATTCCACTTCCTTTTCCAGCTTCTGTGGCTGACCAAATGCCTTGAATGGTGGCTGCGTACTCCAGTTTCTGCCTCTGTATTCACAGGGCCTTCTCCTCTGTGTCTGTGTCTTCTCCTCCTGTGTCTCTTATAAGGACATCTGTCATTGGATTTGGGGCCCACCTTGGTAATACAGGATGATCTCATCTCAGGGTCCTTAATTTAATTAATCTGCAAAAACCCCTTCTCCAAATAAGGCCACATTCACAGCGGCTCGGCATTAAGACATGGACATATATTTTGAGGGGCTGCCATTCCACCTATTCCAGGTCCTGGGTGTGGTGTGGTGCCACTGTTTTTCTAAAAGCCTAAGGAAAGACAAAGGAGAGTAATACACTTTCAGGTTTCCGTCAGTGTTTCTTTTGTTTAATGAACTCTATGGGTTGGGCCCATGCAATTCCAGAAGGATTGCTAGAGAAAGTATCAGCCCACAATATTCTGCATGTTTTATGTCTGAAGCATGGGGAAAACCTTTACAAACAATTCGATTAACTCTTCCCACAGTTAACTTTGGGGACTCCCAGAAGATAAAATAATAAGAAAAAAAGCTGAAATCCTGCCATTTGACCAGTGAACGTTCCTGATCTAGTGGACTTAGAAACCTTCCCGAGGGACCTGATGCAAATTTGCACCAAAGCAGCAGCTGCATTTCCACAGTTCTAGCTTCACCTTCACAATGTTTCCCTTGCTCAAAAAGGCACTAAGTCATCTCCAAGTTTGAAGCACCCAGCGAACAACAGCAAGGCAGAGCCACCAGAAGCATACACCTGATTTTCATGACAAACACGGTAACGCTGTATGAGCTAGTGAAACCACTTTCTGTATTGCTGTACGGATATGTATAGCAACACAAACTGGAATAGAATGGAACATGTCCCCTGTTGGCAGAGTCACCCCAAAGGAATGGAGAGATAAGTAGGCATCCCAGCTGGTATAACACTGAATTGTTCAGAAAACAACTCATAATTGATGCCAAGTGAAAGCACTGTGTACCCATTAAAACATTACATTATTGAAGAAGTAATGTTTTGAAGAGTGAACTCTTCAAAAAAAAAAAAAAATCTTACCTAGGATCACAAACTGGTGTTGACTAGGAGACAGTTCAGGTTTCAGATAAAACAGAGATCTACCCAAGATAACTCGAGTAAAAGATACATGGGGAACAACAAAGAGACTCATGCAAACCCAGAATCAAATATTAGGCTGTAACAGGTCTGGGCCATGTGGGGAATGGGGTTTGGATTTGTAGCAGCTCCAGGATTTCATGGATCTTCACCTGCTTTTCCACCCATAACATGACTGGCCTATACACCACTGTGTGTTTCTGTCTCTTGATGTCAAATATAATTTTCAGAAATTTGGAAACATAATTCTTATAGTTTGCTAAGTTTTGTACACAACTGGTTAATGTCCCACAGGAACATGAAACCATCTTTTTCAGAATTATCTTCTCTATTAACAGAAAAGAAAGTTATCACATCTTATCCATTTTACACAATTATAGAATGTCTAGCTTCTAATCAATTCTGTAAACAAAGTCCATTTCCCTAGAGAGTTAGGTGACGCTTAAGTCAAAGCTTTGGCATGACACTAAAAATTCACACAATCAAAAAAAATGTCATAGAATCATATCGTTGCTTTATTTCTAAGTTTTGCATAATTCTCCTAAACATTCCCCCTTTTGATCAAAAGTAATCTTTAAGCATCCTTATTGGATAGTCAGCAAATCTAGAGCCATGTGGTGTTGATCAGCTACTAAGACCAGAATATTAAATTTTGCCTAGAGATTAAAAAATCTATAGTTTCATCTTCAATAGCTTCCATGGATTCAGAGATGATTTCTATGGCTATTTACTCATCCATTTCAAAGCTAGGAAACCAAAACCAGAGAATTCAGCTCTACGAAGTTTTACCTGCAGTACCTTGTAAATGTACAGACAGGATCACCTGGGACTTTTGTCTGAACTCTTCTTTATTCTAGGCCTTATTGTCTGATGACCATTTTCATAAACGTTGATTATTTTTCTTTGCCACCATGTTTTTCCCTCCTTATAACCTGTCTTCTGACAGAGCCCCTTCAGTCTTTAAACTTATTTCTACCATCCTGCCCCTGGCTTCTATCTTGTAATGAATTCCCCTTTTCTGTTTAAGCCAGCTTGAGTGGGTTTCTATTGCTTATAATTGAGTCTGAACCAATTCAATCACCTAATCCTACAGCCTAGGGTAAGCAAACGTCAACTCAGACTTTGGTGGGACCCCACATTACCCTTGGAACTGAAAGATCTAAACTAAAATTAATGTTTGTCTGACATTTTGATTAGGAAGAAACTATCAAAGGTAAAATTTGAGTTAAGTCTTGAAAAATCAGGCAGTTATTTATTTTTTTAAAAAAGTACTTGTACAAAAAAAGTATTTGTGGGGACTTCCACTTCTGAGAAGATAGAACAGACATATTTTTTCCCTATTTCTCCTACTAATTACGACTAAAAACCCTGGACACTATATATACCTAGATACAAACATAAGGAGACTCCAAAAGATAGAAAGAAGAAAGCAGACCAACAAGGTACAGTGGAACCTGAGAACCCACACACGGGGGATTTCCTTTGATTTCCTTTTTGCCTCACGATCCCAGACTTGAAGTGGAGGAAGCCAGCAACCCATATTGTCAGTGATTCCAGAACAAAAGAGCCCCAAAAAAAGTCTATTCTCTCCAGCCAAAAGACCAAGAAAGATGTAGCCAAATAAGACAAGAATTTTAGACGATACCCACTCTACTCCATCCAAACACCATAGAAAACAACTGTGGCCCCATCCCTACCCCCATTAGCAAAAGTCAAGAAGCCTAAACTTCCACTCAGCAGATAGCATAACAAGGTATCCCAACACACAATCCCAAAGGGCTGGTGTCAGAGAGGGACAAGCAGAGAGCTGAGAGCTTCATCTCTGCTGGCCAGTAACAGGGACCTTCCCCTCCCCATGGTGTCAG
Source organism: Homo sapiens (assembly GCF_000001405.40). Lineage (NCBI taxonomy): Eukaryota > Metazoa > Chordata > Mammalia > Primates > Hominidae > Homo > Homo sapiens. The sequence continues at coordinate 173,336,148 of NC_000002.12, read as the reverse complement.
TGGAGACCATATGGGGAGCCTGGACTTCCAGCCCCTTCCAACACTAATGAGGCACCCTTTGCCATTCCTGCCAGGGTGGTATCAGAGGGTCTAGTGAAGAGTCAGAACTTTGACCACTGTCTAGCAGTAATTAGGTCACTCCCACCAAGGTGTCAGTGGAGACCACATGGGGAACTGAGGCAGAAGGAGCCTGCTCCCCTCAGGTCTCAATGGTGGCCAAGTAGAGAACATGGACTTGTACCTCTACCAGTCATAAAGAGGCAGCATCATCACACATATCTCCCCTACCAGAGTAGTGTCAGAAAAAGCCAACTAAAACAAAAAGTTTAGATAAAATCCAGAGTCTCAGAACACAATACAAAATGTCTAGGTTCCAGTGGAAAAGTACTCATCATGCCAAAAACTAGAAAGATCTCTGTCTTAGCTTAGGCTGCCATAACAAAATACCATAGACTGGGTAGGTTAAATAACAGGAATTTATTTCTCACAATTCTGGAGACTGGAAGTCCAAGATCAGGGTGCCAGCAGGTCAGTGTCTAATGAGGGTCTTCTCCTTGGATTGCTGTGTCCTCACATGGCCTTTCTTTGGTGCACAAGGGTGGAGAGAGGGAGAGAGGAAGCAAGCTGTCTAATGTCTCTTCTTTTACGAGTGCCAGTCCCATAATAAGAATTCCACACTTATGACCCCCCAAGGTCCCCATCTCCCAAGCATTATCACACTGGGGCTTAGGACTTCAACATATAAATTTGTTGGGAACACAGTTTGGTCCATAGCAACCTCAAACCAGTGAAAAAAGACAATCAATATGTGCCAACACCAAAATGAGAGAGATATTAGCATTATTTCACAAAATTTTAAAGCAGCCATGATAAAAAGTGTTTCAGCCGGACATGGTGGCATGCACCTGAAGTCCCAGCTACTTGGGAGGCTGAGGTAGGAGAACTGCTTGAGCCCAGGAGTTCAAGACCAGCCTGGGCAACATAGTGAGACCCCCTCTCAAAAAACAAAACAGTTGGCCAGGTGCAGTGGCTCATGCCTGTAATCCCAGCACTGGAGCAGGCCAAGGTGGGAGGACTGCTTGAGCCCAGGAGTTCAAGACCAGTTTGGGCAACATAGAAAGACCTTGTCTCTACAAACAATTAAAAAATTAGCTAGGTATAGTAGTGCATGCCTATGGTCCCAGCTACTGGGGAGGCTGAGGTGGGAGGATTGCTTCAGCCTGGACAGTTGAGGCTGTGGTGAGCTATAATGCCACTGCACTCCAGCCTAGACAAGAGAGAAAGACCTCATCTCGAAGAAGAGGAAGAAGAAGAAGAAGGAGAAGGAGAAGGAGCAGGAGGATGATGACCCAAACTGAAATCTTAAAGTTTAAAAATACAGTAACTGAAATTAACAGCAGAAAGGAGTGAACTTGAAGATAACGCAATAGAAATTAACCTGAATAGCAGAGAGAACATAGCCTAAAAAAAAGAAAGAAAGAAAGTCAAACAGGGACCTGTGGGTTATAATAAAGTATCTAATATTAGTATAATTAGAATCCTATAAGCAGAAGCAAAAGATAATTGAGAAAGTACTCAACAAAATAATGGCTAAAAACTTTTCAAATGTGTCAAGGGACATAAATTAATAGATTTAAGAAGCCGGGCATGGCTGGGCATCTTGGCCCATGCCTGTAATTCCAGTGCTTTGGGAGGCCAAGGCAGGAGGAGCACTTGAGGCCAGGAGTTCAAGACCAGCCTGGGCAACATAGTGAGGCCCAGTCTCAAAAAATCAAAAAACGGCATGATGGCACATGCTTGTAGTCCCAGTTACTTGGGAAACTGAGGCAGAAGGATCACTTAAGCCCAGGAGTTTGAGGCTATAGTGAACTATGATTGTACCATTGCATTCCAGCCTGGGCAAAATGTGAGACTCTGTCTCTAAAAAAATAAAATAAGGTAAGACAAGATTAAACTTAAAAAATTAAATATGGCCGGGCGCGGTGGCTCACGCCTGTAATCCCAGCACTTTGGGAGGCCGAGACGGGTGGATCATGAGGTCAGGAGATCGAGACCATCCTGGCTAACAAGGTGAAACCCCGTCTCTACTAAAAATACAAAAAATTAGCCGGGCGCGGTGGCGGGTGCCTGTAGTCCCAGCTACTGGGGAGGCTGAGGCAGGAGAATGGCGTTGAACCCGGGAAGCGGAGCTTGCAGTGAGCCGAGATTGCGCCACTGCAGTCCGCAGTCCAGCCTGGGCGACAGAGCGAGACTCCGTCTCAAAAAAAAAAAAAAAAAAAAAAAATTAAATATGTTTTTTAAAAAGCTTAACAAACCCCAAAAAGGATAAACTCAAAAAAACATACCAAGGATCAGGGATGGTGGCTCATGCTCATAATCCCATCACTTTTGGAGACTGAGGCAGGAAAATCACTTGATCCCAGGAGTTTGAGACCAGCCTGGGCAACATAAAGAGACTCTGTCTGTAAAAAACAAACAAACAAACCATACCAAGATATATAATAATTAAACTAAAGACAAAGAAAAATCTTGAAAGCAGCCAGAGTAAAATAATACCTTATCAATAAGGGAAACAATTAAAATGATAGTGTACTTCTTTTCAGAAAGCATGGAGATCAGAAGGAACAGGCACAATATTTTTTCAGTGCTAAAAAAGAAAACTATTGATATGGTTTGGGTGGGGACACAGCCAAACCATATCATCTTGAATTCCCACATGTTGTGGGAGGGACCTGATGGGAGGTAATTGAATCATGGGGGCAAATCTTTCCCGTGCTGTTCTCATGATAGTGAATAAGTCTCACAACACCAGATGGTTTTAAAAAGAGGAATTCCCCTGCACAAGCTTTCTCTCTTTGCCTGCTGCCATCCATGTAAGACGTGACTTGCTCCTTCTTGCCTTCTGCCATGATTGTGAGGCTTCCTCAGCCACGTGGAACTGTAAGTCCAATTAAACCTCATTATTTTGTAAATTGTCCAGTGTCAGGTATATCTTTATCAGCAGTGTGAAAATGGACTAATACAACTGTCAACTCAGAACTTTATACCCAGCAAAACTATATCTTTCAGAAATAAAGAAGAAACCAAAACATTCTCTGATTAGAAAAAAAAAAAAAAAAACTAGAAAAATTTGTGGTTAACAGACCTATTCTCAAAGAATGGCTAAAAAAAGTTCTCTAAACAGAAGGGAAATGACAAAAGAGGAAAGTTTGAGAAATCAGGAAGGAAGAAATAACATATTAAGGAAAAGTATGGATAAATAATGCCTTTTCTTCTCTTAAGTTTTGTAAATTATGTTTGATGATTGAAGCAAAATTTACAATGGCTGATGTAGTTCCAAATGTATGCAAAGGATATACTTAAGACAATTATAAGCAGGGGAGGGCAAAGGGATGTAAAGATTTAAGGTTTTATACTGTACTTGAACTACTAAAATGAAAACACTAGTAGACTGTGATAAGTTATGTATTCATAATGTAATATCTAAAGCAAACACTTAAAAAGCTACACAAAGAGCTACATTCAAAAACACATTAGACAAATCAAAATGGAATTCTAAAAAATGTTCAAGCAACCCACAGGAAGGCACATAAATAGAGAAATGAACAAAAAGAAAAGAGAAAAACAGAAAATGAAATAATAAAATGGCAGACACATTGTTTCTCAGCCGTTTGGCTAGATCAAGTGTTAAATGGCAGACCTAATCCTTTATTTTTAATTAATTAATTAATTTTTTTGAGACAGCATCTCTCTCTCTGTGTTGCCCAGACTGGAGTGCAGTGGTGCGATCGCAGCTCACTGCAGCCTCAACTTCCTGGGCTCAAGCAATCCTTCCACCTCAGCCTCCAACATAGCTGGACCACAGGTGTGCACCCCCATATCCAGCTAATTTTTTATTTTTTGTAGAGATGGGGTCTCACTATGTTGCCCAGGCTGGTCTGGAACTCCTAGGCTCAAGCAATCCTCCTGCCTCAGCCTCCCAAAGTGCTGGGATTACAGGTGTGAGCCACTGCACCTGGCCACACTAAATCATTAGCATATTAAGAATTACATTAATATAAATGGTCTAAATATACCAACTAAAGGACAGAGATTGCAGAGTGGATTTTAAAAAAATATGACCCAACTATATGCCATCTATAAGAAATGTATTTCATATATAATAATGTTGGATGAAAGAGATATTATACAAGCATTAATTTTAAAAAGTAAGAGTGCTATATCAGTATCAGATAAAGCAGAACTCAGAGTAGAGAAAATTAACAAAGAGGGAGAGGGACATTTTATAATGGCAAATCAGTCACTCTACCAATAAAACACAGTAACCTTTTTTGTTTAGACAAGGTCTCACTCTGTCGCCCAGGCTAGAGTTCAGTGGCATGATGTCAACTCACTACAACATCCACCTTCCATGCTCAAGTGATCTTCCCACCTCAGCCTCCCAAGTAGCTGGGAGCACAGGCATGTGCCACCATGCCCAGCTAATTTTTGTATTTTGTGTAGAAACAGGGTTTTGCCATATTGCCCATGCTGGTCTTGAACTCCTGAGCTCAAGTGATTCACCTGCCTTGGCCTCCCAAATTGCTGAGATTACCCATGTGAGCCACCATGCCCGGCAAAATATGATAATCTTAAATATGTATATGGCTAAGAATAGAGCTGCAAAATGTGAGAAACAAAAACTGATAGAACTTAAAGGAGAAACAAATACATCCGTAATTATAGCTGGAGACTTCAACACTCCTCTCAACAAGTAATAATACAAGTAGACAGAAAACAAAGATATGGAAGAACTCAACATCATCAACCAATAAGAGCTAAGTAACTTTTATAGAATACCTCACTGAATAACAACATTATACACTCTCTTTTCAAGTGCTCAGCAAACATAAGCAGATACATCATATCGTAGGTCAGAGCAACAATCCCTAAGACATTTAAAAGAATGTACATCACACAGAATGTGTTCTCTTACCATGATGAAATCAAACTAAAAATGAATAACGTAAAACTAAGAGGAAAATCTTCCAACACTTGGAAACTAAACAACACACTTCTAAATAATCCTTAAAAAGGAAGTACCAAGGGAAATTAGAAAATACACAATACTTAATGAAAATAAAAATACAACATATTAAAATGTGCCAGACACTCCCTGTTGATAGGGAAATTAATAACCTAAATGCATATATTAGGAAAGAGGATAAGTATCAAATCAGTAATAAAAGCTGCCAACTCAAGAACTCTGAGAAATAAGGGCAAACAAAACCAAAAATATCCAGAAGAAAAGAACAATGATTCAAGTATAGATCAATGAAATTTAAAACAGGAAACCAATAAAGGAAATCAATGAAAGGAAGAGCTGGGTCTTCAAAAAGATCAATAAAATTGACAAATCTCTTTTTAGACTGACAAAGAAAAAAGAGAATACACAATGGCCAATATCATGAGTGAAGCAGGGGATATTACTACAGACTCTGCAGACAACACAAGGAAAATAAGGAAATACTATTAACAAACCTGCCAGACAAAAATTTGGCAACTTAGATAAAGTGGACCAATTTATCAAAAAACACAAATTGCCACAGCTCACCAAACACGAAATCAATAGTTTGAATAGTTCTATAACTATTAATAAAATTGAAGATGTAATTTTAAAATTTTCCCCAAAAGTCATAACCAGGCCTGGATAGTTTAGAGAAATTCTACCAAAAAATTAAAGAAGAATTAACACCAATTCTATACAATCACTTCCAGAAAATAGAAAAGGAAGAGACACCTCCCAACTTATTTGATAAGTATTACTATAATGCCAAAAGCAGAAAAAGACAATACAAAACCCAGCAAACTACAGACCAATATTCAAAGAGGGAAACTTTCTAACTTGATAAAGACCATCTACAGAAAACCCACAGCTAGCACTTCACCTAATGGTAAAAGACTGAATCCTACTCTGTACAGTTGGGAAAAGGCAAGGTTGTCCATTCTTCATTCTAATTACTTCTATTTAATACAGTACTGGAAGTCTAGCCAGTGCAATAAGGCAAGAAAAAGAAATAAAAGCCATACAGTTCAAAAAGGGAGAAATAAAATTGTTTCTATTTGCAGATGACATGATTATTTATGTATAAAGTCTCAAGAAATCTACAAAAAAACCCCAAAACCTTTCTAGAATGAATATTTATGGCAAGATTGCAGGAAACAAGTTAATATAAAAAATCAATTGTATTTCTATATATTAACAATGAGCACATGGACATTGAAATGAAAAATACATTACTGGCCAGTGTGGTGGCTCATGCCTGTAATCCCAGCACACTGGGAGGCTGAGGTGGCAGGATCACCTGAGTTCAAGGCTGCAGTGAGCTATAATCACACCATCTCTCTCCAGCTTGGGCGAAAGAATGAGACCCTGACTCCTAAAAATAAATAAATAAAAATACATTATCATTCACAATAGTACCAATAAAAAAGAAATAGGTGTAAATCTAACAAAATGTGTACAGGACTTACATGTTGAAAACCACACAATGTTGTTGAGAGAAATTTAAAAATATATAAACAAATGAAATACTGTGTTATTGAGTTAGAGATCTGATACACTAAAGATATCAGTTCTCAAATTGATATACAGTTTAATACAATTCCTAGCCAAATACCAGCAAAGTTTTTGAAGGTATAGAAAATAAAAAGCAGGCGAGGTGCGGTTGCTTAAGCTGGTAATCCCAGCACTTTGGGAGGCCAAGTCAGGTAGATCACATGAGGTCAGGTGCCAAGACCAGCCTGGGCAACATAGTGAAACCCTGCCTCTACTAAAAATACAAAATTAGCCTGGCGTGCTGGCACACGCCTGTAGTCCCAGCTACTCAGGAGACTGAGGCAGGAGAATCGCTTGAACCTGGGAGGCAGAGGTTGCAGTGAGCTGAGATCACACCACTGTACTCCAGCCTGGGTGACAGAAGGAGACTCTGTATCAAAACAAAAAAAAAAAGGAAGGAAGGAGGGAGGGAGGGAAGGAAAGAAGGAAGGAAGGGAGGGAGGGAAGGAAGGAAGGAAGGAAGGGAGGGAGGGAAGGAAGGAAAGTAGAGTAGCTAAAACAATTTTTAAAAAGAATAAATGGGGCTGGGCCTGGTGGCTCAAGCCTATAAGCCCAGCACTTTGGGAAGCTGAGGCGAGTGGGTCACTTGAGGACAGGAATTCAAGACCAGCCTGGCCAAAATGGTAAAACCCCATCTCTACTAAAAACACAGAAAATTAGCCAGATGTGGTGGCATGTCTGTAATCCCAGCTTGTTTGGAGGCTGAGTCAGGTGAATCGCTGGAACCTGGGAGGTAGAGGTTGCAGTAAACCGAGATCACAGCCACTGTACTCCAGCCTGAGAGAAACAGCAAGACTCTGTCTCAAAAACAAACAAACAAAAAGAATAAATGGAGAGAAATTGGTCTATCCAATTTTAAAACTTACCATATAGCTATAGTAATCAGAATCAGAGTGTGGTATGGTGAAGGGATAGACACATACATCAGTGGAATTTCTGTTGAGAACCCCAAAATAGACCACCACAAATATACCTAACTGATATTTGACAAAGCTGCAAAAGCAATTCAATAAAGGAAAGATAGCCTTTTCAACAAGCAGTGCTGGAGAATTGTGCATCCATAGGCAAAAAAAAAAAAAAAATGAACCTCAACCCACTTTTCATACTTTATACAAAAATGACCTCCAAATGGATTATGAATTTGACTGTAAAATGTAAAACTATAAAACTTTTAGAAATAAACATAGGAGAAAATCTTCAGGACCTAAGCTAGGTAGAGAGTTCTTAGACTTGACATTAAATCATAATTCATAAAAGAAAAATTGATAAATTTGACTTCATCAAAATTAAAACCATTACACACTGCTAAAGATCCTGTTATAAGTTTGAAAAGACAAGCTACAGTTTGCAAGAAAGTATTTGCAAGTTGCATATCAGAGAAAGGGCTAGTATCTAGAAAGTATAAAGAGCTCTCAAAACTCAACAGTGACAAAGTAAACAATCCATCTGGGCATGGTGGCTCATGCCTATAATCTCAGCACTTTCAGAGGCCTAGAGAGGTAGCTCACTTAAGCTCAGGAGTTCGAGACCAGCCTGGGCAATATGGTGAAACCCCATCTCTACAAAAAATATAAAAATTATCCGGGTATGGTGGACTGTGCCTGTAGTCGCAGCTACTCAGAAGGCTGAGGTTGTTGCAGGAACCAAGGAACTGAAGAAACCAATGGGTGGAACAGGAGGATTCTATTTAGGTGCACTGGCACAGCAGATTTGCATCCAAAAGGCTGAGCCCCAAACAAAGACTTGGCTTGACTTTTATACATGCATCAGTGGTGCAAAATGCAGTGGTGCGAAAGCAGGTTTATAGAAGCAGAATAAAGGCAGTTTATTAAACAGCAACAGGCTCATAACTCAGGCTTTCATGTGATTCTTGCTATGCGGGCCAGGTGGCTGTTATCTAGGCTTGCTGAAGATGCCCGCATAATCTTATCTCGTGTCCTTCCCTATGGCACCCAGATGGCTACAGTCTAAGCTTTCTCAAGCTTGCTCAAAACTTGCAGTGCAGGATACAATTGCACGGGGTGGGGAGGGATTCAAGGGGGAAACTGTTCATACCACAGGAAAGGAAGAAAGTTTGTTTTTTTTCTTCTTGCATCTTCTGCTTCAAGGTAAGAGGATTGCTTGAGCCTGGGAGGCAGATGTTGCAGTGAGCTGAGATCATGCCACTGTAGTCCAGCGTGGGCAACAGAGTGAGACCTTGTCTCAAAAAAAAAAAAAAAAAGTAAACAATCCAATCAGAACAAGTGCAACACATGAAGAGACACTCCACAAAAAACAAGATGTACAGATAGTAAGTAAGCACATGAAAAGATCTTTGGTATCATTAGCTATTAGGGAAATGTACATTAAAACCACAATGAGATATCACTACACACCTATCATAACGGTTAAAATTAAAAATAGCAACACTGCCAAATGCTGGTGAGGATGTAGAGAAACTGGATCACTTATACATTGCTGATAGGCATAGAAAATGAGACAGCTACTCTGGAAAACATTTTAACAGTTTCCTAAGAAACAAAGCATGACACTACCATATGACTTAGTCACAGAGATTTCCCTGCAATAAATCTCACCAGACCCATTAGAAGAGACTGGCTGCCCAAAAAACAGCAAACAGCAAAAGTATGCTTTCAAAGGGGAAGCCATTGCAAAAAAAAAAAAAAAGAAAAGAAAATGGCCTTAAGAGAAAAACCAAGAGAAAAACAGAGAATTGCAAACTTGTGTTCACACAAAAACCTGTACATGAGTTTTCATAGCAGCTTTATTCCTAATAGTCAAAAATTGAAGGAAAAAATGCCCTCAAATATCTCTCAATAGATGAATGGTTAAACAAACCATGATACATCCATACCTTGGAATACTACTCAGAAATGAAAAGGAACAAACTACTGATACATACAATAATGCATTACGAGAATTATATTGAGTGAAAAAAAACCAATTCCAAAAGGTTACGTGCTGTATCATTTCATTTATGTAACATTCTTTTTGCTGTTGTTATTTTCAGACAGGGTGTCATTCTATCGCCCAGGCTGGAGTGTGGTGGTGTGATCATGGTTCACTTCAGCCTTGACCTCCTGGGCTCAAGCAGTCTTCCTGCCTCAACCCCCAAGTAACTGAGACTACAGATGTGCACCACCATGCCTGGTTAATTTTATATTTTTTGTAGAGATAGGGTCTCACTATGTTGCCTGGGCTGGTCTTGAACTTCTGGTGTCAACAATCCTCCCACCTCAGACTCCCAAAGTGCTCGGATTACAGGTGTAGGCCACCATGCCTGACCCTATAATATTCTTGAAATGGAAATATTATAGAAATTGAGATGAGACTAGTGGTTGCCAGGAGTTAAGGAAGGCATAGAGGCAGCAGGAAAGTGGACATGGTTATAAAAAGGCAACATGACACATCCTTGTGGTGATGGAAATATTCTTTGTCTTCACTGTATCAATGTCAATATCCTGGTTGTGAATAGTTTTGCAAAATGTTACCACTGGGGAAAACTGGGTAAAGGGTACATGGGACCTCTATTACTTGTTACAATTACACATAAATCTATAATTTCCTCAATATAAAAAGTTTAATTTAAAATTAAGGCTAAGCATAAAAACACTGAACAGTTGTCTATTAAAGCCTAAAGTAAAGATTCTGCCCATAAAACAGCCCAATTTTATTTTTGCAAAGACAAATTAAATCAATATCATAAGAAGGAAAAAAACTTGTGAGATTCTGCTTCAGAAATGGTGTAGTAACTCCTGTGGGGCCACACTCCTGGACAAGATCTAAAAAACAATTACCTGAAGGCACTTGAAAGTGACTAAAAGTAGGTGGGAACTGCAGAGAAGGCTGTAGTTGGAAGAAGGGAATGGCTTTTCACTTGAAGGCAGTCCTTAGTCCATACCAGACAGATTGGCTAAAACTTCAATTGAAATTTGCAGTCTTGGCCGGGCGTAGTGGCTCACGCCGTAATCCCAGCACTTTGGGAGGCTGAGGCGGGCAGATCACCTGAGGTCAGGAGTTCGAGACCAGCCTGGCCATGGTGAAACCCCATCTCTACTAAAAATACAAAAAATTAGCTGGGTGTGGTGGTGCGCGCCCATAATCCCAGCTACTCGGGAGGCTGAGGCAAGAGAGTCGCTTGAACACTGGAGGCAGAGGTTGCAGTGAGCCAAGATTGTGGCATTGCTCTCCAGCCTGGGCAACAAGAGCCAAACTCCGTCTCAAAAAAAAAAAAAAAAAAATAGCTGGGGGTGGTGGCAGGCACCTGTAATCCCAGCTACTCGGGAGGCTGAGGCAGGAGAATTGCTTGAACCTGGGAGGCAGAGGTTGCAGTGAGCCAAGATCACACCATTGCACTGCAGCCTGGGGGACAAGAGCAAGACTTCATCTAAAAAAAAAAAGAAAGAAAAGAAATTTGCAGTCTTACTGGCTTGAAGAAACAGATTGACAGAGTTCAAAGTGGCCACTGCAACTGGAAACTGAGGGAAAAACCTCAGAAAGGAGACAGTGACAGAGGAGTGGCCTCCAATTCTGCAAAAAACCCTGCATGTAAGAATTCTGCACATAACAGTGGCTCCCCTGGAGAGAGTGAGAAGCCCCAGGGGCATAGGGTGCCACCTTTTACATTTCAGCTGGACAGCAAGGTGAGTGGGCACAGTGGCTGCTCACCCCTCCGCCACAGTCACAGTATTACAGGCCAAGCAGGGAGACATCATGGCTCAAAGAATCTTGTCAAAGAATCTTGATGTTTTTACTCTAAATTTTAAAAAATGCAATATTTTTACTTAATACTTTAAGCATATGTGACACTTTGGTTTTATTCCTCCCTTCATAATGGTTTTTCTCTTAAGGCCTCTTTTTTTTTTTTTTTTTTTTTTTTTTTTTTTTTTTTTTTTGCAATGCCTTCCCCTTTGAAAGCATACTTTTGCTGTTTGCTGTGTTTTGGGCAGCCAGTCTCTTCTGATGGGTCTGGTGTCTCTAGCTGCATGTATGGCCTCAGGAGAGTAAAGATCTGGGTCTGGGTTTAGGGTGTGTTGGAGCCAGAATCACAGATCACAGCTTTGTGAGGGTGGACAGAGCCCTGGCAGTTCTGGCTTACAGCCAAGGTGCTGGGCATACAGGCACCCATTAAAAAGTGGGTACATTTGGAAAAAAAGAAAGAAAAGAATTCTGCACATAAACTCTGCTCAAATCTCTGGCTGATCTCTAAGCCACATATACAGAACATATCCAAAGAGTTCAGCCATGGATAAAGGAGCTAAACAAAGATTTCAGCTGCTGCCAACTGGAAGGAAGTTTGAGTTTAGAGTCTGAGGCAGGACTAATTAACTTCCTGTTAAAACAATCAAGACTATTTGATAGAATAGAACAGAATCTGAAATCTCTACAATGTATAATTTACAATGTCATGAATAAAATCAAAAATTACTAGACTTAGGAAGAAAAAGAAATTGTAACTCATAAGCAATCATTGCAGGCTGACCAGAAGATTTCACCTATACTGAGTTAGCAAAGATTTTTAAGATGGCTATTAAAACTATGTTCAAGAGCATAAAGGACAATATCCTATAATTAATAAACAAATAGGACATATCAACACAGAAATCACAAGTATTTTTAAAAATCAAACAGAAATTCTAGAGCTGAGGCTAGGCATGGTGGCTCATGCCTATAATCCCAGCCCAGCACTTTGGGAGGTGAAGGAGGAAAGATCACTTCTATGAAAGAAGGAAAGGAAGGGGAAGGGGAAGGGGAAGGAGAAGGAAATTCTAGAGCTAAAAAATGAAGAACCAAAACAAAATATTTAATGGATGGTCTTAATAGAAGACTAGAGAGGTTATAAGAATAAGTGAACATAAAGACAGATCATTAGAAATTATCAAATTTCAAGAACAGAGAGAAAAAAGATTGGGAAGTGGGAAAAGAAAGACAATAGAAATGGGGCTTAGTGACCTAAGGGGCAATATAAACATTTCTAACATATGACTAATTAGAGTCCTGGGAGGAAGGAATGGAATAGAAAAAACATTTGTGGGCTGGGCACGGTGGCTCACGCCTGTAATCCTAGCACTTTGGGAGGCCGAGGCGGGTGGATCACAAGGTCAGGAAATCGAGACCATTCTGGCTAACACGGTGAAACCATGTCTCTACCAAAAATACAAAAAAGTAGCTGGGTGTGGTGGTGGGCGCCTGTAGTCCCAGCTACACGGGAGGCTGAGGCAGGAGAATGGCGTGAACCCAGGAGATGGAGCTTGCAGTGAGCCGAGATCGAGCCACTGCACTCCAGCCTGGGCGACAGAGCAAGACTCTCCGTCTCAAAAAAAAAAACAAAAAAAAAAAAAAAGAAAAGAAAAGAAAAAAGAAAAAACATTTGTGGAAATAACAGCTGAAAAACTTTCAAGTTTGTAGATTCAAGAAGCTCATTGAACCCCAAGCAGAACAAATACCAAGTAAACCACATCTGTAGTGTCTTTGTAAATTTTCTAAAAAGCAAGGATGAGAGAAAAATCTTAAAAACAATTTTTAAAAATCAATACATTATAAACAGCAAATTACAATACAAATGACCACTGACTTCTCATCAAAAGTATTTGTTATTTAAGTGTTTCAAAGTCAGTGTCTTAGCTGTAATTCAACTTTAGTGTACCACCAGCCAAAAAAAAAAAAAAAAATGCAGTTGGACATGTGTCCATGATGCCAAGCCCTTTACATAATTATTGGGAATTTTTTATTTGGTCACATCCTTCAAAATAGATCAAAGAGCAAGTTACTCCATAGTAAACTGACAAAAACCTAGTTGCTTAAGAAAATAAAACTGTGCCTTCAATATATAAATAAGTATTAGCACCAGGTTGTCATATCAGCCCTTGAAAGGCCAGGGTAGAAAGGATTGGTAGCAGACAGTTTGGAAAAAAGATAGCTGATTAAATTGGATTATCATCCTGATGTCCCCTTCTTCTAATCTTTAGCCAGTGCTTTCTCCCTGGGGGTTTATTTTCTTTATATTCTTTGGATAACAGAAGTGTTAGTTTTCAGGTGATATTGACCTGATCCAGGACTAGAGTCAGATGACTTAAAAGAAAATTTTATAAGTCTCTTCAGGATCAAGATCAATGATTAAAAAAAAAAAAGAAAGGTAACAATAGAGATTTCTGAAATTGAAGAAGTTTTCATCAGAGACATTCAAACAAATGAACTTACAGAGCTATTTTAAAGCTATCTTCACAATGGTTAGAAATAGAAAGCAAAAAATCAAATATAAAACATAAATCAGAAGTGGAATTGAGCATGTTATAGTGAATCTTACAAAATTTAACAACCTATAAGGATAAAAACATCTCAGGGGACCAAAGATAGAACCTCTTAGAATGGCTGTATTCTCAACAACCTTTCACATTAAAGTTGTAAAACCTGATTCTAACAATGGCACTGGACTGAAGGTGTTAAGCTTTTGAATTCTCAAATCTGTATTTCTTATCCTGTCTTTTCTTCCTGACTCTAGATTGCCATTCACCACCGTCTCATGGTCAGAGGAGGTATGTTACTGAGCACTATTTTCCTAACTTCAGTCATTCCAGCACTGTTGTCTCATGTTTTGCCATAAGTGTACAATCCTTGTACTATTATTTATTAGTTTTCTTTAAGTTGACTCACATTTTTTACTTGTGTGTAATTGAAAATCATAGCTGCAATGAGAAAAGCAGTGCAATTAGCATCAATAAAATTATAGAGAAATAAATGTAATATAAAACATAATTAGGTTCTAATTAGATGTTGTTGTCTTCCAAAGTCTGACACCTGTTCTGTCGTAGATAAAACAAAAACTATCCGATGTTAAATAACATTAATATCAGACTGAGCCTTTCTCCTTGATACAATTGGAAAGATTTTTACAGGATTAAATGAAAACTGACAACATAAAAAAGAAGAGAGGGAGAAGAGAAAAGTGAGCATGGTCCAAAGTTACACTCAAGTATCAACAGAAAAAAATTCTAATATACTATTAAAGAGAATGGAGGCATGACTAGAATTGGATAGTTAAAAAAAAAAAATCTATTCCGTGAGTTATGCTCTGTCTTCACCTCCATGTTCCCTTTGATTATGCTTTGAATAGAGAATATCATATTTGCAATGATAGGAAGTAAATTAAAATAATCAAAACAGTGGCACTTATAAAATTCTGCAAAATGCAGTAAAAGGTGCTTATATTTGGTAGAAATTCTTCTGAATAAGTTTGATTTTTTTGTTTGTCTGACAATGTACAAAATCTAATTTTCTCTAAGTGGAATTAACTATATTTATTGTGCTTTCAGATAAGTTTGATATTTCCTTTTACATTTTGAATAAGGTATATAACCATTGCAGGCTAATAAGGTTAAACTAACAACTGCTGGCAAAATTTAAACAATCAATTGACTTTAGATTGATGTTTATTCTACATAAAAAATTTAAAAGTCATTTTATAAAGGTTATTCAACAAGAGAATTAAATGAAATATATCAAGATTTTATTTTATTTTATTTTATTTGAGATGGAGTCTCACTCTGTCATCCAGGCTGCAGTGCAGTGGCGCGATCTTGGCTCACTGCAAGCTCCACCTCCTGGGTTCATGCCATTCTCCTGCCTCAGCCTCCTGAGTATCTGGGACCACAGGTGCCTGCCACCAGGCCCAGCTAACTTTTTGTATTTTTAGTAGAGACAGGATTTCACCATGTTAGCCAGGATGGTCTCGATCTCCTGACCTCGTGATCCACCTCCCTCGGCCTCCCAAAGTGCTGGGATTACAGGCCTGAGCCACCGTACCCGGCCTAAGATTTTATTTTATTAAATACAATCTACCGAGAGGGAGGGAGAGGGGGAGAGAGAGAGAGAGAGAGAGAGAGAGAGAGAGAGAGAGAGAGAGAGAGAGAAAACGAACATAAAACAAGTTCTTTCCAAAAGTTTACTGTAGCATATAGGGTGAAATGGAGAATTGTAATTGTTTTAAAATCTGAAACTATTATTGTATTGTTCTAGTATAATGCTATTTTAATATGAAATCCCAATTAAAATATACTGTTATTGTCTCATTATAAAAAGAGAGAGAGAACTGAGGGTTCTGGTGTTGATAACATCAGAGTAGCTAGTACTACGATAACTCTCCCACAGAAAACGATGATAAATCCTGGACAAAATGTGACCAACTATTTTAAGACACTGGAGAGGGACCAAAAGCAGGCAGAAATTAGAAGGGATTTCAAAGTTAAATAAGGGGAACCATACTAATTTGATGGGATCTACATTTATCCATATTTTCCTATATTTTTACAGCATGGGGCAGTTAGAACTCAAGTAGAAATATGCAGTCTTATTTGCTGGAGGTGTCAAAGACTGGGATTTCAGAGCTGCAAGAGTGGCTAGAAATCTAAAGTGAAATCTGAGAAAAAAGCCATGAAAGAGGGAGTCCCCAAATCTGCATATAAACTCCTGTCAACTAGTTGGCTGACCCCCCAACCTGTGCATGTGCAGAAATTATTTCAAGGGGCCCACTGGAAAGCAATAGTTGAAAGGATGAGAGAACTGAGCAGATATGTCAGCTACTATCTACTGCAGGAGAGAAGGAGTTTGAGCGCTGCATAGTTAAGAGACTCAGTAAACACCTTGGTCTTTGAATAGGCTCACACTGAAAAATCATAAAATCAAGACTTCACAAGGTTAAGGTGATCTGCCAGGAACCTAATTGTCTGCAGAACAAATATCAACACTCTTCAGAGAAATCTAACAGAAATCAGAGTCTCTACAAAGTATCATCCAGGATGTCCATTATAAATATGAAATTACTAGACATGTGGAAAAACAGGAAAATTTGACCCAGACTCAAGAAAAAAAATTGTGACATAAAAATATACCCTAAGATGACTCAGATGTAATTGGTAGACAAGGATTTTAAAGTAGCTATTATATGTAGTTTCAAGAACTTAAAAGATAGTCATAGTGAGTAGACAGATGGGGAGTATCAACAGAGAAATGAAAACTATAAGAAAAAATAAATTGGAAATTCTAAAATAAAAGGTACAATTGCTGTAATAAACAATGTACAGGGTGAGCTGACAAAGAGATTTCATATAGTCAAATGAGGACTAAACTCTGATTTTTATTTTGCCCAAATTCCTGTCTAAGGGGTCAGGAGAGTCATGCCCTACAAACCATAAATTCTCATCAGATGGGCTTTATTTAACCCTACAGATCATGATTTATTTTCCAACCTGACTCCAGCATAATATTACGAGACAAGGTGGCCAGGTGCAGTGGCTCACACCTGTAATCCCAGCACTTTGGGAGGCCGAAGCGGGTGGATCACCTGAGGTCAGGAGTTTGAGACCAGCCTGGCCAACATGGCGAAACCCCATCTCTACTAAAAATACTAAAATTGCTGTGCCTGGTGGCACATGCCTGTAGTCCCAGCTACTTGGGAGGCTGAGGCAGGAGAATTGTTTGAACCTAGGAGGCAGAGGTTGCACAGGGAGCCAAGATCGCACCACTGCACTCCAGCCTGGGCAACAGAGTAAGACTCCTTCTCAAAAAAATTAATAATTATTATGAGATGAGGAATAAAATCCAAATATTTTACCCCAAAACATGTTTCTTTGCCATATTTTGAAATGGCCCTGCAAAGCTGTTCTGCATGGGGGAAAATTTGCACCTGTAATGAATCTCTATTAACGTAGTTAGATCTTTTTCTTTCAGACCCTCCCAATCCTAAAGAGATTAACTAAGATCTGAATAGGAAACATTTGTCATCTATTGTCCCTAAAGGCAGCCACTATAAGACTTTAAAAGAACTTTCATCTTTACAATCTTTATCCTAACCTGAACATTCCCTTTCTATCAATCCCAGGTCTTTAGACAAACACAACCAATTGTCAACCAGAAAACGTTTAAATTCACCTGTAGCCTGGAAGACCCCCTGCTTTGAGTTGTCTCGCCTTTCTGGACCAAACCAATGTATTTCTTAAATGTATTTGATTGATGTCTCATGCCTCTCTAAAATGTATAAAACCAAGCTGCACCCCGACCACTTTGGGCACATGTTCTCAGGACCTCCTGAGGGTGCTGTCACAGGCCATGGTCACTTGTATTTGGCTCAGAATAAATCTCTTCAAATATTTTACAGTTTGACTCTTTTCATCAACACAAAGAAGGAGTCAGAACTTTAAGACAGATCAGTATAAATTATCCAATCTGAGGAAAAGAGAAAAATCAATTTTAAAAATAAAACAAATACTCAGTGACATATGAGACAATATCAAACAGACTAAAATACATGTAATTGACATCCAAGGAGAAAAAACTCAGAGAACAAATGAGTCAGAAAAGAATTTGAATAAATAAAATAGTCTTCCTCCTTATCCTTGGAGGATATGTTCCAAGACCCCCAGTAGTACCTAAAACCATGAATAGTACCTGCTATGGTTTGAATATGTTTTCCAAAGTTCATATGTTAGAACCTTAATCCCCTGTGCAGCAGTCTTGAGAGGTGGGTCATTAAGGAAGTAATTAGGTTGTGAGAGCTCTGCTCTCATAAATAAATAGTGCAGGAGTGGGAGTGGGATCCTGATAGAAAGAAGAAGTTTGGCCTGATTTTCTCTCTCGCTTGCTCACCATGTGATGCCTTCCACCTTGGAATGACTTTGTCAGATGCCAGTGCCATGCTCTTGGACTTTCCAGCCTCCAGAACCATGAGCCAAATAAACTTCTGTTCCTTATAAATTACCCAGTCTGTGGTATTCTGTGATAGCAGCAGAAAATGAACTAAGACAGTACTTAATGCTATATATACACTCTTTTTCCTATACATAAATACCTATGATAAAGTTGAATGTATAAATTAAACACATTACTCTTGTACTTTAGGCTCATTATTAAGTCAAATAAGGACTACTTGAATATAAGCACTGCAATATCATGATAACAGATCTGATAACCAAGACAGCTAGTAGTAGGTAATATATATAGCGTGGATATGCTGGACAAAAGGATAATTCATTTCTCAGGCAGAATGGAGTGAGATGGTGCAAAATTTCATCATGCCTCTGAGAATAGCATGCAATCTAAAACTTATATTGTTTATTTCTGAAATTTCCCATTTAATATTTCCAATCTTAGTTGACTGCAGGTAGCTGAAACTGTGGAAAGTGGGACTGCAAAGAAGAAGGGACAATTGTAATGGCTGAAATTTTGCCAAATTTAGTGAGAAATATCACTTTACAGATATACAAAGCTCAGCAAACCCAAGCAGAATAAATACAAAGAAAAAGACACTTAATCACAGTATAGTCAAACTACTGAAATCAAAGAGAAAAAGAATTTCTTTCTTTCTTTCTTTCTTTCTTTTTTTTTTTTTTTGAGACAGAGTCTTGCTCTGTCGCTCAGGCTGGAGTGCAGTGGCTCAATCTCAGCTCACTGCAACCTCCGTCTCCTGGAGTCAAGCAATTCTCCTGCCTCAGCCTCCCGAGTAGCTGGGATTTCAGGTGCACACCACCATGCCCAGCTAATTTTTGTATTTTTAGTAGCGACGGGGTTTCACCATGTTGGCCAGGCTAGTCTCAAACTCCTGATCTCAGGTGATCTGCCCGCCTCAGCCTCCCAAAGTGCTGAGATTACAGGTGTGAGCCACTGCACCCAGCTGAGAAAAAGAATTTCTTGAAAGCAGCCAGAGGGAAAGAAAAACACATTACATACAGGGGAACAACATTAAGAAGGACTGCCAGCTTCTCATCTGAAGCAACGGAGGCCAGAGGTGATGAAACAACATCTTTAAAAACGCTAGGGGAAAAAATCTCTGGCAAAAACTCAATATGGAGTGAAGGTATCATCAAAAATGGGGCATAAGGTAAGACGTTTTGAAATATCAGGGTGATAAAACTCATCAACAGTAGACATATAGTACAAAAAAATAAAGAGTTTGGCTGAAAGAAATGACATTATATGAAATTTGGATCTACTGAGCGAAGAAAGAGTATAAGAAATGATAAATGTGCAGATAAATAGAAAGGGCTAACTTTTTTCTTTCATTCTTTCTTTCTTTAGAGACAAAGTCTCACTCTGTCACCCAGGCTGGAGTACAGTGGTGCCATTATAGCTCACTGTAGCCTTGAACTTCTTAGATCAAGTGATTCTCCTGCCTCTGCCTCCCAAATAGCTGGGACTTCTGGCACACACCACCAGGCCTGGCTAATTTTTTTTTATTTTGTAGAGACAGGGTCTGGCTGTGTTGCCCAGGCTGGTCTCAAACTACTGGCCTCAAGTGATCCTCTTTTCTCAGCCTACCGAAGTGCTGGGATTATAGGCATGAGCCACCATACCCTGACTTTTTTTCTTTCTTAATTTCTTTTAGAAAGCAACTGATTGCTGAAAGCAAATAATATTGTATTATGGGATTTTAACATAATATAAAACCTATAAAAAGTATATATGACAACAATAACAAAAATAATGAGGAAAGTAAACAAAATTATACTATTACCAGGTTCTCAATTTTATGTGAAGTGGTACAATATTAACTCAGAATGTACTAATAAATTAAGAATCCATATTGTAATCCCTAAAGCAAGTATGAAAATAATACAAGAGGTATAGTTAAAAAGCCAATCAAGCAACTAAGATTGAGTACTAAAAATATTTGACTTACCAAAAATAAGGATGGGAAGGAGAAACAAAGGAACAAAAAATATTTGAGACAATTGGAAAACAAAGAACAAAATAGTAGAATTTAATTCAACATACTGATAATTATATCAGATGTAAATGTATTAAACACATCAATTAAAAGGCTGTGACTATAGACTGAATCAAAAAGGAAGACCCAGGCCAGGCACAGTGGCTCACGCCTGTAATCCCAGCACTTTCAGCGGCCAAGGCGGCGTGGATCACCTGAGGTCAGGAGTTTGAGACCAGCCTGGTCAACATGGTAAAACCCCGTCTCTACTAAAAATACAAAAATTAGCCAGATGTGGTGGTGTGTGCCTGTAGTCCCAGCTACTCAGGAGGCTGAGTCAGGAGAATTGCTTGAACCCGGGAGGTGGAGGTCACAGTGAGCTGAGATCGTACCACTGCGCTCCAGCCTGGGTGACAGAGTGAGACTCTATCTCAGAAAAAAAGGAAGACCCACTGTGTGCTGTCTAAAAGAGGCCCACTTTAAATGGAAAGGCATAGGTTGAAAATAAAAGGATAAGGAAAGATATACCAGGTAGACAGTAAGTATAAAAAAGTAAGAGAGGCTATATTAATGCCAGACAAATTAAGCTTCAAAACCAGAAAGTATTATCAGAAACAAACAGACACATTTTATAATGATAAAAGGGTTAAGTCACCAGGAAGATCTTTCAGTCCTAAATGGCAATATAGAGAAGCCCTGTCTCTACAAAAAATTTTAAAATTAGCCAAGTGTAGTGGTGCACACCTATAGTTGCAGCTGCTTGGGAGGCTGAGGTAGGAGGATTATATGAACCCAGAATTCAAGGCTGCACTGAGCCATGATCACGCCACTGCACTCCAGCCTGGGCAAGAGAGTGAGACCCTGTCTCAAAAAAAAAGTAAACAAACAAACAGAATTTGAAGAATTTGAAAATCACAATCAAGAAACTTTAATTACTCAATTGATATTTATAACACATTTCACCCAGTAACTATAGAATAGCAAAATATACATTATTTTCAAGTGCAAATGGAACATTCATCTAGATATACCATACCATGTGTTAGGTCAGAAATAAATCTTAATAAATTTCAAAAGAAATTCTAATTGTGCATATTTCTTAACCACAGGGAATTAAGTTAGAAATCAATACTATTAAGATATCTAGAAAAGTCTCAAATATTTGGAAATTAAACAGCACACAATTAAATAATCCATGAGTCATAAATTATAAGGGGAAAAATATTTTGTACTGAATGATGATAAAAGTACATTAGAGCGCCTGGTGCGGTGGTTCATGCCTGTAATCCCAGCACTTTGGGAGGCTGAGGTGGGAGGATAACCTGAGGTCAGGAGTTTGAGACGAGCCTGGCCAACATGGTGAAACCCCATCTCTACTAAAAATACAAAAATTAGCTGGGTGTGGTGGTGGGTGCCTGTAAGTCAAGGAGAATCACTTGAACCAGGGAGGTGGAGGTTGCAGTGAGCCAAGATTGTGCCATTGCACTCCAGCCTGGGAGACAGAGTGAGACTCTGTCTCAAAAAAAAAAAAAAAAAGAAAAGAAAAGAAAGAAAAACAGTACATTAGAAAAGGCAAAATGAAACAATGGTGATAAAAATCAGAATAGTGATTGCCTACAGAATATGGGGATTAAGTGAAAGATGGCACGAGGGATGACATTCTTGAATTAGCAAAGATGTGACTTTAACTGTTTTTGAGGACAGACTGTCTGAACCAAAGGCAGTGATGCCACTGTGTGCTATTAGTGCCATTACTATAATAATAATAATTATCATTTTTTTTTGAGACGAAGTCTCGCTCTTTTCTCCCAGGCTGGAGTGCAATGGCGAATGGCACGATCTCAGCTCACTGCAACCTCCACCCCCCGGGTTCAAGCCATTCTCCTGCCTCAGCCTCCCAAGTAGCTGGGATTACAGGCGCCTGCCACCACATCTGGCTAATTTTTGTGTTTTTAGTAGAGACGGGAGTTCACCATGTTGGCCAGGCTGGTCTCGAACTCCTGACCTCAGGTGATCTGCCCACCTCGGCCTCCCAAAGTGCTGGGATTACAGGCGTGAGCCACCGTGCCCAGCCTATTACTACCATTACATGTCTCCAGCCAAGACTTTTCCTCTGAATGCCAAATTCATATGTTTAATAAGCAACTTGATGTCACTTTGAATGTAACATATCAATAATGGGACTGTTGATTCCCTCCTTACATCTACTTGTCTCCAAATCTTTTCCACTGCAATAAATGGCATTATCATTTACCCAGTTGCTTAAACCAAAAACCTAAGCATTATTCTTAATTTCTCTCTGCTTTTTTTTTTTTTTTTTTTTTTTTGAGATGGAGTCTCACTCTGTCGCCCAGGCTGGAGTGCGGTGGCGCGATCTTGGATTACTGCAAGCTCTGCCTCCCAGGTTCACACCATTCTCCTGCCTCAGCCTCCCGAGTAGGTGGGGCTACAGCTGCCCCACCCCTGGCTAATGTTTTGTATTTTTAGTAAAGACGGGGTTTCACCGTGTTAGCCAGGATGGTCTTGATTTCCTGACCTCGTGATCCACCTGCCTCGGCCTGCCAAAATGCTGAGATTACAGGTGTGAGCCACCGCGCCCGGCCAATTTCTCTCTGTTTCTTATGTTTCACATCTAATCTGTCACCAAATACTGTTGATTCTGCTTCTAAGATACAGTAGTTCCTCCTTATCCTCAGTTTTGCTTTCCACAGTCTTAGTTACCCACAGTTAACCTCAATTTGAAAATATTAAATAGAAAATTCCAGAAAGAAACAGTTTATACGTTTTTTTTGGCCTGGCAATAAATATTTTAATTTTTGTTTCATTTTTATGATGACAAATAATTTTCAAGTTTATTTCCTTGCTTGTTTGTTTAAATACAAAGCTAAACTACAAACAGGTACAATCAAGACATTGTTGTCTCACATTTACACTCCCATCAGATCCTCTTCCAATTCACTGACCACTGACCAGGCTAGTGGGGGGTGGGGAGGAAGGCTTTTTCAGGTAGCACCATCGTGAGGCCTGGGGTGGGGCTGGGGGGAACCAAAAAGGAGGACAGGCTCTCATACCTGTTTCCATTCACATTTACCTGGGACCAGGGTGGGCAGGAGACACCAGGTCATGGCTCCTGAGCCCTGGTCCCTTGGACTGAAGGGACAGTGAGTGAGAATCGTCTAAATCGTGTGCCATTCTGAGTAGCATAAGAAAGTCTTGTGCTGTCTCACTCCATCCCACCCAGCACATGAATCATCCCTGGATGCATATATATTTTGCTATGTATGCTACCCACCTGTGAGCCACTTAGTAGCCATCTCAGTTATCAGATCAATCATCAGGTCAACTGGACGTATTGTAGTGCTTGTGTTCAAGTAACTCTTCTTTACTTAATAATGGCTCCAAAGTGCAAGAGTAGTGGTGCCGGCATATTACTATAATAGTTCTATTTTATTGTTTGTTAATCTTGTTAATCACTTACTATGCCTAGTTTATAATTAAACTTTATTATAGTCATGTCTTTAAAAAAAGCATATATAGAGTTTGATATTATCTGCATTTGCAGGTATCCACTGAGGAACTTGGAATGTATCCCCTGAGGATGAGGAAGGACTATGAATATGGCAAATCCATCTACTTCTTTTCTCTGCTACTATCATTCTAGTGTAAACCACCATTATCACTCTGAGTGCTCCAGTGACTTCATAAGCCAGAGCAGATTTTTAGAAAAGTAACTTGGTTTGTGTCGCGTTCCTGTTCAAAAAGTCCTTTATCAGGTTTCCAGTGCCCCAGGTACTACGTGATCTGGCCTCTGCCCACCTCCCCCATCTCATACCAGTGCGCCACCTGATTAATGTGGTCGGCACAGGAACATCTCAAAACTACCTTGAGGCCTTTGTGCGTGCTATTCTGTCTGCGTGAAATGATCTTTGTGCTCTGATTCTTTCTTAGCATTAAGTCTTTCTAAGTTTAAATGTTACCTCCCTTAGGTCCTATATTATTTTCAGAGTGGTCTCCCCTAAATCCTATTATATTCTACCTCAGTGCTACTGTTTGAATGTGTTCTCCAAAGTTCATGTGTTGGAAACTTAATCCCCAATGCAGTAGTGTTGAGAGGTGGGACCTTTAAGAAGTGATTAGGTCATGAGAGCTCTGCCCTCACACATGGATTAATGGTG
The DNA here is from genome assembly GCF_000001405.40 of Homo sapiens. Classification (NCBI taxonomy): domain Eukaryota; kingdom Metazoa; phylum Chordata; class Mammalia; order Primates; family Hominidae; genus Homo; species Homo sapiens. Next base: position 173,311,679 of record NC_000002.12, on the reverse strand, counting down.
ATATTGCAGGAGTGGGTTATTTACTGTGGGAGTGGGCTCTGGATAAAAGGATGAGTTTGGTCTCCTTTTATCTCTTGCTCTCTCTTGCTCTCTCTTACTCTGTGATGCCTTTTACCGTGTTATGCAACAAGAATGCTCCCAGCGGATACGGCTCCTTGATCTTGGACTTCCCAGCTTCCAGGACTGTGAGCCAAATAAATTTATGTTCATTATAAATTACCCAGTCTCAGGTATTCTGTTATAACAAAACAAAGTGGGCCAGGTGTGGTGGCTCATGCCTTTAATCCCAGCCCTTTGGGAGGCCAAGCTGAGAGGATCACTTGAGCCCAGGAGTTCAAGACCGGCCTGGGCAATGTAGTGAGACCCTGTCTCTGAAAAAATCCAAACAAAACCAAAACGGACTGAGACACTCTGCGTTTCTATTTATTTTCACCACAGTTCCTTTCAGAATCTGAAATTTTTATAGTTATATGTTTATAACATTTCGCCTACAGTACCCAACACAGAGAGAGAGAGAGAGAGAGACACACACACACACACACCCCTACCTAGAATGTAAACTCCAGAAAAGCAAAGACCCTGTCTGTCTAATTCATAGCTGTCATCTTTGTGTGGTGGCCTGTATATCCTAAATGTTGAATGAGTTCAGTTAAGGAATACCAGGGGATGCCAAGACAGCCAACTGAGAGTTTCCTGGTTGTACTATTTGTAACAATCTCCTTTTCGTTAAAACCTACTAAGTGATCTTTTGATTTAGTAAAAAAAAAAAAAAAAAAAAAAAAATGCTGGGTTTGTTACTCTCGTTTTTGACAGCTATAAAAAGGAGAAATTAATCCACACAATCTCACACATTCTGGGAGGAAAAATAAACTTCTGGACTAGGCCTCTCAAGGCTCTTAGAGACGGAGAGAGAAACAAAGATGGACAAAGAACAAAGGAGATGGACTAAGAAGCTAAATCATCTCCCTGCCTCTTGTCTCACTCCCACCACCACAACCCACCCACCCAACCCAACCTCTCCCTGGCCTTGATTACACACATGTGACTGTATAGTTCCCCTGTTTGCAATTCCTCAATGACTTTTCATCAAATATTGAATACAAACTCATGATTTTCAGCCCAGGCCATTTATTAGTCTTTATTTCTTTGTTCTTGCCAGTGACTCAGCCTGCTTTTCTTTTCTTCTTAAAATTCTACCATCCATAATCCTCTATTGCTTCAATTTCTTTTTTTGCTTTCCCAAGGCTGGCTATGGAATGGGTCACATTTCCCGAGCAACCCATGTAGGGTAGATGTAGGGGATCGAAAAATGCTACTCCCAAATGTGTGACTTTGACATAAAGATTGTTTTGAGCTGGAAACAAATGAGAATCAACAGATATGAAACCGCCATTGCAAAATTGTAGCTGAGGCAATGAAAGAGATCTGACCTAACCAACTCATCTGGCTTCTAACCTCCAAGCTGTCCTTGTTCATTCCTGGGTATAAGCTGAATCAATAATAAGAGAATAAATTAGTTTATGGTTTAAAACAAAGACAATAAAAGCCCTTTCCCAAAACAAACCTCTTTCTTGCCCGGGGACTAGACTGCCTTTGTAGGACTAACAAATTAGCTGCAAGAATAGAAATTATGGTTTAGGAGTCATGCAGCTGGAGGCTACAAGATTCCAATCCTCCCTAAACTGCTTTTAAGATCAGTCCTTGAGATATTTTGCAGACCCTGTACTTGATGGGTCAGCTGGGACCACCCAGATCAATGAACTGGCTCATCTGATCGTGTGGCCCCCACCCAGGAACTGACTCAGCACAAGAGGACAGCTTCAATTCCCTATGATCTTATCTCCTACCTACCTAATCAATCAGCACTCCTGGCTCACTGTCTGCTCCCCCCACCCACCCCCGCACCCCAGCCCACACACACACACCCACCAAATTGTCCTTAAAACTCTGATCCCCAGCCGGGCGCAGTGGCTCGTGACTGTAATCCCAACACTTTGGGAGGCTGAGGCGGGCAGATCACTTGAGGTCAGGAGTTCAAGACCAGCCTGACCAACATGGTGAAATCTCCTCTCTACTAAAAATACAAAAAAATCAGCTGGGAGTGCTGACGCATGCCTGTAATCCCAGCTACTCAGGAGGCTGAGGTTCAAGCAGGAGAATTGCTTGAACCCAGGAGGTGAAGGTTGCAGTAAGCCAGGATTGTGCCACTGCACTCTAGCCTGGGTGACAGAGCAAGAGTCTGTCAAAAAAGAAAAAAAGAAAAAACTTCTGATCCCCAAATACTGGGGAGTCTGATTTGAGTAATAATAAAACTCTGGTCTCCTGAACAGCCAGCTCTGCATGAATTACTCTTTCTCTATCGCAATTCCCCTGTCTTGAGAAATCAGCTCTGTCTAGGCAGCAGGCAAGGTGAACCCACTGGGCGGTTACAAAATGGGAGAGTTCCCTTGTAGCAGGACGAGCCACAAATAAAACTCCTCAGACACCGAGTTAAAGAAGGAAGGGGTTTATTCGGCCGGGGGCATCGGCAAGACTCCTGTCTCAAGAACCGAGCTCCCCGAGTGAGCAATTCCTGCCCCTTTTAAGGTCTCACAACTCTAAGGGGGTGTGGGTGAGAGGGTCGTGATCGATTGAGCAAGCAGGGGGTACGTGACTGGGGGCTGCATGCACCGGTAAGTAGATCGGAACAAAACAGGATAGGGATTTTCACAGAGCTTTTCTATACAATGTCTGGAATCTATAGTTAACATAACCGATTAGGTCAGGGGTCAATCTTAACTACCAGGCCCAGGGTGTGGCGCCGGGCTGTCTGCTTGTGGATTTCATTTCTGCCTTTTAGTTTTTACTTTTTCTTTCTTTGGAGGCAGAAATTGGGCATAAGACAATATGAGGGGTGGTATCCTCCCTTACCCTGATCCCCTCACAGGACTTGTGACAGGGGTGTGGCTTATTTGCTTGGCTGCCACACACACTCAAACCCCTTACAGGATGGGGGGCATGCAGACAGGCAGGTGCAGGAGCCAGGGCAAGCACTTTTGGGCTCCGGCCCCATGGTAGCGTCTAGAGCTATGTTACAATTAATGCTTTTTTAGCAGTTACTATCCACAGATGACTGTTAAACCAGCTCAATGGAGAGTCAGAGTGACAGCCTTTTACATCCTGCCACCTTGGTATCTGGGGCCTTGTCCAGTGTCCAGGAAAAATCAGGTCACTCGGACTTGAAGGATGGTGAATGCAAGGATTTTACTGAGTGATGGAGGTGGCTTTCAGTGGGATGGATGGGGATCTGGAAAGAGAATGGAGTGGGAAGATGATCTTCCCCTGGAGTTCAGCTGTCCCCCCACCAATCTCTTCTCCAACTGTCCCCAGCCAAACTCCTCTTGACATTCAGATGCTCTTTCTCTTCTTCTCTTCTCTGCTACGCTGCTCTGCCACTCTTCTGGTCTTCTGTACCTGCTTGTGGAGCTTGGGATTTATATAAGCACAGGATAGGGGCGTAGTGAGCCATAGTGGTCTTGGAAAAGGCAACCTTTGAACTGAAAAGAGGAATGTCTGTTCCCATTTAGGGCCATGGGTTTCCAGGCTTGAGGGTGGGGCCTTTGCTGGGGAACTGCCCTCTTCTACCCAGTATTTCCCTGCCTCCTGTCCATATCAGTTACGGAGGCTGAAAGAAGCCTTTTGGACCTTTACTTATCTGACCAAAAGCAGACACTTCTGAAAAATGAGGATTTCCATAAATCCCCTCTCCCAGGGAGGTTTTAAGACATTGTGTCACTCACAGACAATTGTTGTCTTGTTTAATATTATTCAGTTTTATGGCCATGAAGACCACAAAGAGTTGATGCTAAAATGGATCTGCAGAAACAAACCTTGCCCCACCAGTTTCCCCCATGTATTTGCCTTCTCGCAATTTGTCACCCCTGGAAACTCCAAGTCCTTTTCTTTTGTCTTGGTACTTCTGTAACCACCCAGTGGGTCCACCTTCCTGCTGCCTGGACAGAGCCAATTTCTCAAGACATGGAAATTGCAATAGAGAAAGAGTAATTCATGCAGAGCTGGCTGTGTGGAAGATCACAGTGTTATTATTACCCAAATCAGTCTCCCCTCACAGGACTTGTGACAGGGGTGTGGCTTATTTGCTTGGCTGCCACACACTCAGCCCCTGGCTAACTCCTCTTCACACAAAGTAGGCTAGAAACAGCAGCCAAAGAGAAACAATAGGTACTTTTGTCTTGAGTGGGTGATTTGCATTTTGACAACTTCCTTCCAAGGAAATGCCTATCTCAAACAGCTTTTGCTTCAAAAAAGAAACGTGTTCTGAGACGGCTTTTTTTTTTAATTGACAGATTGCAGCCTGGCCAACGTAGCGAAGCTCCATCTCTACTAAAAATAAAAAGTTAGCCGGGCGTGGTGGCGCACGCCTATAGTCCCAGCTCTCGGGAGGCTGACGCATGAGAATTGCTTGAACCCGGGAGGTGGAGGTTGCAGGGAGCCAAGATCGTGCCGCTGCACTCCAGCCTGGGCGACAGAGCCAGATCTTGTCTCAAAAAAAAAATTGTAATTGTACTTATTCGTGGGGTAACATTTGAAGTTTTGACACATATATCTGTTGTCTAATGATCAAATCAGGGTATTTAGCTTATCTATCACCTCATGCATTCACATTTCTTTGTGGTGAGAGCACTCAAAAGCCTGAGCATTTTTAAATCACTCTTTTTAGACTTAGGGGATGCTTTCCCAAGCTCCCTTAAAGAGTGTTTTGTCTCCTAGACTGTTCTGGCTCCAGTCACTAAGACTCTTGAAAACAGGGACTGAGTATTCCGATGCCTAGCACAAGAATGATGGAGTGTTGATTCTGAGCACAAACTCTGACCTGAGGTGGCTGCATGGGGCACTGAGAGTGGTTGTGATCCTGGAAGGTGGAAGAGCACAGTAGCCACCTAGCAGCTTCTGCTCGATAGGAATTACTTATGGTCACAAATGTGCATTTGCCTTGTCCTGGTGAGCCTTCATCCTCACTGAGAACCATTTAGGTTTCTTATGTACCATAACAATTCTGCAGACTTTAGGCTTTCCTGCAAGAACTCTTGTTATCCTCCAGGCCTCTAGCAAAATGGCCTTCACTGCAGCTTTCATCACCTGTATCTTTGTAAGGCCCAGCCCCTAATCGAGATGGCCTGGGGAACTCCAGGGTCTCTAGGTGACACCCTTCAGCTCCCCACACCTCACCCACCATGAATGAGAAGACAGGTCATGAATTCTCCTATTGCTTTATGGCTCAGTTCAGTTCATCAGTCTCTCATTTTCAGGCAAAAGCCTTCTGAAGCTCCCACTGCCTCTGCCTTCAATTCCACATCCCTTTGCATTGATCTCATTCATCAACCAGCAGATTACCAGGGATTTGTCATTATCCTCAAGAATTTTAGAGCCCGTGCAAATGACCCATCCAACAGCTTGCCTTCAGACTTCCTTAATGTGATTCTAAAGATTCTAAAGATGGCCAAATTCCTGTCACACCTGAGAACAGCTCCATTTGCCTAATGGTCAACTCTAATGACACCACTCAACGTCAAACTCCTGGCCCTCTGCCTCACTTCCTCGAGGGCTGCTTTACAGTTAAAGAAAACCTACCTCTCTCCAACTACTAGCCCTTTACTCTCTGTGCTGCTGTGCCATTCCCCCACAACCTCTACCCAGGCCTTCTCTGGCAGCTGAGAGCTGTTGGAAAAAAATTACATGACAATGAAGGCTAATATTACACTCAATTTATGATGTCTAATTTAGGCTGGATTCTCAATTCTTCTATTCAGCGCTTTATAGGATTTCAGATCAGTTCTGTCCAAAGACAAAATTACAGCAAGTTTAGTTAAAGATCTAATTGGCTTTTATTTGTGATTCATGAATCAAGGCAGGTTCCATTCTATAAAACAGAATGAGAGCTCCCACTGGGCAATGGCAGAACAGCCAGTTTTGTAAGGTGGGAACAAGGAAGGAAACAGAACAATTAAAAAAAAAAAGCTGATTGGTTAACTTCTGGTTACTTTTTTGTAAAGATTAAGGCAAAGAGGACCTCCTGAATATGCTGATTCAGGTAGGCTGGAATGTCCTGTTTCCAGGGTAAAAAACCGTTTTCGAATCTACCTGCTACCTTGGTTTCAGTCTGATTATGTGACATTTAGCATGAGTGACTCCATTTTGGTGTGGTCTGGTCTGTTGAGGCCTAGTGCAGAAGCCTAGTCCAAAACAATGGGTTCTCATAATTTTTGTGTACCAGTTCCTTCCTTAAATCCTGCTGAGGCTTATCCAAACCATTCACTCCTTTCATCATGTATTTGCCCCCTCCTGCTTCTCTTTTGGCCAGGGATCCCACCTCCTACTCTGATAGGAAATAAAGGTACAATTTCCCACCGAGGTTCCACCTACGAACACCTCTGCAGTTTCATGTATTCTTAACTCCAACCTGTTCCCATGCCTGGTTCCGGGAACAATAGCTTCAGCAAAGGTTTTGGAATTTGTTAATAATGTAAATTATCATTGGACTCACCCCAGACTTCCTCTGGGGATGGACCTGCAGACTGTTCTAAGAAGCCCTCCAGGTGATGCTGGGGCAGCTGTTTGAGACTGGTGTAGACCTCCTCCTCTGAGGACTTCCTTGTTCTTCTTTCGTCTGTCTTCATTTTCTCCCCTGTTTCACATAATATTTCCCCTTCTGGAAAATTTATCCGAAAGAAATAACTGAAAGGAAAATAAATCTTGGGGCCCCAGAACCACTAAGGTAAAGGGAAAAAGTCAAGGTGGGAACTGCTTAGAGCAAACCTGCCTCCCATTCTATTCAAAGTCTTCCCTCTGCTCACTGAGATAGATACATATCTGATTGCCTTCTTTGGAAAGGCTAATCAGAAACTCAAAAGAATGCAACCATTTTTCTCTCACCTACCTGTGACCTGGAAGCCTCCCTCCCTGCTTCAAGTTGTCCTACCTTTCTGGAGAGAACCAATGTACTTCTTACACATATTGAATGATGTCTCGTGTCTCCCTAAAATGTATAAAACCAAGCTGTGGCCTGACCACAGTGGGCACATGTCATCAGTGTCAGGCCTCTGAGCCCAAGCTAAGCCTTCATATCCCCTGTGACCTGCACGTACACATCCAGATGGCTGGTTCCTGCCTTAACTGATGACATTCCACCACAAAAGAAGTGAAAATGGCCTGTTCCTGCCTTAACTGATGACATTGTCTTGTGAAATTCTTTTTCCTGGCTCATCCTGGCTCAAAAAGCTCCCCTACTGAGCACCTTGTGACCCCCACTCCTGCCCGCCAGAGAACAACCCCCCTTTTTCCTTTACCTACCCAAATCCTATAAAACGGCCCCAACCCTATCTCCCTTTGCTGACTCTCTTTTCGGACTCAGCCTGCCTGCACCCAGGTGAAATAAACAGCTTTATTGCTCACACAAAGCCTGTTTGGTGGTCTCTTCACACGGACGCACATGAAAATCAGGTCCTCCTGAGGCTGTGTCACAGGTGCACCTCCTCAACCTTGGCAAAATAAACTTTCTAAATTAACTGAGACCTGTCTCAGATATTCAGGGTTCACATAACCTAAAATGAGGACACAGTTTTCTACTTACACAAAGATGTTTATTACAGTATTATTTATAACTGGGAAAAACTGGAAAGAAGCCCAATGTCCATGAAATTATTAAGAAAGGACAATGATGGCTGGGCATGCACCTGTAGTCCCAGCTACTTGGGAGGCCAGGGCGGGAGGATGGCTTGAGCTCAGGAGTTTAAGGATGCAGTGAGCTATGATCATACCACTGTACTCCGCCTGGGCAACAAGCCAGACCCTGTTCCCCTTCAAAAGAAAAAAAGGACAGTGGACTATAAGTAGCAACTGAAATGATGTTATTAGTGTAAACCAAAAATAAAATTTGAAGGCCCCCCAACCATCTGAATGGACTTCCTCCTCAACCAGGGATCTTGAAATGTAACCTGAGAGACTGTTTCAGGCTATGATGTGAAGTAGGGGATCAAACATGCTTCATTATACCTCTCCAGCATTAAACTCAACACAGACTTTAAGTCTGAAAAGAAACACTTTGCAACCTATTCTCTGAAGCTTGCTAGCTAAAAGCTTCATCTGCATGATAAAACTTTGGTCTCCACAACTGTTTTTTTTTTTTTTTTTTTTGAGATGGAGTCTTGCTCTGTTGCCCAGGCTAGAGTGCAGTGGTGTGATCTCGGCTCACTGCCAGCTCCGCCTCCCGGGTTCACGCCATTCTCCTGCCTCTGCCTCCCGAGTAGCTGGGACTGCAGGCGCCCGCGACCACACCCAGCTAATTTTTTGTATTTTTAGTAGAGACGGGGTTTCACTGTGTTAGCCAGTATGGTCTCGATATCCTGACCTTGTGATCTGCCTGCCTCAGCCTCCCAAAGTGCTGGGATTACAGGCATGAGCCACCGCACCTGGCCTTTTTTTTTTTTTTTTTTTTTTTGAGACAGAGTCTCACTCTGTTGCCCAGGCTGGAGTGCAGTGGTGCAATCTCGGCTCACTGCAACCTCTGCCTCCTGGGTTCAAGCAATTCTCCTGCCTCAGCCTCCCAAGTAGCTGGGATTACAGGCATGCACCACCACGCCTGGCTAATTTTTGTACTTTTAGTAGAGACGGAGTTTCACCATGTTGGCCAGCCTGATCTCGAACTCCTGACCTTGGGTGATCTGCCTGCCTTGGCTTCCCAAAATGCTGGGATTACAGGCGTGAGCCACCGTGCCCAGCCTCCACATCTTATCACAACCCAGACATTCCTTTCTATTGATTCCAGGTCTTGAGACAAACTCAATTGTCAATCAGAAAATGTTTAAATTTACCTATAACCTGGAAGCCCTCCACCCTGCTTTGAATTGTCCCACCTTTCTGAACCAAACCAATGTATTTCTTAAATGTATTTGATTGATGCCTCATGCCTCCCTAAAATGTATAAAACCAAGCTGTACACTGACCTTAGGCACATGTTCTCAGGACCTCCTGGGGGCTGTGTTATGGGCCATGGTCACTCATATTTGGCTTAGAATAAATCTCTTCAAATATTTTACAGAGTTTGACTCTTTTGGTCAACATTACATTTTTAATCACACAGGGAAATGATTATACTACAATACTAAATAAAAAATTTTTAAAGGAAATATAAAATTGTACATAAAGGCTGCTTTAAGGCCGGGCACAGTGGCTCACACTTGTAATCCCAGAACTTTGGGAGGCCAAGGCAGGTGGATCACAAGGTCAAGAGATCGAGACTATCCTGGCCAACATGGTGAAACCTCGTCTCTACCAAAAATACAAAAATTAGCTGGGTGTGGTGGCACATGCCTGTAGTCCCAGTTACTCGGGAGGCTGAGGCAGGAGAATCACTTGAACCTGGGAGGTGGAGGTTGCAGTGAGCCGAGATTGCACCACTGCACTTCAGCCTGGTGACAGAATGAGACTCCATCTCAAAAAAAGAGGCTGGTTTAAAATGTTGGTTTTAATACCAGTAGTTAGCTATGTTCCATCTCAAACCCCTCTAAAACCACAGTAACAGGAGTTTCCCTTGTTATTTTTTAATTTCTTAATTTTTGATAGCCATAGGGGTGTTGCTATGTTTTACAGGCTGGTATCAAACTCCAGGCCTCAAGTGATTCTCCAGCCTCGGCCTCCCAGAGTACTGGGATTACAGGCAGGAACCACTGCATCCAGCCTATTTGTTTCTAAAGTAGAAAAGCACAAGAGTGATGAGGGTAGGAGAGGAGACAATAATGAGAGGTGAAGCCAGCTGGACTTTCTGGGATGAGTGGGGACTTGGAGAACTTTTCTGTCTAGCTAAAGGATTGTAAATGCACCAATCAGCACTCTGTAAAAATGCACCAATCAGCACTCTGTGTCCAGTTAAAGGATTGTAAATGCACCACTCAGCGCTCTGTGTCTAGCTAAAGGATTGTAAACTCACCAATCAGCACCAATCACTCTGTAAAATGGACCAATCAGCACTCTGTAAAATGGACCAATCAGCAGGATGTGGGCAGAGCCAAATAAGGGAATAAAAGCTGGCCACTACAGCCAGCAGCGGCAACCCACTCGGGTCCCCTTCCACGCTGTGGGAGCTTTGTTCTTTTGCTCTTCACAATAAATCTTGCTGCTGCTCACTCTTTGGGTCCACACTGCCTTTATCAGCTGTAACACTCACCGTGAGGGTCCGTGGCTTCATTCCTCAAGTCAGCGAGATCACAAACCCACCAGAAGGAACAAATAACTCCAGACACACCACCTTTAAGAGCTGTAACACTCACTGCGAAGGTCTGCAGCTTCACTCCTGAAGTCAGCGAGACCACGAACCTACTGGAAGGAAGAAACTCCGGACACATCCGAACATCTGAAGGAACAAATTACAGACAAACCATCTTTAAGAGCTGTAACACTCACCATGAAGGTCCACGGCTTCATCCCTGAAGTCAGCAAGACCAAGAACCCACCAGAAGGACTAAATTCCGGACACAATAACACCAGCATTTTAGGAGCTGGAAGATGGTGGAATGGCAAGCAACTTCAGATGAATTCCCTAGCCAGCAGTGAGGAAACATTCACTAACAGAGCAGAATCCCCCCTGCAGGAATTCACAACATTGTGTATCTTTCCGAGTAGTGGCACAGGTGAGTTACAAAGAGAAGGAATGTTTGAAATTAGGTTTGTTTTTTTTGAGACAGGGTCATGCTCTGTCGCCCAGGCTGGAGTGCAGTGGTGCGATCTTGGCTCATTGCAGCCTCTGCCTCCGGGGCTCAAGCAATCCTCCCATCTCAGCCTCCTGAGATGCATGCCACCATATTTATGCATAAAATATTGTATATTTTATAGAGAGGGAACTTCACCACATTGTTCAGGCTAGTGAGAGAGTAGAAAGGAAGAAACTGGTCAGGCAGTTAGGGTGGGTCCTCAGTTGAATTCTTTAAACAAAAGAACAGCCTGCAGGTACAGATAAGGGAACTTGCATAGAGGGGCTTGCCTAAGACATGCCCACAGCTGAACAGATAAGAAAGGCTACGCAGGTGACTTTCCCAGCCATGCCTGCAATGGAAAATTCCATCCCCTGACTCATGCACAGTAAGGGGAACAAAGCAATATGGAATAGCTCAAGGTAAGAGCCCCCATGCACACTAGGAGGATGGGGTGGAGCTAGCATAAATTTGCATCTTATGCAAATGAGACACCTAGTCCTCTTCAGTTTCTTATAAAAGCCTTTGCATTTAACTGTAAAAATGGCAACCCTCTTCCAGGCTCCCTCTCCACAGCAGAGAGCTTTCTTCTTTCACTTATTAAACTTTCGCTCCAACTTCACCGTTTGTGTCCAGGCTCCTTAATTTTCCTGGTTGTGAAACAAAGAAATGCAGGTGATACCCGGCAATGAGAAACTGCTACATTGCAGTGCATTGGCAAAACAGTAACATTGTGGTGCATTGGCAAAACTGTAACATTTTAGTGCATTGGCAGGGAAAGGAAACATTGGAAAGTTGAGTAGGAGGGACCTCCGATTCTTCATTTTTGTTTGGGGGCTTCTTGCCCTCAGTTTTTTTAATTAAACAAAACACTGCGCCCTTCAGCCAGTTAAAAGCTTCTAGAGTGGCTGCCATCCTTACAAGACTCAGGGGACAGGCTTGCTGGAGAGGACTTTCTCAATCCCCTATCGCCCTCACATGGTGGGAATGTTGGCTCTGTTCCAATCCAGTTTCCTTTGGAAGGAGGTCCTGGGGCAACTGAAGGCATCTGGCCAAGGCTATATAGGTCCCTGGACAAGCTCTGGCCCCTGGACTACCTCTGGCCCCCAACAGCCCATCAGGGCGTCGGCATCAGGACTTCCAGACTTTTCTATTGAATTTATTTCTTCTCTTTTCACAGCTATCATATCTCCTATCCCTTCTTTATGTACTACGTTGAAGGATTTTTTACAGCCTGGGAGGTAATCTTGTTGGGTACAGTTAGCAGGTGCCTTGGTAACCAAGAATGTAAATTTTAAAAAATTGCTGCTTCTGTGATTTCCTTGAGATGGGGGGATTTCAAGATTTCAGTCTAAACTTTCACCTAGTAAGGGCCTTCTTGTCCCCCAGTGATAGGCGTTCCTGGCACTGTATGTGCGGATATTTCACCCCGAGTGAATACCCTCTGCTCCATTTTTTTTTTCCTCATGTAAGAGCTCAGCATTCCCCAGTGAATTTAAGCAGTTCCTCTATGACAAGTTAATTTTTTCCTGCTAGTAGGCATGTTGTGGGGACATCCTATTAAGCCCCAACTTCTCTTTCTAACATCTGCTTGGAAAGAATTTGGAATCAGAGTTTTTTCCTGACATTTTAAGCACTCCAGTGCTACCTAGTGGGGTGGGAATCTTCTCCATGGGGAGCCTTGTCAGTCCTTCCAGAACCTCTAGTTCCCTGATTCCTTTCCCTCTTACGTCCCTCTCTCAGTGATCAGGCCCCATGCCCTATTTGTAAGCAGAAAATCTCCCCTTTCAGCAGCTGGGAGGAAGCCATCCTGGCAAGACAGATTTTTGCCTCAGTGCTATCCCTATCAGAGGGAGGACAGCCATTCAATTCTTACATTATTTTGAGACATCTGTTGTGCATTCAGCTACATTGGCATCTAAGTGAGAAACGGATCTTATGTTTAGAAGTCAATTGGTCCCATTCTCTAGGAATTCATAACTTTGCCCGGGCAGTAGTAACAGAATGTATGGATAGAGTTAAGACACTCCCTCCATTAAAGGGTCTTGCCCAAATTCAACTATTGTGCAATCTCTTCTGGGCCCCTGGGGTACCCTGGGAGCCTTATGGGTCATGTGGGTCTGGGAAACCAGCAGGGTGGAGAGCTAGGGCCTCATACAGGTAAACATGACTACTCTTGCCGACTAGCTCCTCTAGATCCATGGGCGAAGGTTATGCTTGCATCCATGGGTGGCATCTATGATGGTTGCTGGGACCCTGAGGAGATGGGATGAAAGAGGAGAAGTGGGGCACTCTTTCTATCTTTCTCTCCACTCTGGGTCACTCTGAAAGGAGGAGGAAGACTAACGGACACCTTCTCCTCCCCTCTTTTCTTTTTTTCTTTCAGGCTCAATTCACTTTATTTTTCTTGTATAAAAACCCTATGTTGTAGCCATAGCTGGAGCCTGAGTCCTCTGCATGGAGACTCTGGTGTGGGTCTTGATGGAGTGGTCAGTGAATTCCTGATAGGGAGACTTGGTTAATACAGTCTCCTTCCAGGGTCGGGGGTCAGGTAGCTGTAGGTCTTAGAGATGGCATCAAAGGTGGCCTTGGCAAAGTTGCCCAGGGTGGCAGTGCAGCCCCTGGCTGAGGTGTAGCAGTCATTGATACCAGTCATCATGAGTAGCTTCTTGGGCACAGGGGCCAAGACAATGCCAGTGCCCCTGGGCACAGAAATGAGGCACACCAGCACAGAGCCACAGCAGCCTGCCACCTTGCAAGGGATGGTGTGGGGCTTGCTGATTTTGTTCCCCCAGTAGCCTCTGCACGCAGGGACAATGGAGAGCTTGGCCAGGATGATAGCCCCACAGATGGCAGTGGCCACCTCCTTGGAGCACTTAATACCCAGACTGATGTGGCCATTGTAGTCCCCAGTGGCAACAAATGCCTTGAACCTGGTACACTGGCTGGTATGGGTCTGCTTCTGCACCAGCATAATTTTCAAAACCTCGTCCTTGAGAGAGGACGAGGTTTTGAAAAAGTCAAATGATCTCAGATTCCTTGATGGGCAGGGAGAAGAGATAGATCTCCTCCAGGGACTTGATCTTGATGTCCTTGACCAGGTGGCCCAGCTTGGTGACGGTCATCCACTCCTTATACTCGGCCTTGCCTCCACGAACTCCACGGCCTTGGCCCTGGCCCTGTCCACAGCCACAACCCTGGTGCCGGATGCCACTACCAAAGCCTCTGTGGAAGCCACCACGGTTCCCCATCCTAGGCCCCCGGGGCCTCCGGCCCCCTACTCCTGCACCAGCATCATCTGCCATTTGGTGTTTTCTTGGAGAAGTTCCTTCTCTCTTTTCTAGATGGGCAACAACCCATCTTCAAGCCTGCACTCCCCTTGAGCATAGCCTGGATGTAACCTGGTGTAACCTCAGATCCTGAAGTTCGCTTTGGGCAAGCCCTAACTCATATATAGAGATCTTCCAACTATTTAACCCAACTATTTAAACTCTCCTGGAAGGACGTTATGTTACTCTTAAATCAAACTCTAACTGCTGCTGAGAAACACGCAGCCCTACAGGTAGCAGAGAAATTTGGAGATGAATAACATATTTCCTCTAGCCATTCAAGAAAGAAAGCCAGTCAAAAGGGGAAAGAGAGTGAGAAAGACGCAAAATCCCCATTCTCAGTAGGAAGAGAGGCAGTGCCCCTTGAAACCTCTAATTGGAACACTAGTGATCCCATAGATGAGTGGAAAAGAAAACACTTTCAGATGCGTATATTAGAGGGCTTACAGAGGACCAGAGCCAAACCCCTCAACTACTCTAAGCTATCTATGATAGATCAAAAGCTAGATGAAAATCCCTCAGCATTTTTAGAAAGGCTGAGAGAAGCCTTGGTAAAACACACCTATCTCCTAATTCAATTGAGGGACAGCAAATCTTGAAAGACAGATTTACTCAGGTGGCCCCTGGTATCAGAAGGAAGCTGCAGAAACAGGCTATCGGATCACATAGCACCACAGAAAACCTCCTAAGAGTACCCACCTTGGTCTTTTATAATAGGGACCAAGAGGAGGCCCAGGAAAAGGAGAGGAAACACAAGAAAAAGGCAGAGAGAGGGATACCTTGAAATGGAATGCAGGCCTGGGACTCCATAAGCCTGCTGTTCCAGCCAGCCTGGTAAGTTGGTCAGTAACAAATTTTGCTGCAGGCCTCCATCTTGTTTTATGTCCTTGGGACCGTGACCTTGCGATGTGGTGGTACTTTGTTTTGGCCTCTGCTATTTTACAATGGTGGCCTGAGTTCAATCCTGACTTGAGGAATGAGCACTTTTGGGTTAATATCTGTGTGACTTTTGCCATTTCCTGATTCTCTTCTCCTCTATGAACAACATTTACCTTTTTTCTTAAATCTTCATTTCCCTGAGTTATCTTTAAAGGTTCTATATTTTGTAAGAACTGCTTACCCCACTTTGAAAACACCTCATACACTTGTGGTTAAATCATAATCTTTATTGAGGCTTGTGGTTTTCACCTGTGAGGTTACTTCTGGTAAAGCTCAAAAGCCAGAAATACTAACCACTTGGTGTGGCTAAAGTTGGATAACAAGGGATTTAAAAGGATTTTCTTAAAGCGTGCTCAGTTTAATTAAAAGTGGATATCTAAGTTACACGTATATTTAAAAGGCCTTTGTTTTTCTCTTCTTGGATCTTGTTTTTCTGGAAAAGGGTTTTTTTCAGTCACCTGAATTCTTTTTCTCCATTTTGTCTTGCCACTGTTTTTTTTTGTTTGTTTGTTTGTTTTGTTTGTTTGTCTTTTGAGATACAGTCTCACTCTGTCACCTAGGCTGCAGTGCAGTAGCATGATCTCAGCTCACTGCAACCTCCGCTTCCCTGGTTCAAGCAATTCTCCTGCCTCAGCCTCCTGAGTAGCTGGGATTACAGGCACTCACCACCACACCCAGCTGATTTTTGTATTTTTAGTAGAGATGAGGTTTTACCATGTTGGCCAGGCTGGTCTTGAACCCCTGACCTCAGGTGATCTGCCCACCTCGGCCTCCCAAGGTGCTGGTATTACAGGCATGAGCCACTGCAACCAGCTTCTTACCACTCTTAATGCACACCTCAGAGGCCCCAAGATAACTTCTGGTGGCCTGGGACTCCTTGGGAAAAACAGAAAAGGTGCCATAGATTCCATTTTGGGAGAAACCTTTGTTTTCCTCCTGGAGCCCCAGGAATTAGAGGCAAATAGATCCCTCTCAAAATCTGTTTCTGTCCTCCAGCTATGCCTGTTTATTAGGCCCTAAAAACTGCATGTTTTCCTAGCCCTGCTCTTAAAGGGGGCCACCTGGAGGCCGATAATCCAATTTAAAAATTGGCAAATGAATATCTTATAACTACTAGATCTGCTTGTGTTTTTTGGTGTAGTTATATATGTGTTGCATGTGATGTCTACAAAAAGAGCTGTAATTAATTGGCTTAAAGAAAAATAAGTGCTTAGTTCAAATTTTTTTTTAAATAAAAAGTAAAAGCTGTAATGCTTCTTGGTTCACAGAACTTTAATCTTTGAGAAACAAAAACAGTCTTAAGGATTATTGGCAAAATACAAATGTGTTCAAAATGTAAATAGATGGTCTAAATTATGCAAGTCAGATACTAGGTTCAGATTCTATCTGTGCCTAGTACATCACTAAAATAATTTACCAGGTTTCACATTAAAATTTAAAATTGCTAAGAGTTACCATTATAACGTGTAATTGAGACTACTGAAAATAGATTTACATGCAAGATGTGTAAAAATAGTAAAATGTGTTTTTAGTAAAAGATTATAAGAAGGCATGGAAATATATATTTGCCTAGGGTTAAGGGATTGTTTTGAATCAGATAATATAAAGCTGAAGGTTTAAACAAGTTGTGGAGATACTGTAGAAATTCTATGTGGACATCAGCTAAAGTTAAAAGGGTATTATTAAATTTTTGTGTAAATTAAGCATTGAAATAAAAGCCCAACAAGGTTTTCTTTTTTTCTTTTCTTTTTTCTTTTTTTTTTTTTTTTGAGACGGAGTCTCGCTTTGTCACCCAGGCTGGAGTGCAGTGGCGCGATTTCGGCTCACTGCAAGATCCGCCTCCTGGTTCACGCCATTCTCCTGCCTCAGCCTCCCAAGTAGCTGGGACTATAGGCGGCCGCCACCAGGCCTGGCTAATTTTTTGTATTTTTAGTAGAGACAGGGTTTCACCATGTTAGCCAGGATGGTCTCAATCTCCTGACCTCGTGATCCACCTGCCTCGGCCTCCGAAAGTGCTGGGATTACAGGTGTGAGCCACTGTGCCCAGCCTTCTTTTTTCTTTTTGAGATGGAGTCTCACTCTTTTGCCCAGGCTGGAGTGCAGTGGCACAATCTTGGCACACTGGAACCTCTGCCTCCCAGGTTCAAGCGATTCTCTTGCCTCAGCCTCCTGAGTAGCTAGGACTACAGGCGCCCGCCACCATGCTCAGCTATTTTTTTTGTATTTTTAGTAGAGACAGGGTTTCACCATGTTGGCCAGGATGGTCTTGATCTCTTGACCTCATGATCCACCTGACTTGGCCTCCTAAAGTGCTGGGGTTACAGGCCTGAGCCACCATGCCAGGCCAAGGTTTTTTTAAGAAGCTAATCTGCTCTGGGCTGGGTGCAGTGGCTCACGCCTGTAATCCCAGCATTTTGGGAGGCTGAGGCGGGTGGATCACGAGATCAGGAGTTCGAGATCATCCTGGCTAACCTGGTGAAACCCTATCTCTACTAAAAACACAAAAAATTAACCAGGCGAGGTGGTGGGCCCCTGTAGTCCCAGCTACTCGGGAGGCTGAGGCAGGAGAGCGGTGTGAACCCGGAAGGTGGAGCTTGCAGTGAGCTGAGATCTCGCCACTGCACTCCAGCCTGGGTGACAGAGCAAGACTCCATCTCAGAAAAAAAAAAAGAAGATAATCTGCTCTTTAGCAAAGTTTGTAAAGGGTTATAAAAAGTTTATAAGAGTCTCACCTCATGGTTAAACTGATTAAGATTAGATGAACTTGTCTGTAAGTTTTCATTTAAAAAATGGGGTTAACATTAATAAACTAATGCAAGGGTGAAATTTGGCTTTGAACAGGATTTTCATGTAATAGTAAAGGCTAGTGAAACGTTTTTGCCTTTTAAAATTTTTGAGTCATTATTTTGGCAAATAAATAACTTATAGTAATCTGGAATTCTATTTCATAACATCAAGTGTTTTAAATCTCTAACCTATTTAAGAGGCTTCTCAAAATCAGTTTTGGGAATTTTGTCAATTTTGAATTTCAGTTTCAGAATTGTCTTTCCTGACGCCTAGCTTTTGGATGCTACAGAGGGCCCCTGAAGCATCCAGAAGAGAGGTAAGCAGGGTTATCTAACATGTTTAGGTATGTGGGGTTTCCAAAATGATGTTTAATCTTCTTCAGGTTATATTTTAGTGAATAATATTAATATACACTCAAAAATTGTACAGGATTTCAAAAATTCTAATGTCTGAGTGTATACCATCAATCATAATTAAGATTTTTATGTTAAGTTATTGTAAACCACAGAAATAACCAAATTTCTTTGTCAATTGTGTTCTTGACTGTAACTACCCTGGACATTTCATCATTCACAGATAATTGTTATCTTACTTTAATCCTCTTCAAAGATTGGTTCATAATCAGCTATAGGACTTTGACAGGTGCCCTCAAATGCAAGTTTCTAATCAGTTTGTAGATTATGACATTGGAATAAAGGAAAAGTGCTCAGGACCCATGAAGAGCTGAAATGTTCATGAATATCGAGCAAAACAACAGTTAAAAAAACGGGCTTTTTAAAGTTTTTGCTCAAAATGTTGCTGATCCTTGTTTTTTTTTTCAGAATCAAGGAAACTTATCTTAAGCTATTTACAGCCTTTCGTAATTACATAAGGCATACTCCTGTAAACAAAATTTGGAGCATGCTTGCTTCTTTCTGCCTGGCTTCTCCAGAATTTGGAAGCTGGGAGTATTCTTAACTTATGGCAGTATAGTTGTTTGCCTCTGTGCAATAACGATCTATTTTCTTTTACAACAGGACACAATTGCAGAAACTAGTTGTTTTACTAAGGCTTTGACTGGAAGGATATGCTTCCCTTTGAGGAATCAAGCTTGGCGTACAGAGCCAATAAAAGCCCCTTGGGGAAACTGGCTTCATACCTTGTCTATACAGTCCCTGTACAGGGTTCCTAACCTGTGGTGAGTAAAGAATGTCACTGTCTAACAGGCCCAGGAACCCCATATTCTTGGGACCTTAAGAAGAGAAGAATTCACCTAACTCATAGGTATTTGAGGGTACAAACGCATGGCTAGGCTTGGTGTTAAAAGGTCCTGTCTGAAGTTCCACAAGCCTCATCAAAGCCAATTTAAAAAGCCTATGTAAAAATAATTATTCTTATTGCACCTTATGTAAATAATCAGACCAAGTATAAAAGTAAAGTTTCTATCATGATTTGTTTTTAACAAAAATGAGGACTGGAAAGAGAAAAATTATGTTTCAAAACTTCTTACATGTTTGTCATTAAATTCTAATTTCATTAGTTGCTTTGAAGTTCTTGCCTACATTTTAGACTAAGCCTGCTTATTCATGTAAACCAACCAGCATCTCAGAAGAAACAAAAAGGGATGGTTAATGTAAAAATCTGGATCGATATTTTAGTTCTGGTTAATTATCGTGCAAATCCTGCATGGTGATGGGAGTAAATAGGGTGTCCATTACTCAGAGATTTCTTTGTTTGGGAAAATAAAACTAAGGAAGTTAACCAAAGCCGAGCCCCATTCACCTAAATCTTAGAAGCATAACTATAGCCACTACTTATCTGGGCGTGTTGGCAGCCTTGGGATTTTTAAGCTGTTCTTACCTCGCCCCCACTTGTTTCATTTTAATACATGTCCTGTAATAACCTAAATTGTTTCTTCTTACCTAAAGGCTATCAAGCTCCAAATGGTAATGCAAATGAAATCACACATGGACACGCCTTTCTTCCAAGGACTCTCAGACCAGCCCTAGGAGGAATCGTAGCTGCTGTTCCCCACACAAAGCTACTCTGTAGCAGCAAGTAGCCGCAAGGCTCATCGCCCCATCTCCCTAACAGCACTTAGGGTCTCCACTCCTGAGGCGGGGGGGGGGGAAATGAAAGAGTAGAAAGGAAGAAACTGATTAGGCAGGCAGTTAGCTGGGTCCTCAGTTGAATTATTTCAAACAGAAGAACAACCTGCAAGCACAGATAAGGGAACCTGCATAGGAGGGCTTGCCTAAGATATGCCCACAGCCACACAGATAAGAAAGCCTACACAGGTGACTTGCCTGGACACGCCTGCAATGGAAAATTCTGTCCCCTGACACATGCACGGTAAGGGGAACAAAGCAATATGGAGTGACTCAAGCTAAGGACCTACATGCGCACTAGGAGGATAGGGTGGAGCTAGCAGAAGTTTGTGCCTTATGCAAATGAGATGCCAAGGCCTCATCAGTTTCTTATAAAAGCCTTTACATTCAACTGTTAAAATGGCTATCCTCTTCTGGACCCCCCTCCATGGCAGAGAGCTTTCTTTTTTTGCTTATTAAACGTTCACTCCAACCTCATCCTTTGTGACCACGCTTCTTAAATTTCTTGGTCATGAGAGAAAAAACTCGAGTGATACCTCACAACGAGAGACTACTACGTTGTGGTGCATTGGTGAAACTGTAAAACTTGTCTTGAACTCCTGCACTCAAGTGATCTGCCTGCCTTGGCCTTCTAATGTGCTAGGGTTACAGGTGTGAACCACCATGTTTGGCCTGAAATTAGTATTTTTTTTTTTTTTTTTTTTCTGAGATGGAGTCTCTGTCTGTCTCTCCGGCCGAAGTGCAGTGGCGCAATCTTGGCTCACTGCAAGCTCTGTCTCCCGGGTACACACCATTCTCCTGCCTCAGCCTCCCAAGTAGCTGGGACTACAGGCGCCAGCCACCACACCTGCCTAATTTTTTGTATTTTTAGTAGAGACGGGGTTTCACCATGTTAGTCAGGATGGTCTCGATCTCATGACCTCGTGATCCTCCCGCCTCCCCTCCCAAAGTGCTGGGATTACAGGTGAGAGCCTCCGCGCCTGGCCCTGAAATTAGTTTTAAGGAGGAGGTGGAGCCCCAAGTCCCTCCTGCTCTGCAGCTGCTGAGTGGCTGCCCCTCAATCACAAGACTAGAGGTCTGTCATCTTTACAAGATAAGATAAGGGTCTCTGAAGTGAGGGACTTGAACTTGAAAAGAGGTGATTAATGACAGTTCACTTTTCAAATATCAAAGCTCCAGCTTCTACCCAGTTTGGCTTTCAGACTTCTAGCCACCAGGCAAGTATTTTCCAGGCAGGAAAAAGGGAAAAGTATCTTTTGGGTACTTCTCTGATAATTCCAACAGAGAGATCTGATCTGCGATTCCTCAGGAAAACAGGCCCTCTCTCTGGAGGTGACCACACATTACTGAGTCATGAAATAAATTTAGTATATTGTGTCCATACAATAGGAAAAAAGTATCAGATTATATCACAATAATAAAGGGAAGTATTGAAGTATTGTGAAAAAAGTATGGTGAACCTTTTCTAAGATGCACGCACACACATTCACATACCCAGGGTTATCATGTAAAATACATTTCTTACTGTTGACTTGATCAAAACGTTTTGAAAGCCACTGCTCTGTGGTGAGATAAAAATTGATAAGCCACATTCATATGTTATGAGCTTCCATCAGCTTCTCTTCCTCAGTCTAAAAGATGACATTGGAGGATTGCATGGAATATAAAAAACAAAAACAGAAAAAAAACCCACAAAAAAATGGAGAAAAAGCAACTTGGAGAAAACAGAGACTCCAGAGGGGGGAAAAAAAAAAAGGCAGGGCTCAATGGCTCACGCCTGTAATCCCAGCATTTTGGGAGGCTGAAGGGGGTGGATACCTGATGTCAGGAGTTGGAGACCAGCCTGGCCAACATGGTGAAACCCAGTCTCTACTAAAAATACAAAAATTAGCCAGGCGTGGTGGTAGGCATCTGTAATCCCAGCTATTCAGGAGGCTGAGGCAGGAGAATT
The DNA here is from genome assembly GCF_000001405.40 of Homo sapiens. NCBI lineage: Eukaryota > Metazoa > Chordata > Mammalia > Primates > Hominidae > Homo > Homo sapiens. Next base: position 173,289,841 of record NC_000002.12, on the reverse strand, counting down.
GCTTGAACCCAGGAGGCAGAGGTTGCAGTGAGCTGAGATGGCACCATTGCACTCCAGCCTGGGCAACAAGAGCAAAACTCAATCTCAAAAAAATATTCAAAAAAGAAAAGAGACTGCAGCTGGGCGTCGTGGCGTATGCCTGTAATTTCAGCACTTCTTAGGATACTGAGGCAGGAGGATTGCTTGAGCCCAGGAGCTCGAGACCAGCCTGGACCACATGGCGAGACCCCATCTGTATTTAAAAAAAAAAAAAGGGCCAGGCACAGTGGTTCACACCTATAATCCCAGCACTTTGGGAGGCCGAGGTGGGCAGATCACAAGGTCAATAGATCGAGACCATCTGGCAAACATGGTGAAACCCCATCTCTACTAAAAATACAAAAATTAGCTGGGTTTGGTGGCTCACGCCTGTAGTCCCAGCTACTTGGGAGGCTGAGGCAGGAAAATCACTTGAACCCGGGAGGCGGAGGTTGCAGTGATCTGCCACTGCACTCCAGATTGGCAACAGAGCAAGAACCTGTCTCAAAAAAAAAAAAAAAAAAAAAAAAAAGACTGCCTCCGTATGCTCAGAGATAAGATTATATTAAACAAGAATATTAAAGAAGGACTATTCAGAAAACAACAAAAGAAAAGCTTTTCAAAATAAAAAATAAAATTGTGGAAATGAAAACTGCAATAGAAGAGTTGGAAGACAGATGTAGGGAAATCTTGATCACTTCTGTATCCATTTCTAGCACCATACTCTTTGCAAATGAAACCATAATGAAAGATTTGTTAAATGACTAAATAGACTAATAACTGTAACACAGAGAGGGTAAGACATCTGCCCAAGGTCACACAGATAATTTTCAGAGCTAGGAATGGAAACCAGGTCACCTGGCTAAGAAATCTCTCTAACATCCTAGAATAATGCAATCAATGTATCAAAATGCTTAAATGTATTTTACATGATTAAGCACATGTTTTGTTTGCATTTTGATATGTGGTAGTGAGAAAAGAGTGGGCTGAACTGAGTGTGGCATTCATGGTTTTATCCTGAATCATCATCACTTCAGTCATGTCGATAGCGTCAGGGGCTCTGTGCCTGTCTTAGTCAGTGGCCTATAAACAACAGAAACTTCTTTCTCGGAATCTGGGAGGCTGGAAGTCCAAGGTCAGGTGCCAGCATGGTTGGGTTCTGGTGAGTACCCTCTTCAGTATTATATCCTCTCATGGAAGAAACAGGGCAAGAGAGCCCTCTGGGGTTCCTTTTTTTTTTTTTTTTTTTTTTTTTTTTTGGAGATGGAGTCTCGCTCTGTTGCCCAGGCTGGAATGCAGTGGTATGATCTTGGCTCACTGCAACCTCCGCCTCCTGGGTTCAAGCAATTCTCCTGCCTCAGCCTCCCAAGTAGCTGGGATTACAGGCGCATGCCACCACACCCCGCTAATTTTTTGTATTTTAGTAGGGACGAGATTTCACTGTGTTGCCCAGGCTGGTCTCAAACTCCCGAGCTCAGGCAATCCGCTCGCCTTAGCCTCCCTAAGTGCTGGGATTACAGGCCTGGCACCAATCCCATTCATGAGGTAGCCACCCTTATGACCTAATTAGTTCCCAAAGGCCCCACCTCCTAACACCATCACATTGGAGGTTAGGATTTCAACATATGAGTTTTGGGGGTGCCACAAACATTGAGTCTGTTAGTACCTATGATTTTTGTGGCGTTATTGGATATTCAAAGGATATTATCAATGACTCTGCTGAAGAGAGAGATACTGTGTAGTGAGAAAAGACCAATCTACAGAAGCCAACTATTTTAACGCTTGATTACGTATTCTGTATTAAAATAAAATGTTAGGATATAAACGTTGGACCATGAGTTTAACAGAATTTTTGAGAAAAAAAAAAAAAACAACAAACTCTTTGTGAGCCTGAATACTCAGAAAAGCCCAGAAAGTCATTCGGGTGGTGTTGCCTACGCTGGTAAACTCCTAAAGAAGAGGCAGATGGACATTTGGCTGTTCCTGCAGTTTTCAGTTAGAACATTCTGGTCCTTTCCAGCTGGGTCTAACATCAGGCCTATTCTGTTTTTCCACACAAGATGTTTACACATAGTTAAATATAATCTCTGCAGACTGTTATTAACTTTAGACATATAAAACTCCTTCTACATAACCTCCAACCTGTCACAAGCAAGGGTGTGATTCTTGGAGCTCTAGAAGTTTATTATAATAAAAAATTAGAGCTCATGCCTGTAATCCCAGCACTTTGGGAGACTGAGGTGGGGAGATCACTTAAGGCTGGGAGCCTGAGAGCAGCTTGGGCAACATAAGGAGACCCCATCTCTACAAAATTTAAAAATTAGCTGGGCATGGTGACGTATGCCTGTAGTCCCAGCTACTCGGGATGCTGAGTGGAGAGGATCACTTGAGCCCAGGAATTTGAGGTTGCAGTGAGCTGAGACTGCACCACTGCACTCCAGCCTGGGCAACAGAGCAAGACTCTGTCTCCAAAACAAACAAACAAAATGGATAAAAAGTTAAAGAGGGCCGGGCGCGGTGGCTCACGCCTGTAATCCCAGCACTTTGGGAGGCCGAGGCGGGCGGATCACGAGGTCAGGAGATAGAGACCATCCCGGCTAAAACGGTGAAACCCCGTCTCTACTAAAAATACAAAAAATTAGCCGGGCGTAGTGGCGGGCGCCTGTAGTCCCAGCTACTTGGGAGGCTGAGGCAGGAGAATGGGGTGAACCCGGGAGGCGGAGCTTGCAGTGAGCTGAGATCCCGCCACTGCACTCCAGCCTGGGCGACAGAGCAAGACTCCGTCTCAAAAAAAAAAAAAAAAAAAAAAAAAGTTAAAGAGAATTCTTCCACATCGTATATTGCCCATTACAAAAGATTTCTGCTGATCTCTATCTTCTTCAGGGGAGCATGGCTATTTTCTTTCAATTTATTGCTATGACATGTCAGGAGGTCTTTCTAGCTCAGATTTTTTTCCCTCTCTATTACCAAATAAAGCAATTTGTCTTATTTTGGATCAGAATAATAATGGTAATTAGGTCATAAGGCATATTGCTGTGAAAGTAAAAATTCGATGGAGTATCTTTGAAGCATGTTACCAGGATACTTTGGAGTTGGGTTTGTGGAAAACATGAGCTTAAATTAAGGTAAAGTTTTGATCCTCAGCAGTACTGCTTGAACCTGATAACAAAACTGTCACTGAATGCCAGTGCACACAGAGGTCCTTGTTTTGAGTGACTGCACACAGGAGGAAGGGGAGGAACAATGATCTGAAAACTTTGTGGGGTTCAATCAGCTCAGCAAGTTTCTAGCTAATGGACAGGGAATCATTTTGATGTGTCCCCTGCAGAGATGGCTTCTGTTAGTCTTCTTCAAGTACTTCCCTATACGTGGGGACATCTACTGGGGGTGGCTGGAATAAAGAAGAAGAAACCCAAGATTAAAAAATAATAAGGGACTCTGCATTCAAACACATCTGAGAGGACTGAAACTCGATTGGGTATGGAATCAACTAGTTACTACTCTAGTTTATGGGAAACCCCCAAACCAAGTTTCTCTATGAGACAGAATAATGTTCTGCCACTCAACTTCCAGTAACGACGGTCATGCAGAAATCACCTTAGAGATCGTCTATGTATGGCCTGTTCTCTTGCCTATGACATTGGCATGCATACGTAGTGATTTTCTAACAATGGGTATCATGAAACAGAATCACTCATGTAGGCAGTTTGCCATTCTGATGGACTGATGGAGTTGCAAATGTTAAGTGGAGTATATTTCACTTTTATAATAATAATAATAGCCACTTACTGTATGATGAGCTTTCACTGGTCTAAGAAATTTACCTCATGAGATAGGATAGGTACTATTATTATCTTATACTGTTGAGGAAACCGAAACATAGTAGTGTTAAAGTGGTGAGTTGGAGCAGGCTGATTTGAGAGACCTTGGGCTCTAGCCCAAAGAGTTTTAGATATGGACTTAGAAGACAATTGTAAACAAAAAAAAAAAAAAAAAAAAGAAGAAAAGCAGGTGTCTTGAAGAGTCTCAAAATGAACACTGCCCAAGGAGTATTTTATTGACTTAATTATTTAGAGAGGGAAAAGGTCTTTAAGAATATGGGTGGTTTATAAATTAGAAGTGTAAGCAGGACAGAAGCTAAATTATTCAGGAATTAGCAGTAATATTTATGATTTGGTAGTCGTTTAATCAGCTGCTAAATGACTATAAGCAGCTGAACTAAATACAGGTTTTAGTTATTTAAAATTGAAAGGGTATTGTCTTAAGAGATACACACATTTTTTTTTTTTTTTTTTGAAACAGAGTTTTGTCTTGTTGCCCAGGCTGGAGTGCAATGGCGTGATCTTGGCTCACTGCAACCTCCACCTCCCAGGTTCAAGCGATTCTCCTGCCTCAGCCCACTGAACTGCCTTGGTCTCCTAAAGTGCTGGGATTACAGGTATAGCCACCACGCTTGGCCAATACAGACATCTTAATCATTTCAACAGCAAATGAGTGCAGGCTGTTCCTTTTCTCGGGCAAGGCTGTGTGAAAGGAAAGTCTGCCTTCCTGTGTTTTTTCTTTTTTTCTTTTTTGTTGGGATAAAGTCTCACTATGTTGCCCAGGCTGGTCTCAAACTCCTGGGCTCAAGGAATCCTCCCACCTCAACCTCCCAAAGTGTTGGGATTACAGGCATGAGCCACCATACCCGGCCCTTTTTTTGAGATGTTAACACTTAACGTCTCAGGTGGGGGAATGGGCAAGAACCTCTTGCTGTTTGACCCACAGAAAAGAATTATTAGAGTGGCTTCTGTGGGTTGAAAGCTCACACTTGCGAGACACTTTGTTCAGAGTTTTACACTCATTGTCCCTAACACTCATAACTCTCCTGTGAAGTAAATATCCTTGTCCCCATTTCATAGATTGGGAAAGTATGTCCTACTCCATACAGCTCCTAAGTGATGTGTTAAAATGTAGGGTTGCCTTAATCTCAAAGATGAAATTGTCAGCTCACATCTGATAGAACAAAAACTCAGAGGGTTTTTTTACTAGCAGTGGTACAGATTTGTGCTAGGGCTTATTGGATACCCCCTTGAAAATGCCTGGCTAGAATTAGGGGTGCTGACAACAAAGACTCTCATGGATAACTGTTGTGATTCCTTCAGAGGGTAGGGAGATACCAAAAGAATCCACTGGGCCAAGGAGGTAGAAAGCTCTCTTTCGAAGGTTTATCTAAATATATTAGATTATAATATTAACAGAAATATAGTTAATTTTTTTATTTTTTTATTTTTATTTTTTTGTAGAGATAGGGTCTCATTACATTGCCTAGGCTGGTCTGGAATTCTTGGCCTAAAGTGATCCTCCTGTCTCAGCCTCCGAAAGTGTTGGGATTACAGGTGTGAGCCACCACATCCAGCCAGAAATACATTTTTTAACTGAAAAAAGACAAGCAATTCATGCTCATTTTTGACATATTAGACAAATAGGCAAAACAAGAAAAAATACACAGCTGCTCTCTCACCACCCAGAGATAAACAAAATTAATATTCTATTGTGTATCCTTCCAGACTTTTGTTTTCACACTCACACACACACTTTTTTTTTTTTTAACTTGACTAAAAAGTAATAATGTAATAATATCAGATTGGAATCTTGGGGATCCATTAAAAATTTACAGAATTTTATTCAATTTACTAAGTCACCATAGTGTTTAATGTTTAGGAACATGTAAACTTGTACAACTAAGTCCCTGACATACAATCCTTTTACAGTAGCCAAAGCCTGAAGACAATAGGTATATTTATTTTGGGAGTAAGCTTACTAGATTATAATATTTTAAGGAATTTTAATATTGATCCACTACAAACACAGTTATTACCCATAAGGCAATTTTTTTTTTTTTTGAGATGGAGTCCAGCTCTGTCACCCAGGGTGGAGTGCAGTGGCATGATCTCAGCTCACTGCAAGCTCCGCATAAGGCAATTTAAAAACAAAACAAAGAAAAGGGTTGGGGAGAATGGTTTAAACAAAGATGATTAACAAAAAGAGCAAAGCAAAAATGCTTATTTTGCTAGTGAAAGCTGGTTTAGAGCCTTACTATTTCTGTCTCAGGCCTGACCATTTTATTTTGAATTTTAAGATATAATAATATACTAGCAACAACAACAGCAAATACCATAATAACAGCTATGTTATGATGACAAGAGCCAGGTGAATGGAGCACTTTACATAGATACACTTTATTCTTTTAAAGATACTTATCTTACTTTTATTTTGGAGCAAATCTAAAATAATTACTAAGTGAATTATTAGTGAAACAATTAGTAAGCATAGTGAAATAATTACTGAGCATTCTTCTTCCTCAGGTAAGGAGAAGATAAAATATCACCAGAACAAACTTAAAAAAAAAAAAAAGCTTGGCATGGCGGCTTATGCCTGTAATCCCAGCATTTTGGCAGGCCAAAGCGGGCAGATTGCTTGAGCTCAGGAATTTGCGACAAGCCTGGGCAACATGGTGAAACCGTGTCTCTATAAAAAATACAAAAATTAACTGAGCGTAGTGGTGCCTGCCTGTAGCTCCAGCTACTTGGCAGGCTGAGGTGACAGGATTGCTTGAGCTCAGGAGGTTGAGGCTTGAGCCCGGGAGGCTGAGGCTTGAGCCCGGGAGGCTGAGGCTGCAGTGAGCTGTGAAGGCGAGAGGTGGCAGTGTGCTGGCAGCCCTTGCACCCCTCGCTTGCGGTGCCTCCTGGGCCTTGGCGCCCACTCTGGCTGCACTTGAGGGGCCCTTCAGCCCACCACTGCACTGTGGGAGCCCCTCTCTGGGCTGGCCAAGGCCGAAGCCGGCTCTCTGAGCTTGCGGGGAGGTGTGGAGGGAGAGGCGTGGGTGGGAACTGGGGCTGCGGCTGGCACTTGCGGGCCAGCGTGAGTTCTGGGTGGGCGTGGGCTCAGTGGGCCCCGCACTCGGAGCAGTCGGCCGCGCTGCCGGCCCCGGGCAGTGAGGGGCTTAGCACCCGGGCCAGCAGCTGCGGAGGGTGTGCCAGGTCCCCCAGTAGTGCCAGCCCGCCGGGGCTGCGCTGGAATTCTTGTCGGGCCTCAGCTGCCTCCGCGCGGGGCAGGGCTCGGGACCTGCAGCCCACCATGCCTGAGCCTCCCTGCTGCCGTGGGCTCCTACGCGGCCCGAGCCTCCCAGACGAGCACTGCCCCCTGCTCCACAGCCCCTGGTCCCATCGACTGCCCAAGGGCTGTGGAGTGCGGGTGCACGGGCCGGACTGTGGGCAGCTCCACCTGTGGCCCCTGTGCGAGATCCACTAGGTGAAGCCAGCTGGACTCCTGAGTCTAGTAGGGATTTGGAGAACCTTTATGTCTAGCTAAGGGATTGTGGATGCACCAATCAGCACTCTGTATCTAGCTCAAGGTTTGTGGATGCACCAATCAGCACTCTATATCTATCTAATCTGGTGGGGACTTGGACAATCTTTATATCTAGCTAAGGTATTGTAAATACACCAATCAGCACTCTGTGTCTAGCTCAATGTTTGTAAACACACCAATCAGCACCCTGTGTCTAGCTCAAGGTTTGTAAATGCACCAATCAGTGCTCTGTGTCTAGCTAATCTAGGGTGGATTTGGAGAACTTTTGTGTCTAGCTCAGGGACTGTAAACGCACCAAACAGCACCCTGTCAAAACGGACCAATCAGCTTTCTGTAAAACAGACCAGTCAGCCCTCTGTAAAATGGACCAATCAGCAGGACGTGGGTGGGGCCAGATGAGGGAATAAAAGCAGGCTGCCCTCCCTCAGCCATCAGTGGCAACTTGGTCGGGTCTGCTTCCGCGCTGTGGAGGTTTTGTTTTTTACTCTTTGCAGTAAATCTTGCTGCTGCTCACTCTTTGGGTCCGCACTGCTTTTGTGAGCTGTAACACTCACGGAGAAGGTCTGCAGGTTCATTTCTGAGCCAGCGAGACCACCAGCCCGCCAGGAGGAAGACGCTGCCGAACATCAGAAGGAACAAACTCCAAACACGCCGCCTTTAAGAACTGTAACACCTGGAGGGTCCGCGGCTTCATGAAGTCGCAGAGACCAAGAACCCACCAATTCCGGACACAAATGCATCATTGCACTCCAGCCTGGGTGACAGAGTGAAACCCTGTCTCAAAAATAAGTAAGTAAATAAAAATAAAAATAAAATAGTGACCCCCACCCCTGCCAAAGACCCTAATTTTGTCAGAGAAGCTATTCACTATGGTAAAGGAGCCAGTACTTTTCAGTGGTGGGTCTGACAACCAGCTGAGCTAATGTTGGCTTCTCCTTACCTTCAACCCAGCTCTGACTCTGTTAAAGGTCAAACTCTGGAAGTGCAGAAAGGATTGGGATTATTTTCCTTTCCTTGTCTATTAATGGTAATGTTTTGGTTTCCACATGCTGCAGCAAACTCAGGAATGGCAATTTTAAGAAGAGTGTGTGTGCTGGTTATGATTGCTTTTCTTTGTTGTCTTTGTTCTTAATCATTTGTTTTTAAATTGGAATCAGGTTGGACGCGGTGGTTCACACCTGTAATCCCAGCGCTTTGGAAGGCCAAGGTGGGTGGCTCATTTGAGGTCAGGAGTTACAGACCAGCGTGGCCAACATGGCAAAACCCCGATTCTACTAAAAATACAAAAATTAGCCAGGCATGGTGGCAGGCCCCTGTAGTCCCAACTACTCGGAAGGCTGAGGGATGAGAATCGCTTGAACCAGGGAGGTGAAGGTTGCAGTGAGCTGAGATCACGCCACTGTACTCCAGCGTGGGCAACAGAGCGAGACTCGGTCTCAAAACCAAACCAAACAAAAAACTAGAATCAATGTTTAGTCAGTCGCTCTTTCCAGCACTGATAGAACACTAACTTTTTAGGGAGCTCAGAACGAGTGTATCTTTTATCTAGGCTTTATTTAGTAAAATAATTTGTTAATAAAACTTGAGATATCCATCCCGCTATAACAGAGTGATTGGTAGCAAGGCTGGGGAGAATAGCTATCTTTTGAGAAATTCTCTTTTAAGATATGTATTAGGGGAAATGTTCGTGTCTTTATAAAACACAAACTAATGGAGTTCATGCTAATTTCCCACTCAGGGAAGCCAAGTGCTGTCTTTTTGTAGCAGCAAGACCTAGCACAGTCTGATTACGGCCCTGCAGGTTGAATAGAATGCTCATTTTTATCTTTCTATAGCTATAAATGGAATCAGTCTTGCAAGGTTGATGTACATGGGACCACAATGATCTGGATAAAAGACTAAACTTTGGTTCTTCTGCATTAAAATTTGGACAGCACTCTAGATTTTTCTAATACCACCAGGGAAATCTTTTCACCTCTGTAGAACAGAGATAACGGTGTTTAACTAAGGTGGTAATGTTGCCTGTTATGGGGGCCAGCCTCTGTGCTCGGCTGTGAAGCGCTACATAAAGAAAAAGGTTTGTTACATTTGATGGTTTTCCTGTTTGCTTGAGAAACCTGTCATGGTAGAAATAATGGATTGAGGGGAGAACAGGAAGGGTGTTTTCTTTCAGGGAACTTGGCTGAGGAAAACATAACTCATAGCAGAACACTACAAAACACAAAGGTTTCCACTCGCATGTAAACTGTCTTTTACTGAGAACCAAATTGTCACAGTCACAATAGCAAGCAAAATGAACTGTCTTTAAGGACAACAAAAAGCTCTCAAGATAATGACTGACAAGTATCATTAATTCATGATCCCAATAATAGGCACAATGGCCTAATTCAGGTTGAAAGTGCACACCCTTCAGGAACACCGGCAGCCATTCAGCTTGAAAAGCCGCCTAGCTCAAGAAACTTCAAGACGAAGACATGGGAAAAACAAAATTGCAAAGAAAACAAAAGTAAAGACAATCCAGGATTTGCGGAGTCTAATTAAACATGGCACAAGAACATGTTTTTAAAGCACTTGGCACAGAGTTAGCTATAAAGTATAGTTAAATTTATTATTACTACTGAGAACTGAGGAAAGAAAAAAGGCAGGAAAAAGAAATGAGAAAGTGATGACAGTTAGGTAATCCGGGCAGGCAGGTGTTTAAAGGCTCTAGGAGTGGAGTTGAGAGAATACAGGTCTAAAACTCCAGTTCTGGCTCTGTCTCCACCTTGCGTGGTCTTGGGCACTTGAGTTTACTACCACTTAACAGAGGATCTAACATTCTGGGCACTCGGGATGAAAAAGTTACAGTCCCTGTCTTAAGTATTAGTTTACAGGGTTGTTTACCATGCCTATCTTGATCATCTTACTGGTCACTTTCTGATGTCTTTTTCTTGTTTTTTTTCTTCTCTCCCATTTTCAGTAGTAGTAGTAATTGTAACTATGATTTAATTGTAGCTTATTTTAGGCCCTGTGGCTACCATCTAAAACTCAGTAGGGTTGACTTAAATCAGCATTTCTCAAACTTGAGTAATGTATGACATCCTTTTAAAGGGAAAGAATTATGAGATTCTCCTAGGATTACTCAATTACTTTGGTTATGATGTTACTTAAAAGAAAACCACCACTCCAAAAAGCAGAAACCTCTTTCCTGAGAGTTGTCATTCAACTATATACATCTCTCACAGACTTACAAACTGAATATAAACAAAATCAAACTTAATAGCATTAATTGGATATGAAAGGGGATGTTTTTTAGAGCAAAATTGTTGTTCCCATCATGAATACAGTGTCTTCACCTACTCAATTCTGTCATCGTTTTTCTGTGTTCCAATTACTGGGAAACCAAACTACTACATGCAGTGAGCTTTGGCATAAATGCATTTCATGTGTGTTTAAAATTTCCCCTTGTATTTTTAGCCCACCAAGAGTAATATTAATACTATTTGGCATTAAGAAAAACCCAGACTCACTTAATAATTTGCATGGCAGTGTATAGTTTTGAGGTGGCCACATGGATACTCCAGAATACATTCATACTAATTTTTTAGATTGTTCTGGAAATACGAACACAAAACTTTAAAACATTTCTTACAGAATGTGTGACCTTTAGAACACGTCTGATCTCAGTTTAAGGAACACTGAACTAAGTGATCCCTAAAATTCTACAAACTGTATTTCTTATTCTTTTTTTTTTTTTTTTTTTCCTTTGAGACAGAGTCTTGCTTTGTTATCCAGGCTGCAGTGCAGAGCATGATCTTGACTGACTGCAATCTCTGCCTCCTGGGTTCAAGCAATTCTCATACCTCAGCCTCCCAAGAAGCTGGTATTTCAGGCACGTGCCACCATGCATGGCTAATTTTGTATTTTTAGTAGAGATGCAGTTTTGCCACGTTGGCCAGGCTGGTCTCGAACTCCTGGCCTCAAGCAATCCACCCGCCTTGGCCTGCCAAAGTGCTGGGATTACAGGTATGAGCTACCGTCCCTGGCCTAATTCTTACTCTTAAAAAGAGTCTTAGCCAGGCATGGTGGCACACGCCTGTAATCCCGGCTACTTGGGAGGCTGAAGCAGGACAGTTGCTGAAACCCGGGAGGTGGAGGCTGCAGTGAGTCAAGATTGTGCTGCAGCACTCCAGCCTGGATGACAGAGCAAGACTCCATCTCAAAAAATAAAAATAAATAAAATAATAATTATAATAATAATAATTCTGTTGGCCAGGCACGGTGGCTCATGCCTGTAATCCCAGCACTTTGGGAGGCCAAGGCAGGTGGATTACTTGAGCCCAGGAGTTCAAGACCAGCCTGGGCAACATGGCAAAACCCTGTCTCTACAAAAAAACACAAAAATTAGCCAGGTTTAGTGGTGAGTGCTTATAGTCCTAACTACGGGGGAGACTGAGGTGGGAGGATAGCTTGAGTTTGGGAGGTTGAGGCTGCAGTGAGCCATTATGGCACCACTGCACTCCAGCCTGGGTGACAGAGTGAGATCCTGTATGGAAAAAAAAAAAAGTCTGTCCTCGATGATAACTTACACATAGTAGGTACTCAGTTTAATACTGGTTTAAATTGATTACACTTTGGTATATAAAATTATCTGATCCGATCTTTCTTAAAAAGCAGAGATTTTTATCTGCGTAATTTTCCTGGTACAGTTCTTATAAGTGCCACATAAAAATAGACATTAAATTCAGCAAATTTGTCGAAATATGCCCTTGTAGCAAACTGTGTAAATTAATCACTAGAGAATAACAATGTGCTGAAAAGGTTACGCCTTTACTCTGTTCTAAGAGAAATTATTGCACCTGCAGGCCCTTGTAGCCTAAATAGCCATGCTTTATATCATTTGCTATTCTCGTACTCTTCTCTTTATGGGCCACAGCTGACAAGACCAGGAATGGACACCTACCCAACATAGGGTCTGCTGAGCAACCCGCAACCTCTGTGGTCTGTTTAAAAAATATGAGCTGGGCCAAATAGACTCTCTTGGCACTTTGAAACAAGAAATATGGAAGGCTTGAAGGTTTTACTGGTTAAAGGTGGGAGCTGCAGCTAAAAGTTCAGGAACTAGCAGCAAGGATGGGAAGGCTGTGGCTGCAAGCTGAAGGAGGGAGAGCAATGAAGATCAGATGGTGGTGGCATGGAAAGCAGCAGCCCTGTGGGGGTAGTGGAATCACATTAATGGCAGAGCACAAGGGCAAGGATCTGCCGCTAGAGCCACCTCACATTCTGAACCATCTCCAGCTCCAGTCTTTATGGGGTTCTACCCTATTACAGTTCCATTTCTTGGACTGCCTTGGGCAAATAGCTAATTTCTCTATGTCTCAGTTTCCTCAACTGTAAAATGGGGATGATAATAGACTCTACCTCATTGGGTTGGTGTGAAGATTAAATGAGGAAAGGTTTTAGAGCCAGGCTTGGCACATACATAATGAATACTCAATAAATGTTAACTCTAATCATAATCATTCTTTCCATTATATGTTTTATACTACGCTACAGAAAATTCAATTGTGTTTGAACTAGATAGAATGAGACTGTTTCTTATAGAGAAACCTCATTAAAACAAGCAGGTGAAGCTGGGTGTGGCAGCTCACGCCTGTAATTCCAGCACTTTGGGAGGCCAAGGTGGAAGGATCACTTGCATCCAGGAGTTTGAGACCCCAGCCTGGGCAACCTCTCATCTCTACAAAAAATAAAAAAAAATTAGCCAGGTGTAGTGGTGTGTACCTGTAGTCTCAGCTCCACAGGAGGCTGAGGAGGGGGGATCGCTGGAATCTGGGAGGTCAAGGCTGTAGTCAATTCTGATTGCTCCACTGCACTCAGCCTGGGTGACAGACTGAAACCCTGTCTCAAAAAACCAACATAACCAAGCAGATATTGTTGATTTCCTTTTGAGTTTCCTTGGAACTTCATCTGTATTGGTAAAGAAGAATGGGACTTCTGAAAATTGCCGAATGTCTTAGTCAGTTTGAGCTGTTTTAACAAATTACCATAGACTGGGTGTCTTGTCTCAACACAAATTTATTTCTCACAGTTCTGGAGGCTGGAAAGTCAGATCAGGCATGGTTGGGTTCTGGTTAGGGCCCTCTTCTGGGTTGCAGGCTGCCATCTTCTTGCTGTATCCTCATGTAGGAGAGGAGAGGAGGGAAGGGGAGAGGAGAGTAGGGGAGAGGAACGAAGCTCTCATCTCTCATGACTCTCCTTATGGGATACTAATTCCATCATGAGGGCTCCACCCTCGTAAGCTGATTACTCCAAAAGCCCCTGATATGGTTTGGCTTGGTGTCCCCACCCAAATCTCATCTGGAATTGTTATCCCCACATGTCAGGGGAGGGACTGGGTGAGAGGTGATTGGATCGTGGGGATGGTTTCTCCCATGCTGTTCTCATGAGAGTGAGTTCTCAAGAGAGCTGATGGTTTTGAAGTGTGGCACTTCCTCGTTCTTGCTTACATTCCCTCCTGCTGCTTTGTGAAGAAGGTGCCTGCTTCCCTGTTGCCTTCCACCATGATTGTAAGTTTCCTGAGACTTCCTAGCCATGCTTCCTGTTAAGCTTGCAGAACTCTGAGCCAATTAAACCTCTTTCCTTTATAATTACCCAGTCTCAGGTAGTGCTTTATAGCAGTGTGAGAATGGACCAATACAGGCCCCATCTTCAAATACTGTCACATTGGAGATTAGGGTTTTAGCATTGGAATTTGTGGGAGGACAAACATCCAGTTCATAACAACCATCTAGTGTTGGATTAATAGAGCTCTTATTTTTGGTAAACTTATTTTGAGCCTTTGATAAAATAAGATAGTGATTTGCTAAAATGGCTCAAATTTAAGGAAAGGTCATCATTGAGTGTGTTATATTAAATGCAGGAGCTAGTGATTGTTAGACATTTTTAAGACAAAGACAAAGAATAACAGAGTAGGCTAAGTCCCAAGAACTTCAGGTTCAGAGCCTCAGGTCCCTCAGGCAAGGATGAAGTGCAAACAGGGGAAGGGGGAGTGGAGAGTGGAGAGGAATGCAGAAGGAACCAAAGAACGGCAAAGGAGTGGGGAACAAATTATTCCTGTTCCACAAAATAAATGCTTTTTCTTTTGCCATTTTATGTTTCAATTTCTTTCTTTCCAAGTTTCCAATTAGGTCAATAGGGAAATAATTCTCCTTACCTCTGAGACTTGTTCCTGAATTAACAGTGGAAACCAGAGAGAATGCAAGGCTGATACCTAACACCCAGTGGGTGTCAGCTAATGTTTGCTTGACTGAATTGAGCATTAAAACTTATTTTAAAGACGACTTTGTTAGAAATATTTATTCCATAAAACACATAATCTCTGTATAGCACCATGAAATCTGGAGGAAACCAACACAGGCCTGGTGAAGGAAAGAAGAAATGTAATTGCCTTCATGTCTTGCTTTTAGAAGCATTTACTCATCTACTAATTCATGAAGACTCTTCCGCTGTTTATGGAGACCCAAGAAAATTCAACTGTACCATAACAAAAGCATTAACTTACAGCTGATGGACCTCATGAACACTGTTTTTACTGGAGATTAAACATTTCACAAGGCATAAGCTTCAATGAGAACAGAGAAGAGCCAGAGCTGGGTAGCCTTGAGCTCTGCCTTTGCCCATAGCTGGCTGAGTGATGGGGCAGGTGCTTCAGAACCCTGCAGGCTTTGGTTTCTTTATCTGCAAAATGAGCACATTGAACTTCTGTAAATGGTCTTCAAGATGCCTTCCTGCTCTAACACTCAGTTGAACTATGCTTAGGTCCAGATTTTAGACTGGGAAAACGTGAAACAAGCAGAAACAGCAAAGCTTAGAAAAGAAGACACCAAATTACAATGGGGAGGCCAGAGATTTAACTGGTACCTGTGGTTGCAAGCCTATGAGATGACAGCCCCTGCCCTCAATAATTCTCACTTCCTGGTGTTTGTACCCTTGTGCAGTCCTCCCACATTGAGTAGGCTGACCTGTGTATAGCTGTCTATACACTAGGATCTTACAGAAATGGCTGGGTGTGACTTCTGAGGCTAGGTCATGAGAGATATTGTAACTTGCACCTTATCTTCCTGATCACTCTTTCTGCGAGAATCCAGCCATCATGTCATGAGGATCCTTAAAGATGTGGAAAGGTCCACATGGGGAGGAGCTGATGCCTCCTAAGAACACCAGCACACTCTTGGGAGGACCATCTTGAAAGCAGATTCTCCAGCCCCAGTCAAGCCTTCAGATGAATGTGGCTCCAGTCAATGTCTTGATTGACACTTCATTAGAAACCCAACCCAGAACCAGCCAGCTAAGCCACTCCTGAATTCCTGACCCACAAGAACTCTGTGAGATAGTAAATGCTTGTTCTTATTTTAAACCACTAAGTTCTGGGGTGATTTGTTACATAGTATTACATAGCTATTATGCTGTCTGTAAGAAAAATATAGTTGTTCTTGTTGAGTGTTTATATACCATGCATTGGTTTTTTCACCTTCTTTTTATTTATTTATTTATTTATTTATTTTTTGAGATGGAGTTTTGCTCTTGTTGCCCAGGCTGAAGTGCAATGATGCGATTTCGGCTCACTGCCACCTCTGCCTCCCTGGTTCAAGTGATTTTCCTGCCTCAGCCTCCAGAGTAGCTGGGATTATGGGCACCCACCACCATGACTGACTAATTTTTGTATGTTTAGTAGAGACAGGGTTTTACCATGTTGGCCAGGCTGGTCTCGAACTTCTGATCTCAGGTGATCCACCTGCCTCAGCGTCCCAAAGTGCTGGGATTACAAGCGTGAGCCACTGCCCCGGCCTCACCTTCCTTCTTTAATTTAGTCATTCATCCGAAAATGTATTGAAAACTTACTCTGAGCCAAGTGATAGAAATTCAGTAATAAAGTTTCCTACCTTCAAGAAGCTTATAATCTGGGAAGCTGGGGGTTGGGTGGGTGGTAGTCAACTATAAATGCCTATAACAGATGCCCCTTGTATTCTTGCTTTAACATCTCATTTTCTGTTTCTGCCAGTGTTTTGAGTACATAAACTTTGGCTGTGACTTCAGTGGTTGAAGAGAATGCTCATCAGTTACTGCCACATTATTGTTTTTACTTTTAATAAGAGTGATCAATACCATCAGCTCCCCCTTTAAATGCTAATGAATGCTTTAACACAGCAGATGCAGACATACAGTACACTGCAGATTAAAATTAGGCACAAAATTAAATTGCTTACACATAGCAAAGGAGCCAGTTTGGACATCTTGATAATCAGCCACTACCAGCTGACAAATCTTGAATTGTCCCCGCACCAACACAAAGCGTCCTCCAGTCTCAGCCAGAAGAGGCATCATCTGGCAACTAATGAGGGTGCTGGTGTCTTTGGGTAAGAGAAAGGAAAGGAAAACTGCCAGGGTCAGACTTTCAGTAAAGCTTTGTGTACTTTTAGAAGCAGTCACAGCAGGACTGTAGAGGGCACTAGGATCAGGAACAATTCATATTCATTAAAAAGACAGAACTTTGGGCCTCTGAAAAGGAAAGCCAAATAGTGAGATTGTATGAATGTCCAAAAGGACATTCACACGACTGTGTGTGAATTTCACACATATCTATGTGCGAATTTCACACTAATCGGGAAATTAAATTGACATAATGACATTCATTCCATGAAATGCTTTCTTGACAAAAACATCTCTCAATATTTATATAATTCAGATCAAAATATTTTATCTATAAGTAGAGTCACACACGACTATTTGTGAACATACATAGTATTTCTATTCTTTTTTATTCCTATGACAGGTGTTTATTGAGAACTTGCATTTATAGTGCTATGCTAGGTGTCAAAATTCAAAATGGAAAATTAGCACAGTTCACTATGATACAAGGGGCTTCTTAGGAAAAATAGACTGGCCTTTCCCTTGGGGTCTATGGCATACCCAGAATCTGCTCTCAGTAATACACTCCAAATCTTAATCAATGTCTCAGAGTTGTACTTAGGGGCCAACTCACATTAGCAAAGCTCACAGGAGAGTGATGTATAAAATTAGAATGGTAATTATTTCAACATTAGACCTAACTCCTAGCTGGATTGGAGACTTCTGTTAAGGTCACTTAATGAACAAGAAATTAGAACAAGAATTTAGATGATTTGATGTGTGTTAGCCTGATTAATAAGTTAATCAATTAATCCATTCAACAAATAGAGTATCAACTATGTATTGGAGAAAGATTATCAACTATGTATTGGAGATACACAGGGGATCAAGATAGGCACAATCCTGCTTTCATGAAGCCGATAGTCCAGTGAGGCATACAGAGGAGCAAATCTTGGGAGATTTATTACAATAGAGGGGGATAAATATGATTGAGTAACCAAAAGTTGCTATGTGAGTCACAAGGGCGGGCCTAACTCAGACACGGGGATCTGGAAAGGTTTCCTGGAGGTGGTAATGTCTCAGCAGAGAGCTGAAAGGTGACTTAAGCAGACAATACAGGGGCAGCTGGATCGGGGGTAGGGGGAGAGAAGGAGTACAAAGTTTTGAAGACAAAGGAGGGTTTGGCAGCTAATTCAGTGTGGCTGCAGTGTGATGTGTGGTTGCTTCACTGTGGGGGTGACGCAGAAGAGGTTCAGAGGAGCGGGATTATAGCACCATCTCGACACCAGGTACATATTTCTCAGGCTGAATGGATTCTCACATCACTTTGGGAGGGATTATGCTGGACAATAGTATCTAGTTTACAGGGCCACTACCTGAGATTGGGCAGGTCGTGCCCTGCATGAAAGTCTTGCTTGCCCAGTATGGCTAACCTTTTCCTTTGTGGATTGCGTTCTTCTAGGCTTCCATTGACGACCAGCTTTGGCTGTTCCAACTCACCACAGCCTCTGAAAGACCCATGCTCTCTTTGGATTGCTTGGTACCTGCAGCACGTTTCCATGCCTGGGAGGTATTGTAGCCATTTCATCAATTAATTCTCAGAGCTTAGTCTTATTTCCCTTATTGTCAAGTTCTTGGGCAGCACTGCACTGTACTCACAGAGCACCTGCAAGGGAGTGGGTTTGTCAGGGTGAAGTAACGGTGCAAGAGAGTGTGTGATAAAGGGCCTTGGAGAGGAGCAGAATGGAGAAGTGGCTGGAGCTGTGGGGGAGGTCTCCAGGGAGGCAGGACTTCAGCAGGACCCTGAAAGCTGAGTAAGTTTCATCAGGGTGGTGGTAGGCAAGGAGTTTCTCTGGTAGATTTGAGTAATGGGACATTGGTTATAGAAACTGAATCTTGATTTTAGTGTTGAATGAACTATGAGGTTATAAATCTTTTTCATTCTGTAACTCTGTTGGTTCGGTCATGCATTATTTGGTCAGCTGGTACACTAAAGCCTTGACAGTTTTGACCCTCCATTTGGCACTTTTTCCACTTTAGCAATCTCATAAGCCGGTTCCAATAACAGCAAATAGTAAGAAGCTGAGTCCAGGTCTTTCGCTCTAATTTCCCCAGGGCACCCCAGCTTCACTGTAGTTTCTCAGATCCAATGATGGCAAGAGAGTTGATACACCTCCTAAGTGCAGTCTCTATAATTTAAAATTTCAGGGAGGTTACATCCTGAACAAGGTGGCACAGCTACATCATGACATCTTAAAATTGAGTAGTTTCTGAGAACCAGAGTTGTAGAAGCATACCACATCTGTACCAACTTGTTGAAGTAAAAGGATAAATTGTAGAGAAGGTACTTAAAAAGCTTATCAAATATAAAATATTTTGGTACAACTGAATTGGAAAAGTTGCAGTTAAGTCAGAATGCCTTGAGGTGTATCCAGGATGTTTTGACCCTGCCATTTTGAACTATTGGAGATTCTGACCCTACTGTTTTGATCCTGGAGACATTTTGACTTTACTTATACATGAAACATTTTGATCGGAATTATATAAATATTGAGAAATGTTTTTGTCAAGAAAGCATTTCATGGAATGAATGTCATGTCAATTTAATTTCCTGATTGGTTTCCTATCCAACATAATGCTGTTTCCCATTTGTGTATTATTTTTTTCAGGCAAGTTCCCACTCTGTCACCCAGGCTGGAGTGCAGTGGCATGATCTTGGCTCACTGCAGCCTTAGCCTCCTGGGCTTAAGAGCTCCTCCCATCTCAGCCTCCCCAGTAGCTGGGACTACAGACATGTGCCAGCACACCTCGCTAATTTTTGTATATTTTGTAGACACAGGGTCTTATTATGTTGCCCATGTTTCAAACTCCTGGGCTTATGGGATCCTCCTGCCTCAGCCTCCCAACGTGCTGGGATAACAGGTGTGAGCCACTGCACCTGGCCAGATTTTTTATTGTACTGATTTTTTTCCCATGGAATCGATTATTTTCAATTTTAATTTTACAATGAAGATTTGCATATCAATTTTTTGTTGTTATTCATACTGCTCGTTACCAATTATAGCTTCTGCCACTGTGAGTTTTCGTTTATAGTTACTGTTTCTTACCTAATTTTCCCAGGTCAGATTTTACTGTTCTGAATTTTACTGTAAATAGTTTTAAATATTATACTTTTTATTTTTATGAGCAATATTCATTATAAATTGGCTGAAAACAATTGCTAATTGTATTTCTTTCAGAAGTAGTCCTTGATTAAAAAAAAAATCTCCAGTTCTCCTAGACAGATTTGGGATTATCCAGTTATTCAGCCTAGGTCCATGGTATTGCTAATGTGGTGACTGTGCAAAGAGCTAAACATCCTGCTTTGTCTGGGCCTTGCCTGGACTAAAGACTGCCTCGATGGTAGCAACCAGTGTAGACTTGGCACTTCCAAACTAGCTCTGAAGCCTATTTAGGGAAAATCTCCACATTTAGAGGTTCCCTGTCCAAGATATACTCTTTCGATTTGGTTCTACTGTAATTTTTTTCTCCTAATCCTAGAATAATATCCCTTTCCTTTTTATTTTCTTCTTCTTTTTTTTGGTCTTAACCACCTCACTCCTTGCAACTAATAGTTTCTCATTGTTGGCTACTAATTTATTTTTATGGGGAAAAAAAAATCCTGTTAATCCCTGCTTTGCTCTTGACTTACATTGATCTTTCAACCTGGCAAGTGACTTTTGGTGAATAAGCATCATTAGGAAAAGAAAAAAATAGAACATCCAACTTATTATTTCTTTACAGTCAAGAAGCAGACTGCAGATGTTCTTACTCTGATTTTGTCTGGGAGCATTGATGCTGACAAGTATTTTTCCATGAGATATTACAAAGTGGTCAGTTTTGTGGGCTGGTGGAATAACCTCTTTGCAGTCACTGACTGCACTAAATAGGGCTGAGATCATTGAGTTATTTTATTACCAGCTTGGATTCCCTACCCCATAACCGAAGAAAGCAAGATGGAAGAAAGTGGCATGAAACTAGCAACGATCTGCATAGTGCCTTTTAAACTAGACTCTTCAGCAATTCCCCAGAATGCAAATTTTGTTTCACAATGAAGGCCATACTTTGTGTTCCTTTCAGAGTGACTCGGTCAAGACTGTTCATCTATTTATCCAAAAATTCCGATCACAGAAAATATTTTATTGCTTATTTAGAAACAGCATGATATTAAGATAGCATATTTTGCATTAGTCTACTTTAAATGAAGGACAAAAAGCAAAAATAATTGAAAACAGGCTGTGCTTGATAGCTTCATGAGAAAGAATCATGGTGGAGCTGAAAACCTTAGAAGTTGGTTACACATGATGGAAAAGAGGCCCTCACTAACTGACTACACCATTCCCATTGCTTTTGCTTGTAAATACATCTGGCACCCAGTAAAACTTTATAAAATCAAGTTGTTGAATCAATGTTTAGGTGATGACAACTTCCCTTGTAAATAAAGGTCATTTCCTATAATTTTGACTTTAGTATTGATTGATTGATTGATTGATTGAGACAGGGTCTTGGTCTGTTGCCCAGACTGCAGTGCAGTCACGTCTCACTACAGCCTTGACCTGCCAGGCTCAAGTGATCTTCCTGCCTCAGTCTCCTGAGTGGCTGGGACTACAAGCAAATGCCACCATGCTCAACTAATTTTTGTATTTTTTTGTAGAGATGGTGTCTCCCTATCTGACCCAGATAGGCTGGTGACCCAGGCTGGCCTTGAACTCCTGGGCTCAAGCAATCCTCCTGCCTCAGTCTCCCAAAGTGTTGGGATTACAGGCGTGAGCCACCATGCCCCACCCACGTTGACTTTAATGCTACCGAAATACAGTTTTCCCCACCAGGCCTCAAGTAATGTATCACACACAGCAGGGGAGCTACCCTGAGAACAAATGCATGTACTCTGATGACCAGCTTCTTTTAAAAAAGAATTCAAACCCACAGAATTAGAAGAGTGTCCTCTGGATTTCTACAGAGCACTGAGAATCCTATGTAGGGCTTAGTGAATGCTAAACAGGGTTAGTGAATGCTGAACAGAATCTCAGAATATTGAAAGTAACATTTATTGATTTGACATACAATAAGTTTGTTGCTACCTGACTTTTTGGTTTGTAAAACATGAAGCATTTCACAAGTTGGATCCCACCATTTCTGCCCTAAGCTGCAGACAGTCTCCTTGCACCCCCACTGGTTTACCTCTTTGCCCACAGCTGCTCAGAGCTGTCTTGCTGCAAGGCTGATATTTACTGTCTTACTCCAACAAGGATGTTGGTAATTTTAAATTTCTCTGGCTTTTAGCTTGTGATGTTATTGTCTTGCTCTGTGTCTGTTTTCTTTTAGATTTTAGATTTCTGACATCCCAAGAGGCCTTTATGGAGTGTTGTTTTATCCTCTTTGCTCCTTTGGTGAAATTTAGAAAATAGTATTTGAAAGCAGTCGCTGGGAACTTAGGAAGAGAAAGAACCACAAATCTAGGCAATTTAAATCTTTGGTTTCTGATAAATCGTAATGAATGAGATATGCATCATATTCAACATTAAATTCAGTAACTTTTTTTATTACTGAAAAATGACAAGCCAGATCAGTTCAACTCTGACCATCATACAGACACAAATATCTTACTAAAATAAATACTAAATACTAACCAGCAGGGCTGAGCCAAGGATGAGATGAGTGAGGTACCTGCCTTGGGCACAAAATTTAAGGGGACATCCAAAAAAAAGAGGGGGAAAGAAAGAAAAGAAAAAAGAAGCAACAAAAAACCTCAAACCAAAAAACTCGATAATCAAGCTAAATGATATTTTAATGCAATATTTAAAAAAATAAATGCAAAAATTATGATGAACAAAATATCAAAATGTTAAAGACAAGATCAGTAACAGTGCCTTGCCAGGCCATATTGCAGCCTCAGCCAAAAGGAAAAATCAGTAACATTCATCTTATCTTTTCCTAAAAATTTGATTTTTTTGTTGACCTCATTTTCCTTCCCCTTGTCCTGGCCCTGCTAACCAGAATATCAGTGGTTAGGGTAAAAAGATGGCATAACCTTTCCTCTAAAAATGTTCACTCAAGGCAGAAAATATGTGTAGTGATTTTCAAGCCTAGTTATGATCACTGGGTGACCAATATCCATAATTTTGGCCCTGGTTTGGCTATAGTCTCAATTAGAAGGTATTTCCCAATCCAAAAACTGGAAGTGTTGTCTTTTCGTTAATTCAATCTGAAGGGATCATATTATCAAAAACCATTACATTTCTTTTTTTTTTTTTTTTTAACCTGCTTAGAAAAGCTATGTAGTTCAATTCATCAAAAGTTTCTCCATCCACGGTGGTCCCCTCTGGCTCTCTCTTTATTGGTTTTGGCGGGAGATGGCCTGTGGGGCTTTTTCCGGTATTCCACTTTTGTCCAGCCCCCTTCGCTGACTTTGCTGTCCTCTTCACTGGCTCTTGAGTCAGTCTCAGGGTGCAAAGGCATCCCTGGTATGGTGTTGGGTTGGTGGAGGTCCCTGGGGCTTCTCTTGAAGTCAGGCGACTGGTGAGGATTGAGTGCTGACTGAGAAACCCTGTAGAACTTTCCAGGGTATCTTCCTCTTGAAGGAGTGGAATGCTGACTCTTTCCACTGTATCTTCCTCTAGGAGAAGAATTGAGTGATATACTACCACGTCCATATTTGTTCCTGCTTCTGTCTGAGTATCGACCCCTCTCTGAAGAGGTGTCAGTATTGCCACTGGAAAAGCCACTGTCCCTAGAGTTGAGATGTAGGGAAGAGAAGTTTTTGGTCAGTCCATACTGAGTAGGAGACGAGCTTCTGGACTGGTTCACAGGTGTAATCTGTTGATACTTAATGGGCACCTGGGGCCGTCTCACAGCAGCAGCGTAGGAATCCTGGCCATCAAAGTGTGAGAAGAACGGTGACCCCAGAATAGGATTGCTCTGGGAACGCTGTAAAGAAGTGTTGGATGCAATCTGCCGCATCCTCAGAGTATCTAACCACTGGCAATCAGCACCTGCGGGAGAAATGGAAATGAGCATCTTTTAAGCCACACTAAAGCTGCATGTCTAATTCATACGCCTGTCTTAGGATAATTCAGGGCTGTTTGGGATGCTCTAAGCTTTACCATTCATAGAAATTCTAGGCTATGTATAAGGACGTTTCTTTTATTACAAATACTTTAAAAAATAAGGACATTTACACTTATTCAATATATGCTATGTGCTTGGCATTGTTCCATGGGCTTTACTTACACTATCTCATTTAATCCTCTCAGTAATCTTCTTAGGTAAACACTAATAGTTTTATTCTATAAATGAGGAAGCTTGAGAGGTCAAATGACTTGCCCAAGATCACTCAGTCAATAATACCAAGTCCTTCTGCATCTAAATCCCATCTTCTTCCTACATAGTTGTGTTGTTACTTCTAGAAAGTATGTTCAGGTGGCAGGGGCATGTTTAGTAAACAAAAGGTTTGTTTTGCCACCTGCATTTTTAAAACCTCAAGGACCCTAAATGCAGATAAGAGAAATGAGGTTCCGAAGGTTGAGACAGCTAGAGATTGTTTGGAAGAAAGACCGTTCACGTGTCCACAGGAGAGATCCTGAGGCTCGGGAATAAGAAGTATTTTCAGCATAAAAAAATGAAGCTGCATTGGCAGATAGGAAGAAGTTAAGATAAAAGAAAATGGTGAATTAACAAGAACCATTTAGTAAGCTATATTTCAGTGAATAAGCAAGTTCCTCACACCTGAGATCTTTTCTGTTTTCCCCCGAGCCTGAACAACGTTACCCATGTTCTAGAGTTCCTGGGTGGTCCTCCCAGCCTCAGCTTCCTCAGCTACTCCACCCCCTGCTCACGCAGATAGTGCGCGTGGAGAGTATCAGAGCATGCACATGTCTCTGTCTCCTCACTGCCTGGGCACAGGTGACCCCGAGCTCTGAAGTGAGTGACTTGTCCAGACAATTCCAGAGACTCCTCCCAGGCTTCAGTCCATCACAATGCCTTCTTCTGTTGTTGTTGTTGTGTGTATGTGTGTATTTTATTGTGGTAAAAACCACATTTTCCATCTTAGCCATTTTTAAGCCTCTAGTTCAGTAGTGTTAGTATATTCACATTGTTGCGCGGATCTCTGTAACTGTTTCATCTTGCAACACTGAAACTCTATACCCACTAATCTCTACCTTCCTCTTTCTCCATTTCCCCTCCCTTCTCCCCTGCCCCCTGACCGCCACTTGTTAACTGTCTTCTACTTCCTGTTTCTGTGACTTTGACTACTTTACATACGTCACATGAGCAGTAGCATACAGAATCACAATGCCTTCTTTCCTCGCCTTGACTTCTCTGGAATTTTGCCTTCCAATAGAACCCTGATTTTGCTCAGTCTCCATCCCCCTCCATGTAGCCACGTGATCGGGAGAGTTGACTGCATTCTGGCTCCAGGGATCGACTTTAATTAGTTTAAGTCAGATGTGCTCATGCTATGTTTAGGAACGGACAGGTTGCTCCATTCTGGCCAAAGCAGAATTGCTGACGGGTAGTCTGTTGGGGGTTTCTAGAAAAGTTTTCCTTACTCCTATATATAAGAACAGGTAGGGACCTAACCCGTTATTTCCTCTGGGCGTTGTGATATCTTTGTGTGATGACTGTAAACAGGAGAGGAGCCGAGGGCAAAGGCAGCCTATTGAGCATGGCAGGGCAGAAAGAAGGGAAGGTTCATTCCACTCTCTGAATATGGTTGAGCCAGCTTATCTTACTGCACCTGGAGCCTGCCCTACCTCTGGGCTTCTTGTTATGGAAGATAATAAATTTTATTACAGTTTAAATCAGTGGCTTAAGGACTTTAGAGTTGTTCTTAATCACTGGGAAGGCTCCTTAAAATGCAGACTGCAGCTCCTATCCCCAGAGTTCTGATTCAGTAAGTCTGGGTTTGGGCCTGAGCATCTGGATTTCTAGCAAGTTCACAGGTGATCCCGATGCTCCTGGTCCTGGGGCCACACTTGGGGAATTATTGGAGTAAGCCAGTTGCAACTGGGTTTTCTGCTACTCGAAGCTCAAAGATAGATCTTAACTGATTGAGGTGGTATCCTCTGAGTCTTTAGATCATCTGGAAATGTCATAATTAAGTTTCTGGAATCTAGCACACATCTAATACGGGAACACTAACTTACTTGAGTCGGACCTGCTTCCAGGGTTGCCATCTGAATTGGTGAATAATGTCTGAATGGCAAGTTGGACTGCTTTCACTTCATCCTGAGGTTTTGTTCTACTCCACTGAATCGAATGGACATGTTTAGTGCTTTTTGGAGTTCTAACATCACTCTGGTAAAACAAACAAACGAAAAAGACAAAAAAAAGACAAATAGAAACATATGACCAAATAGACACACATATATAAAATGGGAAAGAAAGTCATCCAGGTTATTATATCACTTCAGTTTCACCTCTTAGAACACTATCATAATGCACTAGGAAAATATTCTGAACAGTTGGCCCAAATATGCTAATTCAATGAAAAGAAAAATTTTAACCACTTTATTTCTTAGTGGGTTATAGCACTTATTCCTTAATGGATTATAACATAAATTTCTTAGTAAACTATAGTAGCTAAAAAATATGGTTGTCTTTTCCCAGAATTTATTATATTTGACAAATCTCAACTTACCTCTTTGTTTAATAAGAAATAAAAAATTACATCTTCTATTTATAGTACTTGATGACAGCTATTTTGTTGAATAAATGAAAATCTGACCACCATGTTTGCCTAAGACTGAATTTGGATCATCAAGGAAACTGAGTGAAGGTGGTGGGGTGAATTACCTGCACGGAGGGGAAAGGGTCTCAGATGCAAAAGTGAGACAGGATCAAGAAGTAAGAAATGGGGACCAGGAAAAGGAGAGGACACTAGGTCAAGACACATTACTTTCTTGTTCTGAAATCTCCCTCCTCACTAGCTGTCACCAATCAGTGTCAATTAAAGAGTCTCCAGGATTCAATATGGTTAGGGAAATCTGTTTTAAAAAACTCTGAAGTGAAAAACCCAGACAAAAGTGGCATATCATCATGGGGTCTGAAAAAGGAGGAGGAGGGAGAGAGAAGAAGAAAAAGAGAACTGGGTGTGCTGTCTCCAAAACTGTCTAAGGCAGGCAGAGGTAGAATCTGGTTGTTCTAATTGTCCGATTACTAACAAGAGGGCTTTTCCTGGGTAGTGAGGACCAGTTAACAGGCTGTAGAGTAGTCTAGTTTCCAAGTTCCTCAAGACCAACCAGCCTCTTTTGTTTGGGTTTTGCACCTTGCAAGCAATGCTTTGACAAGTAATATAACTTCTCAGATGCCTCATCCCTGACAACCTGTGCACCCCAGCAGGTGAGGATAAATAACTGCTGTAAAACTTTTTGGCTTCCAGCCTGGATAAGTGGACTGGCCAGAGTTTGTATTGCTTTGCTTTTCTTTTTTTTTTTCTTTTTTGAGACAGTTTTGCTCTTGTCTCCTGGGCTGGAGTGCAATGGCGCAATCTCAGCTCACCACAACTTCTGCATCCAGGGTTCAAGCGATTCTCCTGCCTCAGCCTCCTGAGTAGCTGGGATTACAGGCATGCACCACCATGCCCAGCTAATTTTTGTATTATTAGTAGAGATGACGTTTTACCATGTTGGCCAGGCTAGTCTCGAACTCCTGACCTCAGGTGATCCACCCGCCTTGGCCTCCCAAAGTGCTGGGGTTACAGGCTTGAGCCACCGTGCCTGGCCCAGGGTTTGTATTTCTAATATTGAAAAGCCAAATCCTGGCAGCCCAGGAAACCATCAAAATGCCACACTCACAGAGTCCTCTTTGAGGTGGACTTCATCTTACTGCAGCCACTGGGAGCTAACAGGGTAGCCAGGGAAGCGCAGAAAGTGTTTTTTATAGTCAGAAAACATGGAATTGACTTCAACAATTCTGTCAGTGAGGACCTCACACCTCAAGACTTCCTTTCATCTCTCTGAGCCTATTCTTCCTATCTGCAAAATGAGGATAATAATATCTTTCAGTATTTTTTTTTTTTTCTGGAGACAGGGGTCTCACTGTCTCACCCAGGCTGGAGTGCAGTGGTGTGATCTCGGCTCACTGCAGCCTCAACCTCCTGGGCTCAAGCAATCCCCCGACTTCAACCTCCCGAGTAGCTGGGACCATAGTCATGTGCCACCACACCTGGCTACTTTTTGTATTTTTTGTAGAGATAGGGTTTCATAATGCTGCCCAGGCTGGTCTCAAACTCTTGGGCTCAAGTGATCTGCCCACCTCAGCCTCCCAAAGTACTGAGATTACAGGTGTGAGCCACTGCGCCTGGACGATATTTTTCAGTATTGATTTACATGAAGTTAGTGTGATCAAACTGGTGTAAGCACCTCTAATAGTGCCTGGTTCATGGTAGATCCTTAATAAATGTTTCTTGAATGAATGAATTGATGAATGAATGAAATGCATGTCCCTTTGATGGTGGGTGCACACTAATATTTCCAGGTGTGCCAAGACTGTACTATAACTGTTGCCTTCCACCCACTCCCACCGGGTCTACGTACCTTGTAAGGTGTATGTCCTACCAGCCATGAAGATCTTGTTGATTTAAAAAAAATTAGTATTAACTATTAGTATCCCCAATACCAAACATCTTACATGGTATACAGAAGGTGTTCAATCCATAACTAATGAATGACTGAAGTACTACCTCAGTCGCTATCTGGGTAAGTTTATCCTGTTCTCTTTTCTTCCCAACACGTTGTGAGAGAAATTATATTGATCTTCCTATGTTCATGTTGGTTGGTTTACTCCCAATAAATTATATGCTCTGGGTATATCTCCCAATAAATTATATGCTCTGAGATAACAGATAAATTTATATTCATTAACTGATGGTGAGGCCACCAGCCTCTTGCCCCCAGAGCTTACCTCATATGTGACAGTGCACTCCACAGTCTGACTTTTTGCTATTCCTACAATCCACTTCTCCATTACAAATGGTGGCTGAAAAACAAAAGTTAGGATGGTGTAGTACCATAACACAGTCTGCTCTACTATAGTATGTTTCTTTGAGGCCGGTTGTGCCATACACAATTAGCAAATAGGGGCATAATATCAGATTATCATGAAAGCCTTGTTGGTTCTCATGTGATCACTCACAACATGCTAATGTTTGAAGTTTTGCTTTTCATAAGACATCCTTTTGTATATTTGTAAACAGCTAGTCATGGCCTCCCACAATCTTCTTTTCCGATATAACATTTGCTATCACTCAATCCTATCATTAGGTCATTAATTCTTGCTAAAGTTTGAAGCATCAGTTGGAAAACTTCCCAACAATTAAGAGAAATCCATAGCAATATGAGAAGACCCAGAAGTGCTTTCCTTGAGTAAAGCCGTGGCTGGTTTAGTGGCTTCAACAATCGCTCTGCTTTCCATGACATCACACTATCCAGCAAAGCTGCACATACACATGAAGAAACCATGGTTATGTTTTCCCACTATATTAAAACAAAGGATTAGTGAGGAAGCCTGTAGCTTTGATCCTATTTTAATTATGATAAAAACAGCCTCAGAAATAAGCTGTACTCTCCTGCCATCCCCCTTTCACTTCAGGTTTAAGGCTGCAAAGGAATGACTGGCTGTGAGCTGGGTTCAAAGAAAATGTGATAGAGATTTAGCTGGGCTAGGTTTTCTTTGAGACTGAGTCTCACTCTGTCGCCCAGGCTGGAGTGCAGTGGTGCGATCTTGGCTCACTGCAACCTCTTCCTCCTGGGTTCAAGTGATTCTCAAGGCTGAGCCTCTCAAGTAGCTGGGATTACAGGAGCACGCCACCACACCTGGCTCATTTTTTGTATTTTTCGTAGAGATGGGGTTTCACCATGTTGTCTAGGCTGGTCTCCAACTCCTGGCCTCAAGTGATCTGCTCACCTCAGCCTCCCAAAGGGCAGGGATTACAGGTGTGAGCCACTGCACCCAGCCTGGGCTAGTTTTTTGTTGTTGCTGTCGTTTGTTTGTTTTAAATTAGGATTATTATTGTTTCGGTTGATGTTTAAAAATTCTATAACTTTCGATTGGTCTGTCCCAGTTCTAGTTTTCTTATAAGCCTGTTAATGTTGCTGTGTGATTTTGTATGTATGGCATGATAGCAGAAACACTTATATTCAGTTTTACAACTCCGTGGTATGGGTGGGGAAGAAAGGAAATATCTTTCCAGTCTTCAAGACAACATACTGTGTCCTGACAAAATAAGAAAAAGGTAAAACCAAGTGACAACCCTTACAGATAAATAATGCCATGGAAATAACTCCTAGATGCACAGTGGAATCCAACAATGAATATCAAATCAATCTGCTTGATGTCCACTTGCAAATTAAAAGGACTTGGTGGTTTAGCACTCTGATGTGCACTCTAATGCATGTCTTTGAAGAACCATTTTAGTTCCCTATTTGTGTTTGTATCTGGGTCCTTTGCTACACGCCCCACTTTCTTCACTGAAACCAAAGACCTGGTGAATAGTGTATTACAGTTAATGGATTATGTGAGGTTATGGTGACTATCCTGTTGACTTCATGGTTATTTACCTGAAGTTGTTGACCTTCTACAATTGAAGTCTCATATGTATTGTTCCAGTATGATTGGGACAGAATTGAATTTTTTTCCATTTTGAGGAGCAAGCTAAGCATTTCCACAAGTCTTTCTTGTTTTCATCAGCATGCTTCCATCAACATGCTTCCACCATTGACCCTGGAGTAGTAACATGTTCTCTGGCCACTCCAGGAATTCATAGGTGTGAACTTAAGGAAGCCATTAAGACTTCACTGTGTGCCTCATAATTAACCTCATCTCAGTCCTTCAGGAAATTGACCTCAACCAAGAAAGTCATTCTCCGGGAAAAGTTTTCCAAAGTTTAAATAGTCAAAATTTGAAGTAAATATTTTCATCGTTCACATTTTCCCTCCTTTAATAAATGGCAGAGTAAGCATAAAGAAATAATAGACAAAAAAATTAAAAAAAAATTAAACGATACCTTTTTGCAGTGCTTTTTAGTTCACACAGCATAAGTAGAATTTTAACAAAAACCTATTATGATCTCAGTCTGCTAAATAAAATGTGCCTTTCAACAGCCAGCTCGAGGCTGAGCTGATGTGAGCATGGACAAGCACAAAAGCACACTGCTGGGGTATTTTAATGTCTTTGTTTGATATCTGTGAATTCAAAAGAGCTTTTAAGCCGTAAATAGAACCCTACCTTTGTCATCTTTAAAATCTCCGCATCAGGTAGGTTAGTGTTGAATGTCACATCTTTTATGTAGGTTATTGCAATTTCATCCCCATCCATCTCCATATACATTTTCCACTTACAATCCTGGAATTAAAAACAAAATTACAGAATTTGAGAAAGTGAAACAATTTTTTTTTTAGTCTCAATATTTCCTAACACATAAAATATTCTAAATGAAGTATTATTGGAGTGGCTTTTTTTTTTTTCCTTTTTCAATAAAAGGACATGAAATTAGATTCCTATGTATATCTAAATAAGCCCCAGTTAGTGCAGCCTTGAGACATAATGTATCAGTGTTAAGTGTTCTATTATAGGAGTTACAAACTCAAAATCCTGAAGGGACTAGGCAGATAATAAAAAGGAGTAAAACCAGGCAGTTTCCTTATAAAGCTTTAAGTGGCAACCTTTTAAAATAGACCCATTTAATTTACATATTAAACATTGTAGGAACATTTTCTCATTGCCACAAAGAAATGTGGGTTTTCTACCTTTCTTGAAACATAAGGCCCTCTTGATCCACCTTTAATTTTCCTAGATTGATAATGATGTGGGTTCAAGAAACTCTCACTTTCCTCTTAATACGAAAGAAAACAACAGTGCAAATGTGATGATGTATGATAACGGACAACTAGGGAGTTATGGGGTGGGTGAGGGACTCTGGGAAACCAAAGAACAGTTCCCCTAAAGGCACAGCTACTTCGTGGCTTCTGTTGATTGTTCCCATGTGGAAATATGAGCCCAGTTTTGCTAGGTCCTTTAATATTTCATGAACAGCTGAGAATTAGGATCCTTATGTAAAACTCTAGATTTTTAAACGATAGTATGTTAATTAAATTTTTAATAAAATCACCATATAATGAAAAAGTGCTTTACACCATTCGTTACCAGGAAAATGCAAATTAAATCCACAATGAGGTACCACTATACACCCATCAGAATGGCTAAGACTGATAACATCAAATGTTGGCTAAGATTTAGAGTTACTGGAACTCTCATATTAATATTAATACATTGTTGGTGGGAATGTAAATGGTACAATTGCTTCAGAAAAATTTTGGTAATTTATTATAAAACCAAATATATGCCTATTCTATGACCCAGAAATTCTACTCCTAGGTATTTACCCAAGAGAAAAGAAAAAAGACTTGTCTAGATGTGTTCTTAGCAGCTTTATCATGTTGACTAGGAAACTTGAAACTAGCCAAGTGTCCATCAAAATGAGAATGGATAAACTGTGATATATGCATAGAATGGAATACTACTTAGCAATACAAAGGAAGACATTATTGATGCATGCAACAATTTGGATCAATCTCAAAAACATTATAGTGAGTGAAAGAACCACACAGAAAAAAAGAACAACCTAATGATTCCATTTATGTGATATTCTAGAACAGACAAAACTAATTAATGGTAGAAAAATTCAGAAGGGTGCTTGCTTCAGCAGATGGGGACTTACAAGGGGTATGAGGAAACTTTCTGGGGGTAGCAGTGCTCTATTGATAGAGGTTTGGGTTACATAGGTGCATGCATTGGTCAAAACTTAGTGAATATATATATTAAATCTGTGTATTTCTCTTTTTAATTAATTTTATAGTGATTATTAAAACAATTTTTTTGAGACAGGGTCTTGCTCTGTCACCCAGGCTGGAGTATGGTAGCATGATCTCTGCTCACTGCAGTCTTGACCTCCCAAGCTCCAGCGATTCTCCCACCTCAGGCTCCTAAGTAGCTGGGACCACAAGCACGTGCCATCATGCTCAGCTAATATTTTCTTATTTTTAATTTTTTGTAGAGCTAGGGTTTCACTGTGTTGTTGCTCAAGCTGGTCTCAAATTCCTGGGCTCAAGTGATCCTCCCACTTCAGCCTCCCAAAGTGCTGGGATTACAGGTGTAAGCCACTGCACCTGAACTGCATTTCTTATTCTAGCACACTGAAATATTTAGGAGGAAGTATACTGATGTCTGCAAATTAATTTAAAATGTATCAAAAAATAAAGATTGATGGATGGCTAGAGGGAGGGGTAGATGGATAAGCCAAGTATATGTGATAAGCCAAGTATAGTAAAATGTTAGTGGTTGAATGGGGGCTAGGAGGGTTCACTGTAAAATTCTTTCAACTTTGCTGTATAAATAATTTAATAATAAAAACGTTTGGGGATAAACAAAGGAAAATAAACTCATGTCTTTGTACCAAATTTGACCCCTGGACCATAAATGCACATTCTCTCTATCTGTCTGTCTGTCTGTCTATCTATCTATCTATCTATCTATCTATCTATCTATCTATCTATCTATCTATTTTTTTAAATTTCTTTTTTAGAGTTAGTGTCTCGCTATGTTGCCCAAGATGGTCTTGAACGCTTGGCCTCAAGCAGTCCTCCCACCTCAGCCTCCCAAGTAGCTGGGATAGAGGCATGAGCCACTGCTCCTGGCTCTGTGTTTTTTGAAGAATGAAGAATCCTGAGGATTAAGGCTAATGTACCAAGCACCTCACATGCTGAAAATGCCCTCATAAATAAGAGTGGACCTGGAATGTTTCCTAGAGCAAGCTCAGACATAATTCATATGGAAAGGCATCCACAAAGAGGCTGTTGAAAGCCTGTCGGCTTCAACAGGAAGCTGGGGGTGCCTGATGTTTTCGGAAAGCCTCTAGATGAATCGCAAGCCAAGCAGGGCCCATGTCTGGCCCTCTTTGGCCAGCCACATTCACAAGACGGAAAGCCGATTAGTGAAGGAAAAGGTCCGTTCAATAAAATGAAAACCTGGTTCTTGGCTAACATAAGTCAAATTAGTTTCTCAGAATTGACAAATCTCTCAGTATTTCTTTGTTTTGGAGCCACTGCCACCCAGGCAATGTGGGTCCTGAGGTAAGTGGGCAGGATAATGACTGTTTGGTGTCATGATTGCTCTTCTCTGAAATAGCAAGAACCTCCTCAAGGCAGCAGCTGGGATAAAAAGCCTTAGAAGAGATGAGTTTACTTAGTTCAGTTTCTTTTGCCTGTCAAGTTTGGGAATTAAGTTAGTCAAAAGCACAGTCAAAAGACCTTGAACTGTGTGAAAACGCCTGAACTTCCCCTGCTTCACTCTCATCTCCTAACCAGGGAGCTCTCCCATGACTTCAAGCTAGAAATCAGACCCTCCTCTGCACACCGTCAGAACGGCTCTGTGTGAAGAAGCGGCTGACAGGAGGAGAACTCAAATTTGTGGAGTGCTTACTATGCTCTAGGCATGTTGCTGGGCACTTACACCATGCTGTTTTATTGGATATCCATCAGAACCCTGAAAGTCAGGACTATTTTCCCTTTAGACGAATGAGAAAAATGAGGCTCAGAAAGATTAAAGAACTTTCCTAGGGTTTCATGACCAATACGTGGTTGACATCAGCACAAGGCTGTGTGACTCCAAAGCTGGAGGAGATACTAATGGGGACAGACAAGCGGGAGAGGTGGCAGGTGAACCTGCTGGATGATTTTGTTGAGCTCCATAAATGGGTCCAGCCATGGACAACAGGCAGGCGGAAGAAGGACCAGAGATTTCGTTGATACAACCAAGAAAGCTAGTGGCCATCATCCTCCCTGCAGCAACTGCTTCCCTGCTCCCCAAAGTCCAACTTTTGGAGAAACACTGATACAAATAATAGGGTTAGAGACCTTTTATTTTTAAATTCTCTTTTTCCCTTCTACTAAAGAAAGGCTTTTACCTGAACCATAAAAGAAGGTAGCTACAGAAGGAATAAAACTATAATCAAGGAAGTCATAAGACAAGGAGGGCATCATTCATTTCACTAAAAAGTAGGTTCTGCTTGTTACAAAGCTGGGTAAGAGAGAAAGAGAATATGCTGCAACATGCAGTGCCCATGTAAATCATTAAGTT
The DNA here is from genome assembly GCF_000001405.40 of Homo sapiens. Taxonomy (NCBI): domain Eukaryota; kingdom Metazoa; phylum Chordata; class Mammalia; order Primates; family Hominidae; genus Homo; species Homo sapiens. Next base: position 173,254,906 of record NC_000002.12, on the reverse strand, counting down.
AATTTGACAATGGCCTGACCTAACTCCAGGTAGCTTCAGGGCATCTATGATGTCATCGTTGCCTAGTTAACAAAAGTAATCCACAAATAAAGTAATGGAATTCCTTATATTCTGCTCAGTTTCAAATTAGCCTAAGGTATCCTTAATGTTTTTGCCATCTTGTGAGTCATAAATTGTCAGTGAGGATTGTCCACAACTCTGGGATTCAAATGGTTATTGAATTGGACTGGACACACTGCAGACATTGAGATGCCATGAAACCAGTACTTAACTGATCAACCCCGGAAAAGGCTATCATTACAAATAAAATGAATTAAGTCATCAATAATATCACTAAAAATAACAATTCCACAAGTTTATGAGCCTAATATAGGATTTTACTTACATATCTGCAACCTTTTCAGTACCTTGGCTGTGGCAGGGACCAGGTAATGGGCACAGTGGACTCTGATTTTTTTTTTTTTTTTTTTTTTGAGACGAAGTCTCACTCTGTTGCCCAGGCTGGAGTGCAGTGGCACAATCTTGGCTCACTGCAAGCTCCACCCCCTAGGTTCACACCATTCTCCTGCCTCAGCCTTCAGATTCAGAGTAGCTGGGACTACAGGCGCCCGCCACCACGCCCAGCTAATTTTTTGTGTTTTTTTTTTGTATTTTTAGGAGAGATGGGGTTTCACCATGTTAGCCAGGATGGTCTCGATCTCCTAACCTCATGATCCGCCTGCCTCAGCCTCCCAAAGTGCTGGGATTACAGGCGTGAGCCACTTTGCCTGGCCTAGTGGACTCTGATTTTAAAACCATTCACTTTGACCAGGGTAAGATTTTTTTTTTTTTTTTCTGACACAGGTTCTTACTCTGTCACCCGGGCTGGAGGGCAGTGGTGCAATCTCAGCTCACTGCAGCATCAATTTCCAGGGCTCAAGCGATCTTCCCACATCAGCCTCCCAGGTAGCTGGGACCACAGGCGTGTGTCACCATGCCCGGCTAATTTCGCCTTTATTCTTTGTAGAGATGAAGTCTCACTATGTTGTCCAGGCTGGTCTGGAACTCCTGGGCTCAAGTGGTCCTCCTGCCTCAGCCTCACAAATTGCTGGGATTATAGGCATGAGCAACTGCACCTGGCCCAGGTAAACTACTGATTTTAGCTTGAGGTGAGTGATAGAAATGTGGGCACTGACTTTTGAATTAGAAATATTCAAGGGTCACTTTGAATGTCTGTGAACAACTCTCAAAAGCAAACATCTCTCTATTCTGAGGTCCTATGGGAACTGCAAAGTACTCCTTTTTCAAAACCATCTCACCCTGGTAGTCTGAAATGCTCCTGTTATTCACTCCTCTTATTAAGGTGTTGATGATTCCTATTAAAATGGAAACAGTATGGAAAAAAACCATACATTAAGTCATTACTAGTGGGACATTGTGGGGCAAGGTGGGGCAAGATCACAAGTTTAAAGTTTGATTACCTGGGCCTGAATTCCAGTTTTGTCCCTTTTCCTCCCAACCATAGCCAACTTATGTAACCTTTCTGAACCTCAGCATTCTTTACTCAGAAGTGGATTGTGGTGTCATGTGAAGATTAAGATAATGTAAATGCAGTTCCCAGCATTGTGCCAGAACCGAATTAGGAGCTCAAAAAGGAATAATTATCATTATTACCAATATGGTCACCAACACAGCTCCAATTAGCTGGTTTGTCATCTGGCAGCCATAAAAGGGAATGGGACCGAGAACAAGGTAGCTTTGATGGGCAGGAAGGTGTGAAGAGTGGGCTAGAGGAGGGACCCTGCTGGAGTGGGCAGGCTGGGTCAGCGCGTCTCACTTGGGCAGGAGTCTGGGCGTGCAGGGGGCTGTGAATCATTTGGGTACCAGGGAGTGATCAGAGATGAAAAAGAGAAGATGCAGCCAAGCAGCAACATAACAATGGCCAGTTTCATGAAATGAAGCAAAGAAGGAATAAATTCGTATCTTCTTACATAGATGGATCATATAACACCAATTCTGACCTTCCCTGCTTCCACATATCCTGATTCAGCACTACTAAGAAGCAGCACCAGATGCCTGGAGGTATTGTGTATGATTGGCAGCCAGAGAGCATTATCTTGGATGAGGAAACCAAAGCACAGAGAGATGAGGTAATTTGACTGAGGTCACACAGGTAGCAAGTGGTGGGGCACAAGTGCTTGACGGGCATTTGCAGGGAGTGCTAATTACTCTTCAGCAGGAAAAGGGAACTAGCCCAGGAGCGGAGGTGGGCACTGGGAAGTGCTTTTGCTAGGATTTCGAGTAGCAAAAAGTAGTTACCCGGAACTTTCCACTAGCTAGAAAATCTGCCTCTCAATGCAAATCTACAGGAAACAAATGGAATTTTGTTGGGGCGAGGGGAATGTGTGTGTTTGACATGAATGAAAAATACAACAATTCTGGTGGGTGCCCAGAATATGCATGTTTATCTGCTGAAATACCTGGGTAATTTTAGGAGCACGTGTGTGGCTAATGGAGGATGAGAAAGCATTCTATCTGAACTGCTTCAGGATCACCAAGTGAAAAAATTTTCTGAATTAAGACTACTGGCCAACTAAAACAGAAACTCTTACACTGTGAAGATAAAATCCTAAACGACACTCAGTTGATGCTAAATTAAGTATCTCTTTGTGAGAAATCACTATTACACTCTCTGCAAGCTGTTTAAATTTTTTTAGAGTTCCAAGCTAGTACAAGTGATGCCAAACATCACAGACAAGTGATCTCCCACAAGGAAGAAAAAAGGGAATGAAGAAAATGGGGGAAGAGGTGAGGGAATAAAAAGAAATAAGATAGAGGTAAATGTTCCAAAGAGGAAAAGAGATTAAAAGGTAGCACAAAAAACTAGAGTTTAAAGTTCTGGGCAATTCACAGACAATAATCTCAATCTCTCTCTCTCTCTCTATTTTTCCCTATCAAAATTTAATTGCATGTATCAACATTATACATAAAACCATTAAACAATCAAGACCAAGATCATTCAGGATATTTCAGAAAGAAACAGACTCCCAAAATTAGCCTTTCAGGCTTTTATAGATCACCTTTACCTGATGTTACAGACATTTAAACAATTTTAAGTGTATTTTCTTATTGAGGTATAATTTGCATATAATAAAATGCACAGATTTTTAATTGTACAGTTCAGTACATTTTGACAATAGTATATATCTGTGTAACCACCAGAATAAGCAAGGTATTTACGGTACCCCAGAACCTTCCCTCGTGCCTATTCCCAAACAAGCTGCCTGCGTAACCAGGACACTGTTCCAGCTTCTATCACCATAGATGAAATTTGACTGTTCTGGAATATCACAAAATTAGAATTTTACAGCAGGTACTTGTATGTTGTTTTTGAGATTTATCTATGTTAATTAATCCTCGCAGCCTTACCCTGTTATAGAGAGCACTGCCCCCATTTTACAGATGAGGAGACTGAGGCTCAGAAAATGGGGAGATTTGTAGCCAGGTCATTTGGCTTTGTAGGATAAGAATTCAAGTCCACGCATGCCAAATCTAAGCTGAGAGGTTAATTTTCAAAATCCACCACCACTCCCCAAAACCATGAATGGAGAAAAAGTAAAATCAACCAAGAATGCTCAGGGTTTCAGCAAAAAAGGCCTGTCTTGAGGAAGCAATTTAAAATATAAAATACAGAGGTCAGAATAAACTTTTTAAGATTCAAGGGAAGACTGGAAGAGCCACAAGAGTCACAACTGACTGTTGTGGCATCTATGAAGTAATGCAAGATGAAATAAGAATACGATAAAAATTTTGTTCATGCTGGTATTAAAAGTAGTAAGATGTTGACAATTTAGGCCTCTGAAGGCTCCTTTATATGCGTTGCTATTATCTAGCTCAGCTGCTGAAACCTGCAGTTTTAAAGGCAGGAGAGTGGAACATCCCGTGATAGCACCTGGGTTATTTATCATTAAGTATAACCCTGCTACACTATATTTTATTATGCTGCCTTTAAAAAAAGATAATACAAGTATGGTTAATTTGCTTCTCTTCTTTATCTATACAGTGTCATGACCCACCATGGCTTTGTCCCATGAGATTTGTTTTTTTTTAACCAAAAAGAAATCCACAAGAAACTCTCCCTAAAAATTCCATTAATAACCTCTTTCAGCGCGTATAGGTTGCAGGGTCTGGAACTAAGAATGTTTTAATCTCTTCAGCAAAACAATGTCTCATAATGATGTACAGGACTATTGCTGTACTGATGAAGAATCATACATAATTCAGCACCTTTCACTTGGCACCACTGTGATATCCTCATTAGCCGTGGCTCACAGTGTCTGTCAGATGGTGTCCATGCGAACGCAGGCATTATATTGTCTTTGAGATGTGCAGCTGCTTCCATGACACTGCCAGTATATAAAAACATGACGCCAGTTTGTTTTATTTAGTGCTAAACCTTCCAGTTTGTAAAAACAAGGCTGACACAGAGCCTGACATGAGGCAGTGAAAATAATTAGCTCTCATTTTCTCAGCCTCCTATTTCCTTCTCCCTGCTGTGTTCTCTTTCCACTAAACCACCACATGTCAGTCGAAATGGGAGGCAATTAGTGGGCTCATTTCAGTCCCCACAACTGTGCTGAAAAGAAAGTATTTATGATGGCACAATGAACAGCTGAAAGATTAAATAACATTTGCCTTTTGAAAAGAAAATGACTTCTAGCTAAATGGGCAATTTTTGATTATTCTCAAACAAGCTTAGAGTAGTTGGTTTTTAAAATACAAGAAAGGAAAATGAGTCATTTTTAGGTGAAAGAATCAAATAAAACTTGACACAGTAATGCAAATAACTGATGTTTTATTGCAAAATATGTAAATGCGTTATACCCTTAACAATGGCTTGTGTCTAAGGTCAGGGCAGACTGGTGCCAAGTAGACACCGGTGGAGATAAGGTTGTTATATTGCCTTTTGGGGGGTTGTTATTTGAGTTATGTATGAAAAAGGGGCTTTAAGGATGATGTTAAAATAAAGTGAAACAAATCAAGTGAGACATACTTTCATATGATGCATTACACACTTGACTGTCTAAAATGGTTCAGATGTTAGTTGACATGTTTGGAAAGGGCTTTTTTCCCCTTAACTGTATTTGAAATTGGAAAGTACTAGGTCTTCATGATGGAAAAAAATAATAGTAAGTCTTGCTATTGATTTCTGAATAATTAAGAATCTATTCTATGTCAGAGTGGGTTTCTTAACGAATATAGAAGTTGATCTCGCTTGCCTAAGCACTGCTTTAACATTTTTAAATACTGGGACATCTACTGCAAATAAAGTTTTATCCAGGATCCTCAAAATATAAAAACAGCTGTTCTACCTCCTAGGTTCTTCTCCTCCCACCCCATGACTTTAGGGGTGACTCGAAGAAATATGATTTTCAAAGAAACACTAACCTAGTTAGTAGGCATTGTTTACCAGTTGAGCTATTATCGATTCAAATCCTAATGTCCAGGATTGATACGGTTGTCCTACATCCTTGATTTTCCAACATAGTGCTTTTTAATTTTACTTCAAATAGTCTGTCTCTTTTATAGCTGATTATTCTCAACACCTAATTTTTGGTTTAGAAAACAGAAGCCACTGTGAGTACTGAGGTCTCTAGCTGCAGAACTTGCAGTGATCCTCAGAAGCTTTTGAAAACTTTCTTCTAAAAGCAAAGATCTCTCTCCTATAGACAACTGTGCCTGTCATCAAGGAGTCACAACTATGACTGTTTCCACGTTTTTTAAAGACAGTCACAAACTTACATTTTGTTTTTCTGTTTCCAAACTATATTCTTACTTTTTACAAAATTGAATCCCAATTTTTGATTTATGCATTATGGTCAGTATGAGACAATATGACAAAATGAGACAATGGTGATCCAGAGACCTAAGCCAACTGACAATGGATTCATTAGGAGACTGGAGCTCTCTTTGAGTTAAAGACACTTATTATTATAGTTGGTAACCAGCAATAATGTGCTTGTAATTTATTTGAGCCTATGTTTTATCATGTACATCACTATTTTAAAAGGAATTCGTAATCTTGATTAAGAAGACTAAGAGAGACCCAATAGTGTGCTGGAGCCAGCTCTCATGAGCTGATTGCTTACAGCCATTCCCAACTTCAAATCCAGTGATGCCAGATTGGTAACTTGAAATCGGCCATAGTGGGAATTTTTCACACCATGGAGATCTACACATGCTACAAACCAGGGCTTTCTCCCATTGTTAGACACTTCCTGGCATGCTAGCTTGTATGCAGGACTGTCAATCCATTCAGCAGGTATGCACTGAGCACCTCGCCTAGTTCTGCTCTAGCTCTCTAGCTCTATAGGTGGCTGTCCAACCCATTTGACAAAGTACATTGCCACACTCTGTAATTAGAAATCAGCAGTGACTTATGCAGTTGTAAAATTCTGAACTGCATTTGCTTCTTTGCTCAATTAAAACTTGTGTTTCTTTCTCATTTTTAAAAAACCACTTTATTGAGATATGACTGATATATGAAAAGCTCTACCTATTTAATGTATATAACCTGATGAGTTTGGAGATACATATATAAGACAGGGTAGGGACGGGGCTCAACCCTACCCTCCCAACTAGTATATTTTTTTCCATACATCCTCACTGACCGTGAGAACTTGTAAAATGTGTGACGAAACTGAGAAGCAGCATTCCACCATCAATCTCAAGGGAGTTAACCCTGTCACCCGCATGCACACAAAACCAAGAAAATGACCCATCCTAACCTCTTGCCTCATTATACTACTAAAATCCCCGCCCCAGGAGCTTATCTGCCATTTTTTGATCATGCGATGCATGTATTAACATGATTTCTCACTTCGCCTGCACACCCTGTGCTCTGTCCTGCACATGTAATGACTTTCGCTTACCTCATGCTTATTCATGTCACCCTTCTTAAAACACTGCAAGACCTGCCCTCAGAGAGCCAGTCAGAGAACTCTTGCTCCCATGCTGTCTCCCTTGGACTTGAGCATAGGCCCCAGTAAAGCCGTGTCTGGGAAACTTTCTCACCCTCATGTTAATTTCTGTTGCATGAGAACTCAAGAACAGGTAGGTAATGTATGCACCTATGAGACCATCACCACAACCTATGCCATAAACATTTATCTATCACTTCCAAAAGTTTCCTCCTGCCCTCTTATTTATTAGTTATTATTTTTATAAGAATGCTTAACATGAGATCAAATTTGCAAATTTTAAGTATATAACAACCTGCTGTTAATTGTAGATACTATGCTGTACAGTAGATCTCTAGAACTTATTCATCTTAGATACTTAGGGACACAAATTCATGTGTGCATACATGTATGTTTTTCTCTCAAAAAATAGTTGATCATGGAAATAAACTTCCCTTCACTTAATTTTTAATAAACGCAAGATACATCAAAGTAAAGTGCTGCTTTCTGCTCTTCTGAAATTTCCAAAAAGTGTTGGCTTTATACTTACAAAATCCTTTTCTTTGTGCCCTGTTATTTTATTCATGTTTATCTATCCATTTATAAAGATTGCACAATAGGGAAAAAAAAAAGCCCTATTTGACAGTTTTTGATATTTATAGTGCTCTGAGAAAGGGCCTGGAGATTCAACTAAGTTTATTAAAAGCAACATTTTATAAGCAATGTAATAAGGACTTAAAAGCACAATACAAGTGGGAAGCATTTGTAAAAAGCCGAATTTTTAACCTATAGATGACATGGCTGGAAAAGCAGAACTATTGATTGAATTTCTTCCACTGCGGAGTGGGAGAAGAGGCCAGGTGTTAACAATGGCAAGGGTGGAAGGCAGGAGAGGGAGTTGGCTGGGCAGGAAAGTCCTCTATTGATAAGCTTCCACTTTGTGGGCATCAGTAATTCTGCTTCTACCTCTTCCAAAGGTTCCTCTCATTTACTCTTCCTACTTTTCTTGCCCCTTTGAAATAGGAAATTGGAAGTGATGGTCATCTGGGAAGGAGTGGCTCCAGTCTGGAAGCCTGGTCTTTATTTAAGGACCCACTCATAGGTAGCCGGCGTGTTCGGAGAGTTGGGAGGGGCAGCGTGCTGTTTCCGTTACTTTTCCCCTAACCTCAGTCTCTTATCTATGTCAGGTTATCAGTTTAGACCCATGGGAACCCAGCTTCAATCAGGTTTCCTTTGCCTTATTGGGGAGAGGAGGAAATAAGGATGCAAGGAACAAAGTCTGTGGCGGTTGAGCATTTGTAAGGAATGGACGACTCCCCAAAGAGTTCCTTCCTAATTCTGCTTTTGAATTTTTATGACACACGAAGTCTCAAAAAGATCTTGGTGAGAAAACTGCTGGGTGATTTGATAGTTTATCTCTTGGCAATTTGAGAATCAATATTCCTGCGTGGTGAGCTGATAAGAGATATAATAATAAAATCTAGGCAGCCGAATATTTTAATAAAAAGGGGTGGTTGCCACCCTGGGGAGCGCATGAAGTCGCCTGAGATTCTGGAAGCCGCTTTCCTTTTGTGCCAAGTCAAAGGCCTTAGATTGTAAAACACAGGGCACTTTGATTGCAAAAACAAAAATAGTGGTAAGGTAGAATTAACTGACCCCCAAATGCCTTTTCATTACCAATATCCTTATTTTGGAGGACAATGGTATCTTCCAAAATGAGGCAGTGTGACACAGTAGTTAGACCTTTAGACTGAATTTGCCCCTTACTAGGTTGGAGCCTCTGGTGAGGAGTTTCACCTCTGTGCCTCAGTTTCCTCATGAAGAGGATGATACAGAGATAATGTTCCCTGTCATGTTGAGTTGAAACAATTACACAAATATGCCCTTTGCAAAGTGCTCACCAGAAGTACGAAGGAATAATAATTATCCCTAGCATGGGAAACATTCAAGCAGAGAAAGACACAATTTCTGCCAGTTTGATTGTCGTAACTTCCAGGTTGTCTCCACATATGATGTCATCTAAATTACTATTATTATTTGAGATGAGTCTTGCTCTGTTGCCCAGGCTGGAGTGCAGTGGTGCGATCCTGGCTCACTGCAACCTTGCCTCCTGGGTTTAAGCGATTCTTCTGCCCCAGCCTCCCAAGTAGCTGGGACTACAGGCGCAGGCCACCACACCCAGCTAATTTTTATACTTTTAGTAGAGATGGGGTTTCACCATGTTGGCCAGGCTGGCCTCGAACTCCTAACCTCAAGTGATCTGCCCGTCTTGGCCTCCCAAAGTGCTGGGATTACAGGCATGAGCCACTGTGTCTGGCCTATGTCATTTAAATTAATAATTAACTTTACTACTTAGGAGCAGGTCAAGTAAATGGGGGTAAAACCTGTTTCGCTTATTAATTTAAATTGCCAGTGAAGCCTTTGGTCTAATCATGATGTTTTCCCTGCTAGGTTGTTTCAGAAAAAGCACATTTCACTTGTGGGAGAATTCTTGTAAGCATCAATGGGGCTGGAGCCTGGTCAGGTCCTGGCTCTTTGGAGGGATGTGGCTGTGAAGACTAAGCGCATGGGCAAGATGGCCCTGCAGCCACTCCTGATTATGATAGCAGGGCAGGCACTCAAACACAGATCACCTTCCAGGGTTCTGCAGATCAACCTCGCTTTGTGCCATCATCCATCTGCTTGTAAAATGAAGCTAAGAAAAATAACTTGATCTGAATTCTTAGGACAAAGGTGGACAGGGTTTTTCCTTTACCTATTTGTGTATAAGGTAATATTTTCCTGGCTTGCTCTTAGTAGGCTTCAAGTTGTGGAAATGACATAATTTTAAGGGGTAGTTAGTGGGTGGTCCTTCTCAAATGCAAAGGGAAAATGTAGCTACTATTTTCATGATAAAGTCACTGTCATACCTTATTCTCAATGGCTGCCATTACAACACATTTTTCATTTTACTTGTAAAAGAAAAGGTGAAATCCAGCAAATGCCTCTGCTATGCAAACTCCTAGGTTGGAGAGAACTTGCAAAGCTCCAATTTTCTCTTGGAAAGCTTATTCCGGTCATGGAGGTGGGGGTGGACTTAAAGGCTTCACCTTTCCCATGAAGAGGGTTTCTGAGAACTTGGTTAATTGGGATGTGGAGGAAGCCTTTTTTTCTTGGGTTCTATCTTTAAGGCCCAAGGCAACAAGGTTTTCGTGTGGGGAACTGAAATTTCAATTCAAAGCACATTAATCAGAAAATATTTCATAATGCTAAGACATAGGCTGGCATAGCTGGTATAATTCAGAACAGGATAGTAATTTATTCTAGGACTGTTTTATATAGGTTTACAGATGGCTTAAATGTTGTGGGTCAGGTGTGAGATCTAGCACATATTTACTACAAAGACAATAATAAAGATGTAATTTCTGGTCTTAGCTCTGTCCTTGCCTCATCCCAGGCAAGTCATACACTTTCTCTTGTTATCTCTTTCTGAATCAGCAACGATGATACTATGAGTTATGCATCTCACCCAAATGCTAACGGGATAAAGGAGATGACATTTATTGAATACCTGAGCTCTTTAGAAATGTATTATCTAAGCAAAAGCTTTAAGCATTATATTCAGGAAATTATTCTGCAACTGCCCACCAACCTCTTCAAGCCCCAATAAAATACTCATGGTTCCAAAAAAGCTTTTCCTGATGAACCTCACCCATTCCAGTCACTTCTTTATACTTTTAGCACCTTAGCATGATATTCACATTGTATATTTCACTTTTGATCCACCACTTTATAACATCATCTCTCTAGTTGCCCACACTAGAAACCTCAGCACCCTCCTGGCCCCTCCCTCCCACTTGCTGCGTCTCCAGCTAGTGACACAATCTAATTCCGTTTCAGTGTGTCCTGGGACCCATGGCACTGTCACAGGCTCAGCGCTTTGACATTTTTCACCTGGTTGTCTGCGCTGCCCACTCACAGATCTTTCTCACTCTAGCCTGGCGGCCCCTTTCCAATTCATCCTTCTCTGTGCTTCTGAAAGATCTGTTAAAAACGTAAATCTGGGCCGGGCGCAGTGACTCACGCCTGTAATCCCAGCACTTTGGGAGGCCGAGGCGGGCGGATCACGAGATCAGGAGATCGAGACCATCCTGGCTACTAACACGGTGAAACCCCGTCTCTACTAAAAATACCAAAAATTAGCCGGGCGTGGTGGCGGGAGCCTGTAGTTGTAGTCCCAGCTATTCGGGAGGCTGAGGCAGGAAAATGGCGTGAACCCGGGAGGCGGAGCTTGCAGTGAGCCGAGATAGCGCCACTGCACTCTGGCCTGGGCGAAAGAGCGAGATTCCGTCTCAAAAAACAAACAAAAAAACATAAATCTGATCCTATCTGCTCTCTTCTTAAAATCCTTAAAACTCCTTGGCTTAGCACATAAGACAGTGCTTTTTCTGGTCGCCAGCCCCCTTTCTGGGCACTCCCTTTGGCATCCCCCTGTTCCAAGGTAAGTCTTTCTAGAGGGAGGATGCTTGAGTTGAGTCGTGAAGTCCCCTCAAAATTATTCCAAGAAAGAGCTCCCTGTGTTTTCCTGGCTTCATGCTTTTGAGCTTTTGCACACATGGTTTCGTCTGCCTTCAATGTCCTCTCCTTACCTAGTCATTCTTAGTGGCTTTAACATTTTAGCTTAAGCAACACTTCTACCAAGAAGACTTCAAGGACCCTCCCTCACCCCTTTCCCATCTGTTGTAGATCCTCATCCAGTGAACTCCCGTGGAACCATGTAAATGGCTTTGTAAAAACTCATCATTCTGTATGTACCATAGCGTTTTGTGGATTTTGTCTATTGCTTATGATAAGCTGTAGGTTCTGTAAAGGCTGGGATTGTACTTTTTGATTTTGTATCAAAATCTAGCATCTACCTTAGAGCCAGGCACAAAGTAGGTCCTCAGTAAATGCCTGCCAAATGAATAGATAAAATTATTACTCTGGGCTGGGCGCGGTGGCTCACGCCTGTAATCCCAGCACTTTGGGAGGTCGAGCCGGGTGGATCACGAGGTCAGGAGCTCGAGACCAGCCTGACCAACATGGTGAAACCCTGTCTGTACTGAAAATACAAAAATTAGCCGGGTGTGGTGGTGTGCCCCTATAATCCCAGCTACTCAGGAGGCTGAGGCAGGAGAATTGCTTGAACCTGGGAGGCGGAGGTTGCAGTGAGCCGAGATTGCACCACTGCACTCCAGCCTGGGCAACAGAAGGAGACTCTGTCTTAAAAAAAAAAAAAAAAAAAAAAAAAGAAAGATTACTCTGGATGGGTGACCAAGGAACAGCAGAGGATCAAAACCTGCAGCAACTTTAGGGCTTGTAGATAATCTATGACTCAAGAAGTCTACATCATTATTACCAAAAACAGACCATTGTATTCAGTTTCAAATATTATCCATAGCTCCTTATTTTTACTAAAAAATAGATTTTTCAGTTTTCCATTATTAATAAATTATTTCTTTTTTAATTGAAAATATTTTCTTGGCCAGGCGCAGTTGCTCACGCCTGTAATCCCGCACTTTGGGAGGCCGAGGTGGGCGGATCACCTGAGGTCGGGAGTTCGAGACCAGCCTGGCCAACATGGAGAAACCCTGTCTCTACTAAAAATACAAAATTAGCTGGGTGTGTTGGCACGCGACTGTAATCCCAGGTACTTCTGAGGCAGGAGAATCACTTGAACCAGGGAGTCGGAGGTTGCAGTGAGCCGAGATCGCGCCATTGTACTCCATCCTGGGCAACAAGAGCAAAACTCCGTCTCAAAAAAAAAAAAAAATTTTTTTTTCTTGGTTGAGATCTCTGTTCACAAATCTTTTCCAAGGAAATTTTTTCTCTCTTCTTTTACCACCTACAAGCCATAACAAAGCTTAAAGATAACTCATAAATTCAATGTCATGGAATCAAGAAAACCAGAAAAGGCAATTGAAATGTGCAATTTGTTTACCATCAGATGAACTTAGGGGTGGCCACAGCTGCAGAATCTCAGGGTTAGAAGTGCTTCTGATATTGTTGGAGACAGAAGAACTTACTTTCCTGTCCCCTTTCTGTAGCTCCTTCTAACAACAGGAATGAATAGACAGTGATCCATTCACAGAGAGAAAACTATTCTTATGTAAGAAACCTGTATCCAGAGCAGCTCTCACTCAACCAAAGTCTGTGGCCGAAACAAGGGAGGTAAAGATTTTCATTCAGCAGGTAAAGAAATAACTGCAGTGGTGCAGGCAAGACACATTCTTGCATAGATGTCTAGAAAGGGCATCTTTAAAAAAAAATTTAATGTTTTTGGGTATACACTAGGTGTATGTATTTTGGGGGTACATGTGATTTTTTATTTTTTTTGAGATGATGTCTTACTCTGTTGCCCAGGCTAGAGTGCAGTGGCACAGTTTTGGCTCACTGCAGGCTTGACCTCCTGAGCTCAAGTGATCCTTCCCACTTTAGCCTTTCCAAGTAGCTAGGACTACAGGCTTACACGACTACACCCAGCTACTTTTTGTATTTTTTGTAGCAATGGGATTCCACCGTGTTGCCCAGGCTGGTCTCGAACTCCTAGGCTCAAGCGATCCCCCAGCCTCAGCCTCCCAAAGTGCTGGGACTACAGGTGTGATTCACTGCGCCCAGTCTTTGTGATGCTTTGATACAAGCATATAATATGTAATAATCACATTAGGATAACTGAGGGCATCCATTACCTCATTTCTTTGTGTTACGGACATCCCAGTTCCACTCTTTTAATTATTTAAAAACATATAATTATTGTTGACTGTAGTCACCCTGTTGTGCTATCAAATAATAGATCTTATTCATTCTGTCTATGTTTTCACCCATTAACCATCCCAGCATCCTCTTGCCCTCCCCTGCTATGCTTCCAAGCCTCTGGTAATCATCATTCTACTATCTCCATGAGTTCAAGTGTTTTAATTTTTAGCTTCCGTCTTTCTGCGACTGGCTTATTTCACTTAACATAATATCCTCCGGTTCCATCCATATTGTTGCAAATGACAAGATTTCATTCTGTTTGGGAACGGTATGCCATTGTGTATATGTACCATGTTTTCTTTATCTATTCATCTGTTGATGGGCACTTAGGTTTGCTTCCAAATGTTGGATTTTGTGCGCAGTGCTGCAATAAACATAGGAGTACAGATATCTCTTCAATATATTGATTTCCATTCTTTTGGTTATATACCTAGAGTGGGATTGCTGGATCATTTACATTCCCACCAACAGTGTACGAAGGTTCTCCTTTCTCCACATCCTCACCAGCATTCATTATTGCCTGTCTTTTGGATATAAGCCATTCTAAGTGGGGTGAGATGATATCTCATTGTGGTTTTGATTTGCATTTCCCTGATAATTAGTGACGCTGAGCCATTTTCCATATACCTGTTGGCCATTTGTATGTCTTCTTTTGAGAAATCCCTATGCAGATCTTTTGCCCATTTTTAACTGGATTATTAGAAAGAGCATCTTTGGAAGGCCCAGGAAAAACTCAACCCCTCACAACAATTTCCAGTCATTCCCAGGCACTGGTTCCCAGGAATGGCCTGGAGCAAGCATGGTTTCACTGAGGAAAGGCCAGGGCCAGCTGAGCCTACCAGAGCAATCGGTAGGCTTACACAGCTTGTAAGGTGTATTTATAAGGTCCCTTGGCTTCCCTCAAGGGAAGGCTTCCACATTATGAGTAGTTAAGAACTTCGGTTCTGAGACCAGAGCAACCTGCATTCAAATCTTTATTCTGCTATTTGCTAGCCATGTAACCCTTGGGCAAGTTATTTAACCTGTCTGAGCCTCAGTTTCCTCATTTGCAAAATGGGGGAAAGTAGTTTTCACACTTCAGTACTGTATGCCTGGTACACAATAAGTGGTCAGTTAACAGAAGTTATCATTATTATCATTAGCTATTTATAGTAATCAAAAGTAACACAAACCTACTATAATTCTAATTCACAGGCTACCTAGGCCAAATAATTTTTGCAGACTTTCAAAATGACATAAACTGAGAGGCTTATTGAAGAAGTGTTGCTCAAATGCCCTGCCACCCTATTTAGAGCTGATAATTTGGGTCTCCACATGGCCTACAGTTTCATTCTTAGTTTTTATTCTTGGTATTATAAAGCTGCTTTCTCTTATGAATCAGCAGGAAGCTGTGACATGAGTGGTATACACAGTCTGGTATCCACGGCCCCCCTTCCCTGTCCATACTTTACTGTGAGTTACCCTGATGTTTGGGTGGCCTCACATGGGCGTCTTCAGCTGACTGAGAAAGTAAGATTCCTAGACTGGATTACAGAGGCAGCTGGCAGCCTTTCAGCTAAATTCTATTTTATAAAGTCTATAAATTTACTCAAAATCCAGTTACCAGCTGGTAGGGGGTGTATAAAACCATGGAGTTACAGAAGAGAAAAAAGAGTAGTTCGATTGAGATTTATCCAAAGGATTTAAAATGTGATTTACCTGTGGGCCAGTTCCTGGTTTCAAGTGAAAACCAAAAACCAGTTCCAGGTTCACTATTTTTTCCTCATTTTCTTCAGGTTCACCTCCTGAGTCCTAAAACAGGAAACCAAGCACCAATTATTCTAGATGTTGTTTTTACTTCTCATGTAAAGAAGATGATATCTTGGCACTAGTTTTTTTTTTTTTTCTATTCTAATCTATTAACTTTTGGTTATTTTGGATTAAGCTACAAATTCTAATTACATCAACCAACAGAAATGACATATTATGCCTTTCAGGACTTTGCCAAATGATTTATTTCATGCAGTTCAAATTGAATGTCACTGTCTTACATTTATCACAGTGCATCTTGCATTGTGCAATTTTACCCTAGAAATGCACTTAGCACCTAGAGATGCATTGTGAGATTTCAACTTCAGAGGTTCACAATACCCAGGGCATTTACAAGCTATTCCCAAAGACGGATTACGCAGTGGATGGAGGATGCAAATGTGGATGGAGGATGAAGCAGAGGAACAAAACGAGTCTTTGAGGGCTTAGAGATGAAAAACTATAGCTGTTAGTGAATAAGTAAAGTTCTGTGTATGAATTGCAAGTATTTGCTGATTTTAAACAAAGTATGCCATATTCCTTTAAACTAGATTCAAAATGTTAAGTATACTAATATGTTATTCAAACAGTAAACCTCCCATCCCCTATGAAAGTTGACGATCGAGCGCTCCAGGGTATGAATTCTCTCAGTGACTTACATGTTGAAAAGTATCCAGGGCCAGGTGGGAGGCCACAGGACCTCACCGATAATGTTGGCACTTACAACTCCTAGCCACTAAAGTAAGGTGTGTTGTTCTTATCATGAACAAATTGTTAATATTTCAACTTGTGGGGAACAAGGGTGTTCAATTTATACACTTCCCTTGCTTCAAAGGGCCTTTTGTTAGACAGATATGATGAAATTTCACTTCAAACAACCATTACTGACATTGGCAAATTTAGGTGTGGATGCAGCAGGTGCATGTGTCAATAAAGGTAGCATTAGTGTCGGTAAGAAAAACCTTACTTACCTTAATTAGTGGTGGGAAGTGAAACAAATTTATGTAATCATGGGTTAATTTCTCAATGGCTGACTGTAAAAAAAATCATATGACTTTATTAATGATCCAGTAATACCAAGAGAAGACTAAAATCATTGGGTACAAACAAAAACATTCCTTATTTACCTAGTTCATAAAATATCTTGGGGGCATTTATATCCAACGTCTATTTAGAATAAATCTCATTGTCCAAAGCAGTGTAGGTGGTTTGTAATTATTTAAAGGACCAGAAATTTTTAAAAATTTTTTATTTTGGAGACCAGGTCTCATTCTGTCGTGCAGGCTGGAGTGCAGTAATGCTATCATAACTCTCCACAGCCTTGAACTCCTGAGCTCAAGAGATTCTTCCATCTCAGCCTCCCAGGTGGCTGGGACTCAGGCACACACCACCACACCCAGCTAATTTATTTTATTTTTTGTAGAGATGGGGTCTTTGTGGCCCAGGCTGG
Source organism: Homo sapiens (assembly GCF_000001405.40). Taxonomy (NCBI): domain Eukaryota; kingdom Metazoa; phylum Chordata; class Mammalia; order Primates; family Hominidae; genus Homo; species Homo sapiens. The sequence continues at coordinate 173,237,956 of NC_000002.12, read as the reverse complement.
TCTTGAAATCCTGGCCTCCTGCCTTGGCCTCTCAAAGTGCTGGGATTACAGGGATGAGGCCAAGAAAGAAGACATTTTAAAGATGTTGAACCTCAGACTAAGCAATAAATAAAACAATTTTTCAAACGCCGCCAGAGTATAGTACTGAGAAGTGGATGTTCTGTTGTACAGAATGCAGGTGCCACTCTGAATAACAGTGAGCAAAGCAGCACAGCACATAACACCAGACTTTCAGGAAGGCTAGAATCTCACTAAAAGGTTGATTGCATTATAAGAACATTTCTTTGGATATGTGTCCAACATCCCCTCTGCCAATGAAACACAAATCTGAAAGGAAAGGAAGACAATTTAAATGATGATTTTTTGGATACTCAGCAGGCACAGTTCAGATTTTCTAAGAACTGATTGCAGAGAGAGTAAAAAAGTACCAACCTGAGAAAATTAGATGCATTTTATTTTAAAGCAAAATAAAAACTGTTGACAGCTGACAATGTAATGAACACTTATTGGGTGTTCAGTCCTACTTCTTACACTCTACTCCTCCACACGAGGGCTTGCAGGCTCAGAGAAGAAGGGAGCCATGGTCAGGCTTAAAGGGAGGGACAAACACAAAGGAAAAGAATGGGTGGGGGCCGCGTGCGGTGGCTCACATCTGTAATCTCAGCACTTTGGGATGCTGAGGTGGGCGGATCATGAGGTCAGAAGTTCGAGACCAGCCTGACCAACATGGTGAAGCCCTGTCTCTACTAAAAATACAAAAATTAGCCAGGTGTGGTGTAGCCTGCGCCTATAATTCCAGCTACTCAGGAGGCTGAGGCAGGAGAATCGCTTGAATCCGGGAGGCGGAGGTTGCAGTGAGCCAAGATCGCACCATTGCACTTCAGCCTGAGCGGCACAGTGAGACTCCAGCTCAAAAAAAAAAAAAAAAAAAAAAAAAGGTGGATATACTGCTCCACTGTCCAGTTTGATCACCTACCATTTAAGGACTGAGAGACTCTTGGAGAAAGTACACAACAATTGTGCCTTCCTCAGTGAAAGCACAAAGAATAAAGGAAGGATGCATTCTTACCATCAGGCTGTGTGTGAGAAACACTTCTGACAAGGACCAGGAGGACTCCTCCAGCGTGGAGCTACTCATCCCCAAAGGCCCAGCTTGGAGCATTACTTATCTTAATTGAGAGTCTATGCAGGGCCCTCCTAGAGTAAGTGCACATGACCCTTTCCCTTTATCTTTCCCTCTCATATAAACTTGTTGGAAATCCCCATGCTCTGGCTGAGTTTAGTGGTCACCTGTTGGCTGAGCCCCCACTGGGTAGCCATTCTTACATACAGCCCCAGCCTTGGCAGTAAGGGGGAGGGGTCCGCATTCCACACTTTGGAGACTGCCCCTCTGTGAATGACTGTCTTTAGAATGACTGAGTGCAGACTCACTCAGGAGTTTGAGGGCAGTGTTAGGTCCCCCAACAGATGCAGGCTACTCCTTCATTTGGAGCTCTGGGCAGACCCTCTGCAGAGGTCATAAAAAGAGAACATTACACTGACTCCACTCTAGTGGGTCAAATAATTTTTTTTTTACTTTTAAGTGGCTGCTTCCAACAGGGCTTTTTCTCTCTGCATATTCCTTGGCTTCTCTGCAAGCTTAGACCCCTGTCCCCTGTCCCTGCCTTTTTTTTTTTTTTTTTTTTTTTTTAGACAGGGTCTCACTCTATTGCCCAGGCTGTAGTGCAGTGGTGCAATCATAGTTCATGGCAGCCTCAACCTCCTGGGCTCAAGCGATCCTCCCACCTCAACCTCCCAGGTAGCTGGGACCACCACAGGTGTGCACCACATGCCTGGCTAATTTTTGCATTTTTTGCAGAGGCAAGGTTTCGCCATGTTGCCCAGTCTGGTCTTGAACTCCTGGTTTCAAGTGAGTTGCCCACCTTGACCTCCCAAAGTGCTGGGATTACAGGCTTGAGCCACAGTGCCTGGCCCTTAGACCCTTTCGACCACCGATTCTATCTTAAAGCTTTTCCAACGTTTGACTTTTGTAACAGCATTCTCTCCTCATTTCCTACTTTGTGGACAGATATTCCTGTCTTCCTCTTCACTTTCCTGGCCACACACATCCTTTCTGCCAAAGACAGAAAGCTTCCTAGCTGGAAGAAGACTACTCTTGGGCAGGGTGTAGAGGTGCCTGTGCTTTCCTTTGCTTTATTATTATTTTTTAATGAGGTGAAATTCACATACCACAAAATTAACCATTTTAAAGTGGGCAATTGAATGGCATTTAGCACATTCACGATGTTGTGCAACCAGTACCTCTATCTAGTTCCAAAACATTTTCATCACCCCCAAAGGGGGCTCTACTCCCATTAGGCAGTCAAGAACCCTTGCCTCCTCCCCCTAGCAGCTGGCAATCACTGATTGCTTTCTGTCTCTATGGATTCGCCTATTCAGGATGTCTCATACAATATGTGACCTTTGTGTCTGGCTTCTTTCATTTAGCATCATGTTCAAGGCTCATCTATGCTGCCACACATATCAGTGTGGAGTCCTAATAAGTAAGCAACAACGAGGAGGGGGTCCCAGGTGGGGGATAACAGTTGTTCTGAGAGACGGCTAATCACAGACAATCACAACAACCTGTTCCCAAATACCTCATTCTGCAAGTAACTCCAGAAGCATGACCTCGTCTGCACACCCTATCTGGACGTAGCCCCTCCAGTATGATCCCATAAAACTTCCCTCAAGCCCCTGCCTCTTGGCAGACAGCCCCTTCTCTGCTGTGCTGCCCATTGCACCCTTGCAACACATCTTCACACTTTCTCTAATAAATCTGCCTTTCTTTACCTACGACTGTCTTGGTAAATTCTTTTACTGCCTGCGACAGCGGCCCCAGCCAGTCCGTCCACAACAATCAATACTTCATTGTGCTTTCCTTCTTGAGCCTGAGAACAGCCCTCTTACCTGTGACATCTTCCCCTTCTCTCCATTCGCGTTTTTGCTACACTGCAGTGCTTATTATTCTCCACATTTATACCCTCCTGTTTTTTCAAAACCCAGCCTTGCCTTTTTAATACATTTTAAAACTTCCAGAAGCAAAGTGTAAACCTGTCAATTCTCAATACTCCCAACAGCTGGTCAAATTCCAGCTCTTTCCCCCCAGCCTGAAGTTGTAAGCTGTCCAGGATCCGGCCCCACCTTCCTTCCACTTCAGGTGCCATGCGTTCTACTCATCACCCGTGTTCTGCAGACGGAGCTGCTTATGCTACGTAGGTCGGGACTCCTCTTTTCTGTTCCTCCACATTCTCTTCCATTTCTCTTAACTCTTTGTTCTCTCTGTCTAGATTAATGTTCTTTCCTTTCCTGGTCTACATTCCAAAATCTGTCATTCCTCCAAGATCCGGCTCAAGGGCCACCCACTCTGTGAAGTTTACCCTCTCCATCTCCCACCATGGCCTCTCCCAAGTCCGGGTAATGAATTGGTCCTTTCCTCCCAGTTGCCAAGGGGATGCTGTGTGCACGTTTAATCTTTTCTCTGAGATGTAAATTCCTTAACCACAGGTTTCTTTGAATCTTCATAGGCCCAGTCTCACAATTAGTAGACATTCACTGAATTTTTTGAACAATAAATAGTAAGTCTGGACTTCGCTTGCCTAAATGATACCGCTCAGCATGAAAGGGGTACTTAGGTTATCCAGGGCCACCCTTGGAAAGATGTAAATCACTGAGGGCTTCTGGTGAGATATCCCAGCTCACCACCCTTCCTCCGAACTGATCCTTAAGGAATACTGGGCCTTTTCAAAGATGGCAGGTGGGAAGGGGAGGTGGGAGCATCTTATTTGGCATCTGCCAAATAGGACAAGATTTACAAAATTTCTTTTTTGGAGCTCTGAAACATCTCTGTACTGCAGAAAATACTTTTTCCTACTGTGGCCCACCTAAGCCAGCATAGCTTTTAGGATGGACTTGCCCACACCCAGAGGCTGGGATTACATTCTTTGCCAGCCTTTGGGAAATACGCTATGCATGAGTTCTCCTGCCCTTCTTCTAAGAGGGAGAAGACAGCAAGGTCCTCTTTCTGTTGTGGAAGTGGTCTCTGGTGGGTGAGTGCCAAGCTGTTACTGTTACGCAAAGGGTGCTGAGAGTCCGTAAGGATGTTTCTTCCTGGACCTAGGGTCCACAGAATGAAATGAATGGGCTCTCTTTGGGCCTTAATGGAGATTTCTCTAGAAAGGTCACTGTGGGTAGCTCTGAGGTAGGGACTAGCTGGCGTGTTGGTAGAGCCTTTGTGAAGGTGTGGATTTGGACAGGAGGCTGCCTTTTCTGAATTTTCTCCTTTATTCTGTTTCTCTTCTTTCTAACCTATACACACTCGTCCATCTACCCACACTGGAATGGGGGGTGGGTTTGGGGAGCAAACCTGATTTTATTCTAAGATCTCTCTTGAAACAAGATTAGTCACAATGACCACACAGATGCCAGCAATTCTTACTCAGTTTAAGTTGCTAAATTGAAAAAACAAAAACAAACAAAAAACAACCATGACCACGACCACCACAATGAACACAGAGGTTTAGCTTTGAAACTACTTAACAGTTAAGTTTTGGGGGAAATGTTAGAACTTCCTGAGTAAGTGGGGATTAAAACACATACATGGTGGTGTCTGTTCCAGGTCATAATGACAAAAATTACAAATGCCTTTAGGTTACTGCATTGGCTTAGGTTTCCCTTTGGCCATGCAGAAATTCTGGGGTCCTTAGGGATTCCTGATGGATTTTTGTCCTCTCTAGAATTAAACTGAGTCACCTCCTGCTATTCTGGGTGGATGGCTGTTTTCCAGGCACCACACTGCCTTTGTGGTATTTCTTACAGCCGTCATTTACCATTATCGCATAGGCAGTATCTGTTTTCTCCACCAGATTAGAGACTTCCTGAGGGCAGGGGGGTGATATTCAGGTTATCTCCCTGTGAGTCCTACTATACCATGTATGCACCTTTTTGCTGTTTGGATTATGAGGAAGGAATAGGGGTGCCTGGGGGCAGCTGCTGATTATCAACTTGTGTAAGCATTTCAGCACAGTAATGACCAGCATAGCACTGTTTCCATCTGCAGCCCCTAACACGTGATCTGCTGCATAGTAGGTGCTCAATAAAGATTTGTTGATGGAGGCCAGGCCTGGTGGCTCACGCCTGTAATCCCAGCACTTTGGGAGGCTGAGGCAGGTGGATCATTTGAGGTCAGGAGTTGGAGACCAGCCTGGAAAACATGGTGAAGCCCCATCTCTACTAAAAATACAAAAATTAGCTGGGTGTGGTGGCACGCTTCTGTAATCCCAGCTACTTGGGAGGCTGAGGCAGGAGAATCACTTGAACCCAGGAGGCGGAGGGTGCAACGAGCCAAGATTGTGCCTTTGCACTCCAGCCTGGGCAACAGAGCAAGACTCTGCCTCAAAAAAAACCAAACAAACAAAAAAAGGGTTTGCTGATGGAATGTTGTCCCTTTCTCAGGTACCTTGAAGTGAATGATATGCCCCTTGGAGACAATGCCCATGTCTTTCAGGTCTTCTTCCTCCAGCAGCAGCAGCCGCTTCCCTGTAATGTTGTTTTCTTTAAACAAGCTTGCATATACACTCATCTCTGCTGAAGAGTCACCTGAAGGAAGTGATTAGAAAGCAGAATAAAATTAGATGAAATCACATCCAAAACAAAGTTAACTCCATGATTGAAGAAGGTAACTTATTCCACTTGCCTTTTCTGACGAGCTGCTGAACCCAACAATACTGTGAAAGAGAGGACACATACGGTTTTGAAGATTCACACATGGTCAGTGGCCAGTCTTCACAGTAAACATAGAGTTTTCAATAGATCAAAATAACTTTAATTCCTGGCTCAACCACAAAGGTAAAATAGAAGACTTTCTCTTTGTAGTTTTAAAACCTCAAGCTTTCAAATGGGAGATATCCCTCTCTTCGGGGGTCTTGGACAGTTAAAAGCCCCTTGGTTTTCCTCCTTCTTTGGGAGATATTTTTAAATCCTTTCAAGAGGGTTCTTACTTATAGTGATTTTTCCATTTATGTGCCAGTGGTCCCCTGGATTGCTGAGGGGCACCAGTTTACTCAGGAATTGTATGAGTTCCAGGGACCACACAGCAGTGGACAGAGCAACAGACAGAAGGAATCTTTTGTTCTAGGCCAGGTCATGAAGTAGCCACGTGGCCCCAGCCAAGTCAAAGTGTGGAGCTTCCTATGTAGAATGAGGAGATTGGACCCAGTGACCCTTAGTCCCTGTATATCACAGGGTCTGGGTTTACTGGTGGCCTCTCACAGTACCTTGGTGAGGAGAGAAGGATGGGAGGCCAGACTCAGTCCCTGTGATTCTCTGGGGAGCCCTCAACTCTGGAATTTTATTTAAGTGGCCTGGAAGCCACTCAGCCTCAGAGCAAAGACTAAAAATAGCTGTTAGAACTCAGTGATTTTTCAAAAATTTCTTTTCAAATGACAGGGGAAACTCTGCAGCTAGGGATAAAGAGATGATATCCAGGCTTGTGAATAAAGGAGACCCTGAGTCCTCTTTCCTTGTTAAGCAAGGCTGGCAGGAAAGTGAGACTCACTGGGGCTCAGTGAATGGGAAGAAATAGTGGCAACTGGTGCCAAGTTTCCTTACCCTACGGAAGCCAAAGAGGTTAGCTAATGTTGAAAGCAGGTGCACTTCAAAAGAATACAAAGGGCAGAGAGGGAAATGCCTGGGCCCAAAACCAGGTTGAGCTAGGTAAACAGATCTTTTGAGGAGTTTCCAGTAGCTAGTCTGCACTTTGTGGCACCTGGTCTGTTCCCTGGGCTGGAGCCCAAACCCACTAAGGCTGGCATTACATCTTTTGTTTTTTTCATTTTCATTTAGTGATACCCTGAGCTTGTTAAATAGACCTGGATAGCATAAGTCCCTGAGTTTTATAGAACTTAAAAAAAATTTTTTTTTTGAGATGAAGCCTTGCTCTGTTGCCCAGGCTGGAATACAGTGGTGTGATCTCAGCTCACTGCAACCTCCACCTTCCATATTCAAGCGATTCTCTTGCCTCAGTCTCCCAAGTAGCTGGGATTATAGGCATGTGCCACCACACCTGGCTGATTTTTGTATTTTTAGTAGAGATGGGGTTTCACCATGTTGGCCAGGCTGGTCTCGAACTCCTGACCTCAAGTGATCCTCCTGCCTCAGCCTCCCAAAGTGCTGGGATTACAGGCCACCGTGCCCAACCTAGTCTCTGAGTTTTCACATCAGGAATTTTCATACCTGTTTTGTCACTAAAAAAATAGATATGGTGATGTAACAGACTAAGTTGGATTGTTTCTCAGGGTTTCTATCAAGAATGCAGAGTGCAGGACTTCTTTTGGACTTCAACAGTCTGAGTGCAGCCTCTCAAAAACATAGGGCTTCTCTGGCTAAAGCTACAGAGAATGTCTGGGCGTGCTTGTGTCTATTCCCACTTGGGAGGCCAGAATAAGGCTGGCAAATATGATGCCTCACTTTCAAACAGGCCTGAGGTGGAAGGAAAGCCGGTTCAGCGGTGTACCAGCCCAGCACTGCCTTGACCAGATCCTCCTCTACCATGGCTCGAGGCCATCCCTGTTCTTGTAAAAAGATTTAATATCACTTTTTTTTCAAGTATGTTCATTTGTTTTCCCGAGCTGCCACTTTAATTTCCTCATGGGTATTTGTTATTGTATTCTGGAATAGTTTCAGAGTAATTTAGGAAGGTAGAACCCACTTAGAAGATTTGCAGAGATACTTGCTTTACTCTTGAGGCTTTATTTTCAATCATTATTGCATTAAAAACAGAAAAAAAGGCCAGGCACAGTGGCTCACACCTATAATCCCAGCACTTTGGGAGGCTGAGGCGGGCACGTCACTTGAGGTCAGGAGTTCGAGACCAGCCTGGCCAACATGGTGAAACGCCATCTCTACTAAAAATACAAAAATTAGCCAGGCATGCTGGTGGGAACCTATAGTCTTAGCTACTCAGGAGGCTGAGGCAGGAGAATCGCTTGAACCTCAGGAGGTGGAGGTTGCAGTGAGCTGAGATCGCACCACTGCACTCCAGCCTGGGAGACAGAGTGAGAAAAGAATTTGTCAACCTCTCCTAGTTAGACTTTCCTAAGGCCCAATCTCTTCCCCTAAAAACTTAGGGAAAAATTTATGAAATACCTGCTCAAGTCAAATAAGGCATGAATACAAAGAGCTTACCACATCGTCTTCCGTCCATGCACCAATCTCAAAGGAAGGCAGCAGCTGCATGGGAAATATGCATGAAATGAAAAAAAAAAGTAATATTATCATTGTCTTTTTGGTTCATCCTCTTGTCTCACTCTTTCAGCTCTCAGCTGCTGCTCTGGCTTGGTTCCTCCTGCAGGTTGGGTTGAATGGAAAACAGTTTTCCTGACCTTAAGAGGCAGTTCTCAGTGCTCCAGTAATGTTCACCAATCTCTCAGTAACAATTCATGTACTTTGGGAGCTGTATCATATTCCTTTGTTGGTACCTGGTTTTTACATCCCACAATCAAGCCTCAGCAGTCAAGCAATTTCTGACATTTTCTCAGAGACCTAGAGTCTTCCTCAGAGTCTCAGCCAACATGAGGACTGTTGGATTATTAATGAAAATTCCAAAGCAACCACTTAGTAACCAGATCATGTATTATGCCTGTTCTCAAGGGGGAATTTCTAAGTGTTGAAAGATCTCATTTGCACAATATTTTAAAAACCAAATGTTAGCACTCACGGATGAAGAAGGACATGGGAAATTGGTACGGTCCTAAGAAACCCAGGCTGCAGAGTTGCTCTAACTAAAACAGATTAAAATACCTCCCTGTGAGGTTCACAAGTACAAATGAAGATGCCTCCAGAGGACTTCAGCCTGCACCATTTTCAGAGCCAAAGAACTACTTACTGTCTTCAATATATGCCCCATGGCCATCTAAATAATAAATGCTTACATAATTTTTAGAAGTCTGTGTGTCCTATAAGTCAAATTAGAGTTTGGTACAGCTATTAGCTTTAACTAGCCTAACTTGCCCCCCAAAAATGAATTGCTTATGAGATAATATGGCAAATTGTCACTCATCTTCTGTTACAAATATTTTCTTGTGAGTGAGTTTCAAAAAAAAGTTGAGTTTGGTTGCTTTTACTGTTAGTATAAAAATCATAGGGTAGGTGAGTTAACCTTTCTAACTTACAGGTATTTTGTACCCACATGCTCAAAATTCTGCTAGGAAAGGCACAGCCCCTGCCTTCAAGGAGCTTTCAATTTAACTGGGACTAATACAGTTATAAATTATACCTGGGGGATTCCAAGGTCACCTGAATCTCGGTTTACTTAATGCCTAACATAGTGCCTGGCATACGGTATCTGGTAAATTTTTGTTGAGTCATTTTAAAGAATGAATAAAATTAAAGGGTGCATTTACTGGAATGCTAAGTTCTCTGGTATAGAGTTCAATGTCTATGGGTATACCATAGACAGATGTATTCACAAAGGGATTCATAAAATAAGATGGGAGAATGGAGGGCAGCACGGCTTGAGCTGGGTCCTTCAGGGCAAGAAGAGAGGTGATTCCGGGTAAAGAGAAGCAACAAGGCAAAACCTGGCATGGCGGGAGAGGGAGGGACAGGAGGGAAGGATGGGAATGGAAGGCAGTGAGTTCATGTTGGAGGAAAAAGGGTAAATGAGGCAGACAGGGTGGGAAGGCAAGCGGAAAAACCCACTAGCTGAAATGGATATGAATGTTTAGGTTTGAGTATTTATAGACAAGTTGTCAGGACATAAAGTACACACTGAAATCGATCCTGTTCTGCGTATACTCTGCTACCTGCATGTGCTTCCCTTCCCTCCAGGGTTGCCCTTGCCTCCTCGGAAACACTTGAGGTGGGTAGGAGTCATCACACACATTCACTTGCTTTAATAATGGGGAAAGGAGAAAGATTTGAGGAACAGAATCTAAAGCTGAACTGGATCAAAGAAAAATAGGTGACAATTTTGTCTCTTCACAGGGCAGCTGGACACAGCTGCAGAATCATGCCATTCCCTTCTCCCATCACAGAAGCAAATGTGAAATACGAAACTTTTTTGGTTCGTTCAAGAAACAACAGTCTGAGTTACAGAAATATTTTCCTGCATCAAGGCTCACCTTTATAGAAACTGGGTTGGGGGGAGGGGATGTGTAGTGTTATTTTTATAAAATTCCTAAATGTTGTACTAAACAAAATTGAGAAAGAAGTATTTTTTTGAATAGAATAGAAGTTGTAAATGAAATAACTAATCACAACCAGAATCTTTGGTTTTAATGTTGAAAGGAGAGGGGGTTGGTTGCACACTGAGGATGGTTCTCCAATACGATGCCTAGGGAAAGGCACTGGCTTCAGCTGGACGCTCACTCCAGCAGGATTCTTTGCACAATGCTAGCAAAGATCAGTGAGAGGAAGGCTGGAGCCAGGCACTGCTTCATGACAGCTTGAATTTGGCAAGACGGGGGATAAGAGTTAATGATCTCCAGCCACAGAGTGGCTTACCATTTCCTTTATGTTTTCTGTACCTTGTTAACATATCAGTGTATCTGCTGTAGGATGAGTTCTAAGCCTTTCTTTCTTTAGGGAATAAAAAAAAAATCCACCCCATGACTGTCCCATCACTTTACAAATTTATTATTTACACTCCCACTGACTTTAGGAGAGAAAAGCTAACACTTGTTTGCATGCGTGTGACAACGATTCCTTCAAAGGATGTTGGGAATCCAATCTAACAGGGATCTTATATACACAGCAACACGTAACAAAGGGATTTACTGTCAAAACGTTTATTGCAAAATGGAGTCTTAGAACAAAGGAAAGCAAAGAAAAGTTCACATCAAAATGAAATGTATGACACCAACTTGGATTTCTGAATACACTGTGGACTTTGTGCTGGAATATCAAATTCCAACTATAAAATCAGTAACTGAAATAGTCTTACCACACAAGAGTAAAATTTAATCTTCCATACAAACATTATACAAGATATTTGGCATAGGACTTGCTCAGAATAACATTGCAATAGAATAATTGAGAAAAAGTTTTTGTTAAAAAAACAATAAAGTGATAATGCCATCTATTCAAAGCTCACACTCAAAGAATATAAATATTTTCTATTATTTAGTACAAAAATTTTAAGAGTGCAAAAGCAATATGTGCAGTGTATCATATCTGACATTAAAAGATATACTATTCTGCACACAATATAAAATAATTAATGTAGGTGCTTGGAACTCTAGTTTTGAAGTAAATAATCACATGCCAGAAAGCTCCTCACAGGCAACAGAGTGCAAACAAAGGTGGAGTCTGAGAAAACACGGCTAGTCTTCTAGATTTCCTGATGGATACTCATTTTTCATCATAGAAATGCTGTATCTAGAGCTGTCAGGCTATGCTACAATCGAGAGGAGAGAATAGATTTTTATGTCTGGCGATGCTTAACACTTAAACAGGAAAACAGTCTTACTCAAAAGCAGCAAAAGGTGCCTGATTATAGAAAATTTATGCTCTGTTATATATGTGGTATGATGAAACTCTGCTACTTTCAAAAGGCTGCAATAAGTCTAGTACAATAATTTTTTAAAGTATTAATATTTAACTCAGAATAAGTTTTAAAACTGTCTTTCATAAAACTCTTACCATTCCAATGAAAACTCTGAAAAATAAAGTTGTACGCACAGTAATTCTGGGAGGTCATTCTGGATCACTCCTAAACCCTCCCCCGACCCCTAATTCCTTGATTTTTAATGGGGATCAAGTTTGACTACCTTAGCTGGTGTTTAAAAGTCTAACAAATTCACTGCACGTTAAAAATCACTGGTTAAAAACCCACCCTCAACATTTCCAGAGCACCAAAAACAGTGAGCTGTAGGCTTTCAACGTCTTTTCACTGGTTATGTAAAATAGTAAAATGTAATTTTGCTTTCAAAAATGAGTAGAAAAAGGAGGCTTTAAATTAACCTATAGAACTGTAGCTATCTCAATGAGTTTTTTTTCTTTTTTTTTTTTAATTGTGGAATCAGTGTAATGGGAAAGTGACCTGCCCTGGTGCATTTGGCTGTTTCATCAAGTTGCCACCAGCATTTCTAAGGAGAAAGAAACCATTTTTAGGGAAATGGTGATTTAAGATAAAGCCACGAAACTCACAAAATTCAGGTCGTATGCTGCCGTAATTCTAAAAATACATTTTGTTTTGACTTGGGTAATTTTGTTCAGGAGAAAAATAATTAGAGACGAAACTCTAAAGCTTCTGGATTTGATAAGTTTGTCAGTGGGGAAGGGACAATGCTACCGGGTTGTTTTTTTTTGTTTTTTTTTTTTTTTGAGATGAAGTCTCACTCTGTCATCCAGGCTGGAGTGTAGTGGTGCAATCTCAGCTCACTGCAACCTCTGCCTCCCGGGTTCAAGTGATTCTCCTGCCTCAGCCTCCCTAGTAGCTGGGGTTACTGGCATGTGACACCACACCCAGCCAATTTTTGTATTTTTAGTAGCAACAGGGTTTCACCATGTTGGCCAGGCTGGTCTCGAACCCCTGACATCAGGTGATCCGCCCACCTTGGCCTCCCAAAGTGCTGGGATTACAGGCGTGAGCCACCGTGCCCTGCCCCTTTTGGATGGAAGACTTTACTGAGCACACTGTCCCTGGCATTCATAATGTTACTATTCCTGGCACTGGGCAGCAAATGCCACCCCAGTTGCTGTGACAACCAAAAATGTGCCCTAGCCCCAACACTCTCAAACACCATTCGGTGACAGCACCGCCCCAGTTGAGAATGACTAGGGAGGGTCTCATCAAATTCTACAAGATAACTTTATGAATTAAGAAAAAAAGATGAAAGGTGAGACATTTTCAGTTGCATGTCTCTGATAATTATTCCCACAACTGAGAGATTCAATTATCATTTTGAATGTTTACATTTCTCACTGTTTCTTTTAACCTCTAAATGTACATTTTTGTAAATCAAGTAGTTGGAACTAAATCCAACACTGATAATTGCCATTTCAAACACTGATCTGAAAAGTGAATTAGAAGCTGTACAATATCATCATTAGAAATTCTGCATATGGCTAATAAATATTCCTTTTAAAATTAATAGAGTCTAAAGTCTTCCAAATGATCTTTACAGATAGAGTGGGACACTATAGAATTCTGATTATATGATTTAGATTTTAGGGATGTTTTAACATTTTCAAACCACTAGAAGGACATTGGGAACAGAAAGTAATAGAGCCAACGTCACGTGGTAATGATCAATAGTCCAGTTCTACGAGGAGAACAATTTTAAGCTCTTCACTGAGGCCAATTCTGCTGTATTCTAATTCCTTTTAGGTTCTTGGTGGTAGAGTAATGAGCTATGACCATCTCTGGAATACTGGTGAGGAAAATGGCAGCAGTAAAGAAATGAGGAAAATATTACCTAATTAATGATAAAGTTAGGTCCAGTACAGAGTCCTGTTATTTTTCTCTTTGGCCCTATTTGGCTGCTTTTATTAATGCATCAGAACTTTATGTATAATCATATGGATTTATACATAAATTAAGAAAAAATGTCCATTTCATTCAGTTCATATGTTCTAAACGTATTGCTGATCATTCTTAAATGAGACTCCAGGTTTACATTCTTACATAAAGTGCAGGGATCCCGAAGTTAGCCCCAAAGATCCCCTTGCCTTTTTCAGACTTGCTCAAATGTTACCTTATCAGTGGGGCCTTTCCTGACCACACTTTAAAAACCTCAACACCCACCCATGGGCCTTGTCCTCCTTCCCGGCTTCATTTTTTGGCATATACTTATCAAATGTGAACATATGATGCATTTGCTTTATTTATCATCGATCTTCACTCACTGGCATGTAAGCTCTGTGAGTGCAAAGATTTTCATCTAGCTATCTTCCAGAACAGTGTCTGGCACAGAGAAGGAGCTCTATGAATATGTGTTGAATGAATGACTATCTTTGCCTTGTAAACCCCATGCTATTGGCTCTCTCTTCAGGTGGCTGACCACTGCACCCCAGGGCATGCTGGAAAGACAGGAGTCCCAAGCCCTCCCTTCTGCTCTACTCCAAGCTTTTCTTCTTGGGTGCATTGACTCAAGTCAGGTAGTACTTCTCTATGTCTGAGCACAGACAGGCTGTGTTCATGTATTTGTACATATGTGTGAATAGACAGAGAAACTAGTAGCATGGGTATGTGGGGGAATCCATCTTTTAGGGAGAGATTTATCTACTGTTTTTGTGTTTAGTCTCACCTCAGACCAGGTTAAGCTGGCCAGGGCTCATAGTTTTCAAAGAGCAACAGAAAAAATCTGTTTAGCTTACATTCTAAGCATGTTCTCTTTATCTTTCCTGAAAGCTATCCACTTTTAATTTCATCTCATACTACAGAGAAAATATTATTTGAAACTGATAGCTTTCCAGAAGGTTACTGAAATCACTTATTTTTCAGTGTCTTCACTGGCACCATTCATAGTAGCTAACATTAGCCACTTTCCGTGGGCCTGGTGCTGTGTTAAAGTGCTTTACATATATTATTTCTTTTAATCCGCACAATGATCCTTTCAAGTAGGTACTGTTATTATTCCCACGCTGAAGATCAGCAAACAGACGCACAAAGATAAAACAATTTTCCCAAGGTTGTCAAGCAACTGAGCCCAGGATTCTGAGTGACAGTCAGACTCTGATCCCTTTCTTCATCACTATGCCACCTAGACTGCTGTACACCTCACACCCAGAACTTTCTACTAGTTATTTCTCCCCAAATGAAGCTGGCACAGCATACTGATCATTATGTGGTATTTTTCACCTCTCAAGGGGCATTAGAAACACGTCACGCTTCAAATTCCAAGAGGCTTTTAATGATCAAATATAGTTAGAAATACTGTTAGATCATATCTATGATGATGTCCTTTCTTTAAACTTCCATAAAAAGACCCACCAAAAATATTTTGGTTTAACAGTCAAATAATGACACTCCTTTCTAATTTAGTTTGAAAAAAGTCTTAGTTCTTTTGCCTCATATATATAATTAAAAGTGTTTTATAATTTAAACAAGCTTTGACAAACAGGTGATAACATTCTGAGAATATCCTTGGCTAGCCAGGTTTTCAGAGCAGTGCCTGTATCTACTTCTAAAACACCAACATTATTAAGCAGGGTTAAAACAAAAAACAACCCTGGTAGGCTAAACTTGATATGGAAAGGACCTGTGCTTTTGCCTAAGTGAGGATAACTTATCTTTACTATTTCTTTTATAATATTTAATTTCCTCTTTAAAATAGCTGAGCATATGCTTAGAATCCTGGATTATTATGCCCCTCTAAAAAACAAACCACCACACATACCCCACTTGCTGGAAAATACAGGAGAGGCATGAACTCACCCCCCTGGAAGCATCCCCTTAAGACCACCTCTTTCTCTTTGTATAAAGCACAAGCACAGCCTTAAATGACAGTGTGTTGTTAAGAGGCTTCCATGGCCAGCAGTGGTATGAAAGTTTGCAACATCTGCTGTTGGTTTCAAATCAGGGTATTTTTCCTTCAAATACATTACTGAGAACACTGCTCAGGCTTTACTTTGAGCAGCTGTGCTCTTTAGTACTAAAAATTCTCAGCACTTAGGTATTTCTGAAGAGCATTTTGTTATAACCTTCTTAGATCATCTCAGTATTGTTGTTGGATTTTGTACTATCAATTCTTTCTTTTTTTTGTTTTTTGAGACAGGATCTTGTTCTCTTGCCCAGGCTAGAGTGCAGTGGTGCCATCATGGCTCACTGCAGCCCTGACTGATTGCTAGGTCTCAAGCAATCCTCCTGCCTTGGCCTCCCAAGTATCTGGGACTACAGGTGTGTGCTACCATGCCAGCTAGTTTTTTAATTATTAGTAGAGACGAGGTCTTACTAGGTTGCTCAGGCCAACCATTTCTGATATTACAGTGTATTGCTATAAGAAAAAAAAAGTATGTCACAGAATTACTACGTGTCAAAGAACAATTAGGAGTTAAGAGTGTTTGTTCAAAATGTAAGTTTTTAAAAATGATTTGAATAAAGGAAATAAAGTCAAATACAAACTAAAAAGTATTCATTAAAAGAAAAAGCCAGAATGTCACAACTTTAAAAGTCCTATATTGTATATAGGATCACAAATTTCTATAATCAGGCACCACATTTGCTGATTCATAAATATACTTCTTTGGCTTAATTCTCCCCCCGTTTTTCTGTAAGCAAAAATAAAAGTAGAATTGATAAGAAATTACGGTCATGTAAATGTGATTGGCCTAAAAATGCAGTGCTTGGCTTTCTGCCTCCTTACTGTTTTTGTACAGACTGAGATAAACAAGTTACTTTTGTGTTTTCCAAACATTTGTGATTTTATTACTTTGCTTTCTGCTTTCATTCACTATTATCCATGTCATTATCCTCCTCCTCACCGTCATCATCATCATCATCGTCACCTTCTGACAAGTCAAAATCACTGAACCCCAGAGCCATGTTGACTTTCTTCCCCCTTCTCTTAGATGTGGTTTTGGAAGAATTCTGCTTGGCTTGCATGTTTATCTGCATCCCAGAATGCATCACAGCTCCTGCTTTGTTCATTGAGAAGATATCCCCAAAGCCCATCAGCATCATGGCCTGCAGACTTGGGTTCATGCCATGGCCCTCCCCGTTACTTGTTGCTGTGATCTGACATGACATCTCTGCACTGTTTGACTCCTCTGTTTTAGATTCAAAGTAAGACTCCTCAGACATTCTTGCAGCAAGAGGCAAGAGAAGCTATCAAAAGGGAAGAAAGGACAGAAGTAAAAAGAGAAATTAGGACCAATTTAAATCAGGAAAATAGATACCACAAAATTAGTTGGCACTACACAGGAGGTAAATGATTAGTGAAATAAATGAATGTAGGGAATTATGTGAGAATTTATTTAATGGCAGATTTGGCTCCAGCATATTTGCCATAATTTATGAATGACAGGATAAATCACAACCAAAAGTTTGCAAAGCACCACAGCAAGCCAAATTTCAAATGGAAAAGAAGTTGCAAGTTTTAAGCCCTCATTTTGCTTAAAACAAAATAGTTTCTAGGATTTATCTTGACTTTTCCCAATTTCACTTTCATAAGGAAACATTTAGTTGACCATTATATTTTTAAAAAAATAAATTAAGCAGAGATTAAATCTCAAATGAAAAATTAAGAAACTTTGTACCCAAAAGAAAAGCTTAGAGGAAGCACAAAAAACAGTTCAGCAGTCTATACAGTTCTAGGGAAATGTGGGTTATTAACTCCCTTTTTATCTGGATTAGTACTCTGAATATACACTAAAAATTAGTCTAGAATTCACTTGCTTCCACTTATTTATTTATTGTAGCCAGAACTGATGTAATACTATTTATTCAAATTATTAAATAATTCACTTGTGAACAAATTCTAGATTCTGTCTCACATTTAAGTTAGACGTAAGTATGTAAACACATGAAAACTGGGAAGAAAGGAAAATAGTGTTAATTTAGATTGTTCTAATACGCTCTAATATTCAAGTTTTCTTCTTTCAACCGAACTTTTTTCTAAGATGTCACCACTCACAGTGGTCACAGACATTATCTTCTACTTTACGTAATTATTTTGAACAGCCAACTTATTCCCATAAATGTTTGGGCATATCTATTTCAGGGGTAAAACTGTTAGCACATGAAAAATGTTACTGCCTCTTCTTTTGAGAAACAAGCAAATCAAGGCTTATGTTTTTGGCATAGTTTCAATATGGATACATTTATGATAAATAATGTACAAATAATATACTGGGATGACCTCTATATTCTGGTACCTAATATTCAGGATCAGTTTCCTTTTTTTTTTTGAGACAGAGTCTAGCACTGTTGCCCAGGCTGGAGTGCAGTGGCACTATCTCAGCTCACTGCAACCTCTGCCTTCCAGGTTCAAGCGATTCTCCTGCCTCAGCCTCCCAAATAGCTGGGATTACAGGCGCCCGCCACCACGCCCAGCTAATTTTTTGTATTTTTAGTAGAGATGGGGTTTCACTATGCTGTCCAGGCTGGTCTTGAACGCCTGACCTCGTGATCCACCCCCCTCAGCCTCCCAAAGTGCTGGGTTTACAGGTGTGAGCCACTGCGCCTGGCCTCAATTTCCTAATTTTTAAAGTGAAGTTGGAGCTGAGTTTTTGAAAAGTAGCTTGTTCTTTTGGGAAAAACCCTCCTGGAGTTGTTAGTTCAATAACTTTAATTTCATATAATTCAACTCAAAGGTATCCATTATATGGAAGAAAACAATTACTTTAGATCTTTAAACATTGGAAACAGGATGTTATTTCCCTTGCAGTCAAACTTCTCAGCTTCTGAAATTCGTTTTCAATTGTTAGATAGTCTCAGGAACTCTTTGTGGCTCATTGCATTATTTTGAGGGTCCTTCCTCACATGAGGTTTGACTCTAAAGATCTCTATAAATGTGTCTCAGATAAGCCTATATTCTTAAAATAAATAAAAAGTTTACATCAAGCTTCAACTATAATTAGAAAATAAACATCCATATTTATGCATAAAGGATTAATCTCCCCAAATATCCTTAACTAATGTTTTAGTTTTAGGAAAGAAAATAGTGCCCTTGAAATTAATTCAATGATACAATTTTTTATGAAGTTACATAAATGTTAAACTTACATAATTAAGATGAGGCCACCTACAGGAAAGCTAAACCTCCAGCCACTTCCTTTTTAAAATGTTTATTTCATCTTTCTCTAAGAAATCTCAGTTAAAGCTAAACAGAAACTGATGTGAGGACAAAAGAAAATACCTACTTACAAAATATCTGAACATAAACTTTCTTTCCTTCAGAAATACCAGCTCTAAGCAGAAGACACATTAAAAGCAAGTACTGTAAAGAAAGAAAACTTATCTCCCATAAGGAAAAAAGAAGAAAATCTCATTGAGATTGTGCTGCAGGCTGTCCATTG
Source organism: Homo sapiens (assembly GCF_000001405.40). Classification (NCBI taxonomy): domain Eukaryota; kingdom Metazoa; phylum Chordata; class Mammalia; order Primates; family Hominidae; genus Homo; species Homo sapiens. The sequence goes on along the minus strand of NC_000002.12, from coordinate 173,218,957 downwards.
TTAGACGGTAGCCCTCAGAGCAGTTCCTTCACAGAAAGTTTTGTGGGGTTAAAAACTCAAGCAGGCAACCTACCGAGCACACAGAGCCTTATTGTAGAGCACTTTATTATTTATTACGCAACTATGTTACTAAGAGCAATAATGTGTGCAAGGCAGCCCATTTCTTAGCAAAACTGATGCCAATAAACTAAAGAAAGGTTCTGAAGCATATATGAATGGGTAAAGTTTTTTCTTACAATACTACATTTAGAAAGAGTCAAGCCATGCAATGCTTTACAGCTTTAGATTTCAATGCATTTTAAAGCAAAACAAAACCTCGCAGACTTCAGAAGCTGTGCTCTAGGGACGAGGTCACATTTTTGCTCCTGTCCCTCATGAGCTCTGGGAGAAGCACTGCTCCTGTGCAGATCCCTAGAGTGAGGCTTTCAGAGGCTGCCTGCTGCCACTCAGCCAGAACAGGAAACTTCCCTCATCGTCTTTCTCACAAGCCAAGTTAAATTCACAGATAAAATGTGGCACTTTTAAAATGTTCCATGATAGTGTTAGGGATAGCAATTCAATTCATTTTGGAATTCCCTGGAGAACCAAAGTCCTTTTTTTCCAAGTTGAATCTGATAATAAACATTTAGCTTCATGGTATTTTCCTTTTTTGGATATCAGGTTGCTTCTCCACACAAGTTGGGAAGGAGACAAACTATTTTATTCTTTAGACACTGGAAAATACTTTGCAATTGGGCACTGGCTGCTTAATGAAGATTAAGACTTTTAAAGATAGGAAAGCTTTTTGAAGATCACAAAACGAGCGGCATTTCAGTATTTTTTGGCATCACCATAGCAACTATCAAAAATGAATTTAAAATATATGTTTACTTTTAATCTACCATTACTTGGGTAATTTTAAGTGAACAAATATTGCCCATTAAAAACCCTGGGAAAAAAAACAATTATAAATTTATACTTAATTCCTGAAAATGTTATGCCATTTAAAATAGGAAAGAATGCTAAAATTTGATTAGACTTGAATAATATATCAGCATGTAAGCTCAAGGTTAGTGTATAACCAGTGAAATGCTTAAAAATAATTTTTATATTCCTCTAAATACAAGACTTGGGAGAAAACAAGATACTGCCTAGGTGTAATAAATACTGAAAGCTTGTCCAGAGAGAATCTTTTTCCAATATTTTGCTGCCCATGATCATAACACTAAATTGAGTACGAAATATTAATGCTTCTCATTTGCATGTCATCATGGTTAGCTCCATTTTAGAAGGAAAACATGGTTAAGTTCTGACACATCAAAGACTCTGTTAGTCAGTGAGCTGCTGGAGTTACAGTTATTAATGACTGAGTGACTAGAAGGAGTTAATCAGCACCGAGGTGCATGTTCTGAGACTGAGCAGATGGTGTGAAAATACATCGGATTTTATTATTGTAATTCTAATATATAAACACACTGACAGAATAACAGTTCTTAAGGAAGGAGCCAGAAATAGGATAAGCTTTTCTTTTAAATCTCTGGCATTTTATTAATTGAAATTAGGTATGAACGCTGCTTGAGTCCACACGCGGGCCCTTTAATACACGGGCGCGAGGCAGGAAATGAGGAGGGGGCGGCGGGAGGCAGGGGAAGAGGTGCCATGCTGCCATGCTCAGCTGCGCAGCCTAGAGCCGCATGTGGAAAGACGGCGAAGGGGGAGGGTACTCACCGGGGTGTTGGACTGCTCTGTCAGCTTTTGCTCCCACATCTTTAAACGTCTTTCTCGTTCTTTAAGCTCCTGCTCCTTAAAGCTGAGATCACGCTCTAGTTTCTTTAGCCTCTCAAGAGTTGCCTCAATTTCGCACCTGCACGGGGATAGCTGGTGTAAGTCTCAACTTTACTTAAGAGACATCAAGCGCTTAGTGGGTCCATCAGAATGCTAATCAAAGTAAAAGACACATGCTGGTGCTTTAAAATCAACCAGGTAACTGCCGGAGGAGAAGGAATCTTTCATGTCCTTAAATATCAAGGGTAGTTTCTAGCTTGGAAAAATAAGCTCAAAATATTTCAACAAAGTGTTGAAGGGCCACTGGGGTGCAGCATAACCTATGGAGCTGGTGTCCTGGTACAGCCATTTAGTAAATGCTTACATTTATCTAGCTTTTTACAGTTCATAAGTGATGTTATATATGATCTCATCTTATTCCCATTAACAGTCCCAAGAAACAGGTATTAATCTCATAGTATAGGTGGGAAAATGATATTCAGGTTAGGTGGTCAACAACACACCATCAGTAAGTGGTTGAGATGACACTTTAGGCTACACATTGGCTGAGTAACCCAAGCAATCAATTGACTAACCTGTCTCAGTTTCCTTGGTTGTAAGGGGTGGTGGTTATAGTACATTAGGGTTCTCCTACCTGCCTGATCCTTAGACTTACATAGGCAACTTGTTTTTTAAAAAAAAAACACACCAGAACCCAGCAAAACATGGATTTCTAGGACCCTTCCTTAGAGCTCATGAGTCAGTAGGCCTGGGTGGGACCCTGGAATTTTCATTATTTTATAAAAGACCCGAGTAATTTTTACAATCAAGCAAGTGTAGAAAACCCTGGGCCAGATGAACTCTAAGGTTCCTTTTAATTCTAATAATTTTTAAAGGAAGTTATCCCCTTTGTGCCTATAGGCCAACCAACCTCACCACTTGGAACCATGTGCCATGTTACAGAAATCTGTTCTTCACAGAAAGTGGAACTGGTACCATGGCTCAGCACAAATGTTTTTCTCCTTTAGGGCTGTTGCAATGTTTAAGTCTAAATCTATGTTTTGAAAACTGGAAGCTCTTTCCCTTGAGTTTCTGAAAAGCCTTTAAGTAAGCCACAATACTGAGAGAATGAGGGAGAGGGGAGAGGGAAGTCAAGGCTAGAGAAGGCACTGGAGAGAAGGATGCAGAAGAAGATGGGAACTGGGTGACTATTGCAGAATAGCTGCTGGGTGCTGCCAGCTACTGCTTCCAGGTGCCACTGAGGCAATCCTGTGTTGTGATGGCATAATCATGATTGAGACGTTGACTATGGAAGGTAGAAGCCCCCACATCTAAGTTAATGAATATATGTAACCAAAGTCTGCCTTTTTCTTTCTAGGGAGAATAAGAGTAAGTGAACAGTTTACTCTTACTGGAACATTCCAATGCTCTTACAGATAATAACTAAGTGAATGAAAACAAAAAGTTCAGGCATTCACTGGCAAAATCCAACTCTGAACAGGTATGGAGGTGGGTCTGGATTTGGCTCAACATTTCACTTCGCTACTCGTCTGAAATGCACCTCAGAGCAAGGGAGGCAGCAATCAGGTGTAAGTAGCTTCTGCTGCACTGCCCACAAATATCAACACCCTGTGCCTTTTACTGGTGCCATCTGAAAAATCATAAAAGGCTATAAGTCCCATTACTGTCCCTAAAGAAGGCAGTGAATCAGCAATTTTTCAGAATTATGACTGTACCATAAAATCCAAATTTTATCCCTGATATTTCTGACAAAAATATTATGCCTATGCACGTAAACAAAGTTTTTATTTTTCAATGGAGGACTGAGGGGAAAAAAACGTGAAAAACCTTAGGGTAAATTTTTGTCACAAAAAAAGAAAAGAGTGAGCCATCTTCAGTCAGTGAGGCGGTCAGAAGGCAGCAAGGAGGTGGTGGAGCTGGGTGCCCTCAGTGTGCGATGGCAGAGGCCTGGGGACAGCATCTACACAGCGCTTCTGCCGACCCAGTCCCCACACCCCTGCCAGTGAGACAGATTGACTGATGTTCTTTTAGACCAGGGTAAATGGCCACTACATTCTATTTCACTTGTAATTTAAGCCAAAGATGCATCTCAAGTTCCAGCTTTGAGAGCCTACTGCGATTTTGAGCACTTCCAGAAAACAGATCAAGAGTTAAATGGACGGAAAGCTGTGACACAGAAACAAACACCAAGTAAATCTCCTTCCTCAATCTGTCTCTCAGGCTCAGCTTTCCAACAGCACTCCCAACACTGCAGAGTCAAATCGTGTGTGAGGTTATATGCCATTAGAGATGTAACCCCAACCTGGAGATGACAAAAAAAACAGCTGCTCCCTTGGTTTTTTTGGTGCATTGTTGTGCATCAAATGCATTTGTTGATATATTTATATAAACTTCTTGTTCTAAAAATATAGTTTAAATGTCTTAGTTGATGAAAATTATGGTCTTCTTGTAAGCCAAATCCAATCAAGGTCAATGTCAACTAGTATCAATTTTCCATATGCCAAAAACAGGCAATGAACCGTAATTATCTTCTTTCCTCAGATAGAAACTTACTTTGAAATAAAAGGTCAATTTGTAAAAAGAGTGATATAGAATATATATTACATGATAAATGTATAATCTGTTTATTAAATGTGTTATATATTACATGATTTGTGCAATTGCAAAGGTTACATTTTTGATCTCTGGTTTTTTAAGAACGCACGTCATGGTGAGAGTACTTTGGTCACCACGGGAAACACAACCAACCAAGTGTTTTGCCAAGAGACACAGATCGGAACGCTCATCACAACACTGCATGGCTCATTCAGTGCAGGTTGCCACAGGTCTACAGTCACATGGTTAATGAAAATCCAAAACAGGACCAACAGGATGACACATTTTCTGTTCTTAATGCTCATTGCCATTATTGCTAGTAAGTCAATGGGAGGAGAAATAAGCTGAAGATCTGATGACTGAGGAAAAGTCTGACACTAGATTTTGTTCCTATCATTTATTAGGTCAAAGGAAAGAACACAGTTTATGTGGTTTTTAATAATGTAGTTTTAAAAAGAATTTCAGAATAACCATTCAGTTTTCTAAAAATACAAGTTGCATCTGGTCTGTATGTAGAGGAAGCTCTGCCAGAAAATAATCATTTGCCAGAAACACCACAGCAGGATTGGAATCAGGCTGCACTGTGATCACGGTGACTCTAATTTACTAAAACACTCTTTGGACACTAGTCATGTGGTTTCAGACACTAGATAAAAGTTGGGGGGAAAGGGGAGTAGTCTGAATGTGTTGTCTTTTGAAATGTTGAGATTATCTGATAAAAACATATAATTCTTTTCAGCAGTTTACATATTGAGTTAGACACCTTAATAACCTAAAATGATCATGCCCTGTAATATTTCTCTTAGCTAAAAAGGAATTCAGTCAAGTGAATATTGCATGCTAATGAGAAGACAGCACAACAACGGCCACAAGTCTAGTAACCGCACTGTACAGCATGGGTGCAAGGGCAGGCCTGTGCTACCAGACCACCTGGGTTCTGTTACTGTATTCTGTACTGGGTTCTGTTCTCAGTTCTGTATGATTTTGAGCAAGTTACTCAATTTACCTTTGCATCTGTGATATAATTTAGGGTTGCTATGGGGATTAAAAAAGAAAATCTAAATGAAGTACAGGCATCTGGTAAGAACCTAATAAGTGACAACTGTGTTTATTATTAAAATTACTATTACAGTCCTGTTTTTAACCAATTGCCTGCTTCAGTGAAAACAGCTCTACTGCTTCTCAAACTGTGGTTTACTGGTTCAGGTCAAGATATATATTCTCTCTCCAGCTCTCAGAACAGGATTAACAGTTCCTGAAAGATGAGGAGGCCCCTTAGGCAACTGTACGCCTTTTACTAAAATACTTCACTGTCTTGTATCTCCTTTTCCCCCCCGTTCTCAATCATCAATTTTATTTCCCTCACTTTCATCTTCAAGCATTTTAAAAATTGAATTTATCATCCAACTAGTCCATGTTTAATGTGGAAGAAGTAGGGAATAAAGATATACAAATAAAAAACACTCTCTATAATCCCATTACCCAGTGATAACACTGACTTTTTGATACTTTTCTCTGTGTACATATACACAATAATATATATTTATTTTATAAAAAATAGAAACATTCTAAACAAACTAGACTGTAGGGTCTACTTTGAAATCATTTATCAGATCTGTGATTTTAGGAATGATCATATTCTGTATATGGAGATACCATCATTTTAAATTTATTTTAATTCTCTGTTTATTGCACTTTATACCATTTCTGGTTTACCCTTTTCAGTGATGTTTTGCTGAATAAGTGTCCCTACATTTTTGCACAGCCTTCTCATTTCTTTTCTTTTTTTTTTTTTTTTTTTGAATAGGATCTCACTCTGTAGCCCAGGCTGGAGTGTCGTGGCCAGATCTCGGCTCAATGCAGCTTTGACCTCCCCAGCTCAAGTGATCCTCCCACCTCAGCCTCCCGAGTTGAGTAACTGGGACCACAGGTTAGAGTCACAATGCCCAGCTAATTTTTAAATTGTGAGTAGAGATGAGGTCTACGTTGCTCAGGCTAGTCTTGAACTTCTGGGCTCAAGCAGTCTTTCACTTCGGCCTCCCAAAGTGTTGGGATTACAGGTGTGAGCTACCACGCCTGGCCTTGTTGACATACTTTAAAAGACTCCCTATCTTGGTATTAAAATCTTACTAATCCCTTCGGTAATAGATCAAATAGCATTTTCTCCAAAATCCTTTTACTATGTCCTTGGACTAGATCAGATTTCATGGCCATATGCTCTCAGACATCTAGTATATTTCTCTGTCATAATACTTGTCAAAATAGAAATGCGATAGTTTTGAATATATTTAATAGTTTAACATTGGACACTCGGGCTGGAGAGCTCCACATGCCCTGGGACTCTTGTGCTCATCGCTACAGCCCAGTACCCGAATGGCAACAGTCGTTCTCACACCAGCAGAAGTTCAATGAATGGATAATGAATGAATGAACATAAGAAGTACTTTTGTCATGGCAAACATACATATTTATATTCTCTTGTATAATATCACAATCTCTTTTTATATTATTACCACCATGGTAATTTTCTCTCTTGCTTCCCCAAATATTTACGGAGCAAATGCTGTGTTCAAGGCACATTTTGATGCTGTGAGTGATGAACAAACGTGATTGTCTGCCTCTCTTATATTTCAGCCCGTGAGACACACATTAAACAACTAACTGCCGAATTACTTCTTTTTTTTTGAGACGGAGTCTTGCTGTGTCGCCCAGGCTGGAGTGCAGTGGCGCGATCTCAGCTCACTGCAACCTCTGCCTCCCGGGTTCACGCCATTCTCCTGCCTCAGCCTCCCAAGTAGCTGGGACTACAGGCACCCGCCACCATGCCTGGCTAATTTTTTGTATTTTTAGTAGAGATGGGGTTTCACCGTGTTAGCCAGTATGGTCTCGATCTCCTGACGTTGATCCACCTGACTTGGCCTCCCAAAGTGCTGGGATTACAGGCGTGAGCCACTGTGCCTGGCCCGAATTACTTCTTAATTCCAATAGCAGCAAAGCCTATGAAGGAGATGCTCTCAGAGCACATAAAGTGGAACCTGATCTGGCCTGGGGTCAGGAAGTGTTTCCCTGCAGACGTGTTATTCAACTGCCATGTGAATGATGAACAGGAGTTAAGGTGGGGTGTGACGGCAGGCGTGGTACACAGCTGAAATGGGATAAGCTTCAAAGAGAGGAAACTGCTTGTAAAGATCCTGAAAAGGGGAGAAATACGCATCTGTTGAGGGACTGAAAGCCAGAAATTAAGGGGAGAATGATCTTCTTAAGCTGACACTGGTGAGGCCACAGTAATGAGGGTCTGGTGAGTCTTCTTAAGTATTCTGGTCCTTTTCATTTCTTGAGAATGATTCTTGCTCTGTCACCAGGCTGGGCTTGAACTCCTGGGCTCAAGTAATCCACCAGCCTTGGCCTCCTGAAGTGCTGGGATTACAGGCATGAGCCACTGTGCCAAGTATTCTGGTCTTTGTCTTAAGAGTAATGGGAACTCATATATGGATTTTAAAGGAGAATGATCTGATGACATGTATACTGATCTCTTACTGCAAAAAACAAATATTACTTAAATGTTCTGTTTTGTTAATTATCTCAGCCCAGAAAAAAGTCCCTTATACCTAGACTTGAGCTCACTGTATAATTTTTGTATCCCTAAATAAAAATTCATTTACCTCACTAGCCCTAGATAAGATATTTCAAAGGAATAAAAATAAATAAGGTTATTGTAAAACAACAAACAGAAAGCCCAAAGAAGTATCTAGTAACAGGAGTAAACAACGCAGTAATTTTCAAAGTGCATGCAGTATTCATTTGGCATCAGCAGATGGCGTAAGGCGTCATGTTACTGCCCACGGCTATCGGGAGCAGAGATGAAGTTACCTAAATCTCCGCTGAGTCAGGGGGGGAATAATGTCAGCTTCCAAACATGCTATTTATAGTCATGCATCATGTGACCTGGCTCAAATGTTTCATCCTGGGTTTACTCTTCCACTCATGCAATACAATTTTCTCATTACTAAATTTATTTAACAAGCTTTAATAGGATTTATGATATCAAGTTTTCTTTTAAGAGTATTTTTGATGTCTCCCTATCCCCCTTCACTAGCAGACACAGTGCTCAGCGAATTTCAAGGTAAACAGTATTCTTGTTTCTTACACAACAGAGGACAAAGCTTCCTAACAAAGTAAACACAGAGAAATGTCTGGTAACCATCTTTTGTCTCAGAAGACAGGATTTCAATTTTTTTTTTTTTGAGATGGAGTTTTTCACTCTTGTTGCTCAGGCTGGAGTGCAATGGCATGATCTCGGCTCACTGCAACCTCTGCCTCCAGGTTCAAGTGATTCTCCTGCCTCAGCCTCCTGAGTAGCTGGGATTACAGGCATGTGCCACCACACCTGGCTAATTTTTTGTATTTTTAGTAGAGACAGGGTTTCTCCATGTTGGTCAAGGTGGTCTCAAACTCCTGACCTCAGGTGATCTGCCTGCCTTGGCCTCCCAAAGAGCTGGGATTACAGGCGTGAGCCACCGCGACCGGCCTCAATATTCTTTTCAAATACTTACACAAGGCAACAAGCTTGGAGAAACACTATTTCTTGCTTATGAAATGCAGGACTTATAAGAGTTCCAAAATCATAAAAAAAACCTTTTCTTTTTCCCTAAGCTATGGTCAGAAATCAGGACTGTCATTCAGATCTCTGGTTCACTTCTTCATTGAGACGAGTGATGGTCTTTGAAAGCCAGACGCTGTGGCCTGCTGTCGGGGCTACCCACCTCCACTCCGCCTTGTTGTGTAGGAATGAGTTACACTTGTCAGGAAGGCTCGTGTCATTTGACATGGACTCCAGGATTGAAATGATTTGCTTGAATGATGGCCGTTTCTGAAGAAGAGAAAATAAGTAATCATTCGCTGGGACTTAAGAAAGGAGATATTTAAGAGAAAACGTAGATACTACAAGCATAGTAATAAACTCAACCCACCATAACAAAATAAAACATGATACAATGTCCTGATGTAGTTATTTTACAATCATCAGATCACTCAGGTTTAGGGAGCTCTATTCTTTATTTTCGGTGAACTATTCACAAGGAGAGATTCAGATGCTGTTTTCTATCGTGTGGCCTAAGGTTGGGATAATTCATGTTTTTTGTCCAGGAAGGGAGAAAACTAATTCTCTCTTTTAAGAACTCCTAAAAGGAAACAGTGAAGTCCTTTAAAAATCTCCGTGATAAAGCCAGTAAAAAGTTAACAGTAGACTGTGTGTGGTGGGATGTTAGTGTTCACTGTAAAATTCTTTCCACTTTTATGTTTGAACATTTTTATGATAAAGCGTTGGGGGGAAATCTACCTATCAATCTATTGGAACTAATAAAATTTTCCAAATTGGTTTGTCAGAAAAAAAAATTCAGGTACTATGCTGATTATCTGGGTGAGGAAATAATCTGTACTCCAAACCTCCATGACACACAATCTACCTATATAACAAACGTGGCCATGTGCCCCTGAACCTAAAAGTAAAGTAAAAACAAGAAAAAACCCCAATTTTAAAGCCATCATAACTTCACTGTTCTCAATATTTATTTTCTGTTATAATTAGCTTTAGTGCTAAGACACTGTAAGGTACTGTTCACTAGAAATGAGCAGTGGTTAAGTGTGTTTCTTGAGCTGGCAGTAACTATTCTAGTCTATCTCTTTAGACTCTAGCCAAGGTTGAGACAAAAGGTTAAAACAAAAAGAGAAAGATAATAAAAAGGATGATGCACATTCTCTCTTCATCATGCCTCGTAATTACGCCATTACTGAACAAATTATAGTTGCAGCAATTAAAACATGCATTTTAATTTAAGAGCACAAAAACAAGAAGAAACAATGTTGAGGTGGCTTGCTCTCAGGATTTAAGTGCTTCCTACATTACTAAGAAAAGCAATTTTTCCATTTCTCAGAAATATAAAAACCTAGGATATATAATGAGTTCTGCCATTATTATTCTCTTTCAAGGGCACTTGTGTGCATGTGTGTGCCTGTGTCTTTCCTTGAAGAGGGCACACATAGATAAATGTTACTGATATATATTAAGCCTTCTAATAAGCAAAGAGGAAAATGCCCTAAGTAGGAAGCTTGAAAAATGTTCTATTTATCTTCTTTAACTTTGTCCTCCTCTTAATTTCTCCCAGCATGTATCAGGTTTTAAAATGATTTTTTTTTTTTTTTAAGACAGAGTCTTGCTCTGTTGCCCAGGCTGGAATGCAGTGGTGTGATCATAGCTCACTGCAGCCTCGACCACCTGGGCTCACCAATTTTCCTGCCTCAGCCTCCCAAGTAGCGGGGACTAAAGGTGTTTGCCACCATGGCCAGCTAATTTTTTAGTTTTTTATACAGAGGGGTCTCGCCATCTTGCCCAAGCTGGTCTCAAACTCCTTGTCCCAAGTGATCTTCCTGCCTCAGCCTCCTAAAGTGATGGGATTACAGGCATGAGCCACTGTGCCTGGCCTGAAAAATGTTTTAATCATTTGCATAAGAACTAATTATATAATAAAGGATTTTCATTTTGCAAGGAAAAGCAGCAGGAAGAGCTAATGAATTTTTAAAGAATAATTTCCCTACATTTAATCATTCTTAAAATAAGGTGAAACTCTTCTGTAATTGGATGACCAGCATCCCTAGAAAAAATTTAATTTTATAGTCAGAACCTACTCTTGGATAGAGGTTATCAAAGTGAACATTTAAGAGGTGATAACAATGTAGATTTTTGTGGTAATAATATTCTATGAGTATTCTGGTTACAGAATACAACACTTTGTCTAGGATCTTATATAAATTCCTCTGAAGCGGATTAGGTTCCTTTTAGGCATCACATAGGATTTGCTTATTCAAAAAAAAAAAAAAAACTGGGACCATTTGTGAAGCATCTACATACATTATTTCTCTATTTGTTATCTTCATTTTATAGGTAAGGACCACAAGTCTCAGAAGAGTAGGAAGTGCCCAGCATCACACAGGAAGCAAGTTACAGAACCAAGGGCTCTGTTCATAAACTGTTCAACATCTTTTATCACATAAGGGTAAGATACTACTTCCTATTGAACTTATGACTTCAACTTACTATTATTATTTGTGGAGACGGCGTCTTGCTCCATTGCCCAGGCAGGAGTGCAGTGGTGCAATCTCGGCTCAGTGCAACCTCTGCCTCCCAGGTTCAAGTGATTCTCCTGCCTCAGACTCCCAAGTAGCTGGGACTACAGGAACGCGCCACCACGCCCAGCTAATCTTTTGTATTTTAGTAGAGACGGGGTTTCACTGTGTTGCCTGGCTGGTGTCCAACTCCTGAGCTCAGGCAATCTGCCTGTCTTGGCCTCCCAAAGTGCTAGGATTACAGACGTGAGCCACTGCACGAGACCAACTTATTTTTTTCCCTATTTAGAAATGTCATTTTAGGACCTGAACCAATACCCACCTTTCCTTTTTTTCTCCTTCTCTTCAATAAAATATTTTGAGCACCTGTTGTAAGCCACTAGAAGGACTTGACATTTACCTAATATCAGCTTTCTCTTGCATACATCACCACCCCGCCCCCGACCCTCATTGCAAAAGAACAGCAGTTCTATAGGTGGGCTGAATATTTTAATCTAGATGTTTGTTAATACTCTAAAAATTTAAGGACTTAAAAAAAAAAAAAAAGAAAGTACTTTATTGCTCTACATATGTGCATAGGACTGGCACTAACTTCTGGTTGAATTGCTACGTATTTCTAGCCAGAAAATGGATGTACCACTCAGGAAATTTACTGTGGTCTGGCTACTTCAGGCAACAACAAATTTGGCATCCACTTTCCAAATTGATGTAATGTGCAATAGGCAAATACATGTAACAATTACCTCTACACCCTTATAAAGCTTGCCGTCCATCTAGGAAGAAAATATGTCTTTAAAAATACAGCTGTACCAGGTAAGGCCCAGACTGTGGTTTAGGAAAAGTGCTAAGCCTGGGGTGGGATAAATAGAATAACCAAGGAAGACTTGATGATGAAGTATTCAGAGGAGAAAGTAAAGAAGGAAGAGAACTTGTTTGGGAATGAAAGTATGTAAGGTGTGTCTAGAGGAGATCAGCAGTGAGAGAGTTGGAAATGTGGGCCGTGGCCAGGTATATAACCAAATCAAATACAGGGGACATGTCACTGTTTAATCAGAATAAAATGACATGAATTTAGAAAATAAAAATCAATCTTAAACTTCCTTTATACTTCATGTGGCTGGAATGCAAGATTTCTTTGGTCCTAAAGAAGGGTTAGCTTACTACATTTAAAGACATGCCAGCTGCACAGCTTCAAGACTGGGCCTAATGTTCTTGTTGTGTAAGGTGGATGTACCATAAATGTACATTCTTAGAATTTTAATTAATGTGGTACTGAGTGCTCAATTAAGAAACTCAAAATTTGCTTTGCATACTGAAATCTAATCACAATTATAGAGATCTAGCTGCAATAATCAAATTCAATGCAAATAATTTCAGGCAAAATTTCTATTTATGTATCAGAGAGAAACATATGTCCAAAATGACTTCTACATCACAATGGACATATAACTAGTAAGAAGGGTAGGGAAGGGGTAGTATGATACCATTTTAACAGTATAAAATAAATGTTTTAAAGCAAGCTTGAAAATACGTGCTTATAGTTTCTACTGAACTAGTTGCAAAGTGTAGGCATTTCTCTTAATGCTTAAAAATCCCCATTCTACAAAATCATGTACTAAAAAGGAGCAGGGCAGACCATTCAAAAACCATGCAACTGTGTCATCAAATACTAATAAAAAGAACAACAATCCTAAATAAAATACTAACACAGTTTAAAAAGATTATTCTTTAGTAAAAATAATACTAGGAATATCTAGGACTCTACTTAAAAAAAAGGGTAAGGGAAGTCTAAAGACCAGGAGTGAAAGCAAAGATTTTGCAACATGTACGCAGCACAGTTTGTTGCTGGGAGAACCAGCAACAAATTCTTCCAAGTTAAGCCAAGCCAAGCCAAGAAGGAGCACGTGGAGTGAACAGGCTTCATGGCACTGGTCCCTTGCTGCCTTGTTGGCTGCATTATTACACTTTGTGCTCAGTGCAGAACAATGTGTTGGGAAACATTATGAACCATCAACATGAATTCTGTGTTATACTAACATAGTCCCCAGTCTCCATTCTCACCAATTGCTTCTGAGTTAGTTATTCCCATTAAAGAAACATATTGTAGAAGAACAGAGTATATTTTATGGCCATTCTTCTTGGGGGTCAGATTGGAACAGGGTTTACATTCAGTAAGAAATTTGATTCTTTAGTCTTTCTTTTTAGTCTCTGTTTAAAAGATCAGTTTTAATACCTCTATTTCCACAAAAAACTGGACAAATTTAAACTATAAAACTTTTGTTCCTTTCTTGAGTGTAACTGCTCTCTTATTCTAATCTTTAATCTGTGAGAATATGTTTTATTTTATTTATTTATTTTTTTTTTTTTTTTTTTTGAGACAGAGTCTCGCTCTGTCACCCAGGCTGGAGTGCAGTGGCGCAATCTTGGCTCACTGCAAGCTCCGCCTCCCGGGTTCATGCCATTCTCCTGCCTCAGCCTCCCAAGTAGCTGGGACTACAGGTGCCCGCCACCACGCCCGGCTAATTTTTTGTATTTTTAGTAGAGGTGGGGTTTCACTGTGTTAGCCAGGATGGTCTCGATCTCCTGACCTCATGATCCGCCTGCCTCTGCCTCCCAAAGTGCTGGGATTACAGGCGTGAGCCACCGCGCCCAGCCTATTTTTTATTTTTTAACTCATTATGGAAAATTCCAAAATATACAAAAGTAGAGATAACAATATAATGAACCTCTATATATTATCACTCAGCTTCAAAAATTATCATGGCCAATCCATTTTAATCTATACCATCATCCATTTCCCTTCACTTTGTTTTGAAGCAAATCCAAGACTAGCCTATCATTTCATCTGTAAACATTTCCATATGTATGCGAGAGTCTTTTAAAATGATCTTTGCAGGGAAAGGATATGGGCCATTCATGCTCAAATGTGATAACCACATGAAAGCCTAAGCTTTGGAATTTCTCCAACTCTATTGTGGAGCTCAAAAACATCACTGAAGCTGGACAGGCAGTACATATCAAGATGCTCTAGAAGCGCTACTTTTGTCTGCTCTTTGGCTAGAAAAGCAAAATAGTGCAGTGGTTAAGAGCAGGGACTGTGCCAGACCTAGTTCATGTCCAGCCCTACTACCTACTAGCTGTGTGGCCTTGAGCTCATGATGTAACCTCTGTATGTCTTGGTTCTTCATCTGTTAAATGAGGATAATTGAGGCATCTATTTCATAGAGATATTCTGAGGAATAAATGAGTTAACATACATAAAGTGTTTGGAACAGTGCCTGGCATATTCTAAGTACTGTGTCTTAGCCATCTCAATAGCATATAGGTGCAATAGTTATTACTAAAAATTAAAAACAAAATAATAAAATTATTTATACTGAATTCAGAATGTCAAAGCGTGCTATGAGAATGAGTTAATAATGAGTCTCTAGAGATCAAGATTAAGCAGAATGTCAACAGAAAACCTTAACAGTCAATCTGGGGCTCATAGGAGCATCAATCCAGCTTTGCTTTGTAATGAATTTTATTACCCTAAGTTTTAAAAACTGAAAGCCAAACAAGAGAAATTTCAGAATTCTAAACAATAACAAAAATACATATGTATACCTTGGCATCAGCTTCCCAACACTGATGTAACAGTTCAGCAAAACTTCTGGGGCAACTGCTTGGAATGGTTAATCTCTACAATAGACAGAGGGAAACAAAACAAAATAAAACAGGGATTTATTCATTAATGTCAGCAAACACCGTATCTGAAGGGTCATAATAGAGTTATTTTAAGAACATAAGGCATGAAATTTAAAGCTTCCATTGATTAATATGTGACAAGTGACAATTTATGTTTAGATCTGTAATCTCTAAAGACTCATACTTTTTCTTGAAAGGGAACTGTAGTGAACGGAGAAGTCAGGTTCAGTACAACTAATGCAACAAAACATAAAATATCTAAACAGAACTACAGTAGGAGGGGGCAAGTCGGAACTTAAATATTAAATATAAAACCATATGTCACTGTATGTTTATAGGCAACTTGCGATATATGTAAATAGGCCAGGTAACTAGAAACCAGTTTAGCTTTGGCAGTAGGTATACAACTCTGAAAACATCTGAGCACAGATCACAGAGATAATTTTAAAAACTCTACATTTCTCAGTGGTAAATAAGACATTCTGAACGTATGACTGATTACGGCTTTGTTTTGGTCAAACCCATATACTTTAAGGACCCGATACAACAAAAATTATAATGTGAGGATGGTCCTGTTCTAACATCCTACAGTGGTGCTTCTCATAGAACTTGTGGTGCCTCTATTCCACAGAAGCATTTTGTGTTTGTTTTAGAGACTGGTGGGTTGCAACCGACTTTTAAGTATAACAGGTCAGGAATGCTAGACAATTCAATATACCATACTATCCTGCATAACCAGGAACTCCCCTGTATCCCACAAAATTTCAAATGCCCCATTTACATTCATGTAAGTAAAACAAGCAAACAATGAAGTTTATAATTTTCTGGGCCTAGAATCTAACTCTAACTTACAAATAAACACAAAGTATTCTTTTGAACAGTTTTAAGATACACTGAACTCTGCAGAATGCATCTACCAAATAAAATAAATCAAAGGCTTATTGATTCTTGCATGATTCATAACTTTATCATGATTTCTGACATAACAACAACAGTGCTACTCCCAGTACTGGAGTCGTTAATACAACCCAACTCCATCCGGGTGCATTTGTAGCTGCTGAGTTCTATTTATCCCCTAAAACTGTTCCAAAATCTCCTCTGGTGTGGTCATGCTTGAGCATTTGTACACTGGAAAACATCTTTCATTTATTTCTCTTTTATATTACAGTTAGAGCATTATGTTAACTTACAATATAATGTGTGTAGGTAGTTGTGTTACCTTTGAATTTCACCTCAAGGGAGTGTAAGGGGTTGTTAACATAGTTGTTATAAAATGAGCATTGGGTGTGATGGAGTTGAGAACTGCTGTAATAAGTATTAAGACTTATTCCACAGTTCTGTTTGCCAAAGAAGTTTTGCAAATAAAAAACTTAAAACTGAACTTGGCTGGATTTGGGGGAGGCTATGAGAAGCTAGAAACATAGTTGCCTTGACAAGAAAACTGACAACCTGTATTCTGAATTACAGATAATCCTAAAATCAAAACAAAGTTGAAAAACAAAACAACTCTCTCCAAACTAAAGGCCGTGCTAAGCACTTTCAAACTTCTAGTCTTGTGATTTCACAGAATAGGACAAGATGTATTAAACTGTACTATTATTTTACTGTAAACTGCAGACCTTTTGATGAAGGTTAAAAAAAAATTCAGGTGTTTACTTTTTTAAATATAAAATGGTTGGGGGCTGGGAATTAATAAAAGTAGACTATAATTGCAATTATGCACTTGAATGTACTCTGTAACTAAAAATAATGAGTTTTCGTCAAGGGTAACATTTTTCAGTACAACTGTGTCTCAACATTTTCCTGAGAACTGAATGTGAGCTGGCTGAATATGGAGGATGATCATTTCTGTGATCTTTTCTTACTGAAAAACTGTTTAGATACCACATCGAAGTCATTACACAAGGAAACACAATTATTTTAAATAATCTGACATGGCCAAATATCAGTTAAATCTAGACTCAGACACTTTATGCAATGGATTATTTTGGTGCGTTAAAAAGTACTTTAAAATAGAATTCAAATTATTTAAGTCCTGATTACATAACTGTGGGCATTCCTAATACATGAAAACATTCTGAAATAACCAGATCTTAGCACCAGGTTTGCAATACTACTTAAAACAAATATTTTTAAATAAAAGTTTCAAATTAAAATATTTCCCAATCACTAAATTAGGCATGACATTTTTAAAAGAGCATATTCATTTTTGCACCATTTTCTACATAAGATGTAAAATTTTTTTTAAGTCAAGTTTTTATCTTTTTCTAAAGTATAGTCAAGAACAGTGGATTAAGTCTTATGAAGATTTCTGTTAGTCAAATAGTTTTGTTATTTAGAACAAACACATATGTAAGAATTTAAGTATTTATAAAAATAGAAATTATGCTACCAGAACATTCTGAATGATCACTGATTGAGTACCATGGAAATGACAAAAGCAAATATATCCATCTGTTCCATTTAAAAAATTTATGAGTAATGCCCTCTTAATTTCATGCCTTCTATAAAGGTTCATTGTTTACTTTGTAAAGTTTAGCAGTGCTTTATGAATCTAGTTTTAATAGGATTTAATATTAGAAATATGACTGTTTAAACATCTTATTTTATTATTAAGGGATTAGAAGCAAAGATCTTCAGATATAATTTTTAGAAAGTATTGATTTTTCTATAGATGCAAAAAGTAATCTTAAATGGTGAAAATGAATAAGGTCTATTGTCTGGGTAAGAGTAATGCGCCAATCTCAATTGCCTGGTCTTGACAGTATACTACAGACATGTAAGATTTCACCAGTGAGGGAAGCTGGGTGAAGAGTACACAAATTTCTTTAGTTTTTGTTAATTTAAAAAACTTTTTTGGCCGGGCACGTTGGCTCATGCCTGTAATCCCAGCACTTTGGGAGGCCGAGGCAGGTGGATCACTTGAGGTCAGGAGTTCAAGACCAGCCTGGCCAATATGGTGAAACCCCATTTCTACTAAAAATAAAAAAACTTTTTTGAGTCAGGGTGTCACTCTGTCACCCAGGCTGGAGTGCAGTGGTATGATAATGGTGGCAGCCTTGACCTCCCGGACTCAAGGGATCCTCCTACCTCAGTCTCCCCAGTAGATGGGACTACAGGTATGCACAACCACACCCAGCTAATTTTTTGATTCTTTGTAATATTTTTGCAAACTCCTGTGAATCTATAATTATTTCAAAATAAAAAGTTAAAAAAAAGACAACTCTAATACTTGGATATAGATATTATAGATGACTAGATAACATTTAAAATGTCTTCCTGAACACTTGAACATGTCTTTCTTTATTTAAATGAGGCCTGTTAAAAATACGACTTTCTCTTTTCAACCCATAACCCAAAATATTCAATAGTAAAAATACAGTAAAAGAATTAGAAGTTGAAGGGATTTTGTAAATTATGTTTAAGTCAAAGCCTCAATTTTGTTATGAAATGAAATAAACCCTTGTGAATTATCTTTATGCTATGTCAACAGAATTTATTTTGGAAATGGATACCTCCATTTGTGAGGTGAAATGAAGATACCTTCTTAAATGATGATGTTGAAACTTACATTGAAACTTAATTTCCATATTTTTGACAAATAAATATTGTACAGAATGAGAATAGCAGATAAATATCCTTGTAATACCCAATTTTACTGAAGTTCATTAGAAAGTTGAGAAAATGTATTTCACCATGTAGGCTTTTTTCAACTAACTATTATATTTAATGAATACAGTGTGGGAAGTATTTGAGTAGTCTTCATCAGTTATTAGCTGATCATCAGAACATATCATGAATAAAATAGTAAACTCTACTTTCTGGGATCTCTGGGGAGAAAAAAGACTGCTTCTGCATGTATAATGTTGAAGAGGTTCTGAAGGTTATTCATGGGTGATTCCAATCCTCAAGTCAACTATCCAGGCAGCTTCTAAATTCATTTTTTTCTTCAGCTTTAAAAATCCTTCACGGATACTCCAATGTTTTAAAAAGTGCTTTAAATTTATATCTATTCTGCCACCCTTTAGATATTATTTAAAAATATTAATTATTCTGTCTTATACATATTTGGAGGGTCCAGTTAGCTAAAAAAACAAAAACAAAACAAAATGAAAAAAAAAAAAAAACAACCTTTCTCCTAGTTTATCTTGGAATAGTGCAGAGGGAAAAGATTACACTGAATGTTTTGGTTCCAGAGTCTACACAAGGTCAGTAATTTTCTTTGCTTTCATTTGTAAACCCAGAACAAGATCTCTAATCATCTTACTGGCAAAAGAAATACAACAGAAACAAGTGTTTCCTCATATGACGACAATATCAGTCATCCTGTGTGTAAGATCTTATTTAATAGCACATGAGGAATTACTATCACTTTTAATTAAAACAGAACAGCTCCTGTGAAACAATGAGTAAGGCACATTCTTGCATATAACTCCTTTTCATTTCTTAAATTGGCAGCTCTTTCCCATCAGTTTCAGCTATCATCAACATTTCATCCACTCCCAATGAATCAGGAGGAAAAATTATATGGTAACTCTGGATTATGTGATCTAAAAGATGGAAACTTGGTTTCTCCTAGTCAATAGCAGCTTTTTGATTAATCTAGTTTGTTCCTGCATTCACCTGGGAAGCAGATGAATCTAATTCTTTTAGAGCATTAAAAGGGAATATTTTTATATATTCACCTTTTTGCAAATTATTTTATTCTAAGGTTGCAGTCTTACCCTTTGTGGAGAGCACAGATAAGATTTGGAAATGAAGAAGTTTTGTGAAATAAAGTAGTTTTGCATTGCAAAGACAACTGCTTGCTTCCATTACATGATCTAAGTTCTCATAATACCTTGATATTGGATGCTTCATCCTTATGCTGAGAATTTCCATGGCTGTGCGTTTCAGTCACAATTTTAAACCTTTCAAAATGTAGTTGCTCTCTTTGATATGAATGTACCATGTTCTCTGATGTAGGCTCATAGGTCCAACTAACTGAAAGCCTCAATTTGTGGGAAGAAGAGAAGCGAGGCTGGGGACACAGCACAAACGGTGTTTACGCCACTGAAGTTCTTTTGAAATGGAAAGGCTCTGCATGAAGAAGCGAACAGTTATGCCACTGCCTCGCCAATTCCAGTGAGGAGCTCATCTTCAATGTAGTGTTCAACGTAGGTGGCAAAACTGTAATTTTTCCCTTTTTTGAAACTATTTTTTCTTCTTTTATTTTTGAAATTCTCATCTAAGCGACAGTTTCTTGTACTATAGTGACTCCTGCTGGGAGAGGTAAGTTGAAGTAGCTGAAGGTCTCTTACAGATATATCAACTCCCGGCCAGTAAAAAAGATGTCCTAAACGCAGGAGATGGAGTTAAACTGTTCCCCTACCTTGGACGCAATGGCTTCTTTCATCACTAAGAACAAACCCCTAGGTTTTACAATTGAGACTGAGAAACTAGTACAGTACTTGTACAATTTTTGATCTACAGCATCACGACGTGAAGCTGCAACAATTAGATGTAAAGGGTCCATTCATGAGGAATAACATCACTTTGACCCTTTGTGTTAGCTCCTACTGCTAATCTTTCCATAAGCGTGAACTTACTTTCAATTTGAAGAAGATGAAAAAGTCTTTTGCAAAACCCCAATACTGTTTTCTGATCTATGTACCTGAATGGAGAAACGTAGTCTTACCTCGTTTTTTTCCACTACAAGCCAAGCTACTTGTAATCCTTCCAAACCTTTAAAGGGGACCTCCCTTGTTAGCATCTCCCAGAGAACCTGGAACAAAAAGAAAATGGAATTTTTATTTTTGTACTTTATATTTTTTGGTACATATTACTGAGACCTTATCTAACATGTAATTGTATCTAATTACCAGACACAACCAACCCCAACTGTAGAAACTTGGGCAAAACAATTAAGCACACAACTTCTTCTATATATTAAATACTTTTTACGTTCTTTTTTATAAAGAAAAAACCTGGTTTAGAAATTAGGACATCTAGAGCCAGACTTAAAATTTTATGAAACCAATGGGCCTGACTGATTTAATGTCATCTCATAAATTATCAGAATTTTTATGTTCTCACAAATTAGATTGTATATTTTGTTAGTTAAAACTCGTTCTACCTTCAATTTCTGATACATTTGTCTAGGAAATAATAACTGGGAATTCAACAATATTTTAAAAGGTTCAATAATGGTCTCATCAAAAATAACTGAGCCCCAAATCCAAATCACTGGCTAACCTACCTACCCCACAATGGTAGATACTTGCAAAATTGTAATATTTAGATTTTACAAGTTACATTTTAGATTTTGGAGAAATCTCCCGCAAAATGAGTCGGTCTAAGGGATCTATTTTCATCTACCTACAATATAATCTATTATACCATACTCTAAGATGTAATAAACACTTTCTATACATATAAGCTGACTATGTGAAAGTGAGCTTATGTGTGTGTTCATCTTTGTGCAGTTCTTGAGATCAGTATGATTATTAAATCTGAGTGGAATGCCCAAAGAAAGCAAATTGATGCTAGGAATACTGCTGATTTTGGGTTCTCTTGAAACACTGAGTAATGGAGATTTGTATACTATGTTACTTTTCCCTGTTTATACAAATGGAGTTCAAAAATGTGAGTCTACCAATACTCTGTAAAGTGCAAAAACAATTCTAGTTTTATCAGTAATAGTCCTAATAATAAAAACCACCACCGCTTATTGAGTACTTATTATATTCCAGATGCCCTTTTCATATATTACCATGATTAATAGCAATCCTACTGGATACATCTTACCCTTATTTTATAGGTGAGGTAACTATTTAAAAAGTTAAAAAAAAAAAACTTGCCCAAAGACAGTCAGTTATCCAGTGACAGAGCCAGACTATGAACCTGCTGGCTCACCCCAAAGGTCAGGCTCTTGACTCCTTTTAATGTGAGTGAAGGGAAAGTGACAGTACTTGAGAGAATGCGACAGGCCCTGTCTTAGGTATGGCGCCCTGGGAGAAGCAGGAAGAGAACCAGTGGCTTCGACTCAGATTTCCCTTGTTTTAAAAACAAAAGCTCATTTCTAATAGGAACGTAGATGGAGCACACATACTCTCTAGTCAAGCAAATCATAGAAACCTTTCACTCCATATCCACTATTTCCTCAGCCAGTGCTCAGTCTCATTTCAACCATAACACAGTAAATGAATTCTGGCTAATACGAAGATAATTAGCAGGAAAATCAGGGAAATTGGCAGATGCTGCTCAAGCAGGAGAAAAAAAATTCACTGAAGCCTCTTTGGGCTTTTAATCAAGTGTGTAAGGTACTCCTTTAGAGGAGCTACTGAATAATTCTATTTGAGTCACACAAGTGATTAGGAAAAGGTAAGGGGCATCCCACAAGGGGACAATTCTAGTGAACACCACACGTAAAGGAAGGGTGACAGAACAGGTATGCAATCACCCTGACCTACACAGGGAGGGAGGCTGGGCAGCAAGAGGGCTGAGCAGGAAATGGAGCCCCTCATTTGGCTGCAATTACCACTCCACAGGGGGCTAGGGCTGGGGAGGGGAAAAGATACGAAGGGCAAGTAAATTAATGGATGTGGCATTCCTAAGGAGAATGGGAACAGGGAGTTAGCCTCCAATAAATCAAACGCTCCAGACCCCCAAACGCACAGATGAGCAGTGCCTCTTCTGAGTTTGGCCTGCAGGTATGATAAACACGCCGTGTACATGTGTGCACACATGCACAGACTGAATTTTGTGAAGTAAATTGCAAATCCAAGAGTTTGGGGGGACAACACCAGAAAAACATTTACGTCATTCTTGATTCCAAAATATTCTGCTGGAAAATGTCCAAAATCTAATAAAATTTAAGTTATATTTCTCTGAGAGCTCTAACCGTGAAAAATAAAGAAAAAAATAAGCCAATTCCATTTGACTCCCTCTGTGTCTCTGAAGAGCTACTACAGCTGAGGGAGTTACTTGATGGATGTAAAAGTGTCTGAGGTGGGGTCATTAGCTGCTATGTCCTGAAGCCCAAATGAGGTCTTTAGTTTAATTCCAGTATCAGCACATCTCATGATTTCCTTTTATTAATTCCCTGGATTTGGGGATGTATCAAAAAGCAGGTGGTATAAGATAGGACATCAGCTTTTTTTTTCCACACTAAACAAAAATAACATTTGGCATACAAAAGTAACTTTACTGAGGAAGTCACTTGGAGGTCTAAAAATATATTAAATGATGCCTAAAAATACCAGTTATGAGGATTCAGGCCAAATATTATTGTGATCTTTCACCTTAAAAATATTTTCCGACTCATTTTATATTGAGACGTCCTCACATTTAAACTGTGCTCACAAGGAAAATTTATGTTTTCAGTTTACAGAATAGAAACTTGGAAAAGACTACGTACTTTTTCTGCCCTTTCTTTTCCAAACAATAGAAAGCCATTACCTGAGCCCAGCTTGTTCTGGAACAGTGCTCACAGACAAGCCAGGCAGCCATGCTGTCTCTTAAGCCACTATGTTTTCAAGGCTGGTTTTGGCTGAGAAGCTTCTAAGAAGGTAATCCTTTCTGCATTGTCATTAGAATAGCTTTTTTTTTTTTTTTTTTTTTAAAGAGAGGCTAGGCCTTGTGTTCTCAGAAGGCTTATTCTTTCAGTGATTTTTGCTTTTCTTTTTTTGTGGATAACATACTAAACACTCTTCCAGGTTCAGTCCTCCAAGAGTTCTCATAAGAGGGTAGAAAAATCTCATTTCTCATAAAATGGAGGGAAACAATTGCCTCCCTAGCAAAGTTTACCAGCTTAAGAGCAAGGATCATAAAATCCACTTCTGGCATTCACAGCACATTTATTTTAAGGCAGTACAAGGTTAGTGAGTCTTGCCATTTGTTAAGAAGCAACAAAGGTTTATCAACCTGGGGAGGGCTGGTGGTTTTGGGAGTAGTAGGGGCTAAATTCTTACAGCAGTCTAAAAAATTAGAAAAACAAAAAGCAAAAATATATTGCAGTTTTTTGGGTGGATTTTAAAAAAAAAACCTTTTTTTTAATGGTCTTATTCATCTGTATGTGACTGCTGTGTGTAGAGGGGGTTTCAATGAACAGAACAGACTCCCAATGAACAATGGGATATTTAATGCAAATAAATGCTCCTACTGACAAAGGAGTCTTGGCTACTCACCTATTTTTGAAAAGACATAAAAAATTCAAAATAACCACATTTTGAATTAAAATAGGTATCATTTTCCAAGTTTATGGACCACAAACTTCTAAAACTAACATGGTCCCAACCTTAACAACTATCCTCACCTGCTCTTTTCTATAACATCTACTTTGAACACATAATGCTTTCTTCATTAAAAAAATACCTGTGGTTGTTTAAATAAAAAGTCGCTGGAAAGCATACCTCGTATTTTTTCTCTCATTAATGGTGTTTATTTAGAACAAACAGAATGAGAAGAGGTCAGAATTAAATATTAGGTTGGTGCAAAAGTAATTGCAGTTTTTGCCATTACTTTTAAATGGCAAAACTTCAATTACTTTTGCATCAACCTATACAGTCCTGAGTTCTTGTTTATAATTAAATTAGCATCTGTACACTTTTCTGAATGGAATTCTGCTGACACAACATTCTGTGAGGCAAACCAGCATTCCAAGCAAACCTCTGTCTTCAAGACTCACACAGCAGAAGCTGTTTTAAAATAGACTCACTCACTGAAATGGCATTTCTGTTTCCACCAGGTAAGGGAAGGCTCTAGCATGAATGCAGAATTGATATTCCACATCACATGATGGGGTGGACAGGTTCTGCAGAGCAACATCCAGTGTGTAAATACAGAGCAACACTGGAAATGCTCAGTGGCTGGTGGTCGAGTTTGTTTCAGTAAGTGAAATTACTCCATAGGATGGTTTGTTAAGCATTTGTTAAATCCCTCCAAAACCAAACCAAACTAAGCAAAGGTAGGGTCAGCACACAAGTAGAGAGAAAAGCTAATCCACAAAGAGACGTGTTCAAGCCCTTCTACTGAAATGTGGTGCATAGTTTCTTAAGTGAAAAGATTTTTAATAAAAAACACTGAAAATGTGCAGCTCCAGAAAGGTTGACTCAAACTATGTTTAAGAAATGGGGTCAATGTGGAATGTATGAAGAGATTTTAAAATGATACAGGAAAAAAATCCTAAGCTCTCCAAACAGAAGTCACTCTTAACATCTTTTATAGTTTATGTGTGAAAAGGAATTTGTGCTTGGCTACTGGTACTAAGATTGTACTTCATCTCAGGAAAAGCAGAGGGGGGCATTTCACACCAAAGCCCTGGCAACTGTAAGGCTTTGAAAGAAGGCAGCATAAAGTTTGTTTTCATATATGAAATAATGTTGAGGCTAAAAGTTCAATGTATGTATAGTTGTGTCTTAAGGTCAAAAATTTTTGAGATAAGGAAATTCAAACACTTGGGGAGAATTTTAAAAGTAAAAGCACTGTATGTGTGTGGACTCATAAGTGCAAAAATGAACCTCAAAAGTCTTCTAGTTCATATAAATGTGACAAACAATTTAAAAGCTGTAACAGTCTACAATAACTATAACCAACATACATATATACCTAACACCAACAAACATGTTTATATACATTTATATACACATGCACATTAAAGGAGTGGGAGCAGTGGGCTCCTGGTGAGCCACTCTGAACGGTCAAGCCACGTTCCTAAACCACGCTGCTCATCTTCCCAAGCCCTCTTGTTCCAGGGAGGTGCCCGCAACGATGGCCTGCTGCAGAATACAGAGTGGCTTTTTCATGTTTGATGGGTTGTAAGAAACAAAAAGCCAACTATGGCATCTATGAAGACTATGCAACAGAGACTGTAAGTGGCCCTCAAAGCCAAAAATATATATTATCTGGTCCTTTCTAGAAAAAGTTTGCTTGTTCCTATTTCAACAGGACAAAACGAGAGGCCGTTCCCAACAAGCAGGCTAAGAAAAATTTAAATTACTCTCAGGTGGTGTGTGCCTCAGTAAATAAACGTTTGGTTATAAATGAAGGAATGCACTTTCACAAGAGAAAACAATCTTACAAAGAGTCTTAAATTGCTACAAATACCCCATTTTCAGAATATCCCACAGATGAATGTATGATGGTTAGAATGTAGTAACATTTGACATAGGAGACCAGTTTTATAAGCTAGTCTCCTCTGAAACTTATGAGAAATATTTGATCACTGTAATAGCTTATAGTCTTCATTCTTAAGAAACCAGAATCAAGGGATATCAGGTATTGATTTTTTTTCTTTTTTTGGATATCAGGTATTAAGCCTGATGTTACTCTTGCCTTCTGACCTTTAAAATTCTAGCCTTCGGTCAAAAACATATTTCATTCTTGAAATGATTTTTTCAATAGCTAACAAAATTAATCTTTATTAATTTGGTATACATAGGATGTGTTATGATTTACAAAAAGCTAGTCACTGAAACAAGTCCAAAACCTGTGAAGCCAGCATTAAATACCTAGAGACCGAATAAAGAAAACAAAACAAAACAAAACAGGTCTGACAACGTGAATCTCCTCTTGTGTCATTGGCTACCACCTGCAGTAAGAAAACACAGAAGTTCAGGACGAAGAGACAGGCTGATTTGGACCTAAAACAGGCTGCTTCTTTACCCATTACTATGAAAATGCCCTTTTAGGAAGTAATAGTATAAACAGCAGGGCAGTATAATAGTATAAATAGCAGGGCAGTATGAGATGTAAAGACAGGGAATTCCAAAACTATTTTGGACTTTTTAAAGAATACGTAACATTTTAGGGAAAAGTTTATCCTCAACAAAAGGCAACAAATGAATTCCTTCCTCCAGCAAAGAACTCTCCCACTCCACTTCCTTCTCTCTGATAATGCAGGTATAACCTATTCCTCAGGAAATGGCCCATCTCCAAATTCCTCCTCCAGGAGCTTCTGCTCCTTAACGGATTCATTCCTGTGGTCTCTTCCTTGAGCACTCCACCCCCTCATTAGTCTATTCTCTATGTGGCTCTGCTGTGATTCTTATGTAATGCCTTAGAGTCACGCTTCAGATAGTCACTGCTACTCTAAGACTGGCAGCAGACATGGACAAGGTCATCTGGTAAGTGCTAAGTACATTTTCTTTTGGACTTTTAGAAACCGATGAATCAGTTTAATAGTTGAGACTCAAAAGTTTCCTGGTAATTAACTCGCTTGGCAGATCTATTGGTGATTTTATACTGTTTAAGCAATCCATTACAATGAAGTCCTGTTCCAAATGATCCACATTTCCATTGAAATTACAGAGAGAGTCCACAGTCACATTACCACCCTGCAAAAAATCATTCTCACAGGCAAAGCGGAGCCCAACACTATCTCGGATTCCATTTAATTTGTTTCTTGGAAGTGGTGTTGGTTTCTTCTCAACACAGGACAAAATAACTCCGATGATTAAAAATGATTAAACATTTTGGCAACTAGGAAGCGTTCTCCAATGGTGCTGCTTTAGGCATTCCACCAGCAGTACAGTCTCAAATAAAAATAAAACCATGTTAAACTGTATCTCTCTTCTTTTGAGTGTTTGCTTTTTGTATTTCCCTTAGTAAACAAGAAATGAGAAATGAACTCACCACACCATAGGAATATGTGTCACAAGTTTCTGACACAGGGAGACTCTGGATAACTTCTGGAGCCATCCATGGGAAAGTTCCAACCAAGGACATGTGTGTTGTATGGTTATGGAACCGAGAGGCACCAAAGTCACAGATCTGAGAAAACAGGAATCAGTGTCAACTTTCTACTTATTGGCTAATTAAGGGATTATCAGTTACAAAAATCTACATCTGAAATTAACAATTTTTTTAAGTAAAAGAAATAGTCCTACCTTCAATACTCCATCAGCAGCTATAACAACTAAAAAAAGAAAAAAGGATAAATTATGACAATCATCTAATTTGTTTGAGCTGTCTTCTACTGAAAAAAACCATAAACTTCTATTTCTGTCTTCAATATGGGATTATGAAAGGTGAAATCAATGTATTTACAGCATTGAGGATTTTGCAAAAGGGGGCTGACATTAAAACAAAAACTTAATTCCATTAGGTACTGATTAAAAAGGCTTCTGAGACACTTGTTTTATCCAAATGCAGTACTGTCCAGTAAGAAAGGCACAAATTAGTAGTAGTTAGGAGAACCAAATTTTTACCTGGGTTCTGCCCATGTACTGCCAATGTGATACTGAGGTAGTCATTAGCTTTACTACTTCATATTATATATATGGTTTCCTCCCAACTGAGTGATTTTTGTTAAAGGTGGAGAGAATATTCATTCATTCACTTGTTCATACATTCATTCATTTAATAAATATTTGCTGAGGCTACTGTGGGTAACGCCATGTATAATGCTGTGGAACAGGACTGTAAGCAAGTCTGCCACTGTCTTTGCTCTCAGGGGGTTTATATTCTTATCAGAGAGACAATTAAATAAACATCTACAACAAACTGGGATAGATTCCATGATGAGAGAAACAATACTATAGAGCCAAAGAACAATGATATCTGTGTCGAGGGCGGTCAGATGAAGTTTCCTGTAAGAAATGATGCTTATGCTAAAACCTGAAAAACACAGGAGTTAACCAGGAAGAGGAGAGCTGAGGGAGGAAAGTAGTTTCCTAGGCAGAAGAGAGAGCCTATGCAAAAACTCAGGAGCAGACAAAAAATGTATGGCAATTTTGGAAGGTAGGTGCCAGGTCAAGAAGAGAAAGAGAAAGCCAATGAACAATTTTATGTGGAGGGATGAAATGAGCAAAGGTGCAGAGGGGAGACTATGTCAGAGAAGAATAGACCTGGAGGCAAGGGCATCACTTGGCACTCAAGGTTTTGTGGTCCAGGAGACAGATGAGGACATCTGTACTAAGGCAGTGGCAAAGGACAGGAGAAAAGTTGACCGAGTCAAAAAATATTTAGGATGTAGGATCACCTAGGCTTAATGAATGGCTGGATATTGGGGGAGAAGGAAGCGAACTCAAGGATAAAATCAGATAAAGAAGCAATACAGATTAATGGTTAGAATAGGAGCTCTGGCTTTAAACTGTAACTACTATTTATCTCATTTCTGGCTTGGGCAAACAGTATTGCCACTCAGTAAAAGAAATGCAGGGATGATTTTTCGGGGTTAGGGAGAAAATGAAAAGATTAATTTGGACATAATATATTTTAGTGTCTTAAAAAATATCTATGTGGATGTGTCTAATCAGCAGATAGAAAAATAGTTTTGAAGTTGAGATCTGTTTTTGAGTGTTAATATGTAAATAGGGCTTTTATGGGAGTGCAAGACTCAGAGCATAAGAGGAGATGAGTCCAAGGATAAAGTTCTGAAGAACTGTTTCAGATGTTTCTTTTGTAAACCGTGCAGTGCCTTGAACATGATAGATGATCAATACTTACTAGTTACTGATGATTTTACCAAGGAGGGAAAATGATCTTTGTATGATCTAATATTTGAAAATAGCCTCAGGGTAAACCTGGTACTATAAGTAATAAGCTACAAACTTTTACAAATAGAAATGTAAATATTATTAATTTTATATTCAGCTTTCTCATTATAAGATTAACAAGTGCTCACTAGAAAAACTGCCATTATAAAAATACATAACATAGAAAGTGAAACTCTGGTTACCTTTCCAAGGGAAAAAGAATTGCTATAAGTTAGGTCTATATTCTTTCAATATCAGTGTATGTGTGTTCCTATTTAGTAACTATAATACATATAACTGTAACTTTTTAAAATGGGGACACTCTCCATTGTTATATAGTCTTCATAATGATAGCAGGGAAAAATCCATAATTTAGTTAATCATTCCTCTTTTGTAGAAGATTTAAGATATACTGAAGTCAAATAACATAGTTAAATTGAAATTCTGAGCATGAACTGAAAATTTACAAATTCATAAAACTCTGATCTTTTCTACTACAGCCTAGATTATTTCCTAATGACTTCCTGTTAGCTGACCATATATCAAAAGTGCTTAGTTCCAGGAAGCTTAAGTCTAAGAAGAACCAAAGAATACATGATAACCTAGAAGAGGAAAGGACAATCAGACAGGGTTAAATTGGTGGTCCAACCTGGACTACTGATAAGTGGCAGGTGCTGATAACTTCCCTCCCCGCCCCCATCCCTTCACCCCCTGCTAAACACACACACACTCACACACACAAACCTCACAGTCCTGAGGCACGTGCAAGGGTACCTGATCGATTCATTCCCTGGTTCTCTTCCACTACTTGTCATCACCACCCATTCTAAGGATCACACTATTAGCATATACTCGTTTTAATTAAAGATCTCCTAAAAATAGATAGTTCGCTTCCTCCTTACTGAGAAGGAGCATTTAGAAAGCATGTAAATAATTAATTGATTGGAGGGTATTCAGAAAAGTGGCAAACTCTGATGTTTACTTTAGCTAGTGCTATAATGCTACTGCCTTTCTCAGATAACTCTGAAGTGATGTAACAGAAGAAGCATTCTGTTACCACTCCTACTTGAAGGTAATGTCTAATCCTGCAAGTTATTTTAAAATGCTCACCCTCCAAATTATAAGATACAGGGCCATAAATAAGCTTTAGAAAGTACAGAAGAAGAGAAAGAAGAAAAAGAGAGCCTTTACTTTCCAAACTTCCAATCATGTGGCTCATTTCTGGGCACTACTCCAGGTAATACAGGCATGACTGGCATCAACAATTCACACCACGCAATTCAGATGCAACAAGAACAAAATTCAAAATTGATAGTGCACAAAGCCACCTAAAAATAGAAGACTAAAAATATATGACTGCATACTTTGACACAGCAGTATCTCTTTTAGAAAATGATTCTAGGGAAATAATTAGGGATGTCTTGAAAAATTTGGCTGAAATATTAAGCCCAACATTTCTTATCAGAGAAAAAATGTAAACAATTCAAATGTCCACATTCTGGGCTATATTTATACAGTGAAATACTATGCAGCTTCTTTAAATAATATTGAGATTTTTGTTATTTATTGACAGTAGAAAGGCTTCCATGGTATCAGCAGTGAGTCCAATAGTAGGTTACAAAAGATATGTAAAAGAATGATGCTCATTTCTACATGCAAGTGTATGTAATTTGTAATAAAATAGGTAAAATAAAAACATAACTACATTACCGTTTCTTGACTTGAGGTCTCTGTGAATCACCTTGACAGGAGCCTCCATATGTAAATAATGCATTCCTTTTCACACAAGAAGAAATAAAGGCCTATTAATATTTTTCAACATTACATCAGTATTACCTTTCATAGTTTTTCAAAGAACTCAAGAGCAGAAACTAATTCACATGTCTTATTCTTCCATGACTGATAAAATGAAAACAGAATATGTCTACATTAGTAACATGTATATGTGAAGTCAAATTTATAAGCTTTAATCTCTTAGAGGTTGGAATTTGACTGTGGGTAAATCTAGCTTCTTACAATACCTAATAAGGACACCTTAATTTTCTGCAGTCTGCATGAAAATAGCACAGTAACCACTGAAAGGAGGGCTCCACGACTAAGGTATTCCGCTACCAACTACCTTCTAAATCTGCCAAAGTTCTGAGTAAAATTTGTGGTTTTCATCTGGTTGTCTGCAGGTACCCAACTGCAGATTCTGATGTCCAGTTACCGAAGTTCTGGATGTCTATGGTTACCTGGCTGCAGCTTGGCTTTTTCTCAGTACCCATTCCAACAAGACCTGGGAGTGGATGTGGGGTAGTGGTGGGGAGAACTGGGAGGACTGATTAGTTACGGTTGGTAAATAATTTTATGATCTTCAGATAAAAAAGTATACAGTAGTTACAAAGTATTTCATTCCTTTTACAAGGATAAATCTTTGAGATAATCTGTATTTCAACATACTCCAAAATTCTTTCCATCATATTTATAGAGCTTTATTATTTTGAATATAAAATTATACTTTAAAGACACATTTTATGGTTACCACCTTAGTAGTTTTTGACTCTTTCTGTATTTACGTATTGTCTACCCCTTTAGAATAAAAAAAGGATGATTTTCTACTAAAATATATCCTCTTTATTTCTCAAGTTGTTTTTTCTAACTAATGGCAGAAATAGCCTCCCCCTCACCTCCAAATCAAATAGGCTTCTTTTTAAAATGAACAATGCATTGAAAATAATTTAATAAGAGGCTTAGGCTTTTTAAAGCATATAGAGAGGTTAATTTTTAAATCTTTATTCTTCTATTTTAATTATGATATATTGAAGAATCATGAAAGGACAAAGAAAATTTAAACTCTTGCCTTTTAATGATATCACTGAATGATATCACTGAAGAGTCAAGTTAACACAAGTATTAGTAATTATGTGATCTTAAATAAGATGTAACTGGGATAAAGGAAATTTCTCTTCTGATAAGAAGTTCTACATCCCTCAAACTGCAAAAATTCAATAGTTACAACTTGGGTAGCATTTAATAATCTATATGACTGGATTTCATAGTTACCTCTCTCTTGCTTTAGAATCAAATTCCTGAATAATTTTTCAGGTAGAATCTGTATAATTACTATTACTGGTAGAGATAGTTTCTACACTTGCTGACAAGTAAGGATTTCAAAAAACAAGACTCAAATACAAAAGCTTTAAATATAGGCACTTTCCTTCCTCATGGAAGATTATAAGAAAAAAGTACCATAAAGTATTAGTGTACGATGCATAGTATACATTTAAATAATATTTCATATAAACAATAGTCATCACACACACATAAAATTCTATTTAATGTTTTTGTAGATCCATCTATAATTCTGCCTTATATTTATTGCAAACAATTAAGAAGGCTGAAAAATACTTTCATCAGGTGTACATTCAGGGTTTCCTTAAAAAAAGAATTGGCAGGTGTAACTGAGGAGACTTTTGGGGAGAACTGGAATGAGTGGTGACCATTTTGAAACTGGATTGGAGTTTATCTGCTTTAATTGTTCCTTTTAAGCATTGCTGATTAGCTTGCAGCAATTTCAGATATACTTGCTGGTCCACCCTCCATTATCCTCACATCTAGAAAGAAGAGAATCTTTTTTGTGAGAAGATATTGTCTCAACAGCAATGATGCTGAGCAATGCCTATTTTAAAATGCATGAATCAACCTTTGCTTAAAATATTCATTCTCTGATTTCTCAACATATCATTGCTCCAGTGGATTCAATCATAGGTTAAACTGAAAGGTACATAGCTGAATTTGAAACAGAATCAACAAAAATCAAGGCTTCCTACTTAATCTCTTAAATTCTTAAGTTCTACACCCAGCTTATCAGAGAAAGCTGAAGTCATTCCTAAAGCCTTGATTTTTTTTTTTTAATGGGCCATCTTAAAGGATTTTTAAATGTTAAGTATTACTTGCGTCCATAAACATACAAGCCTCTTCTCTGCCTCACTCTTCTCACCTGAGGTCAAACACATTAGCCAGACAGGCAAAAGGGATTTTATTAATCTGCAGTTTTGGACACCATCAGTGGGTCCAATCCCATTCTCTCCTTCCCTTTTTTTATTTTTTTGAGACAGAGTCTCACTCGGTCGCCCAGGCTGGAGTGCAATGGCCCAATCTTGGCTCACCGCAACCTCCGCCTCCCAGGTTCAAGTGATTCTCCTGCCTTAGCCTCCTGAGTAGCTGGGATTACAGGCATGCGCCACCACGCCTGGCTAAATTTGTATTTTTAGTAGAAACAGGGTTTCTCCATGTTGGTCAGGCTGGTTTTGAACTCCTGGCCTCAGGTGATCCACCTTCCTCGGCTTCCCAAAGTGCTAGGATTATAGGCGTGAGCCACCGTGCCTGGCCTCTCCTTCCTTATTTTTAACTCTGGTACCAGTTTGCTACCTAATTTTTTTTTTTTTTCTAGACTGAGTCTCACTCTGGCTGGAGTGCAGTGGCTTGATGTTGGCTCACTGCAAACCTCTGGGGTTTGAGCGATTCTCTTGCCTCAGCCTCCCAAGGAGCTGGGACTATAGGCGAGTAGTGCACCACCACGCCCAGCTAATTTTTTGTATTTTTAGTAGAGACAGGGTTTCGCCTTGTTGGCCAGGCTGATCTCAAATTCCTGGCCTCAAGTGATCCACCCGCCTGGGACTCCCAAAGTGCTGGGATTATAGGCATGAGCCACTGCACCAGGCCCAGTTTGCTACCTAATTCGATTCCTTCTCTTCCTTGCCCTTCTGATGCAGAGCACTAGCACTCTTGAGAAAACACCAAGAATGACTCAGCTGATGTGGAGCCAAGAGACTTATCCCTCAGTCGGGATGATGTGGCATGTGGTTAAGGGGGTGCAGGGAGAAGAGTTTCCCAGGCTGGGAATCAGGGATGCTTAAGTAGAGCACAGCAGGAAGCAGAGTGACTGATGTTAGCTGTTTTGTTTGCTGTCTATCTATTCTAAGTGCCAATAAAGTAATAACATGGGTGTAACTGGCTGAGCACCCTAAATGCAAACGTGTGTAAGGTGATGTGCTGTAAGTTAAGTACTACCTATATATGCATTTACATTATTTAAGGGTATTTCCACAATGCTCAGGCAGCCTCCAATAAAGGCACATCACCTTGCTTACAGAGAGCTGGTCCTTGTGTTCTACTGACATACAGAGAAGTCACTATGATATTACATGAAAATATCTTTAAGAATATGAAAGTTTAAGCATGATTTGAGATGCCCGATGCATCAATACACAATTAAGCAAATTAACATAAAGTCTCAGGTACACCACCCTAAACACAGAGCTTATTATTTTTATAATGTAATGAGGCATCATTCAGCAGCAGCATCTAGCATGAAACTCAAAAAAAATTTTTTTTCACTTTCCCTATTTGAAGAATTTGGTAGGTGTTGATGAAACTTAAAATAGACAATTCCCCAAAGGAAAGACTGCTACTTTTGGAAGTCACACAGTGAAATCAACGTATGAGTTGCTCCCCTTACTGAGTGCTAAATCACATTATATTTGCTTTGTAAAGAGATGCTTGTAGAGAATGGAGTAGTAAAATGTAGAGGAGTTAATTGCCCCAGGAAAATTCAGACACACTTTGTAGGGGTTGCTAGAATACAAATATAACTATCGGTGTTCATTATTTAGATGAAGTTGTTTCCAAAGCAACTCTGACAGTTATAAATAAAGCCCAGAAATGTTCAGTTAGGAAAATGGAAAAAAAAAAGATAAAAATAAATGAAGTTTGAATTGCTTTAGAAAGCATTCATCTATGCAAGAATGTATGAGAAAAAAGACTGGGCACTTTGTTTAGGGGTTTGGTGTATTAAAAATATTTAATTCCAACAGCGATGCCTAAGTAAGTTTACATTAAATGTAAAATAAAATCTGAATTGCTTTTACATGGCAGGACAAATAAAAATTTTTTTTGCAAGTGGTTTCTATTTTTAGCATATTATGTATACAAAATGAGTAGAACTAATCCTACAATAAATCATGTTTTCTGGATACTGAGTCTAAGTAGAGACTTTCAGAACAACAGAACTATGATTTTTCCATTTAATGTGTCAAGCAAGCTAGTCAATTATAATATCACAAAACATGACAAACATGTCTGCCCTGAAGCTACAACTAGATTTCGTGGATAGAAATAAAGTAGAGTCTTAAGAGGAAGATAAAAGGAATTCAGGAGTGGAAAGGCAATGACCTAAAATATTATCTGTACCATCAGCTGTGGAATTCTTACTACTTTTGGTCTGGAAAAAGAACATCTAAAGACAGAATAAAACATTTTCTGATGTTAAGTCCCCATTTCAGGAGGGGAAAATGCACCCCACTAATTCTATAAGAATATACCAAATATTATTACCTTTGGCTACATCAGTGGCCCAGGTCATAATGTGATCCATATCCATCTCCTCACTTCTGTTACTGTTAATGTAATCATAGAGTGATCCCAGAGAAGCATATTCTATTTTAAAAGGAAAGATAAGCATATAATTAAAATCAAGATACATTTCAGAAATAAGACTTTATATTTTCATTGAGAAAATACATTAAAGAATTTAACAAAAGACATCAAAAATATATAAAAAATTGTTCCATGGTGTGGTTTCTAAAAGTTAATGTCATCCAGAAAAATATCTGTCAAACAAAAGACAGTAACTTACAATGAATAGTAAACTTCAGTTGAGAATCAAAAGCCATTTAGCTGGAACTGAGAAACCCAAAGAGGTGTTGGAAGAATAAATTTGAAACAAAGGTATGTATATAAATAGGTATTTCTTTAAAAGTTGTTATTCTTATGAGATAGATATTAAATGCATAAATCAGACAGCTTAATGACAGTGTAAACAAATCAATTGTTGTCACATAAGGACTTAGAAGAGCTCTCAAAATTTAAGCACAGAAGGTCAAAAAAGTGAGAAAAATCCTTTAAAAATGAAGTATAAATTACATACCACAAACTCACCTGCAATAAGTATATTATTGGATGATTTTTAGTAAGTTCATAAAGTTGGGCAACCACCACCACAATCCAGTCTTAGAACCTTTCCATCACTACAAATAGTTCTCTTGTGCCAGTTTGCAGTTAATCATCACTCTCACACCAGCCCTACAATCTGCTTTTTCTCTCTACCAGTGTGCCTTTTCTGGATAGTTCATATAAACAGAATCATACAAATTGTTCCTTGTGTCTGACATCATTCCCTTAGCATAATGTCTTTATTTCTTTGTTTCTTTCTGGAGTCAGGGTCTCGTTCTTTTGCCCAGGTTGGAGTGCAGTGGTGTGATCACAGCTTACTGCAGCCTTGATCTCGGCTCACTGTGGCCTCCACCTCCCAGGCTCAAGCAATCCTCCCACCTCAGCCTCCCAAGTAGCTGGGACTACAGGCACATACCACCATGCTGAGGCTGATTTTTTTTTTTTTTTTTTTGGTAGAGATGAGGTCTTGCTGTGTTG
The DNA here is from genome assembly GCF_000001405.40 of Homo sapiens. Taxonomy (NCBI): domain Eukaryota; kingdom Metazoa; phylum Chordata; class Mammalia; order Primates; family Hominidae; genus Homo; species Homo sapiens. Next base: position 173,181,860 of record NC_000002.12, on the reverse strand, counting down.
CTTAGGGTAATCTCAAACTCCTGAGCTCAAGCAATCCCACCTGTCTCAGCCTCCCAAAGTGCTGGGATTACAGGCTTGAGCCACTGCGCCTGGCCGCATAATGTTTTCAAAGTTCACTCAAGTGGTAAGCATATAAGAAGACTTCAATTCTGTTTTATTGCCGAATACTATTCTGTTGTATGGATATACTACATTTGGTTTATTCAGTCCCCAGTTGATAGATATTTGGATTGTTCCCAGTTTTTGGCTATTACGAATAATGCTCCTATGAACATTTGTGTACATGTCTATGTGTGTAAATATGTTAATTTTTCTTGGGTAGATTTCAGGGACTGATATTGCAGGTCCATATGGTAAGTTTATGTCTAACTTTTAAAGAAACTATCAATCTGTTTTCCAAAGAGGCTCTACCATTTTATATTCCTGCCAGCAACGTATGAGGGTTTCAGTTTCTCCACATCCTCACCAACATTTGATATTGTCTTTTTTTTTTTCTGAGAAAGGGGTCTTGCTATGGTGCCTTGGCTAGTCTCAAACTTCAAACTCCTGTTGTCAAACAGTCCTTCCCTGCCATCCTCTGCCTCACAAGTAGCTGGGATTACAGGTGCATGTGACTGTGCCCAGCAGTATTGTCTGTTTTTTTGATTATGGCCATTGTAGCGGGTATAACACTAGTGGTATCTCACAGTGCTTTTAATTTGCATTTCCCTAGTGACTAACAAAGTTGGGCATCTTTTTATGTGCCTATTAGCCCCTTTTATATATTCTTAAGCAAAATATCTATTCAAATCTTTTGTCCACTTTTACACTGGGTTGTTTTATTGAGTTCTAATAATTTTTTTTAGTTCTAGATACAAGTCCTTTGTCATATATATGATTTGCAAATATTTTTTCCCAGTTTGTCATTTGTCTTTTCATTCTCTTAAGATCATGTTTCAAAGAGCAGAAATTGTTAATTTTTATAAATTCCAATTTCTCAATTTTTCTATTATGGCTGTGCTTTTGGTATCATTTCTAAGAACTCTTTGCTTAACCCCAAAGCATGAAGATTTTCTATTTTTCTTTTGAGAGTTTATAGTTTAACCCTTATACTTAGGCTTATGATCCATTTTGAGTTCATTTCATTTTTATGTATGGTCTGAGGTGTGGCTCTAATTTTTTTTTTTGGCATATGGATTTATTTTTGAGACAAGGTCTCACTCTGTTGCCCAGGCTTGAGTGCAGTGGCACACTCTTGGCTCCCTGCAGCCTCAACCTCCTGGGTTTAAGCAATCCTCCCACCTCAGCCTTTCTAGTAGCTGGGACTACAGGTGCACATCACCACGCTGGCTAATTTTTATTTGTATTTTTTGTACAGATGGGATTTTGTCATGTTGCTCAGGCTGGTCTTGAACTCCTGGGCTCAAGCGATCCTCTCACCTCAGCCTTCTACAGTGCTGGAATTACAGGTGTGAGCCACCACACCCGGCCCTGGCATATCAATTTCTAATTGTCTCAGCAATCAAAGGCTGTCTTGGCATCTTTGTTGAAAATCCATTGCCAATCAATGTGAGGCTTTTTCCCTAGAATTTTAATTGTGTTCCTTTGGTCTATATCCCTGTAGATATTGTGCCAATATTGTATTATGTTGATTACTACAGATTTATAAGTTTTGAAATGAGGCAGTCTAAGTCCTCAAAGTTAGTTCTTTCTCAAAATTGGTTTGGCTATTTCTAGGTCTTTTGCATTACCACGTAAATTTTAGGATTGGCTTGTTAATTTCTAAAAAAAAGTCTGCTGGGATTTGGATAGGAATTGTGTGGAATTTATAGATCATTTTGGGGAGAACTGCCCTCTTGACAACACTGAATCTTCTAAACCATAAATATGTAAATGTCTATTTGTTTAGATCTTTAATTTTCTCAGCAATTTTTGTACTTTTCATTGTACAAGTCTTATACTTATTTTGTTAAATTTATACCCAACTATTTTATTCTTTTTGATGCTACTGTAAATGGAATTCTTTCTTAATTTAATTTTTAGGTTGTTCACTCTCAGTATATAGAAATACAATAGATTTTTAAATGCTGATCTTGCATCCTGTGACCCTTCTAAACATGTTTGTTAGTTTTAGTAGCTTTTGTGTGTGTGTGTGTGTGTGTGTGTGTGTGTGTGTGCGCATTCCTTAGGATTTTCTACCTATAGGTTGTCAGATAAGATAGTTTTATTTCTTCCTTTCCAATCTGGATGCCTATTACTTCTTTTTCTTGCCTGATCACACTGGCTAAAACCTTCAGTACAATGTTGAATAGATGTCAGAGTAGAACTTCTTTGCCTTGTTCCCAGTCTTGGGGAGAAAACATTCAGCTTTTCACCGTGGAATAAGATATTAGCTGTGGGTTTTTGTAGATGCTCTTTATCAGGTTGGAAAAATTCCCTTTTATTCCTAGTCTGTTGAGATTTCTTTTTTTAAACTTTTTTTTTTTTTTTGAGATGGAGTCTCACTCTGTCACCCAGGCTGGAGTGCAGTGGTGCAAACTCGACTCACTGCAAGCTCCGCCTCCAGGTTCACACCATTCTCCTGCCTCAGCCTCCTGAGAAGCTGGGACTATAGGCACCTGCCACCATGCCCAGCTAATTTTTTGTGTTTTTAGTAGAGACGGGGTTTCACTGTGTCAGCCAGGATGGTCTCAATCTCCTGACCTTGTGATCCGCCCACCTCGGCCTCCCAAAGTGCTGGGATTACAGGTGTGAGCCACTGTGCCTGGCCGATATTTCTTATTGTCAGTGAGTGTTGTCTGTCAAATGCTTTTTCTGAATCTTGAAATGATCATATAGGGTTTTTATCTTCTATGATTTTATTGTTTATTATGGTACCTTACATTGACTGATTTCAGATGTTAAGCCAACCTTCCATTTCTGGGATAAATTCTAATTGGAATTTATAATCTTCTTTATGGGTGGCTGGATTCAGTATGCTAATATGATTAAGAATTTTTACATCTATATTCATGAAGAATATTGGTCTGTCGCTTTCTTATGTCTCTGTATGACTTTGGTATCAGAATAATACTGCTTGTTCATATAGAATATTGGCATCTATTTTCTGAAAGAGTATGGGAAGAATTGATGTTATCTCTTCTATAAACATTTTATAGAATTCACCAGTGAAATCATCTTGGCCTGGGATTTTCTTTATGGAAATATTTAAAATTACTAATTCAATTATTATTATTTTTTGAAACAGTCTTGCTCTTTTGCCCAGGCTGGAGTGCAGTTGCATGATCTTAGCTCACAGCAACCTCCGCCTCCTGGGTTCAAGCAATTCTCATGCCTCAGCCTCCTGAGTAGCTGGGACTATAGGGGTGTGCCACCATGCCTGGCTAATTTTTGTATTTTTAGTAGAGATGGGGTTTCGCTATGATGGCCAGGCTGGTCTCGAACTCCTGGCCTCAAGTGATCTGCCTGCCTTGGCCTCCGCAAGTGCTAAGATTACAGGCTGGAGCCACTGCGCCCAGCCTAATTCAATTTTTAAATTATAGGTCTATTCAGATCTTCTGTTTTGATAATTTGTATCTTTTTAAGACAATTGTTCACTGCATCTAAATTATCTAATTTATTGGCATAAAGACTGTCATAACATTTCTTTATAATCCTTATAAACTTCTGCAGGAGCCATAGCACTGCTCTTTCTTTCATTCCTGATTTTGCTAATCTTTATCTTCTCTTTTTTCTTGATCAATCTAGTTAAAGGCTTGTCAAATTTATTAATCTTTTCAAAGACTAAACTTTTAGTCTAGTCTTTAGATTAATAAATCCTTTAGTCTTTGGAAAGATTAACAAATCTAATAAACTGATTTTTGCTATTGCTTTTCTGTTTTCTGTTTTATTGAGCTCTGTTCTAATCTTTATTATTTCCTTTCATTGACTCACTTTGGTTTTAATTGGTCCTTCTTTCTGTAGTTTCTTCAGGTTGAGGCTCAGGTTATCCACTTCAGATTTTCTTCTTTTTGATATAGGTGTTGAAAGCTATACATTTCCTTCTAAATACTGCCTTATCTGCATTCTATAATTTTAATATTCTATAATTTTGATATGTTACATTTTCATTTTCTTTCACTCCAAAATATTTTAAAATCTACTTTGATTTCTGGACGGGTGTGGTGGCTCACGCCTGTAATCCCAACACTTTGGGAGGCTGAGGCAGGTGGATCACCTGAGGTCAGGAGTTCCAAACCAGCCTGGCCAACATGGTGAAACCCCATCTTTACTAAAAATACAAAAAATTAGCCGGGCATGGTGGCTACTCGGGAGGCCGAGGCAGGAGAATCGCTTGAACCTGGGAGGTGGAGGTTGCAGTGAGCCGAGATGATGGCGCCACTACACTCCAGCCTGGGTGACAGAATGAGACTTCATCTCAAAAAAAAAAAAAAAAAAATCTATTGTGATTTCTTCTTTGACCCAGTAGGTATTTAGCTGTGTGTTGCCTAATTTCCAAAATTTGGGAATTTTCCAGATTTCCTTTTGTTGTTAATTTCAATTTTAATTGCATTGTGATTAGAAAACACATTGTATGGTATCAGTCCTCTTAGATGAACTGAGATTTATTTTATGGCCTCCCTTATGACGTATTCTGGAGAATGTTCCATGTGTACTTGAAAAAATATGTATTCTTTACATGTGAGTTAGGTAGAGTTGGCTGAGAGTGTTCTTCAAGTCTTCTATATCCCATTTTATTTTCTGTCTAGCTGTTCTATCAATTATTGAGAGTGGAATACTGAAATCAGTTACTGGTGAATTGCCTATTTCTCCTTTTAATTCAGTTAGTTTTGCTTCACATACTTTGAGACCTGTTTTAGGTGTGTATACATTTCCAATTGCTATGTCTTTCTGATGTCTTGATCCTTTTATCATTTTGAAATGGTTCTATTTATCTCAAGTAATATTTCTTATCTTTGCTGTATTTTGTCTGAAATTTAATATAGTTACTCCAGCTCTCTGGTGCTTACTGTCTGCATGGCATATCTTTTTCTATCTTCTTACTTTTAACCTATTTGTATCTTTGAATCTACGATATGTCTCTTGTAGAGAGTACATAATTGGATCTGGTTATTTTTTAATCTGATCTGACAATCTCTGCCTTTTGATTGAAGTGTTTAGAACATCTACATATAATGTGATTATTGATACAGCTGGGTTTAAATTTGCCATGTTTTCTTCATGTCCCCTGTCCTTCTTAGTCTCCTGTTCCGCCTTTATTGTCCTCTTTTGCAATAAAAAATTTTAATCTATCATTTAAATCCTTGATTGATTTTTATTATATTTATCGAATGACTTTCTTAGCAGTAGTTCAAGGGATCATAAAATGTATCTTAATTTAGCACAGTCTACCTCAGTTTAATACTAATCTAATTACAATAAAATATAGAAGATTTTCTCCAATATAACTCCATTCCCTCCCTTATCCTTTATGCTATTGTTGTGATATATTAATATATCTACATACATTTTAAAGTTAACAAAAGTGAACAAAAACGTATTGCTTTATACAATGTTATGTTTTTATTTTTATTCATCATTATCTTTATTTTAAAGGTAGAAAAACCATAAGTTGAATGGTAATAAAAAACAAAAATAAAAGTAGGAAAACTGAGGCATTTCATGAAAAGTGAAATCCATTGTACAATGCATAATACAGTCAAAGATCTTGAAATTAAATTGGTGTCTTAACTATTATTTCTTACCTTTAACCAATAAACATTATTTTTCTTTAAAGGAGATAAAAAGATTATTCATTAAATATAGTGAAAATAAACATCATTAATTAAACACTATATCTCGCTAACCTCTTTACATCCATTAACACTCTGTAGTAAAAATAATACTGGTTTTTGCTGTGGCTTCATATTTCTTTAAAATATTAACTAAAATAGATTTCTGATTTGGGAAACATGATAACCAGTGCCATTTGGTTTTAAAAAGAATTGCATCTTAATCACCAAGACAAGACAGCAAGAAAACAATGACATGGTCACTTGAAGATTCTCTCAGTCTACTCTTCACCATCTAGTCAAACACCCATAAATTAATTCCAGCAAAACGCCTAAGAAATTCATCAATCAACCTCCAAAGCACATCAGAGAAAGTGCTAATATAGTAAACAGTAAAAACAACAATGGCAGCAGAACATCTTATTTAAACTTTTGAGATGATAAAACAGTAGAGAACTGGGAACTCTTTGGAATTTTTTTCTTGTTTTGGTTAAGAAGATCATTAATACTTTATAAACTTCATACATATGGCCCACTGTAAGGTTTAAAGAATAAAAGGTTTAATAGAATAAGCAAGAGAATGCCATAAAACCCTTGAAATAAGAAACACTGCTAACTTTTACAAACACAAAGTTCCTCACGTTTCAATCAAGTTTAGTCAGCCCTCATTATTCATAAGGACAAGTAGGCCAGTTTACAGACAAGCGGCAACCTACGAATGGCTCTTAGGCATGACACAGTTCTTAAGATAAATATGTTTACACTTGGAACAGTCATGTGGATATTATAAAGATGGCAACTGCAGTCCTGTAAAACTATACCTAAGAAAAGAATGAGTCAACTTATATTCAGATACTTCTAAAATCCCTCATATTTTAAGATGCTCTCTCCATTAATTTATTTGAACAACAAAATACTGTTTGGGGAAAAATATATAAGTCTGAGATGACCTCAATCAAAGCTAGTTTTTCAAAGCTTATAAAGGTCACCTATATGAATAAGACAAAAGAGAGGGAGGGAAGTAGGGAGGGGCAACAAAATTTAACACAGAGCAATTATTCCTGGAACTATGAACTCTCAATTCCAACTGCGGGATGTCACTGAAAACAAGTCTTCTAAAGATCACTTTGAAAAGCTGTCAGTTATGACTACAAATATAGCATATGGGACTAAAATATTCAACAATCCTAATGTTATGCCATTGGGTACTTGTAGCTTGAGATAAATATCCAGAGATAGTATAATACAGAGATTTCCCCAAAGCATGATATTTCAAACATCTTACACTACAGTGAAGACATTGTACTCCGAAAACCATGTTAACTTTAAAAAGTCATTCTAATGATGATGAAGACATGGAATACCATTTGACCCAGCAATCCCATTACTGGGTATATACCCAAAGGATTATAAATCATTCTACTATAAAGACACACACACACATATGTTTATTGTGGCACTATTCACAATAACAATGACTTGGAACCAACCCAAATGCCCATCAATGATAGACTGGATAAAGAAAATGTGGCACATATACAACATGGAATACTATGCAGCCATAAAAAAGGATGAGTTCATGTCCTTTGCAGGGACATGGATGAAACTGAAACCATCATTCTCAGCAAACTAACACAGGAACAGAAAACCAAACACCACATGTTCTCACTCATAAGTGCGAGTTGAACAATGAGAACACATGGACACAGGGAGGGGAACATCACACACCAGGGCCTGTCGGGGGCGTTTATTTAATGCTAGGGGAGGGAGAGCATTAGGAAAAATACCTAATGTAGATGACAGGTTGATGGGTGCAACAAACCACCATGGCACATGTATACCTATGTAACAAACCTGCACGTTCTGCACATGTATCCCAGAATTTAAAGTATAATAAAAAAGATACATGATTAAATAAAATAGTTTCATGACTTTGAAGTTGCAAGAAAGGCAATATTATTACCTTTATTTCATATAAAATGTCATCTTTAGGTACGTGGATAGCTAAACTAACATATTAACTATTTTAAATAAGCATTTAATTCTTTCATCCTTTTGGTTTTCCCATTGGAAATTGTGGACTCACTATATACACATATAGTTACATGCTTTTCAAACCACTTCTCTGTAGAAAGTAGTTTACTGGATTTTAGTATAAAGTATTTGTTTCATTTTTTTTGAAGTCATTAAGAACCACATTAAGCAAAAATTTCCTTTTCATTTATAAGATGATTCTTCCCTTTGAGTTTTACGGTGATAATAGCTGGCTTTGAAAAATGTAAACATAGTATCAGTATTGTTGAATTGTTGAAACAAATACCATTACCACGAAATCTCTTTGTAATAAAATGTCACCAAGACCAAGCTTCATTTAAATTATAACTAATAGAATAAATTTACGCAAATGTCTGAAATGTGTTATAACAAAATGTGACACTTGTCTCTAATTGACTAATAAAAAAAGACTAGCACAATATCAAAACATGCAAATTAGATGTATCTGTGCTTAAAATAAATCAAGATCAAGTTAAGGGAAATGAGATTGGGCACTTAAAAATTAGTATGTTTTCCTTGGCTGGGTTTAATGAGAATTTGGGCCTGCTGAGAAATCATGCAGAACTAGTCTCCTCTCTTAGACGAGTAATAGAGGCTAACGCAGAACAGGTAACTTAAGAGATCAGCCCCTGAGAACAAAGCAATTTCCAGGCATCTGGGATCCTAAATCACTTCTCACCAGAACCCTGGAACCCAGTCTGCCACCCTTTCTTTACTCTTAGATTACCAGATACTTTGGGTGTGGGTTCCTCTCCAATCTGGCTTGCTACAAAAGAGCTACATGGTCTGGTATCCAGCAACTCCTTCCTTCATCTCCCAGGAGCTCCCCCTGCCCTCACATATTTATGTTTTACACAGACACACACACACACACACACACACACACACACACACACACACAGAAATAAAAGAATGGGAGTAGTACAGAATGAAGAGGTTTCCAAAGATCAAAGAAAAGATGATCCAGGCTGGGCGCGGTGGCTCACACCTGTAATCCCAGCCCTTTGGGAGGCTGAGGCAGGCGGATCATGAGGTCAAGAGACTATCCTGCCCAACATGGTGAAACCCCGTCTCTACTAAAAATACAAAAATTAGCTGGGCATGGTGGCGCACGCCTGTAGTCCCAGCTATTCAGGAGGCTGAGGCAAGAGAATTGCTTGAACTCAGGAGGTGGAGGTTGCAGTGAGCCTAGGTTGCACCACTGCACTCAGCCTGGCGACACAGCAAGACTCCGTCTCAAAAAAAAAAAAGAAAAGAAAAGAAAAGATGATCCATTATTGTATCTTTTCTTTCGGCTTTGGACTCTGAGTTTCTTGTCACCCCATTTCTTTGTAGATCTGGGAGAAAGATGTTCATTTCCCTTCCAAGGGAAATAAATTGGCAGCTACCTCTTAGTCTCTTCCCTGGCTCCCCTGATAAGCAGGTTTTATATGTCTGTGATAAAAAAGTTTCAGCAAACACACATGCACAAGTATACACACACATACACACCCAGAGATCATGTATTGTAGTCCCTTCATTCACATGAGAAAACTGAGACAGAGAGAGATCATCAGTGACCCATCTATGAAGCTCTGGCAGAATCAAGACAAGATCTCACATCTCACAATTCCCATTCCATTGCTCATTCCATTCCACCACTCTAATAAATCATTCTTTCAAGTTCTCAGCATGAATGACAACAGCTGCCTGCTGCAACAACCTTTTCTATTAAAAAAAAAAAAACTACCTCAAATTGAATGGATTCAAGCCATCCAAGCTTCCTCCTTCAGAGCCTCCACTATTTGATAAATATGATAAGGTTCACAGAGGGGTATCTGGCTGGGGCTGGGTGATCAAGGTCAGTTTTCCCACCTATCTTTGTTTCTCTCTTAACTGCCTCATACTAAGACTTATTTGTGCTCATTTCCAGTGGCAGAGTAAGTGTCGTCATCACTAATCCATGTGATTTCTTCACTCCCAAACTGGACTCAGTTGTCATATTTTCTACTACCCATGCACAGAGCATAGCTGTACAAGGTAGGCTGAAAGGCTCACATAAACAAGCACTTAGTTAATTAAAACTAACATCTCTAGGAACAAAGATAATCATATCAAATCAATACATTCAAAACATTAAAACTCACCTAACAGGTCTCTTTAATAATCAATCTCATAGGTCAATAAGAGAGCTATAAATATACAATCTACTACTGCCTCATAATCTGAAACTTGTGTTGTTTTAATTCTTTAGGTTTAATGTTAACTAAACAATGTAAAGCCAGTTGCTTACTTACTGGCTCTACAGGGAAAGAGATATAGATCCATAAAAAACTAATCAATTTAACTGAAGAATTTGGGTAGGTGCAAGTATGAGTAGAGAATGCTAAAGGGATGAATGAAATAAAGGATTGACTAGTCTGATACAAATACTGAATGGAAGAAAACTTCCTGGATTCTTTCTCCCTCTTTCAGATGAGATGACCTAGGGGAAATATGCTGGCTAAGAATGTTTGATATCTTCCTACTGAGAGTAAACTCTTGGAGAAAGAATTTCATATCACCACTCAAGTTCCCTTTTCTATCCTTCACCCTCACCTCAAGAAACTAGAAAACTTCATGAATAGCTCATTAGTTGGCCAAAAATATTTTCAAAAAGCATTAAACATCAAGAGTATATAATAAGAAACAGAGTTTCTAGTCTCTTGGGAGTGTCACACTTTCTTAGGGAGGAATAACATCAGCCACAAACGAGGATCAGAACACTGGATTCAGATTTAAAAAGTAAATATAACTAGTAAAAAGAAGTAGATACAATGGACACGGAAAAAAGGAGCCACATGGTATATGGGTCAGAGAAAGGTTTAACTTTAAATCAGAAATCTGACTTAAAATGTGAGGTATGGTTCCCCCTCAACCAACAATATAACCCATTCTTGGGTATTCACATTTATAAGAAATATAGACTCAAGATAAAAGTTGCTACATGCCCCATTTCAGTCACAAATCTAAAGACAGTGAATTGGGGATAAAAGTCCCTCCACTTAATAACTTAGGTTAAAATGCTACTAAGAGTAAAAGCATGTTAAACTACCTGCCGCCAGAAGATGGTATAACAGTAACCATGTCTCTCTGAGTTTAAGAACCAGTCAGCTCACAGCCTTCCAGAACCTAGCTTGCATAGAAGAGGAGCTTCTGTGGAGAATCAGCCTGAGAAATTTATACCGCTTTGGTTCTACCACTAGCTAGGTGACCATGGAAAAGTTGCTTAAGTTAGAGATGTAGTTTCTTACTAGTAAAATAGGAATTATTTTATCGATCTCATAGGATTACTCTAAGTATTAGATGAGATAATTTATAGAAAGTACTTAATACAATCCTTTTTATTGAGGGTGTTTTGTTGTTATTTTCTATAAAGACAATCCAGGTTCTCACCTCTACCGAGAACATGTGGCTAATACTTAAAGGTTTTCTTGTTTGACTTTGTTTTAATCAAAGATTTGCCAAGATAAAGATCAAAGTTATTTGTTGTAAAACCGATTATAGACCTACAAGCTATTCAGTGGATTATACAAATATGAGCATAAAGTATTGAAGATATGTGTCTTTCTGTATTTTCATGTGGCAAAACTTTCTATGTGCTGCTTTTTAGAAAGCGTATTTCTGTCAGTTATAAACTGCTGCTCCAAATTATGTGATAATTTAGATCAAGGTCATTACCAACTTAGTTGACCAAACCTGAAAAATATTGTTCTTATGTCAGAGACCTTGAAGAAAGAATGCTCTAATGGGATTAAAATGCCTTGCAAAGAATTACAACATGAATAGCTCAAGAAATCTTAATTTATAAAAGGTCACAGAGTTACAAAAAACATGTTTCATTTCAGCTAATTAAATGAAATTTTAGTTAAACGGCACCTTGAAATATTGGTATTGCAGCTGCGAGTGCATTTAAATAGCATTTACGCAGATATAATTAGCACAATTAAACATGGGTAGAAGTGGAAACACTATTCTTAATTATATTGATATAATCAGTTTTATTAATGCTTTATAGCAACAAAAGTGACATCTGACAGTAACACACAATTCATAACTGAGCCTAATATTAAGCATTTTAGCATATTAAGGAATCTAAAGCTAGGTAATTGGAAAAAGAAAGAAGTCAAACACTGAATTCTTACCTGTGACAATGCCATAGTTGGGAGGTTCAAGAATTACTCCATAAAACTGGATGATGTTTCTGTGACTGAGGACACTGAGTATTTCTGCCTGTACAAAAAATAAAATGCAAAGTTGCATAACATTTCACATTTATAATAGTCAAATAAAACAGGCTTCCTACTCATTTTTTTTTGAGTTAGGGTCTTGCTGTGTTGTCCAGGCTAGAGTACAGTGGTGTGATCTTGGCTCACTGCAGCCTTGGCCTCCTGGGCTCAAGTAATTCTCCTGCCTCAGCCTCCCAAGTAGCTGGGACTACAGGCACACACCACTACACTCAGCTAATTAATTTTTTTTTTTTTTAAGAGATGGGGTCTATGTTGTCCAGGCTGATCTCGAACTCTTGGGCTCAAGCAATCCTCCCACCTTGGCCTCCGAAAGTGCTGGGATTACAGGTGTGAGCTACCATGCCCGGCCTTAGTTTTCTTCTATGTACATTTACAAAGGTATATATGTGCCCAACAAATATGTGATTCTGCTAAAGCTGTCTTTCTTGAAAGTTGAAACATTTCTACTGAAGCTTTCTGAAAATTTAAAAAGAAAATGGGGTTGAAGAAGCGATAAAAGAGGCGCTTGCTAGCAAGCCCACCTGACTGATAATGGAGGAGAATGACTGAAGAGATACCCCATTTATTTACAGTGAAGGTCCTCTTCCTAATAGTCCAATATATATATTTTGCAAAATGTCTGTTCTGAGAGGCTACAGCCAGACTGAACTTCTGTTGGTTAGATGAGTCAATAATAAGTGGGTATTCAGGTAATACCCACTTATTTATCTAATCATTTATGCAAAATATATTATTGTTCTCCTTCTGTATGCAAGGTACTATAAACATATAAAGGTAGATTCTTGACCTTCAGTGGTGATTCGATAGGAGGCCGTATTTATACATTTTGAAACGTGTTAAATATTAGAAAGTGGTACTGAAGAGTGACATGGTAAAAATAAGTTGTATTTATTAAACTTAATTTTTAAAACAAAAAAACCAGATACTATAATATATATCTGCTAATGTCAATAGAAAGATGATCTCTACATAAATCTTATATTCATCAATATTTTATGACTTTTATGGAGATAAAATATGGCTAATCAAGAATTATAAATATGAGGTATAAAATCACGTAAGTTAAATATAGAAAATATTCAGTATTTTTCAATGAAAGGCATATTACTGGCAGTAAGTAGACTGGAGATTTATAAGTCCCCACCCCAGAAAGAGGATCATCAAGAAGAATGTCAGCAGTTAATGAAAATGGAGACACTTTGGTCAGAAAGGGACTCCCCTTTGGGAATGTGTACACTATGAATTAGTGTTATTTGCTAATCAGTTTTTTTCATAGGATAAGAGTTGGGATTTCATTAAAAACAGCTGCGAAACTGGTTTTGAAGGTGGTGTAACTAGGTGGAAAACAAGTTTGAGGGTCGGCATAGGGTCAATATGAAATTGAGATAAAGAATATCATTGATTGCATGAGACGCTTATCAAGCTTGATTTGACAGTGTTTTCTTATAGTAATACATGTGTCAAAGGGGGCTATCGCTGCTTAATCAAACAATTCCTTAATACTTATTGAGTGCCTCGTGTGTATAGAGGGGTCTGTGTTCATCAAGCAACCTTCTTCTCATAGTTTAGTTTCTCAACTAGGAAGAAGATGTATTATTTGTGCAACACAACTATTCATCCACATGGCAACCCTACTTCTTACTATAATAATAAATAATAATAAAGTTTATTTATTATTATTAGAAATAAAGTTTATTTATTATTATTAGAAATAATAAATAAAGTTTTTTGTAAAAATAGAATGTATGTGCAGTTTGGAAATCACAAAGCCCCCATTTTAAGTGGTAGGACCAACTGTTTGTGAATAAAGCATTAAAGTTCAATGTGAGTAAAGCAATAGAGTTAATGTTTGAACCAGTATTTGTCAAACTGAGGCAGTGTTATCCTTCGGAATATTCTTTGGGGCACCTGAATTTTGTGATCATTAAAGATTTTTCTATCAATAAAGAATAAATACAAGTATATTCTGAGTCCTTGGATGACCACTTTACAATGCAGCATGATGGGATTTTCAGTGTGCCAGCTAGTTTCCATGTTTATATTTAAGATATTGCCAAGTGATATCTTGAGGAGATAGGATTGATCATTTCAGGTGCCGGTAAGCATGTCTAACAGCTGTTAGGCTGGCAAATGCTAATGTCAAAATAACAATCATTATCCTCTATCCCCTTGTTGTGCTCATATTTTTTGCAAAAAAATTTGCAGTTTTATTTCCAAGTAAATGACATTTTCATGAAATAAGATTTTAGGTTCTTATATAATAAACTAAGAATCTGATTTAACATAATAAAAACAACATGTTATTTTAGAGTGCTGTACTGATTTCATGGAAATGGGCCAACAGTAAACAGAGGCAGACTGAATAAGTAAGTGATATGTTTGTAATAAATGAAGGTCAAATGACATCATGATGTCAGCAATTCAAATAAGCTCCAATAAAAACAAGTGTGAGGTTAACCAAATTATTAAAACCTGTGTTGTTGCAATCACCCTCTGACAGCAAGCAGATATACTCTCTGGATTTTGCCTTTATAGGCACCTGCTTGCAAGAGCTCATTAAAAAAAAAACTGTTGGCCGGGCGCAGTGGCTCACGCCTGTAATCCCAGCACTTTGGGAGGCCGAGGCGGGTGGATCACGAGGTCAGGAGGTCGAGACCATCCTGGCTAATATGGTGAAACCCCGTCTCTACTAAAAATACAAAAAAAAATTAGCCGGGCGTGGTAGCGGGCGCCTGTAGTCCCAGCTACTCGGGAGGTTGAGGCAGGAGAATGGCGTGAACCCGGGAGGCGGAGCTTGCAGTGAGCCAAGATAGCGCCACTGCAGTCCAGCCTGGGCGAAAGAGCGAGACTCCGTCTCAAAAAAAAAAAAAAAAAAAACAGAAAAACTGTTGCAATAAATGTGTAGTAAATAATTTGTCACTGAATTGCTGTTTTTCCTTTGTTTTCCAGATTTATATTCTGGGATAATCTAGCAAATGAGCTGCGCATCAAAATAATGGATTAGTGGTTTAAAAACGTGTTCACTGTTAAAAGGAAAACATGAAAATGATGAAAGCTAAAATAATGGTCCATCATACAAAAGTATATCTTTTTACACTATTAAAACCAACATAAGCCATTTATTTTCAGTAAATATAATTGGATAACAATCGTTAATTTAAACTGTATTGATTTTATTTTTGTTTAATTGAAAAATTGGTTTTGAATTTACCTGTATATGAGAGTTATAAGGAGTTAATTCTTAGTTTTATGTTTATGTATATTTAAGTTACACAGAAATAATTTCAGTCAACATGTGAAATCTGGAAGACTAAAATTTTCTATATAAAAGATCTACACATTTCTCAGTGTGCAAAATGCTTTTCTAGGGAGTCAAACAGATACTTGGACCCAATGTCCAAAGCAGCATTATTCACAATAAACAAAAGGTAAAAACAACCAAAGTGTTTATCAACTGACAGATAAAATGTGAGGCTATATATAAAAACAATGAAACATTATTTCTGCTGTAAATAGGAATTAAGTTTGGATATGCACTGCATCATGAATGGGCCTTGAAAATATTACGCTAAGTAAAATATGCCAGGCACAAAAGGGCAGATACTGTATGATTCTACTTATATGAACTATCTTGAACAGACACATTCAGCAATAAAGAAAGCAGATTAGAGGTTGTAACCAGGGGCTGATGGGAGGAGAAAATGAGGAGTTATTGCTTAATGGGTACAGCGTTTCTGTTTGGGGTGATGAAAATTTTTGTAAACAGACAGTGGTGATGGGTGCACAACACTGTGACTATAATAAATGCCACTGGCCAGGCACGGGGACTCATGCCTGTAATCCTAGCATTTTGGGAGGCTGAGGCAGGAGAAGAGAAGCACTTGAACTCAGGAGTTTGAGATCAGCTTGGGCAACATAGTGAGACCTTGTCTCTACTAAAAATAAAAAATTAGCCAGGTGTTCTGGCACATGCCTGTGGTCCCAGCTACTCAGGAGGCTGAGGCAGTAGGATGGCTTGAGCCCAGGAGGTCAAAGCTGCAGTGAGTTGTGACTGTGCCACTGCATTCCAGCCTGGGCAACAGAGTGAGACCCTGTCTAAATAAACAAATAAATCCACTGAATTATACACTTAATTACGCTGAAATAGCAAATTTTATGCTATGCATATTTTACCACAATACAAAAGTTTAAAAAATGGTATTCTAAATTTTTGCAGAGATGAGTGATCAGAGTCTATGTATTCAATAGTCATCTTAAAGTTATACAAACTACGGTCTAAGTATCCATAAGATAAACATGTAATTTTCCAAACTAGGACTTGGAGGATCTAAGAAAAGACTGGGACAGACTGCAACAATATATATACATTTTTAGACAGAGTCTCACTCTGTCGCCCAGGCTGGAGTACAGTGGTGCAATCTCCACTCACTGCAACATCTGCATCCCAGGTTCAAGCAATTCTCCTGCCTCAGCCTCCTGAGTACCTGGAATTACAGGCACGCACCACTACACCCAGCTAATTTTTGTATTTTTTTTTTTTCAGTAGAGACAGGGTTTCACCATGTTGGCCAGGCTGGTCTCGAACTCCTGATCTCAGATGATCCACCTGCCTTGGCCTCCCAAAGTGCCAATTTTAACTCAGGCTCTAAGATTCTCCATAAAATAAAGGGCCCCAATCTGAGATATAAACGGAGGAATCAAGGTCTATTCATAAAAATGTCTAATAGTCATGTCCTATTAGGGTACCAAAATGTCTCTACAGATTATTGTTTGCCTGCTCTTATTGTTTCCAGCTGGGGCCAGTTCCTTTCTCCTTTCCTCTTTCCTTTATCAGAAAAATTACAGAAGTTTTAGTTTGTTGATTAACCTGGGAGGTCGTGAGTATTTTGTTGTTTGTTTTATCGGCATTTCTATAAGTTTACAGGGGAAAACGAGCCATTAGCTCAGTTTGCCATGTTTCCAGACATCGACTAACACACAGGTTCCAAACGACTGATTCAGAGATATTAAAAGAAGTTAAATATCATAGTTTTAATTATCTTCCTTTGAAGTATTTCCAACAGTTAAAAAATATCTCCATCTTCAGAAGGACTCTTTTCCTTCAATTCAAAACTTTTTTTCAACCTAATCCCAAATTTTATTTTGTTTATTTAATTTTGGAGAGCTGCCATAGACTCCTTAAAAGATTCTGTGTCTTTAAAGCTTGTTTTGCAAACATCGACAAATGGGACTAATTAAACTGAAGAGCTTGTGCACAGCAAAAGAAACTGTCAACAGAGTAAACAGTCTACAGAATGGGAGAAAATATTTGCAAACTATGCATCTCACACAGGTCTAATGTCCAGAATCTATAAGGAACTTAAAAAAGTTTACAAGCAAAAAACAACCCCATTAAAAAGTAGGCAAAGAACATGCATAGACACTTTTCAAAAGAAGACATACATGCGGCCAACAAGCATATGGAAAAATGCCCAACATCTCTAATCATTAGAGAAATGGAAATCAAAACCACAATGAGATACCATCTCACACCAGTTAGAATGGCTATTATTAAAAAATCCCAGCACTTTGGGAGGCCGAGGCGGGCAGATCACAAGGGCAGGAGTTGGAGACCAGCCTGGCCAACATGGTGAAAACCTGTTTCTGCTAAAAATACAACAATTAGCTGGGCATGGTGGCACACACCTGTAATCCCAGCTACTCCAGAGGCTGAGGCAGGAGAATCGTTTAAACCTGGGAGGCGGAGGTTGCAGTGAGCCGAGATTGCACCACTGCACTCCAGCCTCGCGACAGAGCTAGACTCCGTCTCAGAAAAAAAAAAAAAAGTCAAGAAATAACAGATGCTGGTAAAGTTGTACAGAAAAGGGAATGCTCATACACTGCTGGTGGGAATGTAAATTAGTTTAGCCATTATGAAAGGCAGTTTGGAGATTTCTCAAAGAACTTAAAACAGAACTAGCATTCAATCCAGCAATTCTATTACTTATATTCCATACTTACATTCCATTACTGGGTAATGGAATATAATGGGGGAAACCCAAGGGAATATAAATCATTCTACCATAAAGACACATGTTCGTCCCAGCACTATTCACAATAGCAAAGACATGGAATCAACCTAAATGCCCATCAAAGGTAGACTGGATAAAGAAAATGTGGTACATACATACCATGGAATACTATGCAGCCATAAAAAAGAACAAGATCATGTCCTTTGCAGAAACATGGATGGAGCTAGGAATACCATGCAGCCATAAAAAAGAACAAGATTGTGTCATTTGCAGTAACATGGATGGAGCTAGGAATATTATGCAGCCATAAAAAAGAACAAGATTATGTCCTTTGCAGAAACATGGATGGAGCTGGAGGCCATTATCCTAAGTGAGCAAAGGCAGGAACAGAAAACCAGATACAACATATTCTCACTTAAAAGTAGGAGCTAAACACTAAGTACACATGGACACAAAGTAGGAAACAATAGACACAGGGATCTACTTGAAGGTGGAGGGTGGGAGGAGGGTGAGGATTGAAAAACTACCTATAGGGTACTATGCTTATTACCTGGGTGATAAAATAATCTGTACAACTAACTGCCCATGACACACAATTTACCCATGTTACAAACCTGCACACGTACCCCTAAACCTAAAAGTTAAAAAGCTTGTTTTACACCTTTTGTATTCCATTTATGTACTCTATATGTATTTGTGATAAATATTGTAAAAATAAAATTGAGTTCACTTATTTTTGTGAAAGAAAGCAAAGATACCAACAACAACCTGTTGATGGGTATAGAATGAAAGCAATCGTTTATGAAGCCCCACATCATAAGGCTGGCAGGTTCCACTTACATCTTATACTCAGAACAGGCTTTTCTCTCTGATTGTCAACAGCTACTTCCCTCCACCTAGCAGCAAGATTGTGTCTCAGCGGGGTCCATGCTTCTGCATGTGATGTGGCACTGACACAAGGTACACTTCTTTTGCCCATGAATGTCAATTACTCCTTCAAGTCCTCTAGTGTGTGTGGTATTTAAGCATATAACTACTCCACGGACCCTGATCTCTAAGGTCCTCACCAATTTTTTTTTTTTTTTTTTTGGAGACGGAGTTTCATTCTTGTCGCCCAGGCTGGAGTGCAATGGCGCAATCTTGACTCACTGCAACCTCCGCCTCCTGGGTTCAAGCGATTCTCCTGCCTCAGCCTCCTGAGTAGCTGGGATTACAGGCGCCTACCACCACACCTGGCTAATTTTTGTATTTTTAGTACAGATGAGGTTTCACCATGCTGGCCAGGCTGGTCTCAAACTCCTGACCTCAGGTGAGCCGCCCGCCTCAGCCTCCAAAAGTGCTGGGATTACAGGTGTGAGCCACCATGCCCAGCCGGTCCTCAACAATTGTAGGAGTCTATCATTTCATCAGAGTGTGGCAGTAAGAGAAAGAAGAGTGGTTCATCCAGTCACTCAGCTGAAGCCATCTCTTCACTGCACTCTACATCCAAGGTCCAAGGCTCTCTCCAAAAACTGCATCTCCAAAATGCCAATATGATCCAGGGTCACTATATTCCCCCAAAGTTCAAGAATATAGGAGATGATCCTACATTTTTGAAAAATAAAAATTATGTGTATAGAAAAAAGGCAAGGAAGAAAGAAAACATTATTGTGGTCATCTATTTCTAAGTGGCAGAAAGAATAGGGATCGTAATTTTTTTTGTTTCCCAAATTCTTTACAATAAGTCTATGTAATTTTTATAATCAGAAAAAGCAGTACAGGCATGTTATATGTAATATATATAAGAACATATGACTACGAAATTTAAAATATTTATTTGCATGGAAAGATTCTCCCTAGGATTGGGTCAGGAAAAAGTGAAGCTCTTTCCTTACCTTCCCAGGACTACGGTAGGCATATAAAAACTCATTTAGTTAACCACTGACCTGTGATTTTCTCCCGATACGGCTCTGGAACAAACCAGCGTTCATTCAGGTTACTCTTACAGAAGGCCATAGGTTCTGAGAAGCTATGAGACTAAAGATGTGGATA
Organism: Homo sapiens; assembly: GCF_000001405.40. Classification (NCBI taxonomy): domain Eukaryota; kingdom Metazoa; phylum Chordata; class Mammalia; order Primates; family Hominidae; genus Homo; species Homo sapiens. Next base: position 173,161,745 of record NC_000002.12, on the reverse strand, counting down.
CTGGAAATCACGTGGGCTCTAGATGGACTTCAACCTACTCGGTATGCATGTGGTTCAGCATTTTATTACATAATGCTCCTCTCCCTTCTTGTGTCTGCTCCTATGGTCTGCTACCCTTTAGAAGAGCCTTTCCTACTTTGCTCCTCTTATAAAATATCTAGTATAATACCACATGAGTGAGAAAAGTCAGATACCCTATATATAGGAAGCACTAACATTTAAAGGATGAATGAACAGTATTTGATGATAATGATATTCAGTGTGTTTAAATAATTATGGAGAGCCTATGTTAGCAAATGTTAACCCTGAACCGTACAGTGAGAAGAGTAAAATGCCGGGAGGTATGAATTTGCTTCAGTATTCATTCTGCTCTTTTACATGCTTAAGGGTTACTTAGGGTACATTTCATAAGAGTAACAGTCAATCAATTATATAATTGCAGTAGGAAGCACAGTTCAGAGTTATGTTCACTAGTTCACTGTGGATTTAAACTTCAAGAATGAGGATTTGGACAGCTGCACTTTGCCTCTTTGTAGGCACTGTTGCCCAAGGCAATTACATGAGCACAATTTCTTGAGAATCCTTTGCTGCTTTGCATTCTTCAAGCATGCCCTTGCCTTTGCATTGTACGTTTTCTTTGCCGTGTACTTAAATGTAGGGTTTTAGGATTAAGCAAGGATGAAAGGCTTACTTAACCTTAAACCCTCTATTTCCAATTTTCTACCCAATACATTTTGCCATGTATTTCCAAAGTCACCTCTACAGATGAGCCAGCCTTTTGCCAAGTCCACATTCAATACCCATTATTCGACCTGAAAGCTACGGTAGGTGCTTCTTTGCTGTGTGCTGACAGATGGACCCCTGGTACTCAGTAGTGGGGCCACATTGCACACAAGCTCCATTCCTAGGCCAGGGCCAGTATCATAAATATCCACAACAAAAGAACCAGGGTCTCCTCAGTGCAGCATACCTCTTATCTTTATCACTACAGAGTCCAGAACTATTGTACTTGGCAGCAGAATGTGAACGCAAGGAGAAATTATTGATTTAGAAACTCCTAAAACAGTATTTACAAATCTATAACGTCAAAACAGCTAGATCTTTCAGGAAAGATGTAGGGAGAACTTCCCTTGCCTGCTAATTGTTTCAGGCTCTGATTATAAAGAAAACGAAGGAGAGTTTTCAATCTCAGTTATCAAAAGTATAAAAGGTTCATGATCCCAGGATCTTGACTGAGTCAAAAACAAAACAAAATGCTGCTTAATTCAGTGCATTTTTACCCCAAGAGTATCATAACCAGGGCTTTTTTTAAATAAAAATAAAAAACTTCATTCTTACCTGTATGACAAGATGGAAAACCAGCCTTTCTATGTCTAAAACTGCTGTGCTACAACTTTAAAAGCAGGCTTGGAGGATTTTCAATCCTGTATATAATCACCAGAGAGTTATACACAGGTCATGCCCTTTGAGTCACTTTGGGCTTAACAAGACCCATTCAGTCACAGTCACATAAAAAGCAGCAAACTTCACAATTCCATAGGTTCTTTTTCAAATGATGCTCTTTAGTATTCAGGGCAATAAAGAAGGATAAATGAACTGAATTCAAACCCATAATAGAATACATCCTATATTCTGAATGATGTTTGACATCATGAAGACTTTTCTTTGGAAGAAAAACAGTTACAAATGCTATGAAAAAAAAAATACACCAGTCATTTCCCCACTCTTCTTAAGCAACTGAGATGGAGTCACCAGTGCTGGGAAGTCTCCTATTGCTCAATGGTATTCCTGGTGTGATGCAGCCGACTCACTGTGTGCAGTCACTTGGGAGGAGCCTGGGCTTCCCTCCAGGGATCTAGAGCTGCTCTCTAGTTAAGTACATACCCAACTAAGGGCAGACTCACCTGGCAGGATAGGAGGGTGGCAAAAACTGGATGAAACAGAGTGAAGATTTAAGACCAGGGATTCAAGAGCTATTTCCAAATCACAAAAAGGCAAAGAGATTTTACATTCTTGGTGTTCACACCAGAATGTCACTGATAACATGAAAAAGTAAGGCCAGGTGTGGTGGCTCACCTCTGCAGTCCCAGCACTTTGGGAGGCCAAGGCAGGCAGATAACTTGAGCTCAGGAGTTCAAGACCAGTCTGGGCAACATAGTGAGACCCTATCTCTACAAAAAATGCAGAAATTAGCCAGGCGTAGTGGCATGTGCCTGTAGTCCCAGCTACTCAGGAGACTGAGGTGGGAGGATCACTTGCACCTAGGAGGTCCAGGCTGCAGTGAGCTGAGACCGTGCCACTGCACTCCAGCCTGGGCAACAAAGATCCAGGAAAAAAAAAAAAGAAGGAAGGAAGGAAAGAAAAGAAAAGGAAAGGAAGGAAAGGAAAGAAAGAAAGAGTAAAATACATTGAAACAACCCGTACTCAGTTTGGGTGACAAAAACACAGACAAGAATTCAGTCGGCTTTCTGTCAAACAACTTATGCAACTTGGTCGAAGCAATCATACGGAAATTATCCCCAAAGAAAATCCCCAAACAAGGCTTCAAATTGGAACTAATGAAGGATTAGGCATCTACGAAATTGAATAGCAATATAACTTAATCAAACATTGGACTAGGTGAGTAAAAATTTAATTCTGTTCCAAAATGGATGGCCCTAAAGCGACCTGGTCACTCTGGGCCTTTTTTCCTTCCTACAAAATGACTTGATTGCACAAAATTGTCATTCAGATCCCTTCATGCTTTACATTTCTATCCATTTTTGTGAAAAAATTAATGTATTATTAACAGCACACAGAGTAGGTGCTCAATAAATATGTGACAAATGGATTGGAGGTAATTAACCATGTTGTATTAGGACAGCCTCTGGAGTCACATAGGCTTCATTACAACGTTGGCTCTGCCACTTACCAGTGAGGTGACTTTGAGGAAGTTATTTAACCTGAGACTCAGTTTTCTCATCTGTAAAAGGCAGACAGTAATCCTACTCCAGTGCCCAGCAAATGCCAGGTTGCTCCACCAATGCTAAGTCCTTTCTCTGACATCTTTCTCCTTCCTTTATAATCAATGATCATTCAGAAGCAAGTCAAGCTTATGAGTAAATTCCTATGTCTTCCATCAATGGATTCCATTTACATATTTTGCTTGTTTTAATTAGCCTCATGTAGTTATTATATTCGACTGTCCTTGTTTACTTATGTTTTTACCTAAATATAGCACTTTGACATTTCCAAAGCATTTATCTTACTTGACTCTCAAAAATGAGATATTGTATTGTATTTAAGTGTTGAGAAAATTGGGTCTTTGATTTGATTTTCTCAAGCTTACTTGCCTAGTAAATGTAATAAAGTCTGATGCCAGGTCACCTGCCTCTGCCTCTTTTTATATATTCTCCTCCCCCTTTCTCCCTTTAAAAAAAGTCCAGTAAAATCATAGGTCCTTCTAAACATTTTTTATTAAAGCTTTCCCCTGCTCAAAGAGATTTCAACTTGCAGACTCTATAATACTAGCTAACATGTATTGAGTACCTACTGTGAGCTAGGCCAAAAACTTCCTGTAGATTGAACCCTTACATTCTCACAGCAAACATGAGTTAGGGCTTACTATTAATCACCCTTTCACAGGGGAAGAAACCTAGGCAAGGAGAAACTTTAAAACTTGCCCGAGGGTACAAGAAATGGCAAAGCCAGGTTTTTAGTACAAGTAGTATGATCTCAAAGCCCTGCTTATCATCAGTAAACCATACCACTCCACTTCACAAACCTAATTTGAATACAGAATAAAACGAACAAGGAAAAATTAACTGGTCTAGAAAGTTCCAAAGCTCCCTTTAGTCACAGAAGCGTGAGAAACAACTCATCAGCTTCCTCTTAGGGCCTGAGCTGCTGTCCCCACTATAAGATTTCCAAGTCTTCCTGACACTCAACTGTGCAGAATCAGGTCAAGAACCAAGATCTAACTCCCTACAGGCACTAGGCCATCAGGCCAACCAGCATCAACCAATTTTATAGCTAATAAAACCAGTTAATTGCACAGCAGGAGGCACTCTCTCTATGCAAAAATTACATGGTTAGAAATTTTGAGCAACTCTCACAATCTGATTAGCTAAGTGCTTTATAATATTACTCTCCAGTGAAACAGAGTTTGATTATTTACATCCCATAAGAGAAATGTTTGCCATATTTATTATGGAAATCTACAAAATCATTTAAAAGAATTTAGCAAATTTAATTTTAAAAGAGTCTGAAAGTCCTTTAACATCTTTTAGACTCCAATTAGACAGTGTCTTGAACACTTGGATTCTTCAGCTACATTAATGATTTTACTGTTTTGGGGTTCTGTCAGCACAAACAGTAACTAAAGGCATATGGGTGATAGCTGGCAGATAGTTTTAGTTTTATTAATTGCAAAAAAAAAAAAAAGGTACCAAACCCTAACTAATACATAGTAAAGATAATCTGGAATCATAGAATATTAAGAATGGAAGGGATTTGAAGTCTTTCAGTCTTTTTCTTTCTAGTCCTCAACTACAATCCCACTTTAAGGCAACTCCACTCTTAAAGGCAAAAGATCACTTCTCCCCTAATGGCTTGATGAACAGATCGCCTCCATTTGAATGAACTGTCTCATACTTAATAACCATCACTCCAGCCACCATCTTTCCTTTCGCTAACAAAGGAGTCAAAAGGGACACCCATATTTTCACCTGCACAGGGGTTGGTGCCCCTAACCCCTGCATTGTTCAAGGGTTGACTGTATTTTATAGTGTATCTCAAATTGCAGTCTTTAAAAGAAGATTCCAGGTGTCCATAGATTCACAGATCCTTGATGGCCCCTGAAACCAAAACTCAAAGAAACACTGGCCTAATCAAAGGGTTACCTCTTGGTTTCCCATCTGTACATACAAATACTATTTCCTTGACTTTGTCTACGCCAGGAACTTTCACCAGCATTCTACTTTAGCTCCTTATGACCATCTCTTAGGTAATGGTACCAACAGTGGTCTGTTAGGAACCAGGTCGCACAGCAGGAGGTGAGCAGCTGGCGAGCGAGCATTCCCGCCTGAGCTCCGCCTCCTGTCAGATCAGAGGCAGCATTAGATTCTCAGAGGAGCACAAACCCTATTGTAAACTGCACATTCAAGGGATCTAGGTTGCACGGTCTTTATGAGAATCTAATGCCTGATGATCTGAGGTGAAACAGTTTTATCCTGAAACCATCCCCCACCACCGCCCTATCTGTGGAAAAACTGTCTTCCACAAAACCAGTCCCTGATGCCAAAAAGGTTGGGGACTGCTGTCTTAGACCCTTTCATTACCCAGCCACCTCACTTAGAAACCCTTCTCTGACCTCAATCTCTTATGCTTACTCCCATGAAATCAGCTCTTCGGTTGACCAGGTTGAGGCTTCTAGTCCCTCAATTCCTTTCTAATAAATGGGGTTCTACTAAAAGAAACAGAGATCCAAAATAACAGTGCTTTAAACAAGATAGAGTTTTATAACAAATCAGTCTTGAAATAATAAAATGTCTCAAAACACGAAGGCTGAAAGAATCCCAATATGGCAGCTCAACAATTCATTATTCTACCATCCTTAGCACTGGCTTACATCCTCGAGGTTGTGTGGTGGTCCCAGTGTAACCCCTGAAGTTCCAAACCGTTAAATTTACATTCCAGGCAGCAAGAAGGAAAGTACACCAGGGTGTCCTCTTAGGTCAGCTTCTTTTAGAGAGCTTTCTCAGCAATCTCATCTAGAAAGTTCTGCCTATATCTCATAAATGAGTTCTATTTTCAGGAAGGGCTGGGAAATGTAGTTTTAAGCTGGGTATAGTGGCACATCTAACAATACAGGAATCCTAAGGAAGATGAGGAGAATATTACTGTGTAAGCAGCTAATAATTAATGCCATATCTATCAAGCTATCAGAGATCAAGGTTCCGTTTAATGGAAGAGTCGCTAGGGTACCACAACAACATTTTGCACTCCTTGGTCAAATAATCCCAAAACATACTTGCCAAAACCCTAAAGTTCCAGTCCCCATGCTACCAATCTCTAAGTATGGAAAAAAATCCAATAATTACCTTTCTATGCCCCTCAGTACTTTCAGATAAGCTTTTCTGACAGATCTGTACTGAAACAGTTAACATGGTGTAGTTATGATCTGTACATTTATTGAAAGCTAAAGGATGAAAGCAATCATTTTGAGTATCTCCAGTTAGTTTCCTCTTTCACTCTCCATTCAACATTCACCCAACAAATATTTATGAAGTATATATGATGTGCCAGGCACTATTTTTTGGCGCTAAGGACAGTGGTGAACAAGACAGCAAAACCTTTTTCCTCATGGAGCCTACTATCTAGCTGGAAAAGACGGACAATAATATCAAGAAATATACAAGATAATTTTCATGAGTAAGCTACAACACACCTCAGCTCTTCTCATGTCTTCTAGTACTCTTGCTTTTTCATCCTCAATAGATTACTATGAATACTCTCACATTAGGGAAACTATGAATACTCTCACATTAGGGAAACTGGTAGAACTCAGCACTCCTACCTTACACCTACGCCTTTCTTTCTGTCTCAGAGAAAAATGTACCCCTCCCCTTCCCCAGATTTTACCTCCCCCTCTTCTCTCAGGATATCGCTCTCCATCAATATTCTTTCTGAAATATTCCATCTCTTTCTAGTTCCATCCTCTAGGCCTAAGAAAATGTTTTTCATCTCTCCAAAAAATAACTTTTCTTGACCCTTCCCTCCTTCTCAAACTACTTTCCTGAACACCAAAACTTCTTGAAATAATACTTTACACCACGTTCCATTTCCTCACTTTCTATTGGCACCCTAATCCCATTATATTTGGTTGGATTTCTATAGTAATGCTAAAGTTTCCCTAAGTAACTTGGAATTCTGATCTTTTCTTTCAAGTATCCTATATAGGTTATAGTCTGAGTTTTAACATTAAATGTAACCATGCCTCTCCTTAACATTCTGATATTGTCCTTAGTATCTACATTATTTTATATATTGATACGAATTAAAACAAGGATGGCAGAGTGCATCAGAGTGCTGGAAGTCAAATAAAAAGAAATAAACTCCTGCTATCAAGGGCTTACCCACTATTATGGGAAAAATAAAAGTACCTATTAACAAGATGCCACATAACAACCATCAGAAGTACAAAACACGTGAAGGATCTGTATTAAAATTAGGGAAGTTGGGAGGTAATGGACAGTGTCAACTAGACCATGAAGAATGGATTAGGCTGGGCACGGTGGCTCATGCCTATAATACCAGCACTTTGGGAGGCTGAGGCAGGTGGATCACCTGAGGTCAGGAGTTCAAGACCAGCCTGGCCAACAGAGTGAAACCCCATCTCTACTAAAAATACAAAAATTAGCCAGGTATGGTGGCACACGCCTATAGTCCAAACTACTCGGGAGGCTGAGGCAAGAGAATTGCTTGAACCTGGGAGGCAGAGGTTGCAGTGAGCCGAGATCATGCCACTGCACTTCAGCCTGGGCAACAGAAAAAGATCCCATCTCAAAAAAAAGAGAATGGATTCCATTTGGGTTCATAGCTGGGACGGGGTGCATGCCTGAGAAACGGCAGCACTTTAGTTTGGCTAGAATGTGGTGTAGTGATAGGGTAACAGGCAGGTAATGGAATTGCTAACACACAGCAGTGTGACTGCTAACATATGCCAAGCTGATATTTATGTCAAATTTCGGTGGGAGTGACTCCTAAAAAGCAAGAAAACAAACAGTCGACTCTCTGTATCTGCGGGCTCCATATCCGTGGATTCAACCGACTACAGACCTAAAATATTGGAAAAAATTTAAAAATAACAATACAACAATAAAAAATAATACAAGTAAAAATATGTGATAAGAATTACTTACAGAGCATTTACATTGTAATATGTAGTATGAGTAATTAGAGATGATTTATACAGGAGGATACATGTAGGTTCTGTGCAAATACTACATCATTTTATACAAAGGACTTAGGCATCCACAGATTTTGGTATCTAGGAAATCCTAGGACAAATCTTCTGCAGATACCGTGAAATGACTAATTCTTAGGTTTACTTCAAAGAAATCTTCCAGGATCAGCAAGGCCTACAGAGGTAAAAGAATCACTACTTTCCCATAAGTTAGAACTTAAAGGTCATCTGCTCCAGTTGTCTAATGAAGTAACCCTCTTAGTAATATTCTAAGAAACAGGCATCCTACTGACTGAACACTTCCAGTGACAGATGAACACCAGGGAAACAGTGATGCATTGTTGGAAATTTGGAAATGATCAACCTACTAAATGGGTGTCAGCAGAGACATGTCAAGTCATCCTAAAGTGAAAGACCCTTTCAGGCCATGAGGATGGAGAATAACTTGATAGAAAGTTTTAACATATTTAATAAAATTGTGTGAGTATTCAGAGGTAGTCACGGACAGTCAGTTACAAAGACTTAGAGAAAAGTTAAAGAGATGATAAGCCCTAACAGGGGAGGGGTGAAAATGGGAGGCGTAACAACTTCTCCAGTAAGGTGGGCCTCCTGTTGAAGGGTAGGTAAATCGATTATCAGCTGAATGTGGTATCAGAACATATTCAAATCCTATTACTAACTGCTCTTGCTCTGAATTCACATTCATAAAGCAATCTTTTATAAGTTTGTTTCCCATACACCTTATCTAAAAATAGAAAACTTAGAGATTAGCAATATGGTTTAATTATTTAGTCTCAATCAAATTATATGTGATTTAGCATCCCTGAGAGTCCATTCAACTCTGAACTCTTAAGATTAAATTTCCAAATGCATAAATCAGAAGCCACTTCAACAGGGACCTGTTTGGGCAGCTACCAGCATTCCCTAGAGTGTGCCTTCACTATATTCTTGGGAGCCTCAAATCTCCTAAAGTAGGAAACTATTTTTCAAAATAGCCTATTCTACTTCTACTATGTCAAATTACTAGAGTTGACCTACGTAACTTGTGGTGCAAGTCTTGATCTTGCTTGCTGTATCTATTTCAGCTCAGATTTTTATCTCCTTATTTCTAAATACCGTCTCACCCCAAATTCTAGTTTTTCTCTTTGCTTGAAGATTCAGCGGGGTGTCCTTAATCTGACTGTCACTCTACTTAACACCTTACTATCTTTGAGCAGAAAGGTTTTTTTAAAAGGGCTCCTTTAAGAGCATTCGATAAGTGGTAATTAACAACACTGTAACTGGTCCATTCTTCCATGCCTGTTGACTGAAGCAGTGTTTGTGTAACAAATACATTTCATGCAACAAAGCTTAGAACCTAGGGGAGATCAGAGACAACAGGCTTCAATCTGTATTCTGAGTTCTCCAGGTAGAACTCTTCCCATGTAACAGCCTATAATCATCACTAAAAGTCCCAGACAAAATAATCCGAGATTTTCTGAATACTGCTTATCAGCTAAATATGACCTTCAAGAGACAAGAATCGTTCTGCATGTAAACAAATATAAACCTGGTGATGACTGATGCAATATACCAATCTACATCAGAGCAACATTCTGGCAGCCTGAGACATTTATTAACAAAATACACAGAAGGTCATTGCTGAACTGAGCTGAGATGTAGTGGTCCAACAGTGAGCCCAGAGATGAAGAAAATAAATTAGAACATCAACATGTTTTCCAGGAGATAAAAAATCATGGGCTATGAAGCATGAGAGTATAGACCCTGTTAAGAGCCTATAGAAAGGTATATAAAATTTGAGACAGATGAGGCAGACCACATAGTTTATTATAATTCTTTTGCAATGAATGAATGTAATAACTGTGGAGTTTCAGAAGTTGTAAGCTGAGTACAATCTGACTCATACATTACAATAGCTGACACCTATGGAGCATTTCCTGTGTCTCAACACTGGCTCATCACTTTACATACATTAACTCATTTAGTCCATAGCAGAAATACTGTTATTCCAGTGTGTCACTAAGAAAGTAAGGAACAGAGAGGTTAAGTAACTTGGTTATATAGCTGAGAAGCAGTGAAGCCAAAATTCAAACGAGGCAATCTGGCTGCAAAGCCTATGAATTCAATCATGACATAGGAATATAAATTCTCAAAATCACATAGATGTACATGCCTGCACATTTCGATAATGTTACATATAAATAAACACCTATTACTAGACATATGCCTAGGCCTTTGTATACAGTAAATGTTCTAACATATTTAGTAGTAGTTGATCTGAGTATGGAAGCAACTTTAAGATCACAATCAAGACACCTGCATTCTAGGCTGGCTTCTGATACTGAATGACTGTGTGACTTGGGGCGTCAGCTTATCTATTGATAAAATGTCAAAATGTGGAAGTAAAAGGGACAGATGGAATGATCTAGTCTCTTCAAGTCTAACATTCTGACTTAAATCTAATTTAACTGGTATAGGGTGGGGCTCAGGCATGGGTGCTTCTTAGAAGCTTCCCAGCTTCCAAGGTGAGTCTAATATGTAGCCAGGATTCTCTGAGTAACTGTCAGAGGGTTTTCCACAACAGCTGTTTCATTTTACATTCCCCTCAGAAGGGTTTGTGGGTTCTAACTTCTCTACACCCTTGCCAACACTTGTTATTGTCTAATAACAAGTGAGTGGTTCTGTGGCAAGCTAAACTGTAGCCTAGTTGCCTTGGAGTCTGAAAACCCTGGAGCTAAATTTCAGCTCTATCATGTATGAGCTGTGTGGTCTTCCAGGTCTCTCAATTAAGTGTGTTCTTTATATGTAAAATAAAACCAGTATCCACTTAACACAGTTACAAGGACCAAACTCCCATGTAAAGTACATGCTAGGCGCATGGTTTTCCTCAATAAATGTTAGCTGCTAGAAATTGTACCTACATTAAAACAATTTTTTTTGGCCGGGTGTGGTGGCTCACGCCTGTAATCTCAGCACTTTGGGAGGTCAAGGCGGGCGGATCACAAGGTCGAGTTCAAGACCAGCCTGACCAACACGGTGAAACCCCGTCTCTGCTAAAGATATGAAAATTAGCCAGGTATGGTGGTGTGTGCCTGTAATCCCAGCTACCCAGGAGGCTGAAGCAGGAGAATTGCTCGAACCCGGGAGGCAGAGGTTGCAGTGAGCCGAGATCACCCATTGCACTCCAGCCTGGGTGACAGGACAAGACTTTGTCTCAAAGAAAAAAAATTTTTTTAAGGATATGCAGAACTGAACTCGGATACACAGAACATCAGCCTGAACAATCAATTGCTGGAAAACAGATCCACAGACTGACAGCAATAGCACTCTCTCTTTTATGAGAGAAGAGGCTGAAACAACCCTGTGTAGGACACTGACCACAAATCAAAGAGAATCTAGAGAATAGAGCGTTGGAAAAGTGTTAGAACACATGTCATCCTGCATAGTCAGGTCAGGCCACAACTGGCAAAAGAATCTAAATCCAAAGACCAAGATATACTGAGATGACCACAAGCTGTTAGTAAGCCTTGTTCTGCAAGCTTCCAAATAAATCTCTTAAGTCACCCTGCTATTTTAAAAAATAAATTGCCATGTTGACAGAAATTGAACATCACTTCTCTTTTCCACTTACAGGATATGGAATCTGGCGTACCATCTTTAGACTCACAATCACCACATTTGCAGAACAAATCTGAATTTGATGGGGGCAATTCTTGTGTTTCTATTTTCTGTCCATTCACAGATTTCTGTGTCAGAGATCACAGAAGACACCACTACACTACTATTCTTTTTCAAAACTACTGCCTTTGGGCATTAGCCATCATTCATCATATCATCTCTATACACTCCCTAAATGAGATTTCAACAGTTGGACTGGTTTAATCAAATGGGCCCCAAAATATGTACTGTATTCTCCATTCAAATATGGAAGTCAATAGTCACTTGAAGTCAACAGGAAACATATTTTTGAGTTATTTGTCCAGTAGTGAGAATGAATGGCAATGATCTCTTAACTGTAAAATGAAAGTATCACCTCTCAACCCTCGAAAGGCTGTGGGGAGGATGCGCGGAGATGACGTAGGCAGAAAGCAGTGCATTCTTCCTAAGGCAGTACTCCTCAGTACTCAGCACTCAGGTAAGAATGCAAGGACTCCAGTTTAGGTCCTGGTCTTTTACCACCTCCCCCCTGTGCTATTGAGCAAGGTTCTCAGCCTTTCCAAACAGTACAAATCTGGGGAATGAGGATAATGAGACTTGCATTGACTAGATCATAAGGGTTTTTTTTAAAAAAAAATAAACTTTTTTATTTTGGAGTAATTTTAGATTCAGAGAAAAATATAGGAGTGTTCCCATATACCCCTCACCCATTGTTAACATCTTATGTTACTATATATAGTACATTACTATTAACTAAGCTCCAGACTTTGGATTTCACCATTTTCTCCACTAATGTCCTCTCTGCATTTCAGGATCCAACCCAAGGTGCCACACTGCATTTAGTTGTCATGTCTCTTTAGTCTACTCTGGTCTCATATTCACAGGGTTTTTATAAGAATCAAATAAATACAAGAACACTTTGTACAGTGAAAAGTACCATGAGAATACACTTTACTATTCTTATGCATTAAATGAGTACATCCATGTAAAGCACCAGGAAAACTGCCTGTCACATATTAAGCTCCAAATATTGATTTCAGCACTATCATTATAAATATTTCTACCTATCCTACATTGTGATCAATTCTATACGTCTACAACAGATGTCTGGGGTTCAAAATTCCTTCTATGACCACAGATTTTATTTTCAGTGTAGGAAGTCAGCTTTATAGAATCAGCCCTTGACCAGATTTTTGTAAACACCTGGCTCAATCTGGGAGAGCAGGAAACAGAAGAAGAGGCAGAGTGAAGGCAGAGGTATTAATGGAACCTCAGGACCCACTTAGGTTTCCCTTCATCATCGAACATCAATCTCACACCTCAGAGCTATACAGTCAAAGAAGTGAAGAACTCTGCCAAATTTGGCAAACCATGAAATTCAGTAAGGGACATTCCATAGAGATCAGCAAAATAACAAATACCCACACATTTCCTGTTAAACAATCTGCACACCGCTTCCAGGCATCGTCAGGAGGTTGGAGCGACCTGGGGTGGAAGGAGGCAGGGAAGGGATGCTTTTCTTTATCCCTCAGTGGACCAGCTGGTTAACTCTGCCCCTTTCTTGTCTTTCCTGCTGTCCTAGATTTAGCAAGGTGTTTATGAAGGTCTGCTCAAGGGCCAATTCTATAAAGCATGACCAGGACCCATTCTACTCACACCACTCATCCTAAGGATATCAGGAGATAGTGGAATAAATTCCAAGTCCCTTTCGAATAGTAAAATAAAGAACATGTTCTGGCACTTAACCTAGACTGAAAGCCATGAAACAGCCTACCTCTCATAGCATAAAATTTTACCAGAAAGTGGTAACAAGAAGGTTTTCTAACCCAAGAGCAAGGGAGAATACTAAGAGATTTCAGTACAGAGGCCAAAAACATGTCCACTTAAGGGTATGTTTGTTAAACCCATTAAAATTATGTAATGTTAGCCAACAAAGACAGACGAGAACTGGTGTGAGGGGGGACAGGGGAGGATAAAGGGGCAGAGAGTTGGGTAGAGGCATAAGAAACAGTGTATTCCTTCCATCTTGTAGGATTAACTTCAGAAAAACCATACTAACAAAAATCCAGAAAATTTATTTTTGAGTCTTTCTGTGAGGCCACTTATGGATAATGCTTCTCGGTCAAAGTCAGATTTTCAGAGAGGTCAGGATATAAGCATATTAACAAACAAAATCAGACAACTTTTTTAAAAATCCTTTTTGGGGCCAGTTACAGACAATGCTTCTTGGCCAAATTCATATTTTAAAAAGGCTGGAGTGGCCGGGCACGGTGGCTCATGCCTGTAATCCCAGCACTTTGGGAGGCTGAGGTGGGTGGATCACGAGATCAAGAAATCAAGACCATCCTGGCCAACATGGTGAAACCCTGTCTCTACTAAAAATACAAAAATTAGCCGGGCGTGGTGGCAGGCGCCTGTAGTCCCAGCTACTCAGGAGGCCGAGGCAGGAGAATCACTTGAACCCGGGAGGCGGAGGTTGCAGTGAGCCGAGATCGTGCCACTGCACTCCAGCCTGGCAACAGAGTGAGACTCCGTCTCAAAAAAAGAAAAAAAAGGCTGGAGTTTGTTGGTATACTATTTTGAGTCAAAATTAAAAACAGTATACACTGTGGCAGATGCTGCTGGTTGCATTCTATTTTGTTTAGAATAGCAATATGCACCCCCAAAATTTCATTTCCCAACCCCACTTGAAGCTAAATGTGGCCATATGACATATCCTGGCTAATAAGATGTAAGAAGTTATTATCTACATACAAAAAAATAAAGTTAGATCCCTTCCTCAAAACAGACAAAAAATGAATCACACACATGAATGTATGAGCTAAAACTATAAAACTCTTAAAAGAAATTTAGAAGTAAATCTTCATGACCTTAGGCAAAGCCCTCTTAGATATGACAACAAAAGCACAAGCAACGAAAGTTAAACTGAATGCCCCCAAAATGAAGAACGTTAGTACTTCAATAGATATTATCAAGAAAGTGAAAAGACAACCCACAGAATAGGGCAATAAATATTCATAAATCACACACCTGATAAGGGACTAGTATGTGGAATATATACAAATTCTTACAACTCAATAACAAAAAGATAAATAATTGAATTAAAAATAGGCCAAGAATTCAAATAAGTATCCAAAGAAGATATCTACAAATGGCCACTAAGTATAAGGAAAGATGCTGACCGTCATTATTCATTAGGGAAATGCAAATCAAAACCAGAACTAGAAACCACTTCACACCCACTAGGATGGTTATAATTAAAAAGACAGAGAATAACAAGTGTTGGCAAGGGTGTAGAGAAGTTAGAACCCACATACCCTTCTGGGAGGAGTGTAAAATGTAACAGCTGCTGTGGAAAACCCTCTGACAGTTACTTAAAGAATTAAAGAGTTACCATGTGACTCATCACTTCTACTCTTAGGTATATATACTCAAGAGAATTGAGAATACACGTCCACAAAAATCTTGTATACAAAGACCACATGGTTTTAAATTCTATTTATATGAAATGTCCAGAATAGGCAGATCTCTGGAGACAGAAAGTAGACGAGTGGGTGTCTTGGGTTGGGGACTTGAGGAGAACTGGGAAATGATGCTTGATGAATATGGATTTCTTTTGGAGGTGATAAAAATATTCTAAAAGTGATTGTGGTGATGATTTCATAACCGTGAATATATTATAAAACACTTAATTGTACATGTTACATGGATGAATTACAAGGTATATGAATTACACTTCAATTCACCTTCAGTATTACATATATGAATAAAATAGTGTGCATGTACACTGTATATGTGCATGTATGCATGTATACAAACACACACATTTGGTTATTGATTGGCGCTTCTGGAGAATCCCTCTAAAAGGCAACAGACTTGACTGGCTTGTTCCTTTGCCTTAAAAAAAAAAACAACAAAAACCTGAAACTTTTTTGTTTCTTCTAACTGAGGTAAAATTTATGTATAATAAAATACACAGACCTTAAGTGAATAAGGTAGAGTCTTGAAAATATATGCACCTATGTATGACCTTAATCAAGATACAGAATGTTTCCATCTTTCCATGTGTCTACCCTTCAGTACCCAACCCTCATGGGCTCTGTTCTGCTTTCACCATCAGAGATAATTTTGCCTTTTATTGAACTTCACGTGAGTGGAATCATGATGTAGTCTTTTTTGCTCAACATTTTGTTTTTGAGATATATATATATATCAGTAGTTCATTCTTTTTATTGCTAATTAGTATTCCATTTTATCAACAGTCTTTATCTATTTTCCTGTTAATATTTGAGTTGTTCTCAATTGTTGGCTATTATAAACAGCTGCTACAAATATTCTTATACTAGTCTTTTTTGGATATATGTTTTCATTCTATTGGGTAAACACCTATAAGTTGAATTGATGACTCATAGGGTAGGTGTTTAATTTTTGAAGAAACAGCAAAGAGCATCCCAAAGAGGTGATACCATTTCACACTCCCCCCAAAAACATATGAGAATGTGCTGACTCACATTCTCACCAACACTGGGTGTTTTGGGTTTTTTAAATTTTAGCCTTTCTAGTCTGGGTGAAATGGGTCTCACTGTGGTTTTCATTTGATATCCTTAACCACTGTCATTGAACACTTTCACACATGCTTATTGATTATTCATATAACTTTTTGTGAGATGACTATTCTAATCCTCTACCTATTTTTGAAAATCGTTATCTTTTTAATATTGACTTGCAGGAGTTCTTTAAATATTCTGAAAGCAAGTGCTTTGACAGATATATCTCATTATAAACATGCTCTCCCAGTCAGTAGATTGCATCTTTGTTTTTCAAACAATTTCTTTATGTAAGCACAGAGTTTGGATTTGATGAAGCTCTAGTTACCAATTTTTTTTTCTTTTTTTTTGAGACGGAGTCTTGCTCTGTCACCCAGGCTGGAATTTTATTTTTAGTACCTGTTATGGTTTGTCTAAGGAATATCTGGCTATCAAAGGTCACAAGAGATTACCTTTGCTTTCTTATAGAAGTACTATAGTTTTCGCTTTTACATTTAGGTTTACCCTGGATCTTGAATTAATTTTTGCATTTGGTATAAAGAAGTCAAGGTTCCCTTTTTTTCATATGCATATCCTACTCCTCCAGCACTATTTATTAAAAAGATTTTTCTTTTCTGCATTTAATTACATTGGCATGTTTGTTAAAACTCAATGGATTATAATATGTCTGGGTCTAAATATGAAATTCTGTTGCATCTATATTTTTGTCTTTATACCAATACTATACTGTTTTAATTACCAGAGCTTTGGATTAAGTCTTGAAATCAGGTAATGTGAATCCTCCAATTTGATTTTTCTACAAATCAATTTTTGGAGGAAAGTAACATTTTAATACTGAGTCTTACAACTGGACTTATGGAAAACGCATGTCTCTCCACTTATTTAGGTCTTTTTTGTTTGAGATAGGGTCTTGCTCTGTCACCCAAGCCAGAGTGCAGTGGCGAGATCATGGCTCACTGTAGCTTTGAACTCCCAGGCTCAATGAATCTTCCCACCTCAGCCTCCCCAGTAGCTGTGATTACAGGTGCATGCCCCCCCACTCCCAGCTACTTTTTGTATTTCTTTTCTTTTCTCTTTTTTTTCTTTTCTCTTCTCTTCTTTCTTTCTTTTCTTTTTTTTTTTTTTTTTTTTTTTGAGACGGAGTCTCCCTCTGTTGCCCAGGCTGGAGTGCAGTGGCGTGACCTCGGCTCACTGCAAGCTCCGCCTCCCAGGTTCACACCATTCTCCTGCCTCAGCCTCCCAAGTAGCTGGGACTACAGGTGCCCACCACCACGCCCGGCTAATTTTTTGTATTTTTAGTAGAGATGGGGTTTCACTGTGTTAGCCTGGATGGTCTTGATCTCGTGACCTTGTGATCTGCCCACCTTGGCCTCCCAAAGTGCTGGGATTACAGGCGTGAGCCACCACACCCGGCCTTCTTTCTTTCTTTTATTTTCTTTTCCTTTCTTTATTTTTATTTTTTTTGTAGAGACAGGGTTTCACCATGTTGCACAGGCTGGTCTTGAATACCCGGGCTCGTGTGATCTGCCTGCCTTGGCCTCCCTAAGTGGTGGGATTATAGGCATGATTATACATGCCTATAATTTAGGTCTTTTAAAGTTTCTCTCAGAAATGTCTTGTAGTTTCCAGCATAGAGGTTTTGTATGTCTTTTGATGAATTTATTTCAATGTATTTTTTGTGTTTAATGCTAATGTAAATAATTTTTTTTTACATTGTCTTTAAAATCTTTGCTGCTAGTATATAGAAATATAATAAACTTGTTTCCTGTAACTTTGTTAAATAAATTGATCAGTCCTAGTATTTGTTTTGTAGATTTTTAAAAAATTTTTTATGTAAACAATCATTTAATCTGCAAATAAAGACAGTTTTACTTCTTCCTCTCCAATCTTAATGCCTTTTGTTTCTTTCTCTTGTCTTACTGCACTGACCAGGATCTCTACAGAACAGTGAACAGAAATCATGAGAGCAGATATCCTTGTCTTACTCCTAATCTTAGGGAGAAAAACATTCAATATTTCCCCGTTGAGTTAAAATGTTAGGTGTAGGTTTTTTGGCAGATCCCTTTAAAAGACTGAAAATTATAAAAACTTATTTTATGATCTATCCTGGAGAACACTCCATGTGCACCTGAAGATAATGTATATTTTGTAGTTGTTAAGTATAATGTCTCAGTTGCTTAGGGGGGGATATTTAAAATTTACAAATGTAATTGTGAATTTGTCTATTTCTTTTTCTAGTTCTATCAGTTTTGCTTCATGTATTTTGAAGCTCTGTTATTAGGATAAATATTCATTTATGATTGTTATATCTTTTAAGAAACTGACTTTTTAAATCATCATTATTAAATCATTTTATCTTTAGTAATACTTTTGGTTCCTGAAGTCCATACTGTGTCTGATATTAATAGAGCCACTACACCTTTATTATGCTTTCTATTTGCATACCCCTCTTTTCCCATTTCATGTTTTTACTTTCAACAGATCTGTGTCTTATATTTAAAATACACCTCTTGTAGATAGCATATAGTTGGGTCTTGTTTTATTTTTTTGTTTTTTGTTTGTTTCTTTTTGAGACAGGTTCTAGCTCTGCTGTCCAGGCTGGAGTGCGATGGTGTGATCACAGCTCACTGCAGCCTTGAACTCCTGGGCTCAAGTGATCCTCCTGCCCTGGCCTCCCAAATTGCTGGGATTAGAGGTGTGAGCCACTGTGCCTGGCTGGATCTTGCTTTTTCATCCAGCCTAGCAATCTCTGCCATTTAATTGGGGTGCTTAATTCATTTATACTTAATGTAATTATGTATATTACTGGGCTTAAGTTTACTATCTTGGTTTTTAAAAATTCGTTCTATTTGTTTTTTGTTCCCCTGTTTTTCCTTTCCTGTCTTTGTTTTAACAATTTTTTTCTTAGTATATCATTTTCATTCATTCATTGGCTTTTTAGCTATACCTCTTTTGTTTTGTTTTTTTGTGGGGGTAGGTAGTGGTTGCTCTAAGAATTCAACATATATTTTTGCCACAGTCTACTTAGATTTAATTTTGTGCTACACATAAAATGTAAGATGCTTGCTCACTTCCCCATCCTTTGTGTCATTGTGATATATATATACTACTTTTTTTTTTTTTTTGAGACGGAGTCTCGCTCTGTTGCCCAGGCTGGAGTGCAGTGGCACGATCTCAGCTCACTGCAACCTCCACCTCCTGGGTTCATGCCATTCTCCTGCCTCAGCTTCTTGGGTAGGTGGGACTACAGGCACCCACCACCACGCCGGGCTTATTTTTGGTATTTTTAGTAGAGTCAGGGTTTTACCATGTTAGCCAGGATGGTCTCGATCTCCTGACCTCATGATCCACCCGCCTCGGCCTCCCAAAGTGCTGGGATATAGGCGTGAGCCACTACGCCCAGCCATGTGTTATATATTTTAACGTACATACATTATACAACCCATAATATAACACTGCAACTTTCCTTTTAGCTGTTGTCTTTTGAAGAAATTAAAAGAATTTTTAAAATGATCATTTGTATTTACCCTAATATTAACCATAACTAAATCTGCTGGCAATAAATTATCTCAGCTTTCATTTATCTAAAAATGTCTATTTCATCTTCAGTTTTGAAGACTATTTTAAGTGGGTATTGATCTCTAAAATGGCAGTTATCTTTTTTCTTTTGGCATATTACAGGTCATTCCACTGTCATTTGGCCTCCATTGTTTCTAGTGAGAAGTAACTGGTATTGCTTCCTTTATGTAATGTGTCTTTTTTTTCTGGCTGTTTTTGACATTTCTCTTTTCATCAATGATTTTTAGCAGTTTAACTATGATGTGACTGAGTGTGGTGTTTCTGGTTTTCATTTTTAATTTATCCTGCTTGGGGTTTTCTGAGCTTGCTGGAACTGTAAGTGTATGGTTTTCATCAAAGTTGGGGCACTTGAAGTCATCATTTCTTCACATATTTTTCTATCCATCCCCTCTCTCTCTCTCCTTTCTTTCTGTGATTCCATTAATGTATATTAGATTGACATTGTCTCATGTGTAACTGCTCAATTTTTAAAATTTTTTTTGTTTGGTCTTGAGATTTGATAAATTATATTAATCTGTCTTCACATATACTGACCTTTTCTTTTGCCTTCCTCAATCTGCTGTTAAGCCCCATCAGTACAATTTACATTTAAAGAGACTGTAGTTTTACAGTTCTAGAATTTTTAGTTTCCATCTTCCTGCTGAATTACTGATTCTGCTCTCTCATTCTAACCATGGTTTCCTTTAAGTTCTTGAACATGTTTATAAAAGCTGCTTTGTAGTCTTTTGTCTGCTAATTACAACTTCACATGTCTAATATGTTTTACTTCACATGTCTAGTTTTTCTAATAATACTACACGAGAATTTAGTATAAAAAGTAAATGTGAAGTAAACAAATATTATTTAAATACAAAATAAAAAAGTTATTAAAAGGAATGTGGTAGCTCTACGTGTAGTCACATAAAAAAGTGCCTCAGTATACTAAGTTCAAAAAGTAAGTTGCGAGGTGATTTACAACTTACACATTGGGACACGTTTTTATGATATATATACATATAAAATATCATAATCTAGTTTTTTTAAGTTTTTACTTTGAGATAATTATAGATACACATGCAATTATAAGAAATAATACAGAGAGAACCTATATATTTTTCAACCAGTTTCTCCCAATAGAAATCGACATTTACACAATCCACCAACTTTATTCAGATTTCACCAGTTTTATATGCACTCGTGTGTGTGTGTGTATATGTTTAGTTCCGCATAATTTTGTCATACACGTACATTCAAGTGATTCCTACCACAGTCAAGATACAGGAAAATTTCATCACAAGGTTCCCTCATGCCACCCTCTTCACATGATCCATTTTTATGGGGGGAATAGTATTAGCGATAGTTATAAATACAGAGAAAAAAATACATCTGGGCTGGATGCAGTGGCTCACACCTGTAATCCCAGCACTTTGGGAGGCCAAAGCGGGTGGATCACCTGAGGTTGGGAGTTCGAGAACAACCTGACCAAAATAGAGAAACCCCATCTCTACTAAAAATTCAAAATTAGCCGGGTGTGGTGGTGCATGCCTCTAATCCCAGCTACTTGGGAGGCTGAGGCAGAAGAATCACTTGAATTCAGGAGGCAGAGAGGTTGCGGTGAGCTGAGATTGTGCCCCTGCATACCAGCCTGGACAACAAGAGTGAAACTCCATCTCAAAAAAAAAATCTGGAAAGTTACTCACAAACTAATGATTTTAAAGTATAGGATTGTGGCTGGGCGTGGTGGCTCATGCCTGTAATCCCAGCACTTTGGGAGGCTGAGGTGGGTGGATCACGAGGTCATGAGTTTGAGACCAGCCTGGCCAACATGGCAAAATCCCATCTCTACTAAAAATACAAAAATTAGCTAGGCATGGTGGCACGCGCCTGTAATTCCAGCTACTCGGGAGGCTGAGGCAGGGGAATCGCTTGAACCCGGGAGGCGGAGGTTGCAGTGAGCTGAGATTGCGCCATTGCACTCCTGCCTGGGCAACAAGAGTGAAACTCCATCTAATAAATAAATAAATAAATAAATAAAATTAAGTATAGGATTGCAGGGAAGGAAAACTGCTTTTTTACTTTGCATACTGCTGAAATTTCTTGTTTTACACTGAACATGTATTACTTTTTTAACATAAAAATTTAAAATCTAGGAAGTAAATATAACATGGAAATATGTGGGTGTAAGTATAGCAGGGTCACAGTAAACAAATGGCTATGAATAGAAACTTTAAAAAGAAACATGATACTGAGTGTGTAAAATAAAATATTTAGGAATCTACTTTTCGTTTACTAACTATATCCATATTGGTTCCTTTACTTAAGTAAGCACTGGTCATTTTTTATTTTTGGAAGAGATTCCACCAAGCAAGAAAAAGAACTTAAAAATTCACAGAAAACTAAAAAGCTAAAATAAATGAAGTTATTTTACTTATAAGTAAGATAACAATCAGGGGGAAAGTAGGCACCTAATAAATGTCATTTTGTAAGAGTTTTCTGAAGAGTATAATTTTAATGTTGTTTTTAAAATCATATTACAGCATTACATTGATCCTTTTATCCTTGGTCCAAACAAGCACTGTTAGACAGCATATGGTATAGACTCAGAATAACTCAGAGAAGAACTTTCTAATAGTCAGTTTCCCAAAGATAAAAGGGACTGGCCCAGGAGGCTACTGAGTTCTCCTTCATAAGCAATCAGAATTCAAACAGGAGGTAAATGCCCATTTGTGGCAGTAATGTTTCGGAGGACATTAAGGCATCGGAAATATGGTCAATTAAAGTCCTTTCCAAAGCTGAGATTCTATTATGAGTAGAGCACACACTGGGTCCAAAGCCAGAAAAACCTCAGATTAAGCACTGTACTTCTCCAGTGTGCTTCTGGGAATCATACACACTTGCTTCATCATTTGCAAGGAAATAATGTAAGTAACAGTGCTTTACAAATGGCAAAGCACTGAGTAATATTATATACTATCATTTGAGGATACCAAGTTCAAACGTTAACAAAAGTTACTTAAGCCAGCCATTAAGCAGAACTTCTGAATGGTGAGTATGATTGAACCCACTTCCAGACAGCCTGTGGACTTTTAAAAACAGATACAGAATTCGCAGTGTCTGAAATGACTTAGCTACAATCTTGATCTAGAACAGCAATTCATGTGGTACTATGGCCCTAGCTGATAGAAGTACCAGATGAAGAAGGAAAACAAAATGACCTTTTGGTGCTAATGTTAAAGTGTTATCAAATAAGTGGCTATCATTCAGGAATATCAAACCTTCTCTCTTGTCACAAGCATCCAGTAGGCAGTTGAGTATCATTTAAAAAGCAACAGACACAGAGGGAACCTAACAGGGTGTAAGAGCTCCAAACCAGCAAACCAAAGACCTGGGCCCTTGGACTGAATCTGTTGCTACTGAACATCACCTATCTGAACTTCAAATTACTGATTGTTAAAATGAGGGCTTGGGGCTGTTGGACTAAAATAGCTATTAAAATTTCAGTTTGTGTATTGTATTCGATTTCTAAGAGAACAGAACTTTTCACAATTATGTGAAAACCCACCTGTTAAGCAAAAAACCTACACTACAGTGTCAATCCTTCATCATCTTTCAAATCTTCCCCATATTACAATGCTATGACTGTGTACAAAATATCCAAACCTTAACACATCCATAATTAGGAGTTCAAAACACACAAAATAGAAAAAGTGCATATTTCATAATCATGGACACTTTCAGATTTTAAACATCCCTTTAAAATCACAAGTATTTGCCAGGCACGGTAGCTCACGCCTATAATCCCAGCACTTTGGGAGGCCGAGGCGGGCGAAACACGAGGTCAGGAATTCAAGATCACTTTGGCTAACATAATGAAACCCCGTCTCTACTGAAAATACAAAAAAAATTAGCTGGGTTGGGTGGCGGGCGCCTGTAGTCCCAGCTACTTGGGAAGCTGAGGCAGGAGAATTGCTTGAACCTGTGAGGCGGAGGTTGCAGTGAGCCGAGATCACGCCACTGCACACTCCAGTCTAGGCGACACAGCAAGATCCTGTCTCAAAAAAGAACAAAAAATCACAAATATTTATTAATCTACGTGTCTTTTCAAATAAGCTACTTACCTGGAATAAATGAGGATGGTTAAAGTAGAAAGAAATTGCTAGGTAATTGTTCAAGTAGATTTTTGTGGCTTGTATGGTTGAGGATCACTTTTACTTTCTGTTACTTAAATGTTGATGCCCACGTGTCAACAGCACTAGTATTAGGAAATTTTATGTGGGTTACAATTAAAGCCAGTACTTTAAAAACTGTAAAAATAAAATTTCCTTCCATTTCTGCTCATAGATTCCCTTTTCTTTTTTGGGACACACAGATTCTCAAAAGAATATTTTATAAACTACAATAAGAGCAACATACCTATTCACAGGAAAAAGGAAAAAAAGAGAGGGAGAGAAAAGAGACAAAATAAAACATGCACACTTCTTACTCATATGTAATTACATACTAGACAATTTCTCTTACTTTAAAATTACTCAACCAGAAAAAAAAAAATCTTCTCAAGCTGACATTTAAATTAAAATGGATGCTTCTGTCTTCTGCATTCATACTTATACTTGCCTTCCCAAACAGAGAACATAGGGTATTTATAATTCTCTTCTGTACACATCTACACTACACCGTATCTCTCAGTAACAAGGTGACTACCAAGGCACAAAAGATCTAATAAGCCATAATCACTATTATTCTTTAGTCCAGGTGTTTTGGCAGATTCCTAGTCTAGATCCTGACAGTAAATGGGGAATTTTGCATATATAAATTTTAAGGTAAGTCATTGTGACATTTAACCATTTTTAAACAGATTAAAGAGCTTAATCAAATCTAACGCTTTAACACTCGCCAGCTACAAACACACAGGAAAGCATGTTTTCCCACGTAAAGTTCACAAACACAGCCATCAATCCTTTTTAGGTCAGGAGAGAAATTGAGAAGACCAATCTTCCAAAAATTTTCATCGCTACTCTCCCTAAAAAGTGGTGCTTCTTGCAAGAAAAGGATAGAACAAAGATCTTAATGTTGCAGGTTTGAAAGACAACCACATCAAAACCAGGTATAGTGGTCCTAACCTAAGCAGCTGGCAAACTGCAGGATGGATGTGGGCACTCTTCTGCCTAATAAAATCTGAATCAAACACTTTGCATCTGATTCTCTATGTGAGCTTTTATGCAAACTTCTAAAGTGCAAGGAATCCTGGGGTGGAAGAGCTATTCTGAGAGATTTCACATAGTTCATGTAATTAGGGAAACCACTTCCTTTGATTGTGAGTGTTCAAAACAGCTGAATTTCTCCTATCAAAGGCACTCTGTGATTTGGGTCACCTCTTTTACGTTCTCTTTCATGTTCCTCAGGATGAGAGGTGAAGCCGGAGAGCACATTATTTAGGGGAAAAAAGATCTTGCTTTTTGTTTTAGGGATTGAACTTGCACTATTCAAAAGATTGTCATTTAGAATCTTCCTTTCTTTCTCACCCTCTGCTTCTTTCCTTCTCTGTCGAGGCTCTTCAGGCACTGCAGAGAACACAATCCAAAATGCCAATTTAAAGCTGATGGAAAACTGTCAGATTGTGTGTAAAAGAATTCTAATTTTCATGTTTGGGTTTAAAACATAATTAGAGTTGTAATCTGCAGGCTCTTGATCTCCATATTATGCATTTTCTGTTATGACAGTGACTAAGTCAAAAAGAGGGAAAGAAACATGAACGAACAGGAAAAAGGAGCCCCACACCCCAAAAATCACATTCCTCCGTGCCATCAGCAAATGCTGTAAAAAGAAACTGCCACTCTATTCTTTCCCTATATTCCTGGGGTATCCTTTTTCCCTAAAAGTGGAACACAGGCTATTCAACAAGGTGGCACATGCTGCTTTTGTTACAGCTAATTTTAGCATTGATGTTGTTAAGGTATTCAGTACAACTTATTCTACAACACCTTGGTCAGTGTAGCACACAGGTTTGTCAATGAATATCTAAACTAAAAAGCAGTGAAAAATAATTCACTATTTACCAACCACTTAGATGCTCACATTTCTACTGAGTGTTTAAAGCAAGTCTAATA
Source organism: Homo sapiens (assembly GCF_000001405.40). Classification (NCBI taxonomy): domain Eukaryota; kingdom Metazoa; phylum Chordata; class Mammalia; order Primates; family Hominidae; genus Homo; species Homo sapiens. The sequence continues at coordinate 173,135,931 of NC_000002.12, read as the reverse complement.
ATCTATATGCTACAATCCCTAAGATTTTAGTTAATTTAAATTCAGTTAATTAAAATTATACATGGTTAATAAAAACTGGTGATACTAAGTTGTCACTCATATCAAGGAAAAGGGTTTTGAAGCATATGAAAAAATGTGATAAAATTGTCTAGAGTGATAATGATATCTCCTGCATTCATTATATTTGACATTTACAATTCAGAGAAATATAACTGGGCAGAAATTATCCCCATTTTATAAGTGCAGAAACCTAGTCCCAGAGAGGCTGGCTGATTTCCCAAACAGCAAAGGAGGAAAAGATCTAAAACTTTAAACACAGAAGAATAGGGTATGATCTCCTTCATTCAGGATTCTAAAATCTTCCCATCACAGTTTGAAAATCACATTAACTTTTCTGGCAAATATATCACATTTTAACTCATAATAAGCCCCAAATATAAAATGTCCTTCTGTTAAGCCACATCTTCCTCATCCTCTATCAATCCTTAGCTTTCCAGAGTCTCCATGCAGGACTTTCATTTCCGTCTGTTAACCCACTGCTCTAATCTGTTGAAATCTTTTCAGGTTCTTATTCTTATTGCACCTTTTAACATGTCAATTACTCTTCCGACTGTTACAGGAACTCAGAGTGAATCAGATGCTACCTAAATTATTAATGGAAGTATTGAATAGGACATTGAATAAAATTATTTAACTCTACAAGAATTAAATGCTCTTTATGTACTTGTAAAAGTGTTTACAAATCGCCTAATTTGTATACGGAAACTTTTTTTCAATATTTTTATTTCAGGACCAGATAAACTTTGCCATCCAATTAGTAATACATCCTCTTTGCTTCTATCAGAATTATAACCCCTAGTATATTTTGTAGCCAAAATGTATCGAACACTTACTATATGCCAAGCATTGTCCTGAGGCAGGTCCTGTTATCCTCACTTTAGAAATGAGGAGACTAAGGCACAAATATGTTAAAGAACTTGCCTGAGGACTAAGCTAGTCACGTGGCTGAGCTAGGGATTTCAACATGGGTCTGACGCCCGAATCCACACTTTAAACCACTTCCTCTGTTCTGAAGATATTCACAAGTTTCTTTCTCCCAGTTTGACTGTAAGATCCCTGTGGGTCTCCAACTTCCAGCACAGTTCTGGCATATATTAAGCATAATAAGGATGGAAAGGGCTCTGTAGCCTAAATAAAATAAAAGTAAAAAGAGCATCATAGCTGCCTGGAAATATCTGAAGGCTGCCACATGGAGGAAGTATCAGTTCCAATGTATGTAGCTCCAGAGGACAGTACTAAAACCAATGGGCAGCGTTAAAGTAAAGCAACCTCTAACTAAGACCAACTAAGTCAGCAGTAATGGGCTGGGGGCAGTGGCTCACGCCTGTAATCCCAGCACTTTGGGAGGAGGACAAAACGGGCGGATTACTTGAGGTCAGGAGTTTAAGATCAGCCTGGCCAACATGGCGAAACCCCGTCTCTGCAAAAAAAAAAAAAAAAAAATATATATATATATATATATATATATATATATATATGTATAGAGACACACACACACACACACAATTTAGCCAGGAGTGGTGGCATGCGCCTGTGGTTCTAGCTACTAGAGAGGGTGAGCTGGAGAACTGCTTGAACCTGGGAGTTGGAGGTTGCAGTAAGCCAGTAAGCCAAAATCACGCCACGGCACTCCAGTCTGGAGGACAGAGCGAGATTCTGTCTCAAAAAAAAAAAAAAAGATAGCTATTGAAAACAAGGAGGGTGTCTTAATATAAGATTCCTACCACCAGAGGTATTTAAAATATGCAGATTACCAGATGATGTAGAAAATAATCCCATACTGAGAATCTCTGGTTAGGGTCAATCAGTGGTTCTCAAACCCCAGTCCACTGACCTGCTACATCAGGCATGAATGTTTTTGTTTTTTGTTTTTTGTTTTTTGAGATGGAATATCGCTCTGTCACCCAGGCTGGAGGGCAGTGGTGTGATCTCGGCTCACTGCAAGCTCCGCCTCCCGGGTTCCCGCCATTCTTCTGCCTCAGCCTCCCAAGTAGCTGGGACTACAGGTGCCCACCACCATGCCCGGCTAATTTTTTGGATTTTTTTTTTTTAGTAGAGATGGGGTTTCACCATGTTAGCCAGGATGGTCTCAATCTCCTGACCTCGTGATCCGCCCGCATGAATGTTTAAAAGAAAAAAATTTAAAATGCACACACACACAGGAGCCTCGGATCTACCCTGGAACTACTGAATCAGAGTCCTTGTTGTGGGCTATGTGTGTTTTAACAAGCCCACCACGTCATTTTGAAGCACAGCCAAAATTAGAAAGGTTGGTCTTGTGAGTTCCTGTTCAACTTAAACATACTATAATGTTATACAGCATACCTTCATATTCTCTGAAGGTATGCTCTTTAACTCTCTGAAGGTATGCTCTCAACTATCTCTTAATTTATGGTTGTATTTAAAATTCTAATGTATGACAGATGCCACAGTCCCTGAATGACTCTCACTCTCTAAATCAAACTCTGGCATCTACTCTCATTTCACTGGGTCCTTTCAGTTACAGTTATTGTGAGAAAGCTTCTTCCAAGAACTTAGTGTTAATTTGGAAACTGTAGTTTCCAAACTGTGCATCGTCTCTACGTGTTACCCAATCTGCTTTCAGATCTTATACACTTTTTATCACCATGGATAAAAACACTGATACAAGCTTCTTTAGGTAAAGGACTCAGATGTTTACATTGCTTTGCTACTAAACTATCTTCTAAAATTTTGGAATTAAATAAAAATACACATTCTTCACCATACTTCCCATTTTAAAATATGTAAAATTTAGGAAACTATTTAGAAAGATGACTCCCTAAATTTTATATATCTCTATCACCAACTTAAGTAGAGAAACATTGAAGGACTGTGTAGGAGTGAGCCACATTTTTAAATCAATAAATACTTTTGAGTACCTACTGTATGTAAAGTACTGTTGAGGGCATGGAAGTGGAAAAGAGAAACGCTCAGGATACATTTCTAACATTTATTTAATACTATGTGCTAGGCACTGTGCTAAACACTTCTTGTGTGTTCTCTTTTAATTCCCTTAACAAGCTACCAAGGTTAACTTCATTTTGCAGATGAAGAAAGAGATTTAGTGGTTGTGTAATGGGCCCTGGGTCACAAAGCTAACAAGTGGTACAGCTGAGATGGATTCAAATTCAACAACCACTTCTGAGCCTGCACTCCTAGTCACTACACTATACTGAACCCATCCCTTTAACACCACACTACATATCTGACAGGGGAGGGGAAAAGCTTACAAAAAGCAACTGAAGACAAATGCTTGGCAGAGGTGGAAAACAGAGAAAAACTTTAACTCTCCTGGGTGGAGGCAAGGAGGGGCTAGGGCTTTGAAGGAAGGGTGTTTTAATGACAAGAAGCGCCTGAGGGGCAGGGAAGGGGTAGAAATGCATTTCAGCTGGAGTCCGAAAAAGCACACTGCTCATTCGGAGAGGATTCTTCCCTCTCTTAAAGCTGATACACAGCCTACATGGGGTGCAAGGGGTGGGGAGTCAGCCGGAGGAGAAGACGAAAGCTTTGTTGAGGGTGACTTTTGTAAAGGGACTAAATGCCATATTAAGGATTAGAAGTTTTCTATAGGTAATGGAGAACCAACAAAAGTTTCTCCATTTTTGTGCAGAAATGACATGATCTGATCTGTTTTTTCTTCTTTTTAAATTTGAGGTCCATATGACAGATGAATCAGAAAGGGGGAATAACCAGAGGCTGAAAGGAGTGATAAGTATGACTTGAATTAAGGGAAGGAGAGATGGGGACAAGAAAGCATCAATTCAAAAATATCTATGATCAACAAAACCTACATGACTGAGAATACAGCTAAACACTCATTTCCTCAGGGAGTTCCCTGACTTTCCATTCCAGGGACCTTGTTTTTGATAAGAGATGAGAATTTATCTGGGGAGAGTTAGGGATGAAATTAGGAATGTCTCTAGAAAATCAAAGAATCAGACACTCAGTCCTGGTTGCAAACCATGAAATCACACCAAACCAGTTAGCTGCCAACCTTGCCTCTGCTTCTATCACATCACATTTATTCTTAAAACTTGCTCCTTTCTGAAATCTTTGCTTTGTCATCAACCCCAAGGCAACCTGAGGTTCACAACACTGAGTGCACCTGAGCAGACCCTTAGAGAACTTGCCTCCTACCATTCCACTGCCATCTTTCTATATTTCTACACATGATTTTCTGAATTTTATTCAGCTTTGATTAAAATACTTTCTTCTGCAAATATCTAATATACCACATAATTTCCTAGCTGAAATAAAGAACCCTGCCTAGCCCTTTGGCTTACAGACAATATAAAATAACTGTTATTAATTGGTACTCATTTTCAAACATGTTTTCATTTGACAATTTCAAAAACAACTACTTGTATATATGACTGGTTTCATGGTTCCTATCTCTGGGCAGTTTATTTTTCACTCCACCTCAAAATGAAATCGTTGAATTCCTAAGCAACTCTTTCCCTATCTCCATCACACTGGGTATCCATGGCAACATGTCCTGAAGAACTGGTACACTGTGGCATTTCATTGTTTAATGGAGCACCTAATGTCAATTACTGTACATGTAACTTTATATGTGTGTATATTACTTAAGCTCCTTTGTATTCTATAAGGCATATATGACAGTCTCTAATTCCCTGGAGACAATGCACTATCCCCTCTAGTGGGTAAAAGCCACAGCAGAAAAACAAAATGAGAGTATGCACAGGATGATTTAAGATCCTTGGGCTGCCTCTGTTGCTGCGATTTTTCACCAAGTTAGCAGACACAGCCAAGGGTTTTTATCGAGGCAGACAAAAACTGTGCAAATGCCATTACTCCATGAGGTAATTACAATCCCTAATAAATAGCATGCACATTGTTTTCAAAGGGGCTGATAGACAAGTCACAATCTGTTCTTAGAAGCATCTTATTTGTTTTAGTCATAGCCACATGTTTCAGTAGAATTTTGATAGATCCTAAAACCTTGTCACATTCTGAATCCTGGTGCAGTTAAAGTTGTTGTTTTGCACTTACATGGCATAAAACAATCATCAGCAAGAATTCCCACTGTCTCACTGCTGGTCTCATTTTATCTACTAGACAGTGTCCTGAGAACAGAATCGCAAAGTCTGTTCCATATAGAACACTTTCACAGCTCAGTGCTCAGCACCGTCCCAGACTGATCACACCCTAGCATGTTGGTTCTCTGTTAACCAGCATACTTTGGACAGGATCCAACACATTCTCATATCATATTTAATTCTGCACTTTAGTGAACGTGCATTTAAAATCTAAAACTGGAAAGATTTCAATCTTTCTATTTTTTAACTCTCATTTTACAGATGAAGACATCAGAGAGGGAAGCAACTAATTCCAGAGTCCAGGATAAAAATATGAGTATCCCTGTCTCCTTGATAGCATAAAAATACTGACATATTCTCATTACCCTTTTTGTTTCTGATTTTTGAGAATAATAAACATTAATGGATATTATCTCAGGGCAGTTCTTCATTAAGCAAATCTATATTGTCTATAAGGTGCTTTATTTAAAAAAATGGACATTTTTCCATGTCAGTAAATATGGGTCTAGACAATTGTTTTCCATACTAGCTTAATTTTCATTGAATGAAAATACCAACATTTATTTGCCCAGTTTTTTACTGTTGAAAATTTAGGTTGTTTCAAATGTTTCATGATAATAAAAACACTTAAGTGAACATCTCTGCACATTCATCAGATGCACTTGTTTGACCATAACCTTAGGATATATTCTGAGTTGTGAAATGCCGAGGTCAAAAGTAAGCACATTTTGACGCATAATGCAATTCTGCACTTTGGAAATATATCAACTTATGTTGCCTCAATTTTAGAGGTTCCTTAAACAAATTTAGAGAGTATTGATTTCCCAAGTCCTTACTAATAGTGAGTATCTGCATTCATTTTTATCTTTATCAACAGTAAATACTCTACCCTTTTGTGAAATGTCTCTTCATGTCCTTTTTCTATTTTTGTAATAGTATGTTTGGCCCCAAGTTCTTGACTCCACTTAAGTGAGCTTCAATTATAATTTCTGATTATGCGTAATTTTAGAAAAGGCAATTCCAACTTGATTTTAATAGGTCAAGTATAGATAAAACATCTGGTAAAGTTTCATTTCTAAATACCTCCATATCGCTTAATGAAAGCACTTATGAAAGCACAAATGCAACAGTTACAAACACAAGACCTATCTAGTCAGACCAGGACTCAGATCCCAGCTCTGCTCCTATTTGCTGCATGATCTCTGGCAATTATTGAATTCTCTATGTCTCAGTTTCTTCAGATGTAAAACAGTGATAATGCTGTTGTATTCATGGATTGTAAGATGCATGTTTCTTTTGGTATCACTGACACTGGGGCTGTATTACAATTGGTGGCATCTTACAGTTTCCATTGGCAGCATTTTTTCTTAGTGGTGCATAATATTTTAAACCAAAGGCATCTTAGATTTGATGAGCTATGATAGTGCTTACCTCACAGGATTGTGGTAAGAATGAAATGAAATAATGCATGCAAGAGCTTAGCATAGTAAATACTCCAAAAAACTGTTAGTAAGTATTCATATAGTGTTACATATTTCTACAACTTTGATTTAAATGTTTAAGATTTCTAAAATTGGCTGGGCGCGGTGGCTCACCAGCACTTTGGGAAGCCGAGGAGGGCAGATCACGAGGTCACGAGATTGAGACCATCCTGGCCAACATGGTGAAACCTTGTCTCTACTAAAAATAAAAAAATAAATCAGCTAGGCCATGGTGGCGGGCACCTGTAATCTCAGCTACTCGGGAGGCTGAGGCAGGACAATCGCTTGAACCCAGGAGGCAGAGGCTGCAGTGAGCCGAGATTGCGCCATTGCACTCTAGCCTGGGCAACAAGAGTAAAACTCTGCCTCAAAAAAAAAAAAAAAAAAAGAAAAGATTTCTAAAATTGATCTGAAGAATGTTTTTGGTTCCTTGAAGGAGCATATTTCATATAAAATAGTTGAAATTTTTAAATTTTAAAATTACCACAGGAAAAACAGGTTCTTATTTAATGTAATTTAAAGGGAATCTAGTTTGAACAGGAAGTGATTATTTTGCACTTTCAGGAAAGAATCAGCTCAACAATGTACTAAAATCATGAGATTAAGCAAAGTCTCCAAACAGCTAAAGGAGAATTAATGCAAAGAACAGCATGGAAACTTTTCATTAAAGTCAATTTAGGCTGGACTCAGTGGCTCAAACCTGTAATCCCAGCACTTTGGGGGCCTGAGGCGAGTGGATCACTTGAGGTCAGAAGTTTGAGACCAGCCTGGCCAACATGGCAAAACCTCCTCTCTACTAAAAATACAAAAATTAGCTGGGCTGGTGGTGCGCGCCTGTAGTCCCAGCTACTCAGGAGGCTGAGGCACGAGAATCACTTGAAACCAGGAGGCAGAGGCTGCAGTGAGCCGACATCATGCCACTGAACTCCAGCCTGAGCAACAGAGCGAGACTCTATCTGAAATAAATAAATAAATAAATAAATAAATAAATAAATAAGTCAACTATAATGTTTTCCATATGCTGCTGTGATTGGATCTTTTACAGATGCATAAACTCAAATCAATGTCATTTCTTGGAAACTGCAATTAGAAAACTATCATTGGAAATACTGGAGAAGGCATGAAGGAGGAGGAGTGTGAGATGAACCTTGTGTCAGAGGAAAATAAATTATTGAAATCATTTCAAGAATTTTCATAATCTTTTGCATCAACATGAAATTGTACTCGGTGTGGAAAGGCTTCAACTGGTATGAGATATGAGAAAAAAATAGGTATGGTTCATTTGACAGAGGGACAGTTGAAATAATGTGTGTGTGCATGGCAGGTACGAAGGTCTAGATTCTATCACTTACTAACTATATGACTTTGGGCATGTATGTTCACTTCTCTCCATCTCTTCACCTGCGTCCTGGCAATAATTCCTAACCCACTGGGGTGTTACCTATGCACACAGGGCACTCAGCCCAATGCCTGACAAATGGGAAGAGTTCAATAAGGGATTGCAGGTATTCTTATTATTGGTTGATATGCATGAATTATGGGGCAGCCTTTATGTCTTACTTTTTTTTTTTTTGTCCTAACATAGGATAAATTTTACTGATGTATTCCCAACCAACATATGCATTTTTGGAGTTAGTACCTTATTTCCAATTCCCACACCCATCTCACTTGAGAATTAGGCAATTTTTTAAAAGGCTTCTCCAAGAAAGAAGAAAGGTTCGGTTTATTTACTGTAAATGTAATATATTTTAACTTTTTCTCCTATCTTATACCAGTTGTTTCCCATATCTTTTTTCTCTGCCAAAAACTCTTCAAAATGAAAACGTGCTTGTTGTAAGCTGGGATCTTAAATTTGAAAGATACTGCTAATTCTAAAGATCGACTTTTTAACAGAATCTTCAAAAAGCAAAATTTCTGTTTCTGAATAAATTATTTATAAAGTTATTTTTCTTCTATCTTTCCTTCATTATGAATAGCAGAGTAAGTCTTAAGAGAAGGGCAGAGCAGTAAATCCTTAATTACATTATTTAAATATTCACAGAATTCTTAAATGAAGAGGAAATGGAGTGGGCCAATGGGAACCAACTTCTGCAGACTTTGCAGTCAGTATCTACACATCCATCTTTTCATTCTTTCTTAGATTCACTGTAATTAGAAATGGTCACTGGGTGGTCTCCTTCAATGGAAATTTGCTTTCTTCTTCCTTGTTGTATTTATTTTGTGATCAGAATCCTAATGTTATTGAATGGTCATAATGCTAGTCCCTACTTCCTGTTGTATGTTTGAAGAAAACCACAATACCAACTCAGATGGGATTGTGGTTTGGTGGGGAACTTAAATGTCCATTCTAAAACCACATGGCCAGCACAGAAGTTAAGAACATTCACAGGCTGTATTTCAATTTCTAAAATCCAGGGAACACACACCTTCTTGATGTTGCAGAAATCAATGTCAGAGTTAAACGTGTGGATGCTGCCTACAGAATGTCTGGCTTGCTTTTCGAAGCAAGCTTTATTGCCTAGAATAGTCTGTAAGAGCATTCTGCAGTCCAAGCAGTTCTCACTCCCCTTCCCTCTAGACTGCTAATAAAAATAAGAAATGCATATTCTCTTTGTAAAGAAACATTCATCAGCTGGGCACGGTGGCTCACGCCTGTAATCCCAGCACTTTGGGAGGCCGAGGTGGGTGGATCACCTGAGGTCAGGAGTTTGAGACCAGCCTGGCCAACATGGTGAAACCCCATCTCTACTAAAAATATGAAAATTAGCTAGGTGTGATGGTGCATGCCTGTAGTCCCAGCTACTTGGGAGGCTGAGGCATGAGAATCGCTTGAACCTGGGAGGTGGAGGTTGCAGTTAGCAGAGATTACACCACTGCATTCCAGCCTGGGTGACAGAGTGAGACTCTGTCTCAAAAACAAAAACAAAAAGAAAGAAAAAGAAAAAAGAAAAATTCATCGTTACTTTGTTACCTTGAAACCACCCTTACCCCAATATCACCACTAGAATACCATAGAATCATCTCTTTCTTGCCCAACGTCAGACATTCTTTTCTCTGCCGCAACTATATAATATGAAACTCTAAAATACTCTAATTTATATAAATCCTATATAAGTGCCACAGGCAAAAACATTACACAAAGTATTTTAAAAATATATATATTTAGAGACAATGCCTCATCCTTTGGATTAAACATGTTATAGTCCCATAAAGAAATTTAATTATATTGCTTGAAAGCATTTGTTTTTAATCATTCTAGTGGTATAATTTTTCTGCTCACTTATAATGTACAGATTACTGCAAAACAGAATGGAAGAGTATATATCATACAATTAAAAAATTAAAAGGGGCCAGGCGCAGTGGTTCACACCTGTAATCCCAGCACTTTGGGAGGCCGAGGCAGGTGGATCATGAGGTCAGGAGATCGAGACCATCCTGGCTAACACAGTGAAACCCCATCTCTACTAAAAATACAAAAAATTAGCCGGGCGTGGTGGCAGGCATCTTTAGTCCCAGCTACTCAGGAGACTGAGGCAGGAGAATGGCATGAACCCAGGAGGCGGAGCTTGCAGTGAGCTGAGATCGCGCCACTGCACTCCAGCCTGGGCGACAGAGCAAGACTCCATCTCAGAAATAAATAAATAAATAAAAGGAAATAAAGAAAAGAAAGCCTACTGAGAAAACTCTTCTCAGGAATAAAATTTATCTTCCCTTCCAATCCCCAGGGTACTGACATTTTTAGTGTTTGACAAGAAATGCTAGTACATTCAATAAAGTAAAGTTTTATTTAAAAAAAAAACACATCTAACATTTAACTTCACTTCCTATTTTCAAACTGTGAGGTGGAGACTGCTAAGCAGAAAAACACAAGTAAGTAAGGTTGCTCTAAGGATAATCTGAGATCCTTATTTTGCTGTGATGAGCCTGCTCACCAAGCTAAAAAGCTGTAAAACAATATACATTCTTTAGGTGTAGTCCAGGATTCACTGATATACAGTAATGCTCTGAAGACTGAAATACGTACACAAGAACATATTACATAGTTAAAGTGCTTTCTTTTAGAAGATAAGAGATTCTATAAGGGATATATTTAATGGTGGATTCAACATACCTATCTTCCTTAAAATAGGGAAGACAAAATGGTATACCCATTCCTTCTCAGAATGACTAGTACTCTATAAAATGTGCAAGTTGTGGATTAACTGCCTCTCAGTTCCACATCCACACCTTACCCTCCTATGTGGTACTTGAGCTGGACCCTGTAAAAACATCTCTCTTTTGTCAGTTGGTAAAATTTTTATTTTCCTTTTCTTTATTTTCTTTAGAGACAGGGTCTCACTGTCCCCCAGGCTGGAGTGCAATGGTGCAATCATAGCTCACTATAGCCTGGAACTCCTGGGATCAAGTGATCCTCCTGCCTCAGACTCCCAAAGTGCTGGAATTACAAGTGTGAGCCACCATGCCCAACCAGTTGTTGCAACTTTAAGCTTTCTTAATAGAGGCATGGAAGGGTCGTAGCAGAGGAAGGAGCATCTTTCTTGTTTGTTGCTGCTTTTTCTTCCTCTTGACAGTCTGGCTGCCAGCAGAGTGCAGGAGATCCAGTTGAGCTCACCCTTCAGCAAGTTTCCTGGACACCCCAGCAGCTGGATTCCTGTGAACAAGTTCTGGCATGTCACACCCTAATGGGCAGTTTCCTGCTCACCAGCTCTGGCCACAGGCAACCCAGAACTTTTCATGGAACAATTCCAACCTGCGGCACTACATCAAGCCTCACCAGCACCCTAGTAGGTGGCTTCTTGTGAACCAGCTCCCACCCATGGAACCCCAACCAACCCCCACCGCCCCATCATCCATTTGCAGCTGCAGCCTTTCCAATGAGGTCTCAGTCACAGCCCGGGGAGCAGGCCCTCTTCCAATCTGCTCCTTCCTTGGATGCACTTCATCAGGCCTGGAGCTAGTAGCTGTTCTCTGCCTTTGCTATCCCCATATACTTTAGAGTCTCTTTTACCCCATTCAGTAGTCAACCACCTTTTACTAGGCAACAGTTCTCTATACTAATTTTCCTAAATGAACTCTAATACAGAGTTGGTACCAAGTGTGGTTCCTGGTTACAGACCCTCAAAAATATTAATAGAACTTTGGGATTAGTATGGTCATGAGCTTTGACTGGAGGACAGCACCAATCCTTGTCAATGGGATATGGGATGCTGGTAATCCATGGCATAAAGTCCCATCAAAATTAACTAAGCTATCACCTGTGATTAACTGCAATGAAGTGCCAACAGAAACAAGGTCTGGGAGTCAAAGAGGCTGCTGTCCTTGACTGCTATGGCAGTAATGATGAATATAAAGATTGTAGGGTACAATGAATTCTTTTGAGTGCAATGAAGCATCTACCAAAAGAAAATAAGTTGAGGTGTTTTTAACCCCCAGCCCAAGTCTAAGAACCAGAGAGCTTCCACACTAGCTCTAAAAAAATATTTTATTTCCTGTAGTCATAGAGCTACTATTTCCAGAAATAAAAAAAAAAATGTACTGGGTGTGTTGCTGAATTACAACATCAGTTGAATTTACAACCACAGTCTCTCATGTGAAAGTTAGGGTACTGATTAAAAAAGAATGGGACCTGAAACCTGGAAAGGGGAACATCTGGTTGAATTCAAGATGAAACAAACAATTTCAAGCCCCAAAGAAACTCTGAGGTTCCCTTGACCATGGAAGTTGCTTGCCCTCTTATGTCTCAAGAGACTAGCTTTCTTTTTCTGGAAAACTTTTGCTGAGTAGCCTCACCTGGAGTAGATGTCTTTATAAGGGGATGCTCATTCTCCTCAAGATCTCTCATAACCACTCAGTTCCTAAATCTCAACATGCTTCACAGTACACAGCATCACCCAGAAGGAAATGGCTTACAGACTCAAAAACCTGCAAGACCCTTGTTAATATATAGTGGCAGAACCCTGGGAATATGTGTGGGGGTAGGTACCCATGGTGTTAGATAAAGAATGCTGGGAAATATACAGCACATCAGGCTGCTTTCATGGATATAGATGCACCTAACTAGAGTTTTTGGACTGAATGTGAATGTGTTAGCTCATGAAGCCAGAAGTCTCTGAGAGCTTACTTGGTTGGTTGACTGAAACTTGTAATGAGGTTGAAATGCCAGAACTTCCCTGGCATGATATGGAGGATGGAATCCAAAGGTTTAAGGAGATAGGAATGTAGTGGATTTATCATGTGTGAACTACATACCCAACCACCTCAACTACATCTCCTGAAAAGGACCAGAGACACTCCTTGCACTAAGACATTGAAAAATACCTAAGTGAGGGGAGCGCTGCATCTCTGAAAAACTCTGTAGTTATTTTCCTTTGTAGACCAGTAAGACCGCAGGAGATGTCACGACTGAGATGAGCTTCCTGGTTTCTTTGGAGATGGTGGGATACAGGAAGAGCAGAAAAAGTAGCAGCACTGAGTGCCAAAGACAAGATCGGTGCATTTACTATCAAAGGGATCAGGGACATATTAATCAAAATGCTTTGGCCCACAGGAATCTCTGGTGGTAGCTAATTTATCCTGCAGTCCCTAGGAATGAAATCAGTATGCAGTTTACTACAATACTGTATAATCTATATAACAACAACAACAACAAAACGTAGGTCCAGTGGCCATTACGTCACCACAATGGAGAGTCACAGAATCACACCCAGTTCTAGGCCTAGAACAGTGTATTGTCCCATAACCCTTTGAAGGGAAGGCCAGGTTTCCTTCAAAAATAACCCTGCAGTGCTGCCACAGGCATATACCATAAATCCTCCTCCAAGCCTTCACCAAAGAGGCCTGCTGCCATTACTAGATGGACAGTGCACAGGGGGAAAGAACATACTCAGATATTTCAGGGAATACTAAACACTAGCTCTGAATCAACACCAAGTTTCCCCACAAGTTGACTAAGAAAGAAAAAACACGAGCTCAATTTATAAAGGGTTCTGCATGATACATTGGTACCAGCTGAATGAAAGTCTACGTCCACAGCTTACATCCCCAGTTAGGGGTGACCCCCAAAGAACAGCTTTTAAGGAAAATCCTCCCAGAGGGAAAAACTTTGACAATATATTTGGTGATTCGCTTTGTCTGTAATCAGAAATGGCCAGAAATAAGAGTTTACATTAATTCACGGGTGATTGCTTATAGTTTATTTGAATGATCAGGGACTTGAATAGAAGAAGATTGTAAGATTGGTGACAAAGAATTTGAAGGAAGAGGATGTGACAGACCTCTCACATTGGGCACAGACCTCAATAATCAAATGAATACAATTATATGCTCTGCGGATGTCATTCAGCCTCCTTCCCAGCCACCCCAAGGCTTACTCAATGGGGCCATGAACAAAGTGGCCATGATGGCAAGGATGGAGACTAAATGTGGGCTTAGTAACATGGACTTCCCCTTATCAAGGCTGAACTGTCTGTTGCTACTGCTGAGTATCTAATCTACCAACATGGAGATAGACACTGAGCCCCTGACAGTCCCCCATTCCCAGGAGGTGATGGTGGCGGGTGGGCGGCGGGGGGGCATCCATGCTGAATGGAATAGACACGTATCCTAGATAAGAATTTGTTCTCCAGCCGGGCGCGGTGGCTCACGACTGTAATCCCAGCACTTTGGGAGGCCAAGGCGGGCGGATCACGAGGTCAGGAGATTGAGACCATCCTGGCTAACACGGTGAAACCCCGTCTCTACTAAAAATACAAAAAAATTAGCCGGGCGTGGTGGCGGGCGCCTGTAGTCCCAGCTACTTGGGAGGCTGAGGCAGGAGAATGGCGTGAACCCGGGAGGCAGAGCTTACAGTGAGCCGAGATTGCCTGCTGCACTCCAGCCTGGGCGACAGAGCAAGAGTCCGTCTCAAAAACAAAAAGAATTTGCTTTCCCTGCCTGTAATGTTTCCGACAATATCTTCATCAGTTGCCTCACGGAATGCCTTATTCACCATTACAGTTTTCCATACTGCTTTGCTTCCGACAAAGGAAACCACTTCACAGCAAGGGAATGAAGCAATGGGCTCATAAGCATGGAATTGAGTAGTCTCACCCCATATCCCTCCAATCAGAAGCAGCTCACCTAATAGAAATGTGTAATGACTCACTGGAAAATTCAGTTATGGCATCAAATGAGAGACAACACCCTGAAAGCATTTCTGATTTACAGGATGAAGTAAGAATATGCCTTGAATCACGGACCACTGGCAACCCTGTAACAGAATACATGGATTTGGTAATCAAGGAATAGAAGTGAGAGTGACTCCTGGCTGGGTGCAGTGGCTCACGCCTGTAATCCCAGCACTTTGGGAGGCTGAGGCGGGTGGATCACGAGGTCAGGAGATCGAGACCATCCTGGCCAACACGGTGAAACATGTCTCTACTAAAATACAAAAAAATTTAGCCGGCCATGGTGGCACGCACCTGTAGTCCCAGCTACTCAGGAGGCTGAGGCAGGGGAATTGCTTGAACCCGGGAAGCGGAGGTTGCAGTGAGCCGAGATCATGCCACTGCACTCCAGCCTAGGCAACAGAGAGAGACTCCATCTCAAAAAAAAAAAAAAAAAAAAAAAAGAAGTGAGAGTGACTCCTATCACTGTTATACCTAATAACTCACAGAATTAATGATCCCCACCACAGTACCCCTGAGCTCTGTTAGTTTGGAGATCTTAGTCCCCAAGGATGGAATGCTTTCACCTTATTGCATGTGGGGACATAATAATTATTCCATTTAATTGGGATACGAGACTGCCACTGGCTATTCTAGGTTCTGAACCAACAAGCAGAAAAAGAGGATACTCTACTGACTGGAGTGATTAATCCCAATTACCAAGGGAATATTGGGTTGTTGCTAAACAATGGGGGCAAGGAGGTCTATGTCTGAAACCCAGGGGGTTCATGGGGTGACTCCTAGTGCTCCTATGCCCAAGAATAGAGGTTCATGAAACAATATGACAATCAATAAAAGGCAGGACTGCTGAGGACTCAGAACCTTCAGGAATGAAAGTTCAGGTCACCCCATCAGGTAAAGCCGACCAGCCAGCTAAGGTTTTGGCTAAGTGAAAAAAATATATATAGAATGACACGTGGAGAAGGAAGTCAGAGATCATGACTAGTTACAGAAATGTGGACTATAGCAGCTTTGGGGATTTTCCCTTTGTTCTTTTTTTAAAAGATAATTGTATTACATTGAAACCATTTTCTTTTAAAAAAGAAAGAAAGAGGAGAGAAGGCAGGAAGGCAGGGAGGGAGGGGGCTTTGCTTGTTCTTTGTGTATATGTGTAGATACTTGTGTATATTAATTATTTCTCTCTGATCTCTCCTTCTTCCCCTTGTTATTTTATATACAAATTGTTAGAGGCTAACTTTATGATTTAGTCTTTAGGTAACAGAATATTCAGTGTACTGTAATGAAATCTGAGAAGAAATTAATAAAGCAGGCAATGGACACAGTGACTGTTGGGACTGCATCTCATTTGGGGGAAAGGGTGAGAACTTCTTCACTTGTACAAAGGGCAGCTGACCTTCATCATAGGTGAAAAAATAGAACTGTTTCATTATTACATGGAAGTTCAAGTGTGTGTAGATGGTGTATGTAGAAGCTGAGTAGCCAAAGAGATGAACTGTGCCAGTTAACAATTTATTGCCTCTCAGCACCACCAAATCCATCGTGTTTTGTGCTGCCTCGTGATACTGGAGCTAGGCCCTGTAAATACTTTTCCTCTGCCAGCTGGCACAATGTTAACCTGTGTCAATACAGTGCACTGGAGGGACCACTGCAAAGGCCTAGTGGAGGAAGAGACCTGTTTCCTATATGCTTTTCCTTCCTCCAGTGGCCATGATGGCCAGCAGCATGTACAAAGCCCAGTGGTACTGACCCTCAAGTGGGTTCCACTGGCCACCAGCCAGAAGACTCTTGTGGGCCAGCTTTAGCCTCCCAGCACCCCAGCAGGTGGCTTCCTGCACACCAGCTCTGCCCCATGACACACTCGAGATCGTCACTGGACCCCCAGCAGATGGCTTCTTGTAAACCAGTTCCAGCCTGTGACACCACCCAGTCGGCTGCAAACACACCTTCTCCAATAAGGGCTAATTTCCAGCCTGAGTGGGGCCCTCCTCCAAGTCTGTTCCTCCCTTAAGTGCTCTCCCTCAGTGCTAGAGGTAGCAGCTGTTCCCTATGTTTGCTAGTCCTATATTCTTTAGAGTCTTTTAAAAGTTAACTATCTTTTACTAGTTAATAATTTTAATACTGAAGTTTCCCTATTCAAATTACTGGTGTGGTTTCTGACTCTGATTGATACAATCTACTGTTTTCATACTGAAGCATCTACTATATCATGGTATTATCCATTTGAGAGAATATACAATTGACAAACTGTACACTTCTAAAACTTAATTATAGCTACTTCTAGAACCATTAATTTGATAACATTTTAAGAAAATGACAGGATAAAGTTGTAATTTCTCGAGTGAAAGAAGACAGTTATAAATCAAGTTCAACATATAAGATGATGTAAATACAAAAAATGATGGTTACCTATCATGATTATTACTAACTTCCAAGTTAAATCTGGCCATTAAGGAATCTGTCACCTTCAAAGAATTCAGGAAATCTCCTTGCCAAATACATTCTCTAATCCATGCTTTACTTTATGCCGTAAGATCATGGTACTCAGAACAAGGCCTTGTGAACACCAAAGCTGGAGAATGTGTGGGTGTGCTTGTGTATCTACACACAGGCTTGTAGCTCCAAGTGCTCATGTTCTCAGGCATCAAAATTAGATGCACAGTCACCCCCCTCAAAAAACCAAAACATAGAATATTTATATGTTACAGTTTTTACCTGCTGCCTTTCTAAATTGTTCCCCTACCACAAACTTATAACAAAGACAAAAATCTAGAAATAATTTCAAAAAATTAATTCAGGTCCATAAACTCCGTGGGTTAGGTCTTGCTCCCTGAACTAGATCCATTAATGTTAGTGACTAAATTCACATCTCATTCTTTCTGACACATCTATTTACAGTAGGATTTTTATCTTCTTAAATATAAACAATACAACAAACTAAGAAAATAACCTAACGTGATTGGAGGAAAATGGAATTACAAAGAGAAAAGAGATGAAACGTAATTAATCTTAAGGTCTACCAAATGGCTGAATTTCTCTTTTTGTAAAATGATGGAAGCAATAACAGCTGGCTCAGGTAGTATGCTTTCAGGTCCAGAATTTTCTAATTACAACTGTATAAAGAACAGAAAACCCCTTGGGGGTAAGTCTCCTGCCATACCAGAGATTTAGACACTGTACTCACATCTTTCCTTTTGCCATCCCCCTCAAGCATCTATCACCCCCTTCCCATCATCCTAACTTTGATGAATGATAGGCAGGAAAGAATGACATCATGAATTCATCATGAGTGAATGACATCATCTGACACAGGGAAGGCCTATATATAACTTAAGAGGAAAAAGGAGAGTGTCTCTGTGCTAAGTGCCAGAAGTGATTAACAAAAATTTCTGTAGCCAAAAATGATTTTTATGCTTGCCTTATTCAGATGCATTTTCTAGATGAGTACTCCTTCAGAGTATCCTCACATTTGTTCTATTCTATACTGTGTAATCATGAAAATTACTAATTGATTCTTTTCGTGCAATTAAAAATAAAATTCAATATAATTTTATTAGAAAAAAAAATAGGCCAGGCGTGGTGGCTTGTGCCTGTAATCCCAACAATTTGGGAGGTCAAGGCAGGAAGATCAGTCGAGCCCAGGAGTTCGAGACCAGCCTGGGCAACATAAGGAGACTCCTTACAAATAAAAAATAAGTAAAATTAGCCAGGCGTGATGGTGCACATTTGTGGTCCCAGCTATTCAGGAGGCTGAGGTAGCCAGATCTCATGAACCCAGGAGGTTGAGGCTACATTGAGCCGTGATTGTGCCACTGCACTCCAGCCTGGGCAACAGAGTGAGATGGTGTCTCAAAAATAATAATAAATAAATGAGGAAGTTTAAAACTACATATCCCTGCTTCAAAAAAGAAACTCTTCAGGCATTCTTAAGAGACTCACCTTAAACACTCCTCATTCTTTCAGATTTGCTTTATGGATAAAATTTAAAAATACCAATTCTTTTTTATTTAATTGATTGCATTGTTAAATGCTAATTAAAATTATACACTACATGACATAAAATGATAAAACAGAACTGATTCTCTTTCCTAACTCTTTTAGAACTGATACCTCCAAATAAGCCTTGCCTTCACCAATGAAGTCCCCATCAATGAAATCCCCATTGCTGCCACCATTCAAGAACAATGATCCAGTTTGCTTCTTTTTCAAAGGAGCTAGGAATCTGGATTTATGTAAAATCATACGATTTTTAAATGTTCACAATGAATTCACAATATTTACTGTTCAGAGACTGGGTGAGATAGATTATAGGCAAAGAAGGGAAGCGCAGGCATGCCATTTTGAAGGTTCTAAGCTTCTACCAATAAGTAGCTGAAGGGAAGTGTAGCTGAAGGTAATCAAGGAGGTCATGGTAGAAAGAAGTCTGCAGTTGGCTCAGAGGTTATTAGGGTGGATAGCAAATTCACTTGATGATGGTTAGAAGCAGGATGCAGATGGTAACCAAGGCAGGTGATAAAGACACGCAAGGTGGGATTGTTTGCCAGATGAAGAAATGAGCCTGCGGCCAAAGCAATTTAAGTAGTCTTGGGGAAAAACAAAGTCAGTGATGAGGGGTGGCAGCAAATGAAAAAATGAAACTAATGTTTCTGTGGCTAATGAACTGATTCAGTCAAAGATAACATACTCATTTTGATTTAGAAGTTGTATAAAATCAGCTTTAGGGAATGCAGGGAGATGCTGGCCAAAGGACATGAGATTTTGGTTAGGAGGAATAAGTTCAAGAGATCTATTGCACATTGTGGTGATACAGTTTGTAACAATATATTGTATACTTGAAAATTGCTAAGAGAGTATATTTTAAGTGTTCTCACCAACAGATCTATCGTAAGTATGTGGGATAAAGCATACGTTAAATAGCTTGATTCAGCCATTCCAAACATCATGTTGTACAGCATGAATATATACCATTTTACTTGTCAATTCAAAATATATAATAGGCCAGGCACAATGTCTCACACCTGTAATCCCAGCTCTTTGGGAGGCTGAGATGGGAGGATTGCTTGAGCTCAGGAGTTAGTGAGACTGGCCTGGGAAACATGGCAAAACCCTTTCTCTACAATTTTTTTTTTTTTTTAATTAGACTCTTTCCTGCTCTGCCCTGGTAAGACATGCTTGCTTCCCCTTCGCCTTTCTGCCATGATTGCAAGTTTCTTGACACCTCCCAGCCATGTTTCTGGTTAAGCCTGCAGAACTGGGCCAAAATTAATACTAATAAGAAGCAAAGCACGGACCAAAGCTAAGAACCCTCACAGAGTCCACTGCATCCCCCGCCACCTCCACCAGAACAGGTGCTGGGATCCACAGCTGAGAGACCTATAGGCGGTTCACATCACAGGACTCTGTGCAGACAACCCCCAGTACCAGCCTGGAGCCTGGTAGACTTGCTGAGTGGCTAGACCCAGAAGACGGACAACAATCACTGCAGTTTGGCTCACAGGAAGCCACATCCATAGGAAAAGGGGGAGAGTACTACATCAAGAGAACACCTCATGGGACAAAATAATCTAAACAACAGCCTTCAGCCCTAGACCTTCCCTCTGACAGAGCCTACCCAAATGAGAAGGAACCAGAAACCCAACTCTGGTAATATAAGAAAACAAGGCTCTTCAACACCCCCCAAAAAAATCACACTAGCCACCAGCAATACAACCAAACCAAAAAGAAATCCCTTATTTACCTGAAAAAGAATTAAGGACGTTAGTTATTAAATAGCTAATCAGGGAAGGACCAGAGAAAGGCGATACCCAATGCAAGGAAGTCCAAACTATGATACAAGAAGTGAAGGGAGAAATATTCAAGAAAATAGATAACTTAAAGAAAAAACAATTAAAAAATCAGGAAATTTTGGACACACTTTTAGAAATTTGAAATGCTCTGGAAACTCTCAGCAATAGAATCAAACAAGTAGAAGATAAAAATTCAGAGCTCGAAGACAAGGTCTTCCAATTAACCCAATCCAACAAAGACAAAGAAAAAAGAATAAGAAAATATGAACAAACCCTCTAAGAAGTCTGGGATTATGCTGAATGACCAAACCTTAGAATAATTGGTGTTCCTGAGGAAGAAGAGAATTCTAAAAGCTTGGAAAACATATTTGGGGGAATAATCGAGGAAAACTTCCTTTGCCTTGCTAGAGACCTAGACATTCAAATACAAGAAGCACAAAGAACATCTGGGAAATTCACTGCAAAAAGATCTTCGCCTAGGTGCTCTGTCATCAGGTTATCCAAAGTTAAGACGAAGGAAAGAATCTTAAGAACTGTCAGACAGAAGCACTAGGTAACCTATAAAGGAATACCTATCAGATTAACAGCAGATTTCTCAGCAGAAACCCTACAAGCTAGAAGAAGAGATTGGGGCCCTATCTTCGGCCTCCTTAAACAAAACAATTATCAGCCAAGAATTTTGTATCGAGTGAAGCTAAGCACATGTATGAAGGAAAGATACATCTTTTTCAGACAAACAAATTCTGAGAGAATTTGCCATTACCAAGCCACCACTACAAGAACTGCTAAAAGGAGCTGTAAATCTCGAAACAAATCCTAGAAACGCATCAAGACAGAACCTCTTTAAAGCATAAATCACACAGGACCTATAAAACAAAAATACAAATTAAAAAGCAAAAACAAAAAAACCAAAGTACACAGGCAACAAAGGGCATGATTAACGCAATAGTACCTCACACTTCAATACTAACATTGAATGAATGTAAATGGCCTAAATGCTCCACTTAAAAGACACAGAACTGCAGAATGGATAAGAACTCACCAACCAACCATCTGCTGTCTTCAGGAGACTCACCTAGCCCATAAGTACTCACATAAAGTAAAGGCGTGGAAAAAGACATTTCATGTAAATGGACACCAAAAGCAAGCAGGGGTAGCTATTCTAATATCAGACAAAACAAACTTTAAAGCAACAGCAGTTAAAAGAGACAAAGAGGGACATTAGATAATGGTAAAAGGCCTTGTCCAATAGGAAAATATCACAATTCTAAACATATATGCACCTAACACTGGAGCACCCAAATTTATAAAACAAATACTAATAGACCTAAGAAATGAGACAGACAGCAACACAATAATAGTGGGGGACTTCAATACTCCACCGACAGCACTAGACAGGTCATCAAGACAGAAAGTCAACAAAGAGACAATGGATTTACACTATACCTCAGAACAAATGGAATTAACAGATATATACGGAATATTTCATCCAACAGCCCCAAAATACACATTTTATTCAACAGTGTATGGAACTTTCTCCAAGATAGACCATATGATAGGCCATAAAACCAACCTCAATAAACTAAAACTGAAATTATATCAAGCACTCTCTCAGACCACAGTGGAATAAAACTAGAAATCAACTCCAAAAAGGACCTTCAAAACCATGCAAATACATGGAAATTAAATAAGCTGCTCCTGAATAAGCACTGGGTCAAAAATGAAATCAAGATGGCAATTTAAAAATTTTTCAAACTGAATGACAATGATGACACAACCTACCAAAACCTTTAGGATACAGCAAAGGCAGTGCTAAGAGGAAAGTTCATAGCCCTAAATGCCTACATCAAAGACTGAACGAGCACAAACTGACATTCTAAGGTCACACCTCAATGAACTAGAGAAGCAAGAACAAACCAAACCCAAACCTAGCAGAAGAAAGGAAATAACCAAGATCAGAGCAGAACCAAATGAAATTGAAACAAAAAAAAATACAAAAGATAAATGAACCAAAAAGCTGGTCCTTTGAAAAGATAAATAAAATTGATAGACCATTGGCAAGATTAACCAAGCAAAGAAGAGAAAAAAATCCAAATAACCCCACTAAGAAACAAAACAGGAGCTATTACAACTGACATCATTTAAATACAAAAGATCATTCAAGGCTACTATGAACACCTTTACTCACGTAAACTAGAAAGAGATAGATAAATTCCTGGAAAAATACAACCCTCCTAGCTTAGATACCCTGAACAGACCAATAACTAGCAGAGAGATTGAAATGGTAATTTAAAAATCATCAACAAAAAAAAGTCCAGGACCAGACGGATTCACAGCAGAATTCTAGCAGACATTCAAAGAATTGGTACCAATCCTTTTGACCACTATTCCACAAGACAGAGAAAGAAGGAACCCTCCCTAATTCATTCTATGAAGCCAGCATCACCCTAATACCAAAACCAGGAAAGAATATAACCAAAAAAGAAAACTACAGACTGATATCCTTGATGAACATAGATGCTAAAATCCTTAACGAAATACTTGCTAAAAAAAAATCCAACAACATATCAAAAAGATAATCTACCATGATCAAGTGGATTTCATAACAGGGATACAGGAATGGTTTAACATACACAAGTCAATAAATGTGATACACCACATAAACAGAATTAAAGAAAAAAGTGACATGGTCGTTTCAATAGATGCAGAAAAAGCATTCAACAAAATCCAGCATCGCTTTATGATTAAAACTCTCAGCAAAAATCAGCATATAAGGGACATACTTGTATGTAATGTAATAAAAAGCCATCTATGACAAAACCACAGCCAACATAATTTTGAATGGGGAAAAGTTGAAAGCATTCTCTCTGAGAACTGGAACAAGACAAGAATGCCCACTCTTGCCACTCCTCTTCAAAATAGTGCTGTAAGTCCTAGCCGGATCAATCAGACAAGAGAAAGAAATAAAGGGCATCCAAATCAGTGAAGAGGAAGTCAAACTGTCACTGTTTGCTGATGATATGATTGTTTACCTTGAAAACCCTAAGGACTCCTCCAGAAAGCTCCTAGAACTGACAAAAGATTCAGCAAAGTTTCCAAATACAAGATTAATATACACAAATCAGTAGCTCTTCTATACACCAACAGTGACCAAGCAGAGAATCAAATCAAGAACTCAACCCCTTTTACAATAGCTGCAAATAAAATACTTAGGAATATACCTAACGAAGGAGTCAAAAGCCCTCTATAAGGAAAACTACAAATCACTGCCGAAAGAAATCATAGATGACACGAACAAATGGAAACACATCCCATGCTCACGGATGGGTAGAATCAATATTGTGAAAATGACCATAATGCCAAAAGCAATCTACAAATTCAATGCAATCCCCATCAAAATACAACCATCATTCTTCACAGAATTAGAAAAAACAATTCTAAAATTCACATGAAACCAAAAAAGAGCATGCATAGCTAAGCAAAAAGAATAAATCTGGAGGCATCACACTACCTGATTTCAAACTATACAATAAAGCCATAGTCACCAAAACAGCATGACACTGGTCCAAAAATAGGCACATAGACCAATGGAACAGAATAGAGGACCCAGAAATAAATCCAAATACTTACAGCCAACTGATCGTCAACAAAGCAAACAAAAACATAAAGTGGGGAAAGGACACCCTTTTCAACAAATGGTGCTGGGATAATTGGCTAGCCACATGTAGGAGAATGAAACTGGATCCTCATCTCTCACCTTATATAAAAATCAACTGAACATGGATTAAGGACTTAAACCTAAGACCTGAAACTATAAAAATTCTAGAAGGTAACATTGGAAAAACCCTTCTAGACATTGGCTTAGGCAAGGATTTCATGACCAAGAACCCAAAAGCAAATGCAATAAAAACAAAGATGAATAGTTGGGACTTAATTAAACTAAAGAGCTTTTGCACAGCAAAAGGAACAGTCAGCAGAGTAAACAGACAACCCCCAGAGTGGGAGAAAATCTTCACAATCTATACATCTCACAAAGGACTAATATCCAGAATCTACAACAAACTCACATCAATAAGAAAAAAACAATCCCATAAAAAGTGGGCTAAGGACATGAATAGACAATTCTCAAAAGAAGATATGCAAATGGCCAACAACCATATGAAAACATGCTCAACATCACTAATGATCAGGGAAATGCAAATCAAAACCACAGTGTGATATCACCTCACTCCTGCAAGAATGGCCATAATCAAAAAAATCAAAAAACAATAGATGCTGGCATGGATGTGGTGAACAGGGAACACTTCCACACTGCTGGTAGGAATGTAAACTAGTACAGCCGCTATGGAAGACAGTGTGGAGATTCCTTAAAGAACTAAAAGTAGAACTACCATTTGATCCAGCAATCCCACTACTGGGAATCTACCCAAAGGAAAAGAAGTCATTATTTGAAAAAGATACTTACACACGCATGTTTATAGCAGCATTGGGTCAAAAACAATTGCAAAATCATGGAACCAACCCAAATGCCCATCAATCAACGAGTGGATAAAGAAACTGTGGTCTATATATATGATGGAATACTACACAGCCATAAAAAGCAATGAATTAACAGCATTTGCAGTGATCTGGATGAGATTGGAGGAGATTATTATTCTAAGTGAAGTAACTCAGGAATGGAAAACCAAACATCATATATTCTCACTGATATGTGGGAGCTAAGCTATGAGGACGCAAATGCATAAGAATGATGCAATGGGCTTTGGGGATTTGGGGGAAAGAGTAGGGGCGGGGCAAGGGATAGAAGACTACAAATATGGTGCAGTGTATACTGCTCTGGTAATGAGGCACCCAAATCTCACAAATCACCACTAAAGAACTTGCTCATGTAACCAAATACCACCTGTACCCCAATAACTTATGGAAAAAAATTTTTTTTAATTAGCCAGGCATGGTGGCATGTGCCTATAGTCCCAGCTACTCAGGAAGCTAAGGTGGAAGGAACATCTGAGCCCAGGAGGTCAGGGCTGCAGTGAGCCATGATCACACCACTGCACTCCAGCCTGGGTGACAAAGCAAGATCCTGTCTCAAAAAAAAAAAAAAAAAAAAAAAAAAAAAATATATATATATATATATATATATATATATATATATATATATGTATAACATATATTATATATATTTTATTATTTATATATATCAAGTTGTATTAAAATAACTGTTTCTGTTTAAAGTTAAAAAGATAATTTTACTTATTTCCTACTTATTACTAACTTGACTTAATAATATCTTAAAAGGAGGAGGATCATTAAACATTCCTTTGGGGGAGACAAATACATCACGTCCCATCCCCCAACTAGGTTGCCTAATCTACTAGGAAGGATGAGAAAGACATTTCTCATCTGCAACTGCATCAAATGGGAACCCAAACTGAAAGATGGTTTTCATTTTTTAAAAAATTACAAGCCTTAAAATATGTTTCTGGAAACGTATCATATTAGCATTTTATGATTGTAGACAATTCAGCTATGTGAATTGAAAGAATTCTACAAACGGGCTCAACAAGAAAAGTGAGAAATTTAGGAAGACTTTTTGTTTGTAGACACAAATAGCGGGCCCTTCTACCTGGCGCCAGTGCCCTTCCAGAGAGCAGAGAAGGTCACCATACACTCTCTTTTCTAAACTCTCCTCTGAATGAGAGTTAATGGGGAATCTATCTCCCTCTCTCTGCAGACCCTGCTAAGATAAACAGGTGTGAAATACTTCTTTCTTTATACACAGTTCTTAAAAAGGAAGATTTCTTCTTACTCAACTTGACAAATATCTGTGGGTAGACATTCCAGAGCCTTTATGGGTTTACTAAAACAAACAGAAAAAAAAAAACCACCATAATAAACGGAAAGACATATTTCAAATACCACCCAAGCATTGGTTTCATGTACTGGTGACAAGTACTGGTTTTCACCTACAGAGCATATACAGATTTCTCCCCTTTATAATCACCAGATGTGGAGAGAGCTATAAACAAAGGCAAAACCCTAAAGCATTATTGCTTAGTAACCAAAAGTTTTATTTGTATTCTTACAGAATACTAAAGGAAGGTGCCTAGTGCCCAGATAAATTCAAGTTACATTTAACTTAAAATGTCTGCAGTATTTCTTCAGCTACCAATTACAACCTGGAGAAACTCTGAAGTAGAATTAATGTTTACTTTATATCACGTATCTGCTGAGCTTCATGATAGCAAATAAATTCGGAGAAAGAAAAAAGAGAAGTAAGGAGATTAAAATTCTGGGCCATCAATGACATTCTAGGAGAGTTGAAGCAGAAAATATCAAAAGCATATGAGTGTACTTTCAAGGTACTTTGCATGATTGAAAACTCAACAGAGGGGTGAACTGCCAATCTGTACAAAACAGACCAATTATAAAGATTTTTTACTGTCTCTGTCCCACAAGTAAGATTCCATGCCTTTGGTTAGTTTTGTTGTTTTGTTCTGATTATAAAAATAGAATGTGCTCACTGTTGCTGATTTGCATTGCCATACACAACTCTTAATACATATGCACATGCACTTTTCCAATTTTTGCTTACAACAAATTCCTAAAAGTGAGGATGATAGGTCGAAGGCATTTCATTTTAAAACTTCTGTCAATCTTTCAAACTGTCTTCTGGAAGGCTTACCATTTTAGACTTCCACCAAGAAAGTGTTATGCCCATCATTCCATTCCCTCACCAGCTATAAGTGTTTCAGTCCTTCTCATTTCTACCAATCTTATACATGGAACAATACCTCCAAATTATTCTATGATGCAATCATAATGAGCTGATATAACAATGATTCCTAAGTGAGAGATCTCAATTTCCAGAGGACAAGGAAGGGGACAGGACATGTGTAATTAAAAAGAGATTTTTAAAAATCCCAGTTTATGCCGGGCGCGGTGGCTCACGCCTATAATCCCAGCACTTTGGGAGGCCGAGGCGGGCGGATCACCTGAGGTCAGGAGTTCGAGACCAGCCTGACCAACATGGAGAAACCCATCTCTACTAAAAATACAAAATTAGCCAGGCATGGTGACACATGCCTGTAATCCCGGCTGCTCCGGAGGCTGAGGCAGGAGAATCGCTTGAACCTGGGAGGCAGAAGTTGCGGTGAGATCACGCCATTGCACTGCAGCCTGGGCAACAACAGCAAAACTCCATCTCAAAAAAAAATAAAAAAAAAAATAAAAATCCCAGTTTATAACACAAAATATAGTAAGTAAATGACAAAATATTGTTGTCTGGTGAGAAAATTTTTTTAAAAAGGATGAGAAACCACCATAGAGAACAAAGATTTTTTAAGTTTGGGAAACATTATACTCTAGGATGATGTAAATAGCTAGTTATCTATAAGTCTTAAAAAAGCAAGTTATGCTGAAATAGTGCTAACAAGCCACAGGGGAGAGGAGAAATCTCGAATATGTTCCGACTGTCTGCTGCTGAAATCATAGCCCTAACCGCCACAGGTAACACGCACTGAGAGCTGAGTAGGAGCCAGGCACTGTACTTACCCAGATTACCTCATGTGGTCCTCACAATAGCCTTATGAAGTGGACTCTATTATTATCTGCATTTTATAAAAAAGGAAACTAAGGCTTGGTGCAGTCACTTTCCCATAAATCTAATAAGTAGTGGAGAAAGCATCTGAATCTACACCTGTCTGACGCTAAAGCCCAGGCTCTTAAACACGAAGCCATATTGCTTCCTAGGAATTAAATGCCTCCATTTGCAGCGCAAGGCAGAAGATGTTATTTAAAACATATATTTTATTTTAAAACATGTAAATAGGCGAGTCCTGAATACTCCAGGACTAGGCTCTGGGTGCCCTTATCCCTGTGCAGGTCAGCACAAGACAACCGGCTCCGGCTGCCCCCTCACCTCTCATGCCAATTCCTACAGGACCGCATGTATTCTAGCTGGATCCTCCTCCCATATCTTCTCAACTCCTGAAACCCTTGCACAAAGCCCCTCTATCCTGAACCTCTTCTCTAAACCTTCCCTTGCCTCCTCTGTCCAGAGCCTGGCCCTCCCCGGCAGCCCTCGCAATAGCTGCTGTTCTGTCTCTTGGCCCTTGCTCTGCAGAGCTTGGTGGGGAGCCCCTCATTACCACCTCCAGACAGTACTCTTTCCTACCACCTCCCAAAAGCTGAATCTTCTGTCATGAGATTGCATCATTCATGAGCCTTCATTGTTGCCATCATGTACCAATCCCTAGTTCACTCCCCTGTTTCTTAATGATTTTAGCCCCAGCTCACTGTCACTTTGTCCGATTACTATTCCTGTCTGGATGTGGGAATTTTCATGCACTTACAAGACCCTCAGACACCTGTTCTTTCAAGTCTTTGAACTCTTCCCCTGCAACAGTCTAGTCCTTCACCCTGCCGCAGTCACAAATTCCTTTGGTCATGACTTAGGAATTACCCATAACTGCACCTCTCTACAATCTAAAATCCAGGCCCCCTACTTGCTGACCACCAATTCCTGTATTTCCAGCTTCCTGCCTCCAGCACCTGAACTCCAGTAATCCCTTGACCTATCATTACCTGTTCCTATACCTTATGAGTGTCACACCCTTCCCTGAAGTCTTCCCTCCTTACTTAGCCTAAATTCCAGGCCAAATCACAGAATCCTTCCCCTGCAACCATCCTCAGCATCATGGTTCTACTTTTCCTTCAATGTACTCAGGAAAACCACAACCCTGAAGAAATCCAATTCTCTGTTTACTCCACCCTTGCAACTGTTGAGCTGAATATGGCTGAAGAAAACACATAACCTGATTGCTTCTCAGCAACCATACTACATTTCCCTAGTTCAGTGGTTCTCAATTTTTTCAATATAGACATTAATCATTCCAGCACCAATTCTAGAAAAGGTTACCCTTTTCCTCACTTAACTGCCTTGGCATCTTTGTCAAAAATCTACTGACCAAATATATGTGAGCCTAATTCTGGACTCTCTGTTCGGTTCCACTAGTCTATCTACACACAAATACCACACTATCTTGACTACTGTAGCTTTATGGTAAGCCATCAAATAAGTTTGTAGTACAAGTTCTCCATCATTACTGTTAGTTTTCATTTTTCATTACTCCAGGTCCTCTTCACTGCCATATGCTTTACAATCTACTTATCAATTTCTACAAAAAATTTAAAAAACTGGGTGTGTTATGATTTGGGATTATATTAAATCTTCAAATCAATTTTGGGGGAACTGACATCTGAATAAAAATATTCTGACCCATAAATGTAGGATATATTTCTTTTTTAAATGTATTCACTAATTTCTCACAGCAATGTCTTACAGTTTTCAGTGTAAAGATCTTACACAGACTTTTGTTAAATTTATCCTTCAGCATTTCATTTTTCTATAAATAGAACTTTGTTTTAAAAATTATAGTACATAACATAAAACTTACCAATTAAACCATTTTAAGTGCATAATTCAGGGGCGTTAATTACACTCACACTGTTGTGCAACTCTCATCATTATTCATTACCAGAATTTTTCCATCATCCCAAACAAAAATTCTATACCTATCAAACAATAATTCCCCACTCTCTCTCTCCCAGCCCCTGGTAATCTCTATTCTACTTTTTGTCTCTGAATATTGCCTATTCTAGGTACCTCATATAAGTGGAATTGTACAATATTGGTCCTTTTGTGTTAGGCCTATTTTTACTTAGCATACGTTTTCAAGATTCATCAATATTGTAGCATGGATCAGAATTGTATTCCTTCTTAAGGTTGAATAATAAATATTGTTTATCTGTTCATCTGTTGATGGACATTTAGGTTGCTTCCAAGTATTTCATATTTTTATTGCATTGTAAATGGTATTTAGGTGGCAGATTCTAATTGTTCATTGTTTGTATCAAAAAAGAACTCGACCTGCTCACAAACCTGCTCCTCTCTTGATTTCCCTTGCGCCCACGCACATCTTTCCATCTCCTCAGTGCAAAACCTCTGAGACGTCCTTGATTATTTTCACAGCCCATGGCCAATCAGTGAGCAAATCTGGTTAACTCTACCCCAAATTCAACCACTTCTCACTGCCTCCACTGCAACCTTCCTAGCCCCAGACACAAGCATCTCTCACTGAGATTACTGTAATAGAGCCATAACTGGTCCCCTGTCTCTGTCCCATGTAATCTCTTTTCAACAGTCTCCAGAGTGGTCATGTGAAAATGTAAGTCAAACCATTTCACGTCACTATTCAAAAGCATTCAACTGCTCACCATTTCCTTCCAATTTAGGTCGGAGGCTCTTATAATTGCCTACAAGGTCCAAGACCACTTGGCCTCATTGCCTCTCTGGCCCAACCTCTTGTTTCTCCTCCCTCACACACTCCACTCCAGCTACGATGGCCCCCTTGCTATTTCTCCAATACAACAGGCATGCTCCCACCTGCCATGGGCCTGTATCTGGAATGTTTTATCCCCCATGCTTGGTTCCCTCCCTTAATTCCTTCAAGTTTTTACTCAGTGTCACCTTCTTAGTGAGGCCTACCCTGACCAACTCATTGAAATTTGAACCCTAGCTCCTCTGGCACTCCTGATCTCCCTTACTCTGCCCTATTTTCCCCTTATATTAATTAAAATAAACTTTTTATTCTGGAATAATTCTAGGTTCACAGAAAGGTTGCAAAGATGGTACAGATAGTTCTTCTTGCCCTGTTTTCCCCCCATGTTAACATGCTGCATCACCAGGGTATATTTGTCAAAGCTAAGAAGCCAACATTGATACATGACTATGAACTAAACTCCAGGCTTTATTGACATTTCACTATTTTTTCCACCAACATCTTTTTTTTTCTGTTCTAGAATCCAATTCAGGATACCACACTGTGTATATTCATCACATTTCCTTATCTCTTGTGGTCTGTGACAGTTTCTCAGTCTTTCCTTGTTTCCCAAAACCTCAAAGTCTTGAGGAGCACTGGGGCCAGGTATTTTGTAGACTGTCCATCAGCTTTGGTTTGCCTGATATTTTCCTCATGACTAGACTGGGGTTATGGTTTTAGGGGAAGAAAACCTCAGGGGTAAAATGCTTTGCTCACCAAATCATATGTGGGATACACGTTATCAACCTGACTAATTACTAGTGTTGTTAGCCCTCATCACTTGGTTAAGGAGGCATCTGTCAGGTTAGCCCACTGTAAAGTTACTAACTATTCCTTTTCTATACTTGAATCTTTGGAAATGAATCACTAAATTCAGCCCCTAGCCCTGGCAGGTATAGGTCTTATATTTTCTAATGTGTTGACATACCATTTATTTTCTTATTCCCCACATTTGAAGGTAAACTCTAAAAAACATGAATCCTTGTATCTTTTATTTACCAGTGTAGTTCCAGTATCTAGAATAGTACCTAGCATGTAATAAATACTCAATATTTGTTGGATGGCTGAATTACAGAAAAGAAAGTTACCTCAGAATCTGTTCAGGTCACAGTTTCCTAGTGTCAAGTATGCACCTCCCCACCTAGAAAAATATGTGCTCAGGAAACAAATCAGGTATGTTTTGTACTTCAAGGTATTATTCACATGTAGAGTTACCTCTTTCAGTGGTATCTGCAGTTCTATTATGGGAAACAACCTTAAAGAATAAAGTTACAAGATAAAACTGGAAGTGTTAGCAGTAGGCTTGAATAGAGAATCTATGCGAAGTGCTTAGAATAGTAGCTGTAAATAACAGAAACTAAAGAAATGTTAATTTTTTTCTATTTCCTCACCTTACATTTAGGTGAGAGAGATTTCAGAGATACAGAGGGCCTTCCTGGAACTTCAAAACATGCTTACTTTATCTGCTAATAATCTTAAATCCTTTTTGAAACAAGGCCAGAGTATAAACTTTTTAACACTTCATACTCCCAAGTCCATTTAATATTAATTAATTTGATCTCTTCCTAAAATCTGCTCTTGGTCTGGTCAACACTTGAGGTCAGTATATCCAGAATCAGGATTTCCCACAGAGCCTCACTGATCTGAGAGAGGTGTCCTGGCCTTACTACAATCCCTAGGCTTCTTTGCACATAAGGTTTTTCCCATAGAAGAATGCAAGCCACACTTAGAGGCCTAGGCTTTACTGTGTAGTTAAGAAGACATCCTGAGGTTTTAGGGAGAAAAAGTCCCTCGCTTTCACAACTTTAAAGATTTGTTCAGCAGCGGATGCTCACTAAACTTTGTATTATATTTTAAAATAGCCACCAAGTGATTAAAATAAAAATGAGTATATATTTCTTTTTTTCTTTTCTTTTTTTTCTTTTTGAGATGGAGTTTTGCTCTTGCGGCCCAGGCTAGATTGCAATGGTGCGATCTCGGCTCACTGCAACCTCTAATTCCTGGGTTCAAGCGATTCTCCTCCCTCAGCCTCCCGAGTATCTGGGATTACAGGCACCAGCTAATTTTTGTATTTTTAGTAGAGACAGGGTTTTGGCCAGGCTGGTCTCGAACTCCTGACCTCAGGTGATCTGCCCACCTATGAGTATATGTTTCTTAAGGTAGATTCTATGTTCCAATAATGGAAGCAATTCAGTTTCCGACTAATGGAAGCACTGCTTGGCATGTTTTTAAAATGTCGTGAGATCAGCTGATTTTGTACATTACTTGCTGAATACAATCTCTGGAAAGCAGAGCTGCCATACAGTCTCCTCCCTCTTTAACAAACATTTTCATACTTACCAGTGCTGCTTCTCTAATGCACCTAATTCTGCCAAGCATTATTTTCTTGAAGAACAGTATCAGGGATAAGAGTCATATTTTCAAGTCATTAAAATTCTGGCAGTCTCATTTCATTTAGGACACCTTAATTTTTCTCAGGTCATGAATCAGTGAACATCTGATATTAGCAGGGCTAAGAAAAAGCATCTTGGATTCCTTTTTGGGAAATATGTTCAAAAACAAACCAGATAAGAACCACGGCCAGGAAAACATCCTTTCTAGCTGCTATAGAACAGAACCCTTCATTCAAAGACAAAGTAATTTATTAAGAACTCAAAAAATCAGCCAAACATGGAGAAGAAAAGGCTATAAAGTAGGGTAGGAATGGCAAGCTGTATTCTTTTCTGAAGATTCATTAACAGTGAAACCTTTCTGTAAATCTTACAAAGAAGAGAAAGTTGAGATGTGATCATTATGTTTATTATTCTTTTCATTTATATCCTATCCATTATTGACTGCTTATTGTGGACCAGGTACTGTGTAGAGTCCAGAAAGTACAAAGATCAATAAGGTACAGATGCCATCCTCTAGAAGCTGATACATGGAAGAAGGTAAGATTTGTTGTATATGGCCCCGGAGGCAGGGACCAGGAACAATGGCTGGAAGTTACATTATAAAGGACTTTCTAAGAAGCTGTTCCAAACTAGAGCAGACTGCATCTCATATGTCATCAATGGCAGTGTTCAAACAGAAACTGGATGTCCTAACCGGGAGTATGAGTCAAGCATCAGTGAAAAAAAATTGATAACATGGCCTCTATTCTTGGGTAATTTCATGTCAGTGACTTCCCATCTTCACTACAGAACAGAGAAGAAAATTCTAGGTACTTTTTAAATATTCAAGTGAGATAATTCTATTTTTGAAGACTAAGAGCCAGTCATATCAATTTTGAAACTATCTGAAATACTTACGGGCTGCTTTTTCTCTCCTCCAATTTTTCAATTTCTCAATTCTCTATATTAGGCTTTGAGTTTCTCAGGAATTGAATTCATGCTGTATACTATTTTTCTTCTAATAGCAAGAGCCTAGCTTTGTATAACATCAGCTACTCAGGCTGTAACATTTTTACTGAAATACGTTAATTGGTTTTACTTCAGCATAATATTTCCAGCATGGCTGTAGAACAAATATTAACTAACTGAAATGTTTATTGCTCAATATGCTGAGATCAATAATACTTTAATGAAAAGGTGAAATAACAGTTGCAATGTTTCTCATAAGGCAAACTGAAATTAACCTCCATGTACAGGTAAATATATTATCTAACAAAGCTTTGAAAGGATTTTTAAAAATTTTAAAGACTAAGTAGCAAACATAAGAAGGATTAGGGGCTTTGGCTTGCAAATAAAACATTTTTATGGTCACACTAATCATCTAAAAAAAATCAGTGGTGTTTGTCTTAATGTAACTACATTTCACATAACATGGTAGGAACATTATTTATAATTCAGGTAATTTTCCAAATTCCTCTAGGTCCTAGGAGAAGCCTTTCTGGTGGCTCTTCCTCAGTGACCTCTCTCCTAAGGTTTGAGTTATCTTCAGACATATCAGTAATACATGTTACTCATTTTAATACATTTATTTGCTCAACATGTGTCCAATTTCCTCTAACACCTTTATAGCAGTTCACCTTGGAGTGTCTTAGATTACAAGCTCCCAGTAACAGAAATGTCTGGTAGAAAAGAGCAGAGTGATGGATGGCTATTCAACATATACTTCCGGATGATGACTATGTTCATTATCAAATAAAATGATCCATTATTTTAAATTGCTTACTCTCCAATTCAAAATGATGATTTATATACGTAGCACAATGTTAAAGCACTGCACAGTGACACGTTTAAAATTCCTTAAGCAGAAATGGCATGCCAGTCTAAAAGGCACAAAAGCAAGGGCATTTATAAAAACCAGACATCAGGAACCCTACAGAAAGGGCAATACCTAAGAGTTTGTTACTATGTAGGTGAATGCAAGTGTGTTACTGTACTTACAGTGACATGGTAAAGACACGAGTTCTACCCTCTTCACAGCTCAAAGCAGAGTAAATGAAGAAAATGTAGGTATGTCAATACAAGATACATTTCCTAGATGAACAAAAATGAGAGGTATGTCCACTGCGACACAATACCAGGTATCAAGGAACAAATACTTCAATGTTCACTGGGAGCAAAGCACAATGGCAGGTGTTGTGAGGCTGGCAAGGAAGACCCAAGTGAACGATGCTGTTTATATTAGGCAGGCTGCTTAACTTCCCTGAGCCTTAGTTTCCATCAAATGCAGATTATAATCTTATAAAGTGACTGTGAAGAAGAAGAGGGCAATGGTGTAAAGCCCTTCACCAAATTCAGGCTCACAGTGGTAGCAGTACTTGGTAGAGTGATGATGTCTAGTGACAGCATCAGCTACAAAGACAGTCCTGCTCTCAGAAAGTTCACAACAGGACATCAAATGCACCACACATGTGCTTGCCCACTGTATTCACCCTGAGCCTTGCCAGGCTGCCTTTGCTGCTAACTGTATATGTGGCATCTGATCCCTTCTCAGCATGAGGCCTAGATATCAGCTAATTAACATTTTCACAAAAGATGACATCTAGCTGCTGTTCTGACTGTGGGGTACAGTTGTGAAGATGCGAGTGATCGTTAACAGTTATCCAAGTCTTCCTATGAGTCAAGCACTCTTCTACATACATTTCACATATATGATCTCATTCAATCCTCTCAACAACTCTTATGATGTGGGTACTATCATTAGCCCTGCTTTTCAGATGAGAAGACATAGCATGTTCACATGAAAACTTAGGTGGCAATTTCTCACTGGAATGCAGAGTCACAGGCAGTTTTAACCATCGGTCAAATTAGTACTATGGGTATTATGTGGTATAAATTCAGAAGAGAAAGAGAAAATACGCTTGTATGACTGAGAATGCTTCACAGAGAAGGAAATAATTACAGCTGAAGAATGGGTAGGATCTGCCCAGACAGGGAAGACAAAGGTATTACAAGTGAAGGAAAGAATGTGAACAAGGTTACAAAAATTAAAAAAGTAATGCAGAAGAACAGTTGGACAGGAGTGGAGAGATCCTGTCAGAAAATAAAAAAAGACAAAATAAAACAGCTGAGTGAGAGGGCTTGCACCTGTTAATCTCAGCCACTTGGGAGACTGAGCTGGGAGGATGGCTTGAGCCCAGGAGTTCGAGGCTAGAGTGAGCTCGCTATATTCCAGCCTGGGGGACAGAGGGAGACCCTGTCTCAAAAAAAAAAAACAAAACAAAACACAAAACACAAAACAAACAAACAAAAACAACAGAAGGAAGGAAGGAAGGAAGAAAAAAAAAAGGCCGGAAAGTCAGATTAGCACCACTATGAGAAGGGGCTGGAATTTGAAAGTATTGGCCTGAGGTTTCATGTACATTTGCCATTCCTAAGTCAGCCTTCAGTTTATTATGTGCATAGGTGGTCATCTACAATGGGTGAAGTTAAGAGCCTAAAGGCCTCTAAGAGCAAAAACCTCTCCGCCACTTTTTGACAAGGTACCCAAAATTCCAAACTGAAGTTATACTGTCTGTATTTAGCATATGATTGGCTAGGTACAATAAAAGTAGTGGTTCTCAAACTCTAGGGGACATCAGAAACAACTAGAAAGCTGGTTAAAACACAGATTGCTGGGCGCTACCTCCCAGTTTCTGACTCATTTGGTGTGGGGTGAGGCCCAAGAATTTGTATTTCTAACAAATTCTCAGGTGATGCTTAATGCTGCTGGTCCAGGGACCACACTTTGAGAGAACCACTGACCTAAAAGGATAAAATCCAGAATGAACAAATTCTAACTGGGGAGAGAAAAATTTTATATGAGATTATTTAATAACTCACAAAGGGACTCCTGAGTGAAGGGGAAGAGACTAGGCATGTGGAGATGCTATAACCAATATTCTTCAGCCATAAAAGAGTACATTTGAAAGTACGGGTTGAGTATCTTTTCCAAAATGGCTGGGACCAGAAGTATTTGGATTTTATCAGATTTTGGAATATTTGCATATATACAATGAGATATCTTGGGGATGGGACCCAAGGCTAAACATGAAATCAATTTATGTTTCATCTGTATCTTATACCTGGAGGCAATTTTATACAATACTTTAAATAATGCTGGGCATGAAACAAAGTTTAGACTGCGACCTGTTACATGAGGTCAGGTGTGATATTTTCCACTTGTGTTGTCACATCAGCACTCAAAAAGTTTGTGATTTTGGAGCTTTTTGAATTTCAGATTTTCAGATTAGGGATACTCAACTTGTACCAAATTAAAATGTTAGCTCTGGTATAGTTAACAAAGCTCTCTCCATGCTTAAAAATACCAGTGGCCACTCTTGAGCACCGCTTTGGACGAGTTATTATAGAAACTATGCCAGAACTCAATAGCGATTGTCAAATATCTAAGATAATTAATTTTTATTTGTATTGGTCCCATCGATATACTTAAATATTGAGAGGATTTACAAAGAAAGTAAATGTGGCATTATTCTTCTTTAACGTGTTTGGGTCAGGGGGAAATATTTAAAATAGCACTTACAATTAAAACAAATTTAAAGAATTTATTAATAAAAAGTTAGCAACAGAACTGCATAGAAAAGAAGAAGGGTCTCCCTCCCATGAGCTAATAAAGTGATAACATTTAACTAGCCTTCCATAAATCACTAAACGATATCATATTGATTAACTGAGTATAATAAAAGCTTTTTATTTTTTGCTCTTGGTTCTCTGTCAATTTCAAGATTATATTTCCTATTTCACACAGGTATTTTCCCCTTTATATAAAAATTATTGATAGTTCCTGTTATTATAACCAGTTTGACATGTTGATCTTCTCTCCTTATCTATAAATATTTATAACGTGGAATAAATTTGAAACTTGAATTTATCTGGCTTCCGACATTTCTAAAGCAGTGAAATTTGGTAGGATGCTTTTTCTTTTAAAATAAGGGTAGTGGTGTCTTACAAAAGCCAAGACAGATGAAGAAAAGGCCTTATATATTACCTCTTAAGGATTCTGCTTCCTTTTGATTCAATTGAGTATCAACAGATTTCAAGTTAACATAAAGGCTGTCAGGTTCCCATCTCTTCCAGACAGAAAAAAAAATACTATGTACAGACATATCTTGTTCAATTTATTATCAAATATACACAAGAGTACAAATAAGTTGCTGTGATTAATTG
The DNA here is from genome assembly GCF_000001405.40 of Homo sapiens. Classification (NCBI taxonomy): domain Eukaryota; kingdom Metazoa; phylum Chordata; class Mammalia; order Primates; family Hominidae; genus Homo; species Homo sapiens. The sequence goes on along the minus strand of NC_000002.12, from coordinate 173,097,384 downwards.
TGTTTTGTTTTTGTTTTTGTATTGATTTTGAGACAGAGTCTCACTCTGTAGCCCAGGCTGGAGTGCACTGGCACCATCTTGGCTCACTACAACCTCTGCCTCCCGGGTTCAAGCAATTCTCCTGCCTCAGCCTCCCGAGTAGCTGGAACTACAGGCGCCCGCCACCATGCTTGGCTAATTTTTGTATTTTTAGTAGAGACGGGGTTTCGATCTCTTGACCTCGTGATCCGCCCGCCTCGGCCTCCCAAATTGTTGGGATTACAGGCGTGAGCCACTGCACTAGGCCAATTAATTGTTTTCAAAAGTTAACATTCAAGCTGATGAACTCTTTGTCATGTTGGGAGTGTTCTCCTCTGGGCAGTAGCTGTAAATAGGACATTGCAGTCACAATGTCTTTCTGCACCACTTCTACTTGTCTCTTAAATTTCTGCCTAAGCAGTTCAATTTGATCCCAGCTCATCTGGAATTCATCAAAAAGATACAATAGTGGCTTCCTTTCTTACCTTTGGTGTATATGCTTAAGATCATATGATTTTCTCCTATTGCAAACACTATTTAAAACAGAAATAAATAGTACACTGTAAGTAAATCTGCAAATAATGTAAACAAGCTAAACTGAGGTCTTGCACTACTATGGAAAAGCGATATGAAAGTAAACATTAAACACTCTACAGCCACATATTGAGAGTGGAAAATTAGTGTTGTGTGATATGCTAAGGAGGTTTACAAAACTCAATTCACTAGATTGGCCGGGTGCAGTGGCTCACGCCTGTAATCCCAGCACTTTGGGAGGCCGAGGTGGGTGGAGCACGAGGTCAGGAGATCGAGACCATCCTGGCTAACACGGTGAAACCCCGTTTCTACTAAACTACAAAAAATTACCCAGGCGTGGTGGCACATGCCTGTAGTCCCAGCTACTCAGGAGGCTGAGGCAGGAGAATCGCTTGAACTCGGGAGGCAAAGGTTGCAGTGAACGGAGATTGCACCACTGCGCTCCAGCCTGGGCAAAAGAGCGAGACTCTGTGTCAAAAAAAAAAAAAGGAAAAAAGAAAAAAAGAGAGTGACATACATTGCCACAGCTACACTTTTTTAAATTGAATTTTTCTGATTATAAAAGTAAATGTGTGGGTCATGTGGTATTTACATTTCTCAAAACTTGAGGTAAATTTTATCCCAGAAGAAAACAAAACTGCAAACACATACTGAATTCTAGGAACAATATACAGGATGAAGTGTTTAAGGAGAAGCACACTGATGCCTGCAACTTATTTGAAATGTATCAAAATGAATTAATGAATGGAAGGGTAGATAGCTGCATACACATCTTATAACGCAAGTATTTATATTAATGATAGGCACTAGATGGTAGGTATGCAAATATTTACTACAAAACCTTTTCACCTTTTCTTTATGTTTGAAATTTTTCACAATAAAATGTTGCGGGGAAAAGAAATGTAAAATCATCATAGGAAAATATGAAAAACAAGGTACAGTATAAGAAAAATAAAAGCACCATACAGACACAAAACCTATACCTGGGATCATATTGTATATAATGTTTTGTAACTTCCTTTCACCACTTAGCACTATACAATGAGCATTTTCCTTGCTTTCTAAATGTTCTTCCAAATGGAAGAGAAATCAATTATATAGCTGCAACGTAATTTGTAATTTCCAATTCTTCCTTGTTATACATCTGAGAAGAATCCTATAATTATATCCATCTTTCTGCACATCTCTGATTATTAAGTCCCAGAGCAAGATTCCTGGCCCAAAGAAGTAAACATTTTAAGATTCTTGATACATTTTGCTAAACTCTTCTCCAGAAAGGTTTACCAATTTACATTCCTAATAGCAGTGTATCACAGATGTAGCTAACCAGAGCCATGAGTTTACATTTCAAATAAAATGCTTTCATGAATAAAATTTCTCTGTAACCATAATTTCTGTCAAAAAGACAATGTTCTTTTTAAAAAAGTCTAAAGTAAACAATCCTAGTACCCAAATCTTGGTTCCTAAATAATATACTCCAAAATCAGGTATATTGACTCAGGGCTTCTCAAAAACATGGCTGACTCCAGGAATGAGACAGGAACTAGATGAGCCTAGTACATCTTTTTGTGCCTGAAGTAAGAAAATCATAAAAAAATGACAGCGACATACCAAAAGGACACAAGAGCCAGCTGGAAAGAGCTCTTACTTGCTAAATTTGGGATAGTTTAAGCATGAAAATGAATAACACTAATGGATTATAACATTCTGAATTCCAAAAAGTCTTTAAGTATACGATCAAACAATAAATACATGAATGAATGGTTGACTAAAGGAAGAAAGGAAAAAATAAGGGCAAACTCACTTATGCTAGAACTTTTTACTTTCTGCACAGTAAACTGTTATAGTACTATTTGATCCAAACAAGAATCATCAATAGATGCTAAAAACATTAGTAAATGTTTGCTGAGGAAAGATATTTACTTAGCTTCAAAGTATCTACCAATAGCTTAATTATTAATTACAAAGGAAAAATAGGTATTTTCTTGTACTGTGGAGAAATTGGGTAAACCCCTCTTAACTAAGCATTCAAAACTAACATCATCAATAATGAGACTAACCAACATCACAAGACACCCATTAAGACACACCAAGGACACACAACCTATGTAGTTTTCCTGCCAAAACTACATAAACTCTGACTAGGCTGGGGGCTGGGGAGGAAATCACATAAACCCCAAATGAGGGACATTATACAAAACACTTATCCTATACTTTTCCAAAATGTCTACGTCTTAAAAGACAGAGAAAGGCAGAGAAACTGTTCCAGATTAAGCCGGGCTAAACAGACATGTCGATTATATGCAATATACGATCCTGGATTGGATCCTGGGTTGGAAAAATTGCCATCAAAAGCTCGCATTGCAAAAGTTGGCAAAATGTGAATATAGACTGTATAACAAGTAACATTATTGTTATCATTGTTACATTTTTTGAATTTGTTAATTGTACTGTGGTTGTGTTTTGGGAGATGCTGAAGTATTTAGGGATAAAGGTACATGGCATCTGTAATGTACTCTCATCGTTCAGCAAAAATCATACAATATATATGAATACATATAAATCAATAACATATAGAGAAAAAGCAAATGTAAAATGTTACTAAATGGTGAGTGTAGGGGAAGAATAAAACGTACTAGAGTTCATAGTAGTATTCTTTTAATTGTTCTCTAGGTTTAAAAAAATTTTTTTTTATTATACTTTAAGTTTTAGGGTACATGTGCACATTGTGCAGGTTAGTTACATATGTATACACGTGCCATGCTGGTGTGCTGCACCCACTAACTCGTCATCTAGCATTAGGTATATCTCCCAGTGCTATCCCTCCCCCCTCCCCCCACCCCACAACAGTCCCCAGAGTGTGATGTTCCCCTTCCTGTGTCCATGTGATCTCATTGTTCAATTCCCACATATGAGTGAGAATATGTGGTGTTTGGTTTTTTGTTCTTGCGATAGTTTACTGAGAATGATGATTTCCAATTTCATCCTTGTCCCTACAAAGGACATGAACTCATCATTTTTATGGCTGCATAGTATTCCATGGTGTATATGTGCCACATTTTCTTAATCCAGTCTATCATTGTTGGACATTTGGGTTGGTTCCAAGTCTCTGCTATTGTGAATAATGCTGCAATAAACATACGTGTGCATGTGTCTTTATAGCAGCATGATTTATAGTCCTTTGGGTATATAAAAATTTTTTTAAATAAAGTTTTAAAGAACTACAGAGATTTTAAGTAAATACAGTCTTTCTTTTTTGTTTTTAAATAAAGTAGTAGTATACCCACTAAAACAGAGAAAAGTAGTACATACTCACTACACTAGAGGTCTGCAAATAAAGTGAAAGTAAATAGTCTTCCTTTCTCCTCTCACATAAACAAAGTTAGAGTTTGGTATATATTTTCTCTACATTTTGCTAAGTTTATAGAACATATATTTAGTCTAATATTAAGTCATTCTTAAAGAGTCACATGAAATGAGCTGCGAACATTTTATTAAGTGTTCCATTGCTTCTAAAACTCATTGGCAAAAAACAACCAAGTGACATGGAACTGGATCTATAAATTTGGAAAAAATCCAGGGCTTATTACCTTTATCTTATCACTTAGAAAACACCTAGCCAGAAGCCAACACACATTTCATAAAGCATAACAATTATTTACATAAGAAATGTATATTTCCTTGCTAGTAACTGTCAACTCCTCGCCATAACTTTTTATGTCTTAAACTCATGTTATTCCAGTACAAATAGGGGTTCTTTGCCATAATTTACTGTGTCTCTTTATCACTCATAATCACTGACTAAGCCCCAAAGCAAAAGTGGAGGTTTTGTTTTTCCTACCTACAGGTTTATGAGTTATGCTCTTACAGTTTACTGGAATCAACTCAATTTCTGAATTACCTACATTCATGTTAAATACCTGCACGAAAGCAGGATTTGGCAGTTTCCAATTCCTGCTTTCACTCCTGCACTTTCCTATGTCATTTTCCTGGCTCTCCCAAGAATAGAAGAAAAGGTATTATGTAGGTATCCTTGGGGAGGGGGGAGTGGAGTGAACGGGTTACAATTAATATTTTCCTATCAAAATCTGTTTCATGTCTCATAAAATCTTTTTCACATCGAACAATCATATAAGAACATGTTCCTTTTACTAAAGTTGTACAATCTAAAGCTAAAATATTAGCATATATATAAATAACTGACTATAAATGGATGGAGCAGGTTTAGTTTTCTCTTCGTACCTGGTCAATTAGAGGTTTCAGAGTCAAAAACTAAAGAACAGGGGTTCTAGCCTCCTGGATTTCATTTGCCCCTCCTGGGGCAGCTTAATACATTTCGCAAAGCTCTATTTCCCAATCCATAAAATGGGGACAATAATGCTTCCTATAAAGGACTTAAAGAATTGATCAGCTAAAAGGGCTAGGTTCAGTCCAAGGTAAGACATGGATTTATTACTTGGCTACCATTAAAAATTTTTATTGATTGAGAAATGGGGGAAAGGGAAAGTGACTTTCTCATACCCAGTACCTTTCTGTTTTGTGTACGGATGGGCTTTAAAAGCTCTCCTTTCTTAATGTCTTCCAAAAACCTATAGATTCCCCAAGGCAGAGATCTCTCAGTCCTTCTAACCTGGCTTCAACAATTGGAAACACAGCTGGTGATCACACAATTACACAGCACCGCTGGGAGGAAACTCACAAAGTGCTACCATTTGGGTTTCCTTCTCTAATCAATTGCTATGGTTCACTGGCAGCAGTTAATGAAAAAAATGAAATCATTCAGGGAGATTAAAGGATATTTATGGGAAAGTTCACTTTAAAAAGATATTGAACAATAATTTGCCAAAACAGGGCGTAAATAGAAATGACCAAAACCAGCTCCAGAGGGTCGCTGCTGAAGTTATCAATGCTGCTGAGTCCCTGCAGGTCAGCTCTGTAATTACTTTTATTCTCATGGTACCAAACTGAATGTGACAACCATGTTATATCTCATTCCTGAGAAGGATGACAGTTCTAAGAACTCTGAGCTCAACTAGGACCAGCACAAATCCCAGGCTCTGAAAGCCAAGACCCTTTTCTGATTTTACTAGGAGGACAGCTCTCTGTCTGGCACCTATTAATTCTATATAATACAAAGACCATCACTGTTAGCCTTAAGTAGAGGTGAAATCCAAGAAACAGGTACTGCATATTTCAGTTAAAAAAAACAGTGTCTTATCTTTTAAAAGACAACTGCTGATGACCAGAAGTTCAAGCAGAGAAAATGGAAAGGGTATAAAAACTTCACACATTACTCTTTACCGACCCCTCTTGGCTGCCCAGGGAAGAGAAAAGCTTGAACCCTGGGAAGGTCTAAAATCTCACCTCTGCCTCCAGGAGAGCTCAGAGAACATTTGGTCTTTCATGCCCTGGAAAGAAATCCTCTTACTTCAGCTGACCCCTAGTAGAACTCAACCCTAAAGCACACGCTGCAATAATTTCTATTTATGGGGCTCCCAGAATGGAAATTGGGAAACGGCCTCGTGGATCAGTCCCAAAGGCCTTGCTAGGTCTCTTGCAGCCCTGTGACCCTCTAACTCGAGGTTGAAAAAGCTTACATAAATGGTATCGTGACTGTTTCTGTCAGCTGGAAAAGACCTTACCTCTTTCTCTATTTTGAGGAGCTTCTTTACAGCCACCTCCTTGTCCTGTGATATCCATTTGGCTCGATAAACACTCCCAAAACTTCCTCCACCGCAGTTTTCAAAAAACTGCAAGTCATCAAATTTAATTTGCACAAAGGAGGCACCGAGAGACGACATCTCATAATGACAAAGTATTATACTTCCACAAAATCTGCAGAAAGAAAGAAAAAGAAAAGCTGAATTACAAATATATTAGGCTAAATCCTCTGAATCCTACTTTAGATAATATATCATGAACGAGTCCTGTGAAACTTCCAGAAAGTCACGGTGACTTAGGAAGAAGAAAAGCAAGATTATAAACAATTCGAAAACACTCACCCTGGCAGCCCACGCAAAATTCAACAACAACCTGCCCAGACTTTGAAACACAGCTGCCCACAGAGAAATGGCTCAGATATCCCCCAGACAAAACCTGCAGCAGCACTTCCTACTCATCCCAAGGAGCTCTGCCGAAAGGCTACTGTGTCACCAGGTCTCCTCTCAGGAAGCCCTGACAGACGGGAAGCATGCTTTCCACAGCAAGCTTGCATAGCTCCCCTGGCATCTGAGGCATGCCACCTCTCCACGCTGCACTCACTTCACACAAAATATACACAACCTAAGCCACCGAGCATCCTGGTACACAGACAGCCAAACGGCTGCAAACTGAACACACAATAAACGTTGACTCCAAAAACAAACTTTCAGGTTAGGGATGACAGAAAAGCTGGACTGTTTGCCAGAAGTGGCTCTCTGGACTGTATACTGTAACAAAACTTAAAGAGTAGAAAAAATTTGCCCTTGATTACAATATATTAAGTCATCGAAAGAATACTGCCAAGGACGTTAAAAAATATTATGCTTGTTTCCAAAGAAACGTATTACCCCTCCCAGAGATTATTCTAGTGATCTTTCCTACAGTCTAAGGAGTTTTACTATTCTCCAGGTAAGTGGCCATTGTTAACACTGTATGCCAAACCATAGATTAGTGAGACTTACAAACACAAAAACTGGACTAAAATTGGGTTAAAATTTTGAACCTACATAAAATGCTTAAAATTAGTGGATAAAAAAGTTTGTGTACTATTTTATCCCATGTGTACTATTTTATGTGGTTTATACTATTCTTGCAAAAAGTATAAACCAAAACCTTAAGAGGGACAAATCTATATTTCTAGGACATTCTACAAAACATCTGGCCTAGGCTCCTTGTAATTATGAATGTCATGAAAGTTTTTTTTTGTTTGTTTTTTGCAGAAAAACTTCTAGCATAAGGAAAACTTAAACACAATGACTAGGCTGGATGTGGTGGCTCACGCCTGTAATCCCAGTACTTTGGGAGGCCGAGGCAGGTGGATCTCTTGAGGTCAGGAGTTCGAGACCAGCCTGGCCAACATGACAAAACCCTAAGCATACAAAAATTAGCCAGGTGTGGTGGCAGACACCTGTAATTCCAGCTCTTGGGAGGCTGAGACATGAGAATTCCCTGAACCCAGGAGGTGGAGGTTGCAGTGAGCTGAGATAGTGCCACTGCACTCCAGCCTGGGCAACAGAGCGAGACTCCATCTCAAAAAAAAAAAGGGAAACACGATGACTACATATAATTTATGATCACTGGATTCTGGATAAAAAAATCTATAGAAAATATTATTGGGATATTAGAGAAATCTAAATATTAACTATAAATTAGATGATATTATTTTATCCATGGCAAATAATGGTATTTTTGCTTTATAGATGGATGTCCTTGGATGTATTGCTTGGGAAATGCATGTAGCCATTTTAAAGTATGATGTCTATAATTTACTTTAAAATGGTTCAGTCCTCATCCCTGTCCCCCGACACACACATCCAAAAAAGTACATAGGAATAGAGAGAGGGAGAGAGAAAGCAAGTGTGCCAAAACGTTAAGAACTGGCACATCTAGGTGACAGGTATCTGGACATTTTACTACTCTTTCCATTCTTCTGTGAGTTTTTTTTTTTTAAATAAAAAGGTAGAAGGGGTTGGTTTGTATCCATATAAACTGGCAACATTTCTCCATAAAAAGCCTGGGGCTCTGCTGAGTGAAGTGCACAGGCAGCTCAAAGATCTTAGCATGCAGCTGGCTAGCCATCCCATTTCAGGAAAATCAGGTCACTGAAGAATGCTGATTTCTCACATGAAGTCAAACGCTGCTCTACTTTGGGGAGAAGGCGAGAAAGAGGAAGGGTTATTTGTTCATCCTCTAAAGTTTAGAAGATACACTCCACATAAAAATATGAGTGAGGGAAAGATCATAGTATCCAAATATAGTCTATAAACATATGTGAATCAACAGTTTATGTTACCAACTTTTTTGTAATTCCTATTTAGTTAAACATGGAAAAGAACAAAATTTGTATAAAATTCAGGAATGTTGCCAAGGGTAGGTATATAGAGTATGCAAGCTAAAAAGTTTGTTCAACCAAATGTCAAACACCATTTGCAAGGTTCCCTCAGCATTACAGACACTAGGTTTACATTTTTGTTAATTATTTTTATAAAAGCATTAAAATGAAATTGAACTACAAAGCTTATCATAAAAAATAGAAGTTTCCTGTCTCCCCATTCCCCATACCCAATTCCCACTCTCTAGACGCAACTAATTTCAACTCCTTTAGCATTTTCTTCTGGCACTGAACTCTGTATTTCTAAAGAATGTGCTTATATTACTATTTCTTGATTTTCCATTTTAGATATTATCTATTAACTTCTGTGGAAGACAAGAATTTAGTTCTCATATATCACCCTCTACCTCCATGCATGCAAGCATGGCATACTTGCCCAAACCTCCCAGCTTCCAACCGTACTGTAACATTTGGTTAAGTCAATAGTCAGTGTTTACAGTAATCCAACAAAGTAAACATTATTCCCAGCAGTGCCATGTAGGATTCAATAATTACATTTCCTTTCTTGGATAACGTTTGGATTCTCTTAGAGTTATCAGTTGCCCTGTTTTTGCTTTTTTGTTGTTGTTTGCTTAGCTTTTTACACTCCTAACACATTCCCCCCATTAATCTCTCCCACGAGCTGCAAAACTCCTCTCAATAAAATTAAAACAAGTAATTTCTCTTTTTTTTCACTCTTTGGTTCTATTGTTTTTAGAGACACTCCTTCTAGGCCCTTCATCCTGATTCAGTCTGGCTGGAATGGTTGCTCTCTAGGCCTGACTTGGACTGGGACTCCTGTTGGCTACCATCCTAAGAATTTCCTTCACCTTTTTCCTCTGTGAGAACCTTGTCTTTGGATTTCGCATCTTCCCTTTCTTGGTTTACTCCCTTGTTTTGATGACACACATATCTCCCATTAGTTACCTGAATAGAACACACAGAATAGAATTTTTTGAGAATCTGTATATCTTAAAATGTCTTGATTGGTAGCCTGGTTGGGCATACAATTCTAGGTAGGAAATGATTTTCCATATAATTTTGAAAGTATTACTTCATTTTCTCCTAGTTTCTAATGTGGCTACTGAGCAGTCTGATGTTACTGATTATTAACCATTTTTATATTATTTTTTCCTCTCTGAAAGCTTTTAGGATCCTCTATTGATCCCAGGAATCCTGAATTTTAATAGGATATGTTTAGGAATGAGTCTTTTTCATTCATTGGTAGGACACTCAGTGAACTCTTTCTATCTGTAACTCATGTATTCTAATTCCAAGAAAGTTTCTTGTGTTATTCATTTACCACTTATAGCCACTTTGACTTCATGTCATCTCATTTCCCATACACACACGAGGAACTGCCTGCACTTCCCAATATACACTGACCTCTCACATCTCCACATTTCTACACAGGCTAGTGTCTCTGCTTCAAATACTTTTCTCTGCACAGCAAACTCCTATCCCTGACCACCTCTTTGAGTCTCCTGAGCACAGCTGAATTCTCCCTCTCATGTGCCACAGCACCTTTCTTTACCCATTTATCTTTCCCACTTAATTCCCACCAGACTATAAATTCCCTAAAGTCAAAACTCAGTTCTGTTTACATCTGGATCCTCAGCACCTACTACACAGCCAAGTACACAGTTAGGCAGCTTTTCCATTAAAAAAGCATTTGTTGAATAAGTGAGTAAATAGCTTCTGGTTATTCTTCCATTATACCTTTTGTAGCTGGAAAGGTTTCAACCAAGTCATGTAAAACTTAAGGTGTGTAATTTTTACAAGTGCCCCGGAGGGTTCTGAAGCAAATCCTGATTTGGAAACTGCTGCCTAGGCTTCTTCGGAGAGTGTATTTGGGACTTTCAGTACTGGGTCCCTCTGAATCCCAGGGTCAGGGAAGAAGGAGGAGTAGAGAAATCCTTTCCAAAACAAAGGCAGAGGTCTGAAGCAGGATGAGATCAGTATGAATTCATGTAAGCCTTATGCTGCAGAACAAGCCCAGGGAATGTGGATGAACTGAGACAGGATCAGTCACAACTGACACTGACCTAAGGGTGCCAGAAAAAGGCTGACCTTTGAGAAGCACACTTCTCCAGGATTTCACCACTTGACAGGAGGCAACTAGCCAGGTTCTTCACAGAATCACTGCTATTTTGTGATACACCATGCCATTTTGGGAACTGGCTAGTTGTGAATGGAACTATCCAATTACTTGAATGTTTTATTGAAACCATAAAAAATTAAGTTCCATCTGAATACCGAATAAACTAGTAATCTAGGGTATGTGAGTACAGGTTTAACTCCAGTGAGCTTGGCAAAGCATCATGGATGTAGCTGAAAAACTTGGTTGAGATTTCCACTCCCATATACATGAAAGTTAAACCATATATATATTTTTTCCCCTTGAGTTTTCTCTCCTTTAAGAATCATTTTTCTAAGGGGATCAATTTATGACGAGAAGAATGAAAAATCTGAGTGCTAGTTATTTATATTTAAAGCGTGTTGGGGAAGACTGCTACTTGATTAAATTATGTTCTAATTTTTCAAATGTATTCTCCACTTAATGAATATACCAGAATTTAATAAAAAGTCATCTATATAAATTTATTTACATGGTATATCAAATCAAATCCAACGTTTTCATCTCACTGCATTAAAAGAATTGTTTTGGCCAGGCACGGTGGCTCACGCCTATAGTCCCAGCACTTTGGGAAGCCGAGATGGGTGGATCACTTGAGGTCAGGAGTTCGAGACCAGCCTGGTCAACATGGCAAAACCCCATCTCTACTAAAAATGCAAAAATTAGCCAGGCATGGTGGCGTGCATCTGTAATCACAGCTACCTGGGAGGTTGAGGCAGGAGAATTGCTCGAACCGTAGAGGCAGAGGTTACTGTGAGCCAAGATCGCACCACTGCACTCCAGCCTGGACAACAGAGCAAGGCTCTATCTCAAAAAAAAAAAAAAAAAAAAAAAAAAAAATTGCTTTTACACAAAAAAGGCAATTTTGCTCCACGCAACAATGCTCAGTTTTAGTTTTGTAGGATTCTAACTGTTGTTTTATAAACTCTCAAAGCTGTTTTAAATGTTAAGTATCTACCATACAATACTGAAGGGTAAGTTAGAGCAGAAATGTCACAAAAATCAAAGTAAAATAAGGCATCACAACTCTGTAAATGTTGAAAATCAATAATTTGGTGGTTGAATCCAATCATTTCACTACTTGAGTAGAATGTCAAAAAATTTTTAATTTAAAGTTTTCCTTAAATTAAAATTCAAAAACATTTAACTATTAACCAAATTGCTGAAAGCATATATAGCAGCATCACCTAATTATGAAAAGTGGAAACATAAGAAGGTAGGAAATCTTAAAGAATTATTTTACTTTTTAAAGTTTTCAATCTTCTAGTCCAAAAAAATAGACTTAAGTTTCTCTATTCACAGACCTTCTATTTTGCTTCTTGATTTTTCAGATCCATGTTGACCTCAAATAAGTCATTTACCTTTTCACTGTTACTTTTGCCCCAAATTAAAAACAAAAATGACCCCACTACAGTTCTAATGTTAAAAAGCAAGGTTTTAGAATTAGATTGATAGGAGTTTGAACTCTCCCTCCACCTCTCGGTAACTTTAACAAATCACTTTTTCTCAGACTGTGGCATTTCCAGATGCATAAATAAAAAATTTCAAATCTTTTCCATTCAATGTCACAAAACTGATAGCCCCAAAGTTATCAAGTTTGCATAGTATTTGACTTCATTGATACATCTCACTTCCAAATAAGAGATATTTCAACAGGGAAGTAGCATGATTCAGGGTAAAGACCCCTACTAGAGAGATCTATGAGCAGATCTGTTATTAGCTACTTGGGCAAGGCACTGTGTCTCTCTGACCTCACTGTTCTCACTGGCAATAATACCAGTGCTGTGAAAGTGCATACGTGAGCACAGTGCCTAGTATATGGTATACATGCAATTAATGGAAATTATGGTTTTCTCATTATTTTAATAACCCTTGATATCATATTTAGCCATCTATTCCTTCAGTTTTTATGGTCAGGTATGCTCTCAATAGCTTTCCTCTCCCCATTTTCAGAATTGTTTTATATTATATCTCTTAGTTTTGTAGAGCAATTATTAACAAATAAAGGTGCTATTGATCCCTGAATCCTTTCCCTCTCTTTGCCTATTTTCTAATTCTTTCTCATTCCTCTGTTTAACTGCCGTTTTTGGTTTTTGTCATTTCTGAAAGATCTTATTAGTAAGTAATTATAATTTCTTTTAAGCTTTTTTCATAATGTATTTAAATTGCTAAAACACAATACTTTTCTTTTTTTTTTTTTGCACTTTTTGGACATTAGCATTGCTAAGATCTATTTATTCAATGATAGCACTCACTTTGGTAGGGTGCTGGAGCATCCCCTCCTTCCCCAGTGACCACGGTCTTCTTTCAGACATTATCTGCTGCACAGTCAATTGCACGTCTAACCCAAGAAAACTTAACCTGATTATCCAATACCTGCAAGTGATGATTTTTTAAAAAAAATTAAATCTACTTTGGCCGGGCACAGTGGCTCACACCTGCAATCCCAGCATTTTGGGAAGCAGAGGTTGGAGGATCACTTGAGCTCAGCTGGGGCAACATAGGGAGATCTCATTTCTAAAAGTAAAAATAAAAACCTACTTTATGAAAGGATTAACTTTACTAGAAAAAAGGTCTTTGAACTTTCTCTGGATGTTTCTATCTTGTGGTTTTATATGGGCCTATATTTCTGAATTTAGAGCCTTCCTCTTTTCCTGTCCCTAATTCATACTTTCCTTTCCCCCTTCTTCAAAAAGTAAGGTTGCCAGTTTACTTTTTATACAATATAGGAAGAAAAACTTACACGTTTTATCATGACCTGGATGTGACAAAAAAGATACTTTTTGAAAAGAGCTTTCAATATTCAGCAAATTATTTTGCCAAACTTGCTGCCTTGATATTTATGCTAGTATTATTTCAGCCTCTTTAACATAGATCAGTGAATAAATTAATAATATGTGCTTTGTCATCATGTGTATAAAAAGAACACCACTTGGAATCACTGTTCTGCAATTTTTTTCCCCTGAGTCTTATCTTCAAAAAAATGAGGAAAGCTCTGGTTCAGTGTATTTGTCCGTAACACCAAGGTCAAAGATTCAAAGATTCTATTCCTCAACAGGACTGCTGTTCTACTATTTTTTTTTAATCACTAAAAAAGATAAAAGCTGGCTGGGTACAGTGGCTCACACCTGTAATCCCAGCACTCTGCAAGGCTGAGGCAGGAGGATCGCTTGAGCCCAGGAGGTCGAGGCTGCAGTGAGCTATGATTACGCCACTGCACTCCAGCCTGGGTGACAGTGAGACTCTGTCTCAAAAAAAAAAAATAAAAAATAAAAAAATAAAAGTTGCAAGACTAGGTATAGGAACAGAACCAACTTGTACTGTATCTACCAGATATTTCCTTTCTTCCTCCAAGGCTGCTCCTAGAAAAATAGTGTATCTTATACAGAGTAGGTTGGGTTCAGTAAATAGGACTTCAGGCATAGATATCTGAGAGAACCCAACTTTAAATAAGAATCCAAAAAACAGAATAGCCATTGTTTCATATTTTCCCCCTTCCTCTATCTTTACCATATAAAAGTAATGTAACTCTCTAGTTAGAGCAATGGTAAGAATAAAAATAAGCTAAACATTCTTATTGAAATATTAAAGTAATTTAGTAGTGAGGCATTCTTATTGAAATAATTAAAGTAATTTAATAAAAGTCAACTTCCACAACACACTTCCTTACCAAAAGTATTGTTACCAGAAGTAAAAGATGGGAGGCACAGGAATGTAGTTGGTGGGAGCACTTAACGCCACAGAAATGCTGCGTGGAAACATGTCTGTGCTCAAACAGAAGCCCAACAAGGAAACATGAAGTGGATACAACCTACGGCCACGGCATAGGCCGCTGCGTGGGCTTGTTGTGTTGAGTAGCTGGGAGCTTCTTGCAGCATGAGGAAGAGAATGGGGCCAGAGTTGAATAAAGTGAGGGTGCACGGAGAGGGGAGATTTCTAGGGCTTGGCCAGAAGAGGAATTCACAGGTGTCAGGACTGGGGATGAGGAGAAAGCCGTAGCCTATGAGTAAACAAGGCTCACTTCAGTTCGCTACCTCCCACCTATCCTGCCCCCACCCTAGGTCTTGCTGCTACTCAGCCCTTGTTTGTACCCCAAATCGTTTTCTGTCAAATAGAAAGTATCAGACCATCCTGGCTGCTGACAGACAGGTACAACTTTGGACTGAGTGCCTGGAATGAATACTCCCTGAGAAGGGTGAATGCAAGAGTTAAAACATGGTAACCTCAATGTAAGATGAAGGGTGAAAGGAATGGGGATGGTAAAACTAGGGAAGACTAAGACCTTATATTATGTTTTGATGATCAAGAGGCAAGGCTATCTGTGGATGAAAGTTACAGAAAGAATTTCTGGTTCTTTGGGAGGCCAAAGTGGGAGTATCGCTTGAGGTCAGGCATTTAAGACCAACTTGGGCAGCATAGTGAGATCCCATCTGTACAAAAAATGAATAAATAAAAATTAGCCAGGTGTGGTGGTTCATGCCTGTAGTCCCTGCTACTCAAGAGACTGAGGTGGGAGGATAGCTTGGGCCCAAGAGTTCAAGGTTGCCATAAGCTATGATTATGCCACTGCACAAAGTGAGACCCTGTCTCCAAAAAAAAAACAAAGGATTCCTGGTTTAGAGTTGGCCAACAAGAAAATCTGCCACCCTCTTTAGTAGTGAGTGACCCATCACCAAGAGCGTTCAATGGGATATGCGGTGTAGAGTGGGAGTGGGAGACTCTTGCATCAGCTAAGAGGGCAGAATGAAACCACTTTAAGACCCACTCCAACCCTGTTGAGTTGATGACTAATCTACTATAAAGTATAGACGGTCTCCCTCCTTTTCTGAGGGAAGCAGTCATGAACCCGACACCAAACATCATGGAGAAGCACAGTGAACCACATCAGTGATGGAAATAAAGGAAACGATTTGGCCATCTTCTTCAATTTCTCCTCCCAAACTGGGTGAGAAGCTAAGAGCCACATTCCAGGTTTCTATCCTAAAACTTTCCTCTTCCTTCCCCCCAATTCCCAAAGCAAAGAGATCTCTTTGTCTTGAAAGCCATCGTATAACCACCTAACATCAAAACTCTTTGGATGATGATCTACCCCTATTCTTTTATCAGCAAAATGGAATTGCACTACCCCATGCAGTATTGGGCTGCAGAGCTTAATGGTGCAGGACTCTTTATTAGGACCAATCCCATGTTCCTCGTGTGCTTATTCCCATACGTGGTATTACACAGTACTGTGCAGAAGGTGATATGAATAAACAGCTGTCCTACAGCATCAATTTCACTTTAACACTATGGGGAATAAGCCAGGCAAGGTAGCACATACCCTCAGCCCCAGCTACAGGGAAAGTTCAGGTGGGAGGATTGCTAGAGCACAGGAGTTCAAGGCCAGCCTGGACAACATAGCAAGACTCTGTTTCTAAAAAAAAAAAAAAAAAAAATTTGTCTTTTTTAAAATATGTGTCTGTATCGATTTGTTCAATTTAAGTAAAACAGTGTAGGACAGAAGAGAATGCAAAATCCACATAAATTTTTAAGATTAAATATAAAATTTTAAAGCAAGTACTTGCTTGCATTGGGGTATCTGTGGCTATACGGACAAATTCTTGAAGGAAAACATTCATTTATCCCCACAATAGAGTACTTTGGTAGAAAAGTTTAATAAGTAAAGATTTATTACATGACGTGCAGACAGCAATTCTTTCCTTTTCTTTTTGGTTTTCTTAAATGGAAGCCTGGAGATGAGTCCAGAAAGAAGGGTATTGGGGCCTTGCTCAAAATTAGCTATAAAAATGGTTCCAAGTGGTTCTAAAGCACACTTTAGAAACACTTATACTCAAAGCAGGAGAGTAGTTATGAAAACCTACATACCCACTACATAAGTATAACTTGGGAACAGGACAGGGTACCAAAGGCAAGCCTTAGCTGGAAGAGCTGAGTGCTATGGTAGGAATGCTCCCACCAAAATTCATGTTGAAACTTAATTACTTAATCGCTAATGTAACAGTACTGGGAAGCAGAACCTTTAAGAGGTGATTAGGTCATAAATGGATTCTCACTGTTATCCTGGGAGTAGGTTAATTATCTCAGGAGTTCACTTTTTCTCTTTGTCTTTCATGGCTTGCTTTCGCCTTCCACCCTTCCACAATGGGTGATTCTCGCCAGATGCCAGAGCCATGTACCTGGACTTCCCAGGCTCCAGAACCATGAGCCAAATAAATTACCCTTGTTCCTTGTAAATTACCCAGGCTGTGACAGACTGCTCTAGCAGCAGAAAACAGACTAGGACAGTGGGCAAGCAGCTCTGCGTATAACTTGAGAGATGTAGTAAAACATCCTTCTTTACCACATTGATACAGTGGCTGAAATTTCAGGCACTGTTACAAGCATTTCTATGTGCTTTCTCATAAAGTCATGCACCACATAACTATGCTTTAGTCAACAATGGACTGCATATATAACAGCGATCCCATAAGATTGTAATAAAGCTGAAAAATTCCTATTGCTGAGTGATGGCACAGTTTCCTAACATCATAGCACAATGCATTACTCATGTGTTTGTGGTGATGCTGGTGTAAACAAACTTATTATGCTGCCAGCTGTATAAAGGTACGGCACATACAATTATGTACAGTGCACAATGCTTGATAAGGATAATGACTGTGTTACTCATTTATGTATTTACTATACTTTTTATCCTCATTTTAGAGCATACTCTTTCCACTTAAAAAAAAAAAAAAGAAAATTAACTGAGGCAGGTCCTTCAGGAGGTGTCCAGAAGAAGGCATTGTTATCACTGGAGATGGGGAGATGGCAGCTCCATATACATTACTGCCCCTGAAGACCTTCCAGTGAGCCAAGATGTGGAGGTAGAAAACAGTGATATTGACGATCCTAACCCCATGTGGGGCTAGGCTGATGTGTGTGTTTCTGTCTTAGTTTTTAACAAAGTTTAAGAAGCAAAACAAATTTTTTTTTAAATTTAAAAATAGAAAAAAAATCTTACAGAATAAGGATATAAAGAATTTTTGTATAGCTGTACAATGTGTTTGTGTTTTAAGCTAAGTGTTATTTCAAAAGACTCAAAAAGTTAAAAAAAAGTTTAAAGTTTATAAAACAAGAAAGTTACAGCAAGCTAAGGTTAATTTATTATTGAAGAAAAATGTTTAAATAAATCTAGTAGAGCCTAAGTGTACAGTGTTTATAAAGTCTACAGTAGTGTACAGTGATGTCCTGGGCCTTCACATTCCCTCACCACTCACTCACTGACTTGCCCCAAACAACTTCCAGTCCTGCAACCTCCATTCATGGTAAATGCCCTATACGGGTGTACCATTTTTTATCTTTGATACTGTATATTTTATACTGTATTTTTACTGTGCCTTTTCTATTTTTCGATAGAAATACTTATTACTGTGTTACAACTGCCTATTCAGTATAGCAGCATGCTACATAGGTCTGTAGCCTAGGAGCAACGGACTATCTCACACAGCCTAGGTGTGTAGTAGGCTATAGCATCTAGGTTTGTGTAGGTGCACGCTGTGGTATTTACACAACTACAACATCACGTAACAACACAGTTCTCTCAGAACGTATCCCCATCATTAATGGACACATGACTGTACTTATCCTTAGGAAGCAGGTACTACTGTTCCTAACTTACATGAGTGAGAAAACTGAGGATCAGGGGTATGAAAGTAGCTCAAGCCAACTACCTTACAGGTGACACAACTTGTGTCAAATTCAGGCCTGACTCCAAAGTCATATCATTGTTTTCTACCATATCATGTCTTTTTGTTAATAACATTCTGCCTCCTCCTTCTAATTTGCCTTTTGTTTACCCTATTTAAACTATTTTCTTATTACAGTAATTACTGGATTGCTCACCATCCACCTAAAGTTCAATTTGAGGCTTTAATTTCCTATTACAATTGAAGACACTGGGGTTAGGGTGTCAAATGTGGGGCTGCTTTGTTCTCACAGATTCTTCTACTGTGCTGGGATTACTTAACAGCTATTAGGACGATGCTTCAGCATCCGTAGGAGGGTCTGACATAAAAGCACCCATGTATCAGTCGAATCAATCTAAGCTCTAGCATTCATAGTCCTCTTCCCTTACCAGGTACAATTTTCTGGTCACAGCTGGAACTCTGCTTATTTGTGTCTAGTGGGGCAAAGTTAATAGCTACCAAAAAACTAGCCTAAATCTTCCTTGCAGTAAGACCAAAAGGTGCCTTAACTGTTCCTACTACATTTAGATAGACAAGATACTCACCCTGTCAATCTGTCCTGGGTAGAATAAAATGGAAAACAAGTGATCTAAATTCATTTTTATTTCCAACATCTCAGGATACAGACATAGGGCTATCTTATTCCAAGAAGTATTATATCCCCACAAACATCTTTTTCCAGTTTAAACAAAAACAAAAACAAAACAAAAACAAAAAAACCACTGATTCTCTCCTCTCTTCTGAATCTACCACTTTCTAAAATAAACTGTCCATTTTGCTCTGTCACTCCACACTAATAGCTTCACCTTACATCTGACTTATTTTCATGAAAAGTTTTCAGTGTTTTCTCTGATGATTCGATTATTCACTCCACGCCCCCACAAACCTATTTATAATTTTGTAGCCCTATCAAAGTCAGTTTCACTGCTCATTCCAGATAGGCTCTGAGCCAATATATTGCCAATAACACTCACTCTTGTGCTAAGTTAAAATACACAGTGCAACTTGCCAAGTTTCCTTATTTGGCAAGAAGGCCCCTTAGTTCCCAAGATCTTTGACCATCCATTTTTAGATCCAAGTCCGAGTGTTTAATATTTGGATTTTTTTTTCTCTCTTTACTGTGTCCTTATATATTCCCTAAAAGATTAAGAAAAACGGATCAATCATCTATTTGCTTTTTTAGACAACGGAGAAAGTCCTTGCAATTGCATCATGGTCATTTACTCTGGAATTATTATCACTAAATTTTTTTATTTAAACAATATTTTGTAGTTAAAAAACTCCCCAAATAATCTCAAAAAGTTATAGTAGGAATTAAATTGTGATAGATTAAAATAAACAGTGCAGTGGTCCAAAAGACCATTTTTCTTTATCTTAATTCTGTTTTCCCAAACTAAATTCGTATTCATTTACAATCTCCTAAATCTCTCACTATAGTAGCAGGAATTTAAAACAAAGACTCTACAAATGACCATAACCATAATTAAAATGCAGCCATCACTTTTTTTTTTTTTTTTTTTTGGAAAATTGAAAAACAAGTGAAATTTCACTGTGGAGATAGGCCTACTACAAAGAGGACATTAACTAGCCTTGAATCACTTGTTTATTTTTGTCTTTAAACGTGTTTGGAGGTTTGGATCCACTAAATCCTAGCTGTTCATTTCAACGAAGGTCGAGGAAGCAAGAAGGCTCTTCCAAAACAGCTTCGGGGTTAAAGAAGGAGTACAGTTTTCAACAATCTTAAGTCAAACATCCTCAAATTCACTCTGTAAGACGATTCTCACACACCAGTATCGAGAGCTGCTTACTGTACCATACTTGGAATGGGCCCCTAAATTGTGTTGCTTTCATTATTACAGAAACTAACAAAAATAGTAATTAAGTTCCCCATAAACAGTACTTATGCGCGATCTCAAAGCGCATCAGAAACATAACATTTTCAGCGATCTAACAGAGATAACTTTTTAAAAAAATTTTTTAGGCAATCGGATGTCATCTAGCCAGTCCTGAATTAAAGTTTTCTGAAAGCTGTCATGGGCAAGCGAGGCCAGACGAGGCGACGGCCTGGGTAAGCACTTCTGGGCCTGGTGCAGGTCTGGGAGCCCACAAAAAGCCGCTGCCTGAGGGTCGCCAAAGGAGACATCCCCGGCTCCGGTGGGAGGAAAGGGGGAAGCCCGAGAGGGCGGGCGCTTCATGCTGCCCAAGCCCGGGGCAGGAAGGGCGGGGAGCGGTGGCTCTGGATACATTTACGCATGTTTTTAAAACTAATCTTTAGTGTTCATTGTTCCTGCTGGTTATTCGCATGGCCTAATTGTGTGAGGAAAACAGAATGAAGGAAAATGGATGGGAAGCAACACCGCTCGCGGTCGAGTTCTTAGAAAAGCAGAAGTTCGTCGTCCCTCCTCGCACGCACAGCGAGTGCTGGGAAGTGGCCTGCACCCTACCCTGATTTGGGGGCCTCGCGGTTCGCCTCCCGACAGTGCCCCAGTCACCCGCTGCTTGGCCGGCTCTGCTGCTCGCGGAGCCCCTGCCCGTGCCGCACGCCCGGGACCGCGAAAGCCGGGGCCGCTCCGGCCTGCGCCCGCGCCTCCAGGCGCCAACTTCTCCATGGGACCGGCCCGAACTCTCCCGAACCGCACTTGGCGGCGCCGCGGCCAAGGTCCCGCGAGGACTTCCCGGGCGCCGCGAACGCTCGCTCGCTCGCCCGCCCGCTCGCTCCGGCCGCCGCCGCCGGGCGGGCCCTGGGTCGGGGAGGGGAGCCCCGAGGAGCCTCCCGAGGCCGCCTAGACTCCCGGGCTCCGGCGGAGCCTCGGCCCCGAGACGCAGGGACGACTCGCGAGCGCGGCGGGCCTCGCCCCCTCCCTCCCCGCCCTCCGCGGGCTCCAGCCTGACCCCTACCTGGCTCCCGGGCGGGGCGTGAGCAGCAGCCGGGGGCGCGGAGGCCCCGCGCGCGACGAGGGCGGCGGGGGTTGGGACGACAGCGGCCCGCGCGGCTCCCACGTTTCCGCTGCAGTTAGGAGTTGAACATTCCGCCTCTCTGCACGGCGCCAATGAGGAAGACAGTCACGGCAACAGCACCACCTACCTCCCGGCGCGAAACGGCTGGGCCGCCCTCCCCTCACACGCGCGGGCGAGCGGGGCGTGGGGAAGGCGCTCGGGCCTCCCTGGCCTGCGCCCGGGGGGCACCATCCGCCCCGCGCCCCGGCACCCGCCGAGGCCCCCAGACACACCTGCCTTGCTGTGGGGGGAGGGCCGTGGGGGTGTTCCCCCTCGCCCCCAGCACCTTAACTCATCTTTTTGACAAATTAACACCACCTGCTACTCCTTCAACTCAGTCTTCAACAAACAGGCGCTGGGGACGCAAAGAAATAGAGGCTGTTTTGTGCCCCGCAAGAGTTAATTCTCTAGTTGGGAAAGGCACAAACGTAGAGATTTCTGGGAACATAGGTCTGAAGGCTGCCTCTCTAGAAAGATCAGTAGGTACCTCTGGAATTTTGAGGAGGGGCCGTGGTCTGCTGCTCTAGTTGCTAATTTTAACAGAGCAGAATTCAGAAGAGGAGCCAGAGTCCGTTACAGGCCTAAGCCAAAGGTGGAGGTGGGCGTTGGGAAGAAAAGAAATTTCTGATTGGGGAGGATGGTTCTGTGAAGGAAAAGTGAGAGGAGGTTGCAAGGGCATGGGCAACATTATTCAGGATTTTGAATTTGAATTTTATTATCCATGGACACTGGGAGCTGTGAAAAATTAGAATCAAAGGGGTGAAATGGGGGTTTGTGATTCTGTTTAAATGGTAATTTTGAGAGAGTAGTCCACAGTAGTTGTAGGTTGGGTTGCTAGGATGGAACCAGGATGAGTAGTAGATATTGTCACCACCCGGTTGTGGGATCATGAGGACCTGAGTTAGGATGTAGGAAATGGAATTAAAAAGAAGAAATGGGCTGGGCATGGTACCTGTAATCCCAGCACTTTGGGAGGCCAAGCTGAGAGGATTGCTTGAGACCTGGCTGGGTAACACAGTGAGACCTCATCTCCAAAAAAATCAGAAAATTAGCCTGATGTGGTGGCATACATCTATAGTCCCAGCTACTCGGGAGGCTGAGGTGGGAGAATCGCTTGAGCTGGGGAAGTCGAGGCTAAAGTGAACCACAGTCGCGCCACTGCACTCCAGCCTGGATGAAAGTGAGACTCTGTCTCAAAAAAAAAAAAAAAAAAAAAAAAAAAAAAAAAAGAAGAAATGGAATTGAGAGAAATATTAAACGTTTCAGCAAGAGGCCACAGAAATTGGTAACCCACAAGATTTAGAAGAGAAGAAGAAGAGAGATGATGCCAAGATCTCAGACCTGGATGACTGGAAGAATGATGGTGTCATTGACAAAAATAGGAATACGTGAAAGGGAAGCTGGCTTCATGTTGAGTTTGAGGTCATAGGAGTAAAAACAGGTAGAGATGCAGCAACTGAAATATGAAACTGAAATTCAGGAAAGAGGTCAAGAGTGAAATAGAAAATTTGTAAGTCATTCAATAGGTTAAAGATATGAAAGTTGAGGGATGAATGAGTAGAGGTTAAAAAACAATTTATTAGTCTGATTAATTTGCCCTTTGATAAGGACTGGAGATTTTAGCATTAATAAATTTTATTTTGGTAACTGAGAAATTAGAATTGATGAAAATTGCCATGCTAAAAAAATGTATAATGCAGGTCTAATAAAATAATTCAAATAATTCCATCCTATCCATTCAAGGAAAAACTAAGGCTCTTTAGCATAGACCCCAGGCATAGGAAGACTCCAGTCATTTTACCTTACCTTCAGAGGCACTTGTTTGTTTTGGAAAGGACCCTAGACTGAGAGTCAGAGAACCTGACTTCTGGTCTTAGAGCTACCAGTTATCAGCTAGAGTGCTTTGCAGGATAGGCCACAGTTTCCTCCTCTGTAAAATAAGAGGGACTAATTAGAAGTTAGTTGCAGGTTCCAGCTTTAAAACCATGAATGTATTGCTTTAAATTTGGAACACATGGCTTAAGAGCATCAATATTTTTAGCCACATTGCCCTTGCTTCCCATCCCTTTGCCTTCATTCTGTTTTCCTCACATAATTAGGCCAAGAGAATAACCAGCAGGAACAATGAACACTAAAGATTAGTTTCAGAAACATGCTTAAATGATAATCTAGTAGACATTTTCTTGTCTTCCCAAATAGGTTGCAAGCCCTTTGAGGTCACATCTTATATTGTGTGGTATCTGCATATGTATTGTCCATAGCTGAAATAAATATATAATGATTGTATGATAAACTGATTGCCTCAAGTTTGGTTTTTCTTTTGTCAAGCTGCCTGTTTCCTATTGATTATACTGATCTTTTTAGGCCCCAGACCTAATAAATATGGTCTAGTATGTATTCTCAACACCGACTGCTTTTTTGAACTTTCAAATCTTTTTTGAATTGGTTAATGCTCACCAGGCAGAGTTTAGGTTTACCCGTGTGAAAAGCAATAACAAAAGAGACCTAGTCAAACTTCTCTTATCAAACCTGCCTATTCCTTTACTTCAAATGTTTCCACACTAAAAATAGATGTACTCTTAGCAGTGAGGTGGCTTGGAAGTCCTTAGCACCCTCTTATATCCAAGAACATTCTCCAAAATAAACATGCAATCTAAGTTGAAAAATATAAATATAGCTTAAGGAAAAACTTTCCTATCCCCCTATTCAATGGGACTGTTTCTTCTAAGCCCCTCTTCAAATAGATATTCTGAAACTGCCACTAGCTATCAGTGGATGAGAAAAGTGCAGACATAAATTCTACGAATGGCAGAAGGAATGGCAACTTAAAAGGAAGAAAGCAGTCTTTATCCTCCCCTCCTCTTATAGTGGTAAGAGTTATGGCACAAGCTGGCACCCAGGGGCATTTTCTCTAGCCGTCTTAGTTTTCCATCTTAACTTGTGAATAGTCTATGCCTGGATCATAGCTAAGAATTACCCAACTTTTATGCAAAGACCAAGGCTTTACCTCCTGTACAACTCTGAATCCCTGGGAAATTAAGGTATATAATCAAACATCCTTTAAGTCATTTAACCATTGCCTTAAAATCATAAATGAAGCCCAGATCATTGTTTGAGTTTAGTGTTTACATCTAACTTGAGGATCAAAGAGATTTACAGGAATATGCAGGATATCGAGCTTATTTAGGCACCCTGGGACATGAAAGGAGCGGTGTGGCAAGAAGACATATTGAAGACTTTTACAAAATGTATTCAACAGGCATTTACTGACTGCCAGGCACTGTGCAGAGCTTTATGATTATAGCAGTGAACAAGCATGGTCCCCTCTCTCACAGAGTTTTCGGAGTGCAATGGAAGAGCCAGCAAAGACACGAGCAATTACACTATGGTATGCTCTTAAAGGGGCAAAGATTGGGGCTTACAGCAGGGTACCTAGCATAGTTTTGAGAGGTCAATGAAGGCTTCTAAATCAAAGAAGCTCGAAGTTAATACAAGAAGAAATGAAGAGGATTTGCTGGACAAAAAGGAGGGAAAGATATTCCAGGCAAAGGAAACAAGTGCAATGGCCTGAGAGCATTTAGCAAGTTCAAAGAATAAGTTCTTCATGTATCTGAGTAAAGACATCACCAGCAGGGAGTAATAGCCCTCATAGTAGTGGTAACAGTAATAGCAGAAGCAATAATAATAATAGATGGTTAATATTTACTGAACAGTCATACGCCATGCACTGAATTAAGAGTTTTACACAGACGTCTTCCCATTTAGTCTTCACAATAACCCTAGCAGGTAGTTTTAAGTCATCATCCCATGCTATGGGGCCAGAAAAAGTCTTGGAAAAGTTGGGCAACTTGCCTTCCCTCAGGGAGCAAAAGGTAGACTTTAGGCTTGTTTTTTCAAATCAAGCAGTTCTCAAACTTTTTGGTCTCAGGACTCCGTTACACTCTAAAAAAGTCATTGAGGATGCCAAATAGCTTTTAAGTGAGTCATATCTATCAAATTTATTATATTAGAAATTAAAGCTGGGCACGGCGGCTCACGGCTGTAATCTCAGCACTTTGGGAGGCTGAGGCAGGTTGATCACAAGGTCAGGAGTTCGAGACCAGCCTGGCCAACATGGTGAAACCCCGTCTCTACTAAAAATACAAAAATTAGCTGGGCCTGGTGGCAGGTGCCTGTAATCCCAGCTACTCGGGAGGCTGAAGCAGGAGAATTGCTTGAAGCAGGACTTGGGAGGCAGAGGTTGCAATGAACTGAGATGGTGCCACTGCACGCCAGCCTGGGCTACAGGGCAAGACTCCGTCTCAAAAAAAAAAAAAATTAGAAATTAATCCATTTAAAAATAATAAGCCAATAAGCCTATCTATGTTAACATAAATAACATTTTAGTGAAAAATAACCATTGCCCCAGATTTTTAAAAACTGAAAGAATACCATTGTTTTACATTTTTGCAAATCTCTTTAACGTTTAGCTTAGTAGACAAAAGTTGGATTCTAATATCTGCTTCTGAATTTAATCTATTCCAATATCATACTACATATATCCTCTGGGAAATTCCACTGTACACTCATGAGAGAGTGTCAATATTTTTATGAAGAGTTCTGACCTTGCAAACCCCCCAAAGGGTCCCCAGGCTGCATTTTGAGAACTGATATTTTAGAGTCTGAAGGGAGTTGGTTGCCTTGTTCTCTGCTTCAAGACGCAGCGTAACAGGGCAGCTGCATCAAGCAGGGAAGAGAGCACTTTGCTAAATGGCAGAAAATCTGGGATGTGGTGCCAGCCCTGTCCTTAAACAACTGTCCCCTCCTCGGGACCATACTACCTGATGGTCATGTGGGATGATAAAGTCCTACATATCTGAGTCTTGAGTCCTAGTCACTGCTCATTCTTTACTATTGTTTGCCATGCTACTTTTCTTTAAAATGCTATATCTAAACTTTGACTGAATCATAACTGAGTTTGTCACATCCATTCAGCATTGAGCCTTCTATTCTTTTTTTTTGAGACAGAGTCTCACTCTGTCACCCAGGCTGAAGTGCAGTGGCATGATCTTGGCTCACTGCAACCTCCGCCTCCTGGGTTCAAGCGATTCTCCTGCCTCAGCCTCCTGAGTAGTGGGGATCACAAGTGCAAGCCACCACGCCTGGCTAATTTTTGTAATTTTAGTAGAGACGAGGTTTCACCATGTTAGTCAGGCTGGTCTCAAACTCCTTACCTCATGATCCACCCGCCTCAGCCTCTCAAAGTGCTGGGATTACAGGCGTGAGCCATTGCACCTGGCCGAGTCTTGCTATTCTTTCTACTCACTCTTAACTCTACTTTATTGCAAGAAACTCATATACCTCTTCCCAAAGATGTAACAATTGATGTAATTTTCTGACAGAATCCTGGAGTTACTTATTATGAAGTGGTATTATTAAGTGAAGGGCTGGTAACGACTTTGAATATGAACACTGGGATTCACTGAATCCCAGCATGGGTTCACTGAAATCAAGATATGTCTAGTTTTTGCTACTGGTATCAGAGGAGGTCAGTGTGGATCTGATTTCAGTGAAACATTTGACAAAGTTTCTCAGGATGGCTTTAGAAATCAGAAGGAAATTTTAACTGATGACAACACAATACAGTGAATTTCTATTAGAATGAAAACTGAGCCACAAGTGCTAATGAATGGATCAGTGCTCTGGTGGAGAAGGGTTTCTAATGGTATGTTGCTGGACTGTCTTCTTTATTCTGCCCTGTTGAACATTTCAACAACTTGGATGAAGACCCAGGAAGCTTGCATATCTAATTAAGGACTAACATGAATTTAGAAGGAATAGCTAATAAATTAGGTAGAAGAATCCTATCAAAACCCAAAAACCTTTGCTTAAAACCTCTATTGATGCCTTACTGCCTAACATGTTAGTCCAAGCTCTTTAGGGTGCATTCAGAATCCTCCATTAGTAACCCAAAGTTAAAACCCCAAATCCTCCATTATCCAACCCAAACATCTTCCATCATCATGGGCCTCATGACAAATAGAACCATTCATTTTCCAATTTCCATGCTTTCCTTCTAATTACTTTCTTCTAGCACCTCTGCTGTCTTCAAGGCCCAGGTAAAATGTTCCCTTTCTCGAAAGCCTTTTCCAATCCTCTGTTAAGGAGTAATCTTGGGAGGCCAAGGCAGGAGGAGCACTTGAGCTCAGGAGCCTGGGTGGCATACTGAGATCTCGCCTCCACAAAAAAAATTTAAAAATTAGCCAGGCATGGTGGCAGGTACCTGTAGTACCAACTACTTGGGTGGCTGAGGTGGGAGGATCGCTTGAACCCATGTGGTTGAGGCTACAATGAGCCATGATCAAGCCACTGCACTCCAGCCTGAGTGACAGAGCAAGACCCTGTCTCAAAAAAAAGAAGTAATCATTTCCCCCTTGGAATCTTAGAATACTTTTGTTTATCTTTTGGGTTTTGCCCCATATTATGATTATTTACATGCTGTTGTTCCTTTTCTTCATGATCTTTAAAGGGAAGATCCACATATATTATTATTTCTGTGCAAACCCACCACAACTGACATAAACATTGCTTGCAATCACTCAGTAAATATTTATTTAATGAAAAACCGAATAAAAGAAAGTGAATTCCTAATTGAATTATGATTCAAGAAACTACTTTTAACTATGTCAGGGAGTTTATTTGTAGAGAAGTATGGAAACTAACGCCACATGAACACTGATTCTGTGTTAAGCATTTTATCAGAAGTTATGCAAATACATCACTTAATTATTTATTTAATCTATAAAAGAAGAACTGCAGACTCAGAGATGCTAAGTAATTTGCTGAATATCACATAGCTAATATGTGGTAAAGTCAGGATATAGATACGCCTTGATCTATCTGAGTCTATAGCCCATATTGTTTTTATTGTACTGTGTTTCAAGGGAAATATACTTTTAGATGTTTTTGATAAAGAAATGGGCTATAAGAAGCACCTGGTCAGTCTCTACAATTATTTCTCAAAGGGGCCAGCCGTTGCTAAAAATTGGAAAAAAAGTGGCATATTTTATAATATGTATCGTAAGACCTTTGTACACATCAGAGGCAATTGCATGTATTCCATGTCTTAGCACATGCCATCAAGTAATGTTTTTCTGAAAGATTTTAGTTTTTGGTCTAACTTATTAAAACAAAATTTACTAACTAAATAGCATAGAAGCAAAGGGCTGATACCCGTTTAGATAAGATGATACAAGAGGTTTAAGGTTTTAAGTGCATGTTTTCTCACTACTTTATCATAATTAATGGTTCAAGAATAGTCTCAGATCTCTATAAAGAATATCTTCCTATATACAAATCCTCAAACACTACACAAGTGTTCAAGAAGGAGAATACCCAGGTGGAAAAAGTCCGTGCATGGGCCCAGCTCCAATTCTTCCACCATTGTCCCCTCCCAACATCTTCCCCTACACCTTGGAACCTGCCTACACCAGTTCTCATGCTCATTGTCACACCTGGCAACCAAGAATACACTGCTTCCATCCCAAGTGCCGGGGTGGCAGCCTGTATTCAAAAAAACATTACTGAAATCTAAAGAAAAGCATACATAATATAACTACATAAAAATAAAGTTTTATAAACCTAGTCAAGTTTCTAAAATTGAGGCTTCTACTTTAAAAGATCCAATAAGCAGGGATGAACTTTCATCCCCAGGTGGCTATATCACAGGTGAGCTGGTAAACATTACAGATACGTTTCTACTTTCTTACAGTCCTCAGAGCTTCCCCTAGACACATCTTGCTGTTTTCCTGGATAAACCAAATTCTCAGACCCAAACTTCTGGAAATTCTGAGAAACCCAACTATAACCCCATACGTCATTCAGCTATACCACCAATTTCTTTAATTTAGGCATGTGCAATAGGGCAGGAGAACTCTTCTATCTGTTGATTTCTGGAAAAGCAATAATTATATTTCATAAGGTAATTATTAGATCCATTTAATCATCACTCATAAATATTCAAGTGACATAACCATCTTTTATATAAAATTTTCAGATATCTGTAGATTTCTCATGGTCTTTTTCATTATATACCTGATTAGATGATACTAATACATAATCATCTGCCTCCCATAGTAATCCCTTTCTTTTCTATATGCATTTTTAACTGATATGCCTGATCTGTGTTTTCTTCATTTCTCTTGCTACCAAAAGTCTACAACTAAGCAACATACTTCCTCTGGACTGCCTGGAGGAAGAGTGGGAAGTAAGGGAATGACTACTGCTTCCCAGGATCTGGGCTAGGACCTCCCAGATGTGGATTTAACAACTTGTTATAATCAGAAAATCCTGGTCAAATTTCAAAGTCACTTTTCTGGCCACACTTCTTTTGTATTATTCTTTCTCGTGTTGAAATTTCTCTAACTGCTATTTTTATAAATTCAACCTTCTTTCTTTTTTCGTTTCTTTTTTTTGTCACTGTTGGTTCTTCCTTAACTTTTCAAGGTCCAATTGTATTAAGCCCCTGTCTGCGTTGTTGTTTGTAACACCTTCCAATTTAGCAGCATCTGCAAATTTCATTAACATGCTATTTACTCCTTCTTCCAGATCATTAATAAATGCTATTTCTTATGTATTAAATTTTGCGGTCGAATAGATTTAATTTGCTGTTATAATTTCAATGCATGTTTTCTAAAGACACAATGCAGTTAAGAATGGTCTTAACATAGGCTTAAATCCATACCCAGTTTATAGTTATTTTACTGTTATGCAATCCATTTGTGTTCTCTAATCAGCACTGTTGTGAGCTCCATTGAAGCCATAATCTATTGATTTTCTCATCCCTCTCTTTCAATACAGTCATCATCTTGGCTTCAAGTGCACAGCAATAGCAGAGTTGGAACTATTGTTGTAGTACTCTAATCCACAGCTATTTATCAAAGGAAATTAAGACTTTTTTCCTCAGTGGATATTCTTCCACTGATTTAAGAAATGCCGTACATTAAAAAATTTATTTTATAACCATAACATTTTATTTTCCTATGCATAGTATCAATGTTCTAAAAAGAAATAGATTCTAGATCTTTTTTATAAACAAGTAAAGGTAATACATACAATTGATATATGTTTTATATACTTATATAAAATATATTTGATATTTTATATATTTACATATATAAAATAGGGATGTGTGTGCATGCATTATATATATATATATATATATATATATATATATATATATATATATATAATTATTTTTTGAGTCAGGGACTTGCTCTGTTGCCTAGGCTGGAGTGCAGTGGCACAGGCACAAACACCACTCACTATAGCCTTGACCTTCTGGGTTCAAGTGATCCTCCTGCTGCAGCCATCTGAATAGCTAGGACCACAGGCATGCACCACCACACCCAGCTAATTCTTAAATTATTTATAGGGACGGGGTCTTGCCATGTTGCCCCGGCTGGTCTCGAACTCCTGGGTTCAAGCAATGCTCCTGCCTCAGCCTCCCAAAGTGTTGGGATTACAGGCGTGAGCCACTGAGCCTGGCTTGGATATACATATTTAAATACATCTGCTCACTGACTCCCTGACTTCTACAGACTCTGGGGTGACATTGCTTTTACAATAGAATTAGACATGTCACCTTCAAATCAGAGAATGAGGTTTATTAAGCCTTTTTTTGCCTGGGTCACACACCCTCCTCCTTATCAAAACTTCTGTAGTGCCAGTTTACATTCTCAATAGGATGAGCCTTCCCACATGCCACTTGTTGCGATTCTTATGTTCGCATATAACAGTTCCAAATAATTATGTGTGAGATTAGTCTTCACATTTCTATGTAATATTTCCAGGAAATATTTTCTTTTCTTTCAATCTTTCTTCCTTTTTTTCTCTAGTGTTCTCTGGATATGACCCCATGGTGATCTTTTCTTTTCCATCTTGAGAAATGAATTTAACCTCTCAAACTCAGCTTCCCCTGCTGTGAATTGTCCCTTATAGCTTTCCGATCCATCTCAAAGTGTTGTTGTCAAGTTCAAATGAGGTAATTTATGTAAAAGTATTTCATAAGTTTTAAAAGCAAATAAAAGGCATTATTTTTATTGAAACATAGTAAAGGCAAATATATATAGTTTTCACCGAGAAATACAAGCTGGATTTCCAGATGATTTTCCATGTTGAACTTTTGGTAAATGTCCCTTTTTTTGGTAAATGTGAAAAGACATGCTCTCCTTTCATATTTGGCTGTCAATGCAATTGAGTTCTGAATCAAGGAATTGAGTAACAAAATGTCTGTAGTTTAGAATGTTCCTAACTATACAGCATACAATTTTACATCCAACATTGTTAAATAATTCCACAGTAGAGCTTTGAGTTAAGAAAAGATGACACACAATAAAACTAAAATTTGTTTTGCTATGGAAAACTCTTTTTCACTTTTCGTTGTTGTTGTTGTTTGTTTGTTTGTTTGAGACAGGATCTCAGTCGGCCATCCAGGCTGGAGTGCAGTGGCACCATCTCAGCTCACTGCAACCTCTGCCTCCTGGGTTCAAGTGATTCTCGTTCCTTAGCCTCCTGAGTAGCTGGGATTATAGGCATGCATCACTACACCCGGCTAATTTTTGCATTTTTAGCAGAGACAGGGTTTTGCCATGTTGGCCATGCAGGTCTCAAACTCCTGGCCTCAAGTGCTCCACCTGCCTCCACCTTCCAAAGTGCTGGGATTACAGGCCACTGCGCCCAATCTCTTTTTCACTTTTAAAAATTGTTTTTGAAGTCTTAAAGAGTGGAACTTTTGTTGAAAACATTAATTTTGTTATTTATTAGCTTAATTTTCCATTCAGGGTAATTCATCTTATATACATTTTGGAGGTTCCATGAGAGTTGATTCTCAAGAAAGACACTTGACTAGAAGCTAGTCTCACTAATTCATCCTCCTGACACATAACACTCTTTTCATTACCAGTCATGTTTTATGATAATTCTCCCCACTTTCAACTTTTTCTTTAGAAATAGCCTTAGTCTATGATAATGATAAAGTTCTTGCCATTGTTGTTTTCCTAGTGGAGAGAGAAAATTGAACACAGGTAGGTACATGGTAGGAAGTGGTAGGTAGGTAGTATTTGGTTATGGCACCCCAAGCTGACTAATACAGGAGTACTTTAATGGAAAGAATGTTCTATCAGAAAGAAGTGGAGAGCAGGGCTATTTATCTAGTGTGTTCATGTAACTGTAAACCCTTCACACACACACACACACACACACACACGCACATGCATATAAACACATTTTTGCCTCAACTATTTAAGTATTTTAATCAAAATTCTTTTTACTAGCAGATGTCAGGGAAAAAATAAAAGTGTTGAAATAACTGGATAATTGCCTAAGTTTTTCACTTTGTTAACATAGAGCAAACCTTCCCAGCCCACTGTGGAAAACATTTCAAAATAATTATAAGTCAGATATACAAAATTGTACTGAATTATTTCAGTTGAGTAATCAAAATTCAGCCTCGCTTAGCCAGCCTCCATCTGTCTCGACAACCAGTTTATCTGGATTATTTTACTATGCAAATTAGTTACATAAACCCCTCCAAGAAGTTTCAGTGTGTCAGATCACACATCTTAATAGCCATGAGCAACATTTCCAGTCTCTGGAGGAAGTTGCCTTAGACATATCTTTAGATGATTCAGATCCTGATGGACCTGGACACTACAAGTTTCAAGGTCGACATCTTGTTACAGAACAAAGTTCATAGGTATTCTTAAAGCCCTGGGCCCCTCATCTCCTCACTCGCCTTATCTGTAAATGTGTATATAGATGGAGACCAAATTCAAGCTGTCATCCTTCCCCAGACTCATAGACAAATCAGGGTGGACCTTCAGTAGTCTTAGTAGAAGAGAACTTGATAGCTTGATGAATCCCTTGGGATAAATGCTAATTAGGACTTTCAAGTGTCTAAAACTCAAAGATTAGGGCTCTGAAGACGATGTAGCATAGGGACTAAGAACATGGATCTATCGCCGGGCGCGGTGGCTCACGCCTGTAATCCTAGCACTTTGGGAGGCCAAGGTGGGCGGATCACCTGAGGTCAGGAGTTCGAGACCAGCCTGACCAACATGGAGAAACCCCGTCTCTACTAAAAACAAACAAAAAAATTAGCCAGGCGTGGTGGCGCATGCCTGTAATCCCAGCTACTCAGGAGGCTGAGGCAGGAGAATTGCTTGAACCTGGGAGGTGGAGGTTGCTGTGAGCCGAGATCGCGCCGTTGCACTCCAGCCTGGGCAACAAGAGCAAAACTCTGTCTCAAAAAAAAAAAAAAAAGAACATGGTTCTATCTGAAATGATAGGACTCACATAGAGCTGGATAGAGGCCTGGGTCTGCGGCTTATGAGCTCTGTAACTTTGGGGATTTTAATTAGCCTCTCTGAGCCTCAGTTTCTTCATCTGTAAAATGAGGATAGTACTCAGGTTTTCGTCTGGATTAAATAAGTCTACATATGAACAGCACTTAAAAACAGGACCTGGCCCAGAGTTGGGTGTTCAGTAATTCTAGCTATTATTATTGTTATTATTAGTTGCATTTCGTATGCTGAATATTTGCTGTTATTATTATTGTTGTTGTTGCTATTCAATTACCTGAATTATTTGTTTTTTCCAGAGTTAGTTTTTCTCTTTATTTTTGTTTTTTTATGTTTATGGTACTAGTTTTCTCAGAGATCTCTGGTGATTGTTATTGTTTACATGTAAGAATGAAGAATTATGTTGCTTATTTTAGTTAGCTGGCATGGATTATCTCCACTATTGTGAAGTAGATTTTTCAGCCATAGGGTGCTTTCCTGAATAGGAAAACTCAATGAGAATCTTTAGTACATGATGGGACAAGTTGACCAGCAGGCTTATTGTAGGGTAATGTATTCATAATTGGCTCAGCCTGTGTGGTTGAGTCAGTGCCAGCATGCCTTGGAGTTTTTCTGTCTTATTTCGTGAAGTTATAACCCATATGGCTAATGAAAAAATGTGAGAGATTATATTGGAGGTGTTTTTTTTTTTTTTTTTTTTGAGACAGAGTCTTTCTCTGTCGCCCAGGCTGGAGTGCAATGGCGCCATCTCGGCTCACTGCAAGCTCCGCCTCCTGGGTTCACACCATTCTCCTGCCTCAGCCTCCCAAGTAGTTGGGACTACAGGCGCCCGCCCCCACGCCCGGCTAATTTTTTGTATTTTTAGTAGAGACGGGGTTTCACCGTGTTAGCCAGGATGGTCTTGATCTCCTGACCTCATGATCCGCCCGCCTCGGCCTCCGAAAGTGCTGGGATTACAGGCGTGAGCCAACGCACCGGCCTATTGGAGGTGATTTTTTAAAGTGGCAGGAAGAGTATCTTGCTGAGTATTTAAATGCAAATTTTTGCCAATGCTCAAGAGGCGTTTAAAGAAATGATTGGTTATCAAGAAGATAAAAATCAGGCCGGGCGTGGTGGCTCATGCCTGTAATCCCAACATTTTGGGAAGCCGAGACAGGTGGATCAGTTGAGGTCAGGAGTTCGAAACCAGCCTGGGAAACATGGTGAAACCCCGTCTCTACATATATATATATAAAAATTAGCTGGGCCTGGTGGCGCACACCTGCAATCCCAGCTACTCTGGAGGCTGAGGCAGGAGAATCGCTTGAACCTGGGAGGCGGAGATTGTGGTGAGCTGAGATCGCGCCATTGCACTCCAGCCTGGACAACAAGAGCAAAACTCTGTCTCAAAGAAAAAATAAAATAAAATAAAATAAATAAATTACACACACACACACACACACACACACACACACACACACACATATATATATATATATATATATATGCAGCCTCTAAGGATTTTTTTTTTAAGTAGCTGGGAAAAAATACTATCCCCTAAGCTTATCACAACTTACAGGATATGAAGAGAAAGGAAGGGTAATGTTAACGTGTATGCTGTGAATTTGTCTCCAGGTGGAATGGCAGTGACTTATTAGGCTCCCATTTCCATGAATGGATCCTCTGCTAAGTGTGCTTGGATACAGCACAGCTAGAGGAGGCTTTGAAGTTTCGGTCTTCCTTTCTTTTTCTCTCCTACCAGGCTCTGAAATGCATTAGGTTGGTGCAAAAGTAATTGCGGGTTTTGCCATTACTTCCAAAGGCAAAACCCACAATTCCTTTTGCACCAACCTAAAAAGGAAACAT
This sequence comes from Homo sapiens, assembly GCF_000001405.40. Taxonomy (NCBI): domain Eukaryota; kingdom Metazoa; phylum Chordata; class Mammalia; order Primates; family Hominidae; genus Homo; species Homo sapiens. The sequence goes on along the minus strand of NC_000002.12, from coordinate 173,061,720 downwards.
ATTTACTGCTCCTGATGTGAATTATGACATTCATCCTGAGGAGGTAGAAGGAGCTTTTGCCAGTTTGGTTTTATTTTTATATATACTTATTTTTATTTTGTTTGTTTTTTTCAGGCAGGGTCTCACTCTGTCACCCAGGCTAGAGTGCAGTGGCAAGGTCATAGCTCGCTGTAACTTCAAACTCCTGGGCTCAAGCAATCTTCCCACTTCAACCTCCCAAATAGCTAGGACTATAGGTGCTTGCCACCAGGCCAGCTAATTTTTTAATTTTTTGTAGAGATAGGGTCTCCCTATGTTGCCCAGGCTGGTCTCAAAGTCCTGGTCTTAAGTAACCTTTCCTCCTCAGCCTCCCAAAGTGCTGGGATTACAGGCACCAGCCACTGCACCAGGCCCAGTTTTGGTTTTAAATAAGACTATTTAACCTATTTTATATCATAACAGTTTTTGTTATTCCTGTTTTTTTTCTTTGATAGTACCATTCTAAAGATAAGGGATCTTGGTAACAGGAGAGTCTTCTGTTTGCTCAGTACAAACAATATCTTCATCCTTAGCCCAAGTAGAGATTTTCAAGTTTGGAGTCAGAAGCTATGAGAAGATTAAAGTGGTCTGCATAAAAAAGAAAACATGACTTAGGGTCCCCAAGAATGATCTGCAAACTAAAGAGGGTGGAGAGAATTGGGAATAGAAAAAGGAGACCATGTGACTGGCAGCAGAGGAGAAAGAGCTCCAGACAAGATATATCCAATGAGGACTTGTTAAAATGAAATACTCTTGGGTTCTATAATGAAACCCCCTTGCCTCTGTTTTCTTCATAATATTCAGTAAATACACGGAGTTCAAGAACGCTTTGATTTCAGTGGAGTCAATTTCTAATGAAATAAACTACAGAGAATAATATGAAAACACATATGGGCCAATCATACGTATTTTAAGAGATAAACCATTTCAAATACAACTGAAGCCACTTCTTGTATATGAGTGAATCTCTTATGGTGAATACAAAGAAATGTTATTTCCTGAGTAAAGTCTTCCCATAACTGATATATGGCATATGATTTGTGGGATATTTATGAAGGGATTCATATACATACATACACACTTTTATTTTAAAGATAAAAGTTTAGAAAAAAATACTCCAAATCACTTTCCTAAAAACCTCACTTACTATATTTTGGCAAAATTAATCTCATGCTTTGGTTCTTGAACTCCTATCTGTTATTTTTATTTTGCAGCTTCAAAAGCCTGAATAAGCAGTCCTCTTGGGGACGAGAAGCTAGGCAGACAGCGAGCCTCATAGCTAACAACATATGCCTTGGAATCAGATGTACTTGGTTTGAGATCCCAACCTCTTTCATAATCTAAGTGTGTGACCTCGGGCAAGATATTTCATTTCTCTCAGTGTTTCCTCATCAGCAAATAGTGAAACTATTCATTTCTTAGGTATTTAGAATAAAATGCTTTCTGTATGTAACTGGCACATAGTGGGTGTTCAATAAATGCCAGAAGAACTGGCAGACAAAAAGCATTGATTACTGAACCAGTAAATAGCCCAGAAAATTCTCTTCCAAAGTCCACATTCAGAAAACTTTGTACTAAAAATCTGTGTTCCTTAGTGACCTTGCTTTTCTTCTAATTTAAAAAACAAGTACAGGACTTCCTCTATTTTTCTCCTAGCAACCATCTCATCGTGCTCAAAAGATTTCCATGCCCCGTGCTACAGACTTTCTTCAGTTGCTGCAAAGATGTTTTTTTCTAATGTATAAATGAACTCTGCACAATAAGCCTATAATACAACTGAGTATCACAGTTATTCCCATAATCCCCTCCACCCACGACTGTTTCAGTGTTGATTTAATGTTATTCATTTGCTTGTGTTGTTATTGGAAACAAATTCTTAATTAAAATGGCCCAGCATCACCTGGCTCACATAGAGTGCCACAAGCAATAATCCCTAATTTAATGTACACTTTGGCTTATACCTACAATTTAATTTCTGAAGCCAGAAATATAAATGGATTTTTATAATGGCTTCTGAGTATTAGGTGGGGGAAGATTAGGACTGCTAATGAAGAGCTACTTTCTTAGGAGGCATCTCGTAACAATGCATAATTGTTTCTAGGCGAGATAGACTGAGCATGTAAATGAACACCCAGGTTAGGCTAAAATCTAATTTCTGGCATGACCTATGTCTGTATGACTTGTGTTATATTTTGGCTTAGTTTCTAGTCTACTCTTTCATATATGAACATTTTATCTGTTGTTAAGGAGCATGAGTCTTTTATTCTATTTTCACTTCTCCTTTCTTTTATTCAGTAATTTGAAATGTTTTCTATTCCGCTGCAAATAACTTTTCAGTTGTGCCTATATAAAAATGTGGTATCTTGGTACAATTATTGCAGCAAAAACTTTGCAAAACTGGTGTAACCCAAGTTTGGAATACAAAGGACAGGCATCTGACAGAACTCGTAAACTGCCCCTCTAGCCCAAATCAATTTCAATGACTTAAAGCCACCATATAACTTTCTCTCCTTTTTCATCCTTTCATAATTGGTTTGGCTGAACTCTCAGGCATCCTTCAATGTTCTAAAGCACCTCTTTCTGTGGCCTCTCATTATAGCAGAGAGGCAGGAAAGGCACTAATATTTCTTGAGCACCAAGCACTCAGTATGCCAGACACTTTCTACACCTTCACTCATTTAGGACTCCCCCCAGCTTTTGTGAGGCAGGCGTTGTCATTCCCATTGCCAGATGTAGAAAATGAAGCTCAAAGAGATAAAATACCAAAGTTCACAGCTGAGGGCTATCACATTACAACAGTGTAGGCCACGGCACACACAACAGGAAGCCTGGTTGAGGAGGAGCTCTCTGTGAGGCAGTACCAATGGAGAGAAGGGTTGACTCTTGCCTAATACACACAAAGTTGCTGTCTATACTGGAGGTGGCCCTGATTGAGTCAAACCCAGGTCTACCTGATCTTCAAGCTGGTTATCTTTCTGCTGGTCCTGCTGCTTCCCCAAGAGCTAATAGAGTCACCCTGGAGAAGCACTTTCAACAGCTGGCTGCACCACGCCTGAAAAGCTCTCCCTAAACAAGAACAGTGGACCTTCCAGCCACTCCCCTTATGTGCTACCCTCACTCTAGTAGATGGTTTGTGAAAATGGCAACAGCTTTCCCCTCCTTATATTCACAACTTTGATGATATGACTTGGTTGTGCCAGACATCAAGAAAGAGAATTGTTTCTCCACTCTTTGACTCTTGGCTATCCTCTTGACCACTTTGGTCAGCAAAGTGCTGCAGAAGTCATAGTGTCTTCTTGGAGCACCAGTTCTGACCTGGGCCTCCAGAGCTCTTGCTTGTCCTCTTGCTTCCTGGGAACACTTCCCAGCCAACAAGTGATGAAACCCAGGATAGCTGGTTGGAGAGTGAGAGACTATATGGAACAGAGACAAGTCATTCCTTCTGAGGCCATCCTAGACCAGCTGACCACAAATGCATGCCTGAGTCCAGCCCTGATCTGCTAAGTCTGGCTCAGATGGCAGAACTGTCCAGTTAACCCATCAACTCATGGTTCATGGTTGTTGATTGAAAGCTTGTGGTTTTAAGTCACTAAAATTTGGAGTGGTTTATTATACAGTGTGATGGCTAATTTTGTCAAGTTGGAGGGTGTTTTTAGATGAGATTAACATTTAAATTGGTGAGCTGTGGCTAAAGCAGACTGCTCTCCATAATGCAGACGGGTCTCATCTAATCCATTAAAGGCACCTGAATAGAACAAAATGACTGGCCTCCATCAGCAAGAGAAAATGCTCCAGCAGACTCTGCCTTTGGACTTTATCTGCACCACCAGCCTTCCTGGGTCTCCACTTGCCGGCCTTCAAACTGGAACTGCACCATCAGCTTTCCTGGGTCTCCAGGCTGCCAGTCCACATGGTGCATTTTGGACTTGCCAGTCTGCATAATCATGTAAGCCAATCCTTTATAATCTCCCTTAAAGCTCATTCTATTGGTTCTATTTCTCTGGATAACCCGAATACACACAGCAATTGATAAACTCACTGATATCACTGAACAACCTCTTTCTTTATTCTTCTAAAGTTACCACAGCTTGGCTAGTGCAGAACACGTTCCCCAAGAGCTTCTGTGTCTCCTTACCTCAAGCGCTTCTCCCTGCTGGGGAGACTGAATCATCAGTCTGTCCCTCTGTCCTAAAGTGTCAGGACTCCTTCCTGAAATCGTCGATTCTCCTCCATTCCTGACAGGTCCTTGATGTTATCACCTGGAGACTTTTGCCACCTGTCTCTGGCTAAGGAAATAGATGGAGACCTGATGCAGCTTTTCCAGTCCTCTTTTTGTCTCAGGTGCTGCAAAAACCTGTTCTGAAGAGGTTTACACCAACTTTTGCTCTCATGTTTCTCTTGTACTGGTCCTCCTATTGTAGAATTCCACTCTTCCTGAGTTTTCTCTGGCTAGGAAGAGTCAGAACCCTCCCAGAGGAGGATGCAGGAAGAAGACTGGGATGGAATCAGGCGGCTCTCACATGCCCTGGCTCTAGGCTCTCTTTCTTCCTCAAATCTGGAGGGAAATGTCAGAGCCCATGAGCCCATAGTGCCTTGTGTTTACTTCCCTTTAGAGCAGGGCTTTGGCCCCAATCCTTCCAAGGTTGAATTGTCCCAGGAACAAAGATCCTGGCTTCCTGTAGCAGCATCCTTGACCTTCCCTAGCTGCCTGAAAAGCACATGCAAAGGAGCCCGAGCAAAGCGACCACATTTCCCATTCCCACGCCCTTATTCTCTGGGGGTTAGAAACATTCCCTTCACTCCTCCCATCCTGCAGTGTAAGACCACAGGCAGCAGGAGTGTGGTGCATCAACCCACAGGGCAGCAAGGATGGACAGAGGTTCTGGGGCTGTGATTGTCTCATGAGCTGCCCTGGCTTGACAGATGGGACACTGGCAAATGAAGCCTCCCTGCTCCTTGCTTGGATACCCACACACTGAGCCCTGGGTCCCCTGCCCACTCCTTCTCTCAACAGCTGTGCCATACATTGGCAGCTTCGGAGATGATGCAGGTAATTACGAGCTATGTCCAATGTAGCCCATTAAATGGTACAGCCACTGTAGAAGACAGTATGGCAGTTCCTAAAAAAATTAAACGGAATTGCTATACGATTCAGCAATCCTACTTCTTAGTATATACCCCAAAGTATTGAGAAGTTGGGACTTGAACAGGTGAATGGACAAACAAAATGTAGAATCGACATAAAATGGAATTCTATTCAGCCTTAAAAAGGAAGGAAATTCTGGTACATGCTACAATTTGGATGAACCTTGAAAACATTAAGCTGAGTGAAACAACCCAGACACAAAGGACAAATATTGTATGATTCCACCTATATGAAGTCCCAAAAAAGGCAAATTCATAGAGATAAAAGAATAGTGGTTACCAAGGGCTGGAGGAAAGGAAAAATGGGGAGTTAATGTTTGATGGGCACAGAATTTCAGTTTGGAATGTTGAAAAAGTTTTGGAGATAGATAGCAGCAACGGCTGTACGACAAGGTGAATGTACTAAATGCCACTGAATTATTTGCTCAAAAAGGCTTTAAGTGGTAAATTGTATGTTGTATATCTTTTACCACAATAAAAAATTAAAAAGTGGCCCAGTGTGGACTTAGTCAGGAGAAGGGATGATGTTTGTCTGTATGGGTGTCTGGGTCCACTACTGCTTTTGAATGCTTGCATTCTCCACAGCTCCCTCTGCTCTACCTTTAAGCCTTCATAATAAAGTAACTAAGGAATTAGGGATGGCCCTTACCAAGTGTCCTGGGCAGTGTGGTACACAGAAAGCAGTGGCCCTGCCGTTCAAGGGCTCACCATTGGAAATGCAACGCCCTGCCTCAAGCTCTTCAATGACTTCCTACTCAAAGGTCTGCATAGGCCTTACATGCTCTGAGCCCTTCTTAGCTCTCCAGCACATCTGGAAATGCTGTCTCCTTCGATCTCCATTAGCCACAGTGAGCTTGCTGTCCCTTATTGCCAATGTTACTTTCTGCTTAGAACACATTCTCCTCCTCTGTCTTAGCCAGCACTCACATCCTTCAGAGCTCAGCTCAACTGTCACTTTCACAGGGAACACTTCCTTGCCTCCGATCAGGTTAAATTCCCTTATTACATGCTCTTGCAACACCATATCCTTCCTTGGAAGCATTCTTTTTTTTTTTTTTTTTTTTTTGAGACAGAGTCTCACTCTGTTGCCAGGCTGGAGTGCAATGGCGTGACCTCGGCTCACTGCAACCTCCACCTCCCAGGTTCAAGTGATTCTCCTGCCTCAGCCTCCCAAGTAGCTGGGACTACAGGCGTGCACCACCATGCCCAGCTAATTTTTGTATTTCTGGTAGAGACGGGGTTTCACCACATCTCTTGAATGGTCTTGATCTCTTGACCTCATGATCCACTCGCCTCGGCCTCCCAAAGTGCTGGGATTACAGGCGTGAGCCACTGCGCCCAGCAGGAAGCATTTTTCTATTTATTTGTTCACATCATTTTTTGGTTACCTGAACAGGGACCTTCTCTAGTTGTCCTCACCATTGAATTCTGTGTCCACAGAGGGCACTCAGTAAGCACTTCAGTCATTATTTTCTATGAATGAAAATGAATGAATGAATGAATAGAAAAGTGACTAACAATACCTAAGTTAAAGGCTTTTTTCCAGTTTAGAAGTAAGGGATAAGGTAACTGTTCATCTAATACCACAATTTTCAATGTAGGACAGATTAAGATTACTCTAAAGCAAGAGATGTAATGCATTCTAGATTGACAGTAAAAGGAAAGCTATTCGAGGTAGGGGTTCATTTTACCACACTGCATATTCCAGGCTTTTTTTATTATTATTCGGAGCACAATTTGAAACTAAAATGACACTCTGTTTAATTTTCTCACACTGGTAGTCATTGATCTGCATTCATACCTTCAGAGGAAATGCCACTGAATTCAGGAGGAGTATATTTAACCTGCATGGTATTCAAAAATTGCCGGAAGAGCTTAGCTCCCATAAACTATGCCAGTGACCTTGCTAAATAGGTATGTTAAACACTCAAATGTATAATTTTCTACAGGCGCTTTTGGTAAAAACATTCTTCTTTTTCACATCTTCCAGCAAACCTCATTATCCTTCTTGTGACCCTGTAGGCATCTCATTTTCTTTTGGCTTGTTTGCAAGTTTTAAAGTATTAACTGCATCTCCTGCCTCAGGAAGGGTTGCTTGGCTACTACTCTACATTTTTAGAGTGCGAATTCTATTATTTTACCACTGCTACCTTCAAGAATGGAGTTTGATGCATTTTCAAAGAAGCTAGAAATACTTAAAAATGTCTTATCTTTATTAAGTACAGTAAGTTATTCTCATGTGGAAGAACAAGGGGAACATACATGGGGAATATGTATTAATTTTGAATAATGTTGAAACTATATTAAAATAAGATCGTAAGTTGGCATTCACCATGGAATTGGGGAGAAGTGCTGCTGTATATAGAATGCTAGCTTTCAGTAAAGTAGGAATAAAGACAAGCAAAACAAGAGCAAGGATGCCCCAGGAACGGGCTCCCAGCTTCGTTCATCATCTTTGTAAATTATCTAGAAAAGAAACTATAAAGGATATCTAAAGGAAAATATATAAAAGTGGAACCTTTGCAGCTGACATTGAGGTCTATCAGATAGTGAAATACTGAACGATAATGATTTCAAGAAAATTTATTCAGTGACCTTCTTTTATTGTCTAGTAAATCCCAGACACTGCACTTGCCTCCAGAGGCAGGTGTAATACCGCAGAAAACACCGCCTCTGGTTCTGGGGACCCTGAAATTTTATATGAATGAACACAGAGAGGCATTTGCCTGCTTTGGCATTTCTGAAAGTGGACTTTAATTGTGGGATGTTAAAAGGGATTACAATAGGACTTCTCAGAGCCTTCAGTGTGAGTGAATACTGGGAATCATTTCTATGAATGGGGTATATTATGCAGTGGTCCCCACATTTATTTGAAGATAGAATCTTGGTTTTGTTTTTGGCTTTGTATGTGTGTGTTTGTTTTTGGAGGGACAATATGTGAACTTGTGAGACTAGAATAGGCTGGAACACACTCTGGAAAATGCTGACTTATTAAAAAAAATAGAGGCATGTCTGGAATTTAAAGAATTTTGGATATCTCTTCATCAAATATTTGCTAAGTACTTAAATCACTGAGAAATGGCATGAGGCCCCACACAAGGGAGCTCTAAAATCCAGTGCCCCTTCAGAGCAGCAATGCTCCTAATTGCCGAAAAGTGAACACAACAGACAAATGTCTGTCAACTGATAAATGGATAAACAAAATGTAGTCTATTTATAGAATGGAATATTACATGGCCATAAAAATAAATGAAGTACTGGTACAAGCTATAATATGGTCAACCTTGAAAACATTATGCTAAGTGAAAGAAACCAGACGCAAAAGGCCTCATACTGTATGATTCCACTCATATGAAACATCCAGAGTAAATCTGAAGACAAAGAAAGCAGATTCGTGGTTGCCAGAGGTTGGAGGGAGAGGAGAAGAAGAAGTGACTGCTAATGAGTTCAGAGTTTCTTTTAGGGATGAGGAGAATGTTCTGAAGTTAGATAGTGATGATGGTTATCTATACAACTTTGTAAATATACTAAAAATCACTGGATTCTGCACTTTAAAAGAATGAATTTTATAATATGTGTATTTTGTGTCATTAAAAGATCCAACACCCCACCATACCAAATGGTTACCCCTTTCATATTATAGGAATTGAGATGAACACAACCATTTCTTGTCGACAATTATATTTAGTGAAGATACTAGATGTTATTTACAGAAGATATACATACATACAATTCCTACACATTAAATGTAGTCTAATTGTGAAAACAGGAAAAAATGTACTTCAAAATTACGTACTAAATAAAATAAATAAAAAGTAATTATTTGGCACAGTATCTATTATGTAGCAAATAAATAACTCCATACCATTGATTGAATGAACTATTTACAATCTTTGAAAGTGCAAAACAATTACTGAAAATTAAGATATTTGTAATAACATTTAAGTCCAGAAAATATGTTTTCATCAGGTACAATAAATTTGTAGCCAATAGTAAAGGTTTTTAATGCCCAGGAAAATATTTCAATTTTGAAAAATGTTTTATGCATATTGTGCTCTTCTGAAATGTTATTTTCTACTTTAACGCTGGCAAATTTAAGAATCTTGGCATTTCTTAGTGGAATTCTTATGTATATAATCCTGATTTGTAAATTTTGAAAAGTTACATTGTAAACATAAATATTATTCTATATACATTCAGAAATTACAGACCAGTCCTCCCTAAATTACATAAACAGCCATAATGTTTCATAATAATGTGGTCAGGTTCTATTCCTTCAGAGGTAAGACAATGAAGATGGAAGAATACAACCTATAATTTGGACTTCTATAGATTCCTCAACACCTTCCCGAAACCCCAGGCTCCAAATCAAGATGTTGAGTTAAAATTTTATCCAAATCTATCCCATTTGTAGCACATCTCATCCCATAAACACTCTTAGAAAAAAATGTCAGGGGCTTGCTAGTTCTCTTGACAAGGCTATTTCTACCAAACTCTTCACGTGGGCCTTATTCAACACTTCAGCAAAGAAGATGGCACAAGTGGAAATGAAACAGGGTAGCCACAAACTGGGGATTCCTAAGCTAGAGTGTGTAAGCTTTAGGCATGTCAAATAATTCCTTCTCTTGCTAGGTAGCTGGTAAGCTGAATGCAGCCCTGAGGTGTCTCAGGATGTGTTTTTGCTTGTTTTGTAGAATTCTCTAGTGGCAATACAGTCAGTAGTAGCATAAATGGCATTTTTGAAAGATTGTGGACTGGAGACAAACTGTTGCTTTGGGCATTTGAAATGTCTATGGTCGACGAGGCTCTAATCTGTGTGACATCTGTGATAAAGTTCTCTGGTTGTCAATCACATTTAATTGCCGTACATAACTCCGGACATCCTGATGGTTCTTATTAGCTTGAGCTGCATCAGGATCTGTTGAAAGAGGAAAGGGCAGAATTGGCATTGTGTAATATATGTATATAAGATACAATCTTACTTCTCCAATTATTTATTACATTTATCATAGGTTCCTGGGTTCCCTCAAGACCTTTCAACACACCACAATCATTGAAACGTTTCCACTTGGTTGTTCCATCTCCTCCTTCCTACCCTCCAATTTTCTTTTCTTCCCTGGAATCACCTCTTTTGATCATTCTCCTTTGAATTGCACGTTGTAAAAAAAAAATGGCACCAAATTAAAAGGGAAGCATGTGTCTGATAGCCCCTGGGTATAGATTAAAATTGTTTCCCTTTCCAGAGGTCTCTGTGTCTCACACTCTGTGTCTCTGCCTCCTTTGATCCAGATGAAGACTAATGTCAAAAGACAGTTTTTATTAGCCCCTCACAAAAGCGCTTAACATCTGGGCCAAACTGAAGCAAGCCAGTGAGACTACAGAGTCCTGACTCCCCTCTTTACTTGCACACAGTATACAGCATTACTATACCGACTGTATGTTCTTAGAGACTGTCCATATTCAGAAAAAACCCAACTCACAGGCTGAAGTTATGACTTCTGCTAGACGTTTGATTCTTTAATGCTATCTGCTCTGAAAACTCAGCTACCATTCTATTCTGATGCACATCCCAAGCATGTGAGCAACTGAGGTTAACCAATTTAATGAAGATCAGGGCTGAATGATGAGCCAATGCACTCAGCCCTCGCAGGGAACATACATGAATAAGGAAAGCCAGACCAGAAGGTGGTGAACTGGAAACACAGGTCCCTCTGGAAGTGATGACCTGGCTTCTGCATGTTGCTGCCACGGGGAATCTGTGCCTAGAGTTGCCAGATCTTCCTTTTTTTTTTTTTTTTTTGTTAAGAAATGGGAAATCTGGATTTCTTCTTCGTGAATTCTCCCAATTTTAAAATGGTGACATTATTTCAAAATAAAAGGGAAAAAAATGCTCTCTTTAGACCCAACACCTCTGTGGGCCACCTCCATTTCAAGCATCACTGGGTAGGGCCTCTGGTCTAAGGGGACACCCGGAGTGGCAGAGCCAGACCCTGGCTCCTGACCGGGGTTTCCACCACAGTACACTGCCTTCTGCAGTCTGGTTGCTCCTGCTAGATCCACACAGCACTCCCAAAGACAATTAGAATGCCATCTGCACAAGGGGTGAAGGGGAGTGTTGCAGGTCTGAAGGCAGAAAAGCAGAGAGAAGACATACATGCCCCTGCCCCCTGTGAGAAGAAACTCATCAGTATAATTATCACATAGAAATAATACCACAGCGAACTGCAGAGCACATTGTGTTTAATTTCCTCTGCTTCTCACTGGCAGTGTACTCTACACGTACAATATACTGTAATTACATTGTACACATTCCCACAGTGTTTGTGAATCTATTCCTATAGCTTTATCTATAGATTGTTGACTTCAGAGCTGAGCAGCTGTTGTTTACCAGCAGTTACTGATAACTTCAACAAATGCAGTGGAGTTTTTTCTTTTTAAATACATTTTCCCCTTGGCTTCTCTAGGAGGTGACATAGAAGAATGCAAGATTTACTTCCAAAGAAGCTCATAAAACAAAGCATATTATTTTATGGTTCTTGAGCCTCACTGAAAACCTTCTTAAGGCTATAAACCCCCTCAGGCACACACGATTTGGCATATAATTTCAGGGTCCCCTTTTATCCCCGCTGCTGGATTTGGGATTATAAACTCCGGTTGTAACTGGTGTCACTTATCTATTCTTGTTTCCACTTGTACAACTGCTTTATGATCACATCTTTAAACACAACGTAAATTAATAGATGAAAACACATGAGACACTTTAATTCTGGCTGAATCCACATAAGAATAGTTGATGATATTGCAAGACTATTCACATTTTGGAAGTCAGAGAAGGCACAGTCATTTGAATCAGTTGCTCCCCAAATCAATGTCATTTTTCTTATATTTTTCCTCCCTATTCATTAAAAAATGAACATTTAGTAGTTCTGGTGTCCCATGTTAGCAAATCTGGCCATGAGCCAGTCCTGCTCTAGGAAGAACAAACAACTCTGACTAATAAAACAAGAACATCATAGTCTCTTAGCACTCGGTTTATTGGAGGAGACGGTACTGGTAGCCTCAGATTCATGTCTATGTCATAGTATCATATTGAGTTAATGAGATAAATTTCTTCAAGTGAGTCATACAATGAGCTTAGCAAAAACCTTTAGTGTTCACCTTCTCATTTCCAGACCAGATTGAGGGAGCCAAAGCTCCACCCCCACCACCAAAGTCCCAGCCCAGAAGAAACAGTAGCACTGGTCTAGTATGACCATCTGGTGCTATGATGCAACTTAACTCCCAACAGACTAAAATTGTTATTTATTATTAGTAATTTTTTTATATTAAAGTATTATACCAGTTCTTGTGATAGATGTTCAGATTTTAAAAGAGCACCTCAAATTCATGTGGGAATACTAGAAATATAATATGAAATCCTGTTTTTGGACCTTTTACGAATGTGCTATAAACATTAATGCATTCTTGCAACACCCTGAAAGACAATAAATATTATCTTTCCTGGTTTATAATTGACTGAACTGAGTCATCAAGGGCTGATGTGAGTTTCTCAACATGGAGCAATGAGTCATAAAGAGAGTTGGTTTGAGGCAGGATTTGTTGGCAGTCGTACTTTAGTTGTCTCCAGCTGCACTGGATAGAGCAAATTAAATCTCTTTAAATTCATTCACAAAATAATATTCCTATGGTGATTTTCTAGTTTCACAACAATGTAAATATGTTCTAGTTTAAAACAGCAAAAAAAATCTTTAAACTCAAGGCCCCTATCTCATGGAATTCATGGTCCAAAGTGTCTCTGACACAGTCAGATATTTCCCAGGCTCCAAGGGTGTCTCAATGGCCTCATTAAGAAGACCTTAATCACCAACATCTACATTGTAAGAGGTGGCAGCACTTAACTTACTGAAGGGTTGGCTCCTGTAGTATCTCACTGTTCTGGCCGTATTTGCAATCATGCGCTAAAAGGAATATAGAAAAAAGAAAGATAGAAATTCAAGTAAGCGTAGAGTACAATCCAAAAAGGAAAACAAACCATTTCTGCAATACTTGGTACCATGAGAAGTGACATGTTCTGAGATGTTGACTATCTGAAGGCAACTAGCTGATGTATAACTTGTTTAATTATTTCAAAGGGGTACCCACATACATACAAGGCATTTTCAGGTAAGGAATATTAATGGCATAACTCTCATAATTGTTGGCATATTCCCCATGATGTAAAAAACATCTATCATGCCTGAGACTGTACATTAGTGCTTTTTCACCATCCTTTCTTGAGGTTGCCATGAATTTGTAAGAGAATCTGTAACTATCCTAGATGTGGAGAAGGGTTAGCTTATCAAGTTCCTCACAGTAAATAAGACTCACTAATGAGGTATGAGATTTTATTGGCTGAACAGCAAGTCAAAATATTCTACCTTCACATTTTTGCTACACACTCTGTATTACTGACCTCTCTAATCTTCCAGCAAAAGTTTGCATTTTAATGTTAATCCTGATGATTTGATTCCCTCCTTCCCTCCCTTCTTCCTCCTTTCTGATTATAACACTAACATATACACATCTTAGAAATTCAGAAAACAGGCCAGGTGCAGTGGCTCACGCCTGTAATCCCAGCACTTTGGGAGGCCGAGGCGGGTGGATCACGAGGTCAGGAGATCGAGACCATCCTGGCTAACACGGTGAAACCCCCTCTCTACTAAAAATACAAAAAATTAGCCGGGCGTGGTGGCAGGCGCCTGTAGTCCCAGCTACTTGGGAGGCTGAGGCAGGAGAATGGCGTGAACCTGGGAGGTGGAGCTTGCAGTGAGCCGAGATCGCGCCACTGCACTCCAGCCTGGGCGACAGAGTGAGACTCCGTCTCAAGAAAAAAAAAAAAAGAAATTCAGAAAATACAGAAAATGTTAAGAGCAAAGTAAAAATCACTTAGAATATTACTTCACAGAGTAATCTTGTTAATATTTCGGCATATAGCCTTCTTATATTTAAAAATATATAAAAACATGTTTTTAAAAGATTTGAATTCATATAGTACATACATATTTTATTTTGATTTGAAATTTTTCACATTGCATTGTGACTATTTTCCATGCCATTTGCATTTTAAAACATTTTTTAAAAAGCATGTATTCAACCAAATGGACAGATTATAATTGATTTGACCTTTTAAAATTTGGTCACTAAGTGATCATCTTAACTTCTTTGTAAAGTTTTGGTTGCAATAAAGACTTAAAAGGGAATCTTTTGTGCTGAGCTCAATTAAAAACAAAAGAAAAGAGAAAAGAAAATGGACAGAAACAGAGACTCCTATCCCCTGGGGAAAAACACTGATGAGACCTACGCTCCATTTCTTAGCCAGAATGTCACGGTATTTGAACAATAGCTGGCACTCCTGGTCACTATGTATGTTTCAGGACACTTTACTGCTCAGGCTCTAAAGGGGGTCCTGTGGAGATAATAGATTAATTACAACACTAGCAGAAAATTGATAAGGCTCCACCCAGGGAAAGAGACTCCCCGATCTCTGAGCAGCTATGTAATTCTAGTCAACCCTTTCTTCTCTCACGGACCCTTGGCTTGCCAAAGTATAAGAAAATGACTTTGAGAAAGCTTACATAGTGTAAAAAAAAATCATAGATGAGTCAAGGCCTTACAAATATATTATCTGCAAGCATCATAATACCTCACTGAATACTACTGCTTTGAGGACTCTAGCAAGCCTGAAGTGACATGTACCTGCATTGGATAATTTCGCACACAAAGAGGCAATTGGAAAAGTTAGAACTTCACTTCATCAAAGATCGTGAAAACTGACACATCCATCTGTTGATCAGCATGAGAAACATATCACAAATCCCTCCCAGAAAATGTAACGTACAATGTATAATTAGCCCTTGATATATGGAGCCGTGAAATAAATAGTAACTATGATAACTTCCCTGCTAATTTACTTTTAAGTTGTTTTTTCACTTCTCTAAAGGCTTTGCATCTGAAGGGCACAAGTATATTCCATGTAGAATTATTGTAATTCTTCAGATATTGAATGGAGTGTAATTACCGAAAACCCTGGGAAATGCTGCCAGTATGCCCCTCTGAAGAATAATAAAACAATTAGCAGGGGTCAGAAACCTCTTCCTATACCATTTTGTAGGGAGTAATTGTTCTGCTTTTTAGTTTTGAAAGCTAAAACATTTCATTCTGACTTTGGTTTTATGCTACTCTTTAAAGCTATACTCTGAGACTTCATAATTTTTAGCTCATGTAGTTTAAAATGTGAGAACAATTGTTTAAATCAGTAATTTCCAGCCCTGAAGTTCATTCTACCTTTCTAAATCTTTGATTAATTTTAACAATGGTTTTAATTTTGACGTATCCTTTTTAATTGTTCTCAAAGATAACTTCAGTTTAACTTCGAAATCCAAATCTGGCTTCACAGCGAGGTCCATTCTTTTCCTTTGTGAGGTCCGGACAATAATGTTTAATGGTGTGAACCCACAGTGATGATGTGTGAATCTAACTAGCATTCCCGGTCAATGCATAGTTACAAATGCTTTCACAAGGCCAAAGAAGGGTTAACTTAATATTTTAACTTCACCTCCTTTTGCACCCATTAACACATGTAATATTAAGCAGTTACTGACAACTACACCCAACTACAAGGCACTCTCCTGAGTTGCTGAAAGAGACTTCAGGAGTCACCTCCTTGAACCATCTCCAGAGTGCATAATGCTTTTTCTACAGCCTGCCTATAAACAGTGGCTCTCCCACTGTTTGAATGCATCCAGCAATGAGTAACTCATTACCTCCAAAAATAGCCTGTTTCATTGTTAGACATCTCTGATTATTAAAACTTATCATTTTGAGTTAAAGTCTTTCTCCTTTTACTTTTCGCTCATTTATCCTTGGAGCTCATAATGCATTTGCATAAGACTCCCACGGGCACCATGACAGTTTACAAATGCCACGGCAATGACCCAACAGCAAACATGTTTAATTTCTTTTTAACAGGACAAGTCTTCAAATACTTGGATATAACTGTTATGGATATCTTCACACCCCCAGATCTTTTCTTGTTCAGCCTAAATATTCTCAATTTCTTCAACAATTCTTCATAAGACAGTTTTGGTTCTCTTCCAAACCGTCTCTAGTATGGTGCCCTAGACTAAACAAATTGTAAAGTGCAGAGAAATTATGATCTTTCTTCTTTCCTTGATCTAGATGATGCTATACTGGGCCTACAGTTAAAAAGAAGTCATGCCACTGACATCTGTTGAAGTATTCATGAATTAAACCTCTCAGCCTCCTTTGCTGAGCTGCTGTGGATGCAGCTTTCTGCTCTGTGCACGTACAGTTGATTTCTTGGACCAGAGTGGAGGATTTTAAAAACTAAAACCATCTAGTTAGAGTCTATCTTTCCACAAACTTCAGCCTATGTTATTTTTGACGGTAGACAGCTGTTTATTCATTGGTGCTCGCAGTCTAGCCTGGCAGAAACAAAGGTTAAAGAGATATAGGGTTCATTATCCAACTGCTGCAGCAGGGGTGAAACCAAAAATTACACCCTACGCTTCATGGTCCTGCCAGAGCAGGTTGGCCTGCCTGGAGCTGGCCAGGCAACTTTCTATAACGCCAGGCCGGAGTGGGGGAGTGTCTGATTACTCCAAAGCACAGATTCTCATCTTTTTTTCCCCAGTAGCCAGCCTGAGGTTTATGACACATTCCCTTGAGCAAATAGCTCATTAAGACAGCAACTGGTAATTCAGGAGTAAATGTGGGGCAAACATGCCCCACATTAGAGCGCCTCCTTTAGAAGGCGCTCCGGATCCGTGTAGGGGAACAAATTGAACCCCCCTGTCGCCACGCTTAAACTGATGTTTCTTGGGACTAATCCTAAGTACAGGTCTTCGGAGCTTATGTGCAAAAATGAATATGTTCCTACAGTTCGTGGCCTACAGGGCTTAGAGATGGGCCCAACTGAAAGCTGATGAATTCCCCTCAGGACATGCACTCGAGGAGGGAAGTGCAGAAAGGAAAAATGATGTGGTGAGTGAAGAACTCTGTGACTATGTCACGCGTCTATTTTTCTTTAGAGCTGAAAACAGAGGGGCACAGAAGTAGATGTCCTTCCTGGGGCCTGCGTTGCAGAGTGGAGGTAGAAGATCAGCAGGATTTGTTTTCCCAGCCTTGGTCACCACCCTGCTGATGTAGCAAAGAAACCAGCCCAAACCAGCTAGGACTAGGAATTATAATGCATTTGCATAAGACAATACTCACCCCCCCTCCCGCCCCCCGGCGCCATGACAGTTTACAAATGCCACGGCAATGACCGGGAAGCTACCTTAGATGGTTCCAGGAACTCCTGGCCCCTTTTCCAGAAAGTTTGTGAAAAACCCGCTCCTTAGTTAGCATGTAACTAGAGTAGGTATAAATAGAGCCGGCCAGCACTCTGTGAGTGCTACTCTGTGCTACCCTGCCTATAAGACAGCGCTGCTCGGTCTACAGAGCACTTGTTTTCCTGTATACTGTTCCTCTCATGAACTTGCTGTCTTTCATTGTCAGCTCGCTCTTAAATTCCTTCCTTAGGAAAGCCAAGAACTCTCTCCAGCTGAGCCCCAATTTAGGGGTCAGCCTGCATCAGAGTGACCAGTACAAAGACAGCATCCAGAGGAAGGGGTGACCACTGTCTGCACCTCGGCCTGGCACAAGCCAGAGGCTCTGAGGCCGGCATCCCAAACACAAATTTCCCTCAAGCTCTGATGCAGGGAATTTCCCTTGAGTCCGCTGAGGTGTCAGAGGTACCTTGTTCTCAGACTGGGCCTTTGCGGCCTGGCTCTTGGCAGGCGTCACCCTTCTGTGGTGTCCTCCCCTCAGGAGCAGGCCAGCCAAGTTCCACTTTCACTCCTATAAAGACATGACATAGCCTACCAGGACTTTGTGGCTGCCCCCACCTTCCTAGCCAGCTTGCACTGACTCTTGTGCCCTAGTCCAAGTTCCCCCTTTGCTCTCCCACTGCGGAAGAGAAGACTTCATTCTTCAAGTTCTGACCGGCAGGCCCTCCAGGCCACGCCACCTCATTGGTACCACTCTAGGACCTCCCGCTCCCAGACAGCGGCCACAATAGCCTTCCTCTTAGCCTATTATTCTGCCTCTGCTCAGATCCCTCAGGAAGCGGCTCCTCACCGTCAGGCCTCTTCTAAATGCCTGCCCTCAACAGTTTTGATCTTCCTTCTGTTGCCCCTTAAGATCTGTACCATCCTTGCTCTTAATGTTTGCCAGATTGCTTTTTCTTACATTTCTGCCTCTACCGATTTGATTCTGTCTCCAGACCTATGCCTATCAAATATAGGACCTTTGTTAATTACTCCTTGCTTAGCATGTGTAAAACCACATTTACACCATTTGATTATTTCACTCAGACCTCCACATATTTGGGACAAGAATTTTTTTTTTCACAAGATCCAGAAATACACAGTGTCTCACCTAACAAAGATTGTGCCTGTGATAGCAACCAAATGGCCAGGCACAGTGAGGACCAGAGATAAAAGGGAATTGAAGCTGAACTAGCCTTCACTGTGTGCATCATTGAGGAGGAGCCCTGAGTCCGGTCTCCCTACAGATCTTTAGTATCCAAGAGGTGTATGACATGCAGATACGCATGTGTAACACATGCATGATGCTTACGGTATGTGGTATATATGATGACCATGGGAGAAGACAGTTCAGGTGCCTTTCCAGGCACGTGTAGAGCATGTATACCTCTATGTACTCAGGGAGGGACACTGGAGGACAGACACAGCACCACAGGGAGGAGGGGGGACAGAATAATGTCTGGTTAGGAACAGAGGCTAAGGGAAAGTCATCTTTTATAATGTCTCAGTTATGCAAAATGCTTTGGGACATTTTGGTTAATCCAATTTTCTTTCCCTTTTTTTTTTTGATTTGGAGTCTTACTCTATTGCCCAGGTTGGAGTGCAGTGGCACGATCTCGGCTCACTGCAACCTCTGCCACCTGGGTTCAAGCAATTCTCCTGCCTCAGCCTCCTGAATAGCTGGGATTACAGGCGCCCGCCACCATGCCTGGCTAATTTTTGTATTTTTAGTAGAGATGGGGTTTTACCAGGCTGGTCTTGAACTCCTGACCCCATGATCCACCCGCCTCAGTCTCCCAAAGTGCTGGGATTACAGGCGTGAGCCACTGTGCCCAGTTGATTCATCCAATTTTCTAATAAAATAGAAGACACTTTTGGATTTATTACATAAAATATTTGAAAAATGCTTTCGTGCACTAAGCCCAACACTGAAACATTACATTTTATTCAACAAGTACTTCTTGCATACTTACGATGTGCCAGACATTTTTATGGGTGCTGGGGAAATAATGCGTCAGATATTTTTATGGTGCTGGAGAAATATCAGTGAACAAAACAGATACCTGGGCCAGGGCACTTACATTCTGGTAGGGAAGACATTGAAGAGGCAGGAAGATAATCCCAGGCTGTGAAACCCCTATCAAGGCAAGGTTGTGTTGGAGAGTGCTGGGTGTCGCAGAACGGTGTTACACGGAGGTCAGGCACAGTTAGCACCACAGGGAGGAGGGGAGATCAGGGAAGATGTGTGATCTTCTTCCCTTCCCACAAGGGTGGTTAGGGAAGACTATTTTGGAGGAGGGGACCTGTGAGCTGAGGCCTGACTGACGAGGAACCAGACAGCAGACAACTGGGGGAAGACAATTTCAGGCAAAGGTAACAGCTAGTACAAAAAACCCTGAGGCCAAAAGGAGAAGAAGGCAGGTCAGTCTCACCAACTTGGACTGGATACAGAGAAGACAAAGTGTCAGATGAGGCTGGACAGGTGCTTAGGGCTAGTCTAGATCTTCTGATATTATGTCACTGCATATAATGTGGTTTTATTTTCCATTGATAAAACTGCATGAAGTTTTCTTTCCTGCATTTTGCTTTCTGACATCTTTTATTACTATTGTGACCTAGTTTTTATATCTTATGTGGATTTTTAATATTTCATGTGTTTATGTTTTCTCTTCCCAACTGCAGGTAATCTAAAGGCCCAGGGTTACTTTCTAGATGTTTATATTTCTTAGTAAATTCTTTTGCCTGGACACTCCACACATTATGTTGTTTTGAAGCATACCGTTTGGAAATCTGCATTTAGCCTGGCCTGGGAAATCTATACAAAGATGTAAACTCTCAAAGTACTCCCATAGATTTCTTTTGTGTTGGAGAGCTCTGGGAATAGGGTGGACTTGAACACGTAGATTTTTACTTAGAGATTCTTTTTTTCCATAGATTGAGGTAACAAGTGAAGTGCTCTCTCCATGAATCTTATAATAATATTATTGGTGATAGAAAACATATTGTTGCTAATTATGTAATGACATGCTTAGTGATACAAAAATAAAAGGATTCAAAACATTTCTCTTCCTTAATGAATTAGCTTCTGTAATGTTTACAGAAGTATAAAAGTTTGCCCTATGCTTCTCATTCCAAATAAAATGACTACCTTAAAAATCATATTTATAAATAAATATACCTAAATATGGGTATGTCTGAAATAGAACCAATCTCTTATCAGCATGCTTTATGCAGCCTGGGATAGTGGCAGGTGGCCAGCATATTATCCTCTAATCCATGCTAGTCTACCTCCTAAATGTTATAAATATTCATGTATGCCATAGAACTAGGAAGGACTTTATTCAAACATTTTTTTGAATATTCCTTTATGTTCCCCCCAAATAAAAGAATGTCTGCTTTTTTTGGCATCAGGATTAGGGTGTGAATTCTCTTTTGTTCATACCCATAAATCCTGAAAACCAATAAGCAACAAATTCTCTAATCCTTATTTCATACCTCAAGGGTGAAGATGTAGGAGATTGGTTCTATTTCAGAGAAATGTTTTGAATGAAGATGTACAAAATAAAAACACTTAGAGTTGGCATGGTGGTTTGCTGTGACTCTACAATGCTGCCACCAAGAAAAGGTATCTGTATTCCTGGCTACCCTGGTGACCTCGGCCCCTGGCAGGGGCTCCTTCTGGGGACCCAGCCCACCAGCCCCACAGAGGCTGCCAGCTCTGCTCAGCACCTGGGCCTTGACGATGGATGACTGGGAAGTGGCATTGACATCAACCTGAAAAGGAAAATGTAGCCTTTCCCAAGACCCACAGTAACAACAGCAGCCACTGATGGTAGTGGTGGTGATATGGGGGTAGGGGTGGGTTAGTTTATGGGGAGAAAATTTTGGAAACCTGGCAACATGCACCTTGCTTAGAAAACATAATCAAATCATTTTGAAATTTCATTTCATTTTCTGGTAACATCTAACTTGTGGAAGGACAATTCTTTTTTTTTTTTTTTGAGATGGAGTCTTGCTCTTGTCATCCAGGCTGGAGTGCAGTGGTGTGATCTCGGCTCACTGCAATCTCTGCCTCCCAGGTTCAAGCGATTCTCCTACCTCAGCCTCCCAAGTAGCTGGGATTACTGGTGCCCGCCATCAACCTGGCTAATTTTTGTATTTTTAGAGAGATGGAGTTTCACCATGTTGGCCAGGCTGGCCTTGAACTCCTGACCTCAGGCGATCTGCCCACCTCAGCCTCCCAAAGTGCTGGGATTACAGACATGAGCCACCACACCCAGCTGGAGGGCCAATTCTAAAATCAAACTTTCTTATGGTAGAATTTCTCACATGAGATAAAATGTATCATGTGGCTGGAACAGAGAACTTACAGTACTCTTTTGATATCCTTTCTTCCCTTCTCTTTCATATGAATAAAACCCCTTAACTTTCAGTGGGATATATGAATACTTCAAATAAGGGCTTCATGTTTTAGCCTTCCTTTCATGGGACTAGGTTTCTGAGCAACAAAATATGAGGCAAGTGGTGAGTGTAACTTCTTCCCTATCTTTAAAAGGGATGAAGCATGCCTTCACCTTCTCCTTTCCCTTTCCCTGTGGTTGGAGTGTGGAGGTGGAGGTTGCCATCTTGAACCAAGTGGATGTAAAACTGGCAAGAGAGAAGCCTGGGGCCCTGATCGCATCCTGTAGCAGGTCTACCATACCTGCTTGAACTTTTTTTTTTTTTTTGAGACAGAGTCTCGCTGTCTCCCAGGCTGGAGCGCAGTGGTGCAATCTCGGCTCACTGTAAGCTCCGCCCCCTGGGTTCATGCCATTCTCCTGCCTCAGCTTCCCGAGTAGCTGGGACTACAGGTGCCCGCCACCACACCCGGCTAATTTTTTTTTTTTTTGTATTTTTAGTAGAGACGGGGTTTCACTGTGTTCGTCAGGATGGTCTCGATCTCCTGACCTCGTGATCCACCCGCCTCGGCCTCCCAAAGTGCTGGGATTACAGGCGTGAGCCACCACACCTGGCCTGCTTGAACTTTTAAGTGAGAAAGAAATAAGCTGATCTTGCTTATGCCATCATTAATTTAGGTTTCCATTAATGAAGCTGAACTGCTGGCTATCGTAGCTATTCATTGCTTTTCAGCAAAAGTGGACTCTGTGAGAGCAAGATGGGAAGGATCTCTTTCCTTAGTGCTAGGCATGGAGGAATCCACTGCTCTGGGTATGAAGTGCAGAAATGGGGAGAGGAATGGCACTCTCCTAGTATCCACTGAATGTGACCTTGACTTTTCCTTGCAGGTTACGGATGGGACACCAAGATCTCAAAACTCAGATGAAACAACTTTTATCTACCCCAACAGATGGCTGGCTTTGCATACCTTGCTGTTCTTATTTGTTCAATTTAGTTAACTTTGGCCATCAAAACTTATTTTTAAAAATTTATTTTATTTTATTTTATTTTATGTTCCAGGATACATGTGCAGAATGTGCAGGTTTGTTACGTAGGTATACATGTGCCATTCTGGTTTGCTGCACCTATCAACCCGTCTAGGTTTTAAGCCCTGCATGCACTAGGTATTTGTCCTAATGCTCTCCCTCCCCTTGCTCCCCAACCTCCGACAGGCCCTGGTGTGTGATGTTCCCCTCCCTGTGTCCATGTGTTCTCATTGTTCAACTCCCACTTATGAGTGAGAACATGTGGTGTTTGGTTTTCTGTTCCTCTGTTTGCTGAGAATGATAGCCATCAAAACTTCTAAAGCTCAGTAAACTCTTTAGGAAACCCTGACTTCTACATCTCTGTGCACATGTATATTTTATAATTAAATGGGTGGCTTAGCCAATCCTCAGTTTGCATTTCTGCATAAGTAATCCAGAAGTTTCTTTACGCATTTGCCAAATCTTTCATTTCTGGAAAACAGGTTTTCTTTCTGGGAAGTCAGAGGAATTGTTTAATTATCCATACTAATAAGTTAGCAAAGAATGTTGTCTACTTTGATCAAACAATTATTAAATTGACACAGGAGTAAGATGTTCATACCCTGCCTTTGGTGTGAGGGGTGGGAAGGAAGACTGCTGAGGACATACTTGCCATCTAGTACAAAGAGTCTTTGAGGAGTGTGTACTCGTGTTACTTCCTAAGAAGCTTAAGACATAGTGCCCAGCAATAGCTGCACTTGACCAGACTGGGCTTTGCAATAAGCGCATTCCCCGGGCTGAATGCTGCAGATCCTTACAGGCTGACTGCAGGGTGTTTCAGATTCTCCTGGAGTCACACGTGCCAGCTTGATTTCAAGAAACAACTAGAATAACAGTTTTCTGATAAGAAGTCTATAGCACTTTATGGCTTACATAATCCAGAGATAGATGGGCTGGGCATGATTCCCATTTTCTGTTGGGGAAACCGACTCACAGAGAAGTTAAGGGACAAGTATAAAGTGATGAAACTGTGTACTGAACCTCATGTCTCCCAGACTCCAGGTCCCCGGCTTTTCTCACGGCGCCACATTCACACTGCAATTCATGACCGGGCAAATGCTCACCCACAGAGATATTAAGCACTCCAACACTCCATCCACCAGGTTGCAGCCAAAGGATTCAGAAGACAATGATCATTCCATCAGCATGCACTATGCAGCTAAAGAAAGGTTTTGGCATGCTCTGCTTTATTGTTTCACAGAAGATAAGAAAATAAACTGCAAAGTAACTTAAGCCAGATAACCTTGCTTTCCCCCCCGCTAGGAGTAAGGACTAGGAGGAGGGTGGCTAGAAAATACTGAATATGTGCCAGTTCCACATCTGTTGTGAAAAAAATTTTCTAGGCCAGGCGCAGTGGCTGATGCCTGTAATCCCAGCACCTAGGGAGGCTGAGGCAGGAAGAGCGCTTGAGCCCAGGAGTTTGAGGCTATAGTGAGGCTATGATCACAACACTGCACTTTAGCCAGGGTGACAATGAGAGACCCTGTCTCCAACAATAAGTAAATATATAAAAATGTTAAAAACAAGATTAAAAACTTTTTATTATAAAGGTTTTCATGTTCCTTCTCTGAACTTGAGCGAACTTTATTGGGGTAAGCAGTACACATTTAGATTAGTCCTCTATAATAAAGGCGTAGAATTGCCTTTTACCTACGGGCACTGAAGTCAGGCTTGGCAGATAAACCTTTCAAAGGCATCCTGGGGCAGTCTAGCTCCACAAACGTTATAGCAAAACAACAACATGGAAGTCACTCAGGAACATTTGTGCATTTCAGCAACAGGCTGCCAAGGAAGAAACACACGGCATAAAAGCCAGCTGCTGCTGTGAACCACCACACAAATACTATTCAATTTCACAAAAGAGAACTGACAGAATAGAATAGGTAGCCAATTTGAACCAAATATTTCAAAACTCCTTTATGTGTAACTACCTTTTTAGCAGGGCAGCATATATGGAAATTATTTCCTTTATTAGAAAAAATGCAAATTTTATTTTAAAAACACATTGTGGTTAAGGTTATAATACTGCACATACCATTTTTTCAAAGTTTACTAGATTGTCAATGAACGTCTTGTTCCCCTCATGAGTAAATGTCATATCTGTAAAGAAATAAAAGCCACATTCTAATCACTAATGGAAATATGTCATACTAAGAAAGCACAATAGCACCATTAGATTATGCTGGCAGATTTGCATAACACTACAGTTGAAAAAAGCTGTTAATAGTTCCTTTAATGCTAGGTGTTTAACTTTTTAAATCACTTCACCTGAGAGTAGTAAAATTTTTAAACTAATCTTCTGTTTCACTAACAAGTTTTCCAAATCATGGATCTCTGCTCCTCCAGTCATCTTTCTGACCCTTTCTGAACAGTCAGGACTGAGAGGAGATGACAAAGAAGGCAGAAGGATGGGATCGATCATTCTTCCCTAAGTAATCAATCTTATCAAGGTATTGTTCATTTCCCTCCCCAAATACTCATCACCTGCTTGGCCTGTGCATCTTATTAGGATTACCTTTAATGAGCAAAGGCATGAAGGGGATGAGAGGAGGTTCCAGCTTAGCTACTGTCAGCCTGTAGGCCCTGTGGTTCCTTGAAGGGTCCTTAGGAGAGAAAAAGAGATGATGGTAATGACTGGTGACAGATACACCACCCTTTGTTACCTCCTAATACACCTGCCTTTCACCCCACAATCAGGTACAGTTGACCTTTGAACAACACAGGTTTGAATTGTGTGGGTCACTTATACATGGCTTTTCTTCTGCCTCTGCCATCCCTGACACTGTAAGACCAACAACCCCTTCTCCTCCTCCTGAGCCTACTCAACAAGAAGAGGACAAGGATGAAGACCTTTATGATGATACACTTCCCTTTAATGAACAGTCAGTACATTTTCTCTTCCTTATAATTGTCTTATCATTTTTTCTCTAACTTACATTATTGTAAGAATATAGTACATAATAATACATATAACATACAAAATATGTGTTAGTTGACTTTATGTTATCAGTAAGGCCTCTAGTCAACAGTAGGCTATTAGTGGTTAAATTTGGGGAAAGTCAAAAGTTATGCTTGGGCTGGGCATGATTGGCTCATGCCTATAATCCCAGCACTTTTGGAGGCCAAGGCAGGAGTATCGCTTGAGCCTAGGAGTTCATGACCAGCTTGGGTAAAATAGTGAGACCCCAAGTGAGATCCCTTTTTTTTTTTTTTTTTGGAGACAGAGTCTCACTCTGTCACCCAGGCTGGAGTGCAGTGGCGCGATCTCCGCTCACTGCAAGCTCTGCCTCCCGAGTTCACGCCATTCTCCTGCCTCAGCCTCCCGAGTAGCTGGGACTACAGGTGCTTGCCACCAGGCCTGGCTAATTTTTTTGTATTTTTTTAGTAGAGACGGGGTTTCACCATGTTAGCCAGAATGGTCTTGATCTCCTGACCTCGTGATCTGCCCGCCTCGGCCTCCCAAAGTGCTGGGATTATAGGTGTGAGCCACCGTGCCTGGCCGAGACCCCTGTTTTTTAAAAAATAAAAAATTATTTGGGAGGCTATTTGGAAGGCTGAGGTCGGGGGATTGCTTGAGCCCAAGAGGTCAAGGCTGCAATGAGTCATGATTGCACCACTGCACTCCAGCCTTGGTGACAGAGTGAGACCCAGACTCAAAATAATAATAATAATAAAAAGTTATACTCAATATTTCTACTGCATGGGGGTGGAGGTGTTAGTGCCCCAACCCCTGAGTTATTCAAGGCTCAACTGTATTTCTGAATCAAATATAGCTACAAAAGAAAGGTAGACTTAGTTAAACAAATTGATTTGTATTTGTGTGTGTGTGTGTGTGTGTGTGTGTGTGTGTGTGTTGAGACGGGGTCGCACTCTGTCACCCAGGCTGGAGTGCAGTGGCCCAGTCACTACTCACTGTAGCCGCCACCTCCTGGCTCAAGCGATCTTCCCATCTCCGCCTCCTGAGTAGCTGGGACCACAGGTGTAGGCCACCACATCTGGCTAATTTTTGTATTTTTTGTAGAGATGGGGTTTCGTCATGTTGGCCAGGCTGGTCTCGAATTCCTGACCTCAAGTAATCCACCTTTCCTGGCCTCCCAAAGTGCTGGGATTACAGGTATGAACCACTGCGCCTGGCCTGATTTGTGTTTTAAAATAACTTCACTTATGGCATAAAAAATTTGGAGTTTTCTTTTCCCCTTCTTGTTTGAAAAAGAGATTTGCATACAGGGGCCAAGGGGAGATATTTCCTATGAAAGCAAAAATGAAACCTCTACTGCAAGATTCCCCTTTTCCTGAAGCCCCGTCTTCTTCCTGGGTGTCTGGCTCACTCACTCTCTGCCCTGCACAGCCGATCCCTGTCCCGATTTGCCCTCTGAAACCTGCCCATCACTCCCGGCGAGCCCAACTCACTCCTTTTCTGTCTAACACCTCCAGCCAACGGGGAAAAATAATCTTGGCAAGCCAAGGAAAATGCAGCTTCCAACCCATAGCCAACCTGAGCTGGATGGAGAGGACGCTATTACACTGCTTTTCTTAGTTATACAAATTGACCTTATGTGGGACATAAGTCCTCTTTAAGTTAGTTCCTGAGGGTGCCATTCATTAGTCAGACATGCTTGTTTTAGCAGCACTAAAAGGGATCATAAACTTCTTAAAGTCATATAAGGACAGATAAAATTTCCAAAATGAGAACTTCAATTCAGCTAATCAGAAATTGGATTAATGTAGACAGTGAACAGAATAAAGAAGCCACTGTCACTTACCATTAAACTTTCAAACTCCGCATAGAACTTCTTGAACTTGCTTGGCAGTTTCTGTTAATGAAATGAAAATGCCACACGCATATGTCAGATTCAATATCTAGATATGTATCATGGGTTACCATTTCTAGGGGAAATATATATCCATTGGCTCTTAATCAAACATCTCTGAGACAGGCCAGACTGTAATCTGTCTTGCCATTTGAGAATAATCTTCCAGAATATAGAGAACTTGCCTTTTAAACGTCTTTAACCTAACTGAACCAAAAGTAACTATGAATGCTTTGGTGTTACTGCTTTTATAATGTTTTCTGAACTAGACGATCTATAAAGAGGACTGCATTCCCTAGACTAGAAGAGTCTGAATATACCTCCCCCCACACTTTTTAAAACTCTCTGATTCCCACAATCAGGAATTTAGATTACAGAATATTAGCAATAAAAGAGCTTATGAAACTATCTCTTTCAACCCTCCTCCTCCCTTATAAGGTAAACTACATGAGAATAAGAATTTTTATTTGTTTTGTTTACTGATATTTTTCTCAGTGCCTAAAAAAGTACTGGGTACATAGTACTCCCTAAATATTCATTTGAATAGATTGAGCCTGTGTTTTACAGATGGAAAAAATTAAGTCTCACAGTTTCAATGACTGGCCCAGAGTCACACAGCTGCTTCTCATTAGAGCCTGTAATTCACATCCCCTGCCTCCTTTCCTGCTGTCTCGTCTCTCACATGCGCCATGCTTTTCTACATGAGCATTTATTTCTCCCACATGCCTTCCTATAATACAAAATTGGATAGTTCTATCAATTTACTGATTTCTCATGTTTTTATTTCGGCAAATGATTCAACACCACTTACTGCACCCACATATCTACACCAATAGATCAATACTGAATCATCTTTCAATTTATTGGTTCCTACTTTGCTTAGTTCCTGAGTCTTCAGTAAAGCTGAACCTTTCACTTCTCTCTCCTGACAGGGCTAAGCCAAGATAGAGCTGTGTGATACGTTTCCCATCCCAGGACTAGGAACTCATCAACCAACCCCTGGGTCTCAGAGACTCCTGGGTCATCTGGGAGGAGGCTTTGAACAGTGAAGCCTACCTTCAACAGTTGATTCACCAATTGGGCCTCTGCAATCCACAGAATGGCTCTTCTTGGCTCTTTCTCTTTCCTATCTCAGTTTGTCATATTCCCATTTAAACATCTGTAAAACCCCGATTTTGTTTCTAAAAACTAGTCCCTGTATATCCTCCAAACTCATTTTTCTGGCATTTCAAGTTAGGGTTCAGGAAGACTTGATGCCCTCACTTAGGGGAGACTATTCAAAGGGCTGAAAGCTGGGATGGGCATCAAGGGATGCCAGGATCTCACCCCACACAGAGTATCCAGATCACCAAGTTATGCAAAAACATTGACTTACTGAATTTAGTCCATTTAAAAAAATAAGAGTGGATTATGTTTTTGGCAAGACCTCTGTCATCTGTTCTCTTTCTTTACTTAGCTTTCTTTTAGGTCAAAGACAGTAGGGCACAGGGTAATAAAAAATGTTTCTTTCATTCTTAATACTATTATTTATCCACCCCCCCATGCTTCTAGAGCAGTGTTTTCAATAGGGCCATCCTGCCAATCCAGGAGGCATTTGGTAATGTGTGCAGACATTTTTTTGTTGTCACAGCCGGGGTGGGGCATGGTAAGAGGTGCTTCCAGCATCTGGTGGGGAGAGGCCAGGGATGCTCCTAATTGTCCTGCAACAGAGAAGACGTCTCCACGACCAAGAACTGTTCTGCTCCAGATGTCACCAGTGCTGAGGCTGAGAGAGTGTGTGTGCTCCAGGTAATTCTCATTTGCTTCATCTCAGCTTGATCTTCCCCCTCAGTTTTGAACCCTTCCCTTTATTGTGTGCTCTGGCTTTCCTTTCTATTTTATTCCGTGGCTGTTCCACACGTGTCCCCTAGTTCCATGAGGCCAGGCAGCATTTCTCACACTGCTCTTGTGGTCACTGTGGTGCTCAATGGAGTTGCATGGGAGGCTTTTGGGAGGTTTTCTCGGCAAGTGCAGGTACATAAACTAGAATCAAAGGTGCTTAGGAATGAAATCTCCCATACAGAATTATATAATTATACTTCACCTTAAAAAACAAAGGCTTATAAATGATGAAAGGATAATTTCCTCTTTTCAGCAACATTCAGTGCTGAAAACAGAAGCTCATAGACTCACAGAACTCCCATCCCTAGTGAAACCAAAGGACTGGCCAGTTAGCTATCTCCTTTTGCTGCCTGCACCCTCTTCAGCAGCCTCCTACTTTTTTATTTAGACTGGGAAAGAGGGTTCAGAGAGTGTTTCCCACATGCTCTGTTCTTATTGTCTGGCTGATCTGTGGTACCCACACCTGGCCTCCTTGGACCCTTTGAGGCTTTATGGTTTTTTAAAATGTCCCCAACCAACTAATTTGGACTCTGTGGCAGGGGGATTAGAAGCTGGTAGCTGACTGGGGAAGGCAGACTCTTTGCAGGAGGACCCTAGGTCTCCAGCAATCCCAAGAGCCTTGGACTATAAGACGAGGGAGTTGCATTATGGCTTTGTGCTTAGATCTCTTGGCAGCACGAGCTCCGTCCTTTTACTAGCTGGAAGATGATATAGCTGCATGGCACGCAGGCCTCACCAATTCCCTCATTCCTATATTCAGGGGATGAGCTGCTGTGTGCTGCATCTGCCTGGAATTTTAAGAGAAACCCAAGACAGAAGGACTTGTGAGGACCTGCCCTACAAACAATGGAAACATTTAGGAGGGACGGAAAAAGAAAATCATTGCAAGAAGGACATGGGGAAGAAAATAATTTCAGAAAAGCATTTAGAGATGCAAACAGCTGCCTTTAAGCACCATTGCAAGTTGGGTCTCTAATACATACTCCTTGCCCTCTTTCTGTGTCCCACTTACACACAATTTTTTATTTTTAGCATGAGTCTATTTCTGTATGTATGTTCTATTAGAGATTAGTATTTCTTCAACTATATGCCACGTGTAAGAGGTCAAGCACATTTTGAGTACAAAGCTAATAATAAATGAAGATGTTTTCTAGCTTGAATACCCAACTCTCGACAAACCATTCATTATATTTGCTACAGAGACTCACAACACACCTGCCTCACTTTTGCCCCAAACTGAATATTAGCCAACTGTTGTTCCTCTCCGTGGAGAGAAGTCTGCCAGGTGGTGAGGCGACACTTAGTACTCAACTGCTGCAAACAGTTGGCTTCCTGGCTCTTCCTTCCAGAAGCAAAATGAGTACTTGGATAAAAATGGATCTTCTGTCCTCTTTCAATTAAAGATAAGATTTATGGCAAAAGCAACAAGCAGACATTTCAGAAAACAATACAATCTATGAGCAAACTTATGAAGTCATTCCCAGCAATGTGGGTCCTTCATGTTATACTTAGGAACTGGACTTATTTTTATTTACATTGCATATATCAAGAAGTAGACATCTCCTCATCTCCCCCACTCTCCATACACAAAAGGACAATATCTTTTAAAAATTCTCCCTCTGAGGCAACTGGAAAAAGGAGACAGGTCACCTCCCTCCAAGTGTCCCACCTTTCCCATTGTTATACTAGTGTGAGTGATATTTCTATTAAAAAGCTCACTGGTGAGCCTGTGTTTTTATTCCTAAGGCAAAAGTCACAGCTGGATCCTAGCTGAAGCTTACCTCCCACGTTAGTGCCAAGCGGCTCACAGCAACGTTACTTAGTCCCATGACGATGGCAAAAAAGGAATTCAGATTTTTATACTCCTTACAGCTGAAACACAGGAGATGCGTGTTTGAGTAAAATGTTACTTCTGTGTGAGATAAAAAAAATTAGAGTTCTATTTTCTGATAGTCATTAATATTTGTCAGGGCTCATTTATGAGAACAGGCAATGATAGATTTAATGTACTGTAAAAGTTCCACTTGGGTGACCATGTTCTGCTGTTTGATTTCTCACTGTGTTTTTAGAAAGTTGAAGACGTTAGCCATTGAGGTTTGGGATCTGAGAAGGAACTTAAAGACACCTACCTTAGGGGTTGTTATTATAATCCCAAACTTGCTAAAAGCCTTGTTGGACCGAGAGGGAAATATCTCATGGGGTAAGAAAAAAAGTGAAGTGCCCTTGGAGATTTCTAGACCTTTAGCCTGAAGGTGGATATCCTCCTCTGGCAGCTTGAGAGGGCACTAAGGGAGTCTCACAGCTGCAGCCACCATGGCTTCTACCTGCCATGCAAATGCTACTTGTTTGTTGAAAAATATCAACTTATAAGGTGTGATCTCTATAGGCTGGGCACTCAATCTCAAGGAATTTTAAAGCTGAGAAGTAACCTAAACAACTGACCAAGAAATAACCTTCTCTGTGTTTTACTGACATCAATGAAGCTGATCATTTTGAATCTGTACTTACGCCATTATTAGCTTTTATGAATATATGTTTGGGAATGAGACATGTGGAAAAAAACAGAAATTCTTATTAGAATGGTGATGTTTAACACAGGTACTTGGTTTAACCATTTTTTAGAAAGAGAAACCCCAAACTTCTTCATACCAGGTCCCTGAAAAGGGAAAGAATTCATTTTGCAATACGCATAAATCCTTCATCCTGAATCAATATGGTTATCGAAATTGACCATATCATAATGAAATCCTGTTTGGATTAACATTTTTGAAAAAGACTAAATTGTTGCATTTGCTACCCATTGCAAAGGTAGCAAAGAGTAATTCTTAAATTGTCTGTGTGGAGATGGAGAACATATTTCAGAGAAGCTAGTGTGTATGGTCCCACTGGTGAGAAAGCAAGTGAGGCCTTTGGTGTGCTGGGACAATGGGTCTGAGTTCAGGAGCTGAAGGTTATTTAGAAGACACCTGGGGCTAAAGGCAGGTATACAATCGCATCTATGTGTTTGCCTCTGTCCTTTATGTGATCTTGAAAGAACAAATGCAGGGCTGTAGACCTGCCTTTCTAGTCACTGCCTTGTTATCAGCTAACTTTATTACCCTATGTAAGTCATGAAATTTCTCTATGCCTCCACGAATGTAAACAGAGGAATAAGAACATCTGCTTCCACCAACTTCACACAGTTCTGGGCAGGCAAAGAGCTTAAAACAAATATGTTGAAGTTCTCTAAAAATATAAAGTAAAACAGATGCTACTGTCACGAGGTTTCAACCTCATTCTTGTAGATCTCGGATTTAAAAAGTCTACAGTCTTCTTCAGCTGGGCTGTGTAAATAGCTTCTCTACAGGACGGCAAATGTAGCACAGGGCTTAATAATGGTTAAATAACATAAACTAATTTATACTGAAGGCCAAGTCCACCTACTCATTCACCTAAACAGAAGGGAGAGGGATAAGAAAAGCAAAAATATATATATATAAAAAAAAGTCCTGGGTGTTCTGAAAGGCTCTCCCATGTTGCCTCTGTAAAATAACAGGATCAGGCCCCAAAAGATTTTCTGGCTTCCCACATTTGTGTGCAGATTGCCTCTCTCTTCTTGTTGCATTGGGCACTGCCAGGCTAAGGTGAAGAGAGAGAGTGTGCTTCTTCTAACGGGAAAGCACATCTTGTCATAGTTTCCATAATCAGCTCATTCCAAATATGTGAAGGCATTTGTCCCTTGCCATAAGGCTGTGCAGACTACCAGGGAAGTGGCTATACTCTGAACCAGAAATTCACAGGCACCATTTTACCAAGCCTTTCTTAAAATAGCCAGCTTTGCCATATTAACAGATAGCAGCTTTTGAATCCAAGGGATTTGGTATTCTATTGAACCCTCAAGTTGTTGGCAAATAATTCCAGGCATCTGGCAAACTGATATCTATAAAATGTCAAGCAGCCTTTACTTCTTTGTTTAGCCCAGGAAATCAAACTCCATGTTTGATTTTGGGTCAAGAAAATTGTCTAGCTGGGGTCACTTGTGCTCTCAGCCTTCCTGTGTGCTAGAGCTCCCTGCATTTAGAAAGGAAAGAAGTCTCACAGCCATAGGCCACATTTAGCATTTTATTTTTAGCACTGTGGTGATACCAAAAACATGGAAGTAAACAGGAGGTTGTCAGGCATATCTAAATAGCAGGAGAAGATTAAATTCATGTCAGGGAGAACTCTAACTGGCCCCTGTAGTAAAAAAATTGTTTCCCATGAAGTGCTGTTTAATAGAATATTTATAAGATAGATGCTTCTTTTTCTGATGTTTGTAGTGATGATTTTCATGTACCAGGTTAGCTCGCATGCATTTTACCGATTTAATTCTGTCTGGGCTGGATGTGCTGCTGTACATGCATGCTGCACTGCCCTCTACTGGTGAGAATGTGTCATGCTGGACATTGACTTCAAGATCTTTTCAACTGAACTTTCGAAGTATAAGGGAACTTGGTTTACGGAAGGAATTTTAAACTAAAGGAGGCAAAACCGTCTGAGTAGAAAGCAAAGAGCAAAGAGAGGTCACAACTTCGACTCCAGCATCAGTGCTGTAAAGAAGTTAATTTATCTATTGATGTTAAATGCTACAAAATATAGGAGAGATCCATTACAAGAGTTTGGTTATTCCTAAGACCCTGTGTTTGGCCCTCTAGCAGTTCCTAGATCCTGCTTTTCTTTTTAAGGTGTAGTCTAAGAAAACAAAATGAAAACACAGCTCAACATTTTTTTTTCTCTTTCCAAGCTAAATATACTTACTGGGCTGCTATCTTAATAAATTTTTTTAATAGCTGAACACGCTTGCTGAGCTGAGAACAAAGGCAGATCTCAGTGACGACCCAAAACTGAATTTCATTAAATCTCCTCAGGAACAAATCCAAGTTTGCTGTGGTCTTTTTAAAATTATGCCTTCCAAATGTGTGATAGATTAGCTCCAGCTAGAAAATAAAGGAAAACAATTTTGCTTATTTTTTTTTAAATCAAAACACCAGCAGGTTTCTCTATTTGTCAAGACAGTGTTTTACTGGTCAGCAAATGTGAAGTCAATCAGACTTGAAGGGCTTCCATGAGGTTTGTTAAATATATAAATATAAACTAGGTTTTACTGGCTTAATATACACAGGAAGACACGGCATACTGTAAAGATTTTTCTTTAATACTCAAAGGCTTTATAGCATGCTTTATTTATAAGCTCAGTATGCAAAAAAATGGTCATGTGGTTTCCATATTGTAGCACATATTAGCACTTACAAACTAAGCAATGCCAGCAGCCTTTATCCTTGCTATCTCAGCTACTAACACATCTGATCCTGCATCTTACCTCATGCACGCAGTTGAAGAGTTCCCAATCATAAATTGTCATCTGGTATGCTAAATCTTTGGAGCTCATCAGTTCAAAAGTTCCCACTGTTCCAACAGTTGGGCCTTCCTGTTCTGGTAAGGGAGTCTATGAATAATAATGCAAAAACATATCAGAAACTCAACACAGACAAGTATTTAGCACTAAAAGCTTTCAGGAGTTTCTGAGGGGAAAGGATTCTGGAGATGGACGCTTTCAGGAATATCTGGAAACTCTGAGGAGAGATGCCTCTGCTCGCAACGCTAGTTGCTTTAGTGTCGTCTGTAAGTCACCAATCATCATTACCATCAATTCCACTGACTGAAAAATGTGAACCGCGGCAAATAAGATTCAGTGAAGAGTGACCTGCAGAGGTTCTCTTCTCTCACACTCAGGCCTGGGAGGTCCCTGGAAACTCTTCTTTTCCCTGGTAAAAATGGAAGAAGTCCTGGGAGACCTTTTTTCTCCTATTTCTCACTGAAGCTGCTGTAAAGCAGGTAACGGCATGGCAGTTTGGGACGTTCATCCACAGTGCTACTTCCTGCTGCCGGTGGCCATGGTAACACTGCTGCCTCTCCATCTCTTGGGACACACTGCCTGGGGTCATGAGGGAATGGAAAGCTCTGTGAACTGAGGTTACACATGATGTCTGATCCCTCTACTCTTGGGCAGATGTTGAGCTGAGGATGTTATTCGCATGGTTATGGTGTTTTGGGCTAGACATTAGAAAGCCAACGTCTGCTACTTTCTGGAAGACCCCTCACTAAAAGTTTCCATCTGACTTGCTTATCTCAGTTTTATTTTATGAGAAATGATCTAAAGTGTTTTTACTTAGTGAGATGAATGATATGCATATATAGGAAGCACACGTATAATGCAATAGATTTATATATAAATAGGCAACACACACATTACAAAGTTCCAAAAGTCACAAAAGTGGCTGGCACAGTGGCTCACGCCTGTAATCCCAGCACTCTGGGAGGCCAAGGCGGGTGGATCACCTGAGGTCAGTAGTTCAAGACAAGCCTGGCCAACATGGCGAAACCCTGTCTCTACTGAAAATACAAAAATTAGCTGGGCGTAGTGGCATGTACCTGTAGTGCCAGCTACTCGGGAGGCTGAGGCAGGAGAATCGCTTAAACCCAGGAGGCAGAGGTTGCAGTGAGCCGAGATCGTGCCACTGCACCCCAGCCTGGGCGACAGAATGAGACTCCATCTCCAAAAAAATAAAATAAAATAAAAAATAAAAACAAAATGATGCTAACTATATTTAGATACTATCCATGTCAGAAGTCCTAATATTATACAAGTTCCATCATCATTTTCATCATCATCACTGTATTCTACAAACTCCCACTGCATTCTGGGCACTAGAGAAATTACATGTTCTGCAGGTAGACGGTGCTT
Source organism: Homo sapiens (assembly GCF_000001405.40). Classification (NCBI taxonomy): domain Eukaryota; kingdom Metazoa; phylum Chordata; class Mammalia; order Primates; family Hominidae; genus Homo; species Homo sapiens. The sequence goes on along the minus strand of NC_000002.12, from coordinate 173,025,272 downwards.
GCATTTGGAAGTTTACAGTCTAAGAGAGGACCAAGCAAGGTTACAGTTGAAGGGAATCAACCCTGTCTGGCCCATACAGCACTCCACAGAGGCAGCATCTGCTGCTGGTCCTTATTTGCAGGTATAAAGGGACAGAAGCAACAACACATGTGACACCCAGGTACAGAGATAAACAGGAGGGGAACATGAATGAATTTTTGGGAAGTTATTGGGTATTTGGAATGAATGTGTGGTCTGAACAGGATCTTGAAGAAGCTGGGCTTTAAAAGATGAAGCAGACAAGCTTGGGCAGGTGAGAATAGCAAGGTTTTCCCTGAGCATCCAGGATGGTCCCTTGGGGTGGAAGGATGGCAACAAGAGCATGAAGATGGGGAAGCTGTCATGAAACTTGCTTGGCAGGAGCAGAGAGCACAGGGGGTCCCCATGGACAGTGTGAACAGTTAGTAGCACATCTTCGTGTACCAGATTAGGAGTTTGTGTTTTGTAATAGACTAGATAATAGACCAGGTTAGTGTCAGCTTTAGAGAGCAAGTGACTCTGAATATAAACCCTACTCTAACTGTGTAGACTTGGATTGATTCCCTAATCTCTTGAGTGTCTGTTTCCAGCTCTGGTAAATTGGGGTCATGATACCTATACCTAGGCTTGTTAAGAGAACTGGATAGGAGTGATTTCAGTGAATCATGTAAATACAGTGCCTGGCACAAAAGAGGTCCCCTCCCCCAAATCAGTTCACTTTCTAGAAGTGCTGCAGCAGGCCGGGCGCGGTGGCTCACGCCTGTAATCCCAGCACTTTGGGAGGCCGAGGCGGGCGGATCACGAGGTCAGGAGATCGAGACCATCCTGGCTAAAACGGTGAAACCCCGTCTCTACTAAAAATACAAAAAATTAGCCGGGCGTAGTGGCGGGCGCCTGTAGTCCCAGCTACTTGGGAGGCTGAGGCAGGAGAATGGCGTGAACCCGGGAGGCGGAGCTTGCAGTGAGCCGAGATCCCGCCACTGCACTCCAGCCTGGGCGACAGAGCGAGACTCCGTCTCAAAAAAAAAAAAAAAAATAATAAAAAAAAGAAGTGCTGTAGCAATGCAAATACACAGAAAAGTGTGATCAGTACAACACCTGGATGTAGGAGCGAAATACTGTTGCTCCCAATTTACTCTACACAGGGGACAGAGGACAGGGAAGAAAAGTGATTCCAAAGTTTTAAATCTTAGGGAACTGAACCGAAGCTGATGGGCAAGTAGCATATGGAAACAAATGAGGAGAATGATTTCAACCAGGGTAGGTCCTAGGTAAAAAAAGTTGGGGAAGCTTATACATTTTAGGGTTTACGACTGCCTCTCAGAGGATCAAACTGGCCTTGCACGTTCTTCCTTCCCTCTTGCAGCTGCTGTGAACACAGCCCTTCTGCTGCTCTGCGGAGCTGCCCCTCCTACGTTATTCCTGCTGTTTGCTCTCTCCTCAGGATTGGAGATACCCAGTACACCTTGCTCCTTCTTTTCCTTGAGGCTTTATAACTTTACATAAGGGGGACAAGTTTACCTAACAACACAGGGAAGAGTCTAATATTAAGAAATATGCAAAGTTCTTTTAGTCGTGGATGCTGGTCTATCACTCCTGCAACCCTTTTGAGAGTAACGGAAAGCTCTGTTGAGTCTCAACTTTTCTTTCAGTGGGCAGGGCTCACCAAGTCTCTCTCCCGGCGTAGGGCAGGTTGACCCCTTCCATGAGCCACGGAAGAGGCAATGTGAGCAGCAAAAGGTGCTTCTCCCTTAGAAGTGGGGAATATAAATGCTCACCCTGGACCCCAGAGGAAGCGCCTCCTTGGGCCATTTTCTTGTACATAGCCCTGTGGAAATGTCCTACAGATAAGGCACAGCAGAGCTTATGTGGAGCCTGCATCGCACAGACAGATCTGAAAGCTGCTTACCCACAGACACAGAACTCCCATGCATTTTCTCCCCACGGTTTTTGAGCCATGATTTCTTTGCTAAGGCTGGAGAGGGGTAATTGGGAGAGTAGCATTGTTATCCTCCCATTTTCCAGATGAGGAGACTAAGACATAAAAGGGATGTGTGGATTGTCAGTGACAAAGAGATGGTGAAGGTAAGCTACCCGGAGCATCTTCCTTTCCTCGTGTGCCCACACCCTCTGTGTCTAGCTCTGCTATGGCCCTTGCTGCACTGCATTCTCACTGGTCACATGCGGGGGTGCCTCACTACACTGTTTGCTCACTGAGGTACAAGGACCATGATGGTTTTGTCTTCAAGACCATTTTAGAGCCAGAACCATCTACAATGCCTGCGATGATGTGGTAGGTACTAAATAAAAGTCTGAGGAACCAGTGAATGGACAAAAGTAGAATCACATTATACTACAATGGAGTTTTATAGGAATTTGCTCTGTACTGATATTTATACTTAAATAAAATGTGAAGAGTAAAGTTTCAGAATCTGAACCCTTAACCACTAGGCTAACTTGCCAGCACTCTACTGATTCTATTATAGACCACACAATTTAAGGCTAACATTGAACACTAAGACTTGTTCTATTCCAGGCTGCTTGTGTTAGTCTCATCTCTCTGGCTTTAGCGTAACTGCGGTAAGGACAGAGGCTCTGGGGCACTTGGTTTAGTGTCTCACAGAAGCCAGCACAGCCCCAAGCACAGAGCAGACCCTGCAGAAGCATGTGTGGATGGATCAGAGAGTGTGGCCAACATTCTCTACTGCAGGGTCATCCTCTGTGCGACTCCTCCTCGATGGGCTGTCCTCAAAGGGAATCTTTAGAAAGCCAGAGAAGGAGCTCATTGTCCACAGTTATGTGAGGCAGGTAAGGTTTGGCCACTCACAGCACAATGAATGGCAGAGCGCTGATAGGGAAGAAGTTCATGCCCAGGGTACTCAATGCAGAGGACATTCCTTCCAACGACAGAGGCCTTAAAACAGAGGACGAGCAAGGACTAAGAACTTGGAAGGCTGCAGGACTGTGTGCCAACAAACAGAGGTTTAGAAAGTTAGTATCTGCCCCACAGGGAGCTGAAGACAGTCTGCACTCCCTGTGTCTGCGCCATGTCATTTGGCACTGCGGCCAAGAACCCTCTGGCAAGAGAGTCCCCAGCACCCGTGCAGTAACATGTCACATAGCACCTTTAATGGGGCTGCGCTGAACTGGCTTTTTATGGCTTTCCTTTCCAGGAGAGGGCAGCACGACTCATTTATGACATTTTTTTCCCCAATCCTTCAGTATTGAGAAATATTTATTTAGAAAGCAATGAATGTAGATGACTAAAAAAATATACGGAAAGGCGGGAGGCAGACTCAGATCTTATAAGGCTGGTGATTGAGGAAAGGTGAGCGTGCTTATGGGCTCTGATGGATGAGGGATTAGCAGGAAAACTAATGCCACATTTGCTAAGTTCCTCTCCAAGTGAATTCAAAATATGGTAAAAATCCACCTATCCTCACTGGAGTGCACAAAATGGTACTCTCTAAAACAAAAAATCAGGATTATGATGAGCCTGAAACAACCTCTAAAAAGTCCAAGGAAGAGAATCTTGATATCTATAAGAGCTGATCTGATCAAACTTGAAACCTACTCATGCATCCCTTATGTAAACTCTCTCCCTAAAATTGGATGCAGTTTACCTCTAGCTCTTGTCTTGTGCCTTTCTTTTCTTTTCTTTGTTTTTGAGGCAGAGTCTCGCTCTGTTGCCCAGGCTGGAGTGCAGTGGCGCCATCTTGGCTCACTGCAAGCTCCGCCTCCCGGGTTCACGCCATTCTCCTGCCTCAGCCTCCTGAGTAGCTGGGACTACAGGCGCCCGCCACCACGCTCGGTCTTGTGCCTTTCTTAAAGGAGAAACCCCGTGTATCCAAAGACTGAAGAAACCAGTTTCTCTACCCTCTGAATTGGCCCTCTAGGCTTTCTAAGATATGTTACTAGCTACTCACCTACATACCAAATTCTGGTAGGAGAAATAGAAATGGATGCTACCACCGACTTAAAAGAGAGCAGGCTACTCAGTTATTAGTGTGGTCCTATTAGTCTTTTCTTCACAGAAAGATCTGTCTGTATGCTGGGTAACAAGTGTTTTTGGAGACTTAGGGAAGGGTCTGGACTTTGCCATTTTCTGCATAAGGTAGAGAAAGTGCTTTTGGGGAACAGCATTTCTCTTAGATCAGATGGTGGCTTTGCCATAATGCAAAGGAGCCTGATAAATAGTGATATCTTGCTTTAGAAAAATTATTTCCATCCTGGTGTAAGTATTCAGATTCTTAATATTTAAACTGGGGACATACCAATGAGGCGAATTACAACAAAGAGTTCTGAAAGCTGAATTATGCCCTAATAGTGGTGCTACTTGGCTAATTTTCACAAAAGAAAATCAAAAGCCCTGAGCATCTCAAATGAACACCTGAGGCTTACCTAATAGACTGCAGAAAAAGAAAAAGCTAAGTACCATTCAAGATTTTTTAGCCACTGGGTTCAGTGTGACTGCAAAATTAGGCTCCAGACAAGTTTTTCTGATTGCAATGCTGCTCTGAGCAGGCCATCCACACCTACCAGTGAATCGAATTGCTCTCGCGGGCAAGCAAACAGGCGTCCATTAATGGTGAGCGTCGTAAATACTGAAACATCATTAGGTTTGAGCACCACCTTTTCTGTGAACATAAAAAGCATGAGATTGCCTATTAAATACATCTGAGATTTGCTGCACTGCCCTAATCACACCAACAAATTGCCAGCTTGGTGAATTACCGGAACACGCAGAGTGACTGCATAAAATAGAGTACTGAAGGGATCCACGGAATAAAAAAGACGGCATTCATGCAGCCCTGCGCCACTCAGGATGCCTTCAGAAATGGCCACAAAAAGGAATAGAGATGCCAGAGGGTCAATTCACCCAGTTTTGTGCTGCAACCATAATTACTGAGCACATAAAACCCGCACTTGGCTATTTATCTCACAAGTTATGTTTCCAGATGGTAATCACACCCAGGACTTTGGACATAGAAAGATCACTTTTTAAAAACTTTGGAGGTTTCTGAGACCTCACATGATTTTAGATGCAAAATTTACTATTGTTTTTTCACTTATTCCCTAATTTGCAGGGCAATAGCATTAACTAGATTAAGCCTCCTCCCACATTAAAAAAATTAGTTCTTCAGATGAGAACATGTCAAAAAAATTAAAAAATTAGTTCATTTAATAAACATTTATTTTGTATTTACTGCATGCCAGAAACTGCTCCAGGCACTGGGGAGACAGAAGGGAACAATACAGAAAAAAAATCCCACTCCAAAAAGCATTACATCATAGTGGGAGATGCCAACAATAAAGAAAAGAAATAGATTACAGAGTGAGAAGGCAAGGAGAAAAAAATATCACAGGGGTGGGGTCTAGGAAGCTTGTGTAAGGGGAAGAAGTTAACATTTTAGAAAGGGAATGAAGCAAATGAAGGAGGGAGCTTCAGTGAGACACTGACATTTGGGTAAAGACTGAAAGAAAGTGAGGGTGAGACCTGGGATATCTATGGGAAGGTGACAAGGGGTCAGGGAGGGCAGACATCCTGGGCCTTGTGCAACTGGAGCAGAAATGGAAGGGAGATCTTAAAATCCAACATGCATTTAAAAATCCTCCATCAGTGGAATCATTCACCTTAAAACATGACAGAAATGGCTCACCTGTTCCTGAAGGATTCCGCCAAATGGCTGTCAAATCATGACTGGAGAAATGAACCTCACTGTTGCTTCCTCTAGTCTCTCACTACAATATGTGGTCATTCCTAAAACTCTTGCCAGCATGAACTGTAATTGTTTTAACTTACCGTCTACCTCCTCCCTGGCCTGGGAACAACCTGGGGACGTGAGCTGTGTCTAACTCATTCTTTCCTTCGTAGCCACACTGTGGCCAGTAAATATGTGATGAACGAATAAATGACATTTCAAAAATGCACCATGTAATCAAGGACAGTGAAAGGAACTGTAATCCCGTGGAGGAAAAATATTCCTCATTTCATTTGAGCCAGGCTCCTAGCCTCTCTACTGAGTAAGGAGAAAAACCATCATCAGCTTCAAAGAACTAGCTTCTGACCACTTCCAACTTTGGACTTGTAGAAACCCATGGCCTTGAGCTTGTCCAGCTAGATTTCCTCTTGGGGCCCATATTTTTCAGGGCTCCAAGGCCTAAAACTTTTTTGAATAGAGTTTAAATTGAAAGAACTCCAGGCCAACATCTACACGACAGTCCTCAGTTCCAGTCACCTTTCTGATTTAGAGTGGGTACCTACCAGATAGGGGACATTAGAAACCCAACCCACCTCTACCCATACTGTTTCTGTTATTAGTGGAAGCATACATAAGCACCAGTTCATCCTCTGGGTGAGCCTCACATGACCACGCTAACTCCTTACATAGTTTCTGCTTGGATGGAATGTCCCATTTTGCAGAGCCTAAAATATGAATTAAGACTGTTACCTCCTCCGGAACTCATCTTGACTATGATCAGGCCCTCCCCGGAGCCCAGCTTGTCGGCAACTGCACTGATGACTTCCTTCACCGAAGTGGCCACTGGCACCCGAATGGTTGTGTAGGTGTGGTCCATGCAATAGACCTTAAACAGAACTATCCAAAGGCAGTAACAAGGTAGTAAATCACTCTTAAGAGTTTTCAATAAAACTATAGTTATGAAAAATGTTTAGGCATCCTCTCCAATTTGCATCATTTTGCCATTTTTGTTACTGTATTTATTCATACTCATTTACCCCTATTCCTGCCCCTTCTAAACTGCTTACCTTAGCATTGGTCTAAGAATAGGTGCACATATGGTTGCCAAGTCCAATTAAAAGAACAAGAGATATTGGTGAAAACCCCACAAAGAGGTCATGGGAAAAAATTGAGAGTATCTTCAGGCTGATGTTCAGGGTCTGAAGTGCTATACTGTAGGCAATTCACAGATCACTGCTACCCTGTGTGGCAGTGGGGAGACACCATTCACCTCTCTGCACACAGGAGGGCTTCCGCCTGGGCCATGAGCACGTGCTGACACTCCTGCTCACTTGCTTCAGTGGCTTGTGTGCTTTGGGGCCAGGCCATGTAAGCTCGGATGCTATTTAGCTCAGCAGACTTAGATCAGCAGATCTGGATATGGCACCCAGAGGCTCAACTCTGAACACAAAAATCCTGGGAGCAATTCCCATTATTATATTATAATTCCTGGGTTTAGAGGCAGTCCTAAATGACAAGATTTATTTATAGCTTTAAATGAAATTTTTATCATTATTATTGTGACTATTTTTGGTTGTGATTCTTTGGAGAATCTTAAATAACCAAACAAAAGCCAGCATCTTGATCTTCCTGATGTAAAGCCTCCCTGCTCAGGGCTGGGCTCAGGGCCAGAGCATTGTCCCTGGGCAGGATGCTGGTGATCCATTGTCTCCTTGGCACCCACTAGGCGCCAGCTACCTTCCCACCAGCTTTTCCCAGGGGTGGGCAATCCTGACAACCAGGCCCTGAGATCATCTTCATTTCCTCCAAGGAAAGGGGTTAAGCAGGGAGAGGCCAAATCAGGGAAAGGTAGACAGGCATCTCGGCTTCAGGCACAAGAGTTTAAGGACATAAATAATCGGGCCACCAAAGGGCACCTCCAAGCAAACCATCTGGAGGGCAACAGGGCATCTTCAAAAGAAGCTATTCTGTGGGTCCAAGGTGATGCTTACCATTATCCTGACTAAATAATCTATACAACTACGAGTTAGTTGGAAGAGGGTTCTCACCTTCATCAGAGCCGCGGATAGGCTGGCGCTTCTGGGCTCTCTCATCGCCCGTATTGAACTGTTGCAAAAGAACCTTGTGCTGTAAAAACAACCACAGCAAGTGCCATAAGGGACAGTGACCAATGCATGCTAGCATCTCAGAGAAGACACATCTGAGAAGCAAGCAGAGTCAAGAAATGAAGACAATATATTTCACGTCTACAAAAAAGAAATCACTTTTATGTATACTGCAATATAATATTTCTGGGGAATTGTAATTCTACAGGACACAGACAGAGAATGCAAGTTCATGCCACCTACCTTCTTTTGTGGTGCCTTTGCATCTTCTGAGCTACGAGAAGTAGAGAAAGCACATTATTTAATACCATTGCTACTATTAAATTGCCTTATTTGTATATAACTAATCTTATGTTAGAAAATGAAATCACAATCACAGAATCCTTTCAGGAGACAATATGAGCTTCCTCATTTTAATAGTAATAGATCAAAGCAGAAGGGTAGACAGCAAAGATATCAGCTCTTGTCACAGGCAGATTCCTGGCAGAACCGATGTTCAAAGCCAGGATTTCTAGCTTTCAAAGTCTATCTAGCAGCACACTCACTCTCTGATACTGCATTTAATCTATAGTTCAAGTAATAGCATGTGAAAACCTTCTGGTTCATTGAGAGGACACAAATATTCACCACCAACAGCTTTGGCAGCAGTTAGTGAATTTTCCATATAAGTAGTTGCCCTCAAACTTTCTTTAAATGCCGCTGGCCATTTTATTGCCAGATTCACTGCCTTGAACCTAAGGGACCCAGGTTTATTGAGTTGGACTCCACCCAGGAGGATCTTTTCTTTCCCAGGCTATCTTTTGGCAGCCCTCTAGCACAGAATGAACAGAATCTCAGTCCTTCTGTTCCTCTGGCCTTACTGCACCACCTATGCCCTCAGCCCAGTCTGCTTAAATCAAATCAAGCGGGGCATGGCTATGGAAAGACCAGCTTTAACCTTTCTTGTGGGCAAAGGACTTTTTGAGATTTACTTGATGAAAGCACACCCCCACAGTCAAGCCCTTCCTTACATTTGCTTGACAATCTTCTCCAACTCTGGCAGTTGCTCCTTGAGGGCAGCAATCATCCGGGCATCATCTGATACAGATACATAAAACTCCTGTAATTGGCAAAAGTCACAGGCTTTTAACAAGAACTGCAAAAGGCACATGATTCTGTCAAGAGCAATAAAGATGTGTCCCTATGTCATCTGCTTCACCAGCATCTCCAGACCATGGCTTCATGGACTGGAGGAAGAACAAAGAAGAAAATGTTACACTATGTCTAAGTTCAAAATTGGCCATGAGAAAAAATTTTGGAAATAGTGGCAATCAATGACTGCACGGATATCAGAAATGAAATGAATGCCACTGAACTATACACCTAAAAATGGTTACAATGGGAAAATTTATATTAGATATCTATTTTACAACAATAAAAATTCAATTCAAAGTAAATTGCAGGTGAACTGTTTATATGATATTTATATGAAAGCCAATGTTTTGAAATGGGTCATTTTGGAGTCCACAAAAGAGTGCTTTTTTTAGTTCATTTTTCTCAGGGGAATTTTAATGTTCGTTTTCACATTATTTTGGTATGTATTGTTTATTGACTAGGTGTCACTCATTCTGGGTCATGGTTGGTGGTAAGATGCAGCATGGTCTTCAGCACTGTAGCGAATTTATGATGAGTTTGTGCCACCAACTCAGGACTCTCTGATGCCCTTCTGGGAACTGTCCTGACCCTGCAGCTGTAGGTGTGCCTGCTCTGCAGCAGAAGGTGAGAACCATGGCAGTGCCAGCTACACCACCACTTTAGTTCATCTACAAAATGGTCCTGTACTCAGCGGGTAGAGGCCATGAGTCAATGTATGACCCCAAGCTACCGCCATTCCTCGCATTTTCAAAATACTTCATTCCTCAGCTTGGAGGGATGCTCTCGGTCCATCTTTCCTCACTGCCTCGCACCTCTGGCTGTGAAATGATATGAATAGAAAGGAGAGACGGTGTATGTTTCTTTTGGATAATTTATAATTTTAGAACACAGACTGAAAAAGTTTGAAACGGAAGTAACATTGCCTTTTGCCTGAACAGAAGTCAGGTCTTCATCCAAATTTTGGAGGGGAGAGCGACTAATTGAGCTTAAATGTCAGAATCAGTGCTGTAATTTGGGGCTAGAGCTACGGGAAGGAACGGGGAAGTGCAGCTTTCAACAGTGTTTATGAACCACTTTCACAGCCTACCATTTCCAGTTCTAGCAATTCCTAAATAAATGATCTGCTCCACTCCACTCAAAAATATCTACCATTTGATCTAGTAATCCCATTTCTAGGAAGGTAATCAAGGACAGAATCACTTGCACAAGACTTTTTACCGTACTACTATTCTAGGAAGGTGAAAACTGGAAATGATGTGAACACTCAACAATAAGGGAACACATAAATATATCTGTGACATGGCTACTCAATGGTCATTAGATATTTTTTTGATTACTTCAGGAGATGTAAATAAATTTTTATTATAAGGACTGTACTGACAGAAAAATCCTTATATCAAATAAATGGAAAAAGCAGCCTGCAGAATGATGGGTGCTACGTGACTACAAGATAAAACATACAAAGAAAAAGAGACTAGATGAAAATACATGAAAATGCTACCCATTAGGGAGTCAGAATGGCAGAATAATGGGTAAATTTTTTCCTTACTTTTTCTGTAGTTCCTTTCTGATGAATGAATGTGTTCACAAAGTCTAGCATTTGCAATTACGGTCTCTCCAGGGAAGCTGCTGAGCCTATAAGTAGGTCCCTGTATTGCAGGACAACAGTATATTCTTGGAAGAGATGACCCCTGCCTACCTCCAGGAAGGCCATAGACACGTCATCCTCTTGCAGGAGGTCTCCATACATGGCAGCCCACTGTAGAACCAGGCGGATGACTCGCCTCTTATTGTTGAGGGCATAATCCATTTTCTCCTGTTCTGTACCTTGTGAAGGCTGTGCGTGGTAGGTGCCGAGGAGTCAAGGAAGAAATTGAGCCATTTCACACTCATTTCACATGCTACTTTCAAAGGTAAAGAGTGACAGATCCCAGCTTCAGAAAGCCAGGCTTTTAGATGGATAGAATTCCTCCCCTAGGCCCTCATGAAAAACCCCACAGAAAGTGTCTGTGCCGAATGCATGCAATTCCTTGTTTACTCCTGCTGACTCTGGCCTGATAGTTGCCCAAGGGATTAGACTTTCACAGACTCCTCCTGGACTTGGTGTGGACAAGGATTCTTGTGTCTAGCTCTAGCTGTCATTCTCTGCCAGGATCTGCCTTGCCCTTTGCTACTCTGGGTGGTAATGTTTCTTGCCATTGCTTCTCTCTGGGTGCATTTCCACCCGTTGTTGGTTTCCAAAATTCTGCCCGAATCTCTGTAATCCCCTTTGTTACATGCATTTCAGTAAAACTGAATGCCCAGCAGGGCATCTAGTCCTGCTGGGACCATGGCTGATACAAAGAGTGCATGGGTGGGCAAGAGAGGCTGGAGGTAGATAAACTCACCCAGAGGTAGGAAGAGGAAAGGCTCCTGCTGTACCAATTCTCTGGTGAGGGCCTCAGACACATTTTTACACCATATCTTCTTCTCTTGTGTAGAACCATGACTTACCTTACTGGCTCTTTGCACATTTATGGCTACCATCTTAATTGTAAGCACCTTGAGGCTTGGGATGATGGTCATTTGTCCTGTATTCTACACTACGCCTAGGATACTGACTTTCACCCAGAAACTGTATTTATTCATTAATGCAACAAGTACTGATTGAGAGTCTCCTATGTGCCAAGAGTAAAGGTCCCTGGTCCATTCTTGTATGCTCTACAGGAGGCACAACATCACAGGTAATCAAGAAATATTTTAGGTTAGACACACCATTCCTTTTTCAATGATTTATAGTTCATATTATAGATAATTAGTTCATAAAACAACTTACTCTTCACTATTTACAATATAACTTGCACACAAAGTACTTCACTTCAACTCCACTTTATAGCCTTGTGATGAAAGTGTCGCTCCATTTCTATAAGTGAACAAACTGAAACTAAAGAAGCATAAATGGCCAGGATTACAGAGTGAGAGTGCAGAGGTTGCGAATGCAAGACTCCTGATGCCAACTAGTGTTCTTCCCATTACCCAAAGCCCCCATTCCTCACAGCGAGCTACAAGACTGGCCCTGTCTTAGCTTCCTACCCTGCCTTGAAAGACGTAGAAAACTGGCTTGTGACAGTGCTGTGCTTGAGAGCTAAACCAGTAAAGAGCCTTGTCTAAAAGGACTATAAATAATCATGATCAAGGTAAATGACAGAACTTTAAGGCAAAGGTTTACTGCATGTAAATGGGTTGCAAAATGGCTTTCATAAATTGAGCACGAGATTCATAAAAAAGAAAATTGCTCAACCTGTATTGCTACAATCCTCTCTCAGCTCACAATGAAGAAAGGAAGAAAGATCGCTTTATGTGAAAATTATTTCTTTTCTGATTAACTCTTTGGTCTCTTGCTTGCATGCATTTATAACTGAGTTTTTCTTTCCAAAGAGTTGCAATGCTGGACATTATATTTTATGACCATTTTTTAATGGCACGTAGGAGCATAGTCAGATGCATGGTAGGTACCAAATAGGAAAGTCTTGACTGATTGAAAAATATGTACTGGTTCACCCGAGAGTGGGAGGATCTGGGTTCAAGTCCTCTAGCTGCCACCATTTAGCTATGTGATATTGTGTAAGTCACTTAGCCACTGTAGACTTCCATTTACTCTCCATGAAATGAGGAGGTGAGAAGAAATCATTTCCAAATTCTCTTTCAGCTACCGCATTTAATAACGCTAAGGCAAGGTGAACCGAAGGAGAATCAGATAGGTGCCACAAACTAACATAATGAAAATACAATGCTACGTTGCCACTGTGCTTTCTTTGGTTTAGTTTTATGGTATCTTGTGTTTGTGCAGAAACTTGGATGACATCAGGCTTTGGCAGGTGCTATCTTTTTCATTTCCATGGCATAGGAGCCAAATGGAGAAAGTAAGAATGGCCAAGGTGGGGAGTAGGGGTGTGGGCTGAGGAATGCCAACCCCTATAAATGTAAGAGTCAGTGGAGATTCTGAATTCTGAGTACGGTATGTGTCAAAGCTCCCATTAGGCTGGGCTCGCTCCCTAGACTGCTGTCCCAAATATCCTGATGCCACTATGGACCATGCGTGTTCCTCACCGGGTACCTGAGGCTAGGCTTCTTCCCTCTAGTCCCTCTTCTAAGTCTAAGTGATAGTGCCTGTGAAAGACAACCTTTCTGATGGCCTTGTACTGTGAAAAATGAGCAAATTTAATTCTCTCTCAGATCATGCCAATTTAAAAGAATGTCACACTGTGCCCTAAGTTACTCTATAAACTACAATCTTAAAAATATTTCACTACACATGCAACATGAGCATATTTTGAATCACTCAAAGATGGAAACAGCATAGAGAGGAAAGGGAAGCTTTTACTGAGCTGGTAGTAATAGAGTGGTGAACACTTAGCCTCAATTTAGAAAAATAACCCCAAGATAGGACAATTAAGGTGCTAATGTGGTTTTTTTTTTTTTGAGACGGAGTCTGCTAATGTGGTTTTTAAGAAATAAATATATTTTCAAATGAATTAATATGCTTTTCAGAGAAAATACATCAAAATGCTTTACAAGTACTTAGGCAAAGAAACTATTCAAATTGATCCAATTGATTCACTAATTATTAATTAACCGACTACTTTGAGTAAAGCACCATGCTAGGTTCTGGTGATACAATGGGCACAGTCCTATTCATCTGAAATATTACATTGGACAACATGTTGGAAAGGAGGTATTCACATGTGTAAGAGAGAAAGGAGGAGTGGGGGGAGAGAGAGAGAGAGGAAAGATTCTTTCCTACTTGTTATGATAACATGTGTATAGAGCTTTACAATTCATAAAATAAGTCAATATTCTTATGCTATCAAATGATGCTTTCTACAAACCTGAGGAGGAAATATTTACCGGTGGGGAAAAGGAGATTCAGAGAGAAGAGATCTGGCCAAGGTTGTTGAGTGAATAAATGGCAGGGCTTGCAAATTCAGACAGGGCTCTTTCCACTATTCCCACCCCCACTATCCTAACCAGCAGCTATAGCAACTAGACCTTAGTGCTTGGGTTCATGAAATTATTAAGAATAAATGCATCTGGAAAGCAAAAAGCCTAATGGGAAAGAGATTCCGTGTGTGTGTGTGTGTGTGTGTGTGTGTGTGTGTGTGTGCGCGCGCGCGCTGAAGTTCCAAGGTTCCCGCAGCTGATTCAGCATGTTTAGTCACCAGGGCTGAGCACCCCTTGTCTTTGATGAAGAACCCCACAGCCTCTAGGGAGATAGAATTGACCAAATCCGGAGGGACTGGGAAAGGCTTTCTCCCTTTTCTCACGAAAGTTCAGTATTTTTACCCCTGGGAAAATAAAAGGAAGCGCTGACTTATTTCACAAAGTCTCATTTGTCCCCTCATGGATGTTTATTTACTAAAGTGAGGGTGGGGGTGATACTTCTTTTATAGCTGAATCCAGGCATTGCTAAAGGATTCTGCTCCTCCAGAGGCAACACATAGGGTTCCCCTTCTGAAATGTCTGTTGAATCAGGTTCTTAAGAAACACAGAGAGAACTTTGTATACAATTGATTATACCTGAAATGGTTACAGATCAGATGCTGATGTTTCTATTCATTCCCATAACAATCTCCCCAGGCTTTTAGAAAGTTTGTAATTTTTAGCTTTTATTTAACTCCTACAAAAAAGGTAGGAAGGGGGAAAAACTATATTCCCTTCAGGTAGCAGCCAAGGAATAAAGAATATCCTACTAGTTCCCTTGTCTCAATATGATGTCAAAAGTGCAATCTAAAAAGAGTAACATTTCAAATACAGCATGTTCATAAATTCAGACACATCAGGAAGGTTGAAGAAGCCGTCTCTGGCTAAAATTGGAATAATGCATGATCAAGAAGTGCTTTTATTGAATAAGGCCATGACTCATGATATGACAGTTGGGTCCAGGAAAGAAGCAATATGGCTGCCTGAACTCATAGGGAAAGAGATGCAGAAAGACAACATGGTTCCTATATCTCATAAAGTTCTAGTTTTTTAAAAGTCTGTAAGGCAATCTAAAATTACTTACTGAATTAGTATTTTAAACACCATTAAGGAAAGGCCATATAATTTAAGTGGCCAAACTTATCACTGACACATTTGAGTTGATTTCAGGTAAGTCATGGAATCACAGGATCTCTGTTTCAAGAGCCCTTTGATTACATTTCCTTCAACTCCATCACCTTAGAGGTAAGAAAACTGAGGCAGAATGAGTTTAAGTGATTTTTCCAAATTTATCAAAGGAATTCTTGGAACTAGAACTCAGTTCTCTTATTTTCCTCCCCAGTACTCTTTTTACCTATGTTGTTGTGTTTTGTCTGATGTTAACATTACTTTCTTTATGCAAACATAGATTATACAGCAGAGTCAGATGACTTCAAAGTTTGTTGGGAAATAGGAAAATCCATCTGAGATGTAGAAATTGATCCCCCAAATCCTGATAACAAAGCACATGCAGAAAATCAAGAGTTAACTATTACAGCCTTCATAATCTGATAGAGAGGCACAGAAATCGTTAATACCTGAACGAGATCCCATCTGCTATAGTTTAATACCTGTCAATTAGGAAAGCAGGGGCTCACTGCGACTGAGCAGACACTGTTAAATCTGATCATTCAAATTCCAACTTGAAGTTTTGCTTACACAGTTGAGTATCTCTTTTCCCAAAGGCTTGGGACCAGAAGTGGTTTTGGATTTCAGATTTTTTTTTTGGATTTTGGAATGTTTGCATTATACCTACTGGTATGAGAGCTAAAAAAACTTCGAATTTTGGAGCATTTTGGATTTTGGATTTTCAGATTAGGAATACTTAAACTGTAATAAAGTATTTCTCACCATCTGGAAGCATTAAATCAAAATCCTTAACAGAAGGAACGAGGTCGTAAACTCACTGTTAATTCCTGCACTTTCTAGCTAAAGACTGGGCACACAAAAGCCTTCAATATTTTTTAATCAACTGATTACAGATAATTTATTTGCACTGTTTGGAATGCTGTATCTAATGCACTTTTCTAAAAAAACAAAAAACCTTTAAAAATATCACAGCTATTTAAGAGCCTTTAATTAAGTTACCCGGAATCCCATCTTGTCAAGATGTCAAATACAGATCAGAGGTACATTCTAAATAAATTCATAAAGAATTTAATTGTAAAACATCTGGTACATCTTTTAAATAGAATCTTTCAGTTATTGGGTATTTAATCTACAGGATGACAAACTTTCAGAGTGACTAAATCTTCTCGGAACTGAACCACCTCCTTCAGCATTGTGTACATGTGACTGAGAGCAGATTGGATCTGTTTGCAGTGAGGCTTTAGGGCTGAGAATCAGAAGAGGTGAAGGCCACAGTGTAGGCTACAGTTTTTCTACCCTGCCAACATCAGGCTTAATATTCCATTGAGTCATTTTCCTCATGCCGGCTCTGCCGTTCAAACACTGTAATTATTTCATATATTTTTACCTAGTTATTATCTTACTCACCACAGGCACCTGTAATTTTTCTGTACTTTTTTTTAACTGCTCATTTACTTATTCTTAATTCAGCTAATAATGGTTCCATGTATTAAAATTATCATGGGGAAAGTAAGTGAAAACCTCCCAGGATGTAGAGGCAGCAGATTCATTACAGCCTACAACAGGGAATAAAATATTATGTATACTTTTTGCAGTAAGTACATGCTAATTATGCAGCTATTTATAAAACACTTAACAACATTCAAACTGATACTCTTCAATGTTGTTGTTTTTTAAAACCCTGCTTTGCATACAAGATCTCTGCTTGCAGCTGAAAACAAACTTTGGGGGTCATCTGCCCACTGACAAGACAAAGCTTTTGTATATTCTTTATAACATGCCATATTCCTCTCCTGATGGTATAATAATAACAGCAACATATATATGGGACTTTAAGGTTTATAACGTATGTTCACACACATAACCTCATTTGATTTTCACAACAACCTGGTAAAGTGGGTAGGGCAAGTATAATGTATTAGTCCATTCTCACACTGCTGTAAAGAACTGCTCAACTCTAGGATAATTTATAAAGGAAAGAGTTCCACAGGGCTGGGGAGGCCTCAGGAAACTTACAATCATGGTGGAAGGGGAACCATCATGTCCTTCACATGGCACCAAGAAGGAGAAGTGCCAAGTGAAGGTGGGAAATGCCCCTTATAAAACCATCAGATCTCATGAGAACTCACTCACTATCACGAGAACAGCATGGGGGGGCCACACCCGATCTAATCACCTCCCACACAGTTCTGCCCCCAACACATGGGGATTAAAATTCAGATTACAATTCGAGATGAGATTTGGGTGGGGACATAGAGCCAGACCGTATCATATAATTACCCCTATTTTACAGAAGGGGCTTGGAGAGGTTAAGCATAATTGCTGAGTAATATAGCTTATAGGACACAGGTCTTAAACACAGGTCTTTTTACTTCAGAGCTTTTGCTTTTTTTTACTATAATCTGGGCTTCTTGTCTTTGTGGAGCAGCCTGACATTCTGACCACTGCGTCTATTTCTTCCTTCATATGGCATGTTCATAAAATGCAAGTTCTGAAATTACACTACTTAGGTCCCATCCTGGCTTCCCTACTTATATAAAAACTGTATGATCTTTGGTAAGTTAATTGACCATTTAGAGCCTTGGTTTCCTCATCAGTAAACTTCATAAGATTGCTGTCAAGGATGAAATGAGATAATACAGGTAAAACATGTATCTGAAACATATTAAGTATTCAGTAAATCTTAGCCACCAATGTTATTACTGATTCTTCTCTGGAAGTCATTTAAAATATTTTCAATGGACTGTTGTGGAATTTTTCATAAGACCTGGCATTTCTGGGTTTAAGTCTGTGATGTTACTCCTATCCACACAGGCTGCTCCTTTGTTTGTGTGTACCTACTAACTTTGAGCTCATAGGAGCGCCTTCTGTACCATCAATTTCTTTACATATCTCCCATTTTCTTGCTCAGAATATTTTTCCCACTGATTTTCAGAATCCTCTGTGTTTTTAGAAGTCTCTAGTTCCTGGCTATTCTCCTTTTAAGTCTCAAGCCAAGGGCTTGTACTCATAGCACAGCAGTTAGGACGTGCCCTAATGCAATACACTGCTTGGGTTCAAATCTTGTTCTAACATTTACTAGCTAGGTAGCTAGGGGCCAATTACCTAGCTGCTCAAGCTCACTTTCCCTATTGTGAAAAACAAGACTAAAAGAGTACATAGTGTTGATATGAGGCCGAGAACATGTATATGAAATATTTTTTAGCATATCTGATGACAGTCATTTTTTTCCCAAAAAGCATATCATGTTCATAACATCACCAAACAAAGTCTTCCTCATGGAAACAAACTCAAATTGCATATCTGCAGAAGCAAATTCCTCTGACGGTGACATATGGATCAAACACTTTTCAGAATCAGATGGGGACTATGATGACAAAATCTGGTTTCAACAAAATTTAAGTTGAAAGTTTTTCTTAGAAATCTAAAAAATGTTCCTAAAAACTTGGCTTCATTTAAAGAATATGAACCTGCTGCTATTATGTGAATCTTTCATCAAAAAGAAAAGCAGATTTTGATAAATGTTCCACTTATAAAACCCAAGTCAACTTATAAAGAGAACATCTCCAGATCAATTTCACAAAGATTTTTATGACAGGGACCCTAATTTTTCAGTGAGGGAAGCTGTTGTGTTTGCTTCTATACAGGGATGAAACACAGAAAAGGTGGATTTAGCTAAAACTTAGTGGCAAATCCATGTTCTATATTTTTTTCTTCTTAATTCAAGAAACTAAACTCATTATTTCCAGGCCAAAAGCACAAAATTTGTGTTGAATACTAAGCTAAAGAAAATTAGTATACTAACAAAAAAAACTGTCCAAAATTATTGCTTTTTAAAATTTCTGTAAGTTTAAATATCAGCCATTCATACTTAAGATTCTTTTAGCTGCAGTAAGAATCTGTCCTAAACAACAAACACCTACATTCATTGACATAAAAAGATAATCTATTGGCAGAGTAAGCTTCAGGACCAGTCAAATGCTAATGATGTTATCACAGACCCCTGTTTTTCCTGTCTCCTCATTTCAGCTTTATCTTGGGGTTCATTCCCATCATGGTTGTAAGATAGCTGCTGCTGGCAATTGGAGTTATAGGCTTCCTGTTTTTTTCTCCTAAATGTTAAAAAGGTTTTCACCCAAAAGCCCAGGAAGCCTCTCTTTGAATTCCATTGGCCCAGTCTAGCTAGAGTCTGGCGTTGCAGAACCAGTCTTTGGCAAGTGAGGCTAATTACTACGAGTGGCTAGAATACCGAGTAATAAGGCATGAATGTTGGCAAATCAACCACAATGTCCATTACATCAGTGCTACACGGACTTCCTCCAAATGTCTACCAGTATATGCAGGATCTCGGGCAGTTATTAGACCTCCCTGTACCTTGATTTCTCCTATATGTGAAATGAAATAAATACCAGGCATGGTGGCTCATGCCTGTAATCCCAGCACTTTGGGAGGCCAAGGCAGGCAGATCACGAGGTCAAGAGGTCGAGGCCATCCTGGCCAACATGGTGAAACTCCATCTCTACTAAAAATAAAAAAATTAGCTGGGTGTGGTGGTGCGTGCCTGTAGTTCCAGCTACTCGGGAGGCTGAGGCAGGAGAATTGCTTGAACCCAGGAGGCGGAGGTTGCAGTGAGCCAAGATTGCGATACTACACTCCAGCCTGGTGACAGAGCAAGACTCTGTCTCAAAAAAAAAAAAAAAAAAAAACACAAAACAACAACAACAACAACAAAAATAATATACCAGACTTTTTTGCTTTACATTTGGAGAACTGGTGTTGGAAAGATAAAGTAAATAATGTGAAAATACTCTGAATCAAAGAGAGTTATTAAAATTCAAAATAGTATTGACTTCGTTGTGATCACTTACTAAACTGAAGGCCAGCCTGGAGTTGTACAAACAAGAATATGGCAGAGTTTAATCACAAAGCACTAAATTGAGACAATAGGAGAGTAATTTGGGAATACACATCAGAAGCATTAACATACTACATATTCTTTGCCTATTTTTAGGAATTTAAAGTGTGTACATTTTCATATACATGAGCAAAGATTTAGCTGGAAGGATGCTGATTCACTCCATTGTGTTTGTTATAGCAAAAAAAAAAGAAAAAAACCGTGGAAATAATCTAAATATCCAATAGGTAGAGGCTGAGAAAATAATTATGACATATCTATTAATATAATAGTCATTAAAAATGATAATGTGTCTTTCTCACATATCTTTGCCCCCTTGTTGCCCAGTACTCTATGTGACACATTTCCAGTAGTCAGTAAATGTTTATGGAAACATCTAGAAGAAAAAAAAGATGATGCAGTTTTATCTATATATATATTAGTTTGGAAAGATATTCACAATATACCACCAAGTGAAAAACAGCATATTACCAAAAAGCACATGTAACATTATTTAATTTATATAAAATCTTATGAACATAAAAATGTATATATAAATTCTAAAATTTTAAAAACAAATTTATTAATGGTGGTGAGATGCCAGGTGAACTTTGCTCTCTTCTCCTTTTGTGGTAATTAAAATTTTTTGTAATGAGAATGTTTTATTTTTAAGGATGACAACTATCTATATTTAGAAAAATGGCATAGAAAAATAATGACATAAAAAGATAGTCACAAAATATTGCTTAATTAAAAGGTATACAAAATTATTTACAGTATGATCTCATTCTTACATTTAAAAACATATATCTATATGTATAGAAAAAAAGACTGGAAGGATATACACAAAATGGTTAGCAATAGTACACCTGAGAGGTTATAGGGTTATATACAGGTGGTTTTAATTTTCTTTTGAAGACTAAAGGAAAATTGAACTCAATTTTAAATGCAGATTTAAAAAAGGATTAAAGAACCTGGAGATGAAAAGTATAGAAATTGAACAAATATGATTTTCAAACTCATTATAAAGTACTTGTATTCATCGGGTCAAATCATGTCCAAACTGTGTCTAATGAATAGAGAGTCTCTCTCATTAGCACATAAAAGGCCTGATATATTAATGTTCAGCAGAGTTCTACTATCTTTCTCCATGGTAAAAGCAAAACTGGAAGAGACACACAATGTGGATTAAGAACAGAAATACGTGTCAGTAGCTCAGGGCTCAAATCTTTTCTCTGCTAGTAATTACCTTTCTCTGAGCAATTCATAAGTTTTCATTATTCTAGTTTATTGATTTAGAAAAATAGCAGTAAAAATACTGACTTCTTCATAGGGCTGCTATGAAAAGTTCCAGATGTTAAGCACTTTAAAAATACTCCACTAAAGCAACTGACTAATGAAACATAGTTAAGTATTTTACTATCCCTAATATCCCACGTTAAAAACATAGGGGTTAAACCACTTGTTCAAGTTTGCATTATACATCCCTGTTGCTTGCAGGTGTTCTGTTAAGCAGTTTATGATGCAATATAGTGTCTTGAAATGTTCTTAAACTCTAATTAAAGGTTACAGAATCATTAAAATTTAAACAAGCTTTCAAATAAATAAGTTGTGAAGAGAGAGAGAGAAAAAAAAAAGGCAAACTCCAGGTTTGGAATCATCTGGAGAACTCAGCTATTTGCCCTGGGCAAGCCACTCCTTTTTTGTTTTTTTGTGGGGGCTGGGGGTAACTTCAGGACCCTGATTTGTAACACAAAGCTAATACTAACCCAATAGAATCCTGCCAGGATAGAGTGGTATAATATTGGTCAATGCTCTTAGCATGCACCTGACACAGACAGAGCTGATTCAAAATAGAACAGTGAAGAGAATCTAAGTTCCCACAGGGCCAGATATGAGCCAGGTGGTCTGAGGGACCTAGATAATACAGATTATACCCAGTCACCCTGGATTCCCCCGTCTACAGACAAAAGAAGTCAGATTTGACGTCACAGCTCTTCCACGCCTGTTTGCTTTCTTGCCTTCCCCTCTCCCTGCCCGCCAGTATCATTTTTCCCCCTCCTCCCTACCTGGGCATGGAACGGACCTTCTCTCCAGAGCGCTATTTTAAAAAGAGAAGTTAGTGATTTGAATGTTCTCAGTCAACCCTTGAAGGGGAACAAGCTAATACACGAAGAAGTTAGAATCTGAAAAAAAAAAAGACAAGCGCAGTGTTTGGGGCTTGGACTTGTAAAGATGCCGGGCCTTGGCCCGCTGAACTCGCTGACTCGCCCTTGAGTTTTGTTTGCCTTAGGCTTATCTGCTAAAAAAAACCAAGTCTAAACTCAATGGTGGATTTTATTTTTCCTTCCAGCAAATCTCAAAGGTCTATAATGATTAGTGCGTATGGAGTTAAAAGAGCACAGACATCCTGAATTTGTTCATTTTACTCGAGAAAAATTGAGTATGTGCCAGAAAAAATATATAATGTATGTAAGTCTCATTAAGCCATCATTACTCGGTAAAACAGTTTCCAGGCAAATAAACACACAAATCTCCCTCTTGAAGCTGCCTCTGAGTTGCACCTTCAACTCAAATCTCCTGTCCTCATACATTGTTTACTTCAAAGAGAATTATGAGTGAACAAGAAAATGAGAATCAGGTAGGGTAATTATAATCTTGAATGAGGAAAACATGCCAACATTCACTGAATTCCTAAAAAAAAAAAAAAAGAAAGAATAAAAGAGTCATTCTCCTTCAATATATTTAACTGCTCAAAAGGGCCAAAGTGATTTGGGGTCTAAATTTTTGTTGTTCTAAAAATAAAACAAAATCTTAGAATATACTTTCACATGCTCCCAAAATTGAGTGTGAAGCTTATTAATAATACCCACTTCTTTTATTCCACTCCCATTTTCTGAGAATGTTTGCTCTGTGCTACATACCAGCATCAACTGGGCCATTCCAAACACTGTTGAAAAGCTGTCCCAAATAAACTTGGCCTTCAAGCTATAGAGAGGAATTGTCACTGGAGTTTCAAATTTTGGGTCTTTAAGTCAGTAAGATGATAATAAAAAGTAGTAACAAAGAAAGAAATTTTGGTATCTAGAGGAGAGGATAGACGAGGATGAATGGGAAAAGAAAGTTATCCTACAGTGATAACTTGTATTTATCTCAGCAGCTTAGCAATTTAATACCATAGCTCGGAGGAGGAACACAAGCCGACCACAGTCCACCCTGCCAGGGAACAGTCTGTCTCTGAGGTTAGGGAACCATTCCTGCTAATACTCCCAGGTTCTTCTCCATAACCCTTTCTAGCCTGCCTCCCAGGCAATGGATTTTTTTTTTTTTTTTTTTTTTGCCAGCATCACCTTCCTGTGGTAAGCTGGTTCACACTTCTCTGCACAGATAATGGTACAGTTTGGATGTTTGTCCCTGCCCATATCTCATGTTGAAATGTAATCCTCAATGCTGGAGGTGGGCCTGGTGGGAGGTGTTTGGTTCATGGGGGTGGACCCCTCGTGTCTTGGTGCTGTCCTTGAGATAGTGAATTCTCATGAGATCTGGTCGTTTAAAAGTGTTTGCCACCTCCCCCACCTCGCTCCTGCTCCCCCTTCACCTTCAGCCACAATTGTAACTTCCCCAAGTCCTCCCCAGAAACAGAGGCTGGCACGATACTTCCTAGCAGAACTGCCAGTCAATTAAACCTCTTTTCTTATAAATTACCCAGCCTCGGGTATTTCTTTATAGCAATGAAAGAATGGCCCAATACAGGTAACAAGGAGGAAATCCTTAAACATGGCACAGCAGACCTCTGCCAGGCAGAGCTAGAGTCTGTACAGGGGAAAACTGTGGGAAATGTGGGAAAACACATTTCAGTGTGATGAGGGTGGAATGCACAACTCTGCCTGGGCCATGACTTACCTGCAGAAGATGAGATAAGAATGGCCCTCGATAGGGGGGGTTGTCTTCGAGGGAATAGGGACTTACAATCACAATAAAAGGATATTGGGCCACCAGTGCCGGGCAAAGCTGGGTATTTGGCATAAAAACACAGTGCATCATAATAAAGTCATTTAAAACAGAATCTGGAAGGGGAAAAAAACAGAAAAGGAAATTAGGTTCTTGTGGAAATCTTTAGGAAAGCAAGAGTATCCATTCACTTGTTCTTAGTCATTGGTTCTAACACATTGGTTTGGGGCATGAGTTTACTTTACATGGAAGCACTTCATATAAATAATGGTGTTGACAGAGATTGAGATGAAAATCAGTTTCTTATGACAATGGACAAAAAGTATAATATTTTAAAGAGAGACAGCCTTGTACAAACGGCACTGGGTACCTTAGCCACCAAAGATTTTAAAATCTGTGTACTTAAAGGGTCACATGTGGGCAGTACCATACATGCAGAACGAAGACATGGTCGTTTCTTTGTCTATACCGTATTTGTTTTTTCAAAATCCTTTCTCTTTTATGTCTTTTTCACCTCCTATTTCCAAAAGAAGCAATGAAAGGTAGGAGGACAATAGAATTACAGAATCAGGACGTGGTAAGAGCAGAGAATTGGTGAGGGGAGAAAGAAGCAGCAAAAAAAAAAAAAAAAGAAAGAAAGAAAAGAAAGAAAGAAAACAAGATTAAGGCTGTGAGCAGCAACTAGAGCAAAACAAAGGCTAACAAAACAGAAGCTGGTGGATTCAAATGGTGACTGTCCTATATGTGAAACTATTTTGTAGGTAAGGAAGCAGGGGGTTGGCAAGGGAAGTAAGGCAGGTCCCCCAAATAAGCTTCATTTACTTCATCATTGAATTTGATGCTGGTTCTTCATTGCAGACAACATGCCCTGGCTAGCCAGATGGGAAAGCTCATGAAGGCAAACCTAAAAACCTCAGGACTATGCCCATCAGAACTTGGAACCCAAGATGCCATGACATTTCCCGGGAAAACATGAAATACACTGTCTGAGATTGTGACGCTCATCTTAAATGGAAAATGGTGAGAAATACGTACATTTTAATGCTATAAATTAGATTGCCAAATGTTGTCCATGTTTTTAATGAAATTTTATTGGTGAAGTCTGAGTCAGTTACTAAAGGTTTAACCATTATACATAGTCATTTAAATATAACTGATGAGTGTAATACCAAGCTGTCACAACTCAATGTCACCAGGTCTTCAGTCCCGTTATACTGAGCCAGAGAAGAAGCAGAGAAGGTGTCAGACAGAGGCTGCAAGAAAATATTTTTTTTAATGTACCAAAGGATTTTGGCTTGCCTGAGCTTAACATCTAGCACCATCTTGATATGTTTTATATATTCTTGAGAACAGAGTAGGTAATACTTGCTTATATGCACCCAGGAGGCTGTAATATCCAGTAGTTTAAAGTTTGCTAAAGCAGAGACTTGACTTGGGTGCTCCAAGGCTGGGGAGGGAGTCAGTTAACATGGCCAACCACTCAGCTCACATTTCAGTGTGGCTTTCCGGCTCTCTCCTCACATGTAGCAACTCTTCTGTCTGGCACCTTCTCTGCTTCTCAGTATAATGAGACTGAAGGTGACTGGTGACACTGAGTGATGACAGCTTGGGATTACACTCATCACTTATATTTAAATGAGAATCATGGTTAAACATTTAGTCACTGATTCAGACTTTGCCAATGTAAGTTCATCAAAAACATGAACACTGGAAATCTAATTTATAGGTTAAAATTTGCTTAAGAACTAATTTAAAACATCACTTCCTACTAGAAGATGATTTACCAAGTCACTCCATGACTAATGCTGGTTTTAAAAGTAAAAATATAAGAACTAATAGGTCTCAGGTAGAAAACAGATTTTTGGTAAATTAAGAGAGTGTAATGTCAAATTCAGCAGTGTGCATTTTTATGATGTAAACAACTTTCACGGTAACTCTGACCTTTCTTACTGTACTGTAAATCTATAACTGCCAAAGGTCTCCTACTCTGGTATATCCACAAATTTCGTGGACCTACCCTAGGATTATTTAGTGTCCAGGACAGGAGGGAGGCACATTTGTATTTCTGATTTATGAGAAAGATACTGGTTTGTTCTTTATCTCCAAGGCATAAACATTACTTGTAGGAAAAAAATATCAGGAAAAACTGCAGGAAATGAAGTTCAATATTAAATTATGATGTTAGCCTAGTCTCTACCATCAAAAATGGAAGGGTCAAGAATCACATCCCACACGCCAGCCTTAGAATACACTGATTTCTAGGCTTTAATTTTTTTGATGAAGAAGAAATAATCAGGCTACTCTTGGCACACTGCCCATGGGTTAGCCCTGCTCTGCAAGGAACAGTAATTAAAAAAACAAAACTAAACAAAAGAAGCAGAAGCAGCAGCAATAATCCAATCTCCATCTCTTTTAGAGGTGACTTGAAAGGAAGGCTATACTTGCCCTTCATGGGTGGTAAAGATCTTATAGCTCATTCCTTAGATGCCACAGTCTCTAATGTACCAGAATATATATTTTTTTGAGTCAATATATACCTTAGGTAAGATGCTGATTCTTGCATTATGCAATCACACATTCTGGGCAAACAGTTAATCAGAGGGAAAAAATCAGCTGCATTTTTTCCTGACCCATGGTCCTGGAAATTTGGTTTATTTGAGGTTACATATGGCTCTTGGTAGCTATCCTCACATAACCGGTTCTTCAACAGTTTCTCTATACTAAATATGGAGTAACTTTTCTCCAGCATAGTTCTTATCATGTTCTTCTTGCTCAGACATCTTCAACCACTTCCCAGTGCTTGGCTCTACCTTTTTGTTGTTGTTGTGCAAGCTGGAGTGCAGTGGCATGATCATAGCTCACTGTAGCCTCAAACTCCTGGGCTCCAGTGATCCTCCCGCCTTGGCCCCCAAAGTGCTGGGATTACAGGCATGAGCCACTGCACCCAGCCGGCTTTACATTTAAGACTCTCTAAGATCTATACCCCAATTCTTAAACCTTTCCTTCGTTTTCCAACTTACGTATACAATAGTCCAG
Organism: Homo sapiens; assembly: GCF_000001405.40. Lineage (NCBI taxonomy): Eukaryota > Metazoa > Chordata > Mammalia > Primates > Hominidae > Homo > Homo sapiens. Next base: position 172,998,345 of record NC_000002.12, on the reverse strand, counting down.
TAAAAATCCGACCACTCACTCTTCCCTGTCTATTTCTAGGTCAGTGCTAATATTATCCCTTAGTATGGATGGCTTTGTCCCTATCTCTAATTACTGGTTACCAGCCTCCTTCAGGGCCACTCTATATTTTCCATGATACTTTTCTAGATCCCTCACCTAGTCAGTGTCCCTGAAGCACTAACCACATTCTGCCTTATATTCAAGTTATGTGCACATTCCTTTATGTCTTCTAACAGATTATAAGCTTCCTGAAGGCAGGAGAATGATTCCTTGTTCACATTGCCTAGTCCAAAGCATCTAGCTTAGTGTCTGCCCAACAAGATACTCAACAAATATTGACCTGAGAATAATTGGCCTGGAGCCAGTGATCCTGACGATTATATCTACTATACCCTAATTAATTTGCTACATAAAAAACCTCAGGTAATCTATGTATAAAATGAGAAACTGGAATGAGAAGATAAAATAAGAATTCAGTGGTAAAATACCTTTAGGAGGTATATAATAATAATAATGATATCTTCAACTTGAATATATAGCAAAGGTCAATTATGGAAATGGATTTTGAACTAAGTTTTTGAGATAAATCTCTGAACTTCTTTTAGTGAGAAAGGCTCTTCTATGGAGCTCAATGTGCTTAAAATATTAACCCACAACATTATTCTGAGAGACAGGCAGTAGCATAGGATTAAAAAAAAAACACGTTGCGTGTGGGCTGTTGCAAAGTCATATACAAGATGGTAACCAAAGTGGAACACAATTTTATAACTCTGAACACTTAGTTCACTGGTGAGATTTGTTTTATTCACCCTAGAATTTCTGTGTCTTAGGTAACAAGACTGACTCACTGTAAGCAGATGTTATGTGTTGAATTGTATCCCCCCAAAAAGATATGTTGAAGAACTAACCTCCAGTATCTCAGAATATAATCGTCTTTGGAAATAGGGTCTTTGCAGATGTGGTCAAGTTAAGGTGAGGTCCTTAATGAGGGCCTTAATCCAATATGACTGCCATCCTTATAAAAAGGGGTAACCTTGGACCCAGAGACAGACAGGCACAGAGGGAAGGCTATGTGAAGAGTCACAGGGAGAATGCTGTGTGAACATGAGGGCAGAGATCCGGATGATGCATCTACAAGCCAAAGGATGCCAAAGATAGCCTGCAAACCACAGGAGGCTAGGAGAGAGGCATGGAACAGATTCTCCTTCACAGCCTTCAAAAGGAACCAACCCAAATATCACCTTCAGCTAGGATTTCTAGCCTCTAGAACTGTAAGACAATATAATTTTGTTGCTTGAGCTACCCAGTTGGTGGTAGTTCATTAGGGCAGCCCTAGCAAACGAATGGTGGCATTTAGTTATATTCTAGAGCAGCTGGACTCTACAACAACTGCAGAGAGAAGTATCTTACTCCCAACTGGAGCAAGGCTGTACCTTTTATGTAGGCAGCTTCAAATCCTTCGTGGGAATAGGTAGGATGTATGATAAACCCAATAGATGCCTATAGAAGGTGGGATTTGAATAACTTAAGAGAGAGATGCCTAGGGAAGATGAGGCATAGTATGTAGAAATGAGGCTGAGTCATTTCTAGAGAACAGTCAGGATTGGGGAGGGAAGACGACAGTCAGAAGGACTGTTCCCAGTCAGGTCACACAGAGATGCTTTTCAAATATCAATACACAGAATCCCCTTCCCAAACTGCTTTCGCTATACACACTGCAAATGAATTCAGGACTTTTAAACAATGCTATGCATGGATTTAATGGACATGCAAACGGTTCTATGTGTATACCTGTTGCTTCATTTAAAGTTGCCTCAAGGCGTATTGTTTCTAGAAAATGCTCTAAAATTTTTTCAGGTGTTCCTGACATCACAGTATACCTGGATAAGAAACAAAAATGCCATTAATTTTTCAAAAGTGGGCAAATCATTAAAAAAACTTTTACTTATCTAAGTTTTTTTTTTTTTTAATTTGAGATCCCAGGGAACCATATACCTTTCATGGTAAGAGAGACCACACACTTTGTCAAAGTCACACAAGAAGACAAAACAAACAAACAGAAAACCCACAAAGTGAAGTCGTTACTACAAACACTGTTCTTTTTTCCCTATATGGAAATAAGGTAAACTTCTTGAAGAGCAGCTTTAGCAGGCTGGGAACTGAGAAACTTCAGTCTTTTTTCCAAAGGAGAATAAAAAGGAACATGTAAAACCCAGGGCAGTTCAGGTCAGGCAGGGGGAGCTGGTGAGGGGAAGTGAGAGTAAGCTAGGTTATCCATATATGGGTTACTCATAGCAAAACTTCTTCCCACACTGGATTCCCCCGCCTATTTCTGGAATGCTCTGTCTTTCCCAACTGTACACTGGTATGTGCTTTGGAAATTCAGCTAATAATAAAACGAGAGAAAGCAAACAAAACCCCATAACACTGATGAGCAAACAAACAAACCCCAGTAGATCATGAATGGGAAATAAATCAGCAGTAGAAAATCCTTATAATTTATTTCAATGCCAGATATAAATTACTGGGGGTTATATTAGACATTATTTCAGAAGATCTTTCCATGGTGTTCTTCAATTAACACAGGAGGATTTATTTTTTAAGTTGCATGTGAACTGTTTCAAAATCATACTCAAGACAGTGACAAAACACTACTATGTGGGAGCTGTAGACAAAATACATTCAGATGATCTGAGTGCTTCTCTTCCAAAACTCAGGCTTTGCTTTTCTGCTTGGAATTTCACTTAAAAATAACAGGCAAGTAGGGGCCAGGCGCAGTGGCTCACGTCTGTAATCCTAGCACTTTGGGAGGCCGAGGCGGGCGGATTGCCTGAGCTCAGAAGTTCGCAACCAGCCTGGGCAACACGGTGAAGCCCCGTCTCTACTAAAATACAAAAAATTAGCTGGGCGTGGTGGCACATGCCTGTAGTCCCAGCTAGTTAGGAGGCTGAGGCAGGAGAATTGCTTGAACCCGGGAGGCGGAGGCTGCAGTGAGCGGAGATCACACCACTGCACTCCTGCCTGGGTGACAGCAAGACTCCATCTCAAAATACAAACACACACACACACACACACACACACACACACACACACACACACAAACAGGCAAGTAAAAACAACAATGAAAATAAAATTGTCTAATGTTCAGAAAGCAGTGAGAATTCAGCTCTGGTTTCCTTGCCTGTTTGAGACTTTTGAGGTGTGTTGAGATCCCAAGAGTAACTCTTAACATATTGTTAAATCTCAGGATCTTAACCCATGGCCTGAGGGAGTGATGTGCAGACATTTTAACATATGTGCATGTGAAAATGGTGAGGGGAGCACCTCTGGTATTGAATGAGGTGGCCAATGCAGTCTATCTGGAAGGCAGCTGTTAGCTAAAACTATAGTGCGCGCACAAGACCAAAAGGAAGCTAAACAGTTAAGTCTTTGAGGAAACCTGGCTTTGGAGCCTAGAGGAGGAGAGAAGGGGAATAGAAAAAAAAAATAGTCTACTTTCATCTCAAAAGTCTGACCCCTTTCTCAAAAGAGATAAGGTAGAAGACAATGGTTTTTCCTCTTGTGGGCAATGCATATTTGAGGAAAGAAGAGGGCATATTTATAAATGACTTTCGATATTGAAATAGAGAATATTGCTCAATTAATTCAGTAATTCCTGAAATATATGATTCTTTGATAGCACTCACCAGATGAGCTGGAAGAAGAGTAGCGTTGGCCACATTAATCAGGAAACGGGGTTAGAGAGAGCAACATCTGTCGAATGTTTACTATGCCCTAGACAGCTAGGTGGGCACTGAATAAGGTCGTCCTGTTTACTCCTGCTAGTTAAATATTATCTTCATTCTGCAGATGGAGAGACCGCTCAGGACGGGGAGGCATCATGCCTCAGGTCACAGAGTTAGTAAATGGGAGACCTCTGACATGAGCCAGGTGTGTCTGGCTTCAGAGAACAAGCATGAGTTTCATGGCACTTTTCTGCTTGTACAGCAAGACGCTCCACATGGAGACCAGGTCTAGCTACCTGGAGCTTTTTCAGAACAGGAAATTCTCCATGTAATTAACAACCTTCCTCTAAAGAGGGCTTGTTCAGTTTGTTTCTGAAAACGAGTTTTATTTCAATAGGAGTATATGTACATTCCATAACATGAAAACTGAATGGGGGGAAAACCAGTCTGTTACTTCGCGTGGCACCAGGCTGCTGGGAAGTTGCAAGCTCTATAGCTAGCCGTGTGACTCATACATCAGTTTGTAAAATGTGTCCCCTTGTCAAAAGTTTAATTCTACTAGAAGGTTGGCTTCACATTCTGGTATTCTTTGTTTGGACATCCTTTAGCTAGGGCATTATGGCTGGTCAAAAGTAATAGAGATCTGAGAGGCAAGCCAGATGCCTGATCACCTCTCTAGAAAGTGGCCTCTCTAAGCTCTGCCCACCTGGCCAGTCGGAGACCCCCAGGATCTTTCTTTTGCTACCAAAGACTTCCTCTCGTGGTACAGTTGCTGTGGCCACCTTACCCCAGCTTCTCTTCACAGCTCCACAGAAGGCTATTAGGTGCTAACATTCCCTTAGGGTGGGGGACTCCAAGATGGAGGGGCCAGGAACTTCTGGCCAGACACAGCCCTCTGGGTTCTTGGGGTTCTGGGTTTGGCTGAAACATCACGTGACGGCTTTGTTTCCCACTGTCCACTGCCAGGCACCTACTGCTTGGCCTCTGTTTAAAATGAGGTCAGGACCACTTGAAGACCACACAGCATGACCCTTTTCAGTTTATTTCATGAAAGAGCGACTCTAGTCCAAGTTAAAAGCAAACTCCAATTGGTTACATTATATAAGCTATGAAGTTTTAAACCTCTGACATAAAATATTTTTCTGCAAATGAGGACACTACAATCTGTTCCTAGAATAGAGAAGGGTGTGGAGAAGGGGACCTGAAAGAGACTGTCTTCCTGCACACAGGATGGAGTTGAGCAATGAGAAAACAGTCTAAGATAAAAGCAACACAGTAACGAAAACAGGAATATGCATTTCAAATTCTTTCTTACTAAACCCGCATAACCACACAGCAGAAAGACATGCGAAACAGTAAACGACTAAGGGCTCCATGGAATTTATCCTTCATGGCAAATATTGTCTTATTATTGACATTTTTAATATCACACTCAGAGTTGAGATGCTTAGGTAGAGTCAGGAGGTTTTGAAAGTTAAAAATGTGCACATAAACTATTCTGGATTTTTCAGGGAAAAAAATGAACCAGAAAAATAACATTATTAGCAGCACCAACATGGTGACCCTTTTTGAGCTCAAAAAGGATAATTTCTGAGGAGAGGCCCTACAGCTTCCTAAATTTTAAGTCCATCCATACACATGGTTGATGCCACATTTTTGAAGTCCGGAATATCAGCCCCATATTTATCTACATGCCCCCCTCCCCTTCAACTCTGGTCTCATTTGGGAAAGCTCAACATGGAAAATGACCCCTTGAGAGAGCAGCTTTTCATTCTTCAGGGAAATGATTATGTGTGGTACATTAATTTGTACTCACTGATATTTCTTAAATGGCTCATTGTGAACATGCATAAGTTTTTGAATTGCGGAAGAAATTTGGATTGGAATACAGGACACAAATAAGGAGATATAATAGAAAATCAGATCAGGCCTAAAATAATAAAACATACGGTCTCTTCTTTTCCATTCCTTTTAGTTTGATTTCATAAGAAACCTATATTTGGAGAACACCCTGAATGAAAGCCATTGTAACAGGCAAATGCTTTTGATCATTCCCCAATGACATGAAGAAGTCAAGCAAGGGGACCTCCAGGGAACCTCTTGATCAGATGTTTCTAGGTTAAGGAGAATTCTCAAGGCTTGCCTTTTCAGTAAGCATAATTTTCCCCAGACATCTGAAGCATTAGTTTAAAATACAGATAAAACACCAGGTATTTAAGGGAACCAAAGAAAATCACTAGAAGCAGTCCCAACCTTCACATTAAAAAAATGTTTTCATTCTTATCCTCCTTAGTGGACTGGAAGGAAAACTGTTAAAAACATTTGGGCAAGAACAATTTCAAGAACAGACAGTAGAAAACAATAAATAATAAGGAAATTTCTATGGTAATTTTATAGTTTTGTAAGTGACAGGTAGTTTTTTTACATAGTCCTTTTGATGTCAGTTCTTTCGATATGGAGTGGTTTGCAATATTTACTAAACAGTGTTGAGTATGTAGTCTTATCTACTATATTTTGTTATAGTAAGCTGTCAGGTGGAAGGGGGATAGGCATGTGAAAACTGGTCAAGCTGGACTTGAATCCAAGCTCTGCCATTACAAGCTTTGAGACCTTGGGCAAGTAACTTGTGGCTCTGAGCATAAATTTCTCCATCTTTTAAAAGGTGTTGTAATATGATAAGAATCCTATAAAATCTGCAAAATATACTATGGCTATTTAATAATATTATCTTTTTTCCTGCCCTCTTTGCAAATATGTTGATTCACCCAAATGAAAATGTCTGGGCCTTAGACTTTTAGTCTAAACAATAAAAATTAATCATTTATGGTGAATGCCTTGATAAAGGAAACATCTTGCTTATTTGGCAAACAAAGGAAAATTACTTGAGATGCATTCTCCTTCAACATATTATTGGGCAACATTTCTTTAGCTACAGAATTGGTGTTTTTATTACACTAAGATTGAAAATTAATCTCCATTTTAAAAACTAGATTCTGCAATTTTCTGTAATTTCTTAGAGCCACATTTTCTATTCTGTCTTACCACTCAAATGTTGGTACATTTGATGCAGTCTTATGTAGTAAGTTGCAGCAAAAGCTGGAACTGAACATCGGTATGCTGAAAAAGACTCAAGTTAAACAGGACATCTGAGAAATGTGAAGCTAATGGCCTTTTGACATTAGCAGGAAAGTATGAATGAGGCCAAATGGATGCTTCTGGGCTGAAATCAATAGACTGTTTTATATTGGAAGTCTGGGTTTCCATCAAAGACGCTCATTCTGATAACAAGAGGAAAACACTTCACGCGAAATCCTGCATACGAAATTCAAATACCAAAAGTTCTCATCACCCAGGGGCCTTCATATCCTTTGAGCTGCCTGGCATTGCTATTCCCATTGTTCTCTCACACGCCTTCTGTTCCACAGCTATTACAGTTGAACACTGTATACAAAGAGTGGTTTTTAGAGTAAAGGAATATTCTCTCCCGAATTACTCTAGGCAGCACCCGGCTCAATGCTGTGCCAGAAATGGATACATTATACTCCACAAGATGTGTGATTAGTCAATAGAGAGGAAAAAAGTCACATACACTGCCATCTTCCACAAAAAAGGAGAACATGCTATTGTAGAAATGATGATACCATGTGAAAAGGTTAATCATAGTCTGGCAATTACAGTGTTGGATGCAAACATACTTTTGCTGAGGCTGTGAGTTTCCTTGATTAGAAGCTCTGTTCCCTGCTGGGACCTTCTCCAGCACCAAGACATCTTGGTCATGTTCTTTAAGTCTGACTGTATTCGCCTCCACGTCCTGCAAATACAAATTACACCACATACAGATGCTGCCGCTTACTCAGACAATGAAAAAATTTTCAAATGCTTCAGAAACTCATTTGGTGCTTGTCATGCTAATTGTTGCGTCTACAAATTAAGTCATTTTCAAAGTCAAGGGCTGGAACGGTCAGAGAGAGGACCAGATGAGGTTTGAAGCATGTGTTTTTAAGACTGCTTTTACCCTAGCTTCAGAAAAACAGCAGAATAAAGCATAGTGTGGTTATGCTCTGAGAAACCTTTGGGAGAAGGAAGTAGAGCAGGAAGGTGGGGAGCAAAGGCATTTATTAGTTATAAAAATATGTGGTAAATAGCAAGCAGCTTCAGCAAAGTTCTTTTTCTCCTAAGTGTATTTAGTTTCCTTAGGAGTGGGGCACCTTTTCTCTTTAATCAAAAGACTGCTTTGTTTTGTTTTGTTTTGTTTTTAAGAAAAATCTGTTTGAAATGTGTTAAAAACTATTTTTGGTTATTTTAAGTGATTTTATAAATTACATCAATGATAATGGTCCTAATCTGATTCGTTCAAAGAATGTTTTGGCTGAATGTAAACTCCTTGTGTGTAAACTTGAAGGAGTTAGTACAGTTTACCTTTAAATTTCAATATCATTGTAAATAGTTAGTTTAAAAATTTTAACATGCTTTTCCTCAACATTTGGCCCTCATTTAAAAAGAGGTCAGATAAGAACCAACTCAAATTCCATCTGGTATTTTTTTAATATATCATTCAAGGGTATACATTTTAGCCTTTTTTTTTCTTTTCTTTTTTTTTTTTGCATTAAGACCATGCATTCCTAAGACAAACTTAGTTGTCAGAAATTTTGCCACCAAAGGCAAATGCTTAAGGCCATGTAGGGATTGATGTCCAGACACAAGGGCAGGAGCATGACATTGTAAATCATCATTAAGTAACGGGAATATACCCCAAAGCACAAAAGCTACATTTAGGACTTCAGGAGGGGATAGGGATGCTAAGGCTGCAAGAGGGACAGAAGGGACCCTGCTCTGTGGGTCAGCAGTGAAAGAAAGAGGGGCAGTGTGACCCTAGAAAGAACAGCCTCCTGAGTGAACTCAAGCTAGGGCGGGAAGGACCACAGGCCACCTGAGAAGCCACGGGTGGTGGGACATCGTCACCATCCCTAAAAGTCCATGATCAGGCCTCAAGCAGCCAAAGCAGAGTCATCCCTCCCAGGGACAAGGGACCGCATGCTGGGGAGAGACCAGAGACCATTTTTTTCTAAACATCACCCACACTCACAAATTCCTTAATATGCTTAGAGTAGGCTCATCTGCAGAGCCAACTTTTAAGTGCAATTGCATAGTTCCCTCTACCACCCCAGTTATTCACCTGCCTGCCAATGTCAGAAATTCCTTTAGTTTGTAACAATTTGAGATAAAGCCCTTGAAAATGAAAATACTTGGTTGGAGTAACCATGATAGATGTTAATTCTCAGTAAAATGTAATCACTCAATAAATCAAGGGAATGTATGATGATATGAGACAGGCTCAGATTTGGGAGGAGAAGGAGGTGGAAACTAGGAAGGTCTAGGAAAGAGAAAGACAAGGGGCAGAGGGGGCTGCCACTGTGTTGGAGAGTGGGATGGGAAGGACAAAAAGAAGGATGCCCAGGATGTCAGAGAGAAACTTCTCAGACTGACATTTTGCCAAGGCAATTCCTATTTATCGTCAATTCTCATGGACCAGTGCAGGGATGCATAGAGGGACTGGGTCCAGCATAGCATCCTGCATTTGCAGCTTTACTGGAATACAACCTCTGGATCCCAGAATGCATACCAACACATTAAATATAACCGGTTTGTAACAAAGGCCCTTTGTGCCTAGAGCACTCATTCATCACAGGACTACTCAATTAAGACTATGCTCAAAGCTTTGCTTATTTAGTTAAAGAAAAAAATGGGCTGTCTCTCAGCCACACTTTGCTTTGGACTCACCCTTAGGATCCGGTTGAAATCCTCCTTGTCTACTCTTAAGAAATGGCAGTTATCTTCTCGTAAGACGATAGAGGCAGCTCGTGGGGCATCATTCACTAGTGCTAACTTGCCGAAGTCATCTCCTTCATGCAGGGTGCAGACCACACCCTGGATAGAGTAGAGCACACAGATGAAGAAGATCCCTGAAATAGAGCAAACACCCACCACCTCCTGCCACAAGACCCCCAAGCCCCTAAAACATTGTAGATAAATGGGCTGTACCTAGCGATGCCAAAGGGGATTACATAATTACATTATGATGTTCACTTTGCTTTCACTGAGTAATACGGTCTGTGGCTTAACTTAAATGTACACACTATAATCCATCAGGAGACAAACCCCAGAAAGTACAATACAACTTTAAGTATAATAACTGAGGTAACTTATGATTAAAGATACAATAATGTCTTTTCTACATCTAGGAGCAATGTTGTTGCAAATTTAATTGTGGCACTACATTGCTAATACTTAGAGCCACACTAGTAAGTGGAGCGTAATAAAGTTTCAAAAAGAAAAAGATATATATACCTTGCCGTAAATGACTACATTCACTGATCCTTTTAGAATAATGTACCAGGAGGTACCTTCTTCCCCCTGGTTAAACACTAGACACAAAAAGATGAAAAGACTTATGATAAGAATAGAAGCACATCAATATAAATTACAGCTTATCAAATCATCACTTTAAGTCCCCAGAAAATATGCATACGTAAAATTCGAGAAACATCACTGGCAAATATTAACTTGTTCAGGTGGCACATTATCTCCTTTTCTATAGAATACAAAAGAAAGAGAAACACTGCATTCCTTGCTATGCCCTAAAACATAGGTTTTTAGTAGATATCAATTTATCAGCAATCTGTTTCTTAAAGCCATACACATTTCTTCCACAATTCATTAAAACTTATCCCATAGAAAAATGGCTCTAAAATGTAATCTGACAAGTAATGTGACGTTTAAAAACATGCAAATCAGCACTATATATTGTTTACAGATACATACCTACACACACTTGTCCCTTCGTATCCATGGGGAATTGGTGCCAGGACCTCCCAAGGATATCAAAATCCACAGATGCTCAAGCCCCTGATATAAAGTGGTGTATTTGCATATAGTCTACACACAGCTTCTTGTATACTTTAAGTCATTTCCAGATTACTTATAATAGCTAATACAATGTAAATCCTATGTAAATAGTTGTTATACTGTATTATTTAAGGAATAATAACAAGAAAAAAGTCTGTACATGTTCAGTAGAGACACAACCATCCACTTTCTTTTTTTTGGAATATTTTTGATCTTCAGTGGGTTGAATTCGTAAACGTGGAACACATAGATGTAGAGGACTGACTGTATTTTTAAAAAAGTGAGTTAGAATGATCACCACTACATTCAGGGTAGGAGTTACCTTGGGGTAGGAAAGATGAAAATGGGATAAATGAGGGTACAAAGGGTCTTCAAGTGTAGTTGTATAATTTATTTTTTATTTTTTATTTTTTGAGACAGGGTCTCACTCTGTCACCTAGGCTGGAGTGCAGTGGCGTGATCACGGCTCACTGCAGCCTTGACCTCCTGGGCCTAAGAGATCCTTCCACCTCAGCCTCCTGAGTAGCTGGGACTGTAGGTATGCACCAATCCACCTTGCTAATTTTTACAGACAGGGTTTCGCCATGTTCCCCAGGCTGATCTCGAACTCCTGGACTCAAGGAATCCACCTGCCTCGGCCACCCAAAATGTTGGGATTACAGACATGAGCCACTGCACCCAGCGTGTATAATTTAATTCTTTAGAAAATATGAAAAAAGGCTGAGTGCAGTGGCTCACTCCTGTAATCCAACACTTTGGGAGGCCACGGCGGGCAGATCACTTGAACTCAGGAGTTTGAGACCAGCCTGCCAACTAGGTGAAACCCTGCCTCTACTAAAAATACAAAAAAAAAATTAGCTGGGCGTGGTGGCACACGCCTGTAATCCCAACTACTTGGGAGGCTGAGGCAGGAGAATTGCTTGAACCTGGGAGGTGAAGGTTGCAGTGAGCCAAGGTTGTGCCACTGCACTCCAGCCTGGGTGATAGAGCAAGACTCCGTCTCAAAAAAAAAAAAAGAAAATATGAAAAAAATGGCATGTTATTATCTGACAAAGATTAAGAAGGTAATTGTAATATACTCTATTTTTTGTTTAAAATATTTAACTATTTCATAATAAAATGAAAACAATTAGCAAGTTTGAATGAAAAGAATAAAAGAAAATAAAAAAGAATAAGTCATTAGCAACCATTAAGATAAAAATATTAAAGTAAGCCTTGAACATTTGAAGAAGTTACATTCTTACTAAAATAGATATCAATGTCAGAAATATCATTTTTGATGACTGAAAGTAAAAAAACCACATTTACAATTAATGTTTCCTGCTTATTTGACTCATACAATGTAGCCTGAAGAAAGAGCAAGATTTTCCAAACTGTCTCTAAAGAGTTAACAGGTGTCCATGCAAAAAGTGTTCTATGTGTCATTAGGCTCAGGAAGTATCGGTTTAAACGTGGTGATCATTTCTCCTTATTGCAGAACTTCTGAGAACACATTAGCATGCTGCTGTGTCCTGTGATTCTGCAAGAGAGATTGGAGAGGCATTTCCTGACCTTAGTAGATCACTAACCCTGTTTGTTCCAGCCAGATTTTTGTAGGAGTAGTAAGGAATGCCAGCTTATATAATATTGTTCACATCTATTCACATCAAATTTCCTTTTCTTGCTTCCAAATATGATCACAGAACTAAACTGCAACTTGGATTTTGGTGAGATACTATAGATTAACACTGCATATGTATTTGAAGCAAAGAAATTCTCTCCAGCTTGGAGCTTAAAGTGGAAGTGAGAGAAGAAAAATAAAGTAGGATGGTTTAAATATCATTCTAACTAACAACCTCAAGAGATCGATTAGTTCTTCTAAAGCTATGAACGAAATGAGGTCACTGGGAAAAGGTACTGCCTCAGGCCCTTCCTGAAGGGCAGTGACTTCATCCCACCCTCTTTAAACACTGTGGTGAGTCAGGAGGGTAGGGAGCCAGTGAGACTCAGGCTGGCACCCACAACACTTGCTGGTACTAGAAAACCACGATACTTCAGAATAATTGACATGTGCTGGAAATAATCACAGGTCCAGAAAAACGAAAGTACCACAGGACACCCTGCCAAGTCACCAAGCCAGACCCGGGGCCAAGAAGTGAGGCGTTAGCAGCCTGGCTTCCCGTGGCATGTGCTTGCAAGGGTGCTGGCCAGGCGCAAGGTTCCAGTACAGCTTTTCACTTACACACAGTCCCTCCTTTGGCGTGAGACTCAAAAATGAGAACACCTGCTAACTCTCGTTTCACCTAGAAGAAAAACAGAAGAAACATGCAAAGGCCACATTTCCAGGTCTGGGTGGAAAAGGGTTGTACTCTTTCTGGGGGCACAATGCAAACTGTCCCGGGGCTTCCCATGCAGTCATCTCTCACCTCTCTTGCTGCTGCTCTCATCTAAAATCACTTCTACTCGATTTGCTGCTAGGCTTTTAAAGCTTGTAGCTCTTTTTATAGAATAGCTTATAGCTAATTCATACCAGGCAACCTCCTTAGAGACTGTTTCAAACATGGTCCCACCTGCATTAACTAGCCCACTTGCCTGCCTGTCTTTGGCTGTGGGTGAGAAGGGGAGACCATGTGCAACATCACATGATTCTGTTGTTACTAGTGACTCTTGCTTGCATTACATATAATGCATCATGGCAAACATGTTGGAAAATTCTATGTCTTGAAGCTGAATAATGAAGCCTAAATGAACGAACACATTTATATTCTTAGTTAAAATTCCAAATTATTCCTAGCTAGCTAAAATTCACATTTAAAAAAAAATTCCAAATTACGGTCCCAAATCATGGCTCTATCTTCCTAAGAACCCAGTAACTTGAGATTTTTCTATGCCTGGGTACCTGGGGTTTGAGGTAGAAGACGAGACTACCCACAATCCTCTCAATTCCACTGAGACCAGGGAAGTCGGATCGGGACATGCTGGGTCCCTGGAGCACAGGCAGGGAAAGGGGTCCTTCCTTACTTCCCTCTACATCACTAGCTCATGGAGCCTCAGCTTTCTGCCCTGTATATATGAGGGCTTCCCAGGTGAGGCTCCCAGGCACTACATCTATGCCCTGTGGAGAGTAAGGATGGCAAGGGCAGTGGTAGGTAGGTGGGAGGCTGGGCTGGACCACTTCCCTGGGTAGTCCACATAGGTGAGCAAGTCTCAAGACCCTCAGTGGTGCCAGAGGTGGGAGATATGTGAAGGAGGTTTGTCTAGGTTGAAGGGGAGAGGGGACTTGAAGCCCTCTTGCTTGGAGCTATGGCAAATGCCTCGCTGCTCTCAACAGAGACCTGAACTTATCCCCAACAGCAGGGACTGGCAGGTACTGCTACTGTGAGGTAGCAGAACACCACTTTTAGTGAGCTAGGAATGAAAACAAACTAGGCATCTAGATATTTCTTAGGGACCTCAGTATATACTCTGTGAAAGTTGAAACCACTTCATTCTTCTTAACTTATTAGTGTGTAGGACATGTGTGTTTCCTAAAAATCATATTCTTAAGGGAGGAGGTGTTCCTATCCCTATTCAGTGGCAAAAAATTTCTGTCTCCTAAATACTCTAATCAGGTAAAAGTTCAGAATCAGATACAGCCACTGGGTCATTTTTTATTAGTGGGTGGTGTTATTTTCACTAATACATCTGAGCTGATGCTCTCTTGAACTTTCTGCTTCCATTCTCAAGAAGGCAGCAAACCCTGGTGGAGTTGGCCCCATAAGCCAAGACAGGTCATCTAGGTTTCCCTCTTTCCACCCTCTGGCAGCATACCATGGCAGGATTCAGAGTCCCTCCCAGGCCTGGCTCTCTTATCTGAGTGTGCAGGTTCCAAAATTCATATTCACAGGGATGAAGCCCATGTTCCAACCCTACTCACATGGGGCTGCTCTGGGGTTTAGGGCACATGGGCAACTACCAATAATAGGACAAAATTTGATTCCTTTCAGTGATTGTTCTTGGGTATAACTTCCTCAGCATCTCGTAAGAGAGTAGAGGTGATTTATGAGGTGAAAATCAGACATTCTTTCCCCCCACAACACCGTAATACTCTCCTCTGTCCTAACAGTGCATTTATTGCAAAGTGCTCCAACCATGCTAAACTAAGAGACAACTTACTGTGGTAGAAAGATGGGATAAGGCTTTAATATGAAGAAGCTCCTCATAGATAATCTCTAGGTCATCCACAGTCCTCTGGCCAGGTCTACAAAGATAAAAAAAAAAAAAGGAATATGGAAAAAGGGCATCACTAGGGCCTCAAACATGGAAACGGATCCAGGCATCAGTAACATGCTCAGGGATTTCTTCTGCACAAGAAGATATTGGCGGAGGGAGAGGTTGCACCAGTATAATGCCTAAAGGGATTTTTGAAATAAATGTGTTCCTTGATGAAAGGATATGGGAGAAAGCCAAAGTCCACAGGATCCCTTCTCTTCTGATCTCAGAGGGAAGAGCATCTCCACTCACATGGTAGTTGGCCAACTCATCTCTCACTTTGTAGATGATTGAGCTAAAAAACTGCTTTTCATTACCACCTTAATCAGTAATGGCAAAACTTGTCTTTTAACACCACTAGAAACAATTGGTATAATCAACTTGACAACTGATCTAAATTCCTTGAGATCCTGTGTACTATCTTAGCCTAGCAGAATAATAATGCCACTGTCACTATTATTTGGGGTTATAAAATGTATTTTTTCCGAAGGACTCAAATATAGGATGTATGCAGACTCAACATTTTCTTTTCTAGCCCTGAGGAGATAAGGGCATGAGATGAAGAGAAGGCAAATGGTAGCATCTGCGATTAGTAAGAGAAGGCAAGAAGGGAGGTATATTCCACATTCCCAAACTCTTGTTACAAAAACCACCACTGCCCACCAGATATTAATCAGTTTATGTAAAGCATTTTTATTCTAAAATTTATTATAAAACTAGTATCCAATAACATGCCTTCAAGGACTCAGTATATAATCTGTGAAAGTTGAAACCACTTCCTTCTTCTTCTTGAATTATTAGAATTATGTAGGACATGTGTAGGGTATGGGGGTGTTGTGGACATTTTTGGCACTGGAAGACTGAATAGATTCCTAATCACTTTTCGTATCTATAATTATTTTGAAATCATTCATAGTGTTTATATTAATGGTAGGAGATACAACTGGTCAGCAACTTGAATTTTTTGTTGCTTTCTGCAAAATAAAGAATCCTAACTAATATGTTTTTGAAACTTGAAAACAAACTAATGGGTTATTAATCCTGAGAGTTCTAGGGAGTCAACTGAGAGACAATGTATATATTGATGGCTAGGCGGCATTTACTCTCAGCTAATTGCTGCAGTTATGAATATTATCTATTACATAACCATCCATTTTGTGCATTTTGTCCTAAAATTTTAACAATTTATGGTATTATCCAATATTACTGTAATTATTACTAATTAAACATTAAACCCTTGATGAGCTACTGATGATGTACCATCATGACATTATCATTTATAAGGTGTTCCCTGGTCAAAGAAATTTGAGGAGTATTGGTGTACTAAACACAGCGCTAGATTTAGCGTCTGAAAATCAAGTTTAAAATCAGTGCAACCACTCACCAGCCATGTGACATCAAAGTCTTAGTCTCATATGAAAACTGGGGACAATATCTTTCTGAGAGAGATGTGAGAGCTAACAGAAGCAGCAAC
The DNA here is from genome assembly GCF_000001405.40 of Homo sapiens. NCBI lineage: Eukaryota > Metazoa > Chordata > Mammalia > Primates > Hominidae > Homo > Homo sapiens. The sequence continues at coordinate 172,982,010 of NC_000002.12, read as the reverse complement.
CATAAAGGTGTCTACATATTTATTTGTGTAAGTGAAAAAAACCCAGCAAAGTGATATTCAAAACTCAGACCTTTGCAGAAGCAGTTAAACAAACTTACAAATAAACTATGACATTTGGTCTGCTAGAGTACATCTGAAACTTAGCTGATTATTAGATAAGTACTCTTAGTAATCAAAACTGAATTATGAATATTCTAAAATAGTTAATTGGATTAAATAACTTTGCAACCATATTCTAACACGGGGAAGATGACAGATTTAGTGGAGTCTAATTGGAGGAAGAAAACTCTGCATACTTTGCACAGTACCTTCCCAAGGACAGTTTTAACGTGAACAAAAGAATATTATAACGTTCTCTTCTGGAATCAACAGGGGCTATCTTCCTAATCCTGACTGTATAAAGACAGATACTAAATCCACGACCCGGGAGATGCTAGCCAGGTTCACCTCCTGCTAAAGGTCACCACTGAGGGACACAAATGCACACCAATCTCGTGCTTATGGTGGAACCCAGAAAGTATGGGACCCATAAAGATGCTGAAGAAAAGCTGTGGCCACAGGGGCTCTAAAGGAGCCAGGCCTTCTCGGCCAGAGCCCTCATCTACTACTTGACTTGGACATGGGGATTTTGAAACTGGGACTCTTGGGGATTTAAAAGTCAATCGAGTCACCTTCATCCATCTACTACTATAGAGGCAGCTAATGCGAAAGTCTCAAGGTAGGCGTAATAGGATTATGGATCTTCAGCACAAGGAGCAGCCCTGCTGTTCTTGCTACTTGACATCAGCAGCAAATAACAGGGAACCCTCCTAGAAGCTTGGCTAAAAGAGAAAGCAGTCACCAAGTCTCATTCTCACCTCCATGGGGTGGGCTGTTACGGTGAGAGGAGAAAAGCTCAGCTGGGAAAAGAAAGGCTTAGAATTCCGCTCTAAAATCTGGACATATTCAAAGTTGTAATTTTGGGAGCAGATCTCTATGAGGTTAGGAAAAGTGTTTATATAATATAAATATGAGATCTGTATTACTCAACTTTTATGGATTTCTTTTTTAAAAATGCTATCCTGCCTGGGTGTGCTGGAACACACCTGTAGTCCCAGCACTTTGGGGGACCGAGGCAGGAGGATCACTTCAGGTCAGTTTGAGACCAGCCTGGGCAACAGAGTGAGACCCCGCTTCTGCACACACATACATAATGATGCTTGTTGGATCTACAAATCTCAACATATTAATAATATTGCATCTGAGATTTGAAACAGGATGAAGAACTGTCAGACCCTAAATACCATATACTAAAAATTTGACATCATGGTTCAAGGCTGACCTTTGAGCCGTAACAGCTAGTCTTAGGACCTGCACAAACTGTAGAAGAAGAGAGGTAAAGATGGCAGAATTCCAGCTCCTTTTGAACCATGTTCACTTTAACTGCTGCCCTCCACCACTAAGCATGCCTGAAGCTCTCTCCTCTCCCCATGCTCCTCCCCCTTGGCTCCCTTCCTGCTTTATTGAACATTTCTCCTCAATGTCTTTTTGGTTTGTTGTTCTTTTGTCCATCCCTTGTATTGTGTTCAGCCCCCAAGGCTTTGTTCTACCTTCTCTCCCTGGGAAAAACCCTCAACTTCCATCTAGATAATGACAAGACCTAAATCTTGTTCTCCAAACAGCCCTCTTTCCTGAGTTCCAAGGGCTTCCTGGCCATCTCTTCCTAGATAACTCACAAGGACCACCAGCTTAATCTATCTAGAAGTGCTCCCTCTTCATCACACAACGCTCCTGGAAACCAGATCTTAACTTCCTTCTCTAGACTCATCTATCTCCCCTCTCTTCACATCTTCCCTGATAGCTACACTCTCTCTCCAGCTATCCCAGGCATCTCTCCATTCCTCGAACACACTAAGCTTTTTCATGCCTGCAGGACTTTTTGCATGCTCTTCTCTTTGCTTAAAATACTTTTGTTCTGCCTCAAGCCCAGCTCAATGTCATCTTTCCTAAGTGAAACTGGCTCTCTGACCTTTCTTGCCCAGGCTGGAGTGCAGTAGTGTGATCTTGGCTCACTGCAAGCTCTGCCCCCCGAGTTTAAGGATTCTCCTGCCTCAGCCTCCTGAGTAGCTGGGATTACAGCCACATGCCACCACGTCTGGCTAATTTTTGTATTTTTTGGTAGAGACGGGTTTTCACCATATTGGCCAGGCTGGTCTCTTAACTTCTGACCTCAGGTGCTCCACCCGCCTTAGCCTCCCAAAATGCTGGGATTACAGGCATCAGACACCATGCAAGGCCACTCTCTAACATTTATTCCTCCGTGGCACATGGTCTTACTGCTATGGTAATTACAACATACTGTCACGAATGTTATTTGCTTAAATATCCATAAATCTAGACTGTTCTTCTCAAGAGAAGCAGTATCTGGTAGTGCAAAGGCACTAGATTGGAAGCAGAAACTGAATTTGAGATCTAAATCATGAACTTCCTAGTTGCTCAACTGATCTAATGACTTGTTTCTGCATCTGTAAAATGAGAATAATACATGGGATTGTTACAAAGGTCAAATCAGGTAATATACATGAAGCTTTGTATATACTGAAAATATAGTACAAATGTAGGGTGGTATTGTTATCAGGGTGGGTGTTTAATATGGCTCATCGTATGAGTGAACACACGAGTTCTCATGATTCATGCTGAATTTAGGGTCTGCCCAAGGGAGATGGCAGTGGTGCTATGGAGCAGTTCTTTTGCGTCCTGAGGGAGATGTGTCCTTATTCTCTGTTGTCCTTCCCACTGAGGTTAAGCAAGGCAAGGCATCCACGGCACAACTCACTTTTGGTACAGGACACATTTATTTCATGGCAAATAGTTAATTATTAATAGAGGGAGGAGATGTGAAAATGATGGGCCTCACCTCTTACTCCAAATTCTGTAAAATGATAGAAAAGGTCTATTTTTCTTAGGATTACAGATTTACTCAACTGTTTGTGAAAAATAAATTCCCATCTTAGACCAGCTAAAGATACTCAGTACCTATGTTGAGATCAGCGGGAGTTTAAATGGAAGTCCATTCAGGACCAACAAGCAGCACCTTGCTAATCTCTTCATTTTAGCCAGATTTTTGTCTGCCATGCTAAAGGTTTGGCAGAAAAGATATTTTAACATGCAAAATGACATTGGAAAACAAATGAGCAACACCACCACCACAAACGATGAACTATCAGCAGACCAGAAAGTTTTAGGAATTCCTGGATAATAGAGAGCAGACGAGAAAAGAATGTCTGAGAAACAAGAATGGAAGCAGCCGCAGCTCAACCCTCACAGAAGAAAACCATCACAGGAGTAAGACAGCATCACTGATAAGACAGCTCTGCGTCAATCAGCCCAGAGGGCAGGAGAGGGCGGTGTTAGAGGGGTTGATCAAAAGGCCCCACCACTTGGTCAGGCCCCTACCTTTCCACGCCTGTCACACTCAGTAGTGGACAGGGGCAGATTTACTGCCAGGCAAGACCTTGAGACCTGCTCTCTAAGACAGACGCCCCAGGAGGACTGAGGGTGAGCACTGGAGCCTGGGAGAAGCAGAACAGAGGGTGTGAAAACCCCAGGCTCTTCCAGGTGACACAGTAGGAGAAGAAGGCAGCTCTCCCAGGAAGAGCAGGGAAGGGCTCTGTTCCCAGGAAATCCTTGCTATTTTGGCAACTAGTGAGAGGAAAGGGGATGGTGTGAGCCTGCCTGCTCCCCAGGTACCTCTACCAAAGCAAAGCCTGCCAAGAAAACTGCCTCCTTGCAGGGACAGCCCCCAGCATTTCCAGGGGAAGCTCTGGGGGGGGTGTGACCACTACATCTGCACAGAAGCCCACGTGGGCAGCCTGCTTTACCTCCTGGTCTTTCATTCATCAACAACCCACGCAGAGAAAGAGAGGCTTCCATGGGGACTCCTGGATGCCTCAGAGAGGTCCACAACAGCTGTTCGGGACTAAAGGGAACAAAGCCTAAAAACAGTTTAGTTTCTGAATCCTAAACAACATTCAAGCTGCAAAGAAAAAAAGAGAAGCACAGCAAGAACAAAACCCCAACCCTGTGGTCTGAGGTGGTCACAACAATCACACAGCAAGCAACTATCATTTGGCAATCCACCCAGGCAGCAAAGAACTTTTTGGTCCTGTTTACAGCCAATGTTTTAATGATGTGAGAGAAGTCAGGACTGCCAGGTGTGAAGAGACTTACTTTAAAAAATGAGTATATACACAGCTAGCAAAGCAACAAAAGCACTCATGAGAGATTTGCTGTGAGCTAGGACACTGTCCCTCAGGGGCCTCAACATGTCATTAGGATTGAAAGTTGAGGTGAGTCCCAGGGAGGAGGCCAGGTGGAGCAAAAGTCAGTCTGGTCAACCTGTGCCCACCAAAGTGCATCAAAATGGAGCCCCCTCCCACCCTAGTGGGGGCTCAGTGTTCGTGGCAGCAGTAACAGAAACCAGCCCAGCCTCTCGGAGGCTGCTGGCTCGGAGCTGCTGTGCCATCTAGTGTCTCAGAAAAGGCTCACCTCTCTACTCTCACATCAGACAAAGGTTCTCCCCCAATCCACCCCACCCCTCAAAGAGCACCTGATCACATCTAAAACTGAGCGTTCCCCACCACAATCACTGAACAAAGTCGCATTTTAAAAGCAGGTTTCTCTTGGCAAACAGTGGCATTAAGCACCTTTCCTGCTTTGGTCTTTACGGGGGTGACAGGGGAAAAAAAATGGAGAAGAGATCCTGTAAATCAGCCCCCAGACTGTTCAAACAGTAATGAAAGGGTCCCAAGGACTGAAGGCAATCTGGCTTTCAAGAGTAAAGGGAACACTGTGCCCGAGCAGGAGGAGAGAACTCCCATGCACCTTCATAAGAGTAACCTACAAGGCTGGGGAAGTGAATTGACTCTCTGGCTGCTCTGAGTGGCAGCCGGTGAATGTACCTGGTCTTTACTTGTCCTTCTCCAGATGACACAGGGAGAGATATTAGGCATCCCTGCTTCTTTACAAATCTGCGTGGTGCCACATTGATGTGGATTTGTCGGATCCCGCTGTGGAAAGGCCTAGTTTCTGCAGGGGATGCATTCTGGCAGCAATGTCTAGTTACAGACAAGATAATAAATGGGGATGGATAGGGAAGCAGTTTATACATTAAAGGATGGGAGGGCTCAGGTGATATTGGAAGCTACTGGTAAATACAGTTTTATCAAGGAATTTATCAAGGTCAGAGACAGAGCTTCTCAGTTATTGGAACATGGATAAAATGAGGGATTCATCCAGCCATCAAGCAGCACATTGGCATGGCCCATAGTAAAATATGCAGGTAAGAAAGCAAATATTCCAGTCCTTTAGACCTGTCACCTAGCAGACCTTGGTACAAGGGGAAAACACCCGGAGAAATCAACATTATAAATATCTACATAAGCCATGGTCAAGCTTCGAGGTTTCTAAAATAAATGCTCTATTTTTTTGTGTGTGTGGGGTGGGGGATGCTTTATTTTTGATGCAACGCTTCATCTCAATCCACCTGATTCTCTAACTTTTAAGTCCTTTCTCAAACTTGGACCATTTTCCCACACTGTTAAGATCTTAAGATCTCGCTTCTTCCACTTCCCTTAAAGGAAAGTTTAGTGCAGTTTTGCACTTCCTTGTCTAGCAAAACCAGCAAAGCATGTTTTTTCTTTGCCTCACCTCTCAGGACCCCTGCTTCTTAAGTGTCAGAGACATTCCAGGAACCTGGTGACTGCACATTTAAAGTGTCCTACCCAGCTCCGACTGCTCAGCTCCCTGCCATGCCACCACCCCCTCACCTTATCTTTAACCCCAAAAAGGACGTTTTAAGTTCCCTTTCTAGTCCTAATAGCAGAGCTTGTGTACACAGGGATCCTTTTCTGCTTTGTGAAGTTAGAAATGAATACAGTCTATAACTGCAATAAAGGGCAAAAGCTTTATGAATACTTGTGAGAAATGAAGTCATCCCTGTCAGGACATGGGATAAGGGTTCCATAATTCATGGCTTCTGAGTGCTAAGTGTTTTTAGGACAATGTGGTTTGATCACATTTAGAAACTGTATATGCCCAGCATTCTTCCAGCAAAAGTGTTTACTACAAGGACACTCAAGAGTTTAACATTAAATCTTTTAAAAGGTACAAGTACAAATATTTTCCTTTAAAACACCTAAGCAACAAGTTGAGAAGAACAAATAAATTTGGATGGAGTCAGATAGTATAACTGCTTGCCTTTGAGGATGAAATATACATATGAGATGGAAAATGCAAATGTTTTTTGAGAAGGTGCTACATGAATGCATTGTTACTTCTTCCTTGCAAAATGTCAATTCTTAATTAATCAGGGACATAGATTATCCATATTTTGTGGTTATTTCACTGCTTATTCAGTAAATTCACTAGTGAGGACACACTTGAGGCAACCTAGGAGAGAGGAAATAATATTGTCAATGAAAGAAAAAAAGAAGAAATAAAATTGGACTTGGAGTAAGATTTGGATCAGTTCCTGGTTCAGCCACGTATACTGCTGTGTGATGTTGAGAAAGGCACTTGGTATTGATTAAGCTCAATTTCTTTGTCAGGACATAGTGGATTATCATGAGCCATACTTAATTCACAGAGCTTTTTAGTGGTTCAAAGAGGGGACGGATGTGAGACCACTATATAAACTATACAGTGGTATTCAAATATTAGTGATTAAGTTTTGTTTGTGGTTCTGGCTAGAGGGTTGCTGTGGAGTAAATTGACTCTTTCCAGAGCTGTGGGTTTTCAGTGTTTTTTATGTGATCTTTAGACTAAATTTTCCAGCAAGTCTTCAAAAGAGCTGTGAAGAGAGGCAGATTAATTATAAGTTGGGTGCCGGATTTGGCAAATAAAAATATTGCATGAAATATACTTATATCAGAACATTGTTTGTTATTCATCTGAAATTCCAATTTAACCGGGCATCCTGTATTTAACCTGGCAACCCTAATCATATGGCAATTAAAACTATAAAGCACTTCATTTCTGTGCAATCAGTTTGACAATGGATTGTAAAACTTTAGACCCATATGGCCCGTTGGATTCTGCTCCTGACAATACATAGTAAAACTCAGGACATAAGACAAAAATAAAAGAATTATAGGTTCCAGAAGCATGTAACTCCCTCAGGAAAGAATAATCTTCATCATCATTTTAACCCATTATGGATTAGCAGCACGCCTGGGAATCTGCCATACTAGAGGACTTTTTTTCCACAGTAGATGGTGAACTCCATTCTGGTCTATATGGTAATAATTTAATGAAATTAGATTAGTCTGTAATAATAATTTTATTTTTTTGAGATGGAGTCTCACTCTGTTGCCCAGGCTGGAGAGCAGTGAGATGATCACGGCTCACTGCAGCCTCCACTTTCTAAGCTCAGGTGATTCTCCCACCTCAGCCTCCTGATAGCTGGGATTACAGGCATGCACCATTACGCCTGGCTGATTTTTGTATTTTTTGTAGAGATGGGTTTTCGCCATGTTGCCCGGGCTGGTCTTGAACTCCTGGGTTCAAGTGATCTGGGTGCCTCAGCCTCCCAAAGTGTTAGTACTATAGGTATGAACCACCACACCCAGCCTTGTAAGAATTATTTTAAATTGGATTTCCCTGACACCTTTCCTTTCCAATGCTCAAAGCATAAACCCATGAGTCCATTCTGAAGCCCCTTTGGACGATGGCAGGTTATGGTAGTGCACAGTAAAGAGCACAGGCTCAAGAGTCAGGCAGATCTGAGTTGAATCCTGAGTCTAGTGTTTTGTGGATAACCATAGGCAAGTGACTCAGCCTAAGCCTCTGTCTCCTTGTCCATAAAATGGGAGTAATGTTAAATAACTACCTCAGAGTTTTGTTGAAGGAATTGAATTAAGTAATTGTTTAGCACAGTGTCTAGCACACAGATGCTCGATAAATGGTGGCTATAGTTAAATTCAGTTGGCACTTGTGTTTTCATTTCCAATCTATTGTGAAGTAGGGAGAGGGCAAGCAGGTATTATTGAATTCCTTTTATACCTTAAGAGACTTGTAATCTGAAGATGTTAGATGATATAATGATAAACTGGTAAGAATAGAACCCAGAGCTCTTGTGCTCAGTAGTATTTTCACTTCATTTACAAGACTCTTGGGTCAAATGCACGTATCTCAAAGGCTGTCATTTCAAACTATAACAAACATAATCTCATAAAACTCAGTATCTGGCTTTCTGTCTTTAGTTGGCCCCTCCAGTCTATTCTCTGGAGATAGCAGAGAAACCAACCTACTACAAATCTGATCACACCACACCTCTCTCTAAAACTCTTCAGTGGTGCCCCAAATGACTATAAAATAATACCCAACGTACACAGAGGGCATGGCAGATGCCCCCACTGACGTCAGCCTAACTCTCCAGCTGCATCTCCTAGTGCTCCTGTCCGGTCACTCCCTTGGTGTGAAACAGTTTACAGTTCCCTGCGGGAACTTTCCCAGCATCTTTCTGCCCCACCTGTGCCCCTATCTGGCTAGGAGCTCTTCCTTTGTTCTGGGAAGAAGAGTATTAAAATATTATTTTTTTGCTGCTCTTAAGAAGAAAGGTGCTCGGCCCAGTGGCTCATGCCTATAATCCCAATACTTTGGGAGGCTGAGGTGGGAGGATCGCTTGAGTCTGGGAGTTCAAGACCAGCCTAGGCAATATAATGAGACCTTGTCTCTATAAAAAACTAAAAAATTAGCTGAGCATGGTGGCATGCGCCTGTAGTTCCAGCTACTCGGGAGGCTGAGGTGGGAGCACCACTTGAGCTCAGGAGGTGGAGATTGCAGTGAACTGAGATCACCCCACTGCACTCCAGCCTGGGTGACAGAGTGGGACCCTGTCTCAAAAAAAGAAAAAAAAAAAAAAAGAAAAAAAAAGGGGCTTGAAAAACAACCTAAACATCCAACGATCACAAACTGAATGCATTAAAGAACATTCAGAGAACACACCTATTTAAAAGCTCCATCCTTAAAGGATATTTAACTTTAAGAGAGAATGCTGTGATATGTTATTAAGTGTAAAAAGTTAGGAATTAAAAAATAACTAAAGGGATAGGCACCAAAATGTTAACAGTAATTAACTGAGACATGTGATTGCAGGTATTTTTTCTTCTTTTTTAACTCTTGTCAGTGGTTTCCAAATTTTCTCCAATAAAGAGATCGACTTTAGCAATAAAAAGTCATTAAAACCTTGAGGCAATCTTATAATAAACTCTAAACTGTAGATGAGCAGCTAAGTTCATCCTCCCCTCTCCTGAATCTTAATCATAAAGGTAGCAATCCAATGGCTGGTTTCAGGCCATGTGGATATGAGGAATAAGAATAAATTGCTTTCATGGGGAGAGGCAGAGAAATGACCTACTTAATGCAATCATTTATTCAGGTAAATTCTACAAGCTTTCACTTGTGACGCCAAAATCTTTCCAGTAAAGACCAAGGTGAAGGTCACCATGCAGTGAAGGAAGGATTCGCCGTGACTGTCTTACTTCAGAAGCCTAGGTTCTTTCGGTCGTGCTTTTCTTCTCATCTGATTAACATTTGAGATGAACTTCGTAACTGTGGACATTCTCTTGACACATCCCAGCAGAAATCAAAACCCTAACCACCACCAATTTTAGGCTTGCTAATCTGGAATCCCCCGAAGAAACAAATCCCTCTATAATTACCAGGATTTTAAATTCCACACCCTGGAAAAGAGTTTAGACAAATAAAGATCCTATTAAAACAGGCACTGCTAATTAAGACACAATACACAGGCTCTCACGCGCCCTCTAGAGCAAGTGTGTGGAATCGAACAGCAGCAGGGTAGTCTCCACCCAGCCTCTGCAGGACAGCCTTGCATTAGGGCAGCCAATTAAGGGATAAACAATACCCTCCCCACCCCCGCCCACAGTATTTTGCCTTTATGTCATTTAATCCATCTTAAATTGTTGCCTTTCAACTTTACGCCCTATAGCATATGTTTGATATGAAGCCAATATATCTCACGTTTCCATATTTCTTAATGCCTTAGCAGAGTATGGGCAATAAGAAAACAAACAAAAAAACCATTTCCAGGACCTTTGAACATGCTCTCAGTTTTCAGGAGCAAGGTGTGTTCAGATGGTCTCTTCAAGACAACAATGATACTGGCAATTCTTGACCAACGAAGCTTGTTTTCTTTCCGTTTAAGTAAAATTAAATAGTAACTCCAAAGATTATTAGCAGATCAAAAAAAAAATGGGGTATGTGTGTACGTGCATGTAGAGTTGGACTGTCTGTCTCCTAAAATTAGATTCCTTACTTTTCACTTTCCCATCTCTCAGAGCTCTTATTCCAGCAGAAAGAGTCAAAAGAAGAAACTGCCAGCCCAATTCCAATGTTTAAAAAGTTTCAAAAAACCTAGGGAGATGGGAAAAATCCCAAGGGCAACTGAAATATTAATTTATCACATAAAATAAACGAACTCAAGTTTGTGTGTTTCTGACCCAGTTGGAAGATTCCCCAACTTCTAACAATTCTCTTATATATACATATATTTCTCTCTGCTCGGGCCCAAATGACTTTTCTCTTTCTCAACTTACTTAGGCTTCTACTGTTAGGCATTTTCAGAACTGCAGACCTAAATTTTGATTTGGGAAACAGTGTCTACTTAACTGTCCTCCCAACTTTAGGCTGGTCTCTGATAGACCATCCTGAACATTGGAACCTATGTCTCACTTTACTTGGAAGGAGTGGTTGGAAGGCTTGTACAGCAGAGCGTCCTGTCTCCTTGAAGCCTCTTTTTTATCCACAGTTGGCCTCAAGTTTACAATACTCTGTTTACCTAGTCACTCCAGATCCTTTTACTCATATTTCTCTAACCAAAGTACCTGCTCAAAGAAAGCCAAAATGCACATTTCTACTGGTAAGAGTACCCATTATATCTACTTGCTATAGGGCAACCTCTTGTTTTTAGATTTATAAACAAAGCAAAATCAAAACAATAAGCTTGGAGAGCTCATTCAGTGTTTGATGGCCCTGTCTCAGAGCTACAACAACAGCACCGTCAAACTGTCATCGTTCTGTAGCACTTGCCCCCAAATGCCATCCAGGTCTGCACCTGCGAAACCAGGACGGGCATTGTGAGTCACTCTGTCTGCCACCACATAAAAAGCTAATTTCACATGCAGAATGTATGTGTTTTTTTTCAATACCAATAGCAACAAGAGTGTGCCAAAAAATTTCCCCTGAAGCTCTATTCTGTTTTTTAAACTACAGAACATTCTTTCATAGTTTGACAGTTAAAATGCTGCAGTTAATGTAATAAACAGAGAATTTTTCTAAGTAGCCTGTCAAAACAAGTGACACTTTTTTTTTTTGCTAGCAAGTCTCAGATTCAGAACAATAGGAAGTACCTTTCAAAGCAACATCTTCATTATACAATCAAATTCTCAAAGTAATCTTCTCATCAAAGAATATTGTGTTATTTCTTTCCCAGTAATTATCAGAGTTCTGCAACCTCTCTGGCAGTGGTGACTATTATAAAATGCAGCCGTGCTGAGTTTAAAAGTTGGGGGTCCTGCCCTGGTCAGTATGAAGCCAATGCATCTCATGCCTCCACATTTCTTAATGACTTAGCACTTTCGGCAGTAGAAAGTCAACATTTCCAGGACCTCTGAACATGCCCTCAGTTTCCAGGAGTGAAGTGCTTGGTTGGTCCCTTCAAGGACAGTAGTGATACTGGCAATTCTTGATCAACTAAGCTTGTTTTCTTTCCACTTAAATAAAGTAGTAGCTCCAAAGATTATTAGCAGATCAAAAAAAAAAAAAAAGGGTGTGTGTGTGTATGTACATGTAGAGTTGGAATATCTGTCTCCCAAAATTAGATTCCTTATTTTTCACTTTCCCATCTCTCGGGAGCTGTTATTTCAGCAGAAAGAAAACTGAAGAGTTCCAGAAGTGCCAGCCCAATTCCAACGTTTGCAAAGTTTCGAAAAACCTAAGAAGATGGGAAAATCCCAAGGCCACCTGAAATCATGTATCTTGGAATATTTGTAAAACCTGTACTTTAACAACTAGCGATATAATGGAAGAGTGTCAGTTTTGGAATGTAATATTCTGTGAAGAATCTGGGCTGCCAGGGATCATGCGATTCAATGGTGTATGGACAATAAAAGGAAGCACAAGCAGCGACTCCCATTTCTCCCAAGGTGACTCATGAAAACAAGCTCTCATGTCTCTTGAGAAGGCTAAATCAAACAATTAGCATGAATGTTCCTAGCATACAGCAGGCACTCAATTGATGATTGTTGGATCTTAATCTAATTTGGGGATTCCTCTCCCACTGAATTATAAACTCCCCAAGGGCAGGAGCCATTTCAAAAACATTTGTGAATCAGATGGCATTTTTGCCTCCCTTGAAGCAAGTAAGAGCTGAGGGAACATTAGCTGGGACTGTGTATTCACACTTCCATTCATTCATTCATTCATTCACTCACTCAGCAAAGGTTTACTGATGGCTTATGTGGTGTAATGCACAGAGCTAGGGATACGGCCTTACTAAGTTCCACACCAGGTTAAACCCTCCTCCACATTAGGCTGTGCCAACACACACTACATCTTCCTCCATAGCATGTAATGCAGCTGTGATTAAATGATTGCTTGCATAAGTAGTTGCTTAATCCTCTGCCCTAGACAGAAAACTCCAAGGAGGAGAAGCCTTCTTGTTCAATGTTTACCTTAATGCCTTAGCACCTAACATAGTATCTAGAACAATGTAGGTACTCAATAAATGAACAAATGTAGTAAAATGAGATCTGTCTTTGCCTTTAAGAAACTCATGGTTGACTGCAATATTTCTCCACACGGGCATTGTTCTCAGGACAGCTCTTTATTGTGTTGGGTTCCTAGGTACTGCAGTGTGTTTGGCAGCCCTTGGTCCTAGCCACTGCCCAGTGAGTGCTAGCAGTGGGCCCCCTCCTGTGCTTTGACAACAGCCCTTAGGGGGCTGTCCCACCTTGATTCAGAACCACTGCATATGTTGGCTTGGATGCAGGTGGCAGCAAGGAGGACAGCAAAAAGGGGATGGACCCAGGAAATGATGAGGAAATATGCAGGAGGGACAGTGGGACAAGAGGGGACAAGAAAGAAAACATGGCTTAAAATGGTGGTGTTCATCTGAGTTCCCCAGGCCCCAGGGATTCTCTTGTGCCCCCTCAGCCATGCTCTCCTATGATCCTTCAGGGCAGAGAAAGCATACATTGGCTGGGCAGGTTTCTTGGACCCCACTCCTGCTTATGTCAGTGAAGCTCTAGCTTTGTTTGATGTTTTGGATTTTCCTGTTCATCTTTTTATGTGAAGAAAGGGTTTTGAGGCTTACAGAGCTGAAGAGTGTGGTTCTAGAGTTAAGGATGATGGTATCTGCTGGGATGAGGGGAGGCCTTTGAAACACATGGTGTGGGAGAGTCAGACCCATGAGAAAGTTTTGACAAAGGGGACAACCCTGAGTAAGGGCAAGTCAAAGAATCCTGGGGAAGGGAAATTAAAGTGCCTTCAGAGAGGCTACTGTGGGTTGGTCTGAGGGGCAGCCTCTGGGGAGGCTGGCCTGAGGGACACTTCACTCTTGGAAAGCACCCAGCAGACATCCAGGACATGTAACATGTAATGCCCTTGTCTAATACAAGACTAATACACCAAGGTCGGCCAAACATGACTCAGAGCTGACATCCACAGCTGGCCGACGCTGGCTGTGGGGCAGAGGGCGTCTTCATTTCCAGCCAAAAAACACAAGCCTGTGTGGTGGTTTCGGATGCAAGGGCCAAGTCACCGCTAACTGAAAAGGTTTCCCTGAGGATCAGGACCACATGTATGCTTCTTTATATGCCCCATAGCAATTTGTGGAGTGCCCTGCATCAAACGGGGGCTTAATAATACATTCTTTCTGAGTGGATCTGATTAAACATTTCAGAGTCCACAATTGCAGGTGGTGGCCTGCTCCTGAAGGTAAGGTGGGTTCAGCTGAGACAGAAGGGAGAGACTGCCTCAGTGGCTCAATGGGGGCCTTGACAGGGGTAATGCAGTTGTGGTGTGCTCAGAAGAATGAGCTTTAAGCTGAAGAACAGAAGCCTCAGAGGTGGGTAAGAGCATGTGCTGAATGAGTGAAGGAACAAATGAATGCAGGCCTAGGCATGAAGGCTATGGTCCTGATGACCTCTGTCCTGTTGCATTAGGGAGAAAGGTGCTGCCACAGGCTGGCATAGAAACAGAGCAGTTTCTGTTTGTCATTGACCAAAGGTCATTTAATATGGGGACTCAGTTTTGACAGCCGGAGCCAACTACTGACAACCTCTACAGCTTTAACTCATGCAAATGGAAAATGGAGCCATCTGGATCAAACACAAAAATTAAAATAACAGAGACAAGCACTGCTGTGGCACCCTTCAGCTGCTCCCTTTTGTTCCATGGGGGATGGCCAGGGCTTTTGAGAGCAGCCTTGTGTCTCTCCTCATGGTATGTCTATGCACTAGGCGGCCTTGGGACCTGGAGGGGTGAGCCACGAGCTCTCACTCACGGTTTGCGAAGGATCATCCTCATGTGGGCGTCGGGGCCCATCTGTGACAGCAGCAGCATGGTGTCCTGGAGCTCCTCATCACACTCCTTCTTCTCCTCCTCAGTAGGCAAAGGGGCATCCTCGTGCTCATCATCCAGAAATCGATAGAATAAATATTTGTCTTGGAAATGGTGCTCCTGGTCCACTATGGGAAACATGGAAGCACGTGTCAGCTGCAGCACCTCGGCCTCACAGCTCCGTTTACTAGAAACAAATGCAGAGTGTCAGGCAGGAGGGCCAAGTGGCAGCAAAGCCGGGAGCCTCCTCGCCCTTCTCACTCTGCCCTGCCCAGACTGTGCAGCTGGAAGACATGACCTCGGGGCTGCAGTCATGCACACCACAGCCCTCTCTGACCCACCCATCTCCTCGGCCTCTGTGGGACTCCCTTTGAGGACCTGCCAGCATTTCTCAGATGAACACTTTGACCTGCAGAAATCGTCTTCCTGATATTTTCTAGGATGTGGGACCTGTGTCCCAAACAGGAAAGGAACCAACTGCCAGGTCATGTTCTGTCACAGCTTTGGAAAGTACAGGCTTTGAAAACAATCTGCCTTGTCAGGATCAGAATTTATGTTATTCTTTCTATATGTACTGTTTATCAACTGTACTGTCTGCACTCTGGAAAAAAATGTTAGTATAAAATTAGTTGTTTGAACAAAGCTGACCAGACCAGGTTTCTAGATCATATACTGCTAGAAGGATTTTGTGGTAATTTTCTTCCAAATCTGATGTCTTAAAGTTTTTTCCTCTTGTTCCTTTAAACAGGATTTAAATCTCGGTAGGACAAAGACAATGAACGTGGCTCAGAATCCCTCATGTACATGTCTTACAGCCTTGAGCCCCTTTTCAGGATGGAGCATCAATACTCTCAAAAGGTAAAGACAAGCAGTAGATCCCTTGCTGCTCAAAGGGCGATTCCTGGAGGAGCAGCAGCAGCAGCATCTGGGAACTTGTTGGAAATACAGACTCTAAGTCCATTCCAGACGAGCTACATCAGAATCTGCACTTTAACAAGAGTCCCAGGTGACATGTATGCACATTAAAGTATGAGAAACGCTGGCAAAACCATTACTAGATTCCCAGGTGTTGGTAAATGAAATGAATGTTTTTAATATTTTGTCTGTTTGGAAGTGTCTTAAACAAATGGCATAAGAGTTTGGCCAGAGTTACACACCAGTCCTGAAGAGCTACTCTGTTCAATTACAGCCCCTGCAGTTATCAAGAGCCACAATTGCAGAGCACATTCTTGATTTTAAATATGGTCATCCTGTGGGTATACAAATTGGCTCTCCCAGACAGCGGCACAATTAAAAGGCAGCTTCCGAATTCATTACTTACTTTCATGTCATCAGCCCAGCCACACACTTCACTGCTCTTCATTCTGCCCCTGCATCAGGATTGCTATGCACTGCTCAGAGTATAATCACGCTATCAATGAACCGTGAATGCAAACTAATAAACATAATTGGAACTGATGCACTCGGGCTGCAATTTCATTTTCCTTTCATACATTCTCCCAAGTTAGGAAGGTACAATGGTGGAACATAGCAATCAATAGCATCTACTTGCTGCATTTGTATTGCTAAATGAAGATGCTAGCTCTGCAGGTCCCTAAAGGGATCGTAATTCTTTCTTGCCCATTCAAGAGTTCAGCAACTACTTACCCAGGGAAATGCACTTAGCATTTCTTGAGAGGTTTCCAGGGACTGGGGCTCATCTTACCGTGGTTGAGAACACCATCTTCTAACAGGACTTGCCACATGCCAACAGCTTGAGTCCGGGAGTGAACACATGGTGTCTGCTGCATCATCCAGTCCACCAGTTCAGTTCCCACACAGCATTGTCTAAGGAGAGGTGAGACAGAAAGGGTGGGGAAGTCACCCCTTTTCAGATAGAGGATGGGAGATGGCTTTTGAGAGGAAAACCTACCAAAGGGCTTAATGATCTCCTACCAGAAGAGGTCTCATGGCAAACAAAGCACCACACGCGGTAGCTTCAGGTTCTCAAATGCTAATACAAGCCAAAAAAGCCACTCAGCTCATGAGAGAACTTTAAAGCAAGGCTGGTTAAATGAAAGCATTACAACTTGTAGCACCAGGGGAGACCAGGGGGCCGCTAGAGGGGGAGATTGTCTGGCAAGCTAATCAGAGGAACAGAAACTGTCCTAGTGAGCCGGTCCCAGAAAATCTCAGTGCAAGATGGAGGCAAAGCAAAATACATACTGACTCTCTCCACCTGAGTCTCGTGCCGAATGAGTTAATGTTTATGAGGCACTCAGAGGTGCTATGAAAGGCACCGTATAAGTGCAAAATTATATAGCACTTTATATTTTCAAGTAATACTACTGATCTTCCTTGGAGGGGTGTTGGGAGAAACAAGCAATTAGCAATGCAAATCTCTTTGAAAAAGTTCTGTGTAATGAGCATTAGCACTTCTCCAGAGCCTGTCATCTGAAGAGCTCCACATGCTTTCTGGCTTCCTGTATATTCACACATTAGTCCCCAAGATGCCCTTCTGTGGTGAGTTGGTCTGGATAAGCAAACTGCATACATTAGTTAGGAAATGCATAAGTATATACACTCACATATTTGGGAATACAGAAATTCCCCATGGGGTGAGAGAAGGGGGCAGGTATCCACAACATGATGGTTCAAGAGAGGAAATAGAATCTTGAAGTCCTAGTGATGGCTCAATCCCAAGGGATGATGGAACAAGGCAGGGAGTCACAGAGCAGCTGGCTGCCTGCAGCTGGGACTGAATCACTGGTGGCCTCCCTTCTCATACTAAGCACAGCACCACCTCTGGGGCACGGGCTAAGGAGCTCCTCTCTAGTTGAAATTGGAGGAGACTCATGGTTCTGTGCCACTTTGGGAACAATCTTGAAGTGGCGGGAGACATGAGATACAGAACTAGGTCTGCTACTTAGCTATGTGACTTTGGCCACATGGTTTCAACTCTCTGGTTCTCACTTTCTTTGCCGTAAAAAAAAAAAAAAAAAAAAAAATAGGAGGAGCAAATGATGGCCTCTAAAGCCTTTTCCAGTTGTAATAATTTTAATCTTAGACCTCTGAAATCTATCAGAGGAATTGTGGGATTCCTTGATTTGGGGTTGACCCTGACTTCAGAATATTTCACAGGGAGGGTGTACTGAGAAGGCCATTATATTTCCAGGACTGCCCTTATTACAGTCTATACCCGCACATTAGAGCTTCAGTGGGCACAGTCACCTACTTATAAATCATTCTGAACCAAACATAAGACCTTCCATTATATTTCTTTCCTAATTTGAGAATTGATTAATCGTAAAAATCATGTAAAAATACATAAAATCAATTTCATTTGGCTTTTAATTCAGTGATTACCTTTACAAAAAAAGAGTACACAGACTCGAGATGATCCCAGAGCGTCTGATGAGTCCTTACAAAGGGTTTAAGAATCTTGCAGTCAGAATACTGAACAAAGACACACAGTTGTGCTACTTGCAGCTGATGGAATCACAGGTATCCTTTCCATTAATGATCCCTAGACGATTTAGAATTGACAGCAGACCGCTAGTATAGTTATTTTGGGGGGTTATGCTGCACCAGGAGAGGCTTCAGCCCCCGAATACTGTGGCAATAATATAATGGAGTGAGAAGCAGGAGGGAGAGAGAGGATGGAACTGGAAAGTATAAGATCTGGGACAAGGAACTCAGACTGTCCTGCAGAAAAAAGAAATCATGCTTCTGGCTTCCAGTTGAGTCCTGTGGTTATTCCCAATAGGTCATTAATTTGTGTCACAGGGCATGGAACAGACATAACACCTATATTTCAGGGGTTTAAAATCTTAGTACAATGGAGCACAAAAGAGATTATGGTTTCTAACTTCTAGTTTCCATTATCTATCATCAAACATGACATATTTTAATAAATTTTCCCTAATGCAAGTCAATACTTGGCAAAGCACAATCACATCTTAAATTATGGAAAAAAGTAATACAATTTTGAAAAGAAAAAGTTCCTTTAACCATATGAGATCTTTGAGATCCCCTGAATGAATTTAAAAGGTTGAACTCTCTCTGAAGACATATGACACATTGATTTATTTATTTTAACCTTTACTTTTCTCAAAATTATAGCAGTATGTAGGGGGCCTGATATGGTTTGGCTTTGTGTCCCCCACAAATCTCATCTCAAATTGTAATTTCCATGTTTCAGGGGAAGGGCCTGGTGGGAGGTGATTGGATCACGGGGGCAAATTTTCCCCTTTTGCTTTTCTTGTGATAGTGAGTGAGTTCTCATGAGATCTGATCATTTAATAGTGTGTGGCACCACCCCCTTCTCTATCTCTCCTGCTCTGCCATGGTATGATGTGCCTGCTTCCCCTTTGCCCTCTGCCATGATTGTAGGTTTCCTGAGGCCTCTTAGTCATGCTTCCTGTTAAGCCTGTGGAACTGTGAGTCAATGAAACCATTTTTCTTCAAAAATTACCCAGTCTCAGATAGTTCTTTATAGCAGTGTGAAAACAGACTAATACAGGTCGACAGACTAGAAAAGGAATCAACTTCTGGTGTTGGAGAACAGGACTTACAAATGTAAACATCCAAAATAGTAGTTAGTTAATATCAACATAAAAAGGGCTAAGTAATCAATCTGTCCTAAGAGATGGAATGTGTCTTAAGTGGAATATGCTACTGATGACACTAAGGCACTTTCTCAAGTCTCATCTCATTTCCAAAATTCGGTCAACAAGAGGCCAATCTAAATGTAATACACTGTCAATTTTGGTCTTCTAACATATTCATGCCAAATGCAAGCAGAAGAGTATTAGTTTGCATGGAGTATAGAAAAAATAATCAGAAGAGGAAGAATTTGCAATATATTTTTCTATCTCTGTCCTTGAGTAGGTTTGCTTTAAGGTGAACCCTGTAGATACTAGATCTAGATCACATTCAACTAACATTTATTGAGCACTTATTTATGCTCAAATTCCTGAACCAGAACCTTTGTAGATTCTATCATAGTTGGTAGAAGACATGCATCCTTCATGGTAACTTTGAAATTTGTATTCTAGTTTTTCAGTGTGTCTTATGAATTTGGTTCCTGTGAATCAAATGGGTTTTGACTCATGCCAATGCTGATGGGTTCTGAGGTCATGTCTAGGCTAAATGGGAAAGAGAGTCTCACTGATTGCTGAAAGAGGGCAGTCATGTCTGAGCCCTGGGTTTGGGAAGACAGAGTGAAGGTCTGTGTGCCACATATTGGCAATTCTAGTTCCTCAACACTTGCTGAATTGATCAAAAGTTGCTGAATTCTGAAAATCAAAAGTTAGGGATTAGACTCGAGTTCTTAACTGGCCCACCATGGTTCAGTCATCCCAGAAGGTTCAGCTAACCATGAAATCTCTGCCTTTATCTCTGTCATTTCTTAACTCCAGTGACAACTATAATTAGGAATCCATATTCTATATGAATATATATGTGATACAGAGTTGTGTATCCTACTGTATGCATGCTACGATGGAATCCTACATTAGAAAACAAGCTCTGTAAAGGACTTTGCATATTTTGTTCACTGCTGTATTCTTAGAGCTTGAAACACAATAGTGCCTGGCACACAGTAAGTGCTAAACTTGTGAATAAATCAATGACTGACTGAATGAAATGATCACTGAATCTGGAAATCAACCAACCTTGGTTTAAATCCTGGCCCTGCCACTCACTAGACTTGTGATTTGGACAAGCAAAACTAATTTCTCCAAGCCTCAGTTTTGTTATCTGAAAAATGGTCTACATGTCTAGCAGTGTTATGTGAATGAAATGAGCTAATATATCAAAAGGGACCTGGTACAGGTCTTTGAGTATAAATAAGTGTGCAGTCAATGTTGGTTGAATGTGATCTAAATCTAGTAGGCTTCCTAAAAGTCACTAGCAAAAAGAAATTACAAAAATTTTCTTCTCTTTGTTCATCACAACTAAACCAATATCCAAGCAACTTAGTTTAGGAGGTGCTAGGAATATTAAGGATAATTAAACAACTGCAGTTAAGCTGAGATGTAAGACAAGCCTAACCTTCCAGAACCTGAAGGCATTACAAAATGGGCTGCGCCCACATGGAAAACAGGGAGAAGCATTTTTGTTCCATTTTCACTAAACATGAATATGAGCGGGGCACAGCCTTTAGAATTAGCACACATACCTGTATGTCTTTAGGTGGTATTTTCTATCTCTTATCATGTGAGGTGCTCGAGAGAGAATGGCATTTCGTAAAATTTTTCCAGCTCTGAGGATCTTCTCTGAAGGGACCTGGATTGTAATCAGGTGGAAGGAGGGGAGGAGAAAGAAGTGTTTATAGAAGGAAAACAAACCAAACAAATCCTGAAACCACTTTCCAATCTGACTCTGGCTTGGAAAACATAACTCACTCAGTGCTTTACTTTGTTCACTTGTGTGATATGTCACTGGTTTATGTTGAGAACTGAAACACTGAATATTTCCTGTCTCTAGAAAATGTATCAGAGGCTTCCTGATGTGATCCCCTGACATATGGACCACCTCCAGAGGTACTTAAGAAGCTAGCTCAATGGCTCATCAACCCACCTACATCCCATTACCTTGGTAATGGTGTTAGCAGGACGAAGAGGAACGTGAGGTTCAATGAGAGGTGTCTGAAAAATAAAATGTTAAAGCAAAAGAAAATTAAACAAAAAGTTCACTGAAGAAAATTATGGGTTGGGGGATAATAAGAAACATCCATTTTTTATAAAACTCAAAATATAATTTAAAAAAATAAGAGATAAATTCTGCCTAAAGAACTTGAATGCATAGGCATTCAAAGGGCAAAATTAGACCATTCAATTTGCCAACATTTAAATATAAATTATTACAAATGAAAAAACCAAATAGATAGGAATGATTAGATGTTTGTAGGCTTCATGAGAAGAGGAAATAAATATCTATTCAGAGCCTAACAAACATCAGAGCAGAGGAAAAAGCAAAACAAGATAAACATAAATGGAGATTAAAATGACCTGTCTCCAGGGGTGGGAAGAAAGTATTGATATGGGATGGAAATGAGCTATTTCGTCTCTCTCTTGTGTAGTTAAGATTCTTTTTCTGCAATTTGTATTTTTAGAAATAAAGTTTTAATTTTTAAATGCGACTTCTTGGCGGTTCTATGCACTCAAGCTCCTAGAGCCCACTGAGGCAGTTAGTACACTTCTCTTTCTTCTACTAAGTAGAAGAAAGTGTACAGAGTTCAGGATTCTGTGACTGTCAGATCAGCTCTAGGCTCTAGAGAAAGTGCATATGATTATCTACATTCTAGTTTTTAAATAGATGGGGTCTTGCTCTGTTGCCCAGGCTGGAGTGCAGTGGTGTGATCCTAGCTCACTGCAGCTTCAAAGCCTTGAACTCCCAGGCTCAAGAGATTCTCCCACCTCAGCTTCCCAAGCACCTAGGACTACAGGCTTGCACCACCATACCCGGTTAATTTTTGTCTGTAGAGATGAGGTCTCGATATGTTGCCCAGGCTGGTCTCGCACTCCTGGCCTCAAGGGACCCTCCTGCCTTGGCCTCCCAAAGTGCTGGGATTATAGGCATGAGCCACAGCACCTGGCCTATTAACAACATTCTTCAGATGGAGGTATTGAATGTAATCCCAGAAAAATTACTTCCACACAGCTACACATTAAGCCCTCTAGTCTTACAGAAACCCCTTCGTTTTCTTGCTCTGAAATAATCTGGTAATGATATTCCAAACGGTGGAGAAAAATGTATCCAGTCAAGGGGAGTGACAGAAGCACCAATACAATGCCATTTATGCCACTTCCAGAAGGTAAGAAAAGATGGGAGATTTATTTCTTATGAGATTGTGGTAGGCAGAATAATACTCCCCCTGATTAAAAAAAAAGTTTATGTCCTCATCCCTAGAACCTTCAAACATGTCAGGTTACACGGCAAAAGGGACTCCAAAAATATGATTAAGTTAAGCATCAAACCAAGGAGATCATCCTGGTGTTTCTAGCTGGGCCAAAGGTAATCACAAGGGGGCTTAAAATATGGAAGAGGGAAGCAGAGAAGTCAGAACTGGCTTTGAAGATTAAAGAGGCCAAAGGCCAAGGAATGAGAGCAGCCTCCAGAAGATGGAAAAGGAGAAAAACAAACAAAAGAGATTTCCCCTAGAACTTCCAGATGAACGCAGCCCTGCTGACGCCTTATTGTGAGCCCAGTGAGACCCATTTCAGACTTCTAAACAATAGCACTGTTAGGTTATTAAGGTGTTTTTTAACCACTGCATTTGTGGTAATTTGTTATAGCAGTCATGGAAAACTGATGTAGAGATTATTACGCTTTGTACTAAAAACCCTACTGTTTGCAAATAGAAGCCATTACAGTGAAAATAAATTGATAAGTTTTCCCTCTAGTCCTAATAAAAAATGAGGTAAATAAAGGCCAATATATAATATTGTATGTAGCTAAATACAAACATACATGCATAAATATATACCTTTTTAAATTAACAATAAGTTTCAAGTGGGTTGATGCTTTTGATTTATAATAGAATTAAGGAAAAAGAGAAAAGAATACTAAACTTTAAGATAACAGCATAGATAAGATACAGATGTATTTAGAATGGCTGAAATCTCACTGAACTAACTTATTTAAACATTTTCATCACCTCGCTGGCATCTAGCAGACTTTTTTCCCCTCTTGAAATCACTGTAGCACAGATGTCAAGCAATATTATAGTATTTTAACAGCATACTGTTTACCAGCACAGATCAAGAAGTATCACTCTAGTCCAATTCAACAGTTGCTTTAAACAGGGACTGATTTTGCCCTGAAATAGTCCATGCTCTGTTATGGCAGACGTACTGATGGAGAGAGACTATGAGCTCACAGAGTCCCTGTACTTGCACCTAACACCTCAAAGAAGACAAGAATTCTTTGATAGTATATCACCCAGAGAAGTGTTCAAACACGTGAGACCATCATACACTGGGACCCTGAAAACGTGCAGTTAAAACACGCTACATATTTCTAAGTTGTGAGTTCCCAGGTTCTTAAGCCTCTCACCTCTTTTCATTACACAGGTTGGTTTACAGTCTAGGACTGCACCTGACTGTATCAAATTGTAAAGACCTCTGGTTTCTTGAAAATAATAGTAGAAATCCATTTCTTCTTCTTGTCTTAGAGTAAAGAGGTACAGATAGGTGTGGTCTAGAGTAGATGGGTATGGGATTTGTTTCTGAGCTCAACTTTTCTTTCCAATGAAAAACCTACTTTCCTTTGCAGTGATCTTTGAGAGGCTGCCAGAACCAAGGTCAAGAAGATGCCCATGCTTCTGGACTGGTGATAAGTGTTTATTCTTTGGTAGGTGCAATGAAACATTATTTGAAGATTGCATGTTTTAATTTGTTTCTAAAGCAATGGCTATATTTTAACAAAATGCTAACAAGTGGTCTCTAGGCTACTTTATTTTGTTGGACAGCTCCCTTTCTGGTTCCTTGGAACCCTGAAAAGAAAGTGTTACTAAAGCAAAGAAGTATCAAGCTTCAACCAGAACTTTTTCTTTGATTTGCAACTTCTAAAGAGGTAAATGTACACAAGGTTGTCTTTTAGCTAGTAATCCTAGTACCAGTTCCAGGACCAAGAGGGTATTTCATCTGTTGAAAGGCAGAATCCTCAGATCCTTCTCCGGCTCAAAGATTTTAGGTTTAGGGGCAACATGATGAATGAAGGATGCCTTGAGGAGGGGATGGTCCCTTTATTTAAATAAAATCTCCAAGGAACACATGCAGGGGAAAGCAGGGAAGGTTTTATTTTGAGGGAATAGGAATTTGTCTTTGAAAGGGACACTGTATTCAGTTAGGCAATATACCACATCCTCAGAACTATGTTGGTACTTAGAAGCCAAATGCTCTGAGACAGGGCAAGCCTGACAGGCAGGCCACATCCCTGGAAATAGTCACTGGCCAATGCCTGTTCAGAGACCCCTGCATTACAAGTGTAACTTTATTGCCTTTGTGTCAGATTATTTACTTCCTTTTTGGTTTCCCTTGGTTTTCAAGTAAAGTTTCTTTTGAGAATTTTACCTTAGCTGCACTGTAGAAAAATAAGAGAAAGAATGTCATTTTAAGAATTCTTAGGTTAAACAGGAGAAGGAAAGACAAAAGCATGGTGACATTTGTGAGAAACAAAGAAAGCAAGCCAGCTCTAGAGGCAGGTTTATACATGCTGTGCACACATGCTCCTTTACATGTATCTCCTTGCTATATTCTGACTCCCATTGTTTATGGAGACAGCTAAGACCAGAGACACCTAGGGACTTGCCTGTGCTCACACAGCCAATAACTGGAATTGCTTAGAGTAGACTCCAGGTCTATTTCACTCCAGTGTCTCCACTGCAGGTACAATGACCCCATCCACCTGCAGTTTTCTTCTAGAGACATCTTGGCCCACCCTTTGGAAGAGTCTGTGTTCTGTTTGATTCAAGTTATTGAGAAAATTGCATCCAAGCTCTTCTAGGTCATCAGGTATCAGACTTGATCTGATGAATTTCCAGCAATAAATATTCACAGTGACCTACTGAGATTACATATGAGCACCCTGCATCATGCTTGGTCTGAATTAACTTTTTAAAAAGCAACTTTGTGGGCCAGGCGCAGTGGCTCACGCCTGTAATCCCGGCACTTTGGGAGGCTGAGGCGGGCAGATCACGAGGTCAGGAGATCGAGACCAACCTGGGTAACACGGTGAAACCCCGTCTCTACTAAAAATACAAAAAAATTAGCCGGGCGTGGTGGCGGGCACCTGTAGTCCCAGCTACTTGGGAGGCTGAGGCAGGAGAATGGCGTGAACCCGGGAGGCGGAGGTTGCAGTGAGCTGAGATCGTGCCACTGCACTCCAGCCTGGGCGACAGAGTGAGATTCCATCTCAAAAAAAAAAAAAAAGAAAAAGAAACTTTGTAACAATAAAACAACATTTAGCATTGAGGAACTGTCCTATCAGGGCTAAGACAAATATACCAGGGAGAGGAGTAGCAGTCCAGTGCAGCCAGGAGATGGAAACCATTCATTGTATTTACCACAAGGGAATTTAATGCGGGAAGTGTTGCACCAGGGGAGGAAAATTTCAGAAGCCAAATAGATCACTGTGAGAGGTAGTCCCAATATTGGCAAAGCAGGAGGCCCTCAAGCAAAGGGACAGAGGGAGAAGGAAGCATGACCAGGGCCTGAGCCAGGTGTCCTGCTGGGAGCTGGAACCCTGGAGGGTGTCCCAGAACCCTAGAGGTATGGCCACTACTAGAGATGCCTCGGGGCCACTGCTGAGAGGGAGGCAAGAGCTTCCCGCATCCGATCTCTCTCCAGCCAGAAGTCAGAGAAACATGGAAAAGAATTTCATTTTATAAATGATTAGGTTAAATGGAAGAGGGAAAGAAGCAGCACTGCAGTATCCGTGAGAGTCAAAGAAAGAAAACCAGCCCAAAGGCAGAACCAAAGGGCAAAGAGTTGATCCGAGAGCAGCAGCCCCAGGACCCATACAGAAGATGTCGCAGTGGCCACAGGGCTGGGCAGGGCTGCCACAGCTGCCACCCAGCCCTCTCACTCGCTCCCTACACCATATCCTCCCGGATACTCTTCCTGCTGAGCGCTAGGCTAGGCAGGAGGACAGCGGGACGGCACAGAGTAGGGGCTGCATTTGGCCTGCTCGGTTTGCTTCCTAGAGCCCCATGTTTGGCCCTATAGCCAGAAAACACGTATCACAAATGAGCCCCGAAAGGCATGGACCCCTCTCCAATGAAATTTTCTAGATTTTGACACATCAATCATGTGTTGATAAAAATTCTTCCTCCCTACCTGAGCATGAAAGAATCCAAATGGGGCTGTGACAATGTGATCCTAAAACCGCGAGGCAGGGGGGACAGATAAAGGCAGAGGCATTCAGCTTTCTTTCTGCTTTTCTTGGCTTTCTCCACGAAAGACTTCCCTCAGGACTGACTGTAATTGATTTTTGTTTGTTTCTGGAAAGGGGATGCTCTTTCTACTGCCTTGTATTATGTTCATATTACTACTGAAAAGGAGAAACAGAGACGGAAAATATTCCTTTTGGCACCAGAGCCAATACATAAATACTAATCAGGTGAATGAAAAATATGAATTTAGCCTCCATTACAAGATGCACAATAACTCCCCAGTAGATTATAATGAGGTATAAGGCACTGTAATAGGCCTCACGAAAGACCATATTCAGACCCTTTTGAAAGGGGGTAATTCTTTTTCCTCAAGTGCTTGCTCAAAGAAGCCTTTTGCAAAGCACAGCATTTTAAACCAAGAGACAAGAATGACAAGCAAGATTGGGACACAACTCCTGCCAAACCAGTGCGGTAAAAAGCCAGGCAAGTCCACATCCAATCTGATTCAAGGATTTAATGAAGGTCTGTTGTGTGCAGAGCAGTGTGCGAGGCTAAAGAAGGAGACTCTGATAAGGTACCTGGCCAAAATGGGCTCTTGGTCTTGTTGAAAAAGCCAAACTTCTACGGGTTAAACAATTACAAGATAATATGAATCTAATAAATGCTGCAACATTTTGGATTTCAAATCCCCCTTTTCTTATTTCAGCTGAGGACATTTCTAGGAGGTAGAGAGCAGTATTCAGTTTTTTAGTGAAAATGATATACTTTTAGGAGCTATATTCCCTTGCTTTGGCATTTTGGAATAATATAACTAAGATCTTTGAAATGTATGTCTCATTCTTGTAATAGTTATCATCAATGTCATCACTCTTTGGGGCCGCCCAGATGAAATTAAAATAAGGACTAAGTCAGACTCATAGGCAGATTTCACTACTCTGAATTAACTCTGTAAGTTTTTCCATTTGTGAAATAATGGAAAAATCATCTAGAGACTTCTTCGGCTTCCATTTGAAGGCTTCTTTTTCCTCCCCAAGTCTTTTCCCCTAAGTTCAAAATTGGCTTAGAGATTTCCAGTTTCAGCTTTTCTCTTGTAAAGAGCTTGAAAGTTGTCGCTTATGGCCAAGAAAAAAGTGAAAATAATGAGTGCTCTTGGGCTCCTCAGAGAATTGAGGTTGCAAAGCAAACTGCCACCCAGAAATCTGGAGAGACAGGAAAATCCAGAGTCCTGATTGAGAGATTCGCTCACCTGGAAACCACAAACTGGTAAGAATACTTAGATGGTAGTTCTGATTAATTGCTGGAGGCTGAATGCAGATTAGCTTGACAGTGAGAAACTCCTGGGGATGGGGCGTTTTCAGCTGGGCACCCACACTATGTGAGTTTTACCTACTTCAACCCCACCAGTTTTACCTACTTCAGCTCCTCATGAAGAGCCAAAAAAGGGTCTCCTTGTGGCTCTGGCAAGGAGAAGGAAAGCATCATCATTGTGAAATACACCCAGAGCATTCACCATAATAAAGGCAGACTCTCTAGGGAAAAGACTTTAGGAGTGTCTTATCTCATGGGGTAAGGTTCTCTGACTGTAGCCACTCTAGCCCACCAGTCGTCTCCTGAAGGGAAAAATTTGTCTTGACCAGTCAAAAGAATAAATGTCTTCTTTCTCTCTCCCTCATACACTAGTAGCAGAGAAGTGCAAGTAAAGACAGGTGGGATGGGAGACACAGATCTCACCCTCACACCCCCACCCCACCGAATGCTGGGACCACCAGTCCAGGCTCCTCAGGGATTCAGCTCCAACAAGAGCTGAACATTTAAAACATGTACATGACTAATCTTTAATAGCTGAAATAACATTTTAAGGGCCCAAAGTGACAAAACATTTATGGATTAAGACTGAGGTGTTTTTATGGTTGCTAAGTACCAGAGAGAACACAGTTAATAGTGGTCAGTGGGGGAAGGGGATTATTTCATGTGTATATTTCACTGAGTTGAAATATACTCTCTCTCTGTCTGTCTCTCTCTAGAGAGTTATTTGGTTGGTTTTACATATATTATAACAAATAACTGAGACTATATATTACATATATAAATATATAACAGTTATTTTTTATATTTATTATATAACATATTTATATATAATTCTCTCTATACATATATAGAGATCATGAGATATCTATATATAGAGATATATATAGAGAACTATTATATATATAGAATTATATAGAGAGAACTATTACATATAAAATAAATAATAGATATAATATATAATAGATATAAAAGATTGTATATTATATAAATGTAAAATATCTATAATAGATAGCTATTATATATATATTTTTTAAGTGGCTCATAAATCAGGGGCACTGAAGACTACAGTGTGGTCTCAGGCTGCAGTCTGACTATTTGTATCTGACAGTAAGAAGAGACTGAAGAATACAGAAGACTGCATGGTGAGTCTGTAAAACCGGACGAAGGAAGCGCTTCCAGGAAACAGGCTGCCTGGACCCCCCCTGTCAACTGTTCTGGAGTACTGCTCTTAGCAGGTGCTAGCAAATGGTTCAAGTTTCTCCGCAACATACCCTAACACAGTGCTGCAAGATGGCATGTTTTTAGAATGATTCTGTCAAACCCTAACTTACAATGTAAGATTGTTTCTGAATTCTTCTAGTGGAGAGAGGCAGCTTCAATTAGATAGTAATCTTTCTTTTAACATACAGGATCTTCTGAGTGTTTGCTTTCTAGGAGGTATATCTATATCTGTTAGACACTTCTAAGTCAGATATTTAGAGGCAAAAAATAAAATGGTAACTTTAGAGAGGTCCCTGTTCTTACCAGTAAGAATGGTTCTCTTTTAGATCTTACAAAGTAGTTCATTTTTTCCTTACAAATTGGCTTGATCGAGCCTAGATTTTCTTATAATGGCAATACCAACATATTACTATGAAATCTGCATTTGAGTAGTAGAAGCTAAGAGATGTACACAAGCCAACCATAATATTCCACAGAAGCCACTGCCCATTACGGTGTGTCTCCCCTTACAACTGTGACTTCTATGGAAACATAAACTCTGAAAAAGAGTCTTCAACCACTGTTCCCTCCTCCTTTTACAAATCTAAGCCTTGGCCTCATCATTCACCCTTGTTTCCAATACGAGAAATTCTGACAACAAAGTCCAAACCTGGGAATAGTGTGTTGAGTGCTTTTTGGAAATAAAACAAATGTTAAGATTTTGAAGACATGGTTCAATTCTTACAACTTTCATGGACTGGCACTTATTACAAAAGGGCTGGAACACTATGACATTTCCCTTTATAATCTCTAATTTAAAAAAAAATAGCCTGGTGTGGTGGCACATGCCTGCAGTCCTAGCTACTTGAGAGACTGAAGCAGGAGGATCACTTGAGCCCAGTAGTTTGAGGTTGCAGTGAGCTATGATTGTGTAAATTACCATGCCTGGCAGGAATTTTCATTTAAATTAAAAATTTTAAATTCTGTTCCTAAATTTCATTAGCTACATTTCAAGTGCTCCATAGCCACTTGTGCCTTATCCAAGCCTTGGTTATCCCTTGTCTAGAGATCATGATCCTGTCCTAGAAGGTGTGTATGCTTCCATCCCCTGCCATCCCTGCCCCAACATCATCAACCCCATAGCCGCATGATCCTATAAAAACATAGATCAGATCATGTTGCCCCAAATCCTCCAATGGCTTCTCTTCCCACTCCCAGTGAAAGCCAAACTCTATAGTTTACAGTGTAACTGTCTGGCTCCTTGCAACCTCTGATCTTATCTCTGCTCTCTAGCCCTCTGCTCAGGCCACACCCTCTCTTCCTTTTGCCTGGATGCACTCTTCCCAGACAGCCCCATGGCTCACACCCTCACTTCTTTCAGGTCTCTGCTCAAACACACCTTCTTGGAGAGGCCTGCTCTGTCCATTCTATAGGATATCGTATCCCTGCCCCATATCTGGCACTCTTTACCCCTCTCGCTATAGCATTTATCACACTGGATATTCATGTTCGTTTCTTACCTGTTTACTGTACTGAAATGTTAGCTGCATGAAGACAAGAACCTTGTTTTGCTCACTGTTCTACCCCAGCTCTTGGCATACAGAACTACTCAAGGATTTATTGAATGAATGGAAGAATTTCTTCATTGATTCATTTATTCTAGCTGACTTCATTGTAGGTGCCCAAAGAGAAAACTGAGAGTAACTTATGTGTTCAGGTATATGAAGGGATGTTGGGAGCAAACTGATTGGGTGTTTCCACTGCACTGTGGTGTGAAGAATCAGATTCAATGAGTTGCAATTGAGTAGAAACTTACTGACAGAGAGGAATACTAAGTAATTCCCCTCTTCCTAGTCCTTTGTTTTTTTAAACGGACTGGGTTTTGTGTCTGATAAAATGATGCACAAAATCAGTGCTTTGCAAATTTTAATGACTGCATGAAGCCCATGGGGATCTCATTAAAATGCAGATTTTGGTTATGTTGGTCTGAGATGTTACCTAAGATTCTTCATTTCTGCCAAGTGATGTTGATGCTGCTGGTGTGGGAACCACACTTTGAGCATCAAAGAATTGGATGAGTATCAGTAGAACCCTATGGATCCATAACTTCATAATCCTTACTAACATGTGAGCATTTCTAAAGATTGGATCTAGTCAATATAATCATAAGGTCATCATTCTAACAACATTTATGTTATCTAAATAAGCCAATATGTTTTCCAGTTAAAGGAATTATTGTGCAATCACAATTGTCCTTATTTTTGGAATACTCAAGTACCTTACAGGAAAATCAAATACTTATAATTTATTAAAGAAAATGCATTTGGCCTTTAGGAGTATTTGAGTAATATACTTAATATTCACAAATAACACACTTCAAACTTTCTAAATTACAAATAAACTATCTCAACCAAATTCATTATATAAACATTTCATAAGAATAGATAAAAACACAAGAATACATAAAAACACAACATAATCCTTACATTACCCTCCTAAGAGAATCAGGAAAAAAACACACTCCATTTTTATGAAATTTAATAATAATTTATGAAATTAGTATTGGAAAATGTTTACATGTGAATTTAAATCTCAATAGCGTGATTTCAGTATTTGCTGAATGGATCAATCCTTATCCTTATTCTAACTACTTGAGGCAGAACAGGGTCACCTTGGCCAAGCCCCACGGCCCCCGCCACTGGGTACCACTGAGACTCCCAAAGTGCACACATTGGACCCCAGAAACCCAGCCCCTCCCCTACCGCCCTCATCAAGGAATTGGATTCTGTAAAGGATGGCAGAGTTTGGGTCACAAGCTTGGGCTTTAATTGTGTTCAGGAAGGCCAGATTTCTAAAGTTTGAAAAATCCCAATCAAAGTTAGCATTCTCTCCCCACCAGAAAAGCAGAAGAAATGTCTACTAACCTGGGATGTTAAAACCTAAGTATAGAGAACAAATTTATAAATATTACAAGCATGCATATTTACAGTGTATAACATCTAACAAGATTACAGCTATCTCAGATACCCTGATAGAAAGGCAAGTTTCCATTTCTCAAAACTTTGGAAGTATTTTCTCAAGCCCATTGGGCATACAGTAGATACATCCTTAAAACTATGTCACAGTAACAAACTTACAATAACACCCTATAAATAATAACATATAATGATTTACCATGTTATGTAATTCTAGTTTGAATAAAAATACCTGTGCAAACATCAGTTTATTTCATGGACATTTGAGAATGTCATCTGTTGTGCTCATCTGATTTGTCAGAGTTCAAAGGACACTATTCTGGTAAATGATACTAAGTTAATTATAATCCTAGGTTTGGGTTACAAGATGTTTAAAAATGAGATTGGCTCAATTAGAGACACACCTACTGAAACAATCTGAGAAGCTATAGAAACTGCTTTAAAAAATATAGCACACTACAGGTGACTTTTCTCATCCTTGGTCTTTGAAGATTCATAATCAATGCATCAGATGAAACAACTGAAAGGGAGATTATTGATCGGGTTAGGGTATTCCTGATTTTCTTGATTTTGAGGGATCTATGGGATATATTTCCGCCAGACACCAGTCATATCCTGAGTGCACCCTCAGGACCTTTCTGCATTTCCTGAATCTCCATTACAGTAAATATTTCATTGCTTATACCACAGTTATTGATATATCTGTTTCTCCAAGTACTACATGAAGTCCTTAAAAAATTGTGTCTTTGTTATCTCAGAATCCCTGCGGTGCTTTGTGCATACAGATTGTTCATTAAATATTTATTTGATTAATATGTAGAGAAATCTCTGAGGAGTTTTTAGCTGGAAGTGGCATGAAAAGAATTTTTCCTCTTTTCATTTCTGAAATTCCAGTTTTGCTCTTCATGGTTAGATATGAAAAGGCTAAGTTTACTGGATGTTGGAAATTAATTTGTGAACTATTTTACTTTTGCTTTTTCCTGCCTAGGAATAACATTTCCCTTCAGTTCAAATCTGCACTAAGGTATTTTAGGTTGGACAGAAGATATATTAATTTCTTTCTTTTTAAAAACTTTTAAGTTCAGGGGTACATATGCAGGTTTGTTATATAGGTAAACTTGTGTCATGGGAGTTTGTTGTACAGAGGATTTAATCACCCAAGTATTAAGCCCAGTACCCATTAGTTATTGTTCCTGATCGTCTCCCTCCTCCTACCCTCTACCCTACAATAGGCCCCAGTGTGTGTTGTGCCTCTCTGTGGGTCCATGTATTCTCATCATTTAGCTTCCACTTAAAGTGAGAGCATGCAGTATTTGGTTTTCTGTTCCTGCATTAGTTTGCTAAGGATGATGGCCTCCAGCTCCAACCATGTTCCTGCAAAAGACAGGATCTCATTCTTTTTTATGGCTGCATAGTATTCCATGGGAAAACACATTAATTTCAAGTGGACACCTTTATATTTCCTTTAGATCAAGGAAGTTCTAGAAAACAGACTGTCTTGGATCCTGAAAACATACTTCTCCACCATCTTGACTTCCTCTTATTTTTCCCTAGATAGACACAAAACCAGTTTTGAGGCTTCGTTGTTTTGATAAGTATTTCTGACTGTTTTTGGGACACTTCTAAGAATTACCTAGAAGTTATGGTATGCACATACATATATCTAAAATTGTGCTTATAATTTCAGAGGTAAATGGACTTCTGGAAGTCCATATATAGAACATAAACCTGAACAAGCACATTCCTAACACCTCAGAAATCTACTGCCACATAAAAGCCCAACAAAAATATTGTACATACATTCACTAAAAGACATATACTAAAATGTTCAGAGCAGTGCTATTCACCATAGCCCACCACCAACAGAATGAACAATACATCATGTAGTCCCATAATGGAATGAGAGAAAACAATTCACACCTGCATGCAACAATGTGGATAAATCTCACAAACCGAATGCTGAATGAGAGAAGCTGGATACAAAAGGTATACACCAGATGATTTCACTGATATAAAGCATAAAAACAGATTACTATACCCTTGGAAGGCAGGATAGTGGGGAGTGGCTAGAAGGAAACATGAGGTAGGCTTCTGGGGTGGTGGTGACATTCTGTTTCTTGATCTAAATGCTGTTTATATGACTGCATTTGTGAAAATGTACTGACCTAAATGATGTGTGCACTTTTTTTTACATGTATATTCTATGTATATATATTCTTTAATGAAAACTCAGAAGAAAAAGCTTGATTTAGAACTTCTTATCAAAAAAAATTTAAGAAAGTACTTACCAACCCTCTCTTATACAGATGAGTCATACAAAAAAGTAAAGGAAACCTTGGAATTTTGAAGTTTATAAAAACATTTGAGTAGCACTTACTCATATGTAATCCTGATCTACAGCCCAACATGCAGCAATTTTCCTTTAGGAATGACTCGAAGGAAAAAAGAGAATGCATATATGCTTGTATGCATGAAAGACACCCAGAAAAAAAATGTTACCACCACCGACCTCCACAGAGGGGAGTCTTCAGCAGGAGGTTACCTGGCTAGACAGTGAGCCTAGCAGAGCATGCAGCATTTTTAGTAATATTCATTCCTTCAGCGATTCTGGAAATGTCTAAGAATACTGATTGCAAATGTCAACTATCTACTACTACGTAAAACACCACCAACACCCTCAAAAGTATGTAAACACAGGAAAAATCAAAACAAAAAAAGTATTGAAGTCCATATGTTATTAAATGTTTTACAGCTATTTTATTTAAATACTAGCTGTACCTGCCAAAGCATATATTTTCCTAGCAGATCATGGAATAAAATATTAATGTATCCTATTTATTCACATATTTCATTGCAAATATAACATGATCACATTCTTCCTAGATTTAACCCTTAGGAAGCCCAATGATTTGAGTCTTAACAACACACAGTTGTCAATAGACAACCAGAGGCTTCTGGAGGTACAAGCTGAATGTCAAGTCTCAGAAATTTTCACAAATACGTTTAGGCAATGTATTAAATTCAGAATAAGTGAAGCACATTTAATGATACATGTTGCAGAATCTCTACAGTTGACTTTTTAAGTTAAGGTAATGAACAGTCAGAAAAATGCATACAGTTTTATAGGTAGTCGTTACCCACTTGTCACCTGTCAGTGTCAGCACTGATAAATCAGCAGGTGGGGCTTCTCAAGGTCAGAGGGATGCCCATGCCTCCTCTGTTGGCTGGCCCAAAATGATGAAAGGCACATCCGGTGGAACCGTTTTACATATACACAAGTATTTTATAGAGTCAGAAGGTTTGTGTTGGGGGAAGAAGGGAAGAGCAACAGTTGTCCAGGGTGGTTCAAGGAATCTTCCCAGAGGAGGTGGGATTTGAACAGGGTCTTTAGGATGAACAGGGCTTGATAGTGAGAGAGCAGATGGAATTGCAGGCTGGAGCCAAAGTCACACAGACGGGAGTTTAAGGCATTGTGAGTCCCCTAGTCTGGCTGTAGCCTACAGCTGGAGTTGGGAGGAGGTGAGAGAAAGTGTAGGAAGACAGTATATGTGATGATAAAAATTCACCATTGTTAAGAATAGATACAGAGAATCAGATTATCAATTGTAGTAAAGGCATATACTCAGGTATAGGTTTCTACCTTTTCCTATTTTTCCATTACATATAATGCATGCTTATTGGAAAGTATAAAAAAGTTTAATCTTCCAAAACCAACCAGTCAAAGATAATTGTGTTAATATTTTGGAATATTAATATTCAGCCCCTGTTTCTAAGTGTGGGTTTTGTTTTATTTTTAACTGAAGTGTAATCATACTTTATATAAAATTTTGTATCTTTCCTTTTTACATAATGCTAAATCATAAGCAATTTTACATGTTGCTATAAACTCTTTGTAACCATCAAAATTCCTTTAAATGTATACAGCATAATTTAACATTTTTTTTGTCAATGTGCCTTTAAGTTTTTAATGATTTGCTAGTAGTATTAATATGCTATAAACTTAGGCCAAAAGTTCCCCTTACCCACTCATATTTGGAATTATCTTCTCAGAATCAATTCCCTGAAGTAGAAAACCCAGGCCAGGGATTATGGTTCCAAATGCACATTGTCAAATTGTGAAGCTTGCATTGAAGGTAACTTTGGATGAGATATTTCTTCTGAATAAACTCTTAGAAAAGTGGTCTATCTTTGGCCACTTGAACATAGCCAGTGTCTTTATTAAGACTAATACATATTAATGTGGAAGAAATAGATCAATTAAGACAAAAATGTCCAACAGAAAAACACAAATAGATTCTCTTAATATTTAAATGCATGCTATGTAAACTGCCTTAGGCCATTATTTTAATAGCATAGTAACTCCCAGTTGGGAAAGGTAAAATAATTACCATGAAAAAAAGGTCTTTGTCCTACACTTTGAATTAAAAATAATGCACTCGATTGACTTTTGTATAGTCCTCTGCATGTGAGCGTATTTATCTGTATTGATTGAAAATTGTAAAAGACTTTTTTCTACCTCAAACAATCTAGTAGGCAAAAGCTACAATAAACATAATTTTAGTACAAATACAGGACAAGAATATACAAACAAATAATTCTGATAACCTTTAAGGACTCAGAAACCTGAGGGCAGTAGTATATTTGATCTAGGTTTGGCAAAATTCCTGGAATAGCAAAAACCTATTGATGTTTTCAAGAAACCTTTTAAGCCTTTGCAAGGCTCATCAAAACAAACATGATCAAAGTCCTAAAAGCATACCATATAAAATATGGAAGCAAATCAGAAAAGTAGCATACTACATAAAATATCAAGTTCATTTCAGATCAGGTTCATAAACCAGGTTCCCTAAACATAGTTTTGTTTTCTTTTATCATCAAGTTGCCCTAGTACAGATGATGGTTTCAATTAGATATGCCAACAGTATTCTAAAAGGCCAAAGAAATAAGTAGCATGATATATTAAGTTCTAAAATTTGATTTCACTCATATTTTCCTCCCTTCCCCTTTCTGTATTTTTCTAATTTCCAAGAATGTGTATAAGAAGAAAAAAAAACCCACAATAATGAGCTGATGGAGGCTCACGCATACTTTAGAAACCTGGCATTTCTACCTGGAGGTCACAGTTTTTTTATTCAAAGTAACTTGAAAGGTTTAGACATACTTGCAACATCTGCAAGTACAATGAGAAGGAATCAAATGTTCTTGTGTTCTTTTATTGACTAGGAACTTAAACTGTGGACATAATTTTTTTTGGAAGTACGACGAGGATTGTAGCTCACCCTCAGGACAGATTTTCACAGTATCTCTTCGAGAAAGGGGAAATGTTCAGCTGAAGATGACACAGCTACAACAGCCCCTTGATTAAAGCTTTCAGTCAGACTGGGGTTAATCACTCTAAGATCAGCCTGTTTTGAGAGAAATCTCCAAGTATCTCAATCCCATCTGCTTCCCTTATGTGAGGCTCCAGATTCTGGAAGTGTTGGGTTTTGCAGCCATGAAACAGAAACAGCCGAAGTGTGGGAAGGTAGTCAGTCATGACTCGCTGTGCTAGGACACAGGCTCACCCTGGGCACTTGCCCAAGATAATAAGAGGACTCCACTGCTTACCTGTTTTCTTGCCTCTATCTCTACCTAACATGGAAACACTACAAATCTCTGCTTTCTGCCCCTTAGGACTTTCAAAATGGTGGGCTGCATTTTAAAGCAAATCTCTTCCAAACAAAGACAGAACTTTCAATACATGACTGTCTTATCGCATAAACCTAAAGGGATTATTGAGACCTGTCAGTTTCCTTCTTTTTTTCTACAGTGAGGCTCCTCCCAGGATGCAGACTGGCAGCCTGCATTTACCAAGGGTGCATTTACCAAGAACAGAAGGAAGGACGGAGCAGAAGGCAGCCTAAGATGTTCCCGTGTGTTTGGCTAGAAGTGAGGAAAACCTGTTCCATGTGATTTAATATCTATGTATTAAGTGTTTTTATTTTAAAATTTCATAAGTAAAATGCCTTAGGTGACTGACTGTTTGCAAATCCCATAAATAATTGATCTATTATTATCTGGTAATGTCATTGCTTCTTCTTACTCAAGTAGCCATTTGGAGAACTATTTCTCCCTAATTATCATTAGGAGGTTAACCTCAGTGATCTTACCATATTTTTAAAGAAGAAGCATGTGGGAACCTTTATGAAGATATAGAACAGAGAAAACTCTGAGAGGATGTGGTTCATGCAACAACTGTTCTCAGGTTATGAAAGCAAACGCATATGCAAGCAAAAACAGCGGGTGAAAGGCAAGACAGCGAAAGGGTTTTCTTGTCTGATTTTGGGTTGTGGGGTAGGAGTAAAGCCATTCCATTCTTATCTCATTTGTTTAGGGTGCTTCAGCACAGGAATCCAGAGGCAGGGATGCCCAAGATTTGAAGTATGTTCTGAAGACAAAGGAAGGTTTGTGGATTTCTCCTATAAGAGACTATTCCAGGCTCAGGCAAGGGTAAGAACAAACATTTATCAAATGCTGTGTGCCAAGTGAGTCACATCAGTTATCTTATTGAATACTAACAACAACCCTTTGATGAGCTCCCATTACTCCCATTTCACAGATGAGGAAACTGGCAGCTCTGGGATAGGAACTCTCTGGTTAACCACTTGCACTACTGTCTGCTGCCCTCTGAGGAAAGAGTCCTTGCTTACCTTCCCCTTAAAGTAAAGGCAATTCTCTAAAAAGAGCCATTCTGATCATGTCATTTTTCTAGTTATACACAGTGCCTCCCCATTCTTCTAGGAACAAATCCAAACTCCTTACCACTGCTTCAAAGTCTCTTCAGAACATCACCTCTGCCTGCCTCTCCAGCCTCAGTGGCTCCCTTCTTCCTTTTTAGCTTCTCAAATATGCCAAACGCTTTTGTTTTGGAGGTTTTGCCCCATCTGTTCCCTCTGCCTAAAACGTGTGTTCCCCTCCCTTTTCCTGACTTCCCCAACCTTCAAGCCACACCAAAATGTACCTTCCTCAGACAGTTCTTCCCAAGCCCTCTAATACACACTTCTGAAGCTGCAATGTCCAGTGCAGTGGCCGCCAGCCAGATGTGACCACTGAGCCCTTGAAACACAGTGAGTCTGAAGTGAGATGTAAGCATGCAAACACATGCCCAAGTATGAAGATGGAGAACAAGAAGCAGCATGCAAAATATGTCAGTAACATGTTTTATTAATATATTGGTTATATGTTGAAATGAGAACATTTTGGATGTGTTAGGTTAAATAAAAATACGTTATTAAAATTAATTTCACCTCTGTTTACTCTTTAAAAATGTAGCAACTAGAAAATTTTAAATTACACATGTATCTTGCATCCTATTTTTGCTGGACCATGCTGTGACAGAGCATTCTGCACTTCCCTTTGGTAACACACATTACAGTTATAATTACTTGGTTACTGAATTTTTTTTTTTTTTTTTTTTTTTACCAGACTCTAAGATCTAAGCAGGAGTACCATGTTTGTCTGATTCCCCTGGTACTCCAGTGTTGAGGCACCTGGCATATAGCGTGGCTAAATGGAGTTGTTGAAACAATAAAGGCTCATTAAAGGTGGACATCCGTTAGGAAAAGGGGAGCAGCAAAATGCTGTCTCCTTTAGCAAAATATGAACATGGTCCTTTAATCTTAGAGAGGAAGAAAGCAGATGGTGGTTCTGAATTTGAGCTAAGACAATTTAAAAATATATTACCAGAAGTTTTTGAGATCTATTGCAGAACATGGTGACTCCAGTTAATATTAGGTAATTGTGGTGCAAAAGTAATTGCAGTTTTTGTTATTACTTTTAAAGGCAAAAACTGCAATTACTTTTGCACCAACCTATTGTATATTTCAAGATTGCTAAGAGAGTAAATTTCAAATGTCTCATCAAAAAAGGATATGTTAATTAGCTTGATTTAATCATTCCACATTGTATACATACATCAAAATATCACATCATACTCCGTAAATATCTGTAATTATTATTTGTCAGTTAAACTCTCTGAAAACTGCAAAGCACCATTAAAAGAATATATGACCAGAGATGTAAATGAGGGGAATCAATTTTATCTTGTTTATAATAAAAAAATACTTGTTGAGAGCATACTATGTTTCAGGTACTGTGCTGTGTGAACTTTATATGCGTGTTCTTATTTAATCCTCAGGACAAAGTGAGGAAGTAGATTCTATTATTATCAACCCATTTTTCAGATGATGAATCTGAGTCTTAGTTTAAGTAACTTGCTCAAGCCCACATAGCTAAGAAGTGGCAGGGCCAGCATTGAGCTCAAGCAGTCAGCTTGCAGTCTCCTTGCTGGTTTACTCCTACGATGTACTGCCGTAATACAGTTTCCTCAGAAAGTGTAAAGAGAAATCTCTGCCCATAAACACAGGTTCTACCCTAACTCCCCTAATCACTGATTTTTCAAAAGCCTTAATAATGATAAGAAAAAAAGCATTTTATCAAGTGCTTACTTTTTGTCAGACGTGGCAATAAGAACTTTCCATGGATTATGCTATTTATTTTTCACAATAACTTCGTGAAGTGAATATTTTTCATCTTTATCGTGAAAATAATAAAACTAAAGAATAGTCAAATTAGAAACAATCAAAATATACATTATACAAATGGTTAAAATAAATGACGCTGCACCAGAATTAAGGACTATTTTGCCACCATTACAAATAATGCTTCATGGAAGACTTAAGAAATAAGGTAAAAATTATTACATTAAAAACCTAATAGCAAGGGTATTCTTTCTCACCATTCCTATTGACTATCATACCGGAAGTCCTACCTTGTGCAACGAGACAAGAGAAATAAAGAAAAAGCACACAGATTGGGAGGAAGAAATCAATCTGTCTTTACTTGCAGATGACATGATTGTCTACGTAGAAAATTCCAAAGAACTCCTGGAACTAATATGTAAGTATAAGGTCATAGGATACAAGGTCATGTACAAAATACCAATTGTTTTTCCACATATCAGCAATGAACAACTGGAATTTGAAATAATAAAATACCTCTTAGAACATCATCCTTCCAAAATAAAGTACTTTGTATTAATCTAACAAAACATGTACAGGGCATATATAGAGACAACTACAAAATACTGATGAAGAAAATCAGTGAACATCTAAATAGAGACATATTCCATGTTCATAAATTATCAGACTCAATACTGTTAAGACGTCAGTTCTTCTCAGCTTGATCTATAGATCCAATGAATCCCAATCGAAATCCCAGGAATCTATTCTGTAGATATATAGACAAACTGATTCTGCAATTACTGGAAAGGTAGAGGACCTAGACAGAATAGTGTATTAGGCTGTTCTTGCATTGCTATAAAGAAATACCTGATACTGGGTAATTTACAAGAAAAGAGGTTGAATTGGCTCATGGTTCTGAAGGCTGTACAGGAAACATAACGGCATCTACTTATGGGGAGGCCTCAGGGAGCTTTTACTCATGGTGGAAGGTGAAGTGGGAGCAGGCACTTCACATGGAAAAAGCAGGAACAAGGGACAGAGAGTTGTGGGGAGGTGCCACACTTTTAAATGACCTGATCTCATGAGAACTCACTATCACCAAGACAGCACCAACCCATGAAGAATCTGCCCCCATGATCCAATCACCTCCTACCAGACCTCACCTCCAGCATTGGGATTACAATTCAACATGAGATTTGGGCAAGGACAAACATCCAAACTATATCAAATAGTCAACACAACACAGAAGAAAAAAGTGGAGAACTCATGCTACCTAATTTCAATAATAATATATATTCTCATAGTAGGAATTCTTGATATGATGTGATGAAAACAGTAGAACTCGGTGGTCTTCTCCCCAAAACCCATAATCCTAGTCTAATCTTGAGAAAAACATTAGACAAATTCTAAGTGAGGGACATTCTACAAAATGCCTGACCAGTATCTCTTAAAACTGTCATAGTTACCAAAAACTAGGAAAGTCTGAGAATTATAATAAAGCTAGCAATTAAGACAGTGAAATATTGGTGAATGAACAGACATGTAGATGAATGGAACAGAATGTGAAGTCCAAAAATAGACCCACATAAACATAGTCAACTGATCTTTTACAAAGGAACAAAGACAATTCAATGGAGAGAAGACAGTCTTTTCAAGAAATGGAGCTGGAAAAACTGGATGGCCCATATGCTAAAAAAAATGAATCTACACACAGACCTTATGCCTTATACACACATCTGTACCTCAGAAATGATTATAAACCTAAATGTAAAACACAAAACTATAAAATTTCTAGAAGAAAATACAGGGGAAAATCTAAATGACATTTAGTTTGGTGATAAGTTAGATACAACAACAAAAGCATAATCCATGAAAGAAAAAAAATGAATGTTGGACTAGACTGAAATTAAAAACTTCTTCTCTACTAAGGACACTGTTAAGATGAAAAGCAAAACCACAGACTGGACTGCAAAACTCATATCTGATAAAGGACTTGTATCTAAAATATGCAAAGAATTCTCCAAACAATAAGAAAAGAACCAAATTTTTTAAATGGGCAAAAGACACCTCAACAAAGAAGACAGATGGCAAACAGCATATGAAAAGATACTCAATATCATCTGTCATTAGGGAAATGGAAATTAAAAACAAGAATGAGATACCACTACATATCTATTAGAATGGCTTTAAAAAACTGACAATACCAAGCTGGCAAGGATGCAGAACAAAGGAACTCTCATTCACTGCTAGTGGGAAAACAAAATGGTACAACCACTTTGGAAGACAGTTTGGCAGTTTCTTACAAAGCTAAATATAGTGTTACCACACAATCTAGCAATTGTGCTCCTAAGAATTACCCAACTGATTCGAAAACTTATGTTCACACAAAATCTGCCCACAAATATTCATAACAGTTTTACTCATAATTGCCAAAAAATGAAAGCAGCCAAGATGTCCTTCAAGAGAAGAATAAATAAATAAACCGTAGTACATTTATATAATGGAACACTATCCAGTGATAAAGGAAATAAACTATCAAGCAATGCAAGGACATTGAATCTTAAGTGCATATTGCTAAGTGAAAGGCTACATGCCGCATGATGTCATTTATATGACAGGTTGGAAAAGGCAAAACTTTATCGAGAGTAAACAAATTGTGGTTTCTATGGCTTCAGACACGGAAGAAGATTAAATAGGTAAAGCACAGGGAATTGCTTAGGGCAGTAAAACTATTCTGTATGATACTGTACTGTAATGGTGCATACATGGCACTAGACATCTGTCAAAACTCATATAACTTTACAGCACAAGGAGTAAAACTTAATATATGCAAATTCTAAAAATCATTTAGAAGGTTAGGGTATCCCAGGATGGAATGCATACTGTGACAAAATAATTTGACTGTATAATAAATGTATGAAATAACTTCAACGAAGGGAGTGGCAGAGCAGAGGCAGGTGAGGAAGGTGCTGACTTAAGAAATGAGTGGAGCGTGAGAGACTGAAGGCAAGGACACTGCACACAGTGCTCTATTCTACTTGATAACATTTGTTTCCCATGGGGGCCCAGGCAAACAGTTTAAACCACTGTAAATGTATATGCGAATTAGACAGTTAAATAAATAGGTGGCAGATGGTACAAGCCAAATTTCTCACTGTTGGGAGTGGGAGGTTACAAAGAGGCAAGGAGAAAGGACTAGAACGATCCATGTGGTAATGGATTAGAGTTGGAGAAATCAGTATGAAGTCATGCTTAGCCAAACATAGATACAGATGGTTGTCTGTGTGTGTGTGTGTGTGTGTGTGTGTGTGTACTTACAGATATGTGTATATGCACAGGTTAGGATGCACACATGTATTTCCTTGCTATCTCAGATGACAGGGCTTAAGATATCCTAGTAGCAACAGCACGCCTAGCGCCAAGATCTTGCTAACACCATTCTTTCATCAAAGGAACCAAGAATCCTTGGCAAAATGGCTGACTCTGGGACTAGAGCCGAGAATATATATGCAACTAGTTGTGCCACAGGTAAGGCAGTGCTCCATAAAACAAAATAAAACAAAGCATAGTGATGGGAGTGTGTCAAAGGAATACAGGAGCCAAGGGAAAGAGCTCCCAGTGGCCAAAGCTGGAACAATTTGAGCAATAAAATTAATATGGTAGTATTGGATTATAACCCAAAGTATAAAATAAATATCCATGAGTGCATAGTGATATAAAAAAAATGACAGAATAAACCAATCAACATGGGAAAGGAGACAAATCCCCCTCACAGAGGAATTCCAAACAATGTAGCTATTCTGCTATCAAGAAGCTGGAGCCTAGCTCCTTGCTCCTTAAGTGTGGGCTGTGTGCACGATGACTTCCTTCCAAAGAGTTCAGTATGGAAAGCGGGGCAGGAGTTGTGGGAGACTGACTTTACAGTGGAGAAACTTGCAGACACTACCTCAGCCAGATGATCAAGGTCAACATCAACAGTGATAAGTCATACTAATAGTATATATTCTTGATATGATGTGATGAAAATACGGTCTTCCCCAAACCCCTAGCCCCAGTCTAATATTGAGAAAAACATTAGACAAATCCCAATAGAGGGACATTCTACCAAATACCCGACCTATATCCCTTAAAACTGTCAGTCATCCAAAACAAGGAAAGTCTGAGAAATGGATAGCCAAAAGGAGCCTAAGGAGACATGGCGACTGAATGTGAGGTGGTGTCCTGGATAGAATTTTCGAATAGAAAAATGATGTTAGGTAAAAATGAGGGAAATCTAAATAAACTACAGACT
The DNA here is from genome assembly GCF_000001405.40 of Homo sapiens. NCBI lineage: Eukaryota > Metazoa > Chordata > Mammalia > Primates > Hominidae > Homo > Homo sapiens. The sequence goes on along the minus strand of NC_000002.12, from coordinate 172,937,235 downwards.
TTTTTTTTTCTTTAAGAGACAGGGTCTTGCTCTGCTGCCCAGGCTGGAGTACAGTGGCATAATCATAACTCACAGCAGCCTCAAATTCCTGGGCTCGAGTGATCCTCCTACCTTAGTCTCCCAAGTAGGTAGGACTGCAAGCAGGTACCACCATGCCTGACTAATTAAAAAAGACTTTTTTTTTTTTTTTTTTTTTTTGCAGAGAGAGGAGTCTCACTGTGTTGCCCAGTCTGGTCTTGAACTCTTGGTCTCAAGTGATCCTCCTACCTTGGCCTCCCAAAGTGCTGGGATTACAAGTGTGAGCTACCACATCCAGCCTTAAACTATGGACTTTAGTTGGTGATAATGAATCAATATTTGTTCATTAAGAAAATACTCTTATATATAAAGACAAATTAAAGATTCTCTCAGATGAGAAAAAATTTAGAATTCGTAGCCATCACAACTGCTTTAAAAGAATTTCTTTAAAAAGTTCTTCAGGCAGAAGAGAAATGATACCAGAGGAAAACTAGGAACATCAGGAACGAAGGAAGAGCAACAGCAATATAACAAAAAATAATTCCAGTAATGGGACAGGGATGGTATGAAAAGTAACTTTGACAAGGTACAAATAGCTATTTAAAAAAAATTATTGCAAAAAAAAAACAATAAAAATGTATTGCAGAGGAAATTCATTCTACATTACGGTTGAGACAATATTAACTAATTTTAAAAATCCTTAAAAAAATTTAATTGAAAAAGGAAGAATATGAAACTATATATACAGTGTAAACTAAATTTTGTTTCTATTTGTATACATTTTCCTATATGTTAACTATATAAACACACAGAGCTCTGGGAGGTAGCATTTACAGAAGTTTTTTTGGGCAGGGGATAGAGTCTCACTTATTGTCCAGGCTGGAGTACAGTGGCTCAATCTCAGCTCACTACAACCTCTGCCTCCCGGGTTCAAGTGATTCTTCTGCCTCAGCCTTCAGAGTAGCTGGGACTACAGGCACACACGCCATGCCCGGCTAATTTTTTGTACTTTAGTAGAGACAGATTTCACTGTGTTGCCCAGGCTGGTCTTGAACTCCTGAGCTCAGGCAACCCACCCACCTCGGCCTCCCAAAGTGCTAGGATTACAGGCATGAGGAAGATTTTTAAAAACACTTATTTTTCCAAATATTCAACATAAGTATTATATTTATGATCAGAAAGAGATAACCATTATTTTTTAAAATCCACCATCTTGCTAGACTTCATTTTAGACTCTTGGCAGAAACACCTCCTTTTAGGCACAAAGTATAAATATCAATGACTTATCTGAATGTAAATTTGGCTCACAGACTTTAAAGACTTAAAAATGTAGATTAAAAAGGAAGAATTCCTGTAATATTCTAGGAAAAATGAGATTGCTTATGTCATGTACTGTTGGAGCATCCACATCTAAGTAGCTCAAAAGACTTAAGATCAAACCTTGTTAATCTCCACATCATATATGTTAAGAAGACGGTGCAAAAGAAAATTTGATTCTGACTGAATGGAATGCATGGACTTTCTAAAGCACAATGCTCACTGCAATCACAGCTACTGCAAAATGTGATGTCAACATTATTTTCATAAGTGCATCTGTCCAACTTCTTCATAAACAAGGCATGAAGACTAGCCTGAAATGAGATATTGATTGTATTATGATGTTATTTGAGTACATCAATCGAAGGGGGCAGTTTTTTTTTGGCAGTCAGCGGAATGCACATCACTGGCGAGAAGCAATGAACAGCTCTCATTTCCCATCATTCCTCCTCCTTCTGGGCACAGACCTCCCCATCAACAGAGCTGTGTATCCCACCTACACTGGCTCAGAGTGGGGATAGGGGAGCCATGTGACCCACCATAGGCCAGCCAGAGTCCTTCCCCTATGCTCCCTCATTGTGGCTGCTGGGGAGGAACCAGGAGTTGTTGGTTGCCATGTTTCTAGGCTGGGGAAGAAGCAATAAGAGGTAGAGCCCTCGGCTCCCATCAGCCCAAGGCCGGCTCCACTGTGAGCCCCCAATTTCCTCTCTTGTTTGGTTTTTTTGAGACAGGGTCTGGCTCTGTCACCCAGGCTGGAGTGTTATGGTACCATCTTGGCTCACTGCAGCCTCTGCCCTTCAGGCTCAAGCCATCCTACCACCACAGTCCCCTAAGTAGCTGGGACTACAGGTGCGTGCCACCATACCTGGTTAATTTTTGTATTTTTTGTAGTGACAGGGCCTCACCACGTTGCCCAGGATGGTCTTGAACTCCTAGGCTCAAGTGATCCTCCCACCTTGGCCTCCCAAAGTGCTGGGATTGCAGGTGAGAGCTACCACCCCCGGCCTCTTGTTTGCTTTCGAGGTGGCTTGATCCAGGTTTCTGCCACCTGTAACTTAGAAGTCTGGAGTTATATAGTAACCTAATAATTCTGTAGCCTTGTGAAGAGGGAGAATGTTGGGGTAGGGGGTGAATACTGAAACTTTTTTTTTTTTTTTACTGCAACCATAACAGATGAAATGAAACACTGTTGTCTCAGAAATCCTTCCGGTTCAGGTGACAAGGCTCTTAGAGTGTGTATTTTGGTATTTTGGTACTTAACTCCAATCTCTCTCAGTACCACATTCTGAAATAATTATCTGTTTACCTAACTCTCTCCCCCATTAGGTGGTTTGCTCTTTGAAATCAATAATTCATTGCATTGGACTTTTTGGACTTTGTATCTCCAGAGCCTACATGGCACACAGTAGAAACTTAATAAATGTTAGTTAATATAAAAAGGATTAAATAGGGCTGGGCGTGGTGGCTCACACCTGTAATCCCAGCACTTTGGGAGGCTGAGGCAGGTGGATCGCCTGAGGTCAGGAGTTCGAGACCAGCCTGACCAACATGGTGAAACCCAGTCTCTACTAAAAAATACAAAAATTAGCCGGGCATGGTGGTAGGTGCCTGTAATCCCAGCTACTTGGGAGGCTGAGGCAGGGGAATTGCTTGAACCTGGGAGGTGGAGGTTGCAGTGAGCCGAGATTGCGCCATCGCACTCCAGCCTGGGTGACAGAGCAAGACACTGACGCAAAAAAAAAAAAAAAAAAAAGGATTAAATAAAATATAGTTATTTTTTCTACTATTACAAAATTACCTCACTCCTTCAAACTTTATTAATTAGAAATTTGTGACTAGGCTAGAAAAATTAATTTACTCGAGGAAAAAGGGGATTATTAACCCATTTAGTAGTGTAAGAAACTGTAAAAAGAATGATTAAACTAATTAAGAGAATAAATTGTTTCAAGCAGGCCATAGCCATTTAAAGTCACCTATTGATATAGAAATAATTTGTGAACTAAGTTACAAATAACATCCCTCTACCTATTCATTAAATTAGGTCCCTGAGGATGTCTATTAAATAATGCTTTGTTAGCCTGGTTCACTTAGCTGTTTTTACTTGAAATATTACATAAATCAACCTTTTATTAATTTAAAAGGTGAAACCTGAAAGCATATACAGAGTTAACTTATAAACATAAATGATCTTAAATATATAACATATAATAGGGGCCAAAACAAACCTGATAAAATTCTTGCTGATTTATGTCTCACTATTTCATTTCTTTCAGACACATTTTAATTTCATTCATGCCCCGGGCATGTCCTACTCAGTGCAAATCCCTATCATCTATCTCATTATCACTCTCTAGTCTAATGTTTATCATTATTAGCTATTGACTGCACCCAGGTACGGTGCAAAATCTAATTACACTTCATTCTTGGATACTGCCCAGTACAGTGACCTTGAAACCAGGTCTCCAAACTCACTCTACTCTCATCCTTCCCTCCCTCGGTTGATGGCAGTTGCATCCTTCCACGTGTTCAAGCCAAAACCCTTGAAGTCACCCTTGAGTACCTTCTCTCTTACCTCGTATTTAATCCATCAGAAAATCCTATGGACTCTATTTCCAAAATCCATCTAGAATGCAACACTTTCCACCCCTCCACTGCAACTCCACCATCATCTCTAGCTTTCCATGAAGTACACATGAGTTTCCTAGGATTCAAAGAATTTAGTAACACTGTTACTTAAAACTACTTCCATCCCCAGCTTCCTGTTTTTGTGAATGAGTTTTCCCAGTGCTTGCATACATAAAAACCAAGAAGAAGAATGAAACTGCTATTTCCTAAAGGTGCATGAATTGACTTTTTAAAATAATTCATTTTTTAAAACACTTGCCAAAGTCACCCAGTGATGCATTTCTAATAGTAATTTACTTTAATGTTTAATATTTTTGTACAGAAATTTATAAAATATTTATTTTGTTTTGATGATCATATATATCTACTTATTGTCATAACCCAATCTAGAAGAAAAGTTGTAACAAAGACCCATGGTCACAAGAGATTTTAAAACACGAATATTTAAATGTAAGTACATATTTTTGATACATGTTCAGTATGAGGGTGATCCATAAGAGACTTTCAACCACAAACATACGTTACAACGTGAAGCTGCCATACTAACCCTGGGCAGCTCATATTTGGACAGTTAACATGAGTAAAAAAAAATCTATTTAAGATGCTGTTGTGTTTGAGTCTTTGTTATTATAGCTGAATCTGGATGACAAAGTCGTCTGGCCTGGAAAACAATATGTTACAGTAGAATAAATTTCTACAGAGGAAATAAAATGGGAATATGACTTAAACAACAAAAGGAAATAATATAACATTGTAACTATTAAAAAGCTTGTTCATATATTTTTTTAAGTGGTGAGCAACAAATTATTTTTCACAATGCCTGGTCTAATACACTGTATGCATTCCATAAAAACTCGCTGATTAACAGCCCCATTCCTTGAGAAAATTTGTTTAACTTACAGGACTGGAACTCAATTGTTCTGTATGGACTTGCAGACCAGACCATGCTGCATTTAGCAAAGTCAAATATCAACAATATGTGAGAATGGAAGACTATATATGTGCACATATGAATGGATGAATGAGTGAATGAGCTGGTTATTTTGGTGGTTTCCAAGTACTAGGAATCTTACAAACGAAAATAACATTTACTACGAATATTTCCACTTTTCATCCAAATATCTTGTGCCATGTAACTAAAACTTGAAGGTTAGACATGCATGAACACCGGAATGACCACCAGAGGGAGCCCACGTGTTTTTCTGAATATGCCAAACACCAAATTGAGAAAAAGGAAGAAAACACACACAAAATATAAAGCTGGGGGTGGGCGCATGGGGGTGGGGGTGGGGGGCGCATGGGAGTCAAGGGGTGTGAGGAGTGGCGGGAAGGGGAAAGGGAAGCATTACCTGTTTCAGTTATTTAAGAGACTATATTATTGAATGACAGAACCATTTACGCATCTATGTTACAAATCCTTTTACTAGGCAGCTGTACACTGCAATGCTTTGACACTTATAAAAGGAGAATTGGTTAAACGTAAGATTTAAAAAATCTCACATAACCTAAAACTAGCAGGTCCTGGGTGGGCTGCTGTGATAACATCCATGACTCTCCGATGTGCCCCAAACAAGCCAGCTGCCTTCTCCAGCTTATCTTTGTGTTCCTGCTCTCACTGTCTATTCCGGTTCATCTTTGTGGTTAACTTTGGAGGAAGGTTTGGGTGTGGCTTCCTCACTTTGTTTGGGATTGGGCTATCAAATTACAGCACCAGAGGAGCACTTGGTGTGACTTGGGAATTTCTGATTCTCCTGTCTGAGCCAAGTTTATAAGGACGGTAAGATGAATGACTTTCCATTTGTTGTCCTGAAGTCTTCCCAGAACTGAGAATTGAACCAAGTGCCAACAGGAAGCAAGAGCACCTCTCTAAGGCTTTCCAGGCCCAATCTCCACTTACACCAGAACCCACAGGCCTGCCTCAGAGAGCTCCCCGCAAGCTAGAAAAATATCCTGGGACTGAGGCTATAGAAACAGGATGTGATCTTATCTAGAATTACGCTCCATGTAAACTGAATAGAATGTTTTCTATTTGAGATCGTTGTCGAGTTTTGGAATCCCCTCCCACCTGTTCAGTCCCCCCGCCCCCCAGCGCCCCCCCCCCCCACCCCGGCCTGGCTTGATCTTACTAATCCTTTTATTGTGGTAAGTCAGATCACCATTATACCAGTGAGGAAACTGAAGCTCCTGGAAATGAGTGACTTGTTCAGTGTCACTGGCTATTAAGTGTCAGGGATGGGAACTGGCAAACATGCGCTTCTAGGGACATGGATTGTAACAATGAATGAGTATTGAACCCCGTCATACTAATGTCTTTGGAGACAGAAAGAAAATTATTGTCTTCCTTTTCCCTCAAACTACAATTGAGTGAAAAGCATGACAGAAGTGAATTCAATGACTTAGCCCTTGTTTTACCCAGAATTTTCATGGTATGTTTTCCCAAGTTTCTTTTATGTCTGGATGGGGTGATCATAAATCATGTATGCAAATAAATTAGCACAAACAAATTGAATCCCACAGGCTTAGGTACTGGGCTGAATGCTGCTAAATTTAACATGCTTATTAATGCCTTGAATATGGAATCAAATCAAAAACATTCTTATCAAATTTAACAATGATACCCAATTGAGTGGGGGTGGCTGGCAGTTAGGAGAGCTAGTTTGAAATTTAAAATGACCTTGACAAACAGAAAAGGAAAAAGAGGGCAAAATTCAATAGAAAGCTTTGCAAAGTAATTCATTCAAAAGAGGGGGGCAAACAAAGAGAACAACAGAAATGAGGGAGTATTGATTGGGTAATTATAACGGAAAAGGAGCTGGAGGTCAGAGTGAACAATAGCCTCCAAACTCAAGCTAGTTCTGTATTTTAAAAAAGAAGGCATGATTTTGAGAAGTAAAATAGGGGGAAACTCAAGCTAATTCCCCCTCCAGACTCAAAATAGATCAAGCTCTTTGAGGAGGGGTGAGGAAGGTGTCTTGTTGGGACACTGGAATGCCTATGGCTTGGAAGCCAGGTTTTTATAACTTTGAAAGGGATCCTTAGAAAGAAGAGTGCCCAAAATAATTCAGAAGAGAAAATTCGGGTACTCTTTTCCTGTGTTCATGCAATGCTATCAGCCTGGCATATTGTTTTCCTTCCCCCTGGGTAGCACCCACCCAGACATTGCCTCCTCTGTGGGGCTACTTTGAACCCTTTCCCTTCTTCTTAACAAGAACTTCACAGCCCCACTATGTGTCTCCACAAAGCAGATACTAGAGGCCAGCACTGGCTAAGTCCTTGGCATACATTATCTCATTAATACTCTTGAACACCTCCCTGGGCAAGATGCTACTATTATTCTCCTTCTGTAGATGAGGAAACAAATGAGTAAGGCAGTTAAGTAACTTGTTCATGTTCCCATGTTAGAAATTGGCAGAGCTGGGAGTTTAACTGAAACCCTAAGAGCTCCTAAATCCCTGTCCTGAGGCCACACTACCCTGATGACATGAGCACCCACAATACTTCACTGTTCTTATTTGTTCACGTGTGCTTCTGTCTAGGCTGCAGTGCCATATTTTCATAGTCCTATATGACGGCCTGAGATTGATCAATAAATGTTCATTAAATTGAAGATTTTCAAGCAAGCAGTGGTATATTCCAGGGGTGTTTCTGAGTCATTCTTTGGCTGAAGGGAAATAGAAAAGAAAACTAAATTAAACTAAAAAGGATTTAGACATTTATAAAAACTGGCAATAGGAATTCTGAACAATTCTGGACCATATTAGTAAAGGTGATTTGACCATTTTCTTTTCTGAAAATTTTAAAGAATTGAAATTGCTATATACATATTTATACATGTACAAATACATATGTATGTGTCTATATATATTATGTGTATATGTATATATATGTGCATTTATCTGTCATCTGTCTTCAATGTAATGTCATCTAAAGGTAAAGAGGGTGACTACGGAATATTTAATATCTGTGGACTTAGGGAACCTGCCTGACACAGAATTGTTGGTAGAAGAGAATCTAAACCCTAAATGACATGTCAACACTAGATTAGTTTATCCAATCTGAGAACACTATAATTTTTTCTGCTAACCATAAGACATATTTTGCAAATAATTTGTTCTCAGTTTCTCAAAACAATAAAAATTCAAACACATCAAACATAAGGGATACTATCTATTTTATTCTCACAGTTAATTGAGATAACATGCTAGCAGCCCAAAGTAACTGGTGATGACGATAATTGCCTTCAGTACAGGAGAAAATATCTCTGAAGACAGCAATATACTCTCCCACAGCTTGGAAGCAGCAGCTGTGTACATTACTAATAACATGACATCACACTCCTCCCTCCCTGCTGACAGTGGAACAATTCTGAGCTGCATCTCAAGGCTGTGAAATGTTTTAAGTGAGAGCAAGAAGAAGCTGTTGGCCAAAGAGAAACTCATTTCTTTTATTATTATTATTAAACTATCGAACATTACACAGGTTATCTGGGATAGCTTGCCAAATCAAATTCTGATGACTGAAGATGGAGGGAGCATATTCAAAGCAGGGCCGTGCAGTATATCTCAGCTGCAACCCTAGAAAATCGTCAGCATGGCGGCAGCATTAAAAAGTTCTATTTCATAAGAGAGATTTTAAAAATTGCAAAGAAACCAAACATAGAATATTAAAACAATCACCAAATGTAATTCACAGTATTACAAAAATAATTCTAAAATATAGCAATGAATCATCACCCCAATACATCTCCTTTCACCAACAAACTCACGGCAAGCAGGTCCTAGGAACAATGTCCAGGACATTCAAAAGCAACCAACACACGGCATAACTGACAACAGAAGGATCAGAGTTCTAGAGTATTACCTACATTTCCTATTTACCATTTAGATGGATGACAACTACACGTCATTCCTAAAAATGCAATTAGCTTACCACTTCAGAAGCTAGAGAGAGAGATGGTATGGCTAGCTTTTGTAAGAGTTGAGGAACAGATGGAATAAAAAGCAGAAAGAAATTCAGCAACGACAGTCTGCCCCATAAAATGCATAACTCACAAGTACAAAAACAAACATTTCCTCAGAGACTGGAGAGCTGAAGTTGTTCTTGGCACCTTCAACATGAAGTCACGGTATTTTCTAGAAGGTGGGGCAAAATAAGTCCTGGCTCGGGGGTTACGCTTTCTAATAGGCCAGCTAATGAAAGGAGTATTTACACACTACACAGCTCACAGGATTGGGCCAGCAGCACTGCTAATCTAATCTTCATTTGGGTGATAAGCAATGTGTCCTTCAAAATCAGGACAAGATGGCTCAAGATTTTCAAAGCTTCAGCATTTTGTGGTTTCACTCTCCTATTAAAGTTTTGTACCCTGGCCAGTTACACGTGAGTTTCAGAACGGTAATGGCACTAGTGAGGCCACTGGTACCCTAGAGCAGAGGGACACAACTGCTAGGGGAACATCGGTGACACTGGCCAAGGTGTCTTCATAGGTTCAGCCTGGATCAATCATGTAAAGCAGGGTTTTAAAAACTGTGTTCCACAGAAAACAGTTTGAATTCAGTTGGTCCTCGAAAGGTGGAGTTGAAAGGGTTTATACAGCCTTATGGAATTATCTCTGATTGTTGGTTTTTTTCTTTTTTTTTTAGAGACAAGGTCTCACTCTGTCACCCAGGCTGGAGTGCAGTGGTACGATCCTGGCTCACTGTAGCCTCAACTCCTGGGCTTAAGCAATCCTTTTGCCTCAGCCTCTCAAGTAGTTAGGATTACTGGCATGAGCCATCAATTATCTGAATTTTTAATGTTTTAAGTTTGTATGAGGATACATAATTTCTTATTTCTTTATCTGGCCCAGAATTTCATTGTCTTAGCCAGTCTGTAGTGATAAAATGTTGTCATATAATAGGTGGAAAATATTCTAATTTGTTCTCTCTAACCTTAAAAAAGAGCAACAATAAAGTTAAATAAATGTTATTGTATTCCCTAAAAATTCCCCAAATTCCTAACCTTTTGACCCTCACAGTCAAAAGGTTCTTATTATTCTACTGCCCTTCCCTTAATGAGAATTTCCACAAACTGTGAAACTTATTTCCTTACTAGTTGCCATTTGAAACCTTACATCTTTATAATAATTTCTAAAACTTATTCTTCATATAAATGACCCATAGTTTTTAAAGTTTGAGAAACTCCTGCTTTAAGTAATCTCCTTAAGATGAGACTTGCCAAGTGGTTTGAGATGATCTCCAGGCTGGGTCATTACTAATTACTAGCAGGAATTCTTCTAGCACTTGGGAAACAACTTTGAGCTCCACATTGATGGTGATTTATAGCGAGAAAGCATTCTTCAGTATTTAGCAAAAAGCTTATTAATCATACTATCAATACTATAACTGCCTAAAAAATGAGGACCTCGGGCTGGGCGCGGTAGCTCACACTTGTAATCCCAGCACTTTGAGAGGCTGAGTCGGGCAGATCACAAGGTCAAGAGATCGAGACCATCCTGACCAACATGGTGAAACCTTGTCTCTACTAAAAATACAAAAATTAGCTGGGTATGGTGGCACGCGCCTGTAGTCCCAGCTACTCAGAAGGCTAAGGCAGGAGAGTCACTTGAACCCAGGAAGCAGAGGTTGCAGTGAGCTGAGATTGCACCACTGCACTCCAGCCTGGTGACAGAGCGAGACTCCATCTTGAAAAACAAACAAACAAACAAATAAACAAACAAAAAACTCACAAAAAATGAGGACCCCAGATGATCCTCTGGGAAACAAGATGTTTATAAATTAGGAAATGAGATTATGTTGTAATATCTCCGTGAGTCTACTTCTCCAGCTCCTTCCACACTAAAGTAAAGTATTACCTTCTAAAACTAGGAAACCCCATAGCAGTTGCCCTTTCAGAAGTATGGAGCACAATAAGCAACACAATCTGCATAAGTAGCCAAAAATTAAAGACAGGGTCATTATTCCAAAGGGCAACTGTAACATTCAGCATTCAACATTCAAGCTTTCTTATCATTGTGATTTTTAACTTCAGTGTTAAACATAGTCAGTCAGGTATAGCACATATAAAAGACAGAAACAAATACAACTTTAATAGATCAAAGAGAATTCCTTTAACAATCACAACCCTATCAAAATAATCAACTTGCTTTATTGGCTCCAAGGTTTTGCTTCCTTCCTTCTTTCCTTCTTTCCTTCCTGTCTGCCTGCCTGACTTCCCTCCCTCCCTCCCTCCCTCCCTCCCTCCGTCCCTCCCTCCCTCCCTCCGTCCTTTCTTTCCCTTCCTTCCTTCCTCCCTTCCCTCCCTCTGTCCCCCCTCCCCCTCCCCCTCCTTCCTTCCCTCCCTCCTCTTTCTTTTTTACTCTTTCTTTCTCTCTTTCTTCTTTCTTTCCTTTCTTTTCTTTCTCCTTCTCTCTCTTTTCTTTCCTTCCCTTCCTTCCTTCCTTCTTTCCTTTCTTTCTTTCTCTCTCTCTTTCTTTCTTTCTCTCTCTCTCTCTCTCTCTTTCTTTCTTTCTTCCTTTCTCTCTTTCTCTCTTTCTCTTTCTTCTCACTCGGTTGCCCAGGATAGATTGTCTAGTGATACAATTATGGCTCACTGTAGCCTCAACTTCCCAGGCTCAACTGATCTTCCTGGGACTACAGGTGTGCACCACCACATTCAGCGTGTGTGTGTGTGTGTGTGTGTGTGTGTGTACAGACAGAGTCTCACTATGTGTCCTGGCTGCGTGGTTGTTTTTCTAACATTTTTCTTGATATTTTGTAGGTTCCAGCATCCTGTATTATCTCACATTAAATGATGTCTCCATCAATTATAATAAATAGTAGACAAAATAATCCAGCAAGTAGCTGCCCATCCATTTATTCCTACAAAGGTGCAATATATGAAAAGGAATTTATTTTTGTGCAAGGTAAGCCTGAGTCTGAGAATAAAATGTAGCTGGCAAGGCAGCCACAAACAGCACTTGTTGATGTGTGCATATTTTATTAAAAGTTAAACATGGTGGCTGGGTGTGGTGGCTCACACCCGTAATCTCATCACTTTGGAAGGCCGAGGCGGGCGGATCATGAGGTCAGGAGATCAAGACCATCCTGGCTAACATCATGAAACCCTGTCTCTACTAAAAATAGAAAAAATTAGCCAGGCATGGTGGTGGGTGCCTGTAGTCCCAGCTACTCAGGAGGCTGAGGCAGGAGAATGGCGTGAGCCGGGAGGCGGAGCTTGCAGTGAGCTGAGATCATGCCACTGCGGAGCTTGCAGTGAGCCAAGATCATGCCACTGCACTCCAGCCTGGGCAACAGAATGAGACTCTGTCTCAAAAACAAAAACAAAAACAAAACAGTTAAACATGGTGATTAACAAAATGATGAGAAGCTGGGAAGGAGAATTTTTTTTTTCTACAAATAATCTGTTTGGACACTGAAACAATAGTCTAAATGTTTTTATTTCAGTCCACAGGCATATTATTGTTATTTTGAAACATAAGGGGAATATAATATTGCCCAGCATGTAGTTAAAGAAGCTGAAGGATAAAAGAAATCATCATAATACAACTTGTCTCCTACGAAATAAACATTTTCAATTAACACCACTTTAAGGCTCTTAAGCTTCTTTTTATCTTTCTAGCGCTTCAACTTTGCTCACGAATGTCTTTCATTTCATTTGCTGTACTTTGACTGATGGCATTGGAGAGCTTTCCTAATAACACATGGTGATGATACATCTACTCTATTTGCTAATAGAGAATTAAAGTGTGGTTCTCTGTTTGCTATAGAATCTGACCTACAATAGCCTAGACAAATACAAATAAATATATACTACTACTAGTATTAGGGAGATGGCCTGGCCAGTTCCCCAGATCTTTCAGAACAACATGCTAACAGTTCATTGTATCTGACGAGCTCATTGTTCTGCAAACTTTAAATTCCTATTTTGTCACAAAGTGAGCTACATGATGACAGCTGTTAGCCCTCTGCTTAGAGCCCTGTGCCTGTTGTTCCACTGCAGGGGGATCCCACCTAAAGGTCACTGGGTGCCCAAGAGCGACCACTTCCTTTTGGAGCCTAGAACATTTCAGCCCTCCCAGGGCTTGGACATTCTGTGTGAGCTCCCCACATCACTGATAGTCTGTTGATGAGGAAGGACAAGGCCTTTCTGTCTTCTTTATTTGGCAAATGATTTGTGTATTATTTGTTGTAGGATGGATAATTTGGGACATCCATGTCCAAAATGGTGGCAAGATCAGTTTGTTCCTTTAGAATCTTTATGAGCCTGATTTTCTAGAGCTTGACTCAACATACAAAGATTTTTTTTAAAGTTTTTTAAATATCAATAGCAAGGTTCACTGAAGAAGGGGCAGCCATAAAAGGCAAAAGGACAGTTAATTTATTAAAGGGTAGGACATTTTTCAGAGGTGAAGAGTAGCTAGAAAATGATACAAGACTTGAGAAAATACTAACCACATTAATAGCCCCAATGTTTACTGAGCCTACCTACTCTACTTGTCTGTGCTTTCTCCACAGATTATCTCATTCAATATTCATAATTTCCTTTTAAGGTAACATCCACATTTTAAAGAAGAGATGAGGATGTTTAGACAAATCAAGTAGCTTGGGCAAGACCACACAGCTAGGAACTGAAACCTTTGCCAGACCAAGCGAAGTAAATTTTGGTGTAACATTTGAAGTGACACTGCTAGGTCTTAAACCCAAGTCTGGCCAGGTGTGGTGGCTCATGCCTGTAATCCCAGCACTTTGGGAGGCCCAGGCTGATGGATCACTTGAGGTCAGGAGTTCGAGACCAGCCTGGCCAACATGGTAAAACCCCATCTCTACTAAAAATAAAAAATTGGCTGGGTGTGGTGGTGCATGCCTGTAATCCCAGCTATTCGGCAGGCTGAGGCAGGAGAATCACTTGAATCCGGGAGGCAGAGGTTGCAGTGAGCTGAGATTGCACCACTGCACTCCAGCCTGGGTGGCAGAGTGAGACTCCATCACAAAAAAACAAAAACCAAAATCAACCCCCACCTCCCAAGTTTGTAGTCCTATAGCAGTGGGCTAGAATTCCCAACCAGTCCTTTTAAAACTAATACTATGAAAAGAGGAAGAGCTAAAGCAAGCCAGAGACTGATATCTGAGAACGGATATGGAAATAATCTAAATTGAATTCAGAGAGTATATCTTCCCACAGACATGGGACCGAAAGCAGAGAAAGGCAAAGGTGACAATCCTGTAACGTTGCCACTTGGATACAGCAATCAAAGGACACAATTATAAGGTGACACATCTGAAAGCCAACCAAGCACTGCTCCCAATCAATCACTGCATACTCCTATCGTTAACCCTTCCATGTTGTTGTCTAAATTTAGATGTTAGTTAATAGAATGAATACTATTATTATTTGCATGCAAAGGTATGCCACTAAACCATGACCACTCTTGGAATGCTTGCTATTTCTTGGTGAAATCTTTGTCCTAAACCTTCTACTCTTTTACAGAAAGAATACAGTTTTACAGAAACAATTATAGCAATTAATCATTTTCAGTTTCCAAAGAGAAATGTTAACACTAGTGCACTTGTATATAATTAGACAAATTCATCAACTGACCCTGAATTTCATAGTTTGTATTCCTGCTAAGGAAAAACAACTAGTTTTCTATATGCTATTAGGCTAATGATTTGTTTGACTGCCATGTATGCATCATCAGAAAAAGAAAACACTTAGCAATTGTAGCATTTGCCCCTAGAATAACCTTTCTTCAGACTGGTTAAAATCAGGGACACGTGACGACCATGTCAGAGCAATCAACCTTCTCCCCTTTCTATTTCAAAGTGACTTGCCAAAGATGCCAGAATGAGATTAGAAAAATATTTATTGCTCTGTTGAATGTGGGTCAAGAGCTCTCTTTGTTGGTAGGGTTACCATGATTATTTTTTACCTTATAACAATTTTTAGAAGATAGGCAGAGAGAGTAGCTACTCACGTTCTCCTTGTCAGGAATCCCTAAAGGAGGAAAAAGAGACAGAGAGAGGCCATGAATTGTATAATCAACCGGTAAAGTGGAATTGAAATTTTGCTGAACCAAACCAAGTAAAATTTCAGTGTTTTCAATTTGCATTTCCGTGAAAACTTACATAATGCTGCTTAGAAATATAAAAACTTATATAATGCTGCTTAAATAAATCAATGAATCAGGAGCAGGGCCATGTGCCCAGACACCAAAACCCAGGCTTATTTTGCGTCTACCATATGGTTTACTTTCACAGAGGTAAATACCCATCACTGATTCATTCTCACCATGAAAACAACTAATTCCACTGATTTAGGCACCAGAACACTCGGAATTTTGGAAAGGCACATTAACTCCTAAGTTTCACATGCTGTGATTTTACTTTGCAAACCACTCCACTCGGCTCTAGTGATTTGAAGCTGGGGCAAGTAGCACATGAAAGACATTGGAAAACAACTTCCATTGTGAGCAAAGCAAATTCCTGCTATCTCCAAGCCAAGTCTGAGCACAGCAGAGGCTGTTTCCAGGGGTATCTCAGTGTTCCGAGCTAGAAGGCTAATGACTCATCCATTTGCTCATTTGTCATTGATTTACAAACATTTCATGAGTATCTACTACAGGCAGTCCTATTCCTTTTTACCTCCTTCAGGCTTCTCCCCTGGTAAGGGTGGCCACACTGGGAGGTTCTGTGACCTTATACAGAGGAGACAGAAGCATAGGTCATTTTTACATGTGGTTTGCACCTATCTTCAAACTAGTGGAGCAGTATGAGGTGGTTTGCAACAAAAAAATACAATAATCCAAATTCTGAGTAAACAGGACATTTTGTTTTTACACAAGGAGCTACACAGGATTTACAGTATCAGCATTAAAAGAACTGAGTGCTAGCTGGATGCAGTGGCTCACACCTGTAGTCCCAGAACTTTGGGAGGCTGAAGCAGGTGGATCTCTTGAGCCCAGGAGCTCGAGAGCAGCCTGGCCGACATGGTGAAGCCTGTCTCCACAAAAAACTAGCTGGGCATGGTGGTGCATGCCTGTAGCTACTTGGGAGGACCGCCTGAACCAGGTTTGGTTAAGGCTATAGTGAGCAATGATCATGTCACTGCACTCCAGCCTGGGTGACAGAGTGAGACCCTGACTAAAAAAAAAACAAAACAAAGACAAAAACAAAAAAGCAAAAAACCTGAGTGCTCATCCTAGTAGGCAGTAGTACAGAATGCAGGAGGGGTGAGGATGAAAGAGACTTTGGAAACATTCCCTAATTGAAGCTTTGATCCACACCTGGGACCACACAAGACATAAAAACGCAGTCAGAAAAGAGGCAGAGAAGAGCTATTCTCTGAAACAGAGAGTATTAACAGGCTCGCTATCACTTCCCAGGTCTGTCAGAAAGAGGAAGGATGGCCTCAGGTCAGCACTCTGAAGCTCATCCCAAATCATCCATTCATCCATCCACCCATCCATCATCCATCTGAAAGAACTAGGGTTGATTGTATGAGGTTATGGGATATAACAGAAGCTTACTTTCTAGCAGGTTCAATAAGATAAATACACAGTTGCACAAATCACCATATATGAGTAGCTGGAAATTAGGGTATCTGTAGAGAAATGACACTGAAAAGGTGATTTGAGGCCACACAGGAACTTGACAGTTGGGCTAAGACATTAATAGTCTTGGAATTTCACCTTCCATGGCAGGCAATGGATGATCATTGAAAGGTTTCAAGCAGCAGAGTGATATGATCAGGAGAAAGGAGGGAAGGAGACTGTCTAACATTAAAAGACGTTTAAGACATAACACCAGATGACCATAGCATGGCCCTTGACTGAAGTCCAGTTTGAGCAATCAGCAATAAAGACATTCGGTTGGGAACATTTGAATATGGATTGGGTGGCGGATGTTACTAAGGAAAATCATGCCAGCTATTAGGTGTGATTGTGGTGCTCTGGTTACACATGAAAAAGTCCTTATTTTCAAAAATGCCTGGTGACATATTTGGAGTGACGTGTATATGTGATTGTGATTAGAAGAAAAAAAATGTCAAAAATAATATTAAAATGCATATTAATTTACTACTAAGAAATATATTGAAGTATTAAACTATTGACATCAGTTAAATGAAAGTGATGAAAATAAGGGTGTTAACTGTATCATTCTCTCCACTTTCTGTATGTTTGAAATTTTTCATAATAAAAAGTAAAAAATGTCTTGGGGAAATCAGGCCTAGACTAGACCAAGGGTGAGATAGTGAAGGTTCACAGCCAGTTGACTCATCTCTGCCCTAAAATCCAAAGAGATGAGGCCCAAGGCCAGGTGGCTGCAGAGGGAACTGAAAGGAAGACTGTGAACATGCAAAGGAAGGGCGCTGGGCCCGGGCAAGCAGGGGTGATGGCGAGAGAAAGGAGGAGTCCAAAATGGCTGAGGTTTGGAGCCCAGCACAAGAGGAGAACAATGGAATTGTCAGAAACCGGCCTCTCCAGAGGAGGGGCTGGTTTTGCGGGAATCAGAATGTGTTCCCTTATCAACATTTTGAGCTTGAGAGGCCAGCAGGACAACCAGGTAGAAAAAGAACCTGAGGTCACCTGGAAACTTAGGCTGCCCCTGGAAGGATCAAACAGAGGTGTTGGTTTGGGAAGTGTTTGTATCAGTTGCAGGAAAGGATGCCATGGAAGAGGGGAGAGTGAGTATGGAGAAGGAAAGAGAAAAGAAGCCATGGCTAAACTCTTCCATAAGCGGGGGAAGAAGTACCTATGGAAGAGACCAAAATGTGAGTGGCCAGAGAGAGAGGAGGAAGCCAGGATAACACAGTGGTGCCCCGGGAGCCAAGGCGGAATGGAGTCTGGACGTGGGCAACGGGAATGATCAGGTCTGGTTATTGGTTGGTCACTGGTAACTTTAGAGTGGTTTATTCAAGAAGTATGGGGCAAAATCCAGACTTTGAGGGGTCGAAGAGTGACTGGAGGTGAGGAAATAGCCTATGCCATTTGGGAGCTTTTTACATGCCTGGCACCCTTTGAAACAACATACTTTGATTCACTTGATCTTCACAACAACCCTCTGAGGAAACCAAGGCACAGAGAGACTACGTGCCTTGCCAGATGTCAGCTAGAAGACAGCATTGCTGGGATTGCAACTCAGGTGCTTTAATTAGCCAGCCATCCCTGGCTCAGCCAGGAGAGAAAGAAAGCAAGAACAAGAGAGGAAAGGAAGGATGAACCTGTCCCTCCCACCCTCCTCCTCTGCAGGAAAGCAGAAGGCAAATGGGGAGACAGGGCAGAGGCTGCATAGAAATAGTGAAATGCGGGGAGGAAAATGAGGATGTTCACTCAGGATTGCGGTCAAGCAGGGAGAGAGATCTCTTGCAGTGAGTGACTGGTCAGCGAGGGAGGGTGGGAATTCTAGGATCCAGGAAGAGGATCTGAAGGGTGGCTGGCTGTGGCTCTGAAGATGCAGGGACTACCTGCTGCATCACTGGGTCTGCTGGCTGAAGCACTATAGCTCCAAAGACTCCAGGACCTGGAATCTTGTTATATGTGTACACACAAGAGCTTCATAAGGAGACTCACAGATGCAATGGTAACGAACGCTAACCATGTTTCCGACATGCATGAACAGATCAAAAGACTCAGGGGACATACGGGTTTCTTTGAGTTTAGTGGGGACCCACTAGAGAAGAATACCACAGAGAAAAACTTCGTTTCTTTGCTGACCAGCCAGAGACTGGTCTCTCATAAAAGGCCTGGATGTTTTAAATTAAAAATATTTAATATGTACAACACATTGTTTTGATATACATATACCTAGTGAAATGACTACTCCAGTTAAGCAAATTAACCTATCTGTCACCTTCCATAGTCACTTTGTGTGTGTGTGTGTGTGTGTGTGTGTGTGTGTGTGTGTGGTAAGAGCATCTAAAGTTCACAAAGGCCTGGAATTGGAAGAGGCCATGATTTAGAAGATTAAATAAATGACTCACCCCACTTCTCCTCTTCATCAATAGAGTAAAAAAAAAAAAAAAAAAAAAAGCAAGAGGTGGGGCTCTCAGGTATCCAGATGGGACTGAAACAAATACAGTTCGTGCATCCCTTCTTTAAAAGGGCACAGAAAGAACACTGGATTTCACTATAAGATGAAGATATTTTGGGAAAGTATTCTATGCATGCCAAAGTTCCAGCTGGCACCAGAGCATACCTCTCTCTATCAGCTAAGACCACAGACTAATACTATATTAACCATTTCTTTAAAAATATCTCCAGTGTGAGCTGGCAGGTTTGTTTATCCACAAAAGAGTCTGGAGACTTACTCTGACAAGCTGGTGTAGGACATATTTTTTGTCACATGAAAACACATACCACACGACAAATTTTTAGATACAAAATGTTCACATTTTCCACTTACTGTCATTGTTAGAGCCCGTTTCCATAACACCATAAGGAGGAGCCAGAAGTCCTGCCATATACTGTCGATATTTCTGAAAGACAAGATTGTAAACTCAACACACAGATATTTACTTGCTTTGAGCATTCATTTATTTACATGTTAAAAAGCAGAAATGCTGGGTGTCAGGAAGCATCTGAGCCTTGTATTTATAGAGCCATGAAACGTGTTCTCCGGGGTCTCTGGTCTGAAATAAAGATGTTGTGTTCTAAACAGGTCTTCCTGAATAAGACTGAATGTGCCCGGGGGCAGGGGTTCTATCTCCGCCAGTTCATTTATATATCTGTGGCTGCCTGAATTGTGTGGGATATTTAGCACCCCCTGCACCCCTCCCCAACCCCACAAACACAAGCTCAGCTTTTTGTAGAGGGAAAAGGCACTCGAGCTTTATAGATGCAGATACAAATAAATGTGCTGCCTACTTAATAGGTGAATGGCACTGAATCAGCTTCTTTCAAAGCAAAAAGAAACGCATCTTGAGAAAAATGTCTTTTTTGAAAGAAGCTGATTCGCTTCCATTTACCTACTTCCTTTTACATCGTACACCTGCCTGTTTATGTGACCTCCAAAGAACTTTTGCTATGTGTCAAATAAAATAGTTTAGCTTAATTTAGAACTATTTGGATTCCCCTGAATTGTAACTGCCTGACTTTTGGTCCAAGCTTGCTCTAAAACCTGGCACTTAGCATAAGGTATTAGCCCCAGGAGTCTGTGCTGTTTAGGAGGGATAAGGCTTGGTGAGAATAAAGCCATCTAGAGCATCCAACTAGAGAGGAGTGACATTTATAAAGAATGGAAAATGAATATTAGCCACCCTCTCTTCTCAGGTCATAAATACAATCTCCTCCCCTTTCAGAATGGAAGCTGGGCAATTTTATTTATTGCATGGTGTCATGTATATTTATGGTTTATAATTACGATGACACATACATGTTAAATAGCATCAAAAGAATCAACACTCCATAGTGTGCTTGTGGGTTGCACAAACGTCAGCAGAAAAGACTTCATCTGTAGCAATGGGCAGCTGGCAGCACGCAGTATTGGGGCAACCATCTGGCCCATTTGGTAGATTTGAATGGCGTTTGTAATGTGACATTGATGCTTTCTCAAAAGAGCCTTCTTCTAGTCAAGATGTAACTAGCTTTTTAAAAATTCTTTTTTTCTTCTCATTCTGAGGCAACTATACCAACACCTGCATGCAAACATTAAAACCATGATTTCCTCAGCCTCTGAGCTAAGTGATCACTCAGACATACCCACAGGACCAATATATCACCCTGCATTCCTGATATTTCCTTAGATCATTTCTTAATTCTGATTCTCTTCTTTCTTATGAGACACCATCTACTCTTCTTCTTCTTCATGAGACAGCATTCACTAAGCAGCACATTTCTGGGCTTCATATTATGCTGGACTGTAAACAAAACAGGCCCAGAGAGAGCAGAGGAGGACTGGTTATGTTGTAAGGTTTTGTGACTCCTGATTACCATTATCAACTCCCTAACAGGCTCCTAAAAGAAATACTTCCTGTTAAATTGAAGGGGCCATTTCACTTTGCTTAGAAATATTGTCTTGGATGTGACGGGTGTTCTTTGTCTCAGGCACCTTAATGTCAATCCCCATGAGCTCCACGGAAGCACCTTCCTGATCCCTGAATGAATGGGACTTCATCTTCCTTCAAGCCCCATAGCACCTGGTCTGTTGCTGTCTTGTGGAGCACACCATCAGGGTCGCTGCTAGTGGGAACAGAAACTAGAGCAGCCCTGTGGGCAGGAGTGTGTGGGCTGGATTCCAGGACTTGTGCATATTGAGCATCTACTATGTACAGTGTCTCAGGATGGGCTTACAGTACAGAACAAGTAAACAAGGTCCTGTGCACTTGTGAAATGTCCATTTTCTTCAACACAGGGAACTATGTCTTGCACATAATACAAACTTAGTACTTATCTGTTGACTCTCTAAATTTTTCTAGAAAATTTCAACAGATACAGAAATAGAATACCACATACTCCACATTCAACTTCAATAATTATTAACTCATGACCAATACTATTTCATCTACACATTTATCCACTTACCCCTTCTAGAATTATTTTGAAGCAAAACTCAGATATCTTTTTTTTTTTTTTTTTGAGACAGGGTCTCACTCTGTTGCCCAGGCTGGAGTGCAGTCGAGCAATCTCGGCTCACTGCAACCTCTGCCTTCCCAGTTCAAGCAATTCTCCAGCCTCAGCCTCCAGAGTAGCTGGGACAGGACCACAGACACACACCACCATGCCTGGCTAATTTTTTTTTTTGGAGAAACAGAGTTTCGTCATGTTGTCTAGGCTGGTGTCGAACTTCTGAGCTCAAAGCAATCCACCCGCCTCGGCCTCCCAAAGTGCTGGGATTACAGGCTTGAGCCACCATGCCTGGTCAGATATCATATCATTTAATCCATAATTATTTCAGCAGGAATTTCTAAAAGATAAAGACTCCTTTTTCCCAAAATAAAACCACAATACCATTATCACAGCTAAAAAATGTAATATATCCATAATATCCAGTTGATGGTCAAACTTTCTAATTGTTTCATTCATGTCATTGCTGAATTGAATTTAAAAATAATTCATTTAATAAGACAACATGGGTTCCAGCATAATAGCTTTTAGTATAGTGAAGATTACCAAATTAGGGTTGAAATATTTATACTTGTAAATTAAAAGTCAGTCCTTAAAATTGATGGGGCACTTTTTAATAAACATTCACTAAACCTGGGAGATTCATTCTTATGTAGCACCCTGCAGAACGCTCTATATTAATTAGGATAAAAACAGCTAACTAGAATAAAACCTGTATCAGAAAATTGGGATTTCTAAATTATTTGCATATAGCTTGATCTTTGGGCAGCATTTCATCTTCCAAGCACAAATTTAAAAAGCAGTTCATAAAAGAAAATACCATATGAAAAGATGCAGAACCTCACTCATAACAGAAAGGCACATAAAAACTACAGCGCAATATAATTTTTTAATCTGTCAGAATTGGCAAAGTTCCAAAAAGTTTGCTAATACACTATTGGTGAGAATGAAGCAAACATGTTATCTCATATATTGCTTATAGCAGTGTAAAATGATACAACCTCAGAGGCAGGCAATTTGGAAATATCTGTGTAATTCTTTTTCTTTTTCTTTCTCCCTCTTTCTTTCTTTCTATATTTCTTTCTTTCTCTTTCTCTCTCTTTCTCTTTTCTTCCTCTCTCCTTTCCTCCCTCCCTCCTTCCCTTCCTCCCTCCCTCTCTTCCTCCATATTCAGTGGCCAGTGACTAGATCTATCAAATTTTAAAATGCATATTTCCGGCAGGGCGTGGTGGCTCAGGCTTGTAATACCAGTTACTTGGGAGGGTGAGGCGGGAGAATCGCTTGAACCAGAAGGTGGAAGTTGCAGTGAACCAAGATCGTGCCATTGCACTCCAACCTGGGCAACTGAGTGAAACTCTGTCTCCAAAAAAAAAAAAAAAAAAAAAAAAAAAAAAAATGCATATTTCCTTTGACTGAGCTAGGAACCTCCCTCAGAGGGCAGATGCAGAGTCTCCTGAAATACCTGAATACATATGCAAACACATGTGCTTGTATGTAATAGTAAACCAAACAACAACAAAACAGGAAATTACTCAAATGTCCATTAGTAGAGGACACTGGGTTATTTTCTGAGACGATGATGGGTTATTTCTTGATAAATAGATGCTGTTGGAATAGTATGACGCCATGACAAAGAATGAAGCGGCACTACTTATATACAGATATGGAATGATCTATTGCTTTTAAATTTAAAAAGCAAACTACAGCATGGTGTATATACCATTTTGTGGGAATAAAAGATGTTTGTGTGTGTGAATATACATAAAGATCTGTAAATGTGTAGCTATCTACAAGAAAGTAGTAACCAGGATTGTCTCTGGAAAAGAGATCTGGGTGGCTGAGGGTCAAGCAGGAGAGAGACTTAGTTTTCACTATTCATTCTTTAGAACTTTTGACTTTTATTCCATGGGACTCAAGAACGGTTGATGTTCTTCTCTATTTTACATGTATTATTAAACTCTCTAATAGATTTCAAATGAAATGGAAGAAAGGATTCTACCAGTAAGACATCAAGCAAACAAACAAAACAAAAAACCATACAAACAATCAAAACAAAAAAAATTTTAAAGGAAGGAGTTAGAGAAAATAAGAGCTTATATATGAGTGCTCTGGTCAACTCTCCCAGCTGACTCCAGCCTTGGAGTCATTCCAACCCAGGAGCCAACACATGAGTGAAGACGCCTCCAGATAATTCTAGCTCCCAGCTAGCCAAGTCACCTCCAGCCACTCAAGTCACTTTTGTCATTCAAGTATTCGCAGATGAGGCTCCAGACAAGTTATTCCCCACAGCATCCTGTTCAAATTTGTGACCCACAGAAATCTGTGAGCATAATGAAGTGATGGTTGGCAAATGCTGTTAAGTTTGGCATGGTTTGTTACACAGCAATAGATAACTGAAGCAGAATTTGATACCTGAAAGTGAGGTGGTGGTACAACAAAACCTAAGATGTGTGGCATGAATTTTGGGAGGAAGCCTGATGGGGCTGGCGGAGATTTGATGACAGTTTAAAGAAGAGTGAGGGCTGGGCGCAGTGGCTCATACCTGTAATCCCAGCACTTTGGGAGTCTGAGGCAGGTGGATCGCCTGAGGTCAGGAGTTCAAGACCAGCTTGGCCAACATGGTGAAACCCCATCTCTATTAACAATACAAAAATGAGCCAGGCATGGTGGTGGGCGCCTGTAATCCCAGATAGTTGAGAGGCTGAGGCAGGAGAATTGCTTGAACCCGGGAGGTGGAGGTTGCAGTGAGCCGAGATTGTGCCACTGCACTCCATCCTGGGCGACAGACAAACACTCCATCTCAAAAAAAAAAAAAAAAAAAAGAGTGAGGGAGGCATTAATGGAAGATGGAAGACACTCACACTCACCCTTGTTTTGCAGTGGTGGAAAGTTGAGCAAAACTGATGCCTGCAGGAATGTGGAAAATGAAAAGTGCCCCTGAGGAACTGATGGATCTAGCCAAAGAGGCTTCTAGGAAAAATACCCGTGGCAGCTGCTTTCTCTTAGCTGTATATTTTAAGGTGCATACACAGATGAGCTAACAAAGGAGTCATTTAGTTTGTATTCAGAATTTAGAGTAAATATAAATTAGGGTCTAGGACTTGCAGAGTTCAAAAATAAAGCTATTTCTAACCACTCTCAATAAAATATTTTCAAAGTTAGAAAGGGCCTCATGACAAAGATCAAATATAGGGCATTGGCAGGAAAACAAAGCCTCAGAGTAAGGAGGCCAACTGTGCAACTGTAAAACCCTGCTTTAAGACTTCAGAAAGATTTAAGGTGGTGCTTCACAGATTGTTTTAGATACGCAAAAGACTTTTTAAAAGAATCTTAAGGATGCTATATCACAGTAACCACAAAAAGGTTCAAAGTAGGAAAAGGCTTATGCAAAGATGCACATGGGTATGGTTTTGTCTAATGAAATGGATGATAAATTGATACATAAGAAACCTATTAAGATTTTCAACAAATTACACTATCCTGGACTGTAAGAAACAGAGACAGTAACTAATAAAAAGAATCCTTTGGACCCTTCAAGTTCTATGAGCAGGAAGCAGGCTGAGAACTACTCAGCTACAACACAGAATATGTTTTATGAAAAGAGAACATGATTCAGAAGGTAGAACTAAAAACCCAGAAGGCAGAATCAGACTGGGTGTGGTGGCCCACACCTGTAATCCCAGCACTTTGGGAGGCAGAGGTGGGAGGATTGCTTGAGGCCAGGAGTTCGAAACCAGCCTGGGCAACATAGCCAGACCTCATCTCTACAACAAATTAAAATATTAGCCAGGCCTGGTGGCGTGTACCTGTAATCCGGGCTACTGGGGAGGCTGAGGTGGGAGGATCACATGGGCCCAGGAGTTCCAGGCTACAATGAGCTGTGATCACTGCACTCTAGCCTGAGTGACAGAGCAAAAATCCTGTCTCTTATGAAAAAAAAAAAAAAAAAAAAAAAAAGGCTTAGCACAGTGGTTCATGTCTGTAATCCCAACATTTTGGGAGGCCGAGGCAGGCAGATCACTTGAGGTCAGGAGTTTGAGACCTGCCTGGCCAACATGGTGAAACCTCGTCTCTACTAAAAATACAGAAATTAGCTGGGTGTGGTGGTACACGCCTATAATTCCAGCTACTCGGGAGGCTGAGGCAGGAGAATCCCTTGAACCCGGGAGGTGGAGGTTACAGTGAGCTGAGGTTGCACCACTGTACTCCAGACTAGGTGACGGAGTGAGACTCTGTCTCCAAAAAAACAAAAAAGGCAGAAAAGCCAGGAGCCACAGAAAACAACTCCCGGAAACTAGAATTGGACCTGATGCCATTTGCCCAGCTGGACTTCAGAATTGCTACAGATTGGTAACTTATGTGCCACATATTCCAACCTTTCCCCCGTGTTAAGTGAGAATGTCTGCTGCAGTTTCCCTATCCCCTATACCCATTGTTTGCTGGGTGTGGGGGACACGTAACTTGTCTCTTTCATTCATAGGTCTGAGATTGAGAAGAAGCATCATCAGGGAACTGTACCTAAGAAACAGCATTCAAGGTGCCTCATCCACATCCAGATCTGATTTAGCTGATGGGATCCTGGACTTTGAGTTGACGCCATAACAGGAACAACTCTGGGAGTCTCAAGAAAGGACAGAGTGCATTTCGGATGTGGGAGGGGTTGTGAACTGTCGTGGCCAGACAGTGGACTGAGGCAGCCTGCCTTTTCTAAAGATGAATATAACACTATCTCTCACCCCATACGCTTTCCTGAAAGGTGATGCTCTCTTTCCTTCATCAATAGGGACCATCTAGTTCCCCTCCTTTTGAACTTGGGCTGACCTGTGTGATTCTGTTGTAACCAATAGGATGCAGCGGATGTGATGCTGTGTGACTTCCCAGGTTAGGTCAGAAGAAGCCTTGCAGCTTCTCCTTGGTCTCCAGGAACACTTGGTCTCGAAATGCTCTCTCCTGGGGTGCTGCCTCTCAGCAGCCATCTGCCACACTGTGAGAAGCTAAGCTGCATGGGGAGACCACACCGAAGTGCTCTGCTCCACAGTCCAACTGAGGCCAGCCTCTGAAGCCTCCAAATGATTCCAGCCCCCAGGTGCTCAGATCAACTCCAGCCATTCAAGTCTCCCCAGCTGAGGCCAAGACAGTGTGGAGCACGGGCAAGGCATCCCTTTGTGCCCTTTTCAGATTCCTCAGGGAATCCATACATATAATAGAATGGTGGTTGCTTCATGACACTACATTTGGTGTGTTTGGTTAGACAATAGATAAAAGGAATAGTAGAGACTAAATATATGCAATTGGAAGATCTGGCTTCTACAATGAATAAGCAGGGCTGGAAGATCACCTTGGAAGTTAATGAGCCACATTCAACAGGGAAGCTGTAGAGTTTATAGCCCTCAAAGTGGTGTGCAGACACTATTTGTGTTCATGGGGTGCAATGGAGAAACTGTCTAGAGGTTATTGGAGAGGATTGGGGCATAAGGATTCTAGGTTTTCAAGGTGACAACTGCTAAACCAGATGGCACCATGTCTATGTGGCCTAAAATAGATGAGAGCCAATGGTACAATTTTGGGAGCCCAAGCCTGAAGCGCTCTTTGCTGAGCAAACACTGAGGCCATGGAATCACCCAATGTGTCTGTCTGGCAAGGGGCTGGACTGATGGGGCTGGTCTGCAGCCAAATCACAGAGCACGCATGGCACCTGGCAGCAAGGGTCATGCCCACAGTGGCATGAGCAGACAGTCCTCTCTCTTTGATTATCCCATGCAGCGGTGGGGTAATTCCCTTCCGCTGTAAAATCCTCCTGAGGTAGAGGGATTTGGGGAGTTAGACACTGGGCAGTCTTCTAGTAGGCCTTATTGGTGTTTAGCTGATGAATTGAAAAAAATAAAAGAGAGATGACCATATCAGTAATGCTAGGTTGTGAAGCAGTTCATATCTTTATAGAAGTTTAATAGTCACTTCAAGTTCTCTGAAAATCAAAATGAAACTTAAGGGGATTGCCAAGCCTGTGCTCAATAAGGCCCGCACA
Organism: Homo sapiens; assembly: GCF_000001405.40. Lineage (NCBI taxonomy): Eukaryota > Metazoa > Chordata > Mammalia > Primates > Hominidae > Homo > Homo sapiens. The sequence continues at coordinate 172,909,690 of NC_000002.12, read as the reverse complement.
TATAAGTCAGCACAAGTCAGCTTAAACCTGGGGTCAGCAGTGGTTCCGAGGTGACTCAGCAGGTCTTTATGTGGCCCCCACATGCCCTCCACACTCCGGCTGTGGAGGTGTGTGGTGGCCTGGCTGAGCTCTTGGACAATGTCCTCTCTGGGGCCCTGGTGCACTTCCCCCTGTAAACCCTTTCCCTGGATCCCAACACACTCTAACACCTTAACAACATCAATGACCTCACTCAGTCGTTTTTCAAATTGCTATATGCACTTGGGAAAGAGCTATGTCTTTGGCTCAAGTCCTACAATGATAGAGAGTTAGCAGAGATAAATCAATAGTCAGGTGAAGAACAGAGTAGAACACTGAATCAGTGCTTTGAGGTGGAGAAGGGAATGGTGAGCTCTAGTGTTACTCCAAAACTCTTGCGTGGTGGCCTTGAGGATGCATGCCTCAAGCAACACTTGGGAGGGCTCAGGCTTTTGTTACAGAGCATCCTGCTCATGTCCAGAGAAGCTTCTACAAGGCCCTTCCGAGAGGTGGGTGGCTTGTGCAGCAGGTCACCAGTCTGGATTGAGTTCTGTCTCTGAGGCCCAGGGCACCAGTCTCACTCCTGACACTGAGGCCACCCTGCCATGGTGCTAATACACGTGGGAGGCCCCTATCAGGAGGACTCATGCACACTCCCTGTCCAAACCCTCCAGGACCCCTCCAGGACCTCTAAAGGCAGTTAGGAAATCAATTCTTCAAATGACAAGAAAACCTCAAGGACTTTCAAGGGTCTTAGAAGCACTTGGCCGGCTTGGCTCCTTACTGCTAATCAGTTGGGTCATTGCAGACAAGTCCCTCAAGCTCTCTGGCTTCAGTCTCCCCATCAGTAAAATGAGTGCTTTGAATTAGATCCATTCTGTAGAATCTGTACTCCCTGGAGTACCCTCAGCCGAGGGCACACCACACAAGCATGGCCTTCAGCCCCAATGATCACTAGAGTGTCTTTATTTTTTGTTTCATAAATTAAAGTTCCAAGAATAGTTTCATTTGAAAAATGACTTTGGATCCTAAAAAATAAGAGTTTACAAACCACAAGATTAGATCATCTCTAAACTTCCAGCCAGACAAGATGTCACTCAAAGATCTACATGAAGCATCAACAAAGACCAATTTAGGATTTGTCTACGAAGTGTTAGGGACTCTACCCTCTGTTAAGATGACTTCTATGGTTGTGGTTTGGCCAAGTGACAGTTTTCACCTTAACGGAAAGGTTTGTCAACAAAAACTGGTAGTAAGAATTTAACTGAGATGCATCACAGTGCAGTGCTGACCTTCACAACCGAGGTGTGCAGACACCCAGTGTGGGACCCAGCAGAGCAGAAAGGGATGTGAGAAGAATAAACAGGAGCTCTTCCTGGAGCTCAAATTTTATTCTATGTCAAGTAGTTTAAAGGATTATTTTTATACTTTTATATTATGGAGTAGAAAGCTAAATTTGCATAAATTTTAAAGATTAAAGCATGAGACTTCAAAGAAATTCTGATCTGGCTGCTGGCTACTTCTAGCTACAAAGGGTATAGACCCCAGGCATTATGTATTGATTTCCTCTGCATTTGGGAGCTTCAGTGGAAAAAGCCAAGAACCTCTGATGTTACGGAAAGTGTGCAGACATTTAAATCACACAAGACTGGGGTCTTAATTCCGATTCCACTACATGCTACTTGTGTGAACGTGGGTCAGTTACTTACCTCAGTCTCTTGGGTAAGGAAACTGGGATAACAGCACCATCTTTCAGGACCATTGTGAGGATGAGAAATAAAATCTATAACAGTTCCCTGCACATATCAGGCACTTAGTAAATGGTTCTGGATAGTAGTAGTAATAATAATAATAATGGTAGTTGTAACAATAAACCAAGGATTAAGTGAACCCCAGTATATTTGATGATATTTTCCAACCAGATAGTCTCCAGCTTTGAGAAAGAATATTTTCTGCATTACAGCTTCACATCACTGAGGCTGTTGATATGCATACAATGACCCACAACACACCTACTGATCATCTGCTAAATGGACCTGTGGGAAAATAAGAATTTAAATAATAGACTTTCTTAAATAATTTTATAATGTACCACCTGTTTTTCACCCACATGGTAAAATAGTTCAACAAGAAAGCAACAAGTTCCAAAGTGATGGAGAAACGAAGAGCACAAGAGAGAAAGCCCAGAAATAACCTAACAAACACAAGCAAAGCCTTTCTGCCCTCTGAGCTGTTTGTTACTAAGAGACTCCTTTAAAAAAATTAACCTGTCAATTACAATTGGCCAGTTTTTAGAGCAAAGTAAGTGCCTGTGGCTCAGAATAGAGGGAAGAGGGAAGGCAGAAAGAAGGGATGGGAAGGGACAGAAGTCCTCAGGCCAGTGAGGCCAGATGCCTGTCCCCAGATTGAGTTGCAAATGTATTATTATACTGACAAATACAATATTAGTATACAGACTATACTAATATTTTCTAATATGAAACAAAAGATGACAGTCTTAGAAAGGTTGAAACCTGGTCTACCTCACAGCCAATCAATTGTCTCCATCAAGAGCACTGAGGAATTCTGGCTGGAAGGCTGGCAGAGCAACCACCAGACTGGGGAAGGGGTGGTGGGGATAAACCCAGCTCTGCTGAACAAGCCTTGAGCCCTGGCCTGGGGCTGCTCCTGCCTGGGGCAGGGAGCCCCTTTTTATAATGTGCACGAAGTCTCCATATGGCCTAGAGGTAGCCCAGGAGCTGGCATACAAAAGTTGGGTGGCATCTCCTGAAGGAGGAGACATTATAGAGGCATGTCACTTTCTGAGACTCAGTTTACAAAGCAAGATGCAGAGAAGAAAGGAAGGCTGGCAGCTTGAACTGAGCTGAGCCATCTGACAAGTGAAGACAGGGTCCTGGCAGGCAGGACTCCCTACTGTGGAGGTCAGGGCCTTCCTGGCACTCTGTGAGGCCTTTTCTGGGTGTTCTCCAAGCTGCTGTCCACTGCCAAGGAGGAGCCTCCACCAGGCAGGCCAGAGTGGCATGCAACTGCTGGCACCCAGCGGCTACCACATTCCCACCCAGATGCTGCCTGAGCTTTGGGCACACCCCTTCCCACAACTGTCCCCTTGCTTTCCCCCTCCTCCTGGGCTATCATCAGGCTGTAGCGAAAGCATCAGAAGCTCCCTGGGGATATGTCTGAAACCCCTTGGCTGGGATAATCAGCACCAGAAAAGCATTAAAAACAGGAAGCCACAGGGATAATTGACAGGCATTGCTGCAAACACCTGGGGTGGGGGTGTGCTCAGAATAGGGACAGAATAAGGAGAGGCAGCGTCCAGGATTGGGGAAGAATAACACAGGACTGTTCTGGGGATGTGGGGATGTGTCTCATCATAAGGTCCCATTCATTATGTTCCACTAGGTTCTCCCAATATACTAAAGCTGAGATCATAAACTGTCATGACAAAGAACAGGTCATCTGTACTTTCTCTGAAAGCCTCATGATTAGACAGTAGAATAGCTTAGAAGAGTGACATAATGTTTAGACCCTTTTTTTCTGTTTCTTGCCCAGAGTTCTTTCACAACCTCTAGATGATATGAAAATGGACACAACACATGGCTCCAAAATCCCAGAGTACTACAGAATTCTTAAACCCATGCATGGTAGATAAGAAGGCAAAAAGCAAAGCAGTTATAAATGGAAGGCTGCAAGCAGAAGCTTTCTGTTTACCTGTTTAAAGCCACATGCACTGCCTTTCCCACAATAGATCACTGGCTGGACTGAGTTGACCTCTTAAGGCAAGTTATTCTGTTTCCTTGTTCCTGGATTCCTAGAGCATCCGCATAATGGGGCACAAATAAGTTCGAAGCCCTTTCAGTGATACCTAATTACATCCTTTGGCCCTTTTATAGACATTTCTACGTGGAAGCAAAATTCTGCTTGTCAATTTATGACCATTTTTAATTCATGGCCAACCTGCTGAGAGCAGTGGTCTGGAGTGCAAGAATCACAACTTTAGCTCTAGTAGAAGATGCTTTCCAAACCTGAATCACATAAGAGCCCCTGACTAAAGCCCAACTGGGATGACACTACAAGCGAGCAGATAAAGTTGTGGACAAAGCCCCCTGTTAGAGATGCTCTCTCCTCCTGGCCTGTGACAGTTCAAGATTCTGACCCATACATGTAGGGAGCCTCAAGTACTCTCAAGTGAAAGCAGAATTATTACCTATGAAGAATAATAGTTTAGCCAAGTCTCAGTCATAGAAGGCAGTCAGATTAATCCTGCAGCAACAGCAGAATAAATCCACACTCATTTAGTCAGTCAACAAATATTGACTGCATGCCTGCTGGGGGGTGACAGAGGAGTTATGGTGGACCCCTCCCAGGCCTTGCAGGCTAGTGAGGACAGCTACCAACACATGACAGTACAAATACCTGGATTCGCACAATGACGCTAGATGCCGGAAAGGAAAAAAAGTATAGGGTGCATTGAAAACCTGTTCGGGTGGGGAGGAGAGGGCAAATTCAGATTTGGGAGTCAGAGAAATGATATTGAATCTGAGGCTGAGGAGGCTTGGGGGATAGGGGAAGCGAGAAAGGAGAAAGGGAGCAGGTCGAGTGTTAAGGGACAAAGAAGGCCAGTAGGGTGGAGAATAAGGGCAAGGGGAATTGGGGAAGACAGGAGGGTAGTGAGGCCTCAGCACACAGGGGCCAGGACAGGGAAGGCCTTGCAGGTCACGGGAAGAATTTTAACCATCATCCTCATGTGACAGGAAGCATTCTAAGTAGAGAGGTGACAAGAACAGATGGGTGTTTTTAAAAGATCGCCCTGCCTGCTGCTTGGAGGATGGTTTTGATGGGAAAACAAGGAAGGTATTAGGTGCTGAAGGGGAGGACAGGCCTAGATGTGGCACCTCAAGGGGGCTGGAAATGGGGAAAAGAGGGAGGAAAGAGAGAGGGAAGTGGTGTATCGGGTAGAGAAAATTAAAGACACTTCACTCCTAAAAGCAGAGGTGAAATGATCTGCAACTATTTATTGCTAATAATATTAAAGCCCCTGATTTCTTGTTGAAGCACACTCAACCCATTTGTGCCTTTCATATGACTAAAAGGTTCAGAGATTTCAGGGGCTCACTGGTATGAGTGTAATTTTAGTTAGTGCACACTTTGTATATTTGAGTAATTAATCAACCATAAGCTTCTCTTACAGAAGCTCAAGTTGAGAGCAAGACACACACAGTAGGTCAATGCTACTTAATTGAAAGTCGTAAAACAATTTGCTCTAGCAATGTTATTGCATAGTAAATCCTTACCTCTCATCACACTAAGTCTGAATCTACTACAGTCCAGTGAACATATAAATGGGACTAAGAACAGTGAAAAACATAGCCATTGCCTCCTTGTTCACAGAGAAACAGTTGACTGACAACATTTTATTCAACCATATTAGTCTTCAAGGGGTGATGAATATTACTATAATTATTCTGAATTAAAACTCACATGAAGCCCAGCTCTTATAAAATTAACAATAATGTCAGTAATAGAAATCATGGAAACATGGAAGTTACAAAAAAGTGCCTACATATTAGTCAGACAGAATTAGGATGCACTGATCATTTAAAAACCTAAAATAAAGGATCATTTCACAGAAAGTAATAGCCCATGACTGTTGACCCTTTTGAGCAAACTACCATCATCTTGTTTTTGCTTTCTCGCCCTGCAGTGCACTGCTCCAAGGGTGGCATGCCAGGTAGAGGGGATTGAGTGGAGATTTATGGGGCAGGAAGACTGCCGGCTCAGAGACACCTGGGCTTCCCACTGCAGAGGCATCCCTTCTGGCTTTGTCCCTCAACATGTGAAGCCATTGGGGCAGAGGCACTTTGCATTTCTCAGTTTATTTTCTGACCAATTTTCTCAGGAAGCATTCATATATAACTCACCTGTCTTAAGTCTGATCCTACCCAGTAACCCCCGGGGGGCATACAGTATCCATAGGGTCTCTTAGCTTTTGCCATATCCATGCACATTGGTCACTAAAATGTAAACTACAGAAGAACAGTGACTTCTGTCTGTTCTCTACACTCACTGGCCCAGAACATGCTACTTCTTAGCTTCAGGCATTCTTCATCTTTAGAAACTTTTTTTTTTTTTTTGAGATGGAGTTTCACTCTTGTCGCCCAGGCTGGAATGCAGTGGCACAATCTCAGCTCACTGCAACCTCCTCCTCCCAGGTTCAAGAGATTCTCCTGCCTCAGCCTTCTGAGTAGCTGGGATTACAGGTGACTGCTACCACGCCCGGCTTCTTTTTTTTTTTTTTTTTTTTGAGATGGAGTCTCACTCTGTCCCCCAGTCTGGAGTGCAGTGGCGCAATCTCCGCTCACTGCAAGCTCCTCCTCCCAGGTTCACGCCGTTCTCCTGCCTCAGCCTCCTGAGTAGCTGGGACTACAGGTGCCCGCCACGATGCCCAGCTAATCTTTGTATTTTTAGTAGAGATGAGGTTTCACCATGTTGATCAGGCTGATCTCGATCTCCTGACCTCAGGTGATCCACCCATCTTGGCCTCCCACAGTGTTGAGATTACAGGCTTGAGCCACCGCACCTGGCCGAGACTTTGTACTTCAATTCCTTCTAAACTCCGCCAGCTTTTCTGCCCACACATGTTGTTTGCAGTGACTTTCTTCATTCCCCTCCATTATGATTTTTTCTATTATTGCTGCTCCAAGTTCCCATGAACAACCTGAAAACATCCTTGTCAATCTAAGCCAATATATACTTACTGCATATATGTAGTAGGAATCACCGTAATACAGCTCTGTGTGGTTTTGGAAGTCTCTGTTTATGGTGGAATTTTGCAACCCTTGAGTCATTTGAGTGGATCCTACTTTCTGTCATCTCTCCACTCTAGAAAATCTCAACTCTGTTTTCTCTGCAGGGTATGTTCTTATGAGTCTCACCCAGGCCCATACTTTATATCATCAAATAACAGATTAGGCCCTACATTTCCCCAGCATAAAGGCTAGGAGGTGTCAATAATGAAAGTGGTGCTTTAGCTATTCTGCAAAATAGTGTGGAAGAGAATATTAGGGTGCCACATGTTTGAAGGGGTGGGGCATGAGAGACGGCAGTGCTGAGAGAGTTGGGAAGATATAAGCTTAAAGATCCAGGCATCGAGACCAGCCTGGCCAACATGGTGAAAGCCTGTCTCTACAAAAAATACAAAAATTAACTGACTGTAGTGGGGCATGCCTGTAGTCCCAGCTACTCAGGAGGCTGAGGTGGGAGGATCACTTGAGCTCAAGAGGTCGAGGCTGCAGTGAGCCGAGGTCATGCCGTTGCACTCCAGCCTGGGCGAGAGTGAGACCCTGTCTCAAATAAATAAATAAATAAATAAATAAAGAAGATCCAGGCAGACATGGGCTCCAATCCCAGCTCTACAAATCTCCACTGCTGTTAACAAGACTTGTGAGCCCTTACACAACCTGGCCTCTGCCTTCCCTCCAGCCTCAGCCCCCACTCGCCTCCCCTATTCATTCCTTTCCAGCCACTCTGCCCTCTTTCAGGTCCTTCAACACACGAAGTTTTCCTCCTGAAGCCTCCTGCTGCCTGGAATGTACTTCTGCCACTTGCCCTTGCCAATTTCTCCTCACCTGAGCTTAAATATAACCTCCTCAGCGTGGCCTTCCCCAACCCCCAGTCCTCATGACTCCCCCAGTTATTCTCTCCCTCAGCAACATGTCTCTGTCATTGGCATGCCCAGGTAATGTGTCATTATGCCCCGCATCTGAGTGTGGAGTGGCTCAATGCTTTTTCTCCTCTGTTAACCACAGACTAATGGAGGGCAGGACGGCATCTATTTTCTCTCAGTGCATACCCAGACCCTAGAACACTTGCCTGGGACATGGGAAGAAGCTCTCAGGGAATAGTTGTTGAGTGAAAGAATCACTGATTGAATTTCTCAACCACTCTGAGGTTCAGATTCCACAATAATAAAGCAGAAAATTACCATGGCACCCCTCATGGTTGATGGAAGGACTGAATGAGATAACTCAAGTAAAGCTCCTCACAACACAGGCACACAATAAATATTAGTTCCCATTTCCTCTACTTCATCATTGTTTCTCAGATTGATTCTGCCAAAGGGCACATTTTCATTCAAAAAACAGATGCTTGAAAGAAAAATCAGCCTAATGCATGAAGACCTACAAACATAATGTTAGTGATTTGGAGATAGGATGAAAGAAGCCATTTAAAATCATATGATGTACATGGTCAAATCTCTCTGTGATGTTCTTTATGAATAAGCTTCTTGCTTTAAGAGAAGGGACAGGGGAAGCATGATGATCACTTGATACCAATAAAAACAAAACCTAAATTTAATTCATCAAAATCTAGGGATACTAATCAATTTTGTATTTTAAAAGGAAGTACAGAGGAATAGAGTGCCCAGTCTGTGCTCTCGGAATTAGTGCCAAAATATACTCATTGGTGAAAATTTAGTTTTAAAAAACCCATGTGTGGCCCACTTATGATTTCGGTTTTATTCTCAAAAATGAGATAGCACTGTAAATACTTAATTCCAAGGTAAACAGATATAAAGCATGTCACTCAGAAAATTCCTTTGATCTCTCTGATGACTTTATCTAATTGGTATCATTATGTTGTAACTCCACTTTCAATTGTATTTCTGTAAACTTGGCAAAAGCTCCCATGTAATATATTTGAAAAAAAAATAATGTATGTGTTTTCTCTTTCAACACTGTGGGAAGAAAAAAAGAACCTTAATTACATTTTAAATGAAAACTTTAGTCGTTGACAGTTTAAAAATAATAGAACAGAAATCATAAAACATTATGGACGGTGTTTGAGTATTATTATTAGTGTTAAAAGGAACCAGTTTTGCTGATTTTGACAACCGTCTTATGGTTATATAAGAAAATGTCCTTGCTCTAAGGAAACATGTGCTCAAGTATTTGGGGGCAAAAGAGTACAATGTCTTAAATCAATCAGAAAAATATAGGAGAGAAAGGGAGATTGGTGCTAATGGGGCAAAATGTAAACAATTGGCAGAATTTGGGAAAAATTCTAGGTAAGTCCTTTGTGTTATTCCTGCAACTTTGCTAGATATATTTAAAATTATATCAAAACTAAAAATTGGCCAGGCACAGTGGCTCATGCCTGTAATCTCAACACTTCAGGAGGCTGAGGTAGGGGGATTGTTTGAGGCCAGGAGTTCGAGACCCACCTGGACAACATGGCAAGACCCATCTCTACAAAAAATTAAAAAATTAGCCAAGTGTGGTAGCACATGCCTGTAGTCCCAGCTACTCGGGCAGCTGAGGTGGGAGCATCCCTTGAACCCAGGAGTTGGAAGTTAGGGTAAGCTATGATCACGCCACTGCACTCCACACTGGGTGACAGAGCAAGAGCTTGTCTCTAAACAACAATAACAGCAACCAAAACCTAAAAATTATCCAAAAATGGAAAGGAGTCAGAGTTGCAGCTTTAAATGGTTGCTCTTACTGCATTTATTCTGTCCATCTGTCTTCCTCAACTCAATTCCAGGCTCTGCTGTCCTCCATTCTGCCTCTGCCTCTCGAGTGAGTCCTCTTCGGAGTGGGGAACTCTGTCCCCACTGTCAGGGAAGGTCTAGAGCTATCCCTGGGTGCCCATGTGTCCAGTTATCTGGCATGAGGGGAGGAGGAGTCCAAGGGTGGAAGGAAGGGCTGCATCTCAGGGCAACAAAGCCACAGCGTTCCCTAATCCACCTCACGTGCTTGGCCTTTTTCCTTGATAAGCATGTCTGTTCCCTTGCTGGGATGGAGCTCGGCCCTACATGCGGTCCACAGCCTGCCTTCTCCTTGCCATACCTACATACAGGATACCTCTTATCCTGCATACCTCTAGTTCTAGCCTGAAATGCAGCCCACCCTTCACAGCTGACCCAGAGCCTTGATGCTATCAGCTGTCCGATTTTTTGTTCTTTCACTGTTGCTAAATCTCTTCTGCAGGTGCCACCCAGCAGAAAAACGGATCATCCTGGCCTCAATGCCATCATAAGTCAAGTCTGAATTTGCTGGCCTCCTGTGGCACTGTCATTTGGATCACTGGCCACTGTCCTCAGGGGTCAGCCTTATAGCTTCTGTAACTAGGTTTTCTGGGAAGCACATTCTGGCTTCCTTGTATTCTCCACACCGGACTTCCCTGAGGCCCAAGGACACCGTATATCCAACCTTTAATGTTAACACAAGCCAAGAGTCTCACTTTCCAATGCAGATTAATCTTTGATCACACACTAAAACAGATTTCTGCTGCAAACACTTTCCTATGCGGATTAATCTTTGGTCATGCACTAAAACAGATTTCTGCTGCAATCTAGAAACCCAACTTCAAATGCCAATTTTCTCATCAGAAAATAGCTACACTGGGCTTTCCTATAAATTATCTCTATAGTACTAGAAGAAGAAAAACGACCTTTCTACCAACCAACCTTTTTACCAGCCAACACAAAATCTAAACAGTATGATACAGGTGTGCCATGCTTATGAAAACCCAAAGTATAAAACATGAATGTGTGTTTTTCAGTATTTGTAACATACAGATATTCTTGATTTTATTGCAGATTTAAATAAAATGCTTGGTGTTTTAAAAATAATACTGCATTTTGCCCACATCAATATATACATAGCTTTTAAGCAACATAATTGAATACAGTGAGGTATATTTAAGTTGGGGGAAAACAAAGATAATCTGCAGGAAAGAAAACCTGAGGGAGTGGAGGAGTGCCTTTTTAAAACTTCCTTAGAAGTTCTGCAGGGAGAGACATCATTGCCAGCCACTTTCTCACCTAAACACGTGGCACACAGCTAATCTGGACAAAAAGGACTCTCCTCCCTTCCACGACAGTGTCAGAAGCTGAAAGTGACACCTTTCAGGACAGATGTGTGGCGGCCCATAGGGAGGGCAACCAGGTGAGGGACTCTGAACTTGGACCCAGGACCCAGGGGAATCTCTCCTGAACCTCCCTACCCACCTGTCCCTCCAGGACATTCTTGTTTGTCCTCTATACCCTCCTCCAGGTGCAAGTGAGCAGGTCCAGCCAGCCCACATCCCAAGGAGCTAGACAACCTGCCCAATGCCTGTTCATCTCACCCATGGGTGTCAGGGATTTGCAATGACGGAAGATGTTGCCCAGAGGAGCTTGTCCCAGTGGGTCCACAGAGTGAGGTGGGTCAGAGAAAAGGTATTAAGAGAAAATGGTGGGGGGCAAAAAAGCAAGCACCTGAGCTACTCAACTGGAGTAAAGAGAAGACGGTCTGGTAATGCTGAGTGGGAGGTGGGGTATCCAGCGAGCAGGCGGGATTCTTTCACAGGGAACAGGATTCAACAGCTACCTTCTCAACTCTTCTGTTCCCACTCCAGCCTCTCCTTCCTCCAGCCTGCACATCATATCATGTGGATATCTACCATGATCTCTACCTCCCTTTCAGAGCTTTAGCTTCTGCTTTGAGGATCTTCCATCTGGATGTTTGACTTCTAAATCCCCCAACCTCCTGTACAGAAATCCACCTGGTCCCACATCCCTCTTTTTAACTCGGATCCACTTTGGTCACTGGCTCTCCTGCTATTGCCACCCCGGAGTCCCCACACAGCTGTGCTCAGCCTGCAGCCTGCAACCCACCCCAGTGATGTTGTGAAATTACACAGTCTCTCCTCCGCCAGCCCAGTCACCAGGGAACTTCTTACCCCTAACCTTGTTCCACTGTCAGCCAGGCATCTCATCTGGAGCTTGTGCGAAAGTGCTTTACAAAGTACAGTACATGTGATGAGTATTAAATGTAGTTGCTGTGCCGTGAAGCTAAGACATGAAGTGAAAAAGGCAATTCCAAAGATAAGAACTCTCTGGCTGATGTTTGCTCTATAAAATAAATAAAATAAAATAAAATAAAATAAAATAAAATAGATGAAAACTCCCATTCAAAAGCATCCTAGAGTCTGGGCATGGTGGCTCATGCCTGTAATCCCAGCACTTTGGGAGGCTGAGGTGAGAGGATCCTTTGAGGCCAGGAGTTCGAGAATAGCCTGGGCAACAAAGCAAGACTCTGTCTCTACAAAAAAAAATTAAAAAATTAGTCAGGTATGGTGGCATATGCCTGTAGTCCTAGCTACTTGGGAGGATGAGGCAGGATGATTGCTTGAGCCTGGGAGGTCAAGGCTGCCGTAAGCCATGATTACACCACTGCACTCTGGTCCGGGTGACAGAGCGAGACCCTGTCTCTCTCTCTATATATATATATTTTTAAAAAACCCCAAAAACCCAGCATCCTAGAGAATGATCACCTTCATTTCACTGAATTAATTCACCCAAATCTGAGTCTCAGGAGAGTACTAACTGGGATGTGGGGTGTCTTTTTGGAATAATAAAAATGGTCTAAAACTGGTTGTGGTGGCTGCACACATACTGAAAAAGCTGCAGAATTATACAACATAAATGGGTGAATTGTATGCAATGTGAATTACACTTCAATGAAGCTGTTAAAAAAAGAGAAAACACTGAGTGGACTTCAGGATGTGGGCCTAACTTGCCCCATGTATTCTCCTGGTTGTCAGAGGGAGGGATCAGAAAAAGATGCAGGAAAGCCATTTTCCAGAAATTCTGGGCAGCTTCTGGTGAAGCATATATGCTGATTTTACCCACACGGAGCCCAAATCTGACCATCCCTCCCTAAGCCGCTCACCGCACAGGAACACTGCATGCCAAGAGAACTGGCATGTGTCGATTTCTCAGTACCTATAGCATGCAGAGTTATGCTTACTTTTCTCAGCATTTGATTTTTCCAAACAAAAGGAGAAACCAAGCACACAAAACCCAACAGTGAACTGATGAACAACTTTGCATATATATAGAATTTCCAGGCAATAAAGCATGCTCTCCAACAAGCTTGTCTTTGTTTGGAGGAAAATTATGCTTTGCTTTTTCACAATGCCCTCTGCCAAGCCCAATGTGCCCTTCTAATTTAAATCAGTCTTTCAATAGTATGATCCTTCCAAAAGAAACTAATTTTCACTACGCTCATTCAGGGAACTTAACCAAAACTGGATTTTTTTGGGGGGGGGTGGGATGGTGTTGGTGGCAAACCCACATAATAAGGTTTTCTGCTTTGTCACAATCCTAAGATTAATCATTTTCTAAATATCTATAAATACTATTTTGATTATATAAATAGCTTTAAATAGCTGTTTATGAAAAACTCTGTATACAAAGGAATATGCTTAATACAAAATGTGAGTAAGAGAATTAAACACAACTTGCAGTTATATTCTAACCTGTAGATTATAAATCAGTGTGCCATAATGATGTATCCTGAAAATTATCTTATCTCAACAGAGGATAAAAAGCCGATTAAAATAAATCTTCTTGTAAATTCTAAAACGCTTCATTCACTGGGTAATTTTATTCTGTCCTATCTCAATAAGGACATTTCAAATCAAAGACCTGAAAAGGAAGGTTAATACATCTTGATGGTTTCAGTAGCTTCCGTTTTCTTATTCTATGTTAAATTCCTCAAATGTGTGTGAAGTTCGGCAGTTCATGTAATCTGGCATAAGAATGGAAGATTGTAAAGAAATGTTTAAAATGTTGACTTCTCAGACAACGTCTTTATGATCTCTCTTTTTCACTGCTCGTTTATTTCACAGAAAAGCCTCCATTTTCACTATAATTTTCCCAAATAAAGCTGTTATGGAAGAGGATGCCAGGGCAATGGGAATGTAAGGAATCAGATCAAAAGTGGGTTAATTTCTAAATTGTTGTAATAATATAGCTCATCCTATCAATTCATAATCTAGGTAAACCAATCATTCTGCATGGTTTAGGGGCAAATTCTGGTTTGTTTGTCTGTCTGTTTGTTTTGAGAAAGTGTTCTTTTTACCCCTCCTCTCCCAATTCCTTTTTCCCCATATACAAAAATAAGATACTCATCTCTGAGTGCCCTTGGTGACCTGAACACATACTTTTGGGACAAATTATGTCAACACAAAATTCGAGATTGGCAGTCTCAGAGAACCACATTAGAAGTAGATTACTTCTATGTAAAATATTGTATATAAAATTAAATCATTTTGGCAATAACTAAATTCAAAGAAAATCTTGAACAATAACTAAGGAAATAAGCCTTTTTGGGGGCTTGTTCATGTAAATGACAAATCAACAAATGCAGTTTATTTCAGGGAAAGTGTATGTCTATGATCTTTCCCCAAAGCAGAGTTGAGGGAAAAGCATTCAGCCCTCAGGTGAGGAGCCTGCAAGGGTAGAAAAAGGTCTACGACTCCTTGGAGATACTCACTGGCTCTATTTTCCAGCAGTTACCAATGACAAGTTCCAAAAAGCCAAACTTTTAATTAAATCCTATGGACAAGTAGGATGCCACATGCCTTTCAAAAAATCCAAACCCACCGGAATGGCTCTGAACAGGACACGGAATCAAGGATAAGTACTAAAAGCAGAATCCAGCTGTTGTCTCTAAAAGATTAAAAACAAAGATAAATGAAAAACATGAAAGCGAAGTGGCTGTCAGGCTGCTGCCAAAGGAGCACTTAAAACAGACCCAGAAAGTAACAACAAATCGCTCCCCACCTTCCCTCACACACCAGAAGCTATAGAGAGCTCTCTAAAGAAAATTCAAAAATCAGTTCTTCTGCTTGGCATTCTTTGAAGAGGCTCGATGCACATAGTATCAATTGGGCAACAAACATGCAGAAAGTTCAAGACAGTTCAAGTCCAATTCTGCAATAATTACTACGCAATGTTCACTGCCCAAGTTAAAGGCCAAAATAGAGTATGCATGTGCATGTTTAAGTATGAATGTTTTTAGAAGGTTAGTACAAACTGGAATAAGAAAACAGATGGGAAGACACTGATACCATTCCTTTGAGTTTCTCTGAAATGCACCCTCAGAGCAAAGCCAGACTTTGGCACCCACTTTTCACCAAGTCACAGATCAGCTTTCTATTCTCATTAAATCCTCATTCATGCAGTCAGTCTAAATTTCCTATTCAGACTGAAATGAATGTTCCATTCTTTTCCTACTTCTCTGGTCAGAGTCACTTATGCTCGTTTCCAAAATAAATCTTCATTTTTCACAAAATAATTCTTCTACTCTCTCCCACTAAATCCTTTTCCTAAGAATAAAAAGAGAAGGAAATCAGAAAGAAAAGTGTAACAGTGAGAGTTAGAATTTTATAAAGCTTAGTCCCAATTTTAGAAATGAAAGGGAGTTTAAAATTTGGAAGCCATCACAGGAAAGCAATCTTGCATAGCGCAAAGGGAATCTCTGGCCAGTGGTATACTATTGAGAGCATACAACTGTTTCTACAGGACAGCGTCCATGATGAAGCTGTTAATGAACTGAAAAAGTCCTAAGCAGAGATCTGAATAGGGAAACCACTAGACTCTAAGGTTCTCTACCAGCCACTCCATGCCAAACAGGCAGTGAGCATGCTCCTTAGAGCAAAAGAAGAAGGTGGTGCAGTGGCCTGTAGGGACAAGGCTATGGATTATGCAGAACTCAACACTGTGACTGGTCTTACCCATGATGTGTGCACTGCACACACAGAGACATCTGCTCTGATTCTTTACATCTTTAAATTCAAGAACGAAGAAGTCTTTGTATAGAAAAATGAATTAAAATAGGGGCTTTCCAGTAGCATCTTTACCAAAGATTTGGGCAGAATTTTCTGCTAGCTTGGATCTAACTGATCAGACTGTGGCATTGTAAACATCAATAATGCAATGAAAGTGGCCAAGACTGGAAGTGCATTTGGAAACAGATGCACACTGGTAGTGGCAGGAGGTCAGACAGAGATGCCTGAGGCAGGATGGGAGATCAACTGCAGTCTGGACCTTTCTCTGGCTCAATGAATCGAGTTTCAGTAAAGTTGCTTTAGATTTATATTACTTCAAGAATTGCAGGCATTCCTGGAGCCCTTTCTTCTAAAGAAGACAAAGAAAGTTAAGATTTGCTGTGAATAAATGCTTCATAAAAAATTTGATAGTGACTAATATCTTGTACACCTGAGGCTCTAACTAAAACAAAAAATTGAATTCATAAAACATGAAAATAAAGTTAGTATAGTATATTTTTTGAAAGCCTAGAATCCTGAATCAAAAGTCTTGTGCTCAACTCCCATGATTCGGGGCAGCCATCTGGGGGTCGATGCGCTTTATAAAGTGCAAACTTTACGGGGAATGGGGTTGTTACTGTGCCCATGATGTTTCAGCAATGCTCCTTGTCTCTTCACTGACTTTCACACAGGACATGTGGTGGCCGCTTTCATCTCCTGATTCTAAGTTAGCCTCCAACTGGGCCCCAGCTGCTTGCAGTTCTCTCCCAGGACGGGGCTGTCTGTGCCTCCCTGCCTTTGCCCAGGCATCCTCTCATCTAATGTGTTTCCTCTCTCTGTCCCACTGGCTCTCATCCACTTATCCTGTACAACTCCTCGCTGTGGACCCACAGCTGACCATTTCCACGGGATCTTCGTTGTACTCTGGGGAGATTTCTAGCATCGTTTCTCTTTAACAGACTAAATGCTTTCATTCTAGCACCAGCCTGTAGCATGGTGCCCGACAGAAGGGGGCTTTTGGAAATGTTTACTGCATAGATCAATACATAATGAGATGCCATAAATATAAGGGAAACTTTTCAATGTAAAGAATATCTCTAATTTTTTGATTTTCTCTTTTACTTATCAGTTTAAAGACCTTTGCCCCAAGGAATGCCACAGTTGGACCAATGCATGCAGAAGTCTGCCATATATGCATGCTAGCCTGGCCAAAACTGTATCCTATTCACTTTAGGGGCATCTCTTAGTCTGAACTCTTCTGAAAGCAGAACGTGAAAGCAGAGCCTAAATGCGGCTCATTTGGGAGATGACCAATCCCAGGAAGCAGGAGTGAAAGTCAGGACAAGTGAGACAGGGAAGGAAGGAAAGAAAGCAGGCTGTGTTAAGGAGCTAGCTATCCCACTGGGGACCCTTGTTGAATGCATTTCAGAATTGTGCCTCCAAAGGACAGGAATCTGGGACACATATCTGCAGACTGCAATCCCCTGTTATCTGAGGTGAACCTTCAGAAGCACTAACTCCCTCTGCCCCCATAAAACTTCTCAACGATCTGGAGTTTAGGCTGTGCAAGCTGTTGTGGGTTAGGAAACAGTCCTGAGCCAGAAAGGCTGAGAGACTGGGAATAACTAGGGAGGGGTGTTGATGTGCACAGGGACTGTCTGTCACAGTGGCAGCTGAAATGGAAGGTTGGCCAGGGCACATATTCAACTATTGATAAGGAAAGGGCAGTGGAGTCAATGGTTAAGGTTTTGCATCATATTTATGCAGCTAAGTAAAAACCTGATTCCAAAACACAATCCATTAATCGATGAAAAGAAAGTGCTTAATAGGGAGCATGAGGATGTCCTAGCTGGACCTCAGGGACAGAGTTCTCAGGGGAACGGGCAAGCATCTGCCAGTGGATGCTCAGGAATATCTAAGACTGCTCCACCCCTCACATCCGCCCTGCTCCTACCCTCTCCCCTTACTGCCACCCCACCATTCACAGGGCAAAGGGCTGAGAACTGCCATTCATCCATTTTCATTCACTGTGACTTCCTTCCACCATTGGTCTTCATGGTCATTTTATAAAAAATGGGTGAAGGAAGCAGTAAAGAGAAAAGGAGGGGGACTTGCTGACCTGAGTATGTTCAATCATTCAAAGACAGCTCTTCTTCCCCTCTCTTGGGCTTTGATAATGGAAAAGAATTCCTATATAATATGTTGGGGGAACCCACTACCAATGACAGCAAATGTGCATTAGTCAGCTTTCAAGTATATTTGTATTTATACTTGAAAGCTTCTTGTATTTATGTCATCAGAATTTTCTTTGTCAATTGGAATAAAGGCAGACCAAGTCCCATTCTGTCACTGTTTTTACACCTGACCCTCTGTACTCCACTGTTTATTTGAAAAGGACGTCAGGCACCCGCCCATCCTTCCATGCTGCACGTGCACCCATCTATGTCCCCTTCCATCTGCCTCTGATCCCACCACGCAGAACCACTGTCAATGAATTTGACTCTTTGTTTCTTAGAATCAGTCACACTTTTCCAACATGAACCTTTTAGCTCAATACCAGCCCAGAATTTTGAGATAAACAGATGTCATGACAGAGGAAAAGGGCCATAAAGGAAATTAAAGCTGGCTTCTATAGAAAATGTCTTTTTAAAAGGAGAAGGAGAAGGAAAAGGAGACAAATATACATTGAGAGATTGAGTTAAATCAGAAGACATCAGGGACACATACCTGAAACTTAATATCTGACAGACATCATAGAGTAATGTTTGTTAAGATCAGGTAAGAATCACCCATGAAACTCATGAAGGGAAGAAAGATAAAATCAGGGCTGTCTTCATGGGTGTGAGATCTGTGCAGTCACACAGAACCGCATGTTCAGAAGGGTCAGCGCTTGGTTTAATACTGTGCTGTTACCATCTTGAAATTCCTTTTTTTTTTCCTTAAAGACAAAGTCTCACTCTCTTGCCCAGACTGGAGTAGAGTGGCATGATCTCAGCTCACTGCAACCTCCACCTCCCAGGTTCAAGCGATTCTCATGCCTCAGCCTCCCACGTAGCTGGGACTACAGGTATGTGCCATCGCACCTGGCTAATTTTTTGTATTTTTAGTAGAGACGGGGTTTCGCCATGTTGGCCAGGCTGGTCTCGAACTCCTGGCCTCAAGTGATCTGCCCACCTAGGCCTCCCAAAGTGCTAGGATTACAGGCGTGAGCCACCACACCTGATCTGTTAATAATTTTTTAACGAAAGTCCCCATGTTTTCATTTTGCACTGAATTCCCACATATTATGTATCCAGTGAAAGAATAGAAATTATTTGACAAGATCTTTCCTTCACAGTCTAGGAAATAGCAAGAAATGGTTTGCAGGGGTATTCTCAATGGTTCCCTCCCTGCTTCTTGCAGATTCATGTGAAGCTGTCTGTCTAGGTTTGAAGATGCTAGGAACTACAGCCTATAGACACATTGGACAGAGGAGAGAAACGTAACCTGGTTGATTAGCACCAAGAGGAGGAAGTCTTAATGGATGAAGTTCTAAATGGATGAGATTCTAAGCCCCCTTCACTGGTTTATTTATTTGCAGAAGTGGAGAAATAATACCTCCCAAAATAACCAATGATTACTCTTCAAAAGAAGTTCACTTACATAAAGCCTAACTTCCTTGCGAAGAAAACTCTTTGAGTCTCCTGTAATGTAGCCCAATTAGAAATCTATTCTCCTGAAAAAAAGGGCAGAGGAGGCAACAAAAGGTCACCCAATAGTCCCCAAGGACAATTGTGGAAATGGCTGTCGCCAGTCATCAAAGTCCTGACTCTAAGCCCCGGCTCTTATCAGTCATCAACTTCCTCTCCTTAAATAGAGCCACTACAAATGTTACCATCAGTCTTCCTCAGACAAAATCAGGCATCTGGCGTCAGAACCTCAGCTGCCAAAATAAAAACCCTCTAAATTATTTTCGGTTCACATTGGACCTTCCTTCCTTACATGTTCTAAATTCACTGTTTACTATTAAGATGTCTGGTCAAGTCTTGCCTTCAGTCTGCAGGCATTGGCCCAAGTGGCATTTGAGCTTGACAACTGTAAAATATTGAAGCATGCATCTTTCTTCTATGGCTACAGAAATAAACCCAGCACATCACGAAACATTCCCAGACGCTGGTAGATAAAACCCCAGGAATAGAGAGCAACTCACAGTCTTGCATACTGGAGTAAGTTTCCTTTGCAAAATCTGCTAAGAGAAGCCACATATGGTCCAGGAGTTTAAATACTGACATTGACTAGAATCTTACAAAATATCTATCTATATTTTTAAAATTTTCCTTGCTGATTGACATTTGAAAGTAACAAATCAGATTAGTGATGCAGTGGGTAGCGTGTGTGTGTGTGTGTCTGTATTCTCACAGTGAATGAGAAAGAATGAATGGTGCATATATATGTATATATACATATATATACATATATATTTGATTAAAGCCTGTCCTTGCGTATAAACATGTCCCCTTGTAAAACCTCGTTCTGTGAGTGGGAATTACTAGAAGAAATGACCTCTGTGGGAGAAGAGGCATTTGTTATTTGGACACCATCCTAAATGCAAAGTAGTTCTATGAACAGATAGCAAATGCTGCCCATGTTTCTAGCAACCGTTCGTAAATTGGTCTCTCAACAATTGAAATCTGTTTGTAAGCAAATACGACTCTTTGTTGACATTATTACTATGTATAAGTATTATTGTCAAAGCCTGAACAATGAAAATCCAGTAAAAGTGGTTTTCTTTTTTTATAAAACATGCCAAAAGGATGTTAAAAGCCCATTAACTTGAAAGGCGACAGTGTCATGTGATCTCTTCCAGCTCTTTAGTAAGGAAAAAAAAATGAGTGCCACACTCTTAAAACATAATTTCATAAGTATTAAAAGGGAGGTTCTAGTTTGTAAGTTCTCATTCAAATATGATCTTTGAGATGATAAATATGATTTTCCTACTATTTAAAATTAGATCTAAACTGCCTATCAATCTCAGAAATTGTTCGTCAGCACTCACAGTTGTCTTTCCTCTTCTCTGTGTCTTTCCCTCGGTGAAGAGGTGTCTAGGAAGTCAATTAAAGTTCACCTTTATTACCCTATAAGTGGTTACCAGCCCCAGGAAGATGGACAACTGGGCTCTCTGCCAGGTCAAATTCTCCCCATTAGGCAATTGGAGAGCATGAAGCATCCAGCAGTTAACTGGCTCTAGCAACATGAAATCACCATCACTCAGATAAATATGAGAAACTCTTGAAAAATGCTGCTTTCTGTATTGAATTCAATCTTTCATGAAAAAGGAGACAATTATTAATTCGATCATAACAAGCCACGTCACCAAGCTGATATTGCAAAGGCCATTATGGATTCAAAGCAGCTTTTTAAAAGTATTCATATTTTCATAGAAGGTAAAGACAGTATTTGGGGCTGAGAATTATCCTTATTATTCAAAGGGAAAACTTGAGGTAGATAGAAAATCAACTTATTGGTCCACAAATGAAAGACAGAGCTAATGCTAAACTTTTCTAATCTGCTTCCTACTTACTATTAGAAGTTGGTCCACCAACAAATAATCCATTTCTTCCACTGTGGAAAGAAGTATTAACAATCTTACTAATAACTCTCCAATTAACATGCTGTGCCTAGTTCATCCCCACTGAAAAGCCTCTGTTGATGGTGTCGCACATGGAAAGGACAACAGACTGAGATACAGGAGAGCTGGGCATCATGTTCCCCGTCTTCTTGGTCAAGGCTCCTGTTCAGCCTCGGATTTTTTCCCCATCTGGGAGGTGAAAGAACAGGGAAAAAGTAGAACAAAAATAATTCCTAAATACTTTACAGTTAAACCTTCTATAATTTCTCCAACTGCTGCATGTGTTTCTCATTACCCCCACACTCTTTTCTGTGCACTGGTTAATAATATTCAACACCCCCAGTTATTAATCAGTGACTTCTTGAGCATCTACTTGGTTCCAGGCTCCTGGACGGATGCACGGAAGATGCAGAATTAAATAAAGATATGGAACCCATCCTCTACAGCTCATACTCTAGTAGGAGATAAACACAAGAATGTGAATTATGATACTAATAACAATGATAAGGGCTTTAATATATATCTGGACAAAGTGCTGTGGGAGCCTAGAAGAGGAAAAAATACATTTTGAGGAATTCAGAAGTCTCACAAAGAAGATGAAAAAACCAACCAGGGCCTCACTAGCTTGTAGCAGAAGTTTCTAAGTAGGAAAGGGGAGAGTGGCTTTTAGGCAGAGGGAACAGTATGTGCGAAGGCTCAGATGCACGAAAAGGTTCGGCAAGCAGAGGAACTGTGAGAAGAGACAGGAGTGGCCAGATACAGAAGGCTTCCTGCAGCAGCGATCAGCAAAGGTTTTCTGTCAAGGACCAGTGAGTAAATCTTGGGCTTTGTAGCCCATACAGTATTGGTTGCAGCTACTCACCTCTGCCATTGTAACACTAAAGCAAGCATAAACGATATATGAATAAACGAGTGTGGCTGTGTTCCAATAAAAGTTTATTTACAAACCCAGGCAGTAGTCTGGATTTGGCCCACAGGCCATAGTTTCACAACCCCTGCCCTAGAGCATAACAGGAGATAAGATTATAAGGACACCTTGGAAATCAGATTAGAGAAGTTCCTATAGGCATTACAGAGATGCTTAGAAAAATGTTAAATTTTTTTTAAGTAAATGAGTGAGGTGATAAAATGTGTATGCTTAAAATGGTAACAGCAGCATAGAATATGGATATTTTCATACCCTGTATCATTAAATTTAAAGCTATTATCTTTCTTTACTTCACTATACCCTGATTTTTCTTTTTTTTTCTTTTTTTCTTTTTTTTTTTTTTGAGACGGAGTCTCGCTCTGTCGCCCAGGCCGGACTGCGGACTGCAGTGGCGCAATCTCGGCTCACTGCAAGCTCTGAATCACAGGTTCAAGGGATTCTCCTGCCTCACCATCCCAAGTAGCTGGGATTACAGGCATGTGTCACCACACCCAGCTAATTTTGTATTTTTAGTAGAGACAGGGTTTCACCATGTTGGCCACGTTGGTGTCAAACTCCTGACTTCAGGTGATCCACCCGCCTTGGCCTCCCAAAGTGCTGGGATTACAGGCAAGAGCCACCGCGCCCGGCCAATTTTTCAAATTAAATAGCTAGGGCATGCTTTCCCACGTAAAAGTGGAAGTGAGAATCTTTTCAAACAAGCAAGAGTCTGGAAAACACTTTGCATAGGGCATCATGTCCCACTTGGTCTGAAACAAATGGGGAAGAAAAAAAAATAGTAAAATCTCTATCTCTTTAGAAAGAGCATTGCCAAAAAAAAAAAAAAGGCATTGCCTAGTGAACATGACAGTAGAGGTGGGAATCTCACTTCTGTGTGATAAAGAGCTAAAAGAAGGGGGTACCACACACTCCAGGTCTGGAAATGTTTCCTTGCTGTGAACAGTACTGCCCCAAGAACACATAAAATTCTCAAGACAAGGGACAAATCAAGAGGGAAGAAATGCATTCATGGAAACTTTGTTTCAAGTCAGACATATTTATATTATGTCTACTTTGTGTCAGGGACTATGCCGAGTGCTGGGTTCTTTCTAATAGTGAGCAGGAGACTCTTCTTTCAGAGTTCACAGTCTAGGGGAAGAGTCTGCAAGCTTTTTTGTAAAGGTCTACATGGTAAACATTTTAGACTTTGTGAGCCATGTGGTCTCTTGCAGATACTCAACTCTGTGGTTATATCATGAAAGCAGCCATAGATAATATGTAAATAAATGGATGTGCCTGTGTTCTAATAAAACTGTAGTTGTTGGCAGATCCCTGGTCTAGAGAAAGAGATGTTAAACATGCAATGGCAAATGAGCTACATCATTGCAAATACGCCAAGCTCTAGGAAGGAAAAGCATAGGCTACTCCAGATCGATGGGCTGGACTAAGCCTCAAAGATCTTAGGAGCTGGTAAACAAAAGAGTGCAAATAAACAAGTCCCACAGAGGAAAGGTGGTGCAGAAGAGCCAGGCGTGAAGGCAGCTTGCAGGGAAAGGAAGGGAGAGAAGTCCCAGTGGCTGCACTGGTCTCAGACATACTGAAGTGCAGCAGCAGCCATGGCACTCAGGGCACCGAGATGCATTAGGGATCTGGGACTCCATTCCTAGGCAAGAGGAAACCATGAAAGGTTCTGGCACTTGGTTAATTTGCATTTCTAACAGATTCAGGGTGTTGGTGGCAAGATGCCAAGCAGGGTGATATGGTTTGACTCTGTGTCCCCACCTAAATCTCATCTTGAATTGTTCTCCCATAATTCCTATGTGTTGTGGAAGGGGCCCAGTGAGAGATAATTGAATCATGGGGGCGGTTCCTCCCATACTGTTCTCGTGGTGGTGAATAAGTCTCATGAGAGCTGATAGTTTTGTAAGCGGAAACCCCTTTCATTTGGCTCTCATTTTCTCTCTTGCCGCCGCCACATAAGAAGTGCCTTTTGCCTTCTGCCATGATTATGAGGCCTTCCCAGCCACGTGGAACTGTAAGTCCAATAAAACACTTCTTTTGTAAATTGCCCAGTCTCAGGTATGTCTTTATCAGCAGCATGAAATGGACTAATACACAGGGCGACCAGCTGGGAACCTAAACCAGTAGTTCAGGGAACAATTCTGTCTTAGCTTAAGTTCCCCAGACAGACCCAGAGACCAGGTCTTGGGAGGCAATCTCAGGAGGCATAGATAAGGGAGGAGGAAAGTGAGGCAGGGAGGAGGAAAGTGAGGCAGGGGGAAGGAAAAGCCAATACCGCCATGGGCAACTGGGGCTCTGTCCTGCTGGGGACCCACTGGGGAACTGTGTGGAACACACTGTAACGCTGACCCACAGAGGGATGCAGAAGCTGGGGCATTCAGCCCTCATGGTCAAACGCACCAGGGAGCATCAGATCCCTGAAGTGTCTGTGCTGGCTTGTTGGGCTGTGAATATCCCCCAGCATTGAAGAAAACCCTCAGATGAAGTAGAGATATACTGATACTTGAAATGGGAGGCCTTCAGGGGACAGGGGGCAGTCCACTGTGGCTACTGACAAACCCAGGCATAGGCCAAGGGTATACGGAGAGGGGCAACAATAGCGTTTGCTACAAGTAATCTTTATGTTTCATCAGAAAGTAAATAAATCAAGGCAAATGCAAATGATTTTCAAGCACTGTCAGAACTTCCTAAATTTCTCCCTTTTATGATCAAAGACAAAACTCTGCTAAACTGAAGTATGTTGCATATGTATTTTTTTGGAAAAAAATAATACCATATCACAGGGACCATGTTCAAAATATCTCACAATTTAAACAGCATGGGCACAGATCATTCAGAACAGACCTTTAAAACTCTTTTGGGGCACACATGTGTGGACCAGCTGAATAACAGCCCTATCATTCTTCTCAAAATGCTCAGAGGGTATGGTAGGGATGGAACAGGTGTGGCATTAATACAAGCACAGAATTCCCACATATGAGGCAATGCTTTGGAATCTCCAGCTGGTTCAAGCACGCACTATGCTGACAAGTAGTATGAGAAGCCTGGAGGTGATCTCAGATAAGTTTCTTCAAGCAAAACTGAATCTTCTGGCAAATTCAGTACTGATGTTGCAAATGTTAGTCCAAACAGGGATAGAGGCTCCAGTGTAGGAACACTACTGACTGCAAACACAAGTTTCCTAATCAATCTACCTCCCTGCTGTAAATAGGGAATAAAACTGTTGGTTATCCAAATTACAGTCCAAGGTCAACATGAGATTAAGGACTTGTATCTGAAGGTAAAATATTTCAGACCATTTTCATGGCTTCCAACTTGAAAACACTGCTGTAGGAGAAGCCTCCCAGCAAGGAACTACCTCATACATTTTAACAGTTCACTGTTGGCTCCCTGGTCCTGGGGTGGAGGTGCAGGGGTATAGTAGAATTTAAACACTGTCATCAGAGGTCACTGTTGTAGCAAAATTGCTGTGGCAACAGTTTAGTTACCGGAAGAAGCCTAATCAATGAAGACAAAAATTGGTGTGATACCATAGCTGCTGTCCCAACTCCATGAGGCCAATTATTTCACTGACCGTAGATATAATTTCTCCCCTTCTCTCCTCCAAAATAACTTTTATATATGGTTTGTTCTTTTCACTAACCTAAATGCAAGGTAAGGAAGGACCCAATGCTCTTGCCTTCTTCCAAACCATATTTTGCATCTCATCTTCACACTGCTTGAAGTCAGATTTGGGTTGGGCTTTCTGTGGTCCCAAGGACCACACAAGTTGATTCTGTGGCTTAAGTCCTCTCCCAGACACTGCCAACTGAAGCGGGCTTCCAACCATACCCACCTTTCCTAAAAACATCTTCTAGGAGAGAAAAACATCTTCTGGGTAAAACTTCACCAGGTATTTACCTAGCAGAATTTTTAAAAATGTCAGGTCCTATTTTCCTTCCTCTATTAACGTTTGACCATGAATTGGTCTTTTCTTCAAGAGTCTTCATCAAACTCCAATATGAATGTTTTTGACCACTTGTCAGAAGTATGCTAGGGTTTGAATGTCCAAAGTTCAATTGGAGTTGGAGGCTTAATCCCCAATGCAACAGTGTTGGGAGGTGGGGCCTAATGGGAGGTGTTTAGGTCATGAGGGCTCCACCTCATGAATGGATTAATCCTGATTGTAAAAGGAGCTTGAGGCTGTGAGTTGGATCTCCTGCCCTCTCTTGCAAGCATGCTCTGTTGCTCTTCTGCCTTTTGCCATGAGATGATACAGCAAGAAGGCCCTCGATAGCCGCAAGCCCTTCCACCTTGGACTTCTCAGCCTCTAGAACTGTAAGAGAGAAATCTCTGTTCTTTATAAATTACCCAGTCTCATATATTCTGTTACAGCAGCACAAAACAGACTAAGACAAAGTCTAGCCCTAAGGTAAAATTCACTCCTTTTTTTTTTTAACACATATTAAACACGTTGCTTTAAACTGGCCTAGTCCTGTCTTCTGACCATGTTCCTGCTCATCTGCTCCCCTACTCTGACTCCATGCTTCCAAATCAGTGGATAATTGGAAATGAACAAATTTAAAATTTAATGACAAAACATGAGTAAATGCAACAATTGGACTTGAAGCAACTAAAAGCAGGAAAACAGTCTGATGCTTCAAGTAGCCAGGACTTCAGAATTCTTGGATCTAGCATGTCTTCCTAACAGCAGTTAGGATGGTGATAATGGTGATGATGATGATGATGATAATGATAATGTTTGCTAGCACCTTATGATCTGTAAAGCACTTTCACATGTTATCTCATTTGAGCTTTTTTCAACTTTACATTATAGCTAGAACAGACACTATCCTCACTTTCATCAATGAAGAAACTGAGTCTCAGAGATGAAATGACCTGCTAATGATGAAATGACAATGCTAAGTGACTCACACAGGTAAAAGTCCAGATATAAACACAGACCTTGAGTTTCTGAATTCCATATGCTTCCCTCATAACACACAGCCTCCTCCTCCTCCTATGATAGCTTCTCATAGTGCATTTTGAACTTCTTTGTGGTTTAAATTCAGCTTCCATGTCTTTTAGATTCTTGCATTTTAGTCCTGGGTGTCTCTAAAGTTCCTGTACTCCATTAAACAACAGAGTTAAACAGGCCCTGAGTGAGGCCCATTAAGTGTGTAATGAAGACAAAATTGGATCCAAACTCAAGGTCTCAACATGGTCAGCTGGCCCCAGAGGACACAGGACTGCAAAGAGGAATTCATTTCAGGCAGATACCCATTGAGGTCTAAAGAGAGGAGGAAGTAAATATGGAAGCGGGGAAACGGTATCAGATACATTTCAAATTGAGTAAAAGTTTACTAACTAATCACAAGGCATTTCATGCTGGGAACACAAGGACAGATGGTTAGTACAGAAATAATTTAATTTGAAAAAGTTAATATAAGTTTAGAAGAAAAATGTTGGATTTACTTAATTATCAACAGTCCCCTGTTAACATGAACACACCACATATATATTTTAATGCTTTCCCATCTGTATGTCTAAAAGAGCTTATTGTTAAATCTATTAGAAAAAGGGATTTCCAACTCCCAGCTCACTAAACCCCATAGGGTGGCATTTTTAAGAGCCTGTCCCCCTACCTTACTCCATCATCCCTCAGAGAGTAGCTTCACAACAGTTTTAGAAAATGTTTAAAATGAAAAGAGTCATTTAAAGGCCACTGATGAATTCTCTGATAAGGCATACCAAAGTAGTCTCTCAATACAGATCCTTAGAAGTACAATTTAAAAAACTACAAACGTGTTGGAGTAATACCATTTCTAACAACAAAATGTTAGCACTTTCACTGATATTAACAGACTATTTAAGCCTTGCTGACAACTGAGTGCCCATCTTATTTTCCTTGTTAGAGAAGATGAAACTGAGCTCACACAGCAACTAACTAGCAGATCCAAGACCTGAACCTAATGTCCTTCCCCACAGTGCAGGCTGCTTCCTTCTATCCGAGGAAGTGCTAAAACTTCTAGCTCAGTCCATGGCATTATGTTGAATTCAAGTTAAAACTGTAGAATAGAAAATAGAATAAAACTTTTTTGCATATGCTAAAACTTTGTCTGTCTTAAATACATAAAATATTGGCATTAAATAGGAAAGAATTCAACCAATGTGGAAATTATAAAAAGCATTCGCCTTATTCATTAGAGAGCTCAGTAAGAGCCTCATCAAGCCACTCTTATTTCTACACAATTATAACATACTTGGTAGTCTGATTCCCAAGAGCACAGTATATTAGAAAAAAGAAAAACAGTCAAAGAAAGTACTAAAAGCTGGCCATGGAGCTTAGTAAGAATTGAAAGTTGACCATTAATAAATGTAAGGCAGAAGAACTCAAAAATCAGAGTAGTTGGGAAGTGTGACACCTCCACACACCTCCACAAGCGTGGGCAGTATTTCTGTGTTGTGCACAGGACAATAATTACTGCTTATGACAATGTTCCTGAGTTAAAATGGAGATGCTCATTATATTGTTTCAGGAAATAGAAGCCATTTTTAAAAGATAATACACAAAGTTGGTTAAATAAGAAAAACTCAGTTTTTAAAGGGGTATTCAAAAAACTTGACCAACTAGAATGACATGTCTTGAAGGTTCTAGACAACAATCACTAAGAGTGAACAACAAATGAATTTATCTATGTGCCATTCCCACTGTTAAAGCTTTGCGTTCACTATCTCTTGAATCCTAGCAACCAGCCTGTGAGGTAGATTGACTTTGGTATCTCCATTTTACAGAGGAGGAAACTGAGGCACAAGCAGGTTAAAGAACTTGTCAAGTCACTGGCTAGTAAGTGGAAATGCCAGGATTTGAACATAAGCTATTAACTCCAAAGCCTAAACATTGAACCAACTAGCCATATAGCTAAGTTTTAATTGTACCAGTTTTTAATTATCGTGCTTCTATACATTTCCCTTATATCCAACCAAGGAAAGCCCAGGTTTTCAAAAGTTCACTTATAAGACAGTTCTTCAAAATCTAGACTTTTTATCCTTTATTCTAGTCATTTCTTGAGCATTTCCTATATACCAGGCACTGTATTGAGCTCTGGGAATACAGAAATGAATAAAGACAGAGTAAAGAAGAAGACTGACATGTAAACAATGAATTACTATGCAATGTGTACTTATAGAAGTTCAGGAAGGTGTCAGGGAGATGCAATGCTATGCCTGCTGGTTAGGAGCCTAGAGAAGCACATTTTATAGAGCGTGAGCTCTATTGAATCTAATGATAGCTGTGAGCCCTAGGCTTCCTGAGCTCCCCAGAGCGCGGAGCACTGAGTCCACCAGAGCTCTGGGGCATCAGGGAAGTGAGGTAGACAGTGGGACCTGAGCAACATTTTATGTTTAATGATGGACTCTTTGGTTCCAGTCAGCAAGTGGGCATGTGATTCCCCCACCCCTTCAGTCTGCAGGTAAGTCGCTGTCTCAGCTAGCTGTTTGTGATGGCCACCTCATTTGCAGGCTAT
This sequence comes from Homo sapiens, assembly GCF_000001405.40. NCBI lineage: Eukaryota > Metazoa > Chordata > Mammalia > Primates > Hominidae > Homo > Homo sapiens. The sequence continues at coordinate 172,880,031 of NC_000002.12, read as the reverse complement.
GCAGGTATGCTTCCCGAAAAGTGTACAGAAAAAAGCCTGTCATGCTCCATTATATAAATGGACCAACCACTACCAAAATAAAAAGGAAAAGCTTTTGTTGTACCACCCACCTTTGGTTTCCTGAACAGTCTCTTTGGGAGGCAATTCAGAGTACTTTTCCCAGAAAGCTAAGTTGCAACTTTCCTATTTTTATATACGCTTAACAAATTATACAAGTAATCCATTTTTTGGAGACAGGGTCACACTCTGTCACCCAGGCTGCAGTACAGTGGTATGATCACGGCTCACTGCAGCCTTGACCTTCTAGGTTCAAGTGATCCTCCCACCTCAGCCTCTGAGTAGCTTGGACTACAGGTGCACACCACCATACCTGGCTAATTTTTTGTGTTTTTTTGTAGAGACGGGGTCTTGCCATGTTGCCCAAGCTGGTATCAAACTACTGGACTCAAGTGATCTGCTCGTCTCGGCCTCCCAAAGTAATTCATCCTTATTGTAATAGAGATGTAATAAAATATCAAAGGTCAGAAGTACGTAGAGTAAAAAATTAAAAGTCCCGCTTCGTCACTCCACCCCAATTCCTCTCTTTGCTGCACTGTCAACGGTTTGGTATATAGTATTACATGACTTTATCTGTGTATTTATGTACATATCTAAGTATATATACAAAGCTATGGCTTTAGGTTTATTTTTTAAATGAATGGAATCATAATCATATGTATTGTCCCTGCAGCTTCCTGCTTGGGCATTAGCAGTGTGTCTTGGAGATATTTCCATAACAGTATATATAGATCTCTCAGTTTTTTAAACAGCTTATAGTATTTCAAGTTAAGCATGAATTATGATTTACTTAACTAGTCCTTTACTGATGGACATTTAGAGTTTTTCCAGTAGTTGGCTATAGCAAACAATACTACCAAAAACAGGCCCTTATATAATATCTTTATGAACATGTGCAAGCATTTCCAAAGGAGAGATATCTAGACTTAGGGGTATTTGGCCAAATGGTGTGTGCATTTAAAATTTTGATAAATACTGCCTGTCAACTGCAAAATGTAACTAATATTTGCAGCCCCACCTGCAGAGTACAAGAGTACTTGTTTCCCCACAGCTTTCCCATCACTGCATATTTATTGATTACTTCCATCACTGCCAATCTGGTGAGTGAAAAAGCATATCTAATTGTCTCCATTTACGTCTTTATGACTACTAGTGATATTTACATAATTATCGACCAAAAGAAGAAATATATTCCTTTCTTTGTGAATCGCCTATACACATTGTTGCCCATTTTTTCTAGCTAGTGGACTTTCCTTGTCAATTGATAAAATATTTTGAGTTCTTTACTTTAGCAGGGAATGTAATATATAAGACTTCTCATCCAGGTGTTGTTTCTAAATCCATCTGTCTACTTTACCTGCCTTCATTCTCCAAAAGAATAAAGTTCTGATGGCTCTCAGTGAAATATGCTGTCCCTTTCCTGAGCTTCTTCCCGACAATTTTTAACAAACTTGGATGTTTTTTTAACAGGAATAACTACAGAAATAATCACACACTGCAATCTGGACAGCTGCCATCTGCCCCAAGCTGTAGTTATAGTCCTTCCTAGAAATGAACAGACTCTCCTAGAAATAAGACTGTCACAGAGAATCCTTCTGGATACAAACTCACATGGACATCAGAATATTTTGAGGTAAGGTACAAGGTTAGAATGTGAATGGGTCCATCAACAATTGGGTGAGTGGGAAAAAGATAGAAGAGAATGATTAGGGGAGGTAACCTTGTCAATAGAAAATGTGGTCAGAAGGACCTACACAGAAATGATGGAGGAAGAATAACCACAGCATCACTTCCCCCATCTCTAGTTCCACTTTACCACCTCTCTAACCTTACGCTGTTTTTCACACCAGGTGGGTGTAGAATTAATTCATTTGAAGTGCAGATTCTAATGCAAAGAGCACAACTTAAGTAATTTGTTCTAACAAATTCAAAACCTGCCTCCCACAGCAAATTAGTAATGCTGGCTGAGTCACGGAGGGGTCACAGACAAAGTTTCTTAGAGTTTATTTGCCTCTATTCTTAGCAATCATCTTAGAGTGAAAGAACAAAACATACTGAGGATCTATTCATATTGCAGATTTCCAGTATGTTTAAAATTATACAGCACCATCTTTCCAATAGCTAGGAGAGTCACTGCTTTCCAAAGGTATGGAGAAGACAGAAGGTCCCTCACCCATAACACACTCCAGGGGCATCAGGGTAGCAATGAAGAAAGAGCTTCAGGCCAGCACTTGGCTGGGTGCTTTCCAGAATACAGGCAGCAAGGGCAGAAGGAAGGGGTCTTTTATCTGAGAGGCCGGTCTAGGGCATGTGAAGGACTTGGGTTACAGCTGGTGCCGCAGCCCAGCAAAGTGAGAAAAGCAAGGTTTAGTTCCAGTAGGGAACAGCTCATCATCCAGGTCTTGAACTGGACTTTAAACTCATTTCTTTTCTTTTTTTTTTTTTTATACTTTAAGTTCTGAGATACATGTGCAAAATTTACGGTTTGTTACATAGGTATACACGTGCCATGGTGGTTTGTATGCATGGTGGTTTGCTGCACCCATCAACCCATCATCTACATGAGGTATTTCTCCTAATGCTATCCCTCCCCTGGTCCCCCACCCTCTGACAGGACCCAATGTGTGATGTTCCCCTCCCTGTGTCCATATGTTCTCATTTTTCAACTCCCACTTATGAGTGAGAACATGTGGGGTGTTTGGTTTTCTGTTCCTGTGTTAGTTTGCTGAGAATGATGGATTTCCAGCTTCATCCATGTCCCTGCAAAGGACATGAACTCATCCTTTTTTATGCCTGCATAGTATTCCATGGTGTATATATGCCCCATTTTCTTTATCCAATCTATCACTGATGGGCATTTGGGTTTGTTCCAAGTCTTTGCTGTTGTGAATAGTGCTGCAAAAGTGATAAAGGGGATATCAGAGAATACTATAAACACCTCTACGCAAATAAACTAGAAAATCTAGAAGAAATGGATAAATTCCTCGACACCTACACCCTCCCAAGACTAAACCAGGAAGAAGTTGAATCCCTGAATAGACCAATAACAGGCTCTGAAATTAAGGCAATAATTAATAGCCTACCAACCAAAAAATGTCCAGGTCCAGACTGATTCACAGCCAAATTCTACCATACAAGGAGGAGCTGGTACCATTCCTTCTGAAACTATTCCAATCAATAGAAAAAGAGGGAATCTTCCCTAACTCATTTTATGAGGCCAGCATCATCCTGATACCAAAGCCCGGCAGAGACACAACAAAACAAGAGAATTTTAGACCAATATCCCTGATGAACATTGATGCAAAAATCCTCAATAAAATACTGGCAAACCGAATCCAGCAGCACATCAAAAAGCTTATCCACCATGATCAAGTGGGCTTCATCCCTGGGATGCAAGGCTGGTTCAACACATGCAAATCAATAAATGTAATCCAGTATATAAACAGAACCAAAGACAAAAACCACATGATTATCTCAATAGATGCAGAAAAGGCCTTTGAGAAAATTCAACAGCCCTTCATGCTAAAAACTCTCAATAAATTAGGTATTGATGGGACATATCTCAAAAAAATAAGAGCTATTTATGACAAACCCACATCCAATATCATACTGAATGGGCAAAAACTGGAAGCATTCCCTTTGAAAACTGGCACAAGACAGGGATGACCTCTCTCACCACTCCTATTCAACATAGTGTTAGAAGTTCTGGCCAGGGCAATCAGGCAGGAGAAAGAAAGAAAGGGTATTCAATTAGGAAAGGAGGAAGTCAAATTGTCCCTGTTTGCAGATGACTTGATTGTATATTTAGAAAACCCCATCGTCTCAGCCCAAAATCTCCTTAAGCTGATAATAAGCAACTTCAGCAAAGTCTCAGGATACAAAATCAATGTGCAAAAATCACAAGCATTCTTATACACCAATAACAGACAAGCAGAGAGCCAAATCATGAGTGAACTCCCATTCACAATTGCTTCAAAGAGAATAAAATACCTAGGAATCCAGCTTACAAGGGATGTGAAGGACCTCTTCAAGGAGAACTACAAACCACTGCTCAAGGAAAATAAAGAGGATACAAACAAATGGAAGAACATTCCATGCTCATGGATAGGAAGAATCAAGATCGTGAAAATGGCCATACTGCCCAAGGTAATTTATAGATTCAATGCCATCCCCATCAAGCTACATCAATGACTTTCTTCACTGAGTTGGAAAAAACTAAAGTTCATATCAAAACAAAAAATAGCCCACATTGCCAAGACAATCCTAAGCAAAAAGAACAAAGCTGGAGGCATCATGCTACCTGACTTCAAACTATACTACAAGGCTACAGTAACCAAAACAGCATGGTACTGGTACCAAAACAGAGATATAGAACAATGGAACAGAACAGAGCCCTCCGAAATAATACCACACATCTACAATCATCTGATTTTTGACAAACCTGACAAAAACAAGCAATAGGGAAAGGATTCCCTATTTAATAAATGGTGCTGGGAAAACTGGCTAGCCATATGTAGAAAGCTGAAACTGGATCCCTTCCTTACACCTTACACAAAAATTAATTCAAGATGGATTAAAGACTTAAATGTTAGACCTAAAACCATAAAAACCCTAGAAGAAAACCTAGGCAATACCATTCAGGACATAGGCATGGGCAAGGACTTCATGTCTAAAACACCAAAAGCGATGGCAACAAAAGCCAAAATTGACAAATGGGATCTAATTAAACTAAAGAGCTTCTGCACAGCAAAAGAAACTACCATCAGGGTCAACAGGCAACATACAGAATGGGAGAAAATTTTTGCAATCTACTCATCTGACAAAGGGCTAATATCCAGAATCTACAAAGAACTCAAACAAATTTACAAGAAAAAAACAAACAACCCCATCAAAAAGTGGGCAAAGGATGTGAACAGACACTTCTCAAAAGAAGACATTTATGCAGCCAAAAGACACATGAAAAAATGCTCATCATCACTGGCCATCAGAGAAATGCAAATCAAAACTGCAATGAGATACCATCTCACACCAGTTAGAATGGCGATCATTAAAAAGTTAGGAAACAACAGGTGCTGGAGAGGATGTGGAGAAATAGGAACACTTTTACACTGTTGGTGGGACTGTAAACTGTTCAACCATTGTGGAAGACAGTGTGGTGATTCCTCAGGGATCTAGAACTAGAAATACCATTTGACCCAGCCATCCCATTACTGGGTATATACCCGAAGGATTATAAATCATGCTGCTATAAAGACACATGCACATGTATGTTTATTGCGGCACTATTCACAATAGCAAAGACCTGGAACCAACCCAAATGTCCAACAATGATAGACTGGATTAAGAAAATGTGGCACATATACACCATGGAATACTATATAGCCATAAAAAGGATGAGTTCATGTCCTTTGTAGGGACATGGATGAAGCTGGAAACCATCATTCTCAGCAAACTGTCGCAAGGACAAAAAACCAAACATCGCATGTTCTCACTCATAGGCGGGAATTGAACAATGAGAACACTTGGACACAGGAAGGGGAACATTACACACCGGGGCCTGTTGTGGGGTGAGGGGAGCAGGGAGGGATGGCATTAGGAGATATACCTAATGTAAATGACGAGTTAATGGGTGCAGCACACCAACATGGCACATGTATACATATGTAACAAACCTGCACATTGTGCACATGTATCCTAGAACTTAAAGTATAATTTAAAAAAAATACACGTGCACGTGTCTTTATAATAGAATTATTTATAATCCTTTGGGTATCTACCCAGTAATGGGATTGCTGGGTCAAATGGTATTTCTGGTTCTAGATCCTTGAGGAATTACCACACTGTCTTCCACAATGGTTGAACTAATTTATACTCCCACCAACAGTGTAAAAGTGTTCCTATTTCTCCACATCCTCTCCAGCATCTATTGTGTCCTGACTTTCTAATGATTGCCATTCTAACTGGTGTGAGACGGTATCTCATTGTGGTTTTTATTTGCAGTTCTCTAATGACCAGTGGTGATGAGCTTTTTTTCATATGTTTGTTGGCCGCATAAATGTCTTCTTTTGAGAAGTGCCTGTTCATATCCTTTGCCCACTTTTTGATTAGGTTGTTTGTTTTCTTCTTGTAAATTTGGTTGAGTTCTTTGTAGGTTCTGGATATTAGCCCTTTATCAGATGGATAGATTGCAAAAATGTTCTCCTATTCCTTAGGTTGTCGGTTCACTCTGATGATATTCCTTTTGCTGTGCAGAAGCTCTTTAGTTTAATTAGAACCCATTTGTCAGTTTTGGCTTTTGTTGCCATTGCTTTTGGTGTTTTAGTCATGAAGTTTTTGTCCATGCCTATGTCCTGATAAACTCATTTCTTTAAAGTCAACGGCAACAACAAGGAAATCTTTACCTAAATCATTGCATTTGTACATATCTCTAGTTTGTGCTAAATGATTATGAGTTATTGTTGAATTAGGAAAGAGGGTAGCAGCTGAAGGACCAAGGAGGAAAGACCTAGAGTTGCTCTTGTATCCTTTGTAAGATATACAATCTAAAGACTATGCCAAGGTTATAATATGGATGACAGTTAAAATGTCTTGGCTTTCAAAGTATTCTCTAATACATTAACTTTAATTTTATTGTAATCTTAATTGTACATGGATACTATACCTAGCAGCATCCCTCTGAACAAGGTTCCCTGAGAAACATGAGAACATTTCCAGACAAGACGTAAAACTGGATGAATCTTGAGAAAGGTTCTTAGGAGTCTCCCAATGCCTAGTCTTGAATATCAGCCATCTCTGCTTTGTCTGGCTGTATTGAGAATGCAATTATAGACACATTGTATTCACTGTGAGAAAATTATTGGACTTTGTATTCAATGATTTACACTCTGTCCTCCAAAGTTGCATCTTCAATTAAGGAGTCTGATTCCCTCTCCTAAGCTGGTGGCATGTTATAACAATCAATTGCATTTGACTAATGCACCCAAGTAAGGGGTATTCAATAAATGGTTCCGGTCAGTCTGAACTCTTCACAGACATAGAAAGCCTGAAGTGAGAGGGGATTTGTAACACCACTACTGCTTGTGAAGCTGGAAGGAAAAGCAGGAATCTGCTGGTATTAGGCCATTCTCTCACTGCTATAAAGAACTATCTGAGACTGGGTAATTTATGAAGAAAATAAGTTTAATAGACTCACAGTTCCATAGACTGTACAGGAAACATGGCTAGGAGGCCTTGGGAAACTTACAATCAAGGAGAAAGGTGAAGGGGAAGCAGGCATGTCTTACCATGGTGGAGCAGGAAAGAGAGAGAGGGAGCGAGGGGGGAAGTGCCACATATTTTTAAACCATCAGATCTCGTGAGAACTCACTCACCATCATGAGAACAGCAAGGGAGAAATCCGCCCCCATGATCCAATCACCTCCCACCAGGCCCTTCCCCCAACAAGTAGGGATTACAATTCAACATGAGATTTGGGTGGGGACACAGGGCCAAACCACGTCACTGTTCAACTTTTCATCCTCTTAGATGAGATGTCAAAAACACAACATACAACTACCCTGGGCTTGGCAACTAGCAGACTACCCAGTTGGATTGAAGGATGCCTTATCCTAAAAGTTGTAAATTATGAAAATAGGCATAACAATGCTGCAAAGATTATTCACCAGGAGTCAGTCATATATCTTAAAAAGGAATAATAGTTCGTCACAGATAAGCCTCTGAAGAGTTTTGTTAACCAGTGCTAAAAGAACTAGTAAAGAACCATTAACAACTAACAAATGCATTTGATAGAAACAACAAAGTGGAAACAATACAATATATACCTTAAAGAAAAACAGCTCCAGAGAATAAAGCAAATTTGGAAACTGAAGTAAGATTTAGAAACTAAATATAGGTCTTTCATTTATCCAGTTTTCTCAGAAAGTAGGTTTGTTTTCAGATATGCTATTATCTCTTAATCCCACATCAAAGGCAGATGATACATCATGGGAAGGATTCTGGACCTAACATCAGACTTGAAGCTGGGCACAGCTACTTCCTTGCTGTGTGACTCCAAGCAAGTTGGTTAACTTCTCTGAGCCTCAGTTATGTTATTCATAAAATTAGAAACAGGAAAATAACCAACTGCCACCCAGAACTACTGGGAGGATTAAACAGCCATGTAAAAGTGAATTGGAAAGTGTCTTGAAAATAGCAGCTTCTCAATGCATTTTTTTTTTAATCTGAAGGACTTACCCTAATTTAATATATACTTCCTTTGGCTGGTCATTTGCTTATTTCGATAATGCTGTCATCTCAAAATACTGTTGTAACTCTTTTAGAATTACCTTCAGTGCAAAAAAAAAAAAAAAAGTCTGCTTTTTTGGGTCAAAATAGATAATATCCCTTTTAGTGAGGTCTATGAAATGGGAACCTTATTTCCATTTTACAACTGAAGGCCCTGGCAAAGAGAGGTTAAGTGATTTACTCAACGATATAAAATGTGTCAGAGGCTGAGATAAATCATCCAGATTTTGTGCCTTGCCCTCCACTACCCTCCATCTAACCCTGGGCTCTGTAAGCCATTTCTGTGAGTTCTTGAAAGGAAATCTCCTATGATTGTCACATATCCCTTGAGTCAGCTTTCTCACTGCAGAAAGCAGGCCGATACCAATCAAAACACTCTGCCAAGGGCCTCCACACCTCAAAAATCAGTGCAAGTCTAAGGCAAGTTAATTCAAAAGTTTTCCCTTTGAGCAACACACTAAATCCATTCTGAATTCACCTGAACAAGAAAGCCTCGTGCCTCTAGTTCCTGCCTGATTAGCAGGATTTCAGATATGATACAGTCTAGTTTGATAATGATGGAACAACCCTATGAGGAGAAGAAACTGCCTCTTTTTTTCCCCTAGAAAATATAGGTCACTGAATTAAAAGCAGTGGACCACTGGAAAAGCCACATTTAAACAGACTATCTGAGACTTAAGGCAGGCAAGTGGTGTTTATTTTTCTTAATTCTAATAGAAATAAATATACAAGTTTTATACCAAAAATTTAGAATTGAGTTAAAGGTGCTATACCTCTTTTCACAACATTTCAAAAGTTTTAATCAAAGCCAAAATATTCCCAAGCTACTGATTCTCCTAGCAAAATCCATAGTCTGTATTTAGTTATACGTCTCTGCATAGGAATTTTAATAAATTTAAATCTCAATTTATAGATAGGAAAAAATTATAAAGTCATATTTGAAATAGGAAACAAGCATAAAGATAAGTAATCTCACCTGGCTATATCCATGCACACAGCAGCATATCTCTCGTGATAGTCATGGTCAAACTGAAACATCCCACCGTGACTGAAGCCATTACCACCTATAATTAATTCCATGGGTTCCAGAACTTTGTTACTGAAGCCATAGCCCCAGTCTAGTCTGGGGTTTATCTGCAAGGCTGTGGCTTCTCAAAACCAGGAATAGGAAAACAAATCCTGACATAAACTGACACAGGCCACAGCTACTTAAGAGGGATAAAAAGCTTAAAGATTGAACTGGCATTTTTTCCCTCTCTCATGAAGCATAAAGGTCTCCACAAGTTTAGTTGGGTCCTTATTCAAAAAAGACATGATGGATAGCTTCTCAGAACTGGCAACTGGCCTACCAAGATATATATCATAGAATAGAATAGAACAGAATAGAATTAGATAGATTGATTGACTGGCTGATCATATGCATATATACGTCATACAGTATAGTGTACCGGGTCATGATGTGAAATGTATTCCTACTATGGGTTACAATAAAAGAGGCTTGAAAAGTAGTGCAACAGGGACACCCTATCTCCCCCTAATTGGGTAAGCTGCAGGTGAAAGCAGCAGTATCCACACAGTGGTAACAGCAGAGGGAAGTGAGTTAATAGGAAGGCAGCGGGACTCGGGAATGAGGAGATGACTCAGGGGTGCTGCAGCACACCCAGGTTACCAGTTTGTCAGGATTGCTCCTAGTTTGAAATGCCCACTCCCCGGGAGTGGAGTTCACCCGTAGGATGTCCCCAGCTATTAAGCACCTATGATTTCCAGTGCATTTGTCTCCATGAAGGATGTCAATAATAGTATCTGCAGCCCATATAAAAAGACACTTTACCTCTACATTTTATATTTTACATTGTCTGAGCTCAGATTTCTGGACTTCCTTTTAGATATGACATACAATCCCTGCCCTCCAAATGCGTATGTGAGACAGAGCAGATAAACAAACACACATTCAATAACAGAAATATACTTATATTAAGGCTGAACATACAAAATCACCATTTTTGTAGGTCAAAAGTAGAGTCAAATATCAGCAATATTGTATGGTTGTGCATAATAAAAATCATCAAAATGCAGTGAGAGGGTGGATGGCTAAGAGGCTGAGCTGACAAACACCCCCATCCCATATCCCATACACAGCTACATGGGTGAAACATCTAAATATTAGAAAACAATTTTCCATCTATAGTTCTCAAGACACAAAATTTACCATTAACTCCATGCAAGATGTTGGACTTCCTGTGCTTTCTAATATACAGCATAAAATTACCCACAGGGAAAGGACTTTTAGCAAAGAGATTTTTCAATATTTTAACTTCAGATGCTCAAAATTATTCCTTAAAAAGCACATATTAATTTTTTTAAAAACCCAAAACAATAACACAATAACTAAGAATTTATCAAGGGCTCTGGTTTGGTTTTTTCCATGATAAACCTTCTATTTTAATAGAGCTGGATTGTTTATGAAGGACTTTCCTGTGTTATCTCATTGAGGTCCCCTAATAACTCCATGAAGTAAGGGTTAGTCTTCATATTTTACAGATAGGGAAATGAATCATTCTGGAGATTCACTTAGAATGGGGGGAAATTCAGTTTTGTTATTTAATGTAAACTTTGTTTTCAGATCAAATTCTAGTTGGCTCCAGATACCAAAACTACAAACACTTATTGAGAACCTACAAGATGCCAGGCCCACTTTGGGAGGCCAAGGCGGGAGGATGGCTTGAGCCCAGGAATTTGAGACCAGTCTTCTCTCTCTTGCTCCAGCTCTCGTCAGTGACATGCCTGCTCCCCCTTCACCTTCCACCATGATTGCAAGCTTCCTGAGGCCCTCACCAGGAGCAGATGCCAGCATCATGCTTCCTGTACAGGCCGCAGAACTGTGAGCCCAAATAAACCTCATATCTTTACAAATTACCCAGTCTGAGGTATTCTTTCACAGCAATGCAAATGGACTAACACACACGTTCCCCTTTTAGAAGAAGAAAAACTGTAGAAACCCACTTAATTAAGATGAAGCTAGAACTATGATTCTGTCCTCTGAATTAATAAGTACTGTCAGGTTCAGACAGATAGCTGCTTCCATTGTTTGAATTTATCTGCAAGAGACATACCTTTAAAGAGGGCACAGGCACCATTCACAGGAGAGAGCTGTACACATGGCTCTTTCCTCCCACTCCCCAATACAAAGATTCCTTCCCCTCTGTCTCCCTTCCCCATTACATTTTCTCTTATTAAAACATAGAATGAAAAAGTAGAGACAGTCTGTGCTATATAAGAGCATGTTATGCAGTCTGCTCTAATTCTACAAAATGAAATACAGGACTCATACTTTCCAGAAGCATTAGGATGTCAAAACAAATTTAGAGTTCTCTGTGAATTTCAAATGAACCTTGAAGCAAAGGTCTTTCTTTCAGTTAAGTATTATCATTAAGGATATGAGTTGGGTGAATATTGATCAAAAACATTTAATTCATGCTTTTATTATTTCTGAGATTGATTACTGGGATGCTCGTTTTGTTAGGTGGTCCAATAATCTCTTCATGTGATTCCAATCTGTTCAAAATGCAATTGCATGCCTGGATGATAAGAGTCCAGCAACTGAAGCATGTCACACCTTCTTCCATTTCTCTGTCATTGACTAACAGTTAAATTTTGGATTAATTTAACTACGACATGATTTGAATTTATGAAATGTTTTACTTTCTTCATCTCTGGAAGGTTCAAATATATTCCATATTCTTCTACAAAAAGTGGCTTTAAAGAAGTTAAAAAGGTAATATAAAAATTTATTTTCCTGATCCAAATCATCAGACTTCTTCTCTGTCACAAGAAACTTTTCCAAAATGTAATTAGGGCTCAAAGGTTCAAAATAGTTTCTTAAACATTAACTCCTTTACCTATGTAGATTGGCCTGGATGGAAATTAGCTTGTGCCTATTTAATCAGGATGAAATTGGACAAGGCCAGTGGATTTAGTTCTATCTTTCACCACATTTTAATTATGAATGCCCAACAAATAGCCATACCCTCAATCATAAATCCATTTACTCATGAAGTGTTGAAAAATTAGATGGAGTCTTCCAACCATTACCAGTTTCAACATGAGATAGATACATTTCAGATGATAAGGAATCTGTTCAGATAAGCAAAGGAGTATTCTCTTGGACCTTCATGTTCAAGGGTCAAGAGTCTCTTCTCTTGAATGATTCCTCTCACCAACTCAATTCCCTTTTCCATTCCTGTGTAGGTTAAAATATTTAAAAGTTTGTATCTCATTGACCCTATGAGATCATTCAGTTACCCCAAGGACAGTAAAAGAACTGAAGGAAACAAAGAAGCCAACTGCTTGTCTAAATAGATTTATTTATCCAAAATACAGACAGTCAAAGGTTTTTTTTATTTTTAATAAGCAGTTTTTGGCTGGGCACAGTGGCTCACACCTGTAATCCCAGCACTTTGGGAGGCCGAGGTGGGTGGATCACCTGAGGTCAGGAGTTCAAGACCAGCCTGGCCAACATGGCAAAACCCCATCTCCATTAAAAATAAAAAGAATTAGCTGTGTGTGGTGGTGGGCGCCTGCAATCCCAGCTACTAGGGAGACTGAGACACAAGAATCGCTTAAACCCAGGAAGAAAAGCAGAGGTTGCAGTGAGCCAAGATCACGCCACTGCACTCCAGCCTGGCAGCCTGGCAGCCTGGGTGACAGCAAGGCTCTGTCTCAAGAAAAAAAAAAAAAAAAGAGCAGTTTTGAGATAGAAAAGACTTTCGCATTCTAAAATTTTGGCTTAATTAGCGGGACAAATTCTATAAAGTTTACACTATAAACACTAGACTATCGAAGAATGTAAGAAGATTTTAAAGTCTGTATTTCAGCCCCAAAGGAGATCAATACAACAAAATTGGTGGTGGTAGTGATAGAACATGTTTGAGAGAGGTTTTTTGTAACAGAAGGGTAATTCAGCAAATTATTGGTTTGGGCCAGAAAAACAGGCCCACCCTCAGACTGCACCATTTTGGGGTTAAAATCCAAGTTGAGTTTGGAGTTCTGTTCTCCAAGCAGAAGGGATCTGTATCCTGCCTCCCAAAGTGAGGCCTGATCTAAGCATGGGAGTCAATAGTATGTATGTATTAACGGAAGCCACAGCAATGAATGGCATCTCCCCATTTCTCCCAAAGTCAGAAGAGTGCCCCTGAATACGACTTATATTTTAATAGTGTATAAAGAAAGATAAGCCTACAGAGACTAAGGAATAGGAGAGCACTAAAAAGCTGCAAGAAAATAATATTTCAAGAAGGGAAAGGAATCCACAATGTCAAATGCTATAGAAAAATTAAGGACTGAGGCTCTCTTTCACATTCAGAACAAGCAGGCAGGGGATGACTTTAGGTAGCCAGCTTTCTGTGGAGTGGCTGGGTTAGAATTTTAATCACCGTGGATTGAGGAGTGTCTGGGAAGGGAAGAAATGGATACAACAAATAGACAATTCCATGACAAAGATTGGCTATAAAAGGGGAGATAGAGTAGATAAAGGGGTGCAAGGGGAAGATGAAGGTTTTGTTTTGTCTTGTTCTCTTTTAAATTGGAATGGTAGAAGCCCATGTACACTCAGATGAGAAGGATCCACTGGGGATGAAAAGGTGAAAGATATAAGAAATGGAAGAAATTATGCATAAAGTAAGCATCCCAAGAGGATGAGAGTGAATGGGGTCCAGGACACAGATGAAGGGGTCACGGGAGGAAAAACCTCTTCTATCTTAACCTGAGGGACTAGAAATGGATTTGTACAAATGGACTATATATATGTATGTGTATATGTATACACACATATAAAAATATATATATACACACACACATATATATAATTGCCAGTATTTGCAATGCCTCCCTCCCTTCACTCGGAAGGAGGATAAACTGCTTATTCAACCATCTATGACTCGTCCTGATGGAGGTAAGAGGAATGGGTGGTGGGGGGAGTGGCCAACACCAAGACAGGCTAGTGTGCTCTACCCATGCAGGAATAAGAAAAGGCAGGCCAGGGTAAGAAGGCAAGGCAGATGAGTGTGGCAGCTGGTGAAGAAACAGAGGAAGAGGGCAGAGGGCAAGAAGAAACGAACTGCCACCAGGAGGAGCCAGACTTTGGGAAGAAAGACATGTAAAGATGATTTTTAGGAAATCTAGCTATATATTTTAAGACTAGTGCCCTTTTTGGTCTTGGCTGACTCCTCAAGAAACTTTCAGTAAAGACCTCCTTAGCCTTCCAAGGCTTCCTGGAGTTAGACTTGATTTCACTGTGTTGAACTGTCCACAAGGCAGTTGGTTTTATTTGGACTACGCAGGTAATTGATTTGTTGGCAGGAAGCTGAAATCTTGCATGGTAAGAGGTGAGGCTGTTTGCAAAAAGTGACCAAGGAGGTGGTTTGGTCAAGGATTTGAGGAGAGTAGAAATCTTCAAATGGGTGTTGGGGAGAAGGGTAGAAATGCATTAGGAGAATAGGTAAGGATGGCTCAGTTGTGCCGAGGGGTCCAGTGAGGTTGGCGGCGATGGATGTGCCACAGAAGCCATGTGGAAAGTGGTGTGGTTTTCTCTGGCACTGCTCAGCAGCCTGGCTGGAGGCAAGAGAAAGCCTACAACTGGACTGAGGAAGGGTTGGTATTGGACCTGGTAGGTGACAAGGGCAGGCACAGACCTGCTTCATTCATTTCCAAGTATCCAGTACGACAATGTCCGAAGCACAGGAGTCACTCCATAAATCTTTTGGATTTTGTTTCTGTTTTGTTTGTTTTTGAGACAGAGTCTAACTCCATGGCCCAGGCTAGAGTACAGTGGCATGATCTAGGCTCACTGCAACCTCTATCTCCCAGGTTCAAGCAATTCTCTGGCCTCAGCTTCCTGAGTAGCTGGGACTACAGTCACGTGCCACCATGCCTGGCTAATTTTTGGCATTTTTTGTAGAGACAGGGTTTTGCCATGTTGGCCAGGCTAGTCTCGAACTCCTAGCCTCAAGTGATCCACCCACCTCAGCCTCCCAAAGTGCAGGGATTACAGGCGTGAGCCGCTGTGCCCGGCCAATAACTCCTTACTGAATGAATGATTGGGAGAACCAGTAATATGGACAAGAGGGTGATTGAAATGATAGGCAATGGTATCCAAACTGAACAGGGAAGGAAGTGAAGACAAGGGGGACCTAAATCGGGGGACGTACACTGGAGGTTCCTCAGGTCTACCCAGTCAAGAGCCGAATCCCAGACTCAAGAGACAACTTCTCTGAGGCTGAAGCACCCCCTGGTGGCTGATCCAGGGAGCCATGAAGCCCAATGTTCTTTCCCCTCAAGAGCAAAATGCACACCTTTTTGTGTTCCTCCTTCAATGTCCAGTGCTCCCTTCATTGCCCTTTGACCTCCTTCTCACTCATACTTTAAACCTGCTGTTTTTCCTCTCAACTTTTGCCCCAGCTACCTCAGGTATCTCTCTCACTACCCGCCTTTTTCTCTCATCCTCGTTTGTGAAAACAACCCAAATCATGGCAGATATGGGTAAAGGTAGAACCCATGATATGCCTGAAATAAGGACAGGAAAATCCTACTTTTCATAATGAAAGAAGTCAATGTCTCAAAGTCAGTGAAGGCAGACACAAATTTTAAAAGAGTCACAACCCATACATATCATCTTGTAGTTAACCCTGAACACTAGCATTCAAAATATTTTCTATCCTGGTGATTATTGCTTCTATTATGCTTTAATTATTGCTTACTGCTTATATAGTCATTGCTTAATATTGCTTATATATGCTTTAATTATTAACATGAAAAGTGGTTTTGCTATTAATTTTTATTGCAATTGTACATGACTTTGACCCGAGGGTGGGTTGGGTAGACTTTTGAAAAGGAGCCTAAATATGTTTACAACATCGCTCCTATAAAGGGCTTGCAAATGAACTTGTGGAAAACAACCTTTTTGCCAGTTGGGGGTTTGGTATAATTTTGATTCTTGCTTGAATTTCCTTAAAAATCACAATAAGTTATTTAGGGAATAACAGTTGCCAAACTTTCTGACAAATCATAATGAATGGTTATGTTCTGAAAGGTCAACTAGCCATCTTTTGGCTCCCATTTCCTCTTTAAAACCGAGCTATTTTGAGAATTTCCATTCCTCGTGCTCTTTTTTCTTCCCAACCCTGACACTATTTGTATCCCCTCAGTGGCATTTTTTAACTCAGGAAAACTTAAATAAGTTCCAAGATTGCAGAAGAGCCTTATTATTTGATGATTGTGGGTCTTGTCTGGGAAAAACTCCAAACATAGATTTGCCATTTTAAGCAATTCCTTTGAATTCTCATTCTATTGTCAGCAATAGCTCTATATTATTGGTTTATCATTGATTTTTCCCTTTCCCTTTACATAAGTTAACTAGAGCACTCCAATTTCCTCTTCTCTCTTACTTTTCTTAGTTTATAAGTCCCTGAAATACTGTATTGTTCTAGCTTTTTGATTTTTAGAGAACACACACACACATTAGACTTTGCCATAATCATAAACCCATCATTTTTTCACTCCTCACTATGATTCTTTCTTCTTTGTCACCCTATTTTAATACAATCTGCTGCCATATTCTGTCATGTTCCCTTTTGAAATATATTTCAGATTCATCTTTTCCCCCTCATTCCCACAGGCACCATCCTGTCTCAGGTCATATTCTTATCAAAGGTACTGTTCCACCCTTCTAGCCAGCTTTCCTGCCATCCTACTCAGTCCCCCACCTCCCCTGTGCTCCACTGCACACTCAGTCCACGGGGTAAATGATACTACTATATCCTGTGAGGGCAGGAGAGCACCTCCTAACACCCAGGTACATCTCTTCTCTTAATTCCTGTATGATGAATGTTACTTTCTTCATTTCACAAAGGAGGAAACTTCCTCTCCCAAGAGATTAGGTATTTTGTCCCAAACCACCTAACTTGCAAGTGTTCAAGTCACTAGCCCTCAAATCTGAAGAGGGAGGGTGATCTGTGTTGCAACAGAAAAATTAAGCATCTCCATAACAAGGATTTAATATTTAATACCTTTAAAGTCAAGGAACTAGACAGACTTGCCGTTATCATATCAAGGGCAATAGTTTTCAAGAGATGGGATTTATAAGAGAAACGTATAAATCCAAGTGTCTGCTCTCAAAGAGTTTTTAATCTAGTTGGTTACAGCATGTATCTAGAACATGCTAGATACACAGCAAATGCTAAATAAACACTTGCTGAAGTTGGGACCAGAGAATGGAAGGTGAGCCCTTGCTGCTGTCTCTGCTCAGCTTGCCACTAATTGTACTATTTAGTCATAGGATGCTTCTTAATATAAAATGCTCTCTCTGACACTTCCTTCTGACCCGGTCCCAAAGAATATCAGAACAATACACTGTTAAGAAAAAAGGCACTGAGATTACTGGGCTGCCTTCCAAACTGCAGGGGCCAATTTATTTTTTCCTAACTACAAGATAATTATTGCTGGATATTATTATGGGATTTTTCCATATGTCCTTTAGTTAGGACAGTGATGACCGAATGCTGCCTTTTAATGTACTCTGATCTCCTGCCAGCTTACCTCATTCTACCACTTTGTCTTTGGTTTTTATTTTTGTGATTATTCAAACTTCCCATCGCCTAATCAATACCTCATTTGGCCATTGCCGCTGTTGACAACACACTTCGACAAAGACTCTTTGAAAAGGGTCTTTTTTGCTGGCAGTGGGCTCATTTAAAGCAAGTTCTTGCTACGTGCATCATTTTGGCAAACAAGGACAAGTTCAAGGAAATTAGAGGCCAAACTTGACAGAGCACTGGGTGCAGCTGCTGGCCCAGCTGTGCAGTGATTCTCAACTGGTCCATTACCTCCAAAACTCAACTATTCAGCACAGCTTCCCTAGTCCAGCACTCCTGTCGGTCTAATATATTTGGCAACAGCCATTATTTCAGAAATGAATGCTCATGTGTATTTATAGAAAATCACATGCCTGCTCTATCAACAATTAAACAGATTAAGATTCAGCAGACATATTCCTCTAATTAGGACAAGATGGAAGACATAGTGTATAGAACCCTGCAGTTTGGTCAAGGTTTATTCTTTCCTAACAAGACTGCCATACTACATTTCATCAGTCAAACACCTAGGCTCGCCAGGGACACCATCTTCCTGGTATAGCATTCACTTCCTGTGTCTGCCCCATGGAATTTTCAGTCAGGGGATTCTATTTGCAACTGGCACTTCAAGATACCCCCTTTTCCCTCCCTCTAACCACACTATAGGATCAATGGACTGTTTTAAGGCTTGTTTTGAAATAACATGTGGACAGCATCATGTGGTCACTAATTTCATTCAGTTACACCCTTCCCCTGAGCCTCAGTGTATGCTGTATGCTCACACTTAAGTAGTGTCTCCTCTGAACAAAAGCCTGATCACACTGTCTGGGCCATAAATTCCATCTTGCTTCGCTCTTGCCCATGCATTATTTAAGCAATCTTCTCGGTGAGCCGGCATGAGAATTTCCCTCAGAGCAACAATCAGCAGGCGCTTTAAGCCCTGTTCTAACGGGAAATGTAGGATATCTCAGAGAGTTCCACCCATTCATAGTCTCGATAATGAAATATGATAATCTAATTTGGTAAAAATAAACTGTGAAATCAGAGATTTGAGGCAAAAACTTTAAAGATGCAATTCAGACTAGCAATCAATGCTCATTCAGTTTCTGTACCATCTCAGCTTTCTCCTTGTGCAGATGCTTAAGTGATGCTAAATTAAATAATTGACAAATTTTTAAAACTGCTGAAAATTACCATCTGTACTTAATTTTGGAATATAAAAAGGTCCATAGAAAACACCCTTTATGATTATTTTGTCTAATAACAGATATGAAACAATACAAACATCCCAGTCATAAAATATAATGCGTTTCTAGCAGGCTGGCTTTACATATTTAAACATAGTTTTTCAAAACAAAAGACCACAGGAGGAGTGAAATGCTGGGTGACAAATACATTTTTTAAAAAAACAATTGCCAAATAACTGAGTTTTTCATTTCAGATCTACTCCTCTAACCCTTCACTTCCCCGTAAAACAAAACCAAAAAAAAAAAAAAAACCCAAATAAACAAAACTCACGCACAGGCTTCCTGCAGACAGTTATGACAACCATTACTTTTTTTTACATTTCTCTCCTGGATAAACACTGGGTTAAACTGTTCTCTGTTAAGAACTTTATTAGGTTGATATTACATTTACACAAAATGAAGTCTACTTCTGTAAATAAACATGCTTGAGGCTTCCATGAAAACACAGAGAAGAGAAACAAGCTCCCTGTATATGTGAACACACTGCTAAATACATGGATAAAACAAGCTGAAACTTACACCAGACACTTCTCCCAGGTCCACCACGGCAGGAGCCCTAGGGGTACATTCTAGTTTTTTTTAAATCCATGTTCTCCTCTTCTCACTGATGGGACTACTCAGGCAACATGGTCAAGTTGCAATCAGCTTCTCCCTTAGTGATGTATGAGAGCTGGACTGATTTATCTTGGCTTTTCTGCAGCATATTAGCACTAATGTTTCTGCGTATGCATCCTACCTTTCTTTAGCCGTAGCCCCGGCTTTATCATTGGTAATCTAAATTAAAGAGCCAGTGAACAGAGCAGGGTTGTTGTCCCCCACCCCTCCCTGTTTTCCATGAAACAATTGCCAGGCAGTCACTCCCGGACAAGGATTCCACTGTTTATTCTACCGAGCCTCCTCTTCAATATTCCATTGAGACAGGAAGTCAGAGTCGCAAAAGGATAGGTCCAGCAAGACTGTCTTAGTTCAAAGGTATATTTATGATTTATGCTCGAAAACAGTAGATGGCCTCAGGAAATACTAGAGAGAGCTGTCATTTACCAGTTTTTCAGCCCAGAATTCAGAATCGACACTATTTATAAAAACAGAGCAACTTGATACTTCACCTTACTGCCCAGGGTGCACTTTACCTTCAGGGCACTCTTTCTGAGAAATCTCTTCCTTTTTCCACCAATATTTGTTTTATATACACATGCTTAAATGTTTATTTTAATGAGCTATATTGAGCTATGACTTAGCAAGTTCCATACAAAGAATAAAATGCTATAAAAATTTGGGCAGATCCATCAAACAAATCATTATTAACCTTGTTGCAACCTGCTATCAACAAACAGCAGCTGAAGCAGGAGCTAAAGGCTGTATTTAATTCATGAGCTGTCAATTCCTTTCTTTAAAACATGTTTAAAATCTTCTCAACCTCCACAAATGTTTGGGAAGAGGAAATATATCAGAGTACATTTTCATATGAAAGTTTTTAATATCTTGAAAATGTTGCTGCCTTAGCAGCACCTCAATGCTTTTTAAACTCAGATTTACAATGATTACTGAAGTAATATTAGGTTTATTTTCTCATTTTATTCAGCAAGACTTAAACCACTGTTAAGCAACAGAATTTGATGGATAACAAAGCATACCAAGTTTCA
Organism: Homo sapiens; assembly: GCF_000001405.40. Classification (NCBI taxonomy): domain Eukaryota; kingdom Metazoa; phylum Chordata; class Mammalia; order Primates; family Hominidae; genus Homo; species Homo sapiens. The sequence continues at coordinate 172,859,175 of NC_000002.12, read as the reverse complement.
TCTCTATTTTTGTGTATTTTGTTAAGGGAATACATGATCATTTTCATAATTTTAAACATGTTATTGCATTTTAAATTTTGCTTATTAAAATTAACAAATTTAACACACCCATTTTCATGTAGGCATAAAATACAGACTTGTCATTTTAAATAGCTTTATATATTCATTTCCCTAATCCTAATGACATCTGCATTTCTTCAATTTTTCATTATAAAATAAAATGTCTCATCAGAAATGCTAAATACTCACATTTCAGGTTCTTCCCCAACCGCACCCCCCAAAAACAGAAAAAGGCAATCTCAAACTTTATGCTTCTCAGCGTTTTTCAAAATTTCAGTCAGGAGAAATAACTTGAGAGGGCTGATTAGAGACTATTCAGGGTATCAGTTCTTCTTAGATTATATCACTTGGGTAAACTTTAAAAACATATATTGATTTCTGTGCTCTAAAACTTGGTTATACTTAACTGCTCCACAAACATCCAGATAAATTATTTTAAAAATTTAAATCTGGGCTTGTCACTCGGCTGCTTAAAACTCTGCATAGCTTCCCATTACTCTTAGGCTGAAAGCCAAATCTTTATCATGGCCTTCAATGACTCAGTTTTATTTCACTGGGAAGATAAGCCCACCTTCCCAGAACTGACTGGCTGGCATTCAGAACCATCAATCAATCAAGTATTGAGTCCCTGCTCTTTATGGGCCGGTCACTGGAGTATGGTATCCGAGCACTGGTTTGGGATGCTGAGAGAATTCCAGGAGCACATACACAGGCCTTCTCCTTCAGTTTGAAAGTAACATACATGAACAAGATTTTACTACTCTACAAATCAGCTTATGAACTATGACAAAATCAAAAAGAGCAAGCCAGACTTTGAAAATACATCATAAAGATAAAATCAAGGGGTAAGAGGAATACGATGAAATTAATAATTTGGTAAATGTTAATTCAAACTGACTTAGGCTAGATGAGAAAAAGGGAAACAGTCAAGAAGGAGCATAAACTCAAAAACAAGAATTGCTCAAGCCTGGTCTTGTTGTTAGGCTTTGAAAGTCATGACTCACATCAGCTAAATTACATTTTTAAAAGTTTACTATTTATCCATAACTGTGGTTCTGAGTGTTTTCAACAAATAACTCATATATGTTCATTACATTACTGTGGATATTACCTTCCTCTAAAAGTTCTCTTTATTTTAGTCACTAAAAGAATCACATAATAAACTTCACCAGTTTCCTTTTTTTTTTTTTTTTTTTTTTTTTTTTTTTTTTTTTTTTTTTTTTTTTTTTTTTTTGAGACAGGGTCTTGCTCTGTCAGTCAGGCTGGAGTACAGCCGTAGGTCATGGCTCGCTGCAGTCTCAGACTCTCCAGGGCTCAAGTGATCTTCGCCACCTCAGTCTCCCAGGTATCTGGGACTGCAGGCACGCCACCACACCCAGCTAATTTTTGTACTTTTTGTACACATGGGGTTTTGCCATGTTTCGCAGGCTGGTCTCAAACTCCTGGGCTCAAGTGATCCTCCCACCTCAGCCTCCCAAAGGGCTGGGATTATGGACATGACACCTGGCCTATTTCACCAGTTTCTATGTAAGATGGCCCAAGCCAAGATCACAGGACTCTGAAAATAGGGATTTTCATAACTAAAGATCTACTTTGTAGTTAACCAAGAGCTCATGATCCTTGAATGCAACTTGTATATAAACTCGCGTCTCAAATAATGTATACACCGAAAGACATATGAAGTATCCACTGAGTAATGAGATCTTGGGATGAGTCTGGTGCATAAGGAATTGACACCATAAGGCCCTATACGTTCCAGAATATTTTGTAGACTTCCTTCCATTGTCCTGAAAATTCACACCATTAAAAGCTCCCATTGGAAGAAATCCTAAGACTTGGATTTGCCTGTCTTCAAATCATGGTTCTGCCACTTACCAGCTGTATGACCTTGGGCAAAGTACTAAGACTCGCTCTGTGTGTGTGTGTGTGTGTGTGTGTGTGCGCGCGCACACGCGCGTATTTTAAATTCACCTGTAAAGTGGGATAATAGAGTTCTGCTTCTGGTCACAAAAGTAATTCAATTCAGGCCAGCTCTCCCACAGATAACAATTATAAGTCCTGGATAAAATATTTAAAAACAATAATAAAATTATCTGAAGGCAGTGGAGAATGACTGAGAACAGGCAGAAATAAAGGCGGGCGGGGGGTGGGTGCTGACACTTAGAAGAATGGCACTTGATAAATTACCCAATTTTTATAACTTTTCATCTAAGGACAAGGCCCAGTCAGTTCCACAGTGTGGCCAGAGTCAGATAAAAGCCTGTAGTCTTCCTGGTTGAGAAACCAGAGGACAGAGTTCAGGGAAATGATAGCAGCTAGAAAATAAAGGAGGAAATCCTAGAGAGAAGACAGCCACAGAGGGAAAGCCCCAGATTGACTACATGAGATCTGACCAAATCTCTGACTGATCCCAGTACTATACATATGTGAAGCAGACTCCAAGCCACTCAGTTAAGGAGAAAGAACTGAACAGAGATGTCTGCTGCTGTCTCAGGGAAGATGAAATTGGAATTTGAGTTTTGCCAAGTTAACTGCCTACAAAAACAGAAAATCAATACTCTTTAAAGGCATATGACAGTATTCAGAATCTCTATAATATATCACTCACAATGTCCAGAGTACATTCCAAAATTACTACACATGCAAAGACACACAAAAAAATAACCCATCCTCAAAAGAAACCAACCAAAAGAGACCAACTCTGAGATAATTCAGATATTAGAATTAACAAAGACTTTAAAGCAGCTATTATAACTAAGTGCTCAAGGACATAAAAGAAATCTCAGCAGAGAAGTACAAGTTATTAAAAAGTAACAAGTGAAAATTCTAGAACTAAAAAACACAGTATCTGAAAAAAATTCACTGAATTGACCCAATAACAGATTGGAAAAATAATAATAAAATGTGTCAGTGAACTTAAGGATAGAACAATAGAAATTAACCAATCTGAAGAACAGAGAAAATTCTTTTTAATGAAGAAGGCCTTAGGGATCAATGGGATATAACAGCATATGTATAACTGGAATTCCAGAAGGACAAGAAGACAGAGAATAGACAGAAAAAATATTTAAAGAAATAATACCTCAAATTTCCCAAAATTTGGTTAAAAAACGATATAAACTTAAAAATTCAAGATTCTCAGAAAACCCCAAACCAGATTAATAAAAAACAAAACAAAACAAAGACCCATGCCAAGGCACATCATATTCAAACTATTAAAATTCAAAGATAAAGAGAGAAACTTAAAAGCAACCAGGGGGAAAATGGCATACTATGTATAGGAGAAAACTATATTAGTAGTAACTTTCCATCAAAATTCACAGAGAATAGAAGATAATGGAATGACATCATTAAAATACCAACAGGAAAACAACACTTGTCAAGCTAGAATTCTATTTGTCAAGCTAGAATTCTATATCCAACAAAAATATTCTTCAACATTGGAGGCCAATGAAGACATTTTCAGAAAAACAAAACCTAAGACACTTAATCTCCAGCAGACCTGCATTACTTGAAACATTGAAGAAAGCTCTCCAGAATGAAGGTAAAAGACACCAGATGGTTAGCCAGATCTATAGGAAGGAAAGAAGATCACTGGAAATGTCAATATGTGGGGAAATATGAAAAACAGACAGACACACACATACTTTAAAAATATTACTTAAAAATATTACTTGTATTACAGGCAACCATTGAAATAAAAATTCTAACACTGTATTTTGGAGTTTATAACACAGATAGGTATAATATCATCAACAATAACATAAAGCATTGGGAGGGCAATAAATGGAATTATACCATTTCCAGGTTCAGTATTTGACATGAAGCAGTACAATATGAATTCTAAGTGGAATGTGAAAAGTTAATAGATGTGGTAATCCCCAGAGCAACCATTAAAAATTAATGCAAAGAGATACAATTGAAAAGCCAATGGAAAAATTAAAATGGAATTTGTGGCAGCCATGAAGGTGCCTACTTCTAGAAGTAAAAGATCTACTTCTAGAAGGATCTCCCTTCTAGAAGAAACTTGCCAATCAGCTGTGAAGAGTACAGCTAGCTGACAGCATCCAACTGCAGTGATTTTTAGATCTACTGTGAGTGAATCAAAGCTATGTTCTTTAAAGTTAGTCAATGATAAGCATGGTAGGGAGGGCCATCATTTCTGCCCAATGCAAAACTTGTTTACAAGCAATTTTTGCATTAATACTCTCCATCGGGCTTGCAGAGACATTCTCAAAACTGTGCTGCAGTCTGAGGCTCTTTCTCTTTCATCCTCATTCCTTCTGCCCCTTTCACAGGTAACAAACTCTCTCTTTCACCTCTCTATTTTTGTTGGCCTTGCATCCAATAAAGCTCTTGTACTTATAACTCAATCTTGGTATCTGCTTCCTAGGGAACCAAACTAATGTAGAATTCTATAAAAAAATTAATTAATCCAAAATAAGGCAAGAAAGGAAGAGAGAGGAATAAAAAAGCATATGGAACAACAACAACAACAAAAATAGCAAAATGGTAAACCTAAATCCAATCATATAAATAACTACATTAAATGTAAATGGACTAAACACTCCAATTAAAAACAGAAATTGTCAGAATGGATAAAAAAAGCAAAATTCATCTATATGTTCTTTATACCTTTTATATACAAAGAAACAGATAGTTAGAAAATAAAAGCTTGGAAAAATATACACCATGAAAACAGAAAGCATAAGAAAACCACAGTAACTATATTAATATCCTATGAATTAGATTTGAAGGCAATAGAGTATCACCAGACAAAAGAGATGAATTTTATAATGATAAAAAGGGTAATTCACCTAAAAGAAATAAAAATAATAAATGCATACATGCCTAATAACAAAATGTTAAAAAGCAAAAAATTAAAAAAATTATTGAAGAAAAAGACAAATACTTGGAGATTCTAATACTGTTCTCTCAATAATAGTTAGAATAAGATGAAAAAATCAGTGGGGACATATAAGACCTGAACATCACTACCAACTACATTGACCTAATTGACATTTAAAAAATACTACACCCAACAGCTGCAGAATGCACATTCTTTTCAAGTGTGCATGATAGATTTACCAAGATAGGAATACCTTGGTAAATATAAAGAAATCTCAACAGTGAAATATAAGTTATTAAAAGGTACTGAGCGAAAACCCTAGTGTGCTATAAATAAGTCTAAACAAATTTCAAAAGACTGAAATCCTAAAAAATATGTTTTCGGACCACAATTTAATTAAACCAAAAATCAATACCAACAAGATATGTAGGAAACAAAATATTTGGAAACTGACAACACAGTTCTAAAGAACCCATGGGCCAAAGAAGAAATCATAGGGGAAATACACAGTATTTTGAACTGAATGATAATGAAAATGTAACATATCAAAATTTGTAGAAAACAAAGCAGTGCTTAGAGGAAATTTATAGCTTTAAATGTTTATAGTAGAAAGGAAGAAAGGTATAAAAGCGATGACCCAAGTTTCCATCTTTAGAAGCTAGAAAAAAAAAGAACAAATTAAACCCAAAGTAAAGAGAAGGAACGAAGGAATTTTTTTAAGTCAGAAATCAATGAAATAGAAAACAGAAAGTCAACAAAAACATTAAAAATAAACAAAAGTTGGTTCTTTGCAGTGTATCTGCAAATCCTGATACACTGAAAAGATGATAACTATAATAAACAACTCTATGTCAATACATTTGAATGCTTAGATAAAACAGACAAATTCCTTCAAGAATACAATTTACCAAAATTGACACAAGATGAAATTAAAAATCTTTAATAGTGCCATATCTATTAAAGCAATTGAATGTGTTATCAAAATCCTCATAAAGAAAACTCTAGTACAAATGGTTTCATGGTATTCTATCAAATATTTATGGAAAAAATAATATCAATCCTACATGACTTCTTCAGAAAATGAAGGAGGATGGGACAATCCCCAACCATTTTATGAAGCCAGCATAATCCTGATACCAAAATCTAATAAAAATACTATAAGAAAAAAATTGCTATGAACATAGACACAAACATCCTTAACAATTACAGCAAATATCAGCAAATCAAAGCTAGCAATATATATCAATAAAAAGGACAATCATTCTTTTTACATAATAGAGTTTTTACATAACAAGTAGAGTTTATTTCAGGAATGTAACACTGTTTTAACATTAAAAAATCAACCCATGTAATGCACCATATCACTAGAATAAAAGAGAACAAACATGTGGCTCTTACTAATATGTTCAGAAACAGCATTTGACAACATTTAATATCAATGTGTGATTTTTAAAAAAACTCTCATCAAATTAAAAATAAAAAGATATGTCTTTAATATACAGTTAAAAATAATATTTAATGATGAAATATTGAATGATTTTCCCCTAAGATCAATGACAAGGAAAGGATGTCCATTATCACCACTTCTATTCACCCCTGTGCTGGTGGTCCTTGCCAGTGTGATAAGGCAGGAAAAATAAGTCAGAGGCATAAAGATTAGAAAGAAAGAAGTAAGATTCCCATTATTGGCACATAACATGATTTTTTGTATAGAAGAATCACAAGGAAGTTGAAACAGGGTAACACTAGTAATACCTACCTCATATAGTTGTTAGAAGGATTAAATGAGTTTAAATTTGATGTGTTTAAAACTCTACCTGATACAAGTAAGCACTATATAAGAGTTAAGTAAAGTTAAACAAATCTAAATATAAAATCTGAGAAGGGTTACGTTTCGGATCAACTTATTGACAATTCATCAAAATTGACAATTCATTAGCTTAAGAAGCCTTAAGGAAGATAACCTGAAAGAATAAGGAAGGTTATCTTCATCCTGGGGCTCATGTTATGAAAACGTTCAGGGAAAGTAACACTAGATGCCTAGAATATGACCAGTCCTCACTGACATTCCTAAAATAGAAAGATGAAATGTGCTACAATGTGGTGACACTGTCTGCAGAGTTACTGCTTTCATATATGATCTAATATGTCTATACAGTTACACAAACAAATCCAGGAGTTATTTTTAATGAGCACATAACTTGTTGTGATCTATAAATATTCATGGCAAAATATCCATGAAAGACATTGAAGTAAAAAGTCAGTTTGCATAATCGTATTTACAGCATAATTCAATTTTTAAAAACTTTTATTTTAGTTTCAGGGGTACATGTACAAGTTTGTTCTATAGATAAATTGCAAGTCTCGGGAGTTTGATGTATATATTATTTCATCACTCAGGTAATAAGCATGGTACCCGACAGGTACTTTTTTAATCTTCACCTTCTTGCCACCCTCCTACCCTCCACCTTTAAGTAGGCCCTGGTGTCTATTGTTCCCTTCTTTGTGTCCATGTGTTCTCATTGTTTAGCTCCCACTTATAAGTGAGAACATGGCAGTGTTTGGTTTTCTGTTCCTGTGTTAGTTCACTTAGGATAATGACCTCCAGTTCCAACCATGTTGCTGCAAAGAACACTATCTCATTCTTTTTTATGGCTGTGTAGTATTCCATGGTGTATATGTACCACATTTTCTTTTTCCAGTCTATCTTTGATGGGCATTTAAGTTGATTCCATGTCTTTGCTATTGTGAATAGTGCTGCGATGAACATACATGTGCATGTGTCTTTATAGTCGCTCGATACTTGACCAAATAGGCCTAACGGACAGCTACAGAACTCTCCACCCCAAAACAACAGAACTTACATTCTTCTCATCTGCACGTGGCATATACTCTAAAATTGACCACACAATCGGCCATAAAACAATGCTTAGCAAACTCAAAAAAACAAATCATACCAACCACACTCTTAGACCACAGTGCAATAACAATAGAAATCAATACCAAGAAGATCACTCAAAACCATAAAATTACATGGAAATTAACCCGCTTCTGAATGAGTTTTGAGTAAACAATGAAATTAAAGCAGAAGTCAAGAAATTCTTTGACACTATCGAGAACAAAGATACAACATACCAGAATCTCTAGGACACAGCTAAAGCTGTGTTAAGAGGAAAGTTTATAGTGCTAAACACTCGTAACAAAATGTTAGAAAGATCTCAGATTAACAACCTAACACCACACCTTAAGGAACTAGAAAAGCAAGAGTGAACCAACCCCAAAGCTAGCATAAGACAAGAAATAACCAAAATCAGGGCTGAACTGAATGAAAATGAGATGCAAAAAACCATACAAAAGATCCCTGAAACCAGAAATTGGTTCTTTGAAAGAATTAATAAGATAGATAGACTGCTAGTTAGACCAATAAGGAAAAAAAGAGAGAAGATCCAAATAATTCAATTTTTAAAGCAACAAAAGAGGTACGTACATAATAATTACATTGATGTGTCCATAGAAAAATGTCTGGAAGTACACAGACAAAAGTGTTAATAGTAGATAGTTCTGGCTAGTGGGAGTGGAGAAAATTTTTCTTTACTTTATATAAAATTTACTTGCATTTTAAATAATATCTGTTAATTTTTTTTTTTTTGAGACAGAGTCTCGCTCTGTGGCCCAGGCTGGAGTGCAGTGGCATGATCTTGGCTCACTGCAAGCTCCGCCTCCCGGGTTCATGCCATTCTCCTGCCTCAGCCTGCCAAGTAGCTGGGACTATAGGTGCCCGCCACCATGCCCGGCTAATTTTTTAATATTTTTAGTAGAGATGGGGTTTCACCGTGTTAGCCAGGGTGGTCTTGATCTCCTGACCTTGTGATCCACCCACCTCGGCCTCCCGAAGTGCTAGGATTACAGGCATGAGCCACCACGCCTGGCCTGATATTTTTACTTTTTAATTTAAAAATGTTACAAACCTAACTAAAGCAAAAAAATTGACATTTAAAAGTAATGATTTTTTTTCTGAGTCAAATAAGATGAAAAGAATTTTTCCTTTGTTTCCTTTAAACAAAGGTAAATTTTTATTTTAGACATCAAGATCATATTCCAGATGCTTTTATCTTTAAGATTCTCAGCATCCCCACGCCCTCCACTCCAAGTAGGAAATAGAAGAAAACATGGGTCAGGTCAAATTAAAGGGTCAGTCTATCCTTAGCTACACAGGCTCATCAAAACTGAGAGCACGAAGAGGGCAAAGGTCTTGATTCCCCTGTGAGCCTGTCTGCTTACTTCTAACTCTTGCCTTCTGACTGCACCATGACTCCAGGAACTGGTTTCCCCAACTCCTATCTGTGGATCCATGGAGACCAGTAGAGAGGCACATGGACCAAGGACAATCCATCACCATTGAAAGCACAGCATTTTAGTAAGAATAACCTTAGATAATGTTTAATTCATCTACAGACAAGCAATTTTCAGGTAAGGAAACTGGAGTCCAGAAAAATGAAGCAACTTGCCCAAGGGCGCACAGTCACTAAGAGATCTTAGTGGTCTAAGCAGGTCTCCCAAGCATCAAGATAGTGTCTTTTCCATTATGACTGAGAAAGGACAGAAAAGGGCATGTCCTATTAATAATGTTGGACCAGTGGCTGTGCCTTCGTGTACAAAGATAGTAAATTAGGATGCAGGCTAAACAAGGCCCTGAAGAGAGCAATCTTCCTGACTTTCTCATACTGCCCCAAATTGTAGTGCAAACATAAAAAACTGGCTCTGTTATTCTTTTACTTTCATTACTGATATTCCATATGATATACACTTTCTCTACAAACAATCCCTGAGAAAAAAGAGAGAATTTTCCCTATTTGAGATTTGCCTTCTGGCCACATCATTCAGAGATGCTTTTAGTATGTAACTAACACTAATAAAGGGCTCTTATTAGAATGTTTTCTGCATTTTGTTTATAGGAAATAGGAAAGCTGGAGATATTTAAACTAATGCAATGTGTTCTATTATGTTCTGTCATATTGTTTTTTATAGTGAGAACTATAAATCAGTTTCTAAGGTTTTGGCAGTAAACCAATGATTAAGCTCTGGAATTACATAAAATCAATAAATCAGAGACTGACTGAATCAAGTTGTCTGGCAAACTTGTCCAGACCATAAAGAAATCCCTCATACCTCTCTGCTAAAAAAAAAAAAAAGAAAAGCTCCCAGAGAACAGCCATTATTCTTATCTATTTATCAATGTAAGTTTTCTAAAGCCCTCTGCTATAGATGGTTATTTATTAACACTGATTAATGGTTATAATACACTCAGAATTATAAAAATGGTCTCCTTTAGTCAACATCACCTTTTTTTTCACTAATTGAGCCTTCTAACTTATTGTAAGCTCCTCTGATGCATTAGAAATATGATTCAATTACATACACCCTTGAATTTGCAGGAAGATATCTTGGTACCTGCATTCCTTATAAGAAGCTGAAGTGGGTGCTGAGAGGCAGGCCTCTTGCTGGACTCGAAGGCTGTTCACACATGCTATATTCCCACCCCTCCCCCAGATACTTCCTTGCTAATGATTTTCTAACACTGAAGCTTTGTAAAACTTTGATCTTTTGTGAAAACTCTGTAAGATGATAAAAATCTTCCAGCTGAACAAACAGACTAGGGCGGAAAGACCACCCCCTTAGCAAAGACCATCCCCTTAGCATTTGCCCTGACTCCACCCCAGTGTTTCATTAAAGTGGTATCTTTCAAAATATGCAGATGACACAGTAACACTTTGAACAAACAAACGAATTATGTGAGCCTCTACAGGCAATTTACTCAAGGTAATTAAGGATGCTAAACCAAACAAATTATCATTTTAAATGGCAAGTAAATTTTAATTAAACTTAATTTCTATACTAAAAATGAAACTACCAGCTCAACAGAAGGGATCTAGTGTGAATTAACAGGCAAAGCGTCAAGAAGGGGCTGGCGGGGGAAGAATGTATACCTTGACTTTTGATTCACAAGATTAGAACCAGGTGTCACTGCACTGTCATTGGACACTGGCTCAGGGAGAAGTGCCCTGCGCGTGAGTTTAGAATGTATAGAACATATTTGGGGTGTCTCAAGCATGAGTACATTTTAAGTGGTAAAATTGCTAATCAATAACAAAATCAACTAAAACCCAAGGTAGTTTCTTTCCAACTAGACTCTCAATCTTTGTCTTCCATTATGAAAAGGAACCCAGAAAGCTACTGCCCGCCCCAGAGATTAAGAGTCCTTCTGTAAGGAGTTGGGAGATGTGGAGATCCCTAGTAGAATGTCAACAGAGTATGATATGACCACCACTCATGAAATAATTGTGTATGATGGACCACATCCATGGGCCCCAATCAATAACCATGAAAATAAACATGAGAAAGACCACCAGAGTTGTCCCAAGATGACAAGGCTAACACATGGTCCTATTAAAGTAGATTACACCTTCAGAATAAATAATCTTAAAAATAATTATAGTCTCTTAAAAGTTTCACGTAATCCCTGGAACTAAACTACGTCCCTGCCCTTTTACATGTTTTGTCCCAATAAGGTAATGGGACTCTGATTAGACTCCAGCCACCAGTACTGGCCACCAATAAAGCCCTCAAAGAACCACCTGCTTTCTTCTCCACATGAAACACCTTGCCTGCTTCAGCATTCAGGGTCTTCCCACTTCCACCTTCAGCCCAGTGTCCCACAGGAATACACACGATGCGTCCTGTCCCCTTCAGTCCCGGCTTTCTGGTCAGGTGAGATGTCCCAGGGCAGGAGCCAAGGAGGAGGCTGAGAGCATGAGCCAGGTGGTGGCAGGGTGGAACGGGAGGAGCCTGAGCACAGGCTGGGGAAGCCATGCTGTCACCATCTCTGGCATCTGGGTACAGTCACCCTGCCACGCAAGACCATTTTCATATTGTTTCCCTAAATAGTCTGCTCTCAGGGTGACCCTAGGAGCACTATTAAGATATTTGTGACAGTGTTAAGAAGTCTGTGTCAAGCTTGTGTTCCAGGAAGCAGTGACAACTTCAGATTGCTGTATTTTCTCTTCTGTACCTGTGCCTGCAGTCTAAAGAGGCAACCCTGCAACCGCTAACTCTGGAACTAGAGAAGGAAGAACACTGCCCCTAGAAACGAAGAGACCAGAAGAGGCCCGTATGTCCCCAATTCTTATATTTGCTCCTGATTCTTGCCAGAATGGTATTCAATCATCCATTAATTCATCAAACAACCACTGGGCACCTTCTACACGCCAGGCACTGTACTAAGCTCCATTCCATCCTCAGGTTGCTCACATTCCAAAGGGAGGAGAGACATGCAAACAGGCAATTCCAAAAACACGTGCTGGAAACTCATGATGGAATGGCAGTGCCTGGGAGGAGCACAGAGCATCTGTGGAGGGGCATAGTCAGGGGAGCAGACTGAAAAACCTGCCTGTGACCAAACATCAGTCCCAACAGAATGTGTCTGCTCCTGTGACCCACCAGCATAGGGGCTGGGCCGGGCCTTGTGTGAGAAGTGCTCTGTCTCCTACAGTAAAGCGGAAATCTCAAGAATGCAGGACCATATTCCCAGTGTCTAGCACAGAGCGTGGTTCACCATGAGGGCTATTCAACAAACATCTGTTGAGTAAATGCACGATCTAAGAACTGAGATCTGCCACTGGGACTTTTTTTTGGCCAGAATCTGGGAGAGGGAAGATCTTAGAAGTCACCTAATTAACCCAACCCCCTAGACTTCACAGACTAGAAACTCCTTTAAAAATGTTTGCAGGTGAATAGATAAAATGTGGTATATCCAGTCAATGAAATACTATTCAGCAATTTTTAAAAAGAACTCCTGACACATGCTCCATCATGGATGAATCCCCAAAACCTTATGCTCAGGGAAAGGAGCCAGATGCAAGACGACATGTCATATGATTTCACTTCTATGAAATGTCCAGAAAAGGCTAATTGATAGAGACTGAAAGTAGGCCACTGGTTGCTTGGGACTGAGGGTAGAACAGGATTAACTATAAATAGGCATGAGAGATCTGATTGGAAGGATAAAACTGCTCTAAAACTAGATTATGACAGTGGTTACACCATCTGGTAAAGATACTAAAAATCATTGAATTACATTTGAAATGCATGAAGTTTATGATATATAAAGTACACCTCAATAAGGTGGTTTAAAAAGATTTGCAAAGGGAGTCATAAGCTACAGGTTTGTCCTCCTGCTGCGGTGAGGAGGGTTTGCTATGTTGTTGAAAACAACAAAGACAGGAGCCTAGATTTGAAAAGACCCTCCGTCTCTTAATTCCCAACCCCAGTGTCTTCCATTCCCCTGAGCTACTGTGCTGTCCTGAAAAGCCTACTTACAGACAGGAACCAGATGAATTGGCAGGGACTGGAGAAGTGAGAAATAGGGAGTGACTGCTAATGGGTGTAAGTTTTCCTTAATGGGGTGATGAAAAACTTCTGAAACTAGACAGTAGTGATGGTTGCACCACATTGCGAATGAACTTAATGCCACTGAATTGTATATCTAAAATGGTTAAAATGGTAAATGTCACGTTATGTGCATCTTAACCACAATTTTTTATTAAAAGTCTACTTGTAAATAGGCCATGCTTCAGGAACATTTTCACATTTCCTTTCCATCTGCCAATTCCATTCCCCAGTACCACAGAGGGGCCAGCTGCTGTCCCAGCTACATCATGTCAGGATGTCTTAGTCCAGGTGACAGCACAGCTCTAAGCAATTTTTTTGCTGCCTTCTATCACCTTCCCCTTGGTTGGCAAACATCAGACATTAATTAAATACAAAAAAAAAATCTGGGTTTGGTTTGCATTTTAATCCTGCCCACTTGAAACTGGCTGGCATCATTCAAAACAACACATGCAGGGCCATTCCCTGAACTGTCAGGCATCTCATTAGGCGTTGCTTCCTGGCTCCCTGAAAGCATAAGAGGCGATGACTTCTCCTGTAATGTGGTTAGCCATGGCATATTATGAAACACTTGCTGCTCAGGCAGAAATACTATAGGTCCATGAAGCTCAAGGACTCCCTGTCCCCACATAACTCAAAGAACCTCCAGCTTGGCCTGAAATCACTTCCACATGATCCCTATTGCAAATGCCCTAGGTCACTACAGTCAGTGACACTTCCTGGAGTACTTCTTTTCATCAATACCATTTGTATTACTATTCCCATCAGAAAATCTGTAATGTGGGCTAAAATTCTCTTTCCTTCTTCCCAATAAGAAGATGGATTCCATTTGTATATAGTAAGTTGCCCAAGGATACCAATTTATTTAGGGGCAGGAACCAGGGTCTGAACATGCTTTGCATTCATATACATATTTGCTCAATGTTGTACGTTGAAAGTTAGGATTATCAGCTATAAAATATTTTCCACATCGTAGATGACATTAAACTGAAACTATCACTTTTGAGTGGCTTACAATATGTCTGCTATTGAATGAACTAAAAACAAAAACAAAAACACAGGCCTTAGGTTTCCATTTGTGAAATAAAATTTGGAGAACAAGTACAAAATGTCAAATGTCTCAAAGAAGTCCTCTGAGGAAATTCTTCTTTACTGCCAGCCAAAAATCACAGGGACACACTGTGGCTGACTTTTTTAATTGTGTTTTTTTAGTTGCTGGATAATTTTCTGACCATTAAAGACAATCACAGCCAAGTCTAACAATAAAAGTAATTGAATCTCATGCTTGAGAGTATACAGCCCATTCACTGTAAGGAGGAGAGGAAGGAGGCAAATGAGAGGATGCAAGAGGTCCTGAAGTCATTTTCTCTCCTGAAAAGCAGAGCCTGCCTGCACAGGAGAAAAGCCCAAGATGGAAGTACATTTTTATTTCCCGAGTGCCTCACTTTCCAGGGCCCATTCTCCCAAGTGGCACCTGAAAGCCACCAGAGGCCGAAGAGGCTTAACCCTGGACTCTGCCCAAAGTCTCTGCCCAAAGTCTCACAGGTCCAGCTCAGCACATCGAGATGAGGTTTCCAAGAGAGGACAGGGTGAGGCCATGACCATTCTGCCCTTGGGAGATTGTGCTTGTTCCAAGTCCCCAAGTCTGGACACGGACAGAGTACACAGACTTACCTGGCAGTGTATACTGATCAACCCGTAAAATACAGCCTAATGTGGAGTACTTATATGTCAATTGCAAATGCCAAATCAAATATTCAGCTTCTTCTTTATGTAAACTGCTTCTATGTAAAGCAAATAACACTGTTTCTGCCTTCAAAGGATTTGCAATTTAACGGCAAAAATACCAGCACCTGTCAGAGATAAGATAGCCAACCAGAAAAAGAACTGGTGTCAGAAACAGATCTACTTCTGTGAACAATTCCTGTGTACAGCTTTTCAGATGGAGTTGGTGCTCACTGAGAAGGCCTTTACAGATTGGTCTTTACAGATAACAGATCCTAGCGTACGCCTTGGGTAAACTACTTAATTTTCCAAGTAACGCTATTCTCATCCATGAAATTATGACTCAGATCTAGATCTCAAAATCAAATACATAATATGTATGCAATGAAATACATGAATATTCACACTAAGTGGGATGAATAGAGACTATAAACAGCTTTATGTCTATTCAATACCTGTTCAGGTCAGGTTTTGCTGACAAAAGAGCTCACAAGAACTTTTCATCTTTTGAAACAGTTTAGGTTTCAAAGTGGTAGTAAGGGACTGTGAGGCTTGTAGTAATATCCCAAAGGACTACTCTAAAGGCAAAATAAAATAACTATATAATTACATTTTGAAGAAAATCTTAATTTTGTAAATGCACTTAAATCAATTATGTCCTTTATCTGTTCAGAACTCACTGTGGGAGCTCAGGAAACACTAATTATCCAAGTGTGCATGCTTTGACTTGCCCCCGGCAAATTCTGTTGGAAAACTACTGCCCATCTCTTTAAGGATAGAGCCTATATTTTTACTTAGCTCATAACAGTGACATTATCACTGTCCTATTTTCCCCTTTTCCTCTTATCCAAGTATTTTGAACATCGTATTATTCCTGGTAATTTCTCTCTTTCCTGTCACTTTTTTCCAGTCTCTATTTGTACTCCATGCAAGGCCTTATCTTGGCATATCTAGACTACTGTAATAAACTCCCAGTTAATGACACCACCTCCAACGATCCTGCACACTCCAACCAGATCATTCTAGTTCATCATCACTGTGATTACATCAAAAACTTGAAAGCATCACCAGTGTCAGCAGGACTAAATCCAGATTCCTTAGCTTAGACTCCCACCCATTTTCCAAGCTCCACCCAACATGATTATCCAGACACCTGTAACTGCACCACCTCTGCAATCTCACTCCTATCATTCCACGGCCTGTGGGGCAGACTATGTTTTCCCAAATGGCCACAACAGTATCTCCCCTCCCACATGCTCATCCTACAGTGTGACTTGAAGATGTTAAAAGCAAGGCCTATGTTCCCTCCCCTTGCATCTGGGTGCACTTGTGACTATGACGAAAGTGGCAGTGAATGACTTCCAAGGCAGGTCATAAAATTGAAGAAGCTTCTGCCTGGTTCTCTTGGGACACTGGCTCTTGTCATGAAGCCTCTTGCTGGGAGGAAGCCAGGCAGTCACATGGAACAGCCATATGTAGGTGCTCTGGTCAACAGCCACAGCTCCTGTCAGCATCAACCAACACATGTGCCAGGAGCGATCCTTTGGGTGATGCCAGCCTCCTGTGTGTTGCCCCAGGTGATGCCCAGTGGAACAGAAGCAAGCTGTTCTCTGTCTCATCCCCCAACCCAATCCAAATGGCAAATTCAGGAGAAAATTAAGAGGTGTTGTTGTTTCAAGGCACTACATTTGGGATTGTCTGTTATATAACAATAGATAACTAGAATAGACTAAAATACCTTCCCCTTCTTTTTGGCCTTCTGCAATCCAATCCACCTGTCAAAGCCCAGTCAGTATAGACTTCACCTCCTTCATGAAGTTCACCTCAAAGTAATTTTTGTCTCTCTTTCTAGCTTGAAGCTTGAATAGCACTCAATAAAGACCTGCCATTGAATGCATATTAATATCATTGTGCCCTCCAAATTGAACCAAAATCTCCTTGAGAGAAAAGACCATGCTGTGTCTTCTTAAGAACCCTTTCCCCACATCTCTCAGAATATCTTACACATAACAGATGGTCTATATATACTTGCTGGATGAATAATTTTCTAGCCTCCCGAGTAAAATGCACAGTAGGTCCTGAATAAAGGATACACACTATGGCAGGTGTTTACTAGAAAAGAAAATATAATAGGAGAATGAGGGACAATAAAAATAATTTTTCAATGGAAGATAAGGTAGTTGTAGGAAATTCACACTTTTCAAGTTTTTTAACTGCCTTTTAACTGCTTTTAAATTTATGTTCGTGTGTGTGTGTAGTGTGTGTGTAGTGTGTGTGTAGTGTGTGTGTGTGTGTGTGTGTGTGTTATTCAGCCAACATGTAGATTTGGATGTCTGTTTGGGGAATTGTTCCCTCACTAATAATTAAATCCTAAACGGCCATTTTGAGAAGTGGCAGTAACCATCCACATTCTATAATCTTGTAATTACTCAAGTGTAATGAGAATATAGGAGTATTTAGAAATAGGCAGAGTGTTTCTTGTAAATTCCATCTGTATCAGTACTTCATAAAATGGAGGTCATGCACCCTAGACAGCTGTCATTGGATAAGCTTCATGAAGTTCATGTCCAAAATTATATCCAAAATTGTAAGTGTGTGTGTGCATTGTCTCAATCTGTTTGTATTGCCATAAAGGAATACCTGAGGCTGGGTAGTTTATAAAGAAGAGGTTTGTTTGGCTCATGGATCTGTTGGCTGTACAAGAAGCATGGCACCAACATCTGCTTCCAGTGAGGGGGCTGCCTTCACTCATGGCGGAAGATAAAGGGGAGCTGAAATGTATAACGATTACTTGGCAAGAAAGGAAGAAAGGGGGAAGGAGGAGGTGCTAGGCTCTTTTCAAGAACCAGTTCTTGAGGGAAGTAAGAGCGAGAACTCACTCACTTCTTGGAGTGGCACAAAGCCATTCATGAGGGATCTGCCCCCACCAGCCAAACACCTTCCACAGGCCCCACCTCCAACAGTGAGATCAAATTCCAACATGAGACTTTGTGGAGCCCAACAAACTATATCCAAACCATAGCATGCATTTTTCTGGGGAGAGGGTCTATCACTTTCATCAGGATCTCAAAATAGTTTTGGACACTGTTAATTCAAGGCTTTCCCTTATCACATTAGCTTTTAAGCCCCATTCAGACATAGTGCTATGGCGTCAGCCCTGGGCCAGTAAGAGGAAAACCAAGGCTGGTCCTGGCTCTGCCAATGCCCAGCATGGTGGCCTTAGGGAAACAGTTGAAAGCTCTCTGGACCTGTTTCTGCTCTTCAGTTCATAGGCAATGAGTGATCTCTAAGACCCCTAGAGCTAACAAGACATCCCAAGACAATTTCCCTGAAAAAGGACCTGCTAAGGAAGAAGAGGGCAGCTTCACTTGATGCTTTTGGATTCTTTCCTACAAAAGAAGTATAATATTCACCTTAAATAAATCCATATCTAACTGCTAACAATTACTACCTTAATAAATATTAACTGGGTGCTCACGATGTGACAGTCAGCAGTGATGAACTTTTCATGCAGTCGCCTAAGACTTGGCTGTTACTGAGTAGCTCGCCCCAACACTGCAAATAACTCTAGCAGGTAAAGTAGACAGTAAAAGTATCAACAACTAAGAGAATGGCACAGAGGACCAAAGAACAAGTGGTTGATCACCCAATGGGTAGAATAGGCGTTGTGCAGATGTTGAAGTGGAAACATAGTACTCTGCTATGATAACCAGGTTGATCTGGCTAATCTGTCCTGTTGGGTCAGGGCTCACTCCTTCTTCGCCTTCCAGAATTGCATGATCAGTTAAGAGAACAGTTTTCCTTCCTGGAGGAAAATGTTTCTTTAAAGATTTGGAAGTAGCTGCACTCTGGCTCAGAACCTCTAAACCAGCTCTGACAGGAATAGAGAGCCATAAACAAACAAAAAGCTAGCGAACACAGATCCTTAATGGAAGAGAAGCCATATAATGAATAATTTGGACCCAGGGATGCTCTGACCATAATTCGTCACATGCTCAAAGGTTTCAATGGAGGAAGTAAGATTTTATAAAAGCTTTGAATTAGAGATGAAACACAAGACAAAGTACTAAAGAGAAAGAGGCTTTTAGCACTTAAGAGAACAGAAAATATGATATTGATCATTTCACTTCTTGACCCATACATGTTCCTCTTAATGTTAGCAACTTTTATATTGATACTCTGCCTTTCATATGCATATGACTTACCTCTTGAATTAGTACCTCCGTACGCCCAATGCCCAGGAATTTTTTTGTATCTCCTTTGTGTAATGATGTGCCACTACTAAATACTCAGTAAATATACTATGAATGAATAAAGGTAGCTTCTCCCTAAAGCTTAAGATGATGATAAAGCTGTCAGAGGTATGTAAACCAGAACAACTCCATCTTAAATAGGAACTGGGTAAAAGGAGGCTGAAACCTACCGGGCTGCATTCCCAGATGCTTAAGGCATTCTAACTCATAGGATGAGATAGGAGGTCAGCACAGAATACAGGTCATAAAGGCCTTGTTGATAAAACAGGTTGCAGTTAAGGAGCTGGCCAAAACCCACCAATACCAAATAATGAAGAGACTGACCTCTGGGCATCCTCACTGTTACACTCCCACCAGCGCCATGACAGTATACAAATGCCATAGCAATGTCAGGAAGTTACCCCATATGGCCTAAAAAGGGAAGGCATGAATAATCCACCCCTTCTTTAGTATATCATTAAGAAATAACCATAAATATGGGCAAACAGCAGCCCTCAGGGCTGCTCTGTCTACGGACTAGCCATTCTTTTATTCCTTTACTTTCTTAATAACATTGTTTTCACTTTGCACTGCAGACTCGCCCTGAATTCTTTCTTGTGTGAGATCCAAGAACCCTCTCTTGGCGTTCTTGGACCCCCGTTCCTACAGGACCCCTTTCCTGTAACAAAGCCAATGACCTGGCTTTATAAGGAAGCTGAACACTTTCTTCTAACTCACCATAATTAATATTCACGATGTATTTATTTCATTAAAAGTAAAAATATAAATGGAGGTCCTGAGTGTGTTGCTGATCTTTTAGGGGAGGGGTCATGGAGACCTACACCAGAAGAAAGCTGTTCCCTGTTTGGTGATGGGGATCAAAGGATGCATGGGAAGAAGAACTTGCTTATTGCCCAAACTTAGAAACTAGCTAAATTAATTTGTGCTTCTTAAGAAAAAAATAAGTGCAGTAAAGAACAACATATGGTTCAAATAAATAGGTTTTGGTTTTCTCTAACGCGTTTCATGCAAGTTTGCCTCCCATCCTCCCCTGTGACTGTGTTTGGTGTATCAAGTATATGTAAGATCACACTTCAGATAAATTTTCACATGTGTAAACTAAATTCCTAGAGAAGAGAAAATATTTGGGGTACACAATATCTTTAAATTTTACCAAAAACATTTATACAAAGTTTTCTGGAATCTCCTCCATACCAAGAGATCCTACAATAGTTTTTAAAACCCATATCTAGGTGATAAAAGAGATCTACAATTGAACTAATCACCAGCATGCTTAGAAAGCCTTTAAATTTATTTGAGATATTAACTTTCTACCGTGCATGAGATTTCCTCAAAGCTGCTTCTGGATCCTTTCCTTTTAGTCATAAATCAAATATCCAAAAGCTGGCTTATTTAATATTATCTTACTTCATTTTCTCTAAGTTAATCACTTTAGAACTAAACCTAATTGCAGGGATAACAAAGGCGGATTTCCCAGTGTGTTCTGGTGTGTGTGATCATGGTGGTATAATGGCCCATTACCATGACTCTGATCTTTCTATGAAGTGTACTGAAGTTAAAATGGGGAAGATATTTTTGAGGAGGATATTCTTTCACGTCATGATATCCACAGAGAAATAAACATGTTTCATTTTTTAGGATATCAAAGGGAAGACCCCCCAACAGGTCACTTCTTGTAGGAAATGATATGTAGCAATGTGAGAGACTAAAGTGAGAACAGTAGCCTTAGCCTTCTGGTACTCTTTTGCCTCAGCCTTCTGGTATTCTTCTGGTATTCTAAGAGGGTGCTCTTTTCCAAAGTATCTCTTGATTGTTCACCCCAGAGTCTCATAAGAAGCATGACCAACACAGTAGGCACTTCATGTTTGTTGGATTTAACTTAAGGTTGTAGATTTCCATTTTTTCCTAAGTGTTGGTGAGAATGGAATACTACACCATATTTGAGCTATTGTTCTCCAAGTGAATATAAGCATTTTTCTTGGCTGGGCAGAGTGGCTCACACCTGTGATCTCAGCACTTTGGGAGGCTAAGGTGGAAGGATCACTTGAGGATGGGAGTTTGAGACCAGCCTGAGCAACATAGTGAGATCCCATTACCACCAAAATAAATTTAGCCAGGCAAGGCGGTGCACACCTGTAGTCCCAGCTAATCAGGAGGCTGAGGTGGGATTGAACCCAGGAGTTCAAGACCACAGTGAGCTACAATTACCCCACTGCACTCCAGCCTGGGCAACAGAGTGAGATAATAGAAAAAGAATACCTTTCTATTATAACATACACTCCATTAAAGAAGGTTGAAACTGCATTTATTTGTTTATTTACTTGTTTATTGGTTTGTTTGGTTTGTTGGTTGGCTGGTTCGTCACTGATAATGCTTGATCATAGGATGGTAAGAGAGAAAAATGGTGTGGTACAAATCACAAGTTTTGAAGTCAGACAGAGCAAGTTTAAATCCTAACTCTTTCACTTTACTAGCCATACAACCCTGGGCAAGCTCCTTAATCTCTCCAAGTCTCCATTTTCTTACTTATAAAATGGGATAATCACCCCCACCGGCCAATGTTGTTAGGAGGATTAAATAAGACAATGTATATAAGATGGCTACTTAGCATAATGACAAGCCCATAGCAAGCATTAGTCATATAGCTATTTTTATGTTTATAATTGCCTCAAAAGCCCATAGTTAGGATTCAGCAAAATGTATACACACACACACCCAACATGGTTCTTGACATACACAGTAATAAATGGTAATGCTCATGTTCTGTAAGAACACAATTTAAAATGCAATATGAGCCATTCTCCTTACATACCTCAGGGAGCTTTCTCACATGACTGTGCTCCTGGCCACATTTCTATGTGCCATTATAGCACATACCTAGGTCTATCTCAGACATATATCAAACACTTCACAAATCTCTCACTCTGAATAAACTCTAACAATGTTTCTCAATTGCCAGAAATCACAAAAATAGAAATAATCATCAGAATTCAGATCTGCAATGAGAATTCTGGTAAACATGAGTACTTTGATGTGGCACTTTGGGTTGTTGAAAGCACTAAATGACTAGTGTTGAGGATGCTAGCCACGAGCTATTTCCAGCCCTCGTTGTATTTCCTGGCTTTACCTGGATGGGATGTGTGCTGAAAGCAGATTTGTTACACATGCCTTACAAATAATTATGGCCTGACTGGTCTCCTGTGTCACATCCTCAAGTCTCTTCTCATGACTCATCATTCAGCTGGAAAGCAGGAAGTGCTCCATTTGGGGGAGGAAGTCAAAAGGACGCCACACCTCAGGACAATACCCTTCTTACCTAAGCAGTGTTATTATTCTACCAGGCAACACCCAAACAGAGCGTGTTTAATCACATGGACAGAATGGGAGATCAGGGCTATGAGGTTGCTCTAGGATATCACAACTGAGACGTCACACACCACAGAGCTACAACGAAGTTGAGTTCTGGTGGTGCCAAAGGCATCACACCTTTAACCTCAAAGCACAGAGTCTTTGAGGCATTTGCTTCTTCTGGCATTTCTCCTGGAAATTGCCATAGACATGTGGAGGCAGAAGAGGGTGTGTTTTGCATGTATTTATGCAGGCATATGTGTCCATACATGAGAGATTTTTGGCATTCAAAGGAAGCTACCATGAAGATTTTGGCTGCCAAAATTGTTAGCTATTGTTTTTTCACTAATTTGCATCTAAAAAAATAAGCCTGAGATTATACCAAGATGTGACATCTTTTATGGAGTGGAAGGTATATTTCCATTTCAACAAGTTAGATTTACCTCACTTTTCACTTCTATTCAGAAAGTCTGGAGTAATTACAACTATCACCCTCATTCAAAGTCAGGAACAAAAAGCCAGAAAGAGATTGGAAGAATGATACTCAATCTCACCCTCTTTCCAGCCCTAGACCCACATTCTAATTTAGAAGCCTTAGAGGAATGGAATGCTCGCTAGTCTTAGTTCTTTCTGGATCTCAATCTTCCCTTGCCACTGAGAATTTGATTTCTGAATTGGAAATGTATACTGGTTAAGAGATTGTTGTTATTTGAAAATTGTATATTTTTTAGCAAGTCATAATCATATATTTAAGGTATGTATCAATAAGGATAAATAATTTTATTATCATAAGTATCAAGAACGTATTCTAATGATTTATATTCATAAAACATATTTAATATCAGGTTATATATTTCTAAAATTGTTATCATTTAATGAAATTCTTTCACTCAGTGTTTATTCATGTGCTAGGCATGCCACCACCACACAAGCTATATTTTATTATCTCACTTTACAGGTGAGAAAACTGAGGTACAAACTTCTGGTCCAGTATCACACTGCCAAAAAGCAGTAAAACCTCATTTTGATACCATGCCCATGTGCTTTCCACTGTAGAAACTGTCTCTTCTATTTATTAATGAGCATGCATATTGTTGGATATGTTTGCAGCTTGGTCAACAGTTTAGAAATAATGTTTTATAAAGATTTAAATCACTAACAACACACCAGTAATCCAATAGCCACTTATACACATCCTTTAATTGATCTGAACACAATTAGCAACTGCATATCTGTCCTCTAAGACACCAAAATGAATGTGGCATCTGTTTCACATATCAAAGCTGCTAGGTGACACCACTATGAGCACTCACAACTCACTTCTTCACGGTCTATTTACTCTTGCTTAGACGCATATCATTTCCCAACCTTTAGCAGAGAAAAGGCACCAGGAGCAGAGGAAAGAGAGCAGTTTGATCTCAGTGAGAAGGGACGGCTGGCAACTTAGAGCAACTCTGTAACGTACTGGTGTCAGCTAGTGGGGGGCAAAAACTCCTACATAGCTCAGAAGCCTCAGAGGGCGCCAGTCAACTGAAGTACGGAATAGGAGCATAAGCTGATAAGGATGACATTGCCATTATGCCACAGGAAAACAAAATGTAATATTTCACCTAAGAAAAAAATCAAAGAAAGAGAACAGAATTTAATAAAAAAATTCTTTCAAGACTATTTCGATGTTTAAAGGAGAAAGAATGTGTGTAGAAAAGAGATTTCCCTTTATTGAAACCCAATCTTTTGTAGAGGTTCTCATTTTTCAAAGTGGTTAAAAGTCATTTGTTTGGTTCAGATTTCTGATTTTTTCAGATTTTGGAATATTTGCAGAATGTTTACCCCTAATCTGAAAACCTGAAATCCCAAATGTTCCAATTAGAAGAAGAAGAAGAAGAAAAAAGCAGTTGCTTGGGATTTTATAAACAAATAAACAAATTTATTTACAATGGGATTATTTCTTGTTGAGAGAGGTTTCAGAGCATGCAGAAAAGTAGCTTTATCTTCCTGTTTACTAGCACCAGTCACCACAATTGTAGCATTATCTCCAAATCAAGTTTTATGAAGAGTAGTTCTCTTCCTCTGCCTTTATAATATGTACCCCATCTTGGACACTCCTTTCAATCTCTCTTCCCTGAGTTTTTTGAAGCTGCCTCTGCTATTTTCCACACATGATTATATCCCATTTTACTAGAACCACTGAAGGCCAATACATTGAGCACTGGGATGATAAGATTGAGGCACAAAAGTGGAATTACTTTGTTTTTGCATTCAGTGTTCTTTAGCTTCAACTCTACTAGAAACTCCAATTGAAAGTATCTGGTGTGTAAAGAGAAAGAGAGACCATGCAGCCAATGGCTAAGCCATTGATCCAGCCAAGAAAAACAGCACGTGATAGAATTTCAAAATGCCTTCTTCCTCTGAGTTTCCCCCAAATAGATAAGGATGAATAAGTGCTGGGAATTGCGTCTTGGAGCCAACAGATCCAAGAACTAACTAATTTGGAATTAGCTTCCTGAAGTAGCATCTCCCCAGTAGAAAAAGGATAAAAACATCAAACAGATAAATTAAAATAATTTCCAGGAGAAGCAGTAGACAATAAAATGATTTTTTAAAAGTTTTGCTTCAATAGTGATACTGTATGTCCTTAGGGATGTGTAACTGGGGCATAGTTCACAGGAAGAAATTACAGGGAAAAAAATTAATGAATGAAATGTCTTGAGGAAAAAACTCATAAAGGAAATGCTTCTTCAGTCCTAAGCGCCTAGTCACAAAATGTATCTGGAACAAAACCCTGGAAAAGATATTTTAATGCGTATGGCAAAAGGGGCACGTTTCTTTAATTTACAAAGTGTTCTTATAATCTCATAAACTGTAGATACAACCCAATAGAGTACTGAACAAAAGATGTGAACCAGCCATTCACAGACCAAAAACAGTACAACTGCCAAGAAATATTTAAAAGATGCGTGATTAGGGAAATACAAAGCGAAGTAATAAAAATTTTCAAAGTTTGAAATTACTCAGGTTAAAGAACTGAAAAAACAAGTATACTCCTACACTGTTGTGGAGAGTGAAAATTGCTTCAGACTTTCTAGAGTGTAACTAGAAAATATTTATCAAATTTTAAGTTTTGTATAACATCCATAAAATGCGTTCTTCCCCTTAGTTTCCCCCAAACAGATACTATGTAAATAGTTACCATATCATATTGTTTAGGGAATAATGACAAAAAAAAAAAAAAAAACCCAAACCTCTGTACATGTTCAGTGCCATACCTTTTTTGGATTTTTTTTTTTTTTCTGAGACGGAGTCTCGCTCTGTCGCCCAGGCTGGAGTGCAATGGCGTGATCTCGGCTCATTGCAACCTCCACCTCTCAGGTTCAAGTGATTTTCCTGCCTCAGCCTCCTGAGTAGCTGGGATTACAGGCGTGTGTTACCACTCCCAGCTAATTTTTGTGTTTTTAGTAAAGACAGCGTTTCGCCATGTTGGCCAGGCTAGTCTTGAACTCCTGACCTCAGGCGATCCGCCCACCTTGGCTGGGATCACAGGCGTGAGCCACCGCGCCCAACTGGCATATTTTTTTGAAATCTGGGGTTAGTTGAATCCATGGATGTGTAACCCATGGATACCAAGAGCCAATTCTATTAGCCAACCATTAGTCTGAAAATAATGACATTAAAGTAAAGGAAAGATAGGGCAACCTATACTTCTTTTTCCTTTTAGTCCTTCCTTACTGTGAGTAAGCTGAAGATAGTCAGTGTTGGTTAGAATGTGCATGCATCAAGAAGCAAAATGAAAACAGTTGAATCAGTTTTGTGCAAAGTTTCCACTGCCCTAGTAAGAATGAAATATATACACATGTCCGAGCTAGGAAGTTCAAATTATGTAGTTTGGGTCATTCTGCATGTAAGTTAAATGGTCTTATATTTGCATTTAAAACTGGTATTGCACCACAGATAAACAAATTTATGCTAATAATTTAAAATGTGGGTTTTTCTTTACTTAGAACATTAAATGGCAAAGAACAAAATGAGGAGTTGAGATAGAGAACACAGAAAAAGTTAATATTTTTTCCTCTGAGGAGAACAAGAGATCCCATATTTTTATTTCGCACTGGGCCCCACAAATTATGTAGTTAGCCTTGTCTGTACTGTTTGAACTTTGTATACATATGCCCTATTTTTGTATATTAAAAATAGGTTTCTTTTTACCTGCCCCACTCACTCCTTTACTTTATGAGCTTTATGCTACCTCTTACCTCAGACGATCATAGATCTGTTTATTAATTTCTAAAAAAAATTCAAAAACTGGTAAGATCCAGAGGGAACCGGCAACCAAAAGACAACAGGTGCCCAAATGAAGAAACACTTTTAATAAACAAAGGCAATATTTCACACTATTATTCCTGCTCTCCTTTCCTTCTGTGGGTAAACACTGTCCCTGATTTATAGCTCTGTAACCATAGTCAGCACAATGAAATTAAGCAAGAATAATATGCCAGATTAAAACACCCAAACCCAATTTTACGAACTCAATATATGGCAGCTGCACTGTCAATATAAATATTTATTCTCTCAAAGGACATGGATGCAAGGTCATCTACCCCACAAGGGATGCTTGCCTTGATGAGTGCACACATATCAACTCAGGAAATGTAGATCAGTAGAGGTAATTTACAGGGATAACGTCTTCGAAAATTAGTAGAAAAAGAATTTCTCTTGTGGCATTTACTAGCATGGTACCAATTTGATATCCCATAGTCTTAATAGAGACTAACATCTCTATTAAAATTGAAGGAGGTAACCTCTTTTGCTTTTAATATTATTAACCATATGCATTACTTCAAATTTCCAACAAATGTATTAGTTCTTAATAACTAAAAATTCAATATGATTATACTGCAATGATTCTTACATACTTAAAGTTTTCTATCTGGGCCAGGCACGGTGGCTCACGCCTGTAATTCCAACACTTTGGGCAGCTGAGGTGGGTGGATCACCTGAGATCAGGGGTTCGAGACCAACCTGGCCAACATGGTGAAACTCCATCTCTACTAAACATACAAAAATTAGCCGGGCATGGTGGCAGGCACCTGTAATCCCAGCTACTCAGGAGGCTGAGGCGGGAGAATTGCTTGAACCCGGGAGGCAAAGGTTGCAGTGAGCCAAGATTGCGCCACTGCACTCCAGA
Source organism: Homo sapiens (assembly GCF_000001405.40). Classification (NCBI taxonomy): domain Eukaryota; kingdom Metazoa; phylum Chordata; class Mammalia; order Primates; family Hominidae; genus Homo; species Homo sapiens. The sequence continues at coordinate 172,831,313 of NC_000002.12, read as the reverse complement.
TTGGGCAACAAGAGCAAAACTCTGTCTCAAAAAAAAAAAAAAAAAAAGTTTTCTATCTGAAACAGTCACATTTTGTGAAAATATTCTCAGATTTAAAACATCAGACGGTGCTAATAGGGGTTCAAGGTGTTGGAGTTTAGTGAAATAATCAAATAAATGGAACAAGTAAATGAAAACTCTGGTAGGTATGTTAGAGTCAATTTGTGTGAAAATTTTGACTCAAAATGCCTTGACAGTTTCAGTAATTTTAAAAATTGATTTTTCTTTTTCAGGAGGTTGAGAAGAGGAGTCAAATGTACATTTTGGAAGTCTTGCCCAGCAACCTATTAAAGAGAATATTCTTCATAAAATATTCTACAGAGAAACCCATAACAGTGGTTGCTTCTGGTGAAGAGATCTGGTGGTTGGGGCAGGGGAGGGTGAGAAGCATACTTTTCAATATATACCCTGTTGTACTTTTGGAATTTTGTACCACATGTATGTATTACCTAGTTTCAATAAATTAAATAATTTCTTTAAAATAAAAATAATAACAACAACAAATTAACCAGGTGTGGTGGCACGTGCCTATAGCCCTGGCTACACAGGAGGCTAAGGTGGGAGGATCTTTAGAGCCCAGGAGGTCAAGACTACAGCGAGCCGTGATTGCACCACTGCACTACAGCCTGGGTGACAGAGAGAGACTCTGTCTCAAATGAATAAATAAACAAACAAACAGGATTCTTGTTTTGCGTGATGGGTTGTGTTATGACTACTTTTTGAAAGTATCATCATCTGAAGTTGTCCAGTTAGCTTTACAGGCATTTTTAAATGTGGACAGTTTTGGGGAGATATGGAACTGAGGATACAAAACCACACATCTGTGAAAAACTCCTGCGGTAGCTCAATCAGTTTGGAACTAGGTACAAAATGTCCAAATGATGTCAGCTATTTAAAAGGGCAATGAATCAACAAATTAGAAATATTTATTTTGAAATGGGCTTTGAAATACTCTTTCGGCAAAGTATTTCTGTTTTGATCTCTGGAACTTAGCATTTTTCCCTAATAATTTCTTCTTCACTGCAAAAAGAGTCAAAGCCTTAAAGCTTGATGACAAGTACTTTTCCATTTCCACTCTCACCATCACAAATTCTACAAAGATATGTTACACTGGGAATAAATGTTCTCCCACATAAAGAAGAAATAAGCTACATAATCTGGTCTATATTCTTTTAATTCCACAGAAAATGGTTCTTAATCTTTTGGTAGATAACAGACCCCTATCCAATTAGAATGAAAGCTGATAATATGTTAATCATAATTTATATGTGTGCATCCATTAATATATGTATTATATATGGAATATATATGGAATATAAAAATGCACACGCATATAAAAATGTCAAAGCTGGTCCTTGAACTCCTCAGGGCTCAAGAATCCCAGGTAAAAAGCACCTGTTGTGAATCATCCCTCTTTGCTGACCCTCCAAACGCAGACCTACCTGCCAGAGGACTAAATGAGTTATTATATTATATATAATATATATATATAAATGAGTTATTATATTACTAAAAGGCAAAAGGCTCACATTCGACCTAATCCTACATTTTTCCTAAACAAACTTAGAGCTCTTTTCATTCCAAAAGCTCCCATCACTGAATTCTTGATACTTAAATTATCTTCTTCAGACTAAGCTGATAATAATTTACCACTAAAGAGTCAATCTACATAAAAAGATAAGAATAGTTTCTGGCACTTAGTTGGTGGTCACTAAAATTCATCTGTTATCATTACTTACGTATTATTCACATACAGAGACCCGCCTTGCAAATGTAAAATCCAAGTGACCACGATGTTTTCGAATCAGATCTGGCCCTCAGCCAGTTCATACCGGGGATGCCTCACATGGATGAGCTCAGGGGCTCACCTTCCTTCTGCATGAGGTCAGAGAAGACTTCTCCAAGTGCCAGGGTAACACACACATGAAAAAGAGTGATATGGAGTGTTTAGGCTTTCTGCTACTCAAGAACCCCGGCCTGACAGCCAAGGTGAGCTCTTGCCACGCCAGTATCAGCAGAACTCCTGCTGAAAGTGGGAGGCACTGACTGAGAAAGACCTGCAGGCCTCTAGTCCAGGAGAAACTAAATGGATCTCCTGAGTGTGTCTAGTTCCCACTGGATCAGTTTTGAAGCAACATACGGCCTCTTGCTCCAGGGCCTCTCAGCCCCAGGCCTTCGTAGCCCAGGTCTCTTGGAGGGGCCGCAGCACTCTGGCCTCCACTTTCCCTAAATCAGCAATTGGAGATGTTGTGCTCCTGATCCCTGTTCCCTGAGCTGATCTCAGGTTCAACACCAACCTGTCTTTCCTAGAGTCACTTTCTCTTTGATCATCTGGATCGTCATCTCCTCAGGAGGAAACTCAGCCTCCTTGCAGCCTTTCCTTCACAGAAAGATCTGATTTTAAAAATAAACTGCTGAGAGGTAACAAATGTGTGAACGGGCTGCCATGATTCCCTCCTGATGTGATTTGCCTGAACTGGGAGGCGTTGTCTTGAAGACATGGGAGGAGACAGCATTTGAACTGGGTCTTGGGGTAGGTAGAGAAGGAAGGTGACTGTAGGCAAAGGGCCCCTTCAGCAAAGAGACCAGGAAGACCCAGGCAGGAGCAGTAGTTAGTGGGCCTGAAGTTGGAGTCTGCTACCCCTAGCAAGACTTTCACCAAGAGTTTGACCTTCAGTTCTCTTGGTTAACATGTCTGGGTGTCTTATGTGTTTCTGCACCAAGAGAGCAAGCAAGCACACAGCTAGGAGCTGTGAGATGGGTCAAGGAGGAGCTGAAGGATGTCAAAACCCTGTTCTGTCCTCAAGAAAGGCCAGGAGGCTCCAAAGGGCTTCTCCTTCCACAGGGAGAGCCTGAGGATGAGAGAAGATTGTCCCTCACACTGAGGGGCTGTTATGACCCCTCCTCTGTGTGAAGATATGTCACATCAGAAAGACTTGTATACTTTGCCTGGGTCTGGTGGCATCTTCCTGTCTGTCACATTTCTGTCGGCCTTACGAATGCGACGCCCATGGAGTGAGGGACTTGGTCTGGAAACCCTTTTCACTCTCCTTGGCAATTACTTTCTCTATTCCTTCCACCTCTAGCTCCTGTATGCACCCCTGTTGTATCTTTTATCTCACTTTAATATTTATTTTCTTATATTTATCTCCATTAAGTTGCAAGATCCTTGACGGCCACAAGTTGTTCATTTCTGCAACCCCAGTGCCTAGCATCGTAACTGGCATTTAGTGAATGCTTGACTAATGCTTGCAGATATGACTGAGGTTAATTAAAAAAAAAAGTGTGCATCAATTAATAGAGGCACTACAACTAGAAAAGGATGTAAGGGCAGATTTAGAAAGCTGAGCATGCCAGGGCAGCTAGTTTGAACCTTAATCCTTGGGCAGCAGCGAGAGCTGAGTTAGATGTCTGAGCACCTGGAGTGAGGGATTTGAACCCCTGCTCTGTCTATGCATCCAATCATCATCACCACCCACATCTACTGGGTTTGTTCTTAGAGCTAGGGGGTTGATTACATTATATCATTTCTTCCTCTCAGCAACCATTTATGGTACGGTTATTTTGACCCCCATTTGACAAATGAGGGAAGAGATTTAGGGATATTATGTACCTTGCCTGAGGACACAGAACTGGCAAGAAGCAAGGCCAGGACTGTCACTATGTCCTGGTCAATTCCAGTCCATGGTCTTTAAGCTCTGTACTGCCTCACTTATGCTGCTGAGGCTTGAGGACAGAGAAGGGAGGTCACTGAGAATGGTGGGATGGAATTGAAAAGGAAGAGGTTAATGTAAAGGAAGAGGTTATATGACTGATTATAACAGGAGGCCAACTAGGACAAGGAGAGGCAGAGAGAAAGCGAACCTGAAATACTGAAGGGTAAAGTCAGATGTTTCAGACCTAGGTGAGGTCTGGAGAAGGGACTTGGATAAGGGAGAAGGAAATATAGAGTAACAAGCAGAAAACAAGAAAGGGAATTCAGGGGAGATGGATTCCCAACTGTGCTAAAATATATTAATGTCTCTAAAAATGGATTAACAGAGCCGGGACTCAGCTGTTTAGAGTATTATACATGTGCTTGCAACTGTTATTATCAGGAATTCACCGAAGGCTTTTAATTTATTAATTTTCATTTAGTAATGATCACTTTATTAATAAGGTACAATTTGCTATGTATGATGAAACTTTTTGGTGAGGAAGGAAAGAAAATGTGGATGGAGAGAGTGTGACTAGCAGCACAGTTTTAAGAGAACTAAAACACTAACATTTAAAACACTATTTTAAAACTTCATACTTTTCTTTTTTTTTTTGAGAAAGGGTCTTGCTCTGTCACCCAGGCTGGAGTGCAGTGGCATGATCATGGCTCACTGCAGCCTCAAGCTCCCAGGGCTTACGTGATCCTCCCACCTCAGCCTCCCATGGCTACAGGCACATGCTACCACACTGGGCTCATTTTTTGTGTGTGTTTCTTGTAGAGACTGGGTTTCACCATGTTGTCCAGGCTGATCTCAAACTCCTAGGCTCAAGAAATCTGCTCGCATCACCCTCCCAAAGTGCTGGGATTACAGGCATGAGTCACCGAGCCCAGCTTTATAACTTTTTAAATAAGTGAATGCCTTTCAAGGTGTTGTTCACAAAGTGGTGTATGTCCCTGGGAACAGGTGTATCTCTACTAAATACAATATCTGATCATTTTACTATCTTATCCCATTTTTAAGTTCTATGTGCTTTTAATAGGAATTGTATATAGTGAAAGTTATTATAGAGCTTTTTTCCTTTTTTAGAATATTTGCATTTGGCAATTCTATAAACTTTAAACAAAGCTAAGCATAGGCAAAAAACACCCTCCAAACAGATAAACTAAAACCCATAACAAATAGCAAAGGCCTAAAAATGAAAAACTGTTTCATTAAAACTTATTGGTAAGAGTTTCAGTACTTTCTCCACAACTATTAAAGAGGTAGACACAGTATTGGACAGTGGAAAAGAGAAGGCAGATATGGATGCACACAAAAAAAGAGAACTCGCTTCTCTAACCTCAGAAAAGATCACAATTCTACTGGATGGTTTCACTCAGACCAAAGCTTAAAGCATGTTTGTGGGAGGGCATGGCATGGAGGCAAAAGAAAGCAAGGGACCAGAGCCTTCCACAGTCAAATCGCTGGGATCTTCACAGACACCCAACGGCTAGAGGAGTGGAAGGGATGACCATAGATCATGGTGCAAATATCCAGAAAAGAAATCTTCACAAAATTTTGTTACAGATCATAAAATAAGGTTTACACAGAGGCTATAGGAAACAATTAGAGGCAAGATATGGATTTGTAAGAATATTTAATAAATTTTTGAAGCAAATGAGAGAAGCGACAAAAAATTTTTAAAACTTCAATCAATTCATGCAGCCAACACCATTGGGTAAAACACATTATTACTTACATCATGTTATTTTCCAAATCCACTATAAATGAAGGTAAGATAATATCTTTATAAAACTAATTTTAATTTTTTTAATCATGAATATAGCCAGGTTTATGGTGGATTTAATGAATTTAAAAGGTATGTACTTTAAATATTATGAAACATGAAAAGTAAACAGATCAAGATTAAATATTTGCAGAAATTCTAAGAGGGTTAATGTCTCAATCATATAAAGCATTCACATAAATTGGTAAATAAATGCCAATGTATTTAACTCATATGAATAACATGTCCCAAAAGAGGATATGTTACATTGGGTATTTATAATCAGTAAAAAAAAGAGATAATAAAACCTCAAGCATCCCAGTAATCACAGAAACACAATTGCAATAGCAATGCCTGTTATATTGGACACACATAGAGCCAGTCACTAACTTATGATGGGTCAACTTAGAATTGTTCAAATTTACAATGGTGCAAAAGCAATAAGCATTCAGTAGAAACTATACTTCAAGTAGCCATACAACCATTCTGGTTTTCACTTTTAGTACAGTATTCAATGAATTATATGAGATATTCAACACTTTATTATAAAATAGGCTTTGTGTTAGATGATTTGGCCAACTGTAGGCTAATGTAAGTGTTCTGAGCACATTTAAGGTGGGATAGGCTAAGCTATGGTGTTCAGTAGCTTAGGTGTATTAAATGCATTACTGACATGGTATTTTCAACTTACAATGGGTTTATCTAGGTGCATCCCCATCATAAGTCGAGGAGCATCTGTATATATAATGGTCACGATGGCCAAGGCCAGAAGCAATAGGCATGCTCAAATACTGTTGGTGGCAGAATAAAAGCTACTGAAAATAAATGTGATCATATTTATCAAGAGTCATAAGTTTTCACATTCTTCAAACTAGTGATTCTTTTCCTGGGAATTTATTGTAGGTAAGTAATTCTTACAGTATAGTCTGGGGATAGTTGAGAGCCTCCCACGATTCCTAGGGGATCCAAGAATTCAGAACTTCATTCACAGTAACAGTAAAATTATTACCTGTCTTCTTTACTCGCATTCTCTCATAGGCATACAGTGAAATTTCCCAGGAGCTACAAATTGTGAAAGACACCATTGCTCAGACTGTTAAGAGAAGGTGCATTTGTGGGATGGTGGAATTTGGGGATGATCTTGCACCTTATTCTCACTCTTCCAATAACCATTCCACATAGGCAACCTCTAAATCATACAGCCTTGAACAAACCCCACAGATTCTGACTCTAAAGTACTGACTGCCATTATTACATAAATCTGCTAGAAACTCTAACTTGGAAGTAGAATGTCTATAGAAGAGAAGGACAAACTACACTAGGAAATTCAACACAGACTTGTAAGGAACAAACATTATTCAATCATAGCATCTCAGCACAGGGCAAGGACACCAGCCAGGTGTATGCAGAAGTAAGCACAAAGGGGAATGGTGAATTACCAAAACCCACTGCTGAAGGGGTTCTCAGCCCTGGCTGTCCAGAGACTCATCTGAGGAGCTTTCAGAAGCTACTGATGAAGCTCTATCTTCTAGAGATTTTGGCTTCATCAGTCTATCAAAAGTCCCGGCATGGAAATCTTTTAAAAAGCTTCCCAGATACTTCTAACGTGAAACCAGTTTTAAGAACTACAACTACAAATGATGAAAGTTACCAAAAAGTTCTTCTTCCCTTCCAAATAATATATTTTGATACAATATGAACTACTGCCCTATATTTTATTCTTTCCATTCACAGAATTTGTGGCTCTCCCTTCTTTAATTTGCAAACCAAAAAGGGAGGGGGACACTAGATTTTTTAACTCATAAGGCACATAAGAATCAATCAACATTAACTGTGACCACTCCTGTCAGCAAGGCAGGATTTAAGTAAAGGTATCTCTATTTTACAATAAGTGGCCTAGGAAGCTGGAGAGCTTTGCAAAATGTCATCCAGCAAAGTTGGGTTAAACCAAGAATAGACCAGAATCTCAGGCCAGACCATTCAACCACATCAACAACCTTTGGAAGATTTGTCTTGCATTTATTGGTTTGGGCTAGACAGCTCAAAACATTGAGGTCAGTGAGATCAAACAGGGGCAAGACTGCAGGAATTTGGAGAAGCGAACTTAGTGACAGGATTTCTGCTGCTTCATCCTGTGTGTCAGACCCTCTGCCCCAGTAACTGTGCCCTAACCTCTCACAGCAGCCCAGAGACGACTCAGGAGTGGAATTTGGCCCCACGAGAGCAGGAAAGTCCCATGACCACAGGGCTTTCTACACATAAAGCGCTTAACAGTATCCCCCAGTCCTCACCACGAGTTCCTTCTGAAAGTCTCAAGTTCTTAAAGCTTTCCCAACTAGAACTGCCTTTGCCTGGGGGAACCCGTTAAACCCCAGAGCGGATTTCTCCAGATGATGGCTGAACAACAAAAAACAAACCCAGACATTTGGAATCACAACACATGACAGGCTGAGTTCTCACCATGCCTGCCCAGGGGCCCAGCAAAGGAGAAGAACCCAGAGTGCCACACAACACAACCACAGAGTGAAGAAGCCCAGCCCCTTTTCTGTGGACTCAGTCCCTCGGAACAAGGCTGCCTCAAATGCTATCATTTGGTTAACTGTCCCCAATCCTTTAGGGATGCTGAAAAACAGCCTTGCTACCCACATAAGAATTCAGAAGCAGATCTCTTTGTCCTTGGATGAAACGAGGCCCTTGGTGGAAACGGATCTCTTCTTGCTCTGCCCCTGTCCTTTAGCACGCTGGATCTTTCTTAGAGTATTTTTTCAGTTTGTCTCATATTTGTGTCTATGATTGTCTTTTCCACTAGATTGTAAACCACAGAAAAGCAGACAGAGGGCATTTTGCACCTCCACCTGGTGGGAAACAAGTATGTTTGCTGAATGTGACAGAAGCTTCTTAGAGATGAAATGTTTAACGTGGCATCAATTCTGTTGAGGTGAGCAGCTATTGAGAAGGGCAGGCTGCTCAGTAGCTTAGCTGAGTGGGTGAGGAGACCCAGTGTAAGAGAACAGTGCAGGGGAGAGAGTGGGGGTGAGGTGTCAACAGAGTCCTGGCTAGTGCACGGCCAAGGGAAGCATTTCGGAAACTAGTTTAACAGCAGCTCCTCAAAGACCTGAGTATTCACTCTACACTCCCGAAATGAACACCCAAAGTAGCGCCAGCTCAGAGAAAGCAACTACTGGTTATAGTACCCTACCGGCAGGCCCACCATACAGCATCTGGGCATTCCTGGCATTTGCCAGCCAAGCCTTGATCTGCTCAGACCCCTGATCATCTTCTGAGAAACACTGAAATCACTGCTTGGGGAGCAGGTAGAACTCTTAGTTATCAATAATGTAACAGAATGCCTATAAACAGCAAGGACTTCATTGAGTCTGAGAGCTACAGGCAAAATACCTTCCAGGGGCCTGGAGGGTGAAATACCATCACCCACAATCTGTTTCCTTGAACAAAATTCATTTTTAATATGTGACATTCAAATATGTCACTAGAAAAATACATGTATGTAATTTCACTGTGATAAATGTTACTCTGCCTAGTTATGAACAACTACTTTTATTTATCTTCTAGAAACATATTTAAGATCATCAGGCTAAATAAACATGCTTCACTAGCAGAAAGATGAGCCACCACTCACCCCCTGGCCCCACACACACCACAAACAAAGATGAAATCAAATTATGTCCCTGCCATGGTACATATTTGGGTCTGGTGGAACATAATTAGAAAAGCCAGAGATGTTTTTGAGCATAATTCCAAAATGCAAACAGTAACATGTAGTATTTCCCCACTCTCCCACCCTTCACTAAAAAATAAAAAGATTCATTCTGACCTTGTAGAGCATACGTCCTTCTTTTTCGGTCTCTCAAAGTTCTCAGACATCCAGTGAGCATCTATCCTTTATTTGATCAGCAAAATGTACCTTCATTGCCGTTCATTCCCTGTTCGTGTCTACTACTGAGTGGCTCTCAGTCCACAGAAAGGAAACTGGTGCTGATGGTTCTCCAGGAAAGCTCAGGCAGTCTAAGGCAATAAGAAAACACTTCCTTTTTTTTTTTTTTTTTTTTTTTTAACTTTAGTTAGCTCCTAATAACTTCACTCCCTTCCTTTCTGGATTTGAATCATTTTGCCACTCCATGGAAAAGCTTGAAGACACAGGAATGAGACCCTGGTGCAGACATAAGTCCAAGTCATCGAAGCAGGCTTCCGCTTGGTTTAAAAGAATCAGAACTGTGAGGAGAGAGACAAGAGAACCAGCCAACAGGATGTGTGTGGCTGGAGTTCCTGGCATGAAGTCTTGGCTTTCATGTTTATTTTTGGATATATTTTTCTTAGTCCTTTGATGCAAATTTCTGGCCTGAGAAGTAACCCTACAGTACAAGCTCCAAGGTTGCCAAAAGTAAGCTCGGGCTCCTGACTTGGGAGAATGCAGGCCCCTTGGCTTGGAGGCTCTGGTTGCTCCTGATGAGGGTATGGGTCTCGGTCCCCGTGCATTATCAGGCAGGCAAGGGGCTGCCTTGTCTGCAGGTGGGCCGGGCATTCCTAACTCAATACCCAAGCCCATTAAATATAAACCTGAAAAGCCTACCATTAATGCAAAAGTGAAACAACCTGAAATTGTTAGTATGGTGGATAAAGCCATACAATTTACCTGAGAACTTCTGGGATATCTGTGTTCTGAGATATTAATTTTTAAGTATTTGGCTTTCATTTTTCTGACAGCTACAGACAGATAGAAACATCAAGCCTATTAGAGCAAGATCAGATGCCTCTGGAAGGTATATTATTCTAACAGTGTTTTTAAAGCACCTCAGCAAAGACTAAGCTGCTGTTGCTTCAAACAATCCTTATTCTCACTGTGGCTTGAAAGATTTTAATGGAAAAGGGATTTTCCCCTATTTACTCTAAAAAAAAGTCAGTAAATGGAAGTAACTAAAAAGCTTTCCAGTTTCACAACCGCCAACATATCTGGTAGAATCTTATAGAAAAATAAACATTCTGAAAATTAGGGAATAGAGACAGTCATAAACATATTTCTTCAACAGCATTCATTATTCTGATTAATATCTCTATTTACTAATTACTTTCTTTTCTTAAGACAGAAACGTGCACTTTCTTATTTTTACCACTCAGTTTTGTATCTCATAAAGCATGAAATACATTTTCAGTCAGTTAACAATGTTTACTGAGGCCACAGACACATTTGAGCAGTGAATCTAATGTGCCAATCATTATATCCAAGCAACGGCTCTCCATGACACGTTTTGCCCTGGTTGGAATAAAATCACAATAGCATGTCAAGAGGCTCCCAGATAACAATCACAGCTAAGAAACCACTTTTATAGTGACACAGGTCAGACTACAAATTGAAAACATTGCTTTTATTTTTAATGGCTCTGTAATTTTATTATTGTCTTTAATTTTTTAAGAACATATTCATAAATATGTGTTATTATTTTGAATATGCTCAAACATGGCTCATGGCAACAGGGAAATTTTTCCAGAATGGTGTTCATGCAATTGAACTACAGGTAAAGAGGTGGTAACCACTAGTTCAAGGGCCTCTCAGAAGCATCTTTCATGGATTTAACCAAGAGCACCTCTCTAATCTACTTTCCTGAATACAGTGGACTCATCACCTCATTCAATTTCATGTATTTGAAATATTCCATGTAAAGATGTCAAAACATGCCACAAACCTGAAATCATCCTCATACAAACACAACATCAGACAGAAAGTCAAGAAGAAAACCCAACAAAACCTTCACTGTTTTGTTCTAGCCATTGGAAACCCTCTTATACTATCTGTGCTGAGCAGAAATTCATGGACTTGGATAATAGATCAGTTTTTATTTATTCCAAGAGCTACTATCAATCATAAAATACCCATAATCTTAGATCAACTATTAATATAATAACTGCTTTAAACTCCCAAACTTACAGTTAACTGCTTTGCCATTTAACTTCCTTACTGAGGGTAGAAAATGCCACTAGTGTCAAAGAGTTTAAATTGTAAATTATAATTGTCTCAAGAACTAAAAATGGGCCGGGCGCGGTGGTTCACGCCTGTAATCCCAGCACTTTGGGAGGCCGAGGCGGGCGGATCACGAGGTCAGGAGATCGAGACCATCCTGGCTAAAACGGTGAAACCCCGTCTCTACTAAAAATACAAAAAATTAGCCGGGCGTAGTGGCGGGCGCCTGTAGTCCCAGCTACTTGGGAGGCTGAGGCAGGAGAATGGCGTGAACCCGGGAGGCGGAGCTTGCAGTGAGCCGAGATCGCGCCACTGCACTCCAGCCTGGGCGACAGAGCGAGACTCCGTCTCAAAAAAAAAAAAAAAAAAAAAAGAACTAAAAATGGTATTCTAAGACTTTTAAATTCATTTTCTTCTGTATGTAATTCAGAAACATACTGTCTCCAATATTTATCTCTCCCCATCTCTGCCTCCCTCCTGAAATGTTACTGGAAAATGAGATGTTTTATACCCTGGTTAATATTTTTTATTAAGTTCTAATATTAAAGGGGTGTAAATGGAGAGAGGCATTATTTACCAACTCTGAACAAACTTAACATAATTCATTTAAACTAAGAAAATAAGACCTGACTTTAAGATAGAGCAACCCAGTACCCTCAGATCTGACCAAAATTGGAAATTGAAATAGGGAAAAGGAGAAGGAAACCAGGTCATTTTCATTAGGAAAGATGTAGGGTACAAAAGAAAAAAAAGTGCCAAGCTGCCACCTCAGTTATATCTTAGGGAATATTTATTTTATTTGATATATTTATAGAGACTATTGAGGAAATGCTTCTAATCACATTCATGATGATGATTTTTAAAAAATACTCTGAGTGTTGCCTATATGACTTACAGCAGAATAGACAATATAAAGCAAGAGGTATTGGGGATAGAATTAAATAGGATTTCAAAACCTTACGTGTGGTTCTCTGAGGGCATACCTGAGGAAGCCTAGAAAACTTGCTGTTGACCTGGAAAAGAAAAGGAATTCCCTAGCTTTGTGCTACCATTACAGTCCCAAGTGTAAGATATAGAGTATTTGCTCAGCCTATTAAAGGACTACTTTTTGACTGTGCTACCTGTTAGTGATTAGGGACCATAATTTTCCCTTAGAAGCAACACAGAATCCTGATGGGAGTGTTCTAGCCTGCAGCTCCTGTAAGTGACAGTAAGAGTACCTACAAGGAGACAAAGCCCAACATAAGAGCGCCTGCCATGAAATGAGCCCACCAGGACATTCCTCAAAAGTAAACACTCAAATGAGATGAACATGCAAATTTAGACCCAGGGTCTCTGATTCAGGGTCTCTAATTTTTACTATTTGGAACCTGTCACCGAACATTGAACTCTGAGCACCTTAGCTCCCTGATGGTGGAGGCCTTATCCAGTTGACCTTGCTGCTGCTTTCTTTTTATATTTGCATGATATATATTTTAGTGTTTTTTCTCTTTTTTAAAATTCCAATAGGTTTTTGGGGAATGGGTGGCATTTGGTTACATGAATAAGTTTTTTAGTGGTGACTTCTGAGATTTTCGTGCATCCATCACCTGAGTAGTGTACTCTGTACCCAATGGTAGTCTTTTATCCTTCACCCCTCTCTCCCCTTTCCCCCAAGTCCCCAAAGTCCATTGTGTCATTCTTACGCCTTTGCATCCTCATAGCTTAGCTCGCACGTATGAGTGAGAACATATGATGTTTGGTTTTCTATTCCTGAGTTACTTCACTTAGGATAATGGTCTCCAATTCCACCCAGATTGCCGTGAATGCCATGATTTTGTTCCTTTTTATGGCTGAGTAGTATTCCATGGTGTGTGTGTATATATATATATATAATTCATATAATATACATTATATATATAATTGTAATATGTATATTATATATATATATAATTGTGATATATATATATATATATATATCACAATTTCTTTATCCACTCATTGAATGATGGGCATTTGAGTTGGTTCCATATTTTTGCAATCATGAATTGTGCTGCTATAAACATGCATGTGCAAGTATCTTTTTTGTATAATGACTTATTTTCATCTGGGTAGATACCCAGAGTTGGCATTGCTGGATCAAATGGTAGTTCTATTTTTGTTCATTAAGGAATCTCCACACTGTTTTCCATAGTGGTTGCACTAGTTTACATTCCCACCATCTGATGCCTTCTTTCTGCACTCTTACTGTTCAGTGATGATTCAGGAGTTGGCCTGAATCCTGAATACATAATTGTTCCCCGTATAGTTCTTCCCTTTTGATATTTGGGTGATCTAGCTGACTTAGGCTTCAGCTGACAGTATGAGCTTGGGTTTAAATTTTACTAACAGATATCAGCACAAGATGGATTTTACCAGAACAAGGATGGATTAATTTTACTAAACCTATTATCTGACATATCAAGGAATAGGCGTTCTGGTTATCAAATATTTTGCAAGCAGATTAGCGCTATATATGCCATGTATAGATCATCAACATTCAAATCATGCACCTAAAGTTATTTAATGATATATTATGCTCTGAGATTCTATGATTTTTATTTTCTGTCTCCTCTGAGCGGAATAGAAGCCCCTAGCCTGAGAGCAGAAGCATATATATTTGTATATATGTATAAACATACGAACATCTGACTATATCCACATACATACATATACATATACCTAACACATAGGAGATACTCTGTATATTATGAATAAATGAATAGACAATAAACAGAATTCAATCTTTTTTATTCAGAAGGTACTTTAGAATTGTGTAACTTTTTAGGATTATCATGTACTGCATGTGCACAAGTGTGCCCATTAATGAAGTCCTGATTAACAGATTGCTAGATAATGGGGTTTATTGCATTTTCAGTTTAGACAATTAAAACATTGATTGAGCATCTAATTCACACTCTACACTTAGTTGCATGAACAGGCAAATATAATGAAACATCTGACTATCTCTTACTCACTATGAGATTTCAGTCCCCACCCTGTAAAAGAGGTCAGACTAAAAACTATCCACTCCTGTCAATTCCAAATGGCTCTCTGAATGTCGTCCCCAGTACACTTATGCCACTGGCAAGGGAGATCACAAATCATGCTCTGAGGTTACAGGGGAAGAGTTGGACCCACTGAACTGCAAAACATGTGACAAGGTTTTAGATAGCAAGGACAGCCCTCCATATCAATGTCCCTATTAAATATTTTTCCTCTAAGGGAAAGAACTGTGGAAAACAGTCCTAAAAGGTACTCTGATACAACCTAACCAAGGGATCAAACGTAGCATCAACAGAGCAATATCCTCAGCATCACTTTTCACATTTTCTTGCCAAAAATGTTTGGCTTGATCTAATCAAACCTTTAGCCTAATTTCCATTTATAGGAAACCTTGGGATAGAAGTGCAAAAAAAGATACCATGAAAAAAACAATCAGACAAATCTTGAATTTGGGAGAAATTGACCTGGCCTTTTTAACAAGTCAATGCCATGATGGGGCAGGGGGAAAGTAAGAGAGAGAAGGGGGAGAGAGGGAGAGAGGAGAGAGAGAGAGAGAGACTTAGATATAACAATCAAATGTAAGACATGGCTCGTTATTGGAGCCTGGTTTGAAACAAAGCTATAAAAGGTATTTATGAGACAATTAAGGACATTTGAAATATAGACTGGGTATTAGATAATATTAGGATATTATTGTTTTATAGGTGAGATAATGGCATTAGGGTATGTAACAGGATATTCTAAGTTTTTTGAGATATATGCTGAATATTTAGGGTGATATGTTATATGTCTATCATTTACGATAAAGTAGTTCACCAAAAAAAACAAACAAAGCTGAAGCAAGTATGGCTCTACATTAACAATTTCTGAGTTCAGTGGGGGTGAATGGGTGTTCATTGTACTATACTTTTTGATTTTTCTGTCTATTTGAAATTTTTTTAAATAATAAGTTTGTTTTAATGTTCACAGGTAGCAACCACTTAGAAACTTCCTTCTCAGCACTAAGGGCTCCTAATTAAAATAAATCTTTAAAATATTTCCACAAACCATCCTCTCTCAGCAATTTG
This sequence comes from Homo sapiens, assembly GCF_000001405.40. NCBI lineage: Eukaryota > Metazoa > Chordata > Mammalia > Primates > Hominidae > Homo > Homo sapiens. Next base: position 172,815,743 of record NC_000002.12, on the reverse strand, counting down.
AGTAAGTCATCAGAGACAAAAGTGGTTATAATGACACACATCACAGTTAGAAATCATTTTTGTTCTGAAAACCAGTTTTCCAAACTCCCCTTTTGAAAAAGACTTTTCAGTTTACCTTTTAAAATGAAAGATCCAAAAAGTGGCTTATTTGCCTCAAGCTTGGTCCCTTTTAATTGACAGAAAATCTCTCCACATACACCTCATGCAAACCTACTTTCAATTTTCCTTCCTAAAACTAGCTTTTGTCTCTGAACTTTACAGAACGGTTGGAGCTCTTTAATACTTTCTAAGAGAAATATTTCAAACAAGTAACCTCACAATTTATTCACTACTGCCAAGAATAAAAGTAACAGGTTTCACCACCAAGGCCTTCCAAGGCTTTGCATGACTTTTAAGGCAAAGCATCACTCATTCACCTGCAGGTTGGCTCCCTTAATGCATCTGCCATTTGTTTGGCTCTGGAGGAAACTATTTGATTACACAAAATTCTTTTTAGATCAAGTTTAAAATCTTAGCCACACTGGGACCAGTGGCGAAGCCTGCAGCCTGATGGTTTAACACTTGGACATACTGAGCTAAGGACAAAGACAAGGAGCAGGTTAAAATCAGAGGCTTAAAGAACTGAAAAGAACGAGTGTAAAAGATGCAAGGCTTAGCTGGGCCTTTATAAGTGCTCTATTTGCCATGACTGCATGTAAGATGATTTATTCCTCATACTTGTTGTAAATGAGTGCAATACTTTAAGGGGCTCTGGTAAGCATTGATAAATGCAAAAGCCACTAGGACCAGTTGCATCCATTCACTGCTGTGCCACCTATGCATTTTGAAGTTGGCAAGTAACCAGACATCTTTATGTACCTCCATTTCTCATATCTTATTATAGGGCGCATCATTTTTAAAAGCACTTAAATGAAGCAGATGTTAACCCCATTCATTCCACTTTCCCAGGGAACATGTCAATGATGATTTTTAAAATGCAAAAGAAAATGTCAAAGTATTTTGTTCCCTGGTTAAGAATACATCTGTGGAAAAGAAGGGAGAAAATACATAAAACACTCTATGGTCATTCAAGAAATAATTATAAGGTATGTCAAACTACAGAAAATTGAGCAAGCACTAAATTAAACAAAAAAAAGGATGTCTTGTGTCAAAATGGCTTTTTCACTCACTCATTTCAAAAACAAGTTTTGAAAATTAAATTCCATCTACCAGCTCAGAACAGAACACATTAAGGCTTGACTGTAATGCCATTATCCATGTGGCAGCTCCCTTTCTTTTCTGAAACTGCATTAATTGACAAAGAAGCCTTAGGGCTCACCTCCCATAGTGCCTTGAAGTCCTTCTGCTCGATGCGGAGCAGTTCACTGCTCTCCCTGGTAACGATGGTTGCATGGCGGGGTGTGTTGTCCAGAATGGACTCTCCAAAGGCCGTCCCAATTCCCAGGGTACAGATGGTCACAGCATCCTGAGGATCCCAAAAAACTAGTCATTAGAAAATTAAACATCTAATGGGTAGGTGTTTTCTTTTCTTTAACTGCAGTATAATTTGTACAAGGCAAAACACCCAATTTAATTGCATAGTTCAACAAGTCTTGACAAATATATATACCGGAGTAATTACCAACCAGATCAAGACAGAACATTTCTATGAACCCCAAAAGTCCCCTCGTGCCCCTTTCCAGGCAAGACACTCAGATAACTTGTTCTGATTTCCGTCATGAAAGAATTTTGCCTGTTTTAGAACTTCATGTAAAAGAAGTCAGACGATATTCTCCGGTTTGTGCCTAGCTTCTTTTTTGCTCAACATAATGTCTGTAAGATTCATCCATGTTGTTGCATGGATCCAAAGATTCTTCCTTTTATTCATGAGTAGTTTCCCATAACATGGGTGTGCTTCAATTTGCTTATCATCCTCCTGCTGGTGGACATTTGGGTTGTTTCTACTTTGAGGATATTATGAATAAAGCTGCCAGCAGGAATCTTACCTTTTTATACAACTACTATCTGTTTTCAGAAAAGAGGAGAAATCTATCGAAGCTGAGCTCAGTTTTTTTTTTTTAAGTTAGAGAGTGCAGTTACAATATTTAAATAAGAAACTGGCACTGTCTGTCTTGACAAGATGAGGAAACTGAGGGTCAGAGTGGTGGATCTACACAGCCCCAGTTCACACAGTTGATAAGCAGTGTGGCCAGATTCTAACCAAATCTGACTATAAGTTTACAAGATTTTTGTATCATGCTGCCTCCTGCAGCCACAACAGAGTAAAAACAGCATCCGATGAAGTACGGTGTGACTAGCTTATAAAATGTCATGAATCGATGATTTAAAAGTTTCTTAAGGTGTACCAAAAAAAGTAATTTCCTCTCTGCATGCAACACTGGTGATAATGTTTGGATTTAATCCTAACTAGTTTCAAATAATGCAAATAGCCACTCAAAATCACCTGGACATTAATTTTGTAAGGCATTATAAACTAAGGGAGACACACAAGGGTAATCCTCTGAGTTAGAAAGCCCAGTTTTCCTTTCATGCATCTAATATACGATAATAGGCAAATGTTATTAAGATCAAGTTAGTGACTCTGTAATCACATTACTAAGACAAATGCCCATAAGAATCCAGTTCCTTCAACCATAGCAAATTGCTTCTGCACAGATATTACCATATAAAATTATGTTAGGGAAAATAAAATCAATATCTCAGAAAAGAATAAAAGATCAGGGAAGAAGTGAAGAAAAGCCTGCTAATAAATTTTGCAGAAAGGCAACTGCAAACAAATTCACTCAAAAATATCCCCAGAACTGAAATATCAATAGTCAATGAGTTAGGTCTCTCTGAGCAATTTTTAAATGCTAGTAAAAACACAAGATAGATTATGATAAATCACAGACTTTCACAATTCTCTGGAATAGCAGGTTCCCTGAAGTTCCCACTAGCCTATTTCATTTTTCTATCACCTGAACCCTTCGGAAAGAATTCTTTTGCCTAATTTTTACTTTCCAGCATGTCTTAAAAACCTGAAATGGACCCTAAGTAATACCACTGACATCATCCACATATTTTACATATATATGGTTATTTGCGAAGTATAATGCAAAAGAACTAGGATGCTCTCAGTTATTCCTGAGCTAGCTGTACAGTTTATGGATTAATCAGTCTTCTTTATCACCTCCCATCCCTGACACGAGTAGTTTGTCACCAAACAGTACACAAGGAAATACAGAGGCTGGGAGACACACGTGAGCCTGTCTTTCGCCAATAATCAACTCTTGTAATAAAGACACAAGATTGGATTTCTTCTTGGATTTTCCCAGGAGATTTCAACCTGACTCATGCCTTTATCACATACAACAAAATTTCATCACGGTAGTGCTGCCGACTGTACTCCTTGGTGTATTTCTGTGTCAGGACCACCTCTGTAAGGGGAAAACCATGCCAGTGAGTACCCAGCTGCAGTCATCAGCTCAAGCACCCTGGGCTTGTTTCAGGAATCAATTCTTCTACCAGAATTAAGTATGGGATCAGTCCTTTCCAGATCTTCTCTTTCACACTGCGTCCACTCAAATTTAAGGACAAGGAGTCACAAATTACAAGATATGATCTTAAAAGTAGGACTGGAAAACCTCACCTGAAAGGAGTATGGTTTGCAAGTTCAAACTTTCAGCAGATTCAGAGTATTTTTTAGGACAAATATACTTAGAAATCTGAATGAATTTGGGAGGTATGGTTGGGCATTGGGATAATTGGGCACAGAGAAATAGAAGGTGCCAAGAAGAACATTTTCACCCTGAAGACTATTCACTATCTTTACAGTCTATGGGTGCTAGCCCTTATTTACATTTAAATCACAGGCAGGGCCTTGCAATGTGCTGCGAGAGTAATTTTCAAATAAAGAAATTGACATCCAAATGTTCTCTCACTTAGCAGAACTAATATATGTTGCTCAGCACGTATGATGAAAGGTAGATTAAGAATGGACAGGATGAATATGAGTGGATGTAGAAGAAGCACTCTTAGATATCCACACTAACATCTAACCAGATCTCCATGGGTCAGGATTCCAAGTCTGAAACCCTGTAGATGGGCTTAATGCCTGCCTTCGCCTGCTGCTGAAAGTGTCTGTTTCTGGATGTAACATAACCGTTTCTTTTACGCTTATACATACTGCTCATGCCTCAATACTTATTTAATAGGGACTATTCAAAAGAGCACTTTTATTAATTTTCTGCTCATTTGCAGATTAATATTCAGCGAGGCCATCTGAAAGAAGATGTTTACAGTAACACAGAGACTGATGAAAGCAATCAGCACCTATGCAGGGAACATGAAATGGTAACAGTGAAGGAATGTCCTATTTTGTGATAAGATTGCACTTTGTTTTGAGAACTTTCAAAAGGGAAGTAAAGATTTAAAAACCCGACTTCAATATGTGATGGTGGTTTAGCAGATGCTGCTGGAGCCCTGCCAGATTCTGCACTCACCCCTGATGTCATCTGTAGCTTTCTGGATGGCTCTGTGCAGTGTGCCACCTCGAGCATCTGCACCCTTGCTCTGCCTGAGGGCAGAGTGCTAGGCAGTTAATGCCTTAAAGGGGCAACCATTGCCATGACAGTGGTAGGACATGAGAGTGGGAAGATAAACACCCCAGCTTCCTTGCCCTTCACAGTTTCTTAGCAGGCCCCCTGAAGGAGTGAGTCCAGTTGCCTACAGTGGAAATGCTCTTACTAGAACACTTTGATAGGCTTTCCTTCCTTCTTTGTCTAATTTTCCCATTCTGTTATCATATTTCCCAAGATCATCTCTAAAAAACCACTTGTAGCCAAATCCTTTTCTCCAGGTCTGCTTCTGGGGAAACCGAAAACAAGGAGGTGGGTGAGCCAAGATGGCCGTGGGTCCTAAATTGCACTGAGACCTCTGGGGAGGTACTGGACCAAACCAGCATTCCCAAAGAGACTTCTGTAATAAGGACAGAGGCCAGAGTGTCACTTACCACTTGCATCAGACACACTGTAAGGGCAGTATGTTTTGGGTGACACATGGGAAGACTTCATTCTGTTAGGAAAACATACTGGGTTACCTGAGATCAATTCTGCTAGATAACAAGGGCTGATGGGAACACACACACAAAATCGCCTCTGGCATATCACCGACACGCCATCTGGCTTTTTCCTCCAATCTGATCCAGCTATCTCATTTCTCAGTCCACTGGATCACTCCTTCTCCTCCTTCTAAAACACAGACCTCCTTACTTAATTATCCACCCATCCTTAGTCCCATTGTGCAGCAGCATGCATGTTGATCTGCATGTGTGTGAGTGGGAACTGGGCCACACACTGGCCAAGTGTCTCAATGACGATGCCTCATTTATTCCTCACAACAGGTGAATGAGATAATGTATTTAAACTGCTTTGCATAGTGCCTGACTCAAAACAAATGCTTAATAAATTGCAGACACTCTTACTAACATGATCCAGCAATATCAGTAGTACTATTGCTATTTTATAGGTTGAGCAAATCAGGCTCAAGGATATTCAGTGACTTGCCCAAGACGATGGCTAGTAAGTAGAAGAGCTGAGATCAGAAACTAGTCAGTCTAATGATCTACCCACATACTTCTTAGATTGTCCTAGTAAGTATAAGTACCTCTTAGCCAAGGTTCAGTTGGAAAATCTGTTAAGGTACCAATTTAATTTATATTGATTCTTATTTCAGTCAGCCAATCTGTGTATTTATTGAATACCAAATAAGTCAAAATCACTAGGAAAATATAAAACATTTGGCATTGCTCCTCTTCTAATCTTCCAATTCCAATATTGAGATCCACTTGATCCTCCTTAGAGGATCAAATCCATCCCAGGCAATCCTCTTATTCATTAGGGGAAATTTAAACAATCACAAACAGGTAATTAAGAATTGAATTGAATCACTCATTCCTGTTATACCAGCACTTGGTGGAGGGGAGGTGAGGGGCTTGCTTGAAGCCAGGAATTTAAGACCAGCCTGGGCAACATAGTGAGACCCCCATCTCTAAAAAATAAATTAAAAATTAGCCAGGCATATTGGTGTTTGCCTATGGTCCCAGCTACTCAAGAGGGTGAGGCAGGAGGATCCCTTAATTCCAGGAGCTCAAAGTTACAGTAGGCTATGATCCCACCATTGCACTCCAGCCTGGGAGTCACAGCAAGACTCTGTCTCTAAAAAAATAAAATAAAATCGGCATTTCTGCTTTTCCCACTCTGATCCTGTGTCCCAGTTCTAATAACTGAGTTCTGACCCTGGTTGGAGAAACTGAGTTTCTGTCTTTCAGAGTCTCTGCCTTGATAACCTGCTGGGTACCCTAATTCTTCTCAAAGTGACAGTATCCTGTCTTGACAGCCCTTCCTGGGTCCCAGTTCCTCTCTGGCAGTCCTTCTGTGGCCAGACTTCTTAGGCAGCCTGCCCACTGCCCATCTCCACCACTGGGCCTGCTTTTGACTCCCTCCCATCAGCAGGCCAAGTCTCATCATGCTACCCCTGGTTAGACCAGCCTTGGCCCCTCCCCACACTAACCTGGGGGCTGTGTCACACCACCTTCCTGCTTCCTCTGCCCCTCCTGCCCAGTGCTGCCTGAACATGCCCTCGAGATATTTCCCACCTCCATCATGGATGCCCCCCAGATTCCAGGTTCTTTTCCTTTACCCAGCCAGGCACCAGCTGAAGTTAAGTCATGAGCACTGTCTTGGCACAGTGTTTTCAGTGGGATATGCAGGGTCCAGTTAACTTCATTCATAAAAGCTGGCATTAGGTAAGTTAATAAAGATGTCGATGAAGCCGCCCATGCTGGAAGGCAGGGCATCAGGCAAAGGACTCCCACGTGGAGGCTACCCATGGTCAGAACACTCAATGCTCAGCAGGGAAAATCCCCTGGAAGCAGCAGAGTGGAAAAGCCACGGGCCTTGGTAGACTTAATTCAAAACTTATCTCTGCCAATGACTGACCTGTGGGCTTTGGGCAAAATGCTCCCCAGAGCCTCAGTATCTTCATTTGTAAAATGGGCACAATCTTACTTGTAATATCATTAGCAGTATTAAATCAAAATAAAGTAATACACAGAGTCCATTATAGTGCTGTATAGTTTCTGGCACATAACAGGTGATCCATAAATAATGGAAATTATTATTTCTGACTTAGTCACAAACATGTATGGGTTATCCATATTTCTAAAAAGCAAAGCAGTTTTTTTCTATCATTTAAATAATAGAGAATCTCTATATTCATTTTGTTAATCTTCAACTAATGATGGCTTTCAACACTTAAATTCCAAGTTTTTCTGTCCCCTAGTCTGGATGTCAAGTGGATTGAATGATCTGCAAAACACTTCAGCTCTCTGGGGGAGCTCGTATTCAAAGGAACCCTTCTGACAAACCGTGCTGTAAATCAAAGAATCCTTTTGTACTGCAACTAATCACCTCTTAATTTATCTGCTTTGTACGTCTGAGTTATGTACACTGGGTTTTCTTAAAGCAGACATTCTCATATGAGGCGTTTTATTTGTTTCATTGTAAATATAGTAAACAGTATGGAAATGGGAATGGTGTTAAGAAAGCCAATGGTTATGTGTCATATAACTAAGACTGGTATTCAAGCTAAGGCACTTGTGCCTTGCAAATAAATAATGTCTATAAGCATCAGCTGAAATCCAACTTACACAAGTTATAGGTATTCTGATGGAATTTAAAATAGCTAACAATCAATTAAACAGACATAAGAATTCTCTGTGGTAAGTACATCTAGATTTTCTAAAAATTGTACTGTAATTTCAAGGGCTATCAGATCATCTTATTATGCACATTTAACTCACTTCCATATTCATGGCTCAAGAAGAGTTCATTGTCTCATGGCAAATTTATTGTTTTGGACATATACTGAGTTAACACCAAGGGAAAAATAATTGCTCCTTTAAATGTGTGGAGACAGAAACATATTTTTTTCTTTCTTAGAGATGAGGTCTTGCTATGTTGCCCAGGCTGGACTGCAGTGGCTATTCACAGGTGTGAACATAAATTCTAACAAGGCAAATATTTTTATAAGTTTTATTTTAGGCCTACAGGCAATATTTGCCATTAAGTTTCACAGCACCTGGGATTATTTCACGAACTTGAATTTAGTGCTGGAATTTACTGGGTGCTCCAAGTCATCTTAAGTAATAAAATTAAATGGAACCCAATCTCTTAATTTGTCAAGATGTTAGATTGTATGTGCTGCAGAAGCATTTCCTGCCAAATCAAGAGGGCAAAATACTTCTCAGGCAAATGTGTTTTCTAACAAACAGCAAAGACAAGGTCTGTTACTTTTAGAACACATCCCTGGAATCAGCATGTTCAATAAAGCTTAACAAGATCAGGCAAGCCGGCCGCAGGAAGGTTTGATGAGAATGGACTAGCATTAGCATTCTGGTAACTGAATCAGGGAGGCCAGCCTCATTTCAGTGGAGAGCCAGTCTGTCCAGCATTGTGACGCAGTTTTGCATCCAACCACCCAAACAAAGAATTACACGGCAAAAAAACTAAATGCAGGATGCAGGATGCTCAATAAACTCCCAATCAGCTCCTAACAAATAGCCTGACCTGAGCATAGACAAGTAGGAGGAGATTACAAACAACTGCTGTGGACTTGGCACCTTTCACGTTTTATGGGCTCAATAAATGTGCTCAGAAAAAAAATGTTTCCAATGATGGCAGTGTTCTCTGTTTGAAAATAACGGAGTGAAATGAGTGAATAGAAGAATCAGAGAGGCAAAGAGAAAGACAGACAAAGGTAGAGAGATCCGCATTACAACGAAACACACATGTTCTTCAAATTTTGTAAACAAAAATGCAATGCTTAAAAACATTTGTTACTGTAGAAGGAAAAAAGAGAAGGCAAATAAAAGCATATTATTTTACTTTAGGGAGAAAACTAGTATGAGATTTTTTTCTGAAATTGAGCTAAAATGTGCCAGATAATTTCACAGTGATAGATGAGGGGATGAAATTAAGTGATGACCAAGGCCAAGTGTAGCCCGGATTCTCTGATCCATGAAATGGCTGAACAACATTGTTAAACTTCTACTGTTTCAAATCCCAAGTACATTTCCTGCGTTTTCTATTCTGGCACTGCCCTCTTGTGATAAAACAACAGCATTGCAGTCATTGCAACCAACTTTTCTTGAAATGGTAATTTCAAAAAGCACAGACCCTCTGCCTCTATCCCAGGCTTTGTACTAAGTGCTTTACATACATCAGCTCATTTAAGATAAGAGCTATTATCCCCAATTTACAAGTAAGCTAACTGTGCATACCCACAGCCAATTAAGTGGCAATAGAATTTCAAAGGAGCTCTGAATTTAACCACCGTGGGTTGCATTGGGTAAATACTAATGCTTTCAATAGGCATCTGTGATAGAGATGTAAAGGTTTTAAAGAATTAATAAACCATCCATTTTCTATCTTGCAATATAAACTTTATTCTGTCAGCAGCCATTTGAAATTCTTCTTTCCTATGACTGGAAAAGCCTTTTTACTTTTTGAGAGGTAAAGATTAATTTAAAATCTTATATATATCTAGGATTTTGATACTTACTATGCCAAAAAAGCCCCTCACTTAAAAAATCTGCAGAGAAAAACAGGACCTTCTCTCTCCCTTTCTCTCTGTCTCTGAAGTAAACACACACACACACACACACACACACACACACACACACACACACAGCCGGATAATATCTGATACAATGAGATTTATAATCCTATTTATTGTTTTTAAGCTTGTTATTTATTGCTTATAACTTGTCCCAATGTTCATCTCTAACCCTAAATCGATTAAAATATTACTGAGAAAAAATACACCCATAGTATTATTCATTCTAGTGGGAAGGCAAAATATCTGACTTTTAGCCCTATGTAACTTTTAAGTTACACAGGCACCAAGACAGGAGAGGATCTTGTGCAGACAAGTACAGCAGTGGGGATCTGGAGGTGGATGTGTCCTGGTTAGGCTCAGGCAAGAGACTGAAGGTGGGGACAGATATTATTGGCGAAATGGAAGGATTAATCCTTGATAGAGGCCAAGTGGATGTTCCCAGTGGAAATCTACGTGAACATGTCAGCCAGGTTGGGACACCTTAGGAGGATGAAGTGGTCTGTGGGCAGGTCCCCTTCTTGGTGCTCTTTTCCTTGGGTTAAGATGAAGAATGGCTAAGGCAGGAAGGGTGTCTGAGAAGCTGGGAGAGATGCCTCTGATAATTACGCATAGTGGTAAGAGTGTTGCAGTAGGTTTCATTTTATAGAGTAGTGAAATAAATATAATTTATAGAAAGATAATTACAAGGATTTGTCAGCCTTTAAAAGTTCCTGAAAGTAATAGGGGCAGAATAATCTATGCATTTCCTACAATTCTTAGGACAAACACGTTTTCAAGGCAGTAACAAAAGAAATGAAAGCAATGCAGCCCCAGCTCCTAAGGGAGGGTCTCCGAGAGGCAGACAGAGTCCACCGTCCCTCCCGTCCAGGGACCATTGTCTCCCCTCCAGTCTCTTGAAGCCTTGAATTAGGGAAACTTGACTGAGAGGAAAACAAAGAGAAGAAGCAACATGTGGTCCTGGGGCCTGCCTGGAAAGGGCCTGACTGTGAGAGGGGAAAGCAGTGGGTTCCCCTGCTCAGCAGGAATCCATGCCACTATCTGATGCTTCCTGGGCCCAGAGAAGACCCATGGGGTAAGGCCCAGTCAGCCTGCAACTCACGCCTCCTACAATGGCCAACTTCTGGCCATTCTGGTGGGTGGGCTGACCAGGGGTGACACTGGAAGGTGAGCCATTCCAGTCCTGCAGCCCGATAGCTTTTTTCTCCATCCTCCCTTCCTAAGAGAGGGCCTGAAGTGTACATCAGCACTCATCGAAATGTCTGTAGTTAATACTTCTCTGAAATGTAGAATCATGACTTTTTTTAATATATAATTTTAGGCTTCAGCAATCCAGGGGCAAAAAAGGATCCCCATCACCCCTCTCCACCCCACTACGGACACTGGAGGAGCTTGTGAGCAGGTGCCCTTGGGAGCAGATGCCTTGCAGGCTTTGCAGATTCCCCAGGGAATGACTGCACGCACTGCCTAAAGCACAGGAGAGCAGAGGCAGAATGCTGGATGGGCTCAGGAGGCCAGGTACTCCCCGTTCCCAGGCTCACCACTGCGTCATCCTGAACAGCTACTCAGGCATCAGGCACTAAGCAAGAAACAGCATAGCTGTTTCCCAAACAGGGTAGGCTCAAACCAAAGAAAGTTCCTGAAATGCTCTGTAAATGAACAGTTACTACTACATGCTCTGGGTATATTGCTGATGAAAAATAAGTAGGACCCTCAACCCAGTATTCAAAAAATTCAGGAAGAATTTGCTAGACCAATTACACAGAAGAAGCTGTGTGTTTTTTAACCTAGACAGTAAAAAATATAAGGGAATGACAAGAAGGGAGAAAAAGTAATATTAACTTGAAACAGGAAGGCAATATGAATTTGAGTCAAATAGAATAGTTACACCCCATGTATTCTTGAAATTTATATACAGATATATCTTTCTACCACCATATGCAAGAAAGAGGTTGATTTTTTTTTTCAGAAAAAATTCCATCAAATCACTCATACTGATACAGTTTGGCTGTGTCCCCACCCAAATCTCATCTTGAATTGTAACTCCCACAATTCCCACATGTCATGGGAGGAACTGGTGGAAGGAAATTGAATTATGGGGGCAGGTCTTTTCTGCACTGTTCTCATGATAGTCTCAGATGGAGATGAGGAACTTGTTGGGAACTGGAGCAAAGGTGGCTCTTGTTATGTTTTAGCAAAGACACTGGTGGCGTTTTATCCCTACCCTAGAGATTTGTGGAACTTTGAACTTGAGAGAGATGATTTAGGGTTTCTGGCAGAAGAAATTTCTATGCAGCAAAGCATTCAAGAGGTGACTTGGGTGCCGTTAAAGGCATTCAGTTTTATAAGGGAGGCAGAGCATAAAAGTTTGGAAAATTTGCAGCCTGACAATGTGATAGAAAATAAAATCCCATTTTCTGAGAAGAAATTCAAGCCAGCTACAGAAATTTGCATAAGTAACAGGGAGCCAAATGTACTCCCCAAGACAATGGGGAAAATGTCTCTAGGACATGTCAGAGATCTTCATGGTGGCCCCTCCCATCACAGGCCCAGAGGCCTAGGAGGAAAAAATGGTTTCATGGGCCAAGCCCAGGGTACTGGTGCTATGTGCAGCCTAGGAACTTGGTGCCCTGCATCCTAGCCACTCCAGCCATGACCAAAAGGGGCCATGGTACAGCTCGGGCCATGGCTTCAGAGGGTGCAAGCCCCAAGCCTTGGCAGCTTCCATGTGGTGTTGAGCCTGCAGATGTACAGAAGTCAAGAATTGAGGTTTGGGAACCTCTGCCTAGATTTCAGAGGATGTATGGAAATGCATGGATGTCCAGGCAGAAGTTTGCTGCAGGGCTTTCATGGAGAACGTCTGCTAGGGCAGTGCGGAAGGGAAATGTGGGGTCAGAGCCCCCACACAGAGTCCCTACTGGGGAACCCCTAGTGGAGCTGTGAAAACAGCTGGTATCCTCCAGATACCAGAATGGTAGATCCACCAATAGCTTGCACCATGCACCTGGAAAAGCTGCATACACTCAATGCCAGCCCATGAAAGCAACCAGAAGGGAGGCTATACTCTGCAAAGCCATAGGGACCAAGCTGCCCAAGACGATGGGAACACGCCTTCCACCTCTTGCGTCAGCATGACCTGAATATGAGACATAGAGTCAAAGGAGATCATTTTGGAGCTTTAAGATTTGACTGCCCTGCTGGATTTCAGACTTGCATGGGGCCTGTAGCCTTTGTTTTGGCCAATTTCTCCCATTTGGAATGGCTGTATTTAACCAATGCCTGTACCCCCATTGTATCTAGGAAATAACTAAGTTGCTTTTAATTTTACATGCTCATAGGCAGAAGGGACTTGCCTTGTCTCAGATAAGACATTGGACTGTGGACTTTTGAGTTGATGCTGAAATGAATTAAGACTTTGGGAGACTGTTAGGAAGGCATGATTGGTTTTGAAATGTGAGGACATGAGATTTGGTAGTGGCCAGGGATGGAATTATATGGTTTGGCTGTGTCCTCACCTAAATCTCACCTTGAATTATAACTCCCACAATTCCCATGTGTTGCAGGAAGAACCTGGTGGAAGGTAATTGAATTATGGGGGTGGGTCTTTCCTGTACTGTTCTCTGATAGTGAATGAATCTCACAAGATCTGACCGTTTTAAAGATGGGATTTTCCCTGCACAAGCTCTCTTTGCCTGCTGCCATCCATGTAAGATGTGACTTGCTCATCCTTGCCTTCTGCCATGATTGTGAGGTCTCTCTAGCCATGTGGAACTATAAGTCCAATAAACTCATTTCTTTTGTAAATTGCCCAGTCTCAGGTATGTCTTTCTGAGCAGCATGAAAATGGACTAATATACATACCTAATAAATGTATAGCATAAAATACTATTGCAGAATCTGGGAAAGGTGGTCTCCCTCATGTATTCCCATTTCCATTAGTAGCATCACTGTCCACCTCTTCACCCAAGTCAGGAGCCTCCCTTTCTCTCTACACCTCCACATCCCATCACCGTCAGTTCTAACCATTTTGTCTCCATCTTGTACACAGTGTACTTCACTTTCCCTCCCTATCACCTACACTTATCTACCCCACCCTCTAATCCAGATGCCCTTTGGAGGGAGGGCCACACCCCTTTCACTGTGCATCGCCAGATCAAAGAGAGGGTAGGAGGAGGATTGCCTCCAACAGCACCTGGGCAGTGGGCTTAGAGGGGAGGGCTGTGGGGCTCAGAGCTGCATCAGACACCCAGGTGGGAGTTGGAGAAGCTGCAAGGGGAAAGCTCCTCCCTGCATTCCTTATTCCTTAATGGCTGGCTCAGCTCCCCACCTCTCTTCCTTCCCCTTCCGGTCCTTCTGGTTGGCACCTATACAACCACAATGGGCAAGCATTGAGCCCCAGAATCACAAAGAACTGGCCCAGATACCCAGCAGCTTTATGACCTTGGGCAAGCTGTTGAATATCTAGCCTCTAAAATGAGACAAACCACAGCACTAAGGGGAGGGCAGTGTGGTGAGTGCTGGTGGGATAATGCTTGTGACACACTGGGCACATAGCCTCCTGTCATAGGCGCCCATTGCCAGCAGCCACTCCCGCTCTTCTTCCACCATCCTGGCTCACACCCCACTGAGGGTCTGAAACCTAGTGCTAAGTTTGGGAATTTGTCACTACATCCCTCTGGCTCTCAGATGAGAAAGCAGACATGCAGGGCAGCAAGGAGCAGGCTGGCAAGAAACTCTGCCCCATCCTCCCTGAAAGACTTGACTCTGTGCCATCACCTCTTTTCTCTTTCCTCAGTTTTCTTTTAGACTGTGTAACTTTTCCTCCTTCACTTTTATCATCCTCCTCACACCTCTGTTCATGAGTGCGCCCAGCAGAAGAACATGCAATTTGGAGGATGTCAGACCTGAATTCAAATCTCAGTTTGCCCATGTACACCTGTGTGGCCCTGGGAAAGCTGCACCTATGTCACTGAGCCTTGTTTTCAAGCCTTTGGTAAAACAGGACACAAATGCCTAAAGATTAATTCAGTTAATGTCCATGGAACCCCTCACACGAGCCACACAAGGAAGGCACTTAGCAATGATCTTTTCTGGTCTCTAGGGGTAGGAATTCTAGGTCTCTCCTTGCTCCTTACCCATGGCCTTCACCCAACCCCATTTCCCTCCTCATTGGGGTCTATTATGGTTAATTGTATGTGTCAACTTGGCTAGACTATAATGGCCAGTAGTTTGGTTAAATACTAATCTAGATGTTGCTGTAAGGATATTTTTTAGATATGATTAACCTTTACAATCAGTAGACCTTAAAGTTGATTACCCTCCATGATGTGCGTGTACCTCGTCTACTCACTTGAAGGCCTCAGAGCAAATAGGTTTCCCTTGAGGTTTCTTGAGGAATTCTGCTTCTGCCAATAACTCTTACCTGAATCTCCAGCCTGCCAGCTCTAGACTTCAGACCTGCCAGCCCCCACAATCATGTGAGCCAGTTCCTAAAAACAAACCTGTCTCTCTCTCTCTCTATCTCTATCTCTTAGTGATTCTGTTTCTCTGAAGAACCCTGACTTGTATGGGGCACTACTCTGTCATGATAAACAATCCCCCTGATTTACCACATTGTTAGTGGGCAGAGACCCAGAGCCCATCACAAGGCCAGCATGGGTAGATATGGCAGTTTTGTTTCTCCCTTGCAAGCATCTTGGCATGGAAGGGGGCTCTGCCATCTTGGTCATTCTCCTTAGCTTCTTTCTCCCATGTGGCTGGACCATGTCCTACCTTCAGAACTGGCTGGAAAGCTGGGCCCTGTTTATCTCAGGCTGTACTCTAGAGGGCTAGAGGGTGTAGGAGTCAATGAGCTTTCTCTTCCTTTTATTTTAGTGATACAAATCCATCCAGAAAACTCTGGTTGAACATTGTGGGATGAAATACATAAAGGAAGCAGTAAGCCAGCTTTGGTATTAAATTAACTCATTCCTAACAACTAAAAGAAGACCGAGCCCAGCTTAGGTAAGTTCTCTGCATTGGTTTTGAGGTCAAAATTATAGGTAAATCTAAAATTAAAAGTTTAGTTAAAATTGTTGAATCTGTAGCTAATAACCCTGCTATTATGGGTTATTATAGCATGGCTAGGATGCCATGGTGAGAGATAACTGGTTAAGGGCAATATTCCCGAAACCCCTGGCCAGATACTATTTTAATACCATCAAAATCTCGGCCAGCTTTCACATCTGGTGTGTCAGCACATAAGAGCTGGTGTTATGTATCATCCCCTTAGGCACATCTGCTCTTCCTTTTCTGATTCTCCTTCTCTCTCCTTCTCGAGATTTCCTCTTCTTTCTTTTCTCCTCCTTAATTCTCATCTTGCTTCCCTTTCCTCTCTTTTGTCACATTTCTCTTTTCAGCTTCTCCACTCTCTCCATTATCACTCATTCAGGAACCACTCGAGCTGCAGGAGGAACTGAGCAGAATGATCCTGTGTAGGCCCTGTCCCCAGGGAACATCTATGCAGGTAAAACCTGGGGAAAGGAAGTACCAGGAGCAGCTCTGAGCAAAAAAGCCCAGAGAGTCCCCACCAGGACAGCATCCACAGGTAGGAGATATGCAGAAAGAAGGACATGGGGTAATCTGAAAGGATGACAAAAGGCAGGGAGAGAGGGAAGTTGCATGTTGCCTCATGTTTCTTAAGAGTCAAATGGTGGAGAGCAGTGGTGAAGAGCATCTGTTCAGGTGCCTGACTGCTTGGGTTTTAATCTTGGTTTCTCTAATTTCTAGATACAATACTCGAGGTAAGTTATTTAACCACTCGGGGACTTCGTTTTCTCATCTGTAAAATGAGAACAGTAATACGACCTACCTCATGGTTGACTTGAGGATTAAAGAAGTAAATAAATACCTGTTAAGTGCTTGGAACACTGCCAAGTAAATATCCAAGAAGGACTGGATAAATCACATATGGATAAATATCTTGATTATATAGGATATGGCAAATATCCAAGAAATGCTAACTGTTCTCCTTCCCATTCGAAACTGAGGCCGCTTACAAGAATCAAAACCCACCTCTCACCTTGACTGTCTCTGAAATCCAAGAGAAAGCCAGCCCTGTGAGAGACAGCAAGAGGAAAAGTACCATCAAAGTTGGGAAGCACAGGTTCCAGGCTGTGTCTAATGGAATTTTCATGCACTGATGCACAGAAAGAGTATGCTATGGATTACACAGGATTTGGACACTGGCCTGAGAATTTAACCCTCCATTACAATGGGTATCACCCAGGAAACTACATCGCAAATTCCAAATGCACACCTTACCAGCAATCTTTTGGGATACCACTCCATTTTTAAGATGGTGACTGCCCACAACTTCAATACACATACAAGTTCCTAAAAAATGTAAACCTCAAATTTGGTGTGTCATAAATGTTTCTCACATTTGAAGTGTGCTACCTATGAAAAAGCCTCCAAAACATTGCCTTAAATATGACACTTGGCAGAAGGTTATTTGTCCCTTTAAATAATTCTTTAATTTTTTTGGACAATTCTTTCAGATTTCACAATTAACTGATTCTCTTCCTTCAGTTTTTTTCTGAATCCTGAATATGTGGAAATAAGACTTGGAACATTTTCATAGTGATACCTGATGGTGGCCTTTTATGGGTCATACTTTTCAGACTCGAGATTCTTGGCTCTAAACAGTGAGGTTGTGTACATTTTGGCCACTTGTCTTAATGACAGAGCAAGAGTCACTGCAGATGTGAAAGAAGGCCCTGGGTTCGACTTAAATATTTATATATTTTTTCTTTTTTTAATATTCTTTCTTTCTTTTTTAATTTTGTTTTCGTTTTTTTAATATTCATAAATCTTGTGAACAGAAAAAGAATGAGTTTCATCTACTAGGATGCCAAACTCCTCAGAGGTGACTAATGAAAATAAAGCCAGTGCTGTACTTTAGAGGGAAAATAATATTATTAGCCTTCCACATTTGAAAAGACAAGGCAGAGAAATAGAGATTTCAGGGGGACTGCAACAGCCACACATCCCCTGCATCACAAGATCTCCTACAAGGCCGATGAGGGGATCACTTCTAGGACAAAGAAAATTCAAGATACAAAGATGGAGAAAGGATCCAAGAGGAAACATAGGAAGACTTCTCCTTCTCCTTCACTCACATTTCACCCTATACAGCAATTTGTGTCACACTGAAATTGCTTGCATTTCCAAATAGACCTCAAGCTCCTAGAAAGCAGCCCCAATGTGTTCTTGCATTTCATGTTTTGACACCTGGCACCATACTCAAATCAGGGAAGACATTCAATAGGTGTTTGTTGAGTAACTTAATAAAGGAATCCAACAAACAGTGCTGAACTCCTTATTGTGGGAAAGAGGAAATGGACTTGAAAATGTAATTTTAATGGCATAAAAGACATAGGGATAATAAGTCTTTAAAAAAAATAAATCCTACTTTCAAAAAAATAGACCATATTACCTGGTGACTGCTGGTCTCAGATACTTTAACATCCAAAGACCCTGCCAGGACAGCATACCAGTTTGTTCCAATATCACCCTGGCGAAATACTGGGAAAAAAAAATTGTGATATAAATATAACAGATACAACTTGGTTTTACTATATGATCTGCCAGTTTTTCACTGGTCCAAGCATGTCTTGGACCTAACTGAGCTTACCACCCTTCCCCTATCTGTTGCCCACAGGAACATAACATGTTTTTCTTTACCTCATCTGTCAACAAAGCTATATCCTATTTATTCAATATTCTGTGAAGTGGAACCTTATTAAAGAGAACTCTATCATACTTACAGAGCTGTAATAAAGATGATAACTTTAAATGTTATAAGATCCTTTGAATTTAAGAAGAATTGGCTGATATTTCCCAAGACTATATTAAAAGCAATGTGTTTTCTAGACTAGCACCTCTCCTTTTAAGGTGACCAATGATTGATTTAAAAAACCAAAATCTGCTTTGTTTAAAAATTTTAACTACTATATTATCATTGTCCATTTTCTTATTCTTTTTATAAATTCACTGCTTTTAAGCATTTAGAAATGATCCTCATCAGAAATTTTTGAACCTGATCTTGCTCTAAGTTTGTCCCTCTCAGAGAGAAAATATTTAGGTATTTAGATAGAACCATACTTCCCATATCATATTAAGACCAAGTTTGGGAAAGTAATTCCAAAACACTGGTTCAAAAATCTCATGCAAACTAACTGTCCTTTTAAATATCCTAACTAAATAACTAGATGGAGTGACTTGATATTTTAAAATCCTCTTCACACTTAAAGTCAGAGGTCAAGTAACTCAATGAAAAATCACATGACGGCTCGTGGGACAACCGAGTCCTGGCAAGGCTAGTGCTTATTGGAGAAGAGCAAGCTTCTGGGAACCATAATTAATGATGACATGGTGGCATATGCCTGTAGTCCTAGCGACTCAGGAGGTTGAGGTGGGCAGATGGCTTGAGCCTAGGAGTTCAAGGTTGTAGTGAGTCATGATTGCACCACTGCACTCCAGCCTAGAGTAGCGCAGAGTGCAATGGCGCAATCTCGGTTCACTGCAACCTCGGCCTCCTGGGTTCAAGCAATTCTCCTGCCTCAGCCTCCTGAGTAGCTGGGACTATAGGTGCCTGCCACCACGCCCGGCTAATTGTTTGTATTTTTAGTAGAGACAGGGTTTCACCATGTTAACCAGGATGGTCTCAATCTCCTGACCTATTGATCCACCCACCTCAGCCTCCCAAAGTGCTGGGATTACAAGCGTGAGCCACTGTGCCTGGCCCACAAAATATTAATGGTAGAAACTGTAGGTGATTTTTATTTTGTTGACCTTCTAAATTTTCTACAATAACGTTGTGACTCACCCTGTTGCTTTCCCACCCAGAAACACTCATGCCCTCTTGTCTAACTGAACCCAGGTTTTAGACAAGTTTCCACCCTCATCTATAGGGCTAGGTGTTAGCTCCACTAGGGCAATCATGATTGGTCTAAATCAGTCCTGGTGATCCCATTATTTTTGCAAGTGATTGGTTTAGACTTAGGCATGTGATGCATTTCTGGCCAATGAGTCAATACAAGAAGGCTGCTGGGAGACTTCTAAAACAGAGACCCAGAAAGAAATAGTCCTTCAGCAGGATGTTTTTGTATCAGTAAATAATGCATCCAACAGCTGTAGCTGTCAGAACAATTTGGGACAAGTCTGAGGACAAAGCCCAACACCTCAGAATGCATACAAAAACAAAAAATACAGGAAGGACCTGAAGCCTTAATAATTTCACTGAGTCACTTCACTAACCAACCCTGAAGTCATTCTACCTCAGGACTTCTTCTGTATAAGTAATTGATTTTTTTTTCTTCTTGTATAAGTCATTGAATATTCCAATTAGTTGAAAGGGAGTTTTCTGTGAGTGCAGCATAAAGTGTTCCAACAGAAGAACTATTACTTCTTTAATGAAAAAATACTTTTTAAAAAATCCAACTGTTACTCTATCTCCCTGCCCCTTATTCACACCTGGAATAGATGATATTACTGGCATTAATTCAAAACATTACTATCAGCACTAGTTAAGAGAACTTTTATCTTAATATCCTATTGGCCACATATTTCTTGGATTAGAGAAGACAATTATGTGAATTTCTAAAGATATAGCTAAATGTGTGAAACATTACATCCCTCCAGCTCCATCTAGAAAGTTGGTTGCCTTGGAAGAACCATTTACGTTCTGTGAACAAAGGAGTTAGGGAAACACCTACATGCAACTGAATAAACAGACTAGAGGGAAATGTCACCTTAATACTTTTGGTTGAAGCTCAAATATTTAGCACATAAATACTCCATTTGCTATTTATCTCCATAAAGTAACCACAAATCAGCATAAACCATACATGGAAATATACTACAAGAGTTGCATTTCTTACATGTTATTCCCTTTTCCAGATTCTCATAATAACCACATAAGCAAATCTGATGAAGGAGATTTGGGTGAAATTTCTCAAAAGCTTTAACTTCTTTCAGTCGAGTGAAGATTATATCCACATCTTCGCTGGATCGCTCCAGTGGTCTGTATAGGGAGAAAAGGCACAAAAGCTATGTCAGTAAAGATTTACCTCAAAGTGAATCAACAGGCCTCATTTTAATTATATTCAAATTTACCCAAATATCCCACTTGTGAATATTTCATTGCAAATATTTATCCACCCCCTTATAGGTATTTCTGGGCTAATACAGACATTTCTGGAGCTTTACCAACTATTCGCCTTAAATCACTACTATTGCAGATGCTACAGCAGGAGTCAACCTCAGAGTGCTAAGTTCAAGGTGATACTCTGGTATAATACTTAATCCCTTAGAAGCACAAGATACATGAAAATGCAGATTCTACTAAAAAATGAAGTCACAAACACAAATGCCTGCAGGGGCCAATGAGATAAAGGAAGTGGGTAGAAAGAGCAAGATATAAGGGAAAAAAATCTCTAAGAAAACAACACTGAAATCACAAAGACAAATGAGAAGTGACAGCCTCAGTGTTGGTGATTCTCCAGGGAATGGTGGGCATCAGGGTGAACTGCAAACGGGACTGTCCGCAGGGAGCAGCTCTTATTTGGCTGTTTTCCTTCTTCTTAGTTTTCTGTGTAAATGTGAGCCCAGATGTTGTCAAATCTTCCCATTGTTCAAGGTAAATCTAGGTGTGTGGACATTTGTCTGCTTTTTTCTTTTTTCTTTTTTTTTTTTTTTTTTGAGATGGAGTTTCACTTTTGTTGCCCAGGCTGGAGTGCAATGGCATGATCTTGGCTCACTGCAATCTCTGCCTCCTGGGTTCAAGCGAATACAGCCGCCCGCTACTACATCCAACTAATTTTTTGTATTTTTAGTAGAGATGGGGTTTCACTATGTTGGCCAGGCTGGTCTTGAACTCCCGACCTCAGGTGATCCACCCACCTCAGCCTCCCAAAGTGCTGGGATTATAGGCTCACTTTGTCACCCAGGCTGTGTGCAGTGATGCAATCTTGGCTCACTGCAGCCTTGACCTCCAGGGCTTAAGTGATCCTGCCACTTCAACCTTCCAAGTAGCTGGGATTACAGGTGCACTCCACCACGTCCAGCTAATTTTTTGTACTGGCGGGGTTTCATCATATTGCCCAGGCTGGTCTCAAACTCCTGGGCTCAAGCAATCCTCCCGCCTCAGCCTCCCAAAGTGCTAGGATTACAGGCATGAGCCACCATGCCCAGTCTGTTCATATTTCTTGAACACTGTGTGGGCCACACACATAAAAAAAAATCTCTGGAATAGATGCAACCTGCTGACTGCCATTTCATAACCTCTGGATTAAGATAAATCAAAGAACCAAACAAAAATAAGACAGTTTTACACACTACATAAACTATTTTTTTCTTTTCTTTGAGCAATTTTCCAAGTCTGTTCCTTCCATGTGCTTTGCAGGAACCCACTGCTGTTCTTGATGGATATTTCACATTATATAGAAACTATCATGTATTCCCCAGAGCATTCTGGGATCAGAGGAAACGAACTGGATGAGGATGTGACAGAGACAAGTAATGTTCACCAAATAGCCATGTGCTCCCATGAATGTACTAGCCTCCTTTGTAGTTATGTTGGGGCTGGACTGAGAACAAAACTAGCATATATTTATTCTGAGGTGAGACTGATAAGAGCCGGGGGCCTCTCTTCTTCAGGAACAACTTTGAAGGGTGTTATGGGTTGAACTGTGTCTCCTCAAAAGATACATCAGGGACCTGATACTCAGCACCTGTGCATGTAATCTTCTTTGGAAATAGGGTCTTGTAGATGCAATCAAATTAAGATGAGGTCACACTGGATTATGGTTGGCCCTAATCTAATAACTAGCACCCTTAAAAAAAGAGGGGAATTTGGACAGAGAGACACCGGGAAAACAGCCATTTGGAGGTGGTGACAGAGACTGGAGTGATGCATCCACCAGCAAGGAATGCCGAAGATTGCTGGCAACCTGCAAAAGCTAGAAAGAGACAAGAAGGATTGTTCCCTAGAGCCTTCAGAGAAGTCATGTGCCTCCCACACCTTGATTCTGGACTTCCAGCCTTCAGAACCCTGAGAGAAAAAAGTGTTTGTTGTTTTAAACCATTCAGTTTGTGGTATCTTGTTCCAGCAGCCCTAGGAAACTAAGACAGGAGGCATGTGTTTTACATGCCATAGCCACAAGATGGAGAAGAATGTACAACCCACAAAAGATTCTGTGTAAGTGGCAGGTACATTATCAGAGCATCACCCAGCATTACCCAGACTAATACAGAAGTCAAGACTAGCTAGGCCAGAGTTCAAGGGACTTGGGACATTGTCAGAAGACAGATTCCATCATGAGAGATGAACATTTTCAGAGGACATGAGTAGATGATCTGTCACTAAGTGGAAGACCTAAGATACAGGCTTTCCTGAGCTTAGTTTAAAAGCTCTTCATCTTGCTCAATTTTCACCCCATCACACTTTTAGGCCCAAGAAAACTAGATTCAAAGAATATGCCCACAACCTCCCTGGCCTCCCAACAAACCCCTACTAGAAGGGTTTGGATTCTGCTTCCTGGGGAAGAGGAAGGGAAATCCTGATGTGTGTGTGCCCAGTCTCTGAGATGACAGCATGCCTGAAAGCACTGAGAGATGTGCAGGCTTGACTTGGGGAAATACAACACATCAGTATCAGTGCCTCTTCCTCCTATTACCCCTTCAGAAGGGCTTTCTAAACTCCTTACCAGAAACTATGTCCTCAAAGTTAAGGGGCTTTGGAACAGAGACTAGGACTTCAGCAGTTAATAAGGTGGTATGGACAATGGTGCAGATAACTTTCAGTCTTGGTGTGTCTGGGGGGCAGCAAGGACAGCAGCAGCTGGCAGAGGCGCCCCTACTGGGGGATCCCAGACAGTAAAGCACACTTCCCGGGAGGCAGAGCTGGTGCTGGTGCCAGCAGGGAGTCAGGTTGCGGCCACAGAAGCACTGGTAGCAGCCACAGGCCCAAAGCAATGGCAGCATGCAAGTGACCGTGGGAGGAATCATAAGAACTAGATGAGCTAGAAACTGACTGGACATTGATATGGCAGATTCTACTTAGCTACATAGGAAAAGAGACAAACAGAGATTAGAATCCATCTTCCACAAAGAAAGAAAGAGCATGCCTTTTTGTTTATTCTCACCAGAGCATCTCCCACATTAGGAGTGTAGACTAGGGCAGCTAAAAAGATTTTTAGCCTGACACTCACGAGAAAACAGTAGAAGAAAAATGTAGGTACTTCTATACAGTCCAAAACAAGCACAGAAGAACTTCAAGCTTCAGAACCAGATTGTTAAATGACAAAAGACACTTGGAAAGACAAAATTAATTTGAGATAACTGGGAGAAGAATGAAATCTCTTCTCCTGATATTTTTGTGTGCCCCCAAATTAGGCCCTAACGATGTCATTCTTGTTTAATATTTAAGCCTCAGAAACAATGAAAAGCAACCTTCTATCTGTCATTAATTTTATTGGGTACTTCATGGAGTGGGGAAAATTTCATTTGGCTATTAACAGACACCTTTACTATTCGATCTCTGGAAACTACCACCAGTGATAATCCTTTTGTGAATCTCTAATTTCATAATGCAATGTATATTCTCACCTCTCTAGAGTTCATGTCTGGGACCTCCTTTATCGATCCTACAGTGCCCGAAACAGGGCCAACCATACAAAAAGTCCTTGCATGTAATCTTCTACAGCGACCTCAAACTGAACTTATCTTCTCTCCCACATCTGCTACTGCACCTGCCCCCCTTATTTCCATGCATGGAGTAGACTCACCCTCTGCTATGGTCTAAATAGCATAGAGGTGAGCCTACTCCTTCTGCTATTTGGTCCCTCAAAACTCATGGGTCAGAAATTTAATCACCAGTGCAACAATGTTGGGAGGTGGAGTTTAAGGAAAAGTGCTTAGGTCATGAGGGCTCTGCCTTCATGCAGTATCTGTGGATTAATGAGTGGATTAATGCTGCTATAAAAAAGGCTTGCAGGAATAGGCCCACCCCTTTCTACCTTCCACCATGTGAGGACACAACAAGAAGACTCTGACCAGATAGATGCTGGCACCTTGATACTGGACTTCCCAGCCTCCAGAACTGTGAGAAATAAATTTCTGTTCTTTTTGAATTACCCAGTCTCCAGTATTCTGTGATAGCAGCACAAAACAGACCAAGACACTCTCCCTCACCACATCCCGGTGATTTTACCTGTGAATGTCTCTCAAATTCATCCCTCCATTAATCCTTACGCCACTCTCTCATTGAGCGTGGATAAAGGGCATATGAAGCACAAAGCACATGTTGAGACATGAATCTGAACAGCATGGCAGTCCTATCCTAGGAGGGTTCTGTCCAATAATCAGCAGAAGCATTTTAAGCAGGGTAGTGGCATGCTTGGATATGCATTTTGGAAAGATCACCTTGACTGTGACTATTAGCAGATGGGAGACAGTCAAGATCAACAGCCAAGAGGAAGTTAGGAAGTTCTTGCAGTATATCAAAATGATGATGTGGTTTCTCTAATTATAGCTCGCTCTAGGCTCCTTTCTTCTCCCTTCATAACGATGAACAGCTGGTCCCCAAGCAAAAGCTCCAAGTACAGAGAATTGATTTTCTTTAGCCTGGCATCTAATATCCAGGGCCTTTTATAAAAAATGACTTTTTAAAAACTTTCATTTTTAAAACATGTTCAAACAACAACAAAAGAATCATTTACAACCTCTACAACTTGGTATTTAAAAAAATTAATATCTAATTAAGAAATAGCCTAAGGACTTGAATAGACATTTCTCCAAAGAAGACATACAAATGGCCAACGGATATGAAAAGGTGCTCATTGTCACTAATCATCAGGGAAATGCAAATCAAAGCCATAATGAGATATTACCTTACATCTATCAAGATGGCTATTATAAAAAAAAAAATGTTGGTGAGGATGTGAGGAAACTGGAAACTTTGCACACTGTTGGTCAGTATCTAAAATGGTGTGGTTGCTATGAAAATCAGTTTAGAGATTCCTCAAAAAGTTAAAAATAGAACTACCATTCATCCAGCAATCTCACTTCTGGGTATTTATCTGAAAGAATTGAAATCAGGATCTTGAAGAGATATTCACACTTCCATGTTCATTTCAGCATTATTCACAGTAGCCAAGATACAGAAACAACCTAAATGCCTATCAGTAGATAAATGGATAAAGAAAATAATACACATATACACACAATGGAGTATTATTTACCCCCTGAAAATGAAGGACATTCTGCAATCTGTGACAACATGCATGAACCTTGAAGACATTCTGCTAAGCGAAATAAACCAGTCTTAGACAAATACCGCATATTTCCACTTATGAGGTTTCTAAAATAGTCAAATTCATAGAATAAAAGAGTGGAATGGTGGCTACCAGGGACTGGAGTGAAAGGGAAATGAAGAGTTATTATCAGCTGACCTAGAGTTTCAGTCAAGAAAGATGAATAAGCTCTAGAGATCTGCTGTATAACACTGTACTTATACCCAACAAAAATATATCCTACACTTAAAAATTGGTTCAGAGGGTAGATCTCATAGTAAGTGTTCTTAACACAATAAAATAAAAATTTTAAAAAGAATCATTTGTAAACAAAGACACTGTAGAACGCAGGATCATAAAGTGGCCCCCTATGACCCACACCTTGTATAATCCTTTTGAGGCCGGGTGGGAGCTCCAATTTGCTTTTAGCCAATAGAATACGGCAAAGTGAAGAGAGATCACTCTCATGATTATGTTATGCTGTATGGCAAAGGTGAAGAGATTTTGCAGATGTAATTATGGCCCAGAATTAGTTGACTTTGTTAATCAAAAGTGAGGTTTTCCTGGTTGGGCCTGACCTAATCAAGTGAGATATTTAAACAAGAATGGAAGGAGTGAGAGGTTCTTTTGCTGGCACTGATGAAGACAGCTGCCCTGGTTGCCTGAGGGCCTCTGAGAGGGCCATGTGGCAAGAAATGTGGGCAGTTACTGACTGACAGCCAACAAGAAAACAAGGACCTCAGGCTTACCACTGCAAGAACTGAATTCTGCCAAAAATGATGTGAGCTTCAAAGAGGTCAACTGAGCTCCAGAAAGAAGCACCTCTTATTTATTTATTTATTTTATTTTATTTTATTTTATTTAGATAGGGTCTCACTCTGTCACCCAGGCTGGATTGCAGTGGCATGATTATGGCTCACTGAAGCCTCGACCCCCTGGGTTCAAGTGATCCTTCCACCTCAGCATCCCAAGTAGCTGGGACTACAGGTGTGCATCACCATGCTCTTCTAATTTTTTTATTTTTTATTTTTTTTGTAGAGACAGGGTCTCGCCTTGTTGCCCAGGGTGGTCTTGAACTCCTAGGCTCAACCAATCCTCCTGCTTCGGTCTCCCAAAGTGCTGCAATTACATGTGAGCCACCACGCTTGGCCAGGAGCACCTTGATTTCAGCCTTTAATACTCTGAACAGAGGATCCAGACAAGCTGTGCCTAGACTCCTGCCACATGAAAACAGACAGATAATACATGTATGCTTTTTTAAGCAGCTAAGTTCATCATAATTTGTTACACAGCAACAGAAAACTAACACAAAGTTATTTTCTCACACTGACTGATTTCCTTATGGCCCAGCTTAGATTTCACTCCCTTCTTGGAGCTTTTCCTTACAACGTTTTCTCTTCTCTGAAATCCAATTGATAACATCTCTTTTTGGCATCTAACCCCATTATTTATTATTTCATGTTTCATGCATGTAAATTTTTTCTTGGAGAGACCTTCTGCTATGGTCTAAATGTTGTGTCCTAAGTCCCCGAAATTTATATGTTAAAATCCTAACCCTTAAAGTGATGGTATTAGGAGGTGGAGCCTTTGGGAGGTGATTAGACCGTAAGGGCAGAGCCCTCATGAATGGGATTAGTGCTATTATAAGAGACCCCAGAGACTAGCTCTCCATTCTGTCATGTGAAGACACAGAAAAAGGTGCTGTCTATGAGTTAGAGAGCAGCCCTCACCAGACACCAAATCTACCAGCATCTTGATCTTGGACTTCCTAGCCTCTAGAACTATGAGAAATAAATTCCAGTTGTTATAAGCCACCTAGTCTAACGTACTTTGTTAGCCAGGGCATGGTGGCTCACACCTGTAATTCCAGCATTTTGGGAGGCCAAGGTGGGAGGGTTGCTTGAGCCCAGCAGTTCAAGACCACCCTGGGCAATATGGCAAAACTACATTTCTACAAAAAATTTAAAAATGAGCCAAGCATTTTGGTGCATGCCTGTGTTCTCAGCTACTCAGGAGGTTGAGACAGGAGGATTGCTTGAGCCCAGGAGGTTGAGGCTGCAATGAGCCATGATCACGCCACTGCACTCCAACCTGGGTGACAAAGTGAAGCCCTGTCTCAATAAATAAATAAATAAATAAATAAATAAATAAATAAAGCACTTTGTTTTAGCAGCCCAAACAGTCACCTTCATTTATCTATTCATTCATCCAATAAATACTAGTTGGGTCTTATTTCTTATTAACCCTCGAATCACTATGTATTCCTGTTTTGTTTTTTTCTTCTTCTCATGGTTCCTCAGCTCTTCCAAGATGAATTTAACAGTCATCAAAAACTTTCTGACAGCAAGTTAGACAGAGGACAACCCATCTAAGTTAGCAAAAGGCTAAAACTAAAAATATTTCTGACATAAAATTATTTTAAGTTCTATATAAATCATAATGGTAATAATGTCTATTAGCAGTATCAAAAAAGACCATTTTATTAGAATGTATTGATAATCTTAAAAGGAATAGGGTTTTTAAATTTTTTTATTTTTATTTTTTGAGACAGAGTCTCACTCTGTCCCCCAGGCTGCAGCGCAAGGGCATAATCTTGGCTCACCGCAACCTCTACCTCCCAGGTTTAAGCAATTCTCCTGCCTCAGCCTCCCAAGTAGCTGGGATTACAGGTGCCTGCCACCACACCTGGCTAATTTTTTTGTATTTTTAGTAGAGATGGGGTTTCACCACGTTGGCCAGGCTGGTCTTGAACTCCTGACCTCAGGTGATCCACCCGCCTTGGCCTCCCAAAGTGCTAGAATTACAGATGTGGGCCACTGCTTCCAGCCAGGAATAGGGTTTTAAAGTTAAGTTTATTTTATTTTTTTAGAGATGGCGGTCTTGCTATGTTGTCTGGGCTAGAGGACAGTGGCCATATACAGGCATGATTATAGTGAACCAAAGCCTCAAACTCCTAACCTCAAGCAATCCTCCTGCATCAGACTCTCACGAAGCTGGGACTACAGGTACATGCCACCACATCCAGCTAATTTTGAAAATTTTTTGTAGAGATAAGGTCTCTCTATATTTCCCAGGCTGGTCTCGAACTTCTGGCCTCAAGCAGTCTTCCCACTTTGGCCTCCCAAAGCTCTGAGTCAATTCTTAATTACCACCTGGCCTATAAATAAGTGTTAAAACCATTCTTTTTTCCTTCAGGAGACGTAGACACCAGAGAAATTTATGAAATCTATGACATTTTAAATGGCTCTCCATTCACCGAACACATCCTTTCATGAATGCTCATTCATTTTATTTATTCACTCAGTAAACTATACTGCTTTACTACTATACATTAGGCACCTTAATCTGGAAGTATAAAGATGAGCAAAATGCCAACAGTATCCACGAGGAGCTCACAATCTAGTGGCAAATGGAATCAACCAAAATTAGAATATAGTATAATAAGGACTGTAATACGAGTACCAACAAGGTTCAGGGCTGGACCTTGTTTTACTACACACGGTAGTTGAATATGGAAACTATCAAAGTCAGGCATCCAGGCAATAGCAAAGGTTCTGGATTCCAGGTGCTGTCCACCTGCATTATGCAATGTGGACATCTGCTGTGCTCTTAAATTTTAATTCAGTCAACTCTGGATTATCTAGGAACTAATTAGCCAGTTCCTGAGTTAGGTGGAGCACAAAATAAGAACACAAAGGCATTTGTGGGAAAGAACACACAATAACCATAAATCAGTAAGAAACATTGTCCCCTCGATGACTTCCGTTGCTTGGCTATCTGACAGTCAATATTTGCAAACCCTTTACCGTGGAGAGTGCCCACCGCCTTCATCAATCAGCTGAGTAGACCCCTTAGTGGCAACTTCTGCCACAGCTTCTGGGGACCTCTTGGGACAGCAGATTCCAACACCCAACACACATGAGGGGTGCAGGAAGAAGAAGTGGAGAGAAAGGGGGAGGGAGGCAGAACTGCTCTCTGCCCAGTGCCTTCCCATAATTATAAAGAAAAAGCTTGGCCAAGAAATGGACCACATTAGCAGACTATGATAACACTGTCATCTTATAGGAATGTATATAATGCTCAACTACCTCAATATGTTTTTTAAATTTTCAGACGTCTTTGGAAAATCAGTAAATGTATTTCAAAACATTGAGTGTAATGTTCACTTAATATATATGCATTAGAATGACTTTAAGGTTCAGTTTGACTCTTTTTAACAGTAATTTAGCATTGCAAAGAGCTGCTCATCTCCTCCAGTGAAGAACTGTCAAATCTGAGATAATGCATGTGAGCTTTATCAATTATAAAAGGCTACAGAAGGTATTTCTAGTACCACCGTCGTCATCATCATTATTAGCCACCAAGACATTTTTTAAAAAGTATCTCAAGAAAGCAATAAGTAAAGTGCTTAAAAACATATACTAAAATTTTTCCATGCCTTTTAGAGGTTTTATGGATAGGTGTGCATTGTGTTTTTTCTCTATAACAACAGTTAAGATCTTAAATACTATGTACTCTACAATCTCAATCTTTTTATAACACTATTAGCTTTTCAAAGGGCCTTGACACTTACTGAAAATTTTGATCATTGCAGCCCTGTTAGATAAAACAGGTATTAAGAATTCCATTTTGGCTGGGAACAGTGGCTCACGCCTGTAATCCCAGCATTTTGGGAAGCCAAGGCGGGCAGATCACCTGAGGTCAAGAGTTCAAGACCAGCCTGACCAACATGGCAAAACCCCATCTCTACTAAAAATACAAAATTAGCCGGGTGTGGTGGCACATGCCTGTAATCCCAGCTACTCGGGAGGCTGAGGCAGGAGAAACACTTGAACCCGGGAGGTGGAGGTTGTGGTGAGCTGAGGTTGCACCATTGCACTCCAGCCTGGGCAACAAGAGCAAAACTCCGTCACAAAAAAAAAAAAAATAGAATCTCATTTTACACACATTTAGACACAGAAGTTAGGTGACTATTAGTATGCTAAAATCATGTATTTATAATGTCAGTGATGACATGGATATAGCAAAAGTCTTTGAAACTCAAGATGTTTACCACTTATGTTATTATTTTAATTATATGATTATTAACCACTTAGAATACTGAAATGTTTACTCTTTCCTAATTACAAGTTTTTCCAACAATGTCAACAAAATTCAGAAAGGTGTTGAAAATGCACTCAATCTGCAAGTATTTACTGAGTATGAAGACTATACTTTCAGGGATCTTTTTTTTTTTTTTTTTAAGAGTTTCGCTCTGTTGCCCAGGCTGGAGTGCAGTGGCACGATCTCGGCGCACTGCAAGCTCTGCTTCCTGGGTTCAAGCCATTCTCCTGCCTCAGCCTCCTGAGTAGCTGGGACTACAGGGGCCTGCCACCATGCCCGGCTAATTTTTTGTATTTTTAGTGGAGATGGGGTTTCAATGTGTTAGCCAAGATGGTCTCGATCTCCAGACCTCATGATCCGCCTGCCTCAGCTTCCCAAAGTGCTGGGATTACAGGCGTGAGCCACCGCTCCAGGCTCAGGAATCATTTCTATAGTTCGTTACTGAGTATCATCTGTATGACAGGCGAATAAAGTACTCGGGTGATATAAAGATCATGGTCCCTGCACACACAAAGTTAAAAATGGGTAAGAGAGATACAGAGATACGTACATCTACAGCAAGTATCAAGGTGAAATGTGGTAAGTAGCACAATGGAAATGGGAAAGAAGAGAATGGGAATCCAGGAGAGAAAGAGACTTCACGTACAGATGAAATTTCTAAAAAGACTTCATGAAGGCATTACTGTAAAATCTCCTTAAACTCAGTTTCTTCTCATTTCTTTTTTTATGACTACAGCACCAACATTGTTTGGTCATTTCATCCGAAAACTTTGGTGCATCACTGTGGCCCCTCTCCCTAGAGATCTGCTCTCCTAACTCCTCTCCCTGTGAGTTTCCTACTCACACACCCACTCCCACCACACACACACACACACACTCACACATACACACAAGCACATACACACACACAGATACCCATATACATACCCACATAAACATGCCTACAGAGATACATACATACACACACGCAAGCACCTCCTCAAGGCAATCAACTGCCCAAGTTCTCTCTCGGCTGAGGCTCTTGACTTTGTCAGTATTCAGGGTGACTCTCAGAAAAAAACCCCTTTGAAGGAGCCTGAGATCCCAGGGACCATTGCAGTTTTTCACTCACAGCTGAGATTGATCATCAGTCAGACAGGGCACACCAAGACCCCTGTGATCCTTTGGAAACATGGCCTGCACAGCCGCCACTAGGGAGCAGAGCACGTGGAGTCTGTGAATTCCTGGCATAATGCCTCCTTGTTTAGCAGTCATACCCGCTTGCTTTTATGTCTCTGTGAAAGAATGAAGAGGAAACTGCTCCCTCAAGATCCCAAATGAGATAAGAAAGTTGTGACTGGAGGTCACTGCAGACCACAATTTTGCCCTTAAGCAAAGCAATAAAAAGGTCCAAATACTTCCACCTCCCCGACCACTCTGTCCTCACTCTGTCCTCGGCCGATGGATGAATAAGATGCCACATCTGAGGCTCAGGGCTATTCAGAGAGTTGAAAAACCCCATCATTAGGCAGAGGGCCAGACCAGGCCTGCTAATATCTAAAGAATGTTTAGCCCTGCATTTGTAAGTGAAGAGAGAGAGGAAAATTTTTTGAACAGATCTACAGTGTTGCAATTTGTCTTGTTACAATTAAAATGCAATGTGAAATCGAAGTACAGCCTTGTCCAATTTTAACAGCCCCTTTTCAAAAACCTCTGACTGTTCCTGAGCATCTAACCTCAGTAGAGGATCATCAGGCTTGGCAAAGGCTCTCCACCACACACCCTCAGCCTCAGGTCACCAGACCCCAGCCAAACGGGGATGCTTATTGGATCCCAAACAGCACATAAAATAGAAGTCTACCATAATTGTCCCTCTGAAATACACTTGCCCTACTAGCATTAAGTTAAAAAATAATTTCATTTGGCTCCTTAAAATTTAGAACAACTTCTGGGATGACTCAGATAACCGAGGCTTCTTTAAAATGCTTTCCGGATGGGTTTCAACTGATGGCTTTTTTTCCTCTGTGTAATTTTCACCATAGTAAGCAAAGGCTCTCAAAAATCATTTCGTAGTACTTAGTGCTACACTCAAATTTGAGATGACTCTGTTAAAAAATTGCCACTGTTGCCCCTAAATAGTAGGAGAGCCCACGGAGGGCTTTGGGTTGAAAGAGTTAGAGAAGGGGACTCTCTTGAGTCAGGTCCTTCTGACAGTCTTCTCTTAGCTCTCTCTATTCCTGGGTAACTAGAGGGAGACCCTTCGAAGAGAAAGAACATGGAAAAAAGGAAGCACACTGAGCATGGCGGGAGGGGAAGCGACTAAGAACTTTACCTGGAACAGTGATTCTCTGCCTTTTATCCCTCCCAGCCCACCTAAGGCACAGCATGCACAGCCAGGACTAGCAACACATGGAACACATTTTTAACAGGGAAGGTTTGACAAAGACTTTCTCCAACTGAATCAGCTGGTTAGGAAGCTCTAGCTTTAAGAAAGAAGTAGTTTATGAGTTAATGATGAGTTTATGAGTTATTTATTAGTTATTTGTATATCTTATCCCAGCTATTCATGGAACACCCCTTGCATCTTGCCACCTCCCCAGGTGTTCACCAGTACCTGCTGCTGGTGCCCACCCTGGTGACAACTTGAAGAACCCACAGAATAAGTAGGTGAAGGTGTGAAGTCGGGGACTTGAATTTAGAGGAGTACAGCTGGCCCTCCATATCTGTGGGTTCTGCGTCTGAAGAATCAACCAACCACAAATTGAAAATATTTTGAATAAATAAATAAAAAACAATACAATACAAAATAGTACAAATTTTAAAACTACACTGTATAACAACTATTTGCATCCTGTTTACATTGTATTAAGTAATCTACAGAGGGTATGTGTAGGTTATATATTAGGTGTTGTATTAGGTTGTGTGTGTGTGTAGGTAGGTAGGTTATGTAACACAAATACTACACCATTTTATATCAGGGTCTCGAGCGTCTGCAGATTTTGGTATCCAAGCGGGGTCCTGGAACAAATCCTCCCATGGGTACCCCAGGACGACTGTACATAAATGCAGCATTGGAAATTTAAGAATGTTTATCAGAAGTCCTGTTGTTGGCATGGTGGCTCATACCTGTAATTCCAGTACTTTGGGAGGCCAAGGCAGGAAGATCGCTTGAGGCCAGGAGTTAGAGACCAGCCTGGCCAATAAAGCAAGACCTCATCTCTGCTAAAAATTAAAACTCCTAGGTTCAAATGATCCACCCTCCTTGGCCTCCCAAAGTGCTGGGATTACAGGTGTGAGTCACCACACCCTGCCCTCGTGAGCCACCATGCCTGGCCCTTCCCTGTCTTATTCTTCTGACTGAAGTGTCTGTTTCTGGCTTCTGGCTGGAGGCTACACTTCCCAGCCTGCCAGAAGGGCCACCTAGCAGGCTACAACTCTTTTTGAGAAGTAAAATTTTCCTTTCTAAATTTATGAATATTGTTATTCTTCAGTTGACACTTCCTTTGAATAAAGTCTGCCTTACCATCAATAACAAAAATTATTGTTAAATAACTTTTATTTAACAATACTATATTCAAATAGTACTAAAATACTGTTGAGTTTCAATGCACAATTGAGTGACAAGCCTTCTCATTTCTTCCCTAAGATGTCTTTGGTTGTTAGAAGAATGTACCCTATGAATGAATAGCCTCAATTTCAATAGATGTTATGAATATGAAAGAAGTGAAATGTTTTTAATGTGTAAAGATACACAGTAAATAGATGTAAATATAAATTCAGTGGAGGGCAATTTGATGGTGTATATCAAAATTACAATATTTTAATACAATAATTGCAGTTATAAGACTTCTGCAGATATTCTTGCACATGTGTAAAATTATGTATGCACTAGAATATAAAATATATTTATATGTGGATATAAATAATGATAAATCCACACAGTGAAATGGTACCACACAATGAAATGGTATGCAAAGAAAAAATGAGATAGCGCTATCAATCCAAGGTATTGAAGAGCAGCAGAATATTCCACTCCAAAATATGCCATATGGTTATTTTGAGCTAAAGGCAACTGAGAAGCGGAACCAAAAAAAAGCTCTCTGCCCTCCCGCTATTTGCCTAAAAAGAAGACATAAATTTACAAAGGTGTCTCTCCTTCCCTCTCTAATAGAAAGAACAAAAGCTAATCACTGGAAATGACTTTAGATCTTTATCAGCCTGGAGAAGATACCAGAGGACTCTACATAACAAACTTTGCTAACTAGCCTTTATCACAATTAGTTTCCCATAGATTTGCCTTCCCACAATTTGCTGTCCCTAGACACTCAAGGTCCTCTTCCTTTGTCTCGTCTAAAATGTATTATCCTTCTCTAAAATGTATTCTTCTTTGTTAAAGATGCTATAGTGAGCCTGGAGTTCTAAGCCACCTGTTGAAGAATTACTCAGTCCCTGGGTATCTCCCATGTGTATATGAAATACATGTTAATAAACTTCTGTTTGTTTTTTTTCTTGTTAATCAATCTTTTGCTACAGGGGCCCCAGTTAAGAACTCAGAGGTGTACAGGGAAAATTTTTCCTTCCCTAGAGTACCATTCAGTAAAAAGCAGGGTTTAGGTGTGTAACATGCCGTCATTTATTAATAAAAAAGTGGCAGAGGGAAGAATATATACATGTATTTATAAATGCATGTAAGAAGTTGGACCAAAAATTGAAAACTGGCATTAGTGGTTATTCTATGGCGTGACTAAGTGACTAGAATACAAGAGAGGGAGATTTAATTTTTGCTGTTTACCAGAAGAAATATACACGCAAATATTACATTAAAATATTTCCAGAATGTTGTCACTTCTCACCACTTCAAGACTTCCTGCCCTGGTCTAAGCCACCATCATTTCTTCCCCAGACTATGGCACTGATCTCCTAGCAGCAATCCCTGCTTCCACCCTTGCCCTCTTGGAGTCTATTTATTATCCTTGGAGGATCCAGAGTGATACTTTTAATATTTAAGCAGGTTCACAGCATGTCCTGCTCAAAACTCTCCAGTGGCTCCCTGTTTAGCTCAGAGTAAAAACCAAAGTTTCCACATCACCTGGCCCCCATGTCCCACCTCAGTCACCCATTTCCCTTGGAACCTCGTCTCCTACTATCCTCCTCTTACTCCCACTTCTCCAAACACACTCGTGTCTTGGCTGCACCTTGATGGCCTCTGCCCCACCTTCAAGCCCTTGCAACAACTATTCCTTCTGCCAGGGATACTATTTCCCCAGATATCTGCCCAGCTCATGCCCTTGCCTACTGTAAGGCAGAGCAAAACTCTCCTTCCTAATGAAGTCTACCCTCCTGTCCCATTTAAAACCACAGTCCTCTCAACAGCACCCTTACCCTGCATTGCTTTATTCCAAGCACGTAACAGCTTCTAACATAATATTTATGGTAATAATTTATTGATTGATTTATTTTGGCTATTGTCTCCACTAGAACGTAAGCTCCATAAAAGCAGGGATTCTTTTTTAAAAACAATTGTATCTCCAGTACCGAGAACAATGTTGGGAATATAGTAGATACCCAATAAACATTGCTGAAATAAATATACTTTTGTATCTTTTTTATTTGTACATGAGAATGTATAATCATGAAAAGTTAACGGCACTTCAGAGAAAATTAAATTACTTTTTTGTTAAGAAAATTTTTGATGTTCTCTACCATACTTACCAAAACAGTAATAATAACTCCTCAGAATACCAGTGTTCTCAATAAAATAAATAAGCAATTATTCATTTTTTAATGAATATTGGTAGTGATTTTTTTAAATGAATAACAGCTTATTTATACACCAGGACTTCCTGTGAGATCCCTTTCACTTTTTCTCCTGTGAGCCTATGCTAATTTTCCTAAGTGATTAAGTAAACCTAAATATTCAAAAATGTGGTATTACACTATTTATGTACTAAGTCTCTTCTGAAGGTATAAACCATATAATAAATGAAAATAATACAGTTCTAAAGCTGTATCCCAGAATCAGGAGGACAGGCACCATTCCTTTTTAGAGAGATGCACTCAAAGAAATCCCTTAAACTAGGCCCAAATTGAAAATGGTTCTAAACCATTTTCACACCAGCAACTACAAGGTTTATTATTCCTGTGCAGAGATAATCAGGCCACTCCTTTGGTCACTAATCTCTCCTGCCCCACAATACTTGGATATAAGTATATTTAAATGGGGAGGGGGGTGCTTAATTTTAGCTTAATTGATAATTAACAGACAGAAATAGAAAAGTGGGTATGTAGATACATTGGAGAAGACAGGTCTCTAGATTAGTAATCAGATTATAAAAGTTTAGATGTTCAGTCCCCATAAGGAACTAGAACTCATGCAGGAGGCAAAAATAACAGAGGCATTCTGGGGCTTCCGGGAAAGAACCCAAGACAGAACAGAACAAAGAAGTTAGCAAATCAAGGTAGGCATCACTTTGACCCAGGAGCCAAGGATTTTAAACTAGAACTAATTTCATCAGCTCACTAACCTGTTATTGAACCACGCATACTAGCCAACAGTCAAAGAAAGTCCTACAGGTGTCTTTACTTCACTAACAAGATAATATCTACATCTGATGCTTTAGACTGGTCACCTAAGCACTATGTAGAATTGTGATTTTTAATATAAGAAATTTTTATTTATTAGAAAATTATATTATATCACTATAAAAGGGAAAGAACTTCCACTTCTGGCTGTAATGGAGTAACTGGCAGAAAACTAACCTCCTTCACCCACAGAAAACAATTATAAAATTGAATAAAATATAGGAAGTGACTGCTTTCAGACACTGGACAATAAATACACAGTAGTGTGATCCCAGGAAGAAGGGAAACACACAAAAAAGATCTGTCTACACAATCGCCTTGATATTTTGCCTGGAAACACTTTCTGGAACACAGGCAGAGAGGGAGAACTCAAACAGAGCATGGCAGTCTCACGGGGCTGGGGAGGCAGCAATCAGAATTCAGGGATGCTGAAGTAGCTGGAATGTGCAGTGACGTGAGTCAGAGGGAAAGTTGTTCATAGAAAGAGATCTAAAGTTTAGCATGGGGGGGGTCTTCTTAAGTTATTAGCTGCACATGTGTAGACCAATACTCATGGAGAGATGTGGCAGACAATAGGTCCTAGACAGTGTGATCTGAGTGGACATTCCAGAGGTCACACAGTGCTGAGAGATACAGCACTTCTAACCAGTCAGAGTACACAGGCTGATTTATTTTGATTATTGTCTCCACTAGAACATAAGCTCCATAAAAGCAGGGTTTTTTTTTTAAATAACTATTGTATCTCCAGTACCGAGAACAATGTCTGGATTATAGTAGATACCCAATAAACATTGTTGAAAGAATAAATATACTGTTTATACCTTTTTTATTTGTTATTTTGCCTAGAAACACTTTCTGGAACACAGGCAGAGAGGGAGGCTGCCTGGATCACCCTGGACATTCAGCTGAGTCTCCAAAAATGCTACTGTAGCCCAAGAGCTAGACCTATTCTAATAAAGCTTAAAAATAAGCCAAACAGAATCAAGCTGATTGGCCAGGACATTAACTGCCTAGGAAAATGGAAGCTGATCTTTTTTAAAAAAAGAAACACAATCCAGACTCTCAATAGCATAGCATCCACAGTATCTAGCATACAAATATAAATTACTATAGATGCAAAGAAATAGGAAGATGTGACCCATAATCAGAAAAATAATCAGTAAAAACAGAGTCAGAGATTACAGAAATGTTGAAATAGCAAACCAGAACTTTAAAACAACTATAATAAATATGTTTAAAGATTGAAAAGATTATCATAATGCATGAACAGATAGGGAATATCAGTAGTGAAGTAAATATATTTTTAAAAAGCAAATGGAAATTCTAAAACTTAAAAATACAAAATATGAAAAAAATTCACTGTATGGACTTAATAGTAGATTGGGCACTGCAGAAAAAAAAGGATAACTGAACCTCAAGGCAGGCAATAGAAATTATCTGAAGTAAAGCACAGAGAAAAGAAAAGGATTAAAAACAGTAATAACAATTAGAGACTCAATAGCCTCGGAGACAATACTGAGAGTTTAATCCACATATGATGAAAGTCCCAGAAGAAGAAGAGAGACAAAATGGAGGGGAAAAAAATTTAAAGAAATAATGGATGAAAATTTTCCAGTTAAAAAGGCAGTAAATACGCCCAAAAGTCTAAAATATTATAAAGTAAAATTTAAGCATTCTAAGTATGGTAGATTAAAGATGGCCACAAATGCTTTGTCATCATCTCCATTAAGAGGTGGGATTTATTTCCCCTCCTTGTTAATCTAGGCTGGCCCTGTGACCACCAGAAAGTGATGGAAGTGATACTATTTGTCTTGTGTTTAGCACTACCACTATCAAGCCTACCACCCTGAACAAGTTGCTTAACCTCCCTGAGCCTTGACTTTCTCATATCCAATAGAGTGATGTGGGACTCAATTTTCTGAGATTCTATCCAGATTTAGAAAAATCTATGTTCT
This sequence comes from Homo sapiens, assembly GCF_000001405.40. Classification (NCBI taxonomy): domain Eukaryota; kingdom Metazoa; phylum Chordata; class Mammalia; order Primates; family Hominidae; genus Homo; species Homo sapiens. The sequence continues at coordinate 172,776,136 of NC_000002.12, read as the reverse complement.
AAGAGGAGTTACATATTAAACCAATAAATAAAAATAAATCAGGATGACATGTCAAAGTGTAAATCTGTAAGTACTTGGCTGCTAAGAATATGAATATCTTAGTCAAAACGTATATGAACCTTCCAGATCTATTGCTAAGTCAAAATACACTTAGGATTCTGGCTAGAATAAAGTACTCTTCATGGCTCTGACTTATAAACTAAAGATTATATAGTAGTAATAGGGTCCTATAGCTAAAGAGTATTAGTAAACCGAAGATGATTTAAGGCACCTTAGGATATAGTCAAATCCCTTTCCTTTCACAGTGCTTAGGCTTTCCCCCCAACAACCCTCAGTCTTAAAGAGTGAATAGACTTAAATAAATCTGAGGTAGCTAGTAGAAAAAATATCTATAATTTTTTATAAACTTTTGTTAGACAAAAGTTTGACCTTTTGTCATACCCACTGAGTCTAATATACCTCATTTTCATAGTTCCAAAACTACAAATGCCAAAAAAAGCCAGATGCCTTGAATTTCATTCTTTTTGGAAACAGCTTCCGGTACACCCTTCAGTGTGGAAAATGGCAAGAGCAGTCCTCACCATCACAAATTTCCAATATGCCTCACTGCATAGAATGAAAAGCCCCAGGCAGCATGATTTGTGCCAAGGACATATGGCAGGGATTATGATTAGTTAGGGATGAAGATTCAATTTGACAGTCTTTCTTTTTAGTGTTAGTCATTTCAGTTTTCATAGAGATCAGAATTAATAGATCAGGCCAGGTAGGCTAGTGTATAGAATACTGATTTAATAAAAAGAAAGCTAACCATATGTATAATTTCAGGCAAGGTTTGAATGATTGCATTTAATTATAACTGCCAGGAATTGTGACTACCTGGGCAATAAGAAACCTAGAGACGGGGCTCCCAAAGGGCCAGCAAATGGCCAAAGCTGGTTGCAGAAAGGAGTCTTGTTATAGTCATGTATGGTCCATTTAGCAATAGGATACTGTAACTACCCACCCATGCCAAAGATATAGCTCTGGCCTGGGAGATTATAACAGGCTTCTTAAATGCCAAAAGCTGGTCCATCTTTTCTATCCCTCCTATGAAGGAAAGGAAGCCACGCCTCAGAACCAACAGGAATCGAATGCCCACACTTATCCCAGTCCCAAGTCTCTGAGCAAGCAAAACAGGAAGCATCTTCATCCCACAGTTTTTCTTCACCAAAGCAGAGATAAACAGCATCAGAATTTTGAATTGCAGTCTCTAATTTCTTTCATTCAACAATACTGGTACATGTCTAGCATGTACAAGCACAATGAAAAGTTATTTGAGAATTACAAGGAAGAACCAGACCTTGAATCTGCCCTAAAACAGCTTCTGATCTATTAGGGGATCTAAGACATATATCTACATGATGGCAATGCAAGGATAAAAGCAGTCATATGGGTCTATAAAAGATACACAGAGGTCTGTAGAAAAACTCCTAGAAGTTCAGAGCTATATGAGATAAGAGTGAGTAGAGAAGGCTTCATAGAGAGCCCCTTTCTTCCAATGCTCAGCTTTCCACACCATTTTAGCTGATATTTTAACTAGGTCATGGAGAATGGACAGAAATTGCAAAAGTACAAACAGAGGTTAAAATGTTTCCAGACAGCAAAATAATAAAGCTTGAGTAAAGGCATGGGGGTAGGAAATGACAGGCCAGGAACAGCCAGTAGTTCCAATGGTTTGGAGTTCTAGTGGTTCTGAGAAACAAGATTGGGACCCAATTGGGGCAGCATTTGAATGCCAGCCAGTCAGGCACAGACTTTATTCTGCTAACCATGGGAAGGCCACCAGAGATATTTAAAAATCAGAAAATCAGAAAAAATCAGAGCCATCATTTTCAAAAATTAGTCTTCTAGCAGGGAATGAACTGAAGAAGAAAGGGGCAAAAGGTATGGAAAGTAATTAGGACAGAGCTTTTAGGGCTCCATATGTCATGCTTTTCACAATAACATGCAGAATCCACATCCTCATTTAGGTGTGATAATATCATTACTCTCTTCTCTCTCCAATGTCTACTTAGAAGTAGCGCAACAGTAAGTCTTTTTTCTGGAGATGGTCATGGCTTATACCTGTAGTCCTGGTGAAATTAATAATAGTGCCCCCATTCACTCTCGAAAGTATTCTGGTTTGGACAATAAATTATGTATGCACCTTACTTAGAAATAATCCTTCTTCTTCCACTTCTCTGCAGATCCTCTCCTAGATACCAGGGATTCAGAGCCAATTCATACCATTTGCAGCCCCCTCCCCTCACTCACTATATGACGATTATGTGATCAGTTTCTTTCCTTCCCCAGGATATCAGGTGATCACATTTGTTTTGTTTTGTTTTGTTTTGTTTTTTGGCTTTAGAGCTTCTGTTGCCTTTTTTCTCCAGCTCCAAGTCAGTGGGTCAGAGCAGGATGAAATTCTGATTGAAAAGGTTTAGGCTGTTGGGTAGGATGGTCCGCGGGGGGGGCAGTGTGGGGCAGGGAGGCAGTGTGGGGTGGGGAGGGAAGTCTGGAGTAGGAGATAGAGGCTCTCAAGTCTGAGAAGAGGGAGGAGGACAAGGTTTCTCCAGAGAGCCATGGATGAGTAAGATTCCAGACCTTTGTCTTTTCTCATCTGCAAATGCTAGTGGGTGTGTGAAGATGATGATGAAAGGGTACATGTTAGCAGCAAAACGAAAAATGTGACTTTACTGCATGAAAGTAGCACTAATTATAGTCATTTATTAGAACATCATATGAACCATTTGTCCCTAATTACAGTGCTGTCCAAGAACGAATATGTAAATCATAAAAGATGCCAGATCATTTTTATTGTGGCTGTATTTGATTGTAATAGTAAACTCTTTAAATGTGTTCATAATTATAGTTTGTTACACATGTGGCATGATTATTTGTTTACAACACTAACTCCTTCTATTATTAATAATAAATCATATTATCCAGTAAAAGATCTGGATTTTTCAGATACTTATGAACTTGTGTAAGAAGGAAAATGCCCAGCCAACAGGAATCATCTTTAAAAACCAATGTAAATGTACAAAAAGTGGCACTGCATTTCTGGGTGGGCCAAGATTAGTTAATGAAAGAGAATAATCCAGTCATTCACATGGAAGTGGACCTAATGAGTTTTAATCAAAGAAAGGGATCAAAGAGTGATTACTGACATCTCCTGGAAGACCTGTGTGCTAAGCAGATTCAGAAAGCACGTGCTTGTGATTCACTGTTAGCAACCCTGGGTTTAGAACATAACTAGGACAAGTAAATAAAGAGCACAAAAGTTTGATAAGGAAATAAACTTCTGTCTTCCCCCAGACTGTGAGCAGCCTTAGCACAGCAACCACATCTGACGCACAGCACCTGGTACCAAAGCACACGCTTGGTTATTCACATACTCGTTCAACAAACATACTGAGGATTTAATGAATCATTGGTCCTTAAACAAACTCATTTCATTTTAAAATAATGTTTTAGCTGGGTGCGGTGGCTCATGCCTGTAATCCCAGCACTTTGGGAGGCTGAGGCAGGCGGATCACTTGAGGCCAGGAGTTTGAGACCAGCCTGGCCAACGTGGTGAAGCCCCGTTTCTACTGAAAATACAAAAATTAGCCAGGCCTGGTGGCAGGCGCCTGTAATCCCAGGTACTCGGGAGGCTGAGGCAGGAGAATTGCTTGAACCTGGGAGGCAGAGGCTGCAGTGAGCCAAGATTGCGCCACTGCACTCCAGCCTGGATGACAGAGCAAGACTCCATCTCAATAAAATAATTAAATAAAATAATAAAATAATATAAATAATAAAATAATATAAAAAACATAAAATAACATTTTATTCTGTTTTAACTACATTCATTTTATTCTCTGAGTTCAAAAATTATCTTTGAGACAGAGTCTTACTTTGTTGCCAGGCTGGAGTACAGTGGCCAGATCATGGCTCACTGCAGTGTCCATCTCCTGGACTCAAGTGATCCTCCCACCTCAGCCTCCCGAGTAGCTGAGACTACAGGCGTATGCCACCACACCCAGCTAATTTTCGTATTTTTTGTAGAGACAGGGTTTCACCATGTTTCCCAAGCTGGTCTCAAACTCTTTGGGATCAAGTGATCATCCTGCCTCAGCCTCCCGAAGTGTTGGGATTATAGACATGTTGCCACCATGCCCAGCCAACAGTTATTACTTTCTACTGGATGGAAAGCTTTTTATTTTTCCTTGAGCAACAGACATTTTTCTTTAAAGATCAAATGTGGGCTTTTATTTAGCTGCATTGAAGGCTGGTTTATTGTTCACAATATAACCACTTCATATCATTGTTTAGAGTTTACTTACTTGCAGATGCACATAAACATTTCTAATATAACATTAAAAATAATTTTAAAGCCAGGAACGGTGGTGTACATCTGTAATACTAGCTACTCAGGAAGCCGAGGTGGGAGGACTGCTTGTGCCCAGGAGTTTGTGACAAGCCTGGGCAATATAGTGAGACCTTTACCTCATACCAAAAAAATAAAAATAAAAAGAATTTAAAAATAACACTTACGAGAGTTTGTCTTTTCCTAATTACAGAAATGCATTTCGGGGAAAATATTAGGGGAAAAATCACAATTACAATCTCTCAAATAACCTCAATATGCTATATATTTTTTCAATCTTTTTCTAGCAAGCTAGCTAGCTAAAAATCTAAAACTCGCTTTATTTAAAAAAAAAAACAGTACTGCTTTGGTCCAAGTGTTTGTATCCCCGCCCCCAAATTCATATGTTGAAATCCTAACCCCCAAGGCGATGGTATTAGGAGGTAGGGCTTTGGGAGGAGTCCTCATGAGTGGGACTACCGTTCTTATAAAAGAAGCCCAAGGGGGCTTGTTCTCCCCTTCCACAGCAAGAGGGCACCACCTATGAATCAGAGACCAGGCCCTGACCAAATCTGCTGGCACCTTGAGCTTGGACTTCCCAGCCTCCAGAACTGTGGGCAATAAATTTATTTTTTAAATAATTTATTGTTTACAATAAATATGTTAAAATTTATTAAAATAAATTATTTAAATAATTTATTATTTATAAATGACCAGCCTATGTACTTTGTTATAACAACCTGAACAGACTAAGACAAGGGCCAAGCTATATTCTGCAACAACTGAAAGTATTACATTACAGCCTAGAACAGTGCCTCCCATCCTTTTTTTAAGTCATGATGGACTCACAGAAAATTACATTTGCATGGCACACTAGGGTAAACTGATCCATGTCCCCAAGCCACCTTTTGAAGCTCAGGCCATCCAAAGGCTGCAGAATCAGTCCCTTAGGTATACCAATACCGCATATTAGTTGGGAAGTTCTGGCCTAAAGAACCAGTTCTGTAAGTGTGTCTGTTCAGGAACCAACCAGGGAAGATTATTTCCTAATCCATGGGGACAATAGATGGCAATTCTTTCCATTTAACACTCATCTAGTGCCTATTGCATGCCACCATAATACATGCTGTGGGTGCAATGTGAACAGGATTTACTCCCTCTCCTCAAGGTATGTACATTCGAATAAGAAAGATATTAGGTAAACAACTATATCACAACCTAGCAAGCACTATGTTTTGGGAAATAACAGTAAAATAGCAGATGGCATTTATTGTGTTTTCATTAGGGCCCATCAATGTACTCACTTTACATATATGAACCCATTTAATCCTCACAATAGCCTTAAAAGGTAGGTATTATATTATCACCCTGCTGATGGGGAAACTGAGCTTGGGGTGTTGGGAACTTCCCCTAAATCTCCATAGGCAGTGGGGTAGCCCAGCCTGGAACTCAGAGCATTTGACTGCTCTCTTAACCACCATATTTTTGATCAGGGCCACCCACAGATGTGTGACTGCCCCAGGCAGGCAGATAATCGGGGTCCACTTCAAACATTCTCTGACTGTTGGTTCAATATTTATTTAGCAGAGTAGCTGACCAGAGGAGAAGGACCAGCCAGTGGCAGCTCTCAGGTATTCTTATACTTCCTCAAGCAGTTTAGCATACTCTGTCAACAAACAAAAGTGGGTATGCATGCATACACCACCAAATACATCAGCAAAAACCCTGCATTTAATTAGTCTCACCCTCTTTAGAAGGGTGTTAGACTATATGTGGTTCATCATGATCACCTTTTTATCCACCCTTGGATCCCTTCAAGGGATACTCCATCCCTAAACAGTATTTTTGTGTGAAGAGTTCTGGTAAGCCTAGGGTTGCCAGATTTTGCAAATACAAATATTGGACACCCACTTATATTTGAATTTCAGATAAATGAATTTCAGTTTTTTTAATGTAAGATGTCCCATTGTAATAATTGGAACATACTTATATTTTAAAATTATTTGTCATTTATCTGAAATTCAAACTCAGTTGGACATCATATATTTTATCTGGGAACCTAGATAAGCTCAATTTTCTCCATATCTTATTTCTGTTGGTGTTGTTGGGGTTCAGAAAGCAATACCCCAAAATATGCTGCTTTGAACTTCAAACTGAGAGCACCTGGGGAGCAGCAAATGCAGGGAAGGGCTTTCCCTGAACTCCCCCTATCTACTTAAAGGCCAGATCCTCCAGAAGATATTCAACTGTATGAATCTCTTTCCCAGATATCTTGTCAACCAGGGGAAATTGATGCATACCCCAGGAAGGAAGACAGGGGTGGATATCACACCCAGAGCTCAGACAGACTTTGTCCCAGGCTACTGTCTGTTCTTCAGGCCCATTCCTTTCCCCCAGAATCTTTTAATCTTCCTCTAAAATTGTCTACATCCCCTACTTGCCTCTCCCCTATGAAGAGGGTGTCTAAGCTTCAACCATCTGGCCTTCCTTTGAGTTTCATACTTTTCGTGACTCCCATGCATACACACTAATAAATGTGTATGCCTTTTCTGCTGTCTACTGTCAAGTTTATTCCAGAGATCAAACCTTCAAGGAAGGAAAATTCCTTTTACCCTAACAATGATTTAGAACCTCCTTAAGACGTATACCCCAAGACAACTTCCCTGAAGTTTCACAGCTTAACCTAGGTCTAGTTCTCCCCCTTCCACCATATCATGATTTGCTCCACATTCACACATAAGGAAAGGGAAATGGTGATCCCACGTCCTTGCCCCACACCACCATGTTGGTGCTTCTGTGGGTGGCATGCTCGTCGTCTCATGATGGTATTCAGTTCTCTGTGAGAGTACACGGAGAGCTGTGAAATGCAGAGGAAACATCTACCTGAAGCAACAATTTTACTGAAATAGTTTGAGATGAAAGATTTTGCATTCTTGAGTTTTTAAAAGAATTTGTCACAACAATATGCAGCAGTCTTTTGGTTTTCCATCTTGGCCAATGTCGAGCTTTTCATGGAAACCAGTAGGCCACAGATATTTTAATGTGCAATAAGGGACTGTAATCTTTGGTACTTTGGAGTTATATGGGAATCCCCAGAATCAGCACCATGGTGCAGAAACAGTGAAGAATGTCTTTGGCAGAACTGATTATGCTAATGATGTCACCGGCACCTACAACTGGCACTCTTCCGCCTGAGTACTCACGCCAGGAAGTGTGATTTCTTGATGAATCCACAGCTTTTTTTTCTTTCTTTTTTTTTTTTTTTACTTTTGGTTGCAAAAATTCTACTGGCTCCCATAAACTAGTGCAGCTTCCTATTGGAATTGTTCAAAAATGTGATAAATCAAATATTTGTTTACAAACACAGGACTATAAATAGCTTCATTTTCTGTTGTACTGAATGTCCCTATAACATAAAACCAAGCAAAATTAAGGTTTTTTGGTAGATATATTTTTCCTCTTCACATTTTAAAATGGCAATACATTTCTTGCATGAATGATTGTCTGCTGGTCCATACATCCTCTCAATGGCCTTGAGCTCCCTCCTTGACTTTAATAACTCTCAAGATTTCACCTGGTAGAGATTGGGAACTGTCTGCACAAGCAGTGTATACATTTTGTCCCAGTCAATAAAAAGTCACGCATCAAAACATGAATCAGGCCAGGCGCGGTGGCTCATGCCTGTAATCCTAGCACTCTGGGAGGCTGAGGCGGGCAGATCACTTGAGGTCAGGAGTTCGAGACCAGCCTGGCCAACATGACGAAACCCCGTCTCTACTAAAAATAAAAAAAATGAGCTGGGCACGGTGGCAGGCGCCTGTAATCCCAGCTACTCGGGAGGCTGAGGTTGCAGTCAGCCGAGATTGTGCCACTGCACTCCAGCCTGGGCAACATGGGGAGACTGTGTCTCAAAAAAACAGAAACAAACAAAAAAACCATGAATCACTATAGACTCTGGAACCTAGTGTCATCTTTTAAGCTTTCCACAATAAACTCAAGAGAAGATGCTGGCAGGGCCATTTCACAGACAGTTATTTGGAGGTACACACAAAGGTAGGCTCTAAAAAGCATATGGATCCTTATTTCTAAAGTTTTGAAAATAAAAAAAGAAATATAACCACTTGGTGTCTTTGTTTTCCAAGAAAGCAGAAAGAAAAAATTATTTCCTAGGCTTCCATCTTTAGGTTATTTTTCTTTAGTGGGCTATGTTCAATCTCAGCACAATCTCATTTTCCTCATAGATTCAACTGTCCATGCATATGTTTATATGTTTTTTTAAAACAGAGTATTTAGGCCGGGCTCAGTGCCTCATGCCTGTAATCCCAGCACTTTGGGAGGCCGAGGCAGGTGGATCATTTGAGGTCAGGAGTTCGAGACCAGCCTGACCAACATGGAGAAACCCTGTCTATACTAAAAATACAAAAACTAGCCGGGCATGGTGGCGCATGCCTGTAATCCCAGCTACTCGGGAAGCTGAGGCAGGAGAATCGCCTGAACCCAGGAGGCAGAGGTTGTGGTGAGCCAAGATCGTGCCATTGCACTCCAGCCTGGGCAACAAGAGCAAAACTCCGTCTCAAAAAAAAAAAAAAAAATAGAGTGTTTATCTTTGTTTATATGTTTATTTAAAATAGAGAGTTTATCTTCACAACCCAAACCTTATTGTATCTTGGATGACCTATGACCGTATATAAAAAACTATGACTTTTACAACACATCAAAAAGCCAATTAGGCACATTTTAAAAGAAAGTTCTCAGAATTTGTTGAGCTGAAAACAGCCAACTTGACTAGAAGTGAGACAATCAAAAACAAAACCATACAAGAAAATGCTGCAATTGCTTGTAGCTTTCCTTGCACACAGTTTCAGAATCGTCTTGGATAAATGAATTGTGTATATGCACGCAATGGAATACTACTCAGAAATGAAAAGTTATGAGTTGTTGATACATTCAACAACATCAATAGATCTCAAAACAATTACAGAAAAGAGTATCTATTAAACGATTCCATTTATAATAAACTCTAGAAAATGCAAGCTAATCTATAGCAACAAAAGCACATCCACTGTTGGTGTTGATGAAGAAAGGCGACGGGAGGGGCTGGAGGCAGGGAACATAACGAGGCCCCAGGGGACTTAGGGGTGATGGGTATGTGTGCTATCTCGATTGTGGTGATGGCTTCACAAGTGTACACATAAGTCAAAATGTACCAAATTGTGTAATTTTTTTTTTTGAGACAGAGTCTCACTCCATCACCCAGGCTGGAGTACAGTGACTCCCTGCAACCTCCACCTCTGGGGTTCAAGCAATTCTCATGCCTCAGCCTCCCGAGTAGCTGGGACTATGGGCGCGTGCCAGCATGCCCGGCTAATTTTAGTATTTTTAGTAGAGACGGGGTTTCGCTGTATTGGCTAGGCTGGTCTCGAACTCCCGGCCTCAAGGGATGTGCCCGTCTTGGCCTCCCAAAATGCCAGCATTACAGGTGTGAGCCACCGTGCCCGGCCCCAAATTATATAATTTATAATGTATAATTTTATAATCTAGATATGTGTACTTTATTGTATCATGGTCTACCTCAATAAAGCTGTTTGATAAATACATAAATAAAAGTAAAAATTCAGTGCCTCAACTGAACTTAAAAAAAAATAAGATATCATAAATCTGCAAGATATCTTGTTTAATTAGGTATGATAAGCCCATTTTTAAGGGACAAGAACTCTAATTCACATGTGACACTGAAACATAAAATGGCTTTCAACACCACAGTCCAGGAAAAACCCCACCTTCTGCAAATTGGGCTTCACACAGAGAACAGCCCAGGGTTCAGAAGTGACAGCTACTTCATGTCCTCCCCTGAGCCCACAATCCAGAACCCAAAGTCTAAAGATACAGGGAAAGTCCCTTTGCAATATGCAGATTCTCTGCACACACCCAGAGCCCGTTCAGCTGGGCCTCCCACTTCCACCTCCCAACAGTGGCAGCCAGACCGATGAGAGGGGAACCCAGCACCAGCGGTAGAGATGAGTATCTCCATGTTCTCTGGTTGGTTTTGCTGGATGTACCCATATCTGATGTTCCTAAGGTCATAGGAAAATATGAGGAAATCGTTGGCCATGGCTGGATCCAGGCTTACATACACATAAAACTTCAGCATCCCACAGTACATACTCAGCACAGGCATAGTCATGATCTCAGACACCAGCATCCCCAGGACCATGTTGATCTGGATCCTCTGTGTGTGAGAGATGGCAAGACACTAGGGACAAGTAAAAAGACCATCCTGGCTCTTTCTCTCTTGGGATAGATGAAGCAGAAGTTGGGTTCATGGAATATTAGACACAGGTCTTCAAAATAGTTTAGGAAAATGGAACAGGTAGATTCTTTTCTGAGTTTTCCTGTTATTGTCTGTACTGGGTTGAACAGTGTCACCCCTACCCTCCAAAGTCATGCCACCTGGAACTCAGAATGTAACCTTATTTGGAAAGAGGGTCTTTGCAGATGTAATTCGTTAAGAAGAGGTCATATAGAACTAGGGTTCTCCCTAAATCCAATATGACCAGTGTCCTTCTGAGAAAAGGAGAGGACACACAGAAACAGACACGGAGGCAAGACAACCATGTTATGATGGAGGCAGCAATTGGAGTGATGCATCTACAAGCCAGGGAATGCCAAGCAACCATCAGAGGCTAGGAAGAGGCAAGGAAGTCTTCTTCTCTAAAGTCTCCAGAAGAAACACTGTCCTGACAACGCCTTCATTTCAGATTTCTAGCCTCCAGAACTGTTAGACAATACATTCCTATTCTTTAAGCCACCCAGTTTGTGGTACTTTGTTTTGGCAGTTGTAGGAAACTAATACATGGTCCCATAGAAATTCACCTTCCCAGGGCAAATTCTCAGGCCCATGTTCAGTGCTGGCTCCAACTCTGATAAGGCTGACCAAATTGCCCAGTGCTTCTCCCATAAAACTGAAAAGCACTCTGGACAGACAAAAAGTCTTTTGTCAATCTCCATCACCAAGAAGGCAGGCACCTTAGATACTGTGTAGACACGTCATAAGGGTATGGCTCTCAAAGTAGTTCCCACAAAAGGGGCAAGTCATTGCCTTCCAGAGTTCAGGCATGGATGCTCTTTAATTAAGATTCTCTCCACGGGCATCCAAACTGAAGAGTCCCAGCTGTATCTCAGGGGATCTGGACTCACTGCTACCCTTTTATTGGGACAAGTGAGATCACATCTTCCACCCACATCCTGCCGAGCCCATCTCACCTACACTCCTTCGACTACATTTCCATTGAAAAGTCAAACAAAATAAAAGCAGGAAATGCACTCACCTATGGTAGGACTCCAGGATTTTGGGATGGTACCTCTGCAAGTTCCATGTCAATTCAAACAGCAAATAAAATTTTACCTGGCACCTACTTTGTGTAAGAATCATGTAAGGAGATAAGGCATGTTTAATGGTGAACAAGAAAGACTTGAATCATGAAATGACAGTACTACTTTCTTTCTTTTTTTTTTTTTGAGACAGGGTCTCGTTTTGTCACCCAGGCTGGAGCGCAGTGCGTGATCATGGTTCAATGCAACCTCAATCTCCTGAGCTCAAGCGATCCTGCCACTTCAGTCTCCTGAGTAGCTGGGACCACAGGCATGCACCACCATGCTTGGCTAATTTTTTTTTATTTTTGTAGAGACAAGAGTCTCCCTGTGTTTGCCCAAGTTGGTTCCAAACTCCTGGGTTCGAGTGATCCTCCCATCTCGGTCTCCCACAGTGTTGTGATTACAGGTGTGAGCCATGGTGTCTGGCCGATAGTATTACTTTTTATAGGTTAAGTAGTATTTCCTTTGATTTGCATACAGAGTCCCTTTCTTAGCATAATCAGAAAATACCAAAAAAAGGAAATATGAATATGTATACATTTACAATTTTGTAACATACATCAACATACAAATATTTCAAAAATGGACAAACTAGATAATATTTTCATTGCATTAAACTGGAAAAGTCAACATTATTTATAACAAATTCCTTCAAAAGTTTGCCTGTACTATCTAGCCAGAGAAATCTGCAGGTCATTTTTTCCTAATCCATATATCACTGAGTCGAAATGATTAATTCACAATTCATGTACATGTTCCTGGCTACATGGGGGGCTTCTTGAAACCAGGAAATAAATCATCTGAATGAGATGATAATCAAAAGGTACTGTGTACATAAGACCCTCTGATGTTCTCTCACCTACTCCTGTTTATTGCTTTCATGCCACCTCCTCTGGGGAAATCTGATCTGATCTCCCCTGTGTATGTTCTCAAAGTCTGATCTGATTTCTCATAGCACATATGAAAATTACATTAAACACCCCTCTGTTCAGTGTCCGTGTTCCAGGTAATTTCTATAATGGCAAGGACTGTCCCCTTCTAAGGACTGAGCCCCGGCATCAGGGTCACATGTAGCACATTGTTCAATATATGACAAATAGGCAACACACAAAGGCTTTATAAAAATTCTTTTGAATGTTATTTCCTTATTCCTGTATGACTCAAGACAAGGAAAGTGGCTGTATGATAAAATGATGGTGAAGAAGAGGGTGTACTTAGATTGAGGAAGGCATCAGAGGAAAGTAGGTTCTGGGATTTGAGAGCTTCATATTCTGCCAGAGTTTCTTCAACAGACTGGCTCATCAAGTTAGAAAAAGATTTACTGTGCCATCCACTCAATCATACCAGGCTCTCATCTTGGAGACCTTAGTTTCAAAAAATAAGTTAAATAAGCCTTTCCTTCTTTAATAACTAGAAGGCATCACTAACATTCACCACTCAATTCTCATAACAGCACACTGGCCTTCATGGTCACACAGGTTTATTATTATCTCATTGTGTATCCCACAGTCACTCAGAGCAGAGGCCTTGCAAGTCCACAATCAGTGTTTTATCAATGGCCCCACTCGCCACTTCCCTATGTGTATATCAGCTAAGATAGCAGGTCCATGTAAATGCAAAGATGTTCACTCCCCAGGTTACACCACGTGATTCCTATCTATGACCTTGTGTTAGGCAGCAACATTGTCCAAATACAAGGCTGGGATATAGGAAGTCTGAAGCCAGGGAGATAAAAGTTGTTGCTCAACAGCCAGGTGTGTCCACTGTTGGCCACCTCTTCTTCTGTCCCCTGCCTCTAACTGGGGACAAATGCAGCCCCAATCCCAGACAGAAGGCCTCTTATAGACAAGCTCAGCCTTTGGGGTTCCAAAAAATTAATAATTATCAGGTGAAGAGGCAGAGTGAGAATAAAGACTGAGTATAAGTGATGCCCTTGATCAAAGAAATTTTTTCCAACCACTTTTGGGACTCCATAAAGAGCATAGATCTCAGTGATAAATATGTGATTCTCCTCGCAGTCTGGCAAAAGAAACAGTGGAGGCCAGGGTGGGGCAGTCTATATCTCAGGAAGAGATCTTGCATGTGGGGTGGCTGGATTACTGGAGAGGGAGGAATGCTGGATAGAAGTCAGGAAGCAGAAGGAGCTGTACATGCTCACCAACTAACATCGTTCTTGTATACCAAGTGGGTAATTTAAGAATATTATTGAGGGGCTTTTAAAATATGGAATTCTGGTGCATAGAAGAAAGCAGCATGTTTGTTTTTTGTTTGTTTGTTTGTTTGAGACGGAGTCTCACTCATGGCTGGAGTGCCATGGCACGATCTTGGCTCACTGCAACCTCCGCCTCTTGGGTTCAAGCAATTCTCCTGCCTCAGCCTCCCGAGTAGCTTGGATTACAGGTGCTCGTTACCACCCTTGGCTAATTTTTGTACTTTAATTTAGGGACGGGTTTTACCATGTTGGCCAGGCTGGTCTTGAACTCCTGACCTCGTGATCCACCTACCTCGGCCTCCCAAAGTGCTGGGATTACAGGCATGAGCCACCATGCCAGGCCGAAAGCAGCATGTTTTTTTAAGGATAGTGGAAACAGGAGGGCACTTGCATTGAGAGTTACCCATTCTAGCACCCACTGATCTCCTTGTACATTTCTGTTTTGCAAGTTATGCAACTTTAATTCAATCTCCTTTCTCCTGTGCTTCATATATTTACTCTTTCCATGTTCCTTCTTTCTCCCTGATATTCCAAGATTCCTTCTTTTCTCATTTCCTTTCTGTTTCAGGAACTTCTTTTAGTAATTCTTCTTGGCTAGGACTACTAGTCACAACTCCTCTTAGTTTTTCTTCATCTGGAGACAGCTTGGTTCCCCCTTCATTCCTGAAGGATATTTTCACTGGGTATAGAATTCTGGGTTGACAATTCTTTTTTTTCCCACATTTGAAAAATGTTCCACTTCAGGCCGGGCACGGTGGCTCACGCCTGTAATCCCAGCACATTGGGAGGCTGAGGTGGGCAGATCACCTGAGGTCAGGAGTTGAGACTCCGTCTCAAACAAACATTTTCCTAACCAACATGGAGAAACCTTGTCTGTACTAAAAATACAAAATTAGCCAGGCGTGGTGGTGGGCACCTGTAATCCCAGCTACTCAGGAGGCTGAGCCAGGAGAATCGCTTGAACCCAGGGAGCAGAGGTTGCAGTGAGCTGAGATCATGCCATTGCACTCCAGCCTGGGCAACAAGAGTGAAACTCCGTCTAAAACAAAAAAAAAAGAAAAAAAAATTAAAAAAAAAAAAAGAAAGAAAAATGTTCCACTTCATTCTGGGCTCCATGGATTCTGATGAGAAGAGCCCCTGTCATTCTCATTGTTTTTCCCCTATAGGTAAGGTGTCCTTTCTCTCTTGCTGCTTTTAAGTATGTTTTCTTTATGTTTAGTTTTCAGTAGTTTGGTTATGTGTCTTGGTGTGGATTTCTTTAAGTTTTCATATTTAGGATTTTCTCCTTCTAGGATTCCAAAGATAATGAATGTTAGATCTTACCACTGTTATTTTTTATTCAGTCCATCTTCTCTCTGTTGTTCAAATTGGGTAACTTATATTGTTCGATCTTCAAGTTCACTATTTCTTTCCTCTATCTTCTCCATTCTGTTGTCAAACCATCCATTCACTTTTTTTTTTTTTTTTGAGATGGAGTCTCGCTCTGTCGCCCAGGCTGGAGTGCAGTGGCGTGATCTCAGCTCACTGCAAGCTCCGCCTCCCGGGTTCATGCCATTCTCCTGCCTCAGCCTCCCAAGTAGCTGGGACTACAGGCACCCGCCACCATGCCTGGCTAATTTTTTGTATTTTGAGTAGAGACAGGGTTTCACCATGTTAGCCAGGATGGTCTCGATCTCCTGACCTTGTGATCCACCCACCTCGGCCTCCCAAAGTGCTGGGATTACAGGCGTGAGCCACCACGCCCAGCCTCCATTCACTTTTAAATTTCAGTTGTTGTATTTTTCAGTTCTAAAATTTCCACTTCTTTCTTCTTTATTTCTTGTATTTCTTTGCTAAGGCTTTCTATTCTTTGCTTAAACATTCTGTTTTTTCATATGCTCTGTGTTCATAATTGCTCAGTGGAGTATTTTTATGATGATGCCTTTAAAATCTAGGAGTAAAGAGCTGCTTCATCACAACCAACCAAGGATGGATGATTAGGCTCCTCATTTGGTCTTTGCTGATGGGGGTGGAGGTAAGCCTGTGGTTTCTTCTGTGGTGTTTGCATAGTAGAGCAGTTATCTGAAAGTTTTCTATTTCTCTGGGATTCTATTTTCCTTGTTTTATGGCTACAAAGAGTAAGCTTTTCTTGGGGCATTTTTTTGTCTGTGCCCATTGGTGTTTCTGGGTAGCTGTCAATATCCAGCCTGGGATACATGAGGAAAAGAGAAAATTCAAGGAATTCACCACTGTGTCCTTCAGATAGAGAGGGCCCAAGCCAGTCTGCCTTTTCTCTCTGCCTTTTAGAGTCTTTCTTTGTTTGTTTATATATAACGTCCAGGGTTTAGAATTGTACTTAGTAGGAGGAATAGGAAGAATTGAATCCACTCCATCTTATCCAGAATGAGAAATCTATAGTTGTCTTTTTGGCAGCAGTTTTGCTTATTGGTAAACTGGGTAGTTACAATGTCACAACTGCCATATGTACCAAAAGCAAGTATGCACAAACCAGAAACTCATTTACAGAGGCATACCATCTCCTAAGAGGATATGTTTCCAGGGACATGGCAACCAATGAACCATATGTTGTTTATTTGGTAATCACTTGACAACTCTGGCTTTATTGATAATATCACTTCTGAGTTTCACAGCGGCTCGCATGCCTCAGCTGTGATCATTTGCTTCCTTGCTGTTCAGTATTTATCACAGTGATGTTGACTCTCTGTTCTTTTCCCATCTGTTATGGAGAAATAACACCCTAATTTCATAATTGCATCCATGTCATCCTCCCCCTTGCCCTCTGCACCTCCATGCCTTGATTTTTCATCTTCCTTTACTTTCCCACTTACCTGCATTCTCATTGAATGATCTCACTCTAACCTAGGTCACAGGCTATGCATTTGCCCTGCACTTTGTATGCAAAATCTTTTATTTTTGTTTTTAGTACTGCCAGCTTCTTCACAATACCATTTGAAGACCTGCCACAGAGTCTGCAATCAGCCCAACTGCCAACCACACTGGAAAAATAGACCTACTAGCCATATCACCTGTAAGAAATAAAACTTCAAATGCAACCCCAGATTTTGGTCTTTCTTCTTCCTGATGTTTTGTCAACATGACACAATCTGTCTGAATATTTGAAAACATCTTTACTTGCCTTTCAAAACACGGTTGACATTCCCTTTATCTTCTTCCTGCTTCATTGGTCAATCCCATGCAGCTTCTTTTGCTAGTTACTCTCTTTCCTTCTGAACTCCTCTCTTTCAATGCTCACTTTTTTGGTATTCTCCCATCTCATGGCTTTAAGTGTCATCTATGTATTAATGATCCCCAAATGTATATCTCCAGCTCAGACCTCTCTCCCAAACTCCAGAAGCATATATCCAATTTCACACTTAACATCTAGAATTGAATGTCTAATAGGTATCTCAAACTCAACATGTCCAAAATTGAACTCCCCCTCTTATCTACAGCCTTCCGCGTCATAACAGATGACCCACAGTCCTCCAAATGACCCAGCCCAAAATGCTTAGAATTATCCTTGACTCTTCTTTCCCATACACTTCCACATTCAATTCATAAGCATGTCCTATTGGTTCTACCTCCAAAATGTATCCTACTGCTTCTCATTATCTTCACTGCTGTTCCCCTGATCCAAGCCACCATCAGCTTTCACCTAGATTACTGAAATAGCTTCCTTATAGCTCTCCCTTCTTCCACCATTGTCCCCCTTCCCCCAGCATCTTTTCAACGTTGCAGTCATAGTGATCTTTTGAAAATGTAAGCCAGATTATATCATTCCTCTGTTCAAAAACTTTCATGGCTCCTATTTCACTCAGAGTAAAACCCAAGATCTTTATAACAGCTGTCAAGTTCCTATGTGATCTGCCCTCATTCTCTGTCTCACTTCCTCTCCTACCCTTTCCCTTGTTCACTTCACCCTGGCCACAACATCCTTACCATCCCTCAAACAACCTACACACGCACCCACACCTGAGCCTTTGCACTGGTTGTTCCCATTGCCAGGAATTCTTATCCTAAACATATGCTTGGTTAAACTCCTCTGCCTCTTTGCTCAAATCACTTTCCCAGTGAACCCTATTCTGCCCACCCTATTTAATATTACAGTCTTCACCCACTGGCACTCCTGATTTTTTACTGGGCTCTATTTGTTTTTTGGGGTTTTTTCTTCCATAATACATACTGCCTTCAAACATAAGATATAATTTATTTATTATGTTTATGGTTTATTATCTATTTCCTTTGTTAGAATGTAAGCTCCATGAGAGCAAGAGTCTTTTGTTTTGTTCAATTATAAACTCTAAGCACCTAGAAGGTGTTTCTTTGGCACTCAATAAATATTTGTTAAATGCAAGAATTAATCTCATTACAGTAATGCCTCAACTATTCAGAGGATATTTATATGGAAATCTCAGTTATTAAAACAATCACTGGAGTGAGATCATGTAGCAAGCAAGTTTACAAAGGATTTGTGAAACCAAAATCAAGGCCCCAAATACCAAAAACTCTGACATTCATACACTTAATTCAGAGGAGAAATACCCAGAAGGCAAATACATGCACTTGTATTATACATACAGCTCCAATAAATTTAGTTACCTGGATTCGAAATCCAAAGGATTAAAAGCAATATATTATGTTTGTGCAAGGGAAGAAGATAGGATGGAAACCTAAAGGGCAAGCAAGGAGTGACAGCTTCTCAGTAGTAGGGAAGAGACAAATAAAACAAAAGCAAACAGAACTTTAAAAACAGCACTGGGGGCATCTGGTATTAAAACAGATAATCCACATACTTCAAAATCATAAATCACAGAAGTACACAGGATGCTAATTTATGTTCAATATACTGAGCCTTAATCATCAAATAAAAGAAAAATGATACTCAGTATGCTTTAGAAAAGCAGTCACATTAAATATTCTACCAGAGTTACTAAATAATGGCAAGTTTAGAGGATTAATTGGGATAAACTTGTATGAAATTAACTTCTCTATGATGCTGGATTACTGAAGACTCACTGAAAATAGCTACACTGTTTGGCTTTCAGCCATTTGTTTATTGCTGCAAATCCACAAATTAATCTTGTGTTCCAAAACAGAGCACATTCCAATCAACTCCAAGATCTCAGCAGGTTTTCAGAACTCTGGGTAAATTGAGGTTCTTACAATTTCAAAACCATGTATAGAAAATTCTCAGTTGGCCAAAATGCTTGGGAAATGGTCCATCCCCGATAGGTGCATTAGGATTAGGGTTAGGTTAGAAGGCACACGTCTGGAAAATATTACTTCCAAGAGTCATCAGGCAGATATATAACTCTGTGAGTTTCACTCTGATTTCCTTTGAGTTAAGGCTTTTACTTCACTAGGAATTCTTTATTTGAACTACAGTCATTTCTGCAAGGGATAGCACATTAAACTCTTTAACACGTTAGCTCAGATTACTTTATTAAAGGTTAGGAAATTTGGGACTGCAAGGTCCTGAACAAATAGATGCAAGGTGCAGTGCCCTACCATCCTGTGACCACCTCCAGGTGTGGGAAACAAGGTGTCTGTCCTACTTCTTCTATTTAAGAGATTAGCCTACAAGAGAAGTACAAGACAGGGCTGAGGAAGAAGTCAAGAGGACTCCTGTCCAAGGAGTCTAGACACAAAAGGGAGACTAGACACAATCAACTAGGGATATGACAGGTATAGCAGAATAGGTATGGCAGATTATGTGGGTTGAAAATGGACCCTGGAGGCTCACCCACAGTGGTGAGGGCCATGTGAAAGCTAAGAGTGGGAGCTGACTGTCATCCTATCAGCCCCAGGGCATTTGAGGTATCCAAAGCGATGCGCAAAGGCTAGGCAGTGCAGTAAGGCAGCAGAGGGCCATGGGAAACGGCACTGGAGCACACAGGCACCTTTCCATTTTGCTTAAGGTCCCTCCTAAACTCAGAATTAAGGCCAGCCTTCTTTGGTGTTAAAATTCTTTCTAAACTGGACTGGCTAACTTTACTGTCCTAGTAAATACTATCTACGAAACAATATTTGAACCTTAATCAGTTATGAGCAGAGTCCTATAGAAATAAATGAGTGATATGAAGTAGGGTTGGAACTATCATATCCTAAGATATACACTGCTCATTTTTTTAAAAAACTAGTTTTTATTGACAGGAGATGGGTAGGCATGGCTACAAAGTGCTGGCGAGAGGGAGTCTTGGAGAGATTGAGCAGTTCAGCATCTTGAGTATGGTGGTAGTTACATGAGTCTACAAGTGATGAAATTACATAGAACTACACACACACATGTGCACTTGAATGCACATAGAATTGGTAAAGCCCAAATAAATTCTGTGGACTTTACTGATGCCAATTTCCTAGTTTTGACATTGTACTGTAGTATGGTTATGTAAGAGTTACCCTTGGCGGTGAAGATTACATGGGACCTCCCTGTACATGTTTTTGCAACTTCCTGTGACTCTATAAGTATTTAAAAATAAATAGTTTTTAGGCCAGGCGCAGTAGCTCACGCCTGTAATCCCAGCACTTTGGGAGGCCGAGGTGGGCAGATCACCTGAGGTCAGGAGTTCGAGACAAACCTGGCCAACACGGTGAAACCCTGTCTCTACTAAAAATACAAAAATAGTAGCTGGGCGTGGTGGTGCACACATGTAATCCCAGCTACTTGGGAGGCTGAGGCAGGAGAATCGCTTGAACTGAGAGGCAGAGGTTGCAGTGAGCCGAGATTGCACCACTGCACTCCAGCCTGGGCAACAAGAGTGCAACTTCGTCTCAAATAAATAAACCGTTTTTAAAAGATAATTTTTAAATTATTGTTATTAGCTCAATTTGTGTTACTTTTCTATCTAAAATCTCAAGGGGCTGAATTTAGTAAGATTTTAATTATGTCACTAAACCATTCCTCTTTGGTCATTTAATCTTACCTAAAGGGATTAATGTTAGATGTTTATGGGTCCTGAATTAAAGAGTTTCTGTATGGGGCCAGTAGAATATGAACCTCAACTTCTCATCAAAAGTCTGCTTTCATCACCATAATGTAGCCCGGCATCAGCAAGCACATCCCAGAGTATTCCTCAGGGTTCTACGGCCACATATCATTTTGTCTTTATGGTGATGTCCAGAGATAAGAGGATTTTTTTTTTGAGATGGAGTCTCACTCTGTCACCCAGGCTGGAGTGCAGTGGTGTGATCTTGGCTCACTGCAAACTCTGCATCCTGGGTTCATGCCATTCTCCTGCCTCAGCCTCCCGATTAGCTGGGACTACAGGTGCCTGCCACCAGGCCCAGCTAATTTTTTGTATTTTTTAGTAGAGATGGGGTTTCACCGTGTTAGCCAGGATGGTCTCCATCTCCTGACCTCGTGATCCGCCCGCCTCGGCCTCCCAAAGTGCTGGGATTACAGGCATGAGCCACCGTGCCTGGCCTGAGGATTTTTTTAAAAAGCTTTAACTTGACATTTCCAAATTTTTTCTCATAAGCCCTTTTTTCCTTGCCCTATCTACTAATATTCCAAGGAACACACTTGAAACACTTACAGTGGAAAAGGACTGGGGTTCCAATTCCCCAGTGGTCCCTAGCACTTAGCAGCTATGTGACCCTGGACGAGTAATTTAACTTTTCCAGACCTCAAATTCCTTATTTCTAAAATATCAATAATAGCTTCTTACTGTCTTTATGAAAAGTAATTTAAAAATATGTTAAAAACCTTAAATCTCTTAACTTACATTAACTAATTTTAGTTCTATAGATATCTCTCCATCCTAAGGAGGTATCTAAAACACAAGAAATTTTTAATATAAAACATTATTCCATTATTTATAACAGCAACAATCATTTTCAAATGTCTTAGTTGTCCAACAATAAGGAAAAACTTAAGCCACATGATCTGTATGATTTCAGCCAATACGAATTATATTTATAAAGAACTGTTAATAACCTGGGAAATGATCATCCTATAAAGTTCATTTTAAAAGGTATAAAGTCATAAAGTTCAAGCTCAAACACATTAAAAAACACCCACACAAAAAAAATACTGCAGGAAAATATGCTAAAAATGTTAAGACCTGTTATTCCTGGTGATAGAGTTTATAGCAAAAAATTAATAATTATAAGCCAGAAATTATTTTATTTGGTCCAATTACAACATAGTTTAAATCATAGCCTGTAACTTTTCACAAGCTCCTGCCACTTTCCTCCTGGGAAGGATAAAGATATGTCAACACATGTTAATTGGTAACTCTCTCAGAAAGAAGCTGGTGTGTATATGTGTGCGGTGTGTGTCGGGTGTGTGTGTGTGTGTGTGTGTGTGTACATACACTGTGACATCTCAGATGCAATCTAGCAGCAACCCTCACAAACCGAAAGAGGAAGGGATGTGTTGGTAGCAATTATGTCACATGTCACTCATGTTAAGAAGAGTCATAGTGCTGTCTCAGATATCTGGTTTAGCATCTAAACATTAGTAAGCTTTAAAAAAAAAAGTTTTCCTTTTCCCCTATAATTTCACTTATTACTAATTTGTTATTTTCTAAATTTTTTCAGTCACTACAATATCAATCCTATGAAATCAAAGCCCTATCAATGAAGTTTCTTTCCTGTATAATGATATGAATAAATATAATTCAGTACATAAAATCAATTGTATACCTGTGTTGCTTTTCCCAATTCAAAAGAAATATACTCAAATATATTCTATTTGTAGAGGTATTCTTATGTGGCAGAATTTGACCACAAAACTCTTTATAGGCAGATAAAAATCAATTGTAGGTAAATTAAAAAAAAAAAAGAAAATCAAGGTTTTAGTTCAACTAAAATGGAAGAACAGTTTTCTTTTAAATAATTTTCCAGTTTTTAAAAAATCATTCCATTTTGTTGTTTTTATTTTATTATTGTTCACTCTCCCTTCTCATCAATACCTACACTATTTCCCTAAAGGTGATTAATCATATATACATTTTAAAATTATTTCAGTTTTGCAAATCAACCACTTTATGATATTTCATATAACTCAAAACAATACTAGGGCTAAGTAATGTCCATTTTTTATTCCTGTAAGTTCCTCCGAGAAGCAGTTTCATTGCTCATTTCTCCTGTGGATATTTAGGATTAGAACTTCCAGTCACAGAGACAAAAATATATTAATCGTCTGAACACCAAGGGCTCTTTAAAATTAGAATTGCTTTGACATCCATGACCTGTTAAATGTTGAATTCTAAAATGAACCTCTAAAGTTGTTAAGATAAATATCCAGTGAAGTGCTGAAAAGGTAAGAAGCAAAGCAACAGAGATAATGTAAAATTCAATTGAGGAACAGATAAGGTTCATTCACAAGCTGATAATGTACAGCTACAGCGCAAGGAGATAAAAGAGCACAATAAAATTATATTCTATTCACATTCAACCAGTTGGACATCCAGATTTGGCTATGCCTTATAGATGAAGCTGCCTCATTATGGTTCTCTTGGTATGTTCTATAGCTGCACACTTTGTATCAATAGAAGGCTCCCTTATTTATGATCTGATGATTTACGTAATTAAACAAGGACACCTAATCTAGGTTTTTAAATTATTTTTGGTAAATAGAATGTAAAACCTGGATGCTAACTACATAGTTCTAACTCTGCAACCTAGACTTTCAAATACCATCAGGGAATATTCATAAGTCTAATGTACATATGGTGCCCTAACATCACAACAGAGACTTAGTATTCTCAAGTTACCTTCAGTTTTTGACATGAAAAACTTTTAAAACATACTGCTATATCACTGAATTCATCTATGAATAAAATATGATAAAAATTCAATACAAAAGCATTATCAAAAGGCAGATGGTGGAATAACAGCAAAGAAATCCTTCAAATGAGAAATTGTTGGAATTTCTAGGTATCCAGGACCACTTTCCTGCTCTAGCACATTTGCCTTCAAGGCCTGGCTAAGACACTGATCCAACAGAGGTACCAGACAAATTCATCACTAGTGAAACTAAACTGGTTAAATATGAAAACCAAAATTCCATGGGTAGGATGGGAATGAGGACACCACCATGCTGTAATCATCAGCATCCATGATCAAAAGCACACAAACAGTATCTTTACAACACCATTTAAATGATAGTACCTTTCCTGGTCTGAATGGTACTTATCAGTTCTCTAGGTGTAGCTTTCTTTTTCCTGAAAATTATTATCAGAAAAAACTAAAGTGAAACATATTTTTCACATCTTTAAGTCATAATAACATTTAAAGGATAAACCAAAATTCCAAAAGGACTTCATCTATCCCTTTCATTGTTTTGTGAAGCTACTTGTCTATTACATCAACAAAAGCAGTTAGTAGTCTATGGGTACTTTCCCAAAAAAAGGCCTTGTTACCAAACAAAAGGGCAGTGCCGCATTGATTCAGCCTGTGTTTGCACCACAGGCACTAACCAGCCCGACCTCTGTTCTGTAAAATACCTCATCCACCTATTTAGTAAAGTCTGGATTACACTGATCTAAATTCAAACTAGGTGACCTCTCAGTTCATTCAAGGTCTTTGGTCAAATATCACTTCTACAGAAAGACCTCTCTGACCACCCTCTCTAAAATAACACTACCCCTCAGTCTCTTCCCCTTTTCTCTCCTTGATTTTCCTTCACTGCTCTTATCACTGCCTGACACAGTAGTGCAGTTTTGTCTGTATTTGTTTACCGTCTGTTCCTCTACCTCCATATTCTCTTATCTTTGGCTTCATAGCATTTATTACCATCTAACTTCTCCTATTCTATCACCACTGTATTCCTTACCAGCTAGAACAGCATCTGGCACATACTAGGTACCCCATAAATCGTTTTTTGAAGACTGACTGAATGAATGAATGTCTTCCCACCTAGAATTTCAATTCGTGAGGTCAGGGCCTTTGACAGTTTTTCTCACTAATGTATACCCAGCAAGAGTGACTGGCACATGGTAAGCAGATAGTAAAATCTCTAAATGAATGAGTGAATGACAGTAGGAAAGTAAATTACTACAATCAGATCCTTTTCCTACAACACATTTGGGTGGGGGAAGATGGAAGACAGTATGAGGCAGGTAGAAGAGTGACAAAAGGAATGGCAAGGGACACTGAATATGGAACTTTTCTATATTCCAAGTTTCTTTAAAGAGTCGATAAAGAAAACATGTAAAATTCAAGAACCCAGCTTTTGCTGTAACAGGTCCAGTAAATAACTAATGACTGCACAGCAAAACAATCAATACAATAAAAAATTCAACCTATAAAATGGGAGAAAATATTTGCAAATGATATATCTGATAAAGGGTTAATATTCAAAATACATAAGGAACCTATATAATTTGATACCAAAAAAACAAGTAATCTGACTTTTTTAACAGGCAAAACACCTGAATAGACATATTTCCAAAGAAGACAAACAAATGGTGAACAGGTGTATGAAAAGGTGCTCAACATTACTAATCATCAGAGAAATGCAAATCAAAACTACAGTGAAAAACAATGTCACACCTGTTAGAATGGCTATTACCAGAAAGACATAAAATAACAAGTGTCATTGAGGACATGGAGAAAAGGGAACCTCTGTGCACTGTTGGTGGGAATGTGATATGGTTTGGCTGTGTCCTCACCCAAATCTCATCTTGAATTGTAGCTCCCATAATCCCTATGTGTTGCGGGACGGGACCTGGCAGGAGATAATTGAATCATGGGAGCAGTTTCCCCCATACTGTTCTTGTGGTAGTGGATAAGTCTCACAACATCTGATGGTTTTATAAAGGGAAAAAAACGCTTCTGCTTGGTTCTAATTCTCTCTCTTGCCTGCCGCCAATATAAGAGGTGCCTTTCACCTTCTGCCATGATTGTGAGGCCTCCCCAGCCACGTGGAATTGTGAGTCCATTAAACCTTTTTTTCTTTATAAATTAACCAGTCTCGGATATGTCTTTATCAGCAGCATAAACAGAGACTAATACAGTAAATTGGTACCAGGAGAGTGGGGTGCTGCTGAAAAGATAGCTGAAAATGTGGAAGCGACTTTGGAACTGGGTAACAGGCAGAAGTTGGAATAGTTTGGAGGGCTCAGAAGAAGACAGGAAAATGTGGGAAAGTTTGGAACTCCCTAGTGACTTGTTGAATGGCTTTGACCAAAATGTTGATAATGATATAAACAATGAAATCCAGGCTGATGTGGTCTCAGAAGGAGGCGAGGAACTTTTTGGGAACTGGAGAAAAGGTGACTCTTGCTATGTTTTAGCAAAGAAACTGGCAGCATTTTGCCCATGCCCTAGAGATTTGTGGAACTTTGAATTTGAGGGGGATGATTTAGGGTATCTAGCAGAAGAAATTTCAAAGTGGCAAAGCACTCAAGAAATGACTTGGGGGGATTAAAAACATTCAGTTTTAAAAGGGAAACAGAGCATAAAAGTTCGGGAAATTCACAGCCCAATGATGCAATAGAAAAGAAAAGCCCATTTTCTGAGGAGAAATTCATGCTGGCTGCAGAAATTTGCATAAGTAATGAGGAGCCAAATGTTAGTCAGCAAGACAATGGAGAAAAACGTCTCCAGGGCACGTCAGAGACCTTTGCAGCAGCCCTTCCCATCAATGGCCTGGAGGCCTAGGAGGAAAAAGTGGTTTCGTGGGCTGGGCCCAGGGCCCCCCTGCTGTGTGCGGCCTAGGGACTTGGTGCCCTTTGTCCCAGCTGTCCCAGCTGCTCTATCCATGGCTAAAAGGGGCCGAGGTACAGCTTAGGCCAAAGCTTCAGAGGGTGCAAGCCTCCAGCCTTGGCAGCTTCCACATGGTGTTGAACCTACAGGTGTTCAGAAGTCAAGAACTGAGGTTTGGAAACTTCCTCCTAGATTTTGGGGGATGTATGGAACTGGATGTCCAGGCAGAAGCTTGCTGCAGGGGCAGGGCCCTCATGGAGAACCCCTGCTAGGGCAATGCAGAAGGGAAATGTGGGATTGAAGCCCCTACTCAGAGTCGCTACTGGGTCACTGCCTAGCAGAGCTGTGAGAAGAGGACCACTGTCCTCCAAACCCCAGAATGGTAGATCCACCAACAGCTTGCACTATGTGCCTGGAAAAGCCACAGACACTCAACATCAGCCCCTAAAAGCAGCAGGGAAGGAGGCTGTACCCTGCAAAGCCACAGGGGCCAGGCTGCCCAAGACCATGGGGACCTACTTCTTGCATCAGCGTGACCTGGATGTGAGATGTGGAGTCAACAGAGATCATTTGGAGTCTTAAGATTTGACTGCCCCACTGGATTTTGGACTTGCATGCAGCCTGTGGCTCCTTTGTTTTGGCCAATTTCTCCCATTCGGAATGGCAGTATTTACCCAATATCTGTAACCCCATTGTATCTAGGAAGTAACTAACTTGCTTTTGATTTTACAGCCTCATAGGCAGAAGGGACTTGCCTTGTCTCAGATGAGACTTTGGACTGTGGACTTTTCAGTTAATGCTGAAATGAGTTAACACTGGGGAACAGTTGGGAAGGCATGATTGATTTTGAAATGTGAGGACATGAGATTTGGGAGAGGCTGGGGCAGAATGATATGGTTTGGCTGTGTCCCCACCCAAATCTATCTTGAATTGTAGCTCCCATAATTCCCTTGTGTTGTGGGAGGGGACCCGGTGGGAGATAACTGAATCATGGGGGCAGCTTCCCCAATTCTGTTCTTGTGGTAGTGGATAAGTCTCATGAGATCTGATGGTATTATAAAGGGAAACCCCTTTTGCTTGGTTCTTTCTCTCCCTTGCCTGCCACTAATGTAAGACATGCCTTTCACCTTCTGCCATGATTATAAGGCCTCCCCAGACACATGGAACTATGAGTCCATTAAACCTCTTTTTCTTCATAAATTACCCCATCTCAGGTATGTCTTTCTCAGCAGCATGAAAACAGACTAATACAGAATGTAAATTAGTATGTTATTGAAAACTTATGGAGGATCCTCAAAATTAAGATTAGAACTACTTTACGATGCAGCAAGCCCATGTCTGGGTACATATTCAAAGGAAATGAAATGAGTATCTTGAAGAGATATCTGCATTTCTCTGTTTATTGCAGCATTATTCACAATAACCAAGAAAGAAAACAACCTAAATGTCTGTTGACAGATTAATGGAAAAAGAAAATGTGGTGTATATATACACAATGAATATTATTATATTATTCCATCTTAAAAATAAAGGAAACCTTGGTATTTGTGACAACATGGATGAACCTAAAGGACAGTACGCTAAGTGAAACAAGCCAGGCACAGAAATACAAATACCGCATGATCTTACTTACATATAGAATCTAAAATATTCAAACTCCTAGAAGCAGAGAGTAGAAGATGGTTGCCAGGAGCTGAAGGGAAGGGGAAATGGGGAGATATTGGTCAAGGGGTACAAAGTTTCAGTTATGAGAGATAAATAAATTCTGGGCTGGACACAGTGGCTCCTGCCTGTAATCCCAGCACTTTGGCAGGCCAAGGTAGGAGGATTGCTTAAGCCCAGGGGTTTGAGCAGCCTGGGCAACACAGCAAGACCATGTCTCTACTAAAAATAAAAAATTTTCCAGGCATGGTGGTAGGTGCCTATAGTCCCAGCTACTTGGGAAGCCAAGGCAGAGGGATCGCTTGAGCCAGGAATTCAAAGCTACACTTAGCTATGATTGTGCCACTGCACTCTAGCCTGGGTGACAGAGTGAGATCCTATCTCAAAAAATAAAATTAAAATTAAAATTAAAAGATGAATACGTTCAGGAGATCTAATATACAACAATGTGAACATAGTTAACAATACTGTATTTCAAACTGCAATTTGCTAAGAGAGTAGATCTTAAGTGTTCTCACCACACACACATACTAGGTAACTATATGAGGTGATGAATATGTTAATTAGCTTGATTGTGGCAATTATTTCACAATGTATACATACACCAAAGCAACAAGTCATACATCTTAAAGTTATACAATTTTTACTTGTCAATTGTGCCTCAATGAAGATGAAAAATTAATGACTAGAAGAATAAGGCTGTTCTAACGCTGCCCCAAACACAAGGGAAAACATTAATGCCTTCATCCAGGGTATAAACAGAATTGAAATTTCACATAATACCAAGAATCAAGTTACTAAGTTGTGAGTAATATCTGCTTCTCATCAAAGATCTTTTCTATTTGTTTTCAACATCTCAACTATTAAGTCTTTTCTAAGGGCCTATAAAAATTATTTCTCCATTTAATTAAGGGGGGGTTTCTTGAACTTTTCACCAATTTATAAGTAATATTTCTGGCCAGGCGCAGTGGCTCAAGCCTGTAATCCCAGCACTTTGGGAGGCCGAGGTGGGCAGATCACCTGAGGTCAGGAGTTCAAGATCAGCCTGGCCAACATGGTGAAACCCTGTCTCTACTAAAATTACAAAAATTAGCCAGGCATGGTGGCAGACATCTGTAATCCCAGCTACTGGGGAGGCTGGGGCAGGAGAATTGCTTGAACCCGGGAGGCGGAGTTTGCAGTGAGCTGAGATCATGCCACTGCACTCCAGCCTGGGCGACAGAGTAAGACTCTGTCTCAAAAAAAAAAAAGAAAAAAGTAATATTTCTATACAGCAAGTCATCCATTTTGATATGCTTACATTGTACAATCAATTTTATTCAATAAAAGTGTTTTTAGAAAATTATTTCACTCACGGATAAGCATTTTAAGATTACTCCAGTGCAATTAACATATGTCCCTTGGTTTCCACAGTTGCAATTAGAGGGGCTATGTTCTGTAGCATTACCTGTGGGCTCTTGACCACCATTTGTCTATTTGTTAGAGTGGCACCAATATTCCTCCTTGAGAATACACCCGTGCCCCCACATCCTCACAGAGAAGAGACGGAACACCATTAAGTTACACATTCTTGTTTGGCTACCAAATTATACATGAAATGAAATAAAGCAATGGAATATAAAGGTCAAATGATAGCCAAACAAGAATGTAATTTTCCCCCAGTTTGGCTGACACCAAAGTCTTATTACTCTTCATTCAGCCAACAACACAGAATAGAATGATTCCAGGTATCTATTGGAAAATATTACTTCAAAGTCATTGCAACTCAATCATAATCATTGTTAACGGCTCAAATGCGAAAAAACAATATTTATAGTGGATTTTCAGTAAGAAACACAATCCATCTATTTCTAAAATATACTACAATCTTTCCTTGGATTAAATCAGATCACCTGAAAACTGTATATTATATTGGCCCCCTCGCAGAATTACCCTTTCTTAATGTTTCTTTAGAATTATGCTGTATTTAAAGAGCCTGTGAAACTCACTGCTGAATCACTGTTGGAATGTTGTTGAGGATATTGTTCACCACATTGCAAAGTATATTCTTGAGGCTGAGGGAGTCAAGAGGTCCCAGTATCAGCTTGATTAATTGTTCTTCTCCAGCAGAAATAGTTTAAGTTTACAAATACTGAATAAAAAAATACCTGTGCTTCCTTGTGTTGAAAATGAGAAATTGAAGCTGAAATGCTTATATTAGTAAAGAAGAAAGGTTAAAATTAACCAACTAAGTTTCCACTTTAAGAAGCCAGAAAAAGAAGAATAAGTTAAACCCAAAGTAAGGAGAAAAAAGGAAAAAAAAATGAGCAAAAATCAATAAATTTCTCAAAGAAAACAGTAAATCAACTAAAAGTTGTTTCTTTTAAAATATTAACAAAATTGGGAAGCTCCTAGTAAGAATGAATTAAAAAAAAAAGACACAAATTACCAATATGGGATACAAAGGACAGAACAACACTACATATCCTAATGGCATTAAAAGGATTATAAGGAATACTATGAACAACTCTATGTCAATAAATTTGATAACTTAGATGAAATGGACAAACTCCTTGAAATAACTATAAAAACTGACATGAAAAGAAAATCTGAACAGTCCTCTATTACAGTTTGAATTTGTCATTAAAAAGCTTTTCATATAGAAAACTCCTGGCCCAGATGACATCTATAAGACATTTGTAAAATAAATAGCATTGATCTTATATAAGTTCATTTAAAAATAGAGGGAAAAAATAGGAAAAAAGGAAATGTTTCTTAA
Source organism: Homo sapiens (assembly GCF_000001405.40). Taxonomy (NCBI): domain Eukaryota; kingdom Metazoa; phylum Chordata; class Mammalia; order Primates; family Hominidae; genus Homo; species Homo sapiens. The sequence goes on along the minus strand of NC_000002.12, from coordinate 172,745,110 downwards.
TTCACTTGATTAAGCCAGAATAATCCTGATACTAAAATAAGAAAAGAAAGTTATAGGCTAATATCCCTCATGAATTGACATGAAAGTAGCATTAATGAAATATTAGTAAGTTGAATAAAGTAATATATAAAAAGTATAATGCATGTTGACAAAGTAGTATCTATTCTAGGAAGGCAAGGTTGGCTTAACATTTGAAATTCAGACAATGTAAATTCACTATATTTACAGAATAAAACAGAAAAATAATATAATCATCTCAATAATTTCAGAAAAGGGAATTTGCTAAAAAAAAACAACTACATGAAAGACAACTAATGTGGCAAAATAGCAAACTATTTTTTATAAGATCATAACCAAAACAAGAGCATCCATTCTCACCCCTTCTATTCAATTTTGTCCTGGCATTCCTGGCAAATGCAATAAGGCAAGAAAAATAAATAATAGAAGACATAAAAATCAGAAAGAATAAGTAAAACTACCAGTATTCACATTCAAGATTGTCTACAGGGAAAATCCCAATGAATCTATAAAGTAACTACTAGAACCAAATAACTTGCCCAAAATTACACCATCAATAAAATTAAAACTGGGGTTTGAGCCTATACAGTCTGACTCCTAAATTTTTAACCTCTACACTACATTTTCTCTCTAGAGATGACCACGCAACGTTTGCATTAGCTCACACACCTCAACATAGCCATTACTGTAGGCACTGGGAATCTCATTTGAAGATGTGAAAACAAAGATTCAAAAAGATTAATAACTTGGCCAAGATCACATAGCTAGAGGGTAGAGGTGACAGAATTTGAATCCAGGTCTGGCTGATCCTAAGACAAAGCTGATTTGACTATATCATGTTTTCCAGACTGGAAACAGAAAACGGGGAGATCCAGATGCTAAGGCCCTGAAATAAAAGTGGAATAAAAGTCAAGACAATTAGTGACTGGTTAGATGTGGAAAAGGACATAGGAAAGGGAAAATGCAGATAACTTCAAAGTTCTGAGAATGAGGAAGTCATGACATCATAAATAAAATAGTAAAGCAAGAAGGAGAAACAAATGGGGAGCAGGGCTAAAAAAGATGAGGTCAACTTTAGACAAGTATCAATCTGTTAGGTTAGAGATCATTTTGATGGCAAATGATAGAACACCAAACAAAGAATGCTTTAGAGAAATAGGGCTTTTTTCTTCACAAAACAAAAATCTGAAGGTGGGTAACTACTGATCTGGGTTCAGCAGGTGGACAAAGTCAGAACTGGGGGCTCTGTGTTTCTCTGGGCACTTGCTCCTGGGATTACAAGATGGCTGCCACAGGCCCGGGCCTCGGGTAGTAACTCCAGGCAGAAAGAAGAGAGGAAGGGGAAATCAAATACACGGGTAAAGCAAGAGCTTCCCTGGAAGCCTCCTGTAGACTTCTGCTATGTCTCATTGGCCAGACAGTGCCACATGGACACCTCACCTGAAGGAAGATTGGGAAAATAACTATGTTGTTTTTCTAGCCTCTATAGCAGAGGTAGGTGAAGGAAAACAATGTCTGCCCCACAAAATATTAATGGGATATTCATGTGGGAATATCCAACAGACAAAAATACATCTGGTCTAGAAGATAAGCCACAGATACAGAGTTTAAGGAATCTGAGCAGTTACAGCAAAGGAAACAGATAGTTGCGCCAAGAAAGAGCTGGCATGGAGAGAAAAGAGAGTAGTGGCAGCACTTTGTGTTTCTTCTGGGGCAGGGGAAGCAAGAGGGTGCACACGGATGCAGCTGAGTCAACACACCAGGATTGTCCGCCTCCGCTCGTCAGCCAGATTGTTTTCTGTCAGATGTTCAGCTGGATCTCTCGCTGTCTCCCTCCCCACCCAGTTCTTTCCATCCTCTTTCTCTTTCCTCAGTCTCTCAGTACTCCTAGGGCAGTCTCTCCCTCATCTGTGACGTGAAAGTACTGGAGGAAAAACCCACTCTCATTGACCACTGTTGAGGATGCACAAACGTGATTTTATTCTGACTGAAGAAAAACTAGCTGCATGGGGTGTGAGGAGGTGGTGCAGGACAATAAGCAGCTACGATGAGAGGGCCATAAAATCTTCTAAGCTCATGGGAAATTCCAACAAAAGGTATCTGCCAGTCCCACCTCACAGGAGGGGCCAGAAATCCATTTGAGAGAACTCCAACTAAGACAAAGAGGCTGGATTTGCTTTGCTAAGCACCACTTTTCCTCTGAAGACTCTTTCCAGCTCCCAGGCTGCATGCAGGAGACCAGGCAGCAGGGTCAAGGGTGTGGATTGAGCACACCAATCCTACATGTATCCCCAGTCTGAGGGAGTCCAGGTCTGGCTAAACTTTCCTTTCCTAATAGATTAAAGCAAGTAAAATCAGCACAACAGAATTTAACCCTAATTACATATGAGGTTGTATTGTTCTCAAATTACTCCAAATATATATGTCATGTGCTCCCATGTATTTGAGGCCACAGTGAAATGTCTCCCAATAAATTGCAAATAGATAATTCCCAAGCATTAAACTTTAAAAACAATATATTGCTAACATTATGAAAAGAGATCACTTGACATTATATACCTCATTATGGAAATATATAACACTTCTGTGATGCATTCTTACCAAAAAGTCAAACTCTAGACCCAAATACTAATTTACAGGAAATACAGGGGACAAAGGAACATGTTTTAAAAAACTGCATGGAGGTACAATGAAAATTCAGACTGAAAAAAACAACAACAACCCAGTTTCTTCAAGAAATGTATTACAAGGAAGAAAAAGAGAGAAAGAGAGAACCCAGACCTATAGACATATCAACTAAATGCAACTTATTTGGCTCTTGATACAAACAAACTGCAAAAAAGAAAGTTATGAGGTAAATGGGGACATTTGAACACTGACTGAATAATTGATTATATTAGAGAACTAACGTCAAGTTGTTTAATGTGTGTGGTATTGTTTTCTTTATAAAAAGTCACTACCTTTTAGAGACATATACTAAAATATTTACAGATGAAATACATGGGATTTGCTTGAAAATAATCCTGGGGGGAGTGGGGAGCGCGTGAAGGTATAAACAAAACAAGGTTGGCTGTAAGTTGATGATGTTGGAGCCAGGGAAGGGGTGGCACAGATCATACTGGCTGGGCACAGTGGCTTAAGCCTATAGTCCCAGCACTTTGGGAGGCCAAGGTGGGAAGATCACTTCAGCCCAGCAGTTTGAGACCAGCCTGGGCAACATAGGGAGACTCCATCTCTACAAAAAATTTTTAAAATTAGCCAGGCATGGAGATACACATCTGTGGTCCCAGCTACTCAGGAAGCTGAGGCAGGAGGATCGTTTGAACCCAGGAGGTCAAGGATGCAGTGAGTTGTGATCAAACCACTGCCTTCCAGCCTGGGTGACAGAGTGACCCTGTCTAAAAACACACACACAAACAAAAAGAATTAAGAATCATACTGCTATTTCTTCTTTTTGTATATTTTGATTTTTTCCACAATAAAAAGATGTTAGTTTTTTTTTCAAAGGTGGGTGAGGATTTAAGGAGGAAGAATAGATTAGATTAGAGCTATGCAGTGTCATTTTTAAAAAAGTATTCACATTAGCCAAAAAACATAGAAGAAGCAACAGAGGCAGATGTGGATGGTGTCACCCACGCCCTTCCCCAGCAAAGGGCCCAGTGCAAGGGCCTTTTTGGGTTACAGAGGCCACCATCCCTGAGGAGAAGGATGCCTGTGGCCATCTTGCCCTGGGCCCATTAGCACCTTCTCTAGTCAGGGCACTGCACTGAAGCTGAAGATAAAATGATGAATAAAATATAGGGACTAAAGTCAAGTGATGTGAAAAGAGAAGTAAGCAGGCCATTACAATGGAATCGGACTTGTGCTATGTTATTACAGAGTGGGACCAAAGTGTGCTGTGAGAGCACAGGTAATGGTGATCTGACTGGAAAAGGTGGCAGCCACGCTGTCCTGGACGATTCCCAGAACTGCCTTCTCATTATCATCCAATTCCCAGGCTCTGTTGCTCTAGGAAGAGGATGTACTCCTGTACAGGCCAGAAGATGTAAGCATCCTGACCTCCTGGCAGCTTGGCTTCTCATTGTAAATGCAGAAAACGGACTTCTGAGAATAATTGGATTTCCCATATGGCTTACTTAGAGGAAGAATACATTAGCCAAAGGACGTGAGTGTCCACTTCTCTGATGTGACAGATCTTATTGTCAAATTAATAAACTGTCTTTCTGGCTTTTAGAGTCTCTGAGAGTCTGGTACCTGTGTATCTGTTGCTGAAAGATACATTAATTTTTGATGTGCTAACAAGTCAGTATTCTGAGATTGCAAGACCAGCCTGAGCCCTGGAGGATGTACCGGGGTAATGTCATCCCTTGGGACATGGCTAGTAGATACTAGCCTCCTCCAGGGACCCCTTTCTGCTCTGTGTGCTTCTTTGATCCTCTGCATTTCTCAAGGGTGGACCCATGTCTGATGCTTCTTTGATATCTGAGTTATCTTCTCTCACCATGTGTGCTACAAAGCATTTTGGTTCTTAACAAATTTGTTTCTTGATTTCTTTCACTCGAATTCAACCTAATCAAAATAGCTAAAATAACATCTATTTGGGGGCAAGTCAGATGGAAACTGTCCATGGAGTATTTTTAAACTGAAACACGAATACTTAAAAAAAATTCATCTGCTGCCTTTGAAAGATCACAACCTTTTGAATAACCATGTTAACTTCATCATCTGCTTTGGCTGTGACGGCCAGTGTTCCTCAAATAAGCCAATCAACTGAGAACCTTTCTCCAACCTATACTTCTAATTAAAGAACAAGAAACCAAACACTGTGAACTCCTTTCCAAATGAAAACGATTTCTTTCATCTCCAGTGGTTTCACTGTCAATCACTTAGATAGGTTCTTTCATCTATAACAAAAGATGGCAAACTTTTTCTGTAAAGGTCCACATAGTAAATATTTCAGGCTCTGTGGGCCCACAGTCTCCATTGCAGCTACTCAACTCTGCCACTGCAGCGGGAAAGCAGCTGTAGACAATATGTAACCAAATGAGCATGGCTATGTTCCAATAAAACTTTGTTTATAGACACTGAAATTTGAATTTCATCTAAATTTCATGGGTCACAAAATACTGATCTTCTTTTGATTTATTTCCAACCATTCAGGAATGTGAAAACCATTCTTAGCCCACGAGACATACGGGCAAGCTGTCAGATCTGGCCCACAGGCCATAGCTTGTCAATGCCTGTCCCATCATGATGAATGCCAGCAATGAGTCGCTATACTACATGAATGTGTATGGTCCCTGTCCCTTCATAATACTCCTTTACCAACCCTGAGAACTAGGACTTATAAGTGGATCTGAAGTTCACAGTTGGCAAATTTAAAATCTTACGGGAAAAATATTTTCATTAAAATTAAACAATGGGCCGGGTGTGGTGGCTCACACCTGTATTCCCAGCACTTTGGGAGGCCAAGGCGAGCGGATCAGCTGAGGTCAGGAGTCCAAGACCAGCCTGGCCAACATGGTGAAACCCTGTCTCTATAAAAATACAAAAATTAGGCAGGCATGGTGGTGTGTGCCTGTAATCCCAGCTACTCGGGAGGCTGAGACACGAGAATTACTTGAAACCAGGAGGGGGAGGTTGCAGTGAGTCAAGATCACACCGTTGCACTCCAGCCTGGGTGACAGAGTGAGACTCCATCTCAAAAAACAAAAACAAAAACAAAAAAACTTAAACAATGGTCAGCACACTTAAAAAAAAAAAAGAAAGGACATTTTACCTATCTTAAGTCCCAAATAGTGGGAACTATGTAATTTGTTCCTAGTTGCCATCCCCTCAGAAAAAAATGGTAAGATCCCTGAGATAGTGGTGAGCTTGTTTTACTCTAACAATACATCTGCTGAGACTTTTTTCAATGTTGGTTTATCCATCCAAATGTTCAATGTCCTGTCTTTCTGGTTTTAAGATTAGTATTTGTAGACCCTCATCTCCTCAGTCCCACCATAGTCCAAGATGGTGGATGATTGATACATAAAAAGCTATAGATTTTGTTTCTTTAATCTAATCTACATATCTACAACACTTGCAACACCCTTCCCCACTTGCAAATATTGTCCTGTCTATGATAGCTTTCTAGGCATTCCTAACAAACACTTTAAGGCTCTATTTTCCTTGTGTTTTGTTTCACTTCAAATTTCATTGTATACTTCTTTACTACTGCAGACTTTCTCTTTTAACTCTCTTTTTATTTCCAGTCCCAGGGTTTCTCTTTTTTTCACCATCCACAACAGTTGTCACTTGAATGAGGCATATATTTGAACTGTGTTTCCCAGTTACGTCCTTTTCCCAGTTGAAAGGTCCCAGCATCATATTCCCAAGTGAACCCACATGGGTTCATTGTACTTTCTCTTTTGTGCAGGGTTGAAAATGTCCATAATAAAAAAGATTTTATAAAAATAGAGCATACATTCCTATACTCTAGATTTGGTCACAAGAGGAATTTGTGGTTGGGAAGAAATTAGCATATTCATATGCCACACCACTCCCTGGCATGCCCTCCCTATTCTGTGCCTGGTAAAATTGTTCTCAGCCTCTGAGTTCTAGGCAGGACACCTATGGAAGTATCTCGATAACTCTCTCATCTGCATTCCCAAAGCACTTTATACATCTCCATTAAAGCACTTACTATTGCATTGTGGTTAGCTGTTTATAGAGCCGTCCCACCACCAATCTCCCCTACCCTCTAAGCCTACAAGCAACTCTCATATTTTGTTGCATCCCCAGTGCCCAGCACAGTGCCTGGAAAAGAAGATCAAGATAGCATTTAAAAGAGGATCAAGATAGCATTTCACAGTGCCTGGAAAAGAGGATCAAGACAGCATTTCTCAGAAACATTGAGGGCAGTGTCTCCACTAAACAGGTGTTTCAGGGGGCTTCCCTAGCCAACTTCCATAAACACTCTCAACCTTTCTCCTTTCCTAAAAAAAATAAATAAATAAACAATCTAAGTAAAAACACAACTTCAAAACAAGTCCCCCCATGGCCTTCATACAATGAGATTGCTGCCCTAAACTGTTCCTCATTGGAATTAATTCTGGCATGAACACTGCAGAACATGCAAAGTTCTTTTAATACCACAAAACAAAAAGCCTACATGGCACTCACAGTTTTCAAACTATTTCACCTTTTTTTTCTCCTTCCATTTGTCCACTTATCCCTGATAGTCCTATCCTCATTTTTCAGACACTCAAGGAAGTAAAAGTGACATGTCCAATATCAGAACTGGTAACAGCTCTGTGCCTAAAACCCTTAACTTATTGATCTATCCACTCATCTGACTCTTCTGATGCTAGGCTCAGTATCTGTGAAGGGTTTTTTTTTTTTTCCTAGATTTTTTTCCCATTATGAATGGTGGCATTAAATGGGGGCACCATGCTCTAAAAAATCCATTTCAAGCAAAATCATTTAGGCAGATACACATTATGAAAAGAGAGAGTCGAATATGTCCCACTTGTGTTAGTATTGCTCTATGATTTTGCCATAAGTACTTCTTATTGACTAACGGGTTTCCAGTGAATTACCGACTGTTCAAAAAATGCCATGCCATGCATTTCTACACATAGAAATATGTTATTATCTAAAAATTTTGCTCATAAGGAAGCACTACTATTTATAGGTTAAGTGCAAGATCCTGAATCCCATATAATTCCTTTTTCCTGAACTATTAAATGTAGATACTTATCACATTAACAACCTCTATACTTTAAATACTCTTAGTTCTTCTACATAATCCTGTGTGATTTAACTATTACTTTAATTCTCTTACTATTTATTGCATGCAACTCTTTTAATATTAGTACATATCATTTTAGACATAAATAGGGCACTACCTGCCAAAAAATCTTGCTACTGAGTGGTAATTGAAAGTCAAGATTATTTCTCAGATATATTAAGCTTTTCAAATGAGCTACATTTAGCTTTTCTCAAATTACTTAATATTTTTCAACAAAGGCCTATAATAGAGTATGCAAAGCACGTCACACTTAAGATTTTCAAGTTTGATCTGGTTACGAATCTGTTAATTGAAAATTTTTCAATATGGCAGAGCACAAAATATTTCACACAAATGCAAATAGAGATGTCATGCAGATAGCTGCAAGACGTGCATCATTGCCCTTCTGCATCAAACTCCGAAATTCAGAGGCAGTTCACTCTGCAAGATTTCTTGCTCAGTTCTTAAAAGTTCAGATGCATCACCTTTTAATCAGGGTAATAAGCTATAATTGCTAACATACTGTGTAACGTTTAAACCTGCAATCTGGACAAACAGAAAATTATGCTGTCACAGCCTGGAAACAACTGCAATCCACTGTTAACACACACATCCTCCTTAGAGAGAGCTGTCGTCGGGAGTTACATGCTTTATGGTTTTAATTATTTTTAGCGTAAAGATCTTTTCCCGAGAAGCAGGTATTAAGACGAAAGCAGCCTCCCAAATGACCTTCTCTAACACAGACCTTGAGCGAGCGACTGCGGGGGCAGAGAGCTGTGAATTTCAGCAAGGGATTCGACAGCTCCACCGGGTCCCTCACACTTTGCTTTCAAGAACAAAAAAAGAATGTTACTCTGCACCTGCCGGTGCCCCCACCCCTCTTTAAAACTTCATACCCCGCAAGGTCTGAATAGCCGGAAAGGGTATGCATCGATTCTTCTGTCCCGTGATGCCAAGAGAAAATAAACCCCCACCCAGGAGCGGAGCCTGGAGTCGCGGCAGGGCAGGGGGTTGGAGAGGTGGGTGCTCTCTCCCCTTACTGCGCTGCATTTTCTCCACCACGTGTAATAATCTCATGCCGCTGGCACCCCACGAGAGGCGGGGATCCTTGTCCTCCTGTCTCCCGGACGAGGACCTCAACCCCTTCCCCCGCTCGGGGACCCCGGCCACCCGCAGCCCGGCCGCGCTGCGCCCAGGTGCGGAGCTGCGGCGGTCTCAGGGCCCGGGCAGCACCGCAGAGCTCGGCCCCCGGCTGCGGCCCCCGGCGAGCTACCTTTTATCCAGGCAGGCGATCCACTCGGCAGAGGAGGAAGAATGGGCAGCGTGCGCAGCGACCATGTTGAGCGGCGGCGCGCGGTGTCCCTGGCTGCGGCGACCTCCCGCGCTCGCTCTGCCTGCGCCTCCGCCCCCGCCTCGTCCGCCGCGCGGACCCCGCTCCTCCCGGACGCCTGGCGACCAGCGCGGCTGCGACAGGCCCGCCCTCCCCGCGGGCTCCCGCGGCCTGGGGCGGTGGGGAGAGGGAGGGGACCCGGGGGGCGGGACGCGGGTGCGGGGAGGGCCGAGTCGCCCGCCCGCCCGCCGCTGCACTGCGGCGCCCGTGGGTGGGGATTCCGCCCCGGGGTGGGGACCCCGCGGTCCCGCTGCTGGGGGACACTGGGGGTGGCGACCCCGGTGGCCGGCCACCTGCGACAGGTGTCCGCTGCGTCCCTCGGAGACTGGGGCCCCACCCTCACCCCGGGGCCTCTGAGGCGGGGCGGGAGGGCAGGCGCCAAGGCAGAGTGGGGAGAGGGCTGCCAGTGTCTATATATTTTTCATACAGCAAATGCTACTAAAATGGCTGCTGCCTCTCTGTTTCCTTAGAAACCCATGAGTCTTCCTCAGCAGCTGTCGAAACTTGCCGGCGGTTGCTTGCTCACCTTTGCTGTCTCCCCTTCAGAAAAGGCTGGAGGGGAGGGCGAGGAAGGCTTGGCGTGGGGACGCCCGTCGAGTCTCTCAGTGAGGAATGAGAGGCCAGCTTCTCCTGCGGGGTGAGGAAGGGCTGGGCGCAATGGGGGGCAGTGCGGGCAGGGCTGAGGGGCAGGGAGGGAGGAGGCCGGTGGGCCCGATGTGGTCTGAGGGGGTGACAGGCTGAAGTCACTGGCCTTGAACCCTGGGCCTGCCTGGGCTTCCATCACCTGCATGGTGAAGAAAACACAGTTGAGAATGGGGAGTAGCCGGGCCACAGCAGAACCGAGACCCCGGACGCGCAGGTGAACTTGTATGGCTGGCCCCCTTGCTGTTCTTCCTCTGGCTGGAGTGTTGAATGGGTGGTGATAACGGCCTGTCTCTTGTAGATGTTCACACAAATGTCATGTCTACAAGTTATTCAGTTACACTCTGCCAAGAACCAAATTACACGCCAATGGTTGTTTAGGAATTTGCGGACAAGTTAAATGTTTTGGACTATTACCAAGCACTGTTTTGATATTTATGGCACTACATTTGGGGCCAGACAATGGGGGAAAGGGACATAGCATTGCTTTCTTCTACTGTTCCCTGCCTCCTCCCCCCACCAAACCTCCTATCCAACCCTGCTCAGGGGAGAGTCAGGGGGACTGGAGAGAAGGAAAGAGCAAGTGCTTTCTGGGATGCTTTGATCCTAATAAAACAATTATTACCATGATATAAAAGCCTCCAAATATGTGCCATTTCCCTCTGCTGGATAGCCAGGATCTAGTTTCAGACCTGCCACAGTGTTCCCACAGCAACTCCTCCCTCCCTGCTCAGGGCTTTTCCCCCAGTTAACCTTCATTCTGTTAATTTCTATCATGTTTATGCTAATATTTAAAATAATATACTATAGAAAGATTAACCAAAGGTATTTATGTTGTGGCTTTTTTACTATACAGGTATGAAGGAGGAACTGTATCTCCTATATATATTAAGTTTCATTTATAAAGACATCAGAGAGCACCTGAGAATGTTTCAAGGTCACCAAAAGCTTTCTGAAAATGCCTTTCTGCAAAGAAGGTTTCCAGGTAAGGAGCTAGAGGAGAAAGGAGCTGCACATCACCTGTCATCACACAGAGGCTCAGAGTTGCCATAGCTTTGGTTATGATACTAATAATAGTCGCCATTTATTGAACATCCACTGAGTGTTAGACCCTGTGCAGTACTCCTTACATGTGTGATCCCATTTAATCTTCAGAACACTCTATGAGGCAGAGCCAGAAAGACACTACTCCACAAACAGCAATAAATATCCTTGAAAATGTAGTGAAATATTGAAAATGATATGTATCAGTACTTTCAGGGAGAGTGTTAATTGGATTGGAAGGAAGACACTGATGAGCTGCTGGGAGTGAGAGTGAGACCCTCGAGGAGTCCACAGTGCATTTTAAGGAGTGTAGCTCTGATGAACTGCAAGGCCTTTGTTTTGCTGTGTGGGGGCCCTGCCTCTTCTCTAAAGAGAAGTTGAAGACTTATTTAAAGAACATCCTTTCGAAGGAGAACCAACAATCACTAGCTTGTCCAGAGCATGCTCATGTCTTCATCCAGCCCTGGAGGTAGGTACAAGTAACTCCAAGATACTCACTAAGACACTGAACTCAGGAAGGGTCCATAACCCAGCTACAGGAGATGGGGCCCCGGAGTGGAATTTGGGTCTGTCTGATTCCAAACCCTTCCACATCAGTGATGGTGTCCCTGTTTCTGCCAATAGAATGGGAGTATAGGGCATGTCTACAATGACTGTCCAGAGGGTAAGAACAAAATAGTTATAAATCAGTTTTTTAATGTAAAAATAGAGAAATGTGTGAGGAATTAAAAAACAGAGATCCTTAAAACATCAGGAATAGCTTTACTGTCCTATAGATTATCTTGTGATCTGAAAGGGATTTGATTGCTGGTCAAGAACTACAGGAGTAAAGGAAACTCTGTTGATAATTAGTTATTATAGTATTAAGAGGAAGAAAACAGGCTTTTGCTTGGATTGGATGGGAAAGGCAAAGAACCAAAGAATATTTATTCATTTCCCTCTCTTTAAAAGAACACAATATATGTCAGTCCCAAAAGAGCATATGTTGTATGATCCTATTTATGTGAAACTTCCAGAAAAAGCGAATCTATAGAGATGGAAAATAGATTAGGGATTGCCTAAGGCTGGGAGGTGGGAATAAGGGATGACTGCAGATGGGCCTGAGAAATCTTCTAGAAATGATCTAAAATTGAACTGTGGTGATGGATACACAACTCTATAAATTTAATAACAATCATCAAATGGTATAGTTAAAATGAGTGAATTTTACAGTATGCAAATTATCTCAATAAAAATGTTAAGTAAATAAAATATTAATAAACCTATATGGAGAGGAAAAATAATATGATTGATCTTTTGGGGGGAAACAGAGAAAAATATAGGAGAAAAAGTAAAAATTACCCATAATTCCATAACATAGAGGTAATACTGTTAATATTTTAGTGCATTTAATTCTAAACTTTTCTATTATGAAAAGATACAATCAAGGCCAAGCACAGTGGCTCACATCTGTAGTCCCAACAATTTCGGAGGACAAGGCAGGAGGATTGCTTGAGGCCAGGAGTTCAAGACCAGCCAGGGCAACATAGTGAGACCCCCCCCATCTCTACAAAAATTAAAAAAAAATTAAAAATTAGAAGTGATATGATCATACATGTACCCACAAACACATACATATAACTAGCTATGTGTATGTATATGTGTGCATATATGTATGTGTATAGATACATGTATTCAAACAGACTTGAAAGCATTAATAGTTTATAGGCTACTTTTTCTATTGGAATGGAAAAATGCTTTACTTTCCTTAAAAAATCCTTAAACATTTTTTCCTGGCCACCAAATATTCTAGTGTACAGTTATAATTTACTTACACTATCTTTTGAGACTTGTTTTTTCACTTGGAAAAGGTATTATCTGTTTAATCTCCTTCCTATAGTTTAGTGAATTCTTTCTCTACTAGAGAACTAAGATCTCTACTGAAGATCTCCATGAGACAAGGATGAGACAAGACCAATATCTGTTAATGCTATGTAGATCCTCGAATGAGTTGCTAAAATGTCTGATTTCCATTTTGTTCATCTGAGCAGAGGTTCAAAGTTAGGAATTTGAAGGCAGGCAGCCAAGTTCAAATTGCAGCCATATCTTCTACTAAATGTTTGGCCTTAAATTAACTACTTAGCCTAAGACTCCGTTTCATCATCTGTAGAGTGGAGAAATTAATAGTATTATACATGAATTTGGTATTTGTAAGATATTTAGCATAAGTGCCAAGCACATAGTGAGTGTTCAATAACTCTTAGCTATTATTCTCCATATAGTGCAAATAATACTAGGTGCTCTCTGCATTTCACAGGGACCTGGTGGTGATAAGCTGTCGAGATCACTTATGCTAAAGGGCTTCGACATCTATAAATTGCAAGTTTTGGCTATAAAGGATATGAGGGATGGGTCTCCTGAGAAACCCATAGAAATTCTCCAGGAAATTCTATCATAGATTGGGCATTCACTCATATCCGTATATGGGGAAAAATCTGATTCACCATGTTTTAGGTACCTCATTGGAAGGTAGGTTATAAAAACACATCTATCACTCCTGCTGGTGATATAACCAATTCAATGAAGACGCAGTATTCCTTCGGTGAAATCATAAAAGCAATTTTAATGTTTTATCTCACTGTCCTTTTAAACTTGCTCAGTGAAGGCAATTCTACCCCTGCCACTGGATATAGCTTGTTTGGTCACTTATAGGTAATAGAAAGTACCAGATTCTTTCTATTAGAATGCCCAAACCAATATATCACTACATATTTCAATCTTCATTTCAAAGAAAAGAACTCTGCCCTCCTCCCCAACCTACAGCTGGTCACAGGCAGGTCTCAGCCTTTAGGAGAGAAGACGTGGTCAGCTTCTCCTTTCCTTCCTCATCCCAGACCACCATGAAAGCTGCTGGTTTTGACCCTTCCAGAATCAGAGTAGGGAAGGGAAGAGAGAAAAGAAGGGGCAAGAAAGTTCTTACTTTACTGGGACAGTTGTAAGATGGCATTGTCTTTTCCAAACCTGGCTAATGTCAAACCTGCTCTTTATCTTGTGGGTGCCTTCATTTTTTCTTAGGTGCCCCTGCTGCTGGGCCCCCCACATAAGCAAGTGTCACTGGATTTCCTGAGTCCCCCTCCAAATTTCCTCCCTCCGTAGGACTCCCAATTTATCTTCCACCCACACCCCAGCTGTCTTCTTGAGCAGGATTTAAAGGGGCTCCAGGATCGTTCTCTTCTGTGTGTCCCACATTTGGTCCATAGGGACACTCAACACCTATTTTGCTCTAATAAACTCAGAGTGCAGACCAATCCTACCAACCGTGCAGCCTCTTCACTCGCCAAAGAGGCTCACCAATCCCTCTCTCCTGATCTGTAGGTTTCCAGGGCTGGAGTCAGACAACAATCCCCTATGCTCCCAACTTACAGGTTCTCTGAGTGGCCCACATGGAGAGGAAAAAATAGTATGAGAAATATTACTTTTCAAGACTTTCCATGACTAAAACAAGAAAATACTCCTGTTTTAGTCATGGTTCTCCAGAGAAATAGAACCAATGGATTATATATCTGTAACTATGTCTATATCTGTATCTATAAAAGGAGACTTATTATGAGGAATTGGCTCCCACAATTATGGAAGCTGAGAAGTCCTACCATATGCCATCTGCAAGATGGAAACCCAAGAAAGCGGTGTAATTCAGTCTGAATCCAAAAGCCTGAAAACTAAGGAAGCTGCTAAAAATCCCAATCCAAGAGCAGAAGACGAGATGTCCCCATGCTAGCAGTAAGGCAGGAAAAAAGGGGCAAATTTCTCTTTTTGTTCTGTTCAGGCCCCCCAACTAATGGGATGCTGCCTCCTTGAGGAGGGCAATCTACTGAGTCCACTGATTGAAATGCTGATCACATCCAGAAAAACCCTCACAAACACACAAAGAAACAGTGTTTAATCTGGGGACCCGTTGGTCCACTCAAGGTGACACATAAAATTAACCATTACAACTCCTCACAAAATCTTCCTTTAATTTCTCCTTCGTAGGCACTATTTCCCCCTTCAGGTGAGAAGTTTTAGACCCATGAAACTGGTCTTTAGTATTTTGATTGAAAGTTTGCATCTTGGCATCTCACTTTGGAATTTCATAGCTATTCTATTTTGGTGCCTGACGTGAAACTTGCAATTTAACATCTGTGACTTGGGCTAGTGAAAACTGAATCAAGTCAACTTCCTTCCACACCTTCAACATTAATTCCTACTCAACCAAGACAATTGCCTTTTCTACGCAAAGTGATTCGCCTGGGACTTGGGAGGAATACCATACTCATTAGGGAAGTACAGCTCTTACAGTCTCCTGAGCTTTCTAAAAAAGAAATGCGTAATTAAAAATATCTGATCAGGAGAGTCCCAATTTGTGGGTAACAATAAAAAGGTTGTGGTTTGTTTTAAAACTGTGATTTGTCCATTTAGGGGAATATATTTGGATTAAGATCTTAAAGCGATAATAAGGGGAGACAGGAAAGTGGCTAAAATTTTATTTACGATAACACTTTTTTTTAGACTTTACTGCTAAAGCAAAAGTCACAAATGACCCACATTTAGGACCTCAATATTTTCAGTACTAAATTAAGTATTGAGGAAAGAAAAGAACTTTCATCTGAGGATTGTGAGCCCTTACGAATTGTTAGGCCCAGAGAGGCATTAAAATGAGATCACAGTTGTGCCCTATTACCCACTCTGAGCTATGTATTTATCTCCTGCAACTGCTTAGCTATTGTCACAGTAGCTATAAATTAACCTAATAATGCCACACCAGACACTATAACCCACACCCTATAGCTTACCAACGCATAGCCAATCACTAATCAGTGTTAAGTCTGTAAACCAATGAGAATTCCTGACAAACAACTTTGTATCAGCCCACTCACTGTTTTCCTTTCTTACCTTTAAAAGTCTGCCTGTAGGCCCTTTGCAGTGGCTCACTCCTGTAATCCCAGCACTTAGGGAGGCCAAGGCAGGTGGGTCGCTTGAGGCCAGGAGTTCAAGACCAGCCTGGGCAACATGGCGAAACCCCATGTCTGCAAAAAATACAAAAATCAGCCAGGCATGGTGGCACTCGCCTATAGTCCCAGCTACTTGGCGGGGCTAAGGTGGGAAGATCACTTGAACCTGGGAGGTTGAGGCTGCAGTAAGCTGAGATTGCACCACTGCACTGCAGCCTGGGTGACAAAGTGAGACCCTGTTTAAAAAGGAAAAAAGGAAAAGAAAAAAAAAAGATAAATAAAAGTCCACCTGTAACTGCTACTAATCAGAGGGTCTATTCAGGGCAGCATGCATCTATGCTCCTGGGCTGCAATCTTCAAACTCCCGGCCCAAATAAACTCCTACTTATATTAACTCTGCCTCAGTTCCTTTCTTTTGGATCGACAGTATTATTACATTTCTTTGTGACTTTTAGAAGCAGAGTTTTTCTTTTGTTTTGGTTTTGTATTTCTATCATTATGGCATGTAAAAGTAAATTAAATTAGAAAGGAATTAGCTATTTAGTTTTAACTGTACTTTAGATATATCCAACTTCAGGGCACTAGAATTAAGGCAAACAACTAAATATAAGCGCAAGAAAAAAAATGGTTTGAACTTGTCTAGTGACTATCTTCCAATCTCCAGCTTTGTAAAAGACTAAGGTAAAGTTCTGTTTTGTACTCCCTGTGCTCTTCAGGTAACTTCATAGGTAAGGGCAGTTATAGTTCCTCGTTTTACAGAAAGGTAAATTATCCAGTCAGGAGGCAAAGTTAAAATGAACTCTCTTAATTTAAAAAACGTTCAGAGTTAAAATTTGTGACTTAGTTATTAATGCAAGCAAGTCTTAAGGGAAAAGAAAAATCTTTTGTCCTGGAAGTAATTGCATCTGGTTGAGAAGCATACTGACCTCTATAAAGAAAATGGTAGTTATTAGTGTTAGTTCCCGTAACATACGAACTCCCTGCCTCCTGGGAGGCAATAGGCTAGGAAAGAGCTTGAACGCTCCACCTCGCCCCCTTCCCAGAAGGGACAATTCCTCACAAAGCCAGAATGGTGAAAGTCAGCAATCCACAAATCACTCAGGTCCAAAGTGGGTTCAGCACTCCACCTATGCCACAGTCTTCCTCACCAAAACGAAGCCTGCACTTTCTCACCAAAACAAAGGGAGAGGGTTACATATGCCACTTTCTCAAGCTCAGTTGGTAAAGTTGCAGTAATTAACTTTGGTACATAATTTGCAGTGAGGAAAATGTCACCATGTCACAGCTTTAGTCTTAGGCTTATTTTCTAGTGGTGGAGTATATTTATTTTGGTGAAATAACAAGCTGCCATTGCTTTTTATTATTGTACGAAAGACACAGAGTACATTATTCAACTCGGAAAATCTCTACCTGTGTTATACTCATTTTTCACACTAATAGAGAAAATTACCACAAACGAATTTTGAATGAATTATGGTCACCCAGTGTTTGTTACAATTTCCTTTTCATCAGTAATCCAATATGGTCTCCTACATATTTCAATAAATGGATGACTTTATATAGTGAATTCCACAGAGAAAATAGCACAGGAAAGAGAGAATGTGACTAAAAATCATATTGATTATATTGAACCAAGAGCATGTTGACTTGAAGGAAGTAAAATGGAGAATTGTCATTTAAAGTGAGACACATTAAATCTTGACTGGGCAATAAATAATAAGGAGCTGAGCTCTTTCGCTTAGGTGACACTAACTTTCACCTTAAAAATATGATAGTGCCACAGCTAGTAAAGAAGATATATTTATTGGCATTTTGGGACTAAAAGTACTAGTTTGGTTCTAGAGATAGAAGATAACTCAGGAAGCTTAGAAGAGGTCAACCTGGGAAGACAGGATTCTTTCTCCCCACCCGTGGCTCTGCAGGAAGCAATACCCTCCCCTCTGGGCAAGGTCGACCCTCCAAGTCCAGATGAGAAGAGTTCCCTCTGTCTGCTCTTTCCTCTGCCTGATGACCCAGAGGCTTTGCAGCTGTGATCCTGGCAGCCCCTGGCCACCTCAGGGAGCTGCAGAATTCAAACCCTGGAAATGGAGCTCTGCTTGCAGCTGCACCTGGGGCCTGACCTGCTTAGGACAGGCCTGTCTGGACCTAAGAGAACCCCACTGCCACCCACTCAGCTACTCCCTAACAGACTGCAGAGACCAAGTCTTTTTCATTTCTTTATATCCATTGATTTCTCGAGTTATTGAAACTCAATATTTACTGAGCACCTACAATGTGCCAGGCACTGTGATAGGCACTGAAGAAAGGGCAAAGGACGAGCAGATAAATTTCCTACTTGCAGGGAACACCGTGGTAGTGAGTAAAATGAGACATTGCAAATAAACACATAAATATATAATATGTCAACTGGCAATAATTGATGCGAAGAATGATTAAGCAAAACAAGGAAATGCAGAGACAGGGAAGGAGCATCTATCTGGTATGAAGTAGTCAGAGAAGGCCTCTCTGGTCAGATGACATTTGGGCAGAACCTGGGGCCTGTCTCAGCACCACCTGTTCCTTCCTCGGCCACTTGCTCCCTGCAGCCACCAAAGGCCCCTGTGGTTTTCCCGCCTGAGGCTCACCAGCCACAGGCCTAGAATATCTGGCTTCTCTCCCCACGTCCAAACTCAGCTGAAATGCCAAACTGCAGGACCTTGTTTCCTGAGCAACTGCCAATGGGGCTGAATGATGCAACTCGGAAAGGAAGAGGATTTCATTCCCCCTGAATGGACTTTGCACCAGTGGGAGACAGGAAACAGGAGATTGGAGGATACTGGGCAGCTGAACTGCCTCACCCTTTCCCCCTGCCCCGTCTGGTGCACAATTTCTCCACACAGCCTGCTGTGTGTGGCCAAGCCTGTGCGCCGACTGAGTGTTATGGGTTGAACTATGTTCCTCAGAAAGATATGTCGAAGTCCTAACCCCCAGTAACTGTGAATGTGGCTTTATAGTATTTGGAAACAGGGTCTTTGCTGATGCAATCAAGTTAAGATGAAGTCATTAAGGGGGTAGGGGCCTAATCCAATCTCTTGTCCTTAGAAGGAGAAAGACAGAGACACATCAGGGGAAGATGGTGAGGTGACAATGGAGGCAGAGATTGGAGCAATTTATCTAAATGCTAGGCAACGCCACAGAGAGCTGCAAACACCAAGGCTAGAAGAGGCAGGGAAGGAGCCTCCCCTACAGGTTTCAGAGGGAGCATGGCCTCACCATACCTTTACTTCAGACTTCTAGCATCCAGAACTGTGACACAACACATTTCTGTTGTTCTGAGTGACAACAGTGTGTGGTGTGTTATTACAGCTGCTCTAGAAACTAACATATCGAGCAGCCAGCTGTGTGGGATTGTACCTCCCAAGTAACCCTCTAAGACTTAACCTTTGCCCAGGGCTCTGTCTCTAGAGAACTGTGACAATGATAGGTAGACCTGAATAAAGCGAAGGATGATATCTGCAGGGATATTTGAGGACAGGGAGTGCTGACAAGGGAGGAGCCAGTGCAAAGGCCCCGAGGTGGCAGTATGCTTGGTGTGTTGGAGGAGCAGGAAGGTGACCAGGGTGTTTGGGGAGTGAATAAGGGGAAGAGTGCTCAGAGGAGAAGTCAGAGGAGGGGCCAAAGACATGTTCTCTAGGGCCAGAAAGGCCTTTGGATCTTTTCGACATTATCTTCTTGACATGTAATTTATATAGTAGTAAAATGAACAAAATGGGTGACTATTTTGTGAATTTTTTAGATACATAAAACCACGTGATCACTATCCAGATCAAATGTTGAACATTTCCATCACCCCAGAGAGTTCACTCCTGCTACCTTCCAGTCAATACAACTTACCAATCCTGAGGCAACCAGTACTCTCTCTTTTATCATCATAAATTTGTTTTAACCTGTTCCTTAATGGCATATAAATGAAACTACATAGCATGCTTTTGCTCAAAATAGTGCTTGTGAGGTTCATCCAGGTTGCTGTATGTATACTTCAATTATTATTATTGCTGAGTAGTATTCCATTGCCTGGATATATCACAAATTATTTATCCATTCTTCTGCTGAATATTTGAGTTATTTGCAGTTTAGGCCTATAATAAATGAAGCCGCTAGGAACATTTATGTGTTCCTCTTATTTTGGTTGCATGCAATCATTTCTCTTGGTATAAACCTAGCAGTGTATTTTCTGGGTCAACTGGCTTAGGTTTAGGTTAACTGTATTCGTTTACACCATTTTATACTCCCGTCAGCAATATATGAGTTCCAGGTATTCTGCATCCTCACCAACACTTGGAGCCTTTCTGGTAGGTGTGTAGTGGCATTGCATTGTGCTTTCAATATGCATTTTTCTGCTGACTAATGCACTCCTTTTTATATGCCTATTATTCACATATCTCCTTTTATGAAGTAGGTATTCAAGTCTTTTATTCACATTTTATGTTTTGTTATGGCCACATCTCACTTCCAGAATCTGTATTGGTTATCTATCGCGCATTAAAAAAGTACTCTAAAGCTTGACAGCTAAAAACAACAAACATTCATTCTCTCACACAGTCTCTGCAGGTCAGGAACCTGGGTGCAGCTTCATGGGGTGGTTCTGGCTCAGGGTCTCAGGTTGCATTTGAGCTGCTGTCTGAGGTTACAGCCCTACCTATCAAAGCTGAACCAGAGCCAGACTCCATGTCTAAACTCACTTATGTGAGCTTCAGTGTGAGAAATGTATGAATTTTGTTTGATGAAATATTGAAAAGCTTAACAACTTCCTCCTACTCTCATTGGCCTCTTGGTGCCCAGTATCTGAGTCTGAAAAATCTCATCTATAGGAATCAATGGCAGCAAAGACAGAACCAAGGTCCCACGGCTATTGGGGAGGTTGGCAGATGAGTGAGGAAAAAGGGGTGTCAGCAATCTAAAAATATTCAGGCTCACAGAAATATAACTGTTTGAAATGACTCACTTTTATTAAGATCCTGCCATCTCACTTACCAGCTTAAAAAAAAATAGATCACAGCAGAATGTTTCAAATTCTCCATAAATGGCCATTTGATCCAGCAACCTACCTGTGGAAATTTATGCCAAGATTAGAATCTACAAAATACATACAGAGATGCACATTGAAGTATTATTTATTAGGAATCTAAATTGTGGAATCATTAAAGAGAATACATATTCCCTCAAAAGAATACCATGGTGTTATTAAAAGTAGTCATTATGAGTGGTTAGGATATAATATAATATTACAGGAAATTCTTAGGATATACCATCAAGTAGAAAAACTTTTCTTCCCAGCTTTTCAATGTGAAAATGTTTAAACCTACAGGAAAGTTGTAAGGCCAGAACAATAAATGCTTGTATAGCCTTCATCTAGATTCTCCAACAGTGACCACAGTTGCCACATCTCTTTAAGTGTAATGCTCATCCTTTGAGAGTAAGTGCAGACATTTTGATACCATGCTCTAAGTACTACAACACCTATCTAAAATTGTAGAAGGAAACTCTTCTATGATTTTCACACTCAAGACATTTAACACTGATATAAAGTTTATATTCAAATTTCTCCAAAAGATTTAAAACTATCTCTTTGGCTTGTGTTATCCAGGACTCAATGGAGGATTGAGCATTGCATTTAGTTGTTGTGCCTCTTTAGTTTTTTTTGATCTAAAACAATCCCTCAACCATTTTTAAAAATTCTTTCATGACATTGACATTTTTAAAAGACTCTGGAACAGTCATTTTACAGAATATCCTTCAATTTGGATGTGTCTGTTTCCTCAAGATTAGAAATTACATGAACTTCTTGGCTAACTTCTCCATTTTATTTTGTGTTCAAAATATATTACTCTTTCCCATGTCCTGTGAAAATAAAAAATCTCTAATGTGTTTGTGAAAAAGATTAAGCTAAGATTTTGTTTGGATGCAGTGTGATTTGGACTTAGGTGTGTGTATCTGAACTTCATCCTTTGTCATCAAAAGAATAGTATAATAACTAAGAACATGTAGCTTAAGAAATCCAGGCACTTGAGAGCCACTGTAAGTAAACTCTAATTCCCACAGCAGAAAGAAGGGGTCTGTCTGCTTTTTAACCACCAAAAGTTTATCTATATCAGGACTGTTTCCTATTCTTTGTTTCTTTCTATTTGCCAGACCAGTCTATAAGCTAGTAAGGAGTTCATCGGTTCATCAGAATAGACTTCAAGACACTAGATCACAATCCCAACAATTAAAATCATCTGCTTTGCCACTGCTCAGATGGAAGCAGTATGTGTGCCTTCAAAAATGTTTTACTAGAAATTTTGAGTCCTGAAAATACCTGATTTCTAAACTAAACAAGCAGAATCTAGGCAGAGGGATGTCTAAATTTCATTTATAACTTAGCCGATTAAGGCTGCCAATAAATCATACCAACTTATATAAGTAACAGCCATGGTAAGGATATTGCCTTAATGGTAAGTGCCTCTTACTTGAGATTTACAAATCTGGGTACTATTTCTAGGAACAGCCTACTGAATGCATCCAAGAGCTTGGCTTAAGTCCCAGGGATGACGAAGTTCTTTGAACCCATGCCATCACCCCTACCTCACCTGCCATGATAGTTATTGCCAATTAATCACAGTGTTCTTTTCTATTAGCCTGGACACTGCCTCAGACAATTTCCCAACACAGCACTACAAGCAGCCACTAATAATAATTTGGAGTCAATACATCAGATGAAATCTTTATCACCCTTGGAAAATATATTTTTCTGAATCTCATCTAGTTTTTAGCTTCTCGACTTCATCTACACATGAATGGTGAGGCTGTAGAAGTCTGTTTCTTGTGAATGACCTACAGATAACTGGCAAGCTTGGTAAAATCTCATATCAGAGCAGGTTGACCAGGTGATTTGACTAGGGAAGGAAAGGATAAGATTAGTTAGGGTTGGCCATTTGCCAGGACAATTGACCTCAATATCTCTAAGAGCTGGAACACAAAGTTGATGTCTTGCTCATGAAATAATCCAAGTTGACTCCAGGCTTGGGGGATGGGAGTGTATGAGTTCCATTCTGCACAGTCATTAGGGATTAGGACCAATAGAGGCTCTGTCTTCTTAAACACCTGACTTCCCACATCACTGTGGGCATTTGCATCCACCTGGTGGTAAGGGAAGGAGCATGGAGGAATGCCACGTGAGTGGCTTTTACAGGGGAAGCCTGAAAGTGGCTCACATCAATTCTGCAATTTTATATTTGCTAGAACACAGTTACATGGCAGTAGCTAACGGTAAGGCAAGCTATAAAGTGTAGTTCATGGAAGAGCCAACTGTTCCCAATGGCATTCTACTATAGAAGAGAGCATAAATGTTTGGTGGCCAGCCAGCCACCTCTGCCCACAAAGAGAGGCTGTTCTGGGAAACTCCAAGCCTTCTTGTAGGACAAGAAAATGATGATAGCACTTGGGTGCACATAGCAATATGCCAGACACAATATTGCCTGGCCTTTTCCTAGCTGGTCTATGACTCAGCCAAATGTGAAGATGAAATTTTGGATAGTGAAAATTATTAACCCTTCCATGCATTACTGGGAAAAATCTGCAAAATTTTAATCTCTAGAATAACTTTAAAGATACAATGGGGGCCAGGCACGGTGGCTGACACCTATAATCCCAGCACTTTGGGAGGCTGAGGTGGGCAGATTACCTGAGGTCAGGAGTTCGAGACCAGCCTGGCCAACATGGTGAAACCCCGTCTCTGCTAAAAATATAAAAATTAGCCAGGCCTGGTGGCACATGCCTGTAATCCCAGCTACCTGGGAGAGTGAGGCAGAATTGCTTGAACCTGAGAGATGGAGGTTGCAGTGAGCTGAGATCATGCCACTGCACTCCAGCCTGGCCAACAGAATGAGACTGTGTCTCAAAACAACAACAAAAAGATACAATGGGAGTTCTACTTCTACCTAGGATGTAGAAAGCAAACAAAAACACCTTTTCCACCCTAGAAATAAGAAAAACTACAGATAAAATACAAACTCATAATTTTTCTTGAACCCATCAGATAGTTAAGGCCATAGGGCAACTAGGTAGCTTGAAATCCAAGGCGTCTCTAAGAATACAGGGTACAAGCTCTGTCTCACCTTCGGCAGAACACAGGAAGAAGAGATGCCGGTTGCCATCAAACAAGTAGGAAGGATTTGCTAAAATTTCTAACAAATTGCAGAAGTCTGACTGTGAACTAGTGTGACAGTACAGGTTTGTCTGGGAGCCACAGACAGAGAAGCAGTTCACACTTACAAGATCGTCTTCACAGATTTCCATTTGGTGCTCATGAGAAAGACTGGGTGAGGGTGGGGGACCAGAGGGAGTCTTCCTTGGTGGTGCAGGCCTGGAGGAGGGGAGTGCAGTTGCTGAAGGAAAGTCACAAAGCCCTCCTTAGATGCTTTCTCAAGGAACAAAAGCCTCTAGCCTTGGGGGAAGAACCAGAAACTTCATATCTCCAAGACTAGATGAAAACCCATTACAGCTAGAGAAAGAGAAAACAAAACAAAACAAAACAAAACCTTGTCATTATTGGAAGAGCAAGGAACAGTCCTGGGCTCAGGATCCTACACCATTACTAATAGAAGTCTCCTACTACTGGGCAGGTACAGGGAAGTCCCATAGAAGATTTGCCAAAGATGCAAGGCAGTTTGGCTGCCTTGAAAAGGAGAAGTAGGATCACACAGGAACAAAACAACTGAGCTTGCAATACTGGGTAACAAGCAATAGCAGTCCATTCCTTGGGAAGATAGATCCCTTTTGTGGTGCTACAACACAGGAAAGGCTGAAAGCTGGGGGTAGAGCAGCAACATTGAGAAAATCTCAGCCAGGTGCAGTAGCTCACGCCTGTAAACCCAGAACTTTGGGAGGCCGAGGTGGGCGGATTACTTGAAGTCGGGAATTCAAGACTAGCCTGGCCAACACGGTGAAACCTCGCCTCTACTAAAAATACAAAAATTAGCCCAGTTTGGTGGCGCATGCCTGTAATCCCAGCTATCGGGGAGGCTGAGGCATGAGAATCACTTGAATCCAGGAGGCAGAGGTTGCAGTGAGCTGAGATTGTACCACTGCACACCAGCCTGGGGGACAAAGCAAGACTCTGTCTCAAAAAAAAAAAAAAAAGAGAGAGAGAGAGAGAGAGAAAAGCTCTTTGACACCCAAGCAGCAACAAAACCTGCTCAACTGCTAACTAGATAAACTCAACCCCTATACAAATAGCCTAGCAGAAGAAGAGACATGCTCATTTCCAATCATATATATTGTTTGTTTCAGCCTCTGCTGTCCTGCAAACAATGTCTGGTATTCAGTCAAAAATAATAAGACAATAAGATAGGTAAAGTAACCCACTGTCCTGAGATGAAGTGATCAACAGAACAAAACTCAGAGATGATTCAGATGCTGGAACTATCACACAAGCCATTTGAAATAACCATTAGTAATATGTTAAAGGCTCTAAATGGAGAAGGCAGACAATGTGCATGAACCAATATGGAATTTCAGCAGAGAGATGAAAACTGTAAGAAAACATATATTGGAAACTGGAAATAAACATATATTGGAAACTGGAAATAAACATATATTGGAAACATATATTGGAAATAAACATATATTGGAAACTGGAAATAAACATATATTGGAAACTGGAAATAAAGCAAGATGGGAACAAAGATAAACAAAGATTTCTTATGTATGACACCAAATAAAAACCCACTGAGACATCACTACATACCTAACAGAATGTTTAAACTTAAAAAGACCAGCTGAACCACATGATGACCAGGATGTGGAGCACTGGAACCATCATACATTGCTAATGAAAATATGAAATAATACAGCCACTTCAGAATATAGTTGGTAAGTTTTTTTTAATAAAGCTAAACATACAGTATGATCTAGCTATCCTCTCTTAACCATTTACCAAAGAGAAATAAAAACCTATTTTCAACCAAAAACCTGTACACGACTATTTATAGTGACTATTCATAACCTCCAAATGCTGGAAACAACCCAATTGTCTTTCAGCTGGTGAATGGATAAAGTGTAGTACATCTATGCAATGGAGTACTACTCAGCAGTAAAAGCATGAACTGCTGTCACATGCAGCAACGTGGATAAATCTCTAATGTATTATGCTAAATAAGAGGAAAAAGACTAGAGGAGCTATATAATGATCTAATTTTTAGTACCTTCTAGAAAAGGCCAGATTATAAAGACAGTAAATAGATCAGAGCTTGCTAAGAACTGGGGTAGAGGTTTTGACTAAAAAAAACCAATTTTGGGGGTGATGGAACTGTTCAATATCTTGAATGTAGTGGTAGTTGTACAACTTTATGCTTTTGTCCAAACTCATAGAACTGTACATTTAGAAAGGTGATTTTTAAAATATATAAACATATACTTCACAAAAATAATAAGTAAACACATAAAAAGATAAATAAAGACAGGGACTCTGGCTTCCTGACTTTTTCAATCCTCTATTATATTGCCTTACAAGAAGATGATGCTTATGGTCTATTGTATTTTGGCCCAGAACATCCCCTACCCTTTCCTAGGGCCTTCCCCATGAGACCTTGCCTTATCACCCCAAACGGAATCACTCCAGAAAATACAAACTCACTCAACATATTCTGTTTGCTAAAACAAATTCTATAAGCCTACAATATACTACATCACATTTGATTTAAAGTGTATTTAACATCAAAGACAAATTACTCTGAATGCTATATTAAAAGAACTAACTTTTTCTAAAATATATCTTACAGATCTCAATTTTTGTGAGCCACATCTAATCAATCTCTGATCATTTCAATAACATGCATATTTTTATATCTACATGAAAATGAAAATTGTAACAAAATATGGTTTCATTTTTTATGGAAGTTTTTTACTTTGCCTTCCTTTCATAATTTTGGATTTCCCCAGTTTAGGATGCTAAAGGGCAGTGAGAACATCTCTTCATTTCACTAGCTTCATTATTTCCTTCCATGAGTGTGGAATTTTACCTGTCTCAAACTAACCTGTTACCTAAAACTAAAGGCTGATTTCTCTTTTTAGAAAATACCATTTCAAATGGAATTTTTATGATTACAAATTTTACATTCTTATATTCAAATTTTTCAGCAAATTACATTCCATGTGACAAATTCCTGGTTTCTTCTACTTTTCCATTATGAATCATCTCAAAAAAAGATCAGCAGATTTCATTTACCCTTCCCCAGGAAAAGCAGGACATTCCTCTCTTCAATCTGGTAGCTCTCAGCTCTATTGGAATAACACCCTTTTTATAAAACAAATGTTTTGTAATGTTTCCTTTGCTATCTTAAAATGAAGTGTCTTACACATTACCGGATGTCTAACACCCTTAGCTCCCACCTACTAGAGGCCAGTGAGCTCCATTAATCATTTTGACAACCAAAAAAAGCCCCTCACATAGCTCTAGGTTGTCCTTGGGTAGGAGGAGAGTGGAAACACCACCATCAAGAACTACCAATTTAGGGCATATTTCCTTAATGGCAAAGCAATGTTCTACTTCAAAATACTAATAGGCTTGGAATAAAGAACAATTTATTCGGGAGGTGAGGCAGGAGAATCGCTTGAACCCAGGAGGCAGTGAGCCGACATTACGCCACTGCACTCCAGCCTGGGCAACAGAGCAAGACTCTGTCTCAAAAAAAGAAAATTAGTCCAACTTAATCAGGTATTTTAGTAACAAGTATTTTAGCCAAGGATATAGTTTAAGTAACAGGTTTAATAGGAAGCGTAGTAACTAAAGGTAGTTTATTAGTTTATCTGTTATTACACAACCAATTACCCCAACATTTAGCAGTTTAAAACAACAAGCGTTTATTATTTCACTGTTTCTGAGGGTCAGGAATCTGGAAGCAGTTTAGCCCGGTTGTTCTGGCTCGAGGTCATCCATGAGGTTTCAGTCAAGCCAGGCTGCAGCCATCTCAAGATCCATCTGGAGCTTGAGGCTCTGCTTCACTCACATGCACACAGGTTTAGTTCAGCCATACATGGGTCTCTCACAACATGGTTTCCCCTAGAGTGAGCAATGAGAGAAAAGCCGTAAGCAGTTCTTTGATAATGTAGTCTTGGATGTGAGATACCATCATTTCTGCCATATTCCATTGGCCAACCCTGGTACAATGTAGGAGGGACTCCACAGGCTGTGAATAACAGGAAGTGCAGATCACTGGGTGCCATCTTGGAGGCTGTTTACCCCAGGTAGGAATCTCTACATCTCTAAATAAATACGAGTACTCCAATCCACACTCAGGTTTTAATTTTATTGGACTGTAAGGGATTACTTCACAGAACTGAGAGAAACAGAAAACATTGATGAAGTTTTGTTCCAATTAAATAGAAACTGTTTCTTAGCAACATGAAAATATCATTTTAGTGATCTGAGGCTCAGAATCACAGTTTTTCAATGTCTATTTTTACCTCTGTATTTTAGATTTATTCAACTGCTGAATGTGAATAAAATTCCATTTAGCAATATCACAGGTAGAAGTAAATCTGAAAAACAGAATATTTGAACAAATACATATATATTAATTTTAGCAATAAGAAAATAAATTATTTATTAAGCCAGAAAATTAGGCCAACTTAGGCCTGGCACAGTGGCTCACCCCTGTAATCTCAGCACTTTGGGAGGCTGAGGCAGGCGGATCCCCTGAGGTCAGGAGTTTGAGACCAACCTGACCAACATGGTGAAACTCCATCTCTACTACAAATACAAAAATGAGCCAGGTGTGGTGGCACGTGCCTGTAATCCCAGCTATTCGGGAGGTGAGGCAGGAGAATCGCTTGAACCCAGGAGGTAGTGAGTCAAGATTACGCCACTGCACTCCAGCCTGGGCAACAGAGCAAGACTGTCTCAAAAAAAGAAAAAAAAGAAAATTAGGCCAACTTAATCAGATATTTCAGTAACAAGTATTTTAGCCAAGTATATAGAAATGGTGTAGGTTGAGAAATATGAAGGTGAATGTGTAGTCCAAGTAAACACTTAAAAAAATCAAAACCCTATTTCTGACATAGTTTTGCCTTCACATTATTAATGAGTATGCCTTCTACACATCCATCTTGATAACATTTTCAAAATCTCAAAGGCAGGACATCAACTTTGTTCATTTTTGCTAATGGATTGAAGTTTCTGAAAAACATATAAATCCTTTATAAATCTGTGGCAATTTTTCAAAGGAGGATAAAAATCATTATAATCTAATGAAATGTTCTCTGGTTCCCTAAGAATTATTAATCACAATTATGATACTCCAGATTGTGACCTGTATGTTTACTAAATACCTTAGGAAAACAGCATGATAGTTTTATTTATTTCATTTCTAGATCACTAAAAAGAATGCTTATTTGAACTCTAGCCCTTCAAAGTATCTTAAAACAAAATTTAACATTAAGATGAGTATGACCTTGTTTGAATGTTTCCATTACATTTTGATTCTTATTATACTACTTTCTTGGGAGGCAGTTCACATGTAACAATTTTCATTTTTTTCCTTATGGACATAAACTTTCACTCAAAGGTGGAAGAGCACTCATCTCCCATCATGTGTTCTTTGCCTGTGTCCCACCGGCTGTTCACTGTCCATTCTGTGAGGTTGCATTCCCATGAGGCGGGCAGTTGTCACATAACAACTCAAGCTTCTGTGAACAGTCTCTCACAGAACAGCCTGATGAACCTCCTAGGCAGGCTTTGTGTCGCTGGGCTTTCTAAAAAATTTAAGTAAACTTGAAATACATAGTGGTGGGCCTCAGAAGTCTCCACTATGGTCTTCAAACTGGAATTTGTGTGGGAGCTTTCAAAAGGGTATGTAATCTTGGATGGTTTTAAGGGACTCACTTTGCAGAGCCTCAACTTCCATAGGCTTAAATCTGAGCTGTCTGAGAACTTGGGCAAGGCATAGTGCTCCATCTCTTCCCAGTTCCTCATTCCCAGTCACCTTGACCCAACTTCTTAAAGTAAAGGCAAACCTCTCACCCATCAGGAATCCTGCTATGGGGTCTTGGCCTGGGGTGTCAGTGCCTACAGGGAAGCTGCCTTGATCAAAACACTGGTTTGTGTCTCTGCTAAGTGATTTCAAGAAAAAAGGAATACAAATTCCCCCAGTTATTCCTGCTGGTCAACATTACATTTTCAAGTATCCAGAACATATATTAGAAGTGAGTTAGTGTTGTATATTTTCTTGTACATTTATTCAGACTCATAGGGAAATTCTGTAAATAACTATTCCATAAAGATAATTAGATATAGAAAATCTATATTCATTTTTCATTTGGGTGCATTTTCTGTTTGCTCTTATCGGTTTTTATCAGTTTATTCTATCCTATAGTGTACTTATTTAGAGGCATAGTAGCTGAACAAAATTGGATGATGGATTCTACTATAAATAGTCATTAATACAACTTCTATAAGCCATACATATAAAAATGGCCAATAATTGCTTTTTGCTGTCAATTACCACAGTATCCAGTCACATTCTAGCAATAAGTAATACATATCTATTGACATATAACCTAATTTAAAAAGGAAAAAAGCTCCATTCATCTCATTAAGAGATATAGTTCTAGTAACATTTTACTTGTTATCTTTATTGATTATCAAATTTAATAATACATTTATTTGTTATATTTAATTGTATATTAATAACTGTGATAACAAAATCTAGAAGAAAATTTTACCACTCAGCTTTATCAATAAAGAAAACATACATTTTAATTTCAACATAGGCATATTTTTGATACAGAAAAGTATGGTAATATAATTAATTCTAAAAAAACTTTCAAATATAAAGAAAAAATTTTGTGGGTAAAGTTAAATGGAAATACAAGGTCAAGGGAAAACAGGAACAATGTAAATTTTCCTAATCTTAGAAGAGAGGTTGTTCATATATTTTTAAAGTTAAGATAGAGCATATAAAACTGTTCTGGTATTTAGATTATATTGTATATGTTGAAAAGAGTGATGTCATAGGTTTTTGTTAAAAAGTGTCAATATTTATATCTTTTGTTACTATTTAAACTTATGAGAAAAATTTCAGATGTTAACATAAAAATGTGTGAGAAGGCACATTGTTTTTCAAAACTATTTTAAGGAGTACGCTAGCAACAAAAAGTACTACTCTAATGAAGTGAAATAAATTAGTGGTACCAGTGTTTTGTTCCCAGATCTACTGTAAAATCAGGCATTTATTTCCATTTCTTCATCTGTCGTCTTTTCTCCAAATATAAAATGGGTATGATAACTTTCCTTGTGGCCAGAGGTGTCTGTGCAGCTCTTGTGAGGAAAAAACTTGTGTAATAGTGATGGCAGCAGTGGCCTATCTGGAAAGGCTGCTGAAAAGACACTAGCTGCAGCCAGGGCTGTGCGCTCCATGGAGCCGGGGGAGCCGGGAACAGACGGGATCCACACCCCCTTCCCAGTTGAAGGGGCGGGAACCTTGCCCTCCCGGACACAGCTGCAGCCACCCAGCTGCAGGACCTGGGCATCCCTGTGCTTCTGGAGGCCCAGGAAGTCCCCCTGTCCGCACAGGCACAGAAGTGCCTGCCCGCGTTGCCTGGCCTCTCCCTGCTCCCAGCACCCGCTCCAATTTCAAAGCAAAGTTGTGACCAAGCCCAGGTGCTGTCACAACCGGGCTGGGTGTGCACATGCTCAGGACAGTGCTGACACGCCAGCCCCCTGCCTCCTCGGCCCCCTCCAGACTTTGGGCACCAACAAGCATGAGAGAGTGGCCAAGGGGGCACTGTGGGCAGCTCGGCACGGGCCTGGAGGCATCCCTCAGCTCGAACAGCCTGGGCACCATGAACAGTGGCAGGGGGCAGACAGGCTCCTGGGCAGAAAGGAGCTAGTCCCCCATAAAACCCCACCTGAAGCCTGGGGACCAGGCTGCCAGTTCCACGGACTGGAGTGAAAACTTACAGTACTTTTTCCAAGCCCACACATGGCTGCTCATGGACCAATCAGCACATAGGTCCTCCTCTCTGAAGCCCATAAAATCCCGGACTTGGACAGATGGCAGGACGACCTCCCTGCAGAGCGGAGCTACCCACCATGAGTCTCCTCTCCAGTGAGAGCTGTACACTCTGTACAACCTGCCTGTGGATAGGAGCTACCCACTCCAGGTACTCCAGGTCTCCTCTCCACTGAGGACTGCAGAGACATCAGAAAGACCTGCCTGCAGATAGGAGCTACCCACACCAGGTCTCCTCTCTGCTGATGGCTACAGAGACATTCGGACAGCCTGCCTGCAGAAAGGAGCTACTCACTTTGGGTCTCCTGAGAGCTGAACTGCTGCTCAATAAAGCACCTCTTCACCTTGCTCACCCTGCAGTTATCTGCATACCTCATTCTTCCTGGATGTGGGACAAGAACTTGGGACCTGCTGAATGCTGGGACTGAAAGAGCTGTAACACAAACAGGCCCAAAACACACCCTCCACCCCTGCTTGCCACATTGTGGGCAACAAGGAGAGAAGAGCTGCAGCTCTTTGGGAAGCCCAGATCTAGGAGTTCCCCAAGCCACGGCTGTGACACCCTCTTTGGGGCTCTGTGGTTCCTGGTATCTCCAAGCTTCAGGTGCCACTGCATTCCCGGGTGTCCACAGTGGAAGCCGCTTGCAGTACACCTGGTCCAACCACAGCCTAGCAGGAAGCCAGCACTCATGCCGGCACCTGGAACTGCCCACCCCACCGCAGCTAGCATGCCTGGCTGTGTGCAGTGGCTGGACCCCGTGCTCGCTCACACACCCCTCACCGCCCTGTGCCTAGCTTGCCCTTGGCAGCCATGGGATCGGAGCCAGTAGCGAAAGCCAAGTGAAGCCTGCGAGGCCAAGAGAGCAGAAAGAGCCCAGCGGCCCAAGCAAAACTCGGGCAAAGGTGCCGACAGCCACAGAGGTTCCTGGCTGGTGAAGTGACAACCTAAGGATCCCATGACAACAATAATAGTAAAAGCCACATTATATGTTAAATTACTTGTGAACTATTGCAGGTTAGAAATAAAAGTACTCACTTATCTTGTTCTTTTTATATTTGTTACAATTTATTACAGGGGAAACTGAAAACCCATGGGTTCTAACAAAACAGACAATTCAGAATCTTAGAGGTTTAAGACAATAGTTTCTAACCTAGTCTTTTAAACCTATAACCTTAACAGTCTTAATATGACTCTATATGCAAATAAACGTAAATATATGTACATTATATATGTAAATATATGTAACTAATATATATGTAACATCTTTTAACAACAACAAAAATATAAGACAGATAAGAACATATTCCTAAATGTTCTATAATCTCTTCCTCTCCTTTTGAGCAAAGGGAACTCTTTTTTTTTTTTTTTTTTTTTTTTTTTTGAGCTAGGTTCTCACTCTGTTGCCCTGGCTGGAGTGCAATGGTACAATTACAGCTCACTGCAGCCTCAACCTTTCGGGCTCAAGTGATCCTCTCACCTTATCCTCCCGAGTAGCTGGGACGAAAGGCCTGCACCACCATGCCTGGCTAATTTTTTAATTTTTATGTAGAGACAGCATTTCACTATGTTGCCCAGACTGGTCTCGAGTTCCTGGACTCAAGGGATTCACCAGCCTCTGCCTCCCAAAGTTCTGGGATTACAGGTGTAAGCCACTGTACCCAGCCATAGAGAGCTGTCTTGACAGCCTTCTATAAATTTATAGATGCACAATTTGCCTGCATCCAAATTCCTATTCTCATTACCATGTGATAACTTTGGTTGCTTCCATTAAGGAATGGAAATATATTAGTTTATTCACACATTTAACCATTATTTATTAAGCATTTCCTGCGGACCTAAACTGCTTGTACTAAACT
This sequence comes from Homo sapiens, assembly GCF_000001405.40. Lineage (NCBI taxonomy): Eukaryota > Metazoa > Chordata > Mammalia > Primates > Hominidae > Homo > Homo sapiens. Next base: position 172,711,390 of record NC_000002.12, on the reverse strand, counting down.
GCTGGGCAAAGAATTGTTACTTTATTTGGAAATGTAAACTGTGAGGGTGGAAGGTAGGGACAGAGTGGAAGAGGAGATTAATGCACTATCTCTGAACTAAAATAGTTTGGAAGCAGATCTGAAAGTTCTGGAAACACACTGACACACTATGGCTCTTTCTGTTGGTCACAAGAGACATCTTTATGTCACTATTAATGCTAAACATTTCTAGAAGTAAATTGTCCAGCCAGTGAGGACAATTGCTGGAATGGAATAAGAGAAGAAAATGTCAGGGGAAATTTGGCATAGTCAAAATTCCAATCTAGGCTTAAAGAGGATGCTCTCTAAGCTCTCATTTACAACCTAGGAAAAATTTTAGTTTTGCAGTGAAAGTTGGCATAGCCACCAGTTGGACTAAATAACTTCCAATGTGCTTTCCAATAATAGGCTTGTATCAGGTTACACTCAGAGCACAGAATCACATTGAGAGAATTTAGTTACGTGATGTAATTGTTTAGTGGCATGAGAGCCTTCTCCACAATGTGGATATAATGACTCACTCGACTGAGAATTAGAGCATCCTTGCTTTTGCATGGGAATGTTTTGCTTCCTCTAGGGTGGCAGCAAAGGGGTAGAGCTGAAAAGAATAAAAGGTTGAGAACTACCTGTCTGTAGCTTGACAGTCTGACAATTTCACTGATCTCTGGCACCTCCAGCAGAGGGCAGGCTGGTATAGAGAAAAGAAGGAAAACATGAATTTCTTAATTTCCTTTACAGCCAGTCCTTGCTTTGCCCAGTAGTGCAGGACCATAAAAAGGACTGTGCATGCCTAAACCATGCAAAGCAATCTTCATAACTTTCCTGACCTTTAATAATTGTTGTCAAAACATTAAAACTTTGTATATGTATAAGGAAATGTCAAAACATTAAAACTTATACATGTATAAGGAAATGAAAAAATACTAAAACTAGCATGTTATTTAGCACATTGTAATTTAAAATATAAGAAACATTGGAATGAAAGTGTTTTATTTCTTTGTGAAAAATATATTAAGAGTACTTTGAATTATGCTTTCAGTCTTCTTGTTGCAGAACTCATGGTAGGAAACAAGCATCTTTCACATGTCTCAGCTGATTGTCATACTCCTTTGTGAATTTGGATCAGCTTCCAACATGTTACCCTTTGCATTTTGGATGTGGTGAAGTATCTCTAAGAGTGCCTTTACCGTGAAAGTTTTTTCCAGCATCGCTTCCTCTGGCACACCTTCATCCATTTCCTCACAGCCACTTTCGTCACTTACGTCATGAGTTCACCTGCACTAAGTTCCCCTGGCTGCATACCCAGAATCTCTCCAGTGGTAGCAGGGTCAACATTCCCAGGGTCAGCGATTTCCTCTATAACTTCATTATGTTCACTTCAAATTTCATTTGCAGTATTATCACTTTTTTTTTCTTTACTGCAATTTCGTCTTTGTTGGCAAACTGTCTTTTTCAGTTATTCATTTTTGTAAAATGTCATGTGGGTTTATCACTGAGCGATAAGAAGACCATACTACCATTGCTGTCCATCACTGAATTGAATAACAGATGCACCGTGACCCATCAGGAACAGACTGGAAGAAGTGATGTGATCAGTTGCTGATCATTGATGCATATCCGTTATTTACATAGTGACTTGTGAACTAAGAGCTAGCAGCAAAGTTGGCACTTTATGCAATTTCTCACAGTTAGTATGCCATGGTAACTGAAATTTGAATTGTGCCGTTGGGTGACTGCTGTTATTTAACTGAATGGTGGTAACTGAAATTGATACACAATGTAACCATTCGAGCAAGGACTACCTGTATTTTCCACATCCACCCTCACAAAGAATGTATGAAAAGTTTGCTGAAATTAAGCAAGAATTAGCTTCAAGACTGACAGCAAACTTATTTGGGATGAGCGTTGCCTTTCCTTTTCCCTAACAGAACTAACTTCATTTCTTTTTTCAACAAAACATATTGATGGGTCATTTGGTAGGTGGACTCACTTAGCACTCAGGGATGACTTTGATGAAATACAAGAATATATATTTCTCTGAATAAGAAAAATAAGATGTTTGAGTTTTTGAAATAGTGAGGGGCTGAGGAACTGAGAGGAGCTGAAATAGCTGAAAGCAAGTTGTGAGGAGAGATGGTCCCACAAGACGAGAGGCTAGGACTCCAGGAGAAAAGATGGCTTAGGGTGGTGGTGGTAGTAGATGTATTGTTTTATCCATCTACTGTTTTTTAAATACCCTTAACTATTTTCCAATTAATTTTTATTTTATGACATCATTATACCTGCAAAGGTTTAAAAACATAGTGCTAAATGGCTACAAAAAAAAGAGAGAGAGAGAGAAACAACAAATCTCTTTATCAGCTGTCTTTTTGTCCCATCTCTGACTGCAGCTATCAATTACAGGTTGAGCATACCTAATCTGAAAATCCAAAGTGCAAAATGTTCCAAAATCTGAAACTTGCTGAACACCAACATGATGCCACAGACGGAAAGTTCCATACCTGACCTCATGCGATGGGTCCCAGTCAAAACACAGGTGGACAACACTAGTTTATTCAGCATTCCCAAGGGAAAAATGAAATTACCTTCAGCCTATATGTATAAGGTGAATATGAAACATAAATAAATTTTGTGTTTAGACTTGGGTCCCATCCCTAGGGTTTTTCATATTATATATATGTACAAATACTTCGAAATCAAAAAAATCTGAAGTCCAAAACACTTCTGATCCCAAGCCTTTCAGATAAGGAATACTCAACCTGTATCAATTATTTTGGCTGTTTTTCCCAGGATTTATTTCCATATTTCCCAATGATATATGTATACTGCTATTTCTTAATTTATCTTTTTTGTCATTATTTCGTGAGAAACTATTAAAATAGTTGATGATTTAACTCTCTTAAACCAAGCCACACATGTGCTTGCACACTCCTCTTGCTACTATCCTCCCCCTACAGTTAAAGCAATTATAGTATTATGACAATTTAAATATCAACAAAAACCAAGTTTTTGTTTTCCTTAGAGTTACTAGCAACCATAGTTTTAATTTAATTATCTATCACTAAATCCTGTTGGCAATTTTTCTTTTTTTTTTTTCACTCTGTCGCCCAGGCTGGACTGCAGTGGCACAATTATTGCTCATTGCAGCCTCTACCACCCAGGCTCAGGTGATCCTCCCACCTCATCCTCCCGAATAGCTGGGACTACAGGTGCACTATGCCCAGCTAATTTTTTGTAGAGACAGGGTTTCACCATGTTTCCCAGGCTGGTCTTGAACTCCTGGACTCAAGCAATCTACTCACCTCGACCTCTAAAACTGCTGAGATACAGGTGTGAGCCACCACGCCTGGCTGGTCATTTTTCTAAATGGTTTTATCCTCCATGTATTCCCCACTCCCTAAGCACTCTGCTTCCCTCCTCCACAGTTCTTATATACTGGTTGGAGAATTGTCATAGTTAGTATAATGTGGATTTGTAAATTCCATTTTTCTGTGGAAACTTTAGAACTTTAAGCAAACATTTCTATTTTCTAACAAATGAAGATCCCTACAACAAATGTGTGGTCCCTAGTTATAAGTCAATGGTTTTCAGAAAATAACTATTAACACACAATTCTCAAGACTTTTGTTTCTGGGAAGATGGAGTAGACATACTTTTCCCTATTCCTCCCTCTATGTATAACCCAAAACCTTGAACATTATATATAAAACGAACATAAGATTCTGAAAGGTGGAGTGAAGAAGACAGACTGGTCAGGGACCTCAGGACCCAGGGAATGACACAGCTGTGAGTTCCCGGGTTTTGCTTTAGTCTTGTATATCCCAGACCTGGAGCTGTCGAAGCTGGCAGCCTGGAAGCACCAAGGAGTCCCGTGCAGACAATAAATGCCCAACAAACCTCTGCTCTCTAGCCAGAGGACTAGGAAAGGGGTACCCTGGCAAATCAGAAAACTTTCAGACGATTTCCACTCTAGCCTAGTCAAACATCCTAGACAAACTGTGGTCCCACTCCCGCCCATGCCAGCCCAAGTCTGCTGGGGAGCCTAGACTTCCAACCACACCAGGCTGTAATGACAAAGTGCCCCAACCTTCCTCCCGCTCCCAGGGTGGAATCTGAGGAGACCAAGTACAGATCAGGACTTTCATCCCTGACAGGTGATAAGGAAGTCCCCACACCCTGTGGTAGCAGTGGAGACCACATAGGGAACCCAGACTTGGACTCACATCCAGAAAAACAAAGCCTCCCTACCCTTCCCTGCTGGTGGGGTATCAGAGGAGGCCTACCAGAGAGTCAGAACTTCTGCCCGTGCCCAGTGGAAACAACGCCACCTCCCACCCCCATGGTGTCAATGGAGGCCACAAAGGAAGCAGTAACTCCCTCCTAGCTGGTGGTGTCAGTGGAGGCGGAGTGGGGAGCTGGAACTCCCACCTCACCCAGCAGGAACAAGGAGACCCTCCCCCTGGATGATGTGGATGAAAGCTGAGAGGGAAGCCTGGAATGTTACCCTCACTGGCCAGTAATGGAGTGGCTTTCCTCCCCACCTGCCCTGTCAAAGAGGTACCAAAAGACTGCTAAGACAGAAAGCTCAAATAAGTGCCAGAGGCACAAACAGAATACCCCAAAAGGATGAGAAAAGACAATTGAAGCCCAGCGTGGGTGCTCACATCTGTAATCCCAGCACTTTGGGAGGCTGAGGCGGGCAGATCACTTGAGCCCAGAAGTTTGAGACCAGCCTGGGCAACATAGTGAGACCCTGTTCCTATAAAAACACAAACACCAATTAGCCAGGCATGGTGGCACATGCCCATGGTCCCAGCTACTCTGCATACTGAAGTGGGAGGATCACCTGAGCCTGACAAGGTCAAGGCTGCAGTGAGCCGAGATTGTGCCACTGCACTCCGGCCTGGGCAACAGAGCTAGACCCTGTCTCAAAGAAAAAAAAAAAAAAGACAATTGACAGACACCAACACCAAGATCAGGATGACAGAGATGTTGGAATTGTCTGACAAAGATTTTAAAGTAATCATCATAAAAATGTTACAATAAGCAATTACAAACACACTAGAAACGAATCACCAATAATTCCTCTGACTGAAAAAAAAAAAGGCAATCCTAAAAGGTTTTACACTGTAGCCTTGTATCAATTCCATTGAAAGGACATCTTGAAATAACAAAATTGTAGAAATGGAGGACAGATTCACAGTTGCAAAAGGTTAAGTAGTAAGGAGGGACAAGGGTGTGGATATTACCAAGCCACATGAGAGATCTTTGTGATGACAGAAATGTTCTTTATCTTGACTGTGTCAACCTTAATATCCTGATTGTGATAACTGACATACTATAGATCTTACCACTGGGGGAAACTGGGTAAAGGGTGAGTGGGGTCTCTCTGTATTATTTCTTACAACTGCATGAGAATCTACAGCCTTCTTCCTCTCAAAGTAAAACATTTATTTGAAAACCTCACAATTCTCAATACTACAAGTAAGTTCTGTGCCCTTTTCTGTAAACAGATTTAGAAACTCAAGTTTACAAAGGCAAAATACAGAATAAGTATATTTAACTTAAACTATAGAGCAACTGTTTTGTAAATATTCTTTATTCTTCCTTTTCAAACAGAGGGTAATGGTTAATCCCATCCTTAACATTTGCAAAGTTACTTGTATAAATAGTTTTTTCATTCAATATTTCTTATTAAGCATGATTAAAACTGACAGTCTGATACAACCATCATTTAAATTGAGTGAAGATTAACTCTAAGTATTAGAGGCTTATGACAATTTTACTCCACATCACAACTGAGTACAAGCCTGAGTCAAACTGAGTAATAGATCTTTCAGAAAGCCTGGATTATGGTAAAGCGAAACATACAGTGGCAGGACCTGTACTTAGGTGACAGTAATAAGATAGGGCAGAATAGAGAGAGTTTCACTCAAAGATTCCCAGGGTTGGGCAAACACCAGAGATTTGCGTAGACTTAAAATGTCAAGAATTAATGATGCAAAAGGCTGGACACTCAGAAATTCCTATAGGAATCATTCTGTAAGAAGATCAATCTATAGGAAGAAAGGGACTGTTGGACCTTAAATGTTTTAGCAAAATTTTCAAGGCAAATCCTTGGACTTTGGATACTTTTGTGGGTATTTTTGAAGGATACATCCCTACAGTTAGACTTGCATTAAATTTTGTACATTTTTTTGTACATTTTATACAAAATTTAATAGATATGGATAAATCTGCCCGCTCAAAGTGTATCAACCATTAACTCACAACAGTATATGAGATGGTCAGTTTCCTCACTGCCTATTTAAATATTCACATTTTAATCTTTCTTTTCTGATTACTGAGTCCTATAAAGTTTTCCACCTTTTTTGCTGGCCTTTGTTTTCTCTGTTTGTTAGAAGCAGATCCTGGCATTTGTGTTCTTCTTTGAGCTTGTAGAACTGATGTGATTTCCAATTCTTTGTATTCGGTTGATATTGGGACTCCATAACTTTTTACCTCAAGAGTACGGGGAAAAGTTTCTAGAACTTCCTTGTTCAATCCTGGCTACAGTTCTATGTGACCATTTCTTCACTTAGCCTCCCAAAGTGGGAGACAGATGAGGGAGAGCGTCTGTCTACACAGGGTTGTAATTTTATACACATATATGGCTTTTGGTTGTTTCCCCATACCTTATCAGGTGGGTACGTGCTAAAATAAAGCACATAAGCATCTGGGTTTTTGTGATGCTGAGCATGGCATTTTTAAAGACTGTGGTGCTTTGGATGTGGGCTCAAGAGTATACCCTGGCTCTCACACTCTGTAGAACCTGTCGAAATTGATCCTTCCTTAATACTGCCCTCTTGTGGGCTCTCCTGAAAATACTACTTCCCTTTACAGAGATTGTAAACCTTGGCATTCCCTGTGATTCTCAATGTACCCCTTAAGCTGCCCTGTATTCTGAGAAGAAATGAGAAAGTAATCCCTTTCACCCCAACTCAGTCATTCTGACACATGGACCCCAACTGTCACAAAACCCCGACTGAAAACAGCCCCTTTTCATACTGTCAGCTGCCCTTCTTTCACTAGAAGACAGAGTCCCTGGGAGCCCTGTGGGAAGGAGACACCACTTCGCTGTGGGAAGTCTCACCATCGCTGTCGTGCCAGGAGCCGTTGGAGTGTCCCCTTCTCTAAAGCCATGTCAAGCACAGTAAGAATAAATAGAGGGGAAGTGGAACCGTGAGAACATGCTCTTAAACCCTATTTTACAGTATTCCTTTGTTAAATGAAATGAAAGCAATTACAAGAGAAAAAGTAGGCCGGGCACGGTGGCTCACACGTGTAATCCCAGCACTTTGGGAGGCTGAGGCGGGTGGATCACTTGAGGTCAGGAGTTCGAGACCAGCCTAGCTAACATGGTGAAACCCTGTCTCTACTAAAAATACAAAAAATTAGCCAGGTGTGGTGGCACGTGCCTGTAATCCCAGGTACTCAGGAGGATGAGGCAGGAGAATCACTTGAACTTGGGAGGCAGAGGTTGCGGTGAGCTGAGATCGCACAACTGCATGCCAGCCTGGCTGGGCGATAGAGCGAGACTCTATCAAAAAAAAAAAAAAAAAAAAAAGAAAGAAAGAAAGAAAAAGAAAAAAAGGAAAAAGAAAGAGTGATGAAAACTTACATAAAAACACAAAGTGTGAGGAGTTAGAAGTCAGTAAAAGATCTTTAAATACCATCCTATCTAAGATGACTTCCTGGCTTCCCTCGGCTAAAATTAATTTCTCCCTCTCCCATATTTTCTTTGATTTTTTATTTTAATTTTAGCACCTGCTTATTATTGTCGGGTTGGGTCAGAATTACTTATGATAGCAGATTGTGAGTCTCTGAAGGACAGGGACTCAAGGCTTTGAACCTGTCAGGTGTCTTATGGTATTTAATTAAATAAGATAGGAAAATGATATAAAAATGGCTTTGATGGAAACAATCTAGGTATGTTTTCTGTGGCTGCAGTAACAAATTACTAGAAACTCGGTGGCTTAAAACCACAAAAATATATTATCTCACAGTCCTGGGGGCCAGAGGTCCAAAATCAGTATCACTGGGCTGAAATCAAGGTGTCGACTGTATTGTACTCCTTCAAAGGATTTAGAGGAGAATCTGTTGCTTGACTCTTTCAACTCAACTCCCAGTGGTTGCCGGCTTCCCTTGCCTTGTGGCTGCAGCACTCTCACCTTCGCCTCTGTCTTCATATTGCCTTCTCCTCTGCATGTGTGTGCAAAATCTCCCTCTGTTTCTCTCTCATAAGGATGCTTGGGATGGCATTCAGGTCACACCCAAGTAATCTGGCACAGTCTTCCCCATCTCAGGCTCCTTGATTTAATCACACATGCAAAAATATTTTTTTTCCTTATAAGGTAACATTTAAAGTTTCCAGGAATTAGGAACTGATATTTTGGGGGGACACACTTTTCGTCTCACTACAGTCTACAATGAGATGGAATAAACCATAAAATCAGCGTACACAGAAAAGGTATTGCCAAGAGAATATGGGCAGGGTACCAGTGGTTTTGCCCTCAATCATGGTGATCTAGATAATTCCAACCATCCATCCTAGTGAGAGCAGCTAGTAAAGCTGAATACAATTTTTTTAAAAATCTGTTTGCATTCAAATCAGTGAAAGATTATAGGGCCAAAATCCAAAAGAAGGAGGAAACCTAGAGAGATGAGCCCAGCATTTTTGGCTGCTTTGCTCTTGGAAGCATCTGCCAATTTAAAAAAAAAAAAAAAAAGGCAGTTAGGAGGCAGAGAAGCTGAACAGAGCTTTTGGTAGATTAATGGGGTAAGCGAGACAATTGTAGTTCAGGGTCTAACAATGAAAGAGGCCCTGGCAAATCCCTCTGTCTTTTTTTTTTTTTTTTAAACAAAGTCTCACTCTGTTGCCCAGGCTGGAGTGCAATGGCACGATCTCGGCTCACTACAACCTCCACCTCCTGGTTTCAAGCAATTCTTCTGCCCCAGCCTCCCGAGTAGCTGGGATTACAGGCATCCGCCATCATGCGCCGCTAATTTTTTGTATTTTTGTAGAGACAGGGTTTCACCATCTTGGCCAGGCTGGTCTTGAATTCCTGACCTCAGGTAATCTGCCCGCTTCGGCCTCCCAAAGTGCTGGGATTACAGGCATGAACCACTGCGCCCGGCCATCCCTCTGTCTTTAGGTTGGAACCCACAAGCAATGCACCCTAGGAACAGAGGTGAATTAAAGTAAGCCAGTCGTCTTTGAGTCATCCCAGTCCTTCACTTAAATCAAATTCACTTGTATTACCAGCGCCCCTAACCTAGTCCTTGACCTTAAGCACATGTAAATCCTTTTTGGAGGAAGATAACATATCCAGTGAAAATATTTTCAAAATTAAGAAGAAATAGTAACATTGTCAACAAATCAACACTAAGAATATTGTCACCAGAAGATATATACTAAACGCAATACTAAAGGGAATCCTTCAGGCAAAGTGTATTCAGCTAAAACAGACATATGTAAGTACATCTAAATGAACTGTCTCTTAAAATAATAAGCATTTCTAGAGGTAAAAAGGAACATCTCATAACAATAAGGAGCTCAGTTCACCAAGAACATAGAACTATTCTAAATGTGCATGTATCTAATGATAGACTCAAAATATGTAAAGCAAAATTAACAGAACTAGAAGTAGAAATAGAACCCTCATGTTCCAAAAAAAAAAAAAAACAAAACAAAAAAAAAAACAGGATAAACTAGTTAGCAGCTCTTTTGGACTCACAGACTCTGAAAAGAGAAAACCACAGACTGCTCCAACAAGTAGCCTTACCCATGTACCAAACAAGTTATCCTGGGTACCTGGGCTTACAAATCTTCACCAGTTCTTGCCCAGATTCTAACTCTGACTCCTGCATCAACCATCCCATGACTAACTCCACTCCAACAAACTTTATAAAACCCAAATACTCAGGCGACTCAGGGAATTCATTTGACTGATTCATTTGGACAGTTGCCCATTGTCTGAGAAGTTTTCATTAAGCTCAGCTTATTGTTGTTTTTAATCAAAACATAGTATCTGTTTTTATCAAGACAACCTTTTGTGATGACTTTGACACACAAATGTGGATAGAAATATCAGAAGAAACAACAATAACAGAGCAGATAGTGCTTGTGTCTGGGAAGCAGAATTTGGTGGGTGAGGAAGATGGAACAAGTGGCCGATTTTGTTGTTGTTGTTGTCATAAGCCATGACTTCTAACACCATGTGCATCTATTACTTTGTACAAATAAAAATTAAATTAAGAAAAAGAGCTCTCCCTCTCCCTCTTCTCCCTCCTCTCCCTCCTCTCCTCCTCTCCTCCCTCTCCCTCTCCCTCTCCCCTTTGCACGGTCTCCCTCTGATGCCAAGCCGAGGCTGGACTGTACTGCCGCCATCTGGACTCACTGCAACCTCCCTGCCTGATTCTCCTGCCTCGGCATGCGGAGTGCCTGGGATTGCAGGCGTGCGCCGCCATGCCTGACTGGTTTTTATATTTTTTGGTGGAGACGGGTTTTTGCCGTGTTGGCCAGGCTGGTCTCCAGCTCCTGACCGCGAGTGATCTGCCAGCCTCGGCCTCCCAAGGTGCTGGGATTGCAAATGGAGTCTCGCTCACTCAGTGCTCAATGTTGCCCAGGCTGGAGTGCAGTGGCGTGATCTCTGCCCGCTACAACCTCCACCTCCCAGCCGCCTGCCTTAGCCTCCCAAAGTGCCGAGATTGTAGCCTCTACCTGGCCGCCACCCCGTCTAAGAAGTGAGGAGCGTCTCTGCCCGGCCGCCCATCGTCTGGGATGAGAGGAGCCTCTCTGCCTGGCCGCCCAGTCTGGGAAGTGAGGAGCACCTCTTCCCGGCCGTCATCCTGTCTAGGAAGTGAGGAGCGTCTCTGCCCTGCCGCCCATCGTCTGGGATGTGGGGAGCGCCTCTGCCTGGCCACGACCCCGTCTGGGAACTGAGGAGTGTCTCTGCCCCGCCGCCACCCCGTCCAGGAGGTGGGGGGCGCCTCTGCCCGGCCGCCCCGTCTGGGAAGTGAGGAGCCCCTCTGCCCGGCCGCCACCCCGTCTGGGAGGTGTACCCAACAGCTCATTGAGAACGGGCCATGATGACGATGGCGGTTTTGTCGAATAGAAAGGGGGGAAGTGTGGGGAAAAGAAAGAGAGATGGGATTGTTACTGTGTCTGTGTGGAAAGAAGTAGACATAGGAGACTCCATTTTGTTCTGTACTAAGAAAAATTCTTCTGCCTTGGGATGCTGTTAATCTATGGCCTTGCCCCCAGCCCCGTGCTCTCTGAAACATGTGCTGTGTCCACTAAGGGTTAAATGGATTAAGGGCGGTGCAAGATGTGCTTTGTTAAACAGATGCTTGAAGGCAGCATGCTTGTTAAGAGTCATCACCACTCTCTAATCTGAGGTACCCAGGGACACAAACAGTTCGGAAGGCGGCAGGGCCCTCTGCCTAGGAAAACCAGAGACCTTTGTTCACATGTTTATCTGCTGACCTTCCCTCCACTGTTGTCCTGTGACCCTGCCAAATCCCCCTCTACGAGAAACACCCAAGGATGATAATAAATACTAAAAAAAAAATAATAATAAAAAAAGAAAAAGAAAAAGAAAAAAAGCACATTTAGTTCTTCTGAAATAGAGCAATAATTTTCACTTAAATTGGTAAATATTTGTGGAGCATCTATTCTGTGCCAAGTGCTATGCTAGACAGCAGGAAAAGAAACCTGAAAAGACTGAAGTCTAGTCTGAAAATCGGTCGCAATTACCTGAGTCCCACAGAGACTGAGTGGTCTTATGCAATAACAATCCAGTGCACTACTTTTAACTTTTACAATCTGAACAGTAAAAAAAAAAAAAAAAAAAGTCAGATGAGGTCTGTACTCAAAATCAGGTGTCTTCAAAAAAAATATGAACGATTCAGTTGACTACTTGCAGGGACGGAAGAGTTTGTTTCCAAGCACAAACTAACTTACAGCTCAGCTTCGCTGAGAAGCTCTAGTTTTACTCAGTTGAGGTTTCCTGATAATTATTCTCTTGATAAGGAATATGTTTTCCATGCCATTTATTATGTTTTTGCTGTGCTCAAATGCTGCAAATTTTTATTCTCTCATAGAAAATAGCACATTCATCTTGCCATAAAAAATAGCGTAATTAAATTTCTAGCCACCCAGTTGTAGCAACTAGAAATGAAAGTTTGCTATTATTATGGCTATAATAATTCTTTAATATTTGACTAACAATAGATTCTGGGGACATGAGACATATGTTAATGTGCTTTTGAAATATTTTAAATGCTGCTTAAATATTAAAACATGCATTCTTCACATAAAATACCAAACGTATAGGGGAGATTTTGAGTCAAGGCACTCTCCTTAAATCTCACCCCCCTTTGCATCTCTGGCATCAGCTTCTCTTACTGTAATGGTTCTCATCCTAGCAGCACATAAAAATCACCTGAGGAGCTTCTAAGAAACAAAAAACACCAGTACCTGAGACTCTCCTGCAAGAGATTCTCATTTACTTGGTCTTGGGAGGCCCTGGGCATGCGTGTTGTTTAATACCTCCTCACGTGGTTCTAATGTGTAGTCAAGGTTGAGGACCATTGCCTAAAACAGTAGTTCTCAGTGTGGTTCCTAGACCAGCTTCAGCGTCACCTGGGAATTTGTTACCCATGTGAATGCTGAGGCTTCCCACAGCCCTCCAGAATCAGAAGTTCTGGGGGTGGAGCCCAGTCACCTCTGTTTTAACAAGCCCTTCAGATAGCTGTGGTGCACACTCAAGTTCCAACCATTAGGCTTAGAAGAATATAACAGGAATTTTCAAGAGAATGCAGTTAACACATGACAGGGAATATAGGTAGGTGGACTTTCTTCCTGAGGGGTAGGAGGCTCTGTAGTAGTTTGGGTGGAAGACCAGACGTTGCTGAGGAAGGTGCTTTTCTTTTATGATCAGCTTACCCAGGATGAGTCATACCATGGTGAAGTGAGTCACACTTACAAACCAGCCCAAACTTATGCTATATTTTCTTGCATGAGAAGAGGGAGATTCTTGGTGGAGAGAAAGGAAGGGGCAGGAAAATGCTCAGAAGTCTAGAGAGCATGAAAATTAGAAACTCTAAATATTTGGTAGAACAAAGTGGGGGATGATTCATGCATACCTCCATGTAGATACACAAAACCAGAATGCAAAATTAAACTGGTTTTAGGAAGTATTTCATCTCGCCCTCTAGGCTGATGCTGATGACTTTTATCTCTGCCATAAAAATTACACAGTAGACTGGGATTTCTTTCAGGAAGATGGGTGGCCATCTCATTGTGGGATTGTACTTCAGAATAAACAAATGCTGACATTTGGATCATTTTCTAGGGTTTCTAGTTTTCCGGTGAGATGCTTCTGACAGTTGCCATGGTAAATCCCTATGGACACCATTTTAAATTCTCCTCATTGGCAAGTAGCATATGGTGAGGATACACTGCAATTTTTGCTAAAACTATAGCTGTGGTAATGTATAATATAAATGAGATACACAGTTCAGCTTCTGTTGATCTGGGCCAGTATCTTCAGAATGGGGAAGTTTCTTCCATCTTCTGAGACAAGGATTACACATATTTGAAAATACGTGTAATTGAAATATTACACATATTTATTGAAAGATTAATGTCACAATAATTGTTTTTAAGAAGATTCTCAATCTTGGGGAGAACCACATGTAATTATTGGGGTTAATTAACATCTCTAAAATCTCTGAGGACTGTATTTTAACTGGAGACATTCTGAGCTCAGCTTGGATCATAGAGCATCACTGCTCAGCACGTGTATTCTAAAGATAAGGAAGGCAGTTGCCCCATCCATCCTGATTAATATGGCCAGTGGTATACTTGGTGTAATCAACAGCCACATAAGAAATACACTTCTTGAAATGTCAGAGGCTTGATAAAGCTGGATATTTACATGTGAAAATAATGGCAGGAACATATCTGGATACTTTACCAGCAAATTTAAAATTAAACGTGCCATTTATTATTTGCCATCCCCTGTCGTATGTCTCTGGGACTGTACAAACAGGGTCAATTACAGATCTTGGGGAATTGGTCACAGAATTATTTCTTGACTTAGTGATTTTTGCCCAGTGGGTTTTGCAGTTGGAATTGGCAAATGAGAGAACTAGATTTTCTTAAGGCAGCAAATGGGTAGCATTCACACAAAGGAGCCCTCTCTATTTGGGGTAATGTCATTGCAAGGATAAGTTGGGAAATATGCTCTCAAACATCTTCCGTTACAAATTCACCAGTTTTACAAGCAGAAGTGGATTTATATTAATAAGTAAGTGCTTTTACTAAGGAAACTTAAACTAATTGGGATAGAAGCAGAGTAATAAATTAGAATATAGTATATAACTTGTGAATGTTGGTTGATTGGCACAAATATTACCACTTTTTACCTCTCCTTTATATATTACTGATATTCAAAGGTGTGTAACACTTTAGAATAATTTCATACACTACAAGGATCCTATAAGATCATGAATAAGTAGTCTTGTGGAAGATATTGAGAAACTTCATAGGATTCCTTATAAAAGATGTTAACTGGAAAAATTTTAGCAATGCAGAAATATAAAGCAATAAAATTAAATTTACTCTTTCCATAGAAATTGGAAGAATGTGACAGAGTCAGAGTGTATAAATAAAGAGAAAATAAGCTATCAATTAGGATATTATTAAATCCTAATATGTCAGTGATCCTATGTCATCATACTAACGCATATTATGATCATTATACACTTTCCTCAACAATCAACTTCTCAGATTATGAGAGCAGCTAAATCAAAATGGCCCACTGTCAAAGATGTTCTATAGCCTTTCATCAACACTTTATAGGCTGTTATATAGGATTCTACCTCACTAAAAAATTAAAATTAGGAGATGTTAAAAACAGGAGTTGGGTAGTGCATGAACTATATATTGCCACAGAGTTATTGGCCTAAAACAAAACAATTTATTACCTCATTGCTTTTTTGAGTGAGGAGTTCAGGCATAGCTTAGCTGGGTTCTCTGCTTAGGGTCTCACAAGTCAGTAATCAAGGTGCCAGCCAAGCTGTGCTCTTATCTGGAGGCTCAACTGGGGAAGAATGCTCTCCTAAGCTTTTTTTTTTCTTTTTTTTTTTTTTTTGAGACAGAGTTTCGCTCTTGTTGCCCAGGCTGGAGTGCAATGGTGAGATCTTGGCTCACTGCAACCTCTGCTCCTGTGTTCAAGGAATTCTCGTGCCTCAGCCCTCTGAGTAGCTGGGATTACAGGCAACTATCACCACACCCAGCTAATTTTTGTATTTTTAGTAGAGACGGGGTTTCACCATGTTGGCCAGCCTGGTCACAAACTTCTGATCTCAGGTGATCCACCCATCTCAGCCTCCCAAAGTGCTGGGATTACAGGCATAAGCCACCACACCCAGCCTCTTCTAAGCTTACTCAGGTTATTGGCAGAATTCATTTCTTTGTAGCTGTAGGACTGAGGGCCCTAGCTTTTTGCTGCCTGGAGGACATCTTCAGCAACCAGGCTATCTGCAGTTCCTCTGAGCCCCCTGTCATTCCTAGAGGCCACCTGCAGTTCCTTGCCACCTGTCTTTTCCCAACATAAGCAATTCATCAAGCCAGCAAGGAGAGTCTCTAGAGCAGTCTCCTAGTAAGATGGAGGTTTATATAATGCAACATAATTCCAGGAGTGGCATCTATCACCTTTGCCATATACTATTGGTTGGGAGCAAGTCCCAGATCCCATCCATGCTCAAGGAGAGGGGCTTACATAAAGGTTTGAACACTGGAAAGCAGGATATGTGGGAGAGTTTAGAGTCTGTCCACCACAGGTAATTTATTTAGCCTGCTTGAGTTTCTTTTTCCCCTTCTGCTAAGTGGGAATTGTAATCTCTACCCTATAGACTGTTGTCTATGTTGTGTGCATGACAAGAGGGCAGAACACAGGACCTGGTGTGGAGTAGGTCCTCAACATATGAGTTAAGTCTTCTGTCTCGCTCTCTTCCCTCCCTTTCCCTTACAGTGTGATAGAGCACAGTATGGCATCCATGGGTTCTTAGAAACTGTGACTTTAAGCAAAATAACATATAATAAAACCAATTTCATCATAGGCTAGTTGATATAAACAAGAGTTAAGTTCCTATGGCATATTTCTGGTCAAAAAAACATCGCTAAACTTTTTTTGTTTTGTTTTTTGAGACAGGGTCTCACTCTGTCACCCAGACTGGAGTGCAGTGGCGTCATATAGGCTCACTGCAGCCTCTGACTCCTGGGTTCAAGTGATTCTCCCACCTCAGCCTCCCAAGTAGCTGGGACTACAGATGCACACCACAATGCCCGGCTAATTTTTATATTTTTTAGTAGGGATGGGGTTTCACCATGTTGGCCAGGCTGGTCTTGAACTCCTGACCTCAAGTGATCCACCCGCCTTGGTCTACCAAAGTGCTGGGATTACAGGTCTGAGCCACCATGCCCGGCCTACCAAACTTCTACATAAAGACTAAAACACTTCTAATATTAAACACTGAAACAAATGAGAGCTATGTATACATTTAAGAAAGATTAATAAAAACAAGTAAGATAATTATTTACCCAATCATTCCAGTTCAGGACCAAGGGTGGCCAGAGTCTATCCCTGCAGTTCACGGTGCAAGGTGGGAATCAACCCTGGACAAGATGACATTCCATCACAGGGCGCACTCATAGCCACACTCACTCAGACTGGAATGACTTAGACACACCAATTCACCAAACTAGCACATCCTTGAGATGTAGGAAGAAACTTGAATGCCTGGAGAATGCCCACACAGACAGGGAGAGTCTGTGCAAACTCCACACAGACAGTGGTTCTGGCAGGAATTGATTTTTTTCTCATCAATGTTATAATGAAACGATGTTGAATGCTATTTGAGGACCTGCTGTATTTCTTTTATTTTCTATTTTCCATTCTTTTTTAGCTCTGTGAAGAAATAAAATTCTAATGGCTTCTGTAAAAACAAAAGGAAGGCTACACTCTTAAATGCTTGGGTAGTCTCTTGTGTAACCACATGGACATTGCATTAGGGCAGTGCAAGAGCCTTACTTAAAGGAAGCATGAAATGCAGTTCTCTTCCCTCAATGCTATGGATCCTAACGTCTTTACTCTGGAGACTGGGAATTCATTTCCTATGGTGAAGGGTGAGGAAAGAGAAAGAGTAGCTTTCTGCCCTCCCTGTCTCCCGGCCCCATGCCTCTCTGCTATGGTCGCCACACGGAGGTGGGACACCCCACACATACACCAAACGTTTTTTCAGATATCCTGACTACACAGGAAGCAAAAGGGTATGAGGAGGTTTACTTCTTACATAATGAGGCTTGCTGGGGAGAGCACAGTAGGCTCCCAAGAAGGTCTGAAAATGGATCTTGAGGGAGAGCCAGGAGGGGAGAGCAGCCTTGGCCTTTATTGTAGTTAGGGAGTGGGCTGGGCTAGAGGTTCCTGCATAAGACAAGAGGACTGTGTGGATTGAGCTTCCTATGGGCACCAAGTGAGGGGAATATGGGCTTTCTTCTCAGCTTGCTCAGATGTGGAGCAAGAGGGGAAGAGGAAGAGGTGTGGCTCCAGAGCTGTCAGCAGTCAAAATAGAGTCCGATTCTTTATTACAGCTTCAAGGCATAGAAAAGCAAAAACAGGTTTGTCCTCTGCCCAACTCTGACCCCATCCGTTTTGCCATTTGGACTTAAATGGAGCTACTCTAATGCCATAGAAACAAAAAAAATCAAACACTCATATAGCATCAGGTACCAGGTACCTTCTAAGCATTTTACATATACCAAATCATTTAATTTTCACAACAACCCTATGAAGTAGGTATGCTAACATTATTACCACTTTACAGAGAAGAAAACAAAAGCATAGTCAAGTATCTTGCCCAGGGTCACCCCCCAGTAAATGGCAAAGCCAGAATTCCAGCTTAGGCAATACCACTCAAGCAGATTCTCCTCACCACTCCCACACTGTGGACTTTTCTGCACGGAGCTGCTGCAGTGACTCATGATTTTATGAGCCAATGGCTTCCAGCCAGTGTGCCATCAACACTTCCCAGGGCATATGGACATTCTGACT
Organism: Homo sapiens; assembly: GCF_000001405.40. NCBI lineage: Eukaryota > Metazoa > Chordata > Mammalia > Primates > Hominidae > Homo > Homo sapiens. The sequence goes on along the minus strand of NC_000002.12, from coordinate 172,693,211 downwards.
CACGTGTAAGATGTATTTTTCCTATCACCACAGTGATGTGTCAGATGGGGCTGAGCTAGCCACGGGCACAGGAGGTGAGAGCAGAACTTGGTGCAAGGGAAGAGGCTCACTGTGGGGTGAGCTGGTCCTCCAGGAGGGTCCAGATTTGACTGAAGCATAAATCTGGTCAGGTAGACACCTCTGTCAAACACCACCCAGTGGGTGCTAAAGGGTGACTTGGAAAACAGAGTGATTACTGTGGATGCTTTTGCAAATTCTGTGAAGCTGTAACTGCAGAACCAACCCAATCTGGTTGAACTTTGTGTAATAAAATGGTGAGTTGGTTTTCAGTTGCCATGGGTTCAAGTTACATAACCTGATTATCCCCAGGTGAACCAAGTGTGCAACCATAGGTGGCCCTAAGTGCTCTGACCAAGGAATATGGGTACCAAATTAAATTAAATGCAGATACCACATGGCATGATCCAATCAGATCACGCCCTGGCATCACCTCATGGCAAGATCCAGCCAGATCACAGCTCCCAGCATCACCTCACTGCAAGATCCAATCACTGCATGCCTCAATACCCTCTCCCTATAAGACCTGCCCTAACCCCCAACTTGGGGAGACAGATTTGAGGCAGACTCCTGTCTCTTTGCTCAGCAGCTTGTAATAAACTCTTCTCTCTACAAAAGCCTGGTGCTTCAGTGTTTGGCCTTCCATGGCGCATGGGCAAATTGACCCAGTTTGGTTCAGTAACAGGCTATTACACTTAAGGAGTGTGATTCTTGCAGACATATTTAGTGGCTTGTTTAAGTGAACAGCAAAAAGTTCTAAACTTTGAAAATACATGACAAACATACAAAGGTTGTAAACTACTATTATATAATCCCAGAGCCACCAGTACCTTGTATTTGAGCCTTAAAAAATTTTTAGTTTGATGGTATATTTCCTCATCAATACCAAAATACATAATTTATATATGGTATAAAGAATAATAAAGCCAATTTTCATGCTCTCTTCATACAGGTTAAGACACAGAATATTTCCAGTGCCAGGAAATCTGTGTACTTATCCCTGGACGCATCCCTCTCCACTGCACCAAAGGTTACATAATTCTGAATGCCTATATTGGTTGCCATCAAGCATGGGCAGGCTGATTATGAAGTGTCACTGATGCCTTTTCAAGTGCTCCAATGTAGGATTCTTGGCCAAAGGGGAGAAATCCAGCTTTCTGTTTAAAAAATACACCAAGGTTCTTACAAGACTAAACATATTCTTACTATACTATCCAATTCCTTGGTATTTACCCAAAGGAGTTGGAAACTTATGTCCACACAAAAACTACACATGGATGTTTATAGCAGCTTTGTTCATAATTGCCAAAACTTATAAGTAACCAAGATGTCCTTCAGTAGATGAATGAATACATAAACTGTGGTACATCCAGACAATGGAATATTATTCAGTGCTAAAGAGAAATGAGCCATCAAGCCATGAGCGGACATGGAGGAACTTCAAATGCCTCTTACTGAGTGAAAGAAACCAGTCTGAAAAGACTAAATATTGTACGATTCCAACTATATGACATTCTGCAAAAGGCAAAACTATGAAGATAGCAAAACGATCAGTGGTTGCCAGGGGTTAGGAGAGAGGGAGGGATGAATAGGCAGAGCACAGAGGATTTTTAGGGCAGTGAATCTACTCTGTAATGATTCTATAATGGTGAATACATGCCATTATACATTTGTCCCAGCCCTTAGAATGTACAAAACCAACGGGAACTCTAATGTAAATTATGGATTTTGAGTGCTATGTATATTTCTTCATGTCAGATGGGTAATGTGCCAATGTCCTAACAAGGTTTGTGGGCGGCACATCCCACACATGCACGTGAACACCAAATCATCATGCTTATGAACTACAACAGGATCGCTTCAGGACGATATTGATGTGTCAATGTAGGCTTATCAATTGTAACGAATGTACCCCTATGCTGTGGGATGTTGACAATTGGGAAGGCTATGCATATATGGGGGCAGAAAGCATATTGGAAATCCCTTTACCTTTTGCTCAATACTTCTGAGAGCCTAAAAGTGCTCTAAAAGCTAGTCGCTTTTAAAAATAAACAGAAAAACCAAGGGTAACTTCACCAGTGTCTTTTTGAGAGGTGAAGCCAGCTGGACTTCCTGGGTTGAGTGGGGACTTGGAGAACTTTTATTTATTTATTTTTATTATTATACTTTAAGATCTAGGGTACATGTGCACAACGTGCAGGTTTGATACCTAGGTATACATGTGCCATCTTGGTTTGCTGTACCCATCAACTCATCATTTACATTAAGGATTTCTCCTATCCCTCCCCCAGCTCCCCACCCCCCCAACAGGCCCCAGTGTGTGATGTTCCCCACCCTGTGTCCAAGTGATCTCATTGTTCAATTCCCATCTATGAGTGAGAACATGCACTGTTTGGTTTTTTGTCCTTGTGACAGTTTGCTGAGAATGATGGTTTCCAGCTTCATCCATGTCCCTGCAAAGGACATGAACTCATCCTTTTTCGTGGCTGCGTAGTATTCCATGGTGTATATGTGCCACATTTTCTTAATCCAGTCTATCATTGATGGACATTTGGGTTGGTTCCAAGTCTTTGCTATTGTGAACAGTGCCGCAGTAAACAAACATGTGCATGTGTCTTTATAGTAGCATGATTTATAACCCTTTGGGTATATACCCAGTAATGGGATTGCTGGGTCAAGTGGTAATTCTAGTTCTAGATCCCTGAGGAATCGCCACACTGTCTTCCACAATGGTTGAACTAATTTACACTCCCACCAACAGTGTAAAAGTGTTCCAATTTCTCTACATTCTCTCCTGCATCTGTTGTTTCCTGACTTTTTGATGATTGCCATTCTAACTGGTGTGAGATGGTATCTCATTGTGGTTTTGATTTGCATTTCTCTGGTGATCAGTGACGATGAGCATTTTTTCATGTGTCTGTTGGCTGCATAGATGTCTTCTTTTGAGAAGTGTCTTTTCATATCCTTTGCCCACTTTTTGATGCGGTTGTTTGTTTTTTTCTTGTAAATTTGTTTGAATTCTTTGTAGATTCTGGATATTAGCCCTTTGTCAGATGGGTAGATTGCAAAAATTTTCTCCCATTCTGTAGGTTGCCTGTTCACTCTGAAGGTAGTTTCTTTTGCTGTGCAGAAGCTCTTTAGTTTAATTAGACCCCATTTCTCTATTTTGGCTTTTGTTGCCATTGCTTTTGGTGTTTTAGACATGAAGTCCTTGCCCATGCCTATGTCCTGAATGGTATTGTCCAGGTTTTCTTCTAGGGTTTTTATGGTTTTAGGTCTAACATTTAAGTCTTTAATCCATCTTGAATTAATTTTTATATAAGTTGTAAGGAAGGGATCCAGTTTCAGCTTTCTACATATGGCTAGCCAGTTTTCCCAGCACCATTTATGAAGTAGAGAATCTTTTGCCCATTTCTTGTTTTTGTCAGGTTTGTCAAAGATCAGAGGGTTGTAGATGTGTGGTATTTTTTCTGAGGCCTCTGTTCTGTTCCATTGGTCTATATCTCTGTTTTGGTACCAGTACCATGCTGTTTTGGTTACTGTGGCCTTGTAGTGTAGTTTGAAATCAGGTAGCATGATCCCTCCAGCTTTGTTCTTTTTGCTTAGGATTGTCTTGGCACTGCAAGGTCTTTTTTGTTTCCATATGAACTTTAAAGTAGTTTTTTCCAATTCTGTGAAGAAAGTCATTGGTAGCTTGATAGGGATGGCATTAAATCTATAAATTACTTTGGGCAATATGGCCATTTTCACGATATTGAGTCTTCCTATCCATGAGCATGGAATATTCTTCCATTTGTTTGTGTCCTGTTTTATTTCCTTGAGCAGTGGTTTGTAGTTCTCCTTGAAGAGGGGACTTGGAGAACTTTTCTTACAAGAGGTTTGTAAAATGCTCCAATCAGTGCTCTGTAAAAATGCACCAATCGGTGCTCTGTAGCTAGCTAGAGGTTTGTAAAATGGACCAATCAGCACACTGTAAAATGGACCAATCGGCACTCTGTAAAATGGACCAATCAGCGCTCTGTAAAATGGACCAATCAGCAGGACATGGGTGGGGACAAATACAGGAATAAAAGCTGGCCACTCTAGCCAGCAGTGGCAACACACTCGGGTCCCTTTCCATGCTGTGGAAGCTTTGTTCTGTCACTCTTCAAAATAAATCTTGCTGCTGCTCACTCTTTGGGTCCGGGCCACCTTTAAGAGCTGTAACACTCACCATGAAGGTCTGTGGCTTCGTTCTTGAAGTCAGCGAGACCATGAACCCACTGGAAGGAACCAACTCTGGACACACCTTCAGCAGAAGATGCTGTGGGGAAGATAGTTGACTGACAGCCTCTGGCTGCCATGTGGGATTCAACAGTGTTCACACTGAGGTCAAGCTTACTCTGGGTTGCACTCAGCCAGTGAATGGCCTAGGTACAGGTGCTAGGGGGAGTGCACTGAGGCTAATTTTCTCCCTATCTTCCTTCCTTCTCTCCTTTCCCAGATATTAGACCTGCAAATGGTCTAAAGACTCTTCTGCCTCTTCCTGCTCCCTCCTCCTTTATCCTTTATAGGCATTTTGAATGCCTCTTGCATATCAAATCCCACGTTGGGGTCTGCTCCTTAGAGGATGCAAACTAACACAAGTGCTACCAAGAGTGGTCCAAGACAACAGTCAGTAAGATGGGGCTTGGGACTGGTTCACACACCACCCAGCTGGCAAGGAGAACACAGTCATGAGGGAAACATCAGGCACAATAATCCCTGGCACAAGGTAGTTAACCTAATTGCTAAGGATTTCAACATTGGTGCTCTGGGATCCCACACAAAGAGCATCTGACCAGGGCTCTTACTACACAGTGCAGGAGGTATGGGAGTGGGATCACACACATCCATCCATACATATCACATACTTCTGGCACAATCCAGAAGGAGCTGCTTCACAAAAGACTGCAACAGCCTACTGAAGGATTAGCTGGAATGCTCAGAGGTCATACTCTGCAAGGATAGGTGCTATCCTGTCCTACATGTTTTAAATAGAGAACTCTATGGCAGTGTGTCCTCTCAAGGAAAAATATATGTGTCTGGAAACCAAGGGTGAAAGCAAAAGTAGTCCCAATTGCCATCATTCTTAATTGACCCACTGTGGGATTATGTGCTTCTTGTCCCCACAATTCTGGACTTTGCAGGGTAGGAGGTCCTTGCTCCCAAAAGGGGATCCCTGTGCAGGGGGACTTGGTAAGGCTTCCACTGAACTGCAATCTATGGCTGCTGCCACCTCACTTGGAAGTCTTTGTGTTCAGTGGGCAGCAGGCAAGAAGAGGAGTCCCCATCTTGTCGGGGCAATTGACTCCCATTAGCAAGAGAAGGTCAGGCTGATTTTACACAATGCAGGCAGAGAGGAATATGTGTGAACCCAAATGATCCACCTGGACACCTCCTGCTATTCTCTTGCCCAGCTGTAACTGTGGACATTTATAGCAACCCCAGCCTGAGAAAGATATGATAAACCAAGCGCTCAGACCCCTCGGAATGAAGGTTTGGGAAACACCACCATGTAATCCACCATGCCTTGATGAGGTGATAGCTGAAGTTGGGGGGTAGGGATTTAGAATGGATAATGGGGAAAAAGAGGATGAGTATGAAGTGTGACCCTGAGACCAATTACAGAAACAGGAGCTATAGTTCATCCTTCTAACTTCCCTCTTCTAATATTCCCAGGAAAACTTGGAGGATGCCCTAAAAATGTAAAAAGATAGGACACATATTCAGAGAAGGATTTGTGATGCATTTAACAACAAAGGAGTATAATCCAGAATATGTTTTTTTAAAAAAAAAAACTTCTTAAATAAATAAATGATAATTTCATAGGAAAATGAGGAAAGACAGGAATTAGTATTTTACAGAGAAGAAACAATATAGACAATAAACATATAAAAAGATATTCAACCTCATTAGTAATTGGCCTGATTCCAATTAAAATCAAATAAAATATATTTGGGAAGGAGGCAGGAAATAGAGTTCATTAAATTGTATGTTTCTCTTTACAACTTCTACATATTACTATATAATATATTGTTAGTTTACATGGGTATTATTGTTTCAAAACAAGCTTAAATACTTCTTATGAATGAGCTCAACCATACAAAAAGTGCTTATATTCCTAAAAATTGTTATATAAAACAGTAGTGCATATGTTATTCTCTTCCTAAAAAATTAGGTGTGATTTTTAAAGATGATATCAAAGACAGATGGTATGTGATTAAGTTCATTTTAGTTGTCTAATAATAGTAATCTTATTTGGATCATGATAGATAGCAGATAGGTAGATATATAGATAGATAGACACATAAATGGATTTAGATCAAGATGTGTCCGGAGTTGGTTCTTTCTGGTGTGTTCCTGGTCTCACCGACTTCAAGAATGAAGCTGCAGACCTTTGCAGTGAATGTTACAGCTCTTAAAGGTGGCACAGCTGATTTATTGTGAGCAGCAGACAGTGAGCAGCAGCAAGATTTATTGTGAAGAGCAAAAGAACAAAGCTTCCACAGCGTAAAAAGTGGCCCAAGCAGGTTGCTGCTGCAGGCTGGGGTGGCCAGCTTTTATTCCCTTATTTGTCCCCGCCCATGTCCTGCTGATTGGTCCATTTTACAGAGTGCTGATTGGTCCATTTTACAGAGCACTGATTGGTCCATTTTACAGTGTGCTGATTGGTCCATTTTACAAACCTCCAGCTAGCTACAGAGCGCTAATTGGTGTTTTTACAGAGCACTGATTGGTGCATTTTACAAACCTCTAGCTAGTTACAAAGCGCCGATTGGTGCATTTTTACAGAGCACTGATTGGTGCATTTTACAAACCTCTTGTAAGAAAAGTTCTCCAAGTCCCCGCCTTGACCCAGGAAATCCAGCTGGCTTCACTTCTCAAAGGGAGATCTTAGCAGTGTATCTCTATGGCTGCCACAGGTGCTGGGCTGTGTTTCTAGGGCCACGATTCCTGTTGATATCCTTTGAGAGACTTTACTAAAGAGTGAAATTCCTTTTTTATGATATTTTGGCCTACTTAGACTCTGTTTCTTTAAATGAAATAGCACTTCAGTGGTGAAACTACATCATACAAGTCTTCAGTGGTTAAATTTAAATATCCAGCACTTAACACAGCTCCTGGAATTTTGTAGAAACCCTGTAAATTTTGTTTGAGGTTGATTTCTCAGGAGCATAGGATGTATGTTGAACAAAATTGGAAATGTGAATGCAAAACAGGAATTTAAACTGGATTTCACAGGCATTGGAGACAACGAAGATTTTTTTGAGCAGCAATACGATGCTGAAAATAGCCACGTGCAGCTGTCTGTTCAGCATCGAATGAGGTGGTATGGAATTTTGGAGGTAATTTGATAGAAACAAAAAGTCACCTAAGATCATTAGAACCCCAAAGTGCTGATTTATCATGAACAATACAACATGTATCGGGTGCATTTATCAGGTTCTGTTCTGTGCTAAGTGCTGATTTGGCATATTTGCAATGATCAATTATAGTATGCAATGCTAAACACTCACATTTTATTAATGTGGTATCTTATTGTTTAACTTAGCAAATCCCAGTGAGGAAAATAATAATTTTCATTTTACAAATGAGGAAAATGAGGCTTAGAATATTTATGTGACTTACCCAAAGTGAGGCTGTGTCTTAGTCTACTGGTTTATTCACTCATTCAGCAAATGATATTTCTTTGTGCACAGCTGGTGAAGTATGTAGAAATCAGAACATGCAGAGCCTTGAAGGCCAGCCTCAGGATTTTAATCCAGGAGAAAGGGAAAATATGGAAGTGAGATGATAAGATTTCTATTTTAAAAGCTCCCACTGCCTCCATTGTGGTCTATGACTAGAGGAGGGCTTCAGGGACTGTTTTGAAGAGGCCAGTCAGGAACCTATTGGAGTGGCTTAGGTGAGTAGAGCTGTTGTATTAGTCTGTTTTCACACTGCTATAAAGAAATACCTGAGATTGGGTAATTTATGCAGAAAAGGGGTTTAAATGACTCACAGTTCCACATGGCAGGGGAGGCCTTGGGAAACTTACAATCACGGCAGAAAGTGAAGGGGAAGCAAGCGCCTTCTTTACAATGTGGCAGGAGAGAGAGAAGTGAGGGAGGAACTTCCAAACACTTATAAAACCATCAGATCTCATGAGAACTCATTCACTATCACAAGAACAGCATGAGGGAAAGCGCCCCATCACCTCCCTCCCTTGACATGTGGGATTACAGGTCCCTCTCTCAACATGTGGGAATTACAATTCAAGATGAGATTTGGATAGGGACATGGAGCCAAACCATATCAGCTGTGGAGGGGAGCAGACAAATTTGAGAGATATTTAGGAGGCCAAAATCGTCAGCAATTGGTGAATGACTGGACATGGGGTGAAGGGGAGGAAGGTGTTAAAAATAACTAGCAGATTCTGGCATGAGCAACTGAGTAGATAATAATGTCCTTGCTGAGACTGAAGACACAAGTAAAGGACCAGGTTTGGAGAGAAAGTTTATATTCAGAGTCAGCCCCTTGATCCCAGCTTGATTAAAGTCACTGGGGCACTGATCCCAAGGCCACTTAAGAGGACTGACTCATCTCCAGATTGGTTTACTGGTCTTGTAAATACCTACAAAGTTTTTATGTTCTCCCCAAAATCTAGCCCCCTTCCTGTCACCAGTTCCTTTTCTATTCTTTATTTTATCTTACTTTATTTTATTTTATTTTGAGATGGGGTCTCACTCTGTTGCCCAGGCTGGAGTGCAGTGGCACAATCTCAGCTCACTGCAATCTCCACCTCCCAGGCTTAAGCAATCCTCCCACCTCAGTGCCCTAAGTAGTTGGGACCATAGGCATGCACCACCACACCTGGCTAATTTTTTGTATTTTTTGTAGAGACGGAGTTTCACCATGTTTCTCAGGCTGGTCTCAAACTCCTGAGCTCAAGCAATCCACCTGCCTGGGCCTCCCAAAGTGCTGGGATTACAGGCATAAGCCACTGCACCCAGCCCAGTTCCTTCTCTAAAATAGAAATGATTATCACCATTGCTCAAAAAATATATTTCTCTCCTCCCTATCAAAAAATAGAATCCAAATATTTCCCAACTTACCATTTCTGCTGCCAGGGTATTCTCAGCTATAAAAATCTCTTTCCTGGCCCTCTGTTATGCCTCCAGGGTTGCTCTCATCATAATGTCTCTAGTTTATATGTATTTCTCCTGCTTCTAAAAGGCAAAGAACCATTCCAGTCTTCCTCTGGGCTGCAGGCCCTGAACATCTAAGTACAACAGGTCAGTGTTTCCCAGCACACCACTCGCTTGGTTTTCATTCTTTCTCACTGGTTGCTCCCATTCAGTCACTTTTGCTGGTTTCTCCCTATTTTCCCAACCTCTTAAAGATGAAGTCATCTAGGCCTCAATCTTTTGACCTATTTTGTAACTTTACTCATCCCCACAGTAGTCCCAATCTAATTCCATGATTTTAAATATAATCCATGCATTACTCACTCCAAATTAACATCCCTGGGAAGACATCTTCCTAAACTACAAATGTATATATCCATGTATCTATTCAACATCTTCACTTGGAGATGAATTAACATCTCAAATTTAACACACCCCACTCTTGCACCTGTTCTGCTCAAGTGAGATGCCTGCTCCCCCTTCACCTTCTGCCATGACTGGAAGCTTCCTGAGGCCTCCCCAGAAGCTGAGCAGATGTCAGTGCCATGCTTCCTGTACAGCCTGCAGAACTGTTAGCCAATTAAAACTCATTTCTTTATAAGTTGTTTTTTTTTTTTTTTTTGACGGAGTTTCGCTCTGTCGCCCAGGCTGGAGTGCAGTGGTGCGATCTCAGCTCACTGCAAGCTCCGCCTCCTGGGTTGATGCCATTCTCCTGCCTCAGCCTCCCAAGTAGCTGGGACTATAGGCGCCTGCCACCACGCCTGGCTAATTTTTTTGTATTTTTAGTAGAGACAGGGTTTCACTGTGTTCGCCAGAATGGTCTCAATCTCCTGACCTCGTGATCCGCCCGCCTCGGCCTCCCAAAGTGCTGGGATTACAGGTGTGAGCCCCCATGCCCAGCCTCTTTATACGTTTTTTAAAAAGCACACAACCCAAACCTCACTCCAAGTAGACCCTTTCAAGCCTGTTCCATCACCTCACTTCCTCAGCCTTATAAGGTATCAGCACAAAAACCATAAAGTCAAACAGCTCTCCTTTTTTGTCATGAAAGTCTATGGGCTCTACCTTCAAAATATATTCATGGTCCAGCCTCTTTATTTTGTGTTACTCCACTGCTAATGCCTTTTTCCAGGCCACCACCATTTCTTACCTAGACTATTACAACAGCCTCCCCATTAATCTTCTGAATTTCACTCTTGGCCTTTGTCTTAGTTAGGGTAGGCTAGATTTCCACAACAAAAGTACCTCCAAATCTCAGTATTTTCAAGAACAAGAAATTTATTCCTTTCTTATGTAACAGTCTGGGCTGGGTTTAGGTCTGCAAAGCAGCTCTCCACCACACACTCATTCCTTTCTCAGCCAATGGCCACTCTACTGTCTTCTAGTCACATGACCACACCTGCATGCAGAGGAGGACAGGAAATGTGGTCCCTGGTTAGCCAGCTGCTTCCACTGACAACTCTCCACTGTGGAGGAAGGAGGGTGGATTTTGGCAGTCTGCTGGCCATCTCCACCACACTCCCTATGGATCATTCTCACTGCAGTGGCCAGACTTTGAAACACATATCAGATCAGGTCACTCGTCTGCCCACAGACTTCCAGGGCTCTCCATTTCACCTTCAGAAAAAACCCTGAGAGGGGCTTCCATGTCCCAGTACCATCTGAGCCTTCATCATTTTGCTGATGTCCTCTCCTATTCTCCCCCTGCTCTCTCTACTACAGCCACACAGCCTCCTTGTTGTTCCTCAGACATGCTGGCCATGGTCCCACCTCGGGGTCTCTATATGACTGGAATCTCTTCTTCCAGATACTGGCAGAATTGACTTCCTTATCACTTTCAAGCCTTTGCTCAAATGTCAGCTTTCAATAAGGCCTACATCGACTTGCTCATTTAAAATTGTAATTCCTGGCTGGGCGTGGTGGCTCACGCCTTTAATCCCCAGCACTTTGGAAGGCCGAGGTGGACAGATCACTGGAGGTCAGTGGTTCAAGACCAGCCTGGCCAACATGGTGAAATCCTGTCTCTACTAAAAATACAAAAATTAGCCGGGTGTGGTGGCGGGTGCCTGTAGTCCCATCTATCAGGAGTTTGAGGCTTGAGAATCGCTTGAACCTGGGAGATGGAAGTTGCAGTGAGCAGAGATCGTACCACTCCACTCCAATCTGGGCAACAGACTGAGACTCCATAAAAAATAATAATAACTAATAGATAAAATTGCAATTCCCCACCTTGCCCACTTACACTCCTCATGCCCATTACCCTGATTTTCCTTTTGTATACCATTAATCACCTCTGAACATGTATAATTTACTTATTTATTATGTGTATTGTCTATCTTCCGCAACTAGAACATCATGTCTACTTTACATACTGTTGTTTCCCCAGCACTTAGAATAATGTCTGGCCCCATAATAGGTGCTCAATGAATATTTGTTGAATGAATGAATGACAGAAGCTGAGAGAAGTACTCAATGCACGTAGGTGCTGATAACTCATTTTCTATCTCATGGTTAGGAAGGACTGCCTCTCAGCTGCATGCCAAGTCTCACAAGGGAATTAGAAAAGAGAACACTAATTAACTGGCACAAGTCTATCCCCACTGCAAAAACAAAATTCAAAATTAAATAATAAAGCTCCATAATGTGCATGTCCACTATTAGTGATCAGAATTATCAACTTCACTGGGACTGGGGCGGCATTATGTAATAATACGGATTTTGTCCCTGGTTCAGAGCATCGCTTAACTTCTTTTCACTCCTTTCCTCTGTGGGCACAACTTTCGTTCCCAATAAATTAAATACAGTGCCTAGTTTAAATGATTGCTACCAAACTGTTCCCAAAGAGAAAGAAAAACTCTCAGAGTTATTACAGTCCAAAACAAGAGAGATCACAATATCTAGCAGCACACAACAGCTCAGAAATAAGCCAGATGTACTAAGCCTGTTGCCAGGTGAAAGATGGAGTATAGTTTCTTGCCATAATTTATACTTCCCCTGAGTTGCTTCATAGGCTAAGGAATGAGCCAACAGTCACTAAAAAGAAAGAGAAGTGTCAAAGCCTGATGGCAATCCCAGGTTTTTCCTTTGTCTAATTGGCCCAGGCCCTCTGTAGCTGCTTTTGAGATCTGCCTTAAGCTCTCTGTTGCCTGTAAGCTGTCACAATACCCATTGTCTTATTCCCTTTGGACTAGAGAGCTTTGACCAGTTGCCAAATTCAGAATTTATTGTTGGAGTCAAGTTTTCAATGAGTGCACATTGTTTCCAGACAGGTTCCTGTAGACATAAAGTAAAAAAGAATAGGGCCAGCCACGATAGCACACATCTATAATCCCAGCACTTTGGGAGGCTGAGGGAGAGAAGTGCTTGAAGCCTGGAGTTCAAGACCAGCCTGGTCAACATAGCTAGACCCCGTCTCTACCACAAAAAATAAATAAATAAATAAATAAAAATTAGTGGGCATGGTGGTGCATGCCTGTACCCTCAGCTATTCCAAAGGCTGAGGTGGGAGGATCACTTGAGCCCAGGAGTTCAAGGCTGCAGTGAGCTATGATCACGCTACTGCACTCCAGCCTAGGCAGCAGAGTGAGACCTTGTCTCTATTTAAAAAAGAAAAGAAAAGAAAGAAAGAAAGGATAGTACAATTCATTTATTCAGTAAATATTGATTGAGCATCCACTATGCCCAAATACTGAACCTAGGGCATTCAATGATGAACAAAATAGAATGGCCCCTTCCGAGAGCTTGCAATTCAGGAAAAATTCTGGCAAGTAAACAATTACTAATATGCAATTGTGATAAAGACTGTGACAGAGCATGCAAGGAAGAAGCACCTGGCTGGAATTTGGTATATTAGGGGTTGAACTTGGGGGTCAAGAAAAGTTTTACAATATAACTCTACTAAGAAAAATGGACCTGATATAAGTTTTCTCTTAAGCATTGAGGGGAAAATGGTTTCAAATTAAGAAGACTGGTTTTGGTATTTCTTGTGTCTCTGAAATAGGGTCTTGTGTCTGTTTTGACAGATAATTCTACTTAAAGAAATAAAAAATAAAAAACCTAAGTTTAGGTGTGCTCTAAATGAAGAGGCTAAAAAAAACCCAAAACCCTAAGGTTAGAGATTTAACCTGTGTTCGACCTGGTTTCCAATAGCTAGATCTGCTGAGTTATTACCTTCTTTTCTTTCTTGTTTCTGTTTTGCTTCCATTCTTTTTTTTTCTTTCTCTCCCCATTTTTTTCCATTATAACTTCAATTTAGAGGATACATGTTAATATACAATAAGCTACAATTTCACAATCTATTGGGCCTATTTTACTGCAAATACTCTGAACAAGTTGTTCACCCTATGATGGTCATCACTGATCCAAACCCTCCTCAAAACTATAGTACATTAGGCTATAAAAATGTTTTCCAAAAGAAAATGCTTCCAGTTCTTTCTTTCTTCAAGACTTCATGACTTCATCTTGTTGCTCAAATAACAATGAAAAATAAAATATTCTTTTGTTGTTGTTGTTGTTGTTAAGAGACAGAGTCTTGCCCTGTTGCCCAGGCTGGATGACAATAGTGGCATCATAGCTCACTGCAGCCTCAAACTCCTGGGCTTCAGTGATCCTCCTGCCACAGCTTCCCAAGCAGCTGGGAATACAAGTGCATGTCACCACACCTGACCAATCTTTAAAAAAAAATTTAGAGACAGGGTCTCACTATGTTGCCCAGGCTAGTCTTGAACTCCTAGCTTCAAGCAATCATCCCATCTCAGGCTCCCAAGTCATTGGATTTATAGGCATGAGTCATCATGCTTGGCTTAAAATTTTCTTTGAGAATAAAAATTTAGGGAAGTTTCAAACTAATGAGCATCAAGTCAGCAGTAAAAAACATACCATTATCCCTAAAGGCACACATTACAGGCTATATTTCTGAATGTTCAATTATTATTGCTTTAGGTACCATTGTCTTAAAGAAATCTCTGCGACAGAGTCAACATCATACACTCTAAGCTCTAGAGCTATATTTTGTAAAAACAAAAAAGGTTTCCCTGCTTCACTTTGCCTGCGGACCCCCTTCTGATGAACTCCACTCAGGGTAAGCCTGGTAAGCCATTACACCTGTACTTGGAAATATCATCTGATAAACCTGGTTTCTCAAAGGTTTTTCTGCCTTTGAAAATGCTACTGAATGTTGCTTTTATTCATTAACAAATAACTAATAAGCATCTACTTTGTGCCAAGGCCCTATTTCAGAGACAAAGAGGACCTAGTACTTATTGTCCCTCCAGTGGCACCTTTCTTAAATTGGGGAAAGAATCAAATACATAGTATAGGAAGTAAGTATTCCAGGAGTCCTTCTATATGGCCTCTTGCTATAAAAGGAACATTTTGGTTTATATCAAAAAGCATTAGGCAATGTTAATCTAATCTGTTCTAAAAAGTCAACTTTTAAGTTTATTTTAATATAATGCATAAGCATTATTTTAAATCAAATAGTACTAATAGACTGTTAAAAGCCAACAGTCTCCTGTCTTACTCTCTCCAACCACCAATCCCACTCCCTAGAGACTGCCACTTCCAACTGAATTACCTGTCTCATCTGGCATTTACCTCTACATTTAAAATAATATGCCTGTAATTTGGGTGACCATACATCTAGTTTGCCCATCAATTCCAATTTGTACCTGTTGTCTCAGAATAATTATAGCCAGTGGTCCCTTCACTCTCAGAAGTGTCTCTATGTGATTCATTACAGGATCGATAGACTTCCCTTTGTGGTTGAGCCCTCTGACTCCCTTTCTTTCTTTTTTTTGAGACGGAGTCTCCCTCTGTCACCCAGGCTGGAGTGCAGTGGTGCAATCTTGGCTCACTGCAACCTCCGTCTTCTGGGTTCAAGGGATTCTCCTGACTCAGCCTCCTGAGTAGCTGGGATTTACAGGCGCCCACCACCATGCCCGGCTAATTTTTGTATTTTTAGTACAGACAGGGTTTCACCATGTTGGCCAGGCTGGTCTCGAACTCCTGACCTAAGGTGATCCGCCTGCCTTGGCCTCCCAAAGTGCTGGGATTACAGGCGTGAGCTACCGCACCCGGCCTAATTTCCCTTTTATTCATCCTCCCAATGTAGCTATACAGTTTTGGATTAAATCCATAATCAATATTTACCTTATTTTGACCATCTAAGTATTATTCACTGCTAAGCCAAATAACTTCACTGTGATGTTTTCATTCTTGTATAAACTTTTGTTTTCTCTGAAGTTAACAACTGCCTCTTTTTAAGATGTTTAATTATTTGTGTACTTTTATTTTTCCCAAAATGCTTTAACAGAGCTGTGAAATGTCTAGGCAATAATTTTCCTAAGTGCTCAAACACTTCCAATTGTTATTTTCCCTTAACAGCCTTGTTCCTGGAGCCCTCTTCCTCTGGCTGCAATCCAGAGCAAGTTGCTGTCTGGACTTGTTGAAAAGCTGTTGTCCTGAGACTTCTCTTCAAATTCTAAGGAAAAATTTACTTTTTCTCAGGATTCTAAACCCAATCAAATAATCAAGTGTAAAGGCAAAATAGATACAAAATGTACCTTGCAAATACTCTAGGAAGCTACTGGAAGAAAGGCTTCAGCAAATAAAGGAAGTGTATGAAGAAAGAAAGAAGCATGGCACATTGCTACCTTAACTAATAAAAATCTCTGAACTTTCCGGTCCCATCTGAGGAAGCAAAAATGCTACTTGCTGCAAAAACGACACCATTTATCACACTGCAACAAAAGCAATGTATAGGCATGCCTTGGGGATATGTGAGTTTGATTCCAGACTACTTCAATAAAATGAATACTGCAATGAAGTCACACAATTTTTTTTGTTTCGCAGTGCATATAAAAGTTATATTTACTTTATACTGTAGTCTGTTAAGTATGCAGAAGCATTATGTATTTAAAAAACACTATACGTATCTTAATTTTAAAATATTTTATTGCTAAAAAATGCTGACAACTGTCTGAGCCTTCAGTGAGTTGTAATCTTTTTGCTGGTGGATGGTCTTGCCTCAATATTGGTGGCTGCTGACTGATCAGGATGGTGTTGCTGAAGGATGGGGTGGCTATGGCAAATTCTTAAAACAAGACAACAATGAAGTTTGCCACATGGATTCAATCTTCCTTTCACAAAAGATTTCTCTGTATTATGAGATGCTGTTTGATAGCATTTGGCCCACAATATAACTTCTTTCAAAATTGGAGCCAATCCTCTCAAAACCTGCTGCTGCTTTATCAACTAACTTTATGTAATATTCTAAATCCTTTTTTATCATTTCTACAGTGTTCACAGCATCTTCCTCAGGAGTAAAGTCCATCTCAAGAAACCACTTTCTTTGCTTATCCTTAAGAAGTAACTCCCCATCTGTTCAAGTTTTATCATGAGATTGTAGCAATTCAGTCACATCTCCAGGCTTCATTTCTAATTCTATTCCCTTTCTATTTCTATCACATCTATAGTTATCTCCTTTATTGAAGTCTTAAATCCCTCAAAGTCATCCATGAAGGTTGGACTCAACACCCAAACTCCTGTTCATGTTGATATTTTGACCTCCTCCCATGAATCACTAACGTTCTTAATGGCACCTAGAATAGTGAATCCTTTCCAGAAGGTTTTCTATTTACTTTGCCCAGATATATCACAGGAATCACTATCTATAGCAGCTACAGCCTTACAAAATGTATTTCTCAAATAAGACTTGAGAGTCAAAGTTACTCCTGAATCCATGGACTGCAGAATGGATGTTGTGTTAGCAGGCATGAAAATCATGTTAATCTCCTTGTACATCTCCCTTAGAGCCCTTGAGTGACTAGGTGCACTGTCAATCAGTAGTAATATTTTGAAAGAACTATTTTTTTCTGAGCAGTAGATCTCAACAGTGGGCTTAAAATATTCAGTTAACCATGATATAAACAGATGTGCTGTCATCTGAGCATTGTTGTTTTACTTATAAAGCACAAGCAGAAGAGATTTAGCATAATTTTTAAGGGCCCTAGGATTTTCAGAATAATATGTGAGCCTTGGCTTCAACTTAAAGTCACCAGCTGTGTTAACCCTTCACAAGAGAGTCAGCCTGTCCTTTGGAGCCTTGAAGCCATTGGCTTCTTCTCTCTAATTCTGAAAGTTTTAGATGGCATCTTCTTCCAATAGAAGGCTGTTTTTTCTAAATTGAAAATTTGTTGTTTAGTGTAGCCACCTTCATCAATGATCTTAACTGGATCTTCTGGATAGCTTGTTGCAGCTTCTCCCTCAGCACTGCTGCTTCACCTTGCACTTTTATGTTATAGAGATGGCTTCTTTCCCTAAACCTCATGGACCCACCTCTAGTAGCTTCAAACTTTTCTGCTGTAGCTTCCTCACCTCTCTCAGCCTTGATAGAATTGAAGAGAGTTAGGGCCTTGCTCTGGATTAGACTTTGGCTGAAGGGAATGTTACGGCTGGTTTGATAATCTCTCCAGAACACTCAAACCTTCTCCATATCAGCAATAAGGATGCTTCACTTTCTTATCATTCTAGTGCTCACTAGAGTAGCATTTGTAGTTTCCTTCAGCAATTTTTCTTTTGCATTCACAATTTGGCTGTTTGGTGCAAGGGACCTAGCTTTTGGCCAATCTTGGCTTCCAACATGCCCTCCTCAGCAAGCTTAATCAGTTCTAGCTTTTGATTAAAGTGAGAGAGGTGAGATCTTCCTTTCACTTGAACACTTAGAGGCCACTATAGGGTTATTAACTGGCCCAATTTCAATATTGTTCTGTCTCAGGGAATGGGGAGGCCGAGGAGAGAGAGAGTGAGAGAGAGAAGACAAGAAGCAGCCAGTGAGTGGAGCTGTCTGAGCACACACATTTATCAATCAAGTTTGCCATCTGCTATGAGCGTGCTTCGTGGTTCCCCAATTACTATAGTAACATGAAAGACCACTGATCACAGATCATTATCACACATCATCATCACACAGATAAAATAATGGTGGCAAATGTGAAATATTGTGAGAATTACCAAAATGTGACAAAGCGAGCACATGCTGTTGGAAAAATGGAACTGGGCCCGCGAAGTCCCCGCCTGCTGTCCCCGCAAGGTGGCGCCTTGGACGCGGGCGCACAGCCCGGGAGAGGCTCAGGAAGCCCAGGGCCCGGCCCGGCAGCCTGCAGCCCGAGGGCTTCGCCCCTCCCGAAGGCCCTGAGCTCCATTCTAGGCGTTCAGACGGGACAAGGGCGGTGGAAGATGAAATGAGAACCAGAGTTTGACAAAGAACTGGCAAAATAAAAGAAAACTCACACAGGACTTAGGAAGAGAGAAAATCTTCATCGGGAAGTTCTGATGGAAAGGAACCTGCATCCACAGTGCTGACGACTTCTGCAGAGGGGAGCGTCCTGAGGAGGAGGCGGACACAATTGCCTGTGGTGCCACACTAAAGACGTCCCAAGACACATGCTGCCACCTGGCATTCAACCCAGACTCCCAGTACATTTAAGAAGCATAGTCGTGGACCAGAAAATCAGACTCTGGAAGTGGCTCTGCATTTCTGGGATCCTCCGGCTGAAGGAGGATGTGGTTTGCCAAGATATCCACCCGGCTGACCTCAAATTCGCAGAGAGCAGTCCCGAGCCCCAGCCAAGCTCACAGGACGACTTTGAAACGTGCCCTGGCACCCATCAAAGTTACACGCGTGGACTGCGGAGTGCAGGACGAATTTGATTTGAAGTTTCGCTGAACCCTTGAGAGACTTCTGGGTCATGAGCTAACTGCGCCACCTGCGGCCACCAAAAGAAACAGCTCCTCCCAGGTCTGGTGGAAGGCTGATCAGGTGCCAAGCACGTGTGCGCACTTGCACCTGGGGGCTTCTTTGTTGATAGTTCATCATCTCACAATAAATTGTTAGTCAAGCCTTATTTTCTTAAGGAACATTAATTTCATGTATAGTGAGTGTATTTTGTATGTTTTAAATTGTAAATGGGGCTAAATCCAAGGAAGCTCAAACTTAACGCAGGCTTGTGGCAAACTTTGCTTTAATCCCCTACCATGCTCCAAGGTAAACTGACAAGTATACTGAAATGGATTTTCCACAAGTATTTTAAGTTGCCACTTGTCAGATGGGTTGTTTTGGATTTAACCATGTAATTCATGGGACCAATTGAGAGTAATCTTTCTTTACAGGTGTCTGGCAAAGCAGTGTCAAGAGTCAGACACCTTTACTATCTTTATGGAAACTTAATTTTTGGCCTTTTATCAATATGTCAGACAGGGCTCTGAACAAACATGTTAAGTTGAGCTGTTAAACTGATGGGTTTTATGGAAGTTTACATTCTTCATTTGGTACCTGTGTTACAGTAGGTAGCTAGTCAGTCATGAGCAGGACAGGAGAGGGCCCTCCCCCAGCACACACACCAGGAATGTCAGGCGACCATCACGTGATGCTCAGGGAGGTTGTTAACTGTCTCTCTAAAATAATAATTAGTCATAGCCAGGGCCAGGGAAAGGCAGTTTCCCAATAGATAGAAAAACCTGAGCCTAGTGATCAGCAGCTTCCTGATAAGATCCCAGGAGTTGGGCGATTGGGCTCAAGCATGTTTATTAAGGGACAAAATGGTGGAATTTAACTGGCATATGACCTCCAAGGGACATTCAACTAGTAAGGGAAGAATGCCTCAATTGAACATGCGTACAACTCCAATAAACACAGTGCACATGCTCACCTCCCAAGTGCTGGCAGGCCACTGTGCATGTGGACAACACACCCCAAGGGAAGAATCAGGTTGAGAAGAGATGCAAGACCCGGGAAGTATGCCAACATAGAAAATCCCAAGTCAAAGGTCAAACAGCGCACTTAATCTCTCCAGTTGCCCACTTGGCCTTCTTCCAAGTGTACTTTACTTCCTTTTATTCTTGTGCTAAAGCTTGATAATAAATTTCACTCCCACTCTAAAACTTGCCTCAGTCTCTCCTTCTGCCTCATGCCCCTCAGTTGAATTATTTCTTCTGAGGAGGCAGGAATTGAGGCTGCTGAAGACCCATATGGATTTGCTGCTGGTAACATGCTTTGATGCTGTATGACTTGGGTATGTCCTGCTGCTAACATTTGTAAATAGAGCTAGGTGCATTCTTTATCTATAATACTCCAAGATTTAATGCAGCAGAGCGACTTATAAAGAACACTTTTTAACAATCAGTGGATTTACCACATAAAATTGCTGTAAATTATAATGTGTACAGATTTTTTGTTCAAATATTCCTTTGTAAACTTAATATTAACACTGTTATGTTTCTACTGCTTTTTATTGAATGATATTGTAAAAATACAAAGAAAAGCATCTTGTTTTTTAAAAAAAAAAAGAAAGAAAAATGATACTGATGGACTTGCTCAATGAAGAGTTGCCACAAATCTTCAACTTGTAAAAAATGCAGTATCTGTGAAGGGTAATAAAGCAAAGCACAATTAAACGAGGTGTGCTTGGATAGGGAGGTCTCAGCAGCCTTTTGGGGTCATTATTTAAAAATCACAAATCCTCAATAATTATGGGAATGTGCTTAACATTTAGACTGTGAAGAGAACAAATGGTGAAATAAACAAATTTACTTAGCAAGGAGTGGAGGAAGGAAGGTATGTCATCTAGAGAACTGGTGATTCATGGATAAAAATACAATCACTGAACACATAAAGGAGAGCTATGACTTAGCAAGAGAGTTTGTTCTGATGTATGATGCTAATTTCAAACTTTAAACAGCTTGAAAAGGGAGGAGAATGACTAAAATGAGAGGCTCAACTGATTCAGAGATAAAGAATATAAAATCAATAGTTCTGGGAAGGATCTACATTTGTCTTCCTCTCTGCAGACCTACAAACATTGCAAGAATACTTCTTGTCTCTTTCAAAGTCAAGTACGCTCTCCTTACCAAGATTCCCACTTCTACCAACTCATGGTGCTTATCTTTCTGGAGGTTTCCCATATAAATAGTAAGAGAAAAACGGCAGCTGACTTTCTCTCTCCTATCCAATTAATTTGTTCACTCATGAAATAAATATTTATTGAGAATTCATCTTTCTCCAAATTTTTATCTTGTTTTCCCTTCTCTGAAATGTATTTCACTTTTTACTGTGTTACCTGTCTTCACTTTCATTGTAACTTGCTAGGGATATCCTAAGGGCAATGATAAACTATTACTCTAAGACAGAAACATTGCCTCTTCTCTTTCTCTTCTGCATTCATGTTTCACCATAGACACACAGATAAAAAGAGATGTAATTACCCCTTATGACTCACGTGTGCTCAGATTTATTGGTTTATTACATTATCAGTGTGTGCTATATCAAGAATAGTCATTATATCAAATACAATCATTTAGACAGTAATTTACAAAGAAACTTCACAACCTATAGTTCAAGTTATTTTTACAACAACCAAAAAAAAAAAAACCAATAGAGGGAAGAAGTATTATAATCCTCTGAGGGAGCAACTGAGGCCTAAATATATTAAGAGCTTAAAAAAAAAGCATTAACTTACAGATACATTCCAATCTATTTTGGTTATTTTAGCTTGAAAATTCCTAAAGAATAAAAAATTTATCTTTGAATGATATATATATTATTTATTCATATAATTATCAGATATCAATTATTCATAGTTATAACATAATTATTTATAGTAGTGATATATAAAGGTGACAAAATCTTACGGGTCTTAGTGGTTGATGAGAAAGAAAACCAAATTTGTTCAAGGTCTTTAGATTTAACAAAGACTAGGATGACGCAAAACAAGTAACTGCAAAATAAACTTATCCTACAATATATGATAAAGAAAAGATACTCAGAATAACAGTTGCAAAGACAAGCTATTAAGTTGTGCTTTTAAAAAAAAAAAAAGACACCCAAAACACGGCAGGGAATTAGATTTTTTATCATCCTTCCTATAAAGATAAGTCATTTTGCAGGAACATCTACATCATAAAAAATCAAAACATCTCTATGGATCAAAGTCAACACGTTAGCATTTTGTAGCTCCTGAGGCAATGTAAGAAGTATAACTATTAACAAAGTTCATCCAATTGGATGACAGACTCAAATAACTCACCTTGGGAGGGACGTTCGTGCCTTTTATCTCAAGACCTGAATCATGGACTATCAATCCCTCTTATAACCTTCAAGAGCTTGAGAGGTTAGCCTGAGAAAGAATAGAAATATAAATAAAGAAAATTTAAAAATAAATACACCATACAAATACTTTTATAACCAAGTGAACCGATCAGTTTTGCAATCATTGCAATATTGATTTCATTTATTTTTTAGTGTTTAAGACATTTAAGAAAACCTTAATTTTTTTAATGCCTATTTCTTTGAGTATTTACTTAATGCCCAAGGGAAATTCTGTATGAGGAAAAAAATGTTCACTATTTGTACTTTGTCTAAAATCAAATTTATAAACCTTCAGGCAATTGACATTCTCCAAATATTCACACATTACTAAGATAACATTAATTAAAACTTCATAAATTTAGCAAACTAAATTTCCATGTGTAAACATCGACAGCAAACTTAACATTTTCTCACTCAGCTGAAAGTTCAAGTATAGTATGTTAGATTTCATAAATTAAATTATAATTGTCAATATTTTTGCAGGTAGTTCAAATTATGGAAATGTTCCTTTTGAGCAACACTGGAGATCCTAGAATATGAAAATTTTAGGTCATGGTTATTTTTCTTTAAAATCTGTGTAAAATTTACAAATTTAAGCAATTTTTAGCTGGGCACAGTGGCATGAGCCTTTAGTTCCAGCTGCCCGGAAGGCTAACGTGGGCGAATCACTTGAGCCCGGGAGGTGAAGGCTGCGGTGAGGTCTGATTGTGCCACTGCACTGTAGCCTGGTTGAGAGAGCAAGACCCTGTCTCTAAATAATTTTTTTTTTAAATCTATGCCTTGGCAATGAAATAAAAAAAAACTCAACAAATGGGATTGCATAAAACTAAAAAGCTGCTTCACAACAAAAGAAACAATAGAGCAAAGAGGCAACCCACAGATGGAGAAAATATTTGCAAATGATACATCAGATAAGGTGTTAATATCCAAAATATACAAGGAACTCAAACTACTCAAAAACAAGAAAACAAAGACTCCAATTTTAAAATGGGCAAGAGACTCAACCAGATGTCTCTCGAAAGAAGACGTGCAAATGGCCAACAGATAAATTAAAAAATGCTCAACATCTCTAATCATCAGAGAAATGCAAATAACACACAATGAGATATCATTTCACATCTATTAAATTTGCTATTACCAAAACAAGTGTTGGTAAGGACGTGGAGAGAAAGAAGCTCTGATACACTGGTATTGTAAATTAGTACAGCCATTTTGGACAACAATATGGAGGTTCCTCAAAAAAACTAAAAATAAAACCACCGTATGATCCAGCAAGCCCACTAGTGGGTATATAGTCAAAGGAATTGAAATCAGTATGCTGAAGAGATGTCTGCACTCCCATGTTTATTGCAGCATTTTTTACAATAGCTAAGACACGAAAACAACCTGAGCATCCAACAATCAGTGTATAGATTTTGTAAATGTGTTATATATACACGATGGAATACTATTCAGCTTTTAAAAATCAGGAAATGTGGCCGGGCGCAGTGGCTCACGCCTGTAATCCCAGCACTTTGGGAGGCCAAGGCGGGCGGATCACAGGGTCAGGAGATCGAGACCACGGTGAAACCCCGTCTCTACTAAAAATACAAAAAGTTAGCCGGGCGTAGTGGCAGACGCCTGTAGTCCCAGCTACTTGGGAGGCTGAGGCAGGAGAATGGCGTGAACCCGGGAGGCGGAGCTTGCAGTGAGCCGAGATTGCGCCACTGCACTCCAGCCTGGGCGACAGAGCGAGACTCCGTCTCAAAAAAAAAAAAAAAAAAAAAAAAAATCAGGAAATTCTGTCATTTGAAGCAGCATGGATGAAGCTAGGGGACATTATGTTAAGTAAGCCAGGCACAGGGAGACAAATATTGTATGAGTTTACTCCGTCTCTCTCTCTTTCTCTCTCTCTCTCTCTCTCTCTCTCTCTCTCTATATATATATATGTGTGTGTGTGTGTGTGTGTGTACATACATACATATATATGTGTGTGTGTGTATATACATACATATGTGTGTATATATATATAATGTATATATATACACATACATATATGTGTGTGTACATATATATAGAAAATATATATATATTTAATATATATAAAATAAAATGACATTTCTTCCTTCTGCTGGAAATACAAATGACAATAGCCTGACTGGTGGCCAATCAATAAAACAGTCATCATCATGGCTGGTTGACAACTGGTGGCAGCTACAGAGCACCCATCCAAAGAGGCCATAATTTCCTATGAGGTGAGAGTAGATGAGAGAGTCAAACAATTGTTAAAGTAACATTTTAGACACATACCCAAGCTCCTATCCATAGCTAAGCAGCAAGAGTAGGCCACTTGAGTTCAAAATTAAATCATAAAGGGTATATACAGTTTAGGTCGAGAAAAATAATAATCATAGAACTGAATCACAAGATTTATGGTTCACAGATCATTACTGGGGGTTTTTTGTTCTAGGAAGTAGAGATATAAGTGGGAACGAATAAAGATATGACCTTGAAGGTTGTTTTGGGTCTCTTAAACTTTGTTTCATTGCCAAAAAAAAAAAAAAATAAAGAAAGAAAGAAACCATCAGCTCAGGGTGTTGGGATTTTCCTAATTGTTGCTGGTTTGCAGTTATTACTGATGCCTCCAAGACTACCAGATTTCTAGATTCACTGAGGCTTGCTATGATTCATATTTGGGAAGGAATTCAATGAGACATTGCAAGTCCAGAAAACAGAAGTGGAGAAAACTCTTCCTGGAGCTTCTCTCAAATTTCCCAGAGTCAATCCTTTAAATAGGCTCCTGATTTTAGACCAGAAGTGAGACAATTATTACCTAACGTTTATTATTGAGACTTTCTCAAGAGCAGCTGCATAGACTTTTGCTCTGGCAAAGCATAATCTTACTGGATAACAATGCATTTGGAAGCAAGAAGCCTAAGATCAATTCCCGGTTTTGCCACTGATTAACTGTGCTGTCATTGGTGGCATTTAGTTTCTTATTGAAAGACTCTATAGCATTCATTAAGCTTTATTTATTGAGGACCCACATGGCAGAGAGCCCAAAACCAGAAGCTGTGTTAGTATGTGATGGTGATGTAAATTGTAATATGTGTACTTAGTAGAGAGCACTACAGAATACAGAATTACCTTATGAATTAGCTTATATCTGACAAGAATGTTTTATCAGATGGTCTTTACAAGAAACTGAGGTCATTGCAGTAATATTTGCGAAAACCATGCTTTTCTAGTTTCTGAATTTGAAGCTTTCACATCCAGGGAGTTGCTGACCTGGAGGATTTGTCCTTCCCAGGGTTAGCTAATTTCCAGAGATAGCAAATGTTTGCACCTTTCATATGCAAACCAACTAATTCAGAGCCTACATTACCAATCACCTTCTTTATTTGGTTCTTATACTCTGTGAAACTGTATCCCTCTCCTAATCACCCCTGGGCCAGGTACCAGGCAACTAGGGACAGCCCCATTGCCCCAGACCTTGCTGAAATTATTCAAAATAGTTCATTCTAAACCTGCTCACTCTGTCTTGCCTGTTCCTTCTGCAGACAACCACAATAAAGGCCCTTTCCCACATTTCCCTCTCATTCCCTCTGCTTTCTGACCACCCCAGTCCTACTTCCCTAGAGGTCCTGCTTCTGTTTTCTAGGAATATGTGAGTATTAAAAATGTCTTCCTTTTTCTAGTTCCCTTGAAAGGGTGAAAGGGTGAGAGTGGGTGAGAGATGAGAGACTACCTAATGAGTACAATGTACATTATTTGAATGATGGTTACACGAAAAGCCCAGACTTCACTACTACATAATATATCCACGTAACAAAACTGCACCCCTTAGATTTATACAAATAAAAAATTAAAAAATTAAAATTTCTTTCTTCACAACAAAACTTTCTGTGTCTGCGTAGGATATAATAAATTCCTCTTCAAAGGTTTTAGCCAGTAAATTGTTAAGTACAATGAGTTCTGAGATCCTCTCCAAAGAACTAATGTATCAGTATGTTCAGCTCTCTTGTTCTTTGTTCTTCATTTTAAACTTCCTCATTCTTTACGTCTCTTGCCCCTAGTTTCAGTAAATAACCCCCTTCTAGCCTCTATCACCTGCTCTGACCTTAGTCACCCCGGTCACCTACTCTGACCTTAGTCATCTTTGGTCACCTGCTCTGTTCTTAGTCACCCTGAGTCACCTGTTCTGTAACCATCCTTCCCACCAAACTAGTCACCCTGCCACTCCAGCTCGTACCCCTGCTCTTTTTAAAATAGCCAATCAGAATTAGCTTAGACTGTGTGGTCCAACCCTAGCCAATAGGGGAACGACACAGCAGTAGGGGCTACCTGCGTCAGGGATAAGAACCCCTTCCCCTCCCTTGTTCAGGTGTGCTCTCGCCATTGCTCCATCCACAAGATACACCCTTCTACAGAAGTAAAATTGCCTTGCTGAGAAAATTAAATTTATGTTTGAGT
Organism: Homo sapiens; assembly: GCF_000001405.40. Taxonomy (NCBI): domain Eukaryota; kingdom Metazoa; phylum Chordata; class Mammalia; order Primates; family Hominidae; genus Homo; species Homo sapiens. Next base: position 172,666,370 of record NC_000002.12, on the reverse strand, counting down.
GCTATTTATTTGTGGCACTGAAAATTTATTTCCAACATCTGTATAGACTACTGGAGAAAGATACCTACAGGAATGTCTTCTCTGTACTCCTCTATTGATGTAAATCTTGAGCCTTTTAACGTACAACTGAGACATAAGGAATAGCATGTGTAGTAGGTTAGTGGGACCCTAGTCAAGTTGAGCTGTGGAAATGATAATCTTGTCAATGCAAAGGAGGAAATGCCTCAGTAAATCAAAGTATTGATCGTATATACAGCCCTCAACAGAGACCTAAAACATCAGGCCTTAATTAATAAAGAAGTTTATATTTCTTATATTACCAGAAATCTGGGAAGAGGAAATCCAGAGCTGACCCAGCTCCTCAAATATGCAGGCTCCTACTATTTTTCTGTTCCATCATCCTTACCTTTTGGCTTTCATGCTTATGGCCACAAAATAACTGCTGCTTCTCCAGGTGTTATGTCTGAGTGATCCAGGAAGAAAAATGAGGGAAGGAATAGGGCAAAGGGCTTTGCTAGCTCAGTCTGACCATTTCCATAGACACTCAGACTTTTCCACAAACCCCACCCCATCGATTGCTGCTTATGTCTGTTTGACCAAACTGTGCTACTTGGTCACAGGAGCCTAGAAATTAGATTTTAAAATGCCAACGCTGCATATCTGATTCTTCCTGTGCAAACTGGGGTTTTGTTATCAAGGAAGAATGAGAGAGAAAAGGAATCTGGTAGGCAAATTGCACTTCTGCTACAATTTTTAACAAAAGTGAGGTTAAGGGGCTTCAGGGTAGGCTCAGGCAACAGCAACAGCATAGCCACCTGCCTCTTCATGGATCCAAACAAAGGACAAAAAGTGAATTTATATGCAAGCCACACCTTCAGCATAACCTAAAGACAGAATGTCCAAACTTCAAAATAATTATGAATAGAAAGAGAATAATAAGTCCTCAGAACATAATTTCTCATTCCCTCACCACACCCTAGCCCTTAGGGCAAACAAAAGCAAACCTAGAGAGCTGCAGGGAAGGCAAAATAGGGAAGCTTGTGAAGGATCCTGAGTTTGATTTAACACTAGAAAGTCTAGGTCCACCCTAGTCTGAGATCAGAGCATGGACTTCAGGAAGGAACTTGGAAGTCTGGGCAATTTAAAGGGGGCAATCATTGAAACCCAAAAGTTCTGAGAAAGAACAAAAGAAACAAAAAAGAAAAGAAAAAAAAAACATTCTTTGGCACTAGGTGGGAAGAGTTAAAAAAGAAAAGATGGAAATTTTAGGTTCCTGCAAGAAAAAAGGGAAACATAAAAGCAGAGGATTCACAACTCTCTCTATCCCATCAAATAAAACCAAAATATCCTGCCAAAGACCTGGACTTTGCAATACCAACATAAGATGATGCCATTAAACCAAAAAGTTTGAAAACATCTTCATACCATAAAAATTAACAAATGGAAAATGAAGTCCATATGCAGCTATAACAAAAGCCAGGAAATGGAATTTCGATTATATCAACTGAGAAAAATTCTCCTCTGATAAAACAAGAATAGGCTAAAATTAAAAGTTAACAGAATAGACTCAAATTAAAAGTTAGTAAGAGGCACTGAAGAAAAGCAGGCAAACTATGAGGAGAATAAGAAAGGCATAAGTGAAGAAGGAGAAAGGGCCAGAAGAAGAGTAGCAGACATGGAAGACAGGCCAGTAATAATAATAATAATTTCTGTGTTATCAGAGTTCCTGAAGAAGAAAAAACAGAACAATGAGACAGAGCCAATATCTAAAACTATAATTCAAGATAACTTTATAGAGTGGGAAAAGACCTATGTCTACACATTCCTAGAGATCACTGAGTAATGGGAAAAATTTACCCAGAAGGATCATACTCCAAGGCAGAACCTAGTAAAACTATTAGATTTCAAAAAAGAAAGAAAAAATGAATGAATGAAACTCTCAAGCCTCCAGGAAAAAAGATCAAATAACTTACAAAGGTAAAAGAATTAGACTGGCATCAGACATTTCAAAACCAACATATAAAGCAAGGCAATGCTTTTTTTTTTTTTTTTTTTTTTTGAGGCAGAGTTTTGCTCTCGTTGTCCAGGTTGGAGTGCAATGGCACGATCTCGGCTCTTTGCAACCTCTGCCTCCTGGGTTCAAGCAATTCTCCCACCTCAGCCTCCCGAGTAGCTGGGATTACAGGTGCGTGCCACCATGCCCGGCTAATTTTGTGTTTTTAGCAGAGACAGGGTTTCTCCATGTTGGCCAGGCTGGTCGCGAACTCCCTACCTCAGATTATCTGCCCTCCTCAGCCTCCCAAAGTGCTGGGATTACAGGTGTGAGCCACCGCGCCTGGCAAGGCAATGCTTTTAAAAAGCTTACTAACCTCATTCCTACGAGAGGTTAAAAAAAAAAAAAAGCCACATATGGTGGCATAACCCTGTGTGTGGTCCCAGCTATTTAGGAGGCTGAAGTTGGAATGTTGCAGAACTTTTCCTTAGTTCAGCTAAAGATGGGGTCCTTGTCTATCCTATGGCCACGAAGATTTAGGTTCACAGACAGTTTGAAGGGTGAGTAAGACAGGGTTTTATTGGGTTAAAAGGAAGAAAAGGGGGAAACAGGGACTCTCACTAGGCCAGAGTCCCAGCTAGAGTGCTTCCTGCCCAGCATTTGAATCCCAGATTCCACCCAAGAAGCGGAGGGGCCAGGCTCCTCCCTGCTGCAAATGCAGTGAACTTCCAAGGCTCCACCTCAGTGGGCAGGCTGGTTGGAGTTTCTCCAGGACCCCCTCCCACCTGGCTGTCACAGGAGGATCGCTTGAGCCTGGGAGGTGGAGGCTGCAGTGAGCTGTGATTTGACACTGCACTCTAGCCCCTAGGTCACAGAGTGAGACTCTGTCTCAAGAAAATTCATTACTTTGGTCTCCAGAGACATCCATCCTTTTTGGCTCTAACTTACCACAACCCCACATGGCAATCTGCACAACTGTGTGGGCTAAATTAGGTCCCCTGCAAAATTCATATGTTCAAGTCCTATCAAAATGTGACTGTATTTGGAAAAGGAATCTTCAAGGGCAATTAAGTTAAAATGAGGAGGCCATTAGGATGGGCCTTAATCCAATATGATTGGATTAAGAAGAATAGATAAGGACATAGACTCAGAGGAACGACCATGTGAAGACAGAGGGAGAAACTGGTCATCTACAAGTCCAGGACAGAAGAAACCAGAAACCTGGAAGAAACCAGCCTGTTGATACTTTGACCTCAGACTCCTAGCCTTTAGAATGGTGAGGAAATACATTTCTGCTGTTGAAACCACCTGGTCTGTGATACTGTGTTGTTAACCCTGGCAAACTAATACACCAACCCTTCCTCTTTCCTTCTTACATTCAGCAAATATGCATTGAATATGTCCCCACATCAGGCACTGGGCCACAGGTTGAAGCTAGAGGGATCAACTTGCAGACACAGTCCCTGCCCACATGGAGCTTCCAGTTTATCAGGGGAGGTCTTTTAAAGACTTAGTATAGGACTGGGATGGCATTCCCTGAAGAAAGAAAAGGAGAAAAGAGGGGGAAAAGGCCTAGTCATGCATGCACCTTTTTTCTAGAAATTTCTCCTAAGGAAAAAAAAGGATGTATTATTTAGCTGCAAAGAAGTGCTTTGTAGGGTTGTCTTTTTTATTTGTCACTTGTTTGTTTTATTTATTTATTTTCCTAAGGTTGTATTTTTAATTGCCACAAATTGGGAATGATCCAAATGTTCAATCATTGAGGACTGGTGAAATAAGTTATAATCAGTACGACAGCCTTCTATGGAATAATTAAAAATCTGAATAACATGGAAAGATGCTCTCCAAATGCTCTTTTACACACACACACACACACACACACACGATTTTAAAAAGTCTTCCCTTTATAGCTATAATTCAATATTTGTTTAAAAATACGTATATGCATATGAGTCATGTTATCTCTTGGTGGAGAAATTACAGGAGCTTTTTACTTTATTTTTGCTTATCGATACATTTTTAAGATTTTGTACAATAAACAAAAGCTTCTTCTCATCCACAGAGGGCAGTGCTGGCTAATCAGAACTGAATTTTTAGAGTGAATTGTGGCCTCCTGACAGCTGTTTGCTGGTAAATATCTTATAATTGTATCTTTGAGTGTAGTTCCACCATGAGTTTTGGTTGATGTTTTCATTTACTTTAATGAGTAAGGCAAAAGAAAGATAATGAAAATGTATGTTGGAACTTCACTCATTCACCAATGATGTGAATGACTTCCTTGTACTGAATCAAATAATAGTTTTTGAAAACTAGAATATTCTCTTAGTGTTTGTACTATTCACATTGTAACAACTACAGACACATGTATAATCTGCATTAACATTTTTCTTCCACACCTTTGTAAAAAATAATTTCAACTTTTATTTTAGACTCAGAGTGTACAAACGCAGGTTTGTTACATGGGCATGTTGCCTGATGCTTAGGTTTGAGATACGAATGATCCCGTCACACAGGTGGTGAGCATAGTACCCTATAGGTAGTTTATCAGCCCCTGCCCCTCTCCCTCTCTCTCCCTTCTCATAGTCCCTATTGTTTATTGTTCCCATCTTTATGTCCATGTGTAACTCATGTCTAGCTCCCAATTACAAGTTACATGCTGTATTGGTTTTCTGTTCTTGCATTGATTTGCCTAGGATAATGAACTCCAGCTGCATCCATGTTGCTGCAAAGGACATAATTTCATTTTTTATGACTACATAGCATTCCATGGTTCAACCATTTCTTAAATCTACACAATCAAAAAAATAATAAATCAAGCCCTGGCTTTCAATATTTGTAATTCTATGATGTAAAAACTCCAACCGCAGCTGATTTCATGGCTGACGTCACTGAATGTGGAGTTGGGCAGGACATGTAGCAGTACATGATTATGTGGTATTTCCCCCAGACGGGCACCAAATAACCTCAAGAACAGCAGCAAAGTGTAGTAAGACAATTAAGAATTGATGGTTTTTGAGTATTTATTACCTTTGTTTTCAATATATAATTTTTATATAATTTATACAATAATGGCATATAATTTAAGCTTAAATAATGGCTGTGTTTGACCACCAGGTTGCAAAATTCCTAAACTGTAACAGTCAGCTCTCACTCCTGCACCCCTCTGCCTGGAGGTCTACTGGGAGAGGGTAGAGCCTACTGTAAGCACAGCTACATTCAACTGAAAACCATAAGCCTCAGCCCTAGCTGCTGATCAGAATGAACATTCCTGATGAAATGTCAATTTCACTTCCTCACCTTGTAGGTCCCTCATCTTGTAGGGTCACATCATCATCACACCCATACCAACCCCCCAACGTCAGTATGAATCTCATTTTTGTCTTTTTTTGTATACCATTATCAAACTTATTTATATCACTACCATCTACAGAGCTCATGAAAGCAAAGAATATTTATTCTTGTCCTTCTTCCCTTGCCAGACAGGTAAGTCCAGAGCTGGAACTCTGGCTTGGGCTTATTTAGAGCAACAGGGCAGAGACCCTGCACCTGCAGGGAATGGAACAAAAGAGAACTGAAGAAAGTGCCTGGACAAAGAGAGGCTCGAGCAGGAATCCACAGGAAACCCAAAGTGTCCACAGATTTGAAGTTGAGGACCTGCTTCGACCAGGGCTGCCCCCACCAAGCAGAAGTGTCCTTGAGGCTGTCACATATAAGCAGCATAAATAAAATTTCAAGGGAGATGTTAGCCCATTAAAAGAACAATATGATTAAGGAGGTCACAATTATCATTCAGAGGCAAGCAAAATAAGGGAAAGCAATTTGGCCAGGCACTGTGGCTCACACCTGTAATCTTAGCACTTTGGGAGGCTGAGGCAGGTGGATTGCCTGAGCTCAGGAGTGCGAGACCAGCCTGGGCAACATGGTGGAACCTGTCTCTGCTAAAATACAAAAAAATTAGCAGGGTGTGGTGGAGTGCACCTGCAGTCCCAGCTACTAGGGAGGCTGAGGCAGGAGAATTGCTTGAACCCAGGAGGCAGAGGTTGCAGTGAGCCGAGATCATGCCACTGCCCTCTAGCCTGGGTGATAAAGCAAGGCTCCATCTCCAAAAAAAAAAAAAAAAAAAAAAAAAAGAGAGAGAGAGAGAGAAAGCAATTTTACATAGATCGATACACTGACATGTTAATTACAAACCATCCCCTTTAATCTGTTCAGACATTAGTAAACAATCCTGGAATCTCTGATCCATGGAACCCTGGGCCTGGGGTCAGTCCCTCTCTTGCTCTCACCCTGCACCTTTCTCTATTTTCTCTGGTTGCCTAAGCTGGTTACCAGACTCCTCAATTAGCAGAACCCCCATGCAGCATCAGAACATCCTCTGCATCTCATTCCCTCACATTCCTGCTAGATGGCAACTTAGATCATTAGATTCACCAAATCTAATGATTCAGCTGGTCAAATCCAGCTAAAGCGTGTGTGGTTTGAAAGTGTTCCCTTCCCAGAAAAGGTGCTGCTCCTTAACAAAAAGCCTTCAATAACTTATTCCAAAGGGATTGATTACAGATATATTTTAGACAGTCATGCAGGGCTTGGGGTAGGAGACGTTTGGAGCCAGGAGAGCCTGTTAAAGTACCCTACATTGCCCTGTTTGAAACTAATAGAATTGTATTCATGTTGAGGTCATCTCTTTTCAGAATTTACTGAATGGATGCTTTCCTCACGATTGATTCAAAATTATGAGTTTTTAGTGTACTTTAAAACATTGGTTCCCCTAGCATGTGGGTTAATGTAGGGGAGGCAAAATTTTACCTCTACCCTCTTAGAGATTTTTTCGGTTGTGGGGTGCTGAGAATTAAATTGACATAAGACAGATCAACAGAAGAAAAGCATACAAATTTATTTAATCCATGTTTTATGTGGCACAGGAGCCCTCATAAGAAAATGAAGACCCAAAGATGCAGTTAGGGTTGAACACTTATATACTGAATGGAACAAAGAGTAGTAAATTATGAATATGTGAGAAAGCAAAGGGCCTTGGGCTAGGGTAGTTACTTGGGTGAAACAGCCAGGAAGATAAGGGTTAGTGAAATTAGATTTGTGCTATAGTTTGGATGTGGTTTTATCGGGGGAAACCGCCCCCCGTATTTCAACATGATATTTTGTCTAAGTGTTGGCGGTCTGAGAAAGAGAAAGAGTACAAAGAGTGGAATTTTACAGCTGGGCTGCTAAGGGGTGACGTCACATAGTGGTAGGACTGTGATGCCCACCTGAGCCACAAAACCTGCAGGTTTTTATTAAGGACTTCAAAAGGGGAGGAGGTGTACAAACAGGGAGTAGGTCACAGAGATCACATGCATCATAGGGCAAAAAGGAGAACAAAGATCACATGCTTCTGAGGCCAATAAAGATCACAAGGCAAAGGGCAAAGCAAAGATCACAAGGCAAAGGGCAAAATCAAAAACTCCTGATAAGGGTCTATGTTCAGCTGTGCACATATTGTCTTGATAAACATCTTAAACAACAGAAAACAGGGTTTGAGAGCAGAGAACCAATCTGACCTCAAATTTACCAGGGAGCAGTTTTTTCCCCACCCTAATAAGCCTGAGGGTACTGCAGGAGACCAGGGCATATTTCAGTCCTTATCTTGACTGCATAAGACAGATACTCTCAGAGCGGCCATTTATAGACCTCCCCCCAGGAATGCAATTCTTTTCCTAGGGTCTTAATATTCCTTGCTAGGAAAAGAATTTAGTGATATCTCTCCTACTTGCATGTCCGTTTATAGGCTCTCTGCAAGAAGAAAAATATGGCTCTTTTTGCCCAACCCTGCAGGCAGTGAGACCTTATGGTTGTCCTCCCTTGTTCCCTAAAAATTGCTGTTATTCTGTTCTTTTTCAAGGTGCACTGATTTCATATTGTTCAAACACACATGTTTTACAATCAATTTGTACAGTTAACACAATCATCACAGTGATCCTGAGGTGATATACATCCTCAGCTTACGAAGATAACAGGATTAAGAGATTAAAGTAAGACAGGCGTAAGAAATTTATTATAAGAGTATTATCAGGGAAGTGATAAATATCCATGAAATCTTCACAATTTATGTTCCTCTGCTGTGGCTCCAGCCAGTCCCTCCATTCGGGGTCCCTGACTTCCCAAAACATGGTTTGTTTTCACCAAATCTCATGTTGAAATTTGGTCCCCAGTGTTGGAGGTGGAGCCTAATGGGAGGTGTTTTCATCACAGGGATGGGTCTCTTATAAATAGATTAATGCCCTCCCTGGGAGGTGGTGGGGTGGTGTGAGTTAGTTCTCACTCGATTAGTATCCACAAGAGCTGATCATTAGAAGGAGCCAGGCACTTTCCCCTTCTCTCTTGCTTCCTCTCTCCCCATGTGATCTCTGCACATGCCAGTTCCCCTTCACCTTCCACCAGGAGTGGAAGCAGCCTGAGGGTCTCACCAGAAGAAGATGCCGGCATCATGTTTCTTGCACAGTCTGCAGAATCAAGAGCCAAATAAACCTCTTTCCTTATAAATTACCCAGCTTCAGGCATTCCTTTATAGCAACTCAGAATGCGCTAAGACTGTACAGATTTCCTTCAGCCTCAACTTCTTATCCTTGAAGGTAAGAATAATGCTTTCCTTCTGGCATAGGGAGAGCATCTTTCACATGGGAATTTCATCTCCTGCTTTTAAGAAACTGAAGAAAGGTCAGAGTGATCTTCTTGCACCTGCTATTGTTCAAGTGCCTTTAACTTAAAATAGTCAATATGCCAGAGCAAGATATTTTGGGGTATCATGCTTTTAACTCCTTCAGTAATTGGAAGAAATCTATGAGTCCATAAGTGTATCAGATTTTATCTGTAAATTAATATTAAATAATACAACCTGCACATAATAAAAACCACAAGTTAAAAAATATAAGCATCATTTAAAAGCAGTATCGAAACACTTCTGGTTTCTGGTTCAATATGAAAAGAACTTGGAAGTCATCATTCTCATCCTCACAACAAGAAATAAGCTGAACAAACCAAAAATCAACAATTCTTCTGACCAGGCACGGTGGCTCATGCCTGTAATTCCAGCACTTTGGGAGGCTAAGGTGTGGAGGTCACTTGAGCCCAGGAGTTTAAGATCAGCCTAGGCAACATAGTGAGACCCCATCTCCATTTAACAATAATAATAAATAATAAAAATAACAAAACAAAACAATTCTTCTTAGATCCATCAGAGAATTGAGGTCACAGGGCAAACCACCTCCCAGAAAATTTGCAAGACAGGAGGATGTAGAGAATCACAACTTACCAAGAACAGAAGCCCAGTAATAAAAGGCCAGCACTGGAGGCAATACCAGTAGGAACACAAACTGTAATTGACAAATTGCTGGAGCCTCAACGTGAATGAGCTTGGGAGTTAAAAACTCTGGGTGAACCCAGTCTTAGGAGAGCCCCCACACTTGTCTTGAGTCTTACCTCCAAGAGTCTCATCAAACTCTCAGGTGAAAGTCAGAGAAAAACTTCCCCTCATGTGTGGGTGGGGGAATTACTTTTTTTAAATTTTATCTTTTAATTTTTATTTATTTATTATTTTGAGGCCAGGTTATGAGACTATTTTTGTATTTTTGGTAAAGACAGGATTTTGCCATGTTGCCCAATAAGGCTGTTCTTGAACTCCTGGCCTCAAGAAGTGATCCTCCTGCCTCAGCCTCCCAAAGTGCTGGGATTACAGGCATGAGCCATCACATACAGCCGCATGGGGGAACTATTTTGCAATATACTAGAGGCTTTGTTTTCTTTAACAAAAGCTTGCCTTCCAGGGAAACTATTTTACCAGGGCCTAACCTAATTGGGTTTTGCCAGAGCCTAATCAACCTGGGGAAGAAAAATACTCAACTCCAATCCTCTAGGCTCCTCTAAGGGAGGAGCATGGGGGAGACCTGAGAAGCACTTGTAAAGGTCACAGCCCAGGGACACGGGCTCACCACAAGCTGAGACTTAATCATAGGACTGTAGAATGTGTCCCCCACCCCACACCTCACTACCACATCAATCAGGCTCCTATAAGATAACAAGGGTTTACAGCTAAAAACAATGTTGAATGTATAGTAGCTTATTGCTCTGTATTTTCATAATGTGGGATTCCGCCACTATCATATGGAGGCTCAGTAAATCGTTTTAGTGTAAAAAATACTTAGAGATTCTGAAACCACTGTTCTAAAATAAAGCTACCTAATTGTACTTGAGGATAATCTCAGGTCTTAAAGAGAGAAAAATGGAAACAATCTGTAGTGAATTTAGTGCAGATAATAAAGCTTCATATACAAATAAGGTGATGTTTATGGAGGACAAACTATAAAGATCCAGGGAAAGATGACTCATCTTTATTGAATATCTCTCATGTTTAAAGTGTTTGTGTCTTCGAAGAAACCAAGCTTCATGCTAGATTTGAGTCAAAAACAAGCCAAAGTCACTTCTTTACATTCAAGTACATGTGTGACCCGCTTCTCCCAGGATGCTGGACAAGAGTTTGGGATACAGAGAGCTGTCACACTGGCACTCTGCCCTTACAGAAAGGCAGAGGGTCCACTGAGCTGGCCAACACTCAAGCCATCCGTGGACAGCAAGGCTAAAAGGGCACACTGTAACACACGCCCACTTGGGCTCCTGCACTTGTCCAGCTGCCTGCTCCCCATCCCGTAAGGGGTTGAAGGGATGGTGACCAAACAGACAAGCCACACCCCTGTCAAACATCAGGCAAAGGGGTTCAGGGAACTCTCCCATTTCACCACCATGCTGCTTCCAGAATGACCAAGAAATGATCCAAGAGCTTAGAAGATATGGCTTAGCACTTTTTCACCTTCTTACGTGAAAAGAAAGTTAAATAAAATGTAAGCCTGGCCATGTGAATGTGAAATAACCAAAGGAGTGGAATGAGCTCTTTCTATTAGTGGGATTAGCAAAAGGTTCCTAAAAGGGGTCACTGGAAGTGAATCAGCAAGACCTGGAATGATGAATGTGTGATAAAAACCACGATTTGTTCAACACTGGGAAATGTGAACAATGCTGCCTAAGGAGTTTGTATTCAATAAAATGCTCTCTAAAGAAATAGTTTTAAAGCTGGTCCTCGGGACAGATGATCACCTTAAAGCAGAGCCCATGGGCCTCATCCAGACCACAAAATGGGAGAAGGGCTTTGCCAGGCTGCAGAAGCCTGCTGACTCCAGCCACCACGTGGGCAGGGCTGCAGGCTGGATAGCGGGGGAGCTCCAAAAGGTGGGTCAGGAGCTACAGAAGTTCCCCTTATCATCCAAAATCCAGGATATTCTGACTGTGGAGTCTTTGAAGACTACCATGCTTGTTTTTGTCCATCTATGGGGTAGTGGCTTGGGGAAAGGGGATGACAAGGCAGTACTGAGTATAACTGACAAAATCCCAATCCCCTGCAGCTCACAGGCTTTCGTGCTTGTATTGTCTTCTCTGCCCGCTATTAGGTAACCTCTCGGGTGAAACCGTCCTTACAGCTTATCCCTAGCCAGGTAGGGAGGCCGTAGACTTGCTTAGGCAACTGGGTTTTCCACGAGGCAGAGTGCACTGACATTAAAAAAAATTTTTTTTATTATTATACTTTAAGTTCTAGGGTACATGTGCACAACACGCACATTTGTTACATATGTATACATGTGCCATGTTGGTGTGCTGCACTCGTTAACTTGTCATTTACATTAGGTATACCTCCTAATGCTATTCCTCCCCCAGCCCCCCACCCCACGACAGGCCCCGGTGTGTGATGTTCCCCACCCTGTGTCCAAGTGTTCTCATTGTTCAATTCCCACCTATGAGTGAGAACATGCAGTGTTTGGTTTTCTGTCCTTGCGATAGTTTGCTCAGAATGATGGTTTCTAGCTTCATCCATGTCCCTACAAAGGACATGAACTCATCCTTTTTTAATGCTGCATAGTATTCTACATGCCACATTTTCTTAATCCAGTCTATCACTGATGGACATTTGGGTTGGTTCCAAGTCTTTGCTATTGTGAATAGTGCTGCAATAAACATACGTGTGCATGTGTCTTTATAGCAGCAAGATTTATAATCCTTTGGGTATATGCCCAGTAAAGGGATGGCTGGGTCAAATGGTATTTCTAGTTCTAGATCCTTGAGGAATCGCCACACTGTTTTCCACAATGGTTGAACTAGTTTACAGTCCCACCAACAGTGTAAAAGCATTCCTATTTCTCCACACCCTCTCCAGCACCTGTTGTTTCCTGACTTTTTAATGATTGCCATTCTAACTGGTGTGAGATGGTATCTCATTATGGTTTTGATTTGCATTCTCTGATGGCCAGCAATGAGCATTTTTTCATGTGTCTATTGGCTGCATAAATGTTTTCTTTTGAGAGGTGTCTGTTCATATCCTTTGCCCACTTTTTGATGGGGTTGTTTGTTTTTTTCTTGTAAATTTGTTTAAGTTCTTTGTGATTCTGGATATTACCCTTTGTCAGATGGGTAGATTGTAAAAATTTTCTCCCGTTCTGTAGGTTGCCTGTTCACTCTGATGGTAGTTTCTTTCGCTGTGCAGAAGCTCTTTAGTTTAATTAGATCCCATTTCTCAATTTTGGCTTTTATTGCCATTGCTTTTGGTGTTTTAGTCAGGAAGTCCTTGCCCATGCCTATGTCCTGAATGGTATTGCCTAAGTTTTCTTCTAGGGTTTTTATGGTTTTAGGTCTAACATTTAAGTCTTTAATCCATCTTGAATTAATTTTTTTTTTTTTTGAGATGGAGTCTCGCTCTTGTCGCCTAGGCAGGAGTGCAGTGGCACGATCTTGGCTTACTGCAACCTCCGCTTCCCAGGTTCAAGCAATTTTTGTTACTTAGCTGCCCAAGTAGCCAGGATTACAGGTGCCCACGACCATGCCCGGCTGACATTTGTATTTTTAGTAGAGATGGAGTTTCACCATGTTGGCCAGGCTGGTCTCAAACTCCTTACCTCAGGTGATCCACGCACCTTAGCCTCCCAAAGTGCTGGGATTACAGGCATGAGCCACTGCGCCTGGTGAATTAATTTTTGTATTAGATGTAAGGAAGGGATCCAGTTTCAGCTTTCTACATATGGCTAGCCAGTTTTCACAGCACCATTTATTAAATAGGGAATCCTTTCCCTATTCCTTGTTTTTGTCAGGTTTGTGAAAGATCAGATGGTTGTAGATGTGTGGTATTATTTCCGAGGGCTCTGTTCTGTTCCATTGGTCTATATCTCTGTTTTGGTACCAGTACCATGCTGTTTTGGTTACCATAGCCTTGTAGTATAGTTTGAAGTCAGGTAGCGTGATGCCTCCAGTTTTGTTCTTTTGGCTTAGGATTGTCTTGGCAATGTGGGCTCTTTTTTGGTTCCATATGAACTTTAAAGTAGTTTTTTCCAATTCTGTGAAGAAAGTCACTGGTAGCTTGATGGGGATGCCATTGAATCTATAAATTACCTTGGGCAGTATGGCCATTTTCACGATCTTGATTCTTCCTATCCATGAGCATGGAATGTCCTTCCATTTGTTTGTGTGCTCTTTTATTTCATTGAGCAGTGGTTTGTAGTTCTCCTTGAAGAGGTCCTTCACATCCCTTGTAAGTGGGATTCCTAGGTATTTTATTCTCTTTGAAGCAAATTGTGAATAGGAGTTCACTCATGATTTGGCTCTCTGTTTGTCTGTTATTGGTGTATAGGAATGATTGTGATTTTTGCACATTGATTTTGTATCCTGAGACTTTGCTGAAGTTGCTTATCAGCTTAAGGAGATTTTGGGTTGAGACGATGAGGTTTTCTAAATGTACAATCATGTCATCTGCAAACAGGGACAATTTGACTTCCTCTTTTTCTAATTGAATACCCTTTATTTCCTTGTCCTGCCTGATTGCCCTGGCCAGAACTTCCAACACTATGTTGAACAGGAGTGGTGAGAGAGGGCATCCCTGTCTTGTGCCAGTTTTCAAAGGGAATGCTTCCAGTTTTTGCCCATTCAGTATGATATTGGCTGTGGGTTTGTCATAAATAGCTCTTATTATTTTGAGATACATCCTATCAATTCCTAGTTTATTGAGAATTTTTAGCATGAAGGGCTGTTGAATTTTCTCAAAGGCCTTTTCTGCATCTATTGAGATAATCATGTGGTTTTTGTCTTTGGTTCTGTTTATATGATGGATTACTTTCATTGATTTGTGTATGCTGAACCAGCCTTGCATCCCAGGGATGAAGCCAACTTGGTCGTGGTGGATAAGCTTTTTGATATGCTGCTGGATTCAGTTTGCCAGTATTTTACTGAGGATTTTTGCATCGATGTTCATCAGGGATATTGGTCTAAAATTCTCTTTTTTTGTTGTGTCTCTGCCAGGCTTTGGTATCAGGATGTTTCTGGCCTCATAAAATGAATTAGGGAGGATTCCCTCTTTTTCTATTGATTGGAATAGTTTCAGAAGGAATGGTACCAGCTCTTCCTCATACCACTGGTAGAATTCGGCTGTGAATCCGTCTGGTCTTGGACTTTTTTTGGTTGGTAGGCTATTAATTATTGCCTCAATTTCAGAACCTGTTATTGGTCTATTCAGAGATTCAACTTCTTCCTGGTTTAGTCTTGGGAGGATGTATGTGTCCAGGAATTTATCCATTGCTTCTAGATTTACTAGTTTATTTGCGTAGAGGTGTTTATAGTATTCTCTGATGGTAGTTTGTATTTCTGTGGGATCAGCGGTGATATCCCCTTTATCATTTTTTATTGCGTCTATTTGATTCTTCTCTCTTTTCTTCTTTATTAGTCTTGCTAGCAATCAATTTTGTTGATCTTTTCAAAAAACCAGCTCCTGGATTCATTGATTTTTTGAAGGGTTTTTTGGGTCTCTATCTCCAGTTCTGCTCTGATCTTAGTTATTTCTTGCCTTCTGCTAGCTTTTGAATGTGTTTGCTCTTGCTTCTCTAGTTCTTTTAATTTTGATGTTAGGGTGTCAATTTTAGATCTTTCCTGCTTTCCCTTGTGGGCATTTAGTGCTATAAATTTTCCTCTACAAACTGCTTTAAATGTGTCCCAGAGATTCTGATATGTTGTGTCTTTGTTCTCATTGGTTTCAAAGAACATCTTTATTTATGCCTTCATTTCGTTATGTACCCAGTAGTCATTCAGGAGCAGGTTGTTCAGTTTCCATGTAGTTGAGCGGTTTTGAGTGAGTTTCTTAATCCTGAGTTCTAGTTTGATTGCACTGTGGTCTGAGAGACAGTTTGTTATAATTTCTGTTCTTTTACATCTGCTGAGGAGTGCTTTACTTCCAACTATGTGGTCAGTTTTGGAATACTGTGGTGCTGAGAAGAATGAATATTCTGTTGATTTGGGGTGGAGAGTTCTGTAGATGTTTATTAGGTCCACTTGGTGCAGAGCTGAATTCAATTCCTGGATATCCTTGTAACTTTCTGTCTCATTGATCTGTCTAATGTTGACAGTGGGGTGTTAAAGTCTCCCATTATTATTGTGTGGGAGTCTAAGTCTCTTTGTAGGTCTCTAAGGACTTGCTTTATGAATCTGGGTGCTCCTGTATTGGGTGCATATTTATTTAGGATAGTTAGCTCTTCTTGTTGAATTGATCCCTTTATCATCATGTAATAGCCTTCTTTGTCCCTTTTGATCTTTGTTGGTTTAAAGTCTGTTTTATCAGAGACTAGGATTGCAACCCCTGCTTTTTTTTTGTTTTCCATTTGCTTGGTAGATCTTCCTCCATCCCTTTATTTTGAGCCTATGTGTGTCTCTGCACGTGAGATGGGTCTCCTGAATATAGCACACTAATGGATTTTGACTATCCAATTTGCCAGTCTGTGTCTTTTAATTGGAGCATTTAGCCCATTTACATTTAAGGTTAATATCATTATGTGTGAATTTGATCCTGTCATTATGATGTTAGCTGGTTATTTTGCTCGTTAGTTGATGCAGTTTCTTGCTAGCATTGATGGTCTTTACAAGTTGGCATGTTTTTGCAGTGGCTGGTACCGGTTGCTCCTTTCCATATTTAGTGCTTCCTTCAGGAGCTCTTGCAAGGCAGGCCTGGTGGTGACAAAATCTCTCAGCATTTGTTTGTCTGTAAAGGATTTTATTTCTCCTTATGAAGCTTAATTTGGCTGGATATGAAATTCTGGGTTGAAAATTCTTTTCTTTAAGAATGTTGAATATTGGCCCCCACTCTCTTCTGGCTTGTAGAGTTTCTGCAGAGAGATCCGCTGTTAGTCTGATGGGCTTCCCTTTGTGGGTAACCTGACCTTTCTCTCTGGCTTCCCTTAACATTTTTTTCTTCATTTCAACTTTGGTGAATCTGACAATGATGTGTCTTGGAGTTGCTCTTCTCAAGGAGTATCTTTGCGGCGTTCTCTGTATGTCCTAAATTTGAATGTTGGCCTGCCTCACTAGGTTGTGGAAGTTCTCCTGGATAATATCCTGAAGAGTGTTTTCCAACTTGGTTCCATTCTCCCCATCACTTTCAGGTACACCAATCGGACGTAAATTTGGTCTTTTCACATAGTCCCATATTTCTTGGAGGCTTTGTTCATTTCTTTTTACTCTGTGTTCTCTAAACTTCTGTTCTCGCTTCATTTCATTCATTTGATCTTCAATCACTGATACCCTTTCTTCCACTTGATCAAATCGGCTACTGAAGCTTGTGCATGCGTCACGTAGTTCTCATGCCATGGTTTCCAGCTCCATCAGGTCATTTAAGGACTTCTCTACGCTCTTTATTCTAGTTAGCCATTCATCTAAGTTTTTTTTCAAGGTTTTTAGCTTCTTTGTGATGGGTTCGAACATCCTCCTTTAGCTCGGAGAAGTTTGTTATTACCGATCATCTGAAGCCTTCTTCTCTCAACTCGTCAAAGTCATTCTCCACCCAGCTTTGTTCCACTGCTGGTGAGAAGCTATGTTCTTTTGGAGGAGAAGAGGCACTCTGATTTTTAGAATTTTCAGCTTTTCTGCTCTGGTTTCTCCCCATCTTTTTGGTTTTATCTACCTTTGGTCTTTGATGATGGTGATGTACAGATGGGGTTTTGGTGTGGATGTCCTTTCTGTTAGTTTTCCTTCTAACAGTCAGCACCCTCAGCTGCAGGTCTGTTGGAGTTTGCTGGAGGTCCACTCCAGGTGCTGTTTGCCTGGGTATCACCAGCAGAAGCTGCAGAACAGCAAATATTGCAGAACGGCAGATGTTGCTGCCTGATCCTTCCTCTGGAAGCTTCGTCTCAGAGGGGCATCCAGCTGTATGAGGTGGCAGTCAGCCCCTACTGGGAGGTGTCTCCCAGTTAGGCTACTTGGGGGTCAGGGACCCACTTGAGGAGGCAGTCTGTCCATTCTCAGATCTCAAACTCCGTGCTGGGAGAACCACTACTCTCTTCAAAGCTGTCAGACAGGGATGTTTAAGTCTGTAGAAGTTTCTGCTGCCTTTTGTTCAGCTATGCCCTGCCCCCAGAGGTGGAGTCTACAGAGGCAGGCAGGCCTCCTTAAGCTGCGGTGGGCTTCACCCAGTTCGAGCTTCCTGGCAGCTTTGTTTACCTACTCAAGCCTCAGCAATGGAAGACGCCCCTCCCCCAGCCTCGCTGTGGCCTTGTAGTTCAATCTCAGACTGCTGTGCTAGCAGTGAGAGAGGCTCCATGGGCATGGGACCCTCCGAGCCAGGCGCGGGATATAATCTCCTGGTGCACCATTTGCTAAGGCCATTGGAAAAGCTCAGTATTAGGATGGGAGTGTCCTGATTTTCCAGGTACCATCTGTCATGGCTTCCCTTTGCTAGGAAAGGGAATTCCCTGACCCCTTGTGCTTCCCAGGTGAGGCGATGCCCCGCTCTACTCTGTGGGCTGCACCCTCTGTCTGACAAGCCACAGTGAGATGAACCCAGTACCTCAGTTGGAAATGCAGAAATCACTCGTCTTCTGCATTGCTCACGCTGGAAGCTGCAGACTGGAGCTGTTCCTATTCGGCCATCTTGGAACCTCCCTCCTCTATTCAACATTTAACATTTTTCTGTTTTGAGATAAACTTACAGAAAAGATGCAAAACTAAGAGTTACTAATATATATCTTTCACTGACCTTCCCTTAAGGTGAACATCTTACCATCTAACCATAGGACAATTAGTAAAACCTGGAAATTAACACTGTTACAATACTGTTAACTAAACTGTGGACCTTATTTAAATTTTATCGGGTTTCCTACTAATATCCTTTTTCTGGTCCAGAATCCAAGTCAGCTTCCCACGTTGCATGCAGTTTTCATTTCTTCTTAGTCTTCTTCAATCCATGACAGTTTCTAAATTTTTCTTTGTCATTCATGACTTTGAAACTTCTGAAGGTTACTGTTCAGTACCTCAATTTAGGTTTGCCTGGCATTTTCTCATGATTAGATCAAAATAAAACATTTCTGGCACGAATATTACAAAGTGGTGTGACCTTCCTTATGTCTTATTATTGGTGATATTCAGCTTGATTCTTGGTAAAGGTAGTGTCTGCTGCGTTTCTTTGTTGTGAAGTTACAGTACCTTCCCTTAGAAACTAACAAATATCTTGTGGTAAAGACTTTGAAACTCTGCAACTATTCTGTTTCTCATCAAATTTTTACCTACTAATTTTAGCATCCATCAATGGATCTTGCCTGCAACAATTATTACGGTAGAGCTTGCTTCATAGTGAGTTTCCATTTTCTGCATTCCTTTTACATTTATTAATTGGAATTCCTTAAGGATGAATTGTCTCTTTTCCTTCCTTTATTTTTTACTCATTCATTCAATTATTTATTTATGTAAGTTTGGACTCATGGATACTTAACTTTTTTCTGAGGGCTATAATGAAATGCTATCATTGTTTATTTTAGTCCTTGAATTAGCACTACTTTGGCCATAAGTTGCCTCCTGTGTCCTTTTGACATGCCTCCATTATTTTTTGAGCAGTTTCTTACTTGCATTTTACAGCTTCTCTCTTTTCAGCATATGCTCCTCAGTGTGGTAGCCTCAAAGTCCCATCTGTCCTGACCAAGAAGCTGGCTTACCAAGAGTGATCACCACAAGGGTCCCTCAACTTCACAGTGTATCCGATCCATCATATTCCCTGCGCCCCCTCCCGAGACTCTGATTTAGCAAGTCTGATGTGGGCTTATATCTAGATTCTGTAAATAAACACACAAAAAACTCATTAGGTGCTGATTCTGAAGCTCGTCCATGTTTGGAAATCACCATCCTCCTTCATGGGCTATGGCAGTATGCTCCTTATTGGCCTCTAAATTTTGCTACTCAAAGTGTGATCCATGTACCAGCAGCATGATCATCACCTGGGAACACGTTAGGCTGGGCATGGTGGTTCACTCCTGTAATCCCAACACTTTGGGAGGTCAAGGCGGGTGGATCACCTGAGGTCAGGAGTTTCAGACCAGCCTGAGCAACATGGTGAAACCCCGTCTCTACTAAAAATACAAAATCAGCCAGACATGGTGGCACATGCCTATAATCCCAGCTACTTGGGAGGCTGAGGCAGAAGAATTGCTTGAACCTCGGAGGCAGAGGTTATAGTGAGCTGAGATCGTGCCATTGCACTCCAGCCTGGGTAACATGAGCAAAACTCTATCTCAAAAAAAAAAAAAAAAAAAGGAAATGCAAGGTTTGGGTCTCTCTGACTTGAAGCAAAAATCTCTGGGGACAGAGCCTAAGAATCAACATTTTAATGAGCTCTTCAGGGAATTCTTATGCATGCTAGTCTGAGGAGCACTGAAATGAGCTATATTGTAACTACTAAAAATCACAGGCAGGCTAACAAAATTCATCCCTCCAGTCTAAACTCTACCTGAAGCAACTGCATCAAGTTGACCGCTTTTTTTTTGCCTTCGATGTGTTTATCTAAAGATTCCCATAATTCAACATTCTCCTTTTCTTGAGTATCATCCAAACAGTTCCAAACAGATTACTTGGTGCCTCTATGAGGCTGTCAAATTAGAAAGAAAAAAAGGGGATTTTTGTTTGCAAAGAGTAATATAAATATTCCACCACAGAGCACCATTTCCTTTTTCATTTCTAGCATCCTTCTCTCAGATGAAACAATGCCAAAAAATTGAAACAAAACAAAAATAGCAAATATGTTAATTAAGTTGTCATCTAATTTAAACTCCTTTTGTATGAGAATCACTCTTCAACAGACATATATAAGAAGTCATTTTTTCTGTTGTGTCTTAATCTATTTTGCATATTATTATCTATCCACAGCAAACCCTTCAGTAAATTATAATAATCCAGTTGGGGCAGTGCACACTGTGCAATTATGCTATCTTATTTAGTATTTTAAAAGGTGTTATTTGCTTCATTGTTAAAGGTACATGTTTATAAAGAGAAGAAAATATAGAAATGAGTATTTTGGCTAAGTTTACCCACAGTAGCCTGACTCAATCAACCAGTCAGTGAAATGTTTTAAAAATCAGGTTTTTGGTGTGACATCTGACCAGTCATATACATTATTTTATTACTGCATGATCAAACTGATTTATTCAATCATGTATCCAACAAACATCCTTTCTGCCAGGTACTGTGCTGAATCTAGGGGAAATAAAGATGAATAAAAGAGTCTAACAGAGATGGAGAAGGTTGCAGTGACCACTGCTCCAGTCTCTATGGCTATGATGACAACACATTACTTGTCCTGTCCTCTAGACACAGTCTAAGTCGTTTTTCTCTTGGAGCACCATAGGCACAACCATCCTCTTTCAGTAGTGGCGTTATACAGTGCCTCAAATAGATGTAAACATGTATTAAGAGCACAATAAAGCAACAGTTTTAGGCCAGGCACAGTGGCTTACACCTGTAATCCCAGCATTTTAGGAGGCCAAGGCAGGTGGATCACTTGAGGTCAGGAGTTCAAGACCAGCCTGGCCAAAATGGTGAAACCCTGTCTCTACTAAAAATACAGAAATTAGCCGGGCGTGGTGGCAAGCGCCTGTAGTTCCAACAGCTCCAGGAGAACCGCTTGAACCCGGGAGGCAGAGGTTGCAGTGAGCCGAGATCGTGCCACTGCACTCCAGCCTGGGCCACAGAATGAGACTCTATCTCAAAAAAAAAAAAAAAAAAAAAAAAAAAAGCCTATTTTGTACTGTGTACATTGCTAAGCCTTTTAAATGTTTATCCAATGTCATCAGTGCAGTGCTGGTAAATGGATTTCTGGGGGAAAGGGCACGATATGTACTTTTTGCTGATTTCTGTAGTGTAAATACTCTCATCACAGCTAATTTCAAGATACCCAGTGTTTAAAAATTGGCTTATAAAATCCTGAAAATTTAACCATTGAGTCTCCCATGGTATGAGCTAGTTCCAGCACACCACCGAATGTAATCCTCACAACAAGCCTATGTACTGGGTATTAGTATTAGTACTGTCATAGTAATATTATCTGTATTTTACAGATAAGAAAACCAAGGGCATAAAGAAGTTAAGTAATTTGTTTAGGGTCATACAGCAAACAGCAAAGTTAGGATTTAAACCTGGGCTCTGTGAGGCTAAAGCTAGTATTATACTGACTGACATCACACTCCTTATGTGTAATAAGTATGGAATAAGATGAAAAGTTATTAAAATTCTCATTTGCATTTTCCAGATGATTCGAAAGCAGTCCTTCACATTGGAAAAGGAAGCCATTGCTTCTTTGGCTGTGAGACTTTCTCAAGTTCAAGTTGTATTTATCCTGCGGCTCAGAGCTAACCCATTCATTGAAGAGTTTGCTTTTCACTTTAAACTGTGCTTATTATCCATATAGGCAAACATTTTCCACAAGGACTAATAGTAATCACAACTCTCATTTATTGAGTACTTGAAATGTGCTAGACACTCTATACTCTGTGTGTTTCATTTTATTTAATCCTCACAACCACCCTGTAAAGTAGGCACTATTACCATTCCCATATTACACACAGGAAACTAAGGCACAGAGGAGGCTTAAAAAAGGCCCAAGCCACACAACTAATGACCATCAGAGCCAGGATTTAAGCCCCAGGCATGTTTTTAGAGCCTGAACTATTTAACTATTATGTTATCATAGTCAGTCCTGAAACACTACAGACAGAGGTGCGGGCTGATTTTATGTCGCAGCAGCCCAACTCCTTGTTATATTCCTTGAAGTTTTTTTCTGGTACATTTTTAAAGTCTCTCTCCCTGTCCTGTCCCTGGTCATCTCTCCTTTCTTACCTACAGCAGGTGTTTGCTGTGGCCAGAAGAGCTGGATGCCTCCTCATGCCCTCGGGGCATCTCCAAGTCTGCTTTGCTGTACACCTGTCATGCCCTTTGATGTTAACCATTCTCCGAAGATGGCACTCATAGAACTCAGTAATGGGAACTGAAGCTTCAAGTTTCATATAATGGGGGAACACATGAGTCACTGTGGGTGGCTAGCCCACCCTTGACATTTGTGGGGCCTGGGGGCAAGAATGCTAACGGAGGCCCACATACCATTTGTCTAAATATTTAGAATTATAAATCAAGCTATTAAACTGTTAAATCAAATGTACTCTGTTCTTCATAATGCTTTAGGGAGCCAGGCTGGAATTTAGAATTATTGAACTCCTCAGAGTTTCTCACGGTGGGGCAGGGAGAACTGGCCCTTAACCAGAGGCCTGTCCCATTTTCTCCCCACCCTCAGCTCTGTCCTTTCACACATGAATGTGGACATTCCAGCCCATACATCCAAGCTAGGTCCCCCTTCCCAACAAGCAGCTGCCCCTTGGCCACCCCTTGAGTCTAGGGGTGCACACACTGGAGATGTGGCCTGTCCCCAGGAAGATAGACCTAAGGAGGAGGCCTGCTTAGGCCTGGATGTGCATTCTGGGTATTTGGGCAGGAGATTCCAGGGCCCAGGGGCTAGAAGAGATGCCTTGAGGCTAAAAGAGGACTCAGCACAGCCCTCGGAAGCACAGGGCTCACGGCCACACCCCACTGCTGCAGATCGAGGCTTGGGACTGATGGTGAGTATGCTCTTCCTGGAGTACAACTTTGAACGTGTGGGCGTTAAGTTTGAATGACTCAAGTATTTGACAAACGGATGACAGGAGGTGAGGTAGTAACCTAATATTTATAAAACTGCCACCATTATGAGGTGACAGCTACATGGCAATAGCTAACAGTCACCTTTTCAGCCCCAATGTCCATAACACCAATGTGAGAGCTAATGCAGTAACACCATTTGGCTAATGGCTTATAACAAACATGACATTCCAAAAAGAACTACAGTTTAATTGAAGGGAAGACTCCCAGCGCTTTCCTAGGTACAATCAGAGTTACTGAGTGCTACCTCCTTCCAAAGCTCCTCTTGAATAGGCAAATTTTGGGATAATCTTATTTTAGTTCACTGAGTATGAAAACAGATGATGTCCTAAGAGAAAAGGTTTGACACTTAAATTTCCTAACTCTCACCAGAGAAGAAGAAGGAGGAGTAGGAGAAAGAGGAGAAAAAGAAGGAAGAGAAGGAGGAGGAGTGGGAGGAGGAGGAGGAGAAGGAGGAGAAGGAGAAGGAAGAGGAAGAGGAGGAGAAAGAGAAGAAGAAGGAGGAGGAGGAGGAGGAGGAGTGGGAGGAGGAGGAGAAGGAAGACGAAGAGGAGAAGAAAGCCAGTACCTTGGCACAAAGTGCCTGAGGGAGGGAGCCCAAGATCATGGGACACACTTGAGGATGGGACCGGCCACCCTGTCAGGAAGTCTCTATGAACACACTAGGCCCAGCTCATTCTCTCGCTGGCTCAAAGCTCTCAAACTTCCTAGCACATCAGACTCACCTGGAGGGCTTGTTAAAAGGCAACAGAGCCATTGGGTCCCACGCTGAGTTTGTGATTCAGTAGGTCTGGGGTGGGGTCCCAGATCCTGCATTTTAGCGAGTTCCCAGGAGATGCCGATGTTGTTAGTCTGGGGACACCACTTTGAAAACCTCTGCCTTAGGGTTTTCACAGCCACTCCTACACCATACTCACAGCTCAGCTTCCTCTATAACTGTGCCCCCACCACCTTCCTAATTACATAATTGATATTCCATCTTCACACCAAGTACCCACACAAGAGATTAAACTCAACAGTGTAAGCCATTTGCACAACAAAAAAGAAAAAGCACATGCAGTCTCAAGGTATTGGTAAATTCCAAAAGTCTTAACGTTAATAACATATCCTTTTTTTCCTACAATCAAACAAACAACACCATAGACGCTCCATTCCGCTCTGTATTCTTCCCCAACAGCAGTGCCGATGGGGTATGTTTTGTGGAAATCTAATCTCCAAAAATACTGACTTTCATAATTGGCCTAAACCACTCAAACTCAAACATCTCTAACTTTCTTTTGGATTTGTTAATTATGACGTTATTGTTGGGGCTTAGAAAATAATACCCCAAATGAAAGGCTCGCCAGCAGCCTCAGGACAAAGGTTTTCTCTGCTCTTCTGCCCTCCCGTCTCTCAGTCCCATTCTCTCCCAAGGCCAGCCATAGAAGCTAGAATTCTTCTTCCCCAAGGCAGGTTGTAGAAACCAGAATACGTTTTCCCAAAAGCCAGCCATAAAACCTAAAAATATTACTCTAATTTTTCCTCCGCCTTTTTGTATAAAAACTGGCCATAAATAAATGATCTGGGACAGGGTGTGGTCGCTCATGCCTGTAATCCCAACACTTTAGAAGGCCGAGGCAGGCAGATCACCTGAGGTCAGGAGTTTGAGATCAGCCTGGCCAACATTGTGAAACCCCATCTGTACTAAAAAGTCAAAAAAATTAGCCGGGCGTGGTGGCGGGCGCCTGTAGTCCCAGCTACTCGGGAGGCTGAGGCAGGATAACAGTGTGAACCCGGGAGGCAGAGCTTGCAGTGAGCCGAGATTGTGCCACTGCACTCTAGCCTGGGCGACAGTGCAAGACTCCGTCTCAAAAAAAAAAAAAAAAAATGGACAAGTTACCAGATGTGGCACCTTACACCTGTAATCCCAGCACTTTGGGAGGCTGAGGTGGGAAGATCACTTGAGGCCAGGAGTTTGGGATTAAGCCTGGGCAACATAGAAAGACCCCGTCTCCACAAAAAGGAAAAAAGAATTAGCCAGGTGTGGTGATGATTCGTGCCTATAGTACCAGCAACTTGGGAGGCTAAGGTGAGAGGATTGCTTGAGCCCAGGAAGTTGAGGCTACAGTGAGTTATGATGCCACTACACTACAGCCTGGGAAACAGAGCAAGACTGTCTCAAAAGAAGAAAGAAGAAAGAGAGAGAAAGAGAGAGGAAGGAAGGAAGGGAGGGAGGGAGGGAGGGATGGAAAGAGAGAGAGAGACAAGGAAAGAAAGAAAGAGAGAGACAGAAAGAGAAAGAAAAAGAAAAGAAAGAAAGAAAGAAAAGAAAAAGAAAGAAAGAAAGAAACAGAAAGAAAGAGAGAAACAGAGAAAGAGAAAAGAAGGGAGGGAAGGAAGGAAGGAAGGGAGGGAAGGAAGGAGGGAGGGAGGGACAGCTTCCCCTGTATATTTGGATTTTCATTCTCAAGGCTACTGTGTATCCATGTGAAATAAATTTGCATGCCCTTTCTCCTATTAATCAATTAGCCTCATGTCAGTGATTTTCAGCAAACCTTTAGAGGGCCCTTGGTCCCTACATTATCTAAACTCTTCCTGTTTCTATTTTTAACATATTATCACCTCTAACAAAAGCAGGTTACCTCTCCTTGTAAAAGACTATTGCCTCATTGTGGTTGGCTGTGAGCAGGCCACATGCTCCAAGCACATCCCTGTGTTATTTAAGCAAAACACCCTGAACAAACCAAGGAAGCAAACAGCTGCCAGCTATTACATTTCCAAACAATTGTTTGGGTCTGTAAACATGCTATCTATCAATCAAACCATATATATATTTTTTTCTCTCAGTCTTTGTCTGAGGGTTCTGTGTAGCCATTTGCCTTTGCTGACCTCATCTGCCAATGAGCAGGCTGAGTTCTCAGGCAGTTTTGGTTGGGTATTGCTTTTCAGGACCAGGAAGGAGGGCCCAAAGTTAGACGTAGTGTCTAAACTCACATCAAACCTAAATATACACTTATGAATAAATATAAGACATCTTCTCCAGTGAGTCTCAATTTCTATTCACAGTAGATACTGTCCATAACTTAACCGTACTAAAATGTTTACATTCTCCAGTAAGTACCCTTCTATCCCTTGTCAAGGGGAAAATCAAACAGGATAAAGTTTAAAGACAAAAAAAATTTCCTGGCAGTAGTCCATGGCCTCTATCACATTGTCCATTTGGAATATTTCTTCGGCTTTATGGTTTGTCCACTGATTTCCATAATCCAGTCCTATCTCCTTGGTCCATATTCTCACATTTGTTTCACCTTCCACCTAGTCATCTGTTGCTGAGGCAAATGTCACTGCTGACTCAGTCAGTGTTGATTACTATGCCCTGTCTACGCAGACTAAAACCACAATGATTGTGCTCATTCTTTACATGTCTCCCCTAAAGCCCACATAAAGGTTGGAGTCCCTTAGGGCAGAAGTGTGATGACAGCATTAGATTCCCTCACCCATTTTGCTGATTTTGTTTGTTTGTTTGTTTTTGGAGAGCGAGAACCCATGCCCAAAAGATGGCACTAATCCCTTCATGAAGATGGATCCCTCATGACCCAACGTCCCTCAAAAATACCACCATTTCTCAAAACTGTTACACTGCAGACCAAGCCTCAAAATGAGTTTTGGTGGGGGCAACCATATTCAAACCATAGCATATAGCATATTTAAGTTAGCATCACTTATTTTGGGAATGAAAATAATTCTACATAATTTACTGAACAAAAATCATAGCATATTTTGTGGTTTTATGTTAGGTGCTTTTAATCGCAAAGAATAGAGAACTCTGGTTGTCTCCAATTAGGGAAGTCTATTATAAATCATCTTGTAGTAATAAGGAAACGGGGACCTCAGACACATGGCTAAGACACATGGGAACCTAGAAAAATCAAGTGCCCAAACTTCACAGGAAGAACAGGGACTCCATTAGCCAGACCCTTTGGAGAGTGAGCACACAGGTCATTCAGGATATAGGTGGCTCCTGAATTCTTGTAACTGTGTAGCTCCCTCCACGGCTGGCTACATAGTGTTTAAGGCCACTGCAAAATGAAAATGTGAACCCTTTTGCTCCAAAAGCAGGAAAAATTTGCCATTAAAGATACTTGGCTAGGCATGGTGGCTCATGCCTGTAATCCGGCTTTTGGAGCAAAAGGCCTCACATTTTGGGAGGCTGAAGTGAAAGGATCACTTGAACTCAGGAGTTTGAGACCAGTCTGCACGGCATAGTGAGACCTTGTCTCTATTTTAAAAAATAAAATTTTTTTAAAAAGGTACTAAAATGTTTTTTCTTTTCTTCTGCAGTTTCTCTCTCACCTTGTCGTGACGTTTTTACATGTTATTTGATGCCATTCCAAGTTATAATTATAGATTATCAGCATTTTTACCTTCATCTTGATATGGTGTGATGCCATTTTTAAATGCAAATGTAAGAACGTTTAATTTATATGTGGAATCATTAAAATTCCCAACCTTTAGCTAGACACAGAGTGCTGATTGGTGCATTTACAATCCTTTAGCTAGACACAAAAGTTCTCCAAGTCTCCTACCCAATTAGCTAGACACAGAGCATTGATTGGTGCGTTTACAAACCTTTAGCTAGACACAGAGCACTGATTGGTGCATTTACAATCCTTTAGCTAGACAGAAAAGTTCTCCAAGTCCCCACCCGACCCAGAAGCCCAGCCAGCTTCACCTCTCAATAAGATTTAAGTATAGATATTTCCTAGTTTTATGCTACATATTATACTGAATATGAGCTCTTTTATGGATAAAGACCATTATATAGATTTTACCTATATGATTCCACCAAAGAAATAATATTTTCTACACGTTAATATTTCAGTGGAAATTCAGTTAATAATTTTCAAAAACAGTTTCTTCCTCCCACTGACTTCATAGGAAGGAGGATTTTATGTCTTTGGAAATGTATGTCAGCAAGAAGATAAAATGGCAGTTAAAGGTTCATTTTAATTTGTTTTCTTCACTTGTTTATTTTTGGCTTTGTAGTAACGAGTGGCATCACCTAAGACACTTCATTCATGATAATAAAATGTCGTTTTCTTCATGAGTTACTTTTTTAAATAAAAGTGCCATCTCTGACCATGGCAGCAGTCCATGGTGTTTCTTTCTTGGGCCCATACTTGGGCAGGTTGGTTGATCACCAGTTGCTTGCATGACTGTTTCTATCCAAGTAGCAATTATGAAAATCAACCAAACATAAAGGAATTTATGTATTTAACTTAATATTGGTTTTTATCAGCTTCCTCCCTACTCCATTTAAAAAAAAATAAATGCAGGCTGGGTGCAGTGGCTCACACCTGTAATCCCAGAACTTTGGGAGGCTGAGGGTGGATCACCTGAGGTCAGGAGTTTGAGACCAGCTTGGCCAACATGGTGAAACGCCATCTCTACTAAAAATACAAGAAAATTAGCTGGGCGTGGTGGTGTGCGCCTGTAGTCCCAGCTGCTCGGGAGGCTGAGGCACGAGAATTGCTTGAACCTGGGCGGTGGAGGTTGCAGTGAGCCAAGATTGCGCCACTACACTCTAGCCTGGACGACAGAGCGAGACTCCATCTCAATAAAATAAAAAAATAAGAAGATAAATGCAGCCTATTGATGTAGAAGTAGAGAAGAGAGCAGATCAGAATGAAAGTACTAAGTTATGTATTTACTTAATCAAATCAACTAAATTATGGTGACTTAAATGTAAATCTACAGAAAAGTGGATTAAAATGGGAGAAAAACAAAAATTATTGATTATACTATTTCTAAATATCCTAAGGATGATAAAGAATTCTGTAGACCAAAAAGTCCCAACATTTATTTATCCTTGATAAAAGAATAATTTTAAATGGGTTAAGGTGTATCAGGTACGGGGCCAACTGAGGCTGTTTGGTAGGCATTAAAGGAATATCCAGTGAAGAGAAATAGGCAGAATAAGTGACCTCTGTGGATGTTTAGCGGGGAGCATGTGAAATGTTCTAACTGAGCAGTGAAGGGTCCTTCAACAGAAAATGTGTTCCAGAACAGAGCACCAAACTGCCAGCGTCAGGGAGCTGCTCCAGAACAGGTCAAAGTGGGAACTAAAGAATACTTGGAAACATGAAACATTTTTTAAAAGTTATCTACAAAGCTGCCTTATACAGAAATCACTTGAGTCAGTTCTAATGCAGATTCATTAACCCGTTCTAGACTCTTCTTTCTCATAAGTGTTATTGAAATCCTGCAATAACATAAACAGTTATATAAACAGCTTATGTATTATAAACTGAGCCAGGGATTCTGGGGAACTTAAGTTCTGGAGTAGGAAGGAGACTTACTGTTTACCCTTTGGTACGGTTTGAGTTTTTTTCTATGCGCTTTTTTATTTTTTTTGCATTGGAGGGAGGAGGGTAGTAGACTGACATCGTCTGGATGTTTGTCCCTTCCAAGCCTCATGTTAAAATGTGAACCCCAGTGATGGAGGTGGGGCCTGGTGGGAGATGTATGGACCATCGGGTAGATCCCTCATGAATGTCTTGGTGCCATCCTTATGGTAATGAATGAGTTCTTGCTTTTTTTTTTTTTTTTGAGATGGAGTCTTGCTCTGTCGCCCAGGCTGGAGGGCAGTGGCGTGATCTCAGCTCACTGCAACCTCCACCTCCCAGGTTCAAGCGATTCTCCTGTCTCAACCTCCTGAGTAGCTGGGATTGCAGGTGCCCACCACCATGCCCAGCTAATTTTTGTATTTTTAGTAGAGATGGGGGTTTCACCATGTTGACCAGGCTGGTCTCAAACTCCTGACCTCAGGTGATCCACCCACCTCAGCCTCCCAAAATGCTGGAATTACAGGCATGAGCCATCGCGCCCGGCTGAGTTCTTGCTCTTTAAGTCACCTTGAGAATATGATTGTTTAAAAGAGCCTGGCACCTTCCTCCCCCTCTCTCTCCCGCCCTCTCTCACCATGTAATGTGGGCTCCCTTTGTCTTCCTCCGGGAGTGAAAGCAGGCTGAGGCCCTCACTAGAAGCAGATGCTAGTGCCATACTTCCTGTACAGCCTGAAGAACCATGAGCCAAATAAACCCCCTTTCTTTATAAATTGCCCAGCCTCTGGCATTCCTTTATAGCAAAGCAAAACAGATGAAGACATAGACCTTCTGTAGATATGTCTCATTTGTGTTCACAGGATTCTAATTTGTGGAGGTGACTGTGTGCTGACATGGAGAGGCCAAGGCCACTGGAAGAAGAATTTCTTACATTTCCCAAGAGAAGAGGCGAAACCACGCCATGTGGGGCCGCAAGGGAAACATCAGTTTTGGTTAGGAGGCAGAAAGGAGCCAGAGGAGAGCCTAGGTCACAGCTTTTACTGGGTTTCCACAGGAAAGCCAAGGCAAGGTACGGGAAGCAGTTTAAGATTGGCTAGTATGAATAATTCTGGTGGGCTTTGAGCTATTGGGGTGGTGCCTGGTTGACCAGTGACAGCCCCTGGAATGATGTGGGGAAGAGGAAATACTGGGTTGGTGTGTGAGGTTAAAGAGAGCAGTTGGCTTGCATATGAAAGGCATACTCCCAAGTCATTTGTTCACTATGTTTAGGAATTAGCCCCGGGGTGGAGGGGGGCAGCAGTCTCTCCCGGGGTCTGTAAGGCTCCCAAATGCCAGAGCATCAAGAATACAAAAAACAGAAAAATAGTTAATACAGGGTGCGGTGGCTCACACCTGTAATCCCGGCACTTTGGGAGGCCAAGGAAGGTAAATCACTTGAGGCCAGCAGTTTGAGACTAGTCTGGCTAACATGGCAAAAACTCATCTCTATTAGAAATACAAAAATTAGCCAGGTGTGGTGGCAGGCGCCTGTAATGCCAGCTACTCGGGAGGTGGAGGCAGGAGAATCACTTGAACCCGGGAGGGGGAGGTTACACTGAGCCAAGATCGCACCATTGCGCTCCAGCCTGGGCAACAGAGCAAGACTCTGTCTCATCCCTCCGCCCCGCAAAAAAGTTAATACAATTGGCCGTGTGATAAATAGATGCCAGACAAATACAGAATCTAAGAAAGCATGGTAAGAATAAGATTATAGGAATGAAATACATTTTTATATAAATTTTACTGTGAAATAAATATGCAGTCATGTAAATCCTACTGCTTCTATAGTATATAGAAACATATATAGGGTATAAGTGTTCAGACAAATACTAGATTTATATATTGAACAATGCAGTGATATTGTAGACTTAAACACATATAGTGAGATTTCACTATTTCTGATGAAACAGTTATGCAAGTCTACATTTTAGGTTGTGCTTGATTTGAGGGGGAAAAGCAGGGAGTATTTTAAACAATTAGTTTTCAATGGAATAAAGAATGTTGACATTCTGAAAAGAGTTCCTTCATGAAATGCAATTACAATGACTGTTCATTATAATGCACTAATACACTGCAGTTACTTCATATAAAAAGGGTAAAGTTTCCTTAGAGTTTTTATAAATTATGTATTTTCTTTTTGAAAATAAAAAACCTTATCTTTTTTTTTTTTTTTTGCATTTTAAGAATAGATTGCCTTAATCAAGAGATTAGAAGGTAGGATTGAGGAATTCTTTGTACCTGAACATGAAAAAGGAAACATGTTCAAAGTTCACTGCAGCAATGACTGTAATAACAAATGAGTGGAAATAATCCAAAAGTCTCTCAGTAAAGGAATTTATAAAATACTATCCAGACGTTAAAATAAGTAGATTACGGCTGGAAATGGTGGCTCACGCCTGGCATCCCAGCACTTTGGAAGGCCAAGGCAGGCAGATCACTTGAGGTCAGGAGTTTGAGACCAGCTTAGTCAACATGGTGAAACCCTGTCTCTACTAAAAATACAAAAATTAGCTAGGCATGATGGTGCGCACCTGTAATCCCAGCTGCTCAGGAGGCTGAGGCAGGGGAATCGCTTGAACCCGAGAGGCAGAGTTTCCAGTGAGCTGAGATTGCGCCATTGCACTCCAGCCTGGGCGACAGAGCGAGACTCGGTCTCCAAAATAATAATAATAATAATAATAATATAAATAGATTTCATCTATATCTTCTAACACGGCAAGAACTAAAAAACATAATGCTGAATGAAAATTGCAGAAATATCATAGACTTGACCAGGCGCATCGGCTCACGCCTGTAATCCCAGCACTTTGGGAGGCTGAGGCGGGCAGATGACCTGAGCTCTCAGGAGTTCGAGACCAGCCTGGCCAACATAGTGAAACCCCATCTCTACTAAATATACAAAAATTAGCCAGGCCTGGTGGAGTGTGCCTCTAATCCCAGCTACTTGGGAGACTGAAGCAAGAGAATTGCTTGAACCCAGGAGGTGGAGTTTGCAGTGAGGCGAGATCGTGCCACTGCACTCCAGTCTGGACAAGAGAGCAAGGCTCTGTCTCAAAAAAAAAAAAAAAAAAAAAAAAAATCATAGACTAAAGATGTCATACAGGCAAAATTTTAAAATCCATAAAACAATACTGGGAAGGTGAGATATCAGAAAGGAAAAAGAGAAGTAGGAAATTTTCATTGGTCATAATAATTTTATTATTAAATAAAATAAAGCTAATACATAAAATAAAAACTTTATTATATTTTTATTAAAAAGAAGAGAATTGAATTGAAGCAAATATAAAATGTCAATATTTGTTCATCTGCAAGGCTGGCTTATGGGAGTTTGTTACATATTGTACTTTTCAAAAAACTTTAATTAAAAAAACAAGCAAAACAAAAAAATAGATTGGCTTTATCTACAAAAAATGTAGGAATGCTCTTAGCACTATAAATTATCAGAATCAGCAGTGCATACAGTAATTTGGAAAGTTAATAAGCATTTCTAGAAAATGATCAGTTTTGATTTTGATCAATTGGAAGTGTCAAGAAAATGGACCAAAAAAAAAAAAAAAAAAAAAAAGAAAGAAAATCAACAAATACAAAACATCAAATAGGGCCAGGCTCATTGGTTCACACTTGTAATCCCAGTGCTTTGGAAGGTCACGGCAGGAGGATCACTTGAGACCAGGAATTTAAGACCAGCCTGGACAACATAGTGAGACCCTATCTCTAAAAAAAAAAATTTTTTTTAATTAGCCAAGCATGGTGGTGCATGCCTATAGTCCCAGCTACTTGGGAGGCTGAGACAGGAGGATCGCTTGAGCCCAGGAGTGTGAGGCTGGAGTGAGTTATGATTGCTCCACTGCATTCCAGCCTGGGCAACAGGGTGAGATTTTGTCTCTAAAAAGGAAAAAATATTAAATAAAAATGTATACTATATTTCTTTGAATCAAAACCATCTATGTTCCTTTTTTTTTTTTTGAGACAGAATCTCATTCTGTCGCCCAGGCTGGAGTGCAGTGGTGCAATCTCAGCTCACTGCAACCTCCGGCCTCCCAGGCTCAAGCAATTCTCCTGCCTCAGCCTCCCGAGTAGCTGGGACTACAGGTGCGCGCCACCACACCCGGCTAATTTTTCTATTTTTAGAAGACATGGGTTTTCACCATGTTGGCCAGGATGGTCTTGATCTCCTAACCTTGTGATCTGCCCACCTCAGCCTCCCAAAGTACTGGGATTACAGGCGTGAGCCACCGTGCCCGGCCAAAACCATCTATGTTCTAATGCATCATTATTTTGTGTACCACAAAGGAGACAGGTGGAGGGAACACTGCCAACTGCCAACAATGACTATTAGATGTCATTAATCTAAAGATGAATCCACATTGCAGACATGTTCAAATGTAAAGCAAAACAAAACAAAGTACATATTAGAACTGGCAAAATGCAATAAGCATTTTGTACTGGATCTTCCATCACAAATTAGCCCAACAAAGCATGCACTGGATCTTTACCAAAAAAACTCACTAAAATTCTTTCACGAAGGAAGATCTAAATAAATGGAGTAATACACTGTATTTGCAGTTGGGATGACTTATTATTGTAAAGAGTTCCCTTTTTCCTATATTAATCTATAAGTTTAATGCAATTCCAGTCAAAATTCCAAGGGAAGGTTTTTTTTTTTAATTTTTTTTAGACAGAGTCTCACTCTATCACCCAGGCTGGAGTGGAGTGCAATGATGCAATCTCAGCTCACTGCAATCTCCGCCTCCTGGGTTCAAGTGATTCTCCTGCCTCAGCCTCCCTATAGCTGGGATTACAGGCTGCCATGCCCAGCTAATTTTTGTATTTTTAGTAGACGGGGTTTCACCATGTTGGCCAGGCTGGTCTTGAACTCCTTACCCCAGACGATCCACCTGCCTCGGCCTCCCAAAGTGCTGGGATTACAGGTGTGAGCCACCACGTCCGGCCTCAAGGGAAGGTTTTTAAGAGACCTGAATACTTTATTCTAAAGTTTATATAGAAAAATTAAAGTCCAAGTAAAGCAATTTCAGAAAAGAAGGGGAAAGGTAGGCTGTGTCAGAAGAGTATTCGTATACAAATATCAGAAAACCGTAACATAAGAGTTGCATAGAAAAGGGATGATTTAACTCATGCTACAGGCCAAGAGACAGTTGGGTTGATATTGACAGCTAAACAATGCTACCAGTCATAGAGGTTCTTTGAGTTTTCCTGTCCTTATATCCTTAGGATATATACCTTTGTCCCCATGTATGTTACCTCAGAATATTGTCTACATTCTAGGCAAGAAAAGAAGGAAAGGGAAAAGAGAAGAATGACTTTCTGTGAGATCTTTTTACTCAGGAAACAAAAATCACCCTAGGGAATTTTGTCTCCATCTCATTATTTATAACCTTACCACATGGCTAACCTCTGCTGCAAGGGTCTGAGAAAATGAATATTTTGGCTGAGTATATATATTGCTGTCCCAAACAAAACTGGGAGGCCAGTCCACAATGGTGGATGTTAAGTGCACATGCACAAGCAGAGAAGGTTGGTTCTGTTAGTGAAAATGAAAGAGAATGAATACTGAATCATAATTAGGAGAATCTGCTTTAAGAGAGGACTGTGTCTTCTAGTAAACAACACAACAATCAGTACACATCTGGCACAAGCCAAACAAACTAATTGTGGAATAGAATGACATACGATGGGATGGGATGGAATGAAATAGAAAAGAATAGAAAACTCAAAATAGACACGTTTATGTGGTAATTTGTTATTTGATAGAGGTGGCCCCACAAAACAGCAAGAAAGGGGTACATTGTTTAACAGATGGCATTTGGAAAATTGGCTCATTGTATATAGAAAAATAAAGCTGAAACTTTGTCAACCTATATATAAAGATGACTTCCAAATGGATCAAAGACCTAAATGTGAAAGGTAAAGCTATGAAGTGAACATAGAATATGTAGAAGAATATTTTTTGAGTACCTGGGGATGGAGAAGGACTTCTTAAGGTTCCATGAGAGGGTGGCTGAGCGCAGTGGCTCATGCCTATAAACCCAGCACTTTGGGAAGCCAAGGTGGGAGGATCGCTTGAGGTCAGGAGTTCAAAATCAGCCTGGCCAACATGGCAAAACCCCATCTCTACCAAAAAATAAAAAATTAGCCAGATATGGTGGTATGCACCTGTAGTCCCAGCTACTCATGAGGCTGAGGCACAAGAATTGCTTGAACCTGGGAGGTGGAGGTTGCAGTGAACCGAGATCGCACCACTGTACTCCAGCCTGAAAGACAGAATGAGGCCCTGTCTCAAAAAAAAAAAAAAATTCCATTAGAGGGTAAAAAATAGGTGGATATGACCATATGAATATTAAGGATCATTATTCAGTGAAGGACATGGTAGATAAGACTCACAATTGGATGATCATTTGGGAGAAGATAGAGCTTTCTGTGATGATGAAATGTTTTCTGTCTGTTCTCTCCAATATGGTAGTCACTATCCACACTGGGTTACCAAGCACTTGAAATGGGGATAGTGCAACTGAACAACTGAATTTTTAGTTTTAATTCATTTAAATTTAAATAGCCATCTGTGGCTAGTGGTTACCATATGGAGCAGTGCAGAACTAGGGTAATTTGAAGTACTCTAGCAGATCAATAAGAAAAAAATACAAGATTGTCCAATATAAAAATAGGTCAAGAATATAAATAGGTTTACAGAGGGGAAGCCCAAGTACATAGTTTTTAGGAAAAGATCCAAAATCACAAGTAAATAAGCAAAATACAAATTAAAACCATAAGATAGTATTGCTAAAATTGGAAAGTCATATGATCCCAAGTGTTAGTAAGGATGTGGGGAAGAGCAACCCTCATTTACTGCTGAAGGTTGGGGAGTAGTAGGCTTCTGCAGCCATTTTGGAATGAAGTATTTATATATCAAATAATCAATCAATCCTTCTCACCTTCCTTAGAACAACTCACACACAGATTGTTGAGGAGGTGAATGTGAAACCGAATACTTCCCTTGACCTCCTCACAGGACTAGCCAAAGGGTTGGCTCGTTTACTCAGCCCACAGCTTTCAAACCTTCACAGGACGGGGAGCATGCAGGTGACAGGGTACAGAGGCCAGGATGAGCACTTCTGGCCAATCGGCAGGAGCAGAACTCCATGCGGGCCTGCAGCAGCACCTAGGGGTTGCCTGTGACTCCTGATGCCCCAGAGGGAGTGTTACAGTGTGTTCTCTTAGCTTTGCTGTCTGCAGACAGCTAAATGTTTCATAGCTCAGTGTGACAGTCCTCTATATCCCAAGCTCTTGTTTGGCGTCCAGGAAGAATCAGGTCACACGAACAAATTGAAGGGTGGTGAGTGTGGAGGATTTTATTGAGTGGTGGCAGTGGCTCTCAGCGGGATAGGGGGCTGGAAAGGGGATGGATTGGGAAGATGGTCTTCCCCTGGAGTTCGGTCTTCCCCGGCTGAACTCTTCTCTGAGATCTCACTGTCAAACCATCCCTCTGAAGTCAAGCTGCTTCTCTCTGACGTCCAGCTACTTCTTCTCTTCTTCCTTTTTCTGCCGCTCTGCCACTCCACCAGTGGGGCCTGTGGGGTTTTCATGGGTACAGGATGGGGTGGTGGGAAGGGCCAGGATGGTTTTGGAAAAGGCAACATTCGGGCAGGAAAACAGGAATGCATGTTCTCACTTTGGGCCATGGGTCTAGGCTTGAGGGTGTGGCCCTCGCTGGGGACCACCCTCTTCTACCCAGTATTTCCCTGCCTCCTGTCCATATCACATGTACAAAGATGAAAGGTGCCCATCACATTTTTTTTTTGAGCCGGGGTCTTGCTCTGTTGCCCAGGCTATAGGTACAGTGGTATGATGAAGGCTCACTGCAGCCTCAACCTCCTCAAGGCTCCAGCAATCTTTCCACCTTAGACTCCTGAGTAGCTGGGACCACAGGCATGCACTAACACACTTGGCTAATTTATTTTTTATTTTTATGTTTGGTAGGGATTGGGTCTCCCTATGTTGCCCAGGATGGTCTTGAACTCCTGGGCTCAAGAAGTCCTCCCAACTCAGTCTCCCAAAGTGCTGGGATTACAGGCATGAGCCACCATGGCCCACAACATTAAGACAGTAGAGATTTAGAGGCAATGTAAGTTTATCGTGGGTGGGAATGGAGACGTTAAATCTGATGGAGGTATACTATGGAATACTCTGTTACAGTCAGAAATAATGAACCAGAGTTACATACAACAACATGAAGAGGGCTGGGAAATCTAGTATTAGGTGAGAAGGGTAAGAAATAGAGTGAGATGTGATAGTATGATCCTATGAACACAGGTTTCCAAAATCAACTCACCCAGAAATAGTTATATATTATTCAAAGATGTTTATATAACCAAGGCCATATATCAAACACATTACTCTTGCCTGGTACCTACTGACAATTTTGCACCATGAAGTAGAGGGTGAAAGGGAAGTGGGGGGCAGGGATCAAGGGGAAAAAGAGAAAAGGCTACTGCAAACAGGAGTGATGATTTTACACCATAAAGGAAAAGAAAGAATTATCTTAACCCTCAAACCTGTTATAGAACTGAAATGGGTTCTATTAGCCCGGCACCGTGAGACCAGATATCCACATGGTGGTTTGCAACAGAAGAAAGTGTTTTATTGGCAGGGCGCCAAGCAAGGAGGCTCAGGTAGCTAAGCTAACGCTTAAACCTTGACCTTCCCTATGACTAGCAGGTAAGGGTTTGTAAAGCAGGGGTAAATTTCAGGAAAGCAGAAGCTATAGGCAAAATAATAAATCAATGATTTATGGCCAAAACCATAAATCAAGGTTACACATTGGTTTTGGCCTTAAACTGCAGGATATCTTGAAGCAGGGGCTTATAGGTCATAGACAGATTCAAAGACTTTCTGATTTGCAATTGGTTTGAGAAGGTTTAATAATTTGGGGTCAGCAGAAAAGAATGTTAGGTCCAGCTCATGGGTGTGACTTTCTCCACGCCCCGCGGGAAGAAATTTAGAACAAAAGATGGTGGTCAGAGTTCAGGTCCCAGATCTCACTTATCTGAGGTCTACGTGCAAGTGGATGTGCAAGCAGATCTGTTTGGTGAGGGTTCGGTTTCTGAAAAACAATTTGAAGACATATGTTACAATGTTATCTTTGGTTTGTATAGGGGAACCAAATATCCCTTGATTCTAGCTTCCTTGGCTCTTGCTTTAGGCTACCTTCTTGCGTATCAAGTTGCTTATTTACTTCTCAAGGCTAACTAGATGCATGGAACTTGAAGGAACTCAAGATTTTCCTTAATTTCCATGCTTCGGGGGGGCCCACAGGCCTCTAAGGAGGTCCTTACTCCATCTCACATCTGATGTCCAAGGGAAGAGAGAACAAAATATGGTCTAGTATGTGAATTTCCTAGATCTTTTAAGGACTATGTATGGCTTTCTTGATACTGTGCATATTTTTTGAGCTAAATAGAAGCATGTTCTGTGTTCTGCTGTCTCTTTTATGTCAGTGCTTGCTTTAAACATAAGCATGCTTATAATTCATCATATTGGGCTCTGCTCATTTCTATAAACTCTACCAGCTGCTGTTGCTTTGGCACAACAGAGTATTTTATGTTCCACTGAAGTATTTCCCTGACGAACATAATGCTTTATGAAACCTGTATTGCAGATAATGTCTGAATGTTGAATTGAAACCATGAGAACTGAAGAGTGAATGGGCCAAGATCAGAGCTTGTGACAATCCACAGGTGGCCCTGGATGCAGGTTTAGATACTATTCTTTCAGACAATGTTCTCAGCCGTGTGCATCATTCAATCCTCTACATCTGAAATGATTTGCATAACCATGTTGCTGGGCCTGGGACAAAATTCCTATGGCAGTGTTGAAGCTTTTTCAGATTCTCATTCTCTCCCCTCTTTTTTTCTCTATCTTTTAGAATTCTGCAAGAATGGATTTGTGTGGGGTTTTCTTTTCTGTAGAAATTGATGTTGTATGTCTTTCATAAGTGTTCAGAGCTGAGAAAGAAAGGGATTGGATACTGTTGTATTTTACTGTGCCTTCTATAAGACATTTCAACAATCTCTGTAAATTAGTTTATCTTGTTTTTTATTGATTTCTTAAATAAATTAATGATCTATCCCAAAAGAAGGTGTGACATTAATTTCTTTTCTTTTTTTTTTTAAGTGCAGTGGCATGATCATAGCTCACTGCAGCCTCAACCGCCAGGTTCAAGCAATCCTCCCACCTCAGCCTACTGAGAAGCTGGGACTACAGGAATGCACTACCACACTGGGCTAATTTTTTTATTTTTAGTAGAGACAGGGTCTCACCATGTTGTCCAGGCTGGTCTGAAACCCCTGGGCTCAAGTGATCCTCCTGCCTTGGACTCCCAAAGTGTTGGGATTACAGGTGTGAGCCACTGTGCCCTGCAACACATTAATTTCAAAACTATATCTTTAAAATAATGCAAATTGTGTCTATATGGATTGCCAAACTACAGAGACAAGAACAGTTATTTCATTTCATTCCTTATAAAGCTTCCCTCTTCTCCGAAATAACTATGCTGGCAATACCAGTATGTCAACAGAAATTTTAGGTATATAAATTCCTTTTTTTTAATCACCCCCATTATTACTAATGTCACTCTACCTTCAAAAGCAAAATCAAATTGAAAAGTAGCACATATCTGACTTAGGCTATTGAAAACTTTTAACTACTTACATTTCAGATAATAAATGAGCCTCAGCAACTAATCACACTCAGAATCCGAAAAATAAATAAACTTAGTTTCTTAACTATAAATTATTTTGCCCCAAGCCAAAGATATTTTTATCTTCCAGAGATATTATAATCTCCCAAGCCAAGGAAAGAAAAAAATGTTAGAAAGAATCAAATACATGACTGCATTTTGAAAGATTTTGAAAGATTTCTAGGAAATGTTTTTACCTGCTGCAGACTAACTACCTTTAGACATCAGTTACTACACTTGCATGGGAGGAGGATCTTTGTGACGTTTATGTTTATTTTCTCTTTGTCACTGATTCATTCATGTCATTAAGCACATATATGTACATATGATATATATGACATAGATACGTATACATAAAATATACCTACATATTTTTTGCTATGTGCCAGGCATTGTTCGAGGCCCTGGGAATGCAATGCCCAAGAGTCTTTATACCTCAAATCCAGAGAGGGGAAACAGACAAGCAATGTAAATAAGGTGTCATAAGTGCTCCATTAAAACAAATAGAAAGTACTATGGGAGCTCATAGCAGAGGCGCCAGATTAGGATTAGATCAGACTAAATGTTCAAGGCAGGCTTACTGGATAAAGGAATATTTACACAGAGCCCCCAAAAGATGAGACAGATTCAGTCCTTGGAAAACAAGGGCTAAAGAAAAATATGTTCCAAGCATAGAGAGGTATAGCAGGGACTAGCAGGAGATAAGGTTGAAGAAAGAAAGTTACAAACAGATGCATGATATGATTAGATGAACATTCCAGGAACATCACTCTGCCTGGAGAAAGGACACACAGGACAATTACATCTGTCAGGAAACCAAAGGCTGAAATACAATAATGCAGTAAGGATAGAAAGAGAATTTACATAAAAGGCAAATTCACAGGTCAATTAACTGTCAGAGTGGGGACGGGGAGAGTGGTTGATCACAGCCCTGGAATTTTAGACATACTAGTGAACAATCATATGGTGGGCTACTGTATTAGTCAGAATCATTGATGCTAACAGCTGTTATGACTCAAAATCTCAGTGGCTTAGCACAACAAATGTTTATTTCTGTCACCTCACAGTCCAAAGCTGAGCTGGGAGAAGGTGGGTTCTGCTCCACACAGTCATTCATATCTCCATGTTTTCTCCCTGGATTCAAGCATTCAAAAGACATTATCAGGCTTTTGTCACCCCCGCTCCCTGGCATGTTTTTTTTTTTTGAGATGGAGTTTCACTCTTGTTGCCCAGGCTGGAGTGCAATGGTGCGATCTCGGCTCACTGCAACCTCTGCCTCCTGGGTTCAAGTGATTCTCCTGCCTCACCCTCCCGAGTAGCTGGGATTACAGGTGCACAACACCACGCCCAGCTAATTTTGAAACAGAGACAAGGTTTCTGTTGGTCAGGCTGGTCTTGAACTCCTGACCTCAGGTGATCCGCCCACCTCGGCCTCCCAAAGTGCTGGGATTAGGGGCATGAGCCACCACGTCTGGCCCTGCCCCTTCCTTCTTATTCTCAGCTCTGCCTTCCTCTCCATTGGTTTACCCCCAGGGAAGCTCTCTCCTTATGGTGGCAAGGATGGGACCCCAGCATCTCCACTCAAATGATCTCTAGTGTAGCAGTTCCCAACCTTTTTGGCACCAGGGACTGGTTTCATGGAAGACAATTTTTCCATGGATGGTGTTCGGGGGATGGTTTGGGGATGAAACTGTTCCACCTCAGATCATCAGGCATTAGATTTTCCTAAGGAACATGCAACCTAGATCCCTCATATGCGCAGTTCTCAATGGGGTTCACCCTTCTATGAGAAGTTAATGTCACCACTGAACTGATAGGAGGCAGAGCTTAGGCAGTAACACTCACTTGCCTGCTGCTCATCTCCTGCTGTGCAGCCGGGTTCCTTACAGGCCACAGACTGGTACCCGTATGGGGCCCCAGGGGCTGGGGAACTCCTGCTCTAGTGTATCATCTCCGGAGATAAGCTTTCCCCAACCATTCTCTTAGCATCTCTAATAATCCCTGCAAAAGGATTCTGGACTTCCTTGGGTCAGATAACCACCTAGGGCCAGTCATAGTCCACGTGGATGAAGAACGTGATTGGCCAGCCTGAGACGCACCCCAGAGGCAGAGGAGATCTGATGATTGGTAGCTCCATCAGATGTGGGAGGAGGAGTTCCTGAGAGGAACAGAGAAAGAAAGGCTCTAATACCAGAAGGCAGGGGTAAGTAGCTGCAAAAACAACAGCCATCACCAAAGCTATATAAGTTTTAATCTCCCATCAAATTTTTGGTTTAGGATCTTAGCAGAACTGAAGGGTAGAAAACCAACCTATGGAATTTTAAGTTAGGAGTGCCCAATGAGCAACCTGCTCTGCTCTTATCCTATGAAGTATGATGACTAAACATTTCCATTGTGTAAGTCTAGAATGTCACATTTTTTTTTCATATCTGTATGTTCATTGGTGTTTTATCTTTGAAACAACATGGTTTTACTCCAGTCTTTAGCCTGTACTGAGGTTTATGGGTCTCCTGGAGAAAAGCTAAGTTTAGTGTAAAATTTGTTCTGCCTTCAATCACAAGGGAAAAACAATCTGCCCTAGCAAACCCTGTGGGAATATGATTTATGAGTGCATGCTTAGGTGTTTTATTACTACATATCATAACTTTTATTAGTGCTTCTATTAATATTGCCAGTCATGAGCGATAAAATTGACTCTGAGTGCATCCACAGGCTTTTATAAACCTCTTTCTGAATCACTGGTTTTTCTGTAAAACATAAAACATTTTGGTAAAAAACAAAAAGTGGCAATTCACTTGGTTTTGGCTTAGCACTTGCATTTTCTAGGAGTGGAATCATAGCTGCTCAGAACTGTGGGAGCTCTCAGAAGTCATCTGACCTCATTCTCTATTTCTCTGTGAGTGGAGGGTAGGCACTCTGTACACTTAGTGGAATGAATGAATCTCCACTATGGCATCACACTGCTATTAAGCTTATTACCTCACAACAGCCCAGGTTTTCATGTGATTGTTTTATTTTGTTTTTGAGACAAATTCTTTTTTTTTTTTAAACAGTCTCACTCTGTCACCCAGGCTGGAGTGCAGTGGCATGATCTCTGCTCACTGCAACCTCCACCTCCTGGGTTCAAGCAATTCTCCTGCCTCAGCCTCCCAAGTAGCTGGGATTACAGGCATGCACCATCACGCTGTACTAGCCAGGGTTCTCTAGAGGGACAGAACTAATAGGAGATCTATCTATCTATCTAAATATTTATAACATATATATCTCCTACTATATATAAACATATATTATATTATATTACATATAATATGTAAACATATATCATATTATATTACATATAATATATAAACATATATCATATTACATATAATATATAAACATATACATAATATATAAACATATCTCACATATGAGATATAAACATCTCACATAATGAGATATAAACATATCTCACATAATATGAGATATAAACATATCTCACATAATATATGAGATATAAACATATCTCACATAATATATGAGATATAAACATATCTCACATGAGATATAAACATATCTCACATAATGAGATAAACATATCTCACATAATATATGAGATATAAACATCTCACATAATATATGAGATATAAACATATCTCACATGATATAAACATATCTCACATAATATATGATATAAACATATCTCACATAATATATGAGATATAAACATATCTCACATAATATGAGATATAAACATCTCACATAATATATGAGATATAAACATATCTCACATGATATAAACATATCTCACATAATATATGATATAAACATATCTCACATAATATATGATATAAACATATCTCACACAATATATGAGATATAAACATATCTCACATAATATATGAGATATAAACATATCTCACATAATATATGAGATATAAACATATCTCACATAATATGAGATATAAACATCTCACATAATATATGAGATATAAACATATCTCTCATGATATAAACATCTCACATAATATATGATATAAACATATCTCACATAATATATGATATAAACATATCTCACATAATATGAGATATAAACATATCTCACATAATATATGAGATATAAACATATCTCACATAATATATGAGATATAAACATATCTCACATATATGAGATATAAACGTATATACGAGATATGAACATGCATCATGAGCTATAAACATGCATCATGAGATATAAACATACATCATATGAGATATAAAATATACCACATATATGAGATATAAACATATATCATATAGGAGATATAAACATATATCATACATATGAGATATAAACATATATCATACATATGAGATATAAACATGTATCATACATATGAGATATAAACATATATCATACATATGAGATATAAACATATATCATACATATGAGATATAAACATATATGACATATATGAGATATAAACATATATGACATATATGAGATATAAACATATAACATGTTTGATATATAAACATATATATGATATATAAACATAAACATATATCATATATATGATAAACATATATGATATATAAACATATGATATATAAACATAT
The DNA here is from genome assembly GCF_000001405.40 of Homo sapiens. Lineage (NCBI taxonomy): Eukaryota > Metazoa > Chordata > Mammalia > Primates > Hominidae > Homo > Homo sapiens. The sequence continues at coordinate 172,621,615 of NC_000002.12, read as the reverse complement.
ATGATATATAAACATATATCATATATAAACATATATCATATATAATATAAATATATAAACATATATATATAATATATATATAAAAAAGAAGAGTTTATTAAGTATTAACTCACATGATCACAAGGTCCCACAACAGGCCATCTGCAAGCTGAGGGGCAAGGAAAGCCAGTCCAAGTCCCAAAACTGAAGAATCTGGTGTCCGATGTTCAAGGGCAGGAAGCATCCAGCATAGGAGAAAGATGTAGGCTGAGAGGCTAAGCCAATCTAGTCTTTTCACGTTTTTCTGCCTGCTTTATATTCTAGCCACACTGACAGCTGATTAGATGGTGCTCACCCAGATTAAGTGTGGGTCTGCCTTTCCCAGCCCACTGACTCAAATGTTAATCTCCTTTGGCAACACCCTCTCACAGACACACCCAGGATCAATACTTGCATCCTTCAATCCAATCGACAGTCAGTATTAACCACCACGCATGCCCAGTGAATTTCTATATTTTTAGTAGAGATGGGGTTTTGCCATGTTGGCCAGGCTGGTCTTGAACCCCTGGCTTCAAGTGATCCGTCTGCCTTGGCTTCCCAAAGTGCTGGGATAACAGGAGTGAGCCACCGTGCCCAGCCGACATGTTCTAATCATCAGAAATTTGTTCTTTTTTCTCCTTTGAGCCTGTATTAGGCCATTCTTGCATTACCATAAAGAAGTAACTAGACTCGGTAGTTTCTAAATAAAAGAGATGTAATTGGCTCACGGTTCTGCAGGCTGTACAGGAAGCACTGTGGCATCTGCTTCTGGGGAGGCCTCAGAAAACTTTTACTTATGGTGGAAGGCAAAGGGAGAGCAGGCACTTCACATGGTGAAAGCAAGAACAAGAGTGTGAGGTGGGGAGTGCCACACACTTTTAAATGACGAGATCTTGCGAGAACTCACTATCATGAAGACAGCACCAAGGGGATGGTGTTACACTATTCATAAGAAATCCAGCCCATGATCCAGTCACCTCCCACTAAGTCCCACTTCCAATACTGCGGATTATAATTCAACATGAGATTTGAGTGGGGGAGACAGAGCTAAACCGTATCAGAGCCCCACAGAATGAGCCTGCATAGGATGACGGGTCTCATTTTCAGATTACCCTAGGTTCCCTGAGGCTTTTCTTCTCCAGGCTTCATATCCTCAGTTCTGTCCAACTTCCCTCACATGCCATCGTTTCCACCGTCCCCTCTATCTTGATCACTTTACTGTGGCCATGTTTCAGTCCTCTTTGGGCAAGGTTGTTCACTGTATTATAAATCTACCTGTGCTTCTGTCTTCTGGTTCCCATTCTTAAATCTTATTCATGATATTTTAGGAGACTGTCCAGTTATTTGCTGAAGTCCAGATACCTATTTCAACAGCCTTTGTCTGACCAAGACAAACTATCAAAAAAATAAATGAGTTTTGCTTTGCTTGTTTGAGACAGGGCCTCACTCTGTCATCCAGACTGGAGTACAGTGATGTGATCTTGGCTCACCACAACCTCCGCCTACCAGGCTCAAGCAATTCTCCTGCCTCAGCCTCCTGAGTAGCTAGGATTACAGGTGAACGCCACTACCGCCTGGCTAATTTTTGTATTTTTAGTAGAGATGGGGTTTTGCCATGTTGGCCAGGCTGGTCTCGAACTCCTGACCTCAAATGATCCACCCACCTGGGCCTCCCAAAGTGCTGGGATTACAGGTGTGAGCCACCTGCCCAGCCTGAGATCAGTTTTGTCTGGAATGTTCTTCATGTAAAACATTAAGATTGCCAATCTGTAATTTGCAGCATCCTCTTTCTTCCTTCTTTAAATGAAACTGAGACTCTTCCCTGACTTTGATCATCTGATCCTTTTCCCTTTTTCATGAGCCATCAAAGGCTATTATAAGCTTTCATGGATCTCATCACAGATCCTGTCAATATCCTTGGGTGTAATTGTGGCGAGATAATATTTTGAGATATTACCTGAGAAATCCTTCTCTGAATTTTTTACTCTTTGCCTTTTATTCATTTAGTCAATGCATTCATTGCCTCAGGGAAAGACTGTTACCGCAGAAAACCAAAGAAAGAGCTTCTAAAATTTCTGAAGCTTATGCTTTTAGATTAAAAAAAAAAAAGCTAGGCCTAGAGATAATGTAAGCACAAAAATTTAATGGGGGAAAATGAGTTACGGGCAGTGTCTGCTTTTCCTGGTCCTCTGCTTCCCTTCAGCTCCACCCCTGGTCCACTGAGCTATGGAAATTTGTTCAGACTATGGGAAGACAGAGGAGAAATCCTCAAGACAGTTGGAAATCCAAGAACAGGAGAGAATGTGGGCATCCCTGGTGAATAAGGCAAGGCTTGAGGGTTTTCTCCTGCCCAGGAGCAGAATGAGTGCAAATGTCCACATGATGTATCCCAGCAGCCCAAGACAACCTCACAAGGCCCTGCTCTCCCCAGTGCAGTGGAGGGCAGGGGGTGGCAGAATGATTTCCTGTAAGCCTGAGGGTAGCATACAAGTGGTGAAAGTCATGCAAAGATGAGGACTTAAAACAGAAATGTATGAGTACTAGGAAGAAAAACCTGCATTACTTCTTACAGCGGATACTGCAGCACTTCATCCAGAGTTGCTCTATAGGGTCGATGCATCTAACTCCAAGCTGCTGGGGATATTAGCTGCAGACCATAATTTCTTTACCCAAAGTCACACCCTTCCCAGTACTCACTGATGCAGGAATAAAATGGCCCACTTCTCTAGCCTCAATGTGGGACAACTCTGAAGAGCCATCCCCAACTCTGGAACTCCCAGAAGGATCAGCTGGGACCTCAGCTGCAGCCACACTGTAGGAAAGCTTCTTACTTTGGTCAGTCCTACCTGCCCCAACTCCTTCCAGCTGTATTTTCTAAGAACTCTCCCAAACAAATTTTCTCAGCTCTCCTTAATTTTGTTGCCAGGGAATTCATCAAAGATATCTGCTCACCTGAGACAATAGCTTGACGATTTCATAATTCTGCTCCAAACATAACTTTTCCAGGTGCAGAGATAAATTATTTTAGAGAATCATGGTTTGCACTATTATTCTTTTCTTCTTTATTCATCTTTGGCTTCAGTTCTCACACAGCAATTTTACTTCTACTCTTTCCTACCAGATGATGATTATTAAAGTGAAGCAAAGTAGGAATGGAATGTTTTAATCTTTATTGCTTGTTGCCATCATTGTCCAAACATTGGACCAATGTATCCTTGCCATCTACTTTTGGGTAAACTAAAAAAGATCTCTTGTTTTTGTCTTTAGCATTTTTCAAAATATCTCATTCTAAAATTTTAACTTTTCTTTTTCAATCTTATACACTTGAATGTTTTATATCTTAAGATGAATGATGACTTCAGGGTCCTAAGCCAGTTTACAAAAGCCTCCTTTGTATAATAAGTCCTACCTACATAGTCTACCATCTCACTATAGAATGTAGGGGTAGTTGGATCCTTTTATTTTATATGCAGACTTGGAAGCTTCCACTAAAACTGACAGAGTCTCATTTACTGTCCTGTTACATTGCAATAACCTAAATAACTGTGATCAAATGAGTGTTTAAATCATATCTATTACAATGGAAAACTATATAACCCCTAAAAGTGTTGAGGGTGATTTATGGGTTCTAACATGAAATATGTTTTGTAAGTAAAGGAATAGGTTATTGCCGAATAGTTTTCAGCAAACAGGTTTTTTTTAAATAAAGTTATGTGTTTAATGTGTATAAATATATGTATGTTTGCATATACATAGAAAATGTTAGGAATAATGCACAAAAATATTCACAGTCATTATATCTGGGGCATGGAATTAAAAAAGTTCAGAGGTTCAGAGGATGCTATGGTTTGAATGTTTGTTCCCCTCTTAACTCATGTGTTGGAAGCTTAATCCCCAATGCAACAGCACTGGGAGATGGGGCTTAATGGGAGGTGTTTAGGTCATGAGGGATCGCCCTCATGGATAGGTTAATGCCATTAGAAAAATGGCCTGCAGGAGTTGGTTTGCTGTCTCGGTCTTCTGCCATATGAGGATATGATGGTCCTCCCCTCAGATGACACAGTGTTCTAGGTGCCATCTTGGAAGCAGAGAGACCAGGCCCTAACCTGCCAGTGGCTTGCTCTTGGACTTTCATCCTCCAGAACTGAGAGAGAATAAATTTTCATTCTCTATAGATTACTCAGTCTGAATCTTCTGTTATAGCAGCACAAAATAGACTAGAGGGGAATATTTTTTATTTAATATAAATTATTTCATTTAATAAGAATTATCTCTTTAATAAAACATTATTTAATAATTTTATCGATTTAATTTTCTTAAGTATTATTTGAATTTTAAAATAACTGGCCAGGCGTGGTGGCTCATGCCTGTAATCTTAGCACTTTGGGAGGCCAAGGTGGGCAGATGACTTGAGGTCAGGAGTTTGAAACCAGCCTGGCCAACATGGTGAAAATCCATCCCTACTGAAAATACAAAAAAAATTAGCCATGTGTGGTGGCAGATGCCTGTAATCCTAGCCACCCAGGATGCTGAAGCAGGAGAATCGCTTGAACCCAGGAGGTGGAGGTTGCAGTGAGCCGAGATCACGCCACTGCACTCCAGCCTGGGTGACAGAGTGAGACTCTGTCCAAAAATAAATAAAATAAAATAACCAATCATTATTTTTATAAATTACAAAGACAGAAAAAGAACATCTTATTGGGAAAGTACACTGTATACCATGTTCTGCTTTTGTTTTCAAGTTGACTTTCCAAGACACTACCCTGAAAGAAAATATGCATTCTACTGTCAGTCCTACTACTAGCCAATTTAGATGCAGAAGTAGGCTATTCAAGAGGGAGCATTATTTTATTGCTTTTAAAATTAACCTAATAATTTAAAAATATTTCTAAATTAAAAAATAACCCATCACATATAAGTAAATTATGTAGCATAATATGAACCTCTATGAACCTATTTCTCACAAAACCTTCAATTTGAATGAATACCATTCATTCACCTATGTGCTTTTCCCTATTCCATCCATGCAACCATTAGCCTGAATTTTGCACTTATCATCCCCTCACCTTTCAAAAAACGTAGGTTTTCATATGCCTGAGCATTGTTTTGTTCGTGTTGGTTTTTTTAGTTTATGGCAATATCATACAGTATCAGTCTCTTGGGAGTTCTTTTCCACTCAAAATTGTGTTCCTAAGATTCATCCATGTGTGTAGCTATAGTTCATTAACTGCTGTATTTCGCTGGATAAATATATCAAAACTTACTTATTTCACATCATTGGGTTTTGAGAGTATTTCCAGTTGTTTTTAGCATTCCAAATATGTGCAAATTTTCCTAGAATGTACGTCTAGGGGTAGAGTTTTAGGTCACAAGTTATTTCAATGTATAACTTTACAAAAAAACTGCTAAATTGGTTTTGAAAGTGATTTTACAAATTTACACATGCATTATAATGTATGAGAGTTCACAATGATTCATATTCTCACATTTGGCTTTGTTAGACCTTTAGTCTAAGGGATATAAAATAGAACCTCAATGTGGTCTTAATTTGTACTTCCTTGATTACTAAGCAGGTTCAGCACCTACTTACATGAGATTTGGCTGGCTGGCTTTCTTCTATAAAGTGCCTGTTCGTAGCTGTGTCCCCATAGTGCCTCTTCCGTTGTAGGCACTCCCTAAATGTTTGTTGAATAAATGTAGCATGTAGCAAAGTAAGACTTAGGATATGGACTTGCTAATTTAAGAAAGACGTTCTTTTTTACCGGGCACCACAAGCTCTACTTCCCTAACCTTGTAATTTAATAAGTCTCATTATATAGCCAATTTAGTTAACTGACCAATAACTGATTCTTTTGCATAATTGATTTGTTTCAAAAAGTGTTCACGGAATTATTGTAAAGATGATTTTGCATAAGATATTACTTACCCTTGGTGAAGCAGTATTTTGCTTCTATTAATTAATGTTTTTTTTTTTGAGACAGAGTTTCGCTCTTATTGCCCAGGCTGGAGTGCAATGGTGCAATCTCGGCTCACTGCAACCTCTGCCTCCCAGGTTCAAGCGATTCTCCTGCCTCAGCCTCCCGAGTGGCTGGAATTACAGGCACGCACCACCACACCTGGCTAATTTTGTATTTTTAGTAGAGAAGGGGTTTCTCCAGGTTGGTCAGGCTGGTCTTGAACTCCTGACCTCAGGTGATCCATCCGCCTCGGCCTCCCAAAGTGCTGGGATTACAGGCATAAACCACTATGCCTGGCCTCTATCATTTAATTTTAATGGCAGTAGAGAAGTTCTAAATTTTGTTCTAGTGACTGAACAACTCAAACAGTGCTGCTGTTTTCAGAGTAGAGCATTTTTTTCAGAAAAACATGAAATATTGAATCCAACGTTGGCAGTGATGCAAGATTTCTCTCAGACCCTTTGCCAGACTCCCAGCAGGGGCACCCTGTCTACTCGGCCTGCTGTGCTCAACCCCTTGCGGCAGGGAGCACGTCAGTAAACAAGTGTGGGATCCAGGCGGCCACTCCACCCACACAGGAGCAAACTCCGTGCAGGGTCTGCAGCCAGACCAGGCAAAGTTATGTCCAAGAAAAAGTGTAAACAGTATTAGTACACAATAGTACACTGTTGTGTACTAATACTTAACAGATATGTCATGAGGCATCAAATTTATGAAGAATTAATACAACTTAAAATTCAGAAAAATGTTATCTGTTAACTTAATTTTTATGAAATCTTTTTGTGTTTCTGAATTAGAAATAGATTATTGTTACAGGATCTCTGGGGTGTCAATTTTTCTGGCCAGAAACCTCTATGGCCATGGTGCCTGAATTCTTGTCCTCCATCCAGGGAAGAATGAGGTATGCAGACAAGTGAAGGGTGAAAAAGAGTTTTATTGTGTTGGAACAGCTCAGAGGAGTGGGTGGCTCCTCTCTGTAGGCAATTATCCCATTGGGTGTTCAGCTCTCAGCTGAGAGAAGGCCCTGAAAAGAGTGGCTCCTCTCTGCAGGCAAGTCATTCAGATGTCTGCAGGTCTCTGAAGCTCTCAGCAGACGGCAGCTCCTCTCTGCTAACAGTTTCTCTCTGAAGGTGGTCGCCCATCATCTCCAGTTATCAGTAGAGTACTCCTCTCTGCAGCTGGTCATCCCGTCATCCTCTGCCCTGCTCTGGCTGAGCCCAGGGCTTTTACGGACCTCAGAGAGGAGGAAGTACATGCTGATTGGTCCATAGGCAGCCATGAGCAGCACGGAAGAGCATGAGTCCCCACTCCTGTTGGAGGGACTGGCAGCCACTGGCAGCCTGGTCCCCAGTCTTCAGGACCTCCCTGGCTGGAAGGTGGGGACTTACTGGGGACTCGCCCCTTCCATTCAGGACTCTGTCTGAACAGGTACCCCTGAACCTGCAGGGATGGGGGTTGGGGGGGGGGGTCCTTCCTGGGACCCCTGAGGGCACAGGCTGCAGAGATTCCCGGGTTCTACACCTGGGAGGGCGGTCACGGCTGCACCCGCGAGCTCCCACCCCATCAACTTGGAAGGGGCAGGGCTCCTGCTTGTCCACAGCTCCTGCCTGCTTCCTGGAGCAGGAGACCCAGATCTGCGGCTGTGGGTGCGGCAGCTGCAGCTGCACCCAGGAGGGCAGATCCTGCCTGTTCCTGGCTCCCTCAAAAACACAGGGAAGCTTGGATCCACAGCTGCAGTTTGAGGAGCCCAGGAGGGCGGGGCTCCTGCCTGCTCCGTAGAGCAGGAGGGTCTACAGCTGCGGTTTGGGTGGCTGCAGCAGCACTGGGAGTTCCTGTCCCAACTCAGAAGGAGAAGGGCTCCCCCTGGCTCCATGGAATATGCAGCCCCAGCCACACTTCCCTGCTGGCATCATTATTACACATTTTTAAGTGGGTAGGTATTCCACAGAAATATGTTTTTAAAACCACCCTTCAGATAGTCCAGATAGGAGACTATCTGATAGGGAATAAGTTAAAAAGTCAAAGGTGGGCATGGTGGTACACCTGTAATCTCAGATACTCAGGAGGCTGAGGTGGGAGGATTATTTGAGCTCTGGTGTTTGACGCTGCAGTGAGCCATCACTGTGCCACTGCACTCCAGCCTGGGTGACAGTGAGACTCCATCTCTTAAAAAAAAAAGGAATTAGCAGCAAAAAAGGTCAAATAAGGATAAGGATTTTACTATTTGTCTTCTCCAGCATTTCTTCTAAAGTCATGGAGCGTACTGCTCAATTTCCCCTCAAGAAAGAATGTACAGTTTAGCTGTAAAGAATGCAAATTAGCTGATAAGCTCCATCTGTCAGTTCCTTCAGGCTGTGTGCTTCAGCTTTCAACGCAAGGCCACACCCCTAGGGAAGTCCCTGCCAATGACTGAGCAGGGCCAGGGTACCAGCCATTTCTGCCCTGAGTGGGTGTCCTCATGGGCAGTCTTCGCTCCTGAGCTCCTCCTGTTAGTCAAGACTCAGTTCTGCATCATGGTCTGAGGTTCTCTATGCCCAGTACTGCTTCCTCCACAATTCATTTCTAAATTGTTTCGTTACCCTCCAATAAACCTTTTACATTCCTGTCTCAGCATCTGCTTCCCAGAGTACCCAAATGACACAACTTTTCTGTAGCAAAGGCTTTAATTAAAACACTAGCTGGGCCGGGTGCGGTGGCTCATGCCCGTAATCCCAGCACTTTGGGAGGCCGAGGTGGGCGGATCACCTGAGGTCATGAGTTCAAGACCAGCCTGGCCAACATGGTGAAACCCCGTCTCCACTAAAAATACAAAAATTAGCCAGGTGTGGTGGCATGCCTCTGTAATCCCAGCTACTAGAGGAAGGAGAAATGCTTGAACCCAGGAGGCAGAGGTTGCAGTGGGCTGAGATCACGCCATTGCACTCCAGCCTGGACAATTAACAGTGAAACTCCGTCTCAAAAAAAAAACACTACTGGTAGCATTTTCTTTCACTGACATGCATGTACAGCATGTATTTGGCTAAATACACAGAAAAACTATTAGTACATTTTAAAATTGAATTTTGGATAGAGTGGTGACTGGACTTAAGAGAACACAGTGTTCCTATCACCTTCGACCATGTGTTTGAGAAATTTATGCTTAGCTTGAAAATGTTTAAAAAAAAAACAAACCTTCTAATCAATGTAAAAAACCTCTTGACATTGTTAGTTTATGACAGTGATACTAATTACTAACATATATTCAGTATTATATGCAGGAAATGTGCTAAGCATTGTACATACATTAGCTCACTTAGTTCTAGAGGCTTATGTCTAAACAATATTAACTCAGGAATTAGTTAATTGCTCTTAAGAGTTTCAGCTTTAGCCAGGAAGTGCATTAGCGTTGGATCTGGGAATTGCTATCTTGGCTGTATAATGAAAATATTCATTCAAATGTTAATGTATAACGGTGGATCTTCGGAAGAGAAATGGTCTTTACTAGCTTAGGCCAATAAAGTGCGTACCATAGGAGTAATTATGAATTTTCCAACTGCATTATACATTTAGAGAAATACTCTTCTCTGTGAGAAAACAACTTTTAAAATTGTGGCTTTGATAATTATGATATGGCAAATATGTGTTTGATTTATTCCATTTCTAGCCATGTATTTCTTTTGAATTCTGACTCACTGATTTACAAGGTGAGATATGAAAAAGTATTATTCTTACATCAGGGAGTATCAAAGATGGGAAAAGGTGCCTGAGGGCAGTCAGCACTATCAGATCCCAACGTGGGGACCACTAGCTATTTTGAATAGATGTGAATTTTGTCAAATGCTTCTTCTATGTCAATTGATATTATCATATGATTTCTCTTCTTCAGCCTGTTTCTATGATTACACTAATTGATTTTTGAATCTTGAACCATCCTTACTTAGATGGGATAAATCACATTTGGTCATGACACGTACTTCTTGTTATACATTATTGGATTTAACATTTTGGCGGGAGTTTTGCCTCTAAGTTCATGAGAAAGATTAATCTGTAGTTTTCTTTTTTGTATTGTGTTTGGTTTTGGCATCACGGTAAAACTAGTCTTATGAGTTGGGAAGTGTTTCCCTCCTGTTCTATTTTCCGGAAAAGACTGTGTAAAACCAACATTAATTTTTTTTTACATACTTAATGTATGAAACTGGTAATTTTTTTTAAATGTTTGATAGAATTCTTCAGTGACACCTAGTGGGTCTGGAGATTCCTTTTTTGAAGTTTTAAAATTACAAATTCAATTTATTTAGTGGTTAAAGGACTATGCACATTATTTCATCCTGGTTGATTTCTGGTACTTTTGAGGTTTTTGCTCCTGGTTTTATTTAAGGAAAAGATGAAAACAGTCAATGAGAGAATCACACAAAATATGAAGTTCTTACTAGTAATTTGAGAAGTTGATAGAATGCAAAGTATTTTATACTCAGGATTTGACTATCAACTTGTTCATGAATCTAAACCATTGCTGAATGTGATGTTGAGGATTTTTTCCCTTCTGAAGCCCTAAGTCTCTGATTTTATTGGCTTTATACGCTACCAAAACCCCAAGATCCACACAAATATTTCACTTAAAAATCACATATAAATTCGACAAAATAAAAACATTCCTTTGCCACTGAAATAACACTTTAGATACACGTTTGCTATTTTTACAGCTGTATTAATCAAATTAGGAAAACAGAAATAAAGAATTTTAAATAGAGGCTGGGTGCAGTGGCTCACGCCTGTAATCCCAGCCACTATGGGAGGCCGAGGAGGGTGGATCACCTGAGGTCAGGAGTTTGAGACCAGCCTGGCCAACATGGTGAAACCCCATCTGTACTGAAAATACAAAAATTAGCCGGGCATGATGACAGGCGCCTGTAATCTCAGCTACTTGGGAGGCTGAGGCAGGAGAATCGCTTGAACCTGGGAGGCAGAGGTTGCAGTGAGCTGAGACTGCACCACTGCACTCCAGCCTGTGCAAGAGAGTGAGATTCCATCTTAAAGAAAAAAGAAAAAAATTAAATAGAGATAATTTGATGTAGGAAATTGATTACACTGATAATACAAAACTGAAAAACCAAAAGGTAATTGTGAGGTAACCCAAAGATTAATAACTACAGGAAAATAATTTTTCAGTCCCACCCAGGACTGGAGAACAAAAGAAAAGATGCGGTGTTTCAAAAACCTAGGCACAGGGAGGAGCCCCCCCACCATGGTGGCTGGTGCTGGCCCTGCAAAGAGATCCGGTGTGCCCATGCTCAGAGCTCTGAGAGGCATCGTAGGGGCAGGCAGTGCCTAAACATACTGGATACCTATTTTTCAAATAGTGACTGTAGAACAAGAGGGATGATTCATGCAGTAGATACATTTTGGAGAAGATAAACCAAGAAAAGCCACTGTTGAGTGGACATAAACCTGAAATCCTATATTATAGAATTCACAGCAAAGGATATACTAGATGACAAGACATAATTCAGCTAGAATATTACAGATTAAAAGTGAATGCTGGCTTGGTGCAGAGGCTCACGCCTGTAATCCCAGCACCTTGGGAGGCTGAGGCAGGCAGATCACTTGAGGTCACGAGTTTGAGACCAGCCAGACCAACATGGTGAAACCCTGTCTCTACTAAAAATACAAAAATTAGCCAGGTGTGGTGGCAGGCACTTGTAGTCCCAGCTACTCGGGAGGCTGAGGCACGAGAATCATTTGAACCTAGGAGGCGGAGGTTGCAGTGAGCTGAGATCACACCACTGCACTCCAGCCTGGTAACAGAGACTCCATCTCAAAAAAAACAAAACAAAACAAAAAAAGTAGTGAGTGCTTTTTCTGTAGTTGTCAACAATTACAGGTTTAGCATAGGGCCCATCTACTGCATTTGCCAGATGGATAATTGAGTTTACTTTTGGGACAATACTGCAAGTACAAACAGCAGGATAATCATGCGTTCTAATGATGATGTACACTTAAGGAAACACGCATGTCCGTTTTAGAAACTAGTGTCCGCATTTCCTTCCTCAGAGCATTTCCTTCCACTTCTTTGGGTTGTTTGGACTCTAATAAATTCTTCTATGTGATCTTTATTTTATTGAGTGCAGTGGATAGCTTTGTGCCTGCAGCAGTAATACTCCGATTGCAATAAATCAAATTCACTTCACTTAGAATGCACCTGAGAAAAGTTAATCAAAAAAGCATAAAATCTTATTTTCTTTATAGTAAGTAAAATTTCAGATTGTGTTTAATATGATACTTAACAGGAAGAAGTCCAGTTGTTTACACTGATGAGGAGGAAAAGCTGTCTTTTTACCTTAATTAAATGTACCTGACCAATGTACAGCAGCGCTCCCCTTTCTAAGACAAACCAGACAATCTCCAATTAGAATGTGCCCAATTTCCACTTAACAATCATTTTCTGGAAGTTGAGTGTCCTTGTCGTAGATAGCATTCACACAGAACACCATCCTAACTTTCTCTTTGAATTGGAATCAAGTGCTGCTATCTGCTGATTGGAAACTAAAAGTGCATTTAGGGTGCTATTTCAAAAGTGTCCATTATTAACTGTCTCCTTAGAAAATAAAGCTTCTAAGTCAAGCATATTTTTAATTTTGCATAATGTAGTAAGTTTATCTTCATTGATTTGGGACTTTATAATGATTTTCCATTATAGAAATTCAGAATTATACAATTTAATGTGGTTTATGAAAATATCCAATTACCAACGTCCTGAGTGGCTGTTAAATGACAGGGGAAAGACAAGACAAATTCAATTCCAGGACCTACAAAAGCCCATCTGTGGATGGTGGATGTCTTAGTCTTTTCCATTTCAGTGCCTTTCATAATGCTTAGTATGCAGTAGGCACTCAAAAAATACATGTTCAGTGAATGAACAATCATACAGTGGGTAGCTTTGAATTTTTTCTCAGAGGGTCTAGGTGGCTCACACAAAAATGAGTGACATATGATGCAGGAGAACATGCAGGATTTTAATCAAACAGAAGAAAATGGAATAAGGAGAGAGATACAATTCAAAAAAATAAAAGATAGTTTGGAGGTGATAAAATGGCCATTGGTAAATCCACGGATTTGGTTTCACATAGACTTACAGCAGAGTGAATGATAAACAGTTGTACAATTTAACATGATGGAAATTTAAAATTTCTTGCATAGTAACTGGAGGTTCTTTCATATCCCCGTTAATACTAACTTCTTCTGAGTTTATGGACATTGCAAATAACATTAGCCAAAATACCCCAGAATCTTGGGGGTGGAAGAGTAAACTAGCTATATAATCACCTAGAATCGGAAGGAAAATGTTATAAACTAAAACGACCTTTCTTTCCTTCTATATGTTTATTTTTCTTTGATCAATGCCCAAGTAGCTGACTCCTCTTGCTATATATTTCCATTTCCTAAATAGACTTTAGTACAGCAATATCATTATCATCCCATTTCTTTTCTCCTATCTCACTCTATATGTTTGTTATATTTAGATTGTAAATTCCCCACAGGGTATGATGGTCTTGTGTTTACAGCCTTCTCTTCTACTTACCTTTTTGCATCAAGGGTCTCAATGTCAGTCAAGTATTAACTAAAACTGTTATTAATAAACTTTATTATTCAGATTTTTACCTTTTACTACAAAAACTGCACACTATCTGATACTGCTTGGATAACTACAGTCTAACACTGAAACACAGCTCCTTTTAAAAATATCATTTCTAGATCACTGCCCAGGAAATGTCTTGGAGTGTAAGTATACACTGAGTATGGTGTACTGCTCTGAACTGGAAACTGTAGGTTCCAGATGCCAGTTATCAACACTACTCTGCTCCTAAAGTTCCCCTATCCCCTGCTCCTTTTCCTTCCCCTGCTGCCTTCTGGTCCTTGCATCCTTGCTGCTGCTGAGCCTGTTCCCCTAGGACCGACTCTGCTACAACCAGATACAGGGTCAGCCTCCACTCTGAGTTTGGCCAACCTCCTTCCTAGTACCATTGTTTTGGGTTCACCATCACGATACCATCCCACTCCATTCTACTAGTTAGAAAGAACACAGAGCTTGGCATGATGCAACAACCTGTAGCCGTAGTGGTTGCTAAAGCAATGACAGTTGGCTTGTCTCAGGGTAACAGCAAGTCTTATTTTGGTTTGAGTCAGGCCCTGGAGTGGCAAAACAACTGGAGACATGTTGAAGCCATCATCCTTGGCTGGTTCAAACTACATCTTAGAGAACAGAAGGAGTTTTAGAAAGAACTGTATATGAAACTTAGCCAATTATATTTTCACAATTGTTTGATTCTATATTAAAAAAAATCAAAGCACTTACTATTTCAAATTTTTGTTTTAGAAGCAACCTCGCTCTGTCACCCAGGCTGGAGTGCAGCAGCACAATCATAGCTCACTGCAGCCTGGAACGCCTAGGTTCAAGAAATTCTATCACACCTCAGCCTCTGGAGTAGTTGGGATTATAGGCGTGAGCCACCATGCTTGGCTATTTTGGATTTTAATTTTGGACTCAAAATGTAAGCATGTTGATGTTAGTCTTTGGCTGGTTTAAAACATTCCTTTGAAGACAATATGCCTGAGAGCTAATTTAGACACAAACTGTTTCTAAAGGCTTACTCTTTTATATTTCCACCCTTATATAATCATACCACTGTAGAGAAAGATCCCAGGAATAAGACCCCAAAGCATGCTACAAAAGTGGCATGATAGAGAAACTACCACTGTTTAATGGGTGCAAGGTTTCCTTTTAGGGTGATAAAAATGTTTTGGAACTAGACAGAGGTGGTGATTGCACATTGTGGATGTACTGAATGACACTGAATTACACTTTAAAATGGTTAGTTGTAGGTCATGTGAACTTCAACATGAAAAAGGTTTTTTTTTTTTTTTAAAAAAAAAAGGAAAGAAAAAATAAACTACCACCATTCTCTCTGCTACCACAGAGCACTAAAATCTAGGAATTTGACTTTACTGCAGCCATTAACACCAGCACTGATGCCACTTCTGTATCAGGAACTTAACCTGACAACCATGAAAGGTCCTCTGAAAGCCAGATGATACATATGGCAAAACTCATGACAGCATATGGACAACTGCACAGAACTTGTGCTTCATGTTGCTGAGTGCAGATGTTTCTAATTACCGAAGTTACTGTCTGCCTCCTAGCAGCAAAAGAGACTTGAGGAAGTAAGGTTCATAACATGGAGGTTCACTAAAGTATAGAAAGGCCATTCAAAAGGTTGTGGGCTTCCACAAAAATGGTAAGTATTCATTACATCCTCCTAGCCTTCTGTGGATGCCAAGAGTTTGATTAAGTTCTAAGAGAGAGGAGATCTTCTTTACCTTCCAGAGGATGCAGGCAAATTGGCTTTGCTAAAGCACCCAATGTCTGCTTATGATCACTATACTCTCATCAATACTTCCCAGGTCTCCAGAATTAGGACAGTCATTTGTTGTTAAATTAGCTGTATATTTCTCCCAGCGATCATATTCTCATGAAGCCTGATCAACGACTGACCCATTTGGTCATAGGACTATGCTATCCAAGAGAGGACCCAGTGATGCCACCACTGAAGGTATCTATGAAATTAAATGGTTTTATGTCTATAATAGTACAGAGTTTTATGGTCACGCAAAGTATGTATAAAATCTGGCTCATGGAGTTTGGGAAGAATAGTGATTGGACTGCAGAAATTATAGCATCTATCAGGTTTGGGGGAGGGGGAGTTGTGGGGGTAGTAGTTAGTGAATATCAGCACGCTGACCTTTTCAAACAGGTGGTAAATGTCTTTCCACAGATCCTGCCCCTATGTTGGTCAGAGAGAAGCAAAGTAGGTGAATTATTTTCCAATAATTAATATTAGCATAAATGGGGCAAACATGAAAATGAAAATCTAAAGAAACCCACTCAGCACAGCTTTCATGAGCTCAGTGCCGACTCAAGATTTACAGAGAGGCTGAGCACGGTGGTTCATGCCTGCTATCCCAACACTTTGGGAGGCCAAGGCAGGAGGATCACTTGAGCTCAGGAGTTCGAGACCAGCCTGGCCAACACGGTGAAACCCCGTCTCTACTAAAAATACAAAAATTAGCTGGGCATGGTGGCAGGCACCTGTAGTCCCAGCTACTTGGAGGCTGAGGCAGGAGAATCACTTGAACCCAGGAAGCAGACGCTGCACTGAGCTGAGATCACACCACTACACTCTGGCCTGGGCAAAAGAGCAAGACTCTGCTTCCAAAAAAAAAAAAAAAAAAAAAAAATTACAGTGTAGACCAAACCTGGACAGTCTAGTTAGCTCCACTCACATATCTTTAAGCTCAGAGGCTCTTGAACGCCTATGTGTCCCACCCAGAGGCCTCCAGTGTCCTTGACTGTTCATAGTGGAATAGAAGGAGGCATTATGGTATTTGGTTCTATCTCTTGTGCCTCCTGTTGACTGGATCCTCACTTAGAAATAAAAGACTGACACAACCCAATGGATGGGCTGGGGTAAGATGCCAAGGAGAGTAATATAGGTGTGTCACTAACTAAATGGGCCAACCAAGCCCTGTGCCTCCTTCTTAAAATGGGGAGTCTATAGAGGGAAAAGTTTTCTCTGAGAGCCTCAGGAATGTTAAGCCTGGCATCTACAAATGTATCTTTGGGGCTGAGATCTTGAATCTTATACTTGCTTAATAAGCCATTTACTGCCTGCCATTTGGAAGATAAGAAAGAAAAGGGCATCAGAGATCAATGCCCCTAATGATAGTTGGATAAGAACATACCCAATATAAAGCTCCAAAATAATCTCGAAACTAGAAAAGTAGTCTGGCCACATCATATTGTGGCACAAAACAGTAACACTCAAGCAGCCCTGGACTGGGCCAGTGAAATTTTACTGCTGACCCTTCCAAGTCTAAATGGAGAGGGCTAGACAAGAGGGCAAAGTCAAGTTCATGGTGTTGCCATTGGACATACTGCCATTTACTCAATTATGGACACCACATCAAAGACCAAGTGAATAAGGTGGAACTATGTTACTTAGCTATCTCTAGTCCTCAGTAAAACTCCAGAGGCCATGATTTTTCTGAACTGGAGATTCAAACGTGAAATGTATTAGCAATGAACATTGGAGAGGAAAAACGTTTTTTTAAAAAAATTTGTAAGTTAAAAAAAAAGCAAATACTTAGATTTAAGTCTAACAAAATATGCGCGGAATCTGTAAGCTGAAAACTACAAAGTAACAATGAAAGAAATCAAAGGCAATCTATGTAAAGGAAGATATATGCTATGTCTGGCCAGGTACGGTGACTCACGCTTATAAATCCCAGCACTTTGGGAGGCCAAGGCAGGTGGATCCCTTGAGGTGGCGACACCCTGTCTCTGCTAAAAATACGAAAATTAGTCAGGCATGATGGCGCTCGCCTGTAATCCCAGCTACTGGGGAGGCTGAGGCAGGAGAATTGCTTCAACTCAGGAGGCAGAGGTTGCAGTGAGCCAAGATCATGCTACTAAACTCCAGCCTGGGTAATCTCAGAGCAAGACTCTGTCCTCACCCCCCGCCAAAAAAGATATACGCCATGTTCATAAATTGAAAAGCTATTGTTAAATTCTCCTCAAATTGGTCTAGAAATTTAACACATCACAATCCAAATCTCAGAATTTTTTTAGATATTGATGTTAATATCCTTGCCCATCAGTAGTGACAGAAGCATCGATCTTACCAGCCAAATATAAATGGACTCTCCTTTGTTAAACCCTCAGCAGTCACCCATACAGGACATTCATGTATTAGATTATGTGAAATGACTATAGTCATCCGCTAAATTAATGCAGAACATTAATAATGAAGTTTTATCAGGGCCTTCCATTCACAGGCATAAGAGGTCTTATCAACTGACTTTGATGTTACCTGCCTGGATCTAACCCTGGAGACTAGATCCACATCGACATTCACCAGAGAAAATCACTTGGACCTTGCTCTTTAAGGGGCCACACTAAGTCCTATCTACCCCCCACCACTGCTATAAAGTGCCAGAGCTTTCGGTCTTGGGTCCATGCTTCCCACTGCCAGAGACTTCACTTATTGCCTGCAGCAGACAACATTAGTGAAGCTCTCATTAACCACTCAAGTTTGCTGTCGTCTTCCATGACCTTCCCCATGAAATGGATACAAAGATAAGCATTACACATGGGTATCACTTCCTTGCATTAGCCAATTATCAGGATTTCCACTAGTTATATGTTCACTGGGTAAGATCCTTAAAATTCAGATGTCACAAAGATTAACTAATGGGTTTTCGATCTCGAGGTCATGGACACATCCACCAAGTACCCTGTATATCAGGAATAGATCCTTCTTATCTTTTTTAAGTACTCTAAGAATCAGATTACCAGATCTGTCTTGCCATTTGCTCTGTAACTGGTCTCGTCTTTCCAGCTGGCCCTTTGGGCTGCTAAAAGCAGTTTATCTCACAACCTTTAGTCCTTTGCTACTCAAAGTATGGCTCACAGACCAGCAGCATTAATATCACCAGGAAACTTGTTAGAAATGCAGAATCTCAGGCCCCACTCCAGATCTGCTGAACCAGTCTGCATTTGCTCAAGATCTCCAGGTGATTCGCATCAGGAGCATTGCTTACAAAGATTTAACCTTACTTTCCATTGGTTAAGTGAGTCCTTATCAAGCCAACCCTGATCCAAGAGTAACAATCAAGTTCAGCTGTGCACCACAGCAAATGAGGCATCACCTGATGGTTCTTAATGGGTGGTTGTTCCTATTTGTTGCTTTTGTTGGTCACTGAGAGTTGGTTTTAAGATTAAAGGGACCTTTTTCTCCAAAGGAAGATTTGCCACACCAAAGCAGGAAAGGCAATGGTTTACCAAACAAAAAAACCCTAGGCCCTTTTATAAGTCTAATGTTTACCCAAACACAGAAACATAAGATGTTTCTTTCCTCTATGCTCCAAAATATTAGGTCAGAGTTAGAAAGGAGAATCCATAGGCAGGTAACTTTTTGTTAACACCTTGCAAATGGTGATACTTGCAACGCCTGGCAAATGGTGACGCCTTGGACGTATTACTCAACAAATTTTCCATGGCAGGCCCATGGATCCAACCTCATAGACAATTCCAGTATGTCTGTCTTACATCTGACACTATACGAGGTTTATTGTAACATCCACTAATGGCTTATATAAGTGAGTTAAGCACTTTTAATTACAACTATCCCCCAAAGAAACTGAATTTCCTGTTTCTGTTGATGTGATCATATAGTTTTTCTCCTTTAATCTGTAGAGAGGTAAATTACATATTTTTATTAAAACATCCTCCTGTTCCTGGGAAAGATTCTCCTTTTGCTCATGATACAATATTTTATGCACTGCTACATTCAATGTGCCAATATTTCATCAGCAATTTTTCCATCTATGTTCATAAACAAGATTGGTCTATTAATATTTCACAGTCTTTGCTCAAGTGTAGCTTTGAGATTTTACTAACTTTCTGAAATGGGTTGGGTAGCTTTCTCTCATTTCAAAGTTTCTATAAGACAGGAATTATCAGTTTCTTGATGTTTTGGTAACATTCATCTTTCAAAAATTGTCTTTTGGCGAGGTGGACTTGTGATTACTGATTCCACTTCCTTAGTGGTTGATTTAAATTGTCAAAATCTTAGATGGATCTTCTACTGTTTTCCTAGAAATATATCCATTTCTTCTCCACTTACAAAATTTTTATCATAAAGTTAATGGTATTCTTATGATTATTTTAAATCTCTATTGGTAGTTATGTCCTTTAAAAAAAAATCTAAATACTGTTTATTTGGGCCTTTTCCTTTCCTGACTGGAGGTTTATCTGAAGGGTCCCTTCTGCTGCAGCCTGCAAAGCCTCCATCAAGGGACACCCACTAGCTGGTTGCTGCCACAGCTGTGGCTTTACCTACCCCAGCTAACCCAGCGAGTATTAGTCCATCCCCACACTGCTATAAAGAACTGCCTGAGACGGGGTAATTTATAATAAAAAGGATTGACTCACAGTTCCGCAAGGCTGCAGAAGCCTCCAGAAACTCACAATCATGGTGGAAGGCACCTCTTCACAGGGCAGCAGGAAGAATGAATGCAGGAGGAACTACCAAATACTTATAAAACCATCAGATCTCATGGGAACTATCACGAGAACAGCATGGGAGAAACCAACCCCATGATCCAATTACTTTCATCTGGTCTCTCCCTTAACATGTTGAGATTATAATTCAAGATGAGATTTGTGCGGTGGGGACAGAAAGCCTAACCATTATCAGTATGTTTGCTTGTTTACTTCTATTTTAAACTTTAAAATAAACCCGTAACTTTAGCAGTGCTGTTTTGCTACTCCTCTTAAATTCTCTCATTTTCTTGTGTATTTCATCCTTTTGCTAGTTTTGCACTGGTTACTACTCAGTTTCTTTGTTGTACTGAGTCATTTAAGTATCATTTTGAGAATGGAAAAAAATGTTATTAAGTTCATTATTCCTTATGTATTTACTGAGCATACAATTGTTATAGAAGGCAGAAAGAATTTAGGTAGACAGGGTAAAGCGAGTCCCCGGCAGAAAACTTTTCTTTTAACAAACAGCAGCTCAAATATAGCTCTTTTTGACCTCATGCAGTTAACCCCAGTAAAACAGTGGCCCTTAATAAGCACATTCCTTTCCCTTTAGGGGCACTAAGATAAGGAAGCTAAAAGCAGACCGGGGGGATGCCTGCAGCTGCAAGATGTATGGGAACAGACAGAGAAACTCTCCCTTCCAGATAAGCTGGACGAAGACAACATAGAATAAGAGTCTAAGAGCCTATGTGGTCAAGGAATGGGATAAGAGCTGATAAAAAGCTATGCTCTGTACAGATAGCACACCTGGTCCCAACTAAAGCGTCCTCGGACCCTAGGAGGATAAGATATCCCCTCCTCATGAGCCCCCTCCTCACTAGCCCATTTATAAAAACCCTGACATTTTTACTACAACTTGGCAACCTGCTCGGAACCCCTCTCTGTAACAGAGCTGTTTCCTTTTGCCTATTAAACTCCTGCTCCAAACTGTGTGTGTCTGCGACCTCGATCTCCTTGGCCATGAGACCAAGAACCTTGGTATTTACCCCAGACAATGAGGCTGCTTCACAATTACAGGTGCCTACTACATACTGGCCATTATGGAGATACTGAGAGTAAAGAGATGAAAAGAAATAGTTCATATTAAACCAGATATGTTTATGCTGTAATACAGACATATTTTTCTCTGTCCCATCCTATTTTATAGTTATATAATCATATGGGCTCCATTTCTGGAGTACAGTTTTGGACAAATAATTTCATACCATACTGTATTTTCATGCAATACTGTAACTGTAGAACTCTATATTAAGTATTTTCATGTAGTACTATAACTGTCACATTCTGAATTCCATAATGAGAGACATCTAAGTACAAAACCATGGCAAGAATACTGTGGCTTTTTATATTTGAGTCAAACTTAAAAATGTCCTGGCCTCATAAACTGTTTCCAAAAAAAACCTTCTCAGCATTTTTAACTTATAAGTAGATGGCAACATTTTAATCAAAACAACAAAATTTCTGATATTATCTGTGACAAATGCAGGAAATGTACTTCCACTCTCAAAAAATAACCCTTGAATGAACACAACTCTCACGTGGAAGTTTATTTTACTGGGGTGAAACTCTGTATTTTTGCTAAATAATTGCTAATTTAACAAAGTAAAAGACAGCTGTCACAATTCCCAATATAAACAACAGCTTTTCCAAGTCAACCAAAAAGAGTAGAGTTTTGCACCAAAAACTGACAATCTTGTCTTTTGCTATTAAAAACCTATGGTTAGCAATTGCTAAAGAACTGTGGAGACTCTAGAAAGAGGGGGGTGGTACATATGTTCAATTCTTTTTTCCAAACATGTCAATAGAACAGAAGGTACAGTAGTTTATGAATGCCAGAACTAAGCAAACTAGTGGTTTGCTTTTTTTAACATGCAAAAAATTCTTCACACAGTATTAATTATATTATTTTTCAAGTGCATTGGGTTTGACTGTAAGAAAATTAATTATTGGGACCAGAAATTAATAAGACATGATTAAAAGTTCCTCCAGCAAAAGTCATGTTTGCAAACTACCTAACTCAACCCTGATTACCCATATGTAGAAACTTCACACTTACATCACAATTAAAGACATAAACTGAAATTAGTTGGCTGATTTTTGGCTTCCTCTGATTAGTCATTCACAGAGCAACAGTGGGACCTTAAAACTAACAGTTTTCCCAGCTATTTACCTCTGGAGTTCTGTTACGGAACTTGTTGGCTTCAACAATGAAGGGAAATTGTGCTGCCTATATCCCATCAATTAAAAATAGGATAGGAATTTATTTTTGACTATAGTAGTTCTGCCATTCAATTGGTACAAGCAGAGGGTAATGCTGGTTAAATTAAGACTTTTTTTTTTTTTTTTTACAGTTATACTGTGGAAAGTTATTCAAATTTCAAATTTATTTACAGTGTTTGAAAAGCACACAACAGAAGATCTTCATTTATGCAACAAGTCAATCATTTGCAGTATGTATGGAAAATAAAAATCTAAGGTAAGTCAAACATACAAACTCTACCTCTTGCTTTCTCCATTAGAATATACACATTGGAAATCTAAGTTCCAAACAGTTCCTCTCTACTGAAGATAGTGAAATTTAGTGCAAGCCCCCTAATTACCAATTTTTTGGATGCTTACAAAATGTTGAGCCTTGATGGTGGAAGAGGATTCTATTTAAAAGAGATGACTATATTTTTAAAAGGCTAAATTGACTCAGTTTATTTTCAAAAGAAGGGTTGATCCATGTTTTCAGTTTATTGCCATACAGAAAACATTTTATAAAATAATATGGTAGACTTCTACTTCAACATATTCACGTAAAAACATCACAGTGCAAGAAAGTGATCACAATTAAGCATGAAGACATCAAAAGCCAGCCAGTATTTTAACTACAGAGCAGAATATTCTTGCTGTCCCTTCCTAGAAAATGTTGGCACATTCATTAACTGCTCAGGTTACAAAAATCACTTCGTGTCCACTTCCTGTCCTTCAATATATTTTCATAACTACACTGTGTTACATTAATGCTGGTGGACAAATTAGCTCCTATAAAATCTAAAAACCTTTCAGGTGGCACAATGATTTAAAACCAACTAGGAAAAAGCTCTCCCAGAATATTTTTGTATGTAATATTCTGTCCATTACCACAATAACAGAGTAAAAAGCTGTTTTACCTTAAAAATAAGCTAAAGGAAGATAATTTCATTTTTCCTTTAAAACATTTCTTAGCTTTTAAATAGAGAGAAAAAGTTTAAATTTTCTTGGGGGAGGAGAATATTTCATAAGTAAAAACATCAAATGTTGTACAAATGTTTCATTTAGGAAACAAATACTTAGATTCAAAGGATTCTAAAACATTTCAACATTATAAGAAAACTGTAATTTAAAGCTAAAAAATTGTAATACATCGAACTAATATAAATTACTCATTAACATGTTCTATTGTTTTTCACAAAATCCATAATTAAGGAATAGTGGGTTAGGTGAGACATTTTTCCCAACATTTGGTCAGATTAGCTAAGCAGCTCTGGGCAAAGGATGCCTCCTCTGAATCAGGATCTTGGCCTCTTAAATGAGGGCACTGGACTAACTGCCCATTCACATCCCTCTAATCTACACATTTATCACAACTGTTCATCTTATATAATCCTTCCAAGGATGAAGTGTTTCAACTCAGTGTATTTTCCAGACAAAGCTCCCCTGTTTAAGTGGCAAAACTCTTCTTTAAACTTTAAAATTTTTACTTTAAAATGTTATTTCCAATATTATTTCCTGCCACCTTAGAAGATGTTGAGGGATAACTAACAACACAGTCTCTAAATGACACAGTCTCCTGGACTTGCCAGCTGATGACAGGATCTGCAGATACGTCTCAGGCTCTGCTCCAATTCTGAGCAACTCTGGGCCACACTGAGTGAGAAAGAGAATGATACCACCTACACTGTATCGCTTTGTTTCAAAGACCAATAGAGTTATAATATATCAAAGTATTTGTAAAGTACAAATTACCATACAAATGCCAAGGACTGCTGTAATAAACCTAAGCAAACTTTTCCCTGATAATGAAATCTGGATAGTTTTAGAAAATATATGTTGTTTGTCAAGACTTGTGCAATAGGCCATGTGTGGTGGCTCACGCCTGTAATCCCAGCACTTTCAGAGACTCAGGCAGGAGGATTTCTTGAGCTCAGGAGTTCAACACTAGCCTGGGAACATACTGAGACCTCATCTCCACAAGAAATCAAAAAATTAGCTGGGTGTGGTAGTGCACAACTGTAGTTCCAGCTATATGGGAGGCTGAGGTGGAAGGATTACTTGAGCCCAGAAGATTGAAGCTGCAGTGAGCCTTGACCATGCCACTGTACTCCATCCTGGGCAAAAGAGCGAGACCCTGTCTTGAAAAAAAAAAAAGAAAAAAGAAAAAAAGACACGTGCAATGATGGCTCTGATGCTTTGGTTACGTGGCATTTTGTTCTTCTGCTTCTAATTATGCTTCTAATTGCACCAGGTGTGGGATTCAGTTTCTGTCTCCTCGAGTCTATAAATCTGACTTTAAATAGGTGGAAACCAAAACCTACAGATGTTACTTTAGCAAATGCTGTGTCATCACTGTTTACTTTGAAAGAGTGGTTCCCAACCTAGGGTAGGCATCAGACTTACCTTGGAAGCATTTTAAAAAGTGAGATTTCTAGGCTCTAGCCCTAGGGATTCCGATTCAGTGTATCTGGAGTAGGATGCAGAAAAGCTCTATTTTTTTCCAAAAGCTTTCTAGGTAATCTCAACAAGCAATCAGTTCAGTTTTGGAGACATATTACTTTGCCCTCAATTTCTTCTCTATTTTAGTAGCTGCTAGTTTGTTTGTTTGTTTTCAGTATAAAAATTTCCCCTTGCATTAATCAGAAGTACACTTAGAAAAGATGGCCCATGATTTTGGCATAGATCCACAGAGAGCTAGTCATTACACTTCTTTACAATAAAATTTAAAAATGGTAAATTAACCTCAGAGCTAAGACAATGCATGTAGACGCCGAAGGGTGGCTGGTTCTGTGATTACAGGCCAACTGTTTTCTGCTTTACTTGTAGTCAAGTCACTGATAAACATGAAGACCATATTACAGCTGTCACTACCGAATAAAAGATGGCAGAACTCCTCCAAATAACAGGAAGATGGCTAACCAGCTAATCACTATCATTTAGAAAATGTTTCTAGCAAACATAAATGAAAGTATTTCTTAAAAAAAAAAAACTAGTTTCCTATAGAAACCCGAAGATTTCCACACTTCTGAAGTCTACCACAAAGTGAAAAGTTGCCCAAAACTACAGTTGTTTAAAAATATGTTCAATTAACTGTGAAAATATAAGTGTAAAATAGGTGCAATTTCATCCTTTAGGAGGTTTAACGGGCACAAATGGAATTCAGTTTCCATTTATTCTACTCAAATAGTTTTGTGAAAACGATAAATAAAGTACTTGGTATAATATAGTTCTGAACACCATACCTTCCAAATTTAATACAAAAGCCACATTTGGATTTTCCGATGTCCCAAGTGTGTCTAGGCACTGCGGAACGTCGTCATGTCTTTGGGTTCTCTGCTGGGGACGCACCAGTCATCAGCCTCGTGGTTGGTGTTGTAATGCTTCCAGGCAGCTTTGTTATACACTGGGAGTCTTTCTATTGAGTCTGTTGACAGAGCCTGAAAAAGAAAAACCTAAGACCTATTAAGTCTGGCATTTTTTAGAATTCATTATTTGAGAAAATAGACAATGGCAAAAAGGTTACGACAAATTAAATAATATTCTATTAGTATCTTATTAATCCTTATACCACCTAAATATACTTTTAAATGGTATGTATATTTGAAACGTGTTATTTATGAAATCTATGGCACTGACTGATGTGCAGGTTGACTGAGTTTGTTGCTTACAGTAATTCCCCAGCCATCCTGGAAGCTGCTGGACTGAAATTTTACACAAAACATGACCCAGATCAGAGTTGGCTAACTGAAGAAGTTGGTTAAATGTAAAAGCATACAAATCGATATATGTATCTTAATAGATGCACATAAATTTAATGAACTCTATTTTAATTATTTACTAGAAGAAATAGTGTTTTTTTCAGCATAGTCACTGTGCTTTAAAAAAAACTCATCACAAGCCAGGCACGGTGGCTTATGCCTATAATCCCAGTGCTTTGGGAGGCTTACACAGGAAGATTGCTTGAGCTCAGGAGTTGGAGACCAGCCTGGGCAACATAGCAAGATCCTGTCTCTACAAAAAATAAAAATATCAGCTGGACATGGTGGCACATGGGTGTAGTCCTAACTACTTGGGAGACTGAGAGAGGAGGATCACTTGAAGCCCAGGGGTTCAAGGCTGTAGTGAATTATGATTGTACCACTGCACTCCGGCCTGGCAACAAAGCAAGATATTGACTCTATAAATACATAAAAATTTAAAAACTCATTATAACATTATTAATAAATAGAAATCTATGTCTAAGGCATCTTAGCTTTTTCGTGAACATTTATTGGCCCTGGGTTTGAATCTGTGTCTTCTCCGGCCTCCAATTTCAGTCACTGTGCACAAGATTTCTGCATCATGCATGATTTCAGTTTTCCATATATTATTACCAGTAATTCTCCATTGTATTTCAGCTTCCTATAAGTCACTGGAACCTGAGATAAACTACATTTCTAGTTATCTTCTTCAAGTTAGGATTTTTCAGTAGTATTTCCATCCCAGGCCAAAGGCATTTCCTAAGATGCAGAACACCCTGAACAAGAAAATCTCATTCTGATAATGCTAAAGTCTTTGATGTTGACAATTTTAATGATTCTCTAAGACTTCTTATCTTCTATTTTCCCTAAGGTAGAACAAAAAACCTTTCACCTCCATATTTCTCTAAATATTCCAGAATTTCTTGATCTACAGGCTAGATCAAGCTTGTCCAATCCACAGCCCACAGGCTGCATGCGGCCCAGGATGGCTTTGAATGAAGCTCAACACATTTGTAAACTTTCTTAAAACATTATGAGATTTTTTTTTGTGCAATCTTTTTTAAGCTCATCAGCTATCATTAGTGTATTTTATGTGTGGCACAAGACAGCTGTTCTTCCACTGTGGCCCAGGGAAGCCATAAGATTGGACACTCCTGGGCTAGATCAAAATGTTACATTTTGTCATAAAAACATTGCACTAGGCCAGGTGTGGTGGCTCATGCCTGTAATCCCAGCACTTTGGGAGGCCAAGGCAAGCGGATCACCTGAGGTCAGGAGTTCGAGATCAGCCTAGCCAGCGTGGTCAAACCCCATCTCTACTAAAAATACAAAATTAGTCAGGCGCCTGTAATCCCAGCTATTCGGAAGGCTGAGGCAGGAGAACAGCTTGAACCCGGGAGGCGGAGGTTGCAGTGAGCCGAGATCATGCCATTGCACTCCAGCTTACGTGACACAGAGCAAGACTCCGTCTCAAAAAAAAAAAAAAAAGAAAAACATTGCATTGATGTTGCCCTTTTCCCTCGCAATTGACATGGTTAAAAAAACAAAAAATACCATCTAGAAAGAATTTAGTCTTTTCAGATATTTTTTCCAATATAAATTCTTCAACATTTCCTATAAAATAGATGCCATCTAGTGGCCAGAACAAGAAACTAGAGTCACTAAATCAGGCATAAACAGCCACCAGTTAGCCGAAGAAGGGGAATGATGGAACCTAGTGTTTTTCCACCATGTAAAATGTGTGGAACCCTCCTTAATGCATTGAACACTCCAGGCAAGCAGACTAAGTGCTTCTGTGTCCATTAGGTAAGCTATATGCTTACCAAGAGTCACTTGTGCTTGTTCCCAAATCTGTTTGTACAATTCTGTCATGATAATTACAAAATTTATTACATAAGCAAAGAATAAAAAGGGGAATGTTTCCTTGAAAACTAAGATGAATGTTTTGGAAAGACTCATGAAGGAAAGTCACATAAAACTTGCTGTCAAATCAGTCAGGAGGTATCTGTAAAGGACTGCATAAAAGTCCAAAAAGAGTATGCACTTGTTGGTTTAAAGAAACTAAAATGATGCACTGTCAGTACAGCTTTTGCAAAAAAGACAATGTGACACTCCAATCTGCAGACCCATATACAAAAAAAAAGCCTTGGCAGTACATCAAAAGTTTGGCGTTATCAATGTCCATTCATGTGTTTTATGTTAAAATTAAACTTGTATGATATATAACTTATGATTCTCTACTTTAACCCAATTTTTTTCCTATTAATAGACAGAGTCCTAATCACTCCAGGATACAAATCTCTTTCCCCATAGTTTTAGGGGATCATCTATCAAAATGGGTGAGATCCCCAGCAAAAAACCATAGTTTTTTTCTATTTAAACAGCATGTGGTAGAGTTAAATTTCATTACAGTTAAGTATGGACATCTGTTCTTATCATCAAAAGAAATATTAAATCAAGAAGACTACAGCTATTACCTTAATGTAGATAACTGCATCTGTCCCGTAACCCTCTAGGGAATACAGCTTCAGGTCTCCTTGGAAGTATTGTGCGTAAAGACGTGATATGGGCAATCCATAACCAAAACCAGCCTGTTTGATGAGAAAAACAAAATTCTATTCAGAAAGACACACACTGAAATACTTTTCTAATTAAGATAGATGCCATTGAGTACCACGGGGCTATCAGAGCCCGCA
Organism: Homo sapiens; assembly: GCF_000001405.40. NCBI lineage: Eukaryota > Metazoa > Chordata > Mammalia > Primates > Hominidae > Homo > Homo sapiens. The sequence goes on along the minus strand of NC_000002.12, from coordinate 172,592,829 downwards.
TCTGAGAGATGCATTATATTTAATATAATTAATATTTAAGCATTGACAATGATTAAGCTGAGGTTTACTTGAGTACTGTATCAGCTGACTTCCCTCTGGTCATTTAAAACTCTTTATTCTTTCTATAAAATGACTTGTGGTTGGTCTCGAAAAAGCATATTGCTTTTCCTTGCTGGCCTGCTCGGTCGTATTGTGTCTGGAATTGGTTCCTTCCAGTGGGTTCTTGGTCTGCGGACTTCTCCAGGAGAGGGGAGAAGAGCAGCATAAGCAGCTGGCAGAGGCAGGGAAAGACCAGCAGAAAGGAAAGAGAGAAAGAGACAGAAAGTCAGAGAGAGAGACAGAGGAAGAGAGAGACAAAGAGGGAGTCAGAGAGAAAGAAAGAAAGAGACAAAGTCAGAGACAGAGAGAGGAAGAGACAGGGACAAAGAGGGAGTCAGAGAGAGAGAGAAAGAGAGACACAAAAAGTCAGAGAGAGGAAGAGACAAAGAGGAGTCAGAAAGAGAGAGGCAAAGAAGTCAAAGAGAAAGAGAGATAGAAGTAGTAAAGAAAAAACAGTGTACCCTATTCCTTCAAAAGCCAGGGTAAATTTAAAACCTATAACTGATAATTGAAGGTCTTCTCTGTAACCCTATAACACTCCAATACCACCTTGTTGTCAGTGTAAACAAGGGCATAGCCCGGAAGCACTGAGACCACTGACAACCCGTAGCTTTCCTATCAAAAATCCTTAACCCAGCAGGTTTCCTAACAGGGGATCTAAATCTGAAGGTCCGACCAGACACAGGAGGAACTCCCTTCAGGACAGGACAATAGATGTTTCCTCCCAGGCGATTAAGGGAAAAAGACACAATGGGTACTCAGTAAGTAATAAGGAAACTATTGTAGAAGCAGAGTTAGGAAAATTGCCTAATAATTGGTCTGCTCAAATATGCGAGCTGTTTGCACTCAGCCAAACCTTAAAGTACTTACAGAATCAGGAAGGAGCCATCTATACCAATTTTAAGTTAATATGGACTGAACGAGGTCTTATTAATAGCAAGGAATAATTGAAATTCCAAACTTACAAGGTTTTCAACAAAAGTAAAGTTTGCTAAAAGTTAACAGTGTAACATTTATTATCTTAACTTCTAATCTTATGGAAATCAGACCCTATCAGTGCCCCTCAAAGCTCAAGTCCATCAGCGCAGGGCCATACAACTAATACCCCTACTTACAGAGTTAGAAATGGCCACTGCTACAGGAACCGGAACAGCCAGTTTATCTACTTCATTATCCTACTACCAAACACTCTCAAAGGATTTCTTAGACAGTTTGCAAGAAATAACGAAATCTATCCTTACTCTACAATCCCAAATAGACTCTTTGGCAGCAGTGACTCTCCAAAACCGCCAAGGCCTAAACCTCCTCACTGCTGAGAATGGAGGACTCTGCACCTTCTTAGGAGAAGAATGTTGTTTTTACACTAACCAGTCAGGGATAGTATGAGATGCCGCCCGGCGTTTACAGGAAAAGTCTTCCGAAATCAGACAACACCTTTCAAACTCTTATACCAACCTCTGGAGTTGGGCAACATGGCTTCTCCCCTTTCTAGGTCCTGTGACAGCCATCTTGCTATTACTCACCTTCGGACCCTGTATTTTTAACCTCCTTGTCAAATTTGTTTCCTCTAGAATCAAGGCCATCAAGCTATAGATGGTCTTACAAATGGAATCCCAAATGAACTCAACTAACAACTTCTATCAAGGACCCCTGGACTGACCCGCTGGCCCTTTCACTGGCCTAAAGAGTTCCCCTCTGGAGGACACTACAACTGCAGGGCCCCTTCTTTGCCCCTATCCAGCAAGAAGTAGCTACAGCGGTCATCGCCCAATTCCCAACAACAGTTGGGGTATACTGTTTAGAGGGGGGATGGAGAGGTGAAGCCAGTTGGGCTTCTGGGTCGGGTGGGGACTTGGAGAACTTTTCTGTCTAGCTAAAGGATTGTAAATGCACCAATCAGCACTCTGTGTCTAGCTAAAGGTTTGTAAACACACCAATCAGCACTCTGTAAAATGGACCAATCAGCAGGACATGGGTGGGGCCAAATAAGGGAATAAAAGCTGGCCACCCCAGCCAGCAGTGGCAACCCGCTCGGGTCCCCTTCCACACTGCGGAAACTTTGTTCTTTCACTCTTCACAATAAATCTTACTGCTGCTCACTCTTTGGGTCTGCACTATCTTTATGAGCCGTAACACTCACCACGAAGGTCTGCAGCTTCACTCCTGAAGTCAGCGAGACCATGAACCCACCAGGAGGAACAAACAACTCCAGACATGCCACCTTTAAGAGCTGTAACACTCACTGCGAAGGTCTGTGGCTTCACTCCTGAGGTCAAGCAAGACCACAAACCCACCGAAGAAAGAAACTCTGGACACATCTAAACATCTGAAGGAACAAACTCCAGACACACCATCTTTAAAAACTGTAACACTCACCATGAGGGTCCGCAGCTTCATTCTCAAAGTCAGCAAGACCAAGAACCTACCAGAAGAAACCAATTCCGGATATGGTATCTCAATACTGCTCTTGGCAATATCATATAAAATGTGTTATCTCTTTTAGGAGCAAGAGTAGAAAATGGCTTGTTGCAGCCTAATAGATATATCTCATGACTTAATATCATAAATTTCCAGCCACATTCTGAGCCTGGAGATATCTCTAATATAGATCTACTTTCTTAATTCTCACTGACGGGTCACTTTTCCACTTAAAAATCTTCAAAACATACCAGCACTCCCACCACCCCTACCCCACTGTCTTAGAAATCAAAACCTAAGCTTCTAAAAAGAGCTTTCTAGACCTGGTAAGATCAGGTCTCTGCCTCCCACTTTCCAGTCCAGCACAACTACACCTCTTGCTCTTAAGTTCCTTAAACATATCATTCCGTGTCTGTTCATTTTGGTCCCAGTATCCAGAATAGCCTCTTTATCTGGATAAATCCTACCAATTCCTTAATACAAAACAAAACATCTGGATAAATGGGAAAATGGTTTTTATTACCAAGTCATATGTTTGATGACATTCCATATAGCATGCTAACTATGAGCTTGTATGGACTCAAGAATCAGAGTGCTATTCACAAACCCAGGCTCCAGCTTTACCTAACTCCACCAACTATAACTTGACTTTTCTACCCAGAGTCTCTGTTTGCCCGTACAAATCAACTATTCCATTTCACACCTCCCTGCCCTGGGAGGCTAACCTGGATTGTCACTGGATTCCCATGCCCTCTGCTTACAGCATGTCTTGGAAAACCCAGCAGGAGTTCAGAGGAAGTCAAGGTGGGTATTTACTCCCCTGGTTCCTTCCCTGAGGTTGCCTTGGGCAGGCCGGGCCCCTGGAGAGTAAGCAGCTACTCTGCAGCTTTCCCTTCCTCTGGGTTCTGCTAACTTTGCCTTCTCCTCATCCCTCATGATCCAAGGTGGTGATAGCTTTGCTGCTGCTAGCCCTGGGTTCCTGTGCTATCTTTACCTACACCTATGTAATTAGTTTCTTTGTAAAAAGGCCTTCTTTCATAATTTGAGTGAGCTACCTCTTTCCTGTTGTGACTCTGAGCGATACATTAACTGGTCTTAGAAGTGGCCCGAAGAAAACTGTATGAGCAGGTGGTTCAGGCTCCCATGATACCTGACCTACTTTACCACGTGCTCTCTCTTGACCATACTTATGGGCTGACTCATAGGGCTTCCCCTATAACCAGTTAACAGGGAAGAAAAACAACATGGGCCTAGTCCACTGGTGGATCTACCCCATGTGCTATCACCATCTGAAAGTAAGCTGCCGTTTTCCTACTACAATCCCTCTCAAGGTTGGAGGGCAGGCCTGAAAGACAGCAGTGAAAGTAAACCCTTCCAGCATGGGCAGTGGCAAAACAAGTGGCTGGCTTGTTAAGGACTTGGAAAGAACAAAACTGAGTGAAGGATGAGAAGGAGGTCTGGAACAGAGATGTGTGGATGTTCCTCTCCGGACTTACAGTGTGAAGATAGCCTATCCATGCAAAGACCCACAAGAAGGTATCCACAGGGAGGAAGCCCTCCGTAACCAGGTAGACAAGAAAGCCACTCCTGTGGGCATCAGCTGGCCTTTCTCCAGCTACCCTACTGCCTGCTGACTGGGACCATCTACAAAGCGATGTCAGCAGAAAGGAGGCTCTGCAAGAAATTAGTAACAGTCTTAGCCTTGTTAAGGGCATGTAGATGTATGGAGGAGCCTGTTCCAGGTCAAGCCTCCTATTTTCTTAAAAATTCACATACATTTTACATCCTAAAATAACACACACTTACATGGCATTTACCATGAGCCAGGCACCATAAAGAGCATTTTTACATGTATCAACTCACTTAATTCTCACAATAACTCCATTTTTCTAAGTGGGGAATCTGTGGCATCCAGAGGTCAATAATTTTCCCAAGGCTGCACATCTAAGATGCAGCAGTATCAGAAACAGAACCAAAGAGTTTAGATCCAGAGTCTGGACTAGCTCACTATGCCGCTCTCCATAAAAATTCTACAATATTCGTTTACTACAAAAACAGCAGCTCCCTTCTATCCCTCTACTTTTTAGGATAAAACTAGACTTGTAAAAAGATGCTCATGTTTATCATTTGACATTGTCTGTCTGCCCCTTGACATATGGATGCCAACTCCTGGAGGGCATGTATCTGAATTGGAGAAGGACATTACTAGAGCAAGCATTTCAACTATAGTACAGCTGCAGCCATAGCATTTGTGCTATGCATCAGGCAAAACTGAGAGGTGAAACCAGCTGGACTGGGCTTCTGGGTCGGGTGGGGACTTGGAGAACTTTTCTGTCTAGCTAAAGGATCGTAAACATACCAATCAGCACTCTGTGTCTAGCTAAAGGATTGTAAATGCACCAATTGGCGCTCTTCGTCTAGCTAATCGGGTGGGGACTTGGAGAACTTTTGTATCTAGCTAAAGGATTGTAAATGCACCAATCAGCACTCTGTGTCTAGCTAGCTAAAGGTTTGTAAACACACCAATCAGCACTCTGTAAAAACACACCAATCAGCTCTCTGTAAAATGGACCAATCAGCTCTCTATAAAATAGACCAATCAGCAGGATGTGGGTGGGGCCAGATAAGTGAATAAAAGCAGGCCCCCACAGCCAGCAGCGGCAAGCCACTCTGGTACCCTTCCAGGCTGTAGAAGCTTTGTTCTTTTGCTCTTCACAATAAATCTTGCTGCTGCTCACTCTTTGGGTCCACACTACCTTTATGAGCTGTAACACTCACCGCGAAGGTCTGCAGCTTCACTCCTGAAGCCACCGAGACCACGAACCCACCCAGAAGAACAAACAACTCTGGACGTGCCACCTTTATGAGCTGCAACACTCACCACAAAGGTCTGCAGCTTCACTCCTGAAGCCAGCAAGACCACGAACCCACTGAGAGGAACAAACAACTCCAGACGCCCTGCCTTTATGAGCTGTAACACTCTCCGTGAAGGTCTGCAGCTTCACTCCTGAAGCCAGCAAAACCAGGAACTCACCGGGAGGAAGAAACTCCAGACACATCTGAACATCTGAAGTAACTCTGGATACACCATCTTTAAGAACTGTAACACTGCGAGGGTCCGCAGCTTCATTCTTGAAGTCAGCAAGACCAAAAACCCACCAATTCCGGACACAAAACTATCAGAATAAAGTCCTAGTAACTTCCTAGGAAGGGGTCTAAAATAGATCTATCTTGTACTATACCCCCATCATGTTACAGCATAACTCTACTGGAAATGTCAGAGAAGTTTCCAAGCCTAGAAGAATAGAGTTCTTCTAGAATTACAGACAAAATTTTGGCAACATACTTTTTGTGGGGGAGTTAGAACATAAAGATAAGGATGGAGTCAATTCAAAAGTTGATCCTATTAAACCTGAAAATAGGTGGAACTAAGATTAACAAAACACCATCAAAGCAATTATAATTTAAGCCTTCAGGTTGGTGATTGAACAGATTAGAATTTTAGTCTTATTTTTCAGTCTAGGATATGAGATCATTCTAATGACAAGTACTTGAGAAAAAAGTCAACACTAAAAAGTAATTCAGTGTTGACCAAACACTACTAAAACCAGTAATTTATTCCCCACATTAGAAATAATGTGGTTAACCATATTTCAAAATGTGGTTTTACACAGGAAAACTACTGCTATATCACGATCAAACTTTGTAACAAGAACTCCAAATCTCTGTCTCGTGCCCATTTCAGTTGGAAAAAAAAAAAAGTATTCTGAAGGCTGTTTAAATTTAGGGGAAAGTGTGCATTTCTAAGAGCTTCTTTCTTCCTTGTGGAGTACCCTACATGACGGCTTAACTTACTTATTTGGCAGCTACAGCATGTGGAAGGCAATTCACAGAAACACACTTCATTATTTCTTGATAACATACCAGAGGCACTGCGCGGGAGGTCTCAACACGAGGTCTTGGTGCAGTTGAATACATGTAGTTGAAAAGTCTGTCAATTTTCCTCAAAGGAACGCCACCTCCTCGGTCACTCATCTAAGGTAAGAAAAGGATCGTGCTCTATGCCCAAATCCTCAAAACAGCAAAATATCAACACATACTCATAGCATCACAGTTTAACTGCTGGTGGGAGAGCGCTTTTTTTTTTTTTTTTTGAGACAGAGTCTCGCTTTGTCGCCCAGGCTGGAGTGCAGTGGTGCGACCTCAGCTCACTGCAACCTCTGCTTCCCGGGTTCATGCCATTCTCCTGCCTCAGCCTCCCGAGTAACTGGGACTACAGGCGCCTGCCACCATGCCCGGCTAATTTTTTTTAGTAGAGGCAGGGTTTCACCATGTTAGCCAGAATGGTCTCGTTCTCCTGACCTCATGATCTGCCTGTCTTGGCCTCCCAAAGTGCTGGGATTATAGGCATGAGCCACCGCACCCAGCCTGAGTGCTGCTTTTGAAAATGAATACAACACAATCCAAGTTGCCAATATAAGCATTTCCCTCGCTGTTGAACCCAACCCAACTCCTCTAATATGTGAAACTCTAATACATAAACTCCATCATAATACTGCTGTGGCTTTGTATATTTCCGGGAGTCTCATTAACAGTGCATTATAGCACAGAACTGGGCACAAGTTAACCCTATCTTGTATGTAACTATAAATCTGTTACTCCTTTCTGGTGGGCAGCATGGTGACTAGAAGCAAATTAAACATGCACACCTGTAATCCCAGCACTTTGGAAGGCAGAGATGGGTGAATCACTTGAGGTCAGGAGTTCAAGACCAGTTTGGCCCACACAGCGAAACCCCATCTCTACTAAAAATATAACAATTAGCCAGGTGTGGTGGCACATGCCTGTAGTCCCAGCTACTTGGGAGGCTGAGGCAGAACAATTGCTTGAACCCAGGAGATGGAGGTCACAGTGAGCCAAGATCGTACCACTGCACTCCAGCGTGGGTGACAGAGCAAGACTCCTTCTCAAAAAAAAAAAAAAAAAAAAAAAAAAATTAAAAATGCATGTACTAGGCTGGGCATGGTGATTCACGCTTGTGATCTCAACACTTTGGGTGACTGAGACAAGAGAATCACTTGAAGCCAGGAGTTTGAGATCAGCCTGCACAACAGAGTAAGACCCCATCGCTACAAAAAATTTTCTAAAATTAGCTGGGCATGGTGGCATACAACTGTGATCCCAGCTACTTGGGAGGCTGAGGAAGGAGTATCACTTGAGCCCAGGAGGTGGAGGCTATAGTGAGGTATGATGGCACCACTGTACTCCAGCCTGAGTGACAGAGGGAGCCACTGTCTCTAAATTAAGAAAACAAAAACAAACAAAAAAAGAAAAGCATATATTGGGTGGGTCTGGTGGCTCACACATATAATCCCAACACTTTGGGAGGCCATAACAGGGGGATCACTTGGGCCCAGCAGTTCCAGACCAGCCTGGGCAGTATAGTGAGACTCCGTTTGTACAAAAAAAAAAAAAAAAAAAACTTTAAAATTACCCAGATGTGGTAGTGCATGCCTGTAATCCCCAACTACTTGGGAGGCTGAGGCAGGAGGATCACTTCAGCCCAGGAGTTCGAGGCTGTAGTGAGCTATGATCTCACCACTGTACTCCAACCTGGGTGACAGAATAAAACCCTGCCTCTATTTAAAAAAAAAAAAAAAAAAAAAAGCATGTACCTTTCACACAACAATGTCACTTCCAGAAATTTATCCTGAGAAAATAAGCAGAAAAGCATGCAAAGTATATATGAGAACATCCATCACAGCTCTATGCAGAATACCTAAAAGTAAACAACCTAAATAGGGGATTAGTTAAGTAAAAGAAAGTACATTCTAAAATAGAATATTGTTAACCATTAATTAGATATTATATAGAACTCCATATACTGGCATAAGAGATAGTTAAGCAGCAAAAAAAACCAACCAACAAACAAAAAAAAAACAGTTACAAAGAAGCATTTATAATACTCTGCAAAAATTCTATTATAAAAAGGTCTGAAATGATATCTAATTTTATTGTCTGTAGAATGAGTAATTTTCTCTTCTTGTTTGGGGTTTTCAGTTTCTGAATTTTCTTCACAATTACTTTAACAGGAAAAAAACAGTATAATTTTCATTTTCAGGGAGAAAAAGACAGAACCACTACTTTGTATTTCCATCTACCAGCAATTTTACAGCCTAGAACCCCAGAAAACTTTCTGATATGTTCGTAAGGCATGTAGGTCTTTACATTTTCATATCATTTTTCAACTCAAACAGTATGGCAAATCAAATTTAGTAATTTATTTACATACAATTTTTCTTTTCCTTCAAAGTTAACATGGACTTATTTTCCTAGCTACTATCCAGCTTATATTCTAATCTACTACAGCCATTTTCCTTTGTCACAGAATCTGAATTGATTTTACTGCCTATAACAATATAGTTGTCATACACAAACAAATCTGCTTTTAATTTATGTATATATAGATTAAAATAGTACTGAATAATATGTATTAAAAGTCAATAGGCTGAATGGCTTATAGTTGAGTTTTTATATATTTAAAAATTGTTACAGTATATATATATTACCTTTATAATGGTAATTATGTAGATATTTTGATTTTTATAACTAAAAAAATCTGCCTTGAAATACCATTGAAAGATGTGCCTCGAATACATCTAAAATTAAGTAATTACACTATCAATAATAAAGTATACAAGGACTTTATTAGGAACTTGTGGCTGGGTGTGGTGGCTTACACCTATAAACCCAGCACTTTGGGAGGCAAGGCCGGCGAATCACTTGAGGTCAGCAGTTCGAGACCAGCCTGGCCAACATGGCAAAACCCTGTCTCTACTAAAAATACAAAAATTAGTCAGGCGTCATGGTGCACGCCTGTAATCTCAGCTACTCGGGAGGCTGAGGCACAAGAATCTCTTGAATCCAGGAGGAGGTTGCAGTGAGCCAAGGTTGTACCACTGCACTCTAGCCTGGGTGACAGAGCGAGACTCTGCTCAGTAAAAAAAAAAAAAAAAAAAAAAAAAAAAAAACCAGAAAACTTTTATGCAGCATTATGCTTGAAATTGCTCTTGGCCCTGTAAAGTAATTTATTTTAGTAAGATGAATAAAGAGCTCTGGGTATTTTGAGAAATCCATCAATTTGTTAATTACTCATCCTTTAATTCAATGCTCTGCTGCACATTTGCTAGTTAACATGAATAGGAAGTATGTGTATTCTATAAATACATGAAGGGAGTAAAGAACATATTAGAATAGATACTAAGATAAAAAGGTAGACTTGAGTAAATATTTCCTGGTTTTCCTTAACCTTTTGGCCACGGAGACTGTAACAACAACCTAGCAAGTACAAAATAAGAAGTCATTTCCAGCCTCAGGCTGCATGGGAAAATAAGAGGGGATAAGCAGACAGGACAGAGAGGATGTGAGAAGCATCATGTTGCTAGAGGTAAAGGGCAAACTAAGCCACAGGAATAGAGTTAGAAACTACAGTCAAAGTAGTACTTTGCTTTGCAGCCAACAATACAATAAACTGGAGCCAGTGGATTTTAAAGTAGGCAAAAGAGTTTCCAAAAGAGCAGTAATAGATTATTGGAGGATCCAAGTTCTTCAGGAAAAGGGAGGGAGGGAATAATGGAGAGACAGATATTTAGTCTGTATATATTCAAGGCAAGAAGAATGGTACCTTTGATGACAAATGTATTGAAAGAGAGATGTGAAAACTAACACGAAACCTTATTAAGATAATGAGATAAGTAATGTCAACAGGAAGGCCAAGGAAGAGAAGTTTGCCAATTATTTTTAAAGTTTTCTCTTCAGTGCACAAAAGCACCACTTGTCAATGTCATCTAACCAAGAGCTGCCATCCCTAACTTCCTATTCCCAGTAACACTAGGCTCCCTAGGTTAATTCATGTGAACTCTAGGCCCAGATGAAATGAACCACTACTGACTAGATGACAGCTCTAAAGCCAGGACATTCCCTGTATTCACCCAGAGTTCCTAAAGTTTCTTAGCCAACAGCGTTTTCACTGTTAAGTCTGTAAAATCATCAACAGTAAATGAACCAAGACATTTAAGTTTTAATTTAAATGACATGTAGGCCAGGCGCTGTGGCTCATACCTGTAATCCCAGCACTTTGGGAGTCTGAGGTGGTCAGATCACTTGAGGTCAGGAGTTCCAAGACCAGCCTGGCCAACATGGTGAAACTCTGTCTCTACTAAAAATACAAAAATTAGTCAGGTATGGTGGTGCGTGCCTGTAATCCCCACTACTCGGGAGGCTGAGACAGGAGAATTGCTTGAACCCGGGAAAGAGAGGTCATGGTGAGCTGAGATTCTGCCACTGCATTCCAGCCTGGGTAACAGAATAACACTCCATCTATAAAAAAACACACACACACAAAAAAAAGACATGTGGCTATAACACATAGGTTATTTATAGATTATATACTAAACACAGAATTGAAAGAGCAGCTAGGGCTGTAAGACAGAAACAACAACTTTTGTATAGGATTTTTAGCAAGAGGATAAAAGGTAAAAAATGTCAATAATTTGAACAAGCTAAAAAAAATGGGGAAGAAACAAAACCAAGCCTTGATTCTAAAAGTCTAGGGTAAGTAATGGGGATCAAAGCTCGACTGAAGAAAAAGCAAGAATTCAACATGTAAAGAGAGGCTGCAAGAGGAGATGCCTTCATGTGACCTTGGATGTGAGGAGCAGAAACAACAGGTGAAGGCAGAGCCTAATACAGACAGGACTTCTAGAACAGTCTTTTTGAGACCTTTACAAGCCTTTCTATTTTATTTTAAACAGCTTTATTCAAATATAATTAACATAGCAGGCTTCTAGAACACTCTTTTTTGAGACCTTTACAAGCCTATTTTATTTTAAACAGCTTTATTCAGATATAATTTACATAGCAGGCTGGACGCAGTGGCTCATGCCTGTAATCCCAGCACTTTGGGAGGCGGAGGCAGACGGATCACTTGAGGTCAGCAGTTCGAGACCAGCCTGGCCAACAAGGTGAAACCCCATCTCTACTAAAAATACAAGAATTAGCCAGGTGTGGTAGCAGGCGCCTGTAGTCCCAGCTACTAGGGACTGAGGCAGGAGAATCGCTTGAACCTGGGAGGCGGAGCTTGCAGCAAGCTGAGATCATGCCACCGCACTCCAGCCTGGGCAACAGAGGGAGACTCCATCTCAAAAAAGATAAAAATAATTTATATACCATATAATTAATGCACTTAAAGTATATAATTGAATGGTTTTTAATATATTCATCGATATGTGCAACCATTACCACTGTCAATTTTAGAATTTTTCATCACCTCCAAAAGAAACCCTAGCTCCTTTAGTGGTCATATCCCTAGGCAACCACTAATCTACTTTCTGTCCCTATATATTTGCCTATTCTGGACATTTCATGTAAATAATATCATATAATATGTGGCCTTTTGTGATTGGCTTCTTTCACTTAGCATAATGTCTTCAATGTTACAACAACCAGTTTGTAGCATTTATCAGTATTTCATTCCTTTTGTGGCCAAATAATATTCCACTGTATGGACATACCACATTTTGTTTATCCATTCATTAGCTGATAGATATTTGGGTTGTTTCTACCTGTACACTATTGTGAATAGTGCCACTATGAGTATTTGTGTGTAAGGTTTTGCCTAAATATTCTCAATCCTTTGAGGTATAGACATAGGAGTAGGATTGCTGGGTCATTATGAATTTTTCTTTACATCATAAAGACAGATTCCTGAGGTTAAGCCCATCCACCAGCACAGAAGTAATCTCTTCTGAGAGTCTAAGAACTCAGTAAACCTTGATCTATGCAATGACGGATAATAGCAATAGAAAGCAGCTGCAGACCAAAATGCTAAATAAAGCACTTCTAATAGAAGCAGAAAAAGGTACAAGAAAGAACATGCTGCAGCACAACTTAAGCCCCAAACCAGAAGACCAATGGGTCTTTTCTTGACTGTAAACCTTAACGGGAAAGTAGCTGACACACAACTAACCAAAAAATAGACACATTAGCATCTGAGCTAAAAAAAAAAAAAAAAAAGTGATACATTCATATTGTTTTTACAGCAAACAGATGGCATCGCCATTTATTGACTTTTTTGTGCCTATCTCTTTAAAATGAACAAACGAGAGAGAAACGGACAAAAGGAAACTCAGGAAACGGACAATGCAGGGTACAGAGGCAAATTAATTAAAAAAAAATAATATCCTTAGAGCAATAAAATAAAACTAGAGCAGAATTCTAAAAAGGGATTAATTTTAAAAATAAGGATTCTTGGAAATTTGTAAGATAATGGAAATAAAAGTTCAATAGAAGGGCTGGGAATCTGAAGTCAAGGAAATCTCACAGAATAGAATAAAAAGTTGAAGCGATAAAAAACAGGGAGTGATGTCATGAAGCCCAACATCCTCTTAATATGACTATCAGAAAGAGACTAAACACACAGTGAAAAGGAAAATATCAAGAAAATAATGGGAAGTTCAAAGACCACAGCCCAGTAAGTAAGAAAAGGCCCACACCAAGTCACATCACTGAAACTTCAGAGCACAGCTTAAAAAAAAGAAAAAAAAAAAAGTTAAAAACTCTAGTTAAACAAAAGTAGACACCTAAAACTGGTCACATAAGAAGGAAGAGGAATTGTAATAAACGTTGTCTTCTCAAAAAGAACAGCAGGAGTGACATCAGCAAAAATAGAAGAGAAAGAACCTGCAAAAGTCTCTCCTCTATCAAAGCACCAAAAAAAAAAAAAAAAAGAAAGAGCGGGGGAGGGGGGTGCAAAAATCATTTAGAATCTACTTTGACAGAATTCTGGAAATTAACTAAAGGCATGCAGCAATCTGGGGAACATTTATTCAAGTAAAACAACTGAATCCGTATAAGAACAGTAAGCATTTTAACTTGCTCCCATCTGCTCCCCCTCCCTCCAATCAATATGCAATCAGAGTGAAACCAGCAGCCTGGTAGCTGCTGGGAAGACTGTATTTATTTGACCTGACTCTGAGCTCCCCAGTACAAAAGTCTTGCACCCCACCCCCATCCCTGGAAACATCTGTCAAAAACAATTAGAAGTAACTGATTAATTTGAGGGCTGCAGAAGAAACTGGACAACAGCTAGGGCAAACAATAAGGCTAACCAAAAAGCTTAACAGGAAGGTCTAGGGAATGAGATAGCCATAGGGGCTTTGAAAACCTCAGCTATCTCCTGGGAATCTGGAAGGCCATACTCATGCCCAGGGTCATGCTCAGGAAAGACACTGAGAAGGCCCTAAGCTCTCACCTCTAATTGCTCTATGCGAGCAGGACCTAAAGGTTAAGGCACAGTTGTTAACTGCCTGGCTGAGTGTTGAAGATATTCTCCTGAACACTTCTATACACACACAGAGTCCCTTGGCAAAGACTGGGAAACTTACTGATTCCAGGTATTTGAGGAAATCTCAGTCCAGTCATTAGCTGACCACTAAGCTAAATGAGCAGAGACTTCAGAAGCCACACACAACAAAGAATTCAAACTTAAAAGAATTAACTCCAAAAAAAAAAAAAATTACAAAACAACAACAAAGACAGCCTTGGGGAGACAGCAGTATCTGATCTGCAGAGCTGTCAAAATATATTATTTTAAATGTCCAGTTTTCTATAAAAATAACAAGATATGAAAAAAACAAAAAAGTATTGCCCATACACAGGCAAGGAAAAATCAGTCAATAAACTATACCTGAGTCAGTAAACTCACACTCCGTAAACAAACACTAAAGAACTAAAGTATAAGGATGTCTCAAAATAGAAAATTTTAAACGATACAACAATAAAATATAGGGCAATAAAATGATATGCATCAACATTTAGCAAAGGTGAAAAAAACAGGATAGATATTATATAAGAGAACTAAGTTGAAATTCTGGAATTGAGAAGTACAATAAATGAAATGAAAAATAAACGAAATGAAAATTTCACTAGAGGGGTTCAACAGCATATTTGAGCATGTGAAAGAAAAGAATCAGTGAGAGTGAAGACAGGTCAATTGAAATTATCCAGTCTGAGAAACAGAGAAATGACTCATCACATATGTGCAATATTCAATAAGATTGTAACAGCTGATTTCTCATCCAAACCATGGAGGCTGGAAGGCAGTGAGATAACATATTCCAAAGTGCTGAAAGAAAAAGACTATCAACAAGAATTCTATAACCAGCAAAACTATCCTTCAAAAATGAAGGAGAAATTAAGACATTTCCAGATAAGCAAAAACTGAGAGAGATGATCACTGACAGACATGGGCTATCAAGAAATACCAAAGGGAATCCTTCAGGCTGAAACAAAAGGATACTAGACAAAACATTGAATCCATGTTTAGAAATAAACAGTGCCAGTAAAAGTTATTACAAAAGTAAATCTAAAGGAAAATATGAGTATATTTTTTGTTTGTAACTCTTTTTGTGTCCTATCTGATTTAAAAGACAATTGAATAGAACAATAATTATAAATCTCTGTAGACAGGCACACAATGTACAAAAATGTATGTTATATGACAATAACAGCACAAAGGATGGGTGGGGAGGGGAAAAGGCCTATTTAGGAGAAAAGTCAGTGTATACTATTGAAAGCAAATTGGTATTAATCTGAACTAGATTATAAATTAAGGTGTTAATTGTAATCCCCAGGATAATTACTTAAAAAACTCAAAGAAATATAGTAACAAAAACAAGAACGAAATTAAAATGATATAATACAAAATATTTTAACAAAAGACAGTGATAATGGAGAAATAATAAAAAATGATATGACATATATTGAAGACAAAACGGCAAACATAAACCAAAATTACTGTTAATTACATTAATAGTAATTATATTAAATTTAATTGATCTGAACATTCCAATTAAAAGGTGGACATTGGCAGAATGGTTTTAAATTCTAACTGTATGCTATAAAGAGACACATTTTAGACTGAAAGGCACAAAGAGGTTTAAACTAAAAGTCTGGAAAGTTACACTATGAAAACAGAAACAAAAAGAGTTGGGATGGTTACACTAACTTCAAACAAAATATACTTTTAAACAAAAACTGTTATAAGAGACAAAATAGTACATTTTTTAATGATATAAGGTTAATACACAAAAAAGAGATAATAATTAAAAACATATATGTACTCAACAGAGCTCCAAAATACATGAAGCAAAACTGATGGAACTGAAGGGCGAAATAGACAATTCAACAATAATTGGAGATGACTTCAATACTCCACTTTCAACAATGGATATAACAATTACAAGATCAACAAGGAAAGACAAGCTTGTACAACACTGCAAACCTACTAAACCTAATAGCTATCTGTAGAACATTCAACAGCATCAGAATGCACACTTTTCTCAAGTACACATGGAACATTCTCCAAGACAGACCCTATGTTAGGCTGTAAAACAAATCTCAATAGATGTATACTTGAAATCATACAAAGTATGTTTCCAATCACAACAGAATGAAATTTAAATGATTAAGAGAACACATGGGAAATTCACAAGTATGTGGCAATTAAACAACACAATCCTATTAACCAATGGGAAAAATCCAAAAGGAAACTAGAAAATACTTTGAGATGAATGAAAATGAAAACAAAACATTAAAAACTTGTAAGATAGACAAAGCAGTGCTTAAAGTAAAATTATAGTTGTAAAATGTCTCAAATGAATAACCAAAACTTCCACCTTAAGAAACTAGAAAAACAGGAGCAAAATAACACCACAGCAAGCAGAAGGAAGGAAATTATAATAAAGCCTAGAGTGTAATTAATGAAATACAGAATAGAAAAATGGAGAAAATCAATGAAATAAAAAATTGGTTCTTTAGAAAGATTAACAAAATTGATAAGTATTTAGCTATATTGACCAAGAAAAAAAAAGAAGACTCAAATTTATAAAACCAGGAATGAAAGTGGGGACATCACTACCAATCTTACAAAAATAAAAAGAATTATTAGGGAATACTATGAACAATTGTGTGTAATAATTAGATAACCTAAATGAAATGGACAAATTCCTATAAAAACACAAACTATAGGCTGGGCGTGGTGGCTCATGCCTGTAATCCCAGAACTTTGGGAGGCTGAGGCAGGTGGATCACGAGGTCAGGAGATCGAAACCATCCTGGCTAACACGGTGAAACCCCATCTCTACTAAAAATACAAAAATTAGCCAGGCATGGTGGCGGGTGCCTGCAGTCCTAGCTACTCGGGAGGCTGAGGCAGGAGAATGGCGTGAACTCGGGAGGCGGAGCTTGTAGTGAGCCAAGATCCTGCCACTGCACTCCAGCCTGGGCGACAGAGCAAGACTCTGTCTCAAAAAACAAACAAAAAAACACACACAAACTATAGACACAGCTCAGGAGCTCAGGAAGAAATGGACAATCTAAATAGATATCAAATGTATTGTTTATATTTATTTATTTAATTATTATTATTTGAGACAAAGAGTCTTGATCTGTCACCCAGGCTAGAAAGCAATGGCACAATCTTAGCTTACTGCAACCTCTGCCTCCCGGATTCAAGTGATTCTCCTGCCTCAGCTTCTCGAGTAGCTGGGATTACAGGCACGCACCACCGTGCCTGGCTAATTTTTGTATTTTTAGTAGAGATGGAGTTTTGCCATGTTGGCCAGGCTAGTCTCAAACTCCTGACCTCAGGTGATCCACCTGCCTTGGCTTCCCAAAGTGCTGAGATTACAAGCGTTAAGCCACCGTGCCTGGCCTATTATTTATATTTATAAATAGCTATCCATAAATATGAATATATAACAAATAGAGATTGAACTAGTAATCAAAAGTCTTTCCACAAAGACAAGCTCAGGCCCAGAAGTCTTCACTGCTGTGTTCTACCAAACACTGAAAGAATTAATACCAATCCTTCAAAAACTCTTCCAAAATGTAGAAAGAGAGGGAAATTCCCTACTCATTCTATAAGGCCAGTGTCATCCTGATACTAAAACCAAACACATCACAAGAAACTACAGACCAATAAACATACCTTATGAACATCAACGTAAAAATCCTCAACAAAACAACATAAACCATAAAAAAATTGAGACTTATCCCAAGAATGCAAGGTTGGTTTGATATAGAAAAAGCAATGTAATACACTACTTAATAGAACAAAGAACAAACCACACAATCATTTCAATCTTCACAGAAAAAGCACTTGACAAAATTGAACATCCTTTCATGATAAAAACACTCAAACTAAGAATACAGGCAAATTTCCTCAATCTGATAAAGGGTATCTATGAAAAAAATCAGAGCTAACATCATACTTAATAGTGAAAGACAAGAAGTTCTCCCCCTTAGTATCAGAAAAAAGACAAGGATGTCTCCTGTCAGCACTTCTATTCAACACTGTACTAGAGGTTCTAGCCACACTTACATCTTTTTGCAGAGACATGATCATTTATATAGAAAATTCTAAGTAATCCACAAAAATTTACTAGCACTAATAAAGACATTTGGCAAGGATGCAGGATACAAGATCAGTACAAAAAAATCAGTTATATTCCTATCCACTAGCAATAAGCAATCCAAAAAATGGAATTAATAGAACAATTCCATTACAATAGCATCAAAAATAATAAAATACTTAGGAATAAATTTAAAAGTCCAAGACTTGTACACTAAAAACCACAAAACATTATTGAAAGAAAGCAAAGAAGACCTATAAAGATGCCCTGTGTTGTAAGTGTAAAGATATCTTGTATTCATGAATTAGAAGAGTTAATATTGTTAACTCTAAGATGGCAACACTTCCCAAATGATGCCCATCAAAATTCTAGCTGGCATTGTTTTTTTGCAGAAATTGACAAGCTGATCCTAAAACCCATGGAAATGCAAGAACCCATAACAGCCAAAATAATCTTGAAAAAGAAGTTGTAGGACTCACACTTGCAAATTTCAAAACTTAAAGCTACAATCATTGAGACAGGCATTAAGTACTTGCATAACGAGAGATATATACATCAATGAAATAGAACTGAAAATCCAGAAATAAATCCCATACATTTATGAGCAATTGATTTTTGACAAGGGTGACAGGGCAATTGAATGGGGAAAGAATAGGTTTTTCACAAATAGTACTGGGACAACTGGATATCCACATGCAAAAGAATGAAGATGAACCTCTACCTCAAACCATGTACAAAACTTAACTCAAAATGGATCGAAGACCTAAATATAAAAGCTAAAACTATAAAACTCTTAGAAACATAGGCATAAGTCGTCAAGACTTTGGAGTAGGCAATGGTTTCTTAGACATAAAACTGAAATCACATGCAATGTGAAAAAAAAATTGAAAATTTTCAAAACTAAAAACTTTGGCTGGGTGTGGTGACTCACACCTGTAATCCCAGCACTGTGGGAGGCCAAGGTGGGAGGACTGCTTAAGTTCAGGAGTTCAAGACCAGCCTGGGCAACATAGCAAGACCCCATCTCTATTTAAAAAAGCAAAAAACAAAAAAACACAACTTTGTACTTCAAAGGATACTATCAAGAAAGTGAAAAGAACCCACGGAATGGGAGAATATACTTGCAAATCATACATCTCATCAGGGACTAGTAACCCCTATATACATATATATATATCTAGAGAGAGTGTATATATATATACACACACATAGAATATATACACACAAATAGAATATATATAGGGTGTATATATATACACACACATATATGTATATATGCGTATATATACACATATGTATGTATATATGTATATGTATGTGTGTGTATATATATACACACACATAGAATCCCTATATATATATACACATATACATGAGAGAGAACCGTTACAACTCAACAATAAAAGACAGCCAATTTTAAAACTGAAAAAAGGATCTTAATCTACATTTCTTCAAAGATACACAAATGGCCGATCAGCAAATGAAAAGATGCTCAACATCATAGTCATTAGACAAATGCAAATAAAAACCACACTGAGATACCACTTCACACTCACAATAATGTCTATAATAAAAAAGACAGACTACAATTGTTGACAAGGACGAGGTAAAACAGGAACCTTCACACATTGTTGATGACAATGCAAAATGGTGCAGGTCCTTTGGAAAACAGTTTGGCAGTTTCTCAAGTTAAACAGAGTTTCCTATGATTCAGCAATTCAATTCCTAGGTATATACATAAGATAACTGAAACACATGTTCACACAATAATTTGTACACAAACATTCATAGCCATATTATTTATAATAACCAAAAAATAGAAACAAACCAAATGTCTATCAACTGATGAATGGATAACCCAAAGGTGTTATATCCATATAACAGAATATCATTTGGTCATAAAAAGGAATGAAGTACAAATGCATACTATAACATTATACTAAGTGAAAGAAGTCAGTAACAAAAGACCACATACTGCATGATTAAATTTATATAAAATGCCCAGAAAGAGAAATACACAAACAGAAAATAGATCAGTGGTTGCCAAGGGCTAGAAGAGAGAAAAACGGGAAGTGACTTCATAGGTACTGCGTATTTTCCTTTTTTTCTTTTTTTCAGATGGAGTCTCAATCTGTCACCCAGGCTGGAGTGCAGTGGTGCAATCTTGGCTCACCGCACCCTCTGCTGCTGGGTTCAAGCGATTCTCGTGCCTCAGCCTCCTGAATAGCTGGGATTACAGGCGCCTGCCACCACACCCAGCTAATTTTTTGTATTTTTTGTAGAGATGGGGTTTCACCATGTTGGCCAGGCTGGTCTTAAACGCCTTACCTCAGGCAATCTGCCCAACTTGGCCTCCCAAAGTGCTGGGATTACAGGCATGAGCTGCTGTGCCTGACGGAGTACTTGGGTTTTTTCTTAGGACTGATGAAAATGTTCTAAAATGAGACAGCGGCAATACTTGAATAACCTTATGAATTCCACTGAATTGTACCTTTTTTAAAAAAGGAACAATGGATGCCTTCAAAATTTTGCAGGATGATTATTCTCAGCTTCGAATTTCATATACAAACTTAAATATTGGGATAATAGTATAGGGAAACTGGCCCTTGGGCTAGGGGAGGGGAGGGGAGCAGGTGCTCTATTAAAGAGAGCTAACTCCTCAACTACTATAACAGAAAGGTAATATTTACTGTTTAAAATGTAAACATTAGGCCAGGTGCAGTAGCTCATGCCTGTAATCCCAGCACTTCGGGAGGCCGAGGCAGGCGGATAACACGAGGTCGAGTTCGAGACCAGCCTGGCCAATATGGTGAAACCCTGTCTCTACTAAAATACAAAAAATTAGCTAGGCGTGGTGGCGGGTGCCTGTTATCCCAGCTACTCGGGAGGCTGAGGCAGGTGAATCACTTGAACTCAGGAGGCAGAGGTTGCAGTGGGCGAGATCACACTACCGCATTCCACCCTGGGGCAACAGAGCAAGACTCCATCTCAAAAAAAAAAAAAAAAAAAAAAAAAAGTAAAGAAAGACTAAGAATCTCTGAGTAATGAGGCCTACAAAGGGCCAGGAACTGACACATTTGAATTTTTATAGTCTCTGCATTTATTACTTTAATATAAATTTTTAAATGATTATTAAAAAAGAAAAACACTATCATACTCTTAAACTGGAGCCATGCACAGTGGCTCACACCTGTAATACTAGTGCTTTGGGAGGCCAAGGTGGGAGGATCACTTGAGGCCAGGTGTTTTGAGATCAGCCTGGGCAACAAAGTGAGACCTAGTCTCTACCCACCAAAAAATTCTTTTAATTAGCCAGGCTTGCATGCCTGCAGCCTGCAGTCCCAGTTACTCTGGAAGCCATGGGAGGAGGATTGCTTGAGCCCAGGAGTTCAAGGTCACAGTGAGTGATGATCACACCACTGCACTCCAGCCTGGGTGACAGAAAACAATTTTTAATAAAATGTAAAAGAAGAAACTGGGCCACCTGAACAATGTAATAGAAAAGGCCTAGCACTGGGGACAGAAGACTGGATATCATGTCCCATAGCATTTCTGCCCTGTGTGATCCTGAGCTAATCACTGTGTCTTAGTCTCCACACCTGTAAAAGTGAGGATAAAATTACCTACGTCATGAGAATCAAATGAAACCAGTAGATTAGAAAGCACTGTTTTAAAATTTTTTAAATTATATATAAAATACTATCTCCATAATACTGCAACTACCCAAATATTTTAGATCTTACTTATCAAAGAGATATTAATGATAAATTGTCTGTCTCCAAGATTTATTTTAACTTGAATCACCTCGACGGGGGACCTGCATAGAAAAGACTCAAGGGATAACTATAATCCACCAGCTCAATGAAGCAATGTGCTTATTATCTATTACAGACAAGATTCTTTTCCCCTGAGAGTAGATTATGTCTTTTAGAAATTATGCGTATGGTTACCTTTGCATGTCTGTTCATCAATTACAAAAAAAAAAAAAAGAAAACAAACCATTAAACACATTTACCTTCACAGTCAAATCCTCATTACCCAGCGTGACATGAACTTGAATAGGGGGGTAAACACCTCTGTTGGCATGGTGTTCCATAGTGGCTCTCATTGCATTCTGAAATACATTAGGGTTGTATTAAAAATACAGCTTTTTAGAAAAGAGAAAGTGTAATTTTCAAGTACATATGCACTATTTGAAGTTTTAAAATTTGATGGAAATATGCCAAAGAATCACAATTCTTATAACCACATTTAAAGTTTTTTTTTTAATGGAGTCAATTTGGGGGGGATTTGAAGGATATTCTGACCTAAAGACTCCAACTAAATTTTGCTTATTTTCCAAAGTCAGACTTCAAAACACTTTTAACTAGTTACATTAAAGCAGAAAACTCTGTTCAAACACTTTTATAATTTTAGTAAATGATGGGCAAAACATTTTTGAAAATGTAGTTTCAGCTATATTTTTAGAACTATTTAAAAAACTGTCATAAATTTCTTTAAAGGAAAGCAATTTTTTTCATATAGTAGTAACAGCGATGGTCGTATTTGATGGAGCAATGAATCCCTTTATCTCTAGTTTGAAATTAAGGGTATTGTCATTGTAAAGCTGCTTTGACTAATTTCTAAAGGAAATAGGGTACACAGTGCCAACATATCAGAAGCCTTAAACAATATCATGACATTCAGCATTGCAGTAGAAAATGATATAAACTAGATGTAACTAAAAAGGCATCCGAATTTGGAAGTAAGAGTGTGTGGCCCTGGCACAGCAATTGCGATTGAGTCCTCTTATGGAGGAGATTCCATCATTTCCACCAAAGGCAGGTTAAGATTAGGTTCCAGGTGAAAGCCATTATTACTGACATTATGTACAATATAATACGGAGTGCCTCAATCATAGGGCACAAGATCTTTATGCCACTGGAATTTCAAGGAAAAAATTCGTGTTAATGCTTGAAGTGCCCATCACTACTTGTTTAACTACTTGGATAAAAAGATTTTAGGGCTAGGTGCAGTGGTTTATGCCTGTAATCCCAACACTCTGGGGCAGGACTGCTTGAGGCCAGGAGTTCAAGGACAGCCTGGGTAACAGAGTGAGACCTCAACTCTACAAAAAATAAAATAAATATTTTAAAAAAGATTTTGTAAGGTATTAAATACATTTTTGCTGTCTTGGAAGAAAGAACATTCTGCTGCTGTTCTAAGATATTCGGTCAGTTTTTCTGTGTTTCAGTGCACTTTTCCTTTACATTATCAGATTGAAAGCCACCCCCTCTTTCCTCTAGTTTGCTGCTGGCTGATGAAACACAACTGAAGAGAGACTACAAGCTTCTGATAGAGGGCAATCATTTTCACCCACCAGGACCTGTGCCCCTCACTCCTCACCCATTTTCTTGTCAACCAGCAAGTATTATTGGCGGGGAAAAAAGATACTCTCAATATTAGTAGCATAATTTGTTTTCAAATTTTGTTGTAAAGAGCAAAGATTACAGCAGAAACCCTGTAAGTCAATATAAATGACCTCCCCCTCCCAAGAAAAGCCAGACCAAAAAAAGAATTCTGGTCCTTTGAGGGTAGCAAGTTGAGAATCACTCTTCTAAATATTGTTTTATAAAAACATAAAGATAACTCTATTGAGCACCTATATGTAATACGTTGCCACTGTACTGGACACTTAGTATGTTATTCCCAATAGTCATAAACAATCCTGGACAGTATTCTTGTTTTACAGAAAAGGAAACTGAGGCTCAGAGAGGTTGAGTGACTTGCCCAAGGTCACACACATATTAAGAGCCATAATTGGGATTCAAACCCAGGTCTTTCTGACTCCATAGTCTGAGCTCACCACTACATGGAGATGTCTCCCTGTGTTGATAAAAAGCTGATCTCCAGCAATGTGATATGATACTGATGTGAAATGGCACTTCTTAATAGGAGAACCTAGTGGAATATTTGGCTTTCAGAGCAGATTCCTAACCTCAGAAAAGTACTGGTAAAGGTTATGTAATACTATTTTACAAACCTTGAAAAGTTCAAACACCATGTGATAGAGATGGGATGGTACATAAACCACTTGTATTGGCTGTCCTGGTGATTTTGCTACAGAGCAGAAGAGAAAAATATGAAAGTACAGAGAGATGTGCTTAAAGCATTTTTAAGAATAAACTGTGTAGTGATGAAAAGAAAACATTAACTACGGAGGACAGTATTACCTGGGGGAGAACTGCCACACCATTTCTTCAATGTATTAGTGTTTGAACCCATACCCACAAATATTTACAACTGATGATGACAAGAGTCCTGTGGTCACTTCTCACAATCTTGCATCACAATCGAACCAACCCATGCGCCCATTTTTCTCTAGGATGGTAAAGTCTTTTTTAAGATCGCTTAACTTTCGGGTAGGAATTTTACTTTCCAAATAGAGAAGTGTTAAAATCTTTAAATTCCACAGTCCAATTCACATGCATGCATACATTCTTCTTCTTCTTTTTTTTTTTTTTTTTTTTTTTGAGACGGAGTCTTGCTCTGTTGCCCAGACTGGAGTGCAGTGGCGCGATCTTGGCTCACTGCAACCTCCACTTCCCAGGTTCAAGCAATTCTCCTGCCTCAGCCTCCCGAGTAGCTGGGATTACAGGCGCCAACCACCACGCCTGGCTGATTTTTCTTTTAGTAGAGACGGGTTTCACCATATTGGCCAGGCTTGTCTCGAACTCCTGACCTTGTGAGCCACCCGCCTCGGCCTCCCAAAGTGCTGGGATTATAGATGTGAGCCACTGCGCCCAGCCCATACATTCTTTAAGCCATTTTCAAAATGTTTCACCTGGGTGGAATATTGTTTTATTTCAGGCATTTCGATGGATATAAAGCTGAATAAAAAATATGAGCTAGCATCAATTTCTCGAGACAGTAATTAATTCTACATTTAAACACTTAATAGGAGCCCCACTGGGGGTGGTGATAGGGGTGTGTATAAAACAGACATTTAGTAGAACAAATGATTAAGACTCATGATATCTTAGAATTCTAATTCAACCAATAAATCAGACCTTCCTCTGAATAAACTCCCCCTTGGGAACAAAAATGGGACATCTGGAAATTGCTCACAGCAGTTCAGGTTTGCAAACTATCACTTACTTGTACACTGTGATTGTTATTTACCAAATGCTATGCTACCATCATGGCTCAAAAGAGTTAATATGGCTTTAGAAAATCACCAAGCAATGCTATTTTCAATTGCATAACTTCACTGCTCTCTCACTCTAAGGTCCAGAATACAGCTTAGTAAAAGCCTATTTTGTTTTATTCTTCCCACACCTTCTTAAAGTGTCATCTTAGGAAATGCTTTTTTCTGTCAAACTACCATGCTTTCAGGAAAAAGAGACTCATCAATCCCTCTTCAAGGCATCTAAACCCTTTTTGTCCAAAAGGCACTAATCAGGGTAAAAAGAAAACCATCAGAGACAAACAGATTCTCAAATAGATGAGCATCTTTCTTTCCTCTTTTATAACCCCAGTCTATGTCCTCAACAACAGAAAATTATTTACAACTCAGGAAGTAGAAAAAGGGTAAGTCTTACATTAGTGAAGTGCATGTAAAAGTCAAATGTAACTTTCTTGGTATCATTTTCTTTCTATGACTAAACAGAAAATAAAAAATAAGCAAAGAATCAAAGTTATCAATTAAAAATAAAGAAAATGTGATACAAAAAGCCAAATCTTTTCATAAAGAATCTGACTAAATTACATATGTTTATAGATATATTTTTTACATGATTACTATCCTTTAGCCTTCATATCCAACGAAGTTGATAAAAAGTCATCTTCCATTAAAACATTTAAATTCTTATCCCTTATCAAGTAATCAAAGCACTAATTATTGAGAAAAAGACAACATCAGGCTTACCATTTAGTTCTTCAAGTTCTAGTTCGGGAGAGTTAATATAATACAAATCACACAGACGCCTAGCATTTTCATAGCCATCTAGTGTGAATCAAAACAAAACAAAAAAGGATTTAATAAATATACTTCTCTTTCACGCATTAAGATGGCAATGGTATTGACAAATCAAAGTCTTGAACTCTCTACAGAAGAAAATATACTTTGATAGTTTGGTGAAAGTCTGCTTTTTTTTTTTTTTTTTTTGGTAGAGACATGGTCTCCCTATATTGCTCAGGTTTGTCTCCAACTCCCAGGCTCAAGCCATCCTCCTGCCTTGGTGCTAGGATTACAGGCATGAACCACTGCCCCCAACCAGGGAAAGCCTTTCCTTTTTTTTTTTCCTTTGAGACGGAGTCTCGATCAACCAGGCTGGAGTGCAGTGGCGCTATCTCGGCTCACTGCAGCCTCCACCTCCCTGGTTCAAGCGATTCTCCTGCCTCAGCCTCCCAAGTAGCTGGGACTACGTAGGCATGGGTCACCACGCCCAGCTAATTTTTGTATTTTCAGTACAGAGGGGGTTTCACCATGTTGGCCAGGCTGGTCTCGAACTCCTGACCTCAGGTGATCCACCCGCTTCAGCCTTCCAAAGTGCTGGGATTATAGGCATGAGCCACTGTGCCTGGCCCAGGGAAAGTCTAAGTGTGACATGACAAAGCTGAATAGCCATAAACAATGAATGACAAATATAACTACAAAAAAAATGTAAAAGTCTATATGCTAAAAAGACACCAACAATGTAAAAAAGAAAAATAACAGGCTGGAGAAAATAATTGCTATCTATGTAACAAAACTTAAGAGTTGGTTAGGAAACACTCTTATCCATTGTTTGAAACCTTTTTGGAGATACCAAAATTTTATATGCATTTAAATGTTTTTAATTCTAGGAATCTCACCTCTAAAATACTAGCAAAAGTGAGCGTGTATTTAAGGATGTTCACAGCAGTACTGCTGGTATTGGTGGTAACAGAAAAAAATTAAAACAACCTAAGTGTGCATGAACAGGAGAATTAATTAACACATACTGATACATTCCATAGAGCCATTCAAAACCTTGGAGCATATCCAGATGTACTGAACAGCAAGATGTCTGTAAACTTGTAGAAAAAAACATAGAGCACCCCATTTTCTAAAAACAACAATGTAAGACCAACATCAATTGTGTATGTGTACAAGTGGTATAAATAGAAAAAAGTGTGAAATGATTCAAACCAAATTGTTATGAATTACTGCTCATAGTGTAAGAATTAGAAACAGGGCAGTAGGGACTTCAATTCTTTTTTAAGTGAAAGATACCCTCAGCTGGGCTCGGTGGCTCACGCCTGTAATCCCAGCTCTTTGGGAGGCCGAGGCAGGCAGGCAGGCAGGCAGGAGTTCCAGACCAGCCTGGCCAACATGGTAAAACCCTGCCTGCACTAAAGATACAAAAATTAGCCAGGCGTAGTGTTGAGCATCTGTAATCCCGGCTACTGGGGAGGCTGAGGCAAGACAATCGCTTGAACTCAGGAGGCAGAGGCTGCAGTGAGCTGAGATCACACCACTGCACTCCAGCCTGGGCAACAGAGTGAGACTCTGTCTCAAACAAAACAAAACAAAACAAAAAAGATATCCTCTATAGTATCACCAAACTTTGCCTAACAAATAATTCTATCAATAAAATAGTCATCCTATACATAATGCACAAATAATACTATAAGGTTATTTTCAAACCCATGCATTTGTGCCTACCATTTTATCTCATGATACAAATAGATGTTTTAATAGTAAGAAATAACAATAATTTTGATTTTTGTATCTTTTTTTGCAAGGAGAAATGTCAGTATTTACCTTTAATAACTTCAAGTACATTGCAGTTTGGATTTATGCTTCCAATGTGTTTTCGATGAGATGGACTTCCTTTGCCTTTTCCACCAAACAATAAAGCTATCCAAAAAGGAAAAAAACCAACAAAATAAGCTAAACCACCTAATGCTCTTTTCCAAATCTGAATACTGTTTAAATTGTACCAAACAGAACAAATATTTTCCTTTAGGATAAACATAGTATTTTACATTCAATAAAAACACCTTTCTTGATGGCAGTCTATTTATTTTTCTTAATTAGCCAAAAGGTAAAACTAAATTTCCTACCTAAATGGAACTTTCCTAAATAAATTTAAAATATGCCAACACATCTCATTTAGCTTCTTCTCTTGACTCATGAGGGACACTTACAGTGCTGATTGAGTAACATTCTAATTGAAATGCGACTCATGTAGAATCGATCCAAAAAGTACTGAACATTCTGGCTGGTGACAGGATCCACCCCAAAGCTCTCCTTGTATTCAATCACACCCTGGGCCATTGTGGGAATGACATCATTGTGTCGGTTTCTGATCCGTATCACAGTATCTGTAAAGCTAAACAAACCCATCTGTCAAAACAGCCAAATATTTTGACAAGTAAACTTAATACAAAAATATAAGCTTAACCAACTATGCTAGACAAAAAATCCCCAATTTAATAAAAGGAAAATCGGTTCATGTTTTCCTATACTTATTTAAATGTATTTCAGATCATAAAATATACCAAATCTATGAAAGTATACAGACCTCCAAAATAAAACTTTCAAGATTTAATTCTTTTCTTGGCTTCCTAAGAGTAAGGCTGCCACAAAACGTAATCCAAAAAATGTTAATGGTTTTAACTGTTATCAACTAAGGTCATCTGAGCACTGGCTAAGAGGATGGTATTCCAGAGACATTCTGCATAGGAGGAGACAAAGCACTTGCCTCTAGAGAACACCTGCTCTGCTCTGCAAGGAATCAAGATGAATGAGCCAATAAAGCCTGCCTGTTTTGGACCTATTCCCTAGGGTTCAAAGAGAGAAGGAAACACTTAGGACAGAAAAACAGAAAAGAATTCTCATTTCACTCATCCTATGAGTTTATAAAATGGGAGAGGAAAAGTAAACAATTATATTAAAAGACAAATCTTCAAATCATCTAGTCTTCCCATCTCTGTCACTTAGAAGACACTGCATGGTTAAATAACTAAATAAAAGAGAAAATAAGTCTTTTTTTTTTTTGAGATGGAATTTTGCTCTTGTTGCCCAGGCTGGAGAGCAATGGCGCAATCTCGGCTCACTGCAACCTCCACCTCCCGAGTTCAAGTGATTCTACTGCCTCAGCCTTCCTGAGTAGCCGGGATTATAGGCATGTACCATGATGCCTGGCTAATTTTGTATTTTTAGTAGAGACAGGGTTTCTCCATGTTGGTCAGGCTGGTCTCGAACTCCCGACCTCAGACGATCCGCCCGCCTCGGCCTCCCAAAGTGCTGGGATTACAGGCGTGAGCCACCGTGCCCGGCCCAAGAAGTCTTAATTATGCAGTAACGAAACCAATTTTCTAACATAACCCATCTGAATTTACACTTCCAAATGAGTGCTTTCCTATTCAAAGTCATCATCCTGAGTACTATTAACTTATTCCAATGATGTTTCCACTGCTTAAAACATTTTTGGAATTCCTAGTTAGTAATGCGCTTCAAAACAAGACTGTTAAACTAAAATACAAACAACAAAACTCTTCAAAAACAACAAACAACTCATCATTCTAGTCACTCCTTTATTATTTTCTTTCTGCTTCAAAGAAACACAAATCTGTATTATTCTGCTTGACTACTTATTTTCCACAGCTCTGAATGACTGTTTTCAGAAGGCTCTATAACATAATGTTTACTTTTAAAGTAAGACTGCTTGGATTCTACCATTTGCTAACTATGTAACCTTAAACTACTTACCCTCTTTGTGCACAAACAGCATTATTTCAATGAATTGTTTTAAAGATTAAAAAACATCATTCATGTAAAGTCTGCTCAATACCTAAGCAAGGAGTAAACTCTTGCTGAAGTTATTTTCAGATTAAAATCATGTTTAAAAAAATGAAGTGTTACTGTTCACTTTAAAGACAGTCCAAAAAACATGTGTAACTAACTGAGGACAAGAGATGGTCATTACACTCTCAGTACCCTTCACTGCAATAAGCAGGTAGCTGCATAAGGCAAATACTTTGGTTTACCAATTCTGGTATATGGGTTATTAACATTGTCATATTACTTACATCATCTTGCAGGCCATACAGCATAAACTAGAGACCTGCAACCATGTTCTTCTAGGCCTTCTGTGTTTTAAAAAATGTTTTAATTAGTTACCAATCTTTCAAAAGTGAGAGATTTTACATTACAAATCTAGACTTGTAGCTTTCCTTTAAAATCAGAAAACAATCAGATGATATGGGCAGTATTTTCATATGGCAAAGATCAGCTGGGGCTGAAGGTGGTTGTCCATTAGAAGGAGCATGCACCCTCCAGGTGAACAGTCCAACTGGCACTGAGGCCACACCTACATTTCCACTGATCATCACACCTGAACTTTGTCTTTTGTTAAAGAGGAACACGAAGCATTTCTTATGCCTAGTCAAATTTGCTGATTGTTATTTGTCCTGCCTGTATGGGCTGCTACAGTCACATATATCACATGTTCTAAAGTAGTAGAAACCTAAAAGTTAACCAATTTCCCCCAAGTGACCTAATAATAGGTTTAAGAATAGGGTCAAAATAGTGAACTTACTCATAAATAGCTTTAGCATCCTCAGCACTTTTGTCCTTAAAATCAAGAAGCTCCTGAAGACTCTGGATATACCTAAAATGCAGATCAATAGGATAAGTTTGTTCTTTTATATTCTGAAAGTTCAATATCATGAAAATTAGCTCAAAAGCTATTTTTAGCATTTTATAATTTTTAATTTAGAATACTGCTATAAATTATGGTTGAAGTATAATTTTTACACCCATGCACATTCAAGCAAAGTGCTGGGAATGAATGGTAGAAGGTGCACATTTTCTCCTAAAAGCAAAGGTCAAATTTAAGAATTTTAAGATTTTCCGAGTTCTACATTCTAAAATGGCTTTTAATTTTTTTTTAATTTACCACTGTACATTACAGTATATATACTGATTATGCTGAGATCTGTCACCAGTAACTATGTGATCTTGGGCAAATGACTTAATTTGTCTTATTATCAGTAAAAGGAGGACAGCCTCTCTTGCTCTAAGACTGTATCTTAAATATCTGTGCTTTAAAACCTTAATTTTACATATTTATGTCCAACTAACAAGTATTTATTGAAAGCCTATAATCTACATGGTTCTTTTAAACTGAACAAAAAACACAAAAGTCATAAAAATGTACATTTTAAATTTATCTAACAATTCGAAGTATCAAAGCATCTGTTAAGGAATGAGCAAAATAGAGAAGGCCAAATGATTTTCTGATGGTCTTGCAGGCAAGTACAATGGCACTGCGGGGCCAGAGCTAAAAATAACTTGCTACCACTGAATTACTTTCTTCGACAGTGTAAGGGATCTGCTCCACTTGGCTGTAAGCACTTTATCTGCAACTGTCCTAACTTAGCAGGCATCTAGGAGCAATGGAAGTGCTTTAAAAACCTGTAATTCCATCTGTTGGTTTGGAAAGCTGTTTCTGACAAGCAATATGTCTTACTGCATTCCAAAGTTAAGGGATTCTGATAGCAGCTGCTGCTTTGCTTTAACCCTTAATTTCCTCTTAATTGGCAAGAACAACTACGCTCTCCATCCAAGAGATATTTGAGTACCTACAACAGGCACCGATCAGACCTCATGACTGATAAGCTTCAAAAAGCAGCATATTCTACTTCTAATGAAGAATTTTTTAAAAACAGGAAAAATCTTCCATGGAATATTATATTTTCTCCATTATATCCCATCATAATTACTAAACAAATGCTTCCCATTTAATCCACACTTATAACTATTCCATACTTGGACTAGATAGCATCTGATTATCATATATATAGCAGTCATATTTTGCTTTTTTAAATTGCGATTAGATCAACTTCTCCCATACGCTATAATGCTTACAAAAAGAAAACTTGAATCTCCATGAATCATAACTGGGAAATGCCCTGCAGCTAAACCTTTTCCATTTAAGACTTAACTCTGGGCAACTCATTTGTTTGAAGCATACAGTGCTTAAAAGAACAACACTTTTAAATCAGTAACATTAATGAAGGCTGTATATAGGTGGCTCCATGAGTGTATACCCTTAACATCTCTACTTATCTTTGGGAAGAGATCACACTTTTTCTACACAATTCCAAAAACTTCTAATTGTTTTAAAACAGAAAAATAAACATTTTAACTTTTGTAATTTATAAAAAGATACCCTTCAATAAACACAGTTTATTAAAAATACATATATCCTTTCATATATTTCATCATTCTGACTATAGCACGGTATAGCAGAGATGGACAAATGGGGGTTTGAATCCCAACTCCACTATCAATGGTACTGTCTTACGCAAAAGATTTAACCTTTATGTGCCTCAGCATCCTCATCTGTACAGAGTTAACCTGCCAGGTGCGGTGGCTCATGTCTGTAATACCAACACTTTGTGAAGCCAAGGTGAGAGGACTGCTTGAGCCCAGGAGTTCACAACCTGCCTGGGCAAAAAAGTGAGACCCCCATCTCTACAAAAAAATAAAAGAATTGGTCAGGTATGGTGGCGCATGGCTGTGGTCCCAGCTGCTCGGGAGGCAGCTGCCTTAGCAGGAGAATCTCTTGACCCCAGGAGGTCAAGACTGCAGTGAGCCATGATCACACTACTGCACTCTAGCCTGGGTGATGGAGACCCTGTCTCTAAAAAGAAAATAAATTAATTTAAAAAATAATAAACAGGCTAGACACAATGGCTCATGCCCATAATCCCTGCACTTTGAGAGGCCCAGGTGGGCAAATACCTTGACCTCCGGAGTTTGAGGCCAGCGTAGGCAACATGGAAAAACCCCATCTCTGCTAAAAAATACAAAAATTAGCTGGGTGTGGCATGCACTTGTGGTCCCAGCTACTCAGGAGGCCGAGGTGGGAGGATCACCTGAGCCAGGGAGGTGGAGGTTGCAGTGAGCTGAGCTGTGATCACCACTGCACTCCAACCTGGGTGACAGAGTAAGAACCTGTCTCAAAAAAATAAGTAGGCCAGGAGTGGTGGCTCATGCCTGTAATCCCAGCACTTTGGGAAGCCAAGGTGGGAGGATCACCTGAGGTCAGGAGCTTGAGACCAGCCTGGCCAACATGGTGAAACCTCTATTTCTACTAAAAATACAAAAATTAGCCAGGCATGGTGGCAGGTGCCTGTAATCCCAGCTACTCTGGAGGCTGAGGCAGGAGAATCACTTGAACCCAGGAGGCAGAGGTTGCAGTGAGCCAAGATCATGCCATTGCACTCCAGCCTGGGCAACAGAGCAAGATTCCATTTCAAAAACAAAAAGTAAATAAAAATAATAACAATGAATAAAATGGAGAGAATCATACCCACTGTGCAAGGTTGTTGAAGGGATTAAAGGCAATATACATAAATACCCAGTCATCAACAAATTGCAGACATTTTTTCTTATAATATCCTTGAAGATATACTAACATAAATCCTAAATTTAGCATCTGTATTTCAGTGCAGTTTTGACTGGCTTTCTCAAAATCAAGAAGTTGTGGAGTCCACGATTCAGGGCACAAGCCCAAATACATTGCCCCCACCTGCCCCCAGCCAAAAAAAGAATACTGCTACTACCTTAAGACTCTGGTCGGGCACGGTGGCTCACGTCTGTAATCCCAGCACTTTGGGAGGCCAAGGTGGGTGGATCACGAGTTCAGGAGACCGAGATCATCCTGGCCAACATGGTGAAACCCTGTCTCTACTAAAAATACAAAAATTAGCTGGGCGTGGTGGCACGTGCCTGTAATCCCAGTTACTCGGGAGGCTGAGGCAGGAGAATCGCCTGAACCCGGGAGGCGGAGCTTGCAGTGAGGCAAGATCGCGCCACTGCACTCCAGCCTGGGCGACAGAGCAAGACTCCGTCTCAAACAAAACAAAACAAAACAAAAAAGATTCCACCAAAGAGTAAAAAAAAGCATTTGCTGTAACCTTGAATAAAGTCCACAACTCCATCAAATTGCAAACACAAGATGAGAATCTTACCAGCTTTGTACCAATTGAACGGATGGTGTCCTGAGAAGATTATCTGGAAGGAGACTTATTTCTTTCATTATATTTGCCAGTCTGACAGGCAACTCTTGCCGCAGAAACATAAATGAGGTCTTTTCACAAGCATTCACTGATCCTGAAACCAAACATGATGGGTAAAGCAGTAAGTAAAAGCCATAAGGAAACAGAAGGCAAGAGGCTGAGAGAAATAGAGAGGAAGTTATCCGGCAAGGCCAGAGGGATAGAATCACCACGATGGGGCAGGGAATAGGAGGCAAAGATACACCTGCCTGTGGGAGGCGAGGGATGAGATAACCCAGTCTCCAGAGTTATGACCTTCCAATTACTGACATTCCAATGGCTCTGTACAGCAATTACGATACTCTTGTCTCCCTAATTTGCATCCTTAAAGTGATCACCCATTTTAGAAGTTAGGTAACCTGAGCATGTCTGAGCAAGGCTTTATAAAATTAACAGCAGAACCTGGAAAAGTCTATCCTGTACACCCCGTTGCTGCTATCATTTAGAAAATCTGTTATCTAACTCTAGGTTTAAAAACAGTAAGTGCCTGTCTAAGAAACAGAAACTTTAAGCTGGTCCGAATGCAGTGGTATTTACAACTAATTGATCACAACCGGTTACAGATTTCTTTGTTCCTTCTCCACTCCCACTGCTTAACTTGACCAGCCTTAAAAAAATAAATTAAAAACAGGAGGCCAGGCACAGTGGTTCACGCCTATAATCCCAGCACTTTGCGAGGCCGAGGCTTGAGGACTGTTTGAGCCCAGCGGTTCAGGACCAGCCTGGGCAACACAATGAGACCTCACATATACAGAAAATAAAAAATAGCCGGGCGTGGTGGTGCTTGCCGGTAGTTCTAGGCTTGGGAGGCTCAGGCTGAAATTTGAGGTTACAGTGAGCTATGATAGCACCACTGCACTCCAGCCTGGGTGACAGAGTAAAACCCTGTCTCAAAAGAAAGAGGAAAATTTTGATGTTTGCATAGGAAGACTCACTGATTCCATATAGAACCACTAATGCTAATTACCATAAGCAAAGATTAAGTGCAGTCCGGGCATGGTGGCTCACACCTATCATCACTTTGGGAGGCCGAGGTGGGAGGATGGCTTGAGCCCAGGAGTTTGAGACCAGCCTGGGCAACATAGTGAGACCCCATTTCTATTTTTAAAAAAAAATACACACACACACACACACACACACACACACACACACGGGAAAAAAGAGTAAGTGCAGAGGAAAGCTTTCAAGCAACAGCAAAATTCACCACTGCCTGTTTGCACCATCTTCAAGTAGGTCCTATTCAATTGTCTGGTTACTGAAAGTCTCCTGACCCCTCTACACTCCCATATCAGGATCCCATATCACTCCCTAAGCAGAATCGTTGTAGAATGTCCTTTGGCAAACAGCTCCATTTAAAATTAAACTAAAAGGTCTTATTATTCCAGTAATGCATTTTAAACTTACTATTCTTGCTGCTTTAGAAGAGAAAACGTTAGCAAAAACTAGATTGTCAACAGTAGAAATTAAGGTACTAAAGGAAAACAGCTTGTAAAAGTTTTATGGCATACTCATGAATACCACCAAATTCGCCCCTTCCTCGAACTAGGGTCATTTTAAAGTAAAAACAAAAACCTAAGGCTTTGAGCCAAAAATTATGCCACTACAAACCACAGTTTTAAGACAAAGTTGCCAACCATGCAGGTATCGTTCAATGCAGAAGTCACAATGCAGAAGATAACCTTTGTACTCAAATTTTATGAATTCATTAAGGTTTTCCCTTTTCCCCTCATCGCCTTCACATGGGAAGTGGGATGTAAAAGTTAAAATGCCTAACTATGCAATTCCTTCTGCAATTTGTTGAACAGCTTCTAGAGAAAACCAAGATAATGTGGTAAATAAACTTCACAGCATCTTGTCCTCATGCACTCAACACGTGCCCAAGACTTACTTGCTGATGATGAAATGTGCTGTTGGTGCCAACAGTTTTAAGCCACTGGCAAGGAAAACATTCTAAGAAACCCTGGGCCAGTTATAATCTGCCTTCCCTATTATCACGCCAATTCTATGCAATCATCATATGCAAAACTGGGCATTCATCATCACTGCACGGAATCCAAACGCGATTCTCGGGGGTGCCCACGCTCGGCCTCCCACCCGGGTCCGACTCCTTGGAAGGGGCCTGGCCTAGCGCGCACCTGCACACGTGCGCCGGGAGGCGGGAGGTCGTCCCGCGGCCCAGCTGGTTTGTTTTCAACAATACGGTCAAAGCCACACGCCCACCGTTATTTACGCCGCCAGCCAGCGCCGGCACTTCGGAGGGAGGAAGGAAGCACCTAAGGCGCTGGGGGCGGAAACGCTGAGGAGGAGGGGTGCGCCTCAGGCGAGAGCTGGCCGGCGCCGACCCGGCCTGGGGCAGCGGCCGCAGCTCCCCGCCCGGGACCGCGCAAAAAGGCCCAAGGTCCCGGGCCGCACTCACCGAAGTCCAGGAACTGCTTCATGGAGAGCGGGGACGGCGAGAAGCGCGCGTAGAAGTCCACCTGGCCCGGAACGCCGCGCTCGGACGCCGGGCTGGAGCCCGAGTCCGAGCTGAAGCTGCGGCTGAAGCCGGCGGCGCGCAGCCCCGGGCCCGGGCCGGCCAAGGCGGCTCCGCGAAGCAGCCGCGCCAGCCTCATGCCGAGTCCCGCTAGAGAAGCCACAGCCAGTACGCCAGGTTTCCCCGCGCCTCTGCCGAGTGGTACGTGAGGGACGTGGCGGGCAGCAGGGGCGGGGATCGGCTGTCACCGGCGCGGCCCCCACCCTCCTAGCCGGAGCCCGGCCCCCTGCGCCGCTGGGCGGGACGCGGAGCGGGAAGGAGGCGGGGAGAGAAAAGGGGCGGGCGCTTGCGGGGCCCGCCCCCTCGCCGGAGTCCCGCCCAGCCTCCCGAGGAAGGAGATGCGGAGCGCGCGCCAGGCCGCAGCCGCCGCCCAGATCCCGCCCCAGCCGGCGAGGTGTGGGGTGAGCGTGTCGGCCGTCCCCGTACACGTCGGGTGATGGGACTGGGGACACTAAGAGGCGAGGCGGTATGGAGCGTCCCCTTCCCGCACCCTTTTGAAACAAATCCCACCTTCCTGCTTCCTCTGCCCTCCCAATCTCAGCCAAAAGGCTCAAGGACAGGGCGGCGTTCCGCTTGCACACACCGCGGTGTCGTGCTGCGAGCGCGTTCCAGAAACGCTCCTCTGTGACGCAAGCCACGCATTTTCCAGGGTCAGAGAGCTTCAGGAGTCCCCGCTTGCCAAACAGTAGTACGTAAATACGAAAGCTGAACACTGGGACGTGTGGCCCTAAATAGTATCACCGCGACGGCGGCCCCGGGAGAAGAGATGTACTGCCATGTACTGGCTCTGTGCCTTTGAGTGAGCTGTTTAACCTCTCTGAGCCTCCGTCTCTTTACCTGAAAAAGGAGCATATTATCTGTTTCAGTTGCTGTGACATGGGTAGTAGAGCTATCTGTGTTAGCACAATGCCGGGGACATACCAGATAATAAATGGGATTTATTTTTACCATTATTGCTTTTTAAAATTATTTCATTATTAAGATTTTATCAGAACCACCAATCTGCGTTTTCCCTGAAGCACATTTTACCAAAAGTTTGAGAGAAAACGGTTTTTGGCGGTTTTATAACTATTTGATGTATTCGAGTATCAGCAGTTCTCCCACACTGACTGTTGGTTTTAGAAAGTGTAACGGGTACATAGTTTTGTGAACTCCGAAAGTTTGAGACAAGTCTCAGTTAATGTATAAAGTTTATCTTGACAAGGTTGAGGACGCGTGCCCGTGACACAGCCTCAGGAAGTCCTGAGAACACGTGCCCAAGGGGTGAACAGCTTGGTTTTATACAGGGAGACAGGAGACCTCAATCTATATGCAAGAAGTACATTGGTTCCTGCCGGAAAGGTGGGACAACTTGAAGCAGGGAGGAAGGCTTCCAGGTTATAAGTAGGTGAGAGACAAATGGTTGCAGTCTTTGGAGTTTCTGATAAGCCTTTCCCAAGGAAGCAATCAGATATGCATCTGTCTCAGCAGAGGGATGACTTTGAATAGAATGGGAGGCAGGTTTGCCTTGAGCAGTTCCCAGCTTGAATTTTCCCTTTAGCTCAGTGATTTTGTGGCCCGTGATATTTTCCTTTCACATATCAGTGAATCTTCATTCGCATTATGTTTTTCTGGACAACCACATGTGGATACCGTATGGGACATTATTCTTTTGGCCAGACAGCTTTGTCAAACCTGGTATCAGTATGCGCATCTGGAGTGCCCATCTCTTTCTTGGCAAATTTCCAGATATCTTTGCTGAGTGCCCGAGGGGCACACTTCCTGAAGTCCGTTTCAATGGGATGTGCTTGGGAATGTTGATGGTGTCACCACCTCATTGATGGCTGAATGGCCCCCTTCTTCTTCCCACCCTTCTTCTGCGGGACCTAAGTTGGAAAGAAGAAAACAATTTTAAGTTGAATATTACACATTCTTAAAATAGTCCCTCAAACATTTCCACAGCTCTACCCCAGCCTCTCAGGTTGCCTCCTCCTTTCTAATCTCCTTCCTTCTAGATTATTCCCTGAGCTCCAAAGTCTTGTCACTTTATCATGCACAGCATTATTCAGCTCCCTCAATCCCTGTTTGCAATTTTGCTGCTTTCTGCCTGAGCATGTCAAGATGCTCAGCTGAACATTAATTTGCGTGAAAGTACAAAGGCCCAGCAGAAACCTTGAGACTATTTTAGCAAGATTTTTTTCCCTCAGGAAGGAATCAACTGTTGTATAAAGTGCTTTTTCCTTTCTCCAAAGTATATTCACCATGCTTCAACCAATATACAGAGAATGTGCATATAAAAGTACATATTAAATGGTGTCAACTTTTGCTTCTTAGTCAAAGACTTAGAGTCCAGAAACTGGAGAGAACCTTTGAGGACTTTAGTAAACAGCTGTATTACTTCTCTGTTGTTATGGTCTGAATGTGTCCCCTAAAATTTCTATGTTGAAACTTAATTATCAATGTGATAGTATTAAGAGGTGGAGCCTTTAGGAGAGAATTAAGTCATGAGGGCAGAGCCTTATAAAAGGGCGTGAGGGGGTGAGTCAGTTCCTACCATCTCTTCTACCATGTGAGTGAAACTGCCTTTGAAAAATTATAACAGTGAGAAAATTTTGACAGTGAAAGAGATCTGACCTAACCAACTCCATCTTGCTTCTCACTTCCAAGCTGCCCTTGTTTATTCCTGGGCATAGGCCAAACTAACTTTGGGAGGAATTTAGATTACAAACTTTGAAACAAAGATGATAAGAGCTCTTCCATGAAACAAATCCCCAGCTTTCCTGGGGACCAGACCACCTTTGTTAAACTAACAGATTAGGCAGGGCACAATGGCTCATGCCTGTAATCCCAGCACTTTGGGAGGCCAAAATGGGAGGATTGTGTAAGTCCAGGAGTTCGAGACCAGCCTGGGCAACATAGACCTTGTCTCTACAAAAAATGAACAAAATTAGCTGGGCATGGTGGCACTTGCCTGTAGTGCTTCGTGGGGAGCATCACTTGAGCCCAGGAGGTGTAGTTTGCAGTGAGCCAAGATCCTGCCACTGCATTTCTGCCTGTGTGACAGAGCGAGACCTTGTCTCAAAAAATAAGTAAACTAACAAATTAACTAGAAGATTAGAAATTATAGCTCAGGAGTCATGCAGCCAGAGTCCACAAGATCACCAACCTCCACAATTGCTCCTATAGATAACATTGCTATTATAAAACCTAACATTGGTGTTTGAGTTATTTTTCAAATCCTGAATTCCAGTGGACCAGCTGGAACCACACAGATAAGTAAAATGACTCATCTGGTCTTGTGGCCCCCTCCAGAAACTGACTCAGCATAAGATGACAGCTTCGACTCCCTATAATTTTATTCCTGACCCAACCAATCAGCATTCCCCATTCTATAGCCTGCTGTCTGCCAAACTATAAAAAAACCCTAGCCTCTGAATTTTCAGGAGGTTAATTTGAGTAGTAATAAAACTCATCTTCTGTTTAGCCAGCTCCACATGCACTAAACTCTTTGTCTTGATAAATTGGCTCTATCTGGTCAGCAGGCAAGAAAAACCTATTGGATGGTTACATGAGGACACAGCAAGAAAGCCCTTATGAGACACTGAGTTCCGGCATCTTGATCTTGAACTTCACAGCCTCTAGAACTGTAAGAAAACTAATTTCTGTCATTTATAAATTATCCAGACTGTATTTTGTTACAGCACCACTAACAGACTAAGACACACATGTAGATATAAAGTGTAATCATACTGTAAGCTTCTATAAAAAAATTTTTACATAGCAGACATGAGCCAGCCCCTGTAAATTCACTGAGAATTTGTGATCCATGTTGGACTGATGTGACTGAAAGGAATGGAAAAAGCAATACAAAACAAGCTAGACTGTGTCACCTTGTCCCCAGTACCCTCTGGCTTCATGAGGTTCAGAAGACAAAAGGAAAGAAAAGTCATATTTTTTCCCCCTGCTTCTTTTCTTCCAAGCTATAATTTGTGTTCCTCTAAGTGTGGCCATAGCTTCCTACCCTTGTCCAGTATCCATAGAGATAGTACTAATTTTTCTCTGTTGCTGATTGGGTGCTCACCAGCCCTGGAGGTTTAATTCTGCCCACACTCCTGTAAATAGTCCCTTCATTAATTAATTAATCAATTTCCCTTTTGAGTGTGCTATCATTTCCTGCCCTAGAACCCTTTTTGATATGCTGGAAAGATAATTTTCAAAAAAGGTAAAATAATGACTCTCATGCAGCTATAAAATGAACATGTGTCAAAAATTTTATTTAATACATTAATTAAATGAGGGAACCAGTAAAGATATTATAGCCAGTTCAAAGGAGAAGTGAAAAAACAGGAATTCAGAAAAATTTGCAAAGGCTGTAAAACTGGCTCTTTCCTTGGGAATCAGGGAGGGTTGCCCTTCTACCTGACAGAATTTATTTGCACATGTATAGGTAAGAATTATGTGCGTTGTTACCATTTATCTGCAATTTACAGAGTTGTAAAATAGCTCAAAGACAGTGAATTGGAATCAGATACCCTGAAAAGTTGTGCTCTAAACAATACGTAATATTCCACTGAAGCATAATTTTTCTCCATATACATTTGCCTTCTTTCTTTAAAGGGTACTTTGATTCAGGTAATTACTTGTGTAGTGATATGAGGGCATCCTATTCACCAGGATTTATTTAGCACAAACATAGTTTTTATCTGGAGTAAGTGCTTTGAAATGCTGATGGAGTGGAAGGAGAGATCTGTAGGGAAGGCTCAGAACAGCTTTACAGGAAGCAAGGAGAGGAATTCACTTTGTAGAGCAAAGGGGAAGGGGAGGAGGCAGAAGATTGCAAAGACTGTTCACAATGTGAGCACTCCTTATAACCCAAACCTTCAGTAAAGTTTGCAAAAAAAGAGAGATTATTGGATACTGAAGCTTTTATGTGTTGTGCTTTTGTGAAAATTGGAGGAAAGGATGAATTTTTTTTATGAGAGTTTGTGGCAATGGAGATAGACTTTGCACACAAAGAGTCTGAGTGGTGGTGGGGTGGGGGGTACTATAAATGAGACTATGAGCCTCAAGAATTTACAGACATGGACAGGGAGAACTCTAGACTTTCACAAACTGAGACTGGTAATGTTAAAAGATAAATTTGGGCACATTAAAAGTTTTAAAAATTTATTTGAACTGTTGATTTAAAAAAAAGACTCAAACTCTGTAAAATATTTTAAGAGATTTATTCCGAGCCAAATGTGAGTGACCAAGGCCTGAGGCACAGTCCCAAGAGGTCCTGAAAACATGTGCCCAAGGTGGTCGGGTCATAGCTTGATTGTGTACAGTTTTAGGGGAACAGAAGTTGCAGGCAGACATCACTCAGTACATGTAAAGCGTACACTGCTTTGGTCTGAAAAGGCAGGACAACTTTAAGACGTAATATAGGGGGATTGGGAAACTTGTGGCAGGAGGGGGCTTCCAGGTTATAGGGAGAGTCAAAGATTTTCTGACTGGCAATTGGTTGAAAGAGTTAAGTTACTATCTCAAGACCTAGGATCAATTGAAAGGAGTGTCTGGATTAAGACAAGGGGTTGTGGAGACCAAGATTCTTATTACACAGATAAAGGTCCCACATAGCAGGCTTCAGAGAGAACAGATAGTAAATGTCTCTTATCAGACCTAAAAAGGTGTCAGACCTTAAAAGGAAAAACCTGGAAAGGGAAGGGGATCCTCTACAGAATATAGATTTTCCCCAGAAGAAATAGCTTTGCAGGGCTAGTTCAAAATATGTCAAAAAAATATGTTTTGTAGTAAAACACTTCAGTTTATTTCAGGACCTGCTATCTGTCATGTGTTGCTACTGAGGAGTAAATTCTGATTTTTTTATCTTGCCCAAATTCCTATCTAAGAGTTCTGGGGAGTCA
The DNA here is from genome assembly GCF_000001405.40 of Homo sapiens. Classification (NCBI taxonomy): domain Eukaryota; kingdom Metazoa; phylum Chordata; class Mammalia; order Primates; family Hominidae; genus Homo; species Homo sapiens. The sequence continues at coordinate 172,550,344 of NC_000002.12, read as the reverse complement.
TGCCCTACAAACCATAAATTCTCATCAGATGGGTTTTATTTAACCCTATATATCGAGACTTACTTTTCACCCTGACTCTGGAATAACATTACATGACAAGGAAGAAAAGCAAAATATTTTATCCCAAAACATGTTTTTTTGCCATATCTTGAAATGGCCCTGCAAATCTGTCTTTTGTGGGGGAAAATTTGCATCAGTAAAGAATCTCTATTAACATAGCTAGATCTTTTACTTCCAGGCCCTCCCAATCCTAAAAAGATTAACTTAAAGTCTAGCACCTTTTAAAGATCTGAATAGGAAACGTTTGTCATCTGTTGTCTCTGAGGGCAGCCACAATAAAACTTCAAAAGAACCTTGGTCTCCACAATCCTTTATCTTAACCTGAACATTTCCTTTCTGTGATCTCAGGTCTTTAGATAAACTCAACCAATTGTAAATCAGAAAATGTTTAAATTTACCTATAGCCTGGAAGCCCCAACTTTGAATTGTCCTACCTTTCAGGACTAAACCAATGTATTTCTTAAATGTATTTGATTGATGTCTCATGCCTCCCTAAAATGTATAAAACCAAACTGTGCCCCAATCACCTTGGGCACATGTTCTGAGGACCTCCTGAGAGCTGTGTCACGGGGCCATGGTCACTCATATTTGGCTCGGAATAAATCTCTTCAAATATTTTACAGAGTTTGGGAGTCCTCGGCCTCCCAAAGTTCTGGGATTACAGACGTGAGCCACTGTGCCCAACCTTGTAACTGTTTCTTATCAGACTTTAAAAAGGTGCCAGAGTTAGTTAATTCCCTTCTGAATCAGGGAAAGTACTTGGAAAGGGAAGAGGATTCTCTGTAGAATGTAGATTTTCCCCACAAGAGACAGCTTTGCAGGGCCATTTCAAAATATGTCAAGAAATATATTTTGGGATAAAATCTTTAGTTTCTTGCAGAACCTGCTCCTTGTCATGTTGGTATCTTAGGCTACAAACAGTCTGTTTTGTCAGATGTAAAATCTCTATGTTAATGTTAATGCTGGTCAGCTGTACCTAAATTCCAGAAGGGAGGACAGAATAATGAGACATGTCTGACCCCGCCTTCCCATCATGGCCTGAACTAGTTTCTCAGGTTAACTTTGGAATGCTCTTGGCCAAAAGGAGGGGTCCATTCAGTTGGTTGGAGGGTTTAGAATATATATATTTTTTGAGACAGAGTCTCACTCTGTTGCCCAGGCTGACGTGTAGTGGCATGATCTCAGCTCACTGCAACCTCCGCCTCTTGGGTTGAAGTGATTCTCCAACCTCAGCCTCCCGAGTAGCTGTGATTACAAGTATGTGCCACCACACCTGGCTAATTTTTGTAATTTTAGTAGAGATGGGGTTTCACCCTGTTGGTCAGGCTGGTCTTGAACTACTGACCTCAGATGATTTGCCCACCTCGCCTCCCAAAGTGGTGGGATTACAGGCCTGAGCCACTGCCCCAGCCGAATTTTATTTTTGGTTTACAAGGGAGAAGCTCATTGGGTAAACCAACTAAGGAGGGGCAGAATAACCAAATACTTATTTTATTTTGTTAATCCTTTCAGAGGTGCAATGGTTTTCACTCACATCTGTGTGAAGAGACCACCAAACAGGCTTTGTGTGAGCAATAAAGCTTTTAATCACCTGGGTGCAGGCGGGCTAAGTCCGAAAGGAGAGTCAGCAAAGGGATATAAGGATGGGGCCATTTTATAAGATTTGGGTAGGTAAAGTAAAATTATAGTCAAAGGGGGGTTGTTCTCTGATTGGCAGGAGTGGGGTTCACAGGGTACTCATTGGGGGAGCTTTTGAGCCAGGATGAGCCAGGAGAAGGAATTTCACAAGACAATGTCATCAGTTAAGGCAGGAACAGGCCATTTTCACTTCTTTTGTGGTGGAATGTCATCAGTTAAGGCAGGAACCGGCCATCTGGATGTGTACTTGCAGGTCACAGGGGATATGATGGCTTAGCTTGGGCTCAGAGGCCTGACATTTGTGTTGACAGATTTTTACTTTGTATTTGCCAGGCCTCTTTCAGACTCAAGCACAAAAAACTCAGTTCAAATGTCTTTAAATAACTGGACACTATTTTGTCTGATGTTGATGCAGGATTTTTCTTGGTCACTTTGCCAGCTGGAGACCTCTGGCTGGTGATGCCCCCTCCAGGCTTTGGTGGGGCACACTACCTGCCCCTAGGAGGTGGCCTGCCCTTCGACCCACCCAGGCTGGGCCCCAGCCCCCCTGTGTTATAGCTCGTACCCACATACAGCGGTCCCTAAGTTCTTGTCCTGTGTCCAAGAAGAATGCGCGTACTCTGACAATTGAAGGGTGAGGAGGGCGGAAAAGAATTGTATTGAGCAAGAGAAGAGCTCTCAATAGAGGCAGGACATGGGGGTGGTCCCCCACTTGAAGTTGGGCGGTTTCTTTCCCAGTGTGGCTGAGTCCAGGGCTTTTATGGGCTCAGAATAGGGGAGTACGTGCTGGTTTGTGAATATGCAAAAAAGATTAAAACACAGGCATGAATCAAAGGTGGGCATGACTGTAAAAAACCCATTAGGGAAGGGGTAGGTGTATGTAAAGTAGGTGAAGGGTAGGGGTAAATCAGAGGAAAGCATGCCAAACTGGAAGACAGGTTCTTAATCTGGTTCATGGATTTGACTTATAACTTGGTTCTTAGGCTTTAAATTGTCTTTGGCTTGGAGGTGGGGTTTCACCAGTTACCTGTCCCTGTCTGCCTAGGCATTTTTCTGCCTCCTGCTGCTATCCATTCCCCTCTCTGAGGAGGTACATCTAACTGCCATTAGAATAGAAATGAAGACTGAACTTAACTGCTTCCTGCTGACAGGGGCCGCTGTTTTGGGAAGATGGCAGTCAGATCTCCCTCAGAGGCCTATTTAAGGGTCCCCGGTAAAAGGGAGCCATTGTCTGAAGCTGCGGTTGCATTACAGTTTGGAGTTTGATAACCTGAAGTCAAGAAGAGACATATTAGAAGACATATGTCAGGCCAGGCACAGTGGCTCATGCCTGTAATCCAAACACTTTGGGAGCCTGAGACAGGCGGATCATAAGGTCAGGCGTTTGAGACCAGCCTGGCCAACATGGTGAAACCCCGTCTTGGCCAGGCGCGGTGGCTCACGCCTGTAATCCCAGCACTTTGGGAGGCCGAGGCAGGCAGATCACGAGGTCAGGAGATCGAGACCATCCTGGCTGACATGGTGAAACCCTGTCTCTACTAAAAATACAAAAAATCAGCCAGGCGTGGTTGTGGGTGCCTGTAGTCCCAGCTACTCGGGAGGCTGAGGCAGGAGAATGGCGTGAACCTGGGAGGCAGAGCTTGCAGTGAGCCAAAATCACGCCACTGCACTCCAGCCTGGGCGACAGAGCAAGACTCCATCTCAAAAACAAACAAAAAAAGAAACCCCATCTCTACTAAAAATACAAAAAATTAGCTGGGCGTGGTGGCATGTGCCTGTAATCCCAGCTACTTAGGAGGCTGAGGCAGGAGAATTGCTTGAACCCAGGGGGCGGAGGTTGCAGTGAGATGAAATTGCGCCATCGTACTCCAGCCTGGGTGACAGAGCAAGCAAGACTCCATCTTGAAAAAAAGAAAAAAAGAGGACATGTATCAAAACAAAACAAAAGAGGGGGGATAAGGGCAGCTCCAAAATCCTGAGGCTGCTGACACGCCCAGATAACTGGGGGCTATGGTTATGCCTGCTAAGATTTGAGTGCATGGGCTTAGCTTTGGTTAGCTCCTTTGGTCTTATTTTCCCAAAAACGAAACTGCTGGGTTATAGACACCCTATTTACTCCTGTCACCTGGCAGGACTTGCAGAATGATTGCCCAGAACTTAAAAATTGTTTCAGATTTTTACATTACCCATCCCTTTTTTCTCTTCTGAACTGCAGCCAGAGATCACTGGTTAGTTCACAGGAATAAGCAGGGTTAGTCTAAAATGCAGACAAAAACTTAAAAACTACTAATAATGAGACTAGAATAGAATGACAAGTGTATAAGTTTTGAAACATAATTGCTCTCTCTCCAGTCCTCATTTTTGTTAAAACAAATCATGATAGGACTGAATTGTTTGCAAAACTGAGTTTAGTTTCATACTTGGCCTGATTATTTGCATAAAGTGCAGCAAGAATAATTATTTTCACATAGGCTTTTAAAAATTGGCTCTGATGAAACCCTGTTCTCTAAGGAAGCTCAGTTGACACTTTTTAAAGCCCAGCCCAGCCATGGGTTTGTACTCTTAAATACCTATGAATTGGGTACATTTCTCTCTTCTTGAGGGCCCAAGATGACTTGGGGCTCCTAGCCCTGTTAGAAAGTGACATTTCTAACTCACCAAACCTGTATGGAGATTGTGTAGACAAGGCATGAGGCAAGCTTTCCTGAGGGAAAACTTGCAAGCTTTATTGCCTCTGCAAGTCAAGCTTGATTCCCTAGAGGGAACCACACCCTTTTAGTAAAAGCCTTGGTAAAAGAACCAGTTTCTCCAATTGCATCTTGTTGCAAAAGAAAATGGATTCTTATTGCGCTTATGCAGAACATTATATTGCTATAAGTTAAGAATATTTGCATCTAGCTTCCAAATTTTGGAGAAACCAGGCAGAGAGAAACAAATATGCTCCAAATTTTGTTTGCAGGAGTATACCTTACTCAATTGTTAAAAGTTGTAAATAGCTGAAAATAAAAGTTTTCCTGGCTTTGAAAAACAAAAGGTTCAGCAACATTTTAAGCAAAAAATTAAAAAGGATTACTTCAGTTTTCTATTAGTTCAGTCCATTTTGTTAACTCTTATTCTGCAATTCAGCTCTTCATGAATCCTATATTGTTTTCCTCTATTCCAATGTCACAATCTCCCAAGTTATCAGAAACCTTTATTTAAGAGCACGTGTCAAAGTCCTATAGCTGATTATAAACCATCTTTTGAAAAGGATCAAAACAAGACAACAGTTGTCTCTGAATAACAAAATGTCCAGGGTAGTTACAGTCAAAAACAGGATTAACAAAGAAATTTGGTTATTATTGTGGTTTATAATAACTTAACATAGTAACTCTAATTATGATTGATAGCATATACTCAAACATTAGAATTTTAGAAATCCAATACAATTTTGGAACATATTTTAATATGATATACTAAAATATAACCTGAAGAAGTTAAACATAATTTTTATTTTGACAATGCTGTGTAACTAAACATGTCAGATAATCCTGTTTATTTCTCTTTTGGGTGCTTCAGGGGCCCTCTGTAGCAGCTAAAAGTTGGGAGTCAGGAAAGAGAATTTTGAAGTTGAAGTTTGATTTTGGGAAGCCTATCAAATATGTTAAAGATTTAGAACACTTGATATTATGAAATAGAATTCCAGGTTATCATAAATCATTTATTTACCTAAAATGATGGCTCAAAATTTTAATGTTATATATCTTTATTTCTTTAATCATACGATCCATTCTTTTTTTATTATTATACTTTAAGTTCTGGGGTACATAGGCACAACATGCAGGTTTGTTACATACGTGTACATGTCCCATGTTGGTTTGCTGCACCCATCAATTCGTCATTTGCATTAGGTATTTCTCCTAATGCTATCCCTCCCCAAGCCCTCCACCCCTCAACAGGCCTCAGTGTGTGATGTTCCCCTCCCTGTGTCCATGTATTCTCATTGTTCAAATCCCACTTATGAGTGAGAACATGCGGTGTTTGGTTTTCTCTTCTTGTGTTACTTTGCTGAGAATGATGGTTTCCAGTTTCATCCATGTCCCTGCAAAGGACATGAACTCATCCTTTATTATGGCTGCATAGTATTCCATGATGTATATGTGCCACATTTTCTTTACCTAGTCTATAATTGATGGGCATTTGGGTTGGTTCCAAGTCCTTGCCATTGTGAATAGTGCTGGGCCCAAGCTGAGCTGCTGTCAGTATCCAAAGGGTCCAGTCTGGTGATCTGAAGAACAACAACAGGAGACTCTGGACAGCAGAAAAGGTCCATCCCTGATCTAGGTTCTGAGGGCCTGCCATGAGCCTTTCCATCTTAGTTCAAATTTCTCCTTTCACTGTGAGAGTTACCTGAAACTCGGCGTCTGTGATGGTCTAGGGGGCTTCCAAGGTGATCGGGCAGTGTCAGTCTTCAGCCACTAAGCCGAGAAGATCTGGGAAGGAGTCAGTCAGAGAGCCAGGGGCTCTGCGAGTGGCTGCCAGGTGAGTTGAACTGTCCGATTTTCAGTGGGGTCCTGCACAGATTGGACGCAGCTTAGGAGGAATTCTGGGCTGTGGGCATTCCTTGGCCTGGTGGCCAGATTTCTGGCACTTGTAGCAAGCTTCTGGGGGAGGCGGGCCTGAAGGAATGCCTGGCCACTGTGGTTTAGGCATTTGGAAGTTTTTGTGTGTGGAGATGTGGCTGGGGTTTGTCTCACAGTGGAGGCAAGGAATTGCAACTCAGAAATATGTTGCTACTTGGCTGCCTCTACTCTATTATTGTACACCTTGAAGGCGAGGTTAATTAAGTCCTGTTGTGGGGTTTGAGGGCTGGAATTTAATTTTTGGAGTTTTATTTAATGTCGGGAGCAGATTGGATAATAAAATGTATATTGAGAATAAGACGTCCTTTTGACCTTTTAGGGTCTAGGGCTGTAAAGCGTCTCAGGGTTGCTGCTAAATGAGCCATGAACTGGGCTGGGTTCTTATATCTGTTGAAAAAGAGCCTAAATGCTCTCTAATTTGGGATAAAGAAAAAGGAGCATTAACCTTGATTGTGCCTTTAGCTCCAGCCACCTTTTTAAGAGGAAATTGCTGGGCAGGTGGGGGAGGGCTAGTCTCAGAACGAAACTGTGAGCCGGACCTGGTGTGAGGAGGGGAGGTGATAAAAAGGATAATAGGGTGGAGGAGCAGAGGCTGAGGAAGAATTGGGACCTAGCTCAGCCTGGCGAGGAGGGGAGAGGTCAGATGGGTCTGTAGAAAAGGAATATTAGAAAGACTCAGCGATGCTTGGGGTTGGGACTAAGGGGACAGGCGGGAGAGAAAGAAGGAAGATTTGGGACAAGTTGCATTGGGAACAGAAACTAGGGAGGGACCGACGTGTAAAAGAATGCCTGGACGTCAGGCACCTCAGACCGTTTGCCTATTTTACGGCAAGAATTATTTAGATCTCATAGGATGGAAAAATTGAAAGTGCTATTTTCTCGCTATTTGGAACCACTGTTGAGTTTGTATTGGGTCAAGTGGCATTGCAGAAGGAAATAAGGCATTTAGGTTTTAGGTCAGGTGTTTGTTGAAGAGGTTTTAGGTTTTTAAGAACACAGGCTAAGGGAGAAGAAGGGGGAATGGAGGGTGGAAGCTTGCCCATAGTGAAGGAGGCAAGCCCAGAGAAAAGAGAGAGTAGAGACACGGAGAGAAGGGGTGGGGGGTTCTTGACCCCCAGAAAAGCAGAGAAGGGGTAAAGACAGAGAGAAGGGGTCGGGGGGTTCCTGCCCCCTAGAAAAGCAGTACTTGCCACTAAGAGTGAAGGAGAAGGGGTTGAGGGGTTCTTGCCCCCTAGAAAAGTGGTACTTGCTGCTAAGGGTGAAGGAGAAGGGGTTGGGGGGTTCTTGCCCGCCAGAAAAGTGGAGAAGGGGTAGAGACACGGAGAGAAGGGGTTGGGGGGTTCTTGCCCCCCAGAAAAGCGGTACTTGCTGCTAAGGGTGACGGACCAAGGCAGGCGTCCCTGCATGGTCAGACACCTCTGAAACTTAGGTGAATAATCAGGCAGGCGTCTCCGCGTGATTAAACACCAAGAGAAGACTGTCTTCCCCAGTCCTTGACTGGCGCCGGAGTTTTGGGTCCACGGATAAAACGTGTCTCCTTCATCTCTACCAGAAAAGGAAAGGAACTGAAATTAAGAGAAGGGAGAGACTGAAGTGTGACGCCAAGATTTAAAGGAGAAAGAGGTTGAGGGATAGTGAGAGAGGTTGTAGAAGAGAGTAAAAAGAGGCCACTTACTGGATTTAAAATTGGTGAGATGTTCCTTGGGCTAGTTGGTCTGGGGACCAGAGGTCGTAGGTGGATCTTTCTCACAGAACAAAGAGCAGGAGGACAGGGGATTGATCTCCCAAGGGAGGTCCCCCGATCTGAGTCATGGCACCAAATTTCACTCACGTCCATGTGAAGAGACCACCAAACAGGCTTTGTGTGAGCAATAAAGCTTTTTAATCACCTGGGTGCAGGCGAGCTGAGTCCAAAAAGAGAGTCAGCCCAAAAATTTTTTTAAAAAGCAAAAACCTTTACTCATTTAGAGGGAAGACTTAGGTTTCCAAACAGTCTGTCTCTTGTATCTCCCTTCCTTTTTTTTTCAGTAGCTTATTTGCAAGACAAACAAAAGTCTTTCATTATCCTTTAATTATATTACGTGAAAATCTTGTTTAAGAGAGAGAAAGCCAAATTCCACCCTTACATTAGTCTTCTATTAATGTCAGCCTTAATTTTTAAAAAACGAAACCTTATAGGCTGGGGGTGGTGCCTCACACCTGTAATCTCAGCACTTTGGGAGACAAAGGCAGGGGATCATTTGAGACCAGGAGTTCGAGAACAGCCTGGCCAACATGGACAGACCTTGTCTCTATTAAAAATGCAAAAATTAACTGGGCCTGGTGGTACCCACCTGTAATCCGAGCTACTCAGGAATCTGAGACAGGAGAATCACTTGAACCCAGTAGGCGGAGGTTGCAGTGAGATTGTACCACAACACTCCAGCCTGGGTAGTGACAGAGTGAGACTCTGCCTCAAAAACAACAACAAAAAACCTTATAGGTAATTCTATCAAATCTTAACCTGTTCATCTGTCAGGTGAGATTCTTATAAACCATTTTTTTTTTTTTTTTTTTGAGACAGAGTCTCGATCTGTTGCCCAGGCTGGAGTGCGGTGGCACGATCTCAGCTCACTACAACCTCCGCCTCCCTGGTTCAAGCAGTTCTTCTACCTCAGCCTCTTGAGTAGCTGGGATTACAGGCACCCACCACCATACTTGGCTAATTTTTGTATTTTTAGTAGAGATGGGGTTTCGCTGTGTTGGCCAGGCTGGTCTCGAACTCCTGACATGGGGTTGGGCGATCCGACCACCTCAGCCTCCCAAAGTGCTGGGATTACAGGCATGAGCCACTGCGCCCATCCTCTTATAAGCCTTTTATAACTCTTTACACATTTTTGTTAAAGAGCAGATCAGTGCCTTTAGAAAACCTTGTTTTCCTTTTATTCCCATGTTCTATTTGTGGAAAAACCAAATAATACTCTTGAATTTAGTCAATACATTTACACACAAGATTTCTTTTACAAAGTTAATTTTTACAGACCTTCCACAACTTGTTCAAACCTTTAATTTAAAACAATCCTTTAACCCTCTAGGCAAAAATTTACATTCCCATGCCTTCTTATAATCTTTTACTAAAAACATATTTTACTTTTCTCTTACACCTTCCATGTAAATCTATTTTCGGTAGCCTCCGTTACATGTTATAATGGTAACTCTTAGATATTTTTAGTGTTAATGTAAAACCTGGTTAGTTATTTTAATTATGTACTAGGCACAGGTAAGGTGTCTTTCCAGCATAGTTAGGGGTACAGTTAAATCCATATGTCCCCAGGCCTTAAACTGTAAAGCAGGCAAGTCTTAACAACTTTCAAAAGCCAAAGAAGCAGTTTTTGACCTTAAAGTATTTAGTAATCCAAGTATTTGACCTGCATAATTTAGACCACATATTTACATTTTGAAGACATTTGTCATATAACCTTTAAGACTTTTTTTATTTCTCAAAGATTAAAGTCACATGAACTAAAAGGGATTACAGCTTCTATTTTTTCTTTAAAAATATTTGATCTAAGTGCTTATTTTTACTTAATCCAATTAATTGGAGCTCTTTTTTATATAAACATCACATACATATCACATGCATAACTACACAGACAGAAGAAGATCCACTAGTTATAAGATTTTTTTTTTTTTTTGAGACACAGTCTTGCTGTGTCGCTCAGGCTGGGGAGCAGTGATGTGATCTCAGCTCACTGCAAACTCCACCTCCTGAGTTCAAGTGATTCTCCTGCCTCAGCCTTCTGAGTAGCTGAGATTACAGGCACCCATCACCATGTCTAGCTAATTTTTCTATTTTTAGTAGAGATGGGGTTTCACCGTGTTGGCCACGGTGGTCTCAGACTCCTGGCCTCAGGTGATCCACCCACCTCAGCCTCTGAAAGTTCCAGGATTACAGGTGTCAGCCACCTGGCCCTGACAGATTTTTCACTTGCCAATCTCCTAATTGGGTTACTGGACTCGGGTTGAGCTCTTCAAAAAACCGGTAGGAAAACATGCCGTTTCTAGGGCCTAATAAGTAGGTACAGCTTGAAGACAAAAACAGATTTTGAGAGGGATCTATCTGACTTTAATTATTAGTTAGAGTTCCCTGAGGAAAACATTTTTCCCAAAATGGGTTCTGTGGTGCCTTCTCTGTTTTTCCCAAGGAATCCCAGGCTATCAGAAATTATCTTAGGCTTCTCATGTGTGCATTAAGAGTGAAAAAAAAATTAAGTCAACTGAGAAGACAAAAACCTTTTTCCAACCAAACAAGATCCAAGAAGAGAAAAAAAAGACATAAAGGTGTTTTAAATATACCTATAGCTAGGATATCCAATTTTTTTTTGTTTCAGACAGAGTCTCACTCTGTTGCTCAGGCTGGAATGCAGTGGCACAATCTCAGCTCACTGCAACTTCTACCTCTTGAGTTCAAGAGGTAGCCTCCCAAGTAGCTTACATTACAGGTGCATGCCACCATGCCCAGCTAATTTTTTGTGTTTGTAGTAGAGACAGGATTTTGACATGTTGGCCAGGCTGGTCTTAAACTCCTGAGCTCATGCAATCTACCCGCCTCGGCCTCCCAAAGTGCTAGGATTACAGACGTGAGCCACCACACGCAGCCTCTCCACTTTTAATATAAGCTGACTTTTAACCATGGTGCTCTTTTAAAAAATATTTTCAAATCCCTTATTACTTGAGTTGGTCAAGCCGCCAATATTTCTGGCTTTTGAACTTTACCAAAAGCAACCTCACAGGTGAAACTAACAAACCTCAACTAAGGTTATGACTTAACCACAAGTATTATGAATTATTTTCAAAGAGATGTTAAGCAGTTTTTTAAAAATCTAGAATCTCTAAATGTGGCTCACAGAAAGGAAGATTTATTTATTTATTTATTTTTTATTTTTTATTGATTTATTTATTTATTTTTTTATTTATTTATTTTTTTATTGATCATTCCTGGGTGTTTCTCGCAGAGGGGGATTTGGCAGGGTCATAGGACAATAGTGGAGGGAAGGTCAGCAGATAAACAAGTGAACAAAGGTCTCTGGTTTTCCTAGACAGAGGACCCTGTGGCCTTCCGCAGTGTTTGTGTCCCTGGGTACTTGAGATTAGGGAGTGGTGATGACTCTTAAGGAGCATGCTGCCTTCAAGCATCTGTTTAACAAAGCACATCTTGCACCGCCCTTAATCCATTTAACCCTGAGTGGACACAGCACTTGTTTCAGAGAGCACAGGGTTGGGGATAAGGTCACAGATCAACAGGATCCCAAGGCAGAAGAATTTTTCTTAATACAGAACAAAATGAAAAGTCTCCCTTGTCTACTTCTTTCTACACAGACACGGCAACCATCCGATTTCTCAATCTTTTCCCCACCTTTCCCCCCTTTCTATTCCACAAAACCGCCATTGTCATCCTGGCCCGTTCTCAATGAGCTGTTGGGTACACCTCCCAGATGGGGTGGTGGCCGGGCAGAGGGGCTCCTCGCTTCCCAGTAGGGGCGGCCGGGCAGAGGCGCCCCTCACCTCCCGGACAGGGCAGCTGGCCAGGCGGGGGGCTGACCCCCCCATCTCCCTCCCAGACGGGGCAGCTGGCCGGGCAGAGGGGCTCCTCACTTCCCAGTAGGGGCGGCCAGGCAGAGGCGCCCCTCACCTCCCGGACGGGGCGGCTGGCCGGGCGGGGGGCTTATCCCCCCACCTCCCTCCTGGACGGGGCGGCTGGCCGGGCGGGGGGCTGACCCCCCCACCTCCCTCCCGGACGGGGCGGCTGGCCGGGCAGAGGGGCTCCTCACTTCCCAGTAGGGGCGGCCGGGCAGAGGCGCCCCTCACCTCCCGGACGGGGCGGGTGGCCGGGCGGGTGGCTGACCCCCCCACCTCCCTCCCGGATGGGGCGGCTGGCCGGGCGGGGGGCTGACCCCCACGCCTCCCTCCCGGACGGGGCGGCTGGCCTGGCGGTGGCTGACCCCCACCTCCCTCCCGGACAGGGTGGCTGCCGGGTGGAGACGCTCCTCACTTCCCAGACGGGGTGGCTGCCGGGCGGGGGGGCTCCTCACTTCTCAGACGGGGCGGCTGCCGGGCGGAGGGGCTCCTCACTTCTCAGATGGGGCGGCCGGGCAGAGACGCTCCTCACCTCCCAGACGGGGTCGCGGCCGGGCAGAGGCGCTCCTCACATCCCAGACGGGGCGGCGGGGCAGAGGCACTCCCCACATCTCAGACGATGGGCGCCGGGCAGAGACGCTCCTCACTTCCCAGATGGGATGGCGGCCAGGAAGAGGCGCTCCTCACTTCCCAGATGGGATGGCAGCCGGGCAGAGACGCTCCTCACTTTCCAGACTGGGCAGCCAGGCAGAGGGTCTCCTCACATCCCAGACGATGGGCGGCCAGGCCGAGATGCTCCTCACTTCCCAGATGGGGTGGCAGCCGGGCAGAGGCTGCAATCTCGGCACTTTGGGAGGCCAAGGCAGGCGGCTGGGAGGTGGAGGTTGTAGCAAGCCGAGATCACGCCATTGCACTCCAGCCTGGGCACCATTGAGCACTGAGTGAACGAGACTCCGTCTGCACTCCCGGCACCTCAGGAGGCCGAGGCTGGCGGATCACTCACGGTTAGGAGCTGGAGACCAGCCCGGCCAACACAGCAAAACCCCGTCTCCACCAAAAAAAATATGAAAACCATTCAATCGCAGGCACTCGGCAGGCTGAGGCAGGAGAATCAGGCAGGGAGGTTGCAGTGAGCCGAGATGGCAGCAGTACAGTCCAGCTTCGGCTCGGCATCAGAGGGAGACTGCGGAAAGAGAGGGAGAGGGAGACCGTGGGGAGACGGAGAGGGAGAGGCAGAGGCAGAGGCAGAAAGGAAGATTTAAAAAAGGAAGCTAGAAGTTGTGGATGGATGAGAACAGAATAAGTCAATGTAAAAGTTACACAGATAGGGCCAGGCGCGGTGGCTTACGCCTGTAATCCTAGCACTTTGGGAGGCTGAGGCGGGCGGATCACAAGGTGAGGAGATCGAGACCATCCTGGATAACACAGTGAAACCCCATCTGTACTAAAAATACAAAAAATAAGCCGAGCGTGGTGGTGGACTCCTGTAGTCCCAGCTACTCGGGAGGCTGAGGCAGGAGAATGGTGTGAACCCAGGAGGCGGAGCTTGCAGTGAGCCGAGATCATGCCACTGCACTCCAGCCTGGGTGACAGAGTGAGACTCTGTCTCAAAAAGAAAAAAAAAAAAGTCACACAGATATTAGCCAGAAAGTACTCATTCCCTAAGGCAGGACTGAACATGGGATGCCATTGTAAAATGGCAGAGAGCAAGAGAAAATACTTCCATGTGGTTACAAGGTTAAGCTCCCAGGGATGTAAAACAAGATGGAGACCTCATCCAGTGTTGTTTTGTTTTTGTTTTTGTTTTTCTTCTGAGACCTGTAGCAAAGTTTGTAACTATCCAGTTTTCTGGCCTGCTTGAACAGCAGGCTTATGGGATCCTAAGCCCAGGTTTTATTCTAAGGTATTCCACCTTATGACAGAACTATACAGAAAGACACAATGTATACCAGATTAGCTACAGGTTAAGACTAGCCTCACAAATCTTTTTTTCCATTAATCAAATCTTTACAGATTATATAAACATTGATTTTTTTTTCTTTTTCTTTTTCTTTTTTTGTTTTACCATTCATTCATCCTGTTTTTACAGAGAGAGGGACGCTGGAAGTGTCACTGGTAAGAACTTTTACCCTTCTGCCAGCATGTCAGATTTCTGAGTTCCCTTCCCCTGAGCTATGGAGTCCTATCTGGAGTCCTGTGAAGGGGAAGCAGACAGAGAGGTTATCTACATACTGTAGATGTTGTCCTTCTTCAAGAGATTTTTCGGTTAGAACTGTAATTTCTTCCTGGTTCATTTTTAGGCCAAACAGTTTAAGGTTTCGGGAAATTATACTTATCCCAGTTTGGGGATACATGTGAATGGGAGGTTCCTGTGGTATGGAGACACGATTAACCATCCACAAAGGGAGGACAGACAAGGAAACAGAAAAAAGGCTTTTTTTTTTTTTTTTCAAAGGAGTTCCAATGATTCAGGATGCACTGGAGAGAAGTACAGACTGAAAATGGTTTTTACCCATCTGGAAAGAGGGGAAAAAGGCATCCCTTAATTTCTCTTTCCAGCAAGTACCCAGGGTACATGTGGGAGAGGAAAAAAAGTGCATCCCCTTTTTTCTTCCATCCTTGTAGCCCCACGTTTCACCAACCTTGACAGGTGCTGCCCATGGGTCCCAATATGGCCTTCACCCATGTAGCAGGGAAGCCTAGAGGGTAGGAATATCTGCACTGGCCTGTCCTCTTGCTGTTGGTAACCTTCGAGTCCCCTAGACCTCATTTATGCCTTGGATACACACATAACCTCCTTCCATGAAGCTGGGGGGAGGTGCCTAATTGGCAGGAATTAGTCGTACTTGCCTGTGCTGTGCCCCTAGACTTCTGCTGTTGTCTGATCTAAGACCTAGTTTTCTTTTCTGGGGCTTCAACCTGAAGGTTGGAATTGAGTTTGGGATAACAAAGTGCCCCGGGAGGGTGCATGGACTCATTAAATTGACTCCCATGTGGGCCTTGCAAAACTGCAGTCAGTGACTGGCAGTGGCAGCCTGGGCCATTCCTCCATTGTTTCTCTGCCATTGTTTCTCTGCAGACTGCTAAGGTGAAGCTGTGGAACCACATCCTCCTCTAACAAGGGAGAGAAAGGGAGTCCCAAGATTTGGGGATGTGGCCCAGTAAGGTGCCTCCCAAAAGGAAGAAAGAAAAAAAAACCTCTCGCATAGGAAAGCTCTCTGTATTTGCAGGTCTGTGTTAACTCCTGACATGGTGAAACAACGACAAAAAAAAAAAACAGATTAAGTCAAGGAAAGGGTAGGCACCTGGAGGAAAAAGCCTCTTGCTCTTATGCAAATGAGTTCCTTCAATGGGGAAAAAAAACTCTTAATCACTGCCTCCTCGCTGCCTCCAAGAATAGATGGAAACCACATTGTTCTGAATTACATTTTTATGACTGGGCCATGTACCCATCCTACCCAGTAATATCTCTGTAGTTTGCAACAGCACCCTTAATGTTATAAAAGAAGAGATAGGAGCCATTACAATCCATGAAAGAAAGAAGGGAAATGCCACAGCAAAGTCTTGGTTGACACCCTAACAGGTGGTTGGGAACTGGAGCTGGTCTGGGAACTTCAGGCAACATCAAGGTGTGCCCTTGGCTGGATGCCTTCAGTTGCCCCAGGACCTTATTCTGATCCCTGATGATGGCAAGACCTTTGTGAAGGGAAAAAAAGCCAGGATTCCCTACACCCGAGTGCAACAGAGCAGGGGTGAGTGTGGCAGGTTCCTCCCCAGCATTGCTCTGTAGCTGCACCATTTGCCCTTAATTGGCTAATCAGAGGATTGGTGCTTCATCTGCCTTCAGAAGATAGTCTGAGGATGAGAAACCTTGGGAAAAAGAGAAGCATCATAGGTCCACATTTACTCACCCTTCTGATGATCCTGGATGAGCTTCCAGAAAATGATGCAGGATTTTTCTCAGTCATTTTGCCAGCAGGGACCTCCTGTTGGTGACCCCCCCCCCCCCCCACCCAGGCCTCGTTTGGGCATACTACCTGCTGCAGGAGGTGACCTGCCCCCTCAGCGCACCCAGTCTGTGCCTGACTTGCACATATGGCTGTGTTATAGCTCATACCTGCATTTGGTGGTTCCCGAGTTCTTGTTCTGCATTGAAGAAGAATGAGGATATTCTGACAATTGAAGGGTGAGGAGGGTGTAGAAGAATTGTACTGAGCAACATAATGGCTCTCAGTGCAGAGGGGATGCAGGGGTGGTACCCCACCCCAAATTGGGTGGTTTCTCTCCCAGTGTGGCTGAGTCTGGGGCTTTTATGGGCTCAGAATAGGGGAGTGCATGCTGATTGTTTTGTGAGTATGCAAAAAGTTCAAAACAAAGGCATCACTCAAAGGTGTGCATGGCTGTGTAAAAAACCAATTGGGGAAGGGTAAGTATATGTAAAATAGTTGAAGGTTGGTGATCAGAGGCCAGTGCACCAAGTGGGAAGACAGGTTCTCAATCCAGTCTGTGGGTTTGACTTGTGGCTTGGCTTTCAGGCTTTAAACTGTCTTTGTCATGATGGTGGGGTTTCCCCGCAACCCACCCCATCTCCCTAGGCATTTATCTGACTCCTGTGCTATCAGTGTCACTGGAAATTCTTCAGTTATGTTGGACCTAAAGCACCAGAATGTGTACTGCCCTCACTTTGCTTCCTTTCCTTATTTCAGCTCTGCTTTCCTTGGTGTCTGCTTTCCTCATAATGACGGATGGACAGAGTAGCACCAGGCTTCAGTAGTCCTAGCTGAGCAAAACCTTGGTAGTGAGCACTTCTTTCCAAGTCAGTTTTGAAAAGCGCCAGGATAGTCTCTCTTTGGCTGGGGTTGGACCATGTTTCCACTCCTGGAAACTGGGAATAAGTAGAGAGGCAGCTCACACACACACACACACACACACACACAAACACACACACACACACTGCATCACAGGCTGCTAGGCAAATAAAAACCATACCCATTCATCACCAATTTTGATATTCTGCACACTGGAAATACTTTCTTTTATTGTACTTACACATTTCTACTAACTGAAGATTTTTAAATTTTTCTGGAATTTGTTGGTGGGATTTAATAACCACATTTCAATTCACGAAATGTGACATTCTTTAAAACTTGAAGAATAATGATTCTTTACACTTTACTTTTATTCCTCTCATTTCCTGATTGCTTCTTTTGATGGGAGTTCCCAGACTCCAGGAACAAAAGACAGATTAACAAGAGTAAAACACACGGAAGTTTATTAACACATACATCTCCTATATACATGGGAGATAATCCAGAGAAATGGGTAAATCTCTAAGAGGTGACTTTCACTTCAGGCTTAAATACTATGGTTTTCTGAATTAAATCAATGGTGTGGAGGAGACTCAATTATGACATAATGGCCAGGAAAATCCTGGTAAACAAGAGCAAGGTTTGTTGTGTAGACTTATGCCAATGCCTTCTTCATTGATTAGTTTCAAGTGATTTTAGAATGCAGAGAGGAAGCTGTCCTTACAAATGGCGATTTCCTTTACAGATGTATAAATTCTCTTACAAAAGGGTAACATCTCTGTTTTCAGAGCTTCCCTTGTTTCTGCTGTTTTGCAAAATAATCAGCTCAAAATAATCTTTATGCTAACAAGGTAAATTTAGAGTGCTGTATTCTCCTACAGTCAGTTTTTAAGGTGGTATGTCCTGAACCCTGTCTCTTTTATTATTTATTTATTTATTTATTTATTTATTTATTTATTTATTTATTTATTTTTTGAAATGGAGTCCTGCTCTGTTGCCCAGGCTGGAGTGCAGTGGTGCGATCTCGACTTACTGCAACCTCTGCCTCCCAGGTTCAAGTGATTCTGCTGCCTCAGCATCCTGACTAGCTGGGACTACAGGCATGCACCACCACACCCTGCTAATTTTTGCACTTTTAGTAGAGAGGGGGTTTTACCATATTGGCTAGGCTGGTCTTGAACTCCTGACCTCATGATCTGCCTGCCTCCCAATGTGCTGGGATTACAGGCATGAGCCACTCGGCCTGACCCCATTTATTATTTTTTAGTTAAGTAATGTACACGCATATTTTCACCCTTCTTAGAGATTTAGAAAAAAGAAGAAACAGAATTCACTGCGATATGAACTTATTGGACATATCTTGAATAATCAAGTTGATCTTAAAAGCAGTAAAAGTACTTTGAATTCAGAATTAGCTGGAAGAAGGCAACATTACCTTTTGTCTACATATTTTCTCTTTCAATTTCCCAGATCTTATAACATTTTCTTTGGGTGGATGGCCATATTGGTCAGAGTTTGATGCATAAAATAGAAACCACTGTAGATATTATTGGCATGAAGAGATTTAATTAAGGAGATTGATTAAATGTAAACAAAATAGACTAAAATGGTCTCTAGGCTGTACCACTGAGAATCATTTCTAAAATAATAACCCAGCTAGGGAGTTCTGAGGCAGTCACTGGAAATTGCCAGCTGAAAATGATTAAGTTAAAACTGCATTTGCAAAAATGAGAGTGGGCAGTGGCTCACGCCTGTTATCCCAGCACTTTGGGAGGCTGAGGTGGGCAGATCACTTGAAGTCAGGAGTTCAGCACCAGCCTTCTCAACATGGTGAAACCTTATCTCTAAAAAAATACAAAAATTAGCCAGGCTTGGTGGTGCATGCTTGTAATCCCAGCTACTTGGGAGGCTGAGGCAGGAGAATCACTTGAACCCAGGAGACGGAGGTTGCAGTGAGCTGAGATCACACCACTGCATTCCAGCCTAGGTGATAGAGTAAGACTCTGTCTCAAATTAAAAAAATTATGAGAGTGAAAGGGATCTAACATAACCAATTCCATTTTACCTTTAACCTCCAAGCCACCCTTGTTCATTCCTGGGCGTAGGCTGAGATAACTACAGGAGGAATTTAGTTTATAGTTTAACTTTGAAACAAAGATGATAATAGAGCTTTCCCTACAGAAATCTCCTTCTTGCCTGGGAACCAGACCATCTTTGTAAGACTAACAAATTAGCCACAAGGTTAGGTTTAGGAGTTATGTAGCTAGAGGCCACAAGATTCCTGACTTCCACAGTTGCTCCTAGAAATAACATCAGTGTTTGTAAAAGTGTTCAAGATATTTTTGAAACCCTGTATTCTGATGCACCAGCTGGCACCAACCAGATCAGTAATCTGGTTCACCCAGTTCTATGATCCCACCCAGGAACAGGATGGCAAGAACCCACCTGGAACCTCCTATGATTTTATCTCTAACCCATCTAATCAGCCCTCCCACTCCTTAACTCCCTATCCACCAAATTATCTTTAAACACTCCATCTCTGAATTTTGGGGGAGACTGATTTGAGTAATAAAACAATTCTCCCCTTTAGCCAGCTCTGTGTGCATTAAACTCTTTCCTTATTCGATTCCCTTGTCTTGATAAATTGTCTTTATGTGGGCAGTGGGCAAGGAGAATCCAGTGTTCAGTTACAAATCTGGGAGATCGTCTGGGATACCTCTTGTGGACATCTGTTTATGGTTTGGCAGTTCCTCACCAGTTTCAGGTCCACAGGCCAATCCAAGTGGCTGCTTAGTTCTCTTGGACTAAGGGCTGCCTCTGGTGCTGTCTCTGCCGGCAGGCTGCTGCCAACCCAGAGTGCAAGGATCTAATTGCAATGGAGACATAGTTCCTCAAAGACATCTTATAACCTGGTTTGGTGAGTATTCCAGGTGCTGCCAAAACCTTCTTTGTTCTCCTGATCTTCTGACCTCTCTAGATTTACCTGTGTCCCCATCACAGGGACTAGCCAGCTCTTCCTGGAATTGTAAGAAGAGTCTCAGTCTGTGGCAATCTCTCCCCAGCTGGATGAAGAATAAGGAACATGTTTAAAGAAATGCTCTTCTGGTTTGAAATCTGGTCTGGAATTGTGGTTTGGAAAGCCTTCTCTTTGTCATTACTTTGTTGTATATTTACATATATGGAGGGGATCCCTGAAGGAATTGCTGAGAGAAGTCCAGCAGGCCTAACTCAGGGTGACCGTTGCTCTTGCATCTCGCCCAGAGGTTTTTATCCTTCAAAAACCCAGGTTTACACTCAACTACATGTAAACTGAACAACCTGCTCCTGAATGACTACTGGGTACATAACGAAATGGAGGCAGAAATGAAGATGTTCTTTGAAACCAGTGAGTACAAAGACACATACCACAATCTCTGGGACATACCACAATCTCTGGGACACATTTAAAGCAGTGTGTAGAGGGAAATTTATAGCACTAAATGCCCACAAGAGAAGAGAGTAAAGATATTAAATTGACACCCTAACATCATAATTAAAAGAACTAGAGAAGCAAGAGCAAACACATTCAAAAGCTAGCAGAAGGCAAGAAATAACTAAGATCAGAGTAGAACTGAAGGAGATAGAGACACAAAAAACCCTTCAAAAAATCAATAAATCCAGGAGCTGGTTTTTTGAAAAGATCAACAAAATTGATAGACCTCTAGCAAGACGATTAAAGAAGAAAAGAGAGAAGAATCAAATAGATGCAATAAAAAATGATAAAGGGGATATCACCACCGATCCCACAGAAATACAAACTACCATCAGAGAATACCGTAAACACCTCTACGCAAATAAACTAGAAGATCTAGAAGAAATGGATAAATTCCTGGACACATACACCCTCCCAAGACTAAACCAGGAAGAAGTTGAATCCCTGAATAGACCAATAACAGGCTCTGAAATTGAGGCAATAATTAATAGCCTACCAACCAAAAAAAGTCCAGGACCAGATGGATTCACAGTCGAATTCTACCAGTGGTTTGAGGAAGAGCTGGTACCATTCCTTCTGAAACTATTCCAATCAATAGAAAAAGAGGGAGTCCTCCCTGATTCATTTTATGAGGCCAGCATCATCCTGATACCAAAGCCTGGCAGAGACACAACAAAAAAAGAATTTTAGACCAATATCCCTGATGAACATTGATGCAAAAATACCCAATAAGATACTGGCAAACTGAATCCAGCAGCATATCAAAGAGCTTATCCACCATGATCAAGTGGGCTTCATCCCTGGGATGCAAGGCTGGTTCAATATACGCAAATCAATAAGCGTAATCCAGCATATAAACATAACCAAAGACAAAAACCACATGATCATCTCAATAGATGCAGAAAAGGCCTTTGAGAAAATTCAACAGCCCTTCATGCTAAAAACTCTCAATAAACTAGGTATTGATGGGACATATTTCAAAATATTAAGAGCTATTTATGACAAACCCACAGCCAATATCATACTGAATGGACAAAAACTGGAAGCATTCCCTTTGAAAACTGGCACAAGACAGGGATGCCCTCTCTCACCACTCCTATTCAACATAGTGTTGGAAGTTCTGGCCAGGGCAGTCAGGCAGGAGAAAGAAATAAAGGGTATTCAATTAGGAAAAGAGGAAGTCAAGTTGTCCCTGTTTGCAGATGACATGATTGTACATTTAGAAAACCCCATTGTCTCAGCCCAAAATAACCTTAAGCTGATAAACAACTTCAGCAAAGTCTCAGGATACAAAATCAATGTGCAAAAATCACAAGCATTCTTATACACCAATAACAGACAAGCAGAGAGCAAAATCAGGAGTGAACTTCCATTCACAATTGCTTCAAAGAGAATAAAATACCTAGGAATCCAACTTACAAGGGATGTGAAGGACCTCTTCAAGGAGAACTACAAACCACTGCTCAACGAAATAAAAGTGGACACAAAGAAATGGAAGAACATTCCATGCTCATGGATAGGAAGAATCAAGATCGTGAAAATGGCCATACTGCCCAAGGTAATTTATAGATTCAATGCCATCATCCCCATCAAGCTACCAATGACTTTCTTCACAGAATTGGAAAAAACTACTTTAAAGTTCATATGGAACCAAAAAAAAGCCCGCATTGCCAAGACAATCCTAAGCCAAAAGAACAAAGCTGGAGGCATCACGCTACCTGACTTCAAACTATACTACAAGGCTGCAGTAACCAAAACAGCATGGTACTGGTACCAAAACAGAGATATAGACCAATGGAACAGAACAGAGCCCTCAGAAATAATAACACACATCTACAACCATCTGATCTTTGACAAACCTGACAAAAACAACAATGGGAAAGGATTCCCTATTTAATAAATGGTGCTGGGAAAACTGGCTAGCCATATGTAGAAAGCTGAAACTGGATCCCTTCCTTACACCTTATACAAAAATTAATTCAAGGTGGATTAAAGACTTAAATGTTAGATCTAAAACCATAAAAAACCCTAGAAGAAAACCTAGGCAATACCATTGAGGACATAGGCATGGGCAAGGACTTCATGTCTAAAACACCAAAAGCAATGGCAACAAAAGCTAAAATAGACATATGGGATCTAATTAAACTAAAGAGTTTCTGCACAGCAAAAGAAACTACCATCAGAGTGAACAGTCAACCTACAGAATGGGAGAAAATTTTTGCAATCTACTCATCTGACAAAGGGCTAATATCCAGAATCTACAAAGAACTCAAACAAATTTACAAGAAAACAAACAACCCCATCAAAAAGTGGGCGAAGGATGTGAAAAGACACTTCTCAAAAGAAGACATTTATGCAGCCTAAAGACACATGAAAAAATGCTCATCATCACTGGCCATCAGAGAAATGCAAATCAAAACCACAGTGAGATACCATCTCACACCAGTTAGAATGGCGATCATTAAAAAGTCAGGAAACAACAGGTGCTGGAGAGGATGTGGAGAAATAAGAACAGTTTTACACTGTTGGTGGGACTAGAAACTAGTTCAACCATTGTGGAAGACAGTGTGGCGATTCCTCAAGGATCTAGAACTAGAAATACCATTTGACCCAGCCATCCCGTTACTGGGCATATACCCAAAGGATTATAAATCATGCTGCTATAAAGACACAGGCACATGTATGTTTATTGTGGCACTATTCACAATAGCAAAGACTTGGAACTAACCCAAATTTCTATCAATGATAGACTAGATTAACAAAATGTGGCACATATACACCATGGAATACTATGCGACCATAAAAAAGGATGAGTTCATGTCCTTTGTAGGGACATGGATGAAGCTGGAAACCATCATTCTCAGCAAACTATCACAAGGACAAAAAACCAAAGACCACATATTCTCACTAATAGGTGGGAATTGAACAATGAGAACACTTGGACACAGGAAGGGGAACATCACACACCAGGGCCTGTCGTGAGGTGGGGGGAGTGGGGAGGGAAAGCATTAGGAGATATACCTAATGTAAATGACGAGTTAGTAGGTGCAGCACACCAACATGGTGCATGTCTACATATGTAACAAACCTGCACATTTTGTACATGTACCCTAGAACTTAAAAGTATAAAAAAAAACAAACCCAGGTTTAGGATTTATGTAGCTAGAGGACACACACACACACACACACACACACACACACACATGCACGCAAAAGAGAGTGAAAAGGATCTAACATAACCAACTCCATTTTACCTTTAACCTCCAAGCCACCCTTGTTCATTCCTGGGCATAGGCTGAGATAACTATAGGAGGAATTTATAGTTTAGCTTTGAAACAAAGATGATATAGTGTTTTCCCTAAATCTCCTTCTTACCTGGGAATCAGACCGGCTTTGTAATACTAACAAATTGAATTCTTGGTCAGAGGTCATCCCTCCCCACCTTGAGTGGATCAAAGATGATAGGGGCCAATGGGGTCAAATTTTAGTCTTGCCAGGTCAATATTTGGGCCCTGGCAAAGAAACTAACGTCTGTGTACTGTTCTGTGTGTATTCTCTGCCTTTCTGGGAATCTAAAATTTATTTTTGGAGAGTTTCTTTCAACCTGTCCTGTCCGTAGATAGGTGTGGGTGGTGGGGTGGTAGCTGCTTTGCTTTGACTGTGGCCCCCACCTTGGTTGCGCCCGCCCTCTTATGGCTACTGTTGGACAGTGAAGAGGTTTCCATAGTGAGATCAAGAGTGGGAACGCATGTTCCAGAATCCACTTTGGGAGGGTGGTTATAAGGTGCTATGTGGCAGTTGGGGGAATACCTCAATCCCTCTTGTATGCCTGCAGCTGCTGTTAATATGCTGTTTTATAGTGGGGGAACCAGCCCCCAATATTTCAACGTAGGTCCTTTCTGTTTTCCCTAAGTATCGGCCGGTCTGAGAAATAAAGAGAAAGAGTACAAAGAGAGAAATTTTACAGCTAGGCCTCCGGGGGTGACATCACATATTGGCAGGTTCCGTGATGCCCTGTGAGCCGCAAAACCAGCATGTTTTTATTAGGAATTTCAAAAGGGGAGAGGGGTACGAGCAGGGAGTAAGTCACAAAGATCACATGCTTCAAAGGGCAATAAAAGATCACAAGGGCAGAGAGGCAGAGCAAGATCACAAGGCCAGGGCGAAATTAGAATTACTGATAAGGTTCCATGTCCCACTGGGCATGCATTGTCATTGGTAAACATCTTAACAGGAAACAGGGTTTGAGAGCTGACAACCTGTCTGACTAGAATTCACCAGGCTGGAATTTCCTAATCCTAGCAAGCCTGAGGGCACTGCGGGAGACCAGGGCGTATTTCATCCCTTGTCTTCAACTGCATAAGGCAGACACTCCCAGAGTGGCAGTCCGTAGACCTCCCCTGGGAATGCAGTCCTTTCCCTGGGTTATTCCTTGCTGGGAAAAGAATTCAGTGATATTTCTCCTATTTGCTTTCTGTAAAAAGAAAAATATGACTCTGTTCTGCCCAGCCCCACAGGCAGTCAGACCTTATGGTTATCTCCCTTGTTCCCTGAAAATCGCTGTTATCCTGTTCCTTTTCAGAGTGCCCAGATTTCATATTGTTCAAATACACATGTTTTACAAACAATTTGTACAGATAACGCAATCATCACAGGGTCCTGAGGCAACATACATCCTCAGTTTACAAAAATGATGGGATTAAGAGATTAAAGTAAAAACAGGCATAGGAAATTACAAGAGTATTGATTGAGGAAGTGATAAATGTCCATGAAATCTTCACAATTTATGTTCAGAGATTGCAGTAAAGACAGGCGTAAGAAATTATAAAAGTATTAATTTGGGGAACTAATAAATGTCCTTGAAATCTTGACAATTTATGTTCTTCTGCTGTGGCTTCAGCCGGTCCCTCCATTTGGGGTCCCAGACTTCCTGCAACAGGGAAATACCTCAATCCGTCTTGTATGCCTGCACCTGCTCTTAATGTGCTGTTTTCTTTGACCCATGGGAAAGCCATCAAGTTCACCCTCCGGCATATTGGGCTTCCTGTCAGGCCAAGAAAATGGAAAACTTGTTTTGGGCTTGATCTGATGGATGGGGTGTCCCTGCAAACCACTGGAGGCTCTTATTTGAAGATTGGAGACAAAGTTGTGATAAAAACACAGAAGTGTGGGGACCCAAATGTCTGCTATACTGGTGGAGAGCCCATTGGCATGTATCCTCGAGAAGTGGAAATTTTGGGGATATTACCCACTGACCCATAAGCAGTTTGTTTTCTCTGTAACACAACTTGGCCATAGTTTCCTGTGGGATTAAGAATGCATGATGGCCTTGTCAGGGTTCTGTTTGTCACCACAGAATCTTGGAGTTAGATTTGTATTGTAAAGGGAAAGAGAAATGGGATGGGACCTCCTATGTACAGTGTTTCATGGCACTTAGGCAAAATAAACCAATGCAGTAAAGGTGTAAGGTTGTGGCCCAACTAACTGGCAGTAGAAAAAATCCTGTTTTTTTGAGTCACATGAAAAAGATGATGACATTTTGATTGCTAGGTTAAATGAGCCCTCAGTTCCTCCTCCTACCTATGGCGGCTGGGGCTGCTCTATGAGCACCTGAGCTGGGGTCCCCATCTTCCCTGATCTCCCCATCTTCTGTGATCTCCCCACCTTTGCAGGAATAGAAGCCAGGAGCAATAGGAATGGTCTACCCCCACACCTCTGACAGGAAACCAAATTTGGCCAGAGTGCCCCTCTAGCTCAGGGAAGGCAATTCCCTCTTCAGCAGATTCCTATAGGGGAGCATTGATGCTGTCACAGGTCAGCCAATGGGGCTTATCTGGGTCTACTCTCCATTTCCACCTTCAATTAGTTTAGTTGGAAAAATAACGTACCCACGTACTTGGAGAATCTGAGGAGGATGGAAGATTTTTTCTTGATATTTGCAACCCAGTCACGCCTTGGGCAGATGTACAAAATTTCCTTTGCATTTTATTGACCTCAGAGGAGCAGAGAATGGTCCTAGGGAAGGCCAGAGAAGAGGTTGGTCTCATGCACGAGGTCCCAGGTAACCTGGTAAGAATGGCTGCACAGGTGGCTGTACCCACCTTAGACCGGGAGTGGAACATAAATGGAGAAGGCTTTATCAAGGTTTAGTCTTACCAAGACTGCAGCTGTATTCTGGCTGGCCTCTGCAAAGTAGTGCTGAAACAGAAAGGTTTTTTGTTTTGTTTTGTTTTGTTTTTTTGAGACAGTCTTGCTCTGTTGCCCAGGGTGGAGTACAATGGCACAATCTTAGCTTACTACAACCTCCGCCTCCTGGGTTTAGGTGATTCTCCTGCCTCAGCCTCCTGAGTAAGTGGGATTACAGGCATGTACCACCTCGCCTGGCTAATTTTTTGTATTTTTAGTAGAGACAGGGTTTCACCATGTTGGCCAGGCTGGTCTTGAACTCCTGACCTCAGGTGATCCACCTGCCTCAGCATCCCAAAGTGCTGGGATTACAGGTGTAAGCCACTGCGTCCAGCCTAGAAAGGTCTTAATAAGTTTCAGGAAGTTAGGCAGAAACCTAATGAGAGCCCCTCAGAATTCTTGGAATGGGTGTTTAAAGTGGGTAGGTGGTATACAGACATGATCTAGAAGTACCGACAGATGGTAAATATGACCTTTATCAGCCAAAGTGCCCCCGGCATTTGGAGAAAGTTGGAGAAGATGGGTGGGACTCTGCGTATGTCCCTGTCCCAGTTAATGGAGATTGCCTTTAGAGCGTTTGCCAGTGCAGATAATTTTTTAAAAGGAACAATGAAAGGTGAAACATCAGGCTAACCTTCTGGCTGTGGCTCTGACTCGAGAGGCCCCAGGACCACAGTGTGAATCTCCTTCAGATGCTCCATCCCAGGTAGGACCCCTACTAAGCCCCAGACCAACAAAGGGTGACACCCCACTGTAGGTCCCAAGCAGTGCACTTATTGCAAGCTAATAGGCTGCTGGAGGAAAGACTATCCACATTGTAAAAAGAACAGTGTTAAGGAAAACCCACTCCCTGTTCACCAGATGCCTGAAATAGCCAAGAGGTCTGAGGTTAAAGATACCTAGGATAAGGACCAGGAATTATGGGGCCCTGGGGTTCCTCCTGACCCAAGCAACACCCTCCATATTCCCACATAGAGTCCCAGGTCATGATGACAGTGGGAAGTCAACTTTTGGACTTTTTGGTGGACACTGAGGCTAGTTACTTGGTGATAAATACCTGGCTGTCTAAACTGTTCAGAAACTGTTAAAGTGACCAGGGTCTTGGGAGAAACCTTAACGAGACCATCCTTCAACCCTTAGAATATCAGCTGGGCCAACCCACCTGAAGCACAGCTTCTTATATATGCCTGAATGCCCCATTCCTCTGCTGTGACATGACCTCATAACTAAAGTAAATGCCAAAGTTACTTTCAGCCCAGTATGAGTAAATATTTTAGTACCCTCCAGAACAAGCCTATGCCCTGCAGGTTGCTGTGGAAGCATGGGCAGATAGGAGACCAGGAAGGGCCAGAACAGCCATCCAGTACAAGTGAAGGTACAGGTAAGAACAACGTAGCCATGCTTGAAACAATACCTGTTAAGCCAACAAGCGAGAAGGGACATCAAACCTCTGCTGTGTGCTTTCCTTCAGTTTGGACTCATTAGGCCTTGCTAGTCCTCATGTAACATGCCTATTCTGCTGGTTCAGAAGCCTGGGACTAAGAAACATAGATTTGTTCAGGACTTGAGGGCTATCAATCAATGGTAAAAGATATCTACTCGGTGGCCCCCAATCCCTATACTTTACTCACATCCCCAAATGGTGAACTCAGTTGGTTCACAGTCTTAGATTTAAAAGATGCCTTATTTTACATCCCCCTGAGCCCTGAGTCACAAGAACTGTTTGCTTTTAAATGGGAAGACCTAGATACTAAAGCACAGTAAAAGTATTGTTGGACAGTTCTCCCTCAGGGGTTTAAAAACTCCCCTGCCATCTTTGGGGAAATTCTTGCTAAAGACCTCCCAGACTTGCAATTAAAGAGTGGGACTCTATTGCAGCATGCTGATGACATCTTAATTGCCAGTACCACACAGGAGTTGTCTGACCAAAACACTATATTGAATCTAAGTTTTCTGGCTGAACTAGGGTACAAGGTATCCAAGAAAAAGGCTCTGATTTGTCGGCCTGCAGTAGTATCTTGGGTTCGAGCTCTCCCAAGGGCAGAAGAACCTGGTCCCTGACCAGCAGGACACCTTCACCAGGGCAGACAGACCAACCACCTGGCAACAGTTGTGAGATTTCTTAGTTATGGCCAAATTTTCCTGGATATGGATTTCTAATTTTGGACTTATTGCAAAGCCTCTATACAATGCTTTGTGGGGAGGAGATAATGAACCCCTAGAATGGACTGGAGACTGATAGAGGACCTTCCTTGATATCAAAGGAAAACTGCTGACTGCCCCAGCACTTTGATCTCTTTGTGCTTGAGAGACAAGAATAAGCCTAGGAGTGTTAACTCAGGACCTAGGAAATATTAAAAGACCCATTGCTTGTTTCTCAAAGCAATTGGACATTGTTACAAAAGGATGATCTCCTTGCATTTGGGCTGTTGCTGCCACTTGTGACTTTCTCCAGGAAGCAGAAAAGTTTACATCAGGCCAGCCAACCACAGTACACCCAACCCACTGTGTGCTCCCCTTGCTGGAACAGAAGGGAGGATACTGGCTGACCTCTGGGAGACTCTGCAGGTATCAGGTCATCCTTTCAGACAACTCAAATGTAATGCTGAAGGCCATCTCTACTCTAAATCCTGCCCCCTCCTTCATCAAATGCCATCTGAACTTGCGCACAATTATCTACAAACAGTTGAATTAGTTCATTCCTGCTGGCCAGACCTGACAGACGTAACCATAGACAGCCCAGACCTAGAGATGTTCACTGACAGGAACAGCTTTATGGGCCAGGGACAATAGAAAGCCAGGTGTGTGGTGGTAACCCACTGACAGACTATAGAAGCCAGAGCATTGCCCTCCAGAACATTAGCACTGAAAACGGTGCTCAGAGCCCTCATTGGAACCCTCCATCTAGGTAACAGAGCACAAGTGGCCATGTACGCAGACTCTAGATAGGCTTTCTCTGTTTTTCATGCTCAAGGGGCCATCTGGAAAAAAATGGGACTACTAACCTCTGATAATTAAAAACAAACAAAACATGCTAGAGAAACTCTAGTCCTATTAAATGCCATTTTAGCCCACAGGAAGTAACTATAATACATTGCCTTGGGCAACGGCAGACAGATAGTTTGGTGGCAAAGGACAATATTGCATAGATGAGGCCACGAAGAAAATAGTAAGGATAAAGTCCCCAAAATGCTATTGATACCTTTGCTACCTAAAACAGATTGTGGCCCTGAGCCTCCCATATACTCAGATGAGTACCTAAAAAGAGCACTCAATTGGGGTTTTGACCCCAATCAGAGGACTCATGATGGATGGATATACAATGAGAGAGAAACAATTCTGGCACCGGCATATTTTAGGAATGACATTGTTGAATGTATTCATGACTCCACCCAGTGTGGTAGGGATGCCACTCTCCAATGGATACAAAAATATGTTTCTGGTTCACATATAAACAGGACCATTCAGAAGGTTATAGAAAAATGTCTCTTCTGTACCCAGAACAACCCAAAAACTAGCCCTCCCCACTTAACACAGGAATTCAGACCGGGGGTGAAGGAACAACAGAGAACTGGCAAATTGATTTTATTATGATGTCAAGGATAGCAGGTAACTTGAAATACCTACTCTTGTTTGTGGATACCTTGGGTTGAGGCTTTTCTTTGTTGGACAAAAAGAGCTTCTGAAGCATTAAGGCCTTAATAAAAGAAATAATTCCTTGGTTTGGAACAGTGGTTTTCATCTAGAGTGACAGTGATGCAGACTTCATGGCCCACGTCTCACAGGGTATTTCTTAAGCCCTCAGTATAACTTAGAACCTACATGTAACCTGGAGGTCGCAGTCCATAGAGTCCATAAGATTCCCGACTTCCCCAGTTGCTCCTAGAGATAACATCACTGTTGTAAAACCTAATACTGGTGTTTGAGATATTTTTGAGACCCCGCATTCTGGTGCACCAGCTGTTGTCACGCAGACCAGTAATCTGGTTCAAGCAGTTCTGTGATCCCATCCAGGAACAGAAGACAGCAAGAAGAACCTGCTTCAACCGACTATGATTTCATCTCTGACCCAACCAATTAGCACTCTCCACTCTCTAATCCCCTTCCCACCAAATTATCCTTTAAAAACTCCAGAAGTCTTCAAATTTTTGGAGAGACTAATCTGAATAATGACTCTGATCTCCCCTTTAGTTGACAGGGCATGTGCAGGGGTCTGTCCTTCAGACACTGATCCACCAACGGATGAATAAAGTACACTGACACACAGATATGCTGCTTTGCCAGTCCAGCTGAGCATACTGGCCACTTACAAACTCCAAGCAGAGTGCTGTAAACAGATGCAACTGCGGCCTCTATCAGTCAGAGAGACTTGCATTTATTCAGTAAAGATTAATTGACAAAGGTCGTGAGTAAACACCACTAGAGGGTAATTGACATTGTGGACCTCCTGAGTAGAAAGCAATTAAGCACCCAGGGTAAATCAAAGATTAGTCTTAGGACCACATGAGTAAACAAGCTAGTTAGATAACTCTCCATATTGCTTTGTTTCTACTCTAATTTAAGGGGACAAGGCTGCCTTCAGCCAAGTTTATTACTGGAGCTTACCCAAACCCCTCAGGCCTTCCAAGGTTTGTGTCTTATAATTTTCCCCACCATCCTGACTGAACCCCCACATCTCCTCTTTTTTTGTTTTCTGCATCAGGTCTTTTTGATTGGAGAGTGTACATGTATGCAGCAACAGGTTTGTCAGGTGTGGTGGTCATTGCTCTTATTCTGGCTTTGCATCCTAGAATTAGCAAATAGCATAATACAATCATGAGTACAATTAGCAACATTCTTTCCAGTCAAAGAGTGACCCCCAGGAGTGGGGTTCTAACCAGGAGAGATGATCTTGCACACCCTTCTATATGGGTGTTTGTTGGGTGTGTAGATCTATGGTGTGAAGGGATTCTAAAATTTTAGTTTTAAGTTGCTTTATGTCTGCTGTTAAATTGTCATGAAAGGTTCCCCAGAGGTGTTGTTTTACCTCATCCCAACTATGTATTGATTGATTCCAAGGTAGAGAAGTGACACAGATATGTTTATGCCCCAGTCACAGTTTAATTGCTTTTGGAATGCCAGTGCATCTTGTCACTCCCCCACATACTCTAAGGCAGCCTCAAGGGCTCACAGTCATGCAAGAATCTTTTGATCCATATGTTGCTGTAAGAGAAGATCATTAGACACATTTTGGCCAGATTATCTACAAAGCTAGCTGTTTATATTGACTCAGTAATAGATGCAACAGCAATGCTAGCAGTTGCCAGGATGACTAGGCTGAGATTATAAAGGCCATAAGTGTAACTGTGAATCTTTTGTGTCTGACCTGGGACAGAGCACATTCTAAGGTGGCAAGGGCAGAGGAACCTTGCCAATCCTGTCAAATTGACTGGTAGAAATGTCTCAGATTGTCTCCTTAATACCATGACACTAGTGATTTTTAAATTAGATATATTGTGGTGAGTGATATATGAGGCAAACCAAGCCTATCCCTGCACCTGGGTCACAAACGTGGAGTTTTGGGGTATAATGGAAATGTTAGTTCCCATAAGGAAAATATATGGATGGGTAGTGCAAATCAGGCACTGATTCGTGTGATTATGAATAAAGGTTATAGTATAGTTGCAATGGGAATTATGATATGTCCCATGTTAGGTGTTAAGGGAGGTGCTGAGATGTCCCAGGCACCATAAGGTGCCTTGGGTTGGCATGGACTTTACTTGGGGTCTGGGATATCCTATCCCCACATTGGCCCAAAATATAGGGAAACAAAACATGGCTATGAAACTGTGATTGATGCTGTGATGGACGAAGACATTAGTAAGGCTGCCCTGCAATCGGCCATGGGGACTTCAGTCTAAGATGTTATAGTTGCCTAACTGGAGTCTATGGGCTTGTTTCCCATGACAGACATCCCAGCTAAAGTGGAATCCATTACTTTTCTGGCTTTGTTCTTTAGCACAGGAAGGAATGTTTGGGAAAGCAGCATTGATTGCAATGCCTGGTTTGAGGCTACCTGCAGCTAAGAATGTTAAGGCATTTCCTTTGCCATGATGTAGCCATACTTGTTTTTGGGCAGGTACACATTAAGGGTTAGAACCTTTATAACTTATACACAGTGGGAGGATAGTGGAGTGTTATGTAGTGTTATTTGGCACTTTAGTCCAATGTGTGTGATTATTGAGGGACTCCACTGGGGGTAAATCTATCCCTCCTAGCCAAGCAGTCACGTTATTAAAGGCTGGGAAGGGAGTGTCTGCCAAGGTAACTGGGCAAAAGAAAGGTGGGTCTAAGATAATGAGCCCAAAAGAGTGTAGCAGGTACCAGCTGCGAACAAAGTGAGAGCATAAAAGGGATTAATACCCTACGTGAGTTGCAATGTACAACAGAAAACATAGCAAGAAACAAATTATCTGGAGTAAATGCTGTCTGTGTCTGGAGCAGGATTTGTTCAGCCTCCTGAGTTGTCTTCTTCAGCATCCCCCAGGTAACATCTGGGGCTTGTGTCATCCACGGAAGCCGCATCTTCTGGGTCTGTGGATCTTGTAGGGTTAACTCCTTCATTTCTGGTACTGGGTTGGGTCCTAGCCATGCCATGGTATGGTTTGATGCGTCACGCTGGAATCCAAAGAGGACCTGAGGGGGTGTGAACACAAGCATACCCTCTTCCCCATGTTAATAATTTATTTGGACCACACCATACATTACTGTTTACATCTTTCCATCAAACTGCAGGTTTTATGCCTTGAGAGGTTTTAGCAAAGTGCTTTTCTACAGCTGATTGAAATTTGTCATCTAAATTTAAAAAATTAAGGGTAAATAAGGCTTGTGCCTATAGTGTTGCAGGGTCTTTTACCCATACTCCTTCTTTCCTGTTTTTTTTGAGCGTATTTTTTAAGAGTGGGCACGTTCTATTGCTTGTCCTTGGGGGTCATATGGGATCCCTGTGGAATGTTGGATATTCCACATTGTGACAAAATTGTTGAAATTGTGAGCTGGTATAAGCGGGACCATTATCCATTTTAATTTTTGTGGGCCATCCCATAAATGCAAAAGTTAAAAGACGATGTTTAATGACATATCGAGTAGACTCTCCCAGAAGGGCATGTGCACTAATTAAATGGGTGTTGGTATCAATGGATACACGTACATATCTCAGTTTTCCAAATTCAGGGATGTGTGTAACATCTGTTTGCCATAACTGATTAGGTTCTAGTCCTCTAGGGTTAATACCTGTGGAAGGAGGGGATGTGCCTGTGAGCTGGCAGTCTGGGCATTGTAGGATAATTTGTTTAGCCAGCCTTTGTATATGTTGAAATTGTTTAGATAAGTTTCCCTAATTTTGGTGGAAAAATTGATGCAATTGGGTGGCTTGGTCAAGCAGTGATGTCATAACCTGAAGATCTGCTTGTTCATTGCCATAAGCCAATGAGTCAGGCAGAGAGCTGTGGGCTCGAATGTGTGTAATAAAAATAGGTTGTGTATGTTGATCTAGCAATTGCTGAAGTTGGAGAAAAAAAAGCACACAAGGCTGGCTCCAGAGTGGAGTTAATTAAAGCTGTTTCAAGATTTTGTAGCAAATATACTGAGTAAGCCAAGTCACTTACAATACTTGTGGGCTGAGTGGAAAAAGTTTCCAAGGCCAGTATCAGAGCCCCAATTGCAGCTCTCTGATTGCTAGTAAACCCAGATCAAGTGATTGAATTGTGTAGTCTCCACCAGACTGCCGCTTTTCCATGTTTACCAGACCTATCAGTAAACAGTGTTAAAGCATTAGGTATGGGGGAGTGAACTATTTTTGTAGGTAAGATTGCCTGCGTATGAGGTAAGAAATGAAGGAGTTTATCAGCAGGAAGCATGTGCTCTATTTGTCCTGTATAATCAGAGAAAACTATTTGCAGATATATCGATAAGAGCAATACTGATTCGCATTGCTTTTTGCTTAAAGGAATCCTGATGACATCAGGGTCATAACCTAGCAACTGATTGCATCTTTTGTGGCCTGAATAGATGACTTTAGTAATTAACTAAATATACGGAGATAGTGTTTTAGTCCTAGTATGTGAGCAAAAAACCCATTCTAGGAAGCGTAGCCCTGGGGTCATCTGTCCTATTAACCCTGTAGGGGGGTGTTTGGTGGGAAAAATAAACAACTGAATTGAATACCATGGATCAATGCGATCTAGCTGCCTCTGAGAGATGGCATGCTCTATTTCCTCAGTTTCCTTTTTTCCTTCAGGGGTTAAATATCTGGGAGAATCCAGGGCTGGATTACCCTTTAAGATAGAAAACAGATTTTGTAGTTTATCAGTAGGAATCCTCAAAGTGGGGTGGAGCTAGGTAATATCGCCCAATTTCTGATAATCATTTAAGGTGTATACATTGCTAGTATTTAATTTAACCTTTTGAGATCTTGCTGACCAGGAAGTTAGTATGTACCCAAGATATTTCCAAGGAGAGGACATTTGTACTTTCTTACGTGCAATCATTAGACCTCTTAGCTCTGTATTCTTTACGACAGAAGAATATAAATTTAAAAGTATTGGCTCCGTTGGGGCTGCTAGTAGAATATCATCCATAAAATGAATAATCTTGCAATCAGGAAATTCTTTTGTACTAGGGACCAAAGCTTGATTTCCATGATATTGACACATGGTAGGACTGTTTAGCATTCCTTGAGGAAGCACTTTCCAATGGAATCAACAAGCTGGCTTTTCATTATTGATAGCTGGTATTGTAAGCGCAAATTTTTCTCTGTCCTGTTCTGCTAGAGGAATTGTATAAAAAACTTTTAAGTCAATAATGATTATAGGCCAATCTTGAGGAATCACCACGGGGGAGGAGTGGCCCTGTTGAAGGGGTCCCATAGGCTGTAAAGTAGCATTAATAGCATGTTAAGTCATGCAAAAGTCTTCATTTCCCAGACTTTTTGGGAATGACGAAAATGGGCGAACTCCAAGGGCTGTTAGGAGAATATTATCCATAAAATGAATAACCTTGTAATCAGGAAGTTTTTTTGTTTTTGTTTTGTTTTTGTTTTTGTTTTCTACTGGGGAGTAAAGTTTGCTTTAACTGCTCCTTAACTAACTCATGGGCCGTTTGTAATTTCTCTCCCTTTAGAGGTTACAGTTTTACTTAAATTGGATTTGGAGAGAGTTAGGGGTAAGAGAGAGATAACAGTGCCCATTATCAGAAAGAGGTTTTTCAAATTATTAAATTTTACTTAAATCTTAGCATAGAATTATAATTTGGGATGTCTCTTGTCTACAAGGAGCACATGAAATTTTGCCGTGGGCCACCTGCAGAGCTGGAGAGCTAAGCAGACTGGTCCTGGAGTGGCAGCTGTGTTGCGCTTGCAAAAGCGCTGCTTTTTTCTGTGCCGCTTTTCGCCTGTGCCACTTCCTACCCCCGCTGCCCAGTGGCTGTTGCCCACTGGGCCGACTTTCCCACATGCGCCTCCTGCCTCTCTCTAACAGGCTAACTTCCAAGCACTGGGCCTGGCTGTTTGTTGCCGCTGCCTCCGTGTGGACAGAGTTCCTGGGAGCACTTGCTGGCTTTGGTTTCCCGAACTTCCTCTCTGCCAAGTCTCTCCTTCTGCTTACTGCTCGCTTGGCCGCCTGGCTTTGGCCTCTAATGCTTTTTTTTAACAACTCTTTAGGTACCTGATTGCCTTGCTGATTTTGCATTATTGGGCAGGCTAAGAGCTCCCCTTTTAATGCTGCCTGCTTAAGACAGGGTTTCATAGCTGTAGTGTATCTCTTGTTTTGTTTTTTTTTTCTTATCTATTGGAGGAGGTGGCTCAGGCACAACTTCTGTTTCCTCTTTGTTATTTTGGCCCAGTAATATCAGGGCTGAGGGAAGAGGAGGCGATAAGATAGGTGACGGTTCCTCCTCCTTCCCCTTTTTAGGCTCTTCTGTGTATAACGGAACTAGGGCTGCTCTAATTAAAGCCCATAGCATTAAAAGCTGTTACTGGGACACATTGCCCTTGTGCATAACGTTGTTTAATATTTCTCCCCACTTGTTCCCAGACCTCTACATCTAGCGGTCCTTCTTCTGGGAACCATGGATTAAGTGAGACAACAGTTTGCATTGGGTCTCTTAATTGAGCCTGCAAAACTGATGCTCCCCTAGCCTTAAGTAACTGTTTCAACACTTTTATGTACTGTCTTTGTTGAACTGATAACTATTGTCCCATGATGAAATCTCAGCCTGAACAATCCCCCACCCCCCCAAACTTGGTAATCCCAAGCAGGCACCAATGACTCACTGTTTTACTGACTTGACCGCCAGTCCTCTCCACCTTCATTTCTGGGGGTCTGTCGCGCTCCCTTCACAGCGATCCCCACACAGGGCACCAGCTGCGGAGTCTGTCCCACAGACCCTGACCCAACAACGGATGAATAAAGTACACTGACACACAGATATGCTGCTTTGCCAGTCCAGCTGAGTGTCCAGGCTGCTTACAGACTACAAGCAGAGTGCTGTAAACAGTTGTGACTGCGGCCTTGATCAGTCAGTGAGACTTGCATTTATTCAGTAAAGGTTAATTGACAAAGGTCGTGAGTAAACACCACTAGAGGGTAGTTGACATTGTGGACCTCCTGAGTAGAAATCAGTTAAGCACCCACAGTAAATCAAAGGTTAGTCTTAGGACCACATGAGTAAACAAGCTAGTTAGATAAACTCCGCACATTCCTTTGTTTCTACTTTAATTTACTTAACTAAGGGGACAAGGCTGCCTTCAGCCAAGTTTATTACTGGAGCTTATGCATCTCCCCCAGGCCTTCCAAGAAGGTTTGCGTCTTATAATTTTCCCCACCATCCTGACTGAATCCCCAGAGGCATGCATTAAACTCTTTCTCTATTGCAATCCCCTGTCTTGATAAATTGGCTCTATCTGGGCAGTAGGCAAGGAGAACCTATTGGTTGGTTACAAAGTTTATAAATTTGGAAAGGAGAGCTTTATTTTTCATAAAAGTTTGCAGCTGGCAGGGTGACCATTCTGACACTGGGAAGGATAGCCTCTGGCCAGGAGCTAGAAACAGATACTTTGAGGGAGGGGCAAAGGGAACAGGAGTCTATGCTGAACAGAGTGGCCAGCAATAGGAATCATGAATATTTACAAAAGGAGAAATGTGCATATATGCAATGGGGCTTCATGCCCCTTCATGAGTCACATGTACA
This sequence comes from Homo sapiens, assembly GCF_000001405.40. Taxonomy (NCBI): domain Eukaryota; kingdom Metazoa; phylum Chordata; class Mammalia; order Primates; family Hominidae; genus Homo; species Homo sapiens. Next base: position 172,512,716 of record NC_000002.12, on the reverse strand, counting down.
CTAGCCAGAGCCACTCTGTGGTCAGTGGTCTCTTATTAGGAAGAAATGCTGGTCAATTGTTGTGTCAAAACCCCAAAAGGGAGATGCAGCATCCCTTAAATTCAGGTTTTCAAAATTACTCTGGGGTCCCTGTGGCAAAGAGGGGGTCCATTTATTTGGTTGGGGGGCTTAGGATTTCATTTTTATTTTTCAAAATAGGGTTGAAGGCAAATACTTGAAGTTGCAATCGAAGGTCAAGAAAATGGAATCAAGAGGTCACAATCCTTCTCTGATGATGGCTTAGAAAGCTGGAAGACACTCAACATTGAATCCTGGGGCTCTGTGCCATGCTTGCTAGGAGAAACAGCCACCATGAGTCCATCTTTCAGATCTCAAGTGAACAGGTATGCAAGTCATAGAATTAAATTTATTTCAGCCGTGTGCGGTGGCTCACTCTTGTAATCCCAGCACTTTGGGAGGCTGAAGCAGGCAGATCACTTGAGGTCAGGAGTTTCAGACCAGTTTGGCCAACATGCTGAAACCCCCATCTCTACTAAAAATATAAAGGTAGCTGTGCATGGTGGTGGGTGCCTGTAATTGCAGCTACTTGCTACTTGGGAGGCTGAGGTGAGAGAATCACTTGAACTCAGGAGGTGGAGGTTGCAGTGAGCCAAGATTGCACCACTACACTCCAGCCTGGGCTATGGAGTGAGACCCTGTCTCTAAATAAATAAATAAAAATAAAAAATTCATATGTACAACCCTAGCTGCAAGGGAGTCTGGGAAGGTATTTTTAGCACCTCAGCCCTTCCAACTAGAAAAAGTATGGAATAGAGCAAGCCAGTCCACAGATATGTATCACAGTGGCTTAGGAGTTTTATTAATTTATGTGTGTGTGTTTTCTGGCATGAGTACTTGGGTTGTTCGTGGTAGGCACAGGCAAAGAAACACTGAGTTGCTGCTTGAGAAAGGAAATGTCAAGTTGCAAAAGCTTCTCTTTAAGTCATCCTGAACCTGTTCAATGTGTTTGTTTCATTACTGATTTAGATAAGTCTTTATAACCAGATCAACATGTCACTGCTTCTGTGGGTCAGCTACTAGAACTGGCACATTGTTTCCCATTCCGTTGTAATGCTATTCACTGTCATGGGATTTTCCTTCTCACGGGGCAGGAATCTTAAAAGCATGGCCTGTAAGAGTAGCCTACAACAAATGTCAGCTATCCTGTCAAGACGGTGAAAGCTATATATTTAGATAAACAGACTTAACTGCACCCCAGTCAGTCCTTATCCACACATTTGAGGATGTTAGGGGTTTGGAAGTTGTGTAGAAAGACATAAGACAGTGTAAGCCTAGGTTATAATCTTATTCCTTATACCATTATACCTTATGCCATTTTACAGGTGAAGGAATTAAGGCATCAGGCATTTAAACTTGCCCAGGTCATACAGTAAAAAGTGACACAATAGGGACTTGAATAAAGACTGGCTCTAGAGACCCTTGACACCCAAAGAGTAATCCATAGATCAGTAGTATTGCAACACCTGGAGGTTGTTAGAAATGTAGACTCTCAGGCTGTTTCCTAGACTGTTTAAATCAGAACCTGAATCAACAAGATCCTCAGGTGAGTCTTAGGCATGTTAAATTTTGAGAAAGACTGCTCTTAACTTCTCTAATTGAGACTTCCTGACCACCAGTGGCTTCCTCAGGTAAGAACCCCAGAACTTCAGTTCCATCAGCAATTTGAGGACACCTTGGCATCAGGCAGTCCCCCAATCTTCCTATGGAAGAATGCATGTATATGTATGTTTTTTGCCTTTACATAGTCTTTCAGTCCATGCATTATTGTGACATGTGGGAGGCAGGAGTTTTCAAATTTGTTCTTCCAGTGACAAACTCCGTTCTAACACACATGGTGTAACTCAGGTGCAAGATGAGCTCTGTGAGCATTTCCTCTTCTGCACAGCAGTAAAGGTAATAAGCAGTAAAACTGTGGCTTGCCTTCCCACTAAAGGAAACCAAAGAAATCGATGGTGTGTAAAGAACTCTGAGAAAAGGTTCAAAAAGAGAATCTGCTCTTTTCACACTCTTCCATGTCAGCGGGGAGAAAAACACAAAGATTCAATACCTAGCGATTTCAAGATGCTTTGTTGATTATCTTAACATGTCATCTTTCTGACCCCAACCGAAGACTGCATTATGGTCACTGTATTAAGGGTTGAGACAGAATTTAACATAGAAATAAGGTCACTCTTGTCGTTGTTCAGAATGATCTATGTTGATAAGGACTTTAAGAGGTTCATCGTATTTTTTTTTTGTAGTTATAACACCCACTAGTAAGACTTAAGTTGGTAGACACTGAAGAATGAGGAGACAAAAGGTTCCCGTGACAATAAAAATAAACCGTGTCTCCCCATCTGTGAAACGAGGAAGTAGAACTAGATTTCCATGCTTCCTTCCCTTTTTAAGATTTATGGTTCTATATAATAAACAAGGGTAAGTATAAAAGTAACTAGTAAGCACTTCCAGATGGTCCAATTTTCTCTTTACAAGAACCTCTGGGCTGGGTATGGTGGCTCACACCTGTAATCCCAGCACTTTGGCATGCCGAAGCAGGGGTGGATCATCTGAGGTCAGGAATTCAACACCAGCCTGGCCAACATGGCGAAACCCCGTCTCTACTAAAAATACAAAAAATTAGCCATGCATGGTGGCGGGCGCCTATAATCCCAGCTGCTTGGGAGGCTGATACAGGAGAATTGCTTGAACCCAGAAGGCAGAGGTTGCACTGAGCCAAGATCGTGCCATTGCACTCCAGCCTGGGCAGCAAGAGTAAAACTCCGTCTCGATGGAGCCAGACTCCATCTCAAAAAAAAAAAAAAAAAAAAAAAAAAAGAACCTCTGAGTGAGCACTTATCTTACAGGCCAAGAAACTGGGCACAGAGATATCCGTAACTCACCCAAGGTTATGTTCTAAGAGGAGAAGCTAATTCACACCTGCAGCGTGGCTCCAGAGACATGCCCTTATGCACCGCTCAGCTGCCTCCCTGCCTATAGCAAATGCACCTCTAGCTTCTCAGCTCCTGTTACTGGTGCAGTGGAAGTACCACAAACAGGAACGAGGCATTCCACACAGTGAGCATATTATTTTGATAAATATTCACAACATCCAATAATCTCTAAAGTAGTTCTCAATCCTGGCTGCACTTTACGAGTCAGCTGGGGAGCTTTAAGCAGCGCTAATTTCTGGGTCTCACTCAGATTCTCATGTAGTCAGTGTGGCAGATTGTCCAGCCATCGGGATTTTAATAAATGTATTTCTTTGGTGATTTAAATGTGTAGACCTGCTTAAGAATGACTCTAAATTTTCTGGGAATGGGGTTGTTCTGGGGGCAAGTTCTGCCCACAAAGGTTCAGGTATTGACTTTATTTTTTTTTTTGAGACAGAGTTTTGCTTTTGTTGCCCAGGCTGGACTGCAGTGGCGCAGTCTTGGCTCACTGCAACCTCTGCCTCCCAGTTCAAGCGATTCTCCTGCCTCAGCGTCCCAAGTAGCTGGGATTATAGCCATGTGCCACCACCACACCCGGCTCATTTTTTGTATTTAGTAGAAACGGGGTTTCACCATGTCAGTCAGGCTAGTCTCGAACTCCTGACCTTATGTGATCTGCCTGCCTCGGCCTCCCAAAGTCCTGGGATTACAGGCGTGAACCTCCACGCCTGGCCAGGTATTGAATTTATGTGTCAATCATTGATATCTTAGGGTTTTAAATTCTGCTACCTATAAAAAGTGAATTCACTTATGCTTGTCAATACCATCTGTAGTTTCAGATAAGCTTCCTATAAAAGGTCAGAGCCAGTGTCTTACGTATATCCCCAGAGCCTAACATCCCTAAACATCTGTTTACTTCCAACTGGAAAATAATTATTAAATCACATCCCTCTCACAATGACAGGATCTTAACAGAACACTCACTTAAATCCACTTACTGATTGTTGGTGAACTGAAAACTTAAATTGCTAGGCTTTGAGATAACAACGGTAGCACATTCTGACACTGTAATTTCTTGAGATTTTTGGCACGTTTTAGAAGGCTGAAGAGTAAGAAATTTATCTGACCTCTCCTAGCAGGGAACTGTTTCCATGACCCCAGCACAGGCAGCATAACTGAGAGATGCCTCCAGGGCAAGAGAAGATTGAGGCACTTATGCTTTGCTGACTGCTACAAAAATTGCACTTGACCACTTGACTCCCTCAACTCTGGTGTAATCATCAACTATTACCTGGTTAGTTTTGCCCTTTGTGGTGCCTGGTCCACCCTTGCACTGGGCCACACCAGTTTCCTTCCTCTGGTTTGTGTTTTACAGTTCATTTACCCTGAGTCAAGAGGATTTGGCTATGAATCCCCTCATGATTTTCCTCCTAGATGAGGTCTATTGGTAGCACCTCCACAGACCTGGTCTCAGCTCCTAGTGTACAGCTCTCCCACCTTCCAACAGCTGGATGAGATGCCTTTTGGAGCTGGCAAAACCTGTTTAAGGTACAGGAGAGAAAAAGAACTTGCTATTAACCGTAATCAGAAACTACGGGAAGAACAGATGCCCACTAGCATGCAATAGCCACTCTTGAAATCATTCTGAAGTTCATTTTCTTCACCTCTTTGACCCTCACCTTTTCCTCATTCCAAGTGGTTGGACCCTGTCCTTTGGTCTTAAGGAACTGCTTTTAATCACTTACTTTATGCTCCCCAAATTGATCCAACAACTCTTCCACATTTCTGTTTTCTCAGCCCTGTGGATGTACTTATGTGGAACCCAACCACTGACAGCGTCTCTTTCCCTCCTTGAAAACAAGTCTCTCAATCCCGGCTTGTCTTCCCACATTGTCCTTTTGTGGGATAGTGTACTGGAGACCAGTTTCTCATTAAGATGTTTTCATTTAGAGTAGAAGGCTTGATCTTATCCTTACTTCCCTGATTTGGACAATTTTTGAGACAGGATCTCACTCTGTTGCCCAGGCCAGAGTGCAGTGGCATGATCATAGCTCACTGCAGCCTCAAACTCCTAGGCTCAAGCAATCTTCCCACCACAGCCTCCCGAGTAGCAAGGACTACAGGTGCACACCACCACACCTGGCTAATTTTTAAATTTTTTGTAGAGATTGGGTCTTGCCATGTTGCCCAAGCTGATCTCAACTTGTGGTCTCAAGGATCCTCAGCCTCCCAGAGTGCTGGGATTACAGGCATGAGCCACCATGGCTGGCAGTCTGGACAATCTTTAAAGCATTCCCCACCTATATCAACACCACATGCTAGAATATTCTCAGCCACAAGGGAAAAGCGTAAACCATGACTATGCACGACACACTGAATTTGCAGCAACTAATTTACAACCAATAATGAAGTATCAATGTTTGCAGTGATTCCTCTGTGAATCCAAATAGATCCAAGGATAACCCTGTAATAATTCCACAATCGCTGGTAGACGTTCCTGTAATTTTTGAGAGGGAGGGGAAGTGTTGGAATCACAGGCACTATGACTGGATGGGCCATGACTTACTTACAGTCTGTGTTATTTATGCCATAGCCCTAGTCAAACCACAGCTACTGATAGGCTCTATGAGGTTATGACGATTACATATTATTGTAGTGATTTAATCTGGGTATATCTGATATGTGAACTGAGGCTAAAAAGGTTCACAGCCACTGGCCCAAATCATTAAGTGCCAATCAATCACATATTTCTTTGGGTGGTAACACCTGTTTGATCTTCAAAGAACCAAGAAGGCCAAGATTTTATGTAATGCCAAGTATAGTGGAGAGCTATTACCTAATATATTAGACAGACATTTATTCAGGCCAGGGCACACTATATTGTCTAGGCATTTTATATATATATATGTGTGTGTGTGTGTGTGTGTGTGTGTGTATATACGTATATATGTATATATATATTTATATATATTTATATATTTATATTTATATATATTTATATATTTATATATTTTATTTTCTTGTATTAGGTTGTGATAATCCAGCTAGAGAAGTTTCATAAAACTCAAATCTAAAATCTTTCTTTTGCTGAAGAAAATATTTTCTGACTAGTTGATTCTGCCACACACGTCACAGCTAGCCTGCTCCCACATCCAAAACATATTCTAAGAAGGAAGCAGCTTAGCTGTCAGAATTTTTTTTAATGCCAGGTTATCATTGCTAAGCAATTCCCTATCCTTACAAGGACAGGCAGTGAAGAGGAGGATTCAGTCCAAAGACAACTCCCAATTTGTAGGTTGTTAAATACCTGTAGGTTTCTTTTAATCATAAAGAAGGAAAATGAAAGACTTGAGGATCACCTACATAGAGCGAAAACAGAAAAAAACCCCGAATCCCATTGCTTTGGCACTAGTATCTTTGGCTGATCTGAGATTACATGAGACACCAAAAATAAAAACACTGAACTTTGGTTTGATGAAATAGATAATTCAGGTTGTCATTTATAATTTTAGAGTTTGCTTCACATATACAATGCTGTGTTACGAAACAATGAACACTTTTATAAAAAATTTATTTCACACTTTTATACAAATATCCACAGGTAATTTCTAATCATGAAATAATTTTACAATGCTAGTTAGTACAAAAATGTATCAAATGCAAACAGACCAGTGACTTGACTTGAGATGACATTTTTAACAACCATAAATCTAAACACCATAACATCTTTGTTTCTTTGTTGAACCACCCTCCCAACACCCTTTTCAGGACATTCATCTTTTTTTTAGTAACACAGGTCTAAAAACACTGTCAAAGTATCAGCTCCTTAGCAATCTAGCAATCTAAACACATTAGGGACACAAGTTCCCCAAGCAAGAAACTGAGACTTTAAACACTGTTATAACCTGTTTTACAGAAATTTTTGTAAACAAAATATATTTTGTGACTAAGAATTCCAAAGTACAACCAAAACAACGTCCTTAGTATCTTAAGGTTTAAGATTTCCGAAAAGAAAAAAGCCCCCCCAAAACAACAGTGGCACTACAAACTGTGTTCTATTCTTTCAAAACACAGACACTGCTTATACTATATCCAAAACAAATTAGCACCTGTTTGCTGTTGCTCCCCATATAACTTAACATTGTGAAGCATGGTAATTAAAAAAAATCAGCTTTCATATCTATTCAGTCTCTGTTGAATGTATAGAGTAATAATTCCACCCCCTGCCATTTTTACAATTAAAACACAATTTAAAGTTCTTGTTAAATTAGCCCCAAAGTAATTTTTGGGAATACAGATAGGGGAGGAAACAAAACAAAAAATAGAACATCGACTCACTGATTAACTGTTTTGGTAGCAGATTCAGTAGTCTTATACTGGATCAGTTTGGATCCACCATAGGCATTCACCATTTCTTTCAAGTCCTGAATATACAGTATTTGCAGCAGTGAGTAAACCGCACTAGAGTTCAGTGAATAAACCCATTTTCTCCAAGAATTCCTGAATGTTACAGTATGAAATCCAGAAACATTATGCAGGCTTCTAAAGTAAAAAATATCCAATGCCTGAAATAAACATCTTTACAGTTATAATTCTATTTCTTAAACCTTTTGGGTTGTGGGGTGGAGGCTGTCATGAAGGAGAGGTTATAGTTTATAGATAAGTTATTAAAACAACTCTCTCTGGTACATTTATAAAGATTTTCTTTTTGCAGTAAATAATTTAGGTCAAAGTGATGACCTCCCATGCTCTAATTCTGATTGATTAAACCAACCTGAAGGGTAAACTGGAGACTCTTTGGCCTGTTAGTCAATAACAAAATGGTTTGTAAAGAAAAGAAAAAATAAATACCATATACAAATAAGTATAACTAGCATTCAAGTCTGTTGCACCTGTGTGTTTTAGTGAAAGGGAGAATGAAACTTGTATGCATTTGACGTGAGCAGGTATTCACACAGCTAGGAAACAGGAAAAGACGGTAGGATGGCAACATCACCTTCTATTGCACATTTAGTTTAAGACAGCACTTTCCGTTGAAACACAACTACCCCAATGGCATAGTCTTGTGATGTGGGACAGCTAACGTGATGGACGTCTGCGCAGCAGGCCCGAGGTTAGGACGGCCACTCTGTTAGTGCAGGTGAGTGTAGGTGCCTCCTCAGCTACACTATCTGGAGGATGTCACCTGAGTGCAACTGGGCAGGCCCTTCCCCAACACATGATGTAAGTCAGCCACGCCAAAAATAAAGGCAACCCAGAAAGTTAAATTACGGCAGTTAAAGAAAAATCCATTCCAACAGTTTTAAATTTGGCTGTGCAAAACAGGAGCCTTAGGCTACGTAACAATATCCACAGTTAAAACTGTAGGTTCGTACTGTGTGTAGTCACTCTGAAATCAGTCCTCAGGGATTGAGCAGGCTTTTAAATCCAAATTGAATTTCTGAGTTGGAAAAAGCAGTTTGGGTACTGTGAAGCTTTTTTTTTTTAGGCCCCCGCTATGAGTAGCTTTCATTTTCGTTCCACTTTGTGATCCACTGTTTTTTTTCAAGGTTATCAATATACTTTTCATCTTTGATCTCTCGCTCTTCTTTCCGGATCCTTACAGCATGGTATCGGGGAACACTGTCATCGTACCTAGAGCGTTTAAAGAATCCACACTAGAGAAGAGGGAAAGAGAAAGAGAAACAAATTAATCTCACAAAGAAGCAAATACACTAAATGGGAATGTCTAAGCTTTCTGTTCAGCTATGTCTACCTCTGGACTAAGGGGAAAAAGACATGGTTTTCTTTTAAGAAAGAACCAAGAGGCTGAAATGAAAGAAGAGCCAGTGGGGATCAACGGAAGAGAACAGCTGTAAAACTGGAAGAAAAGTCCATTTTCATCTTCTCTTTACATTTTATAACAAATGTAGGCTACCTCTTTACTAACAATTTAAGAGTTTATGAAAACAGTGCTTCCATATTTAAAAATAATCACAATATGATATGTAAAATATCTGATTATCAGATTAGATTAAGAATAATTTTTAAATGGCATAAACCAAAGATTATTTCATGCCCCTTTCCCACTAATAAAATGCAAATCATGTCACAAGTATTTTACAAATTACTATTTGAATATGCCAGTGTTCCAACAGGTCAACTTTATAATCTTTTTCTCTCCTCTGAGGCTCTAGTACACATATCACTTCTCTCATTAGCCAGGAGGTCATTTATGTTGCCTGGATTTGCTATTGTGCTTCTAATTAAGCTATTTCATTAATCACATAGTAACTGTTTCCTGCAATAAAAATCATGTGCTGCATAGGACTTCAGAAGTGCATCACTACACTGAATTTCAGAGCACTCCCTAATTTCTCTTCTTTTGCAAAAATACATTTACCTTTAAACTGTTAATGTGTGTGTTTATATATATATATAAAATTCATTTAAATAGTCAATCTGATCCAAAGTATATTTTTACTGAGAATATATCTGAAAAAATTTGAATTGAGATTAAATTTTTAAATGAAATATATTTACTTTTTTTAAAAAAAGGTGTTTTCAACTTTAAAATGCAGTTTAGAAGAATGAGGATATTGATAGAACTGTTAATGTGTTTATTGTGTGACGTCAATAGTAACAGGACATTTATGTTGAATGATGTTATGTTATAAAAATGCCATGGAGCAAGATAAAATTATATGTATAGTTATCACTAAATCAATAGGCAAAATGGACCAAGATGTTTTGTTCCAGGTCATTTCTACATGGATTCATTTATTATTCTGTGCAAAAAAAAAGAAAAAAAAGCCAAAGTACCTATCTATTACAAAATATGACTGCTGTCTACCCCATTTAAACAAAGAGGGAAATTAAGGGTAATATGTAAAGCTGAATGGCAATGTTGTGATTCACTGTGATAGTGCCATGGAAAGGATTACAGGAGTAATTCTGTCCTCTCATGCCCACGTAAATGGTGAAAGGGATCACTAGCAATTCCTATTTCCATGTATTTCCAAATAAGAGAAACTTGAATTTAAAATCAACTGAGATCCAAGGTTGGATAAAATCTCTGGATACATGAAATATGGTCAAACTCCATCACAACATATTGCAATAAAAACTGTTCAGGGTATTTTTTGTACTAGAATTTTGTAGATGGAAGGTAACTTTGGTAAGGGATCATCTTCTGAAGTTGGCCATAAAAGCCCATCATGCTGATAATCAGTTTGTTGTAATGGTCTTTGACCTGTAGGAGACATGCAGGAAATGGAAGTTGCATGCTTAGCTAGCATAAAACGATTCCTGAGCAACAGTAAAAAGCATTCCAAGCCTTCCCCATCACTTTATAGCAAAGAGAACAAAAAGATGACAGTGAGGAAGCCTCACCAAGAGAAACACAACATTTCCAACATGCAACAGGTTAATTAGGCGGTCGACACAGCTTCTATCTGTGGAAAATTCCAAAATGGACAAGAAATCTAGAATGATTTCTTATGCATCTTTGAATTCCCTAGTGGAATGCTACATACCGAATTAATAACACATTGCAAACTGGGCTACTATGGAGGGCTAAAAGTCTCTTTTTGTGTGTACAAATATTGCAAATTTTCTTCATTGCTGTGGTAGATATTTAACAAGAACATAAAATAACTCACCTGCAACGAAAGACTGTGCATTAAAAAAAACAAAAACTGAGCTTTCAAGTGAAATAAAATAAAACAAATCCAAGCAAGGCAAGCCAGTGTGGACATTTGGAAACATCTGTTAATGGGACACACATAGCAAGCTGTTGTTCTTAAAGTTAGCCACCACAACCATAGCGGGTCCCACAGCTAGCAATTAAAAAACATTGATCAATTACCAATTACAGAAGTAGATCAATACTATGCATCAGAAGTAAGCCTCTCTTTATCAGATGGCTGAGCATGGATCTCAGCCTTGTGATATGTGGCATCATAATGATCTTTCTTATTTCTCTTGAAGAAACCACACTACAAGGAAGCAAGGTATTTAGTCAATTTTACAGTTTTGTGTATAAGAGCCAAACAACAGAACATCTCAAATTTTAATCTGCCTTCTACTAGTGGCTTGTTTACAAACAGACCACTTTCAGTCAACCAACAATGAACAGCCACTGCATTGTTTCATTGTCATATTCAATACACCCTTCACCATACATCTCTGGTCAAATATTTATATGGATGACACTAGTCAGCTCATTGATTTTTCTCTTTGTAACAGAAATCTTGTGGACAAAAATCATTCTAATAGGGAAAACGTATATACATTGCTGATTGTAGCTTTGGGTAGTTTCTTCCTGCAGGAGAATATGAACTCCAAAAGAGGCAAAAGATTGACTTCGGCAGTTTATTGAGACAAAGGTTAGAAAATAAATTCTCTAAATAAAAGCACAAATCCAAATAAAATATAGATATACTATGGGTATTTTTCTGCCTTTTACAGTAAATTTTATGGAACAAATGCCATTTACTTGAGGCCTTTGGATCTGTGGGGTGAATCACAATACAAATTCGAATACACCATCATGAAAGAATGATTGCTGTCATTTTCCCAAACTCTGAGCACCATAAAACCCTTAAATGGTAGGGACCCAATGCTCCTCAGGTTAGGTCACTCTAAATGAGTATAAAAGTATAATTCCACTTTCTACTATAATTTCCTTCGTTCAGTGATAGAGAACTTTTCCTATTTACTTTTATCTAGTTCATAAGGCCATGGAACTGTCTTTTATAAAATTTAACCTGGTCAAATAAAATCTCCTGAAAAACTCTGATTCCTAGTCCAGCAACTCATGAAGGTAAAAGCCTAGATTCACTTTGTACAATATATGGGAGCTGCTGGCTCCGTGAGGCTATTCAGATTGAAATTAATTTAAATTACATTTAAAACTCTGTGCCTCAAGTGAACCAGCCATATTCCACGTGCCTAACCGCCACACATGACTAATGGCTACCATACTGGATGCTGCAGCTCCAGAACATTTCCATCAGTATAGAGTTTTGTTGGGCAGCTTTCAATAATATGTGCTAGTAAATAGGGTGGGAAGAAGAATAAACCAGGAGCCAAGAGGCCTGGTCCTGCCTCCAACTTGGCAACATTCTTTCCTTTTTTTGAGACAGAGTCTCACTCTGTTGCCCAGGCTGGAGTGCAGTGGCACGATCTTGGCTCACTGCAAGCTCCACCTCCCAGGTTCACACCATTCTCCTGCCTCAGCCTCCCTAGTAGCTGGGACTACAGGTGCCCGCCACCATGCCCAGCTAATTTTTTGTATATTTAGTAGACGCGGGGTTTCACCGTGTTAGCCAGGATGGTCTCCATCTCCTGACGTCGTGATCCACCTGCCACAAAGTGCTGTAATCCACCAGCCTCCCAAAGTGCTGGGATTACAGGCAGGAGCCACCGCGCCCAGCCAGCAACATTCTTAATATCCCTGGTCATGAGCATCTTTGTTAGCAAAATGAAGGTGATTTAGACCAGCCCAAGGGACTTTTTTTTTTTTCACCTGCAAACAAAATCCTGTACAGAATCCTGATATTTAAAATGGATACAATCTGAACTACTGTGGTTGAAGTAGGGATCTTCATCCTGCCTAGTTTAGCTTTGCCCTCTACATGGATATACAAAATCCAATTTAAGGGCCATTGAACTGTAGTTCTGACCCTAAAATCCTATGACTTTAACATATTAAATAATTCAGTTGAATAAAAGTATAAAGTAATAAAAATGCTTCTCATGTGGGGTTGTATAAGTCGTATTTTAGAGTCCCCTTGACAGCCTGGACACTTCAGAGCTTCAAAAAAACAAAAACAAAACAAAAACTCCCAAAATAATGAAATCATCTAATAATCCAATCAACTTATTTAACAGACGAGGCAAACAGAGGCCCCAGGGAGATGGAATGATTTGACCAAGATTATATACAGCTTAGGTTTCTAACTTTAAATCCACTGCTGTCTCACCCTCATTAAAGGCTGCCAATGCTCTGAAAAAGACCATCCTTATGACCTCTTCCAGAAAACACAACATCATCCTCAAATATCAAACCCCAACTTTAGTTTTTGATATCAAAATAATTTTCAAGGCCGGGTGCAATGGCTCACATCTGTAATTACAACAATTTGGAAGGCCAAGGCAGGAGGATTGCTTGAGCCCAGGAGTTGAAGACCAGTCTGGGCAACACAGCAAGGCCTCACCTTTATGAAAAAAAATTTAAAAACTAGCTAGATGTGGTGGCACGTAGTCCCAGCTACTCAGGAGGCCGAGGTGGGAGGATTGCTTGAGCCCAGGAGGTCAAGGCTGCAGTGAGCCATGATCACACCACTGCAATCCAGCCTGGGTGACAGAGCGAGAGACCCAGTCTCAAAAAAAATTTTTTTTTCTTCAAGGCATCTCCTTGAAAAAATGTTTTATATTGACTGGCTGTGTGTGCCAGAGGAACCTACTGCCCGAGGTAAACATTAGAGGTAAAACTGGCTAAAACTCCATACCAGGAGGAGTTTTGTCATGAGCTTCAATCCCATGTCTAGAAGACATCAGAAAATTATCTCAAATTTGCAAAAGTCAGTCAAAAAAAATAAAGCAAAAACAGATGCTCAATATTTGCAAGTAAGACTATCTTGAACCCTTATGTATTATATTTTTGGATCCAATGAAAAGAAAAGGATAGTCTGATCCTAGGGGGTTGATGGTTCATACAGAACCCTCCAGACCGGACATGTTTGAGAATCCAAAATTTTTGTCCTTTAAAATGAGTAATGCACTGCATACCTAATGCTACTATAATCAAAATGTTAGTATTTCTGCAGTGAAATTAATCATAAAGGATAAAGACTTCGAAGTAGCCTCTCTTCACATCACGTCAGGTTTTATTGCCAAATAAGTCATTATATATACTTCAAGGTTTCAGAGCTTTTTGGAATGGCAGATAAGGGACTGTAAGCCTCTATCACTCACTGGGAATAATCTAAAATTTTTAGGTTGTAATCTTTGGGCAATAAGAGTTTGTATCCATCTCATACGCAGTTTTTCATAATGTAGACTCTTTACTGGTAGAATCAGGGGAAGATATTACATTTTATTTACAGTCAAAGGGCCAAATTCTAATGAGGAACATCATATTGAACCTAGACCTTCCTTATGTTTGATACACGCTATAGTGACCCCCTTGAGATAGAGTTATTCATTCATGTCATACTCTTCTATTCCAAATCTAGCTGTAAGCATAACCAACACCAATGGCTGCTATGAACATTCTTCACAGAAACTGAAATTAGCAGGGATACACATTCAGATTATTACTACACCCTAACAATTTGGCTTAGATCCAGACTTATATCTTAGGTGAAGAAAATGCTAAAGTAATAAAATCTAAATTTGTTATTTGCTAAACATGCTAAATTATGTGTGAGAGACAAATGAAGAAACTTATTGTGTACAAATAATATACTTTAAATACAAAATATTCGGTAAATATACAGGTGTTCATGGTAAAATTTTCCTCAAATTTGCTATGTCAAAAGAGTTTCATAATGTTAGAAAAAAGGAAGCAATGAAAAAGAAAACGTACTATCAGTGCTGATTCCCATTTTTTAAAACATGAAATAAAGTTTGTTATGAAATTCAAATGCCAGATATGACTTACCTTCCATAGTATAAACACTAATAAAGCAAGCATCAAGATCCCAGCGAGAATAGCCACTAGGATGATCCACCAAGGTACTCCCGAATACTGAGCTACAGTCTTTGAGGGAAACACAGTCACTCGAACCTACAGGGCAGAAAAGAAAGCAGCATTACTACATACAGCGGCAAGAGTTCACACCAGGAGTTTATGGTTCTAATTCTGCTTTTGAATATATTTTGGACAATGCAGCCTGTGAATGGATGAGATGACTTTCTGATGCAAGATCCTTTCTCTTAACAGAATATTGCTTCAAGAGACATTCCTTGAAGATCTTTCCCCAGAATCTTGAAAATGCTGGGTTGTATTCTGACAAAGTGGTTACTTCTTTGTTAATGTATCTTAAAAAAAATTTGTTATCAACACAAGTAAACTGTATAATGAACCCTTAAGTATTCATCATCCTGTTCCAGCAATTATCAATATACAGCCAGTCTGTGTATCTAAACAAATTGCTCTCAAAAAGATACCCAGTTAAATAGATCTAACAGCCAGTCTGTTCTATCTATCTAACCTGGTATCTTTTTGAGAACAATCATACTTTTTTTTTTTTTTTTTTGGAGACAGGGTCTCACTCTGTTGCCCAGGTTGGAGTGCAAGTGGTGTGACCATGGGTCACTGCAGCCTCAACCTCCCAGGCTCAAGTGATCCTCCCACCTCAGCTGCCTCCCAAGTAGCTGGGACTACAGGCGCATGCCACCACTCACAGCTAATTTTTTTAAAAATTTTTTTGTTGAGACAGGGTCTATGTTGTTCACAAAGTGCTGGCTTCAGGTGATCCTCCTGCTTTGACCTCCCAAAGTGTGGGTATCATAAGTATGAGCCACCTCACCTGGCCTATACTTTCTTTTAATTAATATTCAGCAATGGAAAGAAAAGGGCCAGTTTAGGCAAAAGTAGCCAACATTCCTCATTCAGACTTTAAAGATGTTGTGAAATACAAAAATAGGGATAGGGCTGCATGACTGATGGACACCATTTTACCTTTTTCTTAGGATATCACACTAAAGACCCTCATAAACAATAACATTTCCTGAAATGGCTTGGTGCCATCTTCTACAAAAAGGTATATGAACAAACTAGACCCTGGACCCACTCAGAGGCAGCTTAGCGCTTAAGTTGCTCCTGCTGCTGAGAAGCTTAAACTCTAAACATAGGATAGTTTGCAAATATCAATTAAATAGAAATGGTGTTTACTCAGAAACCTAAAAAGCTGCTTCTGGCAATTCCAACAACTCAGTTACATGGGTTTAGAATGCAAATGAACTTTTGTGATACCAGGAACTATTTTTCAAAGCATGCTAAAGACCTGGTGATTATTGTGAACATGATTTTGTAAACTACACTGATTAGAGATCCACTGGTTTGAAGTTTCTGATATTTCTGAGTTAAGAGAATGTAAAGTAAAGGGAAACAAAACTCAGGGGGAGCATTTAACTTCTGAGAAGTGTTTTCAGTCAAATATTCTATGTCCATATTGAACCCTGGATGCTGCTATGTCTACACTGTGCTTCAATACTTCTATGCGGTGGTGTTTTTCTTTAAAAAAATCTCTCATCAAAGTACTTCCCTTTCCACTTCTAGGAAACAGTTTCTCAACCTCACCTGACTTACAAAAAATACTTAAAAGCAGCAAAACTGCTTTTCTTTAAACATTCAATAGACAGCAATCACATCTTGAGATTTAGCCAATTATACTGATGGTAACAGGCAGGCATAAAACACCTTTATCAGCCACCATGTTTCCTGTTATGCTCTAAATGAGGTTTTCTACAAGCTCTGAGCCCCAAGGTGGCCTCGTGGCTCACTTCCCCTCTCCTTCCCTCCCCTGACAGGGAAGAGATTACTGCGTTCAGCACAGGGACATCTACAAAGAAGGGAAGAAGAAACAGGGACAGACCAGTGAAGCAATAGAATAGTTACGTGGTTGGTAAGCTGACTACAATGAAACAAACCAAATAGATGATTTCAATTAGCCTAAACTGTATCTTGTTTAACTTTGTTGCCCTATTATCTAACACAAGGAAGGTGTACAGTGTATCCTCAGGGCAAGATGGTCATGTGGAAGGGCCATCCTCATTTGTAAGAAAAAGTTCCAGTAAATCTGGAAGTGGAGAGTGGAAACTGGTCTTCGGCAAGGAGAATCAGCTTTATTATAATGACACTGTGCACAAGTGTCTTTAAAACAGCTGACAGTAGGGGAAAGCCACCCCCATAAATGGTTGGGATCCAATATTGTTAACAACTGAGCAAAGTAATTTTTGATTTTGCAGCCTGGAGTGGCAGGGTGGATGGGAATCCAGCTGAAGCTCTAAGCCCCAGGCCTGGCACCATTCAAACCAGAACTTCCACATATTGTTAACTCACTGGGCATCAAAGACTGAGAACCAAAGTCAGGGACTGGGTTGGCTACACATTTAAAGGGCAGATGTGCTCCGTGGTTCTGGAGGGCGAGAGGCCAGTCAGGAAGACTTTATTGGTTGTTTGCTTAAACTGTCAACTGAAGGTGTTTTTGTTTTTTTTGTTTTTGTTTCTGGTATGACAGTCATTCTCCAGCTGGGATTGAGAACAAGGGGAAGCTGGCCATAGAGCCAGGTGACCAAAGATGGAAGACAAAGGGTGGGCTGTGATTCCCAGAGCTCCAAGCCTTGTTCTGTCTTGTCACACCAACTGTTACTGATGAACAGGTGAGTAGAAACTACTGTAGAGCTTTACAACTCCAAAAATAATTTCTTACCTTTGGTTTCATTACAATGTAGTTATTTCCATGGGGATGACGCACACCTGTGAAACTCATCCACCATGTGCCCATAAGGGGAAGAGGGATATAAGCTCTGTTGATGCATTAAATTCGATTACCAGTGAGCAGTGCTGAGACTACATTAGCTTGTCAACTGCCAAAATACCTTCTCTAAATTACCCTGTAATGTACCACCCACTGTTCTCATTGAACTTCATTCAGTACAGGAAGTCACCCAATGAAGGGATTTTCGTATCTTTTACAAAATTATCTATTAAGGACATCATCCACTCTTGGTGTTTATCATATAACAGGCCATCTTATAAAAGGATCCGTATCTTAAGTTGTTCTCTGAATTTTAAGTTGTTCTCTGAATTTAGAGCCAAAAGGGAAAATCTTATTCCCCTGAAGAATTATGCATTTTTTTGGTCATTTTAAAAAAAATTTTGACAGCCAGGAAGCTTGGATACTCTCTACTTGCTTCCTTAGGGATAAATGGGGACAATATAAATACAACCAATAAACAATCCCCCTCAATTTCCCTGGCTAATTTGACAGTGTTTTCCTGGTTCTGTCTCCTACAGCATGACATTCTTAACAGTTGACACTGTATCTTACCCAACTTTGCATCTCTAACATTTAGCACAGGGAAGGCATACATGTGTCTTTCATGGGTGTTTATTAACAAGATGGATTTAATTTAACTGATGCTAAAATATAGCATGGCTTACCTGGCTCAATCATGTGACTTCTGCTCTCCCTGACTTCATTATAATAGTATCCTAATTTAGAAGTGTTTTTTATTGTTTGTTTTGAGACAGGGCCTCACTCTGTTGTCCTGGCTGGAGTGTAGTGGCACACTCTTGGCTCACTGCAGCCTCGACTTCCTGAGCTGAGGTGATCCTCTCAGCTCAGCCTCCCAGGTAGCTGGGAATACAGGCATGTGCCACCCCACCTGGCTAATTTCTGTATTTTTTTGTAGAGATGGGGTTTTGCTATGTTACCCAGGCTGGTCTCTAACTCCTGGGCTCAAGCAATCCGCCTGCCTTGGCCTCCCAAAGTTTAACTGTGTTTTATTAAAAGATGAACACAAAACTCTTGAAATTCGTGGGGTTATAAAGAAACAAAAAAGTTTTTTTGCTTTTTTAAGCCAAATTAAGCTTAGATCTTCAAGCCCAGAAAAACTACAGCTCAAACTACTCAAGAAATGTGCAGATATGACATCTGAGCTATTGTATGTCAGAAATCACAGAAAACAGAAAAGGTGTCAGAAGACTAGAGGTTAAGAAAATGTCTCAATTTTCAAAAGACATGGGTTCTAGATATGAGACCAGTAACCCATTCACAAATCTACCAATTTGTGAAGACATCAATTCCCACTGGGAGGCATGAGTTCTCCAAGCTCTAAGAACATAAAATGCCCAAGAGAACCTCACTTTCATTTGTGACCCAGTCATCAGACTGGACACCAGGGCCCCCAGAGTTCCATCATCTTCCAGAAGAAGACAGCACTTGAAGAGGAGACATCAGACCCAAGGTCTGGTCTCAGCTCTACTTGCTGGTCGGGTGACCCTGACGGGGAGATACCTTTCCTTGGATTCAGTTTTCTTATCTCAATTTGAGATTTGGGGACTTTAAGGGGACCAAGTGCCACAGAGTCAAAGAACAGAAGCCCTGAAGTCAGACAATTACAGGTTTCAATTGAGGGTCTCAAATTATATCCCCTCTCTGAGTCTGCTTCCTTGTTTGTAAAATGAGTACAATGTTTACCCTTGGCATTCTTCTGAAGTTTGAATGATAGAGTATAAAGTATCTAGTAAGCTGCAGACATTTTATTAAGGCTTCATTAATGTTAGTCCCTTCCCTCTAAAGTGTTCTCTGTCTAGCTCTGAAATCTCAGTGATTTTCAGAGTTGCTGATTTACAGTTATAGAAAGCTATACCTGCTGCCTTTATAGATGCAGAGAAAGGATCCTTAGGGAAGGTGTGGTTTATTTGAAAGTCCCTTATGATGCCTGTTGATATGTCCTGGAGAGACCGGGACAGTGCTGGTTGATACCACTTATCGCAGCAGCTTGCCCAGTACAGCATTTGTCTCAGGCAAATGTATCCTGGGGCTGGGTGCAGTGGCTCACACCTATAATCCCAGCATTTTGGGAGGCTGAGGCAGGCGGATTGCTTGAGTCCAGGAGTTAAAGACCAGCCTGGGCAACATGGTGAGACTCTGGCTATACAAAAAAAACTGAAAAATTAGCTGGGCGTGGTGGCATGCCTGTGGTCCCAGCTACTCAGGAGGTGAGACAGGAGGATTGCTTGAGCCCAGGCATTCAAGGCTGCAGTGAGCTGTGTTTGCGCCACTGCACTCCAGCCTGGGTAACAGAGCAAGACTCCATCTCAAAAAACTAAATAAAAACAAAAATGTATTCTTGCTTGGATAATAAATCGTAAGGACTGCTATATTTCAGAAAACAGAATGATTAGGGAGGCTCCCTGAATTTTCAGCTAGCTAAATGACTGAAGCCAGAACATTTCCATAAGTAGACTGGCAGATTAACTTAAGAACAGTAATTCACAGTATTTCTTTCTCCAGTCTCTTTTGCAAAACATTCCCATTCATTATTCCCACCATGACATGCAGTCATTCTGCCTCGAGATCTTTATACAAGTCCCTGTGGGTTCTAGACTCCCACAGGGAACCCCTCACTATTGGTTCACTACAAGGTTCTACACCTAGTCCTATTCAACATATTTGTCATTACCTGGATGAAGACATAGAGAACATGCTTCTCAGTTTTTAAAACTTTCAGGGATAGAAAGTTGAGAAAGCAAATGATGAAGCAAGATTCAGAATTACTTTGCAAACTGAAACAATGGACCCAAAGCAAATCACATAAAATGTAAGGATACACTTAAAGGCATACATTTAGATTTTTACAAATAGCTCAAGGACAGGATACTGGAAACACAGCTTGACAACAAATTCTGATGAAAACACCTGGAAGTTTCAGTAGAACACTAACACAAAAATAGCAGCTGCTAGAAATTCAAACATGCTGCTCAGCAATGGTTTGAAAAAGCAAATTTTAGGCAGGTCTGACAGAAGTGTGGTGCCGAGATGCTGAGAGGTAAAGGCCCCAGGGTAAGTGGGACCAAGCAGACCCCACCTCAGCTGCTCTGTCCACGTGGGAATCAAATTGCCCAGGAAGGGAGAGGCCAGGAGCCAGTTCAGCTGTGCCCAATGTGACGCATAACTCAAGAGCTGGGTGCATAAGCTCTGAGAAGAATAAGAAACATCCAAGGAGGCATGACCATTTCCTTCAATTATTTGAGAGGCTGCTACATGGCCAAGAGAGAGAACTTATTTTAGACTTGTTTGAGGGGCATAACCAGGGACTTACAAGGTTCAGTTCAGGAGTCAGCTATGAAGAGATCTTTTTTAATAATTACAGCTGGCCAAGGGATGGGCCATCACTGGGGCATTACACCAATGGCTGCAGCATTAGAGATGGTAGAAGACACAGGTTTCTAGAGGGCTGTGAGGTGCACCCATTCTCTGAATTGAGCCAGTAGTTCTCAAACCTACCATGGGCACTGCTGAACTGGATGACCCTAGATTTACTTCTTTTTTTCAATGATTCTATTAAAATACAGCTTGCAGTGCCAGTACCTTAAGACAGTTTTCTCCGTAATGGGGCTATGAGGGAAATGAGCACCAAAGCACATGACTTCAGGACATGAGTGTGGGGTACAGGGAAAAGAGACATGTTCTGAACCTGAATGAAGCTGGGGAACCTCTCACCTGAGTGCCTGCATTTGGCAGCCTGATATTTTCGGCAGCAGCAGTCACATCAATGAAGGCTCGCATGAGAATGTCCAAGTAGTTCAGTTTGGAATATTCCTGTTTGGAGACAGTGAATGCATTAGGGAAGTGAAAAGTGTCCTAGGCAAAGGCAAATTACTTCCATGGGACAGCCTCAAGCCAAGGTCATACCTCTAGAAATGTGCTGTTCCATAACCTCGAGCGCAAAATAAGAGACGCCTTGCTGTCCAGCCCCCGCAGCGGGCATCTGATGTTCACACAGTTCACGTTCACGCTACAGTTCTAGAGAGAAAAAGAAGAATGGTCATCAAAAGACATTGTTCTGAAGAAATCCTTCCCCTCATCCTCTCAAATATTCACAGCTCTTGAAAAATACTTACAAGAGTCTGGTATTTTCTTTCAGCAAATAAAGAAAATTTTCTGTTATCATCTATCTGTTTTTCAGTAATTTCCCGTTTCTTTCTTGAGTTGTGAGACTCCTGAAAAAAATTATATCCAAAATAGTTCCAATTTATGTAATTCTTTGTCATTACCATACAAGCCTCTTGAGCATATCCTCCCAAACAGTGCCAGATTCACATAATCAACAATATTTGCCTCTCTCCTGCCAAAGGCACAGAAGTAAGTGTAAAACCAGCAAGTATTATCACTCTAAATTCAAGTTTATTGATTTACTCATAGGACTAAGTAATTCATTCCCACTCTGACCTTAAAACTCAGAGAAAGAGAAATATGCTTTCTTTGTTCCTCTGTATCCCCACCAAACTGTGGGCATACTGAGATCAGAGATCAAATCTTATTCCTGTATCCCTAGCCTCCAGCTCTGTTCCTAAAACATGGTAGTCAGCACATCTTGAAGGAATAAGTGACACTGAAGAACAGAGAAAGAAGCAAAAAGACCCATTATATAGCTCATTCAGAGCAGAGCAATGAAAACTAAGCCATACAAGAACTTTTAAAATTGCATTTTCCTTATAGCAAAGATTAGTAATAACCGATTATCTTGATTTTTAACATTGATGAGTAGAAGATCATGCTATAAGCCACCAACTCTGATCACTGATCATACCCAGTCACCTTAGAATTTAAAATAAAAGAAATAAACATGCAAACCTTCATCAAACTGGAACACAAATGATAGGCCAGTTATCTAAGCATGGAGCAGTATAGAGAGAGGGGTTAACAGTACAGGCTTTGACATCAGGCAGAGCAGGGCTTGTATGTGGAATCTGTCTCTTAACGCCTGAGTGACTGAGAGAGTTACTTGCTCTCTGAATCTTAATGTCCTCATCTGTGAAATGGTGAGGATAATGAAACGCCCTCATAGGACCATCCAGAGAATGAAATGAGAAAATGAAAACAAAATGCTTAGCATAGTTCCTGAGACACAATGAGTACACAATAAATAATTACTATTTTAAAAATAAGCATAAAAAGCTTTCAAGGTTACTTGCTGAGATGCCATTATCTTTTCCAATGAGTTTGGTTCTACTTGGAGTGAACACTGGCTGGCCCCTGGATAACAGCAGCTACTATTACCCCAGGAGCATCCCCCAGTTCTCCTTATTATGTAACATACTGGGTCATGATGAAACATCAGAAAATACCATTTGCCTCAGCAAGCACTGAATGACTCTGCCTTATGTACTATAATGGTCATTAACCAGCAAAAATGCCTCAGCCTCCCTCAGTTACCCAACTAGAAAAGAGAAATTGTGACAACCAAAGAGAAAGTCAACCTGCCAGAATATGCCACTTTCCTAAGAACAGTAATGATTTTCCCCTAACAAGTTAGTTTCTCTAATTTGCATTTATGGAGACATTAGATAAATCTACCGACATACCGTTAGGTTCAGGGAGTTTATCTCCTTTTGTGGCTCACAA